>NC_000013.11:28408106-33408106 GCF_000001405.40 Homo sapiens
TGTATTCCTTTTCCCCCAAAGCAAGGAAAAAGATCGGGGATACCTTAGTCAAAGATCTTAATTTCATACTCTTGGGCTTTAGGAAATGCAAAGAAATATGTTAGAGTAAGGCAAGCCTGGGTGTTTCTCAAGGGAAATACAGTCTGCTATCTGAGTTCACTTGGGGCTGTTGACCTCTGACACCCCACACCTCCCCCATCCCACACCCATGACTCTGAGGGCAGTTACTAAGGGCACAAGCCCTAGTATGGAAACTATAGGCCAGACTTATTGCCAGCTCTTCCACATAAAAAGGACAGATTCTGTGGCTATTTTCTAATTTAGGGGCTGTTATTTTTCCCTCTTTGTAATTGGGGCTATAAAAATAGAATGTCATTTAGAAGCCTTACTATATAACAGCACTTGAAAAGAGATTTAGGGGGAGGGGAATGTGCCTAAGCCTTAAGAATACATCAAGCTCTTAAGGAAGTAGATTGTGCCATGTTTGAAGATGCAAAGATAATCACTGTGCTGGGAACTGTCTTGAGGGGGGAGGAAGCCGAACAACAAGAGGAAAGCAGCGTTCGCTCCTGATTTCGCACAGGAAGTCCACAGCACCTCCTGCCAAAGCGAGATAAGAAAGCTCCCATGCACTATTCTGGACAAGGCCACTGTTATCAGCCTCAGCTCGGCGCTGTCCTCTCTTTGCTCCAAGCCTCCGTCCCTTTCCTAATGAGCTATATGACTCCTACCTCCATTTGCATACAGCATGCCAAGTACAATGGCAGGGAGGTATTTATAACCCCTGAAAGGAAAAAAAAAATTATGGGCTAAGAGTGTACTCCATGTCATCTCTGCTGATTGCTCTGGACCTGAAACAACTTAATTTCGGACTAGAGATTGATATAAATAAATTAAAAGAAAGCAGCCAATTATGTTTCCAACACATGGAGCTAGGACCTCATGTGTGATATGTCAGCCTTCTACATTCCAAGTGGGAGCCATCTGTGGAACTCCCCATCTGGTCTAAGTTACTAGTCTTCTTCTCTTGACACATTATGGGAAACTGCCACCCTCTATATATGCAGATGACACTACTGACCTACATGCTTTGGGTTGATTTTCTTGTAACAGTGATGAATTTGCCCTCTTCCCACCACACTCAAAAGTATTTGGCTTCTCTGTGACCAAAGACAGATGAAGGCAGTCTGGGGCCACAGAAAAAGGCAAAGCCAACAGAGGTCAAACCTACGATCTTTCTTTCTTTCTTTTTTTTTTTTTTTCTGTCACCCAGGCTGGAGTGCAGTGGAGCAATCTTGGCTTATTACAGCCTTGACCTCCTGGGCTCAACTGACCCTCCAACTTCAGCCTTCCGAGTAGCTGGGACTACATGTGTGTGCCATCATGCGAGGATAATTTTTGTATTTTTAGTGGAGATGGGGTTTAACCATGTTGCCCAGGCTGGTCTCGAACTCCTGGGCTCAAGCAATCTGCCTGCCTCAGCCTCCCAAGGTACTGAGATTACAGGTGTGAGCCAATGCTCCTGGCCAAACCTACCATCTTGACAGTATTGACTGCTGGCAGAATTTGTACTCAGTTCTGGATCATTTCAGAACCTGTGCACTTGACCCCAACACCATAAGTAACATGATATCCATGTACTACCATCATGTGACAAGAAATTATTATGCTTCAGTACTTCTTGGACATAGTAAGAAAAGACATCTCAAATATTCAGTACACAAATACCATTACTATGTTGAGGATTCCATGGCTTTTTTTTTTTTTAGCTACTTTTGCATAACATGGTCAGTCTCTTTCCAAAATTTGCTAAACATCTCTCATCTCACACAACCAAAATATGTTGAATGACCAGTGCATGCACAGTCTGCAATTACAGTTTATATTACAGTTTCTATGAGAGCTCACTTTGTCACCCTGCAGTTCCTGAATTCAAGACAGGTTCCATTCACCTTTACAAATCCAACACTCAATGAAGTATAATGCACAATGCACACCCAAAGGTACCCCTTTGTGTTCACCTGTGCTTTTTCTTAATTGCTGGTTTTTAACAATTCTTATTTTTAGATTTTCTTCACTCCTCCTGCCTTCCTCTCCCCTCCCCCTACTTAAAGCTCAGAGCTGGTACTTTCTTTCCTTTAGAGGATAGATTGTCACATCTGGTGGAATCAGAAGGGAAAGCCCAGCTGGGTGAGCGTTAGCTACTGATAGTAAGTATTGTGTTTTCTTTGAAGTGGTTCTCTTGTGAGGAAATGATCGATTCTCTTGGAGAATTGGGTGGGATGGTTCAACACTTCATTTAGCCTTTCTAGAAATTGCCCATCTGTTTAGTGCCTGTTATGGTACCCAAGACTCCTATAGCAATCCAGTATAAAATTCTCATTTCATAAATGATTTCCTGCCAGTCTAATAACCACATTGATTCTAGAAGGTCTGCTCTACAGCCTTAGTCTTAAGACACACAGATTTTTTTAAAAGGATCCTCTTTCAATAAATGATATTAAGCTGGCATTTCAAATCTCTGTTGTGCCAATATCTGATTCTTGGCTGCTTGAAGGGAAACAAGTTTTGTGAGCTGCTACTATGTGCTACTAAAGCTTGGGCTAGAAGCAATACACATTTTGCCTCAATTAGTTCTCACAGTCACCCTATGAAGCAAGCATTATGATCCTTATTTCATAAATCCTTTTATCAATAAGGAAACTGAGACTCAGAAAAATCAAATGCTTTGCTCAAGTTCACAGGGAAAGGAGCAGAATTAGGATCAGAACCCAGACTCTCCTAACTCTTCACTATCCCAGAGCTCTGTGCATCACGTAGGGTGACTTCTGATCCCAAGAAACCTCCCCAGACCTTTCCCACCATGGGAGAAGTCTGGCTCAGAGTCACCTGTTACAGAGGAAAACTCTGGGGGGCCTCTAAATTCAAACTAGCACAAAGTCAGACACCAGGAAAATTAAATTTATGTTTTTAAGAGGGAGAAAGAAGATGTGCCTGTCTATCGGTGGACAAGGACAGGGGCAAGGGGCAGAAGACTACTTTATAGTTACATTTTTGGCATAAATTCTAGTTCGTTTTGGTCATAAACATGCTTTGATGGTGAAATTATAGGAACTCTTTACCTTCTACTGGCTGATACATTTTATCATTAAAAAAAAAATCTGGCCAGGCGCTGTGACTCACACCTGTAAATCCCAGCACTTTGGGAGGCCGAGGCAGGTGGATCACCTGAGGTTGGGAGTTCGAGACCAGCCTGACCAATATGGAGAAACCCTGTCTCTACTAAAAATACAAAAATTAGCTAGGTGTGGTGGCCTGCAGTCCAGCTACTGGGGAGGCTGAGGCAGGAGAATCGCTTGAACCTGGGAGGTGGAGTTTGCAGTGAGCCAAGATCATGCCATTGCGCTCCAGCCTGGTCAAGAAGAGCGAAACTCCATCTCAAAAAAAAAAAAAAAAAAAAAACTTACAACAAAATAAAACCATCCAATATTTATCACAATTTTTTTCTCTCCTTGGTAACATATTTTTGTCTGCATGCTCAGTGAGCATGTTCTGGGATGAAGCTGGCCTGTTTTATTACAAACTCCAACACTAGAATGAGTGGCCCGGGGACAGGAGTGTGGGTGAGTGGTGATTTGAGTACCCAACACCCGATGGCTGCCTATTTGAGCCAGAGCCATTGTCTGGGAATGAATGTTTATATAAATGTATAATGAAAGCACATTTAATTTGGCAACAAAGAGGGTCCAGAAAGTTCTACAAAGTCTCAAGACAGATAATAATCTCCTTCTCTTTTTTTCTTTTTTGGATGATGAAATCTGAGGACTTGTGTGAACTCTGCTTATCTGTTTAATGAGATTGTACTGCACGTGCTAACTGTGATTAGAATCTGTTTGTAAAGAATATTGAATCATTTCAAGCTAGGAAACAAAAGGATAGAGGAGTAATGAAAAGCAAATTGAAGCTGTAAAATGTCTTTTAAAAAAATAGGAAGGAAAAAAAAGCCCATCTGGAACCCTGCCAGAGGGCACAACCGGGGCTGGCCCCCATTATGGCGGCCATCCTGTAGCAGGGCCTGATGTAAACATTCCTCTGCTACTGTGGGTGTCGTGTCAAAACATTAGCGATTGTGTGTCTGAGCCATCAGATTAACAGAATCTGCAAACACTATCTTTCCCCCTTCTCTTTCTTTTTCTCTTTCTCTTTCTTTCTTTCTTTCTTTCTTTTCTTTCTTTCTTTCTTTCTCTTTCTTTCTTTCTTTCTTTCTTTCTTTCTTTCTTTCTTTCTTTCTTTCTTTCTTTCTTCTCTTTCTCTCTCTCTTTCTTTCTTTTTTGAGACGGGGTCTCACTGTGTTCCTCAGGCTGGAGTGCAGTGGCACCATCCTGGCTCACTGCAACCTCCGCCTCCCAGGTTCAAGCGATTCTCCTGCCTCAGCCTCCAGAGTGGCTGGGATTACAGGCTTGTGCCACCACGTCTGGCTAATTTTTGTATTTTTAGTAGAGACGGGTTTTGCCATGTTGGCCAGGCTGGTCTCGAACTCCTGACCTCAAGTGATCCACCCGCCTTGGCCTCCCAAAGTGCTGGGGTTACAGGAGTGAGGCAACATCCCAGGCCCCTCACGTTCTTTTTTTTTTTTTTTTTTTTTTTTGAGACGGAGTCTCTCTCTGTCGCCCAGGCTGGAGTGCAGTGGCGCGATCTCGGCTCACTGCAACCTCTGCCTCCCAGGATTACAGGCCAGAGCCACCACGGCCGGCCACGTTCTCTTAAAACAGATGAAACAATATAGGAGAGTGGATGCTGGCAGAAAAAGGCGTAGCATTGGAAGGAGTGTTTAGACAGAATGGTTCCTGCTCCTCTTGCTCCAGGAAAAGGGCCTGGGCCTTCAGGGTGGTCACAGGGTCAGGCTGAGGAGATCCTGGAGGAGTGACTTTCTTGTGCAGTGAGAGACCTTGTGACGCCTTGGAGCTCATACTGAAAATTACTTCTTGCCTCAATGGAGAAGGGGGAGTGGAGAAGAGTTTCGGGGGTTGTGGGCTTTGGGTCGGCTCCCTGGACAATGGTGGAGGGGATCCAGCGTCCTGGGCCACCTCTGTTTAGATAAGAGCTTTTCCGTGAGCGTCTTGGCTCATGCTGCTTCCTGCTCTCGAGGGCCCTGTGGTCCATTCACACTCAGAACATGGCCCTTCTTCCCAGCCTCTGCTTTTCCTTCCTCCTGGCTCCTTCTGCTGGCTTCTAGAGTGAGTGCCAGCAATCTCCCCGCCCTCCACCCCCCAAGCCAGACACTCTCTCCCTCCCAGCTCCCCACTCTCCTTCACACAGTCTTTTCCAGGGCCAGGGGATCCTCGTGGCCCCGCACTGGGGTAACTGAAAGGCTAAAAGAGTGGGTGTTTACTTGGCTACACCCAGATAGGAGCCTCACAGGATACCTATTTTGTTCATTCACTTTTCTTCTTAGTGAAGGACTAGTTGGTGAGGAAGGGTGATTTGAGAAATAAGAAATCTTTAAAAAAATATTAGGAGTGCCTACAAAAAATATCCTTTAACACATTCAAGAAGGAGGCTTAAAATAGTAGCTGCATTCACTCAGTGGAGAATATTTTAAGCTATCATTATATTTTGTTCTCACAAAAAGGAAGAGAACAGCTTACTTCTTATTTAGTGGTCAATACTGAAACATCCAGAAAGCTTTTGGGAGTGGAGGTAGGGAATCACAGGTTAGCATAAGAAACATAGATGTTAGAGCTAGTCAGACCTGAGGTGAAATCATGGTTTTATAACATCCTAGTTATGTAACTGTGGATGTCAAAAACCTGACTTTGAGAATCGTAGTCACAGAAGATTGCTCAGAGGGCTTACCAGTCTTGTTGATTTCTTGTATCATTCTAAAATTTTGTCCTTAGATCACACCAGCCCACAAAATCACTTTTAATAAATTCTGCTTTGGTGCTATGTCATTGGCCAACATTGAGGGATGTTAGTTACCAGAGCTGACACTCACTGTGGAAGAAGTGTGGTCAGGGAGTTTGCCTACTATTAGTGTCCCGCAGCGTATGAGAGAAGAAATCATTTCTCTTGGATCTCAGTTCTCTGAAAGGTATCTTATGAGCCCCTTAATTTTGCAAATGTTTGTTTCACTTCTTCTCGCTCTTGACAACTGGAAAGTAAAGCCTGTGGGCCGTAACTCCATACTAGTCTTACACATTTTTTGACTTCACCAAGGCTGCTTAGTTATGTATTGTCCTTTTTGTGAACTACCTCAAATTCTTTGGGAATGGATGTGTTCTTAGCATAGCCAACTCAAAAAAGCAACCCCATGCTACCATGTCTTACTAGTTTTATTACAGGCACTAAAAATGCACACATAAGGGAAATAATTTAAATAAAGAATTGAAAGAAGATTGGTTTGACATCAGCAAATATTAGGGTGATACTTAATGTGTAACACACTTAGCACAGTGCCTGGCACACAGGAAACAAATCATTAATGTTAGTTGTCAGTTTATTATCTGATTTCATCGAGAGCTACTTACGTATGGACAGGGACTATATTTTGTTCATCATTATAGCTTTGGTGCCTGGCCCAATCACTTGGGAAACAGTGGGTGAGCAACACTTGTCTTTTGCTCAGTTAACTCCCTGATGAAAGAGTGGATCCTGCCAAAGAATGGCCAGATGAGATGTGGACCCAATCACACATCAGATGTCAACCCTACCTCACATCAGATGTCAACCCTGCCATCTACACTTCAATCAAGTGTGCTGAAAAAGGGGCTCTAGTGACTGTCAAATGACCTCACATACACCCCTGACCTAAGCACTATGTCACCACCATCAGCACCTCTCCATTTGCAATGATGAATATTAATGGATACATGGGATCTGCCAGGGCCCTGGCTAACCTCAGCACAGCAGTGTCAGCACCTGACAAACCCATAGTCATGGACAGTTTCAACTCAGGCAAGGATGCTGACATGCAAAGCAGTGTCATCCAGTCTAATGGCAAATAGGAAACTGACTGGCAATGGCCTCCTCTTCTTGCCTATCTTCAAAGATAGGCACAAATATTGGCTTGTCAATAATAGCACCACTTTGCCCGGGTGCGGTGGCTCATGCCTGTAATCCCAGCACTTTGGGAGGCCAAGGCAGACGGACCACCTGAGGTTGGGAGTTCGAGACCAGCCTGACCAACATGGAGAAACCCTGTCTCTACTAAAAATACAAAAAATTAGCCAGGCGTGGTGGCGCATGCCTGTAATCCCAGCTACCTGGGAGGCTGAGGTAGGATAATTGCTTGAACCCGGGAGGCAGAGGTTGCAGTGAGCCAAGATCGCGCCACTGCACTCCAGCCTGGGCAACAACAGCAAAACTCCATCTTAATAATAATAATAATAATAATAGCACCATTTTATTCAACTAAAACAGAGTTTGCTCACTCCTATCTCATGTAAGATGTAAAATCACACCCCTTGCAAGAATTAGATGATTTAATTCCTTCTGTTATTTAGAAACATATATGTTTATTGAAGAGACAAGTCAAATTCATGGAAACATATCAGAATACAATTGAGCACAGGCAAGTAAAATGACAAAAGCCCATATACTACTATAGGCTGAACAAGACTTGGGTGATTGACCATTTGAATAGCTGAGGTAGAATTCACCAATGAGAGTAGATCCTTGGATACTGTAACTCCTTTGATTTCCTAAATAATCTGAAACAGCCACCATTTCTGGTCCCATTCTGATTTCTTTGGAATAAACAGTCAGAGGACCTGTCCCAAGATGCAAATATATTTCCTGGGAGAACATTAACCTAATAGCATGGATCATCTTGTCAGGACATTAGTGTGTATATGATGCCACTTCAGAGGGAAGTGGCTTTGCAGTGGGCAGCCCCAGAGCTGCCTAAAAGTACTAGAAGTACCAGGTACCTTTCAGCAAACAAACTTAGCACTCGCAATGTACCAGCCACTGTGCTGAGTACTTCACACCTATTATGACATTTAACTTCCTCAAACAACCTTATGATGTCAGTGCTGTTAACTCCATTTGTAGATGAGGAAACCCAGACTCAGAGAGGTGGTTTATTTTGCCCAGAATCATACAGCCAATGGATGCCAGTAGGTGGCAGAGCCAGGACTCAGGCAACAGAGCCCACGTCCTTAAACTCTAAACTATGTTGCATCTCTTGATGTCACCACACTGGTTTTCAGGATTGTGAGCTTTTGATGTCACCCTACTGGTTTTCAGGATCGTGAGCTTTTGACTAAAAATGACTCATTTTAATGTCTAAGTAGTTGTGACACAACCAATCCTGGTAGTGACAAATGATATGCTTTCAATTGCCTGGTTGATGTTGTGCTGGAAAGCTGCTCACTTTCAGGCTCTTTGACATGTTAACCAGGACTAGTGTCCTAATAAGATACTCAAACTCTCTACCTGATCTGGAAAATGGTAATAATTCTAGCATTTCTCTTAGAGAAGTTCTGTGATAATTAAATGAGATGATGCATATAAAGCACATATCCAGCACTTAACACCACATAGGTAAATGCTTAATAACTTAGCTATAAAGAAAATAAAAATAGGAACCCCAGGCTATACAGCCTCTATCAGCCACCATCTTCTATTATATTTGGCTCTAGATGGTCTTTAAGTACCAATTTTTGTTTTCCTCATCCTACGTGTTCAAGTACTTTTTTCATACTCACAAGGGCTGATTTGTCAATAAGGTAGCAATCAGTGATCATCTTATATAATTTTCAATGATGATGACAAGGCAAATGGAACATTAAAGACCTAAGAAATTGGAATAACATGCACCCATGTAATGTTTTTTAAAAGGGTGAGTGAAAACCCAAGACTTTGATTTTCAGGCATGGAGGGTAGAGTTTCTGAGATACAGTGCGCATACTGCAGGCTGAAGGAGTGCCACAGGTAGAAGACCACCAATAATAAGTCTGTGAAAGTCCATCAGCCTGGAAGGAGGGACAAAGTGGGCTTCTGGCCAATAGATAGCAGAACATCCAGGCACTAGCCAGGTAGTGACTGCCTGCCTCAACCATTCAGCCTCTACTGAAAAAATTTCACATCAGGTCCAAAATTACCTTTCCAATTTTGGTTTTTATTTTTTCTCAACCAAATCTGATGAACCAACCACATTCATCTCTGGCAAGTTCTTTTCAACTTTCCAACCCGTTTGTATGCCTGTGTTACTGCATCACATCTTTGTCCCTCTCCCCTTCCATTTAACTTTCCAAGATCTACCCATCCTCTTCAGGGCCCGGATCCCACCTCCTCCTTGGTGCGGCCTCTAAACTGCAACATTCACCATCTACCACCCATGGTCGGCTCGTTTGGCCAGATTATAAGCACCTCCCATGGAGACTCAATACAGTGTTATGGTGGAAATAATAGTAAACAGGAAATCAGAGACATGCATCTAGTCCCGAGCTTGCCATTAAGTAGCTGTGAGATGAGATAACTATTTATCTTTGAGCCACAATTTCTCACCTATAAAACAATCTCTTTTTAAAAATTAAATCTTTAACATTCCTTAATTCCGTTTTTTTTTTTTTGAGATGGGGGTCCTGCTATGTTGCCCAGGGCTCCTGGGTTCAAACAATCCTCCCACATAGCTAGGATTACAAGAGCACGCCACTGTGCCTGGCTCAACATTCTTCAATGCTGAGTGAATTAATCGTTTGAAGTGACTAGGTCAAGGCATGCCGAGGCTGAAATTAGCAGCCTCTATGTCCCCATTTCATTCCCTCATCAACTACAAACCCTCATGTTTCCTCCTTCATTTTCTTTTGACCCCTCCTTTTCATCTCCTTTAATTGCTCTCCTGACTAAATAGCCATGAGTTTTGTGAGGCCCACTGAGGGCTGAGTGCTTGCTGAATCCTAATCCAGGACATTAATTCTGAACAATAAATGAGAGAATGGGGCTTCCCTGCCCTGCAAGAGATCAAATACCCCTGGATGGTGGGAAAATCACAGAAAAGGACAATACGAATAGGGGAAAGTGCCACAATAAGCAGGCCCATTAACTGTTAGTTAGACTTGCCACCCTCCTGAGGCTGGTCTTATTTAGACCTGCTCATCCCACTGGAGTTTATACTCCAGTTTCTACTCCCAACTGCAGATCTGGGGCCCAAGACAGCTGTAGGTCATCACTGGTTCTCAAAGATATCATGAAATTTGAGCCCAATTCACCTATTTGCTGCTCGTCTTTTTCTCCTTTCCTCTCCCATCCTCTGCTCAACTCTAACTCAACAGATGGGTCAGCTCTAACTCACGACAGACAAGAGCAAACCTACCAGGTTAGGCAGGCGCCCTCCCAAACCTATTCCCTGCAGACTTCAGCTCTTTCCTCTGGGAATCCACAGGGATGTCCTCTGAGGAGTCCTATGGGACACCAGGGAAAAATAACCTTCTGGAAGACCAATCTATCTAGCCCCTTGTATTTTATTTATTTATTTATTTAAGACAGGGTCTCACTCTGTCTCCCAGGCTGGAGTTCAGTGACGACTGCAGCCTCAACCTCCCGGGCTCAAGCCTTCCTCCCGTCTCAGCCTCCTGAGTAGCTGGAACCATAGGCGCATGTCACCATGCCCAGCTAATTTTTTTTATTTTTATCTTTTTGTAGAGATGGGGCCTCTCTATGTTGCCCAGACCGGTCTCTGCAACTCCTGGGCTCAACTGATCCTCTCACCTCAGCCTCCCAAGTGCTGGGATTATAGTCATGAGCCACTGTACCCAGCCCTCCCCCTTTATACCATAATCTGAAAACACCTGAGAAATAACTCCCTGAGCTTCAGTTTTACTTATGGGAAAATAGGGCAAGTAATCACCATTCCGTAAAACTGTTGTTCAGATTAGAGATAATGTGTGTAAAGGGATGAACATGGCTTTTGGCACCAAAAATGACTTATTGATTAAGTCTATCACAGCTATTATAATGAAGTAGACCATTGCATTCAAGGTGGCAAAACGTCCTAGGAGGCTTCTAGAGAAAGTATGAAGAAACAAGGGCTAGTGATTAGAAGCTCATTAAAAGGCACTGTCAGGGCCAGAGTCTAAATCCATCATGCCCTTTCCATCTTATCAATCCAACAGGTTCTGCTTTGTCACCTAAAAGGGCACTGATTTTACATTAAAGTCACATAGATACCATATTTTAAGAAACAATCTACCAAGTCAGTGAAGATATACTAAAATGTAGATCCCCAGGCAGAAGTGCATGTTTTATAAGTGATTTGTTCTACTTATCTATCACCTAAAGATCTTGTGTCAGGACATTAGTTTCTAGATTCAATAATAAAAATGCTCATTCAATTTTTAAAAATCTGTAAATTTGGCCAAAGACAATCTGAGAGGTTCTGCCAATCTTCTTAAGGAATCTTCACAAATTTTGTGTCACTATCTTCTGGTAACCTGAGAAGCTACACTGAATCTTGCTGAAAAGATCACTATAAAAACCATCCAGCGGCCGGGTGCGGTGGCTCATGCCTGTAATCCCAGCACTTTGGGAGGCCGAGGCGGATGGATCACGAGGTCAGGGGATCGAGACCATTCTCGCTAACATGGCGAAACCGCGTCTCTACTAAAATTACAAAAAATTAGCCAGGTGTTGTGGCACGCGCCTGTAGTCCCAGCTACTTGGGAGGCTGAGGCAGGAGAATCACTTGAACCCAGGAGGCGGAGGTTGCAGTGAGCCGAGATCGTGCCACTGCACTCCAGCTTGGGCGACAGAGCAAGACTCCGTCTCAAAACAAAAAACAAAAAACATCCCGCATAGATTTCCTGTGACTCAGCCTTTTAGTTTAATTTAAAACACATAATGAAATGTTTGATAGCAATTACAGGAGACAGTTAACTCATTAGAAACAATTATTCATCATATTCACTGTATTACTAAGAAGAGTGGGAAAAGGAGGAAAATCTCACAAAGCAGAGAAAAGTGGCAAAGGGGCCTTTGGCAAAAGAACTCATGCTCTGTTCTCAGGACTTTGTATGAAATATTAATAAGGGCTGTTGTCCGAACAGTCACATTAAGCAGCATGCACTTCCTCGTCCAGTAATTATATAACAGAATGCAAGAAGTTTCTCATTAGTAAGTGAACATTCACTTTTGGCTTGTGATGAAAGCCTCCTGTATAAGATGGCCAGTTTTATTTGGCTGTTTGTTCAAGCTCAAAGTCCTGCTAAAGTGGTCTTTGGTCAAGTGGTCTTCTTTAAAGTCCTCATTTTGATTCAAGGTTTTGTTTGTGGTAAATTAAAATTCTCTGTAGCATGGCTGAATTGAGGCTGCATACCCAGACACACACTGCATAGAATATATGTTGAGACACATGGATGGATACAAATTGTATGTGTACTTAGGAAGAATGTGATCAATATTAAAACATGAGGTATGTGACCGTATTTCCAAAAGAAGAGGTCTTAAATTATAGCTTCCCTCAGACATCTGACCTACATTTTGCCCCCAGGAAATGTTGACTTTTTCAATTTTTATAGTGTTAAAACTTTCATTGTGTAGGTGGAAAATAAAATATGGGACATAAAACTGTTACAGCATAAAAATAATAGACATTCATGTTGGCAGTCAATTAAATTTGGGTCTTTGAGTACATTTCTAATTAACTACCATTAACAATTGTCTTGTTTCTGTCCTGTTAATTTTACATACCCCACTGATGCGCCAAACTATGTTTCCCCCAAATGATCTATCCCTAACACATCCCTAATGACTCAGGCCCTCCTTTCTTTGCCAATTTGCTGACGTAAACAATAGAGAAATGCAATTAGGCAAGCCCCTCTCGGAAGCCCTTCTCAGAGTTCCTAGATGCCTCTGCTTTTCTGTGATATTGTAGGCCACCCCACCCCCCATCCCCGGATGGAAGGCAGTAAACCACCCTTACTCTTAGAGTGGTCAGCTTTCTCTTGACACCATCCACCCCAGCCCCCCATAGTACTCTACTGCTGGTGCACACGAAGAGTGTTTCAGACATGAGATGTCACATTGTCATTGAGAATGGCGGGAAACATTATTTTCTAGTTAACTTCTAAAGCATGTAACTATTTTAGACTCCAGTCCTGACCTACTTTTAGAGTTTTGCAAGCGGTTCCTTGAGAGTCCATGCATGTCTACTAGATTTTTCTTAGAAAACCCCCCATTTTATCTAAGAAAGCCAAAAGAATAATGTTCTCCCTCAACCTTCCATGAGTTGAGAACCCAACATTTTTCACACCCTGAAGGGACTCATCTGCAGAAGAGCAAATAAAGCAGGCAAAGCTTTAGAGCTAACTGGGCAGAGAATGAGCATGCCTTCATTTGTTTGGGCTGGATCGAGGCTGGCAAGGTGGTCCAGGTTGGCACTGCGGAAAATACGGCTTGGCCCCAATGGTGGAGGAGCTGCTGCACTTTTTTTTTTCCTTACTGGGCCCTTATTAACATTATAATCACAGAGTCAGTTTTGTATCACAGAGTTTGTACCTCCATTTAAGACTTTTCTGACAGCCATTCTACTTTCATAAGTTGAAATTTTCTGTTAATTTGTTACCGATCCTCAGAGTTAATGGTCAAATTGCCTTACAGTTTACAAGAAACAGAAGGGAAACATCAGTGTGCAAACACTGGGAAATACTTTCAAGCCCTTTTGAAGGAAGAAAATATAATTTACAGTGATTTTCTAAGTTAACTCATTCATAGCTGTGTATGATAGGAAAGGGGAAGCACGACCATTGCCATTTACAGAAGGGGAAATAGAAACACAGATTAAAGAACTGGCCAAGGTCACACAGAAGTCAGGGACGGTGCCAAGAATAGAACTTGCTTCCTTGATTCCCAATTCTCTATCCTTGGGAGGATGTAGTAGATATTTTACAGATACATATATAGATCCAATAAGTAATCACCAAATATGTTTAATCTTGTATAATGCAAACATAAATGCTAAAGACAAGTGGTATTACCTTTATGTTTTACACGTGGTTGGTGCCTAATAAATATTTGTGTGATGAGCAGATGGTTGACAGTATATTTAGATTGAATATCAGTGACGTGCCAAGTTGCTTTGTAAGATGTCAGCAATATTAATGCAATGTAGACAGAAATGTTTCTCTACATATTTTGACTAGTTATCACAGATAGCTTATAAAGAAAACGAGTTTTTTCACAAAGAACCCGATGTTACCTAAGTTTTTTTCCCATGAGTGGGGAATAACTTAGTACGTGGTACAACTCTGTCTATTATAATCAATCAGTGTTACTTCTTCCTTTGAAACTATGATTTGTGATAATTATATAGGGAGAGAGAATTAAACTGGACTGTGATCTAAAGAATGTGTGCTCTCAAAACAAAACTGCAGTAATCAAAGGCTGCAGGCATTGAACCTCCCTAGAATAAAGACCCAAACACATTCAACATTTTAGAAACAGATCTTTGTTTTAGAAAGAAGAAAAGACAATCCAGAAACAACCAGGTGGACTCTAGACACCCATGGAGGAGGTGATCAGAGCTCATGAGAGTACCAGGAAGGAGATCAGCAGAAGCCCCCCACCATCCCGTTTGTGGGGAACAGATGAGCGCAAAGACCCATTCAGGCCACACAATTGTCCAGTCAGCTACCCGAGGGTCTCCTTGGTATTCAAGCACACGTAAAGAAAAGTAGACTTTCAACATCTTAGATTCTTCCTGAGAAAACAGTGATCTGCAGCACAAACTGATTATGCCAAGACTGTCCTTGCCCTATCCTCTCCTGGGTTCCTGAAATCCACCCTTTCCATTCCACAGAGAAGGTCCCCTTCCCTCCAGTCCTGTATTATTATTGTTCCTTTAGAAACCAACCAACCTCCTTGCCATGGACAATCTTATCTAAATAGTATCTCCTGTGAGGCTGCATCAGTACTCTGGCAGAGTTCATGGAGGACTGTAAGATCAAGCGGAGCTCAGTCCTTGGGGGGTTTACTCGTACTACTTAGTTGTTCAAAATGCAGGCGGAACGTGAAGTTCTAGAAATTGAAAGTGGACTGGCTGAGCAGGCATCAGCTCCCCCACATGCCCAGTCAGCCCACCCCAGCCTCAGCCAACCCACAGGGCAGAACCACTTCCTCTCATGACAGGAAACCAATGAATGGGGCAGGCCACACGAACTGGGAGAATTACTTCATTCCCTCATGACACCCTTCCATTTACTCTTCCTTTTACTTTTGTCTAACTCTTCTGTAGTTCCTTAATTTTTCTTCTTCTGAAAAGTCATATTTTCCTGAATTCCACAGCCACCCTCCACCCCAGACCTACTAAATTACTATTCTTAAAGCACAACAAAACTGCATTTTACATTCCATAATTTGCATTCATTTCTTAGAAATGTTTGGCAAAACTGCTCACTGTTGTCAAACTAGCTCTATAGTAGGCAGAAATATCCTTTAAGTTCATTAAAGGTTCTCAGGTCTTATTTAAAGAAATGTACCCCAATGCTAGCAATGATTACAACCTTGCAAATCTGTGGTGCTCTGTAACTTTCTAAATACATTACCTCATTCGATCCTCATAGTCTCTCTATGAAGTGTATATCATTATCTTTACTTTATATGAGCAGAGGCTGCAAGCTATAGACATGTGGAAGGCACTATATGCTTAACATCCTTATGATGCTCTCTGGCTTTTTGCTCAGACTCATGGGAGCAGGTTTAGGAATATCTATTTAGAAGTCTACCTGTTGGCTGAGGATGAGAAAAATAAAATATTCCACCTTATTCAGTGTTGATAACTTATTTTGGTGTTATTAATATTCAAAAGAGATATCACAGTTTTATTATCACTTTTCTTTTCTTTCTTTTTCTTTTTTTTCTGAAGCGGAGTTTCGCTCTTGTTGCCCAGGCTGGAGTGCAGTGGTGCGATCTCAGCTCATTGCAACCTCCACCTCCCAGGTTCAAGCAATTGTCCCTGAGCAGCTGGAATTATAGGTGCCTGCCACCGCTCCTGGCTAATTTTTGTATTTTAAGTAGTGGCGGGGTTTCATTATGTTGCCCAGGCTGGTCTCAAACTCCCGACCTCAGGTGATCCTCCTGCCTTGGCCTCCCAAGGTGTTGGGATTACAGGTATGAGCCACTGCACCTGGCCCCACTTTCCTTTTTTTAATTAAAAAAAAAACTAAAAAGGGAAAGATTCTGCTTTATTTCTTCTTGGTTCATTACCTGTATGAGTTTAAAAGTAATCATCCTTTCCCTCCTCTCTTTTATTCCTAATGTTTTATAAGAACAAATTCTAGGCAAAACGAAAGCCACAATATTACTCAGTCAAAACTTAGCTCGCCTTCATAGCATATTTTACTACTTTTTTTTTAAAGGGTGACATTTTCAGTTGAACTATCGGTAGTTATAATAACTTAACATATTTACATATTTATTAGACTCTAAGACACTAAATAATTTGAGTTAGGTCTGAACCTCTTTCTATAGTAGATACATTAACTGTCTGGCCATATTAAACCAATTAATAGTTTTGAGCTCCTTAAACAAGTACATTCTGTCCTCAAACTAAGCGAATGCTTTGGCCGTGGATATACATAGATACGCCCTTTCACTAGAGCCTAAAATTTAAATGCCAGGAATTATTCTACGTATTTGAGAGTAATGTGCATATATTAGTCACCCAATCTCTTTTGATGATCATGTATAGACACCAGTATGCAAATATGTTACCATATAACTCAAAATAAGTGCAATGGAGCATTTCTTACTCATGTGTTACTAAAATTCCTGTCTACAACTGAATCTAAGTTAGTCTAAGTGTATATAAATATGTTTATATAAAGACATATTTGAGAACTTTTGGTAATTAAAGAGGGTTTCATTTATCTATAAATTTTAGCTTCATCTCTCTGAGAGGGTGAAAGAGTGGTTCTGTTTATTTTCTGGTGTACAAAGTTTCTACATATATTTCTGAAACACCTCTAAGTTAACTGTACTGATTTAACCACCAAGCACCAAATCTGGGCCTCACACAGGTAGGCTACTCAATTAGTACCTGCTGACTAATGTACATCGAGCTGTCATTCTTGTACATCAAAGATGTGTACGTTTTTGGCAGATAATTTCAAGCAGCAACGTATTAAAGAAATAAAGCATATGCAACCTTAAACTTCCATTTGTGATCAGTCTTGTAAGTAGTGAAAAAAAATGCCTTGAACAGAGAATAATTCAAATGGCCAACAAACATTTAAGGTAATGCTCTGAGTCTTGAGACCATTCTGAAAGGAATAAGACATGTTTTCAGGCCTTGGCGAACTTATTCCATCACACAGAAGAGAGATCCCTTACACCACAAAGAAATTGGAAAGAAAGCTAATGTTTACAAAGTTCCATTCGAGGTGGCCTCATTCCCCAAACCATATTTTATTAGCATCACTTAAACCCAAATTTATAAATATTATGTTCTATCACCATAATTGTTATTTTCTAACATAGTTACTAGTTCTAATCCTAGATAGAATAGAAATTTTAGATTTAATATTGCCAAAACAAAATTTAAATATATTTAGAAAAGGCTCTGTTATTCCAGAAAAATTCAACTCTACACTTTTATCCGAATCTAATAGCTTCAATTATTTAGTTTTTTTTTTATTTATTTGCATGTTAGGTTGGCACATATGTCAAGACCCTAAACGGATGGGTCGATAAATATTGATGCATACCCCAAATTTGCAAAATAGTATAGAATTTCAGTAGATCTCACTGTCTTATGTGTTAAACATTCACAGTGGTAAAGAAGATATTTAAGATTTGTAAGTCTTCTCTATTTCTATTCTTAGAAAATGACAGTCAAATGAGAAATCAGATGTGTGGAAAACAGCTACTTCCCAGGAATTCCATAGCTCACCAGTAACTTTCCACTCTGAGAGTAATACACCCTAAGCAAAACGAGTTGGAATTGTGGGAAGAATCTAGAAAATCAAATAGCCACTTCTATCTGTTTATGTTAGGATTATGCTTTGTTTACTTTTCCTGTCAATCTTTTTTTTTTTTTTTTTTTGAATAACAATCCTCCTGAACACTCTGCAAGTGGAGTTAAAAGTAATAAGGAAAATAGTTTGGCATAATGATAATCCTTGGGCAGTTTCAATAATATCTTATTGTTGCACCTATCAAGTCTATTCCTGTTCTTCAAATTAGCTCCCATAAACTATCCTTAGTATCATCCCTCTAGACTAAACAAAAAGAGGAAAAAGCAAACAAGGCTCAGTCATCAACAGGATGCAAGGAAATGCTGCACAATTAGCAGAGGGTAGGGATGTATTCATTTAGCAAATATACACTAAGTATCTACTGTGTGCCAGCCTTGGCCCAGCCTAAAGACACAAGGGTGCTCTCAATCAGCTCTTAGCTTAGAGAGAGACAAACCTTTGCGCATCGAGTGATGTAACAAGGGCGTGAACAAAGTGCTGTTCATACTGAGGGGGAAGAAGTGATTCTGAATGAGGCAGTGAGGAGAGTTCACAGAGAAGGTGACGTAAGAGCTGAGCCATGGGGTTTGATAAATAAAGCCCTCTTAGGAGGCAGGCAATGGGTGGAGGTGCATTTCAGACAGATGGAAGAGCAAAGCCCAAAAGTAGGAAACATAGTGATCACTGGTGTTGGGAAGAACTTGGATCATAACCAAAGAATACAAAATGAAAAATGGGAATGCTAATGCAACTGACATAGTGGTATTGCCAAAGTCTAGGGATCTTCAGTTGAGAAACAGGAGACCAGAGTTCCAACCTGAGCTCATGTCACAGCTCATGGGAGGACCTTAGTTTTGTGCTTGTGCTTCTAAAACTGTAAACTAGAGAGAAAAATTATGAAATTGTTAGCCAGTGATAGGGTATATTCAGTAAGAAAGAAGAGTAGCTGTTGCCCACCTTTTTCCAAGGCAGGGAGAGCCTTTGCCTCAAATATACAGTACATCCCACATGCAGATTCCCATCTGCGTCCATTAAAAAATCTTAATTCCAGGTGTCAAAAAGTATTTGAAAGTTAGTAAAAAAACTGACTGTCCCTACCTTGCTTCGGAATGATTATGGTTACAGGGGTGCCAGAACCACTTGATTGTAGGTTGAGGGATACCATATGCGGTACAAGTCAGGATTTGTCTGCTGCCCAGTGGGTAGAGAGCCGGGTCTGGAAACGATGACACGGCCTTTTCGTAAATCTGGGGTTTCACTGGAAAGGAGATGAAGAACGGGACAGAAGTCAAGAGCAGTTCTAATGACTTTCTCCTGGGCCACACATGAAGGACCACATTCTCACTGGCTTTGATGTCAGGGAAACAAACAAGAAACAAAAAAACAAATAAACCCTCCTATTTGTCAAGAAAATGCAGATTTTTAAAAGTAGTAGCAGGGTTTTGAGATTATTAATAATTTGATTCCATGGTATGTACATTGTGATTACAGTGATAAAAGATCATGCCGCCTATGGAATACAACAAACAAACACGAGATTGTTAAGATGGGAACTTAACGTTAAGTGTTTTTTCAAATGATTATTTGAAATTTTGCTATCTTTGATGTTGTTACGCTGATTTTTGAATTCATAAATGTTCACTAATTTGTTGCCTACCAGAACCAGAAGAAAGTATGAACAGCAAACTTACCATTGACAATTAGAGTGGCAGTGAGGTTTTTAAACACATTTGACTGTTTTATGCTCAGCAAGATTGTATAATTCCCTGCATCCTCTTCAGTTACGTCCTTGATAATTAACGAGTAGCCACGAGTCAAATAGCGAGCAGATTTCTCAGTCGCAGGTAACCCATCTTTTAACCTGTGGTTAAAAACATGATCAGTAAGTCATTTCACACGGCCTCTCAATATCACTTTGATAACACGGTCATTGAAGTTTTTGAGCTCAAGTTGACCAATTTCAAACCTTTGATCATCAGTGTTGATTTTTAAAATGTAGGCATTAACTTTTGAGTAAAGGCAGATATGATTTTTAGACTGGGTAACACTTCATATTTATTGGCAAGGAAGAAGAAATAAAGCGAGCGAAGATAGAAAAGCAGTAGCTTAGTGTGCCCACAGGCATACTGGTGGCCACTGTGACTTAAGTATTAACCCAGAAGCAGGGGCTCTGATTCCATCCGAGATGTTTTTCAGAGTTTTCCACGAGGCTCCATCAGCAGTATAAGGGCCATTGTAAGTCAGATCAAGTAGATCACTTCTCCAGATAAAAATAAAAATAGACTTTTCTATTGTGGTCTCATGTGGAGTTCTTATTAGTTTTATAAATGGTCACACCAGTTGTCCCTTTCATAAACTAGAGTGAAATCAAGACTATCAAGATTTTTCCTCTGAGGAAGAACAGTTAAGGCACAGAAAAAAAAAAAACAGAAAGCATAAACTTAAAGAAATTTTAAAAACGTATTAAATACTGAATCGATGCATTGATATCACTCTGTTGCACACAGAACTGAGAGTCAGAGGCTTGGGTGCTTGACCTGGCTCTGCTACTCACTGCAGGCTGCTGCAAATGTGACTAACCAGTTTGGGCTCCAATTTTCTCAAATTTTCTAGAGGTTCTCAAAGTTTCCTTATAACTCTAAAATTCTATGATTTCATTAAAATGCATGGTTCTTTAAATAGGCAGTTTTAATCCATTAGGAGTTTCTTGTGTTCTGTATAAAGGTTTAATATTGGGAACTTAGTTCATTATCATGCATGATTATAAAGTCCTACAAACAAATTCCCATTACTAGTGTGTCTCAGATCCAAAGTAATTAAAATGAGGATGCTACACTTTGTGATTACAAATATTGTCTTGGTATTACTTTAAATTATTTCCTACAACAAGTCAGCATTTTTGACGGTGGATTGAATTTTTTTTTAATGCCCTTGCTACTTAGTTACTGAAGAAATCAACACTAACAGATGAGCGTGCCCTCAGACACTGGAAGAGTGAATGTACCTCCTGGAGTCATCAGATTACTATTCAATTTACTATTAAACCTAAAAATTTACTACTAAACGTTTTTGATATTCTGAAGCAAAAAAGATCATTTTTCTACTGCAATGGCATGAAGACATAGCACAAAGTTAAAATTTTCTCTTTAATTCCCTATTAAGTATTTGAGGGAACTGCAAACAAACACTGCCCTCATATGACATTGAAAGCCAAATCAGCTCTGGTTAGGGAGATTCTAAAATGGCGCCACATCCCTATTGTATGGATTGTTTTGCTAATCAGTTTTGTACTATACCCTTTGTTTAAAATGTAATGACTTGAGCCAAAGATATTGGCATTTAACAGTAATTTTGTAAAATGATTGCAGATCATAAACAGATTACATTGTTTTACATCAGGTGTTGTACCAGTGTTTTAAAAAACAACTGCTGAAGGAGGTTTTGAATATGTATCTTTCTAGCCAAAAAAAACTTAATTAGTTCAAATAGGCCCCATCGTCCCCCTCTTCAAATGAGTAAGTCTTGTCTCTATTAATGTTTGTTTAATTTTAAAACAGGACTGGAACTTTCAACCCAGCTGTATATAAAAGAATTATTTTCAGCATTCTCATTACAAGAGCCCACTTCTTCAGGGTTAATAGAGCATGTTACATATTCAAAATGCTTCCTAGTCATTGCTCAACACATCCCATTCAAAGAATGTTGACATCATAGGAAGGTTTAGAGATGCAGAAAGTTAGCCACAGTAAGAGACTAGACTGAAGCGAGCACTCAAACAAACCTCATCTCTCGCTTACCTTGCTACATTATTTCCTTTTCCCCAGCCCTTCTCACCTCCACCACCCAAGAATCTACAGAGTTCTGAGCTCTCTGGGGCTGTCTGAGGAACGTCTCTTGGTATTTTGTCAGGAATTCGAGTCATTAGGCTCTTGCAGCTTCCCACTTACAAAGTATGTCTTAAACTGTTATGGAAATAAGGATGGTCCTACCATACAACTTCCGGCGAGGGAAATGCCTTCACTTTCATAGAGAGCCGGTAAGACCGCTTGCCAGCTACGGTTTCAAGCACCTGCTGTTTTCGATGTTTCACAGTGATGAATGCTTTATCTTTGAAAGGAGAAGTGATACATACATTAGAAAAGAATAATTTCCATAAACAAAACCTTAGGGCCTCATTCAGGGAGGGTGTAATCAATGAGTAAATAAACAGAGCTGAATTATGATAGAGCCTATCAATGAGCCCAAATGTTGATCATGAATAGGATACTTTAAAAGCACTGTAATTGGTGAACGCCTTTCAAATCAAATGGTATCACGTCCTAGCCACATAAAACAGTGGCAGAGCAACAGAAAGTGAAACACCTTAAATATCTCTATCACAATAACAAAGAAGTGGGAAGATATTTCTAAAAATCTACCTGGCCACTATAAGCAAGGTGAGAAAAAGTTGCTCTGTACACCCTAAAACAACCAATTTGATATCAAAAATCAACTGGAGAAAGACAAAAGGAAATAAAGGCTACTGATAGAATTGTTCCATAGTTTCTGCCCTCCACACTGTTTCCTTTTCAGCAATGGAAATAAGGTCTTTAAGCATTTTCTTTATAGAATTTGCATACTGAAATTAAGCAACAGCATTAGGATTCCTTGAGAGTAAAAGCAGGAATAAAATAGCATTAATTCTAAATGATTTAGCATACCATATTTTTATTTCTCTAATTCATGGTAGTACCTGAGAAATTTTTCTTAGATAATAAAGATAAAACTCATCATCTTTTTCTGTTTTGTTTATACAGAACACTAAGAATTTCATAAATATATTAGGTTCTAACCGAATTATTAGCCATAATAAGCATCTAAAGAAAGGACTCTCTGTTCAATTCAAAAGTATTAAATGTAAAGAGTACTTAATGTGGTTTGCTTTTTGACAGGGGGAGGAGGGAACCATGGCCAAGCTGTATTCATTCATGATAATGTAACTCTTGGCCAACAGAAAACTGACTTATTTAGAGAACACAGACATCTACAATGATTAGAAAGCATAGCATGAGTTGGCAACGCTGAACTATGCTTACCATATATATGCACTGAGGTGTTAACAGATTTGAATGATGGTCCACTCCTTACACGACAAGTATAAAGTCCTTTGTCTTTGTTCTGCATTTTGTCAATAGTAAGAACACTGTAGAATATGTTGGCATGGGAATTGCTTTGGTCAATTCGTCGCCTTACGGAAGCTCTCTTATTTTTCTAGAAAGAAAATGTATAACAAATGTAGAAGGAGTGAGTGTTCATGCTTAAAGTTATATAGGATTTTAACATTTCTTAGATCATTAGTTCGACAACAGCTTCTGTTTTATACTAAGAATCATGTCAAATCCACCTAGAGCGTAATGTTTGGAAACTACATCTGTGTCTAGAGGTGCTTCAAATATGTAGCATAGCAGGATTTATTTAGCACTTAATTTTCTTCAAATACACTTTCACATATACTATCTCAATTGTTTGTCCCAACAACCTAATGAGATTGGCAGGCTGACTGCCCTTTTAGTGATGAAAAAACTGAAGGAAGTGATACCCTGGCCCAAGTTGGCTAGGAACTGAAGTTGTTTGAGCATAAATCTAGTGTCCTTCCTCTGGCACACACACCTCTCTACACAGTAACCTGTTCCCTAGGCATAGATATCGCACACAAACGTGGACAATCATAAGCCTTAGTTAGTGTCTGGCTTAATGACAGTGCTTCTCTCACCAAATCACCATGTGAGTTTCCTTTTTTGTCCCTACGAGATATGAAGGAAAATATAATGAGTCTTGGCTGTACTTACTAAGGTGGAATAATGCTATAGTTTCATTATTTCACTATTTGAACAGTGCTTGCCCATGTCAGCTAAATCACAGTAAATGGATCTTTAACCAAGACTTGGAAGGTGCTGTCCCAGGTTTGTCTCAGAGAAGATCAAGAATTAGCCTTAGGCTCTGCAATCTGACCTGGCCACAATGACAGTCCTGCTCACTGTTTTGAGAAGACAAGATCACATTGCCGTCTCCTTTTTTTTTTAAGCACTATATTTTATAACTAATAAGTTATTTCCACCTCTCAATCCTTCCCCATAGTCATAGGGGGCGGAGGGGAGGAGCATGGAAAAATGTCTTTGGGAGCTGTCCAGAACTGATTTTTGGATCTTGAGCTTAGTTCTCCTCTGTGCCACGTTTAATACACTTCTACCCACCTGTCCTTTTACTTCCCCATTGGAACAGACAGACACATGTTGAGGCCATTTTCTTCATTCTCAGCAATAACCAGAGAGAAAAGTCAATTGCCACTATCAAAAGTCAGAGAACTAGTCCCCTAACGTAACAGACTGAGGGAGCTTTCTGCAGCTCTATTTATACAGGTACTACTTCCTTTGCCAAGCTGAGTAACACTGGTATTGCTTCTGACTTGGGAAAGAACTCATCCTGTGTTTTAGAATTGCTTCGCCCAGTACTGCAGCCACCAGCCACGTGTGGCTATTAAAATTAAATGAAATCAAAAATTCATTTCCTCAGTCACACTAGTCACATTTCAAGTGCTCATCTGCCATATGTGGCTAGTGGCACAGTACTGGAGCACAAATACGGGATATTTCCATCACAGAAAGTTCTGCTGGACAGTGCTGTTTTAGAAGATTATTAGCATTTAATAGATGTGTTGTAGATACTCTTACTTACAGCAGCAATGCTAGCAGGATAAAAGTTTCTTCCCTCTTGGCACTTACGGAGAATATTTGATTTCTATTAAAACCCAGAAAATATTGCTACAAGCCATAGCATTTTTATTTAAATGAAACAATACCTCTCCTAGAGAATAGTTTATGACTGATAAGTCCTTAATGTGTCCCTACAGGGCACTCGTTACACGTTTTTGTTGCTAAGTTATTCCATTTCCATGGCGAGAAATGTCGATGAAAAACAACACTAGCTTGAGGCTGATGCATTAATCTTTCATACATAATTTAATCATAAATTGACTTTGTAATTGGGCAATCTGAACGACATAACAAATGATTGTACTTGAGATATGCCGCATAAATCATGCTGACACACAAGAAATGGGGGCTAGAACTACTGTCAAAATTTCCGTAACAGTTTATCATAGTTTCCCCATCTATACATTTTTAAAACAATTATTGTTTGCAAGGATGTTCGATTTGAATAAGGGAACCCAACGCAGGCTTCATTCTTCTCATTTTTCTGAAGGACAGAATTGCTCCCCTGACACTTAACAAATGGAATATTGGATGGCTGGGTTGTAATATCTTTTCCAAACATGCTCCAATCAGGTGCCTGACTGTCTGCCAGTATCTTAAATGAATGCGCTGACAGAGACAGCCTCCTGGAAAGTTGTTGTTGTTGTTACAAAAGGCAGTCCCTGCCTGGCATTTGGTGATAAATTTCTCTCTCATCTCTAAATCCTACAGAGTAGTTTCCAAGAATGAAACAATCCCTTTTCTTCCACCTAGAATCATGCAATAGAAATACCAGTCTACACTCTTCAAAACAAAACCCCCAGACATCAAAAGACAGTATCTATGCATATCACACTCATGAAATGCCAGGCAAAGAAAGCACTCAAACCAAACCCAAAGCTTCTTTATTGACTAACACTGCCACAGGAGTCAGGATTTTCTGATTTTTCCCATCTCAAAACCCCTGCGGGATTTCACTTGCTTAAAATACTGTCCTGCAGAAGAAATAGAAAAATGGGTCACTCACTTCATCAGGGTAACTCCAGGTCATTTGAACTCTCGTGTTCAAGGGAGTGGTAGCAGTACAATTGAGGACAAGAGTATGGCCTCTAAGTAATTTGACTGGGCGTGGTGTGCTTATTTGGACATCTATGATTGTATTGGCTGCAAGCATAAGAGAGAAATTTTTTAAAATTAAGATTTCATTACACAGATAAAAATACAGAGCACTTCGGCTTATGTTCATGCCTTTGAAGCATCACTTACTTTGTCGATGTGTGAGATAGTTTGTCTTATACAAATGCCCATTGACTGTTGCTTCACAGGTCAGAAGCCCTATTTCTTTGTACGTTGCATTTGATATGATGAAGCCCTTTCTACTGTCCCAGATTATGCGTTTTCCATCAGGGATCAAAGTGTCAAGTGGAAACTGAAAAGGAAGAGGCATGCATTAACAAGGTCCTATTAGCACTGGTTGGCAATACTGTTTCACCAGCAGTTTGTGAAAACATGATTTTTCATCTAAAATGAAAATAGTAAAACTTTGTAGTTTGCTTATAACAAACTAGGTTAAAAACTCTAGTTTGTTATAATTGGTTCTTGAGTTTTTTTGCATATAGCAAAAGATATTTGCATTATGATAAATTATAGTAATTATGATAATTTACTATCAGCCTTGGCAACAAGTGGCATCTACCCAGGATAGACCTACTTGTCATGTCAGACTTTCAGTTGGAGCCCATAACTCTTTGGCCTCCGGGAATCTTCATAATAAGCTGGTCAGACACTCAATAGACAAACCAATTAAGAGGCCGGGCGTGGTGGCTCACGCCTGTAATTCCAGTACTTTGGGAGGCCGAGGTGGGCGGATCACCTGAGGTTAGCAGTTAGAGACCAGCCTGGCCAACATGGTGAAACCCCGTCTCTACTAGAAATACAAAAATTAGCTGGGCATTGTGGCAGGCGCCTGTAATCCCAGCCTCTCGGGAGGCTGAGGCAGGAGAATCGCTTGAACCCGGGAGGCAGAGGTTGCAGTGAGCTGAGATCACACCACTGCACTCCAGCCTGGGTGATAGAACGAGACTCTGTCTCAAAAACAGAGAGAGAAACCAATTAGCATTTTTTTTCTACCGGGGCTGCCAGATTATTCTCATTTGTTTTCATCATCCAGCGCTTTTAACAAGCCATAGTTTTTCCTCCCATTTTGCATAGTTTACTGAAGAAGTGGCTGTCTTCAAAAGAGTGTAAATAATTCCAGGTCCTCCAAGATTCATAACATTAACTCAGCACTCACTGGGGCTGTCATTCTGACGATCCTGCTGTGTCACAAGGAAGGCATCAGCTCTGCCTCTGGAAAGGAAACTCCCAGAAGCTGAAGCTGCTGATGGTGAAGGCAGCCTCGGAGGCCAGAGACTCTGCAATGAATGAAGTGCTCTCTAATGCTCAGAAGTATTCCCAAGCACGGTGAGTCCAAACAGAAGAAAATAATCCATGATCTGACTTTCTCCTTATGCCTTCTTCTGACATCAAGAATGTAACATTTAAAGACTACAAGATAAACACTCTGCCTTGGGATTAAACTTTATTTATAAAGGGTCATTGCTCCATAAAGTGGCCCAGCCAAATTCCCCTGATGCCAGGTTGCCAGCCCAATTTCAGTGGTGGTAGACTCCCAACTACCACTATTCCTTATTCCCAGTTGAAAAAGGGGGAAAAAAATCAAATTACCTTCCCCCAACAGATTATAAAGGAAATACCAAACAGCCACAAAGAAGCTCGAAACCTTTTCTATCGCCTTTTAAAAAGTACACCTGGCATCCCTCGCTCTATCCAGTTATCATTTATTTCTATTGCTTGCTGAAGGCGCTGATCTGGATTTGTGATCCTATGGCAGAGATTTCTAGTCCAGAAGCCACTAGTGCCTCTCTTCCAGGGACTATGCCTACATCGGAATGTATTACCGGTGTTCCTTGGGTTTGAAATTAATTACATCCTGTTTATGAAGAACTGAAAGCAATTAAAGGATTCGCTTTCATGTTTCAGTAAATCAAGGTGCTACCTGTAAACTCAGGAATGCAGTCGGTGGGAAAAAAAGAACCTTCTCTTCTAATTTAGTGCAAGCAAAGGAAAAACCCAGAAAAATTTAAGTCAGGGACTGAAATCTATGGTACTTTACAAATAAGTGAAAACAAGCATGTGCTGAATCTAAAAGAAAGGATTGCTGACAGACGTCCTCAGTACAACTTAAAAATACACTAAAATTTCCTCCGAAGTGTTTCTCTTACTCTCATCTATCCATTACGGCTGTTAGTAGCATTCCATTGACAAAGTAACTTTACATTTAGCTGACAAGATCTAAAGCAGTCAAAGACTGTAGCCCATCAGCTGTGGCCACCACCGCATGTGTAAGAATGAAGGCAGATGGGCAGGTGGATCTCAGCCTCGAAAGGAAGCCCTGGGCAGCAAGGCCTGTCTGCAGCTGACCATGGCTCCGACAAAGCAGGCATGTGAAAAGGAGAGGGAGGGGACAGAAAATTAGAAGAAAAGGGACAATAAGAGAAATGAAAGGGAAAGATATTAACTTCATGTCAGCAGAAATACGTCATAGGTTAGAATATTTCCAGTATATATGTGCCAAACCAAAATCCCTGTGAAAATTTTACACTTCTCTTTCTCTCTTTTTAAATTGTGCACTCCAGATCGTAGGCAGAAAAAACAGTAAATAGACTCCCACCAGCCCCAGATTTTTATATGGGAATTTTGGAATGCTCCTGATGACCAAACAACCCATCTGCATTAGCGCTCCCATGAAAGAGAACGTTTCCCTCTCCACGTGGTGTTTTCCATATTAATCATACAGCAATAATTATCTCAGACTAATGGGAGTAATGCCATGCTATTGAAAACATGACTTGGTAATATACCAAGTACAGTATTGGGTGTTAAACTGTTAAATAATGCTAAAGCTAACCCTTGAATAGGGCTGATCTTGTACTTAGATACTGTTCTAAGTGCTTTCCATATATCACCTGACTTAAGTTTTCTAACAGCAATGTGAGGTGGTACTATTGTCATTACCCCCTTCCTCAGATGGGGAGAGTGAGGTGGAGAGAGGTTTGATAACTCATTAGTTTGCCCAGTGACAAGTGCAGTATGTTCAGAGTGCAGGCAATGTGGCACCAGCCTCTGCTCTTAACCACACTTGTCTTCCTCCTATATGAACTAGACCATTCAAGAAGGATGGCAGGAACACTGAATGAGAAGGCAAGGTATTGGCTCAAATGCCCAGTATGACCTGCGAAGTTCCTGACACTCTGGAAACCAGGGTGTTTTTATCTTGACCAACTGAGGAGTTCAACTCCTCTGGCGTTTCCAGCTCTGCTGTATAATGACTTTCTATTTCCTGGCGATGGCACACAAATGTAGTGGAGGCCAAAACCTGTCTCTGATGGACTATGTTGAAGGCCTACGTGAGTAACAACCCAGGAGAGTGAATGCAAGGAAAGAGGATAAGGAGAATCCTCCACCACATTTCAGGACTCAGGGTTGATGGGTGAGACTGAACATCATTCTCTGAACTTTTCCAGCCTAACTGCCACAGCTACCAGCACCAAACACTTCCTGAGTGCCTGCTCTGTGATGCACTGTGCGAGGTGCTGCTCTGGGGCGGACTTGACTTTCTCTCTTAAAGTTCTAAGCTCTCAGAACTTAGCACAGTTTTCCGTTTGGGGAGCTTTTATCCAGTTCTGAGTCCTGGTATACTCCTAACTCTTACTGCTGATTAATTAGCTAGAATGTCATAGGTTTAGTTTTTGTCTTTATTAGATTCTACCCTAAATCTTTTACCTTTCCATATGTACAATTTACAATATAGTATGAAGAAAAGTTTCACGTATGGCCTTCTTTCCTCCCTTTTTCCCTAAGAGATGAAGTTTGGGTGCTCAGCAGGAGACAGGCCTTTTATCACAAGGAACTTGCCAATTCAAACCAAACGTGCTGGCTCCTTATGCATGAAGCCAGAACATATCGATGCCTGGAGAACTGGGCACCCTGCTGACATTCTGTCTTCTCTGCAGTAATCTGGATAATCCACTCTCTGCAAAGTTATTAATTTGTGTAAGCAGCAGAATTGATTTTTCTCACATTTGCACACAGTTGGGTTTGTGGCAATACATAACATTTTTCACGATTTCAGTTCTTTCATTATTCACATCGATTTATGCTTAAGACACCATCATTTTATTCTATTTAACCACATGCATGGACATAACTTCTAGCACTATTCCTTATAGTAAAAGGATGTTACAGGAAAGTCCACTGAGAAGCCCAGGTGTTTGTAAGGAAATTATTCCAGAAAGATAGAACGAGTAAAACTTCATTATGCTTATTTGCAGTGAAAGTATGCTGAGAATAGCGGTGTTCAAATTTACCTTTTTTAAAGTAACAGTGATGTTAGGTGACGTAACCCGGCAGGGAATGACGAGCTCCCTTCCTTCAGTCATGTGTATAATTTCGGGGATTTCACTGTACATCTCTACGAAAGGTCTACCTGTATCTGAATGAGAAGAAAATGAAAAAAATATATACATAAATGATTGACATGCAAGCATCTAGACACTGTAGCTAGTGTGGTATGGTAGGCATTGCCACAGTCACGTCATTCTCCCTTAATGTAATCCATACATTCACATCTTTGTCTCTGAATTTGGCCCTCTGTGTTTCTACCCAGAAAAAGAAAGCTTCCCTAATAAAACCTAATTTCATATCTGTTGTTGGCCTCTGATCAGATTGCCCCAATACCTTAATATGCAATGTGGTATGGGGGGACCACTGTGGGAAAAAGCCTAAAAGTGCAGTAGGAGAGAAAGGAGAAAATTCTGCATAGACTTCTCACCACAGCTATGCTAAGTGCCTCAGGAAGCGCCCTCCAGAGCCTTTGTAAGTGCTCAAAGGGCATAGATGCAGTGGCGAAGGTCAACTCTCTTTGGAGAATTCAAGGTGATGCAGAAGTCTAGCAAGTTGAGGAGAGGATTATCATTTGAATGACAGAAGCATGACTTAAAGGTTTTCTAGACTTTTCCTCGGAGGCTAATAATAATGAATGAGAAGGTCTGAGCTGCTTAGGGGGAGGCGGACAGGCCGGAGAAGCTGTGTTGAATGCTGCATTTATTTCATATGTATATTAGGCTTATTTCTTTAGTATGCGCTACTTACCTGCTAATAGCAAAGTCTGTGCAAGTGCCTGCAGAGAAGTCTGGAAAAGACTTTAAGCACCAATACTTCCTTAAAAAGCGTGGCATTTGGCCAGTCTCAGAGGCAAGGAGGATTCAAACACCTGTTCAGCTTCCCTGTAACTCCTCAGGGAACCAGAATGAGTCCAAGATCCTTTTAGAAACATTCTCAGTCTACCCTGCCCTTGCCCTCGGGAATCTATTGACATCCTCAGGCAACGATCTCTTCGGGAGTCATTGTGTTCTGATCGTCCCGCATTTGTTCCAGCCTTATATACTAAATGGAAAGAAGTCCTGTGTGAACTCTCTCCATTTGGACCTGAAAGAACCAACCAGGCCCCCACCTGCTTGCTGGTCCTGCCTCAGGTTTGTGGATTACGAAGCTAATTCAGGATGCTGAATGGAGAAGGAATTGGAGAGAAACAAAAGCAGTAAGCAGGCAATGGTTGCCCAGACTAGATGGTGGCTACAGTGATCATTATGGTAGAACTGTGTCCCCACCAAAACGATATGCTGAAGTCCTAACCCCCCTGTACTTCTGAATGTAACCTCATTTGAAAACAGGATTGTTGCAAATGTAATTGCTTAAGCTAAGTAAGGGAGGGCTCCTCATCCAATGTGATTAGCATCCTTGTAAGAAGGCAGTCATGTGAAGACAGACAGGGTGTGCAGACTCGCACTATGTGCAGATGGAGGCAGAGACAGGTGTGATGCAGCGGCAAGCCAAAGAATGCCAAGGATTGCGGGCAACCACCAGCATGTAGGAAGAGGCGAGGGAGGGTTCTTCTGCAGGTTTCAGAAGGGGCATGGCCCAGATGATTTGATTTCAGACTTAGAGTTTCCAGAACTGTGAGATAATACATTTCTGTAGTTTTAAGCCAAAAAAGAAAAAAAAGTGGGCCATTGCTGTAGCCTGCTGAAGATGGGATAGTTTTCTGCACAGCAGTGTGGAATGGAGGCACAGATGTGAGCTCTAGAGAGACCCTTTCACCACAGCCCATCTTGTGTGGTCCCTGGCACCTATATGTTAATTATTCCCACTCATCCTCCGGGAAGCCTTGCTAGCCCCCTTCCTTCCTGCACCCTTCTCCACCCTAGCCCACATTAGGGACTTTCCCAGTGTTCCCATTGATTCTGTTACAACACGGTCCACAGAACCAGCAGTTTTTTTCTCTGGGTACTCCTTGGATGCTACATTCCTAGAGGAGAGGAAATGGATTGTATTCATGTCTGTCTCATGTGTACTGAATGAATGAGTGAACGGGTATCCAACCCCGTCCTTTTACAGATGAGAAAAGAGGCACAAACAGGTGAAATGAGTTGTCTAGATGGGCACAGCCAGGCCTGTAGGCCAGTTACTTCTGCCTCCAATCTAGAGCCCCTTCCCTGGCGGCACCCTGAAGGCTGAACCTCTGGCTACGTTCTCTTGAAGGCCCCCATAGAAAGGGCTGCCAGCAGGTGACAATGGTTTTTCAGAGATGAAGGCTGATTTCCACACATTCAGTGGGAAAGTAAGTGCCTCATGGTACTGCATAGTGTTGGAGAAATTCTGAAAAAGGGCTGAACACCAAGGCATGGTGTGTGAGAGCAGGCTTTGGGGCAGGCTTTGAGTCGGAGGGAGGTGGTTCAGAGTACGCCTCAAAGCCTGGGTTTAATCCTGGCTGTGGTCCTGTGTAACTGTGAGACCTTGGGGAAATCATTATACCCTCTGTGCCTCATTTGTAAAATCTAAGTGAAAGGGCTATGATGAGGATTACATGAATTAATATATGTAAAGCACTTAGAATGATGCCTGGCAAATAGTTAGCTGTTAATTTTCTTATTATTATTATGACTCATTTGAACTTATGAACAAAGTGTTAGAGTTGGCAGTTAGGCAGACATGAGTGGGACAGGAGAGTGCCCCTCCTCCCAAGAATGTCAGGTGACCATCAGGTGATGGTCAGGTGGTTATTAAACTGTCTTTCTAAAATAATAATTAGTCACAGCTGGCACCAGAGACCGTCTCCCAACAGATAGGAAACACCTGAAGCTGGTGATCAGCAGCTTCCTGATAAGATCTCAGAAGTTGGGGGAGCAGGCTCAAGCATGCACACTCAAAGGCAAAATGGCACAGTTTAACCGGTATATGACTTTCCTCTGTGAATGCTCAACTGGTAAGGGAAAAACACCTCAAGTGAGCACAAACACAACTTCAGTAAACACAGTGCGCATGTGGCTCCTCCCAGGTGCTGGCAGGCCACTGTGCATGTGGACAGCCCATCCCAAAGGAAAAATCAGGGGAAAATAAACACAAACCCTTGAATCTCTCCAGTTGCCTGCTTGGCCCTCTGCCAAGTGTAGTTTGCTTCCTCTCATTCCTGCTCTAAAACTGTTTAATAAACTCTCGCTCCTGCTCTAAAATTTGCCTCAGTCTCTCCCTCTGCCTTACACCTACTAATGCCCTTGGCTGAATTCCTTCCTCCAAGGAGGCAAGGATCAAGTTGCTGTAGACCCATACAGATTCGCTGCTGGTACCAGTAGGTAGATATGAAAATCACAAATTATACTCATCATCTTAACTATCAAAAATATAAATATATATTGATATAGTGGCATAGGAAAAAGGATTGGAAACAAACATACTAAAATTTTAAGAGCCAGGTGCAGTGGCTCACACCTGTAGTCTCAGCACTTTGGGAGGCTGAGGCAGGAGGATCACTTGAGGCCAAGAGTTTGAGACCAGCCTGGGCAACATAGCAAGATCCCTTCTCTGCCCAAAAAAAGTTAAAAATGATTATCTTTGGGTGTTGGCTTTATGGATTATTGTTGTTCTTATTTACCTTCTTCTATATTTGTCAGTCTTTCTAGAATGATCATGCATTATTTTATAGTAATATTTTTAATTATTAAAGTTAAAACTCAAATGATAAAGCTCCATCCATTTTTGCTTAAGGAAAACTATAAATTTTGCATTTGATTTACCTGAGTTTCATCCTCTATAATAGAATGAGACATTAACTGTCACAGTTAATAAACTTATGTGTTTATTAGGAAATCTCAGTGGGTGTAGTAACATATGCAGAGAGAAAAAGTTAATCAGATAGACACAAGGGTTTCTTATCAGAATTAAATTCTTCCTTTAAATAAAGTTGCTGAGCTAGACATTCAGCCATGGACTATTGGGATTTGATCATTCCTTTCCTTCCTCTTGTGAGTCTATATTTTTGTCTCTTTTGTGCATCCCAAGGTAAACACAAACACTAAGAAATGGTTTAATTCATTTAACTAAATTGTAAATCCTTCATATTTAATTTACTGTCTCCTTAAGCAACTGTTTTCAACAAAGGACACTGGCACAAAAAGTTCCTACAGGAGATAATAAAATCAGTGTAGTCATTTCTAGACTAATGAATACCAATCCCAAATGAAAATAGAAAAGGTTAATTCAACATATCTTTGAATTTCTTCTTTCCCTTTGGTACTGTGGATCCCCAAAAAACTTAAATTTTACTACAGCTATTGGCCTCTAAAAGCCAATACCAATTTCAGCACTGGGTCCACTGAAATTCTATCCGAAGATATCAGAACTTCAGTGATTTGTGTCCCTCCAAACACTATGCAAAACACATTATTTGTGTGACAGTCAAAAGTGGCATTATAAATCCACTGTGTTTGCAAATGAGCATATGACTGTAGATACACACACACACACACACACACACACACACACGAACACACGAACAATACTCTCTGGGCTTATTAATAGTATATTTCCTCTGCAATTTACTTCAAGGAAGGGCTAAGAATGAATTTGCCTGACATATAATAATACAAACATATTTTGTTTTGTAGGACCATAGATATAGAAGAGGTCACGGTTCCATTAATATCACCAGTAAAACCACTTACTACTCCCGTAGGACACATCTGTCTTTGTCACAAAATTAAAAATGACTTCCAATCCCAGCCAGCACTGCAGAGTGATTTCCTGAGACCAAATTGGCTGGTTGTTGAAAGAGTGAGGAAGAGCTGCTCCAAAGACTGCCGGTGTACTGGCAGCTCAGACACACTGTCACCAGGGACTCATGCCAACACTCAGCTAGGTGGAGGTCACACTGCCCTCACCTCTCTGAACTCTTAGAGCTCAAAGCAGTGACAGGAAACTGGCATAGAATATGAGGTTTTCTCACCCACTGGGAGTATCTGGGCTGTCACCTATCCTTCAGGACAACAAGTGGGCTCAGACACAGAGAAAGATCAAACAGGGACCCTTGCTCAGAATGGAACGATGTCTATTTTTTAAATGTGTTTTTTCCTTTTGAAATCTGTAATCATGCTGGCACATTGAAGCATACAGACATAGTGGCCCCTGCATGTTATCCTCAATGGATTCCATTTCCAACTGGCATCACCTGGGAGCTCTGCTGTGTTCAGAGCAAGTAAACAATGTTCAAAATTTAGGACTTGTGACTTGAAGAGGAGTTCAAGAGTAAACACATTGTTTTCTAGCACATGTACATATTTATGGTTTTTACAAAGTTTTTCCTGGTTGCCTTTCTTTTAATTGCATTTTTATCCTGGTCATGAGGACATCTAGTCATTTTAAAGGAGGGTATGATTTTCATTTACTGAAGATGAAGGGGAGAGGATAAAAAATGAATTAACCAATCCCATGAAAAGGGTTCTATCTAGACATAAGAGTTTTCACATCACACAGATCTTCATATTGTGGACCGTAAGTAATACTCAAGGAGAATGTACTGATTGGTAAAATATTTTATTTGAAATATGAGCAAGAAAAGAAAACAGGCAGGTTCTTCCATGACTTACACTGCCTATCAAAGCCACTGACAACTCAAAACAGAGCTTTGGAGCAACCACAAGAAAGTTGGAGTAGTTATACTAACATCAGACAAAATAGACTTTTAAATAAGAAATTATTAGTGAGGAAATGGTTAGTGAAGATAGAGAGGGGTGTTTGATAATATTAAGAGGGTCAATCCTTGAGGAAGATATAACAATTAAAAACATATATGTACCTAATAACAGAGCACTAACACACAGGAAGCAAAACCTGACAGAATCAAAGGGAGAAATAGACAGTTCAACAATAACAGGTGAAGATTTCAATACCCCACTTTCAATAGTAGATAGTGGGCTAGGCATAGTGGCTCATGTCTGTAATCCCAGCACTTTGGGAGGCCAAGGCAGGTGGATCACTTGAGGTCAGGAATTCAAGACCAGCCTGGTCAACATGGCGAAACCCCATCTCCACTAAAAATACACAAGTTAGCCAGTGTGGTGATGCACGCCTGAAGTCTCAACTACTCGGGAGGCTGAGGCAGGAGACTGGCTTGAACCCAGGAGGCAGATGTTGCAGTGAGCTGAGATCACACCACTGCACTCCAGCCTGGGCGACACAGCAAGACTCCACTTAAAAAAAAAAGTGGATAGAAGAACTGGACAGAAGATTTTAAAAAGCTAGTAGAACACCAGAACAACACTACTAACCAACTATACCCAACGACATCTATAGAACACTTCACCCATCACAGCAGGGTATATATTTTCCTCAAGTGCACATGAAACATTCTCCAAGATAGACCATATGCTAGACCATAAAACAAACCTCAATAAATTTAAAAGGATAGAAATAATACAAAGTATGTTGTCTGAATACAGTGGAATGCAATTAAAAATCAATAACAGAAATAAATTTGAAAAATTCACAAATATGTGGAAATTGACACATCCCTAAATAATCAATGGGTCAAAGAAGAAATTTAAAAAGAAATTAGAAAATACTTTGGTATGAATGTAAATGAAGACACAGCATACTAAAATTTAAAATTTACGGGATGAAGCTAAAACAGTGTTTAGAGGGGAATTTATAGCTATAAATGCTTATATTGATAAAGAAGAAACATCTCAAATCAATAACCTAAACTTCCACCTTAGAACATTGAGTAAAGAACAGAAAACTAAACCTAGAGAAAGCATAAGGGAGAAAATAATAAAGATTATAGTAGAAATTAAAGAGAATGCAAAACAACAGAATAAATTAGTTTCATTAATTTTCTAAACCAAAAGCTGGTTCTTTGAAAAGACAAACACAACTAATAAACCTTAAGCCAGACAAGCCAAGAAAAAAAGAGACAAGACTCAAATTACTAGATTCAGAAATGAAACAGGGCCAGGTGCAGTGGCTCATGCCCGTAATCCCAGCACTTTGGGAGGCTGAGACGGGTGGATTATCTGAGGCAAGGGTTCAAGACCAGCCTGGCCAACATGGTGAAAACCCATCTCTACTAAAAATACAAAAATTAGCCAGGCATGATGGTGGACTCCTGTAATCCCAGCTACTCAGGAGGCTAAGGCAGGAGAATCGCTTGAACCCAGGTGGCAGAGGTTGCAGGAGCCGAGATTGTGCCACTGCACTCCAGCCTGGGTGACAGAGCTAGACTAAAAAGAAATGAAACAGTGGACATTACTATTAAAATTATAAATTAAAAAGCATTATGAAGGAATATTATAATTATATGCCATTACATTAGATCACAGATGAAATGGATAAATGCCGGGAAAGACACAAACTACTGAAACAAGCTCAACAAGAATTAGACAACCCAAGCAGACTTTTAACAAGAGATTGAATTGTAACAACAACAACAACAACAACAACAAGCTGCTCACGAGGGAAAGTCAGGGCCCAGATGGCAAGTCAATTCTACCAAACATAAAGAACTAATACCAATTTTTCACAAACTTTTCCAAAAAATAGAAGAGAAGAGAAAACTTTCCAACTCATTCTAGGAGGCTAGTTTTACTCTGATATCAAAATCAAAGACATCACAAGAAAATGACAAACCAATATCTATTACGAATATAGCTGCAAAAAACTCAATAAAGTACTAGCAAACTGAATTCAGAAACATATAAAAAGAATTATATACAATGCCCAAGTGGGATTTTTTTCAGGAATGCAAGATTGGTTTAACATCCAAAAACCAATGTAATTACTATATCATGTCAATAGAATAAACATCAAAACCCACATGACTATCTTAAAATGGCAGAAGAAGGATTTGACAAAAATCCAAGCTCCTTTCGTGATGAAAACACTCAGGAAAATGGGAATTGCACTGAATTTCCTCAACCTAATAAATGGCATCTAGAAAAAACCCTACGTCTAACATCATATTTAATGGTGAAGCACTGGAAGTTTCCCCCTAAGATCAGGAATAAGACATCGTTGTCCACCCTCACCGCTTCTATTCAATAGTGTACTAGAGGTTCCAGACAGAGCAATTGGGCAAGAAAAATAAATCCAGATTGGGAAGATCAAAATGGTACAGGTATTTTGGAAAACAGTCTCTGTTTTCAGATGACATGATCTTACAAAATGCTAAGGAATCCACTAAAAAACTACTAGAATTAATAAATGAGTTCAGCAAGATTGCAGGATACAATGTACAAAATGAATTATATTCCTATACATTTGCGATGAACAATCTGAATGTGAAATTAAGAAAACAATTCCATTTATAACAGCATCAAAAAGAATAATGTGTTTAGGAATATATTTAACAAAAGAAATGTACAACTTATACTTTGAAAACTATAAGACATTGTGGAAAGAAATTAAAGAAGATCTACTAAGTGGGAAACATCTCATGTTCATGGATTAGAAGACTTAATATTGTTAAGATGTTAATGTCCCCCAAATTGATCTACAGATTAAATGCAATAACTGTAAGAATCCCAGATGACTTCACAGAAATTGACAAGGTGATTCTAAAATTCATATGAAATTGCAAGAGACCCAGAATAGACAAAACAATCTTGAAAAGCAAAAACAATCTTGGAAGACCGCACTCCACATTTCTTGATTTCAGATGAAAACTACAATGATCAAGACAGTGTGGTGCTGGCACAATGGATTAGTGGAATAGAATTGAGACTCCAGAGATGAACCCATGTGTCTATGGCCACTTGATTTTCAAGGAGACCATTCAGTGGGGAAAGAATAATCTTTTCAACAAATGGTGCTGGAACAGCTCCACATGCAAAAGAATGGAGTTGTACTCTTATATCACACCATATACAAATATTAACCAAAAACTGCTAACTATAAAAAATATATATTTTATAGTTATATAATATAATATATAATATATTATATATTTTATATATATTTGCAAAAGGGTCTCACTTTTCTAGGCTGAAGTGCAGTGGCAGGACCATGGCTCACTGCAGCTTCAACATCCCAGGCGCAAGTGATGCCCCCACCTCAGCCTCCTGAGTAGCTCAGACTATAGGAATGTGCCACCACACCCAGCTAATTTTTTTTTAAAAATTTTTTTGTAGAGATAAGGGTTTCACTATGTTGCCAGGGCTGGTCTCAAACTCCTGGGCTCAAGCAGTCCTCCTGCCCCGGTCTCCCAAAGTGCTGGGATTGCAGGCATGAGCCACCACACCTGGCCTAATACAATATTCTCAGAAGAAACCAGAGGTAAATCTTCATGATCTCAAATATGGCATTGGATTCTTATATATGATACCAAAAGCACAAGCAACACAAGAAAAAATAAACTGAACTTTATTAAAATTTGAAACTTGCATGCTTCAAAGAACACTGTGTAGAAAGTGAAAAGGTAACCCAAAGAATGGGAGAAAACATTTGCAAATTATATATCTCATAAGGGACTTAAATCTGGAATGTATAAAATATATTTTTATATGCCTCAAATATATTTTTAAAATCTACATATATAATATATAAACATATGTTTAGAATACATAAAAATCTAGATATATTATGTATCTATATATTATATCTCTAGAACATATAAAATATATTATAATATACAATTGTATGAAATAATAAAAAGTTGAAGAACTCTTACAACTCAGTAATAAAGACAAGCTAATTAAAAATGGGAAAAGGATCTGAACTGACATTTACCCAAAGAAGATAAACAAGCAGGGAATAAACAAATGAAAAGATACTTAACATCATAAGCCATCATGGAAATACCAATCAAAACCACAATGAGATTCACTGCATACCCACTAAAATGGCTATAATAAAAAAGACATAATTACAAGTGTTGGCAAGGATGTGGAGCAACTGGAACTCTCATCCACTGCTGGTGGGAATGTGAAGTAGTGCACCCACTTTGGAAAGCAGTCTGGCAGTTCCTCAAATTGTTAAACATAGAGTTACCAGATGACCCAGCAATTCCACCCCTAGGTATCTACCCAAGTGAATGAAAACTTGTGTCCACACAAAAGCTTGTACACAAATGTTTACTGTAGCACTATTCATAATAGGCAAAAGGTGGAAGCAACTCAAATGTCCATCAGTTGATTGATGGATAGCTAAAATGTGATATGTCCATACAATGGAATATTACTCAGAAATAGAAAGAAATCAAGTGCTGATACATGCATGATACATGAAAGAACCTCAAAAATATTATGCTGAGTGAAAGAAATTAGTCACAAAAGACTACAAATTATGTATTCTATTTATATAAAATATCCATGAGACAAATCTATGGGAACAGAAAGTAGATAAGTGGTTGTTTAGGGCTGGGGGGATAAGGGGTGATAGCTAAAGGCTATGGAGTTTATTTTGAGACAATGACATATTCTAAAATTGACCGTGATGATGATGGTTGCATATATCTGTCAATATGCTACAAACCACTGAATCATCATTTTAAATGGGTGTGGTATGTAAATTATATCTCAATAAAACTTATTTTGAATTAAAACAGAGGTTTAGTCTCTTTCTTAGAAATGATGATCCACTGTTTCCTGAGCTGGCTGAGCTGGAATGGTTCCCAGAGATCTCCCAGGGTAAACTCCTCACCTTATGAGTCTTTGCAGCATTTCTCTCCCATTCCCCTCCTGCATCCAGTTTAGGCCACTCACAAAAAATAAAATTTTCCCCTGTGATAGAACCATCATGATTTAAATATGTCTTTCAAGGTTGGGTGCGATGGCTCACACTTGTAATTCCAGCACTTTGGGAGCCCAAGACAGAAGCATTGTTTGAGGCTAGGAGTTTGAGATCAGCCAGGGCAACACAGTGAGACCCCATGTCTACAAAAAAATTTTAAAAATTAGCTGGGCATGGTGGTACACACCTATAGTCCCAGCTACTCTGGAGGCTAAGATAGGAGGATCAATCGAAGCCCAGGAATTCAAGGCTGCAGTGTCACTGCACTCTGGCCTGGGCGACAGAGCAAGACCCTGTCTCTAAGAAAAAAAAATGTCCTTCAGTTCCTTGTTGGCAGTCCCTGGTGGGCAGGTGGCATAATGAAACATCTCTGCCTTCACATAGATGGGAATACTTGCCTGGTGTGTGTGGGTATTATAGTCCACATGGAATGCGCAATTTAATATCTCCTAGTAAGCTATCCTGATTATCCAAATGAATATCTTAAGAACCTCAACTATAATTTATCAGCTAAAAATATAACAACTGTCGCCACTATTGGTGGATTCATATACAAATTCAAAGGTGATAAAAAATCTCACTGAGACTGGCTTAGGAATATCAGAAAATCAGTTGCTAGTTTCTGCCATCCAGACAGACACTTACATGTTACACAAATATTTCTATTTGAGCAGGGTAAACTTAGAGAAAAGTCATTGTGTTTCAGACTCAAGATGCCATTCTGAAATGAAACATTTAAAAATGTATTATTTGTGTGGTAAAAAATAAGAAGTGCCTCTTTCTAAAAAAGAGCTCTTTGCCTACTACCTGCCTTTCCTCAGAAGAAAGACATTGCTTTTTGTTTTGTTTTGTTTTGTTTGTTTTGCATTGCTTCACTTATAACAGCAGATCGAACAGCAAGAGCAGAGCAAAGGAGAAGAATTAGAAAGGAGGAACAGGAGTGGTGGTTCCTTTTCTCCTTCCTCTGGCTTCGCCTAAGCCCCCTGGGATGCTCTTTGGAATGTGGGTGTCTAGCGGCAGGGGATCAGGAAAACCGATTCCCCTCAATCCAATGTCCAGCAGAGGCGGACACATGGCACACTGTCAACAGATGTTTATGGAGAAGATATAAGATTGAAGCAAGCAAGAAAGGTGAAATCAGGACGTATTATGTACCCAGCACTGTGCACACGGACAGTCCCTGGACTCCAGTCCTCAGAGTCTAGCTGAGCAGACACACACACACCTCACACACAAGAATGCTCATGTTGATTAGAGGAAACAGTACTGATACCTGCCTTGAAGGGAAGTAGGGACCTCATTTTAAAAATTTACAGCTAAGATCTGAGTAAGTGAGTTGAAGATCTCAGTGAGAGTGGAATGCTGGCTAGATTTAAGCTTGATGGACTGTAAGATTAAGAATGTCTCAGCTTTCTGTGCTCTCTGGGTTTTCACACTAAGCTGGCTGGCGGTTTCTAGGTTCTGTTAACCAGATGACTGACCTCAGTCAGAGATCTTCATCTTGATCAGTTGAGACATCTCAGAAGAAAAAGAGAAAGGGAGAAGGGAAGGAGGGAGGAAAGGAGGGAGAGAGGGAGAAAAGAAGGAAGGAGAGAGGAAGGGAGGGAGGGAAATGAAAAAGAAAAAGCAAGGAACTCTAATGGATTACTATAAATCTTTCTTCTACTGCTAAGATTTTTGGCCATGTCCCAAGTCCTATTATTTATTCCCAGCTCTGCCTCTGAATCATAACATTATAAAACTGTCAAAGGACTTTTAAGATGCCCTAATTCTGCCTATCATGTTACAGATGAGAAAACTGAGGCCCAGAGAGGAGAGACTGTCCCACAAGCACAGGAATACAATTAATGGCTGAGCAAAAACTGAATTTACGCTTCCTGATCTGAGGCTAGTCTCCCTCCACCACACCAAAATCTGGCCCTGACACTCCTCAATGACTCAAGCGTGACAATTACATCTTCAAATATCCACACTCAGTGGGAGAAATGAGGGCCCAGAAACAGGGGTAGCATGGGGCCTTCTGACGGGGACTAGAAATGGGAAGCAACGGACTGATGAAGACTCACCGCGGAAACCAAGCTTCAGTCATTGGACCCTCTGCTTAGCTCTCTGCTGTAAGGTGCTGAGGACTTTTTAGGAGATGGTGAGGACAACCTCAGAACCAACAGTTGGCCAGGCACGGTGGCTGACGCCTGTCATCCTAGCACTTTGGGAGGCCGAGGTGGGAGGACTGCCTGAGCTCAGGAGTTCGAGACCAGCCTGGACAACACGGTGAAACCCCGCCTCTACTAAAATACAAAAAATTAGCTAGACGTGGCGGCAGGCACCTGTAGTCCCAGCTACTCGGGAGGCTGAGGTGGAAGAATCGCTTCAACCTGGGAGACAGAGGTTGCAGTGAGCTGAGATCGTGCCACTGCCCTCCAGCCCGGGTGACAGAACGAGACTTCGTCTCAAAACAAAAACAAAACAAAACAAAAACCAACAGTCACACCAGAGCAAGCCCTGTTTTCTGGAGCCTGGGGAGGAAATTCCCTCTCAGGGGCAGAGGATGCCTGGTCAGACTCCTCTCCAGCAGGGACACTGGGGACAGTGGGTTTTCCGAGAGGACAGCCCCGATGCATTCCATCAGCATAGCTGTGTGCGGGGCGGCGGGGGAGGGGAGCGGGTCGGGGTGGAGGAGGGCAGTTGAGGGGAGGCAGGAGTCAGGGGAGGAGTCGGGCTGTGTCGAAGTGCTGCGCTGATGACCTGCGCCACCACGGGACTCTCTAGGGCTCAGCTTCCTCATCTGGAATGTGGGACAGGCACTTTCCTGTTCCTAAACTCGCGATTTGTTATGCATTCATTTGAAATGTTCACACTGGGCGTAGCACACTGACATCCCTCCGGGGGCCAGACACACGAGTGGAGGAACTGGAGGTGGGACAGGAGGTGTTGTGGCAGCTGGGAACGTGAGCCCATGCCTGAAGGGGCCGTCCCTGCTTGCTGCAGTCCATTGTTGCCAAGTGGAAATATGCGCCAGTGTGGCTAGTGTTTCCAGTTTTTAAAGATAAGTAGGAAATGAAATTTTTACGTGAACTCTTCTAGCTATTAAGCATTGGCAGCTAAAAGTGCTGTGTCTGCCAATCAAAACATGTGTGCCAGCTGAATCCAGCCTGCATACTTCCAGTTTGCAACCCTGCATGCACTCCTGTCCCTTCTCTCCCATTTTATAATGCACACAAAGTTCTGAGGGAGTTGGGGTGGGAGCCCAGGCAAGGACACGTTAGAAAGACCGGGGGCTTTGGAGTCAACCAGACTTGAGCCCAAAGCTTTGACAGGATAATTTACGAAGTATGCAGCCTTAAACATGGTATTGAATTTCTTTAACTTTTCTGTAAAGGAATTTCTCTTATTGGGTTGTTTCGAGGATGAAATGAGATGATGTATGTATTAATAACAAGCCTGAGCCGGACATTAATAAACGATAGTGACCTACACCAGGTGCTTAATGAATCCCAGCAGAGGAAAGGTCCTGAGGCCTCATCTGATCTGGTCCCATCAAGTGAGTGTCTGCTTCCTAGATGCGTGGGGACTAATCACTCCCAAGACATTCCTTCCTTCCACTTTGGGACAGCTTTGCATGTCAGAAAGTGTTTCCTTAAGTCAAGCTGAAATTCTTAGATAGTTGTTCTGCCATCTAGGATTATAAAGACGAAGCTTAATCTCTTTTTCACATAAGAGAACTTTGAATGAGACTGTCACTCATGTCTCCTATTTTCCCACCCAGTTCTTTATATTTTTAGATTAAATATTTAAGTCCTTTCAATTGCTTCTTGCCAATGAAAATAATAAAATCATCAAATTACTTCATGCTCACAACCCTATGAGGCAGGCACCCATTTTAAAGATGATGACAATGAAGTGTAAAGGGATTAATAATTTGCTTGAAATTCCTATTTTTAATGTCCCTCTTGAGGTGTAAACTAAACAGCAAGTCTGGCACCACCTAAGTCTGGCACTACCTTTATTCCTGGTGCTATATATTTCTTCCTTTCCTCCCCTCCCCCTCCCCCTCCCCTTTCCTTTCCTTTCCTTTCCTTTCCTTTCCTTTCCTTTCCTTTCCTTTCCTTTCCTTTCCTTTCCTTTCCTTTCCTTTCCTTTCCTTTCCTTTCCTTTCCTTTCCTTTCCTTTCTGACAGAGTTTCACTCTTGTTGCCCAGGCTGGAGTGCAATGCTGCCATCTCAGCTCACTGCAAGCTTTACCTCCTGGGTTCAAGTGATTCTCCTGCCTCAGCCTCCCAAGAAGCTGGGATTACAGGCATGTGCCACCACACCGGGCTAATTTTGTATTTTTAGTAGAGATGGGGTTTCACCATGTTGGTCAGGCTGGTCTCAAACTCCTGACCTCAAGTGATCTACCTGCCTCGGCCTCCCCAAGTGTTGGGACTACAGGCGTAAGCCACCACGCCTGGCAGGGTGCTACATATTTCTTAATGTATCCCAAGGTTGGATACATTCTCTTGGTAAATATGGAGTCAACTGAAAGTCTGAAGTCTTTTGCATGTGTGCTGTCTCAGCAATGGCTTCCCCCATCCAGTACTAGGGTAGTTAGTGGGTTTTGCAAGCCAAATACAGGCCTTTACATGTATTCCTGTTAAATCTCATTTTGCTAATCCCTGTTCACTGCTCTAGTTTGTTGGAAAATTTTGGGATCGTGATTTAGTCACATGACATGATTTTGACCCCCACATTTGTCTCATTTTCTCAATGTGCCCTCAATTTCCTTTTTAAAGTCAAGGAAGTCAGGTAAGACTAATATACTTAAAAATCCCATGTTTCTTTCATTTAACAAAGATTTACTGAGCACCTTCTGTGTACTATACCCTGTGCTGGGTCCTGGGGCTATCATGGTAAGCAGGACGAACTCAGTCCTGTCCGTAGAGCTTGTGAGAGGTGAGTCCTGTGTGAAAGGTCAGTAGGAGCACCATCCCGAGTTTGGGGGTGCCTAGGGTGCTTCCCAGAGGGGGGATATTTAACTTGAGACCTGAAAAGTGAGGAAGAGTGAGCTGTTACAGAAGAGCTGGGTGGGGGGAGTGGGGAAGGGTGGAATGTCCCAGGCAGAGCACCCCCAGTCCACACCCCTCTTACTGCTCTTTCCCCAGTATGGTTAATTGTAACTCATTTTCTTTGACCTACCAAACTGCAGGCCCCTTAAAAGTTGTTGGTATCATCTTTGTACTTCCTACTGTGTCCAGCACGGTGTTTTTCACACACAGGGATTACTACCAATCACTACTGCCTCCTAAGTGTTAGGCAGTCTGTATTGTCTCATGTAGTCTCCTAATAGCCCCTGAAGTAATACTCTTCTCATTTTACAGTTGAGAAAACCAAGCTCAAAAAATGGTAATAATGAGTGGTAGTATTAATAATAATAAACTCGTATATAGTGCATACTATACACCAAACACCGTCCTAAATGTTTTGCACATATGCACTCTTGATTATGGGAGGTGGTTATAGGCAAGAACTTTGTTGCCATCTCTGCCATACACTAGTTATATAACCTTGAAAAAGCTACTTAACCTTTCTGAGAAATAAATGGAGATGACTGTGATAATACTTTCAGACTAAGATCAGGATCAAGGCAAGGATCTTCCCTCTCACTACTACTTTCCAACATCACACTGGAAGTCTTAACTCATGCAATAAGACAAGAAAGGGAAATAGAAGGTATACAGATTGGAAAAGAAAAAATAAAATTGCCTTTGTTCACAGATGATGTGATCATCTGTATAGAAAATCAAAAAGAATCAACAAAAATACCCCTGGAACTAGTAAAAGATTATAGCAAGCTTGCAGGACACAAAGTTAAATTCAAAAGTCAGTTGCTTTCCTATATACAAGCAATGAAAACTAGTAGAGTTGAAATGAAAAACACAATACCATTTGCATTAGCACCCCCAAAAGTGAAACACCTAGACATAAGTCTATCAAAATATATATAAGAATCTATATGTATGAGGAAAACTACAAAACTATGATGAACAAAACTGAAGAAAAACTAAATGAATGGAGAGATATTTCATCTTGGATAAAAAGGTTCAATATTGTTAAAATGTCAGTTCTTCCCAACTTGATCTGCAGATTCAATGCAATCCCAATCAAAATCCCAGAAGTTACTTTGTGGATATGGACAAACTGATCCTAAAGTTTATATGGAGAGGCAAAAGACCCAGAATAGCCAATATAATATTGAAGAAGAGCAAAGTTGGAAGACTGACACTACCTAACTTCAAGACTTACTACAAAGCTATAGTAATCAAGACAGTGTGATATTGGCAAAAGGATAGACAAATAGGTCAGTGGAACAGAATATAGAGCCCAGAAATAGGCTCACATAAATACAGTCAACTGATCTTTGACAAAGGAGCAAAAATCATCTTGTCAATAAATGGTGCTGAAAAACTGGGCATCTGCATACAAACAAACAAACAAAAAATGAGGCTAGACACAGACCTTACACTCTTTAGAAAAATCAACACAAAATGGATCATAGAGACCTAAATGTAAAATGCGAAACTATAAAACTCCTAGAATATAACAGGAGAAAACCTAGATGAACTTCGGTATGACAATGACTTTTTAGATGCAACACTAAAGGCATGATCTACAAAACAATTGATAAGCTGGATTTCATTAAAATTCAAAACTCCTGCTCTGCAAAAGACAACATCAAGAGAATGAGAAGACAGGGCACAGACTGGGAGAAAATATTTGCAAAAGATACAGCTGAAAAAAGAATTGTTTTCCAAAACATACAAAGAATTCTTAAAACTCATCAGTAAGAAAACAAACAACTCTGTTTAAAATGGGTCATTTCACCAAAGAAGACCTACAGATGGCAAATAAGCATATGAAAAGGTGCTCCACGTCATGTCATTGGGAAAATGCAAACTAAAATAACAATGAGAGACCATTACATACTTATTAGAGCAGCCAAAATCCAGAACACTGCCAACAGCAAATGTTGGCAAGGAGGCAGAGTGATAGGAATTGTCATTTGCTGCTGGTGGGAATGCAACACGAGACAGCCACTTTGGAAGACGGTTTGGCAGTTTCTTACAAAACTAGCCTTTCTATTGCCCTAAAATTGAGCAATCATGTTCCTTGGTATTTGCCCAAAGGACCTGAAGAATTACATCCACCCAAAACCTGCACATGGATGTTTATAGCAGCTTTATTCATTATTGCTAAAACTTGGAAGCAGCCAAGATGTCCTTTGGTAGGTGAATGGGTAAATAAACTATGAATATAATTATATAATGAATTTATATAATGAATATAAAAATATATAAACTATGAATATAAAAATATTTATATGATGGAATATTATTCAGCAATAAAAAGAAATTAGATATTAAGCCATGGAAAGACATGGAGGAACTTTAAATGCATATTACAAAATGAAGGAAGCCAATCTGAAAAGGCTACATACTGTATGATTCCAACTACATGAATTCTGGAAAAGGCAAAACTATGGAAACAGTAAGAAAGATAAGTGTTTGCCGGCCGGGCACAGTGGCTCATGCCTGTAATCCCAGCACTTTAGGAGGCGGAGGTGGGTGGATCACGAGGTCAGGAGCTCGAGACCAGCCTGGCCAACATGGTGAAACCCTGTCTCTACTAAAAATACAAAAATTAGCTGGGTGTGGTGGTGGGCACCTGTAATCCCAGCTACTTGGGAGGCTGAGGCAGGAGAATCGTTTGAACCCTGGAGGCAGAGGTTGCAGTGAGCTGAGATTGCACCACTGCCCTCCAGCCTGGGCAACAGGATGAGACTCCCTCTCAAAAAAAAAAAAAGAAAGAAAAATAAGGATAGGTGTTTGCCAGGGGTTGGGATTAAGGAAAGGATGACTAAGTAGAGCACAGTAGATTTTAGGGCAGTGAAAATACTCTGTATGGTACTATAATAGTGGATACATGTCATTGTATGTTTCTCCAATCCATAGAATGTCCAACACCAAGGGTGAACCCTCATGTACACTTTGCACTTGGGTGATTATGATGTCTCACTGTAGGTTCATTAATTGAAACAAATGTACCATTCTGGTGGGGAATGTTGATAATGAAGACTATGCATGTGGGGACAAGGGGTATATAGGAAATCTCTGTACCTTCCTCTCAATTTTGCTGTGAGCCTGAAACTGCTCTAGGAAAAAAAAAAATCATACACACACACACACACATAGACATGCACACACATCTAATTTTTAAAATGAGAGCACTACTTCACAGGGTTGTTGTAAGGATAAAATCTGTTAATGAATGCAAAGTGCTTAGGATGGCACCCAGCATGGATTAAGACCCACCTAAATGTTAACCATTCTCCTTATTAAGCAATTTGTCCAAAGTCAAAGACCTAGTGAGTATCCGAACAGGGATTTGAAAGCAGTCTGAAGCCTGGATCATGTTGTTTCAACTGTAGCTTATTAATTGACATTTGATGAAGGAAGGAAGGAAGGGAGGGGTGTTTACTGCTTTAGTAAGCTACCTATTTTGAACAACACAATCAGCTAGCCAACATAATTCAGCAAAAATACATCAAATGACACACAACAAATATTTTAAATAGTTAAAGGAAAAACTGTAGAATATTAGAACTGGAAGGACCATAAAGATAAAAACAGATCACCTCCTCATCTCCAAGCAAGGCAAGCATTTCATTATCATTGTTGAAGTTATGAAATGCCAGAAACTTAAAGCCTTTTCAGCTTAAGGGGATTTCTTCTGAAAAAGTCCCTTGCTTATTTTTCTTAAAAGATCACTTGAGGGAGAGTTTTTAAAATCCTTAAAACCATAAAGTTTTGATCAATTGTTTTTCACACTTCTTGATTGTAGGGGAAAAATGAGAGAATATGGTCAATTTTATTACCTTTGGACTTCATTGCCATCTTTAGATTTCTTTTCCTTTTTTCTTTCCTTTTCTTTTTTTTTTTTTTTTTTTGTGATGGAGTCTTGCTCTATCGCCCAGGCTGGAGTGCAGTGGCGCAATCTTGGCTCACTGCAACCTCCACCTCCTGGGTTCAAGCGATTCTCCTGCCTCAGCCTCCCGAGTAGCTGGGACTATACACATGCGCCATCACACCTGGCTAATTTTTTTGTACTTTTAGTAGAGACGGGGTTTCACCATGTCCGTCAGGCTGGTGACCCCAAGTCATCTGCCCACTTCAGCCTCCCAAATACTGGGATTACAGGCATGGGCCACCACACCCGGCCCATCTTTAGATTTCATAATTCCACCACAGTCATCAACTTTTCAAAGCCTTAAATTGTGTCCAAGTGGCTTATTCAGGACTATGTTCATTCTGATTATTTTTGAGTACTTATATAGTTCTACTAAATGCCTGATGATGTATAACTGCGTCGTTGCTAGTAAGTCTTAGCAATGTGGCTCTAGAGGGATGGCATGCCAAATTTTTTCTGGTATGGATTTTAGAGAGCCCCAGAAATTGTTTTCTCTCTGAGGGAATGGCCTGAACATTTTACATGTCCACACACCAAGTGCTAAGGATGAAATTATTAGGACATCCTAGGAGAATACAGGGTCTGGGGCAGGGGCCAAAGAGAGAAGATGCATTTGTTCCTGACTGCCAGCAAGTCTACCAATGTGAGTGGCTTCTGTCCCAATCATATATCAGGGTCTTCTATAGTCAAGCTCCCTTAGTGTTTAATGACAGAAATGTTTTTAGAAGGGAAATGTGACATGTCAGGGCTTAAAGATATCAAGAATGTCTTCCATCCAATTTCCACGTAGCTGGAAAGGAAAATGGTTAAGAGTTAAGTTACTGTTCTCTAAACTCTCACCATGTGGTCCTAATCAGCTGTCTGCCAGTGATGGATAGAATGAATAATCTCCTTCATACTTCAGCCCTAGAAGGAGTGCACAGCCAGGATGTAGAGGGGTCTATTTCCCAAGAAAAAAACTGCGATTGCAAACAACATCATCAGTGTGTATTTTAAACCCTAGAAATATCTGTTTCCCCTCTTTCACATCTTTATCAAAATGAAAAAATAAATCCAGCAAAACCTGACCTTGCACTAGGTTTTTGATGAAGATGTGTGCAGATGGGCCAGAAAATTCCTAGGAGTTCTTTAGAGAATTTGAAGGATAATTCTGCAGATGCACGTCAGTCTCAGGTTGCTGCCATTTTAGGAATCTCACCTGGGTTTCCAGACATGTCATCCAGAGACTGAGAGTCCTACCTTTGTTCACCCCAACATGTTCACCTGTCTCCTGAGCAAATGCATCCAGTAGGGATGTGAGAGGAAAAACAGGATCCATCACCCAACCTGTCTGCACTTGTGGCCTCCTGGTAATGCAGGGACTCAAGCGACTCTATGGTGGGAACCCTAGACAATTCCTGATCAAAACTTTGGAAACCAGTTCCTACTGGAAGATTAGTGTTAGAAGAAACACACATTTCAGAAAATACATGGAAGGAGCCACATGTTAGGGATAGAGGTGAGATGAGTAAGGGAGGGAAGCTCTTTGGATGGGCAGGTGGAGGAGAGAATGAGGCCATGTGGAAAATGGAAATTTAAAACCAGAGAAGACTCTAGACATTAACCAAGCAATATTAGATAACGTCATGGATTTCCTAAGAAATCTATGCCTAAAAAATTCAACCAACTAGTGTGGCTATGAGTTTGGGTTTTATTTTGGGCGCTTTCTTGTTTTCTTCCTGCAAAATGTAAACTGTTTTTGCCTATTTTCCCTTGGAGGAGAATTTTGATGAATAGAAACAATATTTTCTCTTTAAAGTTTCTCTCATGAAATTATAGTGATTCCATTGACATATTTTTGAAGCTTTGGCAATCTGTTCAGCCATGTGCTGCTCTCTGCCCAACACAGTGCTGACCTGCATGAAAGCGTGAACACCTTCTTTCGGTCTGGGGATGAAGGGCCCACATTCCTGGTGCATTTCCATCTTACAAGGGTCCTTCTGATCCCCACAGGGGGAAAGTGGAGGCGGCAAGGCTCGGCGATGAAGCCTGCAGATTGCTACTCTGTTGATGTCCCTGCTGGTTCCATGGAGATGTTTATTGGACTTGCCATACCAGTCTGGCAGATTGGGCAACAAACACCATCTGCCCAACCATCACCCAGCTGGGCAGTGTTGACTGAGCCTTCTGTGTGTGCCAAATTGTGTCAGATCTGGGAAGGGATCTAAAGGCAGGCAGTGCTGGAGCAACAGCCACGCCTCACAGAACATGAATAGGGCTCCCCATTAGGGGCTATTAACAGAGCCCTCTTCACTCCTTAGAGACCCACTTCTGAACAATAGTTATTCTCTAAAAAATAAAACTCATGCTTTAAAAAATACTTACAAATCTGTGAGCTATGGTCCTAGAGAGTAACTGGGGGACTTCACAATTGCAGGATTCTGTGACTTTGCTTTTTATGTCTCTCACAGATCAAACAACAGGGCCTTGTGTGGAGTAGGTATGTAATCAACATCTGCAGACAGATTCCTGTTGGTGGAAACTCCTGGGCCAAGCCTCCGAGTGGGAAAACTCAGTTCAGGAGTGAAATGAGTGGATTGCACAGAACCACCAAAAGCAGTGGACCCAAATCAGCTAAAGGAGAGGGCTTCTTTCCACTGCCACATTTTCTCCAGACCTCTGTTTCAGTACTGGTGTGCCCCTCCCCCCACCCCACCCCCCCAAAAAATCACAGTGCTTACAATTGGCACTGCTTACCTAAATAATAGATATGGTCTATCCTGGTAACTTTTAAACTTATTATGCTAACTTTCACAAAAAGAAATACATTTTACGTCAGACCCATTACACACACACACACACACACACACACACACACGCACGTATGTACTTTACATTTATGAGGGTAAAATGGATATATGAATGTATAAAATTGAAACAAAAATAGTTTTACTAAACAACACTTACCCTTACTCTTTGCAATTTACTTGGATATTTTCTTTTCTATTCTGGGTTGGTTTTTCTTTTTTGAGACAGGGTTTCACTACGTTGCCCAGGCTGGAGTACAGTGGCTATTCACAGGTGCAATCACAGCTCACTGCAGCCTCAAATCCTGAGCTCAAGTGATCCTCTTGTCCCAGCCTCCTAAATAGCTGAGACTACAGGTGGATGCCCCAGCTCCTAGCTTTTTTTTTTTTAATGCAGGTTGAAACCCATTCATTTGATTCCATAGCCCATTAATGAATTTGGAGGCACATTTTTAAAAGCCCTGCTCAACTTAGTAAATTTTTCCTTTAAAGAAAAAGAATAAATTTGAGATTACAAAATTTTAATAACTGTATAATCTATGTTCTTAACAATTAAAACAACAACTAGCTCGTAGTTTGATGTCAAGAGCTGCAACTCCAGTACAGGGGAAATAGACCTAACCTAGCTGGATCCTCATCCTGGTTTCTCAATGTATGAGCTCTGTCCAGCTCATGCAAGTCACTGAGGTTGTTTTCTCATATATAACATGGAAGAAATACCAACTCCCTTTCTCTCAGAGATAATTAAGTAAAAGCTCTTAAGGAAATCTGAAGTTCAGTACAAATGAGTTCATTGAATCCTCCTCAGAATCGCCACTGCACTCCAGCCTGGGCGACAAAGCAAGACTATCTCAAAAAATAAAAGTAAAAATAAGAATAAAAAAAGAATCCTCAGAATATCTGCACTGGTAGGATTTCTACTTGCTCAAGGTTTCATAGCCAGGTAGAGCCTTTTTTTCCCCCGCTAAACACATTTATATAAAAGCATAATTATTATTCTCTCCCAGAATATCTAAGTTGTTAGAAATTCTACTGCTTTCAGTTATATACCCAATGTGTCCGATAATGTTTCTACCTCAGATTATGCCGCTGTGCAAATCTCATGAGTTTTATGCATATGGGAAAATCAACTGCGGAAAAATTTCTTATAAAAATGCTCCAACCCATTGACTTTAATAGAGCCAAAGAGGAAAATAATCAAGTAAAGAGAAACAGAAGAGAAGAGATGAGTTTCTTTTACAGGGATGAACTAGAAGGGATCCACCCAGCCCCATCATTTTGCTTTTCGATTGTAATTTTTCAAGAGGAGATATTATATTTAAATAGGCCCTAGAAGCTTACGGCTGGTGAGAGAGAGATATAAGCTAACTTCACAGTGTGGGGAGCTCAACACCCTAAGTTTAAGGTCTTGCTAACTAAATTAAAGATACTGACAAGTGTTAACTACTTCAGAGATGCCATTAAAAAACTCGTCTGGTCAGTTTTCTTACTTTACAGTCATAACTCATATATTACAATAATATTTTCAATGAAATCCTCTAACTGTGAGAAAAGGCTGACCTGGAGCCCATTTCCTGTGTACACCAGAGTGTCAGAAAAGAAGTGCAAAAGTGCTCCTTTCTCTCTCCAAGGGGATGAAGTTCACTTAAATGGCCCCAACATTACTGTTCTTCTAGAAATTAATAGAAGAATTGTACTCTATTGTAATTAGGAGGTGCTTTGTAATTTGTTTTTGTTTATGACCTGGTGTTTCGTAGCTATAATTAGATTCAATTCATTTTTAACAAAGCAATTTTTACAAATGCATATCATATTTTCCACTATTATGATTCAAAAGCCATACCAAGGGTATATCCAGAGAGAATGATGATAATGATGGTGCCTTTGCATCAAGGTAATTTAGTGTGGCAAACCTCCACCTGGCTGTGGGACCAAGTGGCCCCTTCCAGGATTCTGAGTGTCACATTGATTCCCCTCTTTCCCTCAGCCACTCAACCTCTGATCACCAAGGCCAACGAATCCCCCAATTCTGTCAACTCTCCTTCCCCACCACGACCAAAGTGAACTCAGGACACCACCTTCCACCTGCTTTGATGCACAGAGCAGGCCCCTATCTGGCCTTCCTGCCTCAGTCTTGCCCCTTCCGACCTCCTCCTGCCACTGAGAATGTGAAGGGAAAACCTGACCACCTTATTCCAGTGCGAGCACTTTCCCATGACTCCCCACAGAGCCCTAATGTGAAGTGAATTCTTGGTCCTTTGCTTGTAAAATGAAGAGAACGATGCTTCATTGGATGGTTGTGAGGATTAAATGGCATCAAGTAAATGAAACCATTTGTTTAAGTGAAAAGAAACAAATGTAAGAAATTATTATATTAGCGGAAATTTAAATTTACTAGATAATTCGGTAATTAAGTAAAGTAGTTAAATATAATTACTTGGGTACTTAAATTGATTTAATACATTATGCTAGAGGTTTGGTGGATTTATACAAGCTGGAATGATAAAGTGCTGATATTGATTTTTCTGTACATTACATATCAGATGTTACATCCTAATCAGTGCTCAGGTGGGAACAGCGCCTGTTACACAGCAGGCAATCAATAATGCCTAAGTAAGAGTTTGTTCATAATTTACATGCTGGGTTTTGTGACATGTAGACAGAGCTATACTCCTGATTCTTTTTCTTAAAACCCTATTAGACTACAAATCTACCTTTTCAAAAGATGTGTTTACATAGGGTTACTCATCCTTAGAGAAAAATAAAATGAAATCCCAATAATCTGCAGATGCTTATTGGGGCTGAAATCCCCCAAACATATTCTAAAGTAAATATTCAACAATAATAAATACATGATAACCAAGTTAATATCTAGCGAGTAATCACAGCTGTATATTAGGAAATGGTTGGAGTTTTATTAATGCCAGAGACAATGCTCTGAGTCATCAGAGATAAGTTTTGTGCTCCTGAACTAAAATAAACCTGTCATGGAAGTGTTCGGTAACAATGGAAGCAGAAGATCAAATTTTCTCAGAAAGAGAGTTAATAAAATAATGAGAGAGAGACATAAAATATTAGACTCCTCGGAAAAGTTATGATTGTTTAATGGATTATATCACAGCTACCTTGGACTTTAATAAGGTGTGATTATGAGACCAATATCACCCTAACAGGAAACAAATAACAAAATAGATGTTACTGTTCATAGTAGTACAGTTACAGGCTCATAGTAACTGTTTCCTAAATATTTGCTGATTAAATTAATTAGCAAACAAGATTCAGAAGGCTCTTCTATGGTTACCATTATTGATTCCAATATCTTTTAGTATCAGTGCTATTTAAAAATAGTGGTCTCATAATATTATCATAACAATTTTTCCACCAAGCTCATATAATATTCGTAGTATATGTATGTATGTATATGTGTGTATTCCATAATAATCTATGAAATACAACGCATTTCACAATCCTTCCTTATCCAAAAACAATCTAAGTGATAGATAATTTCCTAATGTCCAACAAATTATGCAAGTGTTTTATGATATTGGAACTTGTAATTTTCTGCGAATGGTTGTGGACTATTACAGGAAGGCAGACATGATAAATACATGACCTAACGGCCACTGCTCCCCGACAATCCCACAAGAGACATCAATAATCAATCATGGCACTTTTTCCCACTAAGCCTGGAATTTATCCTCAATGTCAATTTTAACATAGTATTCCACAAAGCACCTGTTAATCCATTCATTTATTCATTTAGCAATTATTATGGATTTCCTAATATGTGCAAGGCACTGTACCAGGGAGGCACATTGCAGATAAAAGTAACCAGGACAGACATGGACCGTGCCATCACAGGGCTTAGATTAACAATGGATTTGACACTCAAAGTCATGATTGTTTGCCAGATCTGCTCTGTTGTATAGTTGAAATGGAACTAATTCTAAATAGCAGTGTCTCTCCTTTGTGATAGTAGGGGACTGAGTGGAGAGGCTTGCACTCCCTGGCTTCATAAAGCCATGATGTCTATTGAATAGTTTAGGAGTTAAAGGTGAAAATAGCTGAACACTATTTATTAGAAAAAAAGAGATGGTTTTCTTTTTATTCATTTAAGTGTTCAATTTGCAAGTCAGACTGATAAACCTATAGGAGAAAGTTTTATGAAAATATTAGAATGAATAAATTTTTCTCCCACTCCCCTATAGAGACAGGGGCAGTCTGTGACTCACTGCAGTGTTTTCCTTTCTCCACAGATGTCGGAAAGAACACAATATGCTACGTGGAATTAGAGAAAGAGAACAGATGGCTGAGTACATGGCTTTTTCCACCACTATCAAGCGTGTTGTCTTTCCCCCTCAGCTGCAAAATTACCTCTCTGAAAGTCTCTGCTCTTAATGCTGCACCTTCTCTACCCTTCCTCATTCCTGCCTACCATCCTTTCATCCCTGCTTTAGAAGTGGGCTGACTTCCCCAAGCAAAATTCCCCGGCCTACCTCCCACTCATATGTGGAAGTGAGCTGATTGCATCCCTTGACGGCAAACTGCTTGGATGGTTAGTCCCTTACAGTTATCTACCCCCTGGACAAGCACAAAATGTCAAAACAGAATTTGGAGGATCGGGGACATGAAAGTGGCTCAGTCAAAATCAGGCTGATAGCAGCTACAAAGAGGTTACTGTCAATAACAGGCAACTGTTCTGCTGTCTCCTAAGACTAATCCTGAATTTGGATATGTACATGTTATGCTCAGGGAAAAACACTGTCTAGTTGCCTTATTTCACAAATTAAAAAAAATCTCATGGCCAGGCACGGTAGCTCATGCCTGTAATCCCAACACTTTGGGAGGCCGAGGCAGGTGGATCACCTGAGGTCAGGAGTTCGAGACCAGCCTGACCAACATGGTGAAACCCAGTCTCTACTAAAAATACAAAAATTAGCCAGGAGTGGTGGCAGACGCCTGTAATCCTAGCTACGCAGGAGGCTGAGGCAGGAGTAATCGCTTGCCCCTGGGAGGCAGAAGTTGCAGTGAGCTGCCATTGCACTCCAGCATGGGTGAGAGATCAAGACTCCATCTCAAAAAAACAAACAAACAACAACGAAAAAGAACTGCCTCACTAAAATGTTAGTTCTATTGTACTACCTCCAATGCAAAGACCCAGTTCCTGACCTCACCAGAAGGTAGACCCACAATGTATATTTAGCTATTGATGCTGATGGTTGGTTGTTTTCTTTTGTTTTTTTTAAACCTGATTCTGTGCCTGAAGTGCCTACTAATATTGCTTTGTGTTCTCTACAGCCTTGTTTGTGTGTGTGCGTTTTTTTCTTTAATCCCCTCAAGATTTGAAAATTGGAACTAAACAAGGAAGAAGAAAGTGACAGGCCATTTTTATTATTCTTTCTCAGGGTTCCAATTTTACTGTGAGTTTCTACTTCTTAAAAGATTTTGCATTTCTCCCCTTTGAATGTTACTTCATTTGTTCATTCTCTAAGGAAGGAAGAACAGTATCATAAAAATTATGAATGAATGAAAATGATTTTTTTACGAGTACCATAAAAAATGAATCAAACATGATTCATTTTTGCCCTTTGCCCTTTGCACTGTATCTTGGTCAGTGCCAGTTCTCATGTCATTATAGTAGTTCCTCAGTGAACATGAAATAATACAACATTGTCCATTGGAACCAGTTATATAACACTCGAGATAACAGCAACATTGCGTTTATTAATTTAGTAGAAACAACAGTATTTTACAGTTCCAACATATAAGAGAATGCAGCTGTGTTAAATGACAAAAATCATGTATTCTATTTTGGGCTTCTCAATAACTAAGAAATAGAACTAAAATCCTTTTATTCACTTATTCATCCAACTATGGGCCACATACTGTGCTAGGAGCTGTGGGTACAGAGGTGACCTATACAGACCAGTCTCTCTCTTTGTGGAGCACATAGTGACTAACTGGGCCTTGACAATTCTGGTTAAAATTGACATCCACGAAAGTGTCTACAACTAGGATGGAATCTCTTTCCTAACCCGTTTCTTTCATACTCACTAGGAAAGCAACCTTTCCAATGGATCAGGGTAGATTTATGACTCATTTGCAAAGCAAAAGCAAACAGAATGTAGAAAATGGAAGTCTTACCACTAATAAATATATAGATTGCAGATTCTGTTTCCTTCTTCTTTGAAGTAGGTACAGCTAGATATTTGCAGCTGTAGAAGCCAGTGTGGTTTGCTTGAGCTGTGTTCAAGGTTAAAGTACTGCAGAATTGTTTGCCATTTCTTCCACAGGCAGATTTAGTTATGCTCAGCCTTTCGCTTTCCTTACTCACCATTTCAGGCAAAGACCATTTATGGGCTGCTTCCCCCCTGCAATCACAGATAAGAAAACAAAACATATTTATGGCTGGGCCCTAGGCTCAGCACCAGTTCCTCAGCATTCATTTTATTAGGAAGCGGAGGTCCTCTCTTAAGTGTAGTCATCTTCCTCTTTACGGGAAAGCAACACATTCAGAAAAGCTGTAGAACAATACTCAGAATAAAGATGCAGAACTATTTGGGCATCCCTTCCCCCATTTCCCTGAGTGAGTAATGCTCTCCCTTCCCCATGAATCCCCTTTCATGGGAAGCTGGATGCCTATGGTTTGCACTTTGCAGATCACAGGAGATCACTGAGGTCCCTACCTTTTTACTCTGCCAGGGAATGATTTTGCCTTAGGCATGGCAACTAGATTATTCCCAAACCAACACAGCCACTTACCTGCATTGGAGATGCAGTGTCTGGCCTGCTTGCATGATGTGCTGGGTGCCTTTTAAACTCAGTTCAGGATCTTTTAATTTTGAACCTGAACTAGATCCTGAAAAACAAATTTTTAAAATGTATTATTTGTAAATTGTCTTCTTACCTTTTTTTAAGTTATCTTTCCATGAAGGTGAGTTTTTCATTTTTAATTTATTTACATCTTTAATTTACTTGTATCTTTAATTTATAAGCAAAAGATACACTAATACAAATTTCTCTTAATTCACAAATTTTTTCTAGCTCTACCCTTGCTCATAAATATTATATATCCTTTTATACCAAATGACCTAAATAACATCCAAAAGCCTATTTATGTAGAATGGTAATGGATTCATATAGGTTCAATGAAATTATATTAAAATATATAACTAGTTATAATATTCAAATATGCAATAACTTAGTAAAAACTCTCAAGAATAAATGTCAGTGTCATCCAAAATATATTTTCAATACTGAACTTTTTCCAGTGTGGGTCATCTAGTCCTATAGGCCTGTCTCATCTTTTTTTCTGAATAAAAAGTACAGAAATTTTCCTGGGCTCTGAATTTCATGCAATCATTAGTTGAGCAATGATATTTTTGGCCAATCATTTCCCTTTCTGAACCAGTTTCCTCATTTGGAAAACTAATTATAGAATCAAAATCAGTTTTAGAAGACATTTGGTTTGTCTTACGTAATCTATGAGTTCCCTCTACAATGGTACAGTCAAAAGGGAACTGTTCACACGCTTACGTGACATTCGACAAACATCTCGGAGGATTGTTGTGAGGCAATAAAGTGAGGTGGTGAAAGTGCTTTAAAATCTACACATCTCCATATGATGCAATAATGACATCCATTTTAGTGACTAGCTGTATCACCCTAGACAAGTCATCTCTCTTTCCAGATCTCAGTTATCTTATCTGTAAAAAAGAGATTGGACTAGACGACCTTGAAATCTCTGACCTTCCATTTCTCACAGTCCCAGCCTGATATAGCTTGGATGCTGACCCTCCAATTCTGATGGTGAATTGTAATCCTCAATGTTGGAGGTGGGGCCTGATGGGAGGTGTTTGGGTCGTGGGGGTGGATCCCTCATGCATGGCATGGTGCTGTTGTTTAGATCTGATTATCTGAAAGTGTGTGGCACCTCCCCCCTTCTCTTGTTCCTGCTGCCACCATGTGATACACCTGCTCCTGTTTTGCCTTTGACATGAGTAAGGGCTCCCTGAGGCCTCACTGGAAGGCAAGCAGATGCTAGCACCATGCTTGTACAGCCTGGAGAACTGTGAGTCAATTATACCTCTTAATAAATTACCAAGCCTCAGATATTTCTTTACAGCAATGTAAGAACAGCCTAACAGACAGCCTCATGATTTTTTGAACCATAGGTGCTACAGAGGCTGAGCCTCCCTTGAAGCTATTACTGACCAATCAGAATACTATCACTAAGGATCTCTCTCGCCTCCTTCCTCCCCTCATCCCTCAGTCTCTCTTCTCCTTCTCCCTCTTCTTCACCAGCCTCCTCCTCCTCCCCTCTTCCCAGGCAGCTGCAATGCCTCCGAAAGGCAGGGAATGAGGGGCCCAGGATTAGCGTTCCTTAGGCGGGAATAGAAGTTAGCAGGAGAGAGGAAAGAAATTCTTGGAGGGAGGAAAACTTAGTATTTGGCACCAATCTCAGGGTATAGTTTTCTTTAAAAAATCAGTTTAAACAGTGGAAGCAAAGGTAGAAGCTCTAAGTGAATGGTCATGGAGGGTTTACCATTAGGTCACAGATCTGTGAGATGATGTGTGTGTCAAATACCCTGGTTATGCCCAGCAGTCCTCTCCAGCGTTTCTCTTGGATTTGACTATCTCAAAAACTGGATTCAGTTAGAAGATCTGCGTTTGAGGCTTAGCTTTTCCACCTACTGACTGCATGACCTTGGCATCACTTAATTGGCTGCTCCTCAGGCTCCTCGTGAGTGGAACTGGAAAGCCTACGAGCCACCTCACAGGCAGGGTGTGTGCATTCGGTGCTGTGCTGTGGAAGAGGCTGGCTTGCTGCCTGGCACGTGGCAGATGCCCACTATCACCAACATCTAGGGGAATCACTTCCCCTCCCCCTGCTTCTGTCAGAATATTTTGCTGGGTATATAATTTCAAAGATACTAAATTAACATATGCTTTTCTGGTATTGCTGATGATATAAATTAATATCTTTTAAATTTTTATTTTATTTTATTTTTGAGACAGAGTTTCACTTTGTTTCCCAGGCTGGAGTGCCTTGGTGCGATCTTGACTCACTCTGCAACCTCTGCCTGCCAGGTTCAAGCGATTCTCGTGCCTCAGCCTCCTGAGTAGCTGGGACTACAGGTGCGCATCATCAGCGTGGCTAATTTTTTGTATTTTTAGTAGAGATGGGGTTTCGTCATGTTTGCCAGGCTGGTCTTGAACTCCTGACCTCAGGTGATCCACCTGCCTCGGCCTCCCAAAGTGTTGAGATTAGAGGCATGAGCCCAGCCTAAATTAATATATTAAAAGTAATTTTTACAGACAGTAGATCCCGGTATCAAAGTACTCCTAAATAAAATGGCTGAATATTAACTAAATTAAAATCCCTGTTTCATATGGATCCCATTGGTCTATCAAACAACCTCCTAGATCAAGTCAACCCCTTCAGGTACCTAGGAATGTATTTTAACTCATACTTATCTTTATGAGTTTCTTGAGGCAACATGTGGCCCAAAATCAGGGATCTGTGGAAACGCCAGACTTTTCTAAAGCCACAGCCAGCAATGGATAACACCTGCCCTGAGAAACTTCCATGCCAGAATAGTTTCTGCCCTTCTTTATGGCATGGAACTCTGGGGATTTAATTGAGCAATTGTTCATGTGCTGGAAAAGATCCATCGAAGCTTCCTGTGGAAACTTCTGGCATTACTTGTAGTTATCTCTGTGGTCTGTCTGGAGATGCTGAGCGCTCCCGTCCAGGAAAAGAAGCAGTTCCCCTGTTTGTGACATCCCACTGCCTACATCTTGGTTTCCAGACCACATGAATCTTTCTTTATCAGCAACTTAGAACACCAGTACTCCTGACCCTCATCAGAGGAAACCGCTAACTTCAAAGAACCACCCAAAGCCCAGCTGAGAGAAGTGCTATTTATTTATTTATTTACTTATTTTTGAGATGGAGTTTTGCTCTTGTCGCCCAGGCTGGAGTGCAATGGCACAATCTCAGCTCACTGCAGCCTCCGCCTCCTGGGTTCAAGCGATTCTCCTGCCTCAGCCTTCCAAGTAGCTGTGATTACAGGCGCCTGCCACCACACCCAGCTAATTTTTATATTTTTAGTAGAGACGGGGTTTTGCCATGTTGGCCAGGTTGGTCTCAAACTCCTGACCTCAGGTGATCCGCCCACCTCGGCTTCCCAAAGTGCTAGGATTACAGACGTGAGCCACCGCGCCGCGCAAGAAGTGCTATTTAGAGAAGATCTCTTAGACAGTGTGCCCTCTACTTGTTCGTGTCCACACTCCCCATGCTGTCCCCCAACCAGAAGACAACATAACTGAGTGGTTAAAAGACACTGACAAAAATGGGGTTATTCTAAAAAAAAGCGTTGCCACATAATTTGTCTCCAGTAACATCAGTGTATTTTGCACCTGGAATGAGGAAGCTAGATAAAAAACAGTTAACCAAAACACAGGTAAACAGAAGTATAAGGAACAAATTTCCAAGTAACTGGTGACTTTGAGTGCATCACTATCCTTCAGTTAATAGGAAACTAGAATCTCATAAAGGTTATTGGAGGTGTCAAGATTATAGTTTAACAGGAAAACGAATAAGAAAAAGGGAAAGTGAAAATATTTATTTCTTGAATGTTTTGAATTCACATTATTAGGCCTTAACACATTTCTTTGAGGCAGTTTCATGTCCATGTACCTATCTGAGTAACAAAGATTCAACATTTGTTTTAGCATCTACTGCATGCTAGACACTTGCCCATCTTATTAGTGATTTATATAAAGATAGATGTGTATGTACGTACCCATAAACACATGCATAGTCATAGCATGGGGAAGTCAGCTTGATCGTCTCAGTAGCTCAGAGTCATGTTGCCCATTTACATAACAAACCTACAGGCTATTTCATTTTCAAGGGTGGAGTGCTATAATTTAGCAATGAATCTCAGATGCAGATGAGAACTTTCTAATGCTTCACATGGCAGCCTAGAAATCTGATTTAAAAGAATGATTTTTGTCCTCCCAATAAATGATCTTGTCCCTTCTGTGAACTACTGTTTTCATCAAAGTCAATTACAATATAATCATAAGAGGCATACAGATCTCCTTACATCACGAAAACATTTAAATAAAATAAAACAAAAAAACTCAACATAGAGCATGAAAATGGGCTTTATCCCATGCTACTTTGTTAGAAAAACTGTTAAGGTCAAGCAGTGTAGGCTAATAGCATTAAAAAACCAACATGTGAACGTGGACTTATTTGAACACTGACACTTTGTATTGATCTTATCTGAGTCTTTTCTTCATTGTTTTTCTGTTCTGTATTATCTGGCAGGTGGAACAGAACTTTATGACTCTTTGACACAAATCCCTTCTCTCCTTTCGCACATGCTAGACCTCACATAGAAAGCCTATACGTAGAGTGTTCTAAAATGCCACCCCTAATTCCCCACCTTAGTTTCATTAGGCAAAATGGAATGTTTTCTTTGACTTCATTGGGAAGAGTGAATACATATCCAAGTAAATGATGGCTTTATTTTGCAACTAAATCCAAAGCCCAGATGATTGAGGCTCTTTCTTCAAATGCTCTTCAAAGCTGCCATGATGGATACTAAAAGAGCCAACTCCCACTGGAGGTCATTATGAACCAGACAGCCTTGAGGTCACTTGTAAAACTCAAGACTCTCAATGTAAAGTCTGTAAAGTCTGACTAAGAGTATGTTTAGAAAACTGCTATTTTTACTAATCTAAATAAACAGTGTTCTAGCTGGTCGAACCCAACTTCAAGACAAATCCCCTGGTTTCTCTCCCACCAGATGCCACCTTGGCACCCCTTATTCTGTTGAAGTCTTAGGGTTATTCTCTGTAAGAAAGGAGCTTTATTTGAATATAATTCATGAAACATCTGTGTTTTTCCATTTTTTATTATGAGTCATTAATCTCCCTAGCTCTGCCATTTGTGAGTTCTGTTGTGGCCATGGGCGGGCCACATTAAGCCTCCGATTCTTCATCTGTCAACACAGGAGATTAGGGTTCGGTTTTTAGGATCCTTTCCAGCTAAAAATTCTGATCCTGGGGTCACAGTAATTGATAACAATGTATAAGTTAGAAATCACATTTTAGAAATACTTATGGTTAGTAAAAAGACAACAGCCTAATTTTAAAGATCAACCAAGGCTCTGAATAGACACCTTCCCAAAGAAGATATATAAATGACCAATAAGCCCATGAAAAGATAAAGGACATCATTATTCATCAGGAACATGCAAATAAAAAACACAGGGAGACACCACTTCATGCCGACTGGGAAAGCTTAAATAAAAAAGACAGATAAGAACAAGTGTTGGTGAGAATGTGGAGAAACTGGAACCCTCTTACATCGCAGGTAGGACTTTTAAACGGTGCAACCCACTTTGGCAAGCAGTATGGCAATTCCTCGATGGTTAAACATAAGAGTTGATCATAATTTAAACACATGACTCAGCAATTGCACTCCTAGGTATCTACCCAAGACAGATGAAAACATCCATCCACATAAAAACTTACACACAAATGTCCACAGCAGTATTACCTATAACAGCCAAAAAGAAACAACCCAGGCCCAGCGCAGTGGCTCACGCCTGTAACCCCAGCACTTTGGGAGGCTGAGGAGGGTGGATCACCTGAGGTCAGGAGTTCGAGGCCAGCCTGGCCAACATGGTGAAACCCCGTCTCTACTAAAAATACAAAAATTAGCCAGGCATGGTGGTGCGCGCCTGTAGTCCCAGCTACTTGGGAGGCTGAGGCAGGAGAATGGCTTAAACCCGGGAGGCGGAGATTGCAGTGAGCCAAGACTGCGCAATTGCACTCCAGCCTGGGTGACAGAGCAAGACTATATCTCAAAAGAAAGAAAGAAAGAAAGAAAGAAAGAGAGAGAGAGAGAGAGAGAGAAAGAAAAGAAAGAAAGAAAGAAAGAAAGAAAGAAAGAAGGAAGGAAGGAAGGAAGGAAGGAAGGAAGGAAGGAAGGAAGGAAGGAAAGAAAGAAAGAAAGAAAGAAAGAAAGAAAGAAAGAAAGAAAGAAAGAAAGAAAGAAAGGAAGAAAGAAAGAAAGAAAGAAAGAACCCAATGTCCATCATCTGATGAATGGGTAAATAAAATATGGCAGATCCTTACAATGTGGTATTATTTGGCAATAAAAAGGAATGCTGATATGTGCTGCCACATAGATGATCTTGAAAACATTATGCTGGCCCACAGAGAAAACGTCATGTAAGCACACAAGGAGAAAGCAGCTATTTGCAAGCCACAGAGAGATGCCTCAGGAGAAACCAGACCTGCCAGCACCTTGATCTCCTTGATCTCAAGCTTCCAGCTTCCAGAATTATGAGAAAATAAATTCCTCTAGTTTTATTGTTAAAAAACAAAAAACAGGCCGGGCATGGTGGCTTATGCCTGTAATCCCAGCATTTTAGGAGGCTGAGGCAGCTGTATCACCTGAGGTCAGGAGTTCGAGACCAGTTTGAACAACATGGTGAAATCCTGTCTTTACCAAAAATACAAAAATTAGCCAGGTGTGGTGGCATGCACCTGTAATCCCAGCTACCTGGGAGGCTGAGGCATGAGAATCACTTGAACCTGGAGGAGGAGATTTCAGTGAGCTGAGATTGCACCACTGCACTCCAGCCCTGGGCGACAGAAACTCTGTCTCAAAAACAAAACAAAACAAAACAAAACAACCACAGACACACACACACACACACACACACACACACACACACACAAACCCCACAAATCATTGTGCTAAGTAAAAGAAGCCAGTCACAAATGGCCACATATTGTATGATTCCATTTATATGAAATGTTCAGAGCAGGCAAATCCTGGAGACAGGAAGGTAGATTAGTGGTTGCCAGGGCTTGCGGGGAGGGGATGGAGGGTGACTGATAATCAGTATTGGGTTTCTTTTGGGGGTGATGAAAATGTTCTAAAATTAGATTAATGGTGATGGTTGCACAACTCTTGAATGGACCAAAAACCACTGAATTATATACTTTAATATTCTTGTCTCTTACAGTCATATTTTGGGGTGTCATATTCTGGTCTCCTATAGTATGTGAGATTTACCTCAATAAAGCTGCTATTTTTAAAAACCCAGCAACTGATGACTAAAGTAATCACAGAGTTATGTTGAAGGCCTAGAATATCCAGTTATTTTGAAATTTGTTGCCACATATTACCCCATCAGTGTGAGATTTTACACTAGTTGTTTTTCCAGCTTAAAACTTTAGAAGGCTGATTTTAGAGACCTAATTTTCCCTTAATGTTCTGTAACATCACTACCTAATAGTAGAAGTTTACAAACATGTTGCAAAAAACTTGCTGTTCCCTCCCCCGTTACAATCTTTTCAATTTAATTTAGTGTTAGTTTTAAATCACTCCTAATTGCATATTTTGAATTTTCCCTATTTAAATGGAAATTTTTAACAAATTATGTCACTAGGACTCTGAATAAATCTGGTGTTTCCTTTTATATCAATTTTTTATTTCTAATTTATTTGTTTTTAACTTAAAGCTCTGTATATTCCGTTTATTTGAAATGAAATGCATCTGTCTTTGATTTTGCATACTGTGTTTTCAGTAGTACATAATCCTGAATGATAAATGGCCTCTTTATCTAAATAGAGATCCCTAAGTATCATGTTTCTAAAATTTGAATTTAAGATCATGAGCCTTTTACAAAGGTTGTTCGAGGTTAATTAAGCATAATTCACAATAAGAGAAAATATTCTTTCCTTAAGATGTAGCTTATTAAAGGCCGAAATCTCATAGACTAAATCTCATAGAATCTTTGGGGTTGGTGGCAAGGATGGGAGAAGGGTTAAGAATGCAATTGCAAATTTCCGGACGCTACCAACATTTTTATTTGCGATGCTTATTCTTATAGGGCTCTGAAACTTAATAAAAAAAAGTTAACTCTTAGTTCTTAACCTCTGTGTCATATCTCTATCCAAGTATTTATCAGATAATATGAAGTGGGCATTATAAGTGAATGCCTAGATTAAAGTAACCACATTAAATGGAGACTACACTACCAGCTATGCTGACAGGGCCCATGCTTTGATGAAGAGCATTATAATGTCCCATCTCCTCTCACTTCCAGAATGATGGAGAAAGGCCAGAGAGTTCATATTCCATCCACCAACAGACTAAATAGAAGATGTGAAAGTCATGGGGATTCGTATGAACTGAAAGCATATTTTTTCAGTCCCACAGTTAGCAATGATACTAATTTTTAAAATGTCAGGTTTGTCTTCCAAAACAATTGGCCTTAAATCAAGAAAGAATGTAAAGAAATGAAAGAATGTGCACATAAATACACACACACATGCACACACACACACACGCTTGCTGACACGCATGCATACACTTTTCTCTCCATGAGAACGTCAAGTTTGTTTGAGTGGTGGTGGGGAGGTTGATGTAGAACTAGAAGAGGTTTTTGGTGTGTGCTTTAATTACATTTTTCATTCAGCTTAGGCTCAGGGAAAGCTCTTTCTAGGCGGGGATTTAGAAATTGACTTGAATGTGGCAAGAGTATGAAGCTGTGACTCACTGCTGACTAATCCCTTATGCAGATAAGATTATTTGTGACTTTTACATGGGCAACTTTACAAATATGTAATATTTTATTTTAGAGTAATTGTGTTATTGGTCTTTAAGGTCCACAATAGGACTGAATGTTTAGGCAGCTGCTGTCCAGCAACATTATATTTAGTTTGTAGAAAGTTTCTAATCCTAGGAACCTGCTTTTTCCTTTAAATCTTTATAGTATATTAAACGCACTATTTTACCACACTGATTTCTTGCTTTAGAGGTTTTGCCATTCTAAGTAATCCTCAAACTATTAGATTCAATATGTGAAGTCTCTGATCTCAAAGTCTGAATAGAAAATTCAAAATAGTCACGTATATAGCATTTATGTCTTGAATCCAGGTGTCAAAAAATAAATCAAGAAATTACCTAAATGTTTAACACCAGCAACTGGAATTGGCACTTCTCCGCAATTATGTTCATTTCAATAATTCTGCTCTGGTTTGTTCATTTTAAGGCTGTCTTACAATTCATATTTTAATTGTCTGTCAATGAAACTCATAGATAGGTTTTGTAGCTCTTGGCACAAAAGACATCACAGTGTTAGCCACTGAAGTGGCCAAAGTCTAAAATCATCAAAACTTGGACAGTTTTCATCCCATCCATACATGGGTCATTGACTTTACTCATTTTTCCTTAAGCTTCAGAAAAGTTATTTACACGGAAAAAAATCTGTGTGGTTTAAAATGTTTACCAGGAAAAAATGCTCTAATAACGTCAACATTCCTACTGTCTATGTTTATGAGGGAAACATGTCTTCCGCATGCCTCTCTGAGCTTTTTACTTGACACTGCCTTCTTTGAGGGTCACAGTTTAACAGGGCACATTCATTGATCATTAGGCCTGTCACCAGGCTACCATCAGGGACCTACCCTTCCAATGACCTATAGCCATGCACAACTCCTTTTCATGTGACATCAGAGTTAATTAAGGTTGGTTTGGGAGAAATCTCCTGCTGACCAAGGAGTTACCTTTTCCCAAAAAATGCTCTACTCCTACACCGCTGGTCTGTTATTAAATGAGTTCAAAAACCACCTCCATAGAGCTGTCTAACAATATGTCATTTCAGTTTACCATACGATGTCATGAAAGTTATCTGAGCTGCCTAGGGCAAAGGTCAAGATCTGGTTGACAGGGCACGAGACATAACTCGTAAAATACTCGGTAGAGAAGTCTGGTAGACCTTCGTCTGGTTATGCAAATGGACACGAACAGAGAAAACACTCTTTACACCCTAAAAATGCATACAGGAACGTTTTGTCTGTTAGGAAGGGCTTGGACACATCTCTGTTTTCTCTATCAGTGGCAGGACACTTTTACATTTGAAGCATACTCCCCACGGGCTTATGTTCTTATCCAATGTCACTGTTTAGAGGTCTGAGAGGAAACTGAGCTCTGACGTCACGTCTTATAGAATGGATCATAATTGCCAGTAGTGTTATGCTACTCAGAAGTTGTTTCAGGCTGAAATATACACATTTTCAGATTGTGAACACCTGGAAGAGACATGACAACTGATTGCTCAGTGGAGATGCCATTTCAATAAACACACTCAATGTATGTGAGACTAAATATACAGGTGGCTTAGTGAAAGTAACTGAGTTTTTAAATTAGTTTGTTAATTTTTTATCAATTTGTGCATCCTCTTTAGAATCATAGTGTCTGATCAGTGACAAAATGCTTTTAGCTGCAAGAGCATTTGCATAGAGTTGTATTATTAAGACTAGTAGTACTAATAACATGCTTGAACTGCCTTAACTTTAGATTTCTAATCTCTAAATTATTTAGGATTGCAAATTTCAGTTCTGCCAAAGGCATCCTCCGTGTTCTCTTTAAATAAACAATTACCAGTTTGGAAGCATAGCATGGAATGCATGTGACTCGCAATCTAAAATGGAAAGTTTTCTGTTTTACATAGCATCAGGATTACAGTTTGGTCTATGTCCAGATATTTTACCAAATACTCTGCTTTCATTACTGTTCAGTGTCAAAGTTCCAGGCATCTATAGAGATGATGACAGCATGTTTCAATGTTATGGATTTGTCATTTATGTGGATCCCTGTGGGTTCCCTTAGAAGGAAAGTCTCACAGAAAAGATCTGGGAGATATTTGATCAATTCCGTATAGGAGCTTGCCATGTAACAGTTTAAGTATAAAAGCGGGAATTGGAACTTTTAAATTTTATTCAACTACGTCTTATAACCTGTCATGTGACATAATCTTCAGATCCACACACAGTTCCTTCTGGAAAAAAATGAATATGTCATGGAGCTGTAATGTGATGCTGTTAAACTACCATAAAATGCATATTGTTCCAGTTTCTATTTTGATTCCCAAATAGTGCCTTCACATTTTTGTATAATAAAATGAATAAGAAAGGCTGGCAAACAGGCAGACAGACAAGTGTGCACCTTAGCACTGTAGCTGTTCATGCCAGAAAAGCCAAAAATGTTATTATAGCAATACAAAGCCTTATCTATTCTCCTCATGCAGACTTTCAGCTTCAGAATCGATTACAAATAATGACAGAATACCATTTGCTTTGTATATAAAAATGGAGGAGAGATGAAATGAGATTGGAAGGCCGAATGTGATAAAGTTCTGATGTTAATTTTCAGCTTACTTTGATACAGTTTATGAAGTCCAAATTATATAGAAAACATCTTTCTGGAGTCCTTTAGACTGTTCATAAAGGGTATTCTTTAAATTCACCCACTAACAGGAAAGTTGAGAAGATCTCTATCTTTGCAACCAATAATATATACAAACCCTCTGACCTTTGAGATTTAAATGGCCAAGAGTGTGCAATAAAGTTATCCATCATAGGGGAATTGAGTTTTTGAAAGCTACATTAGCAAATTTCTAAGACTCATTAAACACATTCTTGATGATTGTGTTTTCTATTGTCATAATCAGTTTCCTTCTAAGTTAAACAATTTGAAATATAATTGCCTTTCATTACACATATTTTGGAGATTAATCATGCTTCGGAAATGGGGTGGACATGTTGATTAAACTGTTATTTTTTATTCTGGGTTTTTCTAATTTCACATTTTCTTAAGATATCCTTCACGTAGTAAGTATTTGTAAGAGCTGTGCTTTCCTAAGATTTCAAAAACTTAAAAAAATCTTATCTTAGATGGAATTCATGTTATACAAGTTTTGCTGAGAGTCAAATTTCTGGAAGGAAAAGTAATCCATTAAAAGTAGTACATTTTCACCAGCAGTATCTGAATTTTTAAAAGAAATAATTTACCGAATGTTTTTCACTCATTTCGGCATGTGATATTAAGGCCTTCCTTACAAATACCCATAGAAGACTTTAGCGTTGTTTGTATTCAATGCCTGGGGAATGCTGGTTTTCATTCTCAGGGGATATATACCCATACACCTTCATTACTCTATCTAGAACTTTATTTCTAGAAATTAGCTTTTTTAAAAATATCATCCAAGACATTATATCTCTGATAGAAGAAAAACAACAATTTCTGTTATCAGTTGGCCACCAACCCAACAGCTTTAAAATAACTTATGAATCAGCTCATTCTGTAGGACAAAACCAAAACCAAAGTAGAAGTTACATAAAACCAAAAGGAACAGCTCTGTGGAGAGGTAGTAAGGTGCCCAATGCCGAAGCTGCTCCCATGAAATTAAGCCACCACCTCCTTTGGATGAGACTGATGAACTGAGTTAAGGGTTGGACTCTTAGGTGCAATCCCAGGAGTCTGGGAACTCCATCCTCATTTAGCTATGCTTCTTATCTCTCTTTTACTGCCACCAATCCTGGTTTTTCCCCTCACTACATTCTCTATATGACCCCTTTCTCTCACTCCCTTACCTTGTTTATTTTTCCATCTTTAACCTCAACATTTATTCTTTCATTTAATTTTTTGAACGTATACCGATAGAGATACAACAATAAACAAGACAAACGAGGTTGCTTCCTTTACAGTGTTTATAGCTTAGCATGGACAACAGATAAATAAGTATATATAGATATATATGTAATGATGCATAAAAATAATTTCTGCTTAAAGAAATAGAAAATTACATTATATTTGTGTGTTATCATGGGGAAGTGCCAGGTGTGGAGGTACCTCACTCAGCCCAGGGAGTGAGAGTCTTCTATTAGAATAAAGTTGGAGGTGAGACCTGAAGAATCAATGTGTATTTGCTAAAAGAAATAGCAGGGTCTCTTTCTCCTTCAAAGACTTCCACATCTTTCCACCCTCTAAGCTTCATCTTTCCTTTTAAACAAGTGTTTTCTTCTAACAGTTTCACATACATTTCCTTGTTTCTTAGAACTCTTGTTTTCCTCAGCCTCTGTGCTGGGAGGAGAAAGCTCTATCATCTTCTTTCAATGCTGTGGTTCGCATATTTTTTGTCTGGGGTCTACCTGACTTCACCTGCCACTAGGAAAAAAGCCACAAGTAATCATACTTTAGATACATACCCAGGTCACGTTGTGCTTGTTAAAACAGAGCACCACGGAAGACGACCGGGGTGGAGACTCAGCAATGAGGGAATGAATGAGGACTGTCAGATGTGATGCGTTAGCCAGGACTTCATGTTCTTAACGTGTCCTTCCTTTTGGCAGGTCACCTAGCCAGTACCACACATGACCCAGAGCCAAGAGGAAATAATTTTCAACCAAAATGTTCTCATTCCAGGTGACAAAACAATGGCAGCAATAGTAACATTACCTAGTGACTCGGGCTCTGTTGGTGTACCTAGAAATTAAAGGTTCCAATCAACTATCTTCTGTGCTGTTTGGGAACCTAAGCCAGTTAACAGTCTCCCAGCAGGAAGGCTCATCTCAAGGAAAATATCTCCTGGGAAGCAATTCTCTAGAAGATGGGCAGTGTAGATCCTCATTCTCAATCCTGAGTCTACAGTCGAGTCAGGAGAACATGGCCAGCTTAGCCAAAAATGAGAAAATGGTCACTGGACCTAGAAGATAACCCAAATGGAAGGAACAGAATATTGCCTGTGTATTGGGAGAATTGTTGCCAGCTCCTGGCCATATTTCTCCTAACCTCCTCCGCTTATACACACACACACACACACACACACACACACACACACACACATACACGTACTTAGAAGGTGAACCAATGAGGAACCATGACTCCTAGAAGGGCCTCAGACCCAGAGAAATGGCTCAGGATATGATTTCAGTCAGTTCAGCCAGTATTTATTGAGTGACCATTATGTGCCAGGCACTGTACTGGATTCACAATTGCAAAGATGGGTCAGAAACATTTCTTCCTCTTGAAGGTCTTTCAGCTCTAAGCTGGCCTCTTAGGGGCTGTCATTTAGAAGTAGAATAGGTGAATACTAAGAAATATGGAAGATAATCTAAGTCAACAAATAGAGATCTCCTGCAAACTATGTACACTATGTCTTTAAGGAACACATCCTTTAATATAGGAAGTCACACATTCTTCACCAACATAAGTGATTTATCTTAGTAAAACTCAGTTAAATTCACAAAATAAGAACACTTATTCAATGATAAACATGTAACACAATGAATACAACCATATCTATACCTCAAAATAAAATATAATGGATTACTTGATGATAATCCCTTGAGCATCTTTTAAATGAATGTATTAAAATGTTATAAAATAAAAATCTTCTACACATTCCTGAACTCAGCTTGGAAATAGGGCATGAATCTAGAATAATGACTGGCTATAAAATCGGGATCAGGAGAATTAAATTTAATATGGCTCATGTTTTTCCTCATGCAGTTGTGGGAGAAAATACAGACCTCGCCGGGTGTGGTGGCTCACGCCTGTAATCCCAACACTCTGGGAGGCCAAGGCGGGTGGGAGTTTGAGACCAGCCTGACCAACATGAAGAAATCCCATCTCTACTAAAAATACAATATTAGCCCAGCGTGGCGGTGCATGCCTGTAATCCCAGCTATTCAGGAGGCTGAGGCAGGAGAATTGCTTGAACCCAGGAGGTGGAGATTGCAGTGAGCCGAGATCACTCCAGCCTGGACAACAAAAGTGAAACTCCATCTCAAAAAAAAGCCTGGACAACAAAAGTAAAACTCCATCTCAAAATAAATAAATAAATAAATAATAATAAAGAAAGAAAAAGAAAAAAAAAGAAAAGAAAATACAGCCCTCCAAATCATTGGAAGAGGAATATTTCTTAAACCTCCCCTCCTAAGTTTGTATTTAACATTATCCCAAAATGGTGAATGAATTACTCCAGCAAGGCAATTCCATGCCCATCGGTTTGGACTATAAAGCGCATTTAAGAAATAACAACAACCAAGCAAACTTTATTTCTACAGTTTAGGATTTTACTCCCTCTAAGAAAAGATAATCTGGATATAGAACCACTAAGTTTAATGTCAGTCTCAAAAGGCTAAAGTGAAGTAGAAATTCCTGAAAATTCACTCCTGTTAGTTTCCTGAATTTCCCATTTGCCTTCTAAGTGACTTTGCGTAGCGAATACTTTGATAGGGTATTTTTCATTGACCAGTTTTGAAGACAGAGGATGGGATGGGAGCTTGAGTGGCTGAACCACTTTTAGCTTGTACATCAACAATGTGTGTCAAATATTTCCTAACCCTCAAGAAGTTACAGGTACTCAAAGTCCATTCCAGGGCACTGCAATTACTCTATTTCCACACATATATTTTTCTCTAGTTCTACCAGAAGTCCTTATGGAGAGGATTCTGAAGCCATAAAAATTTTCAAAGAACAGCAGTGAACAAAAATCTGATCTAGCAGGAGACATTAAGTGGAAAAAGAGAGTTAAACAATGTTTTCCAAAAAGAAAACAATACCATTAATCATAGATGCAGTGTTGTTGCCAGAGTTTACACTGCCTTTTAAAACTGTTTGTTTGTAATCCTCTCTAGCATATCCCTGCCTCCCCATCTGTTTACATACATTTTTGGTTTCTCTAATGCCAACTTAGAGAAAGAAAACAATCATAAAAATCCAACAGTGGATTTTTACATACATAGACACCATGCATATTTTTACATAGTATATACACCATTCCGTATAATTTCCATCTAAAGCATGTATCCATTTGACCAAACGTTCCAGCTTTTTCTTTGGAGTGAAAGATAAAACTCCTCAATAGGTGGCAGGATAGGATTTTTCTCAGCTTCTGGTAACATGACAGTATTCTGGTTGAAAAAGTGTCCTTCTCCGAGTAACAGGTCAAGAAAGAAGAAGGAAAACGCTATTTTCTCCTTCTTGACTTCTTGCAGGTCTATGTTAAAGGAATGATCTAAGAAGGAGGGAGAGACACAGGAGCTACGGGGCTTAAAGAAATGCTCCCCGTGTTGCTCACTGTACAAGGACTGCCAATCAAACAGGGAAATCAAAGTGACTGACAGTAACTTGTTTAAGAAAAAGGCTCTTGGATGGTTGTCTTTTCTCATAAATATGACAGTTTTTTTATTCCAAACCCTGAAAACAAAACTCTTGCCTTTTTTCTTTAATTCCTAGATTTAATCATTCAAGATACTTTGAGTAAATGTTGGTGGAAAGAGTCCCCGATTTCAAAATTAAAAAGACCTAGGTTTGAATCTTGGCTTGGCTGTTCCATAAATGGATGGCCCTCAGCAAGTCAGCAGGGTTTCCTCAGCCTTGGGGCTTCAATCCATAAAACAAAGTTACAGGTGTGCACAGTAGGTGGCTAGGAAGAGACTTGATGGAGTTAACACAGAAAGTGCCCTGTGCTGACATGTTCACATTTTTTTCCCTTCCCTGGGGGACAGTTAATGTCCTCCCCTATCCAATTCATGTAGCATCTGCCTTCAGGGTCAAACACACTTCCAGGTCGTTCTGTGAGGTATTTTAGTTTCATTCTGGAAAAGCTGTGAGCTTTCTGGAATCTGAAAGGTGCAGAGGAGCCCACGTTGGATTCCTGGAAACCATCTGTGAGAGGGCAGTCCCAGCTTTTTCCTCGGACCTGCCTGATATGAGCTTTTCTAGAATAAAGTGCTGTCCTCATGCTGTTGTTTGTCATCTGAACTGGTTTAAAGCCATATCTAGGAGAGCAGTTTGGAAGCCCACATAAAATCATGTCCTTGATGGCTTTGGGGCTCCTTTTCTGACTAAGTTTTTTGGGAGGTCCTTGAATGCCTACGATAAGAAAACTCACATGATTAAAATTCTGTCTTATTGGAGATGTGAACAGTGTCTGCCACATACAGCAGTGGAATCTCCCAAGGCCACTTTAAGCTGGAGTAGCAGTGGCTTCTCACATTCTTTGGAGATGGCCAAACTCCAAGGACAGAAGGAGGGAAAGACTAGCACAGTCCCCTTGATGCTTTTTCCTTCTCCTCTTTTCATTTAGGCTTGAAGGCATGGTAGGAGGATCCCTAAATGTCGGGTTTGCAAGTCTGATAGACTCAGATTCAAATAATTCCAAGTTTACTTACCACTTCTGTGATCTTAGGGAAAGTATTTAATTTACCTAAGCATCAGTTTTTGCATGGTTAAGAGGACCGTACCTCTCGGGACTGAGTAAAATAATATATGTAACTCCTGTTGTGGTGTGGGGGGAGGGGGGAGGGATAGCATTAGGAGATATACCTAATGTTAAATGACGAGTTACTGGGTGCAGCACACCAACATGGCACATGTATACGTATGTAACTAACCTGCATGTTGTGCACATGTACCCTAAAACTTAAAGTATAAAAAAAGAAATATTTGTCTGTAATATTTAAATGCCTAATAAATATATAATTGAAATAAAAAATATATGTAAATCAATTACATATATTGATTGTATAGTCAGTAGGGTTTGGTTGCCTCCTTTCTCCCTTCCCCAAAGCATGTCTGTCCCTGCAGTCTCGGCACCTCCAGAAAAAGGTGCTAAATCAGGGCCTCTATGATAAGAGCCCCAAGAAGCTGCAGAGCTGCCTGCACTCAGAATCTTGGGGTCAGCTGTCCTCCCTTGCTGGTGTCATGTTAGTCATCAGAGGCTGCTGCCCAGCATGCCTGTCAGGTACTCAAAACAAAATTTGAATTAAGAATAGAAAGCTCTTCTCTGGGGCCTGTTTTATTTTTTATTTATTTATTTATTTATTTTTACTCCCAGATACTGTTTAGAAGGGTCAAGACATTATGTAGCATTTATTGTTATTTACTATAATAAGTTATTTACTGTATTTTCTTGGCCAAACTCCAGCTTAATAGCTAGACTGAAAAGCAAACATGAAGTGTTACACAATGGTGTGGTCCATTGTGAGGCTGTGCTCCTCTCCACGCAGAGAGGCATCTGCTTCCCACCCCTCGCATCTGAGCTGGGCTTGCTTTGACCAATAGAATGTGGTAGAGCGGTGTTGTAGGCGTTCCAAAGCCTAAGCCTCAATATGCCTTGCAGCTTCCACCATCACACTCTTGCAACACCGCTGCCCCCAGGGAAAGGAAGCCCCGGCCAGGCTACTGAATGAGGAAAGATCTCATGAAGAGGGAGGCCCAGCACCAAGGACCCAGTGGAAATGCCAAGGACTATAGATGCATGAGAAACCCAGGTGAGACCCGAAGGGAAACTACTCAGCTGAGCCTAGCCCAAAGGTCTAGAAGAATCATGAAGCATAATGCATTGTTGTGTTGGGTGACTAAGTTTTGGCACATCTCGTTATGTAGAAATAGATGGCAGATCCAAATGGCTATTGTGCCTCAGCCTTGTAGAAACAGTGACTGTGTGGTAGTTCAAGTGTATGCTCTTTCTGTATTTGAAAATAAAAGCACCAAAGTGGAGCTCACGCAATATTAAGAATTACATGTTGTACGGGTTACCCTGGATGCCCCCAGGAAGGGGGAAGCAGTTTGAATTCTTGGTGTTTCACAAGAAGTGTTCCCAGGACCGTGGTTTCACACGATGGGAGGCCAGCTCTGTCTCCAACCAGCAGTAGCTTTTCACAACAGTGGGGACAGAACCCTGGCACATCATGAAAGTTAGGAGGCCACCCTGCCTCCAACAGATAGAATTCAGCCACCCAAGTGGGAGCCATACTGATCCCAGCACCGGAAATGCAGATACGGAGGCCCGGATGGAGAGGAAATTTTGCAGTCATACTGGAGGAAACCAGGGCTGGACCAAGGCACGTGGGTGCCCGGGACAGGCCAATAGTATGGTGTTTGCCAATATTTACATAGAGAAAAGACTGAGCACTCCACAGCATAAGGCAGAAGCATAAGGCAGAGAAGGAGGACCATTGTTAGTCTAGACGGGCAATTCACTTCTGCCCCTAACGTACGTACCTCACTCGGCAAAACAGTCCCCCTCTCCTCAGAAGGCAATTTAATCTAGACTCATTGATTCAATGCCCTGGCATTTGATCTAAGTATTCTTTCTTGCACACTCTACTAGCACATACTCTTCCTGGCAGGAATTCTCGTAAATAGTTTCTTCCACCTTGTCGTATGTCTAGTGATGATTTAGTGCCTTTTACAGATTGGCATTTGGGCAGGTGCCTCCCATGTGGCCAGGCCTCTCAAACTGGCCCCTGGGCAGAGGTTCTCAAAGTGTGATCTCTGGACCAGGCACAACAGCATCCCCTGGGAACTTGTTAGAAAAGCAAATTCTTGGCCCTATCCCAGGCCTACTGAATGAGAAACTCTGGGGTGGGGCCCAGCCAGCTAGTTTTGCAAGCCCACCAGGTGATTCTAATGTGTGATGAAATTTGAGGTTCTTAACCTCAGCTGCCCATTGGAATCACCCAGGAGCTTTAAAATTACCTATGCCTAGGTCCCTCTCAAGAGCTCATGATTAAATTGGTCAGAGGTACAGCCAAGACCCGAGGATTTTTAAAAGCTCTCCAGATTATTCTAATGTAGAGCCCAGGCTGGGGACCACGGCCCTAGAGAGAGGCAAAGGCTTTCATAGACATCACTTGGCAGACTAATTCCTAATTAGGGTTTTGCTACAGGTGGCCTTGAGTTTAAGTGGTTTTATATTTGTGTATAATAACAGCCAAGGCTTTTCATTTATGCTAGGTTCACTTCAGGCCTCTTTTAACAAAAGAATCTGATAATTGTTGTAGCTCTGCCTGTGTAGTCCACATGGGTGGTTCGGTGGCTTGAGAGGAAATCCATTTGTGCTCCACCCATTAAATAGAAGGATAGAAGACCAGGCTGAGAAAAAGTGCCTGTGAGCACCGTGATAATCTGTGAAAAGGTAAAAGCATTTGTCAAGACTGGCAATGATGACAAGGAAGAATGTTAAGTGCAAATACATTCCATTTCAAGACAGTAAGAGGCACATGAAATGTGTGATCGGCAGCGGCACAATGCAGCGAGACAATGACACCTCCCTGACAACCAAAAATTCTGCAGGATACTTACCGCTGCTGGTTTTTGCCACCAAGTCATTTTCTTTCAAAAGCAAAAGGCTTGTAGAACTTTATGGTGAAAACCTGGCTATTTAATTGCATTTTTACTATTTTCCACCAAATCCATATTTTCCAAGACCTTGATCTCGCCACCCATGATTTGGTTAACCATGGTATTCTTCAAGACCACAACCTCTGTTTACTTTGATTACAAGTCTAAGCCAAGTACAAGATTTTGTAAAGAATTTTGGAGGAGGACACCGATGTCCCAGCAGAAGGCGGCATGAGACCAACGTGGGAGCCAGAAGAGAGAGGTTCCTGGCTGGCCCAGGTCTAGTCCCTTAGTCACACACGTCAAAGTTCATCACTAGGGTGTTAGTGAAGAGGAAATGGGACCAGGCGCGGTGGCTTACGCCTGTAATCTCAGCACTTTGGGAGATCGAGGCGGGTGGATCACTTGAGGCCATGAGTTCAAGACCAGCCTGGCCAATATGGCAAAACCCTGTCTCTACAAAAAACACAAAAAAATTAGCTGAGCATGGTGGTACATGCCTGTAATCCCAGCTACTTGGGAGGCTGAGGCACAAGAATCATTTGAACCTGGGAGGTGGAGGTGGCAGTGAGCCAGGATTGCACCACCGCACTCCAGCCTGGGCAGCAGAGCAAGACTCCGTCTCAAAAAAAAGGAAATGGACCCTGACACCAGAACTGACTTTGGATCCTTTACTAAAATCAATGCTTCTCGATTTTTAATGAAAAAACAAACAAACAAAACCACGTGGGGATTTTATTAAAGTATAGGCTCTGAGTCATCAAGTTCCCAGGGGATGCTGATGTTGCTGGACCTCGGAGCACACAGAGAGAAGCACGTTTTGGAGTATGATGTGGGAATGTGCAGTGTGGGCCGGGATGGGGGTGAGGATAGGGAGGCACCAGCTCGAGCCCAAGCCATGGGATTCCAATTTTTAAGAACATGTCTCGCACCTAGCAGGGTAGTCCTGCCAGGAACCCATTTATATGAAGGGTTGAGGAAACCTCATCCTAAAGAAAGAGGAAGTTAGACAGACCAGTGTGGTCCTGTAACCAAGGCCCCTATTAAAACAGAGTTGATTCTGACTGTGGCCAGACCTCTGTCATTCAGGTATGCATCTCAGCCCAGCACCCAAGGACTTGGGTTTAAGAGAGGGCAAGAAAGTCAAACCCTAAAATTTGAGGACTCTGTTCTCTCTAAAAATTGTATAACACGCTGCAGGAAAAGGCTGAGGTGCTTAGCACCTCACCAACAGAGGCTAACACAGGACTTCTGCAGTGACCAGAGCCTGGCTTTGGTGGCTCACAGGCCCCAGCGAAGCATCATGCCCACACAGGAGGGGAGGACATGAGACAGTTTCTCAAAGAGTTGAAAATCATAGCTGATCTCATACATCTCAATCGCTCACTGAAGAGGACAAATATTATCTGTTGAGAACAGTTACTTTAAGTAATCCCTTGTAAATGAGGCCAAATGAACAGGCAGGAGCACATTACTATACTGGAATAAACTCATGGAATAAATTTGTGTCTGAGATTGCTTCTGCGAAATGATAGTGTGGCCACATATTCATTCATTTACTCATTCGTTCCAACACTTACCGAGAGTCTCTGTACTAGGCTTTATATTAGGTGCCAGCGGTCTAAGGACAGCTAAGACATGGGGTCTCTACCAAAGAGAAAGGACACAGACACATAAAATCCTGACAATGCAAAGTGAGAATTACTGAAGGAGGAGTACACCTCAGGGCTACAGGAGAGCAGAAGAAATGGCAAGTGCTGTCTGGGAGCTACAAGGAGGAGCTCCCAGAGATGGTGATTACTGGGCTGGATCTTGCCAGCAGGAGAGGAGGAGACACAGAGGGAGGGAAAAGGTCTTGCAGGCAGACGAGCAGCATGAACAGAGTGATGAAAGTGAAGGCGCCTCTGAAGAAGGGGGAATAATTTGTTTGACTAGGGTAGAGTTTGTGTAGCTGGAACCCAGTGTGTGTGTGGAGAGAAGTGGCGAAAGACAAAGCTAGTACCATAAGCCACAAGTATGTAAGCCACAGCTGTTCAGGAAAAGGATACCAAGTGCTCGTAAGGAAAGTTAATCTTCTCATCAAATCTCTTGGCATGCTACTAAGCAGCCATCATTTTGATTCTTAGTTTAAACCCCTTATGTGCGTTAAGAAAATAGAAGAAAACTTCATATTAAAAAGATGTCATTTCGAAAGAAATTTTAGCACTGTAATAATGTTAGTCAATAAATATTTGAACATCTGTCTTCCGTCTGGGGAAGAGGAAATACACCAGTGAAGAAGAGATGTTGTCTGTAGCAGGAACATCAGGTTCTGTTCCTAGGCCTGCCGCTAGCCAGCTGTTGACCTTGAAAAACAGCACTGGCCTCCTCTGGGCCGGTTTTCTCATCTCTGGCATGAGTAGATTGGGTCAATGAGGTTCCATCTAGCTCTTACAACGTGTGTGTGTATCTGTGAGACAAGATCAAGTTCCTCAAAGAGCTCAAAATTGAGGAAAGGAGCAGCAATCAGAAACAGCTTTCAGGCATCCAGCTTTACCAAGATGGATGGGAAATCCCCAGGAATTCTTGACATCTCCCCACATCCGCCCCAGCGGCAATGCAGGAAATCTAGTCCACTATCTTCAGCAGACTCAATGCAACTGTTTCCTTAATGAACCCCCCTGCAGCCCCGTGAGCTAAGTCAGAGGCTTTCTTTTCAAGCCCTCCCTCAAATACCCCATTCCTCCAATTTCCTTCCCCTCCCTCAATCTGGTATAAAATCCAGCAATTTAATCAGCAGCATGCAATTTCCACAGCACCCAAGAGTGTGAGGAACCACCAGTGATCCTGGAAAGCATCTGGCAGGAGATCTTGTCATTTCTTACAAGCCTCTCCTATAAACGAAGGCCAATGGAGCAGAATGGACTGTTCGGTTCTACCAAATTGCTTAAACCAAATGCCACAGATGGTCTATACTTTTAACTACTCACAGTAATATATTTTTACTTAAAAAAAAGTCTGGTATGATTTCAAATGCCCTTCCTCCCCTACCTGCAATGACAAATGCACTGAAAAATGATGATATTTACTTGATACCCAACACACCCCTAACTGTGAGATCCAAACCAAGAATTAGACACGCCTGGCCTCTACTAACACCAGCAGGCTTCGCATTTAACATTCACGTGCCAAGATAGCTTCTCTCACTTTTTCTCCATTCTTATCCCCACCCACATACACATATCAGTTTAAAGCACTACAGAAGCTACTTACTCTGTTATTTGTTCTTGTCTTGCCCAACTGCCCAAGCCAGGTCAAATATCAGCCATAACTCTGCTGTGTAGATCTCAATAGGCTGCATAACCTTCCTCGAGGACATTACATTATTTTGGTCAATATGAAACCATTTTTTGGTAACACATCACCTTCAACTTCCATATTAAATAAATTTAAAGTAGACTTAGAAATGTCTCGATCATTTTTGGAAAGAACAAAGTAATTACTTGGTTTGTTTCTTAAAAGTCACGTAAAGTAGACTCAATTTTAAATAAGGGGTTTAGTATCCCTGTTAAAATCTGGAACTTTTTTTAAAAGAATAAAGCCATTCTGTTAATCAAATAAGTGTTAGCTTTAAAAATTCAAGAAATAAATAGGGGTTTAAAATGACTGCTATCCTTAGAAGAGTTAATGCAACTAGAGTTTTGAGGGAGCATCTACTTTATAGAGTTATACATTCTGCTAGTGAAAAAAGCCCAAGATAAAGATGACTGCTGGCTCAGGCATCCTCTACCAGCCCATCTCTTCCAAAACAGCCTATTCAAGGCCAAATTGACTGGCTGTTTAGGTACATGCTACTAAAGAAAAAGAAAGTTTAATGTGATTAGCAGGGGAAACCCAGTTCATCCTAACAGCCCCAGCATCATATGGTTTCTCATCCACTCTATATACAAATATAAATAAGGTGGGGAAGAGAAAAGAGAAAGACAGACACGGTGTTCAGGCCATTTCTTGGAATCATTCATTGAATTTTGGAGTCAGAAAAGGGCCTTAGAAATCAACCACCTATACTAACGTCTTCATTTTACATACGAAAACAAAGTACCCACTTGGTGATCGTTAGAAAAGAAACCAGATAGCCTATTATAGAATGTCCAACAGGGAAATTTTAAAAATGTAACAAAGTGCTAAAATAGTAAGCAACAATATTTGAGGAACTGGAGTAAGTAGTCACCTACAGTTCCTTTGTAACATGATGCTTCAGTTGGAAAACTGTAGGCTGCCAAAGCTCCTAAATAATTAATATTTCGAATATGCAATTTAGACCAAAAAAAAGTGCAGCTTCATAAAACCTTGGAGAAAACAACAAAAATTGTTACAAAAAATTAACTTTATTATAAGAGATTTATTACATTCAATTTGAAATAGGTATTTTCATGTGCACTTTGATTTAATATTATTAATATGGACTTCCTTCACAAAATTCACAATTTCAGTATTTCCACTTAGTTATAGTAAATTGTAAATGTTAGCTGTTCAAGAACTCAAGAAAAATGAGGGCAAAGAAAAAGGTCTGTAGCTTTCATCCAGGTTGTGATACCTTAAAAGTAAGAAATGAGACTCAGAGCTGGAGAAAGAGGACTGGTATCCTTTATAGAGAAAGAGCAATAGAGAGGACTTGAAAGTATCTGAATTATTGGCATCTTTTTATTTCCCAGAATGTCTGGAAGAGGTAAATAAGCGCTTTAGAGGGGAAAGGCATTATCTTTTTGTAATACTGAGCCTCTGGTTATTTTACCTCTCAATGCATGTGCACACCAGGCATGCACACACACAGAATATTAATAGCTGATAAGTATTCAAAGATTACATAGTACCTGAAGGAAGGCAGACCCAGGTTCATAATGACGCAAGAGAACTCTGCAGTGGGGAACCGTGGCTTCTTACTAGACATTGCTTCCCGGATATGCAGCCTCTCAGTTGAGCATGAAAGCCCTGATGCGGTTTGTAAAGTAGGCGGTAGCTGATTGTTTTACTGTGAGATGCTTGTTAACCAGACAGAGAAACTATGAGTTTTCAAAAGCACCCATGATGCCGACTGAGCTAACATGAACTAACAGAGTGTTCTGTTAACTGTTAGGTAAAGAGGTTCTCAGCTTGCCAATGTTAGTCCTTTCTTCCCAAAAAAGTGCAAATAAAAAAAAAAAAGAAATTCAGAGTTGCAAAACTGCTGCCCCATTTAAGTAAATTATAATCTAAGAAAAATCACAAGAGGATCCCACTCACATTTCTGTAAAGTTTCCACTGATCTAAGATGCTTCCAATTACAAAGAAAACGATGCTTCACTAAAGTCAGCATGTTTTCAAAATAAAGATATAATTATGTGAAGCAGAAAATCTAATAAATCACGTACTTTTCCCTCCGTAATTTTAGATTCATGTAATTTAGCTAGATTTATCTTTACATAATAGTCGAGTGAGGTATTTAAATTCTCTAAGCAATTATATTTTAATACAAGTGACTTTTCAAAACAAAAAATGTATTTGTGAAATAGAAAATACAACATTTTATTTAATATAGTTATGTTAGCACCTTTCCCAACCTACAGTGAGTTCTCAGAAGTTACCACTTCGCCCTGTCTCCGGGTTTAGTAGTTTCTCCAATCTAATTGGAACTATTACTTGTTACTTGGAAACTGACGGTCTAGTTAGTCTTCCCACTGAGAAAGAATATTTAATTATTACTGCTTTTTGGGTTTAACAAGCTTTTTGTTGTTGTTGTTGTTGTACTACGCTCCATCCTATTGACTTTTCTTCCCGGGAATCATTGCAATGACTTATTTTATATTACTATATTTTATTTCATATTTTACCTTTTCTCCACGATGCTTAAAAGAAAGGCGCTCCGAAATCTGGCTCTCTGCGCCCAGGGGAACGAGGCACAAATCTCCGCCACTCAGCCCCACTGAGCAGAGACTGCGAGTCCGAACCCTCAAGTTCCTCGGGGCTTTGACCCCTCAATGGCGGCGGTCTAACTGCTGGTAAAACCCCCGGCCCCTGACTGTTCCACCGCCCGTCTCCCAAACGCCCAGCGAAGGCTGACTTAGGTGGCGGGCGGACCTCATCGATTCCTCAAACCACATCGTTTGGTCAAAATCGCCCGCCCTCTCTTCGCTCGGATTTTAAAGGCTAGGCTTGTAAGTCAGTAAGTTAACGGTATTTGGGCCCTGGGCTGCCCTTGTGGGTCAGGGTCACTGATGTCCGCGACACGGACTGGACCGCGCACCACGCCTGCTCCCGGCAGAGGCCCCACCCGGGTGGCTGAGCGCAGCGCACTGGGGCCCCGCGGTCCGAGAGCGGCGGGGAGGAGCGGGCGCTCGCCGAGCGTTCCCCGGGACAGTCCGGCTTGGGGACTCAAGCGGGTCATGGGATGCCGGCGCTGGCCCTCTCCTGAGATCCTCCTGCTCCCCCGCAGGCACGAGTCCCCTCCAAATCGGCTCCCCTCCTACACTCTCGTGACGCGAGGTCGCGGCCAGTGCCCAATATCACCAAAGTCCCGGCCTCAGCCCAGCCCCGGGCAGCCTGGCAGGCTTTCAGGAGCCTCTGCTCCCGGCTCCGGGGGACCCTGCGTACCTGCCCCAGGTCCTCTGGGAATGGGCTCTGGGTGCCAGGCAGGTCCCGGTGCGTGCTGCTCCTAGTGCCCAGGGCCTCGGCAGTGAGACCCCAACCCGACAGCTGGATAAGGGATCAGCGATCCTGTCGCAAACGGACAGCCCCAGCGCGGACCCGGTCTGAGCGCTGATGCTCGCGGGTCCAGGCCAGCCACTCCTCGAGGCGCTCCCTCGGAGAAAGGGCGCAGCGGCCCCAAGCGTGCCCGCTGCAACTAGTGTCCCAGGTTCTCGCCGTAGCCAGCTTCTCCGGGCTACAGCCTCGTCTCCCCGCGTGCACCCCGCCCTGGCCTCGGAGGCTCTGCCCTCCGGCCGCCCCATCGCAGCCCGCCTCAGGCCCCGGCCCCCAGCCGCGCCTCACCTGTGAGAAGCAGACAGCTGAGCAGCGCGCACAGCAGGACCCCGGTGTCCCAGTAGCTGACCATGGTGAGCGCGACGCGGCCTGCTCGCCCGGTGCCCGCGCTCCCCGCGGCCAACGACCCGGCCGCCAGAGTCCGTCCTCTCGTTCGCCGCCGCCGGCCCCGCGCCCTGAGCGCCCGTCTCGCGGCTCCAGCCAGGAGACAACCACTTCCCCGGGTAATCCTCGCCGCCAGGCGCCCGCTGGCCGCTGCACCCGAGCCCCGGAGCCCGCTCCGAGCCGCCGCCGCTGCCGGGGAGGAGCCGAGAGGAGTGTCCGCCTGGCGCGCTCCGAGCCTCCCGCGGACCTCGATGAAGAGCAGCCGAGGGCGGGGGCGATTTATAACCTTTCCCCAGCCCACTTCCTACCCCGGCACCTCCTTCTGGTGACGTCAAGGGGTCCCCCACCCCTCATCCGCCTCCCCACCTACCCTCTTCTTCCTCCCAGGCTCGCTTCCCTGCGGCTACGGAGAGGGGCGGGGGCCGACGAGGGCGGGTGGCCCGGGGCCGAGCGCGCGTGGGGAGGTGCTGGCGACGCGGGCCCGGGAGCGCGGCCCCGGCAGGTTCAGGGTCTTTGCTCCGCGCCCTCTTGCCCTTGCCCCTCCTCCTGCCCATCGCGCTCAGGAAATCCTTGCAGACTCCCTCCACCCGGCTTACTCAGCTCTGGGGGCCGCCCGAAACTGGGGAAGGGACAAGGCTGAAGCTCCGCCGCCTGGCCCTAGGGGCGGAAAGTCCGATCCAAGGGAAGCTGGCCGCGCCTCCGCGACGGTGTTCTTGGCACGGAGGACTGAGGCGCAGTCCGGCTGTCTCCCCTTGCCTGCTCTTCCCGCGCTGTCCCGCCGCTCCTGACCCCTTCAGACTGTCCCGAGAAGTCTAGGAAGGCACCGGAGACCCTCGGCACAAGGCACTGAACCTGGAGCGCCTGAGGGGAACTGACGCTTGCTTGGCACCTTTGGGAAGACTGCGAACCAGCTCAGGTCCCAGGGGAGCGTGTCCGTGTCTTTTTCGGCCGCATTGATGCACCCGCCCAAGTCATTTCCTCAGTCTTCTGCTTCCTAGAAGCAAAACAAGGAATAACATTATGATACCTTTAAAAAGCTGAGGCGTGAAACTGCTCCTGCAACTTGGAAGCGCAGGGCACTTGAACTTTATTCCCTAAATGCTCGAAAAAGAAATCTTTCTGGTGGCAGCTTGCTACTCAAGATGAGTGACTCTGACCACAACCGGCTGAAATTAACTTGAGGCCCTAGATCATTTGCTATGACACTAATTCCACGTTGTTCCTCAATTATGTCTCCATTACCTCAAAGGCTGAAGTCGTCCTGGCTGCACGGAGCAGCCCAGTCTTGTCTCTGTAAATACCGCAGATTTGAAAAATAGTCCTATTGGAACCCGTCAGAGGGATGTAATACAAGGGACTGTGATGGCTCTTGAACGGAGCCAGAGACTCTTCCTGAAGGACTGGACTACCTCCCCGCCTAGGAAGGTTGGGTAACCCAAAGTTGCCACATTTCTGGGCTGCACACCAAGGAGAGGCCCCGGCCACTCCACACAGGAAATGCACGTCTGGGCACCTGGAGCCGCAGGACCTGAGCCACTAACTGTCCCTGGATCCCTTCTGCTTCAGAGGCAAGGAAGACTGCCGGAGTCATTGCTTGCCTGCTGGCTTCACCAGCGCTTTCTGTTTTTCCAGTTCTCCTCACCACTCTTCCTGGCGCCTTTCTCTGCCTCCCGCACCCCTGCCTCCTCTAAAACCCACAGCATCATCCCTCAGAACAGCTGGAAGCGGACAGCTGATCCTTCTCCTTGCTGGTCCCCCAGCCCAGAACACAGCCTGGGACATACGTGCGGAGCCACAGTGTCTGTTGGTCTCACCTGAGAGCTGCTTGTCACTCCCACACCCTCTTTCAAGGAGAAGCTGTCAGCATTGTCCTTCTGCAGCATTCAACAGGGGCCAGGCATTGGGTTAGGGCTGAAAACACTGATGGAGAGCCATCATCTTTGCCTTCTAAAGGGCTTGGACTGTGATAAGAAGGTGGACACTTGAAGTGGCTGCAGGACCGGCATTCCAGTGCTGGAGGGGTGTTTAGTCCTCCATCAGCTCAGAGAAGTAAAGGCACATTTATTGGCAGGGAAAACCCAAGGAGGGCTTCTCAGGAGAGACACACATTTGACTCTGGGGGAAAGTGGTCCATAGTACCATGTACAAAGGTTTAATTTGCTAATACATTTTTTCAAATGCCATTTTGATATTTTTAACTCATAAAGAGACAACACTTTCCAAACCTGCTGCCAGCAATGAATCTACATTGTGTCTGTAAAGCCAGAACAGGTATTTGATGGACAGCTGAAACAATCTTTATAATCTAAGATGCTAATCAATGATATTAACATGTTGCTCAATTATTTAAGGTTAGTAGAGTCACAGTCGAATCTAAGATTTATATTAAAACTATGCTGCAGTAAGGGTGGGCTTCCACATTTCCCAACTACTCTTTTGAAAAGTTGCTTTTAATTAGAGTCAGCAATTTATTGACTATGACTTCTTTGTTAGTTGCATTAGCGTTCTCACAAAGAACTCAAAAATGCTACAAATTTTAGCTTAGATATGGGGAATAAATGTATAGCTCCCAATCCTCTCCCCAAAAGAGATAATACCTTTGAATGAGAATGGGCTATAGCACTCTCCTAACTAAATCACTAATGAAAGAGGTTTTATAGATAATACTGATGGAGAAGATGGAATTCAACACGCCTGGTGGGTATAAAAAGCTATTGAAGTAGGCAATCTGCTTGCTTCCTGCTCACATACAAAAGAACATTTCATCTCCTGTTTGGTTAGCAAAACCAGACACTCTCTCTTGTTATCAGCTACAAACATTCTCTTGAGGTTTCTTTCTCACCCCTATTCAGAAGCACACTGTTGCTAAATCCATCAGCTTTAATATTCGAGACTGAATAAGAGTGTTGGAGCACCAGTGTGAGAGACAGGAGGGAGCCCAGGCTCTCACCTTCCTCCAAAGACCAAGCATGGAGCTGATCAGCCACAGTCACTGAGGATCAGTCAGGAATTTCTTTTCCACTTGGGTTAGGTAGCTTGATACAAAAGGAAAAATACACTCTATGGGCATACTCTGCATAATGCAAATATGTATGGTTGAATACAAGAACCAAATGATCTCATAAAACCCTTCTGTGTTATATTTTAAAAAGCTTCACAGTACATATCCTCTGGACAGTTCAGGCTCCTTGGTCTAAAAAGCACACGCTCCCAAATCTCTGCTAAGAAGTTCTGCGGAGTTCACCAGGCAGGCACATGTATGAGTTTACTTATCAGATGCTGATGACCCCATTGGCTCAAAAGTCTTGCTATGGGAAGCTACCACTGTGGCTGAAATGCCCCCATTTTCAAAGAACTTAAACATCTTGTACTGGGTTTAAAAGCCATTCAACCCATCTACCGAGTCAATTCGTGGAATTCCTATTCAATGCTCCAATATCTCCACATGAAAATTTATTGAACACTTAAAAACACCTCCTGTGCCATGGGCATCTTGTCTCCAGCCTCAACATCCACATCCCTTTGGTCACTCTTCAGCTGACACGCTCCAGAAATTCCATCCAGCATATCAGTGTCCCTGCAGGTGACACGCTTAGGATTGAAAATGCAGCACAATTATCATTTCCCTACTCCTAGAGGTAGTTTTTCTTTCAGGCAGAGAGAAAAGCCTGTGGGAAGGCCCAGTGGGAGCGAGGAAGGAAAATCGTTCAGGTGGGAAGAGCAGCGTGGAGAAGGAAGCAAAGGGGACAGCCCCCTCCTGGAGATAAGGCCAGTGCCACCGAGAGCAGGGCAGCACTGCCCTGGTGGCACCTCTGGGGCCGCCGGCCTGGGCTCCCTGGCTCCTCCTGTTCCTGCTACTCATGCTCCCGTCTGCTCCTGACTACCTTCTCCCGGGCATGGGTGGGCGCTGCTGGTGTTTATAAGATCGCCATTGGCTTTACTTGGAATTCTCCTCCTGCTACTCCCAGGGGCTACTACGGAGAGAACTTGCTTCTGTTCCTGGGACCTAAGATCAAAGGAGCCTTTTCTGTCAGCGCCTTCATACCTTGGACTCTTCCAGAACTTATTCTTGGTTAAAGCCCCAAGGCTTTCTCATGAGAGCTGCTATCTGGCTGCCCTTGTGCAGCCGCCGCTTGGGTTGACTCAGGCTGCAGGCCCTGAGCGTGTTGTTTAAGCCTTTTGTTTGTTTTAGTCTGTCTTTCCAGCATGTCGAAGTCTTTCTGGTCTCTGATTCTGCCATCCTGTGGACTTTCTATAGCTCCCGCTTCAAATGATCCACAAATACGGTAAACGTGCCTTCTGGGTCATCATCAAAATCACTGACAAGGACAAAGCTGAGTGAGTGAATGAATGAATGAATGAATGGATGGATGAAAGTAGAGATCTGTGGAGGTTGAGCAAACCAAGGAAGGACTCAAATTATTCCTTTGTGTCATTATCTCTAGCTGTATGTTCACCAAAGGAGGCTGCATATTAACTCATTCACATTTACCATGTCATTATTTAGGAATAATTGATGGTCCTAGCAAGAGAAAATAAGACAGGTACATTTTATTGAAGGCATACTAGAAAAGTTGAAAGGAAAAAAAACAAAAAGACCAGACTGGGATAGTTAGAGAAGCATGGGGCAGGGGAAGCGGCAAATCAGAGAAGCAAATAAGGCCTAAAGGAAAAGTGGCCAATTAGAGTAATCTCTAGGAACCTCCTCTAATCAGTATCACTACTATCTTGCCTAAGGTCAGTTGTATCTCAGCACTTAACTGCCAGCCATTGACTCTTCTCCTTACTCTTTTTCCTGTTTTATTACTTTTAATACACTCATAGTCATTAAATATAACATTTTAGAAAGATTAAAAGAAGGGAAGGTCTGGAGGATGAGTCATAATTCCATCATCTCAGCAGAGCCACTGTGATCACTGTGGTGTATTTCATTCGAGCCTTTTCCATACAGACGGCTTTTATCTTTCCATGTTTCTATAGAGCCTTCATAACTGTTGTAGCTAATAGCCGCAAACTATTATCCTCTTGCTAGACATTCCAGTTTCTGCATTGTAAATAATTCCAAAATAATCTTAATTTGACACTGGAATGTTTTTAGTCAGATGTACACACGCACATGCACGCTCATCAATATCCCTGCTTTACTTAAAACCCTACCAGCTTAGTCCAACAGTGACCTGGCTGAGCAGTCGAAGGAAACAGCTCGTAGCATGGTGCATGATCCAGGAAACGTATTCTTTCATTCAGCAATGCCATGCTAATTCGATTGAAAATAGTAACATAGGAGATACAATTATTACTCTAGAAGACCTTGCACTCTATTAGAGAAGGCCAGGCTTCCATGAAATATTAGGAAACATTTCTAAGGCGATTAAAGGCAAGATACAGTTATGAGTGCTAAAAGGAATCATTAGTTACTGTATTGGGAAATGGCTTTGAAGGTAGTAACAGTTTATATCAGCAGAGAAGAGAAGGCATTCTGGAAAGGCGGAGAAGGTAATAAAACCAGTCAACAGTGGGAGAGGCCAGTGAGGGGTGGAGGTGTTGGGAACAGGGAGGCTGAGTTTGCACAGGTAAGGTTGAGGCCTGGACACTTGCGAGATACTCACGTGTGTTTCATTCTGTCAGTACAGAAAGGGGTGGCTTTAGGATGGTTAGACTGGCCAATAGTGGGTTGCAAGGGAATGAGACTGGAGGGAAATGAATAAACTATTAAATGAATTCATGAAGAAACAAGCAAATCTATTGAGAGGCAATAGAATAGGACTGGTACCATGAGGGGAAGAGGAGGGTGCAGGGTGGCTCTGGTTAGCAGTTCAGGGAAGGGATGTAGAGATAATTAAGTTTGGGGTTGAGGTGAGGGAGAGGGAAAAGCCCAGGAGAACTTCAAGGTTCCTGGGAGGACCCTAAGGAAGCCAGGCATTGGCTGATGGGGATGTTGTGAGAGGTGGCTGGAGAGGAGGCAGGAGGACTTAGTTTTAGCCATGTTGGGATGAGTGGGCAATTGAAAGCAACTGACTTTATTTTCAGGCTGGAGCCAAGGCAGAGTTTAAAGGGATGGCGTGCTGGGCGTGGTGGCGTGTGCCTGTAGTCTCAGCTACCTGAGAGGCCTAGGTGGGAGGATTGCTTGAGTCCAGGAATCCAAGACCAGCCTGGGCAACACAGCAAGACCCTGTTTCTAAAAATAAATAAATAAATAAATATTTTAAAAGACAACAGGATAGTGTGGCTCAGGTCTAAACATTTTTTTTTTTTTTTTGAGACAGAGTCTCGCTCTGTCGCCCAGGCTGGAGTGCAGTGGCATGATCTCGGCTCACTGCAAGCTCCGCTTCCCGGGTTCACGCCATTCTCCTGCCTCAGCCTCCCGAATAGCTGGGACTACAGGTGGCTGCCACCGTGCCCGGCTAATTTTTTGTATTTTTAGTAGAGACGGGGTTTCACCATGTTAGCCAGGATGGTCTCGATCTCCTGACCTCGTGATCCACCCGCCTCGGCCTCCCAAAGTGCTGGGATTACAGGCGTGAGCCACCGCGCCCGGCCAGCTCAGGTCTAAACATTTTAAGGAAGTAGAAACTCAACAGGTAGTGCTATATCCTGACTTCACATGTCGTATATATGTTATAATTTTACATGTAACATATACGTTGTATCTATATAAGACAAAAATCACATATATTTGAGATAGATAGCCTGAGTTTTCTGTAATGGCTAGGCTCTGACCAGGCAGTTTAATTTCCACCTCTGAGTAAGGAGGGGTGCCCAGCAGAGTACTCCAGTTTTAGCCTTCCTTCTTCAAAAGTTCCCGAACTCCAGACACACCCTCAGGGCAGATTTGCTGGCGACTTCTGTGGAAGACCAGCCCTTTCCTTCCTGCGTCTCTTCCAGGCTCCTCCTGGACACACTTGTCATGAGCAGTGGCAGCAGTCACGGAGCAGCCAGCCACACTCTGCCCTGGACTGCAGGCCATCTGCCCAGCAGTCAGCCAGGCCTACGGAAACACGGCTGTGTCACCATCCTAGAGGCAAGGCTGGCATTTGTAAGAAAGTTAGATCCCCAAGCTCAGTGAAACCTACTGTGGAGGGAAGAATTGTGTATCATAATTGGCTTTAGATTTTTCTGTTGAAAAAACAATAATCCATAAAAATAAGCTCCAGTTATACCACTAGTGTGGGTTTTCTTGCTAAAATTTGAAACCCAGCCAAATAATAGTTTATTATTTAAATAAAATTCTCTTTCTTCACATGCTGAAGTAATCACAAAGTGATAAAATGACTGATTTGCTTCAAAATTATCCAAGACCCCAATTACACCGATTTTATCTTTACAAATTATATGAATATGTTAAATTTTCACACGTACCACAAAAATATGTACATTTCCTATGCCTCAATTTAAAAAATTATCCAAGAGGAGTGAAGATGAAACATGATAGGCCATGTATTGATAATATTGAAACAGACCTAATTTATGAACATTTCTTTCCTCTTATGCATATGCTTACAATTTTTTCAGAGCAAAAGTTAATTTTCTCTTCTAGTCTGAAATTGGTCCAAAGTGAATTTCAGGATCTGAGCCTGAGGCTACAGAGAAAAGGCGGGATAATGAATGTAACCTGTTGGCCAGAGCTTTGGTTTCACTGATAGGAAGACATATGTCCTCCCCGTGAGTTTCTAGCAAATTGTGTGTGCGTGTGATGAAGAGGCATGAAGAGGTGTAAAGCAATCAGAGAGGAAACAAATCCTAGTTGATATGGAAAGCCTGCTGCAGAAAGAAGTAGCACGGAGAAGTAAAAAACATATAAACAATGCAGCTGAAGAAAAAGAACAGGAAAACCCTTTGAAAGGAAAAATCCAGAAAATTACTATCTATATGATGGAGAGGAGGAAAATAAATCACTTTTCTTTTTCATTTTATTTGTTGAAAATTAAATAAATTCCTTTAAAAATCCCTTTTCTTCTCCATGTTATTTATTTGAAAATGATGGCTGGAGATCATGAAGTAGAGAAAATGAAATTTGGGGTGAGAGGATTAAAACCCATGCTGCATCGTCTAATGACATTATTAAAAAGGACTTTAAAAACTATGTTTTTAAAACAAAACAAAACAAACAGGATTTGTTGGCAAGCATTCTAGGCAATTTGGGAACAGGAAGATAATATTGCAAGACCATTAGCCATTTTTTTCTAGAACTTATGCACAAGTCCCCATGATTGAAAAAGGAAAGAAATTCAGCAGGTTGATTGGTAAAGATAAACACAAAATCATACAATCTTAGTGTGCAAGTGGACCTTATAGATCTAGTCCAATCACCTGATCTTGCTTTGAGGAAAGAGGCAGCGAGGTGATGTGCTTGGCCAGTCACACCTGAATCAGAATGGAGGGGTAACCCTTGACCTTCTCAGACTATTGCTGAGAGCGTCTCCCCACACGATCCCCATGCCTTCTGGCCTCTTCACAGAAGGAGAGAGCCTAAAGATGCATTGCTCTGTTCTCTGGATGCTTGTGAGATGATCTCATCAGTCAGTGAAAGGCAGGCAGGATTTGCCTGCAGGTCAGCTCAGAATTTATTTAGGTAAGATTGCCACCTTTGGGCCCAGGGTCACTTGCACCCAGAAAGCAACATAGAGCAGAGGGCAAAGAACTTCTACTGCCAGAGTGGGTCTGTGCACAGCTCCTAGGCCAGCCTACCGGGGGTTTGAATCTTGACTCTGCCTCTTGCAGGATATCTGACCTTGGGCAAGCCACCTAATGTCTCTGGGCTCTAGTCTCTTAATCTCCAAAGCAGGGATGATGATAGAATAGTAGGGTTGTTGTGAGGATTAAAGGAAGAATCCAGAAAAGCATTTATAATAGTGTCTGGACCAAACTAAGCACTGGATAAGTGTTAAGTATGTTTACGTGAGTAATGTTTGCCATATGCCTCCTGCCTGCTGCCTGACTGATCCTTCAGTACTTATCTCCATGGGTTAGCTATACTTCTGCCCTCAAATTCCAGGTCTCTGATGGGATTGGGCCTTGGATGGGCACCAGCACACCGTGTACATTTGCTAGCCTTTTTACTCAAGACTGAACACTTTCTTCCTTCCCCTTAGGCATCGTTTGAGACCCCGCCGCCTCTCTGACTTCAAGTGTGCCCTGATGGTTAAAGCCAGCCTCTGGGTGCCAGCCCCATCCTCTGGACTGGAAGCCCTCAGATGCCCATTCGTGGGACCCTGCCCCTGGGTAACTGTTGGATTGCGTGGCTGTTCCTGCAGGGCAGTTCATTGCTGTCTTGTTCCCTGCTCCCTTGCTTCTCTGTCCTGCCCCAGTCCAGTTGCTCATCTTCTCTCTCTACCAGCCTCTGCTGCCAAAGTCCTAGCACAAAATCCTTATCTCTATGTAAGAACCCTCCCCCACCCTGGCTCCTCAAATAAAACAAAAACCTTGATCTGCCAAGGTTGATCTCAGAGGGAGGAGCTCATCTTGGTGAGGAGCTCATCTTGGTGAAGACCTCTCTGTCCTCCTCTTGTCCTGACATCTCCTCTCCTTGGGTAACCCAGCAATCACTCCTGCCCCTGGGGACTGGTCTTCAGGGCTCCATGGTGCCTTATGGGGTTTCACACCTGTGGACAACTGCTTCCCTGAGCTTCCATCAGCATCCCCGGGATAGCTGGAACCTTTATCAGGACCCAGCTAAAGGCTCAGGCAACACAACAGCGGAGGTGGCACACCCTGTCCAGAGCCCACCCGAGGTTCTCCTCTTGCTTCTGTCTTGAGCACCACCCTTCCCTTTTCCATCAGACTGCATGATCTGGTTGAGCTCCAGAACCAGGAAGAATCCACAGGTATGGGCTTCAGTAAAAAAGCTGGAGGAGGTGGAAGCTGACAGGCTGCTGGCCTGCCTAGGCCTTTTCTGGCCACCAGTCCCCCCTGCCTGGCTGGGCAAGCCATGGCTCACTTTTGTCTTGGCTTATTTTGTACTTTGCACTTAAAATGCTATCCCATTTTTTAAAAAAATGATAGTGGAAAAGGAAAAGGTAGGAATCCTGTGATTTCAGTATCTAGAAAGAATAGCAGTTATAATTAACAACCACTGAAAATACAGTTTCAGTTTAGAAAAGCCCCCAAAACCTGTTCCTTATAAATAAAAAAAGAAGCCCCCAAATATTAAAGTAATTGCTTTTCTTCTATAGTCACAGTGCCAGGTCTTGCAAGTGAAGAGTCACTAATTATTTGTTTATTTTTTAGAGACAGGGTCTTGCCGTGTCACATAGGCTAGAGTACAGTGGTACAATCATAGCTCACTGCATCCTTGCACTTCAGGGCTCAAACAATCCTCCCACCTCAGCCTCCCCAGTTGCTGGAACTACAGGTGTGTGCCACCACACCCAGCTAATTTTTTATTTTTCATAGAGGTGGGGTTCTCACTATGTTGCCCAGGCTGGTCTCAAGCTCCTGGCCTCAGGCGATCCTCCCGCTTCAGCCTCCCAAAGTGCTGAGATTACAGGCATCACCATGCCCAGCCAAGAGTCACTTAAACATGTATTTTTTGTTATTTATGGTACTTTTTTTAAAATCGTTAATAGTGTAAGATGATTTGAAGAGCCTGACCACACCTAAAAATTGGGAAGTCTGCAACAGGCCACCAGGAGTACCTTTAGCTTAAAAGACTTCTCTGGGTCCTGGAAGGAAACTTTCAGACTGTCGGTCTGATCCCCTGACACTAAAATTAAGACTTGGGCCACAAAGGAAGGAGATAAAGACCTCAGCCCCAGGAGGAAGGTATATTAAGAAGTCAGGAAATTCACCCAGCTCAGAGCCAAGGGCAGGCACTGCAGCCTGAAGGTGGGGTAAGAGAGGGGGGCTGTTATTGTGCTCTTCAGCCTCGGAGCTTCCTGTCTCAACACATGCCTGACTTGATGATCCTCAGGCAGTGTTGTAAGACTGAAAGAGCAGACTTCCTGAAGCACCCACGAACGTTAGAACACGCAGGCAAGAGTTTAAACTGGAATTCAAGTCTGGAATCCAGACTGGAATCCAGGTCCACTAGGGTATCCAAAGGAGCTGTCATCGTTTGCTCATGCTGGGACCTGCACTTGCACCCAGAACACCCTGACAATTTCTGTCAGACTGTTCAACTCTCACCTACCATGTATGAGTGTGGGCCCAGGTGCCCTGTGCCCAGGAAGTCTTTCCTGAGCCCTCTCGTCAACCAGACCCTTCTCTCCTCTGGAATGTACAGTTCTGAATTTTTATCTTGTACTTCTTTGTATAGAAACTGTGGGGAACAGCCTGGGCAACATACCAAGACCCTGTCTCTACAAAAAAATTTAAAAAATTAGCCAGGAGCAGTGGCACCCACCTCAGCTACTCAGGAGGCTGAGTCAGGAGGATTGCTTGAGCCGAAGTGGTTGAGGCTGCAGTGAGCTATGATTGTGCCACTGCACTCCAGCCTGGGCAACAGAGCAAGACCCTGTCTCTAAATAAATATATGTGAAAAAGAAAACTGTAGGGAACTGCAAGCAGATCTTTTGTCATTTAACTGCTTGTTTAAAAAGCAAATATAATGGTGAATATACCAGTTAGGAATGCTTTTGGTTGCAAGTAACAGTACACCTGATTAACTGCAACTTAAGCAATAAAGACAAAATTCAATAATCTCACATAGTAAGGGGTCTGCAGAAGGCAGTTTCAGGTTGGATAAGGCAATTTCACAATGTGATGAAATGGCCAGGCATGTCTTCCCTGTCTTCTGCCCTGCCAACTCTGATGTCGCTTTATGGTCACAAGGTGGCTTGTACAACTACATTCAAGGCAGGAGGTGGGGCAAAGAAGTCCTCTCCTTGCTGAATCCTATCTATTTATTAAGTCATAGAAAACTCTTTCAAGGAACTACCCAGGATACTCTTTATATCTCATTGGCCAGAACTAGGTCACATATCTACTGGTCCGTGTCAACCCTTAGACCAATCATTGGCAAAGGGAAGTGGAATGAGCATGACTGGCCCAATCGGGATTATCCCCCAACACACACACACACACACACACACACACACACACACACACACACACACATATACACGCTGGGCCGGGCACTCCCTCTCCTAGAACAAAGGATCTCCTTTTCCCTCCCATCAACCTGAACAATATGGGGGGGCCTGTTAGCAGCCAAGAGGAAAAAAATTATCTTTTGTGTGCACAAAATCAGTGTCAGTCACAGTGAGTAGATAGTCATTGATGAATGACACTGAAAAGCCATCAAAATTGGCCTTCCTACAACAAAGCATACATCATGTCATCGCTTTCCATGTTAAAAACTGCAGAGTATCCATATTGTGCCTATGATAGTGGGAAAAGCAGTGACCTTTGCTTGGAATCAGAAGAGTGGATTACTTACTAGCTATGTGGGCAAACCAATTTACTTTCTTGGGCCTCAGCTTCCTCATTTGTAGAAAATGAATGAGTTGGGTTTGCTTCATCCCTTTTGCTTCCAACACCCTCTGGCTTCCAAGGCTTCCTCAAATCTGGTCAGACGTCAATATTTAATCATATTTTCTATTTATTTAATCCTATCAAGAGTCTCACTTCCTTTCATCTAGTCCCTTCATTGTCCCAGAACACACCATGTTATTCATTCATTTATTCCACAGACATTCACTGAGTGACTAGACATGCTAGACACAGGATGAGAGCAATTCTTTGGGAAATGGAGCAGCAACAATTTAGAGGGACGTGGGTCACTGCATGACATACGAGAAGCTCCATACTACCTACTTCTAGATTGCTTCATGAGAGAAAATGATCTATTTTTTTGAGCCACTATTTTTTTAGTGTCTTAGCCTATATTATAACATTAAAAAGTCTCTCCTGACTACTTGTTGAGAGCTTAGTTGTGTCCCCTCAAAAATTCATATGTTGAAGCCCTGATCCCCAGTACCTCCGAATGTGACTGTATTTGTTTTTTTGTTTGTTTGTTTTTGAGAGGGAGTCTCACTCTGTCACCCAGATTGGAGTGCAGTGGCGCGATCTTGGCTCATTGCAACCTCCGCCTCCCAGGTTCAAGCGATTCTCCTCCCTCAGCCTCCCAAGTAGCTGAGATTACAGGCATCCGCCACCAAGCCCAGCTAATTTTTGTATTTTAGTAGAGATGTGGTTTCACCATGTTGGTCAGGCTGGTCTCGAACTCCGTACTTCAAATGATCTGCCTGCCTCAGCCTCCCAAAGTGCTGGGATTACAGGCGTGAGCCACTGTGCCCAGCCTGTGACTGTATTTGGAGATAAGAGGTCTTAGTTTGCTTGTGCTGCTATAACAGAACATCACAGGCTGGGTAATTTACAAAGAACAGAAATTTATTTCTCACAGTTCTGGAGGCTGGAAGCGCAAGATCAAGGTGCTAGCATTTGCTGTTGAGTGAGGGCTGCATCCTCCAGAAGGGAGGAACTGCATGTCCTCATGTGGCAGAGGGTGGACAAAATACATTAATCCTCTTTTATTTATTTATTTATTTATTTATTTATTTATTTTTGAGACAGAGTCTTTCTTTGTTGCCCAGGCTGGAGTGCAGTGGCGCGATCTCAGCTTACTACAATTTCCGTCTCCCAGGTTCAAGCGATTCTCCTGCCTCAGCCTCCCTAGTAGCTGGGATTACAGGTGCCCAGCACCACGCTCAGCTAATTTTTGTATTTTCAGTAGAGACAGGGTTTCACCATGTTGGCCACGCTGGTCTCAAACTTCTGACCTCAGGTGATCTGCCTGCCTCGGCCTCCCAAAGTGCTGGGATTACAGGTGTGAGCCACCACGCCTGGCCAAAGCCTCTTTTATAAGGGCTTTAATCCCATTCATGAAAGGAGATGCCTTCATGACCTAATCACCTCTTAAAGGCCCCACCTCCTAATACTGTCACATTGGCAACACCTGAATTTGGGAGGGGACATTTTCAAACCATAGTATATGATCTTTAAAGAGGTGATAATGAAGTGATTAAAGTGGCCCTAATCTAATATAACTTGTCTTTATAAGAAGAGGAAATTTGAACACAGGTACAGAGGCAAGACCATGTGAAGACACAGGGAGGAGATGGCCATCTAAAAGCTAAGGAGAAGAAAAAAACATACCTGCCAACACCCAGATCTTGGGTTTTTAGCCTTTAGAACCATGAATGAATAGATTTCTGTGAAGCCACTCAGTACATAGCACCTTGTCATGAGGCCCTAGTAAACACCATTCCCGCCTATCTGCTTTCTTAATTCTTAAAATTAAAAGTTTATCTTGTAACCAATAACATACTATTTAAATCTTAATTTTATAATGTTTACACTTTTGTTCAAGGCTTACTAAGGGTAGAAAACATGTCTTAAACTTTTTAAGGATTTCCATTTTTAGTGTGATTTTGAAACAAAAGCTAGACAGTCCTTTAGTAGGCCTAATAAAGAAAAGAAAAAAGACAGAGGAGACAAAAATTAACAAAGGGACCAAATCTACAGATACAGTCTGGAGTTTGTAAAAATCATTCAAAAACCTTCTGGATTAAAGTATGCAATAATTTTGAAAATTTAGATTACATTGACAATGATTTATAAAAAAGTACAAAATTGGACTGAATAGATTCTAGATGAAAATGACAGATGGGATTTATATCAAAGAATTTCCCTGCCTTAACACATTAAAAGAAAAATCACAAAAACCAACCCCCAAATATTCATTAACAGCACACAGGCAATGATGGAATTATACCTTAATGAAACACACCTCAAATATTAGTAGCCAAGGAACTTCTGGAGCAGAGCTGAAAAGCACAGAAAGGCTAGGCTTCTAATCCTACCCTCTGCTCCAAAACCATGCTGGTGAGTAGAAAAATCCTAAGAATTCTCATTAACGCCTCCCACTAATACCCACTGGAGAGGTATAAGCTATATAGGTGTCTTAATCTTTTTCCTCTTCTGTCTGATGAATAGTAGCAATACAAGTGAACATATCACAAGAAAAAAAAATCCCAAATCTGAGACGGTCCTTACATGGGGATTGGGAGTCCTGGTTATGAGCATTTTAACAAAATCTCAGAGGAGGGAAAAGGTTCACATATTCTAAAACATACCACTTAGAACCACAGATAAACTCTTCCTTTCCAACTATCCATTTTTATATTAAAATATATAGAAAATATGAAATGTTCAATCCACAAACTATAACTCGGAGGGGAAAATTTGTTTTTAAGTATAGTGGAAAAGGAGTTAAAAAAAAGTCATCCACATTGTATTACAGAAAATAGAAGGTCTGGACAGAATTGTTCAAGATGAAAAGAAACAGCATTATAACTAGGCAAAGATGCTGCAAGAGAGGGGAAGGAAGGAAGAGAAGGAAGGAAGGAAGGGAGAGAGGGAAGGGGGAGAAGGAAAGAAAGAAAAAGAAAGAAAGAGAGGAAGGAAAGAAGGAAAGAAGGAAGAAAAGAAAGAGAAAGAAGAAAGAAAAAAGAAAAGCAGACAGGCAAATAAGCACAAGACTGGCAAAGAACTTACAAGAAAACTTTTCTCAAATAAAAGAAGAAAATTCTTCCCAATCTCTTTACACTAGAAAGTAATTTTATAAAGGCCATTAATTTAATAAAATAAGGGCTCAAGAATGATATGATACAGTAAATGTGACAGAGATAATGTTATGGATTCACCAAATCTTGTGTCGTTTTCTTCTTCCTGGGCACACAGGCATTTTGCATTCCCTTGAATCCTACCATCTGACCCAAAAGTGTATATTCTAGCAATAAATCTAATTGATAGGTGAACATTCCAGGCCAATTCAAGACAATGCCAGGCCAGCAAGTGTGTGTGAATTCTTTATGCTGTCATTTCTCCTGCCTGGGCAACTTAGAAACCATCAACTCCATGTGGTATAGCGTTAAGGTTCCATGTGGGATAGCTTTACAATGCAAGTACCCTGGACTCTGTGTTATCTCTTGGAAAGGAGCTGCTCTGGAAAGCTGTCAGCCCTCACCCAGTTTTGCATGAAAAAAAAAAAAAAAACAAAACACCTCATTGTGATAAGACACTGAAAAGTTGTGGTTAGATTTGTTACTGTATCATAACCTAGTTCATCCTGACCAATATTATGAAAAAACAGAATGAAATAAATGAGTTTGCAGACCTAAGGAAAACAACTGAATGTCCAAACCATATCATTACATAAGAGATATAGAGAACTGGTATAATTTTTTCCTTAAATGTTTGGTAGAAATCACCAGTGAACCCACCTGAGTCTGGTGCTTTCTGTTTCGGAAGGTAATCAATTCCTGATTCAATTATTTAAAAGATATAGGCCTGTTCAGATCATCCATTTCTTCTTGTGTGGCTTTTGGCAGACTGTGTCTTTCAGGAACTGGTCCATTTTATCTAAATTATCAAATTAGTGGGCATAGAATTGTTCATAGAATTCCTTTATTATCCTTTAAATGTCCATGGAATCTGTAGCAATGTCCCCGCTTTCATTTCTGATATTAGTAATTTGTGTAATTTGTGTCCTCTCTCTTTTTTTGTAGTTTAGCTAAAAGCTTATCAATCGTATTGAGCTTTTCAAAAAACCAGGTTTTGGTTTCATTGATTTTGTCTATTGATTTCCTGTTTTTTATTTCATCGATTTCTGCTCTACTGATTTATTTTCTACTTAACTTGGATTTAATTTGCTTTTTTTTTTTTAGTTTCCTAAGGTGGAAGCTTTGATTTTTTAATTTTAGATATTTTTTCTTTTCTGATATATACATTCAGTGCTATAAATTTCTAAGCACTGTTTTTGCCTGTTCCCACAAATTTTGGTAAGTTGTGTTTTCATTTTCATTTAGGTCAAAACATTTTAAAAGTTGTCTTGAGATTTCATCTTTGACCCATGTGTTATTTAGAAGTGTGTTGTTTAATCTCCATGTATTTTGGTATTTTCTGATTATCTTCCCACTAGTGATTTCTAGTTTAATTCTATTGTGGTCTGAGAGCAGACGTTATATAATTTCTACTCTTCTGAATTTGTTAAGGTGCATTTTATGTCCCAGGATATGGTGTCTTGGTGAATGTTCCACATGAGCTTGAGAAGGATGCATATTCTGCTGTTGTTGGATGATATCATTTATAGATATCAATTATATCCAGGTGATTGGTCGTCTTGTTGGCTTCAACCACATCGTTACTGACTTTTTGCCTGCTGAATCTGTCCATTTCTGAAAGAGGGATGTTGAAGTCTCCAACCGTAATAGTGGATTTATCTATTTCTTCTTGTAGTTCTATCAGTTTTTGCCCCATGTAATTTTTTTATTTTTTATTTTTATTTTCTTTTTGAGACAGAGTTTTTATTTTTTATTTTTATTTTCTTTTTGAGACAGAGTTGAGTGCAGTGGTGCCATCACAACTCACTGCAACCTCCACCTCCCAGGTCCAAGAGATTCTTCTGCCTCAGCCTCCCAAGTAGCTGGCATTACAGGCACGCACCACCACACCTGGCTAATTTTTGTATTTTTAGTAGAGACAAGGTTTCACCAAGTTGGCTGGGCTGGTCTTGAACTCCTGACCTCAAGTGATCCACCTGCCTCAGCCTCCCAAAGTGCTGACATTATAGGTGTGAGCCACTGCCCGGGGCCTGCCTCATGTAATTTGATGGTCTCTTTTTAGGTGCATACATGTTAAGGATTACTATGTCTTTTTGGAGAACCAATCTCTTTATTATTATGTAATGCCTGTCTTGATCCCTGATAGTTTTCCTTGCTTTGAAGTCTGCAATTAACATAACTACTCCTGCATTCTGTTGATTAGTGTTAATATGGCATACGTTTCTTCATCCATTTACTTTTAATTTATATCTGTTTTCATATTTAAAGTGAGTTTCTTGTTTTTTGATTCATGCTATCTTGTAATTGGTGCATTTAGATCATTGATGTTCAAAGTGATTGTTCATATAGTTGGATTAATATCTACCATATTTGTTACTGTTTTCTATTTGTTGCCTTTGTTCTTGTATTCTATTTTTGTTTTCTGCTCTTTTCTGCCTGTTGCAGTTTCAGTTGAACATTTTATATGGTTCAATTTTCTCTTCTTTCTTAGCACACCAGTTGCATTTCTTTCTTTTTTTCTTTTCTTTCTTTCTTTCTTTTTTTTTTTTTTTTTTTTTAATAATACTACACTACTTCCTGGGTAATGGGAATATCTTATAAAAATAATCTTTTTTTTTTTTGAGACGGAGTCTCACTGTGTCACCCAGGCTGGAGTGCAGTGGCACGATCTCAGCTCACTGCAACCTCCACCTCCCGGGTTCAAGCGATTCTCCTGCCTCAGCCTCCTGAGTAGCTGGAACGACAAGCACATGCTACCACACCAGGCTAATTTTTGTGTTTTTAGTAGAGATGGGGTTTCGCCATGTTGGCCAGGCTATAAAAATAAAATAATATTAGTTCCTCCTTCTCACCCCTTGTATCATTGCTGTCATTCATTTCACTTATATGTAAGCATACACAAGCATATAAATATGGTATATACAAAAGCATACACAACCGAATACATTGTTAGTGCTTTGAACAAGCTTATCTGTTAGATCAATTAATAGTAAGAAAAATAAGAAGGTAAAAGAAAAATTTATCTTCACTTATTTCTTCTTTGATGCTCTTTCTTTCTTTATGTAGATCTTAGTTTTTGACTTACATTATTTTTCTTTTTCTAAAGTACTTCTCTAAACATTTCTTGTAAGGGAAGTTTACTGGCAACAAATTTCCTCAATTTTCATTTGTATAAGAAGTCTTTATTTCTCCCTCACTTTTGAAGGATAATTTTGCCCAGTACAGACTTCTAGGTTGGTGTTTTATTCTCGCAACACTTTAAATATTTCACTCCACCTTTTTCTTATTTGCATGGCTTCTGATGAGACGTCAGATAAAATATTTGCTCCTCCATCAGTAAGGCATTTTTTTCCTCTCGATTCTTTCAGAAAATTTTTAAAAAATCTTTGATTTTCTGTAGTTTGAAAATGATATGCCTATGTGTTGGTTTTTTTGTTTGTTTTTTTGTTTTGGCATTTATCCTGCTTGGTGTTCCCTGAGTTTCCTGGACCTGTGGATTGATGTCTCACATCAATTTGGGGGAAATTCTCAGTCATTGTTTCAAATACTTCTGCTCCTTTCTATCTCCCTTGTCCTCTTGTGTTCCTGTTATGCGTATTTGCAACTTTTGTAGTTGTTCCACAGTCCTTGGATATACTGTTCTGGTTTGTTTGTTTTCTTTCAGTCTTTGTTCTCTTTGCTTTTCAGTTTCGGAGGATTCTATTGACATATCCGAAAGCTCAGAGATTCTTTCCTTAGCTGTGTCTAGACTACTAAGAAGTCCCTCTGAGGCCTTCTTCACTTCTGTTACAGTGCTCTTGATCTCTAGCATTTCTTTTTGGTTCTTCCATAAGATTTTCATCTCTTGGGAGGCTAAGGTGGGGTGATCGTCTGATGTCAGGAGTTTGAAACCAGCCTGGCCAACATGGCAAAACCCCGTCTCTACTAAAAATACAAAAAAAATTAGTCGAATGTGGTGGCGGGCACCTGTAATCCTGGCTACTTAAGAGGCTGAGGCAGGAGAATCGCTTGAACCTGGGAGGCAGATGTTGCAGTGAGTTGAGATTGCCCCACTGCACTCCAACCTGGGCGACAGAGTGAGACTCAGTCTCAAAAAAAAAAAAAAAAATTTCCATCTCTCTGCTCATGCTGCTTGTCTGTTCTTGCATGCTGTCTGCTTCATCCATTAGCACCCACAGCATATTAATCATAGTCACTGCAACCTCCACCTCCCAGGTTCAAGTTATTCTCCTGCCTCAGCCTCCCAAGTAACCAGGATTACAAGCACCTGCCACCATGCCTGGTTAATTTTTGTATTTTTTTTAGTAGAGACGGGGTTTTGCCATGTTGGCCAGGCTGGTTTCAAACTCCTGATCTCGTGATCTGCCCACCTTGGCCTCCCAAAGTGTTGGGATAACAGGCGTAAGCCACCGTGCTGGGATATTAATCACAGTTTTAAAAAAGTCCCTGTCTGATAATTCCAATATCCCTGCCACATCTGCTTCTGAAGTTTGCTCTGTCTCTTCACACTGTATTTTTTGTCTTTTAGTATGCCTTGTAACTTTTTGCTAAAAGCCATACATGATGTGCTGGGTAAAAGGACCTGCTGTAAATAGGCCTTTAGTGATGTGGAGGTAAGGTGCAGGGGGAGGAAAAGCACCCTATAGTCCTGTGATTAGGTCTCAGTCTTTTTTTTTTTTTTTTCCGACGGAATCTCACTCTATCTCCAGGCTGGAGTGCAGTGGCGCAATCTTGGCTCACTGCAACCTCCACCTCCCGGGTTCCAGCGATTCCCCTGCCTCAGCCTCCCGAGTAGCTGGGACTACAGGCGTGCACCACCACATCCAGCTAATTTTTGCATTTTTAGTAGAGACGGGGGTTTCACCATCTCTGACCTTGTGATCTGCCCACTTTGGCCTCCCAAAGTGCTGGGATTACAGGCGTGAGCCACCATGCCCTGCCAGGCCTGTCTTTTAGTGAGCCTGTGTCTCTGAACTGTGCCTTTCACAAGTGCTTCTTAGTTTTTTCCTCCCCTTTTAGGTGGGAAAGGATGGCTAGGGTGAGCTGGAGCTGGATGTTTCCGTTCTCCCAGGTCACTTAGGCTGTAATTAAACCCTAGCAAGTTAGGCTCTGGTTGACCAGTTTCTCCTGAAAGCAAACCTTGTTAAGAAGAACGGAGCACTCTGTATTTCAAAATACAGGTCCTCTCTCCCTGCTGGAAGCGCAGAATTTTTCTCTAATATTTACTATGAGAACTTGGTGGAGTTCCTGGAGGTAAAACTCACAAGCGTGGAGGCCCCCACTAGAACTGGGTCCTCTGGAGTCTTTGACTTGTCCACACTCAGTGTCCAGCAATTTGTAATTACATTTCAGGTTTTCCTACTCCAGCATCAGTTCCTGCAGAAATTTCTGCTCCAGTATATTGTGATTCTCTGCATCTACCTCTCTGTCTGTCCAAATCTGGGGGCAGCAGTTTTCCCTGTGGATTTTTCTCTTATGGATCTAAAAAGAATTGTTGATTTTTCAGTTTGCTCAGCTTTTTACATGCTGTTAAGAGGAAGTAGCAGCTTCGAAGCTCCTTACCTGTCCAACTAGCCATTATAGACATACAAATTAGGAACACAAGAAATAGCACTGAAAATCCAATTATTGACATAAAGGTAAGTCCTGACATATTTGAAGTAATTCATATGAAAAAGACAAAGGGACCAGGCATGGTGGCTTACACCTGTAGTCCCAGCACTCTGGGAGGCTGAGGCGTGAGGACTGCCTAAGCCCAGCAGGTTGAGGCTGCAGTGAGCTGTGATTGTCCCACTGCACTCCAGCATGGATGTGGTGAAAAGGGAACACTTTTACACTGTTGGTGGGAATGTAAACTAGTACAAACACTATGGAAAACAGTATGGAGATTCCTTAAAGAACTAAAGTAGAACTACCGTTTGATCCAGCAATCCCACTACTGGGTATCTACCTAGAGGAAAAGAAGTCATTATATGAAAAAGATACTTGTGTACGCATGTTTATAGCAGCACAATTTGCAATTGCAAAAATATGAAACCAGCCCAAATGCCCATCCATCAACGAGTGGATAAAGAAAATGTAGTATATATATACCATGAAATATTACTCAGCCATAAAATGGAATCAAATAATGGCTTTCATAGCAACCTAGATGGAATTGGAGACCATTATTCTAAGTCAAGTAACTCAGCAATGGAAAACTAAACATTGTACGTTCTCATTTATAAGTGGGAGTTAAGCTATGAGGATGCAAAAGCCTAAGAATGATACAATGGGACAGGTGCAGTGGCTCACGCCTGTAATCCCAGCACTTTGGGAGGCCAAGGCGGGCAGATCACCTGAGGTCGGGAGTTTGAGACCAGCCTGCCCAACATGGTGAAACCCTGTTTCTACTAAAAATACAAAAATTAGCCGGGCATGGTGATGTGTGCCGGTAGTACCAGCTACTTGGGAGGCTGAGGCAAGAGAATCACTTGAACCTGGGAGCAGAGGTTGCAGTGAGCCAAGATTGTGCCACTGCACTCCGGCCTGGCGACAGAGCAAGAGAGATTCGGTTTCAAAAAAAATGATACAATGCACTTTGGGGATTTGGGGATCTGGGGGAAAGGGTGGGAGGAGGGTGAGGGATAAAAGACTACACTGGGTACGGCATACACTGCTTGGGTGATGGGTGCACAAAAATCTCAGAAATCATCACTGAAGAGCTTATTCATGTAACCAAACACTACCTGTTTCCCAAAAAACCTACTGAAATAAAAAATAAATTTAAAAAAATCCTCACGCAATTAAAAAGACAGACAAAGATATTAAAGCAATTAATGAGACATTAATAGAAATGGAAAAAAAAGATTTATATATTCCAACTTAAAGACAATTGATGCCCCTAAAGCAAAGAATCTAAAAATGAAAGACGATGCTTATTTAAAATAAATAAGAAAAGACTCATAAAATTAAAACAAAAACAGACTCTGCAAATCAAGAGAACTAATGACATTCCAGGAAAATTTAATACAGTAAAATACCAAAGATATATGTATGTTAATGAAATTATTAAAATTCCAGGATAAAGAACGAAGTTTTTAGCTAATCAAGCAGAAAAGCAAAGAGAAATTAGACTGGCCACAGACTTCTCCATCGCAACCTCCAGGGGCAGAAGACAAGAACACAGTCTGCAAAACTCTAAGGGAATGAAGGACATGAAAACAGGCCAAGATGTTATTCAAGTAGAAAGGTAGAGGCAGGAATTTCTCCAACATGAAATAATTCAGGGAATGCAATGCCCATCACTATTCATGCCCATCACTCATGACAATAAAATCCAGCCAATTAAAAAAATCAATCAAATATAAGAACTCAGGAATGAGGAGCAATGGGGAAAGGACCAAAGGTGAACATTAAATCCATTTGAAGACATAGAGACATACACCTACATACATGCTAAACATGTATGGGATGTGTAAGGAATTCTGTTGCTTAGAATGTAAATGTTATAAAACGGGCAAAGTTCAGGAGGTGAAGAGAAGTGGAAGGAAGTAAGAGATTACTGTTTTTCTCTTCTTTTAACGGCAGGGAGTCAATTGATAATGTCCAAATTTTTTTTAAAGGTAAATAAAAATGGCTCTAATACCTTAATTTTAAAAAATTCTTGTTTTAACCTTAGAGAAAACTTAGAGAAATTAATCTTTTTGCAATTCAATTTCATTTTCTTTTTTCTTTGAATAAGTTTGAGGAAAATTAACATTTATAAATATTTTTCTATTTATCTAAAAATAGTATTTAAAAATATTAATCTATTCATCTATCCTATCTGCATGAATAATTGAAAATTGTGTGGATAAATGTTGATCTAGTTACATTTTGATCTAGTATGATTATTTCCTAATAGTGGGGTTTGAAGTAACTTTAAAAAAAAATGTTGGCTAGGCACGTTGGCTCACACCTGTAATCTCAGCACTTTGGGAGGCTGAGATGGGAGGATTGTTTGAAGCCAGGAGTTCAAGACCAGCCTAGGCAACATACTAAGACACTGTCTCTACAAAAAAAAAAATTTAAAAAAAGGAAAAAAAGAAAAATTAGCTAGGTATGGTGGCTCATGTCTGTAGTCCCAGCTACTCAGGAGGCTGAGGGAGGAGGATCGATTGAGCCTGGGAAGTGGAGGTTGCAGGGAGCTGTGATAGTGCAACTGCATTCCAGCCTAAGAAACAGAGTGAGAGCCTGTCTCTAAAACGAAAACAAAAAACTTCCACCTTCATACTTTTCTGCAAGTATTATCTTGACAAAATTTTTTTCCTTGAGAAAAAGCTGAACATATATATTAAAATATTTAAAATGATAATAGAAATTTAGATCTTTGTTTTTCTTTTTCAGAAATAAAACTTTAAATTTAATTAAACAATTACAACTTTTTGACTAAAAAAAGTTAGAAGCTCAAATGGATTAATAACCATTAATGAGACCAAACTAAGATAAAAAAATTTCTTTCCTATCCATCACCCCTCCTCCAAAACCAACATCATTCTTCACAGAATTAGAAAAAATAATTCTAAAATTTATATGAAACCAAAAAAAGAGCCCAAATAGCCAAAGCAATCCTAAGCCAAAAGAATACAGCAAGAAGCATCACATTACCTGGCTTCAAATTATACTACAAGGATATAGTAGCCAAAATAGCATGGTACTGGTATTAAAAACAGACACATAAATCAGTGGAAAAGAATAAAGAACTAAAAAATAAAGACACATATCTACAACCAACTGATCTTTGACAAAGTCAACAAAAATATACACTGGGGAAAGGACACCCTATTCAAAAAATGGTCCTAGGAAAATTGGAGGGCCATTTGCAGAAGAATGAATGTGGACCCATATCTCAACATATACAAACATTAATGCAAGATGGATTAGGTACTTAAATGTAAGACCTGAAAGTATGAAAATCTTAGGATAAAAACCTAGGAAAAGCTCTTTAGACATTAGCCTAGACAAAGAATTTATGACTAAGCCCTCAAAAGGAAACACATAAAAAAAAGCCAAAAATAGGCAAATGGGACTTAACTAAACCAAAAAGCTTAAAAAAAACAGCAAAAGAAATAACCAACAGGGTAAATAGAAAACCTCCAGAACATGAGAAAATATTTGTAAACAATGCATCCAACAAACGCCTAATATCCAGAATCATCCTAATCCTAAATTACCTAACAACAAAAAAAGAATGAGATCATCTCTTTCTCATAAAAATGTTCCAGATAAGCAGAGTGAAAGCTACCCAATTTGTTTCATAAGGTTACATAACACTGATCCCAAAACCAAATAAGAAAATGGTAAGAATTAAAGATATAAACCAATTTCACTTATGAATATTAGAAATAGATACATGCTACATGAAATTTTAGCAAATCAAATCTTATTATTCCATTTATGAACATCAGAAGCTGAAATTTTAAGTAAAATATTAGTAAGTCAAAAAGACAAAAATCCACATTTTTTTTTTTTTGAGACGGAGTCTTGCTCTGTCACCCAGGCTGGAGTGGAGTGGTGCAATCCCGGCTCACCGCAACCTCTGCCTCCCAGGTTCGAGCAATTCTTCCCGCTTCATCCTCCCAAGTAGCTGGGATTACAGGCACCCACCATTATGCCCTGCTAATTTTTGTATTTTTAGTAGAGACAGGGTTTCGCAACGTTGGCCAGGCTGTCCTGGAACTCCTGACCTCAAGTGATCTGCCCACCTCAACCTCCCGATGTGCTGGGATTATAGGCGTGAGCCATCTTGTCTGGCCAAAAATCACAATTTTTAAAATTTTTATTTTTTAATTGTAAATTGACAGATCATAGTTGTATATATTTATGCATCCAAAGTCATGTTATGAATTTATGAATATAGTATGAATACAATGTGGAATTATTAAATCAAGTTAATTAACATACCCATCACTTCAAACACTTACTTTTTGTGGTAAGAACATTTGAAATTTTCTCAGTGATTTTGAAATGTACACTACATTATTTACCACATTCACTACTCTGTGCAATATATCTCAAAGAAAACAACTTGCTCTTTTCATCTACTGTGACCCTCTACCCTTTACCTTCATCTCTCCATCCTGCCTCCCGGCTGCATTCAATAACCACCATCCTACTCTCTGTCTCTTTGAGTTCAATTGTTTTTAGATCTCACATATAAGCAAGAACATGTGGTATCTGTCTTTCTGCACCTGGTTTATTTCATTTAGCACAATGTTCTCCAATTCGGTCCATCCATGTTGTCACAAAGACAACATTTCTTCCTTTTTAAAGGCTGAATAATACTCTACTGTATATATAATACCATGTTTTCTTTATCCATTCATTATTGATGGATACTTAGGCTGATTTCATAACTTGGCTATTGAGAATAGTGTTGCAATGTACATGGGGAGGAGATATCATTCCCACATGCTGATTTCACACTTTTTGAGAAAATATCCAGCAACACGATTGCGGGATCATATGGTAGTTCTATGCTGGATCATATGTAGTTCTTTAAGGAGACTCTATATTGTTTTCCATTATGGCTGTGCTTATTTACATTCCCACCAACAGTATGCAAGGGTCTCCTTTTCTTCACATCCTCACCAACACTTATCTTTTACAATAGCCATTTTAACAGGTGTGGGGGTGCTATCCCATTGTGGTTTTCATTTGTAATTTCCCAAATGATTAGAGATGATGAACATTGTTTCACGTATCTGTTGGCCATTCGTATGTCTTCTTTTGAGAAATGTTTGGGTTTCTTGCCCATTTTAAAATCAGATTATTTTCTTTCTATAGAGTTGTTTGAGTTCCTTATATATTTTGGATAGTAATCCCTTTTCAAATGTATGGCTTTCAAATATTTTCTCCCAATTCGTAGACGGTCTCTTTACTCTGTTAATTGTTCCTTTCTTGTGGAAAAATAATCCATTTGATGTTTCAGTCAGATTGACTGATGATTCTACTGTCTTGAACCCTTGTTAGGCTTCTTGGCATATCTACATATTGTTTGGTATCCATATGTTTTGAAAGAAAAAAGAGTAATAAAGATAATTTGAAGAATATTTCACTGTATAATAACTAAGAAAATAGAATATGTATTCTGATTTTTTAAAAAAAGAAGTTGCAATTGATTGGCTCAGAAAAACAAAATGCCAGAAAACATATTTGAATGTTTACAAAAGCAGCTGGGCATGATGTCTCACGCCTGCATTCCCAGCACTTTGGCAGGCTGAGGCAGGCAGATCACCTGAGGTCAGGAGTTCCAGACCAGCCTGACTAACATGGTGAAGCCCTGTCTCTACCAAAAATACAAAAATTAGCCGGGCATAGTGGTGGGCGCCTGTAACCCCAGCTACTCGGGAGGCTGAGGCAGGAGAATCACTTGAACCCGGGAGGCAGAAGTTGCAGTGAGCCGAGATTTCACCATTGCACTCCAGCTTGGGCAACAGAGCGAGATTCTGTCTCAAAATAAATAAATAAATAAGAAAAAAGAAAGCTTACCATTATTTTAAAAAAGTAACATTTTTACTAGAAATATTATCATCAACAATGCACTTGATAAGTCCCCAAGAAAGAGAAAGACATTAAGGGAAAATCCATAGGTGCACAGCCAGCTTCGGGGGCATGCAACCGTTCAGTTGCACAGAACCCCGGGCTCAGAAGGGCTCCATACTTGGTTTCATGCTCTGCTGTTGCCATCTTGATATTCTTAATGCTTTTTTTTTTTTTAGAAAGGTTGGTGGGGTGGGCTCCACATGTTCATTTTGCACTGGGCCTTGCAAATCATGTAGCCGGAACTTCACAGATGGGTAACTAAAGTGGTCAACCGGCTAGCTCTATTGGTCCGTGAAGATGGCAGACACAATGGGGATTCCTCTGGAAAGAAGATAATACGGACATGGTTCAAACCCACAAGGCTGTGAAGAGTGTCTGATCATAGATTTTTTTCTCATCATGTCCTTACCATGAAACTTGAAGGTGGGAATTTTATGACCAAGGCTACTCTGGCAGGATAGAGGCTGGAAGGCTATTTCTCTCAAAGTATAGGCCACTGAGCAACTCAAACTATTCCCATTCTCAATATTTTAATCCCAAATTAAGCTACGAAAACTATGAAGCATTATCTTGAAGGGGAATATAAGTTATAAAAATTGATCACATGATTGTGGGAGGAGGGTACAGGCATGCCAAACCAATAGTATATATTCCTACAACACCAACACCCCTCACCCCAAAACCCTTCTCAGCCTGGTCCTCAATGATGGGAAATGAGGCAGAGGGAGCCTAGCTTAGTGCAATTCAGCCCACGGATAGCTCTGTCAATTAACTCATCAATGCTCTGTATTGACCAGAACATCAGAGCCTTGGTCTGGAAGGTTGTATAGGCATGTTTTCAAATGCAATTTGATGTTGAAGAATATTCTGGATAACAATGTGAACAACCGTTTATGTCCTTACCACCAAACCAGGAATTCTATAAGCACAACTTAGCAGACAATGAAAACTGAATCTCAGAGAAGTGAAGCAATTTGTACAGGATCGTGCACAAGTAAGTGGTAGAGCAGGAACTCAAGTGCAAGTTCTTTGTCCTCTGCCACACTGTTGGTGGGCCCACAGCCCGGGCATGCTTCCCGTCTCGTGAAGCCGACACCATAAATGGTAATTGGTGTGAGACCTTCGAGCTGGGCAGACTGAGAATTAGGCACATTTTGACATTTTTATCCTCATGTGTTCTAAGCATTCGCATCCAGAAAATTATTGCCAGGAAGACACAGATGCATTCTCCATCCCAAAGAGATGCTATTGAAAGGTGTTCATGGCATTAAGTTAGGAAATAAAAATGACTTCCTGATTAGGCTGATTATCCATTCAAGAAATATAGGAGTGCCTATTGTGAGTCATTTGTCCTCCAAGATCCTTAAAACCCAGTAGGCGGTTTTTTCTCTTGAATAGTTTAGATCGAAAGTTTATCAACTATATTTCTGTGAAATTCTTGTGCCTAGGAATTACACCAAGATTTTTAGCAGAAATTTACCAAAAATACTAAATTAATGGGACCTTTCCACTATTTTAAAATTATACGCATGTGTTGGGACAGAGGGTATATAAGAAATCTCTGTGCTTTCCAATCAATTTTGTTGTGAACCTAAAACTGCTCCTAAAAAATAAAGTCGGCTGGACGCAGTGCTCCTGTGATCCCAGCACTTTGGGAGGCCGAGGCGAGCAGACCATGAGGTCAAGAAATCGAGACCATCCTGGCCAACATGGTGAAACCCTGTCTCTACTAAAAATACAAAAATTATCTGGCCATGGTGGTGTGCCTGTAGCCCCAGCTACTCAGGAAGCTGAGGCAGAAGAATCGCTTGAACCTGGGAGGCAGAGGTTGCAGTGAGCCGAGATCACGCCACTACACTCCAGCCTAGCAACAGAGCAGGACTCGGTCTCAAAAAAAAAAAAAAAAAAAAAAAAAAAAAAAAAAAAAAAACCTAGTAAGACAATTTTTTAAACCTATTTTTTAAGTCAACCTACAGTTTCTCAATTCACTATTTTAAGAGTATTACAAACTTGACTCTCCACTATTTTTAGAATTCACAGAAATCTGAGGCACAATTTCTTCAGTATTTCCCAGGGTCTGTCAAAGAATTACAAGATATTACTACCATAAGTTAAAATGCTACAAAACGTCATTATGTGTTAAAAGAAAATTAGAGGGCATATGTGGGAAGTGACACAAATGAAAAGAGGAAGACATAAACCTAAAAGTGGTGAGTAATCTAGCAAGTTAAAAACTGTACCATAGTCTCACTATTTATAGAATGCACGTACCGTAACACTCAATTCTCATTCATAACCTTTTTCCACCAACTTTGTTGAATTTGATTGCATGAGCAACAGTTACTCACCTTCTCACTCATCTTGGGAATTTTCTTTATTTTTTTCTTTCTTTACATTTTTATTGACAAATAATAATTGTACACATTTATGATGTACGACATGAGTTTTTCAAATACGTACCCATTGTAAAATGGTTCAATTACGCTAATTAACATATGTATTCCCTCACATACTTACTATTTGTTTGTGGTGAGAACACTTAAAATCTACTGTCTCAGCAATTGTCAAGCATACCCTGCGTTGTTACTAACTATAGACACCATGTTGTACATTAGGGCTCTTGAACTTGGTCCTCTGTCAAACCTCTTGAGAATTATCCTTATGGAGATGTCTTCATTTCATAAAAACCTTTTCTAAATTTGCCTTTATGTTTTTGTCTATAAAATTAGAAGAATGTAAAAGAGTTTTTAGTTCCTGAGACAAAGCAGGCTTCAGATTCTCCACAAGAGCTCTGAGGAGTCTTTGATGCCAAGTGGAGACCAAAATAACCAGGTAAGCGAGATGGCAGAGGAAGTGGGGGTGACTGGGATTTAGATCTCATGGGATCCCAGAAAACCTGCACATGTGGCTTCCCAAAGGGGAGCCTGGATGACCTTGGCACCTAGAGCCATGAGGCAAGGAAGCTTAGGATCCCATCTCCATCACTGGCCAGTTGGGTTATCTCAGCAAGAGACACAACTTCATGAGCTTCAGTCTCCTCATTTGCAACACAGGGATAAAAACAGTGCATCTCTCACAGGGTGACAGGAAGGAAAAGGCATGCAGGTGCTCAATGCGATGAGCAAGTTGTAAACGGATGGTACTTATAGTCATTAGGATGCTCCCGTTACAATGTTGCATCTGTCAACTCACTGCTTGTATCTCTTCATGGTTTAAATTTTCAAAAGACTGAATCTTGCTGGTTCAGTCAAGTCTGTGAATTGGTTTGCCCTAGGTGGGATGAGGTGTGTGTGTTTGTGTGTGTGTGTGCACGCACACACTCAGAGGGGTATACCAGAATATCAGATATCTGAACATGAACTCTAGTATCAAATAGCAAATCGTTAAAAAACATGGCCAAAATATAAAATCTTCTGATTGGCAAGAAGACAACTGTGGTTTCCATGTTGCTGCCTGCATGTGCTGTTTCTCCCTCTTTGTTCAGGGCCATTGGGAGGCATAATGCACTGAATGTCTATGTCTCCCCCAAAATTCATATGTTCAAACCCTAATCTCAATGTGATGGTAGTAAGAGGAGGCACCTTTGGGGGATAATTAGGGCATGAGGGTGGAGCTCTCACGTATAGGACTGTGCATTTGTAAGAAGTGGCCAGAGAGCTCCCTTGCTGTCTTTTCTCCTGGTGAGGACATACCCAGGAGGCAGTCATCTGCAAGCCAGGAAGAGAGCCCTTAGCAGAACCTGACCATGCTGACCCCCTGATCTGAGACATCCACCTCTGCAACTGTGAGAAATAAATATTTGTTGTTTAATCCTTAGCCTATGGTGTTTAGTCTATGGTGTTTTTTTATAGAAGCCCAAGCGGACTAAGACAGGATGGAAACAAAGAGGGCAAGAGAGAGACAAGGAAGCCATATATATGTGTGTGTGTATATATATATAGCTCCCGCTACACTGGTGGAGGACAGCCTTTCTGTTATAATGTTCCAGAGCTTATACAGAGGAGAGTCTGGTGGAGAATGATGCAGGACTGAAAACCAAAGCCAAGAGGGGTTTGAGATGTGTGAGAAAGGTGTTTTCAACTCAAATATATACATGGAAACAGAGACTGAAAACAGCTACAGATTGGTGACAAGGTAACTGAATTGTATTTATTACTATATCTTTTCCAGATGTTTTATTTAATTAAATCATGTTTTAAGTAATTAAATCAGTATAAACTAATTTACAGACCCTAAACTAATTAGGACAGGGTAGAGCTATTCAGAAGTTTAAACAAAATATTATAAGACATTGCCAGTAGGAAGTCAACATATTGCTCTTTAATATTCAAGTTTAAGATGGGCATGGTGGCACAGGCCTTGTAATCCCAGCTATTTGGGTGGCTGAGGCAGGAGAATCACTTGAACCCGGGAGGCGGAGGTTGCAGTGAGCCGAGATCAGGCCAGTGTGCTCCAGCCTGGGAGACAGAGTGAGACTCCTGTTTCAAAAAAAGAAAAAAATACAAAATACAAAAATTAGCCGGGCGTGGTGGCACGTGCCTGTAATCCCAGTTATTTAAGAGGCTGTGGTGGGAGGATCACTTGAACTCAGGAGGCAGAGACTGCAGTGAGTCAAGATCACACCACTGCATTCCAGCCTGGGCAACAGAGTGAGACCCTGGCTAAAAAAATAAAATAAAATAAAATAATAAAAATTAAAAAAATTCACATTTAAGATTTTTAAAGAATGTTTACTACATTGGATTTCTATATTAAGAACTTTATTGGCTGGGTGCGGTGGCTCACATCTATAATCCCAGCACTTCTCGAGGCCAAGGCAGGGGGATCACTTGAGGTCAACTGTTCAAGATCAGCCTAGCCAACATGGTGAAACCCCACGTCTACTAAAAATACAAAAATTAGTTGGGTGTGGTGGCATGTGCCCGTAATCCCAGCTATTCAAGAGGCTGTGGTGGGAGGATCACTTGAACCCGGGAGGCAGAGGTTGCAGTGAGCTGAGATCTTACCACTGCATTCCAGAGTGAGACCTTGCCTAAAAAAAAAAAAAAAAATTCATGTTTAAGATTTTTAAAGAATGTTGTTTACTACATTGAGTTTCTATATTAAGAACATCATTGGCCCAGCGTGGTGGCTCATGCCTGTAATCTCAACATTTTGGGAGGTGGAGGTGGGTGGATCGCTTGAACCTAGGAGTTCGAGACCAGCCTGGCGCAACCTCATCTCTACTAAAAATACAAAAAATTAGCCGGGAGGGGTGGCGCGTGCCTGTAGTCACAGCTACTCAGGAGGCTGAGGTGGGCAGATCTCTTGAGCCCAGGAAGTTGGGGCTGCAGTGAGCCCAGATCACAACACTGCACTCCAGCCCGGGAAATGACAGTGAGACCCTGCCTCAAAAATAAATAAATAAATAAATAAATAAATGAGAAGAACTTCATCTTTTATAAGTGTAATTTATTAAAGGCATGCTATAGTCTTGGACTCAGTGATTTTTACTTACGGGAGAATCTAGGCATTGAAAAATCTAAGGTACTACTGCTCACCTGCTTCCAATGTGGCAGCTTGCTTAAACTGTGAGCAGGATTCCAGGAGGAAACAAACTGACTGGAATCTAGCCTTGCAGACCCAAACCTGCAAGGCGATCGCAAACAAACCCGCAAGGCCATCGCAAACATCCCTAGGTATTTCAAACCTCATTAGGATTCACATGTTTCTTTTTTTTAAGGTGCCATAACTAGGACTCTCTATTGATTTTTTTTTTTTTAACGTAGATCTACCTTTGTTCAGAGAGATTTTTGAGCTTGCCACTGGGTCCCAGGGGGGAAGTGGTCAGACCGTTGCAAAAGCAGCAGCAAGTGAAAAAGAGGAAGGCCCCAGCAAAGGAGCGGAACAGAGGCCGGGAGAGGCGACCCTGCCGACGATGCTCATGTCAGAGGGGCGTCCACAGTTGATCATAATCTTTTCAAGTCCAGGAAATTAATCAGCAATGGGAAAAGGAGTCTAAGATGAATAAAAGGATGTCCGACAATGTGGGCAGAACAGCATGCTAAGAAATCTGGGTGGGCATATTCCATAGGAAAGTGTAATAGTAGGCAGGAGGCAGCTGTGGGGCTAGCAACCAGTCCCCAGCCTCAGGATGAAAGATCTAGAAAAAGGGACCTGGCAAAGGCCCTAGAAGAAGATCACTGGGCAGGAAACCAGGACCAGATCTGAGGTCTAGGAATAGAGCGGGGAAATGGGGAGGGAGGAGGACACCTCAAGTAGCAAGGGATAGTTTGTCGTTAAGTCCTCGAACTGATTTATTTCATATAGACCTCTATTGACAAGGAACAGCTTTCCTGATAGTTTCAGCAATGCGTGGGAAAATAAAAGGTCCATAGTAACCTACACAAGGTAAACCAACATGAATAGCCCACCAGAAGGCAAGGTGAAGGCGAGCTGAAACCATTCTTCAGGTGCTAGATGCTGAGGAGCCTTGGAGACCTCCTAGCTGAAGGTTATCAAAGAAACACAACTCAATAAGCCTCTGCCTTGTTAAGTTTAAGTTCTGCTAATCTTTTTGTGAGAAGACTGTGGGGACTAACCTGCCTCTGTGCTGGCAGCGATAAAGTGAATTGGAAATGCCAGTAGGGTGTGTGGACAGATGGAGACAGGCATCTGGAGCTGCTGGGGACAGACAGCTATTTCTGTTGAAGAGAACAAAAGATGCAAAGAGTCCCTTTTCCCCACTCCCCTCCAACTCTGAGCATTTCTTCTCTGAAACGTTTTCTTTTCTTTCTCATTCATAGAATATAAACTATGTTCAGAAAAAAAATAAGAGTTGATGATAGGGGAAGTTCACTCCTGAATATCTTCCTCCACTATTCATTGGTTTGGGATTGCAACCTGCCTTTGCCCATTGCTGTCATTCTTCAGAGGTAGATGTTTGCAAAAATGTCCAGAGCAGCTGGACCTCAAATCTAAAATTGCTGTAGTAGAAGACTCTCCTCCACTGATCCCTTGAAGCACATCCATGGAATGCCATTGGAAAACTGCCACTGGAGGGCATTAGACATCATTTAATTTGCTCCATGATGACTTTTGACCTCTGAATTCATTTCACATGGATGACCAGGCTAGTCCCATCGTCACCCTCAGACACTTATTTGTCTATTTCTAGGGGCAGAAAACAGTGCAAGCCTTGCAGATATAAGGCGATCCTTTAAGGGGCTCGCAATCTAGTTGGGACACATATATAAAAAGATAACAACTACAGTAGGTTCCAATCAAAGTAGCACATTATATGTAAAAGCCACAGCAACACAGCTCTCAGGGGCAGCAAGCATTTTGCAAAAACAGAGAGAACTCTCCCAAGAAGGTGAACTCACAATATCACAGGGTCTTATACACTCTGCTGCCCTAACTCTCACTTCATCTTGGCTAAGCATAGGAGTGAACTACATTTTTCATTATTAAAGATATGTATTAAACAATTAGGATATGCCCAATTTATACTATTTAGGGATTGTTCCACTTCGTTTTCCCCAAATCTATTTCTACAGACCAGGAGCTATAATTTTTTCCCCTAAGCTTATAAATAAAATAACGCCGGGTGCGGTTGCTCATGCCTGTAATCCCAGCACTTTGGGAGGCTGAGGTGGGCGGATTACCTGAGGTCAGGAGTTCGAGACCAGCCTGACCAACATGGAGAAACCCCATCTGTACTAAAAATATAAAATTAGCCGGGTGTGGTGGCGCATGCCTGTAATCCCAGCTACTGGGGAGGCTGAGGCAGGATAATTGCTTGAACCCAGAAGGTGGAGGTTGCGATGAGCAGAGATGGTGCCATTGCACTCCAGCCTGGGCAACAAGAGCTAAACTCCATTTCAATAAATAAATAAATATAAATAACATGATTACATGTAAACAAAAAATAGAATATGATCATTTATTCATTCATTCATCCGTTCAAGAAGCACTAAGTGGCCTTGGCTTTTACTGCTGGCTTGACTCAGCTCTGTTGGGCAAAGGGCAGAGGACTAAGCAACTGGGAGTGAAGCAATTAGAGGATGATTTTCACATTATAAAGAGTCCCAGAGGGTTCCTTTTAGTGTGCTTCCCCAGGGGATTTAAATATTTAAATATTGTTATACAGATCCTTAAGTCTTGCAGCTGGGGAAGATGGGAAGGACAGCTGAGGGTGGTCAGGCAAAAAGCAAAGATTTAAATCTGAAGGGTCAGAGGCCACTGCTAAGAACTGATCTCTAATTCCAATACTAGTTATGCCCTACCAATATATAGCTTAGAAAGTCCGCAAAGCACTTCTTCGACCTTCTCTCTTTTGGTAGTCATGATGATAAACTCTAAACTTGAAGGTTTAAAATGTGATGGGAAGTAACATTTTCCAAAATTGAAATCACACAAAATGTTTGAAGAGTTTGTCTGTGGCAAAAAGAGATTAACGAGAAGGACAGCGTATCTATGACAGATTTCACACATAGCTTCCATTTTCTTTCTCATCGAGGGTGGGGTGGGGAGCGTGGGATGGTGGTGGTATTGCAGTTACTAAACACATATTGTATGTGTGTAGCATGTTTGTGTGTACACACATGTGGTACATATAAAACAGTGTGCATGTCATATATACATGCAAATTCTGTGTGTATGCTCAACAGTCAGATGATAGTGTTCCCAGCGTGCAAACGGGAACAAGATATGGTGGTAGGGGTGTCCAGGAGAGGCAAGAATGTCTACATATTTCATATACATTTATAGCGATACAGAACCTACTATGTGAAATGCCCAGGCCTCTAAGCCCAGAAAATGCAGAAACAAAATAGACCTTTCCCTGCCTCTCCGAGTTTGCAATCTAGTGCTCTTCCACTAGAGCACCCAGGACACTATATGCAGCAATTCAGGGCAGAATGATACCAATACCAAAATAGAAGTACTTAGTGGAATAGGAGAATATTAACTAGTAGTTTTGTGGGGCCAAATGTTGTTCAGACTTGTAAATGTGAGGACGACCTAGACAAGTCAGCCCATTGCCCAAGCTTGGCATGCTCTGAGCAGACAGCTAGCAGCTGCAGAGGTAGGGGTTTCTGGGCAGTCGGGAGCCCCTTCTGCCAAGTTCCCCTTCCCAACAGATCGAGAGCTCGGAGGCTTGGCACGGTCGGTCCCGATGGCCCCAGCGGGAGGGTCACGGTTGAGACAGCAGCCCCATCTCATTGTTTAAGGCCGGGGCTTCCTCTTTTGGCGGAGCGGGAGCGGGAGCGGGAGCTGAGCGGGAAGGGGACGGACGCCGCGGGAGCCTTCGGGATGTCTATTGCTGCCGCTCCCTCCCCTCGCCGGGAGCTTGGGTTTCCCGGGGTGTGTGCGGATTCTCAATAAAAAGGGAAAAGCACGATCCAAGTTAATTTTCCAGCGCCGACAGGAAATGCTGTTTCCTGCATCGTACAACGCTGGTGCCAACAAGACTGACACAGGAGCCCATTGTCCCGCGAACAATGTGGCGATGGGGAAGGACGCCTGAGAAAACAGACCCCGGCCCCGTGAGCGCGTTTGTTTGATCCTTCCCCATAGGGTTGTGTGAGGTGTGTGTCTGTGTGGGTGGGTGTATTTGTGCATGTGTGGTGTACGTCTGTGTGTGAGATTGTGTGTTGGGGGTGTGTGTATATGTGTGGTGTGTGTGGGAGTGTGTCTATGTGTGTCTCCGTAGTATGTGTATCTGTGTGGGTAGGTATGTGCATGTGTGGTGTGTGTGTGTGGAGAGTGTGTATGTGTGTGTGTCTCTGTGGTGTGTGTGTCTGTGTGTGTCTGCATGTGTGTCTCTGTAGTGTGTTTGTGTCTGTGTGAGTAGGTGTGTTTGTGCATGAGTGGTGTGTGTGTGGTGTGTGTGCGTGTGTGTATGAGTGCGTGAGTGTATGAGTGCGTGAGTGTGAAAGTGTGTGTGTGTGTGTGTGAGGCTGAATAGGCTGGTAAAGGCAGGGCACTGTCCCTTCCTGCCCTGCCTCTGCTCCCCTGGCGGGCTCCCAAAGTGGCAAAAGAGACCTAGCTGTCTAAAACGTTCAAAAGAAAAAAGAGAAAGAAAAAGAAAGGGGGAAACGGGGGAAAAGAAAAGCATGGAACAGAAGAGGAAATTTTTTAAAAGAAAGGAGAAGGGAAAGGGAAAAGAAAATAAAATCTCCCCAAAGTCTCCCCAGAGGCTCGTTTCGAACCCGCAGCTAGCCAAGGGCAAATGCATACTCGAAAGTGCCACGCCTCTCGTCCACCCTGCGCCGCGTCCAGTCCACCCCCTTCATCCCGCGCCCCATGTCCACCCGCCCGCTGTCCACCCTGCGCCCCATGTCCATGCGCCCCCTGTCCACCCGCTCACTGTCCAACCCGCGCCCCATGTCCACCCGCCTGCTGCCCACCCCGCGCCCCCAGTGCACCCGCCCAGCCCCGAGCGCCCGCGGAGCCGAGTGGAGAGCAGCGGCCGCAGCGCGGCGCCAGGCTCGGGCTGGGCTGGCCGGCGCGAACCCCCGGGGGCGTCTGGGCGGCCAGGCCGGGTGGCGGCTGCGCACGTAGGAGTACCCCCTGAGCCCAGCCGCTCGGCCGGCCTGACCCGCGGGTGACCGGATACGAGTAACGCGTGCGCCCCGATCTGTGCCCTGCGCGGGGTCGGGCGGGGACCGGCCGGGGGCGCCGCGCGCCCGGTCGGGTTGACTGTCGGGGGCGATTTCCGCGGGGCAAGGCGGGGGCGCGGGAGCAGCGCGCAGCTGCGGGGCCATTCCACCTGAGCGCCCTGAGGTCAGGGCCGGGGCCTGAGGACACGGCGCTGGGCTCCGGGGGACGCGGGTTCACGCCGGCGCCCGAGCGCCACCTCCCCGCCCTCCGCCGGCTCACGTAGTCCCGGGGTTCGGTACGTGAAGTGCCGGCGCGAGGCTGCTCAGGCCACCGCATGGGCCGGGCGATAAACAATCGCACAGGATACACAACACCCTGGACTGTCACAAGCCCCTCGCAGGAAAAGATAAATAACATCTGAGGCGCTGCGGCGCGGCTTCCCCGGGCTGAACAAAAACTAGGAGGTGGGGGGCGGTGGGGCGAAGTAAACAACAGAACCGAAGAATTGCCGCACGGAGCCTGGGCCGGCGGAGAAAATCAGATGCAGTCTCCTTCCCTTTGGTGACTATCCGTGGGGGTTTCTCCCGGTGGAAATGAGCGACACACACACCACACCACACACTACGTTCAAACTTTGTCCTTGAAAGCGATAGGCAGCTGCCTCTCTGGGTAAGAGGCGCATTTCCCCAGCACTGCAGGAAACCTTTTGGAGACCAAGTGGCTTTTCTGGACGAGGAGGCTGCAGAATTTTCCGAGGATACAACTTTTTCCCAAAGGTTTGCTCCTTGGGATTAGAGCAGGCAGCGACCCAAACCACCCTTACACCCGTGGTTTCATGTCAATTTCTAATATAAAGGAAATCTCTACCCCTGTTTAAAAAGAAGGGGAGGAGCACCAAAATCCAAACCAGAGAACTACAGATACTCCATGGGCACAATAAAATGTCTGTTAACAATACATACGGGCTGTAGTGGTTCACGCTTGTAATCCCATGCTTTAGAAGGCAGAGGCAAGAGGATCGCTTGAGGCCAGGAGTTTGAGACCAGCCTGGGCAACACAGCAAGACCCCATCTCCACACAAAAAAATTAAAAATTAGCGGAGCGTGGTGGCACATGCCTGTAGTTCCTGCTAGTCTGGAGGCTGAGGTGGGAGGACTGCTTGAGCCCAGGAATTCGAGGCTGCAGTGAGCTATGGTCGTGCCACTGCACTCCAGTCTGGGCAACAGAGTGAGACCCTGTCTCTTAGAGAAGAACCAAAAACCTACAGGGTTTTTACCTGGTAGCCCTTGATTTCTCCCACCTGGATTTGGAGTGACCAAAGCAGTCCTTTGCCTTCTGTGAACTGGTTGGGCCCAGCAGGACTGGCCTTTGTGATTCACCCCTGTCTTACTTTGTAGACTCAGCTAGTTTTCAGGCTGCTGGTCTCCACTGCCCAAACAGGATCACTTAAGAAGTTCAGCTTCACACCTGTCTTTCTCACAGTCTCTTGAGCACTGCCCAAACTGCACTACATGAGATTTATAACTTACATTAAGGCTTAGGCACCCCCCACATCAATTTCCCCTGCATAGGGTATATGCTTTACTTACACACATTATTAATCTGTTCATGTGAGCTGGGCCACTCCAGGAGCTCATACTAGTCTGTCTTTTCAATAATCTTTAGCTGTATGTGAATTAGTTTATGTAATGTTCCTTGATTAGTGAAAGCAGGGGTTCAGAATGGGGGGATGCGGTGAGAGTGTGGGGGAACTTCTTACTCAATACAATTCATAGCAGGCTGATATTCTCATTTCTCTTGGATGCTCTGACCCCTAGCTCAGTAGTGATATATAGAGTGTCTAGATTTCTAGATGTTACTCAAGCTTTCTCATGCCCGCCACGCGGTGTGAGACATCTGGGTTGGGTGCTGGAACAAGTTGGTGGCGGGTTTTGATGGCAGCAGCCAGCTGTCTGGTGTGGCCACTGCCATCACACAGGCCACTGCAGGGAGGGCACAGGGAGGAGGCAAGCAGCACCCCCACCACTTCCCCCACAACCCGCTGCCCTGGGGGCTGCACGATGATGCTTGGCCAGGTTGTATGCCAGGCAAGGGGAAGCTCCAGACGCCTCTGAGTGCCGGGGCCACAGGGGGAGCTTGCAGCAATGGATACATTGACCTTGCCATAGATGCCAGCCAAGACCCAGCGAGGACCTGTAGCCCCTGCCCTAGGCTGTGAGGGAGAGCGATTGGGTGCTGTGCTCCACAGAGCCAGCAGGAGCCAGGGACAAGCGGGAGCCATGCTCCTTCCAAGTTGGGAGGGCAGGAGCTCTGCAGATGCAACTGTGTCTGCCCAAGCTGCTGCTGCAACACGGGCACCCCTGTGCTCTTGGGAGCCTGGAGTAGGCAGGAGCCCCGCCCTCCTGGGCTGGGCTGCAGCCGCCCAAGTTGTGGCTTTGGATCTGGGCCTCCAGCTCCACAGAGCAGGTAGGAGCCCCAGCCACCTCCCCATCCCAACCCAACCCCCCCATCCCACTAGCCACCCCCAACAGCTGCAGCTGCCAAAACCAGGGCTGCAGACCCAGGCATTCCTGCACTCTTGGGGATCCTGGGAAGCCCTGCCCTGTTGCCCTTGCAGGCTCAGAGGAGTCCACTCCCATTGCCTGGTCTCTCCCTGCTCTGATCTCAGAGTTGGGGCCAAGCCCTGACACTGTCACTGCCTGGCAGGGTGTGCACACGCTGGGGGCAATGCTGACGTGCCAGCCCCCTGCTTCCTTGGCCCCCTCTGGACTTTGGGAATGGAGGAGCTCGGGAGGAGAAGCTGAGGGGGACTGAGGGCAGCTGGGTGCCAACCTGCAGGTGCCCTTTGGTGCCAGCAGCCTGGGTACCATGGCTGGCCGTGGGAGGCAGACAGGCTCCTGGGCAGAAGGGAGCAACTCCCCAGTGAAGCTCCACCTTCAGGCCAGGGCAGTCCTGAAGCCTGGGGTCAGGGCTGCCAGTCCTGTGGACTGGAGGGAAAACTGATGGTGTTTTTTCCTGGGCCTGTCCATGGCTGCCCATGGACCAATCAGCACGCAGTTCCCCCCTCTGAGGCCCATGAAAGCCCCAGAGTCAGCCAGAGCAGGGCAGAGGACAGAGAGGATGGAGAGACATGGCCGGGATGACCAGCTGCAGAGAGGACCTACATCTCTGCTGATAGCTGGAGATGAAGGACAACCAGCTGCAGAAAGGAGCAATCACTCTCCAGGGCCTCCTTTCTGCTGAGAGCAGCAGATGTGAGGAGCAAGCCTTTTCCAGGACCTCCTCTCTGCTTAGAGCAGCAGATGTCTGGAGGACCAGCAGCAGAGAGGAGCTACCCTCTCCAGGGCCTCCTCTCTGCTGAGAGCTGAACACTGGACTGGACTGACTTGTCTACGGAGAGGAGCTACCCACTGTGGGTCTCCTCTGAGCTGTTACTGGACAAACGAGTCCTAATTTTATAATATCTAGTCTCTAGGTAAGAGATTGCCTTGTATGACAGAAGTAGTTAGTAAACTAACACATTTTGTACACATTGTTAAAATTCATAGAAAGGCTGTCTTCTGAAAAGGAGTTTTGGAATTGAAATGGTAACATCAGCTCTAAGTGACACATGTGCCTATATCTACCAGGCTGGTGGTGGAGAGGAATTGAAAGGAATGAAGGATTCTAAACTAGAATGTTCCTCTTTAGAAGACACTTTAAGATATAACCATTGTTACATGTGTGTAGTTTATTCAACACTACTGTGTATCTATATACACAGTATATAGTCCGTATTTGAAACATCTAGTCTTTCCAGATGTTTAGAAGGGCACAAAGTATGTTAAAAGTAGAGGTAGTAAATAACACATTTTGTAGATATCCTTTTGATTCATGTGCAATATTGTCTCTTGGAAATTGATCAAACCACTTCCTTGAGTGGTACACATTATTATATTTGTGCTGGTTCAAAAAGGAAGGAGGAGCAGAAAGTGCAAAGGGCTTTCTACCAGTGTGTTTATGGTGAGGCACACTGACCATTGTCCCTTATGTCTGCGTTTTCTCTTACTGTGCTGTGTATATAGTGTATACAAGTGGACAAAGGAGTCCTAATTTGCAATGTCTAGTCTTTCTCGATGTTAAAGACGTTGCCAGTGTATGACAAAAGTAGAGTTAGTAAACTAATACATTGAGTAACTTTGTGTTAAGATTCATAGGGCAGACTGTTTTCAAAAACACAGAAGTGAAGTTGTTAAAATCCCCTCTAAGCATTACAGATGATTATACCTGTCCACTGGGTTGACAGAGGTCAGAAGGGAAAGGGTTCTAGGTCAGAATATTCCTATTTAGAAGACACTTTCAAATTATAGCTTGTGTTATGTATATGCACCATTTATTTATTCAATGCTACTGTGAAGATAGTGGAAAACTTAAGTCCCATTTGAAACATCTAGTCTTTCTAGATGTTTAAAAGTGCACAACATAGGTTAAGAGGGCTAAAATAACACTCTTTAAACATTTTTTTCATTCTTTCCTAGGAGTGGTTGCATTTGAGAATGGAATTGTTAAACTTGATGTTTTGGAGAGTATGCTGACTATTCACTGGGTGGCTGTGGGTCAGGGAGGAGGAGGTATGTAGGGAGAAGGGTTCTGTGTCCTTGAGTTGGATTAGTTCAGGAGGTCTCACCACTGTTCTACACGTGCATTTTAGTTAACATTGTTGTGTGTTAAAGGATAAACAAGTCCTAATGCTCAAAGAATGTGAAAAGTAGAGGTAGTAAAGCAATCCCTTTATAAATGCTTCTTTGTTAGCTTTTAGGAAGGCCTGTCTGGGTGTGACCTCTGTTAATCCACCTTTTGGAGCTAGACATCCTATACTTAGTCACTGGGATGATGAAAGAGGGAAAGAGGAAGAGTGAACGGAAGGGTTTTTCGCTAGTATCTGCATATCTAGAAGATGGTTTTAGATGATAACCATAGGTCTATATGAGCATTTTTAGTAAAGTGCCTCTGTTTATTGTGGACAAAATTCATTATTTTGCAACATCTAAGAATGTCCTGGATTGATAATGTATGATAAAAAGTAGAGCTAGTGAATTAATCAATTTGTAAATATCTTTTGGTTATAACTGATAGAAAAGATGCATCTTGGATATGGAATTGTTAAACCACCTCTGAGCAGTGTATGTCAGGACTTATTCATTGGGTTGGCAGCAGAGGGACAGAAAGAAGTATATAAAGAAAGATGTATACAGATGTGTCCATATTTACATTTTGATGATAGCCATCGATGTGTGTGCATCTCTTTTGGCTGTGCTGTAGAAATACATTAAGTAATTCAGTGGACACATACCTTCTTGCTAATATTTTAATGGTATGGATCTGCTAATGAATCCTCTTAGAAACACTATACTTAGTGGATTCTTTTGCTGTGTGTTTCTTTCTTTTTCTTTCTTTCTTTTTTTTTTTTTTTCTTTGAGACGGAGTCTCGCTCTGTCGCCCGGGCTGGAGTGCAGTGGCGCGATCTCGGCTCACTGCAAGCTCCGCCTCCCGGGTTCACTCCATTCTCCTCCCTCAGCCTCCCAAGTAGCTGGGACCACAGGCGCCCGCCACCACGCCCGGCTAATTTTGTTTTTGTATTTTTAGTAGAGACGGGGTTTCACCGTGTTAGCCAGGATGGTCTTGATCTCCTGACTCGTGATTCGCCCGGTGTGAGCCACCGCGCCCGGCTGTGTGTTTCATTTTAAATCGAGCATTGCAGTATTTTAATCAGAACTCTGCCAATGTTTTTATATAGAGGTGTGTTGCCATTTTGGTCTTCTGTGAAGTTTTTGTCTCAAGAAAGGCAGGATTACATTTTTTTCTAACAGAGTGAGTTGGTGTAGTCTATTCTTGGTTATCAAAATTCTCCTATAGCTGTGGGATTTTGAGTTGGTAAATATTCATGATGTGTGAAAAAGCATGATATATACTGTACAGTCTCAGTCCCATAAAATTGGATGTTGTGTCTACACACACACAGGACCTGGAAAGACTCGTCAAACTGTAAACTGCTTGTGATTGTGGATGACTTTGTTCTTTGCTTCTTGCGTTTTTCGGTTTTCTATAATGCACATATTAACTTAAAAAAAAAGGTTATTTTTAAAACCTGGAAAAAAAAAGAGACATAAGTGATGTTTAGTTTGGAAAAGAGGAGATACCTTAGGAAACATGAGCGCTGCTTTCATGTTTGAAATGTATGAAAAGATGTCAGATAAAATAAGAATTGAAATGAGGTAGGCTCCCATGCCCCGAGGAAAGACCCATGGGCAAGAACTTCAGAGAAACCGACTGGACTCAAACACACACACCTGTGCCCCACCAACAATAATAAACCTATCACATAGTCAAAGTGGTCCCAACACGACAGGGCCTGCCAGAGAAGCCTGAAAATGAGAGTGATTATCTACAGTTTACACCGTTCCTGGTGACTGTATCTTTTGGTAACAGACAGACTTCTGATTGATACAGCTGCCTCAGGAGGAAGTAAGATCCCCCAAAAGAAGTCAGATTACAGTGGAACCTGGATGACTCATTACATAGTAAGATAGGAGGCAAGCATCCCTTCGGGGACAGTGTTTAAGACCTCTTCTATCACCACCCATGTAAATTCCATTATCTGCATATTTCTGTTTTGCTATGGGCCAAACAAGCAAAACTCTGCCTTGCTGTAATTTCTTAAACCTAATAAGATCATTAAGATTTTTTTTTTTTCTTTGAGTTGGAGTCTCGCTCTGTTGCCCAGGCTGGAGTGCAGTGGCGCAAACTCGGCTCACTGCAAGCTCCGCCTCCTGGGTTCACGCTGTTCTCGTGCCTCAGCCTCCCAAGTAGCTGGGGCTACAGGTGCCCGCCACCAGGCCCGGCTAATTTTTTGTACTTTTAGTAGAGACGGGGTTTCACTGTGTTAGCCAGGATGGTCTTGATCTCCTGACCTCGTGATCCGCCCGCCTTGACCTCCCAAAGTGCTGGGATTACAGGCGTGAGCCACGGCGCCCGGCCTCATTAAGATACTTTTATATTACTGTTTTATGAAGAAAAGTATGCATCATGTAAACAACTGAGAAAGGCACAATTCTGGGTTTACAGATTGGAAAGTTTCAACACATAACCACTCATTGCTAATGATATAATGTTCATGAATACTGTGGGTTTGAATAATTAAGACACTGCTGGTAGGAATGTCAAAGGGCACAACCATTTGAGAAAACAATTTGACAGTTTCTTGTAAATTTAAATATGTGCTTTCCAAATGACTAAGCTACCCCACTCCTAGGTATTTTTCGACAAGAAATGGAAACTTATGTCCACACAAAGACCTATATGCAAGTGTTTGTAGCAGCTTCATTTATAATGCTGAAAATCGGAAAGAATTTGAATGTTTGTCAGCTAGTGAATGGATAAATAAATTGTAGCACATCCACACAATGGACTACTCCTCAGTGCTAAAAAGGAGGTGAACTGGTGACACATGCAAAGATATGGGTGAGTCTCACAAGCATTATGCTAAGTGAAAGAAGCCAGACACAAAAGCTATGTACCTCTCATACTTTATGATTTTGTTTTTGTGAAATTTGGAAAACACAGAACTACAGGTACAAAAATCAGATTAGTGGTTGCCAGGAACTGGTGGTATGAGCAGGGCTTGACTGCAAAGGAGCACAAGAGAACTATTTGGGGTGATGGAAATATTCTATATCTTGATCATGGTGCTGGTTATACAATGATATACATCTGTCAAACTCATAGAACTGCACGCTAAGAGGGGAAATTTTACTCTATGTGTTTTATTTTATTTTACATTTTTAGAGGTGGGGATTTCAGTATATTGCCCAAGCTGGTCTCGAACCGGGCTGAAGCCATCCTCTTACCTCAGCCTCCCAAGTAGCTGAGATTACAGTTACCACCGTGCCCGGCTGTATGTAAATTATACCTCAGTAAAACTACTTGAAAAAAGTTCTGTCCTCATTTTCAATAGCTATCATCTGGTGACTCACATAACAGTTGATATCGAATAAATGTTGAATGAATCTGGGTGGAAGTTTTGTTTTTCAGCCAAGTCAAATTGTACAGAGATGAACTGGACACGAGTAAGCACTCTGTTCCTCTCGAAGGTGCTCTGCTGTCCGTGTGAGGAACTCTCCCCTCTGTGATCCCTTGTGACTTAGAGGTGGTATGGGAGGGCGTGGCCATGCCTGGGGGAAGCAGTGCCACTATATCAGGTCAGCTTTTTGATGAGTCTTATTCATCCTGGAACTGTATCTTCATTCAGGAAACTCCCTGCAGACAACCCAGTATTGAAAAACGCAAACATTGTTCTGAGGATCTGCATAGGCAAGGCCTGGCTGGGAACACTGCCTGAAGGAAAATCCCTCATCTTGGGGCAGCAGAGGATTCTAAAAATGAAAGTGCCATTCCCAAGGATCCATAGTTCCTTCTAATTTTCTAATCTAGGAATTGTCTTTTCAAGTCGATTATAGAAAAAATAGATCATAAAACACCCCCCTCCAAAATTTAAATAATTTACTGCCAGAAATTGCTAGAATACTGTAGCTGGCTTTAGGCAAATATGAAAATATACCAATTTATATTTATAGAGCAGTTATTTTACTTTTATTTTGTCAAGTGAGTTTTCTCTACAAATAATTTTTCATTGGATTCTTTTTTTTGCCATCATAACCGTTTTTAAGTGTACAGCTCCATAGTGTTGTTTATTCATATTGCTGTGCAACCAGTCTTCAGAACTCATCTGTCTCATGGAACTGAAACTCCATGCCCATTAAATATGAACTCCCCATTGTTCCCTCCCTGCCAGCCCGTTTTTGGTACCATTTCACTTTCTGTGGATGATTTTTGACTTCTCTAAGGACCTCATATGAGTGAACTCATACAGCATTTGTTCTTTTGTGACTGGCTTATTTCACTTAGCAAAATAACCTCAAGGTTCATTTATGTTGTAGTATGTGTCAGAATTTCCTTCACCTTTAAGGCTGAATATCCCATTGTGTGTTTCTGCCACATTTTATCTATTCATCTGTCTATGGATACTTGGGTCACTTCAGCCTTTTGGCTAGTGTGAATAATGCTGCTGTGAACATGAGTGTACAAATATCTCTTCAAGATCCTGCTTTTATTCTTTTGGGTATATAGCCAGAAGTGCAATTGCTGGATCCTATGGTAATTCTGTTTCTAATTATTTGAGGAACCTTCATACTGTTTTCCACAGTGGCTGTACCATTTAACATTCCCATCAGCAGTGCACAAGGGTTTTAATTTTTGCGCATCCTTGTCAATGTTTGTTATTTTCTTTCTTTTATTGACTTATATTTTTGATAGCAGCTCTCCTAATGGCTGTGAAGTGGTATGTCATTGTGGTTTTGATTTGCATTTCCCCATTGACTAGTCAGGTTGAACATCTTTCCATGTGCTTGTTGGCCATTTATATATCTTTTTTGGCAAAATGCCTATTCAAGGCCTTTGCCCAATTTTTAATTGGGTTGTTTGTTTTTTGTTGTTGAGTTGTAGGAGTTCTTCATATATTCCAGGAATTATGCTCTTATCAGATATATGACTTGCAAATATTTCCTCCCATTCCATGAGTTGAATCACGGGATTCTTTTAAGCAACAATTTCTTCTAGTGCAGGAGCTTGTGCTTTAGCAAGCTCCCCGGGTGATACTGATAAATCATATGGCTTTGCATCACTGTTCTGATGCACATATGATGGGATTGAACTTTCATTAACATATTTATGTAACAATATTTGTGATAATTTATGAAACCCTAGCATCCTTGGGAAGTGAAGTCTGATGACAGCCTAAGAAACTGTACCTTCTTTTTTAGATCAAAAGTTTCTCCTACCTGTTTCCATGATCCATGGCTTCACTCTCCCCTGGTTCTCCTTCTACTTCTCTATGTGTACCATGTTAGTCCCTTTTGGGACTGTCTCATACTCCTTCTATTCCCTAAATGTGAAATTTCCCACAGCTCTTTTCTCAGCCCTATTCTTTCTCAACAGGTACCTTCCCTAAACAATTATATTGTGCCCTTGACTTTGACAGTGCTGACTCCCAGATTGAGCACCCCAGCCTAGCCCAGACCCAGACACACATGTGCCTTCCAGACATATCTGTAGGGGAGCTAACGGCGCTTCGAACTAAATGAATCCGAATCTTACTTGTTCTTTCCCCCTCCAAACTTGAACTCCTTTGCATTTGTCAAAGCCAGAAACTTCACAGTCTATCTCTCCCTTAACCCCCATGTTCACTAAGTCATTTAATTCTGGTAATGCCCCTGATCCTCTGATCCTCCTCTTCATTCTGGCTTGACATAGTCTTGGTTTGGCAAGTCATATTCAGAGAAGCTTGAGGCTTCTCTCTACACACACGTGGACACACTCATTCAACTCACAATGCGTGTAAGCTGCTACACCCCTGGTGAACAGGCCGTGAAATTGCCAAGAGCTTTCTCCATGGGTTGGCCAATGACATCATAGAATGGTATGGTGGTTTGGGAGGGGAGGGCAATTTTGTGCCCCGGGGGATGTTTGGTGATGTCTAGAGATTGGGGTGGTGATGGTGGTAAGGTGCTACTGGCATCCAGCAGGTAGAGACCAGGGATGCTGCTAAATATCCTCCAATGCACAGGACAGCTCCTCCCACCAACAAAAAATTGTCCAGCCCTCAAAGTGCCGAGGTGAGAAATTCTCCCCTAAGATGATCTTTAACCTTTTGTTCTACACCCAGATCTCTCTTACCGGGGGATGCACCAAAGCCCAGCTGTTCAGTGTCAATGGCTGCCAGCTCCCAACTACATCCCACACAGACGGGAGCCACCTCAATGTCTGCGAGATTTCCTGTCCCTCCTTTTCAATCCCATCAAGGCACCCTCTACCAATGACTGATGGATACAGGGATACAAAAGCCCAGACACCTATCTTCCAAGAGGAAAAAACTCTGTGGTGGTGCCATTTATGTTCCAGAGCAACTGCGGGATCAAGCTGAGGCTGGACTCCAGCTGAAACCACATGCAACAGACTGAATGCTTGTGCCCTCCCAAAATTAATATGTTGAAGCTCTAATCCCAATGTGATGATGGTATTAGGGAGGTAATTGGGTCATAAAGGTGGATCCCCTGTTAATGGGATTAGTGCCCTTATAGGAAGAGGCCAGAGAACTAGCTTGCTCCCTTTTCTCCATGTAAGGACACAGCAAGAAGGTGGCAGTCTGCAAGCCAGGAAGAGAGCCCTCACCAGAGCCTGCCTATGCTGGCACTCTGATCTTGAACTTCCAGCTTCCAACACTGTGAGAAATAAATGTGTATTGTGTGAGTCCTCAGTCTGTGGTAATTTGTTGTAGCAGCTCAAGTTGACTAAGACATGGCATCTTTTCTTAGCTGCTCTGCTTCTATTTCCTACTTCTCTCTTCTCCCTTCAGGTCCCTTATGAGAGTGTGCTCCCAAAATACCACTTGTACAAGAATCTCCTGCTCAGCTCAGCTTCTAGGAAACTTGACCTAAGACACAGGCCATGACCAACATTCACCAGTGTGGGAGAGCAGAGGATGGAAAGGTCAGCCAAACACTGCCAAGCCAGGCCAACTCCTGAGAGCTTCTCTGGCAATGATTTCTGGCCCCTAGGTGCTCAGCCAAGTGATGACCAACCCAACGCCAATGAGGCAGCTCCCTGGGGAAGCTGAGTTAACAATATCATGTGATCAGTTAAACCAGTGAAAAAGTATGAAATTCTGTCAGTAAATGTTAGAGTTGGTAGAGGATGGGTTATAGCTTTGTTTTCAACACTCAGTGAAAATGAGCCCCTGGAGACAACCCTTCTGTATTAGTCCGTTTTAATGCTGCTGATAAAGACATACCTGAGACCGGGCAATTTGCAAAAGAAAGAGGTTTAATGACCTATAGTTCCACATGGCTAGGGAGGCCTCACGATCATGATGGAAGACAAGGAGGAGCAAGTCACATGGATGGCGGCAGGCAAAGAGAGATTGGGCAGGGAAACTCCCCCTTATAGTACCATCAGATCTCGTGAGACTTATTTTCTCTCATGAGAACAGCACAGGAAAGACCTGCCCCCATGATTCAATTACCTCCCACCAGTTCCCTCCCACAACACATGGGAATTCAAGATGAGATTTGGGTGGGGACACTGCCAAACCATATCACCTTCCTCTTGTCTTCCAGATTTCTATTACAGCCATTCGTTTTTCTATTAGTTCCAGTCAGATCAGAGCCTTACCCTGCAAGTGATTCTTTGGCTCCCCATCATCCACAGGTGAAACCCAACCATCCATTGCATGACAGAGGTCCTTATGATCTAGCCCTTACCTGCCTTTTGGTGCATCTCTACTGCTCTCCTATAATATACTTTAAGCTCTTGAAAACATGGACCTACTTCAGTTCCCTAAACTTCCTACCTTCTGAATATGCTGGTCCCCTTCTCTTTCCCCATTGTTGTCTCCCCATTGACACCTGGCAATCTCCCACTCACCCTCCAAGTCAGAGATTTACAGGGTCATTTCACCTGAGGGCTGACTTCAGGAATCCTTTCTCTGAGTTCTTTTTTTTTTTTTTTTTTTTTGAGACAGAGTCTCACTCTGTTGCCCAGGCTGGAATGCAGTGGCATGATCTTGGCTCACTGCAACCTCTGCCTCCCAGGTTCAAGCGATTTTCCTGCCTCAGCCTCCCAAGTAGCTGGGATTACAGGCGCCCGCCACCATGCCCAGCTAATTTTTGTATTTTTAATATAGATGGGGTTTCACCATGTTCCCCAGGCTGGTCCCAAACTCCTGACCTCAGGTGATCCACCCGCCTTGGCCTCCCAAAGTGCTGGGATTACAGGCGTGAGCCACCGCACCTGGCCCTTTCTCTGAGTTCTAACTGCACGTTGTTCATTCCACCACCAGAGCAGTTATCATTCTACTATAATTGTTCATCTGCATTGTCTTTCCTGTAACCTAAAATTCCTTGAGCTCGGCAACTGTCTATTTTTATTTTGTATCCTAGGACCTAATAAGGACTTTGGGTGCACTGGAGTCTATTTAGTGCTTCAGGAAGTAGATTCTGAGCTTGGACTGCCTGCATTCCCAGCTCTGTTACTTGCTATCCTGGGACTTTGGACAAGCTACTTCGCATTCTGTTTTATTACCTGTAAAATGGAGATAACAATGTTGACTTCTCAAGTTACTGTGAGGATTATCCAGGTGAAGCCACTGTGCTTGAGCAGGTGGGTAAGGGCTGGATCATAAGGCACAATTCCTGGAACATAGTAAGCATGCTAATTGTTATAAATGTTCACTGCATAGTGCTATCCTGACTGCTAATCCCTAACCTCAAAGTACTGATGAATAAACAACAGATACAAAGAAGTGCTGCTCTACCAGACAGACAGTAAATATAAGAGACGTATTTACTTACTTTAGAGAGAGCTGACGTGCTGTTTACTAATCTACCCATCATTGCTCTATCAGGCCCTTTTCCTGCTGGGCTATTCTAGGAAGATGGTATTTGAGATAAGCCCTGAAAGATAAGATGAAGTCAGCAGAAAGTGTAAGGGAGTGTGTCTTTGGACAGAGAGAAGAGCTTGTGCAAAGGCCCTGAGGCAAAAACAAAAATCAAGCAAAACCCCTCACTCCCTCCCACTCTACTAACCCCCTACTAACCCCACCATTAACGAGAAAAATAGAGGGTGTTCCAGGGACCAAGAGGAAGCTGCTGTATCTGATGCTTAGAAAGTTACAGAGATGTGTCAATGGACCTGGTGCTAAATAATAATAATAAATAATAAAGTTAGAAGGAAAGAAGGATGAGAAGAAGTTGACAAAGAAAAATTAGATCATGCAGAACCTTGTAGGAAAGCATATGGGTCTCATCCAAGGTGTGATGGGAGGTTTTTAGGCCGTGTAATAAGACGATCTGTTTTCTGTTTTTTAAAACAGATTGTCTGACTCAGGAGGCTTTTGTGTTAATAGATAAACTGTGAATTCAAAAGAAAAGTTATTGACTATTTCAAAGATTAAACAATGACTTTCCCATGTATCTTTGAAATTGTTAAAAGCCATTTTAATTTCCAGAATGTATAGGAAGGGTTAAGGGGAATAGCTGATTATTATTATTATTTTTTTTTTTTTGAGACAAGAGTCTTGCTCTGTCGCCCAGGCTGGAGTGCAGTGGCACAATCTCAGCTCACTGCAACCTCCACCTCCCAGGTTCAAGCGATTCTCCTGCCTCAGCCTCCAGAGTAGCTGGGCTTCAGGTATGCACCACCACATCTGGTTAATTTTTGTATTTTTAGTAGAGACAGGGTTTCACCATGTTGACCAGCCTAGTCTTGAACACCTGACCTCAGGTGATCCACCTGCCTTGGCCTCCCAAGGTGCTGGGATTACAGGTGTGAGCCACCATGCCTGGCTGATTTATTTTTAAAAGTAGATTTACAAAAGTCCACAGGCATGTAAGTGTAACGTTTTAATTTTCTTTTTATGCCACAGCAAAGGATGAATTCTTGTTGGTAATTTTTTGATTAGATCATTTCAGGCAGATCTTACATTCAGAAGTTTTATTGCCATAGCTACTATGGGGAAGGCCTTGGTGATCATTTGCAAAAATTTTGTTAAGACTTGAATTGTAAAATTCTGCTTGCGTCTATTGCTGTTTTAAAAATGGCAGCTACAATTTCAAGGCTTAAGTGAAGGTAATGGAAATCATTTCTTTAAGTGAAAGGGGATTAAATGGTACCTATGTAAATTCTATACACTTAAAAGATTAATTTCCATCAAATGGGAAATATTTTTCTGTTATACTTTCTTACCTGAAATAAATTCGTTCATTTCTATGTAATTTTAAAAACGGTTTTACTGATAGTTTTATCTATAGCTTTACAAATTGGCAATTTCAATAGTGAAATAATTACTTTTTGGTGTATCCTTAATGTTGTTAAAAGTGACTTTAATTTCCGGCATTTTCTTTTGCAAGAGTTGACTCTGGTTGTTTCGTGGTAAATATATGAAGTGGAGGCAGCAGTGGAATCTAGACCAGTAAGGAGGCCGTTGCGAGAGACAGGCGAGCTGAGGGCGGCTGAGATGATGCGCAGCCGTGGGGGAAAAGGAGGGAGCTGAGATGCAAGCATACCCAGGGCGTGGAAATGACAGGCCCTACCGAGACATTGGATGTGGAGGCAAGAACGAGGCAGGAATCACAGTGTACCCCCAATTCTGGCTCCCGTAGATGGCTGAATGGTGTCACCAGTGAGTGAGATGGGATTGCTGGGGCTAGAGAGGAACTGGTTTGCCAGATGGTGAGGGAATCAAGGGCTCCACTTTGGACATTTTACATTTAAAGCAAACCATGCCAGAAAGTGGACCTCAGGGAGGTAGAGAGCAGAATGGTGGGTACCAGAGGCAGGGAAGGGAAGGGGTGGATGAAGAGAAGTTGGCTAGCAGCCACCAAAATATAGTTAGGTCAAAGGAATAAGTCCTAGCATTTGATAGTACAGTAGGAAAATTAGAGTTAACAACCATTTATTGTATATTTCAAAATGGCTGTGAGAGGAGATTTGTAATGTTCCCAACACAAAGAAAAAATAAATGTTTGAGGTGATGGATATGGCAGTTGCCTGTTTCGATCACACACATTGTGTACATGTATCAAAATATCACATGTACCTGCCAAATTTGTACAACTATGATATATTAATTTTTAAAAAATAAAGCAAAGCATGCCTCCAAGTGGATTTGTCCTATAGGAAGCTGGATGGAGAAGTCGGGGGATTGGAGAGGATTGGGTGTCCTTTTGGAGATCCTTAGCATAGAAATGGCATCCTCATTAGAAAGGATGCTGTCACCCAGAAGAGAGCATAGAGGGGAGAAGAGAGGCTAGAGCCAGCCCTGGAAAGCCAACCTTTAGAGTTGTGCATCCATGCAGGGGGAGGCAGAGAGAAGCCTGCAACAGGTTCTGAAAAAGAACAGCCAAAGAGGAAGGAGACAGAGCAGTGGAGCTTCGGAAGCCAGGAGGAAAGTGAGGAAGTAGTTAGGTAAATCCAGTGCAAAGGTCAAGTAAGATAAAAACAGAAAGCCGGTTATTTGGATTTGCAATATGGAGGTGTTAAGCGGCTTGGACAGGAGTCGTTTGGAGAAGTCTGAGGACAGAAGCTGGGTTAGAGTGGGTTTGATGAGCACACAGGTGATGGGAAGTCAACATTGTTGACAGCTCTTGCAACAGTTAGTTTTGAGGTGACAGGGTGGCAGAGAAAGGCATAGGCAGCAGTAGGAGGCTGAGGAATAAAACGGGTATGCTGGTAAATGTTTAGCAATGCACCCTCTGGAAAGTCAAAGCCTCCATTTGTGGTAATATGAATACTCTCACCATGGCTAACATCAAGCTACCAACATGTTGTCAAACAGCTCATAAAATTCCTGAAAAATCTAGCATTGGCCCCTGGGAGGCACTATCACCCAGCTCCAGCACACCACATCATCGGGGAAGGGCTCTTCTCAGAGAGGTGGGCACTAAAACACACTGGCAAGCCCTTGGAAAGCCCTCCTGAGTAGAAAGAGAGAGCATTGTTTCAGGACAGCAAATGCATGAGCAGGGAAGGTGAGACAGGAGGGAACAAGGTGCCAGGTGCTAATAGGTTTGTTGATTTGAGGGTGGGAAGAGAGGAGAGGCCCCTTTCATGTCTGCCCTTTTGTAAGTGAAAAAAACAAAAATAAAGGCCTTCAGCTGACAGTGATTGGAAGTGGTCTGGATGGAGTGGGAGGATGGTTATGGTGGAGGTGTGTGAACAGGAGTAGGAGAGGAACAGGAAGGTGTGGAGGGTAAGGGGGATGGGATCTGATATAGTTTGGATGTTTGTCCCTGCCAAATTTCATGTTGGAATTTGATCTCCAGTCTCGGAAGTGGGGCGTAATGGGAGGTGTTTGGGTCATGGGGGCAGGGCAGATCTCTCATGAATGGCTTGGTGCCGTCCCCAAGGTAATGAGTGAGTTCTTGCTCTATTAGTTCAAGTGAGAGCTGGTTGCTGTAAAGAGCCTGGCATGGACCAGGCACAGTGGCTCATGCCTTGTAATCCCAACACTTTGGGAGATCAAAGCAGGATTGCTTGAGGCCAAGAGTTTGAGACCAGCCTGGACAACACAGCAAGATCTCATCTCTACAAAAAAAAATTTTTTTAATTAGTTTGGTATGGTGGTGTGCACCTGTAGTCCCAGCTACTCGAGAGGCTGAGGTGGGAGGATCACTTGAGCCCAGGAGCTCAAGGCTGCAGTGAGCTATGATTGTGCCACTGCACTCCAACCTGGGTGACAGAGCAAGGCCCTGTCTCAAAATAAATAAAATTTAAAAATAAATAAACAAAATAAAATAAAGAGTCTGGTACCTCCTTCTCTTTCTTTCTCCCTTTCTCGCTGTGTGACATGCTGGTTTTCTGTCATGACTGGAAGCTTCCTGAGGCCTCACCAGGAGCAAATGCTGGTCCCATGCTTCTTGTATAGCCTGCAGAACTGTGAGCCAAATAAACCTTTTTTAAAGAAATTACCCAGCCTCATGTATTCCTTTATAGCAACATGAAATGGACTAAAACAGATTGAGAGACTGGGGAGAATATAATGACACAGTGCAGGGTGTAACCTGCCTGTGGGTGGCTGCTGTCAAGACTATTGAGTAAAGAGCCGGAGAGGCCAGTGTAGTGGATGTGCCATCTCCCTGAACACTGAAGTGACCACGAATGCTGCAAGAGTTGGGGTGGAAAGGAAGACAGGCAGCCAGGAGTGAAAACCCTTAGTACATGAGTGTGTGTATGTGTGTGTGTGTGTGGGGGGTGGGTAGCGGGAAAAATCCTGGAAGTCTGTGTGTGACATTCATTAGGAGGAGGAAGAGGTGACATGTGAGCATGTGAGTGGTGTGAGGGAGGGAGAGACATGGTCTGCAAGTGGTAATGTGACTCAGGAACACACAAATTTGTTTCTGGTCCTGAGATCCAAGCGGGGATGTGTGAGAGAGAAACAGTCTCTCATGGGTCGGACTGCAGTGTGGAACATTCTCAGGGTCAGCTAGGCTCTCCCGAAGGAATGAGGTAGAGCTGGAGGGGTTTGCTGATTGTAGAGGGGTGACTCCTGGGGGGTCAATGGAGGGTTGGTGGGGATTGGGTCCCATTGGGATGAACACAGCGGTATGGTGTGTGATCCTGGGTGATCAGAGAGGCCTGGATTTCTGGCAGTGATTATGGTAAGAATGGATGTGAGGCATGCAACCTTGTTTGGAGGCAGCACATTCCACACCAGTATGCCTCCAACATTATCAACAAGATGTCAGGCTTGAGGAGCTATGAGACATTACCTGATTTAACCTCAGTGAACTGAAAATCTACAAGCATCATCTGGCATCCCCCAATCACCGAGTTCCTTCATTTAGAATCTCCTGAGTTCCAGCTCAGTTTTCTGGCAACAAATTTTGATTTCTTGGCCTAGGATACTCCTGTCTCAGAGAGGTTGTCTTTCCGAAATTTAACTTCACATTTCTTTCATGTGTTCCCTTCGGTTCTCTTCTCCTGGCTGGGTTTTTGTGATGTGTCAAAGAGTTCCTTTTATAGGATTTGTTTTCCCTTAGTCGTCAGCTTGTCAACTCAAAACATATTATTTGCGAGGGTGTTTTCTTTAATGACTCAAACTTTTCTCCTGAACATGAGGGAGGCCCCCCAAAATTCTCCCTAGTCCAGTTTATCTCCTCGATTGATGTAGGAGTATTAGTAGTAATTGATTTATTAATAGTAGTATTTCTCCCTCCTTGTATAAGTCATTTGAAAAAGTCCCAGATGGAATACATGGACCACAAATATTTTTCTGTAGAACTTAGAAGATTCTTAGTTGTCAACCAGATATGAGAATGCAGTCTGTTCTGTTGCCTTAACTCAACTGAAAGTTGGCAACTCCTATTTCAAAGGAAAAACATCACATTATGTTGAAGACGTAGGATTTCAAATGCTCAATTTTATAACTTAGAAGTCTTCATCTTTAGAACCCAGCCTCCAGAAACAAGAGAAATGCTATCTCGGGTTTCTGTTTTTTAGAGTGGTGGCTTTCAGTGTAGTAATAGTACAAATGAAAAATTCAACAAGGGTACAGGAACTGCTGATCAGAAATATGAGTCAAAGTTAATTTGGTGTGGGTGTTATTAGCATTAACTTTTAGTTCTGTATTCTCTAAAAAAGGTGAGAAAAACAAAAACAAAAAAGCAATAGAACATCAGACCCCCCCACCATTTTGTAAAAGATGTCAAACAACTGGAGCATACAAATAATTATTTTTTTTCTTTTAGAGACAGGGTCTTGCTCTGTTACCCAGGCTGGAATGTAGTTGCCCAATCTTGGCTCAATGCAGCTTCCAACCTTCTGGGCTCAAGCTATCCTCCCACCTCAGCCTTCTGAGTAGCTAATTTTTTCATTTTTTGTAGAGGCGGAGTCTCGCTGTGTTGCCCAGACTGGTCTCAAAACTCCTGGGCTCAAACAATCCTCCCACTTTGGCCTCCCAAAGTGCCGGGAGTGTAGGCATGAGCCACTGTGTCCAACATAGCCTCATAATAATAATTTAAAATGACATGTGTCCATTAGCATGGCTACTGCCCAGCTCAACTAACTGTATTCAGAAGCCCATAAGAGCCTGCAAAATAAGGTTTTTCTGGCTATAATAAACAAGGATTCCTGATATTGATTGTAATCCATAATCTAAGCCTGTTTTCATGATCCACTTATTCTACTCATATTTACTGAGTGTCTGATATATGCAAAGCACCATTAAGTCTTGTGGGGAGGCATTAATCCATGTAAATAACTAGCAATAATGCAAAGCACATGTGATAAGAAATAAAAGGAAACCTCAAACGCTCTGGGGGTTTAAAGAAAGGGACATTATTTCTTGTCAGGGAACAAGAGATGGAATCTTAGAGGAAGTGGAATTTGATGGTGTGTCAAATGATTAGTGAGTTTGAAACAGAAAGGAGACATGATGGGAAGAACAATCAAGGCAGGGAAATTGGTGAGAGCAAAGTTGTGTTGCATGCTTGGGAAATGCCAAGTAGCCTGGTTTGAGGGGAACACAGGACACAAAAATAATAGAAAATCATGCCCAGACTCGTATGGCTAACAAGCAAAAGAAATGTGATCTTTCTGGGAAAGGCAATGGGGACCCATTAAAAGTTGAGAGCTCTGCTCTGAGAGGGTTAATCGCCCAGCACAAGTAGGATGGTTTGGAGAAAGGAGGAGACTGATGCAGAGCTTCGGCTAAAACTCTATGTGTCTCATGGTCAAGATCGGTTACTGTTGTTATTATTTCACTATTATTATCATCATTATTATCTTTCGCAATATTTATTACATGCCTACCACATGCCAGGCACTATTCTAGGCCTTGGGGACATTCAAATGATCAAATCAGACTCCAATGGATTGCATATTCTCATCGGAAGGGCAAGAGAATAACCAAGAGTAAGGGGGACATTCCAGGTTTGATACGTGTTATTAAGAAAATAAAACAGAGAATACTTTCTTTTCCTGGAATTGAATAGGGGAGGTTACTTGAACAGCCCTCCCGCTGAAAACAACTGAAAATGCTATGTAAAATGCATTTTTTAAAAATCTTGAAAGCTCAGATACAATAGTAAGAAATTCGCTAGAGAAGAGGAACCCAGACGCGGTGGCAGGCGCCTGTAGTCCCAGCTACTCGGGAGGCTGAGGCAGGAGAATCACTTGAACCCAGGAGGCAAAGGTTGCAGTGAGCCGAGATCGTGACACTGCACTCTAGCCTGGGGGACAGAGCAGGACTCCATCTCAAAAAGAAAAAAAAAAGAAAAAAAAAAAGAGAGACGAGGAACCCAGAGAGTTGCGAAAGTCCTGAAGCTGCTTTTGCCCTGAGGACAAACCTAACCCAGGAGAACCTGAAGCTCGGATTTGGTGACCTAGAGGAGTAGGAAGGAAAATTTTAGGTGCCCCCCGGCACCTCCTTAAATTGAGGGGCTGGAAATATGACAGGCTCATCACATCCAGTTGGAACTGAAAAGGGCTATCCTGTCAGCATTAGGCTCACCAGAAGAAAACCTCCATCCCCATACTTTGCAATATAATCTCTGCTAAAACTCTGAAGGAGTTAGGCCCTGTTCAAATACACAATTAACTTTTTCTAGAAAGTTCTCCTGGACCTTGAAGGTGGCTGAGATGATCGGAAATGAACTACCAAAGTTTCAGTTATTCGGGGTGCTCTGTGGATAGACAGGATAAATCCATTGGAAAATACATCTTCCTTGGCATGAAGAGGAGATCAAAGGATACTGCACCCTTCTCTCCTTCCACTGAAGTTCACAGCAGTCATAGAATTAGGTAGTTGGGAGATTAACACTTGGTATTTTCATGATCTGCATATGCCAGAAAGCGAAGCCTGCAGCCAGGCAGCTTTGCTGTCTTAAATGGACGTATTTGGCAGTAACTAATATCGTCCTCTAAAACAGCCGGCACCATCTTGACCTGGAGGCAGCTCCTTCCTTCTCAGCTTGATTACCCAAAAGGCAGTGTGCCCATGCAGCACCGTGAAAGGTGGCCAGATGGAGTCAGGAGCCTTCATTCTGGTCACAGGATGAATGCCTCACACATTCATTAGTGGCAGAATGTCATTACACCTGCAGCATGGGAACAGAAAATGAAGTCTTTACAGATAATTTTCCACTGGCTGGTTCCAATTACCTAATAAAGCAGAGGAGAAAAGAAAGTTTGTACAAATGTTATGAATTTTTATATTATTACAAATATTTACACTATTTTTTTTAAGGGACAGGATCACGCTCTGTCACCCTGACTGGTGTGCAGTGGCATGATCATAGCTCATTACAGCCTTTAATTTCTGGGCTCAAGTGATTCTCTGACCTCAGCCTCCCAAGTAGCTGGGAATACAGGTACATGACATCGTGCCTGGCTAATTTTTAAAAAATTTTTTTAGAGATTGGGGTGGGTGGGTGGTCTCACTATGTTACCCAGGTTAGTCTCAAACTCCTGGCCTGAAGTGATCTTCCTGCCTCGCCTTCCCAAGTAGTTACACTATTTTCTTAGTCTTTCCATCTGTGACTAGCTCACAGAAGTTTTAAGTTGACTCAAACAATAGTACAATTGATTGGCAGTTATTAGACATCTTACATTTCCTAAGCTTTACAGAAAAACTCTGCAAGGTAAATATACAAACAGTATAAAATATAAATAATGTAAAAGAAACTGAGGCTCAGTGAGAGAAAGTAGGTTCAGTGTGATTCTTGTATAACACCCGGTCCTTCTCCAAGTAGTATTTAATCACCTGTTTAAGGCAGGTCTCCCCTCCAGGCTATGAGCTCTGAGATCAGGAACTACATTAGACTTGTTTACACCTGTATACGCAAGGTTAAGCAAGGGATATATATTAGGTGTTCAGCACACTTCGGTTGAATGGAAGAACAAATGAAGGAAAGAAAACTGTGTCCAAGGAAACATGTTTGTTTGTATAGAGATATTTTGGTGAAGTCCTTATTTGAGAGGAAATGGCCCGGCACCATCCCTAACATTCTTACATTAGTGTGTTTCGGAAGCTGGAAGCGGTTGATCTCAGAGGCATGTCGTAAACCTGCTAAGAGCAGCTGGTTATTCTAACTCATCGCTCAGTCCATAGAACAGAAGTTGCTTTAAGATTGAAGATTGAAGTGGTCAGGTGTGTTCTGATTACTTTAATGAGCGTCACTCTCTCTCACATCTGATAAAATACCTTATGGTCCAGAGTTCTGTGTTTCAGATAAACCATGTCTCTAGAACATTGTTGTATTTTCTGTTGTTTTCCCTCTAGAGAAAGAGGGCAGTAATGTTTCTGTAGTCCGTCCCCCTGCGCCTACCTTCCGCCAGCTCATGGCAACTATAAAGGGAATGAGGCTTTCATTCCTAACTGTTTGCAGGGGGCTTGAGTTCCCAAATGAGCATATACGACCAAACTGATATAATAGAAACTCTTAAGTTGCCTATAAATTATAGTACTCTATTTTCTCTTAGTCTAAGAGCCACTTTACCTCTGGGATTGGAGGGGTTGACTGTGTCCTAATAAAGCAGAGGAGAAAAGAAATTTTGTACAAATGTTACAAATTTTTATATTATTACAAATATTTACACCATTTTTTTAAGGGGCAGGATCATGCTCTGTCACCCAGACTGGAGTGCAGTGGCATGATCATAGCTCACTACAGCCTTGAACTTCTGGGCTCAAGTGATCCTCCCACCTCAGCCTCCCGAGTAGCTGGGAATACAGGTTATGCGACACCATACCTGGCTAATTAAAAAAAAAATTTTTTTTAGAGATTTGATTGTGGGGGGGTCTTACTATGTTGCCCAGGCTGGTCTTGACACCAGATGCGGTAGCTAACTTGTGTTTGGGATCTATGAGATACAGTCACTCACACCACTGAGGGCCACAGCAGGTGCCAGCCAGCAGCCTTGGGTTTCTCCTCTCTTTCTCACCTCAGGAGGTCACACAGGGAGAGGCAGAATCACCAGGATTCTGTCTCTCCTTACCATCCCTCTCTCTCTCACCTCCCTGAGCAAATATATGTTGTGACTCCACCACACCAAGCCTTTCCCAGGAGTCAATCCACTGCACTTGGCCCAGGAGACACAAAGAAAAGGCTCTCTCCTCATACTTGAGGGTCCACAGCCTAGTGAGGTTCACAGCCATGAACCAAAAATTACACTACAAAGACAGGGTGCAGTGGCTCATGCCTATAATCCCAGCACTTTGGGAGGCCAAAGCGGGCAGATCACTTGATGTCAGGAGTTTGAGACCAGCCTGGCCAACATGGTGAAACCCCATCTCTACTAAAAATACAAAATTTAGCCAGGCGTGCCAGCTACTTGGGAGGCGAGGCAGGAGAATTGCTTGAACCCAGGAGATAGAAGTTGCAGTGAGCTGAGATCTCACCACTGCACTCCAGCCTCGGCAATAGAGCGAAACTCAGTCTCAATAAAATAAAATAAAATAAAATAAAATTAAATTAAATTAAATTAAATTAAATTAAATTAAAAATAACTACAAGAAAATGAAATATAAAGAAAGGTGTGTACAAATGGTGTGGGGACGTGGAGGTGGCAACAGCTAGCTGAGTGTGGGAGCTGGGAAGGCTGCAGGGAAGAGGTGCTGTTTGACCCGGGTCTCAAGGGCGGAGTGTGAGTTCGCTGGGCCTAGAAGAGGCAGAAAACCTATAGAGGGAGGGGATATCCCAGTTATAGCAAGAGGGGAAGGGAAGAATGAGGTGGGCAGAAGATGCCACTGGGGACTGACCTTTTCCTTTGAACTGACGTATTTTATGAGAAAAGAAGTGTAAGACTTAAACATTTCATTTCACCCTGCGCACCAGCCAGAGAGGCCGATGGTCTCAAGTCTCCTGTACCTTGCTATGCACAAGGCTCGCATAAGTAAAGGAAAAAGACCAAACTAAAGGTGTCTTCTCCAGACCTGCCTCCTGTGAAGCCACCTCTGGGCAGGTGAACTGGGCTGGCAGAAGTCAGTCTCCTGTCCCTTCCCAGGCCCAGACCACTTCTTTTCAGCAACCTTAGTTGGGGGTAAGAAAGAAGACGGTGGTCTTGACCTTTGAAAACACAGGAAACCTTTGTTTCTATTGGTCCTACCTTAGGTGGACACCCCTTCACACCCAGACCCCAGCAACTGCCCCTGTGGAGAGTGAAAAGCTCACACTCAGTATAGTTCATGACACAGTAAAGACTTAAACAAATCTAGGCTAATATGTAGTCTTGAACTTGTAGTGTTTCCTTCCTACTGGCAAGATCCCAGGAGGAAAAGAAAATTTATGTTCCAAGTTAAGGGTAATCGGTCCAGATATGGTGGCTCTCGCCATAATAATCCTAGCATTTTGGGAAGCCGAAGTGAGAGGATTGCTTGAGGCCAAGAGTTCAAAACCACACTGGGCAACATAGGGAGACCCCTGGCTCTATAAAAATTTAAAAACTTAGGCAGGTGTGGTGATATATGCCTGCAGCCCAAGCTATTTAGGAGGCTGAGGCAGGATGATAGCTTGAGCCCAGGAATTCCAGGTTGCAGTGAGCTCTGCTCACACCACTGCACTCCAGCCTGGGTGACAGAGAGAGACTCTCTCAAAAAAACAAAACAAAACAAAACAAATTTAAAAGGCTAATTGTTCCCGTATTATTTTGCAGTTCCCTATTATATGAGTAGCAAGCGTGCTTGAGGCAAGATACAGCACAAAGAAGGCTTGTTCCATTTATAAGAAAGGTGAAAGCCAAGATTTGACAGAGACAAGAGGGTAATCAACTAGGAAGCTATTTTCTAATTCTAAGGATGTTACAGAAAACTCCAGAAATACCACTACCCACAAAATTAACCCTTTCCTTTTCTTAGTACTCAGAGTTGAGCCTTGTGAAAGGTCAGTTGGTATACACAATTTTCTCTTGGAGTCAGATTTCTAAATTCCCAGGAAAAATATTTGAGAATATGAAATCTTTGGGAATACACAGAAAAAGTAGAGAAAGAGTGAGCTGAATGCCACCCTCTCCTAAAATATTCTAAATAAAACTCAGGAAGAGATTTTAAAGTACAGTGTTCAAAACATCTGGTTTCTATTTGAATATAATTAGAAACGTATCTTAATATGCAAGGAATTCTAAAAGCCAAGAGGAAGTACATTTCTGGATGACCAAACACTTTGGGTGATGTCATAATCACGGCATGAAGAGAAATACCAAAGGCTCTTTGGCATGTTTTGAGAGATTTTCTCCTCGTGTTGTTTTACTGTTCCTGTGGAAAGTTATTTACAAATGAAATAAGGAAAAGAATGAGATTTTCTCAAACAGAATTAATTAGGAGTCAAGGAGTTCCAAAGCCTAAGTGGTATAAAGACAAAAGGCGGTCGAAAAGATACATTTCCAAAAGCGAATTCATTCTAAAACAAATGTTTTGCTGCTCTCTCTTTCCATTGTCTGACCTTTCCCACTCCTGTTTGTTTTTCTTTGGTCCATTTTCCACTCTGGGAGTAACAAAGAAAGACGAGTTTGCACTTGATTAGGAGAACCCGAAAAAGTAAAAACATGGCCACCGTCTGGCTCCTTGCCCCAGCTCACTCACCTATTTCTCCTTGGCCAGCTTTTAAAGTCCTGACACCCAGACCCATGACATTAGAATCCCTGGAGTTGGGCCAAGGTGTCAGTCTTTTAAAAACTCCACGGCTGACGCCTGTGTGCAGCCAAGGTTGAGAACCACCGTCCTCAACTGAACAACGTCATGGCTGGGAGACTCCCGGAGACTCCAGGCCAGCAACCAAGTGCTTCCCAGGCCTTTGGTGTCACAGACCAGCAACCTTTCCGAAAAGGGCTTGGGAGGCCAATATATATTTTGGTTTATCAAGACATTAAAAACAACAATTACCATCTACTATCATGATTATTTCATGAAAAAAGGACATTTCAATATCAAAATAGCAGAGAGGACATAATCTTAGAATATTACAAATCTCATTATATATAATATATGCATATATACACACCTATGTATGTGTGTATATATGTTTACATATGTACACACACCTAGGTATGTGTTATGTGTTTTACATATGTATATATGTATATATATGCCTATAAGTATGTGTATATACATATATATTTTTCTTTTTACAAAATTGTGATAAAAGAAATGTAACACAAAATTTGCCATTTTAATTATTTTCTTCTTTTTTTTCTGGGAAACAAGAGTTTCACTTTGTTGCCCAGGCTGGAGCGCAATGGCGCGATCTCAGCTCTCTGCAACCTCCACCTCCTGGGTTCAAGTGATTCTCCTGCCTCAGCCTCCCAAGTAGCTGGGGTTATAGGCGCCTGCCACCACACCTGGCTAATGTTTATATTTTTAATAGAGACAGGGTTTCACCATGTTGGCCAGGCTGGTCTCGAACTCCTGACCTCAAGTGACCCACCCACCTTAGCCTCCCAAAGTGCTGGGATTACAGGCGTGAGTCACTGTGCCCGGCTGTTCTAATTATTTTCAAGTGTGCAATTCAGTGGCATTACGCACCTTTATATACTCATGCAACCATCACTACCATCCATCTCCATAAATTTTTAATCTTGCAAAACTTAAACTGCATTCATTGAGCAGTCATTCCCCATTCTTGCCTCCCCCAGCCCCTGGCCACCACCGCTCTACCTTCATAGAGACCTTCTGTCTCTATGAACTTGACTACTCTAGCTTCCTCACATAAGTGGAATGGTACAATATTTGTCCTTTGGCGTCTGGTTTGTTTCACTTAGCATAACATCTTCAAGATCCATCTGCGTGTGTCAGTGTCGGGGCTGTCTTTCTTTCACAGCAGAATGACATTGCATTGTAGGGATAGCCCAGCCCATATTGTGTTCATCCACCCATCTGTTGTGAAGTGGCACCTTATTGTGGTTTGATTTATGTTTCCCTGATTGATGATATGGAGTATCTTTTCATGTGTGTTTTGGCCATTTGTGTACCTTCTTCCGAGAGATGTCTATTGATGTCCTTTGTCCATTTTCTAACTGGGATTTTTGTTTTTGAGTTGTATAAAGCACAGATTCTTGGATAACAGACCAGGTAACGATGTATTCAATGCCAGCAAACAGGCCTGCCTGCCCTTCCCTCATTTCAAGTCCAAGGATTTTAAGTATTATGTACATTGATTTGTGTCTGGAATGTTCCAATCTCATTTCATCACCTTGATGATTACTGAATATTTCTATCCAAAGACATTCAGGCAAAAGGTGAGGCATCTGCTTATAAACAGGGACTCCTGAGAGGAGAAAGAGTTGGAAATCTGGCAGCTGGTATTAGTTGCAGTCTCTAATGTTGATTTGGATGGAAGGCCTCAGATGGTGGAGCCTAACCCAGAATTTCCATGTTCTAAGGTCTCCTGACCACTGATGGTCAAAGCTCCATTTGGCTGACATTATTGACACTTCTGCTCCCCATACTATCTTGAGGAAAAATAGCACGGTTCCCTGCATGAAACTTTTTGGAACATAAAAGTATAGCAGCTCTGCTTTCCCTGGAGGGAATTCCACCTTCCTCTGGCATGCCTCCAGTTCTTCCAAATAGTTCTGAGAATCCCTAGAAGGGCCTCTTGTGTCCTCTAGGAACTTATCCTCTTGGAGTTGTGTGGCTTCAGCTCTGCTCTTGTGCCACTCGTGATTTCTGGAGCACCATGTCTTCTGAACAGTGCCTGCCAAAGCTCCCTCCACAGCAGCCAACACACCCTGGTGCCTGCATCAAGGCTGCTGGAACTGGGCTGTAAACACACCATGTCTGATTGTTGCTTGGGATGTGGGTGTCAAGGTTGTAGATGCCTTGCACCAAACTTCTCTCATTCTTCTAACTTATATTTTCTCGTTGATGGCAGCCCCCTTACCACGAATCAGGCTGGATCCCCATGTGCAGGGAGACTAAAGGCTGTCTGACCCACCGCATGAGCCATCCCCACCCTACCACTGATGTGAGCACGTTGATCTCTGGCCAGACATGTACAAAGGCGCTCCCTCTCTTCAGGGTGAGTTGTCCCCTAGCAAGATACTCTAATTTCTCCCCCTTATTAAAATATATCCCCTTGTTACAATGTATATAGAGATCAAAATACAACATGGTACCCTGTAAATATACACAATTATTATTTGCCAATTTAAAAAATATAAATTTCAAAAATAAAAAAGCCCAAACCAAACAGATATGGTTTGGCTGTGTCCCCACCCAAATCTCATCTTGAATTGTAGCTCCCGTAATTCCCATGTGTTATGAAAGGGAGCTGGTGGGAGATAATTGAATCGTGGGGACAGTTTGTCCCATGCTGTTCTCATGGTGGTGAATAAGTCTCAAGAGATTTGATGGTGGTATAAGGGGTTTCCTCTTTGCTTGGTTCTCATTGTCTCTTTCCTGCTGACATGTGAGACGTGGCTTTCGCCTTCTGCCATGATTGTGAAGCCTCCCCGGCCACGTGGAACTGTGAGTCCATTAAACCTCTTTTTCTTTATAAATTACCCAGTCTTGGGTATGTCTTTATCAGCAGCATGAAAATGGACTAATATGCAAACCAAAACAAATATATCCTATTAGGGCCCCCCCTGTTTCTCCACCATTGCCAAATGTGAATAAATCTCAGAGTGGGCACAGATCAGGCTCATACTGGGATTCCGCTACATTATTTTCAAGAGAAAAATACCATATTTCAGCCACAGTTATTCAATCCACTCATTTTTCTCTTGAGATGACTCTGCAACAAAGATGCTTCCATGTTTCAAACTGCAAATTCTAAATTTTATTCCTCTAATGAGAATAGTCCCACTATTTTGGCATTTTGCCTTAATATGGTTTGCTCTTTAAAAAAATAGTTTTACATATACATATTAATACGTTCATTTTTCAACCCTCCCAGGGGGATTGCTGAACACGGAATTTGAGTGTGTAGTCTTCCTGGAATATCTAAACGAACAGCCACCAAAGGGTAATGTGATGCATTGATTATTCTGCTAGGGTTCTATGCATGCATAGCTAATCAAATTTCTTTTTCCCTTTTACAAAGAAAATTTCTTCTTGGACTGCTCGACTTTGGGAACAGCAAGTTGGATCCTATCTGCAATGCTCCTTCCAAGAGACTGTCACTAACTGGGCATCTACTGTATGCCAAGCACTTGTCTGATTGGTTTACATATATTAAATCACTTAATGCTCAAAACCCTAGAAAATAGGTGCTGTTATTATTATCATCATTTTTCAGATAAATAAACACATCGCAGGGAGGTTAAGCAATTTTCTCCAGGTCACACAGTAAAGGATGGAGGCTGACTTAGAACCCAGGCTGCCTGATTTCAGAATCCCCCATGTTCTTAACTGTTTCGTTGCACAAGTAGCTGGATGTTCAAGTATTCTATTAGTCAGCAAACATTTATTAAGCAACTACTATGTGCTAGGCACCATGATGAGACCCAGCAATAAAGAGATTAAGGGGAGGAGGAAACCTAGGCCATGGGTGCTAGGGTGGTGGACACACTTATTTCCCACTTCTGATATTTCCACAGATGGGAAAGACTGTACCACTCCCAGAAAGAAAGTGAAGGAGGAGGCCATCCAGCTTCTTTCTGTCCCCCTGCTCACTCCTGGGAAGCAGTGGCTTATGATGGTTTGTGATGATCAGTGATGGTTTATGATGATTATTATGGCTTATAATGATCAGTGACTGGGGAGATGAAACCTAGTAGGCCCGGTGGGGAGTTTCCCAGACCAGGCCCTTCCCCTGGGAGGGGATGATCTGCATGGCCTGTGGCTGCCCATGATGGTGGGGGAGGTCTAGCTGATTCACTCCTATCCTGGTATCCCTACTGGCCGCCAGCTATTGAGGAGCCTGCCCAAAAGCCGAGTACCTGCTACCACTGGGCTTGTCACTGGTGACAACACCTGGGGAGGAGAAAGAATTTGTCTCCCTGTGAAAAATGGTCAGCAGGTGGAACTGAGTTTCTACCACGGGGATCTGCACTGAGAACATGAGTCGGGGAAAGCTGGATCTCTGTGCCAGCATTCTTATACCCACAAAGGCTACCCAGGGCCAGGGGTCTGTGGAGAATGTGTAAGGAAGGGCCCACAGAGGCAAACCAGGAGGCCAGGAAGCCCAGAGGAGGGGTTTCCACCCCAGGTGAGGAGCAGGAGATGGGTCAGGGACTTCTCTCTGAGAAAGTAGTGTATGAACTGAGTCCTGCAGGACCACCAGGCATTTGAGATTGTGCAGGGGCTGTGGGTGGGAAGACCTGTTGGGCAGGGGTAGTAGCAAATGCAGAGGCGGGAGAAGGCGTGGTGTGCTTGGATGTCTGGGCGACCTGCATGCTATTCAGAATGGCTGAAGCACAGAGGATCTGCAGCCAAGGGAGAAGAAACGAGGCTAGGAGGATGGGCAGGGATGGAGTCACGAAAAGCCTTGAATGCTGTGCCAAGGCCATTCAGATTTCACCCTGATGGCAATGAGGAGCTCTCGAAGGATTTTATAAACAAGAAATGACATGATCAATTTTGCTTCCCCCGTGATAATATAGAAAACTGGGGACAGGACGATCTGCTGGGAGGCCGGGACAGAGGCCAGGCAAAAGATGATGAGGCCTTGAAATAAGGAAGTGGTCATGGGGATGTAGAGGAGAGAGATTAAAGAGACACCAGTGGGTCACAGTGACTGACCAGCTCTGGGGACAAAGAGGAAAGAAAAGGACTGATTTCTGGCTTAGTGGCTGAGTGCGTGTTGGTGCTGTTCCCAAGACAGAGTGTAGGGTGAACAGGGAGAAGAGGATGGTTCAGCTGCAACCAGGTGCATTTGAGGTGCTCATGATGGGAGCTCTTGCCTTGAGCTCTGGTCAGCCCCTCCCATGGTCCACTGAGCTGGACCCCAATTCTTCCAGCATGCCATGCGGCGCTGCTACAATTGCAGTGATGCCCATGCATTCATGGCCTTGAATCCATTTTGTTTCTTCCCCCTGCTCTGGGTGCCAGGAGGGCATCCACTGAGGCTCTAAGGCGCGGTTCTGGGCTCCTTTCCAGGGAAACTCTAGGCCTCTCCTGTGCTCATGCTGCCTCTCAAGTGGCTCCTGCATCCTCCACACTAACCGGTTTCACAAGTTTTTTTTTGAGCATTCTTCTCCCTCCTCCACAGCCAGTTTAGAGCTTTCTTGATCAAATCGCCTAACCTCCGGGCGAACACGTTCTTCCCTTTCCTCGGGCAGGGCACCCCATCCCAGCCAAGGAGCCACCATCCCACTATCTTCAGTCACTCCCAGCTGGGTTACCCGTCTCATGTGGGCCTGTTTGTAGTCAGTTCTGCCTAGGGTTGGCAGATTTCGATTAAACCTCCCACTAGGTCCACTCTCTTCTGAGATCTGGCCTTCCAGAAGGCACACTTGGGTCTTTGAACAGGAATGGAAGGTGATTAGGGTTGTCCCGGGGTTGGCAGAAGCGCTTGGGGCTACACCAGTGTGGGGCCGAAACAGCTCTAAGCACCTCCCACTGCCCCACCACAGATCCAAGTTTGAGCAAGAAAGACTTCTGTGTCCTCCCTGAACTCCATCTCCTCCGCTCTGCCCACAGAGACTGGACCTGGCTTGTCAGAAGATGCCTGAATTCTGGGCAAATCTGAAGATCACAGAAACAGTTAATTTTAGTAGACAATCAGGGATGCTAAGTTTAAAACTGAGGTAGATCTTGAATTTCCTTCTGGACCCCGCAACTGGGAGGACTTGCCTTCCAAATGTGGTTGATTGGTGTTGGCCGGCACGGAGGAGGTTGGCAGCTCCAGGCTGTCTTCTGGGAGTCTGGCCGCCCAGCTCGTTCATCTACAATGTCCATGCTTTCCCATCCAGGAGGCTTCATTCTGATGTAAATTGGAGTGCAAACATGGCTCGGTTGTAGACCAAGCTCTGCTGATGAGAAGGCATTGCTAAATGAAAACTGTCACAAAGAACCCAGACAAATGCAAGCAGCCCGACAGCCAAAATACAAAAATATCACACTGTTGACACTGCTTCTCTGATGAAGCAGGCCAGCTAAGCCAACAGAATAGCCCCAGGGTCATATATGTCAACCTCAACTCATCTTTTCTCCTGCCCCTTCCAGTTTTGGACTGCCATGGGAAGAGCTCTGGACTGGAGGCCAGAGTATCTGGATCCTTGTTATTATCCTGTCCCTTACTGACAGGATTACACAAGCTGGTCATCAAAATTCTTTGGGTTTCACTTTTCTCATCTAAAATCATCAGATTTAAAAAGAAATGGAAGGACATTAAGTGAGAAAATGTATGTGGAAGCTTACATTCAATACAGAAACAGTAAAATTTGAATTTTTTATAAAGCATACCTGAACTTTCATCTACTAATTTAAATGTCTCCTTTTTCTTTTCTTTTCTTTTTTTTTTTTTTTTTTTGAGACAGGGTCTCGCTCTGTTGCCCAGGCTGGAGTGTGGTGTTATGATCACGGCTCACTGTAACCTTGAGCTCCTGGGCTCCAGTGATCTTCCCACCTCACCCTCCTGAGAAGCTGGGACTACAGGCATGCACCACCACACCTAGCTAATTTTTAAATTTTTCTTCTTTTTTAAGGAGATGGGGTCCAGTTGTATTGCCCGGGCTGGTCTCAAACTTACGGCCTTGTGCAGTCCTCCCACCTTGGCCTCCCAAAATGTTGGAGTTACAGGCATGAGCCGTTGTGCCTGGCCTAAATGCCTTCTTTTAAACTAACACTTTCTATGTATTTATTCAGCAAGTTGTTATCAACATAATAATAATAATGTAATAATCATGTAGAGGTATAATCTTATTAAATGGTTTTGTCTTTGTTTTAATAAGAGGTATAATCTTATTAAATGGTTTGTCTCTGGTATTTTCTGCCACCCCCAGTGCAGTCAGACAGCAGCGTGGGGCTCTATTTTGACTGTCCTCAAGGTCGAGAACTTAGAGCAGAAATGCAGAGAGAATGAAATAAAGCCACACTCAGGTTTGGATTTCAAAATGGGCTTTGAGTCTCACAGCAGAGATAAGAGTTTAAATGAAAAAGTTTGTCGCAAAAAACAAGGCCTTGAAGAACTTAGGACATACAGTTGGCATCATAAATGACATAGTTAGAAGAAGGAATGATCAGATGAGAATGAGATTTTGCTCTCCAATGAAGTAATCCAGACCATAGGGCAGGCAGGGAAGACGTTGCAGGGATGTAGGGTATGGTGGAGCCCCTAGGTGGGTTAATGGACTGTAGAGGAGAGCTGTGCTTCTGTCTCCAGGAGCCTGGCTTGTTGGCAAAGCTGTGTCATGCTTGTGGGGCACAGCCACAGGCAGGTGAGCATGCAGCTTGGCCAATCCACACAGGGAAGGTCTGAGACAGCCCCGCCAAGTCTCCTGTGTCCTTAGTGTGGGGCATCCAAAAATTTACCATCTCTCCTTCTCTAAAAAAGACAAGCAGATAACAGAGAGGGTCAGGCAACCTGTAAAGGAGGGCCAACTGCGACTGCCTGGCCCACTCCCAGAGACCAGAAGAAATGCGGCCATCTCAGCCAATGCCCAGGTGGGGCAGAGACCCAGTGGAAGAGGGAGCATGTTGGCAGATGTCAGCCTGGATATATGAAGACAACCAGGGACCTGATCCTTTGAACAGGTGGCACTATGTTAGCACCCTAGAACTCAGACGCAACTCCAGGGACATGAGTGGGGAGGGACACGTCTGAATCAACAGATAAAATCCTGCCTGGATTTACTCTGAAGTGACTAAGCAACAGAATGGGGGCTCAAGAAACAAAATTAAATTCCGTACTTTTAAAAATGAAGTTGTACAGTTTTTGCATTTCTGAGTTGTTTTGTAACCACCAAAGTATGTTACGTTTTATCACCTGTTGAGGCTTCAAAGCACGTTCACACATCATTTATTTCAGGGCTGATCTGCTGACCCATATGAGGACAGCCATACCAGTACCTGTTCCAATTGGCTGATGATTGCACCACATAGGTTATTAAATATTTTGAAATCGCCCCTGAAATTGAATGCTTATGATGTGCACAGCCATTGTGTTTGGGTCACTGTGTCTCACTTAGATTGTAAACATCTTCATTCATTTATTCATTCAATAAATATTTAAATTCCAGGAACCATGCAAGCAACTTAATGGTGAAAAGAAAAGAAAAATCACAGTTTCTGCTGCCATGGGCCTTACGGTCTAGTGGTAGAGGTAGACAGAATTTAAGAATCACAAAAATGAATGGGAAATTACAATGATGATGCCTGGTACCTGGGCTTTGAGAGGCTACGTCTGTAGCCAGGGAGGTCACTTGAGGAGGCGACGACCGGGCTGAATATAAAGAAAGAGGAAGAGTTAAGCAGGTGAAGATGGAGGAAAGATGGTAGGTGGGAAAGAGGTCCTGTGCGAAGGTACTGTGGTCAGAGGCAGCATGGTACATTTGAAGGACTGAAAGGAGGCCCAAGTCACTGACATGCTGCGTATAACAGGGAGTGTGGTCCAGGGCGAGGCTGGAGTGTAGCAGGACCTGGTAGGTCATGATGATTTAGATCTTTGTCCTCTGGGGGCAGAGGTGTGGATGGTTTAAGCGAGAGCATGGGCTATAAGGGATTGTGACCCCTCTGGAGTTAATTTTTAGTACAGGCATACAAACCATACCAGAAGGGATTATGGTATTGTAATAGAATAGACTCAAAAAAAAAATCTGCTCAGAATCCTGTTTCTGATTCATTTCAGCACCACCCCCTCATGGCCACCTTTTCCTTTTGCCTCTCCTGGAAACTTGTGGCTTCGTAACAGTTCACCCATACAGCTTGGATTTAGTGAGGGAATGTGCAAGCTATTTCTGTCTGTGGCAGTCCCTGAATGTTTCCTACATACAATTCAGGCTAGTTGTGGGTACAAGCTGGGTCGATGGACATCTCTTGCCACTGCCTGCCCCACATTCAATTCCCCCTTCTCCTGGCAACAGCTCCCTGATGGTCCTTTTGAGAATCACATCGTGGCAACTCTAGTTCTATCTGAGAATGGCTGGCCAACTCCACCCCACCCCTGCTCCCTCCTTCCCCAGCTCCAAGGCAGAGCATGATCCACTCAGGCTAATGAACATACTCCATCCTATCATGACTAGCTCAAGGATCAACCTCATTCCGAGTCTCATTCCTAGAGCTTCTTCTGGAGTGACAGGGCTGCTCTGTTGTTCCTCTGGGGTTGCTGTGCTGAGGAATGGTCCTGAGACTGTCACAGGCCACTCTGCAGAGAGGATTGGCCTGACACTGAAGCCAGTGTATGAGGAACTAGAGCTGAGAGAAAGAGAGAGAGAGAGAAGCCAAGGCCTGATAGTATCTCTTAGAGCTTTCAGCAGCTGGCTGCTTGGCACTGCTCCAGCTAATTGGAGCTGGCTTCTCTTACTGGTGACCCAAAGAGGCCTGTATGACATGCCCGGCACTCAGGCTTTGCTAACGCAATGGGCATCCTGTCACCAGCACCACTGTGCTGCTCCATCCAGCAGTTGGGTCCTCACTGATACCGCCCTCACCATCCCCCGAGCTGGGCTGAACCTTGCTTTTACTCTGACAAAACTAGAGCTTTCTCTCAAATCCTCTGAACACCAAGGAGGCAAAGTCATTTCTGCCTGGTTCTCTTGTGCTCTTGACTGGCCATTCCCTCTTTTTCCAGCATAAAGTGCACATCCCTAGGTTATGCCACCCAAGAATTCTTTCTCAGCTCTCCTCAACTGGACTCATTCTACAGGAACCAAGAGATAGGAAACTTCAGGATCCATCAGCACTGCTCTCCTTCTCACGTTCTCAAGCCATAACCTGCATTTCATGACATTCTTTCCCTTCTTGGGGACAGTTCCTGTCTGGCTACCAAGACTGACGTCTTCCCTCCCGGCCCTGCAGTGGCTTTCCTCCATTTCGGCTTTTCCTCCTCACCTGTCATCACCTTAAGCCCCTCCATATTAGGGATTCCATCTTTTTTTTTCTTTTGAGACAGAGTCTCACTCTGTCACCCAGGCTGGAGTGCAGTGGTGCAATTTCGGCTCACTGCAACATCTGCTTCCTACGTTCTAGCGATTCTCGAGCCTCAGCCTCCCAAGTAGCTGGGACTACAGGCGCCCGCCATCATGCCCGGCTAATTTTTGTATTTTTAGTAGAGACAGGATTTCACCATGTTGGCCAGGCTGGTCTCAAACTCCTGATCTTCATCTACCTATCAGGCTGTGGGTCTCTGTCGCCATCTTTCTTGTCTTTCCTAAGTATTCTCATTGTCTTCAGAATCAGGGCTCTCTAACTCACGTTTCCAAGTACATGCCCTCGCCCTTTGGTTTACAACAGAACACACTATACACACTGCTGAAAGTTAGGAGAAGTATTTTCAGAACCGGAAGTGATGGTAGACAGCGTGTATTCTGCCCTCTCACTTTATACGTAAGAAAATTGGAGACCAGATAGGTTGTAGTTTGTCCTGATTACACAGATGGTTACTTAACAATTGATTAATGGTCCAAAAAGATGGCGGGGAAAGATCACCCAGCTACTCTTGTTGTTTGACTTTAATGAAATACTGAAACCAGTGCTTGTTAGTGAAACAATAACCAGTCCCCTCCCCCTACTCCCATTGGTTGACTTGGTTGTCCTGCATTGGGCAACTGGGAATGCTTTGACTAATTTAGATTTGGGAAAAAAGACAGAGTTGGGAGCTTTGAGTATTTGAGATTAAGCTGAAAGAGTAATATGAACAGTGGAAGGGACAAAACCCTTTTTGGTTGCTGAAAACGTCTGATTAATGCGTTTCTGCACGTCTGTACATAACTTCTTCACTCCAATTGAAACGCTCATTCAATGGCTGCTTGATGTCCCTGGAACTACTAATTACCCTAAGAAGATAAAAGCTCAGATGAGCCCCAGGCTGACCTTGAGGCAGTCCTGGGGAGGACTGAGTCACAGGGCCCACTGCAGAGTCACAAAGCCAGGATTTGGATTCAGTTTTCCAAAGCTTCCTCAGCCCTACCCTCAAATGCACACATTTTCAACCTCTTCATTCTGTCCCAGGTAAAGGATCTAAACAGAAATAAGCCTGGGCGTGGTGGCTCATGCCTGTAATCCTAGCACTTTGGGAGGCCAAGGCAGGTGGATCACTTGAGCCCAGGAGTTCAAGACCAGCCAGGGCAACATGGTCTTAAAAAAAATTTAGCTGGATGTGGTGATGTGTGCCTATGATCCCAGCTGTTTGGGAGGCTGAGGCAGGGGAATCGCTTGAACCAGGGAGGCGGAGGTTGCAGTGAGCCGAGATCGCACCACTGCGCTCCAGCCTGGTGACAGAGGGAGACTCCATCTAAAAAAAAAAAAAAATGACAACTTCCTGGATTGAGTAATGACTCTGTGCTCAGCGCCATGGCTAAGAGGAATGTGGATAAATATATGGTTTATAAAGTTCAAAATTATGTAGTAAAGATTCTTCATGTTTTTTTTTCTTTTTCTTTCTTCTTTTTTTTTTTTTTTGAGACAGAGTTTCACTCTGTTGCGCAGGCTGGAGTGCAGTGGCACAATCTCAGCTCACTGCAACTTCTGCCTCCCAGGCTCAAGTGATCTCCCATCTCAGCCCCCCAAGTAGCTGGGACTACAGACACACACCACCATGCCTGGCTAATTTTTTGTATTTTTGGTAGAGATCATGTTGCCGGGGCTGGTCTGGAACTCCTGAGCTCAAGCAATCTGCCTGCCTCGACCTCTCAAAGTTCTGGGATTACAGGCATGAGCCACCGTGCCCAGCCAGATTCTTTATGTTTTAAGAGACAATGTCAACAACGACAAAAAAATTCTTGGTGGGGTAAAGAAGTATTTTATCATAGGCGCACGCACACACACACACACACACACACACACACACACACACACACACAATGTGTATATATTGTTTTGTGTACTAAAGTGAAGGACTTGTTTGGACAATTGGAGAGTGAGTTTGTGGCACTTCCTGAGGAAATATGCAAAACCTGACTGGGGGCGAGCGGAAATCTGGAGCCATTTCTCTTTAGCTATTTACTGCAACCTTTGGAACAATTAAATTTGATTGCTTTTTAAAGACGGTAATAATGAGATCTCTTTCTCAGCAGAAGCCAGAATTGTGAGATTCTGCTCCTTTCTGTTAGTTACCTTTCTTTTAAAAAATTTATTTATTTTTTAGAGACAAACTCTCGCGCTGATGCCCAGACTGCAGTGGCGCAATCATAGCTCACTGTAGCCTCAACCTCCTGGACTCAAATGATCCTCCCACCCCAGCCTCCTCTGAGTCACTGGGACTACAGGTGTGTGCCATGCCAGGCTAATTTTTTAATATTTTGTAGAGATGGGGTCTCACTGTGTTGCCCAGGCTGGTCTTGAACTCCCAGCCCCAAGCAATCCTCCTGCCTTGGCCTCTCAAAGTGCTGGGAATACAGGTGTGAGCCACCATGCCTGGATGTTACCTTTCTATGTGCCTGTGTCTACATCCCCAGTAGAGTGCTAGCTCCTTTTCTTTGTCTTTGTGTACTTCACGGACCCTGCTCTGGGCCTTGGGTGCAGGTCTCAGTCAATGCTGCTTGGTTGGTTAATTGTCATCTGGGACTGCCAATTTCCTTCAAAACCAAGAGGATGGCTTGGCTTGGGAGCTTATACCTTGAGCATAAAAGACAAGCCAAAGACAAATTTAAAATGTGGTCTTGGTCTGGCTGTCTGAGCAGACCAGGATGGGACCAGATATGCCTGAGAGAACCCAGCAGAGCGGTCAGACAGCCACAAGTGCTTGTCTCACCTTGGCTCACCCAGGCCTGTCCTCTGTCCCCTGGAAAGGAAGAGCAGAGCCTTGCTCATGGCTTGGAATTTAGACGTGATTTTTCAGCTGGATCAGTCACCTCTGAGTCCTGTGTCACTTGCTTCTCTCTGCGTCTCCGTCTCTCTCTGTGTAGGCTGAGTTTCTTTGTGGCATGTAAAAAAAAGGAAATGGATCAGGTGTGGTGGCTCACACCTGTAATCCCAGCACTCTGGGAGGCTGAGGCAGGCCTCTCATTTGAGGTCAGGTGTTCAAGACCAGCCTGGGCAACATGGCGAAATGCCGTCATTACTAAAAATACAAAAATTAGCTGGGCAGTGGTGTGTACCTGCAGTCCCAGCTATTTGGGGGGCTGAGGCAAAAGGATCACTTGAGCCTGGGAGGTTGAGGCTGCAGTGAGCTGTGTTTGTGCCAATGCACCTCAGCCTGGGCGACAAAGTGAGGCCCTGTTTCAAAACAAAAAGGAGGAAAAGGTATGGCAGTTCCTATAACAATGCCCTTCACCTCCCATTTGAACAGTTCTATTTCAAAGAGGAGTGATCCTTGTTTTTAAAGAAGAGTGATTTCTACCTGTGAGGACCAGAAATGTCTCTTCTCCCACACCCCCAATTCCTATAGTGCTTCTTAATTCTGGGAATGCCACAGTTTGTAATCCATTCCTTTTTCCTCTATTAAAATATTAACACTCTTCAGGAGCTCATTCAAAACATGGTAGCAGCTATGCATACTTTATCAGGTACTGGGCTTTTCTTATTTCACTAGAAAAGAAGCAGATAAAAAGCATGGGTCCTGGGAAAGGGGGGCTAGAAAGAGATGTAGCTTTAGGAGAAGAGGAGTTGGGGGGAAAACGAAGCCAAATGGTGAAGCTGAAGATCCCAAAGAGAAACTTTTCTTCTTCGTCATTTTCCCCAATATCTGCCCTGCCCATCTGTCCCTGTGTATACCTGTAGGCCATTCCTATGTGTCTCCTTAGGCATGCCAACACCATTCCACCAGTGCATGGTACTAACTGATCCTTTGAAATCACTTCAACATTTGGCATTGAAACCATGGAGAATCTTCTGCATTTTCAGTTAAGTACTTTTCATTCATTTACGCAACAAATGTTGATTTAACACTGTGCTGGGCATAGAAGATATGACAGATAAGTTGGTTTCACTTGTATAGGGAAAAGAGTTGTGCCCATGTCTAATTAGACTGTGCTTTGTAAGAAAAAAATGTATACCTGTTTCACTTAGTGAGGGAGAGAGAGAGAGAGAGTGCCTGTGTGTGTGCGTGCACGTGCGTGAGACATTGAAAGTACGAGGAAATTGGTGAGTTTTTGGGAGTTTTGCTACATCTATTTCTAAGTATTTTGAATATTCCAATTATGTGAATGTCTTAATTTTTCATGTCGCAATTCAAGCCATTGTCTCCTTATTTCTTGTGGTCATAAGGTTATAAATAAAGAACAAATTCCTGGAAAGTCATTTCATACCATCAAGCCACTAAAAATTAGTAACAAAAGGAAAAAAAGTAGACCACAAATATATGTTTTGTATTTATTTGTTAATATTAAGTGCATAAAACTAAACACTTTAAAGCAATCTTGCTAATATTGCTTTGGGGGGCTTTTCTGCAAAGGATGTACCTTCTGGAATTCTTTAAAATGAGTCCATCCAAATCTACGCTAAAGATGGCTTCTACTGTCAGCACAGTCACCCTCCACTGCCAGAAGCCCTCGACATGATACGAAACTGAAAAGGCTTCCTTCTCAAGCATCCTCCTCATTGAATATGTACAAGTTGAAATTCCTCGAACGGTAGTAGCCAAAAATTTCTCTTTCCTTGCTCACGGGCAGCTGGGAGGTCAGTCTGTCACAAGTCCCAGGCTGTTCATCTGGCATGTGCAGACAAAGTTCTAAATGCCCCCATCCAGGACTGGCTAGATTATTTGTGGGACCCAGTGCAAAATGAAAATGGCAAGCCCCTGTTCAAAAATTAAGAATTTCAAAATGATGACAAGAGAGCATTGAACCAAGCATGGGCTCTTCTGAGCATGGGGCTCTGGGCAAATGTAGTACATGACGCCGGCCTTGCGCTCCTCTGGATGGACAAACAGCTTTGAGACACTGGCCATGCTACCCTCCTAACCCACATCCAGAGCTCTAGGGCACTTCTTCAAGTGCAATTCTCTGCCTATCTTGAGCAATGTCCCTCTCTTGGCCCCACCCCACCGCTTCTCTCTTAAGTTCCCTTTCTTCCTACCTCCAAGCATTTTGACACATCTAGATATGACCTATTGGATCTCTGGATTCAAACGCAAGGCCTGTTCCAAAATCAGTTCTAATCCCACATACATATGGGTCTTTCAACATTTCCTTGTTATCTCCATGCTCTCCTCTTTGGGGTGTCCAAATGGATCTTAACTACCAAGTCCTCAAGTGTCACACAGGTTGTGACACAGTGGGCACATGGGAGGTGGGATGCCAGGGGTTAATCTGGCCTACTCAGAGGGCCAAGAAAGAGCCAAAAGGAAATGATGTTTCCAACCATTTCCTTCACTTCACCTCTGTATCATTAATTTTTTTTTTTTAATTCCACAATTTTCCACCTCCTGCCATTTCTCTTGGTCTTGTTCCTCTACCTTCTCTGTGAAGCCCTTGTCAAGGCCATCTTGGACCCACAACTAGAGTGGGAAGCCAAGGATGAAGGGGCAGCAAAAGGCCCTGGAGCAAATGTTCAAGCACAGAGCCATGCACACTAGGCCACGAACTTCCCGTCACACATGCTCTGGAGGAAGAGGAAATGCTTGACGCATCATCGCTCAGATTGCCTTGGTGGAAACTGCTTTCGATGGTTCACGTCTAGCAGTGTAACTCGATGACTCACAAAACAGCCTTTATTCATTGACGTGTTCTTCAGAGGACTCCATGAAATGACTCACACCTCTATTTACTAGGTTTTATTGGGAATGTGAGGTGAAATCTTTTCCCCTGGGAACAGGAAGTTTTCAGTGTTTCTTAGAAGAGGACGTGGGGACCTGATAGCAACACACATGTTGTTGATGGGCGGACTTTCTCTATCAGGGAGGCTCAGCTGGAGCAACAGAGCAGCATTTCTGGAGGAGGGCATATCAGTTTTGACACCTGTTTTCAGAATCATCCACAGAAGGTAAGGCTGGACGAAATGTTTCCTGTTGTGAATATTTAGAAGAGAGTCTGAGAATCAGAAAGTATTTTACGGAGCATTGATGAAAGGTTCAACAACTGTGTCTTGTGACGGCAGTCATTGATTTTTTTCCTATTGGGAATATGAGGGTATCCACAGTCAACGGGAAACGAGGGGAGGCCCAGTCAACCCCAGCACCCCAAGGATGATTGCTTGCTCACGGGAACTGAGCAGACTATGAACTCAATAGCCATAGACTTTGGACTCCCAGACAGGTGTGACAAGCAACAGCCGGGCAGATGAGGGACTTTACACCAGAGGCCAGCAGATACCACAAAGCAGATGCCTTCATGCCTGCAGGAGCCCAGGGGCCCTCTCTTCCTCAACGGCCACAGAACGAAACAGCCACACTCCCCATCCCCCAACATCAGATGCCATCTTAGGGAAAGAAGCCAGAGGGAGGCAAGGCCATCTGAGAGAGTGAGCGATTATACAAGAGAAGCAATTAGAATCATCAAGTGATTACACGAGTAAAAATCATCAAGTGATTTACACAAGTGATTATAAAAGAGAAATAATTGAGGCCGGGCATGGGGGCTCATGCCTGTGATCCCAGCACTTTGGGAGGCCGAGGTGGGCAGATCACCTGAGGTCAGGAGTTTGAGACCAGCCTGATCAACATGGTGAAACCTTGTGTCTACTAAAAATACAAAATTAGCCTGGTGCAGTGCTGCATGCCTGTAATCCCAGCTACTTGAAAGGCTGAGGCAGGAGAATCGCTTGAACCCAGGAGGCAGAGGTTGCGGTGAGCTGAGATTGCTCCATTGCACTCCAACCTGGGCAACAGGAGCAAAACTCCGTCTCAAAAAAAATAAATACATAAAAATAAAATAAAAGAGAAATAATTTAAATTTTGGAGTGGGGTAAGCTTTAACCTGGATGAGCCATTTCATGAAAATGTTCCCAGTAGCCAATGGATGGGGACAGAGAAAAATAAAAATGATCCAGTTATTTATAGACCAAATTAAATCATGGTGGGTTAATCTATATGTCAAATGGTACCTGCATGAATTGGCAACCCTGCTGCACAATTGGTTACGTAACACTTGTTACACATCAGATCCTATCCCAGAAGTGGGGGACAAATTCCAGTTTAAGACAGAGGCAGCTGGGAAACAATTACTATAGCACTCTTGGTCAGCTCTGTGTTGGGGGAATGCCTCAGAAGCCCAGGGGCCCAGAAGAAGGTTATTTAATTCAGAATACAGGCTCAGAGAAGGCTTCCTGGGAGTTGGGACCTGAGCTGAATTTGGAAGGACAAGCAGGTGTTACCTATTTGGAAGGACAAGCAGGTGTTACCTAGAACTTAGATTCTAAATGAACAAACAGAGGAAGCACTTCCAAGGCCAGAACAGCAGTGGGGAGGCACAGAGGTGAGAAGCCCGTGATGAGGTCAGGGGAGGGAGAGGAGCCTACACACCTGGGTGTGCAGAAGAACCAAGAGATGAGGCCAGAGGGATAAGCGGGGGTCAATCAGGAAAAGACTTGGGAGGTGAGCTAAGATGTTTGAATTTTGTTTTGAAGCTTTGAAGAATTATTGAAAGTAGTGGGCACCTGTGATCCCAGCTACTCAGGAGGCTGAGGCAGAAGAATCATTTAAGCCCAGGAGGCAGAGGTTACAGTGAGCCAAGATTGTGCCACTGCACTCCAGCCTGGGCAACAGAGGGAGGCTCTGTCTCAAAAAAATAAATAATTATCAAAGATTCTAACTAGGGGTAGCACAGAAGCAGATTCTCATGGGAAAAAGGTAGTTAAAGTGGGAGGGTGGAGGATGAGTGAAGGGGGGCAGGGGAAGGGGGACCAGTGAGGCAACGATGGTAGAAATGATGACAAACCGTGAAGGTCTGAACCCAGATGGTGGTGTTGCAAGTAAGAAGCAGGATTTGGGTTGAAGACATAGCTGAGAGACAGAATCTACAGGATCTGATAACTAATCAGATGTGGGAGGTGAATGAGAGGGGCAGAGGGGCTTCCAGAGTTCTGGCTGGATGGTAGCGCCAGGGCAAGTGCCTTGCTCCAAGGGGAATACCAGGGCCACAGTGTTCGGGGGCAAAAAGGAGGCATTGGGCTTGGGGTGCGATTGATGATGTGGTACCTGACAGCCAGTAATTCAGAATGTCTCCAAAAAGTAAAATGAAAACTTGGACTTCTCCTTGCACTTGTCACTTGGGCAGTTATTGGAGACCTTCATAAGAGCAGGTTCAGTGGGGTGACAGGGATAAAAGCCAATTTGCAGTGAATGAGAAAGTGAAGTTACTCTCTTCTCCTGATGCCTTATTCTTCCTGGGGGGCCGCTGTCTTGCTGAAGGGCCCCCTTGGAAACCAGAGGGCATCACGGACTCCTCCCTCTTTCCACATGATGTACTTGGCCAGTTTTTGAGTTCTGTTGATCCCTTTCCCTTAGGATCTCTTGATGCCATTCCCTGTTCTCCACACTCCCTCCCGCCTTAATCCAGTCTTTCCAAGATTTGCTGCCTAACTTTAAACAAAACTGAGGAATATTTTTTAAAAACACAAATCAGGATGAAGTTTCACTTATAAAGTTCTTCATGACCAAGTCCCCAAGATTCCTCTCCACCCCCCAATGCCTCCCATTCTAGCTCTGCTCCCCAAAGCCCTCTGCTCTGCCTGGACTGAGACCCCAGGGATCCCCCCTCCCTTCAGCTCTCAGCTCCCTGTGCTCATCGCTAGCATGGTACCCCATGGTCAGCACTGCCACCTGTTCGTCCTTGCTCTCCCCACCCCACCGCCAGCTCTTTGAAGATGGGGACCCCACTGTGTTCATCTTTTGTGTCCACAGCCGCCAGTAAAGTAGCCAGCATGGATGTACAAACTCAATACGTGTATGCTGAATAAAGAAATGAACAAGTTGTCAGTTCTCCAAGAGACTTGATTATGAGGGGGTTTATGATTCAAAGTGATGTCTTTTTTTTTTTTTAAGATGGGAGAAACTGAGGTTTAGATGCTGAGAGGAGTGAGCCAGCAGAGACAGAGAGAGGTTGAAATACAGGAGAGAGGAGGATTACGTGGAGCCATGCCCCTGAGCATGCGGGGTGGGATGAGAAGGGGGTGGGAGCTGGAAGGCACAGGAAGCAGGGACCTGGGGGTGGGGAGATGCCAATTCCATGGGGCAAAGGTGGGCTTAGAAGCAGAAATGTTCCCATGTGCTTGAAAACGAAGTTGAGGGCTTTTTCTCCTGATGGCCTCTATCTGCTCAGCAATGAGGAGGCAAAGTGTGAGAGTGAATGGGATTGGGCTAGGGCAGAGGGTTAGCAGAAAAGTGAAAGTTTGGAAGAACCACTAGGCGGGATGAGTTGGTCATGCTGTGGTGACAACGCCAAATCTCAGTGACATGACACACGACCCACACTCATTCTCACTCTACTTAGAAGTCCAGTGCAGCTGGACATCAATGATCTGATTCTTAGAATTTCTCAAGGGCCCAGGCTGGCTTCATCATTTTTGGGAAAATGCAGTGCCCCACCTTGCGGCTGGGATGCCAGTCTCCCTTCCCGCAGGTTCTGCTGCACCCACCCATAGCCGATGGCCGGCCTCCGAGGGGCTGCCATCTCCACACTGGAATGCACTTGGTACCCAGATTGGGGTGGGCATAAGGCCCTGTTTTAGCTTCCCACTGAGTGTGTCGGGGGGTTGACACCTGCTGCCTTGCTCTGCCCTGAGATGCTGCAAGCCGTATGCCCAACTGCTGTGGCTTGAATGTTTTTGTCCCCTTCAAAATTCTTGTGTTGAAAACTTAATCCCCAATGCAACAGTGTGGGAGGTGAGGCCTTTTGGGAGGTGCTTTGGTCACTGGGGCTCTGCCCTCATGAGTGGAATCTTGCTTGCCATTGCAAAAAGGGCTTGTGAGAGTGGGTTCACTCTCTCTTGCCCTTTCGTCTTCTGCCTTCTGCCACATGTGGATCAAGTAAGAAGTCCTGCACCAGATGCCAGCACCTTGGATCCCGGACTTCCCAGTCTCCAGGACCGTGAGATAGTCAATTTCTGTTCTTTATAAATGACCCTGTCTCAGGTATTCTGTTATGGCAGCACCCAACAGACTAAGACACCAGCCTGCCACATGTGTCCTCCTGGGCCCCCACCAGGGATGGAGAGTGACGGTGGAACGTGGTCTCCTCACTTCGTGTGACCCAGCTACTTCCCTGGGTAAAGGGCAGCATCTGTAGTAGGGTGGGGGCAGGGAGGGGAAATTGGGCAGGGCCAAGGCACCGGGAGAAGAACAGATGTCTGAGAAAACATCCTGGGAGTCAACAGGAGGCAGGAGCACGCATGCGTGAGGCTCCACATTCCTGGCAGGCTCCATTGTCTCGTTACACTTCACTTAGGGAGCACAAGTTCAAAGGTAAAATTCTGAAGAATTTCAAGAGAGCAATTATAGAGTGTTAAACCCTAACCTTCTGGGTGCTTGTCCTGTGCAACTGCACTGGCCCCGCATGCCCGTGGTACAGGCCCTGCCTCTTCCCTCCTTCCCCTCCTTAACATCCTGCCTTCCCTCCTTCCTCTCCTTAACATCTTGCAGTGGCTCACATTCTTTTTCTTTTCCTCTTTTTTTTTTTTTTTTTTGCAAAAAAATCCAACTGCTTTAACCTGGCTTTCAGTTTTAGGCCTCCTAACATACTGTTCTCACTGCCTGAACATGTTTACGCCCTCCTCAAATGTCCCTTGGCCTAAGTCTTATTCATCATTGAGATCTCGATTTCAGCACCACTTTCTCCAGGAAACATTCCGAGACTCTTTTGTTTAAATGCCTCACTTATTTGGTCCCACAGCACAAAGATCAAATGCAGAAGGAACTGCACGTGGAAAGGCCAGCCACATACATCACAAAAAGAGGACTGAAGTCAGCACACAGCTTGAAAGCCGGACTACAGGCCTTTCTTCAAGAATGGCTGGAGTGACCCTGGGGACTTGGTAGGATATAGGATGGAAGCCTTTGTGATTGTGCTGTTATTAACACATACAGGGGTATAATTGCCAATGGTCCACACTTTTGTTTACTTGCCACGTGAGCCATCTAAGTATCCTGGGATTTTATCGTCATTACCTTGGCACATGCTAAATACTCAGTTCCTATTTGCGGCCGAATCATTGAATAAAAGAATTATATTTAATAGTTATATGCTCAGGTTATTGTAGCACCCTAAGAATGTAAATTATCCATTTTAATATCAGGGTTTCCTCAAAAAATAGAATTATTCTCTGAAACAGAGGATCTTTACCGGAGTTCCCCAGGGACTCCTAGGGAATCCATGAATTGGTTTGGGGTGGAAGGACTACAAATCCCAAAGATTGAATACTAAATTTCGTGGGTACATGTAGTTTGGGGAGGCAGATGATCAAAGTTTTCAGTATTTTTGAATGCATTTTGACTGGTCAAAGGTAATAATTTTTTTTTTTTTTTTAGACAGAGTCTGGCCCTGACACCCAGGCTAGAGTGCAGTGGCACAATCTCCGCTCACTGTAACCTTCGCCTCCTGGGTTCAAGCCATTCTCCTGCCTCAGCCACCCGAGTAGCTGGAATTATAGGCACCCACCACCATGCCTGGCTAATTTTTGTATTTTTAGTAGAGACGGGGTTTTGCCATGTTGGCCAGGCTGGTCTTGAACTCTTGACTTCAAGTGATCTGCCTGCCTTGACCTCCCAAAGTGCTGGGATTACAGGCATGAGCCACCACACCCAACAAACAAATCCTTTTTTTTTTTTTTTTACTTTTATTACAGGTCAAGGGGTACATGCGCAGGTTTGTTACATATGCAGATTGAGTGTCTCTGGGGTTTGGTGTACAGATTGTTTCATCACCCAAGTGATAAGTGTAGTACCCAATAGGTAGTTTTTCAATCCTCACCCTTCTCCCACCCTCTGTCCTCAAGTAGGCCCAGTGTTTATCGTTTCCTTCTTTGTGTCGATGTGTACTCAGTGTTTAGCTCCCACTTACAAATAAGAACATTCAGTGTTTGGTTTTCTGTTCCTGCATTTGTTTGCTTAGGATAATGGCCTCCAGCTGCATTCATGTTGCTGCAAAGAACATTCTCTCATTCTTTTTTATGGCTGTGTAGTATTCTATGGTGTATATGTACTACGTTTTCTTTATCCAGTCCACCATTGATGGGCATCTAGGTTGATTCCATGTCTTTGCTTTTGTGAACAGGGCTGTGATGAACATACGCATGCATGTGTCTTTACAGTAGAACAATTTATATTCCTTAAGGCATACACCCAGTAATGAGATTGTAGGGTTGAATGGTAGTTCTAAGTTCTTTGAGAAATCACCAGACTGCTTTCCACAATAGCTGAACTGATTTACATTCCCACCGGCAGTGGATAAGGGTTCCCTTTTCTCCAAAACCTTGTCAGCATGTTATTTTTTGATTTTTTAAAAATTTTTTGATAGTAGCCATTCTGACTGGTATGAGATGGCATCTCATTGTGGTTTTGATTTGCATTTCTCTCATGATTAGTGATGTTGAGCATTTTCTCATATGCTCGTTGGCTGCATGTATGTCTTTGGAAAAGTTGTCTGTTCACATCCTTTAAAACAACAAATCTTTGTTCTGAAACAGTAGTTTTTAAAGTGTTCTCCCAGAGGAATAGCATCAGTGTCATTTGGAGACTTTATCAGAAATGCAAATTCTCAGGTCCTACCTCAGACCTGCTAAATCAGAAACTCTGGGCGAAGGGCCCAATGGTCTATGTGAAGTCTCCAGTCTTCTGTTGCACTTCCAAGTTTAAGGACCACTAAAGAATTAGAAATAGGCTGTTATGTTTCCAAATGTAGAGGTAAGAAGTGGGGATAAAAAATAAAAGGCAGAGAGAGAGAGAAAAGAAGACAAAGTATAGCAAATAGAAAACAAAAATAAGGCAGTAGAAATAAGCCAAAAAAAATCAGTACTCAAAATACTTGTGAACATACTAAGGTCACCAATCAAAAGACAGAGAGGCCTGGATTGGTTAAAAGCAACCCAAAGTATCACATTGTACCTGGTAAATATATTCCATTTTTATTTGTGGATTATGCCTCAATAAACCTGGTGGGGGGGAAAGTTTACAGAAACAAAAACACAACAATGAGTAAGTCTAGAAAGGAAAACTTACTAACATTTCCAAAGCTCCCACTTCATCGTCGTGCAGCTACTAGAGTTTTACAGTTCTGCGAGGTTGCGAGGTCACGGGCTGGTCCAAGGTCATGAGCTGGTGGGGATCAGAGCAGGAGGAGGCCCTGGCTCCTTTCCCCCACTCTGCCCTAAGCAGGATCAGGTCTCTCTCCACTGTGCGGTGTGTGCAGCTTGGTTCCAACCTACGTGCCTGACTATCATCTCTTATCCTTATTTACTGCCACCTAAAAGGAATTTTCATTTTTATGTATGGGTATATATGATCATCAAAGGCATTTGTTTTACTCTAGTAGGTTTTCATAAGGCTTCAAACAGTAAGTCTTTTCTTTTTTTTTTTTTTGTTTCAGCTGCAAGAAGCAAGAGGATTGGGCAAAGGTCAAGAGGCCATTTGTCAAACAGCACAAGACATGTAACAGGATATGCACAGTGAGACATGGCGGGGGAGAGCCCCCACGGAGCCCAGGGGATGTATGACATCATAGTCACAGTCCTACATCTTCCTCTGTTTCCCCAGCTACCCTGGCTATCTCTGCAGACAGGAAGAGAGCTGCCAAGTAGGGCTGGAAAGAGACACTCGGCAGGTAGATCTTGCCGTAACAAGGAGAAGAAACTCATGGATTTCACCTAAGACCAGAGAAGGGAACATTCCCAAGAGACTTGGAGGTTCCATCTCTCAAGCAACCTGAAATTAGCAGGGATTTCTCCTGCGGCTTTGCCATGATGTGGGGAAAAGGGAAGTGGTTTTGACGCAAGGGACAGAGGGAGTGTTGGCGGTGGCAGGGGGAGCAGGGGCAGCAGCTCACTTACGGGTTAAAACCACCCTGGAGAGGCCCAGCTCTCTGAAGTTCGACATCAGAATATACATTCGAGTAAGGGTGGTCAGTTATTCAATTTTTTGAGACTCACTTTCCTTGTCTTTATACATGAGGTTTAACAAAATTGTCAAGAAGGTGACAGAAAACAGCAGAGGAAAAAGCTGCAGTATAGTGGATACTCCATAAATATTGGTTCCCTTGGCTATATTCGTCCCCTCTTTTTCCCAAGTGTAGAGCAACATGGATTAAAATTTATTTTGTATTTCTAGATCTCCAGCAAATGTATTTAGAACTGTTCTATTAAATTTTCCTGGAAAATAAAGCATCCCTTGCATTGAGGCTATCTAGGTAATCTATTTAACAGCATCTAAGTCTAGAAATTCAGAAACGTCTATATGTGCGCCTCTCTCTGTAATGTCCTGATTCTTTTTTTTTTTCTCATCCACTTGCCCATCAGTGGTTCAGATATTCTCTCTATATTTGTGTTTGCAAAGTTCTATTCCTGAATGGAATTTTCTCCCAGGAATTCCCGACCGAGGCCATCTGCTCTGCAGGCAGAAAGTGAAGCGACCGCAGCCTGATGCAGCCAGGAAGGCAGAGGCTGAGAGGAGGGAGTGTGGCATCAGAACAGAGTCCGCCGGGGCTCTGGCTTCCTCCTCCGGGATCAAGGGAAATGTGCGAAGCACAGTGCAGAATCCCGGGCGGCTCATGCCCACTCACTTGCTGGGGGAACAGATAAAACACGAGTGAGGGGGAGATTTTGTGGGCTGACACTCCCCAGAAATGCTGTGTGCACATGGGCGTGGTGATTGATACTTAGCGCTTTGAAGCAAACACCGTGAGACTACTCAGCATTGGGAGAAGCTGTCCACGCGGACGCCCAGGAAGCAGCCCGGAGGATAGGGTGCCCCAGCAGTACTGCAGAATCCCAACTACTGACGAGAATGAGTAAAAGAATGCACAGATTGGACATGTAAATAAACAGGTTAAATACCCTGGCAGCTCTTGAAAACAAACCCCTTTTTCTGAATCTGCTCAGAAACCTCCGTTCTCATGGTCACTCGGCAACATGCTGCGGAGAAGAAGACTCGGCCTCGGAACAGCCATGCCCGGGTTCGATCCCAGTCCTAGCTTGTGGCAGCCGGGTGACTGGGCATGATTCCTGGGCTTCAGTCCTAATCTGTAAAACGTAGGGGCTGAAGGAGGAAGCGGGATGGAGTGGAGACCATTAGAATTAATGTATGAGGCCAGGCGCAGTGGCTCACACCTGTAATCCCAGCACTTTGGGAGGCCAAGACAGGCAGATCAGGAGGTCAGGAGATCGAGACCATCCTGGCTAACATGGTGAAACCCCATCTCTACTAAAAATACAAAAAATTATCCAGGCGTGGTGGCACGTGCCTGTAGTCCCAGCTACTCGGGAGGCTGAGGCAGGAGAATTGTTTGAATATGGGGGGCCAAGGTTGCAGTGAGCCAAGATCGTGCCACTGCACTCCAGCCGGGGCAACAGAGAGAGACTCCATCTCAAAATAATAATAATAATAATAATAATAATAATAATAATAATAATAATAAATGTATAAAAAGTGAAGTCCCTGGTACCTGTTAAATGTTCAGTAGGTGTTTGTTGTTGTTATTGGGCAAAAAGTGAGTTTTGCCCTCTCCCTTGTCCGTGGGTGAATAAAGGCTGCCTAAGCCCATTTCCTATGGACCATATCCTCAAATAGCACATACCTACCGGTAAGTGTCCATGTCACCCTCTGAGCAGGACACCAAAACCACATTTTGTGATCTCTAGTTTTCTGGGATTTATAATATAAAAAGAAACCTGATGCAACATTCCAGGGCTATTACAAGTCAAATTCCAATGCTACAAACTCTAAAAGATCATAAAATACATCCTAACAAAGATTACTTCCAATAAGAGAATCTGGCTGGCTAAGGTTTTAAAATCTCTTGGTTTGTCAAATAGACACTTTGTTATAATTTGATTTTACTTGTGGCATTACTAGCAAACTTTGTAAATCCCAAGTATACTTTGGCAGGGTAGATGGATGGAATTGTTGGGAAAGCCTTAGGGTGGAAAACATTAACTAGAGCTTAAGAAAAAATGTACAAAGGAAATGAGGAAAGGATAGGCAGATGGGGAATTCAGTGAGGTTTCGATGGACTCGTGCTCGGTCCTGTGCCTGATATCTTCTTCCTCTTGGTGTGTTTCTTTGCAGAACATTGACAACCCTCAAGATAACAGGGGCATCTGAGAAATGTAGGAAGCAAGGCAGGTTGCTTGGGGAAATATTTGTGGACTGCCTTCTTCTAAGGTTATTCCTATTTTAAAGGACTTGAAAAAGTACTAAATATGGGTTAACATCACGAAAGAGTTTTCCTTTACTCCCAATCTTTACTAATCTCAATCTCAATACCTACTATTGATTCCCTTCTTTCCAGTCCCTAGTAATGACTGGCACAGAGTAGTTGCTCAATAAAATACTTTCAAATTGATTAAAGTCATATAAGATTACTTATGGCTTCAGTGCTAATTCTTGCCACATAAATTTGTGTTTTATACATTTCAAAGTGAGATTAGTTTCACTTTCAAGATTGTGACACAAGACAAAGGGCAGCTCTGTGGGATCTGACGTGATCATGTCAGGGGATCAGACAACCAGCTTTATGATGGATTTCCAACAGATCATTGTGAATCTCTTTCAGACACTCTGCCACACAGCTGCTGAAAAAGAAATATGAGCTGACAAAGCATTCTTCATTTTACCTAAACAAGAAAAGAAAAGAGGCCACCATACCCCAGGGCACAGGTGACAGACAATAAAATAGCAAAAGTCAGTGAATTATGGGGATTGAGTTTTTGCTGGGATGCAGATGGAAACATGGTCACACCCAGTAAACAGAGGCCTATGTCTGGATTCTACAGATAATTCTATAGGAAAGAAGATGAAATGGACCATAGACAGCGAATCACTGTTGTGATTAAGAAAATGTAGATCTCCAGCTTGGGCAGCATAGAGAGACCCTGTCTCTACAAAAAAAAAATTAAATTAGCCAGGCACCATGATGTGTGCTTGTAGTCCCAGCTACTTGGGAGGCTGAGGTAGGAGGATCACGTGAGCCCAGGAGTTGGAGACTGCAGAGAGCAAAGATCACAGCACTGCACTCCAGCCTGGGTGACAGAATGAAACCGTGTCTCTAAAAAAACTAACTAAATGAAAGTAGATCAACTTCAAAGACTTACTTTCTGGAGATCAGTTAAAGCTTTGTAGGCACACATACACAAATCCTACGACACGCCTAAAACAGTGGTGTGCCCTAGGTATGTTAATAGAATAGTTAGGGTAAAGATTTAGTTCGGAATATTTGCACAAATTAACTTCGGCTTCTGTTTAAACATATTCTTATTAAAATTTTCATATTGCATACTTATGCTGAACCACATTCATAAAACATCAAGGATTCTTATTCAATGCTTCATGAAGGGCACTATATTTGGCACAAGACTCTGCCCCAAGGTGTTTTCACACAGCTGGAAACCATGTTTCCTCAATGTACAGGCTCCATATTGCTGAGGCTTTTGAAGCCAACAGGGTTTTTGCCACAGGGGAGCCCCTGCTGAGCACCTGGGGATTCCCTGGGACAGTGAGAGCCCCAGGGAGCAGGAGACAATTAGAAACCGACTCAGCATAATAATCACTCTTCGGGCCTTTGCTGTTTATTTTCTCACATTCCTCCTGCCAGCCACCTCATAATTCACCTTCCCCCCAATTCTCTGACACTCTTGACACAGAGCAGAACCAGCAGAACTGAATGGAAGGTTGCAAATGAAAGAGGCTGGAGGGGTTTGGGAATGGGCCCTGGGCAAGGCAGAAAGGTGGGATGGCTGAGAAGGGATTTAATGACAATCCCAAGAGCTCCAAATGGGGCAGGGGAGGTGGTGTCCACAGGGAAGGAAATGAGAGGAACAGGTTTACATTCCAAGAGGACTGGATCAAGGAACGGCTTGCCAGTCTTCTGGAAGTTTTTGACAAAAGATGGGTGACAGGGCCTGGTGGTCATGCTACATTGAGAGGCAGCCTCAGCTGTCTGAGGATATCCAAATACTCATTTGGAGATGGAAGGCATGTGACATACTTCCTCCCTCCCTACACTAAATGTTCCTTACTTCCTATCTCTCTCCACAGGGCTCACCTCCTATTGTATTTTGGCCCTTGTTTCTTTCTTCTTCTTCTTCTTCTTCTTCTTCTTCTTCTTCCTCTTCTTCTTCTTCTTCTTCTTCTTCTTCTTCTTCTTCTTCTTCTTCTTCTTCTTCCTCATCGTCGTCTTCTTCTTCTTCTTCTTCTTTCTTTTTTGAAACAGGGTCTTTGCTGTGTCACCCAGGCTAGAGTGCAGTGGCATGATCACAGCTCACTGTAGCCTCAAACTCCTGGGTTCAAGTGATCTTCCCATCTCAGCCTCCTGAGTAGCTGGGAGTAGCTGAGTAGCTACAGGTGCATGCTACCACACCTGGCTAATTTTTAAATTTTTAGTAGAGATGGAGTCTCACTGTGTTGGCCAGGCTGATCTAAAACACCTGGCCTCAAGTGATCCTCCCTCCTCAGCCTCCCAAAGTGCTGGGATTATAGGTGTGAGCCACCACATCTGGCTGCATTACTGGCTATGAGAGAGAAGGCAGAAGAAGACTGCCCTCTGGGAAAAAAAAATGAATAAAATACTTTTTAAAAGTTTTTAAAGTTTTTAATGGCTGTTATTTTACCATTATACCTTCATTTATTCCCATCTTTAAAAGTTCCTAAAATTTAAATACCCACACATCAGAGGCAGTGTCCATTAGTAAGAATAAATGGCAGTTGGTTGCCATAGAAATCTTTAGTTGAAATTATCTGAACGCTTCAGATGCTCTAGCCTGGCCTTCTGTTTTTCAGGGCCCCAGACTGGCTAGGCTGGGACTTAGATTTCACCGAGAGGAACTTTCCCTTCTGGCTGGCTTAGCTTCCAGAACATGAGCCTGGCTAGGGATTTATATTGCCCTAGATCCAAAAACAAAATTAAAGGACAACAAACATATTGGGAAAATATTTGCAATCTGTGACAAAGGCAAATCACCTTAATATAAAAATAGCCTTTACAAATCAATAAAAGATGAATACCACACAGAAAACCAACAATGACAATTAAAAAAATGAAGCCAAGAAAAACATAAAGAGATAATTTGTAAGCGAGGAAATACAACATGATAAAATCGCAAATGAAGAAAAACACTCCACACTCACAAGTAATTAAAGAAAAGCAAAATGAAGCAACAATGAGATCCTTTTTCACTTATCTAATTAGCAAACATTTTGTTTCCTTTTTTTAGTGATGAAATTCAGTATTGGCCGGAGTTCAGAAAATGAATCTCTTTTATTCATTGGTAGGAGTGTAAACTGGCAAACCTTTTCTGGAGAGACATTTGGAATATTTATTAGTGGCTCTTCAAAGCAGTATTTCTCATTATATGCACCACAGAGAATTGGTTAGGTAAGCTACGGTACATCCACATGGCGCCATTAAAATGTTGCAGAAGAAAGATTCAGTGATGTTGAGAAAAGTAGATTACAAGATCATATATTCAATATGAGTATAGTTTTTGTTTTTTTTAAAAAATGTATAGAAGGACCTGAAGAACCGGATTCTTAGTCACATAAAATTACTATTTGAAATTTACTTTGCTTCCATGAATGAACCTACTTAAAAATTTATTTATTTATTTTTTGAGACGGAGTTTCACTCTTGTTGCCCAGGCTGGAGTGCAATGGCACCATCTCGGCTCACCACAACCTCCGCCTCCCAGGTTCAAGTGATTCTTCTGCCTCGGCCTCTGGAGTAGCTGGGATTAACATGTGTGAGCCACCACACCTGGCTAATTTTGTATTTTTAGTACAGATGGGATTTATCCGTGTTGGTCAGGCTGGTCTCGAACTCCCAACCTCAGGTGATCCGCCCACCTCGGTCTCCCAAAGTGTTGGGATTACAGGCGTGAGCCACCGTGCTGGCTTAAATATTTAATAGGAAGAATTTCCCTAGTGGTAATTTGTTCTATGAATTTTTTTTTTTTTGATGGAATTTCCCTAGTGGTAATTACTTTGTTCTATGATTTTTTTTTTTTTTTTTTGATGGAATCGCATTCTGTCGCCAGGCTGGAGTGCAGTGGCACGACCTTGGCTCACTGCAACCTCCGCCTCCCAGGTTCAAGCGATTCTCTTGCCTCAGCCTCCCGAGTAGCTGGGATCACAGGTGCTGGACCACGCCCAGCTAATTTTTTTTTTTTCTTTTTTTTTTTTTTTTTGAGACAAAGTCTCGCTCTGTAGCCCAGGCTGGAGTGCAGGGGCGCAATCTCGGCTCACTGCAAGCTCCGCCTCCCGGGTTCACGCCATTCTCCTGCCTCAGCCTCTGGAGTAGCTGGGACTACAGGCGCCCACCACCATGCCCGGCTAATTTCTTCTAGTAGAGACGGGGTTTCACCATGTTGGCCAGGCTGGTCTCAGTCTCTTGACCTCATGATCTGCCCGCCTCAGCCTCCCAAAGTGCTGGGATTACAGGCTTGAGCCACCCCGCCCGGCCTTATGAATATTTATTAAACTCCTCCATAAGCCACGTGCCACTCTAGGTGAAAGAGACAGAAGTGAATAAGGCAAACGTCTAGCTTTTATATCCCTTTTCATAGGGAACACAACAATAAATAAGCAAAACCAACAGAAATAAGAGGGTGATAGTTTCATGAAGAAAACACAATAAGTTACTGGGACAGAGATTGTAAGGAGGTCAGGGGGCAACATTACGTACAATGATGGATCTGATGGATCTGATGAAATGATATTTGAGTTGGGACCAGAGTGACGAAAAGGATTCCAGGCAGAAGGGAGAACAGGGGCCAAAGCCCTGGGGTGGGAACAGCACTGAAATACTTATGGAACAGAAATAAGTTCAGTGGGGCGAGAGTCTGTGTGTGAAGACAGCAAGAGAGTAAGAAATGAAGTCAGAGTTAGGCAGGCCCCAAATCACTTACACTCTTAGGTCAATGGAAGGCAATGGGAAGCCACTGGAGGACTTCATTAAAATTTGATAAAATGCATTCTTAAGGATCAAACATAAAATCTAAACTTTCGGTAATCATTTATGGTTAAAAGTTAACGTTAGGTATATAAATCTTCTTTAATAAAACAATTCTGTGGGACAGATCTGCTACCAAGGCTCAGAGAAGTTGAGTGGCCTGACCACAGTCACACAGCTGATAGGTAGCAGGATTGGGACTAGAGCCTGGGGCTCCTGCGCCCCAGGTCAGTTACTAGGCATGAATAGAAACACCGCACTGCAACACTGAATGTTAGCCGACATGGCAGCTAAAATGCACACATTAGCATTACCAAATGAGTGAGCCGATTGAGCAAGTGAGTTCTCCTACCACTACCTCCCCTTAGCATTGGCTTTGAAGACGGTAACCGGGAAAACTCAGACTGGGTCGCCCCATGTTATTGCGCCAGGACTGGAGACTCTGAGAAGCTGGTTGCAACATTTGGCGTCTTCGCTTCGGATGCTCTATAAGCCTTTTGAGAGATGAGCCTGAGTTTGTGGCGGCAGGCTCCCTTTTGAAAGAGCCACCCAATCTGGCCTCCCCAGACATCTTCCTGGAGGAGGATTGAGCATTATTCCAAAAAAGAAGGGTGGCCTCGAGCTGGCCCATCAGGCCCTAGCAATACCCAGCTCCTCATCAGGATGGGTGCAATGTTTGTTTTGGACTTTAAGCTTCTCTTTCACCCTTCGCTCTTTGTTTCCAAGGCAAGGCCAGTCAAGCTGAGCCCTCTCAGCAGAGCCTTTTCCAGCAGCTGCAGAAGCCGCCTCACAACAGCCACTGGCTGGTGCTTCTTCCTCTCTGTGTGGGATGTTGCCTCTTACTCCTCTCGCAGTCTACCTGGCTCTCCTTGGCTTGCGCAGCCGTGGGCTGGGGAAGCATAGGGTACCCTCAGTGGTCAGTTTTATCTCTGAGTCCCCAGAATGCTGCTCTTGATTAGCTGGACCTTTCCCAGTCTGGGCTTTGCAGCTTGCACTTATATTTTCTCTGGACAGTCCAACTGTTCTTTCACAGAGTCCTTCAAACACATGGCTCTTTGAGATTTGAGTTTGCTTCTTATTTTTTCTTTAGAGATGGGGTTTTGTACTGTCACCCAGGCTGGAGTGCAGTGGCAGGGTCATAGCTCGCTGCAGCCTCCAACTCATGGATTCAAGCAATCCTCCCATTTCAGCCTCCTGAGTAGCTGGGACTATAGGCAGGTGCCATCTCACCCAGCTAATTTAAAAACTTTTTTTTTTTTTTTTTTTTTTTTTGTAGAGATGAGATCTTGCTTTGTTGCCCAGGCTGGTCTCAAACTCCTGGCCTCAAGCAATCTCCTGCCTCAGCCTCCCAAAGTACTGGGATTACAGGTGTGAGCCACTGCAGCCGGCTTCCAGACTTCTTAAATAAGGAGGTAAGTTGTGAGGTACCTGGAGTAGTGAAATGTATCAAGACAGAAAGTAGAATGGGGGTTGTTAGGGGCTGAGGGGAAGGGGGAATGGGGAGTTTTTGTTTAATGGGTATAGAATTTCAGTTTTGCAAAGTGAAGAAAAGTTCTGGAGATCCATTGCACAATAAGGTGAATATACTTAATGAACACTACAGAATTGGAAACTTAAAAAATAGTTAAACCAACCTGGCTGACACAGTGAAACCCCGTCTCTACTAAAAATACAAAAAAAAAAAAAAATAGCCGGGCACAGTGGCTCATGCCCATAATCCCAGCTACTCGGGAGGCTGAGGTGGGAGAATCACTTGAACCCAGGAGGCAGAGGTCGCAATGAGCCGAGATGACACTACTGCACTCCAGCCTGGGTGACAGGGTGAGACCCTATCTCAAAAAAAAAAAAAAAAAAAAGGTTAAGATGGCCAGTTTTCTGTTATGTGTTTTTTAAAACCATGGTTTTGAAAAAAAGCAGATAAAGAGTGGACCTGATCTCCCCATAGTTTGCTGCCCTCTTGTCTGCCCGCCTGCCCGCTTGAACACATGGAGCTCTCCTTCCCTGTGTGTAAGACTGATCTTTGGTAATGAGATGCCTTGACCTGCCACTTGATGTCATGGGATAACTGAGAGCCCACTACCTTGAAGTCTCCGTGAAGACACAGTCCACCGCCTCAAAACACTCCACTGATGCCTCCAACCCCACTGACCTCAGCAACCCTTCCTGTCAAAGTCACAGATGACTTCCACTTTGCCAAATGCAACGGCCATTTTCTGGTCTTCCTCTCAGCTTCTCTCTTGGACACAATTGACTTCCTTCTTGAAATATACTCTTGTTTTGGTTTCAGGACCACCTCGATGTCCTGGTTTCTGCCTAACTTAATAAACATTTGGATCCCTTCACTGGTTCCACCTCTTCTCAAATGACTAACTGTTGGTGTAGCCCAGGGCTCTGTCCTTGGCCTGCTTCTCTTTTCCCTCAGCATTTTCTCTCTAGAGCATCTCAACTATCCCTGAGACTTACAGATAAGTCAACAAGATAATTCCCAGATCTGTGCTTTCAGCCTGGATCTTCCTACTAAGTTTTAAATTATGCCTCCAACTGCCTTCTTGACCTCTCCACTTGGATGTCTGTATCAACCCATTATGAATTTTCAATTCATTGGGGGTATAAACATGAAGTCGGTTCATGTTTTTCCATAACTGCCCTGATTATGCTAGTCTCAATACTCAAGAATCTTGGGATACTTCAGTCCAATTCCACAATGTCCAGATTATTATTACTATTATTATTTTGAGACGGAGTCTCGCTTAGCTGCCCAGGCTGGAGTGCAGTGGTGTGATCTCGACTCACTGCAACCACCATCTCCCAGGTTCAAGCAATTCTCCTATCTCAGCTTCCCAAGTAGCTGGGATTACAGGCACCCGCCATCATGCCCAGCTAATTTTTGTATTTTAGTAGAGATGGGGTTTCACCATGTTGGCCAGGCTGGTCTTGAACTCCTGACCTCAGGTGATCTGCCCGCCTCAGCCTCCCAACATGTTAGGATTACAGGCGTGAGCCACTGCGCCCGGCCGATGTTGAGATTACTAAAGTAGTCTCATTCTAGATTTTAAAATCTCATTACTATTTATACTTAAATATTATCTCAATGGTCAATTCTTTGTCTAGGACATCAAATTGTTAAATAGGTCTAAAACACCTTGAAATAACAGAAAGCAAGGAATCGATAAAAAAAATCTTAGGCCCATGCCAAAAGAATCCAGGAGCCAGCATGAAGTCTCCTTCTGTCTAAAGATGGAAATGTTTGAACAATAAAAATAACAACTGCAGTGGATTAAACACATTAAAATCCTTAAATGTATAAGTTCACAATGAAACTTCAAAAAACTCTCTCATTTGTCCTCTTTTAAGGATGACTAGGCAACCAACACATTATTTTGAAAACTTGTAAATAAAAAGAAAAAATAAATGTTTCCAGCATAAAATGAGCCTCAGGACAACCCAGTAGTTAAAGAGGGAAATTTATCTTTACAGAAGTATTTCAGCTAATAAAGAAAGAAGGATTAAATTGGAATATCACATTTTTTGGAACCTCTGGTGAAATCATTGTTCTTGGCAATAATCACTAATAATGGCTAAAAAGACAACTGTAGAAAAAAGCATAAGGGAAAAGCTTCACAATATTGGATTTAGCAAGGATTTCCTCAGTATGATACCAAAAGAACAGTCAACAAAAGGAAAAATAGACAAATGGGACTTTTAATCAAAATTAAAATTGATTAATTTTAATCAAAATTAAAAGCTTCTGTGTATCAAAAGACACAATCGAAAGAGTGAAAAAATAACCCACAGAATGGTAGAACATATTTGCAATTCATATAAGGGGTTATAAGGGGTTAGGATCCAGAATATATAAAGAATTCCAACAACTCAACAAAAACAAAAACAAAAACTCAATTAAAAAAATGGGCAAAGGACTCAAACAGACATTTATCTAAATATGATATACAAATGGCCAACAAGCATATGAAAGATGCTCAGCGTCACCGTCACTAATCATTAGGGAAATGCAAATCAAAACCACAATAAAATATAACCTCACACCTGTGAGGATGGCTAATCAAAAAACAAAAAAAGTACGCAATTAAACAAAAATAAAACAAGGGTTGGAGCAGAGGCAGAGAAATTGGAACGCTTGCACATTGTTGGTGGAATTGTAAAATGGTGCAGCTGCTGTGGAAAACAGTTTGAAGTTTCCTCAAAATACTAAAAATAGAATTGCCTTAGGATCCAGTCATTTGATTTCTAGGTATATACCCACAAGAATTAAATGAAGGATCTTGAAGTGATATTTGCACACCCATGTTTATAGCAGCATTATAGTCAAAAGGTGTAAACGGCCAAAGACTGGGCAGATTGATGGATGAATGGATAAACAAAATGAGGTACACACATACAATGGAGACCCTGAAAGTGAAAGGAATTCTGACACATGCTACAACATGAATCCTGAGAACACTATGATAAGTGAACAAACCTGTCACCAAAAGACAAATATTGTGTGATTCTGCTTATATGAGGTATCTAGAGTAGTCCAATTTCATAGAGACAGAAAGTAGAATGGTGATTGCCATGTGCTGGAATGGGGTCAATGAGGGGCTTTTGTTTAATGGGTGCAGAGTTTTAGTTCTGCAAGATGGAAAGGTTCTGGAGAGGGATGGTGGTGATGGTTGCAAAACAGTGTGAAGATACTAACGCTACTGAACCGTACACTTAAAAATACTTAAGATTGTACATTTTAGGTATGTGGTTTCATTTTTTTTTTTTTTGCCACAATAAAACGAAAAAGAGAGAGAAATAACCTGTGAAATAATCTTGCCAAAAAATCAAACCAATTTAAATCTGATCAAGCCTCTCCATCTAACTACCAATTTATAGAAAATGTGGGTCAGAGGAACATCTTAACAAGGTCGCTTGGAAGCAATCTGCAAAACCCAGACTGTGGGAAACTCTACAGGAAAAACAACCAAATTTCTTTAATAAATTGCAAGAAAATAAAGTAGAAAGCAGAAGAAACCACAGATTAAAGGATTCTTTATTTATTTATTTTTGTTTTTATTTTTTTTTTGAGACACAGTTTCACTCTTGTTTCCCAGGCTGGAGTGCAATGGCATGATCTCAGGTCACCACAACCTGTGCCTCCCGGATTCAAGCGATTCTCCCGCCTCAGCCTTCCGAGTAGCTGGGATTACAGGCATGCGTCACCACGCCTGGCTAATTTTGTATTTTCAGTTGAGACGGGGTTTCTCCGTGTTGGTCAGGCTGGTCTCTAACTCCTGACCTCAAGTGATCTGCCCGCCTCGGCCTCCCAAAGTGCTGGGATTACAGTAGTGAGCCACCATGCCCAGCCAAGGACTCTTAAAAGATATAAACATCAAGTGCAACGTATAGAACTTATGTGGATTCTTAATCAAACTATAAAAAATTATGGCACAATCTGGGAACATCTGATAATATTCAGGAATATAATGGCTATTTTAAGTCCTTATCTTTTGGCAATATCTACTAAAATATTTATGGTAAAATAGCCTGACGTCTGAGACCTGCTTAAAAATAATTGAGGTGGGAAAGTTGGAGGGTAAGTATGGATGAGCAAAACTGGCTGAGTTGGTCATTATTGAAGCTTGAAGCTTGGTGGCGGGAGTCAGCACACTATTCTTTCTGTTTTGTGAAATAGAAAGAATCCCCCTTTTGGCTGTCTCTCATATCTTTCTCCACATCTGGGCGGCATCAGCCAATGTCTGTACAACTTTTAGACAGAAGACAATCAGAACTGGGGACGGGGTTGAGGTCTGGTTGGGCACACCCACTCTGCAGTTGCTTATCTTTGAGTCTGTCCTTTCATTTATTGAATGAATGAATAAATGATATTTTTTAAAGCTGTGCATTGTGTTTGAAATTCTCCAATAAAAAGTTTTCCTTTTAAAATAGTAACCTTAGATTCTGCTTGAAGTCAGCCTCCTCTTCCCCCAGCAGCGTGACATAGGAGACAAAGTCATGGCGGGTACACATTTTTCCCCTCCAGCTCCCCTGGACCTACCCTCCTGGGTCGCAGCAGAAGGTGGAACAGAGCAGCAGGGACAGCTCCTTGCTGGGCTGCCCGGAGCAGGGAGGCAGTCTCCTCTCCCTGGATCGCTGTAGCCTTGTGGGCTACAGACACAAACAGTCTGACTGCTTGTGAGGCAGGGGTCACATGCTGGATCTCTCCTGGAACCAATCTTTGGATTTTCTAGACGCGCTTCAGATGTCCTTCCCTACTGCAGCTCTGCGGCGTGAAGATCGGGTTCTGGCTGGCGTTCACCTACGGCCTTCACCACAGCTCCTTGGTTGGCCCTGCATGAAGGACAGTGGCCTTCGGTGGGGTACCTAAGGTAGCTTAAGTCTAGCCACCTCTCAGCTGTCTAGAAAACCCACAGGAAATTCATGGGCCATTTCTGTGTCAAATGGAGGAAGTGCAGGCTGCCCAAGCGACACTCCCTCTTTTGGCTGTCTCTCCTACACCTTTCTCCACAACTGGGCAGCATTAGACAATGTCCGTACAACTTTTAGACAGAAGACAATCAGAACTGGGGACGGGGTTGAGGTCTGGTTGGGCACACCCACTCTGCAGTTGCTTATCTTGGAGTCCGTCCTTTCATTTATTGAATGAATGAATAAATGATATTTTTTAAAGCTGCACGTAAAATATGATCAAACTGAGCATACAATTAAGCTCTATTGGCCCAAGTGTTCCAAAGAGGGAGAGTCAGGACTTCATGAGATACACAGAATTGGCAACTGCAATAAGCTTGTTTCTAATTTCTCTCTGTGTTCTCTGTTCTTTTCTTTTCTTCTTTTCTTTTAAAGACAGGGTCTTGCCCCTTTGCCCAGGCTGGGGTGCAGCGGCAGTCATAGCTCACTGCAGCCTCGACTTCCTGGGCTCAAATCATCCTCCCACCATAGCCTCCTGAGTAGCTGGGACTACAGGCACACACCACCATGCCCGGCTAATTTTTTAAATTGTTTTTGGAGATTGGGTCTTGCTATGTTGCCCAGACTGGTCTGAAACTCATGGGGTCAAGCAATCCTCCTGCCTGGGCTTCCCAATTTGTTGTGATTACAGGCGTGAGCCGCTGTGCCTGGCCTAATGTTATTTTTTAAATTACTCAGTGTTTTATTAAAGAATCTCTAATAATTGATAATTCACCTTCTTTTGGGTTTATTGTATAGATAGAAAGAACTATAATAGTTCCCAGGAGCATAAAGTTTATATGAGGCCATCAGTGTAATATTTTTATGAATCTTCCTACTATGAAAGTGTGTTTCCTAGCACAAAACAAATGTGCTGCATGGAGGAGTCATAAAACGCATATGAGACAGTGCCACAAAGAAGATAACAGCGGGTCTTGCTACCAGCACAAGTCTGTTGTATATGTGATATATAACATAGATATAAGTCCCTTATATACATTACCACATGTAAGTCCCCTAACAATCCCACACGATTTGCATCTTTAGCTCCACGTAGAGATGAGGAAAGCAAAGCTCTGAGAAATTACTTTAGGAAATGATGGAGCCAGGATTCAACCCAACACTGTATTGCTTAAATCTCAAATGACACAACCATATTTAATAAGAGCACACCATGTACCAAGCAGTAAAGTAGGGCTTAGGGGAATTCCCAAGGGAATCATCACGAGTTATATTTTCTAAATATAGGATTTGTTTGAAGAAAATTTAGAAGTCTCCATGGACATGCTGCTCAGTCAAATTCCTTATCTCCCTATATCTTAAAATATTCAAAAATATATCTCTTTTGCATAACAAACCAGGGAATGATTTGTTGCTTTTGTTTGCTAGAGGAAAGTATACATCTGATGATGCTGGATATTTTTTTGCACAAGATATAATGTTTTGCTATCCATTTATTTTTTAAATACTATTTATATTAAAGGCAAAACCTATTTCTCCTTAAGGGAAAAAATAGATTTGGTGTCTAAGATAAATAAGTTTAATTTTTCTAGGTAATCAAAATATCTCAGAAGTTAATTCAGACCTTCTATGTCTTGCCTAAATAAAGCTGGTAGGTAATCGTATTAGTTACCTGCTTCTGCATAACAAGTTATTCCAAAACTTAGTGCCTAAAATAATAATAAACATTTATTATCTCATGCTTTCTGTGAGTCAGGAATTTGGGAATGACTTAGCTGGTGGTTGTGGCTCAGTCTGTCACAGCACTGCAGTCATCTGAAGGCTTGACTGAGGCTGGGGGATCTGCTTCTAAGATGGCACACTCATGTGTTAGGCAAGCCAGTATTGGCTGCTGGTAGGACGCCTCAATTTCTCATCACGTGGACCTCCCTATACAGCTGAGTGAGTGTTCTCATGACAAGGTAGCTAATTTTCCCAAAGTAAGTGATCCAAACAAGTGAGGCAGAAGCTGCAAGGTCTTTTTATAACCTAACCTCTGAAGTAACACAGTCATTTCCTCAATATCTTACTAGCTACATGGATCACCAGGTGGTGAGAATCATTGGGGACCATCTTAGAGGCTGGTTATCACAGTAATCAATGTGCATTAAGAACTAATTTGTTGCTAATTTCTAAGGATCATGTCGCAAGTCAGGATTCCTGATCCAGAGACAATGGCCCTGATGGGATGGAGCCCAAAGGTGTCATCGAGAGTAACTGGAATGAAATTGTTGACAGCTTTGATGACATGAACCTCTTGGAGTCCCTTCTCCATGGCATCTACGCCTATGGTTCTGAGAAGCCCTCTGCCATCCAGCAGCGAGCCATTCTACCTTGTATCAGGGGTTATGTTGTGATCGTTCAAGCCCAATCTGGCACTGGGAAAATGGCCACATTTTCCATATCAATTCTGCATCAGATTGAATTAGATGTAAAAGCCACCCAGGCCTTGGTCCTAGCACCCACTTGAGAATCGGCTCAGCAGATACAGAAGGTGGTCATAGCACTAGGAGACCACATGGATGCCTCCTGTCACACCTGTATTGGGGGCACCAACGTTCATGCTGAGGTACAGAAACTGCAGATGGAAGCTCCCCATATAATTGTGGGTACCCCTGGCCATGTGTTTGATATGCTTAACTGGAGATACCTGTCTCCCAAATACATCAAGATGTTTGTGCTGGACAAAACTGACGAAATGTTAAGCCATGGATTCAAGGACCAGATCTATGGCATATTCCAAGAGCTCAACAGCAACACCCAGGTAGTTTTGCCATCAGCTACAATGCCTTCTGATGTGCTTGAGGTGACCAAGAAGTTCATGAGGGAACACATTTGGATTCTGGTCAAGAAGGAAGAGTTGACCCTGGAGGGTATCTGCCAATTCTACATCAACATGGAACGAGAAGAGTGGAAGCTGGACACACTGGGTGACTTGTATGAAACCCTGACCATTGCCCAGGCAGTCATCTTCCTCAACACCCGCAGGAAGGCGGACTGGCTTACCAAGAAGATGCATGCTCAAGATTTCACTGTCTCTGCCATGCATGGAGATATGGACCAGAAGGAATGAGACGGGATCATGAGGGAGTTTCATTCTGGCTCTAGCAGAGTTTTGATTATCACTGACCTGCTGGCCAGAGGCATTGATGTGCAGCAGGTTTCTTTAGTCATCAACTATGACCTTCCCACCAACAGGGAAAACTATATCCACAGAATCGGTCGACGTGGACAGTTTGGCCGTAAAGGTGTGGCTATTAACATGGTGACAGAAGAAGACAAGAGGACTCTTTGAGACATCGAGACCTTCTATAATACCTCCATTGAGGAAATGCCCCTCAATGTTGCTGACCTCATCTGAGGGGCTGTCCTGCTTCCTAGCCCCAGCCAGAGTTCAATCTTGGGGGCTGAGGAGCAGCAGGGCTGCGGGAGGGAAGGGAGCCAAGGGATGGACATTTTGTCATTTTTTTCTGTGAATAAATGTCACTTTTTGAGGCAAAAAAAAAGAATGAATTTCTCCAAAAGAAAAAGTTGCTCATATGGAGAGCATAAAACACACTGTGGCATATATTCTATAAAATATGGTGTGGTAGATTGTTACAGTGATGGTCCTCAATACATCACATCTCCCTGAACTCATGTCCTTGCATAGTTCCCTCTCACATTGATGCTAGGTTTGGCGGTGTGACTTGCTTCAATCAATGGGATATTAGCAACAGTGATACAAGCAGAGGCTTGTAAAGCAAATTTACAGTGGGACCTACTCTCTCTAGCTGGTGGGGATTCTTCCTTCAATATGTAAACAGCCCAAGCTAGCCTCCTAGAGGGCAAAAGAACACATGGAGGGAGACTCAGCCAGCCCAGCCTTTCTAGCCAACAAGACCTGGCCACATGATTGAGCACCGCCAACACCACTCAGAGCACAGATTAGCTGTCCTAGCTTAGCACAGTCCAAATTACTAACCCATAAATTAGTGAGCAAATGAATAGTTGTTTTAAGCCACTGTGTTTTGAGATCAGGGGTAGGTAAATGGCATTACTGTTGTTTTTGTTTCCCTCTCCGTGACCCTCACCCTCACTGCTGCCTGCCAGGCCAGGTAGTGGTTGTGAGGGAGGAGGATCTGGGAGAAGACCTGACCAATGACAGAAATAGCCTCATTGGGAATCAACTGCACTTCATCTGCACGTCCCGATGGTCCTATCAGTTGCTAATAATCAAAAGCCAAAAGCCTTTCACTGTGTACTTAATGGAATCTTCTGTAAAACCCTTTCCATGTACCTGAACACTACCTGGGTCACTGCTACAGGCTGTGAAAGAACTTTACAAGCCCAGCTATGTGCAGAGAAAGGGACCCTTTAAATATTTTTTAGTCCATACATGCTAGCCTGTTATCTTTCCTCAAAGCAATCCATTCTCACCAACATATAGGAAAGAACTGAGTCCCAAATTCATTCTTATGACCATGTAATTTTTCTCTATGGAAATATTACTCAGCTCCTTCATGGGGGTGGGGGAGGGGAATGGGATGTTTCTACCCGTTTCATTGCACTTGCTATCTTTCTTGATAGATGAGTACCTAAATGAAAGTACTCACCTATTATCAATAGGGCACATGTATTGAGCTAATGGTCTAATAGAAGAGATGGATTTTTGCTGCTATCCTCTCTCCTTTGTGATCAACACATGTATGTAGAGAAAGCTCTGAGGCTCTTTATTCTAAGCAAGTGTGGTGAACAGTAACACCTGTCACTTGGGCTTAGGGAGGCATCAAGAAACAGAAAATCAGACAGACATGATTTGCATAATGGTTCCAGAATTTAGGGTTTGATTTTGGGCAAGCTACTTAACCTCTCTGAGTCTCATCTAGAAAATAAGGACGAAGCTATGTTCCTCACTGGCTTCAGGTAAGAATCCCTAAAGTGCTGTGTTTAAATCGGGGCCCATGATAAATGGTCTTAGTATCTGTTGGGCTCACTCCACTTTCCCTTCTTTCCCTTTAGTCACCATATGCATTGTGGGAGCTAAAGGCAGCACTTCAGTTCTGATGCTTTGTGTGACCACAGGCCAGAACCCAAGAAAAAACAGAACATGATTATTGGTGGCTATAATCAAGAATGAAAGGATCCCTTATTCTAGAAGTTTGCAGTGTCAGATGGAGCTCACTGATTCAGACTGACAGCTACAACTGGGCAAACCAGCCCGAGACAAACAACAAATGTATTAATTAGTAAATGTAATGAATAAAGAAATGGTGCAAGAGTTTTTGGTGTGGTTGTGTGACGAATGACCCGTGCATGGCAGGTCCAGACAGGATGGGTTTTGGGGGTGGGGGGAGGAGAGAACCATCATCCTGGTCCAGTTTACTGGGAAAGGCTCTGTGAGAGAAGCGTGATTTTAGAATTATTTGAATATTGGTAGGAGGGGGCTTCTGGAGTGAAGCGGGTGTTCCAGGTAGAGGGTGTGGCCTGAGACACATTTCAAGGGACAGTCAGAGTAGAAGGAAGCAAACGCCCATCCACACATGATATTATTCAAAATCACTAGTGAAGGAGCAAATCACAGATGGGGTCTGTGATTTTCTGAAAAGTTGGCAAATTGAGTCTTTCAGAAATGCACAAATATGTTTCCTCTAACATGGGTATCAGTTCAGTTTAGGGCCCAGACTTAGAGTGAGGTGCAGGGGGCTTGGAGCCCTTCTGAAGGGGACCAGCAGTTGAGGCCTCCATGAGGAAAAGATAAAAGGATGGGGCTAGTTTACTGGGGACGGCACATGGTGTAGGAGAGACCTGGTGCCTTCTCATTTTCTTAATGATGGCTCTGGAAAACATGTAGTTGCTGCTTCTACTCCTGTGAATGGCAGAGTGGTAGAAAGGACTTCAGCTTCAGCAGAAGAATATAGAAGAGACAAGGAAAAATCAGTGTCTCATATGACATGCAACAAAAGCACAGTTTAATCAGAGGCCCACAAAATTACAATCCTAGGAGTTCTTTCCAGACAGGAGAAACCCGCTCTGTCTTCATGCCTCATTTGTTCATAATTCCTCAGTTTATGACATTCAATAAATGGACATTTACAAGATCCAAAGTCATAATACAGACTATAACCTTAGCATACTCAACACCCAAGGATTTGCCATGATATATTGTTCAGGTCCCATCAAGCTTAAAGTTTCAGGAAACCAGCTCCCTCCTCCTGGAATTTTCTACTGGATTTCCCATAGACTCTGCTGCAGTTCTGCTCTCTGTTCCGCTCAGACAGATCTTTGCCTTTCTGCAAACCAGCAATTGCCTTCCAAGGGGGCTCACACAAACTGCAACTGAGCTGCTGGAGAGATATTCCCCTGTCACAGAATGTGGAGGAGGGAGATTGGAGGTGGAGGGTTTCTGCAGCAGCTAGGAGCAAACATATTCACACTCATAATTTTTGGGGGTCAATTCTTAAAATAGATTATATAGATGTTATGGCAGAGACTGCTCTGTGTTCACCAAATCCTGTCTCTTCTTCCTCCCAGCATACAGTGAGTCGACATTTTTCAGTTTATCTTGCAGCCAGTTGGAGCTGTATGATGAATCCTGGGGAATTAGGAACGATGTGTGCTGCTTCCAAGCCTGGCCCTTAAAAAAACTCCTGCAAGATCCTCCATGTTCTCTCTCTTTCTTTCTTTGACTACTGGCCAGATCCAGAAGATCTAGTGAAGGACAATAAGCCCTTGGGGACAGCAGACCCGACCATCTGGGTCTGGTCAGCAGCTAAGGGAAAAAAGAGGACTATAAAGCCCTAGGCAACAGAAGAGCCTCTTGCTGGAAGGAGACTGAGTCCTGAGTACGTGCATGGAACATCCCTTCCCCCACCGATTCACATGGGACTACGATAAGAGAAAAATAAACTTTGATTGTGTTGGGCCACTGAGATGTAGGAGGCTGTTTGTTACAGTACTTGGTCTACCCTGGCTAATGCACATGGAGATTAGAGAGTGCCTCTGGTCTGGGCTCTATACACCAGTCTGTGTTAAAATGGGTGCCTCAGGGGAAGGCCTGGCCAAGCAGCCTGAGCTATGAGGCCAGAAATGATTAATGGAAATAAATAGATGTTTAAAGAAATTAGGGGTAGCATCAGGTGAAAAAGTAAGGTAATACCTCAAAATCTATTCCATGCCAAGAGAATTCAATTTGTAAATAATATTATTTTCAACAAATGGTGCTAGGGCAACTGAATATCCACATGCAAAAGAATAAAGTTGGATCTTTCCCTTACACTGTACACAAAAGTTCCCCCAAATATATCACAGACCTAAATTTAAGGGCTAAAGCTACAAAACTCCTAGAAGAAAACAGGAGTAAGTCTTTGTGGACTTGGGTTAGGCAAAGCCTTCTTAGATATATAATGCCAAAAGCACAACAACAACAAAAATAAATTGGACTTCCATCAAAATTAAAAACCTTTGTGATTCAAAGGACACAATCAAGAAAGTGAAGACAAGCCACACAGTGGGAGAGAATAATTACAAATCATATATTTCATAAGCAACTTGAATCCAGAAGTGTTACAACTCAACAATAAAAAAGACAACTCGATTTAAAAATGAGCAAATAATTGGAATGAAAATTTCTCCGAAGAAGATATACAAATGGCCAATAAGCCCACGAAAAGATGCTCAACATTACTAGTCACTAAGAAAATACAAATAAAAGTCACAGTGAGATACCATCTCACACCCACTAGGATGCCTAAAATAAAGAAATCAGATAGCAAGTATTGGTGAGGGTGTAGAGAGATTGGAACTCTTGTACATTGCTGGTGGAAATGTAAAATGGTGCAGCCTCTTTGGAAAATATTTTGCAGTTCCTCAAATAGTAAACACAGAGTTAGCATATTACCCCCACAATTTCACTCCTCGGTAGGTGAATACTCAACATAAATGAAAACTTATGCCCACATAAAATCTTGTACACGAATACTCATAGCAGCATTTATTTATAATAGTCAAAAAGTGGAAACAATCCAAATATCCATCAACTGATGAAAGGATAAAAAAAGGTAGTATATCCAACCAAGGGAATATTATGCAGCAATAAGAAGGAATGAAGTATGTACTGACAAATGCTGCAACATGGATGAACCTTGAAAACATTATATTATGTCTAAGAAGTGGGTCAGAAAAAGCCATCTATTGTATGGTGCCATTTACATTAAATGTCCAGATAGACAAATCTCTGGAGACCAAAAGAAGACTAGTGGTTGCCTCATTCTTGGAGGGGAGAGGAGAGGGAAGACTAAGGGGAAATGGAGAGTGATGGCTAATGTGCACAGGGTTTCTTTTTTTTTTTTAATTATACTTTAAGTTTTAGGGTACATGTGCACAACATGCAGGTTTGTTACATATGTATACATGTGCCATGTTGGTTTGCTGCACCCATTAACTCTTCATTTAACATTAGGTATATCTCCTAACGCTATCCCTCCCCCACACCCCCACCACACAACAGGCCCTGGTGTGTGATGTTCCCCTTCCTGTGTCTGTGTGTTCTCATTGTTCAATTCCCACCTATGAGTGAGAACATGTGGTGTTTGGTTTTTTGTCCTTGCGATAGTTTGCTGAGAATGATGGTTTCCAGCTTCATCCATGTCCCTACAAAGGACATGAACTTATCATTTTTTATGGCTGCATAGTATTCCACGGTGCATATGTGACACATTCTCTTAATCCAATCTATCATTGTTGGACATTTGGGTTGGTTCCAAGTCTTTGTTATTGTGAATAGTGCCACAATAAACATACGTGTGCATGTGTCTTTATAGCAGCATGATTTATAATCCTTTGGGTATATATCCAGTAATGGGATGGCTGGGTCAAATGGTATTTCTATTTTTTTTTTTTTTTTGAGATGGAGTCTCGCTCTGTTGCCCAGGCTGCAGTGCAATGGCATGGTCTCGGCTCACTGCAACCTCCGCCTCCTGGGTTCAAGCAATTCTCCTGCCTCAGCCTCCTGAGTAGCTGGGATTACAGGCATGCACTACCACGCCTGGCAATTTTTGTATTTTTAGTAGAAACAGGGTTCCACCATGTTGGCCAGGCTGGTCTCAAACTCCTGACCTCAGGCGATCCGACTGCTTCAGCCTCCCAAAGTGCTGGGATTACAGGCGTGAGCAACTGCGCCCAGCCCCAGGGTTTCTTTTTAGGGTGTTGAGCACGTTCTAAAATTGATTGTGGTGTCAGCTGCACAACTTTGTGAATATACTAAAAATCATTGTACACTTTATATGAGTGAATTATATGGTCTGTGAATTATATATTAATAAAGCTGTTAACACTCTCTTCTGAATTATTTTCTATTTCATTACATAATGAAATATTTCCAACCACAGAATGTCATAATGCCCCAATACACAACAATTGTGCTGCAAATGAAGGGCCAATATTATGGTCCAGCACACATTGCTCAGGATAGCTGTCCTCAGAGGCCACCAAGCTGGACTGCCCACAGCACCCCAAGGCCCATGAAAACTTAAGTAAATCTATTCCTAAGAAACTTCTGAGGGTCTTTTGCAGTGATGTGCTAGTGAATGTTTAACAGCTGACTCTGGTGGGGGTGGAAAAACATGAGGCCACTAAGCATAGGGTTGAGGAAGAGATGGGTGGTAACATTCCACCTATAATATTTACACCATACAGATTTAACAGACATAAGTAACCTCAAAAGCATACCAAATAGTAAAACATGTAATAATTATGAGTTTTGAGCATTTATCACTTTTATTTTTAATATAATTTATTTAATTGTAAGTTTGTATAATTTTTAGTAACAGATGTGTTTATCAGCCGCTTGGTAAATTTCCTGAAAACTTAATGATTGGCTCTCGTGAGCTGGTCTCCAGCGACCACTGGGCCTCTTAAGTTTATTTCAGTCTGTGGCTGGTTACAGGAAGAGAAGGAACAAATGAGCAAAGTTTCTCTCTCTTCTTACACTCCCATGTCAAGCATGCCTTTCCCTTGAATCAACAGAACTCCCCTGCCTCCCTAATCCAGAATCAGGTAATTCCCGGAAGACGGTAAATTCATTGGGAGTTTCCTTTTCCTTCTTATTTAAAAGAAATTTCTGGCTTTATGGTTCTACTCACCATATTCACCTTCATCCCCTAATACTCTGCCCCATCCCAGGTCCATGCCCAAGTAAAAATAACAAGGGAACAAGAAGAGAGCAGGCAGGGGCTCCAGCTCATTTAATACCTTCTGTATATTCTTCAGAAGGATGATGCTCAGGTCTCTTCAGTTCACAATCAATACATTTTGAAGTCACAAGTAATTTGGCTTGAATCTATCACCTCCCCACCCAGAGTCAAGTGAACCATGAATGGCAATTCCGTGTAAAAGGTCTGCAGACATTTTCAGGTTGTTGGCCCTAAAAGCTTGAGGTAATATGTTTAGAACAAAATTCAGGCTTGTTTTGTTTGTCTCTTTGGTTTGTCAAAACAAATTGAACCTTTTAGTACAGAGCGAGGGCTGCTCATGGCCTCCTAAGAAGACAAGGGTACAGAGGCCTCTCCCTTCTTCTCCTAGTGAGCTGGTGCCCATCCCGGGCCCCCCAGGGAGGATGAAGCAGTCCTACCTCAATGCCCCCACAGCTCTTTGTTTACTTTTCCATTACTGCACTCAGTCAATAAATACTGAGAACCCAGTATGTGCTAGGTAGCTAGATATACAGTCATGAAATGAATAAGTGTCTGTCCCCAGGGGCCCTAGAAGTCTACTGGGAGAACTCATCACTTTGACTTCTGGCTCCTCATGTACCTCATATACAGGTTTAAGTCTGCTACGTGAGGAGTCCGTACCACACACCATGATGGGTTTCTAGAGCACTATCGTGGGTACTCAGAAAAGTTTGTTGAATGAATGAAATGGATCTATAGGGGAGGCTATTCCATGGGCCCAAGTCTCTGAAAGCTCTTAATGAAAGATCTACCCTAAAGGCACCTGAAAGTCTTTAATCTTCCAGAATCCAGCCAGAAATATCCCAACTGAAATCTTCCCCATGACTTACTCACGTATCCTTAAGCCACAGATTGACTTCATAGCCACAGATCCGTGAATTAATACGTAAATCAGTAACTTAAGAGCAGCTTAAATTTCTGGGTCAGAGACACCCTGAAGAGAGAGCAAAATGATTGTTTAAAAGACATTTTAAGATTCCTGGAGGCTGCAGGAAGAAGGAGACTTCTGGGAGGGGGTCTATTTTCAACCAGCCATTGCATAAGAACTTAAGAAAAGGGTTTTTTGTTGTTGTTGTTAATTGAAAGAAAAAATGGGAACCAAAGAACAGATAGGTATTTTCCAAACCCTTTCAGCCATGCCTATGTATCATCCGCATCACTGTGAATATATGGGACCCAAAATCAAACACCCGCCAAGAGATGCATAAACACTCAGAGCCCATGTACACACTTACACATGTGCAGTCACCGATGACCTGGAGGACCACAGGGGTCTTTTGATTCTAACAAATGAGCTCTGGAAAAGAGAAAAGTATTTCATAGGCAACACTGAATAGCAATTTTACAGGCATAGTTAGTATAAACCCACTGGACTTTTATTAATTAGGTTCATTCTCTCATAACATTTAAAATGATCTCCTTGATGTCTGATTTTGCACAAATCAAATGGGACCTGCCTATTTTGGAGCATAGGTTATCTGATGTAGTGAATGCCTCTTTTTGTCTATAGAGAAATATTCCGGAAAGGTCGTTGTATATGTCCTGTCCAAAGTAGCTTTAAATCAAATAGGAAAAACAATTAGAAAACAAAAATTTATCCACATAATGCATCACATGACTCTACGAACCACTAGATGTCTATAGCAATAGTAACTGCTTCACTTGTACAAGGAAGTACTATCTTCATGGTCATTCAAGAGATGGAGCTTTAGGTACTGCAGCTCTGCATCCATGGGATCACAGAATGAGTTAGAAGGCATCTTACAGGTCTCTTTTAGAGATAGGAGGGCTTAGAATTAGAGGAGAGTTGAATATAGGGGACACTTCAAAAAGTAAGCAAGGAAACTGAGTATTGTATAGGCACGGAAACTGAGGCCTGCAAAGATTTTGATACTCATATGGGGTCCATCAGCATCCTTAATTAAATTAAATTAAATTAAATTAAATAGGTGTTTGCCTTTGCAAATCTACTCTCCATCTTTCTTCTGCTGTTTGTTCTAGGAGGCTGATCTGCATGGGCTACGTCAGTGGTTCTCAAAGTGTGGTCCCCACTTGTTAACTTGTTAAAATGTTAACTTGTTAAAAATGCAAATTCTCAGGCCTCACCAGAACCTACTGAATCAGAAACGGTGTGGTGGGGTCCAGCAATCTGTGTTGTACCAGGCCTTCCAGGGAGTGCTGATGTTAGAGAGCCCTGGACGACATCAGACAGGCCGCTTAGCCACGGGTTTCCCTTTCGGCCTTGGCAGGTGAGGAACACTGGCAGGAGGTCCCAGATAGGAGTGAGTTCAGAGTTGTTTTTTTCCCAGGTTCGTTCCCTGTGGGATTGTCTAGGACTGGCTGCAGCAGGGCACCAATGTCACTGTACTTCTGAAGGCAGTCACTGAGCAACGTGGCCCCTTCCTTCCAGAGCCAGTACTCACTCCCTCTCCTCACCCTGTAGGTCTGGGGATGGTAACAGTCCCAGTTACTTGCTCCAGTACACTGCTCTCTTCCTCATGGTTCCCCTACACTCCACTCACATCTTTGTAAAGTGTCCCTATATTTAGCCCTCCTCTAATCCTAATTTTGATGTGCCATCTGGGATATTCACCTGGTTCACATCCAGATAGAAAGTTGCTTGTCTGGGTCATGGGAATGGAGCATGGCGTGGCCCCACAAGACTTTTCTCAGATGGGATAAGAATCTGTCTTATCCCAAATGGCACTGGGATATTCCTAAGTACCATATTTATAGCAAAAACTCATAAAACATATTGATAACAAATATGACCATGACATTTATTGGGTCATTCCCAAGACAAAATGTATTTCTCCCCATAGATGGCCTATCTTGAGTTTATTTTTTTCTTCCTCTCCCCTCTCATTGGTAGGTACCACGTGGCAAAAAACTTGGCTTGCCCTGGCTCGAGACCCTCCCCAAGAGCCCTGATTGGTCTTTATTTCCTAAACCCTTGGCTCACAGACTCTTTTCTCTTAAATCTACCCTGCTTCTTCTTGTTTTTTATATTGTGATAAAATACACATAATCTAAAATTTACTACCTTGATTATCTTTAAGTGTACAGCTCAGTAGCATTAAGTACATTCACATTGTTGTGTTATCATCCACCACCATCCTCCCACAGAACTCTTTTCCTCTTGTAAAACTGAAACTCTGTATCCATTAAACAGCTCCTCACTTCCCCTCCCTAATCCCAGGCCCTGGGAACCACCATTCTACTTTCTGTCTCTATAAATATGATGACTAAGTACCTCGATATGAGTGGAATCTACTGTATTTATCTTTTGGTAACTGGCTAATTTAACTTAGCATCATATTCTCAAGGTTCATCCATGTGGTAGCACATGTCAAAATTTCCTTGTAAGGTTAAATAATGTTTCATTGCATGTATGTATCACATTTTGTTTATCCATTCACTGTTGATGGGCACTTGGGTTGGTTGCTTCCACGTTTCCGCTATTATGAATAATGCTACTATGAATATGAGTGTACAAACATCTCCTTGAGATTCTGCTTTCAATTCTTTGGGGTATACACCTAGAAGCAGAATTGCTGGATCATATGGTAGCTCTATTTTCAATTTTTCGAGGAACTGTCATACTGTTTCCTATAGTGGCTGCATCATTTTACATTCCCACCAACAGTGCACACGAGTTCCAATTGCTCCACATCCTCACCAACATGTTAATTATTTTTTATAGTAGCCAGCCTAATGAGTGTGAAATGGTATCTCACTGTGGTTCTGTTTTTATAAATCTGCCAGGTTATAATGCTATTTCCTCCACCTAGAATGTAATCCCTCTATGCCTATTAAATATCTTGCCAGTTGAAATCAATCTCCTCCAGCTTCCTATTATCTTAACATGTTGTACTCTTATTTTAACACCTACCACCCCCTCCCTTATGCTTTCAATGGTTTTCTTTTCTTTTTTTTTCATTTGCCTGTCTGCTCAATTTGGATGCAAGTTTGAGGACAGATGTCTTGGATTGTTCATCTTTATATCTCCCAGTGTGTTTAGCCCAAGGCATTACAAACTGCAGGCTCTAAAATCCCAACTGACTTGAAATACTGAAGGCCATCCACTTAGTGGAAAACCCAAAACCAGACCCAGGTTTTGGGCCTCGCTCTTAGTTCAATACTTTTTCTGCTGGTGAGGGACATTAGAACCACATTAAAAATAAACATGTGTCATGTCTGAAAAAGAGATGTGACTTCCTGACATTGATTACTCATTTTCAATTTCTTCCTTAACGTATTCACACACACACACAAACACCAACATTGTGCTTTCAAGCCCACAAAGTTCATGCTGTGGTCCACGAAGATCAGAGTAACGGGCTTTCTGGCAATCAGCTCTGAATTGGTGCCACATCCTGCACTAATGGCCCTGCCTTTAGACCAGATGGAGGCAGATGTTTTGTAGTTTTCCTCATTGTCGCTTGCCCTGGTGTGTTTTGTTTTCATCCTGATGTGTTTCAGTGCGCTTCCCCTCCTTTGAGGAATTAATGCGCATGTATTTTCTATCCTGATAAAGATATCTGTGTTCTCGCAGAAAATTCAGAAGCTAAATTAAAGGGCAGGAAGTCGATCTAGCCTGGTGTTACAGTCTTTGGCGATACTGTAAGGAACTGGCCCAAGCATCTTCCATTCATCCCCCATTTTCCTTTAATCTGGAGAATGGGTTCATTCACTGTTTTGCATTCATGTCAACTCTTCACGGTTTTATCCACAGGGCTTTCCCAGAGATTAGGATTCAGCCCCTGATCCAGCGGCCAACATACTGCTGACAAGACTGCCGTAAGCGCCAAGGACCACTCAGATCTTCAAGAAAGCAGCTCTTCTTATCACATCAGGGAAGAGGCCTCTGTTTGGCAGTAAAGCACCAAGTGGGTTGTGGTGAGATCACAGGATAAAGGCTACTTCCTGTCTTCAGTCTCTTTGATTTCTTTAAAGACTCTCCAGAGGGAAGTAGATAGAGATGGGAAAGCCCACATTCTTCCTTTTAAAGGACTTCTCAGGGAACTCACTGCTCTTAGCCACTGTCCGGGTTTGAGTTAGTCATCTTACTGTTAGTTCCATACACCCTTTGAATAGGCCTGTGATCGTGTTAGAGGTCACACGGACAACCTAAAGAACTTGCATTCAACCGTTTCCTTCCTAATTGACATTGCTGGGCCTCAGTGGCAGGGCCATGTGTCAACAGCCAAAACATCTCCATTGTGTTTTTACTTGTAAGTTAATGAATCAATGGCTGTTGATTTTGGAGGCATATCTCGATCCCTTAGGTGGGTGCTTCTGCCCTCCCAGCCACCCTACTTTCCTGTCAGTGCTTGTCCCGGTGGGAATACCACACAGCTCATCTCATCTGTGTCTTGGAGAGATAGGGCATGACAGGGATTTTCCAGGACTGTGCTGCCATTTTCCATGAAAACATCCAGGCGTTCCCTTGTTAGGCATTACTTCCTTTTATCACCGGGCTCCCTCCTAGTCAGGGGTACTTTTCTCAGTCAATTTCAAGCCTCAAGGTCATAGATTCCTTGATAAAGACTTCCCTCTCATTGTAGCTGCTTCTTGCCCTCATTCCTGAGGACTAGACCCCAAGCCAGAAGACAAACACTGGGGGCAGCTGCCATCATTTGATTTAAAAATACACTGAAGTGGGAGTCCAATCTGAGATTTAAGGTTTATTCTCTGTACCTTCATTCACTGGCGTGTCCATACCACGATAATAAGACCATCCCATGGGACAAGAAGAGGAGGGAGGCAATTACGGAACAGGGTTTAACGGTAAAGACTTTAGAATCACACTGCCCAGGCTCCTTACTTGTCTCTGCCATTGTTTGTGTGACCTCAGGCAAGTCTAAAAGTCAGTTTGTTCATCTGTAAAATGGAGATATCTCATTTAATCTCCACAACAATCATGTAAAGCTAATTCCGCTAAAACATTTAGTGAAGTATTAGGCACAGAGTAAGTAGAGGATGTTGTTTTTATCTCATATTAAGTCATTAGTCATCTGAAAGAGTGCATATATATAACCTGGTATGGTTATAAGAAGTCATTTCCAGAGCCTTCTTCCATAGTCAGCTTTGACCACTGGAGCATCAAGCAGTACCCGTCAGGTTTATTCTCAAGCCCCCAAGTGTTTGCTATTCTTGTTTTATAAATCCTGTTCCTCTGTTGCCCAAATCTACCTTTGTCCAGAGGCTCCCTGTCTACCCCATTCAGAATCTGATGGGTGAAACTACATCAGTGGGGAAGCTATTGTAAGATGTGAATTAATTCAGTTAGAGCATACGCTGGCCCCAGTGTGAGTCATTAGGGGCAAAACCTTGAGCCAGGCAGACATGGTCTCTGACCTCAAGGAGCTTACAGTTTGGATTAGAGAGTAATATAGTTCCCTCTGCTTCAGCCACAACAGCTTCTTTACCGTCTCCTGAATATGTCAAGCACATTTCTGCCCCAGAGCTTTCGCAGTGGCTGCTTCCACACTTGAACATTACCCTCCCACACACCTTCACGACGTGTTCCCTCCATTCCTTCAAATCTCTAATCAAATGTTCTCTTGTTGTCATTTGTGGGATCTCCATGTGATGAGCCCCTGGTCAGCTGCAACAGTGTTCTGGCTAAGTCACCTCTGAGGCTACACCTGTGTCTGCATCATCCTTCCTCCCCCATACTTCACAAATGTCTCCTTGGCCATTGAAACCACCTCCACAATCTTCCTGTCTTCCCTGGAATCTCTTCAGCAAGAAAGGTGATTTCCCTGTGACCCCACCCTGACTAAGTATGTTCCACCCACAATGCATTCCCTCAAATACACCTTCCTTGTGGCTTGCACCAAGTGAATTGTCTGCTCTTTGCCCTTGGTTCCTCCGCATGTCTGTGGGCTGATTTATCAGTATGCTTCCAGAGGTCAAGAACTATCTGTTTATTTATACAAGTATCATTACGAGGTAAATGCATAAATAAGCCAAACGAGAAAACACAGATAAACTAAGCGCTTATCCCAGAGAAGTGACAATGGAGAGTAGTTACTGGTAGTAAAGGACAGATTGTTTTCAATAATGCAGTTTTTCTTTGAGAAGTAGTGTGTGAATGTGGTATTCAAGGTGAATCCTCTCCCCAGCCACATGTATCCCCATTTGTAGGTGGCCACTGTTGCCTGTTGCATGTGCTTTTTTTTTTCCAGAGGTTTTATAACCAGCTTAAGTAGGGGTTTCACTATGGAAGACAAATTACTACAATCATGTGGTACTACAGTCACATGTGGAAATGACTCTCTTTCCTTCTCTCCTCATCCCAGCCAATGCCTTTCTTCACTTTCCCACTGAGTTACTTCAATCCAAAGGAAAAAATAAATCAACGTAACAAAAAGAGTTTAAATGAATGTACACTCCCCACTATAGACAACTTTATAAGGAATTGCACTTAGCTGAGAATAACAGGGTCCTCCTAGCTGCTGAGATGTTAACCTGAAGCCAATTCCTCTATGATGTAATTTCTTCACTAATGTAAAGGTATATGGAATTATAATATTGGATATAATTACGTATTTTAAAGTGTATTATAGGCTGGGCATGGTGGCTCACATCTGTAATCCCAGCACTTTAGGAAGCCGAGGTGGGTGGATCACCAAAGGTCAGGAGTTCGAGATCAGCCAGGCCAACATGGCAAAAGCCCATCTCTACCAAAAAATACAAAAATTAGCTGGGCATGGTGGGTGCCTGTAATCCCAGTTACTTGAGAGGCTGAGGCAGGAGAATCGCTTGAACTCGAGAGGCAGAGGTTGCAGTGAGCCGAGATGGTGCCCCTGCACTCCAGCCTGGGTGACAGAGCGAGAGACCTGTCTCAAAAATAAATAAATAAATAAATAAAGTCTATTATAGAAAAAAATCCATCTACACTAGACACCAGTAAAAATGTATATATATATAATATATATATGTATACTTATATATAAAGTATATGTATATTTTAAGGTGGTAGGACTATAATTTCTTTTTGCGGGGGGGATGGAGTCTCACTCTGTTGCCCAGGCTGGAGTGCAGTGGTGCAGTCTCCGCTCACTGCAGCCTCCACCTCCTGGGTTCAAGCGATTCTCCCACCTCAGCCTCCCGAGTAGCTGGGACTACAGGCACCTGCCACCACACCCAGCTAATTTTTGTACTTTTAGTAGAGGTGGGATTGGCCAGGCTGGTCTCAAACTCCTGACCTTAGATGATCTGCCCACCCTGGCCTCCCAAAGTGCTGGGATTACAGGCATGAGCCACCACGCCCAGCCTGATTTTTATGTTTAAATTTTGTTTTTTTGTATTTTTACAATGAAAAATATAGAATATACTTAACAATTTATGATATTTTGTTTGATTTAATTTATCTGGCTCTCACTCTGCATGTGTATTTAAATATTGATTATACTGCATTGAGGAAAGAAAAGTAATAAACTCTTGGATTCAAATATATTCAGCAAATGAAATCCATTCCCTTCCTGTCTATATATTTATTTCTTGGGAGCACAGAGAGTACCATACAAAGTGGTGATTCTCTTGCTTGCCTGAATACTGGGATCACCTGGAGAACTTTAGAAAAAGACTAATGTTTAAGTCCCAAGAGCAGAGATTTTGATGTAGTTGCTCTGCAGTGTGGCCTGGTTTGGGACTTTTTAAAGCCTCCCAAGTAATTGTAATTTGCATTGAAGGTCGAAAACCTCTGATTTAAAAAAGAAAACAGGAATGAACACCACTGAGAATTCATCAGAATAAAGCATCTAAGAGAGTAACTTTATAGAATACAACCTACCTTGTTTTGCAGTTCAAGAACGAAAAATGCTCCAGAATTTAAATAACTTATTAAAAATAATAATGACTCCCGCTACTTCATACGTGCCTGGCAATTTTACATCTGTCATCTCTAATCATCATAAGGACACTGAAAGGTAAATAGCATGAGGCCCATCTTTTAAAATTAAATAGTTACATATTTATTTATTTATTTCCTTCCAACTTTTATTTTAGGTTTGGGGGTATATGTGCAGATTTGTTACATGGGTGAATTGCATGTTGCTGGGCTTTGCTGTGCAAATTATTTCATCACCCAGATAGTGATCATAGTACCTGGTTAGGTAGTTTTTCAATCCTCACCCTCCTCCCACCCTCCAACTTCAAGCAGGCCCCAGTGCCTATGGTTCCCTTCTTCATGTCCATATGTACTCAGTGTCTAGCTCCCACTTGTGAGTGAGAACATGCAGTATTTGGTTTTCTGTTCCTGCATTAATTTGCTTAGGATAATGGCCTCCAGCTGCAACCACATTGCTGCAAAGAACATGATCTCGTTCTTTTTCATGGCTGTGTAGTATTCTATGGTGTACATGTACCCCATTTTCTTTATCCAGTCCACTGTTGATGGGCATCTAGGTTGATTTCCTGTCTTTGCTATTGTGAACAGTGCTACAATGAACACATGCGTGCATGTGTCTTTATGATGAGTGATTTTTTTTTTTTTTTTTGAGACAGTCTCACTCTGTCACCCAGGCTGGAATGCAGGGGCACGATCTCAGCTCACTGCAACCTCCGCCTCCCAGGTTCACGCCATTTTCCTGCCTCAGCCTCCTGAGTAGCTGGGATTACAGGCACCCGTCACCACGCCTGGCTAATTTTTGTATTTTTAGTAGAGACGGGGTTTCACCATGTTGGTCAGGCTGGTCTGGAACTCCTGACCTCGTGAGTGATGAGTGATTTATATTCCTTTGAGTATATACCCAGTAATGGGATTGCTGGGTCAAATGGCAGTTCTGTTTTAATTCTTTGAGACATCTCCAAACTGCTTTCCACAGTGGCTGAACTAATTTACATTCCCACCAGCAATGTAAGTGCTCCCTTTTCTCTGTAATCTCTGCTATTTTTGGAGTTTTTAATAGTAGCCATTCCGACTGGTGTGAGATGGTATCTCACCATGGTTTTGATTTGCATTTTTCTAATGATCAGTTATGTGGAGGAGTTTTTCATATGCTTGTTGCCCATGCGTATGTCTTCTTGCATGAGACCCATTTTAAAGATGAGACTTAAAGAAGTTAAGTAATTAGCCCAAGGACACGCAGCTCTACTAGGAGGGGGCTGGAGACTTAAACACAGCTCAGACGCCAAAGCCTGTGCTTAGCCACTACCCTACATTGCTTTCATCTAAAAAAAAAGATGTAACTGTCATGCAGAACAATGCATAAGGTATGATTTAACTTTTGTGAACACAAACAGCCTTCAGTGTACAGGCATCAAAAAAAAAATCTGAATGGATGTTTATCAAACAGCCGACACCCTTCTCGGGGGACGGGCCTACCACTTTTAACTTTAAATACTTACAAAATTTCTGTTGTGTGAGTTTTTTTTTTACAATGAACATGAATTTTATTCGCAATTTATCATTTATAAAAAGTATACATTGCACTAATCACCAATTATTACTAAATTGGAATATTGGTAAGAAGCCAATTATTGGTAATAATAATTGGTAATAATTACCAAGTATTACCAATTGGAGATAACCATCACTACTAGTTACCAATACTAGTTACCTCCATTACCAATATGGAGGTAACTATCAATACTAGTGTGGTGGTTAAGGGCAAACATCTAGAGCCAGGCCAAGAGAGCAGCATTCCTATCTCCCTTTGCTGTCACTTCCCTAAACTTTGAGCCCTTTTCTGTCAGCCAGGGAGAATCATAGTACTCACCTCAGAAATTTTGTGAGGAATAGATACCCTCACAAAAGGGATATTACCTATATTATATTACTTACCATCACTGTAGTAATAATCAATGTATTTCTTTTCACTGAAATATCTTTAAATTTCTTATTTAAACATGGCAGCCATCCTGTGGTAACTCCCATTTTTGGGAAACCAAGATCTAAATCATCCAATACATGAATGGCTATTAAACACAGCTCAGAAGATTCTTAATTCCAAACCTTTCCTTGCACCAGCCAGTCCTGCTCCAACTCTTTGGGTTCTCACGAGGTTCCTGATTTGGACAATGACTATGTGATTTTTTTTTTTTTTTTTTTTAAGACAGAGTCTCACTCTGTCACCCAGGCTGGAGTGCAGGGGCGCCATCTCGGCTCACTGCAACCTCTGCCTCCTGGGTTCAAGCGATTCTCCTGCCTCAGCCTCCCGAGTAACTGGGATTACAGGTGCCTGCAACCACGACGACTAGTTTTTGTATTTTTGGTAGAGACGGGCTTTCGCCATGTTGGCCAGGCTGGTCTCGAACTCCTAGCCTCAGGGGTTTGCTGCAGGGGGACCCAGCCCCTGTTTTGATCAAACCTCATTTATAAAACCCTCCTCAGCCACCCACATCATTTCACCAGAAGTGACCGCAGGAGACCAACAACCCACCTTGTGATTTCTAAACGTGAGGGCAGGCCTGGGTCAAAAGCAGGGACATGCTTTTGTTTTGAGCATGAGACAGAAAAAACAAGCTTTGCAGTCGGGTTGGCCCTGGACGGTAAGGATGGGGAAGCCACGGAGACACGTGTTAAGTCAGCAGGAGCTGATGTGAGCCAGATGTGATTGTATGGGCAAGACCCAGGGGAAAGTGCCTGGTTTTCGGCACTCCTTAAAACCCTGCAACTTCTCATGTAAAAGACCCGATATGTAACCGCTACTTTCTGACATGTCCTGAGGAACGCCCGCTTCCTGGAGGAAGTCGGTTGCAAATTAAAGGAGGAAGGAGAAATTGATCTTCCTCCGCAGGAAGCAATGAGATCCTCGATGTCTCCATGGCCGTTTCATTTGAACACGTAGCTGTGGAAACCGGGTTTTAGGTCGAGTTAATCAGGAGCATCTACGTAGGAGAAAGTTCCCAAGCAGGATGCCGAAGTGGAAGGCGCAGCTGGCCGAGCGCACGTAGGGGTTCAGCTGTCCTGCCGGGCCTCGAGGGCAAGTGGGATACAGGATCCAGATTAAAACGTGGTGCCAGTATCCCAGACAGAAAAACAGACACGTTCGAGAAAACACGTGCCTTCTCTCTCACACACACAGAGGATGGGAACACGAACCACAAGACCCTGCCCTATAGACCAGATACCTTAATGATAAGAAAAAGATACACGTCCTTGTAAGAGTGAGATCAGAGAACATTGAAAAGTTAGCAGCCCTCTTACATCCATTTAGGGCATTTGGGACAAGCATGAAATTGAAGGGCCAGTCCATTTTTTATTTTAATAAAGGGAGAAACATAGTTAAGGGAGAGTGTGTGTAAAGGAAGATGAAATCTTTGTGAGCATGAAGGACGTTATCAGAGATTCTGTGAGCATAGGAGTGTCTGTGAATGAAAGAGCTCATCAAGGAAAGAGGTCAAGGCCTAGGAGCAGGTTCCTGGGATGAGAAAGAATGAAACAAGAATCAGCAACAGGGGCAATGAGAGAAAGGGTGACACAGGGAAGACGTGAGAGGCGGCAGTTGGCATTTAGAGTGGAGCTCATGTGGACCAGGTGATCTTCAGCTATGTCCTCTCTCTGCTCCCCCTGAACCTGGGGTAGCTTCTTAAATTCTCTCTAAGGATCCGGAATTCTTTTTTTCTTTTCTTTTCTCTTTTAATTTCACTTTAGATTCGGGGGTACATGTGCAGATTTGTTACGTGAGTATATTGCATGACGCCGAGGTTTAGGCTTCTAATGATCTCATTACCCAAGTAATGAACATAGTACCCAATAGATCGTTTTTCAACCCTTAATCCCCTCTCTCCCTCCCTTGTTTTGGAATCCCCAGTGTCTCTTGATCTCATCTTTGTGTCTGTGTGTACCCAATGTTTACCTCCCACTTAGAAGTGAGAAGATGCGATTTTTGGTTTACTGTTTCTGCATTAGTTCACTTAGGATAATGGCCTCCAGCTCCATCCATGTTGCTGCAAAGGACGTGATCTTGTTCTTTTTTTTATGGCTGCATGGATGCAGAATTCTGAAGAACTCAGCAAGGTTGAGTAACATGAGTAGCTTGCACAGTCATTAGAGGGGATAGAGATGGAATTCCAACTCAGTTCTGCCTGATGCCAAAGCCCCGCCGCCATGTTGTTAACCAAGGCGGAGAGGAAGCCTGAGACAGCTTAAGTAAACAGCCTAAGAAAGTTGAGAGCAATGTGCAGGTATTAAGTCAGCCTGTGACTGACCCTGTCAATGACCCTGATATTTTAAGAGGGACTGGCTTGTGTTAGGCCATGCGTGTTCTACGTGACACAGTGGCTGGGTAGGATATTTTAATGTTTTGGCATATCGTCTTTCTGGGTGTGGTGCACTATTGTTACACATGCCGCACACCCAGACAACATTGTGTGAGAGTTGCTGCTTACCTGGAAACTCCGGGCACCAGGATTTGAACTGCAATCATGAAGGGGTCCACCCTGCACAGGTATCTTGCTACAATAATAGCTGGAGGCTGTCCTTAACCCAGGACTTTATGAAGATAACAAAAGGAGGTATCGAGAGGGTTTGAACCCATGCTATAAAATAAGACCAATCCAGTTCATTTCCTGTTAACTTCTAATTTTATGCAACAAACCACACATGGTATAGAAAGGCATTTTGGCATAAACCACCAAATTCTTCTCACTAAAGAATGAGAAAAACTCAGCGTGGAATGGCTAAGGAAATGTTCTCTGTTCCAGTCTTGGCTGAATTCTTCTTCATCTTGGATCTCCAAGTTCTAGTGATTCTCCTAAGCATATTCCACAATTATCTGGTTCTACCTCTCTAGTAAGGCCTCTGTCTCTACACTGGAACTTGTTCAAATTTCACTTTGAGCATCAAATATTTAGCAATCATATTCCTAAGGAGGTTTGTTTCTCCTTCCCTTGGGGTTAACCAAAATGCTTGTTGTTTGTGACGTCTACTTTTTGCAAAAAGCTTCTCCATATTTTTGAGGCCTGTCATATCTGAGAACCCAAAGTTCTGGCTAGTTGTATTTGATTTCTTCCTAATTTGTGTGGTCAGGAGGGAATATTTTCAGCTTCTTTTGACAAGAAGAGTGACCTTTTTAAATGGGACCCCTCTCCCATCAAAAACAAGAATGCAGAACCAGGCGTGGTGGCATGTACCTGTAGTCCCTGACTCCTGGGAGCCTGGGGCTTGAGCCAAGGAGTTTGAGGCCAGCTGCAACATGGTGAGACCCTGTCTTGGAAACAACCACAACAACAAAAGAAATGCTGGTTCACTTCTCGTGCAGCCCTATTACAAATCCTTTGGGTGTAGCAGCTCAGGGTATTACTGTTAACCATTTTATCCTCAGTACTGTGTGGGCTGCACTGAGACACACTGCTATTTCTTAAAAGGGTCTGGGTTCTTAAAAGGGAACCATTTAGGTTTTGATGATAGTGGAATTAAATGTAGCACATTTAATTGAACTAACATGCAAACATCTTTTATGCGCTGATGGTACGTTGGAGGCTTCACATACATGCTTTCATTCCATCCTCAGAATATCTTTATGAGTGGGTATTCTACGCCCATCTTACAGATGAAGAAACTGAGACTACAAGAAATTAGGTAAAACAAAAAAAATTAGGTGACTTGTGCAAAGTCAAGACCACACAGTCACTAGGACTGGATCTTGGATTTTTTTTTTTAATTGAGGTAGAATCGTCTAACATAAAATGTACCATCTTAACTGTTTTCAAGGGTACAATACAACAGTGTTAACTACGTGCATATTGTGCAACAATTGCCAGAACTTTTTCATCTTGCAAAACTGAAACTGACCCATTAAGCCACAACTCCTCCTTCCCTTTTTTCCCAGTTCCTGGCAACCACCATTCTACTTTATGTTTCTACGAATCGGATCGCCCTAGGTACCTCATCTAAGTGGAATAATGTAGCATGTGTCTTTCTGTGACTGGCTTATTTCACTTAGCATAACATCCACAAGATCCAACCATGTTATAGCACATGTCAGAATTTCCTGGTTTTTTTAAGGCTGAATTACACTCCATTGTATGGATAGACCACATTTTCTTTCCAGATCTAGGATTTTAATCCAAGTTTGTGAGTCTCCAAAACCCAAACTCTTTTCAGGTGAGTACACTATGCTACTTTGTCAATGCTTTAAAGATAATTTAAATATAATTTAAGGATATACATAAAGATAATTTAAAGATAAAGATAATTTAAAGGCAAATGTCACATTATACATAAAACAAATGTGAGCTGAGACAGTGGTGTCCCAGCTCTGTGTTCTTAACTTTCCAAGCTCAGAGACGGAGGGACAGGGGACTGACAAGGTCCTTCACTGACTTACACATTGCTAAGGGGAGCACTTGTCTTTCTTGTTGGATAGAGAACAGCTCGGGGCTCCTCCATGCACCTTGCATGGCCTAGAACTGCCTCCCACCACCCTCCTAGCCCAAGACACATTCCGGCCTTCCTTCTTCTATAAGTCACGTACCAAGGGCTCCAGGACATTGCCAACCAAATACAAATAGGCCTGAGACCTCAAACTCCCCACCCTTCCCTCACCCAGCCTTGCCTGTTGCCCAACTTCTCTGTCCTGGTGAGCTTTGCCAGTCCCCATCGCTTCCGCAAGCCTGCAGCCTCGGTAATCCATGCCGCCTCTCTAGTTTTCATCATACCCCGTCAGCTGCCAAGGACAGCAGCTTCCTTCTCTGCAGCCTGCCTGACAGCTGAGCGTATCCTTCCTTTCCCCAGAATCCCATCCACATCTCATGACCAGGCCTCTATGGCTTTGCAGTTTGCAACATTGTTCTTTATATCCACCCCCAATCTCCACTACAGGCTGGTATTGAATGAGCTGCAGCCATTTCTCCTGCTTGACCATGTTACTCCACTCTGCTGGGAACCTTTGGAATCATCTTATCAAATCAAAGTCAGTGCTGTCCTGCTTGGATGTTTCTTCTGGCTGCTAACCCACTGCCTCCCTCTTCACCTACACCCTCCTTGGGCAGCTTGGTTCTGATCAAGAGTGCTCACTAGGCCTGGTGCAGTGGCTCACACCCATAATCCTAACACTTTGGGAGACGGAGGTGGGAGCATCACTTGAGCTGAGGAGTTCAAGACCAGCCTGGGCAACATACACAGACCACCTCCCTACTGCAAACTCTACAAAAGAAAGAAAGAAATTAGCCAAGCATGCTGGCATGTACCTGTGGTCCAAGCTACTTAGGAGGCTGAGGTGGAAGGATCGCTTAAATCTGGGAGGTCAAAGCAGCAGGGAGCCATGACAGTGTCACTGCACTCCAGCCTGGCTGACAGAGTGTGACTGTCTCAAAAAAAAAAAAAAAAAAGATTGTTCAGTGCCTCCCACCCAGTTCTACAGCCTCAAATCCACATGCTTTGCTTTGAACTTCCAGCAACCCCTGGACATTCACCAAAACCCACTTCCAGACCTGGGACTCCTTTCTCTTCCACTGCTGGTGTGAATCTCTCCTTTCCTCTCCTCCCTCCCTCTGGATTGCAGTTTGCAATCCAGATTAATTCTGCCCATTGTCTCATTTGTATCTCTGAGCACTTGGATTTCAATGTAACTAATGTTTCTTTGCAAATATCTCCATAAACTGTATATATATTCATCTTTCTTTTTATGTAAATTCTTTGGAGAATGAACTAGGCCTACCTATTCCCAAATGGGCCCCTCACCCTCATTGCTTATATTATTCCATAAATAAATTATTTTGTAAGCGAATCAGGAGGGAGAGGATTATTTTTTCTTTTTCATAATTTTTTTAAAAATAGAGAGAAGGTCTCACTATGTTGCCCAGGCTGGTCTTGAACTCCTGGCCTCAAGCATTCCTTCAGCCTCAGCCTCCCAAAATGCTGGGATTACAAGTGTGAGCCACCTCACCTGGCCAGGGGGGATTCAGGATAACATAACAGCTGCTTTCTAGCCAAGCTGAGTTGAATGGGGCCAGTAATGGGGAAGAGGAGAATTGAAGGATATGGGGATAATGTCCAGATGCCGTGAGCCCCTGAGAAAGATGCAGTGTCTTTGAAGAAAAGGCCTTAATACAGAACCTAGATGAGTCTGGAGGACGTCACGTTGATACCGAAGGGAAGTGCTGGGAAGGGAAGAGCGTGGTCCCTTTAAATGATACTGAAGAGGGAAAGGGAAGTGCTGGGTAAAGGAGGGCATGGTCCCTGGCTAGGGCTCCACAGACCTAGGTGAGGACAGGCATTTCCTGCCCAAGTGTTGCATTTCCCAAGAACACCCTGGCCTGCCACACCCCCATCCTGTGCCTATGAAAACCCCCTGGAGACCCTAGCAGGCAGACACAGACACCTCCTGACATGGAGAGAAGCACCTCAGTGGAGGAACACACAGGTGGCTGGACATGGAGAGGAACGCATGGACAGGCACCAGCAGGCCACCAACCGGCAGAACGATGGGGAGTTTGGCTGGGGCAGTTGGAGGAGAGCCCAGGCTGCTGAGTGGCCCCACTCCAGGGGAAAACCATCTCCCTTCTGGCTCCCCCATCTGTTGAGAGCTACTTCCACTCAATAAAACCTTGCACGCATTCTCAAACACCAAGGCAGGAACACTGGGATACAGAAAGCCCTCTGTCGTTGTGGTAAGGCAGGGGTCTAATTGAGCTGACTAACACAAGCCGCCTACGGACAGCCAAACTAAAAGAGCACCCTGTAACACACGCCCACTGGGTCTGTAAACATTCATCCCTAGACACTGCTATGGGGTTGGAGCCTCCACAGCCTGCCCGTCTGTATGCTCACCTAGAGGTTTGAGCAACAGGGCACTGAAGAAGCAAGCCACTCCCCCGCTGCACACCTTGTGAGGGGGACAAGGGAACTTCGCTCGTTTCAACGTCTGACATCTACCTTCAGGTTCGGCACCTGAATAGGAGGGAGGACTCACAGCAGAAGGCCTCAGGGCACCGTAATTGGGCCTGCATGTCAGCGTGATTCCAAGGCAGGCTTCTGCAGTGTCCTGGCACCACCTGCCTCTGCCTAGGATGCATATAAGTGGCTGAGAGGCCAGCCACGGGGATGCCACTTGCAGGACACTACAACCAGGGGGAAGCCTGGCCATCAGCAGGGATTGAGGGCAGCACACTGGGCCTGGGAGGTGAGGTCCAGCTCTTTGAAGACAACAGCAACCACAGAACAGAAACAGCCTTGCCCCCACATTGTCAGCCCTGACCCCACCTGGAAGAAGGAGAAAGGGAGGGGCCTGAATTGACCGGGGGCTGCTCCAAAACAGCAGAATTCAAACTGAAAGGGACTAAGTTGCTTGTATTGGCAGGTTTCTACCTTGGAGAGGCAATGGAGCCTGGGAGCTGGGCTGACTTAGATACCAAGTCTGTGGAATTCCTCCCCTCCTACAAACTATGCACCAGCAAACAGCCCCAGGCCTGGATGACTTGTGAATCTGGCCCTTTGGCAGGGGCTTTAGAGGTGACCTAGGTGGAGCCCATCACCTTTAGTGGCAAGGACCTAAGCCCCAAGGAGGAGCGGGGAAACGGCCACAGAGCCCACTCCGCTGCCCTGCAGCCAGTGCCTCCCATCACCTTCACAGCTGTGAGGCTCTGTTCTCTTCTGAGGCCACTGGAAGGAGAAAGGGGGAAGATTAACCTGATCTAATATGACAGCATACGTTTCAATGAAGGGACTCAGTAATTCCAAATATTATAGTCTCTGTGTATGTTAAGAGGGCTAAGGTGATATGAGATGAGAGAAGGAAGATAATCCATTGTTTATTTTTACGTCAAAATCAAGGTGGGACCAAGTGGGACAGAGATGTGGAAAGCTTTGCGTCCTTGCTAGGCTTAGGTCCAGGTGACTTGGAGGTGAAGGTGGGACACCCTGGGGCCCCTGCCCTGAGAGCTATGAAATAGTGGGTCCTTGCTGAGCATTTCTAGAGGGTTAAAAACTTCAATCGTTGGCTGGGCACAGTGGCTCATGCCTGTAATCCCGGCACTTTGGGAGGCCAAGGCGGATGGATCACCTGAGGTCAGGAGTTCGAGACAAGCCTGACTAACATGGTAAAACCCCGTCTCTACTAAAAATACAAAAATTAGTTAGATGTGGTGGAGTGTGCCTGTAATCCCAACTACTTGGGAGGTTGAGGCAGGAGAATTGCTTGAACCTGGGAGGCGGAGGTTGCAGTGAGCTGAGATGGCGCCACCACACTTCAGCCTGCATGACAGAGCGAGACTCCATTTCAAAAAAACAAAAAACAAAAAACAAAAAACAAAAAAAACCTTCAGTCATTCTTTACTCTAAAAACATTTGCTTTGCCTTTTGTACAAAGGGTGCTTGCAAAAAGTTGACACCCATTTGCACCCTTATCTAACACCTTCTCACAGTAACAGAGAAGCAATCCCAACTTGTTCTTAACTTGTCTGAGAGTACAGCCCTAGCCAAACTCCTTCGCAGCTCCTGAGCCAAGAATAAAATATTTTCATGTTGAATTTAGGAGTCACGGATCATCATTCTGCAGTGGTTAAGAATTCACCTTCCATATGTTAATGCTTCATTTCCCCCATAGAATCAACTATGTTTGGCGCAGAAGCAGAGAAATGCATTTAAATGCTTATGATGAATAATCTCTTAAGCTTATTATGAGTATGTTTGTGCCAAGTGATAAGTGAAAGCCAATACCTCTTTATACAGTGTCTGCATAGGTCCCCATGATGTTTAAGGAGCACTTACTGAATAAAAAAGCGTCTCAGTGATTATAGCCAAATGTCTCTGTCAATTCCATTGCGTATAATAATTTGGGGACCATTATGCTAATCACATCTGCCATAATACTTGGAGTATTGCTGCTCTTAACGTTACGAGATGACACTTTTCCAGTTTGTGCATGCGCCCAGTCATACTATTCCTTGATGGCCTTTTAAGGGTGGGATTGTCGGTGGGAGAGAAGGGAGGGTTGTGGAGGCCTGGGGCCTCTGGCTGTGGGGTGATCATGTTCTTGTGCTTTTGTCCATCCTAAACAGTCAAAAATGTGTCCTGCCACAGGTGAGGCCTGGAGCTAGGAAGGGGTATGTGCTCAATGGTTTTATGTGTGCACGGGGCTGGGGATGAGGCAGTGAAGGTGAAGGCTCATAGCTTTCTGCTCACAATCCTCCAGGCCATGTGACATCCACGCAGATGAGGGCATTCAGCACCATTTCCTTGCATTGAATATTGAAGAATAGCTAATCATTCCCTAAGATCATTTTGAAGGTAACAGCAATAATAATGTCCTTGTGAATGTCATGTTATGCCCTGCACTTCACACACACTTTCTCATTCAGTGCTTCTCCACACCGTAGGAGGAGGTATGAAAAGCCCCCTTTTACAGATTAGGAGTGTCTGTGGGCAGTGTATAAAAATGTAAGTGGAGACTTACCCCTTACGTATATGCATGTTTGCTCTCTTTATAACATGAACATCATGCCTGTTATATGCCAGGAACTCTTCAATGCTTGATGCATGCTAATTTGTTTACTCTTCATCATGGCCCTGAGACTGGTTACTTGCCCAGGACTGTGGCCCTTTAGTGACTGGTGCCTGTCTGTGCCAAACCCTCATTCTACCCCCACCATGCTATGCTGCATCTCTGCAGGTTAGCCATGCCAGGTCACATTCAGCAGCATGTCCCTCTCCTTCATAGCCATAACCACCTGAAAAGTAGGTAATTACTGGTCCACTCCTTCTCCAGCCATGTACTCCACAACAGCAAAGACCAGACGTGCTACTTACTACAGTCTCCAGGACTCAACACAAAACCTGACAGATGGCAGGCCCTCAAAAATGAAAGACTGCATTTTGGGAGGCCGAGGCAGGAGGATCGCTTGAAGCCAGGAGTTCGAAACCAACCTGAGCAACAAAATGAGATCCTGTCTCTACAAAAAAATAGAAATATTAGCCCGGTGTGGTAGCATGAACCTGTAGTCCCAGCTACTCAGGAGGCTGAGGTGGGAGGATAGTGTGAGCCCAGGAGTTCAAGGCTGCAGTGAGCCATGCTGGTGCCACTGCACTCCAGTCTGGGCTACAGAATGAGACCCTATCTCTATTAAAAAACAAACAAACTAAATGGTTGAATTCAACGATCTGCTTTAGTCATCTGTAATATGTGTAGAATTGAGCTGACTAAATGGACAGTTTTATAACTAATCTTAGTTGTTTTAAATTAATACACGCTAAGTATGAGACATTGCAAAGATCTGAAATAATCTAAAACTATAATTTTGTGAAACAGCAATTGAGATGACATCTAGTCAACTGAGAGCAATTGAGATAACATCTATATTCAGTTCCCTGTGTTTTTCTCATTTAATTCTTGGAACAGCTCTATGAAGTAGGTATAATCTTGCCAATTTCACCTTTTTCCCTCAACTTCAGATGCAACAGCTTTGGGTGCATCATAATCCTGGGTTCAGGCCACACTATCATTGTTCCAAGCATGGTCCTCTCTCATTCATCTTTTATTCATTTATTCATATTTTAAATAATAAAATGAACCGACTGCCCAACCCAAAAACTAGAACATGAACCATAACCTGCATCCGCACACGGGCTCCTCCCACTCCACTCCCTTCCTCTTCCCAAGTGCAACCACTATACAGAATTGTGTATTTCCTCATTTTTTTCTACTGTATGCCTAAATGCTTTATTGTTTTAGTTATTTTGGACTTACTTATTTGTCTGTTGACTCGGCATTGTATTCCTTACACCCATCTATTTGTCACATGTAGCTGAAGTTCATTGATTTCCTCTGCTGTGAAATCTTTCCATACCGTCTGTTGATGGGTGTTTTAGTTGCTTTGCATCCTTTGATATTGTGAAAAACTGTTCATCTATTTTACAGAGGAAGAAACAGAGGCACAGAGAAGTTAAGCAAGTCACGTAAGATCTCACAGCCCATGAGTGGCTGAACCAGGGTTTCAGCCTTGATTTCTCTAGCTCTAAAAACATGACTCTTTCACTACCATACAACCCATATCAGTCCTGCTGTGATGAAAAGATCATAGAAAGTAAAGAGCACATTTTCCTTCTTCATTTTACTGGAAAGTTACTTCACTCACTCTTTGTCTACTAGAGAAGAAAAACTTGTAAGTTGAGTTAATTAGCCTTTCAAAGAAAACTAGTTATCCTCTTGGATGCATTTACTCTCCACTCCTCCCCATTTTAAAAAGTAGCATTGCTGAGTACAATACTTTATCTCCAAAACCATATGTCTAGTTTGGCTTTACACCTAGATTATGTTTAGGTTTTGGTTTTGTGCTTAAATTCTCTTTGCAATAGAACTAGCTGTGTGTGCATGTATTTCCTTTTTAGTCAAAAGTCCTAAAGAGGAAAATGATGGAACAATAAAGTGATATGTTAGCTTCTACAGCCTGTTATAATGTTCCAAGAGGCAGGAGAACTAAACTCTCCTCTTCAGATTATAAATAGGCTTTATGTGGAAAATAGATCAGTAAAATAAAAGAAGCTCTGATCATATAAAACCGTAGATCATAATTTTACAACAGAAATGATTTCACTTATGTGCAAAGGAATTTTCCAGAGGAAATGCTTAGGTATTTGGAGTTTAGGAAAAAATTGGAAGAAATGCATCATATCTTTGCATTTATACAGTTTGTGCTGAAAAAAAAATAGGTATTTCTGTACTTCAGGGCGCTAAACAATGTAAACTTTGGATTTATGTGGATTTTAGATGTAGACCAGATTGAGGTCTGGTTTCTACAAGGTTATGTCCCCTACTCCTGCCTGGCTCCAGAAACTTCCCTGTCCCTCTTCTTCCCCCCGCCCCGTCGCTTCCTTATAACAGACCATTCTGGGATAGCTCATTTCTTCCACAGCTATTTCTCATTTCTCTTTCCAGCCTCCTGTGCATGTGGATTTGGAATGTAGATGCTTTTATTGTTTTCTTAAAAATATCAATCAGGCTGGTCCAAGTGCAGTGGTGTTTATCAGTTCAGATTTCTATGTTCCTTTTCCACTCCCACTGCTTCACCTTCACCTGACTAGCCTAATTTTTTTTGTTTGTTTGTTTTTGAGATGGAGTTTCGTTCTTGTTGCCCAGGCTGGAATGCAGTGGCATGATCTCGGCTCACTGCAACCTCTGCCTCCCGGGTTCAAGTAATTCTTCTGTCTCAGCCTCCCTAGTAGCTGGGATTACAGGCGCATGCCACCATGCCTGGCTAATTTTTGTATTTTTAGTAGAGACGGGGTTTCGTCATATTGATCAGGCTGGTCTCAAACTCCTGACCTCAGGTGATCTACTTGCCTCGGCCTCCCAAAGTGCTGGGATTGTAAGTGTTAGCCACTGCGCCCAGCCTAAATTTTTGTTAATAAAGAAATAAAGATAGAAAACAACAAATATTTTAAAACCACCTAACAACTTTAGGACATTTAGGAAATAGGGGAATCTTACATACTCTCACCATCCTCATTCAACTCCCACAATTGTTCATTCCTTCCCACCTTAGCCTGTGTGCAAACGCATCGTCTACACAGCAGCAGCAGCAGAAGACAGAGATACACCCACATTCCCTAACCTGCCATTGAAGCTGAGATTTTTCCAGATGCAGATCCTGCGAAAAGGATTCATGAGAGGATTATTGATTTGGGAAGTTCAGGTAGCAGTGTTAGTGTAGTGGGGAAGCAAAACACAGAAGGAAAGGCAACCAATAAAGAGGCACTTAAGGCTGGGCGCGGTGGCTCACGCCTGTAATCCCAGCACTTTGGGAGACTGAGGCGGGCAGATCACCTGAGGTCAGGAGTTTGAGACCAGCCTAGCCAACATGGTGAAACGCCGTCTCTACTAAAAATACAAAAATTAGCTGGGCGTGGTGGCGCGCACCTGTAATCCCAGCTACTCGGGAGGCTGAGGCAGGAGAATTGCTTGAACCCAGGAGATGGAGGTTGCAGTGAGCCAATACAGTGCCACTGCACTCCAGCCTGGGTGACAGAGTGAGACTCTGCCTCAAAAATAAAAAAAAAATAAAAATAAATAAAAAAAGAGGGGCTTAAGTGATGGAGGCTTACTCCCCAAGAAAATTCGGGGACATGGTGCTAAACCTATACTTCCAAATATCCGACTCTAGGAGTGATGGAGCTGGGGTATCTATGCATTAACTGCCCACGGTGATTGCTTGAGGACTGTTCATGGGGAGGAAAGGGGGAGCCAGTGCCTGAGCTGTGTGGGTGTCCACAGCTGGAGGTGGTTAGCTGGAACTTGGCTGCAACACCCTGAGAGCCCTAAGAGACATGGGCGGTCCCAGAGTGTCTGCTATCCTGCTTTATTCACTTAACATTAATTACAACACAAACACTTCCCTGTTGCTACACAGTCTATACTTAGGAGATTAATTTCTGCACAATATTTCATAATGGAATCATAATTTAATTAATTATAATACTGGATATTTAGGTCGTTTCAAAATGGAATGAGTGAGTTGGCAAGAAATAGCTAACTCTTTTCGATCCAGACTCTAAAAGCAGGAGCTGTATACCAGGGACTGGAAATGTCATATGTTTTTAAAGATATTGGAAGTCTTCCAGTCCTACGAGCCAAGCAGAATACCACAGGTGAGTGAGAATCATGCACCCTGAGAATTCAGAGCAAGTGGCCTATGCAACATGTGCTCTGTTATTTAGGAGGACACTTTAATTGCTGGTCTGTGATCATGCAATAGCTGTACTTTACTCTTCAGAATTTTTAAGGTCTATAAATTTTGTATATCAAAACTTTGCATCAGGGCCGTGATAGTTGAGAAGCACATAGATAGCTATCCCATCATTTTGTGCCGAGAAGTAATAATGAAGCAAGAGCCCGGGATTTTGCTATGGTTAACCACTAAACAGCTCTGTCATCTGGAGGAGGCTTCCGTGTGTCTCTGTGCCCCACCTATAAATCAAGGTATGTAGCAGACCAGTCTGCAGCTTCTTCTACAACCATTTCCACCCTTCCCCTTCTTCCTTGCTGACACAAGTTTGGTGCAGATGCCAGGTGGAGAGACCCTGTTCCTAGGGAATCAGGTCTGAGAAATTCCAGGGGATGCTGGGCTTGAGTCACTTGCTGTCATTCCATTCTTCTGTGCCACATACTCATGTTCCCAGCCTCCTTCATAGTTAGGCACTGCCAAATTCAAAAATAATAATTCTTACACAACATAACAGTTTCCACGGGCCATTCTTTAAGTACTTTATGTGTTAACTCATATCATTCTCACAACAACCCCAAGAGCTAAGTGTATTATTATCATCCTGTTTGACTGAGAAGGAAGCCCTGGAACAGAGGTTCTCAAGGTCACATGGCTAGTAGATGTTGGAACAAGGACTCTTATCCAGGCTCGTCTGGCTCCAAGATCCATGCTGCTGTGTTATAGTCAGACTATGCAGGCTTGTCTTCATGTAACCCAAAGCATATCTAAGCATTATCCCTGCATTAGCAAAGGCTGGCCTTGGGAGACATTGGCTTTTTCACATAGCCTTACTCATGAGCAGCAGGAATGACCTCCTGGCTTTGGATGATCAAAATTACTAGTTGCCCCTTAAGGGCCTCATCGTTCATTCTAAACATTAGTCAAAGTCACACTACTGAAAAGGTAGCAGGTAAGAATGGTTTTTTCTTTTTTCTTTTCTTTTTTTTTTTTTTTTTGAGACAGAGTTTCGCTCTTGTTGCCCAGGCTGGAGTGCAATGGCATGATCTCGGCTCACCACAACCTCCACCACCTGGGTTCAAGCAATTATCCTGCCTCAGCCTTGCGAGCAGCTGGGACTGCAGGCGCCCACCACCATGCCTGGCTAAATTTTCTGCATTTTTAGTAGAGACAGGGTTTCACCATGTGGGCCAGGCTGGTCTCGAACTTCTGACCTCAGGTGATCCACCTGCCTTGGCCTCCCAAGTGCTGGGATTATAGGCGTGAGCCATCGCACCCGGCCTTTCCTCCTCTTTTAAGGCTAGATTGTATAGTGTTAGTTTATGTGCAAATTGCTTTCCCTCCATTTCCACTCTGTGTTGTGCACGCACACATGCATACGCCCCCCATACACCCTTCACCCTCTGCCGGGTGCCCCATATTAAACGGTGCTCCAGGACAGGTTTTCCTTCCACGTACTCAGTCCCTAGCTTCTTACTTGAAGAAACATTTCCTCAAACCTCACCCCAACCTGCTCTCAACTCTTCAAGTCACTGACTTTCGTTTCTTTAGTCTTTACCTTTGATCCTTATTTTTGGGCCTAACACACACTGTAAACTTCCAGGCTAGAAATACGGGTTCTCTTGACAGAGCATTTTTATTTTCTGTTTTAGTGATCAGCTCACCCCTCTCCCAATTCCACGGGACCTTTAGCTGTCACATACTTTGGCCTCAACTCTGAAAGCTGCATCCTCAACTGGAGCATCAGAGATTCCAGGCAAGGACTCCTTAACTCTGTTATTTTTATTTATGTATTTATTAGAGACTGGGTCGTTAGGTTCCTCACACTTGGCCTTGACCTCCTGGCCTCACGGGATCCTCCCGCCTCAGCCTCCTGAGTAGCTGGATTACAGGCACGAGCCACCACGCCCTTTTTGTTATTAGGGACACAGTCCTCCCCAGCCAGCACCACTCATAGAGTACCAGCCAGCACCACTACCGTAGAGTAAGTAGCTTGTAAACAAACAAGTAAACAAATAAACAAACAATATATATTTCATGTGTTTATATATAAATATATGTATATATTTGTATAAATATATGTGTATATATAAATACACATATTTATATATACATTTATATATACACATTTATATATACATTTATATAAATATACACATATATACATTTATATAAATATACACATATATTTATATATACATTTATATAAATATGCACATGTATTTACATATACATTTATATAAATATGCACATGTATTTACATATACATTTATATAAATACGCACATATATTTACATATACATTTATATAAATACGCACATATATTTACATATACATTATATAAATATACATACATTTATATATGCATTTATATAAATATACATACATTTATATATACATTTGTATAAATATATGTACATTTATATTTACATTTATATAAATATATACATATATTTGCATATATACATATATTTATATATACATTTATATAAATCTATACATATATTTACATATATACATTTACATATAAATACATATTTCATATATACAGTTTCACCTGAGGCCCTAGTAACCCCAGCTATAGTACTTGGAACAAAATCCCTGAGGATTTACTCGAGAACGCACCCTCAGTTCTCTTTGAGAAATCATACAGGATGACAGTTTCCAGAACACTGCTTATAGGAAAACATTCTCCCAGGTTTCAAATGGGAGAGGGCTGTATTACAGAAACTATAAACTCTTCAGCTCAACCTCTCCTGAACATGACTGTGGACGTTCAGAAAAGAAATCCAAGAAGACTGAAGAGTCAACGTGAATTCACTAAGTGCAAATCAGGCCAGGCTGACCTTGTTTCCGTTTTGGGGTGGGTTGGTAAGTTAGAGAAGCAAACCTTACCCTCAGCTCTCAATACCCTGGTGTGTAACAATTAGTGGAAAAGGAGGAAGGAAGGGTTATAACCAGTCTCCAGAAAATTATACATAATTCAACCTATATTAATCTGTTTCATCCCTTTAAAATGTAAAAGAGAAAGCTCCAAACTGAGCAATTGTTACATTCAAATACTCTTTAGAGGGCTTTGTATAGAAGAAGGATTAGATTTCAGAGGGCAGAGCCAGGATAAGTGTGTGCAAATTACAGGGAGGCAGTATTGTACCCCAAATAGGGGGAAAACTGTCTAACGCTTAGGACACTGTTTCTTAAACCTGAGTCATGTACAGACTCCCTAATAGAAAAAATTCTCGCAAATTTCCAGGGTTTACGAATTGTTTTTCTATAACAGTTCTTAGTTATGGACAAACATACAACTAGGTATAAAGTTCTTATGCTTACAGTTATACACATTTACAAATTAAGTTTGTAAACTGAATGTATAAATGTATACATTAAAGACAAGCAAAGCTACAATGTCAACAATATTTAAATAAACAACCTTCTTTTAATGGGAGAGATGATGTTTTGCTGAAGCAAAATCGTCATTCAGAGCATGAATATGGTATCGATGGCTTTTGCCTTGGGCAGTTGTAGACCGCCGTGTGAATTGTGATAACACAAACCAAACACATTTCTTTTTCTGAACCATAGAGAAATCTTCATTTATGAAGTATGCTATAAGGTTACTTTCCTTCACTAAAATTGACATCATGGTTACCTATTAGGACCAATTCTGTTCTTTTTTAATTCACTCCCAATTAAAGTGGATCTACTCTCCTAACACATAAACAAAAATGAGCACTGAAAGATACCTTCTGGTAGCCCTCAGATAAAAAGTGATTACTACATTCGCCAAAACTCATAGAAAATACAATCAGGGTGAACCCTAATGGGAAGGCTGAACTTTAGTTAATGATGTTGTATCAATTTTGGCTCACCAATTGTGACAAATGTACAACACTAATGTCAGATGCTAAAAGTAGAAGAAATTGGAAGCCAGGCATAGTAGCGTGCACCTGTAGTCCTAGTTACTCAGGAGGCTGAGGCAGGAGGATTGCTTAAGCCCAGGAATTTGAGGCTGGAGTGTGAACTGCCACTGCACTCCAGCCTAGGCAACGTGTTAAGACCTCATGTCTAAAAAGGAAAAAAAAAAGTGTGGGGGAGAGGAAATTAGGGATGGAGGGCCAGGGGGTATATGAGAATTCTCTGTGCTTTTTGTTCAATGTCTCTGTAAACCTAAAACCGCTCAGGAAAAGAAGAAGTCTACTAATTTTTAAGAAAGTGGTCACCATAAAGTTCTTATGTATTAGTTCTTTTTAGATTATTGTCCACATGAAAAGACAACTATTTCTAGATCTTGTATGAAACTCTTGTACCTCCAAGAATAATTCTATATATCTCAGGGTCTGTACCGTAGTTTTTAAAAATGCTGAAATTGAGAGTTCAAGAATGGAACGAAGTATTCTAAAAAGTCGTTAGAACTTCTTTACTCAAAGTGTTTCAGAAAATGCCTAGAAGGTCATCTTTTAGAGAAGTTCTTCTAGGGATTTTTGCTTTTGGAGAGAGGTCAGAGCACAGGATCTCTAATTCCAAGATTATATAATTCTACTTGGTGTTTTTTTTTTAAGATTTAGCTTTGAATTCATTTGCTTTTACTGCTACTTTTCACAGACTGTGCAATGGCCCAATGTCAGAACCATGAGGTGATGAAATTTGTAGCTTTCTAAGGTTTTTCTTATTCCCACAATCCTGTTCAAATAGCAACAATTTCATTTAGGCCAAACCAATTGCTAATTTTTGGTCCTGGGAAAGGATAACTAATAAACCTCACATCATTCCAGTGAACCCAGATTGCATTCCTTTCTGATGGCTTATCACATTGCACTCTGGGTTAAATGCCATAGTTATAGCTCCATTTACATATTTGGGTAATCCATTTTCTAAGTGTTCTCTTAAAGAAAACCTAGAAAACGTTTCTATTTCTTTATTCCCTTTGGAAAATATTTCCTTGCAGGAATCTAAGGCTAGAATTGAATCTGTAAAAGGACTCTTGTAATTCTATACTTTTTAAAACCACTGTTTGAATTTTGTTGAATTCACATACGTGCATTTTCGTTTAGTTTTAGCAGACAACACTGCCATGATAGGAGTTGTAACGTCATAGGCATTGAGTAGGTCAAATCTTTTGGCACTGGGTCTAAAGATTTGATTCCTCCAATTGGGGTGGTATTGCTGAACTGCGGTAGAACTGTTTTCCATTAGAAAGTAAAGAAGCTGGGTCCTCGTCATAAATGTGGGTAGCTGAGGGAGGAGTACAGTCACGTTTTCTGATTTTCAGCCTGTCTTTCTCTGCTAGGCAGCATTCGCCCCCTGTCCCATTACATCAGACCACTCACGATTCTGACCTGGAACTTCCAGAAAGAATGGCTGGCTTGGAGGCATGGCTTCTTATCACCACCCACTGTCTGCTCCAAGAACTGCAGGAGCATTTCAAAACCACCAGGGCAGGTGACTCTCCCAACCGCAGAAAGAGGAAATGTACTAGAATAGAAAGAAAGAATAAAACGGAAGAACAAATGAGCATCTGAGGAATACACCTGAAAAATGAATCACCAAGGGAAACCCGTTTCTATCTTTATTTTGATGTTTCCAAAAGGAAACCCGTATTTATAAAAGATCACAACCAAAGTTCAATAGTCTGAAATGAGATGATATTTTCAATATAAAAACAGGATCTACTCATTTTTCTCAATTCATATTAAAAACAGTTGTTTGATAGCATTCCCATGGAGACATGTAAATTTATTTATTTTTTCTAATTGTTATCCCAGTGTGCTCCTGTTTGAAAGCTATTACAAAATTAGGCCGGGCACGGTGGCTCACGCCTGTAATCCCAACACTTTGGGAGGCTAAGGCAGGAGGGTCGCTTGAGCCCAGGGGTTCAAGACCAGCCTGGGCAACATGGCAAAATCATGTCTTTACAAAAAATACAAAAAAAAAAAAAAATGAGCCGGGTGTGGAGGCACATGCCTATATTCCCAGCTACTTGGGAGGCTGAGGCGGGAGGATCACTTGAGCCTAGGAATTCAAGGTTGCAGTAAGCCATGATTGTACCACTGCACTACAGCTTGGACAACAGAGTGAGACCTTGTCTCAAAATAAATAAATAAATAAATTAATTAATTAAGCTATGACAAGGTTAGCATCAATATATTTTTGAAAATAGTAGCAGTCTGAATACAGACAAAACACGCCTCCTTGATTTGAGATTCTGCTTCTTTTTCCACTTTACTGTTAATTCCTTTTTTTTTTTTTTTTTTCATACTTTCACCAGTTTCAGGAAAGGGTGGGTTAGAGTCAGGGGCTTCCTGAAGCTTTTCAGAACAAGAATTCTAATGAAGCAGTGTGTTCAGAGGGGGGTCCCCTGAGAATCATGTTTTGGAACATACCGACCTCATGTGGTATTATCTTTGCTACACTTTGCAGTTTCGTGTGAAACTTATTTTTGGTCTTTAACAAAGCATGTCCATGTTTATCTTAAATGCTGAAAAAGTTTAATAGTTTAAAACAAAACTTTTTAAAATAATTAAATATACAATGAATGCTGAAACATAAAAGTCAGACAGAATGTTACCTTAACAAGAAAGGGCTTCCTAAAGATCAAAAGATTGCTGTTTGTTTTATTTGCTAAAGACAAATAGCAAGTACTTTCACTTTAGGGGATTCAGATTGCTATTGAAGGAGCCTAGGCATTTTTGTTGCCCCACCCCCACCTAGATAAAGGCTTCCTCTACCTCATTCATAGAGTGGGAAACTTGCTTATTGATACTAAAAACATTGACTGCGCATTTAGAAAAATGGAATGCTGACATTTGATTAAAGATAGTATAGGATTCAAGCCAATGGCATTTCTGACCATGTCTTTCAGTCTTACTTAAAATTAGAGGGGAAATAGACACTACCTTGGGTTTTGCCTTATTCTGTGTACGGGTAGTAAGTAATTAGTGCAGCACTGAGCGGGAATGAATTATACTGAGTGCCAGTGCTACCAAGTTCCACCCCCTCTCATGTTGAGTGGGATTTGTTTGTTTTAATTTTTTGTAGAGACAGGGTCTCACTATGTTGATCAGGCTAGTCTCAAACTCTTGGCCTCAAGCAGTCCCCCTGCCTTGGCCTCCCAAAGTGCTGGGATTACAGGCATGAGCCACCACACCCAGGCTTAAGCTGATTTTAATGCCACCTTTAATAAAGAAGAGAAGAAACAGGCTTTTCAAGAATAAAAGCTCTCTTTCCCTCTAAATATTTCCAGATTTGGGTTTTTTTTTTTTTTAAAGTCAGTGATATTAATTAAGTCAGTGATGGACTGCTATGTCAGAATAGGACAAGATGAAAATGTACCCTCAGTCCAATCTAATCTGCAGTGGCCTATAAGAGATGGGTTTGTATAATGGTGGTCCCTTTCTTTACGGGGCTGTTTGCATAAAGCAAAGCAACTTTGGATGATGTAATATCTGGTCATTTCCATCTACAGCTATCATATGGGCCCTATATAGTCCTGCAAAGAGAAATAACAGTTCTTGTCTTGTGCTACCTCGAAATAGCTTCAAAATGTTTGCTGTTTTTTATAAAAACTTCAACAAATATTTATTTTGCACATGGCTAGATCATGATTTCTGGTTTTTGTTTTGTTTTCACCTCATCGTTTGTGGGTTCTCTACCCAGGCAGTATAGTAAAGTTTTTAAGAGCTTGAGCTCTAGAATCAGATAAACTGACTCTCACTTACTTATGTGATCTGAGCAGATTAATGAAGCTTTGTAAGCCTAATTTGCTCATTTGCAAAATGGCAAATATTAGTAGTCCTTCACTTGAAAGGTTGTTGTGAGGATTGAACATGTGTAAGGAGCTCGGCACAGGACTCAGATAGAATCCATCAAATAATAACTTGTTATAATAAAAAAGGACATATGTCCAAGTCCTTAAATCAATTACAAGGAACCTAAAAGACTTTCTGCAGCAGTTGAGGGAAATCAAACACCACTTCTCTTTTCAACTCGCTTCCTTTCTGTTATCAGCTCATGGGATTACATGGCTGTTCTCACCAGCATGCATGTTTGTAAGCAGTCTACAGCTCATGTTGTGAGGGCAAAAGATGGAAGAAGGTCATGAAACAGAGTGACCCTCATCCATATAGAAATGACAAAATATGCATGCAGAACCTATCATTCTTTAAGACTCTAATGAAATCCGGCTAAAGGAAATTACAGTGCGTGATAAATGATATTCCATGATTTCAGGAAATCTTACCAGAAAAACCCAAAAACCTCTCATGGTTGGGTAATGCAAAGATTCTAAAATACCAGATACTCCCCAGATCCCCAGATCATGGCTTTGGATTGTATTGAACCAGCAAATTATTTTGTTTTGCTTAATTTACTTTAATGGGAGGCAGTATGGCAGAGTGGTGACATGAGGTAGCTCAATTGTTGTTGTTTTAAAAATTGTTTCATAATTTTGCTATCAATAATTGCTTGTGATTCTTGAGTAGCATTCCATAATTACATGCTCATAAGAATGGTGGGAAAGGTAGTGCATGTGTATTTGAGATAATAAAAGATTTTAAAGTATCAGAGGGCTGGAGGCAGTGGCTCATGCCTGTAATCCCAGCACTTTGGGAGGCTGAGATGGGCGAATCACTTGAGGTCAGGAGTTTGAAACCAGTCTGGCCAATATGGTGAAACCCTGTCTCTACTAAAAATACAAAAATTAGCTGGTGTGGTGGCGCATGCCTGTAGTCCCGGCTACTCGAGAGGCCGAGGCAGAAGAATGGCTTGAGCCCGGAGGTGGGGGTTGCAGTGAGCCGAGATTGCACCATTGCACTCCAGCCTGGGTGACAGAGCGAGACTCCATTTCAAAAAAAAAAAAAAAAAATCACAGTAGGAGACCACTACTTTCTAAGGGAGGAGTCAGAAAACAGGAATAGTGATTTATTTAGACTAATTCTGTTATGTCAGGCATCTAAAAGAATTTAGTTTGAAGAAAGATTTGGGTTTCTATGAGAATGTATGAAAGCTCTAATTTATTATCTATTCAATAATTTTATATATAGATTTTTATTGAACTGAAAAGATAATTTTAGAAAATCCTTCATTTCCTCCACAGCATGGTTAACATTAATATTTAGACTGAGTTTATGAGTGTTTTCCCAGCATTGATTTCATAGTTCCTTGTCAGTTCTGGACGTAAAGGACAAGCTTTGATCTGAAGTGCGGCTGATTCAGTATGAGGGCAGATTGTGCTATGGAGATGGTTTTATGATATCTCTGTTGGGATGTTCTTTACAGTTACATCCTGACCTGCCGAATTATTAGTAAGTAGACAGTCATAGCTCCAATCCCATAACTCGACCACAAAAATAGAATTCTAGCTTCTTTTAATATGAACATTATCTAGATAGGACTATATCTAGGTCTTTCCTGACAAGTTATATGATTTAGTGCTTTGTTTCTATGAACTAAAGTTAGAAACTCGGAGTGACTCATTTTTATTTTTTTTTACGCATCTAAGTGTACAAGGAAATCAGACTGCTTCTGGTGTTGCTTTCTTTAAAAGAAAAAAAAAAGACATGCTCGTTGTTGAGTATCCTTTTTAGGTCAGCAATTCTTAAGTGCAGGACTTATTGGTATCCGAGCGGAAAGGCCTGAAGCTCTGATTTATCACAACTCCCTGTGAGTGGAGTCCTTCCATGGCTGGAGAAAGGAAAACATTTGTTGTACTAATACTGAATGTGCTTCCTGTGTAAAATAACCTTTAACTCTGTGGAGATCCCCCATTTTAATGACCAGGGACGTAGTGGAAGAAGAAGGAAATCCAAATTCCCCACAGGCAGCCTCTCTCCTCAACAGCAGGACAAGCTGCAGCCCTCCTCACGACAGAAACGCTTACTGAGGTAATGCCCCGCTAGGCTCTCTTTCACCTGTTTGAAGACACGACTCCATGAATTGTCATCAAATGTGTGTGACATTTTGACCTATGAAGAACACTGGGCGACAGCAGTCAGGTATTGTGAGGTAGCTGGACCAGGGGGAAGAGGACCGTCCTCTCATGCCAGCTTCAGTTATAGGCACTGCTGGGAACCTGACCAATAGCAGAACCAGCCCTCAAACCCCAAGCCAGACTTCAAGTTTCTAAATCACCATATCTTTACTGTAGAAACACTGTTAAGCCTGCAGTGACTGCCCTGGCCATGAGAATGCCTCTTTCTTTGCGAAACTTGAAGGGTATTCCCTACACTGGAGGGGAAAACCCAGCAGTGGTCAACACGATTAACAAACCTTTCAAGTCTCTTTGGATTTTTGTTTGTGTTTTGAAACAGGGCCTTGCTCTGTTGTCCAGGCTGGAATGCAGTGGTGCAATCATAGCTCATTGCAACCTCAGCCTCCTGGGCTCAAGCAATCCTATCGCCTCAGCCTCTCAAGTAGCTGGGACTACAGGTATGCACCACTATGCTCAGCTAATTTTTTAATTTTTTGTAGAGACAAGATCTATCTTGCCCAGGCTGGTCTCAAACTCCTGGACTCAAGCAATCCTCCCACCTCGGCCTCCCAAAGTACTGGAATTACAGGTGTGAGCCACTGTGCCTGGCCTCTTTGGGTTTTTGAAAGCCTCTATAGTAGCCCAGCTCTCTGAGTTCTGTGGAAAGTGCATCCATGAGATGGGGAAAGAGGAGAGTTGGCATAGGCTTTCAGAGCTTACCTAGCACGCTGGCACTACAATGTCTTAGTGAGGGACATGATCATGTTTTATCTCAGCACCTTTATAGTGATCTTGTATTCCCAGCTGCAGTTAGCCACAGACACAAGAGCTTTCCAGAGGCAATCAATGGTCCACCTACCCTCAAGCTCACTTGCAGATGGCTTCTTTTCAAAAGACATACCTACTTTTAAAAGACAACTGAGCTGTTTGAGAGAGAGAAGGAGGAAAGTAAAGGGAACTGGCTACTTTTATAGCCATTCTGTCTCTCTCCTCACCTTCCTCCCTCTCTGCACTTACATCTGCAACTCCTTTAAGCCAGATCTCCCAATTCATCTTGATTTTCATGTCTTGCCTCTTCCTAAGAATGAATGATCTGTCTCAGTGAGTGCATACAAACCTTAACAATACAAGAATCTTGTATTTCACGTCTTAGACTGTATCAGTGGGTCATGAAACTCCATTTAAGTCTGACATGGCTGTGGCACGGTAGAAGACACACTACCTGGTACCTTAGCAGGTATTTGAGAAATATTGATTATCAACCTGTGTTTGATATTTGATGTTTGTTGATAAAAGTGGAACACTGGTTAGGAATCATGAAACTCAGGCTCTGTCAAGATCCTACTGCTGATTTGATGGGCAATTTTTGTCAGTCTCTTAGCCTCTCTGGTTTACGATTTCCTGGCTCCTAAAAAGAATTGTATCTTCTTGATCCTTAAAATGGAGTATTTATACCCATACCTAGAAGAATTCAGGATTGTGTCAGGGATGTATATAGCCAGAAGATAAATATCTTCTTAGAGTATCAATTTCATTTGAGGGTAAATAACCTTAAAGTTTTGTTTTGTTTGATTTTTTTTTTTTTTTTTTGAGACAGAGTTTCATTCTTGTTGCAATGGCTGGATCTGCAATGGCGTGATCTCGGCTCACCCGCAACCTCCACCTCCCGGGTCCTGGTTCAAGCAGTTCTCCTGCCTCAGCCTCCTGAGTAGCTGGGATTACAGGCACGTGCCACCACACCCAGCTAATTTTTGTATTTTTAGTAGAGACGGGGTTTCACCATGTTGGCCAGGCTGGTCTCGAACTCCTGACCTCGTAATCCTCCCGCCTTGGCCTCCCAAAGTGCTGGGATTACAGGCTTGAGCCACCGTGCCTGGCTGAAGTTTTGTTTTCTGTTGTTGATGAAACCAAACAAGGATCTATTAGGCATTCCTGAAATGTAAAATATGTGTAAATTTTGTGCTAGCAGTCAACAGTTTTGAATCATGCCCAACTACTGCCCCTCCTTCCTCGCCCTCTGTTAATATCCACCTTCTTCTGTTTTTAGGGATTTTTTTCAGTGGAGAACTCTGAAGTGCTGCTCAGTGATAGCTACTTTCCTTTTAGCTCCTTCCTGTTTCTTTCCTATTCTTAAAGTATCTTTTTCTTTGCAGGAACTTCCCCATGCCCAAGGCTTTGGTTAATGCCTCTATGCTGATGTCTCATTTATGTATCTCCTCCAGACACCAAGCCTGTCTTTCAGCAGTCTACTTGAGATTTCCTTTTGAATACCTCAAAGGTGCAAACTCAACATGTCTAAAGTAAGAACTCATATTGACTCCCCCAAACCTGGTACCTTTCCCGTGTTCCATATCTAAGGAAATGCCACTACACCCATTAATGCACAAATTAGAAACTTCAGTCATCCTTGGCCATGTGTGGTGGCTCACACCTGTAATCCCAGCACTTTGAGAGGCCAAGGCAAGAGGACTGCTTGAGGCCAGGAGCTCAAGACCAGCCTGAGCAACATAGCAAGACCTCATCTCTACAAAAAAAAAAAAAATTAAAAATTAGCTGGACATGATACCAGCTACTTGGGAAGCTGAGGCAGGAGGATCACTTGAGCCCAGGAGTTCGAAGTTAAAGTGAGCCGTGATTGCACCACTGCATTCCAGCCGAGGCAACAGAACAAGACCCTGTTTCTAAAAAAAAAACCAAGGCCGGGCGCGGTGGCTCATGCCTGTAATCCCAGCACTTTGGGAGGCCGAGGCAGGTGGATCACGAGGTCAGGAGATCAAGACCATACTGGCTAACGCGGTGAAACCCTGTCTCTACTAAAAATACAAAAAATTGGCCGGGCGTGGTGGCGGGCACCTGTAGTCCCAGCTACTCGGGAGGCTGAGGCAGGAGAATGCCGTGAACCCGGGAGGCGGAGCCTGCAGTGAGCCAAGATCGCGCCACCGTACTCCAGCCTGGGAGTCAGCGAGACTCCGTCTCAAAACAAAAAACAAAAAACAAAAAGTAAAACAGTCATCCTTTGACATCATTCTCATAATTCCCTATGGCCAATTCATCACCAAATCTTGTCATTGACTTCTGAGTTGCTGTCAAATCCCCATCCTCAAGCTACTGTCCTCTGTTGCAGCCTCCTCACTGTTCTTCTGGCCCCTCTACCTGCAAGACCCTGCGTGTTCGGGACCGTTGCCAACCTCAAACAGCCTTGCTTTTCTGATGCGGCCACACTGGCTTTCTTCTAGTCCCGCATAGTCACCAGGCACCCTCATATCACAGGACCTTTGCCTGTATCTATTCTCACTCCTTTTTCACTCAGTTAACTTCTACTCATCAGATCAGAGAAGCCTTCTGACCTCACTGACTCCTCTATGAGGACCATTTATTTCTCTTCTGTGGCACCTGCAAAGCTGCAGTTTTATTTCGGTTTACTTTATCATTTGATTAAGGTGTGCTCCTCCAAGGCTGAAACTCCACGAGGACGGGAACCATGTCTGGCGAGCATTGTGCTCCAAGAAACTAACACAGTAAACACTTCAGTTTGTAAATATTTGCTGAACCAATGAATAGTTATTCACTACCAAAAAAAGGGGAACTATTGACAAGTGCAACAAAAAATAATGAGTTAATACACATGAAAGCATTTTGTGAATCTAAACTGCTGTTCAACGCCAGGCACAATGGCTCATGCCTGTAATCCCAGCACTTTCGGAGGCCAAGGTGGGAGGATAACTTGAGGACAGGAGTTCAAGACCAGCCTGGGCAACACGGCGAAACCTGTCTCTACAAGAAACAAAAACTTAGCCGGTTGTGGTGGCATGCGCCTATAGTCCCAACTACTCAAGAGGCTGAGATGGAAGGATCACTGGAGCTTGGGAAGTCAAGGCTACAGTGAGCTACAACAGAGCAACTGCACTCCAGTCTGGGTAACAGAGTGAGACTCTGTCTCAAAAAAAAAAAACAAAAAAACCCAAAAAGGCCCAGTGTGGTGGCATGCACCTATAGTCCTAGCTACTCAGGAGGCTGAGGCGGGAGGATACTTGAGCAGGAATTCGAGGTTACAGTGAGCTATGATTGCGCCACTGTACTCTAGCCTGGGTGACAGGGCAAGACTCTTGTCTCAAAACAAACAAACAAAATGCTATTCAAGTATTAGGTTGTGTTTGAAGTGACTAGTTAGGATGTTATTTTTCAAATATCAAGTGTAGACTACTTGAATACAGTGTCCAGATTTATGAAGACAAAATGGAAATGAGCATTTGGAGTCAAGCCCTCCTCCAAAGTCTTTAACAGAACTGCTGACCTTTCAATGGCTGCTATACCCAGGCATTCAAACAAAAGAGGCATTTGTATACGTGCACATAAACTCTCCATATCTGTTAATTACTAGAATTAGTTTCCTGCATTTGCATGACTTTTGTCCTAACAAAATAAATACATTTTTCACAGTGTCTCCCTCCAAAAACAAATCTCCCAGAGAATTAATGGCATGGCACTGGGAGTGCCAGCAATAAAAATAACAAAAGCCTATAATCATTAATGAAATACGGTCAGTAGTTGATTCCCACAAAGAAAACGAGCCAGGCGAGGTGGCTCACGCCTGTAATCCCAACACTTTGGGAGGCCGAGGCAGGCAGCTCACCTGCAGTCAGGAGTTGGAGACAAGCCTGGCCAACATGGTGAAACCCATCTTTACTAAAAATAGAAAAATTAGTCAGGCATGGTGGCAGGCGCCTGTAATCCCAGTTACTCAAGAGGCCGAGGCAGGAGAATCCCTTGAACCTGGGAGGCGGAGGTTGCAGTGAGCTGAGATCACACCACTGCACTCCAGCACAGGCGAAAAGAGCGAGACTCAGAAACAAACCAACAACAACAACAACAACAAAAAAAAACAAACACCAGGTCCAGGTCCAAGTAGTTTTATAGGCAAGTTTACCGGGATCCAAAGGCAGATAATTCCAATCCTAAACTCTTTCAGAGAGTATAAAATAAGGAACATCTCCTAACTCATTTTATGAGACTAATATAACTTCATACAAAAACCACAGAAGAAAAAAATTACAGTCTAACTCCACTCTTGATTATGGATAAAAATCTTAAACAAAATATTAGCAACCATATCCAGATAATGATCAATAGGGTTTATTCCCGGAATGTAAGGTTACTGCACCATTAGACAATTTATTAATGTAACTGACCACATCAACAGATTAAAATAGAAAAATCATATAGTCATTTCAAAAGAGGCAGAAAAAACATTCAATAAATTTTAACAAGCCACTTATAATGAAAACAAACAACTCTCATCCAAAAAGGGTAGAAAAGAACGTCCTTAGCCTACCTAATAAACGGTATCTGCAAAAATAAATCTCTGGCAAATGTAATTCTCCACAGTAAAAAAAAAAAAAAAAAAAAAAAAAAGTTAAAAGCATTCCCTTTAAAAGGATATAAGACAGATAAATTAGCATCACTCCTAATAACTTTGTGTTGGAGTTCTAGCCATTGCAGAATATCAAAAACAATAACAACAATAACAACAAAACACAAAGAATACTCAGGAAAAAATAAAATTGTCATACTTTATAAATTCAATAATTCTCTACATGGGTAACTCAAAGAGTCTGCTACAAATTATAAGAAAATTAAAAATTTTGCAGGATTGCTAGACATAAAATCAACAGGCAAAAGTCGATTGCATTTCTATTAACACAAGACAGATACAAAACCTAATTTTAAGGGGATACAATAACACAAAATGTAAAATATCTAGAAATAAATCCAACAAAAATATTTTTTAGAGATGGGGTTGTGCTGTGTTGCCCAGTCTGGTCTTTAACTTTTGGACTCAATTGATCCTTCTGCCTCAGCTTCCCAAATAGCTGGGATTACAGACTAAGCCACTACACCTGGTTCAATGTTTTTAAAATCAAATCATTCTAGACCATAGAAAAAGACAGAAAGCTCCACATTTAATTGTATAAAGTCAGCAAAATATTAATCTGAATATCTGATTAAAAATAGTATAACAAAGGAAAATATAGAATGACCTCACTTAAGACTATAACTGCAAAAATTCTGGATACAATTTTAAGAAACAATATTTCAAAATAAAAAAATATAAACAAGTGGGGTTAGTCTAGGAATACAGGTATGATTTCAATATTAAGAAACCTGTCAACATAATTCATCATGCCAGCAAATTAGCGGGGGAAAAATAGTGATTATATAAATAGATGATTAAAAGGCATTTGAAAAAGTTGAGCAGTCATCCCAATTAAAAACTCTCTGTAACATCTGACTAGATGTTTTAGTCAGCAGAAGCTAACTTGTCCTACAAAGAGCCCCAAACTTTATTGGCTTGACACAGTAAGTTATTTTTCCTCATGTCATAATCCAGTGTGGGACAACAATGGAGCTCTCCTACCCACAGTCATTCAAAGACCTGGGCTCTTTCCATCAGTAGTTCTTCCATCTTCTAGAAAGATGTCCCAAGTCCTCTGCATCTGACTGGTAGAGAAAGGAAGGCAGTGTGGAGAGTGTGGGAGGCTCAGGGTTAGTACTGGAAACATAATCTCTTTTTTCCACCCACATTCTTCTGATCAAAATTCAGTTAGGTTGGGTCTACATAACCATAAGCAAGACTGGAAAATGTAGTTGATCTCTGTTCTCAGGAGAAAAGGAAAATGTATGGGTGAGCATCTAGCCAGTCTCTGCCACAGAAAGTTACCACCTAAAATATTAAAGACCTTACCAAAAAACTAATAACATATATCGTCCCAAAGAGTGAAACACTAAATATACTTACACTGAAATCAGGAAAAAAACTGGGACATTCACTATCACCATTATTTATTCAACATTATTTTGGAGGTTTTAGCAGGTACAGTAAGATAAGGAAAGAAAATAATATAAATTTGGGAAAGAAGAGATTAAATTATCTTTTTGCTGATAATATGCCAACATACTTAGAAGCTCTAAGATATGCTTTTAAAAAGAACATATCTGTTTAATTAACATGGCTGGACACAAGATAAATACACAAAGATACATAAATATGTGAATATACATACGTGTGTACATTGTTCTCCATATGTTCTCTTCGTTTGCTTCTATCTAAATAACTCTTGGGGTTTACACAAGCTCTCAATGTCATCTGTGAAACCTACAGACTATTGCTTATGGCAGAAAAAATGCACTCAACTTGTGAGCTACTCGCTTACATAACCATGTACTCCACTTTTACCAGATGAGTTGTTTGTTTACCAATTTCTAGTTGTGCTTGCTCCTAAACATTTTTATGACAGTTGTACTGTTATTATAAACCAAGTAACTTGAACAAATACTACTGAAGCCAACACATAATAATGTGATAAGAATGAATTTTTGTTTTCATGGAAGCTGTTGTCTGCTTTAGAAAGGTTCAATAAAGACAGGTTGCAAAAAAATGCTGTTGGTTTGGGCATAACAATTGTAAAGCATAAGGAGAAAATTTTAAGATTTTGTATTTGCATTTTTCTACAAGTCTTATTAAGTTATTGAACCACATTAGAGAAATCCAAACTGAAAACTGTATATGATGCATTATTGATGTAGTTTATGCAAGAAAGATATCATGGTACTCCAAATCAGTAGACCCATACTTAAGAGAAGGACCTTGTCCTACATCACATTATGGATAAATGAATATATATATATACACACACACATATGTTTTATGTTAAAATATTTTAAATATGTATTATTACTACAGCATAACCTAGCCTATCCTGATTAAAGCTAGGCTAGGTTATATTACAGTAATAAAGAAGTAAAACCAAAAAAACCCTTAAGTCTCAGTGACTTAAAACCACAGACTCTTTATCTGGATGACATCCAGAGCCACTGTCTTCTATATGATGACATTCTAGCTACTTTACCCTTTCGGTACTTCTACATCAGCATATACTTCTATTATCACTATGACAGGGAAGATATGGAGAATCATGCTTCAACTTCTCAATGCTTCTGTGCAGGAATGAAACACACACATCACTTCTACTCACATTTTCATTGGCCAGGATTAGTCACATGGCTATATCTAATTTTTTTTTTTTTTTTTTTTTTTTGGAGATAGAGTCTCGGTGTATCCTCTAGGCTGGAGTGCAGTGGTGAGATCTCGGTTCAATGCAACTTCCGCCTCCCGGGTTCAAGCGATTCTCATGCCTCAACCTCCCTAGTAGCTGGGATTACAGGCATCTGCCACCATGCCAGGCTAATTTTGTTTTGTATTTTTTAGTAGAGACAGGGTTTTGCCATGTTGGCCAGGCTGGTCTCAAACTCCTGACTTCAGGTGATCCACCTGCCTTGACCTCCCAAAGTACTGGGATTACAGGCATGACCCACTGCACCTGGCTGGCTATATTTAAGAGACAAGAAAAAGCGTCACCTTCTTGCATACTTGAAAGTAAGAGAAAAACCAATTATGGTTGAATGGAGATAAACATCTATTGCATAGGTGTCATTTTCTAGGATTTCTCAATCTCGCCAACTTAACAAAAAAATATTGCGATACATGGTATTAGTGATCAAAATATTTGCTGCCCTTCAAGTTGAAAGAGTACTGATCCTATCTCACTGGTTATTTCTTAGGTGTCAGGCTTGGCATTGTGACTTGAAGGGCCCTTCCTTGTGGAGAACATAGGCATCCCGGATGCTTCAATGTCGGATATGGGCACTTCTTGCTTTGGCTTATAAAGTGTGGGGGAAGTGATGTGTGACACTTCCTGGCAGGAGCTTTCAGAACCAGTAGATGCTATACTTTGACTCCTCTCTACTACAAGACTGCAATGTGCCCGACAGCAATGGTTTCATTAGCCTGGGCCCCAGAGTAAGGGTGATGTGAAGCAGAGCTGCAGCCAGCTTGGGATGGGCATGCAGTATGAGCAGGAAATTTTTTGTTGTTATAAGCCACTGATATTTTCAGGTTGCTTGTTATTGCAGTGTAATTTAGACAAACCTGACTAATACACATACCATCCTTACTGCATCTGTAGGAATGGTTACAGCAGTAACCAAAAAGAAGTGAGAATGGAAAAACACAGTCATATGCCACATGATGATGTTTCAGTCAACAACGGACTGCACATATGATGGTGGTCCCTTAAGATTATAATGAAACACTTTATTTTTACTGTTCCTTCTCCATGTTTAGATATATTTAAATAAGCAAACACCACTGTATTACAGTGGCCTACAGGATTCCATACAGTAACATACCATGCAGGTTTGTAACCTAGAAGCAATAGGCTAGACCATACAGCCTAGGTGTTAGTAGGCTATCCCACCTAGGTTTGTGTAACGACACGATGACATTTTTCACAACGACAAAATCGCCTAATGCTGCATTTCTCGGAACATATCCCTATTGTTAAGAGACGTATGACTATATTCTTTCTGTAATAGTGATAAAAGTACAGAATGCTTAAGGCTAAATTTGACAAGACAGGTTTAAGACATATGAAGAAAATAAAATATTATTGAAAGACATAAAGCATGTCAATTCTCCAAAAAATCCATATATAAATTTCATGTAATTCTAATCATAATTCCAATGGTTTCTTTTTAATTTGATAAAGGCATTTTAAAGTTCATGTGGAACAGAATTTACCCACAATGATGCTGCCAGGATTAAATGAAGTAAAGTATGTAAAGCACCCAGGACAGGATTTGACATCTATAGTATATGCACTGATATGTGTTGGCTAGTATTACTCAGAAAAATAAATCTTTAAAATGGGGAGTGCCAAAATGTATCTTAGTATACATGGGATTTTAATATAGCCATCTAGAGGAAAAAAAACTAGACCTCTATTTAATCCATATCCAAAGTTAAATCCATATGGATTAAAAACAAAAATGTAAAAAAATTAATATGTTAGAATAAAATTTAAGAGAATGAATTTATACACTACAGGTTAGGAAAACATTCTCAACTGAAATAGCAAACCAGGGAGTTGCAAAGGAAAAGATAATTTTTTAAACATGTGTATTGTCAAAGATACCATAAAGAAAAGAATAATCTTATTATACAGTAGACTTCAAGAAATATCTGGGATGTATCAGAAAAAGGTTAATACCTATAGTATGAAATGAGTGACCAAAAATTTACAGGAAAAAGAAAAAAAAAACTCCACAGAAAAACGAGTAAAGAATGTGTGAATAGGCATTTTCAGAAAAGCAAATCTAAACAGTAAACATGAAAAAATGCATGATCTGAACAGTAATCAGAAAGATCCAAACTAAAGTAATCCTGAGTTATCACTTCTCACCCATCAGAACCACAAAAGTTAAATTTCTGTTGACAGAAATGTGAACTTAAACCACTTGGAATCATGTTTACCATTTGGGGAAGACGTTTGAAAGCAACCCTTTAATATAGTGGTCAAGGAGGAAATTATGTGGCATTGCAATGCACCAAATATAACTACACTATTTTGAAAGTTCAGCTTTTCATGAAATGGATTTTGACAAGACTCTGACTTAGGCTGCTCGTTGTATCTCCCACAGTGTATGTTCCTCTCGGCTCCAAACTCAGAATTTTGCAACTACTTTTTGTCACTGCACAGCGTTTTCTCATTTCATGACCACTCCAACCCTTGAATACATGGAAGCTCCTAACGGCACTGCCTGGCACACCCTAACCACACAAGTTCTGGCAGCCCTGGTTGAACTCTGGCTAACTCGACCTTTTCAGATCTGTGACTCGTATGGCTGTCTACACCTGATTCTGATTCTTCACCTAGTTTCTCAGCCCCTACTTTCTCCACTTACTCCTACTCTTCCCCACTCCCCATCCTTCTTGAGAACCTCTCAGCACATGGATACCTACTGTAGTAAATAAATTAGACCAAGTGCTAATGGTGTCCTGGAGCTAATTTCACCCAGTTCCCACCACCACACCTTTCACACAGAGAAGCATAGTTTGATGAGCCCACTTACTCTGGAGATGGGGAGAATCACTTCAAAAGCAGGTAACAGTGGAGGGGGGCAGGCTACTAGCTGAAAGGCTATTACGATGTTCCTAATGAAAGATGACAGCTCCAGAAAGATGGTGAATGGAGTTTATAGTCTAATAAGGAGAAGCACATGTGAAAACAAGAGGTACAACAGTGTGTTACTGCTGGTGAGATACAATTACTCATATGTATGCATAAACAATGAGGCATAAAGAGTCTATTTTCCCCAAGCAGGGAAAGTAGGGCAGCGGAGATGGTAAGGAAAGGTTTTGTAGAGGAAGCGATGCTTGACCTGACATGGTTTGATAGCACATTCCAAAAAGAGGGGAGAACAGGAAAAAATGTATAGGGGTATGAAATCAACATTAACAGAGAATTCCAAGTACTTTAATATGACTGGAGTAAAGAATTTAAGAGTGGGGTTGACAGATTACAGAAAGCCTGTTTCACATTCTAAAGAGTCATAAATTAAATCTGTAGGGCGGGTAAAGAGGAGCTACTCAGGGCTTTAAGAAGGAAAGTAATCAATTTGAATTTGAGAAAACAACTTTGGCAGCGGTGTGGAGGACGGTTTGGAATAAGCAAGGATGTCTGCTTGTGGCTCGGGTGTCAGGTAATTAATTCTGTTATCCATGATACTCTACTTCTCAACCAGGCAAGTTCATCAAGGAATTTAAGAAACAATACTTTTCTTTCTTGCTCATGTAAAAACACCTAACTAGAATGATAAACAAACAAGGTCTTCTTTTTTTTCTAAACTCTATTGTATAAACTTAGTTGGACACCCTCATTTAATAAATGAGTGAGGCTGAATAGTTTTTGGCATTAATCCCAGATACTGAAACAGTGAGAAAACAACAAAACATGGAACATAGTATCTATCCATAACTCCAATTGTATGGTTAGGGTTACTGGAGAATTTTAAGAGTTATGATTTCCCTGGCAAAGTGTCCAAAAAACATACCTTCAAAAATTCCAAACAGCCATTTGGCATCTAATCATGCTGACATAATGAAAAATGTTGAATAAATTGCCTACGTGTAATTTCTCATTCCCGAAGAAGTAAAGGAAGGATGTTTTCTAAGTCTCCACAATGACAGGTTTTATTAAATAATAACATGGTCATAAAAAAGCCAAAAGAAAATTTCCGAGCTCACTTAGAAAATGGAATCAATCTATTATTTTCTTAAAGATAAATAGATATATTCTGTCACATAGAAGAACGTCTAAGGATATCCACCAATACATTTACGTTGGTTATCTCTGGGTAATGCGTTTAAGTGTTCTCTATTTTCTTCTTGTTGCCTTTTGGCATTGTCTGATTTTCTATAGTGAACATGCATTGCTTCTGGAAGAAAAAACAAAAAAGTCAAATACCAACCATACAATCAGAATGTCGCAGGCCATCTTTTTCAGCTCTCTGATTCTGCATCGACTTTCTAATTCTGAATAAGATTAATGTAAACTGCTTTCAAGGTAACATTCTGGTGTGTTTTGAGTAGGCTAAATTTCTTTCCTCAAGTCTGTATCTTCAGGGAATAAATTTTTGAATTTTCAAAATACAGATATTCCCACTAATTATTCATGCCAGTGGAGGGGAATACTGACACTATCCAAAAATATAATGGAATTGAAACCATCATGTATACATGTATATATTAGGCTTTGTGAGGCTCTGCACATGATACTTTTGGCAGATATGCTTTCTGAATTAAATTTTTATTTGGCTAATATTAAAATTACTCCATGCTCCCACATGTGGGCTGGCAAATGATGGGAGAAGGCTATAGTAAAAGAAATAGGTGTAGAATTTAAAACTCATTGCATATAATCTATCAGCTGTATGCTGTGCAGGCAAATGAATAGATTATGGTGAAAATATAAACCAATTCTGAGCACAGACAGACCTAAAATAGGGCTACAAAAGCATGAAAAATGGAATGCTAACTTGCGCCATGTCTGATGCAATGCAGATGTAAAGTAGTAAAATAAAACTCCTGGATTCCAAATAGTCTACTCTAGTACTTATTCTCAAAACCCAGCTTTTCATAATCAGCAGACACTCTTTTAAAAGCAGCTGCATCTGAAATTATAGCTAGTAAAATATTTCAAAATATGAAACACTCATCTCTTAGGGTTAAAGGGTCAAATGAACTTGATATTTCTCCATCTCTTAACACATAGGAAGGGGCTTGCAGAGAAGATTTGTAAATATGACTTATCCTAAATTATGCATATTGAACCCTTCCCAACACTGTAAGAATTTAAATCATTTAAAGAAGATCTGGATATATTTTTTATAACTTATAGATTCTTTTCAGGCCCTCGAAAACCTAGTAATTTTCTTATTGTTTAAGATTTGTATAATACCACTACCCTTATATGAACTACTCCTCCACCCCTAGCCTTGTAGGGAAGCATAATTTTTTTTTTTTTTTTTTTTTTTTTTGAGACAGGGTCTCGCTCTGTCGCCCAGGCTGGAGTGCAGTGGCACCATCTCGGCTCACTGCAACCTCCACCTCCTGGGTTCAAGTGATTCTCCTGCCTCAGCCTCCCGAGTAGCTGGGATTACAGGCGTGCACCACCATGCCCAGCTAATTTTATATTTTTAGTAGACACAGGGTTTCACCATGTTGGCCAGGCTGGTCTTGAACTCCTGACCTCAGGTGATCCACCTGCCTCAGCCTCCCAAAGTGCTAGGATTACAGGAGTGAGTCTCTGCGCCTGGGCCTGCCTCCTTTTTCTAACAGCTGCATCTTTGTCCTTGATTCCCTCTCACAACTGTTCTGGGCATCTGAGAGATCATTATCTCAATCATTCCTTCTTGCTGCTTCTCTTCCCTGCTGTCTTCACTCTTGCCCCTTCACCAACTCTTTCTAACATCTGCCTAACAAACTTTGGTCTGTCCAATCATGCACATGAAACAAAAACAAAACCCAACTTTCATTCAAACCAAAATCCTGATTCTATTTTTTGAAATGGACAACTTTCTGAAAAGAATGATCTATAAAATTTGGCTGCCTCCATTTTCTTCTTATAAATTCTTCATTCCTAACAATCTGGTTTATAGTTAAACTGCTCACCAGAAGATTATGCAAATGACATCCCATTTGCCAAACCCCATCGATCTTCCCATAATCATTATCTGACATCACTGGTCATTCCCTTATCTCAACATCGTATCTTCCTTAGCTCTGAGACATTTTCAGACCTCTCTTCTCTATGCCTCTTCCAGCTTCTTAAGTTCTAAAGAGACACTCACTACATACTAGATTTCAAAATCCTGCTGAGTACCTGCCTAAAGTATGCAAGGCACTGTGCTGTGGAGACAAAGCAGCTTTTAAGAGGGGGCTAACCAAGCAGGCTGGGTAATAGGGTTTGGGTGCCCAGGGCCAAGCTTAGGCAAATAACAGAAAAGAGCAAAGTTAAGTGTAATTTTAGATCGTTAGGGAGCACTAAAATTTAGGTCAGAAGACCCAAATTCAGCTGACAAGATGAAGTACAAGAATAGTACCCAAACAGGAGACAGATGAGGTAACAAATGGGGAAAGAGCTAGGAGGAGGGAGGAGGGTTCTTGCCAGATGTGAATGAAGCTGAATTTGTCCTCAGTTTACCTAGCTATGTCACCAGACTGACTTAAGAGTAAAGTCAAAGACGACTACAAAAAGTAAAACAAAATAGGGTGCTTGTTCTCATACAATGCCTCAGCATTTTCTGTGAAATGTGCATAATGATAGTATCTACCTCACAGGATTAATTGAAACAATATATGCAAAAAACTAAACCCTGGCCTGACATGTAACAAATGTTAGCTATCATTACTAATGTTCTATCCTCTAAGCTATTTAACATAAAGCTTAAGTAAACATAATTAAATCATTCCAGCATCAAATCTAATTTACTTCTTATTTAGCATACTCAAAAGTACCCCGTATTAGTTAATACTGTAACAAACCATTTAAAATAGGACATAAACTTGAGTGTAAGACTCAAAATAAAGGGAATTTTCTCCTTGCTGAGCCACTAAAACAACTCTTCACACTGGTCACCAAAAGCCTATTTTCAGGGCTTTATGATCCCTTTTTAGCTACTTTTGAACTACTTTCTAACCTCTCAATACTTCCTTGCCCTTTTGATTCGAAGATGGCATAGCCTTTAAAGCAGGCTCCCCTTCTTCTGGCTGTCTTTTGAATTCTGGTATTTCTTAGGTTCACTCCTACTTTTTCCTTCCTTTCAAAGCCTTTCCAGTATGTGACACTACCTTAGCGTACCATTAGTGGCTTAAATGGTATCCTGGTTCCTACTTTCTCCCAATCTTAGTCTGTCCTTCATGCTGCCACCAGAATTTTTTTTTTTTAATGCCAAATGTTTGTGAAAAGACCTCCATTATCTCCTGTTGTCTATAAGAAAAAGCCCTAAACCTCAGCATACCATAGAAGGCCCTTCGTTTTGGCCCCAACCTGTCCCTCCAACCTCATCTCATTTTGCTTCACCTGCTCACCCAGAGCTCCAGCCACAGGGAAATGTTTTCCATTACTCAGATAACAACACGACTTTTCACAGATCTCTTGCCTTTACATGTTCCTCTTCCGTGAATGCTGTTTTCTCCTGCTCCCAACAACTTTCTGGTTTAGCCCCTTTCTCTATCAAGCATTTATCACACTGCATTTTATTATTTTATTATTATTATTTGAGATGGAGTCTTGCTGTGTCACCTAGGCTGGAGTGCAGTGGCGTGATCTCTGCTCACTGCAACCTCTACCTCTCAGGTTCAAGCGACTCTCGTGCCTCAGTCTCCTGAATAGCTGGGACTACAAGCATGCACCATGATGTCTGGCTAATTTTTTTTTTTGTATCTTTAGTAGAGATGGGCTTTTGCCATGTTGGCCAGGCTGGTGTCGAACTACTGACCTCAAGTGATCTGCCTGCTTCCAGCTCCCAAAGTGCTAGGATTACAGGTGTGAGCCACTGCACCCAGCCCATGCTGCATTTTAAATATCTGTTTGCATGTCTATTTCCCCAGGAAAATATATAAGCATCTCAGGTACAGGGAATTGCTCTTTTCTTCTTTATAGCTCCAGAATCTAGTACCAAGCAAATGTTCAATACATATTCATTGAACTGTGAGCAATCAGCAAATGTTAAAATGATTTTTAAGAAAAGATTCGCAGTTTTACAATTTCTCAGGTGGAATTGACGGAAAGAAAAAAAGATGCAAACGAAACACTCCAACTCAAATCTCAGGATTAAACATGGCTATTGTGAAGGACCAGAAGACACCTAAAGGACAGCATGGCAGAACACATAACATCTGGAACTTCAAAGTTGTATGACCATGGCAGTGGATATACATAACATATATGGCCTTATCATTTTCCTCTCTCAAATCCTTCGATGGCTTTTTAAAGACAAAGCCTCATCCTTAATCTTGCCTACAAAGGCTGCATAAAAAACCTGTAGCTAGGTCCCATGATGCACGCCTGTAGTTCCCATTACTCAGCCGGCTGCAGCAGGAGAATCGCTTGAGCCCAGGAGTTCAACGCAGACCTGGGCAACATAGCTAAACCCTATCATTATTTAGAACAAACAAACAAAAACAACAACAAAAACCACTTGCCTCCATCTACTTACAACCTCATCTCACAGTACTCTCCACTTTACTTTCTGAACTTTAGCCAGACTTAGGCCTTCTTTCCAGTTCCGTTTTTGCACAAGCAGATCTGCACGTAATGTTGTTTTAAATATCCTACTACCCCAAACTAGTTCGCTCTTATCTTTTAGCTGTCAGTCCAAAGATTCCCTAAGATGTCTCCATCCTGTGGCAGCAGACTATAAGGCCGTTTTATTACATTATATTTGAACAATACAGAATAGTGTAATGAGCATGGATTCTAGACTCATAAATATGTCCTTAGGCATATTTATTTAAGCCCTTCATGTCTCGGTTTCTTCACCTGTAAATTGTACTTGTAAGGTTATTGAAAAGATTAAAAGAGATAAAGGATGTAAGCACTTAGAACTGTGTTGATAACGCAATTCAAAGGGCCCAACATATGTCGGTCATGATCACATTTACTTAATTTGTAGTCACTATCGTCCCCTCTCTCCCCTCTAGCCTCCGGAGTACCCCTGCTCCTCTAGCCCAGAGGCCACACCGGCCTGGTCCTTTTTTGTATTCCTAGCCTCAGCACAGGGTTCGGAACATACCAGGCCTTCAATATTATGTTTTTTAAAAATGACAAAAGCCTTGTGTCCCAATTTTGCTTTATTAGCCGAACGATCTCAAGCAAATCACTCAAACCACCTACGCCTCGTTTACCCTTCTGTGAAATGTAATAGCTACCTCAGAGAGGTTTTGTGTTAAATAAGGCGATGTACCTACAAAAGCACACTGCACATCTTAAAATGCCGTACAAACCGTAGATGTTTATTAATAAACCGGAGTCCGTGTCTTCCCTCCCCTCAGGCACGTCTCGTCCCGACCCCTCCCTCCTCCCAGCCCACACCCTTACTGCGCCCTTGGCCCTGGGTCCCTTGGGATTGCAAGCGTGGGAGCCTCGGCCCCGCGCAGCTCCCTCCGGCGTCCCGCGCCCTCCTTCCTTCCTCGCCAGGACGGACGCACTTCCGGCGGATGTGGGGGCCAGCCCTCGGAAACGGAAGTGAGCGGCGGGGTCGACTGACGGTAACGGGGCAGAGAGGCTGTTCGCAGAGCTGCGGAAGATGGTGAGTGGGTACCCGGGCGGCTGGAGTTCCACGCGGGCTCGGGACCGTGGCTCGGCAGAAACAGGCAGTCGCCTCCCAACCCGTCCCCGGTGGCGGCGGCGGCGGCAGCGTGGGGCTGAGGCCGGCCTCAGGCGCCATAATCTGTCGAGTCACGGGGTTTGGGTGGGTCGTGACTGTCGCCGGGGCCCGGCACTAGTCCCACTAGCAGTGCTTCGGCTTCATCCTGCTCCTCTTAGCTCGGTTTGCGCCCTTCCATCCCTTAGACCCCAGCAGGCCCAGACCTCCTCCCCTTACTTGGCGCAGAAGTGGAAAAGGCAGCCGTGAAAGTGCAACGTTCTGTGGGGTGGCGCTGGCGACCCTTTCCTTGACGGGTAACCTCTGGGAGCCCAGAGCTCTCAGACTCCTCATCTCCCCCAGCCCCCGCCCTTGTAACTGCCTAGTAAACAGCCCACAACTATAGGTCGCATTTGTGTAACGCAGCTTTGCTCTACAAACTTTTTTGAGAGCTTGTAGTGTGCTAGATGTTAGAGGGGAAAAAATCAGACAGTTGCTATTCCCTGTTTGCCAGTATTGTTAGTATATCTCCTCCCTCCTTCTCCTCCCCACCACTTTCTCTTTCTTTTTAACTTAGAAGTTGTGGTATTTGAGAAGAACACTGAGTCACCATTGCCACAGACTCTGATATCGGTACTGCTGGTAGGCCATCCATCCAAATCTAGAAAGTTTCTATTGGTAAATACTGCTAATCGTTATCTAAAAAGTTTTTTAGGCACTCTCAAATGTAACTAGTAGTTAGGTTTTCGTAGATTTGCCTTTCTCGGCTCCTTCCTTTATTAGAAACAGCAAGTACTAATCTTGATATTTTACAGAAGGAAATTGGGAAAAATGACAATAACAGAATCCAGAAGTCAGAATTCACCTTTTCTTTGTGCGTTGAAACCTTGTTACTTTACAATAAAGCAGTCCAGAAGGAGGAGAATGTTCATATAGGGAAGTAATAGAAGATACATTTGGAAAGCAACAATCACACATCTCTGCTGAAGGTCCCCAACTTCTGGTGGTTCAACAATCTTCTGACTTTATGATGGTGTGAAATCCATACACAGTCAGTAGAGGCCATATTTGAGTACCAATACAGCCATTCTGTTTTTCACTTTCAGTACAGTATTCAATAAATTACATGAGATACCCAGTACTTTTTAATAAAGTAGGCTTTGTATTAGATGATTTTGGCCGACTGTAGGCTAGTGTAAGTGTTCTGAGCACATTTAAGGTAGGCTAGGCTAAGGCCTGATGTTTAGTAGGTTAGGTGTGTTAAATGTGTTTTTGACTTTTGACATTTTCAATTTAAGATGGATTTATTAGGAAGTAACCCCATCATAAGTCAAGGAGCATTTGTAGTCCTGGTAGGAGTTCAGCTCCTTGGTGCAGATGAGTAAACAAGGCCAGAGAGGTTGGTGCTTTGCTGGCAGTCACAAAGTAGGTTAGTGACAGTCCACACTAGAGTCCAGATTCTTTTCCTCGTCCACCATGACTTCTTGTATGTAGGGGAGTTGGAACCTATTATGCAGGTTCTTTAGGTCCAGGCTAAGGAGTCTGAACTTTGTGCTTCAGACATCGATGAACCAACAAAGATTTTATAGCAGTTTTGTTGGAGGAGGTTTCATGCTTGAGGAAAACCTTGATATACAGAACTGGAAAATGGGTGAGTCTAAAGGCAGCAAGACCCAGTAGAATGCTGTTGAAGTTATCCATGTGTGATAGGCTGGGCTGGAGTGGTATAGTGAAGAAACCCTGCAAAGGATAAAATACCTGACTAAATCAAATATACAAACGAATTAAGAAATCAGTTAAAAAGCTGACTTCTCAGAATATTTTCTTCTAGAATAATATAAAATTTGATACTAAAACTACCTGTAGCTGTTTTACATTTTTCTGCAGAATCACAGGGATATTGGACTTGAGCAACAAGTGATTTAAAGTTAGCGTCTTGGGCCGTGCATGCTGGCTGACACCTGTAATTCCAGCACTTTGGGGGGTGCTGAGGCAGGAAGATGGCTTGAGCACAGGAGTTTGAGACTAGCCTGGCCATCATAGTTGAGACCTTATCTCCACAAAAAATAAAAAAATTAGCCAGGCGTGATGTTGCACGCCTGTAGTCCCAGCTACTTGAGAGGCTGAGGCAGGAGGATCGCTTGAACCTGGGAAGTCTAGGCTGCAGTTAGCCGTGATTGCTCGACTGCATTCCAGCCTGGATGACAGAGCAAGACCCTATCTCAAAAAGTAAATAAATAAAGTTAGCATCTCATGCTTTGCCTGTTGTAACACCATGTTTTCTTTGCTTGTTTAATATATTTTCATAAGCTGAAGCCCCGGGAGGTAGACATGTAGCTTCAGTATCTAGCAGAGTACCTGACACATAGTAGATGGCTAATAAGTATCTGGTGATTGCGCATTTCACAGTAGCGTAGGGTAATCATACACCAATACCAAATGCACTGTCTTTTTTACTTTGTTTTATACTATCCTGATTAGATACACATAGTTTTTATAGGTAGCGCTATCTTCATATAGAAACCAAACACTTTCTGAAATTCCCTTTTTTTCCCAGCTTCTCTACTTTTCTTTATCCATCCTGTCTGTTAATCCCATTTCTGTGTTGTTTTTCCTTGTCCTCAGGGAATAGTATTCCCGAGGATGCTGTCTTCAACTTTTTTATTCTGTGTTATACACTCTAACCTAAGGGAGTGGTTTTTCCAGGGGAAACAAATTCAATCATGCCATAACCTTTCAGAGGCTTTCAGTTTTGGAATAAAACCCATATTTCTTTGCACATAAGATGTTTCACTTTTGTATTTCATCAGCCTTTACTTCTGCCTCACTGGAAACATATTTAGCCAGTTATCTCAAACTACCTGAAGCTTGTTCATTTATATTTTCTTGCCTTTATTCATGTTATTTTTTCCTGGAATGCCTTTCAAACTGACAGCATTCAGAGATCACCTCAGGAATCCTTCCCACATCTAAATTTGGTATTTTCATTGTACCATGTGTGTCTCTATCATATCATAATGTTTAAGGCTTGCTGTAATTGTCTAGTCTGGACTTTTTGAGGGCCTCTTATTTTTCTGTCTCCTACTTAAACAATATTTTTGACACAGCTGCCTGGGTGTGTGTTTAAATTTTTTTTCTATTTAATAATGTTTTTTATTTGTGTTGTAGAATGCCAGAGGACTTGGATCTGAGCTAAAGGACAGTATTCCAGTTACTGAACTTTCAGCAAGTGGACCTTTTGAAAGTCATGATCTTCTTCGGAAAGGGTATATGGGGGAGTTATGACTTTGATTTTGTTATGTTTCTGTGAATTTTCACAATATTCTTTAAGTATTTTGATAGGCTATACATGTGTATTTAGTTGGCAGATGGCAAGTAATATACCTTACATGGGGTGCAGAGGGGAAGAGGCTTAGATATTTTCTGTAGTGGAAGAGGTGTCTCATCAAAGTAGTAGGTTCCCAATTAGAGCATCCTCCTAGGCAGTGGTGCCCATTAGCATGATTTGGTAGGATTCTTTTTATTTATTTTTTTGCTACTGATAACTTAGCCATTTGCCTTCTTGTCTTAACTATTAGGGTAATTCACTTTTCTTTGGGAGGCACTAGAACATAGCAGTTGAGAGATTAAACTCTGGATTCAGTCGGCCTGGGTTTGGATCGTGGCTCTGCTCTTTACTAGATGTGTGCCTTTGGACAAATCACATAATTAATGTCTCAGTGTCCTTATGGATAGAATAGGCCTAATAATAGTCTGTATCTTCTTTTGAGGAATAAATGAGTTAATACCTGAAAAATATTTTAAATGGTACCTGACATTAGAAGCACTCAGTATGTATTGGCTACCATTTTTTTTCTTTTCTAGCTTTAGCATGCAGTTACGCCATGTTTTTGATTTCCTTTTTGTTTCTGTATGTTTAGGTCTCAGTTTCTGGTACTAGACCATACTCTTTGCAGGTCACTTTTCTGCTTAATAAAATAAGGATAACGACCTTTCCCCCATAAACATTTTGTGTTTTGAATTTTTGAATTTTACATCTAATTTTAAAGTATTTACTCTTATTTTTTGTTTATTTATTTATTTTTTGAGATGGCATTTTCCTCTTGTTGCCCAGGCTGGAGTGCAATGGCGCGATCTCCCCTCATCGCAGCCTCCGCCTCCCGGGTTCAAGTGATTCTCCTGCCTCAGCCTCTTGAGTAGCTGGGATTACAGGCATGTGCCACCATGCCCGGCTAATTTTGTATTTTTAGTAGAGACGGGGTTTCTCTGTGTTGGTCAGGCTGGCCTTGAACTCCTGACCTCCAGTGATCCGTACACCTTGGCCTCCCAGAGTGCTGGGATTACAGGTGTGAGCCACTGCGTCTGGCCGTAATTTACTCTTACTATAATAGAATGGCATTCTAATGCTGGTGTCTGAGTACAAATATAATCCCTCATTACAGACTTTCAGTTTTGTAGTAAAAAAATGCAGCATATAGCCTGTGAAATTGGAGATATAATTTGATATTTATAATCAAGTTGATTGGCTAGGCAGTAACTAAGGTCTGAAGATTTTTTTCCCCCCACATGAAATGTTCCTTCTTCTTCCTGATTGGACTGGGGCAGGACCATTTTCAAAACCCACTTCCTGGATAATGTTTTGTAAAAAGACAATATTCAATAAACAATTGTTGCAGGGTTTCTAAGGTTTTTATTAGCTTTAAAATCCTAGTTTGGATAATAAGGTAGTCATCTTTATATAGCTAGAGTGATAAAGACCAGTGGCCTGGTTCTAGTTGTGCCTTACCTAACATACTTTATACATAGTAGGTGTTCAGTAAATGTTAAACCTATTGTTCAACATGTTTATTAAAGATATATTAAATATTGAAAGTGTTAGACCTGAAGGGAATAGGCTTAGTTTATATAGTGCAAGAAGTACCTCATCAGAGTAATAGCAATAAACATACATTCATTAAATTTCTTCTAGATGTGGCACCAGATTTTGGCAAGTTTTCCCTAGTGATTGAAGTCTTGACCACCAATGTCTATAATGGATACATTCTTACATTATTATATATACCTTTTTTTTTCCTTTTGGTGTGTAGGTCTATGAATTTTTAGCACATGTATCAATTCCTATGACTGTCACCACAGTCAAGATACAGAACAGTTTTGTCACCCCAAAAAACTCTCTCATGCCATCCCTTTATAGATATGATTTTGAGCTCTGGGTATTGAGTGATATTTAATCTCCTCTAAATGTTTTTTTTTTAATGTCCTTTCAGTTTTTCTTGTGTGAAAAATGAACTTTTGCCTAGTCATCCCCTTGAATTATCAGAAAAAAATGTAAGTATATTATTATGTCCTTATTTTTATCTTCTAATAGATAAATACTTTTACTAATATTGGTTTCATTTTATTAAAACAATTTTGGTACTGAGGATTTGCCCATGAAGAATATGAGGCGTTATTTTCAAACCCCTTGTAGGATAGACTTAAAAATTACACTGCTCCTCTAAAGCTCCCTTTCTATGCGTTCTTACCTGCCTTTTTAATGTACGTCTCCAAAGGGTGATCCACTTCTCCATTCCTCTCACAGGAATTTTCTCTTTCAATAATGCTGTTTCTTTTATATTTTTCCTGCCATTTTTGCTGTTGACTTCCAAGTTCATATCTCTAGTTTTGACCTCTTTAAGTCCTGCATCTCCGAGTTACTGTAGGACACAGCCACTAGGCACAGTAGGTACTTCGATGAATATGACATCATCCCCATCCTTAAATAACTTAAAATTTAATGAGGAAGACAAGCAGTGGGTAGGAGAAGGCTTCGTAAAATGCTAGAGAAGACCAAGGATGTGACAGCCACCTGTGCTTAGGGCTTTTTTGGAAGGCTTTATAGAAGAGGAGGGACCTTTGAACAGTTTTAGACCAGAAAGTTTACTCCTAAAGAGAGGATAGCATGTATACATGTCCAAAACACAATTTAAAGGATTCTTAAATAAACATTTAGAGGAAGAAGAAAAAGGTTTCTGACTACTTGGGGAAGATGATGCAGTTGTTAGGTAACAGAAAACTGATCTGTATTTTGTTTTTGTTGTTTGTTTGTTTCGCTTTCTAATAAGAGGATAGGTCTGCCTATAAGAAAGAGTAGAACAAATAATGTAATTATGAAATTGAAGTTCAAATTAGATGAGAAAAATAAAAAAATTCCTCATCGATTTAAGTGAATTCAGGTTTCAGGTGCAGAAGTTGACAGCCCAGAGTACACTTATAAGTATGTGAGTATGATTATAAAAGCACAGTTGATCATCTTTGAGAACTAATGGGAGAAATGAAAATTGGTTATAGATGGATACATATTCCACTTTTGTATAAAGGATCTAACTAAAAAATAAGATTGTCTGTGGTAACATTGATCCCTGAAACTGTTTCTTAAGTGGACTATTGAGTGAGCTGTGAGCATTTAATAGGGTAAGCAGTGATCATCAGCATCTGAATGAACTCAGCAAATTAATTTTAGTTCACTCTTTTACTCAGTTGCCAAATGGGTCAGTCAAGGGATCAAATTATCTGACAAGGGATAAGATTGAGGATTACATGGTGGATTATTAACCGAGTGAAAGTAGTGTAGGGTAAAGTATATGAGGTTGGTAACTGTACCCAGAGAACGGTGATTAGGGAATAGTCAATTTGGAGGGAATATTTTGATAGGGCTTTTTGGCCTCTGTCTACATCTTAGGTAGTCAGGTGGACACATAGGAAGGATAAGTATTTTTCAAGGACTTGTGGGCAACCAAAGAAAGAATGTATATTAGGTTTTTGGAAAAAAGGTTGAGAAGGATAGTTCATTCTGTTGAATAATTGAACTATATCATGGTGATAAAATAGACCAAAGTCTAGACCAAAATTTAAGGAAAACATTTATAGAGGTGAGTGTGAAGTTCTGCGTTTGGATTCAAAAAATGAATTCTACACCTTTGGGCAGGGTAAAGTGACTTGCTCTGTAAAACTTGACTATTTTAATTGACTGTATACTCACTATAAGCCAGCAGATTACGTTAGTTACTAAAAAGAAAGGTTAATGCAGTCTTGGGCTTTGTTAATAAGATGGGGCTCAAATCAAGGGAGATTATATTATTTTCCTGTGTATTAGTCTGGCTATTAGATTTGGAATATTGGTTTAGTTCTAAGCAATACATATTAAGAGAAACTGACAAATCTGAGTGAGACTAGGTGGAACTGTGAAGAATCTAAAAACTTCAGAGATCTTTTTGAGACTTACATACATCTACTGCATCTCTTCTTCTTTAATCATTTAGCCAGCTAATGGCAGTCTCACTCTTTATGTGACTCTTACTGTCTATTATAAATCCTTCAGCATGGATTGTGTAGTTGAACTATGTGGGCACCCCACTTTGCTAAGTAAACTTGGGGCATATTGCTTAATTTTCTTTAAGCCTTAGTCTTCTCATCTGGAGTTAGTAATAGCCCATCCTTGGCATATTGCTGGCCTCTAGTAGCTCTGCATGATTGGGAGCTTCAGTGGTGATAGTGATGGAAGATGGCCATCATCATTTGTACCAGTGGTTCTCAACTAGGGGAGGATCATCCTCCTGCCCCCTACAAGGGAACAGTTGGCAAAGTCTGAGGACATTTTAGGTTGTCACAAGTGGTGCGGTGGGGGATGGGGGGATGTAATATTGGCATCTATGGGGTAGAGGCCAGGGATGCTGCCAAACATCCTACAGTACACAGGACAGCCTGCCACAGTGAAGAATTATCTGGCCCAAGAAATCAGTAGTGCGGAGGGTTGAGATACATACATAATGTCTTCCAAACTGGATTATAATCTCCAAGGTAGGCTGTTCAGTTTTGTTGTGTGTTGCCACAGAGCCTAATTTTGCACACGGTTGCTAACTTACATGTTGATTGATAATTACAGTATTAATATCACATTACAAGATGGCTGTATTCATCAAAATTTACATAAATTGAGTTATTATACATAAAATTACATTTACTGCTGGGTGTGGTGGGGTGTGCCTGTAGTCCCAGCGGCGTGGGAGGCTGAGGCGGGGGATTGCTTGAGCCTGGTAATTCGAGGCTGTAGTGCTCTATAATCGTGCCTGTGAATAGCCACTGCACTCCAGCCACATAGCAAGACCCGTCTCTTAGAATAAAATTGTATTATCATGAGGATAAGCCAATATTTAAAGCAAACCCTTCACTTAGAACTTCAGATCATATACCCATAATAAAATACTGCAGGTTTTCCCTAAGGACCATCTGTCAAAATTTGCTGTGTAAAGCTAAAGTAATTAAAAAGCATTTGGTTAGTCACCTTACTTTCAAACTTCATAGTCATATCCCAAGTAGGTGCTAATCTCTCAATAGATTTTTGTTCAAAATGACCTTTTTGATTACTATTAGAAGACAATGTTATCAAGAGAGTAGCGTGTAATAAAAAATGACAAGAAATGACTTTACCTCATTATAATCACCTTAGCTCAGACAAATCTTTGTAACAGTCTGTTTGCATATTACATTCACTATCCTTAGGAGCCATTTTTGGAAACTGTTTTAGAATCCATGAGTCAAGTCGATTCATTTTGCCTGAAATACATTAAGTTATGGCCAAAGTTCCCTAAATGTAATATCAGTACTTAGTGAAAGTATGATCCAGGAAAAATTGCTGATTAGTACCCAATACAAATTGAATAAACTTTTGAGAGATGTTTGTTTTTCCCCTGAGGCAAGTACCAAAAATAAGTGGAGTTTAAACATAGTTTAATTAACAGGATGATTTAGTGGTCAGATTATTTCTTTTGCTGAATCCTTTTAAATATATGCCTTCATACTTAGAAATTAACTATTTTTGTCAGTGGATGTGACATTTTCTGGATCTCAAATTACACCTTTGCTAGTTTTGCAGTACTTTTAATCAAAAGCGCTAAAATATGATTGTCTTGTAAATCTACTTTTGAATAGGAGACACATTCCTTTACTTTTATAAATTTGGAATTTTGGTAGTAATTTTACTCTGGTAAAAGTACACCTGCATGCTAAATGAAATATAGACATATGTGGTCTAAAATTTGTCAGAAAAAATTAGTAAAAATACTTAGTTTTTATTACAGGTATGGATATTAAAATTCTTCATCTAACTATTGTGTTATATATATGCCACTGCTAACTGTTTTGAAAGCAGAGTATTGAGTGTAATGTTTAAAATTACATTGTCTTTTGTAGTTCCAGCTCAACCAAGATAAAATGAATTTTTCCACACTGAGAAACATTCAGGGTCTATTTGCTCCGCTAAAATTACAGATGGAATTCAAGGCAGTGCAGCAGGTGAGTTGATGGATCTCTGTTGCATATGTGTCGATATCATTCATGAGGAATCTTCTGTTTTCATAACAGCTATTTATACCTTATCTACCTTACAACCTATTCTACTTCCCTCCCCCTTTTTAGGGTATGACCTTGATTTCTACTTCATAGAGGGAAAAAAGAAGTCATTAAATGGAAAACTTCAAATTACAGGCTCAGTGTCTGAAAACTTACCTGCATCTGCTTTCATGTTTTTCTGGGTTTTTTTTTTATGTATTACATTGAATTTGAGATCCCTCTAAGAATATCCAAGTGGAGGTGTCAAGTATACAATTTGTATATAGTTGAATATACCTGTTTCTAAGGAATAAGTACTTGGAAAATGTCCTTCCAATTATGTAAGAACCACCCTCCTACCTGTGCTTTGGATTCTATCCTGTTACATTACTTCAGGAAAATCCCTTTATCAATGATGCCTTCTCAAGCTGATATCTTTAACCCCTCTCTGCTTGCTCTGTCTCAGCAGTAGCATTTGAACCGCTGTTGTCTTTTAAAACAAAAAAAAATTGTATCAATTTCAAATTCCTTTATAGTAACTTGTCTCTCATTGAGTGTGCTTTTGCTTCTTGAAAAGTTGTCTACATTTGCTTTCTATACTCCTTTCCCTGCTATTTATTTAACCCACTGTTTCTGTCTCCCATGACACCAATGAAACTGCTCCTGAACAATGTGGACATTTTTACCTTCACTTTACTTCATCTCCCTGTAGTATTTGACACTAATAATGGCTTCTTCCTTTTTCCCTTGGCTTTTATGTTTTTACTTTGTATTTATTTTTTTGATACAGGATCTCATTCTGTCATCCAGGCTGGAGTGCAGTGGTATGATCATAGCTCACTGCATCCTCAAACTCCTGGGCTCAAGCAATCCTCTTGCCTCACTCTCCTGAGTAGCAGGGACTACAGTCACTTGCTACCTCGCCTGGCTAGTTTTAAAAATTATGATTTGTAGAAACGGGCTCTTGCTATGTTGCCTAGGCTGGTCCTAAACTCCTGGCCTCAAGCTATCATCCCACCTCCTTGGCTTTTAGAACACCACACTTTCCTGATGTCCTCCTTTCTGAATCCTTGTTCTCAGGTGTCTCTGTGTAGGTTCCATTTGTTTTGCCTGTTTCCTAAAATGCCAGTTTTGTTAGTGCCCCATCTCTAGTCCTTTCCTGACCCTATTTCCTACTTGTTGCTTTAGTTATCAATTATATGTTGATGATTCCAACTGGGCGTGGTGCCTCACACCTGTAATCCCAGCACTTTGGGAGGCCAAGGTGGGTGGATCACTCAAGCTCAGGTGTTCAAGACCAGCCTGGGCAACATGGCAAAACCCCATCTCTACAAAAAAAAATACAACAAATGTGCCAGCCGTGGTGGTGCACACCTATAGTCCCAGCTACTCAGGAGGCTGAGGTGGGAGGATCATTTGAGCCTGGGAGTCGGAGGTTGCAGTGAGCCGAGATCGTGCCACTACACTCCAGCCTAGGTGACAGAATGAGACTCCGTCTCAAAAAATAAAATATGTTGATGACCCCCAAGTTACAATTCTCATGAGCTATAAACCTATAGGCTTTTCCAATTGGAAAGCCCAATTGGAAGTCCCACAGGCACCTCCAGTTTTACATGGACAAGTACAGAATAACTCATAATCCCATAATCCCCCACATACTCCTTATCCCATATGAATAGGTTTCTGCCTAAGGCAGAAATTGGATAATTAGCCTTGGTTATGTCACCTAGCACCCATCCTAACCTCTTCCCCTGCTCCCCCAAATCATTCAGTTTATTACTTGCTCTCCCCACCATTGCTACTATGCTGGTCCTTGCCCCTGTCAGACTTCATCTGGATTACTGCAACACTCATCCCTGCTGCCCCTCCAATCCTTGTTAAGACTCTAATCAGAATAATCTTTGTAAAACACAGATTTGATTATGTCATTCCCCTCACTTTACCCTCTAAATAAAAATAAAACCCAACACTTAGTGTGGCTCTGTCCATGAATTGGCTCCTTGCTTCCCACCACACTTCTTATCCTCTTAAACTACTTGCAGTTTCCTAATTCATTAAGTTCTTTCACTGTTAGGCGTTTGCACACATTTCTCCTACTGGTGCAGATTCCTTTCTCTGACCTAGCTAAATTGTCTTTTTCAATAAATTTCTATTGGCCGAGCTGGGTGGCTCATGCCTGTAATCCCAGCACTTTGGGAGGCCGAGGCAGATGGATCACCTGAGGTCAGGAGTTCGAGACTAGCCTGGCCAACATGGTGAAACCCCGTCTCTACTAAAAATACAAAAATTAGCCAGGCCTGGTGGCATGTGCCTGTAATCCCAGCTACTCGGGAGGCTGAGGCAGGAGAATTGCCTGAACCCAGGAGACAGAGGTTGCAGTGAGCCAAAATCACACCATTGCACTCCAGCCTGGGCGACAAGAGCAAAACTCCATCTCCAAAAAAAATAATAATAAGATAAATTCTACTAATACTATCAATTGTATTTGGCTAAGTCATTCTGGAAGCTACTCGTTTTCCAAAGATAAAGCTCTTAAAAAACATGGTTTTGAGTAACCTAGGGTTGAATCTTGGCTTAGCCATCTACTAGTCTTAAGAACTTGAGTAAGCTGGAGAGCTTTCTGAACCTTAGATTTTTTAATTTAATGTGAAATAAGGAGAACAGTAAGAGTAGCATAGGATTATTCTGAAGATTAAATGAAATCACATGTTTGGCACAAAATTGTTAGCTTCCCTTTTTATTTTCCTCTTACTCAGATTTCAACTACAGATTGCTCAAATTCTGGATTTAAGTTTTTAATACTATTTGATCCAAATATCTTTGCCCAGAATTCTCTGTCTTTTTTTTTTTTTTCTTATCTCTATACTTTTGCAGTTTTGGGTTGTCAAGATGTATAACAGCTGCCTGCTCCTCCCTGCTTTTGATGCATTCTTAGGACTGTACTCTGATCTAACTACCAGACCCCTTGCTGTCTGGTTTAATTTACAGGTTCCTATTTTTGTTTCTTCCTCTTCCTCCCACTTCCTTTTTTTTTTTAGGTTTGACAATCTAGAGAAATTTTTCCACACTATAAAGATTTTAAATATCTCTATGGAACATTAGTAATTGAAAATAATATATTTAGTCTGGATACATTTTGTTGGGGGTGGGGGGAATGTGAGAAACTGCCCTCTTAGATTCTAACGGTGTGATTATCTTTAAAATACTACTATCATTTAGTCAAAGACCACCTATTTTGGTAGTCTGTGGGAATATCAAAAATTATCTGCATTAGCTGGGCTTGGTGACATGGACCTGTAATCCCAGTTTTAGTGGGAGGATCACTAGAGCCCAGGAGTTTGAGACCAGCCTAAGCAACCTATTGAGTTGGACTTTCTTCAGGAATTTGATCATCCTACATGTATCAGGAATGAGGCGTGATGTTAAGCTCTGGGATTTTGCATTTCATTACATGGTATATGCCGTAGTTTTCCTGAGCAGAAGCAAAGCCTCAAAATACATGCACACCAGGTAGGATTATTGTTAATGAAAAGTATAATTTCAGTGTCTTTACAACTTAGTTTGTGTCTAAAATATGAACTAGTGTTTTTTTCCACTTGTTAAATTGATCTTGTATTTGGTTTTGCGAATTTTCAAACAAAGAATAAAGAACATGAAATTAGACTATATATTCTGTCATTTTCCCCTGAGTTTTTTCTAATCTTGTCCCTTCATACTTTTCCCCAAAGGTTCAGCGTCTTCCATTTCTTTCAAGCTCAAATCTTTCACTGGATGTTTTGAGGGGTAATGATGAGACTATTGGATTTGAGGATATTCTTAATGGTAAGTGTCATTCAGCACCTTTTTATGGAGCCCTTGTAATTTAAAAGGCAAACAGCTGCAAAAAGAATAGGCAAAATTCTTGTCCTCATGGAACTTACAGCTGATTGGGTTCACTTTATTCATTGCATTAAGATAAAGTTTAATGGTAGTAACTGTTCTTTAACTGTTTTTAAAAGTGAAGATTGGCTGGGTGCGGTGGCTCACGTGTAATCCCAGCACTTTGGGAGGCCGGGGTGGGCAGATCACCTCAGGTCAGGTGTTTGAGACAAGCCTGGCCAACATGGTGAAACCCTGTCTCTACTAAAAATATAAAAAGAAAAAAAGTGAAAATTATTTATGAAATTCTAAGAGTACATAGTCATTTCAGTCTAGTAATGGTGGTTATTCACTTCATGTCCTGAGCTTCAAGTGTAATATGTCAGTCTGATATTCCTAGGGTGACTTAAACAATGATAATTATTTCAGAATTCACATTGTTGGGATGTGACTGGTGTTGTTTTTGTGTGTTTAGTTTGATTTTGGGGTTTTTTGACTAGCATTTTAAACAACTGGAAAATAAATCTTTCTTTAAAAAGTAGCTCCCCAAAAAAGTAATTTTTGTACTTCTACAGGTGATAAATAGGAAAGAGGAATCTGTCTTTTTTTTTTTTTTTTTCAAGATGGAGTCTTGTGCTGTTACCCGGGCTGGAGTGCAGTGGCGCAATCTCAGCTCACTGCAACTTCCGCCTCCTGAGTTCAAGCAATTCTCCTGCCTCAGCCTCCCAAGTAGCTGGGATTACAGGCACCCATCACCACACCCGGCTAATTTTTGTATTTTTAGTAGAGACGGGGTTTTACCATGTTGGCCAGGCTGGTCTCGAACTCCTGACCTTGTGATCTGCCCGCCTCGGCCTCCCAAAGTGCTGGGATTAGAGGCGTGAGCCACTGCACCCGGCCGAATCTGTTATTTTTAATAAAATTCCCTGAATAATTGTAAATGAATTTAAGTAAGAACAATATATGCAGCATCCTCTATTTTTTCTGGTCCTGAGGAAGATAAACAAATACAATCCTGTCCAATGCTGCCTCTGCTCGTTATGCCCCAGCAGTGCAGGAGAAACAAAAATATCCAACAGGATTAAGTTTTATTAGTTTTGCTTGGCTGCTGATGTCCGGTAAGGAAATGCTGTGGACATAACAGAAGTCTAGTGAGCCTCCTTTCAGAATCTTCCCTGAGGGAGCATTTTGGATGCAGGAAAAGCTGGGATTCTTAAGCTTTTACATTGAACTTAGACCTTATTTAAAACTACTAAGGTGATAGTTCAGGTCTTTAGTTACAAAAGCATTCATTTAAAAATCTGCTTCTGTAATTCTGTTTAAAGAAAGGGAGAGGGACTTAGGAGCATTTATCTAGTCAGTCAAATATGTGTCAGGCACTGGGCTAGGCTCTGAATATACAGCTGTGAACAAAACAAATATCTGTGCTTTCAAATGGGGGAGATAAACACATAAACACAAATATACAATTTGATAATTCTAGGAATAAAAAGGATGTTTTTGGGTTGGGAGGGCACATACCTCTGGGAATACAACACAGAAGTGAATTTCTGAAAGAAACATGAAATCATTGACCTAGAAGTAGAAGGAGAGTATTTCAGACAGAAGAGATGAGTATGTTCAGGGTATGTAACCTGAGAACAGCTGAAGAACTCTGAACGGTTTGAGATCTTACTCTACTTTGAAGCTAACTTGTTAGCCTGCCATGAATTCATGGATGCTGGCAGAAGACAAGAGACTCCTAAAGGACAGTTTCTTATTCATAGCAATAGCGTAGCCAGAGTATCAGCATTTCTTTTGGTTCCCTTAGCCCCACTTCCTATGGGGCAGCTAAGAAGAGGGTAAGGTGAAGCCTTGTACATTGAGTGTGTTACGTTAGAGGAGAGGAACTCCATGTTCAGGCCACCTCAGCCTTATAACTGGCAGTAAACCTGCCTGTCCTGTGCTGCTTTGTCTTATGAGGCTGAAACGGCTTTGGAAAGATAGCCTAGAACAAAGGCAGTTTAGTGTCTCTGCTCCCAGCTTGCAGAATGGAGAGACCAATAGAGAACTGTCTCCCAGCATATATAAGAGCACTTTAAGAAGGCCCATATGGCTGGCATGTTTTGAGCAAAGTAGAGAGTAGAATAAGGTTGAGATCAAAAAGCTCAGCAAGGAACAGATGAATCAGGGCCTACAGACCATGAAAAGAAGTTTAGAATTTCTTCAGAATGCAAAAAAAGGCCATTGAGCAGTTTTAAGTAAGGATGTAATGTGATGGAATTATATGTTTAAAAAGGTCACTAGCTGGCTGGATGTGGTGGCTCAGATCCATAATCCCAGCACTCTGGGAGGCAGAGGTGGGAGGATCAGTTTAGCCAAGGAGTTTGAGACCAGCCTGGGTAAGATGAGACCCTGTCTCTACAATTTTTTTTTTTTAAATTAATTGGGCATAGTGGTGTGCAGCTGTAGTCCCAGGTACTCAGGAGGCTGAGGCAGGAGGATCACTTGAGCCCAGGAATTTGAGGCCACAGTGAGCAGGGATCACACCAGTGTACTCCAGCCTGGGCGACAGAGTGAAACCCTATCTCAAAAAATAAAAAATAAGCCACTTGCTATCTTGTGGGCATCTTTTAAAATTCATTCCTTGTGTCTCTCTAAGGTAGCTATTAGGAAAAATCACCTGTTTAGGTAGATTTTTTTTGTTTTGGAGACACGAGTCTAGCTCTGTCACCCAGGCTGGAGTGCAGTGGCGCGATCTCGGCTTACTGTAACCTCCACCTCCTGGGTTCAAGCAATTCTCCTGCCTCAGCCTCCCAGGTAGCTGGGATTACAGGTGCCCACGACCACACCTGCCTAATTTTGTATTTTAGTAGAGTCAGGGTTTCACCATCTTGGCCAAGCTGGTCTCAAATTCCTGACCTCCGGTAGTCTGCCCGCCTCAGCCTCCCAAAGTGCTGGGATTACAGGCGTGAGCCATCACGCCCGGCCAGGTAGATGATTTTTATCCACCTGGTAGATGATTACAGTGAGACCACTGTATTTGGGGTAGTTTTTTTCTTGTGGGAACTGTTATTGCATAATATACGGTTAACTTAGGGCTTCACCTTAGGGACCTGAATTAGCTGTTCCTTTCTGCCTCAAATAGTTTACCCTCATTTTTCAGATCCCAACCTAAATATTACTCAGAGAGTCCTCCGTTAACTACTGTTAGTCTGTTCTTGCATTGCTATAAAGAAATACCTGAAGCTGGGTAATTTGTAAAGAAAATTTATTTTGGCATATGGTTCCTCAGGCTGTACAGGAAGCATAGTGCTGGTATCTGCTTCTGGTAAGGGCCTCAGGAAGCTTACAATCGTGGCAGAAGACAAAGGGGGGCCAGTGAATTATATGGCGAGAGGGAGCAAGAGAGTGAGGGGGCTGCCACACAGCTTTAAACAACCAGAACTTGTGTGAACTCAGAACAAGAACTCACTTATCCGGGGGGTGGTGCTAGACCATCCATGAAGTGTTCAACTCTGTGGTCCAGTTACCTCCCTACAGGGCCACCTTCCGCACTGGGAATCACATGGCTTTGTTTTTTTTCTCTCTCTGTCACCCAGGCTGGAGTGCAGTGGCGCGATCTCTGCTCACTGCAAGCTCTGCCTCCCGGGTTCAAGCGATTCTCCTGCCTCAGACTCCTGAGTAGCTGGGACTACAGGCGCCCACCACCACGCCTGGCTAATTTTTTGTATTTTTACTAGAGATGGGGTTTCACCGTGTTAGCCAGGATGGTCTCGATCTCCTGACCTCGTGATCTGCCCACCTCGGCCTTCCAAAGTGCTGGGATTACAAGCGTGGGCCACCGCGCCTGGCCGGGAATCACATTTCCAACATGAGATTTGGAGGGGACAAACATCCAAACCATATCAACTACCTAATCTAAAGTAATCCCCGCTCTGTCACCCTGCCTTATATTAATTCTTTACATAACACTTATGTGATATTTTTCTTATTTATTATTTGTCCAACTTAAATATACGTGTCAGGAGAGCTGGAGATTTTTTTCTTGTTAACAGTTGTGTTCCCAGTACCTGATAGGGGGCTTGATCCATAGTTAAGGGTCATGTTGATCACATTCTTATCACCTTTGACACAAAACACAGTGTTAAGTCTATAATCAGAGAGTAGCTTGTTAATCTAAATACTGTGTAAAGACTGTGACAGTATTGGAGATGATGACTTTTTTGCCTGCTTATCAGTGAAGTACTTAGGCAAGTTAATTCTGTACATTTTACAAGATTAAGAAGGACGTATAAGGACACTAGTAGAATCAAAAATAGACTTTTTCTTAATGCTGGAAGGGGACTTTCATGTACTCTAATCCCCTAACTGGAAGATGAGTAAATGGAAGCTCACAGAGGCTCAGTCCTCACTCAGAGTCTCACGGCGAGCTTGTGGTACAACAGATGCAAAACCCGTCTCCACCAGTGCCTTGCTTACATGATATGCTGTCTTTTGGTGCAAGTGATTTATTTAATAAATGCATTTTATTAAAGAAGCTTTAAAAAGCAGGGTGTGGAGAAAAGTTTAGTTACATAAATGAGTATATTCTTTGTGCAAAAATTTGAAATATTACCATTGAAACTCAGATTTGCTGTAGTGACCCTCAATCCCATTTTTCTCGTTCCCTAATTACCGGCTGTTTTAGTTTGGTTTAGTCTGTCCTTCCAGACTGTTCTGCGTGTCTTTCTATGTAGTCAAAAATATTGCCTTTTTTTTTTTTAAGTTGAGGTTTTGAGTGCCTTTTATATACACAGCAGTTTATTAATCTCCAGTCTCTTAGGAGGTCCAGTGAGGAAACATCCACATTGTACTGAACTGTTCCTCTTGGTAGCCACCATTATTATGTGCAGGGTTATTCATTTTTACAAAGTGATTTTACGATTTAGTTCATTAGGTTTTTATTCTGTTTCTAGTCCTATGTTGAGTAGAGGACAAAGAAAAAGTCTCTGTCTTTAGGAAGCTTATGCTTGGTATTAATTTTAAAAGTTCTTTTAGGTGTATAATCACAGTTAAAATAAGGCTTTTGTCTGACTCATCTGTAAACACAAAAGTGATGATTTTTAAAGGTTTTCTTTCTTAAGAATTCTTACGTTTGTGTGGATACAACAGGTCAGAAGACAATACAGATAAAACATTTTTGTGAATTAAGAGATTGTTTCCCGTCCTGTGGGAAGCCACTAGAAAACTTAAGAACTTTGAAAAAAAAACTTTTGTCAATCTGTTTTTTCTTTTTAAATCCACTATTTTGAGATATTATTGACATACAATAAAGTACACCTATTTTTAAGTGTACAGTTCTGTGGGTTTTAATTAACATGGAACCTGGTCTCCTAAACAGAGGAGTAGAATGTTTTCATTGCCTCACAAAGTTCCCTTGGTCCCTTTTCAGTCAGTCACCCCACCCCAGCCCCAGGCAATCACTGGTTTGTTTTCTATAACTTTAGGTTAGTTTTGACTCTTCTGGATTCTTATGTAAGCAGAATCATTGAATGTATCTCTTTTTTGAGAGTCTTTTAAAATGTTTGTTTTTGTTTGCTTTCAGATCCATCACAAAGCGAAGTCATGGGAGAGCCACACTTGATGGTGGAATATAAACTTGGTTTACTGTAATAGTGTGCTGTTCATGGAAACCGAGGGCTGCATCTTGTTTATAGTCATCTTTGTACTGTAATTTGATGTACACAACATTAAAAGTACTGACACCTGAGAATTTCTGCTCAAGTAGTATCAGTGATCATTTAAAATTTGGAGGGGTCTTTGGTTTACAGCCATGTGACAATTAAAAGCACTAAAGGGAGATCATGTTAAAGCTCTTAATTTATATTAAAACAGTAGCCTTTGTCTTTAAAAAAGTTGTTGCTCATGAATATTATAAAATGATCTACAGGTTTCAATTCAACCTGTTTCTAGGTTTTTTTGTAAATTTAGTTTTGATTAAGCATTATAAGCATTTGAGTCTATAAACTTTATAGTAGCATCTTTCAGAATAAACATTTTTAATTGATTTCAGTGGCAACTCTCAAATTGATTACAATATGAGATATATCAGTGTCGTCCATTAACACTCATAAGAATAATATTTACTGTGTCAGTGCTATTTTAGGATTATAGTTATTGTTTGATTATTTCAGGTTGAAAAGTAGAAGTTCCAAGGTTTTGATTTTGGTCTGGTCTTTAAGTGAAAAATTAAAGCAACCAGTAGATGTAGGTTAAACTTTTACTTCATAGACTTAATATGTAATTAATATATTGCCAAGCAACACTGTTAAAGAAAAGTAAAACTCATTTTTTCTTGTTCTTAATTTATATATTACAAGATACTGTAAGGTATTCTTTATGAAGTTGATATATAAAAATTTACATTTTTAGAACATTAGTGAATGGATCATCTTTTACAATTAAAAGTATATTTTGATTATCAGTTTCTTAGGAACATCTTTGATTAGATAAATTACTGATTTGAAACATTTGGCAATGTCTAGAGACTTTTTGGAGTTACAACTTTGGGGTTGGGCTGCTACTGGCATCTAGTGGGTAGAAGCCAGGAATACAGCTAAAGATCCTAAAATGCACGGAACATCAGCATCAATTTATGGTCTTGTAACTAGTTGAAGACACTAAAGGGAAATGAATTTAAAACTCACAATTTATATTTGTACAGTAGCATTCTATGTCTTTAAAAAACTTACTTATGAACATTCTAAAACCATCTACATACAGTTTGCACTCTGCAACCAAGATCATTTGGTTCAAAATGTCAGTAGTTGCTAAAGTTGACAAACCTTGAGAAAAGTCAAGTACACTTAAAAAATTTCTTTTGTTGCTCAGGCTGGAGTACAGTGGCGAGATCATGGTTCATTGCAGCTGAGACTTCCCAGGCTCAAGCAATCCTCCCACCTCAGCCTCCCAAGTAGCTGGGAGTACAGGGGTGCATCTCCACACCTGGCTAATTTTTTATTTTTTTATAGAAATGGAGTTTCGCTATATATTGCCCAGACTGGTCTTGAACTCCTGGCCTCTAGTAATCCTCCTGCCTTGGCCTCCCCAAAGTGCTGGGATTACAGGCATGAGCCACTGCACCTGGCCCGTTACACATTTTTAAAATAGATATCTTGCTCTTACCTATTGAGATTAAGTTTAGAATCGTCTTTGCTAATACAGTGTTCTCCAGCCCACTTTACACTTAAATAATAAGAAAATGTAGAAATAATAAAGATTCACTAATTGCTTCTACATATATTCTCCTTAATTAAGGAAGTTGGAGATTTCTTCTGTACCTTAAACCTAGGAATAATAGATAACCCTTCCTGACCAGTAGAGGGTACTGTGTTTAAGAGTGTAGTTTAAATGGAAAATGTGAGGCTTTAATATAGAACTTGGTAATCACAAATAACACTTTCTGATGGTCTTTTTGCCTCCTCTCTCCTCTTTTAACCTTTGTGTTACCAGTGGCCCTCACCCCTGGATGCTTATAGGAATCAGCTGGGAATCTTGAAGAAATTTTAGTGTCAGTATTTTAATCTCATAAATTCCAGTAGGACTAGTCTGAAATGGATCCCAGGAAGTATATTTTTTGAAAGCTCTCCACGTTGAGAACCTTTTATATGCTTTATTCCCTTTCTTTGCTTGCTCTGCCTTTGTGTTAGTGACAATTGCCAATTGCAATTCCCAGGTTGTGACCTGTGCTTCTGACCGACTGGTTGCAAATTGGGGTTCCCACTTTCCCTCTCCTTGGGTTTCATAATTTGCTAGGGCAGCTCATAGAACTCAGGGGAACACTTTACTTACATTTATCTATTTATTATAAAAGATATTGCAAGGGCTACAGATGAACAGCCAGATGGAGGTGATGCATAGGGCAAGGTAAGGGGGAAGGTGCTAGGAGCTTCTATGCCCTCTCCTGGCACACCACCCTCCGGACACCTCCACGTGTTTACCAACCTGAAAGTTCAGGGGTTTTGATAGAAGCCTCATCTTGTAGGTATGATCAATTATGAACTTACTCTCCAATCCCTCTCCCCTTCCTAGACGATGAGGTTGGTTGAATGGGGCTGTAGATTCCAAGCTTCTAGTCATGATATCACAGTCCTTGATTAAAATTTATTAATACTAAAAAGCATACCTAATGGCACAATCTAATTTTATATTAAGCCTTTTAATATATATGAGAACAAAGGAGTTGGTGGCTATTACCATCTGGAAGTGTTGGGGATTTGGTGTATAATTGAACACGCACACCACGGGATGGCTCTTGCACTAAACACAACTTTTCACTCTACAGAATGTAAATAACAGGCTTATTACTTTTTCTTAATTTTGCCCTTTACCATGGGTGTTATCCCTTTTTCTGGAGGACAGGGAATACATCTCAGTGCTCTTCTACATTGTGTTATTCCTTTGTTTATTTTATTTTTTAGAGATGAGGTCTTGCTATGTTTCCCAGGCTGGAGTGCAGTGGGTATTCACAGGCATGATTATAGCTCACCAAAGCCTCGAACTCCTGGGCTCAAGTGATCCTCCTGCCTTACCTTCCTGAGTGGCTGGGACTACAGGTGTACGCCACCATGCCCCCAGCTTGTTATTTCTTTGAATGCAGACATTCAAGAATGAGAAAAACGATCTGAACAAGTGCTTTTGAAAAATGGAAGAACTATGTGAAATATAATTCTTTCATTGGATTCTACAGTTGGATAAATGTGTTTATTCAAACACATGAAATATAAGTTAAATATAAGTTAAAATCAACTCATCTCTTCAGAAGTGTGGCCAGAGTCAAATTTAACCAAATTTTGACCTGCTGTTTCAATAAAACAAAAAATGCTGTGACACTTTGTTGGACTTACTTTCCTCATGACTTCAAAATTGAAATTCAATTTCCTTCATATACAAGAAATGCTTCATTAAGAACCTATACTTAATATGTTATAGATCTTTAAATATTCCTAAAGAATGAGAATATACTACTAGTTTTTGTTTTTGTTTGTTGTTTTTTGAGACAGAGTTTCACTCTGTCGCCCAAGCTGGAGTGCAGTGGCACAATCTTGGCTCACTGCAACCTCCACCTCCCAGGTTCAAGCGATTCTCCTGCCTCAGCCTCCCAAGTGGCTGTCTTTGTTTGTTTGTTTTGTTTTTTCAGGTTGAAAAAGTGTAATGGACTTTAAAACTTTTTTTTTTTTTGAGACAGAGTCTCGCTCTGTCGCCCAGGCTGGAGTGCAGTGGCGTGATCTCGGCTCACTCAACCTCCGCCTCCCGGGTTCAAGCGATTCTCCTGCCTCAGCCTCCTGAGCAGCTGGGATTACAGGCACCTGCCACCACGCCTGGCTAATTTTTGTATTTTTAGTAGAGACGGGGTTTCACCATGTTGGTTAGGCTGGTCTCTAACTCCTAACCTCATGATCCGCCCGCCTCTGCCTTCCAAAGTGCTGGGATTACAGGTGTGAGCCACAGTGCCCAGCCGACTTTAAAAACTTTAAAGATGAAAAATTAAGTTTTGAAAGTTTAGGATTTGCTTCCAGATTTGGAAGTTACTTCTGGAGCCAGTAGACCTGTTTTGTCAGCTGTACTTTGCTTTTTGCTGCTTTTCAATGTCTTGGCTTAATGGAGACAGGAAAAAGTTATATTGTTCAGCACTGTGACAAAATAGAGGTCACGGAGGATATGGCTTTGGGTCAGTGGAGGATCAGGTAGAATTCTGCTTTGACTTTTGCCACACTTTTGGAGAGATGAATTGATTTTAACTCAATACTTTTGTATTTTTAAAATTTCAAAATTAGAGAAAATCTAGAAGAATAATAACAAAAGCACCCATATAACCTTCATGTCTCTAACATATTGTCTTATTTCCTCGTGAGTAAATTCAGGAGAAACATTTTTGGCAGGACATCCACAGCGGTGGCGATGTCTGCTTCTTACTGCAGCTCATCAGGGGTCATACAATATCAGGGTGTCCCGCTTGCTGGTGATGCCAAGTTTGATCACCTGGTTAATGGGTGATGGCTATCAGAGATCTTTACTGTAAAAGTACAGTTTTCTTTTTGTAATCAATAAGTAGTCTGTGAAGCAATAATTTGAGACCTTGTGTATATCCTGTTCCCCAAGAACTTTTCACTGAGGTTTTAGTATCCATGGAAAATCTTTGCCCAAATCATTTATAACATGGTCATGGGGGTCAAAAGAGGGCTACAAAATCGTGGCATTCTTTTTCTACTTGTTTTGGCTGACAAGTTGTAAAGCAGAGTTTCCCCACATCTCTCTTCCTCTCCTCAAGTGTCCTTATGCACTCATGGATTCTTCTTAAATGCTTTAGAGTCTATTTCTACACAGTACCCTTTTGATGGCCTAAACCTAACCATTTTATTGAGCAGGACTTCAATTTGAAAATGACTGATGTCAAAATGTTAAATTTAATTTTAGCATTTTTCATTGTTATTTCAGAGTATCAAATATAATTTGAGATATTTTTGTTATCATAATCATAGATATTACGGCCAAAGAAATACCATGTTGGCCATAAGGGGAACAACTGCTGACCCTAACACTACCAATGTTCTGCCCATCACAGCATGAGCAAGTCGAGAGTGAGATCGGGAGTGGTGGTTCTTGCTCCATTCTGTGTGGTAGCTTTGAAGTAGGCACTAGGGTATGAAAATTTAAGAGAGGCTGGGCACGGTGGCTCACGCCTGTAATCCCAGCACTTTGGGAGGTCGAGGCAGGCAGATCGGGAGTTCAAGACCAGCCTGACCAACATGGCGAAACTCTGTCTTTACTAAAAATACAAAATTAGCTGGGCATGGTGGCGCACTGTAATCCCAGCTACTTGTGAGGCCGAGGCTGGAGAATTGTTTGAACCTGGAGCAGGCTAAGAAAGAAACCAGGAAGCAAAACAGCAGAGGGAGGCAGAGGTTGCAGTGAGCCTAGATTGCGCCACTGCACTCCAGCCTGGGCAACAAGAGTGAAACTCCGTCTCAAAAAAATAAATAAATAAATAAATAAATAAATAAATAAAATTTAAGAGAAGATAAGATGGAGGAAACTGATAAGGCACAAGGAGTGGTGCACATTTGTTCTTCTTAAACTTTTTACTATGGAAGTTTTTAAATATCCAGAAGTAGAAAAATACAACATAATCCCATGTCCCCATCATCTGTCTTCAATAATAATCATGTTTCATCTATATTTTACACCCATTGTTCCCCTCAATATTGCCTTAAAAGAAATTCTAGACATCTCATGTGTAAATATTTCAGTTTATAACACTAGCATAACCATAAAACTATTAACAGTAATTCCTGACAAATACCCATCGTTCAAATTCCTAATGGTCCAATAAGTGTCATATATAAATTGTGCCAATTGTCCAAATATATGGGTTCCACCTCCATCTCATTTTTCTTTGTCTTGCTAGTTGTTGAAAAAACCAAGTTGGTTGCTCTATAGTTTCCCACAGTCTAGATTTCACTGTCTGCCTGTTTGTGATAGTCTAACATGTTGTTTTCTTTCCTTAGTATTGCCTATAAACTGCTAGTTGAATCTACAATCTTGATAAGGTTCAGGTTCATTATTTTTGAAATAGTCACTTCATAGGTGATGTGTTCTTCCATAAATCTGCCTGCAGATAGTAGCTACCCACTCCAGGTCTCCCGCCCCTGCAGGCTTGGGAGTGCCTGCTCCTGCTGCCTGGCCTCTTGCTGCTCCCGGCACCTGCTCCAATTTCTGAGCAAAGTTGAGGCTGAACCTGGGTACTGTCACAACTCGGCCGGGTGTGCATGCTCAGGGTGGCAATGACATCCCACCCCCCTGCCACCTAGGCCCCCTCCAGACTTTGGGTGCCGACAAACGTGAGAGGGAGGCCAAGGTGGTGCTGAGGGTGGCTTGGCATGGGCCTGCAGGTGGCCCTCCGCACAAACAGCCTGGGCACCATGGATGACATGACTTACAGCAGCAGGACGCAGACAGGCTCCTGGGCAGAAAGGGGCGTGTCTCCAGTGAAGCCACACCTTCAAGTCAGGGATGGCCTGAAGCGTGGGGGCTGGGCTGTCAGTTCTGTGAGGAGTCTGCAGCCTGGATGGAGTAAGAACTTAATGGTGCTTTTTCTGGGCCGGCCCATGGCTGCCCATGGACCAATCAGCACACACTTTCTCCCTTCTGAAGCCCAGAAAAGCACTGGGTTCAGCCAGACTTGCAGAGGTGTAGGGACTACCTGCCTGCGGATAGGAACTACCAACTCTATATCTCCTCTCTGCTGAGGGCTGCACAGACATCGGGATAACCTGCCTGCAGATAGTGGCTACCCACTCCAGGTCTCCTCTCCATTGAGAGCTGCACTCATCCAGATGACCTGCCCGTGGAAAGGAGCTACTCACTTCGTGTTTCCTGAGAGCTGTACTGTCACTCAGTAAAGCACCTCTTTGCCTTGCTCACCTGCCAGTTGTCCACGTACCTCATTCTTTCTGGACATGGAACAAGAACTTGGGACCTGACAAATGGCAGAACTGAAAGATCTATAACACAAACAGGGCTGAAACACACCCCCCAACCCACTGGCCATGTTGTGAGAAGGAGAAGGAGAGAAGAGCTGTGGCCCTCTGGGAAGCCCAGACCTAAGAGCTCCCCGAGCCAGGGCTGTGATACCCTCTTTGGAACCCTGTGGTTCCTGGCATCTCCAAGCTTCCAGATGCCACCACATTTCTTGGATCCTGCAGTGGAAGCTACTTGCGGTATGCCTGGTCCAGCCACAGCCTCGCACAGAGCCAGTGCCTGTGCGGGTGCCTGGAGCTGTCTGCCCCGCCACAGCAGCCAGTGTGCCTGCCTGTGCACAGTGGCCAGACCCCGTGCTCGCTCACTCACGCACCCCTTGCCACACTGTGCCTGGCTTGCCCTTGGCAGGAATGGGATCTGGGCTGGTGGCACAAGCCAAGCGCAGCCTGCCAGGCCGAGTGGGCAGAATGAGCCCAGTGGGCCCAAACAAAACTCCCGCAAAGGCGCCACAGCCACAGAGGCTTCCAGCTGGAAAAGCGACACCCTAAGGATCCTGTGACAGTATAATTTGAAGTCCGGTAACTTTATGCCTCCAGATTTGTTCTGTTTGCTTGATATTGTTTTGGCCATGTGGGCTCTTTTTTGGTTCCATATGAATTTTAGGATTGTTTTTTCTAGTTCTGTGAAAAATGATGATGGTATTTTGATGGGAATTGCATTGAATCTGTAGATTGCTTTGGGCGGTATGGTCATTTTCACAATACTGATTTTTCCCATCCATGAGCATGGGTCATATTTCCATTTGTTTGTGTCATCTGTGATTTCTTTCCGCAGTGTTTTGTGGTTTTCCTTGTAGAGCTCTTTCACCTCCTTGGTTAAGTAGAGTCCTAGGTTGTTTGTTTGTTTGTTTTTTGCAGCTTTTATAAAAGGGATTGAGTTCTTGATTTGATCCTCAGCATGGTCATTGTTGGTGTATATCAGTGCTACTGATTTGTGTATGTTGATTTTGTAACCTGAGACTTTACTGAATTCATTTATCAGACGTAGGAGCCTTTTGGATGAGTCTTTAGGGTTTTCTAGGTATACAGTCATATCATCAGTGAATAGCGACAGTTCGACTTCCTCTTTTCCAAATTGGATGCCCTTTATTTCTTCCTCTTGCCTAATTGCTCTGGCTAGAACTTCTAGAACTATGTTGAGGAGAAATGGTGAAAGTGGGCATCCTTGTCTTGTTCCAGTTCTCAGGAGGAATATTTTCAACTTTTCCCCAATCAGAATGATGTTGGCTAGTTGGCTATGGGTTTCCCATATATGGCTTTTATTACTTTGAGGTAAGTCCCTTCTATGCCTATTTTGTTAAGGGTTTTTATCCTAAAGCGATGCTGGATTTTATCAAATGCTTTTTCTGCATCTATTGAGATGATGATATGATTTTTATTTTTAATTCTGTTTATGTGATGTATCACATTTATTGACTTGTGTATGTTAAACCATCCCTGGAGTGAAACTCACTTGATTATGATGTATTATCTTTTGGATGTGCTGTTGGATTCAGTTAGCTAGTATTTGTTTGAGGATTTTTGCATCTATGTTCATCAGGGATATTGGTTTGTAGATTTCTTTTTTTTTAAATGTCCTTCCCTGCTATTGGTATTAGGGTGATATTGGTGTCATAGAATGATTTACGAAGGATTCCCTCTTTCTCATCATTTGGAATAGTTTCAGTAGGATTGGTACCAATTTGAATGTCTAGTAGAATTCAGCTATGAATCCATCTGGTCGTGTACTTTTTTCATTGGCAATTTTTAAATAAATGATTCCATTTTGCTGCTTGTTATTGGTATGTTCAGGGCTTCTGTTTCTTTCTGATTTGATCTAAGAGGGTTATATGTTTCCAGGAATTTATCCATTTCCTCTAGATTTTCTAGGTTGTGCACATAAAGGTGTTCATAGTAGCCTTGAATGATCATTTGTATTTCAGAGGTCAGTTGTAATATTTCCAGTTTCATTTCTAATTGAGCTTATTTGGACCTCTCTCTTCTTAATCTCACTAATGATCTATCGATTTTGTGTATCTTTTTAAAGAATCAGCTTTTTTGTTTCATTTATCTTTTGTATTTTTTTTGTTTCAATTTCATTTAGTTCCGCCCTGACCTTTGTTATTTCTTTTCTTCTGTTGGCTTTGGGTTTAGTTTGTTCTTGTTTCCCTAGTTCCTTGAGGTGTGACATTAGATTGTCGGTTTGTTCTCTTTCAGACTTTTTGATGTAGGTATTTAATGCTATGAGTTTTCCTCTTAGCACTGCTTTTGCTATATCCCAGAGGTTTTGATAACTTGTGTCACTATTATCATTTATTTCAAAGAATTTTTAAATTTTCAACTTGATTTCATTGTTAACCAAAAAATCATTCAAGAGCAGATTATTTAATTTCCATGTATCTATATAGTTTTGGAGTTGATTTCCAGTTTTATTCCACTCTGATCTGAGAAGATACTTGATACAATTTCAATTTTCTTAAATTTATTGAGACTTGTTTTGTGGCCTGTTATATGGTCTATCTTGGAGGATGTTCCGTGTGCCTATGAGAAGAATGTATACTCTATAGTTGTTGAGAATGTTCTGTAAATAGCTGTTAAGTCCATTTGTTCTAGGGTATAGTTTAAGTCTGTTGTTTCTTTGTTGGCTTTGTCTTGATGATCTCTCTAGTGCTTTCGGTGGAGTATTAAGTCCCCCACTATTATTGTGTTGCTGTCTGTCTCATCTCTTAGGTCTAGTAGGAATTGTTTTATAAATCTGGGAGTTCCAGTGTTAGGTAAATATAAATCCAGGATTGTAGTGTCTTCTTGTTGGACTGATTCTTTTATCATTACATAATGTCCTTATTTGTCTTTTTTTACTGTGGTTGCTTTAAAGTCTGTTTTGTCTTATATAAGAGTAGCTACTCCTGCTCACTTTTGATTGCCATTTGTGTGGAATATCTTTTTCCACACCTTTACCTTGAGTTTATGAGTCCTTATCTGTCAGGTGAGGCTCTAGAAGACATCAAATATTTGGTTGGTGTATTTTTTTAAATTAATTCTCTGATTTTGTATCTTTTTTTTCTAATTCTTTTTTTTGAATTATAAGACTTTAAGTTCTAGGGTACATGTGCACAATGTGCAGGTTTGTTACATAGGTATACATGTGCCATGTTGGTCATTTACATTAGGTATTTACATTTACATTAAGTATCAACTCGTCATTTACATTAGGTATTTCTCCTAATGCTATCCCTCCCCCAGCCCTCCCACCCCCCAGCAGGCCCCAGCATGTAATGTTCCCCTCCCTGTGTCCACGTGTTCTCATTGTTCAACTCTCACTTATGAGTGAGAACATGCAGTGTTTGGTTTTCTGTTCTTGTGTAACTTTGCTGAAAATGATGGTTTCCAGTTTCATCTATGTCCCTGCAAAGAACATGAACTCATCCTTTTTTATGGCTGCATAATATTCCATGGTGTATATGTGCCACATTTTCTTTATCCAGTCTATCACTGATGGGCATTTGGGTTGGTTCCAAGACTTTGCTATTGTGAACAGTGCTGCAGTAAACATACGTGTGCATGTGTCTTTATAGTAGAATGATTTATAATCCTTTGGGTATATACCAAGTAATGGGATTGCTAGGTCAAATGGTATTTCTAGTTCTAGATCCTTGAGGAATCACCACACTATCTTCCACAATGGTTGAACTAATTTACACTCCCAACAGTGTAAAATTGTTCCTATTACTCCACATCCTCCCCAGCACCTGTTGTTTCCTGACTTTTTAATGATCACCATTCTAACTGGCGTGAGATGCTATCTCATTGTGGTATTGATTTGCATTCTCTAATGACCAGTGATAATGAGCATTTTTTCATAAGTTTGCTGGCTGCATAAACATCTTCTTTTAAGAAGTGTCTGTTCATATCCGTTGCCCATTTTTTGATGAGGCTGTTTGTTTTTGTCTTATAAATTTGTTTAAATTCTTTGTAGATTCTGGATATTAGCCCTTTGTCAGATGGATAGATTGTAAAAATTTTCTCCCAATCTGTAGGTTGCCTGTTCACTCTGAAGATAGTTTCTTTTGCTGTGCAGAAGCTCTTTAGTTTAATTAGATCCCATTTGTCTATTTTGGCTTTTGTTGCCATTGCTTTTGGTGTTTAGTCATGAAGTCTTTGCCCATGCCTATGTCCTGAATGGTATTGCTTAGGTTTTCTTCTAGAGTTTTTATGGTTTTAGGTCTTACATTTAAGTCATTAATTCATCTTGAGTTAATTATTGTATAAGGTATAAGGAAGGGATCCAGTTTCAGCTTTCTGCATATGGCTACCCAGTTTTCCCAGCACCATTTATTAAATAGGGAGTCCTTTCCCCATTGCTTGTTTTTGTCAGGTTTGTCAAATATCAGATGGTTGTAGATGTGTGGTGTTATTTCTGTGGCATCTGTTCTGTTCCATTGGTCTATATATCTGTTTTGCTACCAGTACCATGCTGTTTTGGTTGCTGTAGCCTTGTAGTATAGTTTGAAGTCAGGTAGCATGATGCCTCCAGCTTTGTTCTTCTTGCTTAGGATTGTCTTGGCTATGTGGGCTCTTTTTTGGTTCCATTTGAAATTTCAAGTAGTTTTTTCCAGTTCTGTGAAGAAGGTCAGTGGTAGCTTGATGGGGATAGCATTGAATCTATAAATTACTTTGGGCACTATGGCCATTTTCACAATATTGATTCTTCCTATCCGTGAGCATGGAATGTTCTTCCATTTGTTTGTGTCCTCTTTTATTTCGTTGAGCAGTGGTTTGTAGTTCTCCTTGAAGAGATCCTTCACATCCCTTATAAGTTGGATTCCTAGGTATTTTATTTTCTTTGAAGCAGTTGTGAATGGGAGTTCACTCATGATTTGACTCTCTGTCTGTTATTGGTGTATAGGAATGCTTGTGATTTTTGCACATTGATTTTGTATCCCGAGACTTTGCTGAAGTTGCTTATCAGCTTAAGGAGATTCTGGGCTGAGACAATGGGGTTTTCTAAATATACAATCATGTCATCTGCAAACAGAGACAATTTGACTTCCTCTTTTCCTAATTGAATACCCTTTATTTCTTGCTCTTGCCTGATTGCCCTGGCCAGAATTTCCAATACTATGTTGAACAGGAGAGAGAGGGCCTCCTTGTCTTGTGCTGGTTTTCAAAGGGAATGCTTCCAGTTTTTGCCCATTCAGTATGATATTGACTGTGGGTTTGTCATAAATAGCTCTTATTATTTTGAGATACGTTCCATCAATACCTAGTTTATTGAGAGTTTTTAGTATGAAGAGGTGTTGAATTTTGTCGAAGGCCTTTTCTGCATCTATTGAGATAATCATGTGGTTTTGTTGTTGGTTCTGTTCATGTGATGGATTACATTTATTGATTGGTGTATGTTGAACCAGCGTTGCATCCCAGGGATGAAGCCGACTTGATTGTGGTGAATAAGCTTTTTGATGTGCTGCTGGATTTGGTTTGCCAGTATTTTACTGAGGATTTTTGCATTGATGTTTATCAGGGATATTAGCCTAAAATTTTCTTTTTTTGGTGTGTCTCTGCCAGGTTTTGGTATCAGAATGATGCTGGCCTCATAAAATGAGTTAGGGAGGATTCTCTCTTTTTCTATTGATTGGAATAGTTTCAGAAGGAATGATACCAGCTCCTCTTTGTCACTTTGGTAGAGTTCAGCTGTGAATCCATCTGGTCCTGGATTTTTTTTGGTTGGTAAGCTATTAATTATTGCCTCAATTTCAGAACCTGTTATTGGTCTATTCAGAGATTCAACTTCTTCCTGGTTTAGTCTTGGGATGATATATGTGTCCAGAAATTTATCCATTTCTTCTAGATTTTCTAGTTTATTTGCATAGAGGTGTTTATAGTATTCTCTGATGATAGTTTGTTATTTCTGTGGGATCAGTGGTGATATACCCTTTATTATTTTTTATTGTGTCTATTTGATTCTTCTCTCTTTTCTTCTTTATTAGTCTGGCTGGTGGTCTATCTACTTTGTTGATCTTGTTAAAAAAAAACAGCTTCTGGATTCATTGATTTTTTGAAGGTTTTTTTTGTGTCTCTATCTCCTTCAATTCCGCTCTGATGTTAGTTATTGCTTGTCTTCTGCTAGCTTTTGAGTTTGTTTGCTCTTGCTTCTCTAGTTCTTTTAATTGTGATGTTAGGTTGTCGATTTTAGATCTTTCCTGCTTTCTCTTATGGGCATTTAGTGCTAAAAATTTCTCTCTCCACCCTGCTTTAAATGTGTCTCAGAGATTCTGGTAAGCTGTGTCATTGTTCTCACTGGTTTCAAATAACATCTTTATTTCTGCCTTCATTTCGTTATTTACCCAGTAGTCATTCAGGAGCAGGTTGTTCAGTTTCCGCGTAGTTGTGTGGTTTTGAGTGAGTTTCTTAATCTTGAGTTCTAATTTGATTGCACTCTGGTCTGAGAGACAGTTTGTTGTGATTTCTGTTTTTTCACATTTGCTGAGGAGTGTTTTACTTCCAATTATGTGGTCAATTTTAGAACAAGTGCAATGTGGTGCTGAGAAGAATGTATATTCTGTTAATCTGGAGTAGAGAGTTCTGTAGATGTCTATTAGGTCCACTTGGTCCAGAGCTGAGTTCAAGTCCTGGATATCCTTGGTAATCTTCTGTCTCATCAATCTAATATTGACAGTGGGGTGTTAAAGTCTCCCACTATTATTGTGTAGGAGTCTAAGTCTCTTTGTAGGTCTCTAAGAACTTGCTTTATGAATCTGGGAGCATATATATTTAGAATAGTTAGCTCTTCCTGTTGCGTTGATCACTTTACCATTGTATAATGCCCTTCTTTGTCTCTTTTGCTCTTTGTTGGTTTAAAGTCTGTTTTATCAGAGGCTAGGATTTCAACCCCTGCTTTTTTTTGCTTTCCATTTGCTTGGTAGATCTTCCTCCATCCCTTTATTTTGAGCCTATGTGTGTTTTAGCATGTGAGATGGTCTCCTGAATACAGCACACCAATGGGTCTTGACTCTATCCAATTTGACAGTCTGTGTCTTTTAGTTGGGGCATTTAACCCATTGACATTTAAAGTTAATATTTTTATATGTGAATTTGATCCTATCATTATGATGCTAGCTATTTATTTTGCCTGTTAGTTGATGCAGTTTCTTCATAGCATCGATGGTCTTTACAATTTGGCATGTTTTTGCTGTGGCTGGTACCAGTTGTTCCTTTCCATGTTTAGGACTTCCCTCAGGAGCTCTTGAAATGCAGGCCTGGTTAATGACAAAATCTCTCAGCATTTGCTTTTCTGTAAAGGCTTTTATTTCTCCTTCACTTATGAAGCTTAGTTTGGCTGGATATGAAATTCTGGGTTGAAAATTCCTTTCCCTAAGAATGTTGAATATTGGCCCCCACTCTCTGGCTTGGAGGGTATCTTCCAAGAGATCCACTGTTAGTCTGATGGGCTTCACTTTGCGGGAAACCCAGCCTTTGTTTCTGGCTGCCCTTAACATTTTTTCCTTCATTTCAACCTTGGTGAATCTGATCATTTTGTGTATTGGGGTTGCTATTCTTGAGGAATATCTTTGTTGTGTTCTCTGTATTTCCTGAATTTGAATGTTGGCCTGCCTTGCTAGGTTGGGGAAGTTCTCCTGGATAATATCCTGAAGAGTGTTTTCCAGCTTGGTTCCATTCTCCCTGTCACTTTCAGGTACAGCCATCAAACGTAGATTTGATCTTTTCACATAGTCCCATATTTCTCGGAGCCTTTGTTTCTTTTCACTCCTTTTTCTCTAATCTTGTCTTCTCGCTTTATTTCATTAAGTTGATCTTCAATCACTGGTATCCTTTCTTCTGCATGATTGATTCGGCTACTGAAGCTTGTGTATGCTTTACAAAGTTCTCATGCTGTGTTTTTGAGCTCCATCAGGTCATTTATGTTCTCTACATTGGTTATGTAGCAATTCATCTAACCTTTTTTCAAGGTTCTTAGCTTCCTTGTGTTGGGTTAGAACATGCTCCTTTAGCTTGGAGGAGTTTGTAATTACCCACCTTCTGAAGCCTACTTCTGTCAATTCGTCAAACTTATTCTCCGTCCAGTTTTTTTCTCTTGCTGGCGAGAAGTTATGATTCTTTGGAGGAGAAGAGGTGTTCTGGTTTTTGGAATGTTCAGTCTTTCTGCACTGGTTTCTCCCCATCTTTGTGGTTTTATCTACCTTTGGTCTTTGATGTTGGTGACCTACAGATGGGGTTTTGGTGTGGATGTCCTTTTTGTTGATGTTGATGCTATTCTTTTCATCTGTTAGTTTCCCTTCTAACAGGTCCCTCAGCTGCAGGTCTGTTGGAGTTTGCTGGAGGTCCACTCCAGACCCTGTTTGCCGGGATATCACCAGTGGAGTCTGCAGAACAGCAAATACTGCTGCCTTATCCTTCCTCTGGAAGCTTTGTCCCAGAGGGGCACCTGCCAGATGCCAGCCAGAGCTCTCCTCTATGAGGTGTCTGTTGGACCTTACTGGGAGGTGTCTCCCAGTCAGGCTACACGGGGGTCATGGACCCACTTGAGGTGGCAGTCTGTCTGTTATCAGAGCTCAAACACTGTGCTGGGAGAACCACTGCTCTCTTCAGAGCTGTCAGGCAGGGATGTTTAAGTCTGCTGAAGCTGTGCCCACAGCTGCCCCTTCCCCCAGGTGCTCTGTCCCAGGGAGATGGGGGTTTTATCTATAGGTCCCTGACTGGGGCTGCTGTCTTTTGTTCAGAGATGCCCTGCCCACAGAGGTGGAATCTAGAGAGGCAGTTGGCCTTGCTGAGCTGCGGTGGGCTCCTCCCAGTTCGAAATTCCTGGCGGCTTTGTTTACACTGTGAGCATAATACTGCTTGCTCAAGCCTCAGCAATGGTGGACACCCCACCCCCCAGCCAAGCTCCAGCGTCTCAGGTCGATCTCAGACTTCTGTGCTAGCAGCGAGAATTTCAAGCCAATGGATCTTAGCTTGCTGGGCTCTGTGGGTGTGGGACCCACACAGCCAGGCACTGGAAGGAATCTCCTGGTCTGCCGTTTGCAAAGAATGTGGGAAAAGTACAGTATCTGGGCAGGAGTGCACTGTTCCTCCCCGTACAGTCTCTCACAGCTTACCTTGGCTAGGAAAAGGAAATCCCCCGACCCCTTGCACTTCCCAGGTAAGGCGACACCCCACCCTGCTTTGGCTCACCCTCCGTGGGCTGTTCCCACTGTCCAACCAGTCCCAGTGAGATGAACCAGGTATCTCACTTGGAAATGCAGAAATCACCTATCTTCTCTGTTGATCCCACTGGGAGCTGCAGACTGGAGCTGTTCCTATTCAGCCATCTGGCTGGAAATCCCACTGTGTATCTTTTAAGTGGAGCATTTAGGCCATTTACATTCAATGTTAATATTGGGATGTGAGGTACTATTCTATTTATCATATTAGTTGTTACATAGATACTTTGTTTTTTTCACTGTGTTACTGCTTTATAGACCCTGTGATGCTTTCAGCAGGTTCCATTTTGGTACATACCAAGTTTTGTTTCAAGATTTAGAACTCCTTTAGCATTCCTTGTAGTGCTGATTTGGTAGTGGCAAATTCCCTCAGCATTTGCTTGTCAGGAAAAGACTATTTCTCCTTCATTTATGAAGCTTAGTTTTGCTGGATACAGAAATTAAAAAAAAGAAATTCAGGTGTGTGATGGAATAGACTTTTTTTTTTTGACTCAACACCACTTAATGAAGGAATAGATTTTGAATGTGCTTTTAGAATATTGTATAATGTCCTTATGTAAGATAATTCTAGACTCAAATATTTCAAGGAGCTGGATGTGGCTTAATACTTTGTAAAATTGGATTCACCACAGGCACACACTAAGTGAAATGGAGATGCCAGAAGTCCTTGACATAGAGTAGAGCATCAGTTCTCAAGCTTTTGTGTGCACCAGAATCATAGGAGGGCTTTTAAAAACACAGATTGCTGAACCCCACTCCTAGAGTTTGTGATTCAGAAAGGTTGAGTTGAAGCCTGAGAATTTGCATTTCTAACAAGTTTGTAGGTTATGGTAATGCTACTAAACTAAGGACCATATTTTGAAAGTCACTAGTATAGAAGAAAGAAATCAAATAACTTTGAGGGACAAGAATGTTGGAGTGCTTTGCCTACGTAAATCCCCTCTTCATTTGCTACCTGTCTTTCCCAAAAGGGTCAATATAATCTTTTGAACTTTATTGAGGTATAATTTACATAACACAGTATATTCATATATTTTGACAAATGTATATAACTGTATAACCAACATAATCAAAATAAAAAATATGTCCATCATCCCAGAACGTTCTCTCCTGTCACTTTTTAATCCCTGTGTCTCCTGCCCCAAGCCCCAGGCAACCCCTCATCTCATTTCTCACACTGTAGATTAGTTTGTGGGTTTTTTTTTTTTTCAAGAATTTCATGTACATAGAATCATACAGTATGTAATTGTTTTGTATTTGGTTTCTTTTGCTTTGTGTAATGTTTTTAAAACTCTTCATGTTGTTGAATATGTGAGTAATTTGTTTTTTTTTATTGCTCAGTAGTATTCACTGTATGGATATTTATATTTTGTTTATTCATCTATTGAAGGTTATTTGGGTCATTTCCAGTTTGGGGCTATTATAGATGAAGCATCTATAAACATTTATAGACAAGCCTTTGTATGGACATGTGTTTTCATTTGTCTTGGGGCAAATGACATAGGAGAGAGCTACTGCATCATATGTAAGTGTATGCGCGAATTTCCACTTGCTTAACGGTGTCATCAGCTCTTGGTATTGTCACACTTTTTAAACTTTAGCCGCTGTAGTGAATATGTAGTAGTATCTCATTATGGTTTTAATTTGCGTTTCCTTGATGACTGATGGTGTTGAACATTACTGTATTTTTTGTGTGACTTGTCCTTTCAAATACTTTGTCCACTTCCCCACACTCTTTTTAAATTTGTCTCATTGAGTTGTAAAAGTTTTTAACATATTCTGATTATTAAGCATTTGTCAGGTATATGTATTGCAAATATCTTCTGGAGTCTTGGCTTGCTTTTTTCTCTTTTTTCTTTTCTTACCTTTTTTTTGTTTGTTTGTTTTTGAGACAGGTTCTCATTCTGTTGCCCAGGCTGGCACATTCACGGCTCACTGCAGCCTTGACCTCCTGGGTTCAAGTGATCCTCTCACTTCAGCCTCTCATGTAGCTAGGACTACAGGTGCACACCACCATGCTCTGCTAATTTTTGTATTTTTTGTAGAGATGGGGTTTCATCATGTTGCCCAGGCTGGTCTTGAACTCCTGGGCTCAAACGATCTGTCTGCATTAGCCTCCCAGGATGCTGGGATTACAGGTGTGAGCCACTGCACCCACTCCTTTTTATTTTCTTAACTGTGTATTTCAAAGCAGAACATTTTAATTTAGATGAAATCCAATTAAGCTATGTGTATGTGTTTTACATCTTTGGGGTCCTGTCTAAAATCTTTGCCTAACCCAAAATTATGAAGATTTTCTTGTTATTTTCTTCTAGAAGTTTTGTATTAACTTTCATATCTTAATGTTGAGTCTTCTAATCCATGAACTCATATTTCTTTCCATTTATTTAGGTCTTCTTTAATTTCAGCAGTGTTTTATAGTTTTCAGCATACAGGTCTTGCACATATTTTGTTAAATTTATTCCTAGGTATTTTTTGTTTTTTGATGCTTTTATTAAATGGTTTGGTTTAACCTTAATTTTTTCAGTTGTTTGTTGCTAGTATACAGAAATACAATGATTCATACATATCGACTTTATATTTCACAACCTTGCTAAATTCATTTATTAGTTCTAGTAGTTTCTTTATCTTAATGAAGGTTCTTTAGAATTTTCTATGTCATATTATTTGCAGATAAACAGTTTTACTTTTTCCTTCCCAATCTATATCCCTTTTATCGCCTTCTCTTGCCTTATATCTAGGGCTCCCAGTATGGTGTTGAATAGGAGTTGTGAAACTGGATACACTTGCCTTATTCCCAATCTTAGAGGGAAAGCAGCCAGGCCTTTTACCATAAAGTATCATTAGCAGTAAGCTTTTAAAAAAATAAAATAGATGCCCTTTATCAGTTTGATCCCTAGTTTCTTGAGAATTTTTATCATAAACGGATGTTGAACTTTGATAAATGTCTTTTCTGCATCCATTGATATGATCGTGTGGGTTTTTTTCCCTTTATTCTGTTGATATAGTGATTAAGTAATTTTTAAATGTTGAGTCAGCCTTGCATTCACAGGACAAACCTCATTTGGTCAGTATATATAATCTTTTTAATATATTGCTTGATTTGTTAATATTTTGTTGTGAATTTTTTATTTACGTTCATGAGGGATATAAATTCATCATTTACTCTTCTTGTAACTTCTTTGGTTTCACATGAAGGTAATGCTGACCTCATAAAATGAGTTGGGAAGTGTTCCTTGCTTCTATTTTCTAGAAAAGCTGTAGGTAGTACTAATATGTTTATTCCTTAAATGTTTAGCAATGAAACCATTTGCGCCAGGTCCCATCTTGATCACACACAGCTGTGTCCATTTATTTATGTATGGTCTTTGGTTACTTTGTGCTACAATGGCAAAGTTAAGTAATGTGACAGACTGTATAATCCAGAAAGCCTAAACTGTTTACTCTCAGGCCCTTTACAGAAAATGGTTTCTAACCCCTGACCTAGAGTAGTGATTCTCAACTCTAGCCACATATTGGAATCACCTGGAGAATGTTTGAAAAAAAATACTGTCTGGCTCTCATACCTAGAAATTCTAATTTAATGTGTTTGAGCTGAGGCTAGGCCATTGGAAGTTTCAAAAGCTCCCCAAGTGATTTGACTTGGCAGGTTGAGAACTACTGGATGAGAATAAGAGTTGGTGTTATGTATTCATTTTACTTCCCACCCCAAAGCTGATTATTCTAATGTGCATTTAGGGTTGAAAATCAGTCATCTAGGGCAGTAGTTTCCAGGTCTGGATGTGTATCAGTCACCTGGGGAGGTTTTAGAAATACATTCCAAGACCTCACTGCAGAGCTACTGAAGCAGAATCTCTAGTACATGAGGCCAAGGATTTTTATTTTTACTAATTAATTATTTTATTTTTATTTTTAAATTCTTCAGATGGTTCTCATATGCAGGGATTTCTTTAAAAGAATACTGAACCCAGGCCATGCTATTCTATTGTCAAGATTCTTGGGCATTGAATGAGTAATTAGAAGATTATGAGAGGTGAAGCCAGCTGGACTTTCTGGGTCGGGTGGGGACTTGGAGAACTTTTCGGTCTTACAAGAGTATTGTAAAATGCACCAATCGGTGCTCTGTGAAAACGCACCATCTGTGCTCTGCAGCTAGCTAGAGGTTTGTAAAATGGACCAATCAGCACTCTGTAAAATGGACCAATCAGCAGGACATGGGCAGGGACAAATAAGGGAATAAAAGCTGGCCACCCCCAAGCCAGCAGCCACAACCCCCTCAGGTCACTCTCCACGCTGTGGGAGCTTTATTCTTTCGCTCTTCACAATAAATCTTGCTGCTGCTCACTCCTTGGGTCCATGCCATCTTTAAGAGCTGTAACACAGTGAAGGTCCGTGGCCTCATTCTTGAAGGCAGTGAGACCACCAACCCACCAGAAGGAACCAACTCTGGACACAATTATCTAGTGAGTATGGAAGTGGAGAAAAGGGATTTAGATGTATGAGGCCGTGCAATGCAGGCTGTGGACAATCCCATTGACTAGTCCTCTGTAATGATGAGAATCTTCATTTCTAGTAGATATGGTAATCTAACCCCCTTTGTACACTGCTGGATAACATGGAACATGTTTTTTCCTCTCTGGTTTCTCTTTATCTGGGCTCCATAAAGACCAGTCCTTCCATTAACATTCTTTCTTCAGATAATCGGGTTACATGATGGGAAATTAGATTTTTTTTTTTTTCATTTCTGTTTTGAGTCTATAGTTCCCCATCCCATCAGCTTGCATGGTTCTCTAGTCTCTTCAGCACCACATTTACTAATTGTCTCTTAGGCTAGACACTTTGGAGATGGCTAAGTTCATTTGTGCTACATTTTTGCCCTTGGCCACCTCAATCTAATCTCCTGATATACTTGCTACATCTCAAATAGAGTTTTTGCTCAAGTAATCATCTGTTAACCCTTCAACTGTATTACACAGTACCTCTTCAGTTCAGATGAGATGTGTAAAATCATGGAATGTTGAGCTGGAAGAGAGTTTATAGACCATCTTGTCTAAGCTCAAAAAAGATAATAATTATAGGCAGTTAGTTGGGTACAGTTTTTTGTTAATTTGTTTTTGATGAGTACATCATGCTACCCCTGTACAATTCTTGCTTTGGGGTTTATAATCTATTACTGCAAACCCTAGCTATGAAGTAGCTGGACTTCATTCAGTAGGGTGAAGTCCATTCATGTGTCATACTGATAGGCACTGAATAACCACGGTCCAGCCAAATCTCTGTGAGACTTATCTTCCTCTTCTGTAAAATGAGGAGAATGAATATCTACTTTATAAACTGTAAGATGCTTTTTGTTTTGGTTTGGGAAGAACCTTGGACAGGAAGGAAAACAAAAATGTATCAGTCAATCTGAGAATTAGTTATTACACGGGCTCCAAGCCCAGAAGATACTAGCTAAACCTAAAAGGAATGATCTTGGAAATAAGGATTTCTAGTATATTAAATTATGAGTGCTATTCACTAGTCAAGCAATCATTGATTTTCTTAAAGCCCTAAGCAATACTATAAAACAGAAGATTGTATCTACTTTCAAGAGATTACAATGAAGTTACTCATTTAGTTGCACGTTAGGGCATTTGTGTTATTATTTATGGTAACTTCGAAAATGGGAGGTATTAAAGGACCTATGAAAATACTGTAAATCAGTTTTAAAAGTGTATAAACTGGCATATTTTTCAATTTGTTTGCAAGGCTGGCTTAATGATTGGCATGATAACAGTGGTTACTCTCATAAGGCATTAAATATATAGCTCTAAATGATTTTTACAAGTAAAAATAAAATTTTGTAGTCATTTAGTTTAGTTCAACAAATATTTATTGAGGATATAATGAGTAATCAAAGGTTGTCCCAGTACTCAAGGCGATGATTGTCAGGTAGCAGAAACAATTACAAGTCGATGGAAAATGCTGGGATCGAAGTGCACACAAAGAGCTATGGAAGCCCTGTAGGGACTGGGGAGTGAGGAGGGATGTCAAGAAGGCTGCTATCCAGAAGAAGCAATGTTTCGACTGAGGCTTGAAAGTTTCAATGTAATGTGGGAGGAAGAGCAAATGGAACAGTGTGTGAAAAGACATGGAGGCATGAGAACACATGGTGTTTTTAGAGACCAAGGTGGACCTCAGGATGAGCGTAAGGCAGTAAGAAATGAGATGGGAAGGAGTCAAATCATGACTGGCTTGCTTGTTTGATCATTTTCCTATGAGTGACCGTGTTGACGGATTCAAATTTAAGGAGTACAAGATCGTATTTTAAAAATGCCCTTAGCAGTATTTATAATTGAACAAGGATAGACAACAGCTGGGTAAGAAAGACTAGAGGCAGAATTCTCAGCCAGGGATCATGGAATGTGAATATCCTTTTGCTGACACAAGGAACAAATGTTGGCTCCAAACATTAGTTACTTTATACCAGTATTAGCTGTTCATTCAGTTTTTTAACTTCTTTAGAGCAATTTTATTTATCATCTATTTTTTCCCAATTACCCATTACATATAGAAATATTATCATGCCTGTCACCGATGAAACATATTAAGAAAAGTGAAAAATACATATTCTTTAAAGTGCCTCCCTTTTAAGGATTTTGTATCAACAAAGCACTGATTGTGGAATTCATGTATAGTCTTCAGAAGTCACAGTATATAAGCTCCGACTATCAATAGCAGCTTAACAGGCTCTATAAAATAAAGCATTACCAAGTATAGGTAAAATCATACATATTTGAAACTTATATCATTATTTTCCTACCAATGAGTGATTCATCATAATTTTCATTATGCCTTCAAAATTATCCCTGAGAGAGGCCAGAAACCCATTCTGCTGATGAAGAAACTGAGGTAAAGATTTCTCTTTGGTCTCAGTGTAAGAGCCTGGAATATGTCAGAGAGATTATTGCTTTTGACCTTATCAAGTTTCTTGATCCCTCCTTACACCCTTAAGTTTTAATGTTTCTCTTCTAAGTCTAAAAGTGAGGCGTATTTGAAATTTGTTCTGTGTATTGCAAGTATATTGCATGATACGCACAAAGTGCTCAAAGTGCGTGGTACCACAAGAAGCTAAAGCCAGGAGCTGTCTCTCTGACTGTTCAGTTTAGAAGAAAAGATAGGTAAAATTGGTTCTCAGTGAAGCACTGATTGTGGAATTCATTTATAGTCTTCAGAAGTCATGGTATATGATATGTGCATTCATAGATTTTTTTTGTTTGTTTAAATCACAGTCACCTGTCTGAAGCATCTTCACTGGATTCTTCTTGTATAAGAAGTTCATAGCTTCCCTCATTCCAGCTGGTACACTTGACAACACTATAAAAGGAAACAAGACATTTTAAAGTTGAGATTAAGACAATACATAAATAAGTAATCTGTTTTCCAACTTTTTTTCCCAGTTACATAGCTTTTAATAAATTATGCAGATTATTAGGAGGAGTATCCTGGCATTTTGAATCCAGCTGACTCATGCATGGTGTTCTTAAAATAATTTTAAAACTGCATGATTTTTTTTCTCTTCTAGACCCCTAAGGTATCCCATCTGTCCCATGGTTAACTCTGTGTAGTCCACATAAACTAGTTATAACTAAAGCTATTACTGAAGTTCCTGTTCAATAGCTATAGCTGAAGCTCAGAAGCTTGGACATTTGGAGGTAAGACAGTATGTAATTTTGATTTTTAAAATATTGAGCAGTGTAAGGTTAAAAAAAAAGCTCAGAAGCCCATCTACTTTACCTTATTATTAAAAGGACAACTGCCTTTTATCTATCTGTTATAACAGAATTTATAAACATGTGAAGACTAAAATTAGAATTACCTATTATTCTACTCACCATGTATGCAATTCTTTTCTTTAAGTGTTATTTTCCTACTGTTTAAAAAAATCTGTTTTTTTTTGGTAAAGATGGGGGTCCCACTATGTTGCCCAGATTGGTCTTGAACTCCTGGCCTCAAGCAGTCCTCCTGCCTCAACCTCCCAAAGTGCTGGGATTATAGGTGTGAGCCACGGTGCCTGCTACAATTCTTGTTAGTTAAGTCATTTTTCATGAAATGGCTGTACCATCATTTACTTAAACATTCTCCCACTGTTGGACAGTTTGGTCACTTAAAATTTTTTTGCTGTAATTAACGTTTTTATATATCAATTTTTGACAAAATTACTCATTATTTGTTTAGAGTATGTTTCTAAAAGGAATTGCTGGATCAATCACTATGAACTTTGAAAAAAGAGCTTTTGATATATTCATGAATTGCTTTATGATACAGCTGAATAGTACTATTATCAACAATGTGTAAGATCAGTTGTCTCATGTGCTTACCAGCACAGCATGTATTGGTAATTTTGTTAATTCGATAGGTGAATAGTCTCTTTTTAAAAAAGATAACTAGTATAAATAACTTTTCATCAAAATTAGAGGAACTGCAAATACTGTTGTTCTCTGACACAGATCTAGGTATCAGAATTCAATAGAAACAATAAGTACTGAGCTCCTACTATAAGACATGAGCCAGCCCTTTAGGGAGTTTGCCATCTTGGCAGGATGCTTAACACCTGTGCTTATAGGCACTTTCCTCCCTAACTCAGAGCCTTACCCCAAAGTGCTTAGGAGAAAGCAGAGAAGGCCTGGCTTCTTGTGGCCCCATTGCCTTGATTCCCGTCACTGTGCTATGCTATCAGCCACATGAAATGCACAGAGCTCAGCAGAAACAGATTAATGAGCTCTTCATTAATGTGTCAAATAAATTTGCTTGGACGTTTCAGCAATCATTCATCTAGTTGGCTCACATTTTTTGTTAAATAGAAAGCAAAAAGAAGGCATAAATATTGCTTTTATATTTATGCTTCTGATCTATCCATTATATGTACTATTCATAAATGGAATTTTGTGCTTCTTTAATTTGAATATTTAAATTTAAAAACATTTAAACATTAACGTTTAAACAAGTCATTAAAACAAGACAAAGTCATTAAACAAGCCAACTCTGGAAAGAGAACTCAATAGTCAGCACATCCTATCTGCTTTTGTCATTTATACAAGAATCCATGTGAAAGTCAATCTCATTACAGCAATCTTTGACCATCAGGGGATATTGTACTCTGGGAAATCATAGTTTAAAGGTATACATCTCTAATTTTAGATGCTAATTTAATCAATGGTTTAAAGGTGGGGAGTTATAATGAACACAATCCTTCTTTTAGTTCTTCACCCATGTCACTCTCTTTTTCTTCCTAAGTCTCCCCAAATTATTGACAGATGCTTTCACGTATTTTTATTTATTTTAATGAGATGGGGGTCTTGCTATGTTGTCCAGGCTGGTCTCAAACACCTGGGCTCAAAATCATCTTCCCGTCTCAGTCTCCTGACTAGCTGAGACTTCAGACATACACCACCATGACCGGTTCTCTTTTTTTTAATTAAAAAAATTTATTTTATTAAAATATGAAACACTTCATGAATTTTCCTGTCATCCTTGCACAGGGAGCATGCCAATCTTCACTGTGTCATTCCAATTTTGTATATATGCTGCTGAAGCGAGCACTTCATGTCTAAAAGTTCTTGAGAAAAGCACGTTCTGAGGCAAAATTTCAACAGACCTATGTAATTTACTGGTGAGGTTAGGGAATTCACTTAATCCATATACCCTCTGATAAAATGATTAAAAATAATGACATACCATAGACTGATGGCTGGAAGTAGTAACAGACCAGCAGACAGCAGGAAAGTGAAGCCAGGGTACCAAGCAACAGTGGCTGAGTAAATTCCATTAAAAGTAGAAACTGCAGTGACTCCTCCAAGTGTTTCTAAGAAAGCAATACAAGCAAACAGGGTACCTGTTTGGAGTAGGGATAGAGAGAGAGGAAAAAAAAAAGGCAGAATTACAAAACAACAAACACAAACTAATGGAGACAACTGTTACTCATTGAAAACAGTAAACATGAGGGCACTGCTGGGTGAATGAAATGAAAGTTATTCCCTCAAAGTCCCTGAGAAGTCAGCAGCCCATTCTGCAGCTGAGGAAACTAAGGGAAAGGTTCTCCTTGGACTTGATGTGAGAGATGTTGGAAACTCCAAATAGCTGAGTTCCAGTGTCCACAGGGCAAAGCTAAAAAGACAGTGCAGCTGACTCTTTTGATAACTGCATGTCTCTCCTCTCTGCCACAGCCCCAGGCAAAGCCACACCTACCCCTGCTCTTCAGGATGCTGTCTCCCACCCTCCAACCCCATGCTAATCTGTGACACCTGAAAGCACAGGATGGCTCCTAACAAGCAATGCTTCCTGCAAGAGCCTTTTGAAAGGTAAAGAAAACCTTCTTATCTGTTCCTCAGTCTGGCAAGTGACAGCTGCAGACAAAGAGAGGAGATTCTTATACATTCTGCAACTGGAATTTTATCCCTCTTCAAAGTCACCAAAAAATCCCATCACTACTAGATTCTGCATGTTTGACTCATCAAATTAACCATCTTGTGCTCTAGTGAAGGTTTATGCCACAGTTTAATGTTAAGTGATTCTTTAAAACATATGTTTCCACCTTATTGCTTGCAACTGCCTCTGCCCTAAGGTGCCTTACAAGATGAAGAGTGGGGATTCTGCTATGGTCACACTTGCTATACACCAAAGTTGGTCAAGGGTAGGCCACTCAGCATTGTTCATGAAGTCTGCATGGTCAGTGCAAGCTCACAATCAGAGAGAAACAGACAGTATTCTACCTATGTTTAGTTTTGTCTGGAATCCAAGACCATGTCAACTGAAGAGTTAAACTTCCAAAAGACAGGCTGGCCATCTTCATGTGCTTTTCTTCCTCTTTGTCAAATTGCTCATCATCAGATATAAAATTTCATGACCATTTTCAGTCAGATTGACCTGGCTTTCTTGGTCTCAGTTCCTATATATGTAGCTTCTGCTTTCTGCAGATTTTGTCAACAAGTCACTATGCTTGTTCCCTACTTTGCCAAGTTTACTTTTCCATGAAAAACTGCAATGCATTTTTCTTACTGACAATACAAATCATGTAAATAATTGTGTTTGCTTGGACTGATAGGAAGGAAATGGCCAAGCTTGAGGGTTATCTTTCAAAGTTAGATATGGCTTATGTGTATATTCTAATTTTCCCCATGGTCTTCATCTTTTAGACTGTGTATTGATTTTTATCTATTTAAACTTTTTCATTTTATTGTACATATTCTCATATATTGCTTCAAATTATTCATTGAATGATAGGACAAACATTCATAAAACATACGTCTATCTCTGCAAAATATCGTGTGCTCACTTATGTGTCTTCTTTTGACTAAAATGAAAGCTTTGTCGATCTGCCTTGTACATCTGCCTTGCTCACAGCTGTATCCCTAGGGCTCAGCTGTCCGGGTGCATGGCAGACATTTAATAAATATTTGTCAAATGAATGAATCAAAGCTTAATTCAGGATCCCATTTACCAGTCATCAAGTAGCATGCAGACTTACTGCCTCCATGATTTATGATAATACATTAAGTCAGTTTAATTGGAAGGATGTTCTTCTACTTGTCTAACTACATTATTTTCTTTTATTTCTGATCTCTTTCTGCAGCCAGGAATAGTGCTATGGAAAACAGACTGCACAGTACTAGTTCTATTATGTAAGAGTTTTAATCTATTCTTGATGGGAAATAGGTCAGACACTGCACCATCTGTTCTGATGGAACCATACTATTATGAAGTAGCTTTAGCTTATTGCCCAACTTCTCTGAGCAGTTCGACTTGTTTAATAGTTGCCAGAGATAAAACAGGATTAAAGGATAAGTACAACTGAGTTCATCTTCTAAATTCTGTTTTTTTTTAATGCAATAGACCTCAAAAATCAAGTCTGTTTTACTGTCTCCCAATTTATAATAACAAGGAGTATATGGGTGATGCCCAGGTAAAATAGTCCAAGGCAGCTTCAGCTATGAGTTCACAGTGGTGCAGAGCGCAGAGATTGCAAAATAATTACCAGAATTCCACTTTCTTACCTTTCTTATTTAAGATAATAGAAATAATGAGAGCCAACTGAAAACTTCGGCAGTATTTCCCCACTCCTCTGATTATTTAAAGTGCCTAATATTTTCACAAAATGGCCAATTTAAATAATAATGAAGGATGCGAATACATTTAGTTATAGAAATGTTGACATCATCCAAAAGATTGTTTAGTTTGCAGTTAAGAACAAAGTAAGTATCCTAGAATAATGAAGTCACAATTCACAGTTACCGTAATTCAAAATAAGAAATGCCAAAATGTAAACATTTTAAAATATTACTATATTTAACAGTATGATATGACTTTTTTATTTTTATGTTTATTTTTCGTAGAGATAGAGCCTCCCTCTGTTGCCCACACTGCTTTTGAACTCCTGGTCTCAAGTGATCCTCCCACCTCGGCCTCCCAAAGTGCTGGGATTACAGATGTGAGCCACTGCACCTGGCGGAGATGACTTTTTAAAAGCCTTTATAAGGATATGAACAGACACTTCTCAAAAGAAGACATTTATGCAGCCAACAGACACATGAAAAAATGCTCATCATCACTGGCCATCAGAGAAATGCAAATCAAAACCACAATGAGATACCATCTCACACCAGTTAGAATGGCGATCATTAAAAAGTTAGGAAACAACAGGTGCTAGAGAGGATGTGGAGAAATAGGAACACTTTTACACTGTTGGTGGGACTGTAAACTAGTTCAACCATTGTGGAAGACAGTGTGGTGATTCCTCAAGGATCTAGAACTAGAAATACCATTTGACCCAGCAATCCCATTACTGGGTATATACCCAAAGGATTATAAAACATGCTGCTATAAAGGCACATGCACACGTATGTTTATTGTGGCACTGTTCACAATAGCAAAGACTTGGAACCAACCCAAATGTCCATCAATGATAGACTGGATTGAGAAAATGTGGCACATATACACCATGGAATACTATGCAGCCATACAAAAGGATGAGTTCATGTCCTTCGTAGGGACATGGATGAAGCTGGAAACCATCATTCTCAGCAAACCATCGCAAGAGCAAAAAACCAAACACCACATGTTCTCACTCACAGGTGGGAATTGAACAATGAGAACACTTGGACACAGGAAGGGGAACATCACACACCGGGGCCTGTCGTGGAGTGGGGGGAGGGAGGAGGGGGGAGGGATAGCATTAGGAGATATACCTAATGCTAAATGACGAGTTAATGGGTGCGGCACACCAACATGGCACATGTATACATATGTAACAAACCTGCACGTTGTGCACATGTACCCTAAAACTTAAAGTATAATAAAAAAAATTTTAAAAAGCCTTTATAAACTAAACCAAATATAAACAAAAATAAACTATACCTCTTGACAGCTCTATTTTAGCTCTAAGTCAAAGCAGGTAAATTTTTTTTCCCAATAGCTTTATTGGGATATAATTAACATCCCACAAACCTCACCCTTTTAAAGTCTGCAATTCAGTGGTTCTTAGTATGTTGCAGATTTGTGCAACCATCACCACTATCTGTGGAACATTTTCATCACCCCGAAAAGAAACTGTATACCCATAAGTAGTCATTCCCCTTCCCCAGCCCCAGTCAAGCCCTAATCAAATTTCTGTCTCTATGGATTTGCCTATTCTGCACATTTCACGTAAACAGAATCATATTTAAATGACAATATGTGGCCTTTTGTGACTAGCTTCTTAAATTTGGCATAATCATTTCATAGTTCATCCATGTTATGGCATGTAACAGAACGATATTTCTTTTTATTGCAGAAGAGCAGTTTGCTGGATGGATAAACCACATTTTGTTTACCCATTTGTCAGTTCATGAACATTTGCATAGGTTTCACTTTTTGGCTATTATGAATAATGCTGCCATGAACAAGATTTTATGTGGACATATGCTTTCACTTCTCATGGTATGTAAGTAGGGGAGGGATTGCTGAGTCATAAGGCAACTAACTTTCTGAGGAACTGCCAAACTGCTTTGTACAGCTGCTGCACCATTTTATGTTCCCACTCGCAGTGTATGAGGGCTCCAATTTCTCCACATCCTCATCAACACTTGCTATGGCCTATTTTATTTTGGCCACCCCAGCCCACTCTGTGGTTTTGCTTTGCATTTCCCTGATGGCTAATGATATCCAGCATTTTCATGCGCATATTGGTCACTTGTATATCTTCTATTCAAATCCTTTGCCCATTTTTAAATTGAGTTGTCTTTTTGTTGTTGAATTTTAAGAGTTCTTAAATATGCTGGATACGAGTTCCTGCTCAGACAAATATAATTTGCAAATATCTTCTCCCATTCTGTGGGTTGTCGGTTGTCATTTCACTTTCTTTCTTTTTCTTTTCTTTTTTTTTTTTTTTTTTGTATTTTTAGTAGAGACGGGGTTTCACCATGTTGGTCAGGCTGGTCTCAAACTCCTAACCTCGGGTCATCCACCCGCTTTGGCCTCCCAAAGTGCTGGGATTGCACATGTGAGCCACTGCGCCTGGCCTCACTTTCTTGATGTTGTCCTTTGAAACATAAAAATTTTTCAAAGGACAAACTTTGAATGAAGTTTTTGGATGAAGTCTAATCTATCAATTTTTCCTTTGTTCTTGTGCTTTTGGTGTCATATCTAAGAAACTATTGCATAGTCCAAAGAAGCAGATAGATTTTTACATAGTTTATATAAATTTTTCCATTTGTTATTGGTTTTCAAAGCAATCATCATCACATCATCTATAAACAGATGTGTGAATATATAGCTACATCTTATGAGTGAAAAATAAGAGGCCGGGTGCGGTGGGTCACGCCTATAATCCCAGCACTTTGGGAGGCTGAGGCGGGCTGATTACCTGAGGTCAGGAGTTTGAGACCAGCCTGGCCAACATGGTGAAACCCTGTCTCTGCTAAAAACACAAAAATTAGCCAGGCATGGTGGCAGGAGCCTGTAATTCCAGCTACTTGGGAGGCTGAGGCAGGAGAATTGCTTGAACCCAGGAGGCAGAGGTTGCAGTGAGCCGAGATCACACCATTGCACTCCAGCCTGGGCAGCAAGAGTGAAACTCCGTCTCAAAAAAAAAAAAAAAGAGAGAAAGTAAAAGAAGAAATATATTTTTAATTTATTGAATTATGTAGCCTTCTCCAGTATTGACTAAACTGGTAAAAATACAACAGCATAATTATGAATTATTCATAAATCAAATAAGTACATTCACAGCACCGGGCTAACATATGACATTAAAGAAAGTGCCAATGTCTAATAAGATTCATATGATACAAAAGGGAAGGAGGACAAGCCCATATGCCTGATATCTAACTAGTAACTAGTTCTCAATGGAAATTTAATTTTTGTCTTTGCTGCATCCTGGTTATTCTCTGCCTGCCCCTTCAACTGTTTGACTTTGTGTACCCTGCTCTGTGCTTTGGAGGCTGACCCCACAAATTATATGACTTGGACTTTCTTGCTGGCCCGAGTTCCTGCTGCACTTGGTTAAAAGGATGATGGGGGAGAAAGGTTATGGTGTTTCTTCTCTGCTTCCTATCTGGGGCATCTCTCTGGCTGCCTCGACAATGCCCACTCTCTATAATGGCCTTCATGAAAGTTTCTTGATTGAACCAGCTGAGTGGGGCCCCGTTTTCTGCCAGGACTCTGAGTCAGGCCCAGCTGTGACAGTTGTAGGGGCCAGTGTAAGAACATTATCAGAGGCCTATATATTATATTCTTAGGATTTAAAAGTGGTCAGTTATTTGAAATCTGGCCAACAAACTGTTAACTAAAATATATTATGCCTTCCTACTGTGAAAAATATCCCTTTGTAATGAATGATCTAGGAGACCCGCACACACTTAGGATTCTCAGACGTTTTCAGAATTCCACGTAGGAACAGGGTAGCCCAGGGTGAACTGGCCCTCAGCCCTTGGTGCCCAGCTGGAGCCCACCCCCATTCTGCTCTACCCCTTGCACCACCCTGCTCAGAAAGGGTCATTACAGGGTGTGGAACAGCCCCACCCTGTGATTCCAAAGTCCAGCCACACCCTTTAGAAGGAGTCGCCCCTTGGCTCCTTCCTTGGTCTACAGGTGAGCACACTGGGCACAGTCCACCCTCAGGAGAAGGTGGCTGAGGAAGAGGATCATCCAGGCCCTTACTGGACATAAGCCCAGAACTGGGCTGGGAATTGCAGGGACCCAGGTGGGCAGAGTTCAGTCTAGAAGGAAGGAGATGTGGTGAGCTCCCAGTGGGCATCTCCCACTTGGCCCTGAGAGCTCCTTTCTTCTTAGGGCGGGGCACGGCCCAGAGCCGAGGGAGCTCTCTAAAGTACAAGGCCCTAGGCAGGGGCTCCCTTGCAAGAGTGTAAGCCTTTCCCTCACAGAGCTTACCACTTTATTCAAAAGGAGATCCGTGCATAAAAAGGGCTGTAGAATATTCTGAAGCATTAAACATTGATTGTACACAGATTTGAGTTTGTAAAGATGGTAGATTCATATTTCTTAAGCAAATTAAACTCACCTTGTTCAGTCGAACGAACCACTTTTGACAACATGGACCGTAGAACAGAGAATGGCACAATAGTGAAAAGGAACGGCACCCTGGCTGTGAGAGAAAGGATTCAAAATCACTGGCTGATTCTGAAAGCTAATGGCCAATTTAAAATAGGAAACACTTTCACTCTGTCTAAATACTTCCTTTTCTACAAGCATCCTAACTCATTGTATCTAAAAATTGAATTAATTAATTGTAGAACTCTGTTTGATGAATTAAAGTAGACTATGGACAGGTCAGTTTAAGGTTACTTTACTCTAGAATTCTTATTCCAGTACAGAGAACAAGAGTTCATGTAATTTTTAGGTCTAGATCTATTTATATAATCTGCCGATTAAGACTGATCTGCTGGCCGGGCGCAGTGGCTCACACCTGTAATCCCAGCACTTTGGGAGGCCGAGGAGGGCAGATCACCTGAGTTCGGGAGTTCGAGACCAGCCTGACCAACATGGAGAAATCCTGTCTTTACTAAAAATACAAAATTAGCCAGGCGTGGTGGCGCATGCCTGCAATCCCAGCTACTTGGGAGGCTGAGGCAGGAGAATCACTTGAACCCGGGAGGTGGAGGTTGCAGTGAGCCCAGATCATGCCACTGCACTCCAGCCTGGCGACAGAGTGAGACTCCATCTCAAAGAAAAAAAAAAAACAAAAAAAAAAACTGATCTGCTTATTTTCCTAATTATATATTAACCTCTTATTTAGCAAATTGAGACTGCTAATTCATTTTTGTTTGTGCTTTTTTCAGACTTGGCACTCTTAGTGTTAGCATGCCTTTATTATATTGATTTATTTATTGGTAAACTGGTTCTTTATCATCTTGCCTGTTCATCTTTGTGGCAGAATAACTTCATAAACACAAATTACCTCTGGTCTTCAGTTATGACCCTTAATAGTCAGTAGTTTTAATTACATCATAAAATAGTAAAATATGACATTAGCAGACCACTTTACAATTCTCAAAGTGTTTTCACATAGATTAACTTACCTGACCTTGGCAGCTCTTAGGGAGACAGGGAGAAAAACTGGCTATTATTGAATAGTAGGGATTGTGCCAAGCGAGTGCTTGACAGCTACCTAATGTTCACTGTAATCCTCTAAATTAGGTAGTACCACGCCCATTTTACAGATGAGAAAATGAGGGCTGAGAGTAGTTCAGTAACTTGCCCAAGATCATCTAGTACTATAGATGGAAGTTAGGCCCAATTCTATTTGGTCACACTGCTTCCCTGCAAGATAGTAAGGGGTTAACACTTTTATTAGAGAAAAGAGTAAATTGGACCTTTCCCAGAGTCTCATTTTATAGTTCCACAGCCTTTTTCAATGCAGTATCTCATTTGAATCCTGCAAAAACAGTTATAAGGTAGGTAGTTAAGGAAGCAGTCTAATTTGCCAACCAGCAATTCATCAAAAATCAATTTATGAAATGGCCAATTTGCTGAAAGATCAATTTGCAAAACCTGTCTTTAAAAAATTTCTTCTTGAATATATTAAATTGATATAGTTTTTTTCTTATAAGTATTTTTAGTATACTTTATATCATTGTCCTAAATATTTTTATGGGAAGTAGTCTTATTAGCAGCATTTTAAGAAATCTTCACTTTAATGAAAGCTATATTGAAGAACTGATTCATAAGAAGAATGTTCCTCAAAACAATTTTGAGGCAAATATACACATTTGGGAAATTGTGGTTATTCAGTGGATTAAATTTTTAAAGTGAATTCGGCTTTTGGCTTATTGACTCCTGGCAAACTAGTTATTACCCTTTAATTGAACTAGAATGGCTTAAATAGAGGGCTTTAGATTAAAGTTTCTCCCCCAGTAGACTAAATTCATTTTATATGAATATCAAATACATAGTTAGTTCTAAAGCTACACTTGGAACTCACCTAAAAACATCATCAGTGTTGTACTGGCAAACGCGGTCATAGCCATTCCTGTCATCGTGGTAAAAATCCCAATGAAGGCCATATGAATATCTTCCATACAATAAGAAAAAAGCCATATTCCTAGGAAACTAGTCAAAAAAGAGGCACTACCCAAAGCTGATCCATAACCTATAAAAACTTCATTCCAGCAGAGTGGTGAATCCAATTCATAAAGGATAAAAATTGGGGCAATGCCAATTACCACAAAAAAATAAGTGATTACTGTAAAAAGTAACAAACAGAGCAAAAATCGTCTCTTACCAGAAGCATTCTTAAAAAGCATGTAAGTTCGGTAAAATAGGTTTTTGAAGCCTTCACTACATGACATAGTAACATTCTGAGATGAACACTCTTTCACTGGATCTCCGAGAAAAAATAAAATATAGATCAAATTAACAGCAAGAGACACAGCAATAATTAGAAACGACCACTCAAAACCTAGCTCTCTAATAAAATAGCCAGATGACAGTCCTGTTAGTCCAGTAACAAGTCCAAGTAGAAAGTCAATGATAGCTATTCGAATTGTTTTTTGTTTGTGTTCTTTACACTGATCAACTATATAGGCAAAGCAAGCTCCCCAAAATGTGGTATAATTGCCACAAAATGCACCAATGAAGGTAGATGCAATCAAAAGCTGGAATGGAAAGGCAAAATAGCAAAGCAAACAGAGCCAAACGCTGGTTGCAAGAGCACCAACGGAAGACAAAATCATAGGGAATTTTCGTCCGTAGTGATCACTAATAGACAAAAGTATGAATGTAGACACTAGACCAGGAATTAATCCACTTATGTCCATCTGCAGATTAAAACGTGACACTTTTTTCTGAACTTCCTGCAAAGAAATATAAAGAAGACAATGTGTTTACAGTAGTTAACACAACGTGTATAAAAATATCATGGTGCATATGCTTTTTTCCCTGTGGCCAGTAGGTTATGGGTGGGGAATCTCTGGTGGATGGGCGGGACTAATAGAGCTTACATTTTCATCCAGTTTATAAAGCAATGCAGACTGAGTATCCCTTATCTGAAATGCTTGAGACCAGAAGTATTTCCGATTTTGGATTTTTTCAGACTTTGGGATATTTGCATGTATATAATGAGATACCTTGTGGATGGGACTCACATTTAAACACAAAATTCATTTATGTTTCATATATACCTCATACATACAGCCTGAAGGTAATTTTATACAATATTTTAAACAAATTTGTGCATAAAACAGTTGCCATTGAGTACTTGTGTGTGGAATTTTACACTTGTGGTAAAGTGTGGTGATCAAAAAGTTTCAGATTTTGGTCGGGCGTGGTGGCTCATGCCTGTAATCCTCATATTTTGGGAGGCTGAGGCAGGAGGATCACTTGAGGTCAGGAGTTTGAGACCAGCTTGGCCAACATGGTAAAACTCTGTCTCTACCAAAAAATACAAAAAAAAAAAAAAAAAACCTTTATTTAGGGAGAGCTTGGCTGTTGCCCTTATTTTTTTTTTTTACCTATGTCTTCACAGATAGATTAGTGAGAAACATCTTCCTTTATTTACTAAATAAAAGAATTTAAAATAAGATAAAATTGAAAGAGGAGACTTACACTGTCTACAGATGGTAGCATACCGTGGCTGAGTGTGGTGGCTTACGCTTATAATCCCAGCACTGTGGGAGGCCGAGGTGGGAGCATCACTTGTGCCCAGGAATTTGAGACCAGCCTGGGCAACATAGCGAGACCCTGTCTCTAAAAATAAATTTAAAAAAACTAGGCCAGGCACGGTGGCTCACGCCTGTAATCCTAGCACTTTGGGGGGCCAAGGTGGGCGGATCACTTGAGGTCAGGAGTTTGAGACCAGCCTGGCCAACATGGCAAAACCCTGTCTCTACTAAAAATACAAAAATTAGCCAGGCGTGGTGGCGTACGCCTGTAGTCTCCGCTACTTGGGAGGCTGAGGCAGAAGAATTGCTTGAACCTGGGAGGCAGAGGTTGCAATGAGCTGAGATTGTGCCATTGCACTCCAGCCTGGGTGACACAGTGAGACTCCATCTCAAATAAATAAAAATAAAAAGTAAATAAAGGTGGTAGTATGTCATGACCTGAGGAGTAAGATAAACTCAACTTCCAAGGACCAAAATGACAATGACAGATGACATACACACACAGATTGGAAGATGTGTCAATCATTACACTAGTTACTTGATGGAAGAAATTTTGCATGATCTTAAAACATTTTTTGCTTGCCATTGCTCTGTATTTTCCAAAGTCAATATAAAAAGTGTGTGCCATTTGTATACTGGGAAATGCTAAGCTGATTTAAAAAACAGATGTAAACCGTTTTTAGTCATTGAATGAATCACTGAAGGCGATGGTGGTGCCTCCTGGGAAACAAAAATGTTCCTTTGTCCTAAGGAGCAAACAGAGAGTAGGCCACCACTCCAGCGTGGGTGGCAGGTGAGGGTAGGGGTGGTTTCTGGTTCCCAGAGGTCTAAGAGCACCAACTTTAAGGGAAGGGATCTAGAGTAGTAGGTTCTCTTGAATATTAATCCAATTAAGAAACAATAAATGAAAAAGTCAATTTGAAAATTCGGCAAAAATCTTTGACATGAGACCACTGCTGTGGGCAGTAGGGGGCTCTCAGCAGCTGGGCCAGGCTGGAGGTGGGCCAACACTTGCCCCCTGTATGGTTGCAGAAGCCACCAAGCTGGCTGGACCAAGGCCCGTCTTCCCTCAGTCCAAGAGGGCAAGAGCAGCAGACTTTCCCAGACATTCTTGTCCTCTCCTCCCTGGTCCCTCCCACTGCAACCAGGGGGCCTGCTCCTACAGGTCAGCCAAAAGAAAGCACAGAATCAAATACAGAAATTGATGAGCCTGTAAGAAGAAATTTGTTAAAGGATACAAAATTACAGCTAGACAGGAGGAATAAGTTCTGGTGTTCTGTAGCACCACAGGGTGACTACAGTTAACAGTAATATGTTATATAGTTTCAAATAGCAAGAAGGAGGGTATTGAATGTTCCCAACACAAAGAAATGAGAGATGTCTGAGTTGATGGATATGCTAATTAGCCTGATCTGATCACTATACATTGTATGTATCAAAACACCACTGTATACTCCATGAATATGTACAATGATTATCTGTCAATTAAAAAAATAAAATAAGACCGGGCACGGTGGCTCACGCCTGTAATCCCAACACTTTGAGAGGACCAGACAGGAGGCTCACTTGAGGCCACGAGTTCAAGGCCAGCCTGGGAAACAGAGGAAGACCCTGTCTCTACAAAAAAAAAAAAAAAAAATCAAAAATTAGCTGAGTGTAGTGGCACGTGCCTGTAGTCCCAGCTACTCAGGAGGCTGAGGTGAGAGGATCCCTTGAGCCTAGGAGTTCAAAGTTGCAGCGAGCTATTACCACGCCACTCCACTCCAGCGTGGGCAGCAGAATGAGACCCTGTCTCAAAAAGTACCATACATGCATAAATACATAATAAACAAAATAAAATAAAAAACACTTCAGGTGATTCCCATGTCCAGTCAAGGTTAAAAAACACTGTGTTAGAGGTTCCAGGATGGGATTCAAGTATGTATATTAACAAACGTCTCCAGAGCCGAAATCTGAAGAGCATCCCTGCTGTAGGACCCCAACTTTGAAACTAAGAGGATTTGTTAAACTCTATTCTGTTTATGTGTGTTTTTCTCAACCTAGAGAGACTCTGGGCTTCTCGGGTTCAGAGCCGTTTTGCTTATCCTTGTCACCACAGGATAATGTGTGATAAACATTTGTTTAATGCATGAATAAACACTTACAAAAAGAAACTGTGAGCCGATCGAAGCTTCTCACTCCCGGGAATGACCTAGGAGACATTCTTGAAGGGAGATAAGACCGCTGGGTGAGACTCAGGGCCCTTTTTTTTTATGACCTTACTCTACGCCAGAACCTTGATGTCTTCCAGGCTGCTCAGAAATAATCACTCCCAAGAAAACGTTTCCCATGGGAATGAGGAAATGAGTAAGATTAGGGATTGTGCCAAATTGCCTAACCTCACCCCAGCAAGGTTCCACCTGACACCTCGGGAAGTGCTAGAACCTTGCCTCTGGGGCGGTTTGCCATTTCCTCCTTCTCAGGCTCTTCTCCCAGTCACAGAGACTCACAGAGCCAGCAGGAGGTGACTCAATTCCTTTTAATTCATTTCATCTTTCACTGGGAAGGCAGCACCACTCCTTTACAATCACAAAATATCCCCCAGAAGAAGAGTTTAGAGTTTACAGGTGTGATTTGTTTTTGAGGCATTGTAGGAAAAAAAAAAAAATTTCCAAACCTGGATACTATCTCTTTGCATTTTGAAATGGTAGACTTTTGTCAAAAACTGCCCAAGGGACCAGGAGAATGGTGAAGTGCCTGCCTCCTGTTTTACACACAAAAAAACTGGGGAGATTGCTGGAGAGGGAGGAAGAAAGCCTCCTTAATATCTGGCTAAACATCTTTGGTGTCAACGGTGGGTACTCCCCACTCCAGATGTCCCCACACAGCTGCTCCTCAACACGTGAGAGCCAAGGCTGATTTGATACCACCACCAAATAATAAATGCTCCTCCACCCCACCCTGTGACAGACACTGGCTCACAATCTTCAGTGATGGGCCACTTTCTAGAGTCCCTGAAAGCTGGGACATGCAGAAACAGTAAAAGGATTGGGGAAGAATAGAGCAAGTGAGAGACAGAAACACCATGTTTCAGCCACCCCTGTCCACCAAGTAGCTCATTCCAGCCTGCCCTGCCCCAATTTTCAGACTTTTTTTTTTTTTTTTTTTTTTTTTAGGACAAAGCAAGGAGACAGCCACAGAAGAGATGACACTGTGGTGAAATTTTCCGAGAGAAAGGAGAAGAGCTAGTGTCACAGAGCAGGAGGGTGTTTTAAGAAGAAGAGGCAGATTTGAAAGGTGTCAGGAAACTTCAAATGAGGTGAGTTCCCAGTAAAGGCCATTAGGTTTGGGATTTAGGACTTTGATGGCCGCCCTAGAGAGACCAATGGATGATGAGTTCACGGTCCTCTTTAACTCAAAGCCCGGTATACATTCCCATTTTATTAAATACTATGGATATTGTAATTTCTTACCTCCTGGAATGCAAAAATTGGGCTGCTTTTGTTTTTTTCACACTCAGAAATATTGCTATCAGATGAAAAAGTGTAGTTGCCAGTTTCTTCCCATATTCTCCGATAAACATATTGCGTTGTCAGTGGACCGGTCAAAGTCATAGCAAATGCACTAAGGAAAATGGCAGGTTCTACAAATAAAATCTTCATATTGCCTGGGTAGGTAGCTGTATTCTATAAAAAGTGAAAACGGAGAAAGATCATCTGTCTCATCCCAGAGGCTAGATATTCAAAGATGGGTAAGTTTGAGCAATTTTGTGGAGTAAATGTTTAAACAAGCAAACTAGAGAACAGAAAAGGCAGTAAGCACTTTCTCAGAGAATAACTTTTACTTTGGAGTAGAGTACTCTGTAACAACCTGAGGCTGCCATGCTTTCCATTTTTATGAGTAGGACATTGTAGGACTCAAGCCGCCTTTGAGTCTTTGAAATCATAAACTGTCACCCATCTTGGTTAGCCAATGATCACAGTACAGTTCCCACACTGTATATTGCCAACTGATTTTTCGTAAGTTCAACAATGAGGTTCCTTTTGGGAAGCGACAGTTGCACAATTGTTATTGTTATTTTGCTGCGTATTAAAAACGGACAGGGAGGGGGCGTTTTAAAAAGCAGCTCCCAATCGAAAGGGCCTTATTTTTAACTCACCCCACGATTACAGTCTTCCTGCCAGGCTGGGTACAGGTCGGGCCGTGCCAGGGGCTGTCGCCTCGGATGCCCTGCGCTCGTGCGCGCCCGGGTTCAAGGGCAGCCTCTGGACTGGGGCAACAGAGGACGCGCCGGGGACAGTAACCTCGGACTACGCGGCCGGCGCTGGGGTGGGGAGAGTACTTTCCCGTCGAACTCGACCAAATTACGCTTGTCGGGGAGTCTCAAGCGTATTGTAAAGCAAACCTCGGCAAGCGCACTTCCGCGTCCCGAGTGACACCTGCAGGGTTCTCCGGCAGCCCTCGGCTTCCCCGCGGCCCTGCGGACCTCGGCCTCAGCGCGGCGCGGCGGGGCGCGGAGCAGCTGCTCCTTCTGCGCAGTGGACAATCGGCCAATCGGCGCCTCCGTCGGTCGGTCAGCGGCCCTGCCAGCGCTAGGCGATGACTCGGCCGCAGCCAGCTGAGCATCGCTGTCCGCCGAGGAGGCGGGGTCGGCTGCCGCGGCGCTGTCACTGTTCTACCCGGCTCTCCTGCGATTGGGCCCAGCGGTCGGTGCCCCAGCGGCGATTGGTCCACCCGGACGTCACTCTCCCCTGGAGAGTGGCTAGTGGATCGTGCACCCACCCTCGGAGGCCCGGAGTGGATCCCGCGCGACCGAGCAGCCACTCAGCACCGCTGTTGAGTGGTGGGCCGCGCCGCAGGCTCAACAGCTCTGGAGTTGCAAAGCATTTCTGAATCCGAATATCCTTTCTCATAGAAACACATAAAACAACAGTTGGAAAAGTAACATGTTTGGGCTGTAGCCCCCAGCAGGATCCCGGTCGGCCCGCAGAAGAGGGGAATGGGCGCAGGTGGAGGGCATAGGAAAGAGAGTGCTCAATGCAGAGTTAGCGGAGGGTTGGAATGTGGTCGCTGGCTTTTCCTGGGGAGGGGAGGGGGGACTTGGGCAAATCGTTAAATTTTCATGAACCTCCATGTCTTTATCTGCCACGTGGGGATGATAAGTCTTACAGGGTTGTCTAATTAAACACTCAGCATGTATACACAACACAGCCCCTGGACATAGGAGGAGTTGTCAGTGCTCTCCAACACACCCACCAGGAACAACTTGTAGTAAAAGAATTGAGCTACTACTTCTTGAAGCCAGGAGAAATGCATGCATGAGGAACCGTGGGGGCATCTCAGTAAGAAGGTGTTAGAATTTACTATGGGCTTGCGTTATGTGATTTTGGGAAGAGTTCAAGAAAGCAAGGCCTTACTCTGGATTGGTTGCTGTCAGGAAATGGCAGTAATTCTATGATTGGGTATCTTAATAAGTCTTATTTAGGAGTCAAGACTAGACAGAGGCTAAAGCCATGAATGATAAAGAAGCAACAGTCACACATATTTGTCATTTTTGTGGTTTAGACAGTGCCTAAATTTTGTCCGTGTTCAGACAAAATTATGACGTGGTCTTGTTTTTGTCTTGATCATGGTTACAGAATGCTCTTGTCTGACTTTGGTGTTCCGTGAAATTGTTTTCATTCGACAGAACACCATGGTCCAGAAAAGTTCTTAGCAACACCAAGGCCCAGCTGATAGTTCCAGCACCTGGATGTCAGAGCTGCTTTCTCTTCCTCAGCACTCCTTAAATGACAGTTGTGTCACTGAATGCAGAGTTAAACGTCTTAGGTTTGAGTCCTAACTGATACTTAGTAGCTGGTAACCTTGGACTTGCCACTTAATCTTACTTCCCAGCTTCTTCAAATCAGCATTTATGAAGCACTTGTTATGAGTTTCAAACAATGGAGCATGGATATTGGAAAGAAGATAAACAAACATGAGTAAGATACAGTTTGCAAGGAAGACATAATATTTTAAGTTGCAGTACTTTGTACTAAGTACTATATTATTCTAAACGGCACTTAGAAGATGTCCTTTTTTTTTTTTTTTTTTTTTGAGGTGGAGTCTCGCTCTGTCACCCAGGCCGGAGTGCAGTTGCAGGATCTTGGCTCACTGCAACCTCCGCCTCCCGGATTCAAGCAATGATCCTGCCTCAGCCTCCTGAGTAGCTGGGGTTACAAGTGTGCGCCACCATGGCCGGCTAATTTTTGTATTTTTAGTAGAGACAGGGTTTCACCATGTTGACCAGGATGATCTTGAACTCCTGACCTCAGGGGACCTGCCCACCTCAGCCTCCCAAAGTGCTGGGATTACAGGCATGCGCCACCGTGCCCTGCTGAAAATGTCCTTTCTTATGGGGCAAAAATAATTAATGTCCAATATACTTCCACGCTTTGCATTCCTACTCTTCCACACGAAGAAGAAAGCCAGGTCTTCTTAATGAGTTCTGCTGCTGATCGCTATGGTGACAACAGTCATTTTTTTTTTGTATTTTTTCAAAGAGAATTTTAATGTGAAAAATTAGCAGAGTTTCTGCCTTCACAATTAGAGTTTAACATGAGTCTTCCAGTGTTTTAAAAAGAACTGTAATATACGTAAAGCAAAATATTTTGGCATCATCTAGTGAAAACAGACAATGTGGTATTTTTTCAGCCATCTCATATAGTTAGGCCCTGAGTTATAATTTGAGATAAGTGATTCCTAAACAGAATGTGCTTTACAGAATGTGACCAATTATATTACTCCCAAGGACCTTGTTTCAGATTATATTAAAACCAGAGTTCACTGATCTCACATTTTAAAAAGAAAAAAAGTTTGTTAACTGTTTTAATCAACATAAGTAGTAACAAACATCCCTAATTGGATTCTAGAGAGGAAGCAGGGAGGGCCAGGCATGTGGCTCATGCCTGTAATCCCAGCACTTTGGGAGGCCGAGGCGGGTGGATCACGAGGTCAGGAGTTCAAGACCAGCCTAGCCAAAAGAGTGAAACCCTGTCTCTACTAAAAATACAAAAATTAGCCAGGCGTGGTGGCAGGTGCCTGTAATCCCAACTACTCAGGAGGCTGATGTAGACAATTGCTTAAACCCGGGAGGCGGAGGATGCAGTGAGCTGAGATCGCGCCACTGCACTCCAGCCTGGGCGACAGAGCGAGACTCCATCTCAAAAAAAAAAAAAAAAAAAAAGAGAGAGAGAGGAAGCAGGGAACAACTGAGCCAAAACAAAATTATCCCCTAAGGACTTGACTTTGGACTTCCACATAAATGTGACCTTGAAGACCTAGATACATATTTATCAGGTAAATATGTAATTATTTCGTAATTAGATCAAGATACATGAGCAGTTTTTGGCATTAATAATTACATTATTTTTAGGAAATCTTATCAAATATGGTCCCGGATCTCTTAATTTCCTATATTCAGTGATTTTAGTTAAAATTCCAAAGGATATTTTTTTTCTACAACATCTCCATTTCTGAGTATCATCATACCAAAAGAATTAGTATTCTCTCATTCAAGGCTTTAGATGTTCAATTATTCCCTGCCCTTCCATCCTCACCCACACAATAATTGCCCAGATAAATAATAACCTGAGGTTTCCAAGTATCTCACCGGGATTTTTATTCTTTATACCTTGCAGGACTAGTCCAAGATTTGAATACCCTGAACTTATTTGGCAAGAGCTAAGAGTACTCTTAAAATTACTACCTGGAAATTATATTATTTAGAATCTGCCAATTACCTAGATCCTCCTGAACAATTGTTTTACTAATGAACTTCCTGAAAGCACATGTATAAGTATCATAGCTATTAGAAAATGTTTCAAATGCTATTATATTTGATAGAACCATTCAGTTAACAAAATACTAAATCATAAACTGGCTTTTAGAATTACACACTCAAAAAAAACAGTACACTACAAGAGTTGTTTTGTACACTTCATTCTCTTCGAATGCCTTTGTGGCTTACAGTGATGATCACATATATTGGTTCCTTGCAACCTTTTTCATTTTGATCTTCGTTTGTAATGGATAAGTGGGTTTTCAGGGGTGTGAATCATAGTTGTATAATTCACGATGGGAAAATATCCATCAATGAGATCAAATTCATATAAACGAAGCATAGTGGACCAAATTGTCTTAATTTGAACATAGGCAAAATTTTCCCCAATTCAACGATGACACCCAGCTCCAAATGGCACATAGGCAAACTTTTCCCCTGATGCTGGGTTATCCTGTAAGTAGCAATCAGGATTAAAGTCCAGGCGTTCTACCCATGAGTCTTTAGGTCTTTGATTGACAGTGGGAGAAACACACACCTGATGTCCTGGAGGAATGGTATACCCTACCACAGTCTGAGGAGTTCTGGCCATTCTCATCATGATCATTATAGGAGGTCTAAGTCTTAATGTTTCTTTTATACAGCGATCAAGTAAATTTAGATCCTTGAGTTGGTCATAAGTTAAAGGAGGCAGATTCTCTCCACAGACTGTTTTCTGTTCTAAATAACATTTTTCTTGAAGTGTTTTGTCTCTGGCCAAAAAGAAGTCCATCCAAGCACTAGTAGTTGAGGATGAATGCTGCCCTGCCAAGAGTAATCCAATAAGCATCCCTGCTACTTCATCATCAGTCAAAGGACGCCCATCCTTGTATGTAGCATCTAGTAAAGTTTGGAGAATGTCATCAATTTTTTCTTGAGACTGTCTGCGTTTCTGGATTGCCTTATAGAAAATATCCTTGATTTCCCAATGAGCTCTGTCCCTGCATCTGAAACTAGGCAAAGGCAGCCAACCTGGTAAGAGCCAGGCTGCATGGCTGAAACCTCCATCCAAATCTGCATACAGCTGTGCTACCTTTTCATTGAGTTGACTTCTGATTTCCTTTCCATGCAAACAGTGGCTAGCTGTTAAAATTATGAGCTCAGAAAGAGCTTCAAACACATTTTTTTCTCCACTTTCTCCCCAACTCTGAAAGTACTCCTTTGTTTCTTTTTCTTTTTTTTTTTTATTATACTTTAAGTTTTAGGGTACATGTGCACATTGTGCAGGTTAGTTACATATGTATACATGTGCCATGCTGGTGCGCTGCACCCACTAACTTGTCATCTAGCATTAGGTATATCTCCCAATGAAACATGCTGTTTAAAGTGGGCTTTGTTAAGGCCACTTTTTAACATTTTCTTCTGCTCCAAGAAAACTGGATTAGGCACATCGTATGCAACTCCCTTCCCAAACACAGGTGTCGTCAGGTGACTGTAGACATCTTCTGCATTCAGGTCTTCATTTTTACTATTAAAAAGCAGCGCAGCAGCATCACTCCCCAGAAGGTAAGTAAATGTCTTGCCTACCATGGTAAAACTAAATACAGGTCCATACTTCTCATATGCATTTCTAGAAATTCAACTGGACTTTTCCCAAATGCTATGGCATGCCCAGGGAATGGAACTGGGGAGAAAACGTATGGAGGACTTTTCGCCCCTGCGGGCAGCTGGACCAAGTGGCCGGCGGCCAGACGGAACAGGTAGACCAGGCTGAGGGTGAAGGTGCAGGCGATCAGCAGCATGGACAAGAGGTTGCCTCCTGTCACCTTCTCCATCGCCTGGCCCAGCACCGACCCACCCCGCCTGCAGCAAGCCCAGCAACATCATCCCCGCCGCTGCCGCCATTTCACTTCATTGGAGACACTGAAGGCCGAGGTCGCCACCACTCCTCCTAATCGACGGAGCGAGAGAAGCTGGCGGATGGTTGTCCACAGGCGGCTCCGGCCCCCAGGTCTCCTACTAAACGACAACAGTCATTATGGAAGCCTTTTTTTTTTTTCAAGTAATATTAAGTGCTTGAGTATGTATCAAAGAAGCCTTGACTGTTAATTGTCACTCTATTGGGCACTGTGGAGTAAAAGCAATTCTAAAACCAACTACATGGAAACCATCAAGACCTGTCACTCCCGTTTCTCCACAGCTATTGTTGCTCCTCACAGGTTCCCACTCCAGCCTTCTTCCTTCAAAGACCCTGAGAGAAGAAATAAAAAATAAAAGCAAGTGTGCAAGGAGCAGTGGCCATTCACCAGACGTGATCTCCCTGGCCGTGTTTCTGAAACGTAGATCAAGAGGTGTATTCTTCGGGAAAGGGGTCTCCAGGATTTTGAAATTTTATATTTTCATTTAAATGACCTATAAATTTTAATGTTAGCATATTATGAATTGTTTTGTAATCAAGTACTGACATTTTATTTGTGTTTATATTTGTATTTCTGCTTATGATCACATTGGCTGCAAGCAGCCGTACCTAAATGATGTCAGACTAATGAGAAAAGAAGTGGACTAAATATGTAAATGATACGCCCAAACTAAGTGAAGACCAAACAATGTCATATCATGCTGTTCAAGAGAAGTTTCCATCGTATTTCAATAAGAGGTATGGTTGGGAGACTGAAGTCATTGCCTTACACACAAATAGACATACTGAACTCAGAAGAACACATACTGTGCTGGGCAGTGCCATGGTCAAATGGCAAAAGCCAAAGTGGAATAGAGTAGCTATGAGATTTTGTTGGTTTCAAGAAGAAAGTGGCTTGTTTACTTCTGATCAAATCAGCAAAGTAAGATGTGATGAAAAGACCTCAATTATACCAATTTCTGCTTAGTAGATGATTGTCAAAATGGCTCTGATAAGAGTAATGTGATACAACTCTAAGCACAAATTGTGGAAGGGAAATATGATCTAATCATATGACCTTGGTTAATAAGTTTCCAAAATAGGCCTCAGTAGGTCTTATCTACTTGAGAATTTCATAATCTGATGTCAGCCTTGTCTTTCTTGACCTCTGTTGCTTTGGATACTGTGAAACAGATTCCTCCTTCTGGAAATCTTTTCTCCCTTTGGGTTCCATAACCTGATGGTCTTCCTGCTACCCTGAGAGCTCCGTCTCGGTTTCCTCTGTGAGCTTGCTTCTCAGATGGTGCTGTGCCTCAGGCCCTATCTCAGCTCCGACCTTTTCCCAGTCAATTTCATATACACTTATGACTCAGCTACCATAAATATGCTGACCATTTCCAAATCTCTTATCTCAAGCCCACCCTCTTCTCTTGAACTTGACACCCAGAACTTCCTTTTATTTGTATTAACAAAAGAAAAAAAAAACCCAAACCCCATAAAACTGTATACTTTAAATGTACAAAGCAGATCTCATCTTCCTCATACATCTGATACCCTCTTATAATCTTTGTTTCAGTCAGTGACATCACCTATCCAGTTAACAGATACGGAGACTTAGGACTCATCCCTGACTTTTTGGTCATTAAATGCATTGCAAATATTTTACATCATAAATATAACTAGTATTATCTATACCTTTTTCAGGTGTGTGGCTGTAAGGAAAGTACATCCCTGGTTTTTTAGCATTCAGACCGAACATCTCTTTTTTGGCTTGGCTAAGGTGATGAGCTCTGTCTTGCTATTGGTCTATTGCTGAGTGGCATTTGAAAGTTGTTGAAGAGGTGAACAAAATGCAAAGCGATCAAGGAGTTCCCTTGTAAATCAGAACTCCTTACCCTTTCCCTCTAAGGTCTCAAGTTATTACAACACTTCTGATGGCCTGGGATGGTCCTAAGAAGTCTCAGTTGTCAGAAATGTACAATAACAGCCCTTAAGGAGGAATCCACCGTGTTGGTGGTGACAGTGGTGGTGGAGTTGGTGGTGGTGTCTTATCCTGGGGGAGGGTCAGTGAGGAACAGAGTCATGTGATTGCATCACAACCTGGTCTACCACCTTGGACCGTGGGGTTTGTCAAGAGAAATGGCTGATTAACTGTAAATGCAACTATCTGTCACTAGAGTTGTAACCAGGAACCCAGTGTCCTATGGTGTGGAGTACCCATTGCCACAACCTTTATGCCTGGGAGCTGAACATCTTGTTTCTGGTACCAGCCTCACCAGAGCAGTGGTTGGAACCTTAGGCAGAGTGACTAGACTTCTCAGTTTCTTTTCTGCGTAACGATAGTAAACAGGACTACCTCATTTGGACTAAGTAAGCAGCTGGAGGATTTTACATTTCAAGGAAGGAAAAGCTCAGAGAATGAAGAAGGCATTTCTTACAAGCAGTAGGATGGAAGCTCTAATTTGATTTATCTGTGTACTGACTTAAATTTGGCTTATTTCCTATAGCAGCAGGTAAAAGCTCCTAGAACAGGGGATGGCAATTGGTGGGTATTCAATAATGTGTGGATTTGAATCTCATTCTTGCTTAATCAGACACACCTCATACTATCTTTGAGAAATTATAAATGACAAGCCGGCCACCACTCCAAACTGACATTTCCCCTGCAGAAGAGTCAGTCCAACCTTAACAGGCTTGGGAATAGCAGGAAGAAAGGGTTTAAAGCCAGCAAGTAAATTAAATACCCATGCATGTGACTTCACAATATAGCCCTTGTTTAGAAGGTTAGCCCACCTGTTTCCACCTCCAGCTCCTTACCCTTATCCTAAGCCACCACTGTTTCTCACTTGCATTCCTCACTGTTTCCTACCTGGGCAATACAACATGATCTTCTTCTGAAACCATCAATGGCTTCCCCATTGAATTCAGAGTAACACTCAACCTCCTCACTATGACCTGAAAGACCCCTAAGGATCTGGCCACATCTCTCCTGCAACCTCAGCCCGCCAAAATCCCTCCCACGTCAGGATTGCCACACTGCTCCCTCCCTTCCTTTAGGTGTAGCTGAAATGTCACCTTAAAGTATTCTCTGACTGTCACACCCAAAGCAGGAAAGTGCTATTCTCTAGCTCGATAACTTCTTGTTTGATTTTTTTTTTAACACTTCACATTCTATATTGTTTTATATTTTTGTATGTTTGCCTTTTTTGGTCATCTGTGCCCTGTACTACAATGAAGCTCTGTGCATGCAGGGACCATGGCTGACTCTTGTATGACTGTGTCATATCTAGAATTGGGGCTGGCATGCAGGAAATCTTAGTCAAATGGATGAAATGAGGTGGTTTTGTTCAGTACTCCCAAATTATGGAATTATACACCTAATCTACCCTTGGGAACCACAGAGAATAATTGTTTGATGCATTTGTTTTTTTAAGAAGCTGAGTTTATGACAATAAGCTCTGTCTGGCTGAATCACTTAAAATACATGTGTACCAGAACATTCAGCAAACTATCATGACAAACAATTTTGAAATATGATATGTAATAACAGAAATGGAAAAGGTTTTATTTATAAAACCAATCTAAAATGTGTCACTCCCAGACTAATTGTAATTCTATCTGAAATTTCATTCTCAACCAGAAAGAGGGACAAAAATGTCCAACCTCACTAGTAATCAAATAAACACATACCAGGATAACAATTAAGGTATAATCTTTCATGTTCAAAATGAGCAAATAGTTTGTTTTTAAGATAAAATTAGCTTAAATTACAGTAGTTTGTGCCTATAATCCCAACTACTTGGGAGGCTGAGGCAAGAGGATCGCTTAAGGCCAGGAGTTCCAGACTAGTCTGGGAAACATAGTGAGACCCCATCTCTCAAACAAAACAAAACAAAACTATATGTGTGTATATACATACATATATATGTGAACATATATATTCATTTGGCCAGCCTGAAGTAAAATGAACAAAATGTCATATTTTGCCAGTAAAAAGTGAATTGGTAAAACTTTTTTCAGAATCATAATTTAACAATATACACTAAAATCGTTATACATTGTCTGCTCAGCAAGTCTTACTGATGAAATAATAGAAATTTTCATAGCAATTTAGCTATTTAGATTTTTATCTGGTTGTTTGTAATTTGAAAAAAATCTAAATATATACCAAGATATAACTATAACTATATATATAAAAACCATGTGTTCTGTGACATGGAAAAAAAGAAGATATATATATATATATATATATATATATGATAATAGGGGAACAGTGCATACATATAGTTTTATGTTGAGAAAGGCCATTATATTATTTTCGTAGAATATTTAATTATAAGGAAAAATTTTCAGGTCATGATATTGAGTGAAAAAAAGGCAACAAAACATATTTGGCATAGCACATCCTAATTTTTAAAAAATAAATACATGTATAAATGCATAGAAAAAAGCCTATTAAGTAATATATCAAATGGTACTAACAATTGTCTCTGAGGGGTAGGATTATTAACAATTTTTGTTTGCATATTAAATACCATAGACAGTATGACTTTCTATATTGTCCACATTTTTAGTAATGAATATGTATTAATTTATAACCAGAAAAAGTTTAACCAAAAAGAAATGAGAGGAAAACAATAGAACAATTACATGCAAAGTCATTGCTATTTGTTAAAAAGCTTTAGTTTCCTAAAACCTAGAACTTCTCAAAGGTTGATATTTTCCAAGTGGTTCTACAAGCTTTAACGTTGAATCAGTAACCACATGGCAAAGTGACCTTCTGGGACTGCCATAGGTAGCCCAAGATAAGAGGATAGTGGATGTTAACTACTCACTAGCAGTCAAGAGTCCTTTATCTAGAAAAGTAGAGTCAAGAATGGAGAAATAACTGTTCTGAAGTACAGGGAGGAACTGAGGGGAGCTTTTGTACTGCCTGGATCAATCTATTTAAAACCAGACTCAGAAATCAGTAAGACTCACGGCAAGTGGAAATCTGCTAGTCCAGCCCTCTCACCCTACCCATAAGAAAACACAAGCCACAGGTGAAATGACTGTGTTATCCTCCACGGAACACATTGCCCTGACCTAGGCCTGTGCCCTAGGATGGAGTCCTCCCTGGAACCCAGGCCCTGCTACCACCCATCTGTCCACCTTTGTTTTCCTAACAGAAAGTGGAGTTTTGTTTGTTTGTTTGTTTGTTTTTGAGACGGAGTTTCACTCTTGTTGCCCAGGCTGGAGTGCAATGGAGCGATCTCGGCTCACCACAACTTCTGCCTCCCAGGTTCAAGCAATTCTCCTGTCTCAGTCTCCCAAATAGCTGGGATTACAGGCATGCGCCACCACACCCAGCTAATTTTATATTTTTAGTAGAGATGGGGTTTCTCCATGTTGGTCAGGCTGGTCTCAAACTCCCAGCCGCCTCAGGTGATCTGCCCACCTCGGCCTCCCCAAGTGCTGGGATTACAGGCGTGACCCGCCGCACCCAGCCAGAAAGTGGAGTTTTTAAGGAGCAGTTTAAGGAGGCAGTTAAGAAGCTTAAGAAGTTTTGAGAAAGAGGAGCTCAGATTGCTGCTCATGCTGCAGGAAGGTAAACTGCCCTCTCTTATCTTTCCACTCCTACAGCTGCTCCCATGTTACTCAGTTTTTACCACTGGTGTCCTCGAGGTCACTGCACTGCCCAGGGTTATGAAAACAGGACAGTCACCAGCTCAGGGAGGGAGAACTGCGCCCTTGGTTATCTTTAAATTAGGGGAGATGGAATTTGTCTGGTCAGCATTCATTCCAATTCTGATCAATTATGGTTCAGTTTATTTCATTCTCCCTGCAGCCCTGATGATAGATAGGTTTGCAATATGCAGGAAAGCTGTAGGTAATCAGAGTGGAATCTATAAGTATTTCCTGCCATGGAACTTGTAAGAAAAGGAAAAAAAAAGAAAAAGAATCTGCAAGTATTCAGAACACAACTAAGCAAAACGCTCCAATTTTTCTTTTCTTTTTAAAAATTATTTTATTTGGCCAGGCATGATGGCTCATGCCTGTAATCCCAGCACTTTGGGAGGCCGAGGCGAGTGGATCACGAGGTCAGGAGATCGAGACCATCCTGGCTAACATGGTGAAACCCCGTCTCTACTAAAAATACAAAAAATTAGCCAGGTGTGGTGGCGGCTACCTATAGTCCCAGCTACTCAGCAGGCTGAGGCAGGAGAATGGCGTGAACCCGGGAGGCGGAGCTGGCAATGAGCTGAGATGGCGCCACTGCACTCCAGCCTGGGTGACAGAGTGAGACTCCGTCTCAAAAAAAAAAAATATTTTATTTATTTATTTCATTCGTTTTAAAATAAATAGAGACAAGATCTCACTATGTCGTCCAGGCTGGTTTCAAATTCCTGAGCCCAAGTGATTCTCCTGCCTGGGCCTCCTAAAGTGCTAGGATTACAGGCGTGAACCACGACACCTGGCTGTCTTTTTCTTTTAAAAAAAATTTCCTTCCCCAAATAATCTGCTATCCCACAGTATTCCCTATCTAGTGTTCCACAAGCTGTGGCTATGATGGATTTTCCTGAAGACTCGAGAGTCAGTTTCCTAGGGCTGCGGTAACAAAGTACCACAAGCTGGGTGACCTACACAGCAGAAATGTATTCCCTTCAGTTCTGCAGGCCAGAAGACAGGAATCAAGTGTCACCAGGGTTGGTTCCTTCTGGAGAGTCTGAGGGAGAATCTATTCCATGGGCTTCTCTTAGCTTCTGGTGGCTGCTGGCGATCCTTGACATCCTCTGGCTTGTAGCATCACTCCAATCTCTGCCTCCATCATCATAGGCTATTCTCTCTGTGTGTCTGGGTCTCGGTGCCCCTCTTATAAAGACACCAGTCATATTGGATTGGGGCCCACTCCAATCCAATGAGGTCCAGTATGACCTCATCTTCACTCATTATATCCTGTAATGACACTATTTTGCAAATTTTTCAAATGAGGTCATATTCTAAGATACTGGGAGTTAGGACTTCATCATACTTTTTTAAGGACCATGATTCAACCATAATACCCTACATCTTCTATATCTGCTTTCTTTCTTATTTGATGGTTTACTAAGGGCAGGGAAGCAGGAGTGTTCCGCCCAGGTACAGACAACAAGAGGCAATTGTCTGTAAAGGATGTATAAACGTAATAAAAATGACTAAAGGATCCTCTGCTTTTTATTATCTACTTGGGCCAGCAGTTCTAAACAACATCTGTGAATAAAATAAGCACCCTCACCAAATCTGTTAGTTCTAAATAATTGCTGTGTGCGGTAGTTTAAAAATATATATAGAAATTTTTCCATACTCTTCCCTTCCAATTCCACTCTCTTGAATGTGGGCTGGACTTAATATTTTTCTTTGGTAAAAATTTATTATTTTTATTAATTGCTTTAAACTCAAGAAGGAATCAAGCAAACAAGCATAAAATTAAGTATAACAATAAAATTATTTTTAGTAATTACTGAAAATAGTTTTGTTGTTTACAGCCAAGGAGGCGTGGAAGAACGATTTGGTATGGTTGTCAAATATGCTACGCATTATGCCACTGCTTTTACAGCATTGAAACTTGAGACTCAGAAAGAATTCTCTGAGACAGTATAAAATTTCTAGTATCTAAGGAAGACCACCACATTTTCTTCATCATGACTCTTTCTGATGTCAGAGAGTTAAGATCATCTAAAGACTGAAATTATATCCCTCCTTTGGCTGATGAAAAATTTCTTGAGTACCAAAGATTTCTTGAGTACCAACTATGCGCTTAGAACACATCTATGGACAAAACAGACTTCTGCCTCGTGAGGGTACCTTCTAGGGAACGGAGACAGCACACCAAAAGGTTAGAAGTAGCTGAGCAGGTGGCTCACACCTGTAATCCCAGAGACTTTGGAGGCTGAAGTGGGAGGATTGCCTGAGGCCAGGAGTTTGACACCAGCCTGGGCAAAATAGTGAGACCCCATCTCTTAAGAAAAAAAAAAAAAAGGTTAGGGGAAGAAAAAGTCAAAAAAGGACCTGAAGGATGGGCATGCTGAGGTGGGTTGGAGTGGGCGGGCTGTAGGATTACGCAGTTGACTAGGGCAGCTCTCACTGAGGAGAGAAGCTTGAGCAGAGACTTGCCGGAAGCCAGGCAGTTTGCCATCCAGATAGCTGGGAAAGCATTCCAGGAAACAGACCAGTGAAGGTATGGCCTGTGTGGATGTGTACCTAGCATGCTGGAGGAAAGGCAAGGAAACCAATGAGGGCAGGAAGGAGAGGGGAGACACTGCCCAGGAAGAGGGCATAAGCTTGGATGAGGCAGCTCTCTTCCATGGGGGAGTGCCTGTAGACCAACTCAGCTGAGAGCCCTAAGGCCCACACTCCCAGCAGCTGGGAAATGAGGCTTCAGCCCTGAAAAAAGTCTCAGGGCACCACTCCCAGCATCCCCTACAGAGCTGGATTTATAGGAGTCATTCCATTTGGATAGGGAATTAAAGGAGTGTCCAGGTTTGGAAGAGAAATTATATTTAAGAGGGGAGCAGGAGCGGTAGGAGCGGTGGCTCATGTCTGTAATCCCAGCACTTTGGGAGAGCGAGGCGGGCAGATTGTTTGAGGCCAGGAGTTCGAGACCCGCCTGGAGTAACATGGTGAAACCCAATCTCTCTAAAAAAAAAAAAAAAAGAAAAAAAATTAGCCAGGCATGGTGCATGTGCCTGTAGTCCCAGTTACTCGCAAGGCTAAGATGGGAGGACCATCTGAGGCCGGGGAGGTCAAGGCTGCAGCGAGCCGAGATTGCGCCACTGCACTTCAGCCTGGGTGTCAGAGTGAAATCCTGTCTCAAAAAAAAGAGAGAGGTCACCCTCCTCCTCATCTATATCCTATAATTTCTTGCACAGCCTATTCGTTATCCTTAACGCAACTATTTAATTATTCTACACATTTCCTGGGAGTGGAGGGTACACCCCCGGGAAAGCCATTGTTGGGTGTGGAGTTAAGATGCCCTTGGGGTCCCTGCGCCTAGCTCAGGGCTATGCCGACCATTCTGGGCCCTGCATTTAATGTGCCATCAGTTTCTACTCTCGTTGTCATTGACTTTTCTGTAGCCTCCTTTAATTTAAACAAACAAACAAAAAAGCCAGGCATGGTGGCTCACGCCTGTAATCCCACCACTATGGGAGGCCGAGGCGGGTGGATCACGAGGTCAGGAGATCGAGACCATCCTGGCTAACACGGTGAAACCCCATCTCTACTAAAAATATGAAAAATTAGCCAGGCGTGGTGGCGGGCGCCTGTAATCCCAGCTACTCAGGAGGCTGAGGCAGGAGAATGGCGTGAATCTGGGAGGCGGAGCTTGCAGTGAGCCGAGATGGTGCCACTGCACTCCAGCCTGGGCGATAGAGTGAGACTCCATCTCAAAAAAAAAAAAGCATTTTTTTTTTTGAGACAAGGTCTTACGCTGTCACCCAGGCTGGAGCGCAGTAGTGTGAACATGGCTCTCTGCAGCCTTGACCTCCCAGGCTCAAGCAATTCTCCCACCTCAGCCTCCCCAGGGACTGGGACTATAGGCACATGCCACCACCATGCCTGGTCAATTTGTGTATTTTTTGTAAAGACAGGGGTCTCACCATCTTGCCCAGTCTGGCCTTGAACTCCTGGACTCAAGTAATCCCCTCACCTTGGCCTCCAAAGGTGCTGGGATTATAGTTGTAAGCCACCGCACCCGGCCTGTAACCTCCTTTTATTACTACAGATCAATTCTGCTTTGGAATTCAGTATTCTTGCTTAACCCTGCCTCCACCCACCTCTCCTTCTACTTTTACCTGCTATACATGATCAATCCCATATACCAGACTTACCAACTGGGAAAGTACTGTTCTCCAGTGAATTAAGCACTGTTTGCCAGGGATTCTAGGTTTGAGGAAAAAGTAAATTTGAACACTTCTAATAACTCATCCAACTCCAAAATGTTATGGTATTAAGTCCTGAAAATGACACTAGGTAATGTAACATACAGTTATGGACTGAATTGTTTCCCAAAATGCACTGGTTTAAGAGCTTACCTCAAATGTGACAGAAATACTTGGAGAAGGGCCTTTAAAGAGGTAACTAAGATTAAATGAGGTCTTTAGAGTGGGTCCTAATTCGAGAGGACTGGGTGTTCTCATAAGAAGAGGAAGGCAGGCTGGCATGTTGGCTCACACCCGTAATCCCAGCACTTTGGGAAGCCAAGGCAGGCAGATCACTTGAGGTCAGGAGTTTGAGCACAGCCTGGCCAACATATATGAAACCCCATCTCTACTAAACATACAAAAATTAGCTAGGTGTAGTAGTATACGCCTGTAGTCCCAGCTACTTGGGAGGCTGAGGCGCAAGAATCTCTTGAACCCGGGAGGTGGAGGTTTCAGTGAGCCGAGATTGTGCCACTGCACTCCAGCCTGGGTGACAGAGCAAGACTCTGTTTCAAAAACAAAACAAAACGAACGAACAAACAAGAAAAACAAAAGAAAAAAAAGGGAAGAGACACCAGGGGCTCGTGTGCACAGAGGGAAAGAGGACAGTGAACAGACAAGACATCCCTGCAAGTCAAAGTAGACATTTGCAAGCCTCAGCAGAAATCAAACCTACTGACACCTTGATCTTGAACTTTCAGCCTCCAGGAGTATGAGAAAATAACTCCAAAGGGCCATCATGGCCCCAGAGCTCCCTGGAGGCCCCCTGAGGCCTTGGTTGTTGCTGCTTCTCCTGTGGCCTTCACTCCTCTCAGGCGTCCACCCCAGGGCCTCCTCAGTGCACTTCCTGTGCCCGTAACTCCATCTTGGAGTGGGCTTCTGGGCTTCCTAGGAACCAGACCTATGACACGCCCTCTACCTTTCCATATTTCTCTTCCGGGGAAGAACATTTTGACAGCATATCAAGAAGGTGCCTCTTACTATTACAGCTTCTTTGAAGTACAAAACTTAAAAAGTGACTCATACTGGAGGGTATTTGGGTGGAGGTTAAGGGGTCTGAATAGACGTTTTCATAGGCCCTTTTTATAGGACTTGCCTGTTCTAACTCACTGTCACCTGATAGTTCTTCCTTAAATAGTCAGAGGGCTTAGAGGCTCAAATAAAAGCAAAAATTACATGTCATGTGCCCAATTCTGTTGTTCTCAGGCCAAATTTAGCTTCTTTCCCAAGCTTCCAGAAGCCCCAAACAGTTTCACTTTCAACCTGCTTACCTTTCTTGTACAAACTAAGAAAAGATTTGGGGTCATCACAATTTTCATTTCATTGCAGAAATGAAAATGACAATGGACTGAATTTTTTTCTTTTTCTTTTTTCTTAAAGTAGAGACAAGGTCTTGCAATGTTGCCCAGGCTGGTCTCAAACTCCTGGCCTTGAGTGATCCTCCTGCCTCAGCTTTCAAAAGTGTTGGGATTACAGGCATGAGCCAATGGAGTGAATTTCATTGATAATTTACTCTTTACCGAGCATCTATTCTCTGCTGGATACTCTACCATGAAATACAAAAAAAGGTAGACGAAAAATCCTTGCTCTAAAGTGATTGCAAAACAGACAGGTGAATTATATTAAACAGAAACTTGTCATTGTCACTGGAGACATGCGCAGAGGGAGGCCATTGGCCATTTTAGAGAGGACCTGATGATGGCAGCCTTGCTTCTGGAAATCAAAGTGAAGTCCAGGTCTTGTGACCCAGGGGAACGTGAGCCATGGGAATCTCTCATCATTGACATCAGATAAGGACCTGTAATCATTTGTTCTGACTCTGCAAGACTTAGCCTTGAGTGAAACGCAGGAGAAGGCTGCATCTCCAGCTGCCTTGGAGCGAGGTTTCCCACACCAATCTTAGTGTGGACTGTGGGGCGGAAACCTCTTACAAATTGAAAAAGTCTTTTGAGCTCTTCAGAAACAGATATGGCGTAAACATAAAGACTATGTTTGTGATATTCATACAAAATGGAGTAACACAACTCCCAGTTGTTCCATTTGTACCAGCAACTGCTATTATTCACGGAACCTATAGCCTCAAAAAAATGTTAGTATATTTATGTCTGTCTCGTTTCCTCTAGGAGTCCTATGTCCTTAAAAAAAAATCACATTGAGCCAAATATGTAACTTAGGTAATGAGTACAGGAAGCGCTCAAAGATTTAGAAGAAAACCTCCTCAAAACCACATAGAGGAAAAACACCAAGATTTAGCTGCAGAATCCATCTCCTGCCTTCTGTCAGCTCCTAGGGGGACCACAGCTCAGCAGCATACATTGTGTCTCTACTCTTCTCTGGGAGTGTCATCTACAGTGAAATGTCAAAGGAGAATTAAGCATCAGGCAGAGATTTATATGAAGCCTAATACAAGACCATATCTTGTACTTGGTATGAATTTTGAGACAGTTCTGAAGCCAAAACTCTGGAGGCTGTCACTGGGCGATGCCAGTTTGCATAAACCTACCATCACTTTCTCTTGTTTTTGTCAAGGGTTACGGCTTTAGGGTATGGGGATGTTCTAGAAGTCCACTGGGGCTTCTTACTAGCACTAAGTGTGATTTGGGCTGAGTTGGGCTACATGCTTGGAAGTCAACTTAAAACTTAAAGAGATCCCACAGAGACTATAAATTAGCCTTTCACTTTAGGATTCCCTAAAGTAACTACAATTCTGGCATGGGATTTGAAGTATGAACTAGATTTGTCCAGCAAACTCAAGACTGGCTGATTGGTTATGTATGAGCAGGTTCAGAACCCTCCTTTGGCATGCTGCATTGACTTAGATGCCTTTAATCCACTTGCACTGCTTTACAAGTCAACACAAACCTTCCCTAGTATTCCCTAGGTAGTGTCTGGATCTTTGTAATGTACTCGACATACACCTTTGACAATTTTATACTCTGTTGAAAATAATTTCAAAATACATCCAATTCTTTTTCATGACTTACATTTGTCTGTATGTCCTTTGTTATTAAAAGTTATTTTCAGCCGGGAAGGTGGCTCACGCCTGTAATCCGAGCACTTTGGGAGGCTGAGGCAGGCGGATCACGAGGTCAGGAGATCGAGACCATCCTGGCTAACACGGTGAAACCCCGTCTCTACTAAAAAAATACAAAAATTATCAGGGCATGGTGGCGGGTGCCTGTAGTCCCAGCTACTCGGGAGGCTCAGGCAGGAGAATTGCTTGAACCCAGGGGGCGGAGCTTGCAGTGAGCCGAGATGGTGCCACTGCACTCCAGCCTGGGAGACAGAGCAAGACTCCGTCTCAAAAAAAAAAAAAAAGTTTCTTTCTTTCTTTCTTTCTTTCTTTCTTTCTTTCTTTCTTTCTTTCTTTCTTTCTTTTCTTTTCTTTTCTTTTCTTTTTTTTTTTTTTTTTGAGACAATTTTGCTCTTGTTGCCAGGCTGGAGTGCAATGGCGCCATCTTGGCTCACTACAACCTCCATCTCCTGGGTTCAAGCGATTCTCCTGCCTCAGCCTCCCGAGTAGCTAAAATTACAGATGCCTGCCACCGCACCTGGCCAATTTTTTGTATTTTTAATAGAAACGGGGTTTCACCGTGTTGGCCAGGCTGGTCTCGAACTCCTGACCTCAGGTGATCCTGCCTCGGCCTCCCAAAGTGCTCATTACAGACATGAGCCACTGCCTAGCCTATTTTTTTTCTTTTAAAAAATGTTTATTTGTTTGAAAGTCATTCAAGAAGTGATTTTAATTTTTTTTGGAAGGTGGGTACTTTTTAACATCTAGGGGAAAGTAGACTTTTCTGCACTTTGTAGTAAATTCTGTGAGAAGGTATGAGTGCAAGCCATTCATTAAATGATGCCTAATGAAAATAGAGGCTAGGCTAGGCACAGTGGCTCACACCTACAATCCCAGCACTTTGGGAGGCCAAGGCTGGAGGACCGCTTGAAGCCAGGAGTTCTGAGACCAGCTGGACAACATAACAAGATCTTGTCTCTACAAAATTTTTTTTAAAAAATTAGCCTGGCATGGTGGCATGCACCTGTAATCCCGGCGACTTGGAAGGCTGAGGCGGGAAGACTGCTTGAGCCCAAAAGCTCAAGGTTGCAGTGAGCTGTGATTGTGCCACTGCACTCCACCTCAGGTGAAGGAGCTCATCAATTGACATTCATGTCCCTATACTATAGTTTTCTTTGAAATTTACAATTTCATGTACATACACATATGCTCATCAATTTATACATGTCTCCACATACACAATGTTAACACTACATCTTTCGTATATATACACATACATATATTTAATAACTACATCTTTTTTGTTTTTTGAGATGGAGTCTTGCCCTGTCACCCAGGCTGGAGTGAAACGGCGTGATCTTGGCTCACTGCAACCTCTGCCTCCCAGGTTCAAACGATTCTCCTGCCTCAGCCTCTTGCGTAGCTGGGATTACAGATGCGTCCCTCCATGCCAGCTAATTTTTGTATTTTTAGTATAGATGGGGTTTCACCATGTTGGCCAGGCTGGTCTCAGACTCCTGACCTCGTGATCCACCCGCCTCAGCCTCCCAAAGTGCTGGGATTACAGGCGTGAGCCACTGTGCCCGGTCACAGCTACATCTTTTATATATGCATATTTATCTGGTTCTACATGTGTATTTATATAATGTCTATTTACATCTATAAAATCAAATGATGATTGAGAATAATCGTGTTTTTGTTTTGTTTTGTTTTGGTTTTTTTGGTAGAGACGGGGTCTCGCTCTGTCACCCATGCTTGTCTTTAATTCCTGGCCTCAAGCGATCCCCCCACCTGGCCTTCTCAAAGTGCTGGGATTACAAGTGTGAACAATTGCACCCAGCCAGACATCGTTTAATGTTGAATTTGAAGTGATCTGTTTCCTTAATTGCTAGTTTTAAGCTACATTAAACAAACTGGGTAACTACTTGTGTGAGCTCCTTGGGACAATCACTTCTCCAAAATCTACTTCTCCCCTTAGACCTTGGGATTTTCTTAACCATCCCAGAATAGGGATCTCTATCCTGCTGAGAGGAGAAGCTACTTTTCACTTTCTAAAGCCTTGTGCACTCTCAAAGTAAAAAGAGAGAGGTGATAGAGAAAATCTTGAGGTGCTTGGGATCTCTGACAACTATGCCACCTCCTCGCTGGGAATCTGCAAACTGAGTGGAAAGTAAAAGGGAGAAGGGGTAGAGCTGTGGTGGCGGCTGCTATTCACCAGGGCCAGGGTCCCCTGAGGGCTGGGCTCCAGCTTGGGCATGCAGTGGTGTACTCAGAGTATTTAACACCAGGTGTTTTCTACACACAAAATTACTTCCACTACTGGTCATGTAATAATCAGTAATAATCATTATTCTCTCAATTTAAAATGATACATTTTAATTTTAGAGATATTATTTAGTAAAATATTTCAGGTATAAACTAAAATTGCAATTGCCAAACCAAAAAATCACACTTCATAGGTGGCACTCAGTTTCACTCTTTTACATTTTAAGCACACAAAAAGTTCCAGCTGGGTGAGGTGGCTCACACCCGTAATGCCAGCACTTTGGGAGGCTGAGGTGGGAGGATTGCTTGAGGCCAGGAATTCAAGGCCAGACTTGACAGCGTAGTGAGATCCTATCTCTACAATTTTTTTTTTTTCCTAAAGCCAAGCATAATGGTACATACCTGTAGTCCCAGATACTGAGGAGGCTGAGGTGGGAGAATCACTTCAGCTCAGGAGGTCAAGGCTGCAGTGAGTTATGATCATGTCATTGCACTCCAGCCGGGGTGACAGAGTGAAACTCTGTTTCAAAAAAAAAAAAAATTCCAACTGTGTTAGGGTTCTCTAGAGGGACAGAACTAACAGAATAGATGTATGTATAAAGGAGAGTTTATTAAGGAATATTGACTCCCATGATTACAAGGTGAGGTCCCACAATAGGCAGTCTGCAAGCTAAGGAGCATGAAGCCAGTCCAAGTCCCACAGTTGAAGAACTTGGAGTCCGATGTTTGAGGGCAGGAAGCATCCAGCATGGGAGAAAGATATAGGCTAGGAGGCTAAGCCAGTCTAGTCCTTCCACGTTCTTTCGCCTGCTTTTATTCTGGCTGTACTGGCAGCTGATTAGGCTGTGCCCACCCAGACTGAGGGTGGGTCTGCCTTTCCCAGCCCATTGACTCAAATGTTAATCTCCTTTGGCAACACCCACACATACACACCCAGGATCAATACTTTGCATCCTTCAATCCAATCAGGTTGACACTCAATATTAACCATCACACAAGTCATCACATAAAATGATAAAATCAAAGTATTGCAAGTTCTGCTTCTTCATCTTCACAATCACTGCACTCTCCTCATTTATTTCAAATCTGCCTTAGTCTCACTCTATGGCCCAGGCTGGAGTGCAGGGGCACCATTTTGGCTCCCTGCAACCTCCACCTCCCAGGTTCAAGGGATTGTCGTGTCTCAGCCTCCCGAGTAGCTGGGATTACAGGCACCCGCCACCATGCCTGGCTAATTTTTGTATTTTTAGTAGAGACGGGGTTTCACCATGTTGGCCAGGCAGGTCTCAAACTCCTGACCTCAAGAGATCCACCTGCCTTGGCCTCCCAAAGTGCTGGGATTACAGGCGTGAGCCACTGCACCCAGCATTTTAAACAGAGTAGGAGATGGTACCACAGGGTTGGAGCCAGGTAATGGGCTGGAAGCAAACTTGAGTGATTCCAAAGTGTTACCAATTTATTCTGAAAACACCTTTCTGTGGATGAGTCCTGGTAAGCCAGAATCACTGAGGATTCTCCAGAGTAACTTCTGTAAGTGTAAGACGATGATTATGAGAGAATAAGTAATTCAAGTGTGTTAATTGGAAACTTACATATGTACTAGTAAAACTCACCAATAACTGCAGCAATTGTTTAGAACTTACACCACAAAAAGATTTCTCAGGAAGGTGCATTTTGTGTAGAATCGCTAGTACCATTGGTTTTACGATTTTTTTGTATGTGTGTCTACTTGTGATGCATCCCCTGTTGCCTACACGTGGCTCCCTCTCCCACTGTTCACTCTCTTCCTCAGGGAGTGGGAATCTGGACTTGGAAGATATGGACGTAGTGTTGGTGTATGACCTTGAGAAATTGACCAGTATTGTGGTTGCTGACTTCTTAGTAAAATGGAAATGATGACACTTCTCTGCTGACCTCACATAGCTGTCACAGAGATTCCAGAACTATGGGCCTGAAACATGATCTACATATGCTAATCTGTACTCAGAGCCCAAGACATTGCAGTTTGCCACAGTAAGAGCCTCTCAGGCTCGTCTTGGGCATTCAGGGTGCACCTGCTGCTTCTGTCTTCCAGGATGGCTCCTCTCTCTGTCTGCTTACTGAACACAGTGTGGGCATTTCCCCAGCTTCTGGCTTTGGCTCTGGGCTCCTCTCACTTCCCCCTTTTCTGCCTCTTTTCCTCCTTTCTTTCCCTGCTGAGCTTACCCACTTATTGCTCTTACTAATTAGCCCAGCAACAGCTCCCAAATCCACCCCTCCCATGAATGCCAGGCCAGCATTTCCAACAGACTGCTGTCTTCTGTCAGTCAGATGAACAAATTCAAAAATGGAACCTTCTATCTCTTCCCCTTCCACTTCACAGCAGCATCCTCCCCTGAATGTCCCACTTTTGTAAACTGAAACCCTGTCTTTCAGGGACCCAAACCTGAAACATCAGAGTCTGCATCACACTCTCTTTTTATTAGTCCTTACACCCAAACAGAAATGAATGACAGTGGGCAGAGGGGACAGCTGTGGAGGAGCCATGGAGTCAGCTGCCTGGATTCAGATCCTGGCTATACCATGTCTGACCTTGAGAAAGTTTTTTTAACGTCTATGAATCCTAGAGTTTTTGTTTGTTTGTTTGTTTGTTTGTTTTAAATAGGCAGGGTCTCACTCTGTTGCCCAGGCCCAGGCTGGAGTGCAGTGATGTGATATTGGCTCACTGCAACCTTGGCCTCCCAGGCTCAAGTGATCTTCCCGCCTCAGCCTCCTGAGTAGCTGGGATTACAGGCGCATGCCACCACGCTCAGCTAATTTTTGTATTTTTTTATTGAGATGGAATTTCACCGTGTTGTCCAGGATGGTCTTGAACTCTTGTGCTCAAGCAATCCGCCTGACTTAGCCTCCCAAAGTGCTGAAATTATAGGCGTGAACCACCGCACCCAGCCTTAAAAGTGAGTTTTAACTAGTATTTTTCCATCTCCTACCTGAAAAACAGTCACTGAGATAATAATTTATTTTTTGTGTAATGTCCTTTCCCTTTAAGGGGTATTGAATAGTTTTTTAAATTATTTTTTAAAATCGTGGTAAAACACACAGAACAAAGTTTATCATCTTAAACATTTTTTAAGTGAATAGTTCAGTGGCATTGAATACATTCACATTCTTGTGCAACCACCACCAGCCGTCTCCAGAACTCTTTGTATTTCCCCACACTGAAACTCTGTACCCATTGAACAGCTCCCTATTCTCTCCTCCCCAAAGCCCCTGGCAACTACCATTCTACTTTCTCTATGTGTGAAGTTGACCATTCTAGGTACCTCATATAAGTGGAATCATACAGTATTTATCCTTTTGTGACTGGCTTACTAAACGTAGCATAATGTCCGCAAGGGTCATGCATGTTGTAGCATGTGCCAGAATTTCCTTCCTTTTTTTTTTTTTGAAATGGAGTTTCGCTCTTGTCGCCCAGGCTGGAGCGCAGTGGCGCGATCTTGGCTCACTGCAACCTCCACCTCCTGGGTTCAAGCGATTCCCTTGCCTCAGCCTCCCGAGTAGCTGGGATTATAGGTGCGCACAACCACACCCGGCTAATTTTTGTATTTTTAGTAGAGACAGAGTGTCACCACGTCTCTGAATCAGGCTGGTCTCAAACTCCCGACCTCAGGTGAGGAGGTCAACCCACCTTGGCCTCCCAAAGTGCTGGAATTACAGCCATGAACCACCGCACCCGGCCGAACTTTCCTTTCTTTTTAAGGTTGAATCATTGCATGGATGGACCACATTTTGTTTCTCCACTCATCCTGTCAGTGGGCCCTTGGGTTGCTTCTACCTCTTGGCTATTGTGAATAATGCTGCTAGGAACATGAGTGTGCAACTGTCTCTTCGAGTCCCTGCTTTCAAGTCTTTTGGATGTACACCCAGAAGTGGAATTTCTGGATCATATGGTAATTTTATATTTAACTTTTTGAGGAACTGCCATACTGATTTCCATAGCGGCTGCACTATTTTACATTCACGCCAGCAATGTACAAGGGTTCCCCTTTCTCCTCATCTTACACTTAATTTCTGTTTTTAATACAATTTTTTTTAAATATGAGGAATTAACTAGGTTTAGTCAGTGTTTCTCTAAACTTATTCTGAAAATCACTACTCAGAATCATCTGGAGGGGCAGGTGCTTATAAAAATGCAGACTCCTAACCCCACCTCAGACCAAGTAGGACCCCTGAGACTGGGGTCACAAAGTGTGATTTTGTGTGTGTGTGTGTGTGTGTGTGTGAGATACAGGGTCTCACTCTGTTGCCCAGGCTGGAGTGCAGTGGTGCCATGACTGCTCACTGTAGCCTCCAACTCCTGGGTGCAAACAATCCTCCTGCCTCAGCCTCCTGGGACTACAGGTGTATGCCACCATGCCCAGCTAATTTTTAAATTTTTTGTAGAGATTGGGTCTCACTGTGTTGCCCAGGCTGGTCTTGAATCCCAGCTTCAAGCGATCCTCCTGCTTTGGCTTCCCAAAGTGCTGGGATTACAAGCATGAGCCACTGTGCACGGCCTGAAGTGTGGCTTTTAAACAAGCTCCTATAGGCACTACCGCATTCACCCACAGGAAGGCCTCCTGCAGGTGGGGTTCTGGACATTATTAGCTGAGGGGAAGAGGGATAGGAAGGGGAGAGGAACTTCCTGGCCCCCTAAAGCTCCAGCACATAGGAGAACTCAAGCCACAGTCATCAGGATAATCTCATGTGTATTCAAAAGACACAGAAATTAAAGATTGCAATCATCCATATTGTTTCATCAAGTCTTCAGTCTTTTCAGTCATGATCTACCAAAAAAATCAGATCGAGGTCTGGAAGCATGACATTTTTAGCTGAGGAAGTGCTCTTGATCAAAAACCAGATTTTGACTGGCGATACTCAAGTGAAATACCCTATTATCAGCTTCCTACAGATCTCACCAGAGCCATTCTCAGGCATTAGGGAAGCAATCTCCATGAGGGCCACTTCCCCGGCCACAGCGCCTACTGTGAGATGAGTCATGCCTTTTGTCTTGTGCCTGGAATTTGGGGATGTTTATGAAAAGTTGATGTAAATACTAGTCATAATTCCTCTCTTCACAGATTCTTTATTTCAGAAAGTGAGTATTTCATCACGTACAAACGTCATATCACTTCCAGCTCCATTGCCACCTGGAAATGTTCTTTCTACTGTTTTACTAGGGATTATTTAAAGGCTGTTGGGAACCCTCCAGAGAACACAGTTTCTGGGATGTCATCAGTAATATTGAAACACACATTCACGTCAACTGTACTGTAGGGGAAAAGGGATATTTTTCCTTCCCATTATGGCTGAGGCCCTTACAAGAAAAAAAGACAGATCAATAAGAGAAAAGCATCCAAGTATGTTTGATATAAGTTTTACATGATGCAGGAGACTTTATAAGGAAACGAAGACCCAAAGAAACTAGTAGACCTGTGTATTTTTTATGTTCATTTTGATGAAGAAGTAGATAGTCATGGAGAAGTACAACTGAATAAAAAACAAGTATGGTCTGGTGGTAACGCAGTGCGAGGGGAACTCGGCAGAGTCTGTTCAGATTCCTCTCTGTGGTCCTGTGTCTTCAGAGATAAGGAAGTTCCTTTGCCTGGGTAGAGGGAGGGCACCTCTTGAATAACAGTCTTAGGTCTGCCTTCAGGGGAAGGCCTGAGACGCTTTTGCTGGTGCTATGGCCTGCTTCAGGGGAGAAGAGCGAGAGGAAGGTGAGAAGGACCTTCCTGTTGCTGTTGTCTCCAATGCCAAGGTGCCATGTTTTGGGGTAGTATGTTTTGGGGTTGTGTGTCTTGAACCCCATCATTAGCAATTTTATCTTTTGAGGGCCGAGTGGAGATTCTTGAGGTTAAGAAGTAAATGCTAATGAAAAGCAAAGTATCTTTTTTTTTTTTTTTGGCAGGTTCTCGCTCTGTGGCCCAGGCTGGAGTACAGTGGCACGATCACAGCTCGCTACAGCCTCAATCTCCTGGGCTCAGGTGATCCTACCATCTCAGCCTCCCAAGTGTCTAGGAATACAGGCACATGCTGCTATGCCCAGCTAATTTTTTAATTTTTTTGTAGAGATGAGATCTTGCTATGTTGCCCAGACTGGTCTCCCAACTCCTGGGCTCAAGCAATCCCCCTGCCTCAGCCTCCCAAAGTGCTAGGATTACAGACTGAGCCACCATGCCTGGCCCCAAAGTATCTTTTTAAATGCAGCCTCCTTGAGTTTGAGTACAACATCTATTTACTTACTTCATTTAAATTCTCAAAGCAGATGAGACATAATTAACACATACATCATGATGACATTTCCCATAGCACAATAAAACTTAACTTTCAAATTAAGCCACTCTGCTATTGAACATTAGCGTTTTAAGGTAAAGCATGATGGTTCATACCTTTTAAAAAAATAGAGAATGGGTCACATCAGCTTTCTCCCCCGGTGGCATCTCTCGGCATTCTACTGAATCCCTCAGACACAGGCACGAGAGTAGCCCAGATGAATGTACTCAAGCAGGACATAGTCCAGACTTCCCAGCTAGTCTCAAACAAAACAGCAGAATAAAAACCACAACATCCCATGGAATTTCTGTAAACAGACATAATGTTAAGCAAATGGCCATCTAACCTATGTGGTACTTGGCCAGTTGTTACAGGAAAGGGGTCCTGATCCAGACCCCAAGAGAGGGTTCTTGCATCTCATGCAAGAAAGAATTCAGGGTGAGTCCATAGAGTAAAGTAAAGCAAGTTTATTAGGAAAGTAAAGGAATAAAAGAATGGCTACTCCATAGACAGAGCAGCCCTGAGGACTGCTGGTTGCCCATTCTTATGGTTATTTCTTGAGTATATGCTAATCAAGGGGTGGATTATTCATGCCTCCCCTTTTTGGACCATATAGGGTAACTTCCTGACATTGCCATGGCATTTGTAAACCGTCATAGCATTGGTGGGAGTATAGTAGTGAGGATGACCAGAGGTCACTCTCATGGCCATCTTGGTTTTGGTGGGTTTTAGCTGGCTTCTTTTTTGCAAACTGTTTTATCGGCAAGGTCTTTATGACTTGTATTTTGTGCTTACCTCCTATCTCTTCCTGTGACTTCGAATGCCTTCACCATCTGGGAATGCAGCCCAGTAGGTTTCAGCCTTTTTACCCGGCTCCTATTCAAGATGGAGTTGCTCTGGTTCACATGCCTCTGACACAATGGTGATGGAGAAAGGAAAGGGAGTTAGAAATAAAATGATCGTTTTTATAGAGAAACCCAGTCCCTACAAACAGCATCCTGTTTTTGGGAAAAGCCCTGGGGGACAATGCCATAAACATTTCCCTCTCATTTTTCTTCCCATATTTCTGGTCCTGCCTGCTGCTTTATTTCACAAAAAGCATTAATTACATTTTGTCAGGAGTGAAAGGTCATTTTGTGCTGGTGGCCTGGCATGGAGAATATCAGGGACTGTGGAAATTCAGTGAGTCAAAGATGAAGGCGAAATTGATAGCCTGGGAAAAATAAGTGTACTGTTTATGGAAGTAAGCATTTAAAACTGATTTTTTTTAAAAAAATTGTACTTTTAGGAGCTATGGGGACATACTGAAATAGACTTACCCTTTTTAAGTACAGTTTCATTCATATAAACACATTGTTTTATAAAGGCTTGGAAGCAGATGAATTAATACTTGGGCATTTGGCGCTAATTTTACTGTTTAACAAGAGAGAGAAGGCAGGCTGGGAGGAGCCTGGATTCTCCTTTGTTCTGTTCATTAGAGGGCAGTAGCAATGACTTCTTTCACAGAGGATCTAAAACTCTGGAGAACAGGGTCTCTCAGATTTTAATGTGGCTGCATATCACCTGGGGACATTGTCAAATGTAGGTTTTCATTTAGCAGGTCAGGATGGTGCCTCAGATTCTGCATTTCAGACAAGCACTGGGCATCGCTGCTATTGCTTGATGGAAGGACCACACTTTGCACTGTGCTGTCTTGTTGTAGCATTACTGAACAAGTTGAATTTGCACCTCATTAAAATGACACTTGTGCTAAGAAGCAAACAGGTGCTTTGTATCCTCTTAGAGCTGCAGAGCAGAAAGCCCTGAAGGACAGGAAGACCAGGCCTTCTGGGCTGTTAACCTGCTTGGCTCTCTTATCAATTAACTGGAGTCCTTGTTTGGTTTGAGACTTAAAAGTGTGCTTTATACTTTCCAGTGAGGTTGCAGAGTGGAAACAAGGCTTGGTATGGATGGTTGATGATTCAACAGCTTCTCAGACACATTAGTGTTCCCCTTTTATTTTTTCTTTCTTGAGATGGAGTCTTGCTCTGTCACCCAGGCTGGAGTGCAGTGGCACGATCTTGGTTCACTGCAACCTCTGCATCCCAGGTTCAAGCAATTATCCTGTCTCAGCCTCCCAGGTAGCTGGGATTACAGGCCACCATGCCCGGCTAATTTTTGTATTTTTAGAAGAGATGGGGTGTCACCATATTGGTCAGGCTGGTCTCGAACTCCTGACCTCAGATCATCCACCTGCCTCGGCCTCCCAAAGTTCTGGGATTACAGGCATGAGCCACCGCACCTGGCCAGTGCTCCCATTTTATAGAGAAACACAGTCCCTACAGGCAGCGTCCTGTTTTTGGGAAAAGCTCTGGGGGACAAAGCCATAAACATTTCCCTTTCCTTTTTCTTCCCATATTTCTGGTCCTCCCTGCTGCTTTATTTCACAAGAAGGATTAGTTAAATTTTGCCAGGAATGAAAGGTCATCTTGTGCCAGTGGCTTGGCATGGAGAACACCAGGGACTGTGGGCATTTAGTGAGTCAAAGATCAAGGCCAAAGCCATGAAGTCCCATGTAGAGAGATTGCTACCAAATCTCAAAATCTGCCAGCACTGAGCTTTCATCTTTGCATAAGATCATTTTCTTTATTACTGGATGTTCATAAAGAGTCACAGGGCTGTGGACAAAATAGTCTCAAGTATTTTCTCTTCCTAAAATTCAAATATACCACCCTCTCTGTGACCTCGAGACCCATAGGCATCTGGCAACTTCAGGATCCAGTTGCAAGTTCTTAAACTGGAAACAGCATGGCAGGTTTCTGTTGTCCTTGTCTCTGTAGTCATTGGCCACTCACTGCCAGTTCCATCTGGCCCTTTCCCCATGTGCACATATACCTACTAAAACATTACCAATGTGAAAAGATAAATTGAGGCGCTTTAAAATCTTAAAGGGTGTATTTGTCTTATTCATAAACAGGGAGCTCCCTGTTTGTGGGGCTCTTGCAGTTTGGGGCTCTGGCAAAGGGGTAGGGGTCAGAGGTGGGGGAGAAGTCTTTTACAAGACCAGTTCACTCAGAAGCAAGACAAAAAAAAAATACTTGATTTGTTGAAGTACAGTAATAGCGTCATTTGGATTATTCCAGTGAAAAGTCCCTGGTTAGAGGTTGGTTGGTGGTTTCTGATTGGTTAACCCAACCATTGACATTGAGTTGGGTTCTGGATTGCTCACCTAGGAACCCAGGGCATGGGAGCAACCCCAACTTAATGGCCTCCTAATTAATTATTATTATTATTATTTTTTGAGACGGACTTTCACTCTTGTTGCCCAGGCTGGAGTGCAATGGCGCGATCTCAGCTCACTGCAACCTCTGCCTCCCAGGTTCAAGTGATTCTCCTGCCTCAGCCTCCCGAGTAGCTGGGATTACAGGCGTGCACCACCACACCCAGCTAATTTTTGCATTTATAGTAGAAACAGGGTTTCACCATGTTGGCCAGGCTGGTCTCGAACTCCTGACCTCAAGTGATCCATGTGCCTTGGCCTCCCAAAGTGCTGGGATTATAGGCATGAGCCACCACTCTCAGCTCTAATTAATTATTTTTAACACCTGTCATCATTCTTGAGTCCACTTTATGCAGGTCTTTAGTCTGAGGTGCACAAAGTTAAAAGGGGCCATTTTTGGTGACCCCATGCTTCCATATTCTAACATCCAATTTCCTTTACTCAATGCTATTTACTCAATGTCATAGTCATTAGGGCCACACTTAAGTGAATAGTGCAGTCTTCCTTTATCCTGGGCACATACTGCTCTGGCTTAGATGTGGTTTATCCCCACCAAAACTCATCTTGAAATTTGATCCCCAACATGGTCGTGTTGGAGGTGGGGCCTAATAAGATCTCTCTTGAATAGATTAATGCCCTACCAAAGGAGCGAATGAGTTTTCTCTCTCCACGGAATGAATTAGTTCCCACCAGAGTAGTGTTTGTTTGTTTGTTTGTTTGTTTGTTTGTTTGTTTTTTAATGAGACACTCTCACTGTGTTGCCCAGCCTGGTCTTTAATTCTTGGGCACAAGTGATCCTTCCACCTCAGCCTTCTGAGTAGCTGGGACTACAGGTGTACACCCTGTGAGAATGGGTTGTTCAAAAAAGTCTGGCTTCCTCGGTTTGTCTCTCTTGCTTCCTCTCTTGCCATGTGATGTTTTTGCACATGCTTGCCCCCTTCCACTTTCTGCCATGAGCAGAAGCAGCCTGCGGGCCTCACCAGATGCAGCTGCACAGTCTTGAACCTTCCAGTCACCAGAACTGTGAGCCAAATAAACCTCTTTTTAAAATAAATTACCCAGCCTCATGAGCTTAGACATAAACTAAGTTTGCATTTTGTTGTCTTTTTAAAAAATAAGCATATCATACCACTTGCTTTGGCCAATGAAATGTGCGTAGAAATTATATGAGACTTCCAGGAGGCAACATGAAGAGCCTGTGAACAATTCTGTTCTCATTCTTCCAGCATCGTGGGAGCATTTACCTAAGGGGACCCTCTGTCAGCCCATCAGAGTCCTTGGATGGTTGCAATGAGAAGAGTGCTCCCATCACCCATGAAACCTGTAATTCACACTGCATGTGGTCTGTGAGCCTTGAATAAGTGTTGTGTTAAGTCACTGAGGGGTGTGTGTGTGTGTGTGTGTTGGTGTTACAGCAGCCTAACCTATTTTATTCCAGCAAATCCACTGGCATCCAGCTGGTGGTGTAATCAACCATCTGTGAGTATACTGCCAGGAAACTACCCACTGGCATAGTCTTTATTTTCTATTGTAGTGTGGGGAGTGTTTAGGAGGGGGTGAGTTTTTCCAGGTTAAGGAAACAATGATCATAACCACCATGAGACATGATTTCCTCATCTTCTCAAACAGCTGGCAGTTCAGTCAAGAGCTGGAATGAATTCTTGTGCATGGTAAGGACTCCATAAATATTTGTTTATTAAAAAAATTGACGTTAACTGTCCACAACGCATTACTGCTCATTCCTCCAACACCTCCCTCAAGGGCATGTAGATACTGGATAGAGACCTAGCCAATCTTCAATGAGAGCTGGTAAAAGACTGCCAAGTATAGTTAAGCACAGAGTCAGATAACACCCTTCTGTAAAAGGAGGATAAACTCAAGAGCACAGGGGCTGTGTTTTGTTTGTTGGTTTGTTTTGTGGGAAGAATCAGGTACTTGACAATGTGGTGTTTTATTGTTTCTGTTCCACTCGGTCATTAATCTGGATCCCAGGCTGGTGCAGAAGCTCAGGCATTGTTTGGCTTTTTTCTTGTCAAGGCCCTGCCAGTTCTTCCAGTTCTTGACTTTCTGACCCGAATCCTCCCCCACATTTTCTACTCACCACATCTCACTTCTACTGCTATTACCAGGAGCTGGTAATGACAAATCTGGGCTTCACGTGGGCATTTTCTGCCATGCCTTTCTTCAGTCCTTCCTGAACTTGAAATTAATGTGAATAAAGAAAATACTCATTTACTCATTTTCCCTATTGTTTAACATTGTTGACTTATTTGCATAGAGTGCAATTCAGAAACGACACACGGCTGGGTGCAGTTTGGGACCAGCCTGGGCAACATGGCAAAACCCTGTCTCTACAATCAATATAAAAATTATCTGGGCATGGTGGTGTGCAACTGTGGTCTTAGCTACTCAGGAAGCTGAGGTGGGAGGATGGCTTGAGCTAGGGAGGATGAAGCTGCAGTGAGCCAAGATAGATTGTGCCACTGCATTCCAGTCTAGGTGACATAGTGAGACCCCGCCTCCAAAAAAAAAAAAAAAAAAGAAAGGGGAAAAAGGAAGAAAGGAAACGACATAACGATATATGTAAGACTGAAACTTTCTTGCTGCATGAGATATGGTATTGTGAAATGATTCAGATTTTGGCTTCTGAGCTCAGATTGCCTAGGTCCAAATCCCACTCTGGCACATAGCTGGGTGATCTTGGACAGCTCCCTCAGCCTATTAGTTTCTTCATCTGTAAAATGGGATGCTGATCGTGTATCTTTCATTGGCTATTGCTGTGTGCATTAAATGAGTTAGTACCTGTAAAGTCCTTTGAAAGGTGCTTGGGACATTGCAAGTGTTAAAAGCATTGTACCCTGCATAGGCCAGAAAGAAGGCATCAGAGCAGAGCCGACGGTACAGGCCATGTTGTCTGACCACATCTGTGGCCTCAGGCAAGGAAATGTCCTCTCTATGCTTCTGTTTCCTCATCTGGCAATGGGGACAATACCAGTACTTCCTTCAGAGGAGTTTTGTGAGGCTAAAATGAAATTGCATGTGTAAAGCTCTTAGCAAATAGTGTTGGCACATACAAAATGCTCCGTTGATACCAGGTATTTTATTATTATGATTTAAAAAATTCTCTGCATTTAAAGAAATCTGCCACCTCCTTTCCAAACACCCTATACTTTCCTCTTCTTTTGGAAGTATTCCTCTCATAGTTTGAAATATTTAATTCTTGATGTTGTCCAGTTTTTCTTTGAAGGGCTAGTTTCTTTGATCCAGGGAGATGCAGCATTTATGTTGGCTGTCAACAGGGCAACGCCCAGGAATTATTATTTTTCTAATGACCTAACGTCATTTTCCAGAAATTCTCTAAAAAACAAACTTCTTCGGGGACAAAATAAATTTGAGACTTCCATTAGTTCTTGCAAACACTTTATAACCCATCTCTCAGATGCTAACATTTTCCTGCGCATTCTGACCGGGTGCCAGAAATCCTATGGCTCTGACATCTAAAATGAGGATTGTTTGGCTGTTCTCAGTACATTCTATTTGTTCTGAGGTATATTTTGTACTGAAAGTTTAAAGGAATTACCTTGTATCTTATATTTAGCCTACCGTAACTTGTTTTTCTCTTCTATATATTTATTCAGGTTTGTTTCCTACTTTATTTTACAGTTATCACAAGGACACTACAAAGTCTCTTTTGTGAAATCGCCAAATGTTTCAGAATTCAACAGACATTATTAACTGTTCTTTCACCCTCCAAGAAACTCTACATTCATCTCAGTTCCCTGTATTGAAAAAGTCTCTGAAAAAAAGTATGTGGACATTTATTTATTATGAGGAAATCAGCATTTCTATTTATCTCTTAATTATTATAACATTTAATCATATTTGTTGGTTCAAGGTAAGTACTAATTGTGCTTCTCTCAAAGTATGAGCACTATATTTCTTCAGAAATAATGCTAAGCCTAGACAACAGGGCAAGACCCCATCTTTAAAATTTGTTTTTCTTCTTTTTGAGACGGAGTCTCGCTCTGTCACCCAAGCTGGAGTACGATAGTGCGATCTCAGCTCACTGCAACCTCTGCCTCCTCGGTTCAAGCAATTCTCCTGCCCCAGCTTCCCTAGCAGCTGGCATTACAGGTGCCCGCCACCACGCCCAGCTAATTTTTTGTATTTTTAGTAGAGATGGGGTTTCACCATGTTGGTCAGGCTGGTCTCGAACTCCTGACCTCAGGTGACCCACCCACCTTGGCCTCCCAAAGTTCTAAGATTACAGGCGTGAGCCACCACACCTGGCCAAAAAAAAATTTTTTTTAAGTTAGCTGGGTGTGTTGGTGCACACCTGTAGTTTCCAGCTACTTGGGAGGCTCAGGCCAGAGGATTGCTTGAGTCCAGGAGTTTGAGACTTCAGTGAGTGACGATGGTGCCACTGCACTCCAGCCCCTGGGCCACAGAGAGAGAGAGACCCTATCTGAAAAAAGAAAGAAAAAAGAAAAAGAGAAAGGAAGGAAGGGAGGAAGGAAGGAAGGGAGGAAGGGAGGGAGGAAGGAAGGAAGGAAGGAAAAGAAAGAAAGAGAAAGAAAGAGAGAAAGAAAGAAAGAAGGAAAGAAGGAAAGAAAGAAAGAAAATATTGATGGCCAGAGAGAGAGAGAGACCCTATCTAAAAAAAGAAAGAAAAAAGAAAAAGGAAGAAAGAGAAAAAAAGGAAGAAAGAGAGAAAAAGAAAGGAAAGAAAGGAAAGAAAGAAAGAGAAAGAAAGAAGGAAAGAGGAAGGAAAGAAGGAAAGGAAAGACGAAAGAAAGAAATGCTGAATGTTACAGATATTGACACAGACATTCCTACATTGGAATGCATATTCCCTCTGGGCTTTTACAGTTAGGGAAGTGCTGAGTCACTGCCTGGCGTACTCACATGCCTGTAGTTTATAAGCCAGCCACATGCTGGCAGAAACAGTGTAGAACCAGTGGGCCATGTGGACCTCTTGCCACCCACAAGCAAGGCGGGTGACAGGGCAGAGAGCTCCTTAGCAGTTACTAGCAATGGCTCGCTTGGTTGAAATAATTTTTTGAAGCTTTTGACAAATAATATAAAGATTACTAAGAAAGCCTGGCGGTTTGCAGCAAAAATTATTTGCTTGGGCAAACTTTAGTCAGGCTCTGGAATCTTCTCCTAGGGCCTTCTATGCACTTCCTTGTAAAATCTAGTTTTAGCAAAGAACCCTGCTAAGTCAGTTAAGCAAGAATCCCCCACCTACAATATCTGATCACCTTCATGTCTGATTGGGTTCTTCTCCCTCCACCAGCCCCCAGGCGATGTCTGGTTTCCTGGCCTGTCTTCAACAAGAATCCTGTTGTTGGTTTAGCTAAAGTCTTTCTCAGTCCTGAAGTTCCCTCTTAGTGATTTTCCCTCCACCGACCCCCACCCTGCTCCTTGGCTATACATTCCTACTTGCTCATGCTGTATTCAGAGTTGAGCCCAATTTCTGTCTCCCACTGCAAAATCTAATTGCTTGGTGGTCCCTATACCTATAGCGATGGTCCTGAAGAAAGTTGGCCACACCATGCTTTAACAAGTATCACTGGGTCATTTTTTTCTGTAACAGTGACTACATCACATGGCCTCTGACAGTCGCCGGACTCCTTAGAAGGGAGCTCAGGAGAAAGGGGAAACACAGGGCAGCTGGGTTCACTGGGATTAGGAATAGAAGCAGCGTGCTGGGCATCTAAGGGCAAAGATGAAGCTGGGTATGTAATCTACCCAGGAGCCTCTGTGTAAAATATGAAAGAAGAAAGACATGCCAGGGAAAGGGTGGAGCCGGCTAAAGGCCATGGGAAGTTGGACATGATGGCGTGGGAGAAAGTAACTTTAAGAAGGATGCATTGAGATACAGCGGCAGCTAGCGTATTTTGATAAGCAGTCTGATATTTGGGAAGATAGAGTGTACGTGTTCAGGAAGCCACAACTCTGCACGTCCATTCGAGATAGACTACCCGGTTCCTCAGGCCCACGGCTCCGAACTGCCCCCGTGGATGGTGCTTCGAGTACGCCTCCACCAGTGGGCAGTGTGGTCCACGAGGATCAGGCCATTCTAGCCAACGGTAGGTTCTTCCTGTGGAGCCCTGAGCAAAACGGGACGGTTTGAGAAGGGTTTTATTTCTGGGTCTCTGTTCTGCGGTGTTCGGTGCCTTAACTGGATGCCCCCGCATCCCAGAGCCAGCCGGCCATCTTCTGCAGTGATGCTGTTCCCCGGGGGAACGGAGCCCAGCCCTGAAGCTCAGCCGCAGGAACAAACGCCCTGGCTCCTGCGTGCCATTTCTGCCCTCTGCTGCTGCAGTGGCCTGAGGTCTTCGGATGGCCGCCTGCACTCCGCCTCTTCTTCCTGCCGCCTCCTCTCCTCAGGCCCTTGCTTCAAAGTCCTCCTCCCCTTCCTTTGCGCTGATAACATCGAGCAGAGCCGGCTCCATTTCTGGGCTTTTTACTGCCTAACTGATCCTCTACACTGTGCTAAGGAGAAGCTATTTATTTTTTTCTCAGGAAACCTCAATATCTAGGTGGGAAAGGGCAGGTTTCCTGGAAGAGCACTTCTAGAAAGAGCACCCCCTCCTAAGAAACAAAACAAACTTTTAATCTAGGTACTTCCTGTTTCCTCCGTTTAAAGCACTCCCCCATCTGGCCAGAGCCTTGTAAAAGTACTTCAAAGACTCAGCTGGCCGGGTTTGGACTCTAGGCTTTTTCCTTTTAACTCTTTGTGGTTTACTTTAATTGGGCTTTTAGTTGTCCTACTAAATGGTTTGTGGCTATTAAAGGAGCAAGGTTATGAAATCCTCGTCAATTCCGCTAAAACTCTTGTACGTATCCAATCTTGACGCATATATTATGTCATGCAGAGGGGAACACGTGGTGTGTCCAGATGTTACTGGGGCAAAAGGCACACAGTGGATGCTGGGGTCACTTGTAAATGTAAATATTTATATTTATTTATTAAAATTTCCAAAATGCATACCCATTCCACTTTACTTGAAAAATTATGCTATTTTCTATTTCTCCTTGTAGTTATTCTCCTTGGGAGGCACAAACCATGATGGCACATAAGAGTCTCAAGACGACCAGGCTGGCCAACATGGCAAAACCCTGACTCTACTAAAAATACAAAAGAAAATTAGCTGGTGTAGAGGCGCAATCCCAGCTACTTGGGAGGCTGAAGCAGGAGATTTGCTTGAACCCGGGAGGCAGAAGTTGCAGTGAGCTGAGACTGCACCATTGCACACCAGCCTGGGCGACCCAGCGAGACTCTGTCTCAAAAAAAAAAAAAAAAAAAAAAGAGTCTCAAGATTAGGGAATCACTTCTTAGATACAAATGTTGCTTTTTTTTTTTTTAATTCCACTTTATAAAGTGAATCTTTCTTGGAGGGAACATGTGACGGAACTAGCCATCAGGTAAACCTCATTATAAATTAGTCTATTGGAGATTGGAAAGATCTTGAAAAGAGACATGAGAAAGGTGCACCTTTATGCACCTGGGCAGATTCCTGCCTCACAGCGCCTCATTTTCCTGTAGAAAAGTGGGAAGGATGACTATCTCACAAAGGTTGAAGATCAAAATCCAAAGGAGATGATGAATGGGACAGTGCTTCATCAAACTTGGATGCGCTAACCAAAGGTCAAGGCTATTATGGTTTTAACAGCAGCAGAGGAAAGAGGAGGCTGGAGAGAGGAGAATGAGCCTGGGAGTTCCACACCAGCCTGAGCAACATAACATAGAGACCTTGTCTCTACAAAAAAATTAAAAAATTATCTGGGCACGGTGGTGCACACCTGTGGTCTCAGTTTCTTGGGAGGCTGAGGTGGGAGGATTGCTTGAGCTCATGAGATTGAAGCTGCAGTGAACCATGATCACGTCACTGCACTCCAGCCTGGGTGATAGAGTGAGAACGTGCCTCCAAAAAAAAAAAAAAAAGAATAACCAAGTTTAACAATTTCTGTGGGGTCTTCATGTAAAGTCTTCATATAAAACTTAAATACATTTATATGCTTTTCTCTTGTTAATCTGTCTTTTGTTACAGGGGCCTCAGCCATGAACCTAGGATGGGTAGAGAAAGATATTTTTCTTCCCCTACACCTGTGTTCCACCTATTCATTCCTCCCTTCCTTCTCTCCTCTACTCTCACTGATTTTTTGGTTACTATTTTTAAAAACATATAACATGAAAGATACCATCCCAACCATTTAAGTGTACAGTACAGCAGTGTTAACTACATGCACCCTGTTGTGCAACAGACTTCTGAAATGTTTTTAATCTTACAACTCTAAAACTCTACACCCACTAAACAACAATGCTTTTCCCCCTCACACCAGCATCTGGCAACCACCATTCTATTTTTAATTTCTAAGAGTTTGACTACTTTAGATACACATATAAGGAGAATCATGCAGCATTTGTCTTTTCTTGACTGGCTTATTTCTCTTACCATAACATCCCGACAAGTTTCATCCATGTTGTAGCATATAACATGATTTCCTTTTTTGAGGCTCAATAATACTCCTTTGTAGGTATGTACAACATTTTCCTTATCTGTTTGTTCATTTATAGACATTCAGGTTACTTCTGTATCTTGGCTATTATGAATAATGCTGCAATGAATAAGAGTGTGAAACTATTTCTTTGAGATCCTGTTTTCAGTTCTTTTGGAGATATACCCAGTAGTGGAATTGTTGGATCATATGGTAATTCTATTTTTAATTTTTTAGGAAAACTTGATATCGTTTTCCATAGTGACTACACCATTTTACATGCCTACTAACAGTCCACAAGGGCTCGAATTTCTCCAAGTCCTCACCAACATCTGTTGCTTTCTGTTTTCCTGATAGTGGCTATTCTAATAGGCATAAGGTAATAACTTAATGTAATTTTGATTTGCATTTCCCTAACAATTAGGATGTTAAGTATATTTTCATGTGCTTGTGGGCCATTTGTAGTTCTTCTTTGGAGAAATGTCTATTCAAGTCTCTTGCTCATTTTACATCAGGTTATTTGCTTTTTGTTGTTATTATTGAACTTAGGGCTTCTTTATATATTCTGGATATTAATCCTTCATCAGATACATGGTTTGAAAATTTTTTTTTCCATTCTGTAAGTTGCCTTTTCATGCTGTCAATTATTCCCTTGCTGTGCAGAAGTATTAAAGTTTGATGTAGTCCCATTTGTCTATTTTTGCTTTTGTTACCTGTGCTTTGGTGTCATGTCTAAGATCCTTGTAAAATCTAACATCATAAAGCTATTCCTCTATTTTTTGTTGTAGAAGTTTTATAGTTTCAGGTGTTATATTTAGGTCTCTAATACATTTAAGTTAATTTTTGTTTATGTTTTAAAGTAAGGGTCCAACTTCATTTTTTTACATCTGGATATCCGGTTTTCCCAGGACCATTTGTTGAAAAGACAATCTGTTCTCCATTGAGTGACTTTGGCACCCTTGTCAAAGATCATTTGAGCATATATGTGAAGGTTTATTTCTGCATTTTTCTGTTCCTTTGGTCTATATGTCTGTCTTTATGCCAAAACCATACTGTTTTGATTACTGTAGCTTTGTATTCTGTTTTGAAATTAAGAAGTGTGAGGCTTCCAGCTTTGTTTTTCTTCTTCAAGATTGTTTTGGCTATTCAGGGTGCTTTGATATTTCATATGAATTTGAGGACTTTTTTTTTCCATTTTTGCAAAAGAGGCCATTGGGATTTTGATAGGGATTGCATTGAATCTGTGGATCAGTTTGGGTAGTATGAACATTTTAATAATATTAATTTTTCCAATCCATGGACACAGGATATCTTTCCATTTATTTGTGTCTTCTTTAATTTCTTTCAGCAATCTTTTGCAGTTTTCAGTGTACAAATCCTTTGTATTTTTAAGTTTATTCGTATTTTTTTCTTTTTGATGCTATTGTAAATGGGATTGTTTTCTCACTTTCCTTTTTGAATTGATTATTGTTTAGTGTAGAGAAACACAATTCCTTTTTGTATCCTGCAACTTTGTTGTATTTTAAAATTACTTCTAATAGTTTTTGGTGGAATCTTTAGGATTTTATACATATTAAAATATATCATCTGCAAACAGAGATTTTTACTTCCTTCTTTCCAATTTGGATACATTTTATTTATTTTTCTTGCCAGATTGCTCTGGCTAGGAATTCTAGTGCTACGTTGAATAGAAGTGATGAGAGTGGGAATCTTGCCTTGTTCCTGATCTTAGAGGCAGTTTTTCACAATTTCTATGGTGTTAGTTGTGGCCTGTTTACATATGGCCTTTATTATGTTGAGATAATTTCCTTCTCTTTCTAGTTTGTTGGGTGTTTTATCATGAAGGGTCTGAATTTTGTGAAATGCTTTTTTTCTGTATAAATTGAGATGATTGTGTGGTTTTTTTTGTCCTTCATTCTTTTAATATGGTGTGTTACATTGATTGATTATCATATATTGAGCCATCCTTGCATTCCACAAATAAATCTCACTTGGTTATGATGTATAATCTTTTTTTTATGTGTTGTTGAATTTGGTTTGATAGTTTTCATTGAGAATTTTTGCATCAATATTCATCAGGGATATTGGTCTGTAGTTTTCTTTTCTTTTCTTTTCTTTTCTTTTCTTTTCTTTTCTTTTCTTTTCTTTTCTTTTCTGAGTCTGAGTTTTGCTCTTGTTGCCCAGGCTGAAGTGCAATGGTGCAATCTCAGCTCACTGCAACCTCCACCTCCTGGGTTCAAGCGATTCTCCTGCCTCGGCCTCCCAAGTAGCTGGCATTATAGGCATGCAACATCATGCCCTGCTAATTTTGTATTTTTAGGAAAGATGGGGTTTCATCATGTTGGCCAGGCTGGTCACAAACTCCTACCTCAGGTGATCCACCCACCTCAGCCTCCCAAAATGGTGGGATAACAGGTGTGAGCCACCACGCCCAGCCAGTTTTATTTTCTTATAGTATCTTTGTCTGATTTTGTTATCAGAGTAGTGGGGTCCTGAAAAAATGAGTTTGAAAGTGTTCCTTCCTCTTCATTTTTTAAAGAAAAGTTTAAGAAGAATTGGTGTTAATTCTTTCTGAAATATTTTGTAGAATTCTCCAGTGAAGCCATCTAGTCCTGGGCCAATGTAATTTTTTGATATTGGATAATGCAATGTGTCTACATTTAAAAGGTCTCTCTATACTATTGAACTAAATTTTCCAACTGACCAATGAATGATGTTATAAAATCATGCATGGGCAAAAGAGTCCTTCAAAGTGCAAGATAGACCAACGAATTTTAATGTAACAGAGTATAAAAAGTTCATTCATATAGTTTCTTTTTCTTCTTTTTTAGCTTCTACCTTGCTTGCTCTAATATATAGTTTAGTATCAAAAAAGTTTAGTATCCAAAAAGAATACCCAGATTTATCTGAAAAGACTATTACAAATTATTCTTTCACAATCACCTATTTGTGTGAGGCTGGATTTTCTTCATGTACTTTAACCTGAACAACAGATTATAACGGATTGTGAAAACAAGGTATTGTAATGTTGAAGAAGGCAACATTACATGCCTGTAATCCCAGCACTTTGGAAGGCTGAGATGGGTGGATCACCGGAGGTCAGGAGTTCAAGACCACTCTGGCCAACATAATGAAACCCCGTCTCTACTAAAAATACAAAATCAGCCAGGCATGGTGGTGCATGCCTGTAATCCCAGCTACTCAGGAGACTGAGATAGGAGAATGACTTGAACCGGGAGGTAAAGTTTGCAGTGAGCCAAGATCATGCCATTGTACTCCAGCTAGGGCAACAAGAGTGAAACTCCACCTCAAAAAAAAAAAAACGTAAATAAATAAAAGTAAGACTTAAAAAACCCTTGCCTAAAAAGTGTTGTCAAATAGAAACTAACAATTTATTCTCATCTTTCTGTAATGCCACATGGCTCGTGTTTGTGTGTGTGTGTGTGTGTGTGTGTGTGTGTATGTGTGTGTGTCCATTCATTCTTTTGCCCTTGTTATCTTATTACTAGGCATATAGTCTAAGAAACAGATTCTAAGGAATACTAAAAGACCAATAGGAAATTCAAACAAATATGTTTATCATAGCACAATTCATAATAGTGAAAAATTGAAGCAACCCAAGTAACCAATGAATAGCAAATGTCAAGCAGACAATAGTACATCAGTATAATAAAACACAAAGTAACCATGAATATGGAAGTCTACAGATGATATTTAAAAAATAAGCACACATAATAGTTCATAGTATAATCATTGATTATTCTAACACTATAAAAATTCATGTTTGAATATAGATCAGAATGAGAAATATTTTAGTTAAGTAGATGTTTTTTTTCCTTAAAGTAGTTATGTGCACATTAACATTTATAAATGACAGACAACCAGTGCAAGAATATTAAATTCTGGATACCAGAAGGGCACACAAACAGGCAAGGTGAACCATTTTAGTGTTGGCGGAGGCCTCTCTGTCTCCACTTTGGCCTCCCATTTCCTCAAAGTCTGGCCAGGGGGAGTAGGAGGGCAGTGCAGTTGTGGGGGTCGACAGGCAAAGGCACTGACTGGGGTCCATGAAGAGGAGCAGCAGAAGTTGGGGCACCAGCCAGGGATGCTTGGTTGACTTGGCAGTACATCAGACTTCATCTGGTCTCCCTGCTTCTTCTTGGATTGGCGGGGCATAGGGGTTTGCAATCCAACCCAACCAGATTAATCACACATTTATTGAGTGCCTACTGTGTACCAGGTACTCTACTAGGCCTTGGAACCAAAGGTTGACTAAGACATGGGCCCTGCCCATAAGCAGCTCTCAATCTAGACGAACATAGCCAGATATCAGGCAATCTCTATGAGCCGTGAGTGCCTGAAATGGGCAGGCACTGATATTTTTAGATACTTGAAGACAAGACATCCTGAAAACCCCCACTGATGAATAAGTTTCAAAATTTTTAGAATAATTGACTCAAGCTGCTCACAGGTGGCCCTGCATCTGTGTCTCAGTGACTCACTCCATTCCAGAGCACCTCGGATGGAAGCCTTTGAAGAGGCTCAGAAGGGGGAAAAGACCAATGCAAACCAAAACAGCAACAACATAAACAGGGCAGCTTCGTCACAAATTGTATGACCTTTTGGAGGAAGATGAATGAAAATAATTCTGTTTCTGAAGGGAAATGTGATGATTTGTCTTAAAATTGTTGTTCATCCTGCAACAACAAAAAAATGAAGATAGTGCCAATGAAACTATTTCAAGGTCATCTTTGGGAGCCTAAAAATTGATGCACAAGCATGGAAGCACACAGAGCAAGGAGAGAAGTCTGGGTTTTAAGCTCTTCTCTACTAACTAGCTGTGTGGCCTGGGGGAGCCACTTCCTCAATTCCCTGTTGTCAAATATTATCTTCCTCACTGGAGAATTGTGAGAATACATAATATGGGATTGTGAACTGTAAAACAGAACAAAAGTGTAGAATGGCCATTGCAGTAGCAGAGCCTATAAAGTGTTCTGTAGTGATGATAAAAGCAATGGTCATCTTTCCAATGCTGTTTTTCCTAAGACTCCTTGCATGCTGTTACATAAAATAGCTCAAACCAAGCACAAAGCTTTCAGTAAGCATTTTGGACTCTGCCCTAAATTCTAATTAATCCTGAGTCTTGGCACTTGGAGGGAGTGATTCCAAGTTTTCTGGGTGAAAAGTAGAACAAACTCATTAGCAAGTGCCAGATATGGTCCTCAACCCCGTCTGGTGTGGTTTGCTAGAGGGCGCTGATGATATTTCTGGTGTGTTTGATGCTATGAAGAGAGTTGTCATTAGGAACTCCTGCCCAGGTAACAGAGGCTGACACCTGGAATGCAGATGCAACAGGAAAGATGAAGGCGGGATGAGGTGGTGTTGGAGGGATGGGCCATGCTAGTGACTCACTCACTCTGACATCCTTAGCAACCTGGGACATCCCAGTGAGGGCAATAGCTGCCTGGGGTCTCCCAGCCCCTCAGTGTTGTAAATAATGCCACAGGTCTCTGAGGAGGAGCGGGGAGGGGAGGGTAAGGACTGTCGAAGCAAACTGAGAAGTCAGGAGCTTGTCCCCGTGCCGACTCCTCTGTCCATGCTGGCCTAGACACCCACAGCCTTCCATGGGGCAAAGGTTCTAGAACCAGGAGTGTGGCAGCTTTGAGCTCAAACCTTCTACTGGTGTGTGCGTGTGTGTGTTTTGTGTGTGTGTGTGTGTGTGTGTGCATGCGTGCACGCACGTGCATGTGCACGTGTGTGTAGGGGCCTGGTACTCACGGGAATCCAGTTAGGAGACTAGGCATTGGCTGAGAGGAGCTCCAGAGTGAGGTCAGCATGCCCAGTCTGCCCAGGGTGGGCAGAGGTTTCAACAGGCTGGGCAGCAGCCTGAGAGCCTGGCAACAAGTCCTGACGGGGAACAAGTCCAGATGCGGCTCCAGAACAGGCCCTGAGACCTGGGCCAGGCTGAGAGGGGAGACGGGAGAGGTCCTCTTTCTATTCAAGATAATTTATAAATTTCCAAATTCTTGACCGCATCATTCCAGTTGTAATGTGCATGCCCCCAGAAGGTGCTTAAGGTGGTGTTCTTCAAGGGACAGCCCCCAGATGCAAGCATCAGAAGCACCCGGATAACCCCGATTAAAATGTCTACTTTGATTTTGAGGGTGTAGGGTGGGGCTCAAGCATGCGCACTTTAAACAGGGACTCCAAATGCTTCTTTTTGCATAAAGACTCCCCCTGCAGATAAATATCTTAAATGTCAAGACAGGAAGATGGGCAGATATTTTTTGACCTAGCTTTTCAGTATTCCTCAAGTTACACTATATTAGTTGTTTACTCCATCAAACCTTGAGAGAAAAATATGTTTGAGCATGGTAGAGAGTTGCATAACATTTCTCATTTCCTTTTCCCTTCTCATATTCAGTGCAATTCCTGATTTTCCAGTGAGAATTCCTAGCTTGGAGTCATGGATATCACCTGCCCCACCTCCGTCATCTCCCAGCAGGAAACAGAAACTTCATCATCAAGCATGTATTAGTTTTCTACACTGTGTAGCAAATTACCACAAACTTAGAGGCTTAATGCTCCCCGCCATTTATCATCCCACCATTTTCATGGCTCAGGAGTCCAGGCACGGCTTAGCTGGGGTTCTGTACCACAGGCTGCAATCAAGGTATTAGCCAGACTGTGTTCTCATCTGGAGCTCAGAATTCTCTTCCAAGCTTTCATGATTGTGGGCAGATCTCACTTCCTTGTGGTTATAGAATGGAGGGTCTCAGCTTCTTACTTGCTTGTGGCTGGAAGCCACCATCAGATTCTAGAGGTGCCTGTAGTTACCAGTCACATGGTCCTCTCCATAAACAGTCCACACCATGGCTGTTTGCATCTGAGACTAGCAGGAGAATTTCTCACTATACAGGCAGCTAAGACGAGGTTTTATGTAATATAACCTAATCGAGGGAGTGAAGGCACATCAGCTTGGCCGTATTGGTTATGTATTAGTTGGCCAGGGCTGCCATGACAAAGTAACACAGACTGGGGGGCTTACACAATGAACATTTATTTTCTCACACTTCTAGAGGCTAGAAGTCTGAGATCAAGGTGTCGGCAGAGTTAGTTTCTCCTGAGGTTCTCTCCGTGGCTTGCAGTGGGCCACCTTTTCCCTGTGTCGTCACATGGTCACCCTCTGTGTGTGTCTGTGTCTGAATCCCTTTTTCTTTTGCTTTTTTCTTTTTCGAGATGTAGTCTTGCTCTGTTGCCTAGACTGGAGTGCAGTGGCATGATATCAGCTCACTGCAACCTCTGACCACTGGGTTCAAGCAATTCTCCTGCCTCAGCCTCTCGAGTAGCTGGGATTACAGGTGCCCACCACTAAGTCCAGCTAATTTTTGTATTTTTAGCAGAGATGGGGTTTTACCATGTTGGCCAGGCTGGTCTCAAACTCCTGACCTCAAGTGATCCACCGTCCTTGGCTTCCCAAAGTGCTGGGATTACAGGCATGAGCCACTGTGCCCAGCCTGAATCCCTTTTTCTTATAAGGACACCAGTCACATTGGATTAGGGCAAACCCATATGGCTTCATTTAACCTAAATCACCTCTCCAGAGGTCCTATCTCCAAATACAGCCACATTCTGAGGTACTGAGGGTTAGGACTTCAACATACGAACGTTGGGGGAACCCAATTCATCCCATAACACAGAGTAATGTGGGATATATGAGAAAAGAAAAAGTGCGGTAAATGCGACAGTAAGGAAAATACAAGATGCCTTGGGGAAATTCCTGGGAGGATGGTCAGATCCAGACTTAGGCCAGGGTCAGATCCAGAATTTAGCCTTCCTGGAGGAGCTGAAATCTAAGCTTGGACATGAAGCATCAGAAACAGCTAACAGGATAAAGAGGGAAGGGACCAAGTGTCCAGGCAAAAGGAATAACATCCTGACAGTTAGGAATGATTTTAGATTCAAGTAAGAGTATATCGCATTGATTAAAAGTGACTTGAAGCAGTTGGAGTCTATTTTCATCACATCCTAAGGAGGTGGCATAGGAAACTTCTGGCCTTGGTTCAGCAGACTGATGTCAGGTGGCACCCCTGTGATTCTCTTGGCATGTTCCTTACAGTCACAAGATAGCTATTCCTGCCTGATTATCATTTCTGTGTTCAAGGCACAAAAAATCAGGGAAAGTTATTAGCAATGTCTATCCTTTTAATCAGGAAAGCAAAACCTGTCCTAGAAGCTTCCAGGAGACCATGGCTTAACTTCCATAGGTTAGACAGTGTCACAAATGGCTCCCTTAGCTTCAAAGAAGGCTGAGAGCAGGAGTGTTTTGCCATCCCAGACACTGTTGTGGAAGTGGAAGGGAGATAGAAGCTGAGAGTGAATGTATCAGTCCATCAGGGTGGCCATAAGCATTGAAAGGGCTGAGTGTGAAGGAAAAAGCCTTGTTTAGTGAACTGACAGTGGTTAGTAGAGTCAGAGGATGGACTCAAGTGGGAGAAATGGCAAGTGTAGGGATGGGGTCATGAAGGAGAGATTAACAAGTTTGGATTTTTACCTTGAAGACCTCAGAGGATGTCCCAGTTATCTATTGCCATGTAATAAACTACCCCAAACTTAGTGGCACCAAACAGTGACCATTTTGTTATGTGCAGATTCTGTGAGTCAGGAATTCTGACAGGCACAGCAGGGATGGCTTGTCCCTGCTATATGGTATGTGGAGCCTTAGCTCAAAGACTGAATGCCTGGACATGGCTCAAGTGGCTGGGGACAGGGTCATTGAAGACTTCTTTACTCACCTGTCTGGCGCCTGGGCTGGGATGGCCTGAAGGTTGGAATCAACTGGGCTGTGAACTGGAGACCACCATGTGGCCTCTCCATGAGGTTGACTTGGGCTCCTTCCAGTGTGCTGCTGGGTTCTGAGAGTAAGTGTCTGGAGACTGGGCATATCAAGAGACCCAGGCTGAAGCTGCAAGGCTCCTTCCACCCTAGCCTTGGAAGCCACAGAGCACCATTTTGGTTCTGATGCATCCTCTTGGTTATGTGGAAGCCATTCAGAGGCAGCCCAGATCCAAGAGAAGGTGAATTAGCCTCCACCTCTTGAAGGGGGAGAGGCAAGATGACATTGTAGAGCAGCATGTGGATGGGAGATGTGGCAGCCATATTTTGAAAAGCCCATATGCCCTCAGGGGTGACTGAAAGGTTTTAGGCAAGGGTAATAAGTTTAGACTGTGCTTTTAGAAAAATCATAATGTCTGTAGTTTGAGAACTAGTTGGAATGGTCAAAGACTGTAGGTGGGGAGATGTGGTAGGAGGTTGGCCTCAGTAAATATGGTAGGTGTTGCATCTGGACAGCCTGGAGAGCTATTTTGCAGGTGGAATCACCAGGACTTAGGACTAAGTAAATGAGAGGTTTGAGGGAGAGGAGGAGTCAAGGTTCAGGATTAAGCAGCTGGTAACCGGTGCCTTTAACCAACACAGGCACACAGGAATAGGGCAGATATGGGAGAAGACAGAAGGCTCAATTGTGAACATTTGACTTTTGAGTTTCTGTGAGACATCCAATAACAGTTTTCTAATCATTGGTTATATGGGTTTAGTGTTCAGAAAAAATTTCTGATCTAGAGATATTGATTTGAAAATCATTAATTTAGAGTCAGTAATTGAGATGTTGAGAGAAAATGAGATTTACCATGGATAGAGTATAGAATGAATGAGAAAAGAAATGAGGGTAAACAGAATTCTGGGGGGCACCAACATTTAAAGTCCAGGGAAAGAAGTCTATAAAGGAGGTAGGTGAGTGGTCAATGAGGTAGAAGAATGTAGTAGGTTGATAATAGCTTCCAAAGATAGGTCCAAATTCCTAGCATGTTACCTTATTTGAAAATGGGTGTTTGTAGATGTGATTAAGGTAAGGATTTTAAGATGAGGAAACTATCCTGGATTTATGGATAGACCCTAAATGCCATGACAAATATCCTTATAAAAGAGAGGCAAGAGGGAGATTAGATATGCACAGAAGAGAAGGTGATGTGAAGACAGGGACAGATTAGAGTGATGTAGCCACAAGTCAAAAAATGCCTGGGGCTACTAGAAGCAGGAAGAATCAAAGAACAGGTTGTCCCTAGAGCCTTCAGGGGGAAGATGGTCCTGTTGACACCTCGATTTCAAACTTTTGACCTCCAGAACTGTAAGAGAATAAACATCTGTTGTTCTAAGCCACTTAGTTTGTGGCAATTTGTTACAGTGCCCCTAGGAAATTAATGAAGATGGAAATCAGGACCGTGTAATACCATGGAAACCAAGGAAGAGAGGATTTTAAGAGGACGAGTGGTAAATTCATTTAACAAATAGTTTTGGGAATACTGTATGTAGCAGACCCTGTCCAAGATGCTGAAGATGCTGTCCTCATGAAGCTTACATTTATTATTATTATTATTTTAAAGTGAAAACGAGCATATTAAGAAATTAAAGGAATAAAAGAATGGCTACTCCACAGGAAGAGCAGCCTTGGGGGCTGCTGGTTGGCTATTTTTTATGGTTATTTCTTGATTAAATGCTAAACAAGGAGTGGATTATTCATGAGTGTTCACAGAAAAGGGTGGACAATTCCTGGAACTAAGGGTTCCCCCAACCTTTTAGACCATATCGGGTAACTTATGGCATTTGTAAATTGTTATGGCACTGGTGGGAGTGTCTTTTAGCAAGCTAATGCATTATAATTAGCGTATAATGAGCAGTGAGGACGACCAGAGGTCTTTCATTACCATCTTAGTTTTGGTGGGTTTTGGCCGGCTTCTTTACCACAGTCTGTTTTATCAGCAAGGCCTTTGTGAGCTTACCTTGTGCCAGCCTATCTCATCCTGTGACTTAGAATGCCTAACCTCCTGAGAATGCAGCCCAGTAGGTCTCAGCCTCATTTTACCCAGCCGCTATTCAAAATGGCATCACTGTGGTTCAAACACCTCTGACATATTTCCCCCTTCCCTTTTACAAGGGAACCCTTAATCCTAAGGGTTGTAGAGAGACAAAGATCCATCTTCTGTAACTTCTTCAGGCTAGAGAGGGGTGATGATATTCCTGCCTAACTGTTAGGGTCTCTTGTATTCAGGGTAGAGAGGAGCTCAGTCAGAAAGCATGGGTGTGTCGAGGACTGCTCATAACTCTTGAGTTCCAACAAAAGGTGATATCTGGAAGATTAATAATTGTCCAATTTAAGAGAACATTGAGTAAGCTTATCCTGCATTCCTACACATAGAGTACAGCAGCAATATATTTTACAAGAGTAAAGCAAAATAAGTAAAACTATCCCAAATAAACTAAATAAGAACGCTTTCCATGAACTGGGTAACTGTTGGAACCAAGCTGATATGGGGTTGCTAGCTGATTCCAATATGTGTCCAGAATTAGAACACTAATCCAAATTGTTACATTACCAATTCCTCTGACTTATTCTGAGCTGCAGTCAGAGATCACTGATTGGTTCACAGGAATAAGCAGGGTCAGTCTAAATTGCAGGAAAAAACAGAAAAACAACTAATTGGACTATAATCTAATAACAAGTGTACCATAGTTTTTGAAATGTATTTTTCCTCTCTTCAGTCTTCCATTTTTACTAAAGACACATCATGGTAAGATCAGTTTGCTTTATTATTCTTGGCCTGATTATTTGCATAAAGTGCAGCAAAAATAAGTATTTTTCACATAAGCTTTTAAAATGAGCTTTGATGAAACTTTGTTCCATAGAGGAATCACAAATAAAGACTTTTTTTTGAGAGGTGCAGTCTTGGCTCACTGCAACCTCTGCCTCTCGGGTTCAAGTGATTCTTCTGCCTCAGCCTCCCGTAGGTGGGATTACAGGCACCCACCACCATGCCTGGCTACTTTTTTGTATTTTTAGTAGAGATGGGGTTTTGCCATGTTGGGCAGGCTGGTCTCAAGCTCCTTATCTCAGGTGATCTGCCTGCCTCAGCCTCCCAAAGTGCTGGGATTACAGGTATGAGCCACTGCGCCTGGCCAAAGACTTTTTTTTTTTTAAAGCTGAGCCCACCATGGGTTTGTACCATAAATTCCTCTGCCCTTGAGGTCCCAAGATAACTGGGACTTTCAGAAAGTGACATTCTTTAATTATCACAGTTCAGAAAGCCTGTACAGAGACTGTGCAGACAGGTATGAGGCCAGGTTTCCCAAGGGGCTTTTATTGGCTCTATAAGTCAAATTTGATTCCTTAAAGAAAAGTATACCATTACAGGAAAAGCCTTGCTAAAATAACCAGTTTCTCAATTGTGTCCTATTGCAAAAGAAAACAGATTCTTACTGCATTTATGTAATTAACTATATTGCCATAAGTTAAGAATACTCACAAATAGTTTTTAAATTCTGAAGAAATCAGGTAGAGAGAAAGAAATATGCTCCAAATTTTGTTCACTCAATTGTTAAAAGCTGTCAGTAGCTCAAAAGAAAAGTTTCCTTGACTCTGAAAAACAAAATGAAGGATCAGCAATGTTTAAAGCAAAAAGTCAAAAAGATTACTTCAGTCTTCCATTAGTTCAGTCCATACAGTTAACTCCTGTTCTGCTTGACATTCATAAGTATTACAGTTCTCCATGAGAGTCCTCAAAATTTTTTCTCCATTCTAATGTCACAATCTCCAAAGTTATCAGAAACCTGCTTTAAGAACACCTGTTAAAGTCCTATAGCTGTCTTTAAACCACCTTTTAAAGAGGATTACAACAAGACAACAATTGTGGATGACACAACATCTTAGTTAGGACAGCCAATATTAAAGCCATAAATGACAAGAAAATTTTGGTTACTTCTGTGGCATACAACAATTTTACATAACAATCATAAACATTAATAACATACACTAAGTCATATCAGAATTATAGGAATTTCCCATAATTTTGGAACACACACCAATAACATATGTATACAAATAAACCCCAAAGAAAGCCTAACACCATTTCATATTTGACAATGTGTTTCATATTTGACAATGTTTCCTGTATGATTTTATGCCAAATAAGCCAAATATGTCATTTTTGTACTTTAGGGGACTTAATACCTAAAAGATTAATTAGGTCAGAAAAGACAAAATTTATTTATTTTTTTAACTTTTTATTTTATTTTACTTTAAGTTCTGGGATACACGTGCAGAACGTGCAGGTTTGTTACATAGGTATGCATGTGCCATGGTGGTTTGCTGCACCTATCAACCCATCATCTAGGTTTTAAGACTGGCATGCAGTAGGTATTTGTCCTAATGCTCTCCCTCCCCTTGCCCCACAGCCCCTGACAGGCCCCAGTGTGTGATGTTCCCCTCCCTGTGTCCGTGTGTTCTCACTGTTCAACTCCCACTTATGAGTGAGAGCATGCAGTGTTTGGTTTTCTGTTCCTGTGTTAGTTTGCTGAGGATGATGGTTTCCAGCTTCATCTATGTCCCTGCAAAGGACACGAACTCATCCTTTTTTATGACTGCATAGTATTTCATGGTGTATATGTGCCACATTTTCTTTATCCCGTCTATCATTGATGGGCATTTGTGTCGGTTCCAAGTCTTTGCTATTGTAAATAGTGCTGCAATAAACATACATGTGCATATGTCTATAGTAGAATGATTTATAATCCTTTGGGTATATACCCAGTAATGGGATTGCTGGGTCAAATGGTATTTCTGGTTCTAGATCCTTGAGGAATCGCCACACTGTCTTCCACAATGGTTGAACTGATTTACGCTCCCACCAACAGTGTAAAAGCATTCCTATTTCTCCACATCCTCTCCAGCATCTGTTGTTTCCTGACTTTTTAATGATCACCATTCTAACTGGCATGAGATGGTATCTCATTGTGGTTTTGATTTGCATTTCTTTAATGACCAGTGATGATGAGCATTTTTTCATATGTTTGTTGACTGCACAAATGTTTTTTTTCTTTTTTTGAGAAGCATCTATTCATATCCTTCACCCTCTTTTTGATGGGGTTGTTTTTTTCTTGTAAATTTGTTTAAGTTTCTTGTAGATTCTGGATATTAGCCCTTTGTCAGATGGATAGACTGCAAAAATTTTCTTCCATTCTGTAGGTTGCCTTTTCACTCTGATGATAGTTCCTTTTGCTGAGCAGAAGCTCTTTAGTTTAATTAGATCTCATTTGTCAATTTTGGCTTTTGTTGCCATTGCTTTTGGTGTTTTTAGTCATGAAGTCTTTGCCCATGCCTATGTCCTGAATGGTACTGCCTAGGTTTTCTTCTAGGGTTTTTATGGTTTTAGGTTTTACATTTCAGTCTTTACTCCATCTTGAGTTAATTTTTGTATAACGTGTAAGGAAGGGGTCCTGTTTCTGTTTTCTGCATATGGCTAGCCTGTTTTCCCAGCACCATTTATTAAATAGGGAATCCTTTGCCCACTTCTTGTTTTTGTCAGACTTGTTGAAGATCAGATGGTTGTAGATGTGTGGTGTTATTTCTGAGGCCTCTGTTCTGTTCAATTGGTCTGTATATCTGCTTTGGTACCAGTACTATGTTGTTTTGGTTACTGTAGCCTTGTAGTAGAGTTTGAAGTCAGGTAGTGTGATGCCTCCAGCTTTCTTCTTTTTGCTTAGGATTGTCTTGGCTATACGGGCTCCTTTTTGGTTCCATATGAAACTTAAAGTAGTTTTTTTTATAGTTCTGTGAAGAAAGCCAATGGTAGCTTGATGGGGATAGCATTGAATCTATAAATTATTTTGGGCAGTATGGCCATTTTCATGATATTGATTCTCCCTATCCATGAGCATGGAATTTTTTTCCATTTGTTTGTGTCCTCTCTTATTTCTTTGAGCAGTGGTTTGTAGTTCTCCTTGAAGAAGTCTGTCACAGCTCTTGTAAGTTGTTTATCAGCTTAAGGAGTTTTTGGGCTGAGATGATGGGGTTTTCTAAATATACAATCATATTGTCTGCAAACAGAGACAATTTGACTTCCTCTATTCATATTTGAATACCTTTTATTTCTTTCTCTTTCCTGATTGCCCTGGTCAGAACTTCCAATACTATGCTGAATAGGAGTGGTGAGAGAGGGCATCCTTGTCTTGTGCCAGTTTTCTAAGGGAATGCTTCCAGCTTTTGCCCATTCAGTGTGATATTGGCTAGGGGTTTGTCATAAATAGCTCTTATTATTTTGAGATATGTTCCATCAATACCTAGTTTATTGAGAGTTTTTAGCATGAAGGGGTGTTGAATTTTATCAAAGGCCTTTCTGCATCTATTGAGATAATCATATGGTTTGGTCATCAATTCTGTTTATGTGATGGATTACGTTTATTGATTTGCATATGTTGAACCAGACTTTCATCCCAGGGATGAAGCCGACTTGATCGTGGTGGATATGCTTTTCGATGTGCTGGTGGATTTGGTTTGCCAGTATTTTATTGAGGATTTTTGCATTGGTGTTCACCAGGAATATTGTCCTGAAATTTTCTTTTTTTGTTGTGTCTGTATTAGGTTTTGGAATCAGGATGATGCTGGCCTCCTAAAATGAGTTAGAGAGGAGTCCCTCTTTTTCTATTGTTTGGAATAGTTTCAGAAGGAATGGTACCAGCTCCTCTTTGTACCTTTCATAGAATTCAACTGTGAATCCGTCTGGTCCTGGGTTTTTTTTTTTTTTTTTTTTTTCTGGTTGGTAGGCTATTAATTACTGCCTCAATTTCAGAACTTGTTATTAGTCTATTCAGGGATTTGAATTCTTCCTGTTTTAGTCTTGGGAGGGCATATGTATCCAGGAATTTATCCCTTCTAGATTTTCTGGTTTATTTGCATAGAGGTGTTTATAGTATTCTCTGATGGTAGTTTGTATTTCTGTGGGATCAGTGGTGATAACCCCCTTATCAGTTTTTATTGTGTATATTTGATGATATCTCTTTTCTCTTTCATTAGTCTGGCTAGTAGTCTCTCTATTTTGTTAATCTTTTCAAAAAACCCACTCCCAGATTCATTGATTTTTTGAAGGGTTTTTATCTCCTTCAGTTTTGCTCTGATCTTAGTTATTGCTTGTCTTCTGCCAGCTTTTGAATTTGTTTGCTCTTGCTTCTCTAGTTTGTTTAATTTTGATGTTAGGGTATCTATTTTAGATCTTTTCCGCTTTCTGATGTGGGCATTTAGTGCTATAAATTTTCCTCAAAACACGGCTTTAGCTGTGTCCCAGAGATTCTGGTACGTTGTGTCTTTGTTCTCATTGGTTTCAAAGAACTTATTTATTTTTGCCTTAACTTCATTATTTACCAAGTAGTCACTCAGGAGCAGGTTGTTCAGTTTCCATGTAGTTGTGAAGTTTTGAGTCAGTTTCTTAATCCTGAGTTCTAATTTGATTGCACTGTGGTCTGAGGCTGTTTTTTATGATTTCTGTTCTTTTGCATTTGCTGAGGAGTATTTTAGTTCCAATTGTGTGGTCGATTTTAGAATAAGAGTGATGTAGTGCTGAGAAGAATGTATATTCTGTTGACTTGGGGTGGAGAGTTCTGTAGATGTCTATTAGGTCCACTTTGTCCAGAGCCGAGTTCAAGTTCTGATTATCCTTGTTAATTTTCTGTCTCATTGATCTGTTTAATATTGACAGTGGGGTGTTAAAGTTCCTCACTATTATTGTGTAGGAGTCTAAGTCTCTTTGTAGGTTTCTAAGCACTTGGGTGCTTCTGTGTTGGGTGCATATATGTTTAGGATAGTTAGCTCTTCTTGTTGCATTGATCCCTTTACCATTATATAATGTACTTCTTTGTCTTTTTGATCTTTGTTGGTTTAAAGTCTGTTTTATCAGAGACTAAGATTGCAACCCCTCCTTTTTTCTTGAGATGGAGTCTTGCTCTGTCACCTAGGCTGGAGTGCAGTGTTGCGATCTTGGCTCACTGCAACCTCTGCCTCCCAGTTCAAGCAATTCTCCTGCCTCAGCCTCCTGAGTAGCTGGGACTACACATGTGTGCCACCACGCCTGGCTAATTTTTTGTATTTTTAGTAGAGACAGGGTTTCACTGTGTTAGCCAGGATGGGCTTCATCTCCTGACCTCGTGATCTGCCCACCTCAGCTTTCCTAAGTGCTGGGATTACAGGTGTGAGCCACTGTGCCCAGCCCAACCCCTGCTTTTTTTTTTTTTTTTTTTGCTTTCCATTTGCTTGGTAAATATTCCTCCATCCCTTTTTTTTGAGCCTGTGTGTGTCTTTGCACATGAGATGTGTCTCCTGAGTACAGCACACCCATGGGTCTTGACTTTTTATCCAATTTGCCAGTATGTGTCTTTTAATTGGGGCATTTAGCCCATTTGCATCTAATGTTAATATAGTTATGTGTGAATTTGATCTTGTCATTATGACACTAGCTGGTTATTTTGCCTGTTAGTTGATGAAGTTTCTTCATGGTGTCGATGGTCTTTACAATTTGGTATATTTTTGCAGTGGCTGGTACCAGTTTTTCCCTTCCATATTTAGTGCTTCCTTCGGGAGCTCTTGTAAGGCAGGCCTGGTGGTGACAAAGCCTCCCTGCATTTGCTTGTCTGTAAAGGATTTTATTTCTCCTTTGCTTATGAAGCTTAGTTTGGCTGGATATGAAATTCTGGGTGAAAATTCTTTTCTTTAAGAATGTTGAGGCTGGGCACGATGGCTCACACCTGTAATCCTAGCACTTTTTGAGGTTGAGGTGGGCAGATCCCGAAGTCAAGAGATTGAGACTATCCTGGCCAGCATGGTGAAACCCCATGTCTACTAAAAATACAAAAATTAGCTGGGCATGGGGCACACACCTGTAGTCCCAGCTATGTGAGAGGCTGAGGCAGGAAAATCGCTTGAATCCGGGAGGCAGAGGTTGCAGTGAGCCAAGATCGCACCACTGCACTCCAGCCTGGGCGACAGAGCGAGACTCCATCTCAAAAAAAAAAAAAAAAAAAGAATGTTGAATATTGGCCCCCTTGGCCCCCACTCTCTTCTGGCTTGTAGGGTTTCTGAAGAGAGATCTGCTGTTAGTCTGATGGGCTTCCCTTTGTGCATAACCTGACGTTTCTTTCTGGCTGCCCTTAACATTTTTCCCTTCATTTCAACCTTGGTGAATCTGATGATTATGTGTCTTGGAGTTGCTCTTCTCGAGGAGTATATTAGTGGTGTTCTCTGTATTTCCTGAAGTTGAATGTTGGTGTGTCTTGCTAGGTTGGGGAAGTTCTCCTGGATAATATCCTGAAGAGTGTTTTCCAGCTTGGTTCCACTTTCAGGTACACCAGTCAAACGTAGTTTTGGTCTTTTCACATAGTCTCACATTTCCTGGAGGGTTTGTTCATTCCTTTTCCATTTTTTTTCTCTAATCTTGTCTTCATGCTTTATTTTATTAAGTTGATCTTCAATCTGCGATATTCTTTTTATGCTTGATCAATTTGACTATTAATACATGTGTATTTGTTCTCGTACTGTGTTTTTCAGGTCCATCAGGTCATTTATGTTTTTTTTTTTAAACTGGTTATACTAGTTAGCAATTCGTCTAACCTTTTTTCAAGGTTCTTAGCTTCCTTGCATTGGGTCAGAACATGCTTCTTTAGCTTGGAGGAGTTTGTTATTACCCACCTTCTGAAGCCTACTTCTGTCAATTCATCAAAATCATTCTCCATCCAGTTTTGTTCCCTTGCTGGCGAGGAGTTTTGATCCTTTGGAGGAGAAGAGGCATTCTGGTTTTTGAAATTTTCAGCCTTGTTGCACTGGTTTTTCCTCATTTTTGTGGATTTATCTATCTTTGGTCTTTGATGTTGGTGACCTTCAGATGGGGTTTTGTGTGGACGTCCTTTTTGTTGATGTTGATGCTATTCCTTTATGTTTGTTAGTTTTCCTTCTAACAGTCAGGCCCCTCTGCTGCAGGTCTGCTGGAGTTTACTCCAGACCTCGTTTGCCTGGGTATCACCAGCAGAGGCTGCAAAACAGCAAAGATTGCTGCCTGTTCCTTCCTCTGGAAGCTTCGTCCCAGAGGGGCACCCCTGAGATGCCAGCCTAAGCTCTCCTGTATGAGGTGTCTGTCAGCCCCTGCTGGGAGGTGTCTCCCAGTCAGGAGGCATGGGGGTCAGGGACCCACTTGAGAATCAGTCTGTCCCTTAGCAGAGCTCGAGTGCTGTGCTGGGAGATCTGCTGCTGTCTTCAGAGCCGGCAGACAGGAACGTTTAATTCTGCAGAAGCTACACCCATAGCTGCCCCTTCCCTGAGGTGCTCTGTCCCAGGAAGATGGGAGTCTTGTCTATAAGCCCCTGACTGGGGCTGCTGCCTTTCTTTCAGAGATGTCCTGGCCAAAGAGGAGGAATGTAGAGAGGCAGTCTGGCTATAGCAGCTTTGCTGAGCTGCAGTGGGCTCCGTCCAGTTGGTACTTCCTGGCAGCTTTGTTTACATTGTGAGGGGAAAACCACCTACTCAAGCCTCAGTAATGGCCAACGCCTCTCCTCCAACCAAGCTTGAGCATCCCAGGTCAACTTCAGAGTGCTGTGCTGGCAGCGAGAATTTCCAGCCAGTGGATCTTAGCTTGCTGGGCTCCGCGGGGGTGGGATCCGCTGAGCTAGACCACTTGGCTCCCTGGCTTCAGCCCCCTTTCCAGGGGAGTGAACAGTTCTGTTTCACTGGTGTTTTTGGCGCCACTGGGGTATGAACAAAAACCTTCTCCAGCTAGCTCGGTGTCTGCCAAAATGGCCACCCAGTTTTGTCCTTGAAACCCAGGGCCCTGGTGGTGTAGGCTCCTGAGGTAATCTCCTGGTCTGTGGGTTGGGAAAAGTGTAGTATCTGGGCCGGAATGCATTGTCCCCCATGGCACAGTCCCTCAGGGCTTCCCTTGGCTATGGGAGGGTGTTCCCTGACCCCTGCACTTCCCGGGTGAGGTGATGCCCTACCCTGCTTCATCTAGCCCTCCATGGTGTGCACCTACTACCTAACCAGTCCCAGTGAGATGAGCAGGTACCTCAGTTGGAAATGCAGAAACCACCTGCCTTCTGTGTTGATCTCACTGGGAGCTGCAGACTGGAGCTGTTCCTATTCAGCCATCTTGCCAGCCACTCTGCCTTTTCTTTCTATAATTCTTTTATGAGCTAAATGATAGGCAATTTCCCCCACAGTCTAGGGCTTGTTTCACATTCTCCTAACAGAACATTTTGAAGAGGTTATGTTCTTAATTTTAACCATGTCCAATTCATATTTTTTCTTTTATAGACTCTGTTTTCTAAAAAATATTTGCATAACCCAAAGTCACAAAAGTTTTTCCTTTCTTTTTTTCTAAAAGATATAAATTTCTAGGTTTTACATTTAAGTTTATGATCTACTTGCGTTAGTTTTTGTATATAGTGTGAGGTGTGCCTTGAATTTTTCTTTCTTTTCTTGCTTAAGGATATGCAACTCATTTCTATTTTTTTAAAATAATAAAGACACTATTATTTAAAAGAAGAATAAATATTTATGCAAACTGTGAAAGTGGAGGATATGCCTGCCTCCTGTTCCCAGGGAGAAGGCAGAAGTGGGCGGGCAGGGGAAAGGTAAGGGTTTTGAGAGCAACACGGTCTCTTCAGTGTGGGCTCCACAGGCTAAGGAGAGGCGGGGCTGGGGCTGGCAGAGCAGTAAGCTGAGACAGTGGGAAGTGCCCTGGTGGGGTCAGTGGCTCCTGTGGGGGTAAAACAAGGGTCAATAGGATGAAGCAGTCTGGAGGCTCAGGAGAAGGTGGCAGGGCCCTGACTCTGAGCCCGGCTGCAGGCTGGGTGTGCTCAGAGGTGCATGGTCTCCCCTGGGCGGCTCCTTGGTGTGTAGGAAGGCCCAAGACACCGAGACATTGCTGCACCTACTCCTAGAGCTCCCGCGGTGGCTCTGCGACTGGGCTGTGGCCGGGGTACTTCCTGCAGTAGGGCAGGCGGCAGGCTGGGGGAAGGCTGCTTCTCCTGGAAGACACTGTTGCTGGAGAGTGGAGGCTTCTTCTGAGCGGCCCAGGCCTGGACACAAAGGCGGGGACCTCTCCATGTCTCCTGATGGGCTTGAAAGCTGATAGCCTGGGTGACGGGCTCTGCTTGGTGTCTGGGACCTCAAACCAGAGTGGCTCGTCGAATTTCCTTTTTCCCTTGTTGCACTGGCTGAGGGCCTTCAGCATGGTCTCCCTGGCCCAGGGAGCTGGGGCCTCGGGGGGAGGTGACGCTTGTATAGGCTCCCCTCTGTGCTCCGGCGGGGCGATTTTCACGGTCACCAGGCTGCGGACGGGCCGGGGGTGCTGGGCCTTCCAAAACCACCGCTTCATGTAGGCCAGGTGAGCCTCGGAAAAGTCTGGCCCAGTGAGGCTTAGGAGTGGTGGCCTGTTGGGAAAGCACCTCCAGGCCTCTGGGACCATCTCTCTCCGGGTGCGGGCATAGTCCCAATCGAGAGGAGCGGTGGGGAGGGGCCGGGTGTGGACCCCGAGCTTCCCATGGACGTAGACAACTTTGCAGCAGTCCTGGACCTGGGAGCGGAGGACCGGCCTGGACGGCGGGGACCGGTGCTTCTGGGCTCGGGGCAGCACCCTGGCCCGGGGCCAGCCCAGGAACCAGCTCAGGTAGTTGCCCATGACAGCAGTGCAATGGTCGGGACCTTCTGTTAGAAATTCGGCTTCCAGAAGTTTCCGAAGTCTGCCGCCAGGGCCAAGTGTGCTGAGCTTGGTGACCGCTGGCCTCAGGACGCTACAAAGCGCGCAAAACATCGCGCGTTGGGCACCCTCTGGCCATAGGGTCCCGCACGGGCCAGGACGGCACCTCGTGGAATCGGGGACGTCACAGGGCGCAGCTGCAGTGGGGGAGGGCAGCACCCAGACGATCTGGGAGACCAGGGAAGCTCAAGCCTCCGTCCTTCCCACTGATGGTCCCAGTCACTTGGCTCTGAGCAGAGGGGCCCAGCAGCTGCCTCTACTTTTGTGCCTGACCTTTCAAGGTAGAAGATAGAATTTCTGCCAGGTCCTGAAAACTGCAGATGCCTGTTGACAGAAGGGTGCTGTCTTTGATCAGTGTGAAAATGAACACAATACACTTGGATGCTCTTTCAAGGAAAAACAAATCATTTACTCATATCAGTAAAGGTGATGTGTGTTTCATTCTTCTAGGATGGATGTTAATGTCACTTTTTGCAATTTTGCTCTTAAGAAAATGGAGTCATCAAGTTTTGTTTTAGGACTGGCAATGTTGATTTTATGTGGATTTCCTATAATTTCCAGCCTTCGTATATCCATGAATAGATTGTCTATCTCTGAACATTAATGTCATTTCTCTCCTTTTGCTTAATTTATTTTTAAGAATTATTTCAGTAGTCTTTTGGGGAAAAGGTGATGTTTGGTTACACATGTAAGTTATTTAGTTGTGATTTCTGAGGTTTTGGTGCACCCTTTGCCCCATCAGTGTACCCTGCACCCAATGTGTAGTCTTTCATCCCTCTCTCACCTCCCATCCATTCCCCCAAGTCCCCAAAGTGCATTGAATCATTCTTATGCCTTTGCATCCTCATAGCTTAGCTCCCACTTATGAGTGAGAGCATACGATGTTTAGTTTTCCATTCCTGAGTTACTTCACTTAGAATAATGGTCTCCAACTTCATCCAGGTTGCTGCGAATGCCATTATTTCATTCATTTTTAAGGCCATTTAGTATTCCATAGTACGTTTGTACCAAATTTTCTTTATCCATTCATACGTTGATGGGCATTTGGGCTGATGCCATAGTTTTGCAATTGCTATTTCTGCTGCTATAAATGTGTGTGTGCAAGTATCTTTTTCATATAATGACTTCTTTCCTCTGGGTAGGTACCGAGTAGTGGCATTGCTGGATCAAATGGTAGTTCTACTTTTAGTTCTTTAAGGAGTCTCCACACTGTTTTCCATAGTGGTTTGTACTAGTTTACATTCCCACCAGCAGTATACCAGTGTTTCCTTTTCACCACATCCATACCAACATCTATTTTTTTTTATTATGGCCATTCTTGCAGGAGTAATGTGGTATCACATTATGGTTTTTATTTGCATCTCCCTGATGATTAGTGATGATGAGCATTTTTTCTTATGTTTGTTGGCTATTTGTATATTTGAGAATTACAAATTGTCTATTTATGTCTTTAGCCCACTTTTTGAATGGGATTATTTGTTTTTTTCTTGCTAATTTGTTTGAGTTCCTCATAGATTCTGGATATTATTCCTTTGTCAGATGGATAGTTTGTGAAGATTTTCTCCCACTCTGTGGGTTGTCTGTTTATCTGCTGATTATTGCTTTTACTGTGCAGAAGCTTTTAGTTTAATTAAGTCCCAGCTATTTATCTCTGGTTTTATTGCATTTGCTTTTGGGTTCGTGGTTATAAAATCTTTGCCTAAGCCAGTGTCTAGAAGGGTTTTTCCGATGTTCTAGAATTTTTATGGTTTCAGGTCTTAGATTTAAGTCTTTGATCCATCTTGAGTTGATTTTTATATAAGGTGAGAGATGAGGATCCTGTTTCATTCTTCTGCATGTGGCTTGCCAATTATCCCAGCACCATTTGTTGAATAGGGTGTCCTTTCTCCACTTTACGTTTTTGTTTGCGTTGTTGAAGATCAGTTTGCTCTAGGTATATGGCTTTATTTCTGGGTTCTCTATTCTGTTCCATTGGTCTAGGAGCCTATTTTCATACCAGCACCATGCTGTTTTGGTGACTATAGCCTTATAACATAGTTTGAAGTCAGGTAATGTGCTGCCTCAAGATGTGTTCTTTTGCTTAGCCTTGCTTTGGCTATGAGAACTCTTTTTTGGTTCTATATGAATTTTAGAATTGTTTTTTCTAGTTCTGTGAAGAATGATGGTGGTATTTTGATGGGAATTGCATTGAATTTGTAGATTGCTTTTAGCAGTGTGGTCATTTTCACAATACTGATTCTACCCATCCATGAGCATGGCATGTGTTTCCATTTGTTTGTGTCATCTGTGATTTTTTTCGGCAATATTTTGCAGTTTTCTTTGTAGGGGTCTTTCACTTCCTTGGTTAGGTGTAATATACTCCTAAGTGTTTTTTGTTTGTTTGTTTGCTTTGCAGCTATTGTAAAAGGGCTTGAGTTCTTGATTTGATTCTCAGCTTGGTTGCTGTTGGTGTATAGCAGTGCTACTGATTTGTGTATATTGAGTTTGTATCCTGAATTCATTTGTCAGTTTGCTGAATTCATTTATCAGTTCTAGGAGCTTTTAGGATGAGGCTTTAAGGTTTTCTAGGTATACCATTATATCAATGGTGAACAGCAACAGTTTGACTTCCTCTTTACTGATTTGGATGCCCTTTATTTCTTTCTCTTGTCTAATTGCTCTGGCTAGGACTTCCAGTACTACGTTGAATAGAAGTGGTGAAAGTGGGCATCCTTGACTTGTTCCAGTTCTCAGAGGGAATGCTTTCAACTTGTCCCCATTCAGTGTAATGTTGGCTGTGGGATTGTCATAGATGGCTTTTATTATCTTAAAGTATCTCCTTTCTATGCTGATTTTGCTGAGGGATGCTGGATTTTGTCAAATGCTTTTTCTGTGTCTATTGAGATGATCATGTTATTTTTGTTTTTAATCCTGTTTATGTGGTGTATCACATTTACTGACTTGCGTATGTTAAACCATCTTGCATCCCTAGTATGAAACCCACTTGATCATGGTAGATTATCTTTTTTGTATGCTGTTGGATTCCATTAGCTAGTAATTTGTTGAGGATTTTTGCAACCATGTTCATTGAGGATATTCGTCTGTAATTTTCTTTTTTTGTGATGCGCCTTTCTGGTTTTAGTATTAGGGTGATACTGGCTTCATAGAATGATGTAGGGAGGGTTGCCTCTTTCTCTATTTTTTGAAATAGTCTCAATAGATTGGTACAATTCTTCTTTGAATGTCTCACAGAATTCAACTGTGAACTTGTCTGGTCCTGGAATTTTTCTTGTTGGCATTTTCTTTTTTAAATTACTATTTCAATCTTGCTGCTTATTACTGGTCTATTCAGAGTTTTAATTTCTTCCTGGTTTAATCTAGGAAGGTTGTATATTTCCAGGAATTTATCCATCTCCTCTAGGTTTTCTTTCCATGTTTAGTGCTTCCTTCAGGAGCTCTTGTAAGGCAGGCCTGGTGGTGATAAAATCTCTTAGCATTTGCTTGTCTGTAAAGGATTTTATTTCTCCTTCGCTTATGAAGCTTAATTTGGCTGGATATGAAATTCTGGGTTGAAAATTATTTCCTTTAAGAATGTTGGATATTGGTCCCCACTCTCTTCTGGCTTGTAGGGTTTCTGCAGAGAGATCTGCTGTTAGTCTGATGGGTTTCCCTTTGTGGGTAACCTGACCTTTCTCTCTGGCTGCCCTTAATATTTTTTCCTTCATTTCAACCTTGGTAAATCTGATGATTATGTGTCTTGGGGTTGCTCTTCTTGAGGAATATCTCTGTGGTGTTCTCTGTATTCCCTGTACTTGAATGTTGTCCTGTCTTGCTAGGTTGGGGAAGTTCTCCTGGATAATATCCTGAAGAGTGTTTTCCAACTTGGTTCCATTCTCCCTGTCATTTTCAGGTACACCTATCAAATGTAGATTTGGTCTTTTTACATAGTCCCATATTTCTTGGAGGTTTTGTTCATTCCTTCTTATTCTTTTTTCTCTAATCTTTATTTCAATCTCGCTTTATTTCATTAAGTTGATCTTCAATCTCCGACATCCTTTTTTTCCGCTTGATCAATTCGGCTATTTATACTTGTGTATGCTTCACGAAGTTCTTGTACTGTGTTTTTCAGCTCCATCAGGTCATTTATGTTCTTCTCTAAACTGGTTTTCTAGTTAGCAATTCATCTAACCTTTTTTCAAGGTTCTTAGCTCCCTTGCATTGGGTTAGATCATGCTCCTTTAGCTGGGAGTAGTTTGTTATTACCCACCTTCTGAAGCCTACTTCTGTAAATTCTTCAAACTCATTCTCCATCCAGTTTTGTTCTGTTGCTGGGGAGTTGTGATCCTTTGGAGGAGAAGAGGCATTCTGATTTTTGGAATTTTCAGCCTTTTTGCTCTGGTTTCTCAACATCTTTGTGGATTCATCTACTTTGGTCTTTGATGTTGGTTATCTTTGAATGGGGTCTTTGAGTGGTTGTGCTATTCCTTTCTGTTTGTTAGTTTTTCTTCTAACAGTCAGGTCCCTCTGCTGCAGGTCTGCTGGAGTTTGCTGGAGGTCCACTCCAGACCCTGTTTTCCTGGGTATCACCAGCAGAGGCTGCAGAACAGCAAAGATTGCTGCCTGTTCTTTCCTCTGGAAGCTTCATCCCAGAGGGGCACCTGCCAGATGCCAGCCTGAGCTCTCCTGTATGAGGTGTCTGTCGGCCCCTACTGGGAGGTGTCTCCCATTCAGGATACACGGGGGCCAGGGACCCACTTGAGGAGGCAGTCTGACCATTAGCAGAGCTCGAACGCTGTGCTGGGAGGTCCGCCGCCCTCTTCAGAGCCATCATGCAGGGACGTTTAAGTCTGCTGAAGCTGTGCCCACAGCCACCCCTTCCCTCAGGTGCTCTGTCCCAGGGAGATGGGGGTTTTATCTGTAAGTCCCTCACTGGGGCTGCTGCCTTTTTTTCAGAGATGCCCTGTCCAGAGAGGAGAAGTCTAGCAGTCTGGCCACAGTGGCCTTGCTGAGCAGCAGTGAGCTCGGCCCAGTTCAAACTTCCCAATGGCTTTGTTTACACTGTGAGGGTAAAACCGCCTACTCAAGCCTCAGCAATGGCGGACACCCCTCCCCACACCAAGCTCGAGCATCCCAGGTGGATCTCAGACTGCTGCTCCACTGGGAGCAAGAATTTCAAGCCAGTGGATCTTCGTTTGCTGGGCTCTGTGGGGGTGGGACCTGCCAAGCCGCATCACTTGGCTCCCTGGCTTCAGCACCCCTTTCCAGGGGAGTGAACAGTTCTGTCTCTCTGGAGTTCCAGGCACCACTGGGGTATGGCAAAAAGAAAACCCTGAAGCTAGTTTGATGTCTGCCCAGATGGCCTCCCAGTATTGTGCTTGAAACCCAGGGCCCTGGTGGGGTAGGCACCAGAGGGAATCTCCTGGTCTGCAGGTTACGAAGACCACTGGAAAAGTGCAGTATCTGGGGCAGAATGCATGGTTCCTCTGGCTCAGTCCCTCATGGCTTCCCTTGGGTAGGGGAGAAAATTCCCTGACCGCTTCACTTCCCGAGTGAGGCAATGCCCCACCCTGCTTCGGCTTGCCCTCCATGGGCTGCACCTGCTGTCCGACCAGTCCCAGTGAGATGAACCGCGTACCTCAGTTGGAAATGCAGAAATCACCTGCCTTCTGTGTTGATCTCGCTGGGAGCTGCAGACCGCAGCTGTTCCTATTCGGCTATCTTGCCAGCCAAATGCTTCCAGCTTTTCCCATTCAGTACGGTATTGGCTGTGGGCTTGTCGTAAATAACTCTTCTTATTTTGAGATACATTCCATCAATACCTAGTTTATTGAGAGTTTTTAGCATGAAGGGTGTTGAATTTTATCAAAGGCCTTTTCTGCATCTATTGAGATAATCACGTGGTTTTTGTCATTGGTTGTGTTTATGTGATGGATTATGTTTATTGATTTATGTATGTTGAACCAGACTTGCATCCTAGGGATGAAGCCGACTTGATTGTGATGGATAAACTTTCTGATGTGCTGCTGGATTTGGTTTGCCAGTATTTTACTGAGGATTTTTGCATCGATGTTCATCATGGATATTGGCCTGAAATTTTCTTTTTTTGTTGTGTCTCTGCCAGGTTTTGGTATTAGGATGATGCTGGCCTCATAAAATGAGTTAGGGAGGAGTCCCTCTTTTTCTATTGTTTGGAATAGTTTCAGAAGGAATGGTACCAGCTCCTCTTTTTGCCTCTGGTAGAATTCAACTGTGAATCCATCTGGTCCTGGGTTTTTTTTTTTTTTTTTTTTGGTTGGTAGGCTATTAATTACTGCTTCAATTTCAGAACTTGTTATTGGTGTATTCAGGGATTCGACTTCTTCCTGGTTTAGTCTTGGGAGGGTGTATGTGTCCAGGAATGTACCCATTTCTTTTAGAATTTCTAGTTTATTTGCGTAGAGGTGTTTATAGTATTCTCTAATGGTAGTTTGTATTTCTGTGGGATCAGTGGTGATATCCCCTGTATCATTTTTTATTGTGTCTATTTGATTCTTCTTTCTTTTCTTCTTTATTAGTCTGGCTAGCAGTCTATCTATTTTGTTGATCTTTTAAAAAAATCAGCTCCTGGATTCATTGGTTTTTTGAAGGGTTTTTTATGTCTCTATTTCCCTCAGTTCTGCTCTGAGCTTAGTTATTTCTTGTCTTCTGCTAGTTTTTGAATTTGTTTGCTCTTGCTTCTCTAGTTATTTGAATTGTGATGTTAGGGTGTCAATTTTAGATCTTTCCCTCTTTCTGATGTGGGCATTTAGTGCTATAAATTTCCCTCTAAACACTGCTTTAGCTGTGTCCCAGAGATTCTGGTATGTTGTGTCTTTGTTCTCATTGGTTTCAAAGAACTTATTTATTTCTGCCTTAATTTCATTATTTACCAAGTAGTCATTCAGGAGCAGGTTGTTCAGTTTCCATGTAGTTGCAAAGTTTTGAGTCAGTTTCTTAATCCTGAGTTCTAATTTGATTGCACTGTGGTCTGAGAGACTGTTAGGATTTCCATTCTTTTGCATTTGCTGATGAGTGTTTTAGTTCCAATTATGTGGTCGATTTTACAATAAGAGTGATGTGGTGCTGAGAAGAATGTATATTCTGTTGATTTGGGGTGGAGAGTTCTGTAGATGTCTGTTAGGTCCACTTGGTCCAGAGCTGAGTTCAAGTTCTGAATATCCCTGTTAATTTTCTGTCTCATTGATCTGTCTTGTTGACAGTGGGGTGTTAAAGTTTCCCACTATTACTGTGTGGAAGTCTAAATCTCTTTGTAGGTCTCTAAGAACTTGTTTTATGAATCTGGGTCCTGCTGTATTGGGTGCATATATATTTAGGACAGTTAGCTCTTCTTGTTGCATTGATCCCTTTACCATTATGCAATGCACTTCTTTGTCTCTTTTGTCTTTTTTGATCTTTGTTGGTTTAAAGTATTTTATCAGAGACTAGGATTGCAACCCCTGCTTTTTTTTTTTTTTTTTTTTTTTGAGACAGTCTTACTCTGTCACCTAGACTGGAGTGCAGTAGTGCGATCTCGGCTCACTGCAACCTCTGCCTCCCAGGTTCAAGCGATTCTCCTGCCTCAGCCTCCCAAGTAGCTGGAACTACAGGTGCATGCCACCACGCCTGGCTAATTTTTTGTATTTTTAGTAGAGATGGGGTTTCTCTGTGTTAGCCTGGATGGTCTCGATCTCCTGACCTTGTGATCTGCCCGCCTTGGCATCCCAAAGTGCTGGGATTATAGGCATGAGCCACTGTGCCCAGCCCAATGCCTGCTTTTTTCCTTTTGCTTTCCATTTGCTTGGCAAATATTCCTCCATCCCTTTATTTTGAGCCTATATGTGTCTTCGCACCTGAGATGGGTCTCCTGAATACAGCACACTGATGGGTCTTGACTCTATTTAATTTGCCAGTCTGTATCTTTTAATTGGGGGCATTTAGCCTGCTTACATTTAAGGTTAACATTGTTATTTGTGAATATGATCCTGTCATTATGATGCTAGTTGGTTATTTTGACCATTAGTTGATGCAGTTTCTTTATGATGTCAATGGTCTTTGCAATTTGGTATGTTTTTGCAGTGGCTGGTGCCAGTTTTTTTTTTCCCCCCCACATTTAGTGCTTCCTTCAGGAGCTCTGGTAAGGCAGGCCTGGTGGTGACAAAATCTCTCTGCATTTACTTGTCTGTAAAGGATTTTACTTCTCCTTTGCTTATGAAGCTTAGTTTGGCTGGATATGAAATTCTGGGTTGAAAATTCTTTTCTTTAAGAATGTTGAGGCTGGGCGTGATGGCTCACACCTTAATCCCAGCACTTTGTGAGGTTGAGGTGGGCGGATCATGAGGTCAAGAGATCAAGGGTATCCTGGCCAGGATGGTGAAACCCCATCTCTACTAAAAATACAAAAATAAGCTGGGCGTGGTGGCATGCACCTGTAGTCCCAGCTACGTGAGAGGCTGAGGCAGAAGAATCGCTTGAACCTGGGAGGTGGAGGTTGCAATGAGCCGAGATTGTGTCACTGCAGTCCAGCCTGGTGACACAGCGAGACTCTGTCTCAAAAAAAAAAAAAAAAAAAGAATGTTGAATATTGGCCTCCACTCTCTTCTGGCTTGTAGGGTTTCAGCAGAGAGATCCACTGTTAGTCTGATGGGCTTCCCTTTGTGCATAACCCGATCTTTCTTTCTGGCTGCCCTTAACATTTTTTTCTTCATTTCAATCTTGGTGAATCTGACAATTATGTGTCTTGGGGATGCTCTTCTCGAGGAGTATCTTAGTGGTGTTCTCTGTATTTCCTGAAGTTGAATGTTGGTCTGTCTTGCTAGGTTGGGGAAGTTCTTGTGGATAATATCCTGAAGAGTGTTTTCCAACTTGGTTCCATTCCCTCTGTTACTTTCAGGTAAACCAATCAGACATAAATTTGACCTGTTCACATAGTCCCATATTTCTTGGAGGCTTTGTTCATTCCTTTGCAATTTTTTCTCTAATCTTGTCTTCATGCTTTATTTCATCAAGCTGATCTTCAATCTGATATCCTTTTTTCCACTTGATTTGACTACTGATATTTGTGTATGCTTCACGAAGTTCTCATGCTCTGTTTTGCAGCTTCGTCAGGTCATTTATGTTCTTCTCTAAACTGGTTATTTTGGTTAGCAATTCATCTAACCTTTTTTAAGATTCTTAGCTTCCTTGCATTGGGTTAGAACATTCTCCTTTAGCTCAGAGGAGTTTGTTATTACTCACTTTCTGAAGCCTACTTCCATCAGTTCATCAAATTCATTCTCTCTCCAGTTTTGTGCCTTTGCTGGAGAGGAGTTGCAATCATTTGGAGGAGAAGAGGCATTCTGGTTTTTGGAATTTTCAGCATTTTTGTGCTGTTTTTTCCTCATCTTCGTGGATTTATCTACGTTTGGTCTTTGAGGCTGATGACCTTTGGATGGGTTTTCTGTGTGTGGAGGTCTTTTTTGTTGATGTTGATGTTATTGCTTTCTGTTTGTTAGTTTTCCTTCTAACAGTCAGACCTCTCTGCTGCAGGTCTGCTGGAGTTTGCTAGAGGTCCACTCCAGAACCTATTTGCCTGGGTATCACTAGCGGAGGCTGCAGAACAGCAAAGATTGCTACCTACTTCTGCCCCTGGAAGCTTTGTCCCAGAGGCACCTGCCAGATGCGAGCCTGAGCTCTCCTGTATGAGGTGTCTGTCGACCCATGTTGGGAGGTATCTCCCAGTCAGGAGGCACAGGGGTCAGGGACCCACTTAAGGAGGCAGTCTGTCCCTTAGCAGAGCTCGAGCACTGTGCTTGGAGAACCCTCTTTGTCAGGATCCACTGCTCTCTTCAGAGCCGGCAGGCAGAAATGTTTAAGTCTGGTGAAGTTGCGCCCACAGCCACCCCTTCCCCCAGGTACTCTGTCCCAGGGAGATGGGAGTTTTATCTATAAGCTCCTGACTGGGGCTGCTGCCTTTCTTTCAGAGATGCCCTTCCCAGTGAAGAGGAATCTAGAGAGGAAGTCTGGCCACAGCTGCTTTGCTGTGCTGTGTTGAGTTCCACCCAGTCCTTAACACTGTGAGGGGAAAACCACCTACTCAAGTCTCAGTAATTGTGGACGTCCCTCTCCCCACCACGCTCAATTGTCTCAGGTTGACTTCAGACTACTGTTCTGGCAGCAAGAATTTCAAGCCAGTGGTTCTTAGCTTGCTGGGCTCCGTGGGGGTGGGACCCGCCAAACGAGACCAGTTGGCTCCCTGGCTTCAGCCCCCTTTCCAGGGGAGTGAATGGTTCTGTCTTGCTGGGGTTCCAGGCACCACTGGGGTATGAAAAAGAAAACTGCAGCCAGCTCGGTGTCTGCCTGAACAGCCGCCCACTTTTGTGCTTGAAACTCAGGGCCCTGGTGGTATAGGCACACAAGGGAATCTCCTGGTCTGCAGATTGCAGATATCATGGGAGAAGCATAGTATCTGGCTGGATAACACAGTCCCTCACAACTTCCCTTGGCTGGGAAAGGGAGTCCCCCATCCTTGCCCTTTCCGGGTGAGGCAATGCCCCACCCTGCTTCTGCTTGCCCTCTGTGGGCTGCACCCACTGCCTAACCAGTCCCAATGAGATGAACTGGGTACCTCAGTTGGAAATGCAGAAATCACCCGCCTTCTGTGTTGGTCTTGCTGGGAGCTGCAGACCAGAGCTGTTCCTATTCAGCCATCTTGCCAGATCCCCCAAAGACATAATTTATAATTTGATTTTGGAAAGTTTGTCAAATCTCAAATGTTTAAATGCTTTATATTTTAAAGTAGAATTTCAGGTTACCGTAAGACATTCATTTAGCCAAAACGATAACTTAAAATTTTTTCAAAGGCAAAAAACTTTAGTCATTAATAGAGGGAAGACAGCTTTCAAGTTTTATGTCTCTTTTCTTTCCCTTCTTTTTTCTACAGTTTATTCAAAAGGCAAACAAAAATCTTTCTTTTTTTTTGATATTACATGAAAATCTTGTTCAAGAGAGAAAGCCAAATCTCATCCTTGCATTAGTGTGCTATTGATTTCAAAACCAGTTCTTAATAAAACCTTATAGACAAATCTATCCAATCTTAATCGGTTTGACCATAAGGTAAGACACCATAAACCTTTTGTACCCCTTTTCAAATTTTTGTGAAAGAGAAGATCAGTGCTCTATGAAAAACCCATTGTGCTTTTATTCCAATGTTCAATTTATGGAAAAGCTGAATAATACCCCTTTAACTTCAGCCTGTATGTTCACACACAGAATTTATTTTACAAGATTAATTTTTCGCAAACCTTCCACAATGTGCTCAAACCTTCAGCTTTATCTTATCTAACTTAAAACAATTCTTTAACCCTTTAATCTAGGCAAAAGAAAAAAAATCCACATTCCCATGGCATGTTATAATCTTTTACCAAAAACACATTTCGCTTCCCTTATACACTCTGCATGTAAAACTTTTCTTATTTCCCAAAGATTACTTAAGTCACATGAACTAAAAGGCATTACACTTTTTACTTTTCTGACAAAATATTTGATTTAAGCACTTATTATTTTTAAACCAATTAATCAAAGCTCTTTCTTACTACACACACAACACACATAAATACACAGACAGAAGATCCAGTGCTTGTAAGATTTTTCATTTGCCAGTTTCTTAATTGGATTACTGGCTTCAGGGTGGAGCCCTTGGAGGAACAGGGCCAGGAAAGCATGCAGTTTCTATGGTCTAATTAGCAGGCACAATTGGAATGCGAAAACAGAGCCCCAAAATTAAGGGTTCCATTTTAATACCGAATCCTGGATCCCTCAAAGAGAAATGCTACAGAACAACAATCCCATGATTTGACCGTGCATTTCATTGCAAAGCAACCCAAAGCCCATCAGCCCATTCTGTGATTAGCCCATCCCCCATGGGAGTCTTATCTCTCAGTTGGGGGTGGGGGGAGTGGAGACCTTTCCATAACTTCCAGGTGACCAAGAGGATGCTTCTCTGATCCAAACATGCAAAGAGCCGAGTATCCCCCCATAACTGCCATTAGCTATCCCCAAAACTATATTTCCTACATAGTTATTAGACACCAAAGCTCTCTCATAATGCGAAGTAATTTCTGATACCCCCAAAAGTCAAAACCATCAGTTAATGCAGTGCAGAACAGAACAGAACCTTAGATTTTGAGAGGGCTCGATCCACTTTTAATTAAGTTGACCTTTAACCATCGCGCTTTTTAAAGAAAAAAAAAGTTTTTAGATCTCTTATTACCCAATTTTAACCATGCCAAACTGCCAATATTTCTGATTTTTAAACTTTACCAAAGGTTAACTCCCAGGTGAAACCAGTAAATCTGAACGAAGGCTATGACTTAACCACGAATGCACCAGGTCAAGCTCCCAAGGACATAAAACAAGAAGAGAGGGAAACTTCATCCAGTTTTTTTCGTTTGTTTCGGGGACCTCCTACCAGGAGTTTCACCATGTGGTCTCTGGGCAAGACAGTCGCCCTGAGTAACAGAAAAGATAGGAAAGGGAAAGGAGAGAAAGAGAGAGAAAGCATTACCTGTGGTGAGGTGGGGAAGGCGAGCAGCTCAGGGAGGCCAGAGAAAGACCCACCCATTGCAGCAACACTGAAAAGTTCAGGTGGCCGCTTGTCAGTCGTGAAGGGATCTTTTCCAGCAGTCCCATCTGCTCTCAAGTTTCCCCTTTTAGGTAATTCTCTCTGCAGGTGAGCATCTCTTGTTATCCAGTGGAAATCTTGCCAGCTGTATGGCCTTCAGCAAGTTGCCTAACCCTCTAAGCCTCACCTTCCTAATTGGTTAAATGGAAGACCAAAGTAGTACCTGTCCCGGGGGACTGTACAATCACATAAGAAAATGTGTGCAAATCACTTAGCACAGCCCATGCCTGATATGCAGTAGACGGTCACTTCCCATCAGCTATTATTAATGAGCATCTCTGTTGGGGCTTGTGATGTAAGACACAACTGGCACTTCTTCTGTAATACAAGTCTTTACTCAAGATCATCTCTGCAGTTTACTAAGGCCTCCATAGCCCCAATAATTAACATTTTGTTTATCTCATATGAGGGAGAAGGGGAAGAGTCTGTGCGCATCTTATTGTTCTTATGTCTTCAATATTCACCCAGTTATCTGTTGTCAGCAAACACTGGTCATGAGCATCCTATCAGCACAACTCTTCTCCTCCTTATTGTTTATCTTCACTCCTTTTAATGGAGATTAGTTTTAGGTCCACATTAAATCCACCCTGGATTTGATAGCAGGTACAGAAATGCAAAGTCATATTTATATGGATCATTTCCACTCAGTTACTTTTGTCCCTGGCTTGCTGGACTGGGAGGTGAGTGGTGTGGGAGGCATTACTGTGACCACAGCAGCTATATCCCCTCTCCAGAGATTTACTTGCTCTGAGGAAGAATGAGCTGAACCATCAACTCTGTCACAAGGGCCTCTCCACCCATGGCCCACCTGCTCAACTTTGAGGCTAATTGGGCAGGAAATATTACTTGCACTTAGTTAATGAGGATCAGATTTTAAATACCTCTGTAAGACTTTTCCCCCTTTTCTGACTTTGTGTTCTTAAATGAGTAGATTAAGAAATCTTATTTATTTAATTTATCATCCCTAGGTACTTGGCATTGACAACTGGATTATTATTACTATTATTAAATTTTTTTTTTTCATAGAGTCAGGGTCTTGACTTGTTACCCAGGCTGGTCTTGAACTCCTGGGCTCAGGCAATCCCCCTCCTCAGCCTCTGAGTGTTGGGATTGTAGGCATGAGCCACTGGGCCCAGATGATAACTGTATTATTTAGGGAATTGGGTATCAGTCATTCATTCAACATATATTTCTTGAGAACTGCCCATGTTACAGACACAATTCTTGATTCTGGAGTTCCAGCAACAAACAGGGCAGACAAGATCCCTTTCCTGATAGAAAAGGGTGAGAGGCAGAAAACAGACAAGAAAACAAATATACCAGAAAATATCAGGCCAGTTGTACCAGGTATAGATTTTACTTAATAACAACAGAAACTGGCTTTAACAAAAGGCAAAAGAAGGATTTTACTGGGAGGATACAGAGTTGTTCACAGAATCAAAGAAAAGGCTGAAGAACCAAAATTTGGAAGTTCCAAAACCAGAATAACTTTGAACATCTAGGAAACTAGAAGTGACTGACTTTCTTTTTAGGACCGCACTGGAATCAATGAGCTCCTACTAGTACTTCCTCCTGGGTCAGGATGCCAGAAAGAGAAAGAGTGAGCAGTTGGTTGGTCTGGCTTCAGTCACTTAACCGACTCTTGGCCAGAGTAAGACATACCATGTGCATGAGCAGTTTCTCCATCTCCATCTCCAGTGGAGAGAGTGGTAATTTTCCAAAGCCAAACTGTTTCTCAGTTGCAGAAGAAGAAATGGATACTGAGCAGTCAAAAAGGACAGATGTCCCCTGATTTTAAGGCAGTTTACATAGAAGAGGCTTAGGGGTTTTAGTTTTTGCAGGTGTTCAAAAAATGGGTGTGATTTGGTTTGCATTAATTAAATTCACCTGGGTTTCAAGCAAGCAAAAGGTGATAAACCCATAGTTCCCTAAAGTGGTGAGAATAGAATTGAGAATTTAAGTTTAGTAATTTTGAGAAAGACATTGGTAAATTGAAATATATCAAGGGCAATCAGGTAATCAGAAGGATCTGGAAAACTTTATCTATGAAGAGTAAAGAAACTGCTTTAAATACTTTGGAGCCTCTGAAAGAAATATTAGCTGTCTCACTATTGTCATGTATTCTAAATAAGTTAAATAGTAAGCTTCATTCCCTCTTTAAATTTAATTTATTATAGAATTTTATTATGTCAAAGACTTCATTGTAGAAATTACTTTAAAATAGGTATTTCAAACTGAAAATTTGTTATTTCTGAATTTTTGTTTATGCTTCTGTAAAATGAATTTGAACCAGATCGCCTTTGGAGTCTCTCCTAGTTTCAAAATTCTGTGTTCTACAAATCCTCTCATTTTTACCAATCTGTTATAAAGCAACTATGTTGTAAATAATAATATTATTAACATGGTACTTTTGCTTGCCAAAATGTATACTATAATATTTTTGTTTTTTCTAACAGTGTTAAATTAATCTTCTTAATCTCCTTTTAAGTCAATAAAAGTCAGATGGAATTTCTTCCATTTTAGAGATTAGGAAATGAGAAACAGTGGTTCATGACAAGGAGAGGATACATTTCATTTTGTCTAGTGACCCTGAAGTGTATTATTCTTGTCCCTTTTGTAATCATTATACATCTACTATTAGATAATCATGTATCCAAAAGTTATCTGTGGTGCAAAGTCTACTTGGTTACTTAGTTGTGGCAAGGTTTTAAAAACAGTTAAAATAAAACTTGAGCATAGGAACTTGACGATAAAATCTAAGATCTTCATTTCAAGGGGAAGAAACAATTAGAATTTGGAATTTAATTAGGAAAACACAATTAAAGGGATGCAGTGTCTATTCTCCTGCTGAATATTAAAGTTCAACACAAAGGCAACCCTTACGTGAAATGTAGTTGTGGCTAATTAGCTGCGGTAATGGGCTGGAACAAGTGACTTGTTCACAGATAGACAATGAACTCTTCAGCGGCCAGAGATCAACGATCATTTAGGAAGCAAATGCTTAGAATCACATGGCTTAGAATATGCTTGTCTGGTGCAATGTTTCACAATACATAGTACACTCCCTATGTTTTCTCTCCATATTCGATATGCAACTGCTAAGAAACATTATATGCTTGGCCTTATTAATAAAGAATTATTGATATGCTAACCCTGAACTGAAACCAAAGCAAAGCGGACTGATCTCTGGAAACAAGCTGAGTAAACTCCCAAGGTCTTGGGCCACTAAGTAGAGTTGCTAGAGACAGTAGGTCTCTTCTGCTGCCTCCTGACCTTGAATATAAAACTACAAGCTCAGGTTGCAGACCACATGTTCAGAAAAGAATGATCTCTGAAAACAGCACAGGATAAAACTCAAAAGAGCCTTGGGTCTTGTAGTTTTGGCTCTGCCACTATGAGCTGTGTGACGTTCTGTAAGATCTTTACTTCTCTGGGCTTTCTGTATTTTACCTGTAAATGGCATGATTAAGTCACTCTCTAAGGGTGTTATAAAAATATCACAGCTTAGGAGATGGGAAATATAAAGATACTATGTGAAGCTGGCATTCTTTATTAGGGCAAATCTGCAAACAAGTAAAGAGTTCTTTCCTGTACCAGCCACTCAGTGACTTACTTACTTAAGTCCTGCTTGGTAGCAACCCTGTCCTGGTTCTTCCTTGGTCTCATTAGTAGGCACCTTGCCATCAGCCAGTAGGTTATCAAGACATTTATTCTCACTTCAACATTTGAGTGTTTACACATACTAGCAGTGGTTCTAGGAGCTGCAGATAGTCATGAACAAAAAAACTCCCCCACAAATCCTGCTCCCATGGACAGTCTATTATTAGTAGTAGTAGTATTTTTGTAGAGGCAAGATCTTGCTATGTTGACCAGGCTGATCTGGAACTCCTGGCCTCAAGCGATCCTCTTGCCTTGGCCTCCCAAAATGCTGGGATTACAGGCATGAGCTAAGGTGCCTTGCCAGACTGTCCAGTCAGAGCAGATAGACCAAAAGCAATCAAATAAATACACAAGACATCAGGAACGGATGATATGCGATATGAGGAAAAATAAAGCTGGTTAAAGGGTGAGATGTGCCTGGAGGGGGTTGCTATTTTAGCTGGAGAAAGCGTCCCTGATCTGAATGAAGGGAAGGAGGGGTCCTCATAGTCTCTGGGAAGGAGCAGTCCAGGGAAGCACACAGTTAAGGGCCCTATGGGAGAGCAAGCTTGGGTGTTCCAGGAACGTGGTGGAGATCAATATAGCCAGAGCCAGCAGGCAGAGAGGAGATTCTGTTCCTGATGGTAGTGAGCATCCCGGGGTGTAACAACCCCTTCTCTTCCAGGAACTAGAAAGCAGGCAGGTGACAGCACAGTCTGGGCTTAGGTGTACCAGCTGGTTGGCGTTGGTTAGGCTCAGAGAGTAACCAACCCTCTGGACAGGTGTGTGGCGAGGTACGCCGGCAGGGCCCCACGCTCTTAGGGGCCCCCCAACTTGGGCTTCAAGGCTCCATGGACACCATCTTGAAATTCTCAACACAGTTATCCTTCCTTTTGTTCTGTAAGTGAAGTCCGGGACAATGGGGCTTGTTCCCCAGGGCCTGGAGGCTCGGCTCCTGTGCGGTCCTGCCTCCTGCCTCCTCCCCACCTCGCGGACTTGGGTCTGGGTCACCTGTTCCTGCTCCTGCTCCTGCTCAGAACTGCTGCTGCCCTTCATCCTGAGAGGCCCGACACGGTGCCCCTGCCGCCCTCCACCAGACGGGCAGGGCAGGGTGGGGGCAGGGCCAGGCATGACCCTCTGCACGCCTAACCACAGGGCGGGCCCTTGGTGCCCTAAGGGTCTGTCCCCAGCCTGCCAGCATCTCTGTGCGTGAGGGAGTGTGACATTAAATAGCAAACAAAACATCTGGACAGGTCAACTGAGAGAGACTGCAGAAGAAACGCTTTTTTTCTCTTTTTTAACAAGGGACCCGCATTTCCATTTTATGCTTGTCCCTGGGTGATCTTCTTGACCAGGAATGATGTCACCCACCCCTTGGCCGCCGCTTTCTCTCCGTGGACCTCCGGTGAAGTTGGCTTTTTTTTTTTTTTTTTTTGAGACGGAGTCTCCCTCTGTCGCCCAGGCTAGAGCGCAGTGGCGCGATCTCGGCTCACTGCAAGCTCCGCCTCCCGGGTTCACGCCATTCTCCTGCCTCAGCCTCCCGAGTAGCTGGGAAGATGGCTTTTAAAGCGGGTGAACACTCTTGCACTTTCCCGTGGGGGCTGTTGCCCTCTGCTGGGCAAACCAGGAATTAGCTCTACCTCAAAATCTGTGAAGAAAATGCTCCCTATTCCAGTTTCAAAACCCAATTTGAGACAATGGTTTGAGCATCAGTTTTCTCCATCTGCACTTTTGAAGGCTGCTGCAGATTTGAATAGCCAGTTCTAAAGTGAATTACCTTGTAAGCAGGTGACTTTTGCTTAAAACCAAGCAGTCACAAACTTTAGTATCCAGATCTACCATGTAAAGTACAGCAGAAACACAACATGTTGAGCAGTTGGTTCCACTGTTGAATTGTGCCATCATATAACCTTGCTTACTGTGTGTGAAGTATTCTTCATAATCTTTAAAAGTTATTGGAATGGGCCTACACCTTAATGGTACTTTTGTTCAGGGCTTAAATAATGTAATCAGGCCAGGTGCGGTGGCTCACGCCTGTAATCCCAACACTTTGGGAGGCTGAGGCGGGCGGATCACGAGGTCAGGAGATCGAGACCATCCTGGCTAACACGGTGAAACACCGTCTCTACTAAAAATACAAAAAAATTAGCCAGGCGTGGTGGTGGGCGCCTGTAGTCCCAGCTACTCGGGAGGCTGAGGCAGGAGAATGGCATGAGCCCGGGAGGCGGAGCTTGCAGTGAGCCAAGACAGCACCACTGCACTCCAGCCTTGTCGACAGAGTGAGACTCTGTCTCAAAAAAAAAAAAAAAAAAAATGTAATCACTCCCATTTCCAAGTTCTCAACATGTGGTGACTTTTAATTTTATTGGACATAGGGAGAATTACCTGAGAAATAGTACTTTAATGATTTTAAGGCATAAAGAATTTTATATTTAACCATTAAATCACGGACTCTATGATAACCTTTCTTTTCTGGCAATGATGGTACCAAAACCATAGGAAAATACTCTGTTAAACCTGGTGGACTTTTGCTGTCTTTTCCCTATTTCACTCTGTGTGTGTGTGTGTGTGTGTGTGTGTGTGTGTGTGTGAGAGAGAGAGAGAGAGAGAGAGAGAGAGAAATTGTAAAGCATAAGTAAAAACTGAAAGATGGCCAGGCAGTGGCTCATGCCTGTGATCCCAGCATTTTGGGAGGCTGAGGCAAGTGGATGACTTGAACCTCTGGAGTTTGAGACCAGCCTGGGAAACATGGTGAAACTCCATCTCTACAAAAAAATACAAAAATTAGCTGGGCATGGTAGTGTGTGCCTGTAGTCCCAACTACTCAGGAGGGTGAGTGGGAGGATCACCTGAGCCCACTGAGATTAAGGCTGCAGTGAGCTGTGATTGTGCCACTGCACTGCAGCCTGGGCAACACAGGGAGACCCTGCCTAAAAAAAACTGATGAAAGATGAGCTTCCTCTGTGTATAAGCACAGGAGTGTGATTTACACCACGGAAGTCCCTGTCTAGACTCTACTGTGTGCTAAGCACAGTGGCATGCGCTTCATACATTTTGTCTCATTTAGCAACATTGCAAGGCAGATATTGTATTTCCCGTAGAAAACTGACAATCAGTGAATTTAAATAATGTGCCCTAGGTTGTTAAGCTAGAAACTGATATTTTGCCCTCAATGCCAGATCCACCTGACTCCAAAAACCCCTGTTTTTCCACTGTGCAATGTGGTTGCCTAATGAATGATTCTAACCCTGGTTAGTTTTGTAGAGAACTAAAGCCCTAAGCAGGTGTTCAGGGGAAGAGCTGGACTTGGACTCCATGTTTCCTACCCTAATCCAATTTATTAAATTGCTAGAATAACTTAGCTTTAGGAAGTGGGGATGATCCTTTAAAATTCCCCCTTTCTTATCTCCTATGTGGTGTTTGGGTCCTCCAAAAATTATCTAGATTGAGAGATATAAAAGAATGACCATTTTGGCCAGGAGTGGTGACTCACGCCTGTAATCCCAGCACTTTGGGAGGCCAAGGCAGGCGGATTGCTTGAGCCCAGGAGTTCAAGACCAGCCTGGGCAACAGGGCGAAACCCTGTCTCTACCAAAAATACAAAAGTCAGCCAAGTGTGGTGGTGGGTGCCTGTAATTCCAGCTACTCGGGAGGCTAAGGAAGGAGAATCACTTGAACCTGGGAGGTGGAGGTTGCAGTGAGCCAAGATCACACCACTGCACTTCAGCCTGGGCTACAGAGCAAGACTCTCTCTCAGAAAAAAAAAAAAAAAAAAAAGAATGACCATGTCAACAACAGTTGAAGTGGATTATATATTGATCTTGGTCTAACTGTTCTGGAGAACAGAAGCTAAGCAAATAGGCCACCCACTTTAACATCAACCAGTGTAACCATCCAATGAGTTGATCAATCAGCCAATATTTATTGAGCATCTCCTATGTGATAAGGACCAAGATAGGTATTAGACAACTGGAAATAAATAAGGCATGAGGTCAGCCAAAGGGGACGAACAAACATGTAAACAAAAGTACATTGCAATGCAAGTTCTACACACACACAGCTACGGGACTACAGAAGGAAGAGCAACAGATTCCACCTGGGAGAATGGGGGAAGGCTCCCCTGACGGACACTCACCCATGCCAGCATACCTTCAATATGGAGAAGCCATTTGCATGACATGTTTCTAGTTCTTTTAACAACAAAGTGTATATTCTTCCATTCCAGATTGTACAGGCAAGAGATTTCATAAGATAATCTAGAAACTGGAAATAGTAAATTTTTTTGAAAGCAGCTTCATTATTTTGGCTAATAAGTAACAGAGATGTGAATTACTATGAGGTTCTAGTAAATTTAGATTCTCTAGAGAAATTGGGCAGCAAATGAAAGCTTAATTTCAACTTGGTTAAACACAATGTAATTGGAATAGTTGCACTTTGGGAGGCTGAGGCGGGCAGATCACGAGGTCAGGAGATTGAGACCATCCTGGCTAACATGGTGAAACCCCGTCTCTACTAAAAATATAAAAAAATTAGCCCGGCGTGGTGGCAGGCACCTGTAGTCCCAGCTACTCGGGAGGCTGAGGCAGGAGAATGGCGTGAACCCGGGCGGCAGAGATTGCAGTGAGCCAAGACTGAGCCACTGCACTCCAGCCTGGGCGACAGAGCGAGACTCCATCACCAAAAAAAAAAAAAAAAAAAAAAAAAAAAAAAAAAAAAAAAAAAAAAAAAGAATTGGCATGCTAATTTAATTAAAAACTTAAGCCAGGTGCAGCGGCTCATGCCTGTAATCCCAACACTTTGGGAAGCTGAGGCAGGAGGATCACTTGACCCCAGGAGTTCAAGACCAGCCTGGGCAACAAAGTGAGACACTGTCTCTACAAAATAATAATAATAATAATAATAAATTAGCTGGGCATGAAGTCTGCTGGTTACACTGGAGGCTGAAGTGGGAGGATCACTTGAGCTCAGGAGTTCAAGGCTACAGTGAGCTGTGATTATTCCACTGCACTCCAGCCTGGGTAACAGAGCAAGACCTTGTCTAAAGAAAAAAAAAAGAAAAAAGAAAAAAATGAAAACAAACATGTCAGTTAAAACGGCAACTACTTGTATAATCTTAATGAGTTTTCAATTTAAACATTTTCCAATTAGAAATAGGATTAATTTTAGGGCTTTCATATGTATTATATTTTGAAGACTTCTTTAAAAATGACATAGGCTGGGCACGGTGGCTCATGCCTGTAATCCCAGCACTTTGGGAGGCAGAGGCAAGTGGATCACGAGGTTAGGAGTTCAAGACCAGCCTGACCAACATGGTGAAGCTGTGTCTCTACTAAAAATACAAAAATTAGCCGGGCATGGTGGCATGCACCTGTAATCCCAGCTACTCAGGAGGCTGAGGCAGGAGAATCGCTTGAACCTGGGAGGCAGAGGTTGCAGTGAGCCAAGATCGCACCACTGGACTCCAGCCTGGGTGACAGAGTGAGACTCCGTCTCAAAAAAAAAAAAAAAAAATGACATAAAGAAAATTAAAGTCAAGCCACACTCAGGAGAACATATTTTAATACATATCACCAACAAAGGATTAGTATAGTGCATACGCAATGATCTATAAATCTGTAATATATGACCACACAATTGAAAAATAGGCAAAAGAAATGAACTGGTATTTCACAAAACAGAAAATATGTATGGCATATAACCATAAGAAGAGATGCTGTGTCTCACTAGTAATCAAGGAAATACCAAGTAGAACCACAGTTAGATATTTTATACCCACTAGATTGCCAAAATTTAACAACTCTTACCATATAAAGTTTTGAAGAGGATGAGAACAAATGGGAAATCTATATTGCTGGAGAGACGGGACATTGTGCAGCCACATTAGAAAAATGTTTGGCATTATTTTGAATACTTTTTTGATACACGAAGCGACTTTTATGAGATGTTCATATGGATTCATATTAACCAAAACTAGAAACAACCCATCAGGGAAATGATGGATTATTGTATAGCAGAGAAAATGAGTTGACATCAATTGTGTGCTACAACATAGATGACTCTTAGAAACATTATACTGAGTAAAAATTGCAAGTTGCAGAACCTTATTAAGGATGATACAGTTTTTATAAAGCTAAAAAGAAACATCACAAGATATTATTCAGTTATCCATACATATGTGATAAAATTATTTTAAAAGACAGAAAGAATCGACCTAAAATTCAGGATGAAGGTTATGTTGGGGGGTGGCATGAGGAGGAGGAGGCGAAGGGAATGGGATAGAGGAGGAGCCCATTAAGGGATGCAGGCCTTGGCTTGGGTCATGAGTTCATGTGTTATTTTGTTTTATAACCTACATATATGTTACATAAATTTCTCTGTATTTTTCAATGTTATATTAATATGATGAATGATAAAAGAAATTTGATATGATTTTTATTGACCAGATTTGCAAGACTTTTAAACGGAGATTAAAATAAAGGTGAAACAATAGGCTTTCTTGTACATTGATGTTAGGAGTACAAATTGGTGCAGTCTTTTTAGTTGAATCTCTCTCTTTACACACAACACACACACAGGTGTGTATGTGTATATGTGCATAATATGCACATACATATATGTATGTATATACAATCTATTATATATAGCCATAAGTATGTTAACTTCTGTATCCCAATAATTCAATTGTGAGGAAATAAAGGCTTTAAAAAACCTGTAGTTAAAAAAAGATACAATTAGTGAGTTCTTTTTCACGTCAGGGAATTGTCACTTTCCTTCCCTCTGCCTGGAAGACAGTGCTGGAGACTCACAGCCAAAGTACATACTCAACCCTTCCAAGTTTTTATCGTAGGATCTTATTTATTTTTTCCATGGTCCTTGCACAATCTGAAATTGCCTAGGATGTGAATTTCCTAAGTACAGAGACTATGTGTGATGTGTTTACTGCTGTCACACTGTGCTGGCACAAAGTAGATGATCAGTGAACACCTGTTGAGAAATGAATGCCTAGGAAAAAAAAAGAAAAGGACTTTCTTGGGCCAAACTGGCCAAAATATGGAAGGCTCAAAGGAATATAAGTAATGTGTGTACCAGCATTCTGCAATTTTACAATCATATTCAGATTTTGGGGGTTAATATTTACTACTTGGCAGAGAAATGCCTTTTTGAGATCATAGGTAAAATGCTAGGGGATTGTCATTCTGCTAAGAAAGCCTCTTGCAAGGTCTTCTGTGATGAGGACTTTAGATCTTTAACATAAATAACAGGTAGGGAAACATCAGAAAAACTAGTTTGAATAGATCAGGTTTCCTGAAAAGGATTCTTTGTGTGCTCTACGGCAAATTCTGTGGTAAAATCCATGTGTACACTTTCCAATAGGCTTTGCCATAATAACTAAAGTTTAATCCACTATTAAGTATATAAAAAAAGCAAAGGGAAGCAAATAACATGTTTTTTAAAATACGGAATTTTAGTTATAGCCCTAAATTAATGTCATATTCCCAAGGGACTTATAATGCATTTGAAATTTAAATAGCACAAAGAGGGTTGCAGGCATTTTATTTTACTAATGTTTTCGCCACAGCAAACATAATTGCCTGGGGGAATTTACCACAGGTCTAGGGACAGAATTTATGATTTTGTTTCATTTCCCATAATTTTTGCCACTAGAAAACAAAAAGCAGAGCAATCTCAAATCTCAGTAAAAACAGACTTTCAAGGCAAACTTACAAAAGGAGTGTGCATTATTGAGACAAAAACAGCCAACGCAGTTTATGCCTTTTTTTTCTTTAGGGTGTTAGCTATAGTACTCCAAATTGTAACCAAATTTTAGAAGAACAAAAAGAAGTCCTTCAGCTCTTGAATATTAAAGCCAAAAGTAAATCATAGGCCATTTTCAAGAACGGTAACCAACTATGTAATCTACATTGGAGGAGGCGGTGTTGATGGTATTTAGTAACTGCAGGCAATGTGTCATGAACCCTGCTAAGGGAGGAAAGACAGTTAAGGCTGGCTCTAAGCAACACGGCCAGAAGCTAGAGTGGTCTGCCTTTGGGCCTTTGGTTGTTCTGTTCCATTTTCCCTGCTCAGGATGAAAGGATTACCATTCTCCCTGGAACCAGGTTGGTGGTGGCAAAGCAGCAGCGGAAGGATGAGGAGAAGCTGGGCGGTCCTGAGCCTCTGTATGTGGAGCAGGACTTATGGGGCACACGTACCCAGGAGCTGGGCAGTGTGTTTGAAATGGGGAGGTATGGCTCCCCATCACTGGATGGAGATGCCTGCACACACACCCCCAGCCTTACGCAGATCCAGGACAAAACGCCTAGGAAGACAAAGATCCCATTGATCCTTGATGCCGTGGGTGCTCTTGTGAAAATCGCCCCTTTGCCTTCTATATTATTTCAATCCCTGGTTACGTTTCTAAAAATTATGGTAAAATACACATAAAATTTACCACCGTAACAATTTTTAAACAGTGTTAAGTACATTTACATTGTTGTGCAACAATCACCACCATCCACCTCCAGAACTCTTTCCATTTTGTGAAACTAAAACTTTGTACCCATTAAACATCAACTCCACATTCCCCCTGCCCCCAGCCCCTGGCAACCACCATCCGACTTCTTGTCTCCATCAACTTGACTAGTCTAGGTACCTTGTATGAGTGGAATTGTACAGTATTTGTCTTTTTGTGACTGGCTTATTTCATTTAGCATAATGTCCTCATGGTTCATCCATGTTGTGGCATGTATCAGGATTTTTTTTTTTTTGGCTGAATAATATTCCATTGTAGGGATAGATCATATTTGGTTTATCCATTCACCCATCAGCAGACACTTCGTTGCTTTTCCCTTTTGGCTGGTGTAAATAATGCTACTATTAACATGGGTGTGCGTATATCTGTTTGAGTCCCTGCTTTCCATTCTTTTGGGAATATACCCAGAAGAAAAATTGCTGGAGCATATGGTAGTTCTGTCTTTAGTTTTCTGGGGAGCCTCCACACTGTTTTCTTCAGTGGCTGTACCATCTCATATTCACATCACAGTGCACAAGGGTTCCATTTACCTTGCTTCTGGTCACATTTTATGTGACTGGAACACGTCTGCTTCATTGTAAAGAATACTATCACATCTGGTTACTTTTTTCTCTCTCCTCGAAAGCATCCATCTCATGTCAATTTTTTTCTTATCAACAGCCCAAGTCTCAGTGTGGGTTTTGTTCTGGGAGTGCAGAGGACAGCCAGGTCACCAAGAATATGCCTTAATGTTTATAATTATCATAAATTATATATGTATGGCATTTTTCAGTTTATAAAACACACTTGCATTTATTACATCTTTGATTCCTGTCCTACAAGGGAGGTGACACAGTTTTTCTTATTCCCCTTCCTTTTTGATGGAGAAACTGTGCCTCACAGAAGCTAAGTAACCTGCTCAGGTTATATAGCCAATGTAAGACCAGAAAAAATATCTTCTGGCTTTGACATATTTGGTGCTTTTCCCATCCCACTGTGAGACTTCTCAAGCCAACTCCATAGACACATGCACAGAGACTAGTGTGGTTATTCTCCTTCCAGATTTAGAGAGACTGCATATTCTAGGAAAAAAAAAACTCCTGACTTAAATACTTTAAAATACTATAAAATATCCAATGAATAGCTGTGATGGATGCTGCTTGTGAGATCTCTGCAAATTCCCTTGGTCCCACTGTTTGTTCCAGCTGCTGTTGCAGCAACCGATTTCAAGAGGCTTAGACCAGCCTCATGCCAGTGTAACCAGGCAGTACCCTCACCTTGATTATGCCCTGTGGATCTCTCGCTTTCCTCCCTGAAGAATCTCTGGCATCATGGCATGGGGTACCTGTAGACACTTCTCATCTCTCACACATGCACACTCTAGCTGAGTGGGTGAGTTAAAACTCCTGCACCGCCCTTGACCAATAGAAAATGGAAGCCAGTGGCTAAAAGAGTGTCCCCTTTCATCTCCCAGGAGGATATTTCTGAGACGCATTTTTTAATCTTCCCCAATTTAAATCTTCTAATTTAAAAGTAAACTTTACTGTGGAAAATGCAAACTTGAGGAGGGCAGAAAGATCACACACAAGGCTGCCACTTCACACCTGGAGGGTTGCACAGCGGCTGGGCAGAGGCGCTCCTCACTTCCCAGGCGGTGTGGCCACCAGAGGGCGCTCCTTATGTTTCAGACGGTGCCGCCACCAGGCAGAGGTGCTCTGAGATGCGTTTTATAACATGTTCTTTCAAAGGACCTGGAAAGATCCGATGCCATTCACCTTCTGAGTGGCCAACTCAATAAAGCATCCAATATTTTACATGACCTCCTTCCATGTTCTACAACTGCCTTCTATATAGCTGCTTTTTGGGATCATTTACCCAGTAATCTACTTGAACATGAACTTCCTCTTACACCCCCTCGTTCTCTGCTTTTAGGGCAACCTGTGCTAAGACAGTTCTAGAAGTAGCTCTGGAAAACAGCCCCTCAGGATGGGATTTTGGCTGGATCACTTTCCAGTCAGACAGCAATAAGGACTCCATTGCTAGCATACATTGAGAGTGATAATCCTGGTACGCAGTGGCACCAAAATTAATAAGATTCTCTTGGCCGGGCGCAGTGGCTCACGCCTGTAATCCCAGCACTTTGGGAGGCCGAGGCGGGTGGATCATGAGGTCAGGAGATCGAGACCATCCTGGCTAACAAGGTGAAACCCCGTCTCTACTAAAAATACAAAAAATTAGCCGGGAGCGGTGGTGGGCACCTGTAGTCCCAGCTACTCGGGAGGCTGAGGCAGGAGAATGGCGTGAACCCGGGAAGCGGAGCTTGCAGTGAGCCGAGATTGCGCCACTGCAGTCCGCAGTCCGGCCTGGGCGACAGAGCGAGACTCCGTCTCAAAAAAAAAAAAAAAAAAAAAAAAAAGATTCTCTCATCTGATGGATTAGACTGAGGCAAAAATGGAAATGAAAGCATTGAGATTTGAAGTATGTTTAAAATGTAACAGTTTGGGGAAAATAATTATAAGGATTGTGGCAGAGCTTCCCAGGAGACTGATGGCACAGCCTCAACTGGTCTCCCGTGTCAGAATCAGGGCTCTGATACAAGACAAGAAGGTCCTGAGGTCTTGGATAGGGATGTTAGGGCTGACAAGCCTGAGTATTTTGAATCCCTAGATTTCCTTGAACATCTGGGCTGGTAGAAGCAGGTCATTCCCTCTTGCTAGAGGAGAGAAAACTCCACTTGCTTGATTTCCTGTGTAAATATCACCTAAGGCTTATGCCCCATGACGTGGTGTTGTGCTCTTCAAGATCTGCCCACGTGGTCCCGCCATTGCCTCCATGCTGGTACCCAATGTTGGCTTTCAGCTCGGCCTGAGCAGAAAAATACAGACCCTCCTCCAGGAATAAGAAGCTTATACATACACTCACAAACCTGCATGCCCACACACGTATATACATATATTTTGTGGCAAAACCTTCTCAGGTATGTGTGCTAACCTATTGGCTAATGTGGTGCTGTGTGGTCAATAGCTAAAATATATTGGTCCAAGAACCACAGAACAGAAGAAGGAGTAGGTCCTCTCATCAATACTCCCAGTGACCCACTCATAATGTGTGCTTCCTCTGAAACCTTGGACTTTGCTGGATTAGAGGCTCTGATCACTGCAATAGTTCCAAAGAACTTGAAGGTACAACTACCATCTGGTCACTTTGAGCTTCCCATGCCAATAGACCAGCAGGCAAAGAAAGTAGTTATTATTCTGGCAGGAGATGTTGATCCTGGTTATCGTGAGGAGCTACAATTGTTGCTGCGCAAGGTGGGCAGGAGTATGCCAGAATGCAGGGGAGTGCTTCCATGACCAGCAACAGCAATGAATGGGCAATTGAAGAGGTCATGGCTAAACAGAGACAAGGCCACTAAGGGGCCAAGCCCCACCTGACAAGTAAACTAGCCTGGCCAAAGTCTTGGCAGAGGTAAAGAAAATCTGGAATGGAAAATAGAGGAGGAAAATGTTCATTATCAGTTACCTTCTAGGCACCAGGCACAACAGAAGAGGCTGTAGCTTGGTCCTCTAACCCACTGGTATTAAGGCTTTTTAGAGATTACTGCTGGCTGCCACTGAGAATGGAACTATTTTACGAATTGAGTTTAGTAGGAAGCACAAGAGATATGAGCGACGCAAGGAGATGTATCTGTGATGCATTTTATAAGAGCCCAGCAAGATCAAGCATAAGTCATCTGGAGCAGTGGCTAACTTGATAATGAATTTTAATATTGTTTTTCCCCCCTTCACTCATGTCTTTTTGCTGTTCCCTGGGATCATTTCCCAAATAAATTACCTGCACATAAGATTTTGTCTCATGGTCTGCATTTAGGAGAACTCAGGCCATAATGACACATTTAAATGCATAGCTAAATTCACAAGAAAGTAAGCCAGGCACTAAAAGAAAAAGAGAAAGATGAGGCCAGAGTGGTAAGTAAGTGGGTACAGTACTCAATAAATAGATGACCTATAAACTAGGGTTTTGATGTTTTGTGGGTAGAAGATTAGATCTTTGGTTTCTACAACCGGAGATGTCGGAGCTAAAATCTCTGCATAAAGCCTTTAAGGGCTGCATCATCAGTAAAAGTGTGGATTATAAAAAGACCAACCCATCAGTAAAATGAGTCCAGGAAAAAAAAAAGATCTCTAAATAAACAATTGCAAATATATTAGGAAATATCCCACAGTGTGAGAGTCAGCAGAAAAAGTGTTACAAATTGATATGGTGTAGATCTGTGTCCCATCAAATCTCACGTTGAATCCCCAATGTTGGAAGTGGGGCTGGGTGGGAGGTGATTGGATCATGGGGGTGGATCCTTCATGAATGGTTTAGCACCATTCCTTTGGTGCTGCTCTCATGATAGTGAGTGAGTTCTCACAAGATCTGGTTATTTAAAACTGTGTAGCACGTCCCCGCTCTCTTTCTTGCTATTGCTCTGGCCATGTGAGATGCTTTTCTCCCCCTTTGCCTTCTGCCCTGCTTCTTGAAGCTTCCCCAGAAGCAGAAGCTGCTATGGTTCCTGTACAGCCTGCAGAACCATGAGCCAATGAAACCTCTTTTCTCATAAATTACCCAGTCTCAGGTATTCCTTTATAGTAATGCAAGAATGGACTAACACAGAAAATTGGAACCAAGGAGTAGGGCATTACTATAAAGACACTGGAACATGTGGAAGTGACTTTGGAATTGGGTAACAGGCAGAGGTTGGAAGAGTTTGGAGGGCTCAGAAGAAAACAGGAAGATGAGGGAAGGTTTGGAACTTCCTAGAGACTGGCTAAATGGCAGTGATCAAAATGCTGATAGAAATATGGACAGAGAAGGCCAGGATGAGGAGGTGTCACATAAAAACGAGGAACTTATTGGGAACCAGAGCAAAGGTCAGTTTTGTTGTCTTAGCTGTGAACTTGGCTGCATTGTGCCCCTGCCATAGGGATCTGTAAAACCTCGACCTGGAGAGTGATGATTTAGCCTTCTGGTGGAAGAAATTTCTAAGCAGTAAAGTATTCAATATTTGTCCTGGCTGCTTCTAACAGCCTATGCTCATATGCATGAGCAAATAAATGATCTAAGGTTGGAACTTATATTTAAAGGGGAAGCAGAGCATAAAAGTTTGGAAAGTTTGCAGACTGACCATATAGAGAAAAGAAAAGCCCATTTTCAGGGGATGAATCCAAGCAGTCTGTGGAGCAAGCATTTGCTAGAGAAATTTGCGAGACTAAAAAGGCAAGTGCCAATAGCCAAGACAAAGGGGAAAAGGCCTCAAAGAGGACTTTTGAGACCTCACATTTCAGAGACCTTGTGGCAGCCTCTCCCATCACAGGCCCAAAGGCCTGGGACAAGAGAATGGTTTAGTGTGCCAGGCCCAGGGACGTGCTACCCTGTGCAGCCTGCTACTGTGTGCAGTCTCAGGACACTGCTCCCCATATCCCAGGCACTCTAGCTCTAACTCCAGTTGTGGCTCAGAGGGGCCCAAGTGAAGCTTGGGCCATTGCTTCAGAGGGTGCAAGCCATGAGCCTTGGTGACTTCCATGTGGTGTTAAGTCTGTGGGTGCACGGAATGCAAGAGTGGAAGTTTGGAGCTTCTGCCTAGATTTAAGAGAATGTATGGAAAAGCGTGGATGTCCAGAGAGAAGCCTAATGCAGGGGTGGAGCCCTCATGGAGAACCTCTATTAGGGCAGTGGGAAGGGGAAATGTGGGGTAGGAGCCCCACAGAGAGTCCCCACTGGGACATTGCCTAGTGGAGCTGTGAGAAGAGGACCACCATCCACTAGACCCTAGAATAGTTGATCCATCAAGTGCTTCCACCCCGCACCTGGAAAAGCCACAGGTGCTCAACGCCAGCCCATGAGAGCAGCCATGGGGGTTGAACCCTGCAAAGACACAAGGGCAGAGCTGCCCAAGGCCCTGGGAGCCCACCTCTCATACCAGTGTGCACTGGGTGTGAAACATGGAGTCAAGGAGATTATTTTGGAGCTTTAAGATTTAGTGACTGTCCTGCTGGGTTTCAGATTTGCATGGGGCCTATAGCCCCTTTCTTTTGTCAGAGTTCTCCTTTTTGGAATGGGAATATTTACTCAACCCTTGTACCCTTATTGCATCTTGGAAGTAACTAATTTGTTTTTGACTTCACAGGCTCATAGGTGGAAGGGACTTGTCTTGTCTCAAATGAGACGTTGGACTTTTGAGTTAATGCTGGAATGAGTTAAGACTTTGAAGGACAGTTGAGAAGGGATGATTGTATTTTGCAATGTGAGAAAGACATGAGATTTGGGGAGACTGGCTTTGGATCTGTGTCCCCATCCAAATCTCAAGTGAAATTGTAATCCCCAGTGTTGGAGGTGGGGCCTGGTGGGAGGTGGTTGGATCATGGGGGTGGATTTTTCCATGTATGGCTCAGCACCATCCTCTTGGTGTTGTTCTCATGATAGTGGGTGAGTTCTCACAAGATCTGGTTGTTTAAAAGCATGTAGCACCTCCCCCCATACCTCTCTTTCTTCTGCTCCTACCATGTGAGATGCCTGCTCCCCTTTGCTTTCCACCATGATTGGAAGCTTCCTGAGGCCTCCCCAGAAGCAGAAGCCACCGCATTTCCTATACAGCCTGCAGAACTATGAGCCAGTTAAACCTCTTTTCTCATAAAATACCCAGTCTCTGGTATTTCTTTATAGCAGTGTGAGAACAGACTAACATGTACATTTAATGTGCTCTTCCAAAATTTGTATGTTGACATATAACATCCAAGGTGACGGCATTTGGAAATAAGGCCTTTGGGAGGTAATAAGGTCATGAAAGTGTACCTTTCATAAATGGGATTTGTGCCCTTATAGGAAGAGACATGAAAACTAGATCACTATTTTTTCACCATTTGAGGATATAAGAAAAGGCTTTAGCCACCTGCAAAGCTGAAGAGAACCCTCACCAGAACCTGACCATGCTGGCACCCTGATCTTAGGTTTATAGCTTCCAGAGCTGTGAGACATATGTTTCTGTTGTTTATAAGCCATTGAGTTTATGATATTTTATTATATCAGCCTGAGCTGATTAAAACAAAAGGCAGGCCGGATACGGTGGCGCACGCCTGTAATCCCAGTACTTAGGGAGGCTGAGGCGGGCGGATCACGAGGTCAGGAGATCGAGACCATCCTGGCTAACATGGTGAAACCCCATCTCTACTAAACAAAATACAAAAAAAATTCTCTGGGCATGGTGGCAGGCACCTGTAGTCCCAGCTACCCGGGAGGCTGAGGCAGGAGAATGGCGTGAACCTGGGAGGCGGAGCTTGCAGTGAGCCAAGATAGTGCCACTGCACTCCAGCCTGGGTGATAGAGCGACACTCCGTCTCAAACAAAAACAAAAACAAACAAACAAAAAACAAAAAGCAAATAATATTATTAGACCCTTGAGGGCTTCAGGTATTAGACTAATCAAATGTAAAAATTAAAAAAAAAAAATCCCAACATGTTCACTAAAATTAAACACCAGTTTCAAAATATGAGAAAAAAAGAGATTATAAAATGGACAGGCATATTTGAAAAAGAACTGACTGAAATGAAAAAAGAAACTATAAGAAATGAAAAAGAACTAAAACGAATGTCAAGACAAGTTTAAAATGGGGTAAACTGATGATTAGGCATTACAGATTTAAAAATTAGTGAAATGGGCTGGGCGCAGTGGCTCACACCTGTAATCCAAGGACTTTGGGAGGCTGAGGTGGGTAGATCACTTGAGGTCAGGAGTTCGATACCAACCTGACCAACATGGCGAAATCCCTTCTCTACTAAAAATCCAAAAATTAGCTGGGTGTGCTGGTGCAGGCCTGTAATCCCACCTACTTGGGAGGCTGAAGTGGGAGGATTGGTTGAACTTGGGAGGCAGAGGTTGCAGTCAGCCGAGATGGAGTCACTGCACTCCAGCCTGGGTGACAGAGGGAGATTCTGTCTCAAGAAAAAACAATTAGTGAAATGGAATAAAGATGTGAAGAAGTTATCCAGAATGTAGAGGGAAAGAGAGAATGAGAGACTAAGACAGTGGGAGACAGAAGGGAACAGAGAGAAAAAAAGGAAAATAAGAAAAATTGATTAAGGGACATGGAATAGAATAAGAAAGTACAACGTGCATTTAATTGGAATTGCAAAAACATACAATGGGGAAAATCAATATTAGAAGATAGTATTAGAGAGTTTTCCAAAATTGATAAAAGACAAGAATTCTTAGATGTAGGAAGCACAATAAACCATGAGCAAAAGAAAGAAAAATAAATCCACACATAGACACAAAGAGGCAAACTTTGAAATAACCAAGACAATGGGAAAATCTTATAAGCAAACATAGAAGAGATAGATCACTTCCAATGGCATAATTGGATTGGTAGCTGACTTCCTAGCAGCATCACCTGAAGTCTGAAGACAATGGGAAAACATTTTCTAAAAGCTGAAAGAAAAGTAATTGTTAACTTAGAATTGTAAAAGTGGAAAACTATCACGCAAAAATGAAAATGAAATAAAGACATTTTTAGAAATACAAACTGGAGAGTATTTCTAACCAATAAACATTCACAAAGGAATTTTTGATGATGCACTTCCAAAAAGAAGGAAACTGATCCCAGAATGAAGATCTACGATTTAAGAAGGAATGATGAGAAAACACTCACTATAAAATAGTAACACTCACTATAAAATAGCCTAATTCTCAAGGTAAAAGAACCCCACTAAAATATTTCCTGATATAATGTAGAACAGGTGGAGAATCATTGGTGTATAAGTGCTCAAAAGTTGTTTTTTTTTTGTGGGGGGAGACACAAGACGTAAAAAAATTAGAATTTGGCTGGGCTCAGTGGCTCACGCCTTGTAATCCCAGCACTTTGGGAGACCGAGGCAGGTGGATCACCCGAGGTCGGGAGTTTGAGACCTGACCAACATGGAGAAACCCCGTCTACTAAAAATACAAAATTAGCCAGGTGTGGTGGTGCATGCCTGTAATCCCAGCTACTCAGGAGGCTGAGGCAGGAGAATTGCTTGAACCTGTGAGGTGGAGGTTGTGGTGAGCCGAGATCGCACCATTGCACTCTAGCCCTGGGCAACAAGAGCGAAACTCCGTCTCAAAAAAGAAAAAACATTAGAATTTCCAGTTACTACATGTTACAAGTTTAAATATAACTACTGGGAGAAAAAAATATAGTGTATAATTTTTAAAACAGAGAATAAAAAACAATGGAAAGTTTCCCTTAGTCAATCCAAGGAAGGTAGAAAAGAAGAAAAGATGCATTGAAAAGCAGGACCAATAGAAAGCACAAAATTGTATGGCAGAAATAGGTTCTATTATATAAGTCGTTGAAATGTTTTAAATGGGGCAGATCCACAGGTTAAAAGATAAATGTCGTCAGACTGAATAAAAATAACCAGATATTGCAAGCTTACAAGGAACATACCTAAGAAAGCACAGAAAGGTAAAATGATGGAAAAAGATATATGCCTCTTATTTACCAAAAGGAAGCTTCTGTAGAAATGCTTACAGGAGAAGAAAATATATTTTAAGGTAAACAGTTTTAAGGAAAGAGTCACTTCATAATTATAAAATATATTTTACCAAGAATATATAGCATTTCAAAACTTATTTGCCTCTAGTAACGTAGCTTCAATACATATACAAAGCAGCAGCTCACAGGATTGCAAAGAGAAATTAACAAATTCAGCATCACAGTGGGGGATTGTAATACTCTCAGTAATTGATAGCTCATGAAGACAAACTCAGAAAAGATAGACTACTTGGATGAAAAAAATTAAAAAGCTCAATCTAAAAAGTCCAATGTAGAGCCCTACACCTAAATTAGAAGATACACATTCTTCTCAAGAATGTGCAGTATTTTTGAGTAGGCCGCAAAGCAAGTGTATATCTATTTCAAAGAATTTGTATCAAAAAGACCATGTTTTCTGGCCACAATTAAATTAAATTAAAAATAGCAAAAAGATATCTAAAAAAGCCTCATGCATTTAGAAATTAACACACTTCTAAAATAATTCATGGGTCAAAGAAGAAATCACAACGGAAATTAAGAACTTTATAATTTAATGATATTGAAAGTACTGTAGCTAAAAATGTGTGGGAAATATATATGTGCAAAAAAAGACAGGAAATATATATGTGCAAAAAAAGATTGAAGAATCATGAGCTAAGTTTTCAATTTGGAAGTGAGAAAAAGAATAGAATAAGCCCAAAGAACATAGAATAAAGGAAAAAATAATAATCAGAACAGAAATTAGTAAACTTGTAAAGAAAATACAGTAGGGTCAACAAAGTCAAAAGCTGGTTCTTTAAAAAGACAAAAAGGAGACAAACTTCAGGCTTAATGAATTAAGAAAACAAATATTAAGAAAAAAGTCACATCTAAACAATATTAGAAAAAAATGGCTGTAACTATAGAAGTAGCAGGTATTTAAAACGAGTAAGAAAATACTATGAAGAGAGCACTGCAATGACGATATATATATATAAACAACTCCATGCTAGTTGTGAAGGATACAGAACTGTCCCTTAAAGGAAGGACTCGCCTCAGCTCTTGGCAATGCTGTGAGCAGATTGTCTTGGGCCGTCTACTCCTTGTGTTTGCCTCACCTGCAGAGAGCCCCCTCGCCCAAGAATACACCTTCCCTGGAAAGTCCATAGCCAATGGTGGATCTGGTAGGGACATAGAGACCTTAACCATTCAGCCCACCCTGGGACAATTCTGAATGAGTCCTACATGTAGCAGTGTGCATGTAAATGTTTAATAACGGGCTCCTTTAAGGAAAACATCCTGATTTGCAGTGTTTGCTAATTTCTGTGGTGAAAATACATCCTCCATAGATGGTTTCAAGCTACCAAAGTAGTATCACTAAATGTGAAGTTGGGAATAGATGCAAAATAGTACACTACTACATAGTATTTCCATCATACAGCTATGCCAGTGGTAAATAAACTCAACACTGGCCAGGGGGAGGTGGCTTACACCTGTAATCCCAGTACTTTGGGAGGCACAGGTGGGAGGATCGCTTGAGATCAGGAGTTCGGGAGCAGACTGAGCAATATAGCAAGACCCGGTCTCAATTAAAAAAAGAAAAACAAAAAAACCTCAACAGTGTACTTTACTGCTCATGTAGTAATTAGGGAAGGATGAGTTTTGAGTATTCACTTTGTTTTCAATAAATAAATGTAATTGTAGGTTTATATAATTTAATCTTTAATAATGGCTGTTTTAACAACCAATTCACAAAAATTTAACAAGTGATGCTCAGGAGCTGGTAGGAGCAGGCTCAGCACACCACTCTGTATGTGCTCCAGGACTTCTTGTGGTTAGGACAGCGGCTTTGTTGGACTTGAATCATGGTTCAAACTCTCCCTCTGTCCAATCCTGGCTCCCATCCCTTCCCAGAGGCCCTGACCCCTAATACCTACCTTGCTCTCTGGTACATCAGTTGGCTACCCAAGTGTTATTCATGACTTGCAAACGCCACTCTATTCTTTCTTCCTCAGGCTTTTCCCACTGGCATTTCATCATTTTGGAATTTCACAAGGCAGATGCCTCTGTTCTACCCACATGCTCCTCAGTCTAGTAAGGCCCTGGGAAAAGGCTCCAGCAGACACCTGTGCTGCCCTGCACATCTCCTTGGCTCCCTCTCAGCCATAGTTCTGATGGGTGCTCCCTGTGAGTTGACAATGTCTTATCTCAAGGATGCGGCTATGGGTCACTCTGATTCTCTGCCTAGAGCCTTTTCTAAAGCACTAGGCGCCTTTGGGAGTTAAAGCTCCACAGGCAATTCCAATCAATGGAGAACAGGAGCCCAGAGGGTAAATGCTCGGCCCTGTGTCTTTGAAATGACCATTGTAAGCTCCTCAGAGATCCAAGTGGTATTATGTCCTTGTGTGCCTGTTACATATAACAGTGGCCTTGAGAATATACTTTTAAGTTGCCTTTCATACTTCTCTGTCTTAACATCTCAATTTCATCATTCCTGCTTCCTGAGATCACCTTCAAAAATAAACTATCTAGCTGGGCGTGGTGGCTCACACCCGTAATCCCAGCAGGATTGAGAGGCTGAGGTGTGTGGATCACGAGGTGAGGAGTTCGAGACCATTCTGGCCAACGTGGTGAAACCCCATCTCTACTAAAAATACAAATATTAGCCGGGCACGGCGGCGGGCGCCTATAATCCCAGCTACTCAGGAGGCTGAGGAAGGAGAATAACTTGAAGCCGGGAGGTGGAGTTTGCAGTGAGCCGATATTGCACCACTGCACTTCAGTCTGGGCAACAGAGCAAGACTCTGCCTCAAAAAACAAACAAACAAACAAAAAACAATAACAATTAACTATCTGTATCCAAGTCATTCTACCAGTCTCTGCTTTGGGAAGGAATCTACACTACGATACTTGATACACTATGATACTTGCTGATCATATATATATATATATATATATATATATATATATATATATTTAATTCAAGAGAACATTCTACTCTTCCTTTCACAGCTTTTTTTTTTTTTAATTTAATTTGGCTGGGCGCGGTGGTTCATGCCTGTAATCCCAGTACTTTGGGAGGCTGAGGCGGGCGGATCACTTGGGGTCAGGAGTTCGAGAACAGCCTTGCCAACATGGTGAAAACCCATCTTAACTAAAAATACAAAAATTAGCCTGGATATGGTGGCATGCACCTGTAATCCCAGCTACTCGGGAGGCGGAGGCAGGATAATAACTTGAACCTGGAGGTGGAGGTTGTGGCGAGCTGAGATTGTGCCACTGCACTCCAGCCTGGGTGACAGAGTGAAACACCATCTCAAAAAAAATTAATTTTATTTTAGATTCAGGGGGTACATGTGCCTGTTTGTTACATGAGCATACTGGAGATTGGGCTTCTAGTGTACCCATTACCCAAACAGTGAACACTGTACCCCATAGGTAATTTTTCAGCTCTCGCCCCCTGCCCACCCTCCCCTCTTTTGGTGACCCAGTGTCTATTATTTCCATCTTTATGTCCATGTGTACTCATTGTTTAGCTCCCACTTATAAGTGAGAATGTGTGGTACTTGGTTTTCTGTTTCTGAATTACTTCACTTAGGATAATGGCCTCCAGCTCCAGCCCATGTCACTGCAAGAGACATGATTTCATTCTTTTTGATGGCTGCATAATATTCCATGATGCATTAATATATGGACCACATCTTCTTTATCCAGTCAACTGTTCATTGACATTCAGGTTGGCTCCATGATTTTGCCATTGTTCTTTTCACAGTTTCTAAATACAGCATAACCAACTGTTAAAATAAGACTTATCTTGGAATGCTGCCAGGTGGGCCAATAGATAACTATGACAGTTTGGGACCTCTGAAAAGCAGATGTCAAGATAGGATTAGATGTGCCAAAATATTTTAAAGAAAACACCTGTGCAGGATAGTGCAGGAGGGAGAAGGAGCCTGGCATGCAGGTGAGGAGTGCCTTCTGACTGCAATACAGGTCTGACACTTGTGAATGGAGAGAGGGAAGGGAAGAAGATTGGGTAGGAAGAGCTCCAGACTGCAGCACATTCTGAGAAAGCCCTGGTAGGGTGGTAGGAATTCCAGAGCAAAGACTGCCCACTAGAGGCAGAAAGGGCATAGCTCTAGCGCTCTCACCATGTTCCGTTGTGAGCTGGAAACAGCTGGGGAATGTGTGACCTTGGTATGAGCTCTGTGGTGGATCCAAATGTGTGACAGCTGAAGGCTGTCAGTTGCTCAAGCTTCCAAGATCTCAGGGGATCACCTCCCTCCATGCCACCACACAGATAGGTATCCCCACACATAAATCCATATAAATGGAGGTATTGGACCATCTTTGTAGGATTTGCTAAGTTGGGGTTCTGCCACCTTCAGACCAAATTGAAGGAAAGGAGAGAGCAATCAAGGGAGAAGATGAGAACGACACGGTGCTGACAGGGAGAAGGAGGACCCACCCACTTCATGCAAAGAAAGGCATGCTTCCAAAGAACTACTTGGAGAGCCTGGCATGTGTCACCTGGAGTGTGGGGACATGCATGAACCCAGAGATGGCTGAGAAGCTTCAAGGAAAGAGGCCGGTCAGAGTTACCTGTGACCAGAGAAGAAGAAAAGAGAACTGCAGTGACAGTGGCCTGCACTTCTATAGCGTGATGGGCCAAATGCCAGTTGGTGTCCGTGGGTCAGCACGCACGTGGTGGAAGGTAGCTGGGACTGACTGCCAGGGCATGGTGCCTTGCAGAGGGCCTGAATGAGGCTGACCACCAGTGAAGCTGAGGCTGAAGTTGCAGGGTCAGAACCCCACCCTGCCCAACTTGAGAAACCAGTGTTTTTTTTTTTTTTGAAACGGATCTCGCTCTGTCGCCAGGCTGGAGTGCAGTGGAGCGATCTCCGTGAACTGCAACCTCCACCTCCCGGGTTCAAGCGATTCTCCTGCCTCAGCCTCCGAGTAGAGGAGCCTAGAGGCATGTGGCACCATGTCCAGCTAAACTTTTTGTATTTTTCATAGAGACGGGGTTTCACCACGTTGGCCAGGATGGTCTCGATCTCTTGACCTCGTGATTCATCCACCTCGGCCTCCCAAAGTGCTGAGATTATAGGCGTGAGCCACCGCATCCGGCTTCTTTTTTTGACAGAGGCTTGCTCTGTCGCCCAGTTGGAGTGCAGTGGCATGATCTCGGCTCATTGCAACTTCCACCTCCCAGGTTCAAGCAATTCTCCTGAGGAGATGGAATTGCAGGTGCACGCCACCACACCCAGCTAATTTTTGTATTTTTAGTAGAGACAGGGTTTCACCATGTTGGCCAGGCTGGTCTCGAACTCCTGACCTCAAGTAATCCACCGGCCTCAGCCTCCCAAAGTGCTGGGATTACAAGCGTGAGCCTCCGTGCCCGGCGGTGGAACCCGTCTTCACAGAGCTAGCTGGGGAGAACACAGAAGCAGGAAGCGAAGGTCGTTTTCCTCCTCCTTGCAGGCTTCTGAGCTTGGGTCAGGTTGGGGTCTGGTGGGTGGTGGGAGGCTAGTGGGGAAGGCTTGAATGGATTGCGATTAAAGTTTTGATTTGGATTGGGCTGGACTTTTTATTATCAGCAAATCTGACTGTTTATGAACACCTGAAAGTGACAGGAAAAGCTATGAAATTTGCCCCAGATTCTTCCAGGGGAGAAGGGAGAGCTTCTGGAATAATTTTTAAAGACAGTGGTCTGAAAAAAAAAAGTGCCATTTCATGATTTCCCTTCACCAAGTAGTCCAGTTGGTTAAAAAAAAAAATTAACTGTCATAAAGTATTGGTTAACACAGTGGTTTGGAAAGACATCCCCTAAAAACAAAAAACGCCAACCTAAATAGTGCAAAGACCAGCAACATCGTTTCATCTTTATAATGGTAAATGTTTATTCCATTGCTGTTTGAATCAGTCTGCAGAAGTCCTCTGGTTTCGCTTGCCTTTTCAAACCTCCAGGTGCACCGCGTGAGGGAGTCTGAGCATTTCAGGTAGGACTGGAAAAAGGTCTTTGAGAAATCATTAATTAATCTATTTACCTTACCATAAGAGCAGTCAAGGCTCGCTGGAACCCCTCGGACAGTGGGGAGGCACATTTGGTGCTCATTAAACATAGAAATAAGCTTGCTTCTAGAAAGAAACGCCTGCCTTTTGCGCAAATCTTTTCAGAGACTGGCTTTGGGCTCCTATGAATCAGGCACCCTAGCGTCCTCCAAAGTTCTTCCCGATGCTGAACCCCAATGCCTCCTGCTGCGCCTAATTCGAAGCGGCTCCCTCTTCTGTTCTGAGCGGAAAACAGCGGAACCCATTCCTGGAGGCCTGCCCTGGAACGGCCAACTCATTCTTACTCCTTTCTCCTGGGGTCCGATGCTAGGGCACCACGGTGACCAGCCGCGCAGCGGGCAGCGGCCCGCGCCGCGCCCACCGCCTGCGGAGGCTGGGTCTGGGTCTGGGTCTGGGGCTGGAGCTGGGGCTGGGGCTGAGGCGGGAGCTGGGGCGGGGGCGGGGGCTGGGGCTGGGGCTGGGGCTGGGGCTGGGGCTGGGGCTGGGGCGGGCAGGCGCGCGCGCAGGAGCGGGCGCAGGGGCCGTCGGCAGAGGGCGCTACGGCTCCCGGCTGCGGAGCTGCGACGCGGGGCGCGGGGCGCGGAGCGCGGGCCGGGAGGAGGCGCCTGGGTCTCGGCGAGTGCGTCTCCGGGCGGCCGGGAGGGGGTGCGCGCATCAGCTGCCCCGCGCCGCCTACCGCTCGGGCCCGCTCGCCGCCCGGCCACTGTCACCGCGGACGGCACCTCGCGGGCGAGGCGCGCCGGCTGCGTGGCGCGCTGCGAAGGTTGGGCTGGGCGGCCGCCGGCCCCGCGGCTTCTCTTTGTCCAGGCGAGGCGGCTGGAGGAGCAGCCGCGGCCGCGGCGGAGCCGGGAGCGCCTGGGCGTCGTGCGGGCGGCTCCGGTCCCCGGCTGCGCCCCGGCCCTCGAGCGGGGGCGGCGGCCTGGGCGGTGCCTGCGCCGAGGTGAGTGCGGGGGCGCGGAGCGGAGCGCAGCCGCGGCGCGGGCGTGGGCGGGCAGAGGTGATAGCGAGCGCCGGCGGCTCCAGGTGCGGGGGCGCCCCTCGCGCTCCACCTGCGCCGCCGCCGCCGGCTCTCAGGGCAAGTTTATCTCCCCCCTTCTGCGGAAACCCTTGACCGCTTAGCGGAGTACAGACCTGTCGGTAAATAGAAAACTCGAGCTGGAGAGGAGGAGGAAGCAGCGTGGCGGAACCCGGCCCGAGATGAGCGTCTCCGTGAGGGCAGTGGTGGCCTCTTGGACATTACATCTTTCTTGGCTCTTTTTGACCCAGGTGAGCGAATCCTCTGCTGCGCGGTCCGGTGGGGTCGGCTGGCTCTGCTGCCGCCCTCTGGACCCGCCGGAGACAGGTGAGCGGAGTTGGGGAGCGCGCAGCCGGGCTCGGGGCAGCGCCGGGCTGGTTCGGCTTCTCGTCTCCAGAGCGCTGATGCTTCCTGCCCACATCACCTGCTCTGGCTTAGGGACTGCAGCTCTTTTGGCACCTTCGCTTGCTGCCAGGTTCAACACCCACTGCTTTAGAGGCGTTGGTAGGTTAGTTAAGGCGAGTTCTCCCCTACCCACCCCCAGCTTTGGATAATTTGGTCTGAGTCTTCGTCTTAATTTAGTATGAGTGTGTTATTTCCTTCAAGCTTTATAATGGTAAAGCAGTGAAGCGGCTTGCTACATCCATTTTTTTTTTTCATTCTGTGCCTGTGCACAGAAGGAATTACAGGCACACAAGTGATGTTACTACCATTCTATTTTAAATACAAACACGGAAAGAAGTACTCTTGGCAGGATACCAAAGGCGCCTGTACTCTCTGTTATATAAATGCTTAAAAAAATTTGCTCATTGGTAAAGTTATGTGTGATTACCAGAGCACCTAAGAAGAGAGTGTCATGCTTTTAGTTTACTTGGAGATAAGCAGTGGTCTTAGCTTGAGGTACCCTTTTAAGATAATATAGGACCCTATATTAAAAAAGTCATTAGGTATAATTGTAAAGCATTAAAAAATTGGTTTTGTAAAGTCTATTAGGAATTGGTGAGAATTCTTTGACTACTTATTGATAAAAAGATCCTACATGTATACTTTCTAGTTTTCAAACTATTGAATGATTTTATTTTTATCTCTGATGGAAACTTAGTAATTGTGAGTTGCCAGTTATTAAAGATGTGTCTCTCTTTCCCTTCCCTTTCCCCAGGCCCCAAAACCAGTACTCACATTTATGGCTATTTTTTTCAGGTAAAAATACAAAAGTAGAAAACATCAGATATACTGATGGCTGGGAACAGCCCTTGTCCCTCCTCCACCCAGTATTCTGTTCTAATTGGTCTGGGCTGATACCTTGATACCTGTAATGTTAAAAAGCTTTCCTGGTGATTCTAACGTGTAGCCAGGGGTGAGACCCATTGTGGAGCATTGTATTGTCACTTTCTGTAGCCTATGGTGTTGCTACAGTGGTTTAAGGTAAGTCAAAAATACGTTGTTAGAAACATGGGAAGAAAAAAATGGTATTGGAAAGGGGACACATCAGAGAATTACAGCATGTAGACTTTTGTGTTTTGTCTAAATGCTCTTTCTTGATTTTCCTGCGAAGAGTAGTTGATGTTTATTAGGGACCCATAATTCCATGTAGAATACTTACGGGAATCTTAAGTGATATATTTCATTTGCAGAAGTACCAATGAAAGTTGAGTAGTAGTGGCAGGATATTCATTTATGTTTACACGGTAAAGTAAGTCATAGGAAAGATTATTTTCCATATCAAATTAAAAACTTTTACTATAAACTAGTAAATTAAGTGCAAAAAGTTTTTATTGTTTTTAAGGTCAGAAAGAAACCTGGCCTCTGAGTCAGTGTTTTCTGTCTCCCTTATGTAATCCCAAATATCCAAATCTAGGAGCAGATCTTATGGATGGTTTATGAAGGCTTATGTAAGAGCTATGACTGTGCTTTTGGTACTCCATTAAACTCCCTGTTTGGGCTATTACATAATTGACACGGAACTAGACTGTTAAAGCCAAAATCCAGGAGGATGCCGAAACCCACTCCGGCATACGCACTTTTATAATGAATTGCTGTTGCCAAATTGGAGGGAACAGCAGGGATGGTGGTTTGTGAAAGAGAGGTAAGAATAGCATCTGGGGGATTGATGTAATAGAAGACTGTTATGCTTAGCGATTTTCTAGAGATTTGAATGCTGTGGCAGAAACCTCTCTAGTCCTTTCTATCTCCAGCAGAGGCAGATCGACTGGGGAGCTAATGAACCTAAGCCTCAGGTCCCTCCGTCACAGAGGCTTCTTTGGAGCCCTCTGGGAGGGGCACTGGCAGTGTGTTCATGTGGTCATCCCTGAGTTTGTATTTGTACTTTTGGATTTTTTTTTTAAATAAGGAGAGTACTCTTTCTATATTCCCACCCCCCAATTATATAAACCCAAGGTTCCACAGACCCTGAATCTATCCCTGTCTTCAAACCTGTGTTCAAGTATTAACTTATAAAATTGCCTATTCTTAGTTTAATTTTTGTCATCTGAAAAGATGAAAAAAATCTGTACAATATCATAGTTGACTTGCTGAGAAAATGCAAACTGCTATAACCTAGGGCTGTATAGAGCCACTGAAATCAGGCACATACCTGGAGAACTAGCTCTTTGCCTCGTGATCGCACACACATGGGATTGTTTTGGATCAGTGTGTGAGCTGGAGGTGGAGAAGAGTGGAAACGGGTTGGGGAAGGGAGGAAAGTGGGTTAAAGCTCTTCCTCCTCTCAGAGGCAGGATGCCAAGGGGAAAGGAAGGAAAACTATTGAAAGATGCTTCATTAATAAAATGTTAATAGGAACAGATAGCATCAGCTCCATAGGAGATCCTTCTGTAAGCTCAGGATTGGTCTCTAATACGAATTTTCAACAGTAAGCAAACAAACTCATTCCTCGAAAATATCCTACAGGAAACAAATGCAGGTTTGGAAGGACTAGATGAGTATCTGCTTGTTCCCATTAGCAGTTTTTATGAGCAAGTGGGAGGCTTATAATATCTACCACACACATGTTTGAAACGAGTTGTTGAAAAGAGTCAAGGAGTTTCCCCTTTTCTCTGAAATGATTTCTACTTCCTATGTGAATTTGGATGCCTTTAGATCTTATCATCTTGACCCTTCCCACCAACGGGTATACCTTGTCTATCAATTACCCATCCATCAGTCATCTATCTACCATCCACCCACCCATCCACAGAGACTCTCTTTTTGACCAAACTTTAGTCAGGCTCCCCTGAGCCCTCTTCTCAACTGGGCCTCAACCTTGGCCCGTAAGAACTGCAGCTTTCAACACAAACAATTTTGTCTGTGCTCCCACCCTCCAACGGATTTGAAAACACTGTAGCATGGTGTATTAGCCTGTTCTCACCTTGCTGATAAAGACATACCCAAGACTGGGTAATATATAAAGGAAAGAGGTTTAATTGACTCATATAGTTCAGCATGGCTGGGGAGGCCTCAGGAAACATAGAATCACGGTGGAAGGGGAAGCAAACACGTCCTTCTTCACATGGCAGCAGGAGAGAAAAATGAGCAAAAGGGGGAAAAACACCGTATAAAACCAGCAGATTTCATGAGAACTTACTGTCGCGAGAACAACATGAGGGTAGTTCCCCCATGATTAAATTACCTCCCACCTAGTCCCTCTCATGACACATGGGGATTATGGGAATTATAATTCATGATGACATTTGGGTGGGGACACAGCCAAACCATATAACATGGCATCTAGCAGCCTAAGGCCATGTGTCTGGGATCACCCAGCCTCACTTGCATTCCTACCTAGAAAAGCTCAAGGCTGCCCCAAAGAATTTATCTTTTGTTCTAGCCCACACAAATGATAATAGGCCCCTGACTTTCATTTTGTTAGATCGTTTATTAAAAACTTACAATTGTAATTCTTTCTCTGTGCCTTTGAGATATATGTGTATCTCCTACCACCTGGAGTGTCTTCCTCAGTGTCTGTGAGCCATTCCTTTGAAGTGTAATCATCAGGGAGGATAGGGCTCTGTCCTCTAGTCTCTGTAGATGGGTAGGAGCCTAACTTTGACAAGTGCCATTTAGCAGTCACAGATGGCCTAGTCTCATTGGCAAGCCCCCTTGCCTGATTGCTGTAATGTTCTGTGTCCTTGACCCTGCTTGAGCCCCCACACATTCTCATTTCTCCTCCCTACTTCCTTATTCTCCCTTTAAAACACCCAGTCACCTCTACCTGAATTGGAGTTGAGCTCAGTTCTATACTGAAGTCTCTTTCTCTCACTGCAGTTGTACTGGGTAAAATCTGTCTTTACTGCCTTTAACCAGTGTCTAGCTTTTTTTTTTTTTTTTAAACACCATCCAACAAAAAAGTTTGAGTGTCTCCATAGGCCAGGCACTTTTACATATTAGGTATAGAGCAGCAAATAAAACAGACAAAAACTGCATCCTTGAGGAACTTACAGTGTAATGGAATGAATCAGATGAGGTTAAGTACTTAATATATCAGGTATGGATACTGCTATGGAGAAAATAAATCAGAGATGGGGGAGCAGGAGTGGGTTATGGGGAATTGCTATTTCAAGTAGTGTGGTCAGGGAATGCCTCACTGAAAGGAGATGTTGAGCAGAGCCCTAAAGGAGATGGAAGAGTGAGCCACCTGACCAGAGTGCAGCTGGCATTTGTGGGGAGCACAGGGAGGCAGCTGCAGGCCGCAGTGGGGGAATCTCATGCTCATGGCCAGCTTTTCCTCATGACAGCAGCCCCATCCCCCACTCCAGCCACCTGAGGCTGCCCACGAACACTGGTGTTGTTCTTGGGGCCTTAGTGGTATGGTGGCTTGGAACTGAGGACCTCTCAGGGCATCGGAATCCAGCCTAGACCATACCTGAATAGGAGTAAGGAATGAGAGTGTATGTTTTCAATGATGGCTCCCACTGGTTTGTCATAGGAAAGAGGCTGGGGGCAAGCTCACTCCAGCCTGGATTCCCTGCAGTCACCCTGGGAACAAATGGAACTATGATGTATAAAAGATGTGGACAGTGGAAACCACACGGCTCTTTCTCGAGGAATGTCTTAATATCAGGAACCTAGAACAACTTTCTGATTTGAACTGAGCCTAGAGAGAATCCCCAGCTTAAAGGGAACTGGGGTTGGTTAGGGTTTGAGGAGGGGAAATTACTCAGTCATTGACCGAGGCTCCTGCATGCCCAGATGGCTGCTCAACATCTGCTAACCAGAACAACACACACACACACACCCCTGGCAACAGGCTGTCATGAATTTCTCCATGGAGAAGGTGAAGAAACCATTGGGGAGCAGCAGCCAGGGCCTGTCTGCTGGTTTTTAGTTACAGCCTTTCTATACTCATGGGGACAGGGGTATGGAACCAGGATGGGATAGCTGTTTCATTTTTTAAGCTGTTAGCTTGTAACCATTTTAAACTCTCAACAACCAAAACACAAATCTCTCATATAGAGGTTCCTTGGATTGTTTGCTGGTGGGTAGGGAGCATCACAGCAGCTTGAGTGAGCATATGCAGCTGGCATTGGGGAGGTGGCATTTATAGGAGTCTGGTGTTCCTGACTCTTCTCTGTGCCTGTCATGACTTCATGTGGTCTCTTACTTTGCAAGCTTCTCTCACGTGCCCTATTGTATTTGGAAAATGGGGAACTTAAGGTCATTCCTGGGTATTTGATACTCCTCTTTAGCTTTTGTAAGTGGGCCTTCTTCTAATTGGTTGTATATATTCTATATGTTGGTTGTATTACATATAACCAATAATTGATATATAGAAAGCTATTCTAAAATGTAATGTAACCAAGCACTTTTCAAGCTCTTATTAATTATAACCTTGTTTTGTGGTTATTTTCCTTGGATTTTCCAGATAGATGGTCATATCATCTGCTAAATAAGTAAATAAATCAATAAATTTAAAATACATGGTTAGATGAATGAATAGATAAAAAATGATTACTTTGGTCTCTTTATTTCTATTTTTTATTATCAGACTAGATAGAAGACGAGACTGTTTATCTGTTGAGAGATTTTAAAAACAAGATTATTGTATTTCAGCCAAATGTACTTCCCTTGTCCCAGAGAGGATAGGCTATATGATCTCTGAGGTCCTCTCCTTATTAGTCTTTTTACTCTGTTTACTGTAGACCCATTGTACCAGTATGTTCAGTTCCCATAGAAAAACAAAAGAGTGTTTACACACAGTCATTATAGATAAGCCAGCAGTGTGTGTGATTAGGGCCAAACCAGTATTGATGATGGCCTGATACTGACTTTAGAAAGTTTGACTCACCTTGCAGAAATGAAAAGCCAACATAATGCATTAGCGTCTATGAAGACTGTAATAAGGCAAATACATTTGTCCAGAAACAGGCTGATATTGATACACTGATTTTAAGTGCTTTTCCCCAAAAGTACAATAGAGAAAGCCAGGAATATATAGCCTTGGATTACAATAAATGATAATAAAACAGCAGAAGCAAATAACACTTAATAGGGAAGTTTATTTTCCACACTTCATCAGATTGCTACTGCAGAGTACTAGTCTAAAAATTTAATATGAACACTAGCTCTGTAAATACGGGAGAAGTAATCTCAAATCATCCTGAATTAATTATCTTTGTGCTAAGCTGTTTGACATTACTCATTGAAAATAGCTTCTCAAGACAGGCAGTATTTTTCTACACACAAATAATTGTGTTCTCAGGTTGGAAATGTTGCCACATATTAAGCCAAACACATTTTTTTGCTTCTAATTCTTATATTACTATCAGTTTATTTCAGGGAAAGTTAATTTGAGAATTGAAATCATGTAGCAGAATAATTTTGGTTGAAATTGATGTTTCTAAGCCTGATGCATTTTCCATTAGTGTTACATGGTATCATTGGAAGTTTGTACAGTGAACATGCCAAACATTAGGTTTAGTTTTCTGAAGACTCTAGCAAGTATTCTTTTTTTTTAAATCCACATTGTATTAGTTTAACTGGCAGGTAGTAATTAGTTTTATATTGAGTGAGCTAATTTGCCACTACTAGCAGATTTTGAAGTTATTTTAATATAAATACATTGTCCTCTACCCCCAAACTTTATACTGAAATTTTTCTGCTAAATTTTAGGATTATAATTTTGATAATGGCCCAGGATATTGGAATAAAATATAAATGTGAGTTAGCATTAATATCTCAGTTTAGAGAATAACAATAAAAGCAGGAATGTGACCTGCAGCCACATTTCTTCAGTATCGGGGGAAATTCAGCCCCCAATATTTGACGTGGGTCCTTTTCTATTTTCCCTAAGTATTGGCCGGTCTGAGAAATAAAGGGAAATAGTACAAAAGAGAGAAATTTTAGAGCTGGGTGTCTGGGGGAGACATCACATGTTGGCAGGTTCCGTGATGCCCCTCAAGCCGCAAAACCAGCAAGTTTTTATTAGTGATTTTCAAAAGGGGAGGGAGTGTACGAATAGTGTGTGGGTCACAGAGATCACATGCTTCACAAGGTAATAAAATATCACATGGCAAATGGAGGCAGGGTGAGATCACAGGACCGGGGTGAAATTAAAATCGCTAATGAAGTTTTGGGCATGCATTGTCATTGATAACATCTTATCAGGAGACAGGGTTTGAGAGCAGACAACTAGTCTGACCAAAATTTATTAGGCGGGAATTTCCTCGTCTTAATAAGCCTGGGAGCGCTACGGGAGACTGGGGCTTATTTCACCGCTTATCCACAACCGTAAAAGACAGACGTTCCCAAAGTGGCCATTTCAGAGACCTCCCCTTGGGAATGCATTCTCTTTCTCAGGGGTGTTCCTTGCTGAGAAAAAGAATTCAGCGATATTTCTCCTATTTGCTCTTGAAAGAAGAGAAATATGGCTCTGTTCTGCCAAGCCCACAGGCAGCCAGACTTTAAGGTTATCTCCCTTGTTCCCTCAACATTGCTGTTATCCTGTTCTTTTTTCAAGGTACCCAGATTTCATATTGTTTAAACAATTTGTGCAGTTAACACAATCATCACAGGGTCCTGAGGTGACATTCATCCTCAGCTTATGAAGATGACAGGATTAAGCAATTAAAGTAAAGACAGGCATAGGAAATCACAAGAGCATTGATTGGGGAAGTGATAAATGGCCATGAAATCTTCACAATTTATCTTCAGAGATTGCAGTAAAGACAGGTGTAAGAAATTATAAAATTATTAATTTGGGGAACTAATAAATGTCCATGAAATCTTTACAATTTATGTTCTTCTGCCATGGCTTCAGCCGGTCCCTCCGTTCGGGGTCCCTGACTTCCTGCAACACTCCAGGGTCAGCAGTAGAGAGAGGCTAGTTGAGCACTTGCCTCAGGTACAAAATTTAAGGGACACCAAGACACTTAGTAATACAAATAAATATTTTATGCATTTTAGAAAATCAAGATTAATGCAAAAAATCCATAATGAACAAAATATCAAAATTTTAAAGGAAGACAGGATCAGTATTACTGAGTTTTCCTTTTGTGTCAGGCTCCAGTTTGGTTTGTAATAGCACTGTTACTGATCCTATCTATAAAGTTTTAATATTTCGTTCATCATGGATTTTTTACATTAATTTTGATTTCCTAAAAATATTGCATTAATATATTATTTATCTTGGAACACATCTGAATTATTGGAGTAAAGACATTCTGAAAAGTCTCTCCTGCACAATAACAATGAAAGCACTGGCAAAAATATCAAAATAAACCATTTTAGAATGGTGGAAATTAACGAAGGGTTTATAACAATCTGAGGAATATTTATTCAAGAAAAAGGACTGAATCTCAGTAAGAACAGTGAACTTTGTCATTTTTAAACTTACCTTATTCCCATTCCTTCATCCGCAGCTCCATTGTAGCCTTCAAAACTAATAGCCTAAGTCAGGCACAGTGGCTCACACCTGTAATCCTAGCACTTAGAGAGGCTGAGACAGGTGGGTCACCTGAGGTCAGGAGTTTGAGACCAGCCTGGCCAACAAGGTGAAATGCTGTCTCTCCTAAAAGTACAAAAAAAAAAATTAGCCAGGCATGGTGGTGTGTGTATGTAATCTCAGCTACTTGGGAGGCTGAGGCAGGAGAATCGCTTGAACCCGGGAGGTGGAGGTTGCAGTGAGCTGAGATTGCGCCACTGAACTCCAGCCTGAATGACAGAGTAGGACTCCGTCTAAAAAAAAAAACAAACAATAACTAATAGCCTAGAAGCCACTGAAAGGGACAAAACAGGTTTAGAGCCCTCTAAGATCCCCAGTCTCAGAAAATTGTCACTATATGATTGCTCTAGAAGCTTCTTAAAAAACTCCATTCTCAAAGCTTGTTTTGCAGAGCCCTGTGGCATTTTTGGAAAACAATCAGCAGTAATTGTTTAACCTCTCAGCTGCCTGAGGCAGTGACACCAGTTGGGGTTAACAAGAGGTTAACCAAAAAACTTAAAAGGAAAAATTGGAAAAGGAGCTACCTATGGGGGCTTTAAAAACCTTTGATGTAGTCTTTGGAATCTAGAAGTCCCATGTCTGTATGTCCAGGAAATACTTAATAAGGCCTTAATCTGTCATCTCAGACTAACAATGAGGCTTTGCATAAGTAAAGTAGGAAGAGAAGACTAAGAGTTGTAAACTACCTGCTGGAGTGTTAAAAGCATGTACCCCACCCCCCAACACGCGTAATCCCTCAGCAAAGACAGAAATCTCTGTACCGTCATTAGCTGACCACTGAAGCTAGACTTCAGCAGCTGCACATGATAAACAAAGTAGACTTTACATAATTAGTCTGGGAAATAGCAATAGAAACAATAGTAGCAACAAATATAACAACAAACCTTTATGCAGAGTGGAATCTTATTTCTAGGTTGCCATATTTTTTTAAATCCAGTTTTCAACATAAAATTTCCACACACACAAGCAGTAGCATATGGGCCATAACAGGAAAAACAAAAGTATCCCTGAGAAAGTCCAGATACTGGACTTAGTAGACAAACATTTTAAATTAGCTATTATAAATGTGTTCGAAGAGCTGAAGGAAACCTTGTCTGAAGAATTAAAGTAGAAAAATGATGTCTCTTCAAATAGAGAATATCAATAAAGGGGGAAATTGTTAAAAAAGGAACAAAATAGAAATTATGGAATTGAAAAGTACAATGATTGAAATGAAAAAATTTACTAGAGAGGCTCATCAACAGATTTGAACTAGCAGAAGAAAGAATCGGCAAACTTGAAAATAAATCAATTGAAATTATATACTATGAGGAACAGAAAGTCAAAGGAATGAAGAGAAATGAACAGAACATCAGATTTATGGGACACCATTATGAATACCAACATATGTATAATTGAAATCTCAAAAGGAAAAGAATGAGAGTAAGGGGACAGAAAGATTACTTGAGGAAATAATGGACAAAAACTCAAGCAGCAAGAGAGAAGTGAGTAATCATGTACAGAGGATCTTCAATAAGATTAACAGCTGACTTCTCATCAGAAACTGGAGGCTAGAAGATAGTGGAATGATGTATTGAAAATGCTGAAAGACAAAAAAACTGTCAATCAAGAATTCTATATCCAGCAAAACTATTATTCAAAAAAGAACAAAAGATTAAGATGTCTCAGAAAAACAAAAACAGAGAATTTGTCACTAGCAGACTGTCCCTACAAGAAATATTAAAGGTAATCTTTCAGTTTGTAACTAAAGGACACAAGTCAGTAACACACATCCACAGGAAGAAATAAAGAGTAGCAGTAAAGGTAATTATATAGGTAAATATAAAAGAGTACAAACCACTAAGAAAATAACTAAAAAATGTAAAAGAAACGGAATGAAAATGATATATTGAAAAATATCTATTTAACACAAAAGAGGGCAGTAGTGGAGGAACAAAAAGACATCAGACGTAACACAACAAATAGCAAAATGGCAGATGTAAAATCCTGCCATTTTTAGTTTTTACATTAAATATAAAGGGACTAATCACTGTAGTCAAAAGGCATAGGTTGGCAGAATTAATAAACATGAAATAAACATGACTCAACTATATGCCATTCACCACACTCACTTTATATATGAAGACACAAATACTGTGAAAGTAAAAGAATAGAATAAGATATAACCTGAACATAGTAATAAAAGGAGAGCTGGAATGGCTATACCGATATGAAGTGAAACAGATTGTAAGTCAAAAATTATTGCAGAAGACAAAGAAGGTCATTACCTGTTGTTAAAGGGATCAATTTCTCAGGAAGTCAAATATGAGCATGCATGTATTTAACAATAGATCCCCTAAATATGTGAAGCAGAAACAGAATTGAAAGAAGAAATAGAAAATTCAACAATAGTATTTGGAGATTTCAATACACATTCCCTCCCTCCCTCCCTTCCTTCCTTTCTTCCTTCCTTCCTTTTTTATTTATTTATTATTTTTTTGAGACAGAGTCTCACTCTGCTGCTCAGGCTGGAGTGCAGTGGTGCCATCTTGGCTCACTGCAACCTCCGCCTCCTGAGTTCAAGCGATTCTCTTGCCTCAGCCTCCCAAGTAGCTGAGACTACAGGTGCATGCCACCATGCCTGGCTATTTTTTTGTATTTTTTTTTTTAGTAGAGACAGGCTTTCACTATGTTGGCCAGGCTTGTCTCAAACTTCTGAACTCAGGTGATCTGCCTGCCTCAGCCTCCCCAAGTGCTAGGATTACAGGTGTGAGCCACTGTGCCTGGCATCAATACCTCATTTTCAAAAATGGGTTGAAACAGAAGATCTTATTTTCTTGCTGAAGATCAGCAAGGAAATAAAAGGCTTGAGCAACTTTATAAGCCAACTGGAATTAACAGACACCTAAAGAACACTTCACCCAGTGGTAGCAGAATATACATTGTTCTTAAATGCCTGTAGGAAATTCTTTAAAATAGACTATGTAATAGGTCACAGAATAAGTTTCAATGAATTTAAAAGGGCTGAAATAATACAGAATATGTTCCCTGACCACAATGGAATGATATTAGAAATCAAGAATAGAGGGAAATTTCAGAAATACAGAAAATGTGGAAATTAATATACTCCTAGTGGATTAAAGAAGAAATCAGAAGGCAAGTTAGAAAATAGTTTGAGAAGAATGAAAACAAAAACACAAACTTCTGAGATGCAACTAAATCAATACTTAGAGGGATTTTTTTTTTAGCTGTTAATGACTGTATGAACAAAAGAAAGATCTCAGACCAACAACCTAACTTTACACCTTAATAATGTAAAGAAAGAAGGGCAAACTAAATAAGTATGCTAAATATATAAATATATATAATATGACAATATATTAAAATTGTATATATTTAAAATTATATATTTATATAAATATAAATAAAAATAAGTACACAATGTAAACTATAGTAAGGACTAGAACAGAAGTAAATGAAATAGAGAATAGAAAAACAATAAAATCAATAAAAACAAAAAGTTGTCTTTTGAAAAGATCAGCAAAATTTACAAATCTTTACCTAACTGACTAATAGAAAAAGAGAGAAGAATCAGTTATTAAAATCAGAATAAAAGAAGGAGAATCACTACCATTTTAGAGAAATAAAATAAGAACATTTTAAATAAATTTATTTCAACAAATTATATAACCTGAATGAAATGGGTAAATTCCCAGGAAGACACATACTACCAAACTGACTCAAGAAGAAAGGGCAGATCTGAAGTGACCTATAATGAGAAAGGAGATTGAATTAGTAATCAAATATTTTTCCATGAAGAAAAGCCCAGGCTGGGATGGCTTCAACGGTAAATTCTACCAAATGTTTATTTAAAGAATTAACAGCAGTTTTGCATAATGTTTTTCAAGAAGGTAGACAAGGAGGGAACATTCTTGGCTCATTCTTTAAGGCCAGTAGTACTTTGATACAAAAGCCAAAGACATCACAAGAAAAGTATCGCTGTTATTCTGTATGAATACAGATACAAAAATCTGCAAGAAAATACTACCAAACAGAAATCAGCAACATATAAAAAGGTTTGTATACCGTGACTAAGTGGGATTTATCTGAGGAAGGCAACTGGTTTAACATCTGAAAATCAATCAATTTAATATACCATATTAATAGAATAAAATACAGAAACCCCATAATCATCTTAATAGAAACAAACAAACAAAAAAACCACTTGACAAATTCAAACAGCACTTCATGATAAAAATACAAAACTAGGAATGGAAGGAAACTTCCTCAACCTAATGAAGGGAATCTATGAAAAACCCACAGCTAACATCGTACTTGTGAAAGACTGTTTTCCTCTTAAAACAAGGAACAGGCAAGGATGTCTACTGTTTTCACATTTATTCAGCCTAATACTGGATGTTCTAGCCAAGGCAAGGAAAAGAAAGAAAAATCATCCAGATTGGAAAGGAAGAAGTAAAATTATCTCTTTGCAGATGACATGATCTTGTATGTAGAAAATCCTAAGGACTGTATACACAGACTGTGAGAACTAAAAAGTTCAGTAAGGTGGCCATATGCAAGATTAATAAAAGTCAATTGTATTTCTCTGCACTTACAATTAATATGAAAATGAAAATTTCCATTTGTAATAGTATCAAAAAGAATAAGATATTTAGGAACAAATTTAACAAAAGACATTCAGGACTTGTACACTAAAAACTGCAAAACGTTGTTAAAAGAAATTAAAGATAATGTACGTAAATGGAAAGACATCCTGTGTTCATGGACTGGAAGACTTAATATTATTAAGGTGACAGTGCTTCCCATATTGATCTGCAGATTTAATGTAATCGCTATCAAAAACACAGAGGTCTTTTCCTCCCAATAAATTGAAAAGCTGATCCTCAAATTGATATGGAAATGCAAGGGACCCAGAATAGTCAATGTAATCCTGAAAAAGCAGAACAAAGTTGAAGGAAGCACAAGTTCTAATTTCAAAACTTAACACAAAACTACCGTAATAAAGACAGCATGGTGCAGGCAAATTATATCCTTATAGATCAGTGGTATAAAATTGATCCATAAGGCCCAGAAGCAAACCCTTGCATTTTTTATTAATTGGTTTTCAAAAGAGTGACAAGATAATTCAATTCAAGAAAGAATGAATGATCTTTTTAATAAATGGTGCTGGAATAACTAGATGCCTATGTGTAAAAGGATGAAGTTGGATCCTACTTCATACCATATACAAAATTAACTCAAAATGGATTATTGACTTAAATGTAAAATATAAAACAATAAGTCTCAGGAAAAAAAGTAAGAGTAAATCTTCATGATGTTGGATTAGGCAATATTTTCTTATATGTAACAAAAAGCAGGAGTGACGAATATATAGGTTAGTCTTAATAAAAATTACAAAATTGTTTCCTTCAGAGGATATCATCAAGAAAGAGAAAAGACAACCCAAATAATGAGATTAATTTTTTGAAAATTATGTATCTAATAAGGATCTTGTATCCAGAATATATAAAAATGATTTCATTCAGCAGTATAACTTTTTGGGGGTGATAAAGACAACCCAATTAAAAATTCAACAAAGGATTTGAATTGACATTTTTCCAAAGAAGATATACGAGTGGCCAGTAAGCATATGGAAAGGCAGTCTACATTAGTCATTAGGGAAATGCAAATTAAAACCACAATAATGTATCACTAAGATGGCTAAAATTAAAAAGACAAAATTAAGTGTTGGTGAAGATATGGAAATGTTGGAAGCCTGGTACTTGCTGGTGGGACTGTGCAATGGTACAGCCATTTTGGGAAACAGTTGATAGTTACTCAAATTATAGGCATAGAGTAACAACATGACCCAGAAACTCTCTTCCTAAGTGTATACTCAAGAGAATTGAAAACTTACATATCCATATAAAAACTTGCACATGAATGTGTACATAGGAGCCTCAAACTGGAAACAATCCAAATGTCCATTAACTGATTAATAGATAAATAAGATATGGCTTATTCATACAATAGAATATTATTCAGCCATAAAAAGCAGTGAAGTACCGATTTCTGGTACAGATGGCTGAACTTTGAAAGCATTTTGTTAATTGAAAAAAGCCAGACACAAAATACCACCTGTTATATGATTCTGTTTATATGAAGTATTCAGAATAGGCAAATTCAAGTGACAGAATGGATTACTGGTTGTCAGGGACTGGGCTGAGGAGGGCTGTGGAGTATCTGCTAATGGTCTGGGTTTCTTTGGGGGGTGATGAAAATGTTCTGGAATTTGATAGTGGCGATGCTTGCATGACCTTGCGAATGTGATAAAAACCATTGAATTGCACCTTTTAAGATCATGAATTTTATGGTATCTGGGCTACATATCAGTAAAGCTGTTATTTAAGAAATTGTTTATCTTCATTTCTGAGAGTTTTAGTTCCCCCCAAGGCAGGTGCTCTGCCTTGCCCTGGTCCTGCTCAGATTTCAGTAAAATATCTAGATTGGAAGATTAGAAACCTGAGAAGTTACATGTGAAGTGCCAGCAGCTATGGTAGAGTAGAAACTTAGTGGCTCAGTAGAACTCTGAAAAAATATTCTGTGAGCTTTTCGTGTAGGGACAAACTCTGTGTGTTTAGCAGGGCCATGCTGTTCAGCACTGCAGTAGTCTTTGATGCTCTGGCTCTATGTCATTCGGAAAGGCTAAATTATGCTTAGCATCGTGTTAATGGGTTTATTAATAAGGAGGAGTTAAGGTACACTTTATAGGGTATATTTCTGTTCAATAGAAATATAATGTGAGCTGTATATGTAATTTTCTGTTTTCTAGTACCTGCATTTAAAAATCAAAAAGAAACATGGAATTTAATATATTTTATCTAACCTAAAATATTTAAAATACCATTTTTCATGTGGAAATATTTTACATTTTTTCATGTTGAATCCTCAAAATAAAGTATTTCATACTTACAGCACGTCTCAGTTTAGGCTAGCCACATTTCAAGTGCTCATTGGCCACCCCTTGCTGAGTGGCTACTGTCTTGACAGTGTTAAGAGTGATTTTCATGAAAGTAGATGCAAAGCTTTCAGAGACACAGCATGGTATACTGGTTTTGAGTTGGATCCAGATTCAAATTCTAGCTTTGGCTGTAGTGCTGCATTTATTTATTCTTAAAATATTTACTGACATCTGTTCTCAAAAAATCATAGTCTGTTTCTACATAGGGTCAGTCGTATGAATACTGGAGAGAAGTATCATGTTTTATTGTGCTAATTATTGCAAGACCCAAGGAAGGGAGTGGTCAGTTCTATCTGGGAAAGAGTTGGTAGTGGTCAGGAAGGGCTTTGCAAAGAGGAGAGGCCTGAGCTCCATCTTGGAAGAGGAGGTAGATGAGGACAGAGGCATTCTAGGAGGAGGCAGGAGCAAGGGCAGGGAGGCTTGCAACAGCACTGCCCAGGAGATTGCTTATAGCTTGGTTCACATGGAGCAGGAATGGGTGGTTGAAAGGGTGGTGTGGCTGAGCTGGAGCTGAGGGCCATGTTATTTGAGGGCACCTACAAGGGGCTTTAGAATGCATTTCATATTAGGCAGTGGACACCCACAGAAGAGCTTCAAGAAGTAAGTGATGAGGTGGGATTTGATCTTTCTTGTGTTGTTACCTTGGGCAAGTTATTGACCTTTCAGATCTGCCCCCCTTAGTCTCCTATTCTGCAACATTGGGTGATTGAAATCTACTCAGGCTGTTGCTATGAGGATTAAGTGAACTAGTATGTGAAGCATACCTGATGGTCCAGCTCAGACTCCTGCTGAATCGAGAGACCGCTTCTCTGGTAGTGTCCATCTGTTGCCCTAGCTCCTGTTCTTCATTGTAGTTGTGCTCCAGCAGTACCCAGGGAAAGCTTTCAAGAATATAAATTGTTGGAGCACAACAATCAGCCTCAGGGTGGTGTCCAGGAATCTATGTTTAACAAATCTATGTTTAACAAATTCTCTTTGTGGTTATTATGCAGCCACCTGTTTCGGGTTTGCATACCAATGTGCAGAGTTCACGTCCTCAACTCTTATCTAGGATTCTGGGCCATTCGGTAACATCAGCTCTTCCTACCTCTTACATCAGCTTCCGTGTACTGTTTCCTGGCCGGTGGTCTGTAGACCCTAGTCTGATCACAGTTGGTAATTACCAGTGGCCTAGGGCTACTCTGTTTGAGGTTGACCAGTTGGTTCTTAGGTGGCTCTTCATAGATTGGCCTCATTGAAATGGTACCTGACATCTTCTACACATGTATATATCTACTTCACAGACTTTAGCCAGTACTCCTTAATTTTGTTCACACTCTTATTTAATATCTGTATTAACATAAAGTCACGTTCTAACTCCTTTCCACAATGTGAAGTATAATTCCAACTTGTCTGTTAATTCAGAGCTGTTCTATTTGCAGCTCTTTATCTATGACCATACCCATTATAATAATAATGACAATTTTCTTTTTTTTTCTGTTACAATTAGTACTATCACTGCCATCATTGGTACATTTACCTTCAACCCTGTAGTGGTCCACAGTAGATCCAAATATCTCTGTTTAAAGGGGAAAGTCGCTATTGGAACAACACAGAGTGCCTCTGAATGTCAGATTTACTTTGCTTGCATTTCATTTCATGGTCTTATGTGTTTTTAAGATTCTGATTGGATGTGAACAAAATGACAGGTTTCATCTAGCATGTCAACTTTGACTTCGTCACCACCATTCTGTGACCATGTCACAGAATGCTGATTTTAATCTTACATCTTATCCTCACATAATTAATCTAAAAAATAGGGAAAGAGAAATGGGTGGCACTAAAAGGAGATTAAAAAGTTTATTTTGCAGCTGGCTGCTCTTTCATGCAAAAACAAAACAATTTATAGTAGGCTGCTGATTTAATGGGTCTCCTAGTGGGAGGGAAAATTATTTAAACCCTTTGTTATTCCTTCTCAGAAGAAAATGCACTTTGGGAACTTGTGAATTTTCTATATCTGGGGTACCCAAATGGCCTTGATTCCACTAGCTTTTACTTCCATTAGTGTTGTGCATGCTTCGAATTAACATTGTGTTGGGGTGGTTGTGATGCTGTTGTGCTGGTGGTGGTAGTTGTGGTAGGTCCTAAAATAGATGGGTTACTACATTTATTACAAGACAGAAGTAAATGTTCCCTTCATTGCCCCATGGACTTGGGCTTGGACCTGTGTGGGATGCTGCTCCCTGGCCATGCCTGTCCTGAGCTAGTGGGCAGCTCTTCCCCACGCTTCCCTCTGCATCTTATTCCTGCATCCATCTGCCCCCTGCATCTTGTCCCTCGCTTGCTCTTGCCTGCTTTCCCTTTCACCTGCCCCTGTTAGAGATCAGCATGCTCCCTCTCACCTTTTTGTCTTCCAGCCCTCAGCTTTTCTTTCTGTCATATCTATGCTCTTGGAAAAGAGTCTTATGTTGCAAGGGGGAAGCCGAGGGGGTTGGAAGTAATTGGGGACTGGGTGGGAAGAAAGAATTGAAAAGATACACATAAGCCCTTCCAAATGCTGGAGCTAATTCCTTTCCTTTCTTATCTTTTAGATACCATTGATGGTAAGTTAGAATGGAATCAGTTACTCATACCCAAACCATTGTTGCTCAGAAAAATGATGTATGTTGAGCAATAGGTAGTTTAGAAAATGTAATTGTTTCATAATCACTGGGGTTTTCAATCCTGATTTTTTTTTTTGTTTGGAAAAATTATGAAATTGCGATATGTGTAGGTAAAAAAATGGTTGAGTATCAGCAATTTTGTATAAGTCAACCTAATAATAGCAGGCATTCTGTGGTGTCTATGCCTCCACATTTGGGAGGAAAATTTGTCTCTTTTCTACCACTAGCAACTAATCTTCCTGTTGGACAATTTAGAGAAGAGAGTAATTTGCTGATTTTTTGAATTGAAATTTTCTTAACGATTTAATTAATATTAATGTTGTTAATACTGTAGGATTCATAGCTACTCTGGTTTTTTATTGCTTCTGAATTAGAAGAAAATAAGCATGACAGTATAAATTTGGTACACAATATGAAAATTAAGATCTACAAAATGGACGTGATTATTCATATATCAGAGGTATTCTTCCCCTGACAAAAGCTCTGTCTTAAGTCCTTAAGATACTTCATTTATATGGTTTATTTAAGAATCAGTTTTCAGATCATTAACTACTTGAGGGATTAATATAGAAAGAAAACTGAAGTCATGTAATCCACTGAGGATTAATCTGAAAATAAGATTAAGTATCTCTAAAATCCTAGACTCAGCTAATGGAAAAAATGGTGAGTTGATGAAGCAACTCCAATTATGAAGAGTTTGTGGTATAATTGTTGCATAGATTCAGGGACTTCTGAACTAACTTTATGTTTTGGTGAGAAGACCTATTATAATAAAATTACTGTTAATGCTTTCCTGAATCTTTCTCCTTCTAAATTTTCCTGTATCTTTTTCTTTTTAAGGTTTCCACAGCTGGATTGTTTACTAGGGCCAATTGTCACCAATGGCAGTAAAACTCATTTTCTGGGGAATAGGGTGAGTTCATGTGGATTTCTACCTGATTTATTATTCCATTCTATTTGGGCCTGTGATTGTCTCTCAAATGTTGTTTACTTCCTTATACTCAAGGTAAATAGCTGGTGGTAGTTTTTTTTTTTTTTAAAGTGATATTATTAATGAAAGAAGTCAATGAAAATAAATTATATGAAAGCTTAATTTTTTTTTTTTTAAAGCTGTGAGGAATCTAGTTAGATATTGACTGAGTTCAAGTAACGTGTTAGTGATTTTAAATTTGTAGGGGGTGTTTAGAATTGACACCTCTTACTTAGTAGTAATTAATCTTCAGTAACAAAGGGTCATGTTATTGTTAGCATGTGTTTAGTAATATTAATGGACAGACATAGGACATGAGCTTTAAGTAGGGGATGTGCCTGATAACTGAAGTTACTGAGAGAAGACGACCAGACTGGGAGGAAAAACGTGAATGCAGTGCAAACAGTCCATTAAACTAAGAGCAGAAGCTTTAGTAAACAGCCAAGACCACAGAAAGCTTAAAACATTTGAGGGAAGCTTTTCTGAGGGCTGCTGCTAGCCCATATGACGCTTTGTGCAAATTAGACAAAGGCACCCCTCTGTAAGACATTCACTTCCATCTGATGGGAAATTATTCAGCTATACTGATTTTTAGAACAAGACATTTTATTGCCATGTGCTGGAAAATTGTAATATGAATAATCAAATTACCCATCTTTAAATCAGCAAAGTTTTAATAAAAATACAAACAACTTTTAAACGAGTAGAGAGATGCTCATGATGAGCCCGATGCCTCCGTAAACATGGTGCTCTTCCACAGTGCACAACCTGAGCAACTGGGAAGTTGGCTCTGCCTTGTTGGGATTCAACTCATGATAGACTCTAAGGAAGGGACACTTTTTGTTAAGGTCTGGTCATAGAGGACAGAAGATAGAAACAAGAGTTTGAGGTTTGGCTTTGATTAGAAACTTGGGTGGCTCAAAAGAAACTTACCAGAAGCACAGTAGCTGTAGGTTTGGGGTCCCAAAAGGGTAGCCTGAGCTTTTTAGGGCTAAAACTGGGAAAGAAACACCTAAACTGTGCTTTAAACTAAATTTATGACTGAGTTTCTGCCATGTGGTGATTTATAGTATGTGCTTTCAGATTCGCCCTACTTTAATCATGAAAGCTTCATTCTATAGACCACCACCTGTGTGATGTCCTTGTTCTCAAAGACGATTTAAACTTGGACTGTTTTTCCCAGTAAAAGAGATTTGCTTTCAGAATGTCGAGTGTATTCATAATGGATGGTTCTTCATTACTTACAAATTTTTGTAATTAATCTTCTGATGAAACAAAAAGCTATGATGTTGCTGTTAATGTGTATTTGATAGATATTGGTTGACAAATGCAGGCTAAATGGGATGTGGCAATACTTTGGGGCCAGATTTAGGGGCTACGGGTGGAGTATGTGACTGGTGATTGGAAAGTTATTGAGGAAATTAGAACAGATAGGGGAAAAAGTCATAGGGTAAGTAGGTGGATGTGGCAGTCATGGTAGTTGGAGGCATGGTGAAAGTGGTGCAGGTTGTGGGGTGGTGAGGATGGTGGTGGCCGCTGGAGCGGCCGGAAGGTTGGTAGTGGAGAGCTGGCAGCTGCCACTGTGGCGCTGAAGACACATGAGAAGGAAGAGATGACATGTGGAAAAGATGCCATGCTGTGGACACAAAGTATGTGGCCTAAGTAAAAGCTTTTGGTTTCTTGGGTGCTGGAGACAAATTGACAAGAGGGATATTCAAGGGGCCTCCTCTTTGTGGTGATGCAAAGTTAGTTCTTTGTGTGTGTGTGTGTTTTTTTTTGTTTTTTTGTTTTTTTTTTGATACGGAGTCTCACTCTGTCGCCCAGGTTGGAGTGCAGCGGCGTGATCTCCGCTCACTGCAACCTCCGCCTCCCAGGTTCAAGCGATTCTCCTGTCTCAGCCTCCTGAGCAGCTGGGATTACAGATGCGTGCCACCACGCCTGGCTAGATTTTGTATTTTTAGTAGAGACGAGGTTTCGCCATGTTGGCCAGGATGGCCTCGATCTCTTGACCTCATGATCTGCCCGCCTTGGCCTCCCAAATTGCTGGGATTACAGGCGTGAGCCACCGCGCCCGGCCAAAGTTTGTTTTCTTATTGTATCATTTACCCCCTTCTCCCCCATTCCCCTCTATGTGTATGGTGGAGGATTTGATACTCTGAATACAGAAGCACAGAAACATGATCGATTACAAACACCATTCATGAGATTTAGTGCAAAAGGCCCCAGTGTTGTTTACATCTAAAACGACCTCTCCTCTGCTCCCCCAACACACAAATGATCTATGTTTTGAAGAAAAAAATGTGGATTTTTTTTTTAATGAGTGGAGGAAGCAGAAGGAAAAAGGGAAACCAGATAAAGAAGACTTAGATCAGTTAATTCCTCCCACCCCTGCAGTTGTTTAGCTGTCTGTTCTACTTTGTGGACATTATCCTTGACTGTGGAACACCAAGGGGAGTGAGAATATGAAGACACTTTGGATCTGATGTTTGGCAGCTGTGATACTGAGCTAATAATTTTGAGTTTCATGTTTCCTTATCTTTCAGTAGAGAGAATGATATTCCTTATTAGAAAACACAGACGGAATATTTGTGAAAACACTGGCTTAATGAATATTAAAATGTAACAGAATGATAGGTTTGATGATGATCTGGTATTCTCACTGTCCTGAAACTTCATGATTTTTGGATTGAAATAATTTATCGCTGTATGGTCCACATAGTTGTCCTCATTATTTTAAAGAAGAGATCCTTTATGATGATTCTGTAAAGATGTATATACTCTGCAGCAAGAGAGATTTAGGATAGCATAGCTTTTGAAAAAGGGGAGTTAGTGGGTTTTCCTGCAACGAATGTTAGATTAGGTATAGAGCACCATGTGCTTGATGTGTGCTTAATGGGATGGAATGACTTTACCCTGTGCAGATGCTAGTAGCAGCCACATACAGTGGGTGCTCCTAGTTCAGTACTGTGCTGAGCCCAACACTCATTATCTCAGTGGCTCCTTAGAACCCCCTCTGGGACAGGTGCTGCCATGGCTCTTATTTTACAGCTCTGAGAGGTGAAGGATGGAGCTAATGTAGCCAGACATGCCTGTTGCCACTAGGCTTTCCAGTCTCCTTGGATCCGGACTGGCTCTACTCTTCAATGTCTTTTTCATTTCTCAAATACTATGCATTTTAGACCAGCCTGTCTCATCCCCCAGAGCTGCTTTAAAATTGAGCAGAGAATTCTATCATTAGAGGACACCAGCTGAACAAGGCCAGGGGAATCCTAGAACTAAATTTGTGCCACATAATGAGATGTGAGGGGATTGTTGGTTGCAATTGGTTTCCCAGAGACCTGAGAGATTCCTGAAGGTTATTTTTTTTTTCTACATGTGATTCAGAAGTATCTATATCATTGAAATATCCTCAGATTTCGAGAATGTGAAGGAACCCAGCGGTGTGTACATCTTATTTTTCTGCTTTAAAATTATCCTCAAGAATAGATTGGAAGCACCGGGGTCACAAAGTCTGTTTTTTGAGGCAGGGTAAGGTTAATCCTTTCCCTAATTCATCTTTTTCCTTAGGCAGAAAACACAGGAGGAGAAAAAAGACCAAACACATGTTAATATTTAAATTCATAGATCCAGAGCCCAGAATTTTAGTATGTTGGTTATTGGGATAAAGGGACTGGTGGATTCAGTAAATGTCACATGGGCAATTCTCTTAAGATGATAGAAACCATATAAGCTTCTTTGTTGTCCTTTATTAAATGATGCATAAGACTGTGCAATTTACCCTGCACCAATCTCTTGTATGTACTGTTATGTAGCTGCTGTAGCCAGGAATTAAACCTGTGATCTGTTTGATATGAGGCCAGATTTTATTAAACTAGGTCATCAGGGCACACACGGGGGATGGGTCATGCTGGCACTGTGTCGTCTTTGGAAATTAACTGGGTAAGCATGCCAGTAGGCAAACGAAATGGCTTTGCTTCTGCTATTAGAAGCAGATAGCGGGGAGCTGTGTAATATTTGAACATGCATCCAGTTAATGAGGAATTACAATGAGAATCCTGGAAAAGTTCCTGTGATACTCATATTATGTCAAAGGAGTTCATCATATTTGAAATTATCACAGGAATTACAGAATAATTCAAAATGAATAGGTAATTATTCAAATGTTGTATGAGTTATTGCTTCAATGTGCACATTCTTAATACAATGTGGATTTCTGCCCTCTCCTTGTAGAAGCACTGAGAACCTGAGCTCACATCAGCCATTTGGTCGTGATTTCCTGGGGCAGAAGCTGGGGAGTTTGCATAGGGAGATCATTTATAGTTCTTTTGAAGGTTGAGTTTGGTTTTGTCTAGGAGATAGGAGAATGAATTAAATGACATTTTAAAAATGGCTTTTTAATGTCTGCTTTTGCCTGAAAGGGATTTTGTATTTAATTCTTTGTCATATTTATGTAGTTGTTATTCATTGTACTTAGCGTCCAGATTTTTAAAATGCTGTGTGTGTGTGTGCGCGCATGTGTGCGTGTGTGTGTATTTAATGTTCAGTTGCTAATATGGGGATATTTCTCTTAGATGCCAGGATAGGAGAAAGGCCTTTTCAGAAGTACTCGTCCACCCCACATGGCTTGGGGAGCAGCTTTGGCACATAGGGAGGGAGGAAGGGGTCTGCAGCATTTGTGTGTGAGTGTGTGTGTGTGTGTGTGTGTATGTGTGTGTGTGAGAGAGAGAGAGACGGAGTCTAACTCTGTAGCCCAAGCTGGAGTGCAGTGGCATGATCTAGGCTCACTGCAACCTCCGCCTCCTAGGCTCAGGTAATTCTCATGCCTCAGCCTCCTGAGGAGCAGGGACTACAGGCGCACGCCACCACACCCATCTAATTTTTTTGTATTTTAGTAGAGACAGGGTTTCACCCATGTTGCCCAGGGTGGTCTCGAACTCGAGCTCAGGAGATCTGTCTGCCTTGGCTCCCCAGAGTGTTGAGATTACAGGCATGAGCCACCATGCCTGGCCAGCATTTTCTTTTTTAAAATTTTAATTTAATTTACTTGTTAATTAATTTATTTTTTAGAGACAGGATTTCACCTTATCACCCAGGCTGGAGTGTGATGGTGTGATCATAGCTCACTGTAACCTTGAACTCCTGAGCTCAAGCAGTCCTCCCATCTCAGGCTTTTGAAGCTAAGACTATAGGCAAGTGTCACCAGGCCTGGCCAGTTTTTTTTTTATTAAATTTTTGTAGAGATGGCATCTTGCTGTGTTGCTCAAGCTGATCTCAAACAACCATCCTTCTGCCTCCGCCTCCCAAAGCACTGGGGTAACAGGCGTGAGCCACCGCTCCTGGCTAGCAACATTTTCTAATCTTTCTGCTGTAAATTTCACTTGTCACTAGAATGTAAACTTCACAAGGGTGGGGATTTTGTCTGTTTATTCACTACCATTTTCCTGACACTTTGACCAATAAATGCCTAACATGCATTGGACACTAAGGAAATGTTTCTGGAATGAATGAAGCCATTTGAAGCTTGTGTCTCTGGGAAGTAGAATTCTTTTTCTTTCATCTCAAAGGAAAACAAATTTACCTAGTCTTTTGCTTATTCTTTCAGCAGCACAGAGACATATTGAGAGATCAAGGAGAGACACTTCATTTAAGAAATTGGAAGGAAAAAAATTATCCTTTATGGTGTAATACTTATTTAATGGAAGGACTGGCTTCGTGGTAGAGGTCCCTGTTATGTTCCCTCTCTGTTTTGTTTGTTTTTTTTTTTTAACCTAGACAACTTGCTATACATGTTGCTCAGAATAAGAGGGTACGTAAGTCATCAGATAGCCACAAAGAAGGACGATGTAGACTTTGGTGACACTCTGGGTCATGTCTCAGCTCTGGCATTTTTTAGTGTGTGACTTTACTTATGTTACAGTTTCCTTACCTTAAAAGGGGATGGTACCTGGCTTGCAGCTCTGTAAGGATTACATGAAATGAGAAGGGAGAGCACTCAATAATATAACAGTGCCTGCCACAAAGTAAATGTTGCTTCTCACTTCCAAATGAAGCCTCATTTAAGTCTCCTTTAAGAACTTGACATTACTAGACTTGCTAATTTAACTGCTTTTCTTAAAAACATATATGCAGTCTTTTTCTTAAAAAAAAAATATATATATATATATATATTCCTCCTTCAGAATAGGGCATATTAAACAGAGTCCTGTAAGAAAGTAGAGCTGCTTGAGTTATAGCCTGGCACTGTGGATCGTGTTTAGGCATTTACATAACTGCACTGATCTGAACTAGTTTGTTAATGAACGAACATTTCTTAAATATGGAACCCACGTGAGAGACCACGGGGGAAATCTAAACTAAGTTTTTGAGGTCTCCCAATCCAGGGCAGCTCTCTCTTTGGAGTTTAAAGGAATCGTCAGGTCTCTGTAATAACTAAAGAACACGAAAGAATTATATTGAAAACACTTGGCTAATTATAAGTTCTAAGAGGCATTTCAGTTCACTCAAGCGTTTTAACATCCACCAGGACATACAGATACACTTCTCAGTCCATCAAGTCAAAAGCTGTGTGTGTCTTTTAAATGTTTTAGTTGTAGTTTTCTTCTTTCCTCTTTAGGAGAAATTATCAGGGCAGGTTAATCTCCACAGACTATTATAGATGTGCAAATAATATGCCACTTACAGTGCGTTTTTAATAGACTGCTTGTCAGAAGAGCTCATGTTTTCTTCTGCTTCATGTAGAAGCAGTTCTTGTATATGCATTCAGAAAACAAAGTAGTCTTTCATTTAGGAAGAAAATGCCCTCTTAAAGAAACAATGAATCTTAATAGAAGAGGGTATCAGGACTCATCTTCCTTCTCAAAGGCAAACATAACAAAATTGATAGTCTATGAAACTCACTAATTTGTCCTAGCTCCGTCGCGATTTTTCATACCTCATGCATCCCTGTACCTTGTATTATAGTTATTTGTGAACAGACATTATTTCCTTACTGGGCTGTATGCTTCTTCAGTGGTGTAATCCATGTCTTATTCATTCCCAATATTATTTGGCAAAGTGTCTTACACGTAATGGGGATCCATAAATACTTGGTGAATCAATGAGGATTTTCTGAGCAAAGTACAGAGGGCTGGGTTCATTGTTTGTGGTTCTCATAGTTTTAATTGGGGGTGATGTGGAAGAGTTCATGTCCTCGTCAGGTTCCTGCTGAGCCAGTGTGCTGTATTGTATTTAGGATGGCAAGAGAAGCCTGCCAGAAAATCACCTAAGGTAATTATTTTTGACAAAGTGGGAAGATATTCAAATAGGCATGAACAATATAGAGTTTCTGACAATAAAGTCAATATCACTTGAGGTTTTTTTTTGGTTCCTTGGATTCTTCTTGGTTCCAGTGCAAATGAGAAGGTGAGGATGAGGGTGGAGTATAAGTTTTTGCCTCCCAGATAGAGGGACACAGGGCATAGGAGCTCTGATTTTGGATTTCTCAGTGCAAAGGAAGAGGGAGGGGAGTAGTCCAAAGGCAAAGGCAAGAGGATCTCTAGAAATGGGGCTCAGTGGGATGTCAGGCCTGGATTCGTCTAGAGGACACTGAGGATAACTTATTGTGATTTTGTACCTCTCCCCCTTGCCTATCAATTTCCGCTGCATCCTCTGTCTTGTTGTGGCTCTGGCAAATTGATAAGGAGTTGGCAGGGTGGTTTTGCAGGGAAGGCCTCATTTCCTTTCCTGTGTGGCCTAGTTCTTCCATCTGTGACTCTCTTGATAGCATCTTCCTAGACTTTGTTTCATCTTGGCTTTTTCAGCACCTCCCGGGCCCATCTCCTGGCTGGTCTCAAGTCTTGCTAGGGCACTGTCCAAGGAAACCATGCAGCAGCCCTGAAGACTGATGCTGTCTCAGAGTTATACTTCCTGATGCTGGATGGACCTCACATAGATGCAGCCTCTGGGCGCCAACGTTATGCAAAGCTCAGACTTGGGAGGAGAGCGGGAAGGAGGGGAGTAGCTAGGCCTATTCACTGTCACAGGTGGGCTTTTACCAGGGCTTTCTGCCTTGGCCAGGCTCAGCCCTCCTGTCATCTGACCTCACTATACACTTATCTGCAGGATAATGCCCCGATTTCTTAGCAGGAATATAAGACCTGTCCCACACTCTATGTTTTATCCACATTTCCTGTCACACCCTCCTTTTCTAGTTCAGGGATATATATATATATATTGAATGCCTGCTTTGTGATAATCACTGTGCCAGATGCTGAGAACGTCAAAAGGAATAAACTTTGGTTTCTGCTTTCCAAGAATTTACTATCTTTCCAAGAATTTACTATCTATTGGTATAGCCCAATATACAAACAACTTCAAAAAAATAGTTTAAAGGAATGTTAATGGGGAAACACAGAGGTGGGACTCACAAGCCCCTTTTCTCCATCCTTCCTAAGCCACTCATGGTTCATATGTATTGGGGTCAGCCAATATTGGTTTGATTGTGATGTTTTATATCTGTAGTATTGTATGACAATAATTGCTGTTCTGAAAAATAGTGTTAGATACCCTAAGAATGATAATAGTCAAAAGGATTACATTATACGATAAATAATAAAAACAAACTTGTTGGAATGTTAGTGGTACCTGGTGTGTGAGTGGTATCTAGTGTGGTAGGAAGAGAGATGAATATTTCAGAAGTATTTTCAGTAACAAGGGGTGTGATTATTGAGTTTCAAAGAAAATTAACTTAGAAGAGTCTTTCAGTAAACATTCCCGTTATCACTTTATAATAATAATTGATATTTCTAGCCCCACCCTATTCCCTGCCAATCCCGCTGCTGTTGACGAGGAGATATTTTTGGCTCGAATGGTCTCGATGTCAACCTACAAGGATTTGCCCACTCTCCCAGTGGACATTTGGCAATGTCTGGAGACATTTTTGGCTGTCATAACTGGGGACACTGTGCCACTAGCATCTAACAGATAAAGGCCAAGGATGCTGCTCATCATCCTGTAATGCATAGGATAGTTCCCCACAAAGGATCTTACCACCCCAAATGCCAGTAGTGCCAGAGTTGAGAAACCCCAGTCTGGATGAATAGCCTATATTGCTGCATGGTCTTCTTATAACAGCCTTGTTATGATTTAATCCATCAGATGAATAGTTTCGATGATCACTTAGCATGTTTTGGAGAGCTTTACTAATGTATCCCCAGTGTCTAGCACAGACCCTGTAACCTAGTCCACAATTCATATGTATTTGTTTGTTAAATGCATAAGTGCATATATTCCTGAAGATAGTAGCATTTTATTTGTTTTCCAAACACTCCTCTTGTACTTTCAGAGTTAGATAAATGGAAAATATGTGCCGGAGTTTATGAGAGTTATTTCAAAGATTCAAAGCAAGTGTTAGGTCAGTAAAAATAAGACACCTGGATCTCTAAGAGGGAGAAGATAGAAAGTTATCAACTCTAGCATCAGCTTTTTTGCAGAGCTGAACAGGCAAAAACACAGCAGAAGTTCATGAAAGCCCAGTTGGTCTACAGCCACAGAGGAATATGCTCTAAGCAAACAGCTGCACCAAAAAGCAAACTCAACACAAACCTCTAATAGGAAAATAAGTGGGCATCATACAGAGTCCTTAGAGGAACTAGAAACTGAGCTTCACAGCAGCACTACCTGAGGCTAGGGGCACAGACAGATATAACTACAGCCAGCTCAGAAATTACCTTGCACTGCCCCATGGACGCCATCTGTGCTGGCTTTGCTGGGAAAGCCAAGTGCTTGACTTCCCAATTTCTCTCTCACCGTTTTCCTGCTTGAACCCTTTGCTCCAGCCAGACTTTCCTGCTTCTCCTCTAAACATGCCTTGTGCTGCCTCTCTCTCATTGCCCATGACGTTCTTCTGTCTAGAATGCTGTTTTCCCTCTCCTCTCTACCTCTGAGTTTTCCAAGACTCAGCTCAAGTTCAGCAGCCTGTATGAAACCCTTCCCAAGTTTTTCCTGCATAAAAAGTCTTTAACAATCTTATTTGGCCCTCTCTTACCCCCTCCAAATCCAGGAAACAAGGTAGTGTCATGTTTTATCAGATTCCATTCTATAGAAACCTCAGGTGCTTCGAAACGATGAATGGGACAAATGCAGCTTTTCATGGTTGGTGGAACAGGCCGTAAGGATGGGAGAGCATCTCCCTTTGGTTCATCAGGGCCCACTGGATGGACGCCTGTCACAGGCTGTACACAACAGTCTGCTCGTTGGTATAAGGTCCTTTGAAGGTTCTGATAGTACTTACCTGGACAAAGAAAGAGACCTGAAGGAGTACTTTTATATTGTCCGCAAACTCAAGAAATAGACAAAAATGTAAATGTCATCCTGACATTAGACAGATACATTCCCCTCTGTATAGGGCCCCATCCCAGTTTTTGGACAGCCCTGTTTTCTCAGGGTTCAGATACAACATGGAAAGTGTGTGTGTCTCTTGTTGTGCTCTGATCTTGGCTCGTGGCAAGTTCAGGGAGAGGGGCCAAGCTTGGCTAATTGGCCAGCGACAGCCCTGCTGGGCTAGGCATTCTGTCAGTCTCACCAGGCACCCTCTCTCTAGATTCAACCCAGAACTTTGCAATATTGTGTAGAATTCCCAGCAGCAGTGAGTTCTGATCAACTCTATTTACAAGAGCAATATTAAAAACATAAATTGCCCAGAGGGTATGCTTAACATTAAGGTGTTAAACAGTAGAGGGAGAAGGGACTTGTGAAAATGAAGTTTAATTTTGATACAGAGAACTTTCATTCTTTGTGCAGGATGTCTTAAGGATGTCTCTAAACCATCCTGGAGACTGGTCTTTAGACAGTTGATTCATTTTCTAGCAAAACTCAGACAGATATATTAAAATTAAAATCTCATGGTGGGTATAAAATTTCATTATTATACCTGTTCTTATTACAATCACTTGTTTTCTATTCATATGAGATCATTGGGTAGAGAAAATTTACCTTGATTTTTGCATTCAGAATTCAGTTGCCTGTTTACCATGGTTTCATTTATTTTTAGATGAAAATTTCCCCTTTTTGTGTGCAGCTGAGTGTATCTCTCGTTTGCCAGAAGGGAGGGGAATATCGCTGTTAAATGAGGATGATCATTTATTTGCAAGTTAAAACATATTCTGAAAAGGATGGAAGCTTGTTCTTGCCTGAAGCTGTTTGTTCTGTGAGGCTTTGAGGTGTCTCTGAGGGCTGTCTCTATGCTCTATTTTGTCTTGTTTCTTAGCAGTAAAGCCTTTACTTATGTTGGTATAGGAAGTAGAGATAAGTGATAAAAATATCTGGAGTGGACCTAAGAGAAATAAGAGATCTGTAACATTCACATAATTCAAATGCAGGCCTGGTGATTCTGAAACATTCAAAATTATGTTTTTAAATGCCATTATGTAAGCACATACATTTGTCCATTGACCGTGATGGAATTCATTGTAAGTGACCAGTGGTTCCCAAAGCCATGGCATTGGCTGATCTACAAAGAAAAGGAATCAGAGTACCTGTTTCAAAAACAAATCATCACATGTATATGCAAATAATTAAGAAAACATGTACTGAGTGACTACAACATAGTGGGCACTATGCAGATGTCAGAGATACGAAGATATATATGATATGGTTCTTGCCCTCCAGGCACTTAGAGTCTAAGAGGAAATATAGATGAGTATAGATCCGGTACTTCTGGTACCTGCTGACAAGGACTCTGACCAGGGTCCTGAAGCACGCACAGTTCCAGAGGCCCTCCTTAAAAAATATACAAAATTACTAAAGGAGCACCTGGTAGAGAGATGAATGTGTATGTTGAAGGGGCTTGTGCAAGTGAGGATCCCCGAAGTGTCAGTTTCCGCCCCGGCCCTGTGGGATGTATCTGAGTGGGTAGGAGCACTTGAGCAGGACTTAGCGCCCAGCTTGGCCTGGGGCACCGCTTCCTGGAGCGGGTGGCATTGTAGGTGTGTGCTGTTTCCACTCTTCCCTCCTGGAGTCTACTCTCCACACAGTAGCCAGCGTGAGTCTTTAAAACCTAAATGAGATGATAGCACTCTCATGTTCACACTTGCTTTCCATCACACCGGGACTTGAACCCCACATCTATCTCCCTCCCCCTCGCTCCTGATGCCTCCTTGCTGTTCTTAGACCTTCAGTCACTTTCCTGTCTCAGGGGTTGCACTTGCTGTGCCCTCTGCTTGCAGGATTACTCCCTCCTATTTAGCACAGGGCTGGCTCTTCTCCACCTGCTCAAATGTCCGTCCTCAGAGGGGCCTCACCTGATCACACTATCTGGTGCCCCTCTGTGTTCCCTGCCCTCTTTATTCTGACTTATTTTCTTCAGAGCATTCTCCGTACATTACATACTCCTTTGTTCATCTGTCTCTCCAGTTGGATTGGAAGCTCTGGGAGGATGACTGTATGGCTCTTATTCTCCGTTATTTCCCCACACCTTGGATGGGGTCTGGTATACAGGAGGCACTCATTAAATATCTGTTAGAAAAAAAAGTGAGTGAAACTAATACAGACATGGTGGGACAGTAGCTGGGAGGTCTGTCTTCAACAGTTTGTGAAAAGGGAGGCTAATGGTCTTCCAGGACTCTATTTTGAGAGGCTAAAAATATATTTGTTTCTGAGCAACACTAACTTACAGAATTTTAAAATTCCTTGGAAAAAGGCTGGGCACAATGACTCATGCCCATAATCCCAGCACTTTGGGAGGTCGAGGTGGGTGGATCACCTGAAGTCAGGAGTTCGAGATCAGCCTGGGCAACATAGTGAAACCCCGTTTCCACTAAAAATACAAAAATTAGCCAGGTGTGGTGGCACACCCATGTAGTTCCAGCTACTCCGGAGGCTGAGGAGGGAGAATTGCTTGAACCTGGGATGCAGATCACGCCACTGCACTCCATCCTGGGTGACAGAGCGAGCCTCTATCTTAAATACGTACATACATACATACATCCTGGGTGACAGAGCGAGCCTCTGTCTTAAATACATACATACATACATACATACATACATAGCGAGCCTCTGTCTTAAATACATACATACATACATACATACATTCATTCATTCATTCATTCCTTGGAAAAAACTTTCATGCAAGATTCCTATGGATGGATGGCATCTGATGATCTGAAAAAGGTCTGAGATTGTATTCTAATCAACAGTTACTTAAATGTTCTGTTGTCTTAAATGCCTTCATGTTGGATCTGGTTGGAAGAGATTTAAATCTCGAAAAGTGGGAAAGGGAGGGGACAGTTCAATGTATGAATGTGTGGTAGGCGGGGAGTTTAATTTTCAAGAGGTAAAAAGTCCCATCTAAAATGTTTTCTCCACTGATGATATATTTGTTAACTTTATGAAAATGTATTGATCCTGAAAGCAGCAGCACATTGAATTGTTAAAGTGATCTCTTGTTCTCCATGTTCCTACTGGTTACATATTCCTCTTCTCTAGAACGGCAGTGGCCGGAGTGGATGCCTTGGAGGCTCCTAAAATTCTGCTGGGGGTGGCTGATGAGACAGAAACTAAGGTTTTATTATATTTTGCTATAAGGACTGACACAGATGGCCTCACTTGGGCAACCTGTAAGGCTCTGAACCGAGGTGTCTTGAGGCAGCTGGTGGAAGTTCCATTGTGTGGAGTGGAAACAGTGACACCTTCATACCCTTGTCCTTTTTGCTGCATATGTGTATGGGATTAAGTAGATTTACAAATTACATTATCTAGTTATAACCAAATTGACCTTCACAAAATACAGAAGTGGCTTAAAAACCAGAGATTGACCATCATGTTAAAAAGTAAAAGTGCAAATGAGCATCAAAGAGGTGGCAGAATTTATATTCCTTCTGCTACTGTTTGTGTGAGAATTGCCTTAGCCAAATAAAAACAGATGATAACTTAATACTACTATATAAGAAGTTGGCCAAGGAGTTCAAGATCATCAAGAAGATTATTTGAAATATGGATTCATAGCTAGTATTATAACAGTGTATCTTGTGCTATCTGTATAGGATGGCTTGTTATAGTAGTTACTGGTCAGAATACATGTAATCTACAATGCATGAATAAACAAGTACACTTGTATTGGGGGATGCATGCTCAAAGCTTCTTACAGTTAGGGGTGTCCACTCAAGAAAGCTTAGTGTCCACTGCTTGAGGGACTTGCTATTCAAAGCGTGGTCTGCAAATGAGGCATCAGCTGGGAACCTTTCGGAGATGCAGAATCTCAAGACTTACCCTAGACCTCTGGAATCATAATCTGCATCTCAACAAGAATCCCAGGTCATTTGTATGCACATTACAGTCTGGGAAACACTCCTTTAGGGAATATTTTATAAGGATGCTGCTTCTGTGCATCTGAAACCAGGAAGTCATTTCTCTCCACAAGAAATTGTGGAACTAAAGATGTCTGATTTTTACTTCTAGTTATGTTGCTTACAAACTTGGCCTTGGGCAGCTTAATGACCTGCTGAGATTCTGTTCCCACATCTGTAAAACAGAGACAACAATCCTTGCCTCCCAGAAGATTTATAAGGGTTGTCTGAATGTGAAGCCCTCTCAGGAACCACCGTTCAGTTTTGCCTTTTCCCCTCTGCGTTGTTAGTCCATGAACACATTGAGGGAGGGATAGCTCTTCTCTATCTTTGTATTTCCCAGCACAGAGATCTTTAAACTTTTGCTCATGTACCTCTTAAAAAGCCTTGAAAAATAATATATACCCGCCCATTTTTAAAAGTTCCTTTGGTTTATCATAAATTTTAAAAGTTACAAAGTAATCCCTAGGTTGTTGTAAACATTGACATTTAAGAAATAAAACCAGCTATATTCCGCTTTTCAGTCTAGCCAGTAGAATCTGATCACTGGGTAATTTGAGAGGCTCTCAGTGGGAGGAGCCAGAGAATGTCTTCCCTCCCACTCTCTGACTTCCGTGGCGTGTCCAGTAGCAGCTTAGTATCCTGGCAGTTCTAGCTCCCACTGGATGGGCTCATGGTGGTTCCATCTCCCTCCTGGGGATGCTCTGGTGACACATCCCCTCCTTTTGTCCCTTTAGCTCAGGGGTGGTGCTAGCTTCCAGCCCTTACTTATCTTGGTGTTTCTCCGAGGTTCCCAGCTGGTTTACCAGCTCTTCCTTCATTGGTTTAGTCAGTTCCCTGCAGTAATTCCCTCTGTGCCAAATAAAGTAGACTCATTCTTTTTTGGTTAGATCCCAACAGATAAATATACCAGTTTTTATTGATATGCCGATACGAATTGTGCTTTTGTCACTGGAAGGTTTTTTTTTTATTTTAATAGATTATTCTTTAGTAGCATAATTCTATCATCTCACAGGCACTAGTCATTTTTTTAAATTAAATTAAATTTTAAGTTCCAGGATACATGTGCAGGATGTGCAGGTTTGTTACATAAGTAAACGTGTGCAATGGTGGTTTGCTGCATCTGTCAACCCATCACCTGGGTATTAAGCCCAGCATGCATTAGCTATTTATCCTGACGCTCTCCCTCCCCCTAGACTGCCCCACTACTGACAGGCCCCAGCGTGTGTCGTTCCCCTCCCTGTGTCTGTATGTTCTCATTGTTCAGCTCCCACTTATAAGTGAGAACATGTGGTGTTTGGTTTTCTGTTCCTGTGTTAGTTTTCTGAGGATAATGGCTTCCAGCTCCACCCATGTCCCTGCAAAGGACATGATCTCATTCCTTTTTATGGCTGCATAGTATTCCATGGTGTATATGTACCACATTTTCTTTATCCAGTCTATCATTGATGGGCATTTGGGTTGATTCCATGTCTTTGCTATTGTGAATAGTCCCGTACTGAACATACACATGCATGTATCTTTGTAATAGAATGATTTATATTCCTTTGGGTATATACTAGTAATGGGATTGCTGGGTCAAATGGTATGTTTGGTTCTAGGTCTTTGAGGGATCACCATCCTGTCTTCCACAATAGTTGAAGTAATTTGCATTCCCACCAACAGTGTAAAAGCGTTCCTATTTCTCCACAGCCCTGCCAGTATCTGTTGTTTCTTGACTTTAATAATCACCATTCTGACTGGCATGAGATGGTATCTCATTGTGGTTTTGATTTGCGTTTCTCTGATGATTGTCACTGGAAGGTTTTATACCGCACATCTATGTACCCTGGAAAGATTCAGGATGTGTGAGGGGTATTCTTCTCTTTAAGAAACAGAAGAAGGGTAGTTGTGAGAGAAAAGATGTTCCCAGGCAGAACAATTTTAGGAAAAAGTACAAATAGAATATAAGGTTCTGTAAACTAATTCCCTTAAAATGAGCACCTTTGAAATGTGTCTGTGTGCTCCAGTTTGAAGACTGCTGCCTTGCAAAGCTGGACACATTGCACATTTAGGCACACTAAGTATTGTTTGAGTAAACGGATGGCTGCATATGTAGGGAAGTCCCAGATTGTGCATAAAATCTTTTTTAGCAGTGGTGAGGCCCAAATGCAGCCAACAATGTGGGATGCATGCTCAGTCTGACACATCCTGAGACTGCAGTTCATAGCTGGTCAGACTGGGTGTCTCCGAGGGCCTGGCGCTTGGCTGAACAGATAGAGCCACTGGGAAAGCAGGCAGGATCTTGGAAGCCCAAGCGATAATGGGCCATCAGCTGGAAACAGGGCTTCTGTTGTCACTTTGCCAGCAACAACAGCAGTGGTGCTGATGTTTGCAGTTGTGTGCATCTGCAAATTTGCAGAACTCTGCCGCTTATCTGGGGAAATCTCTCTGACAGATTTGTTTACGGAATATCAAGTTGTGCATTTACGGCTGGCTAGCCAACAAAACTGAAAATGGCCTAAGGAGGATTTAAAAAATGACTACTTTTCATTGGCTGTAGAACAGAAGCCTCCCTACCCCGCCAAAATAAAGAGTCCTATTTCGCATCTTTGTTTGCTTTTTGCTGTGATTTTGTTAAGTTGCAGTATATCCGTACAACCTCTCCCACAAGAAACTCCACTAAAACTCCAAACCAAAAAAGCAAGACACTTGTGCAGAGAGAGACTCCTGTCATTTATAGTGTTGCTAACACAACTTCGTAGCCACTGAGTCAAAACATCTGAGCGGTTGCGCACATTCACCCCAGACACTCTAAGGAAGTGAGGAGCTGGTGTTTCCTGAAGGGGCTGATTGCCCATTTGCCTGGTTTACCTGGCAAGGGAAGACCTCGGCATTGAGTGTATTAAGACAGGTTAAATTTAATTTACAGTAGCTATTAATACTGTTTCAAAGAGCCATCTCGAGTATAGAATGGGTGGCTTCTTACAGGGAATGTTGTACCAACTGAGAAAATTTATGAAGATGATAGATCTAGAAGACAAAGGCAAGCCTTCTTAAATGTAGAAACTTGACCATCCAACTAGTGATTCGTCTTTTTAAAAATCTGAAAGGCTAAAGTCATAGGGTCCGTGAACTTCCTAGAGGGATGGAAGATCAGAGATCAGTCTTTAGGAAGATATCATGTGGGAAATGGAGTAGAGACTCAGATAAGAACAAAATTGGCTCCTGAAAGAAAAGGTAAAGATACTGCACACGTGGAGTGGGGTATCCAGGAAGAAAGAGGGTTTTCATATCAAGAGGCAGCAAGTGCCAGAGAACAGGCTGCCTTTGGGGAAAAGGCAGAAATAGATAATTAATGGTTTTGAAAGTCAAACTACAGAACTGCCCTTTTCAAGTGTTTTAATAAATACTGAAGGGAATGGAAATACATTTGACATAATATGGAAGCAGTGAAGGACATGTTAATGGAACTTTGATGATCACTATGTAAGAAAGTACTTAGGGAATCAGAATATAAACAAATCAAGGTCAGGAGAGATGCCTACTTATGTTCAAGTTTGCTCCAGTGTTCTGCGCAGAATCTTACCTTACGGGTTCACTTCGGTATTTCCAGCATTACCCATCATCATCTATCCATCCATCTACCTTTCCATTCTTTCCAGAGATCCTTTTGAGTCTCTGCTACATGCCCTGAGTCCTGGACTGGGCACTAAGAACACTGTAGTGTATAAAGCCATGCTTGGCCCCTGCTGTTTTAAATCTCATTAAAAGCACAAGTGTACGATTGCAACAGCACTGGGTACCATGCAGGAGAGCAGTGTGGTGCTCTGGATATAAAGTAGAGGGATTTGACCTAATTGAAAAATGAGAAGGAAAAAGCCCTTGAGTGGGAATGTGCCTTTCCCTTAGAGGCTAGGTCTTCATATGCTTGGGAGTTTCAGGATGTGTAGATCTTCCCTTAAGTTGAAATTATCTTATAGGAAGGATTCTTGAATGAAGGTATCTAGGATTGAAAGACTTTTCTACCTTGCATCAGATTTTTAGTTTATGTAAGTGTATTATACTGGGGTTATGGCTCAGGAATTAAACCCATGTCTAAAGAAAAAAGCATGGAATTGCAAATTTGTCTTTTTCACTGACCTGCTGGAGAAAACTATATTAATTGCATAGCAATTAATAGTTGGCTGAGTTCTTTCATATAGTTATTTAAACTTGTATCTCTACTCTGTCCCTGGCTCTCCTTCCTCCCATTCTTCATCCACTACCTCCCAGGCAGGTAGGACAGGCAGAACATTGTTGTCATTATCTATGGCAACATCAAATGTGTTTTGAAGGTTTGCTGCATTGGAAGTTGACAATAAAATTACAGCACGTGCCCACCATCTATCCCCCACCCTCAAACTTAGCACTTAGAGAGGGGACATATACTTTAAAATAGAATGCATTAATTTCTCCAGAGGCATGTACAAGGCTTGTTGGAATATGAAGGAGGAACCCCTAATTCAGACTGTTGTGTGGAGAGGGGACAGGGAGTAGGGTGTATGTTTGTCGGGGAGCTTCCTGCAAAATCTGGAAGAACAGGGAAGATTTAGCTGGATGAGTGACAGAGTGGGTGGGGATGAAGTTCAGATAAGGGGTGAGCTTTGCCAGATGAGGAAACGGGACACCTAGAGTTGAGGCCAGATCTGTCAGTTCCTTCTCCAGTGCACACTCCCTGAACTGAGCTGCCACTCAGGTGGAGAGAGGAGTGGGAAACGGTAAAGACAGCCAATAAGTTGGGTAACCCAGGAAGGGAAGCAAGAATAATTTGGTAGCAGGAGACGGCAGGTACTCAAGACAGGCTGCTTTTTGGGAAAGGGGCAAGTAGATAATTACATGGGAGGCCCTGTGCAGTCATCACATTTGCTCTCTCCATAACATCCTGAATTAGGTGTTGCTAGCTGCATTTTACAGAAGGAGAAGTTGAGGCCTAGTGGGGCTAGAACCAGGTTGGACTTGACCCTGTGTTGCCCTGTTCAGTGGTCAGTACTACAGGGGTGGCTGGGGCCCAGTGGGAACTGTGGGCTGCTTGTGGCATTGTCCCTGGTTGGATGTCTGAGGACAATCCCCATAGTGGGCAGGCATGGCTGGGTTCTTCAGAGATGTAATGAACAAAAGAACTTTGGGGACTAACTCATGGACCTCATCCTTGCGGTCCAGTGACTTCTGTGGAAAAATGTGTTTACATCCCCATTCGTAAGCTGGCCCTATCTGAATCCTCCTTTACTTTCTAGGACTGGGGAATTAGGCATGTGCTGGCTGCTTAGGCCCTGTGTGTGTGGGCATCTGCCAGCTTTCTAAGCTACAGTAATGAAGGCTCTCATGACTTTGCAGAACTCAGTGTCGTGTAGAGTAGAAGTATCCATTATTAGACTTAAGGACAGAGGTACATTTGTATTTTTGCAAAACATATTTAACTTATGCAGGATGATGGGGTAGACCATCCTGTGACTGATTTAAGAAAGGCTGTGTTTATTTAAGGAGCTGCACAGAGAAACATACAGGAGAAAGGGTAGAATATGGGAGATTTGTATGTTGTTCAGGGACAAAGTTTGTGAGGGATGACCAGGATCCACAGACGGGGGTGGGTGGAGGCCCTTCCTGTAGCATCTTCCCCTGAGGCCTGACGAGAGAGAGAGAGGCAGATTGTAGGGTTTTATTTCAGAATTAATCTTACTGATCAGTACACTCCATCCTGCCTACTTTCATTGCAGAACCTTGTGCTTGGGTTGAGGCAGTGTTGAAAGGAGGGATTGATTTATATTACATTTAGTTGTGATCAGTTAGACAAAGTGGTAGATAATCTTTGGCAGGATGGATTTAGAATTTGCTTAATTGCCATGTGCTATGATGTTCTGCCATCTGCAGGGAGAGCTTCCATTTGGAGATAAAATCAAAATACAATTTCTAGATTTTATTGAGGGTCGTCCTCCCTTAAACAAATACTGTTGTTTCTTTTTTCCTGATAACTATTTTCATTTTCTGTGAAAACATGCAAATGACTCAATTGCTAGAGGAGAAATGAGGCAGCATTTCTAATAGTCACTCTTTTGCCAGCTTTTTGTAGGAATCAGGTTGTTTGACTTTCTTCCCCCTAAGAGGTTAGTATCTGAAGTGATGTGAGCAGAGAACCCCTGAGATGTCAGGTACCATCACCAGGCCGGAATGTGGGATTTGGAAAGGAGACCTAGGTCTTGGCTTTTTCAGACTCCTCATGTGAAACCAGTGGAGAAATCCAGTGTCATGTGGAAAATGCGGCTAGGAAGGGGGCTATCTGGCCTTCAGTCAAGGCAGTGGCGGCAGTGGAGTGCACCTTAGCAAAACATCGCCACATGCTGCATGTCAGCCTAGTGGGGGACATGCACGAGGCTTATCCCTGGATGTTTGGAGTCTGACTGACCGCACCCTCCTTGCTCCCATCCACCTCAGATGTTTCCCTGTGTGTGCTGGATATTGGAGGAACTAGGGCAAGTCATTCTTACAGTGCTTTCAGAGAAAATTCATATATATGTCAACTCTCCTCCTGTCACGCTCAGTTTTTGCAAACACTTGGGGTTACATGTTTGGTACAGTGTGACAGTGTATGTCCCTCGTTTTGCATTGTACCTGTTGTAGGGCTGTGCTGGACACCCGTGGCTTGGCCTGAGAACAGAACCTCGCCAGTGTCAGGCAGACAGTCCCTTGCTAGTTCCATCAGTAACAAATGCTGTTCTTATCATGATGGTAACCAGTCTGTTAGGGAATCTTATCAGCCTGCTGGGGAGAGCCAGCAGGCAGAGATGGTTAAACATCTGCAGGGCAGGGACCAGGCTGGTAGAGGGCAGGGCAGCTTGCTGGACAGTGTCTCTGTGGGACCCTTACAGGGGCAGTTTCCCAGTGTTGTGGCATTAAGTAGAGAAATTAGCCCTCTGGAGTTAGGATGGTACGTACAATGGGAAGTCCTATGTGATAGAATGTAATACTTTTAAAATGTTCGTGTGAGAGTATATAGATTAATTGTCCATTTAACAATGATTGCTGGAGTTAGAGAATGAATCACAGGTAGTCAGCACATCCATGTTAATCTCTGCAAAATTATTGCTCTGCATGTAGTTGAAGGCTGTGGGGCCCGACAGGCCTGGCATGGGTACAGTTCTGTCATTTAATGACTTTGTGTAGGCATGTAGCCCTTCTGAGCCTCTGTTTTTTTCTTTTTTTTTTTTTTTTACCCTTAATGGTGTTAACATAGCCCAGGGATTGTCTTGAAGATTAAACGAGATGATTTTGCATGTATGTGAATAAAGAAGCAAAATGCCTGGCATTTAGCAGTCAGTCAGTAGGCAATAGTTGCAGTTACTTTAAGGCCACAATGTAATCTTTGGGAATATTTGTCACCAATCAGGAGTCTAGGGTCTTTGTTCAGTGGTGTTTTTACCGAGCCTACAACAGTGCCTGGCACATGGTAGGCACTTGGTTGGTACTTACTGGCTGTGTGGAGCAATAGGGAAAGTGAGGCAGATATTCCCCGTATCCAGCAGCCTGAGGAGTGCCTGTGTGAAAGGGAACTGCTCTGGAGGCGTGAGTGGAGGTGGCGACCCTGTGGAGTGTTTGAGTGGGAAATGCCCTCCTGTGCCTGGTTTCCCTGACCCGTCCCTAAAGATTCCCTGGGAACCCCCATACGCTCCTTCCCTTCAATTTTTGCTGCAATCTTCTACCCCATATATACCCAACTCCCAAAAATGTGTGGGAAAGAAAACCCTTTTTAGTTTTCACCCTTAACATAGGAGAGAGAGAGGCTAAATTTATAAAGGAACTTGGAAGCTGACCCTAACACATGCATGTGTGTATACCCCTTGTCTATAGATACCCCCTTGGCCTCACACATGAATAGAAAATGTGTGCATGACAAAGGAAATAGCACAGATCAATCTGAATGGGCTTATTCAACAATATTGTCACATGGTTGGTTTGAAATTTGGGAAACATTTATGTAGGCTGATACCTGATAGGATATACCCAAATTCTGCATGATTACATAGTAAATTAACAGCAGGAACGCAATCAAACATTAGAAAAGCCAGAAGAAAACAGAATTTAAATGGCTGGGCATGGTGGCTCACGCCTTTAATCCTAGCACTTTGGAAGGCCGAGGCGGGTGCATCACCTGAGGTTGGGAGTTTGAGACCAGCCTGGCCAATATGGTAAAACCCTGTCTCTACTAAAAATTCAAAAAAATTAGCCAGGCATGGTGGCGCACACCTGTAGTCCCAGCTACTTGGGAGACTGAGGCGGGAGAATCACTTGAACCTGGGAGGTGGAGGTTGCAGTGAGCAGAGACTGTGCCACTGCACTCCGGCCTGGGCGCGGCAGAGCAAGACTCCCACTCAAAAACCAAACCAAACCAAACCCTCTACACACAAGTTGTTGATTGTAGCTTTATTTATTGTAGTGGAAAATTGGAAACATCTTATGTGCTCAGAGATTGGGGTATATTCCCTTGGTGAATTCTCCAGTCATTGAAAGTGATCATTTTGAAGATTATTATAACATAAAAAATTGAACATGATAGTAAAGGAAAAATTAGAATAAAAATTTTATATACAAAATGACTTCAATTAAACATGTATGAAAAAGAAGAAATACATCATAATAGATATTTCCCAGTAGAGTCATGGTTTTGTGAGTGATTCTTCCTTTTCTCTATTTCCCAAATGTGCAAAATTTTTGTTGTTTTATATTTTCAGACATTATATACTTAAGTGATTACCTTTAGTCTGCTGAGGGAGATCAAAATGAAGAAATTATAGAAAATGCAAACATTTGAAAATAACTCACATGCTGTCTCATCTTTTGTTTCGAAACATTCCAGTAATGTGCAGGAGAGCTTTGGTGATTAAGCTTCATCTTTATCCAGAGAAAGTTATAACAGAGCCACAAGCTCATCAAATTCAGGAACTTTCTTCTGCATTCTTTCCTACTTCTAGCTTTCCTTGTGTTTCCTAAGCAGTTGGCTTCCAGGGCTCTCAGAAGCTGGTCTACAGGCTTTGTCCCCAGGAAAATAGATTGTTCCTTATTAAAATCCAGACGCTTTTCTGTTTCAAACCTTTCAGGTCCTCTGCTAGCCTCCCACTCGGTTACAATTTGTTGGTTCCCACCATGAGCCTTTATATAAAAACACACAGTGTCATTAAAGGTGTGTCAAGCCTTGTCAACGTTCTCATATAGCCCGAGGCTGAGGAATTCTGGCCTTAGACGTAAGAGGGTATTAGTAAACACCGTTTCTTTCTGCTCCTTGCCTGCGAGTGAGCTTTGTATGCCTGTCTTCCTAGGTTTGCCTGGAGGAGGCTTACCAGTGAGGAAAAAACACATCTTAGCAGAAGAATGTCTCACAGGTGCTGCAAAGTGCTTCCGCATTCTTCTGAAAATAGATGTTTTTAAAATTTATTTTAAAAATTAATTTATATTTTTGTATTTAAAAATGTTTTTAGAGATAGGATCTCACTCTGTCACCCAGACTGGATTGAAATGGTGTCACCTTTTCTTACTGCAGCTTCAAACCCCTGAGCCCAAGTGATCTTCCTGCCTTAGCGTCCTGAGTAGCTGAAACTACAGGCATGCACCACCACACTTGGCTAATTTTTATTTTTTATAGAGATAGGTTCTCACTATGTCACCCAGGTTAGTCTTGAGCTCCTGGGCTCAAGCGATCCTCCTGCATCAGCCTCCAAAAATACTGGGATTACAGGCACGAGTCACTGCGCTCAGCCCCAGATGTGTTTTAATATAAGTTGATTTTCAGTCCTCTGCCTCTGTGCTGTTGCTTTTCTGGGATTCAGAAGCTGTGGGCTAGGAATCACTAATTACATCCCTGCAAATTGGGTTCTCCTCTTCTACCCCTTTGCCTACTTGAAAATCTATGAAGATTCATTCAGGTGAATTTCTAACCATCTGTACCTCCTCCCCTACACATTAGCAAACACAGGATGCTCCCTTAGAAACATACCAATTGTGAGTTCATACTATAAAGGTTGTTAACTACATGCTCATCATAGCAAGTATGTTATAAGGGTCCATGAAAAATAAAAGGAAAGTGGGATTGTTCTCTACCCTATTTTATGGGGTAGGCAAGGTTGACCTGATTTCAGGATATCATGTTAGGCCATAGTGTGGGAATGTGTTGTGGCAAGAGACTGACACCTGCAGCTCTTGAAATTCTCAGGCCTCCTGGCTCATCATGTCGGTGAGGGAGGAGCAAATGAACAAATTTCAAACAAGTCATAATTAACAGAAGTTAAAACACATTAAATTAATAGCTGAAGACCATGAATTTAAAAACCCTATGATGATAGCTTAACAGTGGCCAAGCTAAATTAAGAAGGTTAAAAAGGTGTGGGCCTGAGACTGTGCTTGATCAAGAAGTTGTACGGTTTTAAGTTTACTAAACAAAAATACCCCACTCAGATTCTTCACACCTAAAATGCTAGGTCATTACTTAGTTCTGTTGGGCATTTTCACTTCAGTCCTCCCTTGGGGAAAAATTGGGTGTTTTCCCAGAGAGGGAGACCCATACATTGGTGACTGGTAAATGTGAACCTTGGTTCCAAGTCTGTGATCACTAGCTTATTTTCATGAGTATTGTCCTTTTTTGTTTTTTTAATATTTGATTTTGCTCCCATATACATAATTGACAGCTTTCAATAGTTGATGTTTTTTGTTTAGTAGAGACATAGCAGCTCGCTCTTGAAGAATATGAAACCATATTTGTACTTTTGACTTAAAGTTTGAAATAACATCTAAAATTCTTTCAAGTGACTGCAAATGCATGTGTGTCTGTGTATATGTGTGTGTGTCTATGTGTGTGTCTGTATGTATGTGTATATGGGGGTGTGTATACACACACGTGTGTGTGTCTATTCAGCTGATCTACCTGTCTGGGAAGTAGATGACATGTATGGCTCCTACGACCCTTGAGATTCTGGTTGAGTAGCTCTGGGCTGGGGTTCAGGATTCTGTGTCTCTAATAAGCACTGTTAAAGATTGGGCTGCAGGTGGTACAGAGGTCCATGATTTAAAGAAACATCGCTTCAGAGTAATGAGCATGGTGCTAATGGAGTCCTTTTTATTTTCATGGTGGTTCTAGCTCTTTCCCCAGTTCTTTGGGTCAGGCCTGCACTCATATGTCAGAAGCAAATTAAAGTGATAAAACACCCAGAAAATACGAAATCATCATATTAAGTTGGCAAATTGCCATGCTTTTCTCAGCCATTTGTGCTTCCAAGCGTGACTTTATGATTCCTCTGTAAGTGCTTGATAATGAGAGGCCGAGCTTAGTTATGCAAATTGTTTTAGCATCAAGTATCCATCATGGGCTGCACATTTTAAGCAGGGAGAAAATACAACTTGTCCTGTGTAACAGTCAGGGCTTTGGCTGATGGTGGAATCTTCTGCACCATGGATGGATTATGGCTTGTCTGGGGGTATTTCTCTTGAAATTAGCCCATTGATTGAACCAGCAGAGAAGGAGCAGTATTATTGGGAGCCAGCTATCGGGTTTTCCCTATGATGACATTCTGGGTTGACTGGCCACACTAGAGTCTCTTGCAGGCTCAGCTGTTGCAGGTCTTTGTAATTGCTTTTCTCTTATGATTTCCTTGATGAGTGAGACAAACTGTTCTCTGGAAAACAATACTAGAATCAAACCATCTGAGGCAGTTGGAGAAATCTGCCTAGAGTTTGGATTTCTACTTTTCTTCATTTCAAAAGCGAATAGAATGTTTTTTAGGTTTCTCACTTGTCTGTAAAAGGCCAAGTATTCATACTTGGGGGAGGGCTGTTCACTGATGCTGTATTTAAATTTTCATGAGGACAGGATTTTCGTGCCTCCCTGGGTAGGTGGTTCTGATGCTAATTAGCGAGAAGGTGTTTGCTCTATGCATGGGAGCACATGTGAGCACGGAGCTTGTGTCTGGTACGACACGGTGCCACATTTCTGGTGCTGATTACTGCACTATCTCGTTGTTTTGACCCTGTGAGCTTAAATGTCAGTTGAACCATGGATCACCATAAGCTGTTTGACTTTTTCTTCTCTCTTGTGAAATTCAGGTATCAGAGCATCCTTTTCCTGACTTTCAAGTAGTTGGTAAGCACAAATGCTTATACAGGTGTCCACGGAGAGCATGATAGTAGCGAAGAGCTGTGTGCCGCCTCGAGCTTCTTGTTGTGTGGTCTTTGTGCTTTTTATTATTGGTGCTTATGGCATCTGTGCTTCTTGGGTTAGAAATATTCTGTATCTAAATACTAAAATGACTGATTCTTGGTTTTAAGCCAGGTTTCAGAAGTTATTCTGAAATGGTTTGAGATAAATACTTACATTTATTATGAACTCTTTTCATGTAGTTATCTTATCTTAAAGATGCCTTTGTATAAGATTTAGAGCACGGTTGCCAAGAATGGGTTTTAGATAAAGTATATGTAATTTTCATGTTAACTTGTAGTAGTTTGAATTCAGCCTTTATTTTTGGTTGAGTACTAGACAGGTTCCTCTGTCTTGTATTGTTTGATTAAAGGATGCCCTTCTGTATATGTCTACCATACCTGCATTTTAAAGTCACTACATCCTCCTCGAAATATATATATTTAATAATATATTATGAGGATTGACTAAAATTATAAAATGAATTTAAAAATTCTGATAAAGTTTTTAAGGACAGCAGTAGGATCGTGAATAAATCACAATGCAACATCTTACACTTGCTACCTCAAGTAACTGTTTAAGTTGCATAAATAATTCCTAAATCCCTGCTGAACCATAAAAACATTAGGGAAGTTTTAAATCATACTTACCCTATTTCACTGGCAGTTGGTAGACATGGAAGGGTGGAATCATGGTGAGAGAATGTAAGCTGGTCTAATCTTGTGCAAGAGAGTTGCCAAGAATGGCAACATTTTTAGCTTCTGAAGGAAGGACCTGTGCTCTTTAATGTTAAGCAAATACTTCTATCATTCTTACTACTAAGCAAAACTTGCTAATGGCTTTAGCCCTTGGGAATATGTAACCAAAGCTCTTTTTTTCTTCTCTGTTTCCCCTCATACTTGATTTAATATAGATTTTTAAATGTAAGAAAAAAATTATAAGAAAAAATATGGAGAAGAAGGCATTGTATTAACCAATAATACAAAGTGAAATTTCTAGACCCACTGAATGTACTAGGGGCTTCCGGAGAAGAATGTAATTTAGAACCTCAGTAAATCTCTTGAGCAAAGTTTCACTGCTGGTTTTCTTTTCTGCCAAATATCAGCTTGTATTGCTTAAAACATATCCAAGGGAGGGAAAGATTAAAGCTTTTCATATTAGAAGACTCACATGTTTAAACTCTATTACAACTCTTAATCTGTGGGTATGGGTTTTCTTCTGTAATAATAATAAGAATATTGGAAGTTACTATATCTAGCAGAGAGTGCAGCATTTTATTGTAGGTCATGAGTCTAGGCAGTGTGACTTGGCTCAGCCATCATGAGGATGTTGGCAGCTTTCACACCTGCATCCCGTGCCTACTGTTTGCCAAGTGGCTGACTGTTGCAGCTCCTGTTCTTTTTTCTGAAATACTGTACAAGGATCCAGGGCAGTGATTGCATTGCTGAGCCTTTTCTGCACAGCCATCATCCCCAAGATGTGTTGCTTGCTCAGACTCTAGGGCCCTGATGGTTTAATGTCCTGAGATAGCTGTGATTCTTTGGGAATCCTGAAAACACCATCACAAATAATTAGACAATTGCATTGTTTCTTGTCTACTTCTAAGGAACTCAGAACACTTTCTGGTCAAATCATTCATCTTTATCTGCTTATAACAAAGATGAAGGGATTACAGGGCTGCTTTAAAGAAAAAATGGGAGGAAAAAGATGTCAGCAGCACTTTCTCACCAATTCAGAACCTAGAGGATTTTGGATGTGCATTTTATCCTATTCAGGTGAAAATTCACATCGTGATATAGTAATTCATAATTTATTACCTTATAATAGTGTTATTCTTCGTGATAGGTTTATCCATCTGTTTCTTGCCTTGGAACCTTTATTTCTGCAGTGGTTTAGCTCTCACCCTGAGTTATCAGAAGTATCATAGTCAGTGGCAACACTGGTGTTTTTTCTTCGTTAGTAAGCTCTTTCTCAGCCTGCTGGGTTGGCGCCACAGCCTCCATGTTATATTGCAGATTCTGGTCACATCTGCCCAGGGTGTTCCTTTTGTCCAGTTTGTGTCTGTTTATGGTGCTCCTCTCGACGGACTTTCATCAGCAGGAGAATTCAGGCCTTACAAAGGGAGGGATGGGAATAGATGAATGCATCCTTAGATTTTTGGATTTCAGGAACCAGATCTTCCTGGGAAAACTACCCCAAATTTATTTTGACAATCCAGTGGTTTTAAAATAGCCTCAGTATCACCTGCCACCATCAGTGTCATTCTCTCCACGTTTTGTTGCCCATAGTTCATAAAAGAAAAGACATTTTAACTCCAGAAAAGCAAGAGAACTATAATTTTAGACTATCAGTCCTTTAGAAATGGAATAAATTCAGTTTTATATAAGGTCCCTATCTGCCATCTTTTAAACATTTCACCGTAGCCTGAGTGATAAAAAGTTCATGTCAGACTAGACTTTGGGAAGCATTGGGCTGAGTCAGATCCCTTGTGCTCCTCTGAGTGATCCCATTCCATGGCTTGTGTGTGTGCAGGAGGTTCTCAGTCTCCCTTTACTCTTAGGTGCAAGCACGAAGGAGAAGGTTGGCGGACATTTAACTTGTATCCAGAGCATTGCCAGAAACTTCTCTGGGATTTCTTTTGAAACCACTCACCTGTAATGTTTACACAGGGTTGATTTGATAATCTGCACCCCATTCACAAAGAAGAACCATTTGGAGCTGTTGAAGAGTTCTTTGAAATCTTGACCCTGGCTTCCACTCCTACACTCGTTGGACCTAGCTCTTTTAACCTGCTGTGGGTTTCTGAGTTCTTAAAGCTAAGTAATTAAAGTTGGCTCTCTCAGGTTCCACTGAATTTAACTAGATAACTCATTGTTCAAATGACTTCACATTGACCTCGATCATAGGGCCTTTTCAAAGCAGTTAAATGCCAAGTCATTTTTACCGTTATTTAAAGTAATTCTACAAGGGATAGATTTTGGTCCATTTGTAAATCAGTTATTATTATGAAGAAAGACTCTTTTTCCTTTCAGGAATATTCGTAAAGCTTTGTTAAAAGTAGGTAGTAAAGGCCAGGCACAGTGGCTTATACCTGTAATCCCAGCACTTTGGGAGGCTGAGGTGGGTGGATCACGGGGTCAAGAAATAGAGACCATTCTGGCCAACATGGTGAAACCCATCTCTACTAAAAATACAAAAAATTAGCTGGGCGTGGTGGTGCGTGCCTGTAGTTCCAGCTACTTAGGAGGCTGAGGCTGGAGAATCACTTGAACCTGGAAGGTGGAGGTTGCACTGAGCTGAGATCACGCCGTTGCACACCAGCCTGGTGACAGAGCGAGACTCTGTCTCCAAAACAAAACAAAACAAACAAAAAAAGTAGTAAAACCAAAAGCGAAGTGAGCAGACCCCTATATTTTATGTGTCTGTCTTCTGTGTAATACATAAATTTTTGTTACTGTCAGATATTTAAATTAAGATGTTAACTTTTAAGTGGATGCAGACTCTTAATTTCTTTCTTTTTTGAATGTTATGTATAAAATTCTTTTATATGCATTTTCTGTATTTTTAAAGTTGACAATAATAATTGCACATATTCATGGGTATGGGTCATACAGTGATATTTCAATATATATCATGTATAGTGATCAGATCGTGGTAATTAGCATATCCATCACTTCAAATATTTATTGTTCCTTTATACTGGGAACACTCAATATCCTCCTAGGTATTTGAAACTATATAACACATTGTTGGTAACTATCAGACTCTGATTTCCTCATACATATTAGTAAAAAGGTGTGTGAAATAGTATTAGATTGAAAATTAATGAAATTTTTACTTTAAAATACCTTAGATCTTAAGAAGGAATCCCAATGAAATATCTCTTACTGTTTCAGTAGTAAAACAACAACAATCTTGATATTATATTCATTATCCACCTGGCTGGACAAACGGCTTTGCTTGGTAAGGCAGGCAGATGACAGAGTATGGGAGGGGGAAGGAGACCCATTGGAGTGGGACTCCATGTCACAGCCTCTCCTATCATTTTTTCAGTGAAGTTCTCTGGTTGGCCCATTCCCCATCTCCTTACATTGACTGCCCAGGTTATGGATATCTGTGCTTCTGGTGGTTAAGCTTGTTGATTAGTTGATAATTATTTTGTTTGATTAAATTTGCAGTTGATCAGGTGTGGTAGTTAGAAAAGAGTTTGTAGGAGCAGGTCCTGAGAGAGATAGTAAGTTGTTTTGAAGCCAGAGACTAACTTGGATAGTCTGGCTGGCAGTGGAAGAACTGCAGAGCTATAATTTGTTTAAGTATGGGAGACCAGTAAAGTCACTGGACTTGTTGATTTTCTGAGAGGAGAAAGTGGATTGCTTTGAAATCCCCCTCTCTTCCTCCTCCCCATGAATGACACCCAGTTGTTCAGTTTTAGTTCTTGCCACAGCTTGCACATGGAAAGAATTCTGCCTCTATTTATAAATTTATGTCATAATTTCTATCATGTTCTAGTTGCTTTTGATAGCAAAGGAGGGAATTTTGGTGCATCATTATCAAATATCTACTGAGCACTGGGCTAAGTGTTGGGAATAGAAAGGTATGAGAGACATGGCCCCACCTACATTAATGATGTAACACATGTTTATTAAGCACCCTCAATGCTACAACTACTGTCATGTGCTTTATCTTGTGTAATCCTTATAGCTTCATGCCAGATAAGTTAAATAAAATTAATAGGACACAGTATTTATTTTTAATTTTTATAATTATTAAATATTTCTTAACTTCTGGAAGAAAGGACACAGTGTTGGTAGCACTGACCCACAAGCCCTTCTATCTCCTTATGTTATTTCAGCTGGAGTGAAATTTTTATGTAAGTGGGAGGGGAAAGAAAAAGCTGGAAGGTTTTGACGTGTCCTAGTTATGAGGAGCTTTTCATGTCAGGTGTGGGCATCTGGACTTTATTCTGGGATTATAGTGGCTCAGTGAAGTTTTTGAATAGGGGCTCATAGTAATGAGCACTTATTTTATAAGATGATAATGGATAGGAGAGAAATAGAAGAATGAGAGAGAAATTACAGTGGGCATCTGTTTCAATGAGATTACATTCATTCATTTACCCCATAAATGTTGAGTGCTTACTATATACCAACTACTCTATTAATCACTCAGGATATAGTAGTGGGCAAAAAAGACAAAACCCCTGTCCTTGTGGAGCTTTTATTTTAGTGGTAGGAGTCAATCGTTAACAAATAGTCATGTGAAAATATTTTATGTAGTAATAACTACTATTAAGAAAGTACAGCAGGATAAGGAGATAGGATTGCTGAAGTGGGGGGATTACTTTAGAGTGGTTAAGGAAAGCCTCTCTGTAGAGTTGACATTTGATCAGAGACCTGTGTCATGCAAAAGAGCCCACCATTCCAATATCTCAGGGGAGGAGTGGCCCAGGTAGACAGAAAAGCAAGTGCAAAGGCCCGGTGGAGGGATCAAGGATCTACAGACTGGTGAGTTTGGCCAGACCAGGAGGGAGGAGGCCGAGAGGGAGGCAGGAGGCAGATCACAATGGCTTGGGACCTCATGCTAAAGGATGGAGTTTATTCCACATGTGGCAGGACATTGGAGCTTTGTAGGAAGAGAGGGAAGCATGTGAGCTGACTCATGTTTTAAAATGTTGACCATGGTTATAAGTGGGTATTAGACTGTAAGGAGCCCAGCTGGGAGGCTCCTGGAGAAGGAGTCTGGGTAAGAGACAGTGGTATGGACCTTGGTGCTGGTGGCTCAGTGGAGGAGGAGTGGATAACTTAGAGGATGTTTTAAAAGATATGTTGATGAATTCATGGGGGGTGTAAGGGAAAGAGAGGAATTGAACAGCACTCCTAGGTTTTTGTCCTGAGCATTTGAGTAGATACGATGGCTTTTACTTCATTGGGGGAATACTTGGAGAATAATAGGTTTTTGGGAAAAAACCAAAAGATTTGTTTTGGATAGACTGAGATCCGTATTAGGTGTCTTGGTTCATTTTGAGTTGCTATAAAGGAATACCTAAAGCTAGGTAACTTATAAAGGAAAAAATATTTATTTGGTGCATTATTCTGCTGGATGGAAGACTGGGCATCTGGTGAGAGTCTCAGGCAGCTTCTCCACATGGTGGAAGGTGAAGGGGAACTGGCATGTACAGAGATCACATGGCAAGAGAGGAAGTAACAGAGTGGGTGGGAGGGAGCTGGTTTAGCAATCAGCTCTTGTGGGAATGAGTACAGTGAGAACTCACTCACACATTGCCTCCTCTCCCCGGGGAGGGCATTAATCTATTCATGAGGGATTTGCCTAACATCTCCCATTAGGCCATACCTCCAACATTTGGGATCACATTTCGACATGAGGTTTGAAGGGGACAAATATTCCAACTATAGCCATCCAAGGAGAGAACTCTGGGGCATAAGCAATGTTTGATGAGATTATGGCTGAGAATTTTCCAAATCTGATGAAAGATATGATAGATTCAGGAAAATTACAAACCTCAAATACACAATTCCTTCAACAGACTAACAGTAAATCTGACAGCTGACTTCTCAGGAGAAACAATGAAAGTTAGAAGGCAATGAAATGATGTCTTTAAAACTAAAGGAAAGTAACTGCCAAACTAAAATTCTATAGCCAATGAAAATATCATTCAAGGATAGAGGCAAAATAAATATATTTTTAGACAAATGAAAACTGAAAAGCTGTATTTCCCACAGACCCAAATGGAAGTGTGGAGATGTGGGATTGAATAATATATTTCGGTGACACATGTTTGAGTTCCTTGAACATACCATGGGGGAAAATTTTCTTCCTGCCAAGAGTGTTTGAGGCACATTCTGTTTACTCTGTCTGATGTTTTTCTCACATCTCTTTGAGAAGTTAACCCACTCTCATCATTTAGATAGAAGCACAAATGCCACTTCCCTGAAGCCTTCTCTGAACCCTGTCTAGTTTAGAACTAAGTCAAGTCCTCTTGTAAAGGGTGTCATAAATATCCAAATATTACTAGAGTGTTACACACAACATTGAATAGGGCAGTTACCATAACATGAATATTTGTGAACTGACAACATATAAAATTAGTTCCCACTCAGACTTTTTGCCTTAACACTAGTGTTTATCCTGTCAGTGTCTTGTATCCATTAATCTCTAGTGGATAGTTGGATGTTTACAATAATGCAATACAAATGGGTTTCAAAGTAAAATCACACATATTGCCAGCTATGCAGAATTTCTTGAATTTTGGTGACAGTGATGTTGAACTCCTAGAATCACATGCATTGGTAATGACTGGTAAAGATCTGGCAGAGTTATTAATAATTGAAGAAGCCAGAGTGGACATTTAATAGACAATAATTTGGAAATTAAAGAATTACAAAGAGGCTTTTGGGAAAATTGATTATTTTTACAAAATTACTCTTTTATAATCCTGTAAAAGTTCCAAGTGACAATAAGTATTTTGTGTTATACTATCATTTGGTAATGTTATCCTGCTCTCTAATCAACACTTGATTAATATTTTCATTTTAAGAATGATTTTCTTAAATATTCTTAAGTGTTGGATGAGATGAACTTAATTTTTTCTTTTTTTGAGATGGAGTCTCGCTCTGTCGCCCAGGCTGGAGTGCAGTGGTGCAATCTCAGCTCACTGCAACCTCCGCCTCCTGGGTTCAAGCAATTCTCTGCCTCAGCCTCCCAAGTAGCTGGGATTACAGGCACCCGCCACCATGTCTGGCTAATTTTTGTATTTTTAGTACATCTTGGCCAGGCTGGTCTTGAACTCCTGACCTCATGATCTGCCCCCCTCGGCCTCCCAAAGTGCAGGATTACAGGCATGAACCACCATGCCCCGCCACTTAATTTCATTTTTAGCCATCTTTCAAGATAAACTATTCAATTTATTTAATTCAGTATAATAAATCCTACAAAAACTTAATAGCTTAAAACTATGGGAATCTTTTGTTGTCTCTCATGGTTTCTGTTAGCCAGGAATTCAGGAAGGACTTGGCTAGGTGGCTCGCTTTTAGGATCTCTCAGACAGTTGTAAACAGCAGTCATCTATAGGTGTGGCTAGGCTGGAATGGCTCACTTATATGGCTGGCTGTTGGCTTGGGGCCTCAGTTGCTTCCCATGTGTGTCTTTCTGTGGGGCTGCTTGAGGGTCCTCAAGGCATGGTTGCTGGCTCCCCAGAGAGCAAACCGTCCAAGAGGCCAAGGTAGAAGCTGCAATGACGTAACATCAGAAGTCACACTGTCACTTTTACCAACTTCAGTTCACACAAGGAGCAACCCTAGTTCACTGTGGGATGGAGCTATGTAAGGACAGGAATACCAGGAGTCATGGATCATTGTGAATAATCTTGAGGGTTGGCTGCCACATAAGTTATCCTTTCTTTTTCATCATTTATTATGAAAATTTTGTTTTGTTTGAAGTAGATTCCCTCTAAGAGGTCTTGATTTGGTATCAATTATCATGAGAGAAGTAGGATCTCCTACACCAGTCTTTTGTTCATATTCTTACCACAGTTGTAGTTCATGTATACTGATGGAGGTATTTTGTTGTCTCCCCTTTAGAAAAATGGTTTGTGAAGGCTGGTCCAAGGCAGCACCAGCTAGCACAGTACTTGGTACATAATGGATGTTCAGTAAAAATGTGTTAAATGAATGAATAAACAAATCTAGTAGATAAGCTATTGGTTCTTGATTAGAGAACCTCCAAACTTAGATAAAGCACCAGATAGCACAGTACTTGGTACATAATGGATGCTCAGTAAAAATGTGTTAAATGAATGAATAAACAAATCTAGTAGATACTGTTGGTTCTTGATTAGAGAACCTCCAAACTTAGATAAAGCACCAGCTAGCACAGTACTTGGTACATAATGGATGCTCAGTAAAAATGTGTTAAATGAATGAATAAATGAATCTAGTAGATGCTATTGGTTCTTGATTAGAGAAGCTCCAAACTTAGATAAAGTGGATTTGTTTTTTGTTTCGTTTTGTTTATTATCCTGGCTATGCCCTTACATTGCTGTTGTAGTCAACCTATGTCTTCAGTGTTCTGTATTCATGTTAATGTTTATTTTTAAAAGAACTGTTAGTATATGTGCTGTTGTGGAAGGGAAAAAACAGCCCACATAAGTAAATCTGCACTGTTGAATTGTATGGATTTAGCCTCTTCCCAGGGAGAAAGTTATTCAGCTGAATTCTGTAATTGATCATTTGGTGTTTCTCAAGAATATTGATGACCATTTTCAACAGCTTGGGATGAGTAAGGAAGATAAAATTATATCTTTAAATAAAAAATGGTTTCTATTTATTGATGTTAAGGATATATGGGTAAGAATTATTCTTACTAAAAAGACAACAGTTACTTAAGTGATCATTTTGTAGGTTTGCTATTTGTAATGTTCTAGAATTTGTTTTATTCATGATTTATTTTGTCTATTAAAACCCGTTTAAAATTTTCTTTTAATTTAAACATTGATGAGACTTGGCTGGGTAGCGGAATGCCAGAAAGGGCCAAATTCCTGCAGCTGCCTGCACACCATTATTCTGAAATGCTGCTATTTAAATGGCTTAGCTAATAGCTGAAACATGACTCTCTGAGGAGGGTGGTAGCTCCTCTAATTTTCTGCCTTTGCCTCTGCCTTTCTTCTTTTCCTCTTCTTGGAAGTTGTATACTGAGTGTTAGTCAGTGCACAATTTCCTTATGGATTCCCAGTTGGAGATGAGTGAATACCCTGGTGAGTTGTGGACACAGCATCACAGAGAGCCTAATACTGAATATTGGGTTGGGGTCTGTGTTCCTCCCTAGATTAGAGATTCTGAAGCAAAGAGACCATGTATAACCTTCAGAGGTTGGTTTCAGATGTTTACACAGCATATCCAGTAAAGATTGGTTAAAGAATGAGATTTATTGGCACACATAAATATGGACACTGAGCAGTACGGCAGGGTTCCCGCATGACATCATCTGGTGGGTCCAGATTCATTTCCATGTGACTGTCCTGGCTCTCTTCTCCACATCCCCAAGCCATCCTAAAGATGGCTGCAGCAGTTCCAAAACTCTCTTCTCAACACACCGTCTAGAAGAAGAGAGAGTTGTTTCTTGAAAGCTGCAGAAGATCGAGGAAGATCTTTTCCAAAAGTGTCCATGAAAGTTATCACCCTCTTTGTGGGTCTTTGGCCTAGGTTGGGCCACATTCCTGAACCCATCACTAGTGATGAATATGGAATTACCCTTGGATCGGTCAGACCCACCCATGGAGTGAGGGGAAGCACTAGAGGAGAGGTGAATCCCTGAACAGAATCAGGGTTTCATTAGGAAGGAGGGAAAACACGCTGGGTAAATGATCAAACAATGTTCCTTATCCTCTTTGTTATGTCCCCCATACTTAGAACAATCCCTGGCACATAATAGGTTGTTGATAAATATTTATTAAATTAATTTTTTATCTTCTGATTTAATTTCTGAGTTCTATGATTGCTCGTTTCCTGAGAGATAAACATTTATACGTTGCTTATTGTCTACTTTTAAGTGAACTTTAAAAAATACTTATTTAAGGCTGGGTATGGTGGCTCACTCCTGTAATCCCAGGATTTTGGGAGGCCGAGGTGGGCGGATCACGAGGTCAGGAGATCAAGACCACCCTGGCTATGATGAAACCCCGTCTCTACTAAAAATACAAAAAAAAAAAACAACAAAAAAATACAAAAAAAAATTAGCTGGGCGTGGTGGCGGGCACCTGTAGTCCCAGCTACTCAGGAGGCTGAGGCAGGAGGATGGCATGAACCCAGGAGGTGGAGCTTGCAGTGAGGTGAGATCGTGCCACTGCACTCCAGCCTGGGCGACAGACTGAGACTCCATCTCAAAAAAAAAAAAAAAGAAAAACAGAACTTATTTAAGTAGCCCGTTGTTATTTCGCTATTAATGGAATTATTAAAAATAATTTATAATAAAACAACTTGGTAGGTATATATTCAGATAACTTTGCTTGCATATTACAGTCCAAGGGTTTATCCTTAGGAAAACTAAGAAAGGAAATCTGATTCATTATTTATAACTTGTAAGACAGTAGAAGTATAACCGAGAATGTCATATTATAGTCATGGCATATGGTAGGAGCCATAAAACCTCACATTACTCATCGAAACTTGTTCAGTTAAAAGAAGTGAATTTGGTGTGAGATTACTATAAATCCTGTGACTAACGTAGTGATGATGATGCTTTGTTAAATGAATCCATAAGAAGATACTCAGAAGCTTTCATGCTGATCCATAGTAATATGGGATATGTATATTTTATCTCTTGATGCCATAATCTGTAATTAAATTCTTCTATTGCTGGTGCCATCGTTGGTTTACATTGTTGGTTTAAATTTATGTAAAATAAATTTAGCATCTGGATTCCTTAGCTGATTCTCTATGCTGGTGTTTATTGTTCTGCAAGTAGTTCAGAACTCAGAGGTGCTGGCTTGTTTGTTTTATCATATCCGAAAAATGTGTTCTTTTGCATTTGGAAATGAAGCTACTGACCTCCTGAGTTCAGGGCATGGGCTGAGGTATTTTCTTCCATTATGATGCCAAGTTGAGCGTTTGAGTAGTGGCTGGTGGATTAGGGTGCATGCTTTGTAATCTCTGTAGCTTTAATTGATGTGTATGAAGATCAAACTTTTTGGTGACGTTTAGTCTAATTTGGTGACATTTCGTCTAATGGCCCCAAATACTTTCAAACATTGAGCTTTGTGGCTTAAAAAAGAATATATATATATATGTGTGTGTGTGTGTATATATATGTATATATGTGTGTGTGTGTATATGTGTATATATGTGTGTGTATGTGTGTACACACACACACATACACACACATATACATTTTTTGTTTTTTCTTCAACTCTTAAGTCCTGGGGTACATGTGCAGTATGTGCAGGTTTGTTGCATATGTAAACATGTGCCGTGGTGGTTTGCTGCACAGATCAACCCATCACCTATGTATTAAGTCTTGCATGCATTAACTGTTGTTCCTGAGGCTCTCCCTCCCACCACTGTACTTATAGGCCCTAGTATGTGTTGTTCTTCTCCCTGTGTCCATGTGTTCTCCTTGTTCAGCTCTCACTTACAAGTAAGAACATGTGGTGTTTGGTTTTCTGTTCCTGCATTAGTTTGCTGATAACAGCTTCCAGCTCCATCCATGTCCCTGCAAAAGACATGATCTCATTCCTTTTTATGGCTGCATAGTATTCTATGGTGTATATGTACCACGTTTTCTTTATCCAGTCTATCATTGATGGGCATTTGGGTTGATTCCAGGTCTTTGCTATTGTGATAAATGCTGCAGAAAACATACATGTGCACGTATCTTTATAGTAGAATGATTGCTGTTCCTCTGAGTATATACACAGTAATGAGATTGCTGAGTCAAATGGTATTCTGGTTCTAGATCTTTGAGGAATCGCCACACTGTCTTCTGCAATGGTTGAACTACTTACACTCTCACTAACAGTGTAAAAGCATTTCTTTTTATTTGCAACCTCACCAGCATCTGTTGTTTCTTGACTTTTTAATAATTGCCATTCTGACTGGCATGAGATGTATCTTGTTGTGGTTTTGATTTGCATTTCTCTGGTGATCAATGATGTTGAGCTTTTTTTCATGTTTGTTGGCTGCATGAATGTCTTCTTTTGAGAAGTGTCTGTTTGTGTCCTTTGCTCACTTTTAATTTTTTTTTCTTTTAAATTTGTTTAAGTTCCTTGTAGACTCTGGATATTAGACCTTTGTCAGATGGATAGATTGCAAAAATTTTCTTCCATTCTGTAGGTTGTCTGTTCACTCTGTTGATAGTTTCAAAAAAGAATATGTTTTCCTTAAGTGCCTGCTGGTGGATAGGAAAACTCAAGTGAGAATGACCTTTTCCTCAATCATTTATGAAACCAGTGGGAAGCAATTTAATTACTACCCTCTTTTAATGAACCTGAACGTAAGGTCATAGTATGTGGTAGGGCAGGGCCTGGTGGGGGGGCTCCATTTTACTTTTTAGAAGGTGTATTTCATTGGTTGCCAAGACTTCTGACCTATTATTTTGTGAGCTGGTTATGTGAACGGCTGATGTTGAAATCTTGACCTGGGGCCTCTCCTTGTTTGAAAATATTCTTGAAACATCATTGCTGTAAATTTGAGAGAGTGAATTTCTCCTGAATAGGATATTTTGCTCTATCTGCTTTAAGAGAGAGTTTTAAATGATTTCCATCAAATAATAAAGCCCCTTGATGATCTAGCAGAGGTTGCAAATTGATGGGAGGGAAAACTCTCTAAAGTGAGGTCAAAGAATTTCCTTTTAGGGTTGAGTGTGCAACTGATACTGATATTAGAGATGTATCTAAGTGTGATTGGCACAGTTACATGGCTTTCAGGGTCAATGTTCAGTAACCCAGGTAGAAGTGGTTGAATTGATCCAGGTCAGAGAGATAAGGAAGCAAGAAGTTGAGGGTATTTGTGCTAATAATATCTGAAGTCGTGAGGTTGAGGCAAAGAAATAAAGCTAGAAAGGACCTGATATATTGAGAGAAGACAAGAGATTCAGCTACTGAAATACTCCATTCACCATTTCATTACGTATCTTGTCAATTTTTGTTGATACTTCTTTTCACCAACATGTTGTCTCACTGTTCTATTCAAAGCATTTTGGTTAATAATGTGATTTAAGGAAGAAATCTGTATTCATTATGCTGAACTCACACCAACTCTCTGAAAAACATGAAAAAAGCATTTACTGTTGGTGAAGTTGAAATCTCATTTCCTTCCTGTCTACTGGTTATTGTTTCTTATTTGCATATCACTCCAGGCTAATGAGGAAAAAAATACATTTTATTAAGATCAGAACAAATCAAGCAAGGTCGATTCCTGAATATTTATGAAACACAGCAGTAAATGAATAAAGCAAAGCATGAATCAAGTTTGTTGTTCTATCTTGGATTTTGTGAAGTGGAAAAGGAAAGTCCAGGACTCGTGGTAAACAGTGGTGTATTCATGCTAACAACTTAGATGGTAACACAGTGTTTATCCATCAAAAAGCAAAGGTTATAATAAAAGGAAAATTAAACATTGAAGATCAATGTACTTAGAAAAAACAAGTCATAATGTAACATATGCATACTTTGGAAAATTTGGGAAACTGTAAAAAGGAAAACCTAGTCATCACTAGTCACACTACTCAGCTGTAACCACAGGTAATATTTTGAGTATACCAGATTTTGTTTTTCCATGTACATATTATTTTCCTTTTATTAAGTGTTAGGGATTATTTTTAGTAGGTTTCAGCTATTCCTGTCACTTGAAAAGATGAGGCAGACACGATTTTACCCATGGTTAACAGTACAGCATGGTCTCTTTTTGAGAGAAATCTTATAAAAGGTGGAGTTCTAGAATAGATTATAGTTAATCATTTGTTTTTATGAGTATTTTTGATAGAACTATGTATGTAAATATGAGGTGTTTATGGAAACACAGAGGACCTAGAATCACCAAGATACTTTTGTTTTCATTTCTTTATTTTTAATTTTTAGACTTGGGGGGTTTGTTACGTGGATATACTGTGTAGTGGTGAGGTTTTGGCTTCTAGTGTACCCAGCAGCCATGTAGTGGACACTGTACCCAATAGATAATTTTTTAAGCCCTCACTGCCCCTGCCTCAACTTGGAGACCCCCAGTGTCTATCGTTGCCATTGTTATGTCCATGTGTACTTACTGTTTAGTTCCCACTTGTAAGTGAGAACATGCGGTATTTGATTTTCTGTTTCTGAGTTATTTCACTTAGGATAATGGCCTCCAGTTGTATTCATGTTGCTGCAAAGGACATTAGTCCGTTCTTTTTAGTGGCTGCATAGTATTCCATAATGTATGTACCACATTTTTTTTTTCTATTCAGTCATCCATTGATGGACACTTAGGTTGATTCTATGATTTTGCTGTTGTGAATAGTTCTGCAATAAACTATGAATGCAGGTATCTTTTTGATAAAATGATTTCTTTTCCTTTGGGTAAATGCCCAGTAGTGGGATTGCTGGATCATATGGCAGTTCTATTTTTAGCTCTTTGAGAAATTTCTATACTGTTTTCCAAAGGGGTTGTACTAATTTGCATTCCTGCCAACAGTGTATGAGCATTCCCTTTTCTCTGCATCCTTCAATATCTGCTGTTTTTTTTATCTTTTTAATAATAGCCATTCTGACTATTTAAAAATTATAGCTCATTGTGGTTTTAATTTGCATTTCTCTGGTGATTAGTAACGATGAGCATTTTTTCATGTTTGTTTACCACTTGTATATCTTCTTTTAAGAAATGGCCAAGACAGTTTTGAAAAAAGATGACAGTTTTGAGGACTTACGTTACTGAATATGGCCGTAGCCAAAGGATGGACATAAAGATCAATGGAACAGAATAGAAAGTCTAGAAATGAGCCTACATATTTATGGCCAATTGGTTTTTGACAAAGGTATCAAGGTATTGCAATGGAGAAAGGATAATCTTTTCAACAAATGGTGCTAGGACAATAGGATATCCATGTGCAGAACATTGAGTCTTCAATCCTTCCCTCACACCATGTGTACAAAAATTATTTCAATTTTTTTTTTTGAGACGGAGTCTTGCTCTGTCTCCCAGGCTGGAGTGCGGCAGCATGATCTCGGCTCATTGCAACCTCTGCCCCCTAGGTTCAAACAATTCTTGTGCCTCAGCCTCCTGAGTAGCTGGGATTACAGGTGCATGCCATCCACCTGGCAAATTTTTATATTTTTAGTAGGGGCAGGTTGGCCAGGCTCATCTCAAACTTCTGACTTCAAGTGATCTGCCTGCCTTGGCCTCCCAAAGTGCTGGGGTTACAGGTGTGAGCCACCACGCCCGGCCAAAAATTATTTCAAAATTGATCATAGACCTAAATGTAAGACAATGTCTTAGATATAACACCGAAAGCATGGCCCATAAAGGAAAACATTAATAAAACAGACTTTTGGAGCTTGGTGCAATGGCTCACACCTGTAATCCCAGCAACTCAGGGGCTGGGGTGGGAGGATTGCTTGAGGACAGGAGTTTGAGGCCAGCCTGGGTAACAGAGTGAGACTCTGTCTCTACAAACAAAACAAAACATTACCTGGGTGTGGTGACATGTTTCTGTAGTCTCAATTACTCAGGAGGCTGAGGCAAGAAGCTCACTTGAGCCCAGGAGTTTGAGGCTGCAGTGAGCCATGATTGTGCTATTACACACCAGCCTGGGTGACAGGGTGAGATCCTGTCTCTAAAAAATTTTTTTTTAAATAGACAATCAAAACTAAAAACTGCTTTTCAAAAGACGTCATAAAAAAATGAAAAGGCAAGCCACAGTTAGAAACTTTTGCTCTAAAAAGCAAAAAGAGGATGAAAAGACGAGCTACAGACTGGAAGAAAATGTTTGTAATCCATACGTCCAAAAATAGACAGTATCTAGAATATATAAAGAACTCTCAAAACTCAGTAATAAAACAATCCAATTTGAAAATGGGCAAAGACATGAGCAGACTTTACAGACATTTCAGTGAGTAGGATATACAGATGGCAAATAAGACACGAAAAGATGTTCATATCTTTACCCATTAGGGAAATGCACATTAAAACCACAGTGAAATATCACTGCACACCTATCAGAATGGCTAGAATAAAAATAGCGAGAATACCACATACTGCTGAGAAATCAGAAATCCTGGATCACTGATGTATTTCTGGAGTAATGTAAAATAGTACAGCCACCTTGGAATCCAGTTTGGCACTTTCCTGTAAAGCTAAAAATGTACTAACTACACAACTCGGCAATTGCACTATTGAGTATTTGTTCCAGAGAAATGAAAACTTATTTTCATACATGAACCTGCACGAAAGTGTTCATAGCAGCTTTATTCAGAATAGAAAAATAATGGAAACCACCAAAGTATTCTTTAATGAGTGGATAAACAACTGTGATACATCCATACCATGGAATACTATGTAACAATGAGAAGGAATGAGCTGTTGATACATGCAGCAACTTGGATGGATCTCCAGGGAATTATGTGGATTGAAAAAAAGCCAATATAAAAAGGTTAAATACTATATGATTCTGTTAACATAACACTTTTGAAGTAACAAAATTATAGAGATGGAGAACAGATAGTGGTTGCCAGGGGTATGGAATGGGGGAGGGTCTGGCTATAAAGGGGTAGCAGGAGGAGGCAGGAGATTTGTGGTGATGGAGCAGTTCAGTATCTTGATTGTGGCCATGGTTACATGATTCTAACTAAACATGTTATCAGATTGCACTGAAGAGATGCTTAATATCACTAATCATTAGGAAAATGCAAACCAAAATTGTAGTGAGATACTTCTTCACACCCATTATAATGGCAATTATTTAGAAAGTTAGGGAAGTTAGGGAAATAAAAAGTGTTGGTGAGGATGTGGGGAAATTGGAACTCACGTGCATTGGCTGGGGGGAATGTGAAATGGTGTAACTGCTATGGAAAATAGTATGATGTTTCCTCAAAAATTAGAAATAGCTGCTATATGATTTAGCAGTTTCACTTCTGGATATATACTCCACTTCTGGATATATAGTCTGAATGGAAAGCAGGGATTCAAATAGATATTTGTACACTCATGTTCATAGCAGCATTATTCACTTTAGACAAAGGTAAAAACAACCCAAATGTCCATTGATGGATGGATGGATAAACAAAATGTGGTATATACATATGATGGAATATTATTTAGCCTTAAAAAGGAAGGAAATTCTGACCTATGCTGAGGTATGAACGAACCTTGAGGACATGATGCAAAGTGAAATCAACCAGTCACAAATGCACAAATATTGTATGATTCTACTTACATGAGGTACCTACATTAGGCAAATTCATAGAGACAGGAAGTAGAATGGTGGTTGCTAGGGGCTGGGAGGAGAGAGGAATGGGTATAGACTTTGGCAAGATGAACAGAGTTCTGGGGATGGATGGTGGTGATGTCTGTACAGCAGTGTAAATGTACTTAATGCCACTGAACTGTACACTTAAAATAGTTTAACAGCTTAATTTTAAGAGTATTTTACCACAATAAAAATTGCATAGATCTACACACATGAGTACACACACGGCACACACATATACACACTTGGGAGCGGGGAACGGGAGTGAGTGCATTTGAAGCTAGTGAAATCTGAATGAAGTTTGTAGATGTACCAATGCAGTTTTCTGGTTTGATATTTTACTGTAGTTAAGCAGGGTGTTCTCACTGGGAGAAGCTGGGCGAAATGTACATAGGACCTTGCTGCATTTTTTGTTACTTCCTGTGAATGAATGTATAGTCATTTCAAAATAACACAAATAACACATTTTTTTTGTTTATTTTTGAGACAAGCCACAAATTTTCCTGGTATACAGGAAACAGAAAAAACTAACTGCAGTTATTGGGAAAGTTTACCAATTGTTGGGAGAGTTTATCATTTTGTCAGCGTCCTCACCTGTGTGTGTGTGTGTATAAAAATTAATTGCACCTTTTAAGTTTTTTTTAAGGTAAGGGTCCACTTTTTGAAATTTATCATCAATCATTTTGACTCCTGGTCATTAATCCCCCCAAGTAAATAAATAAATTTCTGAATGGTAGCTTTATCTTAACAGATTTGATTTGGGTGTTTTAGGAAAAGCATCATTCATACTTTGCTTTTTATCTTGCTCTGCAGTGATTCTATTTTGTTTTATACATCATCTGGTAAACATTAGTGAGAAAGTTTGGCGAGAATACAGACATATGTGTTCAACTAGATTTAAAAACGTTCTTGGCAACTCGATACCAAGAGGTCAGCAGGGAGGAGTGGCTGGGCAGGGGTTACTTCTGTGGATAAAGGGAAGGAAAAGAAGCTGACACTGATTGTCAACATTTATGGAAACCTGTTCTGCAACTACTGTTGTACTTTTATACGTGCCTTATTTAGGGGGATTAAGTGTTCTTTACAAGGGAAAATTGAAGCCTGGAAACACTGAGTACCTTTCCCAAGGTTAGACAGCTGGTGAATGCCCAAGTTAGGATCCAGACTTATTTTGGAGAGGCATCAAAGTATGGAACCATGAGTTCCTGGGGTCAAATTTAGGAAGACGCCAATTTTACTACCTTTGTTGATCTTTAGCTCTGGATGGCCATGGTTTATAAGCAGGAAGTGTTTACAACACATGCTTGTATGGACCAATCTTAAAGGTGAATATTCAACACTATTTCTGAGAGTGAATAGCTGTTGATTTGATATATATCCAACAAATATTTATTGAGTTTTTAATTATCCCAGGCAATGTTTTAGGGACTGAGGATATAGTAGTGGACAAAACAGATCAAAATCAAGGAAAACAAGTAAAATATATGTTAAGATAGTGATAAGGTCTATTGGAAAACCTTTAGAAGGGAAGGCTGTAGGATGTAGTGCAGTGGGTTGATATTTCATCAGGGAGAGCCTCACAGGGTGGGTGACACTGGGCCACCTGGAGGCAGTGAGGCTTGTGGAGCAGTTGGGGAAGGGCATTCCCGATAGAGGGAATAGTGAGTCTCCAAGCCCCAGATTGGAATGTGCCTGGTGTGGCACAGAACAGCAGAGGCCAATGAGTCTGGGCAGAGTTGCTGGTGGGGAGAGGGGTGGTCAGGAGTGAGGTCAGAGGGATGTAGGGGCCATACCAAGAAGGGCTTTGTAGGCCATTGTTAGGACTTTTGCTTTTACTTTGCGAGATGGGAAGTGGCTAGAGGGTTTTGAGCAGAGGAGTGCTGTCATCTGACTTAATTTTGAAAGGATCACTCAAGGGGTTTGCTGAGAAGAGATGGAAGGGGGCCAGCAGGGGAGCAGGGAGGCAGGTTCAAAGCCATCACAGTAATGCAGGCAGGAGATTATAGAGACCTGGGTCTAGGGTTAGTGGTGGAGGTGGGGAGAAGTGGTCGAAATCGGATTTTACTTTCCAGGCTGAGCCCACAGGAAGTGCTGATGGATTAGCTATGAGGTATGAGAGGAAGAGAGGATTGAGAAGGACTGCAAGTTGTTTGGTCTAAGTAGGGAAAGAGATGAAGTTGTGAATGCTGTGTGTTGAGATGGGGAAGAGTGTGGCAGGGCAGATTAGGGGCTCAGTTACGGATTAAGTATGAGAGTGCTAAGGGGAAATGTGTGTTGCCTATGTGCAAATCATCATGGTAGCACTTTTGAGCAGACAGAAGTGTAAAATACTCTCCAGGAATGTGCTCTCCAGAAACTCACTGATAAGTAAGGGGGGATAAAGTATGCACAGACTTACAAAGTACACGACGTTTATGGATGATAAACCATTCATTCATTCTCACCATTGAGACCAAAGCTGCTTCAGCACTTCAGATGCAGAATGATGGCCATGGGCACAGCAGTTTAGGATTAGGTGAACTGTGATGAGCAGTTGGTGCTTTTCCTTGATTTTGAAGCGCCTGTAGGGCTTGGCAGGTTGGAGCGCTAGGAGGCCAGTGTCTCTGGAGTGGTGCAAGGTACAGAGCAAGGTACAGAGCTAGTGCAAGGTACACAATAAATTGTGTTGACAACGTGAGGTTCGAGTTGGAGATCAGCGGAGGTTAAGGTTGGAAGTACATCCTGCTTGAGGAAGGCTCTGGGTGCTGGCTAAGGAAGTTGGCCTTCATTTTGTGGATAATTGGCCATGATTGAAAGGGGTTGATTTGGGTAGTTGACCTGATTGAACTACTGCCTTGGGAAGTTTGATCATTCCCTCAGGTTTCTTAGAAGTAGGCCTCTTTGGTGTATAATCATGCTTATTCTCTGGGCAGCTTTGACATGGCTGACTGCTGTCTTCCAGATACCCTCGCCCCTTTCGGCTCCCTGGACGCTACTCGTTTCTGACGCACCTCCCATGTCTCTGACCACAGCTGCCCCATCATTGACTCAGGAGATACTTAGTGAGAGTCTGCTCTGTGGCAGCCCTCATGCTGGGCACAGCGGGTGAGGCAGGCAGGGTCTAGTGGAGAGCAGACATTCCATAAATGGTCACACACACCACTGCATGGTTTTGGGTTTCCTAAGCCCTGGGAAGGGAAACTACAGAGAACTTAAATAAGGGCTTTGAAGCTGAGGAAGAGGCTTGTAAGCTGAGCTCTGGACTTCAGTGGGCCAAAGGGAGGGAGGAAGAGCATTCTGGACCTTGCAGGCATGTGCCAAGGTGGGATGACCTTCATGCACTCGGGCAAGAGCAAAGGCCCATATGGCTGCACATGTGAGGAGGGTCCCTTGAGGTCTGCTTTAGGACCTTTTTCTTCTCCCATGCCACTCCCTGGGGCTATCATCTCTTCCCTTGATCTCAGCTATCCTCTGGGCAGTTAGTTTCTCTTCTTACCTCCTTCATGACATCTAGACTGCCTCTCTGTTACCTCTGCCTGGAAGTCCCAAAGGCATGGTTAACTTCCTCTGTCCTAAACTCTAAGAAGTATCTTCCCACTTTGCCATTTCTACTTTCCTTCAAGCTTTTCTCCTTGTCTCAGACACCTTTTCTACCTGCTGTTGGCCATCCAGTCGCATAGCTCTAGTACCACTCTTCTGTGAAACCTTTCCTACCTGTTTATTCCTGCCTGTCTCCCTGGCAGAACAGTTTAATCCTGGGACCCTATAAAACACTGTTCATTCCTCTCTGTCCATTATTTGTTTGAACTGTTGACTATTGTATATTTGTCTGAGTTCTTAATGGATTGAATGCTTCTGAACCATGTATTGCTGGGGCTTTGCATGATATTTGGGTCTCAGAGTTTTACTAAATAGCATTTTATGAATACAGTAAAAATAGCTATTGAAACACTGGTAAAAATGTTTTAAATAGGACAGTGAAAGTAGAGAGAACAGAAAGAGTGATGCCTCATACAGAATGAGAATATATCAGATGGAGAAGACCCCATCTATCTGGTTTTCCTCTTGGCATCTTTTTTTTTTTTTTTTTGATAGATGGAGTTTCGCTCTTGTTGCCCAGGCTGGAGTGCAATGGCATTATCTTGGCTCACCGCAAACTTTGCCTCCTGGGTTCAAGCGATTCTCCTGCCTCAGCCTCCTGAGTAGCTGGGATTACAGGCATGGGCCACCACACCCAGCTAATTTTTGTATTTTTAGTAGAGACGGGGTTTCTCCATGTTGGTCAGGCTGGTCTCGAACTCCTGACCTCAGGTGATCCGCCTGCCTCAGCCTCCCAAAGTGCTGGGATTACAGGCATGAGACACCGCGCTCGGCTCCTCTTGGCATCTTAATCAAGGGATGCTGTTGATTATTATTCTGCCTGCAAACCCCATATTGATCTTGTAAAATCTGAAAAACAAGAGATATTTCGAGAGAGAGAATTGGTCCCTTGAGATATTGCAAGCAACCTTTGGGTTGCATCCTTTACATTTAGAATTGCATTGTCAAGTGTCCAGGGCAAAGGGTAAGGGACAACCCAAATCATTTGGAAAGATTAAAGGATAAGAAATAAAATTGTATGCTAGCATGAACCATCCCCTCCACCCCTCTCCCAGGAAAAGTGTAATTGATATTGAAGTTCCGACAACCAAGTATCTACTTGGAAGTAATTAGCATTTACCGAGGGTGCTTCATAGAATCCATTTGTTTTAATTTCTTTTTAATTCCTTGTGATGATGGTGGTGACAGGTTCATTGTTCATTTGTTCTCAGCTGTTCCCTGGAGGTGTAGCTCTTCACCTGCTCCTGGTTCTGTGTGGCAGGCTTCAGAAAAAAAAGAAAGGATCTCATGTTGGTTCCATTGAAGGGGAAAAAAAGTTGGAGGCATTTCGGGTTCACTTACTTGCAAAGATGAATTAAGATAAGCATTGCCTACCCCAGAGTAATTAAACTCATTTCCACAGTAGCATTTTCTCTTCTGTGCTCGTGTCACGCTTGCAGGTACATGTTCATTATTTCAGACTTTCTAATTATAGCAGTCATCACAGACTTTGGTGAGCTACCTTGTCATTAGGTAATAACTCTCTGTGTCGTTGGGCTTGCATCTGAAGTTGTGATGAAGGGGAAGTGTGCACTGAGCATGGGTGTGTCTCTTTTTCAAGGATTCCACGTGTTCCCTTGGTTTCTGTATCTCTTGCAAACACTTATAGAGTGGTGCTTTATGACGCATGCTGAAATATGCATTTCAAAAGAAGAGGGATTTTTTTTTCCTCTTAGAAGGTAGCCATGCCTGGGGAAACATGGACAAAACACTAAACTCTGAGATGCTCTAATTTTGTGATTCTAAGTGATTCCATAATAATCAATAGCAATAAGGGTAAGAGTCCCTAAGAGTAGCAATTAGAGACCCAGGCATGACCCCCATAAGCTCCCACTTAGTGTATGCATGTGTTTTCTGCTCTTAAGTGGAGTTTGGGCATGAGAGGGCAGATCTGTTCCACTGTAATGCAGGTGTGTGAGGCTGAGGTGAGGGGATGCAGGATGTGGGGTGCCCCAGTGATACTCGGTTAAGGTCTTGGCTACATTTGTCCACACCTGCATTCCAGTGTTTGTTTTGGAGGGCATAGCAAGAAAGTTTCTATGCAACATAGCAACTTTTTATTAGACTGTAAAGTGCAGTGTTGTCCCTGGAACATCCTTATTTTGGCAGTGTAGCTTCACTTGTGATGGTTTGTACTCCATGATCACAGAACTGCATGAGTTATTAGAGCTCTCAGTGATTACATCATAATTCTATAAGATGGCTCGGAAGGGACCTTACTGAAACATCTAGACAAGTATGTTTCAAACACCAGTGATTTGAGTGTTATTATAGCCATGCTTTTTGCTGTATATAAGAACTACCATTATTAGTTACGTCTCTCTGGATTCTATCCTGTTTGGCTTAGCCTCATCTGAAGCATACTGTTTGGATTTGATAATGTTGCAGCTAGGACTCTGGAGCCAGACTACCTGGGTTCAAATCCTGGCTCTACATCTTCCTGGTGTGGCAACTGGGAGCACGTCACTACATTTCTTTGTGTCTCTGTTTCCCTGGGTGCAAAATGGAGACAATAATAATCTCTGTCTCCTAGCGTTTTTATGAGAATTAAATGAAAAAAGTAAAATATTTACAGTAGTGCCTAGCACATAGTAAGTGCTCACAGAATGCTAGTCTTCTTAGTTATATATTTTTATATATAGAAATATGCATAAAACCATTGAAATAAAAAGTTACTTTCATGCTACTTACAATTAGATTTTATTAGTGGGATATTTTTATGCTACCTAAAATTAGATTACATTTTATTAATGGAGTATGTATTTTTCTGTGAGAAGCATTGATCCTGTCATCTAGTCTCATGGCTTTTTGGTGTTTAATTGTTGCCTACATTGCCCTAGACCGAGGCCTCCAGGGATTCCACTTCATTTGAGCCAGCTGTGTCTGTTAGAATAGCTTTTCATGGGGCAAGCTCCATGGCTTCCTTCCATCCATTGCATTTTACCCTTTGACATCAGAGACCAACTCTAATCTCTCTTCTCCATTACAGCCCTTTGCATAATTGAAGAAAGCTGTCATGTTTCCCAGAGTCTCCTCTTCATCAGCCCTACAAAGTGTCAGTTTTCCCCTCTGGACGAGCCCCTGCCTGCCTTGCTTGTATAAGTCAGCCCTTTGCAGGGAACGAAGCTATGGGAGAAGAGATTTGTCTGAGGACATGTGGGATACGTTTTGCTTGTACTAATTAGTGCTCGTAAATGCTATGAGCACCTGGAAGCTGGAAGCAGCCAATGTCTTCTCAGATGCAAAAGTTGCAGGTGGAACCAGTGGATCCAGCCAGTATCCCTGTAAAGAGCCAGAAACGGTAATTTAAAGAAGGCTTGGAAAACTGGTGCTTGTGGTTGCCTCTTGAAAGGGAACTGGGTGGCAGGTGAAACTTACTTTTCACCATCTACTCTTTTATGTTTCACATTTTACACCATACAATGTATTGCCTATTCAAAAAATCATACACACACATATTGAAAAAAGGCAGAATCGTAGGCCGTTGAACTGAAAGGCATTAAAAAATAGTATGAGGGAGGAGCTTTGTAAATGTTAAGTTCCTAAGGGAACAAAAAGATAATAGGGGCAATGTGCTGAAAGGAGAAGATGAAATAAATAAGAATAACAACAGGCTGGGCACGGTGGCTCATGCCTGTAATCCCAGCACTTTGGGAGGCCGAGGTGGGCGGATCTTGAGATCAGGAGGTGGAGACTACCCTGACCAACATGGTGAAATCCCATCTGTACTAAAAATACAAAAATTAGCTGGTTGTGCTGGTGCGTGCCTGTAATCCCAGCTACTCAGGAGGCTGAGGCAGGAGAGTCGCTTGAACCAGGGAGTCGGAGGTTGCAGTGAGCCGAGATCACGCCACTGCACAGAGACTCTGTCTCAAAAAAAAAAAAAAAAAAAAAAAAGAATAACAACAAAGGACAAAACCTTATCTCTAGGCTTTTCCCTTCCCTGATATACTCTATTTGGTCTAGCTTCTCCCCTAAGATCCGGCTCAGCTGCTATTTTCCCCGGGAAGCCCTCCTTAACCCTCTAACCCCTTCACCAGCCTGGCTCTAGGGCTTCCCTTCCTGTTTCTCAGCAACTCCCACAGCCTTCTAGGCTTGTAAGAGTCTACTTAATACAGATACCATTATTCATTTACTTCTCAGCCTTTTTCACTCCATATTCCTGGACTCCTTGAGGGATGGACTGTCTCCTTAGTATTTATATACCCTGTGTTATGTCAGTGAGATGCCCGGCATAGTGAATGCGTGGGATGTATCTGTACTGAATGATCACATGTGTGCGGGTGGCGCTTGGGGCTATGGGTGAGGTATAGGAAGGCTTCCTGGGGCAGCTGGTGCTGGAGCCATCCTGAGGTCTTGGTAAGCATTTGCCAGGCTGAGAAGAAAGAGACAACCCCCTGGGCAAGGTGAACAGCAAGTTCAAGGGCACAGAGGCATGACTGAGGTTATCCTTTTAGAACAACCCATTCTAAAAGAAAAATGTTTTAACCCAAAACACACCTAACATTTTATAGCAAGACATACCTAATATTTACCCACATTATTAAAAAAATTTGTGCTATTTTGCTTTTTAATTTTTACTTCAGATTGAAGATGACTCTGGGTTCATTGAGTGCATTTTGAATCACCTGGTGGGGTTGGATGAGAGGTTATCTGGATTGGGCATTTTTTCCTTCTTGACACTTCTCTTTCTCTCCTTCTCATTCTTCTCTTTCCCTTATCTCCTGATTTCTGTAAGAATCTACTATGTAAAACACATTGCCCAGCATGTGGGGGACCTTGGTGAAGAGCTTATGGCCTTGCAATGAACCTCAGGTACAAGACTCTAAAACAAGGCAGAAAGTGATGCAAGCCACAGGAGAAAACCTGTTGGTGTCTATGAGAGTTCACAGGAAGGAGGACTTCTTTCCAATGCAGAGAAGACCAAAGAAGTCTTCATGGTGGGAATGATTTTTTTTTAGCATGTGGAATTTAGATGTGAGGAGTCTTGGGGTGGTAGGCATTCATTGGGGAGAAAACAGCAGAAGCAAATGTCTGCAGACAGGATGGCCTTCCACATGGTTGGAGAGGAGGAGCAGCAAGAAATAACCTTGGAGGGTTCATTTTCAGGTGTATATGGAGGTTCTTACTGCAAGTGGAGAAGTTTGGACTTTCTTCTTTAGGTAGACGGGAGCCAGTGAGATTTTTGAGCATGCAGTTGATGTATCAGAGCTGTAGGCAGAGTCAGGTGTCCTAGCCAGACAGAAAAACCAGCTTGAAAAGCTATTTATTAAGCCAGCTGGGAAGAGGTATTCATGTAGGGAAAGAAAACCAACAAAATCAGAAGGGAAAGTAGTTCTGGCACATGGTGCTTTGACGAGATCATTAAGGATTCATTCTGTCTCCAGTTTAATACAGAAAGTGGCACAGGGCAAACATAGACGGGAAGTGGCCAAGGAAACAATAAGAATGATGTGATCTTTTCCTGAGTGCCGAAGGTAAAGCCATTGGTCAACTGATGTGATTTGTGGTTAGAAGAATCTTGGAGCTGCCAGGCACAGGCTATATTATTGGTTCGTTATGTACGTTTCTATTGGGATTGGAATGTCTAGTAATTATCCTAAGGTTTCATCATGAGTAATTCTGAAACTTTCTGAAATATAGGAACAGAAGCATCCCATGAAGATACTGTGCTTTGCTGGTTCCCTGGAGGAGCTGGGATTTTAGCAACATCAGAAGCAACATTGAGATACCCTCCACGTGGTTTTTAAAGCTACAGCTGACTAAATGAGAAGACAGGTTAAACAGACATTCCATATGAATAGAACATGATTATAATTATTCTTATCCTTGAGTTGTGAGTCTTGGTTTCTGTCATGTGCAGATTTGCAAATTTTTATGACTCAAAGAAATATGTTGTAAAGCTAGGCACCAGATCGACATTGTTTTGGTTTTGCTAAAGATTTGAGATTTTGCATGTACAGCAAGTAAGTCACACTTTGTTTTATAGTGATGGGCAAAAGGCACATAGAGTGAGTTTGTTGTTGAGAACTTAGAGTTGTATCATTTTGCTCTTCAGGGTCTGCCAGGCTATCCCACGCTGTTTAACTTCCCTCTTCATCTCTTTTTCTGCTATGGACTGAATTGTGTACCCACTCCACCTTCACCCTACAATTCATATATTGAAGTTCCAGCTCCTAACATGATGGTATTGGAGATGAGGCCTTTGGGAAGTAAGTAGGTTTAGATGAGGTCACATGAGGGTGGGGCCTCTGGGATGGGATTAATGTCCTTATAAGAAGAAGGAGAGTTGGTGGGGGGGGGGGAGAGAGAGAGAGAGGGGGGGGGGGAGGGAGGGAGGGAGGGAGAGAGAGAGAGAGAGAGAGTGAGAGTGAGAGAGAGAGAGAGAACAGAGCTCACTGTCTCTGCTATGTGGGGACACAGCAAGAGGTTGACCATCTGCAAGCCGGGAAGGGGGTACCCTCACCACAAACAAAATCTACTGGCACCTTGATCTTGGACTTCCATCCTCAAGAACTGAGAAAATAAATTTCTGTTGTTTGAGCCAGCCAGTCTGTCCACTCCGTGGTGTTTTGCTGTGGCAGCCCAAGCTGACCAATACAGTGCTACCATGTGCAAAACTTAGGACAACTGAGGGTTTAAGGTCATGTGTTTATTACATAGAAATGCTATACCATTCCTTAGACTGTATTATGTAATGCATTTTGGCATATAAATGTCTGATAGAGACAGGCCAAGATGAAAAACTGGGGTGGGTTTGTGTGACAAATTTTGGTAAAGGGTAGGGCATACTTTGCTTAAGAATCAGTAAAATCTTTGCAGCCAGGGAAAATGTATGCTCTAAGTATGGACTCTTGGAGCCTTTTGTGTGTTTTACTAGCTTCATGTAGAAATATAGAAGTTCTTGGATGTATAGTCAGATTAATGAATTGGCTAATTTATGATTAATATCAATTTTGGGGACCACAGTAGCAATAAAAGAAGTACGTAAGATGAAACAGTTTAAAACAGAAAAAGGATTAAAGAATGTATTTCGAAGATCTCGAAATCCATCTGTCAGTTTTAGCTCTTCTAAAAATCATTTGTTCACAGTGGCTGAAGGCCAGCCTCATATATGCCAGGTTATATTTAGAAAAACAAAAGGGGAAGGGGAAGCTCGTATCTATTTGTGGAAGTAGTCCCAGCTATGTTTTTATACCTCCCAGATCCGAAATACAGTGGGACTCCCTTAGAATGCAGTTTCATGGGCCTCTGAGACAGCATCCCTCTTGGAAGAGAGCATGTCCTCTAAGCATTTTATTGTACTAGGCTGATATAGTGGCAGTATTTCATGGGTTTTACTTGACTTGTTTTTCATGCTAATTTGTGTAATAATGAACTGTGCTTGTGATGGACTTTTAGGATGTAGAAAACTATTTTGAGGAGTTCTGTAAGTCAAAAAAATTATAGTTGAGTATTGTGAATTTGGAACCACATAACTCCCCAATATTAATTCAGACAATTAGAGAGTTACATTCATTCTTTTAGATTAAATAGTATTATTAGATAGTGTGTATCTACCAGGCATAGTTCAAGCAGTGGGGAGATTTAGTATATAATCTTTGGAAAACTTGTGCCCTTAAAATATGGTTGACCGTCTGTAGGTCCATGAAGATGAGTATTAAGTTCTTGGGAAATCACAATAACTGAGTTGTTCATTGTACACACATCTGCACCAGTGCCATGGAAACTGCAGAGAAGCAGTAGCCCTCCACTGTTGGATATGGTAGCCACTAGCACCAGTGGGAATTTAAATGTAAATGAATTAACGTTAAATACAATGCAGAATTCCATTTCTTAGTTGCACAGCCACATTTCACATACTCATTTGCCAAAACAGCTAGTGGTAATTCTGTGAGATGGTGCAGATGTAGGATATTTCCACCGGCTCAGGAAGTTCTATTGGATAATGTGGTGTGGGAACATTTTTTTCTGCCCCTGATTAATTTTAAATCTATTTTAAATCTGGAATAGAAAGATGTGCAGAAGGAGAGGATAAAAGAAAACATAATTAACATTTTTATCGGCAGTGTCTCTGGGCAGCATGTGATTGATTATTGGAGTAATTGTATAGATAATAAATAATACAAGATGTTAGACTGAGATGATTAGGGAAGAGTTGTAACTTTTACTGGATTTTCAAATAACCAGTGGGATTCCAACAGCAGTGATGAAGTGGGAGGCACTCTATAATCAATGTGCAAAAATCACAAGCATTCTTATACACCAATAACAGACAAACAGAGAGCCAAATCATGAGTGAACTCCCATTCACAATTGCTTCAAAGAGAATAAAATACCTACGAATCCAACTTACAAGGGACGTGAAGGACCTCTTCAAGGAGAACTACAAACCACTGCTCAATGAAATAAAAGAGGATACAAACAAATGGAAGAACATTCCATGCTCATGGGTAGGAAGAATCAATATTGTGAAAATGGCCCTACTGTCCAAAGTAATTTATAGATTCAATGCCATCCCCATCAAGCTACCAATGACTTTCTTCACAGAATTGGAAAAAACTACTTTAAAGTTCATATGGAACCAAAAAAGAGCCCTCATTGCCAAGTCAATCCTAAGCCAAAAGAACAAAGCTGGTGGCGTCACGCTACCTGACTTCAAACTATACTACAAGGCTACAGTAACCAAAACAGCATGGTACTGGTACCAAAACAGAGATATAGACCAATGGAACAGAACACAGCCCTCAGAAATAATGCTGCATATCTACAACCATCTGATCTTTGACAAACCTGACAAAAACAAGAAATGGAGAAAGGATTCCCTATTTAATAAATGGTGCTGGGAAGACTGGCTAGCCTTATGTAGAAAGCTGAAACTGGATCCCTTCCTTACACCTTATACAAAAATTAATTCAAGATGGATTTAAGACTTACATGTTAGACCTGAAACCATAAAAACCCTAGAAGAAAACCTAGGCATTACCATTCGGGACATAGGCATGGGCAAGGACTTCATGTCTAAAACACCAAAAGCAATGGCAACAAAAGCCAAAATTGACAAATGGGATCTAATGAAAGTAAAGAGCTTCTGCACAGCAAAAGAAACTACCATCAGAGTGAACAGGCAACCTGCAGAATAGGAGAAAATTTTTGCAATCTACTCATCTGACAAAGGGCTAATATCCAGAATCTACAATGAACTCAAACAAATTTACAAGAAAAAAACAATCCCATCAACAAGTGGGTGAAGGATATGAACACATGCTTCTCAAAAGAAGACATTTATGCAGCCAAAAAACACATGAAAAAATGCTCATCATCACTGGCCATCAGAGAAATGCAAATCAAAACCACAATGAGATACCAGCTCACACCAGTTAGAATGGCAGTCATTAAAAAGTCAGGAAACAGCAGGTGCTGGAGAGGATGTGGAGAAATAGGAACACATTTACACTGTTGGTGGGACGTAAACTAGTTCAACCATTGTGGAAGTCAGTGTGGCGATTCCTCAGGGATCTAGAACTAGAAATACCATTTGACCCAGCCATCCCATTACTGGGTATATACCCAAAGGACTATAAATCATGCTGCTATAAAGACACACACACACACATGTATGTTTACTGTGGCACTATTCACAATAGCAAAGACTTGGAACCAACCCAAATGTCCAACAATGATAGACTGGATTAAGAAAATGTGGCACATATACACCATGGAATGCTATGCAGCCATAAAAAATGATGAGTTCATGTCCTTTGTAGGGACATGGATGAAGCTGGAAACCATCGTTCTCAGCATACTATCACAAGGACAAAAAACCAAACACCGCATGTTCTCACTCATAGGTGGGAATTGAACAATGAGAACATGGACACAAGAAGGGGAACATCACCCACTGGGGCCTGTTGTGAGGTGGAGGGAGGGGGGAGGGATGGCATTAGGAGATATACCTAATGTTAAATGACGAGTTAATGGGTGCAGCACACCAACACGGCACATGTATACATATGTGACTAACCTGCACATTGTGCACATGGACCCTAAAACTTAAAGTATAAAAAAAAAGAACAGGTTGAAGTTTTGTTTGGGGGGCTGGGGAGTGGGCAGTATAAGATGTGTTTGATGCAGGAACAGCTGTATAATTTGGAGGACCCAGTACAAAATAAAAATACGGGGTTTCCTGTTAAAAAATTCGTAGGTATTTGTAGTCCATGACAGAAGAGCTTTAAACCAAGCACAGAACCCTTCCAAATCATGGGGTAGCATGGCATGGTTTAAAGGCTGGTGAGTGAGCCAAATTGGCTAGGTTCTGATGAGTTCTGAAGGTGAGTAGTAAGAGATACATGGCCAAAAACACTATCACAACCTAAAAACCTTTCTTGTCTCAGCTTCACCATATCAGAGCATGGTATGTTCCTCGTGGGTTGTTGTTTGGGGCCAGAGCCCTGCTCTTTCCACAGTGGTTTGTCTTTCCATCCTGAACATCACACCGAAGATAGCATTATTTTTCTGAATCCATTGTAAAGCAAGAGTACATGATGAACTACCGTATCCCTGCTGATTGTGAACATTATCTCTTCAAATAAAATAAATGATGTGGTTTAGAAAGTACCATCTGAGTGCCACACTAGCTGGGGGCTTGGCATTCATTAGTTTGTTAGCTGACAATTACACCAGAACTTTCTCTTTCATTTTGAATGTCTCAATGGGAATCATTACTGCAAATAAAAAAGCAAAATAGAAATCATTGTGGAGACATTAATATTTTTATTTTAGACATACTTAGCAAATAATATCATGTAATGGGCTGCGAATTTTTGGCATTTAAATGCTGATTTCACATGAGCTATGATGTGTGGATCATCTTTAGTTAAATGTGTGATTGAACTGTGCATAGTGTTTGCCTGCCATATGGGTGCTTAAGGAAAATAAAATAACACAAAGACTCGATGAAGATGCGTACCTTTTATTTGGCAAATAATTCAAATTCCCTTTCCTCCCACCTTTTTTCAGTGTCTACCACAAACCACGCTGGCTTGGCAAGGAGGATGTCTCAGTTTTTCTTCTTCAGGCAATAAATACATTTACCCTTGACATTATTTAGTTTTCTGTTTTGAGGTAATTGTAGATTCACATGCAGTTGCAAGAAATAATAGAGATCTCACGTACCGTTTTCCTCAATAATAATATCTTGTAAAACAATAGTAAAATATCACAATGTTAAATCAAGTTTAGCCTGAAACTGCCTCCTTACATATTTTAAGTTCAGCCAAAAGATTTCTCTGTATATCGTGAACTGTAACCTAAATGAACTTGTAAACAGAGTGTAGCCAACTCTTGTGCCAATCACCAAATTTTGGCCAAAGGTGGCCAGCTGTTCAAATAAGGCAAATGCGAAGCTGTAAGAAATCGAGCTGTTTCTTTTTCTTTTTTTTTGAGACATAGTCTCACTCTGTCGCCCAGGCTGGAGTGCAGTGGCGTGATCTCGGCTCATTGCAAGCTCCGCCTCCCAGGTTCACGCCATTCTCCTGCCTCAGCCTCCTGAGTAGCTGGGACTACAGGCGCCCACCACCACGCCTGGCTAATTTTTTTGAATTTTTAGTAGAGACGGGGTTTCACCCTGTTAGCCAGGATGGTCCCGATCTCCTGATCTTGTGATCTGCCCGTCTCGGCCTCCCAAAGTGCTGGGATTACAGGTGTGAGCCACCATGCCCAGCACAATCCAGCTGTTTTTATATCTGACTTCCATTTTCTCTCTGTCACTTTCTTTTTTCTGTCCATAAATCGTCTTCTACCACATGGCTGCACTGGAGTCTCTGAACCTGCTAACGTTTTGGAGGCTGCCCGATTCATGAATTGTTCTTTGCTCAATTAAACTTTTTTAAATTTTATTTTATTTTACTTTTTTTGAGATGGAGTAAAAAAGTACTCCATCACCCAGGCTGGAGTGCAACGGCAGGATCTCGACTCACTGCAACCTCTGCCTCCAGGGTACAATCCATTCTCCTGCCTCAGCCTCCCAAGTAGCTGGGATTACAGGCATGCACCACCATGCCTGACTAATTTTTATATTTTTAGTAGAGACGGGGTTTCACCATGTCGGCCAGGTTGGCCTCGAACTCCTAACCTCAAGTGATTTGCTCACCTCAGCCTCCCAAAGTGCTAGAATTACAGGCGTGAGCCATTGCGTGCAGCCCCAGTTAAACTCTTTTGGCTAAAGTTTTTCTTTTAACAACGATTACAATATTGGCATTGATACAATCCACTTACCTTGTTCAGATTCTCCCACCAGTTTTACCTGTAGCTGTGTGTGTGTGTGTATGTGTGTGTGTTCCATGCAGTCTAATCAGTGTGGGTTCATGTATCACTACCACAGGCGAGATTCTGAATTCCTTCACCACCAGGATCCCTCATGTTGCCCTTTTATAACCACAGACACTGTTCCCCCAACCTGCTCTCTGCCATCATCCTTAATCCCTTGCAACTGCTGATCTGTTCTCCATTTTTATAATCTTGTCATTTGAAGACAAAATAAATGTAACAATACAGTGTGTAACCATTAAGATTGACTTTTTCCCCTCAGAATAATTTCTGAACATTATTCCAAGTTGTTGTATCAATAGTTTGTTCCCTTTGACTGCTGAGTAGTAGTAATGATATAGAGGTACCACAGTCCATCTAAAGGACATCTAGGTGGTTTCTCGTTCTAGGCTGTCACAAATAAAGCTGTTACGAACATACATTGTATTAGTTGACTAGGCTGGCATAACAAAGCACTACAAACTAGGTTAGACAACAGACATTTAGGAGTTCAGCATATGAATCTGGAGTGTGAGACTCAATTCAGCGCTTAACATTCATGTGCAGGTTTTCCTGTGAATATCACTTTTCATTTCTCTGGAGTAAATGCCTAAGACTGCAGTTTCTCAGTAGTATTGTGATTGCATGTCTAGGCTTTTAAAAAAGTGCCAAGCTGTGTTAGAGAGGCTGTACCAGTTTACATTCCCACAGTACAAGTGAACCTGTTTCTCCACATCCTCAGCAGCATTTGGTGGTGTTGCTATTTCCTATTTTTGCCATTTTGATAAATGGTATCTTATTGTGATTTTGATTTGCATTTCCCAAATGAAGAATGATGTTGAGCATCTTTTCTTGTGCTTATTGCATCTAAATATCCTCTTTGGAGAAGAGTCTATTCATGTCTTTTGCTCATTAAAAAAAAATTTTTTAAGTCTTGACTTTTGAGAGTTCTTTATATATTCTGGATAGTAATTCATTTTCAAATATGTGGTTTGCAAAGATTTTCTCCCAATGCGTAGCTTCTCTTTTTATCCCCTTGACAGCGTCTTTCACTGAGCAAAACTTTTTAATTTTGGAAAAGTGCAATTTAATGTTTTCTTGTATGGATTATGCTTTTGGCATTAAGCCTAGGAACTCTTTTTGTCTAGCCTTAGATCCCAAAGATTTTCTCCTATTATTTTTTAAATAAAATTTTCAGGTCTCACATGTAAGTAGTCCATGATCCTTTTTGAGTTAATTTTTGCAATAGGATATAAGGCTTAGGTTGAGGTTCTTTCTTATGCCTATTGATACACAACAGCTCCAGCACTGTGTGTTAGGAAGGCTCTCTGTCTTCCATCGAATTGCTTTTGCTGTTATCAAATATTAGTTAGGCATATTTTTGTGAATCTATCTCTGGGTTCTCTGCTGTGTTCCATTGGTCTGTGTGTCTATGCCTCTACCAATACCATACTATTTTGATTACTGTAGCAATAAAGTAAGTCTTAATAGATAGAGTAGTTCTTCCTATTGTGTTTTTTCCCAAGATTATTATGGTAGGGTTTGTGCCTCTTCATATAAATTTTAAAATAAGCTTGTTCATCTGCAAACAAACAAAAACCTTGATGGGATTTTGATGGTAATTGCATTAGATTAGTTTGAGAATAATTGACATCTTTACTATGTTGAATCTTCTATGAAAACAATATGCCTTTTTATTTAGATCTTTGATTTCTTTTATCAGAATTTAAAACTTTTCAGCTTGAAGTTTCCGTATGTGTTTTGTTAAGTACACACTTAAGTATTTCATTTTTTGTGGAGAGATTATAAATCTTGTGTTTTCGATTTTGGTTAATACTTGTTCTTATAAGCATATAGAGACATGATTGATATTTACATGTTGATCATGTGTCCTGTGAATTTGCTGAACTTATTATTTCCAGGAGATTTTAAAAAATAGTTTTCTTGGGAAATTCTATGTAGCAAATTATATGCAAACCAGGATAGTTTCATTTTTTGCTTTCTAATCCAAATGTGTTTCTTTTTCTTGCCATATTTTGCTGGCTAGAATTTCTAGTACTATGTTGAATAAAAGTGGTGAGAGTGGATCACCTTAACTTGCTCCTGATCTTAGGGGAAACATTCAGGCATTAAGAAATGCATTTCACTTAAATATAATGTCCCCTGTAGGTTTTTTGTAGGTACTCATTCTTGAACAAGTTAAGGAAGTTCCTCTTTACTCCTAACTTGCTGAGAGTATTTGTCATGAGTGGGTGTTGGATTTTGTAAAAAAAAAAATTTTAACATTAATTGATACAATCTTGCTTCTTTAGCTAATATATATAGTGGATTACATTGATTGATTTTCAAATGTGGAACCAGCCTTGCATACCTGGATTAATCCTAGTGTGTGTAATTCTTTTTATACACTGTTTGACTCAATTTGCTAATATTATGTTTAGGATTTTTTGTGACTAACTTCATGAGAAATATTGATCTGTGGACTGTCTTTTGTATTATCTTTGTCTGGTTTGGTCAGGGTAATAGTGGCTTCTTATTAAATAGAATGATTTGGGAAGTGTTTTCTTATTTTCTGTTTTCTGGAAGATATTGTATAAAATTAGTGCTAATTCTACTTTAAACATTGGTGGAATTCTCCAGTGAAATCAGCTGGGCTTGGAGATTCCTTTTTGGGAGGTTTTTACCTGATGAATTAAACTCTTCAGTAGTTTATAGGGCTGTTCAAATGATTTCTTTCATATGGATTGAGTTGTGGTAATTTGCGGTTTTTGAGAAATTGGACCATTTCATCTAAAATTCCTTCTATTTGAAGAACTTCCTTTAGCCACTCTGTGAGGATAGGTCTTTTAGAAATATATTATTTTAGTTGTTCTTCATGTGAGAGTGTCTTTATTTCCCTCTTTATTCCTGAATGAGAGTTTTGCTGGATAAATAATTTGCAGTTGACAGTTCTTTTCTTTCTTATTTTATTTTATTTTACTATTATTATGCTTTAAGTTTTAGGGTACATGTGCACAATGTGCAGGTTTGTTACATATGTATACATGTGCCATGTTGGTGTGCTGCACCCAGTAACTCATCATTTAGCATTAGGTATATCTCCTAATGCTATCCCTCCCCCCTCCCCCCACCCCACAACAGGCCCTGGTGTGTGATGTTCCCCTTCCTGTGTCCATGTGTTCTCATTGTTCAATTCCCACCTATGAGTGAGAACATGCTGTGTTTGGTTTTTTGTGCTTGGGATAGTTTGCTGAGAATGATGGTTTCCAGCTTCATCCATGTCCCTACAAAGGACATGAACTCATCATTTTTTATGGCTGCATAGCATTCCATGGTGTATATGTGCCACATTTTCTTAATCCAGTCTATCATTGTTGGACATTTGGGTTGGTTCCAAGTCTTTGCTATTGTGAATAGTGCCGCAATAAACATGTGTGCATGTGTCTTTATAGCAGCATGATTTATAATCCTTTGGGTATATACCCAGTAATGGGATGGCTGGGTCAAATGGTATTTCTAGTTCTAGATCCCTGAGGAATCGCCACACTGACTTCCACAATGGTTGAACTAGTTTACAGTCCCACCAACAGTGTAAAAGTGTTCCTATTTCTCCACATCCTCTCCAACACCTGGTGTTTCCTGACTTTTTAATGATCACCATTCTAACTGGTGTGAGATGGTATCTCATTGTGGTTTTGATTTGCATTTCTCTGATAGCCAGTGATGATGAGCATTTTTTCATGTCTTTTGGCTGCATAAATGTCTTCTTTTGAGAGGTGTCTGTTTATATCCTTCGCCCACTTGTTGATGGGGTTGTTTGTTTTTTTCTTGTAAATTTATTGGAGTTCATTGTAGATTCTGGATATTAGCCCTTTGTCAGATGAGTAGGTTGCGAAAATTTTCTCCCATTCTGTAGGTTGCCTGTTCACTCTGATGGTAGTTTCTTTTGCTGTGCAGAAGCTCTTTAGTTTAATTAGATTCCATTTGTCAATTTTGTTGCCCTTGCTTTTGGTGTTTTAGACATGAAGTCCTTGCCCATGCCTATGTCCTGAATGGTATTGCCTAGGTTTTCTTCTGGGGTTTTTATGGTTTTAGGTCTAACATGTAAGTCTTTAATCCATCTTGAATTAAGTTTTGTATAAGGTGTAAGGAAGGGATCCAGTTTCAGCTTTCTACATATGGCTAGCCAGTTTTCCCAGCACCATTTATTAAATAGGGAATCCTTTCCCCATTTCTTGTTTTTGTCAGGTTTGTCAAAGATCAGATGGTTATAGATATGCAGCATTATTTCTGAGGGCTGTGTTCTGTTCCATTGGTCTATATCTCTGTTTTGGTACCAGTACCATGCTGTTTTGGTTACTGTAGCCTTGTAGTATAGTTTGAAGTCAGGTAGCGTGATGCCTCCAGCTTTGTTCTTTTGGCTTAGGATTGACTTGGCAATGCGGGCTGTTTTTTGGTTCCATATGAACTTTAAAGTAGTTTTTTCCAATTCTGTGAAGCAAGTCATTGGTAGCTTGATGGGGATGGCATTGAATCTATAAATTACCTTGGGCAGTATGGCCATTTTCATGATATTGATTCTTCCTACCCATGAGCATGGAATGTTCTTCCATTTGTTTGTATCCTCTTTTATTTCATTGAGCAGTGGTTTGTAGTTCTCCTTGAAGAGGTCCTTCACGTCCCTTGTAAGTTGGATTCGTAGGTATTTTATTCTCTTTGAAGCAATTGTGAATGGGAGTTCACTCATGATTTGGCTCTCTGTTTGCCTGTTATTGGTTTATAAGAATGCTTGTGATTTTTGTACATTGATTTTGTATCCTGAGACTTTGCTGAAGTTGCCTATCAGCTTAAGGAGATTTTGGGCTGAGAAAATGGGGTTTTCTAGATATACAATCATGTCATCTGCAAACAGAGACAATTTGACTTCCTCTTTTCCTAATTGAATGCCCTTTATTTCCTTCTCCTGCCTGATTGCCCTGGCCAGAACTTCCAACACTATGTTGAATAGGAGTGGTGACAGAGGGCATCCCTGTCTTGTGCCTCTTTTCGAAGGGAATGCTTCCGGTTTTTGTCCATTCAGTATGATATTGGCTGTGGGTTTGTCATAGATAGCTCTTATTATTTTGAGATACATCCCATCAATACCTCATTTATTGAGAGTTTTTAGCATGAAGGTTGTTGAATTTTGTCAAAGGCCTTTTCTGCATCTATTGAGATAATCATGTGGTTTTTGTCTTTGGTTCTGTTTATATGCTGGATTACATTTATTGATTTTCGTATGTTGAACCAGCCTCGCATCCCAGGGATGAAGCCCACTTGATCATGGTGGATAAGCTTTTTGATGTGCTGCTGGATTCAGTTTGCCAGTATTTTATTGAGGATTTTTGCATCAATGTTCATCAAGGATATTGGTCTAAAATTCTCTTTTTTTGTTGTGTCTCTGCCAGGCTTTGGTATCAGGATGATGCTGGCCTCATAAAATGAGTTAGGGAGGATTCCCTCTTTTTCTATTGATTGGAATAGTTTCAGAAGGAATGCTAGCAGCTCCTCCTTGTACCTCTGGTAGAATTTGGCTGTGAATCCATGTGGTCCTGGACTCTTTTTGGTTGGTAAGCTATTGATTATTGCCACAATTTCAGAGCCTGTTATTGGTCTATTCAGAGATGCAACTTCTTCCTGGTTTAGTCTTGGGAGGGTGTATGTGTCGAGGAATTTATCCATTTCTTTTAGTTTTTCTAGTTTATTTGCGTAGAGTTGTTTGTAGTATTCTCTGATGGTAGTTTATATTTCTGTGGGATTGGTGGTGATATCCCCTTTATTATTTTTTATTGTGTCTGTTTGATTCTTCTCTGTTTTCTTCTTTATTAGTCTTGCTAGCGGTCTATCAATTTTGTTGATCTTTTCAAAAATCCAGCTCCTGGATTCATTAATTTTTTGAAGTGTTTTTTATGTCTCTATTTCCTTCAGTTCTGCTCTGATTTTAGTTATTTCTTGCCTTCTGCTAGCTTTTGAATGTGTTTGCTCTTGCTTTTCTAGTTCTTTTAATTGTGATGTTAGGGTGTCAATTTTGGATCTTTCCTGCTTTCTCTTGTGGGCATTTAGTGCTATAAATTTCCCTCTACACACTGCTTTGAATGTGTCCCAGAGATTCTGGTATGTTGTGTCTTTGTTCTCGTTAGTTTCAAAGAACATCTTTATTTCTGCCTTCATTTCGTTATGTACCCAGTAGTCATTCAGGAGCTGGTTGTTCAGTTTCCATATAGTTGAGCAGTTTTGAGTGGGTTTCTTAATCCTGAGTTCTAGTTTGATTGCACTGTGGTCTGAGAGACAGTTTGTTATAATTTCTGTTGTTTTACATTTGCTGAGGAGTGCTTTACTTCCAACTATGTGGTCAATTTTGGGATAGGTGTGGTGTGGTGCTGAAAAAAATGTATATTCTGTTGATTTGGGGTGGAGAGTTCTGTAGATGTCTATTAGGTCTGCTTGGCGCAGAGCTGAGGTGATGGGGAGAATGGAACCAAGTTGGAAAACACTTTGCACGGTGTTATCCAGGAGAACTTCCCCAATCTAGCAAGGCAGGCCAACATTCAGATTCAGGAAATACAGAGAACGCCACAAAGATACTCCTCGAGAAGAGCAACTCCAAGACACATAATTGTCAGATTCACCAAAGTAGAAATGAAGGAAAAAATGTTAAGGGCAGCCAGAGAGAAAGGTCGGGTTACCCACAAAGGGAAGCCCATCAGGCTAACAGCAGATCTCTCGGCAGAAACCGTACAAGCCAGAAGAGAGTGGGGGCCAGTATTCAACATTCTTAAAGAAAAGAATTTTCAACCCAGAATTTCATATCCAGCCAAACTAAGCTTCATAAGTGAAGGAGAAATAAAATACTTTACAGACAAGCAAATGCTGAGAGATTTTGTCTCCACCAGGCCTGCCCTAAAAGAGCTCCTGAAGGAAGCAGTAAACATGGAAAGGAACAACCGGTACCAGCCACTGCAAAAACATGCAGAATTATAAAGACCATTAAGGCTAGGAAGAAACTGCATCAACTATCGAGCAAAATAACCAGCTAACATCATAATGAGAGGCTCAAATTCACACATAACAATATTAACTTTAAATGTAAATGGACTAAATGCTCCAATTAAAAGACAGAGAGTGGCAAATTGGATAAAGAGTCAAGACCCATCAGTGTGCTGTATTCAGGAAACCCATCTCACGTGCAGAGACACACATAGGCTCAAAATAAAGGGATGGAGGAAGATCTGCCAAGCAAATGGAAAACAAAAAAAGGCAGGGGTTGCAATCCTAGTCTCGGATAAAACAGACTTTAAACCAACAAAGATCAAAAGAGACAAAGAAGGCCATTACATAATGGTAAAGGGATCAATTCAACAAAAAGAGCTAACTATCCTAAATATATATGCACCCAATACAGGAGCACCCAAATTCATAACGCAAGTACTGAGTGACCTACAAAGAGACTTAGACTCCCACACAATAATAATGGGAGACTTTAACACCCCACTGTCAACATTAGACAGATAATCGAGACAGAAAGTTGACAGTTCTTTTCTTTCAGCACTTAAAAAACCATTGTGTCACTTCCTTCTGGTCTCCATGGTTTCAGGTGAGTAATCTGAATTGTGTTTCCCTGTGGGCCGTCTGTTATTTATCTTTGGCTGCTTTCAAGATTTTTCTTTGTATTTAGTTTTGAGATGTTTAATCGTGTTGTGTCTTGGTGTGAATTTTGGGGGGTTTATCCCATTTGGAATCCACTCAGTTTCTTGATTCTCTAGATTTATGTCTTTCACCAAATTTGGGATATTTTCAGCAACTATTTCTTTCTTTGTTTTTTTATTATACTTTAAGTTTTAGGGTACGTGTACACAACATGCAGGTTAGTTACATATGTATACATGTGCCATGTTGTTGTGCTGCACCCAGTAACTTGTCATTTAACATTAGGTATATCTCCAAACGCTATCCCTTCCACCTCCCCCAACCCCACAACAGGCCCCGGTGGGTGATGTTCCCCTTCCTGTGTCCATGTGTTCTCATTGTTTAATTCCCACCTATGAGTGAGAACATGCAGTGTTTGGTTTTCTGTCCTTGTGATAGTTTGCTGAGAATGATGGTTTCCAGCTTCATCCATGTCCCTACAAAGGACATGAACTCATCATTTTTTATGGCTGCATAGTATTCCATGGTGTATATGTGCCACATTTTCTTAATCCAGTCTATCATTGTTGGACATTTGGGTTGGTTCCAAGTCTTTGCTATTGTGAATAGTGCCGCAATAAACATACATGTGCATGTGTCTTTATAGCAGTGTGATTTATAATCCTTTGGGTATATACCCAGTAATGGGATGGCTGGGTCAAATGGTATTTCTAGTTCTAGATCCCTGAGGAATCACCACACTGACTTCCACAATGGTTGAATTCGTTTTAGACATGAGTCCTTGCCCATGCCTATGTCCTGAATGGTATTGCCTAGGTTTTCTTCTAGGGTTTTTATGGTTTTAGGTCTAACATGTAAGTCTTTAATCCATCTTGAATTAATTTTTGTATAAGATATAAGGAAGGGACCCAGTTTCAGCTTTCTACATATGGCTAGCCAGTTTTCCCAGCACCATTTATTAAATAGGGAATCCTTTCCCCATTTCTTGTTTTTGTCAGGTTTGTCAAAGATCAGATGGTTATAGATATGCGGCATTGTTTCTGAGGGCTGTGTTCTGTTCCATTGGTCTATATCTCTGTTTTGGTACCAGTACCATGCTGTTTTGGTTACTGTAGCCTTGTAGTATAGTTTGAAGTCAGGTAGCGTGATGCCTCCAGCTTTGTTCTTTTGGCTTAGGATTGACTTGGCGATGCGGGCTTTTTTTTGGTTCCATATGAACTTTAAAGTAGTTTTTTCCAATTCTGTGTAGCAAGTCATTGGTAGCTTAATGGGGGTGGCATTGAATCTATAAATTACCTTGGGCAGTATGGCCATTTTCACGATATTGATTCTTCCTACCCATGAGCATGGAATGTTCTTCCATTTGTTTGTATCCTCTTTTATTTCATTGAGCAGTGGTTTGTAGTTCTCCTTGAAGAGGTCCTTCACGTCCCTTGTAAGTTGGATTCGTAGGTATTTTATTCTCTTTGAAGCAATTGTGAATGGGAGTTCACTCATGATTTGGCTCTCTGTTTAAAACTCTCAATAAATTAGGTATTTATGGGATGTATCTGAAAATAATAAGAGTCATCTGTGAGAAACCCACCGCCAATATCATACTGAATCACAAAAACTGGAAGCATTCCCTTTGAAAAGTGGCACAAGACAGGGATGCCCTCTGTCACCACTTCTATTCAACATAGTGTTGGAAGTTCTGGCCAGGGCAATCAGGCAGGAGAAGGAAATAAAGGGTATTCAATTAGGAAAAGAGGAAGTCAAATTGTCCCTGTTTGCAGATGTCATGATTGTACATCTAGGAAACCCCATCGTCTCAGCCCAAAATCTCCTTAAGCTCATAGGCAACTTCAGGAAAGTCTCACGATACAAAATCAGTGTGCAAAAATCACAGCCGTTCTTCAGCAATTGTTTCTTTTTATTTTTTAATTTTTGTGGGTGCATAGTAAGTATATATATTTATGGGCTACATTAGATATTTTGATACAAGCATGCAGTGCATAATAATCACATAACAGAAAATGGGGTATCCGTTCCTTCAAGCATTTATCCTTTGTGTTACAATCCAGTTATACTCTTTTATTTTTAAATGTGCAATTAAACTATTACTGACTGTAGTCTGTCTGTTGTGCTATCAAATACTAGGTCCTACTCTTTCTATTTTTATTTTATATCTATTAACCACTCCCATTTCCCTCCATCCCACCCGTTACCCTTCCCAGCCTCTGGTAACCATCTTTCTACTCTCTATTTCCACAGGTTTAATTGTTTTGATTTTTAGCTCCCACAAATAAGCGAGAACATGTGAAGTTTCTCTTTCTGTGCCTAACTTATTTCACTTAACATGATGATCTCCAGTTCCATCCTTCCATTCTTTTTTTGTTCTTATTCTTTTTTTGTTCTTATTTTTTTCCCCACCTTTTAAGTTCCAGGGAAGATGTGTAGGATGTTCAGGTTTGTTACATAGGTAAACGTATGCCATGGTGGTTTGCCGCGTAGATCAACCTATCACCTAGGTATTAAGCCCAGCAGTCATTACCTGTTCTTTCTTTTCCTGATGCTCTTCCTCCCCCCAGCCCCCCAGCAGGCCCCAGTTTGTGTTGTTCCCCTCCATGTGTTCTCATCGTTAAGCTCTCACTTATAAGTGAAAACATGCAGTGTTTGGTTTTCTGTTCCTGTGTTAGTTTGCTGAGGATAACAGCTTCCAGCTCCATTCATGTCCCTGCAAAGGACATGATCTCATTTCTTTTTATGGCTGCATAGTATTCCATAATGTATATGTATCACATTTTCTTTATCCAGTCTATCATTGATGGGCATTTGGGTTGATTCCATGTCTTTGCTATTGTGAATAGTGGCTGCAATGAACACACATATACATGGCTTTTTTTTTTTTTTTTTTTTTTTTTTTTTTTTTTTTTTGAGATGGAGTCTTGCTCTGTTGTGCAGACTGGAGTACAGTGGCGTGATCTCGGCTCAGTGCAAGCTCTGCCTCCCAGGTTCACACCATTCTTCTGCCTCAGCCTCCTGAATAGCTGGGACTACAGGCATCTGCCACCACGCCTGGTTAATTTTTTGTATTTTTAGTAGAGACGGGGTTTCACCGTGTTATCCAGGATGGTCTTGATCTCCTGACCCCGTGATCTGCCCACCTTGGCCTCCCAAAGTGCTGGGATTACAGGCATGAGCCACTGCGCCCTGCTTTTTTTTTTTTTTTTTTTTTCAGATGGAGTCCTGCTCTGTCACCAGGCTGGAATGCAATGGCACGATCTTGGCTCACTGCAACGTCCACCTCCTGGTTTCAAGTGATTACCCTGCCTCAGCCTCCCAAGTAGCTGGGACTACAGGCACGTACCACCATGCCCAGCTAATTTTTTGTATTTTAGTAGAGACCAGGTTTCACCATGTTGGCCAGGATGATCTCCATCTCCTGACCTCGTGATCCACCCGCCTCAGCCTCCCGAAGTGCTGGGATTACAGGCGTGAGCCACCTTGCCCGGTCATATTTTTATAATATAATAATATATTTTCCTTTGCGTATATACCCAGTAACGAGATTGCTGGGTAAAATGGTATTTCTGCCTCTTAGATTTTTGAGGAATTGCCACACTGTCTTCCACAATGGTTGAACTAATCTACACTCCCATCTACAGAGTAAAAGCTTTCCTTTTTCTCCACAACCTCAGCAGCATCTGTTGTTTCTTGACTTTTTAATAATTGTCATTCTGACTGGTATGAGATAGTATCTCATTGTGGTTTTGATTTGTATTTCGTGATGATCGGTGATGTTGAGCTTTTTTTCATATGTTTATTGGCCATATGAATGTCTTCTTTTGAGAAACATCTGTTCATATTCTTTGCCCACTTTTTAATGTTTTTTTTTTTTTTTTTTGTAAATTTGTTTACATTTTTTGTAGGCCCTGGGTAGTAGACCTTTGCCAGATAGATACATTGCAAAAATTGTCTTCTATTCTGTAGGTTGTCTCTTCACTCTGATGATAGTTTCTTTTGCTCTGCAGAAGCCCTTTAGTTTAATTCGATTCCATTTGTCAATTTTTGCTTTTGTTGCAATTGCTTCTGGAGTTTTTGTCATGAAATCTTTGCCCATGCCTGTGTCCTCAATGGTATTTTCTAGGTTTTCTTCCAGGTTTTATTTTTTTAATAGTTTTGAGTTTTACATTTAAGTCTTCAACCCATCTTGAGTTAATTTTTGTATATGGTGTAAGGAAAGGTTCCAATTTCAAATTTTTTGCATATGGCTAGCCAGTTCTCCCAGCACCATTTATTAAATAGGGAACCCTTTCCCCATTACTTGTTTTTGCCAGGTTTGTCGAAGATCAGATGGCTGTAGGTGTACAGTCTTATTTCTGAGTTCTCTATTCTGTTCCATTGATCTATGTATCTATTCTTGTAGCAATATCATGCTGTTTTGGTCACTGTAGCCTTGTAGTATAGTTTGAAGTCAGGTAGCGTGATGCCTCCAGCTTTGTTGTTTTTGCTTAGGATTGTCTTGACTATATGGGCTCTTTTTTGGTTCCACATGAATTTTAAAACAGTTTTTTTTCTAATTTTGTGAAGAATGTCAATGGTAGTTTAATGGGAATCACATTGAATCTTTAAATTACTTTGGGAAGTATGGCCATTTTCATGATGTTGATTCTTCCTATCCATGAGCATGGATTGTTTTTCCATTTGTTTGTGTCCTCTCTGATTTCCTTGAGCAGTGGTTTGTTGTTCTTCTTAAAGAGGTCCTTTACTTCCCTTGTTAGCTTAGCTGTATTCCTAGGTATTTTTATTCTTTTTGTAGCAATTGTGAATGGGATTTCATTCATGATTTGTTTCTCTGTTTGCCTATTGTTGGTTTATTGGAATGCTAGCGATTTTTGCACATTTTTAAAAAAAATTTTGTTATTATTATACTTTAAGTTTTAGGGTACATGTACACAATACCTAATGCTAAATGACGAGTTAATGGGTGCACATTGATTTTTGTATCCTGAGACTTTGCTGAAGTTGCTTATCAGCTTAAGAAGCTTTTGGGCTGAGACGATGGGGTTTTCTAGATATAGGATGATGTCATTTGCAAACAAAGATAATTTGACTTCCTGTCTCCCTGTTTGAATACCCTTTATTTCTTTATCTTGCCTGATTCCCCTGGCCAGAACTTCCAACACTATGTTGAATAGCAGTGGTGAGAGAAGGCATCCTTGTCTTGTGCCAGTTTTCAAGGGGAATGTTTCCAGCTTTTGCCCATTTAATATGATATTGTCTGTGGGTTTGTCATATATGGCTCTTATTACTTTGAGGTATGTTCCTTCAATACCTAGTTTATTGAGAGTTTTTAACATGAGGGAATGTTGAATTTTATTGAAGTCCTTTTCTGTGTCTATTGAGATAATCATGTAGTTTTTGTCTTTAGTTCTGTTTGTGTGATTTATTACATTTATTGATTTGGATATGTTGAACCAATCTTGCGTCACGGGGATGAAGCTAACTTAGTTGTGGTGGGTAAGTTTTTTGATGTGCTGCTGGATTTGGTTTGCCAGTATTTTATTCAGGATTTTTGCAGCGATATTCATCAGGGATATTGGCCTGAAGTTTTCTTTTTCTTTTGTATCTCTGATATCTAGTTTGGTATCAGGATGATGCTGGCCTCATAGAATGAGTTAAGGAGGAGTCCTTCCTTTTCAATTGTTGGGAATAGTTTCAGTAGAAATGGTACCAGCTCTTCTTTGTACCTCTGGTAGTATTCAGCTGTAAATCCATCTGGTCCTGGGCTTTTTTTTGGTTGGTAGGCTATTTATTACTGCCTCAACTTCAGAACTCATTATTGGTCTATTCAGGGATTCTGTTTCTTCTTGATTCAGTCTTGTGAGGGTGTGTGTGTCTAGAAATTTATCCATTTCTTCTGGATTTTCTAGTTTATGTGCATAGAGGTGTTTATAGTATTCTCTGATGGTTGTATTTCTGTGGGGTCAGTGGTGATATCCCCCTTATCATTTCTGATTGTATCTATTTTATTCTTCTCTCTTTTCTATTAGTCTAGCTAGCAGTCTATTTTATTAATTTTTTCAAATAACCAGCTCCTGGATTTATTGGTTTTTTTGAAGGGTTTTTTGTGTGTGTGTCTGTATCTCCTTCAGTTCCACTCTGATCTTGGTTATTTCTTGTCTTCTCCTAGCTTTGCGGTTCTCTAGTTCTTTTAGTTGTGATGTTAGGAGTTTAATTTGAGATGTTTCAGCTTTTCGATATGGGCATTCAGTGCTATAAATTTTCCTCTTAACACTGCTTTAGCTATATCTCAGAGATTCTGGCATGTTGTCTGTTTGTTCTCATTAGTTTTGAAGAACTTCTTGATTTCTGCCTTAATTTCATTATTTACCCAGGAGTCATTCAGAGGAAGGTAGTTTATTTTCCATGTAGTTTTGTGGTTTTGAGTGAGTTTCTTAATCTTGAGTTCTATTTTGATTGTGCTGTGGTCTGAGAAACTGTTATGATTTCACTTCTTTTCCATTTTCTGAGGAGTGTTTTACTTCTGATTGTGTGATCAATTTTAGAGCAAATGTGGCAATGATAAGGATACATATTCTGTTGTTTTTGGGTGGAGAGTTTTGTAGATATTTATCAGGTCCACTTGATCTAGAGTTGAGTTCAGGTCCTGAATATCTTTGTTAATTTTCTGTCTCGATGATCTAATATTTTCAGTTGGGTGTTAAAGTTTCCCACTATTATTGCATGGGAGTCTAAGTCTCCTTGTAGGTCTCTAAGAACTTGCTTTATGAATCTGGGTGCTCCTGTATTAGGTGCAAGCACATTTTGGGTAGTTAGTTCTTCTTGTTGAATTGAATCCTTTACCATTATGTAATCCCCTTCTTGGTCTTTTTTATTTTTATTTTTTTAATCTTTGCTTAAAGCCTGCTTTGTCAGAAACTAGTATTGTGACCCCTGCTTTTTTTTGCTTTCCATTTACTAGGTAAATTTCCTCCATTCCTTTATTTTGAGCCTATGTGTGTCTTTGCATATGAGATGGGTCTCTTGAAGACAGGATACCAATGGGGCTCGACTCTATCCAGCTTGCCATTCTTTGTCCTTTAAATGGGGCATTTAGTCCATTTGCATTTAAGGTTAATATTGTTATGTGTGAATTGAGGATCTCATTCTTTTTTAATGGCAGAACAGTACTTCATTTTGTATGTGTACCATATTTTCTTTATTTATTCATCTGTTGATGGACACTTAGGTTACTTCCAATCTTGGCTATTTTGAGCAGTGCTGCAAGAAACATAGGAGTGCAGATAGCTCTTCAATATACTGCTTTCCTTTGTTTTGAATATATACTAAGCAGTGGAATTGGTGGATTGTATGGTAGCTCTATTTTTAGTTTCTTTGAGGAAACTCCAAACTCTTCTCCATAGAGGTTGTACTAATTTACATTTCAACCAACAATGTATGAGGGTTCTCTTTGCTCCATATCCTCACTAGGATTTCTTATTGCCTGTCTTTTGGATAAAAGTCATTTTACCTGGGGTGAGGTAATATCTCATTGTAATTTTGATTTGCATTTCTCTGATGATCAGTGATGCTGAGCACCTTTTCACAAGCCTGTTTGTTGTTTGTAAGTCTTCTTTTGAAAAATGTTGATTCAGGTCTTTTGCCCATTTTAAAATCAGATTATTAGATTTTTTCCTATACAGTTGTTTGAGCTCCTTATATATTCTGGTTATTAATCCCTTTTCAGATGGGTGGTTTACACATATTTTTCTCCGATTTTGTGGGTTCTCTCTTCATTTTGTTGTGTTTTGTTTGCTGTACAGAAGCTTTTTAACTTGATATGATCTCATTTGTCCATTTTGCTTTGGATGCCTGTCCTTGTGGGTTATTACTCAAGAAATTTTGCCCAGGCCAATGTCCTGGAGCATTTCCCATATGTTTTCTTGTAGTAGTTTTATAGTTTGAGGTCTTAGATTTCTAAGTCTTTAATCTATTTTTATGTGATTTTTGTATATGACAGAAGATAGGGGTTTAGTTTCATTCTCCTGTGTATGGATATCCAGTTTTCCCAGCACCATTTATTGAAAAAAAACTTTTTTCCCCCATTGTATGTTTCTGACACCTTTGTGAAAATGAGTTCGCTGTAGGTGTTTGGGTTGTTTCTGGGTTCTCTATTCTATTCCATTGGTCTATGTGTCTGTTTTTATGCCAGTAACATACTGTTTTTGTTATGATAGCTTGGTAGTATAATTTTAAGTCGGGCAAAGTAACTCCTTCAGATTCATTCTTTTTGCTCAGGATAGCTTTGGCTATTCTGGGTCTTTTGTGATTCCACAGACATATTAGCGTTGTTTTTTCTGTTTCTGTGAAAAATGTCGTTGGTATTTTGATAGGGGTTGCATTGAATCTGTAGATTGCTTTGGGTAGTATGGGCATTTTAACAACATTGATTCTTCTAATCCATGAACATGGAATATCTTTCCATTTTTTATGTCCTTTTTAATTTCTTTCATCAGTGTTTTATAGTTTTTATTGTAGAGATCATTTACTTCTTTGGATAATTTTTAGATGTTTTATTTTTGGCTATTGTAAATCAGATTGATTTTAAAATTTCTTTTTCAGATTGTTCAAATACTGGCTTTTGTATGTTCATTTTCTATTCTGCAACTTTACTTAATTTGTTTATCTGTTTTAATCGGATTTTTGTGGCGTCTTTAGGTTTTTTTCAAATATAAATATGTCATCTACAAACAAAAATAATTTGACTTCTTTCTATCCAATTTTCATGCTCTTTATTTCTTTTTCATGTCTGATTGCTCTAGCTGGGACTTCCAGTACTATCCTGAGTGACAATGGTGAAAGTGGGTATCCTTGTTGCATTCCAGATCTTAGAGAAAGGCTTTCAGTTTTTACCCTTTCAGTATGATACTAGCTGTGGGTGTATGACATACAGCCTTTATTATATTGAGGTATGCTCTTTTTATCCTCAGTCTTTTGAGGGTTTTTATCATGAAGGGATGTTGAATTTTATCAAATACATATTCAGTATCAATTAAAATGATTATATGATTTTTGTCCTTCATTCTGTTGAAATGATGTATCACATTGATTCACTTAGGTCGAACCATCCTTGTATCTCAGGAATTAATCCGACCTGGTCATGATGATGATCTTTTTAATGTATTGTTGAATTTGGTTTGCTAGTATTTTGTTGAGTATTTTTACATCAATTTTCATCAGAGATATTGGCCTGTGGTTTTCTTTTTTTGTTGTATCCTTATTTGGTTTTGGTATCAGGGTAATACTGTCCTTGTAGAATGAATTTGGAAGTGTCCTCTTATCCTCTCTTGTTTGGAATAGTTTGAGTAGGATTGGCATTAGTTCTTCTTTAAATGTTTGATAGAAGTCAGCAGTGAAGCCACTGGGTCCTGAACTTTTCTTTACTGGGGGACTTTATTGCAGTTTCTGTCTCATTATTTGTTATTGGTCTGTTTGGGATTTGGATTTCTTCATGGTTAAATCTTGGTAGGTTGTGTATGTCTAGGAATTTATCTCATAGTAGCCACTAATGATTCTTTGAATTTCTATGATATCAGTTGTAATGTCTTTTTTTTTTCATTTCTGATTTTATTTGTTCGGGTAGTCTCTCTGTTTTTCTTCATTAGTCTCGCTAAAAATTTGTCAATTTTATTTATTCTTTCAAAAAACCAAGATTTTATTTCGTTGTTCTTTTGTATTGTGTTCTCCATTTCAAATTCATTTATTTCGCTTTAATCTTTGTTATTTAGTCTACTAATTTTGGGTTTGGCTTGCTCTTGCTTTTCTAGTTCTTTAAGCCATATTGTTAGGTTGTTTGTTTGATGTTTTTCTTCTTTTTTGAGGTAGTTACTTAAAGCTGTAAACTTCCCTTTTAGTATTGCTTTTGCTGTATCCCATAGGTTTTGGTATGTTGTGTTTCTATTACCATTTGTGTCAAGAAAATTTTCAGTTTCCTTCTTAATTTCTTCACTGGTAATTCAGGAGCATGTTGTATAATTTGCATGTATTTTTTATAGTCTCCAAAAGTCTTCTGTTATTGATATTAAGTTTTATTTATTTTCGAACGCTGTAAGACTTGTTTTGTGACATAACATATGGTCTATTTTTGAGAATGAGCCATATGTTTAGGAAAAGAATATGTATTCTGAAGCCTTTGGATTAAATGTTTTGTACATATCTGTTAGGTTGATTTGATCTACAGTGCAGATTAAGTCAGATGTTTCTTTGTTGATTTTCTGTTTGGAAGATCTGTCCAGTGCTGAAAATGGGGTATTGAAGTCTCCAACTATTATTGTATTGAGGTCTATCTCAATCTTTAGCTCCAATAATATTAGCTTTATATATCTGGGTGCTCTATCACTGGGATATTTGTAAATGTTATATACTCTTGCTGAATTGACCACCTTATCATTATATAATGACCTTTGTCTCTTCTTACAGTTTTTGTCTTGAAATCTATTTTATCTGATTTACTGGCTCTTGTTCTTTTTTGGTTTCTGTGGACATGGGATATTTTTTTCCATCCTTTTATTTATTTTCACTCTGTGTGCATCTTCATAGGTGAAGTGTGGTTTTTTTGTGTGTGTGGGGAACAGATAATTGATTCTTATTTTTCTTGCATCCATTCAGCCACTCTGTCTTTTAATTGGAGGGTTTCATTTACTGACATTTAATGTTATTATTTATAAAGTAAGAGCTTACTCTTGCTATTTTGCTGTTTGGTTTTTGTTTTTTGCTTTGTGGTCTTCCTTCTTTCCTTCCTTCCTGTCTTTTAGTGAAGGTGATGTTCTCTGGTAGTATGATTTAATTTCTTGCTTTTTAATTTGTGTGTATATGTTATTTTCTGATTTGAAGCTACCATAAGGCTTGCAAATAATATCTTATAGCCTATCATTTTAAACTGATGACAGCTTAACACTGATTGCATAAACAAACAAGCAAAAAGAAAACTAATAAAAAACTTTATGTTTTAACTGAATCCCTCCCATTTTTAAACTTTTTGTTGTTTCTCTTTGTGTCTTATTCTGTGTTGTAAAGTTTTTGTAGTTATTATTTTTGATTGGTCCATTGTTTAGTCTTTCTACTTAAGGTAAGAGTAGTTTACACAGCACACTTAGAGTGTTAAAATATTCTATGTTTTTCTGTGTGCTATTACCAGTGAATTTCATACCTTCAGATGATTCATTATTGCTCATTAATGTCTTTTTCTTTCAGATTGAATAACCCCCTTTAGCATTTCTTATAGGACAAGTGCAGTGTTGCTGAAATCACATAGCTTTTGTTTGTCTGGGAAGGTCTTTATTTCTTCTGCTTTTTTGGTGGATATTTTTTGCCAGATATACTATTGTAGGGTAAAAGTTTTTTTTCCCTTCAGCACTTTAAATATGTTATGCCACTCTCTCTCGCCCTGCAAGGTTTCCACTGAGAAGCCTGCTGGTAGACATATTGGAGCTCCATTTTATATTATTTATTTTTCCTGCTGCTTTTAGGATTTTTTTCTTTATTTTTTACCTTTGGGAATTTGATTATTAAATGCCTTGAGGTAGTCCTCTTTGGATTAAATCTGCTTGGTGTTCTATAACCTTCTTGCACTTGAATATTGATATATTTCTCTAGGTTTGGCAATTTCTCTTATATTATCCCTTTGAATAAACTTTCTACCCCTATCTCTGTCTCTACTTTCTCTTTAAGGCCAAAAAACTCTTAGATTTGCCTTTTTAAGGCTATTTTTGTAGATCTTGTAGGCATGCTTCACTGTTTTTTATTCTTTCATTTCCTCTGACTGTATTTTCGAATCGCTTGTCCTCAAGCTCACTAATTCTTTCTTCTACATCAATTCTGCCCTAAATAGACTCTGATGTACTCTTCAATATGTCAATTGCATTTTCAGCTCTAGAATTTCAGCTTTGTTCTTTTTAATAATTTCAATCTCTTGGTCAAATTTATCTGATAGAATTCTGAATTCCTTCTCTGTGTTATCTTGATTTCTTTGAGTTTCCTCAACACAACTAATTTGAATTATCTGTCTGAAAGGTCACATATCTCTGTTTCTCCAGGATTGGTCCCTGATGCCTTATTCAGTTTGTTTGGTGAGGTCATGTTTTCTTGGATGGTCTTGATGCTTATAGATGTTCATCAGTAACATTGATGAGTTAGGCATTTATTGAGTTAACATGTCTGGGCATTGAAGAGTTAGGCATTTATTGTAGTCTCACAGTCTGGGCTTGTTTTTGCCAGTTTTCCTTGGGAAAGCTTTCTAGATATTCAAAAGGACTTGGGCCTCAAACCCAATAACACTGTGGTTCTTGCAGACACATAGAGGTGCTGCCTTGGTGGTCTTTGATAAAATCGGAAGAATTCTCTGGATTCCAGGCAGAGTCTTGTTCTTTTCCCTTACTTTCTCCCAAACAATCAGAGTCTCTGTGATGAGTCACCTGGAACTAGGGGTGAGGGGACACTGTGCCCCTTGGCTACCACCACTGGAATTGTGTTAATATGGACCTGAAGCTGGCACAACACTGGGTCTTTCCCAAGGCCCACTATAACCACTACCTGGCTACCACCTATGTTTACTCAAGGTCCTATAGCTCTGTGATCAGCAGTTGATAAACCGAGCTGGGTTTGTGTCCCTTTCTTCAGGGTGGTGAGTTTCCTGATGCCCTGAGTGGGTCCAAAGATGCTGCCTGGGAGCTAGGGATTAGAGTCAAAAAGCCTAGATATTTAGTTCTGTTCTACTGCGGCTAAGCTAGTACTCAAACCACAAGACAAAGTCCTTCCTGCTCTTCCCTTCCCTTTCCATAGGCAGAGGAGCCTCTTCTTGTGGCCACCAGCAACACCACCACAAGGGAGTTTCTCTCAGGCCACCACCGGTGTTCTCTTAAGGCCCAAGGACTCTCCAGTCAGCTTGTGGTGAATGCTGCCAGGCTTGGGACTCACCCTTTAGGGCAGTGGGCTCCCCTCTGGCCCAAGGCAGGTCCAGAAATGCTGACCAAGGGCCTAGGCCTGCACTCAGGGACCCCAGGGGCCTGCTTCATTCCCTACTCCACTGCAGCTGAGCTGGTACCTGAGGTACAAGACAGAGTCCCTTTTACATTTCCCCTTGTTTTTCTCAGGAGTCTTAAACCATAGCTCCCACAGCTGAGAATTTGCTTGGTTACACCTGAAGCCAGCACATCTCAGAGCCCAAGGCCCATGGCCTATCACCTGGGTATGGCTGCTGGGTATTTAGGGCCCAAGGGCTCTTTAATCAGCAGGTGATGAACCTGCCAGGGCTGGGTCCTTGCCTTCAAGGCAGTGGTTCCCTTTTGGCCTATTCTGTCTCTAGAAATGTCTGTTATGAGCTAGAGCCTCATGACTGCCTGGTGCCCTATCCTACTGTGGCTGAGCTGGTATCCAAGATGTAAGGCAAAGTCCTCTTTGCTCTTCACTTTCCTCTTTTCAAACAGAAGGAAGGGGTCTTTTCTGTTGCTGTGAGCTGCACTGCCTGGAGTTGAGGGAGGGGTGGTGCAAGCACTTCCTTAGCCACTCTGTCTAGTGTCTCTTAGGTCATGTGCCACCCTAGTCTACTGTCTCTAAGCCCAGCTCAGCATAGGCGTTACCTATGAATTGCAGTCCTTGTGTCCTAGACTGCCTTTCAAGTTCACTTTGGACCTTAGAGCATTTTGGCCTGTGCTAGTGAGGCTTGTTGAGAAACTCAGGTTCCACCTGCTGGGATGGGTGGTTCCTCTCTGGCTAAGTCTGGTCCAAATGCTCCCTGTGTGTGTGGGTGCTAGCTGAGCCCAGCATGTCTTTGCTCTCCAATATAACAGGACAGCACTGAGATCAAAGTAAAGTCTCATGATTACGGTGCTTTCCCTCTCCCAAGTGCACGGATTTCTCCACACCATGCAGCCACTGCCAGGGGATGGGGGAGAGGTGGCACAAGCACAACCTGGCTGGTTGGTGTCTCAGTAGGGCATGTGATGTGGTTTAGCTTTGTGTCCCCACCCATATCTCATGTCAAATTGTAATTTCCACGTGTTGGGTAGGGACCTGGTAGGAGGGGATTGGATCATGGGAGCAGATTTCCCCCTTGCTGTTTTCATGATAGTGAGTGAGTTCTCATGAGATCTGGTTGTTTAAAAGTGTGTAGCACCTCCCCTTTGCTCTCTCTCCTGCTGCCATGTGAAGATGTGCTTGCTTCCCCTTCACGCTTCCACCATGATTGTAAGTTTCCTGAGGCCTCCCTACCCATGCCTCCTATATAGCCTGTGGAACTGTGAGTCAATTAAGCCTTTTTTCTTTATAAGTTACCCAGTCTCAGGTATTTCTTTACAGCAGTTTAAGAACAGACTAATACATTGTGTGGCCCTGCCGAGGCCACTGGCTCTGAATCCAGCTCAGCACTAGGACTTGCCTAGGAATTGCAGTCCTTGTCACCTAGATTTCTCTTTAAGTTTACTTAGGGTCCCAGAGCCACTTTAGCCTGCACTGTCAAGGCTTGCTGGAACTCTGGCTCCATTTGCTGGGATGGCTGATTCCCATCTGGCTATGCCTGGTCCAAATGCTCCCTCTCTGGGTGGGCATCTGCTGGGTGCGCTCCTGTTATGCTTTCTGCTGTGACAGAGAAGCATTGAGTTCAGTTTAATGTCCCCCAGTCATTGCGCTCTCCCTCTCCCAGGTGCGTAGATTCTTCAAACCAGGCGGCCACTGTCAAGAGATGGGAGACGGGTGGCATTGGCACTTCAAGACTGTCTTTCCTACCCCCCTTCAGTGCCTCTTTCAGTGATATGAAGTTAAAACCAGGTACTATGAGTGTTGATTTTTGGTTGTTGTGATAGTGCTTTTTGTGTGTAGTTAGTTAAAATATGGTGTTTCTGTTGGGGGAACAAATCGTGTAGACTTCTATTCGGCCATCTTGCTCTGTTCCACCAACATTTCTTAAAATACTCTTTTAGCCCACTTTCCTTTTCCTTTCCTTCTGAAACTCCAGCGATACAAATGTTGGACCTTTTTCTGTTGTCGCACAGGTGCTCTGTTCCTTTTTTTCTGGTTTATCTTTTCTCTATTGTTAAAATTGGGTAAATTTTATTGATTTGTTCTAAAGTTTATGTATTCTCTCCTTTGTCATTTCTGCTTCCTTATCGATCCCCGAATTAAAACAAATTCTGCTGTTGTGTTTTTCCTTTTTATTTGTTTTATTAGAATTTTTAATTATTTGTTGAAACATTTTTATCATGACTGCTTTAAAATCCTTGTCAGAGAATGCTAACATCCGATTCATCTCAGTGTTGGTGTCAGTTGTCTTTTCTCATTCAAGATGTGATTTTTCTGTTTCTTGGTATGATGATTGAGTTCTGATTGTGTTCTGGACATTTTGGTTATTCCATTGGGAGCTTCTGAGTCCTGTTTAGATCTTCCATTTTAGAAGGCAGTCACCCTGTATAAGTTTAGTATGCAGGACCTGGCCTACATTTGTGGGTTGTGATTCCAAAGATAATTTAATCTTTAAGACTGTTTGGTGTATCTCATGCCATTGATGCTCCCTCTGGTCCCTGCTGGTGCTGGCCGATGGGGTGGAAGTAGCTTCCCACAGGCCAGGACGCCTTGCCCCTCTAGACGGGGAAGACTGTCTGCTGACCATAGAAGAGTCAGTGAGGCTTTCTGTGTCCAGCTGCTTGTTGTGTTGAGATCTCTCTTAGTGGTGCTGTCCAGTGCTTCTTGATGGGATAGGGGAGTCTTTGGCACCTAGGAACATAGCAGCTTCCCAACCTAGTTCACTTGTGATGAGCTCACCTTGCCTGTGGGGTCCTAGAGCACCTTCCAGGCTGGTTACTTATTGTGGGAGGATCCTCTTGCCGGTGCTGCAGGTCTCCCTGGTGCCTGTAGGTCCTTAGGGTCAGACCCTGGATACTTTCTGTGGTAGAATTCCCCTTGTTAGAGCTGCCCTTCTCCACCCTCCCCACCGTGATTCTCAGTGGAGGTTAATACTTTTTCCCAACTGGGAGCAGAGTGATTCCCCTAGTCACTTATTGTCTGCAGGAATCCCCATCAGTCCCAGTGTGGCTCATATGTATTGTCAGTAGGATTCCAGTTTGATTCAGGGGAGGAATGAGTCACTTCTCTTGCTTGGTTGAGGATCAGAAAATGGCAGGCCTGGGTTGCTTTCTGCTTTTGGGAGGGGGGTCCTAAGCCACCGTGCTGCTTATACAGTCCTAGGTAGGTCCCTGACTATTCCACCATTCTCTTTACACCTTTCAGAATCCTGCTTTGGCTAACTTTTGCTTTATTTCCAGGGTTTATAGTTGTACTTAGCATGGAGGAGCAGGGAAAAGTGAGTCTGTGCCGTTTTATTCAGAATTGTGTATTTGTTGCTGAGCTTTCATTACCTTTCTGGATTTGTTTTCATTTCCCTTGTCTTGAAAAGCTTTGAGAATGATCCTGCAATCAAGCAGTATCCTCCCGCTCTTGAGTACAGATGTACAGTGCTCTGCTGTGTCTGGCCAAGGTCAAAGTCCCAATAGGCTGAATTAATGTTGCTGGTGTGGAGTCATGTCATTCCATTAATATAAAACAAAAGTTTAAATCTACGTGCATAGGGAATAAAGGCGGGGAGCTGCTGCTGCCCCTCTGTGTGGATGATGCACAGAGCTGGCACTGCCCTTTCCTCTCTGGCTGTGTGACTGTGGTCAGCGCTTGTCCCGGCTGATGGGGAGGGTTCTGGCCATCTGGCCTCCCAGTTTCAATCCCTTGAAGCAGTGCCCAAGACCCTCAGTCAAGGAACTATCTTTGGATTGTCTAGAGGTTATTCCTGTATTTTAGGCACTGAAAAGGAATGGAAAAAGTGTGGAAATCACTTTAAGATTAGTGAGTATTAGTAGAGAAGCAGATGAGATCTCTACTAGATGGCGGTTTTTCCTTTGGAAAAGGGTACACACATCGCCTTCTGCTTGGAAAGATAAACCAGCATCAAATTCGTCTTGTCAGGCAAGATGTGTTCCATTAGTAAGACTGATTCCGTTGTACACTAAATTGCAAAAGAAATAATTTAATTCCTGCTCCCTGTCTTAGATCCTTTCTCTAATGCTAAGAGGACAGTGAGATGCCCTGTTTGCCTTTAGGCCGTGGAATGGTTTGGGTTAAGCAAGGCAGTTTTGGATCATTTCACTTTTGCATTTTACCTAGAATTGGAATGTTGCTCTTAATTATCTGACACAAGAAGCTGTTGATCATTTCTATCTTGCAGGAGTCAGTGGAATTTAAGTTTACTTAAAGAACTTGAAACATTGATTCTGGTTCTCCTCATGTAATGATTGAACAATTAACGAATTCCTGGTTAAGTTCCTGTATTTTTCTGTTTTATGTAGGACTAATATTTTCATTGAGTACATGAAAATGAATTTGATGCTAGTAGATATGTGGACATGTAATCAATTTAAGTATTTTAAACTAATACTTGATTATCCTTTATGAAGAAATACTAATCATTAGCTACTTTTAAGCAGTTTAAACATTTACTAAATTTCTAGTACTATCTTTTGAAAATCTTAAGTGCCATTTGATTGACTTGGTGGGGCTCACATTTCTCTGTGGAGTGGTCACATTGGTGAGAGAAACTCTACCTCATGGTTAAGGACCCAGGGCTGAGTTCACTACGTGTGTTTGTATCCTGGCTGTACCATTTACAAACTTTGGGCCGTGGGCAAGTTAACTCACCTCTGGTGTCTCAAATTCCTTATATACTCACTGGGGAAATACAGTACCACTGTACGAGGTATTGTGAGTACTCAATGGAACAATATATGCAGAGCATTTAGAACAATGCGTTGCTTATGGCAAACACATAATAGCTGTTAGCGTTTCTTGTGGTGGATGGTTGCTCTTATTATGAAACCAAAAGAAAGTAGATATGACTATGGGAATTAGAATACACACTTAAAAATAAAACAACCTTGGCATTGGTATCTATCACCAGGGTCTTGAATACCCTGTCCTAGTAATAAAAATGCTGTACGCTTATATTTAGCTTGAGGCAACGTTACCCTGTTTGAATGAACAGTGCTTTGCTTCAGCCTCTTCTGATCACCCCCTCTTCCTTATTTAATCCCAAGGATGGGAATTTTCCTCAGCTTCTCATTATTATGTTCTTCATGGCAGTCAAATTGGAGGCAAGCTATTGAAGACACAAATCCCAAGCTAATCTGTTTCCAAAAGGTATGGACTTAAAAATAGTCTGCATTTGTGTTGGGTAATTTTGTTGTACTTTGTTATTAAGAGAAGATGATGTTAATACCAGATGAGTAATAAAAAATCAATTAAAATCCTTTAGGGAAATTAAAGCGCTGACAAATTCATAATAGCTTTTCTGGTTGTTAAATGAGGTTGACATGGATTAACAATTGGTGGTGGACAGAAATTTGCTGAATTTACTGAAGTATATACCCATTAAAATGACAGCTGTGTCTAAGAGCCTGCACCAGGGCATTTAGTTCCAGGACCTGAGTGTGAAGGAGAGAGCTAATCAAATAAGACAACTTGTACTTAATTTTAATTAAGTAAATTCCCCGTCACGTTTTAATCACATAAACTCAGTCATGGGTACTGCAGGAGAAAGAGGCCAGCCATTTTATTGTCTAACTCTGATTTCTTTTTCAAACTTATTTATTAAAAATAAACGTACAGGCTTAATTTTGGTAGTTGATTGTGCATTCTGATTTCATCTCTTTATTGAGAGTAGTTTATCAATCATCTTTTCATTATTAGAAAATTTTCCCATAAATCCCCACAAATCATTTTTATAAAAATGTATTTAAAATTATATAATACAATTTGCTATGTAGTATGTAATTTCATGCAAGGGACTTGTGTCAGTGAAGTTGTTTAGTTGCTGAAATAATAATAGTTAAAAAATAATGAATTTTGAAGACCATTAAAGCCTTTTTATTTTGATGTGTGTTTGTTCTTGGATTTTTTGGCCAATGTGGGCATAAATGGGACTCTAATATTTGTTAGTTTGTTAGATTCTTGCTTCCCTGGGGAGTCAGGTGCAGAAAGGTAGCACAGCATCAAGATTTTGTTACACTTGTGGGATATAACCAGGTGCTATAGCATTTATAGTAATCAGATTTTCTTCTACTTAAACGTACAGTGTGTATAGCCTAAAATTATTTTTTTGGTTGATGTAAATAGAAACATAATTTATGAATTTTGCAGCAGCCTATGACACTTGATTCAATAAACACTTTTTATTCATTGCTGTTTGCAAAATGCTGTGTTCAGCACAAGAAAGATACAAAAAATAGCTTGTATTTGCAGTGCTTTGGGGGTTTGAGGTGGAAGAATCATTTGAGGTTGAAGGATCATTTGAGGTCAGGAGTTTGAGACCACCCTGGGCAACATAGCAGGACCCTGTCTCTAAAAAAAAAGAAAAGAAAAAATTAGTCAGGCATAGTGGCATGCACCTGTAGTCCCAGCTGCTCAGGAGGCTGAGGTGAGAGGATGTCTTGAGTCCAGGAGTTGGAGGCTGCAGTGAGCTGTAATTGCACCACTGCACTCCAGCATGGGTGACAAAATGAGACCTTGTCTCTTAAAAAATGAATTACAAACAAAATGCCTGCTTTTAAGTTCTCTACAATGGAAGAGATAGACAGCCAAGCAATAATCCTAGAAAATCAGTTCTAAGTAGAGATAAAATTATTTCAATTGATGTTATACACAGAAATTTACAGATTCAATGAAATCCCTATCAAAATACCAGTGACATTCTTCACAGAAATAGAAAATACAGTTAAAAATTTATATGTAACCACAAAAGACTCTCAATAGCCAAAGCAATCCTGAGCAAAAAGAAAAAGCCGGATGCATCACATTACCTGACTGGAAAATATACTACAAAGCTACAGTAACCAAATCAGCATGGTACTGGCATAAAAACAGACACATAGACCAATGGAACAGATAGAGAACCCAGAAATAAAATCACACCTTTACAGCCAACTCGTTTTTGACAAAGGTGCCAAGAACACACAATAGGGAAATAAATGGTGCTGGGAAAACTAGATATCCATACGCAGAAGAATGAATCTAGGATTCCTATTTCTCACCATATGCAAAAATCAAATAAAAATGGAATAAAGACTTAAATCTAAGACCTGAAAGCATGAAACTACTAGATGAAAATGTTGCATAAATATAGCAGGACATTGACATGGGTAAAAAAAAAATTTTGTGTAAGACATCAAAAGCAGAGATAACCAAGGCAAAAACAGACAAACGGGATTACAGCAAGCCAAAAAGCTACTGCATAGCAAGGGAAACAAGCAACATAGTGAATACATAACCCCCAGAATGGGAGAAAATATTTGCAAATTACCCACTTGACAAGGGATTAATAACCAGAATATATAAGGAACTCAGACAACTTAATAGCAAAAAACAAAATCCAATTAAAAACTGGGCAAAAAATCTAAATAGACATTTCTCAAAAGAAGACATACAAATGGCCAGCAGATATATGAAAAAATGCTCAACATTACTAATCATCTGAGAAATGCAAATCGAAACCCCAATGAGGTATCTCACTTCAGTTAAAATGGCTTTTATGTAAAAGAAAAATAATGCTGCGGAGAATGGGGAACCCTTATATGCCATTGGTGGGAATGTAAGTACGGCTACTATGGAAAACAGTGTGGCAGTTCTTCAAAAAACTAAAAATAGAACTAACATATGATCCAGCAATTCCACTCCTGGGTATATATCCAAAACAAAGGAAATCAGTATATCGAAGAGATATTTGCATTCCCATGTTTACGGCAGCATTATTCACAAAAACCAAAGTATGGAATCAACCTAAGTGCCTACTAATGGATGAATGGATAAAGAAAATGTGATATATATGTATATCACCTGGAGCCCCACAGATATGTGTGCGTATGTGTGTGTGTGTCTGAAACACACGTGTACACATGCACACATACATATATACACACAATGGAATATTATTGAGTTACAGAAACAAATCCTGTTATTTGTAGCAACATGGTTGGAACTGGAGGTCATTCTGCTAAGTGAAATAAGCCAAGCACAGAAAGGCGAATATCACATGTTCTCCCTCATACGTCAAAACCAAAAATGTGGATCTCATGAAGGTAAATAGTAGATTGGTGGTTAACAGGAGCTGAGAAGGGGTGGGGGAAGGGTGGGTTGAAGGAGAGGTTCATTAATAGGTAGAAATGTACAGTTAGCTCAAAGAAATAAGAGCTAGTGTTTGATAGGCCAGTAGGGTGACTATAGTTTATTATAATCTATTGTACATTTCAGGATAGCTAGAAGAGAATAATTTGAATGTTTCCAGCATAAATAAAAGACAAGTATTTAAGGTGGTAGAGATCCCAATGACACTGATTTGATCTTTACAAATTATAAGTATTACATTATCACATGTACCCTGAAAATATGTACATCTATTATGTATCAATAAAAAACATAAAAATATTTCACTTGAAAAATCTGAGAAGGCCTGAAACTTGATATTTGAGCTTGGCCTGAAATATGAAATTTGATGGGTAGGAAGTGGCTGGAACCATGACTTCAAGCAGAGAGCCAGCTTGAGCACCGCTATGAAGGGGAGAGTCCACACTGCATTCAGGGAATGACTGGAGACCTTTGGCAAAATCCAGGGTGAATGAGGGAGGACTTTATTTAGTAGGGAATGAGTCCGGAAACCTAGGTTTATTTACCCAACAGCAAACACTTCTTAGCACCTGCTAAGTGTCAGGTGTGTGCTGCCTGCTTGGTCTACCTTGGTGGTCCTGGCAGTCACAGCCCCTGCTCTCAGCAAGAGCTGAGTGTCTGGAGGGGACCCCACTGTGTAGTATATGATCATTTTTGAGGATGAGAGTTACACAGTCTGGCAAGTGTTTTAAGAAGAAAACTCTGGTGACCTGTGGAGGGGAGGGTTGGATAGAGGAGGTGGGGCTGAGGCTGCAAGGAGGGAAAGGGAGGCCTGAGGACATGGAGATGTGCAGGTGAGGAGGAGAGGGCAGAATCCCAGATGGCACTGGGATTTATTTCCAAAGGTCTGGCTCAGTCATGAGACATCTCTTTTTTATGTGATAACTTTTTCAAGAAAAAAATGTAGGCCACAGTCTTTCATTTTCCCTTCTTCAGAATTATTCTTTAGCCTCACATAGTAAAATTAGGTATGCTCATAATCAAAATTATCTTTTAAATAGAAGATTCTCTATCAGAAAAATGATGTTATGTTTTCGCCACTAAAATGTGATTGTTCAGGCATAATTGGTCATCGGCAGCCTCGAGGCAGCTCTCCTACCATTTTTTCCAAAGGTAAACTGAGCACCTTCCCCAGAAGCTGCATGGTGGGACTGCCCGGGTGCTTATCTCTGGGTCGGCTTGTGTGTGGTGGGGTGGAACCCTGCCTGTCTTCCTCTGTTCCATTGGGCTGGGAATGGGAGCCAGGCATTGGTCCTCCATAGCACTTCTGTTTCCTTACTGGGTAGATTTAAATGTGTGGGTCCCTCTCTTTTGGTGTGAATAGAAGGTAGAGGAAAAGTGTGTAGAACTCAGTGCATAGGGCAGTGGTTAGCATTTCAACAAGAACATCTCACATATCTAAGATTTGTTTAGCTCTTCAGGCACTGATAGGAGGTTTTAATAAGATCAATGATTTTTAGTTTAATTGGGTACTTTCCTTGTTCCCCTGGTAGAATCCCACCTGGAAAATCTACTATAGCAGAGTAGAATTTGGAACATTTTTTCTTGGTCTGATACACTTAATGGTGGTTAGTGTTAGTCCCCAGCACACCAGAGGGAGGACATTCCTATTAGTAACCCTAGAGCTGTTACGTATAGGATTTGTGGGGTATTGGGATGGGTTGAAAAAAGTACAGGTAATTGCAATAACTCCTACTAGTGGAGTTGAGAATAATTGGCCTTTTATAGCTGTTTGTTTTAGAAGAATTAGAATAGTGGAGTGGGCAGACCTGGAGTCAGGTGGACCTGGGTCATGGTTTTAACTAACCATTCCATGACTTTGGACAGGTTCCTTGTTACAGATTGAATCATTGAGCCTAGTTTTTCACCCTCTGTTATGGAATTCTGTTCCCTGGCCCTGGCCTCACGCTCATTGGAGCACACTTCCTTGACTTTGGGCATGGCCCCGTGACTTGCTTTGGCTGATGTCTGTATCCTCGGGTTCTGCATCCGTGGATTCAATCAACCACCAATTGAAAATATTTTTGGGAAAAAATAAAAAATAGCAATACAATGATAAAAATAATACAAATAAAACAAAATACAGATGATATGGTTAGGCTTTGTGTCTCCACCCAAATCTCAACTTCCCCAGGTGTTGAGGGAGGAACCTGGTGGGAGGTGATTGGATCATGGGGGCAGTTTCCCCCATGTTGTTCTTGTGTGAGTGAGTATTCACAAGATATGATGTTTTTATAAATGTTTGGCAAGTTGTTCCTTTGCTTGCTCTCTCTCTCACCTGCCACCCTGTAAGATGTGCCTGCTTCCCCTTCCACCATGATTGTAAGTGTCCTGAGGCCTCTCTAGCTGTGTGGAACTGTGAGTCAATTAAACCTCTTTTCATTATAAATTCCTCGGTCTCCAGAAGTTCTTCCTAGCAGTGTGAAAATGGACTAATACAGCATAATAATGACTGTTTATATTGTATTAGGTATTTTTTTATTATACTTTAAGTTTTAGGGTACATGTGCACAACGTGCAGGTTTGTTACATATGTATACATGTGCCATGTTGGTGTGCTGCACCCATTAACTGGTCATTTAGCATTAGGTATATCTCCTAATGCTATCCCTCCCCGCCTCCCCACCCCACAACAGTCCCCGTTGTGTGATGTTCCCCTTCCTGTGTCCATGTGTTCTCATTGTTCAATTCCCACCTATGAGTGAGAACATGCGGTGTCAACCTACACACATCTTCCCATATATTTTAAATCATCCCTGCATTACTTATAATACCTAATGTATTATAAGTACTGCAGGTCACCTCTGTGGTGAATATGCATACATTCCCATTTCATTAGTTCAAATTGACTAACAGCCATCTAAGCATGAAGTCAAGGAATCATAAGTCATTTTCCAACAGAGAATCCCATATAAGCTGCAGCTCACTGACCAATGGCTATTCTCATCTAGGAAATGGTCTCCCTTGAGAGGCAGCACAGAGAGTGGAAATAGTAAGGTCTTTGGAACGGACAATTGTGTGACCTTAGTTAAATACCTTATGACCCTGAGCGTTTGTTTCCTTGTTTGCTGAATGGTGGGAAATAAGGTTCATCTTAATGTATTAGGTATTGTAAGTAATGCAGGGATAATTTGAAATATGTGGGAGGATGTGTGTAGGTTACATGCAAATACTACACCATTTCATGTCAGAGACTTGAGCATCTGTAGATTTTGGTATCTGTGGGGGTCCTGGAACCAATACCCCACGGTACTGAGAGACAACTATATTAGCAAATGTGATGTAAGAGGAGGCTTGATTCTACTTGTGTGCCTGGGCTTGTGCTCAGGTGATTCAGGCTCAATAAAAATGTGCCCTGGAGTTACTGTCCCTTTATCCAGGGCTCCACGGGGTGAGAAACGGGACAGACCTGAACCCACCTCAACCTGGAGCCCTGCAGGTGAGTGCAGCCTGGACCAGCTGAGCTTCAACCCATGTGCAGACTCATATGTGAGAAAAATAAATGTAGTTATAAGCCACTGAGATTTTGCATTTGTTATGTAGCATTGTGGTAATAGAGAACTAACACTGTGCTTGTCTTCCCTTCTGTAAAACAGGAATCTGATCTTCCCACAGGGGGTTCTGTTCTAAGGCTTAAAATAAAATAATCCTGTTAGTGCAGTGCTTGACTCTTAGAAGATGATATGATATAAATAAATTGCAGCTATTTTAAATAATGAAAATATGGGATATACATCCAAAATAAAGGGCATAGTTTCTGCACAGAAGGGAATTAGCCAAATAAAGAGGAAAAAAGGTAAGGTTCTCACATTGTGTTGTGTGTCTCCTGGAAATTTGTTATTGTTCTGAGTGCTTTCTGTTTACTCATTCAATGTATATATTAGTGTAGGTTCTCTGGAGAATCAGAACACACACACACACACACACACACACACACACACACACACACACAGATTGATTGATCTGTTAACTTATCTATTTATCAGCATTGGCCCACATGATTGTGAGGGCTGGCAAGTCTGAGATTTGTAGGGCAGGCTGGCAGGCTTAGAAACTCAGGTAGAGTGGATGTTGTAATCTTCAGTCTACAGTCTGCAGGCCAGGAAGGCTGGAAACTCAGGCAGGGTTTCTCTGTTGCAGTATTGAGGCAGAATCCCTTCCAGATTGGGAAACTTCAGTCTTTGCTCTTGAGGCCTTCCACTGATCGGATAAGGCCAACCCACATTATGAAAGGGTCATTAGCTTTACTTGAAGTCAATTGATCATATGTGTTAATCCCATTAAAACAATACCTTCACAGCAACATCTTGACTGGTGTTTGGGCGCTATAACCTAATCAAGTTGACACTTAAAATTAACCATCACAACATATATTAATGGGGTTGCCTGCTCTATGATTGGGCGGGCCCACAGTGATGACATGATATAGACTTTGCCCTTGTGGGGCTTAGCGTCCAGTGACTGTTGTTTTGTTTTATCCTTACAGAAGCCCTGTAAAGATGAACCTTATTTCCCACCATTCAGCAAACAAGGAAACAAATGCTCAGGGTCATAAGGTATTTAACTAAGGTCACACAATTGTCCGTTCCAGAGACCTTACTATTTCCACTCTCTGTGCTGCCTCTCAAGGGAGACCATTTCCTAGATGAGAATAGCCATTGGTCAATGAGCTGCAGCTTATATGGGATTCTCTGTTGGAAAATGACTTATGATTCCTTGACTTCATGCTTAGATGGCTGTTAGTCAATTTGAACTAATGAAATGGGAATGTATGGATATAAATTTTAATTGCAACAAATTCTGAAGGACTTTATATGTGCACATTTTATATTATCAGATTACACTTCCCAGGAGTGGAGTTAACAGAATTAGTTCTCACTCTCCTACCAACTACCACAATTAAGTGAAGGCTCTTGCCAGAAAATAAAGTAAATCTATTGTACATGCTTGTAAACAATAGACAAATTGCGTAGTGTAACACAAAAGTCAGCCTAATGTTTGTACATGGTGGAGATATTGATTAGTTAAAGTTTATTTCATGTATCCCTACTATTGCATTGGGTTTTCATATGTTTCCTTCTTCTTCTTGTGTGTTTGTTATTCTTATGTCTGGTTCCAGTTAATACTTCTAGAGAAAAGTTCACTTTTCTAGATTCACTCACTGTTACATAAATAAGTGTATAAGGGCTTAGGTACTGTTTACTAAAGGCCATCTCTGTGGTGAATATGCTGTGTGATTTACTTTATTTTTATTTTTTTACCTCGGAGAAGTTCTCAGAATGATATGCTTTTTTAAACGTTCACTTTATTTTATTTATTATTATTTTTTGAGACGGAGTTTCACTGTTGTTGCCCAGGCTGGAGTGCAGTGGTGCAATCTCAGATCACTGCAACCTTCCCCTCCCGGGTTCAAGCGATTCTCCTGCCTCAGCCTCCTGAGTAGCTGGGATTATAGGCATGTGCCACCATGCCTTGCTAATTTGGTATTTTTAGTAGAGATGGGGTTTCTCCATGTTGGTCAGGCTGGTCTTGAACTCCTGACCTCAGGTGATCTGGCCGCTTCGGCCTCTCAAAGTGCTGAGATTACAGGCATTTACTTTTGTATTCAGTTATAACTTATATACACTAAGCATACATATCTTACATGTATAACCCAATGAAATTGACACACATACAATACTGTGTAACCACCATCCCCATCAAGTTATATAATATTTCCAGCACCCCAGCAGCTCCCTGGTACCCCTGCCAGCCCTTTCCACCCGTAGGTGACCACTTGTTTCATCTCCATAGCGTTTTTTTTTTTTTTTTTTTTTTTTTTTGCCCATGCTTCTTGTTTGTGCAGATGTAATCATTGATCAGGTGCACTTGTGTGTCTGGCTTCTTTTGCTGTACACTGTCACTTCAGCACATGACATTTTGTAGTTCTTTTCTTCATTGCTGTGAAGTGTCCTATAGTATGAATAGCCCACACTTTATCCATTCTACTGTTTAGGGACATTCGGGTTGTTTCTAGGTTTTTCAGCTATTCTGCATGATGTTGTTATGAACATTTTTGTCCATTTCTTTTGTTCTAAACAGGAGTAAAATTGCTGAGTCATAGGATGTACATATGTTGAGTTTTAGGAGAGATTGCCAAACGTATGTTGAGTTTTAGGAGAGAATTCCAAAGTTTTTGCAAGTGGTTGTACCAATTTACACTACTGTGAGCAGTGTTTGTACTTCTACTTGTTCTACATCCTCACCAAAGCCTTTTTTTTTTCTCCTTTGGTTTTGAAATATTGCAGACAAGTCCTCTGGAACACATTTATAGTTCCATTATACACATATGTATAAGTGACTGTACTGACAGCAATAATGATTACATGCTGTCCTCTCGTGGTTACTTTCTGGGATTATATGCTGCTCCTGGCAAGCCCCATCCTTGAGTCTCCATGGATTATTGTCTGATGAGCCTGGTCTTAGGGCACTACCCAGAAGGAAAGCAAATGCAATTATAAACATTTTAACTCAGCCTCAGGGTGCAAACATTCCAAAGACCAGGCTCATTTTTTTTTTTAAGAGACAGAGTCTGTCTGGGTTGCCCGAGTGCAGTGGTGTGATCATAACTCACTGCGGCCTGGACCTCCTGGGCTCATGATCCTCTTACCTCAACCTCCTGAGTAGCTGGGACCACAGGCTTGTAGCACCATATCTGGCTAATTTTTAAACTTTTTGTAGAGATGGGATCTCGCTCTGTTGCCCAGACTGGTCTTGAACTCCTGGCCTTAAGTGATCCTTCCGTCTTGGCCTCTCAAAGTGCTGGGATTACAGGTGTGAGCCACCAGGCCTGGCCCAGACTCGTTTTTTGAGGCAAGATTTTGTATTAGGGAAATAAAGAGGTACTCTGAATTGAAATCATGCCTCACCATGTTCTTTTACAGGCCCTGAGCAGGAGGGACTTCGTTAGTTGCCATGATGTTTGCATGATTATGTGATGTTAGCGGGAAAGCAGGTGTCATGCCAGCATGCTGGTACCTTTGTCACCTCGAACTAGCACCCCCTACCCCTGCACCCTAAGCCTTTGAAAGTCAACTTGGTTTATAAGTTTTCTTCCTTTTACAATTGTAATATGGATTTATTTTGACTGCATGTTTTACTTGGAGATAAAAATGCTTTATCTGACTTTAATCCTGACCTAGTTTTACAGGGCCTTCAATTGCTCCTTATCTCTAGGAGTCTCTAGGGGTGCCTGTGGCTCACAGCTAAGGCAGCGGTGGTGCTGGCCTCTTTGCTTTCCTGCGGTGCCTGTGCCTTTTGGTGAGCTCGTTGGATGGGACTGAGTGTCTGGTGTGGCTTGGGGGAAGAACATGGAGTGCCTTCCTCTGGAACCTGCAGCTACTCCTTCCTGGCTTCCCCTTCCACCTCAGTACGGAGAATCTGTCCTGTCTGGCAGCGTTGGAGGAGGGCGTGTGGGGTGTGACAAGTTAGCCTTTTTCTCATCAGGCATTTCCGGTGTCCCCTGAGGCTTTGAAACCCAAAAGCCAAGAATTGATTGGGTTGTCTTCTGCTTTCTTCTGAGATGTTGATCCTGAAGAGATGGTGCCGAATGCTCAGTTGCCTGAATGAAGACCTTGTGGTGGAGGAAAGTGTGCAGTGGGCAGGGGAAGCCTGTCTGTTAATATTCAAAATGGTGTGTGGCTTCTGCTACTTGGGAGTTCCGGTTTGTTCCTTTGTGCTGTAACAACATGATGTGACCTTCTGTATGGGATGTACTTTTTACTTCTTAAAGAGAACTGCTGGGGTTGTGGAGGAAATAGGGGCAGAATTTGATTTGAAGGATTATTAGGGGAGTCAGTTCTTGTGGCTATAGACTGAAATAACAGTGATGCTCAGAAGGAGGAGGGTGATTTTGAGAGGTGAAGCCAACTGGACTTCCTGGGTCGAGTGGGAACTTGGAGAACTTTTCTGTCTTACAAGAGAATTGTAAAATGCACCAATCAGCACTCTGTAGCTAGGATTGTAAAATGCACCAATCAACACACTGTAGGTAGCTAGAGGTTTGTAAAATGCACCAATCAGCACTCTGTAAGATGGACCAGTAAGCACTCTGTAAAATGGACCAACTAGCACACTGTAAAATGGACCAATCAGTGCTCTGTAAAATGGACCAATCAGCAGGACATGGGCAGGGGACAATTAAGGGAATAAAAGCTGGCCACCCCAGCCATCAGCGGCAACCCGCTGAGGTCCCCTTCCACACTGTGGAAGCTTTGTTCTTTCGCTTTTCACAATAGATCTTGTGCTGCTCAATTTTTGGGTCCCTGCTCTCTTTAAGAGCTATAAGCGAAGGTCCCTGGCTTCATTCTTGAAGTCAGGGATACCAAGAACCCACTGGAAGGAACCAACTCTGGACACAGTTTCACACCGCCTGATGGACTTCCTAGCTCTCTGTCATGGCTGTCATCCTGGCACAAAGCCCAGGTTTCTGGCCACTTTGGGACAGTGTAGGTGGGTCCTGCGTGTCCTCAGAGCATAGCCTAGAGTGTCCCTGAGTGGGGTGCAGTGACCTTCTTGGTGCCATGGTTTCTGTTAAGGGGACAGTGACTGGCTCCTGTGGCTGGTGGGGCCAGTATTTGGGTCAGCTGACCTCTAGGTCTGAAGACAAAGACTTGAAGAAGGAAGACACTGAGCCTAATAGGCCGGAGCTTTGGTACCCTCACTCCTTTAAAAGAAGAGCAACTTATGGAGATTCCTAACCACTGACCCACACTTTCCCATTTATCCAGAGGTCCTGCATGCCTCGGAATGAGGATGCTTCCCTAATCCAATCCCTTGTGCATGCAGGCTCCTGAGAATATAACAAAGTGTAATTTATTGTTAAACATCGCTGACTTTATTAAAAATGTCTTGGCCGGGTGCGGTGGCTCACGTCTGCAATCCCGGCACTTTGGGAGGCCAAGGCGAGCGGATCATGAGGTCAGGAGATCGAGACCATCCTGGTCAACATGGTGAAACCTGTCTCTACTAAAAATACAAAAATTAGCTGGGCATGGTGTCGCGTGCCTGTAGTCCTAGCTACTCAGGAGGCTGAGGCGGGAGAATCACTTGAACCCAGAGGTGGAGGTTGCAGTGAGCTGAGATTGTGCCACTGCACTCCAGCCTGGTGACAGAGTGAGACTCTGTCTCAAAAAAAAAAAAAATAGTCTTTTTGATTTCCTAAAGAATTTGCTAAAAAAGAATATATATAGTCTTATGATTATTGTTGTGTTAATCAGAATGATAAGAATATTTTCTTGCCCTCTTTCAAATCAGTAGTGGATATATACTGCAAAGAAGGTTAGATTTTTTAGGGGTTATAGTCTGGAGGAAACATTTTATATTAAAAATAATTTTGCCTAATTTTTCTTGCTTACTAACATGTGGTACCCAAGTATGAGATGCCCCCAAATTCTCTGTATGGGATCTTTTAGTTTTAGAAATAGAAGGGAACTTATTGGAGAAATTGAGATTCACACAGGCACAAAAAGGACAAATGTTTTACTTTAACTCTACCAGTCACCTTCCTTACTAAAGACTAAATAAGCCAGCGAGTTAAGTGCTTCGGGCGTACTGAGACTTTAAATTTAAGACATTGTAAGGCATATGAGATAGCTGTATTTACTTTAAAATGAGAATCCATAAAAGTGAACATCGTTTAATACTGTGCTTTTCAAATGAACTCTCTGCCCTTAATAGCATAGGTATGTGATAGTAGGTGGACTGTGCAATCAGATTTCTACACTTGTAATTTCTTCATTCTGCTTCACATTTCTAGACTTTTCAGGAATTAACCAAAGTAATCTGATACTTCAGCGCTGTAACCACTTTCTCTTCTTTGTTGAGCAAGTCTATTTTTGTATTTCCATTTCAGTTTCCTCTCAAACTTTACAATGTTTCGCTTTTTACATTGAGCTTTCCTAGTTCTTAAGCTCAGTTTTCTCTTTTGGGCCGGAAATTTGGGTTGCTTCTGCCCAACTGCTGCTCTTCCTTGTATTGAAACATTGTGTCTTTCCTGTCAGATGCTAACTTTTAAAAGCCAGTATCTTTACAGCCACTGCAGAACGTTTTTAGTGTGGGAGCAACAGGTAGCTAAAGACTAGGGGCATTTTTAACTGGAGAAATAAAAGGCTAAATACTCAAGACTGTTTGTTTATATTTTGTGTGTAAAAGGGAATTTTCATGTTTTAATTTGTGTAGCATATGTCTCTGGGGCTGAATTGCTTTTTGCAATACTAATTGTTTCTGTATTTAGGCCTAAGGAAAGTTTGGGTAATATTTAAGAAGCATCAACAAAACAGTTTCCAAATGTTTGCCATGCTACATAAAATTGAGTGTTTGCTTTATGCTCCAAAATAATTTTTCATTAGTTATTGGTTCAGGATCAATTTTTTGCTATTGCAATTTTTCCAAATAAAATTTTAATTTTAGTGTTACTTCTGGAGATGGTGGACTGGTTTCTTGCAAACCAGTTCACCTGCTGAAAAAACTAGGAAAGGTGAAAAACAAACAAAAAAAAAACTAAGAGAACGTAAGTGTCTTAGTCCGTTTTCATGCTGCTAACAAAGACATACCCAACGCTGGGTAATATATAAAGGAAAGAAGTTTAATGGATTCACAGTTCCCATGGCTAGGGAGGCCTCACAATCAATGGTGGAAGGTGAAGGAGGAGCTAAGTCATGTCTTACGTGGCGGCAGGCAAGAAAGAGCTTGTGCAGGGGAACTCTCCTTTATAAAACCATCAGATCTCATGAGACTTACTCACTATCATGAGAACACAATTGAAAGACCTGCCCCCTTGACTCAGTTACCTCCCACTGGTTCCCTCCCATGACACGTGGGAATTACGGGAGCTACAGTTCAAGATGAGATTTGGGTGAGGACACAGCCAAACCATATTAATAAGCCAAAATAACACAGAAACCTATGTTTGTGCAGTCATGTTCACAGCAGTGCTTAACCACAGCCAAAAGGTGGAAACAACCCAGATGTTCATCAACAGAAAAAGGGGTAAGTGAACTGTGTTGTGTACATATGATGGAATATTATTAGCTATAAAAAGGAATTAGGTACTGATACATGCTACAGTGTGGCTTAACCTGAAAAAGATGCTAAGTGAAAGAAGCTGGAAATAAAAGGTCACATATTGTATAATTCCATTTATATGGAATATACAAAATAGGTAAATCCATACAGACAGCAAATTGGTGTTTACCAGGGTTTGTGGGGAGAAGGGGCGTGGGAAGTAACTACTTAGTGGGTTGGAGGTTACCCTGTTACTGGAGTTATCAAACCCAGACTTTAAAATAACTTTGACTACTATATTCAGGCAATTAAATAAGATGGAGAATTGGACTAGAAATAGAACTATAAGAGAGTAGAACTGGAAACTGTAAGAGTATAAATATTCGAATATTAAAAAAAACAGAAATTGAGAGTTCAATAGTGAGTTTAAGTACAGATTAGATATAGGTAAAGAAGGAAATAGTGAACTAGAAAATAGATTAATGTCCAGCTGAAGCATGGACATAAAAAGGAATTAGAAAACTACGCCAAACAAATCATGAGAGACACATGGGACATGGTAAAAAGATCTGTGGTAAGTGTATTTAGAGTTCCAGAAAATGAGTGGGGGATGGAGGCTGGGAGGAGAGAGAGAAGTAATGTTTGAAGAGATAATGTCTGAAAACATGTACCATAAAAACATTAACCCAAAAAAAGCTAGGGTAACTATACTGTTACCATCTAAGTTAGACTTTGAGGCAAGGATCATTACTGGACATAAAGAGGGAATGATAGCTATACTAAATATGTAGGTAACTAATAGATTACTACAAAGCAAAAAAAAAAATTCAAAATCATAGTTGTAGATCTTAACACCTCCTCTTCAGTCATTGTTAGAACAACTATACCAATAATTTTCCAACTTTTTGGTCTTAGGTCCCCTATACACTCTTAAGCATTTTTGAGGACTACAAAGATCTTTTGTTTATGTGGGTTATATTTATATTTACTGTATTCATTAATGTGGGTATATTCTGTCTATATTTACTGTATTTACATATATTCTGCATATGCTTACTGTATATATGTGTTTATACACTGTAATGTATATGGATAATACACTACAGGAATTTAAGTTAGGAATTTAAAAACATTTATGAATATAATACGTAAATATTTAGAACAATAACAAATCAAGACATGCTTATGTTAATTTCTATTTTATAAACAAAAACTTAAAAATATCTTTTTATATTTTTGCAAAATTTGCAAAATTTGTCTTAAAATTTTAGTATTTTATATTTTTAAATATTTTTGAAAATTTGGTGAATGTTTAGCTTAACAGAAGATATAGCAATAGAAGACAACATTTCTGTTTTGATATGTTATTTTGGTTGACGTATATGAAGAAAATTAGCTTCACAAAAGTGTATAGTTAGAAAAGGAGGACTATTTTAATAGCTTCTTCAATCATTGTGAATATTCTTTGGTACATCAAACTTGGAAAGTGGTAGTTTCTTAAGCTTACCTGCAAAGTAGAATCTGGAATTATACCGATGAGCTTTTAGTGCTATATTACATTAAAATTCATTGGGCTATCTTGCACTTTAAATTATTTTTTACTAGTGCATGGTTTTCTAACACTATGCATTGGTCATTTGGAAAATATTCATTCACTGAGTTATGCAGATCTTTCGTCTTTCAAATGTTGATGCATTTCATTGTATGATATAAAAACTCATGAACATCAATCTCATCAGAAAATATTGGACTACATTAAAGTGAAGAATTGTTTATCAGGAAAACATCACTGAGTATGAAATGGCAAGATAATGATGAGAAGGTATTTGTAATACATGAAAGTAACAAAGATCTTACATCTATAATATTTAAATAACTCACTTAAAGCAGTAACAAACAATTCAATAGAAATATCAGCAAAAGAGTTGACATGCACTTCACAAACGAGGATATCCAAATGGCCAATAAATAAAGATGCTCAACCTCATTAGTCATCAGGGAAATGCAACGAAACCACAATGAGATACCAGCACCCTGCCACTCCCCAAGAATTACTGGAATTAAAAAGATGAAAATAGCAATATTGACAATATTGGAGAATATTATAACTCATACTCTATTGATGGAATGTGTATTTGTACACCAGTTTGTAAAGCTGTTAGTTAAATATTATTTGCATGCCTTATAGACTAGTAATTACATTTTTAGGAATATAACTAACAAATATGGCACATATTAGCATCAAAAGACATATACAAGAATGTTCATGGGACCAGTATTCCTAACAGCTCCAAACTGGAAACAACCCAGATGTCCTTCAGTAAGAGAATAGATCAGCAGCCTGTGGTGTATTCTTACAATGGAATCCTATACAGCAATCAGTAGAGCTGTTGTTACATGGTGACATGGATACATCTCAGTGTTGAGTGAATGCAGCTAGACACAAAAGAGTAATGTAGTATATGATTTCAGTTTTTATCAAGGTCAGAAACAGGCAAAACAACTCTGGTGTGTTAAAGGTGAGGTTAGTGGTTATCTGTAGAGAGGACAGCAGGGAGGAGGGAAGATGGGAGAGCACACAGGAGGCTGCCAGGGTGCTGGTAATGTGCTGTTTCCTGATTCCAGTGGTAGTTTCATTAAGGTGTACTTCATGTTGATTCATTTAATTATTTAATCATTTTTCTGTATATTTTAATAAAAATTTATGAAACGATATATTAATACTAAGAAAAAATGTGAGTTAGAAGGTTACCATATCCTTATCACAAAAAGCTTGAAAACATAGTTAAAAGAACACAGTCCCTCAAGCTGACATTCCTCTGGCATTATGCTTAGTATCCCTTCTCAGACATTCCTATGAATGTGATCTGGGGCAAGTTGCTTAGTTCCTTAAGTTCCTCATCAGAAAGCTAAGGAATGTAATAGTGCTTATTTCATATTGCTATTTTTAGAGCTAGTTAGGTAATATATGTAATGTGCCCAGCATAGTCTTCGGTTCATAATTAGCACCTTAAATTATTCATTGGATAAACATTTACTGAGTTTCTGCTCGTGTATCTGGCATTGGGCTAGTGATGGTGATACCAGGAAAAATAAGACAAAGTGAACCCCATCAGGATTACTGTGCTGTCTAACCTGGTAGTCCTTAGCCACAGATGGTAATTAAATGAAAATTAAACAGTTCAGTTTCTTAGTACACTAGCTGCATTTCAAGTGCTGAGTTGCCAAATGTGGCTAGGGGTGACATGTTAGACTGCACGTTTACAGAACATTTCCATCATTGCAGCAACTGTTTCTGGACATTGTTGGGCAGGGCAGGCGATGGGTGACAGAGGTGGGCATTGCAGGGTCCTGGTAGAGAGGTGAGACTTGAGCTGCTCAGAAAGAGGAATTTTCAGGTGGAAGAATGAAGAGTTGGCCATTCCAGTTGAGTGAAAACACAGTGAACCAGGGCTTTGAGCTTGACTCAGCTGGAGATTGTAAGCAGTTCAATATGGCAAGAGCACCGGATGCATAGGGAGGAAGCTGGAGGGGTGGCTGGAAGGCACAGTGGGCCTGGGCTCTGGAGGGCAGGGAATGCCACATTGAGGAGCTATTCTAGGGGATGCTCAGGAGTGCTTTTATCCATTACTTGCTTACCTCTTAAGACTTAATGCTTCTTTTTAAAAAAATCAATTTACTTAACAAAAATAAAACAATCATATTTGCTAAAAATATTTTTTCCTAGTTTTTTGTTTGCTTTTTTTTGTAGTGTATTGGTGTTAGATTTTTACGTAGGCAAGTCTGTGGTTTTTTTAGAATTTCTAAGCATAGAAGATGTTACTTCTAGAGACTAATTTTCTTTTTTTAATATATAATATACATATTTTGGGGGTACATGGGATACTTTGATACAATTTGATACATTCATATAATCAGGGTAATTGGTATATCCATCACCTTAAATATTTATCTTTTCTTTATGCTGGGAACATTTGAATTATTGCTTTCTAGCTATTCTGAAAGTATGACAGATCAATGTAAACTATAGTCACTTGACTGATCTATCGAATACCAGGTCTTATTTCTTCTAAGTGTATAGAGAAATTTTCAATTCTGTTTTATTTTTTTCTACACTTTTATTTTTATATATTTAAGTATAAAATGGTGTCAGGGTAACTTCTGTGTGCTTCAAATGGATTGTCTAAATTTTAGGTATAGATATTACAGAGTGCTAGCTAGTAAGTCCCAACCATTTGTTCAATGTTTCCCATTCTTTGTGATGAATCCTTTGTGGTCTTGTATATAATGACATTTACTTCTGAGTTATTAGTTGTATTCTATTGCTCTTTCTTATGGTAATGTAACATTGCTTATTTATGCCACAACATTTATTAAGTATCTGTGTTTTGTAAATTAAAACTTGTGATGACTTAGTTCCTCTTTTTATATTTGAAAATTGGAACTCATCCTTGGGCTGTGGGAGTGGTCTGAACAGGCTAAATCACACAGCTTGTCATCGAAGTCCACACTAAGCACTGTATTTACTATAAACACCATTCGTGATAGGTACATCCTTTTTCTCTTTTACTGTCTTATAACAAATTTGTATTAAGGGGCACAAGTGCAGTTTTGTTACATGGACATACTGTGTAGTGGTGAAGCCTGATCTTTTAGTGCAACCATCACCCGAATAATGTACATTGAACCTATTAAGTAACTTCTTATTCCTCACCCCCTCCCACCCTTAAAACCCTTCTGAGTCTCCAGTATCTATCATTCCACACTCTGTGTCCATGCATACACATTATTTAGCTCTGAGTGGTGAGAAATGCAGTATTTGACTTTATGTTTCTGAATTATTTCACTTAAGAAAATGGCTTCCAGTTCCATCCATGTTGTAAAAGACATGATTCGTTGTTTTTTATGGATGAGTAGTATTCCATTATATATATATATATACACCACATTTTCTTTATCCAGTCGTCTGCTGATGGACACTTAGGTTGATTCCATATCTTTGCTATTGTGAATAGTGCTATAATAAACATACGAGGGAAGGTATCTTCGATATAATGATTTTTTTTTCCTTTGGGTTTCAACCCAGTAGTGTAGAGTATTTGGGTAGATACCAGTAGGTAGTTCTATTTTTAGTTCTTTGAGAAATCTCCATACTGTTTTCCACAGAGGTTGTACTAATTTACATTCCCACTGGCAGTGTATAAGTGTTTCCCTTTCTCCACATCCTTGCCAACATCTTGTTATTTTTTGACATTTTAATAACATCTGACTGGTGTAAGATGATATCTCAGTGTGGTTTTAATTTGCATTTCTGATGATTAGTGACGTCCAACATTTTTTCATATATTTGTTGGCCATTTGTATGTCTTCTTTTGAAAAATGTCTGTTCATATCCTTTGCCCACTTTTTAAAGGGGTTATTTGTGTTTTGTTGTTGTTGTTGAGTTGTTTGAGTTCCTTATTGATTCTGGATTTGAATGCATAGTTTGTAAATATTTTTACTTACTCCATAGGTTGTCTCTTCTTTCTGTTGATTATTTCAGAATTGACTATATAGAAACTTTATAGTGTGAGTCCCATTTTTCTATTTTGTTTTTGTTGTGTTTGCATTTGAGGTTTTAATCGTGATTTCTTTGCCTAAGGCAATGTCCAGAAGAGTTTTCTGGTAGGTACTCTTTTGAAAATGTATGTAGTGGTCTTTTAGGACTCTGAAAGACAGCTTTACCTCATGGATGATGATGTATTCAGTAGTGCATTTAGCACACAGCTATAGATATGTAAAAGGGAGTTTGTGTAGCAGTGTTGTAATCTTTTAAACTTCACAGTTATATAGTTTAATATAACAATGGTAATCTGTAAGTATTAGCTATAGGAAAAAGTTCTCTTACTGACATTTTGTTAATTGGAAGACTCAGAAAGCTAGAAGTAACTAGCATGTAGAAGGCCCTTTAAATTCACCAGTCTAGCAAGCATTTCCAATGGTGCTTTTACTTTTCCTGGTATCTCTCTTTCTGTCTGCGTGTGTGTGTGTGTGTGTGTGTGTGTGTGTGTGCGCGCGCACATACCTGCGTGCAAGTGTGCATGTACACACACACATGTGAGTTCCTGCTAAGGAGTGGGATTGAGGGGTGCAAGGGAATAGGACTTTTGGAAGCTGAGGTAATTCACAAATGTAATTTTTCGGTAGATCCTAAGGAAAAAGTCATGGCATAGGTGTTTGAGGGAGATGGCTTGATCAGCATCATAAATGCTCATCAGATATGCCCAATAACAACAACTATTATGTAACATCATCCTGGGGGTTCCTATGATCTTCCTTCAGGCATATCAACATGGATAGAACCGAAAGTTGTTTTTCAGAGGTTGCTTTAAAGAATAATTAGTAATTTTCTCAAACAATTTGAAATTCAGATATCACTTAGCTTAGATGGACTGGCATTCACAAAAATTAGACAACAGGGTTTTTTTTTTCTTTTTGTGGAGATGGGGTCTCACTGTGCTGCCCAGGCTGGTCTTCAATTCCTGGCCTCAAGTGATCCTCCTGCCTTGGCCCCCCAAACTGCTTGGATTCCAGGTGGAGCCACCACACCTGACCAGTCACCAGTTTTTAACTCTTGCTCTTCATTCATTTGATGTGAACTATTTCCATGTAGAAGTCATTTTCCTTTGTAGAGAGCTTTAGCATTCCCAAAGCACCTTTCATATTTCGTATATGATGCTTACAACATACCTGTGAGGCAGGTATTCACATTAGCCACAGTTTACAAACATTACAGCCCAGATGTAGAGAGTAAGAAGGGCCCCCAGGAAAGAATATTTTTACTTAACTGTGCTCTTTATTGTGGTTGAGTTCACTCTCCTTACTGTGGCTTACATAAGATTTTATATTACTTTATCCGACTGCCTCAATTTGAGCCTTGAATTTACTAATTAAAGTTTTACTGGGCTTTTATGTTTTGGCTGTTAAGAACTGCAGCTGAAAAGAGTGTCGCTGCTTGAAAGCAGGGGATGCTTTCAAAGGTCTGGTGCTTAGTAGGTGCTTTGTGATGGCTGTGCAACCTGGAACTGAATTAAAGATTAGGGGCTGGACCATTGCTTTGGAATGCATGAGCGAGTGTTTACTTTAGAAAAGAATAATGCTTGAGAAAGCATTTAAATTGAATTTTATACTTTTCTTTTGATAGACATTAACTTTTTTGTATTAATACCTCAATATGTTTGCGAATGACATATTCATTTACACGGGGTCTTCAAAGTGTCTACCAAAGCCACATGAGATCTTTCGGCTTTTGCAAAAAAAAATGCTTATTGCTGTTAATGGAAACAAATTATAAGCGAGCTCCTCTTTTAGACCCAAAGCAGCTTCGTAATTATAGGTATTGACTTCACCCCACTCAGTATGTAAAGAATCTAACTGTAGCACTTGTATCTCCAACACCTTTCAGGTCTTACCCAGTGCTAGTTAATTCACATTTAAAATGTTACACTTAAGGAAAATATAAGTCATTTTTTAGTCTAATTTTAATTTTCATGCCTTTCCTCAAAGAAAGGAAAATAAGTAATTGTGTGTATGCTACTCTTTCTTTGATAAATATTTGAGGATGCTTTTAGAAATAGAGCCCATTAAAACTTTTTAATACATGGGATGTTTGGCCACATGGTTATTTTTTGTGGTTGTCAATTTCAGTGGCTTGCTTGAGACTGTAATTGGTTTTAAGTATGTTGTTTATGCTTTGAAGGAAATTTTCTTTAGAAATTCAAACCAAAATTCACAGGTTGTCTTTTTCTTGTTCAAAGATGACAGATCATTTTCAGAGCTAGCATATTTATGCAATCAAAAATTACTGAACACGATGTAGCTATTTTTCACTAGCAAAATAATTTTGCTGTTAATCTGACTTCCAAAATCTAAACTCATTTAGGGTAGGAACTTTGTGCCTAAGTGTTCATTAGCCAGCTGTTTACTCACTTGTGTGACTTCTGTATTCCTCCAAGCAAATAATGTTACCTCAGGTGGTCGATAAATGTGTTTTCAAATGATCCTAAATCACCTACATAATTTTAGATAATCTCTCAATTTTAAGAAACTAAGGCTCAGGCCCACAGGTAGAAGTTACAGGAGGCATTTATTGGTTCTGTATAAGAAGGAGCTTTATAATCCTTTAGGGCTGCTAAAAAATAGAATGGACTATTTTGCTAGGCAGCGACATTCTCTGCATTTAGAAATATGCAAGCAGATGGCAGGCACCTGCCTGTCTGAAGTTCTGTGCGTGAGGTTCCTCTATTACTTAGAAAATTAGTCTTCTTGATTTCTAAGATTTTTCCCCCTTATTCCAATATAGGTTATTTCTACCCTCTCATAAAATAGATGCTTGCAATCTGTTGAAATATCAGAGGAGGCTTAATAACCGTGTTGGCAACATATTCCAGAGCACCGTGATGGAGTTATAATGTATGGTAATGTTCGCATTGCTTGTTTCACAGGTATGTGTGTGGCAGCAGGGGAACAGGGGTGGGGAAAGGAAACAGCATGTCTTGGGCCCCCATATGGCTGTATACACTATAACAGGTGTCCACTCCCCCGGTCTTATAAACTCAGTTCAGATCTCAAGTACGGGTTGGTGGTCTTCCCTACTCCCATGTTGGGTGTCCAGTGGGTCCCCCTTTGGACTTAAGGTTGTTCTGGGAGGGCTACCAATTTGTAAATCTCAGAAGTTGCTTAACATCTCTGAGCTTCATTTTTTCTTTTACCATATCCAGTGTATTTTATATGTAGTATATAAAAGGGAACATGTGTATGTAGGAGAACATAAATGTTTAAATTTTTTTTTCCAAATTAAGAAGAAACTTGTTTTTCAATCTTTGTTGCACAGAAAGGGATTCTTTTGCTCATTTTATGGGAGGCTGACCCTCCTTAGGGAAAATAAACATCTCTTCTCCCGTTCATTGAGCCAGGCTTTGACTTTGAGCCACAAGAATCGGTTTTTCTGTTGTGTATGGTTTGGGCACCAGTTTAATGGGCAGCTAGTTTACCCTGAATGGTAGCCAGTGGCCTGCCTTGGGGCTCTGGCTTTTAGAATGCTTTTGGGTTTGCTTACTTGTTTCCAGCTTCTCTCTGTTTCCAGCACAGTTTCTTACCATTACTTCGCCTATCTTGCTATCTTTTAATTACAATATCCAATTCTCATAATGTTTTGAAAATATTTTAATTGTGGTAAAATACACCTAACATTTACCATCTTAACAATTTTTAACTGTATAGTTCAGTAGTGTTAATTAAATTCACAGTATTGTGTAACCAATATCTAGAACTCTTTTTTTCACCTTGAAAAACTGAAACTATATCCATAAACAACAACTCCCTATTTTCCTCCCAGCCCCTGGCCACCACCATTCTACTCTGTCTCTATGAATATGACTGCTCTGGTACCTTATGTAGGTAGAATCATACAATATTGATCCTTCTGTGTCTGGCTTATTTCACTTAGCATAATGCCCCCAAGGTTCATCCATGTTATAGAATGTGCCAGGATTTCCTTCCTTTTTAAGGCTGAATGATATTCCACTGTAAAGATATACCACATTTTGTTTATCTGTTGGTGAACACTTGCACTGCCTCTGCATTTTGGCTATTGTGACTAATGCTGCTGTGAACATCCATGTACAAATATTTCTTTAGGACTTTGCTTTCAATTCTTTTGAATATGTATCCAACCCAGAAGGGGAATTTCTGGATCATGCAGTAATTCTATTTTAAATTTCTTGAAGAACTGCTGTACTATTTTCCACAATGGTTGCTCTATTTTACATTCACAACAGTGCACAAGGGTTCCAATTTTTCCACATCCTTGCCCACACTTGTTATTGTCTGTTTTTTGATACTAGCCATCCTTATGGGTACCCGGTGACATTTTATGGTTTTGATTTGCAATTTCCAAATGATTAGTGCTGTTCACCATCTTCATATTCTTGTTGGCCATTTGTATATCTTCTTTGGAGAAATTTGTATTCAAGTCCTTTGCTCATTTTTAATCAGGTTATTTGTTTTTGTTTGTTGTTGAGCTGTGGAAGCTCTGAAGGGCATTCGGGTATTAATCGTTTGTCAGATATGTGATTCGCAAATGTTTTTTCCCATTCAATAGGTTACCGTTTCACTATGTTAATGACAATTTTTGATACATAGAAGTCTTTTAGTGTAGTCAGATTTACCTATTTTTACCTTTGTTGCTTGTAATTTTGGCATCTGTCCAATAAATTCTTCCAAATCCAGTGTCATGAAACTTTTCTGTTTTCTTCTAAGACTTTAGCCTTACATTTAGGTCTAATTTCGATATTGTTATGTCTCAGGGAATAGGGAAGCCCAAAGCGAGAGAGAAATATGGAAAATGACCAGTCAGTGGAGCAGTCAGAACAAACATATTTATCAATTAAGTTTGCCATCTTATATGGGCATGGTTCATGGTGCTCCCAAAACAGTATAATAGTAACATCAAAGATCTCTGATCACAGATCACTGTAACAGATATATTAATAATGAAAAAGTTTGAAATATTGTGAGAATTATCAAAATGTGACATGGAGACATGAAGTGAGCACATGTGCCATTAGAAAAATGGCACCGATAGACTTGCACGATGCAGGGTTGCCACAAAGCTTCCATTTGTAAAAAACACAAAATCTGTGAAACGCAATAAAGTGAAACTCAGTAAAACAAGGTGTACCTGTAAAAGACATCTAAATTGAGAAGGAAGTAAAATTATCTATTTGTTGATGCAATGATCTTATATCTAGGAAACCCTAAAAACTCCACTTAAAAATTGTTAGAACTAATAAATTCAGCAAAGTACCAGGATGCAAAAGAATCACAAAAAATCAGCTGCATTTCTGTACACTAATAATGAACATTTCAAAATAAGAAAATTCCATTTACAATAACACCAAAAATAATACTTAGAAATTAACCAAGGAGGCAGAAGACTTACACACTGAAAACTATTTTGATAGAGATTGCATTAAAGCTGTAGATTACTTTGGATAGTATTGACATCTTAGTAATATTAAGTTTTCCAATCCATGAACACGGAATGTCTTTTCATTTATTTGTCTTTTAAAATTTCTTTCAGCAACATTTTATAGTCTTTCACCACTGAGTATGGTGTTTGCTGTGGGCTTTTCATATGTGATCTTATTATATTGAGGCAGTTTCCTTCTCCTCCTAGTTTTGTGAGTGCATTCTCTTAATTAAAAAAAATTAAAGTCTTGAGGCTGGGTGCAGTGGCTCACACCTGTAATCCCAGCACTTTGGGAGGCCACAGTGGGTAGATTACTTGAGGCCAGGAGTTTGAGACCAGCTTGGGCAACATGGTAAAACCCCATTTCTACTAAAAATACAAAAATGTGCTGGGTGTGGTGGTGCACGCCTGTAGTCCCAGCTTCCTGGGAGGCTGAGGCACGAGAATTGCCAGAACCCAGGAGGTGGAGGTTGCAGTGAGCCAAGATCACACTACTGAACTCCAGCCTGGATGACAGAGTGAGACTCTGGCTCAAAGAAAAAAAAAAAATTTAAAGTCTTGCATTTTATCCCAAGCACGATGATTAGGAAACCAAGATGAAGCATCTGACTTGGTATGATATCTGTTAGTAGGTGATGCCAGGTGACAGAGCTTCTGGTACTGGCCAGGGCAGGGTGGCATTTGTTGAAGGGCAGGGCTGGTGATAGAGTGCCTGTGTGCAGCATGCCCGCATAACCCATCTTTGTGTGGAAGTGCACCAGTGGCAAATGCCTGGATGACCTTTGAAAAAAAATTCATGATGCATATTTTATTTCCTGTCACAATTATTACTGTTTCTCCTTTTCTAAAAAAGAAAATTTCTTTATTTGATACTTTTAGTTACGGAAGTAATATATATTTGCTTTACTAAGTGAAGCAGCTTGGTACAAAGATACGTAGGTAAAATTAGTGATGTAAAGCTCTTTCCAATCCAACACAACTCCCTGAGACAGTCAGTGTTAACAACCTCACACATAACTTTCCAAAACATTCTTGCTCCATCAAATATATGAGCTCATTTGTACATACACTGATATTCCATTTTTATTTGAACAGAATAATATTTTTACTCATTATTCTGCAATTTGCGTTTTCAGTTTAACAATGGATCATGTACATTCCTGCAAATTAGTAGATGCAGATCTAACTGCATCTCTTTTTTCCTAATATCATATGCATGGGAATCATACACATATTGGGTGTTCTTTCAGATTTTTTTCGTTTTCCCTTACTTTCTCTTCTGTCATCTTATCTCTCATCATGCTTGGTAACCCACGTGAATTACTTGGTGCATATCTTTTTATGTTTTCCTCTATCCCCAGGTAACCATATGTGAACATATAAACATAAGGGGTTGAGAATATTTATTAACTTTTATTAAATGGTATATTAAACACACTTTTCTGTATCTTAGTTTTTTCATTAAACAAAACTTCGTAGAAGCATCTCCAACTCAACTGGCCATAGCTCACATTCATTCTTTTATGGCTACATACTGTTCCATGGTATGGACCTCTTATTATTTATTCAACTGTCACCTTTTGTTTTCTTTTTTGCCATTAGGAATAGTGGTATAATAAACGTATTTGTACATTCTTTTTGTACTGGTATTTTTACTTTAAAAAGTGTTACAGTGGGATCTCATTAAAATGTACCTTTAGCAATAGCTATTGCCAGATTGCTTCTAAAATTTTTTTAACAGTTGCCATTAGCAATTTGTGAGAATGCCCCTTTCTTGACATCTCTGTTAGCAATAAGTGCTAATCTTTATGATTTTTGCATCTGGATGGAAATGTTGAGTTTGAGCAGCTTTCTATACACTTGGTCTTTTTGTTCTTGACTTTGCTGGGAATTTCCTATTCATTTTTTTTTTTTTTGCACATTTTTCTACTGAGTTGCTTTTCTATCAACTAAGAGCTCTAGGCTGGGCGCAGTGTCTCATGCCTGTAATCCCTGCACTTTGGGAGGCCGAGGTGGGTGGATCGCCTGAGGTCAGTAGTTTGAGACCAGCCCGGCCAACATGGTAAAACCCCATCTCTACTAAAAATACAAAAATTAGCCGGGCATGGTGGTGTGCACCTGTAATCCCAGCTACTTGGGAGACTGAGAATGGAGAATCTCTTGAAATCTGGACGTGGAGGTTGCAGTGAGCCGAGACCAGGCCATTGCACTCCAGCCTGGGCAACAAGAGTGAAACTCTGTCTCAAAAGCTCTATTGATATCAGCATTTTATTTAAAAATGTTTATTGCAAATATTTTTAGGCCTTTTATTTGTCTTTCAACTTTGCTTGTGATATCTTTTGCTTTTGCAAAATTTTAAAATTTCCATATAGCCAAATATGTATCTTTAGTATTATGTTTATATGTTTTGTGGGATAAGCTCTCCATGCATTCCTAGGTTGTACATATAGTCCCCTCCCTAGATTTTCTTCTTAAGAGCCTATTGGCTTATTTTTGACATCTAGCCTTTCCTTTTATGTATTTTAGTAAAATTACTTTGTGTAATTTTTACATATGGGGCAAGTAAGAGGACCAAATTAATTTTGTTCCAAATAGACAGCCAAAGGTGTCAGCACCATTTATTTGAGTCCCAAAAACATACTGAAGGGGGCGTTAAGGCTTCCCTTGTCAGATGTTAAAACATACTATAAGGGCTACTATAATAAAATCAATGTGATAGACAAATGTGTCAATGGAACAGAATGGAGACTCCAGAAATAGATCTCAGTATAAGTAAAAGTTTAAAATATGACAATGCGGTATTTAAATTCTGTTGTTAAAAGAGTAGTATATTTAAAATATATCTACTTTTTAAAAATTTCAGGGGAAAAAAGAATTTGCAGAGTGTGTTCATTTTTATCAACAATGCAGATAAATATTCATGGCATTTGCGAATAAATTCCACAGAAAAATGCAGAATCTTTGCTGAAGAATTTCTCAGTGGCGGCTCATTTTGGTGTATTTCAGTGACTGTGACAATGACAGTCAAGTCATTTGCTGACCTCACACCATAAGTGCTGACAAGTCTGAGGGAATATCCCAGTGGGTCACTTCTTAATTTCAAGGCACTACAGATGACACAGATGGTACAAGATTAATTACCTAAAAACAAAAGAAAATTGTGACCTTCCATTAGTTTCTTCTCTCATTAGTCCATGCACACGGGGCATTTCCTAACCGAATGCAGCTGGGCAGAATTAGGAGGGAGGGTGTGTTCCTTTATTCAGGAATGTATTCATAGTGGCCCATATGGGGAGTGGGTGTGGGCAGTGCTAAGAGATTCTGAGGAGGAAGGTGGTGGTGTGGGAGCATCATTGAAGTGGAGCCGTGAAGCAGAGGTAGGATTTTAACAGGTGGAATGGAAAAGGTGGCCTTCCAAGAACGTGTGTGACATAAGCACACACGCATGTGCAATAGTTTGGTGAAGTGGATATGTGAGGAGAGAGGGGAATGATCAGGTTAGGAGTGATCAGCCCTACATGATCAGAGGTGGGGCCTCCAGCATGGGAGACTTACGTATAGGGCTGAGTTTGTTTTGGAAAGGTCACTTCGAGGGGTGGTTGGAGTAGAGTCCATTCAGAAGTCTCTTCATAACCATGACCTTATTTGGCCTGTGCTCTGTTGACTGCCCCCAGACAGTTACCATTTACTGAGCAATTCCAGATGCCAAGGTTCATTAGGCACTTCCCATGCAAGAACACTGTGGAGTCAGCAATCGATCCTGGTCTTACAGGTAAGAAAACTGAGTAACGAGACCAGTTTTCACTGGGTTATGTTTATTGGCAGAGCTGCTATTCAGAGTCTGGTCTGATAGGATCCAAAGACTTTGCCCTTTCTAACCTATGACACTGTCTTTTACCCACATGTTACATCTGCGCCCCTGCCACCTGCCCACAGTAATACCAGCCTGACATTGCACGATTTCTGTGAAGTTTTGCGTAATGCAGCTTGCATTATGGTTAATGCACCCCATGCATAATTGAACTGACTTTAAAGAATAAAATATAAATACAAACTAAAAGCAGATTTATAAGTATCTAGAGGCAGCTTTTGTGTGGTACAGCATTTAAGGAAAGCCTTTATCTTGTTGTCAGCATATTGCCACATTAGCCAGAGCCAGCCAGATGGGAATGTGGTGGCCCACTTAGGTCCTCTTTAATTGCTCACTATAAATAGCTTAATGATGCCGCCATAAAAGGTCTCTGATGTAAGTGAGGGGCTCAGTGTGACCCATATATGTGATGGTTTTCTAGGTGTCTGTGTCTGGGAAAATGGATGGCCGTGTCTGAGATGGTTTTCACTGCTGAAATGAAAGCTTCATTTGTAAGCCAATCCTTTCTTACTCCCCCTCCCTTCAGATGCCATTGTCTCCCTCATTCCTTTCTGCTGTCATCTATGGGGAGGTTGAGGTTGACACTTTATCACTCTCACATGCCAGATAGAATTCCAGCACCCACTTGACCTGGCACCAGGGAGAAGTGCCTGCCTGAGCCAGTCCTGATCTAAGAGGGGCCACTGCAGGCCTTCATGGCATGCCCCTTTCTGCTTGGACCATCATGGGAACTTTAGACACCTTGCTTTGCTCCAGACATGGATGAATTTTCTTTTTTTAAAAATTTCCAGAAGTTATTGGGACACAGGTGGTATTTGGTTATGTGAGTGAGTTCTTTAGTGGTGATTTGTGAGATTTTGGTGCACCCGTTACCCCAGCAGTATCCACAGCACCATATTTGTAGTCTTCTGTCTCTTGCCCCCCCCCATCCTTTCCCCCAAGTCCCCAAAGTCCATTCTGTCATTCTTATGCCTTTGCGTCCTCATAGCTTAGCTCCCACATACCAGTGAGAACATACAATGTTTGGTTTTCCATTCCTGAGTTACTTCACTTAGAATAATAGTCTCTAATCTCATAGACATGGATGAATTTTCTTGATTCAGTCACAAGATCATTTCCGCCATGGTTGTCACTAGCTTTTTTCAGTCCCCACCCTCACCCTCACTCCTATCCCCAGCACCGGGTAGGAGTCTCCCTTAAGGTTCTCGCCTGCCACAGGTTGTAGATGGTGCCACATCAGTTCAATAGGGCGGCAGCAACCCAGTGCTCCTTCTGGTCTACCTGCTCCACCCCCACTGGAGGTTGGCTTCCCACCTTTGTATGAAACATCCCAGTAAAACTTGGTTGGCTTCCCCACCAAAGCCTCTTTTTTCAAAAAGGATAGAATCCTGTAGAATTGGAGATATGAGAGGTCAGGAGGGTTGCACTGAAAGCAGAGGGGGCTACTGGGTAAAGACCATACATAATAAAGACCCAAACTTCAGGGGAGTGTGTATAGCTGGAAGAAACAAAAACACCAATGAAACAAACACTGTAACTTGGAGGATTAAAGGGAGATAGAGGGAGTGAGGGAGCAGTGGGAGGCAGTCCTGGGGAGGTTGTATGGATAAGCTGGTGGGAAGGAAGTGTGGCGGGGACAGAGGGAAGAAGGCTGCCCTAGAGATGGGTGAGCTGGCGGAAAGGAAGTGTGGCGGGGACAGAGGGAAGAAGGCTGCCCTAGAGATGGGTGAGCTGGTGGAAAGAAAGTGTGATGGCGACAGAGGGAAGAAGGCTGCCCTCGAGATGGGCGATCTGGTGGGAAGGAAGTGTTGGGGGACAGAGGGAAGAAGGCTGCCCTAGAGATAGGTGAGCTGGCGGGAAGGAAGTGTGGCAGGGACAGAAGGAAGAAGGCTGCCCTAGAGAAAGAGCAATGCTTTCATAGTCTGGAGCTTGCACCTGCCTTTCCACATGTGCTAAAAGATGTATCACAGTGTACAAAGAGCTCTGGACGTGGAGATAATGGTTGGATTCTCACTGGAATAGAAACAACTTGGTACTTTGGCCCATTAGCATGGGTGCTAATCAGTTGGTGTTAGTGTCTGGTATCCTTTCCCTTTATGAAGAGGTGATCTTTTCCTTACACATAAAAAAATTAATACCAGTGATGACATTTGCCATTCATTCAATACCCATGTTTCCTTTGCACCATGGTTCTTCTCTCCAAAGTTTATCATAAGTCAGTAAAGCGGGGGATACTTTCCTTATTCTATTACATTTTGGTCTTCTGTATCCCTTGGTTCCACATTAATGGATTCATCCAACTGTGGATTGAAAATATTCAGAAAAAAGGAGGATTGCATCTATATTGAACATGCACAGACTTTTTTTCTTGTCACTCTTTCTTAAATAATACAGAATAACAACTATTTATCTAGCATTTACATTGTGTTGGGTATTACTAGTAATCTAGAGAGGATTTAAAGTATACAGGAAGATGTGCTCAGGTTAGATGCAAATACTATGGCATTTTATGTCAGACACTTGAGCACCCACAGATTTTTGTATCTGGAGGGGGGGGTCCTGGGACCAATGCCCTGTGGATACTGGGAGATGGCTGTATTCAGGTAACTTGCCAAGGCCACAGAGGTGAATTTAGAACTCTCTGATTCTAAACTCACACTCTTTCTTGGGAACCACGTCTTTTCTCTCAGAAGCACAGATGTGCATGAACCCTGCAATATGATGCCAGGAATTGGTTCTATTTGCTATGGAATTCAGGAATGTAGCATTCTATGTTTTGTGATAGGCATGGGATAGGAGACATGTGACAAAACTGTAAGGTGGACCTTTAATGAATTACTAGCCTAGACACCTTGAAAAACCACATGCCTGGGGCATGGTCTCCGAGCACAGCCATTTTTTTCTGAAATGAACAGGTGCTGCAACCCGTTGTGCTGGAATTGTCAGCGTTGGCTGTGCTCTAACAGTAATAAAGTAAGAAAAAATGTCCAAGTGCTTATTAGGCATCTGAATTTAACTTGTGCCTCCTGCTTAATTAGCATAGTAGTTTGGAATCCTCAGCTCCCAGCCTATCTGTGATCTCCGGCTGCCCCGGATAGTGGGTTTGTAGAGCCACCAGGCGGAGGGCGTTTTCCCAGCTGTCTGTACTTGGCGTGGGCTGCCTGTTTTCCCGCAAGCCTACTGCTTGCTTGATTTATCTTTATTAACGTAAAATGAATCTATAAGTACGGTGGCACTGCATGCTATTTAAGATCATTTATATCCAACTTCAGCTAACTGAAGATGGTGAGGAAAATATAAGTAAGCCTAAAGGATGTTGGAGCAGCCTAAATTGATGTTGGGAAATTTGTATATGAAGTGAAGAGTCTGTTATTCTTAGTCTGTTTACTATTGTTTAAAAATATCTCCAAAAGATTTGACTGTCTGGTGTCTCAGGCTGCACGCTGGTAAAAGTAGCAGATTAAAAGGTGTGGAAATTCTCTGGAGGCAGCCACATTGACAAGAGCTAGAAGTAGAAAATGGAACAGGCAATTACAGGAACTTCCAAAATTGGGTCAACAGGTCCCATTTAACATGACAGCAAATGGAAGAGTGCGCATCACATAGCAAACTCCAAGTGAATCTTTTGGAATAAAGAAAGCTGTAGCTGTGGATGTTTGCATCGTTGAGCTTGTCAGCAAGGTTAAATTCATTTCAGTGGCCTGTGTTTCAGAAGGATAAGGCAATGCATAATTCACTTTAAAGCTATGTGTATATTTAATATTTAACAAATTTTTAAAAAATTAGTATTTAAAAAAACAAGCTGGACTTATGCTTCTGGGAAGAGGGTAGGCTTCTGAGAATATAAGTGAATACTCCTAGGCAGACCAGCTAGAGACCTCAGGACTTGAGGAGGAACACAGTGGTGGGGGTCCCTGGGCTTGCTTCTTGCCTCATCTGTCTCAGAGTGGGAGCAGAAGCAGCTGGTAACCCAGAAGAGCCCATGGATACAGAGGAAAAAGCCCCAACAACAGCCGGCTTTCTCTAGCCAGAAGACCAGGAAAGGAGCAGTTCAGTAAGACAGGAAACTTCTCTGATCACCTCTCGACTCCAGCTGAACACCACGGAAAAAGTGTGCCGCCACTTCCACCTGTGCCGGTGAATGTCACATGGAGAGCCTAGGCTCCCCATCTTCTGAGATTGTAATGACCCACTGCAGTGGTGTCAGAGAAGGCCCAGTGGAGAGGCAGGACTTCATCACCCCACTAGCAATGAGGTCGCATACCCCTTCCATGGTTCAGTGGAAGCCATATGGGGAGCCTGGACTTCTAGCCCTGTGTTAGTCTGTTTGCATGGCTATAAACTGGGTAATTTATAAAGAAAGAGGTTTGTATGGCTCATGGTCTGCAGGCTGTACACAAAGTATTAGTGTCAGCATCTGCTTTTGGTGAGGGCCTCAGGAAGCTTCCACTCATGGCAGAAGATGAAGGGGAGCTGGTGAGTCACATGGTGAGAGAGGGAGCAGGAGGGAGAAAGAGGAGGTGCCAGGCAATTTTAAACAACCAGATTCCAAGTGAACTCATAGAGTGAGAACCCACTCATTATTGCTAGGTCAGGACCAAGCCATTCATGAGGGATCTGTCCCCATGACTCAAACACCTGCCACTAGGCCTACCTCCAACATTGGAGGGTACATTTCAACATGGGATTTGGAGGGGACAAAACGTCCAAACCGTATCACACCACCTGTCAGTAATGTGATGGTGCAGCCCCCTTCCCCATTTCTTCTGCCAGAGCATTATCAGTTTAAAGGAGTCAGCATCTCATAACAAATAACATAATATGCAAAATGTCCAGTTTTCAATAAAGAAGAATTTGTCATACCAAAAACCAGGAAAATCTCAAAGCTAATGAGAAAAGACAATCAATAGATACCGATATTGAGGTGACAAGTGTTAGAACTATCTGACAAAGATTTTAAAACAGCCATTATAAAATTGCTTCAATAACACACAAAAAAATGCTCAATGCCATTAGGAAAATGCAAATCAAAACCACAATTAAATACCACATCACACCCACTAGGATGGCTATAATAAAAAAGACAGGTGATAAGAATGTTGGCAAGGATATGGAAAAGTTAGAACCCCCATAAATTGCTTGTGGGATTATAAAATGGTACAAAGAATTTGGAAAGCAATTTGGTGGTTCTTCAAAAAGTTAGATATAGAGTTATCATATGACTCAGTAATTTTAGTCCTAGGTATATATCCAAGAGTGTGAAAACATACATGCACACAAAAATTTGTACACAGATGTTCATAGTATTGTTCATAACATTCAAAAGTAGAAACAATACAAGTGCATACACAATATATCCTCATACAATTGAATGTTATTCAGCCATAAAAAATGAGGTATTCATTCATACTATAACATGGATGGATTTTGAAAACATTATGCTGAGTAAAAGAAGCCAGACACAGAAGGTCACATGTTGTATGATTCCACTCAAACATGAAATGTCTAGAATAGGCAAATCTATAAAGACAGAAAATAGATTAGTGGTTTCCAGGGACTGGGGAGAAAGGGAGATGAGGAGTGACTGGTGATGGGTATGGGGTTTTATATTGTGATACAAATGTTCTGGCATTAGGTAGTGGTAGTTGTTGCACAACTTTGTGAATATACTGAAAACCGCTGAATCATATACTTCAAAAGGATGAATTCTATGGTGTGTGAATTATATCTCAATAAATATACACAATGTTTCAAAAGGAAATTACAGGCACACTTGAAAAAAACGAAAGTCTCCACAAAGAAATGGATGATATAAAGAAAAACCAAATGGACATTGTAGAACTGAAAAATATAATAAATAACTCAATGGATGGGCTCAACAGAGGAATGGAGGAGACAGAGGAGAAAAAATCAGTGAGTTGGAACATAGGATAATAGAAATTATCTAAACAACAGAGAAAATAAATTAACAGAACATCAGGAACCTGTGGGACTCTAACAAAAGATTTTTGTTGACATTCATGTCATCAGAATCCTGGAAAATGAGGAGAAAGAGGATGGACTTAAAAATTACTCAAATAGTGGCTGAAAACTTCCTAAATTTGTTCAAGATAGAAACTTTCAAGAACTTTAAGATTCAAGAAACCGAGAGAATCTGGAACAGGATAAATCCAAAGAAATCCACACCAGAACATATTCTAATCAAACTTGTGAAAACAAAAGACAAAAAATGTTGAAAGTAGCATCATAGAAATGACACCTTATCTATAGAGGAAAAACAATTAGAATGACATTGGATTTCTCATCAGAAAGTGTGGAGAGCAGAGCAAAGTGAAACCTAGACACATTCTATTGTACTCCGTTATAATTACTTCCATCAACTCTTCCTTCCCACCATTTGGCTACAGCTTAAAATTTTAAATGATAAAACCTCTGATTATGAAAATAAAATTTAATTATTGATAAATTGGGATTAACATAGCTAAAATGCAAATCACTCATAATCCTACCACCTGGAAATTTTGTCAAGTTTTTCATGTGTTTTATATCCAGTCTTTTTATTGTACACTTTACAAAACTGGGATCATCTAAGATACGTAGTTTTGCAGTGTACCTTTTCATTCAACTTTGGATCATGTGAGTTTTTCCACTTTGTTAAATAGTCTTCTAGGACATGATTTTTCATGGTTGCATAACATTCCATACTCTGAGGGTAAAATGATTTATGTTTGGTTATTTTGGTGGTTTGCAAATTCTTGTTATTTTAAATAACACTCCCATGTCCATCATTGGTTATCAGTCTTTGGCTGTACCTCTGATTATTTCTTAGGATAGGATTTTGGGAGTAGAATTCTTGGATTGCAGAGAATAAATATTTAAAAATCTCTTTCTATACATATATATTTTATATACATATTTATACATATAAAGAGATTTTAAAATATTCTCTATATACATATAAAATGAAGATATTTAAAAATATCTGAAAAATATACATTTTTCAGATATTTTTAACAAATTGTTGTCCTGAAAAATTGTACTAGCTTACATGATGGGAAAAGCGTGTATGTGTATATATATGATTCTTATAAAAATATCAAATGTACTCTTCCACCAGTCAAGTCAAGAGTCTAGATGTGTTTTCATCTCTCTTCTCTCCCCTCTCCCACACTGTTCCTGGCCCCAACTCCTTGATATTTCCCATATTATAAATTTCTGGAATATTGGTTTTAGAAAGTTCTTACTTTTTTTAATAATAAAATTACCTAGACAAATATAAGTTTACTGGTATATTGGCTGTATTCTCTCCTGAATTGCAGCCTTCAACCTTTTGCAAGGTTTTTTGTTTTATATATCCTCTAGGTATATCTTTAACATAGCTTTGTAGATGGCAGGTCACTCTGAGGAATTAGTGGAAATGAAGTTTCTTTAAAAGAAAACAGAAAAGCCAGTTTCCTGTTTGCAGCTGGTGTATGCCATTGGCCATCCTAGCTCCTGAAACTCTCAAGATTCTTTTGTAACCTTTTTTAGGTCTCCTTTGCCTCAGTCTTAGATTCATTATTATTTTGTGGGCTTAGTAAACCAAGATTTGGGAAGGTTACAGAGTCCTCTCTACCCAGGACTTGTTCTGGGTGTCTCAGAGGTGCTGGATTTAGAGCAGTGTGAGAACTTCCAGAGCCTTGTGGACACTGAGTCTGTGTGGTGCAGTCAGACCAGCCCTGATCAGTGTCACTTTTGGGACTGGTGGGCCAAGCTTGCAGGAGAAATGCCCTGAGAATTCTGATGGGTCCTCTATCCTGCACCATCAGTATCCCCCCTTTCTACTCTATCATTTCCAAACAACTCATAAACATACTGTAATTGAGCCTTCCTTTCTTTTTTGTAGAAGTTTATATTTCAAAACTCATTCTTTTAATTGAAATAGAGTATCTGCAGCTGGGCGCAGTGGCTCATGCCTGTAATTCCAGCACTTTGGGAGGCCGAGACAGACGGATCACGAGGTCAGGAGATCGAGACCATCCTAGCTAACACGGTGAAACCCCATCTCTACTAAAAATATAAAAAATTAGCCGGGCGTGGTGGTGGGCGCCTGTAGTCCCAACTACTCGGGAGGCTGAGGCAGGAGAATGGCGTGAACCCTGGAGGCGGAAGTTGCAGTGAGCTGAGATCGTGCCACTGCACTCCAGCCTGAGCGTCAGAGCGAGACTCCATCTCAAAAAACAAAAACAAAACAAAACAAAAAAAGAAATAGAGTATCTGCATATGTGTAAATAATGCAAAAATTTTATAATCAAAAGTAAATGTCCCTTTCACACCAGATACCCACTTTCTTTCCGTGAAGACAAAAAATGGTCTGTTTAAACACAGCATAAACGTGTGTGTATATGCACATGCATGCCTATATATAGTGTATCTCTGTGTATGTGTATGAGAGTGTGTGTGTGTGAATATATCCTTTCTTTAAAAACAAAACCAAAACCCCTTTCTTGGCTCTACCACTTCTTTCATCCATTTCACACAGTCCCCTATGCAGAAGCACTTTTTGAAAGAGTTGTCTGTGGACGCTTTCTTACCTTCTCCTCATTCCACTCCAGTCAGGCTTCCATCCCGTCACTCCATGGAGACTGCTCTTGTCAACTTTACCAGAACTTTCATTTGGCAGCTGCAGTGGTCACTTCAGTTGTCATCTTATCCTTTCACGACCTTGGCACAATGGCATTCACCCTCCTTCTTGAAATGCTCTTTCCCATCTCTTGCCACTCCTCTGGCTTCACTGCTTCCCAGTCTCCCCCCAGCCTGACCTTTGAATGTTAGATTGTCCTGCAGCTCAGCTGTGAACTCTTCATCCTTCGTTTCTACTTTCCCCATAAGTCTTCCCCAGGCCCTTGCTATGAAAATGATATTTCCAAAATTCTAACCTCTAGCCCTAACCATTCCACTGAGCTCCAAACTTATTAGGCTAATTGTTTAATTGATACCTGTACTTGGGTGTCTAATAGGGGTCTCAGAATTAACATTGCCAAAGTAGTTTTCCTAATTCTTTCCTCCCCAACCTGTTCCTACCTGGTCATCTGCAGTCTAGTAAATGGCAATACTGCTGACTCTGCTGCTAAGTCAACAATCCTGGCAAGTCCTATGACCTCTTTTTTCAGAATGTCCTTGCTGTCTTTCCTCACTGCTCCTACTCTAGTCCAAGCCACTGTTCCTTCTACCTGTTCCTCTCATCTGGTCTTTATTCTGTGATTAAGAGAAATTTGAAAATGTAAATTGGATTGTGTCATTCCTTGCACAGCTTAGAATAAAATTCCGACCCATTAACACCACCAGCAGCAACGCATCTCTATTTGTCAAACCGGCCAGTCTTGTCTTGTTCACTGGCACAGCCACTGCACCTAAACACTGCCTGGCACTTGAGAGGTACGCTGAATTATGAAGGATGGTGATTGCAGGTGTGTCTGCAGAGTTGCAAGTGACATTGGGGATAAACAGATCTGTTGCTGCTTTTTGGGCATTGCTTTGGGGACCTCAAGTGAACTGGGTCATTGTTTCAATGAACTGGGTCAGTGTTTCAGTCTGTCTGAGCTTTAGTCATGTACAAGAAGCTTTTTTGTGTTTTTAATGCCTGGGTCTTGGGTTAGAAGAACCCTAATGCCCAAAGTCCCATCCATACCTTGTGGTGATGGCTGGCCTTTCTCGATTGCACATTTCTGAACAGCATCTCTGCGTTCCCGAGCTCAACTCTGCTCATCTTGGCAGGGTCTCCTGCTGTGCATGTATATCTGATAGTCCCATATGCTCCCTGTTTTGATGGGGCTCCCATTTTAGAAACATGCGGTTTGTGTGCGATTGCTCCCTTTAGCTGATGAGCAGCGCAGTAATTGCAATCACCCCATGGCATATGTGTGTCACTTTCCATTTTGGTAACATAGTGGAGAGAGTCTCTTGTTTTAACCCGTGTTGTCATAATGAAGTTCACACGGATGGTTGTGATTTATGATCTCTCTTCTAGCTCTTCCTGCCAGTGGCACATTTCTTTATAATTTACAAAGTTCTTTCAATAGCCTCATCGTATTTAGAGCCTCCTGAGGTAGGCAGAAGTGGTAGCAGGTGCCCCATTCAACACAAGGGGAAACTGCGTGGAAACAAGTGGCCTCTAAGTCACTTGTTTAAGTTCCATCGTTTGTAATCAGTGGGCCTAGATCTTGAATCTCAGTGTTTGGATTCTAAAGGGGGCTTTCTGGCATTTCTCATTCCTGTCTACACGGTTTTAGGTGTGCAGTGATTCCTTTAATAGGTTGTAACACTGGTTATGAGAGAGAACTGCCTGGAAGCCTCTTTGTATTGAATGTTAAGAATTCAGAAATGTGTGCCTGAGCGATTGGTTGTATTAGAGCTCTTCAGAGAAAGAATCATGGAGCAAATAGAATGTATACGCTATATATGTATATATGCATAACATACACATATATACATATATGTGTGTGTGTGTATATATATGATAAGAGAGGTTTATTTTAAGGAATTGGCTCATCAACTGTAGGAACTAGCAAGTTCAAAACCTGCAGGGTAGGTGAGCAGGTCAGCGACCCAGGAAGGGCTGATATTGCAGCTCAAGTCCCAAGTCAGTCTGGAAGCAGAGTTCCTTCTTCCTCTGAGGACCTCAATCTTTTTCTCTGAAGGCAGTCAACTGATTGGATGTGGCTCACCCACATTATGGAGCATAATCAGCTTTTCTCAAACTCTACTGATTTGAATGTTAATCACATCTAAAAAAATACCTTTACAGCAACATCTAGATGGATTTGCCTAAACAACTGGGCACCATGGCCTAGCCAAGCTGATGTATAAAAATTAACCATCACACTGGCTAACTAAACAGTGCTCAAAGTGGCATCTTTACAAAGAGATTTCTGGAATATCTGGTAAAAATGAAATGTTTATATTTTCCCTACCATTGTTAACCAAATAATAATAGTGAAATAAAGTAATAATGAAAAGCTAGAGCCTTTAATCACGGGGTTATTTTATGATACCCTCCAAATAATACTTAGCAAATTAAAGATATGACCTCCCCCTCTTTTGCATTAGCACCAACATTGCAAAAAAAATGATTAATTCCTAGGAAATTCTATAGCAGCTTGCAAGAATAGATTCTAATTATCATAGCCTTTTATTTTAGAGACTTGTTTAAAGATATTCAGTTTATTTGCACATTCTTTGCTTTGGAAATACTTAGATTTTGCACAAGTTCTTATTAGATAATTTTCTATTCATGTTTATGCCTAATTCAAGAATTGGCTATCGGCTGGGTGCAATGGGTCACACCTCTAATCCAAGCACGTTGTGGGGGCTGAGGTGGGAGGATGGCTTGAGCCCAGGAGTACAAGACCAGTATGGGCAACATAGTGAGAACCTTTTCTACAAAAAATTAAAAAGCAATTAGCTGGGCATAGTGGTACATGTCTGCAGTCCCAGCTACTTAGGAGGCTGAGGCAGGAGGATGGCTTGAACCTAGGAGGTCCATGCTGCAGTGAGCTGTGATGGTGTTACTGTACTTGAGCCTGGGAGACAAAGTAAGACCCTGTCTCAAAAAAAAAAAAAAAAAAAAAAAACAAAGAACTGATTATTATTTTTTGAACATTTCTCAAACTGGGAAGGTTTAGCGTTGCAAACCTGGGCTTATACTCCATGAAAATAATACCCATTTTGAAATATTAAGGAAGTTTACAATTGTACAGTGTTTCTTGATTTGAGGGATAATCTTCCTCAGAGGAAATTTGTACAAGCTGAATTTATTGAGAATAGTAGCAAATTTTCCCTTGATTAAGTGTGGTAAATGTGAGTATATCCTGACCACTGTTACCACGATCTGGCAGTAATAGTACTGCGATAGCAATTTCATACACTGGACATCATTAACTACCTCATGAAACTGCCTACAAGACTTACCAGGCACTATACTTGCAATGTGTGAGTAAGTTCAAATAAGTTCTTGCCACCTTAATTCCAGCAGGGGGAGGAGTCATATGGAATGGTCAGTAGCATCATTGAAGATGAGTATTATACAAAATAAATTTAACTTCTTTTGCTTTGAACATGTAGCACACCCTGGGCCTGACTACTATATTAATATTCCTTGTGCACCATTTTACTATTTATATTGCCGGGGGGAGAGGCATTTCTGAAATGATCTACTCATCAGGAACTTTCCAGGAAGGTTAAAATTAACAAAGTGTAATTATAATTTACTGCATATTGGACTTACAGTGTGTCTTCTACCCCACCTATATCCCTGTAGTCTTGCCAGTAAGAAGAAATAAAAAAGCTCTGGTCTGTTAAGAGACTCTTGATTTACCCAACAGAGAACGTGCTGTAGGAACTAAAGCATCTGTGCTGTTATTGTCATCATCATTGTCATGGAAAAGCTTCTATCAAGTTGTTGGAGGCCATTCTGAATGTTATTCACCAAAAGTACTGTCTGCTTGGGTCATAGCATTAGACACTGGTGTCAGTGGAGGCAGGATCTTGATTTAGAGCTCCGTGGCCCTTCTCATTTCCCCCTTCTCAAGTCAGCCACCTCACACACACATGCCCTTGTTACCCAGATGACATGATCTGTGCAAAAATTCATCATCCCTGGAAGAAGTAGCCCAGCATATGTTCCAGGAGCCATGAGTCTGTGTATATAGAGAGAGCCATTTGTTTCATATGGAGTATATGGCTGTAGTTCCTGTGTGTTATAAATATCACATAAAAACATGTATGAACGTGAAAATGTTGGAGATGTGGACAGAACTACACCCTGTTATTATTTCAATAGCGTTTATTTTTATAGTTCTTTAAATATTGTTTACACAATTGAAACATGCAATAGATAAAAATTATTCATGATGTCACCATTCAGAGATATACCTGCTAACATTAGACTGCAATACCTTCCAGTCTCTCCAATTTGCCTTTTGCTGCATGACTGTATAGAAAGTATCTGCAGTAGTGATTCTGATTTTTTGAGGTATCATTGTGTCTCATTTTTTTCATAAAAGTTAGTTTTAAAAATTTATTTTTAACGTTTGCATTTTTTAAATTATTTGGATGAACCAAAATATATTTCATACTGTGAGGCTGGCCAAAGTACAAAATAAAGGCCCACATATCATATGCTTAGGTATTTAAAGGTATACATTGAGTTAACAAAGTGTTAAATAAAATGTATTCTGTTTCCCTACCTTGGCAAATACGTCATTGCAATGGCAAAATTTTTAAAAAGTGTAGTTATGATTTTTATATCAGTGAATATCAGAAAAATGTCAAATGATTGAATTTATTATTTTGCACTATTATTAAATGCAGAAAATGGGCCAGTTTTGTAATTAAATCTTGATTTAATAAGGAATCTAAAGTTCCTGGGATTTCAACTTAACAGGTTAGAACTTGGACTGGATGAGATACTTTTCTTGTTCAATTTTAGTGTTTTGCTCAGTAATTCAATCTTCATTAAATAAAAAAATTTTCATGTCCTATTTATGAGTTTTATATGACTCGTGCCTTACAGAGCCTGCTCACTTTTAGTTTTAATAGTAAAAATTTTAAGCAGATTGCTTCTTTGAAGATTTTTAACTTTTTAAACTTTGTCTTTTCTGAATTCTACTTTCATAATTTGTTTCTAAAACATTCTTCACTTGTACTCATTATCATGTAAAGGATTAAAAAGTAGTGAAATTTTATTCAAAGTATACTAAAAATGTAAATAAAAGTAAATGTGAAGTTTAAAATATTAAAAACTTTCTCTTCAAAATTATTCAAAAATTATACAGTAAAACTAAAAGGCAAAATATAGACTACAACTGATGATATCAAAATTTTAAATAAAGTTGTTTTTATAAAGCTGCAATTTTTTGTATAATTTTGTTAATTTTTTATTTAGAGATGGGATCTTGCTCTGTTGGCCAGGTTAGAGTGCAGTGGCATGATCATGTCACACTGCATCCTTGAACTTCTGGGCTCAGGTAATCCTTCCACCTTAGCCTCCCAAATAGCTGGGACCACAGGTGCAAGCTACCGTGCCTGGCTAATTTTTGTATTTTTTGTAGAGACATGGTTGAACTGTGTTGCCCAAGCTGGTTGCAAACTATTTTTTTAATTGCCAAAGAATAATTATATATATTCATGGGATATACAGTAGTGTCTCAACATATACAGTGTATACTGATCAGATCATTAGGGTAATTGGCAAATCCATCATCTCAAACATTTATCATTTTTGTGTTGGAAACGTTCAGTATCTTCCTTCTAGTTATTTGAAACCATGAAATATATTATTATGATGATTATTATTTTTGAGATGAAGTTTTGCACTATTTATTTTATTTATTTATTTATTTTTTGAGACAGAGTCTCACTCTGTCACCCAGGCTGGAGTGCAGTGGCGCGATCTTGACTCACTGCCACATCCGCCTCCCGGGTTCAAGCCATTCTCCTGCCTCAGCCTCCCAAATAGCTGGGATTACAGGTACGTGCAGCACCACGCCCAGCTAATTTTTGTATTTTTAGTAGAAATGGGGTTCTACCATGTTGGCCAGGATGGTCTTGATCTCTTGACCTCATGACCTACCCACCTCGGTCTCCCAAAGTGCTGGGATTACAGGCGTGAGCCACTGCGCCCGGCTGAAGTTTTGCTCTTTTTGCCCAGGCTGGAGTGCAATGGCACAGTCTTAGCTCACTGCAACCTCTGCCTCCTGGGTTCAAGCGATTCTCCTGCCTCAGCCTCCTGAGTAGCTGGGATTATAGGCGCCTGCCAGCATGCCTGGCTAATTTTTGTAATTTTAGTAGAGACAGGGTTTCACCATGTTGCCAGGCTGGTCTTGAATGCCTGTCCTCAGGTGATTCGCCTGCCTTGGCCTCCCAAAGTGCGGGGATTACAGGTGTGAACCACCACACCTGGCCAAAACCATGTAATATGTTATTGTTAACTATAGCCATCCTACAGTGATAAAGAACACTAGAAGTTTAATAGTTAGAAAATTTAGTTTTATTTTTATGAAAATGATTTTTAAAATAATTCCAGTAATACCATTGTCTATTTGTCAATGTTTAGTATTATGCTTCATGCATGCTTTGTCTAGATCTTTATATGTACAAATGTAGAATAATATAAATTTTTTATATTGTAAAACATTCCTCAGACACCATTGGAACTTGTGAATAATGTGAGCATCTCTAGAATAGGGGTTGGCAACCTATGGCCCATAGACCACATCTGTCCTGCCACCTGTATTTGTGAATAAAATCTCACTGGAACACAACCACCATCGTTCATTCATGCGTTGTCTCTGTCTTCACACTGCAACAGCAGTTTAGTTACAACAGGGACTGTGTGGCCTGCAAAGCCTGAAGTATTTGCTCTATGGCTGTTCGTAGAAAAAGTTTGCATCCTTCTGCTCTGGAACCATAAATTAGAACAGGAAGAAAAGTAAGAAGATGAAGGCTTGACCTTACTGTGAAACAATATCTTTTATGCAAGAAATGCTTACATTTGTGCTCTCTGAGAAGAAAGATTTGAAAACTTAGTTTTCCCGGCCCTCAGATGCCATATTCCCCTCCATCCCCCTCCATCGTGGCAGCAGCACAGCCTGCAAACCTATACAGTGTTCCTGTCATATCAGGGCCATGGAGCAAGAGCTGTATAAATGTGTTTCTCCAGAGCATGCACATTGTCAGTGACCAGAGGAGACGCCGCACTCAGGGTTATAGGGTCCACCGTGCTCATGCTGAGGGCAGGATCCAGTGTGACAGAGGCATCCACGTGGTATTTTATCCTGTGGATTTGTGATTTGCAAGAGCAGCTAATGCAAACAGGTGTAAAAGCAGTACTCGATAGTTATTAAATCGCCTGTGTTTTATTCTAAATGTTGCTCACAAATCAGTATTATATGCTCTTCATCCCTGGAACACACATTGAAAAATCGTGCCAGAAAGTAGAGATTGGTGTTGGATTTGGGATTTTTCAAATACTATGGGAAAGCTTCTTCATTTCAGTCACTTGAAAACATTTTAAAAATATCTGGATTTAGAGTATTTTAAAAAATAATCATAATATCCTGACTCATTACTGGTAGTGTTGTTCCCTTGATATTGGTGACTTAAAGCCAGCTATATGGTTGGGGGCCACTGAAACACAGCAAAATGAGCTGTTTCACAAGGAAAACAAATGGTATGATTTTGATATGGAACTCCATGGTCTGGTGAGCCAAGTACCTAGGATATGTCCGAAGGAATCCTCAGGCTCTCATTTTGAGAAATAATCTGAGTACCTGTTCTCTCAAGCTGAAAAAGAAATTGTAATGAAGAATTCAAGTTAATAGGTGAGAGAAATACTATACCCATTAGGACTTCAACAGTAAGAGCTATATAAAAATGGAATGGGCCACAGTGAACAAATATGGAAATAGCAGTCCCATTTATGGATTTTATTTGCATTATATAATGGGGTGCAGACATTACATTCATTGCTATTACCACTAATAACAGCACCACCTTACGTTTTCATAATGCTTTCTATTTTACGCAGGGCTTCCCACACACTTGAGCTCGTTTACTTCTCATATAAACATGTGAGAAAGTGTAGACAAAGAAACTGAGTTTCAAAATGGTGACAGCACTTACCCAAGGTCAGAAAGCTTCCATGTGGCCAAAACAGGACACAAATTGAGATGTTCTTGTCCCATTTTTCATGTTTTCTGCCATGCCAAAGCTTGCCTTGTAAATAAAGTAACCGATGCAATTCATGTGCTGCATGCAAACAGCCATGCTGGACAATTCATGGTAACACTGATTTAAAGTGCTAATAGCCAAGGGTGAAAACAAACATATGATTTATGGCTTTAGTATTAATGAGAACTTTCAAATTTCACAAGATATAGATGGCATTGAGTCTGGGGGTGTTAAAACTCTGCACGCAGAACAACTATTGAGGAGAAAGAAATATTTTGCGTAGATCAAAGCCATTTTGAATACTTCTCAGCATCTTAGATCTGCACAAATAAAGCTGTATTTGGAAGGTGAGGAGGGTGGCAGGGTCCACACCCTGGGTGGGGGAAGATGCAGCCCTTGGCATCACAGCAGTCACAGGTACAATAACAAATGGCTTCTCTGATAAGTGACTCTCCGGTTCTTCCGGGACACTTGACTGCAGAAAACAGTCAGCATTATTAACCTAAGAAATAATTGGTCCCCACAATGTCCTTCTGCACTGTGTTCGCAGGTGGCCCTGTGAGGAGTCAGCTAAAATCATGCCTGCTCAGCACCAGGCAGCATTCTCAATCACCGAAGCTTCAGAATAAACAGTATGCATTTGGACCTAGGACCTTTTAATGTTCAGAAACCCAAAACAATCTTAGTTTCTCAAAGGGTCAAATTGTAAATAATACTGAAAGCACAGCCACTTAGGTTAGTTTTACCCTTTGGCCCAAGGTACAGTAAAACCTAAATACTAATGTCGCAGCCCCGAGTTCTGAGAGCTGCAGGGTGTTTGAGAATGGCTTTCCCGTTCTTCAAAGCTCAGTTCCTGTCTTATGGGAGAAAGTGTACCTTGAAAAGGTAATTCTTTAAAAATTACTTAACAATTTTTGTTTTGTGAATTATTTAAACACAAAAACACAGAAAATAATTCACCTTTATGTACATCCACTTCTAAGAGATGCTGATTTTTTTGCATTTGCTGCAGACTTTTTAAGAGAAATGTTCAGGCAGAGATAGTTAAGCCCCTATCTAAATTCTTTCCCTGTGCCCCTTCCCCCAATAAAACTGCTAGTCTGAGTAGATATGAACATTTCCTTGCATGATTTTATCCTCTTATTATATATGTATATATCAAAAAATATATATAGTTCTATTTTGTATGTTTACAGTGGACATACACTCTGTATGTAGCTTGCTTTTTTAGAAAAAAATCCCTAGCATTATTTTTTGAGATTAAAATAGATTTTATTTATTAACTGCTGTAAATTTATTAGCCTGCTCTATGATATGAATAGGAAGTTGGATGTAAAATTTAGTTTTTCCTGTCTGCTGTTGATAGACACTGAAATTATTTAAAATTTTTCACTCTTAGCAAGAGTAATGAAACAACACTTCTGACAGGTAACTCCATGGACATGAGAGGTATCCTACAGGCTGTCTTGAAAACTGTCATTATTGCATATTATAAGGGTAAGTTTTGTTTAGTTAAACTTTTTTCCATTAGATGTTTATATATGCAGGTGCACTGGGCTGTGATGTAAAATATATTTCTGAGGGTCATAGTGAAAAACTGGAAGCTGCCTCACTAGGGCATGTACCTAAGACCTACTGTTGGGTCACAGGATATATGCATCTTCGGCTATCCTGAATGTTGCCAAACTGCTTATGAAAGTGACTGCATCTTATTTGCAGGGCTCCCTCCTATTTTACCACATTTTAGCACTAGGCTTTTGTGACAAGGGTTTCTAACTGTAATCATAGTTTGCTTTTCCCTATTGCTGGTGAGGCTAAGAATAAGTCAGTTCTAAGTGTTAGAAATCCATTTATTTGAAGGTTTACATTTTGTAATTTTATCACAGTATTGGATAGTCACAAGAAAAATAAAGCATGTGGAAAGGAGAGGCTGGGATCTTTCTAGGTTGATTGGAAGAAGGCAGGCGAGAAATAGCTAATATTTTGATACCTGATGTTACAGACTTCAGCCTTAGAAAACGACTAGAATTGATGGTGCTCTCTGCTGTCGGGTATGTGATGTGTTGCACTTAGGGCAGAGGGTGAAAATGTAGGTGCCTTCAGCAGCCTGTGTTTTTATGTAAGTGAGTAAAGCGTGCTGGGTGTAACATGTTTGCACATTTAATGCATGGAACAGTTCTTCACTCCTTCAGACGTATATTCTCTCTCCCAATTTTCTTGTTATACTGCCCTCTTTGTCTTTTATTTTCTGTCTTTGATGCTTGTGTGGACGCAGAGAGCTAACTGGACGGTGAGTAGTTTCTTATGGTAAGTTTCCGTGGTGGGCTCTGCAGGGACAGCTGCAACTCTGCTCTAGGGGAGTTTTGTTTTGTGGGAATTAGAATCCAATGTTGCTAGATATTTTTATGCGTTTTCCAAGAGAAAGTGGAAATATTTTTAAAAATTAATTTAATCTTGTGAAGTCTCTTGATTTAGTTTTTAAAATACTGAGCCACGTTTTTAAAAACACAGTTTGGGCCAAACAAACTGTATCTGAATTTAGACTGTGAGCCACTGATTTGAAATTTCTATGTTAAGGGAACAGAACTGTGAAATGGCTAAGTTTTTAGAAATCATGAACACCAATGTTGATTCCTTATGACCTAATTTGTCATTTTGCTTGTTTCCTCCTGGGTGTGTAAATGAGTGCTGAAGGAGCTGTGAAATTCTGAATAATACTCATTTGTCTTTGCTCCTCAGCACTTAATACAAGGCTTGTTATATAATAGGTTCATAATAAATGTTTGTCCAATCAATGCATAAATGAATGATGAAAACATACAGCTCCTGTTCCTTTAGAATTGAAAATCTGAGTTAAAAAACATACTTGCTGTTTACCAGTTTTGTGTTATTTTCTCGGGGCTAATAGTAAGAGGAAATTTCTGCTGTGCAAGGCTTTTCCACATGTCAAATCCTGACAGTTTTACTGTTCACCAAAATGCCACATAGCTAATTCATGATTTATAAAGAAAGCTCAGCACATTAATAGATTAGATAGTCAGTAGAATGAATAATAAATGGCAAAGCTATGTATACAAAGAAAATATGCATAGCTCTTGGAAAATCATATAATGAGGGTTGGTCCATCTGGAGCCTTTTCTTCCTAGGGGAAATGTAAGGATCGAGTGATAATCCTTCAGTTATAAAAGAAGAAAATGAAGTTCCATATGGGTATTTGATCAAGCCCAGGAAATTGCAGTGCTGAGGAAATTCTAGAACAATTAAGGCTCTTCCGCACTTAACCCAGTAGGCAGCCCGATTGGATCCATGGCAGCAGAATGCTATTGAAAATGTTAGTGTGGAGTGGGTAGGAATTTGATCATGATCCTTTCCATCCCTAGCAGCCAGAGCCATCAAAGTCTTATTTTAAGTCTCTTGATTCTAAAAATCACTTCAGAGCTGTCCTTAGTTCTCCCTGCTTCCCGACTTGCTTCTGCCTGGCCTGGGCCACAGAAACGCGGCATGGTCAGTGGGGTCTTTGCCCGGCCCTGAAGTCCTGTTAGAGTTCTCCTGGTCCCGGCTCTGACTCTCCACAGTGGCTTCTTCGGCAGTTTACTCACTGGGCGTTTCCAATCTCGCCTGCGGCAGCATCGCCCTCCCCTGCGGCAGCATCGCCCTCCCCTGCAGCCCCCTGCCTTCAGCACTGTAGGAAAACCCATCAGAAGACCACCTTGACAGTGTGGTCAGTCAACCAAATGTCTTTTCTCCATCCTTCCTCTCCTTCTGGACATAATAACATCTGTTGAGTGCATTCCATTTGCCAGACACTGTTGCAAATATTTGATGCATTTTATCTCATTTAATCTTTGCCAGAAACCATGAGGACAATATTATTTTTATCCCTAATTTTTGTGGTGAGGAAACTGAGGCACAGGAACATGTTGATTATCTTTGCCTTTTTGAAACTCAGCTTATTTTTTGCTTTCCATACCAGTTCATTTCAGTGAACATTTATGACCTACTGTATTTCCGTTATAAAGATGAGCAATGCAGGATTCCTTCCCTCTTGGAGCGTACAGTGGAGGAGATGAAAAATTCCACTGTGACAAGCAAGGGAGGACTGAGGTGGGCACAGGCAGCAATGAAAGGTCATTGTCCATTCTGAGGGATAGAGACCACTTCCTGAGGGAGGTGGTGGCAGAGCTGCCTTGGAGGCAAAAATATAAAAAATAGGCAGGTGCGGTGGTGCACATTTGTAGTCCCAGCTACTCAGGAGGCTGAGGTGAGAGGATTGATTGAGCTTGGGAGGTCGAGGCAGCAGTGAGCCATGATTGCACCACTGCACTCCAGTTTAGATGACAGAATGAGACCTTGTCTCAAAAAAAAAAAAAAAAAAAAAGAAAAGAAGAAAAAAAGAATTAGAGAAATAAGATGGGAGGGTGTTCCAGGAAGAAGGCACAGCATGAGTTGAGGCAGAGAGGTATGAAGCAACCTAATGTTGTATGAGAACTGCAAACAGTTTGATATTACTAAATTAATGTGATGGCAATGGGTGGAACATTGTAGGAGGCATGTATAATGTGCTAATGAGCCTGGCTTTCATCGAGTAAGTAGTAGTGGCTGTTTTATTTTAAGCTTGGAACAGGTGTGGACTGGAATATAATTCAGTAGATTGCAGTGCATTTTGGAGGATGAATGGAGGGGAAGGTAAGAATCAAGGGAGATCAATTATGTGGCTGTTGTGATAGTCCAGGGAGGGATGAGGAGCTACAGAATAAAGCCATTTGGAAGTACAGTAGGAGGAGATGAGAGAATGGATATGAGAAACATTTAGAAGTTAAAATAAGTAGGACATTTTTTGTAACAGTGATTGGCAATATCTAAATGGGCTGTGGTGAGGGAATGATTATATTATATGTATACTAGGGTGCATGATCAGCTGTTAGGAAGCATCAGGAAGCTTTATGTAAATGGCATGGATGAATTTGAAACATTGGAAGTGAATGGGAGGAATAAGATACAAAATAATCTGCATGCTATGCTAATCATGACTGTACAAAACAAATTTGCATAGACTAACTCTGGAAGGATGTGTGAGTTATCTCTGCAGAGGACAATTAGGTGGTTGGGGGAAGGGATAGAGAGAAGGGGCTTAGGTTTTATGATATACCCTTCCCCCCTTTGAGTTTGATGCCATGGGAATATATGACCTCTTTTTATCAAATCTCTGCTTGTGAACTGGATATGGGGAGTGAAGGAGAGGAATTAGTTGTACATAACCCTGGGTTCACAAATGCAGGTGAGGGAGTAGGTTTATCTGGTGGGGTCATTGCGGGGGAGAGGGGATGATGAGTCAGTTGTAGATACATTTTTCACAGTGAATTTAAGTATGATTGATGAATCGCATCCTGGTGTCTCTTTTTCATTTAAAATTATTAAAAGCATTATTTTAAGGTATTTCAACCCAATTGGCCTTTATTTAGACCAATTTTAAGAGAGTAGGAATTTTAGCTTAGGAGAAGGAATAGGAAATCTTTTCAATGACCAGAACTCAGCAGTTATAATCAGCTGCTAACAGGTTCAAATGACTTTGGGAAATAAACTGGGAAACTTACTACCTTTTATATTTTTATGGGAGACTATTTTCTCAATTCCCAACAACTTCCTCCTAAACTTTCTGTAATATAACCTACGAGGTAATTGGTTTTCTTATGTGCTTCTTATTAAGCAATTATCCGACAAAATAGAGTTTTGTAACACACATTTATAGGCTGTTAGTAGCTTCACATGTACATCAATCATCATAATGTTACTTCGCTGTATTATCAGGTGGAGATGAAAGCCTTTATGATAATCAAAATAATTTAAAAATTTTCCCTTCACTGGGGTGAAGACAGAAAAAAAAATATTATTAAAAAGCCAGCACTCTACTAATTTGGTTTTCAGCTGGTGGAGTCCAGGATTTATTCATTTATTTTTAATAGGAAATTCAAGTCTTAACTCACCTAGAAAATCATCATCTTTGCCTGTTTAATGTTTTCAGTTTTGAAATACTAATTTACAAACCTAACCTCTCTCAGCATCACACTTTTTGCCAGCTGTAATACATACACTGTCTCTTTCCCGGACTACCACAGCCCCCTGCAAGAGATTTGTAGCCATGCCATGGTCACAAAGATAGAAAAATGACTTATAATTACAGTACTGCACAAAGTACATGACATTGCTCTTTGAGATAGAATTTATCTGCCAAATTAAAGAACTGTATTTTTTTCTGCTACATTTACCTTGCCACATGTGTTCTTTCTTTCTTTAACCACTTTTATTGCACTTGACATTCATTAGAATATATTAAGAATATAGAAAGTTAAGTGAAATAGGCAAGTGTCTCAACTACCTAGTGGTGAAAAATTTCCCCCTAGATTTAAGATCTTCTTACATCAAAAGGATTTTTCTAGTTCTACAAAACAGTTCATTGCAATAGACTAAGCCTTGACCCTTCACTTTGTAGAGACAGTTTTGATTAGGGAATAGGATAGAATATCCAGAGAAGCAGTCAGGAATGCAAACTTTGACTATTAGATTAAGCAACATAAAGGGCATAAACAACATCATTTGCAGGAAGAAGAATGAGAAGGGGGATATCATTTATACACTGGTTTCCATTTTAAGATGTAGAAATAATATACCTTTCCTTATGTAAACTCTTACAGTGTTCTTATCTGCTTAGCAGGCCATCTTTGTTATATTAGAACTCAAACAAGATAGTGATCTCTAATTCATTGGAAATTACTGTGATGTGATGGTTGTGATTATAGTTTGTTTTAAAATACAGATTTAGATGTACTGCAGGTATGTATGTCCTGTAGAGTGTAATTCCTCATGATAACATCCTTTTGTTGTAAGACAGCAGCACATCTGTGGGCCCCAGTGACCTAACAGGCTGCATTCATGGCTCTGGCCTTGTGACGACGGGTCAGTGGACTCTACACTATCTGCCCAGGTCTTGCCAGTGGTGCTATCAAAGGCTGTTAGGCTCTGACAGCTAAGATTGGTGGAGTACAACCAGCCAGTGAGGCTCTTTCCTGGGATCTACCGCTCCATTTCACTCAATATGACCTTCCCAAAATGACTGTCTCTGCATAGGGTTGTGGAAAGCAGCCCCGTGGATCATTCAGAAGAGAGGCAAGTCCCCTTCTACACTCCTCAGAGACATCTGTAACCTCTGCAGTCAGACATTGCAAAGAGTTCCAGTGAACATTTTAGAATAACTACCAGATTCCAAGTGGTTTCCTTCAGGAGCTGAAGTTTGGAAGAAAGCTTGATTGAGAGAAACTTGTTTTAAGTAGGTAGCGTGACCAGCCACAGTTGAGGACTTAAACAAAACTCTTTGTTAGGTACTCTGTGTTGAGAGGTCTGACTTCCATGGCCAAATTGTTATTGATTTCTATTTATGCTTGTAAATTCTACCAGAATGCTGCCTAATTAGAGCTGCTCTATTATTTTTCAGAAATCATTGTTATAAACAAAAATTATTGAAAATTAACAATGCCTTTTCATCCTGAAAACCATTTCAGGCCCTTTCCATTTTTAAGAATAAAATTATGGAAATTAAAGAATATACTGGATTTCTTTAAGGTGTAGAAATCCAGCATATACTTTTCTCTTGCTTTTCTCATCCTAAAACAACCCTTTGTTTTTTTTCTAAAAAGATTTAGTTATATTATCTTGAGGAAAAGATTTAGAAATAACAAGTTTGAAATTAATAGAAGAGTTAAATGGTAAAACATGTAGTCACCATGAGTTTAGGTTTTTGTTGCTATCTTGGAGTCAGTTCCATGAGGTCTGAAGTGATTCCCAGGTTCAAAATGGAAAGGGAATCTGGGAGAGTAAGAGGCTCTGATGAGAGTCTGAGTTTAGTGCCTCAGAAGATGCCCAGTTTCCCAGAATACACTGCAGCATATCTTAACGTTAGCATTAAATGTTAAATGCTAACATTTAATGTACACATTGAAATGATATTACGATAATGTTTTAAAATTTGGAGCAACCTTTTTTGGGGAGGGGGACTTTAAAATGATTCAAGTTATCAAGAACCAGTGCTCCCTTAAAAGAAGTAAACATAACACCCAGAAGAGAATTAGGGAGGTACTCTCTTGCTTTTGGGATGACATGTTTAAATTTAAAGCAAATCATCAGAAGGAACTTTCTTATGCTTAGGCCAACTACATGATGCGTTTTGAAAAGGAATAATTAGATGATGAATTTTGAAAAGGAAGTCACTTTCCTGATACTTGAGGGCTTTTGAATACATTCATTGTTTAAAAGGTAAATGTATTGATTTTGTGAATATCGAAAATAAATTGATTACAATAGAGTCCATGCATTAAACTTGGCAGTTCTTTTCCCAAGAATGTTTCCCCCTAGTTTTTCTTTTTAATTAATTGTTTTTGAATAGGTAATACATTTGTTTACATTGTTAAAAAAGTTAAGAGAGACATTAGAAGGTATGCTTTGAGAAGTTTTACTGCCAACCCTGTTTTCGTTTGCCTCATCCCACCCTTCTGCCCCACAGGCCAACATGCTAGTTTCTCTGTATTTTCCCAGGATCTTTGGAGGCAGTTCTTTTTGCAAATATATGTTGTGCTTCTCCCTACTCCCCTTTTTACATAAAAATAGCGTAGTATATATGTTGTCCTTTGTTTTCCTCACTTAAGGGTACATCCTAGAGCGGTTTCCATTATCAGAAAACAGGGAGCTGCTTCTTTTAGCTCACGGGGATGGCTACTTGGATTGTTTCCAATGTTTTTCTTGTACAAACACTGCTGTGATATTTTATATGCATGTATAGGAATATCTGTAGGATAAAGTCTCACAAATGAGATTGTTGGATCAATATTTGTAATTTTGATAGATGTCAGGTTATTCCTCAGAGTGTTTTTGTCGTTGTTGTTTGTTTGTTTTTTAGAACAGAATTTTGCTTTCTCACCAGGAATGTTTGAAGGAAACTATTTTCCTGTGGCAAGCATGGCCATGTAATTTTTTTGTCTGAACCGTGACACTTCTGAGAGTGAAAAGTGGCTTATTAATAACCACACTAGGGCAACAGGCATAAGCCGGGACTTTGCCAGGTAATCTGGGACATGTCTTGACTTAATGTTAGCTTTGCTGACAGAATATGCCATAAGACTTTCCGATTTTTCTCAGGAGACCTTGAATGGAATTAAAATTCAAAAGTAATCCTTTAATGAGGCCAGCCTTTAAAAGTGAAGCCACTGATGATTGCACAACAGTATGAATGTATGTAGTGCCATGGAACTGTACACTTCAATGTGATTAAAATGGTAAATTTCATTATGTATATTTTACCACAATATAAAGCATAAAAGTTAAATAAAGATACTACTAATATATGAACCCACATGGATTAATCTCAAACAAATTAGATAAAATGAGAAAAAGGAAAAAGACAGTCTCAAATGCTACATATTGTATGATTTTATTCATAAAGATATTCTGGAAAAGGTAAAACTATAGAAACAGCAAACGTGTAGGTAGTTTCCAGGGGCTGAGGGCACAGGGAGGGTTGACTACGAAGGAGCTGGAGGAAATTTTGGAGGGTGATGGGACTGTTCTATATCTTGACTATGGTAGTAGTTACAGGATTTTGTGTGTTTTTCAGAACTCATAGAAGTATACACTTAAAGGAGTACATTTCGCTGCATGTAAATTATAGCTTAATAAAAGAGAAATGAAAAAAGTGATGGAAAAAAGTAGAGTTCCCAGTATTGTTTCCCTTGAGCTCTGGGAAAGATGTCTTGCCTGGTCTGGCTTCTCTTCTGGGCAAGGGCAGCATGAGCTGAGTGGCGCTTGGCAATGGGCCTCCTGCCCAGTGACCCCTGTGCCACTTGCACTTTTCTAGCTGTCATCGGTGGCCCTGCCGCTTCAGGAAACTGTGGTACTCTAACGCTTCATCTGGCCTGTTTTAGGGATCTTGCAGATGCTAAGGTCAGGGGTTCAGGATGAGTGCGGCCCACCATTGTGTCACCCCGAGGCTCAAGTGGGTATGAGCGTATCTGGTTCCGTTTCACCTGGAGGGAATGGGGAAGCCTGATAATTGCTTCCGAGTGCCCCAGCCTTTCTTGAATGCCCTAGGGATTCGCCCTTGTTTCTTCGTGGCATAGGGAAAGGATTCTTACATGGTGAATCAATCTTGGCTGTGACAGAGGATGCCAGTTAATGGCCAATGTAAATGTCTGCTGCATCTGGACCAAGTAAAAAGAATGTTTAGATGGGCAAGAACAGAAGGTTCCACAGGTAAGTAGGGTGCAGGGTCAGGAAGACAGTGAAGACAGATGGAAAAAGGCACATTCTCTGGGTCCAGGATGGGAGGTGGATGCGAAAGTCAGCAGAGGTCAAGAGTCAAAATCAGAAGAATGCTCAACATCACTAGTCATTAGGGAAATGCAAATCAAAGCACAGTGAGCTACTACTTCACACCTATGAGGATGGTTATTATTTAAAAAAAAAAAAGAAAATAGCAAGTGTTGATGAGAATGTGGAGAAATGGAAACAGTTGTGCACCATTGGTAGGAATGTAAAATGCTGCTGCTGCTGCTGTGGAAAACAGTATGGTGGTTCCTCAAAAAATCAAACATAGAATTATCATCTGATCCTGCAATCTCACTTCTGGGTTTGTATCCAAAAGCAGTGAAAGCAGGGACCGAAACAGGTATTTGTAGACCTCTGTTCACAGCAGCATTATTCACAATGGCCAAGAGATAGAAGCAACCTAACTGCCCACTGACACTTGGATGAATGGATAAACAAAATGAGGTCTGTACATAACAGTGGAATATTATTCAGCCTTGGGAAGGAAATTCTGACACGTGCTACAACATGGATGAACCTTGAGCATATTAGCGTATTATGTTAAAGGAAATAAGCCAGTCATAAAAAGACAAATACTATGTGATTCCATTCAGATGAGGCACCTAGGGTGGTGAAATTCATAGACGAAAAGTAGAAGGGTGGTTGCCAGGGGTTGGGGATAGCAACATGGGGGAATTGTTTAATAGGTATAGAGTTTTAATTTTGCAAGGTGAAAAGAGTTCTGGAGATGGATGGTGGTGATGGTTGCAGAACAATGTACTTACTGCCACTGAACTAGTGAATACATTTTAAAATGATTAAAATGGCAAATTTAATGTTTTGGATATCTTACCATAAAACCATAATCTTAAGAAAAATTCAAGGGGTGTGAGCTAAAGCCAGCAGGTTTTTTACCTGCAAATCCGAGGCAGGGTGGCTGTCATCTCCTTCAGGTGAGTGTGAACAAGGCACCTATGCAGTGGGTGATTCCTCACACAGAGGTCCCTGGCAGGTCCACCTCTCTATCGCTCCAGAGTGGCCCGACTTCTCTCATATGCCATCACTTGCATGACCATCAAGCTAATCTGCCTGCTACATGCATTGTCATTCACTTACAGTGACCATCTTCTGTAACTTCTGTCCAGGACAGTGGCCAGAAGCCATGTGTGGCTGTTGTGCACTTCCAATGTGGCTCATCCAAGTTGAGGTGTGCTGTAAATGTAAGATGCACACTGGATTCTGGAGCCTTAATCTGAAAAAATATATGATGTAAAATACCTTGTTAATAATTTTATATTGATAGTATGTTGAAATAACATTGGGGTCAATGAAATGTATTATTAAAATTAATCTCACTTGTTTGATTTGAATTTTTTTGTTGTGGCTACTAGAAAATCTAAAATTTCATGGATGGCTTTCATTGTATTTCTGTTGACTAGCATTTTTCTGGAGCAGCAGCACCATCTGAAAATGTGTTAGAAATGCAGATTCTTGGGTCCCACCCCAGGCCCTTGGAACCAGAAACTCTGGGGATGGAGCCAGCAATCTGTGTTTTAACATCTGCTCAAGTTTGAGAGCCAGGGCTCTAGAGCACTCTGTCTCAATCAGTTTAACAACTACTAACACTAAACTAACAGGCTGCTTTATCACTGCTGCCAAGCACCTTGACCTTTAATCACAGCTTACCGCAGGAAGGACTGACTGCAGGTGCAGATTAGCACAGGCACTCGCAGCTGTTTGGGCGCTCTCTTGCTTTGCTCTGGATTCTCTGTCTCTCCACTCTCTGCTTATGTGGCTTCTCACCCACTTTGTTTCTTTACCTGTTTCCAGCTCTATGTTCAGTGGGCTTGACAACAGATTCCACTTTCCCTTCTCCTCGCTCCCTGGGGACAAAGGGAGTCCTTCTTGTCAGTTTCTGCTACTTGATGCACTTGAGTTAAGGACGATAGCTGAGCACTCATGTGAACTTTGCTGAATTCTGCATCGTGTCTTCATTTTGCTCAGGCAGGAAGGGAGGGGAAGATGTGAAGAATTAGGGGAAGGGTGCTAAATTATCATTGGTTTTGGAAATCTCATGCAGTTGAGAATCTCTTGGGAAAAATGAGACTCTAAATTTGTTCCTCTCTCCTTCTACCCCTCCTTTCCTTTCTTCCTTCTGGGGGAAATTTTGGTTTCTTCCTAGTATCCATAAAAGGGGTCTTTATGAGACTTCTGCATCTGGTTTTGATGAGACCAGATGTGTTTGAGCAAATCATTCACCTTCTCAGTGCTTCTACCTCCTGGTCCTTAAGGTAGAATTAACGGCTTCCAGTGCTGCATCACAGCTTGCAGCGCACTCTCTGTCATGGAGTGAAGGTCAGCGTGCCTACGATAGAGTTGTTTGGAAGCCCCGTTCTGGCACTGACATCTGATGGAGCTGTATTTGGGCTCTTTTCGAACCCCTATGACGTAATTTGTCAAATGAGGATAAAGGAGATCCTCAATACTTTCTATAAAACCATCTGGGCCAAATATGTGCATGAATTTGCGCTTCAGGTTTTAAGATTGTGCCTGTGTTGTATATAACATGACATTCCTAAGGAAGGGCTAGGGCAGCGCCCTGTATCAGATACGTTATTTCTGAAGTGAAACATGGGCATTCACACTAAATGAGATTTCTCAAAAAGACTATAAATAGCTTCATACATTTGGGTTGTGTTTTCCTGTCAAATGAGTTATAAAAACAACCTCACAGCTTTTAGATCTTTTGGCATTCAGGATAATGGATAAGGGATTGTGGACTTTGGTAGTGCCTGTGTTGTCTGAAATAACAGAATAAACCCAGATTAGCAAATGTGTGGCTTTTATTTTGGAATGGCTGAGGAATGCCCCAGATTAGGAGAAGATTCCAAAGAGCTGATTCATGTGTCAACCTTTTGGAGTTGGTATTTTTGCCAACAACCTGAGAGAACTATATGTCAGTGTCCAGAAATATATATGGACATTCCCAGATATCGGAGCTTAATGTTAAGATTTTAACATTAAGACAGAAAAAGATTATCCAATTCAGACATATCTTTGAATCTGGCTGTATATGCATGCTACACAAAGTTTTATTTCTTTGAAAGCAGAACACAAGGTAGTTGCAAAAATCCACCACAGTGTCATAGGTTCATTGTGATGACTAAATGGGATACTGTACTGAAAGCAGTTAGCACAGAGTTTGGTCTTTAAAAATTCAATAAGTGATAATTTGGTATATTGTTATAATAACTGGGGATGTTAATAAGTAGCATTGTCTGTTGTCATTCCAGTTATAAATGCATTTTATCAAAATTTGTTCCTTATATTTTAAAATATTTTAGCAATCGAAGAAATGGTATTCTTTTTTTTTTTTTTTTAAAAAGCTTTATCTTTGGTTTTTCTCTGGTTTTAATTCAGTGCCGTTGTTTAAGTCACTTCACCTCTGTGATGGTTAATTTTATGTGTCAGCTTGCCTAGGCCACGATGCCCGGATATGTGGTCAAAGATTATTCTGGATATTTCTGTGAGGGTATTTTTGGATGAGATTAACATTTAAATTGAAGGATTTTGGGTAAAGCAGATTGATCCTCCATGATGTGGGTGGGCCTCATCCAATCAGTTTTAGGCCTGGATAGCCCTCTCCTGAGCAAGAGGGAAGTCTGCCTACAGACAGCCTTTGGACTCCAACTGCAGCATTAGCTCTTCCCTGGTTTCCAGCCCGATGGCCCACCCTGCAGCTTTTGGACTTGCCAGCTTTCATAATTGTGCGAGCTAATTCTTTAAAATAAATCTCAATCTCTTTCTCTCGAGCTCTGATGAATGGACCTCTCTTGACCTTACTTGGTTTTTCTTCATTTATAGAAACGGAACATAGGAGATGATGGCTTCCAAAGTTTCCTTTAAGAGTGTGAGAAGTTATTTGGGTCTGAAGCAGCATCTAGGATGGCCCAGGCTTGGGTGGTTGGGAGGATGGGGGCAGGAAGGAGAATGGGCCTTGGGAGCGGGCATAGATGGCAGGCTTAGTTGGGAGCTGTTGGGGCCTATGGAGATCCATATGGAGGTGTCCAGTACACATCTGGATGACAGTGGTCTTGAGGGTGATGGTGATTCATGGAGAGGTGTTAACAGACACAGGATGTAAGAACTTGCCTGCTGTGTAGAGCAGAGTCCCTGATGCATACACTAGGTGGGCACTGGCTTCCTGGCTTCAGAGCCCAGAGGGAAACGCAGCAGCTGGGACTCCCACTTAGTTGTATTAAACATGCTACCTCCAGTGTCCTGGAGACTGTGGCTGCATGCCTGCTTTCTCACCAGATGCAAAGAACTAAGACAAAACAACTCCTTAATGTTCACCGTGTCCCCTGATGAATTTTGGGCTACTCTCCCGAGCATAGAATCCTCTAACAGCACCAGGCATCAAGTTTGGCTGAGATCTGTTCCTGTAGAGTCCAAGTCTTAGATGGAGGCTTGAGCTGGAACAGCTTGGTATTACTATTCCCTTTGTGAATAGTGACAATGTTAATAGCTGTGTCTGCTGATGTGTGTTCAGTGTTCATCACTCCAGAGCTGTGCTATCCACTAGGGAGCCACTGGTCCCATGTAACTATTTACATTACAATTAAAATAATTAAATTAAGAATTTAATTATTCAGTCACAGTTGCCACATTGCAAGTGTTCAGTGGCTGCATATACCTGGTGGCTTCTGTATTGGACACCACAGATGTGGGACATTTTCATCCTCACAGAAAGTTGGCTGGACAGCCATGCTCTAGTCCAGAGCTTTGTGTACATTGTTATATACTCCCATGGTGTTTTGGAGTGGGAATTATTATCCCCAGTTTGTAGATGAAGATGTTGGGGCTTAGGCTGAATAATTGACCCCAAATCACAGTTTTAAGTGACAAAGCTGGGAACTCAAAGCTGGACCCCTCGGACTCTCCTGGAGCTCTGGACTCGTCCACTGGATCTGGACTTGTCAGCCTACAGGTGGTAGTGAGCCTTGAGTGTGCAGGAAATCTTCCCTCCCTGTGGCAAGAGGCAACCCTGGGTGAAAAGATGGAGAAGAGTGGAGACACACAGAGGGTGTGGACAGAGGCTCCAGAAGGATGCAGCACATCTAGTGCAGCACAGAGAGATCGAGTCGCATTGCACAGTGGCACCATGAGGTCATTGGTCTTTGCGAGGGCTGTTTCAGCCTACTAGAGGGGGAGAAAGCTGGATATCACGGCTTTGAGGAGTAAATGAGAGATGAGGGAGAGGAAGGAGATGGGGGTTGGGCAGCTAGAAAGAGACATGAAATGAAAAGACAGGACACTTTTAGGCTTGAGGAAGCTCGACCCTATTAATAGACTAAGGTAAAGACTGTGTGGGAACCAGGCTGGAAGCAACTTTGGGGTGGGGGCCGTCCCTGAGACACATGCCCTGCCTGGAGGGGGCCACCACCATCCTGTCCCAGCTGATTGCTGCTGGGAGACCATATTAGCTTTCTGTTGCCAGAGTCCACACATCTGGATTTTTATGTGAAATGTGCCAAATTCTAAACACGTTTAAAATAACATGTGTTTCCATAAAAAGCACACATCCCGTTGCAGAACAATGTGAATGTCTTTAATGCTGCACAACTGTACACTTAAGAATGGTTAAAATGGTACAATTTTTGTGTTTTTTACCAAAAAACAAAAAGCACATACCACTGGGCCACTTTGGCACACAAGCTGTGAGTTTGTGACTTCTGGGCTAGGGGAATAGATCCTGCATTACTCTCTGCCTTGGCTGTGCAATAGAATCCTAAACCCCAGGCCATACCTTGGAACAATGAAGTCAGAATGTCTGGAGGAGGGACCCAGGTAGCAGAATTGTTTAAAATGAAAAAGTGATCTCATTTTACAGCCAATGTTGAAAAGGTGAAATAATTAGCAATTAGGATAGAGACAGGAAGAAACAGCATAAGAATCCATGTGTAGGGAACTTCTGTTTCTGGGACTGGAGGGACAAAAGTGAGGATGTATATGGATTATGCTAAATTAGGGGTGTGAGGATACCACAGCAAGATTAATGGAGAATTTCATGATGTCCAAGACTTGAGCTCAGCTATTCTTTAACTTTTCTAGTTGCAAAGTGGGAATGATATATGCACCTACCTGGCTATGTCATCATGTCTTTGTGCTTCTGAAAATCTGTTTGTTCCCGGGGAATTCATTTTGTACAGATGTGTTGTAAAGCAAAAGAGTCATACTCATTAGTGATAATCTTCTAGGAATTACTTTACTTTTCAATTTCTATCCCTACTGTTCTACTAGAGAAGTTATTAATTCATTTTGGAGAAAACAGAAAATTAGAGAAATGGATTTGTGAGCAAACAAATCAGGAAAAACAATGAAATCTAAATGTATACAGCCACTAACAAAGCTTTTAGTAAACTGAATGTACAAAGTGTTCACTGAGTATAGACAGTTATTTCAGAAAATGTAATTATCCCTTTTAACACGAAAATGTTAAAAGTCCATTAATTATCAAATATTCAAAGAGTTGCCTTTGGAGTAGACAAAGACCTGAGGCATTCTTCAGAGGAAGCATTTTTATTAAAGAAGAGATTATTTATGTATACTAAAAACTAGAGAAGGCTTTGAATAATTCAGGGGGGAAATAAAGTTCTATTTCCCCCCTGAATTTAATGTAGCTTGAAGTGATGTAAGCTCATGTCTAAAATATTAGTTTAATATGAGAACAAGCCTCTTTCCAGCAGGAAGATGTTGCTCATTTAGCTTTCCTTGTAAGCAAAAGCAATTGTTTGTAAACCAGCTTGGCTGCACTTTGAGTCAATTGGTTTTGGACTAGCTTCTAATCAAGAGATGCAAATGCTTTCTTGTCAGCAGTTTCATTGGCTTAGACCTGTCTGCTGAGGGAGATTTATATTGATTCCTGATAACTTAAGATGCTCTGTTGGGCATGCTTTATAAAATTTGTGAAGCTAGTGGAGTGCTGGGAGCTGAGAATCTGTTGATATGTGAAAGAGCCACAGAGTCCAGGCAGGCTCAGGAAAATGGTTGCTTAGTAATTTGGGCATTTGCAGATGAATTCTCATCTTACCCAAGACCCAACCAGTGAAAGGAGCTTATGAAAATGAGGCCAAGATAGTGACACCTTTTTCGATAAGGGATACATGTATGAGGAAATTTTAGGGGAGCATATGTAGTTCAGACATACAGCTAAGACACTGAATACAAAATTGGCCTCATTAACAAAGTCCCTTGCCAGCTTCCCAAGCCCAGAAAAATATCCCTCAGCAATCTCTAAGAAGGAGGAGGTCGCAGGTTTGAAGAGGCTTAGATTTGACTTGTTGGGGATGGGAATGGAGGAGTCTATGAATCTGGGTCACAGTTTGGTGAGGGTTGGGTCTTCTGCTCCAGCAGTCCTCTCTACAGGTGTCCACAGGGCCCACAGGAGGCTGGATGGGGAGGATGAGGGTGGACGGCAGCCACCTCACTCCTTCTGCTGGGGAGACAGTATGAGGGGTGAGGATGGGGTGAACAGGGAAGCACATGCGAATCTTAAAGAGAGCCAGCTGCTGCATGGGACTGCAGGGCCATGTATGCCAGGGTGTCTCATTCTCTAACAAGTCAGGCTTTGGGCCTTTTTTTTGTTTTGTTTTGTTTTTTTTTTTTTTTGCAGAATTGCCTGATTTGTGCATGTTGATAATGAGTTCAAATCATGACATTGTGAGGGGCAAATAAAACACCTATGAGGGTCAGATTTGGCCTGTGTGCCTGGCCCCTCTGCCCCCTACCCTACTTTCCTAACCAGGGCTTATATGGAAGGAGGTAGTGGAATCTTCGGCTGCCTGGGAGGTGTTGTGAACTGGCAGGAGGATGTCTTGTGGATTGGGGCTTCACTGAGTGAGTCACTCATTCAACATGTATCTATGAATTGCTCTGTGCCAGGCACAAGATGTTTTGGAGGTGTGGGGAATTACAGGCCAGGGAGATGTTGGAGGCCTGGGACTTCGGAAGGAGCTGTGTTTGTGGAGTGACTCTTTTCTATGCAATTAGGGACAGAGTCTATGTGAGAGGATGGGGGATGGTATTGGCAAGTTCAGTCCTGGTTGGAGAGTGAAGGACTTTACAGTTGCTCAGGAGTGTGGATTTTGCTCTAAGAGTGAGAGGTGAAGCCAGCTGGACTTACTGGGTGTAGTGGGGGCATGAGAACTTTTCTGTCTAGCAGAAGGATTGTAAATGCACCAATCAGCACTCTGTAAAACCACACCAATCATCAGTCTGTGTCTAAAGGATTGTAAATGCACCAATCAGCACTCTGTAAAAATGTACCAATCAGCAATCTGTGTCTAGCTAAAGGATTGTAAATGCACCAGTCAGCACTCTGTAAAAACGCACCAATCAGTGCTCAGTGTCTAGCTAAAGGATTGTAAATGCACCAATCAGCACTCTGTAAAATGGACCAATCAACACTCTGTAAAATAGACCAATCAGCAGGACATGGGCGGGGACAAATAAGGGAATAAAAGCTGGCCACCCCAGCCAACAGCGGCAACCCACTTGGGTCCCCTTCCAGGCTGTGGAAGGTTTGTTCTTTCGCTCTTCAAATCTTGCTGCTGCTCACTGTTTGGGTCAGCACTACTTTTATAAGCTGTACCACTCACTGCGAGGGTCTGCGGCTTCATTCCAGAAGTCAGCGAGACCACGAACCCACTGGGAAGAACAAACAACTCCGGATGCGCCACCTTTAAGAGCTGTAGCACTCACCACGAGGTCTGCGGCTTCATTCTTGAAGTCAGCGAGACCAACAACCCACCAGAAGGAATAAATTCCGGACACAAGAGCAAGAGGGAACCACTTAGCAGAGAACTGTCGTGATCACATTCGCATATTTACAAGCTGCTGCTGCTGGGCAGAGAAACAACATGAGGCAGGGGACCCAGTGCATGCTTGAGGGCTAGACTTTTAAGAATTTTTGCTCATTTAAGACTGCTGCTATGTTAAGGTATGCAGTTAGGGTCCCTGCTGCTCTTGATCATGTGGGATAGAATGTGAATAAACATCACAGAGTCAAATGTGTGTAGGTTAGACTTGTCTTCCCTGTCCAGCTGTTTTCTTTATTTTCTTTCCATTGAGGTAGTGTACCAGTTATGAAACTCAGGTTTGTCTCTTCAATTTTTTTTTTTTTTTTTTTGAGACGGAGTCTCGCTCTGCCACCCAGGCTGGAGTGCAGTGGTGCGATCTTGGCTCACTGCAAGCTCCGCCTCCCGGGTTCACGCCATTCTCCTGCCTCAGCCTCCTGAGTAGGTAGGGCTACAGGTGCCCACCACCACGCCTAGCTAATTTTTTGTATTTTTAGTAGAGACGGGGTTTCACTGTGTTAGCCAGGATGGTCTCAGTCTCCTGACCTCATGATCTGCCTGTCTCGGCCTCCCAAAGTGCTGGGATTACAGGCGTGAGCCACCGCGCCCGGGTGTTTCTTCAATGTCTTTAAAATTTAATTTAATTTAGACTGTGAGCCTTTTTCCTGCTCTGGGCTGGCAGGAGCTTTAAACCTGGCTACTTCTTATCCTTTTTCCCTCCTTCCCCTTTGTTTAAAGGTCCTGGGTTGGAGGCAGCACCCAGGTAGTAGAGACATCCCTCTGATCCTGTGTCTCAGGTCCACAGCAGTTACCTCTGAGATGTCAAGGGTTTCTTAGGATCAGCCAGTGTGATTCTGTCTCTGTACCTGGGAACTTGTGCAATCCTGGAGCCCAGCCTAGGCTTGGCTGAAGCTGCTCCTCCCTTTCTAGGCTCAGCTGGCTTTGAGAGCAGCCAGCACAGAGCCTGCCTACCTCTAGGAACTACAGTCTGCTCCTTTGTGGGCCTGGGAAATTTACTTTGGGGGACTCTCTCAATCTCCCTTCTCTTCTCTGTAGTTCCCACAGTGACACCTCTTCTGGCCTGAAACTTTTTTTCCCCTCCATGGGCTGAAGCATTTGGAAACCAAAACCAGGAAGGGAAGTGTCTTAGCAGCAACTCCTCCTCTGCAGTCACAAAGCTCCCCAGGGAATCATGGAGCCTGCCTGGGGGAGGTAGATGGAGAAAGGGAAAACAGAAGAAAGACATTGCTATTTCAACAAATGTTTTTTCCATGGTGGCAAGTTGATATTAGTGTTTGGTTTCAGAGCCAAAAGACAGCAGATAAGAGGACTGCCGGAGGGAGGAGGAGGTGAAGGAGGGAACGAGCACTTGCCTAGTCTGAGCAGCCTTTTCCAGCTGGTGGGGGGTAAGAAGAGATGGTTTTGACGGCTGCACATGGACTAGAAGCAGGGAGATTTACAGCATTGCATACTGTGAGCATATCCCACACTTGCATACTTCCAGGAAGGTACTATTGACTATTTCCTTAATAATTGTATTTTCAGTGGTTCATGGCCACTTCCAACAGCTTGGGTTATGCCTGACCATTTCTAAGACTCAGTTTGGCCATCCCTCGCATGCTCCCCTGGGCCCTTGGATAATGAGTCCTAGTTGCTCATATTTAAAATTTTCTTTTTATTGTGGTAAAATATACACAACATACAATTTTCTGTCTTACCCATTTTTAAGTGTACAGTTTAGTGGCATTAACTACATTGAACCATCACCACCATCCGTCTCCAGAAGTCTTTCATCTTGCAAGACTGAAACCGTCCCCGTTAAAAAACTTTCCATCTCTCCCCACAGCCCCTGGCAATGACCATTTTACTTTCAGTGAATTTGGTGACTCTAGGTACCTTATGTGAGTGGAATCATACAGTATTTGTTGTCACCACCAGTATGTGTTTTTTCATTGATCTTTTTCTCTTAGCAACATGTCCTCAAGGTTCCATGTTGCAGGATGTGTCAGAATTTTCTTCTTTTTAAAGGCTGAATAATATTTCATTGTATGTATATATCACATTTGTTTATCCATTTATCCATAGGGGGATATTTGGGTTGATTTCACATTTTAGCTATTGTGACTAATGCTGCTGTAAACACAAGTATACCAATATCTCTTTGAAACTCTGATTTCAATTCTTTTTGTGTATACCTAGAAGTGGGATTGCTGGATCATGTGGTGATTCTAATTTTATTTTATTTTTTGAGGAATTGCCGTACTGTTTTCTCTAGCAGCTGTACCATTTTATAATCCTACCAACAATGCACAAGTGTTTCAGTTTCTTTACATCTTAGCCAATACCTGTTATTTTGTTATTCTCCTGTGCATTGTCTGTTTACTCTATTGATAGTTTCTATTGCTGTGCAGAAGCTCTTTAGTTTAATTAGGTCCCTCTTGAGGGAAGGGTGTGTCCTAGGTTTTCTTTTAGGATTCTTATATTTGAGGTCTTATGTTTAAATCTTTAATCCATCTTGAGTTAATTTTTTTATCTAGAGAAAGGTAGGGGTCCAGTTTCATTCTTTTGCATATGGCTAGCCAGCTATCCCAGCACCATTTATTGAATAGAGACTCCTTTCCCTGTTATCTTTGTTGACTTTATTGAAGATGAGATGGCTGTACATGTGTGGCTTTATTTCTGGGTTCTCTATTCCATTCCATTGGTTTGTGTGTCTATTTTTGTACCATATGTTACTGTCTTCTTTTTTGCTTGGTTGATTTTCTTTGTAGTGAAATATTTTAGTTTCATTTCTTCTCATTTTCATTTATGTATATTCTATAGTTTATTTTAATGTTTATTTTTATTTTTATTTTTTATTATTATACTTTAAGTTTTAGGGTACATGTGCACAACGTGCAGGTTTGTTACATATGTATACACGTGCCATGTTGGTGTGCTGCACCCATTAACTCGTCATTTAGCATTAGGTGTATCTCCTAATGCTATCCCTCCCCCCTCCTGCCACCCACAACAGTCGCCGGTGTGTGATGTTCCCCTTCCTGTGTCCATGTGTTCTCATTGTTCAATTACCACCTATGAGTGAGAACATGCAGTGTTTGGTTTTTTGTCCTTGGGATAGTTTGCTTAGAATGATGGTTTCCAGCTTCATCCATGTCCCTACAAAGGACATGAACTCATGTTTTTTTATGGCTGCACAGTATTCCATGGTGTATATGTGCCACATTTTCTTAATCCAGTCTATCATTGTTGGACATTTGGGTTGGTTCCAAGTCTTTGCTAGTGTGAATAGTGCTGCAATAAACATACGTGTGCATGCGTCTTTATAGCAGCATGATTTATAATCCTTTGGATATATACCCAGTAATGGGATGGCTGGGTCAAATGGTATTTCTAGTTCTAGATCCCTGAGGAATCGCCACACCGACTTCCACATGGTTGAACTAGTTTACAGTCCCACCAATGGTGTAAAAGTGTTCCTATTTCTCCACATCCTCTCCAGCACCTGTTGTTTCCTGACTTTTTAGTGATCGCTATTCTAAATGGTGTGAGACGGTATCTCATTGTGGTTTTGATTTTCATTTCTCTGATGGCCAGTGATGGTGAACGTTTTTTCATGTGTTTTTTGGCTGCAAAAATGTCTTCTTTTGAGAAGTGTCTGTTCATGTCCTTTGCCCACTTTTTGATGGGGTTGTTTGTTTTTTTCTTGTAAATTTGTTTGAGTTCATTGTAGATTCTGGATATTAGCCCTTTGTCAGATGAGTAGGTTGCGAAAATTTTCTCCCATTCTGTAGATTGCCTGTTCACTCTGATGGTGGTTTCTTTTGCTGTGCAGAAGCTCTTTAGTTTAATTAGATCCCCTTTGTCAATTTTGTCTTTTGTTGCCATTGCTTTTGGTGTTTTAGACATGAAGTCCTTGCCCATGCCTATGTCCTGAATGGTATTGCCTAGGTTTTCTTCTAGGGTTTTATGGTTTTAGGTCTAACATGTAAGTCTTTAATCCATCTTGAATTAATTTTTGTATAAGGTGTAAGGAAGGGATCCAGTTTCAGCTTTCTACATATGGCTAGCCAGTCTTCCCAGCACCATTTATTAAATAGGGAATCATTTCCCCATTTCTTGTTTTTGCCAGGTTTGTCAAAGATCAGATAGTTGCAGATATGCAGCATTATTTCTGAGGGCTGTGTTCTGTTCCATTGATCTATATCTCTGTTTTGGTACCAGTACCGTGCTGTTTGGTTACTGTAGCCTTGTAGTATAGTTTGAAGTCAGGTAGTGTGATGCCTCCAGCTTTGTTCTTTTGGCTTAGGATTGACTTGGCAATGAGGGCTCTTTTTTGGTTCCATATGAACTTTAAAGTAGCTTTTTCCAATTCTGTGAAGAAAGTCATTGGTAGATTGATGGGGATGGCATTGAATCTATAAATTACCTTGGGCAGTATGGCCATTTTCACGATATTGATTCTTCCTACCCATGAGCATGGAATGTTCTTCCATTTGTTTGTATACTCTTTTATTTCATTGAGCAGTGGTTTGTAGTTCTCCTTGAAGAGGTCCTTCACATCCCTTGTAAGTTGGATTCCTAGGTATTTTATTCTCTTTGAAGCAATTGTGAATGGGAGTTCACTCATGATTTGGTTCTCTGTCTGTTTTTGGTGTATAAGAATGCTTGTAATTTTTGCACATCGATTTTGTATCCTGAGACTTTGCTGAAGTTGCCTATCAGCTTAAGGAGATTTTGGGCTGAGAAAATGGCGTTTTCTAGGTATACAATCATGTCATCTGCAAACTGGGACAATTTCACTTCCTCTTTTCCTAATTGAATACCCTTTATTTCCTTCTCCTGCCTGATTGCCCTGGCCAGAACTTCCAACACTATGTTGAATAGGAGTGGTGACAGAGGGGATCCCTGTCTTTTGCCACTTTTCAAAGGGAATGCTTCCAGTTTTTGTCCATTCAGTATGATATTGGCAGTGGGTTTGTCATAGATAGCTCTTATTATTTTGAGATACATCCCATCAATAACCTCATTTATTCAGAGTTTTTAGCATGAAGGGTTGTTGAATTTTGTCAAAGGCCTTTTCTGCATCTATTGAGATAATCATGTGGTTTTTGTCTTTGGTTCTGTTTATATGCTGGATTACATTTATTGATTTTCGTATGTTGAACCAGCCTCGCATCCCAGGGATGAAGCCCACTTGATCATGGTGGATAAGCTTTTTGATGTGTAGCTGGATTCCGTTTGCCAGTGTTTTATTGGGGATTTTTGCATCAATGTTCATCAAGGATATTGGTCTAAAATTTTCTTTTTTTGTTGTGTCTCTGCCAGGCTTTGGTATCAGGATGATGCTGGCCTCATAAAATGAGTTAGGGAGGATTCCCTCTTTTTCTATTGATTGGAATAGTTTCAGAAGGAATGGTAGCAGCTCCTCCTTGTACCTCTGGTAGAATTCGGCTGTGAATCCATCTGGTCCTGGACTTTTTTTGGTTGGTAAGCTATTAATTATTGCCTGAATTTCAGAGCCTGTTATCGGTCTATTCAGAGATGCAACTTCTTCCTGGTTTAGTCTTGGGAGGGTGTATGTGTCAAGGAATTTATCCATTTCTTCTAGATTTTCTAGTTTATTTGCATAGAGGTGTTTATAGTATTTTCTGATGGTAGTTTGTATTTATGTGGTATTGGTGATGATATCCCCTTTGTCATTTTTTATTGCGTCTATTTGATTCTTTTCTCTTTTCTTCTTTATTAGTCTTGCTAGCGGTCTATCAATTTTGTTGATCTTTTCAAAAAACCAGCTCCTGGATTCATTGATTTTTTTGAAGGGATTTTTGTGTCTCTATTTCCTTCAGTTCTGCTCTGATCTTAGTTATTTCTTGCCTTCTGCTTTTGAATGTGTTTGCTCCTGCTTCTCTAGTTCTTTTAATTGTGATGTTAGGTGTCAATTTTAGATCTTTCCTGCTTTCTCTTGTGGGCATTTAATGCTATAAATTTCCCTCCACACACTGCTTTGAATGTGTCCCAGAGGTTCTGGTATGTTGTGTCTTTGTTCTCATTAGTTTCAAAGAACATCTTTATTTCTGCCTTCATTTCGTTATGTACCCAGTAGTCATTCAGGAGCAGGTTGTTCAGTTTCCATGTAGTTGAGCAGTTTTGAGTGAGTTTCTTAATCCTGAGTTCTAGTTTGATTGCACTGTGGTCTGAGAGACAGTTTGTTATAATTTCTGTTCTTTTACATTTGCTGAGGAGTGCTTTACTTCCAACTATGTGGACAATTTTGGGATAGGTGTGGTGCTGAAAAAAATGTATATTCTGTTGATTTGGGGTGGAGAGTTCTGTAGATGTCTATTAGGTCTGCCTGGTGCAGAGCTGAGTTCAGTTCCTGGATATCCTTGTTAACTCTCTGTCTCGTTGATCTGTCTAATGTTGACAGTGGGATGTTAAAGTCTCCCATTATTATTGTTTGGGAGCCTAAGTCTCTTTGTAGGTCTCTAAGGACTTGCTTTATGAATCTGGGTGCTCCTGTATTGGGTGCATATATATTTAGGATAGTTAGCTCTTCTTGTTGAATTGATCCCTTTACCATTATGTAATGGCCTTCTTTGTCTCTTTTGATCTTTGTTGGTTTAAAGTCTGTTTTATCAGAGACTAGGATTGCAACCCCTGCTTTTCTTTGTTTTCCATTTGCTTGGTAGATCTTCCTCCATCCCTTTATTTTGAGCCTATGTGTGTCTCTGCACGTGAGATGGGTTTCCTGAATACAGCACAATGATGGGTCTTGACTCTTTATCCAATTTGCCAGTCTGTGCCTTTTAATTGGAGCATTTTGCCCATTTACATTTAAGGTTAGTATTGTTATGTGAGAATTTGATCCTGTCATTATGATGTTAGCTGGTTATTTTGCTCGTTAGTTGATGCAGTTTCTTCTTAGCTTTGATATTCTTTACAATTTGGCATGTTTTTGCAGTGGCTGGTACCAGTTGTTCCTTTCCATGTTTATTGCTTCCTTCAGGAGCTCTTTTAGGGCAGGCCTGGTGGTGACAAAGTCTCTCAGCATTTGCTTTGCTGTAAAGGATTTTATTTCTCCTTCACTTATGAAGCTTAGTTTGGCTGGATATGAAATTCTGGGTTGAAAATTCTTTTCTTTAGGAATGTTGAATATTGTCCCCCACTCTCTTCTGGCTTGTAGAGTTTCTGCCAAGAGATCAGCTGTTAGTCCGATGGGCTTCCCTTTGTGGGTAACCCGTCTTTTCTCTCTGGCTGCCCTTAACATTTGTTCCTTCTTTTCAACTTTGATGAATCTGACAATTATGTGCCTTGGAGTTGCTCTTCTTGAGGAGTATCTTTGTGGCGTTCTCTGTATTTCCCGAATTTGAATATTGGCCTGCCTTGCTAGATTGGGGAAGTTCTCCTGGATAATGTCGTGCAGAGTGTTTTCCAACTTGGTTCCATTCTGCCCGTCACTTTCAGGTACACCAGTCAGACGCAGATTTGGTCTTTTCACATAGTCCCATATTTCTTGGAGGCTTTATTCATTTCTTTTTATTCTTTTTTCTCTAAACTTCTCTTCACGCTTCATTTCATTCATTTGACCTTCCATTGCTGATACGCTTTCTTCCAGTTGATCGCATCGGTTACTGAGGCTTGTGCATTTGTCACGTAGTTCTTGTGCCATAGTTTTCAGGTCCATCACGTCCATTAAGGACTTCTCTGCATTGGTTATTCTAGTTATCTATTCGTCTAATTTTTTTTCAAAGTTTTTAACTTCTTTGCCATTGGTTCGAACTTCCTCCTTTAGCTCGGAGTAGTTTGATCTTCTGAAGCCTTCTTCTCTGAACTTGTCAAAGTCATTCTCTATCCAGCTTTGTTTTTTGCTGGTGAGGAGCTGCGTTCCTTTGGAGGAGGAGAGGCACTCAGATTTTTAGAGTTTCCGGTTTTTCTGCTCTGTTTTTTCCCCATCTTTGTGGTTTTATCTACCTTTGGTCTTTGATGATGGTGATGTACAGATAGGTTTTTGGTGTGGATGTCCTTTCTGTTTGTTAGTTTTCCTTCTAACAGTCAGGACCCTCAGCTGCAGGTCTGTTGGAGTTTGCTGGAGGTCCACTCCAGACCCTGTTTGCCTGGGTATCAGCAGTGGTGGCTGCAGAACAGTGGATATTGGTGAACCGCAAATGCTGCTGCCTGATCGTTCCTCTGGAAGTTTTGTCTCAGAGGAGTACCTGGCCGTGTGAGGTGTCAGTCCGCCCCTACTGGGGGGTTCCTCCCAGTTAGGCTACTTGGGGGTCAGGGACCCACTTGAGGAGGCAGTCTGCCCATTCTCAGATCTCAAGTTAAGTTCTGGGAGAACCACTACTCTCTTCAAAGCTGTCAGACAGGGACATAGTTTGTTTCTTTGTGGTTTTCATAGGGCTTACATTTATTTATTTAATTCTTGAAAGTTTTACTTGTAATTGACAAATAATATACATATTTATGGGGTACCATGTGATATTTCAATATGTGCATAATTGTGTAATGATCAAATCAGGACAGTTAGCAAATCAGTCACAAACATTTGTCATTCCTTTGTAGTGAGAAGATTCAAAATTCTCTCTTCTAGCTATTTTGTAATATAGATTGTATTATTGTTAACTGTAGTCACCCTACTGTGCAATAGAAATCAGAACTTATTCCTCCTAACTGTAACTTTGTACCCATTGACTAGCTTCTCCTCATCCTCTTCTGCCCCATCCCCCGCCAGCCTCTGGTAACCACTATTTTACTCTCTATTGCTATGAGACCAACTTTTTTAGATTCCATATATGAGTGACATAATGTGGTATCTGTCTTTATGTGTTTGGCTTACTTCACTTAACATAATGTCCTCCAGGTTCATTCATGTTGTTGCAAATGACAGTATTTCATTCTTTTTAATAGCTGAATAGTATTCCATTGTGTATATCTACCACATTTTCTGTATCCATTTATCTGTTGATGGATACTTAGGTCGATTTCATGCCTTGGTTACTGTGAATAGCACTGCAGTAAACTTGGGAGAGTAGATATGTTTTTGACGTATTGCTTTCATCCTTTGGGTGTATACCCAGTAGTAGGATTGGAGGATCATATGGTAATTCTATTTTTAGTTTTTTGAGAAATCTCCATACTGGTTTCCATAGCAGTTATACTACTTTTAGCATTTCTTGCACGGCAGGTATAGTGGTAATGAAATTCTTTGACTTTTGTTTATCTGGGAATGTCTTAATTTTCTTCTGACTTTTGAAGGACAGTTTTGCTGCCCATAGGATTCTTGGTTGACAGTGTTTTTTCCTTTTTTTTCTTTTTTATTGAGTTGGAGTTTCATTCTTGTTGCCCAGGCTGTAGTGCAGTGGCGTGATCTCAGCTCTCTGCAACCTCCACCCCCTGGGTTTAAGCAATTTTCCTGCCTGAGCCTCCCAAGTAGCTGGGATTATAGGTGCACGCCACCACACCCGGGTAATTTTTTTTGTAGTTTTGGTAGAAACAGGGCTTCGCCATGTTGTCCAGGCTGGTCTCAAACTCCTGACCTCAGGTGATCCACCCATCTTGGCCTCCCAAAGTGTTAGGATTACAAGCATAAGCCACTGTGCCTGGCCGACAGTGTTTTTCTTTTAGCGCTTTAAATATATCAGGTCCATTCACTTAAGTTAGGACCTGGATGTCACCCTTGACCTCACATCTGAGCCATCACCAAGTTTTGCCACTTCTCCCTCCTAAATAGCCACAAATATTTTTACTCTCCTTTCCGTCTGCTGCCATTGTCTTCTCTTTACTGCATACCTCTGATAGCCTCCCAGTCCTTCTCCTTCCTTCTACGCAGCCCACTCTAACCTGTCCTCAGGCTGCAGCCAGAGCTCTGTTCCCAAAGTGCAGAGATGGTTGTTCCCCAGTTCCGCTGAACACTTGTCAGCAGCGTTCTACAGTCCTTAGGGTAGGATCAGGCTATTTAATGTAGGGAGGGTGCCAGCCCTTGCCCATATGCACATGCTTATCTCTCATTCCCTCTCACAGTCATTATTCAGGCCACACTGAGCAGCATTCAGTTCCTGGAAAACTGCTCTTCTTGCCCTTTTTGCTGGGATGCTTCTCATAAGAACTTTGGCTTTTATTCTCAGTGAGCTGAAGAGCCACTGGAGGGTCTTGAAGAGAGGAGTGATATGATCTAATTTCCAGTTTTAAAAAGATCCTTCTGGCTATAGGGTTCATCATAAACCACAGGATGGGATCTGGGACATTGTTCCAGGGATCTCACTGAGGAAAGATGGTGGCTTTGATGGTGGTGGCTATGGAGGTTGGGAGAAGTAGTCAGATGCTGGATCTATTTTTAAAAAGATACCTGACAGAACTAGATGACAGGTTGCACGTGGAATGCGAGAGAAAGGAGGAGTCAGGGGTGACTCCAGGCTGTTTGCCCTGAGCAAATGGAAGGATGAGCTTGACATCAACTGAAACGCAGGCAGATATGGGTAGAGCAGCTTTGGACAGAGGTGGTGGGAGTGAGCAGAAATATCAGCAGTTTAGCTTTGTGCAAGTTAAGCTTGAGATCTGTTCAACATCTGTGCTGATGTGGCAGGCAGAACAGTGGCCCCCCCAAAATGTCCATATCCCAGTCCCTGGAACCTGTGAATATGTTCCCTCATGTGGCAAAAGGGACTTTGCACATGTGATTAAGGTAAGGATATTGAGTTGGAGAGATTATCCTGGATGATCTGAGTAGGTCCAATGAAATCTCTAGGGTCCTTGTAAGAGGGAGGCAGGAGTGTCAAAGTCAGAGGAGGAGATGTGATGATCAAAACAGAAGCTGGACTGATGTGCTTTGAAATAGAAGGAAGGGGCTACAGCTAAGCATTCAGGTCGCCTCTGTATCTCACATTTTGTGAGATACATTTCTCCAGCTTTTTGATGGAAGAGGTATGGAAATGGATTCTTCCTGGAGTGTCCAGAAAGAATGCGGCCCTGCCAGTGCCATGACTTTTGTTTTTTAAGACCCATCTTGAACTTCTGACCTCCAGAACTGCAAGATAATAAATTTGTGTTGTCTTGAGCCAGTAAGTTGTAATTTGTTACAGCAGTTATAGGAAATGAATGCAGTGAAGATATTGAGTGGGCTGTATTATACATACGTCTGGGGCTTAGGGAGAGCCTACCTTCCTTCACTTCAGCTGTCACTCATCACTCAGCAAAATGACCGTGTTCTTTTGGCAGCCTCAGCTGTCTTAATAGTAAACATCTGGGAACAGTTTTTAGAAGGTAGGCTAAGTGGATTTCCCAAAATGTACAGTATATGTTTTCTGCTCTTGGCTGGTGTTTCCTGCTTATACCACAATTGATACACTATATACCCATATATACTATATACTATATGCTTTTCAATTTATACAGAATTTGATTATCTATTACAAAGTGGTTTCAGATGATATGAAAATAGGAAAAGTTCTATTCTGAAGCAGAAATAGTGATAGTTGCAGGATGTAACAGTTAATAGCAGGGACAGATGCAGGGAAAATTAAAGTAAAAAGTGAGATGCAAGGGCTTTCATACAGTCATATTTGAGCAAATAGTTTAGGAGCAAACAGATCTTTAAATCTAGCAGTTAATCCCTCCATTAGATCGTCATGCTGAGTTCAGTGACCAATGTTCAAAATGATCACCTTAAGTCACTGTGAAAATATTAGATTACTTTTGATGCACTCTTTCAGAAACTAGAAAATTCTACAGTACATTTTACAAGCTCCCTCTTGACATAATTCAAACTTTAAAGTGCATTGGCTCTTAAATATGCTTCAGTTGCTAGAAAATCAGTTTATCTGGTACACTTAGTTCCCCAGTGATGCTAGGTAATAGAGCACCATTGAACTTTAGCAGTGGATAAATTCATGAATAAGAATGTAAGATATTCAAAGATTAGACTCCAATTGCGCACCAACCCTATTGTGAAAGCCTTTCCCTATAGAACTATAAACAACTAAAAGTACAGTTAAAATAGTTCAAGAAGAGCAACACACTGAGAGTTCACGCCTCAAGTTAGACCCGAAGCAACAGCTTTGCTATAGAGATTGGAATGGATGGGACTTTTTTTGTTTTAATGTTTTAATTTAAGAAACAGTTACATGCCGCTTACTGTGTGCCTAACACTTCTAAGCCTTTTGCATAAATTAATGATTTAGTTTTCATGAAGCAACTCTGAGTAAAGTACTATCATTGTTCCCATTTTACAGATGGCAGAACTGAGGCACAGATAGATCAAGTAACCAGCTCAAGTGCATCCAGCTGGCAAGTCTGGATTCAAGTCCAGGGAGTCCATGCCCTTAGCCATGCTCTGTGCTAGCCTCACTGGATCTTTTCAGCTTATAGTCTTGAATTCCCTCTCCTATATGCTTCTTCCACTTTTAAATGTAGTTCAAGCATGTTAGTGGGATTCCTCTGGAACACTTCGTGTCCTAATTCAAGTCCTGGTCTGGGCCAGCTATTTATTCTGCCCCAACTGTTTCTGGTCTCTAATTCGACATATCTAGTACTGTATCACCAGATGTCATTCTTCTTGTTTAAAAATATGCAGTGTTTTCCCATTTCCTGCAGAATAGGGGCCAGACTCCTTAGCATGATATTTTTGGTTGTGAGCAAGAGAAGTCTTCTCAGGTCACTTTGTGCAGAAAAGGAAGGCCATGGATGATACCCGGGTGATAGACAAGAGCAAGGGAGTGCTGGGCATGGGCAGTGGGAACAAACTAGGCAGAGTGCTCCTGCGGCCCTGGCACAGCCTCCGTGGATGGCTCTTCTGCCACTCTTTGTTGCAGCTGCTGCTCACAGGTGCTGTCTCTCATCTAGTCTCACCATCATCATAGTCTTCATGTCATGTGTTTCAGATTCAAAGGCTCAAGTAAGAGCACCTATTTAGCCAACACTGGCTCACTTTCCCAGGGGAAAGAAAGGGTGAGGAGCTCCCTCATTTTGCTACTTTTATGGAGTGTAGGTTTCTTGCCTCCACCAGGACTGACCACACAGAATTACCCAAAAGTAGGAAGTTGGTTTGGTTCCTGCCAGCCCGAAACAATGACAAATAATTCTACAATGTGGCTTTGACATTTTCTGTCTGCAACTCAGAAAGGATATATGGGCACGCACATGTATTGTGCATGCATGCATGCATGTACATGCATTAACTGAAAAAGATTTCAGAAAACAATTCTTATCCATGTAAATGTAATAAATTGATGGTTTGTATATATTCTCATTTAAAAAAATGCTGGCCGTGACTCACTAAATTGATTTGAGTTTGAAAGTCTTGTCCTACAGCATTCTCTATATAGTATTATATATTCAAAATAACTCCCAATGCGTAGTTGTAGTCATGAAATGCTTATTTATATAGTAGACAAACCTTTTTACAATTCTGGTCTTTAAGTGAATGTTTGTAAGATAGATTCTTGAAGTATGGGATTTATTACCTTGACAACAAAGCAGGCAAAAATGAGAAGAAAACATGGATCTTTTGTGTAATGAAAAGCAACACTTGGTAGTTTCCAGACTATGTGTATCATCAGAAGTTGCCCAATATAATATTTTAGCATGTTAGTTTAGCTTGCCAGAAAAATAGTTTGCTAGAATGTGATGGGTTTTAATTTCTGATGCCTACTAAACAAGCATGTTTCTTTCAGCAAATACAAACTGAGAACCTGCCATGGGTGAGGCCCTTTGCTGGGTGTTATGAAGGATATGGAGGTAAACTGGGCTGGGATCCTCGTCTGAAGGAGCTGGAAGCCTAGTACAGAAGAAGAGACAAGCCTATAGCAAATAGTTGTACAAGGTAGAAAGTGATGAGGATCATGGGAAGGGAATAAATAAAATGCATAGGAATTCAGAGGAGTGCAGTTGTCGAGTGCTTGATGAGCAGGTTCTGCAGAGTAAAGGAGGACTTCAGGGCTGCTCTCTAGAGGGACTTCACCAACACCTCGTGCCTGCCATGGTGCAGCCAATGAGGCCATGGAGATCAGCATGGGCTCACAGACCCCTTTCTGCAGTAGGATTCTTGTCTTAGCATGTCTTTGTTCCTACAACCCCGGCCACTTCTGCCATCAGGTCAATGCTTAATGTACGTAGGGTGAGTGAGTGGACCTAGTTTTGGCAGCAGAGCTCCTGTGGACAGTGATGAGTACTCAGCCACCAGCATTATGGTCGAGGGCCCCACACAGGTTTCTGTGGGCCAGAGAGGGGCTTGGGAGTTCTTAGGGGAAGTAGTGCTGGCCCAGCAGCTGGAGAGGGGCAAGAACTCACAAATAGGGCTTTGATCCCAGTGTTTGCCCATCTCCAAATTGTAAATGGTGATTTATCTATGAACTTGGCAAAGTTCTGTTGAGTGTCTGTTACATGAAAGTTCTGGTACAGAAAGGGATCTGCAGATGCTGAATGACAAGGACCCTGCCCTCTAGAGAAGCCAAGTCCTGGGAACAAAGCAGGGTGGAGAGGAGTCGGGAGGAAGCATATACAGAAATAACCAATGGCAGTAAGCATGGAAAGGCATTAAGTGCTGTAAGCGAGGCACAGGCAGAGAAAGTGCAGCCGTCGTCTTGGACACAAGGAAGCAGGGAACTCTGTACTGACTTTAGCACATGTGAACCAGGCACATTTTTGTCTGTTGTTATTCTTTAGTAATGATACGAATATCTTGCAAACCTGCTTCTTCCTCACAAAAAGTAACCTGGTATTGTTAACCTAGGACATAGTCTGCGCCAAAGTACTTCTGTGTCTTGTAAGGCTCTGCTGAACACAGAATCTGCTCTCTAGGAATATGCTCCATGGATGTAATGTTGAAAAGGAATAGTATTGCCGTTTGAGTTTTGAAGATGAAACTATTTCCATGTTCTGGCAGATGGCCCATTGTAACAATTCTTTTCTTATCTGATTGTAGCTAGCTCTTTTAAAGATGCAGTTCTGACTCAGACACTTTCACCAGTCCCTTACTATGTAGGGATTTGGTTTCTAGAACAGAGACTAAATATTTCTCTTGTATGGAGGGGCTGTGCAAGTTCCTGGAGAGGGGAGTAGGGCAAAACCAGAAGGTAGGTGGACGTGGAGCAGCTGTAAGCTGGGGTTGAGAGTGGGTAGATGAAGGGTGAGGTACCAGTGGAGGATCTTCCCAGGTGCTGCAAAAGTTTAGTTGTGGGCACAGAGCACTCTGCACCAGATGCTGTTAGGAACACATAAAAACAAACAGCAACAAAACTCCTTCTTACATCTCTGGGCATTACTCCTTTCTGTGGCCCAATCAACAAGGTACATAGCAATGAATCTGAACATATAGTTTTTTAATGCAGTGACATAATATATACTCCGTTTATTTAGTAACCCCCCTATGGAATAAGTGTGTTATATACATTTTTTCCTAGTCCTCCAAACAAAGCTACAAGCCTCTATTTTTAGGTCCATTCGAATGCTGATAAGGACACAGGATGAGATTAGTGAGTTACCACATAGCCACAGGATGACAGAACCATGATCCAAAGCAGAGGGTGCCACATTCCAGCACCTCCTTTACCTCTGCTTTGTATGGATGGTGGCCATTTTGAAGGCATCCTGAGAGGCCTGACAATAGGCAGGTTTTTGTTTGTTCATTTGTTTGTTTGTTTTTGTATCTCTTTATGACAGGAGGGCTGTGTCTTCTAGGGAGCACACTACCTGATAGAACATGCTGGATAATTCAGAAACATCCTGAGTTGCCATTCCACAGGCAACTGGACAATCTTTAAATCTGTGACTCTCTTCTGATGCTGCAATTTAAAGTAGCTCAGCTTTTCTTGGAAATCCTTCATCCATTGAACTCAGGGACAGGTGGGGATGTGGTCTCATCTGCCTGCTCAGCCCCTGGTGAATCTGGGGTCTGCTGGTCTCTGAACACACAAGAAATATGTGTCTTTCCTCCCACTGATTCAGCTTCAAGTTCAGATGTCCTGTTATTTCAGCAAGAACGTCCAATCTGTTGTGTTCCTAGACATCCAATACAGTGATCCTCTTAGATTCCTTAAATTTAAAATTTCAATTTAAACTTGGAAAATCACAAGGTAGATTTTTTTAATGGGTTTGTAGCTTTAATCCTTCATTAAAATTATCTAAACCTTCACACTTTGCTATAGTTTCCTTTAATTGTATCATAAGAAAACAGTTGTTTTAAATTTTTAAATTTTTATTATAGTGATAAAAGGCTTATTATAAGAAATTGCAGTCCTCTGTCTGCCCACCCCTCCCATTTCAACTCCTACTCCCCAGAGGCAACAGATATCAAATAACTTCACTGATTCTTCTGATACCCAGGTCCACCATTCTAAGAAGATGCTCTGTCTTTTGATTTCATCAATTTTGGATATTTATCTTTACAGCAGGGGAGAATTCAGATGTCTTACTGCGTATTCTTACTAAACATATCCCTTTCTTCAGACTTCCAAAATTTGGGTAAATTAGCAGTAACTATTTACTTTAACTGTGTGAGTCTACTTACATTTGTTTGCATTTTCTTCTGCCTCCGCCACTCCTGAGACAGCAAGACCAACCCCTCCTCTTTCTCCTCCTCCTCAGCCTACTCAACGTGAAGATGACAAGGATGAAGACCTTTGTGATGATCCACTTCCATTTAATGAATAGTAAACATATTTTTTCTTCCTTGGGGTTTTCTTAATAACATTTTCTTTCCCTCTCGCTTTACTTTATTGTAATAACATAATATATAACGCACATACAAAATATATGGTAATCAACTGTTTATGTTATCCATAAGGCTTCTGCTCAGCAGCAGGCTATTAATAGTTAAGTTTTGGGGGAATCAAAAGTTATTTGTGGATTTTCAACAGCACAGGGTTGGTGCCCCTAACTCCCACGTTGTTCAGGCGTCAACCATATATGATTATTATTTGTAATTTGTTGATATTCTTATTAGTGTACCATGATGATCGGTTTCTTTTGTCATGAAACATCCCCCCCACTGGAGTTAGTAAATGCCGCATGAGGCTGGTATTGCTAATTGCTGCCCAATAGCCATTTCCTCTTTCTCATTGCTGGCTGAACTCTGATTTTGTTGTGATGTTCGCCCCTTTGCCACTTGATTCAGTAACTCCTGATTGTGCCAAGTCAGTCAACAGAGCCCCATCTCCTGCCCTGAGGGGAAAAGCCTGCAGGGCTTTCCTCTGGAAGGTTTCTTTATCTTAGAGAGACAAACAAGGAAGAAACATCCTCTCTGTCACTCAGAGAAGAGTTCCAAAACCCCTTGGAACACTTAATAAATGCAATCAACCAAGCACCTCAGGACCATCAGTCACATTTTTCTCGCTGGATCTACTTTCCACCGCCTTCTGTCTTTCTGTTCCAATCTGAACTGGTTCATCTCTGGGCCTGGCCACCACCCATTTCCTTTTGGTTCATCTGTCCTGGCTCCCCTGTCTTCTTCATTTACATAGTCATTTTGCAGAAGCATATTCTTTAGAGGTTTGGGGAATATACATATGTTTGAATTTTTGCATGTTTGAAAATGTATTTATTCTGTATTCACCCTTGATTTGATAGTTTAGCAAGATATAGAGTTCTAGGTGGAAATCGTTTTTTCTTGTGGTGTTACCAAATACTCGCTTTTACTGTTCAGAAATCCGTTGCCAGTGTGATTCCTTTTATATGTGATTTATTTTAAGTCTTTTGAGGATTTAGGGCTTTCCATTTGTTCCTAGGACACTGGAATTACTTGATGCTGTGCTTTGCATATTGTAATTTTTTTTCTAGACTTTTGGTGGGCCCTTTTAATTGGGAGACTTGTGTTTTTCAGTGTTGAGAATTTTCTTCTTTTGTTTCCCTGGTAATTTTCTCCTTTTGTTTTCTCCATTCTTCTTCTTCTTTTTTTTTCTGTGTATCTGTTAGAATTTAGAGCTCCTAGGTTGATCATCTAATTATTTTATCTTTTCTCTCTTAGTTTCTTTTTTTTGGTGGGGAGTTCTAATTTCTGAGAGATTTCCTTGACTTTAATGCCTTCTTTGATTTTTACATTTTAATTGTCATATTTTTTATTTCTATAAGAACCTATTTATTCCCTGTCTCTTTCTATAGCACCCTATACTTGTTTTATGGACACTCTTATCTCTCTGAAAAAATTACTTGGAATTTAAAAATATTTTCTCCTGTCTTTCAAGTGGGGAATACACAATCTATGGCACAGCCATATAATGGAATACTACTCAGCAATAAAGAGGAACAAACTATTGGTACATGTGACAATATGGATGAACCTTGAATGCAATATGTATTGTACACTATTAACTATAATAAATATATCCAACTACTTTTATTAATGATATATCAAAAATATTAATAATATAGTATAATATAATCTAGGTTTATCCATATTAAAAATGAAAGAAGCCAGACTTGAAAGGCTGCTTGTTGTTTGGTTATATTGATATGACATTCTGGAAAAGACAAAACTATAAGGATGGAGAATAGGTCATATTTGCTAGTGGCTCGGGGAGAATAGCTGATTACAAAGCGGTAACATGAGAGAAGTTTTTGGGGTTATCAACTGTTCTGTATCTTAACTGTGTTCATGGTTTCTCTGTGTATATGTCAAAACTTACAGAACTATAAACCAAAATGAATGAATATATTGTTGTGAATGAAAATCTTTTTAAAAGGTTTTCTTATGTTTTCTTTATTTTTTTAGTGCCTTTTTTCATTTCAAGTCTTTCTTACATATTTGGTCATTTTTTGCTACTCATTCATATTTAAGAATCAGGCATTAAAAAGCTGATTGAAATCTAGGGCCACATATTATGTGTTGTATGCCTTTGCTCTAATAGGTGTTGAGAGTGTGGAGGATAAAAAGCTATAAAGGCCAGGCACGGTGGCTCACTCCTGTAATCCCAGCACTTTGGGAGGCTGAGGCGGACAGATCACAAAGTCAGGAGTTCGAGACCAGCCTGGCCAATATGGTGAAACCCCCTCTCTACTAAAAAATACAAAAATTAGCTGGGCATGGTGGCACGTGCCTGTAGTCCCAGCTACTCAGGAGGCTGAGGCAGGAGAATCGCTGGAACCCAGGAGGTGGAAGTTGCAGTGAGGTGAGATCGCACCACTGCACTCCAGCCTGGGCGACAGAGCAAGACTCCGTCTCAAAAAAAAAAAAAAAAGCTATAAAATGCTTACTGACACACACATGCACACTTACAGTCACACGCAGAATGCTTCCTCTTTCCTAAATACATTATCTTTTTCTACTTTAATACCTCTTGAGTTTTGCTCTTCTTTTTCTTCTCTCTTTTCCTCCAGCCTCCTTGGAACCAAAATCTGGCTTTTGGTGGGGAATGGAGTCTTGGGATAATTTGTCCAGCATTACTTTATTCTTTTCACATTAATCAGAGGACTTACCATCTCAAGGGTCTCCCTTTCCTTGCCACTTTCCTAACACGTCCTTGGCCTACAGGGCTCTGGCCTTTTCTAGGCTAGGACCCCTTTCCTTCTTTCCTTTGGGGTTGAGAAGGCCGCCACATGCGGACCACACTCTCAGCCTGTCCGTCTGCTTGGGAAGTTCTGTCCCCCTGCTGTGGGGAGGTTTTCTTCCTATTTACTTGCTCTATCACAATCCCTGTCGACATCAGTGAGTGCTCCCATTGAGAGCTGAAAACTGTGTTGATCAGAAGTCCTGGTTTCTCCTACCCCATCAGAACTGTCCTCACACTTTAGTTAGAAAGACCACCTAACAGTAGACTTGAAACAGATTTATCTGGTCAGGAGAAGGGGAGTCAGTGTATAGCTATGCTAGTCCCAGCAGTCAGATGGTGGAGGACTATGTGGGCTGCTGCTGCAGTCCTGGAGAGCTGCCCCTGGGAGAGGTGCCCCTGGAGTCAGGAGCCTCCCTGGAAGCTGTCAGGACCACCTGCCAGAGAGGACGCGTTAGCATCATTGCTCCCCTTCCCATGCCAAACACTTATGCATACATGTTGTACATGTAAGAGGATGTGACTGAATCACTAAACCGAATTGACCAATAAGCTTTTTAACTATTTTATTTAAAAAATAAGAAGCATGAGACCTATGGAATTTCTTTGAGCGTCTTTGATTAAAATGGATGTGTTTGGGTATTTAACAGTGAATTTCTAAAGCGATTTTTATATATTTAAAACATGCCCATGAAAATTCATACTTACTCAGGTTTGTGCTTTTGAGAATGTTTGATTTTTGTTGCTTTGAGAAATTGTCTATTCTGATAATGAAGATGTGTGAAGCCTAAACGCCATCCTGAAAATGCTAGCAAGACAGTTTTCCCCCCTTGCATTATAGATTGGGTGCTATTCAAACGCACATCAACATGCTACTCTTTTAAAAAATACTCTTAAATTTTGTTGGGAATATAAATATCTTTTACTATTTTTCTTCAATCTTTGGTGAAATATTGGAGGATTACTACAAGTTATCCAAAGCAATCTTACTCATTTATCTCAGTTGAACAGAAAAACCAGTCATTCTCCCCAGCATATATCATTTATTTTTCCTTCATGTTTCTGGGCTGAGTTGGTTCCTAACTGAATAATATGGTTTTTCCTTTTTAATTTATTTTCATTTCCTTATCTCTTCCTTTAATATATTCCAAGCCTGCTGATCCAAAATGCTTTCTTCATTACAAAGTCTAACTAATGAAAATACAGAGTCTTTCCAGACGGGCCCTGGAACATGAAAGTGTATACCTTTCCATTTAGTTGGAGGGTTTTGCACTCACCTGTGCAGTTTATTTAATTGCTTTCTGGTTGCATCATGGTGTCACATATTCAGCTTCATCCTTCTAGGGATCTAGTTCATTTGACAGAAGAAAGGATATGAGCTTCTGATGAAAGATAAAAGAAATTCACCTTCAGGATAAAAAGGAATTTGAAGGAGCCCTGTGTAAAGTGACCTGGTGCAGGCTTTTGAGCTGTAAGTGAACCTCACTTCACTCCTGATGATGTTAGAATGATGTATTTCTTCCTTTCAGATAGCAAACAACCCCTGAGGTTTATAGCCTGCAGTCCTGTAGATAAGGGAGGGTCCTGTGCCACCTCCATCCATTCCGTGAGTCTAAGGCGTATGGAAGAGAGTCAAGGACGTGCAGCTCAAGCGTGCCTCCTGCTCTGAAGTAAACCCATGTGGCGAAGCTTGGTGGAGAGTGGCCTAGCAGAGGAGCTTGAGTAACTGTCCGTGCTGCCCTTTCAGTTTGCACCAACCCGACTCACGCCCACTCCCGGGAATCAGCTGCCCTCCCTGGAATTAGCTTTTCTCCCCACCTACTCAGGTGGATTTTGGGATTCTCCGGCAGCTACTCAGTCCAGCGTGTCCACATTGCAGAGGAGAATAAGGCCATCGGATTTGTGGTAGGAAGGAAGAAGTGGAGAGGGTTTGTTGGGAATATTCATATAAGGCGTTTGTGGTTAGAAATTAGGAAGGGAATAAATTAGTGAAATATTACAGTGCTATATTAATAGGTGACTACTTAGAAAGAGATATGCTAAAAGAGTGGGTCCAGCCCGGGCGGGGTGGCCCACACCTGTAATCCCAGCACTTTGGGAGGCCGAGGCGGGCGGATCACGAGGTCAGGAGATTGAGACCATCCTGGCTAACACGGTGCAACCCCCATCTCCACTAAAAATACAAAAAATTAGCCGGGCATGGTGGTGGGCGCCTGTAGTCCCAGCTACTCGGGAGGCTGAGGCAGGAGAATGGCGTGAACCCGGGAGGCAGAGGTTGCAGTGAGCCGAGATCGCACCACTGCATTCCAGCCTGGGTGACAGAGCGAGACTACATCTCAATAAAAAAAAGAGTGGGTCCAACCTCAGTTGCGTTCAGGTGCCAGGCAGGTAGCAGAGGCTATGAAGCAACCAGGTGTGAGTTACTAGGCCAAGTAGCCACTGCAGAAGGGAAAAGTGTGTGCCCTGCAAACATACACTTGAATTCCATTTTTAAAAGCACTGTTGCCTACTCCTGTGACAAGACAACAAAAACCTTGTGTGATTCAGCTCTTGAGGTGCCAGTTGAAATGCCTATAGGAAAAATACATTGTCTTTTCTGTGATTCGGGGTGTTTCCTTTTCTCTTCGTTTGGAGTCCGTGTCTCCTTTTTTCAGTCTTCTGTTAATGAACACAAGCACATAACATTGGTATTGGAGCAGTTTGGATCTTATCTGTTATTTTGTAGATGGCATGTTAATCTTCAGTATGTTGGCTTTTCAAACCTGTCTCATGAAGCAATGGCAGAGAATTTGTCACCGACTCTTGGTGGTCAAAGCCAGTGTTCTTGTTGCCATTTGAAGCTGCCAGTGTTTTAAACTAAATTTAAAAAAATTGCCTTCCTTCACCAGAACAGATAACGCTCAGTTTTTCTGGTAAGCAGATAGGGTTGCAGATAATTAAAGTCCATAGATCAATCCCATGCTTTATTTTAGGTATTATTTTACCCTCTTTCCTTATGAAATCATTTTTTTAGAGCAAACAGTGTTTGACAGATTTGAGTTTCCCAGTGGCTTCTTTTCTTTAAGACTTCACCACCGGGCAATAACAAGGAACTAAAAAGGAAATGGGTAGCTAGGGTTAAAGGGGACATGTAACTCTGGCATCACTTACAAATCCTGTACTCAGACCTTGAATGATACAGACCTTCCATGTGTGTGAGTGGCCGCAGGCCAGCCTGATACTTTGTTAAACTATCCACACACACACACATACGTGCACAGGCACACGCATACCTACATTGCAGGAAGACGCAAAGATCTCATTTCCCCACCCCTTCAATTGGAATTTCTGTCTTTTTCTTACCATTACATGGTACTTCATATTTCTATTCAATGGCATATTTTATTATATCCTGTCTAGCTTTTATTAGTGATTAACTATATGTACGTCATATCATTTTCCCTCAGGAGATAGCAATTTCTCCAAGGATTAGGACCCTTCTCTTTGTCTTTCATTTCCTATTGCTCCTTACACTGTGTGTTTTAAGCCATTCGATGCTCAGTAAATCAGGTCCATCTCAGAGCCGTTGTGTTGCTTTTCTCGCCTCCCTAACCCAGGAGGCCTTGTTCCACACAGGCTGCAGTCTGTGAAGGGGAATAAGCAGCAGACTGGGGCTGAGGAGCCAGGCCCCACCCTGCTGTGACAGGGCCTACCTGTGGGACTTTGAGTAATTCACACAGTTGCTCAAGACTGTGGTTTCCTCATTTATAAAACAAGAGGGCTGAACTAATAATATCTGTTTCTTCTCACTTCTAACATTCAGTGATTAATATACTCTTAGCAAGACATGACCCAGAAAGCTAAATAAATTAGGAAAGCTTAATGATGACACCATACTAATTCATTCAACGGATATTTATTGAGTGCCTGCAGTGCATGGAGTACTAGCCTGGTCACTGGGATCTGTGGTGAGCAGGACTTACCATCCTTACCTTTATTCTATTGGGAGAGGAAGACAATGAACCAATAAACAAACACATAAAATAGCTGTTAAAGGCTGGGAAAGAAATGACAAGGGGCTTTGACTGAGGGTAGAGGAGGACCATCCAGGAAAGCCCCTCCTCAGAAGGGCTAAAATGTTAGAGTGGGGGGAGTCAGGCATGGCACATGCAGAGCTGTGTCGACAGCAAGGCAAAGGTGGCTAGAGCTGAGAGTGAGGGAAGTTTCACAGTGCCATGCAGGCCAGGTTAAGGCTGCCAGTGGGGATTTTGTAGCCAAAACATAACCTGATCTGATTAACCTGTCAAGATGTTCCCCTCGCTGCCACGTACAGGGAGAATGGCTCGTTAGAGAAGCAAGAGCAAAGTCCGGGAGCATGGTAGGAGATGTGTGGCTTCCATGGGAGATGCATTCTGCATGGACTCTTCTTCCTCCATAGAAAGGAACAAACCACTGATGGACACAGTGCCCGGGATGACTCCCAGGTGCACTGTGCTAGGGGAAAGAAGCTAGACCTAGAGGCCACCCACTTGCTGTATGGTTACATTTAAGCGACATTCTGGAAAAGCAATGTTGGAGGAACAGAAATCAGATCATTGGTTGCCGTGGGTTGGAGGACTGTTTGGAGATGATAGAACTATAATTGAGGTGGTGGGAGTTGCAAGACTGTGTGCCAAAACTCGCAAAACTGTACAGTAAAAATGGTGATAACTGTGTGTAAATTATACTTTAGTAAAAAGCAGAATAACATCCTGAGCAAGAAAAAAGTGTTCCAATTTGAATGATGGTCATTCTAATTAGGTGCTCTGATCATTCTAATTAGGAAGAGTTTTTCAAGAAAAGGGATGGAGCGGGAAGTGGGGAAATGGAGGGATAGAATGAAGAGTGGCATGTTTTTCTCTTGAGGGTAGTAGGTATTTATTCAACAAATAATTACAGAGTACTCATTCTGTGCCAGGCGCTGCTAGGCACTGGAAAAGTACTTGCAAATGAAACAAAAACCCATGCTGGAGCTTAAGAGTTCTGTATAAAGATGCAAATGTGCATACCCGTTAACACAGGGATTTTGCCTTTAGGAATTTATCTGAAGGAAGTAAAAGGTGTCATAAAGTTGTGCATTCACTGATTTTCTGTGAAAAGTTATTTAACAAGACAAAAACTGAAGACAACCTAAACTCTAACAATAAGGGGAACTGGTGAATAGATTATAGTGTAATTGATTATTAAACATGATGAAGTATTTATTATATTACATGTATTTATATGGGAGGAAGAACATGACATGCAAAGTGAAAAATTGGGGTTATAGAACTCATTCCATGTGTATAAAAACAAAAAAACAAAAATACTATATTTTTACTTTTTCTTTTTTTTATAGCTAATGAAGATTCGTTCTTCTTCTTTTTTTTTAGATGAAGTCTCGCTCTGTCTCCCAGGCTGGAGTGCAATGGTGCCATCTCGGCCCAGTGCAACCTCCGCCTCCTGGGTTCAAGCAATTCTCCTACCTCAGCCTCCTGAGTAGCTGGGATTACAGGTTTGCGCCACCACACCCAGCTAATTTTTGTATTTTTAGTAGAGACGGGGTTTCACCATGCTTGTCAGGCTGGTCTCAAATTCCTGACCTCATGATCCACCCACCTCAGCCTCCCAAGATGCAGGGATTACAGGTATGAGCCACCATGCCTGGCCAATTCATTTCTTTTATAATTGGCAATGTAAGTAGTTCCACTTTGGAAAAATATCATCCAAGACAAAAACAAAACAAAATAAACATTAAGCACAATAGGCAAGGAATGAATGCTCTTTATTTTCTGGGTGGAATTCTCCCCTGGAAAGGACTTTTTTTTTTTTTTAAGGGTATGCTTGAAATGCTTTTTGTTGGCAAATGTGAATGAAACTTCTTTTGGAGAAATATGCAGCATTTTTATTGGGGGAGATTTTAAATATCAATGAACATAATATTTTGTTTAAATATCACCTTGGTCTAAACTAAGAAAAACCATTACCCCCTTTCCTGGTCCTCTGTAGAGGGGAAATAGCAGCATATATCATTTATGTATATATTCTTCTTTATTCTTTCTACTCATGTATATATTCTTCTTTACTCTTTCTACCCTACTCTTCTTTACTACTTTCTACTCATTTTATGTAAAATAAAAATAAAATAGCCTCTGCTACCTCAATAAAAAAGATATTCTGAACACAGTCCTGTTTATATATTAGAATAAAATGCGATATGCTACCCATGTTATGTACATAAGATAAAGAGAACAAAGCAGGCTCCAGAGAGCTATTATATTTTGTGTTATGTGACACCATACATAGCTGCAGAGTCCCTGAATATGTATTTTAGCATCTCCCAAAGAATAATTCAGTTTTTAACCATATTGTAAGGACACTGTACTTGTAAGTTTCATTTAGTGTGCAGAGCATCAAGTGTTAGATTATAATTGTGCCTGATGAGAATAAACATACCCAACATTATGAAATAAGACCAAGAACCTGAATGTTCCTAAGTAATTATAACTGCAGAAAACATGGAGGTATTATTACCAGGAGACTTTCAGATGAATACATTGACTTGTACATAAATATGTAACTACATATACAATTATCCTATTAAATGTGGCAAAACACTATAGGCACCAAACACGTACCCAGTAGAGATGCCAACTAAACTTTGAAAGCTAGGATTTTGGATTTTTTTGCATTGTTATATTTACCCTTGAATTTTGGGTTCATATTCTGTTCATTTTTCTGTATCCTAAAGTTCTACAGGGTAACTTATTGCATGGCAGGAGGTGTAGTTGGAGCTCCTTTGGCAAATAAGTTTTATGAAGTCAGATGAACTTGCATTTACATTCAGAGGCATGGTGGTTGAATGTACATATGAAAATTCACAACTGATAAAGCATTACACAGCAGACCTGGCAGCTAAGGAGAGCTGTACAACCGTACTTCTCAATCTTTCGAAACCCATGCCTCCTTTTAATAACTTAAACATCCCCCAAATTTTCTTCAGTTTATTTTCAAAGTAAAGTATTATGACAAATACAAATCAAACTGATGATCAGAATATACTTTTCTATCTACTCTTACTTGGATATTCTGATATGGCCCTCTTGGGAGGACGTCTAACCAGTTGCTCAGTTGGGAAGGGTGGCTTTACAATTTTCATCTTGAAAGATTGAAAAAAAAAAAAACTCACATTGTAGTGAACATTTCACCTTTTTGAGCTGAGGTTAGGATGAGATTACCTCATCTGGAGTGCCTACTATGTGCAAAGTGCTGTCCCAGAAATTACATAGCAAACAGAAGTGCCTGTGGCATTAACCTTCAGCCTAGCGAGCTCATAATTTCATAAAGGGAATAAGACACATGTAACGATAATAATGAGTCACATATAACTGTAATAAAAAGACACACTTAACTATTTTAGATGTACGTGGCTATGATTAAAAAGCATGATATGACAGTTCCAAAAGGAAAGATCTGTGGATTCAGGACACAGAGAGAAAATACCTAGTTCCACCTCTACCTGTTTGGTGGGGGAAGGGAGGAGAGGAGAGAATTTACGAAAGGTTTCATGAAGTAGGTGGGCTTTGAGCTGGACTTTGATGCTTAGAGTCTGCAGCTCTTGGGTAGGAGGATGATTTTACAGGGCAAATGTACTTTAAGTAGAAGAGTAAAGGGGATTAAATCTGGAAACATGTAGGCCCAGTGCTCATTGGACCTTGAATGTCAAGCCGAGAGGTGTCACTTTAGCCTGTCATTGGGCTGGGCCACTCAGGGTGATATTCTTGGATGGCACCGTGGTGGATCCAGTGAGTTTCCCTTCATTCAGGAATGCCTTTCATGCTGTATTGCACCAAAAAAACATGGGTCACTGGAAATCAAAGCCTAAAATGGATGAAGAAATTCTATATGAGTGTGTAGATGCTATCATTTCACTTCATGATTTAGAAATGTATGTGCATTTGGCCGGGCCCAGTGGCTCATGCCTGTAATCCCAGCACTTTGGGAGGCCAAGGTGGATGGATCACCTGTGGTCAGCCTGGCCATCATGGTGAAACCCCGTCTCTACTAAAATACAAAAATTAGCTGGGCGTGGTGGCGTGCGCCTGTAATCCCAGCTACTCAGGAGGTTGAGGCAGGATAACTGCTTGAGCCCAGGAAGCGGAGGTTACAGTGAGCTGAGCTCACACCACTGCACTCCAGCCTGGGTGACAGAGTGAGATTCGGTCTCCAGCCCCTCCCCCCGCCCCCGCCCCCTGCAAAAAAAAAAAAAGAAAAAGAAATGTATGTGTATTCACAAACCATTATCAGAGATTGTGAGCTCAGGAGAGCTGAAGATGTGCCTGATTATGAAAGATGGGCAGATACAATTTTGTTTTGAGCAAGGAGAGCATGTGATACTCTGGCTTCATGCTAGCAACCCTGATGCTGAGCCTTAGGTTTTTTAAAGCATTGATAATTGGTGAGTTATGAGTACTATGAAAAATAAACAATGGCCCTTACACAACTGTAGGTTACTGTGTAGGACCGGTCATGGTACTTCAGCCTCATTTTCTTGTCTTTCTTCACTTTCATTTTCTTTATTTTTTCATGAGAGGCAACGTTACAATTACTAACATTTCAGCGTCATGATTGACAGAGTTTCTTATGATGCTCTCGTGGACAAGATGGAGGCACACACAGTGGCTGCAGGGACTGGTGGGAAGAGGGGTGCCTGAGGAGTGCTGATCAGATGAGCATTGTGGAAGCATTGCGGGATCACATCCTTTTGGCACCGGGGGCTGCTGTTTTGTCCCCTGCTGTGTTCTGCTAACATTGGTGTCGATGAATGACACCAGTGAGTGATTTATCAGTGGATTATCAATGAATGATAATGTAGAAGGAACTCTTAGCTTTTCCACGATAGTATGGGAACAAGAATGGATTGCAGATATTTTCGATGAAAAATTAAGGATGGGCTCCACAAGTTTTAAAAGGATAGAACGATGCATTGAGACCAGCAAGGTGATGTTTGAGAAGTATATTTTTATGATCCCACCCATGGGTGCTAAAACCAGTTACAAATGTCTCGGATTGGGTCAGTGGAGTTTAGGACAACTTATATGGTACTTTGGTGTTTTAATTAATGATGTGGAACTAGAGGGTGATTTATATGTCCATGAGGAGGTCATTCTTAGAATGCGTGGTTAGAAGTAGAAGAGAATGGAAGGCTTGCTTTCTTATGACTCTAGATGGTGCAGTTAGAATTGAAGTATTGTGCATAGCTCTGGTCACCTTGTTTAGGAGGGACTTCAGGTTCCCTGGTGCTACACGGTGTACTTAGAGGAAAGCTGTTTGGATGGTGGGAGTTTTCAAAAGCTAATCCCACAGTTGGGAGAATCTGAGTTCTTTGACAAGGAGTAGAATAGGTTTTGGGAGGAAGGGAGCATATAGCTCTTTGTAAATACCTGAAAGGTCATCTGGTGGAAGAATTGCATCATTCTGCTGTAGAGAGGCAGAGCTTGCCAACAGAGACCCTGCCCAGATGTGTGGTGAGTTTTCTGGCCCTAGAACCAGGGGAAGCCACTTAGAAGACTCTTAAGCATCAGGTAGGTTATAAGCCTAGATCTTTACATTCCTTTCAAACTAGTACTGAACTAATTGATTTTTTTCAAGATAAAATATCAATTACTTCTAAGGCCATTATTGTTAACTTTTTGTAATAATAGATCTGAGGCATATGAAAGTTACATGTCTCACTCTGGGAAAATGCACCTCAACTAGGGGTTTGTACCATTGGTTGACCTATTTGCATATTTTATTTAATCACACACAGTCTTGTATTATGTACAAGTTTGAACTTCTGTGATCATGTTATATATTCTGTGAAAACGTTTATCTTAGTAGAAGGCCTTGGATTGAAATTTAGATCCGGACAGAAATTCGTGTTTGTGTTTACTTTGCCGCTGTCTTATGGCAGGATGAGGGAGCTGGAGTGAGGGAGACGCGTGAGGCCACATAAGGAGGAGGGAAGCTGACAGGAAACATGACTTCCTGTATATAATTTTGCCTGATAAAATTGAAGAAAGTTTTTAAATTTGCTTTTCCTGTCTTATGTGAACTTCCACGTGTTGGTTTCTGGTTTTGTTTTTCTATTCTTGTTCTTACAATAGTTTGTTTTCCTTTTGTTCTTCCTGTGTGGTGTATGATTCCATTCATGGGCAGCTTTTCTTCTTTACAGCTTCTGCTTTCTAAATGTGTCCCAGCTCTGCCACTCATGAGCTGTGTGACCTTGGGAATGTTACCTTCTCTGTGCTTTCATTTCCTTACCAGGACGTGGGAAAAAAAAAAAAGCAAGGGGATGTGAAGACCTGTCTCTGGAGGCCTGCTATAAATATTATTAAGTGTCCTAACTTAAATTAAAATTGAATATTAAAGACTTGTAATTGTGTAATTTTAATTTAAAATTAAATTTTAGGCCAGGTGCTGTGACTCATGCCTGTAATACTGGCACTTTGGGAGGCCAAGATAGGAGGATCACTTGAGGCCAGGAGTTTGAGACTAGTCTGGTCAATGTATCGAGACCCTATCTCTACAAAAAATTAAAAAATTAGCCAGATGTGGTGGTGTGCACCTGGAGTGCCAGCTGCTTGGGAGGCTGACCCAGGAGGATCTCTTGAGCCCAGGAGCTCATGGTTGTGGTGAGCTATGAACGTGCTACTGCACTCCAGCCTCGGCAACAGAATGAGATACTGTCTCAATTTTTTAAACAAATTTGTATAATGGCTGAGAAAATACTGGGCCCCTAGGAGGTTCCACCTTTCTTTCTGTCCCCTTACCAGTGAGTACCAGTTGTTTACTGACAAAGATAAAGAACATTTATGATGTAGTTCCTTAAAAATTAAAATACAACTCTTTCTAGCATGACATTGGTTTTATATTTCTTTGTCACTTTCTTGCAATCATGTTACATGTTGTGGACTTTGGTACTTTGTTTTTGTTTGTCTCTGCTGAGCAAAGTTTCTTTCTTTCTCCCAGCTTCAACAATTCAAACCGAAGAGGGCTCTTGGCTGCATATTTATACTTCTGCCCACAGAAAATTAGAGGCAGTTCCCTTCTGTGGATGGCCTATATTTATGAACTTTCTTGCCCTTCTTGACTTTGCAAGATACCCGTTTCTCATCCCAGAGAGCACAGCATTCTTTTAAACTGTGATCTTATTGATTTGCCTACATGCTTTTTGTATTTGTGCTTAGAGAACATGTGTATCTTCAAGGGAAACGCTTTTAAAATTGAATAAACAAAGACACAAGGGTTTGTTGAGAATCCCCTCTGTGTCAGGAAATGAAGACTGTGATCAGGGTATGAGCAACTTGGTTGAGGGCTATATTGGGGTCAGGCTGCACCAGGGGGTGCTACTGGCTTAGTGGAGATAAGGCTGGTAGAAGATGGAGAAGGAGAAAAAGCATGAGAGCGGGGAGGATGAGGACAGTGAGGGAGTCGTGGAAAGAACAGAAGAGCAGTGTGGTACGGAAATGCAAGCGCACATGCACATGTATGACTCTGTATTTTCCCATGATCATGCAAACATGGGGAAAGAAATGGAAAGATCTAGATGTTAATGTGTCTTGGGGTATGGGCTAGAAGAGGCAAATTTTAAAAAATGGAACAAAAACCAGCTTATAGGAAATGATCTTATGTATGTAAAAAAGTTTACATGCTTATGTATAGACGCAAAAGAAAAGAGATCTCTAAGTTGGAAACACAGAGGGCTTCAGTGAGGAGGAGCATGAGGATGGCTGCAAGGTGTCCTTGGGTTGGGTGATGGGCTGTCACGTGTTATATTATTTTGCTTTGTAACATATACATTTTATTAAATAGAGATAGGGTTTTGCTGTGTTGCCAAGGCTGACCTCAAGTGATCCTCCCACCTCAGGCTCCCAAAGCGTTGGGATTACAGGTGTGAGCTACTGTGTCCAGCCCTCATATTCTTTTTAATATATGAAACAACATATTAACAGGGATAAAGGGAAAACAAGTGGGTGGCCACGTTGCCATGTAACCTGTTTCAGGAGAAACATAACAGTAGCCTCACATGTGGTGTGCACGTGTGCTTGCACATTCTTGATGAATGAGGAGGAAAGTGTGGAAGGCTTCAAGTCTCCATTGGGGGAATTGGTGACGGGGCAGAACCTTGTTGCTGTTAAAATCCCCTATCCCCAGTGCCTAATAAAATGCACTCATAATAGTGGATGAAACAATGTCAACCTTGAATAGAATGGTTTAGTGGTGATCTGTGAGTCTACTTTAACAGAAAAGCATATCCTGTGTAGATTTTAAACTCTTTGGGGGCAGAAATAACGCTGATCTTCCTCATCATTCATTTGGACATTTATTCATTCATTTGTGCTGCAAATACATAATACGTGCCTAATATGTATGCCAGGTATTAGACAATATTTATTTTCAGTGTCTAGCAAATCTGAAAGTCTTTTTTTAATTCTTCAAAGTGAAAATACAGGATACTACAAATCCATCATTATAGGATGACCTAGTGAGGAACGCTTCCTGGAGGAAGTGGTAGTTATGTTGCATATTGAAGGATGCAAAGGACTTGTAAGATGAGGTTGGGGGAGGATTCCACATTCCATGCAGATGGAAGAGTATGCGCAAAGGCCCTGAGGCAGAGAGTAATGAACATGGTACTGTGAGGAATGAGGCCAATGTGGCTGCAGCCTGCAGAGCAGAGGGTGAGGTGGGGTTGAGGCCAGAAAGGTGTTCAGGGCCTGATCATGCAGGCCTCGAAGGCCAGAGTAAAGCATTTCCCCCAAGTTTTTATTTTGGAAAATTTCAAACCTATAGAAAAGTTGCAGATGTAATAGAATTATTACCTAGATTTTCAAATGGTTGACTTTTGCCAGTTTCTCTCTTTTACTCTTTCTCCTTCTCATATGCACACACACATACATACACGTTTTTCTTGGTCGAATCATTTGAGAATAAGTTAGAAAAATCATGACATACTACCTCTGAATTCTAAAGCATGTATATTTCAAGAACCAAATTAATCTCTGGCATAATTATAGCACGATTACACACCCAAGAAAATTAATTATAAAATACCTGTACCTTATATACAGTCCATATTTAAATCTCTAATTGTCCTAATAATATCCTTTGCTAACATGTTTTGAAAATCCAGGCTCCGCTGACATTTTTTGGGACCAGTTAGGCCAGTTATTTTGCAATACATACCTCAATTTAAATTTGCCAGATTATTGTCTCATGGTTAAATTCTGGTTGAACATTAACTACTGCATAGGTGATGTGTGGCCCTGAGAACTAACTAATATCAGGAGTCCGTAATGTCAGTTTCATTACTAGTGATGTTAAATTTGATCACGTGGTTAATGTGGTGTCTACCAGATCTCTCCATTGTAAAGATAAAATTTTCGTTTTGTAAGAAATGAAGTAGCCTGGGGGAAGATACTTTAAGCATCTATGAATATCTTGTTCCCCAACAATCTTTTACCCAATGTTTGTACCTTTGGCATCCCTTGTGTAAGATAATTATGAATGTAGCGATTGCAAAATAGTGATTTTTCAAATTCTATAATTTTTTTCTACATTCGTTGATATTCTTCTGTAAAGAAGAGCCCTTACTTCTCCTCCATCCTTTTAAATCAGTATCAGTATAGACTTGTGGATGTTTAAAATTTAGATTTAAGATCTCACATGCATTTATAATCCATTTCTAACATTAAACATTTTGATGTTTAATTTTTGTATTTGGCCAGGAGGAGCCCTGATCAGAAAGGTTTTTTGAGAAAACTATTGATTGAATGAAATAATAATATAGAAATGACAAATAAATCTGTGTTTACCACTTTTTTCTCCTGAGAAGTTCTATTTGTCAATCTAATGTGAATATATTTTTATTTCTCTCTAGGTCTCATGGACTGATTGGCTCTCATTCAGCAGGAACCTAACAGATAAGTCTTCCTGCTGTATATCAAGACAATGCTTGGTTTTCAAGCTGTTCTGAGAATGATTAAAGCAGTGTCGCAAGGTGACATTGTCAGGGGAGAACAAGCAGCTTGAGAATTTCCTCTTAATCTGATTGCAGCTTGAAGGCAGCCCATTTCCATTAAGTAGGACTGCATGGCAAGCAGCCCCACCAAAGGGTTGACAATGAGCGTCCCAGTGGCTCCTAAGAAATCATGTTACACTCAGTTGCGGGACAACAGAAATGCAGCAAGAAATAATAATGAAAGCATCTTAAGTCTGGGAGATACGAATGCCAATCAAATCATGTTGGAGGTCAGCTCCTCTCATGACGAGTCCAAGACATGTGACCTGGGAGATGAAATTGGAAATACAAATTCAAGTGAGCCAGAAAACCGTACCCATTTCCATAAGGAATTTCACCAACTTCAGGGCTTTGGGAAAGGCTCTCAGGCTGGCTCTGCCAGCCTGAAAGATTTTAGACTTTCTTCAACCATTCAGAGGGAACTCAATGAAGAGCACACAGTGGAGAGAGGCACAGATAGCCTGCAGACCACGCGGAGTATTCAGGGACCAAGTCTGTCGAGTTGGAGGAATGTGATGAGTGAGGCCAGTCTAGACGTTTTGGCTAAAAGGGATGCTGAAATTCCCCGGCATGTTCCCAAGGATAAACTGGCAAAGACCCTTGACAATGAGGAACTGAGGAGGCATTCTTTGGAAAGAGCAAGCAGCTCTGTAGCTGCAGTCGGGAGCCTGACTCCGCAGCATCCACAGCCTCTATCCCTCGACTCCCGGGAAGCACGGGGTCAGATACCTGGGGGTGGGGAGGGGCCACAGAAGACATTGCCAGACCACGCTGTCCCGGCAGCTTTCCCTGCAACTGACAGTACCTCAGAGGGAAAGAGTGTGCGTCATCCTAAACCATCTACCTCAGAAAGCAAGCAGAGCACTCCCTCAGAGACCCAAACAGTGGGGGCACATGTACTGCAGGTGTGCAGTGAGCACACATCACATTCCGCCCATCCAGAGCCTGCTCTGAATTTGACTTTGGCATCGAAGGAAATCCCAAGTAAACTGGAAGCACAATTAGGTCAGGGAAAGGGAGAGGCCAAGCTGGATCTGAAATATGTTCCTCCCAGGAGAGTTGAACAGGAGGGAAAGGCAGCCCAGGAAGGGTATCTGGGATGCCACAAGGAAGAGAATCTGTCAGCCTTGGAGGGAAGGGATCCATGTGGGGAAGCACACCCGGAAGCCACCGATGCACTTGGCCATCTGCTGAACAGTGACCTCCACCACCTTGGGGTGGGAAGAGGCAACTGTGAAGAGAAGAGAGGAGTCAACCCAGGGGAGCAGGATTCTCTCCACACCACCCCCAAACAGGGCTCTGCTTCCTTAGGAGGGGCTGATAATCAGCCCACTGGCAAAATTTCACCATGTGCAGGTGAGAAGTTGGGTGAAAGGACATCCAGCAGCTTTTCACCAGGTGACAGTCATGTGGCTTTTATTCCTAATAATCTGACTGACAGCAAGCCCTTGGATGTCATTGAGGAGGAAAGGCGGTTGGGCAGTGGGAATAAGGACAGTGTTATGGTTTTGGTGTTCAATCCTTCTGTTGGAGAGAACAAGACGGAGGTGCCTGAGCCCCTGGACCCTCAAAGTGGCCGCTCAGAAGCACGGGAAAGCAAAGAGGTCACCACATCTGTTGCTGAAAACAGGAACCTTCTAGAGAATGCAGATAAGATTGAAAGCACCTCAGCAAGAGCAGATTCAGTTCTCAATATTCCAGCACCCCTCCACCCAGAGACAACTGTGAACATGACCTACCAGCCTACAACACCCAGTAGCAGTTTTCAGGATGTTAGCGTGTTCGGTATGGATGCGGGGTCCCCCTTGGTAGTTCCACCCCCTACTGATAGTGCACGCTTGTTGAACACGTCCCCCAAAGTGCCTGACAAGAACACTTGCCCCAGTGGGATCCCCAAGCCTGTCTTCACACATTCCAAGGACACACCTTCCTCGCAGGAGGGAATGGAGAACTATCAGGTTGAAAAAACAGAGGAGAGGACAGAAACTAAGCCCATCATTATGCCCAAGCCCAAGCATGTGAGGCCCAAGATCATCACCTACATCAGGAGGAATCCCCAGGCCCTGGGCCAGGTGGACGCCTCGCTGGTTCCAGTGGGGCTTCCATATGCCCCGCCCACATGTACCATGCCTCTTCCCCACGAAGAGAAGGCAGCAGGTGGTGACCTGAAGCCATCTGCCAACCTCTATGAGAAATTCAAGCCAGACCTGCAGAAGCCAAGGGTCTTCAGTTCCGGATTGATGGTGTCTGGAATCAAGCCCCCGGGACATCCTTTCAGTCAAATGAGTGAAAAGTTTTTGCAGGAGGTAAGAGAATGTCATTATGATATGGTCTATAAGTTGACTGTCCCAATATCTGTGACATATTTTCAATGAGTTATGAAAGTAAAATGTCCTCTTTAAGTGAATTACAGATTTTCATGGATACACTTGTGAAGAAATGGAGTTTTTGACTAGAGGAGATTGTCTAGAGAAATGACCATTTTTAACTAGAAGAGTCTGATTATCTTAATAAGATGTACCCAATATCTAAGGAGACCCATTTAAATTTCACTTGCTATAATTCATATGAAATTAGATGAGTATGCCTTAAATAGGCTTCCATGTTTAAATAAGTGAATATAATATAATATAAGCCAGGTTAAAGGAAGAAAGAATGCAAAATTACTGTGTTCTTCAAATAGATCAGACTCATTCCTCAATGGGGAGTATTTTCTACCTGGGAGTATCTCTTATTCGCATGCGTGAAGAACAGCAAATGAGCAGAAAACGGTGTGTTAGGCATGGACTCTTTCTTTAAAATAAAAGTAATAATTACAACTAACATATAATTGAGGGCCAGCTCTACACTGGGCCCATATAATACAGCGTTTGATCTTTGTTAATCTTCACTAATCCTTGCAGTAATTCCCTGAGGGTTGGTATTGCAGTTTTTTGTTTGTTTATGTTTTTTTTGGCTTTTTCTTTGTTTTTGAGATGAAGTCTCGCTCTGTCGCCCAGGCTTGAGTGCAGTGGCGCGATCTCGGCTCACTGGAAACTCCACTTTCTGGGTTCACGCCATCCTCCTGCCTCAGCTTCCCTAGTACCTGGGACTACAGGCGCCCGCCACCGCGCCTGGCTACTTTTTTGTATTTTTAGTAGAGATGGGGTTTCACCGTGGTCTTGATCTCCTGACCTCGTGATCCGCCTACCTCGGCCTCCCAAAGTGCTGGGATTACAGGCGTGAGCCACCGCGCCCAGCCGGTATTGCAGTTTTTATCACCGTATAGATACAGAGACAGACAGAGAGCTTTAAGTCACCCACCACAAAGGAAGGAGAGCTCTGAGAGTCTCACTCAGGCCTGTGCAGTTTCAGACTGCACTGTGCTGTCCTTTTTAGCTATGGTGAGTCATCCTTCGAGACCTCAGAACTAAGATTTGTCTCCTGAAGGAGTCTCTTCATGACAGCTGAGTGATCAGTTAAAAGTAAGGCAGGAGCCAAGGACAGCGGCTCACACCTGTAATCCCAGCATTTGGGAAGCCGAGATGGGCAGATCACAAGGTCAGGAGATCGAGACCATCCTGGCCAACATGGTGAAACCCCGTCTCTACTAAAAATACAAAAACTAGCTGGGTGTGGTGGCATGTGCCTGTAGTCCCAGGAACTGGGGAGGCTGAGGCAGGAGAATTGCTCGAACCCAGGATGTGGAGGTTGCAGTGAGCTGAGACCACGCCACTGCACTTCAGCCTGGCAACAGAGCGCGACTCAGTCTCAAAAACAAGGGCAGGATGAGATCATCCTGTCTCTAACACCTTCCAGGGCTGCCCAGGTTGCTTGGAACACAAGCTGGAGCCTGTAGGATGGCTCTGCCTTTAGGATGGGATGTGCTCACTGGGGGTCCGTCAGCTACCTGCCCTCCTCTCCTTCCACTCTCCCTTTCTCACTCTGCTGCTTCAGGACCTTTGCACCTCCCTCTGCTTGGAATGTTCTCCCAGTTATCCAGATGGCTCTCTCCCTCACTCCCTTTAGGTCTGTGTTCCAATGTTATCTCCTTGGGAAGGCCACCCATCTTCTCTCTGAATCCCTTTTCTCTGATTTATTTCTTCCTAGCACCTACCTCCACCTGCCATAAATACTTTTTTAGTTTTCCTGAATTGACTATAATGTAAACTCCATGAGGGAAGGGATTGTTTTCAATATTTTGTTCCCCGTGTTCCCAGAATTTAGAATGGTGCTTCTTATAAGTATGTGCTCAAAAAATGTTGAGTGATAACTGAATCATGAACTCCATATGTGTTGGAACTAAACAAAAGTGTACCAAGGGTTTCTAGAGATAGGATGATTGAGTCCAAATTTGGACTCTAGCTTGGTTAGATATATTGGCATATTTAAAGAATGCATCAATCACAACAGAAGTTGTCATATCTAGCACAAAGACAAAGTTGAATCCATTCTCGGCAGCAGACATTGACTTAGGCAATCACTGACGAGGTGCCCCAACAAGCCGACCAGCTGTGCTGCCTTGCCGCAGGTCCTTAGCAACCAAATCACACAGCTTGCTCCCTGTGTTCTGACTCTGGGCCTGCCAACAGGCCTCTGATTATAACGGACTTCCTACCTCACATCTCTAGAGAGAGGATTCTGGCTGGAGAATTCAGGGGTCCAGTCAGCTTGGCAGGGGTTTGTCTTGCTGTGCGGGGCTGCATGGCATCTTGTTTATAAGTGGCTTCTTACTCTGTGCCCTGCAATGAGAACGTGTTCTGGCTAGAGGACACTTGAGTCTGGCTTTAGGCAGTGGTCTCCAATTAAAAGTGAACAAATTGCCCTTCTGGATTTTTACGTCAGTCTCTGAGTTTAGTTATAGTGAGTCATTTTCAAATTTCTAAACATTCATCCACCTGGGCCTCTGAGGCTCAGGGTCAGGCTCTGAAGCTTTGCTCTTCTATAAGGCAGGGAATCACTGCAGAGGTTCCATGAAGAGACCTGTCAGTCCATTTGTGTTGCTATGAAAGAATACCTGAGGCTGGGTAAATTATAAGGAAAAGAGGTTTATTTGGCTCATGGTTCTGCAGGCTGGAGAGGAAGCATGGCACCAGCATCTGCCTATGGTGAGGCCTCAGGCTGCTTCCACTCAAGGGGGAAGAAGAAGGGGAACCACGTGTGCATTGATCACGTGGTGAGAGATGAGCAAGAGGGGAGTGGAGGAGGTGCCAGGCCTCTCTTTAAGGACCAGCTCTCATGGGAACTAATAGAGCAAGAACTTGCTCATTACCAAAAGGAGGGCACCAAGCCATTCATGAGGCATCTGCCCCCATGGCCCACACACCTCCCACTAGACCCCACCTCCAACATTGGAGATCACATTTCAACATAAGAGTTGGCACAGACAAGCCAACCATATCCAAACCATAGCCAGAGCCTAGATTTTTCTCTATAAAAACAAACTCATGAGGGAAATTGATTTGGATATGTAGGCCCAAACCCCACATTGTCTGTAATTCTTTCTTTGTGCCCTTCTATATTTTCGTGTATATTTCTTTTCTGTGTTGTTCTGCTTCCTCCAAGAATAGTTTATATATTACATGCATAGTTTTCCCCAAACTATTTTCTCTACTTCATTATCTAGGCACCACGTCAAGACTCAAGGAAATGGGATTGTATGGACATTGTGTGGCTTTGGCGGTTCTGAGGGGTTCAGAGAGACCCCACTGGTGTGGAGAGAGCATCATGGCCTCGCACCTCGAGCATCCCAAAGTCTTCTTCAAAGAATTTATTTGTTTTTGGGCCTCGACTTTACAAGTTCGTTTGAAATGTCAGTTTCCCTCCCTGTATCTGGGGACCATTTTCTGCCATCATCAGAACGAGACCCAGGCCTCTTCTCAGGTTGCGCTGGGCTCATTTCTGTGGTAACCTTCTTTACTCAAAAGTGGGGAACAGGCTGGTCCTTGGCCACCTGCTACAGCTATGACATGATGTAACCCAGCGAGTCCCCCTCTTGTGTTTGAGCTCAGTGCAGGGAGAAAAAACAGCCGACTTCTTCTGCCAGTGTGCCCCAAGCTCATCATGGGGTGGCTGCAGTCTGGTCTCTAGGAAAAGAACACATTTTTGATAATGTGTTGCAATGGAAGTATTTTTCAGTTATAGAAGCCAGATTTTTTTTTAAATAAAATGAGAACCTCTTAAAAATAAAAACTCAAACCAGCTTCAGACTCTTCCATCCTTATCGACAGATCCCTGCTGGTTACATAGCATGGGTAGAAGTGGAAAAATCAAGAGTAAGCACTCTTCTGAGAGAGGAACTCTTTTCCCAATTGGCAGGAACAGCACAGGCATTTAAAACTTCCAGAAGTGGCTTCCAAGATCATCTGGGATCTAGTCATGTCCAGGTATTAAATATGTTTACCTAAACAGGTGCCCTCTGCCACTGGCTCTCCTGAGGTCTCAGGGACACTCCCTCCCTCCAACAACTTGGGAGCCCTTTTTATTTTTGGTAAAGGGAGGTGGGAAGAAAGGGGCTTGGCTGAGAGGATGGAGTGAGGCGATGTGCGTGCAGTGTACAGAGGTGTGATCCAGGGCTGCTCTCCTTCCTCACTGTCTGCTGCCACTCATCTCTGGGGGGCACTGCATCGATTGGGGTTTGCCAGACAAATAGAACTAATAGGTGTGTGTGTGTGTGTGTGTGTGTGTGTGTGTGGTGTGTGTTCACAGGTCTATATTCATCTATACTTATGTCTCTCAATATATATTATCTATATATGTTTCAATATATATATCTCATATGTAGAGACAGATATAGATGTATATATAGAGAGGGTACATCACATAATCTCTATATATATATATAGAGAGAGATTGATTGACTGATTGATTTTAAGAAATTGGCTCATGATTGTAGAGGCTGGCAAGTCAAAAATCTGCAGGGCAGGACAGCAGCCTGGAGACTTAGGGTAGAGTTGGTGCTGCAGCTTGGGTCTGAAGGTGATCTACTAGCAGAATCCCCTTTTCTTTAGGAGGAGTCAGTCTGTTTTTATTAAACCCTGCAACTGATTAGATGAGACTCACCTACATGCTGAAGGGTCTGCTGCTTTATTCAAGGTCTGCTGATTTAAATGTTAATCTAATATAAGAAATACTTTCATGGCAGCATCTAGAATGCTTGACCAAATATCTGGGTATTGCAACCCCACCAAGTTGACACATAAAATTAACCATCCCAGACACCCTTCCCCCACCACTATCCCAGTGGCTTGTTAACAAAGCCTTCACCTGTACCCTCTGTCTCCACGGCACACTATCCCATTGAGGACAGTGCAGGGCAAATAGGAAGAGGGACAGCCTGGTAAGAATGTATTTGTTCATATGCCTTGACTTAACGAGTTTGTTTGAAATCATAGGGTTCTTTTGTTTGCTTTCAAAGTGAGTTCTCTAAAAACCCTCCATTGGGATGGAGGGAGGGGAACAGCAACGTTTGGGGTTTCCAAACGTTGTTTTATGACTGTGCAGCATCACCTGCTGTATTCTGTCAGTAAAGATGAAGGAAAAGAGTATGAAGCTTTCTGTAGATTCCCTTGTTTAATTAAAAATGCACAGACTAGACATCAAAGGCGCAGTTTTCCCCCTTTTAAAGAATTTGCGATCTCACCAGAAACAAATTACCCAACAAAATGACAGGCATTGAAGTTACTGAAATCCTTAAGATCATTGTTGAGAGAGAATGTGGTGAATTTTAATCCCTAAAAACAACTCAGTTTCAAGGCACTGAGTAACTACTAAGATCAGCATATTGCAATCCTAAAACCTGACAGATGTAGTTTGGAAATGATATTAATTTCTTCATAAGAGCACCTGCTCAAAGCAATGTGCAATGGGACCCAAAATTTAGAAACTAAAATTAAAAAAGGGTATATATGAGAAAAACCAGAGATTGATAGTGAGAGTAAGTAGAGAATGGTAAAAAATTTATCAGAGTGCAGATGTAGAATGTTCTTTCATAGGAATATAATTTGCTATAGCCAAGGACTATCTACTATAACAGTCATGCATATTTTACAGTGTGATTATGATAAAACTTTAAAGGCCTAATCTTTTGTTTCTACAATGTCAATTTGAAGGAGGACTTTGTATCTATTTCAACATTAAATGAGTATCAATTTAAGGGTTTATCTCTTCAACAGCTTGGATCAAAGCTTTTATAGCCCCCATTAAAGAATACTGTTAAATGCTTATGATTCCTGAGATATAAGTTTGACACATAAAATGTGCTGTGATTTAGAACAGAGTTAATTAACAGATGTATCTTTTCATGCATGGCCCTTAGCACTATTTTTTATTGTAACTTAAAGGAATAGTTTATTTAGTTCTCTCTCTTTTTTTCCTGTTTAATATTAATAAAACACTGATAATATGAACAGACTTAGTGAGTACAGAATTGCATATATAAAAGGTACTGCCCACAGGTTGTATTCTAGGCCAAACTGCTAGCTACAGGAGAAAGTGACAGTAACGTTATGTTATTATTAAACTTAGGAAAAAATGGAAACATGATTCTTCAATAAATATTTATTGACTTTAGCTATGTGCTAGACATTGTTTTTGGTGCTATGAAGTCAGCGGTTGATGAGATTGTGCCCTAGAACTTCCATTCTGGTGAAACTTGCTCAAACCTTCCTGGGAGCATCGCCTCACTCGAGCAGACGACCAGAGGAGATAACTCAGGCTCAGGTTTTTAACTAGGTAAACACATAGTACAGATCTGAAAATACATTTTCCATTAACTTCCCTATTTTTCTGGAAAATGTTTCCTCCTTTATTAACAATGCAATTTTTTGCTTCCTAAGTAGCCCAGTAAAGATCTAATATAAATGGACACAGTTTACCTAGTGAGTCTAAGACTAGGTTATCATACAACTTACAGCTTTTTTCCCACAGGTATAATAAAACTTTCATAATTTTATGAACATTTGCTAAATGCTTTCTTTGCTTTATTGACATTTATAGTTTGGCTACTCACTCAGATTCTAGTGATTTTGTAACAATGGAATTAAAAAAATCTTATCCAGTGAGTTCTTTTTAACTCCAGTGAACTATAGATTCTAGAGTAGTAGAACTGGAAGAGACCTGAGAGATCATCCAGTGTGTTATCAATCAGGAGACGAAGACACTGTGGCCCGGGGAAGGTAGGGGACTTGTGATCAAGCAGCTAAGTGGTACCAGAGTGGTCATTGGTTCAGCCTCGGTCTCGTGGTCCTGTATAGAACTCACACTATGATGTGAAGGTCTCTGATTGAGTTTTTGTTCATTTATCATAGGTTACAGACCACCCTGGAAAAGAAGAGTTTTGTTCTCCTCCCTATGCTCATTATGAAGTCCCTCCAACTTTCTATCGGTCAGCCATGCTCCTTAAGCCCCAGCTAGGATTGGGTGCAATGTCCCGTTTACCATCTGCAAAGAGCAGGATTCTGATTGCAAGTCAGAGGTCTTCAGCGAGCGCCATCCACCCACCAGGACCCATAACAACAGCCACCAGTCTCTACAGTTCCGATCCTTCAGGTAACCGATCCAACAGTTTCTGCCTTTTCCTGCTGTACGTTTAGATAGTCATCATGTAAGATGGTGATAATTGTCTAAAATATGAATGCCTTTCATCCTTTAAGGAGAGCCTTTTTCTGTTCTTCCATATGTCTGTAGATGCAGACATTTGTGAAACTCATCTGTGTGCAACTGTCATCCTTCATGTCACCTTTAAACTGATGGCCCTTGTTACTACCATCCAGCTTTTCATAATTTCTTGCTTCTCTAATATGCCCTATAAAACAAGGCTCAGAAGTTGTTTTCTGTCAAGGGCCAAAGAGTAAATATTTTGGAGTATGTAGGTCCTAAGGGGTTAATGTCATAACTGTTTAGGGCCTTGGTCCATTTGGTGTCGAGACAGAGAGAAGGTAGAGCCAAAGAAGTTCCAGACTCACTGGGCATGGGCTGCAAGAGAGAAAGCCATGGAGGAGAACTCCGGGTTTCTGGCCTGAGCAACTGGAAGAATGGAGTTGCCACATAGAGAAGTGCGTTTAGAAAGGCAGATAAGAGTCAAGCAAGGACATGAGAAGTTTGAAATGTCTTTGGTCATCCGGCAGGATACAGCATGGGATTTATGGGACTGGAGTTTAGAGGACAGGACCTGGCTAGAGATGTAAAAGCGTTATCTGTAGGCAGAGAGATGATATTCAAAGCTGTGATGCTGTCCTTCACCAAGCTACCATTGCTGTCCCCCACCACTGCACCTTCATCAGGATGTTATAAATTTGATGTGAACTTGAATTATGCACCTTTGAAATAGTATGATGTGACAAATGTTCACAGTTTTACTTTATGCACAAAATATGGAAAAACTTCAAAGTTATAAAAATAATCTTAGTTGAGTTTGTTTTGCAACAGTCAAGGTTTTAAGACTATACTACTGCATAAAAATACCACCGTGATACAGACAGGCAGATCAAATTCTTCTGAGGCTGGCTCATTCATATTTACACATTTTTGTAATAAGGGTGTCACTTCTTCAAACTCAGTTCAGTCCTAGAAGTACACATATGAGGGGCTGCCTCCATCCTACTCCTTCAGGACTCAAACACTTTTCCTTGGGTTTGTGGGTGTCTTAATTTAGAGAACAATGTATGTTCCCATGGTTGATCATTGGACACCCAGCAAAACTAGTAACACTGATGGGTATCACTCCTACAGGGCATGGAAGATGTCACATGCCTTCTTAGCGCTGCTGGGGGGATCACCTGCCAGAGGCTCTGGGACAATGAGAGGTTCTTAATTTGGAGACCAGGGAGCTTTAGAGGGCAAGGACTCAGCTCCCTTGGCCCCTGAGCCCTTGAGCCAGGCCAGTAGCTCTTGGCTTGGCCTGGTCACTTGGCCGATTGCAGGCAGCAGGCCCTTTCCCTTGTCAGACAGCTTTGCTAGAATCCCTGGTGCCTCCATCTTCAACTTTGGCAATATGCCTTATTAATTCTCTTCTTTTCTTTCTGCTGAAACCTTTCCATTTTTCTTCATGTTGTCCTCAGAGATATTCCCTTGCTCCTCAATCCCTGTTTTCTTTTTATTTCACAAGAGACTTAGATGGTTCACTGAACACAGAGCCAAAGCCATTATCCACCAAACACTATTGATAGTTTCCCTTAACTTGAGATCTAGGAGGCTTAACTTTCAGACTGTCCCAGGAAATGAAGAGAAATACCTGGAATAAAAAATAACTTCTGGAATAACAAAGAAAAAGAAAAAGAAAAACCAGGCTTGGCGTGGTGGCTCACGACTGTAATCCCAGCACTTTGGGAGACTGAGGTGGACGGATCGCTGGAGGCCAGGAGTTTGAGACCAGCCTGGCAACATGTGGAAACCCCATCTCTACTAAAAATACAAAAATTAGCTGGACTTGGGGGTGTGTGCCTGTAATCCCAGCTACTCTGGAGGCTGAGGCATGAGAGTCACTTGAACCCAAGAGACAGAGGCTACAGTGAGCCGAGATCGCACCACTGCACTCCAGCCTGGGCCACAGAGTGAGACTGTCTCAAAAAAAAAAAAAAAGAAAGAAAAATAAAAGAAAAACCCAACAGCTAAGATTCCACATGGAGGCACTGTGAGTACCTTCCCAAGGCCACTCTCAGTTTGTTCCTCCATTACAAAAAGTCCTCTGACGGAAGGGAGTGAGAGTCACCTAAGACTCAAATTCAGAAAGCTGTGGCGAAGAAGAAACAGTTGGCACTTTTTGATAATTATGTATTGTACATTTACCATGTTTTAGCCCAAATCTCAAAGGTAAACAAGGACAGATTTGTTTACATCTAACCTCCTTACAATTATGTGGTCAATTTTAGAGTAAGTGTGACATGGTGCTGAGAAGAATGTATATTCTATCAGATTGGGGTGGAGAGTTCTGTAGATGTCTATTAAGTTGGCTTGGTCCAGAGCTGAGTTCAAATCCTGAATATCCTTGTTAATTTTGTCTCGTTGATCTGTCTAATATTGACAGTGGGGTGTTAAAGTGTCCCACTATTATTGTGTGGGAGTCTAAGTCTCTTTGTAGGTCTCTAAGAACTTGCTTTATGAATCTGGGTGCTCCTGTATTAGGTGCATATATATTTAGGATAGTTAGCTCTTCTTGTTGCATTGATCCCTTTACCATTATGTAATGCCCTTTTTTATCTTTTTTGATCTTTGTTGGTTTAAAGTCTGTTTTATCAGAGATTAGGATTGCAACCCTTGTCTTTTTTTTTGGTTTCCATTTGCTTGGTAAATATTCCTCTGTCCCTTTATTTTGGGCCTATGTGTGTCTTTACACGTGAGATGGGTCTCCTGAATACAGCACACTGATGGGTCTTGATTCTTTATCGAATTTGCCAGTCTGTGTCTTTTAAGTGGGGTGTTTACCCCGTTTACATATAAGGTTAATATTGTTATGTGTGAATTTGATCCTGTCATTATGATGCTGGCTGGTTATTTTGCCTGTTAGTTGATGGAGTTTCTTAATAGTGTTGATGGTAATTACAATTTGGTATGTTTTTGAAGTGACTGGTTACTGATTATTCCTTTCCAAATTTAGTGCTTCCTTCAGGAGCTCTTGTAAGGCAGGCCTGGTGGTGACACAATCTCTCAGCATTTGCTTGTCTGTCAAGGATTTTATTTCTCCTTCGCTTATGAAGTTTAGTTTGGCTGGATATGAAATTCTGGGTTGAAAATTCTTTTCTTTAAGAATGTTGAATATTGGCTCCCACTCTCTTCTGGCTTGTAGAGTTTCTGCTGAGAGATCCACTGTTAAGCTGATGGACTTCCCTTTGTGGGTAACCCAACCTTTCTCTCTGTCTGCCCTTAACATTTTTTCCTTCATTTCAACCTTGGTGAATCATATAATTATGTGTCTTGGGGTTGCTCTTCTTGAGGAGTATCTTTGTGATGTTCTGAGTATTTCCTGAAATTGAATATTGGCCTGTCTTGCTAGGTTGGGGAAGTTCTCCTGGATAATATCCTGAAGTGTGTTTTCCAACTCGGTTCCATTCTCCCCGTCATTTTCAGGTACACCAATCAAATGTAGGTTTGGTCTTTTCACATGGTCCCATATTTCTTGGAGGCTTTGTTCATTCCTTTTCATTCTTTTTTCTCTAATGTTGTCTTCATGCTTTATTTCATTAAGTTGGTCTTCAATCTCTGATATCCTTTCTTCCACTTGATCGATTCAGCTATTGATACTTGTGTATTCTTCACGAAGTTTTCATGCTGTGTTTTCAGCTCCATCAGGTCATTTATGTTCTTCTCTAGACTGGTTATTCTAGTTAGCAATTCATCTAACCTTTTTTCAAGGTGCTTAGCTTCCTTGCATTGGGTTAGAACATGCTCCTTTAGCTCAGAAGAGTTGGTTGTTACCCACGTTTTGAAGCCTACTTCTGTCAATTCATCAAATTCATTCTCCATCCAGTTTTGCTCCCTTGCTGGCAAGGAGTTATGATCCTTTGGAGGACAAGAGGCATTCTGGTGTTTGGAATTTTCAGCCTTTTTGTGCTGGTTTTCCCTCATCTTCATGGATTTATCTACCTTTGTTATTTGATGTTGGTGATCTTCAGATGGGACATCTTTTTTGTTGATGTTGATGTTACTGCTTTTGCATGGGCGTCCTTTTTGTTGATGTTGATATTATTGGATTCTGTTAGTTTTCCTTTTATCAGTCAGGCTCCTCCTCTGCAGGTCTGCTGGAGTTTGCTGGAGGTCCACTCCAGACCCTATTAGCCTGGGTATCACCAGTGGAGGCAGCAGAACAGCAAAGATTGCTGCCTGCTCCTTCCTCTGGAAGCTTTGTCCCAGAGGGTCACCCTCCAGATACCAGCCGGAGCTCTCCTGTATGAGGTGTCTGTCTGCCCCTGCTGGGAGGTGTCTCCCAGTCAGGAGGCATGGAGTTCAGGGACCCACTTGAGGAGGCAGTCTGACCCTTAGCAGAGCTCCAGCGCTGTGCTGGGAGATCCACTGCTCTCTTCAGAGCCGACAGGCAGGAATGTTTAAGTCTGCTGAAGCTGCACCCACAGCTGCCCCATCCCCCAGGGTGCCCTGTCCCAGGGAGATGGGAGTTTTATCTATAAGCCCCTTACTGGGGCTGCTGCCTTTCTTTCAGAGATGCCCTGCCCAGACGGGAGGAATCTAGAGAGGCAGTCTGGTTACAGCCACTTTGGGGTGCTGCGGTGGGCTCCGCCCAGCTCGAACTTTCTGGTGGCTTTGTTTACACTGTAAGGGGAAAACCACCTACTCAAGCCTCAGGAATTGCCCCTCCCTCACCAAGCTCGACCACCAGGCTGCGGGCGGGCCTGGGGTGCCGGGCCTTCCAAAGCCACCACTTCATGTAGGCCAGGTGAGCCTCGGAAAAGTCTGGCCCGGTGATGCTCAGGAGTGGTGGGCTGTTGGGAAAGCGCCTCCAGGCCTTGGGGACCATCTCTCTCTGGATGCTGGATAGACCCAGCCAGGAGGAGCCTTGGGGAGGGGCCAGGTGCGGACCCAGTGCTTCCCATTGACATAGAGGACTTTGTAGCGGTCCTTGACCTTGGAGCGGAGGACGGGCCTGGACCGCATATCCTGGTGCTTCTGGGCTCGGGGCAGCACCCTGGCCCGGGGCTAGCCCAGGAGCCAGCTCAGGTAGCTGCCCATGACAACAGTGCAGTGGTAGGGACCTTCCCTTAGAAATTCGGCTTCCAGAAGTTTCCGAAGTCTGCGGCTGGGGCCAAGTGTGCAGAGCTTGGTGACCATTGGAATCAGGACGCCAGAAACTGTGCAAAGCATCGCGCGCCGGGCACCCTCTGGCCATAGGGTCCCGCAAGGGCTAGGCCGGCGCGTCACGGAATCAGGGACGTCACAGGGCGCAGCTGCAGCGGGGGAGGGCAGCACCCAGACCATCTGGGGGACCGGGGAAGCTCAGGCTTCTATCCTTCCCACTGATGGTCCCAGTCACTTGGCTCTGGGCAGAGGGGGCCTAGCAGCTGCCTCTACTTTTGTGCCTGACCTTTAAAGGTAGAAGATAGAATTTCTGCCAGGTCCTGAAAACTGCAGATGCCTGTTGACAGAAGGGTGCTGTCTTTGATCAGTGTGAAAATGAACACAATACACTTGGATACTCTTTCAAGGAAAAACAAATCATTTACTCATATCAGTAAAGGTGATGTGTGTTTCATTCTTCTAGGATGGATGTTAATGTCACTTTTTGCAATTTTGCTGTTAAGAAAATGGAGTCATCAAGTTTTGTTTTAGCACAGGCAATGTTGATTTTACGTGGATTTCCCATAATTTCCAGCCTTCCTACATCCATGAATAGATTGTCTGTCTCTGAACACTACTGTCATTTCTCTCGTTTAATTTCTCTTTATTTTTGAAATATTATTTCAGTAGTTTTTGGGGGAAAGGTGATGTTTGGTTATATGTATAAGTTCTTTAGTGGTGATTTCTGAGGTCTTGGTGCACCCATTATTCAAGCAGTGTACACTGCACCTGATGTGTAATCTTTTATCCCTCACTCACCTCCCACCCATTCCCCAAGTCCCCAAAGTCCATTGTATCATTCTTATGCCTTTGCATCCTCATAGCTTAGCTCCCACTTATGCGTGAGAACATATGATGTTTACTTTTCCATTCCTGAGTTACTTCGCTTAGAATAATGGTCTCCAACTTCATCCAGGTTGCTGCGAATGCCATTATTTCATTCCTTTTTAAGGCTCATTAGTATTTCATAGTACATTTGTACCACATTGTCTTTATTCACTCGTTAATTGATGGGCATTTGGGCTGATTCCATATTTTTGCAATTGCGAATTCTGCTATTATAAACGTGTGTGCAAGTATCTTGTATAATGATTTCTTTTCCTCTGGGTAGATACCCAGTAGGGTATTGCTGGATCAAATGGTAGTTCTACTTTTAGTTCTTTAAGGAGTCTCCACACTGCTTTCTATAGTGATTTGTACTAGTTTACATTCCCACCAGCAGTATATAAGTGTTCCCTTTTCACCACATCCACACCAACATCTATTATTTTTTGATTTTTTGATTATGGCATTCTTGCAGGAGTAAGGTGGTATCACATTGTGGTTTTGATTTGCATCTCCCTGATAATTAGTAATGATGATCATTTTTTCATATGTTTGTTGGCTATTTGTATATTTGAGAATTGTCTATTCATTTCTTTAGTCTACTTTTTGATGGGATTATTTGTTTTTTTCTTGCTTATTGGTTTGAGTTGCTCATAGATTCTGGATATTAGTCCTTTGTCAGATGCATAGTTTGCAAAGATTTTCTCCCACTCTGTGGGTTGTCTGTTTACTCTGCTGATTATTGCTTTTACTGTGCAGAAGCTTTTTAGTTGAATTAAGTCCCAGCTATTTATCTCTGTTTTTTTTCCATTTGCTTTTGGGTTCGTGGTCATAAAATCCTTGCCTACGATAATGTCTAGAAGGGTTTTTCCGATGTTATCTTCTAGAATTTTTGTGGTTTCAGGTCTTAGATTTAAGTCTTTGATCCATCTTGAGTTAATTTTTGTATAATGTGAGAGATGAAGGTCCAATTTCATTATTCTTGCCAATTATCCCAGCACCATTTGTTGAATATGGTGTGCTTTCTCCAGTTTATGTTTTTGTTTGCGTTATTAAAGATCAGTTGGTTGTAGGTATTTGGCTTTATTTCTGGGTTCTTTATTCTGTTCCATTGGTCTGTGAGCCTATTTTCATACCAGCACCATACTGTTTTGGTAACTTTAGCCTTATGGTATAGTTTGAAGTCAGGTAATGTGATGCCTCCAGATTTGTTCTTTTTGCTTAGCCTTACTTTGGGTATGTGGATTCTTTTTTGGTTCTATATGAATTTTAGAATTGTTCTAGTTCTGTGAAGAATGATGGTGGTATATTGATGGAAATTGCCTTGAATTTGTAGATTGCTTTTGGCAGTGTGGTCATTTTTACAATATTGATTCTACCCATCCATGAGCATGGCATATGTTTCCATTTGTTTGTGTCATCTGTGATTTTTTTCGGCAGTGTTTTGTAATTTTCCTGGTAGAGGTCTTTCCCCTCTTTGGTTAGGTGTAATATACTCCTGAATGTTCTGTTGTGTTTATTTGTTTGTTTGTTTTGCAGCTGTTGTAAAAGGGGTTGAGTTCTTGATTTTATTTTCAGTTTGGTTGCTGTTGGTGTATAGCAGTGCTACTGATCTGTGTATATTGATTTTGTATCCTGAAACATTGCTGAATTCATTTATCAGTTCTAAGAGCTTTTAGGATGAGGCTTTAGGGTTTTCTAGGTACACCATTATATCATTGGTGAACAGTGACAGTTTGACTTCGTCTTTACTGATTTGGATGCCTTTTATTTCTTTCACTTGTCTGATTGCTCTGGTTTGGACTTCCAGTACTATGTTGAAGAGAAGTGGTGAAAGTGGGCATCCTTGACTTGTTCCAGTTCTCAGAGGGAATGCTTTTAGCTTTTCCCCATTCAGTATAATGTTGGCTGTGGCGTTGTCATAGATGGCTTTTATTACCTTAAAGTATGTCCTTTCCGTGCTGATTTTGCTGAGGGTTTTAATCATAAAGGGATGGTGGATTTTGTCAAATGCTTTTTCTGTGTCTATTGAGATGATCATGTTATTTTTGTTTTTAATTCTGTTTATGTCATATATCACATTTATTAACTTGCTTATGTTAAACCACCCCTGCATCCCTACTATGAAACGCACTTGATCATGGAGGATTACCTTTTTTGTATGCTGTTTGATTCCATTAGCTAGTATTTTGTTGAGGATTTTTGTATCTACGTTCATCAGGGAGATTGGTCTGTAATGTTTCTTTTTTGTGATGTTCTTTCCTGGTTTTAGTGTTAGGGTGATACTGGCTTCATAGAATGATTTAGGGAGGATTCCCTCTTTGTCTGTCTTTTGAATTAGTGTCAATAGGATTTGTACCAGTTCTTCTTTGAAGGTCTCATAGAATTCAACTGTGAACTCGTCTGGTCCTGGACTTTTTCTTGTTGGCAATTTTTTTTATTATCATTTCAATCTTGCTGCTTATTACTGGTCTGTTCGGAATTTAATTTCATTGTGGTTTAATCTAGGAATGTTGTATATTTCCAGGAACTTATTTATCTCCTCTAGATTTTCTACTATGTGCATGCAAAGGTGTTCATAGTAGCCTGGAATGATCTTTTGTATTTCTGTGGTAGCAGTTATAATATCCCCTGTTTTGTTTCTAATCTAGTTTATTTGGATCTTCCCTCCTCTTTTCTTGGCTAATCTTGCTAATGGTCTATCAATTTTGTCTATCTTTTCAAAGACCTAGCTTTTGTTTCATTTATCTTTTGTATAATTTTTTCTTACAATTGTATTTAGTTCTGCTCTGATCTTTGTTAGTTCTTTTCTTCTCTGGGTTTGGGTTTGGTTTGTTCTTGTTTCTCTAGTTTCTTGAGGTGTGACCTTAGATTGTCTGTTTGTCCTTTTTCCAATTTTTTGATGCAGGCACTGCTTTTGCTGTATCCCAAAGCTTTTCATAGGTTGTGTCACTGTTATTCAGTTGAAATAATTTTTTAATTTCTATCTTGATTTCATTATTGATGCAACAATCTTTCAAGAGCAGGTTGTTTAATTTCCATGTATTTGCCTGCTTTTGAGGGTTCCTTTTCAAATTGATTTCCAGTTTTATTCCACTGTAGTTTGAGAGAGTACTTGATATAATTTCAATTTTCTGAAGTTTATCGAGACTTCTTTTGTGGCCTATCATATGCTCTATTTTGAAGAATGTTCCATGTGCTGATGAATGTACATTCTGTAGTTGTTGGGTAGAATGTTCTGTAAATATCTGTTAAGTCCATTTGTTCTAGGGTATAGTTTAAGTCCATTGTTGTTTTGTTGACTTTCTGTCTTCATGACCTGTCTAGTGCTGTCAGTGGGGTACTGAAGTCTCCCACTATTATTTTATTGCAGTCTATGTCATATGTCATTTTTTTTAGTTTTAATAGTAATTATTTTATAAATTTGGGAGCTCCAGTGTTAGAGATATATATATATATATTTAGGGTTGTGATATTTTCCTGTTGGACTAGTCCTTTTATCATTATATAATCTTCCTGTTTGTCTTTTTTTAACTGCTTTTGTTTTAAAGTCTGTTTCTCTAGACTTTAAACAATAAAGTCTGATTGTTTAAAGTCTGATAGACTTTATATCAGATAAACAATTAGCTAGAATTAACATTCTAGCTTCAAGTGATATTATATCACTTTGTATATGGTGTAAGAATCTTACAAAAGCATATTTCTATGTCTCTCCTGGCATTTGTGCTATTGTTATTAGATATTTTACTTCTAGATATATTATGAATCTATACTACATTGTTATTGATTGTCAACACTCAGTTTTCTTTTAAATAAATTTAAATAAGAAAAAGTCTTTTGAGTTACTCATTTAATTGCCATTTTTAATATTCTTTATTTCTTTGTGCAGATCCTCATTTTAATCTGGTATCCTTTTTCTTCTGCCTGAAGGACTTCTTTTAACATTTATTGTAGTGGAGGTTTGCTGGTTGTGAATTCTTTTGGTTTTTGTTCACCTATACTTTTGATAAATATTTTTGCTTTGTTCAGAATCCAAGCTGGCATTTTTTTTCTTTAAATATTTAAAGATGCTGTTTTAGTAATTTCTAGCTTGAATGGTTTCTAGTGGAAAATCTACTGTTCTTATCTTTGGGTCTTTGTACATAGTGTGTCGGTTTTCTCTGGCTGCCTTAAAGATGTTCTCTTTTTCATGGGTTTTGAACAGTTTGTTTACAATATGCCTTGATGTTGTTTTCTTCATGTTTTTGTGCTTGAAGTTTGTTGAGATTTTTGGATCTGTTTTATATGGTTTTCATCAAATTTAGGGTGTTTTGCCCATTGTTTCTTGAAATATTTTCAGTCCTAATTCTTCCTCTTCAGGGACTCCAATTACACATATATTAGGCCTCTTGGAGTTGCCCTACAGCTCCTGTTCAAAGTGTTACTCTGTTCATTTCTTTGAGTATTTCTTCTGGTTTTCATTGTGAATAGTTTCTCTTGCTATGTCTTCACTACTTTCTGTTTCCCTTTCTTTTTCTTAAAATAACATTTATTTACTAACTCACAATTCTGTGTGTTAGACATCCAGATGTGGCTTAACTTGAATTCTCTGCTCAAATTATCACAAGGCTGATATGAAGATATCAGCCAGGCTGAGTTCTTGACTGGAGGCTCTGGAGAAATATTTGCTTTTAAAGTCATTTAGGTTGTTGGTAGAGTCTATCTCATGTGCTTGTGGTACTAGAGTCCTTGTTTCCTTGCTGGCTATCAGTCAGGGACCACCTTCAGCTCATAGGGCCACCCACATTCCTTGCCATGTGTCCCCCTTTATCTTCAAAGCAGTAATGGTGTGTTGAATCCTTCTCAGACTTCAAATCTCTGACATGCTCCTCTATGACCAGCTGGAGAAAACTCTGCTTTTAATAAACTTACTTTATTAGGCCAGGCTCTCCCAAGATAATCTTCCTCTTAATACGTAATATAAGATAGTCATGAGAATGGTATCTCATGATGTTCCTGGTTGTTATGCAGTTGTTTTAGTCTGCTTTGGCTGCTATAACAAATACCATAGATTGGGTGAGGCTGAGAAATCCAAGATCAAGGTGCTGGCTGATTTGGCTTCTGGTGAGGGCCCTCTTCTTTGTTTGCAGATGGATGCATTTTTGCCATAGCCTTACATGGGGGAGAGATAGATTATTGCTGTCTTATTTCCTCTAAGAGCACTAATCCCATTCATGAGGGCCCCACTCTCAGGACCTAATCACCTCTCAAAGGCCCCACTTACAGATGTCATCCCATTGGGAATTAGGGCTTCCATATATAAATCTTGAGAGGACACAAACATTCAGTTCATAGCAGCAGGGTATGTACATGAAGGGGCAATCATTGAGGGCAAGTGTAGGGTCTTGCCACCACAGGTGGAGGTGGATTTCAAGTCCTAAAGAATGGCAACCTGGAAATGCTACATAACCATGGTGGAGAGATCTGGGAGGGACAGTTTTGCTTTTTCCAAGATCTTCATTTCTTTTTGATGATGATGCTTCTTTTTTCAGATTACTGAATATCAAAGAAAATCAACTGAAATGGTTAGTGCCTCCATCGGGCCTTTGGGCCTTCAAATGACATCTGGCCTAGGAGAGAAGCTTTCTGGGTGGCTCATTTAAGGAGGATTTCTCTCCCCTCCTGGGCTGTAAATTGAATCATGGCAGGAACTATATTTTCTGTAATCTTTCCCATCCCCAAAACAAAACAAGCCATAACAGCAAACATCCCCTGACACATTTTTTTATATTTCTGACACATGTTTCTCCCCATCTGGACACCCAGGCTTGAGAAAGAATTGTTTATGTTCCCCATCCCAGTCCCCGTGCTTACAAATGACTCTACCTGCTGCCATCTAGACACCCCACTATTCTACTACAAAGGCCACTACTGATTTCTTGGTTAGTAAGTATTTTTTTTTTTTTTGAGCCAGGGTCTTGCTCTGTCACCCAGGCTGGAGTGCAGTGCGTGATGTCAGCTCACTTCAGCCTCGACCTCCCAGGCTTGAGCAATCCTCTCACCTCAGCCTTCCAAGCAGCTGGGACTATAGGCGTGCACCACCATACCTGGCTAATTTTGTTTATTTTTTTTGTAGAGATGAGGTCTCTGTATGTTGCCCAGGCTGGTCTCGAACTCCTGAGCTCAAGCTGTTGTCCTGCCTTGGCCTCTCAAAGCGTTGGGATCACAGGCATGAATGAGCTGCTGTGTCTGGCCTTAGTTAGTCTTAACAGTTATGTTCTGTTCCTTATCTTAGCACTGGCATTTGACATTATTGATTACTCCTTTCTTTCTGAAACTTGTTCCTTCGTTTACTTCTTTGAACAAACCCATCTGCCTGTTCTCTTTTTGCCTGCATGTGCAAGTGTTGATTCTTAGTTGCCTTCACTAGAAACCCTTCCCCTGCATTTTCTAAATCTTGCCAGCTGATACTGGCAGAAAATAGACTTGTGGGATATGGTGAGGTTTCTCTTCAAATAACTGGATCAATCTTTTATTCTTTGATTCATAGTACCCCTCCCCCACCTCCTTTTGTCCTTTTTCCCTTTTTGCCTTTGTTAGATGCCTAGGCACGCCGCAGTACCAGGCATTATCAGTACCAGCTCACATTCCTTTCCTTATTCGGAAAGAGGACTAACTTTCTACAGACACCCCTTCCCCTTTCCTCTCCACTTTCTTTTACGTGCCCACCTTATCTAAAAAAATCAAATGTTTAGCCAACTGGGATTAGTTTAGATTGTATGACCTGACCCCAGCCAATGGGGAAAGGGTACAGAGGCAGGACTTGCGTCAGGAATAAAGGCTCTCGTGCCCCCTTGTTCAGGTGTGCTCTCACGGTGACTGGCCAAGGAGGCACCCCTCTGCGCAGAAGTAAAATTGCTTTGTTAAGAATCCTTTGTTTGAGTGTTCAATTTCCTTAGGATTTTGAGCATCATTCGTAACAGACTGAACTGAGTTAAATCCTGATTTGGTGAATGTTGTGTAACCTTGCAGAAATTATACAACTTCTCTCTCAGTTTCTTCTTCTGTGAAATGGAAGTTTTACCCATGCTGCAGGGTTATGGTGAAAGTGAGTGATGTTGCATGTAAAGCACCAACACATCAGAGCTCTCAGTCTTCTGTAGCTCCAGCCTTCGTGATAGCAGAGACCATATTTTAAAGATAGGACATTCTGATGCAGCTGTTTTGATGCCGGCATTTTGATAAAATGCCAGCCAAATATCCCCATGTCTAAATTGGCCTATCAAAATATCCTTATTGAGTGTTTTTTATTAGTTGAGCTATAGTTCACATACCATAAAATTTACTCTTTTTTTTTTTTTTTTTCTGAGACAGAGTCTTGCTGTGTCGCTCAGGCTGGAGTGCAGTGGCGCAATCTCGGCTCACTGCAAGCTCTGCCTCCCGGGTTCATGCCATTCTCCTGCCTCAGCCTCCTGAGTAGCTGGAACTACAGGCGCCCGCCACCTCGCCCGGCTAATTTTTTGTGTTTTTAGTAGAGACGGGATTTCACTGTGTTAGCCAGGATGGTCTCGATCTCCTGACGTGATGCGCCCACCTTGGCCTCCCAAAGTGCTGGGATTACAGGCGTGAGCCACCACGCCTGGCCAGAATTTGCCCTTTCAAAGTGTACATTTCAGTGATCCCTGGCAACCACTAGTCTTTTTTTGTTTTATGGACTTAAACTCTGGAAGTTTCATATAAATGGAATCATATGCTTTAAGCCTTTTTGTGTCTCTTTCACTTAGTATAATGTTTTTAATGTTCATCCATGAATCAGTATTTTATTTCTTTTGATGGCTGAATAATATTCTATTGTATGGATTTAAAACAATTTGTTTATCCATACATTAGTTGGTGGACATTTTGGTTGTTTCACTTTTTGCCTACTATCATTAATGCTGCTATGAAAATTTGTGTCACTAATCTTTTCTTATGCAGTATCTAATCTACTCTTCATCCTTTCAGTGTATTTTTCATCTCAAACATTGACATTTTTTTCTCTACAGTTCTTATTTAGGTCCTTTTTATGTTCCTTGTCTTACTTGACATGTTAAGTTATTCCTCTAGCTTCTTAAACATATGAAATATAATACCTGTTTAACTGTCCCTGTCTAGTAATTCTATCAACTGTGTCATTTCTTGGTCAGTTTCAATTGATTGCATCTTCTCATTATGGGTTGTATAACCCTGCTTGTTTGCATCCCAGAGGATGTTTTTTTAGATGACAGGCATTGTGAATTTTTCCTTTATGAGTATTGGATGTATTTGTATTGCCATGTAATTTTTTGAGATAGGGTCTCACTCTCTTGCCCGTCACTGCAGTGGCAAGATAATGGCTCACTGCAGCCTCAACTTCCCTGGCTCAAACGATCCTCCCACATCAGTCTCCCAAGTAACTAGGACTATAGGCATGTACCACCACCCTTGGCTAATTTTTTTAGGTTTTTGTAGAGACAAGGTCTTACTGTATTGCCCAGGCTGATCTCAAACCCCTGGGCTCAAGCAGTCCTCTTGCCTCAGCCTTCCAAAGTTCTGGGATTACAGGCACACACCCCTGCACACAGCTAATTTTTGTATTTTTTATAGTGGTGGGGTCTTGCTGTGTTGCTCAGACTGTCTTGCTGTGATGCTGTAAATCCTGGGCTCAAGCATTCCACGTGCCTCAGCCTCCCAAAGTGCTGGGATTACAGGCATGAGCCACCATGCTTAGCCCCCATAGTATTCTTGAGCTTTTCTCTGGAGTAAAGTTATATCACTGGGGAAGAGTCTGATCATTCTGGGTTTTGCTTTTCAGCCTTATTAGGCGTGTACTGATCAGCAATTCTTTCAAAAACATGTACTGTCTGACCCGTTAAGAAAAAGAGTGTTGACCCTCTCTTTGCATATTGTCAGGTTACTATTCAGAATGGTGCCATTTAGGCTGAAAAAGCAAATGGCAGATTTTGCAACTCTTTGGCCAGTGAGAGTCTAAGTATGGAAGACAAGGTGAATTTAAATGTTATTAATGGATTCTTCTGAAATCTATTCACAAGGACATCCTTTTGTTTGCTTGCTATTTTTATGAAGAGCTGTCCCATCATAAGGCATTGGGGACCATGCTGGAGTACTAGTGCCAGGGAGGCTCCCATGAGGCCCTTAGGATAGCGGGGGGCTGTAGAGCTTAGGGAGGCTGAAGTTTACCCATCTCTGACAGGCTGGCAGGATCACAGCTGTGGAGCTGTCAGTCATATGCCAAACATCATCTGGACAAACTCAGCCCTTTGGCTGAGAGGTTTAGCAATGAAGCTAGAGACTGGCCATTAAAGGAATGTCGAGGACTGTTCTCCTCTCTCGTTCCAAAACCCCTTAAGGTTTTCTCTTGAGATGATTTTAAGAGAGTGGACCTAAGAAGTCTGTCAAATGCAGAAAACACCTAAAGAGGATGCCTTCAGCTGTGGGTCTCAGGACAGGTCAGTGGAGCCTACAGAGCAGGAGGCTCGCCCTGCAGGCCGGGACTGGGAATCCCACGTTAGAGCAATGGGGCCGAGTAGATGCACAGGAGGCAGGAGTATCCACAGCCCTTGTGCTCCCTACCACAGAGCAGCAGGGAGGCAGCAGAATGACATAACCTGCATCTTTACAATAGTCAACCAGTGAGTGTGGTGTCAAGAGACTCTAAAATACAAGCAGCTCCGCAGCTGCCAACTTCATTTGTCTGGAGATAAGCCCAGGTTGAAAAAGAGCCTGCGCCCCTCACACATACCTCAGGTCCTAAGGAGCTTCCCTGTGAGTAGCGAGATTTCCCGCCAACATGGAACCCGGCTCTAGCCCTTCCTGCATGAACCTCATGCAAACAGCTGGACAGGAAGAACTGCCCTCTGAGAAGATGAGTAAGGGTCAGAGTCTCCACCTCCCTATTCCCCTTTCTCTCCTTACCTACACACAACTGCTAGGCCCCAGATTCAAGAGCCTGGGTCCCTAGGAAACCCAAAAAGTGTTTTCTTTTTCTGTTTCTCTCCCTTTCTCTTATATACTTTTATTACCATAAAATGTTAGGGAACTAGATACCCAATCAGTTTTACCTGTTATGGTCAAAATGAAGTACAGAGACTGGAACTCCCCCTTATGCAAGTCCTGGGGCCTGCATGGACTCATCTCAACAGAGACATTTAAGAAGCTTATTCCAGCCACCAAGAGAAAATAAGATATTCCAATCCACACCTGGTTCTTACAAAGCAAGTGACCCCATCCTCACCACTCCAAACTCTCACTTTCCTTTTGTCTCCTCATATCTCCTATCCTGTATATTTTCTGGAGCCTGTCTCTTTCTCCCTGATTCTCAAATATGCCCCAGGGGTGCTCTCCCTCTCCCTTGGCATCCACCTCGGTCACAACCATCAGCGTCATCTTACCCCCCTCTTCACACCCAGCTTCACCACCAGTGAACACAGGGTAACTGCCTGATCTTTCACTCTGGTTCTACCCGTGTCCTGTGTTCCTGCAGAGAAGGACAGGGAAGCTCTGGACTTTCTGCCTCATGTCTTGAAAAGCTTTGAGAATATGCCATGTTGGTTTCCACTGGACTCTCAGCTCATCTCATAGTACGAGGTCTTCCTGTCTAGCTGTTTGCACAAGTAGTACGTTCCAGGCAGAAGAAACAACACACACAAAAGCCTTGAGGTGGGAGTGAGCCTGGTGTGGTCAGAGAACAGGAATAAAGCCAGTGTGGGTGGAGTAAGTGAGAGGAGGAGAGTGAGAGAGGAAGTAGGGAGGTGGGTGATGTACAGATCACATGGGGCCTCCAGGCCCGGGTTAGAAGTTTGGATATTAATTCCAAAACCCCACAAAAGTTTTAAACATCATCTGATTTATGTTTTTACAAAGATTATCCTGGGTAGTCTCTGTAGAATAGGAGAGGTAATGGCAGAAGCGGAGAGGTCAGTTGTGAGCTGTTAGAGTTTACAGATGAGAGTTACTGTCAGGACAGCTGGGAGGATGGAAGGAGAAAGGGGTGAAATTATTGGGATACATTTTGGAGGTAGAGCCAATAGGATTGGACTCTGAGCACGGGTGATGGGGAAACAGAGGAACCAATCATGACTGCTAGGATTTTGGCTTGAGCTACCGGAAGGATGGTGATGTTATTTATTCATGTAGGTTGACTAACCAGGTCAACTAGGGAGGGACTAGGCCTGTGCAGAAATATGAAGAACTCCCTTTTGGGAATTCTTGTGGAGTTTTCACAGAGGTAATTATGAGTCAGGGGTTCTTGAAGAGGTCAGGGCTGGAGATTGAAATCTGCGTCTCACTAGATGCCAAGTCAGAGGACTGCAGCTAGGGAAAATGTGCCCCAAGATGGGCCCCTACAACATTCTGACATTTAAAGATCTGGCAAAGAAGGCTCAGCAGCAACAGCTAGTATAGAGGGTGGAAAACCAGAAGAATATGGTGTCCCGGAAGCCACAAGAAGGAAGTGCCTCAAAGAAGCAAAAAATGGTCAATAATGTTGAATGCCACTGGGCAGTTGGAGGGAGAGAAAGGATCAGTGAATTTGGCAATATGGAAGACGTTGATTCTCTTTACAAGAACACTTTAAGTGGAGTCATGGAGACCAATCCTTATTAGCCAGAGAGAGGGAAGTTGACACCCAAGTGTAGCCACCTCAGGCTTATGAAATATAAGGGGCAAATAGCAAAAATGGCCAGACAAGACTTGGAGCTCTTTCATTATTCAGGAAATGAGAATGATTCTGTTATGGTCAGGGTTTCTGAAAACCACTTAACAATAATTTGACAACACTCACATGCAGAACTTCCTTGAAAATCACTTCTCTACTGACCTTGGCCCAAATAGACACAGCACTGTCAGCTGTCCCCAAATGTGTTCGGGGTCACAAAAAAGTCTATTAACTTCACAAGTAATTGATACTTTAATTTTATTGCTGTAATTTTACAAAATATTGTCTGCAGTCATTTTGCAGTCCTTTTGCTCAGCTTTTTTCTTAGAAAATCAAAACAGGCCTGGCACAGTGGCTCACGCCTGTAATCCCAGCACTTTGGGAGGGTGAGGCAGGCAGATCACCTGAGGTCAGGAGTTCGAGACCAGCCTGGCCAACATGGCAAAAACCCGTCTCTCTGAAAATACAAAAATTAGCCGGGCATGGTGGCAGGCACCTGTAATCCCAGCTACTTGCAAGTCTGAGACACAGGAATCACTTGAACCTGGGAGGCGGAGGTTGCAGTGAGCCGAGATCACACCACTGCATGCTAGCCTGAGCAAAAAAAAAAAAAAAAAAGAAAAGGAAAAGAAAAAGAAAATCAAAACAGCTAGCAGCTAGAGGATATCCTAAAGAAGCAAGGGCAAGGAAAATGGTCCAAGCAAATGGACAAAGCCTCTGAATGGCTTACTGCAAGAAATTTCAGAGGATAAATAGAAGTTAAGTAAGCTATTGTCCCAAACAATGAAAGATGCCTATTGTAAGACTGTGGGGAGAAGAGTTACTCTGACATGCTTCAGGGAAAGTAATGACTTTTTTAAAGGCTAAACTTGTATACAGAATTATTTCAACAACCTAAGTATAATGATGATTGATATGGTGCTGTATCCCCACCCAAATCTCACCTTGAATTGTAGTTCCCATAATCCCCATGTGTTGTGGGGAGGGACCAGGTGGAGATAATTGAATCATGGGGGTGGTTTTCTTATCCTGTTCTTGTGATAGTGAGTTAGTTCTCATGAGATCTGATGGTTTGATAAGGGGCTTCCCCCTTCACTGGGCACTCATTCTCTCTCCTGCTGCTCTGTGAAGAGGTACCTTCCTTCATGATTGTAAGTTTCCTGGCCTCCCCAGCCGTGCAGAACTGTGAGTCAATTAAACATTTTTCTTTATAAATTACCCAGTCTTGGATAATTTATTCTTCATAGCAGCGTGAGAATGAACTAATACAATGATAATGATACTAATGTATCATTATAAATACAATGAAGATAACTAATGTGACTATTCAGAGTTATTATATGTATTTTATATAATCTGCCAACAAGCCTGTGAGATTGTTCTTTTGTTTTCTTCACAGATAAGGACGTTGCTTTACAGATGAGGCTCAGGGTGACTAAGTAACATTGACAAGATCACAAGTCTAATAATTCAGAGTAGTAGTACCCAAGTGGAGATCCATGTGGGCACTAATTCATGTTGTTTATCAGCAAGATGACAGAGCATTGCCATTTAGGTGCAACTGGAAGGCCCAGTTCACAGTGTCCCCTTGGGCAAATAGGAAGGTTCCAGTTTGGGGAGGTTTGCAAGTTAAGGTCAAACCTAGCTGAATTAATAAGACCTTTCCATAATCCCCTGAATTTCCCTTTTGCCCCTTACTAGACAATTCCCAATCCTACTACCTTATCCCAGGTGAATATTCATCTGCTTTTTGATGCTATAAATTATATCATATTTTCTAGACTTTTGTATAAATGGGATCATACAGTATGTACTGTTTTTGTATCTGGTGTCTGTCACTCATCATAATGTTTTTGAGATTCACTCATGTTATTACATGCATTTGTAGTTCATTCCTTTTATTGCCGAGTATTGTATGGATGTACATACCACAATTTGATCATCTATTCACCTGTTGATAGACATTTGGGTTATTTTCAGTTTTTGGCTCTAACAAATGAAGGTGCTATGAATGTTCATGTACAAGTCTTTCTGAGGGCATATGGTTTCACTTCTCTTGGACAAATACCCAGGAATGGAACTGCTGGGCTATACAGTAAATGTATGTTTAATTTTATATGAAACTGCCAAAATATTTTTCAAAGCAGTTTTCCTATCTTACAGTCCCATGAGCAATCTATGAGAGTTACAGTGGCTTCACAGGCTCACCAGTGTCTGAAATTGTTAGTCTTTTTAATATTAGCCAGTCCAGTGGGCATGTGGCAATATCTCATTTTAGTTTTAATTTGCATTTCTCTGATAATGAATGATGTTGAACAGCTTTTTTTGTGTTTATTTGTATTCATATATCTTCTTTGGTGAAGTGTGTGTTCAAATCCTTTGATCATTTAAAAAATCTGTTGTTTTTTTCCCAAGTATTATTTAGCTGTAAGGGATATTTATATATTCTAAATACAAGTTTTTGTTTAGATATATCTTTTGAAAATATTTCCATCTGGTGTTTGTCTTGATTTTTCATTACTTAACAGTGTCTTTCAAAGAGTAGACTTTTAATTTTGATAAATTCCAGTTTTCATGTACCTTACTTAAATAAGGTACCTTGACTAGGCAAATTCAAATTTAGAGATAGAAATTAGAATAGCAGTTGCCATGGCTGGAGAGACAGGGGGAGTTGTGTTATGGGTACAGAACGTCAGTTTTGCAAGATGAAAAAGTCCTAGAGATTAATTTCACAACAGTTTAAGTATACTTAACACTGTTGAACTATATAATTAGAAATTATTAAGCTGGTAACTTTTATGACACCTGAATTTTACCACAATCAAAAAAATTCCAAGGTATTTTATGTTTTCCTATGCTACTGGCAATATTTAAAATATTTTAATTTCTAGGTACACCTTATGGATCTAGGATATGTATTTTTGTTATCTTTCAATTGAGAAGATTTTCTAATTTCTCTCATGACATATTTGGCCCAGAGTCTATTTAGTAGTATGTTGCTTAATTCCTCCAAATTTGGGGATTTCTTAGATACTCTTCTGTTGATTTTTGGTTTCATTCCATATGTTCAGGGAACACGCTTTGTTTAATATGAATCTTTATAAGCTTATTGTGGCTTCTATTTTATACTCACAAGTATGGTCTGTGCTTATGTTTGGTATACTGATGGATAAATGTCAATTAGGTCCAGTTGATTGATAGCGTTATTGCAGTCCTTTACATTTTTATTATTTTTTAAAAAATTTGTTCTATCAGTTACTTACAGAAGAATGCTAAAATTTCTAGATGGAAATTTGGATTTAAAACACTATTTCAGTAATACCAATTTTTGCTTCACATTTTAAAGCTCTATTATTAGGTGCATAAACTCATTTGGGATTTTGATGTCTTCTTACTGAATTTACTGGCTTTCATTATGAAATATGCATCTTTATTCGTGGTAATATTCCTTCTTCAGAAAACCAATTTCCTATGCTATTAATATAGTACTCTAGCTTTTTGCCTTTAATTTTAATTTTCTAATTTTATCTTAGGTTTAGGGGTACATGAGCAGCTTTGTTATATAGGTAAATTGTGTGTGGTTTGGTATACAGATTATTTCATCACCCAGGTGATAAACACAGTAGCCTATGGGTAGTTTTTCAATCATCACCCTCCTCCCACCTTCTACCCTCAAGTAGGCCCTAGCGTCTGTTCTCTTCTTTGTTTCAATATGTACTCAATATCTAGCTTTCCCTTATAGATGAGAACATGCCATGTTTGGTTATCTGTTTCTGCAAAGGAAATGATCTCGTTCTTTTTTATGGCTGTGTAGTATTCCATATGTATTCCCTTTTCTCTGCAACCTCACCAGCATCTCTTACTTTTTGACTTTTTAGTAATTGCCATTCTAACTGGTGTGAGATGGTAGTTCATTGTGGTTTTCATTTTCATTTATTTAATGATTAGTAATGTTGGGCATTTTTTCATGGATTTGTTGGCTGTGTGTATGTCTTCTTTTGAAAAGTATCTGTTAATGTCTTTTGCCCACTTTTAAATGGGATTGCTTGTTTTTTTTTCTTTTGAATTTGTTTAACCTCCTTATAGATTCTGGATATTAGACCTTTGTAGGATGCATAGTTTGCAAATATTTTCTCTTATTTGGTATTGTCTGTTTACTCTGTTGATAGTTTCTTTTGCTGTGCAGAAGTTCTTTAGTTTAATTAAGTCCCATTTATCAATTTTTGTTTTTGTTGCAATTGCTTTTGGTGTTTTTGAAATGAAATCTTTGCCAGGTCCTATGTGCAGAATGGCATTTCCTCCTATGTCCAGATAGGCATTTCCTAAGTTATCTTCAAGGGTTTTTATGGTTTTAAGTATTACATTTAAGTCTTTAATACATCTTGAGTTGATTTTTGTATGTGGTGTAAAGAAGGGATTCAGTTTCCATCTTCTGCATATGATTAGCCAGTTACCCCAGCGCCATTTATTGAATAAGGACTCTTTCCCCTGTTGCTTGTTTTTGTTGACTTTGTTTTTCCTCCTCAATTTTTTGGAATAGTTTCAGTGGAAATGATACCAATTCTTATTTATACATTGTTTAGAATTTGGCTATGAATGCATTTGGTCCTGGGTCTTTTTCGGTTGGTAAGCTTTTTATTACTGATTTGATTTCAGAACCTGTTATTCATATGTTCAGGGATTGAATTTCTTCCTGGTTCAATCTCAGGACATTGTGTGTTTCTAGGAATTTATCCATTTCATCTAGGTTTTCTAGTTTGTAAGGGGTTTTGTATTTCTGTGGGGCCAGTGGTAATGTCCCCTTTATCATTTCTTGTTGTGTTTATTTGCATCGTCTCTCTTTTTTTAATTAATCTAGCTAGTGGTCTATCCATGTTGTTTATTCTTTCAAAAACTAAACTCTTGGATTCATTAATATTTTGTATTAATGTTTTACACATCTCAGTTTCCTTCAGTTCACCTCGGATTTTGGTTATTTCTTGTCTTCTGCTAGCTTTGGGGTTGGTTTGGTCTTGTTTCTGTAGTTCCTCTAGGTGTGATGTTAGGTTGTAATTTGATATCTTTCCAACTTTTATGTGGGTCTTTAGCACTGTACATTTCCCTAACACTGCTTTAGTTATGTCCTAGAGATTCTAGTATGTTGTATTTTGTTCTCATTAGTTTCAAAGAATTTCTTGATATCTGCCTTAATTTCATTGTTTACCTAGAGGTCATTCAGGGGTAGGTGGTTTAATTTCCATGTAATTGTATGGTTTTGAGCTTAGTATTGACTTCTGTTTTTATTGTGCTGCGGCCTAAGAGTGTGTTTGTTATGATTTTGGTTTTTAAAAATTTGCTGAAGATTGTTATATGGCTGATTGTGTGGTCGATTTTAGAGTATATGCCATGTGCAGAAGAGAAGATTGTATGTTGTGTTTTTAGTTAGAGAGTTTGGTAGATATATGTTAGGCCCATTCAGTCAAATAATTGAGTTCAGGTTCTGAAAATCTTTGTTAGTTTTCTGTCTCAATGATCTGTCTAATACTATTAGTGGGGTATTTAAGTCTCCCACTATTATCCTGTGGTTACCTAAGTCTCTTCATAGGTCTCTAAAAACTTGCTCTGTGAATCTGGATGTTCCTGTGTTGGGTGCATATGTATTTAGGATAGTTAGGTCTTCTCATTGAACTGAATCCTCTGCCATTATGTAATGACCTTCTTTTTCTGTTTTTGATCACTGTTGGCTTAAAGTCTGTTTTGCCTGAAATTAGAATAGCAATCTCTGCTTTTTCCTGTGTTTTCTTTGCTTGGTAGATTTTTCTTCCTCTCTTTACTTTGAGCCTGTGGATTTCATTACATCTGAAATGGGTCTCTTGTAGACAGCATACAGTCAGGTTTTAGTCCTTTATCTAGCTTGCCATTCTGTGTATTTTAATTGAGGCTTTTAGCCCATTTACCTTCAAAATTAATATTGTTATGTACAGGTTTGATCCTGTATTTGTGGTGTTAGTTGATTATTATTATGCAGAATTGATTGTGTGGTTGTTTTATATTGTCAATGGTCTATGTTCTTTAGTGTGTTTTTGTGGTGGCCAGCAATGGTGTTTCCATATGTAGCACTCCCTTAAGGACCTCTTATCTAGTGGTAACAAATTCCCTTTGCATTTGCTTGCCTGGAAAGGATTTTATTTCTTCTTTTCTTATGAAACTTAGTTTGACTGGATATTAAATTCTTGGTTGGAATTTATTTTCTTTAAGAATTTTGAATATAGGCCCCCAGTCTCTTCTGGCTTATAGGGTTTCTGCTGAAAGTTCTGCTGTTAGCCTAATGGGGTGAGCTTCTTTTTCTCTCTAGCTGCCTTTAACATTTTTTTTTTTTTCATTTTGACTTTGGAGAATTTGATGACTATGTGTCTTAGGGATGGTCATCTTGTATAGTGTCTTACGAGGGTTCTCTGAATTTCCTGAATTTGAATATTGGCCTCTCTACTGAGGTTGGGGAAATGTTCATGGGTGATATCCTCAAATATGTTTTCCAAATTGCTTGTTTACTCTCCCTTTCTTTCAGGGACACCAGTGAGTTATAGATTTGGTCTCTTTACACAGTTTCACATTTCTTGGAGGTTTTGTTCATTCTTCTTTATTGTTTTCTTTTTATTTTTGTCTGACAGTTATTTTGGAGAACTGGTCTTTGAACTCTGAGATTCTTTTCTCAGCCAGGTTGATGCTTTTTTTTTTTTTTTAATTATTATTTTTTTATTTTTTTATTATACTTTTAAGTTTTAGGGTACATGTGCATGTGCCATGTTGGTGTGCTGCACCCAGTAACTCGTCATTTAACATTAGGTATATCTCCAAATGCTATCCCTCCCCCCTCCCCCCACCCCACAACAGGCCCTGGTATGTGATGTTCCCCTTCCTGTGTCCATGTGTTCTCATTGTTCAATTCCCAACTATGAGTGAGAACATGCGGTGTTTGGTTTTTTGTCCTTACGATAGTTTGCGTTGATTCTGCTGTTAATACTTCTGGTTATATTATGAAATTCTTGAAGTGAATTTTTCAGCTTTATCAGTTCACTTTGGTTCTTTCTTAAAATGGCCATTTCATCTTTTATTTCCTATATTGATTTATTGTATTCTTTAGAGTCCTGGGATTGGTTTCAGCTTTTTCCCAAATCTTGACAATCTTCGTTCCTGTCCATATTCTGAATTCTATTCCTGTCATTTCAGCCTTCTCAGCCTGGTTAAGAATCATTACAGGGAAACTAGTGCTGCTGTTTAAAGGTAAGAAGACACCGTGGCTTTTCGAATTGCCAGAGTTCTTGCACTGGTTCTTTCTCATCTGTGTGGGCTGATTTTCCTTCAGTCTTTGAAGTTGCTATTCTTTGGATTTTTTTTTTTTTTTTTTTTTGCTTTTATCTTCTTCGATGCCTTTGGGTGTTTGATTATGGCATAAGGTGGATTTAGTCAACTGGCTTCAAAGCTAGTTTGCTCCTACGTCTTGCAGGAGCCCCTTCCAATTACTGTCTCCATGACCACATTTCTGGTCCACAAGGCTCCCTGATGCAGGAGTCGCAGTTGGCAGACAGGCCATATCCTTACCAAATCAGCCCTAATCTACTCTCTGAGTGCTTCCTGGTAGAATGTAAGGTTGCATCTGCCCACAGAGTTCAGGCAGAAGTAGGACTGCTTGGCTGGAAGCTCTAGCAGGTGTGGCCCATCTGGCTGTGAGAGGCGAGGGTGGGTGAAGTTGCCTGCCATGCCATCCAGGTGTTTCCAAGGCAATAGGAGGCTGTGCCACTTGGCAAATTCAGGTAGAAGTAGGACTATTGGGCTGAAAGTGCTAGCAGTCATGGCTTGCCTGGCTATGAGAGTTGGGGTCGGGTGGAGTCATCAACTCTGCTGTCCTAGCATTTCCTAGGAAAACAGGAGGCCATGCCTGCTGGCTAAGTTCAGACAGAAGTGGGACCGTTTGTCTGTAAGCTCTAGCATATGTTGCCCATCTAGCTACCACTGGCAAGGGTGGGGTTGTTTACTTTGCCATCTGGTGGCTTCCTGGAACAACAGGAGGGCTGTGCCTGCCAGCTGAGTTTCCACAGAAGCAGCACTCCTGGGCCAGAAGCTCTAGCAGGCATTGCCTGCCTGGCTCCCAGTGGCAGGGGTGGGTTGGGTCACCTGTCCTGCCATTTGAGTGCTTCCTGGAACAACAGGAGGCTGCAGCTGCCAGCCAAGTTCAGGCCAAAGCAGGACTGCTGGGCTGGAAGCTGGTGCTGAGCTTTGTCTAGCAAGGGGGTGCAGCAGTCTTACTGCTCCCAAGCACCATGACTGTGGCCTCTATTGGGGCTACGGTGCTGGTGCTAGTCTTCTCTGGGGACCAAGGCTTGTGGTGGTCCCCTTGGACTTGGGAGTTGCCCCCACAAAATGTCCAGGTGGCTCTCTGCCTCAATTTAGAAGCATAGGGGTGGGGCGGGGTGTCAAGGGGATTCTTCTGTTCCCAGTTTTCTCCAGTTCCTTGTGGAGAGTGTGAATCCCCAGGGGCTCTCACTCACTCACTCTTTCCCAAGTTGCTGGTTTTTTGCAAGTCAGAGAGGCTCTCTTGGCTCCATGTTGAGCCCAGAGAAGCTGGTACCCAGCTTCACCCCTCTCCGCTGTCTGTGTCCACCTGCTGCCTTGGTGGATCCCAATGTGGTTTCTCCTAGCCCTTCTTTTTTTTTTTTTTTTTTTTTTACTATTTACTTGGTAAATCACTTTTCGGTCTTTTACTTTTAATCTGTTTGTATTTTTCTATTTAAAATAGGCTTTAAAAATCTAATCCTCCAATTTCTGCCTTTTAATTTTAGACTATTTACATTTAATGAAATTATCAGTATGGTTTTAATATGCCATCTTGTTATTCGTTTTCTATTTGACCTATTTCTTCATTCTTTTTATCCCCTTTCACTCCTTTCATTTGGATTAGTTGACTTTTTTTTTTTTTTTTGAGCCAAAGTCTTGCTGTGTTGCCCAGACTGGAGTGCAGTGATGTGATCTCGGCTCACTGCAAGCTCCGCTTCCTGGGTTCAGGTGATTCTCCTGCCTCAGCCTCCTGAGTAGCTGGGACTACATGTGCCCGCCACCACGCCTGGCTAATTTTTGTATTTTTAGTAGAGACAGGGTTTCACTATGTTGGCCAGGCTGGTCTCAAACTCCTGACCTCCAGTGATCAGCCTCCCAAAGTGCTGGGATTACCGACGTGAGCCACTGCGCCCAGCCATGTTTCTTCTTATTTCTAGTAATTTTGATTGGATGTTGGACATTGTGAATTTTATCTTGTTTGATACTGTATATTGTTCTATTTCCTTGAAGATTATTGAACTCATTCTGGCAGGTAGTTTAGTTACTTTTCAATTAGTTTGATTCTTTCAAGGCTTAAAGTTCTTTTAGAATATCTATAAAGTAACCTTTCTTCTAGAGCTGATTTCTGAAGTCTCTGTTGAGTACCTGTGTATTCAACAAGATGTCTCCATTTTGGCTGTAGTGAAGTGGAACCGTTATCAGCCTGTGTGAGTTCTGGGAATTGTTTATCTTACAGCTGCCTCATAGCTGTTCTTTCCTCAAAAGTTGTTCTTACTCAGTCTTTGGGGTTTTGTTAAATTATGCATGCAGATTGATATTCATCCAAAGGGTTAATGGGACTCTTATGCAGGTTTTTGGATATTTTGTGGGCATGTCTCCCTCCTCTCTGTCCCATACATTCTAGCTGCCTTGACCTCCCCAAACTTTGGTCTGTATCTTCAACTTACCATGATGGACAGCTTCTATTTGAGTTTCTCCATCCTGTGCTGTGGCCAGGAAACTTCCTCTAGGCAGAGAGATAGGGCAATGACTTGACACACCTTGTTTGTTTTCCTTCCCTGAGGATCATAGCCCTTTGCTGGCTATTGTATACTTTCTGAAAATGTTAGCTTCATATATTTTGTTTGTTTTTTAACTGTTTATGGCTATTTCCATATAAGTTAATTCTTCATGTGTGAACTTTCTCTTACATATTCATCAAAGGTTATTAGCATCAGATAGTTTTTGTTGTAGCTGAAAGAAACTAACTTTTGTGTTTATACTTTTAGTTCCAGGCTATTTTTTATGATTGTTTTACTTTGTTACTGTTTGAAGAATGCTTTATTTTTTGAGATAGGGTCTCCTTCTGTTGCTTAGACTTGAGTGCAATGATACGATCTTGGCTCACGCTAACCCCTGCCTCCAGGATTCAAGCAATTCTCGTGCCTCAGCCTCCCATGTAGCTGGGACCTCAGGTGCGCATCATCATGCCTGGCTAATTTTTGTATTTTTTGGTAGAGACGGGGTTTCACCATGTTGGGCAGGCTGGTCTTGAACTCCTGAATTCAAGAGACCCACCTGCCTCAGCCTCCCAAAGTGCTGGGATTACAGGCATGAGCCACCATGCCCAGCCTCAAGAATGCTTTAAAAACATGTTAGTATGTGGTTGTATGTGTATGTTTAACAGGTGTCACATACTCACCAGGTTAGGATTCTGTGTAGGTCTTTGGTGCGAATAACTTCTGTGAGAATAACTTTGGCTATTCTCATACCTTTATTTTACATGGTCACTCAAAGATCTAAGTACCATCACACTGGCAAATAAGAGCTGGAGACAGAAACAGCCCGTGATGCTGTGCCCTGAAATTTAGCATTTACATATTTCCAACCTCAAGTGATTTTCTTTGTTCTGAAACCTAAGACCTGGTTTGATATGTAAATTACACTCCATTTTTTTTTCAGTTCTCAGATAGGAAACCTCTTAGATTAATAACAGGCCAGTATGCTGTGACTTAGATATCGGGAATAATTTCTGGTGTTTCCCTCCTATGTTGATCCTGTAAGTATCACTAGGTTTACGGTGGTCTTAAAGCGGCCTAAAAGAACTGGACATGCAAGAAATACATGCTAGTCTACAATGAGGATCCTCCTAGTGTTTCTGTGTCATAAATGAATGATATTTCCTAAGACCCTTGAGTCTTAACAGATCTTGATGTGACTGTATCTTCTGGAGAATAAAAGAATCTGAGCACTTCATTACATCTTACATCATTTTCGTGTTTTTGAATCCAGTGTTCTTTGACTTCGTAACCATGCTTAAAACTTTGAGTTTGGACTGTCGTCAGGTCTGGGTATGAAACACAAGATCTTGTTTGAGTGCTCAAAATACAGCAGAACTATTACCTCCCTTTAGGTGAGCATGAAATTTTTATTAGTGAAACCTAAGATCGTGTATTTTAAAAATTTGTTGTTAGAATCCTCATTTCTAAGAAGTAAAAAGGCAGTACTTTTCTACACTGCCTTTTTAGTAGATTTTTATGTGTTTCATGTTCTTTCTTCAGAAAAACCTCCTTAATGGCCTAACACATTGTATAAAAATTGTTAACCTGTACAGTGTACAGAATGTCAGGATGTAATTTGTGCATATGGTAAATGCAACTAAAATAAATATACCCAGTTGTACCTGAAAGCATAATGTTTTTGTGTCAGACTATGCAACCTGAAAGAACTGTAATATTTTTTGATAGGAGCAGTTGAAGTGTCAGAATAGAAGTTTTTAAAGGAATAGATGAGAGTACTGCATTCTATAAATAACCAGAGAAATTCAATCGTGTAAGAAAAGTTGGGACAGTTCTTCTCAACATACATCCAGTTTTGTTATGAATTCTGCTTATTAAAATAAATTTTATTTTAGAGTTTGACATACTGTGTAAAGTTTCCTCTTTGGTCATTTTTTTAAATAGGATGAATCATACCAAGTTATAACATGAAGACCGTGAAATTATTAAAAAATCTTAAAGAGCAGGTAAACTTGATTGGAACAATCTAAACAAGCACAGTCTGGGCAGCCATGATAATGTTAGAAATTTATCAAAGTGTACACATCTGCTCAGTATTTCTGGTATAAGAATTCTGAAAATATGACAGTTTTTTTCTCCATGACTTTAGTCTCTTTGGTAGCAAAGCATATGGTAGTTCTCAATCTTCTGATTTGTATTAGATGACTAGTTTTAATTTTTAACAAATTTAAGCGGGTGCAGTGGATGTTAACATCAGATCCTATGGGTGCCCTTCAGACAGCAGGAGGGGCTTCTCCACCTCTTCACATTCTGGCAGAGCTCAGTGATAGAAAGCATGAGGCCTGGGGGCGCATTGATTCATTCTGTTAACCTGCTCCTAGCGCTGGCTCTGCACAGAGCACTGGGATGTGTTGTGGAAAAGTGTTATTAAAGGGGGAAGAATGTTAGCGGGCAGCTTATCCTGTATTAACGAGGGCTTCATAGAGTGGTAGCATGGGAACTGGGCCTGGAATAATTTATTAGATGGACTAAGTGAAACAGCGAGGTCCATGCGGAAGGAACATGGCAGAGGCATGGAGATTTGCAGCTTCTTTAGGAAACGGGCCAGTTTTATGGATAGATACAGAGTGTGTGGGTTGGTTGTCACTGAAAATAAAGCCAGATGGGTAGGTTGGGGCCAGATTGTGGGGGGATTTCAGCGCCAGTCTACGTTTGGAGGTTTTTTTTTTTTTTTTTTTTTTTTGACAGAATTGGGTATCTTTAGGTTTTAAAATAGAGAATTGACATAATTTTATATTTTGAAGAGACAGTTCTGAGCGGCACTGTGGATAAGTAATGTAGGGAGGCCAGTGAGGAAACTACTGTTGTAGTGTAAGCACAAGATAATAATGTTTTTACACATTGTCATATTTTCCAGATTTTTATAATGCTATATATTGCTTTTGTGATCACAATAAATTTTTTAAACTTTTATTTTAGGTTCGGGGTACATGTGCAGGTTGTTATATAGGTTAGCATGTGACAGGGGTTTCTTATACAGATTATTTTGTCACCCAGGTACTAAGCCTAATACCCTACCCAATAGATATTTTTTCTGCTCCTCCCCACCCATCCCTCACCCTCAGGCAGGCTCCAGTGTCTGCTTCTCTCTTTATGTCCATGAGTTCTAATCACTTAGCTGTCACTTGTAAGTGAGAACATGCAGTATTTGGTTTCTGTTGCTGTGTTAGTTTGCTAAGGAGAGTGACCTCTAGCTCCATCCATGTTCCTGCAAAGGATGTGATCTCATTCTTTTTTATGACTGCATGGTATTCCACGGTATGTATGTTCCACATTTTCCTTATTCTGTCTTCCACTGATGGGCATTTAGATTGATTCCATGTCTCTGCTGTTGTGAATAGTGCTACAGTGAACATATGCATGCATGTGTCTTTATGATAGAACAATTTATGTTCCTTTGAGTACATACCCAGTAATGAGATTGCTGGGTTGAATGGTAGTTCTGATTTTAGCTCTTTGAGGAATTGCCACACTGCTTTCCACAGTGGTTGAGCTAATTTACATTCTTACCAACAGTGTGTGTAAGTGTTCCTTTTTCGCCACAACCTTGCCAGCATCTCTTATTTTTTGACTTGTTAGTAATCGCCATTCTGACTGGTGTAAGATGGTATCTCATTGTGGTTTTGATTTGCATTTCTCTAATTGTGAGTGATATTGAGCTTTTTTTTCATAGCTTGTTGACCTCATGTATGCCTTCTTTTGAGAAGTGTCTGTTCATATCGTTTGCATGCTTTTTAATGGGGTTGTTTGTTGTTTTCTTATCAATTTGTTTCAGTTCCTTATAGATGCTAGATATTAGACCTTTGTCAGAGGCATAGTTTTCAAATATTTTCCCCTGTAAATTTGTCTATTTACCTGGGAAAAAATAAACAGACATAGTCTGTTGTCTGTTAACTCTGTTGTTAGTTTCTTTTGTGGGATTGCAGTAATTTTTAAGTTGACACTGTAGAACTCAGGAGGAGCAGATGGAGAGGCTGTGCAGTCTCCTAGTCAGTCCTGGTGCTCTGAGTCTCACCCCAGATTCTCTATTTATTACTTAATCTATACCTCTCTTAGCCTCACTTTCTTTATCTCTAAAAATGAGAATAATAGCAGAACATAAAGCACTTGATTGTTAAAAGTACTGAATGAAAGCTCTTAGAATAGGGCCTGGCATTCAGAATATAATCAACAAATTCAAACCCCCCCCCACCTGACATGCAAAGCCCCCTGGGTCAGGTTTCCTCCCGCTTCCTCCCTTGAGCCTGTTTGTGTCTCTTTCTGTCTTCTCACTACGCATAACCCACAGTGGCCTCGATTCAGTTCTTCAGGCATGCCACCCTCTTTCTGTCCTAAGGGCCTTTTATTTGCCACGTCTTCTAGAATGTACTTCAACTCTCTCCAAGGCTGGCTCTGTCTCCTCCTTTGGGTCTCAACATAAATGTCTCTGCCTCAGAGGGACAGGATGCCTTGATCACCCTCTCTCCAGTGACCTCTTCTCAGCCAGATGCTGTCTAACACACCCTGTGTTTTCTTCACTTTCTTTATTGTGATCTATAATTTTCTTATTTTGCTTTTACACATTTATTATCTCTCACCCCGCTGCAGCATATAGTCTGTGATAACAAAGGGATTTAAAACATCAAGATCTCTTGAATAAATGTTAATAATAGCAATGCAGTGGTAGTAGTTATTGTTATTTTTCCTATAATTATCAAGAAGTGATTAGGTCCTGAGATGTTTTGGAGCAGGGGTGGGTTTTGTTGTCTCTGTTGCAACTACTCACCTCCGATGTTATAGTGCAAAGGCAGCCACAGACAATATGTAAATGAATGACATGGCTGTGTTTCACTACAACTCTTTTTACAAAAACAGGTGGCTAGTCCATGGGCTGTAGTTTGCTGAATGATCGCTGTTTTAGAGAATCACCTTTGAGATGATCAGATTCATTCCTTTATTCATTCAGTGATTTTCTGAGGACCTATTATGGGCCAGATGCTGGTCTATGTATGTAGAAGGCACAGATTAAATGCATAGTCCATAACTTAATGGGTATATAAAGAGATAAATCAGTAATTCATTAGGAAGAGATGAATACTTGATGGAGACATGTGCAGAATGCACAGGAGGAGAGGAACCCACTAGGCTTGGGCAGAGATGTGCTCTGGAAAGTTTTCTAAGCCAAGTTGTGTTGGATTTTGAAGGAAAAATACAAGTTTGCCAGGCTGAGCATGGGCAAAGGTAGAATATAGATCTGTCAAGGAGGGAGGCTGTCAATTTGGGTTATTAGGATCCCTTAAAGGGGCCAGTTACTCAGTAGGGGAACACTGGGGTATGTTTTATAGGATTGGGGGTGGTGGAAGATAGTTGTTTGACACATGCAGAGTTTGAGGTTCCTAAGGGACATTTAGGTAGAAATTTCCAAAATGCTGAAATTGGAGCTAAGGAGAAGTCTGAGCCAAAGATACAATGTGGTGTCATTACCCCATGGATGTGAGTTGAAGCCATGGGAATAGATGAGCAGATTCAGAGAGAGGGGGGAGGATAGAGTAAGGAGATGATCAAGAAGGAAACTTTCCATCCATATTGAAGGGGTGAGGAGAGAAGCCAGCAAGAGACAGAACACTGTAGGGTGGGAGTGGGGAGACACCAGGAAAATGTAGTGTATGAGGCTAAGGAAGAGGGAGTTTCCAAGTAGAAAGTGGTCAAGACTGTCTCATAGACAAGAGGACCAGTAAAAATACAGAGAGGCTGTTGGGATTGGAAATTAGGAAGCAGTTGGTGACCTAGTTTTGAATGAGCAATTTTAGTAAAACGTGGGAGTGGAAGTCACATATTAATTAGTAGGTTGAGAAGTGAATGGAAAGTGGGGAAGTAGAAGCAATGAGAATAGACGGCTGTTTCTAAAAATGTGCTGATGGATAAAAGAGCCACGGGTGCTGACTGGAGGGGGAAGAAGAGTTGAGTTTCATTTTATGTTTCAGAGCATGGTGGGAGAGATTGGAAGGAATGTGAAATAGAAGTGCTACAGTGGCCTGTGGAGAGAAGTTGGTGAAAGGTATGGGGGTGATAACTGTTAGACAAGGCCCTCCAGAGAACAGGAAATGAGGGATTGAGGTCACATGCAGAAGGGTGGATCCTGGAATGTAAGTGGAACACTGATTCTTCTAAGACCAAAGAGGGAAAAAATAGGTGAAAAACAGAGTGGGCAAAGATTCCTGTGAGAAGAATAAAAACAATTAATTGATTGGCATCACCTCAGTGCCACTTCACTATTTTTTACCACTGTTTTACTTAATTTTACAACTATACTTTCTACCAAGGAAGTTTAAATCAAATGGGAAAATATCCCCATAAGACAAACTAGTGAATTACTGAGATGGTGTAAAAGAGAAGATGGTCTTATTATAATTCCTTTGGGTCTTAATGATACCATTGACCTTGGAACTTATCTTGGAGGCTGCAAAAGAACCATTCAATTTGTTCTGATATTTAGTATATATCACAGTGTTACCCATTTCTACATATTATTGAAATGGACATTGGCAATGCCTGTATTTTCACTGTGCATTCAACAAACAAAATTGTCCTATCTTTGGCTTACTTTCATTGCAACTCAGCATGCCTAGTAATGTCCTGAAGAAACATTAAAAATCCAAGTTTCCTCCGTCTACACCCAGAGAGTCAGCTTCAGTGGCTCTGGAGTGTGAAGCACAGGTGTAATAAATATTTCTCAATTTATTTGGAGAAACACTATCTTTAATCAGTATTTACTGAGCACCTACTGTGCATCAGATATCCTCAGGCACTGAAGACAGAACCATAAACCAGATAGAAGAGGTTCCACAGTCAATTATGATACCATGTAATTGACTGTTGTGAGGCAGAGTGTCTGAGATCAGAACATTGGAGATGAATTCAACCCCCAGTTGAAGTCCAGGAAGTTTATCAGGTATAGTGTAGTACGAAGGGCAAAGGATTTGAGGTGTGAGGGTGAGGAAATGGCAGGAAAGGAAGAAAGGGTGCTTCAGACAGAGGGAATGGTATATGTAAAGATTGGCACAGGTAGATTGTAGAGTGTCAGGGGAAAGATGAGAAAAGGGACTGGAGAAGATTGTGACACCACTGTGAGCTGCTGAGGAGTTTGCCTTTTATCCTAAGAGCAAGATGGTGCCATTGTAGGGTTTAAGCAAGGGATTGATACGATCCTCCTTCTTTTTTAGAAACTTTAGTTGGACTGAAGTTTGGAAGACAGGAGTGGAGTAGGGTAGGGTAGGAAGGATTGGACATAAAGAGACCCCTTAGGAGGCTGTTGCAGAATACCAGAAAGGACAGCCCAACTTAGGTAGTGGGAGGGTAGGGGATGGAGAGAAGTAGATGGGTTTAAGGAGGTGGATTTAATTAAATTCCTTTATTAGTCAGGGTTTTTCAGAGAAGCAGAACCAATATGAAATAAGAGATTTAATGTAAAATATTGGCCTATATGGTTATGGAGGCTGAGAAGTCCCATGATCTGCTGTCTGCAAGGTGGAGACCCAGGAAAGCTAGTGTTTCAGTTTGAAGACCTGGGAGCCTGAGAGCCAATGGTATAGATTCCAGTCTGAGTCTGCAGCCTGAGAACCAGGAACATCAAAGGCAGGAAAAGATTGATGTCCTAGTTCAATCCGTCAGGTTGGGCAGAGTGTGAATGTAACCTTCGTCTACCTTTTTGCTCTTTTCAGATTGTCAACAAATTGGATGGTACCCACCCACATTGGGGAAGGCCATCTGCTTTCCTCAGTCAACCAATTCAAATGCTAATATCTTCTAAAAACACCCTCACAGACACACCAGAAATAATGTTTAACCAGATATCTGAGTATCCCATGTCCTACTCAAGGTGACACATAAAATTAACTATGACACCTCCTGACACTGTGAGCCACATTCACATAAGAATAATTTGAAAGGGAAAAGAATTAAGGAAGAAAAAGCAAGGAAAAGCAGCTCTAGCTCAACTCTACTGGCAAAAATCCATAACTAATTCGAAGAGATTTAGCTGAAGCGTATGGCCCTTGCAATGACCTGATTCGTCTGTAATTGTGTTTGTTTTTTAAAATGGATAGTAAAGATGAGGATGAATAATTTGGATTTTTTTTGTCCTGTTACTTTTGACCTTTGGTTGATATAAAATCTCAAAGTATCTGTCCTGTTTATCATTGTATATGAGCTCCTAGCACAAAGCTTTCTTCTGGATTTTATAACAAAAAGGGGATGTATCCTATTTTCTACACTCTTCCCTTCATTATTCCAAAACCATATAAAAATCATGACTTCAAAGCATAGGCTGAGAAGGTGGACAGTACTGAGTGATTTGGGTAGATGGAATCTCATGCTGGAGAGAGGGGATGGAATCATGCAATAAATATTTACTGGACACCAGCTGTGCTGGGCTTTCTATCTCGGGATGGCTTTTCCTGTTTCTCCTGGTGCCTGCCTCTGAAATTTTCAATTCTGCTCTTTGTTTACCTTCTCAAATGTTCCTCTGGAACCTCTACTCACCTTTCTCTTGAGGGTTAATCCATGTGTTTCTCCTCTCTGGTTTACTTATTTATTTTGCTGGAGTACATCCTTGGTAATTTCCTAAGAGAGAGTTCAAAGAAAGCAAACTTGCAGAATGTTAATATTTTTGAAATCATCTGTAGTCTGCATTTACTAGATTAAAAATCATTTTCTAGGTTGAAAAGAGTTTTCAACTATAGAGACTTCCAGTGTTGTTCAAGAGAAACGGTAACACCAGTTGGGTAAATATTCTTTTGTAGGTGATCTGATTTCTTTTTTTTCCTCCTTGAAAGCTTTAGAATCTTCTCTCATCCCTGGTGTTTTAAAACTTTTTAGTGGCATTTGTGTGTGGATGTGTGTATATGCTCGTGAGAATGTGTGTCAGAGAGAGAGAGAGGTTTATGTTGCTAAGGATTTGTTAAACTGTTTGAAACTTGTCTCTCTGTTTGAAACTTGTCTCTCCCTTCAGCTCTGGGCAATCATCTTGTGTTCTTGTTAGTTTCTACCTCTCTGTTTTCTCTTTCTTTCTGGAATTTCTGTTATTTGCTTTTGGACTTCATAAAGTGATTACCTGTATCATTACCTTTTTCTGGTGTGATTTCTCTTACCTTATGTTTTCCTTCTGCATTTTAGACAATCTTACTTGACTTAATTTTCTAACCCTTCAGTTGAATTTTTGTTTTGGTATTTTTAATTTCTAAGAATGCCTTCTTGGCTTCTGATTGCTTGTTTTTTTTTTTGGTTTTTGTTTATTTATTGATTTATTTTTTTGAGACAGAGTCTCATTCTGTCGCCCAGGCTGGAGTGTAGTGGTGCTATCTCGGTTCACTGCAACCTCTGCCTCCCGGGTTCAAGCGATTCTCCTGCCTCAGCCTCCTGAGTAGCTGGGACTACAGGTGTGCGCCACTATGCCTGGCTAATTTTTTTTTTAGTAGAGATGGGGTTTCACCATGTTGGTCAGGCTGGTCTCCAACTCCTGACCTCGTGATCCTCCCACCTCAGCCTCCCAAAGTGCTGGGATTACAGGTGTGAGCCACCGTGCCCAGCATCTTGCTTGTTTTTATAGCACATTGTTCTTTATTTTATTGTTGCAATATCTTCCCAAATTTCTCTGAGGATACTAATTAGATTTTTTAAAAGATCTCTATGTTGCTTGAATTTTTTTTTTTTTTTTTTTTTTTTTTTTTTTTTTGAGACAGAGTCTCCCTCTGTTGCCCAGGCTGGAGTAAAATTGGCATGATCTGGGCTCACTGCAACCTCTGCCTCCCGGGTTCAAGTGATTCTACTGCCTCAGCCTCCTGAGTAGCTGGGATTACAGGTGCGTGCCACCATGCCCGGCTAATTTTTGGTATTTTTATTAGAGACGGGGTTTCACCATGTTGGTCAGGCTGGTCTCGAACTCCTGACTTCATGATCCGCCCGCTTTGGCCTCCCAAAGTGCTGGGATTACAGCTTGAATTCTCTTTATATTCTTCAGGGCAGTTTTTCTTTGCTTTTTATTTGTTTTATGCTGGAAGATTTTCTCAAATTCTTTGTGATCTTTTATTATTGAGTTGGATGAGCTTGAGTTAATTTGTTCAAATTCTTCAGAAGTCTGTTTCCTCCAACTCCGAGGTGTGGCAGGGGGTGGGAGTAAGAGGAAAATGTATGCGTACTGGGTGCTTACCCTATGCCCAGAAGAGGAGATGGTGGGTGGGGGTATATAGTTCCTGCCTCATTTCTCAGCCCATTTCTTCCTCCATCTTCCCTTGGATCTGTATCTTGGAGTTTCTGGGCCTCCAGGCTGGTAGGTCAGCAGGTTCTTCTTCTACTGCAGCATTGCTGTCTCATCTGCTGCAGGCTGTGCATCTCTTCCTCTGTTCATCAGTTTAGGGCCTCCATCTGTGTCCTGTTTCCAGAAATTGTGACATATCTAGCTCAGTAAGTACTTGTCTCTTTTCTCTTTTTTTGATCTAGGTTTAAATATGCAGAGTGCTTAATAGAAAGCACTCAGTAAATGTTGGTTGTTATTTTTAATTCTACCTCTTACAATTGAATTACTCTCATTTTCAAGCATCTTTGATTAGAGAGGATAAAAATACCTGTATTCTGTCTCATCTTGTGCTGGCAGTCTCGCCAAAATCTAGTCAACAAAACATTGACTAGATTCTCTTAAATCCAGTCAATGTTGTTGACCAGCATCTCTGAGGGTGCTTTGCAGTATTGTAAAATGAGGGCATTTCAACTGTATTGTAAAAACATTATGAAAATGCGTTTTAAGGGCACTCCATAGAAAAGACTTCTTATGTCATCATACTACAGTTTTCTGAGTTGTTTCCTTAGCAAATAGAATACCTGCTTTAATTTTACTTCCATTTTGAAATGCTAAAGCCACTGATCAGAAAACATGATTCAACTGAATTTGCTCACAAAAAATATTGTTTCTTTTAATTTGCTTTTGGACCTCTGATGTTTCTCCTGAAAATCACTGTTATGAAGGATCCAGGGGCTTTAGCAATCCATATTTATAACATAACAGTTGAGTAGCATTAGTAGATTTAGAATCAGTTAAAAATCATTGACCAACTCTTCTAATTCTGAAAGATATTAGTACAAGGTCACTCAGTATTTGACGTATCTTTTCAAACAGTGTCTATTTATAAGCAGATCTGTCCAGCAACAAAGCCTGACATTTGCAGCATTTATATATGACTTGTACCTTACCTTTTGCTAATTTCCTTCTGTTGGTAGCACTTTGTCATGTTCATTCCACAATCCTTCACTTTCCATTTCCCTTCTATGACATTGGGTTAACTCTCTCTGGTGGTCGTTTTATTCTAATCCGGTGGAAAAGATGTCACTAGATATTTGTGAATGTCTGGGTTATATGCAGTCACTTTCAATGATACAACACGACCCAAACAGAAGTGCAAATGCAGACACTCAGGTCTTTGGATTATTCTAATAACCCAAAAATGCTTAACCTCAATTTCTTAGGTTGTTGAAAGAAAGTCACCTCAAGATTTGAACCTCAATTAAAAACACACTGCATGAATAGGTTTATTTGGTTTTATAGTTTCTTGCTCAGTTAGCCTCGTGTTTTGTATTTACCTTCAACCAATCTCTTCACAACTCCAAAAACATTAACAAAATAGAACAAAACAAACAACTTTGACTAGTTTCTCTTTCTGGCCTGGATATTAAATAATGCCAGGGAACCACAACTATCTGATGAGTCTTTCTATTATTGCTCATAATTCCCAGGTTGTGTACACATGTGTAATGAGGTTAGTGAAAGGCGGGTGTGTGTGTGTGTTTGGGGGTGGGGGGTTACCCTTTACCTTTTGCTACATAGATTTTTAAAATCAAAAGCATGAGGTCTAAGCTTTCCTCCATCTGTTTACAGCCTTGCCTGTGCAGGCACCATGTGTACATCTTGCCCTTCTTCATTATTCACCTTTCTGGGGCTCACTTTGCTGATCACGGGGAGTAACCCTACAGGCTGACCACTCTGTAGGAGAGCCTCCCATAGAGCTTTTCAGACCAAAGTTTCCTAAAGTCCCTACAAATGATTGTATTTTCAGGTGTGCATGCTCTCAGTGGGACATGGTTTAACTACAGTGGTTCCCTTGGAGATCTTTCAGGTATGTAGACCTTTTCTCATTCCTATAACAAAGAGGATTACTCTTTGCTCACCCCCAAGCCTCTCAACTAATCATTCAGCAAGACCTGCGAATTCTGTAACTTAATCCATCCGCTCAGCCCCGTTCCTGCTCTCAGAACACCAGGATTTCTCTCTTTATTGGCTGCCTCCCAACTGATTTCCCTGTCTTCAGCCTTGCCCCTCTCCAGCCCATCTTCCACATAGCAAATCATACCCAGTTCTCCCTCCTTTAAAATTCTTTGTTGGCTCCACATTGCTGTCAGAAGAAGGGCCAGACACCTTAATGTCAAGCAAGACTCTTCCAGCTGACCTCTGCAGTTTCTGCTCCCCTAAAATGCCCTATTTCTTCTATAGTCCTAACTTGACTAGCTCCTTTTTATCCTTTATGACTCAGGTCAAGTTTACCTCCTCCAGTAACCTATTCCTTGCTTAGTCCGGGTGGTGCTAGGGATCCCCTCTCCTGTGTGCTCCCACAGCTCTGGGTCCATGCCTCCGTCATGCCACTTAGCACCCTTTAGTGTCATTTTTCTGCACATGTGTGTCTGATAGCAGGAACTGTGCGTCATTTTTTAAAATTATTTCATAAGAGCTGTCATGGCACGCGGTGTACATTCAATGATTATTTCTCAAACTCAGCTGAACTGAGTGAAGGCAGAGGATATGTCTTCACTGTTCTCTTCCTTCTCCTACTTCTTCAGCTTTACTGTCCCTGAGGTAATTTTCATTTTCTAAGCTTCTGTGCTCCTCTCAAGTGACTGCAATACTGACACTACGAGTGCTTCTATTTTAGTCACCTATCTCCTGGGTTGAGAGGGGCTGATCTTGTTCCCAGTTTTCTGTATCTTTGATCTTACTTCTTTATTTTCCTTTCCCGGAACTAGTTAACTAGCTAGCTAGCTCTAGGGCTCTCTCAGTGTCTGTCTCTGACTTTCTGTCTCTCTTAAACCACAGTTTTATTGAGATATAATTCACATATTTCACTATATATTTCCACCATTTAAAGCATAAATTCAAATATTTTAATCCTATCCACAGAGTTGTGCAACCATCACTACAGTAATTTGAGAACATTTCATCACCCTAAAAAGAAACTTATCAATATACTGTCGCTCCAGATTTCTCAAGCCCCAGCCCCTGGCAACTACTAATCTACTTTCTGTCTCTATACATTTGCCTATTCTAGACATCTTATATGATGGAGTTATACAATCTGTGTGACCTTTTATGTCTGGCTTCTTTCACTTGCCTTAATGTTTTCAAGGTTCATCCAGTTTACACCATATATCAGCATTTCATTCCTGTGTTAATCTACTCAGGCTGCCCCCTCCCATTTGTAAAAGAGACACAACGGGAGGCACACAGGGTTCACTATCCCAGAGCAGCTCTGAACACACGTTGGTACGGCTAAGTTGTTCCACTGTCTAAGTGATTTTTCATGGCTCTGGACTCTACCATCTGGACTTTTGATTCTGCCCTCTTTGTCTACTTTCCTTTTTTATAAAAGTTTTGAATCCTAAGAGTGTTCTTAGCCTGTTTTCTGCCTGCAGAAGTTTGGTTGTCTCAAGATCTCCTTTCAGTTAGTATTATCTCTGACTGTTTTAGTCTAAGCTGACTGTTTCTGCTAATATAATTATCTTAAAAAGTTTGTGAGTCTGCTATGAATATTACTGGATTCACTCCATTAGATAAAAGCCACATCAAAAAAATCACTTCAAAATAAAGCCTTTCTCTACCTTGGGCTTCCACTGAGGTTACTGAGGGACAACAACTTTATGTTTCCTAGAATCCTATTGATTACCAGTCATTTAAGACACTGCCTTAGATTTTTCTGGTCTTAACCCAAGGATTTTAGTCACACCTTTAGCTTCACCATTAGACCATATTTTCCTGTTAGTGTCTGAACAGGATCATTGCCTAGAAGTCATTTCTTAATTTTGGTATTATTTACCATCTGGAGAGGCTTGGACTTTTCAAACCTCTAACAAGTCCTACCTCCTTTACATTTAGCAATTGGTTTATATTGAAGTCTTTAGCTTATCCTTCTACTCTTACACTTTACCAGAAGAGTGAGAAGAAGATAGGTAGCATCTTCAAAACTCTACCTGGAAATCTGGAAATCTCCTTAGCTAGATTTTTAAGTTCATAAGTTACAATCTATACGTTTCGTATTATAGAAGGTAACATTGTTGCTCAATTTTCTGCTATTCATTAACAAGAATTCACTTCCCATTAGTTTCCTCAGCTTCCTTTAAGCCTTCACTGACAGCTTCTTCATAAAGCTTCTTCTGGAAGTCTCTTTGAAGCTCCTTAGGCTTTCAGTAATGCTTTCCTCAAGTTCCTTACAGCTTCCACTCATTGCCTGGCTTCAAAGCCACTCTTACAGGATAAGTTTTTTATTATGGTATTAATAGCACCCTCTTCCAAGTACCAAAATCTGCATTAGTTATATGTTGCTAAATAACAAATCACTCTAACGCTTAGATGCTGAAAACTGCAACAATTATTTATGATCTAATGGTTTCTGTGGGTCAGAAATTTGAGAACAGCTTGGCTGAGTGATCCAGTCTTGGAGCCTCTCATGAGTTTGCAGTCAGATTTGGTTAGTTCTACACATCTGAAGGCTTGATGGAGGATGGAGAACCCTTTTCTGAGATGAAGTGATTACTCACATGGCTGACGAGTTGATGCTGGCTGTTGGCAGGCCTCAGTTCCTCCCCATGTGAACCTCTGGACGGGGCTGCTTAAATGTCCTCATGGCATAGCTGGCTTCCCCCTCGATGAGCAATCCAAGAGCCCAGGGAAGAATCTGCAGTATCCTTTATGACCAAGACTCAGAAGTCACACACTTCGCTTCCTCAGTATTTTACTGGTCAGCCCTGATTCACTGGTGTGAGGATCACTGGAGAGCCACCATCTTGGAAGTTAGCTCCTGTGCACCTTGACCTATGTTCTATTTTTCCTTTTGGTGGAAAGGTGCTTTTGCAATTACAGTAAGAGTGGCATTAATGATAGCAGCAATAGCAATGCCTATCATTTGTTGGGTGTTTATTATATGTTAGGCAATATGATAAGCATTTTAGATGCAATTTCTTTTCTATCATTGTAATGAATAGATGGTTTTATCCTCATTTTTCATGTGAGAAAACTGAAATTCAAAGAGTTTGAGTCTTTCTTGAGATTATACACTTGCTAGTAATTATACAAAATGCAGATCTGTAATACAGTTCTGAAATGTGCCACTTCTCTTGCTTTGTTTAATTGTGTCTTTCTTTTCTCCTTTGGGAGAGCTGTAGCCCTAATACTACAGAGTTGTGTTTAAAGAGGTTTGTCCCAGTGTGAAGAAAGCTTGATAAAAAACAGCTGCTGTTTGTTTATGTTTCCAAGCAAGGTGAGAGAGGAAGAATTGCTTCTCAGCCATGTGAACAAAGCAAACCACCTCTCTAACAAAGTATCTGTGAAAGGAGAAACTGTAAAAACAACTAGGAAGAACTATGGTAAAATTAAAAAAAAAATGAGCCCAAACAATATATTGCCCTGTACATATAAATGTACCAGAGAAAAACTTCAAATATGAAATTATAAGGAAAACATGGCCCTTGAATAAAAACACTGAATCATTCTGCTTGATGTGTTTTGCTTTCATTTAGTTTTTTCTTCCCATAGCACTTACTCTCACCTCTATTCCGGTCCTGTTACCCACTTTATCTTAGGCTGTGGTTATCAGTGAGCCACAGTGCTCCAGCAGATTGTCAGCCCTGGTAGGGACTACTCCTTCTTTGTTTCTGAATTTTCCAGAACACCTTGTGAAGTGTCTTGACAATGGTAGGCATCTGTGAATGCGTATTGAATTGGATTAATATACATTTACTTTCTTAACTTCTTTACTGGTTGCCTGGAATGTCAAGAACGTTTGACAATGTTGGATGGATCTTTATCAATATAATAGTAAAACTTAAAACGCTATGATTTTAGTTGATTGAGATATTTTTGTAACATTACAGAGTCATTAAAAGGAGAATCAATACAAAAAGGGAAAATGGCAAAACAAACTTAATTCTTCAAGTTTCATCAAAATGAGAATATCTGGTTTTTTCAAAGGATTTATCTTTTAAAAGAAAAATGATATTATTTTGAAAGAACAACACATCTTTTAAAAGTTCAGCAGCAGCACAATCTTTTTTGTTGTTCGAATAGAAATTTTCATCTTTTTTTTGGGCAAAATCTTGTCAGAATATAATGATAAAAATGAAAGAAATGAGTCCACTTCAGCTTCTTTGCATGAGATTTGAATATTTGATCTTAGGTTTTTATTAAAAAATGTTTATTAGCTTCTGGATTTATTTAAATTAATTTCCCTATTAGGATTTTATTCATTTAGAAGAGTCTTTGATCTGCCATACAAAACATTTATTCCACCTGCATGAGAGGAGTGTTTTTGTAGAGGACATACAATAACAGACCAAGTTTTCTATCTGACACAGGCCCTTTGAAAGTGAAGATATTTATATAGATTGGGAAAACAGCCATAGCTCTGTCTTAATGTAAGCCTATTCCTGAGCTGAAGAACTTTTATTTACCATAACAGCTTTGTTGAGATATAATTCGTGTACTATATGCAATTCACAATTTAAAGGATACAATTTAGTGGTTTTTAGTATATTCACAGAATTATGCAAATATCACTGCAATTTTATAACATTTTCACAGTCCCAAAAAGAAAGAAATCTTGTATCCATTAGCAGCCACTCCCTCAAGCCCCAGTTCTGGGAAACCATTAAGCCATTTTGTCTCTATTTTGGGCATTTCGTGTAATGGAATCATATAATATGTGGCCTTTCAAACTTCATCCACATTTCAGCATGTATCAGTACTTCACTCCTTTTTATAGCTGAAAAATATTCCAGTGTATAGGTAATCCACTTTGTTTATCCATTCATCAGTTGAAGTATATTTGCATTCTTTCCAACTTTTGTCTCTTATGAATAATGTCAAATTTATGTGCAAGTTTTATGTAAACATATCTTTTCATTGGAATATACCTAGAAGGAGGATTGCTTGGTCACATTGCACCTCTGTATTTAATCTTCCAAGAAACTGCCAGGCTGTTTTCCAAAGTGGCTGCACTATTTTACATTCCCACCAGCTATATGTGGAGGGCTCCAGTTTCTCCATATCCTCACCAACACTTGTTATTGTCTGTCTTTTTAATTATAGCTGTCCTAATGAGTGTGTCATGGTATCTGATTATGGCATTGATTTGCACTTTTTCTGATGGCTGAAAATGCTGTGCATTTTGTCATGTGTTGCTGGCCAGTTAGTTGTACATGTTCTTGGGGGAGATACCTATTCAATTTATTTGCTAATTTTAAAATTTGGTTATTTTTCTTTTCATTGTTGTGTTGGAATAGGTATTTATACATGTTGGATATTAGACACTTATTTGCAAATATTTTATCCCATTCTTAGGGTTTTTTTCTCTTTTTTGATAGTGTCCTTTGAAGCACAAAAACTTTCAGTTTTGATGAAATTCAACTTACCTAAATTTTTCTTTTGTTACTTATGCTTTTCATGTCATAGCTAAGAAACCATTGGCTAATCTGGTGTCATCAAGATTTATACCTATTTTTCCCCAAGAGTTTTGTAGTTTTTTCACACACCTTGAAGCTTTTAATTCATTTTGAATTTTTAAAATATAGATGAATAGGGGTCTAGCTTTCTTTGGAATAAGTATATTTAACACCATTTGTTGAAAAACCTCTTCTTTATCCAATGAATGGTCTTGGCAACCTTGATGAAATTTAGTTCACCACAAATATTGGGTTTATTTCTGGAATGTTAATTCTGTTCTACTTAGCTATATGTCTATCTTTATGCTAGTACCACACTGTCTTGATTATTGTAGCTTTACACTAAGCTTTGAAATGGGGGAGTATGAGCCCTCCAACTTTGTTCTTATTTTTCAAGATTATTTTGGCTATTCTTTGTCTTTTGAATTTCTATATGAATTTTAGGATTAGCTTGTTAATTTCTGCAGATAAGCCATGTGGCATTTTACATAGGAATTGCATTGAATCGGTAGATCAATTTGGGGAGTATTGCCATCTTAACAATATTAAGACTTCCAATCCATGAACATGGGATGCTTTCTAATTATTTATGTATTCTTAAATTATTTCAACAATATTATATAGTTTTCAGAGTAAAAGATTTATACTTCTTTTGTTAAATTTATACCTGTTGTAGCTGCTCTGTGGACATAGGTGGATTCGTATCTCAATTTTGTTTGGATTCTCATTTAGTATTAGGAAAATATTTAGGTAATTTGAATTTGTAGTAAAGCAAAGTGGAATATTATAGAGTGGCCTTTTTATAAAGTAGTTTGGTATGAGTTAAAATTAATACAGAGGAAAAAAACCCCAAACTACTCTACTTTGGTTCTTACATTAATTGGAACTTTAGCAATGAGGTGATTCCATGGTGTATTAGGGTTATCCAGAGGGACAGAACTAATAGGATAGATGGATATATAAAGGGGAGTTTATTAAGGAGTATTGACTCACACTGTCACAAGGTGAGCTCCCACAATAGGCTGTCTGCAAGCTGAGGAGCAAGGAAGCCAGTCCATATCTCAAAGCTGAAGAACTTGGAGTCTGATGTTCGAGGGCAGGAAGCATCCAGCACAAATGTAGGCTTGGAGGCTAAGCCAGTCTGGTCTTTTCTTCTGTCTGCTTTTAATCTGGCTGCACTGGCAGCTGATGAGATTGTGCCCACCAAGATTGAGGGTGAGTCTGCCTTTCCCAGTCCACTGACTCAAATGTTAATCTCTCTCTCTCTCTTTTTCTTTTTTTGAGACAGAGTTTCACTGTTGTCACCCTGGCTAGAATGCAATGTCACAATCTCAGCTCACTGCAACCTCTGCCTCCTGGGTTCAAGTGATTCCCCTGCCTCAGCCTCCCAAGTAGCTGGGATTACAGGTGCCCACCACTATGCCTAGCTAATTTTTGTATTTTTAGTAGAGATGGGGTTTCACCATGTTGACCAGGGTGGTCTTGAACTCCTGACCTCTGGTGATCCTCCCATCTCAGCCTCTCAAAGTGCTGGATTACAGGCATGAGCCAACGCGCCTGGCCCCAGATGTTAATCTCCTTTGGCAATGCTTTATTACTGACATAAATAAAGCAGGGCAGTCCTCTCAAGCAGATTGAAAATGTCTTGAGAGAGCACTGAAAGGAGATTGGCTTGGAGTTTTTATTGAGGTTAGGGTATAGGGTGGGGCAAGGGTTTCTGTACATAAACAGGAACTTGCCTGGTTTGACTTTCCCACAAGCACCAGAGGAGGGAGCATCTAGGCTTTGTGATCAGTCCAGATGTGGGCCATAAGGGGAAATGAGAGCAGTGAGGCTGAAAAAGATGACAGCTTCAAACATCAAACACAGGAGTCTTACTATTACAATTCACCCTGATGTCTAACTGACGACTAAAACATACTATATATTATTTTATTGAATTTGAGCTTGTTTAGTAAGCCCTTATGGTGCTCTATGAGGCTTATAGCCTGAGGCCAATAAGGAAGACAAACATTCCATTGAATCCCTTGTTCAAGAGCCCAGCATTGTGTGTTCTGGGAAGCAAAACGTTTCTTGTACTATCAGTGTCTGGAACTCCAAAGTGTTAGGTTGGTGCAAAAGTAATTGCAGTTTTTACCATTCAAAGTAATGGCAAAAACTGCAATTACTTTTGCACCAACCTAATAGATAAGGAGTGTCTTGATGAGACCTTATATTGTGGCTTGGGCATGTGTAGAGATATGTGTGACTTTAATTTATATTTTGGGTATCTGTAGGGCGAGAGATTACCAGAGGTTTGGTTATTTTTGTTTTGTTTTGTTTTGTTTTGTTTTTGTTTTTGTTTTACCCCAAGTGTGGCAACCTTGAACGAGAAATTGTTGTGGTCTTTGACTAGACCAGAGTGTCAGACTACTGGCAATGACCCAAGAATATAAAAATATGCAGATGGAATCAACTTTTGGCCGGAGTATCCAGTGTTACACGACTGCCTGAAGTTTGTCCGATTGTGGTGACCCTTGGTTTCAGTTATGGACTGACTGTTTGTGTCTCCCTAAAATTCATATGTTGAAGTTCTAACCCCCAATGTGATAGGAGTTGAGGCTTCAGGAAGCAATTAGTTTTAGATGAGGTCATGAGGATGAAGCCCCCATGGTGGGAGTACAAGAAGAAACACTTGAGTTTCCTCTTCTGCTGTGTGAGGACACAGCAATAAAGCTGCCATCTGCAAGCTAGAAAGAGGGCCTTTACTGGAACCTGACCATGCTGGCACCCTGATATTGGACTTCTAGCCTGCAGCACTGTGAGAAATAAATGTCTGTTGTTTAAGCCACCCAGTCTGTGGCATTTTGTTATGACGGCCTGAGCTGACTAAGATAGGTCCCATCTTGTATCAGCAACATATTGATTAGGGGATGAAAAGTAGCAGCTCTCCAGTGAGCTCCGTCATGCCTGATGGTGATATTTTCATCTGTAAAATGTATGAACTCCCATTGCTGTTGATTAGTTGATTGCAAGTGGCTCCTTACATAGCCAAATCTTAAAGGGGTGACCTCCTCCAGCACTGTGGCATCAGGCAAAGGTCTGAGGAAAGGGGAGGCCCTCCTTTCATCCTCCTACAACTTGGCAAATAGAATATGCGAGAGGGCCCACGTTTGGCCCTGTCCTGTAGCAAAGAGGCCTCAATAGCTATGCCAAGCTTGCAGGGTGCCACTTGTATGACTCAAGGCATAATGGAGACCTGGGTATGGAGGGTCACGGGTTCAGAGAACAGAAGTTTCTCTTCTCAGGAGAGATCAGCACATGGCCAGAATTTGGTATTCTTATATTGTATACAGCAGGGCCAAGGGGGTTCAGTTTCTTGTATCAGAAGTCCAGGGGTAACTTATAGCCATTATAAGTGGTCTAGAGACTCCAGGAAGCATGAGAGGAGGTTACTAAAGCTTTTATAGTGAGGAGTCTCTGAGGGAACTAAAGGAAATGCATGTTGATTGCAGTTTGGACAGATTCTAGAGGCGGTTGTTGGAGGGAAGCCCATTGAAGATGGGCTTCAATAAAAATTTACAAAGGAAGGATATTTTGCTTCCTGAACCCAAAAAAGCCTAAAAGACCCTGGGCTTCCCTTACTATTTTTGGTGCTGATACAATCATTAGCTATTTCTTAAGAGTCAGGGGATGGAGTTCCCTGCAGTTTACCAGGTAATTTTCAGGAATTTAGCATGGTGGCAAGACGTTGTACTATGCACAAGGCAATGGCCCATTTCTCTTCTGTGAACTCCTTGGTGAGTTTTTATTTGTATGTCCTGAACGAGTGTGTCGAATGTCGAATGAATGCCTTCAGAAGAGAATGTCATCAATATAATGTCATGCCTGTACTCTTGGAGAAAGTTGAGTGCAGTTAAGACCTTCCCTGCAAAGGCTTGTGTATGATGGCAAGGCTGTTGGGGTACCCTGTGGGTGGCCACCAGCTAAAGATAGGTTGTATTCCTTTAGAGGTAAAGGAAAGTTTTGACTAAGAAGCTGTTGAAGTGGGAGCTGAATGGAACATATTAGCCAAATCTATAATAGCAAAATACGTTGCAGTTGCTGATTAGATGGAGTCAGTCAATTCAATAATATAATGTCTGGGGGCCTTACTGGGTAGCACTATGGCATTAAGGTTACATAATCCACTGTGTAGTGTCATTCATTCCAAATTTAAGAACAGGCCAAATTGAGTTCTTATATGAAGGAACAATGGAGGCATGTGATGGATTTCAGTACTTGTAAGTTTCTGTTTAAATTTACATTGAGCCATACTAACTGGTTTTACTAGGGGTATGGTCCATGGGGTCTCATTTTGCCAAGCCAATTTTGTATATGTCAAATTCTTAATTATATTTAAATGTATTGATCATTAGGCCAGAGTGTCCATGCTCACTATGGGATATTTTAGGACAATGAATGCTATGATACTGGAAAATTTAGACAATAATTCCTGCAGTTAAGGTGAAACATACTTATGTGCCCTCTATTTTTTGTTCAGTAACTCCCCTAAGATTATAGCATGTTAATCTGTAAATGAAAGACTTATAAATTAGATCTATATTATAGATTATAATTATAGGGGGTAATTTGTTTAAATTTAATGAGATCCCAGGAATAAATGTAGTTTGAGCCTCAGTGTTAAGGCCATGAAGATTTGCCTGTTGGTGCATTCAAATTGTGTTAAAGTTAATTCAGAACCTATGTTGCAGAAGTACAAAAGCCAGTTAGTGCCCTTTTAAATCTTACGTTGTATAAATTCTTTTAGTAAATTTTGGATTTCAAATTGGGTCCAACTGTGGGCCTCTGTTTCACTTTTTTGTTTCCTGTCTCATATCTGGTTGCTTTCTCCATCTCTTTCTTCTTCCCTCCACCCTCCTTAAAAAAAAAAACAAAACAACTGTTGTTGTTACTGAGCATTCTCTCTACTTTGCTTAGATTTATAAGTTCCATCCTCCAGAGAAGTTCAAATCAGTATTGTCAGGGTTAGGGGCTCCTCCATGCAATGGTCTCTTTCTCTTTTTCCTTTCCCCTCCCCTCCCCTCTCCCCCCCTTCTTTTCTTCTTTCCTTTTTTGATGGAACCTTGCTCTGTCGCCCAGGCTGGAGTGCAGTGATGCAATCTCAGCTCACTGCAACTTCTGCCTCCTGGGTTCAAGCGATTCTCCTGTTTCAGCCTCCCTAGGAGCTGGGACTGTAGGTGCATGACACCACACCCAGGTAATTTTTGTATTTTTAGTAGAGGTGGGGTTTCACCATGTTGGCCAGGCTGGTCTTGAACTCCTGACCTCAGGTGATCCACCCCCCCCCCTCACCGTTGGCCTTCCAAAGTGCTGGGATTACAGGCATGAGCTACTGTGCCTGACCTCAGAGGTTACTTTATAGGGTTTAAGAACACTGGGTTTAACTAGTGATATGGTTTGGATGTGTGTCCCTCCAGATCTCATGTTAATGTGATCCCTAATGTTGGAGGTGGGGCTAATGGTGTTGGATCATGTGGGTGGATCCCTCATGTATGGCTTAGTGCCATCCCCTTGGTGATGAGTGAATTCTTGCTCAGTTCGTTCATGCAAGGAGATGCAGTTGTTTAAAAGAATCTGGGACCTCTCCCTTCTTTCTCTCTTTCTCCCTTTCTTGCCATGTGACATGCAGGCTTCCCTTTACCTTCCACCATGAGTGGAAGCTTCCTGACATCTCACTAGAAGCAGAGGGTGATACCATGTTTCTCATACAGCTAGAAGAACCATGAGCAAAAGTAAACCTCTTTTCTTTTTCTTTTATTTAGTAACTGTTATTTATTTTACTTTTCAACTTTTATTTTAAGTTCAGGGGGTACATGTGAGGTTTGTTACATGAGTAAATTGTATGTCACTGAAGTTTGATGTACAAATAATTTTGTCACCCAGCTAGTAAGCATAGTACCCAATAGGTAGTTTTTAGACCCTCATTCATTTGTCACCCTCCCTGCTTAAGTAGACCCCACTGTCTATTGTTCCCACCTTTGTGTCCATATGTACTCAAAGTTTAGTTCCCATTTACAGATGAGAACATGTGGAATTTGGCTTTCTGTCCCTGTGTTAATTTGCTTAGGGTAATGGCCTCCAGCTCCACCCATGTTCCTGCAAAGGACATGATCTTGTTCTTTTTTTGTGGCTGTGTAGTATTCCATGGTGTATATGTACCACATTTTCTTTATCCAGTCCACCATTCATTGGGCACCTAGGTTGATTTCATGTCTTTACTATTGTGAATAGTGCTATGATGAACATAGGCATGCATGTATCTTTTTGGTAGAATGACTTTTTTTCCTTTGGCTGTATACCCAGCAGTGGGATTGCTAGGTCAAAATCAGTTCTAAGTTCTTTGAGAATTCGCTAAACTGCTTTCTATAGTAGCCAAACTAATTTACATTCCCACCTGCAGAGTATAAGCATTCCCTTTCATCTTCAGCCTTGCCAAAATCTGTTATTTACTGATTTTTAAAAAAGAGCCATTCTGACTGGTGTGAGATGGTATGTCATTGAGGTTTTGATTTGCATTTCTCTGATGATTAGTGATGTTGAGCATTTTTTCATATGCTTGTTGGCCGCATGTATGTCTTCTTTTGAGAAGTGTCTATTCATGTTCTTTGCCCATTTTGAAATGAGGTTTGTTTCTTGCTTGTTGATTTGTTTAAGTTCCTTATAGATTCTGGATATTAGGTCTTTGTTGCATACATAATTTGCTAACATTTTCTCCCATTCTGTAGGTTTTCTGTTTATGCTATTGATAGGTTGTTTTGCTGTGCAGAAGATCTTTAATTAGATCTTACTTATTTATTTCTTCTTTTTGTTACAATTGCTTTTGGAGACTTTATCATGAAATCTTTGCCAAGGCCTATGTCCAGAATGGTATTTCCTAGGATTTCTTCTAGGGTTTTTATAGGTATTACATTTAAGTCTTCAAGATTGTAGGTGTGTGGTTTTTATTTCTGGCTTCTTTAACCTGTTCCACTGGTCTGTGTGTTTGTTTTTGTACCAGTACCATGATGTTTTGGTTACTATATTCTTGTAGTATAGTTTGAAGTTGAATAGTGTTATGCCTCCAGCTTTGTTCTTTTTGCTTAGGATTGCTTTGGCTATTGGGGCTCTTTTTTGGTTCCATATGAATTTGAGAATACGTTTTTCTAGTTCTGTGAAAAATGGCATTGATAGTTTGATAGGAATAACATTGAATCTGTAATTGCTTTGGGCACTATGGCCATTTTAACAATGTTGATTGTTTCTATCCAAGAGCATGGAATTTTTTCCATTTCTTTGTGTCATCTATTATTTCTTTCAGCAATGTTTTGCAGTTTTTGTAGAGATTTTTCACCTCCCTGGTTAGCTGTATTCCTAGGTATTTTATTCTTTTTGTGGCTATCATGTTCTTGATTTGGTTCTTAGCTCAAATGTTATTGGTGTATATGGTACTGGGTTTTATATATTAATTTTGTATTCTGAAAATTTACTGAGGACGTTTATCATTTCTAGGAGCCTTCTGAAGGAGTCTTTAGGGTTTTCTAGGTATAGAATCATATCATCAGTGAAGTGGGATAATTTGACTTCCTCTCTTCCTATTTGGATGCCTTTATTTATTTCTCTTGCCTGATTACTCTGGCTAGGACTTCCAGCACTATGTTGAATAGGAATGGTGAGAGTGGACATCCTTATCTTGTTCCAGTTCTTAATGAGAATGCTTTCAGCTTTTGCCCATTCAGTATGATGTTGGCTGTGGGTTTGTCATAGATGGTTCTTATTAGTTTGAGATATGTTCCTTAAATGCCTTGTTTGTTAGAGGTTTTTAACATGAAAGGATGTTGAATTTTATTGAAAGCTTTTGCTGTGTCTATGAGATTATTATGTGGTTTGTAGTGTTAGTTCTGTTTATGTGGTCGATCACAATTACTGTTTTGCATATGTTGAACCAACCTTACATCCCAAGAATAAAGCCTACTTGATTGTGGTGGATTAGCTTTTTGATGTGCTGCTAAATTCAGTTTCCTAGTATTTTGTTGAAGATTTTTGCATCTATGTTCATCAGGGATATTGGCCTGAAGTTTTCTTTTTTCATGTGTCTCTGTCAGGTTTTGGTATTTGGAATTTTAGAATACGTTTTTCTAATTCTGTGAAAAATGGCATTGATAGTCATTAGCTGTTGATGCTGGCCTCATGAAATGAGTTAGGAAGGAGTCCTTCCATGATTTTTGGGGTTGTTTTGCTCTCATTTCTCCAGTTCCTCTGGGTATAATGTTAGGTGGTTAGTTTAAGCATTTTCTGGCCAGGTGCAGTGGCTCACGCCTGTAATCCCGGCACTCTGGTAGGCTGAGGCAGGCGGATCACAAGGTCAGGAGATTGAGACCATCCTGGCTAACATGGTGAAACCCTGTCTTTTCTAAAAACACAAAAAAATTAGCCAGGCGTGGTGGTGGGTGCCTGTAGTCCCAGCTACTTGGGAGGCTGAGACAGGAGAATGGCATGAACCTGGGAGGCGGAGCTTGCAGTGGGCTGAGATCATGCCACTGCACTCCAGCCTGGGTGACAGAGCAAGACTCCGTCTCAAAAAAAAAAAAAAAAAAAAAAAAGAATTTTCTAACTTTCTGGTGTAGGTGTTTAGTCCTATAAACTTTCCCCTTAATGCTGCTTTAGCTGTGTCCCAGAGATTCTGGTATGTTGTATGTTTGTTTTCATTAGTTTCAAAGACTTTTTTATTTGTGCTTTAATTTTTATTTTTTACCCAAGTCATTCAAGAGCAAGTTGTTTAATTTTCATGTAATTATATGGTTTAGAGTGATCTTCTTGGTATTGATTTCTAATTTTATTGTGTGATCTCAGAGTGTGGTTGGTTGGTAGGATTTTGGTATTTTTGAATTTGTTGAGAATTGCTTTATGCCTGAGTGTGTGGTTGATCTTAGAGTATGTGCCATGTGCAGATGAGAATAAGGTACATTCTTACATTGTTGTGTGGAGTGCTCTGTAGATGCCTGTTAGGTCCATTTGTTCAAGTGTTGAGTATAGGTCCCAAATATCTTCGTTAATGTTCTGCCTTGATTTCTAATGTCAGTTAGGTGTTGAAGTCTCCCACTATTATTGTGTGGTTATCTAAGTTTCTTTATAGGTCTTTAATGAATCTTGGTGCTGCAATATTGGGTTCATATACATTCAGCATAGTTAAATCATCTTATTGTATTGAACCCTTTATGATTATGTAATACCCTTCTTTATCCTTTCTCATAATAGTGGGCTTATTAAATCATAGTCTATTTTTTTCTAAGATAAAAATAGCAACCCCTGTTCTTTTTGTTTTCTGTTTGTTTCATACATTTTTCTCCATCTCCTTACTTTATGGGTGTCATTGCATGTGAGATGGATCTCTTGAAGACAGCACACAGTTGGGTCTTGCTTATCTATCCAATTTGCCACTCTGTCTTTTAGATGAGATGTTTAATCCATTTACATTTAAGGTCAATATTGATATGTGGTTTGTTCCTGTCATCATGTTGTTAGCTGGTTGTTATGTAGACTTGATTGCATAGTTACTTTATATTGCCAGTGGGCTATGTACTTAAGTATGTTTTTGCAATAGCAGGTATCAGGTTTTTATTTCCATATTTAGCCCTCCCTTTATGGCCTCTTCTAAGGCAGATCTGGTGGTAACAATTTTCCCTAGAATTTGCTTGTCTGAAAAGGATTTTATTTCTCCTTCGCTTATGAAGCATAGTTTGGCTGGGTATGAAATTCTTTGTTGGAACTTCTTTTCTTTAAGGATGCTAAATATAGGGCCCCGATCTCTTTTGGCTTGTAGGGTTTCTGCTGAAAGGTCCACTGTTAAGCTGATGGAGTTTCCTTTGTATGTGACCTGCCCCTTATTTCTAGCTAACTTTAAGGTCTTTTCTTTCATATTGACCTTGGAGAATCTGATGACTATGTGCTTTGAGAAAGGTCATATTGTCTAGTATTTCACAGGGGTCCTCTGAAGTTTTGGATTTATATGTCAACCTCTCTAGCAAGGTCAGGGAATTTTTTGTGGACCATATCCTCAAATATGTTTTCCAAGTTGCTTGCTTTCTCTTCATCTCTCTGAGGAATGCCAGTGAGTCATAGGTTTGGTCTCTTTAGATAATCTTATATTTCTTGCTGGTTTTGTTCATTTTTAAATTCTTTTTTTTGTCTGCATGGATTCAAAGGAGCGGTGTTCAAGCTCTGACATTCTTTCCTCAGCTTGGTCTATTCTGTTATTAGTGGTTCCTATTGCATTATGAAATTCCTGTAGTGAATTTTTCATTTCTGGAAGTTCAGTTTGGTTCTTTCTTAAAATGGATATGTCATCTTTCAACTGTTAGATTGTTTTACTGGTTCTTTGAATTAGGTTTCAGCCTTCTCCTGTATCTCACTGAGCTTCCTTGACATCCATATTTTGATTCTATGTTGTTAATTTCAGCCATTTCAAACTGGTTAAGAAACATTGCTGGGGAGCTAATGTGGTCATTTGGATGTCTTAAGACACTCTGGCTTTTATGGTTGCCAGAAATCTTGCCCTGGTTCTTTCTCATCTCTATGGGCTGATATTACTTTAATCTTTAAAGTTGCTGTTTTTTGGGTGAAACTTTTTGCTTTTATGTTCTTTGATGCCCTTGAGGTTTGACTGTGGTATAAGTTGGGTTTGGCTGACTTTGTTTCTGGATGCTTTCAGTGGGCAAAGGCTCAGTCAGTACTCCTGGGCTGCATGCTCTAACCCTGGGGACCTGAGACCAGGCTTTTGGTTTTGTTCTCTGGCCCCTTGAGGTCAGGCATCTCCTGTGCTGGAAGAGCCGAGATGTTCCTAGTTCTCTGGAAAACAACACTCTGATGGGGGCTGCCAGCAAAAGTGCTCTGGTAGGGTAGTGGAGTGCCTGTGGGAGAGTTCACTGTGCTGGGGTCGTGGGGGCTGCAGGAGAGTACACTGTAGTCAGGGGGCTGCAGGCGAGCCCACACCAGTGGAGTGACTGGGGGAGGCTGCAAGCAAGCACATGCCAGTGAAGGAAGGCTGTAGCTGGTTGCACACTGGTGGCAAAAATGTTCCAATGGGAAGGCAGGGGCTCCTGGTGAAAGAACTATGGCAGTGGCTGCCAGCAAGCATTTCAGCAGGGCATTTAAGGCTGTACTGCATGTGGGCATGGGTAGGCAGGGACTGCAGGAGAGGCCAGCAGACAGGGGATGCCCATACAAAACTGGTCATGTTCTGTGCAGGAGAGCCCTGCTCTCTTTAGGTCTGGTAGCTAATGAAGGCTAAAGCCACTTAGAGGATTCTAACAAGTCTTTGGGGATGGGCACCTATGGCTGTGCTCCACTGCAGCCATTCCCATGCCAAACCCTTTGGGACCCATGCAGACTGGAGTTCTGTCTCTGTCACCTCTCCAGGCAGTTCTCCCCATGAATTCAAATATATCTGTGGGTTTCGTGGAGTATCCTGCAGCTAGGATCCTGGAGGTCTGTGGAGAGAGTAGTCCACTCTATTCTTAGCTCACTCACCCCTTCTCTGGTTGCCACTTGGGACCCACAGTGACTTCTGGTACTCAGCAACTTTGTGCAGGGTTCCAACCTCCTCCTCATCAGCCCCAGGGTCTGTATCCTTCCTCTATTGATTCTGGATGCCTTCTTTCTGAAGATCTGCTTGGAATATGGCAGTCTACTCAATAGGTTCTGTCTCTCTAGGTGGGAGAAGCTCCCCCAGCTGCATCTAGTCAGCCATCCTGCCCCTTTCTCTTTTGTTTGTAAATTACCCACACTCAGGTATTTATTTATAGTGACACAATCAGACTAATACAAGTAGAGTCTGAATTAACCTCTTCAGTGTGCCACAAGGGTGCCATGGGTGTTTTTCTCTATAAGCTTGAGGGTCAGGATTTTTGTGGCTACAGAGGTCTAGGCAACAGCAACTAAGATATTTAAGGTCCTGTGGAGTTGTCTGCTTCTAAGGAATGCCGATCTCAGTACTCCACATTATGGCCTTTGTTTCTTTTTCCTTTTTTTCCATTAATGACCACTCTTTCATGAGCTTTTGCCCAGTAGGCTTATATCTTCACATGATCCAGTCTTCCCCTTAGTGCTCTATAGATCTGGAGCCAATACCTAGTTGAGACACATAACCAGTTGTCACAGGGTAATCTTTCCTTGAGCCTAGCATAAGTCACAACTTCATTCTTAGAAATACAGATAGGTCCAGACTGAGACACATGCCTAGGGCCAGCTTAAGAAAGCCCTACCCCAATCTCATAATCTTATTCCAAAATCAATTAATCATTGAATCTTCCAATTTAGTTCAGCATTATCTGTAACAGAAGCTCTGTAGGACTCAACAGTGCAGCACAGAGCAGCACAGCTCAAAGCACAAGAAGCCAAGAAGGAACAGTGCAGAGTACATGCTTGCTAGAAGGCAGCAGAGCCTGTTAACAAGCCAAAGCCTGAGGAAAGACCCCGGTGGAGGTGGTCATTGTCTCAGCATCCTGATCCGGCACCTGTTGTTGTAGCCACCCTGAAGAGGTAAGATGAACCTCAGCCAAAAATTTGGTTTAGATGTCAAGAGTGATTATGATAGCAGCAGGAGGCAGTCAAATGCCTAGGCAGATAGGGTTGGGTTCCCAGTGAAACCACACCTTCAAGCCAAAGCCAATTTAAAGCCTGAAAGCCAAGCTACAAGTCAAACCCATGGAATGGACTGAGAACCTCTCTTTCTGTTTGGTGTGCGTTCCTCTGATTGATTCTAACCCTTCACCCATTTTACATATTCCTACTCTTCCCTAATTGTTTTTTTACACTGTCATGCCCACCTTTACATGGTGCCTTTGTTTTAGCCTTTTTTTTGCATACTAACAAACCAATCAGCATGTACTCACCCATTCTAAGCCCATACAAGTCCCAGACCCAGCCACGCTGGGTGGGTGACCACTTGACTTTGGGTAGGGACCACCCTCGCATCCCCTCTCTGCTGAGAGCTATTCTTTCACTCAATAAAATTCTTCTTCACCCACCTCACCCTTCGATTGTCAGAGTAACCTTATTCATCTTGGATGTGGGACAAGAACTTCGGAACCTCTGAATGCGGGTACGAGCTGGGCCAGGGGCACACCTGGCCCAGTTGTAGGCTGAGCATGGGATCCAGGCTGGTGCACAAGCCAGGCATGGCCCCGCCAGACGAGTGGATGGGGCACCTTCTGCAACAGGCCCAGGGCCAAGTGAGGCCCTGGGCAGAGACGTCATTGGCCATGGAGGTCTCTGGCTGGCAAAGTGACAGAAAAATCATGTATCAATTATTCCACACACAAAGCAAGAGGGTTTGAAAAGTTTTATGACTTACATAATTGAAGTCTCTGGGAAGAGAGGACTGGCCTCTCATACATTTGAAATGGCTTGAGAGCACAAGGAAAGAATGCTGGCTCAGGATTTTTATTATCATTATGGAGTGGGGCAAGTGTAAGTGTTCTCATGGAAGTGGGACGGAGTTTGTGAGGTTTTGATCTAAATTACCACCCTCACTCCTGTCCCACTTCCTAGCATCAAAAGAGGGTGCATTGGGCTTTCTTAACAGCTTTCCCCGATATGGGGCCAAAGGAGTGGGGATTGAGGCTAAAAGCTGTTAGCAGTCAAAGTGAAAACAAACAAACAAACAAAAAACTATGGAGTATTGGCTGGGTGCTGTAGCTCATGCCTGTAATTCCAGCACTTTGGGAGACTAAGACGGGCAGATCACGAGGTCAAGAGATTGAGACCATCCTGGCCAACATGGTGAAACCCCATCTCTACTAAAAATACAAAAATTAGCTGGGCGTGGTGGTGCATGCCTGTAATCCCAGCTATTCGAGAGGCTGAGGTAGGAGAATCACTTGAACCTAGGAGGTGGAAGTTGCAGTGAGCCGAGATCATGCCACTGCTCTCCAGCCTGGCGACAGAGCAACACTCCATCTCAAAAAAACAGAAAACAAAAAACTATGGAGTCTGATCGTTTATGATAATTCCTAAGTATTTTATTCCTTTTGGTCTACTGTAAATACAAATTGTTATCTTAATTTTATTTTTTGATGATTTATTGTGAATGTGTAGAAATACAGTTGATTTCTGTATGTTGAATTGTATTCTGTAAACTTGCTAAACTCATTTATTAGTTATAATAGTTTTTTAGTGGATTTCTTGGGATTTTCTATATATAAGATCATGTCATCTGCAAAGAGAAAGTTTTCCTTTTTGTTTCCAATCTGTACATTTCTTATTTTATTTTCTTGCCTAATTTCTCTGGCTAGCACCTTCCATACAATGTTAAACAGAAATTGTGAGAGCAGACAACCTTTTCTTGTTTTTAATCTTAGAGGGGAAGGATTCAGTCTTTTACTGTATTAGCTGTAGGTTTTTCCAATAAGCCCTTATAAGATTGAATATATTTTCTTTAATTACCAGTTTAAATGTTTTTATCATGTGGTTTATCTGAATCAATTAAGAAGATCATATGGTTTTTCTTTATTAATATGGTATAGTACATGGATTAATTATGTATGTAAAACCGATCTTGCATTCCTAGCATAAATATCACTTGATCATGGTATATAATATTTTGTATATGTTGCCAGCTTCAGTGCGCAGTATCTTGGTGAGGATTTTGAATCTATAAGAGTTATTGATTTATAGTTTTCTTGAGATGTCTTTATCTGGTTTTAGCATCAAGATTATACTGGACTTATAGAATGAGTTTAGAAGTATTCCCTCTTCTTTTTTTGGGTGGGGGGTGTAATTTGTGAATAATTCATATTAATTCTTCTTTAAATGTTTGATAGAATTCACTAATGACATCTGTGCCTGGATTTTTCTTTGTGGGAATTTTTTTTTTTATTTCTAATTCAATCTCTCTTTTAGATTTTCAGAGTTTCTATTTCTTCTTGATTCAGCTTTTATAGTTTGTATTTCTGTGGAATTTGTCCATTTCACTAGGTTGTCTAATTTGTTGAGATGCAGTTGTTCATAGTACAATATTCCCATATGATCCTGCAAAATAAGTGGTGATGTTCCCTCTTTCATTCCTAATTTTAGTAATTTGAGCCTTCTGTTTTTCTTGGCTGGCTCAGCTAAAGGTTTGTCAAATTTATTGATAATTCAAAGAACTAGGATTTTGTTTTCATTGGCTTTCTCTCCTGTTTTTCTATTCTCTGTTTTATTTATTTTCACTGTAATCTTTATTATTTCTTTTCTTCTTTTGGTTTAAGTTTAGTTTGCTCTTCTTTCTTCAGTGTTTTAAAGTCAAAAATTACTTTATTGAATTGACATCTATCTTCTTTTTTAATGTAGGCATTTACAGTTATAATTTTCCTTTTAAGCATTGCTTTAGCTGCTTCCCGTAAGCTTTGGTATGTCATTCATTTTTATTCATCTTAGTATTTTCTAATTCCCCTTTCAATTTTATCTTTGACCCAGTGGTTATTTATGTGTGTTCATATATTTGAGAATTACCCAAATTTCCTTGTTATTGATTTTTAATTTCATTCTGTTATGACCACAGAACATACTTTATATCATTTCAATCCTTTTTAATTTATTAATGCTTGTTTTATGGCCTAAGATATAGTTTATCCTGGAGAATATTCTATGTGCACTTGAGAAAAATATGTATTCTGCTTCTCTTGGGTGGAATGTTTTATAGAGGTCTGTTAGGTTTAGTTAGTGTTCAGATCTTCTATTTTCTTGTTTATCTTCTGCCTCATTGTTCTATTATTGAAAGTGAGGTATTGAAGTCTCGAACTATTATTTTGAATTGTTTATTTCTCCTGTCAATTCTGTTCATTTTTGCTTGATGTAATTTGGGTATCTGTTGTTAGGTGTATATACGTTTATAATTATTGTATCTTCCTAATGCATTGACCTTTTTATCATTGTGAACTATCCCTCTTCATTCTGGGTTGACAGTTGTTTTTCTCTTTACCTTTCTACACTTCTTACTATGGTGTATCTAGGTGTGGATCTCTTTACATTTACCTTATTTGGTTTTCCTTGATCTTCTGATGTATACATTAATAATTTAAATAAATTTTCAAAGATTTGGACTATGTAAATTTTTTTTCTGCTTCTGAAACATCCATTCTCTGTATGATGTTGCACTTAATGATGGTCCACATCTCTCTGAGGCTCCACTTATTTTTCTTCATTTCTTTGTGCTGTGTTCCTTGGATTGTGTAGTATGTATTGATCTATCTTCAAGTTCACTTTTTTTTTCCTGCCACTGCAAATCTGTTGTAGAGCCCCTTTAGTTAATATTTCATTTTAGTTATTTTGCTTTTTTAACACTAAACTTTCCATTTGGTTTTTATAATTTCTCTCTTTATTGTTATTTTCTATTTGATGAAATATTGTCGTCATAGCTCCTTTACTTCTTTAAGCATAGTTTCCTTAGTTATTTTATTATATTTATAATAGCTCTTTTGAAGTTTTTGACTGCTGGGTCTTTTCATAGGCAGTTTCTGTTGCCTGCTTTTTTCTAGTATCTGAATCACCCTTTTCTGTATTTTTTTCTTTTGTGTGTCTCATTTTATTTTTGTTGTAATGAAACTTTTAGATAATTATGTAGCATCCTTGACTACTAATTATCTCTCTTCCTCTCTGGGGCTTGTTGTTTGCTTATTTATTTGTTTAACAACTTGGTTGATCTACTTTAATGAAGCCTATTTCCCTTGCACTGTGAATTCACTAATGTTGCTCCACAGAAGACATAGCCTTGGGCATGTACACAATCACACTAAGAATGTTTTAGCAGGGCTGTCTCTCCCGGATCTGTGTTACATTGTCTTCCTCCCTTTGGTATCACATTCAGCTGTCAGGTTCCACTAATTACTGACTGATTGCTCTATAATTTTCTACAGTGTCCTGGGGCATACATTATTCCACAGTCTGATCCAGTTAAATTCAAGCTCCTTTTCAAGGGTAGTTTTTAAAGCCACTCTTTGAGGTTAGTTCTGACCCCTGGATAGCTCTTTTCAGTTATTTCCTTGGCTCTCTCTAATAAACTACCTTGTCTATGGTTTATTATTTTGCTTCATGGAGCTACCAGCCTCCTCCTAATTGCTTACCATCAAAATCTTTATTGTTTTTGAGATTGCCGTTAGGCCCAAACTTCCCTCACAGTTTGTTCCAAACAAAGTTAATTCCTTTGTAGAGGACTCTGGAGATCTCTGTTCTTATGGCCTGCCTCTATGATTGGGCAAAATCTCTCAGTCACCATTCTGAAGCTGGGGTTGGGGACAGTGGACTGCTTCTCTTGGATTGACACTCCTGGTTTATAAGCGAGGTGCGAGGTAGGGACAGTAGCTTCTAGTCTTCTCCCTTTTTCTCTCAAGTGTTGAACTTCTAGCCTATGGTGAGCCATAGGTGATTGGGAAATGGTGATTGGGGCCCCAGTATTGTTTGGCTTGCTGTGCCTGGGGTAGTACCTCTGTCTTATATGTTTGGGCCAAGTGAAGGAAGGTTCCCTGACCTTTTGACCACTCTCTCATGTAATTCAGCCTCTACAACATGGAACTGGGGGTGGGGTTGGAGTGAGAATTGGTGGTGGCCTGCCCATCCCAGGAAGATACTATAGTCCTTGACTCTAGGAGAGGAAACCCATCCTTTTGGCCACACACATCCAGAGTAGAGCTTTCATATATTGTGATGATAGTAGGGGAGGAAGAGAGTGGATTGTGGTTCAAGTGCCACTGACTTTCACTGTTCTTACTGGATTTAGTAGAGTTTCTTATATAAATGTTTCTTTAAGTGCTACATGTTCATAGAACAATTTCTGGAAACTTTAAATGGTGGTTGTTATTTTAAATGTTATTTTACCAGTTATGTTTGTTTCACTGGGAAGAGTGTCCATGGAAAGCCTCATGTCACCATTTTGGAAGTTGTCTTTTTTATGTGCCACCTCAGCTTTCCTGTAATATTTATAGCTATCATTTGTTTATTGAAGGCTTATTATGCACTTGTAACATTTGTATTTCTGTCAAAGTCTATATTCTTGAATAGTCCAAGAACACTAAGTACTTGGAAACATATATTCCTCTAACATGCTAAATGTCTTAGTTCCAGCCGTATAACAAAGTACCATAGACAGTGTAGCGTATAAAAACAGAAATGTATTTCTCACAGTTCTTGTGGCTGAAGGTCTGAGATCAGGGTTGCAGACCACCATCTTCTCATTATATCTTCACATGGTGGAAACAGAGGGAGCTCTGTTTCCAGCTTCTTTTCATATGGGCACTTAGGCACTAATCCCATTCACAAGGGCTCCATTCTTATAACCTAATTACCTCCTAAAGGTCCCACCTCTGAATATCATCACATTGGAAGTTAGGATTTAAACCTGTGATTTTGGGGTTGGGGGAGACAGACATTCAGTCCATCCATAACACTGGACTTGTTTGAGAAATAGTAAGTACTATATATTTTTATAAATATGTCTTTCTTATGAGACACTAAGATTAAATTAAGATACATTCAGTCAGAAGAGCTGAATGCAGTTATTTCACAGGGTGAGTTGGCGTATTCTGTTGAAGTTTTCAAAGATCCAGGGACCACCTGAATCAGAATCACTGACGTGATTGTTTAAAAAGCAGACTCTTGAGCTCTACTCCAGACCAACTCTCATGCAGAGACTAGTTGAGATATTTGACTTATACTGTGGGCTAAATTTGTGTGGTACAAGCTTGGCTAATGTAAACTTCAACTAAATATTTATCAAATACATTGTGGAAACCATTGTGCTAGGAGCTGGTGGTATAAAAGGAATAAGACTTGCTTCTGCAAACCCTGAAGGCGTGTATGATATTCATGAGCTTAATCTGCTAGAAGGAAAGACCATTATATAGTAACTTAGTGTATGATATAGGTACCATTAGATTTACAAAAATTGTATGCGCAGAGAGTTGGGGCAAGGTATACTTTTGCAAGTCATCTAAACACACACACACACACACACATGTGCGTGCATGCACACACACACAAACACACAGCCCATGTGTGTCTTTATTAAAATAAAGATCTGGACTATGGGAAAGGGAAACCTAGAAAACAATTTAGAGACTGGCTTCCTGTGTGCTTGGGATCTTGTGCTGCTTGTCCTCCCCGTCTCTACATGTTCCAGTGCTACTTTTCTACTGATGAAATCAACAATAATGGAATATAAGTAAGTGCAGAATAAGATAAATTTCTTTTTGAACATGTTCAGTGGCTTGTCTTATATAATGATTTAACAAACTTAGTTTTCATTCTTGACTAAGTAGTAAATGCTTACTGCATGCCTAGGTACTCTGTTAAAAATTCTGAGTTTAACTTTTCTTCCAAAATATAGTTTGTTTTTCAGAAAAATTATTTTGTTCATATTCTCCTCACTCGATTTTGCATAATTATTGATTAACTAGGTTAGAAAGGAGGTGATAGATAACTTAAAATAGTATCAAAGTGTAATGGATTTAGAGTATACTTATTGTTGAAATTACATCTGATGTTTAGCAACTCTTTTCCTGTTCTACAGACATCGTCCACAATCAATTTGTCGTAAATTCACTGTGAACATGATATCTGATATATAGGGATATTTTCACTGTTCTGGGGATATGAACTAAAAGTATTCAAAATAATGTGAGAACAACAATGTGAAGTCATTAAACGTGGCATAAATTGCTGATACAAACGGGCCATTACCACTTGTTAGTGTATTGTTTCTTCTTTTTCATAGTTGAGGTTTTGTTTTTTGTTTTTTGTGCTTTTCCCAAGCACTAGGACAGGCTTGAGTTGGGAATATTTGCAGCCCCAGCTCTTTGCTTCTTTTTCCTTTTGCACTTACTCGGTTCCTCCCCATCCTAGTCCTGACTCAGGCATCAGGAACCCACAGCTGTGCAGCTTCTGCCTTTACTGGACACACGGCTCTCCATAGCCTCACTTTCGGGGGAGCTGCTGGCAGAGGAAGAGGTACTTTTCTATGTACCATTTAGACCCAGTGTATCATTTATTGCTGCTCTCTTATTCCCACACATAGATGCTTTCTAATATGTGGTTTCTTCATGGATTTATAGACGTGGAATTTTTTTTTCAAATGGGTCATTTAATCTAAATCCTCGTTTACTCTGAAACCTGGTTAATATTTTACTGGATAATGAAGACTTGACTAGCATAAGAATGCCACTGAATGGGCAGTATATAGGCACTCATGGTAAATATGCCTGCTGGTGAACGTTGTTAAAGGAATCAATGAGGACAGTTATACAGCACTACAGCACGTGAGGAAGCTTGGGCCTTTTAGATTTCCTATTAAAGAGCATTTGTATATTGACAATATTGTGATTCTCTCTGGTGCTGAGCGCCTTCTCATAGTGTTGTGATAATCATTGCAGTTGCTATTGCTGGAGCCTGGCTCAGACTTAGAGTATGGGGATGCTGAGATGCTAGATTTATAACTTGATGTTTTATTATTTCAAAACAAGCTGACTTTGCACATATCTGGGAACTAATTCTGAAGTTTGGACTAACATAACAGATAGTGTAAAAAGGAGAAAAGAAATCTAACATCAGTTTGAGCACATATCAAGTTCTTGTGGTATAAGCAGTAATATTTATACTAGATTTGCAAAGTCAGTGTTATCATTCCCAGTCTTCACATGAAAGGAAACTGTGGCTTTAAGTGTTAGGACAAGGGCTTGAGGTTACACAGCTCGTCATTGGGAGAGCTGATATTCCAGCCTGGCTAGTTCCACAGTCTGCACTATCTCCTCCTCATTCCTGCACCCAACAGAAGGTTAGATGATTCTTTGTACATATTTTTCATAAGACTTATTACAAACTGCTTAAAATTACTAGTGAATGTTCACCCCAATGGTTCTTTGCCCATTGTATGTCAAAATTTAAGGTGTATCTCAATTTCACGAATCTGGGGTAACATGCAACAATAACTATTCGCTTTCACTCATTGTCTTAAGCACTTGATACCTTTTCTTATAGCCTTAAAATAGAGTTATTTGTCTTCCTCAATTCATCTGCCTAAGTAGACGGTAAATTTGTCCAGGCTGGGGCTGCACCACCTCCTCTCTGAGTTCTCTGAGGCACCTGACCCACAATATAAGGGGCCTTTCTCTTCCAAGGTCCATTTTAGATGTGTTGAATCAAACCTTGCAAGATTAATTTTAGTCTGTTTATGATAGAACTGGGTTCGAATTCATAATCTGTAGAATTCATTATCTCATTATGAACTGAGAATAATTTTTTAATTTTATTTGGGTTCGTTTTAGCAGATTTAAAGAAAGCTTCCAGTTCAAATGCTGCAAAATCCAATCTCCCGAAATCTGGTCTCCGTCCTCCCGGATACTCACGTCTCCCGGCAGCCAAACTGGCGGCATTTGGCTTTGTCCGGAGCTCCAGCGTCTCCTCAGTCTCCAGCACCCAGTCCGGGGACAGTGCACAGCCAGAGCAGGGCCGGCCAGCCACCCGTAAGTGGGGTGGGGCAGGGTGGGGTGCCTTCACTGAATTAAAACCGGCGCGCCTGTGTAACTGTGTGTCATTTTCTTTGCATGATTATTTAAGAATTTGCATCACCTCCCTTAGCTTCCCATTGTTGTGTTATTCATCTACTGAAGAAAAATAGCCCATTTGACACCATCAGTTATGGGGAGTTAGTGTGCCAGGAAAAAAAGATTGTAACCACCTCTTAGGATGTAGAAAATGACTTATCCAGAGACAGATTCCAGCAGCCCTTTGCTTTGCAGATTCTAGGTAAGAAGTCAAAGAAAGATCCAAGAAAGGTGTTACCTACATTGTGCTGTCATGAAACATACTAGATATTTAATATTAGCTGAAAGAATCATTTAGTCGCCTGTGATTACCAGTAATGCCTTCACACTGCCAGAGCACTTGACTGGATTTCTGAAAGTTAAATAAATGATGTTAAAAGTAGCAAAGCACTGCCAAGCTTCTTCAAGTCCATGCCCAGGAAGATCTCCATTAGCTGAGATGGTGCTGTTGCAGGCCCATTTCCTGAGACTGGTATTGTAGACTGCATTTTAAAGTATGAATGAATAACCTGCAGAGCATGTTACAACAGCTGCTGTCCCTGAGGAAGATCTGGAGGTTGCCCATTCAGCTGTGCCTTTGATGACCAAACCCCATCTCAGTCACCACTTCAAAGTCAATGTTATTGGATGGGAAACCATGACATCTCAGATGTTGTTTTCAAGACCTTGCCAGGGGCCCAGGAAAGTCTTAGAGGTTTCCACGTAGAGAGCTGTTTTGAAGGGGTTATAGAAGTTGAATCAAGCTGGAATAATTCGAAAGAGAGAGAGAGAGATCGATTGATTTGTTATTTTGTCAATTTCTTGTCCAAGCTTGTTTATTCTCTGTTCTTTCTTGTGTTTACAGAGATGATGTGTGGAACATTTGCGTAGTTCTAAATTTTGGTCTACCTAGTTATTTATAAAAGTAATACATTACATTTCCCTTTGTCTTGATGTGTTTGTAAGCAGTTTCTAAGGGTGTTTTATTTGCTCTGTTGGTTTCCTGAAGGTGCCGTAGCTGAGGCCTGCTTTCACACAGGATACATTTAAGGAATATCACTGTAATTAGTGATTACATCATTACACAGTAGGGGTCTCAAAATCTGAAACATGAATGTAATAAAGAACTGTTTGCAAATGTGTAATTCATGTTTTGAGATATGCATGTGCATATTAGCAGTCTGATGATTTGAAAATACAGGAGCAACTATTTATCATCATTTTTATTAATAAAATTCCTGATGACGTGTTTCTTTTTTAGAGAAAGTAGTATGAAGGAAAAACTTATCATATGATATATATCTTTCCAACAAAGGAGTTAAGATTTTGATGTCTTAAAAAAAATTAACCTCAAGGCAAGATGAGCCATGTCCACATGACAGCAGCTTTTGCTGACAGAGAGCTGACAGGTCTGGACAGAATAATTGCAGGTGCGCTTAGGACATTTCTTCTCACCTCTGCTTCAGAGGATACTAGAGAGGGACCCCTGAGCACCCAGGGGATAAGAGCTGTATGTGCCAGAGAAAATAACTCCCAGTTTAAAGACTTCATACTAAAAGTCACACTTTTATATGAATGTCTATCCAGAATTGTTTTCTATTTTAAGAAACATATGTTAGAATTGATTTTTAATTATCTGCTACCTACTATATATGTAATTTTTACTTCACCAATAAATCACAGAAAAACCCCCCATGAATTTGATTTGTCTAAGTACTACTAATCATTATACCTATACTTGTTATTAGATGTAATGTCAATAAATATTTTGTTTCTGTTCTTTAGCGAAGAGATGATGCTTTGATGACAGGGAATAAATAAAATATGAAGCTCTTGAGAGAGCTAAAAGTCCTTAGATCAACTTCTCATATGGTATATATCTTTCCAACAAAGCTTTCTTCTCCAAGCTTGTTCATTCTCTGTTCTTTCTTGAGTTTACAGAGATGGTGTGTGGAAAGCTTTGCTGGAGCAAAGCTTTGCTGGTTCAGCTCATGGAAACAGCCAATGTGGTATCAGAATCGGTCCTTTTTTCTTCTTCTTGGAAAGCTGGTCTTTTTGCAGACATTATTTTCACATAGGATTCATTTAAGGAATACTGCTGTAATTAGGGATTATGTCATGCAGAGTAGATGTTTCAAAATCTGAAACATGAGCATGATAAGAATCTATAGTCACACATTGCTTAATGACGGGGATATGTTCTGAGAAGTATGTTGTTAGGCAGTGTCATCGTGGCGCAAACATCATAGAGTGTACTTGCACAAACCTAGATGACATAGCCTACTACACACCTAGGCAATATGGTATAGCCTTGGCTCCTAGGCTGCAAACCTATAGAGCATTTACTGTACTAAATACTGTCGGCAATTATAACACAATAGTGCGTATTGGTATATGTAACAATATCTAAACATAGAAGAAGTATAGTAAAGCTATGGTTTAAAAACTAAAAATGCTGTTCCTGTATAGGGTACGTAAGCACGAATGAAGCTTGCAGGAGTGGAAGGTGCTCTTGGTGAGTCAGAGAATGAGTTGTGAATGAATATGAAGGTCTAGGACATCATTGTACACTTTTATGTGATAAACCAGGGCTATCCTGGAGGCCTGGTTTACACCAGCAACACCACAAACGTGAGTAATGTGTTGTGCTATGACATTACGGTGGCTAAGACGTCACTAGGCAATAGGAACTTTTCAGCTCATTTATAATCTTACAGGACCACTGTCCTATATGTGTTCTGTTGTTGACTGAAGCATCGTTATGTGGTGCATATGGTATTTGCAAAGTATAATTCATATTTTTAGATGTTTGTGCATATTAACAGTCTAAACAATGTCCACACTGACTGTGGCATGCTATATTGGGACACTTTTAAGTGACTCATTATGAATTTATGAGTGTTTCCTAGGCTAGCCTGGCTCTACTGAGACTCTTCCTTGCTGTTTCCCTGGGTCCTGAGGGGCAAGTGATGATGAATGTGGAAACGGGAGCCCCATGCATCCCCCTGGACATGAGATGGCAGGACCATTTGGGGTCTCAGCTGTTCCACATAGAGTCCGCATCCACCCTGGGCTCAGGCTTCAGGCCATTAGCCCAACCCCATTGAGCAGAGGCTTTCTAAGTCAGGTGCTCTTCTATGTCTTTTTACCTTTTCCACAAGGTTGTGGCAAACAAGACAGGCACAGGGAAATGAATTATGTTCATAGGTCCTCAGAACTTGAAGGTATCTTACCATCCAGTTTACCACCCATTTTACAGCTGAGCAAACTGAGATCAGGTTGACTTGCCCTGGGTCCTGGGCTGGTGTTCTTTCTACTCTATTTCCTTCTTAAAGCTGCCATATACAGGGAAGATATATGCATGATTTGAATATATTTTCTTTCTATTAGTAAAGCAAATCTTAGAGTCAGAGCTGACTTGAGAGGCCCCTCAGGCTTCCCAGGTTGTCAGCCAGCCCCTGCGGGAATGCTCTTAAGAGCTAGAGAGGGTTCCGCTTTACGCAGAAGCCACCTCTGAGGCTCTCCTTAGGAAGTGCTCTCTATGAGTTCAGATTGCCTCCTTGTAATCTTCAACAAGTAGCCACAGTTCCTGTGGACTCACACAGCACCTGCATGTGTATCGTGCCTCCAGGATAGCCCTAGGCAGCTCCCTTCATTCCCTTACCAGTTCGTCACATGAAGATTACAAGGTTGGCCCATTTAGAGCCTCAAATTAGTGACCCATAGCTTTTCAAAAAAATATTTACATTGAAAGAGGGAACGTAATTTTCTAACTTAGAAATTAAGCGTAAACTTAACATATCGGTCTGACCCAGGATGTGGCTCCTTAGTTCTTTTATAATGTTCAGAGATGAAAAAAAGATCCCAAATATACTTTAGGTGATAGAAACTTACTGATAAAAATAATGACCGTACTATAGAATTTAGTGTCGGAAACATACTATTACCTAATGTGTATAGGTTGTGCATCCCAAATCAGAAAATCTGAAATTCGAAATGCTCCAAAACCCAAAATTATTTTGAACACTGACACGATGCCCATGGGAAATAGTCACTGGAGCATTTTGGATTTTGGATTTTGGGGTTTGAGTTGCTCAACTGGTATAATAAAAATATTCCAAGATCTGAAAAATTCCAAAGTTCAAAACAATTCTGGTCCCAAGAATTTTGGATAAGGGATACTCAACCTGTACTTCGTTATCACATTAATCAGTAATTAGGTATAGACTTGATTTTCCAAGTGGGTAGGCAGATGCGACTTAAAGTCAAAATCTTTAGGAACATGTGCGGAGGGAAAATAGGATGACTTAGGTTTCATAAATTAATCATTAATGAAAATAGATCATATCGCCCAAGGATAGAATAATTTATGTGGAAGATCCTATGTCATTATGTATTCTGAATAGCACTTCATTTACTGGGTGCCCAAGAAACAGAAAATAGCTATCAAAGAAGTACATGAAGAATATGATATTTGCAGCTTTCCTTTCCAGTTTCTCCTCTTCTTCCTCTCTTTTCAAATACTGCCATGTTTTCTCCATGGGATAACCTAAGAACAGAAATCATGGGGCAAAGAATTTAAAAAACAAGTAAAAAAAAAATTAGAAGTTTTTCTCCTGTTTTTTTCTTTTTTTCCTGGTGCACAGAAGTATTCAGATGATAGGGAAGTAGGGATACAGCTGGGGAGGTGGGCAGAGAGGCTGACGTTCGCATAAATAATCCTGGCAAAGGATGTATGTTTTCGGAGCCTGAAAAGTGTCATGAAGTGGAGGGTTAATTTCTGATGAGGATATCAGGTTGTTTCTCAGAAGGGATTGTAAGCCAGACAGCCTTTTGGAAGGTGGAGATGAACTCTAGGAGATCTTTGGTAGGGGAGCGGTGCTGTTGGTGCATTCAGAAAACTTCCTGAATCTGAGGAGTTGCCATTCCTGGTGCAGCCTGCCACTTCATCGTGGCGCTGTTTGTCTCCTGGGTGCTAAGCCTACATATTTGAGCTCCCCAAGATTTGTTCTCAGAATGTGTCTGTTCAGGTCTCCTAGTCTTCACCTTGTCATCTGATCTACAGTTTCAGCCCTTAACAGTTTGGACACAATGCTCATATCTGTATCTCTAGCTCCGATGTCCCTCTAGAACTACTCACCTGCATTTCAAATGAGCCATCAAGTATCTCTAACCCGATGGCCCAGCTCACTGCAAACTGAACACTTTTTCAGAAAACAAATTCTTCGTTTTTTAGTACAAACCAAAACCTTCTCTGGAAGTTGCTCTATCTTTTAATGATATCTGTGATCACCTGGCAACCCAGGTTGGGAATTTCAAAATCAGCATTATGTCATGCCTGCTGATTTTTTGGAGACGGAGTCTTGCTCTGTTACCTGGAGTGCAGTGGCATGATCTCGTCTCACTGCAGCCTCTGTCTCTTGGGCTTAAGCAATTCTCTGCCTCAGCCTCCTGAGTAGTTGGAAATACAGGCATGTGCTACCACACCTAGCTAGTTTTTGTATTTTTAGTAGATGGGGTTTCACCATCTTGGCCAGGCTGGTCTTGAACTCCTGACCTTGTGATCCACCTGCCTCGGCCTCCCAAAGTGCTGGGATTACAGGCATGAGCCACCGTGCCTGGCCATGTCATGGCTGCTTTTTGCCTTCTTTTCTGTTCACTCATCATTTCTGGTGAATTCTTTCTCTCTGGCACTTACCACATCCTCATTCTTCTCTCTCCTCATCTCTGTTAAAACTGTGGCAGTGCTTTCTAATCCACAAGCACATGGTCCTTGGTAATTTTCCCTTTGACCCCGTTTCAATTGCTGCATGGTGCCCCTATGCCTGCTTCACCTGTCAGACTTCCCAGGTCTTCCATGACCTGGCCCTCCCACCTTCCCTGCATACCATCCTGACATATACTCCCAACTAGCCAAATGTGAGTAACAAAAATGTGTTGCTCACATTTTTCTATGAGGGCTTTGTGCTTTCCTGCCTTTTGGTTTTGATTTAAACCATTCATCTCTGGAATACACCTCCCCCGGCCTTCTATCCCTACCCGCACCACCTGCCATCTCTCTCTGCAGATTCTATCACTTTTAGGTACATTTCAAATTTTACTTCCTCTAAAAATCCCTCAATGTGATTTTTTTGTTCCTGGAAACCCCTAGGGCTCTTGGCTTGTATCACTTTTATTACCTACTAGTTCTTGTAGTTATTTGTTTTTATGTCCTCTCTCCCCTACAGACTATAAGCTCTTAGGGGGTGGGGGCTATGCCTCTTAATAATTTTAGTATCTCTCACACTAAAGGACACTGTCCTTTACAATAGTAGAATTTTAAGGGAAGTTATCTCCCAATAGAAACTTTTTCTCTTATGTAAGGGTATGGAAAAAGATTTTTGAGAGTAACTTAGGTATCTTTGAGAGTATTTTGTATTGGGAACATATTTTTACTTTATGCATGGATTTTCATAGTTGATGAAGCTCATAATTATGGCTCTCACATTCTTCTAGGACCTCTAAAATGTTATTTTTATTGACTGTGGTATACATAGAGATAATTTACATAAGCCAAAGAGTAGAAAACCCTTTGAACTCTAAATATATTCAGAGATAAACATCATAAAGACTGACTTAGTAGTCTCACAAGTATCCAGTAACCTATATATCTCCTTGGATATACTTAATTGTTTTTAAAGAATTGGGCTAAAACCCTACCTTTGAGGCTATTCGTGAGAGAATTTCAAAGTTTCCAAACTTAGATGTCTCGTTTTGAGGAGGTTAGATATTCTCATTAATCACTTCTCAGCCTTTTGGCTAAGATCAAGTATAGATATTCTTATTAAATTCTAGAGTTTTATTTCTTGTTTTAATATATAAAATAAGTAAATGTTCTTTTAATTATTGAATAGGATTTGGGTTCTGGGGATAATTATCTGAAGTGGAAAACTGCTAGCCTTTTGGAAGGTTAATCAATGAAAATGAGGGTTAATATGAAAGCTTTTTGCAATGTTAACTTTAGGGTTTACACTGATGAATACTATAAAATACATTTACATACATAACACATTTGATTTTCTACGTCTGACATGCATTTTAAATAAGATCAGGGTTGACAAGAAATGTTATTAATAACTTACAGAAACAGCCATTAACCCATCTCATGTTCATCGGCAATGAGAGAGTCATTTTTTATTCATGGAAAAAGCAGCCAAAGGTGGCTTGTGAGGTCAGACTTCAGAGAAGCTATTGCCTGTTTGATGTTACTCTTAATGATGTCTTTGTTCATTCTCTTCAGAAGCACTCAGACAATGATGAGTTGCACCCAGAGATAGGATTAGATTGCAAGCATGTTTTGTTTTATTTTTAAGGATGTTGACCATTTCTGGTTATAAGATAAACTGAAGGTTTGGGGAACATTTTTATTTATAGTACAAATAATGTCTAGTTGAACTGCTTCAGTGTTCTTGGCTGGCTTGTTTTATGAAGATTAGATTATCTGCTTACCCTTTCCCGATTCTACATTCTTTCAGCATATTCTATGTGGTAAGCATAAGCTCAGCGCCAGGGCTGCCATGACCTGGACAAGGGTGAGTCCTCACTCACACTTGCAGGGAATGGGGAGACAGGATTATGCACATAAAGCCATGCAGGGAAATGTTAGCATGGCTATGATTGAAGACCACACAGCATTTGGTGGGCAGGGGAGGGAGGAGGCACAGGAAGGGGGAAGTATCCATGCATCCTGAGTGAGGTGAAGAAAGACCTCATGCCCTGCAGGTCCTCTCCAGGCTGGCTCAGCACTACTGCATTATGTCTTCAGATGGAATTCTTCCACATTGGTTTTAGGTAATTGACAACCTTCTGAATTTGCTTATAAAATACTCCACCAAAGGGGAGGAAAAACAACTAGAGGTGGGAGAAGATAGGTGAAAAAAGATTGACAAATATTTGAAAATATTTGAAGCTGGATGATGGAACCATGAAGATTCATTGTACTACTTCACTTGTTGTGTATGTTTGAACATTTCCATAGAAGGTTAAAACCCCACCTTCTCTCTGTATTAGTTTTTATTTATTTTTTGTTTTATTTTATTTTTACATTTAGTGGTCCCTAGAAAGCTCTTAGACAACCGTTCTTCTTCTAACCTTTTTGAAGTATAACAGACAAATAAAGATTGTGTATATTTACATTATGATGTTTTGATATACATATGCATTGTGAAATGATTACTACAATCAAGTTAATTAACATATCCATCACCTCACATAGTTACCTCTTCTGTGTATATGTGTGTGTGTGTATGTGTGGTAAGAACATTTAAGATCTATCTTCTTTGCAAATTTCAAGTATACAATATAGTGTTATTAATAATCAACCCCATGCTGTATATTAGATCTCCAGAACTTACTCCTCCTGAATACCTGAAACTTTGAACCCTTTAACCAATACCTCCCCATACTGATGAGATGACACAGTAGTGGTGAAGAGTACAGACTCTGGAGATACATTGCCTGGGCTCACATCCCACCTCTGCAGTTTGCTAGCTTTGTGACTTTGGGCAAGTTGCTTAATTTTTCTCTGTTTCCTCATTGTAAAATAATAATAATATTAATAATGATTAAAATAAGTTAAACCATCAATAGGGTCGATGGGAGCATCAGATGGAATTAATATCTGCAAAGTACTTAGAAAGGAGATTTGCCCAATAATAATGATGTTTCTGTGGGCATTTCCATCCATTGGCCATGTGTGTAAGGATTCAGAAACTCAGTTAAAAGATGACCATGATGGATTAATGTATCTGTGATGGAGTAAAGAAAGTGCTTCTGCTGACATCTGAGTCAGGCAGACGACATATATTCTAGTTTTGAATTTTTATAACAACCTCACACATATATGGTGAATAACCTTCTGAGTGAGTGTTAAGCTAAAAACATATCGTTTTTGAGACATGAAAGTGGAGGTTGATCATTTGATTTTCATGGCAATCTCTTTCTTTTGAGTTGTAAACTTGTGGTGGTTTGGACATTTACAAAATACAGACAAGGAAAATCATGATTTCTTTATTTAAAAAGGCTATGGCGTGCCTTCAGCACATTATCATTTTAGTTAATATATTCACTTGGCTTCCCTGTAAATGAAACATACTTATGCGAGGTGACTAATACATTAATCTAAGCTGATGGCATTTAAACCCTCTGCTCAAAATAGAAAGTGAGAGTTGGATCTGATTTTATTTCTGTGCCTTTTCAATATCTGTTGGAAGAATGGGAACATTTGATTTCACAGTACTTAAAGGGCTTTGCACAGCTTCTCATTTTGCTAGAGCCTAATTTCCATTGTACTAGGGCTTACTTTGTCAAACATCTCAACCCAATTTGGGTGGGTGAAAAAGAGAAGAGTGAGAACAAAAACTAAAATAAGCTTCTGATTTCCTCTGGAAATGCGGAAGTCAAACAAATGTCACTAATGGATTTAAGTATCTAGTTCCCTGGAATCTGTAATTATGAAATTTAAAGTATTCTTTACAAGAAAAAAAATGGAATCATTTTTAGTGAATCTTGCTGTTAATCTTCCCAATTATTCCCACACATTCAGTTCTTTCTCTTTCCTCTTTTCTTTGCTTCCTTCCCACACATTTACAAAGGAGAACATTTTTTTTTCTGAGTGTTTTTGAGCATTGCCTTTAAGTGAAAATATTTTCTTGATTGCTTCAGTAACTCCTAGTTTATCCACCTTAACTCAGATATCTGGATCTAACTTAGAAATCATATTGTTTCTCTAGAGGTTTATAAAGTTTATAAGTGCCATATTCTAGGATGTTCTAGCCCATTCAATATGTTTAATGAAGAAAAGATACCTGGAGCTATGGAAATCGTATTTTAGAAAAGAAATATGACATATTAGCATGTATAATATGCATAAACCCAGCATTTTCAATAATGGAATGATCTTTGGGAAAGTCAGTTAACCTCGCTGGACTAAGATTTTTATCATAAAGTTCAGAGGGATTGGATTAAATGAATTGACCAATTTGGGCTCTCAAGAGCTGGTATTCTATGACTTTATTCTGTATAAAAAATGGAACCACTTATGGTCTTAAGTAAGGAATAGTAGAATTGTGTTCAAGGAAAATTAATATGATAATGGTGAATAAAGTAGTTTGGAGAAGGGAAACTGGGCATGAGACATCTTGGTTCTTCCAAAATTAATGATGCTTTCCCTCTGGGCCAGACTTTACTTCTGTTATTTTTTCTCTGTCTTAATAAGATAAAAATTTTAGAACAATAACAGAGAACAGTGCAAAGGTTTTACTGCCTTGCTTTTTTCTGTAAAATGCAGAGCTATGAGATGCTTGGGAGTTATTTTCTTGCTCTTACCCTCTCTCTAATGCCGAGCATCTTGGATTATTAGTCCAGTACCAGAACAAAGATGAGGAGATGCAAGGAGGTGGAAAGGAAGAGGAGGAGGAAACATTTTCATACATTTTGTTGCTTTTATCTTAGCAGAAACTCTAGGTCAGAGGTCACATTTTGTCACAACTCTAATTTCACTTGAGACTATGGCAGAGTGAGAATATCAAAAAGCAAGCAAACATAGCTTCTAGATGAATCTTGCTTCTCATGGGAACTTTGCCAACAGTATGTGCTTTCTTGCATTGTTGTAACATGCATAGGCCATCTTCTGGGAAGGTTCGCAAAAACCCTTGTGGTATTTTTCCAAAGGCAGTAGACAGAGCGAAGAGATTGATATATTTTTTTTTTTGCAAGGAGAAATAAAATAATTTATATGGTTATGTCAGAGGGTTTTTTGGGCTCCTGTAACAGGCAGCAATTAGCAGGAGAGAGTTAATGGGAGCCCAAACTAGGGGGTTACAGTGGGAATGATAAAGTAAGAAAGTGCCATTCCACACTGTGTACAGGAAGAGAAGCTTATTTGTGAGGCTTTGATGAGTTTGGGTTTGGTCATGTTGAGAAGCATTCCTATAACTACATCCAGCAGACATCCATCCTATAACTACATCATACATCCATTCCTATAAGTACATCCACAGCAGCATACTTCCCTTCCTATAACTACATCCAGCAGATTTGGGCTGAAAATAAGGAGAACAGCCATGGAAAATAAGTGATGTTTGGAATTGTGACTGACATCATTGAGGGAGTGCATGCAGAATGAAATGGGAAGAGGGAAGCTGACACATTGTGTAGGGAGTATCTGTCTAGGTTGCAGGGGCAGGAGATAGGAGACAGCCGGAGAAGGCTTGGTCAGCGAGGCAGAGGAGTGTCAGACACGACCAGCATCACCAAAGCTGAGGGAGAGAGGTTCCTGGAAAGAGATGGCTGGTCAAGCCATCTGTGCTGTGGGGCTGAGATGTTTTGATATTGAGGAGAATGGGTCTGCAGACTGTCATTAAGATGTCACTGGTAGCTTTGAAGTGAGTTTAACAAAATGTATGAAGGCAGAAATCAGGTTACAAGGGGGTAAGGAAGGTAAAGGTGGAGAGTGTCTACTACTGTTGAGAAGTTTGGTGAGGAAAAGGGAAAGAACCGTAGCAGGAGAAGTTGGTTTGTTATGTGTTTGCTCTTTTTTTTAAGCACATAAGAATGCTTATGCTCTGAGGAGAAAGATCCAGTAACCAGGGAGAGATTGAAGATGAAAGCAAGTGAGAATAGTAGATGGAGCAATTCCTGGGGCAAATAGGAGGGAATGCTATTTAATATACAAGTGGAGGTACAGCCATGAAGACAGAAACAAAGGCATAAGGGATGAGTGCTGAGAAATTTTGGACAGAGAAGAAAAGACTTCAAGGAGGTCATATCAGGTCGCCTCATTTGTCCCAGGTAATTAAGAAGTAGAGTTTTTGCAGAGAGTAACCATGATGGAATTGGACATGGGATTACATAAAGAGGCAGGTAATGGTTCTTTGAGTAATACACTGAGTCAGTAAGAGGTGCATGGGGGAATTGCAGAGTTGCACAGAAGGCCCATGTGAGGTTGGAAAACATGATTTTATACCGGAAACAATCTGATGGATTTTAGGGCCGTCTCCAGTGATGTGGTGGTAGATCCCACGTCTCTCCAATTTTTTTCCCCATGCATGATAATTTATAGCAATTAAAACTCCAAAGTGAATATATAATGTTTCTCAGGAGCTTGGAGTCAAGTGATACATACAACTCTATGGAAGCAGAGGTGCTGGTTGAAGAGGGATGTATGCAGCCCTGAGCCTGCTCTGTCTGCCTTTCCCTTTCCTGTCCTTTCTACCTGCACCAGCCACTAAGGGACTCCATGGAGCACAGTTGAAAATTGCTGGCTTTAGGGCAGGTATGCCCACTTGCCTCAAGAATTAGAGACAGAATTCGCTACTATAGTCAAATTGCCAAGAAAGGCATTTTCTTATTGCTGGTTTGTAATAGGGCCCTCCTGTCTCTTTAGATCAGCTGTGCCCAATCGAAATTTCTGCAGTGTTCATCTTTGCTCTTGATACGGTAGCCACTAGTCACATGGAGCTAATGAGCCATTGAAATGGGGCTGGCATAACTGAGGAGCTGAGTTCTAAATCTTATTTAATGTTAATGACTTTGTGTTGCCATGTGTGGCTAGTAGTTCCCTTATTGGATAGTACAGTTCTAGACTGGATTATCGGTTTGGATTTTTTTTTTAAAGATATAACAATACTTCTTACAGCAGCATCTTCAAGATTCACAATGGCAGTTATTTCTTCCTTCATGTGGAGCTGCACCACATGAATTCCTAAAGACTGGAACTTTAGGGTCCTGGGTTGGTGATACGGTTTGGATGTGTGTCCCTACCTAAATCTCATATTGAAATGTAATCCCCAGTGTTGGAGGTGGGGCCTGGTGTGAGGTGATTAGATAATGGGGGCGGTTTTCTTAAATGGCTTCGCACCATCCCCTTTGGTATGTCCTTGTGATAGCAAGTGAGTTCCCCCGAGGTCTGGTCATTTCAAAATGTGTGACACCTCCCCCTGTCTCTCTTATGCTCTTGTTCGGACTGTGTGAGATACCTGCTCCCCCTTCACCTTCTGCCATGATTGGAAGCTTCCTGAGGCCCTCCCTAGAAGCAGAAGCCACTATGCTTCCTGTACAGCTTGCAGAAACATGAGCTGATTAAACCTTTTTTTTTTTAAATAAATTACCCAGTCCCAGGTACTTCTTTATAGCAATATGAGAACAGACTAATACAGTTGGTGACATAGAGCTAATGAAGATCTCACGTTTTCACTTTAAAGCTTTGTATAGGAGTTGGGACTGGGGATGCTTTTCTAAGACCATAGATGCTGTCTTTATCCCCACTTGTTTATTTTACAAGTTCATACTGTTGATCAGAAGACTAGTTCATAGAAGATGGAATAAATCATCCATTGTGATCAGAGCCATATCCATCCTCATATGTAAGAGCAGCAGAGCAGATGTAATTTGACATTTTGTTCAAGATACCTTCATAGTGTCTAAATATAATAGTTTCACTCTATGTAGGTAAAGGTGGACAGTATCAAAACTAGAAGGAAAAGTAGGAGGGGGAGAGAAATATATTAAATCAAAGGAAAGATGGAGGAAGTAAGGAAGGGAAGTGAGGGGCTTGAGGTGCAGATAGTAAGATGGCCATGGTAGGGAATAACTGAGAAGGGAATAAGGAGCCATTGGTGCACTATTATCCTCTTCCTGGTTTTCTTGAAGACCTCCTGTCCAGCTGCTCGCTTGCCCTGCCCTCCCCAGGCAGGGATGCAATGAGGGTCAGAGCTAACGCCTCAGCTTGAGGCAGTTCTTGGGATCTCTTAAGGTGTGGAAATTTGTATTTTCAATTAAGGGCAATGCCAGATTACTTCTGAAATACTGTTTAAACAGAAAAATTTTTTAAGTAGGTGCTTAGATAAAAAGGTAACTTTATTTCTGTGGCATACACATCTTACCCCCATGAATTTGCCATGCAGATGATAGAGCTATTAAATTACTGTAGGCACCTGCATTGCATATTCTTGAGCCAGAGCCACCTGAATAGAAAGTAATGCAAGATGTGAGAGAAATGTACAGGATAAATGAAATGAAATGTAGATTTTTTTTATCTGCTGGCAGGTACTATTAAAATGAAATATTACAGACATTGTGATTAAGAATGTCTAGATCCCATTAATGCGATAACTGCCATGAATATGTCTAGTCTGCCAACAGACTAGGTGAATGTGGTAAGTTGTCAATGCTAAGCTGATGTATTCTGTTGAATGTTCTTATGCGGTTGAATATATGCAGGTCGTACATTTGTGAGACAGTTTTGGCTCCTTTGGCGATGTCAATAAAATAGCTTTCCCAACTGGAGTTTGAATATCAAGGAGTCCTATGTGCATGTGTGAATTTGGCATTGGGATCTGAAGGTTCCTTTCTGGCTAGTTGTTAAGGGTGATTTTGACCAGGCCATATGTCAGCCAGCCACATATTCTGGAGTAACCAATAACCAGACTCACTAAAGACTAGGCATTGTTGTTTCTTATTTTCATTTAGACTTAGTTCATCTTGTCAAAAATCATAAGAAAAAGATAACTGATTTAAATATTGTAAAGATTGTATGCATTAAAGATAACGTATCTTTGTATCTAATAAGTCATTCATAATTACATACGAAAATGTAATTTATTGGTTTCCTTTAACTTCACAAGGTAGTGAAACCTAAGGAAGGAGAGGTGGACTGGTAGCCAGGACCACTGGGCCCTCTTAAAACTAACTGGCTGGGTGGCCGTAGGCAAGCTAATTAATTTACTTGTTTGGGCCTCAGGTTCTTCATCAGTAAAAGGAAGCATTTGAACTCAGTGATATTCAGTGTTCCCTCCAACTGATTCTTTAAAAAGAAGTCTTACACATGTTAAGCTGAATTACAGAATGTGTGTGTTTATTCTACTTAAGGGTGGTGGGGCCATAACAGAGCATGATATCAACTAGACCAACCAGGCATTATAGGATTGTTGCTGAGTCTTTACTGTGTTGGCATGTAGATATCTGTGAATAATGTGCTGTTTTAACCTGGAGCATACCGAGACATAAGTAAAATATGAGTCAGCTTCCATAAATCTGCTTCCATGCCTGGCCCCTAGGCCCCATGTTCTCTATTGTGCTAGGGGCTATATGGGGTTCAATTCAGATATCTGTCAAGCAAGTCAGAACTTTATGAAGACAAAAGGGATAAATTGAGAATAACTAAATCCATAAGATAGAATTAGATGTATTTACTATGTATTATTTTTACCCTAAATATATGCAATAAATTTAGATTATGTGTGGTAGGTTTTGTCTAGTTCTTCCTAAGGAACTGGTGAGAACTTTTTCTCACTATAGCCAAGACATTGAGATTTTACTTTCTTATATCAGGGGACTTAGTCTATGGTTCTATTATGTACATCAATTCTTCCTTATCCATTCCTAGGGATGAGTTCCAAGACCCCCAGTGGATGTCTGAAACCTTGGATGGTACCAAAGGATACATATACCGTGTTTTTTCCTATACATACATACCTAGGATCAAGTATGACTTACAAATTAGACACAGCAAGAGATTAAGAACAATAATAATAAAATAGATAATTGTAATAATATGCCAGCCCGTCACTCTTCTTGCACTTTGGGGCCATTCTTAAGTAACATAAGGGTTCCTTGAACACAGGCACTAAGACGCCGCCACAGTCCATCTGATCACTGAGATGGCTATTAAGTGACTCAGGGTAGGTAGGCAGGGCTTACAGTGTGAATCTCCCAGACCAAGGGATGATTCCCATCCTGGATGGGACTGAACAATGAAGCATGAGATTTCATCTTGCTACTCAGAATGTTATGCAATTTAAAACTTATAAATTGTTTGTTTCTGGAATTTTTCACTTAATATTTTTGGACTACAGTTGACCCTGGGTAACTAAAACCATGGATAAGGGGGGACTACTGTACTAATTTCAAGTTGACTGCAAGTATAGTGTTTCTTCCCAGCATTGCTAGGTAGGGTTACTTCTTCCAAGAAGTTCTGAAAGATTAACTCAGGCCCTTCTCCTTCTTTGGGAGTATTTCTTTACCGTGTTCATGATACTTTCTCTAGTTTGAGTACTTGGTTCTCTCTTTGTGTGCTGAGGTTCTGTGAGCAAAGAATGAGCTATTTTACAATCCTTTCCTTTCTTGATAGCCCCTCAGCTTGGATCTGAGGTTAAGATGGATGGGCTTCTCTGGATGCTGCAGCCACAGCATTTTGTGTCTCCCTGCCTTCTGCGACCCATGTGGACTTCCAGTTAAGCATGCCCTGCCCTGGCCTGACCAGGTGCTGGACCCCTGTCATTCTTATCACCTGTGCATGAGGACAGAGGGCCACCAGCAGCTTCAAGAGCTGCCCTCCTCCACATCTTTTAGTGGCTTCCATGCTCGCGTTAAGTATTAGCAGATGCTGGTGTCCCTCCCCACCCACTCTCCTTGGTTTTCAGGGTTGAGTACTAAAAACACGACCACAGTAATGCAGGGCTCCTCCATCCCATTCCTGTGCATGAGTGTTTATGCATGGATGTAACTGTGTCTACATGTACACACTCCCCACCTCTTGCACAAATAAGTGGGACAGGAAAGCGGCCACCCAAGGATCTCCCACCATAGCCGCTGTGACAGAAAGCTGAGGGGTGAATTATTTTTCCAGCACCATTTATTAGAAACTCTGTGTGGCAAGGAGTTGACACATCAGACAGCTGCAGCCGTCAACTGCCAACACCCATTTACGCTGACCCCTTTGATTAGAAAATGAAAAATGCCACCACACTTCGGGCCCTGTCAGCCGTGAGGTGTGCCTGTAAGGTTGGCGCCAACACAGGAGACTTCTGTTGCCACTTGGAAGATTTGTTAATGAAGGAAATGAGCCAGGGCGGACCCTGTCCAGATGGTTTCACTGGAGAAATGCGCTAATTAGGCTGGAGGTCAAAGAGCTGCTGCTGTTTGAAGCAGGTGCTATTAGTTTTGTGTGCACCAGTGGCTTTGAAGGTGCATGAAAAATAGACCACGTCTCCCTGGTTTTTATTACAATTAAGGAAAAGATGTGTTCTCTGCCTGGAGCCTGGTTTCTCACCCAGGAAATGTACGTTGCCTTGAGAGAGTCCTGTGTATCTCTTGGGCTGTCTTCATAGTCATCACTAGCTTCCTTCTTCCCAAGCCCTTGTTTACCATCACGGAAGCCTAGAATAGTGATACTGGCACCCTAGATATTATCCAGGTGACCACATAACATTCCACAGGGGAGGAGATGGATGCCAGGAGAGGTGAGATGATTCTTATTACTCTTCCAGGGTGAGGTTAGTGATGGACACTGGGCTGGAACCTGGCTCTGATGTCCTCATCCCGTGATGCACAGCAGGGTAAGAGGCACTGAATGTAGCACCATGGCTTATTGGAGGGAGGCATCCATGTGTAGCTTGAGTCTGAGGATGAGATTCTATTGTTGAAGTCCTACAACATATTAATAAATTGGCAGCCAACTAGACTCTCACAGTTTCCTATGGTCTTCCCTCTGCTGAGTGCTCGTGGGAAGCTGAGTTCAGCTGCCTCACATTTGTGGGAGTCTGTTAGCAGTGTGTAGGTACTGGCTGAGGTTCTGTGTGAGTGATCCCTGGAGAGCAGTGGGGGTGGTGTGAGTGTTTGTGCTGAGCATGGAAATTGGCATGGCCTTGTGCTCCTTCTCAAAGTCTCAAGAGAGGCAGCAAGCTGGGCAGGACAGTGACTAGGACTATAGGAGAGTGGGCATCTTGACACTGACTTGTGCTGTCACCTTGGACAAATCACATAATCCCTGTGGGTGACCAGTGTCCTCCCTGGGAAGTGAGGGAGTGGACGGTGAGTCCTGAGATGCCTTCATGGATCCCAGTTGTCTGGTCCTGTGACTCCAGAGCTGAAGATTTGCAGGATGTTTTAGCACCCCTCGAACACAAGTTTGCTTCTTCTCATGTTTTTATTCAGAAACTCTAAGGAAAAGGCTCCTAATATTTCTTGTACGTTTTTCTCTGATCACAATTGGAGGACATACAAGATACGTTTTCTATGTATAATATTATTGATAGAAATTCATAATTGCAGAGCTATATATCTAAAACATACACATATTGCATTTTTCTCATTTAAGGAAATCTAAACTCTTATGGTAGTGCTAACAGGATAAAATCCTGAATCTCAGTACATAGATACACATTGGACCTGATTAACTGAGGAATAAATTCCCCAAAACTAATTTTAACAATCTAAATAGTGGTAAGGTTATATTGCTTTCATATAGTTTGTTTTGTTGCTGGACCTTGTGGACACTGCATAACAAAAAAAAATGATAAATGGCTTAGTAAATAGTAGAAAGCAGTTAGAGATCTATTATTAGGAATTTTAAGTTTGAAAGCATATATGACAAAAAGTTTTCATATATTCTTTTATGTGATATTTTGAAAATACCTCTTTTGTGAAATTTAGTAACTTAAAAACTTTAGTCCGTTAAGCATTATAAGTTTGATATATATAAATTATCTGATTATGTAATTAAGGTAAAAAGTCAACTAAAATTTGCAGGGAAAGATTCCGGTCTGATTCTGAAGACCTGAGCACCAGGAGTACTGAGGGCAGGAGAAGATCCCTGTTCTAGTTCAAGTAGTCAGGGAAGAGAGCAAATTCAACCTCCTGTAGCCTTTTTATCCCATTCAGGCCCTTAAAGGATTGGATGGTGCCCATCCACATTGGGAGAGGCCATCTGCTTATTTAGTCCACCAATTTAAATGCTAATATCTTCCAGAAACACCCTCACAGACACACCTAGAAATCAAGTTTAATCAGCTAGCTGGGCATTCTGTGGATCAGTGAGTTTGACACAAAATTAACAATCACAAGAATATGTAAAGAACCTTTACAAATCAGTAAAAAGAATACATAAAAATAGGTCATGTTCAATTGCAAAATGGGCATAGGACATAAATAAATGCACATTCATAAGAAAAGCAAAGCCAATATCCAACAAACTTATGATAAATTTTTTGCCATTACAATTGATATCATGAAACAAATTAACCAAAATATTAGACTGACGAAGATTGAAAAGGATAGTAATACATAGAGTATTGGTGAGTATGTGGCAAACTGGGCAGTCTCATACACTGAGGTCAAAATCACAAATTGATATTATATTTAAGGAGATACTTTACTAATATTTAAAAAAGAAACCTTAAAGGTATTCATATCATGAATACCTTTCTTTCAAGTAATTCCACATAAGAAATTACCTTGAGAAAATAATCAAACAGATATATTTAAAATAATGCTCCTTCATTCTTGTTGTAATAGTAAAATATATTTTCACAAATATCCATGATTATTTAAATGGAAAAAATCAGAACAGTATTATGCATGAGACTATTTTTATACTTGTATATTAAAATATATAATAAAAGATAAATTCCTAGATTACTTTCTATTTTCATGTAAATAGTTGGGATTACTGGAGACTTTAAAACATGTTTATTTGCTTATATTTTCTAAACATGGAGCATGAAGTAAGAAAAGAAAAAAGAATTTTTTGGAAATATATCGCCACTTAAAAATAAGAGAAGAATAAAAAGAAAGGGACTAATTCACCTGTAGTTACCAGGGACCAGAGAAGGAGTTTAAATTTCAGTGTGAAGTGAGGCAGGAGCCCTCCACTAAAGGATGGGCTGATCCCCTTGGGGTCCGATGTGCATTGCAATTCCCTCTATTATTGAATTCAGTTCATTCTTGCAGTGGAGATCAAAGTCAGGCTGAAACAATCTCTACAACATTCTGACAAAAATTAAAAGATGAAAGAAGGTTGTATAAAATCATTGATATAGCAAGAAAAAGCAGAACCTGCTTATGTTCAGAAAAGATTTTGATAAAAGCCACTTTTATAAGTCATGTCATGTTTTAAAATTGACAGTACATGGAACAAAATGCCACAGCACTCCCCTAACAAAGTGTAAGAGCATTTGAAATTTTGCCATCTTCCTGAATTTCTCAAGGGAGTGTTATTTCAGTGGTCATAAAATTCCCCGTAAGTCCTTATTACTTTTTTAGAGGTAACAATATAGACATTTTATGGGACAGCTATAAGAAATAAATCTCACTTATCCCTAAGGAAACTATCTTAGGATGAGCTCAACAGATGTCATTAGGCATGGATCCCTGAAAATGTCTTTGATTGCTCTCATACTAAGAATAACTACAGAAATATTAATTAAGAGCCCATTGCTTTATTGCTTTTATTCTGTGCTGGACACTTGAGTAACAAGGCAGAAACAAACATGGATGATGAAGATCTGGGCGTTAAAGAGCTTACTTTATATTGCTTAAGAAAAAAGACTCCTTATTTCCCTATATCAAATTAATTTTATGTAATGAAATACACACACACACACACACACACATGCAAGAGATAGAGTGAGTGAGCACAGGCAGTGTCATGTAGATAGATATGGGGAATTTTAAAAAGATATATAATAATGAAATTGAGTTCCATGCAAAGCCTTTTCTGGTGAATGCCAGGAAAGAGCACAGAACTTCCAGAGAGAAGGCCTAAGTTCAAATCCCTGCTCTGCTAGTCACTCACACTTTCACTTTTTCACTTTTTTTTTTTTTTTTGATACAGAGCTTTGCTCTTGTTACCCTGGCTGGAGCGCAATGGCATGATCGCGGCTCACCGCAACCTCCGCCTCCCGGCTTCAAGCAATTCTCCTGCCTCAGCCTTCCGAGTAGGTGGGGTTACAGGCATGTACCAGCACACCCAGCTAATTTTGTATTTTTTTTTAGTAGAGACAGGGTTTCTCCATGTTGGTCAGGTTGGTCTTGACCTCCCAACCTGAGGTGATCCGCCCTCCTCGGCCTCCCAACGTGCTGGGAGTACAGGTGTGAGCCACCACACCCGGCCCACTTTTTCACTTCTAAAAACCTCACTTCTCGCTGTATTGTCAGAATAAAAACATGTAATTGAGGTTCCTTGTAGGCTAAAGGTTATCAAGTGTAGTACAAGTAGGTATACTTGTTGTATAACTAAATCTTGAGCAGAAAGTTGTACTCTTTACTGATGCAAAAACAGCCCCTGGATTGAGTCCCCTGAGTAGGGGTCTGATATCCTAGGTAAGCAGTTGAAGCTTTGAGGAGGGAGAAGGGGCTAAGTTTCACTTGGGCCTTAAAAGACAGGAGGCTTTGGGTTGGTGGAAATGATGCTGTATTAGTCTGTTCTCATGCTGCTATGAAGAAATACCCAAGACTGGGTCATTTATAAAGGAAAGAGGTTTAATTGACTCACAGTTCCACGTGGCTGGAGAGGCCTCAGGAAACTTACAATTATAGCGGAAGGGGAAGCAAGCACCGCCTCTTTCACATGGAGGCAGCAAGAAGTGCCAAGCAAAGGGGGAAAAGCCCCTTACAAAACCATCAGATCTCGTGAGAACTCACTCACTATCATGAGAACAGCATGAGGATAACCATCCCCATGATTCAGTTACCTCTCACTGGGGCCCTCCCATGACATGTGGGAATTGTGGGAACTACAATTCAAGATGAGATTTGAGTGGGGATACAGCCAAATCATGTCAGATGGGGAGAGCATTCCACTGGGACCAAGTCACTATCTGTCTAAATCAGCCCTCACCCTGTGGGTTCTATCACCACCTATGACTGTTTGATTACCTTTTAGAGATTCTTATAGGAATTGAAATTTCTACCTTCTTGATCAGAAACAGAAAAAAAGACTAAATGGTGCTACTTTATTTAAATAAATTCACATCCCTGTCCGTATCACTGGCTCTCTCCTTCAATCCTTTTAAACTCTGTCAGAAAAATAGATCATTCCAGGAGGGAATTTTTAAAATGTAGCTTTTGTGGACAATTTCTAATGATCAGCCACTATCTATATTGTCCCCAGTGCCTAGTTCCATGCCTGGTCTATACCAGGTGCTAGAAAGTGTTTAATAATTGGAAATAATTTAAAAACTATGGTAAAGAGCAAAATTTAAATTTCTAGCATGTTTCCTTTTCTTTATCCCTGACGTTTCTATGCTTCAGATTTTAAAAAAGCTTCCTGTTTTGCATTAATATTCTCTCAATACTTGAAATTTTTATTCATTTACAATCAGCACTTGTTTTAGTTTCTCTAAATAGTATCCCTTTTGCTTCCTTTCACTGTTCTTTTTTTAAATTATTGTTTTCTGTTTATAGTAGCTACTGATTTTATTTTTTTCATTTTTCATAGGTAGTTTAAATACTCTGTGATTCATTGTGTTTATAATTTTCATTTAAATTTTTTCTTCTCTGAGAATGTAATTTTCATTTACATTTCATCTTCATTTGTTGACTTACCACATTGATATTTCTATTTTAATATTTAAAACACAAACCTTTGGGTGGGTGCAGTGGCTCACTCCTGTAATCCTAGCATTTTGGGAGGCCGAGAATAGCGGACCACTTGAGGTCAGGAGTTTGAGACCACCCTGGCCAACATGGTGAAACCTTGTCTCTACTAAAAATACAAAAATTAGCTGGGCATGGTGGTGCATTTCTGTAATCCCTGCTACTCAGGAGGCTGAGGCAGGAGAATCGCTTACACCTGGGAGTGGAGGAGCCAAGATCATGCCATTGTTCTCCAGTCTGGGCAACAGAGTGAGAGTCGTCTCAAAACAAACACACACACACACACGCATACACACACACACTTGAAAAACATATTTTTCTGAATGATGTATTGAGAGCCCTGGATAAACTGGGAGTCTCCTTAAAGGGTAAAACCCAAGTGTTCTCAGAACATGGTGGTAGTGTCCCCGGGCCTCCCGCCTCATTCCCTAGGCTGCCATCCCCCTGCAGATGCCCACTGCCCTCATTCCAGGGGGTATTGTCCAGCCAGGTAAGTGGACTCTGTGACTCTAGTTGCTTAGGTCAACACACCATTGCCAAATATTTGACTATGTCATCCTTTTACAGAAATGACAAATAATTCTCTCCCTTGTTAATAAGGTAAACACATTAGCTTGGCATTCAGGATTTTTCTCAGTCTACCCTGAACTTCTTACCCGAAGCCTCATTATTCCATTGGTAATGAGGAATGGAACAGATATTCAGGAAACTTCTATTTTAGGACTAGGCATGTTGTTGCCTGTTTGAATTAGAGGGTATTTAAGATGAAGAAGACTTGGTTCTTTCCATTACAGGTCATAGATTAGTGGAGGAGGATACTGATATTCTAATTTAATGTAAATCATTACAATATAGTGTAATTTAATTGAATGTAAATTATTACAATATAGTATAATACTTAAAGAAGTAGAGATATGAAAAAATAAAACACATAAAATCTGGTTGCCATTAAGTTGGCTACTATTTTTTTTAAAAAGCCCAGAAAATAACAAGTGTTGGTGAGGATGTGAAGACATTGGAACCCTCATGCATTGCCGATTGGACTAGAATGGTGTACCCACTATAGAAAACAAGATGACAATTCCTCAAAAAATTAAAAGTAGAATTACTGTGTCACCCAGCAATTCCACTACTGGATATATACCCCAAAAATGTGAAAGCAGGCTTGTGAAGAGATATTTATGTATCCATGTTCCTAGTTGTATTATTCACAACAGTCAAGAGGTGGTAACAGACCAAGTAACCATTGATGGATGAATGGATAAACAAAATGTCATTTATCCATATAGCAGAAGACAATTCAGCCTTAAAAGGAAAAGAAATTCTGACACATGCTACAACATGGGTGAACCTTGAGTACATTGTGCTGAGTGAAATAAGCCAGACACAAAGGACAAATAAATACTGCATGATTCCACTAATAGGAGGTACCTGGAGTACTCAGATTCATAGAGACGGAAAGTAAAATGGGGTTGTCAGGGGCTAAAGAGAAGGAGGAATGGGAAGTTACTGTTTAACAGGTATAGAGTGTCACTTTGGGAAGATGCAAAAATTCTGGAGATGGATGGTTGTAATTGTTGCACAACAATGTAAATGTACTTAATACCACTGAACTTTACACTTAAAAATAGTAAAATTATATTATGTGAATTTTACCACAGTTAGAAAATAAATTTTAAATGTCCAATGTCAGCCAATTATTTAGTTGTTAATAAAGAAATAGAAAACTAAATCAAGTGGGCTAAAATGTCACTTTGATAACTATAGGACAGCTTGTAGGGCCAATGGGGTGTAGGTGTTTACATCCAATAGTGGTAGCATCTTACAAATAAATCTCTTGCATCAGTGTGAGTGATGGGGTATGTGATAGGCATCACATTGAACTTCTTGAGCAGCTTCCTTGGTTTAAAATGAGTAGCTGCTTGAGTCGTTTGCAATTCAACCCAAGAAACACTTAAGGTTGCCAAGCAACATGACTGCTGTCAACAGAAGCAAATCTAACATTAATTTCGTATCTCCTAAAATGAAAGAAGAAACGTTGAATCTAAATGTTTTCATTTCTAGCTACTTTATTGAATAATATGAACACTTTGTCAAGAATATGCTGTGCTGTTTCTACATGAACGGTTTCATGCAGCCACTCCTGTGTTTTGTTTTCTTAGCCAAAGCACCTTAGGTTTTTCAAGAGCCCAGAGGCAACCTGCCGCAGGATTTACACTCTGAAAACTAATAGCTTTACCTGGGAAGTTATAAAAATCACTCAGTAAAATGAAGTTGTTAAAAGGCAAACTCTTTATTTCATGATGATTTTTTAAACCCAGAGGACTTCTTTTTGGTTAAACTTAGCAAACAAAGACAATAGTTAGATTACTCAGTTCACTTCCTGCACAGAGCCACAGAACAGACTTAAATGAGACAGCTTTCTGTTTGAGGCATCCCCTTACTGAATTCTGTGATCCACAGAAATAAAGTCAGTGGCAAATGTACAAAATTGAAATGATTCCACTGGATTGGCCAAAGGATAGCCATAATTGGGGATTCTCTTTTCTTCTGAAGCAAGAACTGTATATTCTACTCAGACTGCTGTGTTCACTGTCTTTAACAGACTATCTGGAGTAGACAGTGAGGAGAGGAATATAGCTATGTATGTGAACTACTTTGACACGCATTTAACTTCTCCATATACCAAAAATGAGGTTGGTGGGCTGTCCTCATACCTGCACTTCCTCTTTCCCTTAACTCCTGCCCTTTACTGAGAACCCACGGGGAGGAGGTCTTTTCAGTTCCTTACCTCTATGACTGCAGTAACCTTCAATCCCATGTGAAGAGTTCATACGTGTAGTCACATCCTGTGCCTTGTCAGCCTCTGAAATCTTTGTTCTCTGTGCTAACCTACAGCCGTATTTCCCATTCTTTCATTTCTCGCCTCATTTTCCACAGTGGCTACTCCAAACCTCCACCACACTACAGAATTCCCATTTTACTGCCACTTACCCCTCTCGCTCTACCTGTCTTTAGCTCTGCTTTCCTGTTTCTATCCAAAGCTAAAGTAATTTCTTCATCTCTGCCCTTTACTTCGAGCTTGTCCAACCTGCAACCTCCTGGCTCCATGCAGCCCAGGATGGGTTTGAATGTGACCCAACATAAATTCGTAAACTTTCTTAAAACCTTATGAGATTTTTTTGTGATTTTTTTTTTTAAATTTTAGCTCATCAGCTGTTGTTAGTATATTTTATGTGTGGCCCAAGACAATTCTTCTTTCAATGTGGCCCAGGGAAGCTACATATTGGACACCCCTGCTCTACTTCATCCTACAACCTGAAGACCTTAGAATGCCTATGTTGGGGTCCTGCGTCTCTACTCAGGAGCTGGGAGACCTTGGAAAGTTCACTGGCCACTTTGTACACCAGTTTTCTCATCAGCACATGTGGTTAATGGTACCCATATCACAGGGCGATTGTGAGGATTAAAGAGAAAATGCATGTAAAGCACACTGGACAGTGGTGGGCATGTGGTCAGTGCTCAGTCAGTGTTCAGTGCTCTGATCACCAGCCTCTGCCCCAGGTGCTGTCTTGGGTGCCCTCTCCGTCTGGGCTCCTGGGTGTCTCTTGTGTACCCACATGCGTCTTGCTCACCTGCTCCTGGCCCCAGCCATTGAGCTGCTCCCACACCACCTAACTTGTTCTTCAGCCTTAAAACCTTAGCTTTAGTAGCACTTCCTCCAGAGATCCTTACCTGATATCATGCCCCCTCCCCCTGCCCAAGTGTGAGTGAGAGGTCTCTGTCCTGTCCTTCCACACTCCCTGGATTTCCCCTCTGGGTTGGTCAGTTTTCTGTGTCAACATGGCTAGGCCTGAGTACCCAGTTATTCACTGGACACTCATTTAGGCCAGAGTACCCACTTATTCACTTGGATGTGAATCTAGATGTTACCATGGAGGTATGTTGTAGATGTCCTTAACATCTATAATTTGCTGACTTTAAGAAAAAGAAGTTATCTTCTTTAGCCTGGGTGAGCCTCATCCAATCATTTCAAAGGCCTTAAAGAGCAAAACTGAGGCTTCCCTGAAGAGAAAGAAATTGTGCCTCAAGACTGCAACATCAGCTCCTGCCCCCAAGTTTCCACCCTGTAGGCTTGCACAGTGGATTTTGGCTTTGTCAGCCCCCATAATTGGGTAATCTCATTTTTTGAAATCTCTGTGCATGTGTGTGTTTCATATTCTGCTGATTCTGTCTCTGGACAGGGCTGACTGCAGCCTCTCACAGCTTGCACATGGCTGCACCGGGCCCCGCTTGCCCTGATTCTCCTCTGATCCGATAGCTGCTCACTGGCAGGAGCCACATTTCTCCATGTGCTTGTCCCATAGCTTAGTTAATATTGAATACTTCCATTTTTCCTGCTAAGCAGCGTGGTTTTACAGATTAGTGTATTCAACAGATGTTTATTGAATTTTGGGGGTATGGCACATACCTCGCAAAGTGCTATACGTACAAACCTGAAAAGAACCTATCCCTGCTTTTCCAGAGCTGCAGGCTGGTGAGATCAGTGTTGAAGCAAATGTTGATGTGATGCGTAATGGAGGTGCGTACAGAGGAATTGAATGTATTAGAAAGGTGTCTAAGTTTGAGACATCAAAGAAGGCAGTAGAAGAAGAGACAAATTTGAAGGATCAGTTGAGTTTGCAGGTGGGACAGACAGACAGAATAGCCATGTGAATTTGTAGAGGCATGACACATTGCAGCAGCGAGATGGGATTAGACCTCCTGGGCCACTGCTGGGCAGGCAGGCCTTTCTCAGGCCGTGAAGACATGCAGCGGGACCAGAAAATAATGTTCAATGAGGAGTGAGTTGGATTTATGAATTAAAGACCACATAATAGGCGGCAAAGGGAGTGGGTTAGAGAAGGTGAAACTCAAGGAGAGGAAACCGGTTAGGAATCGCCCAGAGACAGATGATGCAGAGGGACTCAGATGGCGACAGGAAGGAGAGGAAAGGATGGGCAAAAGAGGTCTTCAGGATTATTTCGCATTATAAATACCAGAAAATGTGAGTGCATATACATTAAATGTCAATAACATGATTTTGAAAATCTTACGGAAGGTGAATTATACACCTCAATGAAAAGGGAAATAAAGAACTGGCAATCTTTACATGAGCAAGGATGAAAAATATAATTTCCCAAAGTCAACAGTGAATATTTATGAATGGTGGCATTTGGGGTAATTTTAGTTTTTTTCTTTATCTTCTAATCATTATTTAAAATTTTTGATGCTAGCCATGTGTCACTCATGTTGTTAATTCAAACATAAAAAAAATGCCAGGTTGCCTTCAACTGTATTCCTCACTCTGTGCCTACTTTCAGTTTTGATCCATGTCTGGGTGTTTTGATCAATGCCTGGGTGTTTCATATATATAAAACTGAACAAAGTCTAAATGTATTCGGTGATTACATAAAAAATAAGATAATGAGGAAAACCTTCATCTTTGATGCCTTTATATTGTGCATCAAAGGATGACCCTAGTTTAAAAGGAAATTGTAAATGATAAAACAAAGGTTTAGTTCAAACCATTGCCCTAAATGTCGGGCCTTGTAGAACATTTCTTTAGATTTCTCTAAATGTGGTGGCAAGTGCATTTCTGTGGAATTGCGGACACTCTGTGCACTTTCTCTGGTTTATAAATATTTAGTACTATGATTACTCATATATTCAGGTATTGGAATGGAACTGTTTTCCCCTGGCAGTCTTTTTTTTTTTTTTTTTTCCCCATCCGGAATGACATTCCAGATTCAGAAAGGACTGGCTGTCATTTAGCTCTGTTATTTGAGAGAACTGTAATTCTGTATTTCTGTCATTGGGCCAGAGTCCAGATTCTGTATGCTGGTCTTTTTTTCATAATTGCATTTATAAAACGAACATTTGGGCTCATGATGGCAACCTTTCCCGAAGGTTGGATTCCCTGTGCAAAAGACTGGAGGGTGATCTTTCCACTTAGAATATGTTTCCCAAGCAAATCTACCTTGTCTTCTTCATATCATTGTTGTTTAAACAAAGAGGTTCAGCCTATTTAGTAAAGATGACTGTTTTCTTTCCATTTTCAAACTTATTTTTACTTTGTAGTTTTTTTTATTGATATATTTGTTCATATTTATGGGGTACGTGTGATGTTTTGTTACATGCATAGAATGTGTAATGATAGGAGGAATCAGTTCTAAAGATGACTTTTTATTTTAGGTGATGATACGTGATTGTGAGTGAAAGGACAACAAAATGAGTCATGGCTGGTGAGGAACTGCCTGTGCCCAGCATGCTGGTTCTCAGGGGCAGCCTTGGTACTTCAGTATGGTGTGCACTGTTGGGCTTGGGCTGTCATCATGAAGCAGAAAATAGTCTCTCTTCAAAAAAGAATGGTGGGGGCAGGGTGAGGTGAGGGTTCTTGGTCCATTAAGGTCAGAACATTGAGGATTAGTTTTATTTTTACACTTAGGTGAAACCCCAAGACCTTTCTCGGTACTGGGGAGGCCTTACTGCTGTTTGTCAATCATTGCTGTCATGGAGCCTTCACCCTTTGTGTTTTCAGAGTGCTTTATAGCCAAGAGCTTTGAAAGAGCAAGGTTAGGGTTTGTCTTGGTCATATGGAGGACAGAATGGAGTGAGTCCAAGAAGAGAGAGGATTTGGTCATGCCTTGGATATCCTTACTGAAGGGAGCAAGAATATGTGTAGATTTTGAGTATGTCATTAATTAACACGTTTAACTCAGATCAAATTTCTCTCCACTCCAAAATCTCCAGCTCTTTCTTTGACTCAGAATAAAGCCCAAGTCCTTATTATACTGGACACCACAGCCCCATGTTATCTGGTCCCATTCTTCCCTGACCCTTCCTTTGCTTCCCCTCCTCACTCTGCTCAAGCCACTCCAGCCTCCTCGCTCTTCCTTCTGCCCAGGCACCGGGCTCACCCTTGCTCGAGACCTGAAATGCTTGTCCCAGATAATTCTTCCTTCTAGCCTTTGCCCAATCTCACCTTCCCAGTGAGGCCTGCTCAACTGCCCACATTAATGACATGACAACCTTTGCCTTCTGCCCCTGCACACTCAGCCCTCTTCTATTTTTTTCTTGCACTTTTCACCTCTAGCACACTTATTCATTATGTGTATTCAATTTCTACACATTTATTTATTTATTTATTTTATTTATTTTTGAGATGGAGCCTTGCTCTGTTGCCAGGCCGGAGTGCAATGGTGTGATCTTGGCTCACTGCAACCTCCACCTCCTGCGTTCAAGTGATTCTCCTGCCTCAGCCTCCCAAGTAGCTGGGACTACAGGCATGCACCACCATACCCAGCTAATTTTTGTATTTTTAGTAGAGACGGGGTTTCAGCATGTTGGCCAGGATGGTCTCAATCTTTTGACCGCGTGATCCGCCTGCCTCAGCCCCCCAAAGTACTGGGATTACAGGCGTGAACTACTGCAACCAGCCTATTTATTTTTATGTGTATTGATATTGATTATCATTCATCTCCCTCTGCTCCAGGAAGGGAGAGATCCTCATCCCTTTTATTCACTGATGTATCCCAAGTGCCTTCAGCTGTGTATGGCACTCAGGAGGTCCTCACATAGGTGTTGAATGGAATTGACAGAAGATTCAATGGGTCAATTTTTCCACTGGTCTAAAATGATACTCCTTGTGTCTATCATGGGGATGCCTTGAACAGAGAAGCATCATGATGTTTTAAAGTCCTCTTACCTTCTTATGACATGCCAGGCCTTGAGCTAATCTCTTTATAGTCATAGAGGTAGCTGTCATCCTTAGTTTGTAGTTAAGAGAAGCTGAGCCCTAGAGGTTTTGGAGATTGACAGAACCTTGTTTTGAATCCCAGTCTTACTGACTCAAAAGCTGATTGTCTTGACCACTATGACATACTGGATATGAGACAGCTAACTTAGAGATGCCCTGGTTACCTCCTGGCTGGAATGATGTTACCCCTGAGACAGCAGCCAGTGCTGCCAACAGATCCCAGACAGCAGGTGGGGGCCATTGAGGCCCAGCTCAGGAGGACTTGGCGTGGGCAGACAGCTGCCTTCACATGGCCATGGCAATGGTGGGGCAGAGGCATTGTCTTTTTCCACAAGGAAACAGGACAGCCTGAGACATCTGTAGGTCAGCATCAACGGCTGGTCCAAGCCTGCTGGGAGCTACAGGGATTAATGCTGTGAAAGATGAGAGGCTGCACTCTTTAGCTAAAGAAGCCTGGCTTCCTGCTCACCTCCACTTGGCTTAGCCATCCCTCTAGATGGCTTTAAACAATGTTTAGTTGTCTTATTTCATCACAAAAGCAACACATGCTCACTGTGGAGAGTTTGGAAAACACCAGTTTGTTCCCAGTATCAAATGAAAGTCATCCCTAATTCTACCATCCAGAGACGTTGATGATGACATGATTTTGATTGAATCCTTACGTGTTGTGGTGCTGCACTAGCATTTAGTGCTGATTTCCCATTTTAAAAATCTTGACCACAAGTCTGTGAGGTAGGTATTATTTGCTCCATTTTACTGATGAGAAGCAGAGCAGTTAAATGACCTCCCAAGATGACACTGCTGGGAAGTAGTACAGCCAGGTTTCAGCCCAAATATTGACATGACCCCAGAACTCTGGAATGAGTACGTTTCATATACTTGTGTCTGTGTGAGTGCATGTGCATGGTGTATATACACATACATATACTTTTCTTTTTTTATGGGATAAAGTAAAATCTTTACTGAAGGAATAGAACTTAACCTGGAGAGATACAGCCTGATCCTGGGTGACTCAACATTATGCAGATTCCTGTTCTCTTCAAATTCTTCTATAAATTACTGTCATTGCATTCAAAAACCTAATTAAGCTTTCTATAGCTTTTTTTCCCATGTTTGTTATTGTGGTAGAATACACACGACAAAATTTGGCATCTTAACGATGAAGTGTACAGTTCAGTGGCAGTAAGTACATTCACATTGTTGTGCAACCATCACCACCACCCATCCACAGAACTGAAACTCTGTACCCATTAAACAACAACTCTGCATTTCCCCCAACCCTCCAGCCCCTGGAAACCACAATTCTGCTTTCTGTCTCAATGAATGTGACCACTCTAGATACCTCATATAATTGGAATCATACAGTATTTGTGTTTTTGTGACTGACTTATTTCACTTATATAATGTCCTCAGGGTTCATTAATGTTGTAACATCTGTTAGAATTTCCATTCTTTTTAAGTCTGAATAATATTCCTTTGTATGCATAGACCATATTTTGTTTATCCATTTGTGAATGGACATTTTGGTTGCTTCCACATTTTAGCTACTGCAGTTAATACCACTGTGAACCTGGGGGTACAAATATACAAATATCTTTTTAGGACCCTGCTTTCAGTTCTTTTGAGTATATATCCAGAAGTAGAATTGCTAGATGATGTGGTAATTCTATTTTTAATTTTTTGGGGAGCTGCCATACTGTTTTCCGTAACAGCTGTACCATTTTACATTTTCACAAGTGCACAAGGGTTCCAGGTTCTCCACATTCTTGACAACACTTGTTATTTTGTGTTTTTTTTTTTCTTAATAGTAGCCATACTAATGGTTGCGAGGTGCTATCTCATTATAGGTTTGATTTAATTTTCATAATGATTAGTGAGGTTGAGCATGTTTTCATATGATTATTGCCATTTGTATTCTTCTTTGGAGATCCGTCTCCTCCAGTCCTTTGCCTGTTTTTGAATGGTATTGTTTGTTTTTTGTTATTGAGTTTCAGGAGTTTTCTGTGTATTCTGGATATTAATCCCTTATCAGATATGCAATTTGCAAATATTTTCTCTCATTCTGTGGGTTGCCTTTTAATCTGTTGGTAATGGTTTTTGATATACAAATTTTTAAAATTTTCAGAAGTCCTCAGATTTTCTTTTATTGTCTGTGCTTTCAGTGTCATATCTAAGAAATCATTGCCAAATCCAATGTGGTGAAGCTTTTGTCCTGTTTTCTTCTAAGAGCTTTATGGTTTTAGGTTTTACATTTAGATGTTTGATCCATTTTGAATTAACTTTTGTATATGATGTTAGGTAAAGGCCCAACTTTGTTGTTTCACATGGAAATATCCAGTTTTCGAAGAATCATTTGTTGAAATGATTTCCCTCCCCCCATTGAATAGTCATGGCACCTTGTTAAAATCATTTGACCATAAATGTAAGGGTTTACTTTTGGATTATTTATTCTACTTCATGAGTCTGTATGTCTATCTTTTTGCAGTACCACACTGATTTGATTACTGGGGATTTGGAGTAAGTCTTGAAATTAGGAAGTGTGTCTCCTCCAGCTAAATGTTAGTCAATTTGTTGATCTTTACAAAGAAACAGCTTTTGGTTTTATTGATTTTCTCTATTATTTTCTTATTCTTTATTTCCTTCCTGTACTCTGCTCTACCCTTTACTGTTTCCTTCCTGTATTAGTTTTGGGTTTAATTTGTTCTTCTCATTCAAGTTCCTTAAATTGTAACATTAGGTTGTTGATTTAAGATCTTTCATGTTTTTTATTGTAAGCACATATGGCTACAAATTTGCCCTTTGGCACTGCTTTTGTTTATTCCCTAAGTCTTGTTATGTTGTATTTTTATTTTTTTTGTCTCTATTTATTTTCTAATTTCCCTTGTGATTTCTTTTTTGATTTGTTGGTTGTTTAAGAGTGTGCTGTTTAATTTCCACACATTTTTGAATTTTCACTTTCCTTCTGTTACTGATTTCTAATGTCGTCTGGTTGTAGTAAGAGAAGAAAATTTGTAATCTGTCTTTTAAAATCTATTGAAGCTTAATTTGTGGTCTAGTATATGTCTAGGTTGGAAAATTTCCCATGTGCACTTGAAAAGAATGTGAATTCTGTTATTGGGTAGAGTACTCTGTATAAATCTAATTGGTTTATTGTGTTGTTCAAGCTCTCTATTCTTTACTTATCTTCTGTCTGGGTTTCCTGTAGGTTATTAAGAATGGGGTATCAAAGTCTCCAACTATTACTATAGAATGATTTCTTTCTTCAGTTCCATCAGTTTTTGCTTATATATTTGATGGTCTGTTATTAGATGTTTAAATGTTTATAATTGTTATATATATCTTCCTTCTGTATCACGCTTTATTTTTTTGTTTTTTGAGACAGTTTCACTGTTGTCACCCAGGCTGGAGTGCAATGGCACGGTCTTGGCTCACTGCAACTTCCGCCTCCCGAGTTCAAGCAATTATCCCGCCTTAGCTTCCCGAGTAGCTGGGATTACAGGCATCCGCCACACACCTGGCTAATTTTTGTATTTTTAGTAGAGACGGGGTTTCACCATTTTGGCCAGGCTCCTGATCTCAGGTGATGCGCCCGCCTTGACCTTCCAAAGTGCTGGGATTACAGATGTGAGCCACCGTACCCGGCCAACACTTTTTATTAATATATACAATAGTCCCCCTTACTTTTCATTAATATAATATATACAGTAGGCCCCTTTATCCATGATTTTGCTTTCCGAGGTTTCAATTACCTACTTCAACCAAGGTCCGAAAATATTAAATGGACACTTTCAGAAATAAACAATTCATAGGTTTTAATTATTGTATGCCCTTCTGAATAGCGCAGTGAAATCTCACACTGTCCCACTTTGTTCCACCCACGTCAGAACCATCCCTTTGTCCAGCATATCTATACTGTGTGCACTACCCACTTATTAGTCACTTAGTAGCCATCTCAGTTATCACGTTGCAAAAACAGTGGTTTCAGGCATTCACTGGGAATATAGGAATGTATTCCCCACAAATAAGGGGGGACTACTATAATGTCCTTCTTTGTCTCTTATAACTTTTTTTGATCTAAAGTTTATTTTGTGGTAGTATAGCCAGTTCTGCTCTCTTTTGGTTACTGTTTGCATAGAACATATTTTTCTATCCTTTCACTTTCAACCTATTTGTGTCCTTGGATTTAAAGTGAGTCTCTTGTAGGCAGCGTATAGTTGGATCATGTTTTTGTTTTTTATCCATTCTGTCAGTCTCTTTTGATTGGAGAGTTTAATCCATTGAATTTAAAGTAATTACTGATAAGGAAGGACTGAGTTCTGCCATTTTGTTATTTGTTTTCTATATGCCTTATAGGATTTCTGTCCTTCACTTCTTGCATTACTATCTTCTTTGTGTTTAGGTGATTTTTTTTTTAGTAAAACATTTTAATTTCCTTCTCATTTCCTTTTGTGTATTTTCTATAGTAATTTTGAGATTACCATTGAGATTACATTTAACATCCTAAAGTTATAACACTCTAATTTAAATTTATGCTAGTTAAACTTCAATAACATACAAAATCTCTGCTCCTTTAACAGCTTTGTTTCTACCACTTTCTGTTGTTGATGTTACAAAATTACGTCTTTATTTGTTGTGTGTCCAAAAACATAAACTAATAATTTTGTAATGTATTAGTCTCTTAAATATGTAGGAAAAAATGAGTTACCAACCAAAGTTATGATAAAACTAGCTTTTAGACTAATAATTGCTTTTAAAAAATTGTATTAGACTCTTAAGTCCCATAGAAAACAAAAAGTTGAGTTATGCATCATGGTTACAGTAATACTAGCTTTTATAATTGCCCATGTTACTACCTTTACTGAGATCTTTATTTCTTCATATGGCTTCAAGTTACTGTCTAATGTCCTTTCGTTTCAACCTGCCCTCCTTTTAGCATTTCTCGCAGGGCATGTCTGTTGATTAGGAACAAACTCCCTCAACTTTTATTTGGGAATATCTTAATTTCTCCTCACTTTTAAAGGACAGTTTCGCCAGATATAGAATTGTGATATTGTGAAATATATATGTGGTCATTGTCCCTGTTTACTGGCATATAGCTCCTAAAATCCTTGGAATCTCCTGAGCGATAAGAGGGTCTTTTGCATGTTAATGAGATGACAAGTGGCTGGTGGCCCCTTAGATAGCTTCAGGATGGTGTCTGGTCACCCGAATGACCAAGGCTTCATCAGGAGGTTGGGACTTTCAGTCCTACCCTGCAGCCTCTGGGCAGGGGAGAAGGGCCAAAGGTTGAGTTTGATCACCAGTGACTAATGATTAAATCAGTCATGTTTGTATAATGAAATCTCCATAAAAGTCCAAAAGGACTGGTCTCAGGGAGTTTCTGGATAGCTGAACACATGGAGATGCCTAGAGGTTGGCTGGCCCAAAGAGGACATGGAAGTTCTGTACCCCTTCTCCCTTACCTCACCCTATACATCTCTTCCATCTGGCTATTCATATGTATTTTTTGTACTGAGTTTTGTGAGCCACTCTAATTTGTTAATTAATCTAGCAAATTAATCAAAACCCAAGGAGGATATCATGAACCCTCAGTCAGAAGTATATGTGACAACCTAGTACTTGGCAACTGGCATCTGATATGGGAACCAGTCTTATGGGACTAAGTAAGCCTCAGCCTGTGGGATGTGATGCTATTTCCAGGTAGACAGTATCAGAATGGAATTGAAGGATACCCATTTAGTGTCTGCTGAAGAATTGATTGGTTGCTGGTAGAGAGAAATCTCCCCACAATTTGGTAGTCAGAGATGAAATATTCTGTGTTGTGTAGACTGTGAGTGGTTAAGCAGAGGAAAAACATTTTGTTTTTTTCTGCTGCATCCTTATAAGAACTCTTGGTTGACAGTTTTTTTTCTTTTATCACATTGACTATATCAACCCACTGCCTTCTGGCCTCCAATGTTTCTGATGTGAAATCTGCTGATAATCTTATTGAGGATCCCTAGTATGTAACCATTTATGTCTTACTGCTTTCAAAATTATCTCTGTCTTTTAACAGTTTGATTATACTGTTTCTTGGTGTGGGCCTCTTTGAGTTCATCCTGCTTCCGTGCTCATCCTATCTCCCTGCTTCTTGGATGTTTATATTCATGTTTTTCACCAAATGGGGATTTTTGGCCATTATTTCTTCATATATTCTCTCTACCTTTTTCCCTCTTCCTCTGGGACTACCGCAGTGTATTGCTGGTTGACCTGATGGTGTCCCACAAGTCCCTTAGAGCTCTGTTTACTTTTCTTCAGTCTTCTTCTTCTTTCTTCTTTCTTCTTTGTTCTTTCTTCTTCTTTCTTCTTTCTCCTTCCCCTCCTTCTTCCTTCTTTCTTCTTTCTTCTTTTTTTTGAGACAAGTCTCACCCTGTCGCCCAGGCTGGAGTACAGTGGCGTGATCTTGGCTCACTGCAACCTCTGCCTCCCAGGTTCAAGCGATTCTCCTGTCTCAGCCTCCCAGGTAGCTGGGATTACAGGTGCACACCACCGTGCCTGGTTAATTTTTTTTTTTTTTTTGTATCTTTAGTAGAGATGTTCTCTTGAACATGTGCTCCGAATTTCTAATCTACCCCATATATATGGTTGCAGTTGAATGTCCTAATCTTTGATGTCTACCTCCCAAAAGAGAAAAAAATGAAAGAGGTTGAAAGAAAAAGGCATTGGCCTTTCAATCCTGTGGAAGTTACTTCAGGATGAGCAGGAGGGGGAACAACATAGGGAGGAGGTGGAACATCGGTGCCTCTTTTTCTGTACCTCTGTGATAAGAAGAAGTAACAGGAGTGGAGCACAGATCCTTGACATTTGGAAGACAGAGTCCTTTTACTCACTCCAGCTCCTGCAAGTTGTGTTCAGATTGCTCTAGGAATGCACACAGCTGCCTGCTGTGGGACTGGGGACTGGGGGATGGGTAGCTGCTCCTTGGAGGTGCTAAGAGGGGAAATTGACCAAAATTAACTACAATTTGCTATCCTCACCCTCCCCAGGAAGTTGTAAGCCTTCAATAGACTCCAGAGTTCCAAAACAGTTACATCAGACAGATTCTGCCAATGTAATTGTTGTCTGGGTGGGGAGGCAGATTTCCTGTACTTCCTACTTTGCCATCTTCTCAGAATCCTCATATGCTTTTATAATACCAAATATATAATATAAATATTATACATTATTTATATAAATAAAAGATATGTATATAAATTATATTTATATATTTTTAATATTTATATTTGAGTTATATAAATATAAACTTTATAACTCAAGTACATTACTGGAAAGACTATATTAAAAATTAATAGATGGATGACTAGAGTGGGATGACTAATGAGTGCAGGGTTTCTTTTGGAGATGACAAAAATGTTCTAAACTATAGCGATGGTTGTACAACTCTGTAAACATAATAAAAACCATTGAATTGTGTTTTTTATATGGGTAAAATTTATGATAAATAAATTTTTTCTTAAAGCTTTTTTTTTAAAAAATAACTCATCCAAAGTCAACATAAAGCCATTTTAAAATGCCACTGCATAGGCAGTTTTGCTGAAAATGAGCCACCACCATATGAATAATATTTTAGAATAAGTTGAGTGAAAAATTATCAGTTATTTAATAAGGTATTATTATAGTAAATTTCTGAGTCATTTTAATTTTTTAAGACAAAGCACATCTCCCATCTGCTTTGGAAGCTGGTTTCTCCCCTTTGCCCCCAGTGATATGGAGTAAGTACCTGTTTATGTTAATATGTTAAGTTCAGTTTCCTCCTGTCTTTTTTTTTTTTTTCTTTACTAACATGCATTGAGTGTTTTCCACGTTCCCAGCCTTATGCTAGGTACTTTGCATGTATTATCTCAGGCACTTATGCATGTAAGCTGTATTCACATATGTGCTGACACACAGACAACCCTAATGAGAGGTTCTTTTATTATACCCCATCTTACAGTGAGAAAGCACAAGCACAAAATGGTTAACTCAAGCTGATGATTACATATTTGTATTTTTTCTTTCTTGGATTTTGCACTGGGATAATGCTCAGAAAGCTCTTCTTTACACTATGCATTTCTGTTTTCCTCTAGTGCTTCACATCTTTATATTTAAATCTTTAAGCTATCTAAAATTAACTTAGGGCCACAGTTAGGCAAGACTTTCATTTTAACTTATAATAAATAGTTTGGTAGTGGTTCTAAAACAGTATGTAAAACTATTCATTTCCCCCCATTTGAGATGTTTATTATGATGCTAAATTCTAATATCTAATATAATACTAAATTTAATGTCTGTTGATGGACTTTGTTCACTTTACTTAGTCCAATTTGAGACAAAGAATTTTGTACCCTTTTACTATCTCGTTATCTTCACTCTACGGTTTGGTCTTTGTGATTTCAGATCTAGGTAATTATTGCATTGTCTTATATTATAAGGAAATGGCACTGTTTTGCAAAAATATACAATGATTATTTAGAGTCATATTTGTTTTAACTGGTTTTAACACTTACCACTCATCCTTTTGTGCCATGATTCCTCATTCTCGTGCTCTTAGACTTATGGTTGGTGAAGATTCTGGGTCTCTGAGACAGCAGGCACATGGGCAAAGAGGAATAACTATCCTCCCCTTCCTCTGGCGCTCTCTCCATCAGCCAGTGTTTCCAGGATTGGTTTTCCTCTATTAATCATCACCTGCCCTGTAGTCAGCAACGTTTTTGCAAACCTTTAATCGAAACACGAGGTTGTCTTCAGTCGTGGTTGTCAGCGTTGAGAATTTTCTTCTTTCTCTGAGTTTTCACGGATGAGAAACTGCGCTGAGGGCTGCTACAGATGTCATTTAAAATTTTTAACTTTTCTTCATCAACATAGAGAGATTTATTTATGAATATAATGCATAAAATCTCTCCTGATTTTGTCAAAATAAGCAGTTTCTTAAATGAGGAGAATATCTTCATTTAGGAATAAATGAAGAAAAACGTTTAAATTTAGAGTCTTCAGACTTTTAGGAATAAGCCATGAAGAGGTGGATACCCACAGGATGGGAAGGTGATCTTCTCACAGGGGTGACCTGCTCCTGAAGAATCTCAGGGCTAAGCAACACAGTATTTTCTGGCACTGCTTACAAACAGTTGTGGCCAATGCAAGCATGACTTTGCTGTGAGGTTGGCTTCTCTGCAGTCTCACGTCCTGTCAGACAGCATGCCAGCGTAGTGAAGGAGAACAGAAATCAGTGCTAAATGCCGCAGTTATTTCTGGAATGTCTTCCTGTTGTAGGAAACCAAGTTGCTAGTGTTTGGTGGTGTTCTGAACAAATTGTTCCTCATTCTAAGTGATGGTATGAGGGCTTACTGGCCTGGAAGATGATCACCCAAAGGTATTTGTTCATTCGTTTGTTTTTTTCACCTCTGCCTGCCCCAGTTCTCTGGTAGGTGATTAGGAAACACCAATCACTAGAAAATCACCTCTTCCTCTGTTGAGTTTGGTGACTAGTCATTAGCCGTATTTTCAGGGAGCTCATCTGGTGGACATTCAAGAAGGCTTCCCTCATGGGAAGTAGGCATATGCAAATGACTGTGTGTCTGCAGGTGATACTTGAAAACACAGCAAAGTATATGCTCATGCTCATCCCATGCCTGGCATTCTATTTCTAGATTACTGGTGTACCTGCTGACAAAAATCGGTGTCGATGTGCACTAGATATTAGGAGGGGTAAAGAAATAGCCTTAGGGGTCCCCTGACCCCTTCCACCATCAGAGACAAATTTACATTCTTATTCTGAACTAAATTTGTCATTAGCATAAAATATATTAATGTTTGGTTATTTGAGGAAATTGAAAGATAGAAAACTTAATTACATTAATACCAAACTTTACCCACTTATATTTTTCCCAGTCCACAAATGTTGAGCACCAATTGTATGATAAGCACTGGAATACAGCAGTGAGAACCCGGACCTTACAGTGCAGTGGAGCAGACAGACAGGTGGAAATTATTTCAGAATGCAGTGTGGTAAGTGCCACGATCAGGGTAAATAGAGGGTTGCCCAGGAGCACAAGAGAGGAGTGTCTTACAATATTGGGGGTCAAGAAGCTTCCTGAAGGTAAGCCTTAACAGATACATTGGAAATATCCAGGCAGATAGTGAGTAGAGGACGTTTTCGGGCAGAAGTTACAGCCTAGAGATGCTGTTGGAGAGGTGCAGATAATTCAGTTTGATTGCAGCCTTGTGGTTACAGAAGCACATAGGAGCCCCAGGAGATGGGTCATAGAAGTCTAACCTCATGGAGCCCCATGACGACAAGCTTTGGGTGCAGAACTAATTTAGTCTTCCTAACCTTAATCAGAGCTGCAAATACATACTTAATAAGGATAATGTGCTATGTTTACTTTATTTTCTTTGTGCTCCTTTGGTCAAAGGTGCTTAAATAAACGTTAATGAGTCAAGATGGGATAAAGAAATGTGGCATTAGCCAAATATGTGTAATGAGCATAAAATTTGTGCAAAACACTGTTCTATGTGCTAAGGTGGTTTAGAAAAACAATAATAGTTAAATTTTATCACATTTCCTGTTATCCAAAACAGCTTGAAGTCTAAATGGGGATCTAATTTTTTTTTTTTTTTTGAGATGGACTCTCACGCTGTTGCCCAGGCTGGAGTGCAGTGGTGTGATCTCGGCTCACTTCAAGCTCCACCTCCCAGGTTCACACCATTCTACTGCCTCAGCCTCCCGAGTAGCTGGGACTACAGGCACCCACCACCACACCCAGCTAATTTTTTTGTATTTTTAGTAGATACGGGGTTTCACTGTGTTAGCCAGGATGGTCTCGATCTCCTGACCTCATGATCCGCCCGCCTCGGCCTCCCAAAGTGCTATGGGGATCTAATTTTTTTAAGTATTATTATTTAGGTAATTATATGTGTATATATATTTTAACTTATATATTTACATACACCGATAAATTGGGGGTTGTTACATGTTAAAGTGCATTAGAATTACATGATGGGTTTGTTAAAACAATTTGAGGGGCCCACCTTTAATATGTCTGATTCAGTATATTTGGAGTTGAAGCCCAATAATTTGTGTTTCTAATAAATTCCTGGGTAATGCTGATGCTCCTGGTCCAGAACCATTGATAGGAATGCAAGCAAATTAAAGAAGTTCATGAGACTGGGCGTGGTGGCTCACGCCTATAATCCCAGAACTTTGGAAGGCTGAGGCGGGTGGATCACCTGAGGTCAGGAGTTTGAGACCAACCTGGCCAACATGGTGAACCCCCGTCTCTACTAAAAAAATACAAAAATTAGCTGGGCGTGGTAGCCGGTGTCTGTAATCCCAGCTACTCAGGAGGCTGAGGCAGGAGAATCGCTTGAACCTGGGATGCAGAGGTCGCAGTGAGCCAAGATCGTGCCACTGTACTCCAGCCTGGGCAACAGAGTGAGACTGTCTCAAAACAAAAACAAAAACAAAAAAAGAAGTTCAGGCTTATGGGAGCCAAAGCCTGAAGGCCCAGGTAGAGCTGGATAGAGTTAGTCATCAGGTGAATATTGTTCTTGTTTTTGAAAAAGGGTAGGGCAGTTGAGTTGTCAAACATAAGCCAAGAGGGCATGTTGACTTGAAGGGGCAACATGTACATAAAGCAAGGCAGCATGTACAAAAGTGAAGTTTTGCTTAAGTGAGCAATAAGCTAGTTACTTTGTGTAGAGAATTTCTGGTTATGAAATAACAAACAAAAACCAGAGAAGATTGGATTGGGAAGGAAGGTGAATGAAGTATCTACCAGGGTCTTTAACAAAGCCAACATGTTTGTATATTGAACAGTGGGCGCCAGGAATTCACTGTAGGATGCTCAGCAGCAATAAATCGAGCTTAGCAAGGCATTCTCTAAGTCCTGTGCTGGATAAACAGGGTCGGGATGAGCCCAAAGCACACAGAAGCCTATTGTATTTTACTAGGTGTCAGGTAGGGAAGGCTTAAGCCTAGCTTTCTTATGTGGAAATACTAGTAGAAAAAAATAAAATGGAAAAAACACAGATAAAACTGTAGGAGTCTTTCAATTTCATAAGGCAGACAAGACAGATCTGTTTTCCTTTCATTTTTTCTAAATTTGGTGCTCCATATATGTTCAGTGCTTAATACATTGTTCACAGAACAAATAAAAACCTTGCTCCAAAAGCATTTTTCTGCCTCAATTTTCTTATCTAAAAAATGGGGGTTATATAGCATGTCTACTTACAAGCAAAATAATTGGTGTAAAGTACTTTGATCATCCAAAAGTATGAATATGATTATTATTGCTAATGACAGAATGAGAAATCAAGTTCTCATTTAGATTTTAATTGGTTCAGAGAAAGGATATTTGTGCAGATTTCCTCATAGAATGGAGTTGATGGGGTGCCTCAGGAATTGGTGCCTAGTATATGAAATATTTAGTTGGAGAAAAGTAGCTAGCTCATTGAAGTAACTGATGACACAAAATTATGTAGGCTGGTAAAAACCATAGAGAATTCTATGAAATATTCCAGAAGGAGTTAATCAAATGGTATGACCAGAAAATAGGACAGCAGTTCCATTTTAATGAAGATAAGTGACTTTCTTAGAAAAGGAAATAGTTTTCATTTTCTCAGCATGTTGATTAACCAAGAGATATTAGAGGGAAAAGCAATGTGTCATGGTGCTTAACACATTTATTGGAATGCAGAAGTGCCATAGTGCCATATTTATTTATTCATTTATTCATTCATTTGCTGGACTCTATTCAGTACACACTGACCATCTGTGTGTCAGACAGTTGTGCTAAACAGCAGGGTGAGTAGGGAACAAAAGTAAATGAAGACGCAGTCCCTCCCTTTAAACTAGCTGACAATCCAGAAAGAGGGACATAAAAGTAAACAGATGTGGCTGTGAAACTGCCAAATAAATAACTATTAGTTTTCCATTGCTGTGTAGCAAATTACAGAAACTCAGTAGCTTAAAACAACCCACATTTTCTGTTTCTGTGGGTCAGGAGTCTGAGCGTGACTTAGATGGTTTCTCTGTTCAGGGTCTCAGAAAGCTGCAGTCAAGGTGTTGGCTGGCTGCATGCTCATCTGGAGGTCTGACTGGGGAATAATTTTTTTTTTTTTTTGAGTTGGGGGTGTTGCTCTGTCTCTTAGGCTAGTGTGCAGTGGTGCAGTCGTGGCTCACTGCATCCTTGAAGTCCTCAGCTCAAGTGATTCTCCCACCTCAGCCTTCCAGTTTGCTTGGATTACAGGAATGAGCCACTGTGGCCAGCTCAAGAATCCATTTTTTATGGTCATTTGAGTTGTTGGCAGAAGTGATTTCCTTGTGCTATATAACTGAGAATCCCAGTTTTTTGCTTGCTGTCATCTGGAGGTCACCCTCAGTTCCTAGAGGCTACCCTTGCCACATGGGCTTGCTCAACATAATCCCTTAGTGTTCCTTGAGTTAGCAAGATGAATCTCTCACTCCAGTCTAAAATGGAGATTTATATCAAATAACCTAATTATGGGAGTGATAGCCCATCATCTTTGCCATATTCTATTGATTATAAATAAGTCACAGGTTCCACCTGCACTCAAGACAAAGAGGTTACACAGGTCATAAACAATAAGAGTTAGGTAATATGGGAGTGTGGTCACACCTTACAGTATGTCTGCCACAGTCATATACTATAGACTGCCTCATGAAGAACACATCTGAGACAAATTTAGGAAATTATCAGACATGTTATTCATCCATTTCTCTTGGTACTTTTGGCTACATTCTTGAATCATTTAAGGTTGCTGGATGACTTTATAATTGGATCTGCCAGGGCTGCCCTTATTAAATTGCCCTTTAGTGTTGTGCTATTGACTTTTATCAAAGTTCACATATACTAGCAATAACAAATTACTATTGTAATTATTGGTCAGAAAAGTAAGACAAAAAGGACACAATTTACATATGTCTTAAATATTTCAGTTTAACCTAAAATTCATAAATGAGTAAGGACACAGTGGCTCACTCCTGTAATCCCAGCACTTTGGGAGGCTGAGGTGGGTGGATCACGAGGTCAGAAGTTCAAGACCAGCCTGGCCGGGATGGTGAAACCCCATCTCTACTAAAAATACAAAAATGAGCCGGGCATGTTGGTGGGCACCTGTAATCTCAGCTACCGGGCAGGTTGAGGCAGGAGAATTGCTCAAACCCGGGAGATGGAGGTTGCAGTGAACCGAGATTGTGCCACTGCACTCCAGCCTGGGTGACAGAGCAAGACTCCATCTCAAAAAAAAATTCATAAATATGACTATGTCAACATTATAAGACCAAGGCCATTTCCAATGTTCAGTTTAGGTTTGTTTTTAGTTGATCAAACTGTTGAAGACATGTGTGAGGTAGTCCAATTGAAAAATTGGACTTAGAGTGTTACCCCACCCACCCCTGCCACCCCAAAATCTTCTAAGATTCCCAGAAATATTTTTCTGCAGCTTTCTATTATCATATGTTTTCAAAGCATTCCACTTCTTCATAGAAATATTTCTCTTTGCACACTTGTATTTCAGCTTATGGCATATTTTAGTAGAACTGCATAATTACAATAGCAAGAATGATGAGTGTAAATAGTTTTGGAAGCAAGCACAACCAATTCATGGAAGCACATAAAACACACCTTCAAATGGTAAAGAAAGCTGGACAAAAGTTATTTCTTTAAGGGACAACATGGGTGCACCTGACTCAGCCAACACTCTTACCCATGTGCCTACTATTGTTATATGACTTTTTGCTTCTGTATTTGTTGTAAACTTTTTTGCTATTGATGATGGTGATTCTTTATATATCTTGGTTCATTACATAAAGTGCTTTATCAAAATTTATGTTTAAAATAAAGTATCAAATAAAGCTTTACCCTCTCCCAAAGAATGTCAACACCTTTGTCATAAAGAATACATCATAACTTCTGGGAGTCTCTCCTTCACCCTGGCTGGAGTAGTGTGCAGGCACAACATAAGATACAAATATTCTGGACCTATCTGTATTTTAGAAATTGAGAATTTAGGTGTCTGGTTTCTAATACTGATATCTATACATGGCCAGCTTGTTGTCTGATTTAAAATGATGTAACTTTAAGAACAAATTTGAGAAGTAAATATTTGAGAAGCAGTAACTATAATTTAAAACAGAGTTACACTCGCATTTCTTAATCCAAAGATTTCAGCTCTTTATACAGATGTTTAGAACAACAATGTCTGAACAATTCATACTACAGATTACTAGGCATCCAATTTCAGCAGCTGCCATCATTGTTTTATAGTTAATAATTTGTCATTTTTAAATCCCAAATCAGACCTCCTTATTAATATTTGGTAAACATGCCAGGAGAAAACTATTTACTTGACACTTAAGATAAATAAATTATCCAACAAGAAAGGCTACCTACTACCTATGCAAATATGACTAAATGCCAGTATAAAGACTTGTGATATTTGGCTTGTAATCTTCACATTGTCTTGGTGAAGTTGAGTATATTAATCCTACATAGACCTGAGTTAACTGGTCTTCTACCTGTGACATGGGAAGCACAATATGTTGCAGGATTGTTTTAAGGATGAAAGATAATTTATTTAGAGTGCCTAGGATGGCACAGGATTTATTAAGTGTGCAGTACATGTTTGTTGCATGAATGAATAAAGGATGATAATTGTTGTTGTGGTGTCAATTTTCAGTCAGGATGAAAGAAACAATGAGATATCACACTAAGGACTAGTGAGTAACAGCAGTTGTTGCAAATATTCTTGTGAACTTTAGGTGGCTGTAATACCCATTGTATGTAAAAGAAGTTCAAATAAAGCCTATAAGTCATGTCAAAGCCAAATCAATTACTCAGTTCATTCTAAGCCACATTTTTTTTTAACCATCATTGAGGAAAGGAGATAACGTTCATTTGCCAAGGCTATGATATGAATGAGGTTAAATTCATTGTTGGAACCTCCCAACACCCACACATCAACTCCTTTCCTTGGAAAACTTCTACAGTTGATACAATGGAAGCCACCAGCTAGTTGGTTATATATGATTTTAGCAGTCATAAGTATCTGTTAGACCCAGAATTTGAAATCAGAAACTTCCTGTATTCATGGTCATAGATTATTTAAAAGAAGGATTTTGTATGTGCAATGCTAAAATTATGCCCATTTTAAAAAATTTTAGCTTTACTTTTAGATTGAGGGGGTACATGTACAGGTTTGTTACATGGGTATATTATGTGATGCTGAGGATTGGGGTTTGATTGATCTTGTCCCCTAGGTACTAAGTTTAGTACCCAATAGGTAGTTTTTCAACCATTTCCCTTCTCTCTCTCTCCCCGCTGTACTAGTCCCTAGCAGTCTATTTTTTTCATATTTATCTCCATGTGTACCCAGTGTTTAGCTCCCACTTAAAGTGGGAACATGCAGTATTTGGTTTTCTGTTCTTGCATTAATTCTTTTAGGATAATGGCCTCCTGCTGCCTCCATGTTGCTGCAAAGGACATGATTCTGTTCTTTGTTATGGCTGCATAGTACTCCGTGGAGAATATGTACCACATTTTCTTTGTCCAGTCCACCATTGATGGTCACCTAGGTTGATTCCATGTCTTTGCTATTGTGAATAGTGCTGCTATGAACATATGCATACATGTCTCTTTTTGGCCAAATGAATGATTTATTTTCCTTTGGGTATGTTCCAGTAATGGGATTGCTGGGTCAAATGATAGTTCTGTTTTCAGTTCTTTGAGAAATTTTGAAACTGCTTTTCACAGTGGCTGAATTAATTTACATTCCCACCAACAGTGTATAAGCTGTTCCCTTTTCTCCACAGCCTCACCACCATCTGTTGTTTTGTTACTTTTTAATAGCCATTCTGAACGTTGTGAGATGGTATCGTATTGTGGTTTTGATTTTTTTTTCTGATGATTAGTGATGTTGAGCTTTTTTTTTTTTTCATTTCCAACTTTTATTTTAAGTGCAGGGGTACATGTGTAGGATGTGCAGGTTTCTTAAATAAGTAAATGTGTGCGATGCTGGTTTGCTGCACCTAGGTATTAAACCCAGCATCCATTAGCTGTTCTTCCTGATGCTCTCCCTCTTCCCACCTCCACCCTCTGACAGACCCCAGTGTGTGTTGTTGCCCCCCCATGTGTCCATGTGTTCTCATCATTCACCTCCCACTAATAAGTGAGAACATGCTGTGTTTGGTTTTCTTTTTTTTTTTTTTTTTTTTTTTTGAGACGGAGTCTCGCTCTGTCGCCCAGGCTGGAGTGCAGTGGTGGGACCTCGGCTCACTGCAAGCTCCGCCTCCCGGGTTCACGCCATTCTCCTGCCTCAGCCTCCCAAGTAGCTGGGACTACAGGCGCCCGCCACCACGCCCGGCTAATTTTTTGTATTTTTAGTAGAGACGGGGTTTCACCGTTTTAGCCGGGATGGTCTCGATCTCCTGACCTCGTGATCCGCCCGCCTCGGCCTCCCAAAGTGCTGGGATTACAGGCGTGAGCCACCGCGCCCGGCCCTGTGTTTGGTTTTCTGTTCCTGCCTTAGTTTGCTGAGGATAATGGCTTCTAGCTCCACCCATGTCCCTGCAAAGGACATGATCTTATTCCTTTTTATGGCTGCATAGTATTCCATGGTGTATATGTACCACATTTTCTTTATCTAGTCTGTCATTGATAAGCATTTAGGTTGATTCCATGTCTTTGCTATTTTGAATAATGCTGTAGTAAACATATGTGTGCATGTATTTTTATAATAGAATGATGTATATTCCTTTGGGTATGTACCCAGTAATGAGACTGCTGGATCGGGTGGTAATTCTAATTCTAGGTCTTAATCACCACACCATCTTCCACAATGTCAGTTGAACTAATTTACATTCTCACCAACAGTGTAAAGGCATTCCTATTTCTTCACAGCCTCACCAGCATCTGTTGTTTCCTGACTTTTTAATAATTCTGACTGGCATGAAATGGTATCTCATTGTGGTTTTGATTTGCATTTCTCTAATGATCAATGATATTGAGCTTTTTTTCTTATGTTTGTTGGCCGCATGTATGTCTTCTTTTGAGAAGTGTCTGTTCATGTCCTTTGCCCACTTTTTAATGGGGTTGTTGTTTGTTTCTTGTAAATTTGTTTAAGTTCCTTGTAGATACTGGATATTAGTCCTTTGTCAGATGGATAGATTACACATTTTTTCTCCCCTTCTATAGGTTGCTTGTTCACTCTGATGATCTTTTGCTGTGCAGAAGTTCTTTAGTTTAATTAGTTCCCATTTGTCAATTTTAGTTTTTCTTGCTATTGCTTTTGGCATCTTTGTCATGAAATCTTTGCCCATGCCTATGTCCTGAATGGTATTGCCTAGATTTTCTTCTAGGATTTTTATAGTTTTCAGTTTTACATTTAAGTCTTTAATCCATCTTGAATTTATTTTTGTATATAGTGTAAAGAAGGGGCCTGGTTTCAATATTCTGGCTAGCTAGTTCTTCCAGCACCATTTATTAAAAAGGGACTCCTTTCCCCATTGCTTGTTTTTGTTAGCTTTTTCAAAGATCAGATGGTTGTAGGTGTGGGGTCTTATTTCTGGATCCTCTATTCTGTTCCATTGATATGTGTGTCTGTTCTTGTAGCAGTACCATGCTGTTTTGGTTATGGTAGCCTTGTAGTATATAGTTTGAAGTTGGGTAGTGTGATGCTTCCAGCTTTGTTCTTTTTGATTAGGATTGCCTTGGCTATTTGGACTCTGTTTTGACTTCATATTAATTTTAAAATAGTTTTTTCTAATTCTATGAAGAGTGTCAATAGTAGTTTAATGAAAAAAGCATTGAATCTATAAATTGCTTTGGACAGTGTGGCCATTTTCATGATACTGATTCTTCCTATTCATGAGCATGGAATGTTTTTCCATTTGTTTGCACCCTCTCTGATTTCTTTGAGCAGTGGTTTGTAGTTCTCCTTGAAGAGATCCTTCACTTCCCTTGTTAGCTGTGTTCCTATTTATTTTATTCTTTTTGTAGCAATTGTGAGTGGGAGTTCATTCATGATTTGGTTGAGCATTTTTTCATATGTTTATTGGCTCCTCGTATGTCTTCTTTTAAGAAGTGTGTGTTCATGTATTTTGCTTACCTTTTAATGAAGTTATTTGTCTTTCACTTAAGTTCCTTATGGATTCTGGACATTCGACCTTTGTCAGATACATACCTTGCAAATATTTTCTCTCATTCTATAGGTTTCTGTTCACACTGTTGATAGTTTCTTTGCTGTGCAGAAGCTCTTTAGTTTAATTAGGTCCCACTTGTCAATTTTTGTTTTGGTTGTGATTGCTTTTGAAGACTTAGTCATAAATTCTTTGCCAAAGCTGGTGTCCAGAAGGGTATTTCCTAGGTTTTCTTCTAAGATTTTTATAGTTTACATCTTACATTTGAGTCTTTAATCCATCTTAAGTTAATGTTTTTATATACTGATATGTAGTGGTCCAATTTCATTCAGGTGCATATGGCTGGCCAGCTATTCCAACACCACTTATTGAATAGGGAGTCCTTTCCCCATGGCTTATTTTTGTTGACTTTGTCAAAGATCAGTTGGTTGTATTAATAGGTGTGCAGCTTTATTTCTAGGTTCTCTATGGTGTTCCATTCGTCTACATGTCTGTTTTCATACCAGAATCATGCTGTTTTGGTTACTATAGCCTTGTATAGTTTGAAGTCAGGTAGTGTGATATCTATGGCTTTGTTCTTTTTGCCTAAGATTGCTTTGGTTATTTGGGCTCTTTTTTGGTTTCATATGAATTTCAGAATAGTTTTTTTCTAATTCTGTGAAAAATTATATTGGCAGTTTGATAACAATAGCATTGAATCTACAGATTGCTTTGGGCAGTATGACAATTTAATGATATTATTTCTTCCAGTCCATGAACATGAAATGTTTTTCCATTTGTTATTATCATCTATGATTTCTTTCAGGAGTGTTTTGTAGTCTCCTTTTAGAGATCTTTTATCTCCTTGGTTAAATATATTTGTAGATATTTTAATTTTTTGTGACTATTGTAAGTGGGATTGTATTATTGATTTGGCTCTCAGCTCAAATGTTATTGATATATAAAAATACCACCGGTTTTTGTCTATTAATTTTGTATTCAGAAACTTTAATGAAGATGTTTATCAGTTGTAGGAGCCTTCTGGAGTAATGTATAGGGTTTTCAAGGTATATGATCGTATCAGTGAAGAGGGATAATTTGACTTCCTCTCTTCCTGTTTGGATGCCTTTATTTCTTTCTCTTGCCTTATTACTCTGGCTAGGACTTCTAGTACATGTTGAAAAAGAATGATGAGATTAGGCATCCTTATCTTGTTCCAGTTCTCAAGGTGAATTCTTCCAGCTTTTATCTATTCAGTGTGATGTTGGCTATGGGTTTGCCATAGATAGCTCTTATTATTTTGAGGTATGTTTCTTCAATGCCTAGTTTGCTAAGGGTTTTATCATAAAGGAATTTTGGATTTTATCAGAAGTTTTAATGCATGTATTGAGATGATCATATGGTTTTTGTTTTTAATTCTGTTTATGTGATGAATCACATTTATTGATTTGCATATGTTGAACCACCCTTGCATCCCAGGAGAAAAGACTCTTGATGGTGGTTAATTACCTTTTTGATGGGCTGCTGGATTAGGTTTGCTAGTGTTTTGTTGAGGATTTTTGCATCTATGTTCATTGGATATTGGCCTGTAGTTTTCTTTTATTGTTGTGTCTTCGATCGATTTTGGCATCAGGATGATGCCGGCTTCATAGAATGAGTTAGGGAGGAGTCCTTCCTCCTTGATTTTTTTTGGGGGGGAATAGTTTCAGTAGGATTGGTGTCAGCTCTTCTTTGTGTGTCTGGTAGAATTCACACTATACCCAAATTAATAGCAATGGTTTGTTTCCAATCAATTTTCCTTTTAAAATAGTACTAAATAATCACCATAATAAATGTCTTCTGAGAAATTAAGATAGAGAGGAGTTCCCTAAACATATGCTAAAAGTTCTTTCATTTAAAAATAATCTGGAATATTTAATATGTGGAGTAAAACTACCTGTTAGATTTAGGAGACTAATCGGTGTGTGACTTAGAAATATGTTTTAGTATCTACTGCTGAATAACAAGTTATCCCAAAACTTAGAGGGATAAAACAGCAAATACTTATTACTTTACACAGTTTCTAGGGTCTTGAATTCTGGTGCAGCTTTGCTGGCATCCTCTGGCTCAGGATCTCTGTGAGATTGTAAGCTGTCAGACAGGGCAGTGGTCTCATCTGAAGGTTCCTCTGAAGGAGGACCCACTTTCAAGCTCACTCACATGGCTGCTGGCAAGATTTGGTTCATTGACAGTTGCTGGACAGAGACCTCCCTCAGTTTCTAGCCGCATGGACCCTTCTGTAGAGATGCCTCAAGATGTGGCTTCCCCGAGAGAGAGAAATCAGAGAGAGAGGGCCCCAAAGATGGAAAACACAAGCTTTTACAATCTCATCTCAGAAGTGACATCCCATATGTTCTGTTGTATTCTGCCATATTTGTCAGAAACCGCAATGAGTCCAGCCCACACTCAAGGAGAGTGGATTACATAAGGACATGTCTATCAGGAGATGGGGATACTTGGGGGCAATCTCAGAGGCTGTCTACCACAGATAGGGAGGAATTTCCTAAAAGTGTGATAAAGATTTTTTCTATTTTCTTTTCTGGGAGGCTTAATGTGTGAAAGGAAAGTACTTGATGGACTTAGGAGATCCTGTGACCCTGGAGAAATACCCTAACCCCTCTGAACTTCAGGTTAACATGCACAAAATGTGAGTTGTGCCAGATGAACTCCATGATGCCTTCAAGCTAAATTGTCTTGAATTCTGTCTGCAAGCCTCCTGATTTTGGTAAAGCAGTGGTTTCTGATGGCTCTTGACACTTCAGTCCAAAGTGAAGCCCAGCTTCCTAGCAAGACAAGACAGTGCAGGTCCTGTTAACCTACCATCAGGCCTAGAGAGACCTCAGAAGTTAAAAAAGAACCTCACATTCCTGGTGACAGACATAACAGAATTTTTAACTAACCACCCACAAATCCACAATAATATATTTCACTTAGAAATGAATTAGCGAATTCTACTCTCTCCTTCTCCTGGCTGCCTGGCACAACCCCTCCTCTGCCTGTTTCTCAGCATCCCTACCTGAACCTCTTCTCATGCAATATTAGCACTGCAAATGCTTTAAGCGAGGAGGGGGCAGGAACCTCCTAGTCCATGATTCTTTCCCATTGTGTGCTTCCGTCTCCAGGAGGGGAAGGATGGCTGGCACTGCCTCCAGCTGTAAGAGAACCCTACTGGGCTTGTCTGTATCCACCATGCTATGGGCTCAATTACACACTGCCCATCTCCAGTTCTCCCCTTGGCTCTTGCTAAGTGACCCTCAGTATCCCCAGACCTCCTCAATTCTCTTCCTCCTGCATCCTTCTTTTCCTCCTACTTCTCTTTATTTTCCTCTTTTATTCTTCCTATTTGGTTTTATTTGACAGTGTTTCACTTAAGCTGAAAAAGCATCAGGTGACACTGTATTTTTTAACATTTTAAAGTCTTCACGTTTTATTTGGTGGGAAGGATAATAGAAGTATGCAGCTGTTATATGTACCTCTGTACTCCCTGTTGCTCAGTAAGGAAGTTTTGAGAGTCGAAAGGGTATTGAGGTGGCTCAGAGAAAAAACAGTCAGGGGCATCCAAAAGAATCTACTTGTCCCTGTTCAGAAGGTGTTGGAGGGTGGTGCATGGAGGCACACTTGGCTGTTGGAGTTCGATTCATTGTTACTGTGTTGTTCCAGCCCTGGCCTTGCTGTCTCGTAGCTCACCGGTAGCCAACTAGCAAAATTAGAGAAAGCAAAATGTTACTACATTTCATAGATTAACTTAATAGAAGATAAATTCTTAGTTGAGAACATATAAGATTTATAGGAAAACTAAGTTTTAAACTCTGGATTTTCATCATGAACTATGTCATTGTGAAATATCTGAACTCATGTATTTGGTTACTCTTCAGTTTTAAAATGCTTTTCAAGTGTTTAAAAGCAACACCAAAGAATCATTTTACATACCTTTCCTGTATTATTGCAGAAGTTCATTGTCTTCCTGGAAATATAAAAGAATTAAAAGGCCATCATCTCATACATTATTAAACATAACAAATCCTACTACTGGCTAAATCAATGAACCATTAACCTTCTCACAACACAGTGTGTCGGGAATCAATTTCATAAATAATAGACTTTTGCAATGATAGTGCAAAATGGGATTTCGGCACAGCTAACACTGGAATGCCAGACAAAAAGCCAAAGTGTTGGGACATTACTTGATCCTTCTGCCAGGAGAATCAATGCAGGAAAAGAACTCAAATTACCTGTCATCATACAATGTGCTGCATCTTTTGCTTACATAATTGTTTGACAGATTTATACCTCTTGAAATTATTTCATATGGCTAAGCTAGATTGGATTTCATGTGTTAGCTATGACACAGGGAAACATTCAGTTGTCCTGGTGGATTTGCTTCACAATTCATAACCTCATTAGTTTTGCTTATATTTTGAGTCTATAATTTTTTAAGAAACCAGTTACTTCAAAAAAAGAGAGTAAAGTAGCTATTGGCACACAGACATAAGTCACAGTAACATTGTCCCTTTTAACAGGGTAGTGGAAAAGAAGGTAAGTTTAACTGATGCCGCCTCGGCTGCTGGAGCCTAATGCCATGAGAGCAACCTGAGCTCATAGGCGTCTGTACCAAGAAACCCAGACCTAGTTTTTAACGTTCAAGTTTCATTTCTCTGAATTGTAAGGATGAATTCTCATGGTTAGGAAGGTTGATAAAGGTAAAATATAGTACCGTTTATATGATTTGAAAGGTTTACCTGTATTTGATGAAACTGGACTCTCTCCGATAGCGCTAAGCATGCTTTCTCAGCCTTGAAGAGATGCGTGGGTTTTTGTAACACCCCAATGGGGGAAATAAGACTTGAGTGAACTGGGAGATTTCAGAGGATCAGAATTTCATTTAAAGAGGCTGATAGCATTTGGTCTTTCCATATCACTGTATAATTTGCTGTACCCTTAGCAAAACAGAAACATATAAAATAAGTCCAGTGCATTTGATCTCATCACTGAAGACAAAGTGGAGCTGTTGTGTCTCCTCATTCAACAATGCATCACACTTCACTGCCTCAGCACAGAAGCCATGCCCTCATGGGAAGAGCAGGGTGGAGAGAAAGTGCAGGAGAGGATCATGAAGAGGCAGGCTCAGGATGGATATGCTCTAAGATGTGCTCTAATACCCCAGTATTCAGTCTGTAAATTATAATATCCATAGAAGATTGTGGAAAATGTATGATCTAGAGAGGAAAACACCAGAAATTCTGTATTTCTAACTAAATATATGTGTGTATATATATTTTCATTATATATATAAGCAGAAGTTGAATTATATTACACTATGATTACAGTCATAGAGATATGTATATATACATGTATACTCATCTAGATTATATACATGTACATACACACATGTCTCTGATTGTTAATTATAATATCATTAACTTCTGCTTGTTCCTGCTTAATGTTCTATCATTACGAGGATAATCTTAAAAATATTTAACAACTAGTATAGCACAGATATTGACATAGGAGGCAGGGCAGTAAATAGTTGGTCTGAATGGACAGTAACCATAAACAGCCGTTTGCCCATACCCATGCACACTGGCTAAATATTGACCTTGATTGAAAGTACTCTTACCTATTGTTGCAGAGTCTATGAGTAAAGCATTAATGACTTCATTAAACATAATCACCTATCTCTTGCCCTACTGTTAATTATTTAGGGTGCTCCCATTTTCTAGTGTTATAAATAATTGTGCAGTGAACAAATTATGTCATGTTAAGATGTTTGTAAGAATTGAATTATAAGTGATTATAAGTCTGATTCTTAGTTCCAAAAACTGGAAAGTTGACAGCATTTCAAAAGAATAAGTCACAGTTGAGTCAGAAGTTCATGGGTGTCAGTATAGATCCAAACACTGCTTTGCTGTGTGATCTTGAATGTATCACCTATAAAAATAGCTTTATCTATATTGGTTTTCCAGCCTGCCAAGTGAAAATCGTGCCCATAGTTGACAAAAGGCTCCCAAGGTTGTGCAATAAAAAGCCCTGACATGTTCATTACAAGCAAAGATGTCTGGAAAGATGTTGGATGATGAGGGGAAGCAGTGCCAAATCTGGAGTCTGGGTCTGAATCCTGGCTTTGCCTCCTACTTGCTGTGTGATCTTCAGCAAGTCACTAGACTCTCTGAGCTTCTTTCGTCAAATTGTGGCAACGTATCCCCTGCCTACTTTGGAGTTACTTGGAGGATATGGTGTAAGTGGCAAGTCTCATTAACTCCAAAGGACTTTTGGAATGGGAAGAGTTATTCGTTTATATGAAAAGATACCTATATTGATATCTTTTAAAATTATTCTGAAGTTTTCCAAATATTCTGATACTCAACACTCAAAATGAATATGAATTTTTCCCGCTTTGTTACCCTCCCAGTCCACTCCCCGACCCCGCCTCAGAGCCATGTGCAAGTGGTATACATACGCATTCTGTGCCTGCTGTGAAACTTTTACCATGGAGAAGATAATGTGCATCTGTGAATAATATATAGTATTGTCTTTAGAGTCTTTAAATATTAGATAAAGATACCAAAACTCTCTGTATTCTCCTGTAACTCGTTCAACATTTATAAGATTCATCCATGTTCATATACGCAGCTCTTATTCATTCATTTTTATTGCTGCCCAAACTCCATTACATGCATTCTCTGCCATGCTCGTGGGTATCTCGGTTTGTTTCCAATGTGGAACTATTGCAAACTAAGCTGTGAGGAGCATATCTGCACATATCTTTTGTGCACCTGTCTAATGTTTCTCTAGGGCTAGAAGTGGAATTGTTGGGTCATGTGCACACCTCTACCACTAGTAGAGTTAGCAAAATGCCGTCAAAGTAGTGCTAACAATTTGCACTGCTCTCTCCATCAGTGTGTAAGAGTCCCCAATTCTCCACATACTCACCAGCCCTTGGTGTTTTTGACTTTTTAATTTTAATAGTATCTAAATGAACATGAGTAAATATTCATGGGTCTATGAATAAATATTAGAATTTGATTCAGTTTAGCAAGTGGTGGTAATTCTGTTTGTGTCAACGTTGACCCATGTTAACCAAAGTAGATACCTAACATAAAGAAATGGAAAGTACCCAGGACCTTGAGCTCTGAGGATGAGTGAAACCCCAGCACTGCCTTTCCTAGCCGTGGCTGCTATGGGCTTCCAACATCTCTTTCTGTCCTGGAGAGACTGAACTTTCCGAAGTCTCGGGAGGAATAAGTGAAATGCTGTATGTGGCCACTAAGTCAGAATCACCAAAGCTAGCGCCAAGAATCTGCATTTCCAACACACTCTGTAGCAAATCTTTATACCTAGGTTAGGATATATATATATAGATAGATAGATATAGATACAGATATAGATGTAGATATAGATATAGATATAGATATAGATCGATCATGATTCATCAAACAAGGTAGAAAAGCTCAACACTGGGCATAGTGTCAGTCAAGAGTAATGCAAAAAGTTGGTTAAGTGGGTCTACGTGACAAAATAGAAATGGAGAAAGGAATTCTAAAGAAATATGGAAAATCAGGTGAAACATCTCTGACTTTTAAAAATGTAACATCGACTTCTGGCATGAGTGCCTTCTTGGGATGTGTTTTGTAATCGTCTCCTTACTGACTGCTGCAAATAATCTTCACACAGGCACAGTCAAAGCTCTTCACTCCAAGGGGACTGTCCCTCCCGGACTCCCTCAAACGTCTTTGCTTCTGGGATTTTGAGCACTTTGATTTCTGGAAGGAATGCCCTAAGAATAGATGAAAAGATTGCCAGTTCTGGAGGACCTACCAAGTGCAGGCACTGAGTGACTTTCATGTACTTTCGTATTTACACCTCGCCACAATTCCACGAGATAGGTCATTCCCCGCCCCCCACCCCCCAACCCCCGTCCACCCCGCTTTTTTTTTTTTTTTTTTTTTTTGCTAATTAGCAGGAAATGTCCAAGTGTCAAAGCCAGGGCTCAGCCCAGGCCAATCAGGGACACTTGAGTTCACTCTGTCTCTCCAGAGCCTGGCAGTATCAGGACCACAGTGAGAGCTGGACCCAGAAAGAACAGACTATAGCAATTCAAGAGAGCTGTTTTTCATAGAGCAAGGAAGACATGGAAGAAAAAATACCTTCTTGGCTTCTGTCACCCTCAGAGAGACTGAAAGGAATAGGGGATGCAGCAGTTGCTTCTACCTCTGTGCTTATCTCTCAAGAAAAGGAGACAGGTGGAATGAGAGAAAAACAAGTCCTTCTAGCTGGATGCCTCTGAGATCTGTCCCAGTGTCTTCACCCTAACCTGCTTCATTTTTCCCTCTGGCTTTTAGCGAAGGAGTTTTGAATTATTTTAAGATGCTCAGGGAACCCACTGTTCAAGGATAGCAGCAATGAGAAGGAGCGGGGATGGAACCAGGGTCTGGTCTTCGGAATGTCCAGCTGCCTCCAGAGAAGCCCACCAGCGGGAGACTGGCATAAACCAGCAGAGCCCAGGAACGGGAGGGCTCAACTTGATGGAGCAGTAACTTGGAAACAGCTTAAATGACCTCTAAGAGCAGATTTCCTAAACAGATTGGAGTTAGTTGTGCAATGGAATACTGTGCTGCTTTAAAAATGATGTGAAAGAAAGTTACCGTGGAGAATGTTCGTGATTGATACTGAAAAATTCAGGTGGTATAATACTAGTTTTGTGTTTTAAAAAAGTTTATATATACATGTGTTATGTGTATGTATGTGTGCATATAAACTTTTACAATACAGATCTATAAATATAAACTTTATAACAAATCCAGGACTTGAAAGACACGTACTAAAATTAATAGGTGATTTTATAAAAAGTTTTGGACTTATTTTAATATTCTCTCTCTATGTGCATGTGTGTCTAGGTGTGTGTATACTATATATACACATAGACACATACATACGTACTCTGGACTTAAATGTGAAACATAAAACTTTTAGGAAAAAGAATAGGAGGAAAATCTTCAGGATCTAGGACTAAGCAAAGAATTCTTGGGTTGGGTGTCAGAAGCATGATCCGGAAAAGAAAAAAATTAATAAATTAGATCTCATCAAAATTAAAAACTTCTGCTTTGCAAAATACCCTAAGAGGATGAAAATATGAGCCACAGACTAATAGAAGATATTTGCAAACCACATATCTGACAAAGGACTAATATACATAAAGAACTCTTAAAACTCAGCAGTAAAAAAAAAAATCCAATTAGAACGTAGATAAGAGATATGAGCAGCCATCTCACTGAAGAAGATGTACAGATGGAAAATAAGATATACAGATGTTCAACATCATTAGCCGTTTGGGAAATGCAAATTAAAACAACAATGTGATGTCACTGTATATACCTATCAGAATGACTGAAATAGAAAATAGCGACATCACCAAACGCAGGTGAGAATGTGGAAAAACTAGGCTCCACCTGTGTTGCCGGTGAGAATGTGAAATGGTACAGCCACTCTGGAAAGCAGTTTGGCAGTTTCATGTAAAACTAAACATTCCATTACCATGCAATCCAGTGATTGTATTCCCAGGCATTTATCCCAGAGCAATGAAGACTTACGTTCACACAAAAAATCCTATACACCATTGCTCACGGAGGCTTCATTTGTAATAATCCAAAACTGGAAATAATCCAGAAGGCCTTCCGTGGGCACATGATTAAACAACTGTGGCACATCCACACCACAGACTGCTACTTAGCGGTAATCAGGAACAAACCACAGTTGACCCTTGAGCAACACAGCTTTGACCTGCACAGGTCCACTTATATGTGGATTTTCTTCAGCCTCTGCCATCCCTGAGACTACAATACCAACTCTCCTCTAGAAAAAAGTAAATCTCTTTTTTCTTCTTTGTGACTTCCTTAATATTTTCTTTTATCTAGCTTACTTTATTGTGAGAATACAGTATATAATACATATAACATAGAAAATACATGTTAATCCATGAATTATGTTATCAGTAAGGCTTCTGGTCAACAGTAGGCTAGTAGAGGTTAAGGTTTCAGTGAGTCAAAAATTATATCTGGGGCTGGGCGCGGTGGCTCACGCCTATAATCCCAGCACTTTGGGAGGCCGAGGCCGGCAGATCATGAGGTCAGGAGATCGAGACCATCCTGGCTAACATGGCAAAACCCTGTCTTTACTAAAAATACAAAAAATTAGCTGGGCATGGTGGTGGATGCCTGTAGTCCCAGCTACTTGGGAGGCTGAGGCAGGAGAATGGTGTGAACCCAGGAGGCAGAGCTTGCAGTGAGCTGAGACTGGGCCACTGTACTCCAGCCTGGGTGACAGAGCGAGACTCCGTCTCAAAAAAAAAAAAAAAAATTATATCTGGATTTTCAACCACGTTGGGGTTGGCATCCCCCGCCCCTGCATAGTTCAAGGGTCAACTGTACTGATAAACACAACAACCTTGATGAATCTTCATTGATTGAGTGCAAAAAGCCAGTCCCAAAGGTTACATACTGCATGACTCCATGTATAAAACCTCAAAATGACAAAATTATAGAAACGGAGAATAGTAGTTCAAAGGGTTATGGATGAAGTAGGGTGGGATGGCTGGAGGAAGGTGAGTGTGGTTTTAAAAGGGAAGTGTGAGAGACCCTTGTGGTAAGGGAATTGTTTTGTAACTTGATTGTGGTGGCAGATGCCTGAAACTACATGTAGTAAAATTGCATAGAACTAAATATGCGTGCACACACGTGCATACACACAAATGAGTTTAGGTAAAAACAGGGAAATTAAACAAGATCAGCAGATTGTATCAATGTCTGTATCCTGATTGTGATATTGTATTATAATTTTCCAAGATGTTGCTACTGGGGGGAACTGAGTGTAGGGTGTAGAAGATTGCGCCGTATTAATTTCTCAAAATTTCATGTGAGTGATATAATTGAAGGAAAAAAATAATTTTAAAGTTATGATTTTTTGATTTGTATAAATTATATAATGCATAATTATATAACATATATTATTATAATATATAGTATACGTTATAGCTTGGTATTTATAAGAAATAAATTAATTAGTAATACAATCACTGAAGGACTTAACCAGTTTGAAATTTTCGACTCTTTTCTTGCAAGATAAAATTAATAACTTGCTCCCCGCAAGATAAAATTAATAACTTCCTCCCCTTTTCCGTAAAACTCTATGAAAGCATTGTCTATACTCATTGCACCCAATTTCTCTTCTTCCATTCTCTCTTTAATTCACTTTAATTAGGATTCATCTCCACAGTCTTACCAAAAGGTATCAACATCACCAGTACTAACTGCGGCGCCAGTTCTCAGCCCCTGCTCCCTGACCTAGCAGCATCCTCTGTCATGGCTGGCAGCGTCCCTCTTGCTGTGTTTTCTGTGTGTGGCCTCCTGGTTCCCACTCTCTGCCTCACCTCTGACAGCAGAATGCCTGCTCAGTGGCTGATCCTCTGCCCCAGTCTGCCTGCACATGCTCTCGTGGCTTTAACACCATCTGTGTGTCTGCTACTCCCACTCTTATATTTCCAGCTCACTCCTTTCTCCCGAACTGTGGATTCATTTATCTAGCTGCACACTTGACATCTACATCTCCATTTAGATATCCGCCAGACACTTCAAAATTTAGCATCCCTCCAATCACTGCCTCTGTATTCACAGAGGTCCCTTCTCTCTGTGTGTGTCTCTGTGTACAAATTTCCCCCCTTATTATAAGAACACCAGTCATATTGGCTTTAGGGCCCACTCTAATCCAATATGACCTCATCTTAACTTGATAACATCTGCAGAGACCCTGGATTCAAATATGGTCATATTCACAGGGTCTGGGTGAACGTGAATTTTAGGGGGACACTATTAACTCAGTGTACATACTCTATTAATTATATAAGTGATTTGTTTTGTTATTGTTTGACTCTTGGTTCTAGAATGTAATTTTCTTAGATGCAGGACTCTTTTTTTTTGGTCCTGATCATATCCCAAGTTCCTGATGCTTTGTCTAGCAAAGAGCAGAATCTCACTAAATTAAAGAGTGTGTTTACATCTGTGATGAATTATAATACAATGACACCCTTTTAAGGGTAGTACATGTGGACATGTCAACTTCTTTGACCATGTTTTTGAACAGATAGACAAATACAAAATACCAAGTGATCAGTTAAAACAGAGACCTTCTTTAGCCATTTGGAATAAACATCATGTCCTCTAATTTATATTCTTGCTGTATTTAAGTGACAATTTTGCTGTGTTTGATCGTATTTCTAGAGATAAAGAACCACATGAGTCTAATTCAGAGCATCCGTGCACTTGCTAACAAAGCACTTTCAGTGACTGCTGCTTCATTTCTCGCTTTCTGATGGACTGCTGAGTCACTGCAGCCAGATCATCCTCTGAGAATCTAGGACTTCGTATGCCCGAGACTTGCTGCTGCTCATTGGTGCAGCTGAGTTTGATCATTATCTGCTGTGGGCTGCAAATGGGCAGTGGCCCCAAATGCACTCTGAAGGTCAGGAGAAAATTAACTCTGTGTCTTGTCTCTAAAAGTTAGATCTTGTTCAGTTCTAACATGTGTGTGGGCATGCATATATGTATGTGTGTGATGTGTGCGCATGTATGTGTGTGCTGTAAGGAGTGTATATCACAGGGTGGAGAATAGGGTGGGGTGAGTGAGGCTTTCACAACTGGGGCATCAAAAGTCTCAGTAATCAAGATAAATAATATTTTAATGTCCTATTTTTAAAAGTTAAAAATAACATTAAAATTCACAACAAATCATCAAATTTTTAAATGAAAATGGGCTGCTGTTTATTTTATGACACTGTATTATAGTCATCAGGAACAGCCAGTGGGTCCTGGTCCTTGTGGCTGGGCTCCCGTCCCCTCGGCAGGGGTTTTCTGAGGGCTGACAGTGGTGTATGAGCAGATTGAGCCATGTGGGTATTATATATAGTCATGTTTTTATTGTATAGCTTTTATTTACTTTTTCCACTTGGTTCAAAATATGGGAGGATATTCTGACAAGTGTCTGTAGGAACACACATTTTTTTCCTTTTGCCTCATGTTCCATCATGGGTCAGCACACCCGTGTGCATATGTGTTCACGTGTGTGCATGTATGTGTTGAGTGTTCACTTGTCCATTCTAGGGGTTGGCTCTGGAACATCTATGAATGGTTAGGTGGTTGTTGGTCAGATTCAGTTAAGAGGACCCCCTACAGTTTGACTTCATTTCAGTCCCACTAGCAGATCAGGGCTATTCTGGCTGATTCCAAGGTGGTCCAGGGCACTCCTGAGCGAGCGCATGTAGGGATGTGCAGCCAGGGCTCTCTCATCCATCCTGAGTGACATTGCAACCTATGCATGAGACACTTTTTGGAGTTCACAGTGCATGCAGTCATACGTGTTAGAAAAAGCCTTTCAAACTAACCTCCATGATGTCTTCCTACACTCCAGAAATCTGGAGCCCTGATGCCCTAACAGGGTGCGGACCCCTTTGCTTGACCTTGCTTGCCCACAGCTCGAGCGCCCTTTTGCTAAACGTCGCTGAAAACTCTGCTACACGCCCTTTCTTAACTGGCTTGAAAGTGGCTCAGAAGAGTAGGAGAAAGTCCCTACTGTGCCTGTGGTTCCCGAGAGAATAGAAGATCCAGAAAGAATTGTTGTGCGGTATTTCCCCTTTTCCACACCATAAAACCTACCCAAACCTGCTTATGGGCAGTTAGGCTAGATGACTAGAAAATAAAACAGTGTGCACACAGTGCTCTGTAACCCCTCACCAGGAGCGGCCCTGTGCCCGCAACAGGCTGGAGGGCTCCCTTCTCGCTCTGCCTTTCCAGGCTCCAGTCAGCATCATTTGCTTTCCTGGCACGATTTTTGCGGTCTGCTCATGTTGTTTACATCATTATTTCTGTCCTGAAGTCAGCAGCACTGTGCATTGGGCTTAGATTTTTGACAGCGATTTTGGCAGATGTGCGCTACAGTGGGAAGACATGTAGGTATCTTACATAAATCTTAATGGTTTCAATGATTGTAAATGTCTGTGGCACTCAAAGTTGACTTCTTTTTAAAGATTGGTTATTGACAGGGTTCTTGGGGAAAAGCCTTTTTAGTTTCAGTCTATCATGTGATATAATTTGAGGTATTCTGATCCTTCATCTAGGGATGATGTATATGTGAATTAAATTCACAGCACTTTTGCACTAGAGTGGGAGCCCACAAAGAGAAAATGACTGAAGATAAGATCCTTCTTACAGCATATTAAAAAGAGTGTGCTTTCAAGGAAGAAAAATGGTGGGTGATTTCTGATACCACAAATAATTATGTATTAGCCATATAAAGTAATTTCAAGTGGGAAATAATTTCTGTCCACGTTAAGTAAAACTGTTTTAAAATCAGATGCTCTACTATTAGTAGTAAATGAAAAAAATGAAATAATTAGATAGTTTTTTCTGCCTAAGCACTGAAATTATGGGAAAGGGCTTATTTAAGGTAGAAATGTATTGTTCTGAAATATTTTAAAAATTTCTTAGAAATTCAACTCTAAGAATAGGTATTTCTCTAGACCCAGAAAAATGTTGAAAAGCTGGAATCTCAATGGCTTGCTGTGGCCCTTAAAATAGAAACTGCACTACACAGCAGGAGCTATGGAACTGTGGGCTCTTCCTCCTCCCTGCTCTCTGGTGTCATCACACATCAGTAATCCCTCACTCTCTTCACTGAAATGGCCCTGACCAGTTTTCAGGTACTTGTGTCTGAACTTCTGTCCTGCCACTGGGCCTTTGCATATTCTATTCTCACCCCAGGGCCATCCTTCCCTCCATTCTTCACAGATCTCGGCTAAAGCAACCCATCTTCAAGGAAGCTTGTCTTGACCTTCTTAACTAGATAAACCTTCGCCACCATCTCACCACACGTAACACCCTCATCATGTCTCTGTCCATTAGCTCTTATCAGAGCTGCATTTTTGTAGTTACATTTAAGATCATTCTACAGTAACTCTTGACCTCTATGTAGCCCATAGTTGCTTAAGAGCTGGGACTTAAGCCCAGTTTTGCTTATCATGATATCTGCTGTCTTTCCTGACACCTTAATATAAATTTTGGGAGGAAGTGAAAACAATGTGTGGGGCCAGTCCTTCTTTAATGGCTAATTTAAATATAAGGTAAGTAAATTGCTTTTAAAACACTTGCTGTGTTTTCAAATAAGGGTTTTATGTTTTGATGCAGTAGACGATGTTGTAGAGAAATCTTCTGTATTTATTTGGCTATCATTACAGTTTCTGCTATTAATGCAACATTAACATGTCCACTGTGTTCTGAGTGGAAGGGAAATGTTAGGGATGCAGCTCTTGTTGCTCTGAAATATTTTTTTCCTACTGTGGATGGTGGGGAATAATTAAATGCCATGAAAATTGAATTTCCACAAAATTGATGCAGTGAGGAAGCATGTCTTTCACCAAAACACTCCAAATGACAAAATGATAGAAATGCAGAATAGATGAGTAGTTCAAGAGGTTATGGACGAGGCTAGGGTGGGATGGCTGGAGGAAGGTGAGTGTGGTTTTAAAAGGGAAGTGTGAGAGATCCTTGTCGTAAGGGAATTGTTTTGTAACTTGATTGTGGTGGTGACTCATGTCAGGTTGCAGCTACTGGTGAAAACAGAACTATGCTTCCACTTTGGAAAGGATGACCTGACCACTCATTCTAAGTAGAATGAGGACACAGGACATTAAGTTCCTTGCAATATCTATTTCTCTAGGACTAAGATTTTACATGTATAATATTTACTTCTGGATTGGAAACACAAGTTACGGGATCTTTGAAACATAGTTTTACTGATCCGTAGACTTGAGGACGAAAAACAGGCCAACATGGAGAACTGACAGAAGGTTGGAGTAGAATTCCAGATATGAACCCTCTGACCAAAAGAACCCTTCAACACACCTTCTTGAACAGGCCAGCTCTTAGTCACTGGAACATGGGTACTCTTGTTCCAGCAGCTCTAGACAGAATGAGCCATGAGGCTTCTTGCTTCTGTGGATGGGTGTCAGCCCCAGACCCATTATCTGTCTCTGCCTTTCTGAATCCTCTAGTAATTCTCAGCAATAGATGTTCAGGATTTAACTGGATACAGTTTTGTTTCTAGGTTTAGAACATACTTAAATGGATAGATTTTTATTTGCCCTGGGAAGTCAGACTAGTAGCTGTTTGCATTGGTAGTTTTTATATGTATTTACATTTAGACTTTCAAAATCAACACAATACATCTTTTTAGACTTTAGCTTCCTTAAAAAGTTGTTTGAGAATTTTGCATTTAAATACTTGCCAGGTCAGTAGCCTACCATTGTTAATCATAAAATTTAATCTGTTCTTGAAGTAAAGATGTATTGTCTTGAAAAAAAATTAGTTTTAAAATAAAATTCAGCTCAATTGATCATGTTTTTAAAGTAAATGTATTTCGGTTGCTTTTCAGTATGCTCCTACTCATTCAGTTTTTCCAATAATGTAGTATCTGTGGCTGTATGATAGGAAGAACAGAAGTATCTACCAAGCCATGTGTTTTACTTAGTGTCACAAATAAGTTCTTGTGTTCTTAAGATATAATTCTTGAGTATTCTCTAGAACTGATCATTAGGCTTTTAAAAAATGAAGGATTTCTGGCTGGGCACGGTGGCTCACGCCTGTAATCCCAGCACTTTGGGAGGCCTAGGCGGGCGGATCACGAGGTCGGGAGATAGAGACCATCCTGGCTAACACCGTGAAACCTTGTTTCTACTAAAAAATACAAAAAATTAGCCGGGTGTGGTTGCGGGCGCCTGTAGTCCCAGCTACTTGGGAGGCTGAGGCAGGAGAATGGCGTGAACCTGGGAGGTGGAGCTTGCAGTGAGCCGAGATCTCACCACTGCACTCCAGCCTGGGCGACAGAGCAAGACTCTATCTCAGAAAAAAAAAAGAAGGATTTCTAATAATGTAACCACTTTTTTCTTTCTTTTTTTTTTTTTAAATAAATTACTTTCTAAGTCATTCTAGCTTAGTGGTTTATGTAAGTTGAATTGTAATGCAATCACTTCAATTGTTGAAAACTAAGAACATCTTGAACGGCTTCTAAATTTGATCATTAGAAGATAATCATATTTTTTAAATTGTCTTATTTAACCAGAAAAGTTAAAATCAAAATATATTTTATGAAAAAGGTCACAGCAAAGGACTTCATAAAGTAATACAAGTTGAGCATCCCAAGTTTGAAAATTTGTAATCCAAAATGCTCCAAAATCCAAAACTCTTTGAGCATCAACATGATGCTCAAAGCAAATGCTCACTGAAGCATTTGGGGTTTTTCAGATTTGGGATGCTCAGTCAGTAAGTATAATGCAAATATTCCCAAATCCTCCAAAATCTGAAACACTTCTCTTCCCAAACATTTCAGGTAAAGGATACGCAGATATTGTATGTATTATTCATGTATGCATAATACTGAAATAAATAGGAGTACATGACAGGCAAGAGGAAAGCAAAACCAATGTTTTTACGTCCTTTTAACTAAAATACAAAAGGAACAATGTATAATTTTGTTGAACTGACATCATTTTAAATTATATCAGCTGACATTTCATGTATCTTTTTTGACACATTTAATGTTTATATTAATTTTGAAACAAGCCAAAATAACTTACTAAATCTCAGAAAATATAGAGGAGGATATATTCTGAACATTAGCTGAATGTTTTCTATGTTACTCAGATGCCTTCCCTCGACGTTAGGTTATTAAACAAGAAACTGCTGACTTTTCAACACGTTAGCCCTTGAGTATGATTTGTGCTTGTTATGGACGTTGATGATGTTTCAGATTTCCGCTGAGCTCCACCTGCTTAGAAAAGCACCTTGTTCCATAGCCCCTAACTATTTATTAATGTTCCATCTAACATTAATAAATAATGTGAGGTGATGGCTCTGTACTTACAAAAATCTTTGGATTTTACAACCTAGCAGTCAGTGTTCTTTTGTGAATTATCTCTTCATATTCTCACAAGGAAGAGAACTGCCATTGACTTCATCTTAGAGTTGAATAGATAAATAACTAACAACTACAGTGTCAGAGCAAAGGTCGGCATTCACAATTCAGAAATCTCTCTCTATGGCTTTGCTTACTTAATTTTACCAAATGTCTGCTAATTTCCAGAACAAACAAGGAGGCCCTCATTTTTGGGCAGGAAGATGGGATAGGCGTTCAAATGTGACACTACTGACAACTGGAATATTTTATTTCTAGCCTTGTGAACAAATTTGCCCCTTCTTTATTCCACCCGAAGCCCTTAGTACCAGTATTCCAGGATCACTATGTAAGTTCTAAGGAGGAGGGATTTAAACCTGCAATTTAAGCCTGGCCCCAGGGGGAGAATGCTACTGTTTTGCAGACACCACAACACACATTTGTCTCCTTTCACTTTATGAATCTGTGTGTGTGTGTGTGTGTGTGTGTGTGTGAAGAATATGTTATAATGCCAGTATCATTTCTAGGTCATGTACAGGTCAACTCTGCCCTTATATTCACAGCTGAATCAGATGTTTGGAGTGACCACCAATGAGATGACTTTTCTTTTTAGGTTGTGACCTGCCCAAAAACTTTTGATAGGACAGCTGCCTCAGTCTTGATTTCTGTGTCCCAGGCTTGCTGGGGTACAAAAGCAAATGAAATCAAAATTAGGCCTTACTAATTTTCATAAACTGCATAGATGTTGAAGAGACTGAAATGTAATGCTTGTCATTTTATAAAAGTGAGATTTAGTAATAAAGCAAAATATTAGCTGAAGGATGGAGCTCTCTATAGACTCTCTAGTGAAATATGCTTATATTTTATAGAATAAAAAGAAGCACATTGGTAGTATGATTTATGCGTAGGTAAGACAGCTTCTTAGAATTTAAGAGTAAAATAAAAATAAAAAATATAGTTGTTTGGAAGAGAAAATGGTTCTGAGTGTGTGATTCATTCTTTTTTGTATTGGAATTTAAGAGGTGGTGCTTGCGGCAGTGAGCTTTTACCAGAAAAATAAGTCTGGCTTTTAATTTACGTGTGTGTCAGAGACATTAATCAAGTATTTGCATTATATACAGGAGACTCTTCTGGGGCTGGGTAAACATTTCAGACAGATATAGATGATATGATATATGTGTATATATTTTATACATATAAATAGAATGCCATACTTCATTCTCAGTTTAGAGATAGTCCTCCTCTTATCTATCACTTTGCTGTGCAAGTATTTAATTTTTTCTTATCCTGCTGAACTTTGATGAGCGCTTAAGGATTTTTCCAGCCAGTTCTCATGTGTGAAGCTTCAGGGTTGCCCTCTTACTGCATAAGGGCCGTGCAGCCACACCTACAGGAGGTAAAGGTGATGGCAAGCGAGTTGCAGACAAGCCTAGGACAAGGATTTGACATTTTGCATCTGCCTTTCCTATTGCCTCGCCTAGCTAAGTCCCCCAAACCTGTCACCTCTGTTTCTCTGTTGAGGGACCCCATGACCTGTCATTGCCTGACAGTTAGCAAATGGTTGTTTGCTAATGTTGATATATTAGCAAAGGTTCAAAGAAAAATCACAGTAGTGGTTGATGAGAGCATGGAGAAAGAAGTGAAGGCCTGAGAAGAATTGCCTGCAGACATGAGAACCATGGTGGAGGGACAAAGACCCTTGGGAAGGAGGATACTCAAGTGTGAGAGGATCAACTGATTTAGAGGAGGTGGAGGAAAACATACAAGAATGCAATGCATCTGATAAAGGAGGAACTTAGGATAAGGGCAAAGAGAGCTTTGCTTAGTGAGAGGAAGTGGCCACTATTACTGTTACTATTCTTGTTCTTATTGTTATTGTTCTATTACCCCCATGAATATTAACTTTACCCTCATGAGAACTAGCAACCTGAAATGAAATTGTGTGAGCAGTAACAAATTAGAGCTTAACGCCTATTCAGAGTTTCATCAACATTATGCTTCTAGTAACAGGCCACTTTTTATTAGCACTTCTGATAAAAAGGCCACGTCTGCTTCTAAGAGAGCTGTGGGGTGAAGGAAACCCTGGGGATGAATATTTTAATCAGATGACATGATTTATATAAAAATGCTGAGTGAACTGTAAAACTGAATACAGATGTTAGTAATTTAAGCCGGTTTCCAGCTGAGCCAGACCATCTGGGTTTCCTTGCTGCCCTCCACCCAAAGGTCTCCCAAATGGGGCGGGGCATTTGCTGTCAAGTACACATGTGCCTAAATGAGTCTCACACCTGGTGTTAGGGCCAACAGACAGCTTGGAGAAATGCTACCAACTCCAAATTTTCCTCCAGCCCTGGACAGTGACAGATATTCTACTTCCCATAAAGTGTGTGTCTCTTGTTGTGGTTGTTATTCAGTAATGTTGTTCTTTGAAACAGCTTTCTACATTTAGACACCATTGATAAAAACATCTTTAAAAAATGTGGCAGCCATCCCAGGCTTGAATGGCGAGGGAGTGTGGCTTACTATTTCATGAATCCTTGCATCAGGAAATAAGGTGCTCACTGACTGGTAGCCTGACTCTTAGAAATTTCCTGTACCTTTTCCAACTGTTTTCTCTGTGTTAACTGAGGATCATTGTGCATATTCTTACAAAGATAACCTGGAAACACAGGATCTCATTTAGCAGGAAGGCTTGGTGAGTGAGTGAGAGAGAGAGAGTGTGTGTGTGTGTGTGTATGTGTGTGTGTTGGGTGGGTAATTGTAGCGAATTAAATTTTCTGGTTAATGTAGGGCTAACAAGAACCATTTTTTGTTCAGGTTCTAGTGAAAATCTATTCTTCAATGCTTCATGGTCCTCCATTGCCTGATAAATATGGAACGTTGAGCACAATTGAATCCCAATTAGTGAATAAGAATCCAGCAGGACCTGAATACCTGTGGACTTTGTAGGTTGTTACACAGAAAGCACAGGTGATCAGGCCAAAATAGGATCTGTACCGGAACTTACTTTCCTGAGTCAGCAGTAATGAGACCTCACAGATGAGATGGGTCAGACAGGGACTTGTTCTGATTTATGAGAAAGATAAAGTAGACCTATTAGTAGTGGTGGAGGTGAGATCTCCAAGTAGATGAAGTCAAATGGAGGAAAAGATAAGGCATGTAAGTTACATCAGTTAGGGTCAGGTTTGTCTGCACGTGACACAAAATTCAAAACAATTATGGTTTGAACAAGATAGAATTTATTTTTCTCTTGTGTAAAATAAATCTGGAGATAGGTAGTCCAGGGTTTATATGGCATGGTGTTAGGGACCCAAGCTCCTTCTATTATATTTCTCTACCAACTGTAGTTCAATGCTTCTACCTCATAGTCCAAAATGGCTGCTTGAAATCCAGTCATTATGTCAGCATTCCAGTCAGTAGAAAGGAAAAGTAGCCAAAGAAGAGCTAGTTCCTTTTTCAAATAGCAGTTTCCAAAGTATGCACACTATAGTTCTACTTACGTCTCCTGAGTCAGAACTTAGCCATGTAGTCCCATCTAGCCGCAGGGAAGGCTGGGAAAGGTCCTGTTTCTTCCAGGTGGCCACATGCCCCACTAAAGTAATTGGGTTATATTAAGGGGAAAGGAGAGAGTGCACACAGGGAAACAACCAGCTGTCTCCGCTGTGAAGCTTGGAGAGAAAAGGTGATTGTGGTATCATGGAAACAACAACTATTTGTAGGAGTCTATGTCTGGAATCTCATGATGGCTTTGCTACTGACTCCCCATGTGACATTGGACAGGTCTCTTCAGTTTACTGAGCCTCAATCCCATCATTTTTAAAGCATGGATGCAGAACTTGACAATGTCCAAGATAACTTCCCCCTCAAACATGCTGGCTTCTATTCTCCTGAAAGTGGGTTGTCAAAACAAGACTAAAGTGATTCATGATTTTCGTTATTTGGGGTTTAGGTACATCAAGGACTGACTCTTGTTCAAGTGAGTGCAGTTTGGCCTCTGAGAAGAAAACTTTCCCAGCAAATTGAAGCATTTAATGAACTGAAGAAAATGGTGTAATGAATTAAAGGATTAGGCAGACCTGATATTTCATGGAGAATTAAATGTTGGCAATATCCAGTTCAATGTCTTCTTCAATTTAGGACTCTTGACTCTGGCTGAAATTAGCATTATAATTTATTATAATAAAATTGAATTGCACACTCAAGCTTGAAACCCTTCAAGAAGATAAAATTACAAAGAGAGACCCAGACATGGGGACTGTTTATCTCAATTAAAAATTGAGTATCTACCAAAGGCCAGGAACTAGATTAGGGACAAGGAGACATTACCAGGCTACTGTGGAGTCACAGACAAGTACATAAAACCATGTGAAGGTGTGATCATGCAGTGATTAAAATGTGTACAAAGTAGAGAAGGAAATTTTAAAAACTTTAAAACAAGGAGTCCTGCATTTTTACTTTATATTGGTCCTGCAAATAATGTAGTAGTCCTAGGTAAGACCAAATTAATCATCAAATCACTTTCTAAAAATAGATTTTTCCTCTTCATTCTTTCATTCATTCTTCCATCCAACATATATCTCGTGTACCTAGTATGTGCCAGGAACCTTCATATAGGCACCAAATTCTGATATCTGGGACTTGTTTGTGCTGGTTGTAAAATAATTGCACCTGCTTTTTTTATTGTAAACTGTTCTATAATAACTTATTTTTCTTTTCTTATTGATATTTGGTATGTTAAAATCAATATCTCTGTGTCCTCAATATTTCCTTTTTTGAGTCATCTGTTCTACTCTAAGGGTTTGTTTATGTTCACAAAGAGAAATTGAGAAGGGATGCTGTTATTTGGCAATTTCAAGTCCCAGGTTATGTAAGTCATGAGGCCAAAAGTGCTTGTCTGCCTGAATTCTCCAATCACTTGTTTCGATTTTGAAGTCCATTTTGTTTTCTCTTTAGGTCTAAATGTTAATGATTTTAAGGAAATAAGCTACAATTCAGAAGTTTATGTGACACTAAATATTTTAGAATTGGTTTACCTTCACATTTCAATTTATGCATTTCCTTATAAAGTTCTGGTGGTTTGGTCTGTCACCCATCTGTAATTTTCGTATGTCAGTGGAAGGGTTTACTAATTCAAGATATTCGTACCTTTAGTACTGTGTTAAACATCTTTCATTTCTTTAGGAAAGAATTATAGTTCAGGATGAATGATTAGGGTGGAAATAGCATATTGATTCTCTCCTGGAGATGGCTAAGATGATGAATTATTTGAACCCTTCTGAGAAGACTATCAGTGGGTCAGTACTACAGTCAAAGAAATTATATTGCTCTTCTCACTTTTATTTTGTACCTTAAATAAACCTGCATTAAAAAAACTCCCCTTATCTATTTCCTGAAATAAAAATCGCAAAAACACATCTTTGATATGAATTAACCTTCTAGGCTTAAACTTAGACTTAACATAGACTTAAATTCAAATTTTAATTGAGATTTTAAAATCTCTCCTCCCTATATGAATATTTAGATGTTTAGGTGGCATTTTCCTGTTCTATTCTATTCAGGAAATATGGACTCCTACACCCTGTAGAAGGCATATTGTGACATTGTGCTTGCAAAGGGAGTCTGATTTCATTTGATTTTATATTAATTATTAAAAAACACACCTATAAGTTAACAGTTGTTCCTTCGTGTTTCCTCCTTAAATCAGCCTTTCTTTATTGGAAAGTGTGCTTCATTTATCCCAGATGGTTCCATGCTACCTAGAAATACAATGATATGCCTACACCATTTATTTTGCGTAAGGTGGCATATTGCATGTTTGGGTGCACTCTTCATGTATTCTCTTTACCTCTGAGATGATCAAGAAACCAATTTCCTGACCACAAAAGAAGGAGGGTCCCCTGGCAGTTTGAGCATTTCTATTTACTGTTTTACCCTTGAGAAATCCTTCACACTATTTAAGCCTCAACATTTAAAAAACCAGTGAGCCATCAGAACCAGAACAGTAGCTTGCATGCTCTATTCATTAGTGTTTGTCATGGTTGTCCATACTGAATTACGGAATTTGAAGGTATATTATGCCACAGAAACAGGGTCTGGTTTGGACTGTGAGAACAAGTGATGTACAAATAAAAGATTAGCCAAACTGCATTCTGTTTTGCATTCTAAAATTACCCTCAATTTGCCTAATAAGTATGTTTTTCTCCATTGATTAGGGGCTTTATGTTTAATTCTGCTTACGGTAGTGGTTGCGGTTTTCTTATAATACCAACATAGTCCATACCATGTGGACAAGAATTTCCCCTCTGCGTAGTATTATAACACTTGGGTGGAATAAATGGAAGGGTTTGTCCCTTTATCCCAGCAGGGCACATGGTGATTATTTATGGCCAGTATTTCATGAAAAATTAAATTCCTTGAGACTTACATTTTATAAAGTTTAACTATTTGCAGAGTAAATGTAAAATGCCTGTGCCTGGCCAACATCTTTCCAGTCTAGAAATTGAAGCAGTTCGCTATTCCTTCACTGACAACCATTCAGCCTCTTCATGCCTCAATTATATTTTCAGCCAATAACATGTTCGTAAATCAAATGAATAGCTTGAATCTAAGGGGAATATTTAAGTCTTATACATAACCAGGATCTGAGAATCTTATTCTCGAGGCTCTTAACATATTGTTTAATTCTGCTTTTAGAAAATTTGCATTTTTTATTACAAGCTGGAAGTAATTTAAAACAGAAAAATTGACCCTGAAATCCAATATTATTTGTACACTGTAAATATAAAGTCTAAATTTATTCTTTAAATAATGAAAGATAAAAGAATATGCCTCTTTTGTAATGCAAAGACTAGTGGACAATAAAACATAAATATTTATGGGTCATTATAAAGGAATGGGATTTCATTCTATTTACTCCCAGGGGAAGGAGATTTGCTGTCTGTCCCTTCATAATCACAGTCATTTCCATCTGAAGCGTTCATAGGCAGTAACAGAGAAAAAAATAACAATACTCCATTGCAATAGCCATTAGACAACGGGTGTTCTCCACTTATACGTGGGCTAAAAATTGCTTTAGGATGGTAACAAAGAAAGCAGCCTGTGTAGATATCTGTCATTACTGCTTTGTGCTGACCATCAGTGACTTTGGGAAGCATTGTGGCATTTGAGGGCTACAGTATTTCCAGTGTTTTGTTAGATTGCTGAACATATTGATCTCACTAATGATTGCTTTTGGGCAAGACAATAGGGTGTTGCTAACAGAAACAGACCTTTGGCCTTATGTGGATGTGGCCAACAAATGCTGCCTGGAAATATAAGCTCTGTTATTTAGAGTCTCAACAATAGGTTTTCTTTTTTTTTTTCTGGAAACTCACAACAGAGGTTTGCTTATATCCTGTTGTGGCTGCTGAGCATTTATTTAAATATCACACATATTTTAAATTTATAATTTATTTAAACATTAAAGTACAACTGTAACAGAGACAGGCTGGCCTTGGAGTGAGCTCAACAGCCATATGTATTTATATGTTCTCTTTATGTATTTAGTGGGTTTGAAATTTACAGTCCCAACTTGGTCATAAAGAGGATTTTTTTTTTCATTCTTTCTATAGATAAATTCAACTTGGTCATCAGCTCACCGTTTCTGTGGATAAGAGAGAATATGATTTTGCTACTTCAAGGTAGCTCAGTTTCTGCAGGGTTGAAAATGTTGTCTTTTGAGTAAATATTCAATGAGTTCATTTTTTTGTTTCATTTTATTTCTGTACAGATTTCAGACTCCCTGACTGTACTGCTCTTTTTTCTCAGGTTTCCTCTTCCTTGCTCCCCATTGGCTCTTGGTTAGGAGAGAGAATTATGTAGCATCATGGTGGAGGGCAGGAGGACCTGGTTCATGTTCTGTCCTCCAGACCTCACAGCACTGAGAGATCTCATCCAGCTTAGTGTTTGGTTATCAGTCTTTATTGTCCCGGCACTCCCTACTGTGGTGTCCGTTGTGTGTTCTCTTGGAGCAGGTGCTATCTCGTGCGGCTCACAGAGCCTGTCCAGGGTCTTAGTCCACTTGGGCTGCTCAAACCTTAGACTGGGTAATTTGTAAGCAACAGAAATTTATTTCTCACAGTTCTAAAGGCTGGGAAGTCCAAGATCAAAGGCCCACTCTCTGCTTCATGACACCTCTAGCCATATCTTCAGATGGTGGAAGGGGCAAACAAGCTCCCCCAGGCCTCTTTTATAAGTTCACTAATCCCTTTCACGAGGGCTCCACCCTCATGACTTAATCACTTCCCTACAGGCCACACCTCTTAATACTATCACATTGAGAATTAGGTTTCAACATATGAATTTGGGGGCACCCCAAAATTCAGACCATGATAACAGCTCTTCGTGAGGCTTGGCCATCTCCACATCTCTGCCATCGTTGGCACAGCAGCCTCCCTGCATCCCTCCTCCCTCCTCTCTCTGGACAGTCACCCCTGAGCTTCTGCTATGGAGTCCCCGGCAGGCATGGTGGCTCTTTACTGTCAATGATCTCTGTTGCCGTAGAGAGATTGTAGGGAGATTTTGAGGTTTCTTCCATGCCAGTATACCTGGATGGGGAGAGATGGGTCATCTCATCCATCTCTCTTTCTAGACTTGCTCAGCCATCATTTTCACTCTCTTGATGGCCACCCATGTTGGTGCAGAGAACAGGTTGGAGGAGGACATGAGAAGTTTACTTTTAGCCTAAGATCTTACATTTGCGATATCTAATAAGCATACAGTGGAGCAGGCAGTTGCAGACATAGTTCTAGAATTTAGGGGAGAGTTCTGGGTTGGAGATAATAATTTGGAAGTCAGTAACCTTTAAGTCATACTTAAAGCTATGAGACTAGATAAAATCACAAAGGAAGTGTATATAGATGAAAACTAAGGAGATAAAATGGGTTCATAAAAAATACTGAAAAGAAGCTACTGGACATAATAATAATAATTATTTAAAGAAAATTATCATAGGCCCTAAGGCTAGATGGGACATTCAAGTTTTACCTGTGAAAGTTGTAAGGAATAGATCCAAATGGGCAGACATTTCTCCTTTTCCCCAAACTTCCCTAATTGATCTCAGAACCTTTTTCACCAGGCCTGGAACCCTTCACTAGTCGACACAGTGCTTTCTCAGTAGATTCAAACTGGAACATGTAATGAAACTTATTTTCCAAACAGATATAAATTTTAGGGTGAGCAAAGTAGCAATTGGTTCAAAAAAACAGGTAATCCTACTTCCTTCCTGGAAACTTCTTTAAAACACTCAGCCATGACCCACAGACTGGAATAGGTCTTCTCCAGTCAAGGACTGGATAAGTTTAACCCTTGGTACAGGACTGCCTATAGTAGCATCGTGGAGAAGCTCCAATGTGTGCTCAGATGAGGACCCTGAGCTACACCTTCTATGAAGGAATCTGGAGTCAAGGAAACCCACCACTGTTATCTCCCAGGATCCCTCAGATTCCCTGGTGCACTCTTGCTTGCTTTCTTTTCCAGGAAGAAAGAAGATACAAAATTTTGAATGTGATGACCATGGCTTTTTTAGGATCCAAGGGTCTTGGCAACACATAAAATGTCAAGTCCTAGAGCTGCATTGTTGTCTGCAGTGCCCCGGTGGTTGGCTGCAGTCCTTCATGGGAGCTCTTTCTACTCCCTTGGTTTGCTTAGATGGGCTCATATTTGTAGAATTTACAGCGAACTACCGGGCATTTGGCATATAGGTCTGATCACGTTGAATACCAAACAACAGAAATGCTATAAAATTTAAAGTTTAAAATTGTTTGACTAAAGCATTTGTATTAATGAAATTCAAATTTGTCGAATTTTGTTACTTTGTCAATTTTTGTTTGGTCATACCCTACTTTCCCAAACGACCCATTGCTTTTTTTTTCTCCCCAGATTTAAAGTGAATTGTAATGAATTTTTAAAAAGAATTTTGGAATAATCTTTGAAAATCCTCGGAGATATTCTATGAATTGCAGAACCAGAGTTAGGAATTATGGTCTAAAGCAGAGTTTTTAAACCTTAGCCCTACTGGAGTTTTGGGCAAGATAATTCTTCGCTGTTGGGGGCTGTCCTGTGAACTGTAGGATGATTAGCAACATCCCTGGCCAACACCCTCAGTAGCACTTCAGCCCAGTTGTGACAGTCAAAAATATCTCCAGATACTGCCAGATGTCCCTTGGGGGAGCAAAATCACTCCCAGTTGAGAATCATGGCCAAAAGGACAGAATTATTAAAAAAAAAAAAATTTTTTTCTCAATAGAAATGTATTTAAGACATTCTAATTTATATATGTAGATTTTAAGTCTCCCCAAAACCTTATCATTTTTCCTGTCTTTTGTGAGAGTGTTGTGGACTTGAGGATTTAATTGGTCAAATCACATTAGGCATGAAACATGGGAAAATCTGGTGGGATTTTAGAAGATTTAGTAAGACTACGTAAATTAAAGTGGAGCACCAGAATTTAAATGAAGTAGGGCTCAGCCACAGAAGTGGATTTTAAGAGAGATGTAGTGCAGTGATATGTGAACTCTCCAAGTAGAAGCTGCTTTGGCTGCCTACTTTCCACTGTTCAGTTACAGAAAACTGTGCTGTTGATTGAGAATCTTTACCCAGACATTCAGAAATTTCTGTAGAGCACTTTATTTGTGTCCATTGTTTTAATGTAACATAAGCCAAAGCTCAGAATATAGAGTAATAGATGGATGTTTATGGCCGATCCATGAAGAGACAGTCAGATCAGTTTTATTCCACTGGAAGGAAAGGTTAACACCCAAGAGGTTAGTAAGAAAAGAAAACACATCTCTGATTATCTTCCAAAAAATATCTCTGCGTTAACCATATGCAGAGGACAGTTTAACCTGAGTTAATATGGTATGATCCAAAGGAAATGTATGGAAATGGAAAGAAATGAACACACTTAAATATAAAGGGAGTTAAGATTTTAGGAGATCAATTTCTTGCCTACATTTTTTCAAAAGAGGTTTCGAGGACAATGCCATTGGAAATACATAACAGCAACAGTGGTAATATGGAGAGATTCCTCCCTAAAAGAAAGAAAGGGATGGATGACTGAGGAGGTGTTTATACCTTCTATTCTCAGCCAACTAAATGTTAGACAATGATGCCATGTGTCCTTAACAAATGGAATTTTCTAGGGAAAAAGCACAGGAAGTCAATATATTTCTTAAACAAATTAAAAACAAACTTTGAAAATTTGGTGATTTTTATTTTTATTTGAAAAATCTGAAAATACATTTGGTGTGCAACATTATTCTGGTAGGTACACTGTTGCCTAAAATTGTACTTATACTTTGTACCAGCTCATATATGTTTTCAGATTTTCTGGTTATCTCACTTGGTCTATAAAAACAGCTGAACTCTTTCATTTTAAAATATCTGAAGGAATTTTTTCCTTAGAGGAGAAATTTTAAGGATGGGTTATAAATAAACTCTTTAAGAACTAGTAACAGTTGTTGTGTTCTTAGGCACCAATTCTGTGTACGCATTTGAGGTGGACAAAACTTATCCAGAAATCAGAACATAAACTGTGTTAGGTGAAGCGAAAGCTTTCTCACTGCTAAATTTGGTTAACTACTTTGTCTTTGGCTGGTTTTCAAATAAAGATGTTCTTTAAGAAAAGTGATTTTTAATGACTTTGAATATTTCCCTGTAAAACCCTCTTCTAAGGGGTTGAATAATTTATGCATCTTTAATGTTAGAGAGGGAAGGTATTCCTTGAAGGCCAGCTTTTTATAAGCACTTTGTCATGGCTGATTGATCTCTCCACTCAGAACTACAATCTTCCATGAAACATGCAATTGAGTAGGTCACTTGACCCCAATACCTCCAAAGCGCATAAATGGGTTATGAACACAGACATATACACAATATTAATTTCAATTGCCAAACACAAGTATCATAAAGAAACAAGCAACCCTGAGATAAAGAAAAGTAGAATGTAGGGCAAAGATAGAAGCAAATTAAAAGCAAATTAATAAGTTGTAAATCTTACATAGGCAAATCTTAAGATGTTAAGGTCACTCAATTTGGAAAAGTACATGAACTGTTTCCTGGGAGAATTGGACATTTATGGGCATAGGTGGACATCTGTCTATACCCTCAGATAAATCTATAGCATGTGACACCGTGCTTCATTGATTTTCTATTTTCTTCAAGTTAAGGTTTATCCAAACTTATTGTTTTGCTCCAGGTCACAGGTCACTGGCTAGGCTATAAACTGGCTTCACTTGAGTCCAGTGGCCACCTCTGGTTCAGTCATTAATGAACAGGGAGTCAGAGTTGGTTGCATGCTTATGGGATTTGGCTCTTACAAGTGGGACAGCGCCTATGAGAGGGTTGTCCGGGGTAGCCTTTGGCCTCATCAGCACACTCATGCCCCGTCTTCTGAAGCAAGTATAATTTTCCACAAATTGTATTCTCTTCAACATAGAAATATTCCTAACAGGATTTTAAAGCCTAACTGAAAAACAACTGTATGTCCATTTGATTTTAAGTTATTTCAGAATATCCTGAAAAAAAAATTATCTTGCCTGTTGAACTCTTTCTATAGCATAGAGTTGGAAGGTGTTAAAATCTTCCAGAAGAAACAATATGGCAATTCTTCCCCTTTTCGCCATTTCAAAAGCCTTGGCGAATGAGCGTCAGGGAGAGAGCTGGTAGTGGGTGATGCTGTGAAACCACAGCCATATTCTCTCGATGGGCCCGGAGGTCACAGTGCTGCACTGGAACATCTGTTCCTTAGTACCGACTGTGTAACCCTATCAGCCACTGGTAGCAGCAGGCATCCTCCGATGTGCCTATCATCTCTGATGACAAGAGCAAATGGTCTTCCTCAGGGACCCACAGAACTGACAACCTGGCCACAGTGACATGAGGGCTGAGGTGGGGGCAGTTGCTGCTTGTGTCACCACCCACCAAGGTTTCTGGGGACCCCAAGCCTGCCCATTGTCACACTGGACACCAGCCTGGGTGCAAATAGATTGCAATTGCAGAAAGCTAGTTTCCTGATGCCAGCACTTTTTGAAGCTGTAGTAGGCAAAGCATTGCCATTTTTAATCATCAGAGAAATGGTTCTGGGGCAGGAGCTCCTCACTTTGCTTGCCTCGGGGTTAGGATTTAGCAGTTTTGAAGAGATTTGTTTAATATATATGATTAATGGATCAAAACAAACTTTTACTCGGTTACCAGGGTTGTTTACTCTAATAATAAATTCATATGAGTGATTTTAATAGGTTTTCTAATAAAGGATTTTAAAAGGCATTTTGAAATTTCTGTTATATGTAGAGCTTTTTCAGAAATCATTATAATTTATATACTACTGTGTGTGTGTGTGTGTGTGTGTGTGTGTGTGTGTACTGGAGTGTTTGATCAGGACATTTTTGATAAACATTTTTTTCTTGCTGATAATAGAAAATAACTAACAGATACTCTTCTGGTATGGTTAAATATTCCTAAGAAAGTGCTCTCACATTGTACATGTTTTTATTATACTGTAATGAGTTAAGAAGAATTATAGGATTTACTCCATTTTTCTCAGCCTCCTTTTGCCCCTGCTTAAATTAGTTAAATATGTGTATCTCTTTCTCCCTTGGATGCCCCTCCCTGGTGGCTACTGTTAGAGATATTCTTCCTAGTCCAATATTTCTGAAGAAGAAGGTTCAGATATCTATAGCTTGGAGTGGACTGAGCCTGAGGGTAAGTTCTAAGACAAAAACCTTGGAGTCATCCTTGATTCTCTCTCTTTCTCACACCCAGTATCCAATCCATGAGGACATGTTGACACTAACTTCAAAGTTTAGCCAAAACTGGGCTGTTCAGCACCAGCTCTGCTTAGCCTTCTTTATTTTCATCTATACAGTCTCCACTGATGACTGGTGCTTGCAAGGGACTGTCTGTAAAATATGCTTAATGTCTAAGGCATTCATAACTGCATGTGTAACATGTACGTAGTTTAGTAAAACTGCGTTGCATTACTCATCTGTAAGTCCTCCAGACCATCCCTGGCAGAATCAATCATTTCCTCCTCTGCATCACCTTTATACCTTGTACAATACATCCCTGTTACTCATTCAACAAATATTCCCTGAGAACCTACTATGTGCTAGGATCTTAGCTAGATTCTTAGGATACATCAGAGAGAAGAGAGGAAAAAACGTTTGCCTTTGTCAAGTTTACTTTCTAGCAGAAGATGACAAATAGTAATAAATATAATAAATAAGTACATGCTAGTGTGTGATATGTATGAAGGGAAAAGTCTGAGAGTATGAGTTCAGGAATACCAGAATACGTTGGAAACTTAAATTGGATGAGAGGGTTGAATTAAGTGAAGGTGTGGAAAAGGTGAAGGAATTAACTAACAGATATCTGGGAACAACCACTGTGGGGGACCCTAAGGTAGGAACAGGCTTAGTGAGTTCCAAGGGTAGCATGGAGGCCAGTGCAGCTGAAGGGGAGGGAGCAGGGGGAGAGTAGCAGGAGATGAGTTGACAGATGACGAGGAGGAACAATCTAGGATCTGGGACCCACCGAAGGCCCTTTGGCCTTACTCTGTGCGAAATGGGAAGCCAGTGGAAAGTTTTGAGCAGAGTATCACAGAAGCAGCATTATGTCTTAATCATATCCATCTGGCTGCTGTGTTCTGTAGTTTTATTGCAATAATATAGGCAAGATGTGAGGATGAATTGTACCACGGAAGGTGCAGAGGAGATGGTAAGGAGCAGCCAAGTTCTGGCTACACTTTGGAGTCAGTGCCAACAGGATGTCCTGATGATTGGATGTTGGGGTGAGAGAGAGAGAGAGAGAGAGTCAAGGAAGTCAACGATGATGACCAGGGTCTTGATCTGAACAACTGGAAGGATGGAGCTGTCATCAATGGAGATGAGGAAAACAGCAGGGGGAACAGGTTAGGAGATTCATTTGGGGGTAGGGTCAGAAATCAGAAGTTCTGTTTCGGACGTGGCTAATTGGAATTATCTATTAGACTTCTAAATGGAAATATCAAGTAACGAGTCTGGAGTTCAGAGGAGAAAGTTGGAGCTAGAGATGTAAAATTGAGAGCTGTGAGCCAATAGATGGAATTTAGCACCATAAGACTGGAAAGATCACCAAGAGCATGTGTATAGGAAAAGAGAATGTTCAAGGGATGAATCTTGGGGACACTCTAATGTTAAGAGATGAGGAGAAAGAAGAAGAAAAAGCAAAGGACACCAAAAAGGAACAAACAGTGAAGTTGGAGGGAAACTAGAAGAGTATAGTTTCCTGGAAGCTAAATGAAAACAAATTACTTAAAAAGTGATCGGTTGGATCAAATAAGGTTGATAGATTGACCTTAAAAATAATGTTATTTAGGTCTTCTGCATCCTTTTTTCATATTATCTTACTCATAATTTTACTACAGAAAGAATTTTCCAGGTCTGTATAAAGGAAGATAGGGTCTTTTACTACTCTTTCTTCCCCCGTAGTTTGTTATAAAAATATTTAAACATAAAAAGTTAACTGTACAGTTTTTGCCTATTTACTTACCATCTAGATTCAACAATTAACATTGTTCTTTATTTGCTTTATAAGCCATCAAGCCATGTTACGTTTTGCACATTTCAAAGTAAGTTGCAGGCTTTACCCCTAAACACTTCAGCAGGTATTGTGCATATCATTATCTACAATTCAATATTTGTTTGCTGTTTTTTTTCGGTAAAATTTACTGGTGGCTAAATGTAAAAATTTCAAGTATGCCGTTCAGCTACCTTTGACAAATGGATGTAACATATAACCCAACTCTATTAATATATAAAACATTACTGTTCCCCACCCCCTCCAGGGGCCTCCCTTATTTCCTCACCTTCCAAAGGCAGTCACTGTTCCACTGTTCTGATTTTTTTTAACCAGCAATTAGTATAGCTTGTTCTTGAACATCATGCTCCTAGAAATCTAAAGACCATGCTTCTACCTAGGGCTGTGTGCATTCTCAGGGCTATATTCATGTTCATGGAAGACCTGAAAAAGCCCCAAGCTCTCACTTCTATCCAAACTTGAAGCATTGGGAAAGCAGGACATGAAGGCTAATGTGGAGTTGTAGACTTCTTGGCTGAGTGTTGAAGACATGCACTAACTACACACAGAGCCACTTGGCAGACTGGGACACGTATTAGTTCCAGGTATTTAAGGCAATCTCTGTCCAATCATTAGCTGTCCTGTAAGCTAATTGGGCACAGACGTTAGTGGCACACGTGACAAAAAATATAGACTTTACAGAGTTAATTTAGAAAAGTCACTGAACAAACGGACGACAAACAGCAACAACAAACCTTGGGGAATGACAAAAATCTGATTTTCAAAATGCCAATTTATATCATTTAAAATGTCTAGTTTTTTAACAAAAAATTGATGAGACATGCAAAAATAAAGAAAGTGTGGCCAAAAAAATCATGGTGGCAGTAGGGAGACAGTCAAGAGAACTTCCTTGAGGAAGTCCATACTAGTTGGACATACAAAACAATGGCTTTAAAGCAGATGTTTTAAATATGTTCAAGTAACTAAAAGAAACCCTATATGAGAAATAAAGTATCAGAACAATGCCTCCCTAAATATAAAATATCAAAAAAGATACAAAAGTTTTTGTTTTAGAAAAGGAATAGAATAGAAAATCTAGAGTTGAAAAGTACAATGACTGAAATAAGAAATTTACTAGAGGAGCTCAGCAGCAGATTTGAGCAAGCAGAAGAATCACGTATATTGAAGACAGATCAATTGAGATTATCCAGTTGAAAAAACGCAAAGAAGAATGAAAAAAGATGAACAGAGCCTCAAAGGTCTATGGGACACCATCAAGCATACCAACATATGCAAATGGGCGTCCCACAAGGAAAGGAGAAAAAGAAAGGAACAGAAAGAATGCTTGAAGAAATAAGGGTGAAAACTTCCCAATTTTGCTAAAAAGCATTAATCTACACATTGTTGAAGAAGCTCAGCAAACTCCACATAGCATAAACTCAAATAGAACCATCTTAGACACATCATAATTAAACCATGAAGATCTGAATACAAGGAGAGAATATTGAAAAGAGAAGCAATTCATCACAAGTGCAAGGGATCCTCAGTAATGTTAACAGCTGATTTCTCCCCCCCAAAAATCATGAAGGCCAGAAAGCAGTGGGATGACATATTCATATTCAAAGTGCTCAAAGAATAACCTATCAATCAAGAATTCTATATCCAGCAAAGCCATCCTTTAATAATGAAGGAGAAATTAAGTATTTTCACATTAAAGGAAATCTGTCACTATCAGATATTTCGTACAAGAAATATTAAAAATAATCCTTTGAAAAATGACAAGGAATTAATATAACTAGAAGATATCTAACACAAAGCAGTTTGTGTTGAATAAAAAGGACATTATAGAAGTTGAATAAAAAGGACATTATAGAAGTTGAATAAAAAGGACATTATAGAATGTTAAGGCTAGGCCTGATGGCTCGTATCTTTAATCCCAGAACTTTGGGAGGCTGAGGCAGGAGAATCACTTGAGCACAGGAGTTTGATTGAGACCAGCCAAGGAAACATAAAAAGACCTCATCTCTGCTAAAAGTTAAAAAAAACTTAACCAGGCACGGTGGCACATGCATGTAGTCCTAGCTACTTAGGAGGCTGAGGTGGGAAGATTGCCCAAGCCAGGGAGATAAAGGCTGCAGTGAGCTGTTATCTCACCACTGCACTCCTGCCTGGGCAACTGAGTGAGACCTTGTTTCCAAAAGAATTTTTTTAAATTGTTAAAGATAGAATAACAAAATGGCAAACATAAATAATCATATCAATAATCATTAAATGTAAATTAATTAAACAGTCCAATTAAAAAGGAATTAAACACTGAATTAAAAAATGATCCAACTGTATGCTATCTATAAGATACACTTTAGATCCAATGTATACACAAATAGGTAAAAGTAAAGAATGGGAAAAATAATTCAAAAAACATGGGAAAAATGTAAACAGGATCCAAAAGATATTTAATGTGGTCATATTAATGTCAGACAAAATAGACTTTAAGGCAACAATTATCATTAGAGATGAGAGATAAAATAATAAAAGGCTGCTCTTTCAAGAATATATAACAATTATGAACATTAATGCACTTAACAACTAAGCCCCAAAATACATGAAGCAAAAATTGTCATAATTGAAGGAGGAAATACAATCCAACAATAGGAGTTGAAGATTTCAGTATTCCACTTTCAATAATAAAGCACCTAGAATGAAGGCAAACGAGGAGGTGGAAAACTTTAGCAATACTATAAATCAACTAGACTTAATAGACATATATAGAACATTCCACTAAACAGAAACAGAATGCACATTATTCTCAAGTGCACATGGAATATTCTTCAGGACAGACGAAAATGTTAGATTATAAAGTCAGCCTCAATGAGGGATTAAAATTTTGCAAAGTATGTTAGTCAATGACTGGAATAAAATTAGGAATCAATAAGTGAAAGAAATTTGGGAAATTTACAAATATATAGAAATTTAACACATTTCTAAATAACCATTGGGTCAAAGAAGAAATCACAAGGGAAAAATTTGAAAATATTTTGAGATGAATGAAAATGAAAACACAACATACTAAAACTTATGTGATACAGCTAAAGCAGTGCTTACAGGGATATACCTGTGAATGCAAATATTAAAATATAAAAAAGATTTCAAATCAATGACTTTTCACACTTAGAAATCAGAAAAAAAAAAGTGTAAACAAAATCCAAAGCAAGTAGAAGGAGGGAAACAAGATTAGAGAGAAAGTAAATGAAATAGAGAGTAGAAAAACATTATAGAAAATGAAACCAAAAGTTGGTTCTTAGCAAAGATCAACAAAATTGACAAACTATTAGCTTGACAGACCAAGAGAAATTAAAGAGAAGACTCAAATGACTAAAATCAGGTATGAAAGAGGGACATTACTACTGACCTTAGAGATATAAGAAGGGTTATAAAGGAATACTTTGATCAATTGTATACAAAGAAATTAGATAAGTGAAATGGATAAATTACTAGGAAGAAAACTGTTTTGAGCATTAAATGAGATGTTTGTGAAGCTATTATTTTAGGTTCTGCCCCATAGTTTGTCTTTTATTTCATTTCTGTACATGTATGGAACATGGCAAAATACTTTGCATTCCAGAATGACTCTTTATTTGTCATTTATCATTTGATTTTTCCTTATTTCCTACCAGATGAGGTCAAAATTATTCCTGATTAACAGGCACTCCCCAGGATGATTTCAGCCAAGCCTGCTTATCCAACCTGATGTCCTCATTGCCTCAGAACACACACCCAGTACAGAGGTCCAGACAGCTTCCTCACTGCCCCATAAACATTCTGTGTTGATTTCTGGTCCTCTGTCTTCATTCATAATGTGTCCCTTACCCAAACCTCTCCCATCTGTTCCCAAAGTACATTTGCCTTGTTTCAACAATGAAACAACCTGGGAAGTTCTTGACGGCAGATATCACTTCCACATTTCCCCATAGAAGCTACCAGGACCTTGGCTCCTAGCCTGACTGTCCATCACCTGGAGAATTTTCAAAAATTATAAATTACTGATTTTTACCTCCCAGGAATACAGATCTGGTAGGGCTGTTAGGGATCAGGAATCTGTAATTTTATCAAACACCTTGGTAACCCAGGTGTATCTTCTGTAGGACTGAAGTTAATGTTGCGGCAACAAGGAGAAATGGAATAAACACTAAGAAGGTAGTCAGCTCTTCAGACATGGGAACTGAGATTCATAGAAATGAAGTGATTCCATGGCAAAAGAGTGGGAGATTATAAATAGGTCCCTGGGTGAAATGATTTAAATATAAATTATACTATTTGGGAAGATATACATCTTGGAGCTCATTTACCCTAGTAGGCATGTTATATGAATGAGCCCGAAATGGCCTCTGCATATCAATCCCTAAATTGTTTATTTCTTACATAGCTGACTGGGATCCATTAGCTCAAAAGCCTGCAAGCACCATATTCAAATGTTTGCACATCCAAATTGTTTTAAACATAGTTTAAATAAGCAGAGTTTTAGCCATTTTGAGCCTACCTGCTTTGCATACCCCCAAAACTCTATCCAACATCTATAATCATACATAAGGTAAGCCCCAGGCCTAAAAGACCCTCAGGCCACTGCTGTGCTTCAGGGATCTCTGACCAGAGACTCCCTGCTCTGCTGGTGAGTAACACTGACATCACATAGAAACATACACATATAAGCTTCCCCTCTCAGTCCCTTCTTTCCCAGGAGTTCCCTTGCCTACCTCCCCTTCTGAGTAGTAGCCACCCCTCTGCAGTAGCCTCTGGTCAGTTACATGCAGTGAGGGACTCCCCCTGCACGCAAACCTGCCAAAGCCTTATCCAGTACAGCCTTGTGTGTGTTGCTGCCATTTCATGGTCATATCTTTTTTCCTTGATCAATCCCTAAATTCTTCAGACCCCCTACACAGGTACCATAGGGATAGATGAACAACATGTAGAGTCTGAAAGTCAGAAATGATGAGAATGGGAAGCACCAGTGACTGGGATAAGAAGTAGATCAGCGGTGACCCTGGGGAAGCTCCTCTGTGTCCAGCAGGGCAGAGCTCAGGAATTAGTGTTCCTAGAATTGCCAGAGACCCTCACAGAAGCCTAAGTTACTTGTCTGTTTTGTAAAATATATGTTGATCTCATCCCTAGAAGGTGTGGCACACAGGAGGAGAGGGAAGAGAATATTCAGGACTTTCACAAACATTAGGTTCAGGAATTCACACTTGTGAACTTTTAGAAAGTATCTTCAGGGGATAGAAAACCAAAATTAATTTCCTTTGTTGTGGACATCTTTTTTATTCCTAAAGAAGAGGCAGTTATAATGTTTAATATTTATCTTACATCATGGAGTGATATGCTCCCATGCATTCTTACAACAGCTCTTCGTGTTATCCTCACAGTATTAGGGCTGTAAAGCTATCTTTGCTTTAGTTAAGCTGTTAAAACTGGTAATATCCACCTAATATAAAACTAATGTTCTCTAGCTCAGGCAAAGGGACAGTAAAAAAAAAAAGAAATGAACCAGAAAAAAAAGACACTTTCACCTCTAATTATGCAACTTGCCAATGTACTTGACTAATCTCTTGCTCTTTTATACTGTTCCACCATGTCTTGTTTGTTTTACTTTATTTACTTAAAATATAATTTATTGCCCGTTGAATTAAACTAGGAAGCTCCACCTCACAGCTGAGGTGGACTTTAAGAAGTTACTCTTATGGCCTCAAAGTTTCTTCCATGATAAACCTTTGGAAGGTCTACTTGTTTTGTTTTTCTCCATTGTTATGGATGAATATGTGTCCCTCTACCCCCAAATGTATACATTGAAGCATTAACCCCCAATAGGATAATATTTGGAGGTGGGGCATTTGGGAAATAATTAGGCTTAAATTAGGAGATCATGAGGGTAGAGCTCCCACAGTGAGATTAGTGTCCTTAGGAGAAGAAGTGATGATAGATTGCTCTTCCCTTCAGCCATATGAGGACATAGTGAAAAGATGGCTAGGCTGTCTGCCAGCATGAGGGCCCTCACTAGAATTCAAGTCTGCCAGCACCTTGATCTTGGACTTCCCAGCCTCCAGAACTGTGAGAAATAAATGTCTATTGTTTAAACAACTCAGTCTATGGTATTTCGTTATAGCAGCCTAAGCAGACCGAGATACCCATGTACTCTAGTAAAAATAAAAATAACATAGCTAATACCTAACACTGGGAATACTGTGTAATACCTAACACTTGGAATTCCATGGCACTTGGAATACTAACAGCTTTTCATATAGTAACTCAGTCCTTCATTAAGCACTGTTTTAACCCTCTGATTGAGATGGGAAACTGAGGCAAAGAAAACCTAAGACACCTGCCCACATTTATAAAGCTGGCAAGTGGTGGAGCTGGGATGCACACCCAGGTCGCCTGGCTCTGGAACTGGTAGCCCACATGCTCAGCCACCTCTGCTAAGCCCCATGCTATGGAGGTGGTTGGGAACCTTGCCCGCCTCCAGATTGGTTTGGCCTTGTGTGGCCTTGGCAGTGATGCCCAGGGAAGCTCAGGAGCCTGTGGTGGTAGGCACAGGTGAGTGCAGGGAGCAACATTGTGTTAGTTAGGTGTGGTGCACTGACTGAACTGTGTAGAGAGAAGACGTACTCAGCATTTTTTCCTAATTATTGGATTGTAATTCTCAAGCTAGAGCATTGCATATATATAACTTAGTCTCTTTCAGTACTTTCCAGGCAGGATGATGGTATTATGGTCCTCTCTCAATAGAGGGCTGCTTCCAGGTCTGCTAGACAGTGAACCTCGGCCACCAGTTGACCTGACGTTCACTGTGACCTACATTACCATAGTAGTGAACTTGGGCAACTGTGTTTTTCCCTTTCTACCCAAGCAAGTGATTTACCCTGAGAAGATGCCATACTCTTGGCTTGCCCACATAGGCATGCTCCTTATAAGAGAGCCTTTTTGGGAACCCTGTGCAGAGAAGTGAGCGGCGTTACCTTACAGCTGCCACACAGCTGTATGAGGGAAGCCCAGGAGGTTTTGGCCATGGCATTGTCAGATATACTTGTCCGTCTTATTCTCCAGAGTCTCATAACGCTTCAGCTTGCCCAAGTTGTATTCATTTTTAGTCATGCTGCCCTTGGAGATTCAGAAATCAAGTCTGAGTTTGAGGCTGTCTTTTTTGATGATTGCAAGGAATGGAAATGGGAAAATGTCAGAATTTCAGTCTCTTAGTGGCTTCAACATTCCATCACTGGCACTAGAATCTCTGAGATACCATTTTTTTATATATATATAATTGGTTCACAGGGAAACTGATACAGGAGGAGAATTACAGCTATAAAAACAATGATGAGAAGCAGTTGTGCAGTCAGACAGGCAATAATGAAAGCAGACCCCAGAGCTTGTCTCCCTGGGCTCCACATAACTGAGATTCTGACATCGTGGCAACTGGGTGTGTGCCTTGTGTGCCCTGTGTTCTTGGAGCTCTTTTGCCGTGTTTGTGAAGGAGAGCCACTGAAGTGCAAAGATGGGCTGGGGAACATGGGGGACTGGGCTTCTGTGTCCAAGAGACCATCTGGGGCCGGATCAAGCCAGCACTGAATCCCCCTGGCCTCCTGCCAGATGCTGACTCCTGGAGATCTTGGGTGTGAAGCAAACTGTCAGCCCACCATTCCCTGGCTCATGACAGCCTTTGTAATCAGCCCCACGAAGAAAAATAAATAACTCAAGGCATATTTCCCCTGAGTGTCTCTCCCACTATTTTGGATGGCTAACATTATATAGTAGTTGATAATAACTGTGAAATTACACAATCATCAATTTCTATGCCTTCTTCTTTACCACAGTAAAGTCTCCATTTACTGTGTAAAATCAGACTTTGTACAGCACCTGTAAAAAGATATTTGTCAGAGATGTGGTGACTACAATGCAGTGAGTTATTTCCCAAGTGGTAAGTAAACCTTGGAAGAGATGAACAGTATAGAAGTCCGTAAGGAGGATGTCATAAATCTCAAAATTCACTTTGTGCTGAAATATTTTATTACAGCATTGATGATACATGGGCAAAACTTATTGAGTGGTAAATCATTCAAATTAAGTAATTTCAGTTTGTGTGTGTGCTGTTAAACTTCATCTAGGTCTTAGATATTTTGGTTAGATTTTCTGAGACTTTTTTATTAGAATTTAGTGAGGACATGTTTTGAAAAAGGTTTGGGTTACTAAGTATACAGAATACTAGGTATGTGACTCTGTTCAAAGCATGAAACTTCTTTGTTCACCAAATGTTCTCAATCATATGTGGAAACTAAAGAAAAGTTGATGTAGAAGTAAAAAGTAGAACAGAAGATACCAGAGGCTGAGAAGAGTTGGTGAAAGAGAAGGATAGGGAGAGATTTATTAAAGGACCCAAACTTATAGCTAGAGAGGAGGAATAAGTTCTAGTGTTCTGTAGCACTGAACAATTAATATAGTTAACAATAACATATTATACAGTTTCAAATAGAAGGAAGATAGTAAATGTTCCCAACACAAAGAAATGATAAATGTTTGAGATGATATATATGCTAATTACCCTAATATGATTACTATATATGTATTGAAACACCACTGTGTACCCCATAAATGTCATTATTACGTATCAATTAAAAATATTTCTTAAAGTTAAAAAAACTTATGATTCGCCTAAAAAAAGAAATATGTTTGTTAAAAATGCTATCTAGGCTGCTTTTCTCATGATCCACTTGAAATTTCAATAATTTATCTTTGAACCCAAACTGGTGTATTATGTCTTCCAAGGCCACGATCAGGTTGCCTGCGTTATACCTGGGAACAGCACTCTATGGTTTAAGTTTGTTAATTTAGGTCCAGAATGGATGAAAAGCAGGGATGGTAAATTATAATATAAGAGAATAACAGTTGGATGCCTAGAGGGTTGGTGGGGGTTAAAGGGGAGGACTCCAAACAATGCATTTTGTATTTTCATCCATGATTAACTCTGGGGAGACTGAGTCAATATCATACATTTACATTTTAGGTCAATGAGCAGAATGTTGAAAGAGGTTCATTTCCAGCCTCTAACTGCAGAAATGCTGTTAATATATACCTTGATGTTCTTTCTGTGGTCACTACACAGTGCAGGAGCTGGTGGGAGAGTGACCTCCCACTTTCTGACTATACTTCTTGTTTTCTTATACAGTGAGATTGGAGTGCTGAACCAGTTAGGGAGGACTCGAAAGGGGGAGAGTAGTAGTAAATATAGAACACACCATTCAGCTCAGTGAAGTGCCTGAGGGCCAGGCATTTCAATGAGTCTTAAGAGCTACAGTAGTCATGGATACTACTGTAGCTCTTAAGCAACTTCAGCAAAGTCTCAGGATACAAAATCAATGTACAAAAATCACAGGCATTCTTATACACCAATAACAGACAGAGAGGCAAATCATGAGTGAACTCCCATTCACAAGTGCTTCAAAGAGAATAAAATACCTAGGAATCCAACTTACAAGGGACGTGAAGGACCTCTTCAAGGAGAACTACAAACCACTGCTCAATGAAATAAAAGAGGATACAAAGAAATGGAAGAACATTGCATGCTCGTAGGTAGGAAGAATCAATATCGTGAAAATGGCCATACTGCCCAAGGTAATTTATAGATTCAATGCCATCCCCATCAATCTACCAATGACTTTCTTCACAGAATTGGAAAAAACTACTTTAAAGTTCATGTGGAACCAAAAAAGAGCCCTCATTGCCAAGTCAATCCTAAGCCAAAAGAACAAAGCTGGAGGCATCACACTACCTGACTTCAAACTATACTACAAGGCTACAATAACCAAAACAGCATGGTACTGGTACAAAAACAGAGATACAGATCAATGGAACAGAACAGAGCCCTCAGAAATAACGCCGCATATCTACAAATATCTGATCTTTGACAAACCTGAGAAAAACAAGCAATGGGGAAAGGATTCCCTATTTAATAAATGGTGCTGGGAAAACTGGCTAGCCATATGTAGAAAGCTGAAACTGGATCCCTTCCTTACACCTTATACAAAAATTAATTCAAGATGGATTAAAGACTTAAACGTTAGACCTAAAACCATAAAAACCCTAGAAGAAAACCTAGGCATTACCATTCAGGACATAGGCATGGGCAAGGACTTCATGTCTAAAACACCAAAAGCAATGGCAACAAAAGACAAAATTGACAAATGGGATCTAATTAAACTAAAAAGCTTCTACACAGCAAAAGAAACTACCATCAGAGTGAAGAGGCAACCTACAAAATGGGAGAAAATTTTCGCAACCTACTCATCTGACAAAGGGCTAATATCCAGAATCTACAATGAACTCAAACAAATTTACAAGAAAAAAACAAACAACCCCATCAAAAAGTGGGCGAAGGACATGAACAGACACTTCTCAAAAGAAGACATTTTTGCAGCCAAAAAACACATGAAAAAATGCTCACCATCACTGGCCATCAGAGAAATGCAAATCGAAACCACAGTGAGATACCATCTCACACCAGTTAGAATGGCAATCATTAAAAAGTCAGGAAACAACAGGTGCTGGAGAGGATGTGGAGAAATAGGAACACTTTTACACTGTTGGTGGGACTGTAAACTAGTTCAACCATTGTGGAAGTCAGTGTGGCGATTCCTCAGGGATCTAGAACTAGAAATACCATTTGACCCAGCCATCCCATTACTGGGTATATACCCAAAGGACTATAAATCATGCTGCTATAAAGACACATGCACATGCATGTTTATTGCAGCACTATTCACAATAGCAAAGACTTGGAACCAACCCAAATGTCCAACAATGATAGACTGGATTAAGAAAATGTGGCACATATACACCATGGAATACTATGCAGCCATAAAAAATGATGAGTTCATGTCCTTTGTAGGGACATGGATGAAATTGGAAATCATCATTCTCAGTAAACTATCGCAAGAACAAAAAACCAAACACCACATATTCTCACTCACAGGTGGGAATTGAACAATGAGAACACATGGACACAGGAAGGGGAACATCACACTCGGGACTGTTGTGGGGTGGGGGGAGGGGGTAGGGATAGCATTAGGAGATATACCTAACGCTAAATGACGAGTTAATGGGTGCAGCACACCAGCATGGCACATGTATACATATGTAACTAACCTGCACATTGTGCACATGTACCCTAAAACTTAAAGTATAATAATAATAAAATAAAATAAAATAAAAGTAATACAGGTTTAGTGTAGGAAACTTGGATATTATAGAAAGGTTATCAAGAAGAAAATAAAAATGGCTAAAAAATTCTATTTCCTAAATGACAGATGATTAATTTTAACATTTTGGTATATTTTCCTCCATTTTTTCTGTGCACATGAATGTATTAGCTATTTTCGTAGTTATGTGTTTTTGTAGACTAGTTTGAAATTTAACACATTTAATGTTAAAATAATTCAAGCTTATATATGTGCATTCCATCACAGATTAAAACTTAATTCTGAAAAAAAAAAAAAAAAAAAAAAGAGCTACAGTAGTCAGTACATCACAGTCCTTCCGGCTCATGTTGAAAGATGCAGAGAGTGTCAAGCACCAAAAGAAAGGAAAGCCAGACGCCCTGTGGAGGCCAAGGGAAGGGCGCCCCACCCAGCCTGGGCCAGTCAGGGAGTCATAGTGGTGAAGCTGAGGCCAGGGTTGTTGTTAGAAGAGTGTTTCATGAGGGGAAACAATCTCAGCAGTAACACAGAAGCAAAAACCAGTGTGATGTGTGCAAGAGACAAAAAGAAATTGGTATTTTTGGGAGCAGTAAATGATTTGGGGAAACTGGAAAATGAGGCTATATCCAGCCTCATGAATTTCTGGGCTTCATCACAGAAAGCCTGTGTGCCTGCTGTGGAGCCTGAAGCAGGGACTTTGAAGAAGGACTGATGCGATCAAGTTTATGTTTTAAAGAGATCACCCTGGCAACATTGGGGAGGATGGATTTGAGAGGTGCAAGCCCAGAATCACAGAGGCTGTCAGAAAAATCAAATTGCAATGACACAGGACTAAACTACTGCAGATTTTTTTTTTTTTTTTGAGATGGAGTCTCGCTCTGTCGCCGAGGTGGGAGTGCAGTGGCGCGATCTCAGCTCACTGCAACCTCTGTCTGCTGGGTTCAAGCAATTCTCCTACCTCAGCCTCCCGAGTAGCTGGGATTACAGGCACCTGCCACCACACCCAGCTAATTTTTGCAGTTTTAGTAGAGACGGGGGTTTCACCACGTTGACCAGGCTGGTCTCGAACTCCTGACCTCAGGGATCTGCCTGCAACTACTACAGGTCCAGAAAAATGTGCAGACCTACATTTTATTAGTTTCTTTAATCTCAGATTTTTAAAAATATTAATATTTTTCCTCAATTTTTTTTTTGACTGTGGGAAAATGCACATAACATCAAATTTACTATCTTAACCATTTTTAAGTGTTCAGTTCAGTAGCATTAAGTACATTCATAATGTTGTGCAGCCATCACCATCATCCATCTCCAGAACTATTTTCATCTTGCAGAACTGAAACCTTTTACACATGAAACACTAACCTTTCATTGCCTCCTCCTCCACTCCCTGGCAACCACCATGCTACTATGTCTTCATGATTTTGACTACTCATAGAGTGGAACATACAGTATTTGTTTGTTGTGTGTCTGGCTTATTTCATTTAGCGTGATGTCTCTAAGTTTTATCCATACTGCAGCATATGGCAAAATTTCTTTCCATTTTAAGATTGAATAATAATCCATCATGTGTATATACCACAATTTGCTTATCCTTTCATCTGTGGACACTTGAGTTGCTTTCACATCTTGGCTATTTCGAATAAGGCTGCTATTAACATGAGTCTACAAATATCTGTTTCAGTTCCTGCTTGTATTAATAGCTCTTTGGGGCATATACCCAGAAGTGGGATTACTGGACTATATGGTAGTTCTGTTTTTAATTTTTTGAGCAATCACCATAGTATTTTCTACAGTGGGTGTACAATTTTTTTTATTATACTTTAACTTCTGGGATACATGTGCAGAATGTGTAGGTTTGTTACATAGGTATACATGTACCATGGTGGTTTGCCGCACCCATCAACCCATCATCTGGATTTTAATCCCTCCATTCGTTAGGTATTTGTCCTAATGATATCCCTCCCCTTGCCCCCCATCCCCTGGACAGGCCCCAGTGTGTGATGTTCCCCTCCCTTTGTCCATGTGTTCTCATTATTCAACTCCCACTTATGAGTGAGAACATGCGGTGGTTGGTTTTCTGTTCCTGTGTTAGTTTGCTGAGAATGATGGTTTCCAGCTTCATCCATGTCCCTGCAAAGGACATAAACACATCTTTTTATGGCTGCATAGTATTCCATGGTGTATATGTGCCACATTTTCTTTATCCAGTCTATCATTGGTGGGCATTTGGGTTGGTTCCAAGTCTTTGCTATTGTGAATAGTGCAGCAATAAACATACGTGTGCATGTATCTTTATAGTAGAATGATTCTTTGGGTATATACTCAGTAATGGGATCGCTGGGTCAAATGGTATTTCTGGTTCTGAATCCTTGAGGAATCACCACACTGTTCCACAATAGTTGAACTAATTCACACTCCCACCGACAGTGTAAAAGCGTTCCTACTTCTCCACATCCTCTCCAGCATCTGTTGTTTCCTGACTTGTTAATGATTGCCATTCCAACTGGCGTGAGATGGTATCTCATTGTGGTTTTGATTTGCATTTCTCTAATGACCAGTGATGATGAGCGTTTTTTCATATGTTTGTTGGCTGCATAAGTGTCTTCTTTTTAGAAGTTCCTGTTCATATCCTTTGCCCATTTTTGATGGGTTTGTTTCTTGTAAATTTGTTTAAGTTTCTTGTAGATTCTGGATATTAGCCCTTTGTCAGATAAATAGATTGCAAAAACATTCTCCCATGCAAAAATTTTCTTCCGTTCTATAGGTTGCCTGTTCACTTGAATGATAGTTCTTTCGCTGTGCAGAAGCTCTTTAGTTTAATTAGATCCCATCTGTCAATTTTGGCTTTTGTTGCCATTGCTTTTGGTGTTTTAGTCATGAAGTTTTTGCCCATGCCTATGTCCTGAATGGTATTGCCTAGGTTTTCTTCTAGGTTCTTTTATGGGTTAAGGTCTTAGGTTTAAGTCTATAATCCATCTTGAGTTAATTTTTGTATAAGGTGTAAGGAAGGGGTCTGGTTTCAGTTTTCTGCATATGGCTACCCAGTTTTCCCAACACTATTTATTAAATAGGGAATCCTTTCCCCATTGCTTGTTTTTGTCAGGTTTCTCAAAGACCAGATGGTTGTAGATGTGTGGCATTATTTCTGAGGCCTCTGTTCTGTTCCATTGGTCTATATGTCTGTTTTGATACCAGTACCATGCTGTTTTGGTTACTGTAGCCTTGTAGTATAGTTTGAAGTCAGTAGTGTGATGCCTCCAGCTTTGTTCTTTTTGCTTAGGATTGTCTTGGCTATCTGGGCTTTTTTTTAGTTCCATATGAAATTTAAAGTAGTTTTTTCTAATTCTGTGAAGAAAGTCAATGGTAGCTTGGTGGGGATAGCATTGAATCTATAAATTACTTTGGAAAGTATGGCCATTTTCATGAAATTGATTCTTCCTATCCATGAGCATGGAATGTTTTTCCATTTGTTTGTGTCCTCTCATTTCATTGAGCAGTGGTTTGTAGTTCTCCTTGAAGAAGTTCTTCACATCCCTTGTAAGTTGTCTTCCTAGGTATTTTTTTCTCTTTGTAGCAATTGTGAATGGGAGTTCACTCATGATTTGGCTCTCTGTTTGTCTATTATTGATGTATAGGAACGCTTGTGATTTTTGCACATTGATTATGTATCCTGAGACTTTGGTGAAGTTGCTTATCAGCTTAAGGATATTTGGGGCTGAGATGATGGGGTTTTCTAAATATACAATCATATCATCTGCAGAGACATTTTGACTTCCTCTCTTCCTGTTCAGATATCCTTTATTTCTTTCTCTTGCCTGATTGCCCTGGCTAGGGAAATACTTTCAAATTTCATATGGAAACAAAAAAGAGCCATATAGCCAAGACAATCCTAAGCAAAAAGAACAAAGCTGGAGACATCATGCTACCTGACTTGAAACTATACTACAAGGCTGCAGTAACCTTCCAATACTATGTTGAATAGGAGTGGTGAGAGAGGGGATCTTTGTCTTGTGCTGGTTTTCAAAGGAAATGCTTCCAGCTTTTGCCCATTCAGTGTGATATTGGTTGTGGGTTTATCATAAATAGCTCATAGTATTTTGAGATATGTTCCATAAATACTTAGTTTATTGAGAGTTTTTAGCATGAAGGGCTGTTGAATTTTATCAAAGGCCTTTTCTGCATTTATTGAGATAATCATGTGGTTTTTGTCATCGGCTCTGTTTATGTGATGGATTAGGTTTATTGATTTGCATATGTTGAACCAGCCTTGCATCCCAGGGATAAAGCCGAGTTGATCATGGTGGATAAGCTTTTTGATGTTCTGTGGGGTTCAGTTTGCCAGTATTTTATTGAGGATTTTCTCATTGATGTTCATCAGGGATATGGGCCTGAAATTTTCTTTTTTTGTTGTGTCTCTGCCAGGTTTTGGTATCAGGATGATGCTGGCCTCATAAAATGAGTTAGGGAGGAGTCCTGTTTTTTTTCTGTTGTTTGGAATAGTTTCAGAAGGAATGGTACCAGCTCCTCTTTGTGCCTCTGTTAGAATTTGGCTGTGAATCCATCCTGTCCTGGGCCTTTTATCTTTGGTAGGCTATTAATTACTGCCTCAATTTCAGAACTTGTTTTTGGTCTATTCGGGGATTTGACTTCTTCCTGGTTTAGTCTTGGGAGGGGTGTTTGTGCCCAGGAATTTATCCATTTCTTCTAGACTTTTGAGTTTATTTGTGTAGAGGTGAGTATTCTCGGATAGTAGTTTGTATTTCTGTGGGATCAGTGGTGATATCTGCTTTATCATTTTTTATCGTGTCTATTTAATTCTTCTCTCTTTTCTTCTTTATTATTCTGGCTAGTGGTCTGTCTATTTTATTAATCTTTTCAAAAAACCAGCTTCTGGATTCATTGACTTTTTTTTAAGGTTTTTTCGTGTCTCTGTCTCCTTCAGTTCTGCTCTGATCTTAGTTATTTCTTGTCTTCTGCTAGCTTTTGAATTTGTTTACTCTTGCTTCTCGAGGTCTTTTAATTGTGATGTTAGGGTGTCGATTTTAGATCTTTCCTGCTTTCCTCTGTGGGCATTTAGTGCTATAAATTTCGCTCTAAACACTGCTTTAGCTGTGTCCCAGAGATTCTGGTATGTTGTGGCTTTGTTCTTATTAGTTTTTAAGAACTTATTTATTTCTGCCTTAATTTCGTTATTTACCCAGTAGTCATTCAGGAGCAGGTTGTTCAGTTTTTATATAGTTGTGTGGTTTTGAGTGAGTTTCTTTTTCTGTTTTTTTTTTTTTTTTGAGATGGAGTTTTGCTCTTGTTGCCCAGGCTGGAATATAATGGTGTGATCTCAGCTCACTGCACCCTCCATTTCCTGGGTTCAAGCGATTCTTCTGCCTTAGCCTCCCAAGTAGTGGGAATTACAGGCACACACCACCATGCCCAGTTAATTTTGTATTTTTAGTAGGGACAGGGATTCTCCATGTTGGTCAGGCTGGTCTCGAATACCCAACCTCAGGTGATCTGCACACTACAGCCTCCCAAAGTGCAGAGATTACAAGCGTGAGCCACATGCCTGGACTGGAGTCAGTTTCTTAATCCCGAGTTCTAATTTGATTGCACTGTGGCCTGAGAGACTGTTGGTTAGGATTTACATTCTTTTCCATTTTCTGAGGAGCGTTTTACTTCCAATTAAGTAGTCAATTTTAGAATAAATGTGATGTGGTGCAGAGAAGAATGTATATTCTGTTAATTTTGGGTGGAGAGTTCTGTGGATGTCTATTAGGTCTGCTTGGTCCAGAGCTGAGTTCAAGTCCTGAATATTCTTGTTAATTTTCTTTCTCATTGATCTGTCTAATATTGACAGTGGGGTATCAAAGTCTCCCACTATTATTGTGTGGGAGTCTAAGTTTCTTTGTAGGTCACTAAGAACTTGCTTTATGAATCTGGGTGCTCCTGTATTGGGTGCATATATGTTTAGAATAGTTAGCTCTTCTTGTTGCATTGATCCCTTTATCACTATGTAATGCCCTTCTTTGCCTTTTTTGATCTTTGTTGGTTTAAAGTCTGTTTTGTCATAGGCTAGGAATGCAACCCCTGTTTTTTTTTTTCTTTCCATTTGCTTGGTAAAAATTCCTCAATTTTTTTGTTTTGAGCCTGTGTGTGTCTTTGCACACAAGATGGGTCTGAATACAGCACACCAATGAGTCTTGACTCTTTATCCAATTTATCAGTCTGTGTCTTTTAATTGGGGCATTTAGCCCATTTACATTTATGGTTAATATGGTTATGTGTGAATTTGATCCTGTCATTATGATGCTAGCTGGTTATTCTGCCAGTTGATGCAGTCTCTTCATGGTGTCAGTGGTCTTTACAATTTGGTATGTTTTTGCTGTAGCTGGTAGTGGTTGTTCCTTTCCATGTTTAATGCTTCCTTCAGGAGCTCTTGTAAGGCAGGCCTGGTGATGATAAAATCTCTCAGCATTTGCTCGTCTGTAAAGGATTTTATTTCTCCTTCACTTTTGAAGCTTAGTTCGGCTGGATATGAAATTCTGGGTTGAAAATTCCTTTCTTTAGGAATGTTGAATATTGGCCCCCACTCTCTTCTGGCTTGTATGGTTTCTGCGGAGAGATCTGCTGTTAGTCTGATGGGCTTCCCTTTGTGGGTAACCTGACCTTTGTCTCCGGCTGCCCTTAACATTCTTTCTTTCATTTCAACCTTGGTGAATCTGACGATTATGTGTCTTGGGGTTGCTCTTCTCGAGGAGTATCTTAGTGGTGTTCTCTGTATTTCCTGAATTTGAATGTTGGCCTGTCTTGCTAGATTGAGGAAGTTCTCCTGAATAATATCCTGAAGAGTGTTTTCCACCTTGGTTCCATTCTCCCCATCACTTTCAGGTACACCAATCAAACATTGGTTTGGTCTTTTCACATAGTCCCATATTTCTTGGTGGCTTTGTTCATTACTTCTCATTCTTTTTTCTCTAATCTTGTCTTCATGCTGTACTTCATTAAATTGATCTTCAATCTCTGATATCCTTTTTCCTGCTTGATCGATTTAGCTTTTGAAACTTATGTATGTTTCATGAAGTTCATATGCTATGTTTTTCAGCTCCATCAGATCATTTGTGTTCTTCTTTAAACTGGTTATTCCAGTTAGCAATTCCTCTCACCTTTTTTCAAGGTTCTTAGCTTCCTTGCCTTGGATTACAACATGCTTCTTTAGCTCATAGGACATTGGTATTACACACCTTCTGAAGCCTCCTTCTGTTGGTTTGTCAAACTCGTTCTCCATCCAGTTTTGTTCCCTTGCTGGCGAGGAGTTGTGATCCTTTGGAGGAGAAGAGGCATTCTGGTTTTTGGAATTTTCAGCCTTTTTGCGCTGGTTTTTCCTCATCTTCATGGATTATCTACCTTTGGTCTTTGATGTTGGTGATTTTCTGATGGGGTTTTTGTGTGGACTTCCTTTTTGTTAATGTTATGCTATTCCTTTCTGTTTGTTAGTTTTCCTTCTAACAGTCAGGCCCCTCTACTGCAGGTCTGCTAGAGTTTGCTGGAGATCCACTCCAGACCCTGTTTGCCTGGGTATCACCAGCGGAGGCTGCAGAACAGCAAAGATTGCTGCCTGTTCCTTCCTCTGGAAGGTTTGTCCCAGAAGGGCACCTGCCAGATGCCAGCCGGAGCTCTCCTTTATGAGGTGTCTGTTGACCCCTGCTGGGAGGTATCTCCCAGTACAGGAGGCACGGGGGTCAGGGACCCCCTGAGGAAGCAGTCTGTCCCTTAGCAGAGCTCAAGCACTGTGCTGGGAAATCTGCTGCAATCTTCAGAGCTGGCAGACAGGAACAACGTTTAAGTCTACTGAAGCTGCACCCACAGCTGCCCCTTTCCGCAGATGCTCTGTCTCAGGGAGACGGGAATTCTATCTATAAGCCCCTGACTGTGGCTGCTGCCTTTCTTTCAGAGATGCCCTGCCCAGAGAGGAGGAATCTAGAGAGGCAGTCTGGCTATGGCGGCTTTGTGGCACTGAGGTGGGCTCCGCCCAGTTTGAACTTCCCAGCAGCTTTGTTTACACTGTGAGGGGAAAACCACCTACTCAAGCCTCAGTAATGGTGGATACCCCTTTCTCCACCAAGCTCCAGCATCCCACATTGACTTCAGACTGCTGTGCTGGCAGCGAGAATTTCAAGCCAGTGGATCTTAGCTTGCTGGGCTCCGTGGGGGTGGGTCCCACTGAGCAAGACCACTTGGCTCCCTGGCTTCAGCCCCCTTTCCAGGGGAGTGAATGGTTTTGTCTCGCTGATGTTCCAATTACCACTGGGGTATGAAAAAAAAAAAAAAAAAAAACTCCTGCAGCTAGCTCAGTGTCTACCAAATGGCTGCACAATTTTGTGCTTCAAATCCAGGGCCCTGGTGGCATAGGCACCCAAGGGAATCTCCTGGTCTGTGGGTTGTGAAGACCATGGGAAAAGCATAGTATCTGGGCTGGAATGCACTGTTACTCACGGTACAGTCCCTCATGGCTTCCCTTGGCTAGGGGAGGTAGTTCTTAGACCCACTAGCACTTCTCAGGTGAGGCAGCACCCCACCCTGCTTCATCTCACCCCCCATGGGCTGCATCCAGTGTCTAACCAGTCCCAGTGAGATGAGCCTTGTACCTAAGTTGGAAATGGCAGAAATCACCCACCCTCTGCATTGATCTTGCTGGGAGTTACCGAAGCTGTTACTTTTTTTTTTTTTGTCTGACACGGGGTCTCGCTCGGTCACCCAGGCTGGAGTGCAGTGGCATGATCTTGGCTCATTGCAACCTCCACCTCCCAGTTTCAGGTGATTCTCCTGCCTCAGCCTCCAAAGTAGCTGGGACTACAGGTGCCCGCCACCACGCCTGGCTACTTTTTGTATTTTTAGTAGAGACGGGGTTTTGCCATATTGGCCAGGCTGGTCTCAAACTCCTGACTTTGTGATCTGCCTGCCTCGGTCTCCCAAAGTGTTAGGATTACAGGCATTAACCACCATGCCCGGCCATGACTGGAGCTGCTTCTATTCGGCCATCTTGCCAGCCACCCTACCTTTTCTTTCTGTAATTCTTATATGAGCTAAATGATTTTCATGGTCACCAGGCTGCGGATGGGCCGGGGTTGCCAAGCCTTCCAAAGCCGCTGCTTCATGTAGGCCAGGTGAGCCTCGGAAAAGTCCCACCCAGTGATGCTCAGGAGCGGTGGCCTGTTTGGAAAGCACCTCCAGGCCTCTGGGACCATCTCTCTCTGGATATGGGCATAGTCCCAGCCAGGAGGAGCCTTGGGAAGGGGCTGGGTGGAGACCCAGCACTTCCCATTGAGATAGATGACTTTGCAGCCATCCTTAACCTGGGAGCGGAGGATGGGCCTGGACCACAGGGCCCAATGTTTCTGGGCTCAGGGCAGCACCCTGGCCTGGGGCCAGCCCAGAAACCAGCTCAGGTAGCCGCCCATGACAGCAGTGTAGTAGTCGGAACGTTCCCTTAGAAATTCAGCTTCCAGAAGTTTCCGAAGTCTGCAGCCGGGACCACGTGTACACAGCTTCGTGACCATTGGCCTCAGAACACTAAAAGCGCGCAAAGCATCGCTCGCTGGGCACCTGCTGGCCATAGGGTCCCTCATGGGCCAGGCCAGTGCCTCGCCAAATCGGGGACATCATGGGGTGCAGCTGCAGTGGGGGCACTACCCAGATGATCTGGGGGACCAGGGAAGCTCAAGCCTCCCTCCTTCCCACTGATGGTCCCAGTCAGAGGGACCATCAGAGGGGCCTAGCAGCTGCCTTTAATTTTGTGATTGACCTTTAAAGGTAGAAGACAGAATTTCTGCCTGGTCCTGAAAACTGAAGGTACCTGTTAACAGAAGGGTGTTCTCTTTGATCAGTGTGAAAATGAACACAATAAACTTGGATGCTCTTTCAAAGAAAAACAAATCATTTACTCATACAGTAAAGGTGATGTGTGTTTCATTCTTCTAGGATGGATGATAATGTCACTTTTTGCAATTTTGCTCCTAAGAAAATGGAGAGTTGTCAGGTTTTGTTTTAGCACAGGCAATGTTGATTTTATGTGGATTTCCTAAAATTTCCAGCCTTCATACATCCATGAATAGATTGTCTGTCTCTGAACATTAATGTCATTTCTCTCTTTTCGCTTTTGTTTATTTTTTTAATTATTTCAGTATTTTTTTGGGGAAAGGTAATGTTTAATTACATGTATAAGTTCTTTCGTTGTGATTTCTGAGGTTTTGGTGCACCCTTTACCCAAGCAGTGTACACTGCACCCAGTGTGTAGTCTTTCATCCCTCACTCACTTCCCACCCATTCCCCAAAGTCCCCAGAGTGCATTGTATCATTCTTATGCCTTTGCATCCTCATAGCTTAACTCCCACTTATGAGTGAGAACATGCAATGTTTAGTTTTCCATTTCTGAGTTACTTCACTTAGAATAATGGTCTCCAACTTCACCTAGGTTGCTGTGAATGCCATTATTTCATTTCTTTTTAAGGCAGATTAGCATTCCATAGTATGTTTGTACCATATTTTCTTTATCTACTTGTTAACTGATGGACATTTGGGATGATTCCATATTTTTGCAATTGCGAATTCTGCTGTCATAAACATGTGTGTTCAAGTATCTTTTTCATATAATGATTTGTTTTCCTCTGGGTAGATACCCAGTAGTGGGATTGCTGGATCAAATGGTAGTTCTACTTTTAGTTCTTTAAGGAGTCTCCACACTGTTTTCCATAGTGGTTTGTACTAGTTTACATTCCCATCAGCAATATACAAGTGTTCCCTTTTCACCACACTCCCACCAACTTCTATTGTTTTTAGATTTTTTGATTATGGCCGTTCTTGCTGGAGTAAGGTGGTATTGCATTATGGTTTTTATTTGCATCTTCCTGATGATTAGTGATGATGAACATTTTTGCATATGTTTGTTGGCTATTTTTATATTTGAGAATTGAGAATTGTCTATTCATGTCTTTAGCCCACTCTTGATGGGATTATTTGTTTTCTTCTTGCTGATTTGAGTTTCTCATAGATTCTGGATATCAGTCCTTTGTCAGATGCATAGTTTTCAAAGATTTTCTCCCACTCTGTGGGTTGTCTGTTCACTCTGCTGATTATTGCTTTTACGGTGCAGAAGCTTTTTAGTTTAATTCAGCCCCAACTATTTATCTCTGTTTTTCTTGAATTTGCTTTTGGGTTCGTAGTCATAAAATCCTTGCCTAAGCCAATGTCTAGAAGGGTTTTTCTGATATTATCTTCTAGAATTTTTATGGTTTCAGATCTTAGATTTAAGTCTTTAATCCATCTTGAGTTGATTTTTTTATAAGGTGAGAGATGAGGATCCAGTTTCATTCTTCTGCATGCGGCTTGCCAGTTATCTCAGCACCATTTGTTGAATAGGGTGTCCTTTCTCCACTTTATATTTTTGTTTCCGTTGTTGAAGATCAGTTGACTGTAGGTAGTAGGCTTTATTTCTGGGTTCTCTATTCTGTTCCATTGGTCTGTGAACCTATTTTCATATCAGTACCATGCTGTTTTGGTGACTGTATCCTTATAGTATAGTTTGAAGTCAGGTAATGTGTTGCCTCCAGATTTGTTCTTTTTGCTTAGCCTTGCTTTGGCTATATGGACTCTTTTTTGGTTCTATATGAATTTTAGAATTGTTTTTCTAGTTCTTTGAAGAATGATGGCGGTATTTTGATGGGAATTGCATTAAATTTGTAGATTGCTTTTGGCAGTGTGGTCATTTTCACAATATTGATTCTACCCATTCATGAGCATGGCATGTATTTCCATTTGTTTGTGTCATCTGTGATTTTTTTCGGCAGTGTTTTATAGTTTTCTTTGTAGAGGTCTTTCACCCCCTTGGTTAGGTGTAATATACTCCTAAGTGTTTTTTGTTTGTTTGTTTCTTTGTTTTGCAGCTATTGTAAAAGGGGTTGAGTTCTTTAATTGATTGTCAGCTTGGTTGCTGTTGGTGTATAGCAGTGCTACTGATTTGTGTATGTTGATTTTGTATTGTGAAACTGCTGAATTCATTTATCAGTTCTAGGAGCTTTTAGGATGAGGCTTTAGGGTTTCTAGGTATACCATTATATCATTGGTGAACAGCGACAGTTTCACTTCTTCTTTACTGATTTGGATGCCCTTTATTTCTTTCTCTTGTCTGATTACTCTGGCTAGGACTTCCAGTGCTTTGTTGAATAGAAGTGGTGAAAGTGGGCATCCTTGACTGGTTCCAGTTCTCAGAGGGAATGCTTTTAGCTTTTCCCCATTCAGTATAATGTTGGCTGTGGGACTGTCATAGATGGCTTTTATTAACTTAAAGTGTATCCTTTCTATGCTAATTTTGCTGAGGGTTTTAATATAAAGGGATGGTGGATTTTGTCAAATGCTTTTTCTGTGTCTATTGAGATGATCATGTTATTTTTGTTTTTAATTCTGTTTATGTGGTGTATCACATTTATTGACTTGCGTATATTAAACCATCCCTGCATCCCTAGTATGAATCCCACTTGATCATGGTGGATTACCTTTTTTATTTGCTGTTGGATTCCATTAGCTAGTATTTTGTTGAGGATTTTTGCATCTATGTTCATTATGGAGATTGGTCTGTAATTTTCTTTTTTGTGTGTGATGTTCTTTCCTGGTTTTAGTATTAGGGTGATACTGGCTTCATAGAATGATTTAGGGAGGATTCCCTCTTTTTCTGTCTTTTGAAATAGTGTCAATAGGATTGGTACCAATTCTTCTTTGAATTTCTCATAGAATTCAACTGTGAACTCATCTGGTCCTGAACTTTTTCTTCTTGGCAATTTTTTTATTATCATTTCAGTCTTGCTGCTTATTACTGGTCTTTTTGGAATTTTAATTTCTTCCTGCCTGGTTTAATCTAGGAAGGTTTTATATTTCCAGCAATTTATCCATCTCCTCTAGGTTTTCTACTTTGTGCATGTAAAGGTGTTCATAGTAGCCTGCAATGATCTTTTGTATTTCTGTGGTATCAGTTATAGTATCTCTTCTTTTGTTTCTAATCGAGTTTATTTGGATCTTTTCTCTTCTTTTCTTGGTTCCTCTTGCTAATGGTCTATCAATTTTGTTTATCTTTTCAAAGAACAAGCTTTTTGTTTCTTTTATCTTTTGTTTATTTTTATCTCAATTTTCTTTAGTTCTGCTCTGATCTTTGTTATTTCTTTTCTTCTGCTGCATTTGTGTTTGGTTTTTTTTGTTTGTTTGTTTCTCTAGTTTCTCGAGTTGTGACCTCAGACTGTCCTCTTTCAACTTTTTGATGCAGGTATTTAGTGCTCCGAACTTTCTTTCCTCTTAATGCTGGTTTTGTTGTATCCGAAAGGTTTTAATAGGTCGTATCACTATAATCATTTGGTTCAAAGAATTTTTAAATTTCCATCTTGATTTCATTGTTGACCCAATGATCATTCAAGAGCAGGTTATTTAATTTCCATGTATTTGCATGGTTTTGAGTGTTCCTTTTGGAGGTAATTTTTAGTTTTATTCCACTGTGGTCTGAGAGAGTACTTGATATAACTTCAATTTTCTGAAATTTATTGAGACTTCTTTTGTGGCCTGTCATGTACTCTATCTTGGAGAATGTTCCATGTGCTGATGAATGTACATTCTGCAGTTGCTGGGTAGAATGTTCTCTAAATATCTAAGTCCATTTTTTCTAGGGTATAGTTTAAGTCTATTGTTACTTTGTTGACTTTCTGTCTTGATGACCTGCCTAGTGCTGTCATTGGGGTACTGAAGTCTCCCACTTATTATTGTGTTGCTGTCTGTCTCTTTTTTAAAGTCTATTAGTAATTGTTTTATAAATGTGGGAGCTCCAGTGTTAGGTGTATGTATATTTAGGATTGTGATATTTTCCCTTTGGACTAGTCCTTTTATCATTATGTAATATTCCTCTTCGTCTTTTTTAACATTTTGCTTTAAAGTTTATTTTGTTTGATATAACAATAGCTACTCCTGCTCACTTCTGGTGTCCATTTGCATGGAATATCTTTTTCCACCCCCTACCTTAAGTTGATTTGAGTTCTTATGTTGTTTGGTGAGTCTCTTGAAGAGAGCAGATACTCGGTTGGCGAATTCTTATCCATTCTTCCATTCTGTATCTTTTAAGTGGAACATTTAGGCCATTTACATTCAATGTCAGTGTTGAGATGTGAGGTACTATTCTATTCATCATGTTGGTTGTTGCCTGAATACCTTGTTGTTTTTTTTTTTCATTGCATTATTGTTTTATATATCCTGTGAGTTTTATGCTTTAAGGGGGTTCTATTTTTATATATTTTGAGGATTTGTCTCAAGATTTACAACTCCTTTTAGGAGATCTTGTAGTGCTGGCTTGGTAGTGACAAATTTTCTCAACCTTTGTCTGAAAAAGACTGTATCTTTCTTTCATTTATGAAGCTTAGTTTCATGAAATACAAAACTCTTGGCTGACAAATTGTTTTGTTTAACAAGGCTAAAGGTAGGACCCCAATCCCTTCTGGTTTGTAGGGTTTCTGCTGAGAAATGTGCTGTTAATCTGATAGGTATTCCTCTATAAGTTACTTGTTACTTTTTCCTCACAGCTTTTAAGATTCTTTCCTTGTCTTCACTTTAGATAACCTGATGACTAGGTGCCTAGGCAATTATCTTTTTGCAATAAATTTCGCGGGTGTTCTTTGAGGTTCTTGTATTTGGCTATCTAGATCTCTAGCAAGGCCAGGGAAGTTTTCCTTGATTATTCCCTCAAATGTGTTTTCATAACTTTCAGATTTCTTTCTTAGAATCACCAATTATTCTTAGGTTTGGTCATTAAACATAATCCCAAACTTCCTGGAGGCTTTGTTCATTTTTTAAAATTCTTTTTTCTTTGTCTTTGTTGGAATGGGTTAATTCAAAAGCCTTGTCTTCGAGCTCTGAATTTCTTTCTTCTGCTTGTTTGATTCTGTTGTTGACACTTTCCAGTGTATTTTGTGTTTCTTTAAGTGTGTCCTTCATTTTCAGAAGTTGTGATTTGTTTTATTTATTTATGCTATGTATTTCTCTGGAGATTTTTTCATCCATGTTCTGTAACTTTGTTTTCTTTTAAGTTGGTATTCACCTTTCTCTGGTGCCTCCATGTGTAGCTTCATACTCAAACTTCTGAATTATTTTTCTGGCCATTCAGAGATTTCTCCTTGGTTTGGCTCCATTGTTGGTGAGCTAGTGTGATCTTTTGGGAGTGTTAAAAAATCTTGTTTTGTCATATTACCAGAATTGTTTTTCTGGTTCCTTCTCATTTGGGTACCCTATGTCAGAGGGAAGATCTAGGGCTCAAGGGCTGTTGTTCAGATTCGTTTGTCCCACAGGGTGCTCGCTTTATGTGGTGTTCTCCCTTCCCCTAGGGATGGGGCTTCCTGAGAGCTGAACTGTAATTATTGTTGTATTTTTTCTGGGTCTAGCCACCTAGCTGAGCTACCAGGCTCCAGGCTGGTACTAGGGAGTTTCTGCAAAGAGTCCTCTGATGTCATCTGTCTTCAGGTCTGTCAGCCGTGAGTACGAGCACCTCCTCCAGTGGAGATAGCAGGGGAGTGAAATGGACTCTGAGAGAGTCCTTGTTTGTAGTTTTTAGTGCACTGGATTAGTGTTGGTTGGCCTCCAGCCAGGAGGTGACGCTTTCAAGAGAGTCTCAGCCGCAGTAGTGTAGGGAGGATACAAGCTTGCCCTAATGCCACCTGGGTGGTAAGTATTTGGTTTCTTTGGTGATGGGCAGGGCCATAGAGTTCCCAAGAGATGGTGTTCTTTGTCTTCAGCTACCAGGGTGGGTAGAGAAAGACCATCAGGTGGGGGCAGATTTAGGCATGTCTGAGCCCAGACTGTCCTCGGTGGGTGGGCTTCCTGTGGCTGTTGTGGAGGATGGGGGTGTGGTTCTCAGGCCAATGGAGTTATGATTCCAGGGAGATTATGCCTGCCTCTGCTGGGTCACGCAGGTTGCCAGGGGACTGGGGGAAAGCTGGCAGTGACAGGCCTTACCCAATGCCCATACAGCCAGCAAGGCCAGTCTCACTCCCACCATGTCCCCCCAACAGCACGAGAGGGACATGCCCCAGGCTACAAGCCTCCCTGCTGAGAAAGCAAGCGGGACTTTCAGGTTTCACGCCTCCCCACCTGCAGCAGCTTCTGTGCGCCTATCTGTACTCCCAGATCACCTCCTCTCCAGACTCTGTCCAGGAAACTGCACAAATTGTTTCAAAGTTCAGCTGGAAGTTTCCTTCTCCCTGTGATCTTTCCCCAGTTCCTCTGGCACCCCTCCCCAAGAACTCCTGAGAGACAAAAGCAGAAATGGCTTCCCTGGGGTCTGAGAGTGCCCACGGAACTCTTCCCACTGCTTCCCCTACCCCTATATTTTGCTCAGCTCTCTAAATTTGTCTTAGCTCCCTATAAGGTCAAATCCTTCTCCCGTGATCTGGTTCTTCAGGCTCCCCAGTGAGGATGTGTGTTTGGGGGCAGTCGTTCCCCTTTCACACTTTAGACACTCATAGTTTGTCAGTGTGTCATGGAGCCCGCAGCAACAAGCCACCTCTTTCAAAGGGTCTGTGGATTCTCTCAGCTTTCCTGGTGTGTTCTTCAGTAGTTCTTGGAGCCAAAGTTCACAGTGTGTCTCCACAAGCTGCTCTGTCCATCTGAGTGGGAGCCTCAAGTTAGTCCTGCCTCCTGTCTGCCATTTCCCCTCACTTTCTAATTTCTATTCTTTTGACTCTTCTTCTGCTTATACTGGGTTTGATTAGTTGATGTCATTGGTTGGAGGTCTTTCTTTCATTGTGTATGTGTTTAGTACATAAATTTCTCTGTATATGTTGTAGTTACAGTCCACAAATTTTGACACATTGGGTTTTCATCTTCATTGAGTTCAAAATATTTTCAGATTTCCCTTTTTGATTTCTTCTTTGGTCCATGGTTATTTGGAAGTGTATTGTTTAGTTTGCACATATTTAGGGACCTCTCAGGGATCTTTCTGGTTATTGATCTCTAATTTGTAATTCTAATGTGGTTGGAGAACATACTTTGGATGATTAAAAAAAAACCCTATTCCTCTCCTCACAACACCTCTGACACCACATGTGTGGGGTTTCCACACCAAGCAATTCTCCACTTCTCTGTGGACACCACCCGAGTGTCCTACAATTTGATTCAAGTATAACACTAATTATGCAGAGTTAGCACAGACCATACAGGTTAAGGGCTCAATCTCACAAGACTGCCCCTCACTTTAGGTGCCAACTACAAGTAGTAGGTGTGTATGTGACCCACACTTCTGTCTGACTTGGCTACAAATTGGAGGTTCTCACAATCTTCTCCTTAAGTAATAACAGCTCACAGAACTCAGGGAAACATCTTACTTACATTTACCAGTTTATTATAAAGGATATTATAAAGGATACAGATGAACAGCTGGATGAGGAAGTACATAGAGTCAGGTCCAGAGGGGTCCTGAGTGTGGGAGCTTGTGTCCCCACAGAGAGAGGTTGCTCCACCCTATTGATACCTGGATGCATTCACCAACCCAGAAGCCCTCTGAATCCTATACTTTAGGAATTTTTATAAGGCTCCGTCACATAGGCATGACTGACTATTAACTCAATCTCCAGCGCCAGAGGAAGGGGAGAGAGGGAGCTGAAAGTTCCAAGCTTCTAATCATGACTTGGTCTTCCTAGTGACCAGCGCCTATCCCAAAACTATCCAGGAACCACCAAGAGAGTCTGTCATTAGAGTAAATGATGCTTCTGTTACCCAGGAAATTCCAAGGGATTTAGGAGCTTTGTGACAGGAACTGGGATCAAAACCAAATGTTAGAACAAAAGATTCTTCTAGCATCCATATCACTCAGCAAAGTGCAAGGCTTTTAGGAGCTCTGTGTCAGAAATTGGGGGCAGAGACCAAATATATATGTTTCTTATTATGTCACAGATGACTTGAATCCTTTTAAATTTATCGAGCCTTGTTTTATGACCCACAACAAAGTCTGTCTTGGTAAACATTTCATGCCTATTTAAAAACAGTGTCTACTCTGCTGTTTCTATGTGGAGTGTTCTACAAATGTCATAGGTCAAGTTGTTTGATAGCATTGTCAAGTATTCTATACCCTTACTGATTTTCTCTCTATATGTTCTTTCAGTAGCTGAGAAAGGGCTTGAAACATCAGACTATAATTGCAGACTTGTCTATTTCCTTTGTCAACTTTATCAGCCTTTCCTCCATATATTCTGAAGCTCTGTAAGGTATATAAAGTTTTAGTTTTATCATTTTGATGAATTGGCCACTTTATCATTATGAAATTAACTTCTTTATCCCTGGTAATACTTTTTTCCTTGAAATCTACTTTTTTCATTGTTAATAGAGCCACTTTGGCTTTCTCTTAGTTTCAGCATGGAATAATCTTTTCATACTAACCTTTTCATCTATTTGTCTATTGATTTTTAAGTAGGCTTCTTATAGGCCATATATAATTAGATCTTATATTTTTATCCCATCTGAAATCTCTGCCTTTCATATACATTTGATGTTATTACTGATTTAATTTAGTTTAAATCTACCATCTTGCTATATTTTCTATTCAACCCACATGTTCTTTCTTTTCTTTTGTTTTCCCTGTTTTACTGCCTCCTTTTGGCACTGAATAGTTTATGATTCCATTTTTTTTTGTTCATGTATTAGCTATCTGTCTCTTATTTTTGTGTTCTCAGTGGTTGTTTTAGGGTTCATAATATTAATGTATGTTTTTATCCTTTAACTTTCTAGCTTCAAGTGGTATTATATCACTTTATATATGATGTATGAATCTTACCAACAGCATACTTCCATCTCTTTCCTGGCATTTGTGCTATTGTGATTAGAGATTTTATTTCTACATATGTTATGAACCTATACTACATTGTTTTTTTTTTTTTGCTTTCCATTTGCTTGGTAAGTATTCCTCCATCCCTTTATTTTGAGCCTATGTGTGTCTTTGCATGTGAGACGGGTCTCCTGAATACAGCACACCGATGGGTCTTGACTCTTTTTCCAATTTGCCCCAGTCTCTGTCTTTTAATTGGGGCATTTAGCCAGTTTACATTTGCAGTTAATTTTGTTATGTGTGAATTAATCCTGTCATCATGATGCTAGTTGGTTATTTTGCACATTAATTGATGCAGTTTCTTCATAATGTCGTTGGTCTTTACATTTTGGTATATTTTTGCAGTACCTGGTACTGGTTGTTCCTTTCCGTGGTTAGTGCTTCCTTCAGGAGCATCTTATAAGGCAGGCCTTGTGGTGACAATATCTCTCAGCATTTGCTTGTCTGTAAAGGATTTTATTTCTCCTTCACTTATGAAGCTTAGTTTGCCTGGATATGAAATTCTGAGTTGAAAATTCTTTTCTTTAAGAATGTTGAATATTGGCCACCACTTTCTTCTGGCTTGTAGGGTTTCTGCAGAGAGATCCACTGTTAGTCTGATGGGCCTTCCTTTGTAGGTAACCTGACCTTTCTCTCTGACTGCCCTGAATATTTTTTCCTTTGTTTCAACCTTGGTGAATCTGATGATTATGTGTCTTGGGGTTGCTCTTCTCGAGGAGTATCTTAGTGGTGTTCTCTGTATTTCCTGAATTTGAATATTGGCCTGTATTGCTAGGTTGAGGAAGTTCTCCTGGATAATATCCTGAAGTGTATTTTCCAACTTGGTTCCATTCTTTCTGTCACTTTCAGGTACACCAATCAAACATCAGTTTGGTCTTTCCACATAGTCCCATATTTCTTGGTGGCTTTATTCATTTCTTTTCATTCTTTTTCCTCTAATCTTGTCTTCATGCTTCATTTCATTAAGTTGATCTTCAGTGTCTGATATCCTTTCTTCTGCTTGATGGATTTGGCTATTGATACTTGTGTATGCTTCACGAAGTTCTCTTGCTGTGTTTTTCAGCTCTATCAAGTCATTTATGTTCTTCTCTAAACTGGTTGTTCTATATAGCAGTTCCTGTAAGCTTTTATCAAGGTTCTTAGCTTCCTCATATTGGGTTAGGACATGCTCCTTTAGCTTGGAGGAGTTAGTTATTACCCACTGTCTGAATCCTACTTCTGTCAATTCATCATATTCATTCTCTGTGCAGTTCTGTGCCTGTGCTGGTGAGGAATTGTGATCCTTTGGAGAAGAGGTGTTCTGGTTTTTGGAGTTTTCAGCATTTTTTTGCTGTTTTTTTTTTTTTTTTTTTTTCCCCATCTTTGTGGATTTATCTACCTTTGATCTTTGATGCTCATGACCTTTAGATGGGGTTTTGTGTGCATGTTCTTTTTGTTGATGTTGATGTTATTTCTTCCTATTTGCTAGTTTTCCTTCTAACAGTCAGGCCCCTCTATTGCTGGTCTGCTGGAATTTGCTGGAGGTCTACTCCAGACCCTCTTTTTGTGGGTATCACTGGCAGAGGCTGCAGAACAGCAAAGATTGCTGCCTGTTCCTTCCTCTGGAAGCTTCATCCCAGAGGGGCACCTGCCACATGCCAGCCAGAGCTCTCCTGGATGTGGTGTCTGTTGACCCCTGCTGGGAAGTGTCTCCCAGTCAGGAGGCACGGGGGTCAGGGATCCACTTGAGGAGGCAGTCCATCCCTTAGCAGAGCTCGAGAACTGTGCTGGGAGATCTGCTGCTTTCTTCAGAGCTGGCAGGCAGGAACGTTTAAGTCTGCTGAAGGTGTGCCCATAGCCGTCCTCTTCCCCCAGGTGCTCTGTCCCAGGGAGATCGGAGTTTTATCTGTAAGCCCCTGACTGGGGCTGCCGCCTTTCTTTCTGAGATGACCTGCCCAGTGAGGAGGAATCTAGAGAGGTAGTCTGGCCACAGCCACTTTGCCACACTGCCGTGGGTTCCACCCAGTCCAAACTTTCTGGCAGCTTCGTTTACACTGTGAGGGGAAACTGCCTACTCAGGTTTCAGTAATGGCGGATGTCCCTTCCTTCATCAAGCTCGAGTGTCCCAGGTCGATTCAGAGTGCTGCTGGCAGCGAGTATTTCAAGCCAGTGGATCTTAGCTTGCTGGGCTCCATGGGGTGGGATCCGCTGAGCAAGACCACTTGGCTCCCTGACTTCAGACCCCTTTCCAGGGGGAGTGAATGGTTCTGTCTTGCTGGGGTTCCAGGTGCCACTGGGATACGAAAAGAAACTCCCGCAGCTAGCTCGGTGTCTTCCCCAATAGCTGCTCTATTTTGTGCTTGAAACCCAGGGCCCTGGTGGTGCAGGCACATGAGGGAATCTCCTGGTCTGTGGGTTGAAAAAACTGTGGGAAAAGGATAGTATCTGGGCTGGATAGCAGAGTCCCTTATGGCTTCCCTTGGCTATGGGAGGGAGGTCCCCAGCCCCTTGCACTTCCCGGGTGAGCTGACACCCCACCCTGCTTCTGCTCACCCTGCATGGGCTACACTGACTGTCTAACCAGTCCCAATGTGATGAACCGGGTATTTCAGTTGGAAATGCAGAAATCACTGGCCTTCTAAATTGGTCTCACTGGGAGCTGCAGACTGGAGCGTTTTCTATTCGGCCATCTTGGAAAAACCTCATGGCTGTACAATTTACAGCTCACCAGTTTTACAAATTCCCACCAACAGTGCACAAGAGTTTCAGTTTTCCCACACCCTCCCTAATACTTATCTTTTGCATTTTTGATAGTGCCCATCCTAGTGGGTGTGAGGTGGCATCAGTATGAGCTATTTTAAACAGAAGTACTACAAGCATCCATGTTTCAACCATGAAAGTTTAACATAATATTTTCCATAATTTGATTCTTAAGGAAATAGACGTTAATTACCCTTTAGTTGAATTTTTCTGTAGACCTCTACTCAACCCCAATGTCCTCTTTCATTCTGAATTTGCTACTTATCAGTTTTGTGCCTGTGTTTTATAATTTTACTATACATATTTGTACCTATACTTAAAATATAGTATTTTATGTATTTTTAATTTTTACAGCAATGGTATTATATTCTGTGACTTGCTTTCTTCATGATCCATTATTTTTGAAATATATTCATATTGATACATCATTTAGCTTGGGTTTTTCCTAATAACTATTACATAGGCATACCTTGGAGATACTGCAGATTCTGTTTCAAACCACTGCTATAAAGGTGAGTCATAGGACATTTTTGTTTTTCAGTGCATATAAAACTTATGGTTACACTATAGTCTATTAAGTGTGCTATAGCATTATGTCTAAAAAATATACATACCTTAATTTAAAAATACTTTATTGTTGAAAATTCTAATATCACTTGAGCCTTCAGCAAGTCATAATTTTTTTGTCGTGGTGGTTCTTGCTTTGATGGTGGTTGCTGAAGGTTGGAGTGGCTGTGGCAATTTCTAAATTTAAGGGAACATTGAAGTTTTTTACAATGACTGATTCTTCCTTTCACAAATGATTTCTCTGTAACACATGATGCTGTTTGATAGCATTTTACCAACAGAACTTTTTCTTTAATGGAGTCAGTCTTCTCAAACTGCTGCTGCTGCTATATCAACCAAGTTTATCTAAGATTTTAAATTCTTTTTTGTCATTTCAACAATGTTCACAGGCCAGGTGTCCTGGCTCATGTCTGTAATCTTAGCACTTTGGGAGGCCAAGTCAGGAAGATTGCTTGAGATCAGGAGTTGGAGACCAGCCTGGGCAACATAATAAGACCTGGTCTCCACAAAGAAATTTTAAAAATTAGCTGGGCTTGGTGATGCATGCCTGTAGTCCCAGCTACTGAGGCTGAGGCAGGAGTATTCCTTGAGTCCAGGAGGTCATGGCTGCAGTGAGTTATGATTGTGCCGTCATACTCCAGCCTGAACAAAAGAGTGAGACCTTGTCCCTCCCCGCCAAAACCAAACCAAAACAAAACAAAACAAAAAAAAAACACCTAAAAACCCCAGTGTTTACAGTGTCTTCATGGGGAGTAGATATTCAATTTCATGAAACCACTTTCTGTGCTCATCCAAAGGAAGCAACTCCCTATCTGTTTATGTTGTATCATAAAATTGCAACAGTTATACCTTCAGCCTCGCCTTCTAATTCTCATTCGTTTGCTATTTCTACCACACACAGTGACTTCTTCCACTGAAGTCCTGAACCCCTCAAAGTCCTCTATGTGGGTTGGAATCAATTTCTTTCAAACTGCTGTTAATTTGAATATTTTGACTTCTTCCTGTGAATTAGAAATGTTCTTAATGGTTTCTAGAATGGTAAATCCTTTCCGATAGGTTTTCAATTTACTTTGCCCAGATCCATTAAGGGAATCATTGTCTATGGCAGCTATAGCCCTACAAAATGTATTTCTTAAGTAATAAGGCTTGAAAGTCATAATTACTTCCTTGATTCAGGGGCCACAGAATGGATATTGTGTTAGCAGACATGAAAATAAGTGTCCTTTTTCATCTCCATCAGAGCGCTTGAGTGAGTGACCAGGTGCATTGTCAATGAGCAGTAATATTTTGAGAGGAATCTTTTCTTCTGAGCAGTAGATCTCAACAGTGGACTTAAAATATATAGTAAATCATGCTGTAAATAGATGTGCTATCATCCAGGCTTTGTTGTTCCATTTCTAGAGCACAGGCACAGACGATTTAGCATAATTGTTTAAGGCCCTAGGATTTTCACAAAGGTAAATGAACATTGGCGTTAACTTAAAGTTTCCAATTGCATTCATTTCTTTTTTTTTTTTTTGTCATATATATTTTTTTTATTATACTTTAAGTTTTAGGGTACATGTGCACATTGTGCAGGTTAGTTACATATGTATACATGTGCCATGCTGGTGCGCTGCACCCGCTAACTCGTCATCTAGCATTAGGTATATCTCCCAATGCTATCCCTCCCCCCTCCCCCCACCCCACCACAGTCCCCAGAGTGTGATATTCCCCTTCCTGTGTCCATGTGATCTCATTGTTCAATTTCCACCTATGAGTGAGAATATGCGGTGTTTGGTTTTTTGTTCTTGCGATAGTTTACTGAGAATGATGATTTCCAATTTCATCCATGTCCCTACAAAGGACATGAACTCATCATTTTTTATGGCTGCATAGTATTCCATGGTGTATATGTGCCACATTTTCTTAATCCAGTCTATCATTGTTGGACATTTGGGTTGGTTCCAAGTCTTTGCTATTGTGAATAATGCCGCAATAAACATACGTGTGCATGTGTGTTTATAGCAGCATGATTTATAGTCCTTTGGGTATATACCCAGTAATGGGATGGCTGGGTCAAATGGTATTTCTAGTTCTAGATCCCTGCATTCATTTCTAACAAGAGAGTTAGCCTGTCCTTTGAAGCTTTGAAGCCAGGCATTGACTTCTCCTCTCTAGTTAGGAAGGTCCTAGATGGCATCTTCTAATAGAAGACTGTTTCATCTACATTTAAAATCTGTTGTTTAGTGTAGCCATCTTCATCAGTTATCTTAGCTAATCATCTGGATAACTTTCTGCCGCTTTTCCATCAGTACTTGCTGCTTCACCTTTTACTTTAATGTTGTGGAGGAACCCACCTCTGCCAACTTGGAAGTTTTCTTCTGAAGCTTCTTTACCTCTCTCAGCCTTCATAGAATTGAAGAGAGCTGGGATGTTGCTCTGGATTATGGTTTGGCTTAAGGGAATGTTGTGGTTGGTTTGATCTTTTATGCAGACCACTCAAATTTCTCATATCAGTAATAAAGCTGTTTTACTTTCTTATCATTCATGTGTTCACTGGAACAGCACTTTTTTTTTTTTTTTGAGACAGAGTTTTGCTCTTGTTGCCCAGGCTGGAGTGCAATGGCACAATCTCTGCTCACTGCAACCTCCACCTCCCGGGTTCAAGCCATTCTCCTGCCTTAGCCTCCCAAGTAGCTGGGGTTACAGGCACCCGCCACCATGACCAGCTGACTTTTTTGTTTTTTTTTAAGTAGAGATGGTGTTTCACCATGTTGTCCAGGCTGGTCTTGAACTCCTGACCTCAGATGATCTGGCCACCTTGGCCTTCCAAAGTGCTGGGATTACAGGCATGAGCCACTGCACCTGGCCCTGGAATAGCACTTTTAATTGCCTTCAAGAACTTTTCCTTTGCACTCACAGCTTGGCTATTTGGTGCAAGAGGCTTAGCTTTCAGCTTATTTTGGCTTTTGACATGCTTTCCTCACTAAGCTGAATCATTTCTAGCTTTGGAGTTCAAGTAAGAGATATGTGACTCTTCCTTTTGACTGAACACTTAGAGCTCATCGTAGGTTATTAATTGGCCTAATTTCAATATTGTTGTGCCTTGGGGAATAGGGAGTCCCAAGGAGAGGGAGAGGGACAGGGAAGAGCCTGTCAATGGATCAGTCAGAACACATACAATGTTTATCAATTAAATTTGCCATCTTATATGGATATGGTTTTTGTGTTGCCTCAAAATAATTGCTGCAGTAATATCAAATGTCACTGATCACAGATCACCATAACAGATATAATAACAATGAAAAAGTTTGAAAGATTGTGAAAATTACCAGAATGTGACACAGAAACAAAGAATGAACATGTGTTGTTGGAAAAATGGCACTGAGAAGTAGATTACACCACAGGGTTTCCGCAGACCTTCAACTTGTAAACAATGTGATATCTGCAAAACACAAGAAAGCAAAGCACGATAGAATGAGGCATGCCTGTGTAGTGTTCTGGTGAAGTATATATTACAAACTATATATCAATTATCCTATTGATAGTCCCATAGTTATTCTACTTTAGACTATTTCCAACAATAGAGGTGTGAATATCCCTCTACATCGTTCTCTCACAGTCTTCCTCCTCCAGGGTTCCCTAGAGAATTAAGCCCTAATGCCCCATGTCACCCACTCTATGTAGGAATTAGCTTCTCACCTGCCTGTGCATCTAGAACAGCTATGAAACATCCTTGGGAGATTTGAGAAAATCCCTCAAAACGTGTTCTGAGTTTTATGGTTCAGAGGAGAACCACAGATTGTGAAAGTCTCTGAGTAGAATTCCTGGGTCATAGGGTTAGTATATTGTTCTTACCTTATGTTAAAAGGCAATGGCCAAATGCCATTCAAAGTATTTTCCAATTAACATTCCCCAGCACTGTGTAAGTAGTTTATTCTCCATTTTTGGTGATAGTTGTTATTCCCAGACTTTTTTTGTGCCAACTAAGCAGTGTAGATGGTATCTTATTGTTTTAATTTTCAGTTTCTGATTATTAGCCTGAGTACATTTTTTATATATATTTTTGGTGTTTGGGATTTCTACAAATTGCTGGTTTATATAATTCCCACATTTCTATTTGGGTTTTATCTTTTTCCTATTTTAGACTTCTTTATATATCCTGGTTACTAATCATGTGTTATGGATAACAAATATATTTTAAATTTACTTATGGTGCCTTTTTTAGATAGAAGTTTTTAATTTTATTTTTAATCAAATTTATCATTCTTTTTCATTATGATTTGTGTTCTTTTTGTTTCTTTAGAAATTCTTAAAGTTTTACTCCAGTTTACCATTCATTTCCATTATTGTTTGTGCTGTTTTTGTTTCTTTAGAAATCTTCCTTACCTGTGTTTTTTTCCCAATATATTTTCCATAAGGTTTCAAGTTTCACTTTTCATATTATAGTTCTTATTTCTCCTGCAACTGATCAACTGATTTTTATGGATACCATGCGATAGATGTCTCATTTTATTTTCTTTTTAGAGATAGAGTCTCACTATATTGCCCAGACTGGAGTGCAGTGGCTATTTATAGGCACCATCATAGCACACTAGAGCCTTGAACTCCTAGCTCAAACAATCCTCCTGCCTCAGCCTTCCGAGTAGTGGGACTACTGGCAGATGACACCATGCCCAGCTTAATTTTATTTGATTTTTTACAGAAATAACTGGCAGTTCAGGAACTATTTATTTAAGTTTGTCTTTGCACATGTCCGTGGTTAACTGCTGTGTCATTGATTTTACTTGTGTGTAGGCTTGTTTCTGAGCTCTCTATTCTATTGTAGTCTGTCTGTTTATCACTGTACTAGTACTGCACCATTTTAATTTTTATAATTTTAGCATAAATTTTGAGATCTGGCAGGGAGATTTCTGCCATTCTTTTTTCTTTATTATTCTCTTATCTGTTCTTGAACCTTTGTTTTTATGTATGAATTTTAGGATTAATTTGTGCAGTTGTTAGGATTTATATTAAAATTATTCTTCGAGTTAATAGAATAATTTTGGGATAACTGATATTTATGATCTTTTCTTTTTCAAGTGAATATGCTATATCTTTGTGATGGAGGTGGTGGCCTGTCTGGAGCAGACGCTGCCATGATGCCAGCTGCAGTGGGAGAGGCGTAGCTGGGGCTGCATGCTCCACAGAGCCAGCAGGAGCCAGGAACGGGTGAGAACCCCACCCCTTCCAAGTTGGAGGGGTGGGAGCCCCGCCCTCCTGGGTGCAGCTGCAGCTGCCCAACCATGGCTGTGGACCCAGGCATCTCTGCACTCTCAGGCCCAGGAAGACTCCCTTTCCTACAGGCTCAGAAGTGCCTGCTGTCACTGCCTGACCTCTCCCCTCTCCTGGCATCTGCTCCAATTGCGGAGCAAAGTTGTGGCCAATCCCCAGTGCTGTCACAACCCAGCTAGGTGTGCACACACTCAGGACATCACCAACATGCCAGCTCTGAGCTGTCTCGGCCCCCTCTGGACTTTGGGCACCAACGAACATGGGACAGAGGCCAAGTCAGGACTAAGGGTGGCTCAGTGTGGGCCCACAGACACCCCTTGGCACAAACAGTCTGGACACTGTGGGCACCATGGATGGCAGGTTAATGGCAGCAGGAGGCAGATGGGCTTCTGGGCAGAAAGGGGTGGGTCCCTAGTGAAACCCCACCCTCATGTCAGGGATAGCCCAAGGCCTGGGGGCCCAGGCTGCCAGTTCTGTGGACTGGAGTGAGAACTTACGGTGCTTTCTTTGGGCCTGTCCATGGCCACCCATGGACAAATCAGCATGGAATTTCTCCCCTCTGAAGCCCATAAAATCCCTGGACTCAACCAGACTGGGGCAGGTGACAGGATGACCTGCCTGTGGAGTGGAGCTACCCACTGTGGGCCTCCTCTTTGCTGAGAACTGAACAGATGATGGATGCCCTGCCTGTGGAGAGCTACATACTGTGGGTCTCCCCTCTGCTGAGAGCTGAGTAGACTTCAGGACAACCTGCCCGTGGACATGAGCTACTCACTGCAGGTCTCCCCTCTGCTGAGAGCTGATCAGATGTTGGGACAACCTGTCTGCAGAGAGTAGCTACCCACTGCAAGTCTCCTCTGAGATGTTCTGACACTCAATAAAGCACCTCTTTGTCTGGCTCACCCTCCACCTCTCCATGAGCCTCATTCTTCCTGGACATGGGACAAGAACTTGGGACCCATTGAATTGTGTGGCCAAAAGAACTGTAACACAAACAGGCTGAAACATGCCCCTTGCTCACCATGTTGGAGGTGATGAGAAGGAGAGAAGAAAGGAGAGAGGATCTGTGGCCCTCCTGGGAGTCCAGAACTAGGAGCTCCCTGAGCCAGGGCTGTGACACCCTCTTTGGAGTTCTGCAGTTCCTTTTGTCCTCAAGCTTCCAGGAGCCACCACATTCCCTGTGCCAGCCATGAAAGCTGCTTGTGGTACATCTGGTCCAACCACAGCCTTGCACGGAACCAGCGCCTGTGCTGGCACCTGGAGCTGTCTGCCCTGCTGCAGCCACCATGCCTGGCTGTGCACAGTGGCTGGACCCCACACTCTCTCACTCACACATTCCTTGCTGCTCCACACCTGGTTGCCCTTGGCAGGAATGGGATCCAGGCTGGTAGCACAAGTGGAGCGCAACCTGCCAGGTTGAGTGGGTGGAACGAGCCCAGTGGACCCAAGCAAAACTCAGGTAAAGGTGCCACTGGCCATAAAGGTTTCTGGCCAGAAAAGTGACACCCCAAGGATCCTATGACATTTGCATATGATCAAGTGCTCTCGTAGTACCTTGGCAATATATTGTAATTTACTTCAAAAAGGCCCTTCATGTCTTCTGTAAGATGTAGTCCTGAGTGCTTTACATTTTTCCAGCTATTATCCCTTCAAATATTTCTCTTACGCTTTATTTATTTTCCATGTTGCTTAGCTACTCTTTTTTTAATGTCTTTTTTTTTATACTGTTCTTCATTGCACAGTCCAGAGTTAATCCCATCTGGACTGTTTTTATTTATTTAAATGGCCAAATCTTTTATTTCCAAAAATTCTAATTATATCTCTCCTATATCTATATGTTGTTTTATAGCTGTTTTGTTCCATAATTTGGGGGTATTTTTAAAATGGGTGTACCTTAATTTATTTTCTAAGTATCCTAAATATTCTTATTTTAAAATCTTCATCAGTCTGGTCCATAAATTTAATTCTTTTGTGATAAATTCATGTAGTGCTTTTTGCTGTCTTTCTTAGCATTGTGTGGCTTAAGTAGTTTTGTAGCTTTTGTTCACAGGCTCATTTTGTTGTTGCTACTGTTTCTCTTTTTCCCACAATATTTGCCCTCCCTATTTAGTGGTTATGTCCACCAAGTTCTGGGGCCTCCAATCCACCAAGTTCTGGAGACTCCAATCCAGAATGAGGTCTTCACAGGCAACTTGAGCTCCTGTCCAATGATGATATTATTACTGATCCAATCACTGCACCAGGGTTTAGTGGGAGTTGAGGGGCTGCGGTGGTTCCTGGTCACCAGGCTGTGTCTGCTTCCTCCACCTTTCCTAGGGCTGCAGCCTCCCAGAAGCTGGGGCCCAGGCATCAGTGAGCAGCAGGCTTTGCTCAGCTTCCTTCACAAGACTGGCTCCTTGTCAGCCTACCCTGGGCAGCAGAGCACACCCAGTTCCTGCCTCCTGTAGGAGCCTGCCTGCAGCCTGGGAGCCTGGTGAGCTGAAGGCTCAAGCCCTTCCCTGTCTTTGTGTTCTCTTCCAATTCTGATTCTCAACTCTTTCTTCATTTGCAAGAGGACCATGGTTTCTTCTATTTATATTTTTAATCCGTTACTGGCATATGTCAGAGCAGAGGATATACATCATAGTGTGATCATATTTTGCCCTTTCAACCCATCCTCAAATCTGATTTAAAAAAATAATTTCCAAAGTTACGCAGTGTTATTGTAAGATTTTCCTATCACAACGGGGCAATTGTGTACATTTCAACCCCCTGCTTCTGTCTCTCTTTACACAATCATAGAATTGAGGGTGACATTCTTTTGGTAAATCATATCATGATCCACCAGCTGAAAGATTAATTTAAGAAAGATGATTAGAAAGAGACATCTGAATAGTTTATCTGAGCCATAAGCATGGACATCAGTGACAGGATTTAAATAGCTGAAATGAATTCTCTTTAGTTTCCTTGTCGTAACAAATTAGCATCAAAATGTTTTTACCAGTTTAGGTAAGGTGGTGTCAGAAAATCTGACGGTTTTTTGCTGATCATAAATTATCGCTGTGCTCATGTGCTGACCGAAAGAATATTTTCTGTTAATAGAATATCTAGTGTGTGTTTTGGAACAAGAATGATAATACAGTATTAGTATTGTCCTGGGATGTACCATACTCTGTGTAATTTTTTTCAACAATTTGTCAACAGTCTAAGTAAATAAGAAATTGCGCCTTCTCTTTAGTAAACTGTGTATGTTCATTACTTCAAGCTTATAGAACAACAATGGTAATCAACCTGGAATTGATATGTCCTTTAGAATTAGGGTTGTATCTCCAAAAATGCCATATTAAATTTTGGTTAGTGCTGGCCGTACTTTCTAGTGTTCTGCTGAGTTAATATTAGCCTGCATCTCATCTTCATCATTCCACCCAACCTTAAACCATGCCAGAGAAGCAGCCTCCCCCAGATTAAAAAGATAACATTACATATTCTTCATGGGGCTGTCAGATTTACATTCACTTTAGGTTAAGTTAAAAGATACATGTTTAAAAGATGAAAATGGAATAAAGATACTTGGAAATAGTTCATTGTAGGTTTCACCAAATAATATTTGACATGTACAGTGAAATTTAACTGCTAAACTTAGGTGGCTTTTCATATTCTCATTTATACTATCAAGAGAAGGGGATGACAGCATTTGACTTAAAATATTAAAATATCAAAGCTTTTCACTTAAAATATTAAAATATCAAAGCTTTTCAGATGAAGAATTCAGAGAGCTAGGCACCTTCCCTCAGTCAGAGGCCACCATCACTTGATACTTCAAGGAAACTTCATTTGCACTCCCAAAACAGGACCTGTATTTGTTGTTTTGATATTTTAAAATTTTAAATATTAGATAAATATTAATTTTTTTCTCCAAAGCTTTTAAGACTATAAAATTTAGTAGGGTTCATCAGAATTCTAAAATGTGGAAATAAATTCCTTAAAACTTGAATTACCTTTATTTATACTTGAAGTCTCTTTAATATTAAAATTTTTACTGAGGAAAAGGAATCTATGCCTTTGAATAGCCAAAGGAAAAATATTTGAATAAATAGAAATAATCAATAGCCATACATGTAAGCTTTGTTACTTTTAAAGCTTTACTTAAAAGCCAAAATTAAGCCATTGTAAAGATGTTGTTTGATCTCAGAATCCTTTCAAGAAGAGTGATTACAGGTTTCAGAATGATAGCAGGGTTCTCAAGTCTTCTCTTCCCTTCTTACATGTGTCCTGGACTTGAATCTGCATAGGGGCTGGGGGCGGTGGGTCATGCCTGTAATCCTAGCACTTTGGGAGGCTGAGGCAGGTGGATCTCTTGAGATCAGGAGTCTGAGACCAGCCTGCCCAACATGGCGAAACCCTGTCTTTACTAAAAATACAAAAAATTAGCTGGGTGTGGTAGTGTGTGCCTGTAATACGAGCTACTCGGGAGGCTGGGGTAGGAGAATCACTTGAACCTGGGAGGCAGAGGCTGCAGTGAGCTGAGGTTGGGCCACTGCACTCCAGCCTTTGCAACAGAGCAAGACTCCGTCTCAAAAAAAAAAAAAAAAAAGAAACTGCGTAGAGGCAGCTTCATCCTCAAAAAGAAAACCCGTGGTGTTATGTCATGACAAATTGAGAGAGGTTTGCCCCTCTTTGGGAGTTTCAGCTATTGATTAAATATCTCTTTGCCACTATGAATGTGTCTGTAGCACCCAGGCAAGTGACCCGAGGGGCTCGCTGTCTTAAGCTGCACCAAGTGACCTGAGCCCTTTGGCTTCTCTTCCTGCCAGAGAAGAAGCCAAGAATTAAATCAAGGCAATCTCTTGAATTTGCTTCTAAGACAGCTTCCATACCATCATACCAAGGAGAATCTGAGGGTTTTCTGGTGCTACATGGGTTGGCATTCTTTCCTTTTGTGGAAAACAAGGGAAGATGAAATTATAGGCAGGAATGCTATCTCTCTAACCTCTGAGAGGGAAGTTACTTTATCCTTGGAATAAAACTGTTAGGCTTTGCTGTTGCACACTCCACCAAACAAGAGAGTCATGTGCTACTCCTAGAAGTTACATACTATTTCTATTATGCAATCTAGGGCCTCTCAAACTTGGCAGTGAAAAGAAAACACATGCCATAGAGAATATTAAGGTGTGGATGGCTGAAAGTCCCATGTTTTGTTAAAGTCTTATATGTCTTCCAAACAATTATGTAACTTTTGTATTCTATTCCAAAACATATCCAGTTTTATATTAATAGAATTATAGTGTTTTTTCTTACATTTGTGAATTATTGCATCCTTTTTGGAAAGCAATTTGGCAGTATCTATTTTATATGTATGCTTTTTCACCCAGCAATCTTACTCCTAAGAATCTGTCTCACAGAAATAAAAGCATCAATACATGAAGATATATGCATAATGATATTTATGACCACATGTCATGGCAAAAATTGGAATGAAATGAATGGCATTCAGTAGGGGAGTGGGTGAATACGTGATAAATTGTGGAGCCTCCATGTCGTGGAATACTGTACAGACATTAAAGAGAATGAATTGGAAATCTGCCAGATGATTTGAAGGGATTCCCGTGAGTAAAGTAAAATGCAAGAAAGTGTAAAGAGCCCACCTCTTTTTTTAGATATGGGATCTCACTCTGTTGCCCAGGCTGAAGTACAGTGACGTGACCATAGCTCACTGCAGCCACAACCTCCTGGGCTTAAGTGTGCCTCCCATCTCAGCTTCCTAAGTAGCTGGAACATCAGGAGTGTGCCACCACACCTGGCTATTTTTTTTGTTTAATTTTTGTTAGAGCCTCACTATGTTGCCCAGGCTGGTCCCAAACTCCTGGGCTCAAGCAGTCCTCCTGCCTCAGCCTCCCAAATTGTTGGGATTGCAGGCATGAGACACTAGGCCTGGCCCTGTGTGTGTACATATATGCTTTGTAACTAATATTAGCATGAGGAACTAAGTAACTCACCAGGTTGTCTGAGGTGGAAGGGGTGCAGAGAGAGGAGAGGATGAAGGAAGCAAAAATGAAGAGAAAGGAGAAGGGGGGGAAGAAAACATCCCTTTTATATCATTACATAAAATTAGACGTGTGATATATGTAATACAAATTTTAGATAAACAAATTTTCTCCCTTCTTGTAAAATTGAAAAAATGCACAGGTTTGTGCTTTGCATTCTTCTTGACCCATAACAACATAGCTCTGGGAACAGCTATGCATTGGCTTGAGAAACGTGGACAAGACAATATCCTTAGGACAAAGATCCACCAAGGATAAGCCACTGCACTGCCTCCGGCTGCTAGCATGCCTGCATCCACGAAGGTCCTGTTGATTCTGCCATGAAGTTAACACTGAGGGGCTTCTTCACTGAGGCAGACTGTGATCATTTTAAAGGCCCCCGAGACTTTGATACCTTGATTCTGGGGTTGGTTTCTGCTGGCTCCCCTGTCTTTCATGCATCACCTGATTTGACCTCTAGTTTTCTGCAGTAATTCTTGGTTGTTTTCTGTGTTCCACCTTTGGTCACTGACTTTAACTTTGTTTTGACCTCTAGCTTTCGTGTAATTTCTGCATCTGAACCATTAGTTTCATTGTAAAGTACTTTGTCCTCAACATTTTCACTCATTTTCTTGACCTTTACTTGGAACAGTCTGTCTTCTTAATCCACTTTATCATGGTTCAGGGTCAAGGACACTTTTAATATGTACGATACTAAATGCAGATTCCTTTCCCATTGACATTTTCATGGAGCCATCCAAAGTAGCTATATTATTAACGACAGAGATTCACATGGACCTCTAATGTGTTTCATGTTGCTTTAAAAGTATGAATCCTGTAGTTAAATTTGGATGTTTGGGTTGGACTCGGTCTCAATTTACCATTTTAATTTCTTTGTCTTTAAAAATAAACTCACAATCTCAGTTTCAGGAGGAAATCTTAAAGGTATAAAATCCAACAATACCTCAGATACAGGAATCTTTTCTGAAACACTTCCACAAAGTGCTTGGCCAAAATTTCTGAACTCTTTCCTGTTATTATAGGAAACTCACTATCCTCAGAGGTAAACCATTTTCATTTGTGTACATTTCTTCCTTATTTAGATTAAACTTATATCTGGCCAGTGATTTGCTCATACTTTTACTGGCAGCCAGATAAAAATTATATTTTTTTATGAATGAAGACGACATCATCAAGAACCTCTAAAAAGTTTTATACACAATGTATAGCATTCGACTTTTAAAAATTACCAAGTATTGGGCCGGGCACAATGGCTCACGCCTGTAATCCCAGCACTTTGGGTGGCCGAGGCAGGCGGATCACGAGGTCAGGAGACCAAGATCATCCTGGCTAACACAGTGAAACCCTGTCTCTACTAAAAATACAAAAAATTAGCCGGGCATGGTGGTGGGCACCTGTAGTTCCAGCTACTCGGGAGGCTGAGGCAGGAGAATGGAGTGAACCCAGGAGGCGGAGCTTGCAGTGAGCTGAGATCACGCCACTGCGCCCCAGCCTGGGAGACAGAGCAAGACTCCGTCTCAAAAAATAAAAATACAAAAATAAAATAAAAAATAAAAATTACCAGGCATTCCAAGAACAAGGACCATTAAATAACTAAAAATCAAGAGAGAAGAAACTGATAAAATCACCTTGTGAGACTGCTTGGAGCTCTAGGTTGCTGCTTTCTTCTCTACTTCGGTATTCTGTGCTCCAAGTCAGCAAAGGACCCAAGGAGAAAAATCAGCAGCGAAGGCCTGGCTTACATCTTTATATGTTTTGCTTCATGCTGGCATTAACGTGCACAAATCCTAGCTGCTGTTATTGCTCTCTAATACCTTCAAGTAGCCTTGTGATTTTTGCTGTTTTCAGTGAGAGGGTTGGTCTGATATAAGCAACTTCCTCATAGTCAGAAGCAGGCTGAACATGTGATAATGAGAAATGTCAATTAAGCATTATTTATTTTCACAAACTTTGAAATCAGGTAACTTTGGAAGAGTTAAGGCTTCAACTTCACAATTTCAGGACTAGAGTGCAGGCCTTTATTTTTATTTCTGGAGACTGATTTCAGTATAGGAAAATGAGATGCATTGTTCATGCCAGATAACCTTACCAGTGAGTTCCTATATTTGTGTTCCCTTCTGAATATCTATGCAGAAGAGTATTTAGGTGGGTTGCAGCATCACACAAGAATGGCAAGTCTTTAATCCTTTTTTCACCATTGGATTTTGCCTGCATTACGGGAAAAAAGGATTTCTTTCAGTACTTTAGAAAATATCTTTAATACCATAATCTGATTTTATATAGCATAGCCAAATACCATGTTGTACATCTGATCCATCCAGCCAAGCATTGAATTGCTGTGGTTCAAGCCCCAAGCAGTTCAAACCATCTCACTCATCATTTTATTATGTGTGTTTTTAAGGTTTTAGTACAAAGAATTTCCTGGTGAATGATTCAATGAACTGACATAAATAATTTCTATAAAATGTTGTTATTGAATATTATAATATAAACATGTTATGTTTTATAGCACGTATGAAATTACCATCCCCAGGAGGAAAATTTTAGATATTCTTATTACATTAAGCTCCTTTAAAAAAGTTTTTTAAAACTTTTTCCAACACACAAAACTAAATACTTTCCTGCTGCTGTCTGTTTCATCGGCACCATGTCCACCATTTCTTCGGTCACACCAAATTTCTCATCACATCACAGATAGAGCTTACAGTGCTCACATCAGCTGTGATAGAAAATGTCACAAATAATTTATCTTTTCATGCAACTTGTCCTGCACGTTTTGCACTAATTCTTCAATACCCTGAACAACAGTGTTTCAGGCTACACTTATATTTACAAAAGGTTATTTCTGTGTGTTCAGGATACACGATTACAGCTACATTCAATAAACACTTTTAAAAACTCATCACCCCTAAAAGGCTTCATGTTCAGCAGTTCACTTAACTCATTATTTCACAGTTGCAACAGCTATTTGTTCACATTCAGAAACAAATCTTACTGAAGTTGTAGTTCTTTTTTCTCATGTTATTAAGTTTTCATCATAAATCTTGCCCTATGCCAGCATTTATTGTGGTTTATTTCAAAATGTCATCGTATGCTGTATTCCTTCAGTACAGATATGCTTATTTGCATGTTAAACACCTAACATATTTTTACATGGAAGTGAAGAAAATTATTTTCTCACATTTTTATGGCACATTCAGTATTTTGGATCTTTATTTTGTTGCTTTAATATGAGGATATAAGAATTTTTTTACTTATATTCAAATAAAAGAGAAATAAAAGCACAGTTTGACAACTAATGGTAATTTACATTTGGCCTAAGAGTTGTATAGGCAGTGGAGACTGTGGCAAAGGAATACATGCCCTGTCTAAAGGTGCAAAGTCTCTACCTCACTGCAGCTAGGTATCATTTAGTATTTCCAGATCTTCTGCTTTTATTAATAAAAGCCAGAAATTCAGATTTTTGTAGGAAATTCCTCAAGTTTGAATGTTGTTAATTAATAACATGATTTCCAAAAACAATGTGTAGGCCAAACAGAATATACATACATACACACACACACACACACACGCGCGCGCGCACACACACACACACACGCACACATACACATATGGGCACACACATGTATATTGTGCTGATTGGGCTTGTGTCAGTTTAAAACCTCAGTTTTATGTAATCATAAATTCCAAGAATGTGAGAGCTGGATGGAACTTTAGAGTATATGTAAAATAAATAGCCATTGGGGGGGAAGAGTAAGACCAGACTCTGGACTCCCGACTCCGAGTTCAGGACACTACGGGTTTCTAATCTGTTTTACAGAAAATATTTTTGATCTGAAAAGTTGAAAATCAAAGCAGAAAGAGTTCAAAGAATGATAGTTAGTTTGCTTAAGTGGCTTATTTTTTTACCTGAATTAACTGGGTAGTTCTATCTACCTTTTGCTCATTTTTAGCTTAATAGATTTGACTATGTGGAGAGAAGGGGGAGTTAGTACTGTCTGGGTTTCCTCACGTTACCTATGATTCAGAATTAATTACTGTTTGCTTCCTGCTTTAGTTCAGGTAGGTAGAAAATTCTGTTTTCACAACATGGAGCATTAGCTATTCCAGGAGAAATGTCTGTATTAAACGTTGTGGGAGTGAAAGCATTCCTCACAAGATTTAAAGTGTTTGAATTTAAAATTCGGCTGTTGTTTTCAACTGAATTAGGAGGGATTTCACAGTGAATGTTCCTAAATGTTCAGAGTCTCCTGTCCAAAAAGAAAACAAAAGGATTGGGCCTGGACATTAACAAAAAGAACAGCAAAATGACTCTGAAGTCATGTGAAAGCAGAGTTAGTAAATACCATGTGAAATTATTCCATCATGTGTTGGCCTTACTGTTGCCTTTTTGAAAAATAGGTTAATAAGGTTCACCTTTCTTTCCACTTCATTCTTCCGACTGTGATGTAGTTGGATGATTGCTTAGTGCTATTTATTGAGGGTTTTGGTTTTTGCATTTTTTAAGAAAAAAAAAAAAGTTTGGGGTAATGTAGAAACACCCTGAGCCTAGCACAGTTGGACATAGGTGACCAAAAAGTGGACTTGGCTTAGACAATCGGTGAGAACAGACTTGTGATATCACCAGGGGGGATGATCACACTGACCCCACAGGCATCTTGGGACGAAGTAGGGAAGTGTACCCACCGTGAAGTCTACCCGGAAGTATAACAGTAAAACTATCGTCGACATTCATGATTGATGTCATTTTATATTTCTCTTTATATAGGTTTGGTAGTCTGAAGCACGTAGCTGAATAGTTTTATTACCACTGGTAGTTAACAGCAACCTGCTGGAGATGCCAATAACAAGCTAAAATTCAGAACCTCGTGCTGGGAGAAATGTGATTTTGTATTTTCACTCACCCACAGACATTTTGTATTTGTGGTGATCCAATCTCAGCTTTTTAATTCTGTCTAAGAAGTTGCTATTTCCAGGGAAACATTTCTGCCATGATTTCGAAAAGGGAGAGGTAAATCTAACATATCACCTGGAGATTGACAGGAAAGGAAGGAAAACAACTCTTTTGAATGCTTTTGGAAGAAAAAAACCTGAGCCATTTTAGTCATTCCCATTTCAGAAGGTTATTCTCATCTGAAAAAGACATTTGAAAAGTTGAAATGGAATACTGCCACTGCCATACCTCACATGGCAAAGGGAAGTAACAGACAATTATTTTTGTAGCTGCTTCTCAAAAGAGAAGCTACGTAGGACTAAGCCTACATTTTTAAGAAAAAATGGGAAAATCAGCAGTTATTCAGTGAATTTCAGGTCAAGAGTCAGTCATGATTTTTGCCCTGCAGTACATAAATTGGCTTTTCTGGAGGGAAAATAGCTTCCAGTCCCTCTTCCATTATAATGATAATATGGTTTTATAATATAAAACAGTTAAAAAACATAAACACATAATAATTGATTTCGATTTTTCACTTCAAAGATATCTATTGAGCACCTACTATATTCTGTGCAGGCCAGGTGTTGGGGCTTCAGTAGTGTACAGACAGGCATGCTCTGGACCCTCTCTCACCATGCCTGAGGATTCCACCGAAGACTCCTCCACACGTGATATTGGTAAATGCACATAGACTTGTGAATAATTTTGTAAGAGATTATCTTACACAAGCATTTCTGCAGCATAATATGACCTATCCAACAGGTCATTCTTTACTGATGAATATAACCATGCACCAAACTCTTTAATGACTACATAGTATTCAGTTGCATGTTTCTACCATTATTTAGGTAAAGCTATCTTTTATTTAAAAAATTATTTTGATGGAAAGCCTGAAAATGAGGTCAAGCCTGATTTGTAGCCAAATGGCTAACCAATTGTACAAACACTTAGAAAAAAACTCCTTTTTTTCTGATTTATAATGCTGTTTCTGTCACCTGCTGAGATCTCCTTCTGTACCCTTCATTTCGTGGATTAGTCTGTTTCCCACTATGTAATAGTATAGCATTTAGGTGGTACACCCCCTTAACGCTTCCTCTTCTATTCCCCACAACCCCTCCTATTCTCACAGATTTATCCTTCAACATGGCCTTTGGATATCAGTTTTTCAAGGCCACTTCCCCAAAAAATAGGAGTTACCACTTTTTTTTTATTAGTCTCTTATGTTTTCAGTTAAATTTATATACAAGTTTTTATTTATTTGTAAATAATTTAAGTGGGATTTTTAATGTTCTTTCTTAAACTAATCAAGCTGTCAGTTGATCATTTAATTTAATGCATATTGTTAATGATATTTTCAGTGGATTATTTTTGGACTTAGTATGTTAATATCATCTGCAAGTAATGGTAATTTTTCAAATTTAATTTAGTTAATTAATTAATTAATTAATTTTTTTGAGACCTGGTTTTGCTCTTGTTGCCCAGGCTGGAGTGCAGTGGCACGATCTCAGCTCACCGCAACCTCCGCCTCCTGGGTTCAAGCAGTTCTTCTGCCTCAGCCTTCCGAGTAGCTGGGATAGGCATGCGCCACCACGCCTGGCTAATTTTGTATTTTTGGTAGAGATGGGGTTTCTCCATGTTGGTCAGGCTAATCTCGATCTCCTGACCTCAAGTGATCTGCCCTCCTCGGCCTCCCAAAGTGCTGGGATTGCAGGCATGAGCGACCGCACCCGGCCAATAATGGTAATTTTTATCATTTCTAATATTTAAACCTTAAAAAAAGTTCTCATTTTAACTGTACCTCTTAAATAATATTCAAAAATAGTGATGTTAAATTATTATCTCACTTGAGCTTTATTGAGGATGCTTCTAGTATTTGTTAATCTTAATGGTTCAGTTGAAACTATTAAACGTGTGGTCTGAAATGCATGCTTTGTTCATTTTAAGGAATTATCCCGATTCAGATTTTATTCAATCCTTTTTTTTCAATCAAGAATAAATGTTGAATTTTTTCAAAGGTTTATTTAAACCAATAATTAACAGACTTCTATGATTTTTATCCTTGACTCATTGACAGAATGAATTATTTAAATAGATTTTCTAGGATTATTTTTCTCTGTACTGTTGGACTAGGTTATTTGCATATTAATTCTTTATGATTCACTCATGACCATTTTGGCCTGGAGCTTATTATAAATCAATAACTGGCAACTTTCTCAATGATATTTTTTGCTTTTTAGCCTACTAAGGTGTTCCAATTAATATATACAACATTTTTCTACAAAATTACGCATTTCACTCAAGTTTTCTAATCTACTAACATATTGTTCTTAAAATTTTATCTGAATCTCTGTCTTCCCCTCCTATATCCAGTATTATATACTTGCATTTTTTCTTGATTAGCTAAATGTTTGTATGGTATATTGAGTTTTTTTCCTCAAAGAAAACTTTAACCTATTAATCTACTCTTTCTCCTCTAATTTATTGTTATTTTTTATCTTTAAATCCATCTTTTGGCTTGTCAGGGTCATTCAATTGCCGGGGGCAATTCTTTGGATTCTTTATAGCGTCTTCTGTTGAGCACTTACTTCATTTATTTTATTGTCTCTTAGCACAGTAGGTATATTTTACTCAATATTGTCTTGTATTCGATATGTTCTATTACATAATTAGAGTGAGATTTTTTTAATCAAATTATTTTTGGGAGTATAAGGACACATAATTCTGACCCCAGTCAGTCAACTTTCCCACAAACTCCCTGAAAACTCAAGCCCTAGTACAACCTAGGCAAGAACCTAGAAAGCTGGAGTGAACTGTGTGGAACACTAATTTTTCCTAGACAGAAGAGGTTGAAATAGCTTGTGGTGAAAGGCAACCATGCAGACTCTTCTATTTTACTTATTTTAATGGGCAAGCCCAAATCCAATTCAGTATTAGGATAGTTACAGTACACGACCACCAACGCTATGAGAAATGGAAACAGAAAGGTAATGCTGAGCAAGGAAAAGCTGTTAGTGCAGAATGTCTAGTGTCCAGCTCGTCTAGGCCATGGAAGGGTCTCCAGTGGAGGAAGAGAGAGAGAAAGGAGGTGAGATGCTCCTGCCTTCTTCCATGCAGGAACAGGTGCTATTGTTACCATCCTGACTTTCTGGAAGGGAAATGCAGAACATTCAGACCTATGGATCTATTTTTAATATTGATCACTAACAGATGTATCCCAATCTGAGTCCTGGAATGTGAGCAATTGTATCAATTCTTGTTCTCTGTTGGAAAGAGCAGGAGAAAGACAGGAAAATAAACACAGAGAAAAGAATCAACTTATCCCTAGTGGCCAACTGTTTTCATCTGTACCCATTAAATATTTGTTATTTTCTGCAGTTGTGGTTTTGATGCCTTCCTTGATCTAAGAGTTGTGTAGAAGACCATTTTTAAAATTTCCAGCAGATCTGGCTTACTTCTATTTTAGGTATTTATGTCTAGTTATATAGAAATATGATCACTGGAGGTGATTTAAAAGGGTTCTTTAACATTTTAGAATCTTTTGACTATGGGCTCATGTTCATTTGTGGTGGCTTTCCAGGACACTCCTGTGTGCTCTGGGCTAGAGAAGTATCCTTTACAGATGATTTTATTTTCCTACCAGAGCTCCAGGGAGCTTTCCCTAGCTGTGGGTCTGGTTTTTTTGGGTCATTTCTCAGCCTAGATTTCCTGAGTCCCAACATCCTCCTTGTCTCAGGCTAAGAGGGCTCTAGTTTTCTTCAGCTGATTCCACCACCCTGCCCCCAAGCAGATTTCACGCTTCTCTGCTGCTTCTCCAGGCTGAGGGTGGAATTCTCCAGGACCTGCATGTCCTGATTTTTGGTGGGTAAGTCTCTCCAGCTCCCTGTGATCTGTTATCTGGACCCAGTGCCCACAGGACTATCAAGACTCCAGACAATAAGGGTATGTCTGTTGTCATTTTGGCTTCAGCTTCTACTCTGGGATTACTTCTGTGACTTCGATTCTCTCTTGACTTTGTATACCTGGAGATTTCTCTTTCTTGATTTCAGCACAACTTTATAATTGAAAGTTATTTTGCTAAAATATAGGCAAATGACCTGAGTAGACATTTGTCAAAAGAAGACATACAAACGGCCAACAAGTATATGAAAGTGTGCTCAACTTCATTAATCATCATGGAAATGCACATCAAAACCAGAATGAGATAGCACCTCACACCCATTAAGATGGCTGTTATCAAAAAGACAGAAGATAAGTGCTCATAAGAATGTAAAAAAAAGAAAAAAAGAAAAGAAACATGTATACTGTTGGTTGGGATATGAATTAGTTCAGCCATTATGGATAACAGTATGGAGGTTCCTCAAAAAATTAGAATTACCATATGATCCAGCAACCTCATGACAGGGTATATACCAGAGGAACTGAACTTGGTATGTCGAAGGGATCTCTGCATTCCCATGTTCATCACAGCATTGTTCACAACAGCCAAGACAAGAAGACAACCTAATGTCCATTGACAGATACGTGAATTAAAAAATATAGCATACAATGGAATGTTGTTCAGCCTTTAAAAAGAAGGAGATCCTGTCATTTATGATAACATGCATTAGGGTTCTCTAGAGGGACAGAACTAATAGGATAGATGTATAATATGAAAGGGAGTTTACTAAAGAGTATTGACTCACACCATCACAAGGTGAAGTCTCACAATAGGCTGTCTGCAAGCTGAGGAGCAAGGAAGCCAGTCCGAGTCCCAAAACCTCAAAAGTAGGGAAGCTGACAGTGCAGCCTTCAGTCTGCGGCCAAAGGTCCAAGAGCCCCTGGCAAACCACTGATGTAAGTCCAACAGTCCTAAAAGCTCAAGAATTTGGAATGTGATGTTTTGAGGGCAGGAAGCATACAGCATAGGAGAAAGATGAAGGCTGGAAGACTGAGCAAGTCTGCTAATGCCACCTTCTTTTGCCTGCTTTTTTCTAGCTCTGCTGGCAGCCAAGGGGATAGTGCTCACCCAGATTAAGGGTGGATCTGCCTCTCCTAGTCCACTGATTCAAATGTTAATCTCCTTTGGCAACACCCTCACAGACACACTCAGGAACAATACTTTGCATCCTTCAATCCAATCAAGTTGACACTCAGTATTAACCATCACGGTGGATGAACCTGGATTACATTATGCTATAGGTAAAATAAGCCAGACACATGTGACAAATGCTGTATGATTTCACTTACATATGAAATCCATCAAAGTCAAACTCATGGAAGCAGAGAGTGGAATAGTGATTGTCAGGGGATGGAGGGTGGGGTAAATGGGGAGATCTTGGTCCAAGGATACGAAGTTTCGGTTATGCAGGATGAATAAGTTCTGGAGATCTAACGTACAGCATGGTGACTATAGTTAACAGTGCCATATTCTACACTTGAAACTTGCTGAGAGTCATCCCCAAGTGTTCTCACCACAGACACACAAAAAAGGTAGCTGTGTGAGGTGGTGAATGTATTAATTAGCTTGATTATTACATTATTTCATAATGTATACATATATTAAAACATCACATCACACAGTAAATGTATACAATTTTTGTCAATGATGCCTCAGTAAAGCTGGGAAGAAAGAACACATACTCTCTAAAGCCAAACAAAATTTATTTTGTTCTATTTTATTTAGAATTTGTACATTTGAGAAACAAAGGGGCGGAGGTGAGGAGAGGGTCCCTGTGTTCCAATTCCATTTACACTGTTGCCTGGGAGTCTGAGTTGACAGTGATACCAATACCATGGCTAATGGTTCAGTTCTGGGCCTCAGTTTGTATATAATTATAGGAACTATGCACAATATGTCTTCTTCTATTAATTTGCTTCAATTAAATTCAGCAAATACTTATTGGGAATGTATTACAGGGCAGTTATTGTGTTGGGTACTATGAGAGTTATGGTCTTGATTGCCAAGGATTCATGGTCTAGTGGGACGGGCAGATGGACAGAACTGTGATGTAATGGAACATGCATACACACATGTGTGGGGAAGGGCATATCTGACAAATAATCTGAAATGAGGGAGATGCAATAGCTGCTTTTTCTATTTTATGCTGCCCATTTATGTTGCTTTCATTTTATCCTTACTGTCTCCTGTTCTTTCCCTACTCCCCTGGCCCAGTAGAGCAGACAGAATATGCACTTTCTCTTGTGCTGGAGGTAATCCAGGAGTGAGGCCACTTGATAGATTCTGGGGGTAGAAACCAGAGTGGAGAGATGAATCCAAGAGGTTCTCAAGTTTTGGGGGCCTCACAGAATCCTTTGAAAATCTGGAAAAAAAACAACAACCCAGAAACTGATAAGCTCAATTCTCAGAAAAATACTTCTTTGTGCATGTGGTTTCTGGTTTCCTGAAGCCCCTCTGTAGACCTCCTAGGGTGAAGAACTGCTGAAGTCAATGTCAGAGAAAACCTCTTCAGGTTTTGATTGCAAGTCCTTCTGGAAAGAGAAATAATTTCGTTTCAACCACACAATAAATAAACAGACACATGGATGCCATGAGAGTCAGTTAACATGGCCACTGTCTCATCAGGACATAATTTACCCTTCCTAGCACTGTCTAAATATGGTTACCAGCATTAATACTAACAAACTATGGAGATGTTATGAACTCAGTCCCCATACGGGTAGAGTATGGCAACAACTGTGGTCTAATCAGCCATCTCTCCCAACTGTAAGAATTCAAGCATATAAAACCCCAGCTACCAGATGTGATGCTGTAGAAACCATCTGCAAGTTTAATGCTGTTGTAATGATGATGGAAAGACTCAGTGTGAAATCGAATATCTGATCCTTGTTTACAAAAGTCAAGTATGTTGACTCCCACTTTTGCTATTTCAATTGCCTTCACCCTGTGTGAATCACAGTTGTAATACCGACACATTACTTTTGTCAGTGTAAGATAAAAAATAAAGTATTATTTTTTCTTTAATTGGATTCTCAATGCACTATAAAAATTTCAGTGTGTTATCATCTGAGGGTAATTTGGTTCTGGGTAATCTCATATGATTAAAATTTCTAAACAGTGGAACCCTGATTGTGGGATGCATATTCTTAGCAAACAAATGCAGTTTTTACATTTCTTATGATTTTATTTATGAAGAGTATTTTTAATGAACTGCATTTGATTTTTTATCTCAAATCTACCCCTTTATTTTTGACTTGCTTTTCTTTTTGTTAAAAGTCAATATGTGTAACAGTTTTATGAAAACCTTATAAAATTCAACCTTATAAAAAAGAAAAATTATATTTCTTTTAAATGAGAAAAGATGCCTCATTTCTCCTTTCTCTGCCCTTATCAGCTTCTTTAATGACATTGCATATTTGTTTTTATGTTTTTAATTATTGACAAAGAAGAGAGGAAAAAGTAAAAACATATATTACATTTAATATGTATCAAATACATACTGCCCTAATGTGAAATTATGAAAAGGGGAAGACCCTTCAACAGAGTTGAAAGAGCCCCAGCCCTGGGTTACAGGGCTTAGAGGTTATTTCTAGCTCTGAGCCTAGTTTTCTGTACAGCCTTGAGCAAACCACTTACCTCTGTCCATTTCTCTTTTCTTGTCTTTAAAATTGACAGAACAATTTCATGGAGACTTTAAGTGAAAATCAAATGCCTGTCACAATATAGCACCCCTCCATACACAAACATCTTAGTCTTTCCCTTTCTCAGTAATTATATTATTTATAAGGAGGTATTCATTTATTTACTTGCGTAGTACCTTTTTGCTTTGTTGGGACGGGGTCTCACATTCCCAGCATCTAGCACAACGCCAGCACACTATACTGACTCTCTCATCCTTCTCAAGTCACCTCTCCTGGGAAGCTTTTTCAGAGCGGCCGCCCTCCCCCAGGTGGAATTGACATTTCAGTCTCTCTTCAAACCCCTGCCTACCCAGTACAGATTTCTCAAAAATCACATGCTACATTTGATTGCATTTGTTCTGTTTAAGTCTTTTTGTTCTTGCAAGTTCATCAAGGGTTTCTTGGACAAGAACCCCGTCTTAGTTTATCTCTGTGTACTGAGCATCTAGGATAGTGCACTGTCTACAGTAGATACCTGATTTTTAAGTGAATGAAAAACATTATGATGGTGGAGGTTGGGCTAGCACACTAGGTGAATTGACTTACGTTCTGGCAGTCTGTCCAATCCACCTTAGAAAGCCTTGCCCATTTCTGGGTGGGCAGGGGAGCTGTGGTTCTGAGAGGTGTGCTGTAGTTAGGGTTACTGTATGTGCTGCCTTGCCTGCCACACTCCCATTTCCTGCCCGCTCACCCTGGCATCCCATTCAGCTTTGCGTTCATCCCAGATATATGTTACTTTAATATTTAGAAAATGTTTAGAGAGTTTTAAAAGTAATTTCATAGGGCTGTATTATCATTTTCTTTATGCATAACTAGATATATTTTACATATCATAAAATTCACCAGTTTCAGAAGTACACTTCAGTGACTTTTTGTCAATTTACTGAGTGGTTCAACCATAACCATATCTAGTTTAGAATATTTTCATCATCTCAGTAAAAGCCCTCATGCCCATTTATGGTTAATCCCTATTTCTATCCCCAGCTAGTAATCTACTGTCTATCAATTTGCCTTTTCTAGGAATTTCATCTAAATGGAACCATGCAATATGTGGTCTCTTTTGTCTGGCATCTTTCACTAATGCTTCTGAGGCTCATCTGTCTTGTAGCAGGTATCATTCGTTCATTCCTTTTTTATTGTGAGTAGTATTCCAATTTATGGATATACTACCTTGTATCTATCCAGCTAATAGAACTATATTATAATTTAAAACCAATTGTTTGGTAATAAATATTTCAAAAACACTGTATACCTTATTATTTTGGTGTCCCCTGTCTCCTCTGAATTATCTGTTTGGATGGTACCAGCACCCTGGCTACAGCATAACTTATCCACAGGTAATTTCCAGTGTAGAGAACCCTTAGCCAGGTTGGTTTGATTTTTTTTCATATCAACATTTCTTGAGCACCTTTGTGCTGGATCCTAAAGATGAAAAAATAAGTAAGATATCATCCCTGCCTTTGAAGAACTTATAGTCTAATAACAACAGCTAACATTGTTGAGTACCTACTATTGCCAGGTATGGTTCTAAGTACATTACATGTATTATCTCATTAAATCCTCACGATAGCATATGAGGAAGATAGTACCATTTGTCATCTTTTATAGATTAAACTGGTTCAGAGAGGTTAAGTAACTAGCCCAAGTAACTTCCACTGGTTTAGGAGACTGGGTGTATGGTCGATGGTGGTGCTGGTAACTGAGATAGGAAACTCAGAAAATAATAATAGTTCTTAAAATGCAGGAATGGAAAAGGTACAAAGAGAGTTTGAGACAGATCGAATCTGAGATACTATGGGACGCTTGAGGAGAAATTTTCAACGGGTATTTGCATCTACTCATTTAAAGCTGGGGCACGAAATCAAAGCTAGAAATATAAATTGTCATTAGCATATAAGAGGAGTAAAGTCACAAGAAAGGATGCCACTCAGGGGAGAGTGTGTAGAAGGAGAAAAGCTGAAGCTGAGCCTTGGGGAGCACCAGTGTGCACAGGAAAGCGGGAGCAAAGCCACTCCACACCCAGAAGAAACATCGGGGATATGGGAGGAGAACCAAAAGATAGCTGGGCCGCAGGAGCCAATAGGCAGACAGATGAGGCAAGGAAAGCAGCAAATGCAGCATAAAGACCCAGGAAGATGACACCAAAAGTGTCTCCTCAATGTGCGAATGTGGAGGCTATTGATGACATTTGCTTTCAAAGACTGGCAAGGTCGGAAGCCAGTTGGTAGTGGATTTAGAAATTAATGGGCCATAATTGCAAGTAAGGGCTACTCTTTTGAGAGATTCAAGAACTAAAGCCTTGAAGCCTTAGAGCATTAAAGGAAGATTTTCTTTTCAATATGACAGATTTGAGAATACTTACACACTTGGGGTAGGGAGCCCAGAAAGGAGAAGTGTTGAAAATATTAATATAAGAGAGTAAGGAAACAATTCAGTAGTTCTCAACCCTGGCTATATGTGAGAACCACCTGGGCTGGAGAAAGCAGTTGGGGGGATGCCGTTGAAGAACAGAAACTCATTCAGCTGGTCTGGTAGAAGGGCTGAGGCATCGATACAATTTGTATAGCTCCCTAGATGATCCTAATTTATAGCCAGGGTTGAAAAGCACTGGGATAATTGATAGAATGGTATTTCAGAGGAGGTGGGAGTAGTTGGGATTAATAGCAACACAGAGGCATTGGCCTTGACCAGGAGAACAAGTATGTGAGTCTGTGAGACCAGGGGTGAACATGAGTATGTTTGTAGATAAGTTTACAGATGTAAAGGTAGGAAGTTGAAGTAGCACATGCCTATTCAGTATTCTCAGTTGAAGGGTGAGGCTAATAGGTGAAGGGAGTTGGAGCTCCATGGCTTGAGAAAGGAGATAAAACTTTGGAATACATTCTGGAAGGAGTAGGGTGGGGAGTTGAACAGTGGTCAGCTTGTGCAGATGGCCCACCTGTAGTTGGGGACACACAGTCCTAATGCAGTTCCAGTGTGAAAATAAAACCTAAAAGGGCCATTTCCTCCAGCAGTATGGGTGCAGAGAGGGAGACTTACAGTCATGATCGAGGGCTGGGGTTTTGTCTAGAATGGGCTCAGTAAGGACAGGGTGGTAGATTCTGAAGATCCCACTGATGGAACAGTACAAGAGTTTTCAACCATGGATCCCGGGAAAAGGAGAGAAGCAAGTGAGGGCAGAGGAGGCTGATTAGGAGGAAATGAAGGGCATGGAGACTGAATGGGCCACTGAGATCCAGGTGAAAGACTGGTAAGGTGAGTGGCATGAACACACTGGCAGGATGGGAGCTCATGGTTGGCGCATGCTATTGGAAGTTAGGCTAATATGGATCAGCTCCAAGGTGCAGTGCTTGACTGTGGTTAAGGTTGAATGAGGTAAAATTAAAAGTAAAAGTCTGGGCCGGGCGCGGTGGCTCACGCCTGTAATCCCAGCACTTTGGGAGGCCGAGGCGGGCGGATCACGAGGTCAGGAGATCGAGACCATCCCGGCTAAAACGGTGAAACCCCGTCTCTACTAAAAATACAAAAAATTAGCCGGGCATAGTGGCGGGCGCCTGTAGTCCCAGCTACTTGGGAGGCTGAGGCAGGAGAATGGCGTGAACCCGGGAGGCGGAGCTTGCAGTGAGCCGAGATCCCGCCACTGCACTCCAGCCTGGGCGACAGAGCGAGACTCCGTCTCAAAAAAAAAAAAAAAAAAAAAAAAAAGTAAAAGTCTGTTGAGTGGAAGATGTAAAGGACATATTAGGCTAGGGTATTGGATGTATCATTTGTCTGGAGATTGAAAACATCCTATAAAGGGTTAAGTTTGAGCTGTTAAAAGATGAGCCTGATGCCCATGTTTCTGATGAATAAGAGAGGACAATCATAGACATGCATCAGGATTAGTGAGATAAGGAGAGGTAGATAGATGTTAAGCAATGAGACTCAAAGCAGGGGAGAATTTTACCAGAAGGTGGTAGATAATTCATGGTTTTTGTTGGAATGAGGAAAGCAGAGATGGTAAAACTTTCTTCTAACTCAACTCCATAGTATTTAGGCCATGGAACAGGTGGCATTTTCCACCAGAGAAATCTGCAGGGAAAAAGGAATCCTGGGAAAAGATGAGTTTGGGGTAGGCAAGAAAGTGCAAGGTATGTTCTAATCAGGAGCTGGTGTGGAAGGGAGGTATTTCCCAAAGTCTGGCATTGAGTAAACAGCAACTGCACTGGATAACAGGGACCTTCAGCCTGAGAGCTGGATTCCTGCTTCAAGTCTCCTTCCATCCTTATAACTCATGAAAGAGAAAGTCTTCATATACGTTGCCATTCTTTGAAGATCCCTCTATCACTTGCTAATCTTGCTTTCTAGCAAAGACAGAGTAGGCCTTAGGCATAAAGCTGGATTTTAATAGGGTCTTGTTAGTATTTCATCTATTTTAATTTTTTTTTTTTTTTTTTTTGAGACGGAGTCTCGCTCTGTCACCCAGGCTGGAGTGCAGTGGCACGACCTCCGCTCACTGCAAGCTCTGCCTCCCAGGTTCACGCCAGCCTCCTGTCTCAGCCTCCTAAGTAGCTGGGACTATAGGCGCCTGCCACCACGCCCGGCTAATTTTTTGTATTTTTTAGAAGAGACGGGGTTTCACCATGTTAGCCAGGATGGTCTTGATCTCCTGAGCTCGTGATCTGCCCGCCTAGGCCTCCCAAAGTGCTGGGATTACAGGCGTGAGCCACCGCGCCCAGCCTCATCTATTTTAATATTACCTTTCTTCTAGAAAATGATCCCGGTCATAGAAAATGATCCTGGTATATTTATGTCATATAAAATCCTTTGTAAAATATGTATTTAAGTCTTTAAAAAGCAAGTTCATTTTTAAATATTCAGTAAATAATAGCAGAAGTGGCAAAAAAAATAGCAAAGGTGGTATGGGAATGACTGGGGTTTTGGAAGTTCTGACCCAGGGGGTGATTTATGAAGGACAGAATGCAGGGGAAGGATTTAAAAGGGACAGCAGGCAAGAACACTAGGGAAGGAAGGAAACTATGAGAAGATAAAGGGTCCAACATCCGAGGCAGACCTAGACCATTCGGATCTTCTGAGTTTCCTTAGGATAGTCCCCAGAAGCAGAAGAGGCCCATGGAGCTCCTCTCCCCGGATCTCCTGTTGCTGCTCAACACAGAACTCAGAGACCAGAGAGCCGGCTGAGCCAGGGCAGCCTTTGTGAGGCTGTGCTCCCAAGCAGTTAGTGGGAATTTTGTGTGCTTATTAATGAAGGTTCTTAATGGAGTCACAGGAAAAACCACAGACCTACCAAGTTGAACTCAAACAGCACCTTGCTATGGCTTCTTTTCTCCCAAGATGTAGTTCATTAGGAATAAGTTTCTGAATGTGTATAGCTGAGGGTACTTGGGTTTTAAAGCAATGGAGTCAAGCAAAGGCAATAGTGAGAGGTTTTTAGCCCTCCACAAGGAAAACTACAAGATGCTGTCAAAAGAAATAACGGACAACACAAACAAATGGAAACACATCCCATGTTCATGGATGGGTAGAATCAATATTGTGAAAATGACCATAACTGCCAAAAGTAGTCTAGAAATTCAATGCAATTCTCATCAAAATACCACCATCTTTCTTCACATAACTAAAAAAAAAAAAAAACAATTCAAAAATTCATATGGAGCCAAAAAAGAGCCTGCATAGCCAAAGCAAGTCTAAGCAAAAAGAACAAATCTGGAGGCATCACAGTACCTGACTTCAAACTATACTGTAAGGATATATTCACCAAAACAACATGGTACTGGTATGAAAATATGCACACAGATCAATTGGACAGAATAGAAAACCCAGAAATAAAGCCGAATACCTACAGCCAACTGATCTTTGGCAAAGCAAACAAAAACATAAAGTGGGGAAAGGACACCTTATTCAACAAATGAGGCTGGGATAATTGGCAAGCCACATGCAGAAGAATGAAACGGGATTCTCATCTCTTACCTTATACAAAAATCAACTCAAGATGGATCAAAGACTTAAATCTAAGACCTGAAACCATAAAAATTCTAGAACATTAGAAAAACCCTTCTAGAAATTGGCTTAGGCAAATACTTCATGACCAAGAACCCAAAAGCAAATGCAACAAAAGAAAGATAAATAGATGGGACTTAAAACTAAAAAGCTTCTGCTCAGCAAAAGAAATAATCAGCAAAGTAAACAGACAACCCACAGAGTCGGAGAAAATCTTTGCAAACTATGCATCTGATAAAGGACTAATAACCAGAATCTACAAGGGACTCAAACAAATCAGAAGAAAGAAAATCCCATCAAAAAGTGGGCAAAAGACATAAATAGACAATTCCCAAAAGAAGATACGTAAATGGCCAACAAACATACGAAAAAATGCTCATCATCACTAATTATCAGGGAAATGCAAATCAAAACTACAATGTGATACCGCCATACTCCTGCAAGAATGCCCGTAATCAAAAAATCAAAAAATAATAGATGTTAACATGGATGTGTGAAAAGGGAACACTTGAATACTGCTGGTGGGAATGTAAACTAGTACACCCATTATGGAAAACAGTGTGGAGATTCCTTAAAGAATTCAAAGTAGATCTACTGTTTGATCTAGCAATCCCATTACTGGGTACCTACCTACAGGAAAAGAAGTCGTTTTAGGAAAAAGACACTTGCACATGCATGTTTATAGCAGTGCAATTCACAATTCCAAAAATGTGGAACCAGCCCAAATGTCCATCAGTCAACAAGTGAATAAGCAGAATGTGACATATATGCCATGGAATACTATTCAGCCATAAAAAGGAATGAAATAATGGCATTCGCAACAACCTGGATGGAACTGGAGACCATTATCCTAAGTGAAGTAGCACCAGAATGGAAAACCAAACATCATATGTTCTCACTCAAAAGCGGGAGCTAAGCTATGAGGATGCAAAGGTGTAAGAATAATATAATGGACTTTGGAGACTTGGGGAAGGGTGGGAGGGGGGTCATGGATAAAAGACTGCACATTGCATGTAGTGTACATTCCTTAGCTGATGGGTGCACCACAGTCTTGGAAATCACCACTAAAGAACTTATCCATATAACCACCTGTTCCCCAAAAACTTATTGAAATATAAAAAAAAGAAAAATCCGTCATATCCAAAGTATACGATACCCTGTAATTTTCTTTTTAAAAAAATTTTTAAATATATTTTTTATTTTATTTTACTTTAAGTTCCAGGATACATGTGGTGAATGTACAGGTTTGTAATCTAGGTATATGTGTGCCATGGTGGTTTGCTGTACCTCTCAACTCATCACCTAGGTTTTAAGCCCCACATGCATTAGCTATTTGCCCTGATACTCTCCATCTCCTCCCCCAGCAACAGGCACCAGTGTGTGTTGTTCCCCGCCTTGTGTCCATGTGTTCTCATCGTTCATCTCCCACTTATGAGTGAGAACATGTGGTGTTTGGCTTTCTGTTCCTGTGTTAGTTTGCTGAGGATGATGGCTTCCAGCTTCATCCATGTTCCTGCAAAGGACATGATCTCATTCCTTTTTATGGCTGCATAGTATTCCATGGTTTATATGTACCACATTTTCTTTATCCAGTCTAGAATTGATGGACATTTGGGTTGGTTGCATGCCTTTGTTATTGTGAATAGTGCTGCAATAAACATATGTATGCATGTATCTTTATAACAGAATGATTTCTTTCGTTCGTTTGTTCGTTTGTTCTTTCTTTCTTTCGACAGAGTCTCGCTCTGTCACCCAGGCTGGAGTGCAGTGGTGCTATCTCGACTCACTGCAACTTCTGACTCCCAGCTTCCAGCAATTCTCCTGCCTCAGCTTCCCAAGTAGCTGGGACTACAGGCGTGCACCACTATGCCTGGCTAATTTTTGCATTTTTTTTAGTAGAGATGGGGTTTCACCATATTGGCCAGGCTGGTCTCAAACTCCTGACCTCATGATCCACCCACCTCAGCCTCCCAAAGTGCTAGGATTACAGGCTTGAGTCACCGCACCCAGCCAAAACGAATGATTTATATTCCTTTGGGTATATACCCAGTAATGGGATGGCTGGGTCAAATGGTATTTGTGGTTCTAAATCCTTGAGGAATCACCATACTGTCTTCCACAATGGTTGAACTAATTTACATTCCCACCAACAGTGTATAAGTGTTCCTGTTTCTCCACAGCCTCACCAGCATCTGTTGTTTCTTGACATTTTAATAATCGCCATTCTGACTGGCATGAGATGGTATCTCATTATGGTTTTGATTTGCATTTCTGTAATGATCAGTGATGTTGAGCTTTTTTTAATATGTTTGTTGGCGGCATAAATGTCTTCTTTTGAGAAGTGTCTCATCATGTCCTTTGCCCACTTTTTGATGGGGTTGTTTTTTCTTGTAAATTTGTTTAAGTTCTTTGTAAATTCAGAATATTAGACCTTTGTCAGATGGGTGTTTTCCAAAAATTTTCTCCCATTCCGGTAGGTTGCCTGTTCACTCTGATACTAGGATTTCCTATTTAATAAATGGTTCTGGGAAAATTGGCTAGCCATATGCAGAAAACTGAAACTGGACCCCATCCTTACACCTTATACAAAAATTAACTCAAGATGGATTAAAGATTTAAATGTAAAATCCCAAACCATAAAAACCTTAGAAGAAAACCTAGGCAATACCATTCAGGACATAGGCATGAGCAAAGATTTTATGATGAAATAACCAAAAGCAATTGCAACAAAAGCTAAAATCGACAAATGAGATGTAATTAAAGAGCTTCTGCACAGCAAAAGATACCCTGTAATTTTCAAAGTAGTTAAAACAAGTTTAAATAAAGTCTAAATTCTTTCTTAAAAAATAATAAAATAAAATAAAATGGATAAGGAAAACCAGGTGGCATATAATACTCAAACAGTGAAAAAGAAGGAATAACATGTTCAAGTTGAAATATTTTGATTATGTTGTGGTGTCATTGGCTCTCGTCTTTCTGCTGTGACCAGGGCATGTTCATTCAGTCATCAAAATCCCGAGGAGCTCAGTTGTATGGTTTGGAACAAGAACATGAGTTTCAGTATCAGCATGCCATCTTAATGGCCTCAGAACAGTGCTATCGATTATGACCATTCAGAAAAATATGATTCTTGCTTACTTGACAAATGAAGAGCTGCCTCATTGTCTTAATTCATCTTTGGAAATAATGCAAGCATTTCATCACTCTTGCATGGCTGAATTTGCATCCGAGATCATCTTGGAGCATTTCACAGGAGCTACACTCCGGAGGGAAATACTACACATAGAGGCAGAGAAGGCAGACCTGAGTATCACACCGTAAAAGTAGAATTCTCACCTTTTTGTCCACTCTCCGCATTTCACAGGGGAGAGGGAATGATTTTGATTCTATGCTTTCAGAAATTTTGGCTTACATACGACTTCTCATTTTGAAAAATAGCGATTAGTGTTGTCACATCTAGTCTCTCAGGATAAACTGCTTTACAAATTTAACATTATGGTTTGGAAATTTTCTTAGTTAAGTACCAAGAATTTCTAGTTTTTATTACCCGTAAATTTCAATTTAACACCAACCCGCAAAAAACAATAATCTTCAGTGCTCAGAAGATGTGCAGTCCCCATAGAGCAGAGCAGACTGTCTATATTGACCAAAGTTTTAAATACCAGAGCAGCACTGATACTGCTGTTGGGAACAGGTATCACCCAGAGGGTTTGTGGTTTATCAGACATTGTCACTGATTCTCTTGCTCCACATGAAATGCTCCCTCTTTTCATTGAGAGTTCAAAGTGTAGAAAAAGAAGAAACTGATCAGATGGTAATTTATAATATAAAGTTGTGATTGTGGCTTTAGTGAAGATTGCTGAGTGAATACGAGAACAAGATCATTTAGCATAAAATTAACAGCAGAAGCTTTGGGGTTAAAACCTTGAAGTTCAAATCCAAACTCTGTACTTATGTAGGCAAGCCCCTTAATATCACTCAGCCTTGGCTTTCTTACCTGTGAAAATGGGATGATGATAATAATAATAATAATAATAATAATAAATGCCTACCATCTGGCATGGGCATGAGGTTTTTAAACCATTTTTAAAACTTACATTTTGACCATTTTTATTAGATTGGTGCAAAAGTAATTGCAGTTTTTCAAAAACCTCAATTACTTTCACACCAACCTAATAAGTGTACAGTACAGTAGCACTAAGTACATTTACATTGTTGTGCAACCATCACCACCATCTACCTCGACGTTCTCATCATCCAAAACAGAAACTCTGTGCCATTAAACACTGACTCCCCATTTATCCCTCCCCCGCAGCTTCTGGCAACCGCCATTCTACTTTCTCATCTCTATGAACTGCTATTCTACTTTTCTCATCTCTATGAATTTGCCTACTCTAGGTACCTCCTATGAGTGGAATGATACAGTATTTGTTCTTTCCTGAGCATGGTATCTTCAAGGTTCATCCATGTTGTGGCATATGTCAGAATTTCCTTCCTTTTTGAGGCTGAATAATATTTCATTGTGTGCATATACCACATTTTGTTTATTCATTTATCTGTCAATGGACATTTGGGTTGTTTCCACCTTTTGGCTATTGTAAATAAAGTTGCTATGAACACGAGTCTACAAATATCTATTTGAGTCCCTGCTTTCAGTTCTTTGAGTATATACCTAGGACTGGAATTGCTGGATCACACAGTAATTTTGTTTAATTTTTGGAGGAACCACCATGCTCTTTTGAGTTTACAGTGAGAAATTAGAACAAAACACTTGGAATCTTTCTGAACTTTGCACTCAAGCTTGGCATAGAAATAAAACTGATTTGCCTTCCAGACGCCAGGGCCTCTTCTCCTGTCCAAACTAACTTTACAGGTAATAGTATTTTTATAATTACTATCTAAATACTATTATAATATAATCGTATCTTAATAATTACTATTAAGTAATCCCCTTTCTACAAATTAGTGGAGAAGTACTTCCAAGTCATGGCTCCTAGTTAGACCATGAAATACTCGTTCCCGTGGACTTATTATATTTTCTGGCTGAGTCATTAAACTAGGCCTTATTCACAAATAATATAACCAAATGATAATAAGATGTACCCATAACCCTTTTGGCCTCATCCTGATAGTTAACCTTTTCTGGAGTAGGTCTAAATGCGTCCTGGCCACAGTGAGTGAGGCGTTGCTGCAGGGATTGCATGTTTAGAAAATGTAGGAGGCAGGGGAGGACACATGGTTTTAGGTGCTGCCAGAAAACTCCTTCCAACATCTAGAATTTCTCACCCTAAAGCAGTGATATGGTTTGGCTGTGTCCTCACCCAAATCTCTTCTTGAATTTTGGCTCCCGTAATTCCCACGTGTTATGGGAGGGACCCAGTAGGAAATAATTGAACCATGGGGGCAGTTTCCCCCATACTGTTCTCATGGTAGTGAATAAGTCTCACGAGATCCCTCATACTGTTCTCATGGTAGTGAATAAGTCTCACGAGATCTGATGGTTTTATAAGGGGTTTCCCCTTTCACTTGGCCCTCATTCTCTCTTGTCTACCACCATGTAAGACCTGCCTTTCGCCTTTTGCCATGATTGTGAGGCCTCCCCAGCCACATGGAACTGTGAGTCCATTAAGCTTCTTTTTTTTTTATAAATTACCTTGTCTCCGGTATGTCTTTATCAGCAGCATGAAAATGGACTAATAGAAGTAGGGAGAACATTCTTCCAGTGGGTAACCTAGAAAGAGAATTGGATGTTTATACTAAAGGTGTCTCTTTGGGACTTTTCTGTCATTTTACATTTTTGGCCTTTTTTTTTTTTCTTCTCAGGGCCTCATCCTGGGTTATTTTCTCTCTCTAAAAATCACATCCCCGGCTGGTCACAGTGGCTCACGCCTGTAATTCTAGCACTTTGGGAGGCCGAGGCAGGCAAATCACTTGAGATCAGGAGTTTGAAACCAGCCTGACCAACATGGTGAAACCCTGTCTCTACTAAAAATACAAAAATTAGCCAGGTGTGGTGGCACACACCTGTAATCCCAGCTACTCGGGAGGCTGAGACAGGAGAATCGTTTGAACCCAGGAGGCAGAGGTTTCAGTGAGCCAAGATCATGCCATTGCACTCCAGCCTGGGTGACAGAGCAAGACTCCATCTCAAAAAAAAAATTAAAAATATAAATAAAAAAATAAAAATCACATCCTCCTGTGGCTTTATATACCATTTCTATTACTGCCCATTCTCAATTTTCCACCTCCAGCCCAGCGTCTGTCCTGAGCTCTTTTATTTATTCCTATATTTATTTGACAAATTTTATTGAGTCCTTGCTATGGGATACATCAGTGAATAAAATAGACAGAATTCCTGGAGGGTTTGCATTCTAACAGGAGGAGACCGTATTAGTCCATTTTCATACTGCTATGAAGAAATACCTAAGACTGGATAATTTATAAAGAAAAAGAGGTTTAATGGACTCACAGTTCCACATGTCTGGAGAGGCGTCACAATCATGATGGAAGGCGAGGAAGAGCAAGTCACATCTTACGTGGATGGCAGCAGGCAAAGAGAGAGAGAGAGCTTGTGCAGGGGAGCTCCTCTTTTTAAAACCATCAGATTTCATGAGACATATTCACTATCACGAGAACAGCACGGGAAAGACTTGCCCCCATGATGTAATTACCTCCCACTGAGTCCCTCCCACAACACGTGGGAATTCCTTCAAGATGAGATTTGGGAGGGGACACAGCTAAACCATATCAAAGACTAAGTAAATAAGTAAACATAATAAGCCTGAAGATGACATAGTGTGTTAGAAGGTGAGATAGGTTCTGGAAAAGAAGTGACACAAGATAGGGAAGCTGGACCATGATGAGGATGAGAGGGTTGGGTTGCAATTATGGCTAATTGTGAATAATTTTAAGTGTTCTTCTGTGTGTAATATCTTCCTTCTTAGATGCTTAGCTCCACTGGGGCTTACATTCTGTCCTGAGGCACAGAGGATGTTCTTTTTAATGAGATGTATGATTGAGTGAGTAAAGGAGGCAACGAACAAACAGGCACACAGGAAGACAGAGGCAGAATGGCCTGGACCTGTACCCAGGCTGTGGGATAGAGTGGGGAAATGGATTTCAAAAATACTTTCTGCAGGAACAGGCAGAGGCATTTGTCAATCAAGTTGACTTGATGGACCTTGGTACAGTACAGCAACAAGTCGTACCAACACTGAGGTTTCTGACTTGGAAGATGTGTGCCACGTGGCCGTGTTGCTGTTCTGGGAAAGCTAGATGCCAGAAACTCATAGCCTTCTCTGTGTTTCATTTGCATAGGCAGTGGGATTTCTATTCTGAAAACATACCATTAACGAAGAATTTTTCCAATCCCTTCTTGGCTTAAAAGTAAGCTCCTCTCCCATCTCATAAACCTCCAATTCATTTAGCTTTCTCTGCACCAATGATTCTTTACTTGTGACAAGAAATAGAGGAGCACTTCACAGAAACAGGAAAACACTGCCAGCTCTGATTACATCCACCTCACCTCTTCCTGCAGTTTTTCATCTTTTTGTACTCTTGATCCAGAAATATACAAGTGCCAGCCATGCTAGTAATCAACTCTACACAGATATGGACTTCTTGCTTTTTTGCTTTCTCATTCTTCCCTCATTCTGTACTTTTAAAGTTATAATTCCCACGCCATCGTTTTTTAAAAGCTTGTTTCTCTGAGTGGCTTACTTGAATTAAATGCACCCTGTGATTTTTTCCTGAAAGATGGCAAGTTCTGAATATCCCCTAGCTTATAAGCAAGTGATTTTTCCCAGCGGTGCACACATGCATCGGCAGTAAGTATCTCCCCGGTGAACATTTTCTGACAGCAGCCCCTGTAATTGCACCCCACTTAGCTGGAGGCAGATGTAAGCAGAAGTGGCCAAGGGAGCTGCAGCTCTCGTGTTCTGAGCAGAGCAGAGACGGAAGGGTTCAGATAGAGGCATGGTGTTATTTCTGAGATTAATCATGGGGTTTTTCCATTTGAGACAAGATTAAGTGAGGATTTCCTCCTCTGTTAGATGAGTTTCCACTGGGATTTTTTACAGCCCCCTCCGGTCCATCTGTCATTCTGTCATCCAAAATTGACATTTTGACTATTTACACACAAAACTAAAGAACTCACCCATATTAAATATTGGTTCTACATTTCCTTTGGCTCATTAGTGGCATTTTTCTATGGCAGTTTTACATTTGTCTGGAAAATAAAATCAAAGACTAAGTAACACTGTAAGAAACATACATAAGGACCAACTTTAAGATCCTAGGATTTACCTTTTGGAATTTGAGTGCACTTTCATCTTGCATTTTGAGTGGAAGGAGATAGGAGAGCACAGTTTCATGGTTTGCTGACTCGACTCACAACTCCTATCTATGAGGCTGAGCTGTTGATCACAGCCTGGGGGGTGGGGGAGGGGGTGACTGAAAGGTCATGGGAACTCCAGGAGCAGGGACAGTGCTACCTAGGAGGTGAACCCAGAGCTAATGGGCCCAGCCACTGGAGAGTCAGCATTCAGGAATAGCCTTCAGTTTCTGGACACGCTGCATTGAGTTATTGAAAGCACTCCAGCTTTGGAGCAGACAGACCTGAATTTGAAGTCTGACCCTGTATCTACTGCCTTTATTATCTGGCCTGGTTCAAATGACTCAGCCTTGGTGTCTGCTTTTATAAAATGAGAAGATTACACAGATTAAATGAGTTCATCTATGTAGGTGCTTAATAAAAGAGTTTGACAGGCATCCGTACTCTGGTCAATGTTAGTTCCTGTTTGTCCCAGGCCCCAGGCGGTATGACAGTGGCGTCATCTTAGAAGGGCACTGGAGTATTAGCATAATACCGACATGATAAATCAGACATGAAAAGAACTTGTTAGGAATCCCAGCTGTGTTGTCGTGATACAGAGCTTATCCCAATGGTGGTTGGGGCCATGAACCAAGGGGAGCTGGTGCCCAGTGTGGGCTGTCTGTGTCCCCATGCAGTGACTTGGAGAGAGGAATCTGGTGGCCAGGGTGGGGCATCTCATCCTGGGCTGGCTTATCAGGGAAGCGCAGTGGTCAGGACTGAGACACTGAAGGGGGCCAGGTGCCAAGCCCTGTAAGACGAGGTCTGTGAGATGAAGCTCAGAGCCAGAGGGGCCACAGAGAGGGGCGTGGGCTGAGCCCAGAGTGGGCAAGGAGGGCAAAGCACCACGGAGGGACAAGGGCAGGGCCTCCTTCCTATCGTCACACTTTCATGTCCTAAATCTCTTCAGGGTCTGCACATATAGCTGGCACTGAGGTCATTGTGAACAAGATAGACTCATATTTCATTGGCTAAAAACAGAGGAGAAAATAAATACAAGACTTAATTCTAATGTTTGAGAGTGTTTGCCACTTTGCAAAAACAAACAGCATCTCTAACAAGTAGTTTCTAATTGCTGTGGTTTGCTCTTCATTGATCCTACACCAGCTTGCTCTGCTTTAAATGAACTTTCTTCATACCTCATTCAGGACCCTCCATGACTTGGAGTTCCTCCTCCAAATCGGGGCTCATTAGCATATCTCAACCGTTAAAACCTTATCCAAGCAGGTATTCTCAAACCAACAATGACTTGTCAACAGTAGAATCAGCTCCTCTCACCTGCTTCCAGGTACTTCCTCCTGGAGGTTGCCTTCTTCTGGCCTGACCTACATTGTTGCAAAATAAAAGGTGGACCTCGGTATTCTTTACTATATACATATATGTATATTTGCTGTCGCCATCTCCCAGGTGCATTTCCCTGCCCTGGGACACTGCTTAGCTGGGACCCTTCCTTTGTCTCATCAACCTACTGGACCAGGTTCTCATTCTTTCCTTGCCCTTGGTCTTGCCCTATTCAAATCCATTTTCCCACTCTACAGCCCTAGTCATCTTTCCAAAATGTACACATAACCATGTCAGTCCTTTATTGAAAACTTGCGGTGGCTTCGTGTTGCCTTCAGAATGGAGTCCAAACTCCCTAATGCCACCACATGGGGTGTGGAAAGGCCATATGCTGTATGTGCAGAGGACTTTGGTGCCTCAGAGCAAGATGTCATCACCATCTTCTGCTACCTTCCTAGAATAGTTTCCTGTGGTTTTGATGCCTGAGCTGGATTTTAATGAATGAAACAGAGTTCACCTGGCAGGCATGGAATGCGAAAGGCATCCCAGGTAGAGCGAATAAAAAATCATGATATATTCACAGCATGATCAACAATCCAGTGTTGTTGGAACTTAACGTGAAGGAGGGAGTGGCCTTATTTGATCTTAAAAGGAGTTTGGATTTTATTTTATAAGAGATGGGGAATCATTGAAAGGTCGTCAACTGGAAATAATTTATATCTTAGAAAGAGGAGGTTGGCAAAGAGACTGAAGGAAGGAAGGTAACGTTCACTGAATACCTACTGACATGTCAGGGACTCTGCTGGATATTTTAGGTTATTTCTTTTCATTTTTACCAGAACCCATTTTGCAGATGAGGAGAAAACTTAGATTCAAAAAGATTCTGAAATTTTTCTGAGACCACCTAGCATATAGTAGTGGATCCATGTGCTTTCCACTAGGCAGATGGCTCCAGGGGGCCAGGGTGGCCTCAAGAGTCCATGAGCCACTGGGCACTGCAGGTTGAGGGCTCACAGTCTTGTCCCTCTCCTGCAGGTGCTCTTTGCCTGAAGCCACCTCTACTCAGCACTATGTAGGACCAGCACTGGAAAGAATTTTTAGGAGTTTTCTATTGCTGCCTAACTAATTAGCACACACTTAGCTGCTAAAAACACCTATTGAGTAGCTCACATGCAGAAGAGCTGAGTTCTCTGCTCAGGATCTCAAAGGCTGGAATCAAGGCATTGAATGGAATGAGTTCTCATCTCCAGGCTCTGGGGAATAATCCACTTCTGAGCTCATTCAGATCATTGGGAGGATTCACATCCTTGCAGTTGTAGGACTGAGGTACCCTTTGCTTGCCCTAGAGGCTGCCTGCATTCCTTGCTATGTGGTCCCCCACCTTCAAGCCAGCGACAGTGTGTTGAATTCTTCTTGTGCTTTGAATCTTCAACTTTCTCTTCTGCTTCCAGGAGGAAAAAAAAATGCTGTGCTTTTCAAGGACTCATGTGCTTAGGTCATCTCCCATTCTTAAAGGCAACTGTGCCACAGAACATAACCTAATCCCACGAGTCAAATTCATCATATCCACAGTCTTGGATTCTGCAGGGTGTGTCCACCAGGGGACATGGCTGTTTGGGAGACATCCTAGCATACAACCTACAACACGTGCCTTGATTACATGTATGTTCAGAATTTGCCATTATTTAAAATAAACATTTTCTTTTTTGGGGTAGCCCAGGATTTTGTTCTATCTGCTGCCTAACTTACCAGAAGTTTCCTTAGAGAAGAAGATCTTAGCAGATGTTGCATTTCATAAATATTTTAGGAAACAATTTATTTCTCTTCTGCTTAAGCCTGAGGGCTGCAGACTGACCCACTCTTTCCTTTCTGTGTATACAGCCTTGGTGTCTCACTGTTCAGGGTGGGAAACAAGGAAGGTTCAGGTTATCACCCCACTGACCTACCTGGGGCCCAAAGCCACCACCACTTAGTCAAGGAGCTTTCTCAGAATTCTCTGCCCTTCAGCCATGTGTTCAGATGAATAAAGAATCCAGACTAATAAAGGTCTTGCTATTGATTAAAGTGCTTCAGCATATCAACCTTAGTTTATGAGTTCTAAGTTCTATGAATAATAGATACTTTTACTTATTTTCCACTTACAAACATTCTTCAATTGCATGTATTTTTTAAAACAATAACAAAAACAAAAAGTGAAAAAGAAACTATTAGCCCACCACTGCTCAGGGTGGGGGCGGAGAGTGGAGAGAAGGTAGAATGTGTGTGATAGTTCTGCCCCCGCACAGCTGGTCGGTCACCCTGCCCTGTGGAAAGACAGGGTGACTGAAGTGTTTGCTTGTGCCTGGGTGGCTCCCTCATGATCAACCAGCAGGAGATATGCCTTTATTGGAGCACCTCAAGAAGAAAGCAACTGAAGAGAGAGAAGAGTGTGTAGAAGAATTCAAGTTCACGAGGGACTGAGCAATATCAGAGTCATAAAATTCAGAGGCAAAGAGACCCACCTGTCTCTTCCCTGCTTAAGACTTCGTGTTGAAGCTGCTGGCATCTTCCTTGGGGAAATTGCCCTCAGGAAAGGGATAAAGTTAAGCCTTTGTTTATATCACCCAAACATTTAGAGGCTTTAAAAAGATGGTAAAGTTTATTTATTAGCCTGTTTATGATAATTGGCCAAAATAGTTGGAATACTATTTGCTCAAATGATTTTATGATAGATTTTAAGATGTCTGCGATTTTATTTTGCATGGATGATAGCTGGGACAGCAGACACCCATCAAAGCGTTACTAATAAAAATGAATAAAAATAGGTCTCTTGATGTTTGACATTTTCTATTAAAGAAGACTTTCAAGGAAAAGATCATCATAAACTTTCAGAGGCCAGGAGAGGGGAGCCTAACCTTTCTTTAGTGTGTACCACGTGTCACATACTCTATACGTGATTTTTCAGTCCCAACAGTGCTTGCTTTTCTGATGTTACAAATGAGAACACAGGTTGAGGCAGGTCACGGTCCCAGAGTTGCTGTGTACCCAGTGCTGTGGCAGCACCTGCCATGGTGCCCGGTGACCATGGAACCCAGTGACCACACTCTGCTTTCATCAAAGCCAACAGCCGGAGCAAAGAAAAGAATTCACTTTGTTTTGATAGATGAGTCTAGTAATTTTAGCACTTTTAAAACTGTTTATTTCTCTATGCCATAGGATGCTTTCAGTGAATGAAATCTTCTCCACTAAACCATGATGATTTAAGTTGTTTGAAAGGCAGCACCATCTGTTTTCCACTGGGCTTCCCAATAGAACACAACACAATTTCAGTTGAAATCAGTTGCTATTTATGTTTTCAAGATATTTTTTCTTTGGACTTTAGTACAGCTCCTGAAGATTAAGGTTTTGGACCGAGGCTGTCAGAATCAGGCAAGTTCAGTCCCATTCCCCAGTTTCTGACTGAGACTGAGCAGAAAATAAATATGGAAAGCAGAAGAGGCACTACTACTGAACAGTCATGAACCCGTTTATGCCTAGTGTTCCATTACTGGAACGCTAAGCTTGTGGGAGTTATTTATATCCTATCGCTCAATGTCATTGCCAATGTCTGATTTTTCACACAAAAGAATTTACAGCCTCTGGCATAAATGGGTTAAAACATGGTTGAATATTGAAAACACATACCTATATAGTCCCCATGTAGCTAAAGAATTAACACTGAACAACAAAATGAGTGAATGCTTTTAGCAAGAAAGCTAACTCAGCAGGATTTTTTTATGCTACCAGTCTCGTTTTACACTGAGACAAGTAAGGACTGTATTTTGGATAAATCTTTCAGTCCTTTATTCAGCTAGAGCAGTGGTTCTTAATCGGGACAGTATTCCCCTTGGAGGACATTTGACAAAGTCTAGAGACATTTTTTAATTGTTACAACTTGGGTATGGAGAGAAAGGGAGATTGCTACTGGCATCTAGTGGGTAGAGGCCGGGGTTGCTGCTGAACCTCTTACAATACACAGGGCAGCACTCCTGCCCCCAGTAAAGAATTATCTGGTCCAAGATGTGGGTAGTGCTGCTGTTGAAAAACTCCAGGCTAAAGGGAAAGAGTCCTCCAGCTGTGTCTGGCAATAAAATCAGTGTGCTGAACAAGAAAAAAAGGAAGATTATCATCCGCCTGGACCCTGAAAGAAGAGAGGGAGTTTTCTAGCTCCCAAGAGGGGAGAGAAACTAGCTTCAAGTTCAAGGAATAAATACTATTTTGACTTACAAGTTGACATACCTCCTTAAGGCCAATATGCGGTCTATTTCCTAGGAGACTGTTCAATTTCTTCTCCTTTAAAGATTTCATATTCCCCAGAAGCTAAGTCAAAGGATTCTTTTTAAGAGTGCAAGAAATCTCAACCAGATGGTACAATCTGACTCCTTCTCGCAGTCCCTGAAGTGTTCATACATATACAGGAAAAGGGTTTAGGGCTCAGGTACAGTGATCCCCTTTTCAACATTTGACTTGGTTTCTCAGGATTTGAACTTGGTTTGCTTTCAAAAGTGGCTGACTAAAGCAGTATCTGACATGTAATAATCCACAAGTCCCTCAGAAGCTTCAATATAACTAATCAGATCTCTGACACAGAAGCAGACTATTTTAGAACAGAAAAAATCCAAGCTACAGAAATAGAGCACCTAAACTTTCTTATTGCTCTATTAATAAAAGCTACTATATAAGCCCTTGATCATTTCTATAATTTTATACCATATTAATAACTTCAGCAGAATTTAAATTGGGTTCACATCAGATGGTGTTATCTTTTAACAACTTCCACACTAAGCATATAATTAAAATGCTCCAGTTTAAATATTTTCCCCAAGGTATTAACTACTAAGATATTCAGACAATGATGAGCTAAAGTTAGAGTGTTCATGGATGATGGCTCAAGCTTTTAAGTACTTCAGATAGGGAAAAGGGATTTATTACAATGGGTCTAATTGATATAAAAGAGGAATGGTAAAAAGTTGCCTTTAATTACTCAAAGGTCTCTTGATATATTAGCCTTTGGTCTTTTAAGTAACTAACCTCCGTCAGTATTTGACTAAATTTTCTCCTATGTGAATGTGACTGGGCAAATATTAAAGAAAATTTCCCAAATCAAAAGAAAGCTTTAAGCCATTTATGTGCCAGAAGTTCAGAAGTCCTGGGCTGGCTGATGCTGGCTTTGATCTTCTGTGATTACTTCTATAACTTTGAGAGAGTCAGTGTTAGCACTCCTGGCCTTTGCCTTCTTCGTTAAGCAGCTCTGTCTTTCTTAAAGTAGTTCTGTTATCCACAGGGAAACTGAATCATAGAGAAGGTGGCATTTAATTGGGCTGTGAAGAACTGCTAGACTTGCCTGTGGTTGCAGAATGCCACAGCTCTCTCAGATTTGGGCCTCCTTTCTCTTTTACATTTGTGTCCCTGGACTATAAGTCTCATTTTACCAGTTCATCTGCACCCATATTTCCCCTGTTTCCTGAAAAGAAATAAGAAAGATGACTCTTTTTGTCATATATTAAAGTGGACTCCAGAGGAGATATGGAAGCTTCTCTGGAGTGTCTGGGTGGTTGAGGGAATGGATAAACAGCAGGAGAACTTTTTGTTCCCCCCTATAATGATTAAATTGTGATTAGTGTAAAAAAAAAAAAAAGTAAGTTTGAAGGAATTATGACTAGCTCTGGGACACTGAGATGCTGAGGTCCTCAGTCAGTCAGGCCCTGGGAAAACTACCCCCTAGAGCAGTAGAAGCTTGTGAAGCTGGGGAGGACTGTCAGTGTCAATACCTGCCACTTGCACAAATCATTTGCTTGAATTGTTCATCTGGTGAAGTTAGGGATGACTTGAAGATATTTCCATAAGGCTTGCTATAGGGGCTTGCATGAGACAGGATCTCATAAAATATGGTGCCATCTTGGGTCTTGTGGGACAGATGGGAATCTTGAAGAAATGACAGCTGATGAAAGAGAGCTGCTTCTGCTGGTGCTGGTACTGATGGTGTCAGCTAACATGTATTGTGTCCCAGGCACTTTGTAAAGTGCTTTATATGCACTTTCTCATTTAATTCTCAGATAAGTCTAATGACGGAAGGTAAACAAGCCATTTAACAAAAGAGGATTAATTTGTTTTCTTAGAAGAATGTTATTAGTATGTTTCAAAGCAGGAATGGGACTTGGGCAGAGCCTATGGTGTTTGACTGTACTATATGGCACTCTTATTACTGTTAAAGACTTTGCTTTCAAAGCCTGTCCAGAAGAGCTCAAGGAGACTAGACCCTATAGTAGGAATCCAGTAAGTTCCTGTGGACCTAGAGTTACCATCTTCTTCCCAGCCCCTGTCCTATAGAAGTATGTCTTCCTCTTGATCAGGGCATTAGGTATAGACAAGGGTGTGGTCTCTGGTCTAGGGCTGGAATTCTTTATTGGGCTCCTGGAGTTCTGTGTTGAGAAAGACCCAAGGCCACCTTCTGGCTTAGTTAGAAGTTAATATTTTCTCTGGATGAATGGGGAGTAGTGAAATGCGTCTCTGTTAGGCTGTTCTTGCATTGCCATAAATAAATACCTGAGACTAAGAAACTAATAAAGAAAGGGGGTTTAATTGACTCACAGTTCTGCAGGCTTTACAGGAAGCATGACACTGGTATCAGCTCAGCTTCTGGGGAGGCCTCAGGGAGTTTTTACTCACGGCAGAAGACAAAGTAGGAGCAGGCACATCACATGGCAGAAACAGGAGCAAGAGAGAGAATCGAGGGGTAGGGGTAGGTGCCACACACTTTTACAAAACAAGATCTCATGAGAACTCACTCACTCATCACCAAGGGGGTGGCCCAAGCCATTCATGAGGGATCTGCCCCCATGATCTAAACACCTCCCACCAGGCCCTACCTCCAACACTGGGGATTACATTTCAACATGAGATTTGGTGGGGACACAGATCCAAACCATATCATCCCACCCCTGGCCTCCAAATCTCATGTCCTTCTCACATTGCAAAATATAATTATCCCCTGCACATAGTCTCCCAAATGTCTCAACTCATTTTAACATCACTAAAAAAGTCCAAAGTCCAAAGGCTCATCTGAGACAAGGCACGTCCCTTCCACTGATGAGCCTGTAAAATAAAAAACAAATTATCGACTTCCAATATGCAATGGTAATTATAGGCACTGAGTAAGCATTCCCATTCCAAAAGGGAGAAATTGGCCTAAAGAAAGGGGCAATAGGCCCCACACGAATCCAAAACCCAGCAGGGCAGTCACTAAGTCTTAAAGCTCCAAAATAATCTCCTTTGACTCCATGTCCCACATCCAGGGCACACTAGTGCATGGGGTGAGCTCCCAAGGCCTTAGGTAGCTCCCCCACTGTGGCTTTGCAGGGTTTAGTCTCCAAGGCTGCTCTCATGGGCTGGAGTTGAGTGCCTGTGGCTTTTCCTTGCTGAGAGGTGCAGGCTGCCAATGGATCTACCATTCTGGGGTCTGGAGGATGGCGGCCCCCTTCCCATAGCTCCCCCAGGCAGTGCCCCATTGGGGACTCTGTGTGGATGCTCCAACCCCACATTTCCCATTGGCTCTGCCCTAGTAGAGGTTCTTCGTGAGGGCTCTGCCCTTGCAGCAGGCTCCCGCCTGGATATCCAGGCTTTTCCATGCATCCTCTGAAACCTAGGCAGAGGCTCCCAAGCCTCAACTCTTGCACTCTTCTATATACCTGAAGGCTTAACACCACATGGAACCTGCCAAGGCTTACAGCTTGCACCCTCTGAAGCAGCAGCCTGAGCTGTACCTGGGACCCTTTGAGCCAAGGTTGGAGCCACAGTGATTGGGATGCAGGGAGCAATATCCCAAGGCTGCACAGGGCAGCAGGACCCTGGGCCTGGCCCACAAAACCATTCTTCCCGCCTAGGCCTCTGGGCCTGTGATGGGAGGGCTGCCATGAAGGTCTCTGAAATGCATTTGAGGTCTTTTTCCCATTGCCTTGGATATTAGCACTTGACTCCCTTTTATTTATACAGATATTTCTAGCAAGTGGTTGCTCCATAGTCTGATTGAATTCCTCTTTACTTTTTCTCTGCCACATGACCAGGCTGCAAATTTTCCAAACTTTTATGCACTGCTTCCCTTTTAAATATGAATTTCAACTTTAAGTCATTTAGTTGCTCCCACATCTGGCAATAGGCTGTTACAAGCAGCCACGCTATACCTTAGACACTTTGCTGTTGAGAAATTTCTTCCACCAAATTCTATAAATCATCACTCCAAACTTCCACACATCCCTAGGGCATGAACAGAATGCAGCCAAGCTCTTTACAAAGTTGTAACATGGATGACCTTTGCTCCAGATTCCAATACATTCCTCATTTCCATCTGGGAGTTTGTCAGCCTAGATTTCACTGTCCATATCACTATCAGCATTTTGGGCACAGCTATTTCAACGGTCTCTAAGAAATTACAAACTTTCCCTCGTCTTCCAGTCTTCTTCTGAGCCTTCCAAACTCTTTCAACCTCTGCCTGTCAACCAGTTTCAAAGCTGCTTCCACATTTTCAGTATCTGTATAGCAATGCCCCACTCCTCAATACCAGTTTTCCGTGTTAGATTATTCTTGTATAACCATGAAGAAATACTGGAGACTGGGTAATTTATAAATTTAGAAGAAGAGATTGAATTGGCTCATGGTTCTGCAGGCTTTACAGGAAGCATGGCACCGATATCAGCTTAGCTTCTGGAGAGGCTTCAAGGAGCTTTCACTCATGGCAGAAGGCTAAGCGGGAGCAGGAACCTTACATGGCAAAAGCAGGAGCAAGGAGGGGGTCTGCTACAAACTTTTACAAAACCAGGTTTCATGAGAACTTATCTCCAAGGAGATGGGTTAAGCCATTCATGAGGAATCCACTGCCATGATTCAAACACCTCCCACCAGGCCCACCTCCACACTGGGGATTACATTTCAACATGAGATTTGGTGGGGCACACATCAAAACCAAATCAGCATCCTGTGTGTTTCTCTCTTTTTCACTCGGACTTAGGGTGCTGAGTAAAGACAGATGGAAAAAGCACCGCCATTCTCTAGGGTTGCCTCTTCCGAGCCAGACCACTGAGAGTGATCATAGTTATCGCCCTGGAAAGATACGAAGCCATAGGAGGACCAGTGGCAGGAAGAAAAGGGAAGTCAAAAGACTGATGGGCTGTGACTAAGGCTCCATGTTGTGTTAATGGGGGTGATATCAGTGGCATTACCACTGAGTGCTGATATGTTCCAGGCAATATTCTAAGCACTTTACTCTAATGACTCCTTTCATACAACAATTCCAATAATTAGGTACCACTTTTATCCCCATTTTAAGGATGAAAAATGAAGCACAGAGGGATTAAGCAACTTGTCCAAAGTCAGACACAAGTAAGAGACAGAGCCAAGATCTGAACCCAAGCAGTCCTAACCACTTAACTATCAGCCTTTCAAACTTTATCAAACCCAGAGATTAATGCTTACAATGAAGCCAAAGTAAAAACTAAACGATGACAGAAGAAAATTATTAGGTAAATGGCACCCTCTCTTGGGGGAAAGAGTAGTGGTGCTTTGGCAGAAATTATCCCCCCCACACACCAAATAAAACCATTAAATTTTGATAAACTCTGATTTTTATCTTCCTGCATATTGTTTTCAAAAATTTTAGAAAATGATCATACTATATTATAGATCATCCCTAACTTTTAAACTATACATGGCCCACCTCGGTCATGCCCACTGTGACTACATTCCCAGGAGCAGTTGCAAAAAGTGTGAAGCTTTTAGAGAGTCTGGGGTTCAAGAACTGGGAAAAATATGTGGCTATGATAGGAAGTGGCCCCCTGGGACAGATTTGCAGCCAGTAATTTATCTGCTTGGACAGCGGACGTCTCAAGCACAGCCTTGTATGAAGTAAGTAGGACAGGAAGCCACGGGATGGAATCCTACCTGCCTGGGGTTTACACTGTGCCTGATGTGGTAGCAGGAAATCAGATGGGAAAGATTCAGATACCAGAAAGAACAGTTTGGACTTTATTTAGAAGACTACGTTGAGTCATCTGTGCTTCAGACTGAATGACAGGCACAGGGAGGAGGAGGATCTAAATGAAAGAGCCGGGGAAGAAGAGCTGGTGGCATTGTCTCAGCAAGAGGCACTAAGGGCTAACCTGGTGCCCATCACAGGAGCAGAGGGGGGATTTATATGTGAAGTCCATGAGGGAAACAAGCATACTGACTTGCATTGGTATATACAAAGGGAAGATATGTTCAAGAATGATTCTGATGCTTTGTTTCTAGGTTTCTATAACGATATCAATAATGCATAAAGGAGGTGGGCGCAGCTGAGAGGAATGTTTGTTGTAAATGCCAACTCCTCCAAGAGGTCCTCCCAACCACGCCTTCCAAAGTGGGTTTCCCCTCGTCCACCCTTGAGTGCCTTCTCTAGTTCTGTCCCTTGTGTTTCTTTCATAACAAATCACAGTGTGTGGTGATTTTGTCTGGACTTGTTTGTGGCCTGTTACCCCTGCTGCAATGTAAGTTATGTGAAGACAGGCCCACATTTTCCCTGTGTCCCCTACCTAGGGCAGGGCCTGACCCAGAGCTATCAGCAGTTGTTTATTGAATAAATGCATGAATTGAATAAGTAAACATGTAGAGTTTGAAAGTTCACCAGGTTGTTCCAGCGGGCACATTACAATGTGGGACTGATTCCTTGAAGATGGGCTGGGATTCTCTATGACCATGTGGGAATCACATGGGTTCATGGTTGATATCACGAGATCTAAGGGATGAAGCCCCTAAAGGAGAGGGTGTAGGAAAAGAAAAGAAAGTCTGTGGACCAGCAGGGAGGCCTGCATCCGAGGGTTGTGGGGAGAAAGGACATCCAGTGAATGAGAAAGAAAGGGTGGTGGGAGACAGGAAGGGGCCACTGAGTCAAAGGAAGTGGGGGTGCTCAGAAGCTTCTGGTGCTGCACACCAGCTGGGAAAATGAAAACAGGTGAAAGACTGTTGTATTTGGTAACTAAGAGATCATTTAGAATCCTAAGGAAGGTAATCTGAAGGTAGACATCAGATTTTTTTAATATACTTTAGGTTCTGGGGTACATGTGCAGAACGTGCAGGTTTGTTACATAAGTATACACGTGTCATGGTGGTTTGCTGCACCCATCAACTCGTCATCTACATTAGGTATTTCTCCTAATGCTCTCCCTCCCCTAGTTCCCCACCCCCTGACAGGCCCCGGTGTGTGATAGGCATCAGATTTAAGGAATGAATGAGTAGCAAGAATGAGGAAGGGACAATAAGCTCTTTGAAAGTTTTTGTGAAATAGAAAAGAGAATGTTTTTTGAGATGGACAGCGGATTTGAGGAAGAGGCCTTTTGAGAAAATAGATAAAGGATGCTCAGCTCAGTTTTAGGAGGGAGTCAAGGGACAGGGAGAGACTGAGGGTCAAGCCGTGTCCCTCCAATGACTCCCGTTTTACTCTGTGTGTGTGAAAGTCGAGTCTTCACGATGCTCCCGAGTCCCTCCAAGTCCTCCTCATCACCATTCAGATCAAATGCTCTGCTTTCTCCTCCTCCTGTCTGTGGCAGCCATGCTCGTCCCTTTGCTGGCCCGAGCCCTGCCCTCATTCTTCTCTTGTCTTCTCCCTCACCTCCTTCCAGTCTTATCTTTCCACAGCCCTCCATGGTGAGGCCTTCCCCAGGTCACAACATCTACCCCACACTCTGCTTTGTTTTTTTTCATGGCATTTTGCACTGTATAGCATACTGTGGAATTCTATTCCGTAATGATTCTATTTCTTTCTTGGAGGCAGGGTCTCTCTGTGTTGTCCAGGATCCCAGGCAACAGTCCAGTTGTGCGATCATAGCTCACTGCAGCCTCAAACTCCTAGGCTTCAGCAATCCTCCTACCTCAGCCTCCTGAGTAGCTGGGGCTACAGGTGCACCACCATGCCCAGCTTTTTACATTTTTTATTTTTTGTAGAGACAGGGTCTCCCTATGTTTCCCAGGCTGGTCTCAAACTCCTGGCTCCAAGCAATCCTCCTGCCTTGTCCTCTCTTTATGCTATTTTATATTTATTGTCTATCCCCAACTACAAGAATATGAGCTCCAGAATTGGACAGGGGCAGGACAGGAGCAGAACAGTGTCTCAGGAACATGCTCAGTAACTAGTATAATAAAATTAATGAATATAGTCAGGTCAGAATTAAATTTGACAGAATATTAGCTTAACAACTGACAGTCATTCCCCAGTGCCCATTTGTCCTTAGGTCAGATTCATAACTCAATCTCTTCCTGGAGAAGAATCTGCCTTTCCCTACTGGAGAGTGGATAAAAGTCTGCTAATTTGTCTTAAGCCATCATTGCTCTTTCCTAAAAGGCAACTGAGATTTGAGGGATTGAGAATGTAAATCAGGGACAGCTTTATTGGTTTTACATTCCTCAAGTTTCAAAAAATAAAGTAAAATTTAAAAAAATAGATAAGGAAATCATGGGAAGAAATAACAAAGGTAAGAAAATGATACGAAGCCAGAGTTAACATCAGCACATCCAAAATGAATACCACACCACAAAGATAACATTTAACACCTGTTAGGATGGCTCTTATTAAAAGGACAAAAGATAACACATGTTGGTGAAGATGTGGAGAAATAGGAACCTTTGTATACTGTCGGTGAGCGTGTAAAATGGTGCAGCCATTATGGAAAACAGTTCACTGGTTCCTTGAAAAATTAACACTAGAACTACCATATGACCCAGCAGTCCCACTTCTGGGTATATACTCAAAAGCATTGAAATCGGGGTCTCAAAGAGATATTTACACTCTCATGTTCATTGTGGCACTATTCATAATAGTCACGATGTGGAAACGAATATCAACAGATGAATGGATTGTCTTTAAATGTGGTATCTACGTAAAGCAGAATACCATAGGGCCTTTGAAAAAGAAGAGAAATCTGCCATTTTTGACAACATAGATGAATTTTGAGGACATTATCCTAAGTGAAATAAGCCAGTCACAGAAGCACAGATACTGTGTGATCTCAACTACATGGGGTATCTAAAAAGGTCAAACTCATAGAAGCAGAGAGTGGAATGGTGGTTGCCAGGGGCTACAGGAAGGGGAGGTGGGGGTGCTGCCGTTCGTTGGGTATAAAGTTTCATGTATGCAGCATGAATACATTCTAGAGAGCTGCTGTACAGGTTTATGCCTCGAGTTAACAAAGCAGGATTGCACACTTGCCATTTAAGAGGGCAGGTCTGTTATTAAGTGCTTTTACCACCATTTTAAAAATGCCTACCACAGGGACCTGCTAGAGGCAGCCAAATCAAAGAGCAAAAAACCATGTGTTGAAAGATTCATGGTGCCCCTGAGGTAAAGCACCCCCCTCAGGAGGAGTCTGGCCCCAAAGGGAGGTCTCAGACGCGGTGGACAGCATCCTCTGCCGCATGCCTGTCACAAAACATGAGCAAGCTTCTAGCACTACTTCTCAGAGCCAAGCGAGTCAGAGCCAAGCACAGTTTAGTGCCGGCAAATCCCTGAGGGCTAAGCAGTTCAGCAGAGAGAAGCTCTCTGGGAAAAGGGATGGAGGTGGAGAGGCACAAATGGGAACTCCCCCTCTTTGAGGTCTCCCTCTGGCATTCTCTGAGTTTCTAGTTCTCTGAAGTTTCATCTCTCCCTATGGGGAGGAACAATGTGGACAGGCACGTGGGGCTGGTACCATGCCCCGAGCATGAGCACACGCTCCCTGTGTATGGAAGCTCGTGTGGCTGGCCCTGTGAGCTCTCAGCATCACAAGGCCCTTTCTGTCGAGCAGCTGCTGCTCCTTATCCTGCATCTGGTGGCATCTGATTGCTATTGAAGCTGGCACGGCCCTCTGACAGGCACACAGCCACCTGAGCAGATGGCGGGCACATGAGCCGCATCAGGGAGCTGTGGCATGCTCTGAGGGCAAGCCCGGGGATCTTCCTTGTTACCTGTCACCATCAGAGAGCGTCTTCTCTGTCCCTTGTAAATGTTATTGACTTTACCCAACTAAGTTTGTAAACTGAAGAGTTTCAGAGGCATTCTGCTATTGAAAGTAAAATTAGAAATTTAAAGTTAAAGATATCCTCTTCTTTATTTCAAATTCTTCTGGGGCCTGTAACCTTAAGCATCCTTCTAGTCTATGCCTTTAAAAATAGGACTGGAAATAAATCTTTGAAATGCATTCTGGCTTCCTGATCTCCTAGTAAAGGATTCCTCTTCTCTCGGTTTCTGCCAGCATCCACCATTGGCAACTTCTTCTAATTAGGGCCTAACTTGTACTTTCTGTCCCTGCAACAGCTTCTGAGTGAAGGTGGATGAGTGAGAGGTTATGAGAGGAGTCTGCTACTGTCTTCTTCCATCTATCTTTCTTCCTGAATTTTCCATTTTTCCTCCCGAATTTTACTCTTCAACCAAACCAGACTGCTTGCCAATCATGCACTTCCTTAATGCTGGGTCTTTACTCATGCCATCCCTTCTCCTTCACAGTTTTTCCCTGTCTTTACAGATCCAAGTCTCACCTAACTGTCAAAACCCACCTGGAGTGTCTCTGTTAGTACCTTCGCATATCCCCTTGGGCTGAGCTCTTCTTGTTCTTTCTTGGTGCTGTTAAGATATGCTCACTTTCTTCCTGTTTATTGGAGTTTGTGTTTCTGTCTTGTTCCTTTGCTGGACCAAGCAGCTCGTGTGTTCATCAGTGATTTGCCAAGTGCGGGTTTATAACAATAACATCAGCCAGCATTTGCTCGATGCTTACTGTATCTTTCCTGAATTTCTGCAAATAGACACAGTCACATGAAATATGAACTTCTGGGGATTATAGGCCAGACCCCTCATGTCCTTATCCCTGAGGTTTAGCACAGTGCCTCAAACATCAAGGGTGACCAATCAATGTTTTGTGGATAGATGATGTAAGGATTTATATAAGCACCAAAGCTTGCTGTGAGGGTTTATTGTGCTTAAGCCATCTTTTAAAACTTTCCCCTCACTCTTAGTCTTAATGCTTCCTCTTTGAAAGAGATCCAGAATTTGAAACTTTTCATATCTAACGTTTTCTCTGTGGTATCTCAACTTTTCTTAGTCAAATATTTCATTTTGAAAAAGAAATAAATAGCTTTGTGGCAATGGCAAGATCTCAGGTTTACTTTAGGCCTTTAATGTGAGAAAGAAAATATACACTTCGGTTAAAATATGCAGAATGGGGAAATAAAACATTCAGTTGATACTTTAATAATTAAACTAAATATTATCACCAAGTGATAAATGCTGCTAAGTCAATGAAATATGCATCAGTTAGCTAATCATGCAGCTGGAACATTATACAATTTGATTGCCTAGGATTGTTAAAAAAAATCAGTGAAGAGAGTAGTTTAATGATTATAATATTGATATCCAAAGTCAGCGAAACTCATTTCTTAGAGTTTGGCTATGATGCCATCTTCTTATTAATGACTGTTTTGCTTTTCTTCTGCAGCCTTCCTCTTCCTTGAGAACCTCATTTTGGTCTGGTTAGTGTTTATACCCTGTTGCCATTATTTCTTTTGGGAGTTTAGGCTGAGTTATTGGTATTCCTAATAAATGAAGTAGTGAAAAGTGCACTGAATATGGATCAGAAGCCCTAAGTTCTCACTCGAACGTCAGTCACAGTCAGTTATCCTTTTGAGGAGGTTGAGTAGGAATCACTCATTACTTTGTAGGGGGATATCAAGTGACCTATAAAACTACCTTCCTCCCCACAGTCCCAAAAATTTTACAAGAGAGTTTTCTTCCCTTAGCACAGGCTTCTCTGGCCTGAATTTGCATGTGTCTTCCTTTTTCAGCAGCTGTCTTAGTTTTCTTTGTGCTGCTATAACAAAATACCATAGACTGGGTAATTAATACAGAACAGAAACTTACTTTCTCACAGTTCTGGAGACTGTGAAGTCCAAGATCAAGGGGCTGACAGATTTGGTTGTCTATTGAGGGCTGCACCCTCTGAGGGGAAGAACTTTGTGTCCTCATATGGCAGAAGGAATGTGGAAACAGGGAGGAAGGTCCAGGTGCCAAAGGCAATATGAAGCCTCTTTGATAAGGGCCTTAATCCCATTCATGAGGGAAGAGCCCTCATAGCCCAATCACCTTTAAGCCCCCATCTCTTAATACTATCACATTGGCAACATCTGAATGTTGGAGGAGACACATTCAAACCATAACAGTAATGTAGGACCAGAGCAGCTCAGACTTACACCTGATTCTGCAGGAGTATAAGAAAAGTGAAGGGGTTTAAGGAGGAACTGAGTATCACCCTCCTTACATAGGAGCTTGGTCATTTTGCTTTAATGAATGGGATGCAATAGTAGGTTTCAGGAATGCTTTTTTAAGTATTATGTAAGAATATGTTATCAGAAGACAGAACAACCCTGGGACAGATTGGTTGGAATCCACTGTAGTCACAATGCAGGGATAGGGGACAGAGAATAGGAATAAACACTTCACCAGAAAAGAACACTAGGAGTCTCTCAGGGGAGAGGTGAAGAGCTGAATCACAATTTAAGGAACTTGTTCCAGCCAGGGGATCTAGAGAAAAAAATCTTTTGAGATTTTTCTTAAAGACATAATTCAAGTACCGTAAAATTTACCTCTTTAAAGTGTATAATTTAGTGACTTTCAGTATATTCACAAGGTTATGCAATATCACCCCTATTTAATTCGAGAACATATTTAATCACCCCAGAAGGAAACCCTGAATCAATTAGCAGTCACTCCACTTCCCTTCAGCCCCTGAAAGCCACTCATCAACTTTCTGTCTCTCTGTCTATTCTGGACATTTCATATAAATGTAATTATATAATATTTGTCCTTTTGTAAATGTTTTCAGGATTCATGCATGGTATATAGCATGTATCATTACTTCATTTCTTCTTATGGCTGAATAATGTTCCATGGTATGGATATACCATATTTAGTGTATTCATTCATCAGTCGATGGGGGGCCATTTGGGTAGTTTTCACTTTTTGACTTGTGAATAATGTTGCTATGAACATTCATGTACAAGCTTTTATGTGAACATATGTTTTCAGTTTTCTTGAGCATATACTTAGGAACAGAACTGGTAAATCACATGGTAACTCTATGGGGTTTTTTGTTCTGTTTGTTTTTTGTTTTGTTTGTTTGTTTGTTTGTTTGTTTTTGAGACAGAGTCTCGCTCTGTCACCCAGGCTGGAGTGCAGTGTTGTGGTCTCGGCTTGCTGCCAGCTCCACCTCCCAGGTTCACGCCATTCTCTTGCCTCAGCCTCCCGAGTAGCTGAGACTACAGGTGCCCGCCACAACTGGCTAATTTTTTGTATTTTTAGTAGAGACGGGGTTTCACCGTGTTAGTCAGGATGGTCTCGATCTCCTGACCTTGTGATCTGCCTGCCTCCGCCTCCCAAAGTGCTGGGATTAGAGGTGTGAGCCACCACGCCTGGCCAACTCTATGTTTAACACATTGAGAAACTACCAACCTTTTCTCCAAAGCAGCTGCACCATTTTATACTCCCATAGCAATGTATGAAGATTCCAGTTTCTCCACATCCCTATCAATACTTTTTATTGTCTATATTTTTATTATAGCTATTCTGCTGGGTTTGAAGTGGTATCTCATTGTGGTTTTGATCTGCATTTCCCTAATGACAAGTGAACACCTTTTCATGTACTTATTTCCCATTTGTATATCTTGTTTGGAGAAATGTTTATTCAAATCCCTTTCTCATTTTTAATTGGGTTATTTGGCTTTTTATTGAGTTTATAAAAATTCTTTTTGTTTTTGAAATGGGGTCTCACTTTATCACCCAGGCTGGAGTGCAGTGGTGTGATCACAACTCACTGCAACCTTGACCTCCTGGGGTCCAGAGATCCTCCAGCTCCAGCCTCCCAAGTAGCTGGGACTATAGGTGTGTACCACCATGCCCCAGCTAATTTTTTTTTAAATTTTTTGTAGAGACAGGGTCTCACTATGTTGCCTAGGCTAGTCTCAAACTCTGGCCTCAAGCAATTCTCCTGCCTTGGCCTCCCAAAGTGCTGAGATTACAGGTGTGAGCCATCATGCCCAGCCTATAAAAATTCTTTATATATTTTGTATACCAGACCGTTATCAGATATGACTTGCAAATATTTTCCCCAATTCTGAGTCCTTTTGACTTTTTAAATAGTGTCCTCTGAAGCACAAATTTTTTATTTCATTGCAGTCCATTCACTTCTTCTTAAGTTTTATTGTTTTTTAGATTTAAAAACTCTTTGTTAATATTTTTATTTTTAATTTTTGTGGATACATAGTAAGTATGTATATTTATGGGTTACATGAGATATTTTGATACAGGCATGCAATGCATAATAATCAAATCAGGTAAATGGGGTATCCATTATCTCAGACATTTATTCTTTGTGTTATAAACAATCTAGTTATACTCTTTTAGTTATTTTTAAATGTATAATTAAATTATTTTAATTATAGTCACCCTGTTATCCTAGTAAATACTAGGTCTTATTTATTCTATTTTTTGTACCCATTAACCATCCCTACTCCCTCTGCTCCCACCCACCACTACCCTTCCAGCTTCTAATAACCATCCTTGTACTCTTATCTGTATGTGTTCAGTTGTTTTAATTTTTAGCTTCCATAGATAAGTGAGAACATGGGAAGTTTGTCTTTCTGTGTCTGGCTTACTTCACTTAATATAATGACCTCCAGCTCCATAGCTGTTGTTGCAAATGACAGGGCTCCATTCTTTTTTATGGCTGAATAGTTCTCCATTGTATAGATGTACCACATTTTCTTTATCCATTCACCTATTGATGGACACTTCGGTTGCTTCCAAATTTTGGCAGTTGTGAATAGTGCTGCAACAAACATGGGAATGCAGAGATCTCTTCAATACACTGATTTCTTTTCTTTTGGGTATGTACTTAGGAGTGGGATATATGTCTTCTTCTCAACTTGTTTGAGCTTTAGGTGTCACATCTAAGAAACAATTGCCTAATCCAAGATCATTCACATTTACACCTTTGTTTTCTTCTAAGAGTTATATATTTTTAGCTCTTACATTTAGGTCTAAGATCTATTTTAAATTAGTTTTTGCTAATTTAAAACAAATTATGGTGTGAGGTAGGAGTTCAACTACATGAGATTTTGATAGATGCAGTTGATCAGCTCAGGGTGTCCACACACTGTGAGGAATGAACTGTAGGAACTGTCCCTGGAGGAAGAATAAGATTGCATTCCCCGAGGATTTGATGCTGAAAGAGCATTTTGTCCTAACAGTTTAATGAGAAAATTGTAGAGAGATTCGGTTCATGTATTGAACTGGACCCAGCTGGATTCTGTAATCATGCGGAATATATAACCTTGCAATTTTTCAGTCATATATATACCTTTTATTTTACTCTAATGAAGGGATCTTACCTTGCAAATGGTAAGTTGATGATGTGATGATTCAGATATCTACAGAAGATGACCACTGTTCAGCAGTGAAGCAAGAGGCTATAGTCCTTTAGTTCCTGTGAGCAGTGGAATACCTTCATCCTTTGGGGAAAATGGTGTGATGGAAGTAGAGTGTCCCGCTGGCATGGGCACAGGAAGGGAATTAAGGAGAATGAGCTGGCCACCAACCAGCTCAATATTTAAGAATAGTATAGGGGGCTGGGCACGGTGGCTCATGCCTGTAATCCCAGCACTTTGGGAGGCCGAGGTGGGTGGATCACCTGAGGTCAGGAGTTCAAGACCAGCCTGGCCAACATGGTGAAACCCCATCTCTACTAAAAATACAAACATTAGCCAGCCATGGTGGTGGGCGCCTGTAGTCCCAGCTACTGGGGAGGACGAGGCAGGGAAATCACTGGAACTCAGGAGGCAGAGGTTGCAGTGAGTCGAGACCGTGCCACTGCACTCCAGCCTGGTGGACAGAGGGAGACTCCGTCTCAAATAAATAAATAAATAAATAAATGAATAAATAAATAAATAAGAAAAAAGAATAATATAGGGAAATTCTCTCAATGACATATGATTGTTTACTGGAAATGCCTCTTCTCCCTACTTCATACCCTTCAACTAACAGTTATTAATCTCTGTTCTCTATGGTCTCTTACATTTCTGCATGTCTTCTAAACAGAGGTATTGACAGTGCCACCCACTAACTGCCAGCCTTGCCTCAGTCCAAAATATCCTCATAAATGTTGATCCCCAGTGGAGTAGTGCTGCCCCTCTTTGGAGACACTTGTTTTGATGTTTATTTTTTCATGATACTAAGCCTTCTTTGTATCTCTATCATGTAACGTGGTCCTAGGGTATAATTATTACTCAGCATGTTTGCTGATTTTACATCTGTGCTTCCTTTTCTTTCAGTTATGTTGCAGTCGGAAAAAGAAGACTTAATTGTGTCCATTGAAAATGTTGACATTTTTCATGGAACTTAACAAGCTGATTCTGGAACTTATATGCAAAAGTAAAGGGCCAAAGATAGTTAGGACAATTTTTAAAGTAAAAGTTCAAGGTTGTGATATTTGTCTTATACAGGTTTAGTATACCAGGACTGATCTTACATTGTAGTGAATAAATGCAGTATGGCATTGGCACGGTGATAGACAAATAGACCAATGAAACGGAATAGAGAACTCAGAAATGGAGCCTCACGTGGCAGACAGTGGATATTTGTTCATCACACCACTCCCTTTTCCCCTGGACATAAACTAAAGTACATTTCCCAGCCTCCCTTGATGGCTTTTGTGACTGAGTTCCAGCCAGTAGACTGAAGGCAGGAGTGATACACGCCACTTCCAGGCATGGCCCATGAAATTTTCCTGTGAACGGTTCACTTTCCTCTGTCTACCAGCTGACTGTTAAGTTCTCAAGAGATCTAGAGTAGGGCAAAAGCTCAAGATGAAGAGAGCTTTGGTCCCTGAATTCATCCAAGGAGAGCATGCAAGGCAGCAGCCCATCCAGAGCACCTGCAAAAGATGATTCATGATCACAAATTAAACTTTTGCTATGTTAAGTACTGAAATTTTGGGGTTGTTTATGGGTCTGCCCCAATAAATCATGTTTGAATGGAAACTTGGCATATAACAGCTGGCTTGGCAGATAATGCAAGGAACTTAGACTATTTAATATACAGGCCTGGGACAGCGGGCTGCTATATAGAAAACAACACCAACAAATTCAGTCTCTTCCCCATGTAACATTCTAGGTGGATTGATGATGTAAATGTGAAAACAGAACTTTAAAATTTTTCAAACAGTACATAGGAGAACATCTTTATGATTTCAGGAGAGAGATTGAAAGTCTAAGACAGGCAAAGTACAAATCAGGAGGGTTGCATTAAAATGAGAAAGTTCTCAATAAAGGCACCATAAGTGTGAAGACAAGCCAAAGACTGGGAGAGTATTTGAAATATATCAGTATCCAATATACTGATACCCAATACAGAATCCAATAAAGAATGTGTCCAGATTATTTAAAGAAGTAAGGCTAACCACCTCAATTATGGGCAAAAGTTATGAATGGGCATCTTATGGAAGAGAAAAACTTGAGTAGCCAATAACTATGTGAAAAAAATCTCAGCCTCGCCACCTGTCAGAAAGGTATAAATTAAAACCAGTTAATAAAATTAAAACAGTTGCCAAAATTAAAATCCAGTGATGCTACATTTACTATCTCTGGTTAATGTGAATCGCAACAAGCAATTTGGAAAGCAATTTTGAATATCCAGGAAACTGAGCAAACTTCCCTGTGTCACAGCAGTTTTTCACTGTCAGTGGAATTGATGATGTTTCATACTTCTTAAGCTTGATGGTCAATTGTGTTATCCTCACCTTTTTGTATGTCTGAAATCGTTTATCATATATTTTTAAGACAATCATACTCTCACTCTTCTCTTTAGTCTTTCATCCTACAGGTATTATCAGATTTACCTCAATCCTTTCCTTTCTTCTCACGTCGAGCAGCCCATCTGATATTAATCCTTGAATACTTTCCAAATGGTTTTCCCATGAAAAACTGACTTGTTGTAATAACTTAGCCCTAGAACTTAAAATTAGCATGTACATTAATAACTAACACATAGAGCATACTATATATCAGATACTAAGTATTTTTTCATAGCAACTCTTACATTAACTTTTTAAAAAATTTCCTGGCTTTAGCTCCTTTAATTCTCACAACAGCTCTGTGAGGTAGATTATCACTATCCCCGCTTATGAATGAAGAAACTATGATGCAAGAGAGGTGGTAGGTAGAGGAGGTGGTATTCAAACCCTAGCCATCTTGCTCCCAGATCTGCACCATTAACCACCTTGCTGATGTTTCTTCTGTGCTGTGGTCAAGTGGAAGGGTAGGTAAATTTCCTGGGTTGTTCAGGCTGGAGTCGGTTCAGATTGGTTGGGAATGAAAAGACTGAATTAGCCATGTGAACCATTTCCACTGGCTGAATTCTCCAGAACATTTTTCTGGCTCACACAAGCAGTTTATTTCCAGTTGTTTTCTTCCTCTTACCAAGCAATGGTTTAATGTTGTCAGCATTATTGTGAAGTACTGGGAGCATTTATAGAATTGAACAGCCATTTCCAAATTCAGAGTATTTTTCATTTACTGAATAATGCATCTTTAATTACCAGCCAACTTAAGCCAGTTTTCAAAGAGTGGAACTGTTTATTGCCAGCTGTCTCCCATAATAATAGATAAGAATAGTGTTATATATTATTTTATTTTTTGGTAATTCAAGCCCTCCCTCAGAGGGAAGTACATAGTTCCCTGATACTTGTACTTCAAACAGATGAATTACTTCCCAGCCTGGAGAGCAGCCAAATCTCTAAATTGACGTGTTCACAGAATAATAAATTTCATGTAAGAGAATGATGCCAGATGCAAGAGGATTTGATACAAGTGCATTTGAACTCTACAGATGATACAAAATATTTCTCTTCTTAAGAAATTTTCATAAACTGTTAAATAAAAGACTGTGAGAGATTTTGCGCTCAATTCAGCTTCTGCTACACATTTCAGTGAACAGATTATTCTGGCAGTATGTCAGCAGGAGGCTAGACATTAGATAATTACTTGTGAAATATTTCTAGTGGTTGAGCCATGCCCCATGTGAAAATATCATTCAATTCCTGAGAGAGTCTCTGAGTTCTAGCACTGGACTGGTGCATCCACTGGATAATTCAGAAGCTGAGGCTCACTGTTTTTGCAAGTTCATGGTGTTGCTTTTCCTGGTTAGGTTTGCATCAAACATATTTTTTATCTGCATTATTTTTTATCTGACACCCAGGATACAGTGCAGATCCTTTCAATGGAGTTTCAATGCATTTATTTTCTTTGCATAGATCAAATATATTCTGTTAGTCCTATGCAGAACTATTTTAAAAACCTTGCACAGCACTTTAAAAGAACTATAGGGCATAGGTCCTGTTTTAAGAAATGGTGCATTCTTTGATTTCTTCCTAAATATGCTTTTCTTTAGAAACAACAGAAATCTCCACAATTTTAAACAGAATTTCAGGTGTTAAGAGAAAGAAAAAGAATAATCTCTTACTCTAAATGGTTGAATAAAATGCCTGGATGTTAGGAACACTAAAGCCATTTTAATAATATTATCATTTTTATGCAGGCCTTATCTAAATACAATGTTTAGACTAACCTTTGAAAAGGATGAAAACAAAAAATTTAATCCTTTACTAAAATATTGTATACTTCTTCCAGCTGTCATGGCTTATTTTTCATGGTAGATGGTCATATTCCTACCACTGGACTGTTTTATTCCAAACAAGTGGTAATCTCCGTGCATTCAGGCTCTCTGAATTAATAGATTAGCCTCACAGCTGTACTCAGAAGTATATTAGAAAGACTTACCCTTTAACAGAGAATAGATAGTGATGTCATTGTCTTTAAGAGATTGAAAATGTATTAACCACAAGGTTTAGAAAGATATAGAAGAAAAGTTTAGGCCAAACAACTTTGCGTATTTAAATTTGACACAAACACAATCCCAGTATGCCATATCTTCAGAGTCTCAGAGCAGTGGATTATAAACAAAGAGGCTCTTTCTAAATTGACTAGTAAACTGCAATTATCAATAAATGTCTTCTACCTTGGAAGTAATTCAGGGTCCTCACAGTTTGGTGAGGCCTCAGCTTTTCAAACAGAAAGCCTGCTTGAGTTTCAGAGAGATTCTCTCGTCCCCATGCTCTCTACCCCTCTACCTTCATCCCAAGCCTCCTCTTCTGGAGGTGAAATGAGCGAGATTTCAGGGATCTCTGAATAAAATTCCTGGGCTCATGGTACATGTGTATATTCCTATTCTCACTTCTCCTGGGTCACTCACGCTGTATTTCAAAAATAAAAGGCTCTTCATTCTGAGTTATCAAATAAGTGTTTATTATATACACATACATTTGCACATACACATAAGCGAACTGTGTGTGTGTGTGCATGTATGTATGTATGTCTGTGTGTGTGTGTGTGTGTGTGTGTGTGTGCATGCAGGCTGCTCCTGGCTTTTGTGGAGCCCCGTTTAGTGCACGGGATTTGTGTGACAGATATTTATGCAGTGACTAAAGGGAGTTCTTTTCCACATAGGGTTCCAGAAAAATACTTTTCAAGGTCACTCACTAAGAATCAGGTCAAGTTCTAAAGCAGATGACGGCAGTAGGATTGGTTGGCAAGTGCAAATGGTGAGGGCTCCATCCATTTTTCATGAAGTTATAATTAACACGCTGTCTGCCTCCCACAGGTTCAACCTTTGGGAATGAAGAACAGCCAGTTCTGAAGGCATCTCTGCCTTCTAAGGACACACCCAAGGGGGCCGGCCGGGTGGCCCCTCCAGCATCCTCCAGTGTGACAGCACCCCGCAGGAGTTTACTTCCAGCGCCAAAATCCACTTCCACACCCGCTGGTAAGACTTTGTGCCTTGGAGAGGCTCCATGGTGGAGTGCCCTTTCTGCATTAATAAAAAGTCTTTTGAAAGCCCCTGTGTACATCAGTTATTTAGAAGGGATGATTGATTAAATGATAGTTAGTAACAATAATACCACTGCTTTTAAGGCACTTTCATATATTCATGTTTAAATTCTCGTAACTGCCTCTCACTCTTCCCATGACTGGTAACCCTTTGAATCACACAGTTTCCGTTTCAGAAAGCAAGAACCAAGCTATTTTAAGCAAACTGGCATTTGGCTCAGGGAAGTGGGTGCTGACGATATCATCGCAAGGACTGTAGGATAGCAAGCTTCAGGCTGCGCCTCCAGGAATGAGCCCCAGAACCCCAGAGAGAAGTGCTGCCTCTGCAGCAGTCCAGGAGTGCCATGCTCCTGCTGGCTCTAGGCTCACATCTCCAAAGCTAGGATCCAGGGATGGATCCACTACTCCCATGGTAGGGTTGGCTCTAGAGCCACACTGGGCCTGCCAGATTCAGTCCAGCAAAACTGATCCCTGTGCCCCACCTGTGCATACCCACAAAGCTAGTGACTGGACATGCAGAATTCAGCTGATTCAAAGGTGTAACTAGCACAGGTGCTTGTCAGCAGAAAGTGCCGAGGCAGCATCAGTGTGGCCCCTGCTATGCTTCTCCTCCCATCCCTCCCACAAGTGCATCTATTTGCCTGCAGGGATGTTTGTGTATCTTGTTCCTAGCTTTTCTTTTTCTACATTATAGAAGGCAAATTTATCAGGATGGTAGAATGAATGTTGAGCCCTAATTCACCATAGATGGCTCATCCATACCAGTGTTTATTCCTCCATATTTTTTCTATGCTTGTATCAATGTATCATCATATCAATGTATATATATATGTAAACATACGGGTTTTATAGGTATTTTTAAATGAGACTGCATTATATCAATTTTTCTACATGTTGCTTTCCTTACTCAATGTAGGTCATAGAAATACCCTTGGCAATGGTAGGGCTCATTCTTTTCAGTGGCTGCATGCTGTGGATATGCCATGATTTATTCAATCATTCCTTCACTAGTGGGTATTCATTTTGCAACCAGTATTTGCCACAACAAACAATGCTGCAATAAACAGCCTTGAGTGGGTGGCATTGTTTCTATGGGATTAGTTCCCTGGAGTGGTGTTGCTTTGTTTGATGCATTAATAGATATGGATAGATTGCCTTTCAGAGAGGCTCCACCCATATCCCTGCTAGGAATAGGTGTTATCCCTTTCTAGAATTTTGGTCTGCTTGATGGGAGTGAAGTATTATCCCAAAGTTCTTTTACTTTGCATCTCCCTGACCACTAGACTAGCTGGAACCTCTTGCTCTAGCAGCACCTTGCAGTTCCCTTTGTTAAGACTTAAATTGGCTCATTTAATTTTGTTCTTCCTCAGGGGAAGGTAAGCTTCTGGGGGTGGTGACTGTGTCTGTTTTAACACAGCATCCTCATTGCCTGCCACAGTGACTGACTCACAGTAGGTATTTAACATCTATGGGTTAATTATTGAATCAACAAATGAATGAATGGATATCACATGGCATTTGAATCTTTCAGCTACAATTTATTAACAGTTTGGCCTTGGTTTAATTAGAAAATAATTAGACAGCCCTATGGTATGTTAAAACACGGTGGTTGAATCAACCCTATAGCCCAGTGTTTCTCAAGCTTTAGTGTATCAGTGTCACCTACAGGGCTTGTAAAAACACACATTACTGGACGCTATCCCCAGAGTTATTGGTTCAGTAGGTTTGGTTTGGGGCTCGAGAATTTGCATTTCTAACAAATTCCCAAGTGGTGCCTCTAGACTAGGGATTACACTTTGTGAGCCACTTGTAGAAAAATGGGTTAGGAATTTGAAAAGACAGTTCTTAGAAAAAGGCAAAGGGCTCTTAGCCATATGAAAGGATAATAATCGGCCTCACTGATAAGAAAAACGTAAGGTGAAACTACAATAGATTATGATACCCTACCAATCATACTGGCAAAAATCCAAAAGTTTGACAACATATTCTGTTTGTGAGGCTGCAAGCAAACAGGCATTCTCATACATTTTTGGTGGGAATATAAAATGGTACAAAGAGGAAGAGGAGTTTGGCAGTATCTAACAAAATCATACATGCATTTATTCTTTGACATAATAGTCTCACACCGAGGAGTCTTTCCCAAAGGTAGACTGACAAGAATATAGTACATGGAGTGATTCACTGCAGCACTCTTTGAAGTAGAAAAAGACTGAAAACAACTCAAATGTCCATTAATAGGGGGCTCACTGAACAGATTGTGGTATATCCACAGGATGCGGTACTATGTAGCTGTTACATGAATGGGGAAATAGCTCTTTGTATCAACATTACTAGAAAGTGATTTCCAGGAGGTCATTGAGCAACAAAAGATGGAGGAAAAAATGTAGTCGACTATGTTTTATCTAAACAATAGGAAAATGTTATATATGAACTTATATTAAGAAAAAGCAATAGAAGAATAAGCTATTTTTTAAAAAAAAAAAATGATGGCCTTCAGGGTGAAAGAAGGAATAAAAGGAGAGACTAAGAGGTACAGGTTACTGATACATTTTGAATGCACCTTGTTTTGTAGATGTAAAATTACATAGACATTTTACACAATTATACATTAAATGTTAAAAGATAATATCTAAAACTCAAAAATGAAATTAAACAAATGGAAGTAATTGCATAGCCCGTTGATGGCATAACCACACAGAGAAGTACATTCCCAATGGTATATACCTCAGATTCAGAAAGAATTGCAACGAAAATCTGAAATTATTGGTGGTGGTGTTAGTACTGTGATTCTGTATCTGCTGTTATTCTGAACATGTGTATTATGGGATGAATGGGATTAGGGGTATTATAGGATAAAGTCAGAACTCATCTGAAATTTATCTTTAAAACAATATTCTCAGCTCTATCTACTGGAAAGTTGTAAGTGGTGACTAAACCAGTCATAATGAGCACTCCTAGAGCCCAGGTTGTGATGTCTGAATGGACTTCCCAGTAGAGGGAGATAGGGATCCTTGAAGAACCAGCTGTTTCAGGTCTAGGACAAGAAATGTAGATCCTAGAACATCTTGCCATGCTAGCTGGCTAAGAAGAATATAAAAACTATGAGGATTCTGTTGAAAGGACCTATGGGGTCAACTTGAATAAGCTCCTACTGGTAAAAAAGAAAAAAAAAAGGAAAAACTGAAAGAGTTTGAATATCAATAAGATTAGTATTTACAATGGATGAATACCCATCAATGAGGGCATATGATAAAAAACAAAACCAAAAAAAAAAAAAAACCTCCAAAACTAGTCACATTGGAGGATGCTAGGAAATGACCTCATTATTTTAAAATCTGGTAAATAAAGGAAAAGAAAAGCCTTTTAGTAATTTCTCCTACTCAGTCTGTATCTCAAGATAACCAAATAGCTGGTGAGGGGGAAGTTTCTCTTTATAAAAGTATTCCAGCTAATACAAAACACATGATAAAACATCCCTTTTTGCCTCTTCTGATGAATGAGTTGATAAAAGCAATGATCATCAGTATGAGGAATCACCAGACTTTACGAACTGTCCAGATGGAAATATATACAGATTACCTGGGAATTAGTCTTTGGGGGAAAAATGGATTTGGTGCAGCCTCTGGAGTTAACTACTGATTTACTAGAAGTACAAAGGAATGCAGAGAAGCACGTTAAAAACACCATGAGGATTGAATCAGCAAACCTAGACTCTGGGAAGCTCTATGGGACACACCCTCTGATGTACTCGGCAAGAGCAACAACAACACAAAGTGTGACAAATAAAAACCAAACATCTTTGGGGAAAATGAAGAGGGCATGGGAACCTGTAGATTACAAAAAAATGTAAACATATAGGCCAATTTTGGAGCTAATTTTAGATCCTAATTCAAACAAACATTTGAACAAAAATTTGAAATTCAAACAAAAATTCAAAAAAACTTTGGAAGATATTGGGAAAATGTGAACACTGGCTATATGGTGATATTAAGGAATTATTGTTAATTTTTTGTTTAGACAAGTCTCTCTCTTTTGCCCAGGCTGGAATGCAGTGGCGTGATCTTGGCTCACTGCAGTCTCCACCTTCTGCTTTCAAGTGATTCTCCTGCCTTAGTCTCCCAAGTAGCTGGGATTACAGATGCGTGCCACCATGCCTGGCAAATTTTTGTATTTTTAGTAGAGTTGGGGTTTCACCATGTTGGCCAGGCTGGTCTCGAACTTCTGACCTCAGGTGATTTGCCCGCCTCAGCCTCCCAAAGTGCTGGGATTACAGGCATGAGCCACCGCACCCGAATTATTGTTAATATTTTGAGTTTGATGTATTTGTGGCTATGTTTTTAAAAAGAGTCATGTTTTAGAAATTCACATATATGAAATGCTATCTGGTATTTCCTTCAAAATAACCTAGGATGGTGGTGAGCAGAGTCTATGACATAAAAGATGAAACAACACTGGCCACACGTAGCTCTTTGTTGAAGCTGGGTAATGGAATACAGTAAGTTAACTCAGCTAGTCTCTCTAGTGTCTGTTTAAAGAGTTATATAATAGCATGGTAAAATGTGTAGAGAGAGTGGCTGTTTTCATGGAAGTGAAGTTAAATGGAAATAAGGTATTTCAAATGTTGAGAAGAGGAAAGGCAGGTAGTGTGACCATAAGTTTCATTGCTTTTCCAAGTGTTTCTGCTACATGAGGGATTTCTGAAAGCCATGCACTATCTATCTGTCTGTCTGTCTGTCTGTCTGTCTATCTATCTATCTATCTATCTATCTTACTTATTTGAGACAGAGTCTGGCTTTGTCACCCAGGCTGGAGTGCAGTGGCACGACCTCAGCTCACTGCAACCTCCACCTCCTAGGTTCAAGTGATTCTCCTGCCTCAGCCTCCTGAGTAGCTGTGATTACAGGCGTGTACCACCACACCGGGCTAATTTTTGTATTTTTAGTAAGGACAGGGTTTCATCATGTTAGCTAGGCTGGTCTCGAACTGATCTCAGGTGATCTGCCCGCCTTGGCCTCCCAAAGTGCTGGGATTACAGGCATGAGCCACCAAGCCATGCACTCTTGATAACAATTTTCTTCCACTTTGTATTACTTTATAAAACACTAATATACAGAATCTAATTTGGTTCTCACAAAGACCCTAAGAGGTAGGCAGGGAAATTATTACAGATGCAGCAAGTGAAACGAGTTGTCCAAGGTCACACAATGGCATCCAGAAATAAATGGATGTTGTATATGTTCCCAGTCCTTTTCTTATAATAATAGTATAAATATCCAGCTAAGGACTATCAGAATTCCATCTGTGGGCTGCAATTTGTCCATTACCAATAGATTGCATGTGTGTGAAGGGGGATGGTGTGAAGCAGGGCGATGCCCAGGGCTTTGTGCTTCAGGCCAGGCTCTCTTTGAGATTACCCGGTTAGGAGTTCCAGTGGGGATGCCTTAACCTCTGTGTGGTCCTTCCCTATTCTCGCTCGTGGTGGAGCACACCCCACACTATTTGCGTTTTCCATAAAAGAATGCATTTTTGAGAAGTGTGCTCCTTTCCCTAAAAGCTGACATCACTCTGTATGTGTGTGGTGTGTGTGTGTAAACATTCACCCAGTCCTCCCTCACTGAACACATGTGTGTTACTTTCTCCAGAGGCAAAATTTTAACTCTGTAAACTTGCTTGTCCCTTCTTATGATGAGCTATCCCTTTCTTTGTTGAAAACTCAAACATTCTTTCAAGCTGCCCTACAGGCATCTGATATTTACTAGACTTGCTTTCCTAGGTATAAATTTTTATGAGTGTAATAATTGCTTTTCTTCCTATTCCAGACCAAAGCACATTGAATAGTTTCTCCAGACTTACCAATTCAGTGATGAGGTTAGCGGGTATTATGTTGTGGGATAGGATGTTCTGGAGATGTGCAGATGAGTGAGACACGATTCCTGTCCCCACAGGGTTCACAGGCTGATGGCGGAGAAGCACAGAGAAACAATTATTAAAACGTTGACCGATGTTTAAATGAGCTGCTATACAGCCTGACGTGTCAGTCCTGGTCAGGAGGCTGCAGGCTCTCTCACTTATACAACTGAATGGCTAATACTGCCCTTAGTGACTAGACTGAAGGCAAAAGGAGGACAAGTGTAGAGGAAAGACAGTAAATCTAGCTTTAGATGAGATGAGTTTGAGGTGCCTGGGAAACCTCCATCTAGCAATGTCCAGTAGACAGCTGGAATAAGCCAAGAGCTCTAAGGAAAGTTTTAAGTTGGAGATTTCCATGTGGAATTCATGGGCTTATCCTTGTGGCTCTGGGAATGGAGGCAATGGGGATGTGAGTTTGCTTGGGAGGACATGGAAAGTGCAAAGGTAACTGCGATTGCCACCTTGCTAATACCAAAATGGGAGCAGCAGATGAAGAAGGCTCATCTGGAGAAAGAAGAGCTTTCAGAGCACAGAGCGGGGCAGCAGCTGAGGAAATGGAAGCCATGAGCTCAGACTGTTCTTTGAGGAATGGAAAGGGGAAGGGAAGGAGAATAGGATGGTAGCTTAAAGGGGAAGTGGGCAAAGGAAATTCTTGCTTTTTAGAATGAGTGACACTTGCCTCTGTGTATAGAAATGTCAAGAAAAGGAGGGAGTAAAGGTGAGAAAAGTAAAGAATTACTGGAGCCAGGCCTGTTAGGTGGTGGGGGTGGCACTAGGGCAGGAAGCCAGGCCCTGCAGCATGGGATGAGGGGGCTGATATTGGAAAGGAGCTGCACCACCTTGTCTTTGTCTAAGGCTGGAGGCTCCACTTGACTTGGGAGATGGATTCTGGGGGAGTTTTGGCAAAATGGTTAACTCGCATTCTGCCCCTCCACTACCTACTGATTCACTAGTGAGAATGTGAGAACAGCAGGGCACTCCATAATGCCTGTCCATCATCACAGAGTAGCACCTACACCTGGTCTCAGCGTTTCACGTGCTGCATTTTAAGCGGACTCAGAGACTGCAAAACAGCCAAATCTGCTCTTTGTCCCAGGGTTGTTTTGCAACACTACTTTTTCTGGATTGACTTTGCATATGCAAAAACAAATCTAGCTGGGTTTAAAAAAAAATCCTTTATAAAAAATAAATAAGTGTTCTCCTATTTTTGTATAGCAAATTGAAATACCCTTTTTTCCTACCATGTAACTGTAGAAGATTTTGGTTCAGGGGCACTGATGCTCATCAGAGCTCCAGGACTAAGTAGTAATTGAAGCATGTGATATAAACTGTTTTAGCTTTTACAGATATGTGACTAAACAGCCTTATATCTGTAAAAACAGCAAAGTTCAAGTATGGACTAATGGATGGGATGGTAAAGATGCCTCACTCCTGCAGAGAGGCTGGGTGGACACCAGTCCAGCTCCGCCTGTCTTAGCCACTGGACTTGGGACAAATCAACATTAAGGAATCTTTTCATATTTCTCAGTCAGTTAAAAAATGTGTGGGGATAATAGTTCCTACTCCATGGGGTTGTTCTGAGAATTAACATAAATGAAAGGACATAGAACAAAGTAGGCATTTCTTTTTTTTTTTTTTTTGAGACGGAGTCTCGCTCTGTCGCCCAGGCTGGAGTGCAGTGGTGCAATCTTGGCTCACTGCAACCTCTGCCTCCCGGGTTCAAGTGATTCTCCTGCCTGAGCCTCCCAAGTAGCTGGGATTACAGGCACCCACCACTGCACCCGGGTAATTTTTTTTTTAATTTTTAGTAGAGACAGGGTTTCGCCATCTTGGCCAGGCTGGTCTTGAACTACTAACCTTGTAATCCACCCACCTCGGCCTCCCAAAGTGCTGGGATTACAGGCTTGAGCCACTGCGCCTGGCCCAAAGTAGGCATTTCATAAAGGCTATTTGAGTTTTAGAGGGTTAACTGGAATGTGAAGAAATTTTAGAGGGTTCAGACCCCTTCCAGTCTCTCATAGGCAGAAGATGGGTTTTAATGAAACCTACCATGTACTCTCCAGAATTGGTGTTTATTGATGTTTTTGCTTTACCCCACCTCCACACCCCACATTCTGCTCTGCCCATGATCAAATTTCTTTTTCCCCTGAATTTCCCCCTCAGAAACCTGCATTCACTAGTGCAGAGGAAAACCATGTTGCCATGAAGAACTTACCTGTCGTTCTACATATCTTCAATAAAGATGCCTGTACAATTCCAAAGTTAGGGGAGAAAAAGTGAAAACTGAAAAGCCCCTGTAATACTTTCGGTGCCTTTCTCTAAGGGATTATTTTTCCTGCCTTTGTCTATAAACCCATAATATTTACTTACCAGTTAAAAGGTAGCTCTTTCCTAGGTCATGTTCCCTTTAAGGTGGGAGTCCTGAAAACAGGCTGCATCTTGGTTTCCCTTTCCTGTAAGTGTCTCTGCTAGGAACATCTGTTTTTGTTTGTTTGTTTGTTTGTTTTGAGATGGAGTCTTGCTCTGTCTCCCAGGCTGGAGTGCAGTGGCGCGATCTCAGCTCACTGCAACCTCCGCCTCCCGGGTTCACGCCATTCTCCTGCCTCAGCCTCCTGAGTAGCTGGGACTACAGGCGCCTGCCACCACGCCTGGCTAATTTTTTTGTATTTTTAGTAGAGACAGGGTTTCACCGCATTAGCCAGGATGGTCTCGATCTCCTGACCTCGTGATCCGCCTGCCTCGGCCTCCCAAAGTGCTGGGATTACAGGCGTTAACCACCACGCCTGGCCAGGAACATCTCTTACACCCCATTCCCTCCCACACAACCTGTTCCCTCTTCCTCTCCTTTCTCTGGTGACACCTGTCTCTCCTTCAGGTCTTGACCTAAATGTTGCCTGTTCAGGGCTCTTCCCCTTGTAGCTCTGCTCACGAGTTTAGTTGTCTAATGATGTCTGCAATTGGCTGAAGTCTCTCTGCCCCATATGTGCAGTCGTGGCTGTTGTACTCATCCCCAAATCCTTAGCACCAACAATGGGCCCAGCACAAAGCAGGCTCTCAACAAATAGCTGCCGAATAAATGAAAGTTGCAATTCCCCTAGTGATTTGAGAGCACTTGCCACAATGAGTGCTCAGAAAGTACCTGTGTCTTGTTGCAGATGGTCACATAATAAAGCAACAAGACAACCAGATATTTAAGATAAATGAGAGACGTGCCCTTTGCCTTTCTGTTAGTATGGCCTCCAGCAGGTACCCGAGAACCCAACTGTTCCAAGCCTCTTGTGGAACTGTCCAGAGGAGGTTGCTTCTTAGAGACACTGATAGCAAATCACAGAGCCCGCCTGGTAGAGGCAGCTCACAGCAGCCCCCAGCGCACCTCTCTCCTAGTTTCGTCTCTCCACTGTTGTTAACCCTGTGGTCTCCTCCTCCAGGGCCCACAGTGAGGGGCAGCCCCAGCCACTGGAGAGCCAGTGAGACACGCCATGGACAGTTCCTGAGTCTTGGCCCAAATCTACCAAGAAACTAATTTCAATGGTGTCTTAAGCCTCCATTTTTGTTTTCAAAAGGCATAAAACGTTGTATACATTTTTGCATCATTGACTCAGAGGGGAGGTACTAGGGTGTTTTAAACAAACATTTGTTTACACAGCAGAGAACCCCATGCCAGCCACTGGGCAGACCCTCAGCTGTGGCTCCCTGGGAATATTGCAGGTGTCCAGCAACCCCTGGTGGCTCTGCCTTTTCCAGCCTTTGAGCTGAGCTCACAGGTGATCACCTCCATCAGCCTCGGTCCTGCTGACCTCATGAGATGGTTGAGGTCGTAGGGCTCGCTCGTTTAGAATATGTCTTGTCCTTCTTTTTTCATTATCAGGAGACTAAGATCCATGAGGGAGAGGCCTTCATTTTGTTTCCCAGCTCAGATAGGAGGCCACACACATTGCCTAAAAACCCACAGAAAATGGAATTGAGTTGTCAAGGCAGGACATAGTTGGGAAAACAAAGCAGAAACTCATTTTAAATGTAACCAGGACTTTCTTTTCTCAGTTTCATCCAACTCTAACATCTAAGCCCTCCTTGCATTTCAAAATCATTTCTGCTAAAAGGTAAATTTTATTACAGAATTTTAGCTTTGCATGTATCCTGTTGGTTTTAAATAAAGTCCAGTTTCTAAAATGAGATCTAGTTTCACATTACCTTGTTCTGTTATCAAGCCAATTAAAAAGCAGAAGGTAGGCATGCAGATTGTAGTTAAATCCCAAATAATTGGATTTCTTGGGACTGTGAGGTGTTTGAGTTATTTTAATTACTGAGATAACACTAACTCTTACTGTTTTAACCCTTGTTGGAAACACTTCTCAGCTGTGATACTTTGCTTCCTTCCCTTGGTGGCTCTAAGCTGATGATGGCTGAGCTCTTGCATGTCAACGTCACCTGCTCAATTACCGTCACCCCCTGTTGTCCACTCAACGTGTACCTACAATAGAATGTACCCTGGAAGTACTTGGGCTGTTTCCTTTAACCTAGATTTCTGATGTGAGTTTTTGGTGAGTGATTCTTTTCTGGTTCACTCATTGAACAAACATCTGAGTGCTTGCTTTAATTCACAGGCGACTTGGATTCAAAGATAATTAGAACAGTCTTAACCCTTGAGGGACTTGTAAGTAACTACACGGATTTGTAATCTAGTAATTAGAGTGAGAGTGAGAGGCCTATAATCTTATTATCTGGACTCCAGTTAATTCTAGCAGATCAGGAGTTCACGGTACGATGGATTAAGAAAAGAATGACCTGAAAAAAGTTTAAATTAAATATAGTAAGTTTTATTGAAGATTTATTTAATCACTTTCTATTATTTGTTTAATTGTTTTCTAATTTATTTGTCATTTACTCATTTTTTTCATTTCGGAAAAGATCCAGTGTAGTTTGCAGTAAAGGGCACAGGATTATAGAGATAAAAATCTGAGTAATAGAAGAGAGAAGCATGACAAAACTAGGCTTAGAGCTTCTTGGCTAAAGGTAGAAGAAGAAACACACTCAAGGGAAAAAAAGAGCCTGCCATTGCATCAGGAGAGAGAAACTTATTTCCTAGCACAAATGTTAAAGACTTTAATTCTGTAAATTTTAAAAAGTTGTATTGAGCAACATAATTGACAATTACTTTAATTATGTGTCTTAATTTTTTTCTGACAATGAAATAATTAGTTTAAAATGTGGGGATATGGAAAGTCTTTTTTAGTATGACATAAAACCTAGAAACATTTTTAAATGACAAAATTACATAAAATCACATAAAAATTTAAAACTTTCTACAATGAAAGACATCATAGAGTTGAGGAAGATGATAAACTGATAGAAAATGCTGCAACAAACTGTGAATATACATGCAGTTTAAACAACCCCTGAAAATCATAAGCAAAAAACAACTTAATTTGAAAAACAGGTAAAGATATGAATGCATATTTTACACACTAGAAGTACAAAGTGGTCAATGGCTATAAACATATGAAAAGATATTCAAATTTACTAATAACTAAACATATTCCCTTTTTAGAATGAGATACAGTCTTTTTAATACTGGATTATAAACCTTTAAAAAGATTTATTACATCCAGCGTTGGTAAGAATGTGGTACACAAACACTCTTGTAGTGTTAGTGAGAATATAAATTGGTACACTCTTTTGAGAGCAATTTGCCAATAACTATGAAAATTTATGTGACAAGTAATCCAGTATTTCTACTTCTAGGACCCTCTCAAAAACATCCTTGTTCAAGCAATAATGATATATGTGCAGGAACTTTCTATGCAGCATTGGTTACAATGCTAAAAAAGTTGGAAACAATCTAAATATCTGTCAATATGGAAATATGTAAATAAGTTATGATATAGCCATTTAATAAATGCTTATGTAGTTATTAAAAAATGAGATAGATCTACATGAATTACATGGAAAGATGTCCATAACATGTCATTAAAGGTAGAAAGCTATAGAACACAATCTCATTATTATAAAACTGAAATAAAATAAATCATTTTATGTATGCCTTTTTGTAAATTTATAGAAAAAGTTGGAAAATATCATTTAAATAGCCAAGAGCCATTATCAGTGTGGTGTTCAATTGGAGGAAAAGTTGTAATGAGGAAAAAGAACTTTCATTTTTAAATTTTGTTCTTTCTATATTGTCAGAATTTTTCCAGACATGTTTCAATTCTTGCTATAAAATATATACAGATAATTGAATAAAAAGGATAATAATTTGTTCTAAGGAAAGAGCATGAAGGTTACAGAAAAAAATGAAACAAAAATATCTCAAAGCCTCACAGTTTATCATTAGACACTAATAACATATATTGGTATATTTCCTTCCAGTCTTTTCTCTATATGGGTATGATTTTTTTCATACCTCAGTTATTCTTTATGTATAGTTCTGTATCCTGCTTTTACAGTTAACGTTATATCCTAATAATTTTCCAATATCATGATAAATATGTGAAAAGGTTCTTTTTAATGATGTTGTAATAACTGCATATTGATTAACCATAGTTTGGAGAACTGCTTGTCTCCTGTTCATTTAGGTTGCTTTCAGTATTTCACTATCATGAAACAATGAAGTACAATTAATTTAATAAATTTATTTTGCAAAATCATATTTGTTAGGGGTTTTCAAGACTATTTTCAGGCTTGATGATTTCCCTAGAAGGGCTCATAGGACTTAGAAGTTGGTATATTTATGATTATAATGTATTACAATGAAAGGATACAGAGTAAATTCACCAAAGGGAAAAAGCTCATGGGGCAAAGTTCAAATGAAACAAGGCACAAGTTTCCAAAAGTCCTCTCTCAGTGGAATCACACAACATATACTTCATATTTCCAGCAATGATGTGTGAAAACATGAACAGATTTTGCCATTGAGGGAAAAACATCTGAGCCTGATTGTCCAGGGTTTTTGTTATGGATCAGTCACACATACACACAGCATCTTTTCTATGTGTAAACTAGGCAAATTGATGCAGTATGGCTCAGGACCTTGGGCATGCAAAATGCTCTTGTGAGTTAGAACATTTAAAAGCCCAGCTCTCAGGAGCTGGCCAGTGGCCAGTCATGAAACAGGCTCTTCTTGGAAATGTGCAGGGTTTAAGCAATTCAAGCCTGCTTAGTTATTCCTTTCCTACACAATGAGGCACAGGTTTCCCATATGTTCTTAGGATGCATTCTTAAAAGTGGAAATGCTGAGTCATCTGAAGTATGTCTTTGAAAATAACGTATTGACTGGCTGTTGCCTTTTTTTTTTTTACTTTTATTATTTTTAATTCACACAATTGTATGTATGTATAGGGCACAGTGTGACATTTTGATACATTATACAGTGTAATAATCAAATCAGAGTAGTGTATTAATCACCTCAAATATGTATCATTTCTATGTGTTAGGAACATTCGAAATCCAATCTTCTAGCTATTTGAGAATATCCAGAAATTGTTGTTAATTACAGTCATCTTATAGTGCCATAGAACACTAGAACTTACTCCTCCTATCTGGATGTACTTTCGTATCCATTAACCAACTTCTTCCTATACTCCCCTACCCCCTACCTTCCCCACCTCTAGTGACCACTATTCTACTCTCTCCTTCTATGAGATCAACCTTTTTAGCTTCCACATGTTAATGAGAACATTTAGTATTTATCTTTGTGTGCTTGGCTTATTTCACTTATAAAATAATGTCCTACAAGCTCATCCATGTTGCTGCAAGTAACTGAATGTTGTTCTTTTTTATGGCTACATAGTATTCCATTTGTATACATACCTGTATTAGTCCATTTTCATACCACTATGAAGAAATGCCCAAGACTGGGTAATTTATAAAGCAAAAGAGGTTTGTTTAATGGACTCAACAGTTCCCCATGGCTGGGGAGTCCTCACAATCATGGTGGAAGGTGAAAGAGGAGCAAAGGCATTTCTTACATGACAGCAGTCAAGGGAGTGTGTGCAGCGGAACTGCATTTTATAAAACCATCAGATCTCATGAGACTTACTATCATGAGAACAGCACGGGAAAAACTTGCCCCCATGATTCAATTACCTCCCACCGGGTCCCTCCCATAACATGTGGGGATTATGGTAGCTACAATTCAAGATGAGATTTGGGTGGGGACACAGCCAAACCATATCATTACCACATTTTCCTTATCTGCTAAATGAACACTTAGGCAGATTTTATACCTTGGCTGTTGTGACTGGTACTGCTGCCATAAATTTGGGAGTGCAGATATCTCTTGAACATACTGATTTCCTTTCCTTTGGATATATACCCAGCAATAGGATTGCTGGATCATATGGTAGTTCTATTTTTAGGTTTTTGTTTGTTTGTTTGTTTGTTTGTTTGTTTGTGAGACAGGGTCTCACTCTGTCACCCAGGCTGGAGTGCAGTGGTGCGATTATGGCTCACTGCAGCCTGGACCTCCCTGGGCTCTGGTGATCCTCCCACCTGAGTGGTTGGGATTACAGACACACACCACCATGCTTGGCCAATTAAAAAAAATTTTTTTTTTGTAGAGATGGGGTCTTGCTACATTGTCCAGGCTGGTCTTGAACTCCTAGGCTCAAGCAATCCTCCCACCTTGACCTCCCAAAGTGGCATTAGCCACAACCCCCAGCCTATTTTCAGGTTTTTGAGAACCTTCCATACTGTTTTCCATAGTGGCTATACTAATTTCCATGCCCACCAAGTGTGTAAAAGTTCCTCATTCTCTATGTTCTCACCAATGTTTGTTACTTTTTGTCTTTTTGATGATGACCATTTTAACTGGGATGAGATGACCTCAGTGTGGTTTTGATTTGCATTTCCCTGATGATTACTGATGTTGAACATTTTTTATATACCTGGTGGCCATTTGTATATCTTTTCTGAGGGTTGTCTATTCAGCTCATTTGTTCATTTATTAATTGAATTATTTTGATGTTTACTGTTGAGTTGTTTAAGTTCTTTTTATATCCTGGATATTAATCTCTTGTTGGATGAATCATTTGCAATTTTTTTCTCCCATTCTGTAGGTTGTATCTTCAGCCTGTTGATTGTCCCATTTACTGTGCAGAAGCTTTTTAGTTTTACATAATTCTATTTGTATATTTTTGCTTTTGTTGCCTGTGCTTTTGAGGTATTCGCCATAAAATCTTTGCCCAGACCAATGTCCCGAAGTATTTCTCCTATTTTTTCTTCTAGTATTTTCATAGTTTCAAGTTTTACATTAAAGTCTTTAATTTATTTTGAGTTTATTTTTATATATGGTGATGGGGTCTAGTTTCATTTTTCTGCATATGGATGTATAGTTTCTTAATATCATTTAATGAAGAGACTTGCATTTTACCTAATGAATGTCCTTGGCATCTTTGTCTTACATGTAATATTCTGTTGACAATTGAAAGGATGCATAAGTATTTTAGATACCAGGCATATAAATAACAAAAATATTTTATGAAAGTCGTTTCTTATTTCCTTTTTAAAAAAGATACGTTTGTTAAGAACTGTATGCATCATGCAGTATTCTTAGGGCTTTGTATATTCAACTTCTGATGCTCAAGGAAGCTGTAGTTTAGAGAAATTAAGTAACCCCCACACCCCTAGTCATACAACTTCTTTGTAGCAGGAATCAACCTAAGCCTGTTGGCCTTTAAAACCTATAGACCTAACTTCTGCTATTTAAATATTCTTACTTCGATGGAAGCCAATTAATTGCATTTTACTGAAGTTACCTTGATTGAAAAATATGACTTAGAGACTTAGTTATTCTTGCTAGTTACCTTACATATAGTTTCCCAACTCCCCTACAGTAATTCTGAGGTCTGTTTACACTTGTCCCTCTTAGGGGTTTCAGATGCAGGCGAAGAGCTAATGCCCTGTCCTAAACATGTTTGAGGTATATGATCCACTCCTATAATATTGATTTCCTGTAAGTTCATAATGATCATTGAGATCAGTGTGATAACAATGGAAAGTGTTGCGGATTTAGTGCTAATGAGTATATGTGTACACACATACACACACACACACAAAACATGCTATTCAGTGCTGTGTAAAAGAAAGGCTCTCAAGTATTCCTGAAACTTAGTTTTAGTCATGTAGTGGTTCTTCCTCTCAAAATTTTTATGAAAAGTTTTTCTGCTGTTCATATGTCAAATACAAAATCTCTTCAGTGCATTGATCCATATAATTTTACACTAATAGTGGGGCTGTACCTGTTGACTTTTCTAACTGGCTTGCACTGTTGTAGCAAATAGGAAAATACTTGCAGCTGCAAATATTGATTTGAAGATGAATTCTTGTCAATATGCCCTCTGATTCTGTCATATTGATATGATGCGTTGTAGAAAATAAAATTCCTTTATTCAGACTAAGGTACAGAAGGATTTCTAGTAGTTGTATAAAAAATGAGTAACTGATACATTATTATTTGAGTTCCTCTCTACCTAAGGAAAAACATTCCCTGGGAATAGGCTGCTACTCAGTAGGCTAAAGAAACTCTACTTGTGTCATAAAAATTAATTTTGCTTCTTGAAAAATAAATTGTTATTGATTTCACACATTTAGGGATTTCTGGTCATACTGTAATTTGATAATATAAGTAGCTTGTTAACATCATCAAAATGTGTTTGTTGAGCACTTTGATGATGTGTACATGTGCCAGACAGAGCTGTTCTACCATGTTCTCCCTGCCTTCGTCCAGTCCTCTCAAGTATCATTTTCTCTTTCTGTGCACATCTTTAGTGAAGAAAATGAGGAAGACCTTGCTAAAATAAAATATTCAGTCTTAGGAAAAAACAAAGTAAGAAATAGGGTCACTTGATGGCTACTGGAATTGTGGTCCTAGGTGATTTGTGAGCTTATTCTTACTGTAGCATATGATATGCATTCCTTTAATGTAAATAACTCTAAAAGCATGTTATTTTCCAGTAATGAAAGAATCATGGTGCCTCATAAGCTCTTGTTCGCTTGGGAGTGTTCAGGAATCTCCCAGATTTGACACCAGAAGAGGCAAGGTCAAAGCAATTAGGCTGCACTGGTATCTTCAGTGAAGATGCCCTTACTGCCCTATGCTGACCGTGGTCTCCCCAAGGCTGAGTCTAGATTGCTGTCACACTGTCAACTTATTTGTCATTGTGAAGCCAACAGGGAAGTGGCAATTAGTTTGGGGGTAGAAGAGTTTGTAGGAGAATAGAAGCATTTAAAAGAATCTTTGTGGGAGAATAATAAAGATAATAAATATGAGCTCCATTTCTTTGCATGAGATCAGAGAGACAGGAAAATATAATGGAGATGATGTATACAATTTCTGGTTGAAGGATCTGTCTACTTCATCATTTGGAGAGCCACATGAGTGCATGTCTTAGATGGTCTGTCTGCTGTTCTTTCTGGCCAGAAGAAGGAAAGCCAGGAAGCACTGGGAATCACAGGCTGTGACACCAAAGTCAACTCTCAGACATCCCGGGACTAAGGATCGGTGAACATTTGGATGGGCCTCCATTTGTTCAACATATATTAATTGCGTACCCTCTTCAAGCTGAACGCTTTGTTAGATACCTGGGGAAATCATGGTGAATAAGGTGGACACAGTCCTTGTCCCTGTGGAGCTGATGGGGGTCACAGGAGAGAGCAACATGAAACTTGTACTTACACACCTAATTATTGAGTTACGTTTATGCTAAGTGCTGTGAAAGGGAAATGAGTGTCCCAGAAGGCCATATGGTGCAGAGACATAACATAGTGCACAGAAAACATGCTGGCAGAGACCTGAAGTTTCCATAGAAGTGGCCGGTGATGATGGGGAACTGCATTCCATTCAGGTTAATGACATGAGTTGTTTCTTTGTAAAGCTAGAGGTTTCTCAAGCCTTGCTCCCCTTGAAATCTTGAACTACGGCTGCTAACAATTAGATACCTTGTAAATTTGAAAATATATGCTCCCCCATTTTTTTCCAAGCCCTCTATGGAGAAACTTGCAAGCTGTGAAATGGTCTAAAGACAGCATGAAAAAAAAAATTGCACAGAAAATTCACAGCAGTTTAATTAGTCTCTAATTTTACTGGGCAGTCCAGTAAAATTCATTGGAACAATTTGAATTTTGGAGGGGGGGGCACTTGATTTTAAAACCCTAATAACCTCATCCTCTATTACAAATTAAGTGGCTCAGGGTGCTATTTAGCTATTGTCATTGAAATGTCACAGAAGAATCCAAGTAAGGGAAAAGATCCATTTATCTTTCTCTGCTATGCCTTTTAAATGCTTTCATCAAAACAATAGCAAGAATAATATTTTAGGTAATTTTAGATAATATGGAAGACATTACAGGACATACCTATAGTGCCAGAAGAGAATTTATAACACTCTTGTGACCCACCTTAATATTAAGCCCCCTGTAGGCTGGTCTGAAACCTTTTGTGGATGCTCTTCAAAAGTAGGACACTAAAACCCTAATTTTCATTTAAGAGCATATACACATATTGTATTTAAAATGTTGCACACCTGGTATTTTGCCCACCCTGCTTGTCAGCCTTGAGGAGCTATGGGAGCTTGTCCAACAGTAATTAATGCAGATGGTCTTTTGGAGCTGAGTTTTCCATTGTGATTTTCAACATTTGTATGTTTCAGAAATCTGCCTACTGTACTATAAATGCATTCTTATGCAAATTGCTACCATCATATGGCCCAATTTCTTAGTATGAGGAGCATGAAACTTTTAATTACATGTCACTGTTTTAAAACTTTCCATTTCTTTTCAGACTTATATATTCTACTAGCTATATTACATTGAAGAAATGCCAAATACTAAGAGTAGTATTTGATGTGTTTGAAGTGAAGTCTTCAAGGGGTGTATTATTTGAAGACAGTAGTTCTTCATGGGGTGTAGTAAAAGACGCAAGAATAAGAAGGAAATGAATGCAACCTAATTCATCCATGGCTGGATTCACTAGCACAGAGCTTATCATCCACAGGCTTTATCTTAGTCTATTCAAGCCACTATAAAAAAATTAAGACTGAGCGGCTTATAAACAACGAACATTTATTTTTCACAGTTCTGGAGGCTGGAACATCCAAGATCAAGACACTGGAAGAAGGAAACAAATGCCAGTCATCAATTCTGTAAGATAACTGGAGAAGAGTGACATATTTATTTGGCATTGCAGAGCCTTCACATCTTTCATCTTTAACCCACCAGTCAGCAAATTTCTGTTGAGAACCACTTTGGGCCCACACTTTGCTAATCAATAGTCACCCAACCAGCCTAGCTGATGTGAGGGATGAGGGGAAAGCCCTCCAGCTTGCCCCCCACCCCGAACTGTTGGTGGTAGCCTTTCATCTTTCAAATGCCAGCCTGGGCCTGTTATTCTCTTGCCTAGGACCCTGCAGCAGCTCTCATTGCCCTTTTGTGTAGGCCTGGAATGGGGTGATTCTGATGGTGATGGCCCTCTTTACACAGCTGCTGTGGCCCAGAGTCACCCAGCAGAGGCCCAGCCTGCCTTAGCTGCCAGCATGCACTGCTTTGTGCCTACAACCTGGGAAAAACATGGCAAGTTGTAGACTCTTTTTTAAAGAGTGGTCTACACATTTTTGGGTTAAAAGCCACGTTGGACATATTTCTTTCTCTACATGATTTGCATTCAAAGGAATGGAACAACTTTATTAATAATCTACAGTGTGAATTGTTAGTTTCTATCACAGAATTTGGATGGCATGGGGAACAAGGAATGAGCTTTGAAGTTAGACCGAGATTACCACTAATTGCTGTGTGACCCTGATTCAATTATTTAACTTCTCTGATCCTTGAATTCCTCATTGGAAAAAGGAAAATAACACCAACTTCATTTGTTAATGACTGGATACACTAGTACAGTGCGTATAATCCATAGGTTTTATCTTAGTCTGTTCAGGCTGCTTTAATAAAATACCATCAACTGGGTGGCTTATAAACAATAAACATTTATTTCTAATAATTATGGCTGGGAATTCCAAGATGAAGGCATGGGAAGATTTAATATCTGGTAAGAGACCATTCCTCATAGATGGTGCCTTCTTGCTGTGTCCTCACCTGGTAGAAGGTGCAAATGAGCTTTTGGGGGCCTATTTTATAAAAGCACTAATCCCATTCCTGAGGGATTCACTCTCATGATTTAATCACCTCCCAAAGGCCCCACCTTCCATACCATCACATTAGAAATTGGATTTCGGGGATGGATCCAAGATGGCCAGTTAGAAGCAGCTGCAGTCTCCAGCACTCAGAGGAATGAAAAGGGGCAAGTGAATTCAGCACCTTCAATTGAAATATCCAGATTCTCACAATGGGACTGACTAGGCAAACAACACAAACCAGAGAATGAAGAAAAGCTGGGGCTGCTGACAGCCCACCCAGGAGTGGCACAGAGCCAAAGGAACCCCCACCCCCAGCCAAGGGAACCAGTGAGTGATTGTGCAACCCCACCTGGAAAACCATGCTTCTCCCATGGGTCTTTGCAACCCAAAGATCAGGAGATCCCCTTGTGAGCCCATGCCTTCAGGTCTTTGGGTCTATACACAGAGCTGTGTGGAGTTTTGGCAGAGCAGCCACTCAGGCACACACACAGTCCCAGGAGTGTCACATACTCTAGCCCTGGGATCCCTGGGAAGATGGGAATTCCATCCATACATATCCCTAGGAAGGGAGCTGAATCCAGGGTGCCAAGCAGTGTCATTTTGTGGGCCCCATTTCCATGGCACCTCACAACTTAAGAATCACTAGCTTAGAGTCCCAGTCAGCCCAGCACTGGGTTGGAGTCTCCCTGAGATGGATTCAAGTTCCTGTGGGAGGAGGCAGCCACCATCTCTGTGGTTCAGTTGACTCAGCTATGCCAGCCTGCTGACTTTGGAGAAGACAGGCGGTCCAGATGAGGAAGGGTCCCTCCAATGCAGCACACTTGCTCTACCAGACAGCAGCCAAACTGCTTCTTTGGGTGGATCCCTGATACCATTCCTCCTGACTGGGTGAGACCTCCCAACTGGGGTCTCTGGCCACCTCCTACAGGTACATGAAGGCTGGCAGTAGGTCAGTACCCCCTGGGATGGAGCTTCCAGAGGAAGGAGCTGGCTGCCATCTTTGCTGTTTTGTGCTCTTCACTGGTGATAACCACATATGGGAGAAACTGAGGCAACTAAGGTCTGGAGCAGACCCCCAGAAAACCATAGCAGCCCTACAGTAGAATGGCCTGACTGATAAAATAAAAACAAATAAACAGAAGACAACAACATCAACAAAAAAGACCCCACAAAAACCTCATTCAAAGGTCAGCAACCTCAAAGATCAAAGGTAGATAAGCCCACAAAGATGAGAAAGAATCAATGCAAAAATGCTGAAAACTCAAAAAGCCAGAGTGCCTCTTCTCCAAATAACTGCAGCACCTCTGCAGCAAGGACACAGAACTGGGCTGAGGCTAAGATGGCTGAATTGACAGAAGTAGGCTTCAGAAGGTGGGTAATAAAAAACTTAGCTGAGCTAAAGGAGCATGTTGTAACCCAATGCAGAGAAACTAAGAATCATGATAATACTGGAGCTGATAGCTAGAATAGCCAGTTTAGAGAGGAATATAATTGGCCTGATGGAGCTGAAAAACAACATGACAAATTCACAATGTAATCACAGCAGAATGGACAGAGAGGAGGAAAGAATCTCAGTGCTTAAAGATTATCTTTCTGAAATAAGACAGGCAGACAAGAATAGAGAAAAAAGAATGAAAAGCAATGAACAAAACCTCTGAAAAATATGAGATTATGTAAAGAGAGAAAACCTATGACTGATTGGGGTACCTGAAAAAGATGGGGAGAATGGAACCAAGTTGGAAAACATACTGCAGGATATCATCCAGGAGAATTTCCCCAGCCTAGCAAGACATGCCAACATTCAAATTCAGGAAATGCAGAGAATCCCAGTAAGATACTCCATGAGAAGATCAACCCCAAGACACAGAATCATCAGATTCTCCAAGATTAAATGAAAGAAAAAATGTTAAGGGCAGCCAGAGAGAAAGGCCAGGTCACCTACAAAGGGAAACCCATCAGACTAACAGTAGACTTCTCAGTAGAAAATCTACAAGCCAGAAGAGTTTGGAGGCCAATAGTCAACATTCTTAAAGAAAAGAATGTCCAACCCAGAATTTCAGATCTGGCCAAACTAAGTTTCATAAGTGAAGGAGAACTAAGATCCTTTACAGACAAGCAAATGCTTAGGGAATTCATCACCACCAGGCCTGCCTTGCAAGAGCTCCCAAAGGAAGCACAAAATATGGAAAGAAAAAACCAATACCAGCCACTATGAAAACACACTGAAGTACACAGAGCAGGGACACTATGAAGCAACCACATTAAAAAAAGTTTGAAAAATAACCAACTAGCATCATGATGACAGGATCAAATTTACACATAACAATACCAATCTAAAATGTAAACATGCTAACTGCCCTGATTGAAAGGCACAGAATGGCAAGCTGGATAAAGAGCCAAAACCCATCAGTATGCTGTTTTCAAGAGACCCATCTCACATGAAAGACACACATAGGCTCAAAATAAAGGGATGGAGGAAATTTTACCACACTAATGGAAAAAAAGAAAAAGAGCAGAGGTGGTAATCCTAGTTTCTGACAAAACAGACTATAAACCAACAAAGATAAAAAAAGATGAAGGGCATTACATAATGGTAAAGGGTTTAATTCAACAAGAAGAGCTAACTATTCTAAATATATATGCACCCAATACATAAGCATGCAGATTCATAAAGCAAGTTCTCAGAGACCTGCTAAGGGACTTAAACTCCCACAGAATAATAGTGGTAGACTTTAACACCCCACTGACAATATTAGACAGATGATCAAGACAGAAAATTAACAAAGATGTTCAGGATCTGAACTCAGCCCTGGATCAAGTGGACTTGATAGGTATCTACAGAACTGTCCACTCAAAAACAACAGAATATACATTCTTCTCATCACCACATGGCACTTACTCTAAAATTGATCACATAATCAGAAGTAAAACACTTCTCAGCAAATGTAAAAAAAAACAACAAATCATAACAGTCTTTCAGACTACAGCACAATCAAACTAGAATTCAAGATTAAGAAACTCACTTAAAACTTAAAAACTACATGGAAATGGAACAACCTGCTTCTGAAAGACTCTTGGGTAAAAATGAAATTAAGGCAGAAATCAAGAAGTTCTTTGAAACTAATGAGAACAAAGAGGCAATGTACCAGAATCTCTGGGTTGCAACTAAAGCAGTATTAAGAGGGAAATTTATAGCACTGAATGTCCATGTCAAAAAGCTAGAAAGATTGTAAGTTAACAACCTAACATCTCAAATAATAGAAATAGAGAACCAAAAGCAAATAGACCCCAAAGCTAGCAGAAGACAAGGAATAACCAAGATCAGAGCAGAACTGAAGGAGACACAGACATGAAAAAACCTGTTAAAAAATCAACAAATCCAGAAGCTAGTTTTGTGAAAAAAAAAGTAATAAAGAGACAGGCTGCTGGCTAGACTAATAAAGAAGAAAAGAGAGAAGACTCAAATAAACAATCAGAAATGAAAAGGGGAATATTACCACTGACCCTACAGAAATACAAACAACTATCAGAAATACTATAAATATCTCGAGGCACATAAACTAGAAAATCTAGAAGAAATGAATAAATTCTTGGGTGCATACACCCTCCCAAAACTGAACTAGGAAGAAATTGAATCCCTGAATAGACCAATAACAAGTTCTGAAACTGAGGCAGTAATAAATAGCCTACCAACCTAAAAAAACCCGTGACCAGATGGATTCACAGCTAAATTCTACTAGATGTACAAAGAAGAACTGATACCATTGCTACTGAAACTATTTCAAAAAATTGAAGAGGAGGGACTCCTTCCTAACTCATTCTATGAGGCCAGCGTTATCCTGATACCAAAACCTGGCAGAGATACAGCAAAAAGAGAAAACTTCAGGCCAGTATCCTTGATGAATATTGATGCAAAAATCCTCAGGAAAATACTGGCAAACTGAATCCAGCAGCACATCAAGAAGCTTATCCACCATGATCAAGTTGGCTTCATCCCAGGATGCAAGGTTGGTTCAACATATGCAAATCAATAAATGTGATTCATCACATCAATGGAACTAAAGACAAAACCCTCATGATTATCTCTAATAGATTCAGAAAAGGCCTTTAATAAAATTCAACATTCCTTCATGTTAAAAACTCTCGATAAACTAGGTATTGAAGGAACATACCTCAGAATAATAAGAACCATATATGACAAATGCACAGTCAATATCCTACTGAATAAGCAAAAGTTAGAAGCATTGTTCTTGAAAACTAGCACAAGACAGGGATGCCCTCTCTCACCACTCCTATTCAACATAGTATTGGAAGTTCTAGCCAGGGCAATCAGGCAAGAGAATGAAATAAAGATTATTCAGATAGGAAGAGATGAAGTCAAAGTATCTTTGTTTGTAGGTGACATGATCCTATATCTAGAAAACCCCATCATCTCAGCCCAAAAGTTTCCTAAGCTGATAAGCCACTTCAGCAAAGTCTCGGGATATAAAATCAGTCTGCAAAAATTGCTAGCATTCCTATACACCAACAACAGGAAAGCAGAGAGCCAAATTATGAATGAACTCCCATTCACAATTACTACAAAAAGAATAAAATGCCTAGAAATACAGCCAACAAGGCGAATGAAGGACCTCTTCAAGGAAAACTACATACCACTGCTCAAGGAAATCACAGAGGACACAAACAAATGGAAAAACATTCCAGGCTCATGGATAGAAAGAATCAATATCATGAAAATGGTCGGCTCCCTGCTTCTCCTGTTCGACAGACAGCCACATTTTCTCTTGCATTGCCAGCCGCATCCCTGAGACATCATGGTGAAGGTGAAGGCCAGAGTCGACAGATTTGGTCATGTTAGGTGTCTGGTCACCAGGGCTGCTTTTAACTCTGCTAAAGTAGATATTGTGGCCATCAGTGACCCCTTCATTGACCTCAACTACATGGTCTACATGTTCCAGTATGGTTCTACCCATGGCAAATTCCATGGCACTGTCAAGGCTGAGAACAGGAAGCTTGTCATCACTGGAAATCTCATCACCATCTTCCAGGAGCGAGATCCCTCCAAAATCAAATGGGGTGATGCTGGCACTGAGTACAGTGTGGAGTCCACCAGCATCTTCACCATCATGGAGAAGTCTGGGGCTCACTTGCAGGGAGGAGCCAAAAGGGTCATCCTTTCTGCCCCCTCTGCCAACACCCTGATGTTCGTGATGGGCGTGACCCATGAGAATTATGACAGCAGCCTCAAGATCATCAGCAATGCCTCCTGCACCATGAATTGCTTAGCACCCCTGGCCAAAGTCATCCGTGACAACTTTGGTATCATGGAAGGACTCATGACCACAGTCCATGCTGTCCCTGCCACCCAGAAGACTGTGGATGGACCATCCAGGAGACTGTGGTGTGATAGCCATGGGGCTCTCCAGAACATCATCCCTGCCCCTAGTGACGCTGCCAAGGCTGTGGCCAAGGTCATCCCTGAGCTGAATGGGAAGCTCACTGGCATGGCCTTCTGTGTCCCCACTGCCAACTTGTCAGTTGTGGATCTGACCTGCTGTCTTGAAAAACCTGCCAAATATGATGACATCAAGAAGGTGGTAAAGCAGGTGTCAGAGGGCCCCCTCAAGGGCATCCTGGGCTACACTGAGTACCAGCTTGTCTCCTCTGACTTCAACAGCGACACCCACTCTTCCACCTTCGACGCTGGGGCTAGCATTGCCCTCAACGACCACTTTTTCAAGCTCATTTCCTGGTATGACAATGAATTTGGCTACAGCAACAGGGTGATGGACCTCATGGCCCACATGTCCTCCAAGGAGTAAGACCCCCAGACCACCAGCCCCAGTGAGAGCACAAGAGGAAGAGAGAGGCCTTCACTGCTGGGGGACACTTAGTCCCCCTCCACACTGAGAATCCCCCCTCCTCAGAGTTTCCATGCAGATCTCCTGAAGAGGGAGGGGCCTAGGGAGCCCCACCTTGTCATGTACCATCAATAAAGTCCCCTGTGCTCAGTCAAAAAAAGAAAAAGGAAATGGTCATACTGCCCACAGTAATTTATAGATTCAATGCTATCCCATTAAACTACCATTGACATTCTTCACAGAATGGAACCAAAAAAGATCCTGAATAGCCAAGACAATTCTAACCAAAAAGAACAAAGCTGTAGGCATCAAGCTGCCCGACTTCAAACTATACTACAAGACTACAGTAACTAAAACAGCATGGTACTGGTACAAGAACAGACACATAGACCAATGGAACAGAATCATATACTCAGAAATAAGACCACATGCCTCCAGCCATCTGATCTTCAACAAACTTTACAAAAGTAAGCAATGGGGAAAGGATTCCCTATTTAATAAATGGTGCTGGGAGTGCTGGCTAGCCATATGCAGAAAAACGAAAATGGACCCCTTCCTTTCACCATATACAATATTAACTCAAGATGGATTAAAGACTTAAATGTAAAACTCAAAACTATAAAAACCTTAGAAGAAAATCTAGGCAATACCATTCAGGACATAGGCACGGGCAAAGATTTCATGATGAAAACACCAAAAGCAATTGTGACTAAAGCAAAACTTGACAAATGAGATCTAATTAAAAAGAGCTTCTGCACGGCAAAAGAAACCATCATCAGAGTGAACAGGCAACCTACAGATTGGGATAAAATTTTTGCAATCTATCCATCTGACGAAGGTCTAATATCCAGAGTCTACAAGGAACTTAAACAAATTTATAAGAAACAACCCCATTAAAAAGTGAGCAAAGAACATTAACAGACACTTCTCAAAAGAAGACATACATGTAGCCAACAAACATATGAAAAAAACCTCAACATCACTGATCATTAGAGAAATGCAAGTCAAAACCACAATGAGATACCATCTTATGGCAGTCAAAGTGGCTACTATTACAAAGTTAAAAACAAAACAAAACAGGTGCTGGTGAGGTTGTGGAGACAAAGGAGCACTTTTGCATACACAGGTAAACATTGTCTGGGAGGGTTGGGTGGGAGGGTAAATTAGTTCAACCATTGTGGAAGACAGTGTGGCAATTCCTCAAAGACCTAGAGGCAGAAATACCATTTGACCCGGCAATCCCATTACTATATGTATACCCAAAGGAATATAAATCATTCTATTATAAAGATACATGCATGCGTATGTTTATTGCAGCACCCTTCACAATAGCAAAGACATGGAGTCAACCCAAATTCCCATCAATGATAGACTGGATAAAGAAAATGTGGTGCATATATATACACTATGGGATACTATGCAGCCATAAAAAGGAATGAGATCATGTCCTTTGCAGGGACACAGATGGAGTTGGAAGCCATTATCCTCAGAAAACTAATACAAGAACAGAAAACCAAACACCACATGTTCTCACTTATAAGTAGGTGCTGAATAATGAGAACACATGGATACATGATGGGGTCAACACACACTGGGGCCTGTGGGGTGGAGGATGGGGGGAGGGAAAGCATCAGGAAGAATAGCTAATGGATGCCGGGCTTAATACCTAGGTGATGGGATGGTTTGTGCAGCAAACCACCATGGCATATGTTTACCTATGTAACAAACCTGCACATCCTGCACATGTACTCCTGAACTTGAAGAACAAAATAATGAAATAATATGAACATTTGTTGTGTAAAAAAATTTAGATTTCAACATGTGAATTTTTGAGTGACACAAACATTCAGACCACATAGTAGGTTCTAAATAAATATTTATAATAATATTGCTAAGAAATACCATTTTGCATGCTTAATAAGGGCCTGGCATTATGCTAAGCACTTATTTTTAATTTTTGTGTGTACATAGTAGGTGTATATATTTATGGGGTACATGCCATGTTTTGATACAGGCATACAATGTGCAATGGTCACATCAGGGTAAATGAGGTCTCCATCACCTCAAGCATTTATCCTTTCTTTATGTTACAAACAATTCAGTTATCCTCTTTTCATTATTTTTAAATATACAAAAAATTATTGTTGACAGTAGTCACCCTGTTGTCCTATCAAATACTAGATCCTATTTATTCTATCTAACTATATTTTTGTATCCATTAATCATCCCCAATTGCCTGCAACCCCACTACCCTTCCCAGCCTCTGGTAACCTTCATTCTGTTCTCTATCTCCATGAGTTCAGTTGTGTTAGTTTTATGCTAAGCGCTCTTAATCCACAGTCCCATTTTATTCTCACAATAACCTTGTGGAGTAGCTACTGTTGTCACCTATTTTACACAGGAGGAAACAAATGCTCAGAGAGTTCAAGTAACCTGCCTCAGGTCACACAGCTAAGGACACAGTAAAGCTGAATGTCTGGGCCCTTAATCATATGCTGAACAACCTCTTCATTGTGTCTTTTACCTAATTCCACCTCCAACTTGAAAATAATTGATATTCGTAATTACCACTTCTACTTTTTAGTGGCTACTGTCTCAACTGTGAATTATGATTTAAACAACTAAGTTAGTATTTAGTTTACACTTGGAAAAAATAGTGTAGATGAATATTATGAAAGATGATAAAGCTTTAAAAAGGTTACATATTGCAACCCTTACAAGTGAGTGCACAAAAAGGCAGACAAAAAAGGAACAAAAAGATTTGGTCAACACTCCACAAAAGTAAAAAAATCAAATAGCCAATAAGCATATTTAAATAGTGCTGACCATCATCAGTAATCAGAAGAATGCAATTCAAATCACAGCGAGGTGTATATCCATTAGAATGGTGACATTTTAAAAATCTGACCTTTTAAATATTAGTGAAGATGTACATGGGGAACTCTCATACAGTGCTGGTGGGAAAGGAGAAATTGACACAGCCACTTTGGGAAATAATTTAGTGTTGTCTAGTAAACTTCCATGTGTGCCATAATTTAGGGTTTCTGCTCATAGATATATGAGAAATTCATACATGTGTATCTAGAGACATGGACAAGCCTGTTCAAAGCAGCATTGTTCATAATGGCCAAAAACTAGAAGTGGGAGCAACTCAAACTTTCATTGATGTTAGAATAAATGAATCTATTGTGATGTATGCACACAATGGATCATTATTTGTCAATGCAAATGATGAACTGGGGCTACATGTGGATGAAAATTACAAGTACAATGTGTAGTAGAAATTGCAAGACCACAGAATCCAGACAGTGTGGTTTCATCCACGTCAAGTTTGTAAACAGACTTCAGGATATTGTTACCGCCACAGGTGAAGTGGTAAAACTATGAGGAAAAGCAAGACATGATCACTACAGACTTCTTGACAGTTGTTTCCTCGAATGGAAAGGCGGGGTTGAGACCTGACATCCCTCTGGCTGCCAGTGATCTTCTATTCCCACTCCTCACCTGGGTAACAATTGCATGGATGTTTGTTTTATAATTATGTGTTAAACTGCACAGATAAGTGTTAAGTATTGTATTTTATAATAGATATGTTTAAAACTATATTATAGTAGTTGATTAAGAAAAATATGTGAATGAATATGTATAATTTGGTTTGAAATAATGCATTTAAATGGTTATGGCTGGTTGAGAATATGATGCAAATGAAGAAAAAGTGTATTTTTTGTACTTCTCTCTAATGAATACGTGTCCTTTTATAAGAAAGGAAATAACTTATCTTAATACTTATGTACCTTGGATGGCTGAGTCTCAATCTGACATCCTAGCCAGATAACTTAGTTTAAACCATAAGCAATAGAAGCCAAAGACAGTTTAACATATTGTTTACTTTCTATTTGTTTATTAGTCATTGTTTCCATTCAGTGGCAACTTCAATCACAAAGTTTCCCATTTATAAAAAAGAAGGCAAAAAATTGTTCAATTACTATCTAATCAAAGGTAGTCTTATTTAGCCTCCAGTTGGAGTTTCAGGGGAGTTCAGACTCACTGGAGGGAAACTTAGTAAGAATATTTGCCTTGGTCTAGTGAAGTGGGACATCATAGAGGGCTAGAGACAATGTAGGCTGGGCTCAAAAACAAACCTCCAGCCTCATTCCCTACCCTGCTCTCCCTGACCTGCTGTCCCTTCACTCCGGTACCTTTGCACGTGATCACTGCCCCCACATCCCTCCAACCCCACTGCTCTGCAGCGCCCTTGCCCTCTTGACAAGTCTCGCATACTTCATGTCTCAGCTCAAACATAACCTTCTTCACTGAAGCCTTACCTGGCTCCTCCTCCATGCTCCCAGAGAGAAATCTTTGCCCAAACCTCTGGGCTGGTGCTTGCTACAATATCTTGTCATTACTTATTTACATGTCCCACTAATTGGTGAATTCCTAGAGCTGAGGATTCTGTCTTTTCACTTTGAAATCTCCAACAGCTAATACCATATCAAGTACGATGTAGCCAACCAATAAATATATGATAAATGAATGAATAAAGGAATGCTTGAGCTCTTTCAAGAAAATGATATCTCCAAAAATTTTTAAAAGGATGAGGCAGGCTTTCAAGTAAAACTACAGGATCTAATATGAGGACACTTAATACTAAATAGACTACATTAGGGATTTTTAAATTTATACGGGGAGAATGTTAGCTTTAAAAAGGGCACAATTTTATTGTGCTTTTGAATTAATGGTGAAAATAAATTATTGGGTAGAAAGAGACAAATAATCCAGATCATTTCTTTTATTTGGCTTAATGAAAACTGCCACAGTGAATAAAATTCAAACATCTACCTGTGTAGCTTTAAAAATGCAAAGTATTTATTACCACTAGTTACTTATTCACATGCTCTCAGTATCTAATAGATCATGCAAAGTCCTGATTCCCCAAGAGAACTGGATTATTTTCTTCCTACAAATCCATCATATTCAGAGCTTTACTCATTTTGTTTCAAGCAGTATGTACAGGGATTTCTCATTGATCATTTACAACATGCCTGTTTATTATGTGGGGATAGAGAGGTACTAGGAAGAAACAAGAAAGATAAAAAGCTATTTCAAAATGTCAGGAATTCACCTAATCTCAAGGTTCATGTTATTTTCCATGGGGGAAGAATGTGATTAGTTAGTAATAATAACCAACTCATTTATTTACAAATATTTACTGAGTGGGCAATGCTTGTGAAGTGTATTGTCTAATGGGGAATATGGACAGGTGAGAAGGCATTCAACCCATAGTGTAGTAAAGCTGTGGCCCCAGAGCTTTAGAACAGCAGGCTGAGGAGTGAAGGATGTGTTGGAGTAGAGGGAGGAGGCTGCTGCAGAGCTCTCCCTACAGGAGGCATGGCACTGGTGTGAATTACGAAGTTGCAGTGACTGTGGAAAAAAAAAGTGGACTAGATTTAAGACAGACAACAAGATGTATATTTCAAAAGATTTGGCATTTTATTGAGCATAAAGAAGTGAGAGAGGGAGGAGATGAAGGCAAGATCATTATTTATGGCTTGGGCAAAAAAGCACATTTACCAAGTTAGGGAAGCTAAAAATGAAAAGAGGTTTTGTTAGGTGACAGTGAGTTCAATTTTGGACATATGGAGTGTGATGTGCATGGGAGATATCCGAAGAGAAACATTCATCTATAGGTTGGAGATTATATAGAGAGATAAGATGTATAATAAGATATATGTCTACATGTATATGTGTATACACATATATGGAACACAAATATTAGGAGTTCCATAAAAACAACAGAGAAATCAGAGGAGAGGTAATTATGAAGCAACATATCAAGAAAATTTCCCAGAACTGCAGAATGAGAGTTTACAGATTAAAAGGCCCCCTAAGTGTCCAGCATAATGGATACAAAAAGATCCAGAGCAAGACACATCAGCATGAAATTTTACAACGCTGGGGAAAAGGAGAAGGCACCAAGAACTTCCCAAGAGAGCAGACAGATCACACACAAAAGGCTGAGATTTAGAATAGCATCAGTAGGCTTATCAGTAGCAACCCTGGAAGTTAAAAGAGAAATGCCTTAGCATTTCTGGGGGAAATGACTGCCATGTGCCACGTTAAAATTCCACACTCAGCCAAGCAACCAGTTGGATGAAGAAATCTTCAGCTTTGGAAGCTGTCAGGTAATTTACCTCATGTATACCTTTCTTCAGGAACTTAAAAAAAAATGTGCTCTACCAAAGTAAGGAAGCAGACCAAGAAAGAGGAAGGCATAGGAACCTGAAGTAGGAAGAAAGCAAAGGAATTTCCCAGAATGATGATGTGACTCAAATAACAGCCATGCCACAGCCCTAGAAATGACCAGTCTAGAATGAAATGGAGAATTGAGGGCTCCAGGAAGAATGGCTCTAAGAAAACAAAACCACACTGAGGTATAACCTTACATGTCATAATTGTGAGAGGAAAGTTATATGCTGATGGAGAACTTGTGGGAGAATTAGCAATATATACATAGAAAACTGAGCAAACAAAAACCAAGGCAGCTATTAAACCCAGGGAAAACAAAAGTCAGACAAGAAGATGGTTCAGTTGTAAATAATATTTATATTTGGTTTAAACAAGGTGAACTGAATTTTGACGTAACCAAAAATGGTACAACTGTATTGCAATGATGGGGGAGGTAGTGTGGAAGGGAGCCTGCAGAGAAAGAAAATTGTCATTTGCTGTAATAAGAAGTTACTGAAATATATGTAAAATGTAAATATCAAGAAGTAGCATTATAAACATGTTACTTATATCTATGGAGATGAATAGAGAAAACAGCTTAAAATGTGGAAGTGATGAGTATGAAAGCGTATGGAGGGATAAGACAAGATACTACTGGGTGGTTTTTGTTGTTGTTTAAAACCTTGCAGAATGACCTTTCAGAAAGGTATCAGTACAGAACTTTGTTTTAAAAAATAGTTTTCTACCATATGATCTAGCAGTTCTACTACTGGGTATATATCCAAAGGAAAGGAGATCAGAACATTGTAGAGGTATCTGGACTCTTGTGTTTATTGCAACACTATTCACAATAGCCAAGATGTTGAATCAACCTTGTCCATCAACAGATGAATGAATAAAGAAAACGTGGTACATATACACAATGGAATACCATTCATCCATTAAAAAGAATCGAGTTTTATCATTTATGGCAACATGGATGAGCTTGGAGGACATTATGTTAAGTGAAATAAGCCAGGCACGGAAAGCCAGATATCACATGTTCTCACTTATATGTGGAATCTAAAAAAGTTGATCTCTTAGAACTAGAGAATAGAATAGTGGGTACTAGAAATTGGGAAGGGTAGGGAGGAGAGACAATAAGAGATGAGTTAATGAATGCAAAATTACAGTTAGAAGGAATCAGTTCTAGTGTTCTATAAAACTGTAGGGTGACTCTAGTTAATTATACACTATTGCATATTTTCAAGTAGCTAGAAGAGAGGATCTGGCATGGTCCCAACACAAAGAAATGATCTATGTGTGAGGTGATGGGTATGCTAGTTATCCCAATTTGATCACCGCATATTGTTTACATGTTCCAAAATATCACTCTGTACCCCATACATATGTACAATTACTATGTGCCAATTAGAATAATAAAAATCATTTTTTAAAAGGTATGCAAAGAATGAAAAGGAAAAAATGGAAGAATTAATTGCTGGACTGTGCTGTGGCCACAGTGATACCTGGTGACTATAAATTTGATGTCCCTATCTGTGTCATTGTGTGCTCAGCTGGGCTAGAAAAGGGTGACAACTGGATTGAGCTAGGGTTGGGTTCTGCAGACAGTTCTGACCATGGTAGTGTCTGTTGTCTCTGTGAAATGAGAGCAAGCATGTGACTAATAAGGTAGTAGAAGTAAAGGAATCTGGTGTAAACTTTAGGTTGAATAATAAGTGAGGTGAAGACAGAAGGAGACTGATGGTGTGGGGAAAGGGATTATAGTCTGAGTTGTAGATATGAATTGATAGAGAGGCAACAGCATAGTGAGATGGCAAGGGGATAGAAGGTTGTAACCAGAAAGAAGGATATGTGAATTTCAGAGGCGAAGTTTAAGGTGATGACAAGGTCCATGGTGATGCCCAGGGTCTTGATTCAGGGTGCCTCTTGGGTTGCAGGTGTCAAAGAACTGAAAGCTGGCATGCTGGATGAGTCATGCATTGGGGATTGCCACTGTCAGGACCTGAGGGTAAAGGGGAAGACTGCACCTGGGGGGTGTGAGGGACAGTAACCATGCTGTAAGAATAGTGTTCAATTAGCCAGCAAGAACCTTGGAACCTCAAAGGAAAGGTACTTTACACACGTGTGGGGCCTCATGTTCTAGTGGGGTATTTGAGAGTTTGAAGGAGACCTCCTGACCAGGACATAGTTGGATGTGGAGGAAAAGCACCAGTGGCAACCATTTGAGAAAACTGCTCTGAGAGAGATTGAGGACAAAGGTAGGGGATGGAGATTTTTTTACCAAAGGAAGAAGGAGTTCCACATAGTATGGAGGAAGCATCAGAGGTAGAAAGGTTGGGGCCAGGGATGGAAAGAATGTTGGGATTTGCTGGCCCCCAGCATTTGAAAACAAATGGCTTAAGCCATTTCCTGGTCTCTTAGTCACCGCCTTCCTGCCCTCTCCCCAACACCCCGACTCTCTTCTAAGCTTTCTCACCCCTGCCCCTTGCTTCTTTCCTTCAAATGGAATCAGACTCTACTTGGATCCATTGTGCTTCTATGGGCAGGTGAGCAGGCAGGCAGTAGAACTTGTTACTTCTCAGGACTCACTGAGGCCACTGCAGTGTAGTGAAATGCAGGCTAAGTAGGGCCAGAAGTTGCAGGTTCAGGCACATACTGGTAAATGCAGATATGTTACAAACTCCGTACCTTCAGTTCCTTCATTTGCAAACCAGTAATACCAATAATACCCACAGAGTTTGGACAGGTGTCAGGTGAGGTAACATACACAGAAGCAACTGCAACCTGGCATCTGCTGTTTATAAATGCTTATGATAAATATTTCCCCCAAAAGTGTAACTTCCGTTACAGCTCATACCTGTGTCTTTCACTAGGACAGTGCCTTACAGGTTATTTGTGCTTAGTAATGAATTGATCAGTGAATTTATTGGGCTTGGGGGGGAATTTACAAAGCTTTTACACATACATATATTTCAAAAACCACTTGTTCACTCTTCTGTCCTTATCTTTTCATAATAATCTTCAGAATTAATTATCCCTTAGTCTTATCCAGGTAATAATTAGGCTTCTAATGGAGGCCTAATTTTTCTAGGCCTCTATTTGAATACAGAAACCTCCCTATTCTCCCTTAAATTCCTAGCTACAATTTCTACCTTCATGCATGCAGTACATGTGTGTTGAAATGGAACAAACCTTAAATAGGTTAAAATCCACCTTCCCAGTATTCAGATTGTTTCTCCTATTAACTTTAGTGCCTCAATATCAGATATTCCTCTTAATATTTAAAAAATTACTATTGGCAGCTGAAAACTGATTTCCTTTCCTCTAGTCCTTGCATCTAACTCTCCTGAGTTCGCTTGTGCGCGCGCTCTCTCTCTCTCTTTTTTTTTTTTTTTTTGAGACGGAGTCTCGCTCTGTCGCCCAGGCCGGACTGCGGACTGCAGTGGCGCAATCTCGGCTCACTGCAAGCTCCGCTTCCCGGGTTCACGCCATTCTCCTGCCTCAGCCTCCCGAGTAGCTGGGACTACAGGCGCCCGCCACCGCGCCCGGCTAATTTTTTGTATTTTTAGTAGAGACGGGGTTTCACCTTGTTAGCCAGGATGGTCTCCATCTCCTGACCTCGTGATCCACCCGCCTCGGCCTCCCAAAGTGCTGGGATTACAGGCGTGAGCCACCGCGCCCGGCCTCTCTCTTTAGTTTATAACTCATCCAGGTTTCCTCTTTTATTTGATATATTCTGATCGAGATAATGTTTCCTTTCTTCATTCTATCCAATCCCTATAAATCCTACCTTGAACTGTTCCCATTCAATTCATCTTACAAATGGCATCAGAATCTGTCTTTTCTGATTACATCATTCATGTTTTCTGTTCACCTCCTTCCAGTTACACTGGAGTGATTATCATCACTTGCGTTGTGGCCACCTTTGCTTTTCCCTCTTCTTGCTTTGCTCCGTCTGCGTCTGCAATCCTCGTGTTCCCTGTGTGGGAGCTGATCTGTGGGGCCAGGGCAGGGTCAGCCCCGTGGCATGTGCTTTCACAGGCAAGTGGAGGGAAAACTTCAGATACTTAGGGGATAAAGTCTGTTGCTGTATATATTTCTTTATCCTTTCTGTTTCTTATCTTTTCTTACTTATATTGAGATTTACTTGCAGGAATTTGCAGCCTATTGTATGTGAGATTAAGAGCCTATAAAAATGTTTTAGGTTTTTTTTTTTTTTGATGTGCTGATTTCTTTTTATTAAAAAAAGTATATAGCATTCTCTTAAATCTTGTTTTCCCATTGAGATGTGCTCAGTGAGGATCCTGAATTAGCTATTATCATTTGTTATTTCTTTTTCTTTTTTTTTTTGAGATGACAGCCTCGTCCTCAGAGTGAGCCGTTATTCTTGTTTATGTTCAGGGACTCAGGGGACTAATGGAGACCAAGCAGTTAGTGACTTTCTGGTGAGTAAAAAGAGTTTCCTCATTTTTTAAAATCTATAATTGACACATTGAGCCATCACTCTTGATTGGGCAGCTTTAGGGCCCACAAGTCATGTTTTCATGGCTCCTTTGCAATTGGTCTTTGTTTTAAGCATTTGTAATAAACAAGTTGTAAGTCACTTTTATGATGTCCGGTTCAGGAATAAAATACACAATGGTGCTTCTGCCAGCTGTTGTCGAAGCCACTGATAGCATTGTGGAAGGCCCTTGTCCACGGGAGAAACTGAGCTTTTACACTCTCCTTCTCTTTTCTGAGACACTCTCTATGGATTGCTAGGCAGCACCCACCCCTGTAGGCTTTTGAGATGCTTCTTGCTACACTATGGCGAAACAGTCTAGGACCATCTGGGTTTGTAGTGATTGGCATTGGGTGAATATAATCAGTGCCAGTATTTCAAATTAAACTTAAGGGCTTCTCTTCTGAGACCAGACTGAGGCTGGCATTTCTTTCCCTCCTGCTGCCTTCTTCCTTCCCGGCAAAAGCCCCAGTGCTCTGGGGTTTGTGTACAAACATTCTTTCATGTAGCTCTGAATCTCCGTATAGATAAGGCACACGAGGAGCCTTCTTGACCAACATACGGCCCCATGAGAGAAGAGCCTGTGCATTTATTGATTAAGGAGCTATTTTCTCTGGCCGGCATTGTATTATTCAGCTCTTTTTTGGTTTCATATTAGAGAAACCTAATTCAAACTGCCTTAGGCAACAAGAAAGCAAAAGGGCAGAGGGATTTTGGGCTCACAGAACTGAGAGGTTCCGGAGGTCATGGTGACGTGAGGCACGACTGTCCCCCAGGGGGGACTTCAACCGCAGCGGCAGGAATGCATTTTCATCTCCTGGCCCCTTGTTCCCCTCTCTTGGCTCATCCTCAGAAAGGCTCTCCCCACATGGGAACAAAGATGATCAGCAGCTGCTCCAGGCCCATATCCTGCCAGCTTGGGCATCTATCGAGTAGAGAATTTTTGTCTAGTAAATCCAGCAAAATTCCCGAGGTAGGGCTGTCATCGTCCCAACTCACATCTTGTTTCATTCTCAAGCCAGGATACTGTGTAACACCAGAGCGGTGCAGAGCTCTGATCCAGCAGGCCTGTGTTGTACGCCCCCTCCAGGCCCTGGTGCATCAGGCCGCTACTCTGACCACATGAAACAAGAGGAGGGAAGGGTTGATTCCCCAAAGGTCAGCAGGGGTGCTGTTCAAAGGAGCTGTCAGGCCTAGTACGAGATGCCCGCTAGCCTTAGCCGCACAGAGTCTGCACTGGGGGAAAGAGATCAGGGAAAGCTGAATAGGGTCTAAGGAAATACTGCTATTCAAGAAAGCTAAAAAAAAAATAAGGAAAAACTTCATAAATAAGTGTCAGGGACTCCAGGGACTAATAGAGACCAAGCAGTTAGTGAGTTTTTGGTGAGTAAAAAGAGTTTCGTCATTGAGCCATTCAGTTAGACAGGGAAGCTGCAGTACGCTGAATACTGGCCCCTGAATATGTCCATGTATGAATCACCAGAACCTATCAATGTTACCTTATAGGGCAAAAGGGACTTTGCATGAAGTTCAGGATGTTGAGATGGGGAGATTATCCTGGATTACCCAGATAGAGACAATGTCATCATAAGCATCCTTGTAAGAGAGAGGCAGGAGGAATTAGAAAGACATGATGCAGGAAGCAGGGATCGGAGTGATTGCTTTCAAGATGGGAGAAGGGGCCACCAGCCAAGGAATGAAGGAAGCCACGAGAGGCGAACAAGGCAAGGAAACGGACTCTCCCCTGGAGAGTCTAGAAGGCACCAGCCTGGCCGACCCCTTGGCTTCAGCCCAGTGAGCCTGATTTCAGACTTCTGACCTCCAGAACTAGAAGAGAATAAACTTGTGTTGTCTGAAACTGCTAAGTGATAATTTGTTACAGTGGTAATGGGAAAACTAAAACAGAATGAGCTGAAATTGAAGATGACCTGGAGTAGGCCAGGCAGACAAGGGAGAGGCTGAGCACTCAGCCTCCGTGAACAGCACAGGCTGAGACACCCAGGGTCACATGGAAACAGCAGGGGCACCTGGCAGAGGACAGGAGATCCTGGAGGATGCTTACCCCACACCATGGAGTTGGGACTTCCTACTGAAGCCCAGGGTAAGCTTTGGAAAGGTTTTAACAGTAAAATCATGGGATCTTGTTAAAGGCTTAAGGTCTTTCTGGCAGTGCTAAGGAGGGTGAGTTAGGTAAAGATGCAGAGGTTAAGGCACAAGACAGAAATTACTGAAGAGAATTTTGTAGTTGTCCCAACAAGAAATGAGGACTGAGCTGAGGTACAAAGTGAGAATGAATCAGGGGCCAGACTTAGGAGCTACTGAAGGTCAGAAAGACCTCATCACTGCTAGATATGGTAGGATGAGGAAGAAGACTGACTTGTTTCTGGTTTCAGTGACTGGGAGGACAATTGACTAGGAGAGAAAATATAGGACAGAGAATAGGTTTGAGAAGAAGTTAACCAGCTCCATTTGGGGAACAGTGTTTTTTGTCATCAAATAGATAAGCAGTAATGTCTATTTGGCAGCTGAAAACAGGTCTGGATCCCAGGAGAGGTATCTGGGCCTACCTGGATTGGAAATCACAGATGTGGTCATCAGTGTACATAAGTTGGTGATGTGAGCCTGTTGAATGGATAAGCTCACTCAGAAGACTGGACAGGAGAAGGCTGAGGCTGCACTGGGGATACCTTGGTCCAGGTCTAAGGAAAGAAGACAGAGTAGCCAAGAAGGCTGAGACAACAGCCGGGAGGCAGTAGGAAAACATGAGACCAAAGACCACACTAGCATTTCTAGACACTCAGGGATCTCATTGAGTGAAACGAAAGCTTACCGTGTATTTAGAAGACATTTAGGCTGAGTCTAGATTGTAAAAAAAATGGCAAGAAGAACAGAAGGTCTTGATTCATCTCTGTAATTATCTGTGCTATCAAGAATTCCCAGACCATACAAGAGTTCTCCAGGTAGCCTTGTGTTCCTATGGTAAGTTTTGCCAGCAAAGGGAGGGTAAAACTTTCGATTTGAGTTATTCCTATAGGACTGCTTGGACTAGACTTATCTGTCCTTATCCTTTTATGGATCAGACAAATTATTTTCATTAGTGGTTTGGTTTCTCTCCTTTTTGCTTATTAGTTATTATACAAGTAATATGTGATGATTACAAAATATGGAACTAATGCAGAAGCATATTAAAATAAAAAGTAAAAGCTCCTAAATCCTACTGATTAGAAGTAACCATTATTAAAAGTTTGGTACCTTATCTTTCAGATATTTTTACTTATTTCTAAGCATAATACATATGACATTTTGTGTTATGAAAATGGGGTAATTCCATGCATGCTGTTCAACTAGCTTTTTAATTTATCATGGGCAGCTTTCCATGCCAGTACAATATAGAGCTATGACATCCTTTTTAATGGCTGCATAGTACTCCCTGGTTTGAATATGCCACAGTTCATATAACTTATGTTATATATGTTATAATTTATGTTTTTGCATACTTGTAGAAGTGTTTCCAAGAGAGATTTATAGAAGTGGAATTGCAGGGTCAAAACTATCAATATTTGCATTTTTGATAAAATTCAAATTGTGCTCCATGAAAGCTGAATGGAAAACACTGAAAGGCTAAATAAATAATTGTATTTTGTTTTCCTTTAAGCACAAAACATTAGGTTTAGTGCAGATTTGGGGACTTTAACATTTCCCTTCTCAGCTTTCAGGAGTCTTAGTGTCTTTCCATATTTGTTGATACCTAAAATCAAAGCCAAGTGAAGGAAAAGAATGGGGAGCTTAGCCATATAGTGGGTACCCTGAGGGGTACCCGTGACTTCAGCAGAGTGCAGTGGCTGGGCTTTCCATACCTGGAAGGTCCAGCCTTCTGTGAGCCCTGAAATGCCTGGGCAGACCTCCTGGAAAGAAGCCCGGAGGAGAGCAGGGGTTGGAGGGGTACACGCTTAGACCCTATCTGGGTCAAAGTTTGTGTTCTGGTGGGGACGGCAGACACTAAGCAAACAGGTGAGGATAGAATAGATTGTTGGGCAGTGACAAATGCTGTGAGGAAGAATGAAGCGGGTGAAGGGGAAACTGGCAGGTGATGAGAGGGCCACAGTAGTTGGAGCACCAGGCATGGTGAGGAGACCTTGCTGTGCTGAGACCTCCTGAATGGATGGATGAGCCATGCTTAAGGGCTAGAGGAAGAATATTCTGTGCAGAGGAACTCAAGCCACAGGAGGAAGCATGGCATGTTTGGGGACCAACAAGGCTGGCATTGTGGCTGGCAGATGTGGGCAGGGACAGTGACAGCAGTATGGCTGTGAGGTCATCTAGGGCTACACTATCTGATATGGTGGCACATATCAATTAAATGATTGCTTAACTAAATGAATCGATTAAATGATTGAGACTTCAGTGTCAGTAGGGCATGGGGCATGTTGGAAGAGCTGTTCTCAGACACTGTTTGTTGGGAATATGAATTAGTGGATCCTTTTGTTGACAATTGGACTGTGCATAGCAATACTGCAAATGAGCAGACTGAATCCAGCAAAAGCAATTCTGTGCATTTGTCCTCTGAAGATCCTGGTCTGTGTGTACAAAGAAACAAGTAGAAGCTATTTCAGTGGCTAAACTTGTAACAATCTAAATGCTCATCCATAAGACGATGGTGAACTGAATTACAGTATGTCTTTGTCCATTTGTATGATGTGGCTTTTTTTTTTTTGAGACAGAGTATCACTCTGTCTCCCAGGCTGGAGTGCAGTGGCGTGATCTCGGCTCACTGCAAGCGCCACCTCCTGGGTTCACGCCATTCTCCTGCCTCAGCCTCCCGTGTAGCTGGGACTACAGGTGCCCACCACCATGCCTGGCTAATTTTTTGTAATTTTTAGTAAAGACGGGGTTTCACCGTGTTAGCCAGGATTGTCTCGATCTCCTGACCTCGTGATCCGCCTGCCTCGGCCTCCCAAAGTGCTGGGATGACAGGCGTGAGCCACCACGCCCAGCCTGATATGGCTCTTTTTAAAAAAATCTGTAAATACACTGATAAGAAAAAGATCTCCAAAAATGTGGGTAGGTAAAAAGAAATTGCAATGTTTATTTCATATATTTATCTAATAGCTGTATTTGTATATGTGTGTATATTTATAAATACCTAGGAAAAAATCTGGGAGAATAAACACAAAATTGCTAGTAGCAGTTACCTCTGGAAGGAAGAGTGAGGTCTCAGGGTTTGGGGGTGAGCATGGGGGTGACATCCATGGCCTGCATCTAAGGAACAAAAGCAAGCTTTGTTTTTGAAATGACCTAACAGTGTGCTGAAGCCAAGGCAGGTTTGGGTTAATCTAGGTCTGTGTGATTTCGCTAATCTCACATCCACTGCTGTTTGACTTTCTGACAAACGTGACGTGAAGGTGAGCACTGTGCCCGGCACACAAAGGAGAAGCTGCACTGTGCCCTGGGTATTGCTGGACACAATATGAGGAGCGTCCACATGCTTTTGCTGGACCAGCTCTGGCAGCAAGTTCCACGAAGGCTTAGCTGCAGCCAAGAGAGCTAAAAGGCTCTCTAGGTCACCTCTGTGGACCCGCTGCATGGAAATTAATTAGAGTCAGACCATGTCCCCCGTGGCTTGGCTCCGGGTAATGCCGAAGTCATTAGCAGCTATGCGCAGCTACAGCGTCCTTCCCTGTCTTCTGAAAATTTGTTATGGCAGAGAGAGGCAGGCAGACTAAATTGGTGGCTGAGGATGTAAAATTTTAATTCCCAGATAGTTTGGTCAGGGTCATTGGGGTGGCAGTGACCTTCAGAGAAGGGGGCGTTTTTCATCAAATCAGAGACAGCAGTGTCCTTACTTCTCCCCTGACCACTCAAAACTAAATTCCCTTTCCTATAAAGAAGTGTGTCATTCATCAAGCACAGGGGGTGGTGACCATAGCAACAAATCACCCAAATATTTCTTTTGTTGATATGTTTGACTTTCTTGAAGCCACCCTTTCCACAACTTATGTTGCCATTTCAATTTTAAGTAGCTTACTTTCTACCTATTTCTCTTTTCCAACTATACACAGGAACAAAGAAAGATGCTCAGAAAGATCAAGATACGAATAAACCTGCTGTTTCATCTCCTAAGAGAGTAGCAGCTTCAACCACCAAGCTTCATTCACCAGGTATGTAAGAAATATGATGTGTTCCTTGGGGGAATGACTTGAACTTGGAATTTATCTTATTCAGATGTCATTAATGGAGCAATGCCAACCCATGTGATTTACTCAATTGTTCCAGAGCTTGACATACATATGCTGATGTTTTCTGACTCTAGATGAAATGAACCAGCTGTTCACATCATTTAATCTTAAAAAACAAGATGTTATGCTATGTTTCAGTGGGAGAATCTTCTCTGTGTAGGGGTATCTGCCATTCCAATAGCAAGTAGAAATAATTTACAATTGAAAACACTTTAAAGATCTAACCTTAAGAAATAATATTGTCTAAAAGGAAGAAGAACAGAGATAATGGGTATCAAATGATTTGTTAGTCTGTCAGCAAGGAAACCATTTATTTGCATTCAGATATGAATAAACTACATAAGGTTGCTTGAAAGTCAAAAATTGCTTATTATGAATATTCCTGGCCAGGCGTGGTGGCTCACGCCTGTAATCCCAGCACTTTGGGAGGCCAAGGCAGGTGGATCACTTGAGGTCAGGAGTTCCAGACCAGCCTAGCCAATATAGCGAAACCCTGTGTCTACTAAAAATATAAAAAATAGCTGGGTGTGATGGCTTTCGCCTGTAGTCCCAGCTACTTGGGAGGCTGAGGCAGGAGAATCACTTGAACTCGAGAGGTGGAGGTTGCAGTGAGCCGAGATCACGCCACCACACTCCAGCCTGGGTGACAGAGTGAGACTTCATCTCAAAAAAAAAAAAAAAGAAAAGAAGAAGAGGAAGAGGGAGGAGGAGGAGGAGGAGAAGGAGGAGGAGGAGGGAGGAAGGAGAAGAAAAGAAGAAGGAAGAAGAGGAAGAAGAAGAAGAGGAGGAGGAAGAGGAAGAAGAAGAAGAAGAAATCCTATTGTAAGACATTCATGCCATTGTAGAACAGTATGTAACACAACTTCAAAAGATTTTCTTTAAGCCCAAAAATGGTGGCCATAATAGCAGCTAATGTTTGAGCTCTAACTGCATGCCAGGTACTGCCCTGTGCTCTTTCAATATCTTAATTGATTTAATGTCCACAAAAACTCTGTGAGACAGGTTGTATTATTGCCCCTCTCTTTACATGTGAGGAAAGTGAGGCACAGACATTTCATTAATTTGCCCAAAGTCACAGGTGATAAGTAGTAGAGCCTTGGTTTTAACCTAAGCAATCTGTGTCCCGGACTTACATTGTTAGTTGCTACACTGTTAACCCAGCAGCATGGAGAATAGAGAACTTATTAAAATTGCTGATTAATTTAAAATTTATGGAAAATAGGTCAAAGCCGTAAATGTGAAGGACAGGAGACAAAGCCTGGTAATTGGGTGAGAGATCTGAGGACCCTGCATAAATCTGGAATTTCTAAAGGGTAACACCTTGGCCAGATGCACAAGGAAGGAAAAGAAAACTCACCCTGCGGGAGACTGACTGATTGCAGCTCCAGCTCTGAGGGAAGCCGAGGATGGGGAGCAAGCCCTCCCCCAGGAACCTTTGACCACAAGCCAGCCCCACTGCAGTTTAAGAGCTGGAGTCTGTGCTGCCACTGTGCTCTGAAAATCCAATTTAAAATGCTGCAGTGCTTATGGCTACTTAGTCGACTAAGATGTGAAATCACACACACAAGGAAACAAGCCACCATAAATAAGGTCCTTATATTCTAGAGAAAGAGTAAAAATAATATGTAATTTTAGACTTAACCATGTTAAAATATCTGTTAAAATTTCTAAGATGAGCAATAAAATACATATATATTGTTCTGAACCCTAGATGGGAAAATATTGGAATGAGGGGTTAAAAAAAATTCAATCAATATAAAGGAAGGAAAAAGAAGGAAAGAAGGAAGGCCAGGAGGGAGATGAGAGAAATTGAAAGAATACAATAAGATATTAGAAATGAACTCAAATATGTCATAATGACTTACATGAACTATACTCTCTAAACTAACTCAAAGATTTAGATTACCAGAGCCAGGCGTGGTGGCTCGTGCCTGTAATCCCAGCACTTTGGGAGGCTGAGGTGGGTGGATTACCTGAGGTCAGGAGTTCGACACCAGCCTGACCAACATGGTGAAACCCTGTCTCTGCTAAAATACAAAAATTAGCCAGGTGTGGTGGTGCGTGCCTGTAGTCCCAGCTACTTGGGAAGCTGAGGCAGGAGTATCATTTGAACCTGGGAGGCAGAGGTTGCAGTGAGCCAAGGTCACGCCACTACACTCCAGCCTCGGCAACAGACTGAGATTCCTTCTCAAAAAAGAAATAAAATAAAATAAAAATTTAAAAAATAAATTACTAGACTGTGTTCCCTTATTAAACAGTCTAAAGGTATGTTTCAAGTGCGTTTTTATGCTGTAAAATCTAGCTTTAGATCGTTTCCAAAGTACACTCCTAAAATATAAAAATATTAAAAATGTATAAGTAAAAGGATGGAAAATTAATATTTATACCAAAAAAACTAAACCGAAGAAAGTTTGTGGCATTATAGTTGTAAAACATATCTATTGTGGAATAATGAACAAATACTAAACTACCCTATGCTTAAAGTATAGAACTTGGTAAGTTTTGCCATGTGTACGCAGCTGTGAAACCATCATCCCATGCAAGATAACACACATGTCCACCAACCTTCCAAGTTTCCTGGGACCCCTTTGTCATACCACCTGCCTACCATTCTACACCCCCACCCCAAACCCCAGACAACCACTGATCTGTTCTGTCACTAGAGATTAGTTTGTATTTTCTAAAATTTTATATAAATGGAATCATTTAATATGTATGCTAGTTTTACTGGCTTCTTTCAACATAATTTAGATTCATCCATCTGGTAATAACCAATTCCATTTTACTAGTGCGTAGAATTCTATTATATAGATATCACTATTTATTTACTTGTTGATGGAAATTGGGGCTTTCCCCCCAGAACTTGGCTGTAATAAGTAAAGCCAAATCTTTGTACAAATGTACAAGATTTGTACAAATCTTGGTATGAACATCTGCTTCCATTTCTCTTGGGTAAATATCTAAGAATGAAATGGCTGGGTCATATGGTAGCTACATGTTTAACTTCTTAAAAATGCCAAACTGTTTTCCAAAGTGGTTGTACCATTTTACATTTTCAACAGTTGTATATGACAGTTCCAGTTTCTCCACATTCTTGCCAACCCTTAATATAATCAGTCTTTTTTTATAGACATTCTAATAGGTGTGTCATGATACCTCATTGTGGTTTTAATTTGCCTTTTGCTAATAACTGATGATGTTATAATGTTGACTATCTTTCTATGTGTTTGACAGCTGTATATGTTCTTTGATAAAATATCTATCCAAATATTTTTCCATTTTTTAAATTGGGTTGTTTTCTTATTGAATTTTGAGAGTTTTATATTCTGGATATAATTCTTTCTTATGTTATAAATTACTATAAATTTTATTAATTTACAAAAATAGTATTCATTTTCCATATATGAAAATACATTTGATAATAGAAAAATCCAAATTCTGCCAAAATATGTTTAAAGAGGTACATTTTGAGTCAGTATGAGTGACCATGGCCCAGGCCACACAATCTCAAGAAGTCCTGATAAAGTGTGCCTGAAGCAGCCAGATTACAGCTTGATTTTATACATTTCAGGGAGACATGAATTGCAGGAAAATCATAAATCAATATGAGGAAGGCATACATTGGTTTGGCCTTAAAAAGGCCAGACCTCTCAAAGCAGAGGGCTGGGGAGATCATAGGTGGGTTTTAGGGATTCTTTAGTTGACGGTTGGGATAGTTAAGCTAATGTCTAAAACTTGAAATCAGTAGAAAGGAATGTTTGAGTTAAGCTAAGGGGGTTGTGGAGACCAAGGTTCTTAGTATGTAAATGAAGCCTCATATGTGGCAGCCCTCAGAGAGAATAGATGGAAAATGTCTCTTTAAAGATTTCAAAGCTCTCAGGCTCTCAGTTAATCTCTCCAGATCTGAGAAAGCCTAGAAAGGGAGAGGTCTGACTACATTAATGGAACATTAATCTGATGCAAATTATTCCCACAAAAGACAGCTTTGCAGGGTCATTTTAGTCTGATGATCCTGTGGCAGCCGTTTCAAAACACGTTAAAGAAATATACTGTGGGATAAAATCTTTTTTACTTCTTTCAGCATCTGCTATCTGTCATGTTATGCTGTGTACCAGAGTCAGGTTGGAAAGCAAGCTACATTATGTAGGGTTCATAAAACCTGTCTGATGAGATTTTATGGTTTGTAGGGTGTGACTCCCCCAGGCCCTTAGATAGGAATTTGGGCAAGAGAAAAAGAAGGTCATAGTCCTCACATTTAAAAACTATTATTTTATGTTGCATGCAGCTCATTATATTTGTAAGTGGTAGATAATTACAGATTTCTATTATAATATTTTAATATACCCTTTTTTAAAATTATACTTTAAGTTCTGGGATACATGTAGAGGATGTGCAGGTTTGTTACATAGGTGTACACGTGCCATGGTGGTTTGCTGCACCCATGAACCCATTACCTGCATTAGGTATTTCTCCTAATGCTATCCCTCCCCTAGCCCCCCACCCCCTGACAGGCCCGGGCTTGTGATGTTCCCCTCCCTGTGCTCCCTGTGTCCATATGTTCTTGTTATTCAGCTCCCACTTATGAGTGAGAACATGTGGTATCTGGGTTTCTGTTCCTGTGTAAGTGTGCTGAGAATGATGGTTTCCAGCTCCATCCATGGCCCTGCAAAGGACATGAACTCATCCTTTTTATGGCTGCATAGTATTCCATGGTGTATATGTCTCACATTTTCTTTATCCAGTCTATCACTGATGGGTATTTGGGTTGATTCCAAGTCTTTGCTATTGTGAATAGTGCTGCAATAAACATACATGTGCATGTGTCTTTTTTTTTTTTTTTTTTGAGATGAAGTCTCACTCTGTTGCCAGGCTGGAGTGCAGTGGTGTGATCTTGGCTCACTGCAACCTGTGCCTCCTGGGTTCAAGCAATTCTCCTGCCTCAGCCTCCTGAGTAGCTGGGACTACAGGTGTGTGCCACCACACCTGGCTAATTTTTTTATTTTTAGTAGAGATGGGGTTTCACCATGTTGGCCAGGCTGATCTCAAACTCCTGACCTCAGGTGATCCACCCATCTCAGCCTCCCACAGTGCTGGGATTACAGGCGTGAGCCACTGCGCCTAGCTGCATGTGTCTTTATAATAGAATGATTGATAATTCTTTGGGTATATATCCAGTAATGGAATTGTTGGGTCAAATGGTATTTCTGGTTCTAGATCCTTGAGGAATCACCACATTGTCTTCCACAATGGTTGAACTAATTTACACTCCCACCAACAGTATAAAAGCGTTCCTATTTCTCCACATCCTCTCCAGCATCTGTTGTTTTCTGATTTTTTAATGATCGCCATTCTAACTGCTGTGAGATGGTATCTCATTGTGATTTTGATTTGCATTTCGCTAATGACCAGCTTTTTTTACATGTGTTTGTTGGCCACATAAATGTCTTCTTTTGAGAAGTGTCTGTTGATTTCCTTTGCCCACTTTTTGATGGGGTTGTTTGCTTTTTACTTTTAAATTTAAGTTCATTGGAGATTCTTGATATTAGCCTTCTGTGAGATGGATAGATTGCCAAAATTTTCTCCCATTCTGTTGGTTGCCTGTTCACTCTGATGCTAGTTTCTTTTGCTGTGCAGAAGATCTTTAGTTTAATTAGACCCCATTTGTCGATTTTGGCTTTTGTTGCCACAGCTTTTGGTGTTTTAGTCGTGAAGTTTGCCTGTGTCTAGGTCCTGAATATTATTGCCTGGGTTTTCTTTTAGGGTTTTTGTGGGTTTAGGTCTTATGTTTAAGTCTTTAATCCATCTTGAGTTAATATTTTTGTAAGATGTAAGGAAGGGGTCCAGTTTTCAGTTTTCTGCATATGGCGAGCCAGTTTTCCCAACACCATTTATTAAATAGGGAATCATTTCCCCATTGCTTGTTTTTGTCAGGGTTGTCAAAGATCAGATGGTTGTAGATGTGTGGCATTATTTCTGAGGCCTTTATTCTCTTCCATTGGTCTATATATCTGTTTTGGTACCAATACCATGCTGTTTTGGTTACTGTAGCATTATAGTATTGTTTGAAGTCAGGTAGCGTGATGCCTCCAGCTTTGTTCTTTTTGATTAGGATAATCTTGGCAATGCAGGCTCTTTTTTGGTTCCATATGAAATTTGAAGTAGTTTTTTTCTAATTATGTGAAGAAAGTCAATGGTAGCTTGATGGGGATAGCACTGAATCTATGAATTACTTTGGGCAGTATGGCCATTTTCATGATACTGATTCTTTCTGTCCATGAGCATGGAATGTTTTTCCATTTGTTTGTGTCCTCTCTTATTTCATTGGGCAGTGGTTTGTAGTTCTCCTTGAAGAGGTCCTTCACATCCCTTGTAAGTTGTCTTCCTAGGTACTTTTTTCTCTTTGTAGCAATTGTGAATGGGAGTTCACTCATGATTTGGCTCTCTGTTTGTCTAGTATTGGTGTATAGGAATGCTTGTGATTTTTGCACATTGATTGTGTATCCTGAGACTTTGGTGAAGTTGCTTATCAGCTTAAGGATATTTGGAGCTGAGACGATGGGGTTTTCTAAATATATAATCATGTAATCTGCAGAGACAGTTTGACTCCCTCTCTTCCTGTTCGAATATGCTTTATTTGTTTCTCTTGCCTGATTGCCCTGGCTAGAGCAATACTTCCAAATTTCATATGGAACCAAAAAAGAGCCACATAGCCAAGACAATCCTAAGCAAAAAGAACAAAGCTGGAGACATCACACTACCTGACTTCAAACTATATTACAAGGCTACAGTAACCTTCCAATACTATGTTGAATAGGAGTGGTGAGAGAGGGGATCCTTGTCTTGTGCCAGTTTTCAAAGGGAGTGCTTCCAGCTTTTGCCCATTCAGTGTGGTATTGGTTGTGGGTTTATCATAAATAGCTCATAGTATTTTGAGATATGTTCCATAAATACCTAGTTTATTGAGAGTTTTTAGCATGAAGCACTGTTGAATTTTATCAAAGGTCTTTTCTGCATTTATTGAGATAATCATGTGGTTTTTGTCATTGGTTCTGTTTATGTGATGGATTAGGTTTATTGATTTGCATATGTTGAACCAGCTTTGCATCCTAGGGATAAAGCCGAGTTGATCATGGTGGATAAGCTTTTTGATGTTCTATGGGGTTCAGTTTGCCAGTATTTTATTGAGGATTTTCTCGTTAATGTTCATCAGGGATATTGGCCTGAAATTTTCTTTTTTTGTTGTGTCTCTGACAGGTTTTGATATCAGGATGATGCTGGCCTCATAAAATGAGTTAGGGAGGAGTCCTTCTTTTTCTGTTGTTTGGAATAGTTTCAGAAGGAATGGTACCAGCTCCTCTTTGTACCTCAGGTAGAGTTTGGCTATGAATCCATCCGGTCCTGGGCCGTTTTTCGTTGGTAGGCTATTAATTACTGCCTCAATTTCAGAACTTGTTATTGATCTATTCAGGGATTCGACTTCTTCCTGGTTTAGTATTGGGAGGGTGTATGTGCCCAGGAATTTATCCATTTCTTCTAGATTTTCAAGTTTATTTGAGTAGAGGTGTTTATAGTATTCTCGGATGGTAGTTTGTATTTCTGTGGGATCAGTGGTGATATCCCCTTTATCATTTTTTATTGCGTCTATTTGATTCTTTCTTTTCTTCTTTATTAGTCTGGCTAGTGGTCTATCTAATTTGTTAATCTTTTCAAAAAACAAGCTCCTGGATTCATTGATTTTTTTGAAGGGTTTTTCGTATCTCTGTCTCCTTCAGTTCTGCTCTGATCTTAGTTATTTCTTGTCTTCTGCTAGCTTTTGAATTTGTTTGCTCTTGCTTCTCTAATTCTTTTTTTTTTTTTTTTTCGGACACAGAGTCTCGCTCAGTCGCCCAGGCTGGAGTGCAGTGGCGCGATCTCGGCTCACTGCAAGCTCCACCTCCTGGGTTCATGCCATTCTCCTGCCTCAGCCTCCCGAGTAGCTGGGACTACAGGCGCCCGCCACTACACCCGGCTAATTTTTTTGTATTTTTAGTAGAGACGGGGTTTCACTGTGTTAGCCAGGATGGTCTTGATCTCCTGACCTCGTGATCTGCGCGTCTCGGCCTCCCAAAGTGCTGGGATTACAGGCGTGAGCCACCGCGCCCGGCCTTCTCTAGTTCTTTTAATTGTGATGTTAGAGTGTCGATTTTAGATCTTTCCCGCTTTCTCCTGTGGGCATTTAGTGCTATAAATTTCCCTCTAAACACTGCTTTAGCTGTGTCCCAGAGATTCTGGTACGTTGTGTCTTTGTTCTCATTGGTTTCAAAGAACTTATTTATTTTTGCTTTAATTTCATTCCTTACCCAGTAGTCATTCAGGAGCAGGTTGTTCAATTTTTCTGTAGTTGTGCAGTTTTGAGTGAGTTTCTTTTCTTTTCTTTCTTTTTTTTGAGATACAGTGTCACTGTTGTTGCCCAGGCGGGATTGCAATGGTGTGATCTCAGCTGACTGTAACCTCCACCTCCTGGGTTCAAGTGATTCTCCTGCCTCAGCCTCCCAAGTAGTGGGGATTATAGGCATGCACCACCATGCCCGGTTAATTTTGTATTTTTAGTAGAGATGGGGTTTCTCCATGTTGGTCAGGCTGGTCTCTAACACCCTACCTCAGGTGATCCGCATGCCTTAGCCTCCCAAAGTGCTGGGATTACAGGCTTGAGCCACCGCAGCCGGCCTTGAGTGAGTTTCATAATCCTGAGTTCTAATTTGATTGCACTGTGGTCTGAGAGACTGTTTCTTAGGATTTACATTCTTTTGCATTTTCTGAGGAGTTTTTTACTTCCGATTATGTGGTCAATTATAGAATAAGTGTAATGTGGTGCTGAGAAGAATGTATATTCTGTTGATTTGGGGTGGAGAGTTCTGTAGATGACTATTAGGTCCGTTTGGTCCAGAGCTGAGTTCAAGTCCTGAATATCCGTGTTAATTTTCTGTCTCATTGATCTGTCTAATATTGACAGTGGGGTGTCAAAGTCTCCCACTATTATTTTTTGGGAGTCTAAGTCTTTTTGTAGGTCTCTAAGAACTTATTTTATGAAGCTGAGTGCTCCTGTATTGGGAGCATATGTATTTAGAATGGTTAGATCTTCTTGTTGCATTGATCCCGTTACCATTATATAATGCCCTTCTTTGCCTTTTTTGATCTTTGTTGGTTTAAAGTCTGTTTTATCAGAGACTAGGATTGCAACCCCTGTTTTTTTGTTTTGTTTTGTTTTGTTTTTGCTTTCCATTTGCTTGGTAAATATTCCTCCATCCCTGTGTTTTGAGCCTATGTGTGTCTTTGCACGTGAGATGGGTCTCCTGAATACAGGACACCAAGAGTCTTGACTCTTTATCTAATTTGCCAGTCTGTGTCTTTTAACTGGGGCATTTAGCCCGTTTACATTTAAGGTTAATATTATTATGTGTGAATTTGATCCTGTCATTATGATGCTAGCTGGTTATTCTGCCATTTAGTTGATGCAGTTTCTTCATGGTGTCAATGGTCTTTACAATTTGGTATGTTTTTGCAGTTGCTGGTACCGGTTATTCCTTTCCATGTTTAATGCTTCCTTCAGGAGCTCTTGTAAGGCAGGCCTGGTGGTGACAAAATCTCTCAGTATTTGCTTGTCTGTAAAGGATTTTATTTCCCCTTCACTTTTGAAGCTTAGTTTGGCTGGATATGAAATTCTGGAAAATATTTTCTTTAAGCATGTTGAATATTGGCCCACACTCTCTTCTGGCTGGTAGTGTTTCTGCAGAGAGATCTGCTGTTATTCTGATGGGCTTCCCTTTGTGGGTAACCTGACTTTTGTCTGTGGCTGCTACTAACATTTTTTCCTTCATTTCAACCTTGATGAATCTGCTAATTATGTGTCTTAGGGGTGCTCTTCTCGAGGAGTATCTTAGTGGTGTTCTCTATATCTTCTGAATTTGAATGTTGGCCTGTGTTGTGGGAAGTCAGGGACCCCGAACGGAGGGACTGGCTGAAGCCACGGCAGAAGAACATAAATTGTGAAGATTTCGTGGATATTTATCACTTCCCCAATCAATACTCTTGTGATTTCCTATGCCTGTCTTTACTTTAATCTCTTAATCCTGTCATCTTCGTAAGCTCAGGAGGGTGTATGTTGCCTCAGGACCCTGTGATGATGGCGTTAACTGCACAAACTGTAGAGCATGTGTGTTTGAACAATATCAAATCTGGGCACCTTAAGAACAGGATAACAGCAATGTTCAGGGAACAAGGGAGATAACCTTAAAGTCTGGCTGCCTGTGGGCCAGGCGGAACAGAGCCATATTTCTCTTCTTTCAAAAGCAAATAGGAGAAATATCGCTGAATTCTTTTTCTCAGCAAGGAACATCCCTGAGAAAGAGAATGCGTCCCTAAGGAGAGATCTCTAAAATGGCTGCTTTGGAGATGACCATATCTTTTACGGTCGTAGATAAGGGATGAAATAAGCCCCGGTCTCCCATAGTGCTCCCAGGCTTATTAGGACGAGGAAATTCCTGCCTAATAAATTTTGGTCAGACCGGTTGTCTGCTCTCAAACCCTGTCTCCTGATAAGATGTTATCAGTGACAATGTGTGCCCGAAACTTCATTAGCAATTTTAATTTTACCCTGGTCCTGTGATCTTGCCCTGCCTCCATTTGCCTTGTGGTATTTTATTACCTTGTGAAGCATGTGATCTCTGTGACCCACACCCTATTCGTACACTCCTTCCCCTTTTGAAAATCACTAATAAAAACTTGCTGGTTTTGCGGCTTGGGGGGCATCATGGAACCTGCCAACATGTGATATCTCCCCCAGACACCCAGCTTTAAAATTTCTCTTTTTGTACTCTTTCCCTTTATTTCTCAGACCGGCCAACACTTAGGGAAAATAGAAAAGAACATATGTGAATTATCGGGGGCGGGTTCCCCCAATCGGCCTGTCTTGCTAGGTTGAGGAAGTTCTGCTAGATAATATCCTGAAGAGTGTTTTCCAACTTGGTTCCTTTCTCACCATCACTTTCAGGTACAGTCAAACATAGGTTTGGTCTTTTCATGTAGTCCCATATTTCTTGGCAGCTTTGTTCATTCCTTTTCATTCTTTTTTCTCTAATCTTTTCTTCACCCTCTACTTCATTAAGTTGATCTTCAATCTCTGATATCCTTTTTCCCGCTTGATGGATTTGGCTATTGAAACTTGTGTGTTTCATGAAGTTCTTGTGCTGTATTTTTCAGCTCCGTCAGGTCATTTATGTTCTTCTCTAAACTGGTTATTCTAGTTAGCAATTCCTCTAACCTTTGTTCAAGGTTCTTAGATTCCTTACCTTGCCTTCTGAAGCCTACTTCTGTCAGTTCGTCGAACTCATTCTCCATCCAGTTTGGTTCCCTTGCTGGCCAGGAGTTGTAATCCTTTGGAGGAGAAAAGGCATTCTGGTTTTTGGAATTTTCAGCCTTTTTGTGCTAGTTTTTCCTCATCTTCATAGATTTATCTACCTTTGGTCTTTGATGTTGGTGACCTTCCGATGGGGTTTTTGTGTGGACGTCCTTTTTGTTGATGTTATGCTATTCCTTTCTGTTGTTAGTTTTCCTTCTAACATTCAGGCCCCTCTGCTGCAGGTCCACTAGAGTTTGCTGGAGGTCCACTCCAGACCCTGCTTGCCTGGGTATCACGAGCGGAGGCTGCAGAACAGCAAAAATTGCTGCCTGTTCCTTCCTCTGGAAGCTTTGTCCCGAAAGGGCACCCGCCGGACGCCAGCTGGAGCTTTCCTGTATGAGATGTTTATTGACCCCTGCTGGGAGGTATCTCCCAGTACAGGAGGCATGGGGGTCAGGGACCCACTTGAGGCAGTCTGTTCCTTAGCTGAGCTCCAGCGCTGTGCTGGGAAATCCACTGCTCTCTTCAGAGCTGGCAGGAAGGAACAACATTTAAGTCTGCTGAAGCTGCACCCACACCTGCCCCTTTCCCCAGATGCTCTGTTTCAAGGAGATGGGAATTCTATCTATAAGCCCCTGATTGTGGTCACTACCTTTCTTTCAGAATTCCCTGCCCAGAGAGGAGGAATCTAGAGAGGCAGTCTGGCTACAGCGGCTTTGCAGCACTGAGGTGGGCTCTGCCCAGTTCAAACCTCCCAGCAGCTTTGTTTACACTGTGAGGGGAAAACCACCTACTCAAGCCTCAGTAATGGCAGATGCCCCTTCCCCCACCAAGCTCAAGGGTCCCAGGTTGACTTCAGAGTGCTGTGCTGGCAGCGAGAATTTCAAGCCAGTGGATCTTAGCTTGCTGGGCTCTGTGGGGATGGGTTCTGCTGAGCTAGACCACTTGGCTCCCTGGCTTCAGCCCCCTTTCCAGGGGGGTGAACAGTTCTCTCTCACTGGTGATCCAGACACCACTGGCATATGAAAAAAAAAAAACTCCTGCAACTAGCTCTGTGTCTACCCGAATGGCCACCCAGTTTTGTGCTTGAAACCCAGGCCCCTGGTGGTATAGGCACCCAAGGGAATCTCCTGGTCTGTGGGTTGTGAAGACCATGGGAAAAGCGCAGTTTCTGGCCCAAATGCACCATTCCTCATGGTACAGTCCCTCATGGCTTCTGTTGGCTAGGGGAGGGAGTTCTTAGACCCCTAGCACTTCCCAGAGGAGGCAGTGCCCCACCCTGCTTTGTCTCACCCTCCATGGGCTGCACCCACTGTCTAACCAGTCCCAATGAGATGAGCCATGTACCTCAGTTGGAAATACAAAAATCACCCGCCTTCTGCGTTGATCTCGCTGGGTGCTGCAGACCAGAGCTGTTTTATTTATTTTTTATTTTTCTATTTTTTTTTTTTTGAGATGGGGGTCTCACTCGGTCACCCAGACTGGAGTGCAGTGGCACAATTTTGGCTCATTGCAATCTCTGCCTCCCGGGTTCAAGTGATTCTCCTGCCTGAGCTTCCTGAGTAGCTAGGACTACAGGTGCCTGCCACCACCCCTGGCTAATTTTTTGTTTGTTTGTTTGTTTTGGTTTTTTTTTTTTTGAGACAGAGTCTCGCTCTGTTGCCTGGGCTGGAGTACATTGGCACAATCTCGGCTCACTGCAACTTCTGCCTCCCAGGTTCAAGCAATTCTCCTGCCTCAGCCTCCCAAGTAGCTGGGACTACAGGTGTGTGTCACTATGCCCTGCTAATTTTTTTTTTTTTTAGTAGAGACAGGGTTTCACCATGTTGGTTGGCCAGGATGGTCTCGATCTCTTGACCTCGTGATTTGCCCACCTCAGCCTCCCAAAGTGCTGGGATTACAGGTGTGAGCCACTGTGCCTGGCCATGACCGGACCATCTTGCCAGCCACCCTACCTTTTCTTTCTGTAATTCTTATATGAGCTAAATGATACACAGTTTTCCCCGATAGTCTAGGGCTTGTTTCACATTCTCCTAACAGTACATTTTGAAGAGGTTATGTTCTTAATTTTAACTAAGTTTAATTCATGATTTTTTTCTTTTGTACACTGTTTTTGGTATTATCTAAAAAATATTTGCAGCCAGAGGCGGTGGCTCACACCTGTAATCCCAGCACTTTGGGAGGCCCAGGCAGATGGATTGCCTGAGCTCAGGAATTGAAGACCAGCCTGGGCAACATGGTGAAACCCAGTCTCTATTAAAATACAAAAAAAAATTAGCTGGGCGTGGCGGCGTGAGCCTGTAATCCCAGTTAATTGGGAGGCTGAGGCAGGAGAATCGCTTGAACCGGGGAGGCGGAGGTTGCAGTGAGCTGAGATAATGCCATTGCACTACAGCCTGGGCGACAGAGCAAGACTCCATCTCAGAAAACAAAAAAAAACAAAGTTGCATAACCCAAAGTCACAAAAATGTAGGTTTTACATTTAAGTCTATGATCCACTTGAGTTAGTTTTTGTATATAGTGTGAGGTGTGGCTTGAATTTTTCTTTTCTTGCTTAAGGATTTGCAACTGATTTCTATAATTTTTTTAATAAAGACACTATTATTTAAAAGAACAAATATTTAACTATGCAAACTGTGAAAGTGGAGGATATGCCTGCCTCCTGTTCCCAGGGAGAAGGCAGAAGTGGGTGGGCAGGGGAAAGGTAAGGGTTTTGAGAGCAACACGGTCTCTTCAGTGTGGGCTCTGCAGGCTAAGGAGAGGCGGGGCTGAGGCTTGCAGAATGCTCAGGTGAAGCAGTGGGAAGTGCCCTGGTGGGGACAGTGGCTCCTGTGGGGGTAAAACAAGGGTCAATAGGATGAGGCAGTCTGGAGGCTCAGGAGAAGGTGGCAGGGCCCTGACTCTAGGCTGGGCTGCAGGCTGGGTGTGCGCAGAGGTACATGGTCCTCCCGGGGCGGCTCCTTGGGGTGTAGGAAGGCCCAATACAGACATTGTTGCACCTACTCCTAGAGCTCCCAAGGTGGCTCTTCAACTGGGCTGTGGCCGGCGTACTTCCTGCAGTAGGGCAGGCAGCAGGCTGAGGGAAGGCTGCTTCTCCTGGAAGACACTGCTGCTGGAGAGTGGAGGCTTCTTCTGAGCGGCCCAGGCCTGGGCACAAAGGCGGGGACCTCTCCATGTCTCCTGATGGGCTTGAAAGCTGATAGCCTGGGTGATGGGATCTGCTTGCTACGCTTGGTGTCTGGGACCTCAAACCAGAGTGGCTCATCGAATTTCCTTTTTCCCTTGCTGTGCTGGCTGAGGGCCTACAGCATGGTCTCCCTGGCACAGGGATCTGGGGCCTGGGGGGAGGTGGCGCTTATACAGGCTCCCCTCTGTGCTCCGGCGGGGCGATTTTCACTGTCACCAGGCTGCGGACGGGCTGGGGGGTGCCGGGCCTTCCAAAGCCACTGCTTCATGTAGGCCAGGTGAGCCTCAGAAAAGTCCGGCCCAGTGATGCTCAGGAGCGGTGGCCTGTTGGGAAAGTGCCTCCAGGCCTCAGGGACCATCTCTCTCTGGATACGGGCATAGTCCCAGTTGGGAGGAGCGGTGAGGAGGGGCCGGGTGCGGACCCAGCGCTTCCCATTGACGTAGACGACTTTGCAGCCATCCTTGACCTGGGAGCGGAGAAGGGGCCTGGACCGCAAGGCCCGGTGTTTCTGGGATTGGGGCGGCACCCTGGCCCGGGGCGGCACTATGGTCCGGGGCCAGCCCAGGTACCAGCTCAAGTAGTTGCCCATGACAGCAATGCAGTAGTCGGGACGTTCTCTTAGAAATTCAGCTTCCAGAAGTTTCCGAAGTCTGCGGCCGGGGCCAAGTGTGCTGAGCTTGGTGACCGTTGGAATCAGGACGCCAGAAAGCGCGCAAAGCATCGCAAGCTGGCACCCTCTGGCCATAGGGTTCCGCACGGGCCAGGCCGGTGCCTCGCGGAATTCGGGACATCACGGGGTGCAGCTGCAGCGGGGGAGGGCAGCACCCAGATGATCTGGGGGACGAGGGAAGCTCAAGCCTCCCTCCTTCCCACTGATGGTCCCAGTCACTTGGCTCTGGGCAGAGGGGCCTAGCAGCTGCCTCTACTTTTGTGCCTGACCTTTAAAGGTAGAAGATAGAATTTCTGCCAGGTCCTGAAAACTGCAGATGCCTGTTGACAGAAGGGTGCTGTTTTTGATCAGTGTGAAAATGAACACAATACACTTGGATACTCTTTCAAGGAAAAACAAATCATTTACTCATATCAGTAAAGGTGATGTGTGTTTCATTCTTCTAGGATGGATGTTAATGTCACTTTTTGCAATTTTGCTCTTAAGAAAATGGAGTCATCAGGTTTTGTTTTAGCACAGGCAATGTTGATTTTTTGTGGATTTCCTGTGATTTCCAGCCTTCGTACATTCATGAATAGATTATCTGTCTCTGAACACTAATGTCATCTCTCTTTTTTTGCTTTTATTTTTTAAAATTATTTCAGTAGTTTTTGGGGGAAAGGTGATGTTTGGTTATATGTATAAGTTCTTTAGTGGTGATTTCTGAGGTCTTGGTGCACCCATTACTCTAGCAGTGTACGTTGCATGCAATGTGTAGTCTTTCATCCCTCACTCACTTCCCACTCATTCCCCCAAGTCCCCAAAGTGCATTGAATCATTCTTATGCCTTTGCATCCTCATAGCTTAGCTCCCACTTATGAGTGAGAACATACAATGTTTAGTTTTCCATTCCTAAGTTACTTCACTTAGAATAATGGTCTCCACCTTCATCTAGGTTGCTGTGAATGCCATTATTTCTTTTCTTTTTTAAGGCTGATTAGTATTTCATAGTACGTTTGTACCACATTTTCTTTATCCACTCGTTAATTGATGGGCATTTGGGCTGATTCCATATTTTTGCAATTGTGAATTCTGCTGCTCTACACATGTGTGTGCAAGTATCTTTTCTGTAAAATGAATTCTTTTCCTCTGGGTAGATACCCAGTAGTGGGATTGCTGGATTAAATGGTAGTTCTGTTTTTAGTTCTTTAAGGAGTCTCCACACTGTTTTCCATAGTGGTTTGTACTAGTTTACATTCCCACCAGCAGTATACAAGTGTTCCCTTTTCACAACATCCCCACCAACATCTATTGTTTTTAGATTTTTTTGATTATGGCCATTCTTGCAGGAGTAAGGTGGTTATCGCATTGTGGCTTTGATTTGCATCTCCCTGATGATTAATGATGATGAGCATTTTTTCATGTTTGTTGGCAATTTGTATAATTGAGAATTGTCTATTCATGTCTTTAGCCCACTTTTTGATGGGATTATTTTTTTCTTGCTGATTTGTTTGAGTTTCTCATAGATTCTGGATGTTAGTCCTTTGTCAGATGCATAGTTTGCAAAGATTTTCTCCCACTCTGAGGGATGTCTGTTCACTCTGCTGATTATTGCATTTACTGTGCAGAAGCTTTTTAGTTGAATTAAGTCCCAGCTATTTATCTCTCTTTTTATTGCATTTGCTTTTGGGTTCGTGGTCATAAAATCCTTGCCAAAGCCAGTGTCTACAAGGGTTTTTCTGATGTTATCTTCTAGAATTTTTATGGTTTCTTTAATTTTTGTAGATTTAAATCTTTGATCCATCTTGAGTTGATTTTCTTGTATAAGGTGAGAGATGAGGATCCAGTTTCATTCTTCTGCATGCAGCTTGCCAATTATCTCAGCACTATTTGTTGAATAGGGTGTCCTTTCTCCACTTTATGTTTTTGTTTGTGTTGTTGAAAATCAGTTGACTGTAGGTATTAGGCTTTATTTCTCGGTTCTATATTCTGTTCCATTGGTCTATGAGCTTATTTTCATATGAGTACCATGCTGTTTTGGTGACTGTATCCTTAAAGTATAGTTTGAAGTCAGGTGATGTGATGCCTCCAGATTTGTTCTTTTTGCTTAGCCTTGCTTTGGCTATGTGGACTCTTTTTTGGTTCTATATGAATTTTAGAATTGTTTTTTTCTAGTTCTGTGAAGAATGATGGTGGTATTTTGATGGGAATTGCATTGAATTTGTAGATTGCTTTTGGCAGTGTGGTCATTTTCACAATATTGATTCTACCCATCCATGAGCATGGCATGGGTTTCCATTTGTTTGTGTCATCTGTTATTTTTTTTGGCAGTGTTTTATAGTTTTCTTTGTAGAGGTCTTTCACTCCTTAATTAGGTGTAATATATTTCCAAGTGTTTTTTTGTTTGTTTTGCAGCTATTGTAAAAGGGGTTGAGTTCTTGATTTGATTGTCAGTTTGGTTGCTGTTGTTGTATAGCAGTGCTACTGATTTGTGTATATTGATTTTGTATTCTGAAATATTGCTGAATTCATGTGTCAGTTCTAGGAGCTTTTAGGATGAGGCTTTAGGGTTTTCTAGGTATACCATTATGTCATTGGTGAACAGCGACAGTTTGACTTTCTCTTTACTGATTTGGATGCCCTTTATTTCTTTCTCTTGTCTGATTACTCTGGCTAGGACTTCTAGTACTATGTTGAATAGAAGTGGTGAAAGTGGGCATCCTTGACTTGTTCCAGTTCTCAGAGGGAATGCTTTCAGCTTTCCCCCATTCAGTATAATGTTGGCTGTGGGATTGTCATAGATGGCTTTTATTACCTTAAAGTATGTCCTTTCTGTGCTGATTTTGCTGAGGGTTTTAATCATAAAGGGATGGTGGATTTTGTCAAATGCTTTTTCTGTGTCTATTGAGATGATCATGTTATTTTTGTTTTTAATTCTGTTTATATGGTGTATCACATTTATTGACTTGCATATGTTCAACCATCCCTGCATCTATAGTATGAAACCCACTTGATCATGGTGGATTACCTTTTTTATATGCTGTTGGATTCCATTAACTAGTATTTTGTTGAGGATTTTTACATCTGTGTTCGTCAGGGAAATTGGTCTGTAATTTTCTTTTTTTGTGATGTTCTTTCCTGGTTTTAGTATTAGGGTGATAGTGGCTTCATAGAATGATTTAGGGAGGATTCCCTCTTTGTCTTTTGAATTAGTGTCAATAGGATTGGTACCAGTTCTTCTTTGAACGTCTCATAGAATTCAACTGGGAACTCATCTGGTCCTAGACTTTTTCTTGTTGGCAATTTTTTATTATCATTTCAATCTTGCTGCTTATTACTGGTCTGTTTGGAGTTATAATTTCTTCCTGGTTTAATCTAGGAAGGTTGTATATTTCCAGGAATTTTTCCATCTCCTCTAGGTTTTCTACTATGTGCATGTAAAGGTGTTTATAGTAGCCTGGAATGATCTTTTGTATCTCTGTGGTATCAGTTATAGTATCTCCTGTTTTGTTTCTAATCAGGTTTATTTGGATCTTCCCTCTTCTTTTCTTGGTTCATCTTGCTAATGGTCTATCAATTTTGTTTATCTTTTCAAAGAACCAGCTGTTTCATTTATCTTTTGTATTATTTTGTCTTTCAATTTTATTTAGTTCTGCTCTGATCTTTGTTATTTCTTCTCTTCTGCTGGATTTCAGTTTGGTTTGTTTTGTTTCTCTAGTTTCTCGAGGTATGACCTTAGATTGTCTGTTTGTCCTCTTTCAGCTTTTTGATGCAGACATTTAATGCTCCAAACTTTCTTTCCTTGTAGCACTGCTTTTGTTGTATCCCAAAGGTTTTAATAAGTTGTATCACTGTTATCATTTGGTTCAAAGAATTTTTAAATTTCCTTCTTGATTTCATTGTTGACCCAATGATCATTCAAGAGCAGGTTATTTAATTTCCATGTATTTGCATGCTTTTGAGGGTTCCTTTTGGAGTTGAGTTCCAGTTTTATTCCACTGTGGTTTGAAAGAGTACTTGATGTAATTTCAATTTTCTGAAATTTATTGAGACTTCTTTTGTGGCCTATCATGTGGTCTATCTTGTAGAATGTTCCATGTGCTGATGAATGTACATTCTGCAGTTGTTGGGTAGAATGTTCTGTAAATATCTGTTAAGTACATTTTTTCTAGGGTATAGTGTAAGTCCATTGTGCCTTTGTTGACTTTCTGTCTTGATGACCTGTCTAGTGCTGTCAGTGGGTACTGAAGTCTCCCGCTGTTATTGTGCTGCCATCTTACCTCATTTTTTTAGGTCTAATAGTAAATGTTTTATAAATTTGGGAGCTCCAGTGTTAGGTGTATATACATTTAGGGTTGTGATATTTTCCTGTTGGACTAGTCCTTTTATCATTACATAATGTTCCTCTTTGTCTTTTTTAACATTTTGCTTTAAAGTCTGTTTTGTCTGATATAACAATAGCTACTCCGGCTCATTTTTGGTGTCCATTTGCATGGAATGTCTTTTTCCACCCCTCTACCTTAAGTTTATGTGAGTCCTTATGTGTTGTTAGATGAGTCTCTTGAAGAGAGCAGATACTTGGTTGATGAATTCTTATCCATTCTGCCATTCTGTATCATTTAAGTGGAACATTTAGGCCATTAACATTCAATGTCAATATTGAGGTGTGAGGTACTATTCTACTCATTATGCAGGTTGTTGCCTGAATACCTTGTTGTTGTTTTTTTGTCATTCTGTTATTGTTTTATACATCCTGTGAGATTTATGCTTTAAGGTGGTTCTATTTTGATGTATTTTGAGAATTTGTTTCAAGATTTATAACTCCCTTTAGCAATCTTGTAGTTCTGGCCTGGTAGTGGCAAATTCTCTCAACATTTGTTTGTATGAAAAAATTCTGTGTCTTTCATTTATGAAGCATAGTTTCATTGGATACAAAACTCATGGCTGACAATTGTTTTGTTTAAGGAGGCTAAAGGTAGGACCCCAATCCCTTCTGGCTTGTAGGGTTTCTGCTGAAAAATTCGCTGTTAATCTGATAGATGTTCCTTTATAAATTACTTGATACTTTTTCCTCACAACTTTTAAGATTCTTTCCTTTGTCTTCACCTTAGATAACCTGATGACTAGGTGCCTAGGCAATGATCTTTTGCGATAAATTTCCCGGGTGTTCTTTGAGCTTCTTGTGTTTGGCTATCTAGATCTCTAGCAAGGCCAGAGAAGTTTTCCTTGATTATTCCCTCAAATGTGTTTTCCAAACTTCCAGATGTCTTTCCTTTCTCAGAAACACCAATTATTGTTACATTTGGTCATTTAACATAATCCCAAACTTCTTGGAGGCTTTGTTCATTTTTTAAAATTCTTTTTTCTTTGTCTTTGTTGGAATGGGTTAATTCAAAAGCCTTGCCTTCGAGCTCTGAATTCCTTTCTTCTGCTTGTTTGATTCTATTGGTGACAGTTTCCAGTGTATTTTGCATTTCTCTAAGTGTGTCCTTCATTTTCAGAAGTTGTGATTGTTTTTTATTTATTTATGCTGTTTCTCTGGAGATTTTTTCATCCATGTCCTATAACATTGTTTTTTAAGTTGGTATTCACCTTTCTCTGGTGCCTCCATGTGTGGCTTCATACTCAAACTTCTGAATTATTTTTCTGGCAATTCAGAGATTTCTTCTTGGTTTGGCTCAATTGCTAGTGAGATAGTGTGATCTCTTGGGGATGTTAAAGAATCTTGTTTTGTCATATTACTGGAATTGTTTTTCTGGTTCTTTCTCATTTGGGTAGCCTATGTCAGAGGGAAGATTTGGGGCTGAAGGGCTATTGTTCAGATTCTTCTGTCCCACAGGGTGCTCCCTTGATGTGGTGTTCTCCTCCCTTCCCCTAGGGGTGGGGCTTCCTGAGAGCCGAACTGTAGTTATTGTTATATTTTTTCTGGGTCTAGCCACCTAGCTGAGCTACCAGGCTCCAGGCTGGTACTGGGGAGTATCTGCAAAGAGTCCTCTGATGTCATCTGTCTTCAGGTCTGTCAGCCGTGAGTAACGAGCACCTCCTCCAGTGGAGATAGCAGGGGAGTGAAATGGACTCAGAGAGGGTCCTTGGTTGTAGTTTTTAGTGCACTGGCTTAGTGTTGGTTGGCCGCCAGCCAGGAGGTGGTGCTTTCAAGAGAGCCTCAGCTGCAGTAGTGTAGGGAGGATACAAGCTTGCCCTAATGCCACCTGGGTGGTAAGTATTTGGTTTCTTAGGTGGTGGACAGGGCCATAGAGCTCCCAAGAGATGGTGTTCTTTGTCTTCAGCTACCAGGGTGGGTAGAGAAAGACCATCAGGTGGGGGCAGATTTAGGCATGTCTGGGCTCAGACTCTCCTTGGTAGAGGGGGCTTCCTGTGGCTGTTGTGGAGGATGAGGATGTGGTTTCAGGCCAATGGAGTTATGTTCCCAGGGGGATTATGGCTGCCTCTGCTGGGTCACGCAGGTTGCCAGGGGACTGGGGGAAAGCTGGCAGTGACAGGCCTTACCCAATGCCCATACAGCCAGCAACGCCAGTCTCACTCCCACCATGTCCCCCCAACAGCACGAGAGGGACATGCCCCAGGCTACAAGCCTCCCTGCTGAGAAAGGTTTCACGTCTCCCCACCTGCAGCAGCTTCTGTGCGCCTGTCTGTACTCCCAGATCACCTCCTCTCCAGACTCTGTCCAGGAAACTGCACAAATCGTTTCAAAGTTCAGCTGGAATTTTCCTTCTCCCTGTGGTCTTTCCCCAATTCCACTGGCACCCCTCCCCAAGAACTCCTGAGAGACAAAAGCAGAAATGGCTTCCCTGGGGTCTGAGAGTGCCCACGGAACTCTTCCCACTGCTTCCCCTACCCCTATATTTTGCTCAGCTCTCTAAATTTGTCTTAGCTCCCTATAAGGTCAAATCCTTCTCCCGTGATCTGGTTCTTCAGGCTCCCCAGTGAGGATGTGTGTTTGGGGGCAGTCGTTCCCCTTTCACACTTTAGACACTCATAGTTTGTCAGTGTGTCATGGAGCCCGCAGCCACAAGCCACCTCTTTCAAAGGGTCCGTGGATTCTCTCAGCTTTCCTGGTGTGTTCTTCAGTAGTTCTTGGAGCCAGAGTTCACAGTGTGTCTCCACAAGCTGCTCTGTCCATCTGAATGGGAGCCTCAAGTTAGTCCTGCCTCCTGTCTGCCATTTTCCCTCACTTTCTGATTTCTATTCTTTTTACTCTTCTTCTGCTTATACTGGGTTTGATTAGTTGATGTCATTGGTTGGAGGTCTTTCTTTCATTGTGTATGTGTTTAGTACATAAATTTCTCTGTATATGTTGTAGTTACAGTCCACAAATTTTGACACACTGGGTTTTCATCTTCATTGAGTTCAAAATATTTTCAGATTTCCCTTTTTGATTTCTTCTTTGGTCCATGGTTATTTGGAAGTGTATGTTTAGTTTGCACATATTTGGGGACCTCTCAAGGACCTTTCTGTTATTGATCTCTAACTTGTAATTCTTTGGTTGGAGAACATACTTTGGATGATTAAAAAAAAAACCCTATTCCTCTCCTCACAGCACCTCTGACACGACACGTGTGGGGTTTCCACACCAAGCAATTATCCACTTCTCTGTGGACGCCACCTGAGTGTCCTACAATTTGATTCAAGTATAACACTAATTACCCAGAGTTAGCACAGACCACACAGGTTAAGGGCTCAATCTCACAAGACTACCCCTCACTTTAGGTGCCAACTACAAGTAGTAGGTGTGTATGTGACCCACACGTCTGTCTGACTTGGCTACAAATTGGAGGTTCTCACAATCTCCTCCATAAGTTGAATAATTTATTATAACAGCTCACAGAACTCAGGGAAACATCTTACTTACATTTACCAGTTTATTATAAAAGATATGATAAAGGATACAGATGAACAGTTGGATGAGGAAGTACACAGAGTCAGGTCCAGAGGGATCCCAAGTGCAGGAGCTTGTGTCCCCACAGAGAGAGGTTGCTCCACCCTATTGATACCTGGATGCATTCACCAACCCAGAAGCCCTCTGAATCCTATACTTTAGGGATTTTTATAAGGCTTCATCACATAGACATGACTGATTCTTAACTCAATCTCCAGCCCCAGAGGAAGGGGAGAGAGGCAGCTGAAAGTTCCAAGCTTCTAATCATGGCTTGGTCTTTTTGGTGACCAGCCCCTATCCTGAAACTATCCAGGAGCCACCAAGACAGTCTATTAGGGCAAATGATGCTTCTGTTACCCAGGAAATTCCAAGGGATTTAGGAGCTTTGTGACAGGAACTGGGATCAAAACCAAATGTTAGAACAAAAGATTCTTCTAGCATCCATATCACTCAGCAAAGTGCAAGGCTTTTAGGAGCTCTGTGTCAGAAGTTGGGGACAGAGACCAAATATATATTTCTTATTATGTCGCAGATGACTTGAATCCTTTTAAATTTATTGAGCCTTGTTTTAAGACTCACAGCAAAGTCTGTCTTGGTAAACATTTCATGCATACTTAAAAACAGTGTCTACTCTGCTGTTGTTATGTGGAATGTTCTACAAATGTCATAGGTCAAGTTGGTTGAAGCATTGTCAAGTATTCTATACCCTTACTGATTTTCTGTCTACATGTCCTACCAGTAGCTGAGAGAGGGCTTGAAATCTCAGACTGTAATTGCAGACTTGTCTGTTTCCTTTGTCAATTTTATCAGCCTTTCCTCCATGTATTCTGAAGCTCTGTAAGGTATATAAAGTTTTAGTTTTATCATTTTGATGAATTGGCCACTTTATCATTATGAAATTAACTTCTTTATCCCTGGTAATACTTTTTTCCTTGAAATCTGCTTTTTTCATTGTTAATAGAGCCACTTCAGCTTTCTCTTAGTTTCAGCATGGTATAATCTTTCCATACTAACCTTTTCATCTATTTGTCTATTGATTTTTAAGTAGGTTTCTTATAGGCCTCATGTAATTAGATCTTACATTTTTATCCAATCTGAAATCTCCGGCTTTCATATGCATTTGATGTTATTACTGATTTATTGAGATTAAATCTACCATCTTGCCGTATTTTCTATTTAACCCATATGTTCTTTCTTTTCTTTTCCCTCTTTTACTGCCTTCTTTTGGCATTGGATAGTTTTTTATGATTCCATTTATCTCCTTTGTTCATGTATTAGCTATCTGTCTCTTATTTTTGTGTTCTCAGTGGTTGTTTTAGGGTTCATAATATATGTCATTAGTTTTAACATTCTAGCTTCAAGTGACATTATATCACTTTGTACGTGGTGTAGGAATCTTACAACAGCATATTTCCATCTCTCTTCTGGCATTTGTGCTATTGTGATTATATATTTTGCTTCTACATATATTATGAACCTATAATACATTGTTATTATTATTGATTATCAACACTCAGTTTTCTTTTAAAGAAATTTAAATAAGAAGAAGTCTGAGTTACTCATTTAATTGCCATTTTTAGTATTTTTTATTTCTTTGTGTAGATCTGCACTTCTATCTGGTATCATTTTTCTTCTGCCTGAAGGACTTCCTTTAACATTTATTGTAGTGGAGATTTGCTCGTGGTGAATTCTTTTGGTTTTTGTTCACCTATACTTTTGATAAATATTTTTGCTTTGTTCAGAATCCAAGTTGGCATTTTTTTTCTTTAAGTACTTAAAGATGCTGTTTTAGTGATTTCCAGCTTGAATGGTTTCTAGTGGAAAATCTGCTGTTATTCTTATCTTTGGGTCTTTGTACATAATGTGTCTTTTTTCTCTGGCTGCTTTAAAGATGTTCTCTTTATCTTTGGTTTTGAGCAGTTTGATTACAATATGCCTTGATATTGTTTTCTTCCTGTTTTTGTGCTTGAAGTTTGTTGAAATTTTTGGATCTGTTTTTATACAGTTTTCATCAAATAATAGGGTGTTTTGTCCATTGTTTCTTCAAATATTTTCAGTCCTAATTCTTCGTCTTCAGGGACTCTAATTACACATTTATTAGGCCTCTTCAAGTTGCCCCAGAGCTCCTGTTCAAAGTGATATTCTGTTCATTTCTTTGAGTATTTCTTCTCTCTGTGTTTCATTCTAGATAGTTTCTCTTGCTATATCTTCACTACTTTTCCTTTCCCTTTCTTTTTCTTAAAATAACATTTATTTACTAACTTACAGTTCTGTATGTTAGACATCCAGAAGTGGCTTAACTTGAATTCTCTGCTCAAATTATCACAAGGCTAATATGAAGAAATCAGCTAGGCTGAGTTCTTGGCTGGAGGCTCGGGAGAAATATTTGCTTTTAAAGTCATTTAGGTTGTTGGTAGAGTCTATCTCGTGTGCTTGTAGTACCAGAGTCCTTGTTTCCTTGCTGGTTATCAGTCAGGGACCACCTTCAGCTCATAGGGCCACCCACATTCCTTGCTGTGTGCCCTACTTTATCTTCAAAGCAGTAATGGTGTGTTGAATCCTTCTCAGACTTCAGATCTCTGACATACTCCTCTATGACCAGTTGGAGAAAACCCTGCTTTTAGTAAACTTACTTGATTAGGCCAGGCTCACCCAAGATCATCTTCTTCTTAATACGTAATATAAGATAGTCATGAGAGTGGTATCTCATGATGTTCATGGTTGTTATGCAGTTGTTTTAGTCCGCTTGGGCTGCTATAACAAATACCATAGATTGGGTGACTTAAACAACAGATTTTTTTTCTCATGAATCTGGAGGCTGAGAAATCCAAGATCAAGGTGCTGGCTGATTTGGATTCTGGTGAGGGCCCTCTTCCTTGTTTGCAGATGGATACATTTTTGCTAGCCTTACATGTGGGAGAGATAGATTATTGCTCTCATATTTCTTCTTATAAGAGCACTAATCCCATTCATGAGGGCCCCACTCTTGGGACCTAATCACTTCCCAAAGGCCCCACTTACAGATGTCATCACATTAGGAATTAGGGCATATATATATTTCATATATATATATATATATATATATCTTCAGAGGACACAAACATTCAGTTCCTAGCAGCAGGGTATGTACATGAAGGGGCAATCATTGAGGGCAAGTGTAGGGTCTTGCCACCACAGGTGGAAGTGGATTTCAAGTCCTAAAGGATGGCAACCTGGAAATGCTACATAACCATGGTGGAGAGATCTGGGAGGGACAGTTTTTCTTTTTCCAAGATCTTCATTTCTTTTTGATGATGATGCTTCTTTTTTCAGATTACTGAATATCAAAGAAAATCAACTGAAATGGTTAGTGCCTCCATCAGGCCTTTGGGCCTTCAAATGACATCTGGCCTAGGAGAAGCTTTCTGGGTGGCTCATTTAAGGAGAGTTTCTCTCCCCTCCTGGGCTGTAAATTGAATCGTGGCAGGAACTATATTTTCTGTCATCTCTCCCATCCCCAAAACAAAACAAGCCATAACAACAAACATCCCCTGACCCTCATGTTTCTGACACATCTTTCTCCCCCTCTGGACATCCAGGCTTGAGAAAGAATTGTTTATGTTCCCCATCCCGGTTCCCGTGCTTACAAATAACTCTACCTGCTGCCATCTAGACACTCCACTATTCTACTACAAAGGCCACTACTGATTTCTTGGTTAGTAAGTTTTTTTGTTTGTTTTTTTGAGACAGGGTCTCCCTCTGTCACCCAGGCTGGAGTGCAGTGCATGATGTCAGCTCACTTCAGCCTTGACCTCCAAGGCTCGAGCAATCATCCCACCTCAGCCTTCCAAGCAGCTGGGACTATAGGCGTGTACCACCATACCTGGCTAATTTTGTTTATTTTTTTTTTTTTTTTTGTAGAGATGATGTCTCTCCGTGTTGCCCAGGCTGGTCTCAAACACCTGAGCTCAAGCCATCGTCCCGCCTTGGCCTCTCAAAGTGCTGGGATTACAGGCATGAGTGAGCCACTGTGCCTGGCATTAGTTAATTCTTGATAGATATGTCCTGTTCCTTAGCACTTTCATTTTACATTATTGATTACTCCTTTCTTTCTAAAACTTGTTCCTTCCTTCGCTTCTTTGAACAACCCCATCTGCCTATTCTCTTTTTGCATGCATCTGCAAGTGTTGGTTCTTAGTTGCCTTCACTAGAAACCCTTCCCCAGCGTTTTCTAAATCTTGCCAGGTGATATTGGCAGAAAATAGACTGAACTGAGTTAAATCCTAATTTGGTGAATCATGTGTGACCTCCTGGAAATTATACAACTTCTCTCTCAGTTTCTTCTTCTGTGAAATGGAAATTTTACCCATGCTGCAGGGTTATGGTGAAGGTGAGTGATGATGCATGTAAAGCACCAACACGTCAGAGCTCTCAGTCTTCCGTAGCTCCAGCCTTCCTGATAGCAGAGACCATATTTTAAAGATAGAACATTCTGACGCAGCTGTTTTGATGCCAGCATTTTGATAAAATGGCAGCCAAATATCCCCATGTCCAAATGGGCCTATCAAAATATCCTTATTGAGTGTTTTTTATTAGTTGAGCTATAATTCACAAACCATAAAATTTGCCCTTTTCAAGTGTACATTTCAGTGATCCCTGGCAACCACTAGTCTACTTTTTTGTTTTATGGATTTAATCTACTCTGGAAGTTTCATGTGAATGGAATCATATGCTTTGAGGCTGTTTGTGTCTGTTTCTTTCATTTAGTATAATGTTTTTAATGTTCATCCATGAATCAGTGTTTTATTTCTTTTGATGGCTGAATAATATTCTGTTGTATGGATATAAAACAATTTGTTTATCCATGCATTAGTTGGTGGACATTTTGGTTGTTTCACTTTTTGCCTACTATCATTAATGCTGCTATGAAAATTTGTGTCACTAATCTTTTCTTTTGCAGTATCTAATCTACTCTTCATCCTTTCAGTGTATTTTTCATCTCAGACCTTGGAAATTTTTCTCTACAGTTCTTATTTAGGTCTTTTTTGTCTTCCTTGTCTTACTTGACATGTTAAATTATTCCTCTAGCTTCTTAAATATACGAAATACATTTACAATAACTGTTTAACTGTCCCTGTCTAGTAATTCTGTTATCTGTGTCATTTTTTGTCAGTTTCAATTGATTGCATCTTCTCATTATGGGTTGTATAACCCTGCTTGTTTACATGCCAGGGGATATTTTTTAGATGACAGGCATTATGAATTTTTCCTTTATGAGTATTGGATATATTTTTATTGCCATAGTATTTTTTTTAGACAGCATCTCACTCTGTTGACCATCACTTCAGTGGCAAGATAATATCTCATTGCAGCCTCAACTTCCCTGGCTCAACCGATCCTCCCACATCAGTCTCCCAAGTAACTAGGACTACAGGCACATGCCACCACACTTGGCTAATTTTTTAAGGATTTTGTACAGACAAGGTCTTACTATATTGCCCAGGGTCGTCAACCCTGGCTCAAGCAATCTTCCTGCCTCAGCCTCCCAAAGTGCTGGGATTACAGACACACACCACTGCACACAGCTGATTTTTGTATTTTTTATACAGGTGGGGTCTTCCTGTGTTGCCCAGATTGGTCTCTAACTCCTGGGCTCAAGCAGTCCACTCACCTCAGCCTCCCAAAGTGCTGGGATTACAGGCATGAGCCACCATGTCTAGCCCCCATAGTATTCTTAAGCTTTTTTCTGGAGTAAAGTTATGTCACTCGGAAGGAGTCTGATCATTCTGGGTTTTGCTTTTCAGCCTTATTAGGCAGGTACTGATCAGCACTTCTTCCTGGCTAATTTTTCTACACTACTGAGCAAAACCCTTCTGAGTGCTTTACCTGATGCCCCATGAATTACGAGGTGTTCCACGCTGGCTGCTGAGAACAGGAATTATTTGTGGCCTTTGGTGGACTCTAAGTATTGTCCCACTAATCCTTGGCAGAGTTCTGTCCCCATCCTGAGATCCTCTCTCCACAGGCAGGTATGCACTGATCAGAATCTGGCTGAAAATTTGAGGTCACTCTTCAGATCTTCAGAATTCTCTCTGTGGAGCTCAATCCTCTGTGGTATCCTACCTTGTACGCACTAACTCCTGACCTCCCTGAGCCCCTAGATCCACTTTCTCAACTCAGAGAAACCTCCAGGCTCCACCTGAGTCCCCTGATTCCCTGCATCACAGTTTGAAAAGTCACATGGGCAATGAGCTTAAGCAACTGTAGACTCACCTTGTTTGTTTTCTGACTCTCAGGGATCACTGTGCTTCAATATCTATAGTTTAATGTCTTGAAAACCATTGTCTTGTATATTTTGGGCATTTTTTTTTTTTTTTTTTTGCTGGTTTCAAATGAGAGGGTAAGTCTAATCCCACTTACTTCATCTTGGCCAGAAGTAGCCATATTTGAATGTAAATATTTGGCAATTGTCATAACACTATTAAGCCACTATTTTTCACCCTTGGAGAAAAAAGGGATTCAGATTTACCTTGATAAATAGCACCTGTACTTCTTGTAAATCACAATAAGTTTCCTAAAGTTGAAAATACTGTATGCCACGTTTTATCTTGTCTAGAGAGTGGGTTATATGAACAAAGTGTTTATTGTTAGATCTGGAAACCCTGATTGTAGCTTCCTGTTTTTCTGGTTCTTCTGTACATCAAAATAAAAAAGAATCTGCTCCTACCTTGGGAGTACCTTGCTCCTACAGGGCATACTTATGGGATGGCCTGGTGCTGCCCAAATTTGTAATTTCTGCCCCGACCTGTACTTAAGACCAGCTGGAAGGAAATCCCCACCCACAAGCCATCTGCTCAGCTTCTCCCCACCACCAGCTCACCCCAGCCAAGCCATTGCCAGTACTAAGTAGGAAAATAGTGGGCCACTGGGCAAAATTTTTTGAAATAAATTTAGATTGGTTTGATAAAAATAAAGCCTGTCCAAGTCCATGAAGAACTCAGCGCAGGGACTCCCTAGAGTGTCCTGCTGTCTGTCACGATGCTGACCAAACCCGTGAACTGCTTTGTCTTTAAGTGGGAAGCTATCAAAGTTCTGTCCTATAATTCTTTGCCTTCTTATCTATGGTGTGAAGGTCATGGGCCATCTCTGATGTTATAAATATTGAGGTTCCCGTGCTGCACTATTTGTTATTGTGTCAGTTAAGCTTTCCAGCTTTAAAATTAAACCAAGCTTTTTCATCCATTACAATCCTCTGGATAGGGACTGGATGGCTGCCGATGAATTTTTAATATTTTCTTTCCATTTTCAAGGGCCGTGTCCTCTCCAGTGCTCAGCCTTTGCACGCAACGCCTAGCCTTTGCACGCAAACTGTTTGCATCCACCTTTGTGCTGTAGAAGGTCACCAGCTTCTCCCTGGAGACCTCACAGTTGCCAGCTGCCACTGAGATCAGCATGGATTCTATCTTCTCCTAACCAGAGTTATGTAGCCAGTAGGACCAGCTACAAAGAGATTATGATTGGGGTAACATTTAGATGGCAGGAGGGTGTTCTAGATTTAGAGTATGCACCCAAACCAGCGAGATCTGTTAGAGATGTTGTAGAGTGGTTCAGCAATGTGCTTAATTGGTAAGAGCCCTGGGCAAGGTGGTCAGAAGACCAACAGCCAGGCCTGGCCAGGCTCCTACAGGACAATGGATTGCCTGAGGGCAAGGACTGGCTGTATTTCTTATCATTTCCCACTGTGCCTTGCACAGTCTTATTCACAGAGTATGTGCTGAATAGAAGGTGTCAAATGTTTTTGTCGCCAAAAACCACATGACATGAAGCATGCATGTGAAATCAGCTTTGTGTGTAGGTCATGACGAAACACTAATCTAGGTATTTCTGCTTGTATATTTCACACAGAAAAGGAAGTACATTGGAGATAAAGCTCATTAACAGTTCGGTAGTGTACTAGGGCCAGTCAGTAAGAAATTGGCAATTCTACTCTATTTTCCCTTCATTTAAAGATTCTGAATCCATTGATAAGCCCTGTGTTGAAGGCCTCTATTCACTAATATCCATTTCCTAGTTCAGCTGGGTGGAAATCAGAAAGACATTGTAGGGGACCAGAGTGTTGCTTCTTTGGAAAGAGTCTAAGTAGGTTCTGGCTGCCTGCATGGTGAGGTCAGTGGCATGCCTGCCTGCTTTGCTGCTTTGAACCTTAGACCACCCCAGAAACAATAGAAATACTTCAAGCAGTGGGGAAGGAGGTGATGACAAAACACTCCTACATCTAAAAGTGTCATGGGGGAACATGACATGCCCCTCCTTTAAAGCCTGCATGGTGGCTCTTCCTGAGAAATATGATGGGAAAGAGGTCAGGAGTGGGTCACCACCACACCAACACCACTTCTCATCCCAGACCCACCATGTGCCCTGTGAGCTGTCTGTGACCACCACCCTCCAGAAGTTGGCCATCTAATTATCCGATACAAACCTGGTACTTCCTAAGCAGATGTGCATTCTAGCTTCACTGTCTGCCAGCTCTTGAGAGAAAAATGAGAAGCAAACACCTGTTCTGAAACAGCTGAAGCTGGCCATGTCAGTGATCTTCGTTCAACATAAGCTCTCTGTCCCCAAGGTGGCAGTGAGCCTGAGCTGCGATCTTTTTGTTTCACCCTGGGGACGGTATGACATGTGGGTGGACAGGAAAGGGGGTGACAGACAGTACATCAGGGAATCAGCTATAGAAGTAGTAACAAAGATTGACAGCACGAGAAAGAATACTGTTTTTAGCGAAGACAAAAGACTGCCAGTGACAGTACGATGATTATTAGTCCTAGGCAAAGTCACGCTGGATATGTTTAGAGAATGGCAGGACCCTTTTCAACTTAAAGCAATAGAGAACTCTACAACCAACTTTGTTTCTCAGCTTTTTCTTCCTAAAGTCTTAGCACTGGTGCCGGAGCCTTGATCTGTGCTCTGACAGTGATTGAGTGCCACCAGTCCTGAACCAGGATTGGTTTCACAAGGTAGTTTGGTGTCACAGAGCGGCTAAACTTTCACTTGGTGTGTTGATCCCAAAAGTGGGTGTTGTCAGAGGAGCCTCTGTCTTAGCTCAGAATGCGGGTTGTTCGCTGGCCCCAGAAGAAGAGGTGAGCTTTTTGCACTGTTGTTCAGTAGAACACTGGAATTTTGAATAGGTGAGTAAAAGCAATATAATAATGACACCAATATCAAAGTAAGTGCCAAGAATAGAATTTCACTGAATCCTTTTATATTCTCCATTTACCATTGAGTATAATTTCTAACATGATGATGATGATGATGATGATGATATTATTATTATTGTTATTAAAGGTGGTAGTTCTTAGGAGCTATCCTCCCCAGAAATAAATCTAACAGCCAAAAATGCGTGACAGTGTGAGCGCCTGCTAACGTCCACAAGCTCAGAGGTGACTCTCTGTACCATAGGTTACAATTAGCTCTAATTCACTGAGCTGGAAATTGTTTTATTATTTCCTTTAGATTTCTAAAAGAAGTGCCTTCTATTGTAACAGTGTCAGGCACCTGGTACCTCAACAAATTAATTAAAGCACTGAAGTGTTTTATAAAATCACGAGCCACAGCAATAAAATGGAAAACAGCAATTGTGGGGAAAAAAATATCTATCTTTGGTCTTAGGCTGTGTCTTAGAGTTTAATGCAGGCAATAAAATCTCTCACCTTTTCTTGATGATGTTTAGTTGGTAGTCATATTTGTTTTGTTTTCAGCACTGAGAATGTTGAGATAAAGTACATATTCAGGTTGATTTGCCTACAACAAGCAAGTGAGTTTTCTGGAATATTATGTATTCTGCTATCATAAACACAGTTTCTATGAAGCAGTGATTTCACATTCTCCTATTCCATTAAGTCAGAATAATTTACGATATGCCATATGTGAGGTTACATGGCAATCTCTGATGACTTTTTAGGAGGAGAAGGAATTAATTAAAATTAGCATGGTTACCCTTAACCACTAGAAGCATTTAGGTCAATTAACCACTTTCCCCTTAAAAGATGAGGCCACTTGCACGTTCACAAACCCATTACTCTGCATTGTCTCAGTACACCAGGTACTGAAGGGGCTACCATTTTCTGGTTTGTTTTATATGTTGCTCCCTGGTATCTCGGAGAGGAAAACAGAAGAGGAAGAAAACATTTGAAATATTAGTGGATTTATGATTGTGCTGGTCAGTGTCTGTGTCATGTCCTCTAGGAGTGTAATCTACTAGAGTGAAGGAAAGAACGTGCCTTTGAGATGTAAGCCCATTGTCAATAGCAGGGGTTCTCCGACCGCCTGCACATCCCAGGTCTGTCTGTGCCTCCTACAGAGGGACCAGAGGAAGACGCCTGCCCATGCACGGGTCTTGGACTGTGGTGGAGTGCTTTCCTCTGTGCTATTTTGGGGGACCTTGCCTTTTCTTTTTTGAGCTTCAACCTAAAAATCACCTCTCCTTAATGCCCAAAACCCTGTCCTCAACCCCAGGCAGAGCTCCTTGCCCCGTCTTCTGTGGCCCCACAGCCCCTCACATTCACCTGGCAGGAGCCAAGTCACAGAGGGCTTTGCCGGCCATGGTAAGGTGTGTGGACTTCCTATTCATCGTGAGAGAAAGTGAGCAGAGGGGTTCACACAAGTGATGACGTGCCTCACGTGTGCAAAGGTCATTCTGGCTGTGGCGTAGTGAAGGAAGAGAGGAAGCAGGGCTTCCCATCAGAGAGTGAGAGGGGATGGCGGCTCAGACTACACCTTTAGCCATGGAGGAGGCGTCAAGTCACATTGGAGGGATGTGTTGCAGGAGACCTCACAATACATTGGTGCTATAGGAATTTAAAGTCAGGAGTTGCTAGAGCAGCGGTAGCCAGGGCTGTGACTTGGACGTGACATTGAAGAAAAGGGTCACTAGAGCAGCCTCTACGGCGAAGAAAGGGGCATCGAGGTGTTATTCTCTGGTGCCCAATTAAAAGGTTGCTAGACGATTATAAGTCTGACTTCTATCTGGATTGATTGATTAATTTCCCATTAGACATTGTCAAAGAGTAATCTCCTTTAAGAAAAAAAAAAAAAAAGCTTCTCTCTCTCCAAGCAAGCCTAGAAGAAGTGTCGGAAGCTGGAAGGAATTTGGCAATTTTGTCTGTTATCCTTTTTCCAAGCACGAAACCTTGCACTTAACAACCACATTAATGGAACAATAATTTTAGTCCCTGACTGTTTTTTCTTTTCAATCCTTAAAAATGACAAACCGTGGGCAATTTCTTCTCTACCACTTGAAGAACTCCTTGTGTAATAAGAAGCCGTTGTCACATGTGTACTGAGTGTTTTTTCACAGGTGACCGGGGTTTGGTTTTCTTTCTCACAGGATACCCAAAGCAGAGGACTGCGGCAGCTCGAAATGGGTTTCCGCCCAAGCCGGACCCGCAGGCCCGTGAGGCTGAGCGGCAGCTGGTGCTGCGGCTGAAGGAGCGGTGTGAGCAGCAGACCAGACAGCTGGGCGTTGCGCAAGGGGAGCTGAAGAGGGCCATCTGCGGCTTTGATGCCCTCGCCGTGGCCACGCAGCATTTCTTTAGAAAGGTGAGGCCCCATTTCGTGAAGGTCCAAGGGCATTTTGGTTGGAGGAGAGTGTGGTGATGGTGACGGTTGTTTGTGTATGTTGCTGTTTTGGGTTTGAGTTTTGATCAGAGTGGAGTTTGGATTTTCAGGAGTTCAGGCAGAATCTCCTGAGGCATCCCATCATCTTTGGGGAGCCACGTTTATCCTTAGGTGTGAAAGAAATACGTCTGGGAAGGATCATTAATAATCTTCATTCCAAAATACGAAATTATGTAAAAAATGAAAGGAAAGGATATACAGGAACATTTTTGAAGGTGGGATCTTTGCAGGAAATGGAGCGTGTGGTAGTTTGCATTTTCGAGGGGAGATGGTCACTTTCCGACATTACTGCTCACATCACAACAAAGGGAGACAGGGCCCCAGTACCGTTCACGTCGGCTGTTGATGGGCAATGGAATGTGCTTGGCCTGGGACTCTTCTCAAGGCCATGCTCACAGTTCCCAGAGCAGCATGGGGTGAGGTTCGGATTCTCCTTGTGCCCTCAATTTTTCTGAAAATGCAGGGAGGTTGGTTTCTCCTCTGCAAATGTCTGGATCTGTGTGTGTATACTGAATCTGTTATTAACCATGGAGCAGATAAGCATCCCAGCCTTTCCCCAGGGAACAGAGGTGGGAGCCTAGTGTCCCACTGCATTTGTTCTCCACCTTGAAGTCACCAAGGTGTGCTTGGGGGAGAAAAAGCATAAACATAAGTGCACATTTTTGAGATGCACATATGGACCTCCTGGTATCTATACATGGGAGGAAGTAAAAGTGCTGTATAAATGCTCTCCAAATAAGAAAGTGAATTAACGAAATATCTGGTCAATTTGAAAAGAAAAGCAGAAGAATGTGAAGTGGCTCCATGTCCCCTGGCAGCTCCTTTTTGGCCTTTTATGACATCCTTCACCTTCCCCTCTACTCCAGTATAGAAGCCTGAGCTGCTCTTTTTTGTTGTTATTATTTTTGTTTGTTTAAAGCTTTCAACAGAAAGAGCCATTTATCAATCTGTTGTGGTATTAAATGACAAGATGAGTAGACAGCCCTGAAATTTCCATTTTACCAATAGTTTCAGCCTCCTCCCCAACCAGAATTTTAACCCCAGCAGAAAATGGCCAATGTGAATTTCATACCTTCCTTTCTGGTCTAGTCACGATGCATGACGTGATCTGGTAAGCTTGCATAAAGTAGCCGAACACCCCCCCCCCCCCGTAAGAATTAAAGTTACAAACACGTCTTCAAGGAGCCCAAGAGGCCTGACTGGCCATGGTCAAGATGAGCATTTTTGTAATTAGGGAAGGTGATTCGTCGTATTTCCCACTGACTGTCAAGTTGTACCTAAAGAGGAAAACAGGGCTGTTCCTTGAAGTTCAGTGACCCTGTTTTAGTCACACTGCCTGCTCTGGGACTCTGCCTTCCAGACATCATCCAAAGAGTCAGAACAAGCCCTTGATAAAGGTTTCATATGATGGACAAAGCAATAGATATTGATATAATATATTGATAATATGTTCCGTGTTTTAGAAGTTGGAACTTTTAGGCCCCACTTTTGGGATCATGGCAGGGGAGAGAGTAACTGCCAAAATTAGGGGTCAGTTCCCTGTAGTTATGCACTTCCATGTTCCAGGAAAATTCCTTGTTGGCCTGCAGACCAGGAGTTTTACTTCTCTGTAGCATGCATGTGGCTCTCAAACCAGAGACCAACAGCGGCTGGCAGGTGATTTGCAGGCATCTCCACTGGACCTCTCTGCTACTACAGCTACACTTGGCATGACATTTCAGCAAGATGGATGGTGGACATGAATTTCATTTTCTTTTCAGTAAATCACAACCAGTAACTCCAAATGGGCTTCAAAAATGACCGTGGCATTTCACCTCCCACACAATGTATTTTTTTCTCTGTCTTTCTGATCTCTACGCTATCTTTCTCTCCAGATAAATGCCAGAAGAAAAAACAGAAGATAAAATGTTTTTTTTTTAAAAAGTTAAAGTCCTAATTGAACATAATCAGTGGCTTTTATGCAGGCCGTCATGCATGCCATGTAGTTTAAGGTGATGGATTTGAGAATTTGCTAGTAATACTGAATTAGACCAGGAGGTGTGACATGGGGTGGAGAACCTGGGAAAATAGAGGCAAAGCAGCCCTGAAACCTTCAACAATGGAGCCCTTTGAAGTTACCAGGTCAGGAGAACCCAAGGTACCCCATGTCACCCTTGTGAGAAACCCATGCATTATTATTGTGAATGAGATCTTGTCTGAGCCAAGCATGCCAGCTTTGAGGAAGCATGACCTGTATAGCCTGAAAATGCATGATCTCTTTGTTCTACCAGTTAGAAGGCCCTGCCAGAATTCCATCCTGTAAGGAATGCACGTGTATCTTTTGTACACTGTAGCATATTTATCTGCACAGCATGCTCTGGTGGAGAGAGGACGCAGTGCTAACCCAGAGTCAGTTCCATCTCTGCCCCTATCCAGTGGTGAGACCTTGAGCAAGTTCCTGCCTCTGTGCACTTCGTCATCATCACTGTAGGAATAACATCCCTGTCCTTGTTCTCTTTCCCCCTGGCTGAGTCATTAACTTTGAATCTCAGTTTTCTCCATTTAAAATAGAATTCATAATAACTCTTCACAAAGTCATTGTGAGAATGTAGTGAATTAATGTGCAAAGATGCTTTATAGAGATGGGTCTCACTATGTTTTCTAGGCTGGTCTCAAACTCCTGGCCTCAAGTGATCCTCCTGCCTCAGCCTCCTAAAGCACTGTGATTACAGGCATGAGCCACCATGCCCAGCTGGCAAAGGCACTTTTTTAACAAATATTCAATCAAACATTCTTTTCTGAGTACAAAGAAATCTGTCAGGATCTACCTCAAGGATTTTACTCTCAAGTGGGAGAAGGTGAAAACACAGTCAAAGCCCTTGAAGAGCTTGGCCTGGAATGTACTTTAAAAATAATTTAAGAAAATAATTTTCAGTGGCCAGGCTCGAGCAGCCTGGCCAACATGGTGAAACCCCATCTCTACCAAAAATAAAAAAAATTAAAAAAATTAGCCGAGTGTGGTGGCACGTGCCTGTGATCCCAACTACTTGGGAGGCTGAGGCAGGAGTATTGCTTGAACCCAGGAGACGGAGGTTGCAGTGAACCGAGATTGCTCCACTGCACTCCAGCCTTGGTGACAGAGGGAGACTCCATCTCAAAATACATTTTTTAAAATGAAAATGAAAATAATTTTCTAGTATAGCTCTTCAGTTGCTGCTATATATTTTTACCTGAATATGCTGATGCCATTAATTTAAATATGTGTTGGAAGTAAGCCTCACCACTAGAGAAAAAGAATTAGAAGCCCAGATAAGAATCTCCCTTTTCTGCCCCATGCTTTATAGCTCCTGGCAGAGTAGCTGTGAAAGTTGTCAGCTCTAACACAGCCTCAGCCCAGCGTCCAGGGATTCTAAGATGCCACACTTAGGTGCCAACAGCAGCCTCACACTTGTGCTGGTTGCAGGCAGCTCTGCCCCTGCAGCAAGGTATGTTCCTCACCACGGGCCAAACAGATCTGCTGTATCCATGCTCCCAGACCCCCAAGTGGTGTAGTAATGAGTGTGACTCTCAGGGACGGACTCGCGCTCCTTAGGGTCAGGTTGAATGGTGTGATGGTGCTTTTGCTGTGTGGTTCCCCGTAATGCTACTCTTTAGCATCCCCTGGTGGCTCTCCCATGAAACAGTCCACAGGATGGTCCTCACCCTGCAGCATGGAGTTTTATACACATTACCTGAGGGTACATGGATTTTCATGTTACTTTTAATAAGATTTATTATACTTATTCAGTATTTTTCATATCTATTCTTGTCTTCTTTGTTAACTTTATGAATGTGATTGTAGATGATGGTTTTGAATTTTTTTACATGTTATTAAATAGTTTAGGCATAAAAGACCTCAAAATGAATATGTCAAGCATTTTTGGACTTTCTAAACTTACTAAAAAATTAATAATTCACCAACCTCCTTCTTCTCAGAGTGTGTATATATTTTAAGGCTTTTATTATTTTACCTTTTATCACAAAAAAAATTTAATATAGAATAGTGGAAAGAATAAAACCCAGATACCCCATAATCCATATTTAACATTTATTAACATTCTGCCATATTTGCTTTATCTGTGTCTTGTTGTTGTTAGTTAGGGGTATGTATATTTTTTATATATTTTGTATATTTGAACTTCAACCTTTCACCTTCAGTTCACATATATTAGTAGACAATCTTTAGCAACTCTGTCTCTACCATATGGGGTGGGTAGGTAGGGAGGATTCAAAAAAGTAAGAGGCAGAACTTTAACAATAGAGCTCTTATTTATTGACCATCTACTATGTCCTGGGCACTTAACAGGCATTATTTTAACCCTCACAACAACCATAGCTGTTGTAGATATCATCCTCATGTGATGCCTGGGGAAACTGAGGTTTGGGGAGATTGCATAGTCCTCTGAAGACAACATAATTAGAAAGTGATGGAGCCAAGATACAAATACAGGCCAGGCCACACCCAACACTCATGTTTTTCCACTATATTATGATGCTACTTCTCCCTCTCTTCACAATCATCAAGGTGCTTTTTATGTATTAAGGGGGGAAACGCACAATTGCAAAACAGGTGAAACAATAATCTAAAAGTTAAACACACAGAAAATGACCTAATGGTTTAAGCTGTTGCCATAAAAAAAATACTATGTGCTCAAGTGGAAGCCTCATCCTTGATAATGGGAAGGAGTCTTGGAAGAGCAGGATGGAGAGAGGAGCAGAATGTGGGGTGAGCAAAGAGGAAGGAAGAGCGTATTGGGACGAGAACACCCGATGCCTGCTGTCTGCAGAGTGCCCCCGCTCCCTGCATATCTTTAAGCCCTTGGTAAATTAGTTAATGACTTCTGAATAGAGATTTAGGCCCTGGGGAACTGTTTTTAAAAGTGCAGTGATTGCTCTAGCATGGATTGCAAACTCCTCATAGTGAAGCTGGCCCCAGCTCACCTTGAGTGCTCCATAACACCTGGTTGATTCATGGGTCAGGACAGGGTGTCTGTTAAAGGGCAGGAGAGAAGAGACAGCAGTAGAACCCCTTTGGAAAATAAAGGCTTGCTAGCTTTATCTGTTTAATGCATTCAGATTTTAAATTCAGGGATTCATCAGAATGAATGTTGCCCTTGAGCTAAAGCAGTAGAGAAGCTATTACGTCCACCAGCCAAAGGACTTCACATTTCAGAGATTTTCCCACTGAGTGGAGCTCTCAGAGCAGTAATTATACCTTATCAGAATTGAAAACATCAAGCTCTTTGTTGCTTCCTAAATCCAAAACATGGTCATTTAAACATAGTGTTTTGTGCCTCTCCCACTTATAAACGATGCTCTGCGATTATCTTCTCTTCCCTTAATTTTATCTTGAATAACCAAAGGCTTAAAGAAAATGTGAGCACTTAAGGTGGCATTTCTGACAGCTATTCAGCACATAACACAGTAGAGAGTGCTAGTGAAGTGGTAAATTCAAGGTAAATTAATGGTTCCTATGGTTGTTGTTCTGAAAGAATATTATGTGTCACAAAAATAAGTGCCCCCACAGTGCTTTGATAAAAGAACCATGAGCGTCTGTATGCTTTTACTCATAGGACTTCAGCTAAAGGAAGTTTTTAGCACAACCCCCAAACATCAAAATATTCCCAATATCAAGGGACAGAATCCTCCAGATATGCCAAGCAGCTCTTTGAAGTAATAAGAACCCTTGGCCTGTGGTGTCAGTTGTGCAAAACATCATGGTCAGTGGAAAATGAAACTCAGAATAGCGAAGTCTTCTCAACATTCATGGAAGATCCTTGATACTGAAGCCTGATAAAACCCACCTCTATTGATGATAATATACATTTCACAATAAGGTGCAATAAGATGAGAACAGATACCTGACCAAGGTGAAAACTAATTGCCCCATTCAGCTCATCTCACTTATGCTTTGTCATCAATACGTTTTTTTGTTTGGGTTTGTGTGTGTGTGTGTGTGTAATTAAATGTCACTTTTTTGAAGGCAGATAGGTGCCATGGGAGAAGAAAGGTGAATTTCAGCTGCTGCTTTGCAGAAGAGGCCTGAGGTTTTCCCCAGATCCTGGTGGGCAGTTGGTTAAACCTGGTCTGTAGTAAAAGTGCGTGCCTTTAAGATATTCTGGGATACAGAATTCAGCATAGCCTTCCTGTAGCCAGAGAGGCCACAGAGCAGATGAGGTATGGAATGTCACCTGGCCATCCCACTCAACCTTTCTAGACCCATGGCCTCTGGCAGATACCAATTCTTCACTTAAATGTCACTGGCGACTTATTTGAAAATAAATGCTGTAAACTCCCCTCCAACTAAACACAAGTCAAAGGAAAGACAATATTCAAAAATCATGACTCTCTAACAAGAGGAGATATGGTTTTCTCAGCCCCAGAACCTCTTCCCTGCGAGAGATGAGTTTATTCACTTTCCTAGACCTCAGTTTTTCTATAAAATGGAGTTACTAAGGGTCCAGTTTCAAGGACAAGACTATAATGAAGGGGCTGTCAGGCCCAGGCTCTGTGATTTAATTCAGTGCCTCTGACTCTGTGGGTTGTTCTATTAGTCCGTTTTCATACTGCTGACAAAGACATACTTGAGACTGGGCAATTTACAAAAGAAAGAGGTTTAATGAACTCACAGTTCCACGTGGCTGGGAAGGCCTCACAATCATGGCAGAAGGTGAAAGGCACATCTCACATGGCGGCAGAGAAGAGAAGAGAACTTGTGCAGGGAAACTCCCCTTTATAAAACCATCAGATCTTGTGAGACTTACTATCACAAGAATGGCATGGGAAAGACCCACCCCCATGATTCAGTTACCTCCCACCAGGTCCCTCCCATAACATGTGGGAATTGTGGAAGCTACAATTCAAGATGAGATTTGGGTGGGGACACAGCCAAACCATATCAAGCGTTATCATTTAAATACCAGAAAATCATCGCCCGCTAGCTCAGTTGGTAGAGCATGACACTTAAGCACCAGAAAGTGCTCTGCCCTTCCTCAGGGGGTAGAGTATGCCTATTGATCCCTGCGGCCCACTCTAAGCATACCTGGTATGGGACCATCACGGTTTTGAAAATATAAGTTAGATTATTCTCTTTGGGAAAAATCATTTAAATAACAAACCTTTGTGGAGCATCTGAATCATGAGTCTGTTTCTAGCATATTATTCCTTGGGGACACCACCAAGTGCAAAGAGAGACAGGGAGAGAGATAGCCCTCCAGTAGTTGCCTGTCAAGGCTGAGCCCTCTCCTTGGTTCCTTTGGCGTCTGGTTTCTAGCAGGAGTTAAGAGACCTGGTGGCTCTTGGAGTACCTTCTTATGTGGGCCTAAAACCAGCACCTCATCTCCTGTAGCAGTTTGTGATGTGAGCCTCCCTCCCTGTGTCTGCATCCCTCTGCCTCCTCCTTAATACACACACACTCTGAATCATCTCCAATTCCAAAGATAGGGAATGGTCCATCCTAATCATTCTGTCTATGGTCCATCCGCTTGGTAAATGGATGACTTGAAAACCACATCTCGGCCCCTGAGTTCCAGTTCTGGGAAGAGATGCTCACTGAAATCATGGACAACAGAGTGGACTGTGAAGCCTGTCAAGCAGGCAGGGTACCTGGGGTAGGGGCGCCTTGAGAGAGGAACGTGGCTTGTGAAATGGGCCAAGGATCACATAGGACCTCAGCAGGCAAAGGTGGAGGAATTGGGCCTTCCGGGACAGCAGGAAGAACTTGAGCAGAGAGCGGTGCAGTGTGGGGAGAGGGCAGGACCACTCTGTGGAAGGTGAAGAGTCTAATTTGCCTAAAGCTTTGGTGATGATGATGGTGGGGAATGAGGCTGAAGAGTTCAGGGCCTTGAATCTTAAATAAAAGAGAGGAGGCACTGGTGGAGGCAGGCAGGAGGCCCTGAGTTTTGGACAGCAGCTGCAGCGCTGTGTTTTAGGAAGATTAACGCAGTTTGAGATGGATGGCAGCAAGAAAACCCCAGGTAGGGAAAGCACATCTCTGCCAGTGGAATAAAAATCCAGGCAAGAGGTGAGAAGGGTCAGGGGGACCTGGGGTCCCGATGGAAAGGAGAGGGCAGATACAGAGCCTGAGGCTGTGAACCTGACAACTAAGTGGATTCAAGATGCCCAGACGATAAAGGATGAACCCACCCCACCCCAGCCCCAGCAACACCCACACAGAAATCACAAACTGCTGAGAACCTAGGAATTATGTGCATATACAGCTCAGAAATGTTTAAAGGGGTCATGGGTTCCTTTGAAGAAATCTGCTCCGGAACTGTACATTGTATGCATCAATGAGCCCTCAAGTCCAGGGAAAAATAAAGCAATGCCAAGGGACCTGTAGCTTTTCTTTTTTTTCCTCCTAGAATCTACTTCTTTTTTTTTTTTTTGAGATGGAGTCTCACTCTTTCACCCAGGCTGGACGGCAGTGGCGCTATCTCGGCTCTCTGCAAGCTCCACCTTCCGGGTTCACACCATTCTCCTGCCTCATCCTCCCAAGTAGCTGGGACTACAGGTGCCTGCCACCGCACCCGGCTAATTTTTTGTATTTTTAGTGGAGACAGGGTTTCACCATGTTAGCCAGGATGGTCTCGATCTCCTGACCTCGTGATCTGCCCACCTCGACCTCCCAAAGTGCTGGTATTATGGGCGTGAGCCACTGCACCCAGCCCCAGAATCTGCTTCTAACCCATGTATCACCTGTCCCACCCCCTGGGACAGCAGGTGGGACACAGTACCCTGTGTCCCACCCATCCTCTCCAGGAAGTGCAAGGTGGCTCTGAATTGCTGCTTCTTTTACATTAATTTAGTTAATGCTTACAGTTAGATAGAAAGAATCAGTTCTAATGTTTGATAGCATAGTAGGGTGACTGTATTAACAACAATATATTGTTATATTTCAAAATAGCCAGAAGAGAAGATTTGAAACATTTCCACCACAAAGAAATGATAAATGTTTGAGGTGACGAATATCCTAAATTCCCTGATTGGATCATTAAACATTCAATGCATGTATCAAAATATCAGATACACCCCATACATAGGTATAAATATGTATCCATAAAAAATAATTCAAAAAAATAATGTACTTTATGCTTCCTACCATCCTGCATCCCTCCAGAGCTGGTACAGCCCCCTGTGTTGATTTCTGGGACTCTTTCTCTTTGGTAATGCTGAGATCTCCATGAGGGAATTAAGCAGAGGTGTAGATGTCAGGAGAGAAAAGGGAGGCTCTAGAGAAGCAAGCTCGGGGTGGTTTACATACAGTGATGTGAAAGGGATGAGATTCACAGGAGGGTGTATGCAGAGGAGGGAAGCTGACCTGGGACAGCATCTTGGGAAATGCCTGTGCATCCTTCATGGGGCCAGGTAAGGAGCAGTAGGCCTGGCAAGGAGAGAGAGGAGCTGGTGAGAGGGGTTGCAGGAAAGGGGAGAATCCCACCTCTCAGAAGCCAAACGGAGGGGGCATCTCTGACAGGTGAGAGTGATTTACAATACCAGGAACCAGACAGCAGAAGAAAAGGTTACAGATACCAGGTACCAGGCAGCGGGAAAAAAAAGGTTACAGAATGAGGAAGTACCCTAGACTTTGGCAGTTTGGCAAGAGTATCTGTAAAGAGGTAAGGACAACCAGCTTTTCCTGGTTCCTCTATTATCAAACGGTTTATTTAGCAAAGTTCTGCCTCGTTTCAGCCCGTAGAGAAGCCCGTTCTTCTACCCTGTGAGGAGTGGCAATGGCACCATCTACAGGACATTGTCTAGAAATGAAAATCTGTGCCCGGAGAAAAGAACTCATGTCAAGTATTACCTTAAATTCCAGAGAGTTTTACAGAAAGCAAATGCCGCTCTCCTCCCTTTGGCTCCCTAAAGTGTCAACTACAGTCCTGCCTATTCCACAAACCTGATTGAAACGAGGTTTGAAATTAAGAACACACAGCTCAGCTCCTTTCATTTTTCATTTTATTCCTGACCATCAAATCACTAAAACAGCAAGAATAAGATTTATGTGGTACACTGCAAGCAGTTTGCCTATGAGGTAATTCATAAAAGCAATTATATATGGCACAAACCTAACAGTAAAAGTGTATACCTGTGATCCAGTCCCTGGAGAGAGTAAAAACACATCACTTCTGCCCTCCCAGGAGAAGAAAGAAAAACATTTAAAATCCAAAATAGTGAAACTCTATTACACGACAGTATTCTCTTGAGAACAAAGATTTATCATAAGTATTATGCTGACAAAATAGATAGGAGGTGATATTATTTCTCAAATTCTTCTTCAATAATATTTCCCCAATTTTTGTTTCAGGTTAAAACTCAGGGTCAGAATTCTGTATTTATTTTAAAAGCATGAAGGAGGAAGAAAAAGAAAGGAAAAAAGAAACAAACAAGTGCAATAAATAGAAAATAATTACAAAGATGGTCAATAGTAATTCAAAGATATCCATAATCACTTTTAATGTGAATGGTCTAAACAGCCCCAGTTAAAAGATAGAGATCTGGCTAGGCATAGTGGCTCATGCCTATAATCCCAGCACTTTGGGAGGCTGAGGTGGGTGGATCGCTTGAGCCCAGGAGTTTGAGACCAGCCTGGGCAACATGGCAAAACCTCATCTCTAAAAGAGAGAGAGAAAATGGTTTTTTAAAAAACGTGCTATGGTTTGCATGTGTCCCCCAAAAGTTGATGTATTGGAAACTTAATTGCCATTGTAACAGTATTAGGAGGTAGGGCCTTTAAGATGTGATTCGGCTGGGTGTGGTGGTGTGCATCTGTAGTCACAGCTACTCAGGAGGCTGAGGCAGGAGGATCACTTGAGCCCAGGATGCAAGGCTATAGTGCTCTATGATTGCACCCGTGAATAGCCTCTGCACTCCAGCCTGGGCAACATAGCTGGAGACCCTGTCTCTTGAAAGAAAGAAAGAAGTGATTAGGCTACACCCTCATTAAGGGATTAATGGCATTATCCTGGAGTGGACTCTTGATATATTTGGCTCCTATCTTGTCCCTCCGTGTCATGCATTCACTTTTGCCTTCCATCCTCCCTTCTGCCATGGAATAAGCTACACCAGATGCCAGTGCTATGCTCTTGGACTTCCCAGCCTCCAGACTGTGAACAAAATAAACTTCCTTCCTTTATGGGTTACCCAGTCTGTGGTATTCTGTTATAGAATCAGAAAATGGACTAAGATAACACCCAATTATATATTGTCCACCAAAATAAAAACCAATTTGAATATATAGCTCAAATTAGAAGTAAAGGGATGGAGAAACATACACCATGCTAACACTAATCAAAGGAAAATTGGAATAGCTCCATTAATTTCAGACAAGGCAGACTGTAGAACAAGATTACCGCAGATAAAGAGGGACACATAATGATAAAGGAGTCTGTTCTTCAAGAAAACATAAGAAACATGAAGGTAACTATTGATATTTTAGGCTGATTCTATTGGGTTCCAGTGACTTGTGTGCTCAGGTGATGTTCAATTATTGCAGTTCTGAGAGTCCTGTTTCTTCAACCTCAAAAATCTGCTGAAAAGCTTCCAGGATTTAGAGGAAAAATAATTGTAAACACCTGATGTATTCTGAGCACTGATATGCTTTTTATTTTTTAATGCATATTATTTCATTTAATATCTTCACATTAACCACCCCCCCCCCCTTTTTTGAGATGGAGTCTCGCTCTCTTGCCCAGGCTGGAGTGCAGTGGTGTGATCCTAGCTTACTGCAACCTCTGCTTCCTGGGTTCAAGTGATTCTTCTGCCTGAGCCTCCTGAGTAGCTGGGATTACAGGCGCCCGCCACCATGCCCAACTAATTTTTGTATTTTTAGTAGAGATGGGGTTTCACCATGTTGGCCAGGCTGGTCTCAAACTCCTGACCTCAGGCGATCTGCTTGCCTCGGCCTTCCAAAGTGCTGGGATTACAGGCGTGAGCCACTGTGCCCGGCCTCTTCACATTAACCTTTTGATGAAGGTATTTTGATACCCATGTTATAGATAACTCAGGTTGCCTTGATCAAATAATATTTTATTATTTTATTCATAAAATGTTTCTGAAAAACCTGGTAGTTCTCCAAATAATAGAATGGATATGACATAGGACTTCCCTTTAAGAAAATTCCAATCAAATATCCCACCTAATTGTTTCAAAACACCTCCTTTGATCTTCTCAGCACTGCCAAAAGATAGGCAGGAGAACTCTTAGTATTCCTGTTTTCCAGGTAAAGAAACAGAGGAAGAGAAGTTGTTCCTTGCCATAGGTCTCATGATCAATAAGCTGTAGAATCAAGACTTTGTGCAGATAATTTCTGGAGGCCTAATGTTCAGCATGGTGATTACAGTTAATAATTCTGTACTGTATACATGAAATTTGCTAAGAGAGTAGATCTTAAGTGTCCTCAACCCCCGCCCCCCCCCCCACACACACACACAAGCACAAAAGGTAACTGTGAGGTGATGGATGTGTTAATTAGCTTGATTGTGGTAATCATTTCACAGTGTAGATGTGTATCAAAATAGCACTTTGTACACCTTAAATTTATAGAAATTTTATTCATCAATTGTACCTCAATAAAGCTGGCTGGGGAAAGACTTCACGAGGGTCCCCTGCCTCCAAATCTAGTGTGCACCTGCCACTTTTCTTGCTTTGGTATTCTATTGACAAAGACGTGAAATTGATTTATCACGTCTAGCAGCACCAACAGACCAAAATATCAATGCAAAATAGCATCTTGACCTCATGCTGAGATGTCTGACTTGTGACAATGAAGAACAGCATTCAGTATCTGCAATGATAAGCCAAGCTCCATTGAACAATTTGACACCATGAGTGAAAGGGCATGGACTAGTACCTTGTTGATTTCTTGCTGCCCTAAATTACCAGATCCTAGGTAACAATTATTATATGTTAAGATTAACTATAAGGTTGACCAGAAGATCAACACTCTACCTACACCTGGTGACAAACACCCATCCACAGAAGAACATCCACCATGCCCAGATAAAGCCATGAAAGATATTCAGGTGTTACAGCAGGTGGTTATTAAGTGACAGCCACAAGCTGCTATGTTTCCCTCAAAAGTGAAGGCCAAAGCTAATTTTCATACCTAAGATAACCCAAATATTTTTCTTCTTTATATGATCTGGATTTTTTTTCTTCTTCAGATCCATATGTATGTTATCATCAATAGAAGCTCCTCAGAATGACCATTACTTATATGAAGACCCAACACACAAACTAAGCAAGGGATCCGAAAGATCTCAGTTGAGTTCCAGTTCAGGGTAAGAGGGAGGAAGCACACTCCACCCTTCTTCTCCCACTAAATTCAGCTACAAACAACTGGACCAAATGCATCAAGCAGCTATTTGAGAACTTAAAAGGATATGCAGTGGGCAGATTAGAAAGAAGAGTTGAATTGAAAGTATCATAAAATTAGTGGTGAACATACAAGTTTTTCTTTCCAGTATTCTCTGACTTGAAGTCAGTTCAGCTTGAAACCTGGAAGTGGTCACCTGGACCTGGACAGAAAGAGCTCCAGGAGAAACTTTTTAGGTCTGACTCGAGAAGTGGGAAAGGGAACTCCTAGAACTCAGAGACAGCTAATGAAGTCTCATTTTTCTTCTTCATTTCCCCATACCCTAATCTGTGTAGCCTTGCAGTGGTGGTAGCACCAACCTGCCAGAGGGAAACTGTAAGGGAAGGAAACTTTCCCATTTGCTTGCAGGAGCTGTGGTCCCTGTTTTTATTATCTCCATGTACACATACCATCTGTCCACAAACAGGAGTGCAGTTGTGAAAAGTGCATAGAGCAGGGTAACTAAAGGCCCAGCTTTTTGGCTCGAGGACTAACAAGGGGGGCACCCAGGGAACTGGAAAGGATAGCAGATATTGAGGCAAAGGAGGAACGTGGGAAAATGACCCCTTAAATTGTTTTTGAACCCCTGGGCTCACCCCTGAGCTGTATGTGAATCTCATCCTAACAGCATACACGGACTTTGAGAATTGAACTACAGAGCAAACCATCACCAGAGTGCTAGACTGGCCATTGTGGGAGGCACATGAGGTATGGATCCTAATAGTACTTCAAAAGCTTTGAAAACGGAGCTAACTTTGGAAGCACAACTTACAGAAGGCTGGATGGAACTGATAACCTGAACTCTACCTCACTGACTGCCTGCTGCTGATTATTCATTAGATTTAAGCAAGGCCCAGAGGAGTCTTATGATGTAATATTCAAAATGCTTAGAACACAATTTAAAACTATTTAGCATACAAAGAATCAGGAAATCCTCAGCTTATATGGGAAAAGCTAATCAACAAACAGTAAAACCATGATGACACAGATGTTGCATTTATTTGACAAAAAATGTTAAAAGTAGCTATTGCAGAATGCTTCAGGAAGTACAAGCAGTTACCCTTGAAATTCTTCAAAGAAAGATGTATCAAAGGAAGAAAAGATACACAGAAGAAACAAGTGGAAATTTTAGAGCTAAAAAATACAATAACCAAAATAACTGGATGGAAATGATGGAGAAAAAAGTCAGTGAACTTGAAGATAGATCAGTAGAAATTGTCCAATCTGAACAACAGAAAGAAAATAATTTTTAAAGAACAGAGCCTCAGAAACCTAACAGACAATTTTAAAAAGGTCTAATATTTTTGTAATAGGCGTTCCAGAGAGAAGAAAGAATGTGGTGCAGAGAAAATATGTGAAGAAATAATGGCTGAAAACTTCCCAAATTTGTTGAAAGAAATAAACCTACACATTCAGGAAGCTCAGTGAACCACAAACAGGATAAGCCCAAGGAAATTCATATCTAGATATATTCTAATTAAACTGCTAAAAACTAAAGACAAAAAATACTGTAAGCAGTCAAAGAAAAATTACACATTACCTATCGGGGAACAACAATTCAAATGACTGCAGATTTCTCATCATAAATTATGAAGGCCTGAAGACAGTGGCACATTTTCAAAGTAGTGAAACAAACATCAACCCACAATTCTATATCCAGTGAAAATATACTTTATAAATGAAGATGAAATAGGCCGGGCATGGAGGCTCACGCCTGTAATCCCAGCACTTTGGGAGGCCAAGGTGGGTGGATCACCTGAGGTCAGGAGTTCGAGACCAGCCTGGCCAACACAGGAAACCCCATGTCTACTAAAAATACAAAAATTAGCCAGGTGTGGTGGCACACACCTGTAATCCCAGCTACTCGGGAGGCTGACCTGTAATCCCAGCTACTCGGGAGGCTGAGACAGGAGAATCACTTGAACCTGGGAGGAGGAGGTTGCAGTGAGCCGAGATCATGCCATTGCACTCCAGCCTGGGTGACAAGAGTGAAACTCTGTCTCAAAAAAAATAAAATAAGAAGATGAAATAAAGACATTCTCACATAAAGAAAAGCTAAAAGAATTCACTGTCTGCAACCCTGATCTAAAAGAACTGTTAAAGAAATTGCTAAGATATGGAACCAACCTAAATGCTTATCACCTGATGAGTGGATAAAGAAAATGTGGTTTTAGATTGGTGCAAAAGTAATCGTGGTTTTTGCCATTACTTTTAATAAGAAACTCACTGGGTGGAAATGACAGAGAAAAAAGTCAGTGAACTTGAAGATAGAGCAGTAGAAACTGTCCAATCTGAACAACAGAAAGAAAATAATTTTTAAAGAACAGAGCCTCAGGAACATAACAGACAATTTAAAAAGGAGTTTTTAATAGGAGTTCCAGAGAGAAGAAAGCCATTACTTTTGCGGTTTTAATGGCAAACCCGCAATTACTTACTTTTAATGGCAAAAACCGCAATTACTTACTTTTAATGGCAAAAACCGCAATTACTTACTTTTAATGGCAAAAACCGCAATTACTTACTTTTAATGGCAACAACCGCAATTACTTACTTTTAATGGCAAAAACCGCAATCACCTTTGCACCAGCCTACTATATATATATATATATATATACGTGTATATATATATATATACGTATATATATATATACATATATATATATACGTATATATATATATATATACGTATATATATATATATATATATATATATATACACACACCATGAAATACCACTCAGCTATAAAAAAGAATAATGTCTTTTGCAGCAACTTGGACAGAGCTGGAGGCCATTATTCTAAGGGGGGTTACTCAGTAATGGAAACCAAATACCGTATGTTCTCACTTATAAGTGGAGCTAAGCTATGGGTATGCAAAGGCATACAGAGTGGTATAATGGACATTGGAGACTCAGAAGTGGAGAGCGCGGGAAAGGCACGAGGGATGAAATACTACATATTGGGTACAATGTACACTACTCAGGTGATGGGTGCACCAAAATCTCAGACTTCACCACTTTATAATCCATTCATGTAACCAGAAACCACTAATACCCCACAAGCTATTTAAACATATATGTGTGTGTGTGTGTATGTATGTGTGTGTATATATATATATGTGTGTGTGTGTGTGTGTGTATATATATTTATTTATTTATTTAATGGGAAATGATACCAGAAGAAAACTTAGAATAACAAGAATGAAGCAATAGAAATAGTAAATAACTGAGTAAATATAATAGACTCTTCTTTCCCTATTGAGTTCTTTAAAGTATATTCAAGGTTAAAAGCCAAAATTATAACATTGTCTGATGGAGGTTGCACGTAGATATGATTCAGAAGATAATGACTACATGTGGAGAGGCTAGAGGGATCCAGATGGTTCCAAGTTTTCTACATCCACTTGTGGTGGTTAGATATTGACTCTAACTAGACTGTGAGAAGTTTGCCTATCATAATTCCCAGACCAACAACTAAAACGTTATTTGAGATGTAGTCAAAAATACAATAAAGCACTTAAAATGGAATACTAAAAAATGTGCAAATAACCCAAAGGAAGGTAGGAAAGGGGAGACAGAGGAACATAAACACAGAGAATAGAAAATAATAAAATGGTAGGTCTGAGTTCAAACATATCAATAATTACATTAAATGTAATGTAATGATTTCAACCAGGGGTGACACATATTTCAATAAAAATATAAATTTATTTTTGTAAGTAAAGTTTTATTGCAACACAGCCACATTCATTACTTTGCTTATTGTCTATAGCTGCTTTCTCACAACAGCAGAGTTTTGTAAAATGTTATATAGTACACAAAGCCCAATGTTATCTGCTGCTTTCAGAAAAAGGTTGCCAACGTTATCTAAACAAGCCAATTAAAAGATAAAGATTGTCATAGTATGTGTGGCAATAATGACTATAAAAGCATGATCTACCTATATGTTGTCAACAAGAAACTGGCTTCAAATATAATGATATACGTAAGTTCAAAGTGAAAGGATGGAAAACGATGTAACATGAAACCACAAATGAAAAACTGGAGTAGCTATATTCATAGAAGAAGAAGTATGATAGAAGAAGTATCATAGAAGAAGAAGAATGATGAAAGGGTCCACTCACCAAGCAGATGTAACAATCCTAAATGTGTTTGCATCTAACTACAGACCTTTAAAGCACATCAAGCAAAAACTGAGAGAACTGAACAGCAAAATAGGTGAATCCAAATTCTGCTTTGAGATTTCAACACCCCTGGCTCAGTAGTAAACAGAAGTTGTAGGCAGAAAATTACCAAGGATATGGAAGAACTGAGTAATACCAACAGGATCATCTTGATGTTTGTAAAATACTCTACCCAACAACAGCAGAATACACATTCCTTTCAAGTGTACATGGAACATTTGCCAAGAGAGACCACATTCTGGGTCCTAAAACTAACAAATTTAAAACAATGAAATTGTACAAAGTATGTTCTCTGACATACTTTGTTGTACAAAAAAGATTTTGTCTCATTGATTTGTGAGTTAAACACAAACCAATAAGACAATAATAGGAAAATCTTTAAACACTTGGATGTTAAATTACACACTTCTAAGTAAACCATGGGTCAAAGAGGAACTTTTGAGGAAAATTAGAAAATATTTTGAACTGATGGAAAATCAAAATACAACATATCAAAATGTGTGGCATATGGCTAAAGTAGTGCCTAGAAAGGTATTTATGGCATTACATGCACATAATGAAAAAGAAGAAAGACTCAAATCAATAAGCTTCTACTTGAATGAAGTAGAAACAGGAAAGCAAAACAAACCCAAAGCAACTAAAGGAAAGGAAATGAAGATAGGAGGAGAAATTAATGAAATGGAAAACATAAAAATCAAGGAGAAAATCAATGAAACTAAAAGCTGGTTCTTTGAAGTGGTCAATGAAACTGATAAACCTATAGTAAGACTGACAAAGAAAGAAAAAGACAAAATTGTCAGCATCGGCAATGGAAGAGAGGCTATCCCTGCAGATTAACAAAGAATGGGCTGTTGGTATACAGAACAACTTGGATGATTCTCAGAACATGCTGAGTGAAAGAAGCTGGTCTCGAAAGGTTACGCACTGTCTGGTTTCATTTATATAAGATTTTACAAAAGAAAAAACTATAGTGACAGAGAACAGATTAGTAGTTGCTGGAGGTTAGAGATGGGGGAGTGTGTGCAAAGGGAGGTTTTAGAATAGTGAAGCTGTTTTGTATTCTGATTTTGGTGTTATTTATATGCATCTGTATATGTGTTTACATTTATAGCCCTATACACAAAAAAGTCAATTGCACACAAAGCACAAAGTCAGTGTTACTGTATGTTAATTTTTATAATAAATTAAAAAAAGAAAAAAGCGATAATTCATATGGTTGTTTTCTTATTGTCCTTTGGGTGTTATTGGCTTGAAATTTACAGGAACGTTAAACATATTTGTGCTCCGTGGGATGAGGGTCTCACTTGTTTGTGGGAACTGATTGTGTCTGTAGCGGGCTAGTTTGCAGTGCTGATTTGAAGTGAATAACTTTCAGAGCACTCCCTGCCGTGCTCGTGCCCCCTCTGACTTGGCCAGCAGGCACACAGGCACCTCCCCATTAAGATGGCCCAGAGCTCGGCAAAAACTCCTGTTCTCAGCTTCACTCTGAAAAGGCTGCAAGAAAAAGATTTGAAAAAAACAGTGAACCTGGGCAGAAATTAATCTTTAGTCTCTCATTCACCTTCAGTTAGATGGAAATGATCCATGCTAGGAAAGGGAATCACAAGAGTTCAGCATTAGTCTGTTTTGCACCTCCTGCCTCAGGCTGAGTCCTGGAGGACTCAGTGGAACCCCCATAATTTGGGAGATTTCAGAGTGGTGGGGACCCATGCCTTGCTCACTTCATGCTATGGTCTAGCTCTGTGTCCCCACCCAAATCTCATCTTGAATTGTAATTGGAATTGTAATCCCCATGTGTTGGGGGAGGGACCTCATTGGAAGTGATTAGATCATGGGGGTGGTCCCCCCATGCTGTTCTCATGATGGCAAATGAGTTCTCACAAGATCTGATGGTTTTATAAAGGGCTTTTCTCCACTTTGCTCTGTACTTCTCCTTCCTGCTGCCATGTGAAGAAGGACGTGTTTGCTTCCCCCTCCACCATCATTGTAAGTTTCCTGAGGCCTCCCCAGCCCTGCGGAACTGTAAGTCAATTAAACCTCTTTCCTTTATAAATTACCCAGTCTCAGGTATTCACAGCAGCATGAGAACAGACTAATACACTTCACTTGGACTGTTGGTGATTATGGACTTCATTGACTTTTGGTCATAAGCCACAGTGGGAGAGTGGCAGAGCCAAGGCTGCTGGAGTGGAGAGGTAGCATGAGTCTCCTGGAAGACTCAGAGGGGATGGAGAGCTATGCTGGTACCATCCTCATGCCTGGAGAAGGGGCTGGGGGAGCCATTAGACCTATAGAAGAGTGGGTCAGAACAAGATGGGACAGGGGACCTACATGGACCTGACCACCAAAGGCCACCTACAGGACGCTGCGAGAACACAGCCAAGGACCATGATTCCCACAGCCTGGCTGTGCACTGTGGCCGTGGTGTAAAAGGCAACTCCTCTGGGTCCCTCCAGATGAGCAAAATGCAAAGGCTGGCAGCCTCAGGAGTGGGGTGGAAAGAGTCCCCTAATACCAGAAGGGAACAAGTGCCTGTTCTTACCGTCATCATACATGTCCTCTCAAGCAAGGAATCCACTCAGGGTGGAGAAGGAGAGAAGAAAAAACCCAGGAGAGAGCTTTCAAACTGAAAAGTGGCTGGCTTATGTAAGCCTGAATTGAGAAATTATTGAGAAATTATGGCATTTTACTCTTTACCTAAAAGCAAAAAGATCACGTTTCCCAATACTGAGGAGAAACAGACATAAGGGTAGAGATTAAAGGTAGTCAAAGAAAAATAAAATTGTACTTTTGAAGTTATGAAGTTCATACATGTCACATGCCTTTTAGAAAAATGTAACTGAAAATAGAAGAAACTGGTGGTGTGAGTGTTTTTTGACTGGTAATGTGTTCTGGCCTCCAGATGAGGCCCCAGGGCTGTAACAATAACTGTATGTGAGACAGTCTTGCAGATGGAAATTGGAGCTCATTGCACAGCTGATGAGTGGCAGCACCAGGACTGGAAGGTGGCTGACTGTCACCCTGTGCTCCTTGTCCCTCTGTTCCACACTGCTTCTCACACCAAGAAGGAATAACGAGGGTGGTCCAGTCACTCAGTTCTCAAGGCACCCCTGCTCCATGGCAGGCAGGTAGAGACACCTTCCATTGGGGAACACTGGCTCAGAACAGCCAACACTGACCCTTATGCCAGACAGCCGTGAATCTCAGTGACATTACAGAATAGTTTCAGACTGTAAACTCCCTTGTGCTACTGTGAATTTTGTTATTTGAAGCAACATATGTAAACACTTGCTTCATCTTTAAAGACAAATAGTTTGAAGTGGGGAGTTCCCAAGAAGAAGAGGATTCCTCTGCCCTACTCATTTCTCTGGGGGTTTGACTTGGCATAACCAGTGAGTCGTGATGTGTTGATTGTCTCACTAACTTCCATTCCTAATAGATTGAATTGTTCAGCTAGAAGAAGGAACACACGAGAGGAGATGGGTTCATGGGTCAGTCCCTTTATCAGTGAAGATAAAAGACATCAGCTGGCCGGGCGCGGTGGCTCACGCCTGTAATCCCAGCACTTTGGGAGGCCGAGGCGGGTGGATCATGAGGTCAGGAGATCGAGACCATCCTGGCTAACAAGGTGAAACCCCGTCTCTACTAAAAATACAAAAAATTAGCCGGGCGCGGTGGCGGGCACCTGTAGTCCCAGCTACTCGGGAGGCTGAGGCAGGAGAATGGCGTGAACCCGGGAAGTGGAGCTTGCAGTGAGCCGAGATTGCGCCACTGCAGTCCGCAGTCTGGCCTGGGCGACAGAGCGAGACTCCGTCTCAAAAAAAAAAAAAAAAAAAAAAAAAAGACATCAGCTTTGGCTGCTGACTCTCATGCTGGAGGGCAGCTGTGACTGTCAGCTTGTGCATGCCCCTCTAGGAAAATCTACATTGATTTTAGGAGGATGATGCTGTAGCAAGGGAAGAAAGAGGTGGAACAACCCAAATGAGACTTGAAGCTGCCTAGGATCCTTTCTGCAGCTGGGAACCTACAGCTGGGCTCTCAGGGGCATGTATCTGGGCTTCTGCCCAGATACAGATGCTGGTATTGAGGAGGAGAGAGGAAGCTCTGTGCCAGGAAAAAACTTAGGACAGATAAAGTAGACTAGATAGAGTGAGAAGAAAGTTTGCAACTGTGGCAAGCAAAGGAGGAAAATGCCCAAAATTCCCAACACAATAAAGCAAGGTTTGATATTGTGTAAAATTAGAGGCTATAGTGCTTATAGCATATAGCGTAGTTACAGTATAGAAAATAACCTGTCAAAATATAAGAATTACTTATAGGTATTGCAACTAAGAGGAATCATATACTGTTTATTCATTATTTTTATTTGCTAACATTTACATATGTTTACTATGTGGCAAGCACTGGAGTAAGGCTAACTGTACATTTCCATATTTAATTCTCATGACAGCCTTGTGTGGGCACTGCCATTAGCTTCGAGAGATGAATTACTTTGCCTAAAGTCACACTATTAAATTGGAACAGGGCTGGGATCTGAAGCAAGGTCATTCCAACATCAAAGCCCACGTTCATCATGACGTTCTGCTGCCTCCCAGTCGTTTAGGTTTGCAATGATACGATCAAGTGAGAAAACACAATGTAGAGGAAGCACAGAAACTTGTCTCAGCTCTGACCCTCATCTGCACAGACCCTTTCTCTGTTTCATGGAGCCTGGAAAAATGTACAGAACCTCTCCCTATTTTGATCACCTCATGAGTAAAGTGAGAATATAATGAGGGTGACGTGAGATAACAGACATGAAAGTTGGAAATACTCTATCACGTTGTGCTGATGTCCATCATTCAAGAAATAATCATTGCGTGTCTCCTGGGCTGGAAACTCTGCTCAGAACGGGGAATACAACAGAGAGCAGAACACGCATGCTCTATGCCCTCACAGAGCTGGAGGTGTGTTGGAGGAATCGATCAAGTCACCATGAACATAAATATAAAAGGCAGTATCAGGGACTGTGATCCAGTCCAAGAGGTCAGGAAACAATATTGCCTGCAGGTTGGGTGAAGGGAATGGGAGGAACTATTCTGGGGAGATGGTTGACAGGTCGGGCCTTGCAGCACCTCCTAAGCAGTGGTGGAGACCCTGGCCCTTATCTAAGAGCAAAAGCGGATCCTCTGAGTGGAGGGTGATCTGAGAAGACTCACACTTGGGGGACAGATAGGCAGGGAGACTGAAGAGCAGACCATGCAGTAGTCCACATGGGGGAGGGTGATGGGGGCCTGGACCAGCATGGTGGAGATGGCGTGAAGTCGATGGGTGGTGGAAGAGATAATTGGGAGGTAAGTTGCCTAGGATTGGTGGTATGTTGGAGTAAGTAGGGAGTAGAGAAAAGGTAGCTACAAAGGATGAGGTCTAGGTCTTTGGCCCAAAAGAGTGGAATCCACAGAAGTTTACGAACTGAGTTCTTAGACTGTACAGTTTGTGGTGCCTTTGAAACATCAAGTGAAGGTGTTAAGTAGGCCAAATAAAACTGGCGCTCTTAAAACCACTGGCCAGCACATCTTGTCAACATTTGCTTTAAGAAGTCACTGAGCACCTGCTGTGAGCCTTCATATGCTGGGTCCGAAAAGATTCTGCCTTCATGTAAGACACAGCACTTTCCTTTACGGAATTGGCCTCGTTTGTGAGATTAAATGAACACATGACACAATGGGAAGATTTAAGTCAGTGTGTGATTAATTACCAAAGATCACAGTGCTCTGGAAATGAGTGGAGAGGCTTCCTGAAAAAAAAATAGGCTCAAATGAGAGAAACCTGGCTGACTGAGGGACAGAGGAGAGAGGAGGCAGTGATACAGCAACACGAGCAAGAGAACAGAGTTGGAATAAACACTAAGCCGTGTGGGGACGCAGCGAGGTTGTAGATTGAGTGTAGATTGCAGTGCACCTATTTGATAATATTGGGCCACAGAGTCTAGCCACTTAACACAGACATGTATTTAATGATGGATATATATTCTTTGTATTTTTGGCTGTTTCCTTGGCTTCTTCTAGTCTTGTTAAATGACATACAAGTCATAGCAAATGGCAAACACAAGTTTAAATGATAGGAAAATTGAGTGTGTGTGTGTGTGTGTGTGTGTGTGTGTGTGTGTATTTATTTTTCTCATGCAGGTCTTTAGGCAGTGTAATGCCTACCAGCCATCTTAGTAAAAATCATATTTTAAAATAGATGTGAATACTAAAGGAAAAGGAAACATGTGAGGTCTATTTTAAGTTCATGGTCATCTCAAGTATGGGCAGTAGCAGGGTGACCCAGTGAGCTCCTCTGGAGGCCCTGCAGCAAGAGAGAATAAACACTGTGCCTAGCGAAGGCAGGGACGTGTTTCTAAGGCAAGGATGACTAAGTGACTCTTTTCAAATTTTGTTTCACATGGGAAAATGTCTTCTGATTTGAGTAAAAAGTGTGTCTGTGTAGGGAAGATTTCTCATCCTGGGGCTTTCAGCTTTGCATTCCTGCCACACCAGGCCTGCCACCTTCCCTCCCTTTTGCAGGGCAGAACCAGCCCATAGCATGTTAGGTCCCATCAGAAGGTGCACGCAGAAGCCCGGCAAGAAGGAATCTCTCTCTGCCAAGAGCACGGACTGTGCCAAGGGAGGGCAGGCCATTCAAATCTGCTGGAAAAGGAGATGCGGCACCTGGAGATGCAGCATCTTCCAGTTCCATCTGCTTATTACTGTCCTGGATAACCATCCACAGGCCACTTACATAGAGGAAACATTTGTCTTTAGCTTCTAACTGTCCACTTTTTCTCAGTAATAGGAAAACTTACTCAGCAAAACATATAAAGTAGTTCAGGGACAGCCACTTTGGGGCCATTTAAAATAAGTTGACCTATATTGTATATAATGAAACCTGGAGTGGGGTTGCATTTTGAAAAATACCTTTAAGCTAATGAATGCTTTTTCAGTGCATTCAGCAAAATCCCCAAAGGGAGAAAAAAAATCTGTAGTTATTTATAAAATACTCTATTTCTGTGAATATATCTGGAGAAAGGTAGACAATAAGGGGAAATATTACAGCCAAAAGAATAGTCTTCTATGGGAAGAAACTTTCGTAGTGCAACAAAGTAATGATGAGTTCCATTTACTTATCCAAGCCCAGGGGAAATCCCGTGTCCATTAGATTTCTGATATCATCTGAACTTTCTGTTAGAATTATAATTATTTATGACCCTTACTCAATTAAAAATACCAGCTTTTTGTAATCCAAGATCTGACCTGTTACATTCTGTTCAGAAGAAAATAGCCTCAGAAGCAGGACTTTACCTGGTGCACGCATTCATGATCTGGATGCTGTTTCAGCATGTAGAGAGGAAACCCAAACAGGCCATGAGAGAAGCTCAGGCCAAGCTGGATTCTGAATTCCCATGTCCTTTAGCAAAGTCTGGGTCTCTCAAGAGCTAAAGGATTAAGATAAAGGCCTCTGCTACTCATGATTACCAAGGACCGTGTTCTGTGTGGTTTGTTCCTCTTATCTGCAGTCCTGACAACAGCTTGGGTACATGAGACCTGTCTGCACAGCTGCTGACATCTCCCCAGGGTACACACTGCTGACGTCCAATGCTTTAACGAGACACAGGCTTTCCTGCCAGCCTGGATATCCTTCAAACATGGCAGCCCCCAGCCTGGGACTCCAGCCAACAGTGCCCCTAGCCTGTCTTAGTTTAAACTGCTTACCTTTAACAGTTATTTCTAGCTGAAAACAGACCACAGCTCCTGTTCAAGCCATGCTGGTGGCCTAAAAACACCTAGCTATGCTTTGAAAAGTACAGTTGTGAGGACTGCTATATCAGTTTTTAATGCTAGTGTTGGGATGCAATTTTAATCCTGATCCCATTCACATTTGTCTGTTCGTTACATTTGTCGTGAGGGTCCAGGGTGGACCAGCCACTCTGCTGGGCTCCAGAGTTCAGCAGGGAGCAAGACCAACACAGGCTTCCAGGCTCCAGTTGTTGGTACAAGATAAAGTCTCAGAAGCATCATAAGGCTGGCTGAAAATGTGCCGACATTTGTGAGAAATACTAGGCCGTGCTACCACAATACCAGCACAACCCATGTTCTTTTATGGTCCAACCAGAAGATCATGTCTGATTTCATTGTCCCTGTGGTCCCTAGGGTAGCTCTGTGGCCTGTCCCTGCTCTCTGAAGAGCGATGCTCAGAGCAGCACTGGGTGCTCGGTGTTTCACACCTGCAGATTCCCAGGATGTCCTTGTGACCCAAATGCCCAGGCACAGAGGAGGCCAAAAAGTAGAGATGTCAGGACCACAAGAAAAGGTCCATGGAAGGAAGCAATTAGAACGCTCCATAAACCTTTTCTTAGGTGTCTTCCTCTACCCTTCAGAAAGGGCACAAATGGGGACAGGGAATTCCTTTAGCCTCCCTGCCCCATCCAATCCATCCTTGGCAGTTGCCCCATATTCCCCAGTCTGAAGTCTCTAATGCAAGTTTGCCTGTTGCTGCTGCTGCTGAGCCCTTCCTTCCTGGTTGTTGTCTGTCCTTTTTCCCCAGCTTGGGGACAAATGATTGTCTGGGTAGAGCTGCAGTGTTCTGAGCCAATCAGGGATAGAACCACCCGCACCCAGAATTCTCATCATCTCTTCCAAGCATGAGCCAAAGTGAGACATTTTCTTGTTTGCCAAAATGGAAGGACTCCTACCCACTGGGAGAAAGATATGACTCATTTTTCTGATAAAACCTTTCCTAGCACTGTCCCACATGGGATGAAGTGAACTGTCTCTCTGTCTCAAACAGGGAATCTCATTTCAGTCCATGTAGCACATTTTATAATGAAGCCTATAATAGCACAGGGGCCCTCAGCTTCTTGGACCCTCAGTAAATGTGGGAAAGATAAAGGAGTTACCTACACAGAATGCTCTGAATAAATGAATGAATGAATGAAGAAATTTAAAATTAATTTTGAATAATGCATGGAGAGAATGCATTACTCAATCCATGCAAAGTGTCAAGGTATAAGACCCTCATCAGGAAAAATCTTTCCTTTTGTTAGAGAAAAAAAGTTATCCTGACACTTGTTAAAACTAAGGTAGACTTTATTCAGGACTATTGTGATCAACATCAAGACTTTTGCAATAGGAGAGGGAGATGGGACTCAACTGTGAATACTACAAAGACAGCCAGTGACTTATAGCCCATGGGCACGGCGAAGGGTCAGGGGATGGAACATTTCTAAGAGGAGACATCAAGGGTAAGGGATTTGCACTAATCTGACTTGACAGGTTTCTTGCTGAAGGTAGGACAGGGTGATCAGAGATCTAGGTGAGGGATGAGGACTTTGATCAGCAATGGAGAGTGATCAGATAACAAGGGCAGGGGCGATTCTCACTAAAATGAGTTAGCCAGATTCTTGCTCCAGCTGGACTGGGCAGGTGGAAGACATGCCTCAAGGAGGAGGCCTGGTTGAAAAGAGGCTCAGAGGAGTCTAACCAAAGTTTGGTCAAGGAGAGAGACTTTGTCACTTTCTATTTGTCAACAGATTTTTTAATGAGTTAATTTTCTTCTGTATTTATTCATGTATATTATGTACATTGTTCTAGAGCAGTGAGTCCAACTGCCCAGTTACTCCCCATAAGAGTAACTCCAATTAGCCTACATTCTAAATAGCAGAGATTTTAGAGATGGAAATGCATGATGGCTCCTCCCTGCTGGGTTTGCAAAGGTCAGAGCTGAGTTGGGAGCAGACTACAGATCCTGATAAGGCCTGCTCTTTCCACTCACGGAGGGGAGGGGTTCAAAGGCAATTCCTCCAGCCTCGCTATTTGTGTCTGGGTAGATTTACCACTCTAAGGGTTTAAAAGTATAAAGGCCCAGAATCTCAGAGTTTTCATTTGTTCATTCCACAGATCTTTACTTAGTGCTTACTATGTGCTAGGCAGGATGCTAGGCACTGGGGATTGAATTGGGGGGCAGGGTAGCAGCTCCTGCCCTGACTGAGTTTACATATAACCTGAAAGATATGCGTAAATTCAGAACTTTACAGACGTGTCATAAGTGGCTCAGGAGAGAGGCCCACTGCACAGTGGCTGCACATGGAAGGCAGAGCTGACCTTGAAGAGATGAAGGAAACAGTTCTAAAGAAGTGACCACTGAGCTGAGAGCTGAACAATCCGTTGGGCAGACGCAGAGGTAACATGATGCGGATTGCAAGTGGCGGGAGCTTCAGCACCAAGCCCTGCGGTTGGAGAAGGCCTCTAAGAGCCTAAGCAGGAAGGATGGAGAAGAGACTATCAGGCTGGACTAGGCAGGGGCATAACAGGTGGGCAGGTGAATGAAGGCTCTTCCCCTAAGAACAAGAGAAAGCCAGTTAAGCTGTGGGGCAGACATGTGACAATCTAGGTCATGAGCCCCTGAAGATCACTCTTGTACAGAACAAACAAAGGAGGGGAGAGGCTCTGGCCAGAGTGAAGTGAGGGAGACCCGCGAGGGGCTGTTAAAGGAACAAGGCGAGAGATGATGGCGTCCTGGACAAAAGTAAGCAGGAGCGAGGCGGGTGACGTTAGGAGACACGTGTGTGGGAAAAACCAGTAGGCCTTGGTGAAAGATTAGTTATGGGGGATGTTTGGGGAAGGTGTTTAGGGAGACCTTGGCTTCAGATTGCTTAATGCTCGCATGGCAAAGCCACTTACTGAGACTGGCAGCCTCCATTCCACCATCTAGTGATCTGAAGTCCCGTGAAAGGCAGTCAGCATGTTACAACCATGTTAGACCTATTTACAGTTACTCAAAGGAAGACTAGACACTCTGTTAGCCTTTCACAACTAGATATCCAGCACATATACACAATTGGGCCATCGCTTCACTCTGAACATGTGTTTACCAGAGCACAAAACTTTGTGTTGCAATAAGTGCCTGTTTACCGCACACCTATGGCTCTGAGGACCCAGCATGGCCCCTACCCCCAGAGCCCAAGAAGGACTGTCCCCCAACTCCAGTCTCCATGGAATTAATCCAGGTGTTTGGGCAGATGACCAGGATGGGGAGGTTGTAACCATTCCAGGTCTCTTTGACCCAATCCCCATGTATTTACCAGAGTTGATTTTCAGTTTAGCACCGTGACAGGTACCATGAAGTTGCTAATATCACCAGTGGGAAAATAAAGATGGAGTCGGGGAGGTTGGCTTTGTTGTCTTCGTACTTTTTTGTCGTTTACCTGATTAATTTTGTGGGTAAAATGAGTCAACACTTGATCGAATGTAGCAACTTGAGTGTTTTAAACATAGGAATCCAGCAAAGTAGCATCTAGTTGCCCTCATTTGTAATCGACCTAGACAGAATGATTACTGAGGCTAAACTTCCTTCTCTAGGGGCCCAAGTCTGGCCTCCATCTACATACAAGGAACTTGGATTCATTTATTGTTTTCTTTTGGCTCCCAACTTAACAAACAGCTGAAAGTTAACATTGTTTATAATTGTCAAAGTCAATTTAGACTTTCCTGCTGGGAATCATTTTATTTTAAAAATAAAAAAATAATTAAGTCACCTTTTAAAAATAAAATTAAAATTTAAAAAAATTTAAAATAAAAAAAATTAAGCCAACTTACAAAGCAGGCATTGTAAGTTGGGCTAAAAAATTAGAGAAATATCTTAAGGCTCGTGTTCTGTCAGTGACTTATATTGGATTATCGCCTCTTAGTAGAATTTGAGTTTGGCTCCCTTGGTACATGATTTTTGATGGGCCCATTCTCAACTTTTGTGTCCATTTGAACTGAAAAAGGCATATCTATATTTTATGTCTCATTGTACGTATATAGCTTGCCCCAGGCTGTTGTCTTGCCCCCAGCAGTATTTCCTAATGGAACTGCCATTATATGGGCCCACCCACATCCATCCACCCCCTTCTTTCCTCATAGCAGTGATAATCTGTAAACTCCGCTAATTAACATTTCATAAAGAATGTTACATACTTGATGCCTTTATTCTCATTGGAAATGATCTAAGTTGTTTTAATCACAGTTTTCCTGACAGAGAGGAGAAACCAAAGATTGTTTTGACTATATATATATCTATATATCTATATAGATATATATTTTTTCAAATATATGTATGTATATATGTATGTGTGTATATATATGTATACACATGTGTGTATATATGTATATATGTATACACATATGTGTGTATATGTGTATATATGTATACACATATGTGTGTATATATGTATGCACGTGTGTGTATATATGTATGCACGTGTGTGTATATATGTATACACGTGTGTGTATATATGTATACACGTGTGTGTGTATGTATACACGTGTGTGTATGTGTATGTATACACGTGTGTGTATGTGTATATGTATACACGTGTGTGTATGTGTATATATGTATACACGTGTGTGTATGTGTATATATGTATACACGTGTGTATATGTATACACGTGTGTATATGTGTACATATGTGTGTATACGTATACATATGTGTGTATACGTATACATATGTGTGTATATATGTATACACATATGTGTATGTATATACGTATATATGTATATGTATATATACATATATGTATGTATATATGTGTATATGTGTATATGTATATATACATACATATGTGTGTATATGTATATACATACATATGTGTGTATATGTATATACATACATATGTGTGTATATGTATATACATACATATGTGTATATATACATACATATGTGTATATATACATACATATGTGTATATATACATACATATGTGTATATATACATACATATGTGTATATATACATACATATGTGTATATATGTATGTATATGTGTATATATGTATGTATATGTGTATGTGTATATATCTGTGTATATACACATACATGTATGTGTATGTATGTATGTGTATATATACACATACATGTATGTGTATGTATGTATGTGTATATATACACATACATATATACACATACATATACACATACGTATATGTACACATACACATATATATACACATACACACACAAACATATATACTGACTATATATATATACACACACACACTTGTGTGTGTGTGTGTTTATGAATATATATTTTTTCTAATGGAGTGAAAGGACTAGACATAAGTAAGAGTAAAGATTCACAAGGCCCAAATTATTTATAGGATCAGGAGTGTATAAGAGGGTCAAGGGTGGCTTATGAGTCAAATCAACTTACATATTGGAAGAAAAGTGGATTTGTAAGATTCATTTCCATTAAGTTTGAAAATAATGTGGCCGGTTGCTGTGGCTCACACCTGTAATCCCAGCACTTTGGGAGGCCGAGGCAGGTGGATCACTTGAGGTCAGGAGTTCGAGACCAGCCTGGCCAACATGGTAAAACCCTGTCTCTACTGAAAATACAAAAATTAACAGGCATGGTGGCACGTGCCTATTATCCCAGCTACCCAGGAGGCTGAGGCAGGAGAATCGCTGGAACCCAGGAGGCAGAAGCTGAGTGAGCCGAGATGGCATCACTGCACTCCAGCCTGGGTGACAGGGCGAGACTCCATCTCAAAAAAAAAAAAAAGAAAGAAAGAAAATATGTATTAGGGTCCCCGTTGGGGTAAAATCGGTGTTGGTTTAGGAACAGAACAACTGCAGATAGTCCCACCAAATGGTGATGATGATGATGATGATGATGATGATGATGATGATGATGATTGAGATGTAGTGTCGCTCTGTCACCCAGGCTGGAGTGCAGTGGCACGACCTTGGCTCACTGCAACCTCTGCCTCCCAGGTTCAAGCAATTCTCCTGCCTCAGCCTCTGGAATAGCTGGGACTACAGGCGCACACCACTATGCCCAGCTAATTATTGTATTTTTAGTAGAGACGGGGTTTCACCATATTGGTCGGGCTGGTCTCGAACTCCTGACCTGCACACCTGCCTTGGCCTCCCAAAGTGCTGGGATTAGAGGCATGAGCCACCGTGTGCCCATCCCAGATTATTATTATTGTTATTATTATTTTGAGACAGAGTCTCACTCTGTCACCCAGGCCAGAGTGCAGTGGCGTGATCCTGGCTCACTGCAACTTCCATGTCCCGGGTTCAAGTGATTCTTGTGCCTTAGCCTCCCAAGTAGCTGGGATTACAGGCACACACCACCACACTCAGCTAATTTTTGTATTTTTAGTAGAGACAGGGTTTCACCATGTTGGCCAGGTTGGACACCAGATTACTTCTGAGAACTATCTGAGGGGCTGTTTATATTTACAGTGGGCTTCAGGCTCAGTGGACCCCTAAAGACTCCGGTTACAACTGTAGTGGATGTTCACCATGTAAATGGTACCATCTTCCCCAGGGCATTGCAGTGCCTGACGGGAATTCCACTGGAGTAAGGAGCTGCATGTAATGCCCAGAAGGAGAAGTCAAATAGGTCTGATTCTTTATTCCACATGGCTTCAGGGGCAATATCTCAGAATGGTGATGCTCTTGAGAGATTTAGGGAATCTTCCTTTCTCACACTCTTGATCTTTCTTTGGTCTTTGTTTGCTTTTTTAAAATGTTTTTTTTTTTCAGTTTTAATTGTGGCAAAATATAAATATAGTAAATAAATGATAAAATAAGTAAATAAAAACTAAACATAAATACACAACAAAAGCTACGATTAAAAGCTACGATTTTAATCATTTTAGGTGTCCAATTCAGTGGCATTTCATACATTCATATTGTTGTACAGTTGTCACCATCATCCATCTTCAGAACTTTGTCACCTTTGGCCGGGCGCAGTGGCTCACACCTATAATAGCACTTTGGGAGGCTGAGGCAGGCAGATCACCTGAGGTCAGGAATTTGAGACCAGCCTGGCCAACATGGTGAAACCTGTCTCTACTAAAAAAAATTAGCCAGGTGTGGTGGCACGGCCTGTAATCTCAGCTGCTCTGGAGGCTGAGGCAGGAGAATCACTTGAACCCAGGAGGTGGAGGTTGCAGTGAGCCGAGGTTGCACCACTGCAATCCAGCCTGGGCGACAGAGCAAGACTCTGTCTCAAAAAAAAAAAAACAAACCAAAAAAAAAAAAACCAAAAAAACACTTGTTATCTTTCCAAACTGAAACTTTGTACCTATTGAATAATAACTCCCCATTCCCCTCTTCCCGCAGCCCCTGGCCACCACCATTCTATTTTCTGTCTCTAGGAATTTGACCTTCTCTGGTGCCTGGATTCCTCATAGAAGTGGAATGACAGTGTTTGTCTGCTTGTGACTGGCTTATTTCACCCAGCATAATGCCTTCAAGGTTTGTTCAGTTGCAGCACGTGCACTTTCAGCCTTTGGGATCTGTGCAGAGTGCAGGCAAAACAGAGCTGAACTCCCGACTCACAGGACACACAGCTGAGGAGACATCTCCTCTCATGCCCTGTCTGGACGGCTCTTGCCCTGGGGAAATTAAGGAATGAATTTGTTTAAAGTCAGGCATATTGAGGAATTGTTTACCTACAGTAAAATTCACACTTTCTGGTGTATATTTATATGAGTTTTAAGATAGTGATGTTTTTAAATGCTCCTAGCTCAGCAACTGGTACAACTGATAAGTGGACATAGGGAGGTCCCTAGAGTAGTCAGATTTATAGAGAGAGAAAGAACAAGGGTGATTACCAGGAGTTTCAAGGAGGGAAAAATGTCCAGTTTCAACCTGGGATAATAAAAAAGTTCTGGAGATGGATGGTGGTGATATCACACAGCAATGTGGATGTAAAAATGCCACTGAAGTGTACTTAAAAATGGTTACAATGGTAAATTTCATCATATATGTATTTTACCACAATAAAAAATTAACTTAAAAAACCGATAAGTGGCATCTATGCAATGATATCTGAAACTTGGGAATTCAGAATGATTTTAACCAAAAGAAGAAAAGACATCTATTTAATTTAGTAAACTGAACTAAAGAAATCCATACATGAGACTGTCCCAGCACTCCCCCAAGAAGCAGGAATGAAGGTAGCATCTCTCAGTACTGCGCCAGGGCCAGCTGTGAGCAAAGCAGTGACAAAGACAGAATAAGTGGCTTGCAGTCCAGCAAAGCCTCCAGAGACCTCTGTTATTATTTTTGTATGTTGTAGTTTCTACTGATTCTTAGGGTTCGCCAGAACACTGCTGGGCAACCTCTGATCTGAGAAGTAGCACAGTGAGTCCAGACACCACATGCCATTTGTTTTTCCTTCTCTGACAGTAATTTCTGGAGTGACCTTGAGCACATCTTGTCGCTCCCGCTCCATTTCCCAGCTCCCAAGTGGAACCATTACCTTTAAAAACTTTTACTTTAGCGTCCTCTCCCAAAATGGACCTGCAGCTACCCCATAACTTTCTGATGAATAACACCTGGCTGGCTGTTCTCTTGTCAGGGAGGTTCTGTGCTCAGAACCCCAGCAAGATGCTGAGTCCTTCCCTTCCCCTGCAGTCAGGCAGCCACCAACGCAGAAGCCACATGGGGAAAAGATCACAGTTCTCAGTGACACTGAAGACAAAACTCAGGCTGTGTTCTGTGAACCCTGAATATCTGAGACAAGTCTCAGTCAATTTAGGAAGTTTATTTTGCCAAAGTTAAGAACGCATGCCCGTGACACAGCCTCAGGAGGTCCTGACGACATGTGCCCAAGATAGTCCAAGAACAGCTTGGTTTTATATATTTTAGGGAGACATGAGCCATCAATCAATAAATGTAAGATGAACATTGGTTGGGTCTGGAAAAGGCGGGACAACTCGAAGTCGGGAGGGGGCTTCCAGGTCATAGGTAGATAAAAGACAAACGGTTGCATTCTTTTAAGTTTCTGATTAGCTTTTCCAAAGGAGGCAATCAGATATGCATGTATCTCAGTGAGCAGAGGTATGACTTTGGACAGAATGGGAGGCAGGTTTGCCCTAAACAGTTTTCAGCTTGACTTTTCCCTTTAGCTTAGTGATTTGGGAGCCCCAAGATTTATTTTCCTTTCACAGCTCCTATATGATTTTGTCCACAGGGTTGATACTACAGTGTCAAAGAAAAAAGTCAAACTTTATAAAATATTTAAAGAGGTTTATTCTGAGCCAAATATGTGTGACCAGGGCTCGAGGCACACTCTCATAATGTCCTGAGAACATGTGCCCAAGGTGATTGGGTTACAACTTGATTTTTATACATTTTAGGGGGACAAAAGTTACAGGCAGACATCCATCAATACCTGTAAGGTGTACAGGTAATCATTGGTTTGGTCCAGAAAGGTGGGACAACTAGAAGCAGAGGGGAGGGGAGGCTTCCAGGTCTTAGGTGGACGATTGGCAATTGGTTGAAAGAGTTTAAGTTACTATCTAAAGATGTGGAATCAATAGAAAGTAATGTCTGGGTTAAGGTAAGGGGTTGTGGCAACTACAGTCCTTATTATGCAGGTGAAGCCTCCAGGAAGCAGGCTTCAGAGAGAATACATGGTAAATGTCTCTTATCAGATCAAAAAGGTTCCAGACTCTTAGTTAATCTCTCCTGGATCAGGAAAAGACCTGGAAAGGGAAGGGGATTCTCCCCAGCAGGGATCCCCAACCCCCTGGCCACGAACTGGTACCCATCCTGGTTCTGTGGCCTGTTAGGAACCAGGCTAACAGCGGGAGGTGTGCAGGAGGTGAGCAGTGGGCGAGCGCAAGCTTTACCTCCTGAGCTCTGCCTCCTGTCGGATCAGCAGCAGCATTCGATTCTCATAGGAACACAAACCCTGTTGTTAACGGTGCATGTGAGGGATCTAGGTTGCGCCCTCCTTTATGGGAATCTAATGCCTGATGATCTAAGGTGGAACAGTTTCATCCTGAAACACCCCCCACCCGCCTGTCTGTGGAAAAATTGCCCCTTTCACGAAATCAGTCCCTGGTGCCAACAAGGTTGGGGGCCACTGCTCTACAGAATATAGGTTGTTCCCACAAGAGACAGCTTTGCAGTGCCATTTCAAAATATGTCAAAGAAATATATTTTGGGATAAAATACTTTGATTTCTTTCAGGGCCTGCTATCTGTCATGAGATGCTATACTAGAGTCAGGTTGGAATTTGATGTCTTATTGCTACAAAGAGTCTGTTTTTCCAGTCTTAAGATGTCTATTTTAATGTTAATGCTGGTCAGTTGTGCCTGAGTTCTGAAGGCTTGAGGGTATAATGGGTCATGTCTGACCACCTTGTTCAGTCTGGAGGCTGTTGGTGTAACCCAGGTGAGAGCCCTGCTGCTTTCGACCAAGGTGTTGGCGAAGGATGTGGTGAAAGATAAAGTTGGGATGTATTTTGAAAATGGAGCACTCAGTGTTGGTGGATTAGATTGTAGGGAGGCAGTAAAGGGAAAGAGGAATCAGAGACGTCTCCTTGATTGTCAGTCTGCACAGTGAGTGAATTGTGGTGCTGTTAACTGAGATGAGGAAAAGAAGAGGGAGATGTCAGTTGAGAAGGTAGGGTCTCCTCACTCAAAGGGTACCTGCAAAGTCACAGCCAGGGTTTGCTGTATTAAGCAAATCTGCTGCACTTATGCATGGCAAGGCCAGGATTATGAATCAGAATGCCTGAAATCCATATTTATAATCAGTCCACTAGGCTTTGCTGGACTGCAACTTAACAAACCCTTCTGGGGATCTGACTTGTTTTGCTTAAATAGCTGTTATGAGAAGACAAGAACATAACTGTTTTTGTCAGAATTCATCAATATATTCATTATGCTAGGGGCACACTGTCCTGTTATGCTTTTAGAATATGATGTCTTTCTAGTCTTTTTACGAAACTGGTACTCTTCAAAATTTATTATCAGTACACTGAGAAAGGGAAGGAAAAGAATCCTTTTTGCAGTCTCATGCTGTCAGGTTTGAAATGAAATAACACTGAGCAAGTACTCCTCTACAGAAACAATTTTGGGCTTCATGAAACAAATCACAGTTGTTTGTGGACCAAAAAACTTGTATTTTTATGTACATGTGCTCAGCTGTGGTTAAGATGTCACTAAGTCACCGGCATTTGTTGGACACCCACTGGGGGCAGAATTTGGCCAGTTGTGATGAAAAGAAAAAGACTTTTTAAAAAGAATTGTCACGTGGTCTGCATCATCTTTATAATCATCTTCTAATCCAAAAAGAAGGAGTGCCACCTCCCAAGACATGCAAACATTCAAAAGCACCAACACACTGAACATATAATTAATATGTAATAACTCCTTGTATGTATTTTTTCAGTTTTCTGGCATTTAAATATGTAGAGGTAAGTGCTGTGTTGAAAAAAATTCCAGAGTCACTATCAGCTGAGCCTAGACTAGTGCCTGGCATATAGTGGGCATTCAGTAATATGTGTTGAATAAATTCATGCCTTGAAAAGAATGATTTATAACATACGTCCAAAAATGTAATATTAGAAATTAAGATTGTGACTATCACAGTGCTTGGTTAATGAAATTAAATTCATTAGGATTTATTGTGTAGCTACCATTCTGCCTGCGTGGTACATGAGAAGGGAATCCAAGTCCACTGCATTCTTGTCATATAGTGTGGCTTAGGAGGCTTGTAGCACCTCCTGTCAAAAATATTTACTCCTATTATGTAACTGCATGTCTGCAATTCCTTACATCAAATACTTCTAGGGTGCTAATAAGCCAGTAACAAGGGAGCAAAACAAGGTTTTCATCCTTGTTCAGCCCACTGTGAGCCAGGATCATGGGGGCAACCTCACTGTTGCTTTTAAGATCACACAGTCACTGTGTAGGACCCACATCCAGTTAGGATACTTGAGGCCAGTGACATTGAAACATGGTCTTCATCCCTGCAATCCCTGGCCATCAAATAAAAGACAGTCTTTCTCTTTGCCTGTGGGTACCTCATCCCTCTTATGAACTTCCTTAGAGGCAGAGTCCAAGACAGGGTTCTTGAAGCACATGAATTATTGGGGAGTTGTGCTCTAGGAAAACCTATAAGGGAGTAAGGGAAGCAGGATAGGGAAATGGCAGGGCTGTTTGGACCATATCAAAATGACTGTAGGTTTCACTAGGTTGACAGCCCAACCAACAACTTACAACTGACCCTCCAATCCTTGACCTTCTTAACTCCAGATCCCTTTACAGCTCCACTTGATCAGCCACTCCCAAAGTTGTGGGCTAGATTCTGTCTTAACCCAGACCTGCCCTACAACAGATCCTCTAAGCTGTCATGCCTCACTCTCTACCACTCTTTTTTCTTTGCCCAGCTCTCATCCCTTCCTCCTGCAGTCCCTCTTCAATGCTTCAATGTGTACAGACCTACTTCCAGTTTCTTGGCGCCTCTATTTTCTTCTACTGTGCCAAGACCCTTCTTATCTCATTCCCCCCATAACCAGTACCACTTGGCTACTCCAGGGGGAGTCTCCAGACCAGCAGCATTGGCGATGTCTGGGAACGTTTTGGAAATGCATGGTCTCAGGCCCCATCCTAGGCCCAGTCAGTCAGAATCTGCATTCTAGCAAGAGCCCCAGGTGATTTGTGTCCACACTAAATCTGAGAAGCACTGCTGTGAATTACTTTACTGGTAGTTTTCCTAATTTTTTGTCCTTCTGCTGGACCCACAAAGCAGACCTCCAGTCATAGGTGGACCCTGCAGTGTGGGTACCCACAATTGCCAGCCATTCCCAACCTGTGCCTCCTACTGCAGTTGATCTCTCAGAGCTCTTTATCAACCCTTTTGTCATTTCCTTCCAGTTTCTCTCCACAAGTATTCCAAATGCTTACCTTTTCCTGTACACCCTGACTCAAACCAGTAATCCTCTTTATAAATTAAACCAGGTTTGTTTAATATATATTAGAGTAAAATCATTATATTCTTTCACATTTCAATCTTTGAACATAATTGTTGTATTTTGTTAATGTGAATTGACATGTATGTTTTTCCAAAAAACAGAGAATCATAAAATAATCAGAAATTAGAAAGAGAATTGTAAACAAATAGAGCAAAAACCATCTGTTTTATGTTGGTATTGTAAATACACATATCTGTTATATTACTTGCTATACTTCTCTGTGTGTTTGATATGACTTATAATTTCAAAATAAAATTTAAAAGGTCATGCTGAAGCAAAGAAAAAGGGCCAGGCATGGTGGCTCATGCCTATAATCCCAGCACTTTGGGCGGCTGAGGCGGGTGGACCACCTGAGGTCAGGAGTTCGAGACCAGCCTGGCCAACATGGCGAAATCTCGTCTCTAGTAAAAATGCAAAATTTAGCCAGGCGTGGTGGCAGATGTCTGTAATCCCAGCTACTTGGGAGGCTGAGGCAGGGAGAATTGCTTGAACCCAGGAGGTGGAGGTTGCAGTAAGCAGAGATCACACCACTGTACTCCAGCCTGGGCAACAGAGTGAGACTCTGTCTCAAAATTAAAAAAAAAAAAAGAAAGAAAAAGAAAAAAAAAAAGAGCGAAAAATTAAGAGTTTCCCCTGATAATCTGTGTCCACTGCCCAGCCCAGATGTCTCTCATTCTACTATTTACCTGGTCTGAAAAACTAAAAGCAAAAAATCTAAATTGGAAATAAACTTGGACCTGAAGTACTGCTGCAGAAGGAATAAAAGGAAAAGCTCCTAGAGGAATGGATTCTCAAACCAGACCTCAAAGGTTTCCCACACATAAAGTGCTGAAAAGAGAAGCACACAATTTTTTTAAAAAATCACAAAACACACACACAACCCACACATAAACAGCCCAACATTAGGGTCAGTAGAGACAACAACAGAACCACATGCAGAAGACTTCTGAAATTAGAATTATCATAAATTGTGCTCAAAATAAGGATCTATAATAATGGGTTTTTACAAAGAGAAGTATTACAGGAAAGGGGTCTAGATCCCCAAGAACCCAAGAGAGGGTTCTTGGATCTTGCACAAGAAAGAATTCAGGGCGAGTCCGTACAGTGAAGTGAAAGCAAGTTTATTAATAAAGTAGAGGAATAAAAGAATGGCTGCTCCACAGACAGAGCAGCCCCGAGGGCTGCTGGGTGCCCATTTTTATGGTTATTTCTTGATGATATGCTAAACAAGTGGTGGATTATTCATGCTTCCCCTTTATAGATCATATAGAGTAACTTCCTGACGTTGTCACAGCATTTGTAAACTGTCATGGCTCTGGTGAGAGTGTAGCAGCAAGGACGACCAAAGGACACTCTCGTCTCTATCTTGGTTTTGGTGGGTCTTGACCAGGTTCTTTACTGCAACCTGTTTTATCAGCAAGGTCTTTATTACCTGTATCTTGTGCCGACCTCCTGTCTCATCCTGTGACTTAGAATGCCTTAACCATCTGGGAATGCAGCCCAGTAGGTCTCAGCCTCATTTTCCCATCTCCTATTCAAGATGCAGTTGCCCTCGTTCAAACAACTCTGACAGAAGGAATCCAATACACGGTTCAAAGATTATCAAAAATTATCAAAGAATCAGAAATTCAAGAACTTGGAAATAGAACTGAAATCAAAACTTAATGGAGCTCAGTTACAGAATAGATAATTCATGAACTGAAAATTTGAAGAAATTACCCAAAGTGTAACCCAGAAAGACCAAGAAAGGAAAAATATCAAAGATGTTAAGAAACTCCAAGGATAGAATGAAGTGGGCCAACGTATGAAAGTTCCAGAAAAAAAGAACAGAGAGAATTGGAAGAGGCATTATTAAAAACAATAGTGACTAAGAATTTTTCAGAATTAATAAGTAAAACCCAAAGGAGAACAAATGGCAAGTAAATGAAAATTAAAGCCATAAACAAATCAACAGGAAATTCATAAGTAGCATGAATACTCGGAGTTAAAAAGGAATAATGAAGCAAGGTGAATAAAGAGACATTCATACCTAACCACCGTGTGGTGAAATTGCAGAACATGAAAGACAAAAAGAAGGCTTGTATATTAATCATAGAAAAGGAGTATCTACAAAAGGAGAAGCAGATAGGCTGAGAATGAATGCTGTGAATGAATGCCTTACCAACAACAATGGAAGGGAGAGGATGGTGGGGAAAAGAATCTGCCAGTCTGTAACAGGACTTTCAGTGAAACCAGCTTTCAAAAATCAAGAGATTTTTTAGACAAAGATTTAAAGATTTACCCACCCACACACTCTCCTTAAAGGAACTTGAAAATGAGGAAAATAATCTCAGAAAGGTCTGAGATAGAAGGAATGTTGCATCTGGAAGTGGATATATATCTCCATGTTTAGTTACACATGTATCTATATAAGTGGTCAGCGGTGTACAGCATGCGTGAAGAGCTCCAGTGACATGGTGGGGGGCAACAAAGAAGAAATAAAGATGAGACTTTGCCCTCGCAGCATTTATGAATCAGTTGAGATCTTAAGAGCATCTCTAAGCAGCACAGAAATTGTGAATTGATAAAGACCTGAAGTTCTGGAAAAGATGAGATGGTGTATATGCTTACCATGATATTTGCTCAACAAATTGAAAACACCTAATATCTAATCAAAGAAGAAGACAGTAATCTGTTCTGGAAATCTGTCACATCTGGCCTTTGTTCCCTTCATGGACTGAATAGAGGGTCATCAGATGGCCCTATGTCAACAATAACCAGGGTTAATAACCAAAGTGTCATTAGCTATTCATTCCTATACGTTTAGCAAACCCTCTCCCCAGGAAATACGCTTAGGAGTTCAAGGATACACATGGTAATTTGGCAGAGTGTATATAGGTATACATTTTTCCCCTAATCATTAGAACCTGTGAAAGTTATACTTGTTAAGAATGTCAAATCTTTGCACTATGCTATTCCTCAAAGAGAGAAAGCACTTCCCATCCCCTGCTCATTCTTTCCTCCTCAGATTGTTCATCTTTTGCATATTGATTTGTGATAAATTACGTATTAGAGAGCCTAGCGTTGTGTCTATTGTATGTGTTGCAAATATTTTCTTTTCTTCTTCTTTTTTTGAGCTGGAGTCTTGCTCTGTCACCCAGGCTGGAGTGCAGTGGCACAGTCTCAGCTCACTGCAAACGCCACCTCTCAGGGTCAAACAATTCTCCTGCCTCATCCTCCTGAATACCTGGGACTACGGGCACACACCGCCGTGACTGGCTAATTTTTACATTTTTAGTAGAGACGGTCTCACCGTGTCGGCCAGGCTGGTCTCAAACTCCTGGCCTCAGGTGTTCCACCAGCCTCGGGTGACGCACCCACCTAGGCCTCCCAAAGTGCTGGGATTACAGGTGTGAGCCACCATGCCCGGCCACAAATATTTTCTTTATAGATTTTTTACTTTGATTATGCTGTCTTTTAACATATATAAGATTTTACTTTTATATAGTGAAATCTATGACTGTTCCCTTTATGTCTTATGGGTTTGATTCATACTTAGGTCCTCCCAAAGATTATGATACTCTTAGATATTTGCCTCTGATACAGCAAAAGTTTTCGTTTTTCTGTTTACATTTTGGCTCCATATGAAATGTATTTTGGTGCATGACTTGAGATAGAGGGGTTTTTTCCCCATATAAGTAGGCTGCTGTCTCAACACCACTGATTGAATACTCCAGCATCCCCCATGGATTTGAAATGCCACCCTTATTATAGCATTAAGTTCCAAAATATGAACGGTTCTGTTTCTGGCTCTTTTTTTGTTCCGTGGATCAGCTTGTTTATATCTGTGCCAGAACCCCATAGTTTTATCCACTATGGTTTATAACAAAATTATCTATGTCAAGTATTTGCTCCTCGCCATTGTTATTTTTGAAACATTTTCATAAATATTCTCTTACATTTTCTCCTCCAGTTGAAGTGTGAAAACAACCTGTCAAATTTGAAAGAAAAGCTCATTGGGATTTAAATTTTAATTGCACCGGATTTGTATATTAATTTGGAGACAATTGGCAGCTTTGGAATATAGGGTCATTGAATCAGGAACAAGAAATGGTATTACCTCATTTACTCAATACTTGAGTTGTGTGTGTGTGTACAGACACTTATATACATAATATATATGGATGTATATATACATATTCATACTTTTTTCATATTAGTTCTGTGCATTTCTGGATATGAAGTCTGTGTACAGACTTGTTACTCCATTCAACTCTCTGTCTACAACTATCTATATAGGAGAGTCATCTGTGATCCTTGAGTGCCCTTTGATGACGTCACTGTGCTTAGTCCCCAGACCCCACCACTCTAGGCTCTACAAATTTGACCAGCAGTTAACACAAGAACTCTACCAAATAGCATGCTCTGTCCTGGAGAGTGCCTGCTTGAACCAAGCAGAGCCTCTCTCTTAGGGACTTGGTTTTTCAGATGTAGAGTGTCAGCAGATGGTAGTAGAGCCAGAAGCTGAGAAAGAGAAAGCAGTAAGCGAAAGCCAAGAGGCAGTAAAATTCATGGTAAGCATAAAACACGAGAGATAAAAGACTACAGAGATAATAGTGGGCAGCAGCCACAGAAAAACAAACAGAAGATACAGGAAGAAGCTGAATCATGCCGATGGCGGAGTTGCAGGGGTGGGAAGCAAGGAACACCTGTTGCTGGAGGAGGATGACCTCAGCAGGGCCCCTGCTTGAATCATTCATATTATTAAGTTGCCAGAGCTATTTTGTCTCCTTATAATATTCCAGTTCTCCATGAGGTTGGTCTGCAGTACTGTTTTTTCACTTCCCTGTATTTCCTTCCAATACATACTTAAGATCTTTTTATTTATGTATGTATGTATTTTTTCAGATGGAGTCTCGCTCTGTCACGATCTCACCTCACTGCAACCTCCGCCTCCCAGGTTCAAGCAATTCTCCTGCTTCAGCCTCCAGAGTAGCTGGGATTACAGGCACATGCCACCACGCCCAGCTAATTTTTGTATTTTTAGTAGAGATGAGGTTTCACCATGTTGCCCAGGATGGTCTCAATCTCCTGACCTCGTGATCTGCCTGCCTCGGCCTCCCAAGGTGCTGGGATTACAGGCGTGAGCCACCGCGCCCAGCCCCAGTACTTAAGACTGAACTTCAGGAGGGAAGGAGGGGAGTTAGATGCATGTCCTCAGCCCATCTCACTTGCTTCTCACTTGTCTTAAGGGATAAATAGCCCTATCCTCCAATTCAAATTAAGTATAGTATCTTCCCTTTGCCCCTGGGCCCTGTGCACACAGACTTGTGCCTTGATAAGAACTGGCCACTACTTTTGGGTCCCTGTTCCATTACCACTCCTCTTGTGTGTTTCTTCAGCAGCTCTTACCCTCCTGATTCCTTCCTGCTCCAATCTTGTGTCCCTTCCCTCTCCAGGCCCCTGTCCACCCTGTATCTGCACTATTCTTTGTATTTTGGCACCACGATCACCTAAACTAGGAAACTGGGAATACTCTGTGATGGCAAATTTTGCACATTTTGATTAGGCCATGGGTGCCCAGACATTTGGTCAAACATTATTCTGGTTGTGTCTATGAGGGTGTATCCAGTTGAGATGAACATAGGATTTGGTGGACTGAGTAAAGCTGATTGCCCTCCCAAATGTGAGTGGCCCTCGTCCAATTAGTCGAAGGCCCTAAGAGAACAAAAAGGCTGAGGAAGAGAGAACTGGTTCTACCTGACTGCCTGTGAAGTGGGACATTGATTTTGTTTTTCCTGCCTACTGGCTCATATTGAAACGTCGGTTCTTGCTGAGTCTTCAGTATACCAGTTTCAGCCTGGAGCTAGACCATCAGTGCTCTTGGGTCTTCAGCTTGCTGACTTCAGATCTTGGAACTTCTCAGCCTCTACAATTATGTAAGCCAATTCCTTATTCTTTCGATCCATCTATCTCCCTACCTATCTATCTGGTTTCTCCTGCCTTCCTTACTCTTCCTCATATTTTTCCCATCTTTGTATACCTATATATATATTTATCCTTCCAGGACATTCCATCTAAACTCTTCCTCATATTTTTCCCATCTTTGTATACCTATATATATATTTATCCTTCCAGGACACTCCATCTATACTCTTATTTACTACATCCATCTACTACAGTGGTTTCAAGTCTTGGTTGCTTCAGAGAAAGAACTGCCTAAAACACCGATCTGACCATGTCCCTCCCCTATTAAAAATCTTCCAGCAACCAGCCTGGCCTGCATGGTAAAACTCCATCTCTACAAAAAAAAAAAAAAAAGTACAAAAATTAGCCGAGTGTGGTGGTGTGTGCCTGTAGTCCCAGCTACTCGGGAGGCTGAGGTGGGAGGATCACCTGAGCCTGGAGAGGTCGAGGCTGCAGTGATCTGTGATTGCGCCACCGCACTCCAGTGTGAGTAATAGAGTGAGACCCTGTCTCGAAAAAACAAAAACAAAAAGTTAGCAGGGCATGGTGGCGGGTGCCTGTAATCCCAGCTACTCGAGAGGCTGAGGCAGGAAAATGGCTTGATGCAGCTTGCCAGCCTCACAGGGTCAATAAGATAAAGGGCAAGCTCCTTGACTTGAGATTCAAGACCAGTATTTGTCCCCCGTCTCCTCCCTAACCTCATCCCTCTCCACAGATACAATTTTAACATTGTTCTTAGAGCCACAGGTGGATTTGTGGCTTATTTTCCTCAAACCGAGGTCACCTAACTGGTAAATTCAGTCTCGTACTCACACCTCTTCACTTCAGCGTTCCTGAACTACCTCTAGAGCTTAAACACAAAGTATAAACAGAATGAAGAGGCATAAAGGGTAAAGATGTGCTTTATCCCTTACCCTAGAGAGCTTGGCCTCATGATAAAATAAATGAGACAGAAGTGTTGTTTAGTTGCCAGAAAGAAGATAGGCTCTAAGTAGTAGTCTGAGCTAACTTAATAAGCTAAGCTAAAGAAGAGGAAACCTGGGTTTCCTTCTGCTGTGCCTGAAAGTCATTATCCTGGGATCCTCACATCACTGTAAAAGAGAGGACACTGGAGACGTGCAGCGATGACAAGTTCTTTTTATTTAATTTTAGGCATAGTTAGTAAGCCTCAAGAAGCCTTTCTTATTGTTTGCCTTTCCTGTATTGATTGTAGAGCTAAAGTATGCCTAATCTTTCTTTAAATACTGACCAGTAAATCTGCTGCTTTCCTATGCCCTGGAAAAGAAAATAATCCAGCAATTCAATGAAAGAGTAGAATCACCTGTTCTTCTTGACACTGAGGAGTAACTTAATGTCCTTGGAGAATTTGCGACTAATGAATTTCAAATTTGAATAATCAGCACTTATAATCATGTTAAATAGCTATGGCTGGAGCATTTTGATTTGCTTCTTAATTAAATCATTTACCAGAAACTAAACAGCATTCTTCAACTTTCAATCATATTGACAACCTGTTTTTGACTTCTTTACTATCCAAATATGATGGCTTTTAGAAAGTTCATAAGCATCACAATTTTTAAATAAAAAGATGAAGTCCAGTACAGTTTCTCATTTATTGTAACGGAAATCCAAATTACATAGCACAGCCCACTCAATAAAAGTCAGCTTCTGAAGTTCTATATTTTAATTCAGTGTAAATGACGTAAGAACCCTTTCCAAAAAGACTTGGCATGTTTGGTAGTGAGAGAGCAGAGTCGCCCACTGCACGTTTGCCATGGCAGTGGGGAATGTCTTGCTACCAGCGAGATGCAACACTTGCGAAGCTCTGATGTGTGTGTGAGATATTCCAAGCAGGCATAAAATTATAAAGAATTATATTATGACGACCATGGGCTAATTAACTACTTTTTTTTTTTTTTTGAGACTGAGTCTTGCTCTGTCGCCCAGGTTGGAGTGCAGTGGCGTGATCTCGGCTCACTGCAACCTCCGCCTCCCGGGTTTAAGCGACTCTCCTGCCTCAGCCTCTAGAGTAGCTGGGGTTACAGGCGCCTGCCACCATGCCTGACTAATTTTTGTATTTTTAGTAGAGACGGGGTTTCACCATGTTGGCCAGGCTGGTCTCAAACTCCTGACCTCACATGATCCGCCCGCCTCAGCCTCCCACAGTGCTGGGATTACAGGCGTGAGTCACTGCGCCTGGCCTTAACTATGTTTAATAAGCCTTAACATCTTGCCATATTTGCTTTAGATATTTTATTTTTAAAATAACATATTTCAGATAGAGGCATAGCCTGCTGTGCACCTCTCCATGATCCTGTGACCGTCCCTTACAAGAAGAAACCTACCCTGTCTTAGTTATCTATTGTTGCATAACAAATTACCCCCAGCTGAGCAGCTGAGAACAACAAACACTTACTACCCCACTGAGGGTCGGGTATCTGGGAGAGACTTAGCCAGTAGAAGCTGGCGATTCTGGCTCAGGATTGCTCACAAGGTCAGGCTGTTGTCAGAAGCTGCAGTCACATCAAAGCTGGACTGGGGCTGGAGAATTCTCCTCCAAGTTCACTTACCTGTTGGCAGACCTCAGATCCTTGCTGGCTGTGAACTGGAGGCTTCAATTCCTCACCACAGGGGCTTTCCCTAGGGCTTCCCTCACCCCCACTGTACCCCCAGCAACAGATCAGAGGGAGAATGAGAATGAGATGCTTAGGATGGAAGCTACAAGTCTTTTAATCTAACTTGGAAGTGACATACCATCACCTCTGCTATATACTACTGGTGACACAGACCAAACCTCATATGGTGTGGGACAGGACCACAACAGGTGTAATATCAGAAGATGGGAATCACTGGGGCCATCTTCAAGGCCACCTGCTGCATTCCCAAGAATGTTTTTGTATTTTTACCAGATAAATATTGGATAACATAAAAAAGTATAGGTGTTTGCCTATTTTTACTCTATATAAATATCATGCTGTAAGCATCATCCTACATACAAACTTATATCTTTGAAATGTTTCTAGGTTGATACATTTAGATCTGATTCATCTGTTTTCTCTGCTGTATGTTTCACTGTATCAATATGCCATAATTTAGGGATCCAGTGTTTAATTGAAAGACATTTAGGCCGGGCACAGTGGCTCACGCCTGTAATCCCAGCACTTTGGGAGGCCAAAGCGGGTGATCACTTGAGGTCAGGAGTTTGAGACCAGCCTGGCCAACATGGTGAAACCCTGTGTCTACTAAAAATACAAAAAATTAGCCAGGCGTGGTGGTGGGCGCCTGTAATCCCAGCTACTCTAGAGGCTGAGGCAGGAGAATTGCTTGAACACCAGAGGCAGGGGTTGCAGTGAGCTGAGGTCGTGCCATGGCACTCCAGCCTGGGCAACAGAGCGAGACTGCATCTCAAAAATAATAAGTAAAAGATATTTAGATTGTTTGGGTTTTCACTATTAAAAATGAGCTGAACATTTTTAAACATGTCAAGTTGTGCACCTGTGCAAAAGTTTCTCTCTAAAGTATATATTTAGACGTGGAATTACTGATTCAAAGTGTGCATATAGCTTCCATTTTCTTATATTACCACATTATTCTCCAGAGTGATTGTACTTATTTATTTATTTATTTATTTATTTATTTATTTATTTATTTATTTTGAGATGGAGTTTCGCTCTTGTTGCCCAGGCTGGAGTGCAATGGCGCGATCTTGGCTCACTGCAGCCTCTGCCTCCCAGGTTCAAGGGATTCTCCTGCCTCAGCCTCCTGGGTAGCTGGGATAACAGGCACCCGCCACCACACCCAGCTAACTTTTTGTTTTTTTAGTAGAGATGGGGTTTCACCATGTTGGCCAGGCTGGTCTTGAATTCCTGACCCCAAGTGATTCACCTGCCGCAGCCTCCCAAAGTGCTGGGATTACGGGCATAAGCCACCACGCCTGGCCCTGATTGTACTAATTTATACTTCTACCAGCTATGTATGAATGTACCGTTTACTCCACGTACTAGCCAACTGAGATATCATCAGACCCTAACTTTTGCCAATCTGTTGGTTTGAATCGGTGTCATATTGTGGCTTTTATTTGCATTTCACTAATTATTATTTAAGAATTATGTTTTTGTATGTTTATGGATTATTTGCATTTCTTCTGAGAATTGCTTTTTCATATCCTTTGTTCTTTTTTCTATCGTGTTATATTTAGCTTACCAATTAGAAATAGTTTCTACATATTCTGGATACTAGTTTATTTGTGGATTATACATATTACAATCATTTTCTTCCAGTTTGTGACTTACCACTTCATTTTTAGTGTCTTTTCTAAACTAAACTTCTAATTTTAACGGGTATATAATGTATCATTATTTTTCTTTATTGCTTGTGCTTTTTTTGTGTCTTGATTAAAAAAAAACCCTCCCTAAACAGGGCATAATGATATTTTGTTATAATCTTTTTAAATGTTTTAACATGTTTAATTTCAGGTTTAAAAAAAAATTATTTTGACACAGGGTCTTGCTGAGTTGCACAGGCTGGAGTGCCATGGTACAATCATAGCTCACTGCGGCCTCCATCTCCTGGGCTCAAGCGATCCTCCCACCCCAGCCTCCTGAGTAGCTGGGACTATGGGCACAGGCCACCATGCTCAGCTAAATGTTTTTTATTTGTAGTAGAGATGAGGTCTTGCTGTGTTCTCCAGGCTGGTCTTGAACCCCTGAGCTTGGGTGATCCTCCCTCCTTGACCATCCAAAGTGCTGGAATTACAGGTGTGAGCCACAAAACCTAGCCCATGTTTAAGTTTTTAATATAACTGGAAACAGTTTTTGTTATGGGGTGAGGTAAATCATGACTTTTTTTTTTTCATATAGATAACCATTGTCCTAGCCTCATTTATTGAATAGCCCATTCTTTTCTCATTTGTGTGCAATGCAAATCTATGTCATTTAGCAAGTTTCTACACGTGTGTATCTGTCTACTTGTATATATACTAAAAACATGAGTTCATACTGAGACCTTGAATTCCAATCCAACACCACAGGGTTTGTTCTAGTGTGTCCAATTTGCTTATTTTTAACGCAATTCCTCAGCAGTGAGAAACTCTTCTTTCTCCAACAATGAAAAACATGGCTATTATTACACACAATATACTTACTCTTTTGCTCTATCCTAAACTAAGCACAAAGTAGTTTCAATTGTTCATCCACTTATAGCTGGGCATGGTGGCTCACACCTGTAATCCCAGCACTTTGAGAGGCCGAGGCGGGTGGATCACCTGAGGTCAGGAGTTTGAGACCAGCCTGGCCAACATGGTGAAACCCTGTCTCTACTAAAAATACAAAAATTAGCCAGGTGTGGTAGCACCTGTAATCTCAGCTACTCGGGAGGCTGAGGCAGGAGAATCACTTGAACCCAAGAGGCAGAGGTTGCAGTGAGCTGAGATTGCGCCACTGTACTCCAGCCTAGGGGACAGAGTGAAACTGTCTCAAAAAAAACAAAAAATCAAATTGTTCACCCATTTGTGTATAGTTATTATTATCTTTAGCCTTATATGCTATATAGTTAAGATACTGTTTTCCAAAGTTACTTAGGTTAATTTTTTTCTTCCCCATTTGCTTTAATGTCATTAATATAATTCATTTGTTTTAAAAAAACAAGTTAGATTCATTGTATTCCCTTTTGGATTCCCCATACATCTGGGTTGATTTTAATGATTAGTTTGATGAGTATGTGACACATTGGTTCTCCTATTGTTTCTGTTTCATTCCCATCAACCCTCTGTAGTGGTGGGATTAGCTGGTCTATCACCCCTATCCAAAGGAGCAGATTCATGTTTATTTCCTTATGCTCTTTCTTACACAAAAGATAGGATACTACAGTGTGAATATTATTTTACATCCTGCCTTCTTTGCTTTACAATATACTCTGGAAATCATGCCAGATAAGTTCATGGACATTTTCTTCATTCGTCTTTTTTTTTTTTTTTAACAACCATAGTACTCCATTGAGTGACTATACCATAAGTTGTTGGACCATTCTCCTAGGAAGGGGCATTTAGGTTGGATTTTAATATTTTGCAATTACAAATGCTATAATGAATGACCTTGTGTATTGTTAAAGATATATCCTCAGGGTAAAATCCTAGATGTACAATTTCTAGATTAAAAAGAAAGTACATGTATAGTTTTATTAGATTTTGCCAAATTCGCCTACAAAAAATTGGATCAGATTGCATTCACACCAGCAACGTTTAAGAGTGACTGTTTCCTCGAACCCTTGCCCATCGAATATGCTGTTGTACTTTTTTTTTTTTTTGAGACAGAATTTCATTCTTGTTGCCCAAGCTGGAGTGCAATGGCACCGTCTCAGCTCACTGCAACCTCTGCCTCCTGGGTTCAAGCGATTCTCATGCCTCAGCCTCCCAAGTAGCTGGGATTACAGGTGCCCGCCACCATGACCGACTAATTTTTTTGTATTTTTAGTAGAGATGGGATTTCACCATGTTGGCCAGGCTGGTCTTGAACTCCTGACCTCAGGTGATCCGCCCGCCTCGGCCTCCCAAAGTGCTGGGATTACAGGCGTGAGCCACCGCGCCCAGGCTGTAGTTTTTAGTTGCAGCCAAGTAGGTGAGAAATGGTATCTCAATGTTGTTTTAGTTTGCATTTTTCTAGTTATATGAAACTTAGAACAATTTTTATATGTTTAAGGGCCATTTTATATTTCTTCTAAGTTGTTAATTTTTCTGTTGGGTTTTTGATCCTTGGTTTTGTCATTTTGAAAGAGTTTTTTATATATTACAGATATTACCCCTTTATCTGTGACACATGGTGCAAACATTTTCTCCTAGTTTGTCAGTTATTTTTTTGACTATGTCTATGGTAATTTTCCTCATCCAAACTTATAAAAAAATTATATAGTCACATTTATTAGTTTTTTATTGCATAGTTTTTTTAGTCATAGTTATAAAGTCATTCCCACACTATTGGTTTTGTTTGTTTGTTTGTTTGTTTGTTTGTTTGTTTTGAGACAGAGTCTCACCCTGTTGCCCAGGCTGGAGTGCAGTGGCACGATCTCGGCTCACTGCAGCCTCTGCCTCCCGGGTTCAAGCAATTCTTGTGCCTCAGCCTCCAGAGTAGCTGGAGTTACAGGCACATGCCACCACACCCGGCTAATTTTTGTAATTTTAGTAGAGGTGGGGTTTCGCCATGTTGGCCCAGCTGGTGTTGAACTCCTGACCTCAGGTGATCTACCTGCATTGGCCTCCCAAAGTGCTGGCTCATGCTCACAGGCTTGAGCCACTGTGCCCAACCCCACACTATTGTTAAAAGAGAAATTCACTCATGGTTTTGGGGGTTTTTGTTTTCTTTTTGGTATTTTTGTGGTTTTATTTTGAAATTTAGATCCCTTATCTATTTGGAGTTTGTTCCGGGGCACAAGGTGTAATGTAGACCTAATTTTATCTTTATTCAAATGGCTACCCAGCACTACTTATTAAAATGTTTATCTTTGTCTCAGCGATTTAAGATGCCAGCTTTATCTTATAATAAATTTCCATATGTCCTTAGGTCTATTTCTGAGCTTTCTGTTCTATTCCACCAGTCTATGGTATACACATAAGCCAGTACCACATTGTTTTAATTATAGAGGCTTTGTGGTATGTTTTAATGTCTGATAGATCTAGACCCTCTGCATAAATGTTCCTTAATTTTTCTGGATATTCTTGCACGCATGTTGCTTTTGCCAAATGAACTTTAGTATCAATATGTCTAACTCCATAAAACACAGATTTGTTGGTGTTTTCACAGAGATTACATTAAACTTACTTAACCTAGTGAGAACTGACATCTTTATTTGTGATGCTGAGTCATCCTTCCAAGAACAGGAAATGATTTCCATTCATTTGTCTAAGTCTACTTTTGTGTCTTTTCAGACTCATTTAAAGTTTTCCTCAGAGAGATGTTTTGCATATTTTTGATGAGCTTCTTCCTGTGTATTTAATGTTCTTTGCTGCTTTTCTAAATTGGACTTTCTCTTCCATTGCGTTCTCTAAATAATTCATGTTTGTGCATATGAAGGCTATTGATTTTTGTTACTTTTATATTTTGCTACCTTATTGAATTATTGTACTGTGTGAGTCAGTTTTATCATTCACTGTTGATTTTGTAGGGCTTTGTAGTTACATTGTCATATTATGTAAAAATAGAGACTGTTTTACTTTTTTACCAAATTGTATGCCTCTAATTAATTTCTCTTTTCTAATTACATTGGCTTATACCACTAGTATGATATGAATAGTGGTGGCAGACAGTAGGAATCCTTGCTTTGTTCCTGATTTGAATGTAAATTCTTCTATTGTTTACACATTCAGTAAAATAGTGGCTTTAGAACTAAGGATTTTTATCAGGTTAAGGTGTTTTATCAAGTTAAGAAAACACTTCATTTCCTGTTTTCTTGAGTGCTGTTAACTGGAATGGATATCAAATTTTTGTTGAAGACTTTGTCAGCATCTATGGAGATAATAATATTTTCCCCTTAGATCTATCAGTATTGGTTTTCTAATATGGAACCAACCTTAAATTACTGGCTTAAGTCCCAATTGGTCACAATGTATTATTTCCATTCTGTGGTGTTAGATTGTGTTTGCTATTATACAGTCGTTTGCATCTGTATTCATGAGTGACATTGGTCTCCAGTTTTCCTTTTTTCTACTCTTTTTGTAGAGTTTCATCAGGTTTAGGTATAAAAATTAGGTCATACTTAATTATTAAAAGAATAAGGAAGGACAAGTGCAGTGACTCATACCTGTAATTCCCAGAGCTTTGGGAGGCTGAGACAGGGGGATTGCTTGAGCATAGGAGTTCGAGACCAGCCTGGGCAACACAGCAAGACCCTGTCTCTTCAAAAAATTTTTAAAAATTAGCCTGGCATGGTGGCTTGTGACTGTAGTTCTGGCTACTCCGGAGGCTGAGGCAGGAGGATTGCTTGAGCCCAGGAGTTCAAGGTTATGCTGAGCTATGATCATGTCATGTATTGGCAGGTTGCATTCATTTCTGGAGGCTCTGGGGCAAAATCCACTTTCTCGTCTTTACCAGCTTCACAGGCTACCCATATTCCTGGACTCATGGCCCAGTTCCATCTTAAAAGCCAGCAACGGTTGAGTTTTTCTCATATTACATGTCTCTGACACTGATTCTTTCCTTCCCTCTTCCATATTTAAGGACTATTATAATTACATGGGGCCCTCTTTGATAATCCAGGATAATCTCCCTAGGTAAATTCAGCTAATCAGCTAATCAGAACCTTAATTTTATCTACAGTCTTAATTCCTCTTTGCTATACAACATAACATACTTATAGGTTCTGGGGATTCAGACTTGGGCATCTTTTAGGGGAAGGGGAACATTATTTTGCCTTCTGCATTTTTAAAGCTCAAGGGCAATTTATAGAACACTGGAACTATCTCATCTTTGAAGGTTTGGTAGAAGACTGTAGATTTAAACGTTAGACCTAAAACCATAAAAACCCTAGAAGAAAACCTAGGCATTACCATTCAGGACATAGGCGTGGGCAAGGACTTCATGTCCAAAACACCAAAAGCAATGGCAACAAAAGCCAAAATTGACAAATGGGATCTAATTAAACTAAAGAGCTTCTGCACAGCAAAAGAAACTACCATCAGAGTGAACAGGCAACCTACAACATGGGAGAAAATTTTCGCAACCTACTCATCTGACAAAGGGCTAATATCCAGAATCTACAATGAACTCAAACAAATTTACAAGAAAAAAACAAACAACCCCATCAAAAAGTGGGCGAAGGACATGAACAGACACTTCTCAAAAGAAGACATTTATGCAGCCAAAAAACACATGAAGAAATGCTCATCATCACTGGCCATCAGAGAAATGCAAATCAAAACCACTATGAGATATCATCTCACACCAGTTAGAATGGCAATCATTAAAAAGTCAGGAAACAACAGGTGCTGGAGAGGATGTGGAGAAATAGGAACACTTTTACACTGTTGGTGGGACCGTAAACTAGTTCAACCATTGTGGAAGTCAGTGTGGCGATTCCTCAGGGATCTAGAACTAGAAATACCATTTGACCCAGCCATCCCATTACTGGGTATATACCCAAATGACTATAAATCATGCTGCTATAAAGACACATGCACACGTATGTTTATTGTGGCACTATTCACAATAGCAAAGACTTGGAACCAACCCAAATGTCCAACAATGATAGACTGGATTAAGAAAATGTGGCACATATACACCATGGAATACTATGCAGCCATAAAAAATGATGAGTTCATGTCCTTTGTAGGGACATGGATGAAATTGGAAACCATCATTCTCAGTAAACTATCGCAAGAACAAAAAACCAAACACCGCATATTCTCACTCATAGGTGGGAATTGAACAATGAGATCACATGGACACAGGAAGGGGAATATCACACTCTGGGGACTGTGGTGGGGTCGGGGGAGGGGGGAGGGATAGCATTGGGAGATATACCTAATGCTAGATGACACGTTAGTGGGTGCAGCGCACCAGCATGGCACATGTATACATATGTAACTAACCTGCACAATGTGCACATGTACCCTAAAACTTAGAGTATAATAAAAAAAAAAATTAAAAAAAAAAAAAAAAAAAGAAGACTGTAGTGAAAATATTTGGCCCTGATGTTTTTTGTATGCAATAGTTGTTTAATAATTGTTTTTGTATATTATGGGAAATTTGCTCTATTTAAACTTTCTCTGATGGGCTCAATTTTGGGAACCTATGTCTTTAATATAGAATTTCAAATATATCTTACGGTTGTTAATTATTTTCTATTTTCCCTTGTCATTTATTATTTTGTTATTTGTGTTCTTTTTCCCTGTTCAGGTTGGTTAGCAGTTGCTATTTTGTTAATGTTTTTCAAGTAAGTCTACTGGTTTTCTATTCTTTACTTTAATAATTTCTGCTTTTATCTTTATTATTTCCTTCTAATTGCTTCCTTTTGGTTTATTTTGTTGTATTCTAGTTTTTTAACTAGGTATTTAAGTCATTTATTTACTTTTTTATATTTTACTTATGAAAGTGTTTCATTCTATAAATTTTCCTCTGATATATGCTTTAAATGTGTCCGATATGTTTCGGTTTGGGGGGTTTTTTTGGTTTGGTTTTTTTTTTTAGAAATTCTTTAATTTCAGTTTGCATTTTCCCTTTCACTCAAGAGTTGTTTAATAGGCTTCCTGAATTTTTCAGGTGGAAGATCTTTTTGTTTTTAGTTTTGGTTAATAATTTCTTTTTTTCCTTTTTGCATTGTGTTCAGTATGTTGTTTGTAATATTTCTAACTCATGGAACTTACTAGTATTTTCTTTGTGATCAATTTTGATAAATGGTTTCAAGGCATTTGAAAAACAGGTATAGTCACTATTATCAAAGTATAAAGTTCAATATATAGCTATAAGATTTACATAATGGATTATGTTGAGGGTTTCTTAATCCACTTTATCCATTTTGAATCAAGAGTAGAAAAACTCCTTCATAAAGTTGGCTACTGTGTTTTTTGGAGCATAAATATTTATAAGTGTTACATCTTCATCACGATTTTGGCTTTCAGCATTAAAAGGTGCTAATTTTTGTTGTGTTTAACATTTTTAGTCTTGAATCCTTATTCGTTGGATATCAGATTGCTACCTCTGCTTTCTTGTTGTTTCCATTTTCCTGGAATTGCTTTATCTATCCATTTATAATTTGCCTTCTTAATCACTTTGTTTTATATATCTTGGATGTTGTATATAGTTGAGTCTTTTAAATTGTGAGCTGAACAGAAAATGTGTTTCTTTCCAATGGTGATTTTAGTCCATTAGATTTATTGGTATAGCTGATATGTTTGGTCTGAGTCTACATAATGTTTTATAATTATATATATTATGCATATTTCTTGTGTTTCTTTTATCTGCTTTACTCTTCAATTATGAAAAATGAAATTTAAGAAGTTTGTTGTTGTTGTTCTAGTGGTTATATTTGCACCTTTTTGAATGTCCATTGTCCCGTTTTCTTAGTTAACCTTTGAGCACCTAGCTTGCCAGATTTTATTTTATTTTATTTTACTTTAAGATGGAGTTTCACTCTTGTCACCCAGGCTGGAGTGACACGATCTCAGCTTACTGCAACCTCTGCCTCCCATCAAGTGATTCTCCTGCCTCAGCCTCCCGAGTAGCTGGGATTACAGGCACTCACCGCCACACCCCACTAATTTTTTTTTTTTTTTTTTGTATTTTTAGTATGGACAGGGTGTCACCATGTTGGCCAGGCTGGTCTTGAACTCTTGACCTCAGGTGATCCACCCGCCTTGGCCTCCTAAAGTGCTGTAATTACAGGTGTGAGCCACCATGCCTGGCCACCAGTTTTTAATTGTATCTTCAACTCCCACCTGTTGCCTCTACAACAATGAATGAACTTATTTTACTCTCTTTATTCTGTCTTCCATCCCTTAGCCAGTTTTTAATTGCATTATTTCTATTTGTCAAGACATATAGCATTTGTACATTAGTCTTCAACCTTCAATTTGACTTTTTGTCTTAGATCTATAATTATATATAACATATATGTAGCACATATATATAGCATATATATAGCACATATTATGTATAGCATATATATATAGCACATATTATATATAGCATATATTTATATATGCTAATATCAGTCCTTTTGCTGAAAAATTTCCAGTCACCTATCAGGTGAATAAAGCTCATACACTATCCAATGCCTCAAGAAAAAACTCACAGTTTCAAGATTCCCTAAGGTTTTGTGTGTTTCACACTTTGCCAGTAGCCTTGATACTTGGACAACTTAACTTTATATAAAATGAAGATCTATATTTTCTTTCGTTGAGCTTTTTGTCTGTTTGTTTTTAAAATACTGCTCTATTTGTTGTCTTGCTCTGAATATCGAATACTTTTGCCCTTATAATTAAGTGACCTTTTTGCCTAGAGGTTTTGTTTTGTTTTGTTTTGTTTTGTTTTCAGTCTCTGAATTCTAACAGGTTTAATAAGTCTTAGAGTTGCTATCTCTGGGTTAACTTTCCCAAGTACCCAGTGGGCCCTTTCAATAGTACGTTTCAATTATCTGAAAAGTTTTCTTATATTATAGTTTTAAGCATTTGTATTGGTCCATTTTGCAATGCTGTAAAGGAATACCTGAGGCTGGATAATTTATAATTTAGAGGTTTATGGCTCACAGTTCTGCAGGTTGTGCAAGCATGGCACCTGCATCTGTTTCTGTTTGGCTTTGGGTGAGGACCTCAGAAAGCTTACAATCATGGTGGAACGTGAAGGGGGAGCCAGTGCATCACATGGAGAGAAAGGGGGCAAGAGAGAGAAGAGTGAGGTGCAGGCTTATTAAATGACCAGCTCTCATGCAAACTCCTTACCATGGGGAGGGCTTCAAGCCATTTATGAGAGATTCTTCCCCATGACCCATACACCTTCCACCAGGTCCCACCTTCAACACTGGGGACCACATTTCAACAGGAGATTTAGAGAGGGTGAAATCCAAACTATTTTAGTATTGGTTTATTTTTTCTTTTCAGATAGTCTAATTATGTATTAATCCTTCTTTATCTGTTTTCCATTTTCTCTGTTTTCCCTGTGACCTTTGGTATTCTTTTATTTTTCTCATTTTTATGTTCTTGGTTGTTTTCCTACCTTTTAAAATGCCCCTTAGTAAATTTTCATGTTAGTTTATCTTACTCTGGGCACCTTGTAATTTAATCTTCATTTTTGAGATAACTTTGTCATTTTCTTTCATTGCTTTCCTAAATTAATCAACTCTTTATTATATTTTTGTTCTTTGTCCATTTATATTATTCATTTTGTATTTTTTATTCAAGATCTTTTTTCATATCCCAAATGCCAGTTTTAGTACATTTAACTCATTTTGAATGTTCTTGCTTCATGGCTATTTTCTTGGAAAAAAATTTCAACAGTTGAGATGTGTTGGATCTTATTTTCTAGTTCTTTGTAATAACTCTGTATCTGCTTATTCAGTTTTTTCCATTTATTTTTGCAGTATTGGTTTGCTTCTTAAGAGTCCTAATTTGGTGCCTTTTGTCTTGGAACAAAGTCCAGACTTTTTAGTGGAGTTGGGGGGTAACTGGAACAAGGGATTTGTATCTTTTGATTTTTTGGTACTCTTTTGTCTTGCCTACATTTCCTGACCTGAGCTAAAACTCTGTTGATCACCTGACCTCCGTAAGCCCCTGCTCTAACTGGTAAACCACAGCAATGTTTGGGGTCTCGGGCATTAGTGTCAGTTTAGAGCCAGTGCCCAATAGTCCTTGAAAAATATGATTATTTCTTTTCTCCCAGTGAACAGTTACCTCGGTAAAAGGCAATAGGTCCCCTAGAGGCTGGAAAAAAGATTACATTTTTCAGTAGAAATTTTCAGTAGTGTCTTGGGGTCCTTGAGGAAGGGATTTCCTCAAGGATATCCAGCTTCCCCTTCATTCAAAGGGTTCTGAGTCTGTAAACTGGCCCAAGTCTGGGAATTAATTGAGTGGCCATGACTCTCTGTCTTTATGGTTAAGGTTAGACTTTGTTCACTTGACCCAGAACTTTTCTGCTCATACAGATCAAGTAAGAATTTAATTGGCTTCCTATCTATTTCACTTCTAGGAATATCATGATCAGCTAGCCAACTTCCGTAGTTCTGCATAAGTTAGATTATTCAGATTGCTGTTTGGACTCTGCTGTCTATGACAGTAACCATACATATCTTGCCTTTAGCAGTTGAGTGCCTCCACCTGGCCCCGCTTCCCTAGGGTTCAGATACCCCCGCTGCATTTAGGTTTCCCAGTCCAGTTACTGTGAGATCTGACTTACATAGAAGAAGGATCACAGAGTTCTTCTAAGATGTTGGAGCTCCCTTCACAAATTTATTTCTCACAGTTGTGGTGAAATGTCCGCGTTCTAGACCCTCCCCGTGTGGGTGGGTAGGTCTCAAGTGACAAATCCACTCTGCCATGCCATTCTCTCTCAGCTTTTGAATCCCTTTCTCTACATTAAACCAAGACATGGCCAGCATGTTCAGTTCACTCACTATGGCTACCTTTTGGTCTGTGTTTCAGCCAGCCAAACTGTTAGAGCCCTTTTGGACTCCTGAAGCTGCAACATTAAATCAGAATCTCTGTTTAGTGAGCCCAGATCAGTAAATTCAGCCTGACCTAACTTTTTGTTTCTTTCACCGTTATTCCATACACTTAGTGTCCATCTTTACACATGTTGCTTGGATTTCTGCCTGTATAAATTAGAAAAATCCAGTAGTTCCTTTGGAATGTCATGCCCCTCCTCATGGGTCATACATTGTACCTCATCTTTAGGCACCTGCTGGGACTCGAGTCTCATTACAGGTCTAGAAGCAAAGAGGAGTGGCAGGGTGGATCCTGGGGAGAGTCAACGTAGTCTTGCACAGCATCTGCCTCAGGAGAGACCATTACAGTTTCCTCAGGTAGTGTGGGGTTAATCCCCTCAGAACAGAGGTGGAAAGACTGGAGGTGGAGAGGTTGATACCATTGATACCACTGAAGGTGGGAAGGCCATTTCCTCTGGGGTTAGGGTGGCCACTTCCATTGGAGGTGGGGAGACCAGTTCTGCCAGGGCTGAGGAGACCTCTTCCACTGGCAGAGAACACTCAGCAGAATCCATGTCCTCAGTTTCATCAGGGCCTTCCCACATGTCTCCATCCCAGTTCACGGGCTCCCATTCTTTCCAAAGCAGTGCTTTCACTTTAACAGTAGACAATAGCTACTGTTGCTGGGGTTCAACTTGTGTTGTCATTCAGCCAGTGGCAGAATGAAATTTTGTGTTTGAGTTTCAGCAATGTCAGCCCTGCAGTTAAAAGGATAAGGGTCTTCTTCAGGACACATGTAGAAGTTCTTACGTTATTTAGGCAACACTTGAGCTGGGAATTTGAATCCCTGAGATCATCCTTTTCTTGCACTGCTGTGTCTAGTGACATTAGGAGCAACCAGCCAACATCATTATGTTCATTAATTAAACAAAAAATTGAAACTGTCATGTACAGAAGCAGCCTTGCTTCTTTTAAGTGACTGATGAGTATCCAATGCTGATATTTTGCATCTTCCCATAAACAGTTCAGCTGTGGACTATCAGTGCTCTCTTTTCTACTGAAAATAGAGTCATTAGCATCTTCAAATTTAATCAAATTAGAAAACCATTCCAGAAACCTTATATAGTAGATAGTTTTATCTCCATCTTATAGAGAAGAAAACTGAGGTTCTGAGAGAGTTAAGTAACCTACCCAAAATCACCCAGCTGAAAATCAAACTGAAATCTATCCTGATATCTATGTTGAAACTGCTCTTTTTTCTTCCTTCCTTCCTTAACTTACTTTCTTTCTTTCTTTCTTTCTTTTTCTTTCTTTTCTTTCTTTCCTTTTTTTTTTTTGAGACAGAGTCTCACTCTGTCACCCAGGCCGGAGTGCAGTGGTGCGATCTCAGCTCAATGCAACCTCTGCCTCTTCAGTTCAAGCGATTCTCCTGCCTCAGCCTCCCAAGTAGCTGGGATTTCAGGCCCCCGCTGCCGCGCCCAGCTAATTTTTGTATTTTTAGTAGAGAGAGGGTTTCACCATGTTGGCCAGGCTGGTTTCAAGCTCCTGACCTCAAGTGATCACCTGCCTTGGCCTCCCAAAGTGCTGGGATTACAGGTATGAGCCACTGCACCCAGCCTCCGTTCTTTCTTTATAGCAAGAGTCACATTGTTTGTTGACTGATATTCAGCTTATGGTTCACTGGGATCATTCTTTCTATTTAACGTATGTCAAATAGACAGATGCACTTGGGGTCTCTGCCAGCTGCTTCCCATCCCTCTATCTGATTTTACCTATCAGTTGTCCAATATTGTCCAACCTATTCATCTAGCTAGTAAAGATAATTTTGAATTTCACTTCTCTTATGAGAGTAGTCAGCTCCTCCAAATATACAGAAACTTAAGGAGGCTGCCTCTCCTGTAATCATCCTAGTCACTGACTTAAAAGGGAAAAAAAGGGTACTGTCAAAAACTAACAGACAGGGAAAAAAAGATTATCTTACATCAGTAGCAACCTTCCTATTTGGGTATTACAGAGAAGTGAAATTTTTTTAGTTCTCTTTTGACAAGTATCTGAGAACATATCTCAGAGCAAAAACACATATGCCATTTCTCTCTTCTTTTTTCTCTTTTAATTTTCTAAATCCTGGTTATTATATCAAAGGTGCTTCAGAGCATCTATTGTCTGTGTGTGGATGATCGTAACTACCCATCATTCCCAGTTTAAAAATTTCTGTTTTCTATTTTTCCTTTGCAGCCCATTCCCACCTCATTAAAATCTAGATGGATTGTGTTTGGTAAAAGCTACGCATATTTTCCTGGCCCTGGCAGTCCCCTTTGCTAAGATCCAGCCCTAGAGATCCTGCTCATATTTTAGATGCATGGAAAAAGGAGGGGTCTGGATGGAGGAACCCAAATAAACAGATGGTTGCCTTGACAATTTGTAAGAGATTCTTTCATGATCATTTTTCATGGTTTTCTCTTGAAATAAATAGTGAGACTGCGATACAATTTTTAACTCTTTGACCTCCTGCAAATGGTACCAAGGTTCACAAACTGCATAGAACACCAAAATGCCTCTGCCACAGAGCCACCTTCGGCTTTGACTCCTTCAAGGTCCCATCCTGCATTGCCCTAGGAAATGTTCATAGAGACCTATCTTCAAGGCAGGTCATAGGTGTCCTGGGTGTAAACATGAGTGTGGCATAGCAAGGAGGCTGTGATACTTTGTAGAAGACAAAGATAGACAATTATTATGATATCAGGCAGGAAATCCTGGGGCAAGAGCATATGGAATGCATGAAATCACAGAGAAAGAGGGAATTCACTCCAAATTGGAGGGTTGGGCAGAGCCCTGGAGGAGGTGAGGTGGTGCTAAGGAGTACTGGGGAGCAGAGTTTAAGCCAAGGAAACTTGAGCCTGACTACAATGACGGAGGGCAGGGGAGGGAAAGGAATTCCAAGTTTAAGGAAGACAAAGAAACAGAACTAATAAAATTGAACATTTTAACATTGACCTGCATGTTTCTACTATGTCAGTTTTTAGGTTGTTTGTATATTTGTTTGTAAATGTACTTTTTATAAAGCATTGACATAGAGGCTCTTGCTCTAAGATAGAAAAATATGGGGCAATTCCATTTATATGTCTGAATTTCCTTTTACATTTCCCTATGCCCAGATTCCTTATCCAGGTTATCACACAAGCCTGAAGTTCTACAGGCCTTGTAGATGGAAGGCTTCCAAATTACAATGCAGTTAGTAAAGCGTAGTGGCTTAAGACATAAGCTTTAGAGTTAGATCCGAGTTCATGACCCCTCATAATCACTTCCTGGCTTTATGTACACCTGACAGGCTGTGCAACCTCAGAGCCTCATTTACTCATCTGTAAAATGGAGATGATAATAGTGCTTATCTCACAGAGTTTTGTGAGAGTTACGTGAGATACAGTGCACAAGCCGTTAAGCACAGGGCCGGGCATCTGTTGTCGATCAGGTAGGTAATGCTTATCATTAGTTATTGCTCCAAAACACAGTGTTCATAAAGTTTTCTCCAAGGAGACCCACCATTAGGCTTTCCTATGACTTTTCTAAATGTTTGTTGCTACTTCAATGCAAGAAAATATGCCAGGAGTAAAAATCACCGCAAACTTTTTTAAATATTGGGAGCCAAAATGTCCCAAATTTCATAAGCCTGTGATGTCATGATTTCTTTTCTTTTTTTTTTTTTTTTTTTTTTTTTGAGATGGAATCTGGCCCTGTTTCTCTGTTGCCTGGGCTGAAGTGTAGTGGCATGATCTCAGCTTACTGCAACCTCTGCCTCCTGGGTTCAAGCAATTCTCCTGCCTCAGCCTCCTGGGTAGCTAGGATTACAATTTTTAATAGAGACAGGGTTTCACCCTGTTGGCCAGGCTGGTCTCAAACTCCTGACCTCAGGTGATACCTGCCTTGGCCTCCCAAAGTGCTGGGATTACAGGCGTGAGTCACCACGCCCAGCCCATGGTTTCTTTTTATGCCAAATTACAACAGTCTAAACCTTCATTGTATTTGCCTTCAAGTTTAGTCTTTTTTCAGGTATCCAAGCATTTGGGTGAGTCCCTGGAGAATTTTTATTCAGAGGGGACCTCCCTACATGGCCCTTAGCTTGCTGCCATATTATCAGGACCAGTTTATCTCTCTCAAAATGAATTTCACTGAGTATTTTTCCTCTACCTGGAATTTAGGCCCCAGCCTCTGAAAGCTCCAAGAGAAGGAGCTGCTTCCTTCTCAGCCTAGCCCAAGGCCCCATGCTGATTTATTCAGTGATTTCTTCAAAGGACATTTTGTCTATGGGAAGGCTCACTTCCTTCAAAAGAAATCTCGCTCCCTTCAAGTGGCTCTCAAAAGACAACAAACAGCACCCATTGTTTGTGGTACCTAATTGTCATTGCCAGCTAGAAGGAACTAGGGCTCCTAGCAAGGATAGATGACTGCACAACTGGAGGAGGAAATACATAAGATGAGCCTAGGATTTCTTGTGTCAGGAAGCAAGGAAGGTAGACGAGTGAGTTGTGCTAAAAGGACAGAGGGACCAAAAAGAAGGGCTGCAGGCCAAAAAGGGGATACACTGAGCATCAAAAAACAGTAATTAGTGCAATGGACTAAAACATATTGTGTATGTCAAAATAAAAACATGAGTTTATAATTTATAATGATGTTTTTAAAAGGTGAGAGGAAACAAACAACAATCTCAACAACAACCTCATTGGGTACCATTTCCACAGTCTTTATTCAGGAAATTGGCATGTAAAAGATGATTAGGCATTTATCCTGTCCTTCCTGTACAAACTATATTGCAGGAAATTAAAATTGCCCTAGTTGTACAAACATATAGTTAGATAGAATAAGTTCTAGTGTTGGATAGCACAGTAGGGTGACTGTAGTTAACAGTAATTTTTTTTTTTTTTTTCTGAGATGGAGTCTCACTTTTGTCGCCCAGGCTACAATGCAGTGACACGATCTCGGCTCACGGCAACCTCGGCCTCCAGGGTTCAAGGGATTCTCCTGCCTCAGCCTCCTGAATAGCTGGGATTACAGGTGCCTGCCACCATGCCTGGCTAATTTTTTTTTTTTTTTAGTAGAGATGGGGTTTCACCATGTTGGCTGGGCTGGTCTCAAACTCCTGACCTCAAAGTGATCTGCCCACCTCGGCCTCCATAAGTGCTGGGATCATAAGTGTGAGCCACCATGCCTGGCCAACAATAATTTATTGTATATTTCAAAATAGCTAGAAGATAAGATTTAGAATGTTCCCAACACAAAGAAATGATAAATGTTTGCAGTGATAGATATCCTAATTACACTGATTTGATTACTACATATTGTATGCATGTATCAAAATATAACGTACCCCATAAATGTGTACAAATATGTATCAATTTAAAAATGTATATCAAAGAAGTCACCCCAGTTGAAGAAAAATTCTTTTTTTATATAAAAATTCCATCTAATAAATGCAAAAAGACAAAAATAATCAGAACATTATGTTGCAGTCCCCAGTGAAATAATTGATTCAGGTAATAATTATTAACAAATGAAGCCATTATATGAAAGGTTGATGGGGAACTTAACAGTGGAGATGAGGCTATCACATCCTGATCCACTCTAGCTCACTAAAATTGGAACACCCAGACACAGTGTGCTTCCCGACAGAATGAAACATGAAGCACACAGCATCACCTCTGAGATGTTATCCCCAAAATTGAACTTGAATCTAACCCAGATTTGAGAGCTAAATTTCACTTAAAAGGATGCAGGAACAGGTGAAGTGACATTACAAAGAAACAAAGAGGCAAATCCAGCATGTAGGACATTCTACAGGGCGGCTGACCCAGTTTCTGAACAAGTCAATGGCATGGCAGCAAAAGGAGAGGAGGGGTGGGGATTGCTGTTCATAGGAGACCCAAGATACTTAAAACCTGATGTAATACATAGACCTAGTTTGGATCCTGATTCAAACAAAGAAACCAGGAAAATTTTTTTTTTAGAAACCAGCAAAATTTTTTTATGAGCTAGGTATTGGATACCAAGGAATTATTGTCACTTTTATTGTTTTAATGGCATTGTGGTTAGGTAAGAAAATGTTCATAATTTTTAGCAATGCATACTACAGCATGTAGGGTTTTGCTTAGAAAATACTTTAACATAGAAATATTTTAACAGACCAGGTGCAGTGGCTCACACCTGTAATCCCAGCACTTTGGGAGGCCAAGGTGGGCAGATCACTTGAGGTAAGGAGTTTGAGACCAGCCTGGCCAACATGGTGAAACCCCATCTCTACTAAAATACAAGAATTACCTGGGCGTGATGGCACGCACCTGTAATCCCAGCTACTTGGGAGGCTGAGAATTGCTTAAACCTGGGAGGCGGAGTTTGCATTAAGCTGAGATGGCACCACTGCACTCCAGCCTGGGTGACAGAGTGAGACTCTGTCTCAACAAACAAACAAACAAACATACAAAAAAAAGAAAGAAATACTTTAACAAAGAAAAAAGAAAGACAAGGGACAAGTGAAAATAAGGTAACAGTCTTGGTAATTGCTGAATTGGGGTGATGGGTATATGAAGAAAAAGTAAAAAAATAGAAGTAAAAAAGGATAGATGAAACAAGTGTGCCAACACCTTGATGACGGTTGAACCTGGAAATAGGGATATGAAGACCTTTGGTATTTACCTCTATTTTTCAGTATGTTTGAAATTTTTATAACATGTAAAGAAAACAAGGCACAATTCTACAACATGAATACATTTCTCAGAATCTGGGTCATGTGCACTGAGATCATAGTACATGTGCGATTTCACCAACATAGGAAGGACTGGACTACGGAAGTGCCGTGCCCTTCAGTGCCCTCTGTGCCCAAGAAGAGAAGCTGAAAATGGCCTCTCTTTGTGTAGATCCTCCAGTCTCGTGCTAATCTCCTGTGAGCAACTGGTTAGCAAGGGCTCTCATACATCTCCTAAGAATAAGAAGTAATTTTCTAGTATAGAGCACTCTAAACTCTAATTTAGAATAAAACTGTTTCCTAAAGGGAACTATCTGCAGGAAGACGACTGAGCTGGAAGAAAGCATTCTTTAAATCAATGTAGGGAGTTTAGTTAGCTTTGCAGGCCTTCCCACCCCACCTGGCTCTGTCCACAATAGGGCTTTGCTCTGTCTTGATTTAATCCATACCTGCAGCTCAGGAGCTGTTTGCCTCCGGATAAATGCAAGCTACCACTTCTCTTTTAGAAAAACTGTGATAAAATATAACAAAAGATTCGCCATCTTAACTATTTTTGAGTGTACAGTTTATTGTTAAGTACACATGATCCTCAACTTACAACAGGGTTATGACAATGCACTTTCAACTTAACGGTATTTTCAGTTTACGAGGGATTTATCCTGCTTTAGCCCCATTGTAAGTCAAGGAGTTTTCTGAATGTGTTACGCCATCGTAAAGTGGAACAGTCATAAATGGAACCATCATAAGTGGGGAACAGTCTGTATATTCGCATTGTAGTGCGAATCCAGAATTTTTCATCTTCTAAGACTAAAACTCTGTATTCATTCAACAATTCCCTACTTCTCCCTGTCCCCAGCCCTTGGCAGCCACCATTCCACTTTCTGTCTCTGTGAATTCGACCACTCTAGGTACTTCATATAAGTGGAATCGTACAGTATTTGTCCTTTTGTGACTGGCTTATTTCACTTAACATGATATCCTCAAGTTTCATTCATCCTAAGACGAATTTAGATGAGTTTGGCTTGTTTTGTAGCACGTGTCAGATTAGTTAGGCATGTTTTGTAGCACCTGTCAGAATTTCCTTCCTTTTTAAGGCTGACTAATGTTCCACTGCATGCATACACCACATTTTGTTTATCCATTCTTCTGTTGGTGGATGTTCTGGTTGCTTCCACGTTTTGGCTATTGTGAATAATGCTGCTATGAGCGTGGGGGTATACTAAGCCACCACTTTTTGCAACATAAAGTTTTTCTCACAGATTTCAAAAGCCCTAGGAACAGCTTTCAGCCCAGGTTTGAGCTCAAGGTACTGTGAGCTTCTTTCCCTCTGAGGTCTGCCCAAGCTCACTGCCAAGGAGCATTAGCCCAAGTGAGCAGGAAGGAGCTCTGGACCTCACAACATCACAGAGCCCAGATGGGGGTCCCTGCCTTTTCCCTGGCACACTTTGTTTTAAAACAGTAAAAATAAAACATGCTCACGAGAGGGTAAAAAGTGGACATTCACTCCCTCCTGTTTTCCATTCCTTAAGGGTCGGCTGCTATTCCATGAATGTGTGAATCTTTCCAAAGCTTTATTCCAAACATATGCAAATGTGTATGTTTGCTTTGTTTTTTTATAAAACTTTGCTTTCTCAGTCAACAATGTATATCATCTTTCCATATAATAGAAAGGCATTGAAAATCTAAAATATTCCACATTTTTATGCTGTTACCAACGATGCTGAATTGAAGATCCTTATGCATACAAGCTTGTGTATTTATGTGAATATTATTATAGCATAGACGTGCAAATGTTGGGTCAAGGTGTGCGTACATTCAATATTTTGATAGGTACAGCCAAGTCGCCTTCCTGAAGGATTATGCTAATTTACCTGTTAGCTTTAAAGAAAGGTTTCCGTTTATTCTTTCAAGTTTAAGGCAAACATTCCAGTCTGTTCCTATGTGATCACTAAATACTTGCCTTTCTCTGAGCCTATACTACTTAATTAAAATCTGCTTGGAAAATCTCAGTTAAGTTAGTAAAATCATCTAGTTCTAACAACTATTGTCTGTTTACAGCCTTAGGCAATTTAGTGGGCAAAACTGTAATTGTGTATTTCTAAACATGAGAAATTTCAAGATTTCTCCTCTGAGGGGTATCAGGGCATATAAAATCAATCATGTAAATATTTGCTTCTTTTACTTTCAGGATTACACAAATATATTTTTAAATACCAAGTCTTTTTTGAGAAAACAAAAACAAACATTTGCTCCCTGATTCTTTCCTTTTCTGATTTTTAACTGTGTGAAAAACTAGAAAGATCAAGTCCTTCAAGGCTTTTATGCCAGTTTGCCTAGGAGAGATACCTGCCCCAAGCCCCAATTTTAATTACTCAAGCCAGTTGAATGGTGTGTGTATGTCAGCCTAGGCAAGCGACTTCACAGTTATATTTTAAATATGAAGATTTCATCAAAGAAGGCAAAAAAAATTGTTCATGGCATGCAAATTAGAAAATGAGAAATTGGCGGTTCCCATTAGCAACAAATATTCTGAGAAGAGTTTCATGGGAGGAGAGGCCATATACATCACGTTTATAAATATTTTTACTTCCCAGAAAAATAGGAGCTAGGATTGCAGCAGAGCCAAGCCCTGGCAGCCCTTTCGGGCGTCCCCAGGCAGTGCCCTGAAGCCCAGGCTCGCCTTTTGTGCTTCCTGCGTCCGCTCCAGGCGTGTCTGCGCGGTGCGGAGGCGCATCCCCGCCAGGGGAGGGCTGGGAGCGGCCGCGCACCCAGAGGAGAGCAGGCTGTCCTTTTAGGGAGCCGGCATTGGTAAATGCTCTGTGGTTATGCGACTATTGATTTGCCTCACCCTGAGGACTCCAGTGGCAAAGTGACCCTCCCTCCTGCCTGTCCCCTCCCTTCCTGGCTCCCGCCCGCCCTCCCTCCCGCAGCAGCAAGATCTGATCGCTGCTGCCCTGCTCTCCTCCTCCTCTCATTCCTCTGCCTCCTGGATTCCTGAAGTTTAGGAGAAATAAGGTAGCCAAGGGAACCACATGGAAGTTGTGACAGCTCCCAGCGGCGCGCCCCTTTCGTGTGTGCCGGTACCTCGGCTTAGGAGTTGCCCGCTGACACCTTGAATGAAGGAGGTCCCCTTGCCAGCCAGCCTGCCGGGATGGGCCATTGCTGCTGCAAGCCTTATAACTGCCTTCAGTGCCTGGACAAGACGGTACTTTGCCTTCCCTCTCTCTTCTTCCCCCTCCTCCTTTGCAAGGGCAGAGAGAAAGCCGTGAGCCAGCCACCTCGGTGCCTGTCCCCCTAGCATGCGTGTGCGCTTTGTTGGTGAACAGGAGGCTCCCTTTACTCGTTCCAATGTGCTGAATTGTGAGTGGTGTTCACAGAAACATTTGGTCTCACATACTCTGCAGTGCCTTACATAATTCTGTATTCCTGCAGTCTCAAATGTAACTGTTGCATTTTCCTGAAATAGTAGGATTCTGCTCCAACATCTTGAAATCAGAACTGCCAAGAGATCTTTGCAATATTCTTAATGCATTTTAATGTACCTGTGAAACCTAAGACGTTCCACTGGGGAATTTAGATTAGTTAGGCATGTTTTTCTTCGCCAAGTGCTAACTTTGAAAGTTTACCACTCTTTTTTCAAAACAGCACTCATTCTTGTAATTTACATTCTTCACATCAGAGAAGAAAGCACACAGTATAGTTGTTCTCTCTGTACTTCTTTGCATCACAGAGAGATGAATAAACATAGAAGTGAAAACTTAAAAAGCCAGAGAGAGTCTGAGGGTGTGTTCAAGTCTTCACAGGAGAAAAATTCACAGCCAGGGAACTGAAAATAGAGTATGCATGAGAATTATATAGCAATTCCAACACAAAGCCTTTCTTTGCTTTTGACATTTGCCTACTCTTGTGAGCTAGCAGAGGGATTAGGATATGCTTTTAATTTCATTACTAGAAATCTGTTGGCAAGAACTCTTGTCTCTGTGAGATACTTTATTGTCATGCATATTTGGATTTCTACAAGATGCATGAAATGGGATTTCACAATTGAATTGTTGAAATTGCCTTCTTCCTACTCATGTGGACATCAGCTATCTAGATAGCTTGAGGTATGTGACCAGGAGAAGGAAAATATATGGCTTAATATACATGCTCATCAAAAAGCGGTCACTTGGGAGCATCTTAGTTACCAGTCTGCTTATGAACTTTGACCTAAAGTAGGGTTACTTACCACCTAGGAAAATTAAACTGATACCTTAAAAGTCACTTACTAGTTTTGCTCTAATAGAAATAACTACTTCAGTGGATTTGGCTTTGCTACCATGAGTATGAACTAAAATATTTATATACACATTTATGTGCTTTTAACAAAAAGAAATATAAAGCATTTGCGCTCAATTGTCTGCACATCTAACACTGAAGTGATTAAGCCTTTTGCGAAGTGGTCACAAAAGAGTATTGAAGACTTACAACAATAATTACAATAAAAGGGAAAGATTTGCTACATGTAAAACAGTATTATAAATTTCATATTTCTAAATCCTAATGCAAAAGTTTTAGAAATAGAGGCTGTAATATGGAGGACTTTTGGTTTGAGAAAGTATGTTTCGAAAGGAGTCTGTTTCCCTATTTTGTTTTACATTGTTTCCCTATTTTGTTTTAAATCAAGTTCTTGAAAATGATTATCCCTATGTCATTCTTGAATTCAGAGATTTTGGAAGATAATTTAATGTTACTTCATCTCTTTAGCAGTATGATGTTTAAGTAACTTTCCAGTGTTTTAGCTTTGAAACTTCCAGTTCTATACAAATTATTTTTTACTGATGAAAACTTTAAAACTTACACTGCTTTTACCAGCTTTTTCATTATGTTCACACCTACATTTCTTGTCTTTTCTTTGCTATATTTCAGAATAGTATTCCCATTTGAAGTTTTATACATATATTTTCACAGGTGCTCTTTTAATGAATTGAGGACTTTCTTTTTAAATTAAAAAACACATTGTTTTATGTAGTTGCCTACTTTGCAGAATAACTTCACAGGCAGTATGCCAAAATCATTTATTTAATTGATAGTTACCTATTGGGCCAGGTATTGTATACTAGGAGCATGATAGGATTCCATTCCAACTTCAAACTCTAGAAATCAGAATTCCCAAATCCCACAACAAAGTTCTTCAATCTGTTAATCAACTCTAACAACCCCAATAATGTTGATACACAGTTTAAAAGAGGCCTGGTAAAATTGTTGATAGAGTTGTTTCTGATTACCTTAACCTAGCTTAATAAACGTTAAAACAATAAATATCTCCTCAGAACTTCATATAGATCAAAATAGCAAACTTCATTTTGAGAAATCAAAACAATTTAACAGTTTGATCATAGTGCAGCTAAAGCTGTTCTGAAAAACATGGTGGGACAATTAAAGATACTTTTAAAGTAATCAGTTTCAGAGATCTGACCGAAAACTGAATATCAACTAAAAATTATGAATATGAGGATGCTTATTTAGCATTAATTTATTAGGGGAAACTGGAATCTTGCCTAGAGTATATAATGAAAAAAATTAAGTGAACAAATTGTTTAAAAGTTGTTTGTGCTTATGTATTTCCAACTTATAAAGACCTATCCATTGGAAATATTTATTACTGGTTTACTCTGTGCTTTGTTACTATTGGGACCATCAAATAATTCTTAAAAGGCATGGCCGGCCCTTATGTAGTTTACCGATAATTGGTTTGGTTGTATTTCTACCTTTTCCAGAGAACTTATAAGTGGGTAGGCAACAATAACACACACAGAACAATTAAACATTAGCACAAGACTGGAGTATAATTAAGTGAAAGTTATGCGGTACTGACCATACCTGTTTCTGGAATTTAGTGAAAGGAGAAGTCAGGCTAGAACCATAGGCAAGGTTTCTTGGCAAAAGTGGAACATGAATTACCCTTTGAAGAATGGGTGGAATTTTATTAAACTAAAGAGAAGGAATGTATTCCAAGCAAGGAGCACATAAGGAAAGGTCTTTTAGCCTCATTTTATGAAACATGAGAGGGGCAACCTCATGGTAAACACAGTGGGAGATATGGTGCATAGGGAGTGTGGGGAAATTTCCAGCATGAAAGCCAGACCCAGGTTTTTTGTTGGTTGATTTGTTTTTTGTTTTGTTTTGTTTGAGATAGGGTCTCCCTCTGTCACCCAGTCTGGAGTGCAGTGGTGTGATCATGGCTCACTATAAACTTGAACTCCCAGACTCAAACAATCTTCCCACCTCAGCTTCCCAAGTAGCTGGGACCACAAGTGTGCACTACCACGCTCAGCTATTTTTTTTTTTTTTTTTTTTTTGGCAGAGCTGGGGTCTCGCTATATTGCCCAAGTTTGTCTCAAACTTTTTGGCTCAAGTGATCCACCCACCTCGGCCACCCAAAATGTTGGGATAATAGGTGTGAGCCACCATGCCTGGCCAAAGACCCAGGTTTTTAAACTTGAGCTAAATAAAAAGTAGGGATCTATCTTGGGCTTTTGAGCAGAGATGCAGTCTGTAGAAAGACTCGTCCACAGGTATTTGAAAGGAATGATATGACCCAGATGGATCCCAAAGGGCCCATTCACCTACAGACTCAACCTGATCCAGGATGAAGCCAGGAGCTCTACATGCACAGAAACTCCTTATCCATAACCTTCCTGAGCTGATGATTGTTAGAATTGTTGAGTTATTAAGAGGAATAAACTAGATGTATAAACTATAATACGAGCTTCCTTTTTAACAATACGAAATATAACTGACAAGCAAACAATAACAAGCCTGATAAACATGTTATTTCTTTTTAGAGTCAAAAGTCTAGCTCATAAGAAGCCTTGATGCGAATGGAATCTGAGCCAGCGAGTTGCTCTATAAGAATCTGGTGGCCTCAAAAGCCTTCTGGGCTCATCTCCCATATCCCCGCTCCCCTGAAATGTTCCTGGCCCTGGTGACTGCCTTTCCTAAGCTCCCTTCACTGTCCAACTCCTCTTGTAATGGACCTGTTATTCCTCAGACCATGTTATAGATTCAGTCCAACAGCAACACTTGCTGGTTTAGGTATGGTCCTGTCCCTTTAGGGGTTAATTTGCATATCTCTACCCTAGCCTTGATTCTAATCTCAGAGGCTAGTCTTATTTACCTTGTCTCTAAATTCTTGGCAGGGGTGGGAGTTGGGAGAGGCACCTCACTGTTCCTCCCAGGTATGTGTATGTGCTCTGACAGTAATAAATTTGGGAGGGTTATTAGAGGAAGATAGAATCCAGAAGGATCAAGAAACTTCTTAAGTGATACACAAATGGATTAAAACGCAGGCAACTGGCTAATTCTCCCTTCTCCTGCACTTACTCTGAGACCAGAATTTCCCAGCATGACTTCTTTGGATCAGCATTTCTTCTCCTTGGCCCCATTAATCTCTGTCCTTTGCCATTGTTCATTAGTAATCCAGGTATGATGTGATATTCCCTTATTAACTACAGCCTCTTGGGAAAGCTAGATGTCTTTTTACCCAGTGACTCTTCCCCACATGCACAAAGGCAAAGGCTGAAATTATGCATTTGTAATCATTTTGATTTCTTCTAATACACGGTATGACTTTGCTCGTTTTTCATACAAGTAGACACTGAAATGTATTGAAGAGTATTAAATGGGAAGGATACTTTGTTTCTGACAAGCCTATATGAAATTTCATTTCACAGCAGAAAAGCAGATCATTATACAAAAACACAGAGGCCCTAGTGTTAATTATATGTGGAAGAAATAATACTTATTGATTAACTCAAGGCATGCTATCAGTGCTGCTTTAAAGCTATAATAACTGAAATGAAAAACAAAAGGTCAATCCACCTCCTATGGGATTTTTCCACAGAGCTATTATATATTATGGATCTGGCCAATCTTCATAGTATTAGTATTGAAAACGAGTGCGATAGCCACAAAAGGTGGTATGAAAACAACTCAGATACTTGTATTTTGTTGCTGTTTCCTTGCAGCTGGTTCATTTTGAAATACAAAAGAGAGTGTTTTCCTATGAAGATGAAGTTCTACCATGTTGATTTTAAACCCTAATTTAAACTCATAGAGCCCTACGTAAAAAAGCAATAATGTTTCTGAGAAGCGTAAAAAAACCTTTAACCTTTTTGCAATTTAGTGTGCATGTGTGCCACATTTGAATTTTTTAAATTCACAATTTTAAAAGATCTGGAGGTTTCATCAAATACCAGAATTCTATAGCTCTCTTATTTAATTTCCTGTTGTGGTTCGATGGTTTAGCTTGGGAAAAAATGGCCCAGCTCACAGGGTTGGATTTTCCTGATCCACACGGATTTCAGAGCAGGCTAAAAATATAGGAAAGATTATTTGGAAGTCTTTGGGCTTACGTGTATATTTTTAAATTTACATATATATGTATTTTCTTTTTTAAAAAAAATCAGGTGGGGAAGAAGGAGCTGATGAAAATGCTCAAATCTGCAGTGAGTTTGATGAAATTGTCCTCAGTACCCCATGTAGCCAACCAAGAATTCCTGCAGGGAATTTCATAGACCAGAGGCAGAAAGTTAGAGGGAAAAGGGGCCCATCTGATGGGCTGAGAGAGGTTCCCAAAAAGTCCCAGGTGCTATTTTGCCTGGGGTGCTCTCTGCATATGCTGCTGCTCTCAGTTTAAATCTCCAAGACAGCCTTGCCCTGCTGGGTTAGATCACAGTGTTCTGTAATTGTTCATCCATTTACTGACTCTCTGGACGTCAAGCTTCTTGAGAGCAGAAATGTCTGCCAGGCACATAGTAGGCACTCAGTGAGTATGTGTTATTTGGTATACATTTCCTATTTCTGGATGAACTGGGGTGAAAGCACCTCAGATTTACCCAGCGTTCAGTTTTAGTAGTAAATAGCTGTTCTGTTGGTTTCTAATTTGAGGAGTGGCACAGGTGGCTGATGCCCAAGCAGAGAATCACACGGATGATGCTAACAAGGACAGGCGTTTTCACTTCCCATTACCACCAGCTTCACGGGGTAGCATCAACCATCAGAAGAGATAACGCCCATTGACCACACATGTTAAAATAACAGAGTATGGCAGGCTTGCCTGGGCTTTGGCCACACATCTGATTGCTTGAGGTTAATGGGATGATTAGTGGGTTGTCTGCTTTGCAAGGCTGCTCTAGCAAGGAAAAGTGAAAGGCAATATCCCCGCGAGTTTGCAAAAAGTCTTAGATTGGGAGCCATGTCTAAAAAGAAGTGTAGGCTTCACTGTAGCAGACTTGCAGGGGTATGTTTAAGGCAAGATGTACAGGGAGTGAGTTGGATGTTTCATAGGAGTAGCTTGTCTTGCATTCCATCTGTGAATAAGAGATAGACCACACCAGAATGAATGGAGAACTCAGCGTGCAAAGGAGAGCGGTACATGAACAAATGAAAGAGGTAGCTAAGAAGAAACAGCTGCTGTTTTGGGGCTTAGATAAATGTTCTTAAAGTGTCAGTTTCCAGTGAAGCCTGTCATAGAATAAACAGAATTTTAGAGGAGTGGCCTCGTTAGGCTTTGCAATTTCTGGACTATATCACCAGGACAGTTTGGATGATTAACACTGAGTTCTATTTTTAGCCCTCTTGAGTGAAAACAGGAGCTCATGTACTTGGCACTCATTAGGAATTTTCCACTCATCCCCCATTTAGAGAGGCACTGATCTAACCCTGGGCCCTTAGAGGAGGCCTTGATCATATTTCAGTCAACCCACAGTGTCATCACCCAGACCAGGCATAGTTTGGGGAATGGAGGGGAGTAATGACTTGAGATCCTTTCCAAGGGAGTCCCGGGTGTTCAACAGAACCTAAGGGCCTTGCAAGATCACACTGGATTCTGTTGAACCTTGATGGATGGAGGAATAACTTTTTGAGGCAAAGAGCAGTAAATGGAAGATTCCTTTAAGTTCACTCTTGCCTAAGGAACAGTGTTCCTGCAGTCACAGCTATTGACTCATTTCATTGCAGGGTGGTACTACGTCATTCTGGTTTGGCTTGCAGGAAGCAAAAAGTAACTTACTTTATGCAGAGGATTCATAAATTAGAAGAGTTGATATCATTTCAAAAACAAGCACTTATGGAGGAAGGGCTGTCGCCAAACTGCGCAGGCTGGCCTCAGCGAGCCAGAGCAGAGCTGTGCCAGCATCTTCAGCAGCAACATATTCAGAGGTCATCAGACAGCATCCTTCTAGAAGCTGGTGGGGAAAACTAAACAACTACTCTCTCAGAAGTTATAGCCCAAGTAAGCGATGCTGAAATGGGTCCAGACGCTGGAAACAGACTAATGTGCAACTCACAAAACAACACCCAGGACACAGACAGGCAGTTCAGGCTGTGGAGTGGGATGTGAATGCAGCCAGGGCATTCTTTCATTGAGACAGAGTAGTCAGGAGCGGACCCTGCCTCTCTCCCAGTCAGACATGAAAAGCTTCATGGTAATAAGTGCTCAGATCCAGGCCGAGGCTCAGTGCAATTTGGATCTTGTTGTTGCATCTATCTAAGCATGGCTAGGAGGGGAAATCTTGGTGTGCTCGTGTTTGATGAAGAGTGTGGACGATGGGTGGAAACTCCTGCCTTTGCCATTTCCTGGTGGGTTGTGCAGGGGCCAGCCACTTCACCATAGAGTCCCAGTTTCCTCCTCCATAAAGGGAAATAAGACCCGGGATGCTCTGGACAGTGTCTGGAGGAGTAAATGACATAAAGGGCTTACCTAACATTGTGCCTGGACTACAGAGAGTGTTTGGTGGTGGACAGCATGAATCACCTGTAGTAATTAGTAAATAATACTTAGCCAGAACTTGCCAGAGTTAAGTTATTTTCCTTGACATTTGAGTCATCAGGTTTGTTGCTTATTTTGGCAGCCAACCCTTCCTTGAAAAGCCATCTAATGACTATAGTTTGGAACTGGCTGGTTTTAGAGCCTGAACTTGCAAAAGGGTGGATGGGGTCATTTTCATTGGGTCTTCGTGATCTGTTTTAATAGCCTCTGCTTCCCCAAATGGAGATGGTACAAGGTCTCTAATCTCACTTCTATCTCCTTTCCACTTCCTTGCCTCTCTCTCTCCCCATCCCCTTCCTTCCTTTCTTTTCTTGCTTTTTTTTTTTTTTTACATTCTCACTTGGTTTCCATCAATCTTATTTGTGTTTCTCCTAAAGCAACAGATGGACAGGGAAGGCCTGACCACAAAACATCAGCATTAGGTTTTCACCAAAGTGATACAAGTCTGAAGGTCTTCATCAGCAGTCTCCCTCATAGTCAGCGCCATACCGAAGAGGCCTGTCCCTCTCATAGGGCCTTCCAGCCACTCCTTCCCCACAGGCCTGATTCTTCTGTGGCTGGGAGTGTGGACTGATTTGTTATGATGTGAGAGATCCCTAGGGCATGACTCTGATAACGTCCAGCAGGGGCCATGACAGGGAGCTGGGGGAGATGTTGGCTTTCAGTTAGAAATTAGAGTTGATTTGTTGTTTTTGTTATTTTCTGATTGTTCACTGCCTGGCCCAGTCTAAGTCTTTGCAACTCTCATTACTCTGAGAGTGAACACTGTATAATGCTATTTCTGGACTGATAAGCATACTATTTCAATTCTCTGGCTGTGTTTAGATAATTATTTAGGAACGTGTTTAGGAATTAGAGAATATGAGTATTCAGAACTATTCTTGACAGTAAAAGCAAGTTGGTTTTTCCACTAGGTTAAGATTATTTCAGGGTCAGTACCAAAATTAGTGCTCTCCAAAATACCAAATTTGCTTAACCTACAGGAACACATTGATTGTCATCTGGTCATATTATACTGCTGTTAGAATGAGTATGTAATCCCTGTGATCGGTCTGATTAGAACATGTTCCCTGTTCTGGCTTCTCCAATCTCTGAACCACGTCAAAAATTAAGCAAAATCAGGGCAGACCAGGAAGGTGCTTACAAAAACAGAGCATAAGGCCAGGCACGGTGGCTCACACCTGTAATCCCAGTACTGTGGCAGCCACAGATTGGACAGATTGCTTAGGCCCAGGAATTTGTGACCATCCTGAGCAACATGGTGAAACCTCGTCTCTACTAAAAATACAGAAAATTAGCTGGGCATGGTGGCATGCACCTGTAGTCCCTGCTACTTGGGAGGCTGAGGTGTGAGGATACATTGAGCCTGGGAGGTAGAGGTTGCAGTGAGCCATGATTACACCACTGCATTCCAGGCTAGGTGACAGAGCGAGATCTTATCTCAAAAAAAAAAAAAAAAGTATAAGACTGATATGCAAATTCTAAATGCATTTAGATAATTAATATGGAAAAGCACCTATTATATATAGGGTGTTATCCAGTTGCAAATGAAATAAAAGGAAACAGAAATATAATAACAACTTACACTTGTATGAGCTTGCTAAATGCTGGACACTAACTACATCACATACATTAATTTAATCCTCATGACAACCCTGCACAGTGGGTGTAGCATTAGAGTAGGAATATTGAGATACAGAGTAGGATTATGCAATAAAATACATGCTCTCAGATGTAGTTGTTAACTCTGAAATTCAGGGAAAACAAGGATGCTATGGGCTGGGATGGAAGGAGAGAACTTCAGAAATGAGATGGGAGGTGTCCGTTGGGTCTGTCTTAGTGTCTTTGGGATGCTGTAACTAAATGTTATAAACTGGGTGGTTTATAAATAACAGAAATTTATTTCTCACAATTCTGCAGTCTGGGAAGCCCAAGATCTAGGCTCCAGCAGTTTCAGTGTCAGGTGCGGGCCACTTTCCCGTAAACATTAGTACCTTCTGGCTGTATCCTCACACGGAGGAAGGGGCAAGGCAGCTCCCTGGGATCCCTCTAATTTTATTCCTGAGGGCTCCACCCTCATGACCTGATCACTTCCCAGAAGCCCCACCTCCTAATATCATCAGCTTGGAGGTGAGGATTTCAACATGAATTTTAGGGGGATTTAGGGGGACACATACCTTCAGACTATAGCAGGGTCCATTTCCCTCAGGGACAGATCTATTGCTGCATTTTCTTAAGGAAACTATTAGCTAATAATTTTTGACTCCCACAATGAAAATAGCTCTCAGTGTATTATGAAATAGAGTTTTATTTTTGGCATGATGAATATTATGACACAGCTTAGCAAATGCCCTCTGGATAACCCGAGACCCTCCCACCAACCCAAAGCAGCACACTTGTTCCCTGCGTCTAAAAACAGCACACCAGAAACAATATTGTGAGAACTGTCTGGTCACATTCCACACACGTCCTTCAGAGGTGCTGAAACCAAAGGCAACGGTGGTTAAGGAAGAAAGAACATTCTCAAGGCCCCGATGATACTCATGCTAGGTATTCGGTCCACATTTTACTCAAAATTCCCTCCCCGGAAATCACTTTGCTTCGAGAGTCCATGCTACAGAATGACAGAGACTTTCTTTGAAGGCCTGTAGTTTTGGTATCTCAAACTTGAAGAGAATTTATATAGCACATCTTTTCTGGTAATTGTGAGTAATAAAATCATAATATGCTGTTTATAGTGACTCAATAACGCAGATTACAAATTCAGCACATCTTCAACTACTTCCCTACTTTATATCAGAGGATGTATTTGATTTGAAAACAACTTAGCAGTCATTTAGTTATACGGGGCATTTTTTGCACTAAATGGTATTTCAAGCCTGAGATTTCCTTTTTTCATCTATTGATGCTGACAGTGGAACAAAAAACTTGGAAACCTTAAATATTGTTGTTGGTGGTATTACAAAGAGAAATGTTTCATGCTAAGCCTTCTGCCCTGATCTTTATTATTGATTAAGTAGCTAATCATGTATGGACAAAAGGGTAAGTTTAAAAAACAGTTGGTAAAACAAGCATTTGGCCCTCAGAGAAATATGGCACAGACTTTTTTAATGGTCGGAAATCTCATAGTAGTGATAATAATAAACACTGTACAATAATATATGGCAATAGATTAATGGGTGGGACACAAATTTGCAAAGAATTAATGCAGGATGATATACAGGAGTGTAATCTAGACAAAAACACAACCACGGGTATTATTAATATTATGATGCAAGCTTTGCCATTTGAATGGGATACAAATGAATGAGTCAGACTTGACTTTGTAAGTTTTTACATGCTTATATAATGTGAAAATTATCTCCTTAAGGACTAGACTTATAAATATTTGCTTAATACGATTCATTAATTAATCATGTGAAAGTGCTTATCTAGCATAAAACTAGGGGACTCTCGGTATCCGTTTTTGTTTTTTCAGAATGAAAGTGCCCTTGTGAAAGAAAAAGAGCTGTCAATCGAACTTGCAAACATCAGGGATGAAGTTGGTAAGTAGGGCATTGACAATGAGGAGCATAAAGAATGTCTTTTCCTGATTCCTGTGAATGTGTACCAAAAGCAATTATGCCTCCTGTAATAAGCCAGTGCAAACCTGCCTAGATGAATGAAGTATCTCACCCAGCACAGTGGTGGGCTGCTGTAGCCTTAGCGGGGAACCATAATTTTCACGTCTCCGTTGTTATAAAGACAGCTTCCTAACAGTTCACAGTGGAACTCATCAGGTCTTGACTGTGCTATTTGCAGATGGCAGCTCATACATCAGTCTGCACTGATCTATCTGGGTCCCCTCTTATAAAACGAGGTGCTGTCTGCAAGATGCAGATGTTCCATGGCTTCCTGCCACTGTCTACCCTGTCGTGAAATACTCTGTGATCTAGAACAAGGTCAAAAGCACAAATCTGGTTGGATTAAAAATACGAGAGTTCATGTTGAAATTTCTAATATTTGGCTGATGAAACGGTTTGGTTCAGTCTGGACCACGGAGACCTTACAAATAAAATGATCCCCAAACCCTGGGGATGTGGCTTTCACCGTAGGTCAAGGACAGGACCAGGTATTTGCCATATTCTCATTGCTTGATCCCATCTTCCCTCTCGACCATCTGTTATTCTCTTTCCCCAGGAATCAGTCAGCAAAGCTGAAATACACATGGTCTGTTCCTATTGCCCGCTATTCTCTTTACCAGTGAGCACTCCTCCTCCATCTAGTGTGGTCCTGGGAGCAGCCCACCATGTGCAGGTGTGGCTTCCTCCGTGAGTGAAGGGATTGGAGCAATCCCAGGTGTCCTTGGCAAGTAGCCAGCCATGCGGATAGGCAGAAGGCTGAACTTCCCCAGGGACCACAGGCCCTCAGGTGTGCAGTGGACAGAATAGTGAGATCCAAGCATAGCTTTCCCCAACCCTTTGTATTCCTCTCTCCCTTTGTTAAAATGTTTTCTTTTTCTCCCCTGTGAGTTCTGTGACTTCTTTTAACATTAAAGTAGGTCTGCAATGGTCTCTTCTCCTCTCTAAGGACAGCAGATGCTTGTGGGGAAACAACAAATAACAGGCCCCTTCCCAGACTTGCTAGTGTGTGATCCGGAGCAGCAGGACCCTGCTACTGCTGCAGGGACACCTACACCCGGACACCCCTTCTCCCCCACCAGGAGAAGCCCAGGGGTTGACGCCAGATGTAGGCTTCTTCCAACAGTCGGCTAGGAAAGGCAGGGTGTGAGGAACCCTGGAAAGCTGAGGTCCATGGGAGCCATATGTGACCTGGCTGGAAAGAGGAGCGGGAGGGGAGAAAGTGGCCCCACTCCCCGCAGACGCTTGCTGGAGAAGTCTCATCCTTCCTCTTTGCCATTGTTGTTGTTTTTATGGAGATTGAGCCTAATTTCTATTTGTTGGGTATCACCCCAAGCAGCATTCACAGTGACAGCTGCAGTGATGACCTCATTGCCAAGGCCTCCATGATTGAAGCCTCTGTGTCCCCATCTGTTTCTTCACCAATGTGGCCACGCCTCATGATCCAGATGCCCACATCTGGCCTCAAAGACCCGTGTTGAGAGTGGCCCCCACTTTTTCCTGAAGGGAAGCTCCTGGTACACTCACTGGTGACCCTGCCCAATGCCAGGGACTGTTTCTGTTCTTCTCTAAGGAAGGACTCACCACCCTTCACCCGTGGAGCCATGGGTCCCATGTGATTGGCTGCCCTCCCGTGCATGCACACATTGTACATGTGTGCACACACACATGCACACATGGGAGCCATCCTCCTCGATGACTCCCATGGTTCCTTTAAAAGGACCTTCTGCCTCCTTCCCCACTGATGGAAACTACCTTATCAAAAAGGATTTTTTTTAATCAAAAAAATCCTCACCTGATGAACTGCAAAGACCCCCTTCTCCACTCACCGGCTTTAGGGCCTGTCCTCAGTTGGAGGTGACTCTGAGGCCTCTCCTCCTGAGCGAAGCTGCCAAAGAACAGGTTTCACCTCTGCTGACCTTCAGGTCAGTTCCCAGGGGATGTGGAGGTGGAGACAGCTGGGAGACCTTGCCTCATCCCCTTCTGGAATCTGCCCCTCCCCACCTTGTAGAGGTAGAGACCCTTGGAGATGGCCCCTGATGACACTGTGGGGGCAGCTCAGAGGCCTAGGGTAGAGGTTCCAAAATTCTCAATTCACAGCGACCACAGTGTCTCAGTAATTTTTTTTCACAGTATCAAGGCCAAATAAATACCTCCCAGCTCTATTTAGAAAGGAGGTAAGTCTAAGCCACTTAAGTGTGTATGTTCTAACAACTTTGTGGCCGTTTGAAAAACTGAACATAAATGGAAAGAAAACAATATATTTTTGTTTTATTCTTAAGGAACCACAATGACTTGCTTGTGATTGGGCCCCACACAACGTCTCAGACCTTGGCATCTGATTGGATAAGGCTATCCTTGCATCTTGTTTCACACTGATTTTCACTGCATACTTTTTATCACAGCAGCAGCCAAAACCTCAGCTTTGCAAAGATATGATATCATGAAAGGGGATGAAGTGTGAGCTAGTGATGAGCTAATGTCAAAACTCTGAATCCCCCAAACCAGCACAGGGAGGCAGCATTGGTGTGTTTCCCTCGGAAGTATTGATAGAAGAAACCCTGCAGTGCCCTGTGATTTGCTGCAGTGGCCCAGGGTGCCTCAGCACACAGTTTGCAAACCACAGGCTTGAGGACACTTCCCTGCCCTCAGTGGCCGAGAGACTTGAGCATGAGGAAGGTTGGGTCTTCAGAGACTCAGGAACTGAAAGATGCTTATGAGTTATAGTTCAGCTAGAACAATGTGCAGTGTTACCCCCTGTAATTTATAGCTCCTGCTGCCTTTCCTCCTCTTTTAGCAAGATATGTTGGTCTTAGTTAAGATAGAAAAGCATTGAATTATATGAGGGCTGTCAAGTCTGTAGCCCTGAAATGCTATAAGCCAATCCCAGAGTATGCTTCTCTATGAAATAGATGAGTTTCTAGGGGGTTCCAAGGCTTGGCAGTTCTGAGCATGGGCTTTAGGTTCAGGTGGGGCGAGCTGGTAGACCTCTCTGTCCCACAAGTTCCCCTTCATAAAATGGAAAGTCAATTAAAGAAGATAATGCCGATGAAGCAGTCTGTAAAGGTGACTCTCATAACTATCCGGTGTGTAGCACCTTGAAACCAAAGATAAAAGATGGAAATTTCCACTCCAGGGTGAATTTCTCCCTAGAGAGACTTCTGCACTCCCCATGGGCAAGCTTTGGCTCTGGGGGCCCTGTGTCCCCTGATGCAATTGGGTTGGGTGCCGGGTGTGCCAAGTGCAAGGCTGCTTCTCTCTGTGCTTTCCTGAAGCTTCTAAATGCAGCAGGCGCTACACAAGGATTACATTGAGTTTTGGGTTGAAATCTTATTTGATTTCTGCCTAAGTGCCAAGAATAGAACCAGAATTACCTGCCAGATGAAAAAGCTACTGGAGGGAGGGCGGAAGGCCTTGGCAGCACCACCGCCTGGTTCCTTCAGCCCAGCTTTCATCCCTGGCACACACTTCAGCAGCAAGCACCCAGTCTGCAGCTGAGATTGCATTGGTGAGAGAAGAAAGACGGAGGGGAATGTGGGGATCAACTGTCAACCGTAAAGCGCATAAGCTCTGGCTTCTAGACATGCAGTGTATTCTCTTGATGGGAGAAGAGCATTGAACATGCAAACCTGGCTTACAGGTGGCCCAGAGAGGGTAGTATGGCCAGTCCCTTCCCCTTAGCACCAGTCCTGTCCTAAGTTAAGGCTCTTGTCAGCTGAGTCTAATGGGAGCTGGACGTGGAGGGATGTGGGGGGACATGGGGGAGATGGAATTTCTAAGGCTCTGAATTCAGACAAGGAAGAAGGGAAGAAGGTGCAGAAAGTCAGAATAGTTAGATGTATTTATTGCACATTCCAGAACAGGGCTGCCCTGTCTCCCAAATCTAAAAATTGCTGCTTAAACTGTTTCATATCCATTAAACTGCTGCCCTAAATTCCACCAATATCTGTTAATAAATACCCATCCATTGTCCCAACTTCTGAGGTGAATAAATGCAATCCAAAGCTTTAGCATCTGGACTGAGCACAGCGGCTCACACCTATAATCCCAGCACTTTGGGAGGCTGAAGCAGATGGATCACCTGAGGTCAGGAGTTGGAGACCAGCCTGGCCAACGTGGTCAAACCCCATCTCTACTAAAAATAAAAATTAAAAATTAGCTAGGTGTGGTGGTGGGTGCCTGTAATCCCAGCTAGTGAGGAGTCTGAGGCAGGAGAATCGCTTGAACCCGGAAGGCGGAGAGGTGACAGTGAGCCGAGATTGCGCCATTGTACTCCAGCCTGGGCAACAAGAGCAAAACTCTGTCTCAAAACAAACAAACAAAAAAAAGCCTTTAGCATCTGGTCAGAATCAGCTTTGTCTGTGTTCACAGGCCTGATGCATGTTAGACTCACCTGCAGTGCTGCCCTAGGCAACAGAATCAAAATATTTGAAGGTGAGGCCTGGGCCATTTTTTTTAAAGCCCCCTTATTAAGTACAGTGAAGTTGGAGATTCAATGAACTACACTGAAGGAACAGGGAGTTTGATTTGGGCCAGGGACAGGGTTGAGGCAGGGAGTATATCATTTGGGATAAGCCCAGGAGGGCAGGATCCCATCATGGGGGGCCCTGGGCAGCAAGGCAGGCCAAGGGAGAGTGGCACAGGTGGGTGGGGAAAAGTGCAGAAAAGGAAGATGCAAAAGACAAATTGTACCTGTTTGGAAATTATACAGAGGCTGGCCTGGTTTCTGAGAAATGACAGAGGATATCCCCTTCCTTCACTCCCGCCTCCTTCCTTTGCCTTTGCCTGTCTGCCTGGGGGACTCAGTCTTCTCAAGTCAGCTACCCTCCTGGTTAGATGGACTTTGGGGAGCTAAGCATGGAAAGTAATCCCCAGTACATTTGCAGACACTGCCCATTTATACCTTCCCATTTGTGACATCTCTGGTGGTATCACGACTGTATCTTCTAGAAGGTCTGTAGTTTGCATAGTGCCCTCTACCAGAGACTTGACTTGTGTCCTCACACACTGGAAGATAATCTCCAATAGTTTTTAAGTAGGAATTTCCTGGCAATTGATTTACAAATAAACCTTGAGGACATGCCCTAGTGAGTGCTGTTTTCTGATGCCCGGGGTGTGGAGGGTTTCTCCATACTGATGGCCAATTCTTCCTCATCAGCTGAGTGTCCAGTGATTCCATTCAGTTCTGACACTAAGGACCCAGTGTTAGTATAGACTCCCAGGTTGAGGGCTCAGTCCCACAAGACCACCTCCACCTCAGAAACCAGTCCTAAGTCTCAGTGGCCACCCAAGGTTCTGTCCAATCTGCTATAAACTCAGAGGTTGCCATAACTGCCTCCTTAGGTTTGATAATTCACTAGAATGATGCATAGAGCAAGGTATATGGCAGGGGGTGAGGTGGGGAGTTTCCATGCCCTCTGGGTGCACCATCTTCCCTGCACTTGGTATACTCACCAACCCTGAAGCCCGTTGAATCATGTTCAAGAGTTTATATAATTCTGGCCAGGCACAGTGGCTCATGCTTATAATCCCAGCACTTTGGAAGGCCAAGGCAGGTAGATCACTTGAGGCCAGGAGTTCAAGGCCAGCCTGGCCATGGCGAACCCCATCTCTACTAAAAATACAAAAAAAAAATTAGCCAGGTATGGTGGCAAGCACCTGTAATCCCAGCTACTCGGGAGGCTGAGGCAGGAGAATTGCTTGAACCTGGGAGGCGGATGTTGCAGTGAGCCAAGATTGTGCCACTGCACTCCAGCCTGAGTGACGGAGCAAGACTCTGTCTCCAAAAAAAAAAAAGAGAGAGTTTATATAATTCTATCCCCAGCCTCTTCCTCTCCCTCTGTCCCTGGAAGTTGGTGGGTGGGACTGAAAGTTCCAATCCTCTAATGACTTGTTCCTTCTGGTGACCAGCCCCATCCTAAAGTCAAACAGGGACCCTACCCTAAGTCATCGTTAGCATAAACTCAGGTGTGATTGAAAGGGAATCATTATGAGTCACAAAAGGTAATCCTACCACTCGAAAAACTCCAAGCATATTAGAGACTTGTGCCAGAAACTGGGGAGAAGGACCAAATATATTTTATACCACACCCAGACCAGGTCCTACAGTCATGGAGAATGATTCACTCATTTAGCGAGGTTCTGAGCACCTTGTATGGAGCAGGCAGAGAAGTCATAGGGTTTTAGGGCTGGTCCAGACCAGAGTGACAGTACCCTATCCATTTCATTTTAGGGATCAGTCTACAGATTTGTTTCAAAGATCTTGGCTAAAGCTGGGACATGTGCAAAAAGCACCAGAGGAAAAACTTTGCACACATTTCTCTTTCTATATATCAGAGTCTTCATACTTGTCATTTCATAGCCATAAAATGTTCTATAGTGCTGACAAACTACAGTAAGTTCCTTTTCTTTGAGCATTTGGATTTTTACCATTTTTTGCTGTTATGCAACAAGTATAGTGTTTGCAAATTACTTTTTACCTCTTTTGTTATTTTCTTGGGAATATATTCTCAAAAGCACTGACTGATAATTTTGGGAGGATTTTACATTTGTCCCAAGTGTATCTGTAATGCAAAACGTGTTGGATATTTATTCTGTAAATCAAGATTATGGTGGATTTCATCTTAGTGTTGCTAGGGTTGCCTTATAAAGAGGAAATTAAATTTTCTCTCTCTCCCTCCCATGCACACACACATACACACAAATGAGAAGAGACACATAATATCTAAGTGTATATCAGGGTGTGGTTTAGGACGGAGCTTTTATGGTTCAAGAGTAGAGTCCCTATGGAGTGGCTGAATTTGCTCATATTTGTGTTACATTGTACATGTTGATTATCCACAGTTCAAAAATCCAAAATCTGAAATGCTCCAAAATCCAAAACCTCTTGAGCACCGACCTGATGCTCAAAAGAAATGCTGATTGGATACTTTCGGATTTAAGATTTTTAAATTAGGGATGCTCAACTAGTAAGTATAATGCAAATATTCCAAAATAAAAAAAAATCAGAAATGTGAAATGCTTCTGGTGCCAAGCATTTCAGATAAGGTATACTCAACATGTGTTTCCTTGGAGACAGGGCACTCTGGTGTCAAAAATGAAATCAGATCAAGTTAGATTTTAAAGAGTATATGATGCATACAAAAGAATACGTCATGAACCGGGAGACCTCAAACCAAAAAATGCCACTACGGCTCAGTTTTATAGCAGTTGCAGCAGTTTCTAGAGCATAAAGGGGGAGTATTTTGACTTTTTTCATGATTGGCTGTCATATATTCTTTTTTAAGGCAAATAGAGCTATTTGAGCTGATTCATCTGTAGCTGATTGGTTTGATTTCATTGAATCATGCTTATAAAGACCAAAAGCTTACTTGTGTGTTTCGTTTAGGGCTAGGATAATTACCCGTTTGGGGAAATCAGGGTGACTTAAGTTTTGGTTACCTGGCTCTAGGTGGTTGGCCTTGGGGTATCTAAACTGTTGTCTCCATTTTTTTTTTTTTTTTTTAATGCTGGTCATAAAGTATCTCATCCTCAACTCACCCTCCATGGGTGATGGCTCTTGTCTGTGGGGTTTACGGGAATTGGGTGTGTCCCTGGAAAAGGCTTCCCCAGGTGGTGGTGGTTGTGGGGATTAAAGGGCATTTTGGATCCCCAGGAAACCAGAATCCAGCACCACACCCAGGGAGGAAAAGCAGAGATGCTAGAAATATATTTAATATTTGATTTTTTAATCACATTTAAAAATGTTCCAGAAAATAAAATATGACCCTTGATTTTTCTGATGGAACACCACACTCCAAATTTCAAAGTCGAATATTGAATAATTGAAGAGCACTGATGTATTTGTAAGCACTGAAATCGGTTTATAAGATGCTCTTCCTCAGAAAGGATTATCTCCTTTCGAGATCATATGCCTCAAGTTTTGTTTACTGCCATCAGGTAGATGTTTAAGGTTCTCTCCCTAGCCAAGCTGAGAGAGAAAATGACATCACAGTCACATTGTGACTGCCTTATTAGAAAACCTGAGTCTTAAAAATCAACATGAATTAAACAAACTCCACCAGACAGAAAACATGCAATGCAGCGGTGATACAATGGAGCCTTCTGGCTGGCACCCCTAGCTAACCCTGCTGCCCTGCCAGCCAGACTGGAAGGCCTGTTGATGTGAATGAACCAATGATACTTCCCCAGCAAAACACCTGTCACGCTCTTTCCTGGGGCTGCTCAAAGCTGTGACTATCTGAATGTGGTGTGAAATTGGCTCTTAACTTTGAAGTTCTCAATCACCCCAGCTGCTGGCTTCATTGGCCAGAACTAAGTCACAAGGCAAATTTAGCCACAGTGGAAATGGGGAAATGTCTTTTTTTTCCCCTTGGTGAGCTTGCCCAGATATTGCCCAATTCACCTGCAGCTGCCCCCAGTCCCCAGTACTGCTGGACAAAGCTGCCTCCTGTGCCTGTACCCCTTTCAGAGCTTGTGACAGCCTCTGTTCTCGGTGTCCCCACCCAAGCCAGGCCACTGGTTTTCATCTTCCTTCTGAGTTCAGATTTAAGATGGACTTTACTTTTTTATGTTTTCTGAACACTTTAAAAATACTTAAAATGAAATACAGTTGAAAAACAGAGTGCTCTTTTTTTTTTTTTTTTTTTTAAGATGGAGTCTCACTCTCACCCAAACTGGAGTGCAGTGGTGTGACCTCGGCTCACTGCCACCTCCGTCTCCCGAGTTCAAGCGATTCTCCTGCCTCAGGTTCCCTAGTAGCTAGGATTACAGACACGGGCCACCACGCCCGGCTAGTTTTTGTATTTTTAGTAGAGTTGGGGTTTCGCCATGTTTGCCAGGCTGGTCTTGAACTCCTGACCTCAAGTGATCCGCCCACCTCGGCCTCCCAAAGTGTTGGGATTACAGGCATGAGCCACTGTACCTGGCCTAAAGCACTCTTTCTAGCAGAGTTTCTCAGGTATTGTACAGAAATCCAAATAGTTAAATCCATGTTTTGATTAAGGTCAGTTTATTGAACTATAGCAAAACAATACCTGAATGTTTTCTATAATATAAAATAAAGATATAGAAAAAAATTTTGAGAGCTTGATATTAACGTATGGTAGGAATATAAGTTTGCGGCAGTGAGCACTGAATTGTTATTTATTATGTTCTTAAGTTATTAACTAGCATGCATTTTTCAGTATGCTCTCATTTATGACTAGTAGCCCACACATACACACACATACAGTGGAAGGTATTTGTGAGATGATTTACCATTCATGGTTATCCAAAAAAATTATCTTCTGGTCGTAATGATTATAATCTCTTATAGTTACACAGTGCTTAGTACCTCCAAGCTCTTCCATATGACATGTTTTATTTATTCAAACAGTAAAGGAGGTATTGGTATCCATATTTTATACATAAGAAAACTGAGGGTCAGAAAGAGTAAGTGATTTCCTAACAGCGTACAGCTGGTGTGGGACAAAAGTCTTAAATTCTTCCCACATACAGTATCTAAGTATCTATAGCATTCGCACCCTGACCACCAAGTGGTTTTTTTTTTTCCAATTTTTAATTTGGTAAATTAAAATATCAGATAAACAAAATAAAATAGTTGTTACTCCTAACTCCATATGACTTCTACATAAAACCATGATAGATGCTAGTATAAATCTGTCCAAACATGGATTATAACACAGTGTGATTTAATTGGTCCTAGACTATATCCATTAGGATTGGGTTCAGGCATGAATAACAAAATCCCGAAACAATGGTAGCTTAAGGCAGCTGTTCATTTCTCTCTTACATAAGAGTCAGAAGGTGAGCGCTGAGGAGCAGCTGTGGTTCTGCTCCCCGTCCTCGGGGACCCAGGCTCCTTACAGCCACTGTCCTATGACCGCAAGGTGGAGGACCATGATGCCCCCCGACCACGGTGCAGTGTGACACTTGGTGTGACAGTCATCACATCTATATTCCAGGTGGCAGGCTGGAAGAAGGAATGAACAAAGAAGCAGAGAAAGTGGGTCTGCTCTCTCTGGGGGGAAGTGTCCAGGAACTGCACTTGACTATACATCTCTTTGGCCAGAACTAAGTCACAAGTCAAATTTAGCCACAATGGAGCTGGAGAAATGTGCTTTTTTTCTCGTTGGTGACCTTGCCCAGATATTATTTTATTACTATGGAAGAAGGGGAGAATGTGACTAGCACCCTATGTCATAGGTCCTCAATTGCCTCAACACTTAGATGGGGATAGTAGTCCTGTCGTATGTAAGTATGAGGTAGGTGAGGGCAAAGGATCTAGCAGAATGTTTGGAAGAATAGTGGGTGCTCAGTGTGTGTTAATTCCCTTAAATTTCAGATTAGATTCTGCTGTTTCCTCTCTCGCCCAGCTTTAAAGAAGCTGACTCAAAATTAAGAAACCAAGAAACCAGCAGAAAAAATAACGAACCTTGGGATCACAAAAAGAATGTACGTTTTCTGATTCATAAAAATATCTGTTCTAAGCACACCAACTAAAAGACAGAGTTTGTCAGATTGGATAAAAAAAGAAAAGCAAGACTTGGCTACATGCTGCCTAAAATAAACCTGCTTCAAATATAAAGACACAAATAAGTTAACAGTGAAAGGATGAAAAAAATATATACTATACTAACATCAATCAAAAGAAAATTGGAATGTCTATATTCATATCACACAAAGTAGACTTCAGAGCCAGGAATATTGCTAGGAATGAAGTTGGCCATTACATAATGAAAAAGAGGTTCATTTACCAAAAAGACATAACAATACCAAATACCTACATACCGAACAATAGAGCTTCAAAACACATGAAGCAAAAATTGATAGAACTGAAAGGAGAAATAGACAAATCTACAGTTATGATTGGAGACTCCAGTACTCCACTCTGAGTAACAATAGAAAAAGCAGGCAGAAAATCAGTCAGCTGTAGAAGACCTGAACAACGCTATCTTCCAACTTGACCTTACTGACGTTACAGAATGCTCTATCCAACAGCAACAGAATACACATCTTTTTCAAATACATGTGAAACATTTGGCAACACAGACCATATTCTGAGCCATAAAACAAACTTCAACAAATATAAAAGAATTCAAAGTATACAAAATGTTTTGAACTATAATATAGTCTATAAATCAATAACATAAAAATATCTGAAAAAAAAACCTCCAAACATTTGGAAATTAAACAACATCCAAATAGCACATAGGTCAAAGAGGAAACCACAAGATAAATTAGGAAATATGTCAGATTAAATAAAAACACAACATATCAAAATCTGTGGAATGCAAAATTCTCTCTGATTAGCAGAGTTGGATCTTCTCATTCAATTTGCCCAACAATATTTAGAGGGCACCAGAAATATATACCAAGCTCTTTCCTAGGTAAGGTGATGGTGAGGTGAGGAGTATTATTTGAAAGAAGGTTTAGATTTAGTAGGTTTCGTGTACTGTCCAATTTTTTTTTTTTTTGAGATGGAGTTTTGCTCTTGTTGCCCAGGCTAGAATGCAGTGGCACAATCTCAGCTTACTGCAACCTCCGCCTCCTGGATTCAAGCAATTCTCCTGCCTCAGCCTCCCAAGTAGCTGGGATTACAGGTATGTGCCACCATACCCAGCTAATTTTTTTTGTATTTTTAGTAGAGACAGGGTTTCACCATATTTCTCCAGGCTGGTCTCAAACTCCTGACCTCAGGTGATCCACCCGCCTCAGCCTCCCAAAGTGCTGGGATTATAGGCATGAGCCTCCATGCCCAGACTACTGTCAGAAATTTGAGAGTGACAATATAGCTTCAAATAAAATTACTGATTTCCTTGCACAATGGACCACTCAGCATGACTAGGTCTGGGAATTACCTGCCCCTCTTATAGGAAAATAATATCAGTTCTAAGCTGGGAAAATTTCAAACCAGTGATGTCAACTGCCGTGATTAGATTTTATGCCAGTAAATATAATTTTCTAAAGTCATTTTAGTTTCTATCCCAAACAGGTGCTTACCCATGCATAGTAATATCAATACTGCAAACTCCCTTAAATGTACCAGAGACTGGGTTTGGTTGCCATGGAAAATACATTATCAGCTACAATTTCACAAAACTGCTACACTTTGAGAAAATAATTCATTCCAGTTGGCAGCAACATATTTTTTGATATTTATAAAATTCTTTTACATCTATATGCATAACGCTTTCTGGTTATTTTATGTGGAGGTGTTTGTTTTGTAACCCTTTAAAATGTTTACTCTTTTATGAATAAAGATAAAGATAACTTTTTTCTGATATATGCTATTATTTTTGAGACAGAGCCTTGCTCTGTCACCTAGGCTGGAGTGCAGACGTGCAATTGTAACTCCTGGGCTCAAGTGATCCTCCTGCCTCAGCCTGCAGAGTAGCTGGGACTACAGGTGTATGCTACTACACCCAACTGTGTATATATATATATATATGTGTGTGTGTGTGTGTGTGTGTGTGTGTGTGTATATATATATATATTTTGTAGAGACAGGGTCTCACTGTGTTGCCCAGGCTGGTCTCGAACTCCTGGACTCAAATGATCCTCCTGCCTCAGCCTCCCAAAGTGCTGGGATTACAGATGTGAGCCACTGTGCCTGCTAATGTTAATATTTTTAAATCTGTGAGTTTAATCTTTAACTAACCTGAACTGACTGGCTAGAATAGCTCCAATACCAAGGGCAACCCCTAAGTCACCCTGGGGACAAGCAGCTTCTGGAAACAGAGTCAGCTGCCTCCACTGGTTTGGGACTCCATAAATCTAATATTTAAATAGTGGTGTATAGTTTACAAAGCTCTTTCACACATTATTGCATTTGATCCTGACAACAACAGTAGTAGATAGGCAAGGGAGATAATACCACCATCAGTTTCACAGTAAATACATCATGGCTATACAGAATAGAAGCAAACCCCAAATCACATACCTATTAAGAAGAACAGAGCTGCATCCTTATCTCTTCCCACCATAACCATATCAGGCCATCTTTGCTTTGTAAGATCTAAATTGGTGTCTGAGAGAAGATAATAAATAGCAAGAAAAAGACATAACGTGTTACAGATATAACCTGGAAATGGCTGAAGAGCATTTGCAAAATATATGTTGTAAATTACAGACAATCACATGCAAATTATGCAAACATAATCGACTCAGTTGAGTTTCTCGTGAACCTCTTATTTTTCAGGATATGTTAAGCCTCTGGCCCAGGGATTAGCACAATGAATGTGGGGAATTCAACTGCTTCATTTTATAAACTTGATTGAACACAGATGTACCCTTTGCTATGCCAGGAGGAAAAGAAAGATGTGACCAGGGCTCTGAGCTCCTGAAATGCCTGTGTATTGGAGAGACAGACACATAGCAGGTCATTCATATCCAGTGTAGGGAGCAAGGTACTGGTGGTCTGGGAGTTCGGAGGAGGGTTTGTAACCCAGTCAGGGGTTCAGAAAAGGAGGTAGGGGAAAAACAGCTTAAAGGAAATGTAGGAGTCAGTGAACAAATGATTCTTCCATACACTTGATCAGTTTCAGAGACAGCATTAATGACAACATTGACTTAATCTCTCTACTGGGAAACAGGAAAAACAGTGAAGACAGTTCTGTTTCCATATGGCTATCTCTAAGCAGGAGGAGTAGAGCAAATGAGTTCATGTTTATGAAACTTACTATTGCTTGCATAAAAAGCAGGGCCGGTGTCTGGGATATGAGGCTCAAATGATTCTTGGCAGATTTTTTTAACATGTGATTTTTTTGTGTCATGTCTAAGCCATTAAGAATTAGCCTGATTCACTCAAAGAACCACTGATACCACCAGGGCCATGGTTAGGTATTAAATGTACTATCAGTCTATTTGCTTAATTTGGCAGATGATTTGAACAAATATATAAACTGCAGTGTATGTTTATATAGTAGTCAAGTCTCTTTTTGATAAGAATTGCACTTTTTCTTTTTCGGTCAAAGGACGTCAATCTGTTGAACAAGATGATAACTTGACCAATTCTGCATTGCAACTAATCATGTAAAGACCTAAGTAGGTGACTACTACTGAAGCCTAAGTTTCGGTATGAATCTGATGAAGAGCCAGGGCTCTTCAATACAGCTGTTTTCTTTTTACAAAGGTCCTGATGAAGAACATGGTCAGAGTTTAGCCAGTCAGAAAGATGATTCCAGGTGAGGTGTCATCTGGAGAGACCAGGCTGGCAGCTAAGTGCAGGCGCTTACCTTAGTGGATTCCCTGTGGTCCAGCTTTTTAAATTTTCCTTGTTAGTACACCAGGAATGGTTCTGACTTTCAGGGAAATACTTTTAACTAAGTTTACTGGAGCACGATGTAGAAAATCAAATTGCCAATTTATTAATTTACAATAAGAAATATGTCTCTTTGTAGGCAGATCTACCTGGGAGCAAGGTGATAGTGGTCTAGGAGTTTAGAGGAGGGTTGTTACCCAGTCAGGGGTCCAGAAAAGGCCGTAGCAAGGAAACGCAGGAATCAGTGAACAAATGATTCTTCCCTACACTTGATCAATTTTAGAAAGCCAAAATTGTAATCAGTGGCTGCTCAGTGGACCAAAGTCAGTCGTGTGCTGTATAAATACTAATGGCATCTTGCCGAGATACCCCTGAGGAGCTATCTGCATAACTATTTCTTTTCTAGTTCCTCAGTCTTTAGACATCCCCATGGGAGGAGAGGGAATCCTATTAGAATCACCTGGAAGCTTGTACCAACTCTTCATGCCCTGTCTTCTGCTTCTAGCCATAATAGCATAACTGTTACTGGATGTGATAACCACCAGTACACAGCTATAAAGCAGACCAAACATGAGGCAACTGTTTCTAAGCACTGCACATTTGACACCATAGCCTGTAATCCTTGGGAAAAGGGAAGCACATGAAATGAGTCAGCTTACTGCCTGGGGCTACTCACCAAACCTGGGCGTGGGAGGTGTCCAGGTAGTGGCTGCCATCTTGCTGGGCCGAAGAGGTAAACACCAGAGTACAGGGCAATTGAAGTGACTGGGAATTCCTCTAGCTACTAGTGGGGTGAGCACTGGACAGGAGTAAGCTGAGCAAAGGAGAGCCCCAGGGATTACATGGGGGGTTTCCCGTGTGATCTTAGCTGAAGGGTAGGCTGCACATATTCAGAGGGCCTGCAGGGGGCAGCTGAAGCAGGTCTGAGCACTGAGTGGAGGTTCCTCTGGTTGTGCAGTGCTGGGAAATACGGGAATTCCAGCCCAGTCAGGGTGGGAAGAGTCTCACCAAGTACTGTGAGCAATCAGTTGAGACCTGAGAAAGGCCAGTCTGTAGAATGACCATTATCTAGAACAAGTGTCTGTCTAGCGCGAAAGACAAATAAAACCATGTGTGACAGAATCAAAGGAATCCAGTAAGTTAACTGCCTGCCAGAACAACACACTCAATGCCCATTAAAGGAAGACAGTGTCATACCAACTCCCTGCAATACATCATCCACAATGTTGAGCATGCATAAACAAAAATAGACATACAAAGAAGCAAGGCTATAATCAAGGAAAAAAGTAGTCAGTAGAAATGGGTATTGAGGGTCAGGTATGTTAGCTCACACCTGAAATCCCAGCACTTTTGGGGGCCAAGGCAGGTGAATTGCTTGAGTTCAGGAGTTCGAAACCAGCCTTGGCAACATGGCAAAACCCCATCTCTACAAAAAATACAAAAATTAGCTGGGCATGGTGGTGCACACTGGTAGTCCCAGCTGCTCAGGAGGCTGAGGTGGAAGGATTGCTGGAGCCCGGAAGGTTGAGGTTGCAGTGAGCTATGATTACACCACTGCACTCCAGTCTGGGCAACAGAGCAAGACCCTGTCTCAAAATAAAAATAAAAATAAAGTTGTGTAAAAAAGAGAAAGAAATGGGTATTGAAATGCTCCAGATGTTGTAATTAGCAGATAAAAAAATGTAAAAGCTATTATAAACACGTTCTAGCACTTCTAGAAATAGAGGAATGTTATGAGTAAACAGGTAGAGAAGCACAACAGAGAAATAAAAACTATTATAAAAGAACCAAATAGAAATGTTAGAACCAAAAACAGAACCTCTGAAATAAATCATTCACCGATGGGCTTTTAAGCAGATTGGAGACTGCAGAAAAGAGTCAGTAAATTGAAGATAGATCAACAGATATTAGCCAATCAGAAGAACAGAGAGAAAAAATGCTTAAAAAATGGACAGTCCCAGTGATCTGTGGGACTATAGCAACCAGGTCTAACAGATGTGTAACTGAGTTTTCAGAAGGACAAGAGGGAGGAGATTGAAGGGAAAAAATACTTGAAGAAATAATGGGCAGAAATATCCTGAGTTTGATTTTAAAAGAGCAACCTGAAGACCCAAGAAGCTAAGTGAAACCCAAGCAGGATAAATGCAAAGAAAGCCACACCGAAGCACACCAGAGCCAAGGGGCTGAAAATCAGATATAAAGAGGAAATGCTAAAAAGCACCCAGTGAAGACACACATTACATGTAGGGGAACAAGGATGTAAATGACAGTTGGCCTTATCAGAAATGAACAGAGCCCAGAAGGCAGTGGAATGACATTTGTATTAAGTGATGAAAGAAAGAAAAAAAACTGTCAACCAGAATTCTATATCTTGAGAAAATATCCTTTAAAAATGATGGAAACTTAGATGTATAGGAAATAATTAAGATGGTCAAAATGGTAAATATGTGGATAAATATAAAAGACTAGGCCGGGCACGGTGGCTCACGCCTGTAATCCCAGCACTTTGGGAGGCTGAGGCGGGCGAATCACGAGGTCAGGAGATGGAGACCATCCTGGCTAACATGGTGAAACCCCGTCTCTACTAAAAATATATTAAAAAAAAAAATTAGCCAGGCATGGTGGCAGGCACCTGTAGTCCCAGCTACTCGGGAGGCTGAGGCAGGAGAATGGCGTGAACCCAGGGGGCGGAGCTTGCAGTGAGCCGAGATCGCGACACTGCACTCCAGCCTGGGCGACAGCGAGACTCCATTCAAAAAAAAAAAAAAAAGACTATTCTTTTTGTTGTTTTGAATTTGTTTATTTTTAAATGTTCAGTTTGAGAAGTTTGGGCTATGAATACATCTATGTAATCACCACCCAAAACAAGATATAGGATATTTACATTGCACCAGAAAGTTCCCTCATGCCTCTTTCCAGCCAAGCCCCCCTTCTTCTAAAGCAACTCCTTTCTTATTTCTATCACCATACATTAGTTTTACCTGTTCTTGGATTTCATATGGATAGTATATATTCTTCTGTGTCTGGCTGCTATTGCTCCACATAAGAGATTAATCCACAGTGCTGAGTGTATCTGTGGTTTGCTCCTTTTTATTGTTGACTAGCATTCCATTTGCATGAGTAACTATACACCACAATGCATTTATCTGTTCTTCTGCTGGTAGACATGTGGGTGGTTTCCACTGTCTTGCTATTATAAATAAGGCTGTTATGAATATCCTTATTACAAGCCTTTTGTGGACATACATTTTCTCATTTCTCTCAGGTAAATCCCTACATATAGAATTGCTGGTCATAGGTTAGATGTGAGTTTAACATTAGAGAAAACACCAAACAGTTCTCCAAAATGGTTGTACCATTTTGCACCCTCCCCAGCAATCTTCGAGGGCCCCAGTCCCTCTACATTCTTGCCAACATTTGTCAGTAATTTTCTTGTTGTTGTTTTAGTCATTCTAGTAAGTGTGAAAAAGTATCTCATGATGGTTTTAACCTGCATTTCTCTGGTCGCTAATGATATTGAGCACTTTTTTTTAAATGTAGATTTTTAGTAGAGAGAAGGTTTCACCATGTTAGCCAGGATGGTCTTGATCTCCTGACCTCATGATCCGCCTGCCTCGGCCTCCCAAAGTGCTGGGATTATAGGCGTGAGCCACTGCACCTGGCCGAGCACTTTTTATGTGACAACTGGCTATCTGTGTATCTTCTTTTGTGAAGCATCTGTGGCCCATTTTCTATAGTGCTATGTGTCTTCTTATTGAATGGCACCTGCTGCCTTCACCCCAGCCCTTGGGCTGTCTCATGCTTGCCACATGTCCCACCTGGCCCACCTCACTCCTTTGTGTTTCTGACCTGTCTTCTAAATCTCAGCACTTAAAGACTGACTCAGAATGGCCTAAGTCTACAGTCATGAAATGGAAAAATAGAAAGTAAATCTATTGCCAACATATAAAGTATTTTAAAAGTGCTGTTCTTAAGATAATTTTGAATGTCTGTTCCGCATAAAAGTATTCTAGGGGTTTTATTCAGGGATTCGTAAGCTATAATTCATGAACCCAGAGAATTTATAATCAGGTGAGAAAACATGCATGCCAGCAAAAGATTGTAACAGAAAATGAGGTAAGTGCTTTTTCCTTAAAATATTTGTCCTAGATGCTGTCTTAGGCCTTCACTTTCCATGATCTCTCTGATGATCTCATCTACCCCTACAGCTTTAACTACCACCTATAAACCACTCTCTCCCAATCTCTAGCCCTAATCTCTCTCTTATGAGCTCACCTCTTGGTGAACCACAGGCAGGACAACTCTCCATAGTCAAAAGTCTTATTTCCACCCACTGCACACTCCCCACCTCAAAAGAAAACAGAATAAAACATATCTCTGCTTCTCCTCCTATATGCCTATGTTAGTTCAAGTGCAGACTAAGCTTCTGTAACAGAAACCCCCAAACATAATGAAATAAATGATATAGAGGGATATTTTACTCCCATGTAATAGTCCAAAGTTGAGAGGCCTATGGGTGGCCGTGCTTCTCTGCTCCACAACGGCATCAGGGACTCATCGCCACTGTCCCTAGGTTGCTGTCCTCATGGATGGCTGAGAGTGATGCCCACAAAGGGCATATTTCAGCCTAAGGGAAAGAGAAAGAGAAAGCAAAGGGCCAGAAGTTTCCCTGTATGATCTAGAAGTTGCACACGTCACTTCTTCGCATCGCTTGGACCCAAGCGGAGTCACTTGCCTGCACGAAGCTTCCAAGGAGATTGGAAAATGGAGCCTCTAGTGGGGAAGCCATTTTGGTTAAAACTTGCAGACAATTATTCACAAAATAAAGAAAGGGAGATGAGGACGGCGGGGGTATTTAAAAGTTGAACCACAACTTTGTGGCTCAGTTATTGACATGCCACAATTTACAGAATAAGCTGATACTTGATCAGGGAGTCATCATCAGCTCTCTCCCTCCTCTCCTTCATACTTTACATCCAACAGGTCATCAGTTTGTTGATTATAATTCGGAAGTGTGTTCTAATTCTGCTTCTTCCTCGTTATTATTATAGTGACTTAGTCTTTCTTACTGCAAAAGCCTCCTCACTAGTCCTTACCCCTACCCTTGCCCCTAAGTCTACCCTCCTGACTGCCACCACTGGGGATACATTTGAAAAACAAATCTGACTTCCCCTCCCTGATTAAAATCTGTCAGTAACTAGAAACATGTTTTCCTCCAGCAGGAACACCAGTTGTCTAGCTGGAGGGTCTGGAGTGAGAGGGAAATTTACTTTTTATTGCATTCACTTTCATAATGCTTGAATTTTTTTTAGCATGCAAAAAATAAAAATCAAACCACTATGATAAAGAGATCCTTCTGTGACTTTCTATCATTCATAGGTTAGCTAGAATTCAGGCTTTTTAGCACAGCATCCTCAGACTGCTGTCTGCCCACCCACACACAACTCCTGCTACTCCCATAAGATAGCCACATGCCCCTTGGAAGTTCTGCCAACTTCTCCTGCCTCTTCCTAAACTGTTCTGTCCCTCTCTTCACTCCACCAACCTCCCCAGGCTTCCTGGAAGACTCAAGTCCACCATCCCCTCTGTCACACCCTCCCTGGGCCATTCCGCAGATGCTTGCAGACCACAGGTATATCATTCATAATCAAAGCTGCCATTTACTGAATGCCAATGAAATATCAAGGAGCATAAATGCATAGTTTCTGATGTTCACAATAACCCTGCAAGTTAGGTCATGTTATCTCTGTTTTACAGATGAGAATATTGAGGCTCAGAGAAACAGTCAATTGACTTGCCCGAGGCTAGAAGTTGTACAGAAGGGGGTTGACTTGAGGGTTATCAGGCTCCAAAACCATGCCTGTTTTTCCTACAAGTGCTGTGCCTCTCATGCATCCTCAGAGTTTTTGTTTTGTTTTAAACTCTGTTTCTCCACTCCAATCATAATGGCTGCCAATATTAGGACTGGATTTGTTGGTTCTCCCCCAACCCCCAATCCCGCCCATTACTCCCAGAGACACTGTCCTAAAGCGCAGGCATCAGCAACTTGTTCTTGTTTTTCAGCTCTCTCCTCCTGACAGGCTGGGCATTCAATGTTTAGGTCCAAGTTTACTTTCCTTCACTTTTTTCTTCCCATCAGAGCTTCACTGCAAAAGCCTCCATTTCTGCTGTGCCATCCATGTTCTCTCCCTTTTCTATCCTCAAGTCCTGTTTTTCCTTCTTAAATCATTCCCAGCAACAATGAGTTTATGAAGGGCTTCATCTGTCGTGTTGAGAAATGTATCCTCTGTTCTCAGATGATGTGAACGCACGAAGGACTTGACCAGATGGGGCCAGATGCAGACACACAAGGCCCAGGAAAGGCTCAAAGTGTGGTCCTTCTTTACAGTTACTCAACTTTTTTTAGTGAGATCAGGGGATAGACTGATTTTTTTCTTACTAAAAAATATTCACAGACACATTCATAGACTTAATATAGTTCCACTCCTTGAAGGAAAGTCAACAATCTAAAAAAAAAAAAAAAATTGGCAAAAGCATTTTGTATTTTTCTGTGGGATTTTTCTCTTTTCTTTAGTGAGTTTCTAAACCAGGTAGTTTCTTAGGGGTGTCTTAGTCCATTTTGTGCTGTTATAATAGTGTCTGAGACTGGAATTGATAAAGAACAGAGATTAATTTCTTACAGTTCTGGAGGCTGGGAAGTCCAAGGTTGAGGGCCTGCTTCTGGTAAGGGCCAACTTGCTGTATCATACCATGGCAGAAGGCAGAAGGAAAAGTGCAAGAGAGAGAGTGAGGGCAGGACAGAGAGAGAGAGAAGGGAAGGGGGGGTGAACTCATTCTTTTATCAGAAACTCACTCCCATGATAACCCTCTCCCATGATAATGACATTAATCTATATATGGAGGGCAGAGCCCTCATGAGTCAATAGCCCCTTAAAGGTCCCACCTCTCAACACTGTTGCATTGGGGATTAAGCTCCTAATACATGCTTTTTGGGGTGATACATTCAAGCCATAGTAGGGGGTCATTTAAAGGGTTTTATTTTAGATAACAAATCACTCCATCCCAGGAAGCAACCCTACAGTATACAAAGATACATACAAATACCTCACACATATACAGACAAAGTGCATATCAAAGTACATTCAACAGAAAGCAGTTGGAATGACAAGGAATCTTCTTCCGTTCCACTCTGTTCTCACTGGTGGAAACAGGACAATTTGCTTGTGGCCACATTTGCATGGAGTTGTGTGTAGACCCCAGAGTTCTCCAGAATATCAGGCAGAGTACTATCAGCAGGCAGAAACCACACCAGATATTCTACCAGTGAGAATTTAATATAAAGAATTGTTAATTAGGCATTTGAAAATCAAGAGAACTCTAAGTTATCATGAATGTAGCTGTAAGAAGCAGCTGGGATACTCAGGAAGAGGTTGGAATTATTTAATATTAAAACTTAGAAGCTTGGCTAAGGCGCTCTATGGACTGAATCTCAGACTGACAAGGGGCTATTGGTCTGCTGATGCTCATGTCTCTGAGCCTGGGGGAGGGATTCCAGGGGCTCAGATCCAGACCCAAAAAGAAGGAGCCAGGTGTCTGCTGAGGGAGCTGGGAGAAGGGATTTCCATGCAAGGAAAATCACAAGTACAAAGGCCCTGAGGCTCTTAAGCATCAGAACCACTTGGAGGGCTTGTGAAAATGCAGATTCCTGGGTCCCACCTCCAGTGTTTCAGATTCAGGGGAAGAGGGTGGAGCCCAAGAATTTGCATTTCAACATGCTTTCAGGTGCTGCTAATGTTGTTGGTCTGGGGATCCTCTTTTGAGAACCACGGGCTTAAAAGTGTTCAAGAAATGGCAAAGTGTGGCTGGAGCAGAGTGAACAGAGGAGAGGACCGAGAAATGAAGTCAGGAGGCTACAGAGTCCAGATGGTGCAGGACTTGGCGTTGACCTGAGGGAGGTGAGGGCTTTAAGCAAAGGAGCAACATGCTCCATCTATAGTCTTCAGAGTCGCTTTGGCTGCTGTGCTGAGATTAAATGGTACAGGAGACAAGGACTGGAACAGTGGAGAGAAAACAGTTGGGGCCATTGCAGTTATATGGGTGAGAGATAGTGGTGGCTGCAGCCAGGGTGGTGGTGGTGAGGAGGGGAGATGTGGCCAAATTCCAGATGTAGTGAAAAGGCAGAGCTGACATGGCCTGATTGCAGTAATTTGAAAGTCAGTGGGAGATAGGGAATTTGAGGCAGGGACAGGAGACCTGCGTTTGTTTTGTAAGGAAGACTATAAAGAGGGAGAGAAATGGAGGGTAACCACATAGCTAGAGGACATCATAGGAAGGAAGGCTGTGCTTTTGTGTGGTCTTGTTCTGCTTGAGAAAGATGAGAGAGACACCACCATTTGTAGAGGCTGTGTGTATGGAGACCGAGTGAAACCCCTAGTGCCAGAGGGAATCGCAGGGAATGAGGTGCAGGAGAAATTGAGAAGGTGCACCAGGCTGAACGACATCCCCGATGATGTCCTCGTTCTAGTCCCCAGAGCCTGTGTTAACCTCCTGTGGTTAATGGACTTTGCAGGTATGATTAACTCAAGGATCTTGAGATGGGGAGAGTATCCTTTGGGGCCCACTGGAATCATAATGCTTCTTGTAAGAGGGAAGTTATAGGCTCAGAGATGGAGAAGAAGGTGTGAGGATGGAAGCAGAGGTCACAGAGAGATTTGCTAATTTGCAGATTCTGCACTGTTGGTGCATCTGATGGAGGAAGGGGCCATGAGCCAAGGAATACAGGTGGCCTCGAGGGGCTGGAAAAGGGGAGGATATGTATTCTCCTGGGAGCCACCAAAGGGAGCACACCCCTGCTGACACCTTGATTTGAGCCTAGTGAGACCAGTTCAGGCTTCTGACCTCCAGGACTGTGGGGTCATAAAGAGGAGTTGTTTTAAGCCCCTAAGTTTGTGGGAATTTGTTAGAGCGGCCACAGGAGACTCCTAGAGAGGTCACAGGTCCAAGAGTGTGAGAAATGGTCATCAAGGAATATCACCTTGAATAAGACACTTCTAGAAGGAAGATTTTTTTTAGTTTCAGAATGAGGAACAGGAGAGCTTTGTGCCTGTTGACTTCAGTTTTCCCAGTGAAGTAGGCTCCAAGGGCACACGCCCTATTGGGGCATTTTGTAGCTGAGGAAGTTGAGGCCCAGAGCTAGGTGACTTGCCCTAGGTCACAGCCACCGAAGACCAGAGGTAGATTCAATCCCAGGTGCTCTGCCTCCTGAGCCCACACTGTTGACCACTTCACCACAGAGCCTCTTCTGGGCAAAGAAAAGGGAGCCTTCAAAATGATAGATGGGGTGGCTCATGCCTGTAATCCCAGCACTTCGGGGGGCCGAGGCGGGCATATCACTTGAGGTCAGGAGTTCCAGACCAGCCTGGCCAACATGGCGAAACCCCATCTCTACTAAAAATATGAAAATTAGCCAGGTGTGGTGGCACGTACCTGTAATCCCAGCTACTCAGCAAGCTAAGGCAATCGCTTGAACCTGGGAGGCAGAGGTTGCAGTAAGCCAAGATCGCACCACTGCACTCCAGCATGGGTGACAGATGAGACTGTGTCTCAAAAGAAAAGAAAAGAAAAGAAAAGAAACGATAGATGTTGGCTGGTGGAGATGGCGTGGTAGAGCCATTCCTGCAGACTCTGGAGGTCCTGGCTGCTGGCTGTGGACAGGATCTGAAGGTTGTGGTGTTGAGCAAGCCATTCTTGCAGATGTGGAAGGTGCCTGCAAGGAGGCTGGGAACAGGTGTGGAGAGGACGGCTGTGAGCAGGTGCCTGAGAGCAGAAAGGGATCACTCTGTGACTCTAAGAGATGTGGAGGATGAGAAGCTGAAGGCGGAAGCCTGGAAGCAAATTCAGTAACCTGAGACTCCACTAGCCAGGAGGGCACAGCCTCGGACCCAAGTGTGAACAAACAGTTCTAAGGCCAGGAGTTGGGGCTTAAGCCAGGGAGAGAGAACAGGAAGATCTAGAATTCAGACATGTAGGAGAGTCAGTGTGGCAGCCCTGGGCAGGTCCCTGTAATCAGTGATAGGGCACTGTCTGCCCTCTGCTCTGTTTTTAAGCAGCCTTCCTGGCACAAGTGATAAAGGCTGTTGGTATTTCACACACCAGAGCTGGCAGGGCTCTGTGGTCCTGAGTCCTGAGTATGGAGACCTAGGGCCTTGTGATTCCAAGGGTGGTCCCTAGGGCAGCAGCGTTACTATACCTGGGGGCTTGTTTGAAGTGCAGACTCTCAGATTCCACCCCAGCTAATTCACAACCTGAATTAGCGTCTGCATTTTAACAGGATCCTCCGATAATTGGTATTGCAGCTTAAGAAGCACTGTCTGCTTACAGCAGTGATTCTCAAAGTGTGGCCTCTGGACCAGCAGCATCAGCATCACCTGGGAATGTGTTAGAAATGCAGATTCTCAGCCCCTGCTGAATCAGAAACTCTGGGTATAAGGCTTAGAAATCTGTTTTAAGCAGCCATGCTAATTCTAACGCATGCTCGAGTTTGAGAAGCACTGGCTTGGGACAGGATGATGCGGCAGTTAAAGGCATAGATTTGAGATTCCACAGATTCAGGTGGACTTGGTTCTGCGCCCAGATTCCTCTTTTTTCATTTGGGAAAATTAAGCAGGAATCACACCTACTTCACAGAACTTTTGTGACGTTCAATAACCCTCTCTACACAGAGGACACAGTAGAGCAGCCGGCACAGAATGAGGGCTCAGTACCCATTAGCTGTGAAGCCATCAACAGTGAATGCCTCAGCTAATATTTATTGAATTACTAGTAGAGGCCAGGCATGGTGCTGAGCACTTACTATGAATTATCCCATTTAAACCTCACGGTAGCCCTAGGAGGGAAGTCCTGGTGCAATCCTCATTTTATAGATAAGGACGGTGAGGCTTAGAGGGCTTAACTCCCTGCACAGGAGCATCAGCTGGTAAGCAGTGAACAGGCCTCAAGCTCCAGTGCATTGGACACGAAAGCCCATGCTCTTAGACACTTGTGCTTTACTTACCGCAGCACTGGGAGAAATGCCATAGCTGGAGGCATCCCCGGTAACGCATTTAACACCAGGTAATCGCGTAGGCTACCCTTAAAATTATAATCTTTGCACACTAGTATTTCCACCCCATTGAGGATTTCCATGTCCAGCCCTGTTTCCTGCCCTGGGGTCTGGGTGATGCCTCATCTGGTCCCAACTTGTTGCTGTTTTTCCTCCAACTCACCATTCTTTCTGGCCTCACGTCCCAAAACTCCTCAGTCCCTGCTTGTTCCACTTGACCATCAGTGACCTTGGCAAGGGGCAGAGCCAGCCAGCCGGCATGCTGGGGGCTTCGTGAACATAAATACATTTAATCCTGGCCTCTGCTCCATAAGGTTGCATTACCTTCATTTTCTAGTTAAAGGTCGCTTCTCTAAATGTCCACTCTGTCTTTGTTACTAAGTTAGAACAGTCTGCCTGCTGGCAGGAAGCCAGGGCTGCATGGAGAAACCGCAACCATGAGTGCAGCAATTCCCGTGAATGCTGTTCTGTTCTAGATGCATTCCAGGAGGAGACAGTTACCAATGAAATGGGATTCACACCTACAGTAGGGACACACACCCATTAGCCAGGACATCCAGCATCTGAAGGTTGGACACTGTCCTGGAAGGGGTGTGGCTTTCCAATGCCGCTGTCTCAGACAGGCCTGCCCTTTGGGAACAGGCCACCTCCCACCTTTTGAGGACTCTGCAGGAAGGTATCTCCTTGCTTTGTTTCAAGTCAGCACATATTTATGGAAATGTGCCATATGCCTGGCATTGCATCAAGTGATAGGAATCTGTAGTTGAAGGCAGCCCAGCTGAGGTCTAGCCAGGGCAGTGGACAGACATTTTTATTAGCCATTGCCATCAACACACTCTTGGGCTATTGATAACTGCCTGAAAGCCTTGCTTCTTCTGTGTCTATGCCTAAAAGTTCCTGGGTGGAAACAATTCAAGGTGATCTCTTTTGTTCCTAGGAATCCGTTTGATGTATTTGGTTGTAATCAGGAGAAGCTGGGATGAGTTGATAAGGAAAATCATGCCTTTCCTGTTTAAAGTTAGGTTCTGTAGATTTAAAACATAAATCCATTCCTGTGCAAAATTAAAAGCCATAAACTGATGAGTAATAAAGAAAGACAATCATACGGCCAGGTGTGGTGGCTCACGCCTGTAATCCCAGCACTTTGGGAGGCTGAGGCAAGTGGATCACTTGAGCTCAGGAGTTCGAGACCAGCATAGGCAACATGGTGAAACCCCATCTCTACCAAACTACAAAAAATTAGCCAGGTGTGGTGGTGCGTGTCTATAGTCCCAGCTACTAGGGCAGCTGGAGTGGGACGATCACTTGAGCCTGGGAGGCGGAGTTTGCAGTGAGTTGAGATTGCACCACTGTACTCCAGCCTCAGTGACAAAGTGAGACCTCATCTCAAAAAAAAAAAAAAAAAAAAGAAAAGAAAGAAAGAGAGGTGCCTTCCACATCCTGTGGAAAATATGCTTTGCATTTGACAACCTAAAAAAAAAAGGAATAAAATTTTGAACCTATTACCATCAAATGCATTTAGATTTATTATCTAGCAGCCATTTGGTCTCCTACTCACCTAAGAGCAAATAAGGTCACCCAGACTATGGGATAGAGGAATGAAGTTAGCAACAGGCTGTGGAAAGAGGCCCTCCAAGCTGTGAAGCTTATTAAATGATTGGGTCACGGGAGTTCATTTTTTAGAACCCCACAGGGCAATTCTACATAGCGAAGAGTGGTCGCAAACTTAAAACTTTTGCCTGTGTTTAAACATTTTTCAGTCATTTTTTAAAAGCTCTTTCTAAAAGGGATGTTCAACATGGAGATGATGGTACCTTACAATTTATGTAACAAATATTCATTTGAGATAAAATTAAAAATCATTTTTTAATGCCACTTTGCACAGGAAAAAAAGAATTAAAACTAGAAAATGACCACTGCAATCACAGGGAGCTATTATCTGGCCTTTCCACTGCCCGGGCCTTCTGGATGGCCCCCATGTAGTGTATTATATGAACCGGTGCCGTGGAGATCTGAAAACTCTGCAAGCCCAAATTAACCTGGAGGAGAGGAAGAAATGGGCTCTCTGCAAAACCATTTCCTATTAAAGCCATTTCCTGTTTATGGGCAGTAGTGTTATTAGTTCTCACTTGGACAGCATTTTTTTTTCTTTGCAAAAACTCATAATTATAACCATCCTCTTAAATCCATTTCCCCTTTCTTCCTTTGCCTCCATAAATCATTCTTGTATTTTTCTCCTCTCAGACCAAGAAGGTTATAACCTTGCAATTATATTCGCACACAGGATCAGTCATTATCCATTTGTTGAAATGCTTATCCTCTAGTTTAAGAATGCATAAAATGCGGCCAGGCGCAGTGGCTCACGCCTGTAATCCCAGCACTTTGGGAGGCTGAGGCAAGTGGATAGCTTGAGTCAAGGAGTTCAAGACCAGCTGAGGCAACACTGAGAAACCCTGTCTCTACAAGAAAATACAAAAATTAGCCAGGTGTGGTGGCGCACACCTATAGTCCCAGCATCGGTGGTGGGAGATGAGGTGGGAGGATCATGTGAGCCCAGGAGGTGGAGGCTACATTGAGCTATGATCACACCACTGCACTCCAGCCTTGGTGACAGAGGGAGACCCTGCCTCAAAAAAACACAAAAAAATCCCAAAAGAGTACATAAAATGGCCAAGTATTTATTACTAAAAAAGAGCTTTAAACTAATCAGGATTTTTATTCTGCTTTTCCTTATATTTCTTTGTTTCCTTTCTTCCAAAGCATATGGCAGAATAACAATATTTTTATTCTTCAAAAGAGCATTACTGAGGCTGGGCACAGTGGCTCACGCCTGTAATCCCAGCACTTTGGGAGGCTGAGGTGGGAGGATTACTTGTGGTCAGCAGTTCTAGACCAGCCTGGCCAACATGGTGAAACCTTGTCTCTACTAAAAATACAAAAAGTAGCCAGTTGTGGTGGCGGGCACCTGTAATCCCAGCTACTCAGGAGGCTGAGGCAGGAAAATTGTTTGAACCTGGGCTGCACAGAGGTTGCAGAGAGTTGAGATTGCATCACTGCACTCCAGCCCCGGTGACAGGGTGAGACCCTGTCTCAAAATACACACACACACACACACACACACACATTACTGAGATTTGAACACCTGGACTGAGTCCTGGCTTGTCTCTTTCTAGCTGTGTTAGCTTAGATGAGTCACTGAACCCCTCCAAGCCTCTATTTCATCTAGTAAATCAGGGGGAAAATGCCTGCTTCACCCATCTTTGCAATATGCAGTGAAGGTTAAACAAATTAATATTGTGTGTTAAGAACCTTTATAAACTATGAAACTCATACAGATGCCAGGCATTGATATTGCTATGAATTCCTCATGTCACTGGGACATGAAGTGATTCTGCAAAAGCATGTTTGTCCTGTAATTGAAGCTTATCTCTTCAGGGGCCCATTTTGGAAGGAAATTATAATAAAAACTGGTACACCTTTCCCTGTTAGCTTTAACAGACAATAGTGGATGTAATAGATACCCCTGCATCATCACAATACCCATAGAATTTTAGGATGCTAGGACAGAAAGGGGCTGAATACTGAAGGTGCCCAACCTCCTCGTTTGACGGATGAGAATGCTGGGCCCCTGAGAGGCCTGTGCCTTGCTGAAGCTCCCATGGCTGGTGTGGACGGAGCCTGGGCCAGAGGCTCCTGCCCCGCCTCTCCTGCCTGGCTTCTGCTTTGTCCTTCTCCCTCCTGTGACCACTCCCCTTCCTGGACTTTTCACTTTTTCCACCCACCCCTTCTAATCTCTCTTTATCGGGAAACTCTGACCTGCAGGATTCAGCGTACAGTAAATTCTTTAAGAAAGAAGGCGGCCAGGCGTGGTGGCTCACGCCTGTAATCCCAGCACTTTGGGAGGCCGAGGCTGGTGGATCACGAGGTCAGGAGTGGAGACCATCCTGGCTAATGCAGTGAAACCCTGTCTCTACTAAAAATACAAAAAATTAGTTGGGCGTGGTGGTGGGCGCCTGTAGTCCCAGCTACTGGGGAGGCTGAGGCAGGAGAATGGCGTGAACCTGGGAGGCAGAAGTTGCAGTGAGCCAAGATCGCGCCACTGCACTCCAGCCTGGGCAACAGAGCAAGACTATGTCTCAAAAAAAAAAAAAAGAAAGAAAGAAAGAAAGAAGGCTGGGTGCAGTGGCTCACACCCATAATCCCAGAAATTTGGAAGGCCAAAGCGGGAGGATCGTTTGAGCCCAAGAGTTACAGGCTGCAGTGAGTCATGATTGTGCCACTGCACTCCAGCCTGGGTGACAGAGCAAGACCCTGTCTCTAAAAATTAATAATAAAAATAAATAAAATTTAGTTTTTTTAAAAAAAAAAGAAAGAAGGGGTGAGATTTCAATGCAGCACTCCTGACATGGATTAGGGGATCTGGAGGCCTCTGTAGTCATCCAGTTTGGGGTCTGTGTTCTCAAAGTTTGGCTCACAGGGAAGGAAAACATCAGTGCCCTTTAAAATGCCACCTTGATAAGAAATATTTATGTATTTTTTACATCCCATCCCAGACTCCTAATGCCCAAAATGCCCTTCACCTTAGTACAGCCAAATCTCAAATATCCTTTCACAAACTGTTTACAGACCCTCAGGGAGAAAAACACAACTATTAACCTACCCCACCGCACTGGGGGAGTTTAATAACTAGAGTCCATCCTGAGGCTCCATGCTTTTAATAACTCAGTACTGTATAAAATACACCACAGCATGTGAACCAGGTGATACTATCACTAATCATGAAAGGCTTATCAAAATTTAGCAGTCTTGAATTTTATATTTTTCATACTAACTGACAACCTCTAACATCCAGAAACGCCCTTCCTGAGGATTGTGACCCAGAGGGGAATTCCACTGTAAGATTACTGTCTGTCCTGCACCTCCCTCATCCCATCCATAAGCAAGTCAATTTGTCTTTGCCTCCCAAATGCATCCCCCATCAATCCATTCCTCCCCATGCAACAGCCTGAGTCCAAGTCATCACTGAATCTCACCACCTGGGCTCCAAACACATTCTCCTCACTGATTGCCTCGCTTCCATCCTTGCCTCCTACAGTCTGTTCTCCATGCAACTACCAGAGGGATTTAAAAGCTTCATTCGTTCCTGTTATCCCGTTTGATACTCTCTGGGGACTTTCCACTGTTACCTGAGCATAACCCTAACTCTTTTGAGGGGCCACAGGCCCTGCATGATAAGTCCCTACCTTCCTCTGGAACTTCACCTCCTTCTGCTCTCCTCCATGGGCACTCAGGCCCCACTGGTTGTCTTTCTCTCCGCAGTATGCTAGAATTTTTCCCATCTTAAGACCTTGGTACTTGCAGTTCCTTCTAACTGGGACTCCCTTTCCCCATCTCTCCACATTCTTCTCTGTCATTCAAGTCTGTTTGAATGGTGTCTTCTCCGAACAGCCTTCTTTATCCACCCCAGCTGAACTTGCCTTCCCCTTTCCCCGGTCTTTCCCTAGCCTTGCTTCTATTTCACTTTCTTTACTGCACTTATCTAAAATTTTTACTATCTGAAATTTTGCTTCCTGGCGGGGCGGGGTGGCTCACACCTGTGATCATAACACTTTGGGAGGCTGAGGCGGGCAGCTCACTTGAGGTCAGGAGTTTGAGACCGGCCTGGCCAACATGGTGAAACCCCATCTCTACTAAAAATACACAAATTAGCTGGGCTTGGTGGCGCGTGCCTGTAATCCCAGCTACTCGGGAGGCTGAGGCAGGAGAATCGCTTGAACCCAGAAGGCAGAGGATGTTGTGAGCCAAGATCACATCACTGCACTCCAGCAACAGAGCGAGACTCCATCTCAAAAATAATAATAATAATAATAAAATAAAATGAAATTTTGCTTCCTACATTTTTTGCTCATTTGTTTGCCCGCCATGACAGCATCTGTTCTCCACTATGCCAAGAACTATGCTTGTCACACAAGAGATGACATAAAGTCAACGCCAGTTTATTGACTGTTGGCCTGCCTATCTGAACACAGATACAAAAATGAGGATAGCAACTGTCCTTGCCCACTGCTGCGGGAGACAGACAGGTAAAGAGATGTGTTGCAGTTTACAACAGTGGTTGTTTTTAGGAAGCTATGGTGAGGCATTGTCCTCCCTCCCACTATTACCACACGGGTGCATCATGGAGGCCCCCACTGGAGGCGTGGACAAGAGGAGAGGCTTCAGCTTATGCTCCAGCCTCTGCTCTGCAGGCCCAGCCCCCCCCGACACATTGATCTTAGGTCACTTAGTTCCTCTTTCTGAGCCCCTGCCTGCTCTTTGCAAATGGATTAGGCTACTTACGGGACCCCTAGTAGGCTTACTGTGGGTAACGGTATGAGGCAGGTGCTTGGCACCCAGGAAGCACTCGCAGATGCCACCTGTGATTTTCACAGCGCCAGCTCCCTTTTGGTCACCAGGCCCGAGAGATGCTGCAGGGACCTGCAGAGATGACAAGAGTCCCAGTGACTCCTGTTCTTTCACTCTTGGTCCATGAACTTTCTGTTGTTTTTCTTTTTGAGATGAAGTCTTGCTCTGTCACCCAGGCTGGAGTGCAGTGGCATGATCTCGGCTCACTGTAACCTCTGCCTCCCGAGTTCAAGCGATTCTCCTGCCTCAGCCTCCCAAGTATCTGGGATTACAGGCACGTGCCACCAAGCCTGGTTAATGTTTATATTTTTAGTAGAGATGGGGTTTCACCATGGCCAGGCTGGTCTCCATCTCCTGACCTCAGGTGTTCTGCCTGCCTCAGCCTCCCAAAGTGCTGGGATTACAGGCGTGAGCCACCGTGCCCAGCCATGGTCCATGAACTTTCATCCTTCATTTTCAGCCGTTCCTTTCTCACTTCTTAACATTGTCATCAAAAATCAGTAATTAGAGAGAGTAGGGCTCTACAGGGTAGTGTGTCCGGGATCCCAGGCAGCTGTGTTTCATGCAACCCACCCTGACCACCTTGCGGATGTTCCTGTGACCTAACGGGTTTGGACAAAGACATTTGCCACCAGGGGGCATTTTTCAGGCAGCATAGCTCCGCCTGGTGGTCACAGGTTTGTTACAAGGATCTGTGCCACCAAAAAAGAAAAACTACACTGCATAAAGATGCTCATAATATCTAATCCCATGTAATTTTACACCTAGGAATGTATCCTAAATGAAAAAAGCAAAATGATATATGGGTGAACATGTTTGTTGCATTTGTCTATAATGGCAAATCTTGGAAACAAACTAATTGTGCAATAATGAGAGAATATAAATTGTGTTACACGAACATGAGAATATAAAGTAGCCATAAAATGTTAGGTAGGAAGACATGGGAAATTCCTAACAGGATATTAAGAATTCACACCACTGAAATGCTATGAAGGGATTACACAATTTAAATTTTCATTTTCTTTGTGTAGTGACATTAAGGGTAATTTTTTAAATTAAATTTTGTCCTTGACAGTTATTTTGTCTTTTCAATTACTCCCAATCTCTTGAAGAAACAACTTAATCTTTTATCTAACTGTGGTATTGTCTATCATCAGTATGTAATGATAGTGACTATTATAGTGACCTAAATATGTATAATGTGCATGTAAATATGTAAATAATATATACTATATGTGTGTATATATAATGGTAACATGTATATATATTATATATACACACAAAGTATTGGTTCATCATTTATTTTATAGCTATTATAAAGCATTTGCTATGACCTAAAAGGCCACATAATATTCTTATTTAAGATTTTATTACGAGCTGTAGAGCCAGATAGTTCTCTTTTGTTTCAGTCTAGTTCCGTAACCACCTATTTTGGCTGCCTCTTTGGAAAACCAATGTAAAGTTACAATTATGCAGAAGACACTTGGGACAGTCGTTGAGAGCAAATTGATCTTACTCGCTGAGTGTTCTCCTACTCAATTTATGAACTGTGGTTGAAATTAAGCTTGTCTTATAAATGGTTCCAACAGCAATTTTACTCTGCTGTTGTTTCAAGGATCACACTACATCTTACTGGTTTACACTAAGAAGTTGGTAGATTGATATCTTTATATATTATATATGTCGGAGGATGTTCAGAATGCAGTTTTAATAATATTTTAGGTATTTTTATATCAGATGTGTGTGTATTATTCATTGTCAATAATCATCAGTTATTTAAAACTGTACAACAGATTATAATCCTACTTTTGCTTTTCAAATCTATGCTTATAAATTAGAAATGATATATTCTCTTGGCCAATCATAATCTGATTATTTGAATATTTATTTTCTCAGCTCCCTAGATTGTAGGGGTTTATGATAGTGGTGTCTGCCTTTCACTCTAAAGGATTAAATGTTTTTACGTGAGTAGAAATAAATAATGAAAGTGAAACTCCAGGTGTTGTCTAATGCTATTAAATTAGCTTACATTAATCTCTGTCTGAAAAGTGCCCAAATAGATAGACTTCTGAAGGTTTACTAGAGGCAACAGGATATTTATTTCTTTAGGGACTCCATTATTGGAGCCATTTCCCCTGGTGCCAGCTGCTCTTATTATCCAATATTTTCTACAGGCCTAGGGCTTACAACAGAGAGCCATTGGAAGAATGTAAGCATCACCTCTCATTTTATAATAGCAATTGGGAATTTGGGGATTGGAGCTATATGTGCAAAAAGTGATTACTTTGCCACTTTATAGACAGCAAAACTGAGGTGTACCCAGTTTGTGATTTATTTAAGACAACAGTGCAGTTCAGGGACAGCCCTAGAATGAAACCCAATCATTTCTGAGCCTCTAGTAGAGTGCCTGGTCCATGAATCGTCCTATCACTGACATGGATAAAACTAAGTGAAATTGAACTTTTACCAGAACTTTTGAAAACCCAGACTTCTCTTTAATTATGACAATAATTTTAAAAATCTTTTTACTTCTAAGTCATGCAAACAATAAACAGGGATTTAATGAAATATATATCATGACAGGAATTCAACATACAGTGAATCCCTGTACCTTGGCACCCAACCTCCCAAAGGAGAAAGAGTAGAAATATAGATACACTTTTTATCACAAATGTAATTTTACAATTACACTGTTTTGCTTGTTGCCTTTTCTTGGTTTAACAATATATTACGGAGGTCATTCCATGATACTACAAAAAGATTTGCCTTATTTTTTTTACTGGTTATCTATATCCCATTGGCACAGGATTCAACCTACTCATCATAATTTGAGTAGCCCCCTACTAGTTCCCTAAGGCAAATTATGCTATAGTGGTTGTCCTTGACTCAGATTTTTGTGCACTTGTGAAATTATTGTATTAAAAGATATGTGTCATTTAATTTTTTCATCAATGTGAATAAGTTGTTTTTATTCATTTATATGTGTTCTGTCTGTTTTATTCCACCTACACAAGCCAACTTATTGCCTTGATCTTCTGGAGTTAAAGCTACTGATCTTGGCACGTGATAAATAATTTTTTCCCATGCAAAACAGTACTTTCTAAAAACAAAATAAATGATTAGCATTTTTCTTATTATTTTCATTTGAGTTTTATGTGCTCAATGTATCTCTAGCTAAGAAGTGGTAAGAATGATTCCTAGGTTCCATGTACAGCCATGCACCACATAACAACATTGCAGTCAACAACAGACCTCATGTACAAAGGTGGTCCCACAAGATTATAATGCAGCTGAAAAATTTCTATCACCCGGTGACGTCAGAGCCTCATAGCACAATGCATTACTCACATCTTTGTGGTGATGCTGGTATAAACAAACCTAATGTGCTGCCAATCGTATAAAAGTCTAGCACATATAATTATGTTTAGTACATAATACTTGATAATATAAATGACTTTGTTACTGGTTTATGTATTTACTATGCTATATTTTTATAATTATTTTAGAGGGTGCTCCTTCTATTTATTATAAAACAAAATTTACTGCAAAACATCCTCAGGCAGGTCCTTCAGGAGGTACTGCCGAAGAAGGCATTGTTTTCCTAGGAGATGACAGCTCCATGGATGTTACTGCCCCTGAAGACCTTCCAGTGGGACAAGATGTGGAGTTGGAAGATGGAGATATTGATGGTCCTGAGCCTGTGTAGGCTTACGCTAATATATGCATTTGTGTCTTAGTTTTTAACAAAAAAGCTTAAAAAGTAAAAAAGTAAATAAAAATTTTAAAAATAGAAAAAAGCTTTTAGAATAATGATATAAAGAAAAACCATGTTTGAACAGCTTTACAGTGTATGTGCATTTTAGGCTAAGTGTTATTACAAAAGAGTCAAAAAGTTTGAAAAAATCAAAAAGTTTGTCAAGTAAAACGGTTATGGTAAGCTGAAGTTAACTTATCTTGAGCACAGAAAAATTTTTTTAAATAAATTTAGTGTAGCCTAAGTGTATGGTGTTTCTAAAGTCTATAGTAGTGTACAGTCATGTCGTAGGCCCTCACATTCACTCATCATTCACTGACTTACCCAGAGGAGCCTCCAGTCCTGCAGGCTTCATTCATGGTAAGTACCCCGTGCAGGTGTACCGTTTTTTATCTTTTATACCGTATTTTAACTGTACCTTGTTAATGTGTAGATATGATTAGATTCACAAATACTTAGCATTGTGTTATAACTTCCTACAGTATTCAGTACAGTAACATGCTCTACAGGTTTGTAGCCTAGGAACAGTAGGCTACACCATATGGCCTCGGTGGGTAGTAGGCTATGCCTACACTCCATGATGTTTGCACAATGATGAAATTTCCTAATAAAGCATTTGTCAGAACGTATCCCCATCATTAAGCAATGCATGACTGGATATCCATATATGTATATATGTATGTGTGTTTGTATATACAACAGTGTTGTGGTAGGGTTTTCATTGTTTTATTTTGCCAGCATTTATCTTCACCATTGTTATCTAGAGTTTTAAAATCAGAATATGAACTTTCCTTCTATAAAAACATCTAAATTTATCCTCTGAGATATATTCCATGTTATGTTAGTTTTTTAAAAATGTTCTTCCTCTCTTTTGGTAAAAATTTTATTGAGATATAATTCACATACCATACAACCCACCCATTTAAGTATACAATGTGGTGGTTTTCAGTATATTCCGAGTTGTGGAAAACTGTCACCACAATCCGTTTTAGAACATTTTCATCACCCCTGAAAGAAACCCAGATTCTTTATCTCCCACCCATAATGCTGCCATTCCTGTCATTTCAATTTTGAAAGATATCTTTTCCCTCCAAGGCAGCTGGATTAGTTATATTTCACCTGGAGTCCATCGAGTGACAGTTTCCTTATACTCTTCCTGTATTATCAGAACATTTCATCTTTATCAGCCTTGCAGGTGAAAAATGATTGCCTGCTTCCATCTGCAAGGGCACTGACCGTCTTTTCATGTTCTTGGCCGTTTGTGTCGCCTCTCAGTGAGCTTCTTGGTAAACCTAAATACAAGCAAACACATCGATGTCACTGCTTTAGTTATCCCATCCACAGGTACATGATACGTGAGGCAAAAGCCACTATGAAGCTACTGCACATTGAATTTTAGAGGAAAGAGCACTTTGCAGACAGGCCCCGTGCACTGGGAAGTCCACATGGAGCTTGTTCCCTGGGCTGCCCTAGTGAGCAGCAGGAGCCTGTGTTTTTGTCTGTAGGGTGACTTTGTGCTTTCTCTCAATGTAGATAAAATTCTTGCTTCTCTACTTGAATTAATTTGACTTTGTGTCAATCTGTCAATCACCGTTTTTTAATTGACATTCTATGGTCTTTGTTCTATTCTCTCAACACCCAGTCATCTCAGGATAAACCTATCTTTATATATCTACCTCTTACCTCTTCTGTGATTCCTAAGAGCTTTGTTCGCTAGCTCAACTCCCTGGTGGAATCCTGATTACTTTTTCTTAGTTGGAGGGTCTTTAGGGAGAGCTGGAGCTCAAGTAAGCTGGGGTCACAGAACTCCTGGGAACAGGCATGTCCTCACCCCTGCCACCACACCTGAGCCACATTGCCTATCAGTCATTGTTCATTAAGTTCCTTGTGTGGGGACTGTAGCCTCCAGTGATCAGAGGAAGGGGAGGACCCTGGGGGTCCCCTGCCACAACCTCAGTACAAGGTACCACAAAGTCTCTGACCAAGTCTGCCTTTCATACTAATAATTATTAGCAGACAAGCAAAATGTCAGCTTCCTACCTGTGCTCTGAAGCTTGGTGCATTCCATCTCTTTGTTCCTTAGAAATACCTCACCTAAAAGATCTACTTGCAGCAGATGTGACAATTATATATATATATAATTGGTCCATTTTGGGTATCAAATTGGACCATTTTTAACACCTTGTCTTCTATACCACAAAATTATTTTCAGCATCACCATGTAATAATCAGTAATACACATTATTTTCCTGACTCACTACATAAATAATTTAAAAAGAAGAAATTTCCATTTTCACGATAATATTTAAATTTATTAATTGAGAAGAATTCAGTGCTACTTCTGTAATATTCCTGCCAAACAGGCATAAGCTCAATGGGATAAGAAGAAAACATCAGATGCACTAAATTCAGAAACATTCTACAAGATTCCTGGCCAGTTATCTTTAAAATAGTGTCCAGGTTCTAAAAGTCAAGGAAAGACTGAGGAACTGTCCCAGCCTGAAGGAGACTAAGGAGACAGGAGCCTCCTTTGGTGCAACTTGTGATTCAGGGCTGGATTCCTTTTCTAGAAAGGACGTCATCGGAGTAACTCGTGAAACTGAAGTAGGTCTGAGCACTGGGCAGCACTATTGTAGCAATGTTTCTTTCCTGATTTTCATGACAGTGCGGTGGTTAAGTTGGGGAAAGCCCTTATTTGTAGGGAATGTACATGGGGAGATATGAGGTTCATGTTCAGCAGGTCAGCATCTTACTCTCAAATGGTTCCAATTATACAATAATGTCCTTGTACTGTACTTCTATGTTTTCTCTGTGTGATTTAAAAAATAAAAAGCCCTCAAGAGTTCAAAAACCTGAAAGGTAAGTCACTGTAGCAATTGTTCAGAACTTAGAGCAACAAAAGCCTTTTTTGAGGAGGAGTCTTTTTCCATCAATATTGTTTAGAATTATTGGTGCACGGCGCTAATCAAAAGCCAGGGTCTTTTAAAGTCAGTTTGTTTTTCGCTTGTAAATTCTCTACCTACAGCGCATCTCCTTACTGCCTACACATGGAATGGAACAGCTCCAACCACTCTGCCCTCGGTGGGCCCTGATTGCATTGGGAGATCAGAGTCCTCCATTAAATGATGGGATGTGGGACACTGGCCCAATGGAAGCCCTCGGGTAGGATAGGAAGACCACTGGGGACAGTGTTAGGCTGCTGGGCTGTGTGAAGGATGTTAGGACACACCCTTCACACAAGGGCAAGGTGCCTGTGTAATATCTAGCGAATCCATCACTTATTTCACCAGAAGAAGAAAACGTTAACATCCCTTATGCTAATTAAACTTTTCAGAGCCAAATGTGGCAAAGAAGCCCTTTAATTAGCTGCCTCTATAGCGTGGGACTTCTGATTAGGGTGTTTCAAATGCTATCTAGCAACCTTGGATGCATATTCCTGTCATCAGTAACCACCACTAGGGTGTGGATTACAGCTAATCAGCACCTGTACCTGCTCAACTCTATTTTAACGTAAATGCCAATGTCTCCCCAGTTCGTAGCACAGAGCAGCGAGCATGGTAGACCTTTGTAGAATGTAAATGATGTGTCTGTGTAGCTCGGCATTTGCATTTGGGTGTGTGTGGAATCGGTTCCATTTGACCTAGATGTAGTCGATTGTCAAGGTCTTGGAAGCAGGTGTGCAGCTCAGGGAGAGGTCTTTAGAATGGAAGCACTTGGCTTTTGCCCACAGCACAGGGGAGGCACAGACACTAAGACAGAGCAGGCTTGGAGAGTGAGCTCAGGCAGGAGCGATGGTGGCCGCTGTCATTGCCTCATGCCCTGTTGTCAGCTGGCACACCTGAAGCAAACCATGAATCTGTGATTAGGGGTGGAGTGTCTATGCAAAAGAGATACCGAGTAGAAAACTTCAGGGTACCTGAAAGGAAACCCCCACACCTGCTCTGAGATCATCCTGTTTGGCATTTTAGCTAGAAGAGAATAGCCTTAGGCGCCAGGCCCTATTCCTATCTCCAGCTTCCATAGTGTGCAGCTCTCAAGTCTTGATGGACGTAAGAGTCACCCAGGGGTTTTGCTAAAAGTTGAGATCCTGAATTCCTGCCTCATGGGCTCTGATTCACCCAGGGCGTATTTCAGAGTCTACATTTTTACCAAACGCCCAATATTTTTTATGTCTGTGGACCACGGACCTTGTGACAACCTGCCCTAGAGGCCTTGCAATCAGAAAGCCCAGATTTGCCTTCCCAGCTCCTTCTCCAGCCGCTGGATGACCTTGGGCAAGTCTCCAGACCTCCATGAGGCTGCAGCTTCTCAACATCCAGGGTCTGTTGTGAGGATCTAATGGGTGGAAAGGAAAGCACTTTACAAACTGTGTAGCCCTGCAGAAGTCAGAGGACCTCGCCCTGTTTATTACGCCAGCCTTGATGATCTGACCATGGAGGCTGAGTCCTTCCCATGCCTCCTACGGCCATTTTTTAAAGAAAGATCTTGTGCTTTGCGCCCAGCCTTCCATACAGCAAAGTGCGAGAAACTACAAAAGGAGAAGGAGGAGCTGGAGAGGCGGTTCGAGGACGAGGTGAAGAGGCTGGGCTGGCAGCAGCAGGCCGAGCTCCAGGAGCTGGAGGAGCGGCTGCAGCTGCAATTCGAGGCGGAAATGGCGCGCCTGCAGGAGGAGCACGGTGACCAGCTGCTGAGCATCCGGTGTCAACACCAGGAGCAGGTCAGTCTGCAGTGCGGCTCGAGCTCTGCTGTTGGGTGATGCAGGTGGCGGGCGGCGGGGATCCAGTGCCACATTAGCAAGAAGTCCTATTCAGTAGGTGAGCTTTCTGAACAGTTCACTTTCTGAGTTGCTTTCTCCTTTCTCCCCGCTCCTCTCTTCTCCTCCAGCCACTGTGGCCTCCTTCACTCTTCCTCAGGGTTTTCACACTTGCTGTGCCCTCTGCCTGGAATGCTCTCCCTCTAGACAGTGCATGGCTGCCTCTTGCCCTCCCTTCCAGACTTTTCTCTGTCACCTTGCTCAGTGAGACCTTTATCCAAAATTATTATTCCTCCCCCAACCACATACACACTCTTTCTGTCCCCCTCCCAGTATTAGTGTTCCTTCAGCACTTATCACTAACACATACATTTTTGCTTTTCTACCTTATTTATCATCTTTCTATTCCATGAGGGCAGAGAGAATAACAAGCAAACATGTATGTAGCACTCGTCCTACACCAGACACTGCTCTAAGCTCTTTACAGGAACTGACTCATGTAGTCCTCACAGTTCCCCTAACGAGGAAGGTACCATTCTTATTCCCATTTTACACGGAAGAAAGCCAAGCCCCCATGGTTCAATAATTTGCCAGAATTCACAGAGCTGGCCATGGAAAAGCCAGGGTTCAGCCAGTCTGGTTCCACACCCCTGCTGTCAGCCACTAAGTTAGAATTGCCTGCCAACTCTCCTGCTGGATCCTGGCACCTGGATCCATGCCTGGCAGAGTACCACACAATATCCATTTGCTGAATGAAAGAATGAATGCCCATGGTTAACCTTCGCCCAGAAACCTTACTGGAGAGGAAAATGCATCCATGGACTAACCAGAGGATAATTCCCAGGGAGCTTGTCAGTATGAAAGCTAGAAGGAGGCAGGTGCTGCCACCCCCACGGCAGCTATCTTGTCCATGACTGCCGTTAGCGCTGATGAGAGGCAGGCGGACGATTCAGTGTACCCCCCACCACCACCCCCGCTTCCATGAGCACTGCTGCTCCTTTCTTTTCTCTTGTTTCTAAGTTCTCCAGCTCCGATGGCTTCGTCCCCACCCTCTAATTGGTGTGTTGCTTTATATAGTGTGCTTATGATATGCTTAAGGTAAGTTGACATTTGTGAAGAGCACCCTTTAAATCTCACTTGACATTCAGGTTAGTGTCGAGTGGCCTTCATTGTCCGAAACCCTTGGGCTACCCTCCTCGGCTGCTTCCAAATGGACATCTCAGACGACAATACCCACCCAGCCCTCCCACTGCCCCAGAAGAGGCTTGTGAATCTTAGGGGACCTGGGAGAAATTTCAGAGTAATACTAATTACTGTCATGGTAATAAAAACCTCTCTTACTTTATGGCATTTTGTTCTACACAGTATCTCAGGTTAGTCATTCTTCTTTCCTAGAGGCCTATAAAAGCCAGACACACCTCCCTGTTTGAGGTGGGTTAGACCATAGAGACTATGAAACAGAATAGGTTACAGCTGAAGTTACCTGTTGGTGTTAAGATGAGAAACTGAACCCCCGGTGTCGTGCCTCCCAGCCTGTCTGCATGTAACTCCAGTCAGTAGACATTTGCACGTGCTGCTGTCTACAGTCTTACTCATTTTACGGCCGCTTTATACATCTCAAACCTGGTATGAATACCAGCTTGTTCTGTGCCTCTGTATCTATGGGCTATTCATTCCCAGTTTTACACAGAACACGTTTATACCCATATTTACCAAAGGCCTCTGATCTGAAGGTCTGAGTTGGTTGAGACGACACCAGAAGGTGAGGAGGAGACGTAAGAGGTGGTCCGCAGGCAGGAGACCCTGAACGAAGCCTCTCGTGATGGTGCCCTGGAGCTGAGGCACGGCTGAGGGGAGCATCTCCACTCAGGGGCCAGGACGCCTCGCTGAGGCCTCACCTATGCAGAAGCATGTGCCGAGAGATGTGCTTCACCTCTTTTTAAAGCCGGGACACGGCGGCCTTTTAGAGATTTCAAACTGGAGCGATGAAAGGAAAGAAGCCCTTGACTTTTCCACACGAAAATGACTTACATAAGCTACCTGGGCATAATTCAAACACGCTCTGTTGTATGAGAGCCCTGCGCTCTGTTCATGATCCTTTATGATAGCAAAAGCCATTTATTTATTTACTCATTCACCTGTGCAAAGAATATCTATGGAATGTGCATTGTATGTACGCAAAGCACCATGACAGGATACTGCAAGAGATACTAAGATTTATAAAATGTGGGCTTGCTTATCTATCCATTGAGGAAGCTTCGAGATAAGTGCCCAAGGAACTGTCACACAGGTGAGAAATGCAGACAGGGTGTGGAGGAATTGAGAGTTTCACATCTTATCCTCACAGCTGGAAATGTCAGAAATCATATCTGAATGCTTTACATTTGACTGAATCTTTCCAACACAAACCCATTGGTTTGGGGGAACCGGAGAGTGAAGCCTGTGAATTATTCAGGCCCCTGATTCTGCTCCTGCTGCAGAACGTTGGCTGTTTCCCCAGGCTTCAGTTTCCCTAGCAGAGAACATGCAGGAAGTGAGGAAGATGAAATGCACCCCAGGCCAACAGTCTAACTACCAGATAGAATCAGTGTTTCTGTTTAGTGGGAGAGGAGACTCAAGGGTGTGACTGAGATGGAGATTAGGATGATCCGTGGTTTCAGGGTCCATGGTGGACTCTCCACTCTTGGGGCCTCCTTCTCAGGGACGGTTGCATTGGGCAATGCTAACCCCACAGATAACGACATCTCTGTCCTTCTGGAACCTTAAAAATCAGGTTCACTGGCCTGGCATCTCCTCATGACCCAGTGGCCCCCAACATCTGGCAGCAGGGGCAGGTGCTGCTTCAGTTCTGACACGCAGGATTTTCTGAGGCCGCAAATATCACTTTACTCAAATTGGGACTCGCCGGCCGAGGCAGGCTGACCTCCGGCTTTGCAGCAGCACCTCCGTCGTGACAAAGCCAGCCAGAGCTGCTTCTTGCTTGGCCCCCCGCCATCTCACAGGGCATGGGCTGGCTCTCTGCCCACGGCATGTGCTCCGGCTACACAGGTGGGTCACTTGGAGAACTGGTTAGAACACCGCTTCTCAGCCTGCCCTGACACTAATTGAATCAGAATCACTGATGAGGCCTGGCAGCGGGTTGTTTTTGGGCCCTCCCAGGGAATTTCTGTGTACAGCCAGGGCCCAGAACCGCAAGCATCACGGGAGCTGCAGGACCCTGCTGGCTCGAGTTAAGGACCTGAGGGAGGGGCGCTGAGGGGGACCTGAGGGGGTGGTGTTGCCTCTTGGCTTTCTTAAGTGAGTTTAAAGACAAGGTATAACTCTTATTTTAAAGGTGCAATTATAAAGGTGTTTAACATGTGAAAGCCAGCTCTCCTTCTGTAGCAAGCTGCACATTAACAGATGCCAAATTGCCACAGCTTCCCTTTGTCAAAGCACGCAAAACAGACTCACTGTAAACACACATGCATTTTCCTTTTTTGCCCCAAACATGTTCGGCCCAGCTTCCAGCCCTAGTTTCTGGGCTGCCTTTGGCTGTCCCCACACATAGGCAGCCACAGAGCCTGGCATGCAAAGATCAGGCTTGTGACCTTTGACCCATTCCTCCAAGACCCTAAGTTTGTCTTACTCCACAACTTGCTCCAGAGCCACTCACTTCAGGGACTGCCAGTCTGGATGCATGATGATTCTGCTCCATCAAGTCTCAGCAGAGATTCCTCCTCCATAGGGAGCAGCAGAGCTCAGCCTTTGGAGTTTAAATTTGCTTTGTCTCATATCCAGGATACACCTTCTATGCTTTCGTAAGGAAATCATTTTAGACTAAATGACTAAAGGAAGAGCATCCCAGGATTAATCCAAATTCACAGAGGCCACTTTGTCCCTCATCTGCATTATGCCTCCTTAGCCCTCCTGCAGAGCAGGCTCATAGCTGCCATGCAGCGGAAACCACATTCTCTCTAATCAAATAGAAAGAGATCCCTGGGGGCCCTTGTCTCTCAGCACCAGAGCCTGCCATCACAGCCCAGAGGTTCCATGCTCCGGGAGGAGGCGGTGCAGTGGAGATGGCGCCTCTGTCAACACCTGCCTGTGTGGAGGGCTGCAGAGGGGCAAAGGCACAGCCCCGCATGGGATGACAGCAGACTGGGAGCTCTGGCATGGCTCTGAGCCGGTGTCCAGGATACTGTAAGCCTGGACCAAGTGAAGGAGGGCCCCCTCGTTATCTAAAAAGGAAAGTCATTAAGAGCGTGGGAGAGAGTGGGCCTGGGCAGCCTCCCTCTCTCTCATCCCATGTAGGATGGGCGCAAATGGGAGTTTAATCTGGTTTGGGTTTAATGAGTAAAGCTGAGACAATGTAAAACACACGTTTCTTCATTTGAAATCTAAGTCTTCTCTAAGTGACTTGCCAAAGCCCTAGATCATTGCATTTTGTAAATGGCTAAATGAAGTCAACCCACAGCTGTATTCTTACCTGTCTGAGAGGGTGGTCTTCCAACCCTGTGCTCTGCTGTCCGTCAGCCCAGCTGAATAGCAGGCAGCTGCGGGAATGGAGTCGTGTCACAGGGAACAGCTGGTTTTCCATAGAACGAGGACTACTGCCGTGTTGACAGACACCTCCATGGCCCAGCCCAGAACTCTGTCTCTGAGGAGGGAGGAGGACAGCCCAGTGGTGGTCTAAGGGGCCTCACCAGGGTTCTAAATGGAAGAGAAGGATGCTTCAGCCAGCCCGAGTTTGCCATAGGCCATAATGGTCGAGCACTTTTATCTTTGATTTGGTGATCTTCAATGCATAGAAAGATCTTGTGCTTTCCTTGGGTCAGCTTGTTTAAATCTCCTCCAATTCCTTCTGGTTCCAAGGTCCTCTCAGGCTGGGAATTCTTATTGGCTGCTTCATAAATGTGAACCTGTGCTGTAGAAAGAAGCCAAGAACCATAGGAGAAGACGTTATATGGATTAATACTATGACAAGAAAGAGGATGGCCAACAGTAGACAGCTCCTTCCTCTTTGAGATAACATTTTTTAAAAACCATAAAGTTGCATGAAACCTGAATTACTAAAGAGCGGGGATTATTGTGTTCAGATTTTTTGACTCATGGGCTCCCATTAGTTTCCTTCCTAACATACTGGGCATTTCTCTAATTCCATATGAACTTTTGGAGTTAAGAGGTCAGTATTTCATTCATAAAAGCACCTCGGAAAGGTTGTAAGGAATATATCATGCCATTACATTACCCTTAATACAATGGGCGTGGTATTCCATCACCAATGACTCAAAGGCATACCTTCCAGCAAGCCAGAATGGCATACATTGATGCCACAAACACAGTGTAGTACTGCCAGTCAGGGCACATCCACCTCCTGGGACTCATGGGACTCTTCTGAAACTTAGTTCTTCCATCTGTCTGTCTTTTCTGAAACCACTCATGATCATTTGTGTAAGCACCGAATAAATTAGAATCACGCCAAGGGCCGATGAAAGGTTTTTTGCTCTCCTGAACTGTGTAGCAACCCTCCAAACAGTGTGTGGGGTGGGGGCGGGGGAAGCGGGGGCCTGTGTTTTTACAGTGTGCCATGGCCTAAGTGACACCTGTAATGGAGCAGAAAGAAAAGATATTTCCTTTTTTAAACCAGTGATTTATTTTTCCAACAGATTGAAAGGTTTTGGACAAAGATTCCATGAAAACCTCCTATAAACAGGAATTGGACAATTAAATACTGTTGTAATCAGCCTTTCTCCTGGTGGGTTCATAGCTCTGAGCTTCAAGTAAATACGGTTTGATCAAGAATGGCCTTTAAATGGGAGTGAGCCATTGTGCACCACGTCCGTTCTCACACTGCGATGCAGCTTTCCTAATGCCATGGGTCTGCTGTAGGTTTTGCTCAGTGATATTTGTTTTAGTGGATGAAGTTCTCATTTACCATAAGAGAGAGAAGTCAGGATAATTGTTTGATGAAATTATAGTATGCAGAATGGGAAACCACCCTTTTTTAAAACAAATATATCCTCACGTGTCAACTTCACAGTCAGGCTTCCTTTCTTGGGGAGAGCCCTTTCTCCATTCAGATCAAAGGTTAGCCTGTGAATTCTCCCCCAGAGAAATGTGGGAGCCCAGAGGTGGCTGAATATGACCAGCTAGAAGCAATGTCTTCTTAACTGGGCCACCAAGGAGCTTCAAGACCAGTGCACATTTTCTAGTTCAGTGGTTTTCAAATGCCAAGTTTTGATGCATTATTAGCTTGTGAAATAAATGTAGTGGCCTCTAACTAGCGTTTTGTAAAACAAAGTAAAATAGAGGAAACATTTTTAAACCAGATTTTTCCAAATGGAAGGGGAAGTTTTGTTTTTGTGAAACTTTGGTTTTGGGTATGGTTGTGTGTGGGTGTGTGCACTGTGATATTGTGTACAATGGTGATTTTTACAGTGGATCACTGACAGAGAATTTGGATAAACACCGTTGTAGTGCATCCAGGAGAGATTTGCAATCATAGGGAGAGGTCGTTTTAGACAATTACTCCTGCAAGTCATACATTTGAAGTTAAAACAACAGCCACAATGACAATAACAAAAACAGTAAACCTGGTAGGCAGGCAGGTGAGGGGTAGGGGAGGGGGTCAGGAAACATGAAAATGAAGAATCCTGGACTGGACTGGCTGCACTACTTGCGATTAAACTGCTAGACGTGTTCCTGCAGCTGGGAGGCAGCAGCCCTTCCCAGGAGCACCACATTGCCTGAGCAGAAGGTCCAAGTTATAATCTGGTGGGCAACCTTATGTTTAAAAACAGACACACAGACCTGCCAGCCTCACCTGGTATTGGCGAGAGAATCCTAAGGTGTTCGTTGCTAGTCTTGCTTGGGGGAGGTGAACACAAAACAACAGTGCATTAGAAAGAGCCTCGCCTTTGGAGTCAGACAGACCTGGGTCTCACTGTTAGCTCTGCCATTTATTAGCCCTTGGGCAAAACGTTTCATATTTCTCTTAGCCTCAGTTTCCACATCTGTCAATTGGGCATAAAAAGATATACTTCATAAGGTGGCTCTGAGGGTTAAGTAGAGTAGCCTATCTCGGACAGCCTAATAAGTATTCGTTCCCTCCACTTACCTTGTGTACCGTAGCTCCCCCTGCCACTGGGAAACAGACCACCTCGTAGGGAGGACGCTTTTCTTTTCCTTTGCCGTCATCGCTCATAGCGGTGCAAGCGCGTGGACAAGCAGTGGGAAGGGGATGGTCCAGGAGCCACACTCAGGACTCTAAAGAGGTACCTCAGGCAGTGATCCCCTGCCTGGAGTTGGACCCCCCTACAAAGAGCCAGGTTGTGGCAGTGACCTCCCCGTGATTCCGAGGGCTGCCACATCACCACCAAAGTCCAGCTCTCCTGCTTCGGCACAAGGCTGTGACTTGTCATTGATGTTTTGGGTCACGGACCTTTTCCACTCACGGAATTCCACTTCTGTTCTCCAAGCAGCTCTCTGTCTAACCAGTAACTGCGACTCTCCTCCAGGTGGAAGATCTCACCGCCAGCCATGATGCTGCTCTCCTAGAGATGGAAAATAACCACACAGTTGCCATCACAATCCTGCAGGATGACCACGACCACAAAGTCCAAGGTAGCTCCCAGCCTCGTGTGCAGCAGGCAGGGGTGGGTGGTGCAATCCGAGCCTTTCCTGCTGCAGATGTGTGGAGCCCCCCTTCCTCTCTTGTCCCTCCTTTCCTGTCTTTCCCTCCTGGTGCATTTTTTCCTGTTGGCTCCTGGGAAAAGAAGAGATAGGAATTAAGGATCCAGGTAGTTAGCTGCTTCTTTCCTCCAATGCAGTTATCCTCAACCTTGATGAATACTGGAATTCCCCGTCCCCTGGGGAGCGGTAACAAAAGACCAATGCCAGCCTCAGTCCCACCCCAGGGATTCTGATGTCCTTGGTCCATAGTGCAGTGTAAACATCAAGATTTCTTAAGACTCCTTAGGGGATTCTAATGTGTAGCCACACTTGAGGGCCACTGTCTAAAGCAGGCATGGAAATCGTGCACTTTTTTTTTTCCTCTTTTTTTTTTTTTTTTTTTTTGAGACAGAGTCTCACTTTGTTGCCCAGGCTGGAGTGCAGTGGTGCGATCTCAGCTCACTGAAACTTCTGCCTCCTGGGTTCAAGCGATTCTCCAGCCCCAGCTGGAGCCTCCAGCCCGAGTAGCTGGGATTACAGGTGCCCACTACCACACCCGGCTAGGCTTTATGATGTTTATTGCCTTATAAAAACAAATGGAAGCCCCGGCATGGATACACTTTCTTCATATTTATGATGTTCTCCGGGCCACTGCAGCATCTGGTTGGATCGGGGTATCCAGAGCTTACACTCATAGACCACATTCACCGTGGGTGTGCGTTAAGTCTCCAGATCTTTCTTTCTACATTTTTGTAACTTTGAATTATCTTTGGGTTTTACGTGGGTCATAACAGCATCATTACTAAGTTCCAGTGAGATTTTCCTTTGTGAAAGAGGCAGCATTTTACACTTTCACATGCATTTACATTAATATGTACAGTTTATTTTTCAACTTTCTCTCGCTTTACTTTTCCCTCCCAGTCAGCTGGTTGTTAAAGTGTGTATTAAAGGCCGGGAGCCGTGGCTCACACCCGTAATCCCAGCACTTTGGGAGGCTGAGGCAGGTGGATCACCTGAGGTCAGGAGTTCAAGACCAGCCTGGCAAACATGGCAAAACCCCGTCTCTACCAAAAATACAAAAATTAGCCAGGCGCGGTGGGCTGGCTACACGGGAGGTTGAGGCAGGAGAATCGCCTGAACCCTGGGAGGCAGAGGTTGCAGTGAGTCAAGATTGCGCCATTGCACTCCAGCAACAAGAGCGAAACTCCGCCTCAAAAAAAAAGTGTGTATTAAAAGCAATGACAGTTAACAATACATTGATAAACTTTTACAATTTGAGAATTAGCATCAGAGTTTTTATTATTGTTAAAATGTTCTCTGTGAACAAGACCCAGTGTGCCATAACCAAGGTCTGTGTTATTGTCACCCTCAAGCACCACCCCCACTACCTCTGGGAACTATTAGTAAGTGACCAAGCTGGAGGCAAGGGATGGTATTTTCCTGGGGACTAGTTAAATGGATTGCCTCGGTCCTGGTAGTGTGTTTCACACTGAGAGTACTGGTCTCTACCCTCGGCTACACATTGGAACCACCTGGAAGTTTTTAAAAATATACTGATGTGTGGCTCTTACCTCTGATATTCCAATTTAATTGCTCTGGGGTGCAGCCCAGGCATCAGAAGGCTTTAAAACTCCCTAGGTGATTCTAATACGCAGGAAAACTTGAGGACCATTGTGTTAAACACCGTATTAAGCGTGAGACAGTGTCATGAGCTTGAAATAAAGAAATACATGATGAAGACACAGTTAGCAATGGTTTATGTCATCTTCAGAATGGATACTGCCTCTTCTTTTCCCTTGGGGCATTGGGATCCTTTGAAAACGCCCTGAAATCTGTCACTAGAGGAAGCTGGTCTCACAAGAAAGAACGTGAGTGGAAATGGTGCAGTGAGCCATGGTGTTGCCTTTTCTTTCTGGATTTTCACATAAATCTGGTGGATTTTTCTGACTAACGAAGTCTCACTCAGACACCACATTCCAGGTCTTTGAATTATAAATGATGTCAAGGCCATGTGCGTGTAGGTAATGGTAGCTAAAAAATTTATTATTATGGTCAGGATGCTGCTCTCGATGACTGTAACACTAATCATTTAGTCAGAGGCAGGCAGACCGGAAAGGCCATATGGTTCTCTATCAATGAAATCAACACAAACATTTCTTTTCCAAATGTAAACGTCAGCTATAACAACTGGATTTCTTAGTGACCCTTACCACCATTAGTTAAAAGATTTGGGTCAATGAAAACCACAAAGTTTTTCCTAATTGCAGCACACGCCACCCAGAATGGTAATTGTCGGCCTCCAGTACGCTACCATTCTGAGCATATGATGCAGGCCGATTAATGAGACCCTCTTCCCTCTCATTATAACATGAAAACAAATTGCTTGTGTAGCCAGAATGAGATGGGCTTCACCCAGCTAATAAGACTCTTCCCATCAGGAGGAAAACAGAATCCATTTGCTTAATAACTCTTACATGACATCTCTTTCTGCCTAACTTGCAAATTATTGCTGGAATGACACTTTTCACGGAACAGAATTGTTTCAAACCCTCCAAGAGGAAGCAGTCCAAGTAGTTCTTCCTTGCATCTGAGTTGTCTTAACACCGAATCTTTGCTGAAGCAAATCCCAGGGACGTATAGTTCTCCGAGTGCAGCCAAGAGGCTACCAAGGTGTCCGTGTAGACACAGCACTGAGCCTGGCTGGTAAGCCCGGCTGGCAGGATGGCTGCTCGCAGCTCCGCTGCTTTCCTCAGCCCCAGATGGCTGCTTCGCAGTGGGAAGGAAGAGTGATCCTGGGAGGGGAAGAAAATAGGATTTAATGTTAATTACCTAGTTATTTTGCCATGAGAACAGTTTAGAGAATCAATGAATAACGTGAACAAAGGATATGACTTGGGCAGGATGGTGGTATAGCTGAATGTAGAAGTGTGGATGTGTGTGTGTGTGTGTGTGTGGTGTGGGAGGTATGGGGGGATGCGGGTTTGTGTGTGTGTGTGTGGTGGGAGGCATGGGGATGTGGGAGTGTGTGTGTGGTATGTGTGCGGGTGTTTATAGTGTGTGCAGTGTGTGGGTGTGCATGTGTGTGTATATGTGTGGTGTGTTTATGGGGAGTGTGTGGTGTGTGGTGTGTGTATGTGGTGTATGGTGGGGGTGTGGGTATGTTATGTACAAAGGTGTGGGTGCTGTAAGGATGGGGGAGGGCATGTAAGTGTGTCCTTGTGTAAATGTGTATGGATTTGGAGGTGTGCAGGCGTGGCAGGTTATGAGGGTGTGATTAGTGTGTGTGGGTGTGTTATGCGTGTGTGGTAGGTGTGTATATGGTATATATGTGTGTGGTGTGTGTAGTATATATATGTGGGGGTGTGGAGGAATGTGTGTGGTGTGTGTGTAGTGGGTGTGTGGTGTAGGTTTGTATGGTATGTATGTGGGATGTGTGTAGTGTGTGTATGTGGGGGTGTGGGAGGCATGATGTGTGTGGTATGTGTGGGGGTGTGTGTGTGGTATATGTATGTGGGGGAGTGTGTGGGGGTGTGTGTGACAGGTGTGTGTGTGTGGCATATAGTGTGTGTATGTGATTAGTAGGTGTGTATGTGTGTGTGGCATGTAGTGTGTATGCGATTGTGTGTGGTGTGTGTGGAGTGTGGTGTATTCGTGTGATGTGTGTGGTAGGTGTGTGTGGGGCGTGTGGGGTGTGTGTGTGCGTGTGGTATGTGTGTGATGTATGTATGTGCTGTTGTATGTAGCGTATGTGATGTGTGTGGGGTAGGTGTGTGTGTGTGGTAGGTGTGTGTGTGTGGCATGTGCCATGTATGTGATGTGTGTGTGGTGGGTGTGTATGTGTGCGTGGCGTGTAGTGTGTGTATGTGATGTGTGTGTGGTAGGTGTGTGTGTGGCATGTAGTGTGTGTGTATGTGATGTGTGTGGTAGGTGTGTGTGGTGTATGGTGTGTATGTGAATGTGTGTGGTAGGTGTGTGTGTAGTGTGTGTGTATGTGATGTGTGTGGTAGGTGTGTATGTGTGCCATGTGTATGTGAATGCGTGGTAGGTGTGTATGTGTGTGGTGTGTGTGTGTATGTGATGTGTGTGGTAGGTGTGTATGTGTGTGTGGTGTGTATGTGATGTGTGTGGTAGGTGTGTATGTGTGTGTGGTGTGTATGTGATGTGTGGTAGGTGTGTATGTGTGTGGCATGTGTGTATGTGATTGTGTGTGGTAGATGTGTGTGGCATGTGGTGTGTATGTGATGTGTGGTAGGTGTGTATGTGTATGTGTGGCATGTGGTGTGTATGTGACGGGTGTGTGATGTTTGCGTGTGTGTGTAGTGTGTGGTCTGTGTGTGTTCATATGCGTTCTATCTGCCCCCATCTTCTTTTTCCCTCCCTTTCCCCAGTCCCTTCTTTCTTTCTCTCTCCTGAATACTAACCTGGTCATGACATACAATTTCAAACCAGTGGAGGAGTCCCCTTAGGCTTGAATCTGCTATACGGGAGTCATTTATTTACCTGAAGTCACAGGTCTTAAGTCTGCCAAAAGAGCCTTGTTTTATCCTTTTCAAAAGAAAGACCAACTTGACAATTTAATGTCTTCTTTCCAGAATTGATGTCCACTCATGAGCTTGAAAAGAAAGAATTGGAAGAAAATTTTGAAAAACTGCGGCTGTCATTGCAGGTTAGTATTTCTTTAATTTTCTTACCTGGTATCGAGATAATGGCAGCATCATTATTCCCACCCACAAACATTCATTCAGCACCTACTGTGTACTAAATCCTGTACTAAACAATAGAATATAAGGTAAATAAGTCATACTCGCTACTCTTAAGAAATGTGCTGTCTGCTCAGAAAGCTGTGATGCAAATAGTATCAGACAACAGGTAACACATACTTGCACCAAATGAATAATACAGTTGGTGAATGCTACAGACATTCAGAGAGATTACTCTGCACTTGGTGTGGTCTGGAGTATCCAAGGAGTAACTGAGCTATGTTCAAAGCAAGAGGAGGACTGGGGGAAGAGAGTGTTCTAGGCAGGGGTAACGGTGCAAGGAGGGTTGTGCAGGTCAGAATTCACAGAACGTGCTCTGAGACTTATAAAAGGGGCTGCAGTTACCTGGAGGTGGCTGAGACGAAAAGCACCTTCTCTTCCTCTCACTGCCACCTTTAGGAAACGCTGGTCTCAGATGCCAGAGGAGCTGCCTGGTGTCCTGCAGGCCTCTAAGGAGAGAATGCAGGTGTCCCAGATCACCTGTGTCTCCTTCCTGCCTTACAGAGACCGAGGTAGCTGCCTCTGTGAAAAGACATTGACAACCCCCAGCCCCATGGAAGAGCTGCCTGGGAAGCCAGGGGGACGCTAGGGGCCCTGCTTCCATTTCCAAGTGTAGCAATTCCAATCACAGCAAAATTATTTTTTAAATGTTAGGCACACTCTCATCTGGAAATTGTGGGAGGTGAATCCCATAGCTGTAACACGTAGGCAGGAATTCTGCTTCTTCGATGGCTCACTTTCCTCTGGCAACATACGTGGCACTGAGCCTGCCCCATCAAGAGTCCAGGATTGTGGAGAGACCCAGGGTCACACTCTCCAGTGTACTCTTCAAAAACTAAAATGTGTTATGCCTGCACAGTGCTTGTGTGGTTTGCCGTTGGCCAATGAACCCCAGACTGCCTTCCTCGTATACACATCCTGCACCAATAGTTGCGCTATCCTTAAAGGAACACAAATCAGGAAAGTGACGGCCATACAGCGATATCACAAAAATCCCATCCAATCCCAAACCCAAAGAAATGAGAGTTTTGTCTTGTCTGGGAGTCTGCGCCCTGCCACTGACACCAGATGGTCCTGAACTGGGCATATGTTTGTTGTGACTGTCCAGCAGAATCCGTTTGGGCTGGAGGTTATTTGGTGCAAGGAGGGTGGAATTGCTCAAGCCAACCTCCTTGGTCTACAGGCACCTGGAGAAACAGGTTTGGTGGTTAGAGATTTGAGTTTTTGTTTAAATCCCCGCTGCACTAGCTCTTACTAGCTTTCACATCTTGGAGAGTTATGTAGCCTCTGTAAACCTTAGTTTACTCTTTAAAATAAGGATGATGACAGTATCTTTCTCAAGGTGTGAACAGATTAAGGGAAATAACGTGTGAAAAGTGGATAGCCCTGGGTTGGCTTAGATCACTGCTAATAAGTGGCAGCTGTTGTAACTATTGTAATAATAACAAGCATTGTTACATTTATTGTGATTATTGTCATGCTGTTGGTTGGCTCCAGCCAGGTCTTTGTGCCTCTTAGCATGACATAAAGAAGCCAGCCCAAGTTAGTTGCAATAGCACACTCTGTCCCTGTAGATCTCTTTTGAGTGATGGTGAATAAGGCAGAAACATCAGTTTGGTATTTTAGATCCATCCTATGTTGTAATTGCCTGACGAGTTTGCTGTTGTTTTGTTTTTTTAATGGAGGGAAAGAGGCTTAAAAGAAATGCTTTCTCTGGCAGCACTGAGGAGGTTTGGTGTAGGAGCCATGGAGGGAGAGTCATTTTTATAGTCAGTGTAGCAGGTGACCTGTGCTAGGTCACCTGCTACACTGCCCAGGCTGTGATGAACATTTCAGCTCATAGGCGCGCAAGCCCCCACCTGCGGCGTACTGCACTAATGCACCGGCATTTGCATTTCATGGCACTGTGGGAACTTCTATTTCTTAAAAATAAAATGGAAGTAGGCTGGGCACGGTGGCTTATGCCTGTAATCCCAGCACTTTGGGAGGTCGAGGGGGGCAGATCACCTGAGGTCAGGACTTCAAGACCAGCCTGGCCAACATGGTGAAACCTGTCTCTACTAAAAATACAAAAAAATTAGTCGGATGTGGGTCAGGCACATTGGCTCACGTTTGTATTCCCAGCACTTTGGGAGGCTGAGGCGGGCAGATCACCTAAGGTCAGAGTTTGAGACCAGCCTGGACAACATGGTAAAACCCTGTCTCTACCAAAAATACAAAATTAGCTGGACGTGGTGGTGCATGCCTGTAATCCCAGCTACTCGGGAGGCTGAGGCAGGAGAATCGCTTGAACCCCGGAGGCAGAGGTAGCAGTGAGCCGTGATCGCGCCACTGCACTCCAACCTGGACAAGAGCAAAACTCCGTCTCAAAAAAAAAAAAAAAAAAAAAAAAACTTAAGTCAGATGTGGTGGTGGGGGCCTGTAATCCCAGCTACTTGGGAGGCTGAGGCACGAGAATCACTTGAACCCGGCAGGCTTAGGTTGCAGTGAGCTGAGATCATGCCACTGCACTCCAACCTGGGTGACAGAGTGAGTCTTTGTCAAAAAAAAAAAAAAAAAAAAAAAAAGGAAGTAACTGGAAAAGAGAACAAAAAAGAGGAAAAGAAACCTACTCAGGGAGGTTTGCAGAGAGGGTCCTCCACCATAAGAAAGCAAGCAGTCAAGCCCAGCACTTCGCATGTTAGTGTCACTGTGTGCACTTATTAGCATTCACAATATCACTTCCTATTATTTGGTGGGATGATACCATTTCTCTTGCCAGAAAAGTTCATGGGAGGCTAGGAATGGTGGCTCATGCCTGTAATCCCGACACTCTGGGAGGCCGAGGTGGGTGGATCACTTGAGGTCAGGAGTTCGAGACCAGCCTGGGCAACATGGCAAAACCCCATCTCTACTAAAAATACAAACATTAGCTGGGTGTGGTGGTGCACGCCTGTAGTCCCAGCTACTTGGAAGGCTGAGATGGGAGGATCACTTGAGTCTGGGAGGTGGAGGTTGCAGTGAGCCAAGATCATACCACTGCACTCTAGCCTGGGCGACAGAGTGAGACCCTGTCTCTGTCTCTGTCTTTGTCTCTCTTTTTCTCTCTCTCTCTCTTTATATGTGTGTGTGTGTGTGTGTGTATCTATATATCTATATCTATATCTATATATTTTTTAGAAGAGTTCATGGGAGACCCTAGTTTCTGTGTTTTGATATTACAGAAATGGTCCTGTGCAAAGAGCTTTGGACTGGTCTGCATGAGTGAGACATGAAGGGTGAAGGTCTCCTTGGGCATCAGTGGTCCTTTCCCAGCCTGTGGTCCTGAGAGTCATGGCCAGAGCTGAGTGGGGCAGGGTCAGTGCAGGTGCATCTGCCCTGGGACCTGGGGAAGGGGTGCAGTGTCTCCATAGACATGCCTGTATTCCTTCAGCCTGCAGGTGGAGAGCAGCCAGCTGCCTGCCTAGCTGACAGGCATGGGAAGGTTGAGGGCTGGGAGCGCCAGTCTGGCCACGGGGCAGGTCTGAGCAGGGAGGAGGAGACTGTGTGGACTCAGCTTACGTGGCAGCTCCTATTAAGGACATGCAACCCAGTCCTGAGGCCAGGAAGACTGTGTGGGAGCCAGAGTGAAGCGGGAGTGAGAGGGAGCTGGCTGGAGGTAGGCACTGCCAGCAGGAGAGCTGGCTGCGAGAGGAAAGGGAGGCAGCGGGGCTGGGAGGATGCTGTGTTAGGGAGTGTGCACTGCACCTTGAGGGCAGTGGAGGAGGAGATAGGGGAAGGACAGGTTCCGGTTTGCACATTAGAAAGAGTGCCTGACTGCAGTGTGAGGGCAAAAGAGTGGTAATTCAGAGAAAAAGAGGAACCGTGCCAGGAAGGAGCCGGCAGAGTGGCCTGAGCTCAGGGGACTCTGTGGGTTCTAGGGACATTCAGGAGGCAGGATGGCAGGAGTTGATTATGGACTTGGTGATTAGAAGGTTTGTTGATGTGGGAGGGGTCCCAAGGGAGAGAAAGAAGTCAAGGAGGGTTTGAAGGGATCTGAATTGAGCTTCCTAAATGAGAATACATCTTTGAAATACATTCATCGCGGTCCTTCCCAAAGCCAGGGGCTAGGTGCCTCCTGGACAAGAGGCACCTCTGAGGATTCTCTCCGAGGACTGTCTGCCTCTGTGGGGTCAGATGTTGTGAAATGCCTCCAGTTCAGTGTTTTTGTGGTGTCTTCCTGACAAAGCACTAAGAAGGAGGGAGCCGAGGGCAGGCGTTGGGGGAAACCATCCTCTGTTGTGTGGTTGTGGGGGCTCTCCTTTGGCACCTCTTTCTTCAGCCCCAAGGGAAACACTCTGAGGATGCCCAGGGCACAGTGGTGGCCTGCTGATCACAGCTGCCCAGGCTGTGGTGGCTGCTGTCTGTAGTGGCCCCAGCTGGACTCCTTGTATCATTACTTGCAGGACCAGGTGGACACGCTGACCTTCCAGAGCCAGTCTCTGCGGGACAGAGCCCGCCGCTTCGAAGAGGCCTTGAGGAAGAACACAGAGGAGCAGCTGGAGGTCGTTTCTGGATTCCAGGCTTCCAGCCCCGCAGGAACCCCGCCCCAGCAAGGCCGAGGGACTCCCTCAGCAGTCTCGTCCCAAGACAAGGCCTCTCTGTGAATCCGCTGCTGAAGTGACAGCTGGTCACGACCTCCCCTGGATTTTTAAACAATTCCTGTCAGCAGCTCTCCCCTGAGACAGACAGCAGCTGTGGGTTTCTCCAGCTACGTGTTATTTTTGCCAAATTCCACAGCATTCCCCAGCTGGAGTCGTGGGGCTCCTATGATAAGCATGGTCTGGAAACCCCCCTCCGCTGGCCTGACCACCCCTTCCAGCCCATTCTCCCGCAACTTTTTAAGCTGACATGGGGCAGCCTTGGCTGCAGCATGCGTTCAGTTGAGGGGAATTTTTTCCAGAAAAGCTGGCAAAACTCCTTCCCTCTAACATGGGGTTGCCAAATAAAATACAGGACACCCAGTTAAACTTGAATTACAGATAAATAAATTTTTGAGTATAAGTATGTCCCATGCAATACTTATACTGAATTTTTTAAAATGTCATTTATCTGAATTTGGATTTAACAGGACACACTATATTTTAATTTGTTATATCCTGCAGCACTACTCCAACATGACTTTTTCTAAAATGGCTTTTCTGCTTCTTAAACCACTTTGCTCATTTCCTATGCCTGAGCTTTTTATGGGCATAGGTGGGACCTATAAGAGTCCCAGCTACCTGGTGAATCAAGTCGGCCGGGTGAATGTTAAAAGCCAGTGTTGGGTTTACTCTTTCTACCCCATGAATTCCCTGCTGGGCACAGGCTGGCAGCCCCCAGCAATTCTGGAGTCAGACTTGCCAGTGGTTGATGGCCATGTCTCACCTGTTCCCCCACAGAACTGGATTTTAGGAGGGTTCTCAGCAGGAAACTAGCAGGGCCCCTTTATCAGGGAAGGCTGTGAGCATCCTCTCTCTTTGGTGTTGCAGTTGCCATCAGGGCGCTTGTCCCAGGAGGATAGATTTAGCTGGATTCGTGACATTGGTTAATACTGGGTTTTGCCGGGAATCCTGGTCAACAGCTCATGGCTCTCTGCCTCTGTAGATTGCATTGGCTCCTTATCAGCACTTGGAAGAAGACATGAAGAGTCTGAAGCAGGTATTAGAAATGAAGAATCAGCAAATACACGAGCAAGAAAAGAAGATTCTTGAGCTGGAAAAGCTGGTGAGTTGGTCTGTTTGCTCGGGAGAGTAACCTCCATGACATTCCTGCTGTCATCACTGATGTCATCGTTGATGGTGTTCAGCCAGGTGTGTCCCTTACCTGCCCATTGCTTACACCCAAGCAGAAAATCCCACAGCTGGCCTTTCCCAGGAATCCAGGAGCTCTCATAAGGAATCTTGGAGGTGGCCTCACCTTGTCCAACTCTGGAGCCTTCCTGATGGGCAGTCTCTTTCTGCTTCGCCCTGGTTTTCCCACAGTTGTGCTGTCTTCTCGCCCTCTCTTGGGGACGTGTGGGGACCCAGCACAATGCAGCATCCCTGATGCCCAGACACTGCACGGAGCACTTTCCCCGAGCCTGCGCCTAACTCCTACGGCTGCCTGTGGAGCAGCTGCCGCCACCAGCCGCTTTACAGATGCGGAGATGGAGCTAAGGAGCCCTGGCCCAGTGCTTCCAGTCCTCACAAGGCAGAAGGGGCCAGGGATCTCCCTGGGGCCCTTTTTATAAGGCTATTAATCCCATTCACAGGGGCTCACCCTCAGGACCTAATCCCCTCCCCAGTTCTCTGCCTCCTAATACCATCACTTTGGGGGTTAGGTTTCAGCACAGGAATTTGGGGGGACACAAACATTCAGTCCAGAACAGAGTCCTAGCTCTGACCCACACTCGCCCACCTCAGCCCACCAGCCTGGCTCCTGCAGAGCTAGCAAAGGGCACTCCCTAGGGGGCACAGAACACCCAGGATTTCACCCTCTACCCTGGGGCACAAGCCCCCAGCCAGGGCTAGAGTCCCAGAAAAGTGTGCAAAGGGAGTGGAGGAGAAGCCTCCTTCCAAGGGCAGCCCATCTTGATCTGGAAATTGGCCCCAGGATCTCAGATTCTTATTTTTTCCCTTTATTATTGTTACTTTAAAAATAAACTTTTGATACTAACAAAAGTAAATATGTGTACTGTGGAAAATTATGAAATAAGATAAACAAAAAATAAGCAGATTATAACATCATATTCCTACCAGTGCTTATACTTTCCAGAACTTTTTCTCTGTAAGGTAGTATCTGCGTGCACATGTGCACAGGCACACACCCACCCACCCACATGGCCAACATATTATACTGTATAAGTGTTTTATATCCTTAGCTTGCCATCTCAGGCAGGAACTGATCATCTCATCGAAATTCCCCATTTGTGAAATGTCCCTTGCATCTGTATAACCAAGCCAGGGGCTGATCTAGGGCCACCCATTGCATTTGGTGGCCATGTCACCTCTCTCTCTGGAAGCATCCCTTTTTGCAGACATCTCTTGCTGCACGGGTGCAGTTAATGGGGGCAGACCAGATGATGCTGGATTGTCGCCAAGATTCTGGGCGATGCTGACCACTCTGCACCCTCCAGCAGCCCAGGACTTCCCAGCTCAGGCCAGGCCTAGGGCTGGCGGGGAGCTACAGGACAGCGCCTGCCTCAGCTGAACCCTGCCTTGCAGCCTTGCCAGTGTGGGGACCAGCTGTTCTGAGAGCAGCCACCCATCTTCCCCCTCCTGGCTTGGCCATTTGCATTGGGTCACCAGCAAACCTCTGGGTTTACTTGGCTGATTTTAGCCATCCTCCAGGCTTTCTGCCTGCCCATATGGCTTCTCATCCCAGAAACCTTTCCAGGCAAAAAAGAATCTACTCGATCACTTCATCTCCTGGGAGCAAAAGTGAGGGCTGGGTGAGGTGTCTTGCTAAAGAGCGGGGACAGAGGCCAGTCCTGTGGCTAGGATTCCTAAGTCCTGTTCATGGAAAAGGGACAGTTTTCTTTAAAGATTAACTACATTAACAGTGAACTTGTCACATTCTTTTCAGGAAATAATTTATTTCTAAATTGGTCTTAGAATCAAACTGTACTTCAGCTAGGTCTCAGGCCCTCGAGGACACGCTAACAGAGGGAAAGGCATCAATTGCCGGGGAGTAACAGCCATGGGATGATGGGATTTGGGGATAATGTACCCAGCTGCTCTTGCGCTTTGCATTCCTGGCTGCCTGTAGCCTCAAAAGGAAAAAGCGTGCTTACATTATTTAGATTTCCTCCCTCCATTGATTCAGAATGTAATGTCGTGCACGCAAGGCTGGCCAAGGATGCTGCTGCAGTGTGGTTGACCCTTTGGGAAGAGCCATGAGACCCAGTAGTCAAATGAGGTCCTAGTGGTATTCATGGCTTATCTCTGACAATGGCAAGGGCCTGAGGACATTCACTATAAGAAATACATTTTACATCAGAAACACACACACACACACACACACACACACACACACACACACACATTGATACATAATATATATAAAATAAAAATATCTGAAATTTGCTACCTACAGTGCACATGGGCATTTTCTATTCTGTTTCATTTAAAGAAGAAATGCTGGTCACATTCCTCTGACCTGATTTTAAAACCCACTAAAGCATTGCGAACTGATGTTTGCAAAATGCTGTTCTTGATAATCCTCCAATGCCCAGAGCTGAGGGCACCGGTTTACTCCCGATTTTATGGCCTTGCTAGAACCTCTTAAACACTGTTTCCTTTGTAGGCAGAAAAGAACATTATCCTAGAAGAAAAGATCCAGGTTCTCCAACAGCAGAACGAAGACCTCAAAGCAAGGATTGACCAAAACACAGTTGTCACCAGGTAGGTGGGCTGGGTGTCACCTACAAAGTGACTTTCCTCTTGAGCTTCTTTTTGTTGCAACATCCAGTTTCCCTCACTCTGGCCTGTGAGTCTTTCCCCACAGTCTCTTGCTGTTTTCCCCAAGACCTGAAGAACAAGAACAAACCCCTGCGGCCATCTTGCCTATTCCTGGCCACATATCAACGGGCCCCACCTTGAGAGAAATGAGTGAAATCAGCAAAAGTGTGCAGCAGGGTCCTCCTGCAGCACTGGGAGGGGAAGGGGTTTATTTTTGGAAGAGATTAGGAGAGGAGGGCCAGCTGGGTGTTCCCAGGCTAAAAAGAGAGCCACCACTGGCTGATACCCCAACTTCCAGAAATTCACAATTTCCATCCAGGTCTCGCCTGTCCCTGTGGGGCCACGCTCTGAGGTGCCCCAGCTTTCAAGGAAGGGTGTTCAGGCTCCTCCCTCACACAGCACAATGCGGGGATAAAGCAGGGTTTTGGCTTCATCAGCTGCTCTCCCATGAGGGCTGAGCCATATCAGTAAGACCCAGGCCTGAACCCTTGCCCACTCAACTCAGCTAGGCTCCTCAATGCTCACCCATGGTGTGTTACCCTTGCACACATAACTCGTGCATATGCATACACTCACATGCACTCACACAGGCACTGCTCACTCACACACACACTTGCATATTCCCACTCAGGCACACTCTCATACACTTACGCACACACTCATATACTCATACAATCCCTCACACCTATTCACATGCCCTGTTTGCACACTCACACGTGCATGCTTTTCTTCACATGTACATGCTTATTCTCACATGTACATTCTCTCACATACATACGCTCTTGCACACATGCATGAATGGACACACAGCCATTGCCCCCATAACTAAGCCCCTAGTGCAGGCATTTTGTTCTCACCTCAGAGGCACATAGGAAAGGCTGTGCTGGGGGCAGCAAGCTCTCTTTGCTCCGGAAGCTGCAAAGGTGCCCTTGTCAGCAGAGCAAGTGCAGACTTTATCCAACAGAGGTGATTTTTCTGGACTTCAGTCTGTCCAGCTTTAAAATGCATATGTACTTATTCCTGTCAGTTCCTCAGAGGTGCTGTCATTCTTCAAAAATGCAACAAAGCAAGCAATTCGGATTCATTTTTTCACCCACCAGCCTTTATCGGCAAACATTAACTGAGCATCTGTTACGTGCCTAGCACCAGCTGGATGCTGGGAGTTCAGCATGCAGAGCCTTGGCCTCTGTCCTCCGGAGCTCCCAGTCTAGCAGGCAGACACAGACCCCTAGAGCAGCATTTCCAGCAGGGGAGGACACCTGCCATCGTGGAGGCACAAGCCTGGGGCAGGGAGGCCAGGAGAAGGCACCCCCAGCTTCCTGGCAGTCTCAGGAAGGCCCGCGGCTCTTCACTGCTATTGTGCTGTTGTCATTGTCAATTGCCAGCTGCGCGGCTGTCTCTCCTTTCGGAGCTTCCGGGCAGCATACCCACTCCAGCTCTCCGCTTCCCTCCTTTCAGTCGCTGGCCTTTGCTCTGTCCAGTGGACAGCCAGTGCCTCCCCTGACCGGGCAGAGGGCCTGTGGGATGATGGGTATTGGCCAGAGAGGCTCTGGGAACAGATGTGTCATTGGGCCAAATGGAAATCATGATTCAACCAAAGTTCTTGGTCACTGGGTCACCCTGGTCCCTGTTCTCCCTGCGGTCATCATGGCCTCCTCCCTTTGCCCTGCACCATTGTCCTGACCTCAGGTTCAGTGTCCACTAGCATGATTGCTACTTATTTGTCATTGTGCCCATGCAGACAGCTGTCGGAGGAAAATGCTAACCTCCAGGAATATGTTGAGAAGGAAACCCAGGAGAAGAAGAGATTGAGCCGAACCAATGAAGAGCTGCTTTGGAAGCTCCAAACTGGGGACCCGACCAGTCCGATTAAACTCTCGCCCACATCTCCCGTTTACCGCGGCTCCTCCTCGGGGCCCTCCTCTCCGGCCAGAGTCAGCACAACACCCAGATGACGCCACTACACGGCCTGCGGGAGCTCCGGCTTCTCGTCCTCCGGTCTCCACCCTGAGGGAGCACCGACCCGGTGCCGCCGGAGCTGGCCCTGTGCGCATGCTCAGTAGCTGCGAATGCATCCTAGGCGCGTCCTCCTCTGATCCCCGTGTAAGACTGCCCTGGTGTCGGCACTTAGGAATGTGTAAATGGTAAAGTCTGATGTGCAAACGTTTTACCATAGTTAGAGCCAAAAGAAAGACACTTGCAATTGTTCTTGAGCAATGAACTTTCACTGCAGAATTTCAGGTTAGTTACAAAAAGCTCAGTTTTCAATATACATTGAATAATCATTGTGTACTGCACCGATATGTGTGTATATTTAGATATACGTATATACACATGCTGCGGTTCTGAATTTCATTTTTTATAACATGAAGTGCTGACATATTTTAGTGAAGGTCAGCAGTTTTCTAACTTGTGCCTAAGAATTATTGGGAAATGAAAATGCATTTCTATCTAGCTTCCCAGGAATATTTCTACCCAAAATAGAAAAAGGAAAAAAAAAAAGATACAGAGAAGAAGCGCCTTTCAACTCACCACCAAGTGGTACTCTCTTTAACACGAACACCAGCTATTTGTGAACGGTAACTGCCTTTGGAACAATCAGCTTCTCAGTCAACATGATGTGAGATCACTATTATTCCATTCGCAAGTTTTAATTATTGATACTCCTGTCATGAGCGGATAAGGGAGAGCAGTGGGAAACCCTAAGGGGGTTTAGCAGTTTTGCAGATGTTACCCATGACAGTGACTCATCTCTGATAGTCTTGTAAACACAAGTTTTGCTTTTTTCCTAAATGGCATCTCAGACTCGGTCATTAAGCTATTGTTGCACCCTCCGGAAAACATGGCAGAGCATGACCTTTGAGTAAGAGTGAGGATGACCTTGCAGATGACTGTGCCCATTCGCGCTCCATCCTCATGAAGGAAATTGCTGCCAAGGTCTGTATTTTGACCAGGCACAGAGGGGGAACATCACTCCAGCTTTCCATGTGGTTCACTCTGATGCGATGCTGTAAATGATCAACTCTTTGAAATAGGACCCTCAGGCCCCCATTTCCTAGCAGCCCCCCTTCAGTTTGGTTCTACAACTCAACCCCTTCACTGCACATTGAGATGGCTCAGGGGTTCTAGCAGGGGCTTCCAGAAAAAAAAAACACCATTTCTGTCCCGGGGGACCAGTTCTGAGCTGTGCTAGATCATCACACGACCACCCAGAAACCCACTTGCACTTCCTGCTGGATGATCAGGCAACGCTGCTGCTGACCGTGCTCCCATCTTAGACCCAGAAGGTTCTCCCAAACAGAGGAGCCCAGTGAAACAGCCAGCCAGGGGGCACCAGCTCCTGGACTGGCATCTGTCTCTAAAATGGTAGAATTAGGATATGAACAGTACTCATGTAGTGGTGTGGAAGATTAGGAGCATGATACACAAAAGGAAGAAGTAGTTTTAACAGATATGGTGATGATGATGATGCCCTTGTTTCCTGTATGTGACAAAGACCCTGCACTTTCTCCCTGAGACCCCCCCAAAATTGTCCTGAGCACAGGCCTGTCTTTGAGCGTGCCCAAGGCGAGAAGAACCATGAGGGGGTCCTGCAGGGGCCGGAGCCATGGAACGGGGAAGAAAACAGCCCGCGGACGGGGTCGGCTTGTCCAGGGCACGCCTGCTCGGCACACGTGTTGCCAACGTGAAGGCAGACATGGTCCCTGGCCCTAGGATGAGTCCACGCTGGGCTTCCGGGCCTCAGGTGCATCTCCAGCCAACCTCCAAGGGTCTTGCTCCTTCTGGGGACGTACACAGTAAATCCACATGGAAACACCACCATTTCTCTTTGCTTTAGTGGCTCTGCATGATACTGTGATATTGAGTTGGGCATTCCATTAGAGTAGATCTTGCCACATTGACTAAATACACAAGTATTTATTCTAGTAGCAGGCACAACCTGCAAACACAAATTCAGTTACAGCTTAGCTGTCCGAATTAGGAACCGCTTACATAGCCGCACCTGCTAAATGCAGTTACACAGCAATACTGACTTCCGTGTGATGCTAGAACGTGGTACAGTGTATTAGGCTGCTGTGGTCAGAGTTGTAGCATCGTTAGCACTAAGTAATTCCTCATTAGGTGGACTTCGGTGAGAGCTTTGCCCTAACCTGCCCTGACCTTGGGTACTTGAGCTAATTTCCACGTGGCCCTGGCTTCGTGGTTTGTTTGTTTTTTTTCTTTTGTTACGGACACCCATCATGTATGGCTCCTCATCTGAGCCATCACCGCTCCCGAAACACATGGGGCGGCAGCTGCTGTGCCTCCTTCTCAATTCTTCCACCCCCCCACACCATCAGAATTCGGATTTCTCTCCACGTGGCGTCTGCCTCTGTCCCCTTCCAGGCTGGAGCGACGTTTCCACGTTCGGATGCTGCAGCCTCTGCACCTGCCTCAGACAGACCCACCAGATACCACCTGTCTCTTCGTGGCATTTGGGAGATGCGTGGGCGGCCTGCCCCCCGACCGCCGCCCCTGCCCACCACATGCTGGGACAAGGTTCTGGCTGGATGTCAGAATGGATGGGGGTGGGGGCAGCCCTGGCCGTGATTAGTTGAATGAATGGGGTCACAACATCCCTTTTCCTGCCCCTACAGTTTGTGTTGCATATTTGTGTTTAAAGCCTATTAAAATAAACTTGAGGGACTTTCTGCGATATCTACTTGATGTAACTGGAGACCTGTCCCTCTCAGGCTGGGGATCCCAGGCAGGGAGGCAAGGGGGGTGGCGTTTGCAGGCTGGACCCCTTTTCTGTGTGTGCCGGGGTTGGGTGATGGTCCGTGAGAGAAGTCTTGTAGAGACCCCCTCTCCCCTGACTCCGCAGGTCCCAGGTCCCTGCGCCCACCCCTCCAGCCTGGGGGCTTGAGCAGCCCCTCCCCTGGACTTGGGAGCTCAGTGCCTCTGCTCTGCAAGGCCGGGTGCGCTGGAGTTGGCTGGAAGGAGGACATAAAAGGTCATTCACTCATTTCAACCTGAAAGTGCTTGCTCCCCCCATCCCGATGGCCTTCAGTTTGGGCTGCAGCCGGTTTAGCCAGCTGGACCTCGAAGTGTCCCACAGGTGTCTGGCACCATCACAAGGGAGACAGCTGGGTTCGCAGGTTCCCTGTGGTGGTTTTGCAGGGTCTGTGGGAGTGGCAGCTATTTCAGCGAGATCAGCAAGTCCCTCCTGAACAAGTAGTGAACAACAGACCCTTTGGAGACACAAATTCACTTCCGGACCTCACAGGGAACACCCCAGGGCCACCTCTGGGTCATCCCAGTATATCGATGGCAATCTAGTTATTAATAATCTATCTATCTGGCCACGTGTCCTAACCTGTTTGTTTCTTTTGGGGTGTCTTGAGCACCCTTCACTTTCATAATGACCCCCTCCCATTGTCCTTACCCCACCTTATGCGGTAAACAAGGCAGCTGGCAGCACCTCCACATAACAAAGGAGCAAATGGGTGGCAGCCACCAACACGAGCAGGAGGTGAGATTAGAGCCAGCTTTCCACTGTCCATGGAGAATGGTGTCCCCTTCCACGGCTCATTTGCAGTAGGCAGAGGAGACTCTGGAAGTCAACTCACTCACTGACCTCCTCTGTGCCAAGGAGCCCTGAGAGCTGGCTCTCCCTTCGTGGGAGACTTGCATCCCCCTAGCAAGAAGGGAGTTACGGAGTTAAGCACAGGTGGAAACCAAATGGTTGGACAGCTTCCCACCTGCGATTGAAGTTGAAGGATGTTCTCAAAGCCATTGCTGCATCAGTGTGTACACTTCGAGCAATGACTCTGGGATTGCACCCTGTCACCTCATCTGTAACCACCAAGTGGTGAGAATCCTGCCCACGTGAGAGTCTGTCAAATGCTTACATACACACACAGATACACACACACTACACACAATCCCGAAGGCTGGTAAGCCATTCTGGTGGTTAAGACAGAGCATGTTAATTCACTTAAATTAAATTTGCTAAATACATTTTTGTTAGCCAGTCTGCATCTTTCAAACCTCTTGCCCCAAACCTCATAAAATAAAACCAAGACAGACACCTGGTGTTTCTGAGGCCAGGCTTGGGTCACTCCCACCGCAGCGTGATGATGCAGGCCAATCTTCCTCACTCACTAAGTCGGGAAGCTTTTTCCAGTGCCAGCGCCAGGCAGGGTCGGGATGCCCTACAGCTCCGAGCTCAGACAGCCCTGTCCCTTGTATGTCTGCAGACCTCCTGGGTGCCCATGCCTCCTCCCTCTAAGGCACTCACACCACAGACACGAAGAGAGCACCTGCCACGCAGCTGCTGACTGTGCATAGCGGCTTCTCACATGACTGCACCGCCAAATTCACGCGGCAGGCACTGGGCTTCGTCCCTCCTCCTGCACTGTGGGAGCAGCGGTTCAGAACCAGCTGGCACTCATCATCAGGTGCATTGTTTTAAGGAGAATTTAAAAGCATCCATGGCAAAGTCCCACCCAGCACAGCTTTTTCTTCCCCACGCAGTCTCAGATCCACTGGGATTAAGTGCTCAGCCACACCAAGAGCCAAAAAGCTGTTCCCCTCATCAGCAAACATACTGCCTGTTTCATTCCTGAAGACTTTTCCTCACGTTGTGTTTTTTAAATGGCTGTATTTATGGCTGAGTGGACAGGCTTAATTTGGTAAAACTGAACTGTTCCCTTTGAACAGGGGTTGATGGGATTATCTGTAGTTGGTTCCAGCCCTCCCTGCTGCAGCCTCAGACCCTGCCCAGGTCTGTGTGGTGTAAGGGCTGGGCTGAAGTTGGAAGCCAGGCCAGCACCCCAGGCCATGGCTCCACAGGCTTCCTTGTTGCTGCGAATGCCATTTGGAGGCAGCTTTTGAATGACCAGAGGTGCTTCATAACCAAAATGTGCAAGGGAAAACTTTCTCCAGGTGGTACCCCTCAAGCCTACAGCCTGGCATCGCCCCACAGGACCTTGAGGAGCCACCGGTCAGGATTTTCGAAGAGAGTGCTGAAAGACTTGGCATGGCCTTTTCAAGCTGTCTGTGCGGCACCAAGCAGTAGCCACTAGGTGGCAGTGTGGCGCTGCAGGAACTGGGGTCCACCTTGCACTTGGCTCAAAGTCATCCTTAGGGACCAGAGGACACATACAAAAATCCAGGAACAAGGCATGCCCCATGCTTATTTCCCAGTTCTGGAATCTATCAGGCTCTCTGGGCTGCTTTGCGAAGCTGGCCCCTTTTGTGAATCAGGTTCTGCAGCAGCAGAACCTCCCGCAGTAATTACACTGGGCCAGAAACCACGCCCAACCTGTGTCCCAGGGGCACGCTGCACGAGCTTGCTTACCCACCACGCAAGCTCTGTGGTCTGGCTTTCTGTGTGGCCAAGGAACACGAAATGTGCATGATGCTTTCAGGTGCAGACGCTCATCACATATTCCAGATCATAGGCACGCTGGGGCCCGGAGAGCAGCTCGCCTGCCTTCCTCTCTGCACAGCTCCCTGGGTGTCTGCTTTCAGCACCATCCATCAGCTGACAAAACTCAAAGGTCAAACCTTATCTTCTGGGCAGCAGATCTTCTGGTATAGCTGCTGTGAATCACTGCCTTTTACTGTCTGGGAATTAAGGCTCACTTGACTGAATTTGCCTCTAGTGCAAAAATGGATCCTTTCTCAAGGGAGTTGAGGGAGTGAGATAGTAACAATTACCAGGATAGCTACACTCCCCGACAGCCCCTCCGCCCTGCATGCACTCTGCTCCCTCTAACAGGATAGTGTATGTGCAGGCCAGCACAGACTGGGGCGGCAACAGGTGAGGGCGTTTTGTTGCCAGAGACCAAGTCCTTCAGCAAATGCCTGACAACTGGCAGCCTCTGAGCTGCTTTATCCCAACAGCTTGGTTGGAAGGAAGACCTCTGTGGCCCCAAAGCCAAATAAATCTGCAGACAGTATCAGAGATCCAAAATGGGGGCTCAAGGGATTCTCTGGTTGAGGCTCAAATTGTTGGAATAAGGATTTTCCCCAAATGGCTACAGGAAAGTGAGAAGATAGGACTAAAGTCACGGGCTGTGGGGAAGCAGAGCGGGATCTGGAACTCTCCATGGGGCACTTCCAGGCCTGGGTCCCAGGAGAGACCCACTAGGATTCTTGAGATCACACCATGCACATGGAAGCCATAGAATTTATTCGAATTTGCAGAAGCATGAGATAATGTACCACAAAAGAGTTTGATTTTACAACATAAAGTATGGTAGGAAGTGGTCAATGTACACAGTGTTGTCAGCAAAAAGGGGAGGCAGGGCAGTTTCACATTTTTTGAAAGGTGGTGGACGACAACTACACTTGTCCTTAAAGTAAAATAAAAGCAGGAGAGACCCAGCAGAGACCAACCTGATTTGCAGTTAGCATCAGAATCTAAATCTAGTATCACAACTTTAAGAAACTAAAAGAAAACTATTAGAAAAATAGAACATCAAACAAGCAAAAAAATATACAAATGTACATAATAAAAAACACACAACTCTTAATAATGGCTCCATGTTCAGTAGAAGAAAATATTTACTGGAGAAACCACAGCTATTCAGGTTTGATAATAAACCAACCCTCATTGGTATCATTACCCTTAGTGCTCCTTAAACTCATTGAAGCTGAAAGGCACAACTTAAGCAGGAAACTTATCATCTTAAATATATATTATAACTTCTCAAATGGGAAAATAAGTCCCAAACTTAATAGTCTGTCATCAAGAAACACAAAATCATTTGCCTTGTTAATAAATTAACAGTCTGAGTGCATCTTTCCATCCTGCTTCCTGACCCTGCTGGACACACTAATAAATACCCTGAGAAAATCTTCTCTTTAAGCTTGGCCAAGGTACTCCATCTCCTGTGGGGTTTTCAGCTGGCACTCAGCACATTTGTAGAATGACCCAGGAGGGCTCCATGGCAACTGTGCCCCGAGACTCCAGGCCCAGCCGGGTCCCGATGGCGAGAGCGTTGTGGCTCAGTGAAGCACTGGCACAGAAAGGCTGGACTCGAGGAATCGAGGGGTGAAGATGGAGTCGGCTGACATTTTTTGCCTTAAAAATACATTAGGAGTCATAAGCGTGATGACACATGGAGTGTAGCTTCTTGCACCACTGGATCAACAGTAATCAATTTCATGACTCGGATAAGGTCCCCAGGAGCCTGGCAGAATGTACATCTCCCTCTCCCTTCAGAGCCTTACATATAATCTTCTCATGACGATGGCAAACAGATATATTTTAAATTACACGTAACAATTATACATAGTGTATATCCAGATCCGTCTGCAGGCGAACTCTGCATCAGTTCCACATATAAGCCTCACGCCCCCACCACCCTGCAATTTCCCCGTCCTCGGAACTGTCTCACGAGACCACCAGCGCACAGACACGAACATGCCTCTCACACACCCCAGAACGCAGCTGTGCTGGAGTTGGGCACAAAGGCCCCTCACTCCCTGTCTTCATGGTGTGGGTTCTTGGCTGCCAACAGAACTGTCAGCCTTTATTAAGAAGGAAGGGTCTGTGTAAAAATGGGATGTGTGAATCAGAAGAGGGGCCCTGGCACAGAGCCAGGCAGGCTTGCTTTAGCATTGAGTCCTGCGTCGCGCAATGCCCAGGACCTTGCCTGTTAAGTCTGGGTGGGGCCCCTATGGGGCATGTCCACGTGCCCCCCACCAGACTCATTGCCCTGTCTCCAGTCTCCACTGTGGGTTGGGCTGGAGGCCATGCCACGTGGGACTGCAAACACCAGCCAGTTCACAATGCCTGCTCCGTGGCAGGGGCACGGCAGGGAGGAGCTGGTATCATCAGCGTTTCCACCCATCTGAACAAAGGTGAGCGGGCCATGCACCCTTCCAGCTGTGCACAGGGATGTGCTGAAGGTGCAGGAGGCAGTGCGTCAGGGCCTTGGTGGCTGGGGTAGGTGGAGAAGCCCGCTGCCCCCACCATCCTGCGGTCACCCCTGGACTCGTATTGGATCCTGGCCACTGTGCTAGAGTCAGCACAAGGGACCAGGTGGCTGGCTGCCTGAGAGAGAAAATAAGTCACAGTGGAAAGAGTTTTTACTGCTGCAAAAACCAAAAGTGGGGGGAGATCTCAGCAATTCTGACAACAGTATACATTTAGCGACCTTTCTGAGACAGCCTGGGGAAAATGCATCTATCACTGTCCTCTTGATTTGGAAAAATAAATCCGATGCATAAAGCCTTGGACAAGGGTGTGTGAGCAGGGATGATAAGTAGAGTGGGGGGTGTGTAGAGGCCTGGTCTCCTCCGGACGGTGCCCCTCCCAACTGCAGAGCTGCCCTCCTGTAAGCCGGCTCCCGAGCCAGCTGCCAACAAGGCCCCCACTGCCTCCCTGGAGACCCACTTCATCCCCCTCTTCAGCAGAGGTCCTGAGGCAGGGGGGTGGAGATCTGCTGGGTTTGCTGCTTCATGAATTTGGGCCTTCGGAGGTCATGAACACATGCAGGGCAGTCACAGGGGTTGTGGGAGACAGGAAGGGATGTTTACCCATCACAAATGGGTCTTTCCAATGTGGGTATTTGTGGCTGGTGCACAGATAAAAGTAGACACAATACTCCTTGGTGGGTGTGCCTCTAGTAATGTGTAAGTTCTGACTATGTAGGAAAATCCTGGCCAGTGGAACTAAGAATATTCTTGTTTGGGCAAGGGAACTAAGAGATGTGAAACTATCATTTTTTTTTTGCTTGTGTGTATTTTTATTTCAGGGAAAGAAATGAGGGATATGATAAGAAAAAGTCTATTAAAATTGTAAGGCTTACTCCAGACACCATTGCTTAAATCACTCCCCTCTCACACAGAGAGAAAACCCCTGGCAAGTGCACAAAAACACTACTCATAAAAGCACGGTGACCAGTGAACTATTATGCAAGGCACCCCCACGTGTCCTTTCCTAACCAGGAAGCCCGTCCTCTAAGGAGGGGGCATGGGTCCCATCCCTGCCCAGCCTAGGCGTGCTTCTGTGTCCAGCTTTAAGGCCTCTGCGTGAGGAAGGCCACAGACTCCCAGCTGTCAGCACGCTGTCATGATGAGACTTGGAGCAGGGGAGACGCACCTTCTCAATCTACAAAATGAGCCATGGCGCCCATTAAAATGTCAAATGTCAACTCTAAATAGTCTATTGGGTGCTGTCTTGCACGGAAATCTCAGCCAGAAAGAAAAACTAGAGAAAAGAAAAAAAAGAAAAAAGCAATTCTCTCCCACCACTTCACTTTTCTTGGAGACTGTCTATCCCTCGAATTCTCTTTGCCTATGTAGAAAATAACGGAAAAAAAAATCAAGCAAATAACTACCAGGTCCTAAGACAAGAGACAACCAAAACCCCAACAAAATAAGTTAGTATTTATCAAAATATGTTACAACACCAATCTCCATAAATGTCAATATCACTCTTTGGAAATCGGAGCTCTGGGCTCTTATGATGCTCCCTCTGGAACATTCAAAATGAGATCAGAATAAAGCTCCCAGCAAGGTGAGCAGGCCTGATACGGAGGCTCAGCCCATGGCCATCCACCCGCCCTCCACCGCCGTGTTCACAAATTCTTGCACTTCTCTCCAAGAACCTTCTGGGGGCACAGGGAGGGTACAAGTGCCCTCAATTTATCAGGCTTCTTTCTACCAGATTTGTGTCAAAGGCCAGACTAGGAAGAAATGGAAAGGAAACTAAGTTTTGAAAGCAGCATTTCCATTTCCCCTGGTGTCCAAAATGCCCACATCCCTCCTCCTCCCCCATCAGCATGGGCCTTCTGTCTCCTGAAGTAGACTCAGTGGAACGCTCCACCCACGTTCAGGTTTCCTCTGGCTCCCATCTACAAGGAGTGTGTGTGAAATGGTGCTGGCCGCAGGCCCCGACCCAGGCAAGACGGGGGTGGCGTGCACTGGAGCTATGGGGGTGGGGAGGATGCTCGGGTCTCTCCCACTTGCAGAGGCGTGGGGTCCGAAGCATCCGGATGACAGATACACAAAAGGGACAGCAATATGCCTAGAAATCACCTCCCCTGCGACCCACGCATCTCAGCTATAGGACAGCCGCAGGGGTGATGACATGGCCATTTCCAAGTTAATGTTATGCCCTAACTTAATCTGGTGGAGTGTCACAATTTCATGGACTGTGGATTGATTTCAATTTCATCATGTCACAGAGAGGCCAGACAGCTTATGTCAGGGCCAGAAACGCATGACCCCGACATGTCCTGACCCCAGACTGAGCTGCCACCAGCCTTGAGAACCTTACAGGAGCCACCAGACTGGCTCCAAAGCATGGGAGGGCAAGACTGAGTGAACGGTGGCGACTCACAGGAAACAGACTTCTGACTCGGCCACCATGGGGCCAGTCCTGCAGATACTGTCTCATGTTCCAGTTACTCAGGACACAGCCAGTCGGGGGAGACGGCAGGAGCAGCAAGAACTGGCCCAGGCCTGGAGGCCGTGAGCTGAAGGTCCCTGGTTTACATGCATGTGCACACACATGCATAAGCAAAGCAGGCCCTAATGGGAGTGATCCCTTCTTCCTCATTTGAGTGGAGCCAGCTGCCCTCAGCCCCGGGCAGCTGTCATGGTGTCAGAGCAAAGCCCTGAGAAGCCAAGGGGCAGGCAGGGTCCGGCCCTAATGACCCATCTGAATGCAACCGGAGAAGGACAACAGGCCTGATTTTCCTTTTTAAGTGCACTACTGTCATTTGGCTCTGGGGTGGGGAGCTGCTGGGGACACACTGTTTTGTGGTACTCATCTGGCTTGATTGCTGGGTGTCTGGGGCTGAGCGGGAAGATGGCTGCGAAAGTTTGGAGTATGCACAATTTCAATCCCAGAACAGTCCCCGGGAGGAAGGCCTGGTTCCCAAGATAAGGAGAGAAGGTGACCTCCGTTCTGCCTGAGGCTGCGGCAGCTCGGGGCTGAGCTGGTAGGGGAGGAACTGCTTTGTTCAGAGAAGTGAGGAGACACAGTGGCCAGCCGCAGCCTAGTGGCCCCGGCCAGGCAGCTGTCTGGAGGTGACCAGGGCCCGGAGAACCGGCTGCAGAGCCGAGGGTGGGCTGGGGCTGCAGGTCAAGTAATTGCACCTTTGGCTGCAGTGAGGGTGTGGACGCAGGTGGTTTCTGTTGCACTGGTGGGGAGGGTGGGGTGCCTCCCGGTCCTCTGGGGGCGTCCCTCGGGGCTGCTGCCACCTCCGGGGGGCGGGGCTGTGCGTCACTTGCACTGGTCCAAGTTGCCGTCAGGAGTCCTTGCTTGGTCGGCATCCAGGGACGCCTCCTCGCTGTGCCACAGGCCATAGCCAAAGTAGATGATGAAGCCTGCGGGCCGACAGCAGAGACGGGCGTGAACAGACCGCCGGTTGCACCACCGCAGGCAGGGCTCAGAGCCCAGGGCGGTCCCACAGCAAACCCTCTCAGGCGGCCTGCCCCTGCCTGGCATGAGCCCGCAGCCAGCGGCCCCTGTGACCTTTCCACATCTGGAGCAGCTGCCACACGAAGGCCACTGTCTGCTTCGACATCTGGCAAAGCCCTACGTTCCTCTGGACGGCCTTATGCTGCGGTGTTTCCTGAGCAGACAGAGCAGCTGGGCCAGGGCCACCAGAGGCCATCGGGTCCTTCAGCTTAGCCCCCTGATGCCCCCGGAGGCCACGAGAGTATCGAGAATGTGCACTATGGAGATGGGGTTTCCCGCAGGTGCTGGAGGTCTCCAGGCTCTCAGCCTGGACAGTCCCACTGCCCATTTCTCCACATAACTGAGCGTCAGACTGCAGGAGACACTGAGCCCCAGGAATGGACTTCACATAGGAGTCCACAGCCTGTTCCTGCACACGGGACTCCAGGGTGGGTCCAGGACCTATGCTTCTTACCACCTGCCCAGGGGCTGGGGCCACCTTGTGTGGCTGACACAGGAAAACAGGCCTTAAAGCAAGGACTCAGCCACCCACAGCCCAGGAAAGGAGCTCAGGCTCCTGCACACAGGGACTTTGACAGGGATGCTGGGAAGAGGCGCCCCTCTGCCTTCACCAGGCCTGGAGGAAGTGGCCAGTGAGCTGTGAGCAGCTTTTTCTCAGAAAGGCTCTAGGAGACGTCTGTCTAACAGGCTGGACTTTGCAGGGAATGAGGACCCACCCGGCTGCCAGCAGACAGTGGGCCGCAAAGTATTTCCTGGAGGAAAAGCACCCCTCGAGGGCCCTGGGAGATGAGGCAGCAGCCATCTGCCCGTAGCATGCAAACTCAGGGCTGCGAGGCTGTAGGGACATGGTCCTGAGGGGCAATGGCCAGGGCCACTTTCCTGGCTATCAGCACTATGACTCAGATGCTGAGGGGAAGGAAATGAGATCCTCCCCTCCAGCCCCTGGGGTGAGATGCCCAGAGGCGTGGGACTACAGGCTGCACCCACCCCTGGTGATCTATCTCATGTGGAAGCTCCCCACCCTAGTGGCATCTCCCATAGGCTCCAAAGCACTCTCCCTCCACAGAGAAGACGCAATCACAGAGGAGCCCATGACATCCACCCTGCCTGGGCCTAGTGCCCGTACCAATTTGGTGCTGGGCAGGCCAGGGGGCCAGGAGGCACAGGCCAGACTTTCCTGTCTGGGGTGAAAATAACTGGTACCTTATCTGCAGCAGACTCATCACCTTGTTCCTGTTAATATCAAGGTCTTGCCCAAAAGAATAAATAGTTTGGACAAGAAGCAATGGAAACAAAAAGTATCTAACAGGGAGGAGAGGACTCACAGCCTACCAGGGATTCAGCATTATCTTCGAGAAAGCTGCTGACTGGATGTGCGTCATTCTGTTATGAAATCTGAAACAAGGGAGACCCCCAGGGGAAGCCAGGATCTTGGACGTGCTGGCAGCAGCATCACATACCTATCAGCATCCACACAGCAAACCGGACCCAGGTGCCCTGGTCCAGCTGCATCATGAGATAGACGTTCACGAAGATGCTCAGGATGGGGAGCACTGGCAGGAAGGGAACCTGAAGAGACAGGAGGTGGCTTCAATCCATGGCAGTGGCGCCGGTTCCAATAGTTCAGTAAAACTGTCTAGTAAAGGCAGCACAACTGAGAGTGACAGGGACCGTCGGGCGAGTGTGGGGAAGAGAGAGGGAGTGCCCACCCCCACTCCCACACCCCACACACAGCCCGCACCCAAACACACACACAAACACACCCAAGGGTACATCTTAGTAGGTGGGGATTTGATTCTAAGCTCTGAATGGCCAAATGAACTCCATTCTCATTTTTCTCTGTTGCGATTCTCCTGCTAAAGAAAGGACTAGAAGACGGACCTCCACTTTACCTCTAAGGTCAACAACCTTTTTTATTATTTGTGTAATCTAAAAATGCAGAAGCCTTGCCCGTCTCCAAGGCTTGGAAAACTCATGCATCAACTTGAGCAGACATTTACGAGAAGCATCCCACCACCCCGGAGGGACTGCTCCACTGGGTCTGCTATTATGTATAAACTTAGGGGCAAGTGGCTTCATGAGCAGCACCCTTGATACTGTCTGGGGAAGAGGCAGCACATTTCATAAAACACTGATCACAAGGGACATTTATTTTCCAGAGAATTCAGAAATAGATGCCGAATATCCAGGGACTGGCGAGGTCTCTCTTGGCCTGTGTCATGCAGGAAGGTGTCAGCCTGCCCTTGACTACTCAGGGAAACGTCCAGGGGAGAAGGGCTGCTGCCTCCTTCCAGGGTCTGGTCCTCTCTGTGCCTTCAGGACCCCTGCCCCATCTTACCTGAAGCTGGCTAGCAAAAACCTTCCTCGGGAGCACCCAGGCCCGGCTGAGCCCACGCAGGGCTGGCCAGGCATCAGGAGGGCCAGGGTCTGTGTACCAGGGTTCCTTCCCTAGGCCGAGCTGCTCACCTTAAATGAGAGCTTGGTCTTGCTCTCGGGCTGCCTCCAGATGACGCCCGTGACCACGGCACAGAGGAGGGCAGACCCTGCGAGCAGAAAGACTGCCCACAGCGCCCCTTTGGTGAGAGCCTCCCTTCCAAGCACGGTCACAATGCAGAAGGTGATGATGAGAACAGCTAAGGGGGAAGGAAAAGACAGCAAGCTGCAACTCAACCATTTCCCAATTTCCCACAGGCATCCACTGTTCTCCCCTAAACTTGTGGAGAGAGAGGCTCCATTTCCGAAGGCACAACTACAGTTAACACAGAGTAACTATGTCCCAGTCCAGGAGCAAGACAGATGCTCATCTTCTCTGGCACCTTCCCCCAACTCCAGCTCCACTGCCTAGAAACCATGCAATGCCAACAAGCAAGGCCCCAGGGAAGGGCTAGCTCTTACCTATGAGGCTGGTTGAAATGTTCACAATTAGCCCAGAGATTTTGGAAGGCTCCATGTTTTTGGGTGAGAGTATGGTTTTCAAAGAGAACATCTCTGCCTCTGGTAAAAAGCCCAGCTGGGAATCATTGGTGCTTGCCAATTCATTTTGGTCTGCTGGATCTAACTCGTCGGAAGTACTGGCCATCTGGTATACCAGGTTAGGCTGCTCTGGCTGGTACCTGGGAAGAAAGGCATTGCGTGACCGCCACATCTGCTTCAAGCAAAATGACGTGCACCAACTCAAGTTCTCAATAAGCCTCCAAAGTGAGCTGCCCGGGACACAAGGTATAAAATGGGAAGGATATAGTCAAATGCTGCATTGTAGATAGACGAGGAGAGACCGGGAACACCACCTCCCGCTGTTGCTTCTGGGGAACATCCTCCATGGTCTCTCCTTCGGGGCGACATGACCTCCACCATGAGCAGCCCAGAGGAATACCCTGAGAGGATCTCTCTTGCTCTGAGAAGTGGCAGCGGCCCTCAGATGCTAAAGATACTAGGCCACTTCCCACAAAATTACTGCTGTAGGGAGCAAAAGGGAAGGAGAGAAATAGGAAGCAGTAATGCCAGGATCCTATTTGGCACAGAGAGCCAGAGAAATGTGGCTGCAGGCTAGATGGATTTGAGAAATTCTATTTGTGTGACTTAATTGGATCAATTTATTTTAAAACTCCAAGTACCTTAGGGTAAATAATTCTATGTGGCTTGTTGGAGGGCCGAGCCTGCAGCGTGATTTCCAAGACATGAGCTACCTGCTAGTGGAGCATCCATTCTGAATGAGGTGCCTTATCTTCCCACCCGAAATGAACAGAGTGCAAATCTTTTCCACCAGCTTTGAAACACAGAGTTCTGTATGAATTATTTTGCATATGATCAATTCTAAGAGGGAGTATAAAGATATTAACCATTTTTGTATGGATTCACTTGTGCAACCCCACTCGGTCAATTAAGAAAGTGGGAGACCTCAGAGAATATTCTAGCATTGGGCCCCTTGGGAGGAATAAGGGGTCCCCAATAGTCTTAGCTGATTCTAAAGAGCTTCTGCTAAGGCTCAGCCCGGGTTTTATGTGCATCAGCTGCTGAACACCTTGGAAATGCAATCAATGGCCTTGCAGGTGGGAATCCCTGAAAAGAAATGAGGAGGCTCTTGAGGGGAGACCAGTGCTGAGCGTCTCCATGAGCACAGGTTCTCAGGATGGAAGCTGCGCAGGGATGTGCTTTGGGAGTGGGTGCTGAGGCAGGTGAGAACACCGAGACACCAAGCCTAGGCCCAGAGCAGCTTTACTGTGACTGGGAGAGGCTTGCCTGGCCCCCACCAGGCTATAACAAGCTGACTCCACAGTGTCTCTGAACATCAACCTAGGGCACGCCATGCCACATAATGGGATTCATTCCTCCAGCCACAGCGCAACGAAGCTGCAGAAGCATTATGCTGAGCTGGGTTTCACAGGCCTTGGGTTTTCCTAACTCCTACCAGGGCAGCCCTCAATCCTCTCTGTCCCAAGAATCTGAACCAAGTTGCAATCAGTCTTCAAACCTTCTGATCCCAGGATCCTGGCCTAATAGTTGGACCGAGAATCTGTCTCTATCCACCCAACATTTAGCCATAAAAATGAGGGCACATGATAGAGGGGGGTGAGGGGCCACCCAACTCTTGCCAAGGACGTCCTCCTAACTGGGCTCTCAACCCAGGTCCTCCCCTCTCCTTGGCAGCTCCCAATGGAGCTATCACCAACCTAAAAGTTTCATTCATCACATAAACCATAGCTGAACTGTGAAAAGGCTACCAGGTGCATCTGCATTTCTGTCATGAGACCCCCAAAAGCCATACATACCGTAAGACCAACACACAGGCAGCCACCAACGAGTAAGCCAGGAGAGTGCCAATGGACATGAGGTCCACCAAGTCCTTCAGGTCAAAGAGGAAGGCCATCACAGCTGGGAAGAGACAGACACCAGGATCTGTGGAGGGCCATCTGCATGCAATGACAACCAGGACCACCACTGCCGCCCACCATCCAGGGCAGCGAAGGGGGCTGCTTTTACTCCCACCCCCTCCCTGGCCTTCCCATGGAAAGACACAGCTTAAAGGGAAGTCAAGCTTCCCTTTAAGCTTGTGATTAAATCACAGACACAGTCCTCAACAGACAGTAATCATCATTAACATTTGTATAGAGAATCCCTTCATTCTTGTGATTTTAATGGCAACTTTGTAAGCCATCCCTACATTATAGATATAAACATTCACAAAGGTTAGGAGACTCATCTAAGGTCACACAGTTCACAAGCATAGGGTATAAGGATGTGAACTGGGTTCTTATGACTCTGAGTCCTGTGTGTCTTCCTCTAGACCATGCTGATTCACAGACTCATGTGCATCCATCCATCATCCATCCTATCGGTCCATCCATTCTCCATCAATCCATCTGTCCACCTATCTTCCATTCATCCACTCACCATCCATCCATCAATCCATCTCATCCATCTGCCCATCTCCCATCCATCTCATCCATCTATCTATCCATCCATCCATTCATCCATCCGATCCACCCATCCATCCATTCAGCATCTATCCATCTACCCATCTTCCATCCATCCAGCTCCGGTCAGAGTGTGCCCATCATTGGGTTCTAGGTACTCACTATTGAACAGGGCAGACCACAGTCCCCAGCCTTCCTGAGTGTACCCCACCAAGACACAGGCATTAGTGGACAACAGTGCTGGGTGATAAAGAAGGGCAAGTCTGGTGCTCTGGGAGGACTCACAGGAGGTCCTAACCCAGGCAGGCGGGCAGGAGAGCAGAGTTCTTCACATGTGAAGTCACTTCACGTGGAAGAAATCTGAAGAGTTGTTCTCAAACAATATAGTATCAGCCCCTTCACTGTGTCCCTTGCCTTTAAAATGAATTAAAACCTGCACCCTTATTTGAACATCTTTTGTGAGCGTTGTGAGAGTATACGTGTCTATTCACATGGGTGTGTATGTCAAGTACTCATTAAAAAACAACTTGGCTACATCTGCTTTGGGATATTTTCAAAACACATGCAATCAACACAAGCTAAAATATAAACACAAAGCCATTATTTTTCCACAAATATCTCTCAAGCCCCTCTAGATCACTGCAACTAAAACAAATTTAAATGGAGAATAAAACACAAAATTAAAGAGCAATGAGGGAGGGCCTTTTGGATAATCAGAACAGCGCCCAACTGTGCATGCCACAAATGCCGATGTTCCTACTCACGGGAAACTTGAGACTAATTTCTTCCATGTGAGGTGATTTTAGAAAACCAAATACTTATTTACCACTCCCACCAAATGAAAAGGGTAAATCCTGGATTTTGTGAATGGCATGTACTTTACAGTCACTTCAAAGAGCATGATTTGATCTCCCTCTATCAGCAGGGGAAGGAAATTAAGGCCAGTCTTTAATATGATCAAATTCCACGTAAAGCCTGAGAAAACAATGACTATTTCCAAGTCCTTAATCCTGTAAATATACTGGTCACATTCTGATGTATAGTGCCTCTCAATCTGACCACTGTGGTCACTCTCAAGAGCATAGAATCACATAAGAAAATGTTTCATAATTTAAAAATAGGTGTGTTTTATTATACAATATTAATCCACAAAACTAAGCACAGTTTGCTAAAGGCATAAATGCTAATAAAACTTAGTGAATAATTCATTCATTTAAGAAGGTCAAGTGCCTTACCAATGGCTATTTGACAAGTCGCTGTGTTAGAAACTGTGACTGATCTCACATGCCCTAATTTGCCAAAAAGACCCACTGCTCTGCTCAGACTCTGGAAGGAGCTTGGCTACTTTGGCATAAAAACAACCCTGGAATCACAAGGCCGCTCCACCGCCCTGGGTGCACATCCTCGCTTCACCTCCCTGGGCCTCCACTTCTACATCTGTACAGTGGGCTGACGTCTGCCTTTTGGGGCTACGAAATGCAATTGCGAAAGGGGCGGGCGTCTGCCTCTCGGGGCTATGAAATGCAATCGCGAAAGGAGGAGACATAGACCACAGGTACAGTGTGCACACGAGCTTCCTTGTAGGTTCTCCTTTCCTTCATCTGGGGCCCTGGAACACCTACACGGCTCAGATTAGTCCACTGATTTCATCCATCAAAATGGTCCTCTCAGCGATGAGGCTCATCTGACAAGATGAAACTCCACTGGGTCTGCTATTACGTATAAACTTAGGGGCAAGTGGCTTCATCAGCAGCACCCTTGATACTCTCTGGGGAAGAGGCGGCACATTTCATAAAACACTGATCATAAGGGACACTTGTTTTCCAGAGAATTCAGAAATGGACGCCGAATTTCCAGGTACTGGCGAGGTCTCCCTTGGCCTGTGTCATGCAGGAAGGTGTCAGCCTGCCCTTGACTACTCAGGGAAACGTCCAGAAATGGGGAGAAAAGGTTTTCGAATACTGTGTGTTCTAAGCTCCGCCCATTGAGATGAAAACCAGAGTGCAAACTGTTCAAAAATTCTCTCCCATCCTCTGTCAAACGGGCCTCTGCCTTTTGTCAAAAGGTCAGTCAACTTTCAATGAACCAGGCTCCAAGTATAAAAACCAGGAGTTAAAAAGACCAGTTAAGATTACTCACAGACCAGAACTGCGCAAGACGTCTCCCTAGGGAGTAATGACTCCATTGTTAAAACATTTCCATGTGAAATGAGTTCTAGTACTCACCAGCAACGGCACCCGAGGCTAATGTGGCGATTATTGGTGTTTTGGTCCTATCATTGACGTTGGCTAAGAATTTAAATAGCAGTCCATCCTCAGCCATGGCATAGATAACCCGAGGCATGGGAAACATGGAACCTAGAAGACTAGATGGGGAGAGGCAAACCGCGTGAGTGAACCTGGCTCATAAGGGATAAAGGCACCACATCCAGCCATGCTCGGTTTACCACGGAGGAGAGGGAGTCTGAGCTCACCAAGAGCTGCCGTCCCTCCACGCTGGGTGAGGCCTGTGGCTAAAAGACTTGGCATTTAATAAATCAATCCCAGAAAGAGCACACACTGTGAATAAGGATTAAGGTAAAGAATAGGGAACATCTATCTAACATACACTAGCATGAGACCCAGTACAGTCTTTACAGATGGAAAACTGTATTTATTCCTGCAATTATTTCTAGCTGAATCAAACAGAAAATACAAGCATCACTGCATTCATGAAGATTTCCCTGTGGTAAATCAATATTTACCAAATAGCTCTGTTTATACAGGCTAAGAGGAAATACGATTGGTGAAAATGTTTCTCATTAAAAGGCACTTATTCCCTTCATCAAAGTAGCTTCTGCATGACAGCTAAACTGAGGGCCAAAATATGGTGTTCAAACAGCGGGCCTGTTCCAGTGGCCAGATTTAGGGACAGAGAACCAGTCCCTTGCTAAGCAGATGATGCTGAAAAGCCAGCCTCAGGTTCTTCTCAATAACACAACTCTTGGGATGATGAATACTGGCCAACAAGGGAAAAGCCACATGATCAAAGCTGGGTTGGGTACTGGGTCTATTTCAAGGGTAAAGAATGCTGGCAGCCGATGTGTGTCTCGCATGGCTGTACCTGGCCTGCTATAGCCTAACCCCTGCTGGTGGTTCCACCCCTAGGAGCAGCCACCACAGAAAGGCCTCTCACCTGGCGGAAAGAGCGCAGAGGGAGCCCACGGCCACTGCGTACTTGGCACCTTCCCAGCCCACGTGCTTAAAGGCGTCGGGCAGGGGGCTGTTATTGTCCAGGCAGAAGTAGGGCATCATGAGCGTGAGGGCAGCCGACACCCCAAAGTAGGCGATGAAGCAGATCAAGAGGGACGCCACGATCCCCACGGGGATGGCCTTCTGTGGGTTCTTCACCTCTTCACCTAGAAGCACAAGGGGTCAGCGGAGGAGGGCACACAGCAAGAGGCAGTGTATCTGCCCACATGACACCCAAGGCCTCTCAGTGCCCCGGAACCCACGTGACCCTACGAGAAACCTCCCTCCAGCACTCAGCCCTGTGGGCACTGGGGCCTCCTGTGCTTCCGGGAGCAGAGGGGTGGTGCTCAGGAAGACACATCAGACAGCCCATGGCCCTGCAACAGTGTTCTCGGCCTGAATGTGGTGATGCAGCCAAGGAAGAGACTTGTTTCCTTTGGCAGAGAAAATCTGGGAGGCTCACTGAAGCCTGGCCTATTCAGTCCGCCAGGATGACAATGTTGTGAATAGCCTCACTCCTCCCGGAAGACGCTCAGATATGAAATCAGGCCACAGCCACACAGCTATGATCCCATTCTAACAGCGGAACCTTAGCCTTATTCAAGATCCAGCTTTCATCAGGTGTTGACAGTTGGGGATGTGATAATGGTTTGGGGGTGGGAGGGCTTGGCAGGAAGCTACAAATCTACATGTTGCTCATGTGTGAAAGAGCGGCGACTGGACCGTGCCAGCAAGGAGGGAAATGGCAAGCATTGGCTTGTTTGCCCAGGGTGCAGGAGGACCCGGGACCGCAGTGGCTGGCGGACATACCTGTGGTGGCGATGCAGTCAAAGCCCACGAAGGCATAGAAGCAAGTCGCTGCCCCCGACAGGACACCAGAGAACCCGAAGGGCATGAATCCACCAACACCGGGCTTCCCTTCTTTTGTGTCACTAGAAAAAAGAGCCGCAAACAAATGTCACGTCACTCGCTGCGCAGTCTGGCGTAAGGAGCTGTGCTCATCTCCTGATATGAGCGGAACCTGGCAGTCAGCCCTCCCTGTTACCGCTGCCAGGCCCTGGGCTTCAGACGCTGAGTCCAGCCACTGCATGCTAACTCCGTGTGTGCAGGCCTCCCTGCTGTTCGTGGCCCAGGGTCACAAGGGTGCAGAGTATCGCCCCTTCCAGAAGCATCTTCTAAACAATGACTAGGGTAGGGAGACGTGGGGACTATGAGGCAGGGGTCCAACAGGAAATGGGGGAGAAACCAGCCACGCGGCCAGTCCCACACCCTTCTCCCCAGGGCCCCTCGGAGGAAGGATGCAGAGCCGCCAGCCAGTCCTACCCCGGGTCCCATATTTACCAGTAACTCAATCTCAAAACAAACAATTCCAGAGAAACTAAGGCTAAAATAAAAGTCTTTGTCAGCAAAGGCATTCCTTAACTGCCTGTATGCACAAGGTGGAGTCCAGGAGGGCGCAGCTTTTGCCAGGTGTGTGGGGCCCGGGCACAGCTGGGCACTGGCCCACGGGAGGGGCTCAGCACATCTTTGCTACACTGATGAACGCAAAAGCAAAATAAGCACAGTTTACAAACTCAGGAGTCCAGAAGAAGCAGGCTGCTTAAACATTCAGAAAACAGTCCCATAAATCTGACACCTGTGCCGAGACACGGTGCCCAGGTTCAGTGTGGCGCTATGGCCCCTCCCAGGGCCCTGTCGGGGGTCCTTCAAGCCCTTGTTCCCTGATGTACAAAGCCCTGGCCTGTCCCCCCACATGCTGTGTTCTGGGGGTGCACCATGCAGTCAGTGCAGGCGGCTTCCCTGGCCACTGTCCCCTGGTCAGGAGGCACATAGCCCCTGCTGGTCACCAAGTAACCCTAAGCTTTCTGCATCCAACCCTCTGCTGCCACCCGAAAAGCAATTGCACTCCTTGTGGTTCAAGAAGGGCAGTCCCTACTCCCACACCTTTGCCAGCCCCAGGGCCGCAGGCTTTCTGTCCTGTGCCAGGGTCCCACTGGCTGGCCTGGAGCCCAAGAGGACGCTCACCACCCACCTCTGTTGCCCCCACTCAACCATATTGACAGCCACCCAGCTGCACAGGACAACCTGCCCTAAACCTTGTCAGCATGAAGAGAGGAACCCTGTAGGATGCTCCCAGTCCTATAAACACTGACATCCCTCAGGTTGGCTGGGCAGCCCATTTGGTGAACTTTGCTTTCAATGGGATTTACTCACTGGCTGATAAAACAGACAGACAGACAGGATGGACCCAACTACTTTCTAATGGGGATTAAGCCTTACTAATTCCTAGAGGATCATCACAGCTCTCAGTTACAGAAACTGCCATGAAGACGCTGGAAGTACATGCATGAGAAAGCTCATGTAGATGTGGGGTTTACTGTGGTCCCATAAACAGTAACGAGAGGAAACCCCCAGAAATGTACAAGTGATGGACGCAGGAAAAACTGTGGCCAAACAAAATTTTAGTTTGTTGTGTTAGAGTATGACTAAAACTAGCAACCCAAGTTCAAAACCAAGCATCCCAGGACAGACAAGTCAGCAGGGCCGCAGGACAGCAAAGGGCTGGAGTGGAGCTGTGCCCAACTCATCCAAATCCCCTCGCCTCTCAGGCCAGAGGCCCCGCCGGCCACCCACTCCCACCCTGGCAAACGGCTTCTGTTACTCAGTGGCCTATGCTGAAGACAAAGCAGGTGACAACCAAATGGCTCAAGAGGGGGAGGATGAGGCCAAGGGAGGAGGGGAACTCAAGAGTCAAAATGGCTTCTGTGGGCCCCACTTTGGTGCCCTGTGGCGGCCAGGGTGACAGACGGGCAGTGAAAAGCCCCCAGATCCCCACTCAGCTCCTATGACATCAAGAGCTACCAACATGGCCTTGCGTTAAAATAAATGCATGCCCACTATGGGAGGCCGAGGCGGGAGAATCACCTGAGGCCATAAGTTAGGGACCAGCTTGGGCAACATAGTGAGACCCCATTAGTACAAAAAAAAAATTTTTTTCTGATTAGCTGGGTGTGGTGGCATATGACTATAGTCCCAGCTACTTGGGAAACTGAGGCAAGAGGATTGCTCGAGCCCAGGAGTTTGAGGCTGCTTTGAGCCATGATTGTGCCACTGCACCCCAGCCTGCGCAACTGCACCCCAGCCTGTGCAACACAGCAAAATCCTGTCTCTAAAATAATTTTTAAAAATTAAAAAATAAATAAATAAATGAATGCTATCATGGATAGATGAGCTTTAGGCAACCATGAGGCAGAGGCACCTAGAAAGGTCCTGAAACCTCCATTTCAGGGCAAGTGGAAAGTGCAGGGAACTGCATACATGATTAAATCCCAGAAAGAGATGAACTCACAGAAGGGGACTAAGAAGGGCTGGAATGTGTCTTCCTCACGCAGACAGGTAAAGCACACACAACAATAAAAGCATGGAGAGAAGGAAGCAAGGGCGATGGGTGAGCGCAAAGCGAGGAGGCAAAACAAAAGGCATCCTCCCCGGCTCCTCAGGACAGTTGCAGAAGAGACTGGATAATCCTCCAGGTTACAGAATGGGGGTGAAGGCACGTGCTGTGCTGCGCCAACTCCAGAGCTGTGTGCAACCGTGAGCATCCGTAAACCTCCCTGCTGACTGTGACCCTGCCACACCTGCTCCTCGTACTGCGCCGCTACACCTGACCTCAGGAGGACCCACAGCCGACTTCAGGAGGACCCGGGTGCCGGGACCCTGGGCAACCATAACAATGAACAAGGGCCTGATTAAAAAAAAAAAAAAAAAATCTGCAGGGCATGCTAGTAAGCAAGAATGCAAGGTGCAGAACAATATATACGGAGTGCCGCGTTTTGTGTAAGAAAACAGAAATAAAATATACATATTTACATTTGCTTGTGCTTACACAGGGAGAAACTGGAAGCTTACACACACACACACAATTAGAAAGTTTACCTGTGGGGGTGGGAGATGAGGTGGATGAAGAAAGGAACGCATTGTAAATCTTTTTTAAAGCGTTATGAACCACGTAGTATTTTACCAACTCAAAAAGTTAAATTCCACCTTTAAGAAAAGATTGGGTGTTACTGATGCCAGTGGCAGAGTATCAACACAAAATAACCACAGAATCCATTCTACAGAGGCGCAAACCAAAACGTAGAGATATTTACTAAGGGTCTCTTTCTATGTAATCAATAATTAACCTTTTACATGCGTGTGGCAGTTGTGTTCACTCATCATCTGGCAACTCACATGTGAAAGAGAGGGGCTGCCAAGAGCCCTCACCCAGCAAATGTCGCCCCGAGACAAAGTGAGCTTGAGTCCTGGTCTCAGCTCAGCGCTCCCTGCCCTGCAGCCTTTGACCAGCCCTTCTGTGTTCCACTCAGCTGGTCGCTCAGAAGCAGCAAAGACAATGCCTGGCATAGAAAGGGGTCAGGCCCGAGGGTCTCCCACTGCATCAGTGGTGAACTTCCTGCAGCAGGGCTCCGCCACCCTCACACCAGCCACCCTGACATCAACTGTTAGTTGTGCTCAAAAGCCACACTCCCCTGTTCTTCTACGTGGTAATGGAAACTTTAATTATTTCAGCTGGACATATGAGCCTTAAGAATCAGGACTGTGTGTTTCCCAGAGTCACTAGCTGCAAGGAGTAGCCATCTGGCTAAGTTCTGATGGAGGATGTTTGAGCAGAAGTGGTGTCTGCATCTGCTGAGAAATGTCCAGGAGACGAAGTGGGGAGGGAGGGGACCCTCTGCTGTTCCCTTCTCCATCCCGCTGACTGGAGCTGGAGAAGCCGCCTTCAGCCCTGGGGCGCCTGGCCTGGATTCCTGGCTGGGTGAAGCGACAAGCTGGACTGACCAACCCCAGAGGTTAACCAAAGAAAACCAAAGCCTTATCTTGTTGAAGCCAATGTTATTTTGGGGCTTCCATCCTAACTGGCAGACACCATCCAACAAAACCTTCTCAACAGGCTTCCATGCAGGGTTGATGCTTCACTATTGCTATGTCCACAGAACACTGGATGGGAATGCCAGCGGCAGCCTGAGTCAAAGGCACGAAGAGCCATCCAGACTGCAGGGTAACTAACACTCCTCTTCACAGACCAACAGACAGACCGACCTAGTTCCTGGGGGCCTTCCCAGGCGGCTAGGAGACAGCATCCTAAAATCACAAACCCATGTGGTCTCACGGCCTCCCATGCAAGCGGAAGCTCCTGCATGTTATATGGATTGGTTGGGCAGTGCCCTACTATTTCAGAGGAACCAGCAATGTCATGCAAGACTACATGGCTGTTGTCAGAAACACAAAGCTACGGCTGGAAAAAAAAAAGAAAGAAAGTTGCTTAGATATTTTAACAACATAATAGAGCATGCCAAGGAGGCTCCAGTCCTGCAGAACTCCACCTCCTAACATGGCCGATCCCCTGCCGTCCCTGTGGTCAGGGGGCTGGGCCCTGGCAGTGAGGCCGTCAGATGTAGCTAAGGGGGCCCCACCTATGATCAGGGATTGGGGCAACAAATGCTGCTTTGTCTGGGGGCCGGTACAGCTAGCTCATCATTACTAGGGTACCAGCATGAGGATGACCAGTGAAAGTAAATACCATTGGCTGGCACAATCTCTTCATAAAAATAATAAAATTAAATCTCGATTGGCAACCAGTTAACAAGAGGTGCCCTATATATTTCATTCCTGACCTATAACTAGCAACCGGTCGAATATGCTCTGAGTTTTCAAAGGCTACACGTTACTTCAACACATATTTGGAATTGGCTTCACTCCACCCTAGATTAATGGACACCCATAAATTTGGCATAAATATGACTCTGAAATGCTCGGGATGACATATTCAAAGGCCTCAGTTCTCCATAACAGAGTTTAGGAAAGCAGTTTTATTAGAACTGCTAACCACAAAATATTAGTGTTAGTGAAGTTTCGTGCACCGAATGCCATAGTTTCCTGTTTCCATTCAAGTAGTCACACATCAATGCCTGCCCACTGGTAACAATACTGGGCGACATGGCTGGCACCTGGCCCTGAACCAGTGACCAACTGGGCATACGTGACTGCTAAGATTCCCAATGTGAGATAGTGCTTCTCAGCCTCCCTTGCAGCTCTATGTGGCCCCCAGTGGACTCTTGCCAATGGAATGTCTGTGTGTCTTCTGGTCTGTCCTGAACAGACCTGAGCACTCTCCTCTACGCTCTCTTTTCCCTTCTGGAAGAGCTGGGTCATGCTCGTGCCTACAGCCAGCTCTGACCAGGCAGATGAGGACAATGTCCTGGGGGAAGATGGAGCAAGACAGAAGATGTCTAGGTCCACAGAGGCCTGTGGCAAAGCTGGCCAGCCAACGCGGACTGCTCACTTCAGGACTGGAAACATCTCTTCTTTAAAGCCACACTCCATTGTGGCAGTTGGAGGGGGTCTCTTTATCATAGCAGTTTCAACCTTCAGTCTTAATGAAGAATCACACACAAAATCCAAGTCCCCATTGTCCATCCTGAGACCTAAAGAATTACATGGAGATCTGACAACAAAGATAAAAAAGATATGACTGTTTGGCTTTTTTTTCCTAGGTTATCTGAGCTTTCAATGAGGGCTGGGCGAGAGACCTGAGATGGCACAGGGTGGAGCTGTCACCTCCAGTTCCGGATGTCTGTGTCAGAGACATGAGGGTGATGGGGCCACTGTCGCCAGGGCTTGAGCAGCACAAGTCAAATGTCGGCGAAAGACTATTGTGCTCACATTCTGACACTTCAGTCATTCTGAAAACCTTCAAAAATAGTTTCACCTATTTCTCTTCCCTCTACATTATTAATCTAATAGGAAGGTATTTAAAGGTGAAGTGAGGTCACCACGGCACTGCAGAGAAAAATCTTTTCTGAACACAAAATTCCAAAGTTGGCCATCAAACAGAATCTGGGGAAAGAGGGATCATTTAATGAGTCTGACAAGAATCCTGAATGATACACAATTTGGAATTAGGGTGATGATTTTCTTTTCCTCAGTCTTTCTTGTCATACAATAGTCTTTCCATTTCAGGGGAATAAACCTTCACACAAACTTGATACATACAAAATACCCTCAGCTACTTCACTGCAAAAACACAAAACAATTAACAAAATATCCTCAAATAATGTTTTCTTAAAAGCACATGCCATCCTAGCCAGTTATATCCCCCATACAATCTATGTCATTAAATGTCAACTAAGAAAAATGGTCAGAAGCAGCAACTCACTTGTTCAAACAGAGACGGCCTGATGTGTTCCCAAAATCCTCCTCCGTGAGCTGCCAGTTTTTAACCGATCCTTTCACAAATCCTGACACCATTATGAAGCCCAGGACCAGGACGTTAATACAAGTGAATATTTTGTTGACCATGGCCGACTCTTTCACACCAAGAGTTAAAAGTCCTGAAAAAGTGCATAGACACAAAACTTTGTCTGAGTGTTAACCACAAACTGGGAAGGTCCTTCCTGGATGGGGATAAGAAGGCGACTGAAAAAGAATCCAAGTGCATCGAGCCTCTGCAGACCTCTGTGAGCCTCTGGGAATGGGGTGGATTAATTATCTTTCTGGGGGCGGGGATCAGGGGTTTAAATCACCAAGGTTGTGGGTGCTTCCCAGGCCCTCCTAGGTGACCTCCAGATACCCTTGGGAACTGAGAAGCCCACCCAAGGGGCACCCGAGAACTGCAGAGATCTGGAGCATGAGCCCCTCTCATAGGGAGGGGAAAGCCTGGACCCGCACACCAAGCCGCTCCCTCTCACTAAAAGGATGCGTTGCTGGGAAACAACCTCTAGGAACAATTCCAGGAAGAAAGACTTTGCATAGTTTCCTGGGAGAATGGACATTTTTCAGAAGAGGAAATTATTCTGGTTGACTTTGGGATGTTAGTGATATTAACAATAACAACTAGCTATGGTTCTGGAACCACTAACACACATGGTTCTTCGTTGGACTCAGTGCATATAAAATAACATCTGAGCTAGGCTAGCTCTAGCTTGCAAACTCACGTTTTTTTTTTAAAGAAAACTATAAGTAATAAAGATGCCCAGGAACCTCTGACAGCACTGCCTTTGAGGCACATGCCCCAGCACCACCTTAGGGTGAAGAGGTCATTCGGGTACTTCCATAGCTGAACTCTCTGCTGGGCAAGAAAAGTGGCACAGAAGGGGTTGGTACCACTCGAACACAGCCAGGATTTGAGACCACTGCTCTGCCATGGACGCCTCTCATCGTTTTAAAATAAAAATTGGCTAGGTGCGGTCGCTCACGCCTGTAATCCCAATACTTTGGGAAGCAGGCAGATCTTTTGAGGTCAGGAGTTCCAGACCAGCCTGGCCAATATGGCAAAACCTTACCTCTACTAAAAATATAAAAGATTAACTGGGTGTGGTGGTGCGTGTCTGTAATCGCAGCTACTGGGGAGGCTGAGGTGTGAGAATCGCTTGAACCCAGGAGGCAGAGGTTGCAGTGAGCCAAGATCGCGCAACTGCACTCCAGCCTGGGTGACAGAACAAGACTCTGTCTCAAATATAAAATAAAATAAAATAAAATAAAAACTGCTGTACTTTTGAGATTGAATTATAAAGTACAGATGTTAGAAGAGAATTGTGTAATTAATCACAGGGAGAACACCTCAACAAACAACAATATATTGTTTCTTTAGTGTCCCTCCCTCTCAGGTTTATTAAAATGAAATCTCACTAGTGCAGACTTACTTTCTGATGCATGTTTCTGCCAGCTGGACCAGAAATACTGCTGAGACCAGCCTGAGTGAAGTTATTTCAATTATGTGGTGTGTAAAATAAGGCATGTCATTTTTAAAACTCATCCAAGATTTTCTAACCCCAAATGAGAATTTATCTGCATTTCAGCTTCATGTTTATGGAGCCCCACAGAGCAAAACTCGCGCTGCACTGGCCAAGACACGCACAAATGTCACTAGCAAGAAGTTGCCATCAGCTGTGTTCAGGCAGTCTCTGGGATTTTTCAAATTCTGTAACCACAACTCTGTCATGAAACTTATTTACTGAAAGGGTGTTTTGATGGTTGTTAGGTGTAAAAACCATCCAAGTCATCTTCAGACGCCCCAGGCACACATTAGTGTTCCAGACGGAGCTCATTCCTCCACATTTTCCTGGCTGATGAATGACAGTTTTGCTTTCCAAATGGTCATCCACTGAGTCAAAAGAACTTTTATTCCCAGGACACTCACACAAAAAGCCTGCAGTGCAGACAAAATCTTATTCCACAAACAGCTAGGCTAAACACCTAAGATTCTCTTTTAATGAAATGGCACACAATTCAACAGCTATGAAGCAGGCCGGCCCTATCTGAATCTATAAGAAGCAATGAAGACAGGAACAAATAAAGATGCCTGCATGCAGTACAAAAACAAAACAAAAAGAAATGGGGGTTATGGTTAAAGAGATAAGTAAAGAAAGGAACTTAACAGGAGCCTCTCACCAAACCTTTGCCCATCACTCTGACCCGATCTCTTTTTAAGTGTGGGCTTTACCTGTCAAGATGAGAATTATGATCACTGCGAATATGTCGGGGTTTTCAGCCAGCACGCCGGGGGCGTTCAGAGTCATGTGTGTCCGTGAGAACTCCCCGATGGGTCTGCCTATCAGCTCGTCGAAGGTGGCGCTCCAGGCCCTCGCTACGCTTGAAGTACCTGCCACAAAGCACACACAACAGAGGAGATGTGAGGACAACTGTTAGCCAGGTATTTGTAGTGGAGCTCCATGTTGATAACATCATTGCAGGAGTCACCGACGGTGCACTGGAATCTGGCAGCAGCAGCCAGACCACAGTGTATGCTGAGCCAGAAGTGACGGTCGACTAGTGCTAAGTGCGAGAAGGCTTCTAGGGCCTACAGAGGAATGCACTTCACATCCTACCCAATATACACAGGTGTATTCTATCAAATATATATATCCGAATAAAAAGTTCGCAAAACGAGTGTTACCCTTACCACCTGAGAGGCACTCTGATAATATTTAATGCTACCTACTTTGTTTCATTAAAAAAAGTAAACATTGATGACAACTCATGAAAAATTGATTTCATAATGCACTCCTGGGGTGCAGCTGGCAGTCTGGAGGAATGCTGCTTAGGAAGCCTCTTTTCTAGGAACCCCTTGGCTGCAGAGATGATGGTGCCTGCACCATAATTCTTCTCTCAGCAAGAAGAGGGGCCCTAGGAAGTCCTTGAAGGGGCTGAACTCCATCTCAGGGACAAAGCCACTTGCTCATCTCAGTGTTGGCATCAGCCACCTCTGCCACTTTTTGCCTGAACCTGATTCGGAGGCCACAGCATCCCCAGAGTGCAGGACAGCAGACAGACCCCAGCCCTCCTCGTTCTCCCCTCAGCCTGCACCCTCCGGTGCCGAAGAACACCAACAGGGCAGCACTCAAAATGCCAACAATAGTTGGCTGCTGTCTTTCACTCTCATTCTCTCCTCTCACATAATTCTAAAGGGTGTCAGAATGTGTTTCCATTGGTGTTTCTCAGGAAATGTCACTAAAATTCCAGCATTTTCATAGAGCGTTTTCCTTTATTTTCAAAGCGGGCCTTGTCGGTGACCATGGTCCTAATTATCCACAGCATATTGCCACAGTGATCTGCAGAGATTCAATTTCACTATTTGGTCTTATGATAAGTAAGTATCTTTCCAACAACTCAGAAGTTTAACCACATTTCTTCCTCCTAAGCAGCCAATCTATTATGAATTCTGTAAAAATGGTCTCACCATCTCCCTGTCACCCCCAAAGCAGCTGGCTTATGGCAAACGTGGCTCCCAAACCCTGTCCTGCTCAGTGACAGGGGCTACCCCAGCCTTTCTTCCCAGCCTATCCACTCCCAATTTCTGAATTATGCCTTTTAAAAAAATGTTTGCTGGAAAAACTGCCCTTCCCAGCAGCTAAGGCTGAGAACACATTTTTATAATGCATGCAAATGGTTTCACACAAGCAAACGGCACTCTCGCAGAGCCTTACATTTGTTGGTCTAGAAGCTGCAAGCATTTCATGCTCAATGTATATTTTATGCTCAGGTAAATCCTCTGGAAACATAACGGTCCATTTACAATAGCTACATTCCCAGTGAGAGACTTCAGCTTGTGAGAACCATGTGTGGTTGTTAAGTTTTGATGTGGCATTGAAAGAAAACATTGTGAATTTTATTTTAGAACCCAGAAGACTAAGCTATGTTGGCTCTCAGCAGATACTGCAGCTGCTGGAAAGAAAGAGAAGGTGCTGCTCGGAGAATGTGAGTGTGTGCCCTCCCCCAGCTGTCCTGGTGAAGGGGGAGTGATGCCCCCCATGCAGAGATAGGGCTGTGGGGAGCCCAGGGCTGCGAGGATCCCAGCAGGCAGCATGTGTGGCCAGGGAGGGTGTGGTGGGGTCCAGTGGGAGCTGACACAGAAGCAAGGCGGAACCCACATGGCTCAACTTAACAGGTCTTACTGTTTTTTCGCTATTACCAAAAAGTTTGAGAAAAAAAAAAATAAATGGCATGTTGAGTGGCCGTTTGTACCCTTTGCTTCTGAGACTTAGGTTTTTGTTTCTTTTAAGTTGATGTGTTCAACTTCAGTTGTAATCAAAATACAAAAAAGCATAAAGAGAAGCAAAGCGTGTTTACCTGGCAAACCGGAAAGATTTTCTACATTTGCTTCCTTATTTGCTGGGTGGATGTGTTACAGGCCGATGCCCAGTGCCCACACTGCAGGGAAAGGGGCCCCTGGCTACGTGGAGGATCACAGTCAACAAAGGCCTTAAAAACACGCAGACCCACTGACAGCCATTCTGCTCCTTAGACAGTTTTAAGGAAAAGAATCATGGCTAAGCCCAAAGACATAAAGTAATTAACTGTTAATAACAACAGCAACAACATAATGGAAACAATCTGAACATCCCATAAAGACACCAATACATTACGCTGTGTATATAAATCTATACAATGGTAGGCAAGCATTAGAAATGTTACTGTGGAAAAATAGCTAATGATATGAGAAATGTTTACTATATATTGTTTTATAAAGAGATACACTGTAGAAAAATACACATTTAAATTCACAAAAATGTTAACCATAGTTGTATCTGTAGACAGTAAACTTCTGAACACAGAGTGTCTTATGCCTTCATGGGATCCCTAGTATCTAGCACAATGCCCAGCCCAGAGCAGGTACTCAATGAACATTTATTAAAAGAATGAATGAATGAATGAGAGAATTAGTTTCTCCATGTTGTCAGGCAGGGTATTTCTACTTTCTTCTTCATGCTTTTCTTTATTTTCCCAATTTTTCTCTATCAGTGATGCATTTACTCTAGTAATTTAAAAACCTACTAAAAGAAACTAAATACCTCTAAATGAATCAGAAACATCCTATTAATTCTGTGCCTCTCGTGTTAACAAGAATGACCTCCCTGTGGGGCATCCACCCACACTTTGGAGGTGGGAACAAACAGAAAAGTGGTAGAGGGCACGAGCTCCGGACCCCTGGGACCTACCGATGATGTAGGAGAGGATTAAGTTCCAGCCGGTGATGAAGGCCCAGAGCTCTCCAACGGTGACATAGCTGTAGAGGTAAGCTGAGCCCGTCTTGGGGACCCGAGCACCAAACTCGCCATAGCACAGGCCAGCCAGCACTGAGGCCAGCGCAGCGATCAGGAAGGAGATGACAATGGCAGGGCCTGCATTCTCACGGGCCACAGCTCCAGCCAGGACGTAGACACCAGCACCCAGTGTGCTGCCCACCCCGAGGGCCACCAGATCAAAAGTGTTCAGGCAGCGAGACAGCCGCGTCTCCTCCCGGCTACAGTCCACCACCTTCCGCCGCAGCATCTGCTGCCCAATGTTGAGCAGGACTTTGCACCCCATGTTGCTGTTCAGAGCTGTTGAAAAAGAACAAAGATGTTTCCTGATTGCTCCTCATTTCACCCATTACTCTAATCTTATCACATTATGGAAACACAGACAGTGATCAGGTCCTTCATAATCATTTCCTGCTAAAACGCTTTAATTCGTAGAATTCCACCATCAATTGTCAGAAGCACGCAGACTTCTCCAGTTTCACCAGCACATACAGAATTAACCCAGCAGGCCAACAGATACAGATGACTTCATTTCGAGGTCTCTGAGCTTCCACATTTGTAGCAGGTCCTCTTAATGGAGACTCTTCCATGGGTGGAAATTATGCAGTAGAGGAAACACACATTAATGACATTGTTCCTACACTCAGTCATCAGATAATACACCAGGAAAAACAAGGTGTTAGTTCAAGTATGCTGTAATAGAAAGCAAACCAAACCATATCTTAATTTCATTACTAAATTAAATTATTAAATTATTAAAACTCAGAGGCCCTGAATGGCAATAACAATGTTTTTCTAGATCTTTCTAGGATCCCCTGAGGGTAAGGAGCAAGTTGTTTTCACTTTTAAGGTAACACAGAGGTAGGTCGAAGCAGAAAAATGTTGAGTTATTACAAGTGAGGGCTTTTCGTCACTGTTACTACTACAGGAAGCACTTTTCTTCTGGGCTGAAATGTCAGCCCAATGTGCTCTGTGGTATATGATATATATGCATATCTGATATGCTCTTGGGCACTTATCATGAGAGGACATGTATTCATCCATCCCACCCTCACATGGGACATGCCCCATTAGGGCCCAGGACACCTTGTGCCTTGTGGGATGGCTCTGAGATTGCTTTCCTCCAACCTACGGGCCCACCTTGCCCGACCAGATGCGACAGGTGAGCCCTTGGCAAGGACAGGCCAGCAGCCACCCTCAAAAAGGGGGAGCTTTGCTCCCCACATCTGAAGGGAAGAGACTTCCTTCCATAGAGTCCAGGATGGAAGGGTGGGGGTGGGAAAACAGATAAACTCTTCAGTGGAGAAACCCGAGGACCACCGCCTGCGGCAGGTGACCGAGGCCAATAACAGTGACAGTCATGTTGGCAGAGCGATGTGATGAGAGGGGCACTTCATCTCCACAGTCTTTCCCCCAAAAACCCACAGCCCCAGGCTAACCATGGGAAAACCACCGGACACATCCTGTTCTACAAAATACCTGACTGGTTCTGTCAAGGTCATCAAAAACTAGGAAAGTCTGAGAAATGTCAGAGCCTAGAGGAGCTAAGGAGATGTGAGGACTAAATGCAATGTGGGATCCTATATGGGATCCTGGGACAGAAAAAGGACACCTGGGGAAAATGAGGGAAACCTGAATCAAATATGGATGTCAGTTAGTGACAGCACATCAATATTGATTGTAACCAATGTACCCACCAAAGTAAGATACACGTTCCTAATGGGAAATGGTGAGGGGCACATGCAAGCTCTGTACTCTTCACAATTCTTCTATAAATCTAACACTATCCTAAAACAGAGTTTATTTTAAAAATCTAAGACAAAACAACAGCATGTGCACAGATATGCTATCGTCATGACTTTTGGCTACTAAGGTACACACAAAAAATCACCAATCGTTCATGTTGATCATCAGTTGGTATTTATTGACCTAACTTGGCTGCAATTAAATCAATTGAGATAACAAGTCTAGAAAAGTCCGTGCCTAACGACTTGAACACTTCCCTGCCTGCCCACACCTTTGCACCCTCAGCTGCCGGGCGGGCGCAGTGCAGCAGGGCCTCCCCACACTGCAGCTCAGGGCCCCTCAGCAATGGTCGCATCACTGATCAGCTCCAGGTCGTGCAGCAACTGGGGATGGTGCCTGCTCTGTTTTATCTGACAGGCCAAAGGAAGAGAATAATCTCAAGACTCATAAAATTTTGAGCTAGAATGGGGAATAAAAATCATCTGATCCTATCCCTTTGTTACATAGATGGGGAAAACAGCTCAGAGAGCCAAATGTCAAACAGGGTCACAGGCTCTGCAGGCGCAGTCCTCCTCTGGAGTTCCGGCAGTATCACAGGTAGGAAGGAAATGATATCATGGTTTAGCAAGTGGGGCAAAGTGGGGAGGAAATGAGGAGGGAGCGCTGCTTGTGGAACAGTGATGGAGTGGGAAAATCAGAACCTAGAGTTTGAGAAGAGCAGGAAAAGGGCCCCTGAGGCCAAGAGAAGAGCAAGCAGAGAGATGGATGGCTTCCCAGGTTGCTTTCAGCAACACAAGGGACTGCTTCAGCAAGCTCTCATGCCAGAGCAGTTCTGAGGTGTCTCAGCAACACAGGGATGCCTGCGGCTTCCTAGGCAGTTAAGTGAGAGCCTCCGAGTGGCACTAGGGAGGAGGAGGAGCAGGAACCAAGGACCTAGTGCTGCTGGGACCCCAGGATCTGCAGGCTCAGGGAGTGATTTCTCCTGGAAATGCCTTTTTCTTTTCTTCCTTTTGGGGAATTAGCCAGATTTATTCAAGTCAAATTGCAAAGCACAACAAAGCGTTTAGTAAACAATTGCGTGGATAGTAAGTTGGAAGGGAAAATGCAACATTGCAACATAGCCCTCAGCTGAAAAGCCTGTGCTGGGAGATGTGCAAAAATTGCTGCGAAGTCACTTCTCAATATCCCTTTTGGCAGGGAGGGAGTCGTTTAAGTAGACGGAGCCTTGAAGAGAAACAGGGTGTGAAAGCTCTTGTTTCGGATCTGGCTGGGAAATGTGGCTAGGGGATGCACAGACAGTGCCTGCCTGCTCCCAACCTCTCCCAGATGTCACTTCTGCTCAAGAATAAGCAGATTCTCTCCATAAAACACTAAAGGCCAAGTGCAAGGGAGAGACAAAGCTACTCAATAGCATTTTCTTTCCTAGGCCTCACAGGATAACATAACCTAAGCGCGCCCAGAAGGTGAGAAGGGGTCGCCCTGCCTTTCTCTGTCCTGGGCTTTTCAGGAGGGCTATTTCCTTTTTGCACTCCTTTCTCAAAAACGTGCTGTTGTCCTAGGCAGAACCAAAGCCACAAGAGGAACCAAACAGATTCTTGGCAAGGAGCGCACCAGAGCCCAGACACACTCCAGTTAACATAGTTCTGGGCCTCTGTAGAACGGAAGGCGAATGTGAGCCGGCTGCTCGCATAAGAGGACAAATGACGTCCATGGAGGTGCGCAGATGCAAAGCCTATGTGCACACATGCACGTATGTCACCACAGCACAGATCACTGCTGCCAGTTGAGAACCCAAAGAACCAAGCAACTTATGCTGGGGGGACCTCTGAACCCCCTTCAAAATGAAGGGGCAGGTTATTAAATTACTGTAAGCTTAGATACAGATAACGGTTTTCTAACATAATGTGAAAAGGGACTTTCTGGTGAGACACCTGTGCACAGCTGCGCTCATTTCCCCTGAATAGGTACGCAGCGGCCCGTTTTATCCGGGTATAGTTCTTGGCCTGTTTCCCCCACACCAAGCCCAGGGAAGTGCTGGAGGGAAGTGCTTGGGTCTCAGTGGGGTGGGGTGGGGACAACTGGGACCCCTACAGGAGATTACTTTTACCTTGGTTACTTCTTAAGTATTGCTTGCTATCTAGGGAGAGGGCAAACTGAATTCCTTTGGAAGACACTGGAACAAAGATGCAGCCAACTGCTGCTGAGAAGCCCAGGGCTGATAATCTGGAGAATGTAAATGTCTCAGGCTAGGTGTTCATTCCTACTTCCCAGGGTAGGAGAAAATGAGACACTTACTCTGTCCTGGGTTTATTTTAAGAAATATCCTGTCTCCTTGGAAGTAATGCAAAAACCTGTTCTCCAAGTGGTTTTATCTGTCAGCATTTTGTACACATTATACCAGCTCTTACATTCATGCCAGGACTCCAAAGCTGGTTGTTCAACCAACAGTGAGGCTGCACGAAGCTACTCCGCACAGACTTAGCTAACCATTCCAACCCCAGCAAGCAAAGTCAGGTTGGTAGAGACTTCCTGCTGTTGGGGTTTACACAGAAAGTTGCCAGAATACTTTGAGAGCATCACCTGGAAATTAGGTGGGGAGGAATTTATACAACAGTTGATGCCTCCTTTTATTTGAGGGTTTGATGGAAATCTTGCAAGCCCAAGGGTCTCGGATCCCTCTTGCTCCCTGTCATTTATTATCAAAGAACACTTACCTGAGGGGTATCCTCAGAAAAGCACGTTTCCCACAGGAATTCTAACTCTGCATTCTATTCTAGTAACCACTACATAACACCAGGAGTAAAATGACCCAATGAGTCAGAATTTGAGATAAAGACTCTCTTATGTTCTATTTTAAAGATTTCTGATACAAGTGACAGGGTGAATGGTGTGACGTTTTCACCTTGAATTTAACGGATCATTCCACCACTGATACATTCCAGCTTAATGGCTTCCCTGGGGGCCAGGAGGAGTCAAAAGCAAGCTGTTATACGACACTCGGAAATGCCCTTCTTTCAAGAAAATCTTCATCTTGGGATCTTTAAGAAGCCAATGCTTTTAGCTTCCCCTTTCAGTGGCCTTCAGAATGGCCAGGCCCCAGTCGACCCCTTTCTCCAGGCACCTGGTGGGAGCCATCCAGAGGGAAATCTTTCACCCTCGCAGGAGAAAGACTGTGGTCTACGTTTGTATCAGGCTAAGGAATCTCTGTCTTTATTAGGGTGGTATTACTATTATAGGATATCATGAATGGGTGGGCATAGTCAATGGCGTCTTTTCAGCTTTCCTCAACAAGAGTGGCTGGTCAACCTCATGGCTGGCATGTGGGCAGCTGCTCAGCAGTCAAGGAGTGTTCCAGACTGAGTGTGCACAGAAGGGGCAGGGCTCACACAGCTGAGTGAGCTGCAGCCACAGGTGGGAGAAGGGGATGCTGGCCACGATGAGAGAGGACGTGGAGTCTCAATGACAAGGGCAAAACCTGTGTGGAAGGAAGTGATCTCAAAGCAGGATCCACTTCCCCCCAGATGTTAGGAGGCCCAGGTGCAAGAACTTACATTTTGAAAAACAAGTCAGATCAGATGGGACTAGCGGACACTAAGGATGGAGACGGAAGGAGGTAGGCATGGTGTTATAAAAAAAGAGGTAAGGAAGAGACAGAACTGAACACGGTCTTGAGAAGGAGCAATGGAGGTCCCTTAACAGGCAGAAAGAGACTCAGAACAGAAAAGGAAATTAACCGTGGTCAGTGCCTAAGACCATCAGAGGACAGGTCATAACTGACCTAACAGGGACTCATTAATCCCAGGTGAACTGAGTCTGGTACAATGGTAGACCACAGTCTTTCTCCTGTCGTCAGAAGCCACTGCCAATTTGGGCGTGAGGGGCAGGGAGCAGATAGGAGGATTGATCTTAACAAGTTTAGTACATAGCAAAGGGAAAACCCCTATTCATAAACATTCAATTCACGTACAATGTATAGAAGACTGACAAATAGAGACTAGCATAACTGGGAAAATCATGAGTAACATGCTCACTAATGTTGAATACAGTTTAACATCATTCTGGATGTTAACATGATGTCACTAAGAGAAGTGGAAAAAATGAGAAAAACCCTTCCCGTCCAAGAGTAGGAAAAATTATGAATAACTTGTAATAAAATATGACAAAATAATGTAGCCATTAAGAATGTCTTTCTAGACTATGTATGGACAATGAAGAAATGTTCATGACAGGTTCACAGAAAAATACTACAAAAGTATATATTTTTGGATAAACAAAGTACATATGTATTCTTTAAATGCCAGATAAAAAGTATATCAAAATATTAGTAGCAGTAATTTTACTATTCACTATCATAATACTTTTCAAAATTCTCTTTAAAAATTCTATTTTATTTTTATCATAAAAAAAAACACATACAATCTTTCCAAAGTCATTCTGCATTGCAGAAGGCATGTTCACCTACGGGGAGTACAGGCAGAGAATACCTTTCACTGTGCAAAGCGTCACTAAAGACTACATGAACTCGGCCAGGCGCGGTGGCTCACACCTGTAATCCCAGCACTTTGGGAGGCCGAGGTGGGTGGATCACCTGAGGTCAAGAGTTGGAGACCAGCCTGGCCAACATGGTGAAACACCATCTCTACTAAAAATACAAAAATTAGCTGGGCGTGGTGGCAGGCGCCTGTAATCCCAGCTACCCGGGAGGCTGAGGCAGGAGAATTGCTTGAACCTGGAAGGCAGAGGTTACAGTGAGCCGAGATCACGCCATTGCACTCCAGCCTGGGTGACAACAGCGAAATCTGTCTCAAAAAAAAAGACTACGTGGGCTCATTCGAAACCAGCCTGGGCCACATGGCAAGACATCATCTCTACAAAAAATTTAAAATTAGCTGGGCACTGTGGTATGCATCTGTGGTCCCAGCTACTCAGGAGGCTGAGCCAGGAGGATGGCTTGAGCCCAGGAAATCAAGACTGCAGTGAACCGTGATCACACACCGCACTCCAGCACTCCAGACAGAGGGAGACCCTGTTTCAAAAAAAAAAAAAAGACTAAATGAGCTCCACGACCATAAGAAAATTGAATTGGAGAGAGTAAATCAAAGAATCCTCATACTCAAAAGTATGAGGATGGGAAGGGTGGTTCAAAATTATGCAGCTTAAAAAAAAAACCAATCGTCCACTTGTGCAGTGAGCGGCAGAGAAAGAAACAACGGCACAGTGCAAGGCCCCAGTCTCACTGGGCAGCGGCTCTGCCTACAATGAAATATGACTTCTGAGCTTGGACTCTTTTAAAGGCCCTGGGGTCTACATCTGGCTGACTCCAGGCAGCTAGTGACACGCTAAGGATATAACTAAATTCCACCCAAAGTGACTGATCCCATGCCTGTTATGTGCAAAGCACTGTGACAACTGGGGTTTAAGAGAAATGGGCAAACCCCCAGTCCTTATTCTTGGAAAGCACAGAGTGGTGGGGTTGCGGGGGGTGCGAGGCTATGAACATACACTCCTGGAGCACTAGGGTCCCAAAGGAGAGTGTGGGACAAAGAAAAGGTCTGTCTCAAAAGGCCACTACTTTCATGGGGGAAAAAAGGTGGCCTTCCATCAAGAAGTACAGAGGCACAGAGCCATTTGGGCACTTCCATATATCGAGCTGGAGGCCTTGGTTACAAAGACACTTTACACTCTTCTAAAATCCACAAGCTGCAGGCAATGTGACTGCTCAAGTCTGGCACAAGGGGGCCCAAGGGCCAGGGTGATGACTCAACCAGGGGTTTCAGTCCTTCAGGCCTCCCTGACTTCACAATCAGAAAGCCTGAGAGCCCTGCCTCCCCGCCACACGCTTCTGCCTACTGACTCAACAGGGCTGATGGCAGAAGTTCCCAGGGACCTCTGAGGTCCCATAGACAAAGTTTACAGCCCACCACTCTAAGTCTTACAGCAAAAGCAACATTACATGGAGAGGGGTGCGGAAGGAGGCAGGGATCAGAGGTTCCCCAGGAGGAGGGAGAAGGGTGGGGAGGAGGCAGGGATCAGAGGTTCCGCAGGAGGAGGGAGAGGGGTGGGGAGGAGGCAGGGATCACAGGTTCCGCAGGAGGAGGAAGAGGGGTGGGGAGGAGGCAGGGATCAGAGGTTCTACAGGAGGAGGGAGGGGGTGGAGAGGAGGCAAGGATCAGAGGTTCTGCAGGAGGACAGAGTGGGGGAGAGGCGGGGACATGCGGGGAGGAGAGGACATGAGGCTCTACCACAGGTGCCATTCCTTGGGCTGAGCAGCCACCAACTGCAGAACAGCTTCCAGGCACAGTGGGGAAGTTGCCCAGCCAAGAACAACTGCCAACAGAGGCCCCAGTGCAGGCATGGCAAAGACCACAGCATCGGGCCTCAGCCAGGTTAAAGCAACATGGGAGCGCCGGGATCCCACCCACTCACACCACGAAGAGGCCCAAACAAATAAACAAATAACCCACAGGCCGAAAGTAGACAATGCTGTCTCAGGAAGGAACCCAGTGCGATCTTTACAGCGTGAATCTGTTGCTGAAATGGTTTGCAGTCAGTAAACCGTTTTCAACTTTTAATGTCATGAGAAAACATCAAGTCCAAAAGAACATAATATAATACCAATGAGTACGTATGTGGGTGTAAAATCCTAAAATATTAACTGAGATTATACGCATGTTTTTGTTGTTATTTTCTTCTTTTCCATCATTTGCTGTGTAGTCTAGAATGACATGTCACGCTTTCAATGAGAAAACAATAGTAATAACTAAAAACACCTAACATCCTGGAGCACCAGCCAAATGAAAGTCCTTTACATTTTACTTCATCTTTTCGCCCCCTTATCAGGTAGGCAATACTTTGCATTCTAGAGACAAGGAGACGCAGGCTTGATTACAACTCAGTAATTCTCAATGCTGGTTGCACATTAGAATCATCTGGGGAGATTTTTTTAAGTAATAATGCCTGGCCCCAGCACAAATCAAATAACTTCTATAACATTCTCCCAAGGAACGTCCCCAAGGGCATTTGACCAATGAAAGGTGCAGTTGGGGTTCAAGTCTCACTGCCTCCAAAGCCTTGAACTGCTCTCTGAATTAGATCAACAAATTCTGGGGAATGGCATGGCGGCGAGGGCAGTGGGGAGAGGGTGTAAAATACAGAAGAGGGCACAGATGGCACTGTGCCCTGTCGTAGGGGGCACAGGTGACATCGCACCTGCCTCATCGGGGGGGGGGGGCAAGCTCTTCCCACTGACTCAACTCGGCCCCCTCAAGATGCTCCCCCAGGGCAAGGGCTGCATCCTGATCATCCTTCTATGCCCCTGGCACCTAGCAGGCACCAAATAGTATTGACAGGACCACAGCACACGCAGCAGTCAGTAATCACCAATGACCTGAAATTCAGGAAGCTAATAGGGCACCCACTTTTGTCTCAGGTAATCATCACCATGACCATCAACAACTTGTGAGGGTCTTTCTATCAAAAGAGATCTTATTAGCTGAATACTGAATGGTTTCATTCACCAACGAATAAATTTGTTTCTCTAAATGAATATAAATATAAAAAGATGCTAGTTACAGATTAAAATCTAAAGCAACAGTCTTGTCTAGGAAGCCCTCTCCAAGCCCGTCTCCTCACAGGTAACCTCTGTCACAGGCTGCACCCTCTGCCCACCCCCTTCACCCCAATCAGACTATCGCCCCCATGCCACTGTGGGGACCAGCTCAGGTCCCTACCACTCTTCCTGTCCAGGTTTCCATAGGCCCAAATTCATTGTGTTCAACAAGGCACAACGTCAAGGTCTCTGTTTCTACGTGTGTAAAATGGGGATGGACAGTCCTGCCACTGCAAGGTGCTGTGAGGCTCACATGAGACAATGTACTAGGAAACGCCCAGAAAACAGAACTCGCTGCTCTTCAAATGCAAAGAACCATCAGCATCACCCCATGAGTAGCTATTAATTCCTCATAATAATATTTTTCTTTTAAATCCCAATTACAACCTGTTGGTCACCTGTCTCTGCCTCACAGAAGCAGAGGGCAGACAATCCCCATCAGCTTAAGGTTCCCGTCACCAGGGTTTCCCTTCATCGAAACTTTGCCACAGTCACTGTAAGTACCACCTACTCCACTCAGCTCAAGTCTTCCAATTCTGTTTACTCAAATCAAAGATGACATAAAAAACGAGAAGCCAGTGGAAAAGCTATCAAGGACATCTTCACAAAAACCAGAGAACACCCGAAAAGTGTTTCCTCCTGAAGCCAGCAGGATGAGTGGAGAGTTGATGTCTTTCGATGTGTTTCCATCATCACTCGGGAGGGCGGTGCTTCATCAGGAGAGACGCCCACGCCCTGTGTGCAGAAATGTGTTACAACAAAAACAGGTATCCTATCCTATCCTATCCTATTGGAGCCAGGGCTCCTCTGACACGTGCCTTTTCATCACACTTGGGCAGCATGGAAAGAAAACATCAGTCTGCACAACCTGTGGGCAGGTCCGCAGGGAGACTCTCCACTGCCTCGCAAGTGCAGCGTCAGTGAGCCAGAACCAACCAGGGAGCTGGCCCTACACAGTGGGAGCTTCCACGAAACAGGCTTTAAGTTCCCTGCCGGCACTGCATTCGGGCCTTGGAAATGGCTATGGAACTGGCTCTCACATCTCAGAAGAAACTTGTTCTTTAAACAAATTTGTTCATTTATTTAAAAAGAAATGTTTTAAACAAAGTTCCCCCAAGATTAGAACACTGGCACTTTAATTTTCTGAGCCTCTAAGGTTTCCTGGCAGTTAAATTAGTTTTCTTTCCCTCCTTCTAAATATTTCCTCTTCCAAAAGCAAAAGGAGAATCAGCATTGCAAACGAGAGCAAAGCAGAGGGTTCCATGCCAACCTAACTTAATTTTCACTGGACATTCACAGACTGATATTTTCCCACTCACTCATTTATTCACTCAACAAACCTTTAATAAACTCAGGCAGTCCACCAATTCACACATAGGCCTGGGAACACCTTAATCCATAAACTCCTGGAAATTTTCACTTCTCCCCCAGTCTCCCCACCATCACGAGCAACTTTTTTTTGTGAAAAAAACTTGGAACTCCTAGAAAATTCACTGGTTCGAGAGGAGACAAAGAAAAGCTATGAACAATGGGGCACAGCCCAGGAAATGACCTGAAGAACAGCCTCACAGTGAGCGGGGCCTGCTAGAAACAGCCAACATCACACAACACCAGCTCCACGCCACACACATGCACTGCTGCATTAAATCCCCACAAGGAAGCAATCGAGTCACAATTGCTAATCCTCTTGTAAGAATAAGAGCGCGGAGTGTAGCTGGCAGATTATATTGCCTGCTGTCACGTAACTTGTAATAGTGAAGCCAGGATTTGAACCCAGGTCATCTAATTCCTGAAACCCTATTCCCTGCCAGGTGCCAAACTGACTCAACTTTGACCAAGCTCATTCTCCCTGCTGCCTGATAATTCTTACTTTATTTGTTACCCTGTCTGAAATCCTACAAATATAAAAGAGTCATGAGTTAAGTGACAACCTCTTCTTAAATGTGATACCCCTGTAAAAATGAAGCCCATTATTATTCATGCCGTGGAGTGAATCAACGTAATCCATCCACTTCCCATCCAGCCAGCTGCTAGCCAAGACCCGCTGGCTGTGAGGTAACAGGAACTTTATCTGGGACTGAGGAAAAGTGGGTAATTTTGGCTGCAGGACCCAACCGGGGCTTCGGCGGAAAGTTGTGGAAAGGATACAGATAGCAGAGGCCTGGAAAGGGTATGTGGAAGGAAGTGGCAGATAAAGCAGATGGATTACGTGTTACATTAGAGAAAAAGTGTCAAAACAACATTATAGCAATCCTTAAAAAAAATTATAACATAAAAATAAGTGTATACAAAGAATTGTAGTGCAGGAAGAAGTGAGGCATTTGTCTCTAGACAGAAGATTATGAGTGGTTCCTTCCATATTTCGACAATTTTTAAATAATGAGTATGTAATGCTTCTGAATTAAGGGAAAGAAAATCTCTTGTAATGAAACCAACAAAGAGGGAGAACAAAGGAAGGCATGAGGGTCCCAGGACAAGCCAAGCCCACCTCGAGTCTGTCTAGGAGAAGCTGATAAGCGGGTACACGGGGCTTCATTATGCTTTTCTCATTTGTGCATGTTTGGAAATTTCCAAAATTAAATGTAAAAACAAAGGACTTCGTCTGGGGCTGACCCAAAAAACACCGAGGAAACTCCACTACCTGCACCAAGTACCCTACTCCACAACCCCAGTGCCAGGACAGCCCCAAAATGCTGTAAGTGACAGCCACATGTTAACTAGTTAAAGCGTCTTTTATATGGGATTAGGTTGAGCCCTATGAAACTGTCAATATTCAGCCATATTTGATAATGACATAGAAAAACAGCCAAGAGTCACGGAAGTGTAACAGGCAGACCTGTCCTTAACTCTCCCGGTGGTGTCCTGAGACACTTCTCTGGGCCTAAGTCTGAATCAATGGCAAGTCAGACTGAAAAGCAACCCTCTCTCACCCGATAGCCTCCACCAGAAAAGCTGATATGAGTACCAAAGAACAGACTTAGGAGTAGTTCACAGGCTATTCAAAAGCTGGTGCTGTCTAAAACGTTAGGCACACACGGTTAGGAGCTATACATTGGAAGGAACGCAAGTGAATTTTGCGGTTCACCCCTTCCTTACCTTTTGACAGGTAACAGCCTCACTGGGGAGATGGAACCCATGCCCACTGGACAACAGGTGGCATGTCAGTAACCGGGCGAGGCTGGCACCCTGGTCTGTGATCTGTGACTTGGGGCAGGGCAGGGTGGCCCCTTTAGGGGTCTTCAGTGGCCAGCTAAGGGATTTACACCTTTATTTAGAAGCAAAAGTTTTAAGCAAAGGAAGAGCATCCATAAAACATGATCTTGGGCAGACTAACCTGGTCTATGTAAGAAACACCGGAGGGGAAAAATACAGAGCACGAGGACTTCCAGCTTCTCAAGGTCCAGCCTTCTCCTTTTAGGTAGGAAATCAATATGCTTGCCTTACAGCACAATATTTTAATCCAACTAATATAACACCTTTGCGTAAGCAAATGCTGTGACCTTTCATATTGATCTATTTGTTCCCCGGTCCCTGTTTTATTCTCAAAGAGCCCTGACACACACGTAAAACACACACCCGTAGTTACCATGGGGATTATCTACGCAGTTCATGTCATGCATAAGTAATTCCCACCAGGAAACGCCACATTTTATGGTAGGTCTTCCTGCCCTACTCACAACCACACTTTTTCACTGGTGACCAGAATTTCAGACACTCACTCCAGAAGGAACACACTTTTAATCTGACTTCTAATCTGAAAGGAATGTCACAGCCTCTTGGCCTGGCTGACCACCTTGCCTGTCTTCAGTCTTCAACAAGTACTGGTTGTACTTTTCTAATGAGGAGGCCTCCTCTTTACGTGGAGCGGACGTGCTAGTGGGCACTAAGAGAATAGCCTCTATCAGAGAGGAGAATGCAATTCAATTTACCTGAAATTCCTTTCAGGTATCTGGAAACAAATGGCCAATTGCCCGCATGCTCACCTGAATGATCAAAGACCAGGAGAAAACCGTACCCGTGGACCAGGAGGAAGCCAGCGAAGAACAAGGCAGCCCAGGATGCGGGACCAGTGCCATTCCTTCCCACCGCATGAGAGTGCCAGAGGGGGTGAAGGGTGGAGTGGCCCTTTCAGCACACCACGTGGTCCATATTTTATCATCTGTCACAGGCAGTGCCACCTGCATTGCTTTCATCGAAGGCACCAGACCAATACCATGACCACACACTGTCACTCTGGAGTGCCACCCCAAATTGACCCCAGAGCCAGCCCCTCAATATGCCAACATTCAACTCAAATATTCCAAACCGGGCATAATCAAAATTGTTCCTTTTTTGGTTATGGCTTTGTGACAGTCAGACTCTACATTTTCACAGAATCAGGAGAAAAGGAGAGCACAGGTTACATCTATTGTTTGTTTGTTTTCTGAGATGGAGTCTTGCTCTGTAGCCCAGGCTGGAGTGCAGGGGCACCATCTCGGCTCACTGTAGCCTCCGCCTCCTGGGTTCAAGCAATCCTCCCACCTCAGCCTCCTGAGTAGCTGGGACTAGAGGCACACATCACCACACCCAGTTAATTTTTGTATTTTTTTAGTAGAGACGGGGTTTCACCATGTTGGCCAGGCTGGTCTTGAACGACCCCAAGTGATCCACCCACCTCAGCCTCACAAAGTCCTGGGATTACAGATGTGAGCAACCATGCCCAGCCACTTCTATTGTTTTTTAAGGAATTCTTAAAGGCTGAAAAGAGACATTTTAACATATGCCCCAAATAATATTCTCTGCAGTCTCCACTGCCACAGAAAAACCTACTGTAAGGACCTCTTGCCTGCTAAAAGTTCACTGACATGCCAGTCATCTGAGACCCAAGACCACATTTTCGTATACAAACAACATGACAAAACTGCAGTTAAATTCCAAGGCAGCTCACAAAAAGCCATTTAACCCACCTCGCTCCTAAAGTCGGACTGGGCACTCCAGAGCCACCCACCAGCCAGCAGGGCCAGTGACGGCTCAGGGCATCCATGCTGGCTGCAAGGGTAAATGAGTCCTGTGGGGCTGTGACCCTGTAGAAGACTTAAAATCAGGGACAAATGTAGAAAAAAAATCAAGGAGCAAAATAATTTCTTATAAAAATAGACAGCAGATGGAAATCACTTTTCAACTCCCCCTTTCAAGGATTAAGGAAAGGTGACCTGTGCTGGGCTGGCTTGATGAGACAAGCAGCCATGCTGGGGAAGCCCATGTGACAACCAACTGCAGATGGCTTCTGGGAGATGCAGGCAGCTGCTAGGAACTGCGAGTGGCCTCTGGGAGCTGACAGCAGCCTGCATGTCGGCCAAAAAGAGGCCAGGACTCAGTTCTACAACTAGAGAACGTGAATTCAGCCAACAACCTGAGGGAATGTGGAAGAGGACACTTCTCCAGTCAAGCCTCCAGATGAAAACCAAGCCCAGGCCAGCATCCAGACTGTAGCCCTGTGAGACCCCAAGCATAGGCGCCAGCTGAGCTCTGACTCCTGCTGATTCCTGGCCCACAGAAACATTGAGAAAGTAAGATGTGTGTTGTTTTAAGCCAGAGAAACAGATGACTAATAAATGGTCCAAACACTCTTGTGTGATAATGAGTGAACTGGTGTTCATTTGCTCACTGAATCCTTGGGGGGCTAAGAACCAGAGCAGCAACCTTTCTTTAATACATTGCTTCAATGGTGGGGATAACCACAACTTCGCCTGAAGCTATTTCATCTTAATGGAGTCTGAATGATTTGAAAGTAATTTCCTCCTCCTGGAAAAATGGCATACATTAAGTAGCTGTTATTTCATTTTTTTAAAAATTGGGTGATCTTCCTTGGGCCATGGTCGTAGGAAGTTATGGGAGCTATAAAGATGAGACCACACATCGTCCCTGCCCTCAGAGTGCACAGTCTGGAAAGAAAGAAGCAAGCAAGTAACTGTTCACAATGATCGATCCATGCAACAACCACCTATTATGCACCTACTGTGTGCCCTCCCTCTTTGCAGAGGCTGAGGAAGAGCAGGGAACAGAACAGAAGAGAGAAGACAGAATGTGATAAACCAAACAACAAGCGTGGCCAAGACCGAAAGGCCTCCAGGAGATGTGGCAACTATGTTACCATCTGGCACCTGGCCTGATTCTCTTCAACAGGAAAAGATGACATCATGGCGGTGCCCAGTAAGCCATAAATTCCCCCAATTCAGACAGGGTTCAAGACTTGTGCCCCAACACCACCCAAGGGCTTCCCCTCACACCTTGATAATGCACTGCCCAGCCCAAGAAGCGGAAGACTCTGACTTAGGCTATTCACTCAGGTGTCAACGCCCAGCCCCAGTGTTAGGTAACACCAGAAGATGTTCTAAAATAGTCTGTTAAGACAGCAGAAACACATCTGACTGGGGCGGCGCGGGGAAGAATGCAGAATGAACTCACTCTAATTTAAGTCATGCTACTAATTAAGCACCTAAACAGGGAAGGAAAGAAAAGGGTGCTCAAGGCTCACATACCCCAACACACAGTGGCTTCTGGCCTGTGCAGAATGTCCTCCCACTTCCCTGCTGGCCAGCAGCTAATTTTACCCACCGCCTTTGGGAAGGTGCACCTGGTAATTCTGCACCTTTGTTTCTGACATTTACAAGGTAGTAGCAGCCTCATAAACAAGGTGCTTACTTATAGCCTAATCCTCCCCAGGAACTTGAAGCTTATGGGCAGCCCCTCCTTCCTCCTTAATTCTTATTTCAAGGCAGGCTGCTCAAAGTTGCTTACATGTGGCAAAGGTCACTGGCTATATCCCCCAGAAGTCCTTCTGATTAAGAACTCTGTGTGGGCTGCTGAGCCTAAGTATGTGTGCATTCCTAATATAGCCATAGTCTCAGAATTAACGATATGAACTGCCTCAAATGACTGTTAAGAATGTAAGAGAGTGGGAGACAAGTCAGGTGAGGGTCATTACACACACACACACACACACACACACACACACAGACACACACACACACTTTCCCTCAACTGAAGAGTTTTCCCTCTATTTTTTGTGATAAAATATCAATGATAATGATGAAGACTCCATACTCAGTAAACATTTTTAGTTTAATGGAAAAATGACCAGAGCAATTAGTTTAAAGTATTTTATAGTGGAACTCTTTTTCCCAAATGTTGGGAACAGGCCCCCAAATCTGGCCAAAAACTGGCCCCAAAACTGGCCATAAACAAAATCTCTGCAGCACTGTGACATGTCCATGATGGCCATGACGCCCACATTGAAGGTCGTTGGTTTACCGGAATGAGGGCAAGGAACACCTGGCCCACCGAGGATGGAAAACCGCTTAAAGGTGTTCCTAAACCACAAACATTATCAAGACCGATCTGTGCCTTAAGGACATGTTCCTGCTGCAGATAACTAGCCAGACCCATCCCTTTGTTTCCCGTAAGGAATACTTTTAGTAAATCTATAATCTATAGAAATAATGCTTATCACTGGCTTGCTGTCAATAAATATGTGGGTAAATCTCTGTTCGAGGCTCTCAGCTCTGAAGGCCGTCAGCCCCAATTTCCCACTCCACATTCTATATTTCTGTGTGTGTTTCTTCAATTCCTCTAGCGCCGCTGGGTTAGGGTCTCCGACCAAGCTGGTCTCGGCACCCAAACTACATGCTATGCCAAACCCAAATAGAAGAATCAGATAAAAATGAAGCTACTCATATTTAAAGAGAGTTAGGGGACAGACAGCCTCACTGGCCAGCCTTGACCGCCCCCCTGCCCCACTTGGCTCTTATGCCCACTTGGAATTAACTCTCAAGCTGCAAGGAACAGCCTGAAATACCACTGCCCTAGAGCAGATGGTTACAGCACCTAAACCAAGAACGAGTTACAGCAGAATTCCTAAGTAAAAGGGAGAGAAAGAGGAGTAAGGAGAAGAGTGAGAAGAATGGGAGCAAGATGAAAAGTTCTGGGGCAGGAAGAAAACTGGAAGCAGCCCTTGACCTTGAGAAGTGCAAAGACTCCAAGAGTCACAGAGAGAAACATGGCAGGACGCATCACAGCCGCTGTGCTGCAAGCCAGTGCCCAGGAGCTGGGTGGCACACAGAGCACGAGACACAGCGCCCAATGTCCATGCCAGGAATGATGAGGGACAGCTCCAGGCTGATCCTTCCCCAGAGCCTACCCTGGTGACCAGGCCTCAGGGACGGAAGGCCTGGCCAGCCGTAGGATATGAAGAGTTCTGTCTGAAGGAAATGCAGGAATTTAAGGAACACACTAAAGTGAGAAGACAAGCTTGTTTTCTGCTGGGTCAATGGGTCTGGACAGGTAGCCACATGAGTCTGAAAAATTACAGCATTTGGAAATCTAAAAAAGAAGACAACTGGGGGTTTTAGTTGACAGTTAACTTAAAAAGTCAACAGACAACTAGCAGTCTAAATGAATAACATATTCTAGTACAAAACAGAATAACATATATTCTGCTGTCGTGCTGACAGGCAGACTGTACCTGGAATATGACGGGAAGCCTCACCACCTTCTCACCAGAGGACAGCCTCGATCTTGCAGCAAAGATGTCTCAGGAGGGATACAAGGAAGGTTTCAGAATCCTGAAAGGCAAGGAAGAGCCATCAGATATGTTCAGTTTCAACCTCAGAATCTCTAAGTCTGTGGCTGGTACAGTGAAAACGGATTCAGCTCAGCCCTGCAGCGGGAAGCACATGCCACCTTAACAGCAACTGAAGACAGGGTTGACGGCAAAGGGGCCCACCATGGGGCATCATCGGGGGAATTCAGGGAGAAGATGGGGAGCCAGAATAGATGCCCTCCGCACCAGAGATTCCACCGCTTTACCTCTGAAACTGACTCTCATATTTCAAAGAGGAAGATAGAAAAGCGTCACACCGGCAATTTCCACAAATCTAGGGCATAGTCGTAGGCATGCAAAAGCTCTGAGGCCCCGGTCAGGCGCCATGAAGGGGAACGAGTCCGCTCCTGACACTGGTATTGACCAGCAAGGCCAGCAGGGGCAGAAAACCTTAGCTGGTGTCTTCTGAAAACACTTGGACTCCAATTCGTACAATCGAGAATTTAGTGATGGAGTTCTATGGGTACTATTAACAGCTGCCATGGCAGCACAAAGCATACACGTGCCCGTAACACCAAGAGTCTCAGCATGGGCAGAAGGTTATCCTAAATCTGGGATGCAGGACCTTGTTGCCTTGGAATGGAATCGTGCTGGCCAGTGACTGGGAGTACCTGGTATGAACGCAGCCTGAGGACACGCTACGAAGAACCTCATAGATGCATGGCATATAAAGTCCTTTGTTTTCTAAATCTTACCATTTACACTCTGCACAGATTCTTGCACTCACCCAGGAGCTGAAGAGGTTTAATTAAGCTGTCTGAAATATGATTTGCACCTAATGTGAACCCAGACAAGATTATCATTACACAAAAAATGCACATAAAGATGCTAATCAACAGCTACAGTTTTATAACTTAGACAGCAGCAAACCAGATTTCCCACAATTGGAATCTTATTCTATTCCCACCTACATCGTCTTTCATACATTGATAATTCATCCCACACTGATATTTCATTCCTTTTCACTTTCTATGTTGAAAATGTCAAACCTACAGAAGTTGAATGAATACTTACTCTTTATCTACACTTCCCAATATTTAATGTTTTGCCATATTTGCTTTATCCCTCTTTAGACAAATATATGCTTTCCTCATGACCATCGTGATAAGCAAGCTATAGCCACCATGACAACTGACCTCTACATATGTCAATAAGTAACTGCTAAGAATTACATTGTGGGCCGGGCGCGGTGGCTCACGCCTGTAATCCCAGCACTTTGGGAGGCCGAGGCGGGCGGATCACGAGGTCAGGAGATCGAGACCATCCCGGCTAAAATGGTGAAACCCCGTCTCTACTAAAAATACAAAAAATTAGCCGGGCGTAGTGGCGGGCGCCTGTAGTCCCAGCTACTTGGGAGGCTGAGGCAGGAGAATGGCGTGAACCCGGGAGGAGGAGCTTGCAGTGAGCCGAGATCCCGCCACTGCACTCCAGCCTGGGCGACAGAGCGAGACTCCGTCTCAAAAAAAAAAAAAAAAAAAAAAAAGAATTACATTGTGTTACCAAACTGTAATGCCATGATCACACCAGTGGAACTGAACATTAATTCAATAGTATTTAAAACACAGTCCACAACCAAATGTCCCTAACTGTCAGTTACTGCTATTTCTTGATGCTCTATCATGTACCATGAGAGCACCGAGAACCATGAAGGTTGATAAAGTCAGGCTCACAGCCCACCAGGGACACAGCATCCTGGTGCCCCACTGCAGGGTGGCTGCCAAGGGGCCATGATTGGGATTCGTAGTTTAAAAAGTTAACTCTGGAAAAAAAAAGGGGGGGCGGGCAGAATCTAGAAGGGAAACAACTGACAACATTTGCTGCGAGTGATAAAATTTGAACTTTCAAGAAAAAAATGGGAATTTCAGAAAACTTGTATTCGTCACCAAGATGTGGACAGCTCCCTAAAAGTTGAATTTTCTGATGACACTGGGGGTGATGTTAACAAATGGGATATTTTAAAAATATATGATGAAATGTGCCAGCATTTGGAAGATCCACGTAATTCAGTAAAACAGAATCCTAAATGTGCAGACTGATTTGAAGTGCAGGACAGACCCATTATTTTAGAACAAAGAGCTTACCGAGATGGCTTCAGATTCCACAGCGGAACCCACGATTGCCTGTGGAGTTTTAATATAGTATCAAGGAAGAATATCTACAATTACCTGAAAAGGCCACTAAAGTGTTCCTCCCTTTCTAGGTACATCCCTGTGAAGCCATATTTTCCTTATATACTTCAACTAAAACAACACGTCCAAACTGACTGAATGCAGAAGCACATATATGAATCCAGCTGCCATAAGCTAAACATTAAAGACACTGGCAAATATGTAAAACAATGCCACTCTTCTCACTGATTTTTTTTTTGTTCTGGAAAATAGCTATTTTTCATAAAAATGTTACTTATAGTAACACAAAATGGGTTAATCCTTGTTATTTTAGGTAAATTAAGACATTTATTTCAAGTTGTTCTAAATTTTAATTTTCTTTTTTTTTAGACAGGGTCTCACTCTGTCACTCAGGCGACAGAATGCAGTGGCACAATCTTGGCTCACTGCTGCCTCGACCTCCCTAGACTCAGGTGATTCTCCCACATCAGCCCCCCAAGTAGCTGGGACTACAGGTGCACACCACCACGCCTGGCTAATTTTTGTATTTTTTGTAGAAACAGGGTTTTGCCACATTGCCCAGGTTGGTCTCAAATTCCTCAGCTCAAGCAATCCACCTGCCTCAGCCTCTCAAAGTGCTGGGATTACAGAGGTATGCCACTGCACCCGGCCAAAATTTTAATTTCCAATTCATAAGTATTGATAGACACAACCCACATAAGGAAAGCTTCTTGGAGTCCTCCATACTCTTTAAGGGTGTCAGAGGGGTTCCAGACCCAACAGTTTGAGAACCACTGCTTGTAAGGTTGCCCAGTGAAATGAACACAGCCAAGCTTAATATATGCTCAACAGGAAGAACGCTGCTCTCCTGCCTCTTAGGCATGAATTCAGCAGCCTGCCACAGTAACGCTTGCTCCAGTCATAGTCTCCTGTCGTGGTATAAAAGCAGTTCATGCTAAACTTAAAAGTCTAAAGAAAGGCATGCCATATGTTAAGCCAGGATGAACTCATCAGGATTAATGGGACTGGAATGCATAGCAAATAAATTCATTAACACTGCTTTTCTTTAATCCAAGAATGTTCCAACCAATTTATTGTAATTTTTGAGATTTGAAAATTCCTTTGTTAAAAGCAGAGTAATGCAATGCTACGCCTCAGACGTAAAGAGTTTAATTCCATTTGTTTCATAAATATCGCAAGCAGCATTCCAACACTACTCTTGATGGGCTTCCAGGGGTACGTGGGGACTATAAAAGTGTGATTGTGACACCATGTGGCTATATTATAATACAGTCATGTGTCATGACTTAATGATAGGGATGTGTTCTGAGAAATGCACCTTTAGGCGATTTCATCCTTGTGTGAACATCCTGGAGTGTACTTAGAGTGTACTGACAGAAACCTAGGTGGGATAGCCTACTGCACACCTAGGCTGCATGGGATAGCCTTGGCTCCTAGCCTACAAACCTGTACAGCATGTTACTGTACTGAATACTGTAGGCAACAGTCACACAATGGTAAGTATCTGTGAATGGAAACATAGAAAAGGTATAGCAAGAATAAGATACAAAAGATAAAAATTGGTACCATGAACTTACCATGAACGAAGCCTGCAGGACTGCAAGTTGCCCTGAGTGTCAATGAGTGAGGGGGGAGTGAATGTGAATGAGGGAGAGTGAATATGAGTGGGGGGGAGTGAATGTGAATGAGGAGGAGAGTGAATGTGAGTGAGGAGGAGTGAATGTGAGGGAGGAGTGAATATGAGTGAGGGAGGAGTGAATGTGAATGAGGGGGAAAGTGAATGTGAGGGGGAGTGAATGTGAGTGAGGGGGAGTGAATGTGTATGGGGGGGAGTGAATGTGAGTGGGGGGAGTGAATGTGAGTAGGGGGGAGTGAATGTGAGTGAAGGGGGAGTGAATGTGAGTGGGGGGAGTGAATGTGAGTAGGGGGGAGTGAATGTGAGTGGGGGGAGTGAATGTGAATGAGGGGGAGTGAATGCGAATGAGGGGGAAAGTGAATGTGAGGGGGAGTGAATGTGAGTGAGGGGGAGTGAATGTGTATGGGGGGAGTGAATGTGAGTGGGGGGAGTGAATGTGAGTAGGGGGGAGTGAATGTGAGTGAGGGGGGAGTGAATGTGAGTGAGGGGGAGTGAATGTGAGTGAGGGGGAGTGAATGTGAGTGAGGGGGAGAGAATGTGAGTGAGGGGGAGTGAATGTGAGTGAGGGGGGAGTGAATGTGAGTGAGGGGGAGTGAATGTGAGTGAGGGGGAGTGAATGTGAGTGAGGGGGGAGTGAATGTGAGTGAGGGGGAGTGAATGTGAGTGAGGGGGAGTGAATGTGAGTGAGGGGGGAGTGAATGTGAATGAGGGGGAGAGAATGTGAGTGAGGTGGAGAGAATGTGAGTGAGGGGGAGTGAATGTGAGTGAGGGGGAGAGAATGTGAGTGAGGGGGAGTGAATGTGAGTGAGGGGGGAGTGAATGTGAGTGAGGGGGAGTGAATGTGAGTGAGGGGGAGAGAATGTGAATGAGGGGGAGAGAATGTGAGTGATGGGGAGAGAATGTGAGTGGGGGGAGTGAATGTGAGTGAGGGGGAGTGAATGTGAGTGAGGGGGGAGTGAATGTGAATGAGGGGGAGAGAATGTGAGTGAGCGGGAGAGAATGTGAGTGAGGGGGAGTGAATGTGAGTGAGGGGGAGTGAATCTGAATGAGGGGGGAGTGAATGTGAGGGGGGAGAGAATGTGAGTGAGGGGGAGAGAATGTGAGTGAGGGGGAGAGAATGTGAGTGAGGGGGAGAGAATGTGAGTGAGGCAGAGTGAATCTGAATGAGGGGGGAGTGAATGTGAGTGAGGGGGAGTGAATGTGAGTGAGGGGGAGTGAATGTGAGTGAGGGGGAGTGAATGTGAGTGAGGGGGAGAGAATGTGAGTGAGGGGGAGAGAATGTGAGTGAGGCAGAGTGAATCTGAATGAGGGGGGAGTGAATGTGAGGGGGGAGAGAATGTGAGTGAGGGGGAGTGAATGTGAGTGAGGGGGAGAGAATGTGAGTGAGGGGGAGAGAATGTGAGTGAGGCAGAGTGAATCTGAATGAGGGGGGAGTGAATGTGAGTGAGGGGGAGTGAATGTGAGTGAGGGGGAGTGAATGTGAGTGAGGGGGAGTGAATGTGAGTGAGGGGGAGAGAATGTGAGTGAGGGGGAGAGAATGTGAGTGAGGGGGAGTGAATGTGAGTGACGGGGAGTGAATGTGAGTGAGGGGGGAGAGAATGTGAGTGAGGGGGAGTGAATGTGAGTGAGGGGGAGAGAATGTGAGTGAGGGGGAGAGAATGTGAGTGAGGGGGAGTGAATGTGAGTGAGGGGGAGTGAATGTGAGTGAGGGGGAGTGAATGTGAGTGAGGGGGAGAGAATGTGAGTGAGGGGGAGTGAATGTGAGTGAGGGGGAGTGAATGTGAGTGAGGGGGAGTGAATGTGAGTGAGGGGGGAGTGAATGTGAGTGAGGGGGAGTGAATGTGAGTGACGGGGAGTGAATGTGAGTGAGGGGGAGTGAATGTGAGTGACGGGGAGTGAATGTGAAGGCCTAGGACATGACTGCACACTGCTGGAGACTTGAGGAACACTGTACACTGAAGCTACACTAAATGTGTAAAAAATATTTTTCCTTCTTCAGTCATAAATTAAGCTTAGCTTACCGCAACATTTTTACTTTACAAACTTTTTTGTAACTCTTTTTTTTTTTTTGAGATGGAGTCTCGCTCTGTCGCTCAGGCTGGAGTGCAGTGGCGCGATCTCGGCTCACTGCAAGCTCCGCCTCCCAGGTTCACGCCATTCTCCTGCCTCAGCCTCCCAAGAAGCTGGGACTACAGGCGCCCGCCACCGCGCCCGGATAATTTTTTGTATTTTTAGTAGAGACGGGGTTTCACCGTGTTAGCCAGGATGGTCTCAATCTCCTGACCTTGTGATCCGCCCGCCTCGGCCTCCCAAAGTGCTGGGATTACAGGCGTGAGCCATTGCACCCGGACCTTTTTTTTAAAACTCTTACTTTTTCATAATAACACAGCTTAAAACACAAAACATTACACAGAAGTACAAAAATATTTTTTATGTCCTTATTCTATAAGCTTTTTCTATTTTGAATTTTTTTGTTTTTTTTTACTTTTTCAACTTTTTTCTTAAAAACCAAGATGCAGACAAACACATTAGCCTGGGCCTACACATAGCCAGGATGATCAATGTCACTGTCTTCCACCTCTACGTCTTGTCCCACCGGAAGGTCTTCAGGGGCAGGAACACACAAGGAGCTGTGATCTCCTGTGATAACAATGCCTTCTTCTGAAATACTTCCTGAAATACCTGCCTGAGGTGATTTTACAGTTAACTTTTCTTGTAAGTAGGACTACACGCTAAAATAACGATAAATAGTATAGTAAATACCTAGTATTTACATATATACATAATATATACATACATATATTACATTAATTAATTATATTACATTAATATATACATATATATTACTATGTATGTATGTATTACTATTACATAGTAAAAACCCAATAACACAGTCATTTATTATCAAGGATTATGTACTGTACCTAATTGCATGTGCTATACTTTTAGATGGCTGGCAATGCAGTATGTCTGTTAACCCCAGCACCACCAAAAACACATGAGTAACGTGTAGCAGGACAATGTCACAAAGGCTAAGACATCAATAAGCAACAGGAATTTTTCAGATCTATTATAACCTTATGGAACTACTGTCATAGATGAGGTCTACGATCAACCAAAACATCATTATGGGGCTCATGACTGTATATTTACAGTGGACACCTGGCAGGCCAAGAGAAAATCCGGGCATAAAATAACCCCAAAATATCAGAAAACATATCCCACTGAACGATTTATAAATCAAAAGGAGTCAGGTCTTTCCACTAAGTACACTTATAAGAACCACTAAAAAAATCTTTATATTTATTTTATTAAACATAATGCCCAACTTTTTGGCAACTTACAAAGCGGTTTCGCCTGTTCTTATCCTATTCTTCACTCAACAGTTATGTACTGAGTGCCAGGTGTAGTTCCAGAAACTGGGGATGCAGCAGTGAACTAACTAGACCAAAATCCCCATCTTTGAGGAGTTAATGTTCTATTAATGGGAATGCCTCTTCAAAAACTAAGAACGGACCAAACACTAATGACGGCAGCACACTTCTCATCTCCTAAAGTAACTGCATGAAACAAGGAGAAACAGAATGAACCCCAACTATACACACAGGTGCTCCTTCCCAGCAGGAGGTCGACGTCACAGTTAGTGGTGACGCGCTGAGGGGGTATCAAGAATGAAGCTACAAGGGACCACAGTTCAAGGCAGTGGGGAGAACTCTGTGAAGTCAACCAATAGCTACAACCAATGATTCTGGTGACAGTCAAGCCCTTTGGGATGGCCAGATTCCTGTGGAACAGCCCAGGCAGCTCCCGAGGGGATATGTCGGGGGTGTCAGAGTGTTGTAAAAAGAGGGGGTTTCTAGTCTGAAAAGGCAAACTACAATTAGTTTAATTTATCCTTTGACATAAATATTGTCTTGAAATTTCCATGAGTTTTTTGTTAAAAGCATTGGGCTAAGAGACTGAAATAACTTTTCTGTTCAAGGAGAGTGATGGAGGACAGAAATCAAAACCTAATGTGCACAATAAAGACCTCAGCGTCCCTGGAACCACAAGGGCAGGCCCCAGGCATCACCGAAGAATCCAGAACTGCCCTCTGAGGCTCTCGAGGTCTGAGGCCCTTCTGCCCCTTTTGTGATGGGCCCCACACATGGCACCACCGGACTGCATCAATGGCTGACCATCCCAGCGGCTGTTCTGCAGACACACTGAAAGCTGCAATTCCCAAAGGGTTTTCTGGACCACAGAAACGGGGGCATCCCCTCTGTCCTTGAGCCTTCCAGTCCTGAAAGTCCAAATCTTAGATTTATCCAGACTCTTGTTAACTGCAGTAATACAGAGTAATGGCAAGGCTCACAAATGGATGGTACTAGAAACCAAAACTGTCAAGTATCACGTTCCCCTGCATTCCTGACGGACCCACACTTCCTGACTTCCGTAGTTCCATCCCAGCATAGCATATTCTCAGCCTGCCAGTTTCCCAATGATCACGCCCTGTCCTTCACCTGATGACAGTGAATGTTCCAGCTGTTACTCAACAGTTCCCAGGCAAACTCATAGAATGGATTCGTCTCCACGTGAGAATGTCAATAGTTCTTCCCCTACTTTCTTTAAGATTATTTCATTTTATATTTCACATTGACAGACAAAATTGTATGTATTTACTATGTACAACATCATATTTTAAAGTGTATACACAGGTTGGGTGTCTCTGATCCAAAAATCCAAAATCTGAAATGCTTCAAAATCTGAAACTTTGAGCACCAACATGATGCTCAAAGGAAACGCTCGCTGGAGCATTTTCAGTTTCAGACTTTTTTGGATTAGGAATGTCCAACTGGTAAGTATAATGCAAATAGTTCAATCTGAAAAAATCCCAAATCCGAAATGCTCCTGGTTCCAAGCATTTTGGATAAGGTATCCTCAACCGGTACACTGTGAAATGACTGAACCTGGCCAACTAACATATGCATTACCTCGCACAGTTATCATTGTTGTGGTATTCTCCTAATTTCTAATATCTGTCATGGTTCCACTGTTATTTGGAACCTATACCAGTTCCTGTCCAATCCCTGAGGCAGCAATAAAATGTAAACGCAAAAGCTGTTGAAAAGACCACACAATCTATATAATATTTGTGGTTCTATAATACTTACAAATGCTAAAGGAAATGTGGTCAAGGAAGAAACAGTAAGATATTTATCCTACCTCCAGCCCTTCAATAATTAAAATTACTCCAGCTCATTTTGCACCCAGGAAAAGACCATTTGGCTCAAAATTGCATGATTCATCCTTCCTTTGAGATGCAAAATACTCTGAGAAAAGGCTACAAACTCCTTCTGTGCTGTGCACTGCAAAAGGCTAGAGAAAGCCATTCTAACCAACTGGTGTAAATCTAATGATGGCTCCAAAAGGGGCAACGAGAGAGGCCGGGAGGACAGAGTCGGGGGCTGCAGTGCAGTGGCTCTCAACTGGGGGTGACTCTGTCCCTGAAGGACATCTGACAATGTCTGGAGACATTTTAGGTTGTCGCAATTGAAGGATGGTGGTCAACTAGCAGGCAGAGGCTAAGGATACAGCTAAATCCTACCATGCACAGGGCAGTTCCCTCAACAAAGAATGATCCATGATGTGCCAAGGTAGAGAAAGCCTGCCTTACCGTGTGCAACGGTGGACGGCAAAATGTTCTACAAATTTACTTAAGTGGGTTTTTTGATGTTTCACTATTTAAATTGTAATATTAAAAATTACAAATATTGTCTGCAAAATAGGCACAAACATATTTACAGGAAAGCGAAACTCTGTCATCACGCCCCTGGAGAACACCCTCGATGTCCCTGAACCAGATAGGAGAATAACTAAGAAGAAACAGGGGAAGAACAGCAGTAAAGGATGAAAAGACGTAGGAGACGAAGACAAGTTTCCCATCGCAATGAATCCAGGCTCTGGTTTCTAAGAGTGAAACTGACAGCTTGTCCAACTGTTGGGGATGCCTTCGCCCTGCAGGCAGCATGGAGAAGATGGGCAGCTTGAAGAGACGGGACTGCCAGCACTACCCTGTGCTGTCCATGGGTCTCCCAGCACATGCAGGGATACCCATCCCCACTTTATGGATGAGATGCTGATGCTCAGGAAAGGTAGCTCAACTCTGAAACTAAGGCACCACTGCCAATTTATTAAAAAGTCCTCCTGTCACAAAAAAGACAGGGTTTTGGTGCTCCTGGGGGAAGGCCATCTTGAGCCGGTGAGAGGCAGTTTTCACCATGGGGAGGGCAGCTTCTCTCCAAGTGATGCTCTGCCGGCCAATGAGAATTTAAAAACACCAAGTCCTAAGCTCGGAGAGCTGGAAGGACCACACAGTCACGGAATGCCAGAATCCTCTCAAGATGGTAAAAGGAAAACCATGACTAACACAGGAAAATAGTGGGGAGAAAGAGGAAGGGAGGACAAGGGCTGGAGGAAGGGGTGGTCTGGAAGAATACACTGATTTTCCACTCAGTCATTTCCCGCCTTCCATTTGACATGCTCTCACCAACTATCCTGCACAGCTCACCTCTGGCTCAGCCAACAATAAATGCACCCGTGAAGTCAGTTATAGGCCCACTGACAATAATAATAACAAAGGCTAACACTGCTATTAAGTGCCTACGATGCACCAGTGCCCTCTCCTAAGGCACTTCTTCTTAAATGAGTATGTAATCTCATTTAATACTTAAGCCAAGCCTTTGAAGGTTATACAGCTGTTACAATTGCTTCACATGTGAAAAAACCAGCTGCATAAAGTAGGTTCTATGAAGCGGAATCTCGGCTCAAACCTCAGTGTGTGCGTCTAACTCTAAATCCACGATGCTCCATTATTTTCAATACTACTGAAACTCTATGCCAGACTTATAATAGCTCCCCTAGGGCAAGAGCCATAATGAAATTATAGTACAAGTTTAATTAGATGCAAGGACGATCCTCCCACTTAGCAAATGCAGTCAGAGGCAATGGGATGAGGAGGCACAGGTCCTGAGGAAGACATTGATATCAATCCCTGCTCAACCATGGACTAGCTGAATAAGCCTGGGCAAATTACTCTGAATCTCAATATCCTGCCTTCTCCAATGCAGAAAATACTGCTACATTCACAGAATTATTTAAGAAAATAAATAGAGATTACATATATAAATATATTAAGCACTTTTCAAAAGAAATACATTCTTAGATAATTTCTTTGAATAAATGACATGCTTCCAGAAATACTTTCCCTCCATTACATTCTGTTCTTCAACTGCACTGGCTTGTAGCTGGCATTCTGAAATTTCTCTGCCAAATAGCTAATAAACTACACAAAGAGATAAATGCAGCCAGGGGGAGCTGCTATTTAAAGAAATCCTCTAGTTTAAGTGAAGAATTGTTTGATGTGTGAATAATCAGCTCTTAATTAATGGTTTGTCAATATTTTTAAAGAATTATCTAATTAATGAGCTAACTGGGCAGACTGTGGCATCCATCCTGAATTAGGATATTGATGTTTCTGTCTGCCAGTGACTTAACCCAAAAGAGTATAAAATACAGACCTTTCCAGTGAGGAGGTGACTATGTTACTGAGAAGATAAGAGAGCTGCTCATGAAGATGCATGAGTACAATACAAACAATACAAATACAATACAGCAGGGTAATCTCAAGATGGCCAGCAGAGAGAGAAAGGAGGCCTGGGGAGTACTTCAGGGCAGGGCCAACAGACCCAGCAGGCGTTCCCAGAACAGGGCCTGGAGGAGCACAAAGGGTTCAAGGAGCACCAGGGCATTGGCCTCCCAAGAGGTGGGGAAGAGGGGGCCTGCTGTTGATGGTCTAGGCCCACCTTCTCCAGGACCTCTTATAGGTCTATGACGGTCTTCCTTAAACACACTTACACACTTTGGTCCACACTTGTACACTCTCCAGTGACTCAGTAAATCTGATCCACATACCTTTATACTCAGGATCCCTTTCTGCCATCTGCCAGGACACAGGTGGATCTCAGTCCACCACACACAAAAAGAAGCCTCTGTGCACCTACTTATGCCCTGGAGAAAAGCCCGGGAAAGACAGTGTCCCTCAAACATGCCCGGTGGGCTCCCCCAGGATGCAGACAGTAGCCCACCTTACCATTTCCCTGCTCCCAGTTCTCGGGCAGCCTCTTCAAGTTATCCCCATCCTGCTCCTCTTATCCAAAGCTTCCTAACGCAGCAGCATCTATACAGAGAAGGGATCCTGCGGTTCTGGGCCAAGGAACCATCACCCTGTCTAGACTCTCACACCTCTCAAAAGGCAGTGAGTTAGATCATTACTAACCCACCTCTTTGCTGAGTCAAAGCCAAAGTTATTTATCCTTTCTGGGGCCTAAGAGATGGTGTGGACTGTTTCGCCAAAACCCAAGAAAAGGATGGCAGCAGCGATGGTTGTACAACAATGTAAATGTAGTTAATGTGATTGAACTGCACACTTAAAAATGGCTAAGATGGTAATTTTTGTTCTGTGTATTGTCCCACAATTAAAAAATACTTACAATTCAAAACGGAAGAACAAAACAACTAAGAAGATTCCTCAAAAAGTGCACAGAGGTACAATACAGCAATTCCATTAAGGTCAATGCTCAAGATAAAGGAAAGCAAGTGTCCACATGAAAATGTACACCAATGTTCACAGTAGCATTATTCATAATAGGCAAAAAGCAGAAACAACCCAAACGTCCATCGACTGCTGAATGGATAAACGAAATGTGGTACATCCAGACAAAGGAATATTATTCAGCCATAAAAAGCAATGACATTCTGACATATGCTGCAACACGGATGAACCTTGAAAACACGATGCTAAGTGAAAGAAGCCAGACATAAAGGGTCACATTCCGTGTCATGCCACTTATATGAAATGTCCAGGATAGAGATAAAAAGGAAATAAGTGGTTGTGTACGGCTTGGCTACGGGTGGGGAATGACTGTTAATGGGTACGAGTTTCCTTTTAGGGGTGACGAAAATATTCCAGAATTAGGGCGATGGCTGCATAATCCTGTGAATTTGCTAAAAATCACTGAATTTATACTTTCAATAGGTGAGCTTTATACTATGTAAATCAGATTTATAAAACTATTTTTTGTAAAAAAAGTCAAGAGGAGCCCTATCCAAAGGGACCCCAGTATAGTTTTCCCACTAACCATGACAGGCAGATTTGAACTTGAACTTCTATTCAAGTTCGGTTGCTAAGGCAGCACTTTCTCCCACATACTTTAATTCTGCTTCAAGTCAAAACTCTACCACCCCACTCCCCTAGAAATCAATCATCATGGCTCCAGTTGCCGTTGGTAAGAGGCTCTCCACTCTACTTGCACAAGCTATTTATTACATGTAACCGTCATTCTGCTTTGAGAGTTTCACGAGGGTGAAATTAGCTCCTATTTGATAAACTCTCCCTACAACTGCCGCCTCATCTTCTGGTGTTCTGTTACATTGCAAATACAAGCTCCTGTTTTAATACGCAGCTTAAATATTTCATGGTGACAGGGCGCAGAATAATAAAAATGGGGCAGGTTGCAGCATTTTTTGGTTTAAATAATGCCATACACGTGGTTTTTAAGCTTTTAGGTCAAAACAGGGTGTGGGGGAAGGGAAGCCCTCTCACTCTGTGGATACCTATGGTCCAGGATCTCAAAAAGAATAGGGTGGCTTACATAGGTAAGCAGAAGAGTAAAAGCTCATCAGGCAGTCAAAATGGAACAGTCTGTTAGCCCAGCCCAGTATTTCCTAAGGCCATCAGGGCTCACTACCAGGGCAAAAAAGTCATCCGGGAGGATAGGAAAAGACATGCCCAACTCAGTGAGTGGGAGACAAATTTTGGGATGCTTCCCACACTGAATGTTCGGAATGCTCAAAGGGCTTGGCCGCAGCCTTTTCTCTGCCAAGGCACACCTGACAGGTAAGCTCCTGCCACACTCCTGGGTGTTTACAAGCTGCTGGGTACAACTCCCTGCAGGCGGGCATCCCTCCCACGGATGCAACCCGGACAGTGCGGCAGTTCTAAAGAAGCCCACAAAGACAAATAAGTCTCGGGTGTGGCCAGGAGCTCGGGAGAGCAGCACAGGCTCAGGCTCAAGGAGACTGACAGCCAGTAATTACCAAAGGGAATTAAGCAAGCTCTTGCAAGTCTTGGCCTCTTTTTTTTTTGGACTTAATTTGTTCTCCTGGGCCTAAATCACTAGCTGTGTTGCTGGAACGTGCATGCCCTTGAGGGTGAGGTGGCCCTAACTTCTAGGAGGGATTGACTCCAAAGAGCTCCCACCCAGGGGACAGCTCTTCACAGAGGGGCAGGGTGGGCAGGCACCCCACATGCCTGGCACCTGCCAGTCAGGACTCCATCGAAAAAATGGCTCTGCCCTCTTGTTTTCTCCTCTAAACTTACACAAAACTTCTCAAAGTGCTGAGAATATTTTCATCAATGTGAAATGCTCCCAACAGGCTACATCTAAAACGTGGGATAATCAAGGAATGTGGTGTTGGGGAGGAGTGAGCTGATCTAATCCACTCCAGACCACAGTCTACCCCGTACCTCTTCTGTGAGGTTCTGCTCTGTGTGGTATGGACACTGTCCCTTATAATATTTCTCCTTAAAGGAATCCATCTTTTAATAATTTAGGCAAATTTTTAAAAAACCACGACGATGTATTACTCTCATAAATGGAGCACCACCAAAATTACCTGGAATCAGGTCTTAAAACTCACATCCACCACTCAGCCTGCGAGAGCCAACTGTTTCCTGGAGGGCCCCGCGTAGCTACAACTATGGGTAGTGAACTCTTAAGGTGCTAGTCATCTATTTTTCCTAATACACATTAGAACTCACATACCATTAAAATAAAAACGCATGTGCATTCCCTAAAATCACCTTGCACACAGCAGTGCACAAAGCACACAGGGGAGTGACGATCTAGTCCAGGAGCTGACACACAATGGCGCTTCGCCCACTTTTGTATTGACCATGAATTATGAATGATTTTTATTTGTAAAAGATTGTGTTTTTAAAGAAGGGGAAGGAGAAAAAAGAGAAAGAAGAAAAAGGAGATGATGATCATGAGACTGAGACCTTGTGTGGCCGCAAAGCCTAAAATATGTGCTACCTGGCCCTGTAGACCACTTGCTTGATAAGCCCTGATCAAGTCCGTCCCTTTATTTTACCACAGGGCAACTCAAGTCCTAATACACCAAGTGACTCAGACGCGCCTGAACACAGGTCTCCAGGCTTCTAAGCAAGCGAAGGAAGATTACCCAACAAGCCACCAGCTTAAATTCATCAAAACGGGTCTCTGTCCAGTCACTTTGATTCCATTTTAAGAACGGACTCCTATCTAAAGCAAAGAAAAATGTGGGCTGCACAACTCATCTGACTTGTTTTTGTCCTCAGCTCAGCCGAGGGCACCTGGCTCTCTGCCCCATGTCTGAAATCGCATCCTGTTTGCCCCCAGAGCCACTCCCTGCCTTCCCCACTACGAGGCCCACCTGTATGCATCCCGAGCTCTCTGGGCACTGGCAGGGAGGAGTGAGGCGAAGGAGGACCCTCTCTGCGGGCTGTCTCATTGGAGATCGGCCCTTCACCAAGCCAGGTGCAGCCTCAAAACCATCCCTTCCCCTCAGGTTGAGGGTGTTAGAAGTGGTTAGGGCCCCCTCACTACTCCAGGCTGTGAACCCCCTGCCCTGCCTTTGTAAAAAGTCACTTTATTTAAACTCACCTCAAACTGCCCATCCTGAGAATGCACTCTGCTCCCTGCAGGGCCCCTGATGGCAACAGCCTTAGGGGCAGTGAGCTCTGGATGTCTGCAGCTACCAGGCCCACTGCAAGTGTGAGGGCTTGACCTCATGAGGCGGGGGCTGCAATAATCACATGATAGCCCTCCTCCTTCTAAATCGAGCTCCTAAGGACACCAGATTAATCACCACTAGCCCATTCTCAAGAGTACCCACAGTGAGTCTAGTGATAGGTTACAACAACACATTGCACTATCAAGACAGATTTTTAAAAAATTCTTCAATGTAATGCAATAACATCTGAGCAGCTGGTATGCAGCAGACACTGTGCTAGGTCTTTCACATACCTAGAAAAGCAACCATCAGTCCTCATTTCATAAATGAGAACACTGAACCTCAAAGAGTTTCAGCGGTGCTTATCAGAGCTCTAGGAGGCTGAGGCAGGAGTCGCCCCAAAGGCCCGCAGATCCACCTCCATGGCTGGCCAGGCTCCAACCAGCAAACAAAGCACACGGCTGCTGGCTAGCCTGGCCACAGACGTCCTGGTCACATTACACAAATTAAAAGAAAAACAGAACCAGAAACAAAAGTTTTCTAACATCATACAGAACTCCCTGAATGCCACATTCACATAATCACATTACCTGGGTGGGCCAGCAGGTGAAATTACCTAGCAGCTCCCCACCTGCCTGTGAATCCTGGGGAAGCTCATTCACATGTTCCTCTGGCATTAAACGAATGGCTGCTCTGCTATGTGCAGTGGTCCCTCTGCTGAACCTCCTCTGCCCCGAACTCAGCATGGAGGAGGAGGCCACGGCCTGCCACGTGCCTGGGTACAAAGGCCTAGCAGTTTGCATCAAGCAACGTTATTGACTTGCCATTGAATAGAAAAATTCTTTCCATGTCCCATTTCATATTTGCTCACGGAACTGATGAGGAATCAGAAGCCCTGCCCTCGCTGTGTGAACTTGAACAAGTTACGCTATGTTGCTGTTTCAGTTCTACCATCTGAAGCGGGGATAATGACAGTGTCACCCACACCCGCCCCCCTACCTCCATCTTGTTCCTCCTGTGAGGCTCAAGAGACAGTGAGACAGATAGAAGTTAAACTCTCAGGTTAAACTGGATTCAAAACATGATGGGACCGGGCACGGTGGCTCACGTCTATAATCCCAGCACTTTGGGAGGCCAAGTCAGGCGGATGGATGGCTTGAGCCCCGGAGTTGGAGACCAGCCTGGGCAACATAGCAAAACCAAGTCTCTACAAAATACAGGAAAAAAAAATTAGCGAGAGATGGTGGCTTGTGCTTATAGTCCCAGCAACCAAGGAGGCTGAGACGGGAGGATCACTTGAGCCTAGGGAGGTAGAGGTGGCAGTGAGCCATGATCATGCCACTGCACTTGGGTCTGGGCAACAAAGAGAGACTTTGTCTCAAAAAAAAAAAAAAAAGATGGGCAAGTTATTTAATTTCTTTGAGTCTCCCTTTTCTCCTTTGCAAGATGAGGAGGTTTCAATGAATTTATATATGTAAAGCACTGCAGAGCACCTGGTGCATAGTATGCGCTATATGTTAACTATATTACTATTATTAGTTTCTTAATGTATAAGACATCTCATTAGTAGCCAACTTATAAAGTGCTGTGAAGATTAAGTACCCAAAATGATAACTGTTTTTGCCATACCATATGAAGGTATTAGGTTGGTGCAAAAATAATTGCAGTTTTTGCCATTAAAATAGCAAAAATTGTATTTTGTAATCACCAAAGTACTATACAAATATACAGTTTAAAAAATAAAATAAGGTTATTGTTTGATGTATTTCCATCTGCCCTGATTCAGATGGTGGAAGACTTGAGGGCTGTTGCCCAGAAATATTAAAATTGACTTAAAACTATTACAAACATAAACAAAATGGGAAAATTATAAAAACATAACATAATGACATTTTATGGCCGATTTTAATTTTAAAACATTTAAACATGTAAAGGTCCCAGGCTCTATAGCATCAACCACCAAAGCCCTTGGCGGTGCCTGAATGCAGGGTGGTGAAGAGCTGGCCATGGCTGTGGCCTTTCTAGATCGCAATGAAGTGACCATCAGACATCTGCCGGGGGGTCCTCACTCATGGATAGTCCCGCTCACCCAGAGGCCTTTCCATCTCAGTTTGGCTTTTGGGCCAAATTTGGAAGCATTACACTTCATTAAGGAAATGAAAGGCTTTTGCTTTACCTATTCCACCAGAGGGGCGGCTTCTCCAATTTCTTCCACTCTGAACTCAGGCGGAAAAGGATTGCCCAGTCCAGAGCCGCTTTCCTCCTTCCAGGAGGTCTGGACACTCACAAAGCCCAGTTATTTGTTTTGCAAACTGTGTATACATTGAATGGAAATGTTTGTTTTCCATATCCCGCTTTACGTCTCTAAAGACAAATGATTAAAGAATCATTTCAAGGGCATTTTTTGTTTTGCTCATCCCCTCCAACCTGCTTGTATTAAGCAGCCTCACTTCCTGCCTTTTAACTTACATTTCTGTCCACCTATCATCCACTCTTCTTTGTTGACCTTTGCGTGTACAGTGTTGCTTCAAAAACCTTCAAAGGAAAGGTCAAAGTGAAATGTCACAAGGGAAGCAGGCCTGATGGCCAGTGGCCAAGGAGGCACCAATGCCCAGGTCTGAGGCTGCCTGTGGCATGCATGACACTGCCCCAAAACGCAGGTGGTGAGGGTGCAGCGGCCGCCTGTGGGTCCCAAGCACGACTCCAAGTGCGACACGCTGTCTAGGCCATCTGGTCCCACACCAAGTCACATCTGTGCCCAGAGAAGCCCAGTGGACCAGTGCGGGCCCCCCAGCCCTCAGGGCAGAGCCAGGACGCTTCACACAAGAGTCACTCATTGGATTTTCTACTCCACGCACACGCTGTCAATAATGGCAGGCGCCACCTAAAGGGGCAGGTGCCAGTGTAATTTAACAGGGGAGAAAAAGTACAGAGGCCACCCAGGAGGATGCTGGAAAGACAGAGGGTGGGGAGTGGGAAGAAACACTCAGGACCCGCGGCACCAGGGCGTGGGACTAGAACGAAAAGCAAGAAGACCATGTGAGGGGCAGGGGAGGAAGGACTGGCCGGATGCCATCAGTTATCATCAATATGAAGGGAATGAGCCCAAGGTAACTCTGAAATCCTAAACTTGGATTTGGAAGCACTGAATCTGAGCTGAGGGTGGCCCTCAGTAAGGCACTGTGGCCCTACCGCTCTGGTTCCCCCAGTCGTTCTCTGCCCTAGTTTGTAATCTACAAAGTGATCAGAAGCTCATAAAACATGGGCACGAGCACTACAGTTGACCAGCACTGGGCGGGGAAGGTGATCCTGGGAAACCTGCATGGGACTGTGCACACCAACCACACCAACCAGAAGCAGCCAACACACACAACCGCAAGGGCCAACTCAACATGGTAATCAACATCTAAAGCTGCACAATTTGATGGAGGAAAACTCCACTTGGAAGGGATAAGTGGTCCAGGAGAAACAGAGACAGAAGCTCAAAGCTGTCAGATCTGCCACAGACAAGTGGCTGGTAAATACAAGAAACCTTTCTTGAAAATGCAGATAGCAAATAATCTATCCTGGAGAGAATAATGTCACGAAACATGAAAAATGTAAATGGTTTATTTGTGCTCTAAAAACACAATGATTTAAACTGAAGGTCACTCAGGACAATATTGTCATCAAAAAATTCTTTGGTGATGACATATATCTGATAAAATATTTATATTCCTAAATGACAGTCAAAATATCCTCGGATCAAAAAGCAGTCTTGCCACATGTCCTGTGTCCAACAGAACAGATAGAACTATCTGGCAAGCAGGTGGGGCTGTGAGAATCTGAAACGAGGAACTTGGATGTGGAGCACACCCAGAGGCACGTGTTGCCGGGAGTGAGATCCCTGGGAGAAAAGAAGGCAGCTGTTACCAGAATCGCGGGGAACACCACACTCTGGCAGCTGAAGGAGGAAGTAGCACACAGATGATGGGGAGGTGCAATTCTAGAGTCCAAAGGCAGACGGACTTCTCTAAAGCCAGAGAGTGTCTGACTCTGTGTGTCTGCCTTAAGGCCCACATCGTCCCCTTTCAAAGTGCACCAGGAGCCACAAAAGACAATGTGACTGGATGGTAACTTAGCAAAGAGCTGTCAGATCAAATACAGGACTGCCCAGTTAAATCTAAATTTCATGTGAATGACCAATAATTGGTTAATGTAAGTATGCCCCAAATATATCACAATGATGTCCCAAATATTGCCAACAAATAATCTTTTAGTATAAAAAAGTTATACTAAAAAAAGTATCCATTGCTTATTTATAATTCAAATTTAACTGGGCATCCAGTATTTTTATTGCTAAACCTGGTAACCCTGGTTTGGTACTGACAGCTCAGGCCTCAGGCCTGAACACCTCCCCTTTGCCCAGCACCTTTCTAGCCGCAGACCATGAACCCTGACTTCCACAGGCATTTCTGCGTACCCAGCTACTAACAAGCAATGACTCCATTCTTTGACAAGCTCTCTCACATGCTGAAAACAAAGAAAGCCTCCTTCAACAGACCCAGAAAATTAGAGAATCTGTAGAAAGGAATGGCCAATCGTATTAAATGTTTCAGAGACACCACAGGGGGTGAGGACTGAGACAAAATCAGGATATTGTCTAATTCAAGAGAGAGGAAATTGAAATTGTGAGCAGTTTTAGTAGAATAGTAGGAGCTTAGTTTACAAAGGGATGAAGATAGATGGTAAGAGTGTGACATTCTCTTTCATTCACTTAATCATTAAAAAACAGGGTTCTTGACCAACTGCCTGTGTTATCACTCTAGCTGTGGGAGATGCCTTGCAACTTCCAGAAAGGCCTACAGAGCTCCCCATTCAGAGCTGAAAGTACATTTTTTATTAATTTTCACCAAATATCACTGACGCTTAATGTTGCCTAGTGCTCACGTGAACAAGAACACGAACTCATCTGTGGGAGTTATGGCCCATAAGGGCAAGAACCTGGGAAAGTCAGTGCCAGCACCTGTAGGAGCTCACCCAATACCTGTGGAACACATGAATACATGAATGGAGGCTGTCTTCTCAAAGAGCCTGTTTTGAAATTTGAAATCTTACATAAAAATGGAAAGCCAAGGTCTAGGGTAAACCTTAACATTTCGTAGCACTCACTGGAGCAGCTAATGCTTTTTTTTTTTTTTTTTTTTGAGACGGAGTCTTGCTCTGTCACCAGGCTTGAGTGCAGTGGTGCGATCTCGGCTCACTGCAAGCTCCGCCTCCTGGGTTCACGCCATTCCCCTGCCTCAGCCTCCCAAGTAGCTGGGACTACAGGTGCGCGCCACCATGACTGGCTAATTTTTTTGTATTTCAGTATAGACGGGGTTTCACCATGTTGGCCAGGATGGTCTCGATCTCCTGACCTCGTGATCCACCTGCCTCGGCCTCCCAAAGTGCTGGGATTACCGGCATGAGCCACCGTGCGTGGCCAGAGCAGCTAATACTTCTTTACTTTTTAACCAGTCTGTCAGCAGAGGATTATTTGCAGCACAAATCACAAGTATCTGTCCTGGGCCCAAACCAAACAAATGAACAAAAACACCTGTTCTACCTAATGAAGCATATGCTAAGATTCACAAAAATAAAGCAGAGAAGAAAAGCTACCACCTCCTAAACTCAAGCTAATCTTGTTCAGAAGGCACTTTTTCTAGGCCCCTTTGTGTTACCGTTGCAACTGTTCTTTAGTTACAGGAGCATTTAATCAAACAAACACCTAAGAACACCATGATTTTCTTATTTATATATAAAGGTATTATTCTACCCGGTGCCAATTTCTCTTGCTCTGTGCTGGAAGAATGCCCAGGCAGATCTTCTCAAAACAGTAAACTCAAACAACAAAAAAAGAAGAAGACATAGTTTTAAAAGCCGAGTGCTGTATACTGCCTCTAACTTATGATAAATCCCCAGTATATTTTGAATTTTTAAAGAGAAACCTTTACTTGTTTTGCTTCTGTAAACTTTCCTTTGTGCTAAAGGACTCAACTTTAGAATTTACAAACTTAAATAAGAGTCTGAACTAAAGATGTATTTAGCTCTTGGATATGCTATTAAGTATTACTTGCCATAAAACAAATGTGCCATACTTCTGCCCCCGAATCCCGTAAAATATCTACTTTTAGGTATTTTATGACACAGTTAACAGTGAGCCTAAAAGTAAGTTTACGTACAAACTAAACCAAAGGTTTTTCATACCAATGTCTAAAAAGTTTAGATTCCAAATGTAGTCTATTTTCAATACAGTACAAACTTTTTCAAAGTTGGCTCAAAGAAAGAGATTTCTGTCCCTGTTTGAGGGACATGAGTGCCCACTGTGGTCACCTGCCTCTGCCCTGCAACTTCCAGAAAGGCCTACAGAGCTCCCCATTCAGAGCTGAAAGTACATCTTTTATTAATTTTCACCAAATATCATTAATGTTTAATGTTGCCTAGTGCTCACATGAACAACAACATGAACTCATGGCTTGATAACTGGTGGAATTATCAAGAAATTTAGGCCACGTGTGGTAGCTCATGCCTATAATCCTAGCACTCTCGGAGGCTGAAATAGGAGGATCCCTTGAGGCCAGGAGTTTGAGAATAGCTTGGAGAACATAGCAAAGCTCTGTCTCTACAAAAACTATTCTAAAAAATTAACCAGGTGTGGTGGAGTGCACCTGTAGTCCCAGTTATTCAGGAAGCTGAGGCAGGAGGATTGCTTCAACCCAGGAGGTCAAGGCTGCAGTGAGCTGTGATCACGCCACTGCACTTCAGCCTGGGTATCAGTATGAGATCCTGTTTTTTAAAAAAAAAAAAAAGGAAAGAAAACAAAAGAAATTTAAAGCTTCCTGCAGGTAGGAAGAACCACACAAACTATATTCAGATAAGACTGAACAATTTTCTAACAGCAGAGAACTAGCTAATGCAACTGACATGGTGTTGAAATTGGGAATCAGTTACTTGCATTGTATCACTGTTTCTCAGGGTCATACACTCTCCCTACATTCCAAAGGCTGACACCAATAGTACCAAGTTCAAATCAAACCTATACTTGGTGGAGCTGCAGAAAGTGAGAGAAGGAGGGGACAGGACAGGATGTCTGGGCCATCCCGATGGTCCACTTGGTCTGTTCATTTGCTGAGCGGCCTTGTTCCGTGAGTGCCCTGTGGGCTTCCAGGACAACAGATGCACCATCTCTAGTGCCATTTGAAACTAAATGAAAGAATGAGGAGGAAAAAAAAAAGGAAACTGGTATCTGCTGCCCAACTGATAAATGCGCAGCTCTGTACTGAGAATTGGCCAACCATTGCCTCGATTCTCAGACACCCTGGAAGTTGGCACCTGGCAAGTGGGCAGAGGAAGGCCTGCAGCAGGTTCCTACAGCCGGTCAGCACCAGAGACCAGGCTAGAACCCAGGTCTGTCTGGCGCCAACACCTCTACTCCTCTTCCCATTCAGGTAGCTCTGGGTCAGAGGGGCCCTGGTCCTAGCCTGTCACCTCCATCACTGGTTGTCTTTTTTTAATCACCTAAATTTAAATACCATTACAGAAGTTTACAAATTGCTTTATCCAGAGTGAAACACAAGGTGAATTCTAAAATTCAAATGAAATTTGGCATAAGGTCTTTTACTGTAGCCTGAATCGGCAAAAGGTACAGTGAACTCAATGGTCGGATGGGGCAGGGGCTTCCTCTCCCTGCACCTCAGTAGCCACCTTCTCTCCCAGCCACTTTGTTGGTGAAGACGTCTGGGGCTTTTCTCCACACCTCAAGCTGGTGGCCAGGCTGGCATCCAGCTCTGACTCTGAACTCCCACCCAACTAGGTCAGGGTTAGCCAGAGCCAGGCGCCAGATTCAGCAGGCTCCCACAGTTGGAGCCAAATACACGAGTCAGCTCCAAGTACCTCGCTGGTGAGGGGGTTGGTGAGGCTGTGGAGGAAGCTGGATGCCCAGTGTAGGAGAAGTGACACTAACTGAAGAGTGGCAGTGTCTTCTGGGCGTGTGGCTCTGGGAAGTCCCAAGTAAAGGGGGACAGGTGGAAAACACACACTGGAGAGAACAGGGAAATCTGAAATTTGTCTCCAAGAGAGTTGTGTCCACGCTGGGGCTGCAACTTGCTTTGCAATGACGTGCAGAATGCAAGCCAGGCAGCTCTGACGGGCCTCTTGGCCACCAAGTTGTCCTGCTCCTCACTGAAATGCCACATAGCCTGTACTTGGACGGCCAAGATCACAAGAAATAATATCTTGGTCAACCTTAGTCGTCTCTGGCCGAGTGTCCTGTCTTTGGAGGAGCTCACAAAGCAGGCTTTGTGGGCTGGCATGCCCCATGACAGCATTTGCAAAAGATTTGTGATCACCCCAAGCACCGCTAGCCCCCGCGTGCTGGGCAACCAAGGAGAACCACGTTCTTCTGGAGCTCGAGACCCTCTCCTCCTCCACTCCCTCTGCTTGGGTCAGTTTGTCACCAGCTGTGGAAAGTCCTGTTTGCTTTTCATTTGTTCTAAAACATTTGCAAGTTCTGAGAAGGAACACGTGCTGACTTCTAGAGCTGGTCACTAAGTCCGTGGTTCTCCTTGCTGTGGCCTGTGGCATTTGAGACTCTGAGGGCATTTCTTACTCTCATTTTCGGGATCTTTCAGTCAACCCTCTTAGGAAGTCCTTGCCATCCCCAAACAAAAGCCAAGCCTTCTTAGGGGCTGGCAAATGAGATTTCCCCTCTCCTGTAGCACAACCCTTATCAGATTTCTGTCCGGAGAGCAGATATTTAAGACATCTGAACTTGGGCTGCACAACTGAAGTTTTTTTTTTGTTTTTTGCAAATCGAACTCTTTGCCATCCTTTGTCCTACTGCAAACCTTACGTGAACTCAGTGGCACAGCTGAGTGTGCTCTGTTCAATCCAAGGGCGTGTTATTTTAATACACACACATCTGCAAGTGTAGATAAGAATACCCTGTCATCGGCAGGATCACATCTGCTAAGGCAAACCTAAAGGACCTTGGGCAAACGTTGTGAGGCCCAAGAAAGGTGCCGAGTGTCCACCGTCTGTCCCCAGCTGAGTCTGCCCAGAGCCCAGCCGTGGTTCAAAAGCCCTGGAAGGGCTGCAGAGAGGAATGCAAATCTGGCACAATCTGTCCTGAACTATTTCTCCCTGGAGAGGACACGGCAAGCTACTGGTTCAACCGGGCACCCCGGGTAGCTCTTGCCCGGTGCCTTTTCACTGGGTACTCTGAGAGCTCCAAACCCACTAAGGATCCACCAATGCTGGAAAAGTGATCCCTCAATACCCCGGCTCCCTGTCACAGCCTGTCAAAAGCCACAGACTTTAATGAGTCCTCTTGTTCTCAGACCCAAGGCCTCTTTCCACAGCCCTGCCCTTCTCTCCGCAGGCGGGGCCTGGCAGCAGGCAAGAACTCTCGCTCTCACACATCTTTCAATATTGCCTTTTTCTTCATTCCGCTGGGGAAAAGTATGTCCCTCAGGAGGGCAGAAGAGAAACAGATACAAGTGGTGCCACCATGAAGGGTTTTCTACAAGAAACCTTTCAGGCAGCAGACAGCTCTCTCTAGATATCTCAACACAGAGCTTCGGCCAGACTCTGCTGTGGAAATGCTTCATCCTCAATTCAAGCTGGGTCTCTTTCCTTTGATGAAGCCTGTATATATTTTGATGTGTATGGCTCACTAATCCTTTTGAAAAATAACTTCTCTCAGGCTTCCTCCCTGGTGAGATAGTATGGAACTGAAACTTCTCATGGCCTATCCCGACATTCCAAACTCCACCTGAGGCGCCCCGCACAACAGGACACCACGGCCAGGGATCTGACACCAGGAAACGGCTGCCCCTGTCATGAATGGATAAGCATCCACTAGCAATTTTTTTTTTTTTTTGAGATGGAGTCTCACTCTGTTGCCCAGACTGGAATGCAGTGTTGCAATCTTGGTTCACTGCAACCTCCGCCTCCTGAGTTCAAGCGATTCTCTTGCCTCAGCCTCCCGAGTAGCTGGTACTACAGGCACACACCACCATGCCTGGCTAATTTTTTTATATTTTTATTAGAGACAGGGTTTTGCCATATTGGCCAGGCTAGTCTCAAACTCCTGACCTCAGGTGATCCACCCGCCTCAGCCTTCCAAAGTGCCACTGCACCTGGCCAGCATCCACTAGCTTTTCATCAGACCATGAAATGTTTGGTCCACGACTGCTCACTCTTTCCAGAGCTGCACTGGAAATACACTATTCTGAACGGCCCAAGTTCCTCCGGAGTATTCCTCTGATGGGGCACAAACCTGGTGGACCACAAGCATGCTGGTACCAAGTGCTTTTTATTTTTACAAGAGCCATTCTGCTCCTTCTGGTCGAACCGGTGCCCTGCTCCATGTTTCTGGGCTAACACAGGCAAAGTAACACTTCTCTACTAGAGGTCTCTGTCATCGTCCTCCTACCAGACCCATTGTTCCTACTAGATCTGATCGTGGTTGTTCCCACTCAACATCCACTTTCACAGCATGGTCACCAAACTGCTCAGAGCTCTTTGGCGGATCCATAATCATGGAATGTCCCTGACTTCCTGTTTAGGGCTGGAAACCTCACAGAGGGTAGCATCTTAGTGCAAGCTCTTCAGACCCCCAAGGCAAAAAATGTGGCCTGGAGAACCTGCCTCTTGCCCAGGATCACATGAGTCCATGGCTGAGCCTGTGGGGTGAAGGTCTCTCTAACTCCAGGCCGTGACTGCTGAGGGGCCAGTGCATCCAGGAACTGCCATGCAGCAAGTGTGATAAGTCCCCAGGAGGACTCCCGAGGCCAGGCAGGAGGGGACATGTCTGGGTTCTCAGGCTCCAAGGTACTTCAAGCTCTGTTAAGAGTCCAGGATTCCTACACCGTGCTTCCTCTCTGCTTTTCTACATTTATTTCTCAGTGGCTTCATAACTGCCTCCCCGTTTTGAGATCTATTCCATGTTACCCCTCTTCATGCCCAGACAATACATAAACACATGCGGAGAACACACTTTCAATGGCTGGCAGAGCCTCCTCCTTCATAGGCCTTTTTCACACCTGGAAACAAGTCTTAATTTCCTCACGTGGCTGCTTCACTAAACAATCAAGACATGTCTCCTTACCTGATTGATTTTCCCTCTCCAGCAAGGTGATGAGTGCTATAAAGCAGAGAGACTATTCCTGGGCCCAACTGCGAAGTTTCACCCATGGAATATGTTGTTAATCTTAACGCCTGCTGAGGCAAATGAATAATATGCCAGTTTCTAGAGACTGAAGGTGATTAAAAGCTACCCTCTACATTCCTGCAAGAGGTACCATACAAACGAAATCAGATTTCCCCAAAGAAGCAATGCCATGATGGGATTTTCAACAAGGCAATACACACACGGCTCAAAAATTCAAAAGCTACCCAAAGTCACAGGGTAAACTGCAAGTGCCCTCTATCCCCTGAACCCCACATTCCCACCACCGCCAGAGCCTCCCGGAGAAGAGCCAGCCTTGGCTCACATTTTACAGAAGTGATCTCAAGTTCTGAGTTTTAAAGAAAAATGTAAATGACATGTTTCTATGCTATTTAACAGAAATAGGATATTTCTAATGAACTGTTTAGCCTTCTAAGGGAGTTTATGAATTAATGAACCAGGCAACAGAGAAAAATAAAAATCACATACAACTGAGCTTAAGAACGTTCCATTCCCATGACATCCCGACCCTGCCCCCACCCTCGCTTCTCTCCCTGTGAGAAGGTACAAGAAAACCATTTTGATCAAGGAATGTTCTGGGAGTTTTCACAGGCGTTTGCAGAAAATACAGAAGCTTGGGACCCCTTCAAAGCCTTCCGAGAGACCCATCTACTTTGCTCTCTTCTTCCTTACTTTCAATGTCCCTGTGCAAACCCCCGTGCTAGGCATAAAGCTCTGAAGTAAACATAGGTCAGACACAGCCAAGGTTTCCCTGAATACTCGTGCCCAGCACCTTTGGGGTGACAGAGATGTGTGGGAGCCATGCTTCAGCACCCCGTTACCTTTAGCCAGCCACTTCTAAGACTTTTAAAGAACCAAATATAAGTCAGCTGCAAAGAGGCTTAAACACTACAGCATACAGCCAAGCATGCGCTGTCCCCTCTAAGTGGCATTCTGGTTTAAGGTCTTACGGGCAAGGGTCCCTGGAACTTCACCCCAGTGCTAGCTCTGGCAGCGCCATGCCTGCCCCTGAGGCACACCCCCAAGACAGGTTCATCTCCCACCTCATCTGCCCATTAATTAGAAAGCTCCTGACATCTGCCTCTTCCATTAAGAATTTCCTGAGGATGACGAACAAGTAGCAACCTCTCCTTCGCCCATTTCACCACCCCCAGCCTTCTGGAGGAATCACTTTGCATGTTAATTTACACCTACTCCTTTAGCGGCAAAATACCAACACATTTATGTGCAACCTCAGGAATGGGATTTTTCTTCTCGGAGAAACCTCCCTGAAGGCTGGGGCTTAACCCTTTACACACCAATCCTAATTGCAACTCATGTTTATTGCCCTCTCGTGCTAAGCCTGGCAAGGCGCTAAAAGCTTCAATCCTTAATATAACCTACAAGAGGGGAACTGTAAGTTTCTCCATTTTTCAAATGAGGAAACTGAGGCACAGAGTTGCATGTGGGTGTACAACACAGACCTCTTGAAATGAGGAGGGCTGCTTGCCACTCGGCTAATTATCCCTGATGGCAGTAGTTACTGAGTTCTTCCCTCTCTTCCATGGGTGTTCTGTCCTTGTCCTCACTGCCAAGCCCTCAGCTATCACTCCTTGCCGGTGCCAGAAGCCCCGCCTCTGCTGCCAAATTCACACATCCTATCTGCAGACGGCTGTAAAGCGATAACCAAGCTGGGCCGAAATAAGTGTACAGGCTATGACTGGGTCGCCACACCCCTGCCGTCCCAAGGCCACTAACGTAAACGGACTCTGGGACAGCAGCCTCTTCAGTTCAGTTGAAAAGATCATTTTGAGCATCCACTTCCTAGCAGGCACTGCTCTTGGTACAGGAGGCACAAAGACACATGCATCCCAGACCCTCAGGGAGATGTGGTCTAATGGGCAGATCAGGTCTCCCTGCAGTTGTTCCAGGTTCCAGCAGTTTTGGAGGTGCTTGCTACTCCCAGTGACCCTGAGAGCTGGTTAGAAATGCAGTCTCTCAGACCCCCTCCCTGAGCTCCCAAATCAGAATGTGCATTTCAGGAGATCCCCAGGGGAGGATTTGTATGCACGTGTGGTCTAGACAGTTTAAAGATACCCACAGTATGACCTTAGGATATGAAAGGCACTATTACATTATGCCAAGTACTTAACTTGCACACTCACTGAGATACGTTCCTTCTATCCTTACTGCCCACTCCTACTGCCACTTCTGCCCAATCCATATGACCTTAGCTACCTACACGCTCTTTAGATAGCAATGAAGGAGTAACAGTCATAATGAACAGGACTGTTACAAAATGCACCCAATGTACACAACTACAATGGAAATGTTTCCTGCTTTGTGTGCTACATTTCCAGAAACAATACGCTCCAGTTAGTCTTATCCCCAGGTTTAACTTTTCAACTTTTTATTTTACACAGCTTGCATCTTTAGGTGCAGGTCCCTCATTAGGTCTAGACCTGGCAGCGATGTGGCCTTCAGGCCCCACCCCAGAACTGTAAAGGAGCCCACACCCGTGCCCGCATGCACAGTAAAAGTGTGCCCCCACAGTTCTGTTCCTTCAAGGAAGTCTAGGAACAAGGGCAATTCCCAGAACTCAAATGTTTGAGTCACTGCTCATTTGGATATGGGGCAGTATTGCTTGCTCCCACAAAGCATCCGTGTTGAGAAACCCATGCTTTCCCTCTGTCCCTGCTCCCAAGTACCTCCCCAGGGTGGAATCGTGCTTTCTTCCTTCACACAGCAGGACACTTTGCTGGAAAGAGACTCTTGCTGGGACCTCTGTGGGTCAAGGCCAGCAGCTCTTAGTAGACTTCAACTCTTCCAGCAACTCAAACTCTATGCAGGGTGACTCAGCAAGACCTCCCTTGCAGATGCTCCACACAGGACCACTCATGGGCAACCAGGAGCCGCAGGAAAGTGACTTGGATTTGTGCAGAGAGCTTTCACCTCCCCTGGCCACTGCCCTACTCCAAATCACCCAAGAAACATGAGACGGCAATGCCCTCACCTTGACTCATCAGACCACAGAGTCTTTCAGTAATTAGGCCTGAATCCCAGCACAAATTAGATCTGATAATTTTCTAAAATTCTAATTGTATCAAACTCTGAGACCAGCAAGACAGACATTCTTCCCAGTTCAATAAAATTACTCACAGAACTAATGAGTGCTCTTGCTTAATTTCTCCCAAGATTGCCCTCTGGAAAGAAAGCAATCTGAAAAAAGAAATGTCTTCCAACAAAAGTTAAAAAAACAAACAAACAAACAAAAAACCTAGCTGCTGAAACTGTGAGGTTATAGATTTGTGGGGGAAGTGTGGTACACTTGCAATAACAGAGTCATCATTTATTTCAAACGTTAACATATATAACAGCATCAGATCAAGTTCATGAGGTTTCTTCTCAAATACCAACAATGGTGATGGTAATATTTGTAACTTTTTTTTTCTTTTTTTTTTTTGAGACGGAGTCTCACTCTGTTGCCCAGGCTGGAGTGCAATGGCACGATCTCGTCTCACTGCAACCTCCACCTCCTGGGCTTAAGTGATTCTCCTGCCTCAATCTCCCTAGTAGCTGGGACCCAGCCCTCTGCTAGGACTACAGCTACTCGGGAGCTGTACTGCGCCACCATGCCCAGCTAATTTTTTGTATTTTTAGTAGAGACGGGGTTTCACCATGTTGGCCAGGCTGGTCTCAAACTCCTGACCTCAGGTGATCTGCCTGCCTCGGCCTCCCAAAGTGCTGGGATTACAGGTATGAGCCACCACACCTGGCCAATATTTGTAACTTCTATATGAATTTTTAAGAGTACTGTAAAGTAAGCACTCTGAGTTCTCACAACAAATTTATTTTTATTGAGAAGCATAGTAAATAAAAGAAACTTCCCAAGAACAAGGACAGACATTTGCACATTGTTTCAATAAATGAGGCCATTTATCTTGTTCTAGTTCTGTTATGTCATTGTACCTTTGTTAGGCAGAGTCAATTCCCTTGATTTACAATTGTTTTGTGAATTATATACACAGACTTAAAGACATTTATTTTCTAAGAAAAAAAAAGAAAAAACATTCAAGCATTTCTTAAGCAAAAGTCCATCCAACCTTTTCAAGAAGAACTATTTAATGGTATGGCTGCTATTGTTAATATAGTTTCAATACCGTTCGATATTAACCCATAAGATTTAGTCAAAAAATAACATTTCTATGAGTATCTTTTCTCACTCTTCTTCCCCAAAATCCTTAACTCTTTCAGACAGGTTCTTCGTCGCATCACGCTGAATAAAATAAACTCAAAGAAAATCAGAGCACTGAAATTAACAAATGTATGGCCCATTTCTAAAAACTCACATACAGCCTGACCAGGCCACCTTTGGGACACCACTGTGTCAGGTTAACGAAGGACAGATACCCCAGTATGCAAAAGCAAACCACACTGGGGAATTCACACAGGTCTGCCCTGAAAACCTACTCACTTTCTTGGGCATCATCACAGAGAATAATGTCCCCTTCAGTCAGAAACTCCTAAATCACCACAAAAAGAAACCTTGACTCTTCAACTTTCTTTGCCCTAACTGGTCTGGATGGAGAATTGACTCCCATCCCCTAGTGCCAGCAGTGAACATGAAATTCAGGACAATGTGGTGGAGTTGCAGGTGAGGTGTGGCTCATATGTCTAAACCTAGTGTGTTTTGCAAACTCCAAGTTGCCACGAGGAATTTTTCTTGTAATGAAATAGAAAAGAATAAAAATTATCTCAGCGTATCACAGATAGTAAAAATGAGTACTGTTTCATAAAAATTTTCATTTTATCTATATATCAATATGTGTGCCTCTGTGTGTGTACTTGATTACAATGTAAATTTAGTTCTTATTGTAGACTGCGGTCAAAGAAGTTTAAAAGCCGCCATCCTCGGGAACACCCAGTGAGTACCAGTGTGTGCGGGTAACCAGTAGTCCCATCCCAAACAGCCCAGAGAAAGGCTTTCCCAGCACCGGGCTTCCAGAATCCTGTGCTAAGCTGACAGTACAGAAGAGGCAGCCAACAGGGCTCTGAATCCCAAGTGCCTGAAGGAGGAATGAAACAATCTCACCAGAGAGGAAAGGACAGCTGTGACAGTCACCCTCCCTGAACAAGACCACTGAGACCAGGGATGGACATCTTCCAAGCTAACCTACAGTGCAGGTAAGAATGGGAAGCTGCATTTTTAGATAACTATCCATTAGAAACCAGGACGACATATGAACAGTGTATCTTGGTAGCCTTGGATGCTCAAGGATGAGAAACCCTGGGCAAACCAGGCAAAAATTCTCAACCACAGGACAGGACAAACTGGCCCAAAGGTTCCTTAGTTACAGAGTAAGTAAGAAGAAGCTGTAATTCTACCCCATCTGGGAACATTAGGAAAAAGACAACATCTGATACTCTGATTTCAGTAGAACTGGATTCTTCCAAAAATATAAATGTCAAAGTCACCCATTCACAGTATAATTTGTACCAAAGTGCAAAATGGGGTATGTATGTGTGCCAAAGAACAAAATCTACCAGAACTGAGCTGCTAGGGCAAAATTACAACAGAAACTTAAAATAATATATTGTCCCATCCACCTGCCAAAACATTAGCTCAAAGACATTCCTCCTTTAAATACAGTTTTACTAATTATAAGAATAGTCATTCAATAAATATTTCTTGAGCACTATTTTAGGTGCCACAAACACTGCAGTGAGAAAAACAAAGTCCAATTTTTCCAGTCTTTTCTTTCTGTGCAAATACATATATCTCATTAAGCTAACACGGAACATGGGAAATTGCACCCAGATGGTTTCACTTTTAACATTAAAGTTTCTCCCACAAAATCAAATGTTCTTTGAAAACGCCATTCTTACTGGCTACATAGTATTCTAACATGGAAATGGTATCATGATTTACTGAAAGACACTCCCAAATGCTTACCACAAGATAAAAACACAAAGGAGAGACATCATTAAATAGAACGTTAGACCTAGATTCAGAGCCTTAAGGAAAAAGAAGAAAAAAAAGGAAAATACAATCTTACAAATCTCAGAGACCCCACTATTTTCCTCCACAGGGATGAATATTCACATCCACACCACTGGCCACATCAAGCTCTAATTTGTGCATCTCCCTTTATAAGCCCCACTCCCTCTTTGATCGAAGAGAACATTGTCTGCACAGAACAATACGTTTTCATTTCAATTTCCCTTCTTTTCAGGAAAGGAAATGTTTGCACTTCAAAGGGTTTCTTTGAAGAGTAGCCCTTCAGCTCTGGCCCGTCCAGGTTGGGCGTTACGTGGACTCAGCAGGGTGTGTGGAGTCTGGGCGGCTGCCCACCGAAGTCACTCTCAAGGCCAGCTCCTTCAAGGAGAGGGTCTGGGGCCGGAGTAGAAAAAACAAACACATGGAAAAATACTCAAGGCTTTTGATCATGACCTTCAGAGGCCCATTTTCACACATAACATAGACTTACAGCTCAGGGAAACTGAGGTACAAATGATGGGGAGCTGAGGACAATGACGTAGTAGCTTCTAAGAACAAAATCCTTCCAGAAACCAGACTCGCTTAGCAAAGACCCGTTCTGGGCCAGGAAAGGGGAGAGCCACTCTCAGTTCCAGCTGTTATGGCGAATGGACCACCTAAGCGGACAAAGCAGGGAAGCGAGATCCAAACTTCACTACCTGCACCAGTTTTAAAACCTTTCCCTAGGAACTTTTGAGAAGCACAGTCATTGGCAAACAGCAAACTTCACATGGTAAAATTTCACATTTTATTTCTTCCGTAGCCCACTGGTAGGGGCCAAGAGGCTCATTAAAAGGCAAGTCTAACAACCACATGAAGCACCCAAGAGCTCACTGATATGGGGCCAGTGCTGTTTCCCTCAATCACGCTCCAGGCCCCATCCTTAACCTCTGCCAAGTCCAGGAAGCAAGGGGTATAGACCAGACAAGAGTGGGCCTGCAACATTTCTTTTCAAGTCTCAAACAAGTTCTGGATATTTATTAACGATCTCCACCCTTCCCCACCTGGAGGATATGCACCACAAAGGCACCACCAAGGCTGGTTAAGTCTGCCTGCTCGGTGGGCACCTGCCCAAGGGGTGGGCAGGAGCATGAAAGACCGTCAGCTCCAGACAGGGGCCGGCTCCTCCCACAGCCCCAGGACTTGGCTGCGGGGCTCCTGACTAGTGTGTGGGTGGTGGAGGGATCACGAGTCTGTGTGGCCAGGTCACCAGAGCTGAAGGAGCTGAGAAAGTCTTTCCACCACCTTTCTGGTCGATCACTCAGCCTCTGAGCTGGAATTATGAATGGGTTTTATTTTCTCCTTCTTTTAATTTTCTGTAGTTTCCAAATTTTCCACAACAAACATTCTAACTTTTAGAAACACTTTTTCTTAAAAAGGCTTATGAGGTAGAAAATCACACCTCTTTTGAAAGAACCCCCACACTGCAAAACTCCTTCCCCAAAAATACTTAGCTATAAAGGACATTATGTGGACGACTGCAAGTCAAATATGGACTGTGGCCTAGATCGCAGGGTTGTATTAATGTTAAATTTCCTGACTTTGCTATTGTACCATGGTTATGTGAGAGAAGAGCCTTGTTCTTAGGAAATATACACTGAAGTATAGAGGGCAAATAAAATGGCATGACGTCTTCAGCTGACTCTCAAATGGTTCAGAAAAAAATGTATGTGTCTGTGTGCATGTGAGTTTGTGTGGGGTGGAGAGAGAATAGAAGGAGGCAAAACATAACCCACCTGTGCATCTGAGAGACGGTACCCAGGAGTTCCTTGCACTCCTGCAAATTTTCTTTTCTTTTCTTTCTTTTTTTTTTTTTGAGACAGTATCTCACTCTGTTACCCAGGCTGGAGTGCAGTGGTGTGATCTCGGCTCCCTGCAACCTCCGCCTCCCGGGTTCAAGTGATTCCTGTGTCTCAGCCTCCCGAGTAGCTGCAACTATAGGCATGCGCCACCAACACCAGGCTAACTTTTGTATTTTTCGTAGACATGAGTTTCACCATGTTGGCCAGGGCTGGTCTCAAACTCCTGGCCTCAAGTGATCTGTTTGCCTCAGCCTCCCAAAGTGCTGGGATTACAGGCGTGAGCCACCATGCCTGGCCTCTGCAACTTTTCTTTAAGTTTGAAATGTTATCCAAAAACTGCTGAAAAAGAAAAGGGGAAAAGGAGAAGGGCAAAAGGGATGAGGGAAGAGTTCTCCTAACTCTAACTGCCAGTCTTTCCCAGGGGCCTTCACTGGGTCCCAGAAACTGCACCCTAACGCCCCCAGCTCCTAGACCAGGCCTCATCCCAAGGGAGGGCAGGAGGTGTCCCTGACACTGTGGAAAAGCTGCGGGCCAGGAAGACTCTCCCAAGTCACTTTGGGGAAGACGGGCCCTTGCTGCAGGCCCTGGTGTGGACAGCTCCTGCCCCAGCCTCTCTGAGAGTGTTAAAGATGCATCCTCTAAGGAAAGGGGGCACCTCCGCAAGATATTGTAGAAATCAGCAAAGCCAAGCCAAGGGCAGGATGACAGCGGCCACTGGCCTTAAGAAGGATGGAACACAGAAAAGGAAGCTGACTTTCCCCTACGAACAGTCTCTGATTTCCACAAGACCCCCTGCAAAGGGGTCTCCCCAGGTGGAGATGGAGGTGGAGTGTGGGCGTGGCTGGATGGTGATAAATCAAACAAGGCTCCATTGTGGTCTGGGCAGGAGGCATTGCATCCAGCCAAAGGCTGGTGATGTAAATGCCAAACTACTGACCCAGAAAGAATGCAGCCCAGCCTCCGTCACACACACCGGCTCCTGACACTGGCCACGTCCCAGCGCAGCTGCCCCAAGGACCCCAGGGCTCCAGCTGTGCCAGGTGCCTGGACTTGGGAGGGGGAAGACCCACTTTCAGAGACAGCAGAGGGAAATCAGGGCAAAGAGAGGGGAGGCAGGGTGCCCTCCAGCGTTGGGGCGGGTGACCGGTGCCAGCACCACCTGGACTCAGCCAGAAACAGAGGGACGCAGGCAGATGGGCTTCAGATCTGTCTGCCTCCCACTCAGTGTACACAGGGCAGGCCAGGCCAGGCCTATCCCGAGACAGGCTGGAGTCCAGGTACAGGCAGACATCTGGGTTCCAATCTTCACTCTGCCACTGACTGCCTACCTGTGTGCCCGTGGGCCACCTGCCTTCCCCTCTCCCCATCAGTCACACCAGAAGGGCCGATCCCACTGGGTGGTTAGGAAGATTCAAATGAAACATAGATAAAGCGCAGAGTACATGGTGAGCACTAAATAAGTGCTTGCAATGATTGATCTTACCTAGCCCCAGGGCCCCTCCCTTCCTTCCTACTTGGCCTAACAGACTTTGGCTAATGGCACTCAGTAAGCAGACAAGATGCAGAGAAGGACACTTCGAACACGTCCATAACAGATCAACTCCAGCCACTTTGTGGGGAGGATGAGCCCCTGCCTTCTCACTGCTGCCCCCAGGTGGGTGTCGCCCACCACCCCTGTGCTGTATGGAGACATCCTATCCTACAGACCCAAGCACGGGATGAGTGAGGTGGGAAACACGGCCCAGAGTTTCAGCTTTTCAGCTTTGCTTTTTCTAAAACCCAAGGGCTTCGGAGTAATTTGAACAACATGTTTGGGATGACTGTAGCCAGGGCAGTCACTCCCGTCCTGCCCCCCACCAAACACACACACATACATATACACATACACATACACATACACATAAACATACACATACCCACACACAGCAAACACTAAGAAAGGGGCTGAGAGCTCTGTTTCCCAGGAGTCCTAGAAGTCACTGAGCGCAAGGTGCATGGGTCTGAGTCCTAAGCAAACCTGCACCCCATGCTCAGGGAGACATCAGGATTCCAAAGAGAGATGGCTTCAAGTCCATCCAGGCAGTCAGAGCCAAAACAGCCCAGAGACTATTGTTCCTTCCCTCAGACCTGGGACCAGATGGGATGGTGAACCTGTCAGCAGATGCCTCAGAGGCCCGCATCCCTCCTCCAGCACCCTGGGACTATGTCTGCCCCTTCTAATTTAGAAACCCACCCAAGGAAAGAGCACAACATTTTAATGCCTTGGTAAAATGAGAGAGCGAAATTAAGTTGTTGTAAAAATTATTTTTCTCAGGGCTAGGCTAAGTGGCTCACGACCATAAACCTAGCACTTTAGGGAGGCGAGGCAGGTGGATCACTTGAGGCCAGGAGTTTGAGACCAGCCTGGGCAACATAATGAGATCCCTTCTCTACCAAAAAATAAAAAATAAAAATTAGCCGGGTGTGGTGGTACACACCTATGGTTCCAGGTACCTCAGAGGCTGAGGTGGGAGGATCGCTTGATCCCAGGAGGTGGAGGCTAATACAAGCTGTGACTGCACCACTGCACTCCAGCCTGGGTGACAGAGTGTGACCCTATCTCAAAATATATATATATTTTTCTCCCACACCTAAATCAAGGAACTGAGCCTTCTTTCCAGTATAATAGTTAACACTTACATGCAACATTTAGACTTGTGCCAGAGGCTGTGTTAAATCCATAACATGGATTATCTCATTTAAATCCTCTCAGTCCTATAAAGTAGGCACTAGAAGGCAATTATTATGCAAACAATATGAAAAAGAATTTAAATGTGGTTCTGAGGAATATCTCAGAAAAGACACTGACCCCGTAAGTGGAACCCACTCTGGGGCTCTGCTCTTTCTGCCAGTAGGGATCATGATGTCTCCTTTGACCCCACAGCGTAGAAGCCCCATAACCTCATGTTGCAGAGGCCCCATACCGAGCAGAGGCCACTCCCTGAGTCACCACTGCTAGATGGTTTCTACAATGCAGAACTCACTGTGCAGGACACGGCAGTGTGGGATCCACTTTTAAAGAAACAGGAAAGCAGCTGGTTGCCCTCACAGCCAAGAATCCGATCTGAACAAGTATTCTGAAGAAAGCACTGCAGTAGGAATATGGAAAGCTAGGAAACAAAATTGCCATGCCCTCTGTGCCCCCAGAAAAGGGAGGGGGGCAAGGGGACAATCAGAAAAAAATGGAAAGACAATGTAGCCAGACATAGTCCTACCAGAAGAAGGGACATCCTCTCCCACCTCCAAATAAACCCCCAGGTTTCCTCGCGCTTGATTTTTGGTTGCCACGGTCAGAAATTTTTGGTTGCCGTGGTCAGAATTGCAGGCTGCTAACAAAAGGACTGATCTCAAGAGAGAAATGTAAATGCATGGACTTGGTGCCTTGATTCTTTCAAAGAACACTGTGGACTCCATGCTTCCTAACTTCACTACTGTGAGGCTGAGAGGGACAGGCTCTCCCAATATACAGATGGAGCCAGTATGTAAGGTTCACGAAGTCTAAATTACTTCAGAGAGAAGCAAAGCCAGAGAAGCCAGGAGCGGTGCTGTTCCCAGTATTGGTCCCAACTCCCCTCAAAGAAGCATCCTTCGTTTCAGGGCAGATAATCATCCCATTCTGCATTGAAGCTGTGAAGGCCTCTTCCCTCAGTCACACGGCTCTGATTCCAGTTATCCAGTGTGTTCACCAAATGCAATACCTGCCATTCCCCACTGTTCCTGACAATAACTAGAGGAAAAAAGCCCAATGAAAGCCACTGGGTGTGGCAGGAGGGGCAAACCACAGACCAGCCAGAATCTGGTCCAAAGCCCAGAAACATCTTTTCTGAAGCCCAAGTTCCTGGGATGACCAAATCTCGACCAGTGGGCCAGGTAAATGGCATCCCCTGGGTCTGCCAACACTGCACATCTGAACGAATGCCTTGGGAGAAAAAGGAACACGGCTAGCAAGCCACCAAATCATTTTCCCAGTTTGATGCCCATCCTTCTGGTAATTCCATTTGGAAATGTACTAAGCCTGGATTGACAGATCATGACCCACACTGAACCACAGGGGTGGTTATTTTCAAGGCTGCTTTGTAGATGGGTATGGGAGTGGGGGAGGAGGCAGATTATGGCAAAACAGAAAGGGAGGCCACTAAAGTTTATCACAAGGCAGATAATCTGCCACAAATGAAGCTACTACTCTGTTCCCTCACGGGAAGAGAGGTCTAAACCCTGGGGTGGATAGCAGGTTGGCCAGGGATCTGATGCCTCCCCACCCGAGGCCTGGGAAACCTGAGGGTAGGCAGATGTCCTGAAGATCCAGGAATACCCCAGGACCTTTGAACCCCATGTATGGAGGGTCTCCATCCCACAGGACAAGTCCACCACCAGGCGGCCCACTAGAAGGCGGCAGGGGAGCAAAGGGAGGCCATGGGCAGCAAGGAGACAGAGGCTGAAGAGACCCCCCAGATTTGGCGAGAGGAGCCAGTAAAGCTAGGTGAAGGGGAAGGAGGCCAGCAGCCTGGACGGGTGGCTGCAACACACAGGCAGGCACCTGAGAGGGGCCCCAAGAAGATACATCTTCCAGCCCTGACCCTGGGGATAAGAGTTCTAAAAAGGTCAGTTGTGACTTTCAAAAAGTCCCTCTTCCATCCAACACGTTCTTTGCTCAGCCTTCCCATCTCATTAATACAGCAACTCCGATGTGCTTGGAGTCATATTTGACCTTTCTCGTCCTTCCATGAATCCACCGGCCAATCCTATTGGATCTGCCTTTAAAATCTATCCAGGTCTGCAGGGGCCAACTATACAGAAAAACACCACATCCTATCGGAAGGTCTTGCTTGGAGTGAGGACCAAGAGGCAGGTGGAGTGATAGGCATCTCTGAAGATGCCTCTGGAAGAGATAACTCCGAGACTCAAGTATCTCCAAGGTTAGAGGGAAACAATATTTTTCTCCATAACAAGGATGCACTTATTCACATTTCAAATTTGTCCCTAGGATTAATAGCAATCCCTCCAAATACATGGTTGATAATGAGAAAGGATTAATTTAATTGGACATAATTCTGAGCCCTCCAACATAATTATCTATTTGTATGGACTTTGGTTAAAATAAACTACAGACCAGAATAATCAATCAACACGTATTTAATTCCATCAAAGAATGAGTTCTTCTACCAAATAGAAAATTGTAACTCCCTGAAGTCAACAGTCTTGTCTTTCAAGCCTTTCTTTTTTTTTTTCACCTAAAGCAAGTAATCATATGTACAGGAGCACGTGGCTCTAGGATCCAGACCCAGACAAGGGAGTACATTTCTGATCTACTTACTAAGCCCTTTCCTCTTTACTCAAAACTCCTTTGACATCCTTTGAATTTTACCTTTATAATAATTAAACATGATCGTAATATGCTAAACCTATTTTTAAAACCATTTTAATCTATTGTTGACCTTTCCCCTAAGTTTCTATTCTGTTCGTGTGACTTAAATAAGACCTTTTGTTTTAATAACAGGAGGGTGTGTTCATATAAAAATCATGGTAATTTCCACTGAGATCAACTAAAAATACCAGAGGAATAAATGTATCATGGTTTCCTATTATCTGAACCAAACATAAAGGGCAAGAAATGTTAGGAAAAATCCCAGATAAATTATAATTCGAATTAAATACAATTAGGGCATTCGGCCAGAGGCCGACATACACAATTCTACTAGTCGAATGTAAGTAAGATAAAAGGCACATTCTTTAGGGAGATACACCTGGGATTGAAATCTCAACCATCTGGTAACTATGTCTGGACTAAAACCCAACACATGAGGGCATGGCGGTGATGACGTGAGTATTGGGAAATGTAGGTTATTTATTTATTTTTTTCCTGAAGGCACATGTCTGACTATCCTAGTCACACAAGTCAAACACAACTGCTGTCTGGTTCCCCCATCCCCTGGAAAGGGTCAGGAGCTGAACCAGCAGGCTGTTGTAGTACTACAGTGCAGCTGCCGCTCTGTGTACGCGCAGGTTTTAGAATGACTCTGACCTGCCCATGCCTGGGAAGTTTTCTACTACGCAGAAAGGAACACCCTGAGAATACGGTGTCTTGCTAAAGGCGGAAGAACTTCCTCTCATTCCAAACCATGTGGAGGGCTTGAGGAACCCGGCCTTTCCAGGCCACACTGGGTCACAAGGAAGCCCACCTAGGGGAGACTTCCTCAAAGCAATCTTGGGGACCCAGACGAGAGGTGCAGGCGGCGCGTCCCGGGTTCTAGGGACAAGCGGAGAGCCAGGCGCCCTAGGTCAGGGCGGCCACCGGGCGGGGATGGCAGCAGAGTCCCTGGGCCGGCCACCTGCCGCGGGACCACCCTCCGGGCGGCCGGGCAGAGTCCCCACCCACGGCTGATGACACATCCCCGGACCTCGTGGCGGGGCGGGGTGCTCTGCACCGCGCCATGTAAGGGAAGGTCTCCTCGCCGCCGGCGGGCTCCGTGTGCCTCCCAGTCTGGCCCCCGTGCCCGCCGCCCGCCTACGCACCCCGACCACCCCGTGCGTAGCGGCGCGCGGGTCCCCGGACAGGCGCGCGGAGCGGGCATCGCCAGATCGCCCACGCTTACTCACTCGGTGTTGCATCATGCACCACGCCGCGGTTTCAGGGAGCCAAAATGGACTCCGTGGAGGCGACAGTCGCATGGGCACCAGCCCCGCTCGCCCACTCCGGGGCCCGCCCGGCCCTGGTCCTGGCCCTTCCCAGAGGATGGCAGCGTTCCCGGCGCGGGGGCCCTCGCCACTCCCGCGCCGCCCTGCCGCGGCCCCACGCGGCGCCAGGGCCCCCTCCGTGATGACCCGGGCCCAAGGAGCTGCCCCCTGCGTTGGCGGGGCCGGGCACTCACCAAGCCGGCGGCGGCGGGGCTCCGGCAGGATCGCGAACAGACAGACTGTCGGACGCGCTCAAGGACCAACGGACGCTCGGCCGGCGAGACCGGGCGGGGCGGGGCGGGGCGGGGGCGCGGCGCGCGGGGAGAGGAGTGGAGGCTGCGGTTAGCGGGAGCCCGCGGCCGCGTGCGCGCCTGCCAGGTAGTTGACCCGCTGCTCACACCTGCCTGCGCGGACTGAATGGGCGCCGAGGGCTGGCGGGTTCCGGCGCCAGGTTTCATCAGCAGTGCGCCCGGCCCCCGCCCCTCGCGCTCCGCGCCCCGCGCCCCACGCCCGCCCCCGGACCAGGCAGCCCCGGCCCGCTCGGCCGCGTCACCGCCGGGCACCAATGGGAGCGCGGCGCGGCGGCGGCTGCCAGCCCAGAGGCTGCGGCCGGGGACCGACGCGCCCTTGGTGGGCGGGGCGGCTGAGTCTTCGCGCGCCCAGCGCCCCAACCTGGGGTTCCCGCGGCGGGCGGGCGGGCTGCGCCTCCGCTCGCCTTCTCAGTAGCTCCGTAGGCGTGTGGCCGTTTCTCCGCCAATCTGAGCGCACCGCGCCACAGCATCCTGTGGTCCCCTGCAGATCCCACAGCGCCCTGGCCAGAACTAGTGCTGCAGGTCCGGCCGTGCCAACCCCCTCCCGGCGGGCCCCAGGGAGCTCACACGGAACTCGAGACCAGTTTTCCTTCTCCAAAATAAAAGATTTGGTATGCACTTAAAAGGTTTAAACTGTTTTCTTTTCATTTTAGAGACAGGGTGTTACTCTATTGCCCAGGCTGGAGCGCAGTTCACCTTAACCTCGAAATCCTGGCCTCAAGCGATCCTCCCGCCTGGGCCTCCCAAAGCGCCCTAGGATTACAGTCCTGAAACACTGCACCGGCCTAAAAATTATTATAAATCTTCATGTCTTTGTTATTGGATTATTTTATTACTATTCCTTTGCCCTTGCTAATACCTTATCCTTGCCAGTTGTCAGAAGAGCCCCAAAGCTTGAATCTACCTGTGCCCCCTTGGCAGTGGCAAATGCACAAACGGCTAGTCAGAACGGCTCACTTTTGCAGTTACCCCCCAGGAAGTGGCAGAAGCTTCAGTCCTGAATCACACCGTGCTCACCTTTTAAGCTCCCTCCTTGTCTCCTTTTGTACCAAAAGCCAAGCGAGAATCATAATCTTTAAAGATCCAGTGATCTGGGACTTGGGATAGGTAAACAGGGCATAAATTAATAATGCCATCCTTCTTCTATCTTATAGGAAAACAGAAAAACAGTGGACGGTGTCCGTGGTCTTTGAATCCTTTCTACAGGTCCTTCTCAAATATCAGCTGCTGAACTATTCCCTTGGAATTAGACTAGCAATTTATAAAGTACATAACTGCATGGTGCTAGCTTCAGAAAAAGTGTTCTGTTGTTGTTGCTGTTGTCATTTGTTTGTTTTTTAGAGACAGGGGTCTCACTCTGTCACCCAGGCTGGAATGCAGCGGTACAATCATAGCTCACTGGAACTTCAAATTCCCAGGCTCAAGCCATCCTCCTGCCTCAGCCTCCCAAGCAGATGGAACTACAGGCTTGTGTCATCACGCCTAGTTAATATTTTTTCTACATATAGACACGGGTTTTTGATATGTTGCATAGGCTGGCCTCAAATACCAGCTGTCTAGCGATCATTTTGCCTCAACCTCCCCTAGCATCGGGACTACAGGGATGAGCCAGAAAAAGTCCCCAGAAAAAGTTTTAATGAACACATGCAGATGGCTTAGCAGTTGTAAAATGTGTTTTTGTCTTTGTTTTAGAGAGTGGGTCTCACTCTGTCACCAAGTTGGAGTGCAGTGGCAACATCATAGCTCACTGCAGCCTTGAACTCCTAGGCTCAAGCGATCGCCTCACTTTAGCTTCCCCAGTAGCTGGAAATATAGGCGAGCACCATCCTGCCCAGCTTTGTAATGTGCTTTGAACAGTGCTTGACATCATAGTAAGCCACCATATATGCTTTGTTTTAAAGCAACAAATCTGGCCTGTCACGGTGGCTCACGCCTGTAATCCAGCACTTTGGGAGGGCAAGGCAGGCAGATCATGAGGTCAGCAGATTGACACCATCCTGGCCAACATGGTGAAACCCCGTCTCTACTGAAAATACAAAAATGATCTGGGCGTGGTAGCGCACGCCTGTAGTCCCAACTACTCGGGAGGCTGAGGCAGGAGAATCACTTGAACCCAGGAGGCGGCGGTTGCAGTGAGCCAAGATCGCACCACTGCGCCCCAGCCTGGTGACAGAGCGAGACTCCGTCTCAAAAAAATAATAATAAAAATCAATAAAAAATAAATAAAACAATGTATCTTAGTTCAATTGCACAGTGGTGAAATGATGCCTTCCATTCACAGAAGATCTCCCAGATCCCACGCAGCCTACTCTGTCTGCTGAGGCCACAGTAAGCATGTCCCCTTCTCACAGAGAGAAGCCTGGTAGGATTAAAGACCACCTGCTTTGCCCTTGGCACCAGATCAGGATTTGAATCTGAACTCTACCAGTTCATTTGCTGTGAGAGCTTCTGCAAACTATTTCACTCCTGTTTGGAGCTTGTAAATCTTATATTCTTAAGAAAAAAATCTATCCCTTGGTGTTTGAAATATGACTGTGGAATTTTCTCTTTCTGCCTCTCTTTCTTTCTTTTTCTCTTTGCTGACTTCTGGCAGTAAAATAGAATTTCATAAATTGTAGAGATGCTCTCCTTGGGCAACACAGAGCGCCAACATGAGTTAATGTTTGTAAATTCTGAGAGCAAGTGCTCCAGGCCCTGATGGGAGTATGGTGACATTTAACCCAGGAGATTTTTAGCACTGTGCTCCGTTTAGCAATCCCACTCAGCAAGGTCCTGTCTTCAAAAAGACAATAAGACAAGCCCCATGAGCAAGTGACTTCTCAGCAAAAAGGATTCAGTATGAACCAGGGAAAAAATAGTTACGCACAAGATCTCAGCAAAACATTAGAGGATGCTGATAAAGAGGGCTACATGTTTTAAGCAAAGCCAGTTTTTAGGCAGGTCAAGACTCACATTACAGGTTCAGAGAAACCGTGAGTGACAGGCAGCCTTGATTACAATCAAAGAGCAGCTGCCCAAGATTCCAGCAACCATTAAGAAAGGGAGATGCTACAATTTAGGCCCTAGAGAGCAACATCTAAGGTTAAGGTTGACATACTAAGTCTCTTTCTAGCACCATTAGGCACCTTGGGGGCAAGGAAAGTGCACAGAATCAAAGCCAGGCAGATGTGGGTTTCAATTCTAACCAGCTGCTGGCCTGGGGAGAGGGGCCCTGCTCACTCTGTGCCTCAGTTTCCTCATTTTCGAAATAAGAATTTTACTACCTGCTGGATACATACGAACTTCATGGTAAGGATGAAAAATGTGTATAAAGATGAACAGAATATAGAGCTCAGAAATAGACTTAGTTTGTTTTGTATTGCTATAATGGAATACTCGAGTCTGGGTAATTTATAAAGAAAAAATGGTTTATTTGGCTCACAATTCTAATGGCTGGAAAGTTCAAGATTGGACATCTGCATGTGGAGAGGGCTTCAGGCTGCTTCCACTCATGGCAAAAGATGAAAGGGAGTGTGCGTGTGTGCAGAGATCACATGACAAGAGTATAAGCAAGAGGGAGAGGAGAGAAGGGCCCGGTTCCTTTAAATAACCAGCTCCAGAGTCATCTAATAGAGTGAAAATTCATCTCCCCGTCCCACCTACCCCCAGGAAGGACATTTCATGAAGGATCCACACCCGTGAACCAAATACCTCCCATTAGGTTCCACCTTCAACATTGGGGATCAAATTTCAACATGAGGTCTGGAGGGCACAAACATCGAAACCCAAACAGTAGCCTAGACCCACACAAATAGCTGATCCAGAGTGGCTAAGACAAGTCAATGGAGACAAGATAGTCTCCTCAACAAATGGTCCTGGAACAACTGGACCTGGACCGCCACATGCAAAAAATAAATCTAGACACAGACTTTAACATCTTACACAGCAATTAACTCAAAACAGATCATAGGCCTAAATGTAAAACACAAACCTATAAAATGCTTAGAAGATAACATAGGAGGAAATCTACCAATGGCTTTTTAGATACAACAGCAAAAGCATTATCTATGAAAGAAATGATTGCCAAGTTGGCCTTCATTAAAGTTAAAACCTTCTGGTCTGCAAAGACAATGTTAAGGCAATGAAAAGACAAGCCACAGGCTGGGAGAAAATCTTTGCAAAATACATATCTGATAAAGGACTGGTATCCAAAATACACAAAGGACTCTTAAAACTGAGTAATAAGAAAACACCTCACTTTAAAAACACAGCAGGGCGCGGTGGCTCACGCCTGGAATCCCAGCACTTTGGGAGACCGATACAGGTGGATCACCTGAGGTCAGGAGTTTGAGACCAGCCTGGCCAACATGGTGAAACCCTGTCTTTAATAAAAATACAAAAAATTAGCCATGCATGATGACAGGCACCTGTAATCCCAGCTACTTGGGAGGCTGATACAGGAGAATCACTGGAACCTGGGAGGTGGAGGTTGCAGTGAGCCAAGAGCACGCCATTGCACTGTAGCCTGGGCGACAAGAGTGAAATGCTGTCCCAAAAATAAATAAATAAATAAATAAATAAATAAATAAAAATAGACAAAAGATCTGAATAGACCCTTCATCAAAGACAATACACATATAACAAATAAGCATATGGAAAAATATTTAACATCATATACTATCGGAGAAATTGCAGATTAAAGCAAAGAGATACTACTACACAACTATTGAATAACTAAAATCCAAAACATTGGCAGCATCAAATGCGGGCGAGGATATGGCGCAACAAACTCTCATTCATTGCCAGTGAGGATGCGAAACAGTACAGCCACTTTGGAAGACAATGTGACAGTTTTTTACAAAACTAAACATAGTCTCACCACACTATCTAGCAGTCAGGCTCCTTGGTATTTATCCAAATGCATTGAAAATGTATGTCCACACAAAAACCTGTACAGCGATATTTATAGCAGTTTTGTTCATAATTGCCAAAACTTGGAAGCAATCAAACTGTCCTTCAGTAGGTAGGTGAACAAACTGTGGTACATCCATACAATGTATTGAGCCACGAAAGGACATGGAGGAAACATACATGTTTCTAAGTGAAATGAGCCAATCTGAAAAAGCTACATACTATGTGATTTCAACTATATGATGTTCTGGAAAAGGCAAAACAGTGGAGACAGTAAAAAGATCAGTAATTGCCAGGGGCTTGTGAGGGGAAGGATGAATAGGTGGGGCACAGGGGATTTTTAGGACTGTATAACTTCTGTATGATAATGTAATGGTGGATACATGTCATCCAGCATTTGTCAAAACCCATAGGACGTACAATACAAAGAATAAACTGTAATGTAAACTATGAAATTTAGCTAATAATAATGTATCAGTATTGGCCAGGTGCGCTGGCTCATGCCTGTACTCCCAGCACTTTGGGAAGCCAAAAGGCTGATCACCTGAGGTCAGGAGTTCAAGACTAGCCTGGCCAACATGGCGAAATCCCGTCTGCATTAAAAATACAAAAATTAACCAGGCATGGTGGCAGGGACCTGTAATCCCAGCTACTCGGCAGGCTGAGGCAGGAGAATCACTTGAACCCGGGAGGCGGAGGTTGCAGTGAGCCAAGATTGTGCCATTGCACTCCAGCCTGGGTGACAAGAGCGAAACTCCATCTCAAAAAATAAAAATAAAAAATAATATATCATTATTGACTCATCAATTGTAATGAATGCACCTCACTAATCAAGATGTTCATATAACAGGAGAAACTGGTGGGGGAGGGCTGTGATGAAGGGGGTATATGGAAACTTTATGTACCTTCTGCTCAATATTTTTGTAAACCTAAAACTGCTCTTAAAAATTCTATTAAATAAATGTATGTATATATGTATGTAAAGTACCTGACATAGTTCTATGTATAGAAAGTGCCAATCAAAAATAGGTATTATTAAGAAGATTAAGCAAATGGAGCCCTCCATTTTCTGGAGTGTTTTAAGGCAGTGTATGGGATAGGTTAAGCATGTGGGCTCTGGAGTTGGAGTACATGAGTTCAAATCCTGGCCTTGCAGTTTCTGAGCCACATATACTTAGGCAATTACTTTACCTTTCTCCAAGGTTCAGTTTGCTCCTTTGTAAGACAGAGCTATCAGTTCCTGTGATGTATAAATGACAATATTCACATAAAACATTTAGTGCCACGTCTGTCCCATAGCAAATGCCCAGTGAACACGGTTATCATGCATGACACTAGACTGATTTGTGGGGTGATATGAAATGCTAAATGCTTTCTTTTTCTTCCATAAAGGGATATTCTTTGGCCTTCACAATGAACAAGTCTTTGCAGGGAAGAGCGGTCTGTAGTTAGCCCTGCAAGGATTTAGTGGTAAAACTTCACCATCCTAGCTTTCTAGGGGTCCAGGTGGGGAGGTAAGGAACACAACTGTCACTGTGTTCTTCGGGGGTCCTTAATGTTGACCATTAAGCTCCCATCCATTCTCTTGGAGCCAGTACTACTTTCTCTTCTGGGAAATTCTGCTCTTGAATTTCCCTACTAGTTAGTGTGACTTCAAGAGGAACTTCCGTCTCAAAAAACCCCATCTCCACGGCATAGAAATTTTGTTGGGGGTAGAAAGCTCCTGGCTGACCATCCCCTGGCTGTAGGGAGGGCCCTCAGGATGGACAAAAGCCTTCCTTGCCGAGGACTTTTGGAACTGGAATAAGAAGTCTCTTTGATCCCCGTGGACAGTGCTGGGCAGACATCAGCCAGGTGCTGCCAGCATCTTCGGTTCCGGCCCCGGGGAATAAGCCAGTCTGAGAGAATAAAGTGGACACAGACAGAGAAATCAAAGAGGAGCCACAAAGTGAGAGTTAGTAGCCCTCGATCCCTGTTCCAGTGCTCACTAGCCACCACCCCGTTTTTTGCTGACACCACTTCATCTTGGGTTTCTGTCACTTATGTCCAAGAGTCTTGATTCACACAGCTTTCCCATGCTAGGAACATTCCACCCATGTCAGAGAGGAAGAATTAGAAGCACCTTGAGAAAAGAGTGCCTCTAAAGGATTGCAAAAAAGACAGAGAGCAACAACCGACAAACACTTGGATTTTTAAAAGTGTAGCTGTTGGGCTTAGAGGATTTGACTACGGTCATTTAGTACAGAATAAAATTTAATCCTGCCAAAATTTTGAGGAGACCTTCGAAACCAGCTGCATGCATGCCTGTGGGATGGCAGAAAGTGCTTTCTCTCCAGCATAAACAATGTACTCTCAAGAGAAGAGGACTTTCTCACAATATACATCTTTGTAAGAAAATACAGTGTATTAGGGCTCTCCAGAGGGAGAGAACTAATAGGATACATGTACATATGAAAGAGAGTTTATTAAGGAGAATTGACTCACATGATCACAAAGTGAAGGCCCACAATAGGTCATCTGCAAGCTGAGGAGGCAGGAACCCAGTAGTGGCTCAGTCCGAGTCCCAAAGCTTCAAAATTAGGAAAGCTGTGGCTGAAGCTCCAAGAGCCCCTGGCAAACCACTGGTGTAAGTCCAAGAGTCCAAAGGATGAAGAAGCTGGATTCTTATGTTCGAGGGCAGGAAGCATCCAGCACGGGAGAAAGATGAAGGCTGGAAGACTCAGCAAGGCAGCTTATCCCACCTTCTGCCTGCTTTTGTTCCAGGTGCACTAGTAGCCGATTGGATGGTACTCACCTAGATTGAGGGTGGGCCTTCCTCTCCCAGTCCACTGACTCAGGTGTTAATCTCCTCTGGCAACACCCTCACAGATACACCCAGAAACAATACTTTACCAGCTATCTAAGCATCCTTCAATCCAACCAAGTTGACACTTAATATTAACCATCACACACAGCTATAGGAAAATGATGAGAGATGCTCACAAAGGTTTAGATACATGTATGTCTATCATGGGGTCACTTATTGTAGCAAAAGAGGAAATTTCAGATACCCACAAGCAAAGGGTTGGTTAAATACATTAAGATGCTTTTGTTGCCAGAAAAAGGGGTCCCGATCCAACCCCAGGAGAGGGTTATTGGATCTCGCACAGGAGGGAATTCAAGACAAGTCACAGAGTGCAGTGAGAAGAGGTAGCTTATTGAAGGCTACTCAGCTGCAGGGTAGGGCATCCTCAGAAAGTGTCTTTGTTTTAAACTCTTCTTACACAGGGGTCTTATCTACGTAAAAGCTGAGTTATGTCTACCTGCAGATGGGCCGACAGTGAGACAAATTTTAGTAATTTGCTGATTTTTAAAAAGTTATCTTTGACATTTTTGTGTGTAAGTACATCAAAGCATGACTGTAATTATTTTAAAAGCATATTTTGTTATGTGATATTAGGACATCTGGGCATTTCGTTATCATAGGAGTTTGTCCTTGCGGGCATTATTAGGCTGCTTCTTTAGTTGTAAACATCTTATGACCATGGGTTGTGACTGGCAAGGAATGTGCCTTGCTAGTTTCGAGACAGAGTTGATTTTAACATGCTGTCACCCTACCTCTCCTATGCTCTTGTTTCCCTACCACCTTCACAAAATGGAATATAAATATTAAACAGCCATTAAATATCATGTTTTCAAATAGTATTTAAAATGGTGGAAGGGACTCAGACTATAGTATGAGAATGGGGTATAATATTTTGTCTGTAATATACTTCCAATTTTTATATATACATACTCATATGTACATGTCCACAAATATAAGCCTATATTATATTCATGCATATATGTAGTATACATAAACAGGGCAGAAACATATACAAATGTTGTCCCTACAGGAAGTTTTAATTCTTTTGTATACTTACCTCAATTTTCTACATTGAAAATTTACAATAAACTCAATAGATGTTATTAAAAATTAGAATTTTACCAAAAAACAAAATTTCATCTTCAGCCTCATTGTCCCAAACAAATCTATACAAGCCAAGGAACATCCAAGCCTCCCTTCTCAACTCCTGCTGTCCCTTGTTGTTTGTTAGGAAAGGGCTCAGGCCTGGCATCCAACTGTTGACAAGATTTTCAGGCCATTGGCACTAGGTAAGAAGGTAACCAGGGTAACAAGCTCTGAAAAGGTAATAAGAGCCTATCCTCCCCATAAGTAGTTGAAAATAAAAATACTGTTGACCCTTGAACAATGTAGGATTGAACTGGGCAGGTCCACTCATACATGGATTTTTTTAAATATAAAAGTTACACCAAGGGTGCCTGCCTCTCCCGCCTCCCTTTCCACCTCCTGCATTTCTTCAGCCTCTGCCAGCCCTGAGGGAGCAAGACCAACCCCTCCTCTTCTTCCTCCTCCTCAGCCTACTCAATGTGAAAATGAGGATGATGACCTTGATGATAATCCACTTTCACTTAATGACTAGTAAATATATTTTCTGTTCCTTAGGATTTTCTTAATGATATTTTCTGTCCTTTAGCTTACCCTATCGTAAGAATACAATCTATAATACAGGTAACACACAAAATATACGTTAACCAACTGTTTATGTCATCAGTAAGGCTTCTGATCAACAGTAGGCTATTAGTAGTTAAGTTTTGAGGGATTATACATGAATTTTCCATGTGTGAGGAGTTGGCACCCCTAAGCCCCACATTGTTCCAGGGTTAACTATATTAAAATAAGTGTGAGGCAGTCCAACAAATTATTTTTTCCCCAAGCTGCCTTGATTCCCTTCAGTGCTTTTTTCCTTTCGTATCACATTTTCCAACAAATGTCTTCAGGTTTCCCCTGTTTAGCTGGAGATTTAGGCACAGGCAGCTTGCCAGGTGAGCATTCGAGCCCTGATGGTGACCTCTAACCTGGGCCTTGGTCATCATTATCACCAAGAGGATGCTTCCTCACTCACCTTTCCTTAGTTTCTTTAGTGTTTAGAAGTTTTTTGTGTGCCATGAAACAAGTGCTTAACTAATTTCCCATACCTTTGCTACATTTTTTAGCATATGAATGTTATAGCCATTGACACTTAAATTTATAAAGCACATGAGAACATTCTGGAACATATGGTATGTTATGGGCTGCACTGCATCCTCCTCAAAATTATATCTTGAAATCCGAATCCCCAATGTCTCTGAATGTAATTGTATTTGGGGATGGGACCTCTAAAGAGACAAACAAGCTAAAATGAGGTCATTAGGGTGGGCCTTAATCCAATCTGACTAGTGTCCTTAGAAGAAGAAGAGATTAGGACCTGCAGAGACCAGGGAGGCTTACGCACAGACCATGTGAGGACACAATGAGAAGACGGCTGTCTGCAAGTCAAGGAGACAGGCCTCAGAACAAACCAAACCTGTAGGCATATTGATCTTAGACTTCTCTTCTCCAGAACTATGACATAGTAAGTGTCTGTTGTTTAAGCCTTCCAGTCTGTGGTATTTTGTTATAGAAACCTGAACAGACTAATATAGTGGAAATCATATTTAAACAGAAGATTGACTGTCAGAGCTGAAAGAGACAGGACTAACAATGGCCCAAGCAAACCTCTGGTTTTTCAGCTACACGGGGCGCCCCATGCAGCCCTCAAGGTCACAGGACCCAGCAGAGGCAGAACCAGGCCCTCTTACTGACAGTGCCAGGCTCCTTTCACGACTTAAGGCTGAAGCTTCCATTTGTTTATTTATCAATTTGTTGCTTTTAAGGTGTTTCCTGCAATTGCTGTCCTCCCTCTTGGCTCCTGTGCCCAATGCAGAAAATAGGAAAGCCTTCGAGAGTCTCCACGTCATCCTCGTCCCTGTCATTTGCAGTTCAGTAGATGTGCTGCCAACACAAGCAATCCACTTGCTCTGACTGATAGGAGCACAATGCTATCAGCTCCCAAAGGCTGGGACGTCCCACTGTGAGCAGAGTGGCAGAGAGGAAAAAAAGCAGAGCTTTTGGCATTGGACAGGCATGGGTGTGAATCTGAACTCCCTCATCAACCAGCTATGTGACCTTGGTCAAGTTAGTGAACCTCTTAAAGTCTCCATAAAGGAGGACAACAGTGTTTAGCCTTGACCGATCACTGTGAGGATGAGATGAGATGAGTGCGTAAAAGGAAACGTCAAATCACTAGCTCCCTCCTCCCCTCTCTTCTTTCTTCTATCCTCTGACTCTTCCTTTCTCTCCCCTTCTTGTGAAAAGAAAGGAAATCAAAGAAAGTGTAGCAAGGCCTGTACTAAGATTTCTGACTCTCTTCCATGGCCATTTCCACTAAAACACATGTGTCTCTCTCAACCAGGGAACACCTGCCTGTAAACCGTAGGGCTCTCGGTGGCACTGGAGGTGGCTCACCTGATCAATGTGTTTTGTGGGGTTTAGCTAATGTCTGCAGGGATTTGATTTGACAGAAGCCATCCCCTTCTTTGGATTTCTAGAAGGGTGTGCCACATGAGTGATGTTCCATCCTGGGCCAAGCCTAACCACAGTAGTTCTTTCATCTGAAAATCCTCATCACAGATAAGGCTTTCTTGCTGCATTAAGAGAGAAAAAGGCATAAGAGATTTCAGCTCACTTGAACACTTCAGAAGCTTTGACTCTATGAAGCATAAATATAACCCGTATATATTATATATGAAGACATTTTGGACTTCTAAACAGTTTGCCCATTCCTTAGACGTCCCATTCCTGCCTTGAAATACCCTAATCTCACAGCCTTGGAATTAGGTCTCTTCCGTTTGCATTTGACACAGAACATTCCTACAAGAGTGGGCTATCAGGGGTGCGTGGACAATACAGTGGCTGAGAACACACATAGTAGAGACAGAGTGACTTTCAGCAGGTCACTGAACTCTCTAGGCCTCAGTTTCCTCATCAGAAAAATGGGACATCTAACGAGCTTCCGCAAAAATTGAGATAAAGCCTGAAAGCTCCTTAAGAAGTGCCTGGCATATAATAATAATAACTTCATAAAAGCTACCTATCATTATTGTTGTTACCATAAATAATTTTCACCTGATGCATGCTCTGCTGATATAAGAAAACAACAGCAGAACACCTTTATCGGTGCCTAGCCATTTTATTGTTTGACTAGTAGAGTTTAGTGTGGAAAAAAGCCACAGGAGCAGTGGTATTTATAAATGGCTTCTTATTGTGAACTGATGGCCCACCCCCAAGATGATAAACTGATAGGACTCTGCCATGAAGACTATCTTGTAAAGGTTTGCTGTGATTCACAGCATGGGAAGCTATTGCTCATGCTAAGGGTATCACCAAAAGGAGAGTTTCCCAACCTCACTACTAGGAAAATTTGGGACAGATAATTTTTTGTTGTTGTTGCTCTGAGACTTGTAGGATAGTTAGCAGGATCCCTGGCCTCTACCCAGCAGATACCACAACCAAAAATGTCTTCAGACATTGCCAATGTCCCCTGGAAGGCAAAATCAGCCTCCACTGAGAGCCACTTGCCCAGAGGACTATCTGGTTGTCTTGCAGTAGATATCGGATACTGTCTCTTGGATGAATAGAGACTACCTGATCCCAACCAGCAGGGCTGAGAGTCAGTTGGTGAGCACAATTTCAACTGAACCATTGCTTATAGCTCAGCACCTGTTTTGATTGGTTGATGCCTGTGCCATATTGGCTGTTAAATATGCTTGATATAAATCCTGCATTCTGGTGAGCCTTTGGTTGAGGTCTCTTTAAGGAAGTAAAGATTAAAGCAGATCTTAGTTGTTCATGTAGCAAAGACATAGTTCACTCAAAGAGCAGCATGGTGGCTAAAGGTAGTCAAATGGTTGTTACTGTACCTGAACAGCATCCAACAATGCCTCTATATGGTCTTTTCAAACATTGTTAACTTCTCTTCCATCTTTCCCAATCATACTACAGAATGAGATTTCAGATGGCTTGACCCTAATGATGACCACAAGCCTCAGACTCTTGAACTCAAGCAATTTTCCCACCTCTGCCTCCTGAGGAGCTGGAACTACAGACATGTGCCACTACACCCAGCTCAGTGCAGGTTTTAAGAGATGCTTTCCCTCCAAATGCTTCTGTAAATAGAAATACAGCACTTCTGACACTGTGTCCTTATGCTGAGGAGTGGTGCATACATACCGTGTTTCTCTACAGGATGGTTCCAGACTTTGGGTCCCAGAGCACTCACGGTGGGGATGGTGACCTGTTATTAAGTGAAAGACATCCAGAAGTGTAGCCACTGGTGTTTGATCTATGCCCAGAAGAGCACTCCAATAGGACAACAATGAAGAAACAAAACAAACAAAAAAACCCAAGTGACTGGAGTACCAACGAATTCAGGACCAAGGGAAAGGTTGCAGATAAATTAGGTTGGCTGATCTCTCTAAAATTAGCCCACTTGCCAAATAGAGTCAGCCAACTGCAACAAGCAACATCACAATTATTGCAATGTTGTTAAAACCATGAGAATAATAGGTCATACCTAGCAGTCTTTTTCAAAAGATCAGTTTTAATCAAGGTATACTTTTTGATCAGAGCATTGGGTCATGTTTCTAGAAATGAGCCAGGAATTCAGTGCAGCTTATCATCCAGATCCTTGGCAAACTGCATGTGCATATGAGTCTCTGAAAACAATACTCTGAAAGTACAGTCAAGACAGTGGGGAAATGGGCTTGCTGACATCTCCAATTTGCAGAGCACCTTGTCCTCCCATAGTCCAGGCTATGATTCCTCAGTGATTCCTCTGGGTCTGTCCACATGCTATTTCTCACCTGGATCTTTCTTTCCTCCCACTAACCTTACCCAACACCCTATTCATTTACTACCTATAGGGCTGTGAATATGTTCTTTAACTTCTCTGTGCCTCATTTTTATTTTCTCTAAAAGGGACAAAATACTGGTTTTTATTTCAGAGGTTGTGGTGAAGATTAAGTGAGTTAATATATGTGAAGTGCTTTGCACAGTGCCTGGCACATAGCGAGGGTTCAATAAACATTAGCTATTGATATAAGAATTCAGCCAGGCATGCTGGAAAGTGCGCCTGTAGTGCCAGCTACTCCAGAGGCTGAGGCAAGAGGATCACTTGAGCCCAGGAGTTTGAGGCTGCAGTGAAATATGATTGTGACACTGTACTCCAGCCTGGGCAACAAGTGAGATTCTGTTTCTAAAGGGAAAAAAAAGAATGATTACTCAATCTTCACATCAGCTTCCTCTAATAAGTCTCTCCTGATGCCCTACAGCAGGATATTTGCCCTGTTATGTGTTCCCATAGCTCATGGTATAAAGTATGCATAACATCTTTAGGGGATGTCCCTAAAATCTTTAAGAACACACCTCCTAGATTCTTAGTGCAGCCTTGGGTTCACCTGTAAACCAGACAGCTGCAAATAAAACCTTTAATCTCTGGGCATAATATTGATCCAGTGGTGGGCATGGACCAACTGAATAATTGAAGGATTGCTATGGAGACTGGGAGAGAGAGGATTTCTTTTTTAAGAGATCTCAGGATCTCATTATACTTAGGATAATGAATTTCTGGAGTTGCCAGGGGCTATCTTTGCCAGCAAGAAAGGCTGCCTGAGAATAAAGCAGATGTAGAAGAAAGCAGAGGTCAGAGAGACATAAAGATGGGGGAAGAGGGAGACAGGATTACACCACTGGTGTGCTGGATCCAGCCAAACCTGAAGACATCTGTACCCAGGGCTATTATGCAGTCAGTAATAGCTTCTTTTTATTTAAGCTAGCTTGAATTTGAATTCTCTCACTTGTCACTAAGAGTTGATTAATACAGTCAACTACATTAATCAAATACATTAATACTGTCTCATTCATAACACATATCACATTTCATCATTAATTGCTTGTCTATCTTTCCCATCTAGGCTATAAATTCCATAAAGGCAGTGTCCTATCTTCCCACCATTGTGTGCCATGCAGAATGTCAGCCTGGAGCAGGCACTCAGACATTGCATGGATGTGTGAATGCTGAATGGCCTGATGAAAATGACAGGTTCTACATGAAACAGTGATGTAAGGATAAAGCCACACTGTCTTCTCCCCAACTCCTCCCTAACTGGATACAGATCAGAAATCTCATTATCCCCAAAAGACAGACAGCTTCCATTTCATTAACTCCTATTCCCCTCATTTCTTTTTTCTTTTTTTTTTTGGAGATGGAGTCTCACTTTGTCACCGAGGCTGGAGTACAGTGGCACGATCTTGGCTCACTGCAACCTCTGCCTCCAGGGTTCAAGCGATTCTCCTGCCTCAGCCTCCTTAGTAGTTGGGATTATAGGTGCTAACCACCACGCCTGGCTAATTTTTGTATTTTTAGTAGAGATGGGGTTTCACCATGTTGGTCAGGCTGGTCTCGAACTCCTGACCTTGTGATCCGCCCACATTGGCCTCCCAAAGTGCTAGGATTACAGGCATGAGCCACTGCGCCTGGCCCCATTCCCCTCATTTCTGGATGCCCTGGGATCATTGCAGGCTGTTGGAAATCAGGGTCCCCTATCCCCTGCTATAAGGCTCCATTCCAGAGAAGGGAGACACGAATACTTGAAGGAAGCACTCCTGGACACGTGGGATTCACCGGTCGTCGTCACTTTTTAAAATAATTTTCAGACAAATATTTATATACATATTAAAAATTTCCCTAGAACAATTAGAGATATTAGGTGTAAGACTGAGGAAGGGGTGATTTGTTCTGCCTTCTTCCTCTGAGATATGTGTTTCCACAGATCACAGCTGCTCACCGTTTCAAATGGTCAAAAACAGAAACAAATAATCCTTCCTCTATGTTAGTCAGGAGTCGCTCAATTGTAAGTCATCCATAAGATTAAACAAGGTGTAAAAGAATTTCAGAAATTTTGAAATTTCATCATTATGTAACTGAAATGTTTAGGATTTGAGCCACGTGTATATATGGCTGGAGCCGGGTCCTCAAAAACTGTCTCATTCTCTCCATCTCAAAGTTTCCCTGGTGACTTTATGATTTTCTGACAGATCTCTCCATTGGTAGGAAGAATGGTCTTTACAGATTGCATCATCGATGGAGACCCCTTGCAGCCATCATTTCAGCCCCGCGAAAGGCCTCCGATTGGCTCTGCTAGGGTCCTATGCCCAAGTCTGTGCATCTCTCACGATTCCGGTAAGAATGGTATTCTCTTGTTGGTTAGCCTGGGTCACATACCTATCTCTGTGGACTATGAGGGCTGTCGGTGCTGGGGGAGATTGGCAGCTCCATAAGCATCCAGGGATAGAGGAAGAATCAACTTCCGAAGGAAGGAAATGTGAGCAGACAAGGAATTATCAGGTATCCACTATGTATGCCACACCCTCACTCATTCAAACATCTCCCGACACACTCCCCGAGGGCCCAAGAGGATCTGTACCACATCCACAGTTCAACCCCAGTCATCTCTCCAGCTATGTCTGCCCTACGCTCTGGTGTTACTCCAGGTAGGGAAAGTAAGCTTCATGTCCAGTGTGGCCAGTTGTGTCGCACAGCCACACAACACCACGCATCAGTGCTGCCTGTGCTCTCACCGCCTGGATAGACTTGTCATGCTTCACTCTCTCTCATTTTCTTAGTCTCCTCTCCCCATGAGTCCTGGGAACTAGGCTGAAGGACACAATATGAGCAACCGGGCTATCACCAGGAACGCCCTTCCCCCTTGGTGCTAGCCTTGAACCAGACTGTGGACTTAGACTTTTTCCCCTAAGGTGGAGTTTCTTCTCAAGGGTTCCAGTTTCTGCATCAGGTAGACTATCCCTATGTTCTGCAGCGGTTCTCACTAGATCAGGCTCGATCATTCAGCATGGCACAGAGCTGGGATCATTGCTGTGCCTGTTTTAAGAGACTATTTTATTCTTTTTTTTCTTTTTTCTCTTTTTTTTTTTTTTTTGAGACGGAGTCTCGCCCTGTCACCCCAGGCTGGAGCACAGTGGCACCGTCTCAGCTCACTGCAACCTCCACCCCCCGGGGTTCAAGTGATTCTCCTACTCAGCCTGCTGAGTAGCTGGGATTACAGGCACGTGCAACCACGCCTGGCTAATTTTTGTATTTTCAGTAGAGATGGGGTTTCATCATGTTGGCCAGTCTGGTCTCAAACTCCTGACCCTAAGTGATCTGCATGCCTCATCCTCCCAAAGTGCTGGGATTACAGACATGCCCAGCTGAGGTTATTTTACACTTAACTAGACTTTCTGCTTTAGTTTTGATCAGAGAGAGTTATTTGTTAACTGTCCTGAACAGTGTATCATCTCATCATCGACCATCCATCAGGTTGGCTGAGTAAAATTTTAATCGGCTATCGTAAGGACCAAAAATACAAATTTCTCCCCCTGGTTGGTACGTTCTTTCTTTGAAGGTTTTGATTTGCTTATTTCTGTTCTCATGTGAGAACCCTTGAGGTTTTTAAAGATCTGTACATAAAGCATTGATGTAATAGTCAATGTAACTGCTGATTTGCTGATTGATTCTGAGTAGAATTTTAAAACTTGAAGAAGAAAGAACTTAATTGACTCTATAGTAGCCTAGGTGTGCTTGCAGTGGTTCCTGACCTTCTGTTCATACCAAAAATCTCTTTCCATTCATGAGACACATTGTCAATTAAAAGGAACAATATATGCCAATAGATGTTGGCAGATACCATGGGCAACATTCCAACATCTTCTTGGGCTCATTCATCCATATGAACGTGCAGACTCATGTTATGGCTGGGCTCTCATTCTCTCACTTAACATGTATCCTTATCTCCTGCCTTCTAGTATATGTCAACTCTACCCCTAATCTGCACATCTGTCCTCCCAGTACACATCTTTCTGTCCCACTCATTTCCAGCATTGATTTCTATCTGCCTGTCACAGTAATCACTCAGGGAACAACTCAGGAGCAACCTGCACCAACAGAGACACATGTTTCCTCACAATGAGCCAGCCTTTATCAGACTGACATTAGCATTCCAAGCAACATAAAGGAATGAAACAGGTAATTTAGAAACCTTGTTTATCTCTTGCAGTTATGACATTGTTGTTTTTCTGGTGCTAGAATTTATGCATAGACAAAGAACCGAGGCCTAACGCAAACATTTGTCAGATTAAACCAATGACAATTGAGTGGAGAGAACTGGAAGACTTTAATTCTGACAGTACATCTGTTCTACCTTTTTGTTTTGCTGCAGCCAAATATATTGCAATATGGAAATTGCTAATTTTGCCCATTATCTTGTATGTAATACACATTTGATCATAAGGATTAATAAACTGGTTCTCATATCCACAGGTCAGGAGAGGCAGGCTGTTGATCAATACTGATTGGAATATCTGTGTTCACTTGCCTTTGCCTTCTCTACCAGAACCCTGGGGCCCATGCTGGGAACTTTTCCTGTGCTTCACTCCTCCACACCCAACAAAAGAATATATACATTTATTTGGGGCTTTGCCATTTGTCGGGAAATTCAACAAATGAGTCTTAGGATGTTAACAGAGGATAATTCATTATATGTGCATTTTGAGCAAGGCTTCTTGGAGAAATGCTTTAAACAAAATAATGCCCACCATTTACTTATACTTTCTATGTCCTTTATACACAACATTGCATTGACCTGTCAATGGAATCCCATGAGGATTTTAATTTCCTCTCCTGTAGAAGAGAAAACTAAAGTACTGAATGCTTAAATGAGTTGGCCAAATGACCTTCTAGCCCGTAAGAGGGAGGCATTGTAAAGCTCAGATACTTCAAGACTCTATGCTGTAGAAGGATATATTTATTTCGATCTGAAAATCACACACAACAAATAAGGAAGAAACAATGGCAAAATTTTTTTGAATTTGATTTTAAAAATCTACTTATAAATCCGAGAAGCTTAGCAAATCAGAAGCAGGACCAATAGAAAGAGAAGATATCTAAGGGGCCATAGTCAAACTGAAGAACACCAAAAAGATATTTTTGAAAGCAGACACAGGGCAAAAAAAAGACACATCATAAACTGGGGGAAAAACCATTAAGAATGATTTGTGAATTCTCATCAGAAGCAATGGAGGCCAGAACACAATGGGATGGCAATAAAAAAAAAACTCCAAAGTATCAACCCAGAATTCTATATACAGAAAAATATCTTAAGAGGGAAATAAAGTTATTTTCAAATAAAAGAGAACTGAGAAATTTGTTGCCAGCAGCCTTGCACTATAAGAAATGCTAAAGGATGTTCTGCAGCCTGCAGGAAAATTATAACAGATCAAACTTGGATCTGCAGGAAATAACAAAAAGCATTATGTCCTCATCCTTGTCCAGGTTACCTGACATGCTTCTGATACTTGGAGGCAGCATTTTGAGGGCTGTATAAAAGAGTTTGGTTACAAAGGATAAACTAAAATATTTTGATGTAATGAAGCAATATCATATGGTATAAGGATAGAGAGAGTGTTTGCTCCCTTTTTTCACATTGTTTAGAATTTTTCCTGAAGTGGAAGCCCCATCCCTAGGGGAAGCAGGGAGAACACATCAAGGGAACACCCTATGGGATAGTAGAATCTGAACAACAGCCCTTGAGCCCTAGATCTTCCCTCTGTCATAGTCTACCCAAAAGAGAAGGAACCAGAAAAACAATTCTGGTAATATGAGAAAACAAGATTCTTTAACGCCCCCAAAAGATTACACTAACTCACTAGCAATGGATCCAAACAAATAAGAAATTTCTGAATTGCCACAAAAAGAATTCAAAAGGTCAATTATTAAGCTACTAAAGGAGGCACCAGAGAAAGTGAATACCAACTTAAATTTAAAAAAATGATACATGATAAGGACAGAAAAATCTCCACAGAAATAGATAGCATAAATAAAGAACAATTACAACTTCTGGAAATGAAAAACACACTTAAACAAATGCAAAATACACTGGAAACTCTCAGCAATATAATTGAACAAGTAGAAGAAAGAATTTCAGAGCTCCAAGATAAGACTTTTGAATTAACCCAATCTGACAAACAGAAAAAATAATTTTAAAAAATGAACAAAGCCCCCAATAAGTTTGGGATTATGTTAAACGACCAAACTAACAAACAGACTTTTCCAGACAAACAAACGCTGAGAGAATTCTCCACCACCAAGTCAACACTATAAGAACTGCTAAAAGGAGCTCTAAATCTTGAAACAAATCCTCGAAATACATCAAAATAGAGCCTCTTTAAAGCATAAATATCACAGGACCTCTATAACATTAACACAATGAAAAAAACAAGATCTTCAGGCAACAAATAGCACAATAAATAGAATAGCACTTCACATCTCAACACTAACATTGAATGTAAATGGACTAAATGCTCCACTTAACAGACACAGAATGTCAGAATGGATAAGAATTCACCAACCAAGTTTCTGCTGTCTTCAGGGGACTCACCTAACACATAAGGACTTACATAAACTTAAGGTAGAGGGATGGAAAAAGATATTCCATGCCAATGGACACCAAAAGCAATCAGAAGTAAATATTTTAATATCATACAAAACCGACTTTAAATAAACAACAGTTTAAAAAGACAAAGAAGGACCTTATATAATGATAAAAGGACTAGTCCAACAGGAAAGTATCACAATCTAAATATATATGCACCTAACACTGGTGCTCCCAAATTTATAAAATAATTACTGCTAGACCTAAGAAATGAGATTGACAGCAACACAGTAATAGTGGGGGACTTCAGTACTCCACTGATAGCACTAGACAGCCCATTAAGATGGAAAGTCAACAAAGAAACAATGAGCTTAAACTATACCCTAGAACATATTGACTTAACAGATACTTACAGAACATTCTACCCAACAACTGCAGAATATACAGTCTATTCAGCATCACATGGAACATTCTCCAAGAAAGACCATAAAACAAGTCTCAATAAATTTAAGTAGATCAAAATTACATCAAGTCCTCCGACCACAGTAGAATAAAATTGGAAATCAACTCCAAAAGGAACCCTTAAAACCATGCAAATATGTGGAAATTAAATAACCTGCTCCTGAATGATCATTGGGTCAACAATGAAATCAAGATAGAAATTTAAAAAATTCTTTGAACTGAATGATAATAGTGACACAACCTATCAAAACCTCTATGATACAGCAAAAGCGGTGCTAAGAGGAAAGCATTGAGTGTGTACATCGAAAAGCCTGAAGGAGCACAAATAGACAATCTAAGGTTACACCTCAAGGAACTAGAGAAACAACAAACCAAACCAAAACCCAACAGAAGAAAAGAAACAACAAAGATTAGAGCAGAACTAAATGAAATTAAAACAACAAAGAAAAACAATACAAAAGATAAAGTAAGCAAAAAGCTGGTTCTTTGAAAAGATAAACAAAATTGATAGACCATTAGCAGGATTAACCAAGAAAAGAAGAGGGGAGATCCAAATAAGCTCAATTAGAAATGAAACAGGAGGTATTACAACTGATACCACAGAAATACAAAAGATCATTCAAGGCTGCTATGAACACCTTTACACACACAAACTAGAAAACATAGAGAAGATGGATAAATTCCTGGAAGCATACAACCCTCCTAGATTAAACCAGGAAGAAATAGATACTCTGAACAGACCAACAGCAAGCAGCAAAATTGAAATAGCAATTTAAAAAATTGTCAACAGAAAAGTCTAGGACAAGACAGATTCACAGCTGAATTCTATCAGACATTCATAGAAGAATTGGTAGCAACCCTACTGACACTATTCTACAAGATAAAGAGGGCATCTTCTTTAAATCATTCTATGAAGCCAGTATCACCATAATACCAAAACCAGGAAAGGATATAACAAAAAAAGAAAACTACAGACCAATATCTCTGATGAACGTAGGTGCAAAAATCCCTAACAAAATACTAGCTAACTGTACTCAACAGCATATAAAAAAGATAATCCATAATAATCAAGTGGGTTTCATACCAGGGATGCAGGGGTGGTTTAACATATGCAATTCTGTTTACGTGATACAACACATAAATAGAATTAAAAGAAAATCATATGATCATCTCAACAGACACAGAAAAAGCATTTGACAAAATCCAGCATTGCTATAAGATTAAAACCCTCAGTAAAATCAGCATAGAAGGGAAATACTTTAAGGTAATAAAAGCCATCTATGACAATCCCACAGCCAACATTACACTGAATGGGGAAGAGCTGAACACATTCCCCCTGAGAACTGGAGCAAGACAAGGATGCCCACTTTCACTACTTCTATTCAACATAGTACTGGAAGTCTTAGCCAGAGCAATCAGACAAGAGAAAGAAATAAAGAGCATCCAAATTGGTAAAGAGGAAGTCAAACTCTTGCTGTTTGCCAATGATATGATCATATACCTAGAAAACCCTAAAGATTCATCCCAAAAGCTCCTAGATCTGATAAATTAATTCAGTAAAGTTTCAGGATACAAAAATCAATGTACACAAATCAATAGCACTGCTATATGTCAACAGCGACCAAGCTGAGAATCAAATAAAAAACTCAACATCCTTTACAATAGCTTTGAATAAAATAAAATACTTAGGAATATATCTAACCAAGGTGGTGAAAGACCTCTACAAGGAAAATGACAAAATACTGCTGAAAGAAATCATAGATGACACAAACAAATGGAAACACATCCCCCACTCATGAGAGGGTAGAATCAATATTGTGAAAATGACTATACTGCCAAAAGCAATCTACAAATTCAATGCAATTCCCATCAAAATACCACCATCACTCTTCACAGAACTAGAAAAAACAATCTTAAAATCCATATGCAACCAAAAAATAGCCCGCATACCCAAAGCATGACAAAGCAAAAAGAACAAATCTGGAGGCATCACATTACCTGACTTCAAACTATACTATAAAGCTATAGTCACCAAAACATCATGGTACTGGTATAAAAATAAGCACATAGACCAATGGAACAGAATAGAGAACCCAGAAATAAAGCTAAATACTTACAGCCAACTGATTTTCAACAAAGCAAAAAAAAAAACGTAAAGTGGGGAAAGGACACCCTATTCAACAAACGGTGCTGGGATAATTGGCAAGCCGCATGTGGAAGAATGAAACTGTATCTTCATCTCTCATCTTATAAAAAATCAACTAAAGGTGGATCAAAGACTTTAATGTAAAGCCTGAAGCTATAAAAATCCTAGAAGATAACATAAAAAAACCTTCTAGACATTGGCTTAAGCAAAGACTTCATGGCCAAGAACCCAAAAGCAAATGCAACAAAAACAAAAATAAATAGATGGGACTTAATTAAACTAAAATGCTTCTGCACAGCAAAAGAAATAATCAGCAGAGTAAACAGACAACCCACAGTGGTGAAAATCTTCACAAATATGCATCTGACAAAGGACTAATATCCAGAATCTATGAAGAACTCAAACAAATCAGCAAGAAAAAAACAAACAATTCCAGCAAAAACTGGGCTAAGGACATGAATAGACAATTCTCAAAAGAAGGTATACAAATGGCCAACAAACATATGAAAAAATGCTTGATACCACTGATTGTCTGGGAAATGTAAATCAAAATCACAATGTGATACCACCTTACTTCTGCAAATATGACTATAATCAAAAAATCAAAAAATAATAAATGTTGGCGTGGATGTGGTGAAAATAAATATTTTTACACTGCTGGTGAAAATGTAAACTAGTGCAACCACTATGGGAAACAGTGTGGTGATTCCTTAAAGAACTAAAAGTAAATCTGCCATTTGATCCAGCAATGTTACTTCTGGGTATCTATCCAGAGGAAAAGAAGTTGTTATACGAAAAAGATATTTGCACACATGTTTATGAAAGCACAATTCACAATTGCAAAAATATGAAAGTAGCCCAAATGCCCATCAATCAATGAGTAGATAAAGAAAATATATATATGGAATACTACTCAGCCATAAAAAGAACAAAACAATGGCATTCACAGTCACTTGGATGGAATTTGAGACCATTATTCTAAGTGAAGTAACTCAGGAATGGAAAACCAAACATCGTATATTCTCATTCATAAGAGGGAGCTAAGCTATGAGGACGCAAAGGCATAACAACGATACAGTGAACTTTGGGGACTCAGGGAAAAGGTTGGGAGGGGATGAGGGATAAAAGACAACACATTTGGTACAGTGTGCACTGCACATGTGATAGGTGCACCAAAATCACTAAATTTACTGCTAAAGAATTTATCAGTGTAACCAAACACCACCTGTTCCCCAAAAACCTACTGAAATAAAAAATTAAAATTAAAATTAAAAAAGAATTTTCCCTACAGTTGTTGTTAGCTTTAAGTTGTTATGTCTTTTGCTGTACAGACTTTTCATTTGTATCTAGTTATCTTTCCTTTTGTTATTTCTCTAATTGCTTCCATCCTTAGAAAGTTTTTTCTGACTAGAGATTATTCATTCATTCATATAAAATAAATTTTACAGGTTCTTGTATTTTCAGTTGTTTAATTTATGGCAAATTTACTCCAGTGTATGCAATGAAGTAAGAATATAAATCTCAGTTTTATATTTTACAAACACCATTTGCTGAAGAATCAATTTCTTAATGACTTGTGATGAGTCATTTATCATACATTAAGGTTATATTTTAGGGTTTACTCTATTTAGGCTCTTCCATGGAATTATTGTTAATTATTGTATCATTTTTCTTTGGACAACTTAGTGATGTAGCTTGCTGTCAAGTAGGTAAATTCTTCTGTCTTCCCATTCTTCTTTCTAAAATTCTTATTTTTCATACTGATTTATTCTGAGAATCATTTTACCACATTCTTCCCTGCCATACACAGAACTCTGGAATGTTGAATGGAATTACTTTAAGACTACACACTAACTGAAGAAGAATGTATACCTTTGCTGTAGTCCTTTTTTCCACTGGGAATATAAAATATCTCTCAAATTAATTAGGTCCAGGCAAGGAAATAAAGCTGAGCATCTACTAAAATTAGTAAATCTGTAAGATTTACTCCTATAAGGAGATACCCACTTCTGCATTTAGCTGGGACCCCAAGGGCAACATTTCATGATGGGATGAAAAAGAAATAAAAACTGATATGCAAATGGAAACAATGGAGAAACCTCCTCGTCTTGAACTTGATGCTTGTTGGAGGGGTAATAGCAGTCTTTATTGAGAATTCATCATCTCAGTCTGGACCCCACATAAATTTCGGTACAAGTTCATATTGGTAGTGATCTGAACAATCTCAAGCCAGGATTAAATTTAAAGAAGTCTCATATTGGCAGTGCCTCCTAGTTGCTGGCAAAAGCAAACACAAATCTTATTTAGAAGAATGTACCTTCAAGCAAGGGTACGTGGGAAAAATTCCCATGAATAAATGCCTAAATAAAATGATCAACTCATAATTTTAAATCATCTAAACACAGACTAAAAAGGCACCATCAGTGAAATAATCAGTAACAGACAATAGAAACAGATGTGCAAAACTTCAGATAGAGAAATATCACACCCAGATATAAAATAACTATCTTTAGCAGTGTTAAATAAATAAAACAGATGTTTGAAAAAAATGGAATAGAACTCTAGAAATGAAAAAATATAATAACTGAAACTAAAACTCAATTGATCACACCCATTATGGTGGCTATTACCAAAAAAAAAAAAAAAAAAAAAACCAGAAAATAAGTGTTGGTGAAGAGAAATTAGAATCCTTGTGCATTGTTGGTGGGAATGTAAAATGTTGCAGCTACTATGGAAAATAGTGTGTGGTTTCCCAAAATATGAAACATAGAATTACTATATGGTTCAACAATCCCCTGTCTGGATATATACCCAAAAGAAATGAAAGCAAGGACTCAGTTACAATCATGTGTTATTTAATGACAGGAATATGTTCTCAGAAATGCATTGTTAGGCAGTTTATCATTGTGTGAACATCATAGAGTATACTTACACAAACCTAGATAATAGAGCCTACTATATACCTAGGCTACAAACCTGTACTATATACAGCATGTTTCCTTACTGAATACTGTAGGCAATTGTAACACAATGGTAAGTACCCAGATATCTAAACATATCTAAATATAGAAAAGAGACAGTAAAAACATAATTCAGAAGATAAAAAATGGTATACCTACATAGGGCACTTACCATGAATGGAACTTGGGGACTGGAAGTTCCTCTGAGTGAGTCAGCAAATAAGTGGTGAGGATGTGAAAGCCTAGGACATTACTGTACTCAACTGTAGACTTTAGAAACACTGTACATTTAGACTACACTAAATTTATTTTTAAAATAATGTTGGCCGGGCTCAGTGGCTCACGCCTGTAATCCCAGCACTTCGGGAGGCCAAGGTGGCTGGATCACAAGGTCAGGAGATCGAGACCATCCTGGCCAACATGGGGAAACCCTGTCTCTACTAAAATACAAAAAATTAGCCTGGCGTGGTGGCATGCGCCTGTTGTCCCAGCTACTCAGGAAGCTGAGGCAGGAGAATCGCTTGAACCTGGGAGGCGGAAGTTGCAGTGAGCTGAGATCGCGCCACCGCACTCCAGCCTGGTGACAGAGCAAGGCTTCATCTCAAAAAAAATAGAGTCATTGTGCTACAACATTATTATGCTATGATGTCACTTGGTGATAGGAATTTATCAGCTCCATTATTATCTTATGGAACCACTGTTTTACATATAGTTTGTTGTTGACTAAAATGCTATTATGGGATGTATGACTATATTTGGACATCTATATTCATAGCAATATTATTCATAATAGCCAAGAGGTGGAAGCAACCCAGTTGTCCATCAACAGATGAATGGATAAGCAAAATGTGGTTTGTACATACAATAAAACATGATCTAAACTTAAAAAAGAAGGAAATTCTGACACATACTGTAACATGGATGAAGCTTGAAGACATTATGCTAAGTGAAATAAGCCAGTCAAAAAAAGATAAATACAGTATGAGTCCACTTATATGAGGTACCTAGAGCAGTCCAATTTATAGAGACAGAAAATAGAATGGTGATTGCCAAGGGCCAGGGGAAGTGGGGAATGAGGAGTTATTGTTTAATCGAGTATGGAATTTCAGTTTGGAAAGATAAAGAAGTTCTGGAGATGAATGGTGGTAATGGTTGCACAACAATGTGAGTATTTAATGCCACTGTACTGTACACTTAAAATGGTAAATTTTATGTTTTTTATATATATTACCGTGATTTACATGTAAATAAATAAATAAATAAATATTTAAAAAACTAAATTAAGGCTTCTGGTAATGATAGACTAGGTTATTCAGACCTCTCATTCTGCCGACTATAAGGTAGCCAAAATAAAAGGTATCTGCTTGAATACAAGCAAGAGAAAGTGAGACAGTGAAAAGTTGCTAGCCCATGTTTTAGGAGGAAAAGGGGAGGCTAGGAAGAGGAACCTCCTTTTTCTCTTGACTTTGAGGCTGCTTTTTCCTTGGAAGCATTTTTCAATTTTAGATGGAGGCTGCCGAGAGGCTGAGAAGGTCTCTTAACAGTACCAGAGGCAGATGAAATAAGGATTGGGGTCCAGGTGCTGCCAAGATTGAGGGGGAACTTCGGTGAACTTCTCTTGTTTTGAGTCGCAACCTTGTGGGCTGAATCCTAGAAAAAGGGTAAACTACAAGTAGAAAGATCCTTTCAAGGACCACTGTTCATATTTGAATTGTATCAATTCCTGAAACTACACTAAAATGATTCCAGATTGTTATTACTCCCAGGCAGCTGGCAGAAGCAAACATCAAATTATCTACAAAATAGTTTCCAAATACAATCTCCAGCACTCAATGAAACATTTTTAGAATATAAAGAGAAACAATAGCATGATAGAAAATCACCAGAAACAGCAGGCCGGCAAAATCAACAGTCCACCAATATAAAATCATGGTGATATCAAATATTAACTGTAAAATAACCAAATTTACTATATTCAATAAAAGATAGAGATTTTTGACAGAGGATTAGAAACTGAAAAAAAAAAAAGAACCAAATGGCAGTTCTAGAACTGAAAAAGACAATGACTATATTTTATAATTCAATGGGTGAATTTGACAGGAATTTAGACTGAGAGCTAAAGAGAGAATTAGCGAATTGAAAGACAGACGAGAAAAAATGATTCATGTATATGCATATCTAGCATGATGAATATGAAACAGAAAGGACAGAAAATCCAGAAGAAAGAGTGAGAGAAAAAGAGGGTATGGTGAGAGTATTCAGTTGAAGTCCCAGAAGGAAAGAAGACCCATAATGAGGTCAAAATAATACTTGGGCTGCACATAGTGGCTCATGCCTTTAATCCCAACATTTTGAGAGGCCAAATGGGGAGGATTGCTTGAGACCAGGAGTGAGAGACCAGCCAGGGCAACAAAGAAAGACCCTGTCTCTCCAAAAAAAATAAAATAAATAAATAAATAAGAAGAAAGAAAAAAATTAGGTGGGTGTGGTTGTGTGCCTGTAGTCCTAGCTACTTGGGAGGCTGAGGCAGGAGGATTACTTGAGCCCAGGAGTTGGAGGCTGCAGTGAATTCTGATCATACCACTGCACTCCAGCACTCTCACAACAGTGTGAGACTCTGTCCCTAATGATAACAATAATAATAATATTTGAAGAGATAATAGCCAAGAAATTTCCAAAACTAATGAAAGACATCAATCACAGATTGAGAAAAGTCTATACATATTCAAAGCAACATTAACCAAAAGAAAACTATGCTTAGGCAAAGCATGTAAAACTGTTAAAAACCAAAGGAAAACAGGAAAATCTTGGAAATCACCATAGGAAAAAAAATTACTTCAAAAGAGCAATAATTAGACTGGCATCTCACTTTTCAGTGAAATGGAATAAAAAATGACAATGGAATTAAGTTAAATGACTAAAAGTTAATATTTATCATCTTAAAATTTTTTCAATTCTAAGATATTTTGTGAATTCCAAGAAATTCCAGTGAAAATATCCTTCAAGAATGAAGGAGAGGCTGGGCGGGCATGGTGATGCATACCTGTAGTCCTAGCTAGTCTGGATGGTAAGGCAGGAGGATCACTTGAGCCCAGGAGTTCAAGCCTAGCCTGAGCCACATAGGGAGACCTCATCTCTTAAAACAAACAAACAAACAAAAAAGAATGAAAATGAAACAAAAATAATCACGCGGGAGGCGGACCAAGATGGCCAATTAGAAGCTTCAGTCTGCAGCTCTCACCGAGAGGAGTGAAAATGGCAAGTGAATTCTGTACTTTCAACTGAGGCATCCAAGTTCTTTCTTGTTCTAGGCAGACAGCTTGACCCATGGAGAGCAAGGAAAAGCAGGTTGAGGCGACAACCCACCTGAAGCAGCACAAAGCCAGGGAGACCCCACCCCCAGCCAAGGGAAGTAGTGAGTGACTGTGAGGCCCTGCCCAGGAAACCACTTTTTTCCCATGTATCTTTGCAACCTGTGGATCAGGAGATACCTGAGCCACCAGAGACTTAGGTCCGAAGCAAAGAGCTGTGTGGAGTCTTGGGGAAGTGGACACTCACGCATGCACAGAGACCCAGGAGTTTTGTGTACTCTGGCCCTGGGGATTCTGGTGAGGTGGGAGTTCCATTCGTGCATTCCCCTAGGAAGGGGGCTGAATCCAGGGAGCCAAGCAGAGTTGTTCTGATGGCCCCACTCCAATGGCACCTCACAATTTAGGACACACTGGCTTGGAATTCCAGCTGGCCAGTGGCAGTAGGCTGGAGACTGCCTGAGACAGACTGAGTTCCCCAGGGGAGGGGCGGCTGCCATCTCTGTGGTTTGAGTGGGCCATTCTAGCATGCTGGCTCCGGGAAGTCCAGGCGGTCCAGACCAGAACTCTGATCTCTTCCTGTGACAGAGCCCCAGGGGAAGGGCCAGCCACAGGCTCTGTGTTTCAGCTGACTTAGTCTTTCTAGCCTCTGGCTCTAGAGAGTCTAGGCAGTCTGGACAAGGGGGCTCCCCCCACAGTGCAGCGCACCTGCCCTGCCAAGGGGCAGCAAGATTGCTACTTTAAGTGGGTCTCTGATCCCATTCCTCCTGATTGGGTGAGACTTCCCAACAGGGGTCTCTAGACTCCTCCTACAGGAGCGTTCAGGCCAGGATCAAGTTAATGCTCTCCTGAGATGGAGCTCCCAGAGGAAGGAGCGGCCTGCCATCTTTGCTGTTTCACAGCCTTCACTGGTGATACCTCCAGGTGTGGGAGGGATAGAGGTAACTAGGATATGGAGTGAACCCCCAGTAAACCACAGCAGCCCTACAGAAGAGTGGGCTGACCAATTAAAAAAAAAGAGAGAGAGCAACAACAACAACATCAACAAAAAGATCCTGCAAAAACCCCATTCAAAAGTCAGCAATCTCAAAAATCGAAGGTAGGTAAGCCCACAAAGATGAGAAAGAATCAATACAAAAATGCTAAAAACTCAAAAAGCCAGAGTGCCTCTTCTCTTCCAAATGACTGCAACACCTTTCCAGCAAGGGCACAGAACTGGGTTGAGGCTGAGATGGCTGAATTCACAGAAGTAGGCTTCAGAAAGCAATAATGAACTTCACTGAGCTAAAGGAGCATGTTCTAATCCAATGCAAAGAAGCTAAGCATCATGATTAAACTATACAGGAGTTGGTAACAGAATAGCCAATTTAGAGAGGGGCATAACTGATCTGATAGAGCTGAAAAACACAACACAAGAAATTCACAATGCAATCACAAGTATAAATAGCAGAATAGACCATGCAAAAGAAAAAAATCTTAGAGCTAGAAGATTATCTTTCTGAAATCAGACAGACAGACAGACAAGAATAGAGAAAAAATAATGCAATAGAATGAGTAAAACCTCTGAGAAATATGGGATTATGTAAAAAGACTGAACCTACAACTGACTGGTGTTCCTGAAAGGGAAGGGAAAAATGAAACCAAGTAGGAAAACATACTTCAGGATATCATCCGGGAGAACTTCCACAACCTAGCAAGACAGACCAATATTCAAATTCAGGAAATTCAGAGAATCCTAGTAACATCCTCCATGAGAAGATCAACCCCAAGACACATAATCATCAGATTCTGTGAGGTCAAATGAAGGAAAAAATGTTAAGGGCAACCAGAGAGAAAGGCCAGGTCACCTACAAAGGGAAGCCTATCAAACTAACAGCAGACCTCTCAGCAGAAACCCTAGAAGCCAGAAGAGATTGGAGGCCAATATTCAACATTCTTAAAGAAAAGAATTTCCAACCCAGAATTTCATTACCAGCCAAATTAAGCTTCATAAGCAAAGGAGAAATAAGATCCTTTTCAGACAAACAAACACTGAGGAAATTCATCACCACAAGGTCTGCCTTGCAAGAGCTCCTGAAAGAAGCACTAAATATGGAAAGGAAAAACTATATTATCCATTACAAAAATACACTAAAGTACACAGACCAGTGACACTATGAAGCAACCACATAAACAAGTCTGCAAAATAACTGGCTAGCATCATGATGACGGGATCAAATTCACACATAACAATATTAACCTTAAATGTAAATGGGTTAAATGCCCCAATTAAAAGACACAGATTGGCAAGATGGATAAAGACTTAAGCCCCATTGGTATGCTGTCTTCAAGAGACTCACCTCACGTTCAAAGACACACGGAGGCTCAAAATAAAGGGATGGAGGAAAATTTACCAAGCAAATGGAAAGCAGAAAAAAGGAGGGGTTGCAATCCTAGTTTCTGACAAAACAGACTTTAAACCAGCTAAAATCAAAGAAGACAAAGAAGGGCATTATATAATGGTAAAGTGTTCAATTGAACAAGAAGAGCTAACTATCCTAAATACATATACACCCAATACAGAAATACCCAGATCCATAAAACAAGTTTTTAGAGACCTACTAAGAGACTTAGACTCCCACCAAATAATAGTGGGAGACTTTAACACCCCACTGACAATATTAGACAGATCATCAAGATGGACAATTAACAAAGATATTCACGGCCTGAACTCAATTCTGAATCAAGTGGACCTAATAGATACCTATGGAACTCTCCACCCAAAAACAACAGACTATACATTCTTCTCATCACCACATAGCACTTACCTAAAATTGATCAGACAATTGAAAGTAAAACACTCCTCAGCAAATGCAAAACAACTGAAATCATAACAAATAGTTTCTCAGACCACAGTGCAATCAAATAAGAGCTCAAGATTAAGAAGCTCACTCAAAGTCACACAACTATATGGAAATTGAACAACCTGCTCCTAAATGGCTCTTGGGTAAATAATGAAATTAACGCAGAAATCAAGAAGTTCTTTGAAACTAGTGAGAACAAAAAGACAACATTCCAGGATCTCTGGGACCCAGCTAAAGCAGTGTTAAGAAGGTAATTTATAGCACTAAATGCCCATGTGAAAAAGCTAGAAAGATCTCAAATCAACAACCTAACATTACTACTAAAAGAACTAGAGAACCAAGAGCAAACAAACCCCAAGGCTAGCAGAAGACAAGAAATAACCAAGATCAGAGCAGAACTGAAGGAGATAGAGACACGAAAAACCCTTCAAAAATTCAACAAATCCAGGAGCTTTCTTTTTTAAAAATTAATAGACCACTAGCTAGACTAACAAAGAAGAAAAGAGAGAAGAATCAAATAGACACAATCAGAAATGATAAGGGGGATATCGCCACTGATCCCACAGAAATGCAAACAAACATTAGAGAATACTATAAACACTTTTATGCACATAAACTGGAAAATCTAGAAGAAATGGATACATTTCTGGACACACACACCACCCCCAAGACTGAACCAGGGAGAAACTGAATCCCTGAATAGACCAATAAAGAATTCTCAAATTGAAGCAGTAATAAATTGTCTACCAACCAAAAAAAGCCCAGGACCAGACAGATTCACAGCTGAATTCTACCAGAGGTACAAAGAAGAGCTGGTACCATTTCTACTGAGACTATTCCAAACAATTGAAAAGGAAGGACTCCTCCCTAACTCATTTTATGAGGCCAGCATCATCTTGATACCACAACCTTATAGCAGACATACAACAAAAAACCAAAACTTCAGGCCAATATCCCCAATGAACATCGATGCAAAAATCCTCAGTAAAATACTGGCAAACTGAATCCAGCAGCACATCAAAGAGCTTATCCACCATGATCAAGGTGGCTTCTTCCCTGAGATACAAGATTGGTTCAACATATGCAAATCAATAAATGTATTTCATCATATAAACAGAACAAAAACCACATGATTATCTCAATAGACACAGAAAAGGCCTTTGATAAAATTCAACATCTTTTCATGTTAAAAACTCTAAATAAACTAGGTATTGAAGGAGCATACCTCAAAATAATAACAGCCATATATGACAAATCGACAGCCAATATCATACTGAATGGGCAAAAGCTAGAAACATTTCCCTTGAAAACTGGCACAAGACAAGGATGCCCTCTCATCAATCCTATTCAACATAGTATTGGAAGTTCTGGCCAGGGCAATCAGGCAAGAGAAAGCAATAAAGAGCATTCAAATAGAAAGAGAGGAAGTCGAAGCCTGGGTAACAGAGTGAGACTCTGTCTCAAAAAAAAAAAAAAAAAAAAAAAAAGAAAGAGAGGAAGTTGAATTATCTTTGTTTGAAGATTATATGATCCTATATCTAGAAAACCCCATTGTCTTAGCCCAAAAGCTTCTTAAGCTCATAAGCAACTTCAGCAATGTCTTAGGATACAAAATCAATGTGCAAAAATCATAAGGATTCCTATACACAAACAATAGGCAAGCAGAGGGCCAAATAATGAATGAATTTCCATGCACAATTCCTACAAAGAGAATAAAATACGTAGGAATACAGCTAACAAGGGAAGTGAAGGACCTCTTCAAGGAGAACTACAAACCACTGCTCAGGGAAATCAGAAAGGACACAAACAAATGAAAATACATTCCATGCTCATGGATAGGAAGAATCAATATCATGAAAATGACCATACTGCCCAAATTTATAGATTCAATGGTATTCTCATTAAATTACCACTGATATTCTTCACAGAATTAGAAAAAAACTATTTTAAAATTCACATGGAATCCAAAAAGAGCCCGAATAGCCAAGACAATCCTAAGCAGAAGGAACAAAGCTGGAGGCATCATGCTACCCAACTTCAAACCATACTAATAAGGCTACAGTAACCAAAAGAGCATGGTACTTGTACAAAAACAGATACATAGACCAATGGAACAGAATAGAGAACTGAGAGATAAGACCACACACCTACACCCACCTGATCACTGACAAATCTGACAAAAAGAAGCAGTGGGAAAAGGATTCCCTATTTAATAAATGGTGCTGGAAGAGCTGGCCAGCCATATGCAGAAACTGGACCCCTACTTTACACCATATACAAATATTAACTCAAGATGGATTAAACACTTAAATGTAAAACCCAAAACTATAAAAACCGTAGAAGAAATAGGCAATACCATTCAAGGCATAGGCACAGGCAAAGATTTCATGCCAAAAATGTCAAAAACAATTGCAACTAAAGCAAAAATTGACAAATGGGATCTAATTAAACTAAAGAGCTCTGTACAGCAAAAGAAATTATCATCAGAGTGAACAGACAACCTACAGAATGGGAGAAAAATTTTGCAGTCTATCCATCTGACAAAGATCTAATATCCAGCATCTACAAGAAACTTAAATAAATTTACAAGAAAAAAACAACCCCATTAAAAAGTGGGCAAAGGACACGAACAGACACTTCTAAAAAGAAGACATTCATGCAGCCAACAAACATATAAAAAAAGCTCAACATCACTCATTGTTAAAGAAATGCACAAAAACCTAAAACCAAAATGAGATACCATCTCATGCCAGTCAGAGTGGTGATTACTTTTTTAAGAGGAAAATAAAGTTTATTTATGACACTTTTTAAAAAAAATTATACTTTAAATTCTGGGATACATGTGCAGTATGTTCAAGTTTGTTACATAGGTATACATGTGCCATGGTGGCTTGCTACACCCATCAACCCGTCATCTACATTAGGTATTTCTCCTAATGCTATCCCTCCCCTAGCCACCCAACCCCCAACAGACCCCAGTGTGTGACGTTCCCCTCCCTGTGTCTGTGTGTTCTTATTGTTCAACTCCCACTTATGAGCGAAAACATGCAGTATTTGGTTTTCTGTTCCTGTGTTAGTTTGCTGAAAATGATGGTTTCCAGCTTCTTCCATGTTCCTGCAAAGGATATGAACTCATCCTTTTTTATGGCGCATAATATTTCATGGTGTATATGTGCCACATTTTCTTTATCCAGTCTATCATTGATGGGCATTTGGGTTGGTTCCAAGTCTTTGCTATTGTGAATAGTGTTGCAATAAACATACATGTGCATGTGTCTTTATAGTAGAATGATTTATAATCTTTGGGTATGTACCTAGTAATGGGATTGCTGGGTCAAACAGTATTTCTAGTTCTAGATCCTTGAGGATTTGCCACACTGTCTTCGACAATGGTTGAACTAATGTACAGTCCCACCAACAGTGTAAAATTGTTCCTATTTCTCCACATCCTCTCCAGCATCTATTGTTTTCTGAGTTTCTAACGATCGCCATTCTAACTGGCATGAGATGGTTTCTCACTGTGGTTTTGATTTGCATTTCTCTAATAACCTGTGATGATGAGCTTTTCTTTCACAAATCTGTAGGCTGTATAAATGTCTTCTTTTGAGAAGTGTCTGTTCATATCCTTTGCCCACTTTTTGATGGGGTTGTTTTTTTCTTGTAAATTTGTTTAAGTTCCTTGCAGATTCTGGACATTAGCCCTTTGTCAGATGGATAGATTGCAAAAATTTTCTCCCATCTGTAGGTTGCCTGTATAATCTGATGATAGTTTCTTTTGTTGTGCAGAAGCTCTTTGGTTTAATTAGATCCCATTTTTCAATTTTGGCTTTTGTTACCATGCTTTTGGTGTTTTAGTCATGAAGTCTTTGCCCATGCCTATGTCCTGAATGGTATTGCCTAGGTTTTCTTCTAGGGTTTTTATGCTTTTAGTTCTTACATCTAAGTATTTAATCCATCTTGAGTTAATTTTTATATAAGGCATAAGGAAGGGGTCCAGTTTCAGTTTTCTGCCTATGGTTAGCCAGCTTTCCCAACATCATTTATTAAATAGGGAATCCTTTCCCCATTGCTTGCTTTTGTCAGGTTTGTCAAAGATTAGATGGCTGTAGATGTGTGGCATTATTTCTGAGGCTTCTGTTCTGTTCCTTTGGTCTATAAATCTGCTTTGGTACCAGTACTATGCTGTTTTGGTTACGGTAGACTTGTAGTATAGTTTGAAGTTAGGTAGCGTGATGCCTCCAGCTTTGTTCTTTTTGCTTAGGATTGTCTTGGCTATACAGGCTCTTTTTTCATTCCATATGAAATTTAAAGTAGTTTTTTCTAATTCTGCGAAGAAAGTCAATGGTTGCTTGATGGGGATAGCATTGAATCTTTGAATTACTTTGGGCAGTATGCTCATTTTCACAATATTGATTCTTCCTACCCATGATCATGGAATGTTTTTCCATTTGTTTGTGTCCTTTCTTATTTCCTTGAGCAGTGGTTTGTGGTTCTCCTTGAAGAGGTCCTTTACATACCTTGTAAGTTGTATTCCTAGGTATTTTGTTCTCTTTGTAGCAATTGTGAATGGGACTTCACTTATGATTTGGCTCTCTGTTTGTCTATTATTGGTGTATAGGAATGCTTGTGATTTTTGCACATTGATTTTGTATCCTGAGACTTTGCTCAAGTTGCTTATCAACTTAAAGAGATGATGGGGTTTTCTAAATATACAATCATATAATCTGCAAAGAGACATAATTTGACTTCCTCTTTTCCTATTTGAATATACTTTATTTCTTTGTCTTGCCTGATTGCCCTGGCCAGAACTTCCAATACTATGTTGAATAGAAGTGGTGAGAGAGGGCATCCTTGCCTTGTGCTGGTTTTCAAAGGCAACGCTTCCAGCTTTTGTCCATTCAGTATGATATTGGCTGTGGGTTTGTCATAAATAGCTATTATTGTTTTGAGATACATTCCATAAATACCTAGTTTATTGAGAGTTTTTAGCATGAAGGAGTGTTGAATTTTATCGAAGGCCTTTTCTGCATCTATTGAGATAATCATGTGGTTTTTGTTATTGGTTCTGTTTATGTGATGGATTACATTTATTGATTTGAGTATGTTGAACCAGCCTTGCATCCCAGGGAAAAAGCCAACTCGATCATAGTGGATAAGCTTTTTGATGTGCTGCTGGATTCGGTTTGCCAGTGTTTTATTGAGGATTTTTGCATCAATGTTCATCAGGGATATTTTCTTTTTTGTGTGTGTCTCTGCCAGGGTTTGGTATTGGGATGATGCTGGCCTCATAAAATGAGTTAGGGAGGAGTCTCTCTTTTTCTATTGTTTGGAATAGTTTCAGAAGGAATGGTACCAGCTCCTCTTTCTTTCTTTTTCTTTCTTTTTTTTTGAGACAGAGTCTCGCTCTGTCCTCTGTCCCCCATGCTGGAGTGTAGTGGCACAATCTCGGCTGACTGCAAGCTCTGCCTCCTGGGTTCACACCATTCTCCTGCCTCAGCCTCACGAGTAGCTGGGATTACAGGCACCCGCCACCATGCCTGGCTAATTTTTTGGTATTAAAAATACCAAAAAGAGATGGGATTTCACCGTGTTAACCAGGATGGTCTCGATCTCCTGACCTCGTGTTCTGCCCGCCTCGGCCTCCCAAAGTGCTGGGATTACAGACGTGAGCCACCGCACCCAGCCACCAGCTCCTCTTTCTAACTCTGGCAGAATTTGACTGTGAATCCATCTGTTCCTGGGCTTTTTTTTGGTTTGTAGGCTATTAAGTACTGCCTCAATTTCAGGTCTATTTAGGGATTTGACTTCTTCCTGGTTTAGTCTTGGGAGGATGTATATGTCCAGGAATTTATCCATTTCTTCTAGGTTTTCTAGTTTATTTGCATAAGGGTGTTTATAGTATTCTCTGACGTAGTCTGTATTTCTGTGGGTTCAGTGGTGATATCCCCTTTATCATTTTTTATTGTGTCTATTTGATTCTTCTCTCTTTTCTTCTTTATTAGTCTGGCTAGCAGTCTATCTATTCTGTTAATCTTTTCAAAAAACCAGCTCCTGGGTTCACTGATTTTTTTAAAGGTTTTTCGCGTCTCTATCTTCTTCAGTTCTGCTCTGATCTTAGTTATTTCTTGTCTTCTGCTAGCTTTTGAATTTGTTTGCTCTTGCTTCTCTAGTTCTTTCAATTGTGACATTAGGGTGCCAATTTTTGATCTCTCCTGCTTTCTTTTGTGGGTATTTAGTGCTATAAATTTCCCTCTAAACACTGTTTTAGCTGCATACCAGAGATTCTGGTATGTTGAGTCTTTGTTCTCATTGGTTTCAGAGAACTTATTCATTTCTGCCTCAATTTTGTTATGTACCTGGTAGTCATTCGAGAGCAGGTTGTTCAGTTTCCATGTATTTGTGTGACTTTGAGTGAGTTTCTTAATCCTGAGTTCTAATTTGATTGGACTGTGATCTGAGAGAATGTTTGTTATTATTTCAGTTCTTTTGCATTCACTGAGGAATGTTTTACTTCCAGTTATGTGGTCAATTTTAGAATAAGTGTGATGTGGTGCTGAGAAGAATGTATATTCTGTTGATTTTGGGTGGAGAATCTGTAGATGCCTATTAGCTCCACTTGGTGCAGAGCTGAGTTCAAGTTCTGAATATCCTTGTTAATTTTCTGTCTTGCTGATCTAATATTGACAATGGGGTGCTAAAGTCTCCCACTATTATTGTGTGGGAGTCTAAGTCTCTTTGTAGGTCTCTAAGAACTTGCTTCATGAATCTGGATGCTCCTGTATTGGGTACATATATATTTAGGATAATTAGTTCTTCTTGTAGCCTTGATCCCTTTACCATTATGTAATGCCCTTCTGTTTTTGTTGTTGTTGCTGTTGTTTTGATTCTTGTTGGTTTAAAGTCTGTTTTATCAGAGACTGGATTGCAACCCCTGCTTTTTTTTTTTTTTTTTTTGCTTTCCATTTGCTTGGTAAATATTCCTCCATTTCTTTATTTTGAGGCTATGTGTGTCTTTGCATGTGAGATGTGTTTCCTGAATACAGCACACTGATGGGTCTTAAATCTTTATCTAATTTGCCAGTCAGTGTCTTTTAACTGGGGCATTTAGCCCATTTACACTTAAGGTTAATATTGTTATGTGTGAATTTGATCCTGTCATTATGATGCTAGCTGGTTATTTTGCCTGTTAGTTGATGCAGTTTCTTCACAGTGTCAATGGCCTTTACAATTTGTCATGTTTTTGCAGTGGCTGGTACCAGTTGTTCCTTTCCATATTTAGTGCTTCCTTAGGAGCTCTTCTAAGGCAGGCCTGGTGGTGACAAAATCTCTCAGCATTTGCTTGTCTGTCAAGGATTTATTTCTCCTTCACTTATGAAGCTTAGTTTGGCTCGATATAAATTCTGGGTTGAAAATTCTTTCCTTTAAGAATGTTGAATATTGGCCCCCACTCTCTTGTGGCTTGTAGGATTTCTGCAGAGAGATGCACGGTTAGTCTGGTTAGTCTGATGGGCTTCCCTTTACGGGTAACCCGACCTTTCTCTCTGGCTGCCCTTAACATTTTTTCCTTCATTTCAACCTTGGTGAATCTGACAATTATGTAGATTGGGGTTGCTCTTCTTGATGAGTATCTTTGTGGTGGTCTCCATATTTCCTGAATTTGAATGTTGGCCTGTCTTGCTAGGTTGGGGAAGTTCTCCTGGATAATATTCTGAAGAGTGCTTTCCAACTTGGTTCCATTCTCTCCGTCACTTTCAGGTGCATCAATCAAATGTAGGTTTGGTCTTTTCACATAGTTCCATATTTCTTGGAGGCTTTGCTCATTCCTTTTCATTCTTTTTTCTCTAATCTGGTCTTCTTGCTTTATTTCATTAAGTTGATATTCAGTCTCTGATATCCTTCCTTCCACTTGATCAATTCAGCTAATTATATTTGTGTATGCTACATGAAGTTCTTATGCTGTGTTTTTCAGCTCCATCAGGTCATTTACATTCTTTTCTAGACTGGTTATTCTAGTTAGCAATTCCTCTAAACTTTTTTCAAGGTTCTTAGCTTCCTTGCATTGGGTTAAAATGTGCTCCTTTAGCTCGGGGGAGTTTGTTATTATCCACTTTTTGAAGCCCACTTCTGTCAGTTTGGCAAACTCATTCTTCACCCAGTTTTGTTCCCTTGCTGGCGAGGAGTTGTGATCATTTAGAGGTGGAGAGGCATTCTGGTTTTTGGAATTTTCAGCCGTTTTTGCACTGGTTTTTCCTCATCTTTGTGGATTTATCTACTTTTGGTCTTTGATGTTGGTGACCTTCAGATGGGGTTTCAGTGTGGGCATCCTTTTTGTTGATGTTGATATTATTCCTTTCTGTTTGTTAGTTTTCCTTCTACCAGTCAGGCCCCTTTGCTGCAGGTCTGCTGGAGTTTGCTGGAGGTTCACTCCAGACCCTCTTTGCCTGGGTATCACCAGCAGAGGCTGCAGAACAGCAAAGATTGCTGCCTGTTCCTCCTCTGAAGCTTGGTCCCAGAGGGGCACTCGCCAGATGCCAGCCAGAGCTCTCCTGTATGAGGTGTCTGTCTACCCCTGCTGGGAGGCGTCTTGTTGTCAGGAGGCACAGGGGTCAGGGACCCACTTGAGGAGGCAGTCTGTCCCTTAGCAGAGCTCGAGCACTATTCTGGGAGATCTGCTGCTTTCTTCAGAGCCAGCATGCAGGAAGGTTTAAGTCTGCTGAAGCTATGCCCACAGCCACTTCTTCCCCCAGGTGCTCTGTCCCAGGGAGATGGGAGTTTTATCTATAAGCCCCTGACTGGGGCTGCTGCCTTTCTTTTAGAGATGCCCTGCCCAGAGAGGAGGAATCAAGAGAGGCAGTCTGGCTACAGCAGCTTTGCAGCATTGAGGTGGGCTCCGCCCAGTTCGAACTTCCCAGTGGCTTTCTTTACACTGTGAGGTGAAAACCGCCTACTCAAGCCTCAGTAATGGCAGACAACCCTCCCCCGAGCAAGCTGGTGCATCCCAGGTCAACTTCAGACTGCTGTGCTGGCAGCGAGAATTTCAAGCCAGTGGATCTTAGCTTCCTGGGCTTCCTGGGGGTGGGATTTGCTGAGCTAGGCCATTTGGCTCCCTGGCTTCAGCCCCCTTTCCAGGGGAGTGAATGGTTCTCTCTTGCTGGCTTTCCAGGTGTCAATGGGGTATGAAAAAAAATCTCCTGCAGCTAGCTCTGTGTCTGCCAAAATAGCTGCCCAGTTTTGTGCTTGAAACCCAGGGTCCTCATGGCATAGGCACATGAGGGAATCTCCCTATCTGTGGGTTGGGAAGACCATGGGAATAGCGAAGTATCTGGGCTGGATAGCACAGTCCCTCATGGCACAGTCCCTTATGGCTTCCCTTGACTAGGGGAGGGAGTTCCCCAACCCCTTGTGCTTCCCGGGTGAGGCAACACCCCACCCTGCTTTGGCTCACCCTCTGTGGGCTGCACCCACTATCTAACCAGTCCTAATGAGATGAGCTGTGTACTTCAGTTGGAAAAGCGGAAATCACCCACCTTCTGTGTTGATCTCACTGGGAGCCGCAGACCACAGCAGTTCCTATTTAGCCATCTTGCCAGCCACCCAGAGTGGTGATTATTAAATAGTTAAGAAACAGCAGATACTGTCAAGGTTGTGGAGAAAAAGGAATGCTTTTACACTGTTGGTGGGCATGTAAATTAATTCAAAAGTGTAGGAGACAGTGTGGTAATTCCTCAAAGATCTAGAAGCAGAAATACCATTTGACCCAGCAATCCCTTTACTGGCTATATACCCAAAAGAATAGAAATCATTCTATTATAAAGATACATACATATGTATGTTCATTGTAGCGCTATTCACGATAGCAAAGACATGGAATCAACCCAAATGCCCATCAGTGATAGACTCGATAAAGAAAATGTGGTATATATAAACTATGGACTACTATGCAGGCATAAAAAGGAATGAGATCATGTCCTTTGCAGGGACATGGATGGGGCTGGAGGCCGTTATCCTCAGTAAATTACTGCAGGAACAGAAAATCAAACACTGCATGTTCTCACTTGTAAGTGGGAGGTGAACGATGAGAACACATAGACACATGGAGGGGAGCAACACACACTGGGGCTTGTCAGGTGTGGTGGGGGTTGGGAGAGCATCAAGAAGAATAGCTAATGGATGCTGGGCTTAACAGCTAGATGATGGGTTGATCTGTGCAGCAAACTACCTATGTAACAAACCTGCACATCCTGCACATGTAACCCAGAACACAAAATAAAAGTTGAAGAAAAAAATAAATAATTATGGAAACAAAAACTGAGATAATTCATCATAAGAAGATCTGAACTAAAGGAAATGCTAAAAGGTATTCTTCAGGCAAAAGAAAAATGATCCCAGATAGATGATAGAAATTCAGAGATGTAGGAAGAAATGAAGAGCAGTAAAAAAAAAAAAAAAAAAAAGTAAGTGAAAAACAATGTTTTATGATTTTCAAATATGTACAATTAAAATATAACAATGGCATAAAGGTATGGATGGGGGATGAATAGAGTTAAATAAAATATTTGAAAGTCCTTTTGAAAGAGGGTGAAAAATAACCAAATAATCAAGTAGCATATTTATAATAAAAATACAGCAATTATAACGAATGTAAAAGATTAATTTTTTGATTAAAGGTTAAGACTGCCAAACCACATTAAGATAAAAACAATATCACCTTTTTACTGCTTTTTTTGTTTGAGATATGGTCTCGCTCTGTGGTCATACTGGAGTGCACTGGCCTGACCATGGTTCACTGCATCCTCAACTTTCTGGGCTCACGCAATCCTCCCACCTCAGCCTCTTGTGTTTACTGCTTTACAAGTAAAGTATAGAAAACATCAGGATGGGAAAAGATGTAACATGCCATGCAAACATCTATCAAAAGATTAACATAGTAGTAACTACATTAGTATCAAACAGACTTTAAGGCAAAAAACATTACTGTGAGTATAGAGAGAAATTCCTTATGATAAATGAGCTAGTTCACCAAAGAGCTATAATAATTATATATCTGAACATATGTAATAACACAGCTTCAAAATATGTAAGGGAAAAATTGACAGATCCTAAGAGGAGAAGTTCACAACTATAGTAGGATACTTTGCGCACCTCTTCTAGTCAATGGTAGAACAAGCAAACAAAAATTCAGTTGGGATACAGAAAATCTGAACACAATAATGAGTCAAGCTGATCTAATTGTCAAATATACAACACTCATGCTCAATAATAGCAGACTATCTGTTATTTTCAAATGCACATGAAATATTTATAAAAAATTGCTATAAGTGAAATCAGAAATCAAATATTGACACGTGTCAAAGAACTTAAGTCATACAAAAAATTTTCTTCTATTAAATGCAATTAAACTAGAAACAACAAACATAACTAGAAAATCGCTACATGTTTGGCCATTAAGACATAAACTTCTAAATAACCCACCAGTCAATGAAAATATCACAATGAATATTTTAAAATATTTTAAATTGAAAAATGTCAAAAATGTTACATTTCAAAACTTGTAGGATATAGCTAAAATGTTGTTAGAGGGAAATCTATAAGTTTATATGCATATGTTTGAAAAGAAGAAAGGTGGACATTCAATTATTTTTACTTATTGATTTATTTTTGAGACAGAGTCTCACTCTGTTGCCAGGCTGGAGAGCAGTGGTATGATCTCGGCTCACTGTAACCTCTGCCTCCCGAATTCAAGTGATTTTCCTGCCTCAGCCTCCCAAGTAGCTGAGACTACAGGTGTGCACCACCACGCCCAGCTAATTTTTGTATTTTTAGTAGAGACGAGGTTTCACCATGTTGGCCAGGATGGTCTCGATCGCTTGACCTTGTGATCTGCCCGCCTCGGCCTCCCAAAGTGCTGGGATTACAGGCATGAGCCACCGTGCCCAGCTCAATTATTTAAATAACTGTCATGAGAAAAAAAAAAGAACATTAAAGTAAACTCCAAAATTATGTAAGGAAGAAATAATAAATGTAGCCACAAGACTTAATATAATAGAAAATAAAATAGAGAGGAATGACAAAATAAAAGATAGATTATTTGAGAAGACTAATAAGTTGATGAACCCATGGCAACATTAAGAAAAAAAGAGAAAAGATGTAAAGAATCAATGAAAAATAGAAAAGTAGAAATACCACAGACCTCATAAACATGAAAACACCATGAGAAGATAGCATGAACAACTTTATTTACTTATTTTAACTTTTATTTTAGGTTCAGGGGTACATGCGCAGGTTTGTTATATTGGCAAACTTGTGCCATGGGGGTTTGTTGTACAAATTATTTCATCACCTAGGTACCAAGCCAAATACTCAACAGTTATTTTTTTTCTGACTGATGCTCTCCCTCCTCCTACCCTCCACCCTCAAGTAGGCCCCAGGGTCTGTTGTTTCGTTCTTTGTGTTCGTGTGTCCTCATCATTTAGTCCCACTTACAAGTGAGAGAATGTGGTATTTGATTTTCTGGCTGCGTTAGTTTTCTAAGGATGATGGCCTCCAGCTCCATTTGTGATGAACAACTTTAAAACAATATTTTGAAAATTTAGAGGAAATGTTTAAATTTGTTAGATAAAAGTATAACTTACCAATATTGGGACAAAAATAGAAAATCTGAAAGCCACATAAGGATTAAAGAATATGATCTATAAAACCCAATAGCTTTGCCAATATATTCTTCTGGACATTTAGGAACGCAATAATGCTAATTTATAACAAACTCTTACAGAGAAAAACCAAAGTAGGAATACTCTACAACAATTAGGTCAAACCTTCTGAAAAGGCTGTTGGTGTCAATCAAAAATGATTGAATATCAGCGATTGCATATGGGTCAATCTAATAGTTTTATGATCCATCACAAAATTGATACAAAATCCCAATGAGGATATTTTAAGAAAGGATAATACAGCATGACCAAGTTCGGTTTTGTTGAGGCCAAGAGAGAACTCTGAAAATCAACTGACAGAGGCAGATGAAGAGGAGAAAAGGCATATGAATATATTAATGTGCAGGGAGGGGGAGCCATCCCAGAATGATTAACCCACCACACAATAGGCCAAAGGGGTACAGATGCTTACATACCCTTCTTCTTAGGGGAAAGGAAGATAGGAAAGTGTGGATGATTTTAGGGGGATAGTAAATGATTTTTAGGGGAATTCAATGAGACTGAAAAACGTAATGGCCTGGGACAAAGTTAGCTGGGCTTGCAGAGCACATAGTGGTTTGTGACAAGTCTGTTCAGGCGTGTTGACAGACTTCAGTGTTTCTTCCTGCAATATAAGTTCAGTTTATAAAACTCAGGGAAGGGAGCAGAGGTCATTGTTTTCTTCTTCGGTGAGCCCAGACTTTAGGCAGATAAGGGAAGTTCAGAGAACAACTCCATCCTGTGCTTTGGGAGAGACAGAGGATTGAGAGACAAGATGGGGGAAGCCCAGAGAGGCCTTGAGGCTTCTCGTTCAGTTCAGCATTTCAAGGCATCATATTTTGGGGTATCAGTTTCTGAGCCCCAACAGTTTGTTCTAGAAAGTTAACTTAAAGGGGGTAAAATCTATGTAACTTACAAAATTAGCAACACAAAGAAGAAAAATGACACAATCAACTCAATGGACTTGGAAAGGGTATTTGATAAAAAAAACACTTATTCATGATACAGGAAGGAAGTGGGGGAAAAACTCTTGGCAAAGTAGAAATAGAAAGAAACTGATAAGTTGTATCCACCAAAAACCTACAGCCAATATCATACTTATTGGGCAAGTGTTGAAAGCTTTTGTTCTGGTATCAGGGATCAGACCAGGATGCTCATCATTAACTATTTCTATTAAACATTTTACTGGATATTCTAGTCAGTACATAATGTGAAGAAAAAGAAACAAATTATAGAAAGAAAGAGAATTATCATTATTCAGAAATAATATAAAAAAATTATATCCCTAAAAAATCTAAAATAATCTGTATTTAGAACTAATGTTCTAATAGTTCCACTAGAATGATTAGATTTTATCTAATATATAGTATGTGTTAGATTATATATCATTTATTAGATTTTATCTAATGTATATAAAATATATCTAAATAGATACAGGATCTTAAGGTTGAAGGTTTGGATATTGATTTGAGAACTACTTTTTTTTTTTTTTTTTTTTTTTTATTATACTCTAAGTTTTAGGGTACATGTGCACATTGTGCAGGTTAGTTACATATGTATACATGTGCCATGCTGGTGCGCTGCACCCACTAATGTGTCATCTAGCATTAGGTATATCTCCCAATGCTATCCCTCCCCCCTCCCCCGACCCCACCACAGTCCCCAGAGTGTGATATTCCCCTTCCTGTGTCCATGTGATCTCATTGTTCAATTCCCACCTATGAGTGAGAATATGCGGTGTTTGGTTTTTTGTTCTTGCGATAGTTTACTGAGAATGATGGTTTCCAATTTCATCCATGTCCCTACAAAGGATATGAACTCATCATTTTTTATGGCTGCATAGTATTCCATGGTGTATATGTGCCACATTTTCTTAATCCAGTCTATCATTGTTGGACATTTGGGTTGGTTCCAAGTCTTTGCTATTGTGAATAGTGCCGCAATAAACATACGTGTGCATGTGTCTTTATAGCAGCATGATTTATACTCATTTGGGTATATACCCAGTAATGGGATGGCTGGGTCAAATGGTATTTCTAGTTCTAGATCCCTGAGGAATCGCCACACTGACTTCCACAATGGTTGAACTAGTTTACAGTCCCACCAACAGTGTAAAAGTGTTCCTATTTCTCCGCATCCTCTCCAGCACCTGTTGTTTCCTGACTTTTTAATGATTGCCATTCTAACTGGTGTGAGATGATATCTCATAGTGGTTTTGATTTGCATTTCTCTGATGGCCAGTGATGATGAGCATTTCTTCATGTGTTTTTTGGCTGCATAAATGTCTTCTTTTGAGAAGTGTCTGTTCATGTCCTTCACCCACTTTTTGATGGGGTTGTTTGTTTTTTTCTTGTAAATTTGTTTGAGTTCATTGTAGATTCTGGATATTAGCCCTTTGTCAGATGAGTAGGTTGCAAAAATTTTCTCCCATGTTGTAGGTTGCCTGTTCACTCTGATGGTAGTTTCTTTTGCTGTGCAGAAGCTCTTTAGTTTAATTAGATCCCATTTGTCAATTTTGTCTTTTGTTGCCATTGCTTTTGGTGTTTTGGACATGAAGTCCTTGCCCACGCCTATGTCCTGAATGGTAATGCCTAGGTTTTCTTCTAGGGTTTTTATGGTTTTAGGTTTAACGTTTAAATCTTTAATCCATCTTGAATTGATTTTTGTATAAGGTGTAAGGAAGGGATCCAGTTTCAGCTTTCTACATATGGCTAGCCAGTTTTCCCAGCACCATTTATTAAATAGGGAATCCTTTCCCCATTGCTTGTTTTTCTCAGGTTTGTCAAAGATCAGATAGTTGTAGATATGCGGCATTATTTCTGAGGGCTCTGTTCTGTTCCATTGATCTATATCTCTGTTTTGGTACCAGTACCATGCTGTTTTGGTTACTGTAGCCTTGTAGTATAGTTTGAAGTCAGGTAGTGTGATGCCTCCAGCTTTGTTCTTTTGGCTTAGGATTGACTTGGCGATGCGGGCTCTTTTTTGGTTCCATATGAACTTTAAAGTAGTTTTTTCCAATTCTGTGAAGAAAGTCATTGGTAGCTTGATGGGGATGGCATTGAATCTGTAAATTACCTTGGGCAGTATGGCCATTTTCACGATATTGATTCTTCCTACCCATGAGCATGGAATGTTCTTCCATTTGTTTGTCTCCTCTTTTATTTCCTTGAGCAGTGGTTTGTAGTTCTCCTTGAAGAGGTCCTTCACATCCCTTGTAAGCTGGATTCCTAGGTATTTTATTCTCTTTGAAGCAATTGTGAATGGGAGTTCACCCATGATCTGGCTCTCTGTTTGTCTGTTGTTGGTGTATAAGAATGCTTGTGATTTTTGTACATTGATTTTGTATCCTGAGACTTTGCTGAAGTTGCTTATCAGCTTAAGGAGATTTTGGGCTGAGACGATGGGGTTTTCTAGATAAACAATCATGTCGTCTGCAAACAGGGACAATTTGACTTCCTCTTTTCCTAATTGAATACCCTTTATTTCCTTCTCCTGCCTGATTGCCCTGGCCAGAACTTCCAACACTATGTTGAATAGGAGTGGTGAGAGAGGGCATCCCTGTCTTGTGCCGGTTTTCAAAGGGAATGCTTCCAGTTTTTGCCCATTCAGTATGATATTGGCTGTGGGTTTGTCATAGATAGCTCTTATTATTTTGAAATACGTCCCATCAATACCTAATTTATTGAGAGTTTTTAGCATGAAGGGTTGTTGAATTTTGTCAAAGGCTTTTTCTGCATCTATTGAGATAATCATGTGGTTTTTGTCTTTGGCTCTGTTTATATGCTGGATTACATTTATTGATTTGCGTATATTGAACCAGCCTTGCATCCCAGGGATGAAGCCCACTTGATCATGGTGGATAAGCTTTTTGATGTGCTGCTGGATTCGGTTTGCCAGTATTTTATTGAGGATTTTTGCATCAATGTTCATCAAGGATATTGGTCTAAAATTCTCTTTTTTGGTTGTGTCTCTGCCCGGCTTTGGTATCAGAATGATGCTGGCCTCATAAAATGAGTTAGGGAGGATTCCCTCTTTTTCTATTGATTGGAATAGTTTCAGAAGGAATGGTACCAGTTCCTCCATGTACCTCTGGTAGAATTCGGCTGTGAATCCATCTGGTCCTGGACTCTTTTTGGTTGGTAAACTATTGATTATTGCCACAATTTCAGAGCCTGTTATTGGTCTATTCAGAGATTCAACTTCTTCCTGGTTTAGTCTTGGGAGAGTGTATGTGTCGAGGAATGTATCCATTTCTTCTAGATTTTCTAGTTTATTTGCGTAGAGGTGTTTGTAGTATTCTCTGATGGTAGTTTGTATTTCTGTGGGATCGGTGGTGATATCCCCTTTATCATTTTTTATTGTGTCTATTTGATTCTTCTCTCTCTTTTTCTTTATTAGTCTTGCTAGCGGTCTATCAATTTTGTTGATCCTTTCAAAAAACCAGCTCCTGGATTCATTGATTTTTTGAAGGGTTTTTTGTGTCTCTATTTCCTTCAGTTCTGCTCTGATTTTAGTTATTTCTTGCCTTCTGCTAGCTTTTGAATGTGTTTGCTCTTGCTTTTCTAGTTCTTTTAATTGTGATGTTAGGGTGTCAATTTTGGATCTTTCCTGCTTTCTCTTGTAGGCATTTAGTGCTATAAATTTCCCTCTACACACTGCTTTGAATGCGTCCCAGAGATTCTGGTATGTGGTGTCTTTGTTCTCGTTGGTTTCAAAGAACATCTTTATTTCTGCCTTCATTTCGTTATGTACCCAGTAGTCATTCAGGAGCAGGTTGTTCAGTTTCCATGTAGTTGAGCGGCTTTGAGTGAGATTCTTAATCCTGAGTTCTAGTTTGATTGCACTGTGGTCTGAGAGATAGTTTGTTATAATTTCTGTTCTTTTACATTTGCTGAGGAGAGCTTTACTTCCAACTATGTGGTCAATTTTGGAATAGGTGTGGTGTGGTGCTGAAAAAAATGTATATTCTGTTGATTTGGGGTGGAGAGTTCTGTAGATGTCTATTAGGTCTGCTTGGTGCAGAGCTGAGTTCAATTCCTGGGTATCCTTGTTGACTTTCTGTCTCGTTGATCTGTCTAATGTTGACAGTGGGGTGTTAAAGTCTCCCATTATTAATGTGTGGGAGTCTAAGTCTCTTTGTAGGTCACTGAGGACTTGCTTTATGAATCTGGGTGCTCCTGTATTGGGTGCATAAATATTTAGGATAGTTAGCTCCTCTTGTTGAATTGATCCCTTTACCATTATGTAATGGCCTTCTTTGTCTCTTTTGATCTTTGTTGGTTTAAAGTCTGTTTTGTCAGAGACTAGGATTGCAACCCCTGCCTTTTTTTGTTTTCCATTGGCTTGGTAGATCTTCCTCCATCCTTTTATTTTGAGCCTATGTGTGTCTCTGCACGTGAGATGGGTTTCCTGAATACAGCACACTGATGGGTCTTGACTCTTTATCCAACTTGCCAGTCTGTGTCTTTTAATTGCAGAATTTAGTCCATTTATATTTAAAGTTAATATTGTTATGTGTGAATTTGATCCTGTCATTATGATGTTAGCTGGTGATTTTGCTCATTAGTTGATGCAGTTTCTTCCTAGTCTCGATGGTCTTTACATTTTGGCATGATTTTGCAGCGGCTGGTACCGGTTGTTCCTTTCCATGTTTAGCGCTTCCTTCAGGAGCTCTTTTAGGGCAGGCCTGGTGGTGACAAAATCTCTCAACATTTGCTTGTCTATAAAGTATTTTATTTCTCCTTCACTTATGAAGCTTAATTTGGCTGGATATGAAATTCTGGGTTGAAAATTCTTTTCTTTAAGAATGTTGAATATTGGCCCCCACTCTCTTCTGGCTTGTAGGGTTTCTGCCGAGAGATCCGCTGTTAGTCTGATGGGCTTTCCTTTGAGGGTAACCCGACCTTTCTCTCTGGCTGCCCTTAACATTTTTTCCTTCATTTCAACTTTGGTGAATCTGACAATTATGTGTCTTGGAGTTGCTCTTCTCGAGGAGTATCTTTGTGGCGTTCTCTGTATTTCCTGAATCTGAACGTTGGCCTGCCTTGCTAGATTGGGGAAGTTCTCCTGGATAATATCCTGCAGAGTGTTTTCCAACTTGGTTCCATTCTCCACATCACTTTCAGGTACACCAATCAGACGTAGATTTGGTCTTTTCACATAGTCCCATATTTCTTGGAGGCTTTGCTCATTTCTTTTTATTCTTTTTTCTCTAAACTTCCCTTCTCGCTTCATTTCATTCATTTCATCTTCCATTGCTGATACCCTTTCTTCCAGTTGATCGCATCGGCTCCTGAGGCTTCTGCATTCTTCACGTAGTTCTCGAGCCTTGGTTTTCAGCTCCATCAGCTCCTTTAAGCACTTCTCTGTATTGGTTATTCTAGTTATACATTCTTCTAAATTTTTTTCAAAGTTTTCAACTTCTTTGCCTTTGGTTTGAATGTCCTCCCGTAGCTCAGAGTAATTTGATCGTCTGAAGCCTTCTTCTCTCAGCTCGTCAAAATCATTCTCCATCCAGCTTTGTTCTGTTGCTGGTGAGGAACTGCGTTCCTTTGGAGGAGGAGAGGCGCTCTGCGTTTTAGAGTTTCCAGTTTTTCTGTTCTGTTTTTTCCCCATCTTTGTGGTTTTATCTACTTTTGGTCTTTGATGATGGTGATGTACAGATGGGTTTTCGGTGTAGATGTCCTTTCTGGTTGTTAGTTTTCCTTCTAACAGACAGGACCCTCAGCTGCAGGTCTGTTGGAATACCCTGCCGTGTGAGGTGTCAGTGTGCCCCTGCTGGGGGGTGCCTCCCAGTTAGGCTGCTCGGGGGTCAGGAGTCAGGGACCCACTTGAGGAGGCAGTCTGCCCGTTCTCAGATCTCCAGCTGCGTCCTGGGAGAACCACTGCTCTCTTCAAAGCTGTCAGACAGGGACACTTAAGTCTGCAGAGGTTACTGCTGTCTTTTTGTTTGTCTGTGCCCTGCCCCCAGAGGTGGAGCCTACAGAGGCAGGCAGGCCTCCTTGAGCTGTGGTGGGCTCCACCCAGTTCGAGCTTCCCGGCTGCTTTGTTTACCTAAGCAAGCCTGGGCAATGGCGGGCGCCCCTCCCCCAGCCTCGTTGCCGCCTTGCAGTTTGATCTCAGACTGCTGTGCTAGCAATCAGCGAGATTCCGTGGGCGTAGGACCCTCCGAGCCAGGTGTGGGATATAGTCTCGTGGTGCGCCGTTTCTTAAGCCGGTCTGAAAAGCGCAATATTCGGGTGGGAGTGACCCGATTTTCCAGGTGCGTCCGTCACCCCTTTCTTTGACTCGGAAAGGGAACTCCCTGACCCCTTGCGCTTCCCAGGTGAGGCAATGCCTCGCCCTGCTTCGGCTCGCGCACGGTGCGCACACACACTGGCCTGCGCCCACTGTCTGGCACTCCCTAGTGAGATGAACCCGGTACCTCAGATGGAAATGCAGAAATCACCGTCTTCTGCGTCGCTCACGCTGGGAGCTGTAGACCGGAGCTCGAGAACTACTTTTTAATGTAGGTTTTTACAGCTACAAATTTCTTTCTGACCACCACTTTTGTTGCATTCCGTAAGTTTTGGTATGCTGTGTTTCATTTTCATGGCACACAATGTTTAATATATATATAAAATATATCTAGATATATATATGTCTATTAGATTATCTCTAGTTTCATTGCATTTATATACACTATCCATGAAAAATCATGTAATAACATCTTGTATCTTTGAACTAATTTATTAGTTCTAATAGTGTGTGTGTGTGTGTGTGTGTCTTAGCACTTTCTATGTATAAGATCATATCGTCTGCAAATAAAGATATTACTTTGTCTTTTTCCACTGGATATCTTTTATTTCTTTTTCTTGACTACTTTGGGTAGAACCTACAATACCATTTTGAATAGAAGGGGTGAAAGCAGACGTCTATGTCTTATTCCTGATCTTAGGGGAAAGGCTTTTAGTCCTTCGACATTACGTATGATGTTGACTGTAGATTTTGCTCCTTTATTAGGTTGAGGACGAAGTTCCCTTCTATTCCTGGTTGGTTGTTTTATGATGAAAGGCTGTTGGAAGTTTTTCAAATGCTTTTTCTTAGTCTATGAGATGATCACATAATTTTTGTTCTTTATGAATTTTCACAAGTATTTCACTTTAGAAATAAGTCCTACTTGGTCAGTGTGTATAATTATTTTTATTTCTTGCAGATTTAGTTTGTTACTATTTTGTTGAGGATTTTTGCATTTATATTAATAAAATATATTGGATATAGGTTTATTTTCCTGTGATGTCATTGCCTGGTTTGCTATCAAGGTAATGCTGGCTTCATAGAATTAAGTTGGGAAGTGTTTCCTCCTCTTACATTTTGGAAGAGGTCATGAAGGATGGATGTTAATTTTTCTGTAAATGTTTCGTAGAATTTACTCACAGAGTCTTCAGTTCTGGGCTTTTCTTTTTTGGAGGTTTTTGGTTACTGATTTAATCTCTTTACTTATTATAGGTCTATTCAGATTCTCTATTTCTTCTTGAGTCAGTTTTGGTAGTGCATTTCTAGGAATTTGTCCATTAGTAGGCTATCAAATTTGTTGACACACAATTGCTTACAGTAACCTCTTTTTATCCTTTTTATTTCCGTGGTGTTAGTGGTAATGACCCCGCTTTCATGTCTGATTTTAGGAATTTGAATCTTCTTTCTTCTTCCTCATTCTAGATACAAGTTAGTAAATTTTGTTGATCTTGTCAAAGAACTAACTTTTGGTTTTGTTAATTTGGGTTTCACTTTCTCTTCTTTTTCTAGTTTCTTAAGGTAGAAGGTTGGGATATTGATTTGAGATCTACTTTTTAATGTAGGTTTTTACAGCTATAAATTTCTCTCTGAGCACTGCTTTTGTTGCATCCCATACATTTTGGTATGTTGTGTTTCATTTTCATTTATCTTAAGGTATTTTCTAATTTTTATTGTGATTTATTCTAAAACCCATTGGTTATTTTGGAGTATGTTGTTTAATTTTGACATATTTGTAAATTTCCCAAATTTCCTTTTGTTACTGACTTATAGTTTGGCACCACTGTAGTCAGAGAGCATTGTTTGAATTAAATTATGTTAAATTTATTGAGTCTTGTTTTATGGCTTGACATAGTTTATCCAGGAGACTGTTCTACTGCCACTTGAGAAAATATATATTCTGTTGTGGTTGTGTGGAGTATTCCATTGATGTTTATTATGTCTAGCTCACTTATTTTATACACAGACACACACATTATATATATAATATATAAAATATTTGGCCAGGTGTGGTGGCTCATGCCTGTAATCCCAGCACTTTGGGAGGCTAAGGTGGGCAAATCACTTGAGGTAAGGAGTTCAAGACCAGCCTAGCCAACATGGTGAAACCTATCTCTGCTAAAAATACAAAAATTAGCAGGGCATGATGGCATGTACCTGTAATCCCAGCTACTCAGGAGGCCGAGGCAGGAGAATCGCTTGAGCCCAGGAGGCAGAGGTTACAGTGAGCCGAGATGACATCATTGCACTCCAGCCTGGGCAAGAAAAGTGAGACTCCATCTCAAAAAAAAAATTATATATATATAATTTAAAAATATGTATATAATATATATATTTTTATATAATATATTATATATATTATATAAAATATAATATATATATAATATAATATATATTTTATATAGTATATATAACATATTATATCTATTATATATATTATATAATATATTTTATATAGATATATATAATATATTATATAATATATATAATATAGTATATATTATATATAATATAGTATATATTATATATAATATAGTATATATTATATATAATTATTATACATATTATATATTATATATTATATAATTTATATAACTATATTATGTAATATATATTATAGTTATATATTATATAATATAAAATAGTTTTATAAATATATTTATATATATAATTGCCATAGCCCTTGTTACTTCCTAAGAGACTAAAGCAAATTAAGGTATTTGGCCTCTTGTCCTTGGTTCCTTAAGCAGCTTTGGAGTGCCTCAGAGTAATAAAGGTGAAAGAGTCTTTTGTTATAATGTTGGGGTGCTTTATGCCTCAGAGGAAGACCTTGGAAAGCAGAATCTCTCTCTGACCTTCTGCCTTCCTTTCGCCTGTCCTTTATTCTCTCCAAGGGAGTAATCTTTCCCCACCTTTCCATCTTGTAGCTGACCATGAAGAAGTTATCTGCTCTACCTTGGTTGATTGTGGGTCATAAGACCCTTATTTCAGAAAGGGTTCTGCCCTATGATGCACAGAGAGGCCAAGAAGAATCTGAACACATAGACCTGCCTGGGTTTGCCCACTTAGTCTGTTAGTATTAGATCATAACTTTTTGTTCAATCACATTTCTACCTGGTTGTCTGTGCTTCAATTGTGCCTTTCTAATGAAGTCTCCATAAAAGAGGCAGGAGGACAGAGTACGAGGAGCTTCCAGACAGCTGAACATATGGAGGTTCCTGGAGAGTGGCATACCGGGGGAGGGCATGGAAACTCCACACCCTTTTCTATACCTCACCCTATGCATCTCTTCATCTTTATCCTTTATAATATCCTTTATAACCAATTGGTAAATGAAAGTGTTTCCCTGAGTTCTGTAAACCACTTTAGCAAACTAATGAAACCCAAGGAGGAAATTGTGATAACCCTGATTTATAGCTAGTTGGTCAGAAGCACAGATCAAAAACAACCTGGGGTTTATGATTGGCATCAGAAGTGGGGGGCTGTCTTGTAAAACTGAGGCCTCAAATTGTGGGATCTGATGCTATCTCCAGGTAGATAGTGTCAGTATTGAACTGAAGGACACCCAGCTGGTGTCTGCTGCAGAACTGATTGCTTTCTTGCTGTGTGGGGGAAAAAACTTCATACATTGTATTATGAGAACAGAAGAAATGCAGTTTGTGCTTTTACTTCACAGTAATATTGTTCAAGTCTTCTGTTTCCTTGTTGATGTTCAGTCTAGTTGCTTTATCTGTTATTGAAAAGTGGGTTATTTTTATCTCCAACTGTGATTGTTGAATTGCCTGTTTCTCTATTCAATTCCATCAATCAGTTTTTACTTCACGCATTTTTGGGCTTTGTTGTTAGGTGCTATCTTTGTGCTGCTGTAACAAAGTACCACACACTGGATAATCTATAAATAATAGAAATTTATTTCTTACAGTCCTGGAAGCTGGGAAATCTAAGATCAAGGTGCTGAAAGGCTGCATGTCTGGTGAGGGCTGCTTTCTGCTTCCATGATAGCGCCATATTGCTGCATCCTCTGGAGGGAATGAATGCTGTGTCCTCAACATTGCTCTCATTATCTTGGATCCCTTTTATAATGGTGCTAATCCCACTTGTGACGGTTGAGGTGACTTAATCACCTCCCAAAGGTTACAGCTGTTAATACTGTTGAATTGGAGGTTAAGTTTCAACATGAATTTTGAAGGGGACACCACCATTCAAACCTTAGCAGGTACACATATGTTTTAATTGGTATATCTTCTTGATGGATTGATCTCTCCTTTTTTAAAGGGACAAAGTCTTGGTTCTTGCTCTGTTGTCCAGGCTTGACTGTAGTGGCACAACCATGGCTCACTGCAGCCTTGACCTCTTGGGTTTAAGTGATCCTCCAACCTCATTCTTCTGAGTATAGGACTACAGGCAAACAACACCATGCCCAGCTAATTTTTAAATTTTTTTTCTAGAAATGGGGTCTTGCTATGTTATCTTGGCTGATCTCAGACTCCTGGGCTCAAGGAATCCTCCTGCCTTGGCCTCCCAAAGTGCTGGTGTTGGGATTACAGACATGAACCACCACACCCAGCTGGATTGACCCTTTTAACATTATAAAATGTCCTGTGTTGCCTCTAGTGCCAAATTTTGTTTTAAAGGTCTGTTTTGTCTCATATTGGTATACCCACTCCAACTCTCTTTTGATTATCATTAACCCAGCATATTTTCTTCCATCCTTTTTCTTTCAACCTATTGTGTCTTTAAATCTGAATTTTGCTTCTTTTCAATAGCATATACTTGGATCATATTTGGTTTCTTAAAAAATCTATTCTTCTAATTTTTATGTTTTGATTGGACTGTTTGGTCCATTTATATTTAACGTAATTACTAGTAAAAGAGTTTTTGACTGCCATTTTAAAATTTATTTTCTTTGAGTCTTACATCATTTTTGTTTTTCTGTTTCTCCATCGCTAACTTCTTTTGTGTTAAATAGATATTTTCTAGTATGCCACTTTATTTATTATTTTCCCCATGTGTTTTTATTTTCTTAGTAGTTGCCCTGAAGATTATAATAAAATCTTAATTTAAGACAATCTAATTTGGGTTAATATCAACCTCATTTCACTAGTCTAGAAAAATTTTCCTCCATTATACTACATTTCCTCCTTCCTTTTGTACTTTGGTTGTCATACAAATTACATCTTTGTAAATTATAGGCCTAACAAGATAGCTTTATAATTATTGCATTGTACATTTATCTTTAAATCAGGAGATAAAAAGCTCAAACCAAAACATGTTTATGCTGTCTTAGTATTATCCACATAGTGTCCTTCTCTGGTGTCCTTCATTTGTTAACTTAGACGTTAGTTACTGTCCCATCATTTCATCCTGAAGAACTCCTTTTAGTATTTCCTGTAGGTCAGATCTGCTAGTGATGAATTTTCTCATTTTTTGTTTAACTCCTTCATTTTTGAAGGACAAATTTGCTGCATATAAAATCATTAGTTAACAGTGTTTTTCTTTCAGCACTAAGGAAGTTTAAAAGAAAAAAAAAAGGCCTGGCATGGTGGCTCATGCTTGTAATCCCAGCACTTTGGGACCCCAAGGCAGGCAGATCACTTGAGGTCAGGAGTTCGAGACCAGCCTGTCCAACGTGGTGAAACCTGTCTCTACTAAAAATACAAAAATCAGCCAGGCTTGGGGGCGCACGCCTGTCTCAGCCTCCCAAAGTGCTGGAATTACAGATGTGAGCCACCGTGCCTTGCCTGATACTACACAATATTAATGTGGATGTGAAGACATAGTCACTCTCATTCACTGCTAACGAGAGTACAAATTGGTAGAGCTGTTTGGAAGGCAATCCGTCAGGATCTAACACAATTTCAAATGCACGCCATTCTAATGCAGCATTTTCACTTCTAGAAATGCAGGCTGCAGAATATTTTCACATACACAAAAGTACACGCACAAAAGTGTATATGCTGCTTATTGCAGTACTGCTTGTGAGAGTAAAAATCTATGGACCTGAATGTCCGTAGTAGAGAGAGAGGGGGAGAGAGAGAGAGTGTGTGTGTGTGATGTGTGTGTGTAAAGAGTGATGGAGAGAAAAAAGAGGAGACTGTAATAATTGAATATTCAAATTGCTTTGCAATTACTTGGGTAATGACCTTTTTTCTTTTACTTTTTTTTTTTTTTGTGACAGGACAGCTTGGCTTTGTGGGTAAATATACCACAAGAGGGCTTTTATGTTTTATAACATATACTTCTGTACTGTTTACACTTTCCAAGTCATTTAAGACAACAAAAAAAGCAGGCTGCAGTATTGTGTAATGTGGTCTCATTTGTGTAAAATAAGTCTACAACACAAACAGGTACATATCTGTTACATATTATAAACATCTAAGAAAAATACACACTGAACTGTGAACAGTGGCTGCCACCTGGAAGTGGTGGGAAAGGAGACTGAGGGATCTTAACTTACCTACTACAGTTCTGTTTGATGTTGCTACAAGCTTGGAGCTTTAGCAATTTATAAAATGAGTAAATGAATAGGCACTTGCCAATAAAGGGAACGAGAGAGAAAGGCAGTAGCTTTCAAACTCAGAGGGGAGAAAAGGAGGTGTTTTTAAGGCTGGGGTAGTGTGAGCAGACAGAAGAGGAATGGCTGCAAGGCGGTGGAGAATGCAGGGAATCAATGCTGCCACATCCTACAAGGGGGTGGGGGAGAATGCACTCAACTGCACAGTGGAGGAGAGATGTAAGGAACAGAGAGTGAGAAGAAATGACGATTTTGACACTGGCTATCTGTGAGAAAGCAGACAAGAGTTGGTTAGCAGCTACTAAGGGCAGAGGGTATTGATTAAATACTATAAGAAATTGAAGAAATTCTCATTTTTAGATGTGTACTCCTAATCTCTATTGGTGATGCTATTTCTGTAAAAACCAAAATTTTTTTTCAGTTAGCAATATGTTCTTTAAATCAGGGGTCCCCAGTCTCCAGGCCACGGACCCGTCCATGGCCTATTAGTAACCAGGCCGCACAGCAAGAAGTGAGTGGTGGGCGAGTGAGTGAAGTTTCACCTGTATTTATAGCCACTCCCCATTGCTCACATTACCACTTGAGCTCCACCTCCTGTTACATCAGCAGCATCATTAGATTCTCACAGGAGCGCAAACCCTATTGTGAGCTATGCATGAGAGCGATCTAGGTTTCATGCTCTTTATGAGAATCTAATGCCTGATGATCTGTCACTGTCTCCTGTCACCCCCAGAAGGGACTATTTAGTTTCAGGAAAACCAGCTCAGGGCTCCTACTGATTCTATATTATGGTGAGTTGTATAATTATTTCATTATATAATACAATGTAATAATAATAGAAATACAGTGCACAATAAATGTAATGCACTTGAGTCACCCTGAAACCATCCTCCCTACCCTGTCCATGGAAAAATTGTCTTCCATGAAACAGGCTCCTGGTGCCAAAAAGATTTGGGACCGCTGCTTTCAATTATGGCCACATGCCACTTGTACCTCAGCTACTGTGACTCATAATGACTGACCCTTCAAAGCAATGTAATCTCTGTATCATTTTCTTTTTCTGCAGTAGGGCTTGGGATTAGCCATTGCCATAGAATGGAGTGAATAACAGAGAAGAGAAACTGTGACTAATTTAAGAGTGATAATCATACAATTGCAATTTGGAGAAGATTGACCTGAAAGAACTGCAGAGGAAGCATGCTCTTTGTGTAAGAAATCCTTAAATTCCACACAAAATCTATATAGTCTTCCTGGACATGATGCATAAGGAAATCCTAAGACTGCATGCCGAGTTTAACCAATTAAACTGGAATAAACTGGAATGAATTTGCATTTGGGAAGTAAAACACTATCCAAGGGGCATAAGAACAGCTGGGCTCCTACTGAAGGAGACACATATGGTGTTCATTGTGGGGTTTTGCTTCTTATTCCCTTTGAGTAAGAATAAAATGATCTTATTTTTTGCTCTTCAAAAATCTTCTCTGGTTATTTTTCTGGTGTCATTGGCTGGCATATTCCGATCCATAGGAAGAAGAAGGGAGCAGAGATGAAGTCTTCCTCTCCTACTGCCTCTGGGCAGAGGTGAAGAACTTTTGAAGGCATGCACCATGGGGTTATGAGACCCACTCAGCTAGACATATGTTTTGGAAGATATGTGTGTTACAGCAGCTTCTTAGGTAACTAACTAGTAGCGAAAGCCTTGCACTTTGGGGACTATTTTGTTCTTATATGTATCTGTTCAACCACAAACAGGCATAACTTGATTCTCTAAAAAAGTGGACATTTGAGGTTCTAAACTAGGGAGAGCCAGTCGAGGTGGCAGGCGTCTGTAGTCCTAGCTAATTGGGAGACCAAGGTGAGAGGATCACTTGAGTCTAGGAGTTCAAGACCACTCTAGGTGACAAAATGAAACCACTGTCTCAAAAATAAATAAGAAAAATTTAAAAATAAAATTTCAATGAGAAGAACTCAGTGAGTCTCTATTAAGCAAATCTGGATATCAGTGCATATCAAAGCACTAAATATTTGAGGTGTATCTTGCAGGAACCTAATACATAAAATTAGTAATCTTGTGTATTATCTGTTTTCACACTGCTGTAAAGAACTACCTGAGGCTGGGTAATTTATGAAGAAAGGAGGTTTAATTGACTCACAGTTCTGTGGACTTAATAAGAAGCATGACTGGGAGGCCTCAGGAAACTTACAATCATGGCGAAAAGTGAAAGAGGAAGCAAGCGCCTTCTTCACATGGTGGCAGGAGAGAGAGAGAGTGAAGGGGGAAGTGATACACACTTTTAAACCATCAGATCTCATGAGAGCTCAATCACTATCACAATAATAGCAAGGGAGAAATCTGCCCCCATGATCCAATCACCTCCCACCAGGCCCCTCCTCCAATTCGACATGAGATTTGGTCAGTGACACAAATCCATATCATATCACCTTGATAATGAAGACATCATATTGCCTAAAATTTTAGAGTCATAGTGGATTATCCTTCCTTTTTTTTTTGATACGGGATCTCACTCTGTAACCCAGCACAGTGACACAGTCTTGGCTGACTGCAACCTCTGCCTCCCAGGCCCAAGATGGGACTTGAGCCTACCTCAGCCTCCCAAGTAGCCGACACAGGCAACCACACTGGGATAATTTTTTGTAATTTTTGGTAAAGATGGGGTTTTATCATGTTGCCCAGGCTGGTCTCAAATTCCTGGATTCAAGCGATCTGCATGCCTTGGCCTCCCAAAATGCTGGGATTACAGGCATGAACCACCACACCTTGCCTATCTTTCCTTTTAAAAGGTAGATTTTCAGGTAGAAATTTGCTTCTATGAAAGGCGTGAATCTGAAAACTGTTCTACCAATAGATGGTAACAATTTACTTTGAGATTTTGACATGTCCTCTGACTCTCTAGGCTTCAGTAATCTATCTTTCTTTCTTTCTTTCTTTCTTTCTTTCTTTCTTTCTTTCTTTCTTTCTTTCTTTCTTTCCTTTCTCTTTTAGATGGAGTCTTGCTCTTGTCACCCAGGCTGGAGTGCAATGGTGTGATCTTGGCTCACTTCAACCCCTGCCTCCTGGGTTCAAGGGATTCTCCTGCCTCAGACTCCCACGTAGCTGGGATTACAGGCACCTGCCACCATGACCAGCTAATTTTTGTATTTTTTTTAGTAGAGACGGGGTTTCACCATGTTGGCCAGGCTAGTCTTGAACTTCTGATACCAGGTGATCCACCTGCCTCGGCCTCCCAAAATGCTAGGATTACAGGTGTGAGCCACCACGCCTGGCTGCCTCAGTAGTTTCTAATGTCCATTCCAGCTTAAAAAATTTTATTTCAATAGCTTTTGGGATACAAGTGATTTTGGGTTACATGGATGAATTATATAGTGGTGAATTCTGAGATTTTACTGTCCTTCCTTGATGAACTTGATCTTGTATGTGAGCCGAGCATAGCAAATTAAGCAACACAATTTTATTCAACAGAATTGTGACAATGAAAAGTAATATTGGCAAAGGCTCAGTTCTGGAAGCATTCTCATGTATTGCTGGTAGATGTTTGAACTGTACAAGTGTTTTCGGAAAGCAGTCTGACAGTATTTATTACACTGATTAACTCATATGTCATGAAAAAGCAGCACACCAGCGGGTGCAGGCAGAAAGTGCCCCCTCCCATGGGCACTTCAAAGCTGTCTTATGGTTTCCTTTTTTGTCTCCACCTAAAATCCCAGGCAGTGTACATAACCTTTCCCATCACTATTAGGTTTTTAGAAATCATCACTTTTATTCACAAAACAGTCTCATGTTGACATTTGTAATGTCCAGTCCTGGTGTAAACATCAAAACTCTGGGTTCTACTTGCAGCTTCTCCCAGCCCAGGCTGGTGCTGGCCAGAGACAGAGAGTGGGCTTGCTTCTCCACTCCTGCAGCCTGGCCCAGGTTTCTGATGCCTCTGGATTAGGAAGTCAGGAAACGATTTGCTTGTTTGGGACAGTTATGAGCTGGGGTTGGACACACTTTGGATTCTGTGGGTCTTTAGAGTCAGCTTCACCCCACCCCCCAAAATACCTTTTCCTTGGGGTTTTACCACTAGGAGCCCCCAGTTGCTATTTCTGTGATGTGCCAAGTGCTGCCTACATGGCCACTTTTAATTTCTTTCTCTGCATATATGGGGTTTTCCAGAAACACTCCCTGTATTTGGATCCATCTCTCTCCAAGAACTTATTTTTTTTTAGTTTCCAACTTTTAGTTTAAGTTCTGGGGTACATGTGCAGGATGTGCAGGTTTGTTACATAGGTAAATGTGTGCCATGGAGGTTTACTGCACAGATCAACCCGTCACCTAAGTATCAAGCCCAGCATCCATTAGCTATTCTTCCTGATGCTCTCTCTCCCCCCACCCACCTTTCCAACAGGCCCCAGTGCGTGTTGTTCCCCATCCCCCACAATGTGGTCTCATCATTCAGCTCCCACTTATAAGTGAGAACATGCAGTATTTGGTTTTCTGTTCCTGTGTTAGTTTGCTGAGGATAACGGCTTCCAGCTCCATCCATGTCCCTGCAAAGGACATGCTCTCATTCCTCTTTTTGGCTGCATAGTAGTCCATAGTGTATATGTAGCACATTTTCTTTTTGCAGTCTGTCATTGATGGGCATTTGGGTTGATTCCATGTCTTTGCTATTGTGAATAGTGCTGCAATGAACATATGCATGCACGTATCTTTATAATAGAAAGATTTGTGTTCCTTTGGGTATATAAGTAGTAATGGGATTACTGCGTCTTATGGTATTTCTGCTTCTGGGTCTTTGAGGAATCGCCACACTGTCTTCCAAGATGGTTGAACTAATTTACACTCCCATCAACAGTGTAAAAGCGAGGAACCTCTTGAGTAAGATTCACAATTGCTCCAGGCCACCTCTGTCCTGCATAGACTACTTCTAGTCCACAGGAAGCACCCACAGTTTCCTGTCCCCTGCATCAGTGGAAGTGTGGTGCAGGCCAATACAGTTTTTCACTTTGCTGCCTTAGGGGACTGCAGTCAGCCCCTCACCTGGAGAATTATTTTGGGGGCAAGAGTTAGAAACCCTTTATTGTGATCTCAAACTTCAGGGGACACATCTGTAGTTCTCCCTATGGTCTCCTGAAGCTCTTCTCACCAGTTTGAGATGGGGGGAAAGGGCCCTCCTCCCTGCCTCCTTGGGCCATGAGAAGGAAACTGCCACAACCCTCCAAGAACTCTCTCCAAAAAAGCCTCCCTCAGCCCCAGCCTCTTCTACCCTCTGGCTCTTAAGTGGGTGTTGCCCTCTGGCTTTTGAAACCAGCTGTTAATCCATCCTTTGCAAGCTGCATATTCTGTTGCAGGACCCTGTGGAATGGGAAAAGCATCACCACTTCTTTACTCTGACTCCTGGAACCTCAGGTTAGAATTGAGCCTTGTTTTGCATCTTGTTAATTTAGATTCTCCTTACTCAGTCATCCCACTTTTTTCAGAATCTATTTTATAAAAATAAAAGTACTGGTATACAAAGATATTTACAGAGACAATATTTGTAGTAACAACAACAACAAAAAGGGCTGGGCGTGGTGGCTCACGTCTGTAATCCCAGCACTTTGGGAGGCCAAGGCAGGCAGATCACTGGAGGTCAGGAGTTCAAGACCAGCCTGACCAATATGGTGAAACCCCATCTCTACTAAAAATACAAAAGTTAGCCAAGTGTGGTGGTGAGTACCTGTAGTCTCAGCTACTCAGGAGGCTGAGACAGAAGAATTGCTTGAACCCAGGAGGCAGAGGTTGCATTCAGCCAAGATTGTGCCACTGCACTCCAGCATCGGCAACAGTGAGACGTCGTCTCGAAGAAAGAAAGAAGAAAGAAAGAAAGAAAGAAAGAAAGAAAGAAAGGAAGAAAGGAAGAAAGGAAGAAAGGAAGAAAGAAAGAAAGAAAGAAAGGAAGGAAGGAGGAAGGAAGGAAGGAAGGCAGGCAGGCAGGAAGGAAGGAAGAAAAAGAAAGAAAGAAAAGAAAAGAGAAAGCAAGCCTAACTCTCCATCTATAAAGGAATGGTGGATGTGCAATTAACCCATGGTGTGTTCATACAATGGACTATTAGGCAGCTATTACACACAATGAGTTACACTATCTGTATTACCTGGAAGGATATTAATTATATACTAGTTGCAGAGAATAAAAGAAATTGCAGAATAATGTTGTTTGAAATGCTTGTTCCCCAGTGCTGTAAAGAAACAGCACTTGAACATTAAATTTAATTTGCTCGGCAAGGCCATTTTTATACTTTCTGCAGAAAGGGTACACTCGCCAGCAGTTTTGCCATGAGAGTACACTGAACAAAGGAGACAGGGTCATTTATAACCTGATGTGTCCACTCTACTGCTGTGTCTGGTTTCCATTGGCTGGAACAGGACCTCACATTCTGTATTTGTCCCGATTGGCTAGCAACTTACAACTTTTTAAAAGAGGCAAAGGTAGAGGAGAACAAAGGAAGGAGGAAGTAACTTGTGGAATGCTGAGAAAGGTAAAAACACCTTCAAATAAGGAAGAGGAACAGGCTATGACCTAATGCTGGCTTGGACTAGTATAAGCATGACAGGACAAATATTTAAGCTAAATTGTGGGAGCTAAGAACTAAAGAACGTTGATTTCTTTATCATGGCTAGCAGATATTTAAGAATGTTAGCACAGGTCTTTGAATAAATTTTGCTTCTAAAAGAAGTTACTATTTATTCCTAATTAAATGGGGAGGAAAGTCTTTGAAGAGGAACCTCTACTTTACTTTTTACAATGTGTATAATGTGATCCATTAAAAAACACACACACTTTACTTATTTGTGTACATTTGAATGAGTGTGGAGCAGGGTGGGAAAGGATGCACCCAAGATATCAATATTGGTCATCTTAGTGGATAGTAACACAGCAAGAACAAGGAGAGCATCTTTACTTTGTATGTCTACTTTAAAGTTGTTGTGCATATTACTGCATGCATTTTGGGGGATTAAAGAATAATATAATAAAGAAAAAGTAAAGGAAGAAAATGAAATTTGATAAAACTGTAAGAAGAAATTGCTCAGAAAGTGTTGGGTTCTAAAAATTATTCAAGGAAGAGATAATTCCAACATTATAAAAACTATTACAGAGTAGAAAAAATGGAAATCTTCTAACATAATTTTTGGAGGCTAGATTTACCATGGTACTAAAACTAGAAAGGAAAACTAGAGGCCAATTTCAATCGCAATTGACCGTCCCTTCAAAAAAAATCCAAAATAAAACATTAACAAACTGACTCAAGTTATTAAAAAGATAAGACAAGGTAGTCAAATTAAATTATCCAGTAATTGAAGGTAGCTTCACATTAGAAAATCTATTAATATAATACTAACCTTAACAGATTAAAGGAGAAACTATAAATGCTGAAAAATAATTGTATAAAATTCAACAATTCCTTTTTTTTTTTAAAGAAAAATAAAGGCTCTTTAGTAAGTTGGGAATATACAGACCCTTCCTTCAACTGATGTACCATGCTGGCTGTATTCCCTGGGCCCGTAAGTTCCAGTTTTCATTCATCTGCAGAGACCCTGGCAAAGGTTTCTACTCTCCTGGTGGGTCCTCTGGTTTCCTCCTGAAACTAACAGGAACCTCACCAAGAAGCTGGAGGAAAGAGGAGAGTGGGTCAGGGTATTTGTTTCTGGATCTCCTCCCTGCAAGGTCACCTGAGTAGTTGCTGGAGCTCTCAAGGCAGTGGACTCCACAGACTCTTCCTTCTGCGTTCTGGCACGTGTTCCCTCCTCAACCCTCTCCCTTAGAGGTGTTGGAAGTGCAGCTGCTCCTGAGCCCTGGATTGCTTCTCTATCCCTTGTGGTACCCTTTACCTGAACCTTTGTCAATACAGCAAATTCTTGTTATTGGAGGTAGATGTGTACTACAAAATCATTACAAACACTGAATTAACAAATACCAAATCATCACTCCTAGAGGAAATACAAGGTTAGGTACCTGTGAGCCTCTGGTCAAATATTTTCATTAACCAATTGATACATAACCTTGCTTTCTATGTGTTTCTTACACATATTTAATCTATATCATTGACTCATTAACATTGAACTTACAGCCAACAGCACTATAACTCATGCCTGAATGAAGCTTCTCCAACACACCTATTTTCTCCTTAAGGCACATCATAGCCTTTGAGGACTAAACTCTGACTTTTTTTTTTTATCTTGCAGAAACTCCTATCTAAGGAGTCTGGGGAATCATGTCCTACAAACCACAAATTCTCATCAGATGGGTTTTATTTAACCTTGTATATCGTGATTTATTTTCCAATGTAACTCTGGAATAACAAGAAAGAAAATCAAAATGTTCTATTCCAAAACATGTTTCTCTGCCATATCTTAAACTTGCCCTGCAAAGTGTCTTGTGGGAAAATCTACATTCTATAGAGAATCCCCTTTGTTTTCCTTCCTTCCTTTCCAAATCCAGGAGATAATCAACCAAGAGTCAGGCACGCTTTTAAGTCCAATAAGAAACATTTTACAATCTGCTGTCTCTAAAGTCTGCTATCTGAGAGCTTCCTCTGCACAACAAAACTTGGTCTCCACAATCCTTTATCTTAACCTGAACATTTCTTTTCTATTGATCCCAGGTCTTCCAGTAAACTCAACAAATTGTCAACCAGAAAATGTTTAAATTTACCTATAGCCTGGAAGCCCCCACTTTGAGTTGTCCCACCTTTCTGAACCAAACCAATGTATTTCTTAAATGTTTTGATTCATGTCTCATGCCTCCCAAAAGTATATAAAACCAAGCTATACCCCAACCACCTTGGCACATGTTCTCAGGACCTCCTGAGAGCTGTGTCATGGGCCATGGTCACTCATATTTGGCTCAGAATAAATCTCTTAAAATATTTTACAGAGTTTGACTCTTTTCGTCAACAACTTCTTTCACTAAATAGACAGCACCTCAGCAATGTGTTTCGGGGCCATTTTAAACAGAAAAATCACAAGAAAAAGCACAGAAATTCAAAACATGTGGTACTAGATAAACCACGAAAAAATGCATGCTTACTTATGAGAGCTTAAACAACAAGGCAGATGTCGCCTTGTTTGACATCAGCTAGGAAGATGCACTTTGGTGACTCCATTTGTTTTTCACCATTCTGTGTATTAATGTTCATGAATTACTGAGAAAGTAAGGTGGTTATTGGTAATAGGGTTACAAATAAATTTTAACAAGTAGGTAAATTTGCAAATATAGAATCGTGAATAATGAGGATCTACTCTTTATAAACAAACTCTTCTCAGATTATGCTATTTCAAAATGTTATCAATTTCTTATTTGGAGTCTGATGTAATAGGTATATATGACAGAAACCTATTGCAAATACCATAATAAATGATGAAAAATTAGAAGCATTACTATTAATGGAACAAGGAAAGGCTGCTGCGTCATTCACTGTGCTGGACATCCTTGGCCAATGTGATAAGGAAAAAACAAAAACATGAATATTGACAAGAAAAACCAAAAATGTATTTGATTTAGAATGATATAATTATCTACCCATGAAGTCCAAGAAAATAAATTAAAACCCTATTTAACATATAAATGTGAATGTGAATGCATATAAAATCAACATATGAAAAGTAATAGCTTCTCAATTTGCTTACCAAAACCATTAGAAATTGAAAAAATAATTGCATTTACACCACCAATAAAACCTCTAAAATGGCCGGGCGCGGTGGCTCACGCCTGTAATCCCAGCACTTTGGGAGGCCGAGGCGGGTGGATCATGAGGTCAGGAAATCGAGACCATCCTGGCTAACAAGGTGAAACCCCGTCTCTACTAAAAATACAAAAAATTAGCTGGGCGCAGTGGCGGGCGCCTGTAGTCCCAGCTACTCGGGAGGCTGAGGCAGGAGAATGGCGTGAACCCGGGAAGCGGAGCTTGCAGTGAGCCGAGATTGCGCCACTGCAGTCCGCAGTCCGGCCTGGGCAACAGAGCGAGACTCCGTCTCAAAAAAAAAAAAAAAAAAAAAAAACCTCTAAAATTCCTAGGAATAATAAGCAAAATATAACACTCATAAGGATAAAAAAAACTTATTAAAGAAAAAACTGAATAAATGGAGAGTTATATCACGTTCCTAATTTGGATGACTCAATATTTTAAAAAGGTCAATTGTCCCCAAATTAATCTATAAATTCTTTGCAATACCACTCAAAACCTCCTCCCCATCTCAAATCTTACAACACATGTCAAATGGTTTTACATTTTTATTTGGAAGAGAACATGTACCAGACCAGCAAAGTCTATTTTGAAATAGGAGACTAAGGAGGCTATCAAAGTACACTATAAGTTATAATAATTTAAAAAGTGTGACATAAGGGGGGAAATAAAGAAATCAATGGAACATAATTTAGAGTCTAGAAACAGACCTATGTATATATAGAAATTTAGTAAATGACAAAGGTCGCACTTGGGACCAGTAAGTAAAAAATTCAATAAATGGTGTTGGAAAATAAATGGTGCAAGAAGGTATTTGCAACATATATAATATGAGACTAAGAATGAATATACAGAATATATAATCAATTCCTACAGATCAGTAAGAGAAAATGCAAAAGAAAAGTGGACAAAGATTCTGAAAAGACAATTTAGAGGAAAACATGCAAATGACCAGCAATGGAAGGAAAAGATCCTCAATTTCAAAGCAATCAGAGAAATGCAAATTAGAGCAGCAATGAGATATCACTTCCACCCATCAGTTTGGCAAAAACGGAAGAGACTGATCTTAGCAAGCATTAATGAGGAAGTGGGGAAACAGTATTTTCCTGCATTATAAGTGGCACAGCTCTTTTGAGGTACAACATGGCAGTAGAAATTAAAATGTTAAATATACATACCAGATGATCCAAAAATCCACTTCTAGTTATCTAATGTGGAGAAATACTTGCATATAAACTTGAAATATTGATTGTAGCAGTGAAAAAATTGGAAACCAACTTAAATGTCTATTAAGAGTGGTTAAATAATCTGTTATACTTTTATACTATGGCTCATTGTGGCAATTTTTAAAAAGCTTGATCAATATATATGAGCACTGAAATATATCTAAGACATATACTGTTAAATTTAAAAAGCATATTGTTGGGAAATACCATGTTATGTAATATACTATGCTAAATTTAAAAATCTACACAAAACTGTTTACTTCTATTTTTGCCTATGTTGGTATCTATGTAAACACATTTTAAAATATCTGTAAGAATACACCCCAGACTCCTGGGCAAGATGGCCAAATAGGAGCAGCTCTGGTCTCCAGCTCCCAGTGAGACCAATGCAGAAGGTGGGTGATTTCTGCATTTCCAACCGAGGTACCCAGTTGATCTCAATGGGACTAGTTAGACAGTGGGTGCAGCCCATGGAGGGTGAGCAGAAGCAGGGTGGGGCATCACCTCACCTGGGAAGCACAAGGAGTGGGGGAACTCCCTCCCATAGCCAAGGGAAGCCATGAGGGACTGTGCCATGAGGGACTGTGTCACCTGGCCCAGATACTATGTTTTTCCCAAGGTCTTCCCAACCCACAGTCCAGGAGATTCCCTCAGGTGCCTATGCCCCAAGGGCCCTGGGTTTCAAGCACAAATCTGGGCAGACACCGAGCTAGCTGCAGGAGTTTTTTTTTCATACCCCACTGGTGTCTGGAATGCTAGCAAGACAGAACTGTTCACTCTCCTGGAAAGGGGGCTGAAGCCAGGGAGCCAAGTGGTCTTGCTCAGTGGAAACCACCCCCACAGAGCCCAGCAAGCTAAGATCCACTGGCTTGAAATTCTCGCTGCCAGCACAGCAGTCTGAAGTTGACCTTGGAACTGGAGCTTGGTGGGAAAAGGGGCGTCCACCATTACTGAGGCTTGAGTAGGCAGTTTTCCCCTTACAGTGTAAGCAAAGCTGCCAGGAAGTTCAGACTGGGTAGGGCCCACCACGGCACCTCAAAACCTCTGTAGCCAGACTGCCTCTCTAGATTCCTCCTCTCTGGGCAGGGCATCTCTGAAAGAAAGGCAGCAGCTCCTGTCAGGGGCTTACAGATAAAACTCCCATCTCCCTGGGACAGAGCACCTGGGGGAAGGGGCAGCTGTGGGTAGAGCTTCAGCAGATGTAAACTTTCCTGCCTGCCAGCTCTGAAGAGTGCAGCAGATCTCCCAGCACAGCTCTCAAGCTCTGCTAAGAGGCAGACTGCTTCCTCAAGTGGGTCCCTGACCCCCATGCCTCCTGATGGGGAGACACCTCCCAGCAGGGGTCTACAGACACCTCACACAGGAGAGCTCCTTCTAGCATCTGGCAGGTGCTCCTCTGGGACAAAGCTTCCAGATGAAATACCAAGCAGCAAACTTTGCAATTCTGCAGCCTCCACTGGTGATACCCAGGCAAACAGGGTCTGGAGTGGACCCCCAGAAAACTCCAGTAGACCTGCAGAACAGGGGCCTGACTGTTAGAAGGAAAATTAACAAACAGAAAGCAATAGCATCAACATCAACAAAAAGGACGACCACAAAAAAACTCCATCCGAAGGTCACCAGCAGCAAAGACCAAAGGTGGATAAATCCTCGAAGATGAGGGAAAACTAGTGCAAAAAGGCTGAAAATGCCAAAAACCAGAATGCCTCTTCTCCTTCAAAGGATCACAACTCCTCGCCAGCAATGGAACAAAACTGGATGGAGAATGAGTTTGACAAATTAACAGAAGTAGGTTTCAAATGTGGGTAATAACAAATGCCTCCGAGCTAAAGGAGCATGTTCTAACCCAATGCAAGGACACTAAGAACCTTGATAAAAGGTTATAGGAATTGCTAACTAGAATAACCAGTCTAAAGAAGAATATAAATGACTTGATGGAGCTGAAAAACACAGCACGAGAACTTCGTGAACAATACACAAGTATCAATAGCCAAATTGATCAAGCGGAAGAAAGGATATCAGAGATTGAAGATCAACTTAATGAAATAAAGCAAGAAGACAAGATCAGAGAAAAAAGAATGAAAAGGAATGAGCAAAGCGTCCAAGAAATATGGGACCATGTGAAAAGACCAAACCTACATTTGATTGGTGTACCTGAAAGTGACGGGGAGAATGAAACCAAGTTGGAAAGCACTTCAGGGTATTATCCAGGAGAACTTCCCCAAGCTAGCAAGATAGGCCAACATTCAAATTCAGGAAATACAGAGAACACCACAAAGATACTCCTTGAGAACAGCAACCCCAAGACACATAAGCATCAGATTCACCAAGGTTGAAATGAAGGAAAAAAAATGTTAAAGGCAGCCAGAGAGAAAGGTTGGGTTACCCACAGAGGGAAGCCCATCAGACTAACAGAGGATCTCTTGGCAGAAACTCTACAAGCCAGAAGAGAGTGAGGGACAATATTCAACATTCTTAAAGAAAGAATTTTCAACCCAGAATTTCATATCCAGCCAAACTAAGCTTCATAAGTGAAGGAGAAATAAAATCCTTGACAGACAAGCAAATGCTGAGAGATTTTGTCACCATCAGGCCTGCCTTACAAAGCTCCTGAAGGAAGCACTAAATATGGAAAGGAACAACCGGTACCAGCCACTGCAAAAACATACCAAATTGTAAAGACCATCGACACTGTGAAGAAACTGCATCAACTAACAGGCAAAATAACCAGCTAGCATCATAATGACAGGATCAAATTCACACATAGCAATATTAACCTTAAATGTAAACGGGCTAAATCCCCCAATTAAAAGACACACTGGCAAATTGGATAAAGACTCAAGATTCATTAGTGTGCTGTATTCAGGAGACCCATCTCATGTGCAAAGACGTACATAGGCTCAAAATAAAGGGATGGAGGAATATTTACCAAGCAAATGTAAAGCAAAAAAAAAGAGCAGAGGTTGCAATCCTAGTCTCTGATAAAACAGACTTTAAATCAACAAAGATTAAAAAATACAAAGAAAGGCATTACATAACAGTAAAAGGATCAATGCAACAAGAAGAGCTAACTATCTTAAATATATATGCACCCAATACAGGAGCACCCAGATTCATAAAGTAAGTTCTTAGAGACCCACAAAGAGACTTAGACTCCCACACAATAATAATGGGAGACTTTAGCACCCACTGTCAATATTAGACAGATCAACAAGACAGAAAATTAACAAGAATATTCAGGACTTGAACTCAGCTCTGGACCAAGTGGACCTAATAGACATCTACAAAACTCTCCACCCCAAATCAACAGAATATACATTCTTCTCAGCACCAGATAGCACATATTCTAAAATGGACCACATAATTGGAAGTAAAACACTCCTCAGGAAATGCAAAAGAACAGAAATCATGACAAACAGTCTCTCAGACCACAGTGCAATCAAATTAGAACTCAGGACTAAGAAACTCACTCAAAACCGCACAACTTCATGGGAACTGCACAACCTGGTCCTCAATGACTACTGGGTAAATAAGGAAATTAAGGCAGAAATAAATAAGTTTTTGAAACCAATAAAAAGAAAGACGCAACATACCAGAATCTCTGAGACACATAAAGCAGAGTTTAGAGGGAAATTTATGGCACTAAATGCCCACAGGAGAAAGCTGGAAAGATCTAAAATTGACACCCTAACATCACAATTAAAAGAACTAGAGAAGCAAGAGCAAACAAATTCAAAAGCTAGCAGAAAACAAGAAATAACTAAGATCAGAACAGAAGGGAAGGAGATAGAGACCCGAAAAAACCCTTCTAAAAATCAATGAATCCAGGAGCTGGTTTTTTGAAAAGATTAACAAAATAGATAGACCACTAGCCAGACTGATAAAGAAGAAAAGAGAGAATAATGACATAGACACAATAAAAAATGATAAACTGGAGATCACCACTGATCCCACAGAAATACAAACTACTGTCAGAGAATACTATAAACACCTCTATGCAAATAAACTAGAAAATCTAGAAGAAATGGATAATTCCTGGACACAAATACCCTCCCAAGACTAAACCAAGAAGAAGTTGAATCCCTGAATAGACCAATGTCAAGTTCTGAAATTGAGGCAGTAATTAATAGCCTACCAACCAAAAAAAGCCCAGGACCAGATAGATTCACTGCTGAATTCTACCAGAAGTACAAAGAAGAGCTGGCACCATTCCTTCTGAAACTATTCCAAAAACTAGAAAAACAGGGACTCCTCTCTAACTCATTTTATGAGGCCAGCATCATTCTGATACCAAAACCTGGCAGAGACACATAAAAAAAGAAAATTTCAATATCCAATATCCCTGATGAACGTCGATGTGAAAATCCTCAATACAATACTGGCAAAACGAATCCAGCAGCACATCAAAAAGCTTATCCACCATGATCAAGTGTGCTTTATCCCTGGGATGCAAGGCTGGTTCAATATATGCAAATCAATAAATGTAATCCAGCATATAAACAGAGCCAAAGACAAAAACCACATGATTATCTCAATAGATGCAGAAAAGGCCTTTGACAAAATTCAACAACCCTTCATGCTAAAAACTCTCAATAAATTAGGTATTGATGGGACATATTTCAAAATAATAAGAGCTATCTATGACAAACCCACAGCCAATATCATACTGAATGGGCAAAAACTGGAAGCATTCCCTTTGAAAACTGGCACAAGACAGGGATGCCCTCTCTCACCACTCCTATTCAACATAGTGTTGGAAGTTCTGGCCAGGGCAATTAGGCAGGAGAAGAAAATAAAGGGTATTCAATTAGGAAAAGATGAAATCAAATTGTCCCTGTTTGCAGACGACATGATTGTATATCTAGAAAACCCCATTGTCTCAGCCCAAAATCTCCTTAAGCTGATAAGCAACTTCAGCAAAGTCTCAGGATACAAAATCAATGTACAAAAATCACAAGCATTCTTATACACCAACAACAGACAAACAGAGAGCCAAATCATGAGTGAACTCCCATTCACAATTGCTTCAAAGAGAATAAAATACCTAGGAATCCAGCTTACAAGGGATGTGAAGGACCTCTTCAAGGAGAACTACAAACCACTGCTCAAGGAAATAAAAGAGGATACAAACAAATGGAAGAACACTCCATGCTCATGGGTAGGAAGAATCAATATCGTGAAAATGGCCATACTGCCCAAGGTAATTTATAGATTCAATGCCATCCCCATCAAGCTACCAATGCCTTTCTTCACAGAATTGGAAAAAACTACTTTAAAGTTCATATGGAACCAAAAAAGAGCCCGCATCGCCAAGTCAATCCTAAGCCAAAAGAACAAAGCTGGAGGCATCACACTACCTGACTTCAAACTATACTACAAGGCTACAGTAACCAAAACAGCATGGTACTGGTACCAAAACAGAGATATAGATCAATGGAACAGAACAGAGCCCTCAGAAATAATGCCGCATATCTACAACTATCTGATCTTTGACAAACCTGAGAAAAACAAGCAATGGGGAAAGGATTCCCTATTTAATAAATGGTGCTGGGAAAACTGGCTAGCCATATGTAGAAAGCTGAAACTGGATCCCTTCCTTACACCTTATACAAAAATCAATTCAAGATGGATTAAAGACTTAAATGTTAGACCTAAAACCATAAAAACCCTAGAAGAAAACCTAGGCATTACCATTCAGGACATAGGCGTGGGCAAGGACTTCATGTCTAAAACACCAAAAGCAATGGCAACAAAAGACAAAATTGACAAATGGGATCTAATTAAACTAAAGAGCTTCTGTACAGCAAAAGAAACTACCATCAGAGTGAACAGGCAACCTACAAAATGGGAGAAAATTTTTGCAACCTACTCATCTGACAAAGGGCTAATATCCAGAATCTACAATGAACTCAAATAAATTTACAAGAAAAAAACAACCCCATCAAAAAGTGGGCAAAGGACATGAACAGACACTTCTCAAAAGAAGACATTTATGCAGCCAAAAAACACATGAAAAAATGCTCATCATCACTGGCCATCAGAGAAATGCAAATCAAAACCACAATGAGATACCATCTCACACCAGTTAGAATGGCAATCATTAAAAAGTCAGGAAACAACAGGTGCTAGAGAGGATGTGGAGGAATAGGAACACTTTTACACTGTTGGCGGGACTGTAAACTAGTTCAACCATTGTGGAAGTCAGTGTGGCGATTCCTCAGGGATCTAGAACTAGAAATACCATTTGACCCAGCCATCCCATTACTGGGTATATACCCAAAGGACTATAAATCATGCTGCTATAAACACACATGCACACGTATGTTTATTGCAGCACTATTCACAATAGCAAAGACTTGGAACCAACCCAAATGTCCAACAATGATAGACTGGATTAACAAAATGTGGCACATATACACCATGGAATACTATGCAGCCATAAAAAAATGATGAGTTCATGTCCTTTGTAGGGACATGGATGAAAGTGGAAATCATCATTCTCAGTAAACTATCGCAAGAACAAAAAACCAAACACCACATATTCTCACTCATAGGTGGGAATTGAGCAATGAGATCACATGGACACAGGAAGGGGAACATCACACTCTGGGGACTGTTGTGGGGTGGGGGGAGGAGGGAGGGATAGCTTTGGGAGATATACCTAATGCTGGATGACGAGTTAGTGGGTGCAGTGTGCCAGCATGGCACATGTATACATATGTAACTAACCTGCACAATGTGCACATGTACCCTAAAACTTAAAGTATAATAATAAAAGAAAAAAAAGAAAAAAAAAAGAGAAATAAGAGATGACACAAACAAATGGAAAAATATTCCATGCTCATGGATAGGAAGAATCAATATCGTGAAAATAGCCATACTGCACTCAAAGTACTTTATAAATTCAATCTTATCCCCATCAAGCTACCATTGACTTTCTTCACAGAATTAGAAAATAACTACTTAAAATTTCATATGGAACCAAAAAAGAGCCCGTATACCCAAGACAATCCTAAGCAAAAAGAACAAAGCTGAAGGCATCATGCTACCTGACTTCAAACTATGCTACAAGTCTACAGTAACCAAAGCAGCATGGTACTGGTACCAAAACAGATATATAGACCAATGGAACAGAACAGAGGCCTCAGAAATAACACCACACATCTACAACCATCTAATCTTTGACAAACCTGACAGAAACAAGCAATGGGGAAAGGATTCCCTATTTAATAAATGGTGTTGGTTAAACTGGCTACCCATATGCAGAAAACTGAAACTGGACCCCTTCCTTACACCATATACAAAAATTAACTCAGGATGGATTAAAGATGTAAACATCAGAACTAAAACCATAAAAACCCTAGAAGAAAACCTAGGCAATGCCATTCAGGACATAGGCATGGGCAAAGACTTCATGACTAAAACACCAAAAGCAATTGCAACAAAAGTCAAAATTGACACATGGATCTAATTAAACTAAAGAGCTTCTGCACAGCAAAAGAAACTATCATCAGAATGAACAGGCAACCTACAGAATGGGAGAAAATTTTTGCAATCTATCCATCTGACAAAGGGCTAATATCCAGAATCTACAAGGAACTTAAACAAATTTACAAGAAAATAACAAACAACCCTATCCAAATGTGGGTGAAGGATATGAAGAGACACTTTTCAAAAGAAGACATTTATGTGGCCTACAAACATATGAAAAAAGCTCATCATCACTGATCATTAGAGAAATGCAAATCAAAACCACAATGAGATACCCTCTCATGCCAGTTAGAATGGTGATCATTAAAAAGTCAGGAAACAACAGATGCTAGAGAGGATGTGGAGAAATAGGAACATTTTTACACTGTTGGTGGGAGTGTAAATTAGTTCAGCCATTGTGGAAGATACTCTGGCGATTCCTCAAGGTTCTAGAACTAGAAATACCATTTGACCCAGCAATCCCATTACTAGGTATATACCCAAATATTTTAAATCATTCTACTATAAAGAAACAAGCACACGTATGTTTATTGCAGCACTATTCACAACAGCAAAGACTTGGAACCAACCCAAATGCCCATCAATGTTAGACTGGATAAAGAAAATGTGGCACATATACAACATGGAGTACTATGCAGCCATAAAAATGGATGAGTTCATGTCCTTTGCAGGGACATGGATGAAGCTGGAAATATCATTCTCAGCAAAGGAACAGAAAACCAAACACCGTATGTTCTCACTCATAAGTGGGAGCTGAACAATGAGAACAGATGGACACAGGGAGGGGAACATCACACACTGGGGCCTGTCGCAGGGTCGGGGGCAAGGGGAGGGAGAGCATTAGGAGAAATTCCTAATGGAGATGACGGGTTGATGGGCAAATCACCATGGCACATGTATACCTATGTAACAAACCTGCACGTTCTGCACTTGTATCCCAGGACTTAAAGTATTAAAAAAAAAATACACTCCAAATTGGTAAGCTGATGTTACCTGTGGCGATGTAAATGCGAATGGAAGGTGGTCATGAAACCCTTACCTTATTTTTTCTTTTAAAATTTAAAACATTTTAATTGTGGTAAAAAACACATAAAATTTACCATCTTAATCATTTTCAAGTGTACAGTTCAGCAGTGTTTAGTGTATTCACTTTACTGTGCAACAGATCTCCAGACTTTTTTCATTTTGCAAAACTGAAACGCTGTGCCCGTTGAACAACAAACCCAGGCCGGGCACGGTGGCTCATGCCTGTAATCCCAGCACTTTGGGAGGCCGAGGCAGGTGGATCATTTGAGGTCAGGAGTTCGAGACCAGCCTGGCCAACATGGTGAAACTTCGTCTCTACTAAAAATACAAAAATTAGCTGGGCATGGTAGAGGGTGCCTGTAATCCCAGCTACTCAGAAGGCTGAAGCAGGAGAATCGCTTGAACCTTGGAGGTGGAGGTTGCAGCGAGCCAAGATGGTGCCACTGCACTCCAGCCCGGGCCACAGAGCAAGACTCTGTCTCACAATACATACATACATACGTGCATAAATACATAAATAAATAAAAAATAAAAAACAACAAACCCCAATTTCCCCCTCCCTCCAGCTCCTGGTGACCACCATTCTACTTTCTGATTCTATGAATTTGACTATTTTAGACATCTCATATAAATAGAATCACATAGTGAAACCCAGACCCCATCCCTAATCTTCCTAACACATAGTATTTGTCTTTTGCTGGGTGGCATATTTTACTTAGCATAATGTCTTCACATTGCAGCATGTGTCAGGATTTCCTCCTTTTTTAAGGCTGAATAATATTTCATTGTATGGATACACCACATTTCATTTATTCATTCATCTGTCAATGGATACAATAGCCCCCCTTTGGCTATTGTGACTAATACTGCTATGAATTTGGGTGTGCAAATATAAGTTTGAGATCCTGCTTTCACTTCTTTCGGATCTATAGTAATCCCTGCTTACTTGTTCCTTAGGATACATTGCAAGACTCCCAGAGGCTTCCTGAAACTGCAGATAGTACCAAACCCTACTGTGTTTTTTTCCCTGTACATAACATACTTATGATCAAGTTTAATTTATAAATTAGGCACTGTAAGTGATTAACAGCAATAACTCATAACAAAACAGAACAGTTATAACCAATATGTCAATATTACTACTATGGCACTTTGGGGCCATTATTAAGTATAATAAGGATTAAACACAGCACCACCGAGATGGCTATTAAGTGACTCATGAATAGGGAGTGTAGACACTGGACAAGGAGAAGATTTATGTCCTGGGTGGGATAGAACTGACCTAGCGGGATTTCATCACACTACTCAGAATGACAAGTGATTTAAAACTTATGAATTGTCTATTTCTGGAATTTCCCATTTAACATTTTCAGACTAAGGTTGACCATGGGTAGCTGAAATCACAGATAAGGGGAAACTACAGTATAATCGGTACTGAGATTGCTGGATCATATGACAGTTCTACTTTTAATTTTATGGAAACCACCATACTGTTTTGTTTTGTTTTGTTTTGTTTTGTTTTGTTTTGTTTAAATTGAAACGGAGTCTGGCTCTGTCACCCAGGCTGGAGTGCAGTGGCACAATCTAGGCTCACTGCAAGCTCCACTTCCCGGGTTCACGCCATTCTCCTGCCTCAGCCTCCCGGTGTAGCTGGGACTACATGTGCCCCCCACTGCGCCTGGCTAATTTTTTTGTATTTTTAGTAGAGACAGGGTTTCACCATGTTAGCCAGGATGGTCTCGATCTCCTGACCTCGTGATCCACCCCCCTCGGCCTCCCAAAGTGCTGGGATTACAGGCGTGAGCCACTGCGCCCGGCCATGCTGTTCTTATTTTATTTTTATTGTTTGAATATTTTACAACAAAAATATATTTATGCATTATTTATGTAATTAAGGGTAAAGGAAAAAATTAATCTAGACAGATGTAGTTCAAAGCAGACCAAGTACCAACTAAATAGTGGTTTTGGTGACAGCTAGGAATAGTCAGGTTTGGTGGTCAGTGGTCTACCAAATGGCCAGTGAACTGGAAGTGCTCAATACTAAAGACCAAGCATTTAATTAGCATTACTAATTGTTTTGTTATTCACAAATATCCACTATCCTTGCCTGTGGGAGGCTTATAAGTCCCCACCTAACAGTGGCCATATGAGTTGCTTTGGCCAATGAACCATGAGCAGGAGAGCCTTGCACCCATTCCAGGGAGATGTTTTAGGAGCAGGGCCATGATTTCCATATCCTCCTTCCCCTCTGCTGAGTTAACCAGCCATGTCCCACACACAGGCTGTGATGGCAGTCCCAGGCCCAAAGGGAAGGTGCGTTCAACAGAGCTGCAGCCAAACTTTGATGCACAGGAAGTGTGAATGAGAAATCGAATTTGGTGGTTGAAAATGACTGGACTGGCTGGGGGCGGTGGCTTAGGCCTGTAATCCCAGCACACTGGGAGGCCGAGGTGGGTGGATCCTTTGAGCTCAGGAGTTCAAGACCACCCTAGGCAACATGGCAAAACCTCGTCTCTAAAAAAAAATACAAAAATTGGCCGGGTGTGGTGGCTCACACCTGTAATACCAGCACTTTCGGAAGCTGAGATGGGCGGATCAACTGAGATCAGGAGTTTGAGACCAGCCTGACCAACATGGAGAAACCCCGTATCTACTAAAAGTACAAAATGAGCCAGGCATGGTGGTGCACGTCTGTAATCCCAGCTACTCAGGAGGCTGAGGAAGGAGAATCACTTGAACCTGGGAGGTGGAGGTTGCAGTGAGCTGAGATCGCACCATTGCACTTCAGCCTGAGCACACAGCGAGACTCCATCTCCAAAAAAAAAAAAAAAAAAAAAAAATTAGCCAGGTGTGGTGGTGAGAGCCTATAGTACCAACTATTTGGGGGGCTGAGGCAGGGGGATTGCTTGAACGTGGGAGATCAAGGCTGCAGTGAGCCAAGATCAAGCCCCTGCACTCCAGCCTGGGTGACAAAGTGTCTCAAAAAAAAAAAAAATTATGGACTTATTTTTTTGATCCCACAGGACACTCTGGTCTGCCTCATGCAAGCTGTCTACTCAGACCTTCTTATCTCCATGAGGACTGTGAACTCGGAGTGGGAAAAGGGATCTGTAAACCAGAGGTCTCCTCCGCTCCAGGAGCTCTCAGTCTTCTGAAGGTGGGTACACGTCACCCCCAGGCCAGGAAAAATTGCCAACACCATAATGTGTCCACATGGCATTCCAGGGATGCGACCTCACTGCCCATGACTTGGCCTCTCAGAAATTATCCAGAGCCCTGTCAGCCTGAAAGGGACAAAGAGTATTGCCCTGAACACTCCCTGGTATGTTGAACACTTCCTTGTATGATCACCAGGACAAGCTTCAGACACAGGAGGAATACAAGGAGTATTCTAGAGGAGGCTACACCCCATTCTCTCCCATCAAAAACCTTCTCAGGTTAAGGCAGAGAAGTAGTAGCTCCGTCTCACGAACTGTCTTCCAAAATGCAGTGTTGAGAGAATTGACCAATGTGTGAGGCTAGAAAGGGCAACCAACCCATTGTCTCCGGAGCAATGGCAGGCACAGCGTGTGGCAGCCGCTTCCAGAGTGCCCTCTGTCAGGAGAAGAAGGACGATCAGCTTCGTTCTGGTAGAGCGGCATCTCCCTGCTTTGCTTGCAGTTTTACCTGGTTGGCACCAGTCCCATTAAAGGGGAAGGTGAAACTGGGCTCTGAGTTTAGCCTCATCCCGTGGAAATGGCTAAAAATTTCCCTTTCTATTCATTTGTTGTCTTAGTATTTTTTTTTTTAACCAGAGAACTATGCAAGAAAAGTATTTTAGACAAGCTGTGGCAAAAGAAAACTGAATCATTATAAGGATTAATCATCACTGGCCAAAAAAAAAAGCCTGATGTTAACTCCATGAAAGCAGGTATGAAATCAAGGGCATCAGGCTCTCCTGGCTAATGTTCTCATTTTTCTGGCCTATCTCCGGCTGGCCTGAAATGGTGACACAATTGCTAAGAAACGATGACAGATCCAAACATGGTGCAAATCCATAGGACTTCCGGTTTTCTGAGATTCTGTGAAACGGACATTTGTTAAAGCAAGTGTCAATTCTCAAATCTCGGTAAAAACATTCTAAGAATATGGTTTTACTGTCTCTAATGAAATGTACGATGTCAAAGCTGAGGCCTATGAGGTGGGTGTTTTCTCCTGACACTCGATGCCTGTAGGCAGTGGGGGGAGTTCCCCTACGTGCACTAGTCAATTAGCCCTTCCTTAATGAGCATTGTCCAGTCTCCCTTTGAAGACAAGGGTGCTCTAGGGAGGAGAATGGTGCCCGGGTGCAAGGAATTCAGAATTATGCACTCTGACTTCAGCATTAAGGAATCTTGGGCAAGTTATAGCATCTCTGGCCTCATTTCTTCTGTCTATAAAATGAGGGCAAAATAATTATGGCCCATATATTATATTATCTGATTTGTTAGGACAAATGTCATGACCACATCGGCATGAAAGGTGGATGAGACTGAGAAGTACATCAGAGACACTTAATCAGGATGGTGAAAGAAGAGAATGATTGGAATTGGAGCAGAAACACCTCACCCCCTGCTCTCCTGGCCAGCCGGTGGGGAGCAGGGGCAGGGAGCAGAGATTGGTGGTGGAGCCATTTTGAAAACATAACTGTTTTCAAACAGTTCAAACATGAAATGTACGGTATATTTGGCTATATCTATATTGACTTTTTAGTGAATTGCATAATATATGTATGATTCTAGATGCCATATATTATGATTTTAGATAGATAGATAAAGAATATGTTTCAGTTGTTCTTACTTGATGCTTTTATTGTGTTTAAAATTTTTCAAGTTAGAGGAATCCTGTGGATGGTATTAAGGAGAAAAACCCAAACTACATGGGTCTGCTTCTGATATTTTCATTCATGAATTATTTCCAATCTCCATCCTGGTGCCTCAATGTGGGGAGCAGAGCCAATGAGCAGTTCTCTCTTTAAACATGGGGAGATAAGAGGCATCATTCTGGCATGGGTTAGCCATCCCTTTGCATCGGAACCTTTTCGAATTGACACATAAAGCTGATGCTAGCAGTTAGCAGAGTGCTGCATCCTTGTAAAGAGAATTTCTTTTTTTTTTTTGAGACAGAGTCTCTCTCTGTCACCCAGGCTGGAGTGCAGTGGCCCAATCTTAGCTCACTGCAACCTCCACCTTCTGGGTTCAAGCGATTCTCCTGCCTCAGCCTCCTGAGTAGCTGGGACTACAGGTGCTTGCCACCACGCCCAGCTAATTTTTGTATTTTTAGTAGAGACGAGGTTTCACCATGTTGGCCAGGATGGCCTCAATATCTTGACCTTGTGATCCGCTCGCTTCGACCTCCCAAACTGCTGGGATTACAGGCGTGAGTCCCCGCGCCCGGCCCATAAAGAGGATTTCTATGCCATTCTAGGTATGACTACAAACTGAGAGGAAGTACACGCTTTCACACCTGGCACCAACGTACAGGTATATGAACATACTGTGCATTATTTACATTGCATTTTTCCAAGAAAACAAACAATAACCACAAAAACCTGAAGGAATAATTAGCAAAAACAAAAGTGTGTGTATGTGTGTGGAGAGGGATGGGTCATTGTCATTTGGAAAAATCTTAGTGCGTTTCTTATGTATACCCATTTGTGAGCATTCTTTAGCTTATCTACATTAAATCAACTTGGGCTTCATCAACTCTGCTGGAAAAAGAAGATGAAACACACCTTGTGACCACCAGCAAGGGCTCTAGGGGGGACAGATTTTTTAACTACATCATTAATTTCCAAAGACACAGCCATTGTTCTTGAACTCACCAAACATAAAAATGCACTAGAGAAAAGGTAATTTCAAGTGCTAATAAAAAGAAAACAAAAGGTTTCATTCACCAGCAATCTCTGCTTCCTTTGATTTACAGTTTTCAGAAAGCAACAGTGTCATTGAACTACAGGGTCACAGAGCCGCCTCCCGGTGGAACGCTGATTAGATGGCCTTCCCTGACGTACATTCAGTAAATGAGTGGATGACAGCCAACTCCTCATCACCCAGCCACAGCGGACCTGGTGATCCTGGTGAACGTGTTCACAGGAAGTAGAGCCAATCACTGCATGGCTGGTGTGGGTCTGCGGCACACAGAGCACTTGGCTGATTTTATTTCAGACATCCTCTCAACTGATACCCTCTTGCCAAAGGAAGAAAGCATTACTGCAGATAACACAAAATGGTAATTAATCAGCCCAAGGCTTTCCTTAAATCCCTTCTCTCTACTTCCTGAGAGGCATTTTCTGGAATTTCCATCTGCATCACACAGGACAACTGCTACATTAGTTACTGGGTTGGCCACAGAATGACGAAGAGCAGTTCTCACTTCTCTTGGAATTATGGAGTAGACTCCACAAGGGAGGAGTTCACAGGGCACTTCACTGTACTGGCCATGTTTTATAGCTTGAGCTGGGTGATGAGAACATGAGCGTCATGTTATTCCCTAGCCCTTTTCTTACATATCTTAAATATAGCATAGCATATTCTTTCTAAGAAAAGTAGACTCAAATATGAGGGCTTTGGGAGCTAATTCAGTTCTCATAAATTATTTATGTCCGTATGCCCTTTTTTGCTCCAGACAAGAATTATTTCATGCAATTAAAATTTTCTCCACTCATAGAAGTATTTCTTGCTATAATTTAAATGATAAAGATATACATAAAAAAGAAATAGTAAGAGGAAAGCACTATTTTTTTTTTTTGGCAGGGGCTGGGGGGGTGTGATCCCTGTTCCAGCTTCACGCCCCTCATCAAAGATAGCCAATCTCTCTGGCTGAGTGTATCTTCTTCCAGAACATTTTCTACTCCTATAGGTACATATATTTCCACATTGCACTTCCGAATGTAATGTGAGTTTTTACTCATGCATCTTGTTCATCTTTTCTGGGCATTGATCACTTAAGGTGGGCAAGAAGCAAGGACTAACGTCCTGGGCTAGAAGGGACAGGAATGTTTGGAAGGAAAACTTCCATGATTAGAGAGACAACTATGATCTTAATGGAAAAATTTTGGTGGGAATCGCGACGTGTTAAACTTGCCCTAGAATCATGTGCCCAGAGACTTGTGCAAGACATTCCAAGTGTGGGAACAGAAGGGTGACAGTCACCAGCTGGGGTCCTTGGGACCTTTTTGTTAGTTATGCCTGGAGAACCAGCAGGTCTCTTGGCTCGAGGGCTGAGTGCTGAGACAAGGAGCTAAATGGGCCAGCACAAACAGGTCAAAACTGAGCAATGGAGCTGGTTTTATGATTTAAGCTGACTCCAAAGAGGCTGCACATGTGGTTCGTTTATAACTGAGATGAAGTAGATTTTTCTAAGGGCCATTCATCTCAGAGCGTCAGGAGTTGGGTGTTTCCCGGCTGAGCAGAAGCAGGGTCACATGTGAGGAACAGAGCTGTGGTCCTATGGTCCTGACCTAAAGAGGGGTCCCTTTTTATCCCTTGGGTAGTCATGGAAGATATAAGTATCAAATCTTGGCAAGCCTGCCACTTTATGGCTGCTTTGAGACAAAAGCTCTTTTTCTACAACTCCTTGGGAATGAGAATCTCCAGCAGAAAGTGGGACTCATCATCTGCCCCAGTGCATGCTTGGACACTTGCTGTGTGCGGGCACAGGGCACTGAGAGTCAGGCTGCCCCTTGTCAGGCTGTGAGCATCTCCCATCACTTGGTGCTTCCTTACTCTTCCTCCACACCTTTCTTTTCCTTCTTTGTGTGTCTCACATGAAATCCTTTTGTGCAGATTTTTTTTCTCTTACAATCTTTTAAAATTGAGGATAATAATTCACATGCCATAAAATTCACCATTTTAAAGTATATAATTTGGCCAGGTGTGGTGGCTCACACCTGTAATCCTAGCACTTTGGGAGGCTGAGGCGAGTGGATCACCTGAGGTCAGGAGTTCGAGACCAGCCTGACCAACATAGTGAAAGCCCTTCTCTACTTAAAATACAAAATGAGCCGGGCATGGTGGTGTGCACCTGTAATCCCAGCTACTCGGGAGGCTGAGGCAGGAGAATCACTAGAACCCAGGAGGTGGAGGATGCACTACACTCCAGCCTGGGCAACAAGAGTGAAACTCCATCTCAAAAAAAAAAAAAGTCTATCTTTCAGAGATCTTAGCGTAAACTCATTCCTTCAGCAGAGCCTGCTTTTCTTTTCGGTGCTGCATACTGTTCTCTGCCATGGCTCTTTTGGGGTGCAGTGTTCTTCCTGCATTTGTTTCCCTCTGACAAAGATGAACTAGAACAAAGCAGGAGCTCTGCTTTCCCTCCAGCTGCCTCCGTCCCCATCTGCAGTTGGCAAGGATGCCCCTGCCTGCAGTCCTACCATTGATTGGCATCTGACTGCCCACTGGCTCTCCATATGCTAAGAGCACACTCCAACCTGTCTCATGATATTTGAGGGAGGGAAGGCACTAATAATTCACATAGACTCCATTGATTTTTGCCATCTTCTCGGTTCCTCTTACTCCCTCTTTTTCCCTAGAGACGCTGTTAGGAAACTAGCTAACAGTCCTTGAAGCCAAACTGAGTTTCTGAATTTATTGCATTCCTAAAATAGTGGGAAAAAAAATCAAGAATTGGGCCTCAAGAAAATCACATACTAGCAAATTATGTTCCTGTCTGATTGTGTTGTAGAAAAAACCGGGTTCTTGTCACACAACCAGGAAAATTTAGACTCAGGCACCTTGTAGTGTGAGTAGGGCAGGGTTTATTGGGTGAAAAGGAAAAAAAGAAAGAGGAACTCTCAGCAAAGTGAGAGTCCTGCTGGCAGGCCCCCACCTTACAGATTGAATCCCAGGCCACCACACAGGACCCCAAGAGGCCAGGCTCCTCCCCCACTGTAAACAGGGTGAACTTTCCCTGGCTCCATCCTCTTCCCCCAGCACGCAGGTGGGCATTACATAGAGAGCATCAGTCGGGAAAGGGCGGGCTTCATCCAGGACCAGCAGTTCGGTTTTTCAGCCTTCAGGCTGTTTTAGGCTTGAAGGTGGAGTTTTGCTGGAGACGTTGACTATCTCCTGTCTCTATCAATAGTGAAGCAGTCTGGCAAATCCACACCTTCAGGGATATGACGTGTGCTGAGAAAAGCTATTCTTTGATGTTAAGAAAATAATGGGATGGCCCAAACAAGTGAGTATCTTTCTCTATGAGAATAGAGAGTTCAGGAGACATAGCCAGGCAATATCTGGTATTTGTCTGATTTCACTGCACAAAATGATCATCCAATGGCCAGAAATAACTATGGGTGCATACAACTTTATGAGAATACAATAAAGAGAATTCCAAACTCACAAAATATTAAGAATTAAGGAGTATTCATTTTCCAAAAACAATGATGCATTTTTGTGCTGCTGAAATTTTGTTGTACTGGATGTGGCTGACAGCAAATGGGTCAGAGACTGCAGAGATTTCCCTGCTGATAATTTTTACACTCGAATATGGATACCTCAGAATGTAGAGTAGGATGAACCCTCAGAAACTCAGGACCATATGGTTGTGTGATTACCCACGATTATGGGCAGGTCAGAGTGGATTTTTGTATTTTAAATTGATGTTGCTGGAAACTTCCTCCATAAAGGCTAATGAAAATCATATCTCCTGGAATTCTAGTAAAGTTGAGAGGTGAAGAAAGATGGCAAATTAGCTTGACTAGTTCAGACAGCTGCTTCTCTACCCACAGAACCCTGAAAAACCACCAGGCAGGAGACTTCTGCTCACACAGCCTCATAAATGATGGCATGTTGTGAATCGCCTTCCCCCGGCAACTTAGGAAAAGCAGAGAGGGCAGGTCCCATCCTAAGCTCATTCAGCAGGTCTTGAGTTGGATAGAAGCCTCTGAAGTTTCCAGAAGCTCCCCAATGATTCTGAACCTCGAATACAATACACCAATATTTCAGAACCTCGAATACAATGAAAACAGTTTACATTTGAAATCAAGTAGGCATGAGTTCAGCTTTAGAGTCCTGCACTGGGTGACCTTGAGCAAGTTGCTTCTCTCTGAGCTTCAGTTTTCTCTACATTACCTGTCTTGCAGGGCTATTGTGAGGATTCAGTTAATGGATGCATTAAGTGTTGTTCTCAGCACTTGCCACCTCGTGGTTGATTAATAAACATAGCTCCCGTATTAGTCTGCTTGGACTAACTACTGTGACAAAGTACCACGAGTAGGTGCCTCAAACAACCACAATTTATTTTCTCATGGCTCTGGAGGCTGGGAGTTGAGGATCAAGATGTTGGCAGGGTTGGTTTCTCCTGACACCTCTCTCCTTGGTTTGCAGATGGCCACCTTCTTGCTGTGCCTCATGGGCTTTTTCTCTCTGTCCACATCCCGTGTCTCTTCCTCTTCTTATAAGGGCACCAGTCTTATTGGATTAGGGCCCCATCCTATGACCTCATTTAACCTTAATCATCTCCTTAAAGGCCCTGTCTCCAAATACAGTCACATGGGGGTTAGAGCTTCAGCCTATGAATTGTGGGGGCCACAGCTTAGTCCATAACATTTTCCTTCACCCTATCCTTTTTCCTATTCTCCTTCCCATTCCCATTAGCATCTGCAGTAGTTTATGAATGAAGTATCTTTAATTCAAAGGAATTCTTTTATAATAATTATTTGATAAGAGCTCTGATTGAAGGTAAGAGTGAGGAGGGGGTAGGGGTATTTTGCTCAAGGCACGGGCTTTGTGGAAAGCCAGACCCCCAAGCCCTCCAAGAGACTCAACTCTTACCTAAAGGATTTGATTACTCTTGCTAGTTCAATTTCTTTTGAACTAAAAGAAAATAGAGATGGAGAAGGCACAGAATTCTCCTCTGTCTGAATTCTGAGTCCTTGCATTTCCAGATTTTGAAGGTTGGTTTGTTTTACTCTCTTATGATACATCAGAGCAGAGTAAAAGAAAAGTCCTTTCACATTTCCTAAGTGGAAAGCATAACTTTGTGGCATATTATTTCTTGACAGAGTGGTTACTGAGCACCTATTTTTAGAGGCTGTAATATTCTGTTTCAGACATGTGAGTCTCTATCCCAGGCATACTGTCTCTCCCTTCCCTGTCCCCAAATGTCTCCTTCGTGGTTGCATGCAAAGTTCCATAAAGGCTGGCAGCCTCAGAATAGAATTTGTGATGTGAATTGTGTTCATTCTGATGTTACATGGCAGCACCTTACTGTCTCAGAATCCATCCTTTATATAACTGGCAATGCACTGAAGTGATTCAGTCTATGAATCACAACCACTGCATTGTTCTCTTATTCATATTAGAATGAATTAAGTTTTCTGGCTGACTATGAATTTTACTGCTTTTCTAATTTCTCACCTTCCTTGGCTGTTTGTTTTTTCCCATGAAACTGAAGCACCCTTCCAGAAATATATGCATTTATCATATATATATATATTCATATTTCTCTGCTTGATTTAAAATGTGCCACTATGATTACTCTGAATTGTAAATGACAAATTGAAAGGAGAAGGCTGGGAAAAGTTACTTATTTATAGTAATGTAATGCGTATTTTTCTGTGATAACTTAGGCAGAGATTAAGGCCTAAGGTATGGCATTAATTAAGGCCTAATCTCTGCCTAAGTTAGGAGCACTTCAGATGCATTATCATCCAGACAGTTCCAATCACTCTAGTGGCCTACAGCAGTTGAAATAACCTTACTCTTTGCTCCTCTCATTTCTTGTTTGCCCCATACTTGGGGAAGGGGTTATATGGTTAAATCCTAGAATGTCAGAGCCCGAAGAGCTCTTAGCATCTCTGAATCCAATCTCCCCTCTTTCCCTCAACTTTTAATTAAACCAAAGTCAAACCACATCATTTTCCAGCACCCCCTACCCTGCTGTGAAGCAGGTTGCAATCTACTGCTCTTGGGTTCAGTCGTATGACTTGCTTTGGACAATGGAATGTTAACAGATATAGTGTGAGGAGAATCTTGGAAAATGCTTATGTAATTGGGCTGCTCTCCGGTACTTCCGCTAGTGCAAGGAGAATGTGTCCGGGCTAGCCCATTGATTTCAGGGGGGATAAATGAGACATATGAGCAGTATTGTCAGCAAAGCTTCCTTAGCCCAAGACTAAGGCAGAGCTCCCCAGCTGACCTGCAGATAATTGAGTGAACCAAGCCAAGATCAGCAGAGCCACCTAGCTTAGCCCAGCCCAACCTCGATCCACCAAATTCCAGACAACTCACAGATACGTAAGTTATAAAAATAAATGGTCACCATTTACAAGTCATTAACTTTGGGGAGGCTCATGATGCAGTATTTTTGTGGCAATGGCAAATACATTAAGTTGTGTCACTTGTTTTCTCTTGTCATCTGCCAGATCTCTCTGTTTGAAAAGTTCTTTTCACATTTTGTAATTTATAAGTAATATGTAGGATGATACTTCTAGACTGTGTATATTCATTCACATTTTATTCAATTATTTCAGCAGCTATTCATGATCCTTATCTGAATTATTACATTGAGAATTGCAAACTGCTGATTTTTCTATTATTCCTTCTGTATTAATCAGCTAAGTGTGCTTTTGTAAAGAGCATTTCCTTGCCCACTTTTTATTGTAGTACAAGTAAAAGCTCATGGGTTCTCTTTTATTCAATAAGCTGTAATCCGTTACTATAATCCATTGTTATTAATCCATTATTATTCTTTTTGATGCTCAAATTGTGTCAAGTTTGGCCAGTGGGAGCTCCTTCAAGTCAGCTTTTGGGTCCTTTCCACATGTTCCCTTTAGTCTTTAAGCACTTTCTGCCTTTTGGCAATGTGAGATACCCTCTGTTGCGGGATTTAATTTGCTAGTCTTTTGTTCAGGACTTTTGTATTGGTGTTCATGAGAGAAGCTGATCTGTAGTTTTCTTGTAATGTCCTTGTCATGTTTTTGTATCAAAGAATTGGCCTCACAAAATGAATTGGGTAGTGGTTCCTTCCTCCTCTATTTTCATAGAAGAACTTGTGTAGAATTGGTATTATCTCCTCCTTACATATTTGGTAGAATTCATCAGGGAAGTCACCTAGGACTGGGGTGGCTTTTGTAGAAGGGCCTTGTCCTTCAAATGCTTTCTCTTTGTAGTCTTCATTTGATATTAAGGATTCAGCCGCTGCTCCGTTTTTGCTTATATTTGCACAGTAAATTTTGTCTGTCATTTTCCTTTTAACCTTTCCCAGTCGCTTGGTCTAATAATGTCCATTTTGGGCAGTATATGGTTGAATTTTACTTTTTGCAGGTTATAACTTCTTGTGTTCTCTGGGACTTTGGCTTCTCTGTCATTGCCTGAGTTCTGTCTTGAAGTCTCATCTATGTTCTTCCCAGCCTTGTTAGTTCTTCTAAATATGCATTCCCAGTTGGTGGTCTTTTCCTCTCTGTCCCTGACAGCCTCAAATTACCATTAGCTCCACCTGCACATGGCCCCACTGTTACTAGCTTATTCAAAATTAATCTCAGAGCCCATAATAGGGCCCAGCCCACAGGTAGGTGTTAATAAAGATTTATTTAATGAATGGTGATAACTATGGCATTAATTATGATCAAGTTTATTGGTTAAAAAAAATAGAAAACCCAAATATCAGTGGCTTAAAAGGATGACTTATTCCTTCCTTATATGAGTCTTTAGGCCTCTAGGCATTTTGTCCAGAGGTTGGTTCTATAAATCCTCAGAGACATAGGCTCCTTCTAAATTATTATTCTGCCATCCCTAGAGTATACATACTTCTCATCCTCATAGTCTAAGATGGCCCACATCTGAGGCCACAGGATGGAAGAAAGAATGAAGAACCAGCAGAGGTCATGTTCCAGGAGTCTGTTAGGGAAGGTTCCTGGAATCTGTCACATACACAGCACTTCGACTTAGGTATCATTAGCCAGAATTTAGTCACATGGCCACACTTTCTACGAGAGAAGCTGGAATGTGTTGTCTTAGTCTGGATAGCAATGTGCCCAGCTTAAATTGTATTACTAGAGAAGAGGGGGAAATGATTTCCTGGGGAATCCTTAGCAACTGGAGAAGACTAAAGACCTGAAGAGGTGTAGCATATTTGTGAAAACAACATGAAGTGTGATGGTGCGGGATCATAGCATGAACGAGACAACATGGTAGATTCACTAAAAGGATAGGGAGGGGCTAGACTTAGACAATAAGGCTTAGACTTTGGATATTATCCTGTGGACCTTTTTTATTAGTCAAGGTCTTGAGGGAAATAAATGGCACTCTTGAAAGGGGTGAAATGTGTTTAACGAAGGGACTATTTGAAGAGTGGGCAGGATTGAGAAAAATGAACAAGGGATGTGAAGTGCTCCAGGGCCAGCAAAAGCAGGAACTGCCAGGACTGCCAGGGCACATGGACAAGCGGTTACTGGAACCCAACAGGTGTGGTTGTAGGAAATGGGTCTCAGATAAGAGCTGTGCCTTTGGGAAAGGAACATTGTTACTGCAACATATACCCTGAAAGCAGAAATGGTGACATAACTTGCAGGGCCCAGTGCAAAATGAAAACGAAGGCCCCTTGCTCAAAAATTAGTCCGAGTTCCAAGATGGCAACAGTAGGCGGTTAAACCAAGTGTGGAGCCTTTCTGAGCGTGGGGCCCTGTGCAACTGTACAGGCTGAGTGACCATGAAGCTGGCTTGCCTGCCAGGGAAGATGCTGGAGGAAAAACACCCTAAACGACTCTGTCTTCCAGCCCTCTGACTCTTGCCAATGGCTCCCTTTGCCCATACCCAAGTAGTAGTCAAAATCGAGGAGCCTGATTGAAGCCCTCCATGATGGTCAGGTGCCGGAGGGGAGTGAACAGTGCATCTGGAGGAGCTGGGGAGATCTAGCTCCACTATGGAGGGCCATTAGAAATTTTTAAGCAGAATGGCATGTCCAATTTATTTTTAGAAAGAGCTTTTTGGCAGCAGTGTGGAGGATGGACTGCAGAGCCTGGAGGCAGAAAGACCAATTAGGAGGCTATTATGATAATTCTATAGTTTTTTTTTTAAAAAAATCACAACTCACAGAAAGAAATTCATTTTATATTTATGTCAGTAACCAGTGACAGATACATACATATCAAGGGAACACAAAGTCTATGAAACAACATAAATCCTTACTCAATGTAACAATACTTAACCTTATTAGAAGCAAAGTGCTCTGGTTTTGTTTTTTAAAAAATGCTGGTTCCAAATCACAAAATTGATTCTATGAATCAGAGCTTTTGATTTACAAAATATTGGTCTAAGTAGTGCACTAAGCAGAATAATGCCCTTCCTACAAGATGTTCACGACCTAATTCTTGGAACCTGGAAATATTTGAACACTACATGGTTGACTTTTATATACATAGCAAGACCTAATAAGTGAAAATGTTACTTCATTTGGCAAAGGGATTTGGCAGATTTGATGATGTTAAGGACCTTGCCATGGAGGTTACCCTAGATTATCCAGGCAGGGCCAATGTAATCTCGAAGGTTCTTACAGGTGACAGAGGGAGCCAGGAGAGTCAGAGCCAGAGAAGATGTAATGAAGCAAGCAGGGTCCCAGTGACACAGCAGGCAATGGATAACTTGGATGAAGCAGAAGGGGATCGGGAGCCGAGGAAGGTCGGCAACCTCTAGACGGCAGAAAATGTAAGGGAACGGATTCTCCTCTGGAGGCCCCCAAAGGAATTCAGCCCTGCTGACACCTTGGTTTTAGCCCAGTGAGATCCACAAGACTTCTGACCTCCAGAACGGTGAGATGGTAAACAGGTGTTTCTTTAAGCACTCAAGTTTGCAGTGATATGTTACGGTAGCAATATGAAACTAATACGTGGAAGGAGATGAAGACAGCCGGGAGAAGGCAGTGTCAGTGGTGGGAGGGATGGAGAAGAAGGGGCCTAATATTCCAGCAGGACTTTTTCCTTTTTTTTCTCTTAAGATCAAGGACCACAGCCCCAAGACAAACCATGGTGTTTCTTCCCTTCAAGTTTTAGATTCTAGGGAAGTTAAAATGAGTATCAAAGACTTAGAGGGGGACAAAAGTCTGTTTTAAAACTGTCTTAGTGACATGAATGTATGGACTAAGGGCAATTAGCTGAATGTGCAGTACCTGTGAGCTAATCTGGAAAACAGAAGGAGCCACCTACGTGTTTTTTTTTTTTTTACTTAATTTTAGCTGCTTGAGGAAATGAACTGAATCAGCAAAGCTCTCACAGACAGTTCTATGTAGAACCCACAAAGCAAAGCAAACATTATTGATTTTTCCAGAAGTGAAAGAAGAAACTGCTACCATGTAGAAGGAGTCATCGGACCCACAGTGAAACTAGGAGATGAGTGATTAGTAAAAGGGGCAGATGAGCAAATGAGTTAGCACAAAACTGGTTGTATCTATTGTTGAACGCAGGACAAGCAAATCAACAATTGAATCTGGTAATGATGTGCTTCTAGTAAGGTTATTCATATTTATAAGTGTAATGATCAATTCATAAGTATAATTGTTCTGAAAGCACAAATCATCTGAAAAACAAAACAAAACCAGAAAATATAATTTAAAATAAGAAATCATTTACAATAGCAAGAGAAAATATAAAGTACTTAAGGAAAAAAATCCAAAGATGTCCAAGACCTTTACCTGGAAAATTATAAAACTTTATAGAGGCCACACTCAATGGCTCACATCTGTAATCCCAGTACTTTGGGAGGCTGAGGTAGGAGGATTGCTTGAGGCCAGGAGTTTCAGACCAGCCTGGGCAACACGGCAAGACCCTGTTTCTACAGAAAAAATTTTTAAAAGTTAGCCAGGCTTGTGGCACACACCTGTAGTCCCAGCTACTCTGAAGATGGAGGTGAGAGGATCACTTGAGGCCAGGAAGTACAAACTGCAGTGAGCCATGTTTGTGTCACTGCCTTCCAGTTGGTGACAGAGAGAACTCTTGTCTCTAAAATTAAAATAAAGGCAACTTTATAGAAAGACATAGCAAGACCTAATAAATGAAAAATAAGTTCATGTTTGTGGATGGGATGACTACTGCAAAGATGCCAATCTCCCTCCAAATTATTCTATATGTTCAGTGCAGTAGAATTCAGTGAGTGTGAGTGTTGAGTGTGTGTGCACTTTAACAAGATGACCCCACACTCCATGCCAACCAGCAAAGGCAAAAAATTTACGGCAAATATTGGAAGCACTGACCTTTCAGATGTCTCCCTTTTTCTAAGGCTCCGTCAGTAGGACTATGGCATAGAGGCAGGAAAAGGTACACAGACTCACAGGACAGAGAGCAATGGACCCTGCACCTGAGTAACCTTGATCTATGACAGAAGTGACGTTATAGCTCAGAAGCAAAGAGTGGACTATTCAGTAAGTAGCAATGGGACAACTGACTGTCCATATGAAAAAGCATAAAAATAGACCTAAATGTGAAAAACAAAACTTTAAAACTTTTAGAAGAAGACTATAGGAGGATATTGTTATAACATCAAGGAAGGGAATAAAGTCCAAAGCATATACACAAAACAAAAAGGAAAACATAGATCCATTCGATTATACTGAAATTTAAAGCTGAAGTATAACAAAAAACACTGTAAACACCACAAGAAGGCCAACCAAGCCTGGGAGAAAAATTGTAAATACAGATAACTAATCATGGAGTACTGCCCAGAATATATTAATAACCCTACATATCAATTCCAGCCAACCAACCCAAGAGATAGGTGGGCAATGGGTGTATACTGGCAATTCACAGAAGAGGAAAACTAATAGATGGTAAATATACAATGACATGCTCAACTTCACTAGTAATTGAACAAACAAAAGCATATAAGAGATGTTATCCCACTGTCATCAGTGTTTCCACTTTGTATCCCACTCTCGTGTATCTCATGTGTATGAGAGTGTATCCCACTCTCATGCAAAAATGTTTAAATGTGACAGTATCAAGTGTTGGAGAGAATGTGGGAAACAGAAACTTTCTTGCTATCCTAGTAGGAATGTAAATCAGTACAAACATTTTGGCAAACAATATGATGGTATCTAGAGAAGTTGAAGAGGTGCATATTCTATAACCCAGCAACTCTGCTCCTAGAAATGTTCCCTACAGAAACTCAAGCATGTGTACAAGGAGACTCATACCAGCCTCATTTCAGCATTGTCTATACTGGAAACAACAAAATATCCATCATTAGGAGAATCAATAGTGACATATTCATCCAAAGAAGTACTCTAAGGTAGTCAAAAATGAATTAACTAGGGCCTTGTGCATGTTAAGTCTTTTTTTTTTTCTTTCTTTTTTTTTTTTTTTTTTGGAGACGGAGGCTCACTGCAACCTCTGCCTCCCAGGCTCAAGCAATTCTCCTGCCTCAGCCTCCCAAGTAGCTGGGATTACAGGTGCATGCCACCATGCCCAGCTAACTTTTGTATTTTCAGTAGAGAAGGGGTTTCACCATGTTGGTCAGGCTGGTCTCAAACTTCTGATCTCAAATGATCCACTGCCTCAGCCTCCCAAAGTGCTAGGATTACTGACGTGAGCCACTGTGTCCAGCCTCAACAATAAGTCTTAAAAAACATAGTGTCGAACAGAAAGTAAAACTGTAGTAAAATACATATTAGTAAAATAGCATGCAAAACAATCCTGTATTGTTTATCTATACAAACACATGTGTGAAGATCATGAAAAACATCCATAAGAATGGTAAGGCCAAACTCAGAACAGAAGTCAGGTTCAGGAGGAAGGGAGAAGAATGGAATGCAGGTGGGTGGGAATACACAGGAGGCTGATCTGTAAGGTTTTATTTACAGTTGATACTCATTATTGTATTTTATGCTTGTTACTGATACTTTTTTGTATGTTTGAACAATTTTATTTTAAAAGCTCCAACCCTCTCGTGTGGCAACAAAGCCACTCACCATCTTCCCCTCTCTAAGGCATCTTTGCCAACCTTTGCAGGCTCCCGCCTACTGCTCCCCATGTACCACTGGGCTCTGGATGTACCAAAGTTTTGGGTCATTTCCTGAGTGTGTCTCTTTTCTTTATGCCCTTGCTTACTGCCTCCTCTCCCTCTAATGCCTTCCCTCTAAACCCTACCTGGAAAGCTATTCCTCCTAGATTCATTTCATGTGTCATCTCTGGAGTGAACGGTGCTTATTATTCAATGTCATGTCTCTTGAATGTGCACAGGACTCATCTGGAGATCTTATTAAGTCTGGTTGTGGTTGCTCACGCCTGTAATCCCAGCACTTTGGGAGGCCAAGGTGAGAGGATCGTTTGAACCCACAAGTTCAAGACCAGCTTTGTCAACATAGCAAGAGCCTGTCTCTGCAAAAATAAAAATAATAAAACTAGCCAAGTATGGTGGCATATGCCTGCAGTCCCAGCTACAAGCAGGAAGATTGTTTGATCCCAGAAATTCGAGGCTGCGTGAGCTATGATTGCCCCACTGCACAGCAGCCTGGGTGACAGATTGAGACCCTGTCTCAGAAAAACAAAAAACAAACAAAAAGAAAAATGCAGGGTCTGAATCGGTAGGTCTGGTTGGGGTCCCTGATTCTGCATTCCTAATGAGCTCTCCAGCAGTGCTGATGGGGCGGTTTGTGAGCAGCCAGATCCTCATGACCCCACCTTCTTCCTGGACTCCCACCCGCTCCTCTGTATTCCCTCCTTGCAACATTCATTGTGTTGCTGTGGGTCTGTTTTTTGATATCTGTCTTTTAAATGAAACTAGTAAGGATAGTAACTCCAAAGAGTAACATTTCTGCCCTGCACTTCACAGTATTACCAGCACCCAATATTCATTTGTCAAACGTTTGAAACATTCCAGTGTTGAAAGTACAATTGTATTTTGTGCCTCAGGTGAAACCTTATTAAATCTCTTAAAACAGTTCTGTTTAAGTTGCGCTTTCTATCCCAGGCCAGTGGGAACAGGTATGCAGAGCTGTCAATGCATATTGTCTGCAGATCAGGTCTGAATAAGTTCCTAATTACAGTGCTCACTGGGAGGGGAGAGCTGGAAAAATGTTCTGAACCCTAGGGCAGAGATACCTTCGAGTTCCGGGGATTTAGTGACTTAGTCACAAGCCAAGATTTTGCTGTCAGCACTAAGATAGCTTATAGGAGGTTTGCAGACCTGCTGTAAGTATAATAAAAAATAAATAAATAAATAAATGAAGCGGCCAGAGAGAAAGGGCAAACGAAGCTGCCTGAAGATGAACTCCAGTGGCCTGGCCAAGGTTCTGCTCCTGCAAGCCCTCTCTGTTGTCTGAGAGCCCAACCAGCTCCACCTGTGAGAGGCGGCACAGCCAGGCAGGGTGGAGCCAAGTGCAGGCTCTCACCTGCCCGGGAGTCCAATTCTGGCGCTGCCACTTGGCGGCTAGGACATCTTGGGCAACTTGTGTCACCTTTCTGGGCCTTCGGGTGCCAGATTTAGAAAACGAAATATTGCATGAGACGTATGTATACCAGCAAAGTGTTACTGGCTTGCCTGAAATTCAAATATAACCGGATATCTTGTATTTTATCTGGCAAGCTTATCTAGACCTCACTCCCTTCGTGTCTAAAATGGACATAGTATAGTACCTACCTCCTAAGGTTGTGAGGATGAAATGATTCTATAGATGTAAAGTGCTCAACATACAGCGTGGCTCCAAGGAAATGCTCAGAAAGGTAACTTTCCTACCACTTCCTCACCTCATGATCGACATCTGTTGCCAGAATTGTTCCTACAAGTTCTGTCACCCTAATTCCAATTTCTCCTCCCTTTCACTTCTTCTCCGCATGACTGCCAGAGATAACATTTGAAAAGATCAATCTGGGCCAGGCACGGTGGCTCATGCCTGTAATCCCAGCACTTTGGAAGGCCAAGGAGGGTGGATCATCTGAGGTCAGGAGTTCAAGATCAGCCTAACAACATGGTGAAACCCCATCTCTACTAAAAATACAAAAAATTATCCCGGTGTAGTGGCATGTGCCTGTAATCCCAACTACTCGGGAGGCTGAGGCAGGAGAATTGCTTGAACCCGGGAGTCGGAGGTTTCAGTGAGCTGAGATCGCACCACTGCACACCAGCCTAGGCAACAGTGAGAGTCTGCCTAAAAAAAAAAAAAAAAAAGAAAATATCAATCTAGTTGTGCACTTTAAATGCTACTCAAAATCTTCAAATGGCCCTTACCCACAGGATCAAATCCACACTTCTCAGTCTAGGGTGGCCTTCAAGACTTGGATTCCCTCCCCTTTTCAATCCCTCCCTTTTAAATTTTTTTTAGAGATGGGGTCTCATTCTGTCACCCAAGCTGGAGTGCAGTGGTGCATTCACAGCTCACTGCAACCTGGAACTCCTGGGCTTAATGGATCCTCCTGCCTCAGCCTCCCAAATAGCTGGGACTCCAGGCACCTGGCTCCCATTCTAATCTCTATGCCCACCACCTCTCCTGCTGAGATCCCATGCCATGTCTGTCTGTAACCAACTCTCTCCTGCTCTCTGTCCTTCCTTAGTGGCTCCCTGTGCCTAGAATCCCTTTCTCCCCTTGGCCCCTGAGAAACATCTGTCCATCCTTTGGAGTTTTGCTTCAGATTGGCTCCTCTAGAAGCTTCCCTAACACCACCACTGAGAGCCTCACCAATTCCTCACCCGGCTCCGCCTCTGGGTTCTTAGAGTGCTTTTTACAGACATTTGCTCCTATCATTGTATTTGAATTATTTTAATTTTTGTGTTATGTTTCTCTAACAGTATAACATGTGTGTGTCAATTTTTATCAACAACCTGGAGCTTTTAGTTAGTATTTGAAGAATCTTAGTCAGGAACCCATACATGAAGAGTGGTTAGCAAACATATGAAAAGCCCTAAAAGGAGTCCACAGCCCAGACGGGCTGCAGCAACTTCAAATATCCTCATCCGAATCTGCACCAGAGGACCTGCTCTTTGGGTAAGGGATGCGGAAAGTAATTTTCCACTTACAGAATGGGCGGAGTTCAAGCTACATGGTGGGCCAGAAAGACTAATACAGGCATCTCTGCCCTTTCATGGGTAGAACAGAGCACGCTCAAGGTCTAAACTCGGCTCGTCCCTGGGCCTTCCACCTACAAGAAGCTTCTGCCATTGATTTGATTTAGTTGACCTACTGTCAGGATACAGTCGCATTTGCCTTTAGTGAAACTTTCCTGCAGGGTGTTTGTTGGAGGGCCTGAAAGAACAGAGATTGAAGTCACCAAAATAACAGAACAGGTTGAGTGACCAGCTCTCTACCTGCTTGCTAATGAAAGTTGATTCATGTTGTGGAATGGGGCCTATAATTTGCTTTCATTTTAACGCTTTACTTTGTAGTGAGGCGGTTGGACCAAGGCATCTGAGGGATTCCCCTAATCATTGAAAGCCATCATCATCCACCAAAAAGGACCTGACACTCATAAGCCAAATTGGTTTAGATCAGTTTCTTTTATCTCTCCAAGTAAAGGTGAGCTGGAGAGTAGGGGCCTGTATTGATCACCTTTGTGACTAGCTCCTGGCACTGCCCTTGCCCCACTGGAGGTGCTCGGCAAGTGCTTGTTGACAGAACAAGGGCACCCTTGAAAGACAGAAGGCCAAAGACCCTTTATTGCTGAGCCAAGCTTTGAAACATTGAGGACAAACTCAGACATCTGATTAGAACCATCGATGATCAGGCTGAAAACACATAAGATAACAAAGGATACGTGAGAAAAGTTCCTTTTGATAGCTTTTCATTGAAATTTATTCCATAAGAAATAGCTTTCCCTCTTGAGAATTCATAGTGCATATCATCACATTTGCATTTAAAGGCATTGAGGTATTTTTGTGGTAATATTTATAATAGCACAAATATGGAAACAATTTAAATGTCCAAACATTTGGCTCAATTGTGGACCATCCATTTAGTGTATTATAGAACCATTAAACTTATTGGGAGCTGAGCTTCCCAATGGCAGTGGTTCTCTGCTCTGCATGACCCCTTTTTGAATTTTCTGCTTTCTTATTAAGAGCAAGATTCCCCTTTGCTTCTAAAATAAATCCAATCAGTCAAATATTTACCTTTACTTTAAACTATATTTCTTTTTAATGTTTTTATTATTATTTATTTTATTATTATTTTTTATTATACTGTACCAATGTTAATTTCTTGTTTTTGACAAATGTACCATAGTAATGAAAGGGGTTAACATTAGTGGAAACTGCATGGGAGGTATATGAGAACTGTGTGTACTCTATTTGCAACTTTTCTGTAAAATTAAAACTATTCCAAAATAAAAAGTATATTAATATTTTAATTTATATTTATTAATATTTAATTTTAAAATTTTATTTTAAAAAGAAATATATTATTAATATATTTCTTTTTAAATAAATATATTATTAATATATTTCTTTTTTAAATAAATATATTTCTTTTTTAAATAAACTTTTCATTTTGGAATAGTTTTAATTTTATGGAAAAGTTGCAAATAGAGTACACACAGTTCTCATATACCTCCCATGCAGTTTCCACTAATGTTAAACCCTTTCATTACCATGGTACATTTGTCAAAAACAAGAAATTAACATTGGTACAGTATCATCAATGAAACTTCAGGCATTATTTGTATTTCACCAGTATTTCTACTAGTGTCCTTTTTCTGTTCCAGGATCTCATCCAGAATCCCACATTACATTAAATCATCACGTCTCCTTAGTCTCCTCCAACCTTCTCAGTCTTTCCTTGTTTATCGGCACCCTGGAAGTTTTGAGTGCTGGCCAGGTATGTTGTAGAATATCTCTCAATTTGGGTTTGCTTGATGTTTTCTCATCATTAGACTAAGATTATGGGTTGTGAGGAGGAATACCCAGAGGCATAATCCTGATTCTACATTGTCGCACATTTGTTTACAAAATTTGACACTGCAGAAGCAGCCTCCAAGATGACGAACACCTCCTGGAACTCACTCCCATGTACAGTCCCCTCGCATGAATTAGGATTAGTCTGTGGTTCTCATAGAATACTGTGGAAGTGACAATGTGTGATAGCTGAGGCCAGGTCATAGAAGGCATTGAAGCGTCCTCCTTGGTTTTGCAGGTAGGATTTGCTCTGGGGCAAGTCAGCTGCTGTGTTGTGAAGACACTCCAAGACAACTGTGGAGGGGACCCACCCTGCCAGCCACGTGAATGAGACTCCCTGGAAGCAGATCTTCCAGCCCCAGTTGAGCCTTCAAGTGACCACAGCCCTGACACGTCTGACTGATCCTCATGAGAAATCTCAAGCTAGAGCTATCAGTCCACCTGTTTCCAAAGTCCTGGCCCGCAGAAACTGTGACAGAAAAGAAGTGCTTATTATTTATATAAGTTACTAAATTTGGGGATAATTTGTTACACAGCAATTAGATAATGAATACAGAAACACTCAGAAAAGTATTCGAAAAAACAAAACTTCAAATTTTACAATTCCAAAATAAACTCATTATAACTTGAATATAATCCCTTCTTTTAATGCTTAACCGTACTTAAACTATGTCTTTGTATAATTTAAAAAAATAAAACTGGGATCATAATTTATTTCACTTTTATATACTGACATTTTCCCCACTTAGTGTGTAAATAAATTGTAGATAATTTATCCATGTTATTAGAAAATTCTTCAGAAATGTAAGTTTAATGGTTCTATAATATACTAAATGGATAGTCCACAATTCAGCCAAATCGTTGGACATTTAAATTGTGTGAATTTGTGCTGTTATAAATATTACCACAAAAAATACCTTTGAAAGGGACAATACAGGAAACTGCTGGGAGCACAGGTTGGAAGCTCGTTTTGTGTAGGCATGTTCTAATTCTGCCCCTCCCTAGCTCTACGGCTTTGAGCAAGTTCCTTGGTATCTGTGCCTTGTTTTCCTCTCCTATAAAATAAGGAATGAAGTACCCTTGCTGGTATTTACTATTATTTTTTGTGGTAAAATTTACATGACATTTACCATTTTAACCCTTTTTAAGTGTACAATTTAGTGGTATTAAGTACATTTTCATTGTTATATAACCATCACCACCATCCATATTAAAACTCTTTCATCATTCCAGACTGAAACTCTATACCCATTAAATAGTAACTCCTCATTCTCTCCTCTGCCCAGCCCCTGGTAACCACTATTTTACTTTCTGTCTTTATGAATATGACTAATTTGAGTACACTATTTGTCCTTTTTGATCTAGCTAATTTCACTTAATATAATGTCATTTTTAAAATGCTGAATAATATTCCATTATATATCTTGTTTCATATATTATAGAACTATGTATATATAAATTGCATAATTATAAAAATTATATACAAAGGGAAAATTATATGTATAAATATATATATAAAATATGATATATATACCACTATATATTTATACCACACATATATATATATATATTTATACCACTTGTGTGTGACCTCAGCTATCTCCATTGCCTGCATCACCCTGGCTAACCAGGATTCCTGAGTCTGTACACGTGACCAGTTCATTCCTACCACAACCAGCATTTGAGAAAGCCAGTGCACTAAGACTATAACCAAGGAATCTCACAGAGTCTACATCACTCTCCTGCCACCCTTGTCAGAACTGGTGCTGGTACCCACTGTTGAGAGACTTGAGGACAGATCACATCTCTGGATCCCTTGCAGGCATTCCCCAACACCAGCTTGGAGTGTGACAGCCCCACTGGGCAGCTAGACCCATAGGAGTAGCAATGTTTCCAGTAGTCTGGCTCTCAGGGACTCCTACTTCTAGGGGAAGGGGGAATGCACCACATCAAGGGAGCAACCTGTGGGACAAAAGAATTCAGAGAGCAAGCCTTGAGTCCCAGAATGTTCTGCTTGCAGAAAGTTTCTTTTAGTAGAGGCACAGGTGCAGTGCTGGGCTCAGCGGGAAAAGTCTGTGATTTTTATCCTAGCAGTCAGGCAGTAAGGCTGAATCAGTAATTTTTTAAAAACTGCAAACAAACAAAAGAAAAGCCCAGTTTCAGATGGATTCACAGCCAAATTCTACCAGGCCTTTAGAATTGGTAACAATCCTACTGAAACTATTCCAAAAGATTGAGAAAGAGGAACTCCTCACTAACTCATTCTATGAAGCCAGTATCACCCCAATACCCAAACAAGGAAAGGACATAACAAAAAAGAAAACTACAGACCAACATCCCTGATGAACATAGATGCTAAAATCCTCAACAAAATACCAGCAAACTGCATCTAATAGCACATCAAAAAGACAATACATCATCATCAAGTGGGTCTCAGCCCAGAGATGCAGGATGGTTTAACACACATAAGTCAATAAATGAGATACATCACACAAGCAGAATTAAAAACAAAAACCATATGATCACCTCAATAGGTGCAGAAAAACATGTGATAAAACCCAGCAAACTTTTATGATAAAAACCCTCAACAAACTAGGCATAGAAGGAACATATCTCAAAATAATGAAAGCTGCATATGACAAACCCACAGCCGACATCATACTAAATGGGGAAAAGTTGAAAGCATTCCCCATAAGAGCTGAAACAAGACAAGGATGCCCACTTTCACCACTTCTATTCGACATAGAAGTCCTATCAAGAGCAATTAGGCAAAAGAAAGAAATAAAGGCATCCAGATTGGAAAAGAGAAATTCAAACTATCCCTGTTTGCTTAATAATATGATCTTATACCTACAAAACTCTAAGGACTCCTCCAAAAAATTCTGAGATTTAATAAGTGAATTTAATAAAGTCTCAGGTTACAAAATCAATGTACACAAAGCAGTAGCACTGCTATACACCAACAACAATCAAGTTGAGAATCAAATCAAGAGCTCAATCCCTTTTACGATAGCTATAAAAAAATGCCTGGAATATACTTAACCAAGGAGGTGAAATATCTCTATAAAGAGAACTACGAAACACTGCTGAAAGAAATCATAAATGACACAAACAAATGGAAATATATCTCACGGTCATGGATTGGGAGAATCAATATTGTAAAAATGACCATACTGCCCAACGCAATCTCCAGATTCAATCTAATTCCTATTAAAATACCAGTACCATTTTTCAGGGAATTAGAAAAAAACAATCCTAATAGCCAAAGTGATCCTAAGAAAAAGAACAAATCTGAAACAATCACATTACCTGACTTCAAATTATACTACAAGTCTGTAGTTACCAAAACAGCAAGGTATTGGTATAAAAATAGATACATAGACCAATGGAACAGAGTAGAGAACTCAGAAATACAGCCAAATACTTTGTTGAACTGATCATCAACAAAGCATACAGCAACATAAATCAGGGAAATGATACCCTATTCAATAAGTGGTGCTGAGAAAACTGGATAGCCACATGCAGAAGAATGAAACTAGATCTCTATCTTTCACTTTATACAAAAATCAACTCAAGCCGGATCAAAGACTTAAGTCTAAGACCTGAAACCATAAAAATTCTAGAAGAAAACCTAAGAAAAACTCTTCTGGACATTGGCCTAGGCAAAGAATTATGACGATGACCCCAAAAGCAAATGCAACAAAAACAAAAATAAATACATGGGACCTAACTAAACTAAAAAGCTTCTGCACAGCAAAAGAAATAAGTAGTAGAGTAAACAGACAGCCCATAGAATGGGAGAAAATATTTGCAAACTTTGTATCTGACAAAGGACTAGTGTCTAGAATCCACAAGGAATTCAAAGAAATCAACAAGAAAAAACCCACAAATAATCCCATCAAAAAGTGGGCAAAGGACATGAATAGACATTTCTCAAAAGAAGATATACACATGGCCAATAAATATAAGAAAAAATGCTCAACATCACTAATCATCAGGAAAATGCAAATTAAAGCCACAGTGAGATACCACCTTATCACAGCCAGAAAGGCCATTATTAAAAAGTCAAAAAACAGTAGATGCTGATATGGATATGGTGAAAAACATGTACACAGCTGGTGGGAGGGTAAATCAGTACAACCATTATGGAAAATAGTATGAAGATTTCTTAAAGAACTAAAAGCAGATCTACCATTCAATCCAGCAACCCCCCTACTGGGTATCTACCCAAAGGAAAATAAGTCATTATATCAAAAAGACATCTATATGATATTTATCACAGCATAATTCACAATTGCAATGGAATCAACCTAAGTATCCATCAACCAATGAGTGGATAAAGAAAATGTCATATATATATATATGTATGTATATATATATGTATGTATGTATATATATATACACATATACACACACACACACATACCATGGACTATTTTTTACTTTTTTTTTTATTTTTGAGATGGAGTTTTGCTCTTTTTGCCCAGGCTGGAGTGCAATGGTGCGATGTCAGCTCACAGCAACCTCCGCCTCCCAGGTTCAAGTGATTCTCCTGCCTCAGCCTCCTGAGTGGCTGGGATTACAGATGCACATCACTATGCCCGGCAAATTTTGTATTTTTAGTAGAGACAGGGTTTCACCATGCTGGCCAGACTGGTCTCAAACTCCTGACCTCAGGTGATCCACCTGCCTCGGCCTCCCAAAGTGCTGGGATTACAGGCGTGAGCCACCACGCCCGGCCAATACCATGGACTATTACTTGGCTATAAAAAAGAACAAAATAATGTCTTTTGCAGCAACTTGTATGGAGCTGGAAGCCATTATTCCAAGTGAAGTAACTCAGGAATGGGAAACCAAAAATGGTATGTTCTCACTTAAAAGTGCGATCTAAGCTGTGGGTACACAAAGGCATACAGAGTGGTATAATGTACTTCGGAGGCTCAGAAGTGGATGAGGTACAATGTACACTACTGGGGTGACGAATGTACTAAAATCTCAGACTTCAACACTGTACAATTCATCCATGTAACCAAAAAACATTTGTACCCCAAAAGCTATTGAAATAAATTTATATACATATATAAAATGTAAAAGTTCTGCTCATCAAAAAGAGCTCAAGAAAATTAATAGGTAAACCATAAATTGGAGATATATATGGGACAAACACACACACACATATATATACTTATCTGACAAATGATTTATATTTGAAACATACCAAGAACTCTACAACTCAGTACTAAAAATATTAACAACCCAATAAGTGAATAAGTAACATCACTGTGATCCTGGGTCCAGGTTCAACTTACGTCTCTGGAGGCTAAAGAATGAAAGTTGAACTATACTGTAAGAAAATCTGCTCCATCATCAGCAAGGCTATTTAACGTTTTTCAAAAAATAGCCATGTCAACTCAAAGTACAGTATTGCTATTCCAGTAATCTTTGGTTCATTCTCAATGGGTCTCCAAAGAACTTTACAGATATTAATCAGATAATCTTCCCTGTTTCCTTAAGAGTCAGATGAGGGAGTGAGCAGCCTAATCCCATAAAAACAGAAAACCAAGGAAATGCCGGTCGCTGAGATGCAGCTGGAGGCAGAGCCAATAACCCAACTCTTGGCCCCTGGCAGATGGAAAAGATGCATTCTGTGAGTTGAGCAATGGATCAGCACTGTGATTAAGTAAGAGCTGTCTTTCCACCCTTCCTGATGCACGCACCCAGCCTCTCCCTCTGCGGACAGTTATTATATAATGCCTCCCTCTCAGGGAGAGTCGGGGCTTGCTTTACTGCGGGATCTGGCTTAAAAGTTTCGCCCTGCCGACTGCCTCTGGGAGCCTCCAGTGACTCATTTCCTGCTCCCGGGCTTGTGCTGTAGCTCGCAGCGATGACCCCGGGGTCTCCACTCCTTCGCCATCGCTGTTTCCTGGCCTCCCACAGGCTTCCAGGACTCCACCAAAACCCTCCTGGGTGCATTCCTCATCCCCGTTCCCATCCACCCTGGGCAGGACTTGAAGTTGCCAGAGCAGTAGCAGTCAAGTCTCATTGCCAAGGGCCAGTGTCATCACTCAGCATTGACGGTCTCACCAACATTCAGGCCTCCGAGCTTCGTTTCTGCTGATACCCTCACCTGGAATGCTCTTCCCAATCCTCCTCAGCTCCCCCAGTAACGTCATTCACCAGCCTCAGCATCCAGGTCCTCCCTCTCCTCCTCTGCCTCCTGCAGACCCTCTTTATTAGCGCTTGGGAACTTGACAATGTGCATACCTTAACAGAGCCCTTTGACCTCCTGGGAAACGAAAACAGGCAACAAACTGTAAACACAGAATAAGACCATATCAAATACAGAGAAGTGCTATGAAGAAAACAAAACAGGCTCATTGACCAGGGAAGGAGTGGGAGTATTTATTTAGACCACATAGCCTTGGAGGAGGTGATGTTTGAGTTGAGACTTGAGTGAGGAGATGGATCCAGCCCTGCAAAGGTCTGAGAAAAAGTGTATCTGACGGGAGGTGGAGGTTGTTCAAAGGCCCTGGGGTAGAAATAACTTGGCATTGGAGGAAAGGGAGAAAAAAGCCATCTGATGGGGGAGGAGGTGCGTGAGGGGTGAGTGGATCAAGGCGAGAGGGTTTATTCAGGACTGCATGGGAGCTGATGACAGGGAGGTTCCACGCCAATTGCTTTCTGTTGGTGGAGTGAGGATCAGACAAATGCCTCGTGCGCTGGGTCCTGTTACGTTGCAGTAGTGAGGACGTCACTTGCAAGAAGCATTTGGTCCTTTCTTCCCCAGTCCCCAGTTAAGCTCTCCTGGCTGGGCCTTTTGTCAAGTATTCTGTGGGCTGCACTGGGCTCTTTAGTTGGGTAGCAATTATTAATAGTTCCTGTTCAGAGCACTCTGCAAGAGAGTGGCAGATTGAGAAGGCAACGTGTAGCTTGAAGCTCTTCCAGACCTCCAGGACTACTGGTAGGAGACAATGGCAGAGCCCGTCATCATAATTTCTTTCCTCCTGGCTCCTTAGATCTAGAAAACCAACCTTGCATTATTTTACACAAATTAGACGATCAAGGCAAAGTCTCTGAGTGACTGAAAATGCATTTGCAATGACAAGAGAGGTGAGAAAGTGCAGGAGTTCATGGGGTGGAGGTGACTATTTCACAGTTCTGTTTCCAATCCATTAGCCCTGGGCTTTGAGGGATCTGATAAAGGGGTGGAATTGGCCAATTTCCTTCCTCTTAATAATTAGAACAGCCTTAACAAAGAATGCTTGCTGAACACACACCGAGAGCCAGGCACAGAATGTTCAGCAGTTTACCTGGGAAACTTGTTCAGTCTTCACAACTGCTCACTTTTCAGATGAAGCTCAGAGACAGTAAGGAATCTGGTCACTGTCATATCACTGGCCAGTGGCAGGTCCAACGTTTAAACCCAGTCTGAATCTAGATTTTAAGGCCTGACACACTGTGTGTCCTGCCTCTAAGTGGCTATTACCGTTCCTTATCTATTCCTGGTTGCCAGACACTCACTGAAGCATGGGCTGAAGCACTTTGAGCTTCTTCCATGCCTGGCAGCTGCTCTGAGGCTGAGCCTGTCTGTGCAGAGCTGCTGTCCCTGGAGGTGCTGACCTGCACTGTCAGAAGGAAAGCCAGAGTGGAAGGCAAATCCAGGATTGGCAGAGCCGGGACAAGCCCTTTGTATGTTCCCCTTGGGAAAAAAACATGAGGATATTGCATTTTTTAATAAATGAGTTTAGCCAAGCCTCTTTTTTTACTCCATATCCAGGAATACCCAAAGTTCTCTAGATGCTTCTTGACTGCAGAAGGGGAAATTTCCCAGACGTTTTCTGAAAGTTGACTCTGTCTGTCATGTGACGTGCTCCTCAAGGCTGAGCATTTGGTTTGCAGGCAGTGGGGACCAGCTAGGGACAACTTCACGGGTGCATTTTCGCATGCAATGACAGAGCTGAAGTGGTCAGCAAAATTAGCTTAAAATAAGAGCACGATGCTACAACAAGGGGCAACCTTGATGAAGGCAGTTTGCCCCGCACAGTTCCATGGGTTGGCTATCCCTGTGAAAATGTGCATCCCCCAGAGGCTGACCTAGCATGGCAGGCCTGGGACACTGATGTGGGTCAGTGTAGTGGGTTGAATCATGGCCCCCAAAAAGATATGGCCAAGTTCTAACCTGTGACTGTGACCTTATTTAGAAAAAGTGTCTTTACAGATGTCATTAAGTTAAGGATCTTGAGATGAAATCATCCTGGATTTAGGGTGGGCCCTAAGTCCAATGACAGGTATCCTTATTAAGAGAAAGTTGGGAGAGATTTGATGCACAGGGGAGAAGGCTGCCTGAAGAAGGAAGCAGAGACTGGAGTGATGCAGCCACAAGCCAATAAGCCTGGAGCCACCAGGAGCTGAAAGAGGCAAACAGGGATTATTCCCTAGAACCTTCAGAGGAAGTGTGACCTTTCTGATACCTTGATTCCCAACTGTTGACTTCCAGAACTGTGAGAGAATGAATTTCTGTTGTTTTAAGTCACTCAATTTGTGGTCATTTGTTACAGTAGCCCCAGAAAACTAATAAAGAGAGCACTGCTCTTGTCTTGGGCCTGTTTTACTATTTATACTTCCCCCACCCCAGAGTAACAAGTTATGCACTTACAGTGAGAAATGCACTGAGAAGGGGAGGCCACCACCTGCTCAGGGCATTCTGCCTCTGTAGACAGTTCCAGGGCAGAAAATCAGATGCTGGTGTTGGTCGACATTCAGAATGTTCTCCTGGCCCAGGTGCTGGGAGGGAATCTCCCTCCTGACTCTGGGGACAGACTTGCTGGGTGGCTTCTGGAGGTTTAACCAGCACCCCAGCTCCCTGTGTGTGGGGAGAAGGGGAGGTGAGCCTGGCTTCCCTGACTTCCACCCTTTTCTCCATGCCTTTGGCCTACAGAGCAAGCCATCCTGTGGATTCTCACTGCCCTTCTCCAAACAGGGCATGGCTAGGACCCCTCATACTCTATTATCACCAGAGGCTGCATTTCCTCCTTGAGTCAGCTTGAGTTTTGGATGTTTCCAATGTCTTTGGTGACATGTTTACCAATAATTCTTCTTAGTTATTTCTCACAGATGGCTAATCCTTTATGGGTAAATTTTTCTAGTTTCACTCTAAGAACATTTTCCAAGTCCTTGAGAAGCAAGGGAGGCACCACATGGCCAAGACTCACACTCTCTGGCAAGAGGGCTGGTGGTGCTCAGGGAACTCGACAGCCACTGGGAGAGCTGGGCCCCTAACATGAGCTGCAGAGCCATAAACAAGATGCAAAGCAATGGCCTTTGGTTGGTATTTAATATCAGGAAGATTCATCCTTACTACTCTTTTTTCTCTGTGTGAGTGGATAAGTGAGTATGTGTGTGTGGTGTGTGTATTGAGGTGTGGGTCAGACACTAGCCACCACAGTGTTTGGCTTTCTCCAGCTGTAAATATAAGGAAGAGACTTTGAAAGTCTCATTGTTTTTTCCTTTCCATTCTAAAATCCTAAGATCCTATGGAACATGTCTCAGGAGAATTTAAAACAAAAAATAAGGAATTCACAAGCACTTTCAACTGTTCAAGCTTATGCGGGAACTCTAAACCCACAGGAAAAAGAAACTTTTCAACTCCTCCTCATCAATTCACTGTTATAACACCCGACCCTCTCAGCAGAATGTGCTACTGTGAGCGACTCGCACTGGACAACATCATAAGCTCTTTTGATTTGTCCTTACAACATTTGTCCTTGAGCAACCTTGCACGTGGCAAGACTGCTTCCCACAGAGGGGATGCCTGCGGATGTGTTAGTGTTTCACCGCCAGCCCTGGGTGGTAGTTGCCAGGCTTCGTCTTCTGAAGAACAGCATTCCCTTGTTTGTCTGGCTCTCCCATTGACTCCTAACTGCCCTCTTTTCCTGCTGATTTCCTTGCACACAACGAGTATTTCCTTGCAATAAAGGGAAAAATAGACAAGTATGTGAAACACAGAAAACTATATGACGAGCAGCTCAACAGAAGATGCATTCAGTTCCATTTCTTCCATTCCTGGATTCACCTGTGGCCCCAGCAGCCCCATCTCTGACTCTCAAAACATCAAATGGACACTCTCACCTGAAGACATGGTGGCCTAAAGTGCTGGCCCTCTGTAGGAGGGTTTTGATCTCATTTTTGCTCTGTTCCTTCTTTGCTTTGTCTCCTCTGTTTTTGTGGACTTGGTTTGGGGAATGGGGTGGTGTGAAGAGGTGCAAGTTCCTGGAAATTGTCCTCTCTGCCAAGCTAGTGAGACCTGCTTGGGCCTTGTCCGTACCTAGCTCTATCCGGCTGAAAGACCAGGCCAGGCACAGACTCCACTGTGTGGTGTACAGGAGTTCATGTGTAACTCTTGTTTCCAAGACTCACTAGGCAAAGGCCAGAGATAAAGCCTCAGAACACTGTGGCCCCGCTCCTGTCTGGTTTTCCCACATTCCCTCCTACTCTCACATGCCCTCTCTGTCCAGGCACTGTGTGCAGGCCCTTGGGGATAGACCAGTGAGCAAACCCAACACAGATCCTATCCTCTATCCACTCAAGGGGTTGGTTTTCCTTTTGTGATGCTGGGGAAATGCCCAAGCAGGGAACAGGTTTGTCTCCTCCCTTCGCTGAATGTGTGGATACTGGGGCTCAAGTCCTGCCCCGGCTCCACCTCTGTCTGCAATGAGGAGAGAACTCCATCACCTCCAGAGAGGCCCCGGCCCCAGACCCAGCCTTGTTCTGAAGGTGTCTAGCACCCTCTGTTGGTGACCCAGACCAAATGCCCTGGGCCTTGGGTTGGGACACAGGCTACCCCAGGGAACCTTATCAGCTCATCTGAACCCTGTGTGTTGTGCATCTGTCCAACCACATACTCCTGAGCGCCAGACTCTGTTCTAGGGGGTGAGGATATACAAATGTGCAGGGTTAATGTTTAGTTTCCTCACACGTTTCAACTCCCTTCTTTTGAAGGAGGATCCCAATGCTGGGAGATGGATCAGGAACAGGGCTCATTCTAGGTCCCATAATCCCTTTCAAAGCACTAGGCTGAGAGGTCTAAGCATCAAGAGGCCCCTCAGTGGCTGTCCTGTGTTCCCTAGAGTTCCTGACCTCAGAGGGCAGATCTGGCCCCACCCCTGTGCTACCTGCGGAATCATGGGCTCAATTCCTCTGGGGAGGCTGAAACTCCTGCTCCCCCCCACGCCTACCTTCACACACATCCTATAACTCCTCTCTTCTTCTCCCTAAATGGGAACTCAGTGGCATTGGACATGACTGGGCAAGGGTGAGTCCCTATCAGAATCCTCCGTCTTCTTCCTTCCAGCCAAGCCGTCATTGCTGGGCTCTTTATGTACCTGATGTTCCTGCTGGTCCCCCGGCCAGCTCCCCTGCCATTTAAAGGCCAACGCACACACCTTGATGTTCAGCAATGACTGTGGGAAACTCACGCTCCCTTTCTTGCTCCAACAAGGTCATAAAAATACAGTTGTATGCAAGAGGCTGGCCCTGCAGATCCCCGCATGTGCCACCACATCCTTCAAATGAATCAGCTGTTTCAGAGGGACCAGCCCTGAGAGGGTAGAGTGCTCATGAGCAGAAAGACAGAATGCAAGCTTTTTGTTTGTTTGTTTGTTTTCCCTTTGTGGGATTTATGTAGTTTAACTTTTTTTTTAACTTTTGTTTTAATAGAACAGCTTTGTTGACCTATAATCTATGTGCCATCCCATGTGCCCATTTAACATGTACAATTCAATGGTTTTTAGGATATTCACAGAGTCATGCAGCCATCACCACAATCAATTTTAGAACATTTCTCTCACCCCAAAAAGAAATCTCATACCCATTAGCAATCATTTCCCATTTCCCCCAGGAACCCCCAGCCCCTGGCAACCACTAATCCACTTTCTGCCTCTATGGATTTGCTTATTCTGGACATTTCATATAAATGAGATCACACAACATGTGGCCTTTTGTGTCTGGCTTCATTCACAAAACAAGATTTTGCTCCTTATTTTCACTGCACTTTAATCAGAGTGACCATATAATTTATCATCCAAGCTGGGACACTTTTAGAGGGAAAGGGATGCTCTTAATACTTATGCTGTGACAACCAGCATAAACCGGGGCTGCCCGGATGAGAACTTACTTCCTTCTACTGAAATGGTTAATAATCCACACCTCCCACCCACTCTGCAGCTACCTGCCTTCCCCTCCCTAAGTCAAAATCAACAAATAAATCACTCTCAGTAACCTCAGGTCTTGCCAATACCCGAAAGTTAATGTACTTCCAGAGTTGCTAATGCTCTGTTTACGGCTGAAGCATGCTTATGATTTATGGGAGAAATAAGACTAATTTCCCCCAAAGAGACGAGAACTAGCCGTTTTATTTTTCATTTTGGAAGCACGAAATTTGACTGCATGGGGTGCAAACTGTGAAAGAAAGCGGATACAGAAAACAAAGCTGTTATAACAAATGTGGGAAGGATGTTGTGAACTATGGGCCATCAGAAGGAGACTGCAGGAGGCTTAATTGGACGGGTCATGCGTCGCAGCTCTGAAAAGGGCAACGTGATTATTTATTGTTGTGCTCTTAATGCACCTGGCTCAATGTCACCTCTCACTGCGATGCTCTCTCCCAGGCTGTTTTTGACACTCTGAAAATTGCTTCAGTGTTTGTAAGTAAATACAAAATGTATAATTTTTTAATTATAGGTATCTGTCGGGTGCAGATAGAAGTTAAGCCTGCTTGGCAACACCCTCTGTCACTCACCGCCGGCAAATGAGCCTGAGAAGCAATTCAGCAGCAGACATTTTTAACTATTGATTCCCTCCTGGATGCAGCAAGGCTTGATCAAATAAGGAAATCTCTCTATCACCAAACATAGTATTGAGGGCCCACCACATGCAAGATACTCTACCACACCCTGCCAGCACTGCAAACAGAATGTATTTAGGCTGCCTTGGAATGGCACCGTGCAAAAGGAAAAATTATATATAGCAACCAAGAAATCATCTTTCCCTAATCTGTCTCTGATGAGACCTCTGCATCAGCCTTGAGCCTAAATTCTCTAAGAAATCCACTGATTTTTCTATGAATTGTTTGTGTTCTGAATTCACTAATAAAGCCAATTTGGACCACCTATCCCAGTGTGGTCAGGGATTGCCCCATGTGGAAGGTGGTTGGGTTCTTGCTGTTTAGGGGCAGGCTCTGTCCTGGGAGCTGGATGTTGGGTCTAGACAACTCCAAGCCAAGGAGACTCCCTTGTGACTGCCCTGTTCTGGACCCCAGATGCAAATGTGCTCTGCTGGCATCCCAAGCAGCCTTTGCTTGTGTGTGTTTTGTGTCTCAGCTTATCCATCTGGCTCCCCTTCTGCCACCTTTTCTTCTATTTACACCCACCATTCTCAATTTGTCTTCCAGCTCTTTCTGAACCAATTATGCTATAGATACATTTAGTCGATTTCCAGGCCAGATGCTCAAATACATCCTCTTCTGCATTAAAGATCATCAGAGTAGGCTCCCAGCCAGCCACAGGATTTACAGATCCTTGGAATTCCAGGAGAAATCCTCAGAAATTTTCTGATTCGGGTACTATTCCCAAATTCATTCATTGGGGGGAAAATGGCCATTGATTTACTAACAGCATGGAAAATATCTTACACGCAGGTCCTAGGAGCCAATCTCTCCCACAGTCAAAAGATCTGGCCTAGACTAACTGTTGCAGGTATGTCCTGATATGATATTCTGCACAAGCTCGGCCACACACCACTTCTAGTAACGGTGAGCCATGTAGGAGAAGCCTCTCAGCATTTGGGCAGATCCATGCCTCTAGCCTAGAAAACTGGATTTTTCTCATCAGCACTATTTTCCACACTTTCTTGCTGGTTCAAGTTGTTGTTGAAAAAGCCAAACTCTGTAAAATAATTTGAAGGGAATTATTCTGAGCGAAATGTGAGGACCATGACCCGTGACATACAGCTCCAGGAGGTCCTAAGAACATGTGCCCAAGGTGGTAGGGTTCTAGCTTGATTTCCTACATTTTAGGGAAAGAGAAGTTATAGGCAGACATCATTCAATACATGTAAGGTGTACGTTGGTTCGGTCTGGAAAGACAGGACAACTTGGAGCAGGGGCTTACAGGTCACAGGTAGATTCAAAGAGTTCCTGATTGGCAATTGGTCGAGAGAATTAAGTTATTATCTAAAGACCTGGAATCAATAGAAAGGAGTGTCTCGGTTAAGATAAAGGGTTGTGGAGACCAAAGTTCTTATTCTGTAAAGTCCTATAGGTAGCTGCCCTTAGAGGCAATAGATGGCAAATGCTTCCTACTCAGACTTTTCAAAGATGCTAGACTCTCAGCTAATCTCTCCAGGATCAGAAAAAGACCTGGAAAGGGGAGAATGTAAATTTCCCCAAGAGACAGCTTTGCAGTGCCGTTTCAAAATATGTCCAAGAAATACATTTAAAGGGAAAATACTTTGATTTTTTTCAGGGCCTGCTATCTGTCATGTGATGTTATGCTAGAGTCAGGTTGGAATTTGGTAACTTATTGCTACCAAGAGTCTGTTTCGTTAATCTTAAGATCTTTGTTTTAATTTAATGCTGGTCAGTTGTTCCTGAATTCCAAAGGCAGGAGAGTATAATGAAGCGTATCTAACCACTGCCCCCCTTCCCATCATGGCCTAAACTAGTTTTTCAGGTTTACTTTGGAATCCCCTTGGCTGAGAGGAGAGGTCCATTGAGTCAGTTGGGGGGCCTTATATTTTATTTTTGGTTTACAGGGTGCTATTTGTACAGAGTCCTCCGTATTTTCAAGGTGTGTAGCATGTTTAAGACCGTTATCTCTTGCCTCATCTTAAAGGTCCAGGAAAGGCAGCAGCACCAATGAAATGGGTATGGCATTTTAAGGAGGAAAAGCTGCTCCCTTCACCCCACCAGGGAAAGAAACAAGCCCCTTAGCTGGGACTCAGTGGAGTCCTTACAGAGCAGGTGTTCTTGCCACTGGGGCAAAAATACAAGTGCTCCAGGGTTCCTTGCTCATGGGAAAGTTGCCCATCACTTCCAGAGCCAAAGGCAGGTACCTCTTTGCCATTCATGCTCTCCCAAAGGGATCCCTGGCTTCCTGCTGAGAAGCAAGTCTCAAAATTCAGTATGCAAAAGGGCTATCTAGGCTGGGTGTGGTGGCTCATGCCTGTAATCCCAGCACTTTGGGAGGCCAAGGCGGGTGGATCACCTGAGGGCAGGAGTTCGAGGCCAGCCTGACCAACATGGCGAAACCCTGTCTCTACTAAAAATACAAAAAATTAGCCGGGCGTTGTGGTGGGTACCTGTAATCCCAGCTACTTGGGAGGCTGAGGCAGGAGAATTGCTTGAACCTGGGAGGGAGAGGTTGCAGTGAGCTGAGATTGCACCATTGCACTCCAGCCTGGGCAACAGAGTGAGACTGTCTCACAAAAAAAGGTGGGATGGGGGGCTCTCTAATCCACTTCCAGGGGTCTTAATTCAATGAGTCCCATAAAGCCACATTTTAAACAAGCACCCAGGTGATGTCAATAGAGGGCATCTCCAACTGCCAAATGCTAGCCACCTGGTGGCATGGTCTCCCGTTATCTCCAGGCTTCTTGGCTCCAAAGACAAGTGCTCTTCACACTACCCCATAGGTTGCATGCAGACTGCTCCACCTGGTTCCCAGGTATGAAGAGTCCAATGAAAGTCCAGGGGATCGAGGAGAGGGAGGAGCCATAGAACCTGGAGGCCAGATGGAGCACTCTACACGCATCCTGTGGGCAGCATGAAGAGCCCCTGGTCAAACCTGAGGACAGAGAGGACAAAACCAGTCTCACCTTGACCGAAGTCACCCCAGAGGAGCCATTGGTTTGAAGGCCTGAGTAAGAGAAGGATCCAATGTCACCAACAATTGTCCCACCACCATAGGTTAACCCTGAAGGTCAAGCCTTCTAAAACTCCCTCTGCTTTATTCATGATCAACATTACATTAACTATATTAAATACTACAGGTAGTACATAATGAGTGTGGAATCAAAAGGAAGCCAGGCTAAACTCGTTCATAAAAAGTGCAATTTCCTCCTCTTTTTCCCCAAGGGGAACATATAGAAAGGTTTTGGTCTGGCTCTGCCAATCCTGGATTTGCCTTCTGCTTGGGCTTTCCTCAGACAGTGCATGTCTGCACCTTGAGGGACATAATATACATTTGATATTGCTTAATAAACTTTTACTCTGTGCCACAAAGTGGGGACCCTCCTTGTGGGAGGCAACAGCATGTGTGAAGACCCTGGATAAGACAGTGCTCTGATCACTTGCTCCTGAAAGTCTGTGGGGTTCACGGACTAGCAGCATCACCCGGAGCATGTTAGAAACACAGATTCTCAGCCCTCACTTCCCAAATCAGAATCTGCATTTAACAAGATGTCCAGGTGACTTGTATGAGCATGAAAAATTGAGAAGCTCTGCTTTCTTTCTCACAAACCCCTGCAAGCTCAGATTCACGGAGGCTTAAAAGGGTTACATAACTTTGGTTCCTAAAGTAATATACTTCTGGATTTTGTCTTTATGGTACGTGTGCCTCAGCCCATGCCTTTTCTTTTTCTTGTAAAGACAAGTATACAGATTTCTATTAATAAATGAATTCCAAATTAAAGTGATTTCTGAAGTCAGAGCTGGCTGTGCACTGCTGCACTCTAGTGGGGAAGATCTGGAATTGCAGGTAAATGCTGACTCCCATGCAATTCAGAAGGAATTCCTGTTAGCCAAGCCTCCTGGACTCCTCAAGGGAGTCTTTAAAAATCGTAAGCACACTTCTTACACCTCACATGCCTCATACCTAAACTGTGTCTGGGTTAATAAAATGGCTTTCAGACCTCAGGTACCTGCTGATCAGTGTTAACTTTGGACTGAAGGAACAGTCACAGTCAATGTTTCTTACTGTAGCCTTTGGGCATAAGCATTTGGCTCTCTCCGGTCCCTGCCACCTGTGAGGCTATACATGTCTCTGGTACATCAGCCTCTGCTACTCAGGGTCCTCAGCTCCATAGCAAGGGCCACTTGAGAATGACCCCTGCATTTTCAGGCTTTGACCATGGGAGAAAGCAAAATAAGAGAAATGGTTTTGCCTCACTGCCTGGGCTTGGCTGAAGTGAAGATGACTGCTTAGGCATTTCAAGGGGAATCCTCGGGGACTCTTTCCCAGGATAATTTTCAACACCCACCCCAGGGTCCCCTGGCTACCTCCCCGACCTGCCCAGCCAGAAGCAACCTCTCCTATTCCTGAGTGCTTGAAGTTCTTTGTCCTCAGCTCCTTGCACCCAGAGGTACCAGATTTACCACGAGTAATGCGAGAAGGCAGTAATCGTTCCTGCCTGCTGTCCTGTGCTTGGCAGTAAGCCTATGGGGAGCAGGGATCATCTTTGGTCACTCGGGGCAGGAGTCAATGATGTACAGAATCCTAGAGACACATTTTGTAAATGGCCAAGTCTATCCCCTTATTAAACTGCAGCCACCAGCACGCCCAGCCATAGAACTGTAAGGCCTGCAATCGCTGACACCGTGGTTGGAGGCCTCCTCTGTTGGGGAAAGCCAGTCCTCTACACTGCTCTAAATATTTGTGCATCTCCTGCCAAAGTGCTCAAGGCTGATAGGGGGTGAGTGCCCAGGATGGAGCCACCGGCTAAACTGTGACAAGATGACAGTCTTCCAGACTTGTGGCCCAACATTTCATCCAGAATAAAGCATATCTGAGATTTTACTGTCTCCCTGAAGAACAATCACATGGAGTGTGATTGATTGGTTGAAGTGTGAGCTATAAGCTGGCATGGGGCAGGCCTCACATCAGCTTCAGAGCTGGAGCTCTTGGGCCTCAACCATCAGTCCACACTAATGCCATTCTCCTGGGCTTCCCAGCTGTCCTATCGAAGAGTGAGGAACCCCGTGGACTTCCCTATTCTGGACTCTGGATTTTAAACACCTTCCTGTGGCTTTAAGGAATGTCCTTCAGTCTGAATACAGTCTTGCTTAGTCTGGGTTTCTTTTGACTGTGAGCACTCTTGGAATAGTGTAAGTCGTTGTCAGGAAGCAACAGGGAAGAAAGAGGCTTGTCGACAAAACCATCAGTGTCAGATGTAGAAACTGCTGCTGTGGGAAGTGAGCCTGGAAGACCTGTCTTGAGTCTTAACTCTGTCTTTTACTAGTGTGAGTCCCTGGACAAATCTTTTACTCAGCCTTCAGTTTCCTCATCTGCAAAATAAAGACAATAATAACTATCTCACAGGGCTTCTTTGAAGAATAAATGAGAAAACGTAAATGACATTGCCTCCTGCACATTAGGCAAATGTTTGCAGGATCTGGAACCTGGCTGTTTATCACTGTGTAGAACATGGATCAGGAAGGATCCATCTTGAAGTCAGTCCCCAAGGGCTGATTTCCTGGAGCTCCATGTGGATATCATTTGAAGGCCATTTGACCCAAAGGGTGATTGTATTCTGATGTCTTTACAGGAGATCCTTGTGCAAGGCAGAGCATGAACTCCCTCAAAGAGAGTCAGCAGGAGACTCATGGAAACTCAAAAGGAACCATATAAATTCCTTCTTGCCAAGCTTTTTCTAAACACAGAAACCCCTTAATTGGTCTGAATCTCATGTAAACCGATAAAAGGCAAACTATTGGTCATGCCCAGCTCTTAGGGTCTCTGTGGTGGGTGTTGTTGGGAGCAGATTAGAACTCCCTGCAGCCTGGCTACCAGGTTTTAGTTAAAGCAAATCTCAGATCAAATTCTGCTACATGTTTGCTTTTTAAAAGCCAAACATTTATGAAAAAGGAGGCATAAAAGATTTCATACAATCTGTTTTGTAAGTTTGTTGATGTCTCAGCTCCCTGTAGTTCAGATGGACCCACCTTGTGTGAAAGAACCCCAAGGCACACACAACACCACCCTGATGCAGGCTCTTACTTTCATAGTCAGTATCAGACACTTTTGGGAGGGGTGCTCCCAAAGCCATGGCTAGACACAGGGCTCTTTATGGATTGAGCCTGAGTGTCGTCTGTGTGAGTACAGGCTCCAGATGTCACTAGATTTCTATTCTCTGTGCGGGGTGGGGTGTATCTTTAAAATATTTTCACCAGCTCATACTTCCTGAATGCCTTTATTTTCAACAATGAGGCCCATTTCTAATATTTATAACATTAATCAGTTAGCAACTAATTTTGCTCATCAATATTCTTTCAGACATTTGCCATATTTATTAATAAAGCCTCAAGTATTGCTCGAGAATTGGGTATCAGAAGCATTTGTTGCACCTGCTTCTGGAGAGTGTCATTTCTGGAGTGTGGATTCTCGAAACTACCAACTGACTTCTCTAGAATTGAAGCTTTCACTAACCAGCAACTGCATGATCTCATAGAGTTTATGCTGGAGTGTTTTCATGTTGATTACAGATACCAAAACAAAAGGATGGGTCCCATCATGAGCGATGGATTCTATAAAATACTGAGTACTATTTGTACTGTGTGGCTAGCACCATGACAAGCATGGTGGAACTTAAAAGGAAAGTAGGAATCACTTGCCTTTAAATCACGTATGAATTAGTTGAAAAGATATACAATCTGAAACAGAAGAGTGAGAGAGAGAGTACACAAAGCAATCTTCAGAGATGGGGTCATTACTGAAGACCTGGGCAACCAAGGGCAGAGGTCTTGAATTCATCTTGGGCAGTGGATGACCTCTGGACAGGCAGATGAGGCGAACAGAAAGATGCTCCAAGTTTGATGTGTGGATAGACACAGGAGGCCACCCTGCTAGTCTTCCTGTTGGAAGGTATGGCCTAAGGAAGGACCAGTTCTATGGACAACTTGGAAATTTCTCATGGTCAGGTTTGTACTGCATCCTTTGTTCTTTTGCTTTTACAGGGAACAGCTGTCTTCCCATGCCAACCCTTTCCCAAAGCACCAAAGGGCTGGCCACTCCCAAGGCTGCTTGGCTCTGTGGGGTTACTAGATGCAGCTAGTGGTGACTGTTTAAGATAGATAATTTCATTCCCATGATATATGTGTAAGGATTGACATTCATTTTGCAAGCATTATTTATTTAGAAAAGTGTTGTTTATTAGACAACCAATGTGCCTAAAAAGAAAATTAAGTACATTTTAATTATAAAATTACTATGAAATGCTCAAGGGAATTTAATTAAGTTCTAAAGTCTTCTGGTAAACTATGAATATAATATTAATAGATTTAGGCCAGGCGCGGTGGCTCACGCCTGTAATCCCAGCACTTTGGGAGGCCGAGGTGGGCAAGTCACCTGAGGTCAGGAGTTCGAGACCAGCCTGGCCCACATTGAGAAACCCTGTTTCTTTAGTTGAAATACAAAAAATTAGCCAGGCGTGGTGGCACGTGCCTGTAATCCCAGATACTCGGAAGGCTGAAGCAGGAGAATGGCTTGGACTCGGGAGGCGGAGGTTGCAGTGAGCCGAGATGGTGCCATTGCACTCCCACTTGGGCAACAAGAGCAAAACTCCAATTCAAAAAATAATAATAATAATAATAGATTTATAAGTAAAATAATAAGATTTGTTAAATTTGACTTAAAAACTTGAGAAAACCTGGGTTTTAGAATATGTTGCTTTAAAAAAGTGAATAATAATTTTTAACACCAAAGCCATCTTGTCTGTGTTCCAAGACTCCTCTCAGGACCATAACCAGGAGAGACAGGGGAAACCAGGCAATAAACATCCCTAGGGGAAGATGTTTTTCTCACAGTGCTTCTCTGAGTCGTGTTCTCTCACCAAACCTGGCTTCCCCCTTTGAAGGAGAGAAGAAAAATTGTGAATTCAGTATGTTGGAGATGGCAGGTTTCACACGCTGACCTCTACTTTCCTCGTAGAGATTAATTCCTCCCAGCCTATCTCCTAGTAATAAATGACCTACTGTCTTGATTCCATCTAGCTGGGCTAGTTCATCTGCTCCTGGAGCCCAAATCGCCATGACTTCTCTTCCAAACGCTGGGTCCCTACTTCACCCACTGGAGGTCCCTAGGACAGCCTGCTGTCGTCTCAAATTCAACATATCCATTATGTTCTTCTCCTGGGCTTCCTTCCTCTCTATTCTTGTCACTTGGCTCAAAACCTCAGGCATTTTCAATGTCTTTGCCACTGTCTCCACTTTCATTTAATAAGTTAGTTCTTCCTTAGAGATTTTCTTCCCTCTACCACTATTTTCTGAGGTCAGTCTCTGACTTCTAGATCACAGTAATAATTTTTTGATAGAGAGGAGAGATTTTTAAAATTAAGATATAAATCTCATATCATGAAATTTATCCTTTTGAAGTGTACAGTTCAGTGTTTTTCAGTATATCCACAGATATGTGCAACCATCACCACTATCTGTTTCCAGAAGATTTTCATCGTCTACAAAAGAAACCCTGAGGAATGGCTTTTTAGTTAGTCTTGTCATTGCTGTTAATTTTTGAACTTAATAAAATATACTAAGAGGTGGCTTGAGTGGTAAGTGCTGCTTGGGCTCATATCCCAACAGTGCCTCATTGTCCTAAGAGCAGATGACTATGCAGTGGTTCAGGGATCCAAACCCCAGCTCTGCTATTTTTGCAACCTCAACATTGCCAGTGCCAACTTTTATCATTTATAAAATAAGAAAACAGTGGTACAGAATAAGACTAAATGAACTACAGTGGATAAAATAGCTGACATGATTGGAGCAATCAAATAAGTTATAATCTTATAAACTTCTAACTCAAATACATAACTAGAATGCATCTTTGTAAAGTTTTAATTTTGAGATTTGCACATGAAGTTGCAGGAAATCATACAAGGGAGTATTCAGTCCCCTCCATGCTATCGTCTTGCAAAACCATTGAACAGTATCACAACCAGGATATTGGCATCGTTGCACTCAAGATAGGACATTTCCATCACCACAAGGATCCCTCATGTTTGGTTTTTACAGCCCCCACCTGCTCATTAGCCCCTGGGGGAACTCTACTCTGCTTTCCATTTCTATAATCTTGTCATTTCCGTAATGTTAAATCAGTGGAATCATACAGTCGTTACCTTCTGCAATTGGCTTTCCTCACTTGGCGAAGCTTGCATGAGGTCTGTGCACTGTTGTGTGCATCAACAGTCCATTTACTTTCATTGCTGAGTAGAATCCTGTGGTGTGGATGTAACACATTGTGTTTAACCATTCGCCCATTGAAGGACGTCAGGGTTGTTTCCAGTTTGGGGCTATTCCTATAGTGCGTATTAATTCAGACACCACAGTTTAGAAAAGACCCTTACATAGACCTCACCTCTTCCATGCAATCGCTTTTGGGAGACAGGGCATTTAATAGTTGTGAAAGGGGCTTCCTAATGTCACATAGGTGGTCTGCAGCAGGGCTGGCACTCAGATCTTCTGAATAAATACACTGGGCTCCTTTACCATATCCCTCTGCTTCCTCATATAAGCTCATTCAACAAATATCTCCAGGGTACCTGAGCTCTGGGGACACAGAGAATAGGCTGCTGTTCTTATAGAGCCTGCAGTAGAGTGGGAAGCCAGACATTTGAATAAACATAACAAAGAAAGATAATGACTGTCACACTCTGGTGGGACGTGAAGAGATGTGTTTGGTGTATTTTGGGCGACTGAGCACGGTGCCTGTATGTCCTGGGCATTGGGGAGCTGGGGACAGATGTGAACGCAGTGAAGGGCAGCAGTGTGGGTGCAGTGCTGTGTCGAGCAGTTCTGCTGGGCCCAGGACGGATGCACGCTGAGAACAGGTATCCTCATTTCTGTGACTATTCAAGTCTTACAGAGAAGCAGAGCCCTGTGTGCAGAGACCCCGAGAAACACCGCTTTCCTAAGATGGCCTCTGCAGGAGGAGGGAGGAAAAGGTGCTGAAGACATTCAAACCTCAGAGGCTGGAGATAAAGGAACTTGAGTAAATACGTTGTGGTTTAACTACCAGGCCAAAGCACAACGGCCAGACAGGAGGAATGGCAGAGGCCAGTGAGTGATCAGCACACCTGGGCAGATGCAAGGAGGTGGAGGAAGAGGACCGACGATGCAATGATGAGGCTCATCTGGATGTATTTGCAGTCAAACTCTATACCCAAGCTCTGGCAGGGGAAGGGGCACAGTAGGACATAGAGATGCTCATGGTGGCCACCAACGGCCCCCACTCATGGTCTCAGACATCCCTTTTCTCACAACTGGGGACATGGCAAGGATCAAGCCCCTCAGATTTCCCAGGCACAGATGCTGCCTCTCAGGTGGACAAGAAAGTGGCCCCAACAGCACCATGCACAGGTACGTTAGGAGGTCAGTGACTCTGACCTGGACTCATTTCCAGAAGGCGTTGCACTACAGCTGCTCTTGTAGATGATAAGGCAAGAAAGAGAAGGAGGTTAAGGTGAAATAGCAAGGCTGTGAGTGCGGCTGTCAGGAGCTCAGCTCCTCCGCTGGGGAAGCGAGGTCCAGGCAATGCAGAGCAAGGGTTTCTGCTGTCCTGAGGCTTCTGCCCTGGATCCCAAGGCCTGGGGCCCCCCTGAGCCCACTGTCCACCAGGGCCAAGTCCCCACCCTGTGCACTGTGCCTGCTGTATGTGGAATCTGCTTCCACTCCTTCCGAGAGAGGCAGCACCTTAACCAGGCTGTGTCCACAGAGGGAAGTGCTCCATGGCTGCTGGTCAAGGCACTGATTAATGCAAGCAGGCATTAAGTGCTTAATGAAAATGGATCAGTGATTAAGAAAACGGACTTTGGGGTAAGCTAGCTGGCTCTGATCTTGGCTCTCCTGCCTGCCAGCTGCATGTTCTATGACAAGTCGTCTAACCTTCCCAAGCCTCGGTTTTGTCCTCTGTGAATTGGGGGTGCAGCTTGGTTGAAATGCTCCTGGCATAGGGTGCTGTATTAAGGGAAATCGTGGGAGCTGCATGCTTCCACAGGGCCTGGCCCCTGGCTCGAGCTCAATGAGAAATCATTATGTGAGAACAGACATCTTTTCCCCTTCCAGAAGTGCCACAGCTGCCTCCTTACCCTGCTTGCCTTGGTCCACTCCAGGATCCTGTGCATGGTAGGTTTGTGAGACTCAGGGTCCTGCCTGTTTTGCTGGGTGCTAGACTGCATGGGAGGCCACGGCAGAGTGAGCGGCTCTGTGTGGGTGTCTTGCTGGAGGCTTATGGCTGCCACCCATGTCTCCTGGAGTGGGCAGCATTAAGCAGGACCTAGAGGCTCCAGGTGGATCAGTGGGTGCTCAGGGGCAAGTACGCAAAGCTTGCAGCCTTCCTGGAGGCATGTGGGCCACTTCATGGCTTTGCACAGAGGGGCTTGGGAGAAGCCTGGGTTGAGGAGTAAATACATTAGCATTCTCCAACACACTTGCTTCTGGGGGCACTGAATGGTGTGTATGTGTGTAACAGAAACATTGCTGATTCATCTGTTTCCCAAACATTTGTGATGTGCTTAGCAGGCCCGGGGTTCAGAAATGATTCCCAGGCACTCCCACACTCACAGAGCGGTGGCAAGCCAGTTACACATACAGTCTGCGCAGTGTGGTGGGGGCTGGGCTAGAAGCCGTCCCAGGAGCCACAGAACAAGTGCTGAGGATGCACATTCCACTAGAGAACCATCACGCAGGGCGGTGGTTCATCGGAAGGCACATGGGAAAAGGGAAGAGTGAAGGCTATTCGCAGCACAGGCTGGAAGCGTGCCGACCGCTGAGGCCCGCACTCTTCCTGGCTGGTCAGCACTCAAGACTAAGCAAGCAGCCTGGACTGCCCAGTGTGGTGGAAGCTTCAACTCAAGGGCACCATTGCAAGCTTCGGGCTTGGCAGAAACAGTGGCCCCAGTGCCAGGTGCCCAGGAGACAGTCAGGAGGGCTGACTTCCTCCCTTACCTCTATCCATCAGACACCGACTTGGAGACATTCATGGGCCAGGATGGTGGTAGCTGAGGGTGATGTTCAAATAAGGCAGTCACAGCCTCTCAAGGGAGATGGACAAGCAGGGGAGTGGAGACCAGGGTGAGGGTGGGGAGACCAAACAGACAGCGGCAGTGTCCCCTGTGGAGGGGCCTAGGGAAAACTCCATGGAGGTGACCTTAAGTGGATTCAGAGTCTGAATTCAGGCTGAAGCTTCCTGTGTACGTGGGCTTGGCCATGCCTGGCTGCCTGGAGTTCACAGAGAGCCGAAGGCCACCAGGGAAAGGGCAGCAGTGCCGTGGTGCCCACAGCCCTCCTGCAACCCACAATCTGCAGAGGCGGCTGCGTTTGCATAAGTTCCCCACACCCTGCTGATCAGTAAACAATGAAACTGTTCTCCCCTGATTCTGCAGAGGTTCTCCCTGCTACACACACCCAGTGTGTGTGGCTCCAGGTCTCATGTGTGGCCTGCAGTGGGAGACAGGCCCCCAGAATGAGTGGAGGCTCCTGAACAGCCTCACCTCCTGCCATCACCCCTGTGGGTCCCCCGGGATACTGGCCTTGTCCGCTCAGAGTCACAGGGTGGCTCGGGCACTTGCAGAGGGAAACGGTGTTTTGTTTTAGCAGCATCTTTCAGCAGGTTCTTTCATCCTCACTTGACTACTCTTCCCTAGCAAAGGAAGAGGTTGTGTGTTGGCAAAATCCTTCACTCCACCCAGTTTCAGCTTCAGCTGGATGGCAAGTCTGTTACCTTTTGGGATTTATGCCAAGAGGTGAGTCTTTTGCTTTTGTTTTTTTTAAAAAAAGTGCGGTTGAGGCACTCTACACTTACTCTTCTACCCTTTATTCCATCTGGAACCTGATACCACTTCTAATCTCATTCTGCCCCAAGTTTCTATCTCTATCCATCCATTTCCTTCCCTACTTCCCATGGTAACTCTATGTGGCAGCCACAGTTGATCACCTACTCAATAGCTATACTCCTTGCTAAGGGAACTCCATTTATTCCTGTATTGGGTGAAGCTTCCCAGAGGGTAAAGCTTGAGTAGTCTGGGATTAAGCCAATTATGGTAACTCCTGGTTTATGCATGGTCATGAGATGCACTTCTGGCCAATGAGGGGTGAGAAGTCAGCTGTAGGGCCTCTTGAAAAGTTCAAAAGGGATATGAAAAAGTAATATTCTGTCTCCCTGATTGGGACATGCGTGTTAGGATGTGATGCTTGGAGCTGCAGCAGCCATCTCATGACCATGAGGGGACTAGCCTGAGGACAAAACCTGCAAAATTGGAGATGACAGAGCAGAAAGGTGGAAAGAATTCATGTTCATGCTGATATTGTCGATCTATTGAATTAACCGCTTTCACTTCTTGTTACAAAATAATGTTTTCTCATTGTTTGAGTCAAGAGTCAGCAAACTATGGTGTATGGGCCAAATAGGCCTGCTATCTCTTTTTATAAATAGTTTTATTAAAACACAGCCATGCTCATTTGTTTACGATTGACCATAGCTGCCTTTGTTACAGTGGCAGAGTTGTGTAGCTGCTACAAAGGCAAAGCCTAAAATATTTTCTATCTGGCCCTTTACAAAAAAAAAAGAAAAAAGTTTGCCAACCCCTAATTTAAGCCATTTGCAGGGGGTGGAGGGGTCATCTATTACCTGAAGCCAAAAACATTCAAATAGATAACCCTGCCACTTAACATACGGTATCAATATCTTTCTTTGTTCTTTATTTTATTATTTGCCTTAAACATTCTGAGCTGCACTGAATTCAGTCATAAATTCAACAAATAAGTATTGAGGAACTAACAAAGCACTTCAAAATTTAGTAGCATTAAAAACAGCAATTTATTATTATCTCTCATGGCCTGTAGCCTAACTTGGGAGTCTCTCATGCAGTTTTGGTCAGGGGTTGGCTGGGGCTGCAGTGAGCTGAAGGGTCAACTGGGGCTGGACATCCAAGATGGTGCACTCACATAGTTGGTGGTTGATGCTGGCTGTTGGCTGTGGCCTCTCCGTTGTCTTGGGTTCCTCACCATGTAGTGGCTGGTTGAACAAGGAAGTCTTGAGAGCAAGTGTTCTAAAAGGCCTAAGTGGAATGCCAGGCTAGTTGAGGACTATGCCTAGAAGGGCACAGCATCATTTCTGCTGTATTCTATTGGTCAAAGCAGACACAAAGCCTTTGCCAATTGAAGGAGGCAAAGAGAATGTATCTTCACCTCTTGATGAGAGAGTGTCAAGTTTCACAATGCAGAAGAGTTAGTGGGATGGAAATACTATTGTGACCATCTTTGGAAAATAAAATCTGCTGTCCAGGAGTGGTGGCTCATGCCTGTAATCCCAGCACTTTGGGAGGCCAAGACAGGTGGACCAGTTGAGGTCAGGAGTTCGAGACCAGCCTGGCCAGCATGGTGAAACCCTGTCTCTACTAAAAATACAAAAATTAGCCAGGCATGGTGGTGGGCACCTGTAATCCCAGCTGCTCAGGAGGCTGAGGCCGAAGAATCACTTGAGCCCGGGAGGCGAAGGTTGCCTGGCAAAGGTTGCAGTGGGCCAAGATCGCACCACGCACTCCAGCCTGGGTGACAGAGTGAGATTCTGTCGCAAAAAAATAAAAATAAAAAAATAACAATTTGCCACAATCTGCCCTATGAGCACAGTAATTCACCTCCTTCCTCAACACTCCAAAAGCATAATCAGAATCAGATTGGAAGGCTAGGATCTTGTTATCTATATCAAGTCCATGTGCAAAGGAGGCTCCTCAGATGGGGTTTCTCAGAGTTTCCTGTCAATATGGGCAACTGGAAACTAAAAAGACTATCTGCCTCTTTCATATGTACTCAACATACAGTGGGGTAGCTGTGTGTTGAGTATAAGGTAGCTGTAATAGACACTGCTGTTCAAAATTGGGGAGAAATGGGAGACACATGGCAGTCATTGATCATAGCAATTCTGAAATCCAGCTAAGTATGTGTATGTCTTTGGTTCTAAATTATAGCAAGTTCCTGCTCTCAGGGAGTTATTCTCCATGGTTCTTTGTTTTGCCCCTGTAAGAAACACCTCTACTTGCAGCTGAATAGCGAACTTCCTTAGCCTGCTTCCTGCCCATGTGAGTTTGGAAGTTCAGAGGCTTCTTTCCATTTCTGAACCTTTTCTCTTGCATTTACTCCAAGCTGCAAGAGCAAACTGCAGCAAGCCAAATCTCATAAAAATGTGGATATTCTAGGAATAAGTTTGGTGTTAACACCAAAATTTGGTGTATTATTATATTCACAAATATTTTTGAGACAGAGCCCTGTATGTCTTTGAGTTAGGATGCTTTACTAATAACTGAGATTCTTAGAGGTCTTTTGACTGAGAGGTCTATGAGGTGTGCCCTAAATCCCTGTGAAGTCTTAGAATAGAGCCACATCCTTTTTTAAAATTCTAATAGTTTTTGGAGTACAGGTGGCTTTTGGTTATAAGGATAAGTTCTTTAGTGGTGATTTCTGACATTTCAGTGCACCACCACCTGAGCAATGTGCACTGTGCCCAATAGTCTTTTTTCCCTCACCCCCATCCCAACCTTCTCCGCTGAGATCCCAAAGTCCATTGTATCATTCTTATGCCTTTGTGTCCTCGTGGCTTAGCTCCCAGTTATAAGTGAGAACATGATATTTGGTTTTCCATTTCTGAGTTACTTCACTTAGTATGATGGCCTCCAGCTCATGCAAGTTACTGCAAAATACATTATTTTTTTCCATTTTATGGCTGAGTAGTATTCCATTGTGTATCTATACCACATTTTATCTATTCATTGGCTGATGGGCACTTATGTTGGTTTCATATCTTTGCTATTGTGAATTGTGCTGTAGAGCCACATCCTTAAAAGAGTCATTTACCTTATGCCTACTTACTCTGAAAATAGTTTGCGGGATAGGGAGGCTGGGAATATGAAACAGTTACATTTTGAACCCAGAAAGTCCTGGCTACTTTATGTTTTCTCGAAGTTGTATTTGAAAACAGAACTATTCCTTCTTTAGCTCACTTCTCTCTCCATCCCTTATCATACATGACTAGATGAAATCAGTTGATCCTTTCAACATTCTACCTGAAATCTCATTAGCTAAATCCTGTGTCTGTTAGGCACATTTTTTTATTTTCCACATTTCTGCAGGTGAAAGCTGTACTAAACCTTCTGCCACTACATCATGTCAATCTTTTTCTTTGGTTTCAGTAATCATCTCCTCACTATTCTTACAATCCCCAGTAATAACCATTTAGAGACTCTATAGGCCATGGCCTGTTCCAAAGCCAATGCCATATGTTTTAAGTTTTTAATGGTAACATCCTACTCCTGGTACCAATTTCTGTTCTACTTATCTATTGCTGCTTAACATACCATCCGGGCTGGGTGTGGTGGCTCATACCTGTAATCCCAGCACTTTGAGAGGCTGATGTGGGTGGATTGCTTGAGGTCAGGAGTTTAAAACCAACCTGGCCAACATGGTGAAACCCCATCTCTACTAAAAAATACAAAAATTAGCCATACGTGGTGGCATGCACCTGTAATCCCAGCTATTTGGGAGGCTGAGACATGAGAATTGCTTGAACCCGGCAGGGGTGGAGGTTGCAGTGAGCTGAGATCATGCCACTGCACTCCAGCCTGGGCAACAGAGTGAGTCTCCATTTTAAAAAACAAACAAACAGAACATACCATCTCAAAACTTAGTGCCTTAAGTTTTACTAATATCTTAAAACAACATTTTATTATCTCCCATTGGTCTGTGGGTTGACTAGTCACAGCTGAGTGGTATCCACTGAGGTCTTACTTGATTGCAGTTAGATGTTGACTTGGGCTTGTAAGTTAATGTTGCTGAGATATAACGTAGAAATATGAACCTGGAGATAAAGCTTGGGGTTGTATCTTGAAAGATTAGTATACCTGATTAAAGAATCTGAAATTTATAACATAGTCAATAGAGATTTCTGGAAGAATTCTGAGCAAGTAAGTTTTGAGCAAGAGTTATCAGATCTCTTATCAGAAAAATGATGAGAAGCAGTGTAGGGAAGGGACAAGAGAGGCCAGAGAGGCGGGGACTTGTTAGAAGGTCTGGAGGAAGGCAAAGGCAGTGAGGGTGGAGAGGAGAACTAAGTTTAAGGAAAAAAGTGACGTTGAGGCTTATCTGCTTCCTTCATCAGTTTTGGCTATCTTCTACTGTCAGGCTAGAACTAGATAGTTCTTCCTAAAGCATATTCAACAGTGATCAGAGTAGATAACAGTTTAAGAATATTTGGAAAATTGTTTAAAAAGTGTGTTTTAATGGCCATAACAGAGTTTTCTTATAGCCATGCCATACACTGAGCTTAACTCTTGTCTGCTGTAGTCACCTAACAGCTTGTCAGCACGATTCCCACTTTTAGCCATTCCCTTCTCCTTGAGACACTCTCTTCCTTTCATGTCCATGATAGCCCATTCTCGTTTGTCTTCTTCCTCTTGGGCTACTTGTTTTCTGTCCCTGTGTCCTGAGATGTATCTCCTCTGCTTGGCCATTACATGCTGTGGTCCTCAAAGCTCAGTCCTTGGCTCTCTTCGTGTTTCACTTGTCACTCCTTACCGTCTCATTGGAAACCTGATTTCAAATTCCATGGCTTCCAGGACCTCTCTGTTTCTGTGACTCTTGTTATAGTTAGGATTGAATTTGACTGCAGGTAACAGAAAACCCTAAATATCGGTAATATAAATACTATAAAAGTGTATTTCTTACTCACAAAGACAAAGGCAGGCCAGAGCTGGCATGGCAGCAATATGATGATTAGGGAACTGGTCTTCTGTCTTGTTGCTCTTCTGTTGTTAACATAGGACTTTTACTTCATGGTCCAAGATGACTTCTTGGGTTCCAGTCATCAAAATCACATTTCTGCCAGCAGGAGCAAGAAAATGGGCACAGTTGTTCCTTTAAGGATACTTTCTGGAAGTCATATATGACACTCCTTATATTTCATTGGTTAAAATTTAGTCAGATGACCACCTGAGCTCAAGGGAGATACGGTGACCAGTTAAAAATCACATGTTCTAATACTAAAGAAGAAGAGTAAGTGAATAAATGGTAGGGGACAACTAGTAGCCTTCGCCACAACTCCCAAATCTATACCTCCAGGCCAGACTTCTCTATAGCTTCTGCCACTTTGGTATCCAAAGGATTCTGAACCCAAATGTCTAAGGTTGAGCTGATGATCTCTCCCAAACCGGCTCCATTTCTGGTGCTCCCTTTCTCAGTGAAGGACACCACTATCTAGCTGTGCAAGCCAGAAACTCAGGAGCCATCCTTGATTCTTAAGACAGAAAGCGTTATTTGCTCACAATTCATCCTTGCCATGGCTTCCCTGGGTCAGAGTTTAATTCCCTCTGTCACTGTCTTTGGGCTATGCCATTTGGTGTCCTGTGGCTGATGGATACACAAAGACACTTTTTAGGCTTTGTCTTGCCAGTGACTTGGAATGGGCTGTGTGCTTCGGTGTGGCCTCTTGCCCTTCTTCTATTAACCATGAAGAGCTTGCCCTGTGTTGCTGCAGGTCCTAGAACAAGAGACACAAAGGGATGCCCTGAACCTCACTTGCAACCTGAAGCAGAAATGCCCCAGCCAACCTGCAGAACTATTAACAAGAAAAATAAATGATTATTGTAAGCCACTGAGAATTTGGAGTTGTTATTCAGCATTATAGGAGAGACCTAAGTAATACAATTATCTGACTCTCCTCCTCTGCTCCTTCATTAAACCCTATCTGTGGATCTCAATAACATCTTAAAATCCCGTCCTTCGCTTCATCCTCAGTGCCACCACCATCTGAGCCAAGCTACTGCCACTTTTTCTCTGGGCCACTGCAATGACCTCCTGCCTGTTCTCACAGCCTTTGCTCTGGCCACGTGGCACTTAGCTCTCCATCCAGCAGCAAGGGTGACCTTGGAAAGGAATTACATTAATAGCAGGAATGGGTCTGAATGCTATCTTAGCCCAGGGTGTTCTGTTATTCTCATCCACATACAGAAATGAGGGATCTCTTCCATCTAAAGCATCACTAGCCCATTTGGGTATGTCCTTGTTACTATTTTCTCTCTGGGAAGGGAATGTACATAGGTCATCAGCAATTTAATTGAGAGGATAGTTTGGATGGACTGAACAAAAAGGGGTGTTGCCTCTGCTGGGTTAGTGACAGCAAAGTGCAGGCAATTGGGAAGATGGCCCCTCAGCCCAGGCCACTGACAAGCCACATGCTTTCCCCCAGATATGGGCAGTCTGTGGCTGGGTTAGGGAAGCCTGGCTGGGTCCCCACAGACTCCCTGATGTTTTTGGGGGCAGAGGGTGAGCAGTCTCTCCACACAGGCTCTTCTTTGCTCTTGATGTGGTTCCCACAGGTCAAGAAGGCCCTCTGGCCTCTGTTCTTCTCCTCTTAGTCCACTCCCCTCCTCCTGCATTTACTCCAGCTGATCACTGTCTACTCACCTTTGAATGAACTTTGTTGCCCTGCTCTTTTCAGGGCTCTGCCTTTTGAGTCACTAAAAGCTCTGCTCTTAAAAATCAGAGCTTTGGTTATTTCTATGATCTCTGAAGTGGAAGTCGATGGTGGAACATTGACCCTGGCTCTGTCTTTGCTTTCCAAGAAAGCACCGTCTTAATTCACCCCAGCAAGAGATGCTCTGACTTACGAGTGCAAAAGAAGAAAAGCCCAGTCATGTGTGAATAGCTTTAAAACATCTCAGTGTGCACCAGCATCACTGCACCTCTCCCACTTGAAATGGCCCATGGCTTTCTATTGCGCTTAAGATAAAAATATTCAATATAGCCCCGAAGAGCTCAAATGGTCTGGTTTTTTCTTTTCTGTCCACCTGGATATTTGCACTGCAGCCACTGCAGCCTGCTTTCTGTACCTCAAATAAGCCATGCTCTCTCCTCATGGAATCTCCTCTCCCTTTTCTCCACCCTTAACTCCTTCTCTTCCTTCCTCTGGTAGACACCTCTCGACCTACCCAGCTTCTGTGGTTCCTGCAGGATGAACCCCCATATCCTGCCTCCCTTTATCTCAGGTGTTTCTTTCACTTCTTGGGTTAGTTGGTTACTATCTCTCTCTCTCCCTGATTCTGTAAGCTGCTGGAGGACTGACATGTAGTTCTCTTTTTCACCACTGGTCTTTAGCGAATGAATGAATGGAATAGATGGGTGAATGGATGGTAGTTCCTCATTGAAGACAATCTTGCAATATTGAAGTTTGCAATATTCTGGTGGTTTGATGCCAGGCTGTCTTTGAGGCTTTGCTGCAAATAGGGAAAAGATGTTCATCTGCCAAGGGGAGTTTAACTGGCTGGTGATATGAGAATCCATTGGGTCCTAATCCAATTTTATTCATCAACATGATCGATGGGTGGATAGAGCCTTCTGAATGGCTGGAATACATAGCTGCCTCTGGGATAATTTGAGGTGGGAGAATTAAGTCTTCCTAAGTCACCTGCTCCTCCCCTCTGGAAATGTTACCCCTCATGTGGGCTGCTCTTCAAGAATCTTCCACTAAATTCAAATAATTCTAGGAGGGCTCAGTCCTCATGAGCTACATTTTAGGCAGCTGAATGGACAGCTGAGCCCTGGAGATCAGGGGAGTGGGATGGGGAAGCAAGAGACAGGCAGGAGGAAAGAGAAATGGAGAGGTGGTCAGGAGGCAGGCACTGCGGATGAGACCCTGGCAGGGGAGTCAGGCATCAAACGTCGTCACCTTCCCAGATTTGCCACACTCTGGTCCTTTTACTTTCATGCCTCATGATTTGACAAAAATGTCATTTCTCCATTTTGACTTTTTTTCCACTTCAAGGAAGAAAGATACAAAAACAAACAGGAGAAATTTCTTCAGAGGTAAATGGAAGCATCTGGACATGGACATAGGATGTTTGGCATGTGAGTGTCTCCTCTGGAAAACTTCATTTAGTCCTCCATTTATTCCTTCAAGAAATGCTATTGAGTGTCTACCACGTACCAGGTACTGCGTAGGCTCCGGAAATAGAGAGTGAACAAAATAGACAGCTTTATGCCATAGAATTCTGGGAATTTCCCATGAAGGCTTCGAGAGAAAAAAGCATGCATTCTCCTGTGTCTGCCCAGACTCCCATGGCTTGGAACTGCCCGATGTGATGGGACGTGGGACTTGGGGAAAGTTGAGGAATATATTGTATTGTTGGGAGGCATAGCAAGCATATGAGCAAAAAGGAAACCCTTCTTCTTTCCCATCATGTTTGGGTTTTGGTGACAGGGCATGGGAAGATGAGGGGAAAGAGGGATGTGAGTTAGGTGCTGGATTCCAGGAAATGTCTTCACTGAAGTTTGAATATTCTGATATCCTGATGCCAGCCTGAGGCTTTGAAGTTTTCCTGCAAATAGGGAAAAGATGTTGGTCTGCAAAGGAGAGTCTAACTGGCTGGCGATATTAAAATCCATTAAATTTGCTGCATCTTACATTGTTTATTTCTTTTTGTTCCTGACACCCAATTTCTACACTTCTGCAGTTATGTAAGAGCTAGAATCTTCATGTCCTAGCATCCCACCCTTAATAAAATTCCCTTTATTCCTTTCCTCACATTTATTACACATTCTCCTCCCTCCCCAGGCCACTATAGTGGGCATGTAAAAAATAAAGCTATCCTGCAATTTCAATAAAAGCCACATAATCTCTTTCTAAAGCACTACTCTGCTTTGAAAAGTCAATATTCCTCCATTGGCAATTTCCCATAACGCGGTTAGTTTAACAAAATAAAATCTGAGAAAACAAAACATTGTGAGAATGATTGTGTTCCTACAAGTTCTTAATTTTCTACTCTGTGCCATTTCTTAGCATTTTTCATGTCCTACCTCATTGTTGGCTAAGTGAGAAAGCCAAGAAAAGCTGGCCTTGAGCCTTTTGAGAGGAAAGGGTGAATTCATTAGGGTCTCTTGCTTGAAAGTGATAGAAACTTAATTTGAGCTAGCTGGAGTCAAAAACCAGGTGGGGCAGGGGTTGGGGCTCATTAGCAGAAGGAGGGGGAGATGAATCCTGGGCAGTAGGATGAACAGGTGTCCACATGGAGGACAAAAGCAAGTGGTTCCTTCTCCTTCCCACCCACATCCAGACCATTAGGAGAAAGGTCAGGGGTGGAGGCAGAGGGAGAGGCTTCTGCCGTTTGGGAAAGGTGTCTAGCTGAGGGGTTGAAAGTGGTTAATTGGGAAAAGTGATTGTCCTTTTTTCCTGGTAGTGTGGGGCTCTGTTCTGCACCCCTTTGCTTGGCAAAAAGGAAAAGTTCTCCAAAGAGCTGTCTGCAAAAGTTGTGTGCCGTCTCACCAGCGCACTCCTGTAGAGCGTCCACCCACCCTGTACACCTACCTCTCCACTGAAGCTGTGCGGGACTAGATCACCAAGAGCCTCCATATTGCCAACTTCAAGGGGCGTTTTGGTCTTTAAGTTGCTCTATAGGACATACTCATCCATTCCTCTTGAAACCTTATCCTTTTTTGAGTATCTGGGCATCGCTCTTGCCCTCTAAGGTCCTGCACTCTCTTGGTTTTGCAGCTACTACCTGACCTCTCTCATTCTCCTCTGCGGGCTTCTCCTCCCTTTGCTCCCTAGCTGTTGAGCATCATCAAGGTTGGGTCCTGGTTTCTCTTATGGTGTCTGTCTATGTGCTCCCTTTAAGTAGTTTCAGTGATCAGCATTTCCATCTAGATGTCTTATAGACATCTCCAATTCAGACATGAAAACAGGAATTTTGAAGCCCTTCACTCAGTCCAAATCTGATCCTCCCCATATCTTCTTGTCTCTGCAAGAGGCACTGCCATTCACTTGGGTACTAGCGCCCCTAATTACTGCATACCATCCCGGACTCACATGTCTGTTCTCCTCTATCTAACCTCAGTCTAACCCAGTGTTAAGTTCTGTCGGCTAGATTTCAAAATATATCTGGTACAAGCCCATCTCTCTTTATCTCCACCACAACCATCCGGGTCAAAGCCACAGTCCCGTCTCATGTGGCCAGTGGCAGCAGCCCCCTCACGGGTCTCCCTACTTCCTCTTTTGCCACCTCCCACCATTTTCCACAGTGTTCTTTGAAAGGCAGATTATGTCACTTCCCTACTGAAATCCTTTCACTGATGTTCCACTGCCCTGAGGATAAAGGCCAACAAGCTTCTGCCTATTCAGGCTCCTCTTAACCTCACAGCCTCATCCCATGACTGTCTCCTGCTCTTTTGCTCTGCACCAGTCACATGGCCCCCGTGTTCTTGGACTACACATAGCTCTTCCCTGCCCTGGGGCCTTTGCACTCACTCTTTCCCCTGCTTGGAAACACTTTTCTCTAATTGCTTGGTGGTTCTTATCTTTTTTCTAATCATTTATGACTCAGCCTAAATATCACCTCCTCAGAAAGACATTTGCTTTTTAGCACTCAGCTATTTCTCTCCGAGTACAAATGATCATTTGTAATCATTTATTTGTTTAATTGTTTACTGTGTCTCACATTAGAGAGACTCCAAGGACAGGAATAAAAACATCTGTTATGTTCTCTAGTTCTCATTAATGGCTAGCCCAAGACCTGGCAGATAATATATGCTCAAGGAATGGTTTTTGAATAACGAGTACAAATAGCATCAAGATAACTAACATTATGTCAGTCAGTGCTCTAATTTTGAGTGCTGAACTATAAATGTTCTGTGGGTGAAACTTTTTTTGAAATATTTAAATGACTTGGAATTGAGATCATGTTATGTCTTAAGATGAACTCAGAGAATTCCATGCTGCATTTATTTTCTTTTCTTTCTTTTTTTTTTTTTTTTTTGAGACAGAGACTCACTGTGTTGCCCAGGCTGGAGTGCAATGGTGAGATCTCAGCTCACTGCAACCTCTGCCTCCTGGGTTCAAGTGATTCTCCTGCCTCAGCCTCCTGAGTAGCTGGGATTATGGCACCTGCCACCATGCCCAACTAATTTTTGTATTTTTAGTAGAGACGGGGTATTGCCATGTTGGCCAGGCTGGTCTTAAACTCCTGACCTCAGGCGATCCGCCAGCCTTGGCCTCCCAAAGTGCTGGGATTAGAGGTATGAGCCACGGCACCCAGCCTGCATGAATTTTCAAACAGAACAAAGCTACATTCCTTTGGTAGGTACAAGAGGAGGAAAATTTCTATGGCAAGACTCTCTCTTACTCTGATCAAAAATGTTCCTAGCAAATAGGATCTAAGTAGAATATTATTGAAGTGGATAGGAAACTGCCAAGGAATCTGTATCTACATGTGAAAAAAAGAAAAGAGTGAAAACAAAACTGAGATTCTTTTTTGGGAACAAAACTACAACTTGCCATCAAAAAGTTTCTGCTGCTGACCTGCTGACCACCCCACCCTCCCTCACCAAAAAAACCCCAAGAAGTTATTTAAAAAGAATCCTTCAGAGTTATCAAGCAGATGAGATTCCTTGAAGCGGGAGTCTAAGGAGATATTTAAAGTTATTTCCTCACAATGTCTCTAACTAGTGAAAGGTGAGAAAGCATTTTCTCAATGGTTGCAACATTTTCAATAAAAATATGTTCACCATTCAACAATGGCACCACTGAGCCACTCTATTATTTAAGATAAATTTATTTTTTCAGATGAACTTTAAAAAATATCAAATTATATTATTTTCAAATATTTTTTATTAAATGTTCTTCATTTTATGTGGATTTTGCTTATTTTTTGAGTATCTCATTTTTAATTAGTGTTTAATAATTTAGTGTTTGATAAAATATAACAATTATAAATGTTTTTATTGCTGTTTGTAACATGTTTATAATTTCTCTGATGTGTAAGGTATTGAATATTTGCTTTCACTATTTTTTTTTTTTTTTTTGGGACAGGGTCTCCCACTGTCACCCAGGCTGGAGTGCACTGGCATAATATCGGCTCATGGCAACCTCTGTCTCTCAGGCTCAAGCAATCCTCCCACCTCAGCCCCCCAAGTAGCTGGGAGTGTATTAGGCATGTTCCACCACGCCCAGCTGATTTCTGTATTTTTTGTAGAGATGGGTTTTCCCCATGTTGCCCAGGCTGGTTTGGAACTCCTGGGCTAAAGCAATCTGCCCACCTCAACCTCCCAGAGTGCTGGGATAATAGGCGTGAGCCACTGCACCCAGCCATTTTGACTAATTTTTAAAATAAATTCCACACTCATAAAAATATCAGTACCAGTGCTACTACTTTATTATAAATCTAAACAGAGTGGACAACATGACAGCTTTGTTGTTTTGTTTGAATGCAGCGATAGCCACCCTTGCCTGGCCCCAGCAGCCGACAGCTGATCTATCACAGGATGCTTGTGCCTGCCTATCACAGGATGCTACTTATCACAGGCACCCTGTCTATCACAGGATGCTTCCTGATGATCAAGGTTTGAGGATCAAGGTGTTCGCAGCTCATCTCCTCCAATCTGGACTGGGCTGATCCAAGTGTGCCTGATCCAAGCAGAGGTTCTGTGGTTACTCATTCCCGGAAACATGAGGACCCTGCATGGGACACGTGGTGTGTGTCCCTTTAATCACCACAGTCGTCCTACTGTGCCGGTAGCACTGGTACTATTTTCAGTTGAGGACACTAGGGTTTAAAGAGGTTAAATAATTTCCCCCAGATCCCACAGCTAGTGAGAGTGGGAGCCAATAGCTGAGCCCATGCCAGTCAGACACCAAAGCCTTTCCACTCTGCCTCCCTTCCTGATGCCAGGAGCCACCAGAAACTGCACTTTGGCAATAACCAGCTCCAGCGTCTCTAAGAGAGAAGGGTCAGGCGGCTTCGTGCTGTACTGGACCTGGGATAGAATTTCAGAGCCAAGTTCAAGGTTGTAAAAAGTGATCCCAACAAGGGACCAGGGAGGGCACCATGCAGAGCTGCCCTACCTTCTGTCACTTGCTCCTAGCTGAATATAAAATGGAGAAGGGTGGTCTCTTCCTTGCTCTTGCCCCAAGGGCACTTGACCGGCTAAGTGGAGAGAAGAGAACCTCCTTGATGGGAACTTCTATCGAGGCTTTCTCTAAGTTCAAATCCCTGGAAACACCAAAAATTCTGTACAATTTTAATTGCAGATGTTTTGTTCATTAAATTAAATAATCAGTACTCCTGTTATTACTATCAATACTACTACTGTTATTACTATCCTGTTATTGCTATCAGTAATACTGCTACTGTTATTCTACTACTGGTTAACATTTTCAGAAACCTAACTTGACTCTCCTCAACTGCAGCTTCTTAGCGAATTCATCATCTATGGAGAAACTGATGAAGCTTTGGAGGGAGGGATGGGAGTGTTGATGATGATTTAAAATAAAAGCTTTTACTGTTTTTTGTGCACAGAACCACACGGTTCATATTTTAATTGATGCCATAAGTATTTGAAAGAATTATCTTTAAATTTTATTTGTTTGTTTGTTTTGAGACGGAGTCTCGCTCTGTCGCCCAGGCTGGAGTGCAGTGGGGCGATCTCCGCTCACTGCAAGCTCCGCCTCCCGGGTTCACGCCATTCTCCTGCCTCAGCCTCCCGAGTAGCTGGGACTACAGGTGCCCGCCACCACACCCGGCTAATTTTTTGTATTTGTAGTAGAGACGGGGTTTCACCGTGTTAGCCAGGATGGTCTCTATCTCCTGACCTCGTGATCCGCCCGCCTTGGCCTCCCAAAGTGCTGGGATTACAGGCGTGAGCCACTGTGCCCGACCAAATTATTACTATTTTTAGTTAAGGTTGTATATTCTAATTACAATCCACTAGGTACTTATTAATAATATCAACTTGCATTAGGACATTTTGTATGCTGTTTGTCTCAAATTGATTTTTAAATAAAATTCCTAGATTTTCAAATTCAGCACACATCCTATCAGATTATTCTGTTTGCCTTTGCTTTCGACTTCAAATAAAAGTTACTCCCTGCTAAATTGGATGGGTAAAATGCCCGAGTAATAATTAACTAAGCAATCGTGACAATATTAGCGAGCTCTACAATGACGCACTCAAGCTTACCAGCACAAGTGTATCTGTAGGTGCATATTTTGAACTAGCTCAGCATTTGTTCCTGAGTCATGAACAAGTTGTGCAGTAACATTTATTTCTGGCTTTCACTCTTGTCTATAATCTTGGAGACCAAGATAAAGAGACCAAGATTTTACAGATGAAGTAAAAATCCTTTGGAAACAGATTAAAACAATTGTATGCACCCAAAGTATTGTAAAACACTTAAGAGTCAAATCTCTCAAAGGTAAAGACAAATCCAAGGGGCTGTCACATCTGGTATGTCACTCGAAGCCTGAAATAAATTATATCAGCCTTTCTTAGTCCAAGGGTTGATTTTAATTCAAAACAATTCGGACCCATACTAGGTTACAATAAAATGCAAATAGCCACCAGGCCTTGTACATTCTAAGTATTCTAGCTAAAGACTAAAAACGCAGAGTTGGCCAGGCGCCGTGGCTCATGCCTGTGATCCCAGCACTTTGGGAGGCTGAGGTGGGTGGATCACCTGAGGTCAGGAGTTAGAGACCAGCCTGGCCAACATAACAAAACCCCGTCTCTATTAAAAAAAAAAAAAAAAAAAAAAAAAGCCGGGCATGGTGGCAGGCGCCTGTAATCCCAGCTACTTGGGAGGCTGAGGCAGGAGAATCGCTTGAACCCAGGAGGCAGAGGTTGCAGAGAGCCGAGATCGCACCACTGCACTCCAGCCTGGGCCACAGAGTGAGACTCTGTCTTAAAAATAAAATAAAATAAATAGATAAAGAAATAAATAAATAAAACGCAGGGTCCCACCAAGCCTTGCAGGCCACATTCAACCCACATTTCAGGGAATTAAGCACTAAAAAGTCAGAAATACATTTAGGTTTGGGTGTAAGGTCTATGTGTTGGAAAATGTTACACTGTTTTATTGAAGTTTTTAAAAATTGAAACCATAAAATTAAGGAATATGGCTTTGCTGAATTCTTAAGAAACTGAGGACTTTGGTTATTTTTTCAATTTTCAGAGGCATGGAGTTTATTCAAAATAACCATTCTATTCCCCATGCAAGTTTAAAGAAACTGGACTATTTAAACCATCAACCATTCCTAAGGAGCTATTTTTTTAAAAATAGACTTCAATAGCAAACACTGGAAACAATTTAAAAGTACATCAATAAGGAAAATGTTAAAATATAGAAAGCCTCAGAGCTACATTACTCAGTTGTAGAATACTATGCACAATACCATCACATTCATTTTAAAAAGAATCCTATCTATGTATACGTTTGCACACTGCAAACTGAAACAGTGGCAACATGGGAGAGAAGAGGAGGTTTGGGCAGAAAGTGGATGTATTCATGTATTATTTTGAAGTTATACATTAACAAGCAAAACAAGACTAATAACAAACAAGAAACAAACAAACAGAAAGCCCACGAGGATTCTGAACTAATCACAGTATGTATTAGGCTACCATAGCAAAGTACCACAGCCGGGTGGCCTAAACAGCAGGGTTTTATTTTCTCACAGTTCTGGAGGCTGGAAGTACAGCATGAAAGTGTTGGCAGGTGTGGCTTCTTCTGCGGCCTCTCTCTTTGGTGTGCAGAAGGCCATCTTCCCCAGTCCTCATACGGCCTTTCCTCTGTGCATGTGCAGCCCTGAGCTCTCTTTTTTCCCTGTGTGTCCTCATCCCCATTTCTTATAAAGACACAATTGGCCAGGTGCGATGGCTCACACCTGTAATCCCAGCACTTTGGGAGGCCAAGGTGGGTGGATCACAAGGTCAAGAGATCGAGACCATCCTGGCCAACATGGTGAAACCCCCATCTCTACTAAAAATACAAAAATTAGCTGGGCATGGTGGCGCACACCTGTAGTCCCAGCTACTTGGGAAGCTGAGGCAGGAGAATTGCTTGAACGCAGCGGGTGGAGGTTGCGGCAAGCTGAGATCACGCCACTACACTCCAGCCTGGCCACAGAGTGAGACTTCGCCTCAAAAAAAAAAAAAAAAAAAAAAAAAGACACAATCATATTCCATTAGAACTCACCCTATATTTTAACTTAAAAGACCTTGTCTCCAAAAATGGTTACATTCTGAGGGACTAGGGGATGGACTTCAGCATAGGAATCTTAGGAGCACAATTCGGCCCCTAACACAGTGTTTCCGTTTTCAGTTCTAACCTGTTTATGCTCCACAGTGTATTGGTTTTAACGACAACTGCGCAGCTTTGCACTATAGGTGGGCACGTGACTTTGAAAATGTATTCTCAGAAACTAAATTTTAGATACAAAAATCCCCCTCAGCATCACTAGGATACAATGTGAAGGTTGTGCCTGTCAACCTAGTACTCAAATGCGGCTTCTCTAAGCCTCTCCTTCATGCTCGCATGGAACTTCATTCATGGTTCCATTGCCCTGTCTCCTCTGTCTCTCAGCATCCACATGAGTTTGCCACATAGTAGGTATTACGGGTTGAATTATGTCCTACCAAAGTTCATACGTTGAAGAAGTCCTACCCCCAGGACCTCAGAATGTGACCTTATTTGGAAATAGAGTCATTGCTGATGTAGTTGGTTAAAATGAGGTGATGCTGGAATAGGGTGGGCCCTAATCCAAGGTGACTGGTGTCCTTATAAAAAAGAGGAGATGCCAGGCGCGGTGGCTCACGCCTGTAATCCCAGCACTTTAGGAGGCCGAGGCGGATGGATCAACGAGGTCAGGAGATCGAGACCATCCTGGCTAACATGGTGAAACCCTGTCTCTACTAAAAATACAAAAAAAAAAAAAAAAAAGAAAAAAAAGAAAAAAATTATCCGGGCGTAGTGGCGGGCACCTGTAGTCCCAGCTGCTCCGGAGGCTGAGGCAGGAGAATGGCGTGAACCCGGGAGGCGGAGCTTGCAGTGAGCCGAGATCGCACCACTGCACTCCAGCCTGGGCGACAGAGCAAGACTCCGTCTCAAAAAAAAAAAAAAAAAAAAAAAAAAAAAAGGGAGATTTGGACTCAGACACACACAGGGAGAATGCCATGTGAACACGAAATCGGAGACTGGGGTGATGTGTCTGTAAGCCGAGGAAAGCCAAGATGGCCAGCCAGCCACCGGGCGCTGGAGAGAGGCCTGGAGTCCCTCTCGGCCCTCAGAGGGACCAATCCTACAGACACCTGGGGCTCAGTCTTCTCGCCTCCAGTACTGGGAGACAGTAGATGTCTGTGTTTCAGCCACCCAATTGGAGGTACTTTGTTATGACAGTCCTAGCAAAACAATACAGTAGGTATCAATAAAGAGTGAGGACCAGCGCAGTGGCTCACGCCTGTAATCCCAGCACTTTGGGAGGCCAAGGCGGCTGGATCACTTAAGGTCAAGAGTTTGAGACCAGCCTGGCCATCATGGTAAAACCCCATCTCTACTAAAAATACAAAGGTTAGCCAAGTGTGGTGGCAGGCGCCTGTAATCCCAGCTACTGGGGAGGCTGGGGCAGAAGAACTGCTCAAACCCAGAAAGCAGAGGTTGCAGTGAGCTGAGATCACACCACTGCACTCCAGCCTGGGCAACAGAGCAAGACTCTGCCTCAATCAATCAATCAATAAAAGAGTGAAAGGGGGCACTGTTAACAGCTACACTCAGGCCATGGGCATCAGTGGGACATATGGCTCCCCTTCCTATAAATCATAGCTGAATTTGATTCTCTTTAGTTTCTTGTCCTTTTTTGCTGTCTCTCCTCCTGATAAGAATGTGTAGGATCTTGGGTGACAGAAATCAGGTCTGTTTCTTGCACTGCAGAATGTCCCATTCTACCTCCAATGAATCAAATGTTTTCTTGAGTGCTACTCAAATCATCATTTGCTTAAAGTAATGCAGATCAGTGAGAAGAGTTTGGATCAGAAGCAGCGAGCTTTGCATCGATGCACTCAAGCTTACCAGCACAAGCCTATCTGTAGGTGGGTGCATATTTTGAACTGGCTTAGCATTTGTTCCTGAGTCAGGCACAAGCTGTGCAATAACATTCTTTTCTGGCTTTCACTATTGTCTATGATCTTAGAGACCATTCTCAAATATTTACAGCTACAGTTCTTACCTTTTACTTGGGAGCTCGTCTTGGGGATCCCCATAGCAGTTTTGGGGAATTGAGACCAGGGACCAAATTTGCATTTGGTCCCTACCCCATGCACCTACCCCATCCGGTAGGGCTAGGCTCTACCTGTCCTGTTGCTTAAAATCCTGGCATTTTTGCAGCTGCGGGTCAGACAACACAAAGCCCCAATTTTAATGTTTATTTTCCTGTTTGGTGTGGATGCCCTGTCCATCTCTGCAGTGCACTCATGAACACATAAGCCAAAAATAGCTACAGTGGGTCATAGGTCAAAGCAATTCATCAAGATAAACTTTCTGAGAAATTTTCTATGAAAATCTTTTGCAATTATGGGATCACTATAATTATGTCCGATGTTTTCTACCACTCAGGAACTGTTTAATCTCCCTCCCTTGGGAAGAGGGGTCAAGATGACGTGGGTTCAGGTTGTAGGAGATAGGTGTCCAGGAGTAGGGGCAATATGTGGAGTGAGTGGCAATTACTAGAAAAAAAACCGCAAGGCAGTCCCAGGCCAGGGTCAGAATCAACCAGCAGGGCCAGGCCTCCCAGACACGTGAATCTGGGCCAAGGTTTTATGTGTGTGTGTGTGTGTGTGTGTGTGTGTGTGTGTGTGTGTGTAAGAGAAGGCACCAATGCACTGAAGAGAACAAAAAAGATAGAAATAGGATAAAAGTCTGGAGTCATTCCTGACCCCAAATTAGGCCACTTAAGTGCTTTGTTTGTTAAAGTAGCATCCATGGCTTCCGAGATGCATATGTAAGGTGCATATGAAGAAACGAGAGGCATTTTCCAGCTGGTTATTTTTTATGTCATCCCTTGATCAAAGGTAATTCTAGCACTTTGGGAGGCAGAGATGGGAGGATCACTTGAGCCTAAGAGTTTGAGACCAACCTGGACTACATAGTGAGACTCCATCTCTACTGAAAATAAAAAAATTAGCTGGGCATGGTGGCACAAGCTACTCAGGAAGCTGAGGTGGGAAGATCGCCTGACCCCAGGAGTTTGAGGCTGCAGTGAGCCACAATTGGACCACTGTACTCCAGTCTGGGTAACAGAGACCCCATTTCTGAAAAATAAAAATAATAATTTAAAAATAAGGATAGGCCGGGCGTGGTGGCTCACCCCTGTAATCCCAGCACTTTGGGAGGCCGAGGCAGGAGGAGCACAAGATCAGGAGATAGAGACCATCCTGGCTGACACGGTGAAACCCCGTCTCTACTAAAAATGCAAAAAAATTAGCCAGGTGTGGTGGCAGGCGCCTGTAGTCCCAGCTACTCGGGAGGCTGAGGCAGGAGAATGGCGTGAACCCAGGAGGCGGAGCTTGCAGTGAGCTGAGATCGTGCCACTGCACCATGCCCAGGTCGCCAGCCTGGGCGACCGAGCCAGACTCCATCTTAAAAATAATAATAATAAAAATAAAAAAAATAAGGATAACACTGGCCAGATGTGGTGCCTCATGCCTGTAATCCCAGCACTTTGGAAGGCTGAGGCTGGCGGATCACCTGAGCTCAGGAGTTCGAGACCAGCCTGGCCAACATGGTGAAACCCTGTCCCTACTAAAAATACAAAAAATTAGCTGGGCATGGTGGCAGGTGCCTGTAATCCCAGCTACTTGGGAGTCTGAAGCAGGAGAATCACTTGAGCCCGGGAGGCGGAGTTCACAGCCGAGATCACGCCACTGCACTCCAGCCTAGGCAATGAGAGTGAAACTCTGTCTCAAAAAAATAAATAAACAAATAAAGATAACACTGCAATCAAGTTCCAGGAAGGCCTTCCATAGTATGATTCAAATAATGCAATGTAGGGATGTAGCTCTTGGTAAAGAGTAGGCTAAGAATAGTTGGGACAAATGGGCATAAAAACTAACTGAGCGTCTCCCATGCCTGGTGAGTGGCGGACCTGCCTAGAGAGGCTTCTGGTGTGCTCCTTCCTGCCGCTCCGTGACCGTGACAGCCTCTGCAGTGGTGTGGAAATCAGCACATTCTCTTTCTTACTCCGAAGGAAAAGGCTGGGAATGATCTCACACCAAGACCTAATTGTTCTGCCAAGTCAATCACCCCCGAGGCTCCGAAGCGTTTGCTCCTCCATGCTGACTTTCGTGGAGCCTCTAATGAGGCCCAGCATGGCCCAGCGTTGTGTCCTCTGGGCCTCGTCATCTGCCTTTCTTGGAACGTGGACTGAGAGCTTGTTTTGGATCCTCACCAATCAGGCCTTCGAAATGGCCAGGAGGTCTCAGTAGACAAGCCGGGTAATTGAACATATGCAGGTTGTTTATTTTGTCCATAAAGCAGTGACCACACTCGGAGAAGAAATTGCCTTGTTAAAAAAAAGATTCTGTTCCTCATCACTCAATGCCTGGCTCTGCCAGCTGCAGGGACTTTCCAGCAATTAAAATAAACAATTCCACATGTGCACAGTCAACCTTGCAGAAAAAAGGTGTCAGGAAATAAAGATGTCACAGAATTTGAAATAAAATGTGTTTAAGAGCAGCCTGGCTCTCTTGAATTGGAAAGTGGCTTTTCTTGGAGCTGTAAGAGTCTTAACAACTTTAGAACTAGAAGAGAATGCAGTGTTCATGTGGTCCAGCCTCCAGGTTTGATGGCGAAGGAAACTGAGGGCTGGTTTTTCCAGTATTGCAATTGGACTGTGGAAGAGTCGAGACTATAAACCTGCACCCAACTCTCAGGGCTGTGCCTTCCTGTCCTTTGGAGATGATCAGTAGGAACAATAGGGGGTCAAAGAAAGCTCCAGGAGACAGATATGGCTGTAGATCTGGAATTAGAGGACCCAGTGGAGATCATTACAGGGCAGGGGCCAAATGAGAATGAGAGTGAAGGCCCAGGGGTGGGAGTGAACAGGATGTATTCCTGGAACCAGAGAGGAGACTAGCCTGATAAGTTTTGGGGGAAAGTGAGGATTAAAGTTGGATAGTAGAATACATTGATTGGTCAGAGATAATAATCGCAGGAACCAGATGCCAGGCTAGACAGTTAAAGCAGAAAGGGGTTAGCAGTATACGTTACTTGGACAATGGAAGGAAGAAACAAATAGTCTCTAGTCTCTAGGTTAAGCTTCCAAGAATGACTGTTTTTTTTTCTTTTTTTTTTTTTTTTGAGATGGAGTTTCACTCTTGTTGCCCAGGCTGGAGTGCAGTGGTGCAGTCTCGGCTCACTGCAACCTCTGCCTCCCGGGTTCAAGTGATTCTCTTGTCTCAGCATCCCAAGTAGCTGGGATTACAGGCATTGGCCACCAGCCCAGCTAACTTTTGTATTTTTAGTAGAGACAGGGTTTCACCATGTTGGCCAGGCTGGTCTCCAACTCTTGACCTTAGGTGATCTACCCACCTTGGCCTCCCAAAGTGCTGGGATTAGAGGTGTGAGCCACCGCACCTGGCCAACCAAGAATGACTCTTAACCACACTATAGAAGTGGTCACCAAGAGAGCGGAGGGTTCTGTCATGACCAGGCAGCTGCCACATTAAGAAGCTGCCTCCAGACCAGGAAGCCACTGCCTCCAAACCAGACCCTCTGCCCTTGTCGCAACCCACGCCGGCAAAATGGATGCTTCACCCCCCAGTTCTCTTCCACATACCTCAGCCTTGAATCAAAACTCACCAAGTGCATCTGACAGTCGGAATCTTCTCACAGCTGGGATTCTAGCTGCAGTAGAGTCAGAAAAATGTAATTTTTAGCTCTCAATTTGGGCAACTTGTGAAAGGAATGCTGGAAGGGTTTGGAATGGATGCTGAACAAGCCACTCCACAGTATTCACTGCATGTGGAGAGCTTGGAGCCACAGGACAGGGACCTGTGATCGGGAGCTTGGGCTTGCGTGGTCACAGGTAAGGAGCTGCTGATAATTTCTTGGCTAGAAGAGAGTCATGAAGAAAGTGATTTTGAAATGATTTCTCTAAAAATATTATGCAGGCTAGACTTGTCACCAGGAATTCTTGGATAAGGAGGAATGTATAGGAGGTGATTCCATAATATATGTAAGAGATAATGAAGGCTTGGAACATGCTGACAAGAGTAGAGAGGAAGAGGATAATAACTAATAGCAAATTGAGAAGATTTGGTGATTAATGAAATGAGAAATAAAATGAACCATAAACTCCATGAGCAGAGACTATGCCACTTGTCCTTGAACTGCAAGTATCTCTCCCGGTGCATGGCAAGTGATACGTGCCCAGTGAATGACTAGCAAATGAATGAGAAGGAAAAGTCAAAGATGGAGAGTGATCACCGAAAGGAACATTTTAAAATAACTATTTAAAACATGGAGAGTCAATAGACTTTGCTATTTTCCCCTCTTTGTGACCACCAGCCTGAGAAGTAAATAGAGCACTTTACAAAGAGTCAAAGAGTCAAGGGAGAGACTGGGGATACTGAGGGGCAGAGGAATGGGAGAAATGGTCAAAAGTGAAACACAGAGCTGACTCCCTAGCAGAAAGGAGGGTTCCAGGACTACGCCTAAATTGGGAGAACAATCTGAAGCCCCATGTGGGAATGTTGACATCTGCCATTCCCACCCCACCCCTGCAGCCAGGCGGAGTGATCCCAGGTTCCACACAGCAACACAGCAGCAGAGAGCGGGGCGCAGCTTCTCCAATAGGCTGCACATGGCCGCAGTCGAGCTTTCTGCCTTTTCCTTCTATTCCCCCACCCCATTTCCTCAAACTCCAGAACATTGGAATTAGACAACTAAAGTGCAGATTTTTTAAAAATCAAAGGACTAGACATAGCTGAAACCAAGCACAGTGGCACAGAAGAAAGATCTCCTGTAATCTCAGTGCACGCAAACGAAGACAACAGAAATGTTAAATCAGAGAGGAGAATGGATATGGTACAGAAAAGAAGAGAAACTGACATAAGAACAATCGTGTGTTCCTGAAGCAGAGGATTGAAAAGGGGTGGAGAAGATTTACTCAGAGATATCTACTTGGGCTCTCCCAGGCAGGATTGACTCTGAGATTAAAAGCACACGCCATGTTCTTGGAGATTTTGATACTCCAGGAGGTTCTGTGCCAAAAAATCTCCAGGCATCCAGAAAAACACAAGTCAACTGCAACAGAAATCAACTACAACAGAAACAAATTAGACCAGCCTGAGAACTCTTCACAGCAATCAAAGCCATAAAACAACGGAGTAATGTCAACAAAGTTCCAAAGGAAAGTGTGACCTGAGACTATTGTACCCTGTCAAGGTGCTGTTCAAATGGAAAGGCAACAGGCAGACATCTCCACACAATGTCATGAATCTTCTCGAAAAAATATTTTATGATAAAACGTTAGGAGTTCGAGACCAGCCTGGCCAACAAGGCAGAACCCCATCTCTACTAAAAATACAAAAATTAGCTGGGTGTGGTGGCACGTGCCTTTAATCCCGGCTACTCGGGAGGCTGAAACACGAGAATTGTTTGAGCTCGGGAGGTGGAGGTTGCAGGAGCCAAGATCGTGCCATTGTCCTCCAGCCTGGGCGACAGAACGAGACTCTGTCTCAAAAACAAAAAAAAAACAGACAAAAAAAACAAGCAAAAAAAGTTACCAATTTTAGGTGAATCATGATTTAAAAACAAACAAGAATGACAAGGAGTAGGGAAGCCCTGATAAAAGACTGACAAGTAAGTAGAACCCGTTTAAATATTGAATTAAAACTGAACGATTAGGAGAACACTAATTAAAAAGCACAGTGCAAGTGTTGGAAACCTGGAACTTTTTTTTTTTTTTTGAGACGGAGTTTTGCACTTGTCGCCCAGGCTGGAGTGCAGTGGTGCGATCTTGGCTCACTGCAAACTCCATCTCCTGGGTTCAAGCAATTCACCTGCCTCAGCCCCCCGAGTAGCTGGGATTACAGGCACCCACCACCACACCTGGCTAGTTTTTGTATTTTTAGTAGAGACGGGGTTTCACCATGTTGGCCAGGCTGGTCTCAAACTCCTGGCCTCAGGTTATCCACCTGCCTCGGCCTCCCAAAATGCTGGAATTACAGGCGTGAACCACTGCACCTGGCATGGAACGTTTTGAAATAATCACGTAACCTACAAAATATGGAGGGGGTTAGGTGGAAGAAGTATTAACATTTTCGTCTTTCATAGCGGGGAGTCAGTATTTTCTGAAATTGACATGTAAAGTATAATACAAACAAGAATGCCAGTCTCTTCTGTTTCCCTCATAATTACTCTTTTCTTAATCCTAGACAGATCTTTAAGAAATAATCCTCTAGTGGTGAAGACATTTTTATGTGACAGTCAGTGAGTCCTTTGGTTTCACTTCAGTTTCTTATGTTAAATTTAACTAAAATTAAATACCTAAAAATGGTAAGTGGCTGCAATTACATGATCCCAAGTTTTTAAATGTGATTTTGTTTATTAACCATTTCAGCTTTCTATATGAAAGAAAAATATTCAGTTAATATTCTTACTTAAGAGTGATGGGCCGAGTGCAGTGGCTCACACCTGTAATCCCAGCACTATGGGAGGCCGAAGTGGGAGGCTCACTTGAGGCCAGAAGTTGGAGACCAACCTGGGCAACATAGTGAGATCCTGTCTCCTAAAATTAAAAAAAAAAAAAAAGAGTGAGGGGCTTGGGGTAATGTGAAACATTTTCATCTCTTCATGTTTAGGACTGTTTGAATTTGTTATAGTAAAAATTTTTTAAACAAAAATTTATAATTTCTTACAATATAAAGACTGAAGGGAAATATGCCAAGGTGACAACCAGAGTTCATTCCGCGTGATGTGAATGTGGATGATACCTGTGCAAATGTCTTTGAAAAAAGCCCAAACTTCAAAGTCATTGGCAAGGCTTCCAAGGTTCCTCAGTCACATTCTTCGCTTACTTTTCCAGCCTCCCCTTTTTTAATTCCTCCCCATCAAAGTCATGTCTTCCATGCTCTAGCCATATGGAACTGCTTGTAATTTTCTGGTCAGTTCACTCTCCCCAGTTCCAGGCCTTTGCCCTTCTGCTTGCCCCACCCTTCTTCCCCCTCCCTCTGACTCTACACCGTGCTCCTTTTCCTGGTTCATGCCTACTCGTTGTTTTTTTATTATTTTTTTTTTTTGGTGGAAAAGTGCATATAACAAAATTTACCATTTCAACCATTTCTTTTTTAAGGGCTGGGATCTTGCTCTGTCACCCAGGCTGAAGTGCAGTGGTGTGATCATGGCTCACTACAGCTTCGAACTGCTGGGCTCAAGTGATCCTCCTGCCTCAGACTCGTAAGTATCTGGGACTACAGGCACGCACCACCATGCCTGGCTAATTTTTGTTTTTTTTGTAGAGATGGGGTCTCGCTATGTTGCCCAGGCTGGTCCCAAACTGCTGGGCTCAATCCTCTTGCCTTGGCCTCCCAAAGTGCTGGAATTGTAGGCCTGAGCCACCTCACCCAGCTCCATTTTGACCAGTTTTAAGTGTATAATTCAAAGGTGTTAAGTACATTCACAATGTTATGCATCCATCACCACTTTGAATTCCCAGAACCTTCTCACTGTTCCAAACTGAAGCTCTGTACTCAACAAACAACAACGTCCCATTCTTAGCCCCTGGCAACCACCATTCTACTTTCTGTCTCTATGAATTTACCTGCTCTTGGGACCTCACATGAGCGGGATCACACAGTATTTGTCCCTCTATGACTGGCTTATTTTATTTAGCATAACGTTTTCTAGGTTCACACATTTTATAGCACGTGGCAGAATTTCCTTCCTTGTTAAGGCTAATATTCCATTGTACCTGCTACATGTTATATATCCATTTGCATTTTGTATATAATGCTACGTTTTGTATATCCATTTGCATCTTGTATACGCTACATTTTGTATGTCCTTTGATGAACATTTGGGTCATTTCCACCCTTTGGCTGTTGTGAGCAATGCTGCTATAAACACTAATGCACAAGTCCTACTCATTTGTAAGGATTCCTGTTGAATATCATCTTCTGAAAGCCATTCCTGGTTTCCTTATTTGGGGTTGGGTACCTACCCATTGTGTTCTTGTGATGTCTTGTGTATATGCTGTCTTATTTGTTAGGTTATCCTGCAATTGCTGGTTTGTAAGCTCTGCTTGCCATCTTCCCCACTAGACTATGGGCTTCTTGAGAGCAGAGATCACTTCATGTGACTTGGAATCCTTACTAGCTCACCTAATGCTTAGAACACAGGCGGCAGTCAATATTATAGCAGAAAGGGTTTTACTGTCCAGTCCTGCAACATGTTATAGTAATACAGCCGGACCTCTGATGTCAGAGGATAAGAATCCCACAGGACAGGCATGGTGGCTCACACCTGTAATCCCAGCACTTTGGGAGATTAAGGCAGAGTTCAAGACCAGCCTGGGCAACATAGACACCCTATCTGTACAAAAATTTTTTTTTTAATTAGCCAGATGTGGTGGAGCATGCCTGTGATCCCAGCCTCCTACTTGGGAGGCTGAGGTGGGAGGATTGCTGGAGCCTGGGAGGTTGAGACTGCAGTGAGCCATGATTGCATCACTGCACTGCAGCCTGGGTGACACAGCAAGAGCCTGTCTCAAAAGAAAAATAAGATACCTCAGACAAAGCCAGAAAACCAAATAAACAAGGAAGAGTGAGGCAAGGTCTCTGAAAATGTCCTGTTCTCGGGAGCTATTATGGCAGGAGCCCCCACCCACGTTGCTGAATGTTTTACTTTTCATGAGAGTTCTCAGTTGCACAGTGTGTTAGTCAGGGTTCTCCAGAGAAGCAAAACCAACAGGATGTATACACAGAGAGAAAGGGAGTTATTACAAAGCACTGGCTCCCACAATTACGGAGGCTGGCAAGTCCCAAGCTCTGCAGGGGGAATTGGCCAGCTGGAGCCCCGGGAGAGACAGCAGTGCAGTTCCAAATGCTGGCAGACTTGAGGCCCGGACTAACATTTCAATTCGAGTCCAAAGGCAGGAAAAAGCCAATGTCAGGCAGGAAGAATCCTCTTTATACTGTGGAGAATCAGTCCTTTTGTTCTAGTCTAGCCTTCCACTGATGGGATGAGGCCCACCCACATGGGAAGGACAATCAGTTCTACTGAGTCTACTGATTTAACACTAACTTCATCCACAAAACTCTAACGGAAACACCCACACGTTTGACCAAACATCTGGGCACCCTGTGGCCTAGTGAAGTCAAACATAAAATTGACCATCACACATAGCTTCTCGAGTCACACACATGCCTTTTTCTGATCCAACATGAGGATAAAGCAGAAAATCACATTAAGAGGGTGTGAACCCCGAAAATCTGAGACAGGTCTCAGTTAATTTAGGAAGTTTGTTTTGCCAAGATTGAGGATGCACGCCCATGACACAGCCTCAGGAGGTCCTGACGACACGTGCCCAAGGTGGCCAGAGCTCAGTTTGGTTTTCTACATTTTAGGGAGACATGAGACATCAATCAACATATGGTTGGTTGAACCATATGTTCGGTTCAACCAATGTTCGGATGAACATTGGTTCGGTCTGGAAAGGCGGGACAACTCGAAGCAAGGAGGGGGCTTCCAGGTCATAGGCAGATAAGAGACAAATGGATGCATTCTGATTAGCCACTCCAAAAAAGGCAATCAGATATGTATTTATCTCAGTGAGCAGAGGGGTGACTTTGAATAGAATGGGAAACAAATTTGCCCTAAGCAGTTTCCAGCTTGACTCTTCCCTTTAGCTCAGTGGTATTGGGGCCCCAAGATATTTTCCTTTCACAAGGGAAACCACCCCCAAGAGGTGGAGGGAGCTGCCTTTGAAAGCATGGGTCCAGTGAGTCTACACTCATTGCTGTGGGCACAGGCCACCATCAGACTTAGGGACTGAGGATGAGTGAGCACAGCTGACTAGGAAAACACGTCTAAAAGTAGGAAACTGGCCAGGCGTGGTGGCTCACGCCTGTAATCCCAACACTTTGGGAGGATGAGGTGGGCAAATCACCTGAGGTCAGGAGTTTGAGACCAGCCTGACCAACATGGTGAAACCCTGTCTCTACTAAAAATACAAAAATTAGCCAGTCGTGATGGTGGGCGCCTGTAATCCCAGCTACTCGGAAGGCTGAGGCAGGAGAATTGCTTGAGCCCGGGAAGCGGAGGTTGCAATGAGCCAAGATTGCACCACTGCACTCCTGCCTGAGTGACAGAGCAAGACTTCATCTAAAAAAAAAATTAAAAAAAATAGGAAACAAAGTGCCCCAAGCCATGATCACTGCCTTGAAATCTTATTTTGAGAAAACTATATTCTAAAGTTGAGTAAGCAAAACTGGAGAAAAATGAGAATAAAGTAAGGCCATGGAATACAAGGAGCCCAGCCTTCTGTATGGAGCCTGGTTTATATACACCTTCTTTCCACAATATTTCCCTAGTCTTGGCATGTAAGCTTTGTCCAAGCCTCTACTCTGTAGGGAATCTTGGCTTAGACAATATACTAAGGGATGGTCACACTTTAGTTACAACAGGAAAGTGGTTCTTTGGAGAAACTGATGATGTAAGGAGTCTTTGTAATTAAGTACAAGTCCCAAGATCATCCTGACTTGTCAAGGAAAAACATACTAGAAAGGACATGGCAGGGAAGGGATGGGCTGCCTAAAGATGAAAATAGGAATGTGTATAGGCAGGAAAATAACACTGACAAAAGGAAGAAAGGCAGGAACTAACAGAGAAATTAAGGAGGGATGGAATCAGATTTGGAAAAGGTGCTTGGATGTAAACTAATTCATCCTTATGTCCAATACATGACTCTTCTCTCTCCTCCCTACTAGGCAGGGCATTTTTGCTTCCTGACAGCTTCTGCTTGAACACCTCCTGCGATGGAAACTCACTATCAAAAATAGCTCCTTTCCTTTTTGCACAGTGCTGAGCCAAACTGAATCAAATTTTGTCTACTTGCAAATTCTGCCCATTAGCTCTGTTCTGACCACTGCAGCGACTCTCAATAGGTATGATGCCTTTTGACCTAGCGGCCCTTCAAATATTTGAAATCCACTTCCTCTGACAGCCCCACCCTGACACCATTTCTAGATCCTACATGATCCTGCTCGGTCATCTGTGAACATACTTCAGATGTGTCAATCACCTTGAAATGTGGAACCTAGAACTGAACACAACGTTCCATGTCATCAGTGAAATTGGAGCACAACATTATTGTTTATATCCTGAGACTTATTGTCCTGTTAATAAAGTCTGAGATAGAACTTGCTTTTTGGCAGCCCTTCAACAATGTTGGGTCACACAGAGCCTAAAATCAGTTTTAAATTACTGCTCCATCTTCTGATCACATCATATATTCCAGGAGCTCTCTGATTATTTGGATTTTATTTCAACACTAAAAAATGTTGAGAACAACATAGCCTTATGTAAAAAAAAAAAAAAAAAGGTTCCAAGGAAGGATATTTTTAAAAGGCAAAAGATTGAAAGAAAATGACATCCAATGGATAGTCATATCTAATGTAGAGTTTAAGAACTGGTAAATATGTGGGCAAATATAAAAGCATTTTCAAAAGTCATCTTTTTATTTCTTTAAAAGATAACTGGCTGTTTAAAACAATGATTATACGTTCTGAGATTTATAACATACAAAGGCAAAATGTATGGCATGAGAGCACAAAAGACAGATATGGAGAAGTGGAAGTAATCTGCTTTCAGGTCTTGAATTACACGTGAAATAGTGTGATGTTATTGAAGGTAGACTGTGAAAACTTCAAATGTATATTGTAAGCCCTAGAACAGCCACTAAAAGAAAGGAAATGGTATAGCTATTAAGTCAATCGTAGAGTTAGAATTAAAAATACTTTGATATAAGCTTTCCATTTATAAATTAAAAAAAGAAAAATACTTGATCTAGAAAAGGAACAGATGAGACAATCTTTAGTTTGTCACAACTGGTTTTCACAATGTCAAGACATTAAACTGATATGTCCATAATTACATTAAATGTAAATAGTAAAAAGGCTAGGCGTGGTGGCTCACACCTGTAAACCCAGCACTTTGGGAGGCTGAGGCAGGTGGATTGCTTGAGGCCAGGAATTCGAGACCAGCCTGGACAACCTGGCGAAACCCCATCTCTACTAAAAATATGAAAATTAGCTGGTGTGGTGGTGCATGTCTGTAATCTCAGCTACTCGGGAGGCTGAGGCAGGAGAATTGCTTGAACCTGGGAGGCAGAGGTTGCAGTGAGTCAAGATCACACCACTGTGCTCCAGCCTGACAGAGCAAGACTGTCTCAAAAAAAAAAAAAAAAAAGTAAATAGTAAAAGCACTCCAATTAAAAGGTAGAGATTGAATAGTTCTTGTAAAAATAGTAACCTTCTATACACAGTATATAAGAAACATACTTTAAACACACAAATAGGTTAAAAATAAAGAACGAAAAAAGATACACTATGTAAGCTCAATAGTCATGAGAAAACTGAAGGGGTGATGTTGTGACCGCCCAATGGGCTCACCTTGCCCGCTGTCTAGACAGAGCCGATTTATCAAGACAAGGACTTGTGGTGAAGAAAGCGTAATTTATGCGGAGCCGGCTGTGTGGGAGACTGGAGTTTTATTATTATTCAAGTCAGTCTCCCTGAAAACTCAGGGATCAGAGTTTTTAAGGATAATTTGGTGGGTAGGGCCAGTGGGTCGGGAGTGCTGATTGGTTGGCTTGGGGGTGAAATCACAGGGAGTCAAAGCTGTCCTCTTGCACTGAGTCAGTTCCTTGATGGGGGCCACAGGACTGGTTGGCAGGTCCAGGCTGGGGACACCCAGTTGTCAGAAATGCAAAAACCTGAAAAGACATCTCAACAGACCAATCTTAGGTTCACAATGGTGATGTTATCTTCAAGAGTAACTGGGGAATTTGCCAGCTTATGACCTCCGGAATAATGTCTGGTAATACTGAGAATTCCAGTCCCTCTCATCCTTACTTCGTGGCTGGTGGCCTTTTATTTGTTTTGCAAGAACAGTTTCACTTTTGGGAAGGGCTATTATTTAAACTCTAAACTAAGTTCCTTCCCAAGGCTAGTTCAGCCTATACCCAGGAATGGGCAAGGACAGTTTAGAGGTTAGAAGCAAGATGGAGTTGGTTAGGTCTGATCTCTTTCACTGTCATAATTTCCTTAGTTATAATTTTGCAAAGGCAGTTTCAATGTTAGTATCAGGAAAAAATAGAATTTAGGAAAAGTAACATTGAAATAAGAGATGTGGCTCAGACACTGGACCAAATTGAGGACTAGCTAAAACAGGGACAGGGCAGAAACACCTTTCCATCATGCCTACCAGTGTGCCTGTCAGTTTACCATTGCCATGGCAACACCCAGAACTTACCACCCCTTTCCATGACAATGACTCAGCGAGCGGAAAGTTACAGCTCTTTTTCTAAACATGTCTGCATAATCTGCCCCATCATTTGCATATAATTAAAAATAAATATAAATATGACTACGAAACTGCCTCTAAACTACTACTCTGGACACAATGACTATGGGGTATCCCTCCCTCCGTGCCTCCCTGCCCTGCTCTGCAAGGAGCAGGCCCCTTTGCTGCTACCACGCACTGCCACTTCAATAAAAGTTGCTGTCTGATACTGCCAGCTCACCATTAAGTTTTTTCCTGGACAAAGCCAAAAACCTTCCCTGACTAAGCCTCAATTTTGGGGCTCACCTGCCCTGCATCATCATCAGAAATGAAGATAAATATAATGATAAAAGGAACAAAGAGGCTGGGCACCGTGGCTCATGCCTGTAATCCCAGCACTTTGGGAGGCTGAGGCAGGTGGATCACCTGAGGTTGGGAGTTCGAGACCAGCCTGACCAACATGGAGAAACCCCGTCTCTACTAAAAATACAAAATTAGGCAGGTGTGGTGGAGCATGCCTGTAATTCCAGCTACTCGGGAGGCTGAGGCAGGAGAATCGCTTGAACCCGGGAGGCAGAGGTTGCAGTGAGCCAAGATCACGCCATTGCATTCCAGCCTAGGCAACAAGAGCGAAACTCTGTCTCAAAAAAAAAAAAAAGAACAAAGAGATACAGCAATCCTAATTGTGTATGCGCCTAATTACACAGCTTCAAATGCATGAAGCAAAAGCTGGCAAAATAAAAAGGAGAATTAGAGAAATCCAGATTTATAGTTGGAAATTTCAACAGTTCTCTCAGTAATAGATAGAACAAACAGACAGAAAATCAGTAAGACCTGAACAACACTATCAACAAGTTTGACCTAATTGAGATTTATAGAAAACAACATTCAATAATAGCAGCATTCACTTTTATCCCTAATATATATCCTATTATAGGGCACATGGAATTTTTACTAGAATAGATCCTGTGCTGGGCCATGCAGCAAATTTCAATACACTTAATTAAAATTATACAGAGAATGTTTTCAGTCTGTAGTGGAATTAATTTGAAAATCGATAATTAAAAGATATCTTTAAAATTCCTACTTGGGACCTGGCGCTGTGGCTCACTCCTGTAATCCCAGCACTTTGGGAGGCTGAGGCAGGCGGATCACGAGGTCAGGAGATCGAGACCATCCTGGCTAACATGGTGAAACCCCGACTCTACTAAAACTACAAAAAAAAAAAAAAAAAAAATTAGCCGGGCGTGGTGGTGGGCGCCTGTAGTCTCAGCTACTCGGGAGGCTGAGGCAGGAGAATGGCGTGAACCCGGGAGGCGGGGCTTGCAGTGAGCCAAGATCGCGCCACTGCACTCCAGCCTGGGAGACAGAGTGAGACTCCGTCTCGGGATGTGGAATTAAAAGACTCAAAGCCTCTCAAGAGAGTTTGAAAGAAAAGAAAACTCCAGGGCATTCTCACAGTGGAAAAAGATGGAAGAAATATAACAAATGAAATGCATGATGCTTGATTGGGGAAAAACAGAAACAAAGAGCATTATTGGGACAATTGGGGAAAATTTAATATTGGCTGTATTTCAGATAATATACTTTGAATCAATGTTCAATTTTCTGAATGTGCACTGAAAAGGAGTGTCCTTAGTCTTAGGAAATATATATTTTAGTGTTTAGGTTTCAAGTGTCATGAGATCTGCACTTTGAAAAGACAGCTCTTGCCCCCAAATTCTGTCTCTATTACATCTCTCTCTCTCTGTCCATAGCTATATGGAACAAATGTGGCAAAATGTTAACAAATGCCAAATATATAGATGAAGGGTATGTAAGTTTTTATTAAGCTATTTTGACAGCTTTTCTATAGGTTTGGAAGTTTTCAAATACAAACTTGTGGAGATTTTTACATTTTACATCCTTCATAGAGTCAAGCATTTGACACTTTCCTTTACAATTTCTATTAACTTACGTGTGGAAATATTTGAAATGGTCTATATGTTCAAAATTAGGCTAATGGTTGAAGTACAGCAAGCTCAGAGGCGGCCTGGACTATTGCCAGTGGATTCCTAGTGCCTTGCATATTTCCTGGCACATGGTAGGTGCTCCTTAAATGTCCTTCTTTTTGCTTTGCTTTTGCTGAGATTTAACTTTATATATCCAGAAATTACATACAATAAACTGTACAAATATTAAGGGTACAGCTTTGATATAGTTTGAATATTTGTCCCTGCCCAAATCTCATATTGAATTGTGATCCCCAGTGTTGGAGGTGGGCCTGGTGGGAGGTGTTTGGGTCATGGGGGCAGATCCCTCGTGGCTCAGTGCTGCCCTCGAGATAGTGAGTCCACATGAGAGCTGGTTGAAGTGTGTGGCACCTCCCCTGGTCCACCTGTTCTCTCTCTTGCTACCACTTCACCTTCCACCATGAGTAAAAGCTCCTTGAGGCCTCCCCAGAAGCTGAGCAGATCCCAGTACCATATTTCCTGTACAGCCTGCAGAACCATAAGCCAATTAAACCTCTGTATAGATTACCCAGTCTCAGGTTTTTTTGTATTTTTTTTTGAGATGGAGTCTCACTCTGTTGCCCAGGCTGGAGTGCAATGGTGCGATCTCAGCTCACGGCAACCTCCACCTCCCAGGTTCAAGCGATTCTCCTGCCTCAGCTTCCTGAGTAGCTAGGATTACAGGCACATGCCACCATGCCAGGCTAAGTTTTGTATTTTTAGTAGAGATGGGGTTTCACCATGTTGGCCAGGCTAGTCTCAAACTCCTGACCTCAGGCGATCCGCCCGCCTCAGCCTCCCAAAGTGCTGGGATTACAGGCATGAGCCACCACTCCTAGCTCAGGTATTTCTTTATAGCTATGCAAGAATGGACTAATACAAGTTTGATTAGTTTTTATGTGGGGGTATTAATACTCCCACGGAACCACCATTCATTTCAAGATACAGGATATTTTCAGCACCCCAGGAGGTCCTCTCATTCTCTCTCCTGGTCAATAGCATCCCCCACAAAAAGTGGCCATTTTTCTGACTTCATCATCATAGGCTAGTTTTGCCTGTTTATGAACTTTATTTAGAGCTCATACAGTATATATTATTTTACGTCTTCCCTTGAAGTTTTTTCCCTTCAAGTTTCTTCCCTTGAAGCTTCTTTCCTTGAAGTTTTTTCATGTAGCAGTAGTGTGTTATGTCGCTTTGTGATATTTCATTGTATGAACACACACCACCATTTAAAAACCCATTCTGTTGTTAATGGACATTGTGTTGCTTGTAGTTTCTTAATGAAGTGGCTCTCTTGTGCTTGTCTCCAATGGACAGATGCATTCTTCATGCTGGATATTTATCCTGGGGTATAATTGTTACATCAGAGGGTATAAATATACTTTTAGCTTCGGTAGATACTACAAAAGTTTTGTGAAATGATTGTTCAACTTACATTCCACCTAAGAATATCTGAGTATTTCAGTTGCTCTGAATCCTGACACTTGCTATTGTCAGTCCTTTTCATTTTAGCCCTTCTGGCAGGGCTGTAGTGCTATTTCACTTGGTTTTAACATTAAATAGATGAAAATGGCATGCCTATAAAATGGAGTATTGTAGAGCTATAAGCAAATGCGTTTTCAAAGATTTAATATTCTGGGAATATGCTTGTGATATGTAAAGATGAAAATCACATACAAACTCTGTATATAGTACTCTTTTATTTTTATTTTAATGTATACATATTAATAAAGAGGACTAGTGGAAATTCACCAAGATATTAAGAGCTGATTTTGGATAGTGGGATTCATTTTTTTTTCACCTCATACTTTTCTGTAATCATGAGATTACAGTCCTACAATGGAAAAATATCAATTTTAAAAAACAGAAAAAAATTATGTCATATTTTTAAGAGTAGTCTTTGCGTGAGAAAATGAAACTTCAATGTTCAAAGAATAAATGGGACTTCTCTGGGCCTGTTTTATCATCTGTAAAATGGACCTACGTCACGACCACAGAACAGTGCTTGTCACTAAGTAAACAGTCAATAAATGACAGCCTTAAAATACAGAACACTCCCAGGATGGCAAAGGAGGCAGTGCCCTCAGGGGAGTCAGGGGTCAGAGCAAGAAAGTGAAGGTAACTTTCAGAGAGGAGGTCGAGGGCATATGGCAAGTTTCCAATGGAGCCTGACCTCCAGAGGCCAGTGAAGGGTTTCTGGAATGGGGGATGGTGTGTGACAGAAAATGGGAATAGAAAAGGGGATGTCCTGGGCCCACAGAGAGACTCCAGTGAGGACGCTGAGAGGTGACGTGGCTGTCTGCGGTTCCTTGTGGTCTCAGAGCAGATGATAATGGTGAGGTTGCGACAGAGTGCCTGGGGCTTGCCCTCCACTTCTGACAATGAAACTGGGAGAGGAACAGGTTACTCAGAGTGCATGAGGTCCTTTAGAACTCGGAAATATAACTTTAACTGGGTCTGGTGACTTGAACCAAGGTAGCTGGGCACCTGCTTCCTGTCTTCATCACCTCGGTTGGTTTCCAGTTCCACATTAACTGTTCTTATTCCCAGCTTTAGAGTGTGCTCCCTTCTAGGGCATCTGCTCCAAGCCATAGGTGTTCAGATTTAAGGTGGGTGGTATGAGGCCCAGGCATCGATATTGAAAAGTAAAAAATTATAACTCCCTAAGTGATTCTAATGTACAGCCACACTTGAGAACCATGGGATGTATCCCTGCTGTCTTTTGTGTGACCATAACAAATATGTAGTTTTTATTATTTTTCTGTCAACTCTAGCTCATCCCAGGCCTTTCCAACATTATTCTCAGAGGTGTTTGGCACTTATATTCATCCTTGATTTATATATCCAAACTCCCACTTTCTGTTCGTGTCTTTTAAAATTATGAGATTGGAGAGCTGACTTGTAGCCACAATGGTCTCTTTAGATACCTCTTTTCCCTTCATCAGAATAATTTGTGACTATATAGCAGATACTTATTTTTCAGAGATCTGAATACACAGAAGCATCTTCATATTTTATCTCATCTTTTTGTAAGCTTATTTCATAAGGTTTGGAGTAGATGTTGATGCCTAACACTGTCTTCTATGTATATCATGCTTTGAACTGGAAAAAGCGCCAATGAACAGACTACTTCTCAAGAAGTACAGAGCATCGGGCCCCACAATTAGCAAAGTCAGCAGCTCCTCCAATGTATAGATTCAATGGTATTCCTATCAAACTACCAATGACATTCTTCCCAGAACCAGAAAAAAAACTATTTTAAATCCCATATGGAACCAAAAAAGAGCCCCAATATCCAAGGCAATCCTAAGCAAAAAGAACAATGCTGGAGACATCAGAGGCATCATGCCACCTGACTTTAAACTATACTGCAAGGCTACAGTAACCAAAACAGCATGGTACTGGTATAAAAACAGGCACATAGACCAATGGAATGGAATAGAGAGCCCAGAAATGAGGCCACACTCTATGGCCATCTGATCTCCGACAAACCTGACAAAAACAAGCAGTGGGGAAAGGACTCCCTATTCAATAAATGGTGCTGGGATAACTGGCTAGCCATATGCAGAAAACTGAAGCTGGACCCCTTCCTTACACCACAAAAAATCAACTCAAGACGGAATAAAGACTTAAATATAAAACCTGAAACTATAAAAATCCTGGAAGACAACCTTGGCAATGCCATCCTGGACATAGGAATGGGCAAAGATTTCATAAGGAAGACACCACAATCAATCATAACAAAAGCAAAAATTGACAAATGGGATTTAATCAAACTTAAGAGCCTCTGCACAGGAAAAGAAACTATTAACAGAGTAAACAGACAAGCTACAGAATGGGAGAAAAATTTTGTAAACTATGCATCTGACAAAGGTCTCATATCTAGCATCCATCAGGAACTTAAACAAATTTACAAGAATAAAATAAACAACCCCATTAAAAAATGGGCAAAAGACATGAACACTTTTCAAAAGAGAACATACACGTGGCCAAGAAGTGTATAAAAAAAGCTCATCGCTGATCATTAGAGAAATGCAAATCAAAACCACAATGAAATACCATTTCACAACAGTCAGAATGGCTATTATTAAAAGTCAAATATTGGCTGGGTGTGGTGGCTCTTGCCTGTAATCCCAGCACTTTGGGAGGCTGAGGCTGGTGGATTGCTTGAGCATGAGAGTTTGAGACCAGCCTGGGCAACATGGAGAAACCTCATCCCTATAAATATAAAAAATTAGCCAGCCACAAGCCTGTAGCCCCAGCTACTCACGAGGCTAAGGTGGGAGGATCACTTGAGTCCAGGAGGCAGAGGTTGCAGTGAGCCAAGCTCACGCCGCTGCACTCCATCCTGGGCCAGAGTGAGACCCTGTCTCAAAAATAATGAAAGGTAACTAAAGTCAAAAAATAACACATTCTGGAGAGGTTGTGTAGAAGGGAACACTTATACACTGTTGGTGGGAGTGTAAATTAGTTGAACCATTGTGGAAAAGTGTGGCGTTTCCTCAAACACTTAAAACAGAAATACTATTCGACGTAGCAATCCCATTACTGGGTATATATGCAAAGGAATATAAATCGTTCTATCCTAAAGATACATGCATGCATGTGTTCATGCAGCACTCTTCCCAACAGAAAAGACATGGAATCAACCTAAATGCCCATCAGTGGTAGACTGGATAAAGAAAATGTGGTACATAGGCAGCATGGAATACTATGCAGCCATGAAAAAAGAATAAGATCATGTCCTTTGCAGGGACAGGGATGGAGCTGGAGATAATTATCCTTATGAACCTAATGCAGGAACAGAAAACCAAATGCTGCATGTTCTTACTTATAAGTAGGAGCTAAATGATAAGAACACATGGACACATAGAGGGGAAAAACAGACCCTGGGGCCTACCAGAGGGTAGAAGGTGGGAGGGAGAGGATCAGGAAAAATAACTAATGGGTACTAGACTTAATACCCGGGTGAAGAAATAATCTGTATAACAAACCCCTGTGACATGAGTTTACCTATATAACAAACCTGCACATGTGCGCCTGAACTTAAAAGCTAAAAAAGAATCAGCAGCTCTGCAAGGGCAGGTTTTTTCCTTTCTCCTCTACAGCTTCAATGTGCTGGCTTTGCCCTCAGGTTAGCTCCCTTCTGGGTCCAAATGTGGCTATAGCAGTTTCAGTCATCAAGTTCAGGCAAAATAATGTAAACAGGCAAAAAGAGTCTCTTGCAAGGTCTCCTTGGGAGTGAAGGAACTTTCCCCAGAAACACCCTCAGCAGAGTTTCCTCATGTCTCCTTTGCCAGGATGGAGTCCCATGGCCACTTCTAAAGCAATTACACCAAAGGTGACAGAGCTGGGATAACGTCCTACTTCCCTAAGCCACAAGGTGGGGGAAAGCAGTTACTCCTCAATATCCTGGCAAGGAAGCAGCAGCGATGCTGGAGAAGCAACCACCAGTGTCTGCCTTAGTCTCATCATTACTAACATTTGAGTGCACACCTATGTTCGCTGCAGGCTCCTAACATTTCCTCTAGAATCATTCTTTCCCACGGGGCCAAAATGAATCCCAGAGCAGCAGTTTTGTTACTTCTGGTAACCTAATGGGATGGCATTATCAGCAAGTCAAGAGTTAATCGGACTCTTAGCAAACAAGACACCCAGCAAGGTCTTTTATAGCCCAACTACTGCATCACTACCATGTCTTGTCTCTGTGTTTTCCTGTTGCAGATTCAGAACAGAAATCCATAGCCTTAATCTGATGAAGAAAAAGTACAATATAACCTGACAATCATATTTTTGTCTTTTTTCATTATTCACATACTCCTCATTTACTTTCCCTCTCAGGTCTAAGTTCCCTTTGTGTATTCTTGATATAGTTTCCCACCTTTATTAGACCCATTTCTTTTGAACAGTGTATTTTTGTACCCTAGTAACAAATAGCATCTCAGATTTTGACAGTTATGTTTATGTCCTTATGTTAACATGTCTAAGCTCTATGTATGACCTGGTACCTCGCATATACACATCTGAAGCTGTGTCATTACTGGGTCCCCTATTTTCCTTCTATTCCAGAGCTTATTTTTGAGATGTCCCCACTCATCTTCCTTTTAAATGAACACAGCATCATCCACATTTTCTCTGGCCTTTTCATAAGCTACTTCCATAAAGTTTAGAGTATACGTTGATGCCCAGCACTTTATTTCCAACATAAGGCCTTCTGACAGGTTTGCTAGCTTGCATGAGTTCTCAGACAAATCAGTGCTCTAAATATTTATTTTAAAATAAACCTTACAACCCTCTAAACTATGTGTTAATTTTTATAAATGAAAAAACTGAAGCTCAGATATTAAGTAACTTCTTCAAAATCACCCAGAACAAAGTCAGGCTTGACTCCAAAGCCCAGCTATTCTTGTGGTTTTCTGAACTCTGAGGACTGACGAACAGCATCAGTCAAAATGTAGATGTGTTAAAATTATCAGACTTAAAAAAAAATGCTCCTGAGAAACACTGGGGGAGTGGCACCCTAATGGAACCCAGGTGAGTGATGCCCACGGAAAACCATGTGGTAAGGAAGGACATAAGGGGAAACAGGTTCCAGCATGCAGGGAAGAAGAAAAACTATCTCGTCTGGCAGACAACTGAGAACTGGCCAACTCCCAGATGTCTTCCTGTATGTTCCTACAAGAATTCTGAGGGTCCCACTCTGCTGCGGCTTGTCCCGGTTCCCCTCCAGGTTCTGCTGCCTCCTTGTATTATTTAACTATAGCAAAGTTTCTCCCACTTCATTGTAAGACTTCCCTTACATCAAATAAGCTTCAAGAACATGTGTAGAAAATAAAAGATACCAAATAATGTTTGAATGTGTAATTACTACATTCTAAAACCAGCCAGACTCTTCTAAGACTTCTAACAACAAACCACTTCCAGAGCCATTTTAGAAAATGTGTTTACCCAACTCCTTTTTTATTGGTTGACTCACGTGGAAGAGATGGGCATTTCCTTTCCCCAAATGGGAATTTACTATGCCTACTCCATATTTCTTGAAAGCTGTCATTTTGAAAAAGAGGAATATGAAAAATATTAAAAGACAAACATCTGACATCACTGTCGAAGACTATAAAATAATGTAGTAAGTGAAATTGGTTTTCACATTTCAGTACTGCTTTAAACTCTGATATTTAAGAACTAAGTGTTTCTCATTTAGTTCTATCCATGATCTCTTTCAGAAGTCAACCACCTCCTGTGTAAAAGCCTCATAGAAGCCACTGCCTTCTGAAGGAAACACACCAACTGGCAGGGGGTCAGGGTAAGCCAGGAGTCACACCCAACTACCACTGCTCACACCCAAGAACCCCACCCTACCCTGGCCACAAAAACTGTGCCTAGACTCCAGCACAGCCTGCAGCTGTGTTTCAATTATAGCTGTGTTTGTAATTATAGGTCATGTGCCTTCTCCCCCACCCCAATCACTCCACCCCAATCACTCCATTTGGCTAACAAGTGACCATATTATAACACAAAAATGGAAAACAAACTGGAATGCTCGAAAAAGTTACAAATAAAAACGGTATGAAGGCATATTAAATTTTGGCTGATACTTCCCTTTGATTTTGCTAAACTATAGCAAAGGCTGGCTCAATGTTGATTTTTACTGAAGAGTATCATTAACTGAAGAAAGAAAAAAAGACATAAACAGTAGTGAAATAAAGAATAGGCAAATACACCAGAATTATGAATAGAAGCCATTTTAAAGAAGAGAAATATTCTACAACAGATGAAGAAAGTTTTAATTTCTTTTCACATTAAACATTGTTTACCACAATCAGCTAACAGAAATTACTGTAACATTGGTCACGATGACTTCATAAAACTAAAGATAAATGTTATGAGGAAACTTCATTTAACGTGAATGGTAATGTTAGATACTGTATTTTTCCATGGTAAAATACAACTTATCTTGAAGAGAAAGCAAATAGTTCAGATCAGGGAGACATGCTGAGGTTTTAATAAAGAAAAGCTTGGCCTTGTCCAGAACACTTAACAAAGTTCAGGACAATTTAGGTAAAAGAGATGAGTGAGACACCAGCGTTAGGCAGGGACATAGGCTCATCATTCAGGCTTTATGTACATTACTGGATCTATGCAGCTCTCACCTTTAGATAAGTGAGCTATATTTTTGGCAGAGGGATCTTCAAAAGTAGCCTTGGATATGAGGAATCGTATTTTAACCACCAGGCAGTCCAAGGAATTATTTTTAAAGGGACAGCTGAGTATTTCACGTATATACTATTAAGGCATCTAAATTTTTGGTGTTTTCAGTATATAATTTTACTGCTACTTTTTATTCTTTTTTTTCATATTGTACAACTATGATATTAGGTATTAAGCGACGTAATTCTTTCTCTACTAGTGAACCAGTTTATTTCACTTAGCAAACTCTAAATTGAGGGAAATATATAATCTGAGAACACACAGAAAAATATATTGAAAAACCAATAGAGAATTATTTTTAACCATCATAAAAACTCAATCTTAATTAACTGATAGTCTTTAACTTAAAAAAAGAGTAATCAGAATGAAAATAGGTATTAAAAATAATTACCAGTAGTTTGTTTTACAAAATAGAGCCATAAATTGTTTAATTGCCCAATTAAGCAACTACCAGATTCTTTAGTCAACACTAACAGAATTCACATTTCAGCTAGTCAACAAAGCATATAAATATTTAACATCTCTTGAAGATAACATTTTAGTGATAACGGAGACTACATAATTCTATCCATTGTTGTGACTGTCCACAAATTAACCAGGTTAAATATCAAAGATACATTGGGAATACTCCCCAAAACAACAACAGAATATTAATTAAATGAATTTTAAAAGCTTAAGAAATGAAAGTAGAAAACATGAATGAGACGGTGCTTAAACAATTATTGACCTAATCAAGACCTTTAAAATTACCACCAAAATGCACTATCATTTTTTTTTTATTTAGTTTACAGGAAGAATCTGTAAGTACAGGTTGCAGAAAGAAAACGTTTAGTGCTATTTACATTCATTTTAAAACTCTGCTCTATACAAATTTAATTCTGATCAGTATGAACAATATTTTCGTAGATCTACTGCATATAAAGCCTTTTCATCAAAGCATTAACAATGAATAAAATAACATGATTACATTTAAACAACGCTGACCATTTGAAACCATTTACATTTAATGTTTGTAAGGGCTGTTGACACTTAGTACAGAATGTAATGTCAGCCTGCAACTTCATTTTTATAAAGGCTAAACTTATTTATATGGAATATTGTTCTGTATACTACGCGCCAATCTATATTTTAAGTCCTGTAGTTAGGTATTTTATAAGTCTTTTATTAAATATATTCTACACATATTTGTAATTTCATCCAGGAAGAATTTCTTCCCAGTGAAAAAATATAAAAATCTTTCATATTTTTACAGGTTTAGATGAAAGTAGCTCATGCTTTAGTGCTGTGCAAATTGTTTTTAGCATATCAATCTTTAAATTATTGGTATGAAATAAAAGAAAAAGTGGCATTCTTGTGTATGCCATAAAAATCAGCTTTTGACTTTAATACAATTGCAAGCACTAATATCAAACGCAAACTATATAAAGAAACAAAATTAGTACTATGGAGTTTTTTTTTAATTTTAAGAATTCATCTGAACTCTAAGGAGTAAGCATGACACTGGATGTGGTTACAAATTAATGATAATTATGGAAAATTTCAATTTGCTGATATTCAAATACATAAAATTGATCAATGAGGTTTTCTAATATTTCTGCACAATAATGAAAGCCGATGAGTGACTGAAACTACCCTCCCACATTAAGGCTAGGAGACGCACTCTCACCCCTTCTTGTGCTGTCTAAACAAACACTCAGTTACTGTAGGACTCAAGAGTGCATGTCTTAAAGGAAAAAAAATTAGTTTCATCAGCCCTCTACTGAGTGCTTTAAACAGGCACATTTTGTTTTTTCATTTGTTGCAGTGAAAATAGTCACACTCAGTTTAGTATTCTGTGCCAGTGCAGCCACCACGGCTGACTTTGGTAGAATTCACCCAACATTTTAGTTTCTTTTCCATTTTTTCCTCTCAAGTTGGCCCAGTAATTAACTTCATTAATTGCTGAGTGTCTTCCAGTGTGGAATTGTATATATAAGTATTTCTAGATACCACACACTGTTATAAATTCTGCTGATGAGGAAAATAATGCCAATCTTTTTAATGCAAATTGTATTTGGAACACTTGATTTATTAGTTCTGATGATGAAAATTTTGTGGCAGCAAAATGGTTTCTGCTACGAAAGATAACTTGTTAACTTTTCCCCTGGAGATTGACTGCATTCAAAAACCAATATGTGTTAAAACAGCTCAACAAAAAATACAAGAAATAAAAAATCAGAGTGAAAAATGTTCTTGGTTCTTTTTACTTTCATGAGAAAAGATGACAGTGTTCATGTGGTAATTCAGTTCCATGTGTTTACAGGCAGACTGTTCTGAACGGTTTCTGAAGCAATGTCGGGTCTTTTCTGTCCCAGCAGCATGAAAGACAAAGACTATATCACATCACACTAGGCAGACAGTGTTTACAGGATTACACAACAATTACTCTCTCCAGTCTTCTCACGATTCCTCTGACCTAGGGAAAACGAAGAAGAGCCTCGTTTATAAAAATTCTAGAACTGGAGGGGAAAATGGGCTAGGCAATCAAGTGTAGGAAGTAGTAGTTTTGAGTTTTTAAAAATGTTTGCATTTTTCAAAATTAAGAAGCTGTAATAAATGTTCTTTTAATTTTAGCATGTTTCAAAAATGTCTGGTTATTTGCTTGACAATCTCTATTCATAAACTATGCAAACTTCCCTTCCCTCAGCATATCCAAGAAAAACCTAGCATTTTTGAATGCCTGTCTTTGTGCCTCAACTGAGATACTTTTCCAGTGCATGGCTTACCTTGAGAGTTTGGCTCTGGTAATGTCTCTCTGGCCACCAAATGCATCACTGTTGTTTTGCCAAAAGGAAGTTTTAATGCTATGTGAAAAGCAAAAGATGATTAGTTACACATATATCGACCTATTAAAATCACTATCCAGATTTAAAACCATTTTAAAAATTGATTGCTTTTTTATGACTTCTTTAACAGATTCAACTTAACTCAGAGTACCTTCACAAAATTAGGTTAATATTATCAGAAATAACATTTAAAATTTAGAAATTATTTTTTGCAGTTATATAGCCATTTGCTTGACACATTTATCCATATTAAGAGATGATATAAGAAAAAATATGTAATTGGCTAATATCAGAGGCCACCTTTAGAGGAGAAAGGATTAAATTTTTTTTAAAAGAATACTCTTTTCTATATTAGGTAAAAGTTTAGATTAAGAGATATTCATTTCTAAATCTAATTACTTGTCTATTGCCTAATAAAATTACTGCACTGAACAGGCTACTATGATGTAGAAATGCAAGAAATAAACTTGATTTTAAACATTTATTCTCACCCTGTATTCGTCCATTAGAAAAGAACTTTCTTAAAAAGATTAGGTTAAAATAATCACTTTCTTGGCATTATCAATAATCACTGTTTCCTAATCAAGTCTTTATAACATTTTTTCACTCATAAATTTAATAAATTTTATCATGAAATATTTCAGACATAGAACACACACCCATGTCCACTAAGGCAAATACAAATACTGAGTTTCATGGTAAATCCCTTTGTTACTCTGTGTATAAAATTAGAAGCAGCTGGTATATTTAGCTTCTAGAACTGTTTCTATAGTTGTTATGTTTTAGTTCTGACACCTCAAACTACCCTCTCTTCAAAAACTACAAACTGAAGTAAGGCCTAAGATCATCACTTAGCAATAATGATCCTCCACTCCAGCTACCTGCTTTTTAAAACCTGCTCTATAGGATGATGGTTAACATGCAGATTTTAAAAAGAATCCTAATTATCTTCAACACTAGTACTATTTCATATATTCAAGGTGAGTTCCAATCTCATTTAAAGTTGGCCAGCCATTATTTGGTCTACACTTTTAACCTCTGATGTTCAAATGAAGCACGATGGCCCATAAATACATAATGAAAAAAGGGAGGCTTTTAGAATAACTTCCTAGGCCTGACTTAAATCAAAATGTAAGTAAGACTTTATGTTATTAAAATTTTCACTAAATAGTTGGGAAAGCCTGATCAACATTTCAAACCTTGAACTGAACTTAAAATGTACACATACCAAGCTGTATATCATTCTCATACCCGTCTTCTTGACTCTAATAAGACAGACCTGGATTACAAATTTTCATCTCTGCTACTTCCAACTGTGTAACTCTCAGCAAGTTACTTACCCTCTAAGCTTCTGTTTCCTCAACTAAACTGGAGATACTAATTCCATTACCTGCCCTTTGTAGCTGTGTCCATTAAATCAAACAATCCAAGCAAAGTGCTTTGCACAGAACTTGGTACAAAGAAAGCATTCAGTATATACTACCATCATCATTTTGAGATAGCAAGGAAAATGAATCTGAGAAAAAAGGTAGGTAAACTGAGATATATATGTAAAAAATGTCAAGACAGGCCTGGAAAGCTCCTGAGAGGCTTACCATTTGAAGTTACAAATGTAATGCGTGGGAGCTATTATTTTTCTTCTCCATCTGAATTTTAACTAGAAATAGTAGGTATTGATGTTAATAACATTTAAAAATGTGAAAGAAGAGGAATACCAGAATCTAAAATGCGTTTTCTTCCTTTCACTGTGGATGCTTCTGCTCTCTCCTATGACACAGTACAATATCCAGAATAGAGGTTTTCAACCTTTAGCGTACATAAAAATCACCCAGGAATTCAATTCACTAGTAAAATTAGGAGATGGGGGTTGGGGAGAGAGGGCATGCAGAAATCTGCATTTTAAAATAAGTATCCTAGATGAGTCTCATGCCCACTATTTCAGAGCCACATTTTTGGAAATGCTAATCTGGGCCATACTGAATGCCAAAGCTTTAGCTGATCATCTTCTTCACCCTCCGATTAACAAGGCTGCTGTCACACCTTTCCTTTAATGAAATGAAACTCTATATGGCTATAAAGGTTCTATTTTAAAAAGGGGGGATTCAGGGCTATGTTTTAAGACATTTGATAACCAAACATTTCAACCTGAAACTTAAGCAGAAAATTTCAAGAATGGCAGAGAATGCCCAGGCTTCCTACTTTGTCTGCATAATGGCTGAATTCCACCCATGGCTGTATACCCACTACTTCGTGGTCATCCACTGCTTGACCACTACCTATAACAAGATCTCACTAACTTTCCCTGGCAGTCTATTCTTTCTTTAGGTAGCTCAACATGTTCACATATTCTTTCCTATATTGAAGAGAAAACTGTCTTTGATTTTCAGTTACTGATCCTAAGTCTAATTCACAGGGCTATACAGAGCAAGTTCTAGGGCCACACAAAGCCTTCTTCCACACAGGCCACTCAAATATTTAAAGATGGTTGTATTTCCCTGTGTGCTATCTTCTTTATTATTCACATTGAAGAACACAGGGAGGCTAAAAAGAAAAACTGAGACCCAAAAGACAAATAGTTGAATGTTGTTATCCAAACTTGCTCAAACATCCAGCTACAATTATTAACGCGGAGGTCCAGGCCATGCTTCTACACTAGAGATAGTTTATTGTTTTTGAAAAGAAGGACAGCAACACAGAATTACAATAATAATTACATAAGTCAATCTGTTCATTATTCTAAAACAGATTTCAAAAAAATACTGGTAAAAAATTATACTTTAGTGGGAATAAATCAATAGTTTTGATTTTAACACAAATTCTATGAGCTTTAATATGAAGTTCAAACTCTGAGGTCACAACAGAAAAGATAATTAAGGAATGGAGTTGGTGGGAAATTGCTCACATAGATCAATACTCAAAAGGGAAATGGAGCATTTCAAGGTTCACTCATATAATCGATAGATTAAATTCAACCAACATTTACCAATTTTTAATTCACATAAGATCTTGTATGAGCCATGGAGAATTTTAAAAAGACTAGAACATGGTCCCATCCTTAATGAATGTACAATATAGCCAGGGAGCTAACAGTCAATTCTTACATGAAGAGCATTAAGAGTTGGTCCATCTATTTATACAAAAGCTATAAAAAAAAAGCTACAAATCAAAAAAGCTCCATTTTAAAGTGCCAGATATCTCTTAGTAGATAGCAGCATTTTTTAGACCAGTTATAATACTACCAGTGAAACTCAGTGTGAGATTACAGCCTGAAATGTTTTACTCACTTGACATTGTCATAAAATCATTTGCATTCATCTACTTTAGCCCTTATTGCCCAGGATTTTTACCAGTGCATTTTATCTGTTTGTCCTATGTAATACTAGAGCAACCTGAAGGGAGAGCTTCTGTCTTATTCAATCCTGTATTCCCAAGTGCTTAGCACAGTGTTGGCCCATAAGAATTTAATAAATACATGCTGAATGAATGAATGCAAATATTCTACCTTTAAGGAAAAATAGATTAAATATTAGGTTTAGAGGAAAAACTCAGACTATATTCAGTGAAATATATATTTAGATAGACCATTTCATTTGCCTATACGTTTCCAATTATCTGAATATATTTGAAATACCTATTTTCAAAACTACCATCAAATCCTGTTGATGGTAGAAAATATACCCCATAAGGGGGCAATATTGAGCTACATTTCTCCAATCATATATAAAGAACAATAATAGCTAACAATTAAGGTGTTTACTATGTGCCAAGCACCATTTATGCACGTAAGCACTTTGAATATATAAAGTAATTTACCCTTCTTAACCTATGAGGTAGGCACTACTGTAATTCCATTTTACTGATGAGGAAACTGGAACACAGGTTGGTTAAGTCACTTGCCCAAGGTTTACACAGCCAGTAAGTAGTGCAGCTAACATATAACTTAAATAGTCTAGTTCCAAAATCTGTTCTTTCAACTATTATGCTAAAATGCTGCTCTAATGTCAGCCACCTACTTTATTCTCACATGATTAGCAACTGTATCAGGTAGAAACATCTGAAAACATCCCTTCATATATTTGAAAACTATCATAAATTTTTCCTAGTTTGTGTGTCCAGTCTTAAGTTTAAAATACTACATCTGAATTATATATTATTTGGAAATATAATAACGTTACATTTAAAAAATAGTAGGTATAGAATCCTACCTATACTGGGATAGAGTTTATTTCACAAGGTAGTAAATACTTACTACAGTCCTAAAACTAAATTTAACAGAATATACAATGTGAAGGAGTAGGCATACCAGAAATAGGCAGAATTCATAGTTTGAATTTATCATTTTTTTTAGCAAATTCAAAGACATTAACATTTAAAACAAGCGAATCATGCTACCATGAGACAGACATTAAATCCCATTACAAAGGTGGCTGTTACCTCCTAATGTGACATTTCCATGTAGAAATCGTCCTTGATAAATAAGTCGTAGAATATTTGGACTGCTGACCTGCTCTTCTTCCCAGTCTGAAAAGAATCCAGTGTACTGGTTAGGTATATTCCAACATATAATTAAGGTACTACTATATTGTTTTAAAAATTCAGATCCAAATCAGTTAGAGTACAAAGAAGGCCCTTGGAGCTTCCTACTACTATTAGAAACAGTCACTATTCATACATTTACCGCAACCTTGGTTATTACTTATTCTTTTAAGTAGCAAGAGCTGCAAAAAGACTCGTTTTGCTTCTTAAAGAATACTAAAATGTACCAAATTGTAGTCCCCAAGTTTAAAGTTAATACAAATGAGTTGGGAAAGACCTACTGAGTAAAAAGAAATATCATTTTAAAATTAATTTCAATTACCAGTAATTAACACATAGTATTATAATGCTCCAATATTTGTACCTGTTAAAATGTACATTTAAGGCTAGAAAACAGCAGGCTTAACAAAGATCTAAAAAACAGTTAATATATTGATATTGAGAATAACAAAAAAACTGTTTACTTTTGGATAATGTTGATATATTATCTTATTGTCTATCTGAAGTCAGTTAGTAAACATTAGAGAAGATACAACTTTAGTTCACCTCACCCAAAATGAAGACTTGGAAGAAACCAAAAAAATTATATATATTTGGAGGTACTGTACAAACATGAAAGCTAGAAAAGTGTACACACAAAGAAAATAAGACAAACTGGTAGGCAGAATGGGTAACAGAATATTTAACTTCAGCCTATAATTTATATTATTGTAAAAGATGGAAACCACTCCATTAAAATAAAGGTTTAAGGACACTAGTGTTATGATAGGGTAAAGGTTTAGTAATTTTCATGAGCTTGCAGATGTAACAATTTAAGCTTTGAGTTTAGTAATGATCTGAGAATTCCTTTGTCTTTTTTGTCAACAATTCTAATGTGTTTGTTTCCTATAGAAAGAGATAATGGTTAACACAAAAAAATAGTTTAAAGTATTCTGAAAGAGTGACAGAAGATAAAGGAAGTAACTAGAGACTTTTCTTTTGCCCTTTTTTTGACTATTCAAAATGATGAATGTGAATTTGATAAAACCACTGCCTATAGGTAACTTAGGCACAGCAGAAATGAGCAGAGGAGAAATGAATCCGTCATTTCCTGCCCCCGCTCCATGCCTTTAGTCTCTTCCCTCTTCTGTCTCCTGTAAGGCTTTGTTGCCTTCTGATCCCATTGTTCCCAGGTCCCTCCTATTCTAGAAGAAAGATCAAATAAGTCTCTAACACTATAGTATGAATTGCTTTGAATTCATCAATTCCAAAATTATTGTTTAATAGAATATTTCTGGTCAAGATGGAAGTGCTCCATAGATACAAAGGTAAATGACAGTAATTGTTTAATTCACAGGAAACAAAGACTGATATTCTAAAAATACTTGAATTTTTTTTTTGAGATGCAGAAACCTGAAGCCCCATGTTTCATTATCTTATACAGAGTGTCATGATTTCCACGTACTTCACTGGTGTAATATGCTATCTCCCTTCCCCTCTCCAGGGATCTAAAATTTAGAGAAATCTTAGAATATAGCTTAAATGAAGAATTTCAGGTGTTATTAACATATCCTAAGTATAACAAGATTTTTTTGAACCTTTGACCCAATAATAGCTATGTGTCTGACTATTCCACCTGTTAGTAATATTTCCACTAAATAGCAGAAGGGTATGCTAAGGAAAACTAATTCCTTCAACAAGTATGTTGCACGAAGTATTTTCTGCTATTAATATTTGCCACACATTTGTTATTAACATCAATAAGTATTTAATTTGCTGATCTTTAGTACATTATGTGATACAATATAGACTTAGATTTTTAATTTAAGTATTTTATGTAAAATAAAAATTAAAGTATTTCTCTTTATTCCTTGCAGTGTCTAAAACTGCTGAGTAGATTTGGCAACCTGAGGAAATACTGGGAATCAAAATCTTTTTTTTGAAAATAAGGGAACATCCACTGATACAATCAATATTCAGTACTGGTAGATGGTCTGTTCATTTGGGATACTATTTATGGCAAAGACTTATACTTGAATTTAAACTAATTTTAATATCTAAGTAAGTAATTATGAAAGTAAAAGTATTTCTTTTACCTTAAGTTACAATACTGCCCAAATAAATTTCAGAGTGATTACCCTTTTTCTGCCTTGTGTTATGTTTTCTATAATATCCATATATCAAAAGCTATTACTTACTATGACCGCTCCCCCCAAAAAAAATCTCATAAAGGTAATCTTTTTGTATCACACTTAGAACAACATCATTCTTGGGTATTTAAAAATGCTTTTCATACTGATAGTTATCTATTCCTGCCTGGCTATAAAGAATAGCCAATATTCTTAGATCCCAAATATCTTTAGCTTTTCTGAAATTCTTTCTTAGCTATAACCTTTATAGCTTCAGTATCTCCCTGACTTAGAAACTAGCCGCTTGGTTACTAATGTGAAGAAAGATCCAGTAGTTGAAAGTATTTGTATAAATCAGTATTTCTTAAATTTAGGCCTATGAATCCACCAAGACATGTCCTTAGGGTCTAAAAGTCCTCTTCAAGAAGTTTTAAATTGTATTTTTTTTTTTAATGAAAATCTGGAAAATCTGTATTTTCATTTTAATGAAATCTGGAGGAGATTGTCTAGATGATTTAAATAGTGACTTTATAACCCAAGTGCAGCCTTGGGGTTTTAGTACTCACGTGTGCATTAAATTTATGACTGTACTGGTGCCAAGCAGTCAGTACTTCTTTAATTGTTAGGAGGCTAATGAGATCAGAACAGGGGTTCACTTAACAAGTAAATGATGCATTCTACCTATGAGAAAACTGAGTAACAATTTGTTATACTGTATAAATAAAGGTTTTATGGTGACTCTACAGACAACCTGGTCATCAAACACTATGTAGGAACATAGGCATGACAAACTCAACAGTATTCATGCTGTAAGCAGTGAGCTGGCTTTGGCAAAAATACATCATCTAGCACATTAATGTTGTTAACTTGAACATTATTGGTTTCAGAGTTATATTTGCATTTTCTGAATCAATCTTTTTTAGTTTTATGATTGTGTATATGAGTTAAGAAGAATAAAGAGTTTTAACTGGGTTTAAGTTTCTACATTTTAAAATACGCATTATAATAAAAATAATTTAAGTCAGCAACTAGAGATCTACAAGAATTATCTTCCTCTAGAAAAGCTCCGTATATTATTTAAGGTTGAGAAACACTAATCTAATTGACTCATTTTGTACATATACTATGTTCTTTGTCAAAATAAGTCTTGTCCTTTAAAAGTTCAAATTGCTACTGCTAATAAAATTAAGTGAAATCAGCTGAAAAAAATCATATCACTATGATACATGACATAAGGATCAAGATGACACTGGGGAAGTTCAAAGGAAGAAAATAAACCAACAATTCACTTGAGGGAGGCAATTTTTTTTTTGAGACAGAGTCTTGCTCTGTCACCCAGGCGGGAGTACAGACGCATAATGTCAGCTCACTGCAAGCTCTGCCTCTCGGGTTCAAGAGATTCTCCTGCCTCAGCCTCCTGAGTAGCTTGGATTACAGGGGTGCACCACCATGCCCAGCTAAATTTTGTATTTTTAGTAGAGACGGGGTTTCACCATGTTGGCCAGGTTGGTCTTGAACTCCTTGACCTCAAGTGATCTGCCTGTCTCAGCCTCCCAAAGACCTGGGATTATAGACGTGAGCCACCACGCCCAGCTGACGGTCTTATTATATAAAAAAAAAATCAAAGAAAATAAGAAATACCAAACACATTTTCCAAGATTGTTATGGTTACTGGCTTGAAAATGGAAAGCACAGACAGACATTAATTATCTTGACCTTATAGTAGTTCAGAGAACATAAGAACTGACATGAATTAGAAGTTAACTTTGTTTCAAACTTAATTTTAAATAGGCTATCTAGAGAAGACCACAGAGAATGTATTATCTGTTAAAAATAGTTGTTCTTTCCTCTTTGTGTTTTGGTAAAAATAGGTTTACTGATATGAAGGTGTGTGTATATTCACTATTTTGTGTTTTTTTTTCTTTTTTTTCTTTTCTTTCTTTTTTTTTTTTTTTTTTTGAGACAGGGTCTTGCTCTGTTGCTCAGGCAGGAATGTAGTGGTGTGATAATTGCTCATGGCAGCCTCAAATTCCTGGCCTCAAGTGATCCTCCTGCCTCAGCCTCCCAAGTAGCTGGGACTACAGGCATGTGCTACCATGCCTGGCTAATTTTTAAATTTTTAGCAGTGATGACATCTTGCTATGTTGCACAGGCTGGTCTCACACTCCTAGCTTCAAGCAATCCTCCTGCTTTGGTCTCCCAAAGTGCTGGGATTACAGGTATGAGCCACCATCCCTGGCTGCATTTTTCTTTATTAAAAATATTTTTTGGCTAGGCACGGTGGCTCACGCCTGTAATCCTAACACTTTGGGAGGCCGAGGTGGGTGGATCACAAGGTCAAGAGATCGAGACCATCCTGGCCGACATGGTGAAACCCTGTTTCTACCAAAAATACAAAAATTAGCTGGGTGTGGTGGCACGTGCCTGAAGTCCCAGCTACTCGGGAGGCTGAGGTAGGGGAATCACTTGAGCCCGGGAGGCAGAGGTTGCGGTGAGCTAAGATCACGCCACTGCACTCCAGCCTGGCGACATAGCGAGACTCCATCTCAAAAAAAAAAAAAAAAAAAAAAAAAAAAAAAATTTTTTTCACTTACGTTAAAACAGTTCTAAGACAGAAGCAGAGCCATTGCATTCTGGGCTCCTTTACCATTTGGGAATGAGACTGCTGAAGAGCAAGATAAGGAAGGGTACAATGATCCTCTAAATCTGAGCCTTATACTCTCAATTTTCGGTTGTTCTTTTAAATGTTATATAACAGTTTCAAAATGTTTGTGAGACAAGGTAGGGCATAAGAATCAACATTATTCATACTCAAGAGAAAAATATCACTCACCCATTGGCCAATTGTCATATACATGCTTTGCAATGTCAGAAGCAGAATCGTTAGGAGAAAACAGGAACTCTTTTGTTTTTCCGCTTACCAAAATGAGGCGCAAATTTATCTGAAAGAAGACAATGATTCTTTTAACATAAATCTAAAAATTTTTTAAGTAAAAAAGAAGACTCAAAGGCTTTTCATTTCAATCACATCCTAAATTATTACCAATGCCATATTGTGGTTTTTATTTAAATTCTATAAAACTTTTTTAAAAAGAATGGGAATTTGATATTTGATTTTATTTCCTATTATTTAAAGGGTGTGTGTGTGTGTCAGACATATTTGCCATAATAAATGAACAAAGGAAAACCAAAATTCATTACACTTTTAAATTTAATCACTCCAACAATGTTCAGAATTGAACTTTTGCAAGTTATCACTATTATTATAGAATATACATTTTTACCCAAAAATTAATAAAAATGTTGACACTGCAGGTCTCGTCACTAAACAGAAAAAAAATTTAGTTGATATTCTACTTCTTAAAAAATATAATTAAAAGAAAATAAACTATATACAAGTTTTTTTCCTATGAAAATTATTAAAACCTAGACGAATTAACAATAAACTATGTATGTTTTTTTGAGACAGAGTCTCTGCTCTGTCACCCAGGCTGGAGTGTAGTGGTACAATCTTGGCTCACTGCAACCTCGGCCTCCCAAGCTCAATCCATTCTCCTGCCTCAGCCTCCCAAGTAGCTGGGATTACAGGTGCTCACCACCACGCCCAGCTAATTTTTGTGTTTTTAGTAGAGATGAGGTTTCACTATGTTGGCCAGGCTGGTCTTGAACTCCTGACCTCAAGTGATCTGCCCACCTTAGCCTCTCGAACTGCTGGGATTACAGGTGTGAGCCACTGTGCCCAGCCAAGAAACTTTAATTTTAAAGAACTTTATCATGGTTAAAGAAAGAATCAATAATAGTAGCTCTTTTAGCCCCAACTGCATGACCATATATTTTTTAGGGGGAGTAAGGTAGGACACATGGGACAAAGGATATAAATTCAACCTCAGTGATAACCCTAAGGGGGATAACAGAATTAAAGTGTTTGAGATCTACTGGCTTCACATTTCCAAGTCAATATATATTTGCTTATACCATTGTTAATGTATTTCCCAAATGTTTAATTTTTATCTGTTGTAATTAATTTAATATTATTTTTAAAAAACACCATATCTATGTATTTCCCTGTAAGTCACAGAAATACAAGTGTTGTTCCTATTACTCCTGGCCTTTGTTAAAAGAGTAAGTAAGATCCTACTAAAAGTTGGGTCCAGTCCAGAGCTGTGCCCTGGTAAGGCCATCTAGCCTAGTTTCTTTATATATAAAGAACAGAGAACCTCATTGCACCAGTTTGAATTGTGCCAGGTCCCAGGTTACCCAAGCTCTCCTTTTTAGTTACTAATTTTTTTTCTTATTAAAAATACCAGAAAATCTTTAAGATGTCAGAGTCTACAATGAATAAATTGGTGCCTATTACAGCAGTCACTGATTTACTATGTTTACTACCACCATGGCCAATGTCACTCCCAGCACCTCACCAATTTGATAATTTATTATTTGAAAATTTTGTTGAAAGTTATAAAATATCTCCCCTATAAAAATGCATGTACACATTTCTGGATTCAATGTAATGCAAATGAATTTCACATTAGATGGAGTGGAAGTAGATTTCATATTAGAACCTGTATTCTATCTACATATTTCAATTAAAAGTTTTTTAGAAGATAAAAGAAAATAATCTACATTCCAGGTGAAAAACCCTTTCAATATGCCCAATAAGAATTTCTTGCTGCTTTTTCTAATTAGAATGGAATTATACCAAATAGCTGAATACAGGAAGAGATCTGATAACATGTTGCTGTAAAGAAGTGATCCAAAAACTTTGAGTTCCACTTGAATAAGTTCAAGAAGTAGTCTGCAAGAATGATTACACTCTACGAAAGTACCACCTTGTTTATTTCCTATAGCAAATCAGTAATGAGCAATTCTTCAAGCAAGGAACCTAACATCTATGCAACACAATATGAATTTCAGTCCTCACAGATACATTACTACTCATGGTTTTCTCTTAATGTATGAATAACAAATACATATTACCCTATGAACTTATACGGAATATTTAAGGTTCTTCAGTCATTAATGCCCAAGAAATTCTGCCCCTAGTAGTTCAGCCACTTGTGTTTAACTAGAAAAAATATAATTAAATTCAAGCTTTCTAATTAAGAGTTATGCAAATTATGTGAACTTAATACTTCTTAAAATTTTTTAAGCTTAAAATTAATTTCCATTGGGCTTTTACTCAAATTATAATATTTAAAAATGATGAAAGGAAATAGATTTAGTCTTTAGGATCTGTAAAGGTGACACCAAAGCCTACTTTTGATTTTCCCTGATGTCTATCAATATGGAAATGGGAAAATAAATGATAGTATATCCTTACCATGGAAATCCATGCAGCTGTTAAACGACATGAGATAAAGACCTGTATGATCTGACATGAACAGATAGCCACAATATATTAAGTGAGAGAAAGCAGCCAGGTATAAAACAGTATTGTGGGAACAACAGAACACATGCCTATTTGCTATGGACTGACTCGCATCTCCCCAAAATCTGTATTGAAGTTTTACCTCCCAAAGTGACTGTGTCTGGAGGATAGGGTAATTAAAGTTAAAGTGAGATCGTAAGGGTGAGGTCCTCGTCTGTACCACAGCGGCCTTATAAGAAGAGAAAGAGCTCGGCTCCTATGCTCTCTCCCTCTTCTCTTCCTGCCCTCCAGGTGGGGAGAGCAAGAAGGCAATGGTATTTTGCCTGTCTACTGTATTTTGCTGTGGCAGCCTAAGTTGAATAATACACACAAAGAAAAATATAAACCAGGCGCGGTGGCTCACGCCTGTAATCCCAGCACTTTGGGAGGCCAAGGCGGGAGGATCACAAGATCAGGAGATCGAGACCATCCTGGCTAACACAGTGAAACCCCGTCTCTACTAAAAACACAAAAAATTAGCCAGGCATGGTGGCGGGCACCTGTAGTCCCAGCTACTCGGGAGGCTGAGGCAGGAGAATGGCGTGAACCTGGGAGGTGGAGCTTGCAGTGAGCCAAGATTGTGCCACTGCACTCCAGCCTGGGCGACAGAGCGAGACTCTGTCTCAAAAAAAAAAAAAAATATATATATATATATATATATATGTGTGTGTGTGTGTGTATATATATATAATAAGTTATATATATATATATAGCAAATAAGAAATGTGAGGCTCCCTTTAAAACGGGAAGCAGCTTTTGATAAAATAGAAACTGATTGGTGAGAAGGTTGACAAAAAAATCAACAAAAACTAAAAACTAAATTACTTGGATCTAAAAACATCTTGTTTATTCAAGTTTCGTTATAAATTCCTTTGCTGTGCTATAACAGGCTACGAAATATAGAATATTCATGGGTTGCTAAACAAGTAACCTGTTTACTAATAAGGTTGAGAAAAGGTATAACTAAGACTACATTTACCTATCCTACCTATCCTATATTTTCTATCTTCAGTGACAAATTTTTCTACTTTGTTTTCCTGTCATTCCATATAAAGAGATCAGGACTCTCTTGCTGCCAAAATGTTTTATTACAGCAACTTGGTTTCTTGCCTCTCTGGTACAGCAGTTTGTAAGTTTATAACTTTGAATTAAATAAAAGTGCTAGCCAGGCGCGGTGGCTCACGCCTGTAATCCCAGCACTTTGCGAGGCTGAGTCAAGTGGATCACCTGAGGTCAGGAGTTCGAGACCAGCCTGGCCAACCTGGTGAAACCCGGTCTCTAATAAAAATACAAAATATTAGCAGAGCATGGTGATGCGCGCTTGTAGTCCCGGCTACTTGGGAGGCTGAGGCAGGAGAATCACTTGAACCCCAGAGGCAGAGGTTGCAGTGAGCCGAGATCACACTACTGCACTCCAGCCTGGGCAACAAGAGCAAAACTCTGCCTCAAAATAAATAAATAAATAAATAGTGCTTCTGACAGTTTAAAACCCTAAAATACAAAGCAGAACTCTGGTTATATTTCAATAGCATGGATGTGTATATCTCACACATATATATGTACAAACTAAAGTCTTGAAGGATATGTACCAAATATAACAGTCCTTATTTCATCTTTAGTTTCTTCATGTATTCCTGCATTTTCTAATTTTCACATTAAGTCTGTATTACTTTTAAAATAGAGTAACATTTAATTCAAAGAGTACTCAATCATTTCAGGATATTCCTAATAAACTATTAATATTTTAAAAAGTTAACGCTATCAAGTACTGTATCGGTATGGGCTTTCAAAGAAATATAAATGATTTTCTTAAGTAGACAAATAAGCATATCAATTGTAATAAATACCGCTCTGGTGGGGGAACGCTGATAATAGGGGAGGCCGTGCATGCATGGGGGAAAAATGTAAATGGGAAATCTCTGCCACCTTCTCAATTTTGCTGTGAACCTAGAACTGCTCTAAAAAATGAAGTTGGCCAGGTGCAGTAGCTCACGGCTGTAATCTCAGCACTTTGGGAGACTGAAGCAGGAGGACAGCTTGAGGCCAGGAGTTTGAGACCAGCCTAGGCAACAAATTGCGACCCTGTCTCTACAAAAAATTAAAAAAAAAAAAAAAAAAAAAAAGCCAGGTGTGGTGGCACATGCCTATAGTACTAGCTACTCTGGAGGCTGAGGCAGGAGGATTACTTGCACCCAGAGTTCGAGGCTGTGGGGATACAGTGCAATGATCATGCCATTGCACTCCAGCCTGGGTGACAGAATGAGACCCCATCTCTAAAAAAAAAAATAAAATAAACATAAATCAACAAAGCCTACTTTTTATAGAAAACATTAAGCACAGAAATATAGAAATACAACATTTAAAAATAAAGTTATAAGATATTCATGGATCCTTTGAAGACTATTCATTGAACCTAAGACCTTCTGTTCTAGATGTCCTTGTTCTAGATGTTCTAGATAATGTTCAATTATCTTTGAACATTCCCAATCTCTTTTTTTCCACTCACAAGCTTAAAAGCTTGTGAGAGGAAAACCAAACCAAACCAAAACAAGACAAAACAAGACACACATACTGTACTCCATAAATTTAACTGGGTTCCTGCCACAAAATTCTCAGCATTTCCTAATTTAAAACTAACACACATCACAGTTGCCAATAAACTGATATTACACTTTCATATTTCAAAAATCAATGGTCTAAAGAGTTCATATTTATCTAGATGTTCAGAATGTTGGAAACTCATAGCCTCTAAATATGTTTGAACCAAATTTAAAAAATATTATTTTAATGTTTATAGGTGGGTATGAATCTTCGGTTTGACACAGACCCTACTACTCCCTCCTTACTCCCCCTGGCCTGCTTCAGACACTCAGGAAACTGCCTAGTTCCAGAAAACATTTGAGTTTGTTAACTCACAGTAGAGTTTGAAAGTAGTTTGGAAGTATAAAATGAGAACAAAAAGCAGGTTAAGATTTTAAAATCTTCTACTCAGAGGAAACCTAATCACCCTTCTGGGTGGGGAAGGGGGAGAAAATGACAACTGCAACAGTAACTGTGTAAATACATAAGTCTAAAAATTTATCAAGTCTTATAGCAAAACTGCTTCAGGAAAGAAGCTTATGTCCAAAATTGAAAAGAGCAACAATAAACCCACAGCACTGCACTGCTGAGTAAAGTAACTCTTGCCTGAAACATCCAGTGCCTGGATCAGTGTTTGGCACATAGTAGTAGGTGCTCAGCCAGTAACTGTTGACTAATATTTCTGTTTTTTCAGTTTTAAGATGCAACTGAAAGTGCAGACTAGAAAGGTCAGAGCTGATTCAAACCTAGGCTTCAGCATTCTGGCATTGTATTGAATGAGTGGCATAGTATGTAGAACAGGAATGGATAATAATTGTTTCTTGGTAGTGCTGTGGTCATGCAGATAGTTCAAATGCGTGAACACCTCAATCTTTAATTTGTTTTGGGCTCTGGATCTTTACTGTCAGCAACATGCCAGAGTTAACATAAATGCTATCATTTAGTCAGGTATTTTGAAAAGTAAAATTAATTCTAAGTTACCGTATTAACGTATACATTTGGGTCTACTTTTCAAACGGACTAGGTTAATAGATATAGACAATTAACAGATTGGTCTTAATTGGGCCTATGCTTATATCTATGAGACAAGCTTGCTACTAGACTAGAGCCATGAATCTGCCTCAGTATGCTTGTCAAGTATACCTTAGGACTGTAAGAAAGATGGAGAAAAACACTGGATTCCCATAATTTCCTTTAGAAGAAATCTTGAAAGCAATCACGCAGATAACTGGATACCGGGCTGGTTATTAGTTAATTGTTCCTATGCTATAATAAGAATCTTCCAGGGCTTATTCAGATAAATAATGTTAATTGTAGCTCCTCTCAGTAAATGTATGACAATTTCTATAAATGTGAGCTTGTTCCTTTAAAATATTAAGTACTTATTACTTAAATATTTATTAGTGAAAGGCCTTTTTACTTCTTTGAAGCCAAGCTAAGTCTAAGTATAAAATACATTTAAAAACCTCTGCTTGTAGGGTAATGGGATCCTTGACACATCAATAATGGGTTAAAAATAAGACTTATTTACAGCTTAAAATGTTATATACTTTGTGTACATACCTGTCTAAAAGAAAACTGGTAATAAGGACTCTGACTTGGTATGAGAGCTATTATGTAGTAAAGTTCCTAAGAGATGGCATTTAGATCATTCAAATGAATTATATATTTTTTATATTTACTTTTGAGACAAAACAAATCAGACAAGACTATTAGTGAGGCAGAACTACCATGATGATTTCCTGTAAGGCCAATGGATACAACAAGAACTCTTCAATGCATGTAATTTCAAGTTAGAACCATTTTTAGTCAAACTGCCATTTCTATTTGTTAGATAGTATCAATTTGGGGAAATTACATATAGAACTTAGTTTATAAAATAATATGTTTTTAGTTGGTCAGGATGGAAAAAAATGACGGGAAAGAAAGAGGGAGGATGGAAGATGGAACTGACTAGAATGGTCTTTGGATATAAAATATAATTACAGAGATGGACCATGCCCTTTAAAAAGGCTGTTTTCTACCAAAAGACAAATACGTTGATCAGAAAAAGAATTCCCACTTCTCCTCTGAGAATCTCTTAAGAATAAAATGAGTATTGGGATACTCTTACTTCACATGCCAGTCTTCCTTAGGGAAAACCATCAACAGAAGCACCCTTTGCCTTTCTACTGCTCATTCCTGCCTTCTTTGCTAAATGGCAACAAGCAGCAGGTAGCCAGTGGGAAAGGTATTAGACCCTTTTTGCAAATCTTTGGAAAAAAAAAAAAACAACTCCCGACTTATATCAAGGGAATTATGCTTAAAAGGTAACATACTATATGATCCCACTTATACAATATTCTTGAAATGACAAAATTATAGAGATGGAGAATGGCCAGCTGGAAGGGGAGACAGGAAGGGTTACTTTGCCTATAAAAGGGTAGCACAAAGAATCCTTGTGATGGAACTGTCCTGTATCTTGGCTGTAGTAGTTGGTACAGGAATCTATTTGTGATAAAACTGCATAGAACTAAACACATACACACATGCACACACACACACACAAATAAATGCATATAAAACTGGACAAATATTAATAAAGTCTGTGAATTTTATCATTACCAATTTCTTTTGAGACGGAGTCTCACTCTGTCACCCAGGCTGGAGTGCAGTGGCGGGATCTCGGCTCGCCGCAACCTCCGGCTCCCGGGTTCAGGCAATTCTTCTGCCTCAGCTTCCCAAGTAGCTGGGACTACAGGTGCACGCCACCATGCCCGGCTAATTTTTGTATTTTTAGTAGAGATGGGGTTTCACCATATTGACCAGGCTGGTCTTGAACTCCTGACCTCAGGTGATCCACCTGCCTCAGCCTCCCAAAGTGCTAGAATTACAGGCATGAGCCTCCATGCCTGGCCTATCATTATCAATTTCTTGTTGTGATACTGCACTGTGATTATGTAAGATGTTACCATTAGGGAAAACTGGGTGAACAGTGTTGGGGATTTCTCTGTATTATTTCTGAAAACTGCATGGTTAATTTATAATTGTCTTAAAAAGATTTTTTTTAAGTGCTCAACTTTTTATAATTTGGTGTTTATGTCGGTCTCTGGTTATTTTTCTTATTGACATTTGAAAATGAATAGTTTTTAAAAAATAACATCATATTAAAACAGCTACTTGATCTAGAAGATATAAACCTATCAGTGACTTATTTTAATATGTAAATTTTAAAATAAACATTTTCTAGAGTTATGAATTTATAAAGGGCATATTTTGAATTTTTGCTAACTGTACTGTAAAAGAAACAAAGAATGAGGAAGCGATATATTCATTTTCCTATGTAAGACTGATTTAAAATAAAAATTATTCAAACAATTGCAGCGCTAAAATATGGTAATTACGTATTTCATAAACTTTCTTTTATTCATTTATTCAAACATTTTCTAAAACAGACACTGCTTGGTACCTGGATTGCAAAAGGTTAATATGAAACTCCTTGAGGATCTCATAACCTTGAAGCTATGAGAGACATACAAACAGATAACTACAGGAGGGAGGGATAGTTAGGATATGTAATTGTAAGTGCTTGATAAATATTTGCTGGACGAATTTTAAAAATAATAAAAAGGAAGCAGCAGTGGGTCTGAGATTCCTGAGTAGGGTGTGGAACAGTGAGTTATAAAAAGTAAAAATAATAGCTTGCCATTTATTGAGTGGTGTAGTATATTTCAGGTACTGCACTTGGTTATTCTACCTAGCCCATCTCTGAAAAAGGTATTACTCTCCCATTCTAGAGTTGTGGGACAGAGTTTAGAGACTCTAGTAAGCAGATAAGCTGTGATTTGAGCCCAGGTGCATCTGAGCCCACAGCACCTAGCTACCATATCACTCTACTAAAGACCAACTGACTCAGCAACTCTGTACCATGGTCCCTATATGGACCTGCTTATTCTCCAGCATCATCTCCACCACTCTTCCCCTCACTAGGCTCCAACCACAGGGGTCTTTCAGTCAAAACTGTTAATTTCTTACTTGCCCCAAGGCCTTTACACAGGTTTTTCCTTCTGCCTAGAATGCTTTGCACTCCTCACCCTCTACCCCGATTCACACATTCTAGCTTATAGATGTCTGAGAGGGAATGGCATTAAAAAATCCTTTGGCCATCTAATCATCCTGGATGAAATAATGACCCATTTTTTGAAAAAAAGAGTAGAAAAAGAATTTCAAAATAGAACTGGAGAAGTCAAGAAAGGATTTCTCTCCCCCACCGAAATGGGGCAGCAATCATATTTGCGAAGAAGTAATTTAAGCCATCTGTGAAAACAGATTTTAACCTATAATACATCTGAATTCCTAACTATGAATTTACTTGTATTCAGTAGACTAAGGCATGAAGTTGTAAACTAGGGTACATTTAGATATGCTAAATGGATGGAAGAAGCTACGGGATCTTTTTCTATATTCTGTTTAGCATTTAGTTATGATGTAGATTCTAATATTTATTAAATGTTAATATCAAATCCTTATAGGTAGAACACTCAGTGAGATTCCTGTTTTTACTTGTGGAAACATTTACCTACCCTATGAGGTAGATAAGAGAGGTCAGAGAGTCCTCTAGCTTAAGTTCCCAAATAAAACTTTTACAACATATCATTTACTTGGAATGTGAACTTGCAGAATATTTTGACTCATTTTAAAATGTAGGTGGAAAACTACATTCCAAAGCAACATTTAATAATTTTTGAATTATAGAAACCATTCAACTACTTATTAGCTAAAATATTTTTGGGGGAACACTCAACATGAACAAAAAGCTGTTGGGCTATAGAGATGAATGAACAGGAATAGTTAATTAGCCTCCTTGCTTTCTATGTAAACTGTTTTTTTTTTCTTCATCAGTGAAGAAACAAAGAAAACTTTGGGTTCTTATAAATACATTTCAGAATCAAAATATAAAACTCACAATTCATAAAGCATTTAGTGCCCAGCACGTAAGTCCCTAATAGTTAGATATTATCACAAATTATCATCATTATATCCATCATCAGTTTAGTAAATCACATAACGCTAACTATATAATGCTCTTTCCTTTAGTACTTTAAAATGTACATTTACTTTCAGTTTGGGAAACTTTGATAAAATTAAAATTCCATGAGAAGACTGACAGTATGTTTTATTGAGAATTCTTGCAAATTATTGTTAAAATTACTTTTTTTGCAAGTTCAAAATCCTGTAAGCTTACAGAACATATTGATTCTGAAATTAAATTATGGTATCACTTTAAAACCTGACTGTAGGATATCCCTTGCATCTAGGATACAAGGTAACAGCTTTAACCGGATTTCAATGTGCAATGGTAGCCCTTTGGTTTTCTATACATACTATTAACTTAAATAACAAATTTGAATGAATTCAAAAGTACTTTCTCTAGGGCACTGGATTGATTTCTAGAGAAATCTTTGTTTTGGGGAGTATCTTTAGGTCACATGGCTCATTAAATTAAGAACAGCTGTTTAGTACAATTGTTTCTGTCACCCAAATGCTGAAGATACTAAACTAAGAAAGGAGAAAGGGAAATGGTAAAGGCAAAGCACTAGAGAGGACAGCAGGGAGGGTTAGAGTAGTATATATTCATGATGGAGTTTCATGTATTTCAGGAAGATGACAATTCTATTTCCTCTGTCCACCTCCCATTAGTGACGGCATGATGGTGGAAGTTTTTTGGATAAGACAGCCTGAAATTAACCAGTATTTACTGAAGATCAACTAGGCACCCGTTTTCTTTTGAATAGTTCTAGCGCAAGGCACATTTCCAGAACCTACTATATAGTACTTTCTCTTCTCTCTAACCATCTAGTTACTCCAATAAATCCAGGTATGATACAGGATAAATCTTTTATGTCTACACTTATTTGTCTTAGCCTTACCATTATTTGAGCCTTCCACAATATCCCCTTTGAGATGTCTGCTCCTTTGTTGTGTCAATTCCCAGATTCCCTCTCTCCTACTTATTCTATGCTATTATCAAATTCTCAGTACTACTTTAAATTCTATGCCTTTCACAATATTCCTCAATCATTCAACACAGAACAATTTTTAAAACTAGGAGTCTCAGAATTCATCCAGTTCATAGATAAGGAAAAGACAAGGACAGAGATGCCCTGAGAGGCTGGCTAGAACCTGGGTTTTCTTCTTCCTAGGTCAGGACTTGTTCCAGCATACTTCGATGCCACCCCAAAACACCCTCTCAAGACTCCTCCTATTTCTTTCTAAATATTTGATTTCTATCTTATTCGAATAGCCTCTCCAGAAAAGCTTGTTTTCTCTTAGGATTTACACAACTTTTGAGACAAAATACTCCTTAATTAATCTGCTATATACTAACTGAAAACTAATCCTGCATTTCTCTGACCCATGGAACTTCTAGGGAATATAAGTAGATGCTAAGAAAAAAAGAATTCTTAATTACTGTGAAATAAGTTTGGAAATGGGTTAAAAAATTCAAACAATGCAGTTGCCAGGGAATGGAGGTAGGGCTTAATGGGGAAGTGTGTGTGTGTGTGTGTGTGTGTGTGTGTGTGCGCGCGCGCGCGCACGCGCACGTGTGTGCGTGTGTGTGTGTGTTTGAGACGGAGTTTTGCTCTTGTTGCCCAGGCTGGAGTGTAACGGCGCAATCTCGGCTCACCGCAACCTCCACCTCCTGGGCTCAAGAGATTTTCCTGCCTCAGCCTCTCAAGTGGCTGGGATTACAGGCATGCACCACCACACCCAGCTAATTTTGCATTTTTAGTAGAGATGGGATTTCACCATGTTGGTCAGGCTAGTTTCAAACTTTCGACCTCAGGTGATCCACCAGCCTCGTCCTCCCAAAGTGCTGGGATTACAGGTGTGAGCCACCACGCCCGGCGGGAATTATTGTTTAATGGGCATAGAGTTTCAGTTTTGCAAAATGAAAAGAGTTCTGGAGACAGATTGTGGTGATGGTAGCAAAACTTCACAAATGTAAAATACCACTGAATTGCACACTTTAAAATGGTTAAGATGGTACACTTTATGTTATATGTATTTTATCACAATTTAAAAATATAAAAGAAAATTTCAATTCAAGTAAGTTTCTTCACTGCAAAATTCAGAATCTTTCATATGCCAAAATCTCTAAGAGGGAGGAGAGCTATACCTGTATTATTAGTGTGTTCAAGATTGTTCTACTTTCAGCTGATTCTTCAAAAGACTGAACACACAAATGTGTGTTAAAAAGGCACTAGGCTAGATGCGCCAGAAAATACAGAGATGATCAAACACAGTTGCTAGCTCTACAGTACTCTGGGTTTGCTGTAAGGCATTCAGCCACCTCAGCAGGCAATGGGGCTAACACAACCAGGTCACTGAAATTCAAGTTTATTTGCTTTTTTTCAAATATGTTGGGCATAATGTATTGATGTAGAAACAAAATTTTACTTGTAATGGAAAGTCAGTCAGAAGTCCTATGACATAGCATTGTTACCTTTAAAAATGTTAAAATAGCTGATATTAAAATAATCTACTTATTGTTCGGGGGAATGTAAGAATGACTCCCCCTTTTATAGCATAACTATCAATTAAATATTTGTATCACTGTTGCATGAAAGAGCAGAATATACCCAGAGATGGTCTTTAATATTAGAATAAAATTCACATAAGATGGACACTGTAAAAACACAGAATTTAAAAAGGTGCATCTTTCCCCATACTTTTAAGAAAACATGGGGAAATGGTTTAATGCTTGATGCCATGGCTAGAAAATAAGATCATTTTAATGTATGACTTCACCCTATGAAAAGGAAACTAATGGTCCTCAGAGGTATTGTTCTAGATGACTGTTAAAGTTCCTCACTAATATCTGAAAATCATTAAGTAAAAAGAGAACGTTATTTAGGAATATAATAATATACATAGGACACATAAACATTCAATAATGACCAATTCATTCTTATCAGTCACACTTTAGACTTGAATAGAGGTAAAATTACATAAATCCAATGCTCTAATTTCTTTATCACTAACTCTTTATCTTTCATTCCTTTTAAACCTGTGTCTATTGAAGCCATGCTACTGAACTGTGCTCCTAAAGGTTACTTATGACCATCTAATGAAAACATCAAAAACCTTCTTCTCATTTGTCATCTTCCTTAGTCTCTGTAACATTCCACACAATTTAACTCCTTACTTCTTAAACGTCTTTCCTCATTAGGTTCCTATAATTCCCAAAGTTATGTTTTCTGGAACACCAACCCCCAAGAGGTATTCTGGGGAGAAAGGGGTTCTGACGTCAGGTAAATCTACAAAACACTACTTTATATGTTTCCTTCTTGGAGATGTGTCATGCATGTTAACATATTAAAAGGGCACAGAATTCTTGCAGTGAATGAGTATTTAACTACAGAACCAATTTTCTTTCCCATATTACCTGTTACCCACCCCACAGAACTAGTGTTTGGTTAAACATCCTTCGGGAAGACTATTCCTGCTTGTTTAATCCTTTGATCCTCTCTTTCAGTTGGTTTTTCTTCCTTTTATAATCCAAATATGGGTTTTTCCAAGGTTCCCTCATCAGTCTCTCTCCCAGTCCCTGCTCCATCCTTGAGAGATCTCATTCACTCCCAAGGCTTCCACTGTCACCCATTTGGAATATTCCCAAACTAATTATCCATGAAGCGCCATTTTCATTTCTCCGTCTGCTAGCTGTCCATTTCTGATCGGGTAGATAGCTTACTGTCCCCTCAAATTTGATATGTTTAAAACTGAACTTATTTCTTAACAACAGATATCTTTCCTGACTTATTTATTTCTGCTGAATTCTCCTGGTCTCTCAGTCCTTTAGGCATGAAAGCTCAGTCATCATTTACTCCTGCCCTTTTTTCTCACTTGCCCTTACCCAATTACTAATTCTTTCAAATTCTCTCTGTCAGTTTCTCAGCCCAATCCATCCTGTACTCTCAAAAACATTCTTAAAAGTTTAAAATTCTGTCAGGGTGTTCTAGACAGCTAACATTTACTAATCACTTACAAGTGCTGCACAGTACTTTCTATGAGGTACACAGTTGAACATCATAGGACCCTATAAGACAGGTACTGTTATCTCCGTTTTATAGATGGTAAACTGGGACACTAAGGTTAAGTAACTCTTAAGATCAAATATTTACAATCCAAACTCTTCAGTCCAACTACTGCTAATTCCCTATCCAAATTCCTATTTCAGCCAAAGCAATATATTCATTATAAATCCTATCCTGGCAAGAATCACCAGAATGACTTTCTGATTGTTCTTGTTCGGTTCTGAGGTCACCTTTGAAGCCTAAGTGACCACTCAAACCTACACTACTCCTTCCTTCCTCAGAGTTTCCATCCAATCACTGGCATATCCAATCACTGTCACCATAGGGTCCATGCTTGCCTAGGACAATTCTGACTCATGTTTGCTGTCTCACTATTACTATGCCCCCTTTCACTCTCAAAAGTACCTCAATTTAGACAATAAATTATAAGGTCATCCTACATATATCACATCTGTTATTGTAGCAAGAAACCATTTATGTCCATATCCTACCAACTCCCCCAATTAAATCATGGTCCTTGAAGGTAGAAAATCAATCTGAAAACTTAAACTGGTCTTATTTCTCTTACACCAGGCACATTTATTATGCGTATGTGGCTACAGAACAATTGTGGACATGAGGTTCCATTGGTTGTGTTTTGTTTCTCGATTAAATCCTGCTTTTAAATCAAAAAAGGAAAAATAATTCAAGTTAATTCATATAGTCAACCTCAGTCACAGTGCTTGAAAAAAGTAGGTATTTAATACTTTGAAAGGATGAATGAATAATGTACTAGAGTATGTGTGCCAAACTATAGCCAACATTACTAAAATATTTCAAAGATATACATGTAACTGGACACTTCGTGTATAACCACCAAGTGGATCTACCAATAATTACCAAGAAAAAATGTTTTCTAATATTTTTTACCGTTATACACAGTTGAGTGATAACAGACTATTTCCCACAACTATTTTGGAATACAAGCTCTGGAACAGACCACAGTGATAATAAAAACCAATTTCTCTAAAGAGGGAAAAAAATAAAAATAAATAAATAAATAAATCATCCTATTCTTTACAGTATGTTGTCAGTTAACTTATTATTCAAAAGTGATAGCAAGCTCTCCTGTTTAAAAGAATACAGTCTGTCTGTCTATGAAGAAAACGATTGTTTCACACTGCCTCTGCTTTGCAGTCCTATTCAGCTCAGACAATTTGCATCAACCTGTGACTAGTGACACTGTCACTTAGTGGTGCCCCAGAAAGCCATGATCTCACGTGCTCTTAATATTGAAGTTCTTATTTATACATAGATGTCTCTGGAATACTCATGAATTCTTACTTGAATACAATGGTGTTTTATTAATAGTTATTAATTAAATTTTAAAATGCTAATACATAATTTATCAATTTACTTAGAATTGGTATGACAAATTATTCAGCAGGGCAGCTTTGCATAACAAGCAGGAAAAACGACAAGCAAAAGTGACAAATACATCCCTGTCACTACATAATATAAAATACAGCACAAAATTCTGCATCTGTGCATACTTTCTAAGCTAAGAATGCTAATTAACATAATCATTAAGTGCTATTTATTAGAGGTAAAGGCATCACACTATGTTTGTTTTAAAAAGCAGAATGCTCATAAACTCATTGTTAGAGAATATAAATCTAGCAGCATCAAAACACTTCGTATTACAATACAGAAAGCAAAACAAATGGCAGCAGATGGCTTCAAAGAGGGGAAATAAAGAAGAGAACTATAGAATAGTAAAGCGCAAATTAAAATTGAAAGGAAAAATTTTAAAAAGAAACAGCTAAGGAAAAGAACAGATAAACTCCTGGGGAAAAGTCAACGACTAACAGACAGCAGAAATAATATTCATAAATAGGAAAGATTGGTATATGCAGATTAGACAATTATCCAAAGCCATGGACATGAAAAGACCAGAATGCATCATTGTTAGAGACACAATTCAAGAACTAATGGATCCCTGGCACTGAGCTAGAAAATATCACATATTTTTTGCAAATTTAGAAACAGGCTCAGAGTTTTTAAAGAATTATCTAAGGTTATAAAAGACAAGATAGAATTCCAAATAAATTGGTATAGGTATGGCAACCCTTTGACGTGAACTATTTACTTAGCAATGTTCTATTTATTTATTTTAGTTTTCTTCTTATTACTTTAATATTCTAAATTTCCTCTTTATAAATTACTCAAATATTCTATTTTTAATCAATGATATAGCCTATACTCACTTCTATTATCTACAATTATCTACACCTACAATCCTCAAGAATATGTGAGGGATGCCAGAAGTTGCTACCATATATCAATGATAACTCAGAGTAACTAACACCATAAAACGGATACAAAGTCTGGAAAAGATTTAAATTAGTCTCTGGACCTCTCATTACAAGAACCAATGTGTGTTACTAAGTGTTACTAACACTTTCATTTCTTCTATTGGCTTTTCTTTTCCTTTTTTTGAGACAGAATCTTGCTTTGTCGCCCAGGCTAGAATGCAGTGGCACAATCTTGGCTCACTGCAACCTCCACCCCCCAGGTTCAAGAGATTTTCCTGCCTCAGCCTCCCAAGTAGCTGGGATTACAGGTGTGTGACACCACGCCCAGTTAATTTTTTAGGTTTTTAGTAGAGATAAGGTTTCGCCACGTTGGCCAGGCTGGTCTTAAACTCCTGGCCTCAAGAGATCCACTCGCCTCACCCTCCCGAAGTGCTGGGATTACAAGTGTGAGCCACTGCACCTGGCCTATTAGATATTATCTTATTTTCAGAATAGTCAAGATGTTAATGTTTGAACACTTACCAATACTGAAGGTATTATCCTTACTTTATCTTAAAAGTTTTAGAAAGCATGACTATGCCATAAAAGCTGCTTTCTTAAGGAATAAAATTACTTTCTCACTTTTCTTCAATAGCAATTCAACATTAATAAGAGGGAATCTTTACTAACACTACACACACACACACACACACGCACCCCTACCTATATGCATGTTGACCTTTTCTGACCTACTTTAGTTATGTTTGTTAGGTGAAAACTAAGTACCCAGGTATAGGTTAACTGAATTTAGAGAATAATAATGATCCTAGAAGTTAGAAGAAGATATAAAGAACATGGCTGGTAGCAGATATGATTTTAAATTGTATTTTAATCACAACTATTTTTATAGAGCTACGCAGTCACCAGGTTTTATTAATTTTTCTTCTGCAGTGTTTATCTTTTATTTTTCCTCCATTCACCTGTCAGCATCCTAGTTTAGACTCTTATGACTAGGTAAGTAATCTACTAATGGGTCTTCCTGGGCACTGGGTGCCCTTTCTCCGATGTATCTTGCTCTAGTTAATCCTGTATATTAATTTATCCATGCAAAATGTATTTATCAGGCACTTATCATATCAATGCTTAAATATTCAAGACCTGCAAAAGCAACAGAAATTAGCAGGTACACTTCAATATGTGCTTCTGAAATCATGAAATTGGCTATGCATTTGAGTACATTTTTCTTGCAGCAGGTACAGGGAAGAATTAAATGCATGCATAAAGACTATAAAATAACAAAGGCAGAATTCTACTCAAAGAGACTTACAATTATTACAAATTGTAGCCAAAACATTCTTATCTTGACACTCTTAAATGATAAGACAGCAAACATTCATTTCAAATTCAAGTACTCAGGCTATTCGCTCATGAATGGAGTTAGTGATTTTGATCACATATATTCATACATAAACTTTTATGTGCATAAGACCTAATGCCTTCAAGGGATAACTCTACTACTGGATTTAATCTAGCAAATACTAAATAATCTGGAGCCTAACCAATGCTGATTTATAAACTTTTATGTCCTAAAGGCTTAACTTGTAAATCCATTGTTTGTAACCTGGATTATATTTTCCAAAGGGGAAAAAATGAGCTATATATGGCAGCAAATATCCTAGGGAACTCCTAAGAATTTAACCTAATAATATAAAAAATATATACTTAATATGCAGTACATAGTAGTAACATTAATAACTGCTAATACATATAACTCTTACTAGATCCTCTAGTCAGGATTTAGTAAGTAACATTATTAATAATATTAGTAACATTAGTGACTAACATTAGTTATATTATTAACAATTAGTAACATTATTAATAGGTAATAACACTATTAATAACTGCTAATCCATATACCTCTTGCCAGATCCTCTTTTAGGTGTTTATATATTGACTTATTTAATTCTCACTGCAACCCTAAGGAGAGGTGGCAGCTTGTGCCTGTAATCGCAGCTACTAGGGAGGCTGAGGCAGGAGGATCACTTGAGGCCAGGAGTTCAAGACCAGCCTGGGCAACATAGCAAGGCCTCATCTCAGAAAAAAAAAAAAAAAAAAAAAAGAGAGAGAGCCATGTGTGGTGGTAAGCACCTGCAGTCCCAGTTACTTGGAAGGCTGAGGTAAGAGGATCACTGGAGCCCAGAAGTTTGAGGCTACAACGAGCTATGACTGTGTCACTGCACTACAGCCTGGGTGGCAGAGGAAGACTTTGATCTCTCTTTTTTTTTTTTAAATAAGGAGAAGAATTTTAAGTTTTTCTTTTTAATGGCATTTTAAAATACTTAGTTCTATTGTTCGGTTCTTATAATTAGAAAGCCTGAAAAGAGAACAGAAGATAAAACTTGAAAGATCTACCGCAAAGGAAGAAGCATGTTAGAGCTGGCCTAATATAAATAATTAGACGATAAAAATTAAGTCATTTGCTAAAAGGCTGAAGATGAGAGCTGCTTTTGGAGCCCTTGGAAGTGGTTTTTGTGCCAGGAGTAGTTTTTGTGCACAGAAAATAAAATCTAGAAGTTTAATTTTATTTTTTAATTAATATTTGATTTATGAAAATTACAAAAAAAATTCAAAAAATTAGTCCCAGTTTTTAAAGTTACCTTTAAGTTTTTACTTAACTTACAAATCTGTCAAAATGTATCACTTACCACTGGCTTTCAATTATTTAGATTTTAAACTGCAATTATAAATTAAACAGATTCAATTTCTTCTTTAGATATTTCCACTAACTGCTGGTGAATCTTCCCAATTACCTATAATTCTTATAAATCTAATAAACTAAACTTATAAAAATGGTCAACCTTAAATTCTCATAAATGTTATGGTACTACAAATAAACTTATAAGCATTTCTCCTAAAAATCCCAAGCAAAATCATTACTCAATTACATATTTTAAATTGGAAGTGACACTGCCCAATAAGCACATGAAAAGATGCTCAGCATGATTTAGTCATTAGGAAAATAAAAATCAAAACCACAGTGAAATACTATCTCCAACCCACTAAGATGGCTATAATCAAAAACGCTGACAATCTTTTAGGTGATAAAATGATTTCATCTTGGATCTCTACCATGACTTGGTCTCCATTCTGATCACAACAGTTAAGGTCATTCTTCTAGAAGGTTTGAGGATTCTTTCAGCCTTTCACTAGGTACTGTTTAAACTCAGCTGCTATTCCTCAAGGGCTTCATATTCTAGATTTAGAAAAATAACAGGAAGATTTTAGGAAAAAACTTAAAGGCAGGAAGCGTGGGTCATATAAAGAGAACATAGTCTAAATGTCTCTTTAACCACTGACTTTTCAATTATACTGGCATGGAATAAGCAGTTAACGTATTTATAAATTAATTATTTATAAATTAGTAGAAGTTATTTATTGAAAACATTATCAAACAGGCTCTAAAGAAAAAAATTCTTAATGTATTTTTCTTATTCTTCATATTTTAGTATCAGTTTTCTGTTGGCTGGTTGGTCTTTGTCTCCCCAATGAAACTGTACATTTCTTCAGGTCAGAAAAGGAAAAAGAGAAAGAAAATTAAATGCTAGGTACTTTGCTTCCTTGTGAAAGAGATATGATGTTCATGGTCAAAGAAGCAGGCTTAGTTAGTGACTAAAATGTGATTTGAAGGTACAGACAGAATCTTAGAATTATAGGAATTTAATGTCTCTATACAATATTTTCACCAGGATGTGGTTCTCTGGTGAATCCCCCTAATCCTCTTTAAGGTCTCGAAATACAATCATTTACACCGGCCAAGATAGTGCTGGAGAAAGAACCCTTCAAATTCTGCACTGACATTCCCCAATACATTTTTTTTGCCATTACATTTTTACCAATTCATTTTCAAATCTCTAATTTGACATTACATACATTACCTACATGCATTTGGGAGGCACATTACGTAAGTGTTGATTTACCTTTTATGACTACTGCAAAGATCAAATAAAATAAATATGATCATGTAAGTTCTAAGTCTTAAAACTGTTGTTAGTCTTATGCTTAAATGTAAGGGTTAATAAGATTCAATTAAGGAAAATGGCTGTCCCTGGTTTGTCCTTTTCCTAACATTGCTCAGTTATTAATACTTCCTTCCTTCTATTAATACATGAAATCTGCCAAACATTTAGGTCTGTAAATCCATGAGGATTACTTAAATATCATGTCAACTAGACTATAAACTCTTCAAGGGGAGGAATCATGAATCATGATGCCCTCTATTCCTCTGTCTTTGCTTCCTTCTACTTTTTCTTTTCCACCATTACCCAGTTTTTCACAATGTAGTTTTTTTTTTTGATGGCATATTAAATATATATTTTTTTTTTGGAGACTGAGTCTTGCTCTGTTGTGCCCAGGCTAGAGTGCAGTGACACGATCTTGGCTCGCTGCAACCTCTGCCTCTTGAGTTCAAGCGATTCTCCTGCCTCAGCCTCCGGAGTAGCTAGATTACAGGCACCCATCCCCATGCTCAGCTAATTTTTTGTATTTTTAGTAGAGACGGGGTTTCACCATGTTGGTCAGGCTGGTCTCAAACTCCTGACCTCAGGTGATCCGACCACCTCAGCCTCCCAAAGTGTTGGGATTACAGGTGTGAGCCACCGCGCCCGACCCTAAACATCTTTAATGAAGGCATGGTACAAGTACTAAATCAGCTGATTGTCCTCCCTAAAGTATGTCAATAAAATCCTCAGGGGGCCATTAGAAAGAAAGAGAAAAATACCATAATTACCATGATCACAGACAAGATCTCTAATAAGCCATAGCTACTACTGTAGATGCAGCTCTAAAAAAGAAGAGGCCACAGTCCATAAGCTTACTAACAGTCCTTATTCTAAAGACTGAGTCCTCTAAATATGTGCAATCATTCTACAAATTTTTCACAGCATTTAAGCCTTATTATTTTGATAATACAAGTATGAATAGAGTAGTCTGAATCAAGTGTAATTAGAAAATATGTGGAAAACAAAAACTTCTAAGTAGTCATACTTGCAACAGCACAGCTATTTCACAAAGGATATGTGAATTCTTCTTAAATGAGCAAAATTAAGAGAAACCCCAAAAAACTATAGATGCGTTTAAGTACTCATCAAACGTTATAATTTTAGTAATTTTTCACATGCTTGATATTATTGGTAGTGATAACAATGAGAACAGTATGTGTTGCCTGCTTACCACGGTCTCAGAAATTGTGCTAACGATATTTATATAAGGTAGATATTATTCTCTTTATTTTCCAGATAAGGAAACTGAAGCTTGAATGAGGTTAAATATCTTGCCAAAGGTAAGTGGGAAACTGAATACAGCTCTGTTTCTGAACCCAAGATCTTAGGCTAAGATAGGGTTTCTCAACCTCAGCACAACTGATATTTTAGACCAGATAAATTCTTCATTTGGGTAGTGGGGGGAGCTGTTTTGTGCATTGTAGGAGGTATAATATCATCTCTTGCTTCTATCCACTAGATATCAGTGGCATTCCACCCTTGCCACCTTCCCCTTCCCCCTGCCCCCGGCAAAGTTGTGGCAATAAAAAAAAGTATGCAGACATTGCCAAATGTCTCCTAGGGGGCAAAATTGCCTTGGTTGAGAATCACGGCTAAGTAATGTATTACTTAATTCATACCTTTACTGTGATAAACCATCAAGAGCACATTCTTGGAGAAATCTAGAGCAATACAACAACTTCACACATTTTAAACTACTCAGCAAATAGGATATTTAAAATCATTTGAAAATAAGACTAACTGAAGATGTTATATGGTTAAGTAAAAATGTCTAAAAGGTACCTAAATGCAATAAATTACATGATCACATATTATTTTCTTTGCTCCCATACACTAAGACTATAAAATTATGAGTCTGTAACAAAAATAGAACTTTTTACATGCATATGAGTGGTTCTTCAAAGCGGTACCTTTGGACTGGATGTGCACAATTGCTGCCATTGAAGGGAAAAAAAGAGTCAAATCCTGTATTTTGGAAGTATTTTGAAACCTAGTTTAGAAGTTATTTCCCTCTGTTGTTCTCCATCACCTCACTTCTACATGGCATTTATTTACAAAACTTGCCTTATTATTTTACAAATCACATTTGGCTTTTTCTTTTAAGCCTAGAATAATACCATGCAGTTTATCACCATTTTATTTTAGACTTTGTTTTGAATAATTTTTGCTTATTTTCAAAATAAGTCCAAGTATCAAAGGACAAAATTTGTCACATTGTGGGTATTGAAAAAAAAAAGCCAAAAAAGTCAAAGTATTTTATGCAATGGCAGAACCAATGGACTGAGAATAAAATTTTCTAGGATGACTAGGGCAGGGAATAGGGGGATGACTATACTAACATCCAAAGGTTTCAAAAGTTTATTTTAAAATCCAATTGCTGAACAGTAATTCCTTTTCGAGCTTATATTCATGATTATTTAAGTTTTACTTCCGCAAACACCCTGCGGTCAATTCAAATCAATAAATCACTGAATTTCACATTTAATTTTTAAGATATATTTTGAAATGCTAGTGTTGACATCTTGCTCTGCTGAAAATATGACGAGACAGCAACAAAGTAACAAGACTGATGGATTTAAATTTCAGCCTCTTATTTCTCCTCCTAACCCTGACTGAATGAGTTAGTAAGTTCTGATGGCCAATGAGTAGGCAGATTTGAGGAGAGAGAGGAGCACTTGAACAGTGTAAGCCTGTTTGAAAAGTCATTTGGCAATTAATATCATAAGCTGTAAAAAATATTCCCTCTTTTTAACTGAGATTCCATTCCTAGAAATTGATTCAATGTAAATAATTCAAAAGAGGCAGAAGAAAAAAAGCTATGACATATAAAAATGTTGTCTTCTAAAATCCTAACAATGATAAAGTGTGAATGTTTTAATACAACTAAAAAAAAGAAGATAAAAGAAAAAATATGGCAGACTAACTTGAAAGAATATTATGCAGCCATAAAAATTTATAAAATATGGATGGAATAAGTCAAGTCAACCTTTCGGCAGGATAGTTACCTGCCGGTCTGCTAAATCGTTGGAGCAACATTGCCCTAAGTAACAAACACTCAGGCTGGTAGCAGCTCTGAACCTCCCTGGGATGGATCTCCCAGAGGGAGCAGACAGCCATTTTTGCTGCTCAACAGACCTCTTTCCTGTTGCCCTCAGGCTTAGAAGGCAGCTTAGTGGCTGGGGACTGACAGGGACCCCCCCACGGTGCAGCAGCCTTATGGAAAAAGGGCCAGACTGTTTTCCATATGGATTTTCACCTCCGGGTAGGGACAGGGTGCCTCTCAACCTGGACCCCCAGCACATCCACCCTGCCCCTACCCGAACACCAGTGGGTGGCAGCTCTGCATTTCTCTGAGAAAATCCCAGAGACAACCCACAGCCCCTCTGCCATTGCAGATGCAGGGGTACTGCCCTTGCCACCCTCAAGCTGAGGAAGGAACAGAGGGCCTGATGGCAACTCTGGCATGCCACAGCCACCCTATGGAGAGGAGCCCAGTCTCTTTTCTCTGTGAGACCCCACTCCCCACTCTTCAACAGGCACACCCGCTCTCAGAACCACAGAATAGCCATCCTACCCCCAGCTAAGCATTCCCACTGCTAGTAACTCTGTGTTTCCCTGGGGAGGGGCTCCCAGAGGCAACCAATAGCAGCGGTTCTGCCCCTGCTGCTCTTGGACTGGAGAAGAAACGAAGAGCCTGAGAGCTTTATTCACACTTAAAGCATGACAGTCATTGTACAGAGGAGCTCAGCTTCTTCTCATTATGAGCCCTCAACCCCCGCATTTTTCAGCAAGCAGAGCCCCAAGCTTGGGCCAGCAGTGCAGTCTCCCCAATCCTTGGCTGAACATTCCCACTAGCAACGGCTCAGCATTTCTCTGATTTCGCTCTCAGAGACAACTGAAAGCCCCTCTACCACTTCAGTTGTACTGCCCTTGTTGCCCTCGGACCGGGGAAGGAGTGAAGACCCTGAGTGCTTTAACTATACCTTTAGCAAGTCATAGCCACCCTAAGAAGAGGCCAGACTGTCTCCCCGCAAAGTCCTCTTTCCCCATTGCTCAACGTCACCAGGCAGGGTTCCCTGGCTTGAGCCCACTATGCAGCCACCCCACCCCAGGCCGAACACACTGATTGATAGAGGGTCTGCATTTCTCTGGGGTGGAGCCCCAAGAGGCAAGTGAAAGGCCCTCTGCCACAGCCACTGCCAAGGTCCCTTCCCCTGTTGCCTCCAAACTGGGAAGGGAACATGAAGCCTGAGCTCATCCAAGGGCAGCAGTGTGCAGCCTGGGAGTATGAAGGCCAGATTTGCAGCCACCACTTAAGTGGGAGAGGAGCCCACACTTTCAGAGCAGGGAGAGGAAGCACAGCTGCAGTGGTGAGGAAATACAGAGGGGCCACGCAGTGGAGCAACAGCCTACCTACTAGCCATTATGCTTAAGCACCATCTACTGGATCACAGCTTAAACTTCAACACCAAAAATACTTTGCTAATACACCCTGCTGTGAAACCAAGGACAAGAACTCAGTGACAAATAAAGACCCTGCACAAATAAAAGGACAAGGCACAAAGCTTTGGCCTTCTGAAAACATCCAGAAAAGAAGTTAACTGACTGTACTCGAGTTACACCACAGTTAAAGAACATCAGCCCACACAGAGAAGAAAGAACCAGTGCATGAACTTTGGCAACCCAAAATGCCAGCCTGTCTTCTTTCTTCCAAATGACCACGCTAGTTCCCAGCAGGGGTCCTCCAACTGGGGTGAAATCACAGAAATATAATTCAGAATAGAGATACAAATGAAGATCATCAAGGTTCAGGAGAAAGATGAAACCTAATCTAAGGAGTACAATAAAATGATGCAGGAGCTGATAGATGAAGTGGTCATTATAAGAAATGACCAAACTGATCTGATAGAGGTGAAAAACACACTAAAAGAATTTCATAATGCAATTGCAAGTATTAATGGCAGAATAAGCCAAGTTGAGGCAAGAGTCTCAAAGCCTGAGGACTGGTTTGCTGAACTCAGTCAGACAAAAACAACAAAAAAGAGAATAAAAAAGAATGAACGAAACTCCTGAGAAATACAGGGTTATGAAATAAAGAGACTAAATCTATGACTAACTGGCATTCCTGAAAGGGGAAGAAAGTAAGCAACTTGGGAAACATATTTCAGGATATTGTCCATGAAAATTTCCCCAACTTCACTAAAGAGGCCAACATTCAAATTCAGGAAATGCAGAGAATCCCTGAAAGATACTACATAAGAATACCATCCCCAAGACACACAGTCATCAGATTCTCCAAGGTCAAAATGGAATAAAAAATGTTAAAAGCAGCTAGAGAGAAGAGGCAGGTCACTTATACAAATCATTCACTTATACAAATATATTCAGCATTCTATAAGAAAAGAATTTCCAACCAAGAATTTCAAATCCAGCCAAACTAAGTTTAATAAGCAAAGGAGAAATAAATAAGATCCTTTTTAGATAGGCAAATGCTAAGTGAATTTGTCACCACCAGACCTAACTTACCAGAGGTCCTTAAAGGAGTGCTAAATATGGAAAGGAAAGAAGACCATTACTAGCCACTACAGAAACACACAGAAGTACATACTAAAAAAACAAAAGTACACAGACCACTGACACTATAAAAGAATGATGCAAACAAGTCTACATGATAACCAGCTAACAATACAATGACAGGATCAAATCCACACATATCAATATTAACCTTGACTGTAAATGGGTTAAATGCCCCAATTAAAAGGCATAGAGTGGCAGGCCGGATAAAGAAGCAAGATCCATTGGTACGCTGTCTCTAAGAGACTCATCTTACACGCAATGACATCCAGAGGCTCAAAGTAAGGGATGGAGAAAAATCTACCAAGCAAATGGAAAACAGAAAAAAAAAAGGGAGAAGGGGTTTCAATCCTAATTTCAGACAAAACAGACTGTAAACCCACAAAGATCAAAAAACACAAAGATGGACGTTATATAACAGTAAAGGGATCAATTCAACAAGATCTAACTATCCTAAACATATCTGCACCCAACACAGGAGCACTCAGACTGATAAAACAAGTTCTTAAAGACCTACAAAGAGACTTAGATCTCCACACAATAATAGTTTGAGGCTTCAACATCCCACTGACTATATTAAGCAGATAATCAAGGCAGAAAATTAGCAAAGATTTTCAAGACCTGAACTTGATACTTGACCAAAAAAGACCTAACAGACATCTACAGAACTCTTCACCAAAAAACATACATTCTTCAGAATGTATATTCTTCAGAATATACATTCTTCTCATCTGCACATGGCACATACTTTAAAATAGAACACACAATCAGCCATAAGACAATCCTCAGCTAAATAAAAAAAAAAAAACCTGAAATTATACTGCCATACTCTTGGACCATAGCTCATTAAAAATAGAACTTAATACTAAGAAAATCACTCAAAACCATACAATTACAGGTAAATTGAACAACCTACTCCTGAATGACCTTTGGGTAAACAATAAAATTAAGGCAGACATCAAGAAATGCTTTGAAACTAATGAGAACAAAGATATAACATACCAAAATCTCTGGGACACAGCTAAAGATGGAAGTTTATAAAGAGAGAAGTTTATACCACTAAATAACCATATCAAAAAGTCTGAAAGATCTCAAATTAACAACCTAACATTACACCTAGAAGAATTAGAGAAATAAGAGCAAATTAAGCCCAAAACTAGCCGAAGACAAGAAATAGCCAAAATTAGAGCTGAAATGAAGGAAACTGAGATGTGAAAAACCATACAAAAGATCAACAAATCCAGGAGTTGGTTATTTGAAGATTAAATTAGACTACTAGCTAGAAAAAAGGGAGAAGATCCAAATAAGAAATGACAAAGGGAGCATCACCACTGACCCCACAGTAATACAAAAAAAATCCTGGGAGACTACTATTAATACTTCTATGCACACAGTCTAAAAAAACCTAGAACAAATGGATAAACTCCTGGAAACAGAACCTCCAAAGATCGAACCAGGAAGAAACTGAATAACAGAACAGATGTTATTTCCAGGTGATAGCATAATGAGTTATTTCAGATTTCTACTTTAAACTTTTCACATTTTTCCAAATTTCCACAATGAACATGATTTATAGCTATAAACAACAGAGATTACAGAAACAGCTTATAATGCATTCGATCATTCCTACCTTCTAATGATCTGAACATACACAACACATGTGCATGTGGCCTGAAATACACATGCACATATATATACAACTTGGTTACATATAATTCTGTATCTCAGGTAACAGTACTAACTTGAAAGAGCCAGATTATTAAATATCAAAATAGCCATCTGATTCAGAAATTTGGGACCATTTAATTAAGCAAAGCCAATGATTTAAATAAAAAACAACTCTCTAAAGAGACTACTCAATAATTAAGAGGTATTTAAAATATTTGAAATACTAAGATTTATGTAAAACATACACCTATATCAAACTAAGAATGTCTGCCATTTTATCACAATGGATGGATTAAATGGTCTACAGCAGCTTTCCACAGTAATTCTCTCTTGGGAATTCTGTCTGGAAAACAAACTCAATTTTAGAATCTAAATTCTTAAAGTTCCTAGATTTCAGCAGTCCTTGAGGGCAAGGTAGATTCAAAATCACCTAGGGAGCTTTTTCAAATTATATTTCTTGGCCCGGGCCCCCTCTTCCAAGAGTCTGATATGTCTGTCCTCTGGGATGAAAGCATGGGCATCTCCACTTAGAAAACGGCTCTTACACCCCCAATACTACCTTCTCTTTGAGAAACATGACTATATATGCTATCTATCTTTTTAATAAAAAATAGTCTCCTTTAACTTGGGGGGAAAATCACTCCCTAGTACAACTGGTTTGGCTTAATTATAACTTGCCCTCCCATATTTTTAATTGAATGAATGGTTGAAACATCACAACATTCAAGAAGCTGAGATGATAGAACATGATTTCACCTATTCATTATATACATTTTCCATGCAATTATCCAACATTAAGTTATATACAGGCTAGACTTTTAAATAAATTCTTAAAAATTCTACCATTTTCTAAAACTACTAAGGATTTCCAGAAAACTATGGCATTACAAATGCCATTCTAAAATAAAGTGGTATGCATCCAAAGTAGTACCTTGTGGCCGGACATGGTGGCTCATGCCTGTAATCCCAGCACTTTGGAGGCCAAGGTGGGCAGATCACCTGAAGTCAGGAGTTTGAGACCAGCCTGGCCAACACAGTAAAACTCCATTTCTAATTAAAATACAAAAAATTAGCTGGGCATGGTGGCGTGTGCCTGTAGTCCCAGCTGCTTGGGAGGCTGAGGCAGGAGAATAGCTTGAGCCCACGAGGCAGAGGTTGCAGTGAGTCAAGATTGCACCACTGCACTCCAGCCTGGGTGACAGATCAACACGCTGTCTCAAAACCAAAAAACAAAACCAAAAAACCCCACAAAGTAGTATCTTGTATTTCTATATTAGTAAAATTACACACTAGCATCCAATTACATAAAACTGTGCTATAGAGAAAAAACCTTTATTACTCAGCAAGTGAGTAGTTAGCTCTTCTTGTATGGTTATTGATTGACTTACTTTTACATTAGTCTACTTTAGCAAGAAAAATATCCAGAAAATATCTAATGCCGGCCTGGAAAACAAATTTTATCACTCTTGCCAATCATTAATTTACAGGAGCTGCTGAAAATATGCTCCCCTAAGAAGGATCTTAAACCATCTCTAGGTTTAGTGGAAAATGAGTTGTTATTAATCATCCATGTCTGTCATAAGTAAAGGGTAGGGCTGGGGGGCAGGGAGTATGGTGGGTGCAGTGCTGAGGTGCAAGAGTGCCATATATTTACTGACCCCAGTCTAACACCTTCTTAAATTAGACCAAGATCTTTGCTTCATTATAAATACTGAGGCGTTCTTTGGCTTAAATTCAGAAATATTAAAAAGCATTTTCCTCACTCCAAAACTGGCTTCACGTGATCACTGCCTGAAGGGATATTATAATGGCCATGGCTTTGTCATCTCTCCTGACCCAGTGATACACGTGCAAACTCATAATTCACTTTATTGTCTTTTGTGATCTGTAATGCTTTCTTCAGTAGCTTTTGTGTCTATGGTGCAATTTTTAAGTTTTATAATAACCTCTATCTTGTTCTTTCCTACTGTGAGATTGTATTTCCAAACTAATATTTAATATATACCATATTTTATCAATTCAATTATAATTATCAGTTATTCTAATATGTAGTGTACTTCAGAATGATGAAATCACAAAGAAAGAGTAATGATACCAAAAAGGAATTGGTAAGAATATGAATTTGGGCATTTGAATCTGAAAGTTTACCATATTTTCTTTCCTTTTCCACAGAGACCCAACTATTGTTAAAGAGAACCTAGGTACCACAAACTGTATAAAGTTAATATTTGTATAATTCATTTTCTATAATGTCAAGCCCAGTTCTTGCTACTTCTTGTATGGGAAACGAAGGTTAAACTGTAAGTCAGGAACCTTGGACTCTCCTAGTCCTGGCTTTTAAACTAGCTGACTATATAATCTTGGGTAAGTCACTTCACTGCTCAAGGCTCAATTCCCTAGCCCACAAACTGGTGAGCTGCATAAGAATCGAGACTGCCAGTCCAGCTGCCTTACTGCTCCTGAGTTCTGTGATTTAAGTACCTCAGACTTCAATTCTCATTGCCTTTTATCTCTTTGTTTTCTGCTCTCCACCAAATTATTGACTTCAACCACAATTCTACAACCAGTTTTTCCTATTAATTCTATGAATTTTTAGAGCTCCTTTTTATTCAGTAGTTATTATTATCCAAGTAACTGTTTACATTGCTGTTCAATGAAGTATGACTTAATCTAATAACTGTAAGTATAGTATCTAGTGTAGTCTTAATAGCATCACTGTTCAGATCAAATATAGCCCTCAAGGAAGCAATCAGCTATGATTGCTGTTCTGAAAAAATAAAAAAAGGAATTCTGAAAAAGAGAAGGAAAAAGTTGATTCAAGACTTATCTCTAACAGTTAACTGCAAGATTGGCAAGACAGAAACCAAAATATTTACAAAGGCTATCTTTGGGAGGTAACAATATGGATGACTTTTTGCCACTTTTTAATATTTCCTTCATTTTTCAAATTTTAAAAGAATTGTCTATTGCTACTTAATGGTTAAACGTATTACAATAGTCTATTTTATAAATTCTTTGTAGTGGGTAAAAACCACAATGATTAACAAACATGCATTAAAACAGCTTTCATAGTGCTTCTAAGAGAAATCAGGTATATATGAGGAAATTCTCAAAGCCTCTGTTTGCTAAAGGGAAAAATGAACAAAAAGAAGCTGCTTAAGCAGCTTTCATTACAATCTATTCTAGACCATTAAAAATCACCTTCCATTTTCCTTCCAACTCTTAAGATGGGAAAAACTAAATATTTAATATATAGCTAGCAAGTTAATTTTGTATCAAATTTATAAAAAGGTGTCATAGTATTCTTATTTGCTCAGTGTATACTCAATGCATACAGTGCATATATGACCATTTAATAAAGGATGACATGACTACTTTAAATTAATTACAAAATTTCAAAACCCAAGCTCCCACTCCCCCCACCTCACACATATGATTTATGAAGACATTCTAATATGTTACCACTCAACCTTTTGATTTTTCCATTTCACTGTACAGCCTGGGTTTGGTTATCAATCATACTACTTAATAGCTGTGACATCCTAGACATGCCACTTAACTGTCCTGGAAGCTAAGTTTCTTAGTGTTAATACCATTATCACCAACATCTGTTTTGTTTTGTGTAGTTTACAAAATATTTTCATATATATTAATTCTATGGATACCCACACCACCCTCATTGTCTCATTTTGCAAATGACTTACCTCCCAAAGTCACATGCCTAGTAGCAAGACCAATGCTTACACAAAGTTAAATATCCTAACTACTCAGAACACTATTGTAAAGCTCAAATGAGACAATATGTATGTATTTTCTAAGCTCTGTAACTTTCTGTAAAAATATAAAGTAGCATATTATTTTCTATGTTCCCTTCTTATGGAAGTAGTAGTTGCATTCAATGATCTCCCGTTGTGCCCAGGTATAAAAGTGCAAGTTGGAAGAGTTTTTAACTTTTAATTGAAAAAAAATTGGATTAACTAAAGACTATTTATATTTTTAACACAGTATGATCATGCTCAATAGAATATAAATCTTTCTTTTCCTCAAAATAATATAAACATCTCTACAAGGTATTAATCATGCATTCAAAAATTTTGAGCACCTACCCTAGACACCTACTGGGTACACATGATGTAAAACATAGATGGATGTCTGAAAACATGGAACTAACAGTACAGCGATGAAGACAGGTAAACAAGCAAACAAACAAAAGACAACTTGTGGGAAAATGCTATAAAGAAGTAACAGGGTCAACAGGGTCCTAGAATAGGGAACCTGGGGAGAGGGAGCTTGAGAAAGGGATACTTGCACTGAGACCTGAAGAAGGAGTCAGAAATGCAAAGAGTAGGTGGTAGAACAGTTTAGGCAGTGGGAACTTCATGCATAAAAACTCCAAAGCAGAAAAGAAAAAGCCTTGGCACATCTGAGGAAAAAATAAATAAATCAGCACAGAATGGTAACTGAGGAAGACAGCCACCAATAAGGCTGAAGAGCAAGCAAGAGTCAGATCTCACACAGCCTGGGAAGGAATTTAAATATTAAAGTGGACTGTGAAACCATTAAAAAGTTTTCAGCAGTGGAGCATGGTCCAATTTACACTGAAGGTCATCATGGCTGTTGTACGGATAGAGCATTCTTTCCTTAGGAACAGAAGCTGACAGACCCCTTAGAAGACTTTGCAAGAGTTTAGTTGAGATGACAAAAGCCTGGACAGGGATGGAGGCAGTGAAGAAGATATGTTTCCACTAAATATAGAGTCATCTCTAGGCATTAGTGGGGTCTATGTTTCAGGACCCTGCCTTCTGACCCCCGCCCACAGATAACAAAAACCAAGGACGCTCTGGTTCCTGATCTAAAATAACACAGTATTTCCATATAACCTAGCACATCCTCCTATATACTTTAAATCACTCTAAATTACTTTTAATACCTAATACAAATGACTATATATTAATTTATTTGTGTGGATCCAACATAGTGTTCAGACTGCAGAAAATTCAAGTTTTGCTTTTTGAAACTTTGTGAAATTTTTTTTTCCTGGATATTTTCAATTCACAGTTGGTTAATCCACAGACACAGAACCTATGAATATGAAAGGCCCACTGTATATTTTAGGAGTAAAAAATACAACTTGCTGAGGTATGTGATATGAATAATGGAGAAACTGAGGAATTAAGGTTATTCCACATACCTGATTGAGCAACTGGGAGAATGATGATGGTATCAATAGGATCAATCCTAAATTTGTTTTTTAAAAAGTGGAGATGTTAAAAATAACTGGCCACGTGATTAAGGAATTCAGAGGAGATTGTCTGGGCTAGAAATACACATTTGGGGGTCATCAGCATTTAAGTGGTATTTAGCCTGGGAACTGATCCAATTCTAGAAAAGAGAGAGATAGAAGAGAGCACAGACTGAGCTCTGAAGAAGGCTAATATTTAAAAAGCAAATAAAGAGTTGGCCAAAGAAACTGAGAGGGAATAGCTAATGAGACAGTAAGAAAATCATGTATATGGGGTCACAGAAACCAAAAGAAGAAAGTGTTTAAAAGGCCAGATGCTGTACTGTTTTAAGTGCTGCTGAGAGGCCAAGTAAGATGAAGACAAGGCATCTTTTGGATTTGTAAACTGAAGACCAGTGGTGTATAGTACATTTTGTGCAAAGCCTTTGTAAATATTTAATAACTAGTTAATATTCTACTAAGTGAAAATACAGGTATTTTTAGTGTAACAGTGAGTTTTCTACGTGTGAATTAGATATTTTAAATTAAGGAACATGATTTGCCTTATTTGAACTGATGTTGTTTATAATGCAAGCTATGATTGGAAACCAGCACTCTGCTTAGGAAGAAGTAGCTGCGCACACAACAGAAGGATACAAAATGACTTAGTTTGAAAGGCTGGCTACAATGTGGGAATGTGTTCTTTTGCTCACTGTTAAAAATTATGAATTTTGGGCCTTTACAATAAAGACCTGGAAAACGTACTCAACTTTTACTAGCTATGTATAGACCCTTGACATCGTTCAAGTCAATGGTGGTACAGGTTAAAGTACCTGGGGAGGAAGGGTCATTTCTCAAAGCACTGCTAGGGAAAAGCCTTTTGCCCATCCACTTTTTCACCACCCAGAACACAATGTGATCTTTGGAATTATTATACGATAATCTTTGGACCATGGGGAGGAAATCCATAAACTAAGGAAAGCAGAGCAAGTAGACAGGAGGATACTGGTCCCTCGAGGGTACTTCTCAGGCCACTGTACTAGCCCTGGACTGCCACTTTCCAAATTTCTTGTTGCAGAATAATATAAACTCTTTACTTATTTTAATCTACTAAGTGTGATTTTGCAGTTACTAATTGCTAAACTCAATATTAATTGATACATGCCATGTTTGTTTCATTCCTTCCTAAGAGTATTTTAAAATGAAGCAATGTTTAACACAGTTAAGAGGACATTAGAGCTACAGTAAACTCCACTGCAACTAGTACTAGCCATGTGACCTAGTTCTGGACAAAGAGGTGTATGGAAGACTGATGGGGGCTTCTAGGAAATTTAATCCTATGCTGCAAAGAAGAGAGAGCTGCGGAAGGAAACTGGTAGATAGACTGTCCCTGCCATGCCCTCCATGCCATTCCTCACCAGTTGCTCTTCTTGTCTTTCAACTGGTTGTGATACCTAGAGCACACAGCTATCTTGAAAGTACTGAGCAACAAGCACAAGGATAAAAAGGCTACCTCCAATAATGAAAAATACCTGGCTGCTTGATAACATCACTAAGCTGCTAGACTAGCCAGAATGCCTTTTTCCCAATTTCTTGTTATGTGAGATAATTAAATATCTTTAGTGATAAAGTCACTATTAGTTGGGGTTGTTTGGGGTTTTTGTGTTTTTTTGGTTGGTTGTTTTTGCAGCTAAAAGCATTCCTAACTGATACACTCTCTATCTTCTCTCAAATATCCAAGTATCTTCATGCTGCCCTTTAAATAAACAAAATTCAAAATTTTATCCCTTACTCCGGCTCCATCTCACTTCAAAATTTCTTCTCCAATATAGGTTGAACTCGTACTAATGTTCCTCTACTTGAAATGCTCCCCCATCTAAATCTTATCAATTTGTAAAAGGCCTAGCTTAATTCCTGTATCCTTCAAGAAGCCTCTCCAAGCCACACGGTTTAAGTCTTGAAGTCCACAATTCTCTGAATGTATTGACAGTCTTACCATTATTTATTCCCCATGTAAACCTTCCCTTTCAAATCAGCACAGGGTTTAGCCAATTCAAAATTCAATTCTAAGAGTTTTCAGGCTGGGAATGTTGAATATCTGCACTTTGGGCTCTTATTGCTGAACTCTTGTACAAAGCCTACCTGCAAGAACCACTACTCATGGTTATATCACTTTAAGTATATGCAGCTCATTTTCTCTTCTGGATTAATACACTCTTAGCCAAGTGTATAAATCAGAATATATTTGTGGAACTTTCCAAAATACATACTCCAAGGCACCACCCCAGACATACTGAATCATTTCCAAGGTCATATATGTTGAAGGTATCAGGTGATTCTGATGTGTACTCCTAGGTAAGATTTTTCTAACTCTAGATACTCTAGAATTGCACTATTCCATACAGTAGCTACTGGCCATATACAGCTATTGAGCACTTGAAATTAATTTAAATTTAAAAATTGATATATGAGATTCAGTTACCAGAAAACCTTAAGCATGTTTGGAACTTGGATATATGAATTTATTTTTTCAACTGTAAATTTTATGAAATATAGACTATTTCTAATGAAAATCTGACATCTGAATTCAGATGTGCTCTAAGTATAATGCACCTTAGATTCTGAAGACTTAGTATGAAAAAAGGTAAAACACTATCAATAATTTTGTATCAATTAGATGTTGAAATTATAATATTTTGGATATATCAAGTGAAATGTTATTAAAATTAATTTTACCTGTTGTCTTTTAACTTTAATGTGGCTACCAGAAAATTTAAAATTACATATGTTGTGTTCTATTTCTATTGGACAGTGCTATTTTCTAAAGAGTCATTTTTACCCAATTGTGACTAAGAGTTACGTCATTAAAAATACCCATTACATTTACTTGGAGAGAACTAGTCAATGTCTCCTTTATAAGGGCCTATGTAAGACATTTCTCTCAGACTTCAGTGTCAGGAAAAAAATTTCTTTTCCTAAGCAATTGCTATAGTTTTAATTTATGAATACTATGAATCTTATTATCAATCAGATATCTCCCTTTGCCTTGCTGAGAGCCAAATTACAGCCAAACTTCAGTAATTGCATAGAACGTCAGGAAACGCTTCTCCAGCTAGCCCAATCATAGTATTCTTCTTCATTTTCTCTTTGCTCAGAAATTATTTTTCTTCTTGAAAGTCATAAATCTTTTTTTACAATGAAAAAAGTAATTATCTTCAGTAAGAACCAAAGCCTGGGAAATACCAAAACAACTTAAGGCAAAGGCATATTTATTTAAGTAAAATATGAAAAGTTGTAAAGTTGGCTTTATCCTCGAGACTCTGCATTCACAGGTTCAACCAACCACAGATTGAAAATATTTGGAAAACACTGAAAACAATGCAACAATTAAAAATAATGCAAATAAAAAACAATACATAGAACAACATTAAATTGTATTAGTTGTAAGTAATCTAGAGATAATTTAACATACAGGAAAGGACGTGCATAGGTTATATGCAAATACTGCACCATTTTATATCACGGACTTGAAGCATCTGTGGATTTTGGCATTGGGTGATGGTAGGGTCCTGAACAAATCCTTCCCTCATACTGAGAGATGACTGTATTCAATTCCTCAAACTGCTACTTTTTAAATTCACTTTGCATCATTATTTTCAAGAAATAAAGCAACCTTTAAACACCACCACAATATTCTCATATGCTTTGGGGAAGAAGACTCAGAGCCACTTTTGAAATAAAATTAAAATCCTCAGAAGAAAAAGATGTAATTAATGAATATTAGTGACACTGTTCTGGTTATCTAATGAAATAATGTTCAGAGTTACAAAAGAAGGAATGCATGCAAATCACGCTTCTTCAGCTTATTCAAGAGGGTTACTTTCTATTCTGAGTTATTAGGTCTAATCCAAGAAGAAACAGTAGTTTTAGGTCTAATTTAGAATCTTTCTTTTTTTTAAAGAGTATCTAATGTTATTTTGCTGTAGATTTTGTGAAGTTATATTGCACAGCCAATAAGAATAAATACAGGTTGTTTTAATTACTTCAAATATCAAAAATCATACAAGGTCTTTCAGCAGTTACAAATTTTACTCATCAGTCCTTAACTAAAACTGAGCCTGCCTGCTAGCTTACAGACGTTCTCAAGGAAAACAAATTTATATTCTACCAAACAGAAAATCTAGAACAAATTAATGGCAATGACATGAAAACCTATTAAGAGCTTCTACTGTTATCATAAATAATCATTTAATATATAGAGATATATAACAACTATATAATAAAAAATAATAAAAATTTTATTTGGGATGCCAAGCCAAATTTTGTACATGAGTAAAGAGAAAAACTTTAATACTCTTTCAACAAGTCATCAAATAAATATTAACACCCACTCTTTTCCAAGCACTGTAATAGGCCCAAGATGTAAGGGCCTATTATAAAGTTGAATAAGATGCCCATGTGCCATGCTGTCCCAGCACATAAGCTAATGAGATAGACCAGAGTTTTATTAAAGAATGACCTAGGCGGGCTGCTGTCCAGAAATACACCACTGGAATATGATTGGCCATGTGTGGTTGCAGTCAGCAGAAGTTCCAAAACTGAACAATATATTTTTACCAGAATTAATTAAATTTTATTGTGTAATTTTAAATGGCCTTTAGAAAGCTGCCTGGTTCAGAAAAATCATGCAATAAGATCTAAGGGATTAAAACTACCAAACCTTCAGAAATGTTTTGTCTAATTATTTCTAGAAAACTGACCCTGCATTGGCCAGTAGAAAACGAATTAGTAGGTATTTGTTTCTATATAGAAATGTTATAAAATCAGTTTATTCCTCTTCTATTAAATATATGTTGGGCAAATATTTAAGATTATTATTACTGTGTTAGTTCACCAACTATTAGTTCCCATCCCCTATGAATTGTCCTAACTCTGCGCAAAACACAGTAGCAATTGAAATGTCAATCCAGTGTGTACTACAACAGAAATCCTGTGTCACTGGGGCACAAAGAGTGAGCACCAATACAGATTTACAAGGGTCTGAAACAGCATCCCAGAGAATTCTAAAGACTCAGCTGAGATTTCAAATAGAACGAGTTAGATGAGTGGGAAATGGGTGTGTGGGGGGGAGAAATATCTCATATAATAAATCAGCTTCAAACTTCTGAGATCCTCTAGTCTGGATACCAAAAATGATAAATACATACTTTGGGAAATGACCATGAATTACCCACCTACCATAGATCAAAGATATTAAAAGTATTTTATCCAAGTTAGAAATGTGTTAATAACTTCCTGAACAAATAAATTTGTGAGGTCTAGAAGCCAAGGAATATGTATAACCCACAGCTAAACTAAACAAACAAAACCCCATTTTATTGTTGCTCTTCTGAATGCCACTTTATTCCCAAATATGTACTGTCTTTCCAACCCAGAACCATAAAATAAAACTTCAGGCAATGTTACTGACATTTTAGGGAAATTCTCAGTGTGCTTTCTGAATTGCCTAAAAATCTATCTAAAAGTTACCAGATGAGTGGGTTTCCATGTCATTCACAAAGTGATTAAACAAGATGCCAATTCAAATAGAAAAGCACTCAATGAAAGATGTCTGGATAACTTACCTACTGCAATGAAGGAACTGAACTCATACAGGTCTATCTTAGCTTTATCTTTGGGAGCTACCTCAACTTGAGAACAGCTGAATAATCTATACATTTCTGATGTAGGTAAGTTTAACACCTTTCAATATCTATCAAATAACCAGTTTCTGCATGGAGTCATCATAAATATCATTTATCACACAATGATGCTTTTAGGACATATTAGGTAGGTGCTCAGGGCTATTTTCCACTAAACTTCAGAATGCTATGCTACGAATTCTGTTAGCTTTGTAGGATTTTTTTCCCCACTGTCACCAGGATCTGACTAAGAAGAAATAATCTATTTTTAAATAAGACAATATGAATGAAAGTATTTTAACTGAAAAGCAAAAAGCACTCTGTAAACATATTACAATTTTATTATTGAATAATATTAATATTATTACATTACTTTGTCTAGAGTCCCTTCTCCTCAATTAAAGCAATATGGTATTGAAGAAACTGACTAAATTATGGAATATAACCACAGAGTTTAGGGAATTTACTTTTAGAACCAAGTAACAATAAGGAATTTTTACCATATAAGCTGACTGTTTTGACTATCTAAAACAAATCTCTTGCTATGTGCTGAAGTAATCAGTTTTAAACTGTTTACCTAAAATAATAGCAAATGTGTCTAAAATAAAAGTAAATGAGCCAGGTACATTGGCTCATGCCTGTAATCCCAGCACTTTGGGAGGACAAGGTAGGAGGATTGAATAAGCCCAAGAGTTTGAGACCAGCCCGGGCAACATGGTGAGATTTTGTATCTACAAAAAAAAAAATTGTTGGGCATGGTGGCACATGCCTGTGGTCCCAACTACTCAGGAGGCTGAGGTGGGAGGATTGTTTGAGCCCATGAGTTCATGGTTGCAGTAAACTGTGTTTGTGCCACTGTACTCCAGGCTGGGTGACTGAGCAAGACCCTGTCTCAAAAAAAAAAAAAAAAAAAAAAAAAAAAGGAACAATGTTGAACTCTGAAAATCTTCTAGGAGTAAAGTTTATAAATTTGGTTACAAGAATCTGTGTAATATTTTTATTGCTTGGAGACATTTGCTATTTCCTTGTTCTTGGATAAACTCTAGGTAGCAGACTGCTGCTATACCTAACTGCTAGGTAAATTAGGGTTATCTATCACCTCTGGATTCAAGATGTGAGACGCAAAAGTTATCCTGCCTGCATACAACAATCCCCCAAAGACAAAAACCATGGCAGTGCTGCCATGCCGTTTCCTCATTATTCCTGGACATTTTGTACTGAGAACTGTTTGATTCCAAGTTTCAGTGCTAAATACTAAACCACCTCAATCTTTAAAGTCACTTTAGGAGGAAAATACATTACCTTCTTGTCTGCGACATTTTATTTATTCTGGAGTAAATAAATAAAAGCATTTTCTAGTTTAGAATCTGAATGTCATTTGGGGAAGTCTACAGTTACCATAGCTTGGTATGCAACACGCGTAAGATGAAAACATAAACTGTAATAACTAAAGCTAAGTTTTTCTGTTTGTTTTGCCTCTTATCTGATGGATAAATGGGCAGCAGAACCTTCGAATTTTTTAAATGAATTAAGCCATTCAGGTTTGCTCCAATGTTTTAATCACTGCTTAGTCCCTGCTCTACTTGGTAGGGGAGGGGTACAGGGTTATGATGATAAAGCCGGCTGAGGTGATGGAAATAAGAATGGGTCAGGGGAGGAACAGGAAAGAGACCAGAGGCAAAATAGCTGAAATGTATTAGAAAGGAAAGCGTTTCTGGAGGTTTTCTATTTTTTTCAATGTAATCTGTAATCCAACTCTAAAAGCAAAGTAATCATAGATAATTTTTTTAAAATTCCATTTAGCAGAAGATCAATGCTAAAATCCAATTTGTTAAGTGAAATACGTACAAATTCACATGTACATGTGTGCATGCATGTATAAACTTGTGCGTGTGGTAAATCCCTATTCTAATCCCAAACTGGGTCAGCATTCTGACAGATGGGAGAGCAGGGAGCTGGGTAAATGGCAACCAGACATAAACAAGTGCTTTCTCTGTAAGCCAGGAATTCAAAATTAGATTTGATCCAGAGAATGTTTTAAACTTTTGCTTTTATCATTTGAGTTACAGAAAATAACTTATACTAGCCTGAACTGACAGCAAAACTTTATTTTTTAAAATCTGACATAGCTCCTAGTTTAGCAAATTAAGGTGCTTCATTCACAAATTGCATTTAGTCCCCATTTCAAATTCCTGGTATAGAACATATTATATGCAAATGTTCTGTCCTAGAAGCTGCATTACACCAGAATCAGCTCTGCATTTACCCTTAACTGCACCAAGCAGTGAAAAAAGGAAGTTCAGCAGCAAAAGTAGCTAAAAATAAGAAAACAGTCATACTCTAACATTCACATATACTCACAGGCTTTCTAATTCATGATCAAGAAATCTAAATTTAGACTAACTAAGTAAAAAGATACTATCACACACATCCTTTTCAGTCAGGAAGAGAAAGTTAATATGTGCAAAGCCTTCAAAACACAGGAATTCAGAGACACTTAACATCAATTATTTAAACGACTACTAATCTTTTACAGAGCAAAGGAAAAAGAAAACTGTTTAGGTCACTTGATCAGAAGTACACAAATAACTATTTTCTTCCTTTTCCTTCCAATAAAAAAGGAAGATGAAAACTAATAATTTCTCAAATTAAGGCCAATCAATCACCTGACAAATTTTTCTCTGTTTAAGAACTATTTTTAAATGTTAAGGAAGTTTTTCCAGCCTTTCAAAAAAGTGTTTGTTTCCTTATTTTTAAAGTTCTGACTTCACATAATACGCCTATCACAAGTGTGCTTGCACTTCACCTTAGTGGCCAATGTATAACAGCTTGTATATTTTGATAGCAAATTGAGACTTAATTCATTTTAGTTTAAGACTAAAAAACCCAGAACTCTAAGAATACTGTCTCAGACAGAATTTAAAAAGACCTTTCCCATGCGTTCTCCCCTTCACAATGTTCACAAGACAAAAACCACTTTAACACTAATCACATTCTGAAATGTTAATTTTTCAATTGCTAAAAGATAGCAGCATCTTTACATGCTTTATATCTGTGTGTTTGATAATATTAGGTAATTGCTGCTAATTTTTAAGGTGTGATAAGAGTATTATGGTTGTTTTAAAAATAATCACTATATATTACATATCTGGGAATATTTATGAAAGATGTGGAATTTGATTCAAAATAATTTAGAAGGAGCAAGTAGAGCAAGTACAAATACAGATAAAACATTACTGTCTATGAGGTGACAACTGTTGAAGCTGAGATATGGATACATGGAAGTTTTATTATAATATTCTCTCTACTTCTGTATGTTTGAAATTTTTCATGAAAGTTAAAATAAAAGTGCTTAGAAAATCCCACCTAAGTGACTCTCTAAATATAATCTGAGAGAGTTAAACCCCATGTTTAGCTTTGGGACAGAAAAGGAGAACTATGAAGCGTAAAACGAAAGGCAAAGGCCAAGTAAGGTGATTTTGTTGCATTTACCCTTAACCACATCAAGGCTATCCATATCAGAAATCCTGGGATAAAGAAAGATGCTCAGAGTTCAAAAGAAACAGTTACCTGTGAATACAACATTTGGCCAAGTCCATAAACTAAGGAGATTGTTACAATGGTACTTCTACAAAGCTGGAAAAAAATTAACCTACCAATCACAGGACTAGAAGATTTAATACAATAAAGCAGTTATACTTTCTGTAATAGAACCTATATAATTACTGCTTACTTATGATAATGAATTAAAATACTAGGATACTGCAAAGTATGTAGCTTTCTTTTTATGAGCATTTTTCAAAAATAAAATTTCTTCTACCAGAAAAGACATCACTTTTTTTAAAAAAGGTAAAAGTTAGAAGAGAACCATATTTCCAAGTTGGAGAGAAATGATTTAGAAAGAATCCAAGGACCACACCACCGCCCCCACCCCCAAGAATTAATGATAAAGATTCATTAACGTCAAAGGGCTGATTTCAAGACCTGAGACCTCTATCACAGGAGATAATTCAAGGACAATAATCCTTTTTCCCCAATCCCTACCCCCAAAACTTTTCTATAGACAACTGCAAAGATAAAATGTCAACCATTTCAAAAACGTAAAAGGTTCTACAAATAAGCTTTATAGGATGATTTATGGTGTTCCCATAAGCCTAACAATGTTTCTTAACTTATTCCAACATATGGCTTTTTCTTTCTTTTCTGGAAAGAAGCTTCTCTAATGAAGTCCTAATAGTAGTATGCGAGTGACCCTGAAAAGAAAGATGTATCAGAAATTAGAATCCCACTGAGAGGCCCTCAGAGTTCCTTTTTTTTTTTTTTTTTTTTTTTGAGATGGAGTCTTGCTCTGTCACCCAGGCTGGAGAGCTCAGTGGCTCGATCTCGGCTCACTGCAACCTCTGCCTCCCAGGTTCAAGCAATTCTCTTGCCTCAGCCTCCCAAGTATCTGGGACAACAGGCATGTGCCATCATGCCCAGCTAATTTTTGCATTTTTGTAGAGATGGGGTTTCACCACGTTGGCCAGGCTGGTCTTGAACTCCTGACCTCAGGTGATCCGCCTGCCTCGGCCTCCCAAAGTGCTGAGATTACAGGAGTGAGCCACCATGCCTGGCCTGAAGTCCTCAGACTTTTTATAGTAACTCAGAATGAACTCTGAGTTTAGGATACTCCCCAGATTCCTTGCGATCCTGGAGTTTATTTTTCACTCATGGTTCCTATATTTGAAATAGTATTAAACATTTAAAAACTATTATATCAAGCTTTTTTCTCCCTTGAGTTATCATCCACTACATTTCTGTCCTTTCATTCTAATGAATTAACTATAGACATTGCTTAAATCAACATATTAGGTTCTGACCATGAGAAAAACAGTAAACATAACTACATTCTAAAGTTACTGAAGTCAACCCTTCAGCTTATTTGCTATTATTTGTTAAATGACTGTTGTCTTTTTGTTCTATAATCTTACCACATGCATATATAAAATGAACTGCCTTATTTCTAATATATATAGTATTTAATAGCAGAGTATGCCTTCCCAGAATTCTGGGAATAACAGACTGTCACATGATAGGCTCTGGAAACAGAATGCCAGGGTTTGAATCCTGGCTCCACCAGTTACCAGAAAACTGCTTTAAAATCTCCATGTTTCAGCTTCCTTATCTGTAAAATGGGGATAATAATAATACCTACCTAATAGCATTGTAGGGAAATTTTACTGAGTAAACATGTGTGAAGCATAAAACAGTGCCCACCTGGGCACTCAATAGATGCCAGCAACTGGTATTTCACTATTAAAAAATAACACAAAGAAGAAGCTTACTAAGTACCAAAAAAGCTTTGTTAAAAAAAAGACTATGAAATCTGAGCAGTGTTTCAATATATTTATACTTTTTTAACCTATTACTTATAGGTTATATATGTGTTTGATTTATTACACTAAACTCATCACAAAGAAAATACCCTTCTTGTAATATAGCAAAGCTGTGTATACATACCAGGACTAAACTTAAATTTGTCTTTATTTTTTACAGCTGTACTGCGTCATGTCATAGTAATCACAACTCTTGGGTAACTAGTCAAATTGCTCAGGAAGCCAGATGTAATACCTTTTGCAGACATTTATTGGTAAATCTAACTTTAAAACCTCTAAAGTAAGATCGGGCTACTACTGCATTCCAGATACTAAATGTCACTGGAACATGAAGACATTCTCATTTCCAAAAGAACATGCTAACTTCTTTGGTTGAGCTTTCTAACACTTTGTATGTGTATCATTTATTCATTACATACGTACTCCACAGGTAGCAAAGTTTAGTTTTTAGCCAATAAAAATCTTTTATTTGCTTTATATTCTCTAGTACGAGACCATATGAAAATTTTTTACTAATTTTCTGTAAGTTTACTTTTGTCTTGTTCCATTGATTTCGTACAGAAATACAAAATATGAATTATCTGACTGCACATAAATCCCCAAAACAGAATCATCAACACAGTGGCTCTCAAGGAACATAGATGAAATTAAAAACAATTTTATGAGTAATTGCTAGGTGATTACAACTAGTCCTAAAGCTCTTTGTTAAATTAAATTACCTGAATTAGAAGATCCAGAAACTTGCTCTCATTCAGTACTTTTGAGAAAGTGTTGATGTTCTTAATTCTGATATAATTAACAATACCACCACTGGAATATGCTGCCTTGGTTGAATATATATGGTAGGGAAACTATCTTATAAATTAGCAGACATTGAACTCAATGAACTTTATGCAAATGTGATTTCTGAAAAGATAAATGTATGTGTAAATTTTGTAATCACACATTTAGAGATTTGTTTTTACTTCATTTACTTTTAGCTGGTGAAAGGGGGAGTAAGTAAAATATAATTGAAATCTAAAGATTCTTTTCAAAGGTGTTGTATACTACAGAGATGTATACACATACCATATATGTATTTACAAACCTAGCAATAGGATAAAGTACTGACTGGAGGAGGGAACAGTTAAAAACAAAACAGTCCTTTTGTGAGATCTCAAAGATTTTAAAATAAGCATCCCACAAATCTCAAATATAAACTCAAACCTCTGCTCCTTTTGATTCTACTGAAATAGTCTAGTTTAGGAGAGTTCTAATTTGCTTCTATCTTAGTGAAATTACAGGATTAAAATTAGAAAAGTGTTTCTAGTCACTGGCACAACCATATTACTCCATAGAATCACCTGAGGTGGAGTGCAGTGGCGTAATCACAGCTCACTGCAGTCTCAAACTACTGGGCTCAAGTGATCATCCCATCTCAGACTCACCAGTAGCTGGGATTACAGGCACGAACCACCACACCTGGCCAAAGACTGCATTTTAAAAAGGAAATACGGTACAGCTATGATGTGTTAAAAAGAAGCCTGTACTATCCTGTGAAAAACTCAAAGAACTAAAGGTTTTCTTTTGAGTGAGTGTAAATTGCCTACACAAAAGGGCACACAAAAGGGCACATAATTAAATTTGATCTTTAAGATCTCCCCAAATTAGAACATTTCAAAATGAATTATCAACTGTATACACACACACAAACACAAACACACACATCACATCACACATAAAAAATGTGGAGCGTAGAGAGAAAAAACATGAATAGTATTCATATGTAAGAAGAAGAATTTTATAAATGGTATTATTTTCCTTAAAATGTTTTCTATTTTACAAGTTTTACAATAATCTTATTGCTTTTCTAATTAATTACAAAATTAGAATGAAAGAATAATAAACCAAATAGTAAATTTAGTTTTGTTTTCTTTTTTTTCTTTGAGAAGGAGTTCGCTCCTGTTGCCCAGGCTGGAGTGCAATGGTGTGATCTCAACTCACTGCAACCTCCATCTCCCGGGTTCAAGCGATTCTCCTGCCTCAGCCTCCCAAGTAGGTGGGGTTACAGGCATGCGCCACCACGCCCGGCTAATTTTGTATTTTTAGAAGAGACGGGTTTCTCCATGTTTGTCAGGCTGGTCTCCAACTCCCGACCTCAGGTGATCCGCCCGCCTTCGGCCTCCCAAACTGCTGGGATTACAGGCGTGAGCCACTGCGCCCGGCTGCAAATTTAGATCTTTAAGTGTAGACAGATAAAAATAAATACAGTATGGCCAAGAAAGGACAAATTGGGACAAGATACATAAACACTTCTCTTTAGGAACCACTGGTCAAGTACATTGAGAAATCACAGAAAGAATAAATGTCATTAATTTTACTATGGAGGATAACTGAGTGGCAACCACATTAACCTAGTTGACACTGCATAATGATAATTACCTTTCCTTCTAAAAGATTCACATCAATTTTAAACTTATAAGAAATTACTCATTTTTCTATTTATTTTTATTATACTTTAAGTTCTAGGGTACATGCGCACAATGTGCAGGTTACACATGTATACATGTGCCATGTTGGTGTGCTGCACCCATTAACTCGTCATTTACATTAGGTGTATCTCCTAATGCTATCCCTCCCCCCTCCCCCCATCCAACCACAGGCCCCAGTGTGTGATGTTCCCCTTCCTGTGTTCAAGTGTTCTCATTGTTCAATTCCCACCTATGAGTGAGAACATGCGGTGTTTGGTTTTCTGTCCTTGCGATAGTTTGCTGAGAATGATGGTTTCCAGCTTCATCCATGTCCCTACAAAGGACATGAACTCATCCTTGTTTATGGCTGCATAGTATTCCATGGTGTATATGTGCCACACTTTCTTAATCCAGACTATCACTGATGGACATATGGGTTGGTTCCAAGTCTTTGCTATTGTGAATAGTGCTGCAATGAACATACATGTGCATGTGTCTTTATAGCAGCATGATTTATAATCCTTTGGGTATATACCCAGTAATGGGATGGCTGGGTCAAATGGTATTTCTAGTTCTAGATCCTTGAGGAATCACCACACTGTCTTCCACAATGGTTCAACTAGTTTTACAGTCCCACCAACACTGTAAAAGTGTTCCTATTTCTCCACATCCTCTCCAGCACCTGTTGTTTCCTGGCTTTTTAATGATCACCATTCTAACTGGTGTGAGATGGTATCTCATTGTGGTTTTGATTTGCATTTCTCTGATGGCCAGTGATGATGAGCATTTCTTCACGTGCCCATTGGCTGCATAAATGTCTTCTTTTGAGAAGTGTCTGTTCATATCCTTCGCCCACTTGTTGCTGGGGTTGTTTTTTTTCTTGTAAATTTGTTTGAGTTCTTTGTAGATTCTGGATATTAGCCTTTTATCAGATGAGTAGATTGCAAAAATTTTCTCCCATTCTGTAGGTTGCCTGTTCACTCTGGTGGTAGTTTCTTTTGCTGTGCAGAAGCTCTTTAGTTTAATTAGATCCCATTTGTGAATTTTGGCTTTTGTTGCCATTGCTTTTGGTGTTTTAGACATGAAGTCCTTGCCCATGCCTATGTCCTGAATGGTACTGCCTAGGTTTTCTTCTAGGGTTTTTATGGTTTTAGGTCTAACATTTAAATCTTTAATCCATCTTGAATTAATTTTTGTATAAGGTGTAAGGAAGGGATCCAGTTTCAGCTTTCTACATATGGCTAGCCAGTCTTCCCAGCACCATTTGTTAAATAGGCAATCCTTTCCCCATTTCTTGCTTTTGTCAGGTTTGTCAAAGATCAGATGGTTGTAGATGTGTGGTATTATTTCTGAGGGCTCTGTTCTGTTCCATTGGTCTATATCTCTGTTTTGGAACCACTACTATGCTGTTTTGGTTACTGTAGCCTTGTAATGTAGTTTGAAGTCAGGTAATGTGATGCCTCCAGCTTTGTTCTTTTGGCTTAGGATTGTCTTGGCAATGTGGGCTCTTTTTTGGTTCCATATGAACTTTAGTTTATTCCAATTCTGTGAAGAAAGTCATTGGTAGCTTGATGGGGATGGCATTGAATCTATAAATTACCTTGGGCAGTATGGCCATTTTCACGATATTGATTATTCCTATCCATCAGCATGGAATGTTCTTCCATTTGCTTGTGTCCTCTTTTATTTCGTTGAGCAGTGGTTTGTAGTTCTCCTTGAAGAGGTCCTTCACATCCCTTGTAAGTTGGATTCCTAGGTATTTTATTCTCTTTGAAGCAATTGTGAATGGGATTTCACTCATGATTTGGCTCTCTGTTTGTCTGTTATTGGTGTATAAGAATGCTTGTGATTTTTGCACATTGATTTTGTAACCTGAGACTTTGCTGAAGTTGCTTATCAGCTTAAGGAGATTTTGGGCTGAGACGACGGGGTTTTCTAAATATACAATCATGTCATCTGCAAACAGGGACAATTTAACTTCTTTTCCTAATTGAATACCCTTTCTTTCTCCTGCCCGATTGCTCTGGCCAGAAATTCCAACACTATGTTGAATAGAAGTGGTGAGAGAGGGCATCCCTGTCTTGTGCCAGTTTTCAAAGGGAATGCTTCCAGTTTTTGCCCATTCAGTATGATATTGGCTGTGGGTTTGTCATAGATAGCTCTTATTATTTTGAGATACGTCCCATCAATATCTAATTTATTGAGAATGTTTAGCATGAAGGGCTGTTGAATTTTGTCAAAGGCCTTTTCTGCATCTATTGAGATAATCATGTGGTTTTTGTCTTTGGTTCTGTTTATATGCTGGATTATGTTTATTGATTTGCATATGCTGAACCAGCCTTGCATCCCAGGGATGAAGCCCACTTGATCATGGTGGATAAGCTCTTTGATGTGCTGCTGGATTCAGTTTGCCAGTATTTTATTGAGGATTTTTGCATCGATGTTCATCAGGGATATTGGTCTAAAATTCTCCTTTTTTGTTGTGTACTCTGCCGGACTTTGGTGTCAGGATGATGCTGGCCTCATAAAATGAGTTAGGGAGGATTCCCTCTTTTTCTATTGATTGGAATAGTTTCAGAAGGAATGGTACCAGCTCCTCCTTGTACCTCTGCTAGAATTCGGCTGCGAATTTGGCTAGTCCTGGACTGTTTTTGGTTGGTAAGCTATTAATCATTGCCTGAATTTCAGAGCCTGTTATTGGTCTATTCAGGGATTCAACTTCTTCCTGGTTTAGTCTCGGGAGGGTGTATGTGTCCAGGAATTTATCCATTTCTTCTAGATTTTCTAGTTTATTTGCGTAGAGGTGTTTATAGTATTCTCTGATGGTAGTTTGTATTTCTGTGGGATCAGTGGTGATATCCCCTTTATTATTTTTTATTGCTTCTATTTGATTCTTCTTTATTAGTCTTGCTAGCAATCTCTCAATTTTGTTGATCCTTTCAAAAAACCAGCTCCTGGATTATTGATTTTTTGAAGGGTTTTTTGTGTCTCTATCTCCTTCAGTTCTGCTCTGATCTTAGTTATTTCTTGCCTTCTGCTAGCTTTTGAATGTGTTTGCTCTTGCTTCTCTAGTTCTTTTAATTGTGATGTTAGGGTGTCAATTTTAGATCTTTCCTGCTTTCTCTTGTGGGCATTTAGTGCTATATATTTCCCTCTACACACTGCTTTAAATGTGTCCCTGAGATTCTGGTATGTTGTGTCTTTGTTCTCATGGGTTTCAAAGAACATCTTTATTTCTGCCTTCATTTCGTTATGTACCCAGTAGTCATTCCGGAGCTTGCTGTTCAGTTTCCATGCAGTTGTGTGGTTTTGAGTGAGTTTCTTAATCCTGAGTTCTAGTTTGATTGCACTGTGGTCTGAGAGACAGTTTGTTATAATTTCTGTTCTTTTACATTTGCTGAGGAGTGCTTTACTTCCAACTATGTGGTCAATTTTGGAATAAGTGCGATGTGGTGCTGAGAAGAATGTATATTCTGCTGATTTGCAGTGGAGAGTTCTGTAGATGTCTATTAGGTCCGCTTGGTGCAGAGCTGAGTTCAATTCCTGGATATCCTTGTTAACTTTGTCTCGTTGATCTGTCTAATGTTGACAGTGGGGTGTTAAAGTCTCCCATTGTTATTGTGTGGGAGTCTAATTCTCTTTGTAGGTCTCCAAGGATTTGCTTTATGAATCTGGGTGCTCCTATATTGGGTACATATATATTTAGGATAGTTAGCTCCTCTTGTTGAATTGATCCCTTTACCATTATGTAACGGCCTTGTCTCTTTTGATCTTTGCTGGTTTAAACTCTGTTTTATCAGAGACTAGGATTGCAACCCCTGCATTTTTTTGTTTTCTATTTGCTTGGCAGATCTTCCTCCATCCCTTTATTTTGAGCCTATGTGTGTCTCTGCACATGAGATGGGTTTCCTGAATACAGCACACTGATGGGTCTTGACTCTTTATCCAATTTGCCAGTCTGTGTCTTTTAATTGGAGCATTTAGTCCATTTACATTTAAGGTTAATATTGTTATGTGTGAATTTGATCCTGTCATTATGATGTTAGCTGGTTAGTTTGCTCATTAGTTGATGCAGTTTCTTCCTAGCATTGATGGTCTTTACTATTTGGCATGTTTTTGCAGTGGCTGGTACCTGTTGTTGCTTTCCATGTTTAGTGCTTCCTTCAGGAGCTCTTTTAGGGCAGGCCTGGTGGTGACAAAATCTCTCAGCATTTGCTTGTTTGTAAAGGATTTTATTTCTTCTTCACTTACGAAGCTTAGTTTGGCTGGATATGAAATTCTGGGTTGAAAATTCTTTTCTTTAAGAATGTTGAATATTGGCCCCCACTCTCTTCTGGCTTGTAGAGTTTCTGCCAAGAGATCAGCTGTTAGTCTGATGGGCTTCCCTTTGTGGGTAACCCGACCTTTCTCTCTGGCTGCCCTTAACATTTTTTCCTTCATTTCAACTTGGTGAATCTGATAATTATGTGTCTTGGAGTTGCCCTTCTCGAGGAGTATCTTTGTGGCATCCTCTGTATTTCCTGAATTTGAATGTTGGCCTGCATTGCTAGGTTGGGGAAGTTCTCCTGGATAATATTCTGCAGAGTGTTTTCCAACTTGGTTCCATTCTCCCCATCACTTTCAGGTACACCAATCAGATGTAGATTTGGTCTATTCACATAGTCCCGTATTTCTTGGAGGCTTTGTTCGTTTTTTACTCTTTTTTCTCTAAACTTCTCTTCCCCCTTCATTTCATTCATTTGATCTTCAATCACTGACACCCTTTCTTCCAGCTGATCGAATCGGCTACTGAGGCTTGTGCATTTGTCACGTAGTTCTCATGCCATGGTTTTCAGCTCCATCAGGTCATTTAAGGACTTCTCTACACTGGTTATTCTAGTTAGCCATTCGTCTAATCTTTTTTCAAGGTTTTTAGCTTCTCTGCAATGGGTTCAAACTTCCTCCTTTAGCTCGGAGAAGTCTGATCATCTGAAGCCTTCTTCTCTCAACTCGTCAAAGTCATTCTCCGTCCAGCTTTGTTCCCTTGCTGGCGAGGAGCTGCATTGTTTGGAGGGAAACAGGCGCTCTGATTTTTAGAATTTTCGGCTTTTCTGCTCTGTTTTTTCCCCATTTTTGTGGTTTTATCTACCTTTGGTCTTTGACGATGGTGACGTACAGATGGGGTTTTGGTGTGGATGTCCTTTCTGTTTGTTAGTTTTCCTTCTAAGAGTCAGGACCCTCAGCGGAAGGTCTGTTGTAGTTTGCTGGAGGTCCACTCCAGACCCTGTTTGCCTGGGTATCAGCAGCGGAGGCTGCAGAACAGCGAATATTGCTCAAAAGCAAATGTTGCTGCCTGATCGTTCCTCTGGAAGCTTCGTCTCAGAGGGGTACCTGGCCCTGTGAGGTGTCAGTCTGCCCCTACTAGGGGGTGCCTCCCAGTAGGGTGCCTCCCAGTAGGCTACTAGGGGGTCAGGGACCCACTTGAGGAGGCAGTCTGTCCATTCTCAGATCTGAAACTCCGTGCTGGGAGAACCACTACTCTCTTCAAAGCTGTCAGACAGGGACATTTAAGTCTGCAGAGGTTTCTGCTGCCTTTTGTTCGGCTGTGCCCTGCCCCCAGAGGTAGAGTCTACAGAGGCAGGCAGGCCTCCCTGAGCTGTGGTGGGCTCCAGCCAGTTCAAGCTTCTAGGCCGCTTTGTTTACCTACTCAAGCCTCAGCAATGGCGGGCGCCCCTCCCCCAGCCTCGCTGCTGCCTTGCAGTTCAATCTCAGACTGCTGTGCTAGCAATGAGCAAGGCTCCGTGGGCGTGGGACCCTCCAAGCCAGGCGCGGGATATAATCTTCTGGTGTTCCGTTTGCTAAGACCGTTGGAAAAACACAGTATTAGGGTGGGAGTGACCCAATTTCCCAGGTGCCATCTGTCACAGCTTCCCTTGGCTAGGAAAGGGAATTCCTTGACCCCTTGCACTTCCCGGGTGAGGTGATGCCTCGCCCTGCTTCGGCTCACGCTCGGTGGGCTGCACCCATTGTCCTGCACCCACTATATGACAAGCCCCAGTGAGATGAACCCAGTACCTCAGTTGGAAATGCAGAAATCACCCATCTTCTGCGTCGCTCAGGCTGGGAGCTGTAGACTGGTGCTGTTCCTATTCGGCCATCTTGGAACCACCCCCTACTCATATTATTTTTAATTAAATTATTTTCTTAAAATGTTAAGAATGGTCAATTTGGGAAAGTTACTCTTCTAGCTTAAATTAATCATCTAATATGTGACCACACATATACTATGTTTTCAAACAGAGCGAAAGTGGATATACCATTGCTCTTTTCTTTGTAATAATCTGATGTGCCTATTCTGGAAAACCTCCCTTTTGCACTTGTGATTATTTTTGGTGTGCTTCTCAGGTAATTATAAGTTATATAAGTTATTCAAGTCACCTGGGGAACAAAAAAAGGGTTTTACAGTTTCAGAGTAGACTGCTATCCCTTTTGTCCATCCTGGGATAGCCACTTGAACTACTCAAGGGAGACTTCAGCTGTCCATCTAGTGGTTCTAATTGAGAAATGAGATATGTAAGCATTTCTTCCAGAAATGACTCATGTGTTGCCATAATTTGAAAAGCAAAAATATAATAACAGGCTTACATCTGCAATCTGCAGTACATACAACTTATCAATGAACCCAGAATAAAGGTATTTAGGGAAAAAGTTTTCCCAGCTTTTGATTTTTCTTGGCTGCCTGTTCGAAGTCCCAAAGGAGTAAGGTAGACAGTACTTTGGGGAATGAAAAAGCCATTTGCTTCCCTCCTATGACAGCTGGGAATCTAATTTCCCAATTTTTTAGTAAAACTCCTTCTCTGGGTACAAAGAATTTAACAAGAAACAACATCTCTTCGCAATCTCTGCATCAAAGCATGAACTAGATGACTGCTACTGAACCAACAGCCCTACTATTCTGTAATAGAAATATTCACCTTTGTAAGATTAAAAAGGAATAATTTCAGAGCAAAAAGCAAGTACTATTAATGCCTGTCCTGATTATATGCAGTAGCAAAGCAAAGGTATTTTGACAATTAGAAAGTGTTTGGAAAATATAGATACAGGCACAAGAATGGAAAAAATGACTTTCAAAAAAATGCACATACTGAATCCTTCTATGCCTAGCATATCAGTATGGAAGAAAACTACAAGAATTATATTAAAAACACTCTTGACCACATTGAAATACTTGATAATATATTGAGACCCATATAGCTTTCACCAAATTATACAATATTCCTCACCTCCTTGCTGTATCTGCTGTTGTTGACAAATCTGCCTCCTTGAGTTTCTCCCTATATGCCTTAAATGACAATCCAGCATTTTTTTTTTCTTTTTTCCTATAACTCTGTTCCTTTTCTCACGTTCATAATTCCCTTTTTCCCAAATAGAGGGGTTGTGCCTTCAGGGTATCCTCCCTCCCTCCCTTGGTGACTCATCTAATCTCATATTGATATTTTTTCAACTGAATGCTCACAAAAATTTATACTTTTTAGACTTCTCTTCTTTCCTGATGAGTAATTTCACACTCTTACAGAAGTTAAGGAGAGGTAAAATGACTCACAGATTCCTATACTACTTGCTCTTTTAAAAAAGATAATTCTTGCTGGGCGCGGTGGCTCACGCCTGTAATCCCAGCACTTTGGGAGGCCGAGGTGGGTGGATCACCTGAGGTCAGGAGTTCAAGACCAGCCTGACCAACATGGAGAAAACCCGTCTCTACTAAAAATACAAAATTAGCCGGGGTGGTAGTGCATGCCTGTAATCCCAGCTATTCGGGAGGCTGAGGCAGGAGAATCGCTTGAACCAGGGAGACGGAGGTTGCGGTGAGCCAAGATCGCGTCATTGTACTCCAGCCTGGGCAACAAGAGCAAAACTCCGTCTCAAAAGAAAAAAAAAAAAAAAAAGATAATTCTACAAGCTTGATTATATGTCTTTCTATATGATAGTTGACTAAAATCAGAAAAGTTAAAAGAAAGGCTGATGACAGCTTACTTAATGATAGAAAAAAAAAGAACGCTGACATTAAGAGAAGAAAAAAACTAAAAAATCACAAAAAGTAAAACAAAAAGCTTAGCAGTCTGGGACCACTTGGAATACAAGTCAAAAACAAACAAACAAAAAAACAAAAAAAGTCAAAGATCTTTTTAGTCCACTGAAAGTATTATATAAACCATACAAGTGCACTGTCCAATAATAGTAGCCACTAGATACACATAGATATTTTCATTAAAATTAAACATAAGTAAAAATTCGCTTCCTCAAACACTAGCCATGAAGAAAGTGCCCAATAGACACAAGTAGCCCAGCACGTGGCTACCTTACTAGACGACACAATAAAGAACATTTCCATGATTGTGCTAAGTTCTATCAGACACCTGCAGTGCTAATTCAACATTCATTGAGTTTTCCTTATTTAGTAGGCACTGTGCTAGACACAGCAGTTTAGAAAGATGAGGCCTCTCTGCCCTCAGAGTAAGTACATAGTCTGTTTAGTGGGAGAAACACATAAAAACACTTACAATTGCTAGAGTACAGGTAATGAAATTTATGAAAGAGCAACTAATTCTGTGGCCTAGCTCTGAATTTCAGACCAATTAGCTAAGATTCCAATCCTTTTACCTAATTTCTTTTTTTTTTTTTTTTTAAGACGGAGTCTCGCTCTTTCGCCCAGGCCAGACTGCAGTGGCGCTATCTCGGCTCACTGCAAGCTCCGCCTCCCGGGTTCACGCCATTCTCCTGCGTCAGCCTCCCGAGTAGCTGGGACTACAGGACCCCACCACCGCGCCCGGCTAATTTTTTGTATTTTTAGTAGAGACGGGGCCTAATTTCTATAATTTACCTTCTCTGTAGACTTAGCCTTGTTCATCTAGCAGTAGACTGTATAACAAATAATGCTGAGACTCACTACTACTTAGAAATCCCCGGGCCATCAGAACCAGAAGTACTGATGCCTGCATAGTTAATTTAAGTTAGCACTGTTCCTCTGGAGTCTACGCTTTACATTGCTGGCAATCCGTGATGGAAGCAGCTATCCTGCCACTCTGGCTACTTTTCCTTGGTCCCTCCCAGAAGTCAGCTTTGTGCCAACTGTCATTTTTAATTTGGATTTCCCAGCATGTTCTATACTTACAGTGTCTAGCTGCCTGACAAAGTTATAAAACATTACCAAGGAATTAGCACTGCAGTTGAGGACAAGTTTCAGGTGCAAATGGAGCAAGATAAAGAGAAGTCAAGGTCCACTTTAAGCAGAAAGTGAAGGCTCTGCAAAGGATGAGAGAGAAGCACAGGAGTTAAAAGAAAGATTATGGACAAGCAGGGGTTCATTACAACTCAAACACAGGGTACATACAAGGGGCCAACAGGAGATGAGGCTGGAATGCGGCCCAACTGCCAAGACAAGAGCATTAATGCTGTCATGGTAAGAAGGTTGGCCTGGATTAGCATGTGAGTGATAGCCAGCCATTAGTAGGTAGTACAGTCAGACACTGAGATCTGTATTTTCCATAGACAAATCTGGGAAAACGGTGGAAGGCGGACCGCAGTGGATGACTAAAATAAAAAGACGTCTGGATGGAGATCGGGTTAAAAAGTAGTGGAGATAAAAGAGGAAATTGATTTGAAACATATTAGAGAAAAATGATTGGCTTTATTGATGGGATCTATCTAGGACACTGGCACCCAAAAATGTTTGCTGCCCAAATTAGTGAGGAAAATAATGAGACCACTTAGATCACACAGGACAGAAAACAAATACCACAAGAAACATAAAAATTTGAGAACATGGCAGAAGACACACTGTGAGATTTAAAAAGAACAAAGACTCCAATGAGGCAATATTCCCTCTGCCTACAATATAATTCCCTAAGATAGCTGCATGGCTTGCTCCCCACCTCCTTTAGACTCCTGCATAAATGTCAACATCTCTGTGAGCCCTTCCCTGATCCCACTATTTAAAACTGAACACAGACATACTCAGCACTCCCAACCCCCTTTACTGCTTTATTTTTCTCTGTAATACTTACCACCATCTAATATACAATATATTTCACTTATTTTGTTCAATGTCTGTATCTTTACTATTTAAATGTAAACTCTATTAGGAGAAGGATTTGTTTGCTTCATTCACCACTATACACCAGCACCTAAAAAAGCATCTGACACATAGGAGGTACTCAACAAGTACTTATTGACTGTCTGAATAAATAACGCAGTGGCTCACGCCTGTAATCTCAGCACTTTGGGAGGCCGCAGCGGGCAGATCACGAGGTCAAGAGTTCGAGACCAGCCTGGCCAACATGGTGAAACCCCGTCTGTACTAAGACTACAAAAATTAGCCAGGCACAGGTGGCGCGTGCCTGTAATCCCAGCTACTCAGGAGGCTGAGGCAGGAGAATCACTTGAACCCAGGAGCTTCCAGTGAGCTGAGATCGCGCCACAGTGCACTCCAGCCTGGGTGACAGAGCAAGACTCTGTCTCAAGAAAAAAAAAAAAAAAGGAGTAAGAAGAACAGAATGAATACATGTAGACTAGTATGTAATCATAAAAATGATACCTAACATGAAAAATCTGTTGATCTTTTTGGATGCTCAAATGAAAAAATATGGATAACTAAATAGTTCTTTAAATATAAAAGGCTCAAAAATGTTTTCTTCATATATGACATAATATATTCAAATATATATAATTATAATACAGTCTTTCTCTTTACAGTCACAAAATAATGAGAAAGATTTTATAGCTGGAAAAATCACTCACAATAATTGATAGCCACATAGCAAATCCACCACTTAAAGTACTTAAGTCCTATTAAAGACACCAAACTTCAGTTAATGCTTTCTCAAAACTTCCATTCAAATTTCAAATTTATTTTCTGACATTTTGGCTTAATGATAAAAAAATGTTAAAATTCACATTTAAATTATTAAATTACATGCTAATTTAAAATGTTAAAAATTAAATGTTAAGCAAAGGCAAGAAGCTGAGGTTGAAATATCAGAGTATTAGTATAACTGTAACCACTGGCTTTAAAATATAGTAAAGAGGATATGACAAAGTGAAGAATGGTCAAAAAGTTAGAAAAGTAAAAACTCCAAGAACACAAAAAAGGCTACTTAGCTAGCTGGCTTCAGGAAAATAATCAAACATTACTAAGCTTCACTTTCTCTATCAATGAAATGAAGTTAATAGTAGCACCTACCTACCTGACAGGATTGTTTTGAGAGTTTTCCGATGGATTAAATTTGTTTCAAGTAATAAGCTTGGCACAGTGTCTGTAAGCGATCATCTTACTCCTTTAATCCACAAACATTTATGAAAAATCTACTATACAAAAGGCACTATACTAAGTACTGGTCATGGCAGCAAATAAAATATATAAATATAAATATATATATATATATAAATATATATATATATATAAATATATATATATATATATATATATATATATATATATATATATATATATATATATATATATCTCCACCCTCCTGGAATCTATGGCCTACTGGGGAGGACAAATAACTGAATTACAAAGTGTGATACATGCTCCAGAAGAAATCAATATGGTCTTGCAACAGAAACCAAGGGAGTAAAGGCTCTCAACTTTAGATGTCAGGAAAAGCTTCTCTGAAGAAAGAAAAACTACCCATGCAGATGCAGAGAGGGTATAGAAGTATACTGATGAGCATCCTAAGCAAAGACTCTGTGATGCAGAGAGGGTATAGAAGTATGCTGATAAATATCCAGGCCAGGTGCAGTGGCTCACGCCTGTAATCCTAGTAACTCCCAGTGGGTGGCTCCCACTTTGGGAGGCCCAGGCAGCTGGATCATGAGGTCAAGAAATCAAGACCATCCTGGCCAACATGGTGAATCCCCATCTCTACTAAAAACACAATAATTAGCTGGGTGCGGTGGTGCGTGCCTGTAGTCCCATCTACTCGGGAGGCTGAGGCAGGAGAATCACTCGAACCTGGGAGGCGGAGGTTGCAGTGAGTTGAGATCGCGCCACTGCACTCCAGCCTGGCAACAGAGCTAGACGCTGTCTCAAAAAAAAAAAAAAAAAAAAAAAAAAAAGTATATTGATGAATATCCAAGGCAAAGACTCAGCCTTGCTGTGGGATAGGGCTTGTAGCATGTTTGAGGAACTGAAAGGGAGCCAATACAATTAAAGCATAGCAAATCAAATGAGATGACATAGTCATGTTAGACAGGAGCTAGATCATGCAGGACCCTGAAGGCCCAAGGAAAGGATTTGTAATTTTATTCTATGGAAATTTATTCTTCAATGGAAAACACTCAAGGTATTTTTGGAAAAGGTACTACAGGGAATGTGAATCAAAGTAGAAGGATTAGTTCCAAGATTAATACAATAGTCCAGGAGAGAGAGGGTACTTGAACTAGGTTGGTAGCATGATGAAGAGAAGTAGATGGATTCTAGATATACTTTGAAAGTGACTGAATATAAAGAATGAGGAAAAGAGAGGAATCAAGGATGGCTCCAAGAGACGTCTGACTTAAGCAACTGCTTGGCTGATGGTGCCATGGTAAGTAACATAGTAATTAGTTTTAGCAGTTCTTAGCAACTAGAAGGATAAAAGAGAGAGAGGACTGCCAATTCTACAGCACAAAACAGCAAAAATAAATAAATAAACAAATAAATAAATAAATAAATAAAATAAAACCAGGGTACGAAAAGAAAAGGCAATTAGGCTACCTATGAGAGAACAGCAATATCAGACCAAATTTCCCATGGAAAACAACTATAAAAGTGATATAAAATGCCCCTAAATCCCCAGCTATTTGAAGGTTTCCGGAGAACAACCAAGGGTCAGGACTTGAGGAGCCAAGATCCCTTAGAGAAGGGAAACACTTTGAAGATCTCCCTTCAATTCCCCCTTGAGGTATTTGCCAATTACCAGTACAGAGCAAAAGGCCAAGCAGAAAGCAGCATCCCAGAACTTGTATGAATCTCACTGGGCTGGGAAGACACAAAAAGTGGATGTTGTACCACCAAAGGGCCAGGAATTGAGGATCTCAGGAAAATAAAAAGGAACCTCAAAGAAAGGGGCCCAATATTCTGTTCAACTTTTCCTCTCCAGGAATGTGCTGAATTGTAAACAGCATGGACTGAAATTCAGAAAATCCCAACAAAAAGATGTTGAAAAGAGGTTTTAAAAATAGCTTTCATCAGCCTCATGATACCTGAAATTCAGGACTTGCCAAGGAAGAGGTATCTTGGTAAACATGGCAAACTTTCAACTGAGACCTTAGCTAAGGGCTATACACCAGTAGTCCACCAATAGTGAGGCTATCAGAATTTCCTGACTGCCCTGAATTCAGGCTCATGTCTTATCAGTCACTTACGAATCAAAGTAATCAATGTTTTTCTAACTACTCACCAGAGGATATTAAATCCTATACGGAGAAACATAACCATAATTCAGATTCTCTATAATTTTTCATCACAATGTTAATAAAACATTGCCAGGCACCCAAGGAAAAAGGATCAAATAATCAAAAACAAAACAACAGAAACAGGCTCACAGACAATCTAGGTATGACGGTCATCAGACAGGAATTTTGCAACAGTAGTTAATATACTCAAGAAAACAGATGAAAACATAAGAATTTGAATCTATGTAAATTTTAGGATAAAAAATACAAAAACTAAAATTAAAAACTCAATAATTAGAAATAACTGGATACTGGACAGTGAAAATACAAGTGAACATGAAGATAGGTTGCTAGAAAATCTCTAGGCTTACGAGAAGGGGAAAAAAGAATGGAAACAGTGACATGACCTAACATACACGTAATTGTAGTCCCATAAGGAAAGAAGACAATTGAATAGAAATAATACTTAAAGAATATTAGCTAATTCCCGGGCCAGGTGCCTATAATCCCAACACTTTGTAATCATGCCTGTAATCATGCCTGTAATCCCAACACTTTGTAATCATGCTTGTAATCCCAACATTTTGGGAGGCTGAGGCAGGCGGATCACTTGAGGCCAGGAGTTTGAGAACAGCCTGGCCAATACGGCAAAACCACGTCTCTATGAAAAATACAAAAATTAGCCGGGCGTGGTGATATGCGCCTGTAATCCCAGCTACTAGGGAGGCTGAGGCACTAGAATCACTTGAACCCAGGAGGCGGAGGTTGCAGGGAACTGAAATTGCACCACTGCACACCAGCAAGACTCTGTCTCAATAATAATAATAATAATAATAATAATAATTTTAGCTAATTCCCAAATGACAAAAGATAGTAAGCCAAAGATTGACTCAGGACCTCAAGATACTCTACAAGCTTTATGTAGATTACAAAAAAAAAAGCTACACAAGAGCACATCAATAGTAAAATTGGTGAAAACCAAAGACAAGATATAATCTTTAAAACAGCCAAAGGAAAACACATTAACTTCAAAGGAGTAACAATAAAATCAAAAGCCTGAGTTAACATAAACAGTGGCAGCCAGGTGATGATAAAATAACATCTTGAAGGTGCATAAAGTAGGGACCCTTTAAAAGTGAAGGTAAAATGAACACATTTTCAGGCAAACCAAAACAGGGAATTCATTACCAGAAGACCTGCACTAAAAGTTCCTTGGATAAAACGATAATTACCCAGATGCACATACAATCAAAAAGAAAGAAATGAAGACCTCCAGAAAGGTAAATTTGAGGACAAAGTGAAATGAGCAATGATTATTTTAACAACAACATTACTCTTATTACCACTGTTATAATTACTTTAACAATAATAATAATGACATCTTTGGGGTTGAAAACAAAGCAAAGACTGGAAGAGGGGTAAATGGAATTAAATTAAAAGGCCATTCCATTACCCTGAAGTGGCAAAGGCAAAAATTTATGACAGACAAAAAAGTTAAAGATGAACATTGTAATCTCTATGCTAACCAGTAAAGATAGTAAAAGAATTTATAACAGAGAAGCTGAGAGAAAGGTATATGGGAAACTGTTTGATTAATCCAAAAGAAAACAAAATGGAAGGGAAAGTTATAAAGGACTTAATGATGGAAGTAAAATACAAATTGCAAAACTGTAAATTCAAACCCAAATAATGTGGTACAGTAATTACATTAAAGGTAAACCAGAGATTATCAAACTTAGTAAAAAAGCAAAAACCCAACTATATGATGCTTAAAGAGATTCATCTTACGTATAAGGACGAAGAGAGATTTAAAGGAAATGGATAGAAAAAAAAAGAATGCTATATTAACATCCCCTCTGGAAAAAAACTTTAAAGCAAAAAATGTTACTAGACAGGAAGACAGAACAATCATAAATTTATTTGTAGCTAATAACTTAGCCTCCAAATATGAGGCACAATTTGAGAGAACTAAAAACATACAGACAAATCCTCACATATTTGGCAATGTTAACACAAGTTTCTCAATTGAGTGATTTAAAAAAGACAAAAAAAGTCAAGTGTGATACAATAGATTGAACATGATTAATAAATTTAATTGCTATATATGGCACACTGTCAATTTTCTAAAACTGACCATAAAGCAAGTGTCAACAAATTACCCACAAGTGAAATCATAGAATGATTCCAGACCACAACAGACACCAAACTAGAAATCAATAACAAAAATATAGCTAGAAAATCCCCAAATGCTGAGAGCACAAGGGAAGTTTTAAAATATGCTTTATTGAATGATAATAAAAATAATATACAACAAACTTGTAAGATCCATCTAAGTTGCATTTAGAGGGAATTTCATATACATTTTTTAAATTCCAAAAATATTCCAAAAAAACCCCACAAAGGAGCCAGGCACAGTGGTCTGCACATCTGTATTCTCAGCTACTTGGGAGGCTAAGGAGGAAGGAGCAGTTGAACGCAGGAGTTCAGAAACCAGCTTGGCCAACACAGTGAGACCCCCATCTCTTAAAAAGATTTTAAAAAATAGGCCGGGCGCAGTGGCTCACGCCTGTAATCCCAGCACTTTGGGAGGCTGAGGCGGGAGGATCACGAGGTCAGGAGATTGAGACCACCCTGGCTAACACGGTGAGACCCCGTCTCTACTAAAAATACAAAAAATTAGCTGGGCGTGGTGGCGGGTGCCTGTAGTCCCAGTTACTCGGGAGGCTGAGGCAGGAGAATGGCGTGAACCCGGGAGGCGGAGCTTGCAGTGAGCAGAGATGGAGCCACTGCATTCTAGCCTGGGCGACAGAGTGAGACTCCGTCTCGGGGGAAAAAAAAAAAAAAAGAAGATTTTAAAAAATAAATAAGCTGACAATTAATGACTTAAGTACTCATCTCAAAAAACTTTTAAAAGTACAGAAAATTATCATTTTTTTAAATAGAAGAAATAAAGGTAAAGGCAGAAATCAGTAAAAAGTTAAAAACAACATTTATCTGAAAATGGACTCTGAAAAGACTGCGTACAAAGAGACCCAAATTACAATAAGCAGATTTTGAAAAGGAGAGATCATAGATACTACAAATACCAAAACAATTATAAAAGGATACACACACACACACAAAAACCTTAAGCTGAACTGGAAAATTCAGACAAAATGGACAAATCTCTTGAAAAGCAAAACTTGTCAAAATTGACAAAGAAATAGAAAATATGAATAGCTTTTTATGTACTGACGAAATACAATCAATAATCTTCACAAGAAAACTCCAGAGGGCTTCACCAGTGAATTCTTTCAAACATTTGTGGATGGAATAAAATCAATCTTCACAAATTCTTCCAGAGTATTAAAAAGCATTTCCCAACTCATCTTATGAGGTCAGCATAACCTTGATACCTAAATCTGTCAAATACTTTACAAGAAATTAAAATTGCTAGCCAATTGTTTTCATGAACAAAAAAAAACTCAATGAAGTATTATCTAGCATATACCATTTGAGTAATGTAAAATTAAAAGCTAGGTTTATCCAGAAATTCAAGGATGTTTTAAAATTAGGAAATATATATCCTTCTCTTTCCCACCCATCCCAAAATTAACACATATTTTTTGACAGAGCAACTACATTACTAAGAGTTTTGTCCTAAGGGAATAATCAGACAAGGCACAGAGATATGTTTAAGAATATCCATTATGTCATTGTTTGTAATAGCTTCTAAATGCTCATGAATATGGAATTCGCTAAATAATTTATATACATCTATCATAATCGGTTCAAAATTATAATACGGTTCTATACTTATTTGCATAGATAGATGTTCATAATATAGGCTGAGCTTTAAATATGTAAGGAGGCAGCTTTAGGCTAAACTTGATTTAACATGACAATGAGAATAGCAGGATACAAAAGCAAGACTATTTCTAAGGCAAAGAAAAACACTAATTTTATATGAAAGTAAAGAAAAACATATATCATAAGAACATTTTGTCTAGACACAATAAATTGCCATCTTAAGTACATAAACAAAAATGTTAATGTCAAACTTCAACAATTTTCTTCAGCAGAAAGAACATTTTCTTCTCAAAATCTAGTCAGAAAATTACCCAAATATATATTTACTTAAGACCAAAAATGCTACTAGATTTGACCAACCAATAGAGAATCTCTCTCTCTCTCTCTCTCTCTCTACATATATATATGCAGTTAAAAGTATGGAGACAAAAACAAAATGCCCCGAAATCACTAAATCCTTTACAAGTCAATCTATTTGTTACATATATATATAAAGCATTCAAAGTAGTACTTTTTAAGAAAAATCCACTGTGTAACAAATATATACATAAGAAGACTCAAAGTTCCAACAAGTTTAAAGGAAACTCCCTTTAATTTTACCAATTAGTAAGACAACCAACCTTAATTAAAATCATTCCAATCCAGATGTTACATAGTTTATTACAAAGATATATGAAGTAGGTTTCATTTCTACCATGCTAGCTCAGACCAATCAGTAGGGACTCCCTGGAGCAAGGTATTGGGAAGGAATCTAAGGCATTCTTAGGATAATGTGCCTGAGGGATTCAGTAATGTTTGCTCAGTTACCGTTGTGGGGAGGGGTGTAGATGTTTATCACTATTGCCACCAGACCCAAACTCCTATTCTAGCTCAACTTCTTCCTCGCTATGTGATCTCAAACAAGTTCCTTACCCTCTCTGAACCTAGGCTGTGAGAAAGTAAAAATGAGCTCGGTTGATAATCAGACTGTGATATCTGAAAGATAGAAGACCAACAGGTAAAAAGTTTTTCCTATGGCCACACTGCAGCTCCAAAATGACCAACAATCTCCCATTCTGTAAGTGATTATGTTTTCTCACCAATGACTTTCCAAATCCCCTTCATTTATCCTGTCTCCTAAACAAAGACTGCTGAAAGACCCAATTACTAACCCACCTCCAGTTGATGTACGATAGCATTCAGTCCAGGAGTCCCTGCTTCCAGCACAGCCCAAACCCTACTGAAAACTCCTCCCATTCTCTTTCTTTTTTTTTTTTTTTTTTTTTTTTAGAGACAGAGTCTTACTCTGTCGCCCAGGCTGGAGTGCAGTGGCGCAATCTCAGCTCACTGCAACCTCTGCTCACTGCAACCTCCACCTCCTGGGTTCAAGTGATTCTCCTGCCTCAGCCTCCGGAGTAGCTGCGATTACAGACGCCTGCCACAATGCCCAGCTAATTTTTGTATTTTTAGTAGAGATGGGGGTTTCACCATGTTGGTCAGGGTGGTCTCGAACTCCTGACCTCAAGTGATCCACCCACCTCGGCCTCCCAAAATGTTGGGATTACAGGTGTGAGCCACCGTGCCCAGCCCTCCCATTCTCTTTTACTGACACTTGGCAGGATCTGGCATACGCTCTTCCTAGCTGCAAAACAGTCAACCTAACTTGTTTCACCACAGATGCATTCCTGGTGGTCTTCACCTGGTGGGTATTAAGAGTTTCTTTATCTATATACCAACCATATTTATCCAGGGTGACTGTAAGGATTAAATTAAATGCTATAATGTAAAATGCCAAGCATCTGCCTGGTACTAGAAAGTACACAACAAATATTAGTTCTCTCTCCTCTACGAGCTCAAAGTAAAGTTATGTGTAATTTTTTTATCACCTAAGCAGTTCTTCACTATCAAGAAACTGCATCTCTGCAAAACATAACTAACAGCCAGAAAATTAGCCCTCCTAAAAAGAGAATTCTAAGCAACCAAAACAGATATGATCAAGTCCATGAAACAAAAGATACTCACTTTACTGTGAGGTAACTCCTAAAATCCTACTCAGACACCATTTGCTCATTTTAAACACATATTATTTTTAATAAACTTTGGAAATATGGTTTCCACACCCATAGCAAATTAAAACCAGCAACTGTAAATGGTTAGGAATAAGTAGGCACACTGATCACAGGAAAAAACAGCTGCTCAACAAGGCAGGAGACAGAAAACTTCTAACTATCAAACACAAGAAGTTAAAATGCTCAGAAATCTTTAGTCATCTAGTGCAGTGGCTCCTACATTTTTTTGACTGAAGATCCCAAATATAAAATACTTGAGGCACATACCTATAGTATATGTGTTTTCATTTATAAACATACACATAGTATAAAACATATACTAAAAACAGAAATTAAAAGATTAAAATTTTGTTTTTACTTTACTATTTTAACTATCAACTATTTTAAATATTAACTTGTTTTAATCTTTCAATCACTAAAAATGCTATTACTATTAACATATTAGGTGAGCATTATTATTAAATATATCTCCATTTTTTTAAATCTTAGTTTCTTCTTTTGTGAAGTTCAATGTATTTTGCACTTGGTTTTAAGAGCTGTCATAAGTCATACCTGAAAAACTTATCTTACAAAGATGAGATCTATATAGAAGAACATGTCACTTACTAACTTACTAAATCATATTACTTTTTCATTCTATCACCAAATACGCAAACATTTTTATTCAAAGTCAGCTACCTGATGTCAATGTTATTAAAATTTTCTTTTTCCTGACTGCAATAAGAATGTTTACAAATTAAAATGTTTGGCTTTCCAATAAATGGTCCAAAGTCAATTAAAATTCATTGTAAGGAAGATTTTCAACAGACTGTAAATACTTCAACATGCTTTCAAAATGTTCTCCATAACATGTTTCTTTTGAAAAGCAGGTACTTTCTCACTTACTGTTTAAAATGTCGATTTTGCCTTGAAGTGACAACTTGGGGATTTTTTCCCAAACACATCCGCTAGATTTTTATTTTTGGTAGCCTCTTGTCATCACGGATAAGAACAGCATATAGAATACTCATCTTTTGTAATAAAAATGTGTGATTAATCTTTGAGTTCTACAACTCTTAAATGCTTTGACAGCAAACCTCTGTTCCCCATCTCAATAAGAAGTATCATAGATTCTTCTTTTAAAAAGTATTTTTAAAGGGACTATATAACAGAAAAACTGGAAAAACTCTGAGAAACTCATGGTGCTGTTGCTGGCATCTACATTCTAGAATTCACACATCTTCCCTCAGCAAACCACACTCTCAGTGACCACCTGAATGCAGGTGGACCTAGGAGAACCTCACAGCCAATTCACATAGTATGAATAGAAAAGCTCAATTCTTTTCCCTTTTGGGGGACAAAATAAACAAACAGAAGTTCTCATATTTACTTCTCAAAATTGACTTGCTTCACCTCATTTTGTAAATTACTGATCTAGTGAAGGGGCATAAAGCTTCACAATCTATATTAGGTGCCGAGGGTATTATAGTTGTAGCTTATGCCTGTTAATACTACTACCATATTACACAGACAGGTACCCAATAAACACTGATTGAATGCAAGCAATATTATTCAAATCATAGCTCTAAGTCATCAAAAATAAGTTAAATTATGCATAGTATATTTCATTTAAGCAAATGCAATGGTAATCCAACATTGTTAGATTGGGCTATCTTAACACTCAACCTCCAAGTATTCAGAAAATTTACTGGTTCGGAATGACTTATTACCCAAGGTTTCCAGGTTACCATGAATTCTACAGTCACTCTTCATTTTTCCCTCCCAGAATAAGATGACTTAGAAAATCAAAGAGCACATTTACTAAGTATATGCTTCAGTCTCCTAAAACATATTTAATGTTCTATATTGTGAAAACTATTAGCACCATCAGTATTTTATCCACTAATTTAAAATAACTTCAAGTTTTAATACTATAAATATATATTTTTCATATTCCAAGTGATAACAGAAGCAGACATTATAGACTTCATATTTAACACCACTATTACTACGGAACAATATTTATTTTTTTCTGTAAGTAACGAAGACAGTAATAGTTTGTGAGTCAAGAAAGTCACTCAACAATTTCTGAATGTCTAAAAAATATCAGAGGTGAAATAAAAGTGATACTATATCCATAGAAATTTGATACCTGTGTAAGAGGAATGTCAAAAGCACTAAAGAAAAATGGTTTACAAGAAGGAAAGATCACTGTGGCCTAAAATGAACTAAAGACCATTTTAGACACAAGCTGGGGTAGGATTCAGAGCTAGAAAGAAGGAATTCAAAGCTGTGGGAAACAATGTCATCTGTTTTCTTAATAAAAATGTCTAATTCAAAATACCAAATAGGAGACATTCAAGTAAAAATTCAGAGAAACATTCAATTCTTAATATATTATTTATTAAGCTATTCAAGTCACACATATATGTAAACAGTACTTATCTACCTTTTGGCTTTATAAAACCCTCCAACTTAAACCTGAAATAAGAATCATCAGGAATAGAAAGAAAAATAAAAAGGAGCTGTAACTAAAGAGGAAAAAGTCCCTGGGCATTAAATCTCAGTATACTTTTCTATTTTCTGGACCTTTTCCTTTCATGGCATTTTCTCCTGGTATATTCAACATATGTCATTTTACTTTAACTTGGAAAAGTGATAAAAGTTCACTTTGAAAGGAAATGTATTTTAGTAATTTCCTGTCCACAAGAGGGCTCCAATAATTCTTACATGAATGGAAGTGATATAACAAAAGTTACAATAAAAATATTCATTAAGCACATAAAATATACTGGAAAAAACTTGAATTGTCATTATCTGATTCAACTCCTATTACAAATTGATCTGCTACAATTTTTACATTACAGTTGTTAAAGATACGGGGCTTTTCTTTGACCGTTTTATCAACTAAAATGTTTTGAATCACAAAATTGCTTTGCCATTATTCTCACACTGTCAATTTCTCTCTTAAAGTTTTCAATGTAATAGATAAAGTATAATTTTAGTCCAAAGCTCTAAATAGTAGCCTAAATGTTGTATACAATACTCTTATAAAAACAAGAATGTATTTCTTGATAACTTTACCAATCCAGAAAACAAAATTACCATTGCTTGCCCAGTCTTAGGCCTTATTACTAACACAGGCAGTAAATATTTTCTTGCAAAAAACCTACAGTGGTTAACATAAGTCACACTGCAACTATAAACAATGAATATAGCCGCATCATGAACTATGATCTTGGCTGCAACATAAATAAATAAATACATCATTTAAATACAATATATTATAATGATATTCTGTTGAGATATTTTCAGATTTTTTCACAAATAAGTTACTACACTAAGATGTTATTAAATCTAGTTCAAACTCAATCACTCTTAGCAAAGAAAAACCAACATTTCAAGTAAATACACTTGTAATATTTATAGGACATATATATTGCAGAATGTAGTAAAAGTACCAACTACAAATTATGTTTTAAAGGGTACAGCAAATCCATTCACTACGGGTGCCACTCCCTCATCCAAAAAATTGACATTTGGATCATTAAAAATGAGACTCCTTATGCTAAACACAAAAATTTACTGGATGTTCAAAAATAAATTTTAAATGGGAGTTCTACCTACAAAACAAAAACCAAAGCTAAAAAATCTATTTTAAAGTGAGTCATAATCACGGCCATAAAAAGACTTTACCAAAAACATCAATTGATTTAGCAATTATTGTAGCTCGAGAATAAATTATCTCTATTGGAAACATGATAGGGGTTAACTTCACCACTCCATCCCATCTCCCCAACAGGATTTTCCTATACAACTGACAAGCACCATTAACATATAAAAGATTGACTTCAATAGAAATGACACCACCACCAAAAAGTAAAAAAGTGTAACATTTGTTTCAGCACAGTTGACAGCACATACTGTCAACTAGGAGAAAGCTTAACATTTTACTGCATCTAGCAAAAATGTATTTAACAGTACATATCCTGATCAATTTAGAGTTATGCTGCAAGGGATATATGTCATTAGCTTTGCTGTGGGAGTGGTGAGAGGAGCTCTTCAAGGTTTGGAGCGGTAAATTGTTGTCATGAATGTAAACTAAAATCAATTGTCAATTCATGGTATTAAGAGTTTAATAATCATGAAGCATTTAATCGACAACTTCTAACCAGTATTTGTCATGTTATATTTCAAAAAGTTGAGAATTCTAGGCACATAGCAAATGATAGACTTCTTAAGCAAAAATGCAAAGTTAAGTAATAAACGAACGTTTAAAAGACTTTCACAAAGAGAAAATCTTAACCTCTAACCAGTTGAACAGTAGAAAACAAGACATAAAAAAATACTCAGAACAATCAAACCTGTGCTGTACGTTAGTACCCACTCTGAAATAGCATCATCAGGGCATTATATATTTATTACATAATATTGCTTTGCCCTTGCATATCACCTTTAATCAAAGGATCTCAAAGCACCACAGAATCAAGGCCTTAACATCCAGTCTCAAACAGATAAACTGTTATATTTTATAATTGCAGATATTAATAAAACCCTGCTCCTACTTCCCAGTCCTCTGATCCTAACATCAGCCTCCAAACCCTCTCTCTGACTTGGAAACAGTATTTCCCAAATCATCTCAATCTGTGACTGATGCCACGCACATTCCAGCTTTTCTTCACTGGACCTAAAGGAAGTAGCGGCACTGTTTTAATAACACATCTATTTCATTCCAACGTCTGTGAGAGAATAGACGGTACTTAAGGTTAACCTATTTTGCACTGTGCTTGATGATATAAAATGGAGGCTTTCGAGAGAGCAAATCTTTGCTCGAGGCGATGAACCCACAGATCACTCATCAAACAAGGGAAATAGCATTTCCCAGCTCTGTCTAGAGACCGCTCCCGGCAACTTCAAGAGCAGTATGGAGGAAAGCTTGTCCAGCCGTACTTAACCAGGCAGGAGGCTATTTCATGTGTGCACACCAGAAGAGAAGCGAAAACTAAAAGGACAACGCACGAGTTTTAGGACTCAGGAAGGAGACTGTAAAGCTGTTATGTGGCCACCCCCAGAGACAGAACACTGTGTTTCCTTTGCATTCAATGGGAAATTAAACAAGAGCAAAATTCCTTTAAACCAAGGTCAAAATAAGCCATTTAGAATCATTTAATTTTTGTTATAAAATCTGTATATGAGGTTTGCTCCTCTAGAAACATCTGGCGTTTTAAAATTTAATCATCAGCAGGCTGGGCGCAGTGGCTCACGCCTGTAATCCCAGCACTTTGGGAGGCCAAGATGGGTGGATCATCTGAGGTCAGGAGTTTGAGACCAGCCTGGCCAACATGGTGAAACCCTGTCTCCACAAAAAAAAAAAAAAAAAAAAAAAAAAATTAGCCAGGTGTGGTGGTGGGCACCTGTAATCCCAGTTACTTGGGAGGCTGAGGCAGGAGAATCGCTTGAACCCAGGAGGCAGAGGTTGCAGTGAGCCGAGATCGCGCCATTGCACTCCAGCCTGGGCAACAAGAGCAAAACTCCGTCTCAAAAAATAAAAATTAAATTAAAATTAAATTAAAATTAAAAAATAAAATAAAATTTAATCATCAGCAAAGTTCAATTTGTTTCCACTGAATACACAAACACTCAAATGTTAACATATGTGAGCACAACTACGTTAACTTCAATTCTTTCATAAACAGGATTATTCCTCTTCCTGGTAATTAAATGCATTATGTTTGTCCTTAGGACTGCAAAATGTAACTTCACACTCACACAAGCCCAGCCCCAGCACTGTAAGGTTACACGGTTACTGTTAGTCAACCGACTCACAACCTTACCCTTTATAAACAAAACAAAGAAAGGCGTCAATAAACAACAGTACTTTTTGTTTCAAGTTCTCAACACTCAGTGATCGAGGCTCAATACTATGTTTCCTTAGCTTTATGTCTAATATGGAATCTACTATTAATAAATATCTGGCATTAAAAAGCCCTGGAATATTCATTGTAAGTACCAATACAGGGTCAGCCTACGTTTCTGAAAATCCCAAAATATCTTTATATTTCTGTTGCCATCCGTATTCAGACATTTCAAAAACCTCACAGCAAATTCTAACATACTTTTTCTTGAAGAGATGTGCATCCCTGTTCTTGAAAAATATCAAGTTCGTCCCTACTGCAATGACGATCTCGTCTGTGTCATAAAGCAAGATTCCCGTTTCCCTACCTATTCTCTCGTAGGGACACCCGTCCTCAGCTCTGCCCACTGTCCCTGACGTTTTCAGAAACGTTAAAATACTAGTGTTCGGAGGCTTCTAGCGAAGAGGGAGATGTTTTGTCCCCTCAAGCTACCATGATACATTTCCCTACTTCTCCACTATCTTCAATGCTTTAGAAAACACGACCAAATGAGAGAACCCATATTAAAAGCAGTACTTCCTAAAAGGGGGAAACCAGAAGCTCCAACTTCTCCAAATCGCTCAGCACAGTGGCTTTTCGACAGTCCCCAGCAAATCTTCGCCCCACGCCTGCCGTCTTTCCGATTAAATAAGATTGGAAACCACAATTAAATCAGTGTCATAACTTATCCGTCACTTACCATATCCGCCGGGACATTACTGGACATCTTGCCGTTTGATATACACCCAGATGTTTACGAAAAAAACAAACAAAGAAAAAAGAGCAGAAGTCTTCACGTTACAGAAATAAACCACGATTTTGACTGGTTCGTGATGTGCTTTCTCCCCCAAAAATAAAGTTATTTTGGAGCCAAAGTGCCGGTCAGGCCGAGGTTCTGGTTCGAAGAGGAACAATCCCCAGGAGCTGTGTGGCCGGAGCAGGAGGAAACTCCCGGGACAGCAGAGGCAGCCCCCGTCGTCGTCGTCGTCGTCAACAGCAGCAGCAGCCCCAGGACCGGCCGCGCCAGGTGGACCGAGCCGAGTGACACACGGACATGGAGAGGGGTGGGAGGGGGTTAAATGCGCCTTCCTCCTTTCCCAGCCCCGGCAATGATTCACACTTGCTCCCGAGTCAAGTCCTCATTAAGCAGGAGAAAAATGCCCCAGCGTGGATGTACACAGATAACTATGTAGCTACACATCGACGCGTGAGCCTTGAGTGGCGGCCGAGCGGTGGCCGGACGCTGGCCGCGGACCCTGCAGAGCCGCTGTCGGAGCGCCCGCGCGGACAGCGCGGGGAAACGGCTCAACTCGCGCCGCGGGGGCGAAGAGCCGGGCCGCGGAAACCCGCGCTCAAGGGCATTTAACTAGTTGGAAGCCAAAGCGAAAGACCGGAGCGGGGGACCGACAGCGCGGGGGTGCTCGGGGCCGGCCGGGACACTCCACAGCCCCTCTGGGCTCAGGCCGCGGGCGCCTCCGGACAGCAGCTGGGGTCGGGGCGCATCGTCTCCGGCTCCTCGCCACTCCTCTTCTGCCTCCGCCTTCCCCGCCGCCGCCTCCCCGGTCTCCGCCTTCCCTTCCCCTCCCCTCCCCGGCCTCGCGAGCTCCGGGCGACGCCGACTTCGGCTGGTCCCCGGAAGAGGCCGGGTCCTCCTTCTCCTCAGCCCGGGAATGGTTTCCTCTCAGAGCTTTGTTTCTCCTCCTCCTCCTTCACTTTTCAGTCCCACACGCCGCGGCCGCCTCCTGTCATCGCCTCTCAAACCAACATGGCGGCAGCGGCGGCGGCGGCGGCTGCCTGAGTGCGACTAAGGGAAACGGGGAGAGCACGGGCCCCCCCTCGCAGCAGCCGCCGCCCCCGTCCTCGTCCTCCCTCCGCGGACACCAAGTGCGTCACCACGGAGACCATTCCCTCGAGCATCACGGGAAGTGTAGTCTACGAGGGTGGGGGGGGGAGGGAGCCGCCGAACGCCTCCTCACCCAGCTCCGAAGCCACGCCCCCCATAGCAACAGTTGCGAGGAAAGGAAAGCTCCCTTTCCCTTGCTTTGGACAAGCTGCTGCCCAGGAGTTAAGTGATACCTGCTACCAGGAGTGCTGTGATCATGAGAATTGTTGGGAGAAAATAATTCTGCATAGAGAAATTCCCTTATGCACGATATGCACACAGAGCTAAAATATGCTGTACCTCCAAGCAGAATCATTCATTTTAATTACAGCACATTCTCCACATCCTGCAATCTCAATGCATTTTGTAGAGTGATTTCATCTAGGTCTCCTCAACATTACATTTTGAAGAACAAAAGCAATCATTGATTTCCAATAAGGTCACATAAGTTCAACAGGAACAAGGATCTCATTAAGCAGTGAGAATATTTGAACATGTGTTTCCTTGAAGACCCAGGGCAATAAAGCTACAATCTACTTAACTGAAATTACCAAAACTGTATTACATACAACAGTGTTATTATATCAAATCTGTATCAGGAAATAGCTACTACAAACTTCATGGGGATTCACCAGTTTACCCATCTGGACCCTAAATTCTATTCTATGTAACTCATAATGTAATTGAAAACCTATATGCCTTGCAGTGATTAGCAAATAGGAGAAAATAATGCCATTGTTGAGACACCATTCAGATGGACATTTGTGATTTCTGCATTTTGTTCCTAAATCTGAGGTCAACATCTGAATCCCTATTCATATCTCTTAGTCCTTTGACAGAGTACTTTAGAAAGGGCAGTCTCAATATGATGCCTATATATAAATGCCAATGAATTTAGAGTCTGAAAGCCACCTCTCCAACCTACAGCTGTGTGACCTCATCTGTAAAATGGTCTTGCCTACCTTCCGGGGTAAAGTAGGGGTAGTTATGAGGATGAGTTCATGCATGGGAAATAAATCACTTTGTAAATAATAATGCATCATTTGATATGAAATGTCACTACTCATTCTCTCATTCAGCAAACAAATGTGCCAGGCACTCTGCTAGGCACTAGGAGTTTAAAAATGAGTCACTGTAGCGAACAGCAGCATCATGTGGCAGAAATGCCAAGGTCTTGGGTTGGCAATGGGGGTTATTACATCCTTGTCTATAGGGCTGTTGAAAAGAGGCAGAATCCAGTCACTGTCCTCAGGGAGCTCATTGTCTAGAAGCCTACGTGATTCCCCACAGCAATCTCTCCAGTTGGGTTTCTCATCAGTTGGAAACCCACAGGACATTTAGAGTACCTGCCTCTTGAGTAGCCTGGGTGGAGAAATTCCAAACACTCCTAAGGGCCTATATCACCCTGAGGAAGATAGATCAAATTCTCCGAAAAACCAAAGGCCAGAAGAGAAGAGAGGCCCAAATCTCACTGTGATTAGGCTTCAGGACTTTGTCTAGATATTTCCAAGTCCATAGTTACGTGATTTTCCATGGCCTTTGTTACTTGGTTGCTCATTTGCAATGTTTAGCAACCACAGAGTCCCCCTACCCCTACACCAGCCCCCCAGGAAATAAGGGCAGGTGAAAATACTTCAATTGACCAATGAGCTCAGAAGGAATATTGGAGCACATTTTGAAAGCTCTAACTCACAGAGTTAGTCCCTCCACCATACCCTTGACTCCAACTTTTATCCAATGACCTCCCTGGCCATGGCACTGCCTGGCCATGGCACTGCCGGGCCTAAGTGCCACTGTAAGTAGAAAGGCAAGAGTTGCTGTTTGCTGCAGGTTACCACTGCCACCTTTACAAAAGGCAATGTCTTTCAAAAGTCGCTGTGTTTCCAATTACTCTTCTAAGAGGGGCTGAGACATTATTCTCAATAAAACTCATTATAACTCATCCCTAACATTGTTAAGGCATGAGGTAACATTATTGGACACAGTTGCAGATTTTTCCACTCTTTCTTTTCTCTTTGCTTCCCAGCTCAGGCGGGTGAGGTGGGAGGCTGTAGAAAGGAGTTCAGCTGTCCCAAGCAGGAAAAGGTAGCATCTTCTTGACACCAGGAATCTATTGTCAGCATCAGTTGGAAGAAAGTGAATGACACAGCATTTTTGTAATGGGAAAAATAACTTCATAGGAAGTCAAAAGACCTGGCTCTGCCACGAATTAGTTATGTGACCTTTTGCCTCTCTGAGTTTCAATTTCTTCATCTGAGAAGCTTGAACTAAATCTCTAAGGTCCCTTCTAAGAGTCTATGAGTGTCAAGTCCTGGAAAAATAGGGCATGACACCGATGGCCTGTTAAAAATATCTTCCCTAAGTGACTACTTATGGGTAGGAGGGATTTTGGGGGAACAGGGAAGGTGGAATGATGACAACCTAAAATTAGATTTTGGCGATGGTTGTAGAACTCTGTAAATACACAGGAAACCACTGGATTGTACACTTTAAATGAGTAATTTTTTATTTGTTAAAATGTAGCAAAATACACATAACATAAAATTTAACATCTTAGTCTTTTTTACATTTTCAGTTCAGTGGCATTAAGTACGTTCACACTGTGCAACCACCACCACCATCCATTCACAGAACTCTTTTCATCTTGCTCCCTGAACTCATTAAGCACCAACTCCCCTTTCTGTCTCTCCCAAACACCATTCTACTTTCTGTTTCTATGTTTTTTTACTACTCTGAGTACTTCATATGAATAGAATCATATGGTATTTGTCTTTTTGTGGCTAGCTTATTTCACTTAGAAAAATGTCTTCAAGATTTATCCATATTATAACATGTCAGGATTTCCTTCCCTTGTATGGCTGATTAATTTTCCATTGTATGTATATACCACATTTTATGTATTCATTTATCCATGGATAGACACGTCAATTGTTTCTACCATAGAGCTATTGAGAAATGAGTGGATTTTATAATATGTAAACTATATCTCATACATTTGTTAACAAATATATCTCCCCCATCTACCATGTAAGTGTCTAAAATGGCTCCCATCTTAAGATCATTCCTGAAGGATCTTCTCAAGGAACCTCATGAAGTTAAAATAACTAAATGGAAGAATTACTTTCTGTGAAACCAGTAAACTTTTATCATGTGGTTCTTTAGTTGATTATCTCATGATGCCATGCTCTGTCATTTACAAAGGATCAGAGAGTAGGAAAATGCCATAAGAAGCAGAGACAGCCTTTGCCATCTCCATTCAGTTTTGCTCAAGGCTGGCCTGATCTGCAGGTACCCAGACCCCCAGACACAGTGTGGAGTTTCCTATCAAAGGGCAGCTGGAACCCTATGTGTTCTGGTCATGGCCCAGGGGCAGGGGCCCAGTGTGAGGGCAATCACAACTCTACCCATGCCTAAGGTTCTGCTTTAAGTCTTTTATTTGATTCTAGCCAATGTAAGAGTCACTTCAAAGACTTAGTAAAATTATTCTGTACTTCCCATGAGAAAACTATGTGAAAACCTCTAACATAGAAGGGGTCTCAAGAAATGTTGATTCTGCCACGTGCAGCGGCTCATGCCTGTAATCCCAGCCCTTTGGGAGGCCAAGGCGGGTAGATCACCTGAGATCAGGAGTTTGAGACCAGCCTGGCCAACACAGCGAAACCCTGTCTCTACTAAAAATACAAAAAAAATTAGCTGGGAGTGGTGGCAGACGCCTGTAATCCCAGCTACTCAGGAGGCTGAGGCGGGAGAATCACTTGAACCTGGGAGGCAGAGGTTGCAGTGAGCCGAGATCACGCCACTGGACTCCAGCCCGGGCAACAAGAGCAAAACTCCGTCTCCAGAAAAAAAGAAAAAAAGAAATGTTGATTCCCTACCACAAGTGGCCAAGGGCTTTCCTCTGAAACTAGAGATAATTTACTGAATGGTTTTGTAATAGATTTTCCTCCCTTAGTCTTTACTCTTGCTGGAGCAGAATGAATGTGTGTTTAGATTTGAGAATTGTCCTCTGAAGCAGTTTGCAATATAAAGAATAAAATTCAATCGTGTAAAGCAAAGGAATAGATAGGACAGGCTGGGTGACCTCTTTTTACTCCCATACACATATGGCAGATACCTCCAGCTCTTTAACCCCACACTTTCCTAAACAGAGATTCTCAACTTGCTTCCTATAAGAATCACTGGAATTCCACATATAAGTGAAATCATGCGGTATTTATCTTTCTGTGCCTGGCTTATTTCACTTAACATAATGGCCTCCAGTTTCATCCATACTATTGCAAATGACAGGATTTCTTCCTTTTTATGGTTGAATAGTATTCCATTGTGTTTATATACCACATTTTCTTTATCCATTCATCTGTTCATAGACACTTAGGCTGATTCCATATCTTAAGCATGATGGTTACCAGAAGTTGAGGGAGTGGGAGTGGGGAGGAATGGCGAGTTGTCAATCAAAGGGTACAAAATTCCAGTTAGACAGGAGGAGTAAGTTTTGAGAACTGTTGCATAGCAGAAGGACTATAGTCAACAATAATGTAGGTGTATGTCTCAAAATCATTGAGTAAGTTTCAGATGTCTCACCACAAAAAATGATGAGGAAGGTTATGTAAAGGAAGTGATAGTTAACGCTCATCAGCTTGATGTAATCATTCCGGGTTGCATAGACATATCAAAGCATCACAGCGTACCCCATGAATGTATACATCATGATTTGTCAAATTAAAATATTAAAGAAAAAAAGAATCGCTGGGAGTCATTTAAAAAGGCAAATACCTGAGCCCTCCTCCAGACCAACCAAATCAGACTGTTCAGGGTGGGGCCTGACACTGGTATGTTCCAAATCTCTAAAGCAATTCTAATGTGCAGTGGAGAAACACTGCATATGCCAGATTCCTTCTGCCCAGCTCCCCACCTTTTCCCAGTTAGTTTCTCTTATGAGAGTGCTCACCTGAAGGTAATGTGATTTATAAAGGTGACCCATGGCCACAGTCGTGAGTGGTCTGAGGAACAATCATAGCACACTGCTCTCTCCTCCCACTCCCTATGCCATTGTATTCATGCACCAACCTAATAACTAAGAGATTGACCTTTCCCTGATGCAGCCCTAGTTTCCGTCTCAAGACGCTTCCCACTTTGCTCAGAGTCCAGTAAGAAACACAGACAAGTAAGGTGAAAATTAAAATGCCATATGGTGAGTTGCTAAATGCTACCACAGGAATATGCACTAGGCACTTTGAAAGCACAGAGGAAATAAAGCAAACTCAGCCTTGAGGCGTGTGGAGTTTAACCAGGTGAAAGCCAAGTGAACAGGCAGGGTAATCAGGAAGAAAACACATGGACCTAGACTCAGGGCAGAGTGAGGCAGAGAAGGGAAGTGGCTAAAGCTCAGATGGCTACTTCTGGGAATCGAGGCAGGACTGGGGTCAGAGAAGGTTAGGAGAGAGAAACTAGAGGTAAATCACCAAAGGCTTTGTAACTTAGGCTGAGCAGTTTGGATTTACTCTCATAGCAAAAGGAAGCCATTAAAAGGTTTTAAGCTGGAGAGTGTCGTGATAAGATCTGTTTATATAATAGGATAAAAAGAAAAGGTCTGTGAACTCCAACAATACTTTTTGTCTGTATGTTTTGGCTCAGTTGTCATGTTGTATGACCTCTTGGACTCACATAATTTTAAAACTCTTAAGGGGTCTCAGAGATCATCAAATGCCATCTCCTTGTTTTGCAGATCAGGAAACCTACCAGTGTCATGGGCTACCAGGTTGACTCCCAGTGCAAAGCTTTTTTCACTACCCACCTCCTGCCAACAAAATTCTATAAAAACAAGGAGGACTTTTCATCATTCTACTACACAATATATATTTAACCCAGTAAAAATGTATTTCCCTTTCTGTTTTTAAAATAAAGAGTAACATCGGTATTATAGCAATTCTGGAAATTACAGGATCTATTTTTGGGTTTTGGTATATTTCCTTCCAGGATTGTGTGTGTGTGTGTGTGTGTACATGATATCACACATTTATGATATACGTAAGTTTTTCTTTTAAATATTAAAAGCAAAGGTTTTTTCTTTTAAATATTAAAAGCAAAGGTTTTTTCTTTTAAATAAAAATGTGTATTTTTACAAATGACTATGTCATCTTTCAATTGCTCTTTTTCATTTTTAAGAGCTACACACTCTTACATTGCATATTGATTGGTACATATGTAATCATTTTCTATTTGGCAGGCATAAGATTGCTTGCAGTTGTTCACTATTTGTGCTTATAAATCTGCATTTTGAATTACTTGTTTAGGTGAGAGTTCAGAAACTGCTATTACTGGCCACAAAGTCTCTGAGCATTCCCTTAGTGCTTGAATTGCATAGTGAAATTACTTTCCAAAAGGGTTTTACCTGCTTAGAATGCTACCTGTACTTGAGAATCCAGCTTTCCCACTACCACCTCCAGCCCTTATGTGTCTCTACAGCTGTATCAGCTTGTATGTAATATACATGCATAACCTTGACGCAGTGGCAGTGCACAGTGGCGACTGCAGGGAGGTCTTAGCCTCTCAATATCATTGACTCTCCAGGGCTGGGCCTGACATTGGTATTTTCCAAAGTCAACTAACTCTGCTATACTCTAAGTAAAGATACAATCCAAGTAAAAATGAGTGTTTGCTATACAAACACAGCCTCAGCAACACCCTCACAGCCCCCCCTTCACACCCTCCCACACCCACACACAAACTCACATTCCAATCAGATAGGAAACCCCTCATATTTATAAAATTTGGAAACATTTCTGCCTATGCATGCTGATTTTTTAGGTTAAAAAATGTACTTTGTGGTTGTTCGTTTTATATTTTGATGATTTTTATCAGATTCAGATTTTTTTTTTTTTTTTTTGAGACAGAGTTTCACTCTTGTTGCCCAGGCTGGAGTGCAATGGTGTGTTCTCGACTCACTGCAACCTCCCCCTCCCAGGTTCAAGCGATTCTCCTGCCTCACCCTCCCGAGTAGCTGGGATTACAGGTAAGCGCCACCACGCCCAGCTAATTTTGTATTTTTAGTAGAGACGGGGTTTCTCCACGTTGGTCAGGCTGGTCTTGAACTCCCGACCTCCAGTGATCCGCCCACCTCAGCCTCCCAAAGTGCTAGGATTACAGGCCTTTTTGTATGCATAGGAAACAAACATTTTTGAAGGGTGGATGCTGAGCAAGCAGAAACAGGGCAGCAGGCACAGTTAGTTAGGTTTGGGACTTGTGTGCAACTCGGCCCAGGAAGCCCTCATTGCAGCCCAGGTGTTTCTCCCCTCTGGGGTGGGGACCAACACCGGCAGCCCTTACTCATTCTCCAACTGTTCCCCCTAAAAAAGCACTCATTTGAGAGGTTGCTGGAGGACACTAGACTCATTGTCTTGGCCCTGGAGTAAAACCTTGGTTTTAGAATCACTTGAGTGCAAATACCAATCTGTTAAACTTTAGAAATCGTATTCTTATTCACAGACAATTTACTGCCATAATACCACTCCTGGGCTGTCCATCATGAATGTAGAAAGAGGCAACACCCAGTTTTGCTACCGTTTGGCAGCTTTGACTTTGTCTCTCTCTCTCTCTTTTTAAATTGCTAGTTATACCAGCAATAGAATGATATTTGTCTCTTTCACTATCATTCATCTTTCCATCAGTTTATGCCTGGTGTCTCCAACTATGTGTACACTCCTTAAGGGCTGGAGCTGGGTTTTAGTCATCTTTGTATCCCCAGGGCTTAACCTAGTGAATAGCACTCAAAAAAAATCTTCTAAGTGCATTACAGAGATGAACATGTGATGTCTTAAAATCCCTTCCCAGGTCTGTGATTCTGTAAAGTCAAGGATTACCTTCTTCATGTTATCTTCAGACCTAGAGCTGTGTCTGGTTTCCACAGAAATGATATCCAAGGCTTAACTCAATGGCTCTCCCATGACTAAAAGAATATGCCAATGGCAAGAGGAATGATTTTCATGTTAAGGTTGGAGAAGTTCCCCTTTGGAAAAAACGAGTTACATTTTTTAATGGTAACGTGTTTTTTACTATTTTGCCAACAACAATGTGAGTGGGGTAGTCTAAGAATGCACAGGCTACTAGAAAAAGAATCCTCGAATTTTGTATCTTGCTGATGCCCCTTAATGCCTTTCTTCCTGACCTGACCTCACTTTACCAACGCTATGAGGTCATTGAATCATCCAGTGCTGGAGCTGGAAGGATGCTTCATGATGATATCATCTCCACCCTTTTTTGTCTTCTCACAAATGAGGAAACAGAAACTTCTTGAGAAGCAGCCACAATTTCTTTGTAATTTTCAAGTGTACATGAGAATGAGTTTCCTCTAAGTTGTTCCAAGAAATAGAAAGACAAAACAAATTCTAGCAACATTATGTAATGTTGAATTATTATATAATTTTATGTTAAATCATGTCAAATAAATGTAGAATTTATCATCAAATTGATATCATAAGACATAATCATTATTACTGGTTTTCATTGCCATAGAGATCAACCCATTATCATAGGGCTATTCAATAACGACATTTTTTTTTTTTTTTGAGACAGAGTCTTGCTCTGTCACCAAGGCTGGAGTGCAGTGGTGCGATCTCAGCTCACCACAACCTCCACCTCCCAGGTTCAAGCGATTCTCCTGATTCAGCCTCCCGAGTAGCTGGGATTACAGGCACGCACCACCACGCTTGGCTAATTTTTGTATTCTTAGTAGAGATGGGGGTCTTGCCATGTTGACCAGGCTGGTCTCGAACTCCTGACCTCAAGTGATCCACCTGCCTCGGCCTCCCAAAGTGTTGGAATTACAGGGGTGAGCCACCATGCCCAGCCAACAAAAAAATTTTTCAGCCAAAAGTAATAAAACTCTATCAATTTTTTTTTCTTAAAGTTGAGGGTCTCACCATTTTGCTCAGGCTGAACTCTACCTCCTGGACTCTAGTGATCCTCCTCCCTCAGCCTCCAGAATCTTTTGAGCTAGTCCACCATACTCGACCCCTGATTTTTAAAAAAATCCTATATAAGAATTATATTTTCCTCAGTGTAGGCAAGTGTACTCTTAACATTAATCTTGTGTCATGAACTGTAAATCCCATTTCTCTTGTACCCCAATAACCTCTAGCATAGTCATGCCATAAGGTTTTGACACCAGTTTTTATTGATTACTTGATTGATTGTTTATTCCACACATTCAAATTGTGTTGTTTTATATTCACCAAAGAAGATAGTGGCATGGCTTATCAATAAATGTATTATATTATATTAATATTTGATAGGACAAAATAAAGAATCCAAGAGAGGTTTCTTGCAAGCCTCACATTTGCTCTTGAAGCCTTCCACATTAACAGAGTGGTCACCACAGTTGGAGAATGGCTGCAGCCAGAGAGTGGCCTCTGTCATTGCTCATTCAGTTCCTGAGTCAGGCCTTATTGGGCAACGTGGTTGAATTTCATGACTGTGTTTCCTAAACTGAACAATCTAGTTAGCATGCACCTCCTCCAGCATGCTCACGAGAGACTTCACGGAAGAGCCAGGGGCCTAACTCTCTTACGGGGGTAGCAACAACATAAAGAAATGATGACCCTGTTCTGCTTGGCATCTGGTCTAGCATGCCAGGAGCCTTCATATCAGATTACTGGCTCATCTTTTTTAGAGGATTCAGACATGATTAATTTAACTTGATTAATTAAATTAATTAATATTAATTTAGAGGATTCAGACATGATTTAGACATATTAGTTGAGTGTGGGCCCTGGATTCACATCCTTGGTCTGCCATTTACTAGCTATGGAAGCTTGAATAAGTTTCTCATGTATTTAAAAAAAGAGGGGCCTGGGTGCAGTGGCTGCAGTGGCTCATGCCTGTAATCCCAACATTATGGGAGGCTGAGGCAGGAAGTTCTCTTGAGCCCAGGAGCTTGAGACCAGCCCAGGCAACATAGTGAAAGCCTGTCTTTACAAAAATTTTAAAAATTAGCTGGGCATGGTGCACAACTGTAGTCCCAGCTACTTGGGAGGCTGAGGTGGGAGGATCGCTTGAGCCCAGGAGTTTGAGGTTGTAGTGAGCTGTGATCGTGCCACTGAACTCCAGCCTGGGCAAGACTGATTCTAAAAAATGTTTTTAAATAAATAAATAAATAAATAAATAAAGTTTTTAAAAGGAATAATTAAAAGTAGAAAAGTGGATACATTTAGAATCTTACATCAAAACATATAAATTTAAAACTTAGAACACTTTCTAGCACATCATATGCTAGTATTAGAATTATCATAATGAAATGGGATACTGCTCTTCATATGTAATGGAAACACTACTGAACTAACTTCTCTTAGAGCATGTGTTTTCAGTTATTTGTCCACGCTCAGCACAGATCTATCTACATTGGCCACCTTTTCATATAGAGACCAATGGAGTCACATTTATGAAAAGGTTGGCCTCATGACTAACAGAGTAAAGCAAATTGGGCCTGGGAATTTGAACCCCAAACTGTAACTTTAGGGCCACTTACTTCACAAAGAAAAGGGATCAAGTAAAAAATTTCACACATTTGTATCCATTCCCTTACCCGTTGCTGTCCACACTTACTCTGACCTCATCACCCTCCTGCTTCAGGGAAGCCCTATCCCCCTCCCTTCTAAAACCCTCTACCTGCCCCATAGCCACTCCCTCTGTCTCCAGAATCTTATTCTGACAAACAATCCTTCCATCTCTTACATCTTCTGTCTCCTGCTCCCAGGGTTCTCCTACCTATGGGGGCCATATAATATATTGTCCAAATCAGGAAATATTCACGGGGAAATGGTACTATTAATCATTCCTAGCAACAACAGGTAAGTTGGGGCTACCCCAGGCAAACCAAGCTTCTTCTCTTCAGAGTGGAAATAGGCTCAAGCCTCTCCCATCTTGAAAAACAGGGCCTTCTCATTTCTCAGTGCTCTTGCTCTAACTCCTACCCTCTCTTGTTCTTTCCCTTAACACCACACTTCTTCAAAGTATGTGGGAGCGCCTCCTCGGTACTCCATGTAACCCTCAGGCAGGGCTGCTGCAAAGGGCTATGCAGACTGTACACAACATAACTCCAGGAGTGGCTCATACTGTGATTGATGTCAATGGCATCCCTGGAGTTATACGGTGCACATATATCAAGACCACATATGGTGGCTCTATCCACTTCCATGTGGCATTCTTCTTTTTCGCCTTCCCTCACACCTCACTCAGACCCTCAAGCTAGGATTTATAACAGTCAAATACCACAGATACATTTCAGGCCTTGTCATTGTTGACCAACACTCGGATTCCTTGACAGAAGAGACCACTCCCTCGCCCTTGGATGAGCTCTGGACTCAAACCGCATGGGACAGGATTCCAGCTCTACCACTCACTAGCATTGTGGGCGTTGCTGACTTCATTTGGGTAAAATGTGAGTATCTCAACTGTAGAAATGGTTAAGAATGGTAGCTACTTCATAGGGTTGTTAGGAGAGCCAGAGGAAATAGTTTGTAAAGCACTTAGCACAGTCCCTGATAGATAGAAGGCATTCTGGAAATGCTCACTGATATTATCTTTTCAAAAATGGAACATAGTTTTCTACAATAACACCCTTTCCAGGTTTTGTGACTCTCTCTTTGCTCTCTTTCCATCTCCTTCACGAATTTCCATACTACATCAGACCCTCAAATGTTGACGTTCCCTACAGTGTTCATTCTGGTCTCTTTCCCCTTCCCTCTTCCCTCCGCTTCCCTCTATCTCCCTCCTTCCCTTCCCTCTTCTCACTCTGAGCAGCCTCCACAGCAGTGGCCTCCACTGCCTCCCTGAAGCTGAAGACGTCCACTTTTGCATCTCAGGCATCAACTGCTCCAGACTCAAAAATCCCAACTTCCCATGAGACCCCTCCACTAGGATGTCCTGCTGGAGCTCCCAAGTCAGCACATTGCAAATGAAAGCACCACATGTCTACTTACTAAGCCTCCTCCCTTCCTGTGTGGTACCAGCTTCTTCCCGTCGTCCATCCTGGAGTTTTTCCCGTCACACATCCCCAACATCCAAGTCGTACACATTCTACCTTCTTAATATTTCTTGAGTTGATCACCCACATTTCCATACCCATTTGGAAAATCTTACTTCGTTCATTCGTTCACAAGTTCTTTCTGGGACCAATTGCCATCCATGGTGCCTCCCTACATCCAGGTTCACACCCTCTAATAAAGTCTGAATATTAGAGCCTCCCAAACACCAATCCAGGATCAAATTTTTATTAATCTGGGGCAAAATGATGAAGAATGCAGTGAGTTTTTCAAAAAGTAATTTCTTTTTTCAATTTAAATAAACATTCACCCTTTGTTTGGAGAGAACGTTCTTCCTGCCTCTTTGGTGATAAAATACTTTATTCTGAAATGGTGATAATAGGTCATTTTTATTATACATATATATTTTAAGTTGGCTTTCTACCTTAGTCACTAATGTTTTTTAGAAATGTTTTACAAATAGTTTACTAAAAATGTACAGTTTGGCTGGGCACAGTGGCTCACACCAGTAATCCCAACACTTTGGAAGACCAACGCAGGAGGACCACTTGGACCCAGGAATTCAAGACCAGCCTGGGCAGCATATGGAGACCCCATCTTTTCAAAAAAAATTTAACAATTAGCTGGGTATGGTGGTGCACACCTGTAGTTCTAGCCACTGGGGAGGCTAAAGGAGGAGGATTGCTTGAGCCCAGGAGGTCAAGACTGTAGTGAGCTGAAATCGCACCACTGTGCTCCAGCTTGGGTGACAGAGCAAGACTCTGTCTCAAAAAAAAAAAAGAAATGGGTTATTATGCATCAGCTATAATCAATAAAGTTTTTAAAAAGATTTCCCATCATGAAATCTGTACACCTGTCAATGCCTGCTGTGTACCTATGTCAGAAGGTGTTTTCTAAAATAGAAAGTTTTCATGATATCCCCAATAATAACCTTCCAAACTAAAAGTACTTGAACATTTTTATGTGCCCATCGCAGGGCCAAATAACTTTGTATACATTACTCTTCACAACAAATGTGTGAGGTGGGGTTTTATCATTATCCCCATTTTACAGATGAAGAAACTGAGGTTTAGATAGTAGGGCACATGGCTTATAAGTAGTGGAACTGGGACTTGGACCCAGGTTTGACTGACTCAAAAGCCCTGATTGGTCTTTACCACTGTTTTATTGACTCTTTACTTAAAAATCTTTTAATCACATTCCAAATACCTTAGTTTATCTCCCTCAGTATTTGGTCTCTCTCTCTATATTTCCTTCTTTTTCTTTCCCTCCACTCAATTTTTTACCTCTCTTCACCCTTCAGTGCCTGCTTCAGTTACAGCAAACATTTTGCAAATCTAAGAATGTGATACCTTCTTTCAAGGGAACCATGCCTTTGTATGAGCTGTTTCCATTTCTGACCTGGGCGGGCTCACCCCTCCTTAGGCAACTTGGTGTTTCCCTGCTCCCAGGAGGTCACCATCTTTTTTGTTTCTTTTCTTTTTTTTTTTTTTTCGAGACAGGGTCTCGCTCTGTCACCCAGGCTGGAGTGCAGTGGCACGATCTCAGCTCACTGCAACCTCCACCTCCCCAGTTCAAGCGATTCTAGGTGGGACCACAGGCATGCGCCACCATGCCCGGCTAACTTTTCTATTTTCAGTAGAGACGGGGTTTCACCATATTGGCCAGGCTGGTCTGGAGCTCCTGACCTCAAGTGATCCGCCTGCCTCGGCATCTCAAAATGCTGGGATTACAGGCGTGAGCCACCACGCCCGGCCGAGGTCACCATCTTAATGCCAAACTTAGTACGGACATCCGATCGGCACAGCCACTACAGCCCAGAATTCCTGGGCACAAGCGATCCTCCGGCCTCAGCCTCCGAAGTAGCTGGACTACAGGCATGCGCCACTGCGCCCGGGGCACGAACTGTTTCCTCTGCCTGGCATATATTTCCCCTGCTCCACCACCTGGCTAACTCCTGCTCATTCTCTGAAACTCAGTGCCCTCCAGGAAGGAGTCCACAACCTTCCCCACACCTCAACCAATCTCAGTTTCAGCCTCTGAAAGACCAAGGGGAAGACATTGGAGTCCAGTGTGGCCTGCAGCAGCCCTTGACTAATAGCACTTTGGCAAGTGTGTCCTGCTTTGGCATCCATTCACATACCTGTGTCAGGCACCAGGCGAGAGCACGGAGCTGGACAGGTGAGGCCCTGCTCTCATGCAGCCTCTGTTTTCGTAAGGAGACAGCTAATAAACCCAACAAGTAAACACACGAATATACAAGATAATTTTAGGTAGTCATAGATCTATAAATAAAGTAAAATTGGGTAATGAAATGAAGAGTGACAAGGAAGGTAGTCAACTCAAGGATAGATGGTCAGAGAAGGCCTTGGAAAAGACGGCACTTTAGCAGAGACCCGAATGAAAAGAAGCAGCTCACCAAGTGAAGTGCTAGGGGCAGAAGTTTCCAGGTATTCTTCACTTAAAGGAAGTGTCATGCATAAACATCTAAGGTTCTAACCTTACCTGCACATCATCAGGGTTCAGCTTGTAGTAGTTGCTCAATAAATGCTATGAATTGGATTGTTCAGCTGAAGAAACTAGGAAGGCTCTGGACCTGTGCTTTTTATCTCTTAGGACTCTCCTAACATCCGCCTGTTGGGGAAATACCACTACTTTACAAGATTCCTTGGATTGTCTTGGGTAAGCAAAGAAAATAGAGTCAGGCAGGAATTGCTATGTTCTGAATTACAAACACAGCCTGCCTCCAGCTCCTGGGTATGCCCAGTTCTGACATTTTCAAAGTTATCTGGAGATTTGGAGAGGAATTTATCATCTTGTCTTTGTGGGTAGGTTTTTCATGAAATGTTCGTCTGTATATCTCCTGCTGTTATTTTCTCTATTGTCACAATTCCATCCTTGATCTTATATCCAAGTGACCTTACAGTGGAACTAGAAGTACTTCAGTGAGACCAGGATTTCATGGAAAAGACAGTGACACTGCAGTTTTATTAATTTTTTTGAGAATTCACATTTATTGAATTACTGATGTGCTACAACATGGAATTTCTGAATTCCAAATAAATAAATTTCACTTTTTAAACATTTGTTCTGTTACTTTTTAACACCAACAAACTTGATAGCAGCCAGCTGCTGACCTGACAATGGGTTGACAACCTTCCCCCACTGGCTCTTCAGTCTGCTTAATCAGAAGTCCTTTGCTGCTTCTCATCCTCCCAGGGGATGGCCTACTGCCCTCCTTTCTGTACAATCTGGGCAAGCCGACTGGGATGGTAAGAGTGGTGTCAATGAAGCGGTCCACAGAGCTAGAGAGGCAATTTTCAGTGTGAGAGTCTAGGCATTTCCCTGGCTTCTCCACACATCCATCCCAGAACAGCTCCAGGAAGCGACACACCTGTGCTGCAACCCTGCTTCAACCACCTCGCCCAGCACTGTCATTGTCCACGTGAGTCTCAGGACCTCTCATTTTTCTTAAAGCCCCAGGAGCACATTTCACAATTTTATTTCACTGAATGCGTGTCCTGATATATTTAAACAGAATTGAAATAATAAACCCCCTGATTTAGTTTGAAAATTAAAACATGCATAGGTCCTAAACCAGCTTCAGTTGAGAAAAAAGTTACTTTCTACTCATAGAAAATCCAACATGAGAGATTTCCCTAAAACACTTTATTTTGCAACTACTTCAAAACATTGCAGCAATTTGAACAAAGATGTACTGGGTGATGCTCATGTTGTGCACAATGCTAGTCTGAAGATTTGAATTGTTAACTCCAGCAATTTCCATGACCAATTGGAATCTCTATTATTGATAATCAAAGTTGTCGTTTCCCTGAATCCTAGGGAGCTCAGGGCACTTGAATCCAAAAACGTCTGGGTGCTATGTAGAATACAATCAAACATTAACGGAAGGGAAGTGGGAGAGAGAGAAGCAGTATACTCATAGACAAAGTTTGCAAAAGGGTGAGCTAATAGAAAAGCAGCAGCAACAAGCACAGAGGCCATGCCTTGGGCAAGAGGCAGGAGAGGGTGTCCATACGGTGTTCTGCTTCTCTTTAGGGGAGCCCAGGGCAGGTGTTGTTGAACTTTCCCACCCTCATAGCTCTCAACTCTTGCATTTGTTTATTATGCCTGATCTGTTTAGTTACCTTGTCCAAAGGGAATTGCACCAATTACAAGGGCATGGAAATGAATGGATTGGTGGAGCTCTTTTCCTTGCAATTTTTCATACTGCATGGGGTTTTCATCAGGCAGCAGAAGGGGAAAGAACATGGAATAGTCCCCACGAACCTCCCTGGGCTCTACCACACATCTGCTGTGTTGAGGATGTAGAAGGTGAGGACGAGCCAAAAACAAACAAAAACAAAAACAAAAGGAGAATAGAAAGAAAAAGGAGCAGAAGCAGAAGGAAAATTGGATGGCACTGACAGTCCCCAGGTGACTTCCATGTGTCAGGCACAAGTAAAAAGGACTTGTGAAGCACCAGATTTATTTATTAAAGTATAAATACTTCAGTTCACCTAATCGCTACAACAACCCGTTGAAATGCCCATTTTTACAGGTGAATAAAAGAGACTCAGAAGCTAAATAACTTTCTTGTGGTCACTGGGATTCATACTCATGCCTGTTTAACTCTAAGGATTAAAGAGAAGGGGAGGGGATGATCAGAAAAGGTACCATGTGGCAATTTGCACTAACTCACTAACACAGAGTTAAGACGTCAGAAGAACAGGAGCTTCACTCTCCTTAGCTCATGCATATTCACTTTTCTTCCATAAACATAAAAAAAAGGTAAGCAGCTTCAGGGACCCAGAAGTAAATTATTGGTTTAATAAAATGCTGGCCTTTGGGTTTACTTTCTTTTAAAGACACAGTTTATCCGTCAAATTCCACTCTCGGTTTGTCTTATTCCAGGAAGGGTGTTCCTCCCTTCTGCACAAATGTGATTACAGGCAACTCTGCATTGGAAAGTAGTAAAAAAAAAAATGTGAAATCAAATTTTACCATTTATTTAAAAACTAACCACACCGCTAACATTTATTAGTGTATAACAATGGCAAGTTTAAACACACCTCCTGACACTGTAAAATGCTTGGAGGCCTGGACAGATCTACTGACTTTTTATCCTTTTTTTTCTTGCCAGCTCTGTCCTGTTTGGATGCAAGCAAGTGGCCCAAAGCCCTTTCTGTTTTTAAGAGTTTAGGGCCAGGCACAGTGGCTCATGTCTGTAATCCTAGCCCTTTGGGAGGCCAAGGCAGGCAGATGGCTTGAGTCCAGGAGTCCGAGACTAGCCTCGGATACGTGGCGAAACCCTGTCTCTACAAAAAACACAAACATTAGCCAGGCGTGGTGGCATGCACCTGCAGGCCCATCTACTTGGGAGGCGGAGGCAAGAGGATCGCTTAAGCCCAGGAGGCAGAGGTTTCAGTGAGCCAAGATTGCACCACTGCACTCCAGCCTGGGTGGTAGAGTAAAACCCCGTCTCAAAACAACAACAATGAAAACAGTGTTCTAAAAATTAAAGATGTGCCGGTCAGATTTTAAATTCAAATTTTCTTCCAGGTGCCTATTGAGGAAAATGAAGGATGATTTTGTTGGAAGCCTGAGTTGATTTCACCCTCTACCTGGTGATTCTTCTGGACTTACATTGCATGGTAATTAAATTAACATAGTTTACTCTAAATCAGGTTATTCCTTTGGAATATGCCAAATAATGGTCATGAAGATATCTGGGAAACGTTTTGTTGTTATTGTTGGTGGTGTTCATCTTTTCACAAATTTAAACTCCAATTATATTTGAGTATGTGGATGCTCTTCACACAAGCCTGTGCTAGTTTGTTCCAGGTCTTGTGGTAGTAGAATGTGTGAAGGCTCAAGTTTACAAACAAATTGTATTAGTGATGATTCTTATGAGGTCAAGGATGAAATTAAAATTCTTAATTACAAATCATCGGCACCTCCATTGTCAGGGGCGTGCTGGGATTCTCTGAACAGCTGCGTAATGATCCTCTGTGCTTCAGTGGCGTTGGCATGCCTTTGAGCTTGTTCCCTATTCACCTTTTATTTATAGCACCACGAGCGTGTTTATTTTCATTCTTATAAAAACTTGATTTGCTGACTGCAAGATATGACAAAGCTTTCATATCAAGGACAGAGACCTGTGATTTTTGGAACAGATTGTCTTTTATGGGATGATTCACCATGGACTCTTTAGTTAAAGCGATGGGCTCCTTTGTTTTTAGCTCTTTTTTTTTTTTCTTTTTAGTTTTTTAAAAATTTGTTTATTGGTTGGCGTTAGCCTTTGTTTTTAGCTCAACTAACCCGACTAGCTGTGGATCTTGAATTCGCTTTACCTGCATAGACAACTGAGGGAAAGCATGTTTCTGGATGTAGGGTGACGTTTTTAGTTTTTGATTAGCTGACATATTCTGGTGGCCCAAAGAATCACAGGATTGTAGAGTGGCAAAGCCCTTGAAAGTTAACCCACTCAGTTTCCAGCTTGGGGTTCTTGATGCCAGGGATCTGAAAAGATGGTGATGGGAAAGAGAGCAGGCCAGTCCGGGCAACAGAGTGAGACCCCATCTCCACCAAAAATTTAAAAATTTGCTAGGTGTTGTGGAGCATGCCTGTAGTCCCAGCTACTCAGGAGGCTGAGGTGGTTGGGAGGATTGCTTGAGCCTGGGAGGTTGAGGCTGCAGTGAGCCGTGACCATGCCACTGCACTCCAGCTTGAGCAACAAAGCAAAACCCTGACTCAAACGAACAAACAAACAAACAAAACAAAACAGGAAAGAAAAGAGAGTACGGAGGAATCGAATACTTTTAAAAAGGTAAAAGAAATTGTTTATTTATGACTGATAAGGCTGCCCAGGAGACTCAAATATCAGATGTTTTAGATTTGGGCTAGAATATGACGGCATTGATTATCTCACGGGAAAATCTGTTAGTAAAAACTGCATAAATGCAGTTCAGGACATAGAAGTCTTTTGGAAAATTGGGTACATTGCAGAAAGGTAATAAAAATTTCCTGTTAACTGTGCTAGTACAAACCCTTAGCACTGTCTTTGGAAAGCTACAGTGTTGGACATCCGGGCCACAGCAGGAAACAGAAGACACAAATCCCCTGCTCTTATGAAGCTGGCATTCTGATATGGAAAGACAAAAAAATAAACAGGTAAGAAAACAAGCAAATAAATAACTGAAATTGATAAGGCCACCTGAGATTGTGCTAAGTGGTATGAATAAAATGGCCCAGGAAGACAGAGTGAGGGGACAGGTTAACTCAGATTGGGTGATTAGAAAGGTTTCTCTGAAGAGAGATGCTTGTGATGAGTCCTGAAGGGAAGAAGAAAAGCCACATAGGAGTAGGAGGAGAATTGAGGTCCAGAACCTAGATTTTGGTAAGGTTTCCTAGGAGATGTCACCCCAGAGGCCTGCTGGGGAGCCAGTCAGCTGTGTTCCTCCCCAGGCCAGACACCTGTCCCCACCTTTCTATGCAAGCTTTCAGATCTCAATGTGGCTGCAAAACACTGTGGTCACCTTGCTTAGCAAAATGTTATGATTTTGCAAAGTAATGATATATGGTAATTGTATTTGAAAACCTAGCATTAAAAAAAGAAAAAAATACTATAACAAAAATCAAACTAAAACCACAGAGAATTTTTCCAGCAAAGGGACTCTCAAATGCTAAGACCCCAAGATGGGAACAGGCTTGGTAGGTTCAAGAAACAGGAGAAGACTGGTGTAGTTTTAGCTTGCTGTGTGTGGGAGAAAATGGCATGGTATGACATTAGAGAGGTCAAAGTTAAGCAGTTCATGCAGGTCCCTGTAGACCTGGCAAAGAGTTTGTGTTGCTGCAATGCATGGGGAGAATGTGTGGGGTTGAAGCAGGGCAGTATCAACATCTGATTTACATTTTATATCAATCACTCTGGCTGCTATATGGTGAATGGATTATAGAAGGATGTGAGGAGAGGCAGGGAGATCATCTGGAGACTTTTACCATCATTTAGGTGAGAAATGGTGATGACTTTTGAACTAACAGAAGCAGAGAGTAGAATAATGGTTGCCAAAGGCTGGCAGAGCTGGAGGTGTTGGTCAAAGGGTACAAACTTTCAGTTATAAGATGAACAAGTTCTGAAGATTTAAGGTGCAGCATGGGTGGTCATGGATTTGTTTATCCATTCTATTATGGTCATCATTACTCAACGAAAATGCATGTCAAATCACATTGTATACATTAAATATATTTGATCTTCATTTGTATGAGGTTGGTGCAAACGTAACTGCGGTTTTTGCATTGTTGAAATTTGCCATTTGGTACTGAAATACATTCTTAAATAAATGTGGTTATGTTATACATCATTTTAATGTACATTTCTTGCTTTTTTTGCTAATGACTTATTACTTGCTGTTTAGACTATGAAAATGATGTTAGAGAAAATGCAAATTCAAGCGATTTTCTTATTCGAATTCAAAATGGGTCTTAAAGCAGCAGAGACAACTCTCAACATTGACAACATATTTGGCCAAGGAACTGCTCATGAACTTACCATGCAGAAGTTTTGCAAAGGAGATGAGAGCCTTGAAGATGAGGAGAGTAGTGACCAGCCATTGGAAGTTGACAATGACCAACTGAGAGCAATCATCGAAGCTGATTCTCCTAACTACATGAGAAGTTGCGAAGAACTCAACGTCGACCACTCTAGGGTCAGCATTTGAAGGAAATTGGAAGAGTGAAAAAGGGTGCCTCATGAGCTAAGTGAAAATAAAAAAATCATCGTTTTGAAATGTCATCTTCTCTTATTCTACACAACAACAAACCATTTCTCGATTGGATTGTGAGGTGCGGCAAAATGTGGATTTTATATGACAACTGGCAATGACCAGCTCAGTGGCTGGACCAAGTAGAAGCACCAAAGCATTTTAAGCTAAACTTGCACCAAAAAAAGGTATGGTCACTGTTTGGTGGTCTGCTGCTGGTCTGATCCACTACGGCTTTCTGAATCCTGGTGGAACTATTACATCTGAGAAATATGCTCAGCAAATCGGTGAGATGCGCTGAAAACTGCAACACCTGCAGCAGCAGTGGTCAACAGAAAGTGCCCAGTTATTCTCCATGGCAATGCCCGACTGTAGATTGCACAACCAGCACTTCCAAAGTTGAACAAATTGGCCTACGAAGATTTGCCTCATCTGCCATATTCACCTGACCTCTCGCCAACCAACTACCACTTACTTCTTCAAGCATTTCAACAACTTTTTGCAGGGAAAACGTTTCCACAGCCAGCAAGATGCAGAAAATGCTTTCCAAGAGTTTGTCGAATCCCAAAGCACAGTTTTTTATGCTACAATATAAACAAACTTATTTCCTATTGGCAAAAATGTGTTGATTGTAATGGTTCCTATTTTGATTAATAAATATGTGTTTAAGCCTAGTTATAATGATTTTAAAATTCACGGTCCGAAACCGCAATTTTGCACCAATTTAATAAATTTTTTATAAAAAGAAATGATGAAAACTTAGACTATGTGGGTGGGAGGGAGCAGAGGAGGACAAGAGGTTGGATGCTGGGTTCATTTAAGATGGAGTCGGCAGGACCAGCCAAATTGCCCCCCTGCAGCAGCCACTGCAGGTGGTCACATAAGAGAAAGGATTACAGAAAACACAATGATGATATTATAGAGACAGACTTATATGCCAAAATATAAATATTCCTGAGGAGCTACTGCAGTGGTGATAAGGAATGCCAATTTAATTAGCGTTGCTGCTTGTGGCAGGTATATCCAGAAGTGTGCTTCAGCAGCACAGAGCCCTGTGACTTTGCTTTTATCTCCTGGAGAGCTTGAAGTTCTTCCTGCTCCCATTGGCCAAAAAGTTTCTCATCCTCCCTGTACTTTCCTCCCTGGGAAGTCATCACCATGATAGCACACACATGAAGGCCAGTCTTTGTGACCGTGGTGAAGAAAACAACTCTCCCCTGATGGTAACTGACAAGGGTGCAATCTGTCCAGGCAGGTGGTTATAGGAAGTAAAATAGAGTCTAGTTTGGTTCCAGTGACTCAGATCCCAAGGCGTGGAGGACTCTGTCCAGCCTCACGAGTCAGGTCTGTTTTTACCAACTGATTTCTGCTGGACTCCTGCAAAGTCTGTATTCTTGAGTCCCACTCTTCTTCCCATTCCAAGCCAAGCTATTCTTCCTGAATACCAGAGCAGTGTTTCTGCTGGGCTCTCGATTCTAGTCCCAGGTCTGACAGAGCTCCCAGTTAAACGTCTCTGACCCAAAAAATAGGTCTCTTCTGATGCTCAGCTTTCATGGAAATAAAAATTAAGTCTCCCTTTTGGAACTGTCTTCTGTTTTCTACCTGTATTCCCCTTTAAGCTGTTGTTCACTAGACTCTAAGCCATGTGGTTTTTCCTGGAGGAATACAAAGAGTATCTTTTGTTTACTCATTAAAATGTAACCCTTAATAATCAGTGACAGCCATTTAACAGACATACACAATGTACCATGTGCTGTGTCTAGATGAAAACCTGCCTAAGTAAGCCATTTGATCCACGCTTTCTGTGCAACTGGGTTTTGACCACAATAGTTCTTGGGATACTCTATTTATTATGACAACACCTAGAGGGCTTCTTTAACTTGAACCTTTGCAAAAATAACAAAAGGATTAAAAATTACTGGGTCTAGAGAAGGCATAGAAATGAATTAAAAAAAAAAACTTGGTGAAAAATCACAAATACAAAAGTAATGCATCCTCATTAGAAAAATGTGAAAAGACATAAAGCCAGAAAAACAAATCCCACCCCTAACCTTTCCAACCCCTACCACCAATCCCCACCCCTGTTAGTATTGTTTTCTACATTTCTTTTAGATATTAGAACTCATACTAGATATAAAATTTGAAATCTTGACTTTTTTTTTCACTAGCATAGACACTTTACCAGCATCACAATTCTTTGTAAATATCATACTGAATGGCTACATATTTTTCCATTATAAGGCTATGTCACAACACGTAGGTTTAAAAAAAAAAAAAAAACTCTCCCCATTTAACATTTTTACCCAAGTTGGAATAAGTACTTGAATATGACCTTCAAATCCCCTTTCTTACTAAACTCAGCTTCTTGGGAAACTCATAAAAAGCAATTGCCCAAAGTCCAGGTATATTCAGGAAGAAAAAGAAAAAGCCAGCCGGGTACAGTGGCTCACGCCTGTAATCCTAGCACTTTGGGAGGCCAAGGTGGGTGGATTGCCTGAGCTCAGGAGTTCGAAACCAGCCTGGGCAACATGGTGAAACCCCGTCTCCACTAAAAATACAAAAAAAAATTAGCCGGGCATGGCAGCATGTGCCTGTAGTTCCAGCTACTCAGGAGGCTGAGACAGGAGAATTGCTTCAACCCGGGAGGCGGAGGTTGCAGTTAGCCGAGATCTTGCCACTGCACTCCAGCCTGGGCAACAGAACGAGACTCCATCTCCAAAAAAAATAAAATAAAATAAAATAAAGAAAAAGTCCATAACTTGCGCAAATATTTCTTAAATACAGCTGAATGTATTTTAAATGTTCATTTACTTTCTTACTTCTGAGAATTCCAGCTCAATCTAATATCATTTAGAGCCCAGGACTTTGGGCTCTTGGCAATTGACACAAATGTATATTTTGAATATATATACAATAGTACGAATACATTTATATAATTGGTGATTTATGCTTCAACCTCTAAAAATCCTTCATGCCATGTATCATTTTTTTCAACTGAAGTGTGTTAAACTTTATTTAGGGTTGTTTGTTGAAGGAATTTCACAATATTTTGAAGTAGCTGGAGGCAACCTGAAATATTACAAACTAGGGTCCTGAAACTATCATGAAAGTGATGTTTGTATTATGTCTTACATGTCAGGAACAACATTCCTCTTCTGTTTTGATGGAGCAACAGTTTTGAGGAAACAATGGGGGAAAATGTCATTGTTTGCCTGTCTGATTTGAAAGTCTCATTTTCATGGAATGAAATCCATTTAAATGTCATTATAAAGCAGTTTTTAGTTATTACATTCTAGTGATGGAGGAGTTTGTAATGTATTCATAGAAATAATTAAATGTTCATAATAGTGCTCTTGTTCACGATTTCTGAAAACAGCATTCTTTTAAACTATAAAAGCTCAGAACTCTCCTATTATCTTTGATTGATCCCCTGAAATGCCCACTCGCTCAATTTCAAGCAGTAAAGCACACTGAGGATTTAGAGAACCCAAAGGAAAGTTCAAAGAGGTTGATTGAGCTGAGCAGTTAGAATTGGAGGTTTCCTTTTGAAAATGCATCACCTTGAAGAACATTCAGCTAAAAATCTTGAAAAAAATTTAGATAGCCGGAGGGCCAGAGCATTTAGGTGGGATAGATTTTCCCCCCTAATTTTTACACGGCTTGGCATAGAGTCCCAGAAAGGAATTCTTAAAGCACATAGGGTCTAGGCCACCAAATTAGCACAGTTCCTATCCCTGGGGAGTTGACTTTAAATTTATCCTGTCTTGGTTTCAGGAAGGAAAATTCTTTTTCTGCAAAACCTGCCCCCACTCCCGCCATCAGATTTCCTCGATTTGTAGAAACTGTATCAGCATTTTGTGAAGGAAAAAGAGCTCTGAAACAAAGGGCTACGTTTGCTTTGAAGGTCTGGCAGGGACAAAGCAGGATTCTTTTCCTCCCTGGAGGATCAAATGGCAGCAATATAAGATGGAACCATGGGAGTGAGGAGCACAAAGGATAAATTTAAAGGACACAGTTCAGCCTTTCTCAAGAGGAAGAAGGTCTTATTTTTAGTTTTGTATTCTCCAGGTCAGCAAAACATGCTTCTCCTACTGATTTTGTCCTTTTCCATCCAAGTGGTTTTGATTTACAACACCAACTTGGATACTTGCTTGCTCTGCCTACGTATCTCTTCGTGCTAGATTCATCTACTCTTGTTGCTACCACTTTAGAAACAGAAGCAGTGGCAGGTTTGCTCTTCTTGTTTCAGCGATGTGGAATATTGGATTTTTGTTTGTTTGTTTTCTTAGGGTGTAACCTCCCAAACATCCTGGTAAATTTAAAGAGAAAATAAAAGGTATGCAAACTGTGGCTATGCTCCAATCTTGGCCATATTGCTTTGAGGCACAGTCTGCTCAGCCCACCTCCATACCTTACATTCCCTTCCACTGACACCAAATTACTCTTTACACATTAATCAGCAATGCTGCCAAAATAAGAGTCCAATTAGAGCATTCTTTCTTGATTGTTTTATTCTTTAAATTAACACTAAGCCAAAAGACCAACCCTCAGATGAGCAAATAAAGATCTATCTGCTTTAAGCAAACCTGATGGATTAAATTCCAGATTTGCAAAACCCATGCATTAGGAAGTAATTATTGGCTTTGTAAGAGAATCCTTCACTTTGCAAAGGAGCAACTAAAGGATTTATTTGAAAGCGCTATTGCATTTAAAATAATTTGGCTTACCTACATTTAATTTATACCAAGAGTCCTTCTACTGGTAAAGCTGGCAATGCCATGCAAATGGCCAAAGATTCTAACCACTTACTAAAGAAAGCCTAAAAGATACAAGCTATTGCAACTTTTACAGAGATCAACTGGCTCAGCAGCAGCTTCTTTAAGAATGACTGAAAAGCAGACATCCACTACATATGCACTCAAACATCTCAGCTTTGGAGAGGCAGAATGGTTTATCAGCCAATGAAGACCTGTTTGACGTGGGAAGATAATTATAAATTGCTAACCTGAGATCTTGGCCGAAATAATATGGTTACTAAAGTACGTAAAGGAGAATTTATTCTAATTCAGAATCTTGAGATAGGTGAAGAGTTATAGGGAGGGTCCAGTAGAATTTAAAAATTGAATGTTTTCAAATAGTTCCCAATGTGCATTTCAACTCATCTAAATGGGAAAACACAGGATGAGTGAGTTAATGAAAAATTGGGGATGTTCAGTAAACCTGTATCACTGCAGATTACAACTTAATTACACAGTTTTGTTAAAAATAGTAAATCGGCCAGGCTTGCTGGCTCATGCCTGTAATTCCAGCACTTTGGGAGGCTGAGACGGGTGGATCACCCGAGGTTGGGAGTTTGAGACCAGCCTGACCAACATGGAGAAACCCCATCTCTACTAAAAATACAAAAAATTAGCTGGGCGTGGTGGCCCATGTCTATAATCCCAGCTATTCGGGAGGCTGAGGCAGGAGAATTGCTTGAACCTGGGAGGTGGAGGTTGTGGTGAGCCGAGATCACACCAAAATCTCGAGCCGAGATTTTCTCCCTATTTTATTGCACGCAAGTTATAAATTAATGGACCTGCACAATTTAAACCAAGGTTTAAAGGTAAATTTTATTTAAATATAGAATTAGAAGTAAAATCATACTTCTTTTAGACTGGATTTTTTTTCCTACTGGCAAAAATTTTACATTTGCAAAGGGACAAATTATTTTGAACTCATGTGTAATTAAATATTGACTTCAGTGCATCTAAATTATTGCTCATTTTACAAAAAGATTAGAATTAGACATTACATATACATAATATGGCTTGGAAGTAAAATTAAAACCTTATTTCATGTTCACTTATTTCCCTCTAATAGCTTTTTAGTGGAAGTAACTCTCTTTCCTTCCCGTCCTTGCATCCTGGATTTGGCTGGAGAAGAAGACATTTGCAGGTCATCCCTATGCTGTCACCTGAGTGGCTTTCCCACTTGTAGGGAAGTAAGAAGGGGCACACATCAGAGTCCTTTTCCTTTTAACCAGTGCTGAATGCCTCAAAACTGAGAATTCACAAAAGACCTGCAACAGGATTAAGTTCTGACCTAAATAACTGCCTTTAGCAGTTCTGCATACTGTCTCTGAAGGTGGCATGGCTCACACATCCCCCACTGGACCTGCCCTGTTCTTATACCTCTCTACCCACCTAATTTCTTACTCACCTGAGCTCTATTTTTAGACATGTAGGTCATTATTTCAAGGACTGATTTATAGCGTGACATCATTGTTAATTATCTTCCGTTGGCATTGTTCTGTGATTGTTTCATCCATTCTGCCTTGTCTCCCACAAGACTACCAGTTAATTGTGGCAGTCACGGCACGAGATGCCTTGTCCTCCCCGACAACGCCTAGGAGAGTGCTGACAGCCAACCAGTGTTCTTCCAGTTCTCAACTGTGTGTGTGTCCAGGGACTCTAAGCTCAAGGTTCATTCTGATTTGGTGAGCTTACTAGGTAAGGGCTTAGAACAACAACCATAATTATATAGCAAGGGACACTTCTTAAAGTGAAAATAAGAAGAGAGGAAAGTAGCTTAAGACATATATATATGCTTTTTATTGTGGGTAACTTATTTTAATTTTTTTAACACATTTCCTACCAGGAGTCTATTGTTGTAAATAGCAGTGGCATGAAAGAGAAAGGGAGAAGGAAGAGGATGATAAGATAAAGGGCGAGGAAAGGAAAGATAAAGGGTTTAGCATGAAGTTACTTGCCTCCCTAATTTCCAAGGCCAGTCCTGCATTTCAAGGCATTGCTATCTTTAAGGAAGTTGGTTTACAATTACAAGTCTTTCATAAGCTGTTGCTTTGGGGTCCAGGGCATAGGTTCAAATTACTCTATTTCTACCGGAAGTGAGACCAATGGGAGCCAAGCAAAAGTGCATATTTATTCAGGCAGTATTTGATGAGCCAGGCAGTCTCCTGAACTCCTTTATTATGTATTTCCCTGCCTGTTAGCTGGCTATAAGTTATAAGATGTTAAAGAAAAGCCCACTAGAATATGCTACGGAAATAACAACAAACCATCACCTTTTCACCAATTATTAGCAGATTTGGATTTGATGATGGAGAAGTAAGAAAGATGATATGTGTCAGTCAATGGTAGCCCCATAATTTCCATATAGAAGGGCATTGGGGGGTGGAGGGTCACAATTTTCTTGGAAGGACCAGGAGTCGGGCGATGTCCACAAGTGGTGTTTTCATATGGAGCACATCGTTTTTACTTAGATTGTATGCTTATTTGGAGTGGTTGAGGGCTAGCTGATGCAGATTACAGGAGCAACCTAAGATTTTAACGCACATTGTTATGTTAGATATGGGGGTCTTTTTAAAACACAATTTCTATAGGTTGGTGCAAAAGTAATACTTTCTATAGAAAGCAAAATTTAAAAATATATCACTTCTGAAAAATTGGAAAGTTTTCAAACTGTCAATTTCCATACTTCCTCCTCCCACCAGTCTCCATGTATTTTATTTTGAACATCATTGGTATGGTTTTGCACTAGCAAGCAATATAAGGAGAAAGCTAAGTATCTGGAAATCCTAATTCAATCTGACATGCTATGTGTGTAAACTTGGAGTTGCCTGACAGTCTGCAGAACTGTATTTCTTATATCAAATGTCAATAAGACTGCCTATTTAAAAATCCCTCCATAATTACCTGCCAGAGTGCCCATGTTAGTCATTCCTTGGGTTAGTCACTCAAGCCCCTGTTAGGATGCTATGTTGGAATAAGAACACCCATTATTTCCTGTTAATAACTTAGTATATGTTTTATTATCACATTGCCTAGCCAGTCACTGCCAGATCCCGAAGCAATGGGATATAGGATGTGTAAATCTGGATAGAAGACAAACGATTAGAAAATTGCAAAGCAGCGAGCTGCAAGGGAGGGTATCCATGTAGAGGGGACAGAGGGCATCAGAGAGTCAGGGGGCTTGGGAGAAGGAACAAAGGAGAAGGCCCAGAAGATGAAAACCCAATTCATCCAGTCACTATTTTGACTATGGCCAGTTGCATGTTTTTAGCATATAGTAAGGATTAAATTTGGCTGAAGCTAACATGTAACAGTTCTTACTTAAGCAGGAAAGAACATTATTTCTCTCTTATGTTTTGTAAGTTCAGAGGCAGTTAGTTCTGAGCTAGGTTGTACTCCATAGTGTCTGGAGAACCCAAACTTTGTCAACTTTATTTTTTGTCTCATGCATAATTTTCACTCTCTAGGCCATTTCATGGCTCCAGATAGCTGCTGGAGCTCTGGTCATTGCCTTTACATTCTCACCAACAGAAGAGAAGAAACAGAAGCAAAGGACACAACTTCTCTCTTCCATTTCCACTTATGTTCTTACTGGCCAGAACTTAGACATGTGCTCTTAAATTTAGCTGCAGGAGGCCGGGCGCAGTGGCTCATGCCTGTAATCCCAGCACTTTGGGAGGCCAAGGTGGGTGGATCATGAGGTCAGGAGTTGGAGAGCAGCCTGACCAATATGGTGAAACCCCATCTCTACTAAAAATACAAAAATTAGCTGGGCATGGTGGTGCATGCCTATAGTCCCAGCTACTCAGGAGGCTGAGGTTAGAGAATCGCTTGAACCCGGGAAGTGGAGGTTTCAGTGAGCTGAAATCCTGCCACTGCACTCCAGCCTGAGTGACAGAGCAAGACTCCATCTCAAAAAAAAAAAAAAAAAAATTTAGCTGCAGAAGAAATTGGAAAATGTGATCTTTATTTTGGGTGGCCATGTGCACAGCTAAAATTATGGGTTCCATTACTATGGAAAGGGAGAGAAAGGCTACTGGGAGATGTAAGTCTCTACCATGGGATTACAGCCCCCATCTGAGCTGGTCCCACTGTTGGGGATCACCATGCTTCATCATTTCTACTGATTTTAGCCAGTGCTGGCCAGAAATCTATGATTTGTGTCATTGAGGAGCAAGACTAGGGAGCCTATGAATGACTAGCAGTGGTGACAGGGTGCCAGGGGGAGCCAGGACGCACAGGGACATGGCAGTCAGTGGTGGGGAGAGGGCCAGGATCCCTGGGAGACTGAGAAAAGAAGCAACACCCCGGCAACCTCCTGGAGTTTGACTAGGCGGGGTTACCCTGGGAACCCAGAAACTCAGGACAGGGAGGGGGACTTTGCTGCAGATCAGGATCTACCTCAGACCTTAGGGTGAAAGCAAGTGAAACACTGGCTCCAAACAGTTAACTTCAACAAGTCTCAATTTAAAGAGAAGTTCTTTGCATGTGTTTGGGTATTATTTGGGCAGGACGTAGAGAAGCACTTTCCATCTCATGAGAAAATGTATCTGTTCTCTGCTTGGGAAACCTGATGGTGGTTTAATTATCCCCAATTGAATATTAGCAGCAGGTGAGGTTTGAACTGCTCCTCTTTTAACTCTGCCAGGTATTAACATCAAAGCCTCCTTGGACTTTGTTACTGTGTTCCACACGCTGGCTTTTCCACTCCGCTCTCTTTCTTCCTTTTATGCCTAAAAACTGAAGACATGGAGTTATTTCAAAGTTATGATCTAAAAAATTAGCGTTCTTATGGTAACAATAATTTATTTCCCCATTTTCTATGTCCTATTCTAAGATTTGGCAATCAGCAGGATAATTGGAAATTTAAAATACCATGGTCAATATGACCAATTTAATGGATTTTTTTAATATGTAAAAACGTAGATGTACTAATTCTATAGCTTTTAGTTCTTTATAGCTTTGCTATTGCCTTTGCAAGGGTTTTGTTTTAATATATGTGAGAGTTTATAATAGTCATGCCTACAAACATCAATTTTACTCGTGTTTTACAGTAACAAGCAAGCATTCAAAAGATAAGATTAGCACTTTACAATATACATGATTGAAAGAATGTTGGTGATGTGAATAATATTATTTGCACTTAATGGCTTTTGTTTCCATTATCAGAGGACATGGATTATTACTTTTGCAGCTGTAGGTAGTATATTTCTAGTAGGACAGTGCCTTGGGCACAGCATGTGGTAGGCTACAGAGATTGCTAGGTGTCTACCCCACTGTCCATTCTAGACTCTTACTTTTGTATCAGAAGCCTGAGGGGGAAAGGATGAAATTTCCCAGCCTCTTTTGCAGCTAGGTGCAGCCAAGGACTAAATCCTGCCCAGTGAGATTAAGAGGAAGCCTCCTAAACGAGTGAGGGAATGCTCTTCTTTCCTTTTCTTTCTTCCTGTCACCTGGAATGCAGATCTTAGGTCAGGAAGTAAGGCACTAAGGTTAGTGAAACAGCAAAGTGGAAGCAGCCTGGATTCTAGAAGACCGGGAGCTGTCTGTATTAGTCCTGAAGGCCAACTCTGGCTTTTCAGCTGAGAGGGAAATTGTCTGTCTTGTGTAGGCTACTATTATTTAGGCTTCCCTCAATTAGGCACCCAGGATGAATTCTAACTGATAGACTGAGATTCAGGAACTTGGAACGGAGGATGCAAATCAGAGGTAGCAAGGGGCCAGAAGTCTTCTATTCTAGAAGTTGCAGGTCCACGTGGGAATTACATAGTGTTAAATCAAACTAAATGTGGGCTTTAGAGGCCTCTGTGGAAATCCTATGTAAAGAACTGCAACCTAGCCTAGTCCATACACAAACTGAAAACCTAATTTAGGAGTATATTCCGGTAACAAAGAGCTAAAAGTCTCAGCCAATCACAGAAGCCAAGCTTCAGTCAATTCCTTGTGGCCAAATGTTCAAACTGGGTTCCAATAAGGCAAATGCCAAGCTGAAACCAGTCCAGCTCTCTCTGTACCTCACTTCTATTTTCTGTACATCATTTCCTTTTTCCTGTCTATAAATGTTATCCAGCCACTTGGCAGTTCTACAGTCTCATTAAACCTCTCCTGGTTGTAAGAGTTGCCTGATTCTTGAGTTGTCCCTTGCTCAATTAAGCTGTGTTAAATTTAATTTGTCTAAAGTTTTTCCTTCAACAATGGTCATCTGCCAAGCTTCTAGACCAAGGGGTATTATTCAACTTTGTTGAGACTGGACAATCTTGAGTAGGTACACAAAAGTTGCTGTTGAATGAATAAATAAGCAAAGGAGTAAATAAAATGAAGAAGTTTTGTTTGGGGTGGCAGGTGTGGATGGAATGATTTTTGCTCACTAAGTCAAAAAAGCATGAAAAAACTCGCTTTAGGCACTTAAAAATTAATTTTGAATTCATGATGGGTGAACATACTTCAGAGTGATTCAAATATATTAGATTTTAATTCTAATGTATTAAAATATTATTAAAACGATCTATAATTTAACCCATCAGATATGGTAGTGAGCACTTACGGGCCCAGCATTGTATTGGGTATATAGTGGCTAACATTTAGAAGTAGTTTCTCCTTTATGATATCTGACATATGGCAAGGCACTGCAGAGCCTTACTTCTGTTCTCACACCCAAGGGGTTGTGTTGTGGGGGTGTGGGGAGTAAGCCAAGCAACGACATCGACAATGTGTGTCTCCGTACTTAACTCTCTCTCTCAATCTGCCCTAACCAGTATAGTCCATATACTCTCTCCCAGTATGGGGAATAAAGAAGATATCTGTAAGGCCCAAATGAATAAATTTCTAATGGTGGAATGTTAGGCATGTTGATTAATAAAAGGCACATAAGCAGCAAACTAATATAGTCTGGCTCTGCCTAAATGGGTAGTAATAAATGTGGTACTCTACTGGTCCTAGAACAGTACGCTGCTGTGAGTTCCTAAACCTAAATCTTCTTCACTAATGATCCAACTACCCAGTGTCTTTGGAGCTCTAGATAGCCAGAATGGGGCTAATAGGCATTCAGAAGTTATGTGAAGGAACTTTGAACCATCCTGGGACTATCTCAAGAGAATGCTAACAAGATTGTTTCAGACTTTAGGGATTTCAGTTTCACACGATTTGGATTGAGGGAACTGCAGAAAGATACTAACATCAAATTGGTCAGCCCATTGGGGTTGGGATGAGACTAAGAGTGTCTGTAAGTCAGTACTGTTCAACAGAACTTTCTGCAATGAAGGGAATGTTCTATATCTGTGCTGTCCATTGCATATGGCTATTGAGTACTTGAAATGTGGCTAGTGCAACTGAGGAACTGAATGTTTTAATTTAATTTAATTTAATTTTTATTTATGTGTTTTGAGACAGAATCTCACTCATGTTGCCCAGGCAGGAGTGCAATGGTGTGATCTCGGCTCACTGCAACCTCTGTCTCCCAGGCTTAAGCAATTCTCCTGCCTCAGCCTCTCAAGTAGCTGGGATCACAGGCGTCGCCCCACCATGCCCGGCTAATTTTCATTTTTTGTAGTAGAGACGGGCTTTCACCATGTCGGCCAGGCTGGTCTCGAACTCCTGACCTCAGGTGATCTGCCCGCCTCAGTCTCCCAAAGTGCTGGGATTACAGGGATGAGCCACCGCGTCCAGCCTATTTAATTTTAAATAATATAAGCAACTGCATATGACTAATAAGTACCATATTGGATAGCACAGCTCTAGAATTGTTTTATTTCTAGCTATCATAAATACTTCTGGAGAGCGAGTGCTTAAAATCATATCCAAAAGAGAATGCTGAGGTCAGCCAGGAAAAATGCTGCCAAAATGAGTGGTCATGCACGAGAGGTGATGGCAAGGAATTTGCTGAGCGCAGAGGGCAGGCTAGGGCCAGAGAGAGACAAGGCCAAACCGAGAAGCTGAGGGCAGAGTCACCAGTAGGACACACAGGACCATTGTGGATTTTTCATAGTTCCTGACTTATATTTGATGGTCTTGGGCTTTTTAGAAGGTCCAGCCCTAAGTCCAGAGCAAAGTGAATTAGATTGGTGATAGAAACAGAAGAACACATGTCAGAATGCCCATTGCTAATTCAGCTGCTGATATTTAAATACCAACACACATATTTAAATAAAATTCAGCTTTTTGCTAATATGTCATTTTTTGGTCTTTCCATAGGGTCTTTTTCCCCTGGTGTGAGAATTTTATTTGGCTATGGGAATAAAAAAAATACCAAAAAAAGAAAGCTTGCAATTAAATCAAGGACATTTTCGGTTCAAAGTATTTTTAATTGCACCTAAAGGTTTATGAGTTAACTTTCTTTAAAATAACAAAGTATGTGCAACTCTATTTTTAAAAAATTCATCAGAAAGTCCACCTGACTGTGACTGGCATTTTCTGTTGCCCTGGAGACAGGCTCAAGACTCTGCTCCATTGTTTCAACTTAATGGGACAATACAATAGTCTAGTGTCTTTGGGATCCCGCTGTTTCCTGTGTCTTTAAATTTATCACTATAGATACTGGGTACAATTAACAAAGACTTTGGAAGGAGGAATCCTGAGAGCATTTGACATCACTGAATCATGCCTTTCTAGTTTTTCTCAATGTGAGGCTTTCTTTAGAACTGCAGAAAAAAAAAATCAGAGGAAAACGTAACCACACAGGGAGCTGGTCTTTGAAAATCCTTAAAGTGAAAGGAGTCCTCTATAAGAATTCTTATTTCTCAGCCAAGGCTCAGAGCGGCTACATTACTGGGGATGAGGACTTGGGGAAGAGAAAAATCATCAATGCTACTTCAGCCTTATACTTGTCAGATTAGAAGTGGTTTTTATCCTTCCCCAAAAGGCTCATATTTATGCATATTGGCCACGTCTACACGTGGCAAGAGAGGAAAGCCTATGATTGATTATAAGTGATTATGTCATTGGAGGTGGGGTGGAGGCAAGAGAGCCAATCCTGTACATGCATAGTGTGATTAGCAGAGAAGTCGGCCTATCCAGCTGTGGTGGAGAAAAACCATTCAGGGTAAGTATTCACCACTGAGGAGAACTCTGATTTTGCTAGCCTATTTTCTGGGGTCTTACTATGTAGATCACTTGGGTAATGGATGAATCGAAAGCACATGAGAAAGGGTGGATTGATTTATACTGCAAAGGGCAGAGACTCACACTATGCTAATCCCCAACCCCGCTCCCATTACTGTAGATTGAATCAGAAATCTCTGCAATTGAGGCAAAGCTGTTTTTGCATTGGAAGAGCCCCTCAAATTATTATTATATTAATTCCCAGTAAAGGGCCATTGCCCTACTGGATGCAACCATGGACTAAGTCAGATTTGAAGGTCTATTCAAATAGGCCTTCAAATGTATGTATAAGAGAAGGTAGGACAACAGTGTGTATAGGGGTCAGGTGCAAGGGATTTGGCAGTCAGAGATCACAAAGAGTAGCCGCAGGTGCAGTGGCTCATGCCTGTAATCCCAACACTTTGGGAAGCCCAGGAGGGAAGAACATTTGAAGCCAGAATTTCAAGACCAGCCTCGGCAATGTATTGAAACCCCCATCTCTAAACAAAACAAAACAAAAAAATTAGCTGGGCACTGTGGTGAGCACCTATAGTCCCAGCAACTTGAGAGGCTGAGGTGGGAGAATCACTTGAGCCGGGGAGGCCCAGTGGTGATCCTGCCACTGCACTCCAGCCTGGGCAACAGAGCAAAACTCTGTCCAAAAAAAAAAAAAAGAAAAAAGAAAAGAAAAAAAGTAGCTATAGTGAGATAGGAATCAGACACAGGTGACAAGACCCCGCTGATAAAACAGGATGCAGTATAGAAGCCAGCCAAAACCCACCAAAACCAAGAGGGCAAGGAAAGCAACCTCTAGTCATCCTCATTACTCATTATACACTACTTATAATACATTAGCATACTAAAGGAACCTCCCACCAGCACCAGGACAGTTTACAAATGCCATGGCAACTTCCTGAAGTTACCCTACATGATCCAAAAGGGGGAAGAATCCTCATTTCCAGGACCTCCCCACCTCTTTCCCAGAAAACATGAATAATCCACCCCCTGTTCAGCATCTAATCAAGAAATAACCATAAGTATAGTCAGTCGAGCAGCCCCCAAATGCTACTCTGCCTATGGGGTAGCCACCCTTTTATTCCTTTACTTTTTAAGAAACTTGCTTTCACTTTACTCTGTTGGCTCACTCTTGAATTCTTTCCTATGTGAAGCCAAACACCCACGTGGCCTCCGAGGCTGAGCCCCAGTTTGGGGGTTTACCCTGTGACAATAGTATAGAACATCATTACTCACAGCGGAGTCTGCGGTCCCATAGTATCAGTGTCACCTGGGAGGGAGCTCATTAAAAAACGCAGAACCCTGGGCCATGTCTCAGACCTGTGGGGTCAGAACCCACATTTGAACAACATCCCCGGGTGATTCATGGCAATGTACACATTCAGGTTTGAGAAGCGCCAGCCTCGTGGGAAAGGTGGGCTGGGACCTCCATTCAAATTCTGCCTTTGCCAGTTTCTAGCTGTGGCAGAGACACAGAAGAGGGAAGGCTGTGAGGTCAGGCTGCCCACTTCACACACTACTGGTGTCCCACACATGCGAACCTATGGTCAAGATGTGTGCACGCTCTCAGCTTCCTCACCTGTACCCTGCAGACAATAATACGCCAACAACACTGGGTTGTTATGAGAATAATAAATCCAAATAAAGCACTTATCTGGAAAGTAGCAAGTGCTCAATAAATGCTAGATGCCAATGATTTTTTCTTTAAATGGTATGATGTTGGACAAGACTCTCAACCTCTCTGGACCTCAGGTTCTGTAGTGAGAACATAAGAACAATGATAACTAGTCCCTGGCCTGTGGGAAGGGTTAACAGATGTGTGCTGTATGGTCTGTAAACCTCTACAGAGATGATGATGCTGTTATCAGCAGCCTGTCAGAGGAAGAAGGATAGGTGTGAAGGTGATTCGTGCAGCCAGACCTGGCAAGAAGGCAAAACTCCTGATGGTGGGAGGAAGCTCTGACACGTGCTTGGGCCACTGAGGTTTTTCTGCAGCTCAGGGAAAATCAGACCACCCACAAATACGTGACGAGGTGAAAGGTCAGTGGGCTCATGTCACCCTGTCCTTTGTCTTATTCTCTCCACCTCCACCTAGGGACTGGACTAGACCGCCCAAGAAGGGACATTTGCTTAGTGGCTGCTGGGTAAACAACAACTTTACAGGATTCTGGCCAGTGTGAAACAAGAAGCAACACAGGTTTTCTACCCCGCAGCTTGCCTCAGAGCCCCCCAAGACTTCTCTTTTGCTTTTCTGTCTCACTCCTCTCTTCTTCTGACATATCCAGTCCCTTTGTAATCTTGACTTTCCTCTGAGGGTGCCACCAACTGTATCTGGGATACATTTCCTTATTTGCGGGACCATGAGACACTCACTCACTGTGGCTTGTTTAGTGCCTGAGGGGCAGAAAAACTGACCCTAGATTTACGGCTGCTGCTGCTGCTGAGGAGACTTTGAAGGTTTCTGCAGCAAACATCACCTTCTTTGTCTATCACAGCTCTGCTGGACAGAAGCACTGTGAGTCCCAACCCCAAGTGCCCTGTCAGGGCCAACATGTTAATGCAGCCACTACTGGAGGTCCCGAGAGGCCCGTCAAAAATCTGCCTAAGAATATGCCTCCATTTGGAAGGAAAGTGATCCATGTGGATACTTACCCCGCTAACTGATTTCTTCCTGGTGTTCTGCCACCACTTGCCTTTGAGAACTGAGTCCACAGCATCTCTTTTTTTGTCTTCCTGCTCCTCCAAAACAGCCTCCAAAACAGGATGTGTGTCCTGCATCCTCTAAAATTACAGTTGCAAAATTTAAGGCTCAGGTCAATGCTTGAGAAGTGTAAGCTCTGCCAAGCAAGGCTTTGCTTTTCCTTTTAATAATCTGTTTCCACATCTAGAACCATCCATAAAACCTTTGACAGCAAAATGCCCACCTCATAGAGATACATGTAAAATTTGAATTTTAGCCAGAGCAGAGATGCCAGCCCTGACCCTGATCCCCGGTCAGAGTCATCTGTCTCCTGAAGGAGGCCCTAAACCCTTGCCCTGCCCTGCCTGAGCTGTTCTATCATTTTTCGAGCTGGGTGAAGGACTCTTTCTGCCTCAGGAACAATATTAGTTACTGTTCAGGATAATGTACATTTGTGGTGCTCCAAGATATTACGTAATAATGCCCTGATGCTCTCTGGGAAGACAGAGTTCTGAAACTGACTCAACTATTTACTACTTCATGTGGAGAGGACTAGATTGCTTGGTGTATAGAAGTAGCACTCCTCTGGTCTCAACGACCAGGTGCCAGTAGCTTCCTCCCTGCTGGGCAGCTGCAGATCCTCTTCCTTTTCAGAAAGCAAGAATGGCACAGCATGTTGGGAGAGTTGTTTCTGTAGCAGGCCATCCATTTGTGTGTGTAGGTTGGTCTCTCTAGCATCTTCTAAGGGGATTCCATGTCAGGAGGTGAGTTATCAGAAGGAAGGAGGGCCCTCATGACTTTGTGCCCAAGTTGATGACCTGGAGCAGTTGACTGGCCCCCATTTGCCAGGGTGGGGTTGGCTTTGGGATCCTTCCCATGCTGCTGGTGACCCTGGCCCTGGTCAGTCCGGTGGGCAGCCCTGCTGTCCTGATCAGCGGGGAGGGGAGGCTCAGGTTCCATCCCCGTGGAGCAGCTCAGGCTGCTCTGAGACAGTTTTGTCCCTCAAAACAAAAGTGTTCCTTGATTTAAAAGAAAATGCTGGTCCCAACTCCTTAGTTTACTCTTTGTGGGTAACAAGCCTCCCATTCACTGTCCAGAGGGTCTCTTTCTCTGGGGCCTCAGAGAAGGCCTCATTGTTAGAAAACTAGAAAATGGCAATGTGGGACAGTGAGGCCCCGCGCTGCAAGCGCTCATGGCACTTGAATAGTTGGAAACAAGCCCCTCCCTCTCCCCCAATAGAGACTTGCTCAGATTTGAGACTCCAAAGCTTTTTTTTCTTTTGTGATGTAGACTCTTGACTGTAGACTGTGTCAGTGTTTTCTGAGACCAGGTGAAAAATGGCTGCAATAAAAACAAGGCTTGGCTTTCCTTATTTATGATACTCCCCTGCACCCAGACACAAACAACTAAGTCTTCACAACCCTAAGGCAGAGTTACATAAAGAATAGGGAATCAAGCCAGGTGCAGTAGCTCATGCCTGCATCTCAGCAGTTTGGGAGGCCGAGGTGGGAGGATCACTTGAGCCCAGGAGTTTGAGACCAGCCTGGGCAACATAGTAAGACACCGTCTCTACAAAAAAATAAAAAACAGCTGGACATGGTGGCACATGTCTGTAGTCCCAGCTACTTGGGAGGCTGAGGCAGGAGGACTGCTTGAACCTGGGAGATTGAGGCTGCAGTGAGCTATGATTATGCCATTGCACTCCAGCCTGGGTAACAGAGTAAGATCCTGTCTCAAAACAAAACAAAACAAAACAAAAAAGAAAAACAACAACAACAACGACAACAAAAAAAAAAACAGAATAGGGGAATCATTTGAAGACAGGTGACCGGTTCCTCAAGACAGCAAATAATGTGTTACTTGGATAAGAATGAAATTTCCGTTGGTTTATTTTTGCTGCAGGTGCAGGGTAAGAAGGCTGTGGGCTAAACTATCCTTAAATCATGATAGCAGACAACATGCAAATAAACCAATTTTCAAGGGAAATGAAAACACAAACTTTGAACTACACCCTCCCAGTCCTGTCCTTTCAACTTCCATTTCTTTGTGGGTGACTCTAGTGCCTATGTCTCTGGATGCTTCTCTCCAAGCTCCAGCTCTACCATCCTAACGTGTGCTGGGTTTGTCCAGCTGTGCATCCTGCTTTCCAAATTGATCGTGTCCCAGGCTGGACTCAGTCCTCCACTTCAGAATGGCACCTCCTCCTGACTTCCCTATTTCTACTGATGGCATCATTGCTAAATGTTTCCAGTTTTGTCTCTTCAGTAATTCCAGAATCTTCTCTTTCCTTGTGTGTCTACTACACAAGGTGAGACCTTATTACTGTTTCCCTTGACAATTCCAATAGGCTTGTAACTTGTCTATTCACATCCAGGCTTTTTCTACTATAGTCCTTTATTTTATTTATTTATTTATTTATTTAATTATTTCTTTTTTGAGATAGAGTCTCACTTTGTCACTTAGGTTGGAGTGCAGTGGTGTTATCACAGCTCACTGCAGCCTTGACTTCCCTGGGCTCAATCGATCCTCCCACCTCAGACTCCAGAGTAGCTGGCACTACAGGCACACACCACCACACCAGATTAATTTTTGTGTTTCTTGCAGAGACAGACTTTTGCCATGTTGCCCAAGCCAGTCTTTAATTCTGGGACTCAAGTGATCCTCCTGCTTTGGCCTCCCAAAGTGCTGGGATTATAGGCGTGAATCACAGTACCTGGCCTACCCCAATCCTTTCTACACAAATCATGGCAAATTACTTTTCCTAAAGCACAGCTACAGTGGCATAATTCTTGTGGTGGACACTTGTCATTTGTGCAGATCTGCAGAAGATCTTTGAACATCCTCCAATATTCTGGGTCATGCTTGCCTAAAGTATAAAGCTCATATTCCCAGACTCCCTTGGAGCTAATGCTCAGGTATGTCATTTCAGTTCTATGAATCACAGTTACCTCGGGCTCCTGCAGGAGAGGTAGAACCAACAGTGAGTACTACGAGGGGGTACTGTGTATAGGGATCCATTCTTCTGTCAACTGCAGCGTGGGGTTTCCTGAGCCTCAGGAGTGTTAGTGAGGTGTGTTTTCACTACAGCAGCTCTTTTTACCTATCTTCAGAGCCTGACTGTTTAGCTCACCTGAAGATTCTATAAGCTAGTTTAATAAGAAGTTTGTTAACTTCTCTTTCAACTTGGACTAGGCAGAGTAGATTCTGTTGTTGGCAGCTAATAAACAGAAAATTTAAAAAGAAACACTGAATGGCTTTTCAGTGCCTAGTGAAATAAATATATGTTCCCAAGTCTGGTACCCAAATTTCTTCCTAAGAAGGTCTCAAACCCACAGGCCTTTCAAGCCTATCATATTTGTTTCTCTATTTCCTACTGGCGCTCTCTTACGTATGTGCCTTTCCTCCAACTTCATGATTTTTTCCCCTTTGATCTTAGTTTTTTTGCATTAGCTTCTACTTTTGTTTAACAACTTATTTGCTAAAACAACCACCAGGAACAAGGTTTTCATGATGAGGACATTTCAAACTCCAGTCTGCAGCTCTTTCCTCTTTGATTTTTAAACATCGAGATCAGCAGCTTCTAAGGTCAAAAACATGCTAATATATGTCCTATATAAATACGAAACCCATCAAATCTTGCTTGGGAGAAAACTCTAAAATATTAAGGGGAAACTTTATTATCATCAAAAAGCATTTTTGATGATGTATTTTTGCACACCTTTCATTTTCTTCTCATATTCTCATATCTGTGACTTTGTCTATAACATCAAACATCTGAATGAAAAGTGAAAAATTCAATCAAAGAAGTTTTTCATATTATGCAGATAAAATATCTGGAAGACAATTTATTCTTTTCTCCCATATGGTTGAACCAGTATAGGCATAGTCTGTGTCATTTGCCAAGATAAGAACTTCCTTGTATCAGTTCATCCTTCACCATCATATGAATTTTTAAAAATCTTTAATTTTTGAGAAGCTCATTTTCCATCATTGAAAGACAAAGGCTTCACGGAACCTTTCAGACACCAATGGAAATGGATGCAATATTAATTGCAAGCTTGCCCCTTCCCAGCATTGCTTTTTTAATATTGGAAATCATGACGCAGAGATTTCCCTTCATTCAGAAGAAGAAAAGGGAGTTTGGATCAGAACAGGATGCTCCTGGTTTTACTGAGCCCCGGGAGTATGGAAGTAATTGCTCAAAATCAATGCTGACTCTCTGGAGAATGTGGTTTATGCAAGGCCTAGCTAGGCACCATTGTGCATTGTCTGCCTAAAGAGGCGAACGCTGCCTGTGACCGTGGCCTCGGCCTGGCTGATGGCACACTGCTCACGCTGACTCTGAACCACACCGTTCTCATTAGAAGCAACGGGAGGCCCTAGCAACTGCCATGGTTTCCCAGGTGATTGTAGCAGTACTGCCCCACTCCGTGTTGATTTTCAACACTCTATATGAGCTCTATTCACAGTTTAATAGCTTCTTTTCTCTTGGCAAAGAAAACATTTTCCTAAGGTCTGCAGTTATCACTGATACCAAATTCGTTTAAACTCATTATCCGTCTTCTTCACCCATTTTCACTCCCCAGGTCTGCCACAAATATCACTCTGAATTGGCAGCATCAACACAATTGAAAACCTAAGTGTGCCAGTGATGAACACCAACAACTTTTACCCTGTCAGATGACAGTTTTTTTGGATTACTTTTTAAAAAAGATTTTAGCCATATCAGTCTTTTTATATAGGTGGCAAAAGCCACAGAAATCTACTGCCAATATTTTCTATGTTAAGTCTTTACTGATTGAATTTTAAAAAGAAAAGACAAAGCTCTTTTTAATTTATTTCAAATTAATTTAGGTTCTCTTTATTCTGCACAGATTAACTGCCATTACCATATATAGACCACTGTTTCTGTCTTCACAAACTTATTGGAAATTCCCATGATAACTCACTGTGTACATTAAGGGGCTGGCATTTTATACATATCATATATAACGTGTATATATATATATATATATATATATATATATATATATATGAGACATTGCATATATGTTATATATCTAAGACATTATATGTTATATAAAACATATATTGTATATGACACTATATAAGTGACATTATATAATATAGATATAAAAACATAAATATAAAAAATTATATCTATAATATATAAAAATTATATATAATATAAACATTATATATTATTTGTAAAACAGATAAAATGTATTTGTAATATATAATAAAAAGCATTTATATAGTGAAATATTTATATTAAATACATCTATAAATTAAATTAATATATTTAGTTATAAATTAAATATATTTAGTAATAAAATTATTTAGTTATAAATAAATGTATTATTATTGAGCCTTATGGAACAATTACTTGTTGGTTAGGAGGGATTCATGTTGCATTTACTTCAAACTGTTAATTTTTTGGCCTCACAAGCACCAATAAGCTGGATATGATAACTTGGGGCTTGTTAGAGTCAATGAGAGTTTACAAAGGAGGCATTCACCATCTCTCAACATACTTCAGGAATGGTCAAGCTTCCCCACATGACCTAGATAACAATGTTGCTGAGGCAGATTAAATTGATTAACTGGTTAATCATCTACCCCATACATACTTGAACAAAACTGAAAATTTTGTCATCTGGTTGCCAGATGCTCTAGAGAAAATTGAGATGAAAACTCTGAATTTCAGTTAATACTTTAATAGTTTGGGCTTCATTATTTTACAAAGCTTTCTCAGGGATCAGATATGTGTGTGTGTGTGTGTGTCCATATACATATATATACATGTTACCTGACTCCCTGTTGGAAAATTTATTAAAACACAGCTTCTTTCAATTTAAACGACTGGAATACTACTCAGTTCTCCTCGCCATCCCCCTAATCAGGTGGTCTCTGCCTGTGTGTGCATGGGCACACTCCCACCCATTCTCTGGCCGCTTGCATTCTCCCTGGACCCCATGCTTCTGCATCTTGCCTTTGCCATTTAGTGTCTACATTCCTGCTTCTTTCTCTCTTGGCCCCTAAGGTGCTCCTCTGCTGGTTGCTTTCTCTTCCCGGGCACTTCCCATCCCAGTGTTGTCATGGACAACTATTTGCCCTGGCTTCCTTCAGGCCGCCTGTGTGTTGCTTGTAGTGCTGGGACACCTGGCCTTGTTGGTCCTCAGTGGGCACACGGGTAGTGTCAGGCAGAACATCAGCTATTAGGCAAGTGTGGTACAGACCCATTACCTTTCTGGCTGAGTGAGGAAGACAGCACTTCCTGCCACTAGTTTGGCCTCTGTCTGCAGGGAGCATGAGCCAGCCCAGCCACTTTCTGCATGTAAGGAGGCAGCAGCAGGGGGAGAAGGTGAAATAAAGTGCCAGCTCATGACTGCAGAGTCCCTTGCTTATTCCTGCATTCACCTCCTCTATTCTCACCATGTCATACCGGGACCATGCAAGCAGGTAGAGGTGGGAGAAGCAGAACAGAGAGAACCATATACAATAAAGGGGAAAAGGCCTGGGGGTGATGGGTCAGTTGATTTGATTTCATATATAGTCATAGCAGCTCTTCTATACAAAGGCAGAAAAACATCAGAATACAGGAGCAAGGTGAGACAGGGAGCAAATGCAGAGAAATCCAGGCTAGAATAAAATACTTTTTAATATTCTGCCCTTCCTTTCCATGAGAGAGTCATGCCCTTGGGTAGAATGCTGAGTATATCTTGTTTCAGCACTGTTCTTCAAACGGGGTCCCTACCCATTAGTAGATTTGCAATCAATCTAAGGGCTAAGAACCAACTACTTCAAAATTCATATATACAAGGCCAAGCAGAGTGGCTCATGCCTGTAATCCCAGCACTTTGGGAGGCCAAGGTGGGCAGATTGCTTGAATCCAGGAGTTTGAGACCAGCCTGGGCAATATGAAGAGACCCCATCTCTACTTAAAAAAAATAATAATAATTAGTGGTGAGTGGGGCGCATGCCTGTAGTCCCAGCTACTTGGCGGGGGGCGGGGGGGAGGTGGAGGGTGGTACTGAGGTGGGAGGATCACTTGAGCCTGGGAGATCAAGGCTGCAGTGAGCCCTGATCACGCCATGACACTCCAGCCTGGGTGACAGAGTGAGACCCTCTTTTGAAAAGAAAAGATTCAAAAGAAAAGAAAAGAAGAGGAAAGGAAAGGAAAAGACAAGACAAGACAGTTTTTAGAGATGGGGTCTTGCTATATTGACCAGGGTGGCTTCCAACTCCTGGGGCTGAGCAATCTTCCTGCCTTGGCCTCCCTAGATGGGACTATGGGCACATGCCACCATGCCCTGCTTAAAATATTTTTTATTGAAGTATAATTGTGATACCATGATGTATAATACAAAGTAGATATTTGGTTTTTGTCCTGTTTCCTGACCCAGAGCTCCTAAAACCCCTGGAATCTCTGAGTAATAAGTGCCTTTCTGGAATGTTAATAAATGACTGATGGCTGGGGACTCCTAGATAGACTCAGGATGGGAGCTGGCTTCTGGGGGACCAGACTTGCGATTTGATGGTTGGAACTTTCAGCCCCATTCCCTGACTTCTGGGGAGGGGAGAGGGGCTGAAGGTTAAGCTGATCACCAAGGTCAGTGACATAATCAATCATGCCTACATAATGAAACCTCCATCAAAACCCAAAAGGACAGGGTTCAGAGTTGCTGAACCTGTGGAGGTGTCTGGAGGGTGGTGCACCTCAAGAAATCATGGAAGCTCCTAGCTCCTTCCCACATACCTTGCCCTATGTTCTCTTCCATCTGGCTATTCATCTGTAGCCTTTCTAATATTCTTTATAATAAATGGGTCAACACAAGTATTTCCCTGAGTTTTGTGAGCACCCCTGGCAAAGTATTATTATTATTATTGTTATATTTTGAGATGGGGTCTCACTCTGTCACCCAGGCTGGAGTGCAATGATGCGATCTCAGCTCACTGCAACCTCTGCCTCCCGGGTTCAAGCGATTCTTCTGCCTCAGCATTCTGAGTATCTAGAACTACAGGCGCACCACCATGCCTGGCTAATTTTTTGTATTTTCAATAGAGACAGGGTTTTACCATGTTGGCCAGGCTGGTCTCAAACTCCTGACCTCAGGTGATCAACCCAACTCAGCCTCCCAAAGTGCTAGGATTATAGGCGTGAGCCACCAGTGGTGCCTGGCCTCTGGCAAATTATTGAACTCAATGAGAAGGGCATAGGAACCCTGATTTATAGCTGGTTGGTCAGAAGCACAGGTCACAATGTGGGGCCTGTGGCTGGTGTCTGAAGTGGGGACAGTTTTGTGGAACTGAGCTCTTAACCAGTGGAAGATCTGACACTATCTGCAGGTAGTGTCCAAATTGAATTGAATTATAAGACACTGGAGAATTGCTTTGTGTACAGAGGGAAAAAAAACCCCACACATCTGGTGTCAGAAGTGTTCTGTTAAGAATATAATAGAAAAAAAGTTTTTTTCCTATTATACAGTTTAGAATAATGCACATAAATCTCAAATGTATAACTCTGATTTTTTAACATGTGTATATACCCATGTAACCAACACCCAAATCATGATATAGAACATTTCCATCACCCCAGAAGGTTCCTTAAAGTGACTGTCCAGTCAGTATTCACCCACCCCTAGAGGCAACTTCTATCACCATAGATTATTTTGCCTATTCTTAAGCACTGTATAAGTGAAATCACACAGTGTAAACTCTTTTGTCTGGCTTCTTTCACTCAAACATTATGTTCTTATGGTATGAGTTTACTCTTGTTTAAAATAGCTTTATGGTATTTTATTGTATGACAACACTATACTTTTAAAAATTAATTCTACCATTGACTAACAATGAGTTCTTTCCAGTTTTGTGGTATTATATTGCATATTCTTTCATGGACATAGTCACTTATTTTCCTTGGGTATTGTCAAAGTCAGAATAAAAAGGTAGAGACGAATATATTTAATGCTTTCCTTGGGAGGAAAGAATTGCAATTCAGGGGATACACACAGACTGGGTGGTCTTTGGTAGGTCTGAAGAACAAACGAAGGATGGAGGTTTTGTAGGAAAGAGAAATGTTACATATTACTCTTTGAGAAAGTTCATTGACACTAGGATGGTTTTGGGGAGCTGGGAAGCTCTCATCTGTGGGCGACAGCAGCGGGCAAAATTGGTCCTAGAGTTGAATAAGTTATTTCAGCAGTTACAGATAAAACCTGTCTCAGGTTACAACAGACAGTTTCAGCAGCCAGACTTGCAGAGAATTCCATTTCTAGAACAGTGTTATGTGACTCGAGTGCTTTTTCCCCCTAGGAGTAGAATGGCTGGGTTCTGGGGTAGGGGCATATTTAACTTTATTAAATACTACCAAAGAACTTTTCAAAGCTGACTTGTTCAGTACAATAGCCACTGGCCCATCCTCATGGCTTTTTAAATTTAAATATGGCTATTTACCTTTAAATGTAATTTTATTTAAAGTAAAATTAAAATTCATTTCTTCAATGCTCGTTAGACATTTCAAGTGCTCAATAGACACACGTGGCTGGTAGATTCTGTAACGGACAGTGGCGCTATAGAACGTCTCCATCATCACAGAATGTTCTGGAACAGTGATGTTCCCAGCTGACTTGCAGCATGTTTCAAAAAACAAAATCAAATAGAAAACATCAGAGTGCATCATACGCAATAAGGATAACTATTGTTTCACGAGCCCTTTGTTTCAGTAATATACATATGGAAGCGTGCGCCTGGTTGTAGTCAACCTGTGTTTCTTATCATGTGGCATAGTAACGCGGCGATTATGGGGGCAGGTTTTTGTTATCTTTGGCCGGAGATGTGAGGAGCAGCAGAACGGGGAATGGGAGGACCATGAGGGAAGTAGATAAATACTTTTTTAGATCAAATAAGATTTTATTTAGCCTAATGTTTTTAAACCTAATGCTTTTTAAATCTAATATTTTGTGCAAGACTGTATAGAGTATAAATTAATTTCTTCTTTTTTTCCTCCACCAGTATGAAGTAGTGAAAAAGTTAATTTCTGTAAGTATATATTGCCTCCAGTAAGGTTATTCTTCCAAATGATTAGGGGACACTGTGCTGTACAGCTATACATGTTGTTCTCAGCTTTCTATCCCCATCCTGGCCCATTGCATCCACTCCCTCTGTGAGAGTTTATTGGTCATGCATGGGGCTGGTTCAAAGAATTGCTTCAGTGACCACTGGGTACATCCAGGATGTTGTGAAGTACCGTGTTACCCAAAAGAAAACTGCCTCTGTAAAGTCACTGTCAATGATAGGTGAAATGTCAAATTAACTTTGCATGCTTTAAAACTCGGATTGTGTGCCATATGGTCACCTCTTCTTCTGGTAGTAAAGTACATTGCAGATGTACTTTGAAAGCACATTAAATATAAAGAGTACCCCCCAATTATTTTGAATTTACAAGATGTTCTCAATATGAAATTATTGTTTTAATTAGTGAACAGTGATTCTTGCATGGTTTTAATAGTTGAAAATATGCATAACCAGAAATAAAAAATTAAACAATTTTTCAAAGTATCCTGAGCAAAGTTACACAAAACTCTTATTGACTTTTGCACACTTGTGAAGATAGCATCAACCTCCAAGTCTGGTCTGGAGAAAGCCAGTCTCAGTTGATGACCTCATGTGGGTAGGAAGGTCCCAGTGATCTTGGGAAACATTTCATCCTGGGTTACCCTCAGCCTGGATGCCTTGGCATAATGATTTGATTCCAGAGGCAGGTTTGCTCCATCCACAGTGTGCCAAATCTTGCTGGAGATGTCAGACCACATGGAGGATGCAGCATCATCCAAGTCCAAGGGCATGTTGTGAAAATCAACTCAACTGAAGATGTTGAAGATTTGGTATAAAGATCTTTCTCATCTACTGACATTTTCTTTCACCTCAAGAATATCAATAGTGAAGCCTTTCCTTGATAGATGTATTCTGGAAGGTGGAGCTTGCAGTGAGTGGAGATCGCGCCACTGCACTCCATCCAACCTGGGCGCAGAGCGAGACTCTGTCTCAAAAGAAAAAAAAATAGTCATGCACATAAATTTTGCTTTTTGTTTTTAGAGACAGGGTCTAACTGTTTTTCCCAGGTTGGAGTGTAGCAGCTACTCACACGGACAATCATAGCTCACTGTAGCCTCGGATTCCTGGGCTGAAGCAACTCTCCTGCCTCAGCATCCCAAGTAGTTGGGCTCTATACATTGAATAAGAGTTCCTCTTGCCTAATAGCTTTATAAATGCTTATTCCTGATTGCTCTTTAATAAGTAGTCTCCCAACACTTTAGCTTCTTTTATTTATTTTTAAATTGACAAATAAAAATTTTGTATATTTATCATGTGCAACATGTTGTTTTGAAATATGCGTATATTTTTGGAACAGCTAAATTGAGTGAATTAACATATTAATTACCTCATATACTTTTCATTTTTTTGTGGTGAGAACACTTGAAGTACATTTTCTTAGCAATTTTCAAGAATACAATATATTGTTATTCATTATAGTCAGCATGTTATACAATAGATCTATTGAACTTACTCCTCCTGTCTAACTGAAATTTTGTATTCTTTGACCAACATCTTCCCAGCAACCCCACTCCCCAGTACTTGGTAACCACCATTCTCCTCTCTACTTCAGAGTCCACCTTTTTCAGATTTCACATGTAAGTGAGATCATGTGATATTTGTCTTTCTGTGCTTGACTTCTTTCACTTAACATAATGTCCTCCAGGTTAATCTTTGTTGTCACAAATGACATGATTTCCTTCTTTTTATGGTGAATAGTATTCTGTTGTATAAATACCACATTTTCTTTATCCATTCACCCATCAATGGACACTTAGGTTGATTCCATATCTTGGCTATTGTGATTAGTGGTGCAATAAACATGGGACTGCAGATATCTCTTTACCATACTGATCTCATTTCCCTTGGATATATACCCAGTAATGGGATTGCTGGGTCATATGGTAGTTCTATTTTTAATTTTTTGAGGAACCTCCATATTGTTTTCCATAATGACTGTACTAATGTGTGTCCCCATTAACACATTCCCATTGACAGTGTACAAGGGTTTCCTTTCTCCACATCCCTGCCAACGCTTGTTATCTTTCATCTTTTTCATAATCGCCATTCTGACAGGTGTGAGGTGATATCTGATTATGGTTTTAATTTGCATTTCTCTAATGATTAATGATTTGGGCATTTTTCATATACCTGTTGGCCATCTGTATATCTTCTTTTGAGGAATATCTATTCATATCCATTGCCTATTTTTAGTCTGGTTATTTGCTTTCTTACTGTTGAGTTCTTTGCGTTCCTTATATATTTTGAATATTAACCCCTTATTGGATGTGTGGTTTGCAAATATTTTCTTCTATTCCATAGGTTGTCCCCTCACTCCATTGTTTTCTTTGCTGTGCAGAAGCTTTTTAGTTTGATGCAATTCCATTTGTCTAATTTTGTTTTTGTTGCCTGTGCTTTTGGTATCATATCCAAAAAAAATCATTGCCCAGACCAATGTCATGGAGCTTGTCCCCTATGTTTTCTTCTAGTAGTTTTACAATTCCAGGTCCTACATTTAAGTCTTTAATCCATTTTGGTTAGATTTTTGCATGTTGTGTGAGATAAGGGTCCAATTTTGTTCTTCTGCAAGTGGATATACAGTTGTCTCAGTACTATTTATTGAAGAGACTGCCCTTCCTTCATTGTGTGTTCTTGGCACTTTCATTGAAAATCAATGGACCACAAATGCAAAGATCTATTTCTGGGCTCTCTGTTCTGTTCCACTGGTCTGTGTGTCTGTTTTTATGCCAGTACCATACTTTTTTTTCTCTCTCTCTTTTTAAAATCAGCTGAATTTAAGATTCAAGTACAATACTGTTTTGATTACTGTAGCTTTATAGTATAGTTTGAAATCAGGTACTGTGATGTCTCCAGCTTTGTTCTTTTTGCTCATTATTGCTTTGGCCATTTGGGGTCTTTTGTGGTTTTGGACAAATTTGGGGATTATTTTTCTATTTCTGTGAAAAACGTCATTGGAATTTTCATAAGGATTGCATTGAATCTGTAGATCACATTGGATAGTATTAACAATATGCCAACAATAGCAAGTTTAGTTTCTTATTCTGACTCCCTCTTCCATCTTGAATGGGATCATGAAAGACTCTTTGCATGCATTGGGTGTGTTTGGGGTAGTGCTGAGGTGATGTTACTCTTTAAAAGCATCCCAGTAATCCTTTTGTAAGGTTGAGAATCTCATAATTTGTAATCTTTTGAGTGTAGGTTTCCTTAGAATGAAGCATGCTTGCATCAATTCTAATCCAATCTATTGTGGTGTTTCATCATCTCCCACATCACACAGAACTGATGAGGTAACACCACATTTTACTGAGCGCATTTTTATGATACTTAATTTTCAATGGCAATTATTATAAAATCTAAATTCAAGGTCTGAGCCTAAATTTTAGGACACTTGGCACCCAATTCAATATATCAAATATTACAAAATATTTATCATATCCTCTGTAGTTGCCTCTCTTGATGCCAGGCCAGATGTCACCTTATCCATCAGAGTACACCTTGCCCCTGGGCTCACATGTGGCCTCAGACACTTTCTCAACACAGCACTTCATGCGTGCATGAAAAAATAATCAGAATTGGCGCGAAAAACCTGTTTGCCAGCTCTGGAATCTATCATTTATCAGTAAATTCCCCTGCAATTTGATCAGCTTTAGGCTGATAAGAAATCAGTGATGCAGTCATTGGTCTAGAATGCTGTGTCTGAGCCTGGCCAGAGCACATTTCTAGAAGACGGAATCAGTGTTCTTTAACCAAATGAATGTCATCATTTTATCCCTTCACTACAGGGATATCAGAGAGACGCCATAACAGGGTGGAGTCAGACACACCTGAATCAAATTCCAATCTTGCAACTTACTTGCTATATAACCCTGAACAAATTACTTAATCTCTCTCAGCTTCAGTTTCCATAGCTGCAAAATGGGGTAATAAAACCTCCTTTAGATAGTTGACATGTGGTTATAGCAGGAAATATCAACATAACGCCTAGCACATTGCAAGCATTCGATTAATGGTAGACTGTAGTTATACAATTTTCAACAGCTGTGACTAGCAGGTATTAGGTTTTCCTGTGATGGAATTTAAATAAAGACATATATTAGTCATTGAAAACATAACCTCAAGCCTCCAGTTGAAACCTATGAGGATGATGTCCATCATATAGGCAACTAAAGCAATCTCAATTGGGCTGTTTTCCCACTTTCTATCCAAAACATAGCTATTTGGACAGGATCCAAAATTAAACCCTTAGGAAGCGATGAGAAAAGCAGCCAGCTGTTGTCTGCATAACTGTGGTTAACCTCTCAGCCACGCCTCTTTGGGCATTCCTCTCCAGAGAAGCAGAAAAACATGAGACACAACAGATTCAACTGCAAAATAAGTCCTTTTGACCCAGGAGATCCTGGAGGCGGCTGACATCGCAAGCAGCCTTGCTTCCCACACAGCTGTGTCCAGGCCTGATACATTTGATAAGGAGAGCTCGTCTGCAGCATTACTACCTTCTCAGCTAAAGATGATGTAGGGAGGAAAAAAGAAGAGAAGAGGAAAACGAAAGAAAATGAGTGTCATTGTATGTAGGAAGTGTTTGTTCTAAGTGCATCGTGTGGACATCTAATGCTGCCTATCAGGTGACATCATTGATAACCATTTAGGATTCCCAGAGTATCTTTTGGCAAACTTATGTTGGGCTGTGAGGACTGGGCTGTAGCCATTTCATAAGAGCACAAAGACAACTTGATCAAAGAACATAAGCAAGAAAGAATGGAGATATTTTTTAATTTGAGTTGTTTTACTTCCTTCTGGAAGCCACTTGGAATGGACACTTCAAATCAATACAATATTGGATCAAGAAGACTGCACATTTCATCCTAAGAGTGGAATCATTCAGTGCAAAGAAATAGGCTGTGGAAAGTCCTCTCCATGGGGTGATGGAGTTGCCTTGCACTCTGTGCTTCCCTAGAACAATGAGCTTCTTCCACACACTATTGTTCTTTTTTTTTTTGTAGAGATAAGCTCTCGCTCTGACACCCAGGCTGGAGTGTGGTGGCACAATAATGGCTCATAGCTCACTGTAGCCTTGACTTCTGGGGCTCAAGTGATGCTCTCACCTCAGCCTCTTGAGTAGAGGACCAGAGGTGTATACCACCATCGTGGCTAATTTTGTTTATTTTTTGTGGAGACAAGGTCTCACTGTGTAGCCCAGGTTGATCTTAAACTCCTGAGCTCAAGCAGTCCTCCTGCCTTGGCCTCCCAAAGTGCTAAAATTATAGGCATGAGCCACCAGGCCCACCTCACACACTACTGTCCTTTTTTTTTTTTTTAAAAAAAAAAATAATGTTTTTAGAGATGGGGGTCTTGCCATGTTGCCCACACTGGCCTCGAACTTCTGGTTCAAACAATCCTCCCACCTTAGCCTCCCAAAGTACTGGGATCACAGTTGTGAGCCACTGTGCCCAGCTGAAATACTTAACAGCAATTCCTTTCCAGCTCCACTGCAACACACCCATGCATAACACCTGTGGTCCTCGAACTTTAGCAGTTACAGGAATCATCTGGAGGGCTTGTTAAAATGCACATTGCTGAGCCACACCCCTGGAGACTTCAATTCTGCAGTCTAGGGGTTGACTCTGAGAATTTGCATCTCTAAGAAGTTCTCAGGTGATGCCTGTGCTTCTAGTTCTGGACCCATGCTTTCAGAACCACTGCTTTGAGGACTGGCCACACACCCGCACCCAGCTGGGGTTAATTAACTGCATGAATGAATGAGTGAGTGATAAACAAATAAATGAAAGTGTGAAAGTCCTCCTTAGCAGTCTCCTTGATATTCTCAGGATTAATATTTTTGTCTTTTAAGTATATCCTCTGCAAAACACACTCCTGCAGTAAAAGTAAGCCTGTTACTTCAATTTGAAGACCGCCTTTTTCATCCTGCCAGGCCAGATATCCTATGATAAATAGTTTAGTTTTTCTTGCTGATTCCAGGGCACATAAAGTTCTCAACTGTGAAGGTGCCAGAAGCTTTCTGGATTCAAAGTGTCTATCCAGATGGACAGACTGGGGAGCCAGGCTCTTCATTGCTTTCTCTGCTCTAAAAATTCTCAGCATTTCATTTGAACACATCAAAGCAGGCTCAGATTAAAGACAAAATGAGCTTGACACAACAAAAATGGTGCCAGCTTGGACTCCATGACACGTTAGCCTCGAGAAGGCCGGTCTGGGGCCATTGGCCAGCGAAGAATTCACCTGGAGAGCCTGCTGCTGCTCTGTCTCTTGGCCTTGGTGTGAGCATTTTTCACCCAAATTGGGCCACTTCTTATCCTTGTAACAGTGTAACAGCAGATTCTGTCACCCATGGCTGTTTCCCAGCTGTCTGTAGACATGTCTCATAGAATCACGTTTGTTCTCAGTTCATTTTAACAATTAATCATATTTTATCATTATAATAGTACTACATAATTGCTATAGAAAATACAGAAGAGTAGAAAAAAAGGGAGAAACCATTTATAATCCTACCATCTTAGATATAACCCTGTGGATATCGACAGTTCATATATATATATATATATATATATATATATATATTTTTTTTTTTTTTTTTTTTTTTTTGAGACAGTCTTACTCTGTAGCCAGGCTGGAGTGCAGTGGTGCGATCTTGGCTCACTGCAACCTCTGCCTCCAGGGTTCAAGTGATTCTCCTGCTTCAGCCTCCCAAGTAGCTGGGACTACAGGTGCGTGCCACCACGCCCGGCTAACTTTTTCTACTTTTAGTAGAGACGGGGTTTCACCATGTTGGTCAGGATGGTCTTGATCTCTTGACCTCATGATCTGCCTGCCTCAGTCTCCCAAAGTGATGGGATTACAGGTGTGAGCCACCGCCCCTGGCTGATAATTCATATATTTTCAGTTAAGATTCTACACTTAGGATTATTTGTCTGTAATATACATGTGATGAATATATACATATATATCTTCTGAAAAGCACACTTTCTACAGAAAAGGATGGAAAATTGTTTTCCAGTTTAAAGACTATCTTATTTTACCCAGTTAACCAACCAGCAATGTGTAGTTTAGTCTCTCTTGTTAATTGCAGGGCACATAAAGTTCTCAACTGCAGAGGTGCCAGAAATTCTCTTTTTCTAATTCAAACAATAATTTTATAAATTAGATTTGAAAATGTCCCATTTAAAAAAGCTGCTTTTTAAAAACATGATTACTTAAAAATCACAGGCTGATTTTCATATTCCACTTTATTTTTTTAAATATTATTTATTTAAAGAAATAGTATATATATTTCCCAGTGATCATATAAACTCTTTCAGAATCATTTTTTAAAAGCTCCCTTCAGTTCTTCTTACTTGAATGAGTTGTATTCTGGAAAACAAAAACAAAAAAGAAATGATGGTAGGACAGAAAGTTTTGAAGGGCAGCATTGAACTGTGTACATGTACATTGAATTGTACATGACTCCGAGGCTGTTTCAGTGAGCTGATAAGAAAAATGACAACATGACTGTGAAAATCAGGCCAATCAGTAAAAAAGAAAAGTCTTAAGCCAGATAATTAAGTCAAAATAAAAATCAGTTTTGAGGCCCACATTCAAGTTCAGTGAGTCTTCATTTATGCCAATCACCAAATAGTTGTCAGGGGTCTGCTTCTTTTTGTGTAGCATGAACCAAGGTGGAAGTGTCCTCTAGTTGGTGTAGCTATGTAAATTCCAGTGGATCTGAACAGAAGTCTTAACTTGGCCTTCCCCACACAGGAGATGATCACTCTTCCTCAAATTGCCTTTAAATAGAGTGGCGCCTCACCAGCACTGTCAGAGGGCAATTTACTTCTCCACTGAGAGCTGGCAAGCCAACATTTCCACTGCCTGGGAGTGGCTAACGAGAGAATGCAATAACATTGCACAATCACTGTTAAATATGAGGTTGAAAATGTAAACATAGGTCACCTTTTTGTAGAAAATAGATGAAGTATTTAATTCATTTCCTGATACTAAAAAACAGGATTTCTTTTTTTTTTTTTTTTTTTTTTTTTTGAGACGGAATTTCACTCTTGTTGCCCAGGCTGGAGTGCAATGGCACAATCTTAGCTCACTGCAACCTCCACCGCCTGGGTCCAAGCAATTCTCCTGCCTCAGCCTCCCGAGTAGCTAAGATTACAGGTGCCCACCACCACACCTGGCTAATTTTTGTATTTTAAGTAGAAATGGGATTTCACCATGTTGGTCAGGCTGGTCTCGAACTCCTGACCTCAGGTGATCCACCCGCCTCAGCCTCCCATAGTGCTGGGGTTACAGGTGTGAACCACCATGCCCAGCCTGATTTTATTTATTTATTTTTTTAATGAAATGCCACGTAGTGGATTGATAGATGTGTCCATGCACTCATGCATGCTTAATCTTTTTAGGAGCACGAAATGAATATACATTCCAAAAACTCCCAGTAAAAATTGCAAGGTCAGTAGTATTATCAAAATACATTTGCCATCATCGAGACCAAAAAATATTCCCTTGACATCTAACAGATGTAATGAATCTTGTTCTAAACTAGTTATATTGGCCTGTGTGTGAGACGACTGCTGTGTTAGATTCCTAGGGCTGTCATGACAATGTACCACAAACTGGGTGGCTTAAAACAACAGAAATTTATTCTTTTACAGTTCTGGAGGCCAGAAGTTCAGGATCAAGGTGTGGTCACTTCTGGGACCGTAGTGTTCCCTTCAACAGGATGGCAGGGTTGGTTCTTTCTGGGGGTTGAGGGAGAGTCCATTCCAAGTCTCTCTCTTAGATTCTGGTATTTGCCTGGCAATCCTTGGTGTTCCTTGGCTTGTAGGCACACAACTCCAGTCCCTACCTTCTCTACCTCCCTTGTCACATAGCATTCTTTCTACGTCTGTGTCCAAACTCCCCTCTTTATAAGGACACCAGTCACTGGATTAGAGTCCACACTAATCCAGTATAACCTCATCTTAACTTGATGACATCTGCACAGATTCTGTTTCAACATAAGGTCACATTTACAGGGTTAGAAAGATACATGAACGTATCTTTCTGGGGGACACAATTCAACCCAAAACAACTACAGACATTCCTTGATGAATGATTTTTCAAGTTTATGATGAAGTGAAAGTGACATGCATTCAGTGGAAACTGTATTTCTAGTACCCATACAACCATTGTTTTTCACTTTTAGTACAGTATTCAATAGATTATATGAGAGATCTAACACTTTATTATAAAACAGGATTTGTGTTAGATAATTTTGCCCAATTGTAGGCTAATGCAAGTGTTCTGAGCACGTTTAAGGAAGGCTATGTTCAGCTGTGATGTTTGGTAGGTTAGGTATATTAAATGAATTTTCGACTTATAATATTTTCAATTTATGATGGGTTTATTAGGATGTGACCCCATTGTAAGTCAAGGAGCATCTGTACTTACTAAAATCTTCCAACAAACATCTGGAGAGAGCTCATCTGCATAGCTAATTTCTAAAGACATGATGATCACTTAGAAACATAAACCAACAGACTTTTGCAGTGCAGCCAGAGGCGTCCAAGACTTCTCTGTGGCCGCCCAGCTCAGGATAGCAGATCCCTCACACTCCCAACTCCTCAGTCAGAGCTTTCCCTGCGGCTCCCTGTTGCATCTCCCTTTCTTTATATGGATGCTGATGCAATACTGCTAGCACCTTGATGATGAAGAAGAAAACTGAAAGCATACCTATTGAAAACCATGAGTAAGCTACATTTGACTGTTCTCGCCCCTCCATCCTTATTTGGATATTTTTTGTGGCTAGAAGTGCTTGCTCCTCAAACCTAGACCTTCATCTCCAATTGGATTCGTTACTGCTTCCAAACAAATCTCACACGCAGCCCAGCTTCCTCGGGCAGTGGGACAACCCGAATCAAATTGTGTGACAAATACGCAGGAAAATTCCCATGGCAGTCCAAGTGAGATAGATTCACATTAATCCTAGGCTCTGTGCTAGCCCAATAGCTACAGGACCCTGGAGGCTCATGTTGACCTAGTCTACTTTTATATCCAGATTTCTTACTTTTTTTGAATATTTCAGAGGCACTTCACTGATTTACTCTCGATGTGTGGAATGAAGACGCTCTCCATCTGACTCTTGTCTCTCTAACTAGCTACACGTTCTCTAACATAAGTAGGCCTTGGAGATGATGGTGGATGTTTATTTAATTTAATTTACTTCTTTTTTTAACCCAAGCCAAAAATGGTCAATGATGGTAGATGTTATGAAATTAGCTCCTGACTGCGATTTACCTGGAGAATAATAGTTCCTATCTTTTAAAAATGCCCCTGAAAAGAAAAACCTTTCTGTAGGCAATGCTAAATGAGACTGAATCACCCAAATTTCATTCTAGCTCAGGAAGACAGCTTCTCACGCTCTCACATCTGGACTGCAGGCACGGGGAGGCTGGGAGCTGCCATCTCTCACTTCCAAAGGCGTGGCTGGAGGCAGCTGGAAAGCCACATCCTGTCTTATGCCAAAATGACTGAGGACATGAAGTGTGGAAAGTGGAGAGAATTTTCTCTAGCGAATGTAATAAACACTACGAACCTGTGAGTAAAACAAAAACAAAAAATAGCTTCAGGTGAAAAAAATAAATTATCAGAATCTGCCTGTGCCTAAAGGCTTCAAGCTCAATATGCATGATTAGAAGAAAATTTCTCCAGGGAAACTAATATCTTATTGGTACTACCCCTGAGCCATCAGGATGGTTAAATAAGAAAAAACTGGCAACGTGGTCCAAATGCTTCCCTGCTACTGGGACATGTGTGATTGAATTACATAGAGAGACTATCAATCATATTTATTTGGCTTATCATGATTAAATCTTGAGTTTGGGATAAGTCGAAGTGACATCATGCCTTCCAGGGGTCCTTGATTTTGTGATTGAATTACATAGAGAGACTATCAATCATATTTATTTGGCTTATCATGATTAAATCTTGAGTTTGGGATAAGTCGAAGTGACATCATGCCTTCCAGGGGTCCTTGATTGAGATGATAGTGTCGCCTCCTTCCTTGGGGGTTTTCTGAGTCCCAGCACGAAGTAGAGTCTCCTATTTTGCATTCAGTGCAATAAATGCTCCCATGGAGTGTTGCCAGAAATATACATGCATTTAAAAGTTTGGCCTGGCATTCAAAAGTTAAGCAGCCAAAAGCACAAAGCAAAGAATGAGCAAGAGCACAGTGAGAATGTTTGCTTGGCCTAGCATTGAGAAATGAGGCCCCATGAGCAGAGTGGGGCTGTAGTGATTATGAACACAAAGCCATCCCCTCGCCTAGGTGTCCGAGTAGACCCCCCTTCCCCCACTGCCTCCCACCATGTCACCAGATGGCTGGCTTCTCTCAGCCACCGTGGAGGAGGCACCGAGGAGGGCCATTCCCCTCTCCAATGCAGAATCCTCATGGAAGACAAAGGCAGATGGTTTTTCAGATTCGATTCCGAGACCTGATGAATGACCATCTCGACAGACTGCCATTCATGTGTTGTTCCAGTCCCTTCTTTCTGCCTGCCACAAATTTGCTCTCGGTGAACCCCTGGGACAACCAGCCAGGAGCATTTCAGGGCTAATGATCTAAAAGACGAGCAAGGGGAGAAGTCAAAGCCCTGTGTCTGGCTGGTGCAGGACTAAGGAGGGGGCAGACAAGAGCTCTGTGTTATAAACAAGGGCATCGCCTGGGCTCTAGCATCAGGAGCAAATGTTAGACTGTGTGTGTAGGACTAGCTGTAGGTCCAGTGTGATGTGAGACCAGGTTTATTTTGATTTCCTCCCTCCACTTTTTACCTCTGTCCTCTGTCCTAGTGAGCCCCATAAGTACAACCATCACCCTGGGGCCACCCACTGGTTATCTCCAACCTGCAGCAAAAACCCTCGCAGTGTTCCACACTCCAGACCTTCCCAGGTCTGGCCCTATTAAGATGTGCTTGCTCTGCTGCCTGGCAGTGATGTACTGTGTTGCCCTGTGGGTGTGCTTTGGCAGGGCCTCTCATTCTTTGGAGGTAGGCAGGGGGAGGGAAAGGCATTACACCTCCTATATGCTTTGTGAGATCTTTCTGTACAATATCTAATGGAATACTTCCTGCCATCCTAGGGGGCAGGGGGCATTAGCACCATATTCCAGACAAGCAAAAGCTGAGAGAGGTCAAGTTGGAAATGTTGGAAATCTCACACCAGTCCAGAACAGAACCAGGATTCCAGCTCTGTTTGCTCAAAGCCCATGTTCTTTCTCCAACCTCATGGGAACAGGCAGTGGGAGCCTAAGGCCAATGAGTCACGGTTAGCCTAGAGGATCCTTTGCAGCAAGCTGTATCACACCCCAGAGTGCCTGCTGATTGGTGTGATGATCCCAGGCCTCTGAAGAGGCAGTCGAGCCCTGGCTCTTTGTCTGGGAGCCTCTAATGGCAGCTTCCACTTGGTTCCTTCACTTCAAGTTACTGTTGTAGGTGCATTTCTCCCTCTATGGAACCTTAGATATTGTCACTGTGCATTTATGTCCCTGGTTCCCCAGCACATGCTTGTGAAATCGGTAAATTCAATCTAATGAGTATACACAATGCATTGCTATAAAATGCACCTATAAGCAGTGCAGTTCTAAGGCTGGGACCCGAATTAGCGATTTGTCATCTGAAGAGGAGATTCCATCGGCCACCAAGGTGCATATATGAGCAGGGTTTCTCTGAACAGCAGGACTTGAACACCTGCAGGACTTTTCAGGCAATTCTCTTCCTTTTTTTTCTGTATCCTAAACAGCATTCGGAGTTAAAAGAGACAGTCAAGACACATCTGTTGGGTTGATGATGCAAAGGCTATACATTTAAGAAGAAACGCAACTTTGAATGTGAAAATCCTGGAACATGTTCTTGGTCCTCTGACCCAGAACAGAATTTTAAAAAAATTTTCACTTCCACTGAAAAACAAAGTAATAAAGTTATTGTAGAAGACAATTCTCAATTGTTGCAATAATAAGAAATAGAGTCAACATTCATGCCATATTCTCCACGTGTCATTTTAACCACAGGTTTCTACCCTTTTGCCTAATAATTATTGAACTGAAGTTACTCATACCTTAAGGAGTGAATGGTTTCTTCTTGCTCTGCCCCAGGATATGATCCAGAGGCAGTGGTCATTCCAAACTGAGGGTCAATAAAGATGAAGGCAGCTTCCATAATCCATATTTGTTTGATCATGAATTATTGAGTCAGTTTATTTAACAGTCATTTCTTTAGTGTTTATCATATGGCCCTTACTGTGTTATGATTTCTCTTTAATCACAGATGGTGCTCACACAAAGGTCCCAGGACTTGGCTGTGCTACTGGCCTTCAAGGAGCTCTCTTTGAGGGGCTAATAAAAGATTTAACAAAGCATGGAAGGAAAGAGGAATAATAGGAATGCAGAACTTTTGTTCCTATTGAGACCATAACTACAAGATGGGGATGTGGGGGATGAGGGTTTCCCCAGGGTCCCCCATGAAGGCAAAATAGAAAACCATAGTGGAAAATAGCAACTCAAATGGCTACATGGCATTCCTTATTGCCTTGAAATTAGGGTGGTACAGACCAAGCAAAAGATCCTCTGGATATGTGTGGCTTTGAGTGTGAGGGTGGAGGTAGGAATGAGTGGGGAGAGGTGGGAATAGAGGAGGATTCAGGAAAAGGCAAAAGCTAGGTGGTTCTGAGGTTCTGAACCTGCTCCTCCCAACATCCTGGTTCGTTACTGCCCATGCTTGGATCCCTCTGGGCTGCTCCTTGGCTGGCTGACCGGGAGTCCCAGAGGTGCCTTGCAACAGGAAAGTCCTGGGTCAGGACCAGACTGCCCAGTCTAGTGATACTGTGGATGGGTGTGGCCTCGTGGGGCTGTGGTGGCCTCATGGGTGACCATTGCTGGCAGGAAGAAGGGCTCCAGCTCCAGGCAGCCTGCTGCCAATTGCCTCCCTGCATTCAGCTCCTTGTCACTCCCCTGGAAGGAAGGGCTGGGGGGACTTCACTTCTCTCTGCTGCGTCTGGTCATGACCGCCTTGCAACCAGCTGCTTCTGCTCCTGCCTGGAGCCTCCCACTGAACCCCATGACAAGGACACTGTGCTGGGATTGTTTTTATTAGAAACAGGTTCTAACGTCATGCTTTCATTCAATCATTTTACTGACAGGCACAGAACACCGCCATGGAGCACACACCATGCTTGGTGCAGGGAAAAAATAAGTAAGACAAGGTCTGATATTGGGAGCTCAAGTTTAGAATGAGACAGCTATACAAACAAGAACAAGTGGCAATAGACTGTAATACATACTGCATGATTTCAATTGTATGACATTTTTGAAAATGTCATATAGAGAGGCCAAACTAGAGAGACCAAAAACAGATCAGGAGCTGGGGGGAGGAATCAACTACAGAGAGATGTAAGGGATTTTTTGGGTGGGGGCAGTAATGAAACTATGTTGTTGGTGTTGATTACACTACTAACTGTATTTATCAAAACTCACAGAAATGTACCCTAAAAGGAGTGAATTTTACTGTATGTATTGTAAGTTGATATTCATAAAAGGAAAATAAATTGCAATTGAGTCTGGTAAGCACTGTAATGGCATAACGCACAAAAAGTCACAAAGGAGGAGGTAAGCAGCTCTTCCTGTAAAGGTACGGGAAAGAGAATCAGGAAGACTTTACAGAGAGGAGAACAATTAACTTGTGGTTCTAAAGATGACAGGAGTTTGCCAGGGAGACAGGAGAGAGAGAACATTTCGTGTAGAGGCACCAGCAGGTGCAAAGGTACGGAGGTCAGGCAGCAAGCCCCATGTGTTCTGTGAGCTTCACCTCATGTGGTACATCTGGCCCATCTGCAGGAGTCTGAGCATGGACAGTCCTATATGTGATTGGGTGAGGACAATGCTTTTTTCTTTGCTTTTCAACATTTAAAAAATTGGGCTAAAATATACGTAACATGAAATATGCCATTTAAGCATTTTGAGTTTAGTGGCATCGATTACACTCACAATGTTGTGCTTCCACCACCACTATGCATTTTTTTTTTTTTTTTTTTGAGATGGAGTCTCACTCTGTCACCAGGCTGGAGTGCAGCGGCGCAATCTTGGCTCACTGCAACCGCCAACTCCCTGCTTCAAGTAATTCTCTTGCCTCAGCCTCCCGAGTAGTTGGGATTAAAGGTGTGTGCTACCATACCCAGCTAATTTTTGTATTTTTAGTAGAGATAGATATATTGTCACCATGATGGCCAGGATGGTCTTGATCTCCTGACCCTGTGATCCACCCATCTCGAACTCCTGACCTCAAATAATCCACCTGCCTCGGCCTCCCAAAGTGCTGGGATTACAGGAGTGAGCCACAGTGCCGGATCAACCGCTATGCATTTCTAAAACCCTTTCCTCACATCACCCTACACTGAAACTCTGTACCCATTAAGCAATAACTCCCCATTCCTCTCTCCGCCCAGCCCCTGGTAACCTCTAATCTACTTGCTGTCTATGAACTTGCCTGTTCCAGATAGTTCATATAAATGGAATCATACAATCTATGTTCTTTTGTGACTGGCTTATTTCATTTAGCATATTTTCTATTTGTTTTTAATGAGGCTTTTGGGTAAAAAAGGCAAGTCCTGAGAAAATTCTCTCATTGGAAAAGGTCAAGGCAAAAGAGAAAAGAAAGCCTTCTCTGAAGCAGAAAAATCAGAACTCAGTATTGGCTGGTGTGACTTTCTCTGGGAGTCTTGCACATGCTGAGGCTCCCTCCACGTTTCAAGAGCAGGCCTTGGAGAGGGACAACCCTGATTACCTACACCTCACTTGCACCTCCACAGGGTACAAGGTTCTGGCTGAGGCACTCCCTCACCACCGATCTGTTGCATGCCACATTCCTACCTTCTTTAAAACGGCTAAATGGATTTTTTAGAAGACTGAAGAAAATAAGTGACCAAGAATTTCAAATGAGGTAACCCAAGAAGCAGTGTTTAGAGTTAATTAGCCATTGAACTGTCAAGCCCAGTCACATCCAGTGAATTCTGACGTTTCTGAGAATAATCAGGGACTTGGCTGTCACATTTCACAAAGACCCAACCACTACGTGAACAAGTTCTACCTGCTTTTCCTGCACGATGTCCAGAAACACACACATAAAGGAGAATAATACCCAAAGCTAATTGCAGATCCTTGGGAGGAAGTGTCATGTTTTTGAAGAACTTATCCTATTTTTGCAGTGAAATATAATGACTCCATTTAAAGGGTAGAAGTCAGTGGCACTTTAAAGCCATCTGAAATCACTGGTGATAATAATAGCCAACATGTACTGTGTGCCTACTATGTGCCAGGCTCTATGTTAAGGGCCACAGAGCCTATGAGGAGGATACATATATTATCTCAATTGATACATGAGGAAACTGAGACACAGGATATGTAAGTTTTTCAGGGTCACACAGTGTCTTAGTTCATTTTGTGTTGCTAAAGCAAAAAGCCTCTATAAAGAAATAGGTTTATTTAGCTCATGGTTCTGCAGGCTGCGAAATTCAAGGTCAGGTGGCTGCCTCTGATGGCTTCTGGTGAGATCCTCATGCTGGGTCAAAACATCACAGAGAAATGAAAGGGGAACCAGATGTGTGGAAAGAGCAAAAAAATTGTTACTTCACTTTCCAACAACCTGCTCTTGGAGGAACTAATCCATTCCTGCAAGACTAACCCAGTCTTTCAAGAAAGGCGTTAATCTATCCTAAGACTTAATCACCTCTTAAAGGCACCACCTCCCAACACAGCTACATTGTCAATTAAATTTTAACGTGAGTTTTGCTGGGGACAAACCACATCCAAATTATAGCACATAGACAAGGTCAAACCCAGGCAGTCCAGCTCCAGAACTGGTGCTCTCAGCAATGGTGCTCAATGTCTCTTGGCCATACCACTGGACTACGCTGCTGTGGGACCAGCCAGCTTTTCTGGTGTACATTATTAGTCTCATCATAAAGCATCCATGATTCTGATTTCTTGCCCTCTAGGAACTGTTACTCAAGCGAGAAATAAATGTATCTGTAATATATTTAACTCATCCCATACTCAAGTGACTGCTTCTTAATTATCTCCTACCATCTTCATTCACTCATCAGATATTTCTTGAGCATTTACTATGTTCAAGACATTGTGTCAAGCCATGTAAGAGAGAAAAAAATTAGGGACTTCCCAGAAGGAACTTACACTCTAGTTGAGGAAATAACACATATAATATGTATAATAATATAAGACAAGGTGGTATAATACAAGGTAAAGTATAACACAAGATAATATAATACAAGATAAAAGTGGTAAGTACCACAAGAATAATATTTAGGGCTATAGTTATTCAGAAGAGAGAAATGACTTATAGGATGAGTGTGAATGTGTTTGTGTGTGTGTGTGCGTGCGCACTGAGCAAGGTGGGAAAAATTTGGTGCAGAGAAGATAGGAAGAAAAGAGATAAGGAAAAAAGAATCAGAGAAGACTATAAAGAAAGGAATGAGATAAGCATTTGCTATGGGCTCAATTATGTTTTCACAAAATTTGTAGGTTGGAATATTAGTCCCTGGTATCCCAAATGTGGCTATATTTGAAGATAAGGCCTTTAAAGAGGTAATTTTAAATGAGATCATCAGGGTGGGCCCTAATCCAATATGACCATTGTCCTTATAAGAAGAGGACATTTGGACACCAAGAGGCAGAAGGAGGACAACGTGAAGATGCAGGGAGAAGACAGCCATCTACCAGCCAAGGAGAGAGGCATCAGAAGGAACCAACCCTGCTGGCACCTTGATTTCAAACATCTAGTTTCCGGAAAATACATTTCTGTTGTTTAAGCCACCAGTCTGTAGTACTTTGTCATGGCAGCCAAAGCAGACTTGGGCTGATAATACAGCCTTGGAAAAGAGAGGGTTTGGACCTGGGGAGATATAAGCTGATGGAAGGGAATGGGGGAGCAAGTTTGGAACAACTGGATTTTATTCAGTGAATAATGGGGGGCTGTTGCAGGTTCTGGGACAGGAGTAACATGAACAGCAATCATTCACTGTATTTCATTCATTCGGCAAACATTTACTGAGAACCTGCCCTGTGCCAGGTATTGCCAATACCAGCTCCAGACCTGCAGCTACAAATAAAACACCTCAGCACAGTATTTTTCAAAGGAACCCATGACTGGGTAAGAAAAAAAAATTGAAAATGGGTTAGACTAAAGAGAGCATGGGGGTGGGGACACTCGTTAGAAGCCTTTTATCCTGGCCTAACTCAATGCTTTTCCATCTTCTCTGGAAAGAGTCTGATATAAATCCCCCAGGGAAGTGTCCTCCTCAATGTCCACCCCCACTCCTTGGCCCTGTTCCCAATCATAGGCAATGGAGCTGCCACATCTCTGCTTAGCTTCACTGGCCAAGAATATTTGGTTGAGCTTTGCCTCCTATAGTTAGCATTATGTGACATGACTTTATTATTCCTTTCAAATATAGATATTAAATTGAGTTATCTTTCCCAAACTCCACATTCTATCAGGAGATATTGAAGTAACTACTCCCCTCCCCACTCCAGCAGCTCTGCCCAATACATTCCTGCACCCACCACCACAGGCAATGGTGTTTTGATAGCAAAGAGCATCTCTGTTGGGTAATGAATGAAAAAACAAAAAAGGAAAAAAAAATATAGAAATAAGATCTCTACAGTGACAAATCTTTCCTCAGTGTGACAGGAAGAATAATGGTTCCCAAAGATGTCCACATCCTCATCCCTAGCACTGGTAAATATTTCACCTTGCAAGTGTGGTTAAGTTTCAGGCCCTGAGATAGTGAGATGAGCCTGGATTATCCAGGAGGACTCAATCTAATCACATCGTTCTTAAAAACGAGAAGGCCTTTCCCAGCTGTCATCAGAGGGAGCCGTAACTGTGGAAGAATGGTCAGAGACACGCACCGTGGCTGGCTTTGAAGATGGAGGAAGGGGCCATGAGCCAAGGGGTGGGGACAGCCTCTAGAAGCTGGAAAAGACAAGTGAATGGATTCCCCTTAGAGCCCCCCAAAAAGGAACACAGCTCTGCTGATACCTTGATTATAACCCATTGACACCCACGTCAGAATTCTAACTATAGAGTTGTAAGATAATAAATTTGTGTTCCTTTAAGCCACTAATGTAATTTGTTACAAGGCCAATAGAACACTAATGCACTCCATTTGCCATAATTCAAACAAGCTAGAACTTCTTATCTGAAGAATGCATCCTTTCAGGATTGCCTTTATAGTACCTTCCTGTTCACAATACCCTTGCCCCATGTGATAGACTCGTTGGTCTTATTTTTCCTCCCAGATTCTAAGCTCCTTAAGGGCAGAGACTGGATCATTTATTCCAGTATCTGTAGTGCCAGCATAGTGTCTGCCACATAGTAGACTTCAATAACTATAAATTAAATGAATGTATGGAAGCCCAAAGCTGCACAGAGCTTCATAAAGCCCCAACAGAACCTCCAAAGAGAGGCACTAGTGTTTCTTTTCAGACATAAAGGGGTCAAGTCTGATGTCACCATTGATGTATATATATGTCATTATGTTGAATTGAATTTCTGTTAACTGTAACCATGACAACAACACATCCCATTCACATGTAGAGAACAGTGAGTCGTTTGGACAAGCATCAGTGAAGGCCCGGCTTCCTAAGAAAACCTTTGTGCAATATGACTCCGAGCCCCTTTTCATGAAGTGTGCTCAACAGCAGGGCCTGTTCTAAATGGCTCTCTCTTATGTGGTTCATTTAACTGGTCCATGGAACCCAGAAACAAAGCTTCATTGCTTTGGATGCACTCCTTGTGAAATTATGTCTGTTTTTGCAAAGAAATGATCTTTTCATTCACAATTTTTCACTGTTGGGTAGAGAGCATGAAAGTCGCTTTCTAGAAAAGCTGATGGTGGGTAGTTAAAAAAGAAAGAATGCAGCTTCCTCCCCATTGTATCTTTGGTAATTATTTTCAACTGTCATGAGCAGAAACTCAGGAAGCTGGGGGAATGGAGTCTAGAAAAAGCCCTACTGGCCAGGATCTGCTCTATGGTTGCTCTCTCCACAATTAAGCTGCTCTGTAAGGGCACTCTGCAACCTCCCTGCTGTTGCTGCTTGACCTACCAGCCTCAGGCTACAGCTGAGATCCTGCCTCTGGAGTGGCTTCCATCCCTCCCACAAGGACTTGAAGAGCTTGACCAGGTACACGGTCAGACGTCTACCCACCCAACACTTGGGTCTTTGGGTAGCTGTTCTCCTTCCAGTTCACCTGTGGTGAGAGTTGACTTCTTATCTTCTCCCCATACCCTGAGGGCCTCTCACTGGAGACCAGTGTTTTCCCTCCTGCTTCCAGGTCCTCTCTGCAATCATTTGCCCATCTCCAAACCTGACTTCAGGTAACAGATTCGACTTTGCTCCAACTATCCCCAAAGCAGACCCATGAAAGTGTTCCATTCAGGACAGTTTATTATGGCCAGGCCATCCGAATGAAACGCAACTCTCTTCGGTGATGCTTCCTTCACTATAAACGTCACAGTGTTGAGAGACTGCTTGTGTGCACGTTTCCAAGTCAGGTGAACTTTCCCTTTTGGTTCCCAGTTCCAACTCCTCAGGCAAGGACATAAGGCTGGCCAGTGATGGTCCTAAATTTATCCCCATGGGCTGAGGGGAGCAATTCTTTCCCCTCCATATCAAAATAGTCATCTAGCAGGGGTTGTGGTGACTTTAATGTGCCCTGGGCAGTAGTAGATACAGGTTCATCAGGTCTTAGTCAGTAAACAGGAAGCGCATGGTTGCAGAGCAGAGCTGGGCAGCTGCCACACAATTTTTTTCTTCTTGGCTCATGTATGAGTGTTTCTGTGGCTCCAGGTCTCTGACGGAGGCATATCGAAATCAAGAAATATTTAATGAGTCACTAATATATATTAACCACTGTAACTTAGCTTGACCAGAAAAGAAAATAGATGGGCTAGCAATGAAACATTCGGAATAAACCCTAAGCCATTACCAACTGTGGTCATTGGTCATTGGAAGAGCTGAACTGAGGTCACAGCAGGAGCCCCAGAGCAGGTTCAGGGCAGGAGGAGCCTGGGGAGGCCCCCTCCCAGCAGAAGGGCTCAGTGGTGAGCAGCCGCAGCATCCTTCAGGGGAGGGCACCCATCAAACATGACTGTGCCCTATAGAGGCGGGCCAGGGACAAGGACTGGTGAGGAGAAGGCCCTCGTTCAGTCGAAGTGAAGAAGAGAGGCAGGATCTAGGGGAACACTGACATTAATACTCTGTTAAAGAGGCAACATCTCTGGAGAAGACCAAGAAGAGACAGATGGAGTAGAAAGATGGACTCTCTTAACCCCCTCATTAAGACGGGATAAAGGGCCAGGTGAGGTGGCTCATGCCTGTAATCCCAGCACTTTGGGAGGCTGAGGCAGGAGGATCACTTGAGCCCAGGAGTTCAAGACCAGCCTGGGGAACATAGCAAGACCCTGTCTCTACAAATAATTTAAGAATTAGCCGGGTGTGATGGCACACACCTGTGGTCCCAGCTACGTGGAAGGCTGTGGCAGGAGGATCATTTGAGCCCAGGAGTTCATGGCTGCAGTGAGCTGTGATCATACCATGGCACTCCAACTTGGGCAACAGAGTTAAACCTTATCTTAAAAAAAAAAGGGGGTTGGGGGTGGGGGATAGAGGAGGAAAATCATAGAAAAGCTGAGCTGACAAGTCTGTATTAGAGGACAAAAGCTGATGACTTGAGAGGAAGCAACTGAAGGTGTACCTGGGAGGTCACAAGCCTTTGGAGCAAGAGGTGTTACTGTGTGTGAGGATAGAGCTCTAAAGAAGGTACCTATTTTACCCAAAGATAATTAGTCAAGGATAGTTTCCTGCTGCCAACCTATATTGGCAAATGACCAACCCCCCTCTGTTCCCTCTAAAACTCCTCTTCCCTCCTTAGACTCCCTGCATGTAGGTTTTGCACAATGGAGAGGGCGATTGGACTTTGTTAGCAATCTGTCTCCATGGACCTTGTTGTAAACAAAGAGATCTTTAATTGGAGAGCATTTTTCCACGCAGCGGTCAATGTGACATATATGTTAACATCTTGCAACTGCTAAGCTATACAATAAAAAGAAGACATAAGGCTTCTTAGTCAAATGTATGTTTCTTTGATCACAGTGAAATAGACAGTTTAGAGCTGTCTTTCAAGTGACTCATGTCCAAATCAATAACCCAGCCCTGGACAGAAACAATCAGGATGGCCTCTCATCAGAAACAGGTCCATAGGGGTGAGCCAGCGGTCAACAAGTCACAGGATAAACCTGGTACAGCATAACAGGAAGGGTTGGATATATTATGGGATTAGAGGATTTACATGACATTTAAAAATAAAACACAAAACTGCAAAGAAATGTATCCTTTTAGGGCGCTGCAATAGGCCACACCCCCAGAATCCCAAGAGGTTCTCCCATGGAAAATTTGATATGCTTTGCTTATGGAAATATAAGGAAGTCTCACCTAGCTCAGAAGCCCATATTCTCATTTTCTTCACTTCCCCCCTTCATGAAAAAAATCAAATATCATGTGTCATCACAGACAAAGAAAAAGTGCAATATCTAAATAAATATGTGAGCAACAAAAATCCAAAATACATATAGAACATAGCTGCACACCCTCTTTCACATTAAAAAACAATTAACAGCAACCTCAGCTAACAAAGAAAAATGATACATGGGGTAATCCAGTGATCTGACAGGGCCAGGGGTGTGGTTCCTGACAATAAGGTAGGCTTTGTGGGAGGGTGTAGAGTAGCTCCAAGACGGCATGATCAAATATGAGGGCTGTAGGCTTAATATCTTCCCAGATGGCTTCAGCCTTCTTTCCTTCTTCTGTGGTCCACTGGGAGTGCAGTGGTCCAACCCTGCTTCACGCCCCTTTAGAGGAGGTTCCAGAGGCTCCCAGGTTGGCAGCTCCTCTGGAAACACTGCTCCATCACATGCCCTGTGCAGATACCTGCAGGGTGCCCTGTTTCCTCCTAGATCCCACTTAAAATCCCACAATTTAGGACAACTGCCCTTCCTAGCCTTATATTACCTTCTTTTTTTAACCTTAATCTGACCAGGCCATTTGCCAGCTTTCAGCTGCTTTCTTGGATTTCTAGGCACTATGCTTTTTCCCAGGAATCTCCTCCTCCTGCCACCAGTGGGTGGCCATCCCTGCCTAGCAGAATCTGGAGCTCATTCTTTAAGGCTCAAACTCCACTACAAAGTCCTGACTAATTCTGCCTCTCCTGTGGTTCCATCACTTTGTAGCTCTATGACAGTTGTCATGTTGCTTTGGACTTTTGGTCATTTGCTCTGACACTCAAAGCCAGCAACTTGAGAGTCAGCCTATGTTTTACTTATCTTGGTATTTTCCACACTCCTTACACATATGCGCCTTTCACCTGCTACGTCTCAATTTGTTTGCCTTGGACAAGTCACTACATGTAAGACTTGCTGTCCTTCTCTGTAAAATGGGTCTAATAATAATAAGTCCTTTCAGAAGGATTATCAGAATTAAGTGAATTTATGCAAGTTCAGCATTTAGTGCACAACTTGACACATAATGAGTGTTACTTGCTACTAGCATCAATAATTTATAAAAATAGAATTTTGGCCAGGCGCAGTGGCTCACGGATGTAACCCCAGCACTTTGGGAGGCCGAGGCAGATAGATCACGAGGTCAGGAGATGGAGACCATCCTGGCTAACACGGTGAAAACACGTCTCTACTAAAAATACAAAAAATTAGCTGAATGTGGTGGCAGGCGCCTGTAGTCCCAGCTATTTGGGAGGCTGAGGCAGGAGAATCGCTTGAACCTGAGAGGCGGAGGTTGTAGTGAGCCGAGATCGCACCACTGCACTCCAGCCTGGAAGACAGAGCGAGACTCCGCCTCAAAAGAAAAAAAATAGAATTTTATTTATTTCATGCTATAACAGTCTCTTTCCAGCTTTTGGGACATTTCTTAATTTCCTTCCTTAGTGGAGAAAAAAGTACTTGCTATGTTTTGGTGTTCTTATTCCTAGCTGTGCATTGAGATCATCTTGAGCCTTTAAAGATGTTGATGCCTGAGACCCGCCCTCCAGAAACCGTCGTTCAGTGGGTGCGGTATAGCTGTGACTAATTTTTGTGGAGCATTTCTCATGCAGATCCAGGGTTGATAACCCCTGCAAATCACTAGATAGCTTACCACTTCCACCACAGGTCCCTTGGGCCCTTATTTCTCGAGTAACAAGCTGTAATTCGGGGCAATTCAATCTCCAGAATATCCTACTATTGATACCCAGAGATGTACATTTCACCTTTTGTAACTTCACCCCTGGTCACTCCGTCCAAGCTCCCATGATGACTCAGCATTCTTAATACCTCTTGGTTTTCCTTCTATTTCTGTAACAGTAAAGTACTTCTTCAGGATAACTTACTACTAAGTAATAAAAACATGAACTAGTGGTGAGTAGTAGGGGAAGAAGAACACATAAAATCTTTCCAGCTCTCCATTTCTCATTTCTCCTCCCTAACTCATGATGAGTGGTAGGCCTGATCCCATCAGCCATGAGTGGGGAGGGCTGAGCTGAGGGCATGCATAGGAATGGCCTGGCCCCTGGGCCCACGTGAGCAACTGCACGGACAGTTGGGCTATTATAATAATAAGTCTAGGGTAATTGCTGATAGAGAGATGCAGATCCCTATTTTTTGCCCTGTAGCCGCTTAAAAACCTTTGTTCATAATTGTAGATGTAAAGCTTGTACTTCTTACTGGGCATTGGATTTCAATGGGAATTAGGCCAAAATATGGACCAGAGAATTGGCCCCACTGTGGCCAACCTGGGAATGCTGAGTCAGTCCTGTTCTGCTGACTCAATTCTCTCTTTGAACTGCAAGACTCACAGTCTAAGCATTGAGACCAGTGGTTCTATTGCCAAGACAAAGGGGAAAAAAGGCTGATTAAATTTGAGACATGGCAGATAATGCCAAAAGGCAGAGGCAATGTGATCTCTGAAGAGAGAGAGACGGAATATGTGTTTTGGAGATACGAGTATTGGAAAAATGGAAATCTCATCATAAAATGACTGCTGTGAAGCAGTTGCTCTGAGGAATCCCCCTTTACCCATGTCCTCTTAGATTCCCTCTTTCTTTGTTCCCTTAGACTCTTCTAGTTCCAGATGGTCTCTGGTGGTTGCTGTTGTTTTTCTAACAGCCCGGGTTTTTAAGTCACTTAAAAACCCACATGAAAGGCCCATGAAATATCAAGGTGATTCTGAGGACTGGCTCCATTTGCTCCAGAGCCCGAGTTCTGGCTTAGGTAGAGGACACCCCAAGGAGACTCAAACCACAGATCCAACTTTGAGCTGCTTCCACAAGCCCCAAAATGCCTTGAGCCTAATCCAGACAGGCTTAAAAGTTTAGCTGGACAGGATCTTGGACATAATTTTTACAGGTTAGGAAACTAATAGCTAGAGAGGGTAAGTAAGTCACCCAGATCACATATCATGCCTGCGACAGAAACAGGACAAACACCTGCCTTCCAACAGTCATGCACTTGCTGGGTTCCTTCTCTGAGCTGGGGAACGCCAGGCTAGCCCTAGAATGGCATGCGAGGCTGGAGAAGGAGACTGTTCCCAAGCCATATACCCCATGGCCCTTCAGTTTTGGGTGAATGCTTTTGAAAATTCTGTCTAGGCACCAATTACACAAACAAAACAGAAGAAGTGGAGACTGGGCGAGCCAGCCAGAGAGAACATTCTTTATGTATGAAGTCACTGGCTTTCAGTGCAAACTACTTACAGAAACAAGGTTCTTGTGTGGACTGCCACAAGTAAGGCTCTCCAAGGCCTCTAGTTGCAGCAGAGAAAATGTGATAAATCTACAAAACGTTCTGCAGCTTTACTCAGCTCTTTAAACTCAAATATTTGTTTTGGATGAGGAAATGGCTCAGGGCATGAGCACAATCTCACCAAGTGTGTGATCCTGGTGCCACGTGGCCACAGCATGATTCAGGATTTCTCCTGCCTTAGCCACTCCTCTAACCAACAACAGCACCTGAGTCACACTCCTGGCGTCCTTGCTGGGGCTAGGACCCACCCCTCCATTGGCAGCCTTTGTCTCCGGGGGCACGTGCAATACAGCGCCCCCTGCTGGGCACCCTGTCCTGCTCCTCTCCAGCTGGGTTTGCCTGCCTGGACTGGCTGCCCAAATTCAAGACATGGCAGCTAATGCCATGTGCGACTTAAAGGCTCTCCGCTTCCTATTTTACAAGAGGCTCTGTCTGCTTAAAGTGCTCAGTGCCTGGTGATGCCATGTTTTTTCCTGTCGCTAGCCCCCTCAAAAGAAGGAAATTCATTTGGGAGTTGTTTGAGGTGGATGAGGACATCCTTCCTTCACATCTTTGGTGTCACTGGAACAGGTGGAATTCCTGGCTGGAGGCAGGTGATGCTCCGGTGAGCACATCAGAGGCAGCAGCCGCAGTCTGCTCACCCTGCAGCTGAGACGGGGGAGAAGCTTCGCCAGCTGCCTCATCAAATGGAATGCAAACAGAGAGGAGAGCCCCACTTGCTCATCATGCTCCTAGCTACTCCAGCCTCGCTCCAGGGTGCTCAGGGCAAAAGAGGGCAGCCCTCTGCCAAGGAGGGCTTCCTGGTGTGTCTTTCCATGGAGGAAGGACTCCTCTGGGAAGGACTCCTGCTGGGGGACTTGGGGCATCTGGATTGCCAGCTGTACTCAGCAAGGAGCGGCCGCAGAAAGTTCTGAGTGCTTCTTGAGGGAAAGCATAAGCCATCAGCAGAGAGGGAGAGAGTCAGAGCAAGAGCGAGAGCGAGCGAGAGAGAGAGAGAGAGAGAGAGAGAATGGGCCTCCCAATCTACAAAGTCCCTGCACCAGAAGTAAGGACATCAGGCTTGAGACCTTGAGGCTGCAGCTGTGCACACCCATTCCCCCAGCCACTGCTCATGCCTGCAGTTCCTGCCACAGAGAGAGGCCTTCCACCCCACAGCTGAAAATAAAACTTAAATGCACATACCCCTTTGACGGAAAAACAGTGACTTCAAAACCATCAAAACAAGAAGTCACTGATTTTAAATCCTTTACTGAGATTGATAGGGAAAAAGGATTATGCAGGAGCTGGACGTGAACCGTGGCTGCTACACAATTTGGGCTAGGGCTTACTCTTCTCTCATTAAAAAACCCTATTTATTCCACCAAAGTAGGTAGAGTTCTCCCTCTCCTCTTTGGATTCTCTACTATATTCCTTAGTAACGTCATGAGGCTTTCTCAGGACTAAGCCTGCAAGTTGTCTATTAAGCCAGCTTTCCAGTGGGGACTGCCTAATATTGACCAAATACTTTAGAGAGTCATATCATCTGTGAGCTGGCAGAGATCCAGAACTCCAGTCTAGCACTCACATTTTACAGACAAGGAAGCCAGTGCCAGGGCCTTAGCCTGGTTTCACAACTCTTTCTCTGGTTCTCTTGGTGACTGACAACAAAACGACGCCTCCCTATTCTGGTGTGGCTTGGGCTTCTGGCTGCTGGCACAGGAATAGCCAAAATCCTTCCTTTCAAGCTTTCTGTGTAATGGAAACCCTGCTTGACTAATTAGGGCCCACCTCTCTCAAACTCCTGAATCACTGGCATTCATTAAATATAGAAAAGCATTTTATCCCCCTAATGAAGGAGAACTGGAATAACATAGATGAGTCACACACACTGAAAACTGTCATGATATTCAAGAAAGGTGACCTTCTCTCACACCTGCAGACCTGGGAGGGTGGATTGAAATCTACATCCAGTTTTCTCCTTGGGCTCTGACTGGCAGGAGGGTTTGTTGCTTGTTTTTTTTTCTTTTTTCTCCAGTTCCTTGTAGTAGGATGGAGATGTGGGTTCTGTTTTATGAGGTGTGGATTGCGTGGGCTGATGGCGTGGAGGAGGAGACTAGAAGAAAAGCAATACACACACACACACAGAAACACACACATACCGCCCCCACACACATTAATGCATACACACAAACCCCACAAAAACACACATGCAGAGATACACATGCACACACTCATACCACACACACAGACACAAACACAACCATACACTCACAACACACAAATGCACATATCAACACACACATAGACACTCTCACGCACATGCAAACACTCAGACACATACACCCACTCACACTACACACAAACACAAATAAATATGTACTCACATTCTCTCTCACACACACTCTCTCACACACACACTCACACACACACACATACACCTTTGGTTGCCACAGACCTTGGTGTTTGTTCCCACTGGCTGGCTCAGCAGAAAATGTGGCTGAGTTGTAAGACTCTGTTTTGAATGTGGGAGTTGGAAAGAGCAAAGATATTCTTCAGGTTCAGGAAGGCACCGGCCAACAGGAGCCGAAGGAGGAAGAGAGAAGAGATGATTTTCTTCCCTAAGAATAACTTTTGAAGGTGGAGCTGAATTTCACCTGTTCACCTTGGTGATGTCACTTTACCCCACTGTTTCTCAACGTGCAGTGCCTCTGATGAACCTGATGCCAGGCCTGTGAGGTACACCTTTAGCCACTTCTATGATGCCAGTTTTTGTTGACAACACATGTTCTGAATGCACCATGGCTGGCTGACTTTGACTGGGCAGATAGCACAAATCTCCAGTCTGAAAGTCATCATAATACTTGGAATGTTTAGAAAAGTCATAACTTAGGGGTGGTTCGTAACTTCTTAGAATTGTGCTTCCCTCAAATTATATATAAGCAGAAGAGAGCAGCTTTGGATGATGGGAGTAATTCAGGAGTAACCAGGGATCCCTAGATCTGGAAGAAGGAAGTAAAGTTAGTGCTTTCTTCAAAGGTTTCAATATTTCCTTATATTTTAGTGCAGCTTAAATCCAAAATCATAACTAAGGATATCTTTGCTATGGGAAATAGCTTGTTAAATGGATGCTGTTGGCCAATTTAAAAAGAATGACATGAAATGATTCCACAAGCTGCAGATCTACAGATGGGAATTAGATTGGGTATTCTGATTTAAGGAAACAAATTTGAGAGAAAAAGAATTCCATTTTATTGCAAAATTAGAGTTGAATAAATCAGGTAGGTAATGAAAGATTCAGGGAAAGATGATACTTCTAAAAACAAAGTTCTACAATCTCCAACCCAGATTTCACAAGCCCCCAGGATTGTTTCAATTTTGTCAGTGGGCTTAAAGAACTTATCCAAAAATTCTTAAAATAACATTAAATCCTTTAAAGTATTTTGTAAGATGTAAGAGTGCCATTGTAAAAAAGAGAATAGGGATTATTATGACATCCAACTAATTATGGGATACTGCAAGCACCAGAAGTGTAGTCATTGCTGAATTAGTTTCTGAACTTCCAACTCAGAACAGATCTGGATTTGCTCTACAGGGTGTGCATCTCTTATCAGATTTGGAATATATATATATATATATATATATATATATATATATATATATATTGGATTTTGGAATATTTGCATATACATAATGAGGTATCTTGGTGGTGGGACCCAAGTCTGAACAAACACGAAATTCATTTATGTTTCATATACATCTTATGCACATGGCCTGGAGGTAATTTTATACAATATTTTAAATGAGTTTGTGCCTGAAACAAAGCTTTGACTGTGTTTTAGCTGCCATCTGTCACCTAAGGCCAGGTGCGGAATTTTCCACTTGTGGTGGCATGTTGGCAACCAAAAAAGTTTTAGATTCTGGATAATTTTGGATTTCAGATTTTTGGATTAGGGATGCTCAACCTATATTACTTTAAGGAGCAGTATTGCTGCTCCAAACAGGGTGGTCTTCTCTGTGGGAGTCAGAGAGATTATAGATATTTGGTGCTTTAAGTCCCATTAAGTTGGGCTACTCTTTCAGAAATAAATGATCTCAATTAGTATAATCTCCATAAAGTGACACCACTTGCTTATGAAACTCATTTTCTTTTAACCAAATGTCCCCCAAGTGCTTTAAAATCATTAGTAGGTTGCTGAATGAGAATGCAGGGAAGGAACTAGCACCTAATACTTCTATGTTCTTTATGGACTTTTCTCTTTCCAGAAATAAAAGCATTGCCTACTTTCCTGTGAACTACATTTGTGTTGAGAATTAGTTCACAATGAAAAGTGCTAAGCATTACTATATCCCCTGTAGTAATAACACAGGTGTTATAGACACAACCATGGTGTCCAAATGAGGACCAGCAGAAGAGAGAACCAAAAAATGCATGGATGTGGGGGCATGGCAGAGAAGTTGAAATGAAGTTTCTGGGGAAACTGGATTTTATCCCTATATTTCTTTATGTATTCAGTTTAGTCTATCAAAAAGGAGCCCTGCAAATAAATTTTCTTCATAAAAAAAGCTGATTAGAAAAGGCCATTTTAGGCCAGGCGCAGTGGCTCACACCTGTAATCCCTGCACTTTGGGAGGCCAAGGCGGATGGATCACCTGAGGTCAAGAGTTTGAGACCAGCCCTGGCCAACACAGTGAAACCTCATCTCTACTAAAAATACAAACATTAGCCAGGTGTGGTGGCAGGTTCCTGTAATCCCAGCTACTTGGGAGGCTGAGGCAGGAGACTTGCTTGAACCCGGGAGGTGGAGGTTGCAGTGAGCCGAGATTGCACCATTGCACTCCAGTCTGGGCAACAGAGCAAAAAAAAAATTTGTCTCAAAAAAAAAAAAAAAGAAAGAAAGAAAAGAAAAAGAAATGGCTATTTAAAAAATGTGAAAGTTGTTTTTGTTTTTGTTTTTTTGTTTGTTTTGTTTTGTTTTGTTTTCACTTGAGATAACCAGAAACCTTGTTAAACCTGAGAGGCTGATTTTGTCTGGGATACAAAGATTAGAAAGCATTAGACCAGGAAGGACTTCATTTGAACCTGCCTGAAGACCCATTTCAGTTCTGTTAACCAGAACTGTGCATTCTTCAACCAGAAGCACAATGGGAAATGGGGAGGAGGGAGGAAGGGAGCCTGGACGGAGGGAAGAGACCTACCTGCCTTAGCCTGACTTCCCTAGAAAGCAGAGCCTGAGGCAAAGTATGTGTGCTATTTCTAGATTGGGGAGTGCCTTCCTAAGGACAGAAGAGTGAGGGAAGAGGGGAGCAAGGCAGAAAAAGAGGGAGAGCCAATAATGGGTAACTGAGCTCGCTACTGCTGGATTTTCAGCTCAATCGATGATGCAATCTTGCAGGTCCATCTTCTGACAGGCCATGTGAATGGCTGCATCTCAGGACAGCCCTTCTGTGGGAAAAGAGGGATACAGTTTAGCCATTTGCTGCATTCGTCTATGGGTCAAAGGTTGGCACGGCAGATGGTGATGCCCCTTGCTTCTGGATGGACACAGGTAGACACTATGTGGTCCGTGGATGTCTCACGACAGAGCTCAACAGAAAAGCCCCAGGCTGGAGGCGAGGCACTAAGCAGTTGCTCATGCATGCCTAGGATGGGAGGCAGTTTCAAGCTCCTGAGAAGTTGGTCACAGCCCGTGCAGAGTTGCTCAGCACGCAGCAGCTGGAATAGAAAAAGGGGCCAAAGACCTTAGAGATGTGAAACCCAGAGAATCTGAGGCATGGTACAAACCCCTACCTAGATTTCTGTTGGAAACACAGCCTTTTCTGTCTTTGAGTATGCTCGATACTGGGGATTGGGCATCTGCTGATGTCCATACATGGTAGACTGCTTGCTGTTTCTCCAGTATTCTTTTTCCTCTTCTTAGTAATAGAGCCCCTAGGTTTTAACTGTGCACTTGACTTCACAGAATAAAGACTGACTATACATTTTCTAGCCTCCTTTGCCAATTGGTGTAACCATGTGACCTAGTTCTGACCAGCGAGATGCAAGTGGAACTGATGTATGCAACTTCTGACATGTCCTTAAATGGAAGGGACATGCTCGTCTTTGTCCCCCTCTTCATTCAGGTAGCTGGAATTCAGATGTAATGGTTGGCACTCCAGTGGCAATTGTGGACCATGAGGTGACCTTGGGAATGGAAGCTGCATGTGGTAAGGCAAAAGTCACAAGGAGCCTGAGTCCCTGTCACTACAGAGTCACCAAACCAACCCTGAACTGCTTACTTCCAGACTTTTTACAGTGGAGAGACCTAAATTTTTGCTTTACTTAAGCGACTGCTATTTTGGGTTTCCTATTCCTTTGGCTGAACTTTTGTTGTTGTTGTTGTTGAGACAGAGCCTCTATCACCCAGGCTGGAGTGCAGCAAGTATAGTCACAACTCACTGCAGCGTTGACCTCCTGGGCTCAGGTGTTCTCCCACCTCAGCCTCCCAGGTAGCTGGGACCACAGGTGTGCACCACCACACCTGGCTAATTTTTTTGCATTTATTGTAGAGATGGGGTTTCACCATGCTGCCCAGGCTGGTCTCAAACTCCTGGGCTCAAGCAATCTGCTCACCTCAGCCTCCCAAAGTACTGGGATTACAGGCATGAGCCACCACACCCAGCCCCTTTGGCTGAACTTAATTCTAAATGATACAGCATTCAAAGCAGGGAGGATATAAAGGGAAGAGGGGCATAAGTATCCACTTTTAAGAATGACTCGGCTGGGCACGGCAGCTCACGCCTGTAATCCTAGCACTCTGGGAGGCCGAGGCAGGTGGATCATCAGGTCAGGAGGTCAAGACCATCCTGGCTAACACGGTGAAACCCCGTCTCTACTAAAAAATACGAAAAATTAGCCAGGCGTGGTGGCGGGCACCTGTAGTCCCAGCTACTCAGGAGGCTGAGGCAGGAGAATGGTGTGAACCTGGGAGGCGGAGCTTGTAGTGGGCCGAGATCGCGCCACTGCACACCAGCCTGGGCGATAAAGTGAGACTCCGTCTCAAAAAAAAAAAAAAAAAAGACTCTCCTTTGTCTGTGTCCCACTACCCCTACCTTCTCATAGCACCTTTGACTACCCTGATGATAGTTAACACGGGCATACCTCACACATATTGTGAGTCCTGTGCCAGACCACTGCAATAAAGCAAAATCACAATAAAGTGAGTTGCACATTGTTTTGGCTTCCCAGTGCATACAAAAGCTATGGTTAAAGTATACTCTAGTCTGTGCAATAGCATTATGTCTATGAAAACAATGTACATACCTTAATTAAAATACTTTGTTGCTAAAAAAAAATGCGAACAATCATCTGAACCTTCAGCAAGTAGTCATCTTTTTGCTGGTAGAGGATACTTCTCAATGTTATGGCTGCTGACTGATCCGGGTGATGGTGGCTGAAGGTTGGGGTGACTGTGGCAATTTCTTAAAATAAGAAAACAGTGAAGTTTGTGGCACCAGTTGACTCTTCCTTTCATGAAGATTTCTCTGTGGTATACAGTGCTGTTTGATAGCATTTTACCCACATTTTACCCTTTTGTCAACTAAGTTTTTGGAGTAAATACTTTGTTGTCGTTTCAACGATGTTCACAGCACCTTAAGAAACCACTGTCTTTGGTTGTGCATAAGAAGCAACTCCTCATCCCTTAAAGTTTGATCATGAGATTGCAGCAATCCAGTCTCACTTACAGGCTTCTCTTCTAATTCTAGTTCTCTTGCTATTTCCAGTGACTTCCTCAGCTGAAGTCTTGAACCCCTCAAAGTCATCCAGGAGGACTGGAATCAACTTCTTCCAGACTCTGGTTAGTGTTGATATTTTGACTTCCTCCCAAGAATCACAGATGTTCTTAATGGCATATAGAATGGTGAATCTTTTCCAGAAGGTTTTCAGTTTACTTTGTCTAGATCTGTCAGAGGAATCACTAAGCAGTTATAACCTTACAAAATGTACTTCTTAAATAATAAGACTTGAAAGTCAAAATGACTCCTTGATCCATGGGCTGCAGAATGACTATATGTAAACTATCAGAAAAACAACATTCATTTCCTTGTACATCTCCATCAGAGCTCCTTTGTGAACAGGTGGGCTGTCAATAAGCACCTAAGTAATGAGTAATATTTTGAAAGAAATGTTTTTTTCTCAGTAATATGTCTTAATTTTTGGCTTAAAATATTCAGTAAACAAAATATGCTGTAAACAGATGTGCTATCATCTAAACTTTGTGTTCAATTTACAAAACACAGGAAGAGTAAACTTAGCATAATTCTTAAGGGACAAAGGATTTTTAGAACAGTCAATGAGCACTTGCTTCACCTTGAAATCATCAGCTACATTAGCCCCTGAGAAGAGAGTCAGCCTGTCGCTTGAAGCTTTGAAGCTAGGCATTGACTTCTCCTCTCTAGCTATGAAAGTCCTAGATGGCTTCTTCTTCCAATAGAAGGCTGTTTTGAATACATTGAAAATCTATTGTTCAGAGCAGCCACCTCCATCAGTGATCTTAGCTAGAGCATCTACATAACTTGCTGTAGGTTCTATATCAGCACTTGCAGTTTCACCTTGCGCTCTTATGTTATAGATACAGCGTCTTTCCTTAAACCTCATGAACCAACCTCTCCTAACTTCAAACTTTTCTTCTGCCACTTCCTCACCACTCTCAGCCTCCACAGAATTGAAGAGAGTTAGGGCCTTCCTCTGGATTAGGCTTCGGCTAAAGGGAATGTTGTGGCTGGTTTGAACTTCCACCCAGACCAGTCAAACTTTCTCCATATCAACAATAAGGCTGTTTCTCTGTTTTATCATTCATGTGTTCACTGGAGTAACATTTTAAATTTCTTTCAAGAACTTTTTCTTTGCATTTACAACTTGGCTAACGGTTTGGAGCAAGAGGCCTCACTTTCAGCCGAACTAGGTTTTTGGCCTGCCTTCCTTAATAAGCGGAATCTTTTCTAGCTTTCAAAGTCAAGTGGGAGACATGCGACTCTTCCTTCCACTTAAACACTTAGAGGACATTGTAGGGTTATTAATTGTTCCAATTTCAATATTATTGTGTCTCAGGGAATAGGGAGGCCCAAGGAAAGGGAGAGAGATGGGGTAATGGCCAATTTGCAGGGCAGTCTGAACACATACATTTATTGATTGAGTTTGCTGTCTTATGTGGGTGCAATTGGTGGCACACCAAAACAATTACAATAGTAACATTAAAGATCACTGATCACAGATCATCAAAACAGATATAATAATAATGTAAAATATTGCGAGAATTACCAAAATGTGACACAGAGTCATGAAGTGAGTGCTATTGTTGGAAAAATGGCCCTGATATACTTGCTTGACACAGGGTTGCTGCAAACCTTCAATGTGTACAAAACACAGTATCTGCAGAGTGCAATACAGCAAAGCACAATAAAATGAGACATGCCCATCATTGCTACTACTCTGAGACAGGCATTATTAGGCACTGTACCTCTGGTATCTCATGGAATACTTTAAATGCTTCTATGAAGTAGGCATAATTACTACCGCTATGGCTGTTTTTCATAGTTGGTCATCCTGCCCCGATCCTTGCTCCTCTGCAGTCCGTTCTCTACACAGTGGCCAGATGGATTCTCCCCCATGCATCGTCTCACTGCACCCTTCTGCTTCGAATTGCCCCATGGCGTTTTAGTTATATAACACCATCACCCCCAAACATAGTAGCTTAAAAAACAAAAATGATTTCTGTCTTTGTTGATGAGGAATTCAGGAAGGACTTGGTCTGGTAGTTCTCCCTGGGAGGTCCCTATCACAATTGCAGTCATGAGTTGGCTAGGCCTGCCATCATTTGACGTCGTGATGGGGCTAGACAGCCTGCTCCTAAGATGGCCCAACCACACACCTGCCTGGGAAGCTGGGACAGGCTGGAGGCTGGAGGTCTCTGTTCTCTCCACACAGGCTTATCCAACAGAGCTGCTGAGTGTAGGGCGTGGAGGTTGGCTTCGCCATGGGAGCAATGCAAGGTGCCAAGATGGACGTGGTATTGCCTTTTATACTCTAGTCTTGGAAGTCACACCCCATCATGTCCACCATAAGCTAGTGGTACAGGAATTTGCAAATATCTGCTTGGGTTTGAGGAGGGAGGACATAGACTGCGCCTCACTATGAAGTCATGTCAATCATCAGTTGTGGCACAGGGTATGTAGTGGGGTTTATATTGGGGTCTGGGGAATATAAAGCCTGTGTCCAGAACCAAAGCACTGTTCTACCCCTACACAGAACACTCTCTATCCAAAGACCCTTTGGTTAGCATTGCTTTTTGCCATTTCGGCCTTGCTAAGGCATGAGAAATGTTGCCACATCCGTTGCATCTGCTACAAAGGCATGCTAGTAATTATCAGTGATAACAGAATGAAAAGAATACAGTTGGTTTTGAGCTTCTAACATATGGTATTGTTGGCTCTTTCTGAGAAGAGAGATCCTGCTTGTGCCCAAGGAATCCCTGAGGATCCCTACGTAGGACCCACTCATCCCACTGCTTTGTCTCTCTACTACAGGGCAGTCTGTGTCCAGCCACTTCTGGGAAGTGGAGTATCTGATTGGTTACCCTGTGTCATAAAAGAGAGGGCATCTGAACTAATCTCTTTATGCAGAGTTTCACAGCACTTCCTCTGGGTCACACCCTCATAGCTCCATTCAGGCAAGGTATAGATTTGAGTAGAAATATCTGTCCTGAGCATCGAGGTACCGCGGTGATGCAAATGTAAGCCCCAGCACAGACAGCATGTCTGTGTTTCTAGTGAGCTGGCAGATGGCTTTTAAAGTCAAGTTACAAGTGTGTCCAGGCACAGGGACAGCTGTGTGAGCAAAGGAACACTTTTGTGCCAGGGAGGGAGAGAGGACCAGCTCTAGGGGGAACTATAGGCTCTGCAGGCTCAGAAAGAGGCAGGTGTGATGAAAACCTTCCAGGAGCACCTCATCACTCCGTTCAGGCCTCCTGACTCATTAGGAGATTCTGGTGACACCCCGCCTCCCTGGCTTCAATCTCTCTAGCTGTAAGCCTGGGGATTGGAAGACTTGGCACAGTCTTTCCTCCCCAAGGGTGCCGTGCTGATGATGTTTGCAGAGTGCATCACACTCCTCTGATAAAAGGTGTCTCCTGAGTACAAAGTATCATTGTCACTATATTCCACAATGTGGCTAAATATAGGTGTGCACCAATCTGCTGAAGAGCAGAGTGTCTCTTCAGCATTTGCCTGGGAGGAGCAAGTGGCCCAGTGGCTGCATAGGATGCAGCAGAAAAGAGCTGGCATGCAGCAGCAGTGTACCTGAGACCAGGGCATGGGGAGAGGGAAAGGCCCTGCATGCCCCCCTGGTGGGCAGCCCCAGCCCACTTGGTGACAGTGAGGCCTGAGTGCAGCAAGGCTGGAGTCATGCTGTGAAAGCCCACAGTAGCAGAGCCCCTGCCAGGAATATAGCAAGGAGATCACAGATCACAGAGTACATTGCACCTGCCCCATGCAGTGGCGGAGCAAGACGCTCAAGGGTCTGGAGTTAAGAGGGACCATTTGAGGTTAAGAGGGAAGGAGTCTCCCTTGTTTTGGTTTTTGTTTTTTGTTTTCCCACACAGTCCCAGAGGGTACTGTGGTGTTCTGACACACTCCCTGTGTCAGAGCTGTTTTTTCATTATGACCAAGACAGAGCAGGTGTGAGAGCTGAGCATCCTCCCCTTGCTGTGCTCCTCTGGTCTCCAAGGCACCCTCCCCATGCGCTGCTTCCTTCCACTTACCGCCCTCGCACGGCACCACATCCTGAGCTCTGCTTGTTCCCTCTTCAGACTGGCAGGTGGTTATAGAGGTGTTTGGGGTGTCAGCTCTGAAATGCTAAAAATAAAACCAGGCTTTCTATCCTGGGATGTCTCATTAGTTTGCTTACAAATGAGTCCCCCTGCAGTTTTTCAGCAATTGGCTAACAAGCTCTAATTTGAGCGTTTGGGCTGGACCTTGGCTCAGTGGGAGCAGACGCGGAGCAGACGCCTTCTCGGAGCTGCCTGTTTGGGGAAGCTGGTCGTTTCCACTCTAGCTCAGCCTCCCAGAACAGGGAAGCTGCAGGAAAGTTGACAAAAGCACAGCAAAGCAGGGAGAGCCTCCTCGGTAGAGAGCAACGACCAGGTGGGTGTGGGTGTGGAGAGCAGTGGGGCCCACCTGGGCAGGTGCGGGGGGATGGGAGGAGGGGCTGAGAGTGCTCTCTAAGTTAAGGTCACGGTGTAGAGGAGAGGACTTGAAAACTTCCTGCAGCAGCTTCGTGGCCCGGTGAAATGTTCTCAGCAGCAAGCATGAAGCTCTGATTTGTAAAAAAATCAATACGGCTTGCATGCCAACTATGCCTTCTCCAATCCTGCATTTGTGATGTCAGAGGTTGTCATTCTGGGCTATGGAGCAAACCTTTCAGGGTTGACCCAGTCCTTCTAGGTCATGTGGAGTGGGCCAGCTTTAATGAACCTGTCTAAAAGGAAGGAAGAGAAAGAGCTCAGCTCCTTAGGGGAACAAGGTGGACCTTGGCAGCTGTCTCACTCCTCACCAGCTCTTCACCTCAGATCTTGTCCTGACTTCCTGGTCCACTAACGGCCTCCTGGATAGAAGAGTCAGGTAATGATCCCTGCCTTTCAATACTCATTGCTCAGTTTCAACAATCATCAACAATTTGCCAATCTCATTTCATCTCTCCTCTTATCTTTTTCCTTTTCTGGAGTATTCAGATCCTCTCACTTTCTGAGTGGAACTAAGAGTCTTCCTCACCTTCATCACCACTATTAGCTTATAAACCTCTTTTAAGGACAGGGATTCACCTCAGCTCAATTATGTTTTGTTACACACGTGGTACCCATCTTCTGTGTTGAGAGATGTTTGAATTATACAGTTTTTAGTGCATTAAGTGTTAGTGTTTGGGATCCAATTTGGCTCACTCTAGATGAGCTATAGAGTCTTCATTTTTTCTCCTCTCCCTTTTTCCTTCTTGAGTTAAAAATCACAGTTACCCAGCCTCCCCATACCTCCCCCCGCACCCTATATTACCACTTGTTTTTCTTTCTTTTTTCTAACCACACCCTGAGGCATTTCACCAGCAACTCTTTATTATCTAACCACAGTTCACCAGCCCAGGAGATGTTCTGAAAATTGACAATGATCATGATATACCCTGGATCCAGAATACTTCTCTATACAATGGGTGTGTATAAAGACAGACAGACCTGCCAGGCTCCATCAGGAAAGCTCTGTGTCTCCTTCACATGTGGAGGGACAGAATATTATCTGGAGATGGAGAATGCTTCTGAGAGCCTCTAGCACAGGGATCCCCAACCCCACAGCCTCGGGCAGGTCCCAGTCCCAGTCTGTGGCCTGTTAGGAACCGGGCCACACAACCGGGGGTGAGCGGTGGGCAAGTGAGCGTTACCACGTGAGCTCTGCCTCCTGTCGGATCAGCCGGTAGCATAAGAGTCTCATAGAAGCGTGAACTCTATTGTGAATTGCGCAAGTGAGGGCTCTAGGTTGGGTGCTTCTTATGAGAATCTAATGCCTGAGGATGAGGCAAAACAGTTTCATTCCAAAATCATCCCCCGGACCCCATCTGTGGAAAAATTGTCTTCCATGAAACCCGTCCCTAATGCCAAAAAATTTGGAGACCACTGCTCTAGTAGGCCTGCCTACTGGGCTTACTTTGTGTATATGAAATTGATAATTATTCCTCGTTTCAGAAATTTAAAATGTTACATTTATATTTCTTTCATATTTCCAACATTGTACCAAAGGTCAGTCCTAGAATGCTTTGTTTTAGCTGTTTTTCTTTCCTTAGGCAGAGAACAAAGATTGGTGGCTTCCTCCTGAGCACACTGGGATGTGGCATTACATCGGGGCTGCTGAGTGCCCTTACCTTCAGCTGCCCAGATGCAGAGGCAGGTGGGTGGGGCCAGGGAGTTTGATGCTTCACCTCCTTAAGTGAGAACTGCATCATGCAAACAGTCAGCTCTCAGCCAGATGGCACCACAAGGTTCTGTGAATTTCTCTCAGCACAACAAGCACATCTGCCAGTTGGGTTCCAATGCTGTTTTCTCTTTTCTTCTCGGCACTAGACACCAGGGCTTTAATTACACAGCCAAACTCAGCCGCAGAACACTCCCCAGTCTCGTCCTGGCTGGGCCCAGGACCTCCCCACCTCTTCAAAAGCCCCAAAATGGAACGATCATGGCCGGTCATCAGGGCCGGCAGGTGCAAAGGTGCTAAGTGGGCTGAGCTGACCCTGTACTCCTCTTGGTTCTCTCTGTAATGATCCCCTCTTCCTCACAGGCCCCCTTTGCCCTGATCTCGCCCTCCCACCTGCTGTCGGAGGGCCCCTCATGGAGATGCTCAGCCAGGCCCAGACCTCAGCGCTCCCTTGGCCTGGCCTTTCCACTGGGCTTCCTCGTGTCCTTAGTGCCCGGGTCCCCAGGGGAAGGCTTGGCCAGAGAGCTGCTTGGAAGCAACAGTTATTACGTAGACAATTGACAGAAATCTGTGTGGTTGTGCGGCCACACTCCTTTGTCAATCCTGCCCAGATATCCTGCTTTCCTCATAACAGCCAGCATTTTTCTGAGTGCTCACTATGTGCCAGGCACTTTACTGTATTAACTCATTTAATCCTACAACAACCTTATGAGGTAGGTGCTGCTGTTAATCACATTTTACAGATGAGAAAACTGAGGCACAGAGAGGTTCAGCCCCTTGCCCCAAATCACCCAGCTAGTAATGAGCAGAGGTGGGATTCATATCTAGGATTCTAGCCTGACTCAAGAGCCAAAAGGCTTTTAAAAGAAAACCTGAAACTACGTACAATTCCATATGACATGGAAAAAATTAAATAAAGTTCTTGGCTCAAAGGGTGGCATTGTGATGCTTTCCTTTTCCCTTTTCATCTTCTCATTTCCACTCTTAAAAAAATTATTTTTCTCACACAGTGACTGTGACAAGAGTAAATATGATAGTGGAGGTTCAGATAATGTGAAAAACCAGTGGAGGAGACAATTTTAGGTGGCTTTGCTGTGTCCTCTTCACCTGACAGAGGTGGGCACCCTTAGGTCTGGTTTATGATCTTGGCCAAGCCTCAAAAAGGGAAGACCAAAACTCCTAGAAGCACCCCGTGGTTATAGAGTTGTTAGGGAAATGCGGTATGCAAAGCCTCTGAAAGGAAAGGATCCAAGCTTAGGGATGTGAGGATCTACTAAAATTGTAAGGGACACATGAATAAGAGGGAGATTGATCTGTGACGATGAGTTGGCAAAAAATGAAAATATGCACAAACTCCCCACCATGGAGGAGGCCTCGTGTGCGGGAAAAGGCATTGTTTCTGCCCTTTGGATGTGTTGAAGGATGCTCTAGAATAGGGAAAGTCATTAAAAACTAAATCACAGAGGAGCATGTGACACAGGGCATAGTGCAAGGGGAGTTTAGAGAGGGTATCAGGCAAATCAGCGAGGTGTAAGGGCAGAAGGATGAAGCTGTGGCTTTGAGAGAGGACTTGGAGGCTGAGGAGAGCTCAGATGTCACCAGGCAAGACCTTAGTCCCAACCCACATGGTCGTTGCCTCCACTGTCCTTCCAAGATGCTCCAGCCAGGGCCCATGTCCATGCTCCCTGGATCTCTTGCCTCCAGCTACAGTACCTGCCATGCAGCTGGTGCTCAAGATACTTTTGTTTTAAAATATCAGTGAATAAATGAATAAGCACAGCCGTTGAGTTTTTAACCATTAGGTCAGTCAGGTGTATGAAATTTGAAGAGCCACTTACACGTCTTGATTGAATTCCCCTTTGTCTTGCCAGTTTCTCCCTTTTCCTTTACTGCACCTTTCAGATTTCTCAGCGTAGCCTTCATTCATAGTGTCACTCACAGTGGGATACGTCAGGCTGCATCCACTGTGTTATTCGGTGTGTCACCAGTGCCTTGACTAGGACACAGATAGCCTTGAAAGAGTGGTTACCTTCACTAATAAGCATTATGCAATGTCTTCACTGCCTTCTCTTGGCTCTTTTGGTCTCCATCCTGAATCCTACTGATGTGATCTTTGGTGATGGCGCTGGGTGAAGGTGGTGCTGACAGTAAGATGTGCACAGGCTCACCTCTAGCTCAGCCTCTACCTCACTCTGGAACCCCAAGCTCATCCCCCACTATACGATGGGGGTGGCAGGACTTGCCCTGGATCCCCGACAGGGTTATCACCAGAGAGACAGTTGGGAAAGCTCATTGAAAAGTTACTGTTCTGGCTAGGCGTGGTGGCTCACGCCTGTAATGCCAGCACTTTGGGAGGCCGAGGTAGGCGGATCACCTGAGGTCAGGAGTTTGAGACCAGCCTTCCCAATGTAGTGAAACCCCATCTCTACTAAAAATACAAAAACTTGCCAGGTGTGGTGGTGCATGCCTGTAATCTCAGCTACTCAGAAAGCTGAGGCAGGAGAATCACTTGAACCCAGGAGGTGGAGGTTGCAGTGAGCTGAAATCGCACCACTGCCCTCCAGCATGGGCTACAAGAGCGAAACTCTGACACACACACACACACACACACACACACACACACACACACACACGAAAACAAAAGAAAAGTTACTGTTCTATTAAATGTACTCTCTCTAATGAATGAAATCTTCCTGCATATAATGATTTGAGCCTTCTCCATAACTCTTCACTCCTTTTTACACCAATTTTTGTTTTAATGGGAAGAAAAAAAACCCTATGCACTATTTCCTCCCCTACCTTTTCTAGTTAGGATTAAACAGAAGAAAAATGGTGGCACCATTCCCAGAGGTCTTCAGCATTTGAACTTTACACTAGAAAACTCTCAATCCAAAGCTAAAATTCATATGTAACCAATGTCCTTAAGCTAACAGCTGCTTGCACATTCAAAAAAGCTTTGTATTTCTCTCTTCATGTCACTGTTAACTCTCTATTTCTCTTTAGCTATTTATCAGCCTCTGAGAAAATCTCCCGGCAACTCCTCCCCACATAAAACTATTCTAAATCCATGTGAAGCCCTTAATTTAATCAACACATTACCATTTCCTAACAAAGGGTAAATGAGATCAACTAAATTTACACCAGGAAGAAAGGAAATTAATTTTACTCAATTATAAAAAGGAGGAGGCTTTACACAGGTAACAATTTAACAATTGTAGTAGTGGGGATTATGGAAAACTCTGAATCAGGATGCCAGGAGGTCACCCACTGCTGATAGGTTTCAAAATAACTCCCCAAATCCTGACAGTAACAATTTAGTGAAGGCCCAAGAGCCGAGATAGTCCTTAAGTAATGAAAAATGATGACAGCCTAAAAAGAGGGAATTGCATAATAATCAGAATTTAGATTTGAGACACTGATAAGTCACCTGTAAATAATCCGCAGAGCTTGCCTTTTAGCTACTTCTAAGGCTTGCAGACAATGCATTGTTTAAGCTATGTTCAGAAGACACCCAGCACCTTATTTTCTAGAACCAGATTTTTCTGTGGGTAGAAGGGAAGAAATCCAGGATTTATGGCAGATGTACAGTAAAATATAAACTAAGATGATTAAAACAAAATGGACCCTGGACAGTAATGCTAACTGGCACACTAAGATCAATGGATGTGGATTCATATAAGCTGTCTAGAGACCAGCTGGTAAAAATAGGGGGAATGGTTAGAAATTATAACCCACTCCAAGCTGGAAAACATGCCAACCGTATTGTGTTATTCTGGGGCACAAATTATAATTCTACAACACATTAAAGAGAAAATTGTATGGGAAGCTAGAAGTCATTTTCTTATGCTTCCCGCTCATAGGGAGCCACATGCCATTTGGATTACTGCACTTTTCAAAGTACATGGAAAGACTTGAGACAATCCAGAGAAGAATGACACAAACAAAAGGGCAGGACTCATGATGGAAAAGAGGCCCCATGAGGAAAGGCTAAAGAGTCAGAACTACTGAAGCTAAAGAGGAAAACTCAAGTAACGAAACATTATTGCTTTCAAATATGTGACAGGTATTTGGCTAGAAGTTATCACTGATACGTTTCCAGAACACATGGAGGCCAAGGCAGACAAAAGTAAAGATGGAAACCAGACCAGTAAATAAGTCCTTTGATGAACTTCTGAGTCTCTACAGATGAAGGCAAAGCTCCCTCACAGTTGCAGGCAACGTCTCATCTTTTGTCACTTCTGGCATGACACTGCACAGCCACAGCCAGTACGGTATCTCTGCCTTTGCCCATGTCCTGCCTTCTTTCTCCCTGGTCGGTATCTCCTCACCTCAACCAGCTTGGCCAGCTCCTTGGTCATTGGGGTTGCACCCACCCAGGCATGTGCCTGGCTCCGCACAACCTCAGAAGCTCTCAGTACAGTGCAGGACCAGAGGTTGAAACCAATGAAAGGTTGTTAAATAAAGAGAAAATGTTTAATGCTGAGAACAAAGACTAGGAAAGAGATGTCTAATAAGAAATTTTACAGTGAAATACCATGTGTTGTGCTCTGTAACTTCGTCTCCATCTCCCTAACATAGTGTTTAGTGAAATCTACAGTGCTCACTCATGCTTTGTGGAGTCTGGGGGTGAAAGCTTGTAGATATCCAACATTTGCATAACACTAGAAAGTCCACTTTGCCCTCTCCGAGAAAATCTAGTGATCCTGCTGTTTATATCTGATTCAGATCCCTCAATAAGAGTTCTCTTGGTCTCATTTTCATACTGATCCTAAGAAGCATTCACTAACTAGGCTGTACCTACCTAGTACAGCTCTGTCCATATGGTAGATCTGCAATAGATTCTTGGGATCTTATGGTAATTAGATAGCACGCCTATTCTGGAATAGTGGCAATTTGGTTATTCTCTTACACTGACCAAGCATGTGTTAGCTCACTGATGCCCATCTATGTAGGTATTTAGATGCATTGTCCTGGGAGACACCCAGCTTCCTGGGAAGATGGGGATGGAGAGTCTCCTGAAGTATCCTGAAGTTCTTCACTGTCTCCCTTGACAGGGATCCTGGGTAAACTTCATGAAGACCTACAGGGAACTGGCAGCTGGCCTGTTCTGCTATGAGAGAACTCTCTCGATAAGCCCTATTATTTTCCTGAAACCATGTTACATTATAAGAGGCTGGAAGGGATGGTGAGAAATCATTTATTCCATGGTTCTCTGGGCAGAACAGCACTCACCCATCGCAGAAGCCTCCACATCCTCTCATTATGTCTTATCTTTTTATTTGTTTCCAAGCCACATTCATCTCCAAAGCAAACCTTTGTTATGTTTACTTGAGAACACCACAGTTTCCCATTGCATCTCTCACCCCCTTGTCAAAACTATGCAAATTAAGAATAACCCCAATCTGGTTGAGATTGTTTGTAACTGAAAAGTAATTGGGTTATAATATGCTAATTCTTATGCTAATATTTGGCTCCAAAGATAAAGAGACCTGAAATGCTAATGTGAGAGTCCTCCCACAAAGAGGATTACAAGCAGGAAGTTTGCAGAAGAAAGGAGGGGACCCGAATGGAGCAAGGACTAGAAACACAGGCCCTTTAGAAATCATTGGGGGGTTTCGTTGGTTTGTTTCTTTATACTTTCTTTTATTTTGCAAATTTTCTATGATTACTATGTGTTACCGTAACACTTAGCAGGAAAAATAACGTAATGTCTAAAGAGAAAAAAGAATGAGGAACTTTCTCGGAGCAGAAGTAGATGAAGGAAAGGCCGAGGCTGGCCTTACCAGAGCCTCTCCCAGGAAACGGTCAGGCACTGACCTGAGCCGGCTTCCCAAGACAGGAAGAGTTGGTTTCAGGGAAAATCCATGTCTGGGATCCAGGGAAGTTGATGAGTCAGCTTTCAGGTGGGTGAGAGAACAGTGGCTCCAACCTGGGCCTCAGGACCACTGGGACTGAGAGGAAAGGGAAATAATATCTTCAAACCTGGTGGAAGAGGTCAATGTGAGCGTATTAGAACCATACCCTGTCGATGTTTCTCCATTCATTTCTTCAAGGAATATTCTACAAATATCTGTTACCCTCTTTGTACAGTACACTCTGCTAGTCTCTGTGGGTACTGGGAAGATGAATAAAGAGGAACGAAGATGCTTCCCCAGTCTGAAGAGCAGGGGCTTTCTCTGTGAGCCTGTGAAGGAGGCGGTGCAGGCATCAACCTGCTGAGGCCTTCACACCCCTCCTTCTGGCTGACCAGGAGCATTCAGCGATGAAGGAGGGAGAGGGTGCCCTTGGCTGGTGGTCGGTGCCTTGAGAAGTGCTGGAGAAGAGCTGGGCCCTCACTTGGGAAATCTTTTCTTTTTTTTAAGACAGGGTCTCACTCTGTCACCCAGGCTGGAGTGCAGTGACATGCTCACGGCTTACTGCAGCCTCAGCTTGCCAGGCTCAAGTGATCCTCCCACCTCACCCTTTCAGGTAGCTGGGACTACAGGCTTGTGCCACCGCGCCCGGCTGATTTTTGTGCTTTTTGCAGAGATGGGGTTTCACCATGTTGCCCAGGCTGGTCTGGAACTCTGGGCTCAAGCGATCTGCCCACCTCAGCCTCCCAAAATGCTGGGATTACAGATGTGAGCCACAGTGCCAGGCCTCACTTGGGAAATCTTAAGGAAAGAAATAAGGTGATGAGCTGAAAAGGGCCTTGAATTATGGCTCTGACTGTGTGCTGCCCCAGGGCATGTTCCACCCTGAATCTTCATCAAATCCTTTCCATACATGATTCTACCCGTGTGAAGCTCTGAACTTCTGTTAAAAGATGGTAGTAGTGGCCAGGTGCGGTGGCTCACGCCTGTGATCCCAGCACTTTGGGAAGCCAAGGTGGGTGGATCACCTGAAGTCAGGAGTTCGAGACCAGCCTGGCCAACATGGAGAAACCCCGTCTCTACTAAAAATACAAAAATTAGCTGGGCGTGTTGGTGGGCGCCTGTAGTCCCAGCAACTTGGGAGGCTGAGGCAGGAGAATCGCTTGAACCTGGGAGGTGGAGGTTGCAGTGAGCCAAGATCACGACATTGCACTCCAGCCTGGGCGACAGAGCAAGACTCCGTCTCAAAAAAAAAAAAAAAAAAAAAAAAAAAAAAAAAAAAAAAGCGAGTAGTTTATTCCTTTCCTCATCACCCATGTCTCTTTTTGACACTCTTGAATCCCTGTAATGCATTCTCAAAAATATTGAAGATCTCTTCAGCTTCTTTTCTTCCCCTGCCTTCACCAAGAGGTCACACATCATTACTGGCAGCAAATGGATCCCATCTGTACTACAGAGGTCAAAGATTTCAGTCAGTGAGTTACGGACACCGTCGACGAAAACAGCAGCCTGTCAGGGAATCACGTAATGATCACAGCCAAAGGAAGCCCTGTCCTGGGAGTACCCTGCTGATGCCTCAGCTTCTTGCTTCTAAGCTCCTGGCCCCATTTGGTCTGAGGCAAAGAACATTGAGATTGGTGCCATTTATTTTCATTAACGTGCAGAAGAGGCGGCAGGAGTTTTGGGAGACCTCTGAAGAACCATTAGTTGGGGTGAGACTAAGACCATGCTTTCTACTCTGGAAACTTGGTCTGCAACCGGTAAAGTAAGGTCTCCCAACAAATGGAATAATGTGCCGTGTGGCTATGATGGGTGTAGATAGATAATCAATGCTCAGCGCATTTTCCCCGGGAAAGGTTTCCAGGATGGCTTTTAAGGAAAGTAATGAGCTGTTTGTTCCCTGGTTGTAGGAGAAGAGGGTGTTTGTTGATCACACATCTTTTTAATTAGTTATAGACACAGATGGGTTTTTTTTCACGTTTTTCTGACATATACTTACTTATCTAATGAAAAGTGCCCAGCATAAAAATGCAGGAGACAGACTTCCTTAGCCACCAGAGGCATCTTCCCTGCTTCCATATTATTGGTTTTAAAGTGACCTGCCCTGAAAGAGACCATCTCCAAAGCCCTGAAGGTCGTCCATAGATCATTTCAGCCTAACAGGCCATTTATTTCCATACAGATACAACACCAAGTGAGGTGCTGTATGTGGGCCAAACATCACAGGTGTCAAGCAAGATGTATGTTAGGTTGTGTTCATCCCATGCATATTAGGGCTTTGTGGAACAAAATGCTTCTCTCCTTCAGCAGCAAAGTAATTGTGCTTAGACAATCTGTTTGACCTTCTCTGAGCCCCAGCTTCCTTATCTATAAAAAGACGTCTGGACTGAATGTTCCCAAGTTCCTCTCTGCTCTAAGCTCGCAAGCTGAAGTTTGTACACAAAAGCAGGACCTCTGCGGAGGAGCAAAAGTCTGCTCCACACCTACCTGATAACCCTCCTTGGTGCTCTTGGCTTCAGAGTTTGTTTCGATCCCCTCTCTTGTCTGACTGGAACAGTTCGACTTTTGCTACAAGCTGCAGCTCAAATACCATCTCCTCTCGGAGGCCTTTCTAGCTCTGTTCTTTTCCACATGTGTGTGTTTGGGCAGACACACGTATCTGTCAGGGTCCCTCTAATTCTAAAGAATCTGAACAATCTGTTTAATTCTAATGGGGCTCCTAGAGGACTTCACACCACCTGAATTTCAATGGAGTCATCACTGCACGGCTAGTGATTGGGTTCAGGACATGCTATGCAAAATACGGCACCTTGGCATTTAAGAAAGCAGCAGACACAGTTCTCTCTGACCTTCTCCTACTCTTCTCCCCTGAAGCATGCCATCAATGACTAAAGGAAGTAATAAGACCCTCTTGTGATGGTACCCCCCCTCCACACCTGGAGGAAAGGAATGTCCCTATCTGAAAACTCGGGGACACATAGAAGAATCTGAGCAAGTAGGCCTGACTAGTTCTCCTCAATTAATAACCATTAGTAGGGTGGCTCACGCCTATAATCCCAGCACTTTGGGAGGCCGAGATGGGTGGATCAACTGAGGTCAGGAATTCGAGACCAGCCTGGCTAACACTGTGAAACCCCATTTCTATTAAAAATACAAAAATTAGCTGGGTGCCATGGCACGCGCCTATAATTCGAGCTCCTTGGTAGGCTGAAGCAGGAGAATCACTTGAACCTAGGAGGTGGAGGTTGCAGTGAATCAAGATCATGCCACTGCACTCCAGCCTGGGTGACAGAGTAAGACTCTGTCTCAACAAAAAAAGAAAAAAAATTTATGACCATTAGATCATGCCCCTTTGTCCAATTACACTTATCCATTGTTGTCCACTCTGCATCAAACCTAACATAAAAGACCTTCCTTCGGGGGTCTTCCTTGCTGAAGACTTCTGTGTCGCATAAAACTTACACTAAATCAATTTGTATGCTTTTTTCTTGTTGCGCTATCTTTTGTTACAGGGGCCTCAGCCATGAGCCTAGAAATGGGTGAGGAAAAGATGTTACCTTTTCTCCCCTACACTGGTTCTTAGCATCAGCAAGAGAGTAGGGCAGAGTTGGCACATAGGCAGAGTAGCCTTCGAAAAGCCCTTCTCCGTCCCAGGTATTACGATGCTTTAGGGAGAGTGTTGTATGAAAACTGCTCATACATCCAGAATTATATCAGTTCCACAAGGTACTGGCACAAGAAGAGTCGTGGAAGACTGACCTGGCCATGGCTTCTCATGTCCCAGCTCAGGACCTGCCACATCAATTCTCCCTTTCCTCTGGCCGTCACGTGTGGAGTGAAATTCTCAGAAGCGGCTGTCCCTGTGCACCTCTCTGGCTGTGTCCAGGTTAGTGCTCTTCTGCAGCTGCCTCGTGGCCAGTCCCGAGCCTCAAGGCTGGGGCCTATTCATCTTTAGTGGCCAGCAGAGCAAGGATTTTTTCTAGAAGCACGGGTAAATGACTGTCCCACAGACAGACCTTTTGCTATTTATGAAAACCATCTTCCTGCACAGAGAGAGAAAAATCATGTGACAGGGCCTTGTAACAAGGCATCTCTTCTCAATATGAGGAGGGCCCGGGGTCCCAGAGCAGGTGATGACCAGCCTCATTTTAGAATCTCTCCCATTGCGTTTGACAGAGTGGAGGGTTGTGCTTAGCGATGAGTCTTTTGTCTCCCACCGCCAGCGCAGGCCAGCGCGTTTCAGAGACCAGGCGTGGGTTTCTTTTTATATTAAACCGCCCATTGTATTACCAAATGGCAGAGACTCAAAGGTGTGCTCTGGATAGGTCATTCTAGAGAGAGGACCAAGGACGTTCGTAAGAGCACTCTGTGTCCTCTGTGGCACAGAGCAGTCACTGTGAGCCCACCCCGGAGCCGGGGACAGGATTCCGGAGGGAGGAGGGATTTCATGAAGACTGTTTTTGGACATCTGTTCCTGGCGGGGTGGCTCGGCTCTTGCTTTCTGTTTGCTGTGGCCCAGGAACCCTGAGTGTGCCTGGGTGACACACCTTCCTCATCCCTCCCACGTCCTCATCCCCAAAGCATTTAGCTCCAGCCTGGGAACAGCTGGGAAGGGATTCCTCTACATTTCTATATTCAGGAGCACTGTGTTTACTCTATGGAGACTTACTAATCCAGCTTATAAATAAATTACTCCAAATTGATCTGTCAGTGCAGGAAGTGAAAGGAAGAGTCTGGAGCGCCTCTCCACTCCTGCTTAATCCACAGCCGTGGGCAGCTCCGGGAGGGGAGAAGACAGCAAGCCACATTCTCCTGTGTGGGGCCAGCTTCTCCTACCTCCTCCCACCTCCTTCCACCGCCACAGACGTGAAGGGGGAGACCTGACACCCCTACATCTAGATTTGGGGGAGGGAAAAGGAAGACATACTCACTTGTTTTTAGTCCAAATGAAACTTGCCATGAGTGAAAAGTGATATTACCATCCAAGAGGCACCTTCCTGGACGTTTCTGTATATTGGCCACGGTCCTCCAAGCCCCACCAGCAGAGGAGCGAGTGCCCTGGCGGTGGCTGCTCAGGGACAGTGGCCTTCATAGTCTCACCTCGCCATGCCCTGCAGGAGGAGGGCTCCGAGGAAAACCCCACTGGCAGGAAGGGGTAAATAGAGGGACTGTGGCACACAGAGATTCCTGGAGGCTCTAAAGACTGTTTTGAGAGCTAAGGGAAGTCGGAAGCTAGGAGTAAATTATGGGTGTTATTTTCAGTTGCTGGGTTAAATTATTAGTGTTCTCGGGTTGGTTGTTATCCCGGGCACTGAAGTTATAGCCCTGGTCTTGCCAAGATCTGTGTCTCTGCCCAGCCAACCAGGTCCAGGGGAAGGGAGCGTGGTGCTCTGCAGCACTGCCCAGGACTCTGGAGACCCCGTAGGTTCCTTTGAAGCCATGAGCAGCTGGGTTCTCCCCGTGCTGATGCAGTGGGGACTGGCACCTGGCATGTATCCGCCCCACCTTGCTCTGCCATCCTCCTGATTCGTAGTTTATGACACGGAAAGTAGGGGTGCTTGCAACTCAAGATGAACCTATTTCAGTGTATCCTGACCCTAGAGAAAGGCTCCAACTCTTAAAGAAAATGAGACCCTGAATTCCCTCTTTTCCTTAACCACTTTGTCCTTATGTCCTAAAGGGGCCAGATCTGGGTTCCTGGGAGGAGTCTGTGTATCTCTCTCTCTCTCTCTCTCTCTCTGTCTCTCTCTCTGTCTTTCTGTCTCTCTCTGTTTTTGTGTCTGTTTCCATCTCTGTTTCCCTCTGTTTCTTGTTTCTCTGTCTCTGTTACCTCTTTCTCCATTTCTCTCTTTCTCTGTCTCTCCGTCTCTTTCTGTTTTTCTCGTTTTCTGTCTTTCTCGTTTTCTGTCTGTTTCTCTCTGTCTCCCATCTCTGCACGCCCTGCATGGAGGTACCTCACTTTCCTCCTCCTGCAATCCAGTCTCACGCATATTTCTCTTTTTGGTTACTCTTAATAACTTACTCAGCAACTGAAAATAACACCCACGATTTACTCCAAGCTTCCAGGCTTCTTTAGCTCCCAAGCAGAGGCCAGAGCCTTTGGGAACCCATGCCCTGCAACCCTGTTGGGTCTCACAGTCTCAGGCTCTCCGTCCTGGGAGGTGTCCATTTGGCCTGTGGTATATGTAGGTCTTTCTTTCTCTTTTTTCTCCCTGCTGTTTCATGGTACATGACTTAACTGGGCAGCTTAGTATCTCTCCAGAATGTAGGCAAGAGCTGGGGAGGAGGGCACTCCAAGGCAAGTCCTTGATGTAGCTCTTATGCATGTTTTTTGGTGCTGAGAATTTTGATAGTAATAATACAAATATGATGCTGTAGGCTTATGTGTAGATTTCAATTACCAATTCAGAGAGTGTTTCCTTGTATTCCAGAAAATGAACATCTGTTTACAGCTTCAATTTTCTAATGATTAGAATGCCACAAACAAGAAAACCCAGAGGAAAGCTGTTGATGCTGAAATGTTTCCTTCCTCTACATATTCCATGATGCGTCCTGTGGGGTTATGCAAACAGTAATATCTCATTAAATATTCTGGTCTCTTGGGAATAGCTTCACATTGTCAAAAATATATCTTCTCTCAGCTCCTACTGTAACAACAGTTAACTTTTTTTAAAAGATTACGTGATTTTGTTGTTGTTGTTGTTGTTTTGTTTGTTTGATTTTTGAGACGTGCTCTCACTCTGTCACCCAGGCTGGAGTGCAGTGGCATGGTGTAATATCGGCTCATGGCCTCTGTCTCCTGGGCTCAAACAATCCTCCCACCTCAGCCTCCTGAGCAGTTGGGACTACGTGCATGCGCCAGCACACTCAGCTAAATTTTTTTTTTTTTTTGTAGAGACAAGATTTTGCCATGTTGCCCAGGCTGGTCTCGAACTCCTGGGCCCAAGCAATCTTCCTTCCTTGGTCTCCCAAAGTGCTGGGATTACAGGCGTGAGCCACTGTACCCAGCTAAAAAAGAGTTTTAATATTTTATTGCATGCCAGGCTCTGTGATAACTAATTAACAGGCATTAATTAATTTATTGCTCACAATAGACTTAGGAGACAGCATCACTATTTTACAGTAAGAAAAACCAAGGTCCAGAGAGTTCAACTGACTTGCTCATGATTTCATAGTCAGTAAGTGGTGTGTCTGTGTATTGGTCCATTCTCACATTGCTATAAAGAACTACCTGATGGCTGGGCAAGGTGGATCATGCCTGTAATCCCAACACTTTGGGAGGCTGAGGTGGAGGGATCACGAGGTCAAGAGTTTGAGACCAGCCTGGCCAATGTGGTGAAACCGCATCTCTACTAAAAATACAAAAATTAGCCAGGCATGGTGGTGCATGCCTGTAATCCCAGCTAATCAGGAGGTTGAGGCAGGAGAATCATTTGAACCCAGGAGGCGGAGGTTGCAGTGAGCTGAGATTGTGCCATTGCACTCCTGCCTGGGCAAAAGAGCAAGACTCTGTCTCAAAAAAGAAAAAAAAAAAAAAAGAACTACCTGAGACTGGGCAATTTATGAAGAAAAGAGGTTTAATTGGCTCATGGTTCTGCAGGCCATACAGGAAGCCTGGCTAGGGAGGCCTCGGGAAACTTACTTTCATGGCAGAAGACAAAGGGGAAGCAGGCACGTCCTACATGTTTGGAGCAGGAGGAAGAGAGCGAAGGGGGAGGTGCTATATACTTTTGAGGTCTCTTGAGAACTCGATCACAAGACAGCACTAGGGTGGTGGTGCTAAACCATTAGAAACCACCTCACGATCCAATCACCTCCCACCAGGCCCCACCTCCAACATTGAGAATTAAAATTCAACATGAGATTTGGGTGGGGACACAGAGACAAACCCTATCAGTCTGGGATTGGAATCCATGTCTAGTTGACTCCAAAGTGTGTACTTTTAATCACTATAAACATTGTCCTGCCAAGCATAGAATCTTGAGAGTCTGGGGGATGCAGTGACCAGGGTGATCAACTATTTCGAAACACACAGGGGTCTAAACACCCTTCCTCAGCTTCCTATCCTAGCAACTTAGCTCAGCACGCCCCAGCCATTTCCATAGTATCTAAGGAACACCGAAAGGCAGGAGGCTCAGTTAAATTTTTATTAAACTCATCACTTTCTTTTTAATAAGGGATATTGAACCACACCCAGTATAAGCCTCACTCCAATTTAGTGATTCAGTACAGCACTGCTTGATGTGACGAAGGCCTTCTTGACTCTAAGGTTTAGGAGAATTTCATGGAAGAGGAAATTAGGCTCACTCTGTCCACCCCAAGTGGTAAAGATGTTGAGAATTCTCATCCCAGGGTTTGGAACAGCCTGCACAGCTAAAATAAAGTAGAAAGAAAACCCATTTCCTATTTACCATTTTTATTTCTTCAGAGAGTTAAACATATCTATTTTCTCGCCCTCCAAGTTTTTTCTCTATTATTTCAGAGAACGCCCTCATGTCTTATTACCAGATAAGACACAGCCCTTGCAGACTCCTAAAGACAAGCGGCCTCATTGTGCAGGATGTCCTGTTAGTTTTAGGCTTCTGAGGAGACAAGCTGGGCAAGGGATTGTATTAGCACACACATTGCTCCACCCAGCCTTTCTTTGAATTTTTTTTTTTTTCATTCAAAGTCTCCAAAGGCTGAAACAGAGACTATAGGTCTCAGGAGAACATCCGTAATACCAATTCCTTCAGTGGCAGTAGGTTAGAGTGATTGTAGTAGAAGCCACACGATCTTTAAAAATAATTGCTTTGACAATGATGGATATAGGAATGGACAACAAAATCTGCCCTCCTGTTACCTTCTTGCAAGTATTTGCTGGTTTAGATAACTTGCAAGTTATTTTCCCCAGGCCTGGTTGGTCTCAGCCAGGAAAAACCTACTCACAGCAATGGCTCTGGCCATACTGCTTAGAAATTGCTGGTGCCAAGGGATGTGATGATGGTCTATGTGCTTTTCTCAACATCGTTTTTTATGCCAACATATCAGAAAGATAATATTCTTGTCCTGGTGTGCTTAGAAAGTAACTCTAGCAACTAAACTATAATGATGAGTACAGTAAATGGGTCACCCCTTTCTTTAAAGAGAAAATTGCTCAAAGTTCTCTGGGAAGTATGGGGGTTTTCCATGACTAGAATGAATCCATGGTTTTCTTAAGAAAAAAATCTAAAGAAATACAACATAAAGCATGCAAGGAGTCTATGCATTTCATGGCAATCTTAGCTCGTTCTGGGAAACAACTGTTGTTAGTAAAGCCTCATACGATGCATTCATTCAGCCATTCAACAAATATTAATTAGGAATTGACTTCTTCCACAGTTTGTGCTTGGTACTAGGTAAAATTAAAAAAGAAGCAGAGCCTGTAATCCTAGCACTTTGGGAAGCTGAGGCCAGGGGATCACCTGAGATTAGGAGTTCGAGACTAGCCTAGCCAACAATGCAAAACTCCATCTCCACTAAAAAAAAAATACAAAAATTGACCAGGCATGGTGGCAGGTGCCTATAATCCCAGCTACTCAGGAGGCTGAGGCAGGAGAATCACTTGAACCCTTGATGGGGTGGTGGGGGAGAGGTTGCAGTGAGCTGAGATTGCACCACTTCACTCCAGGCTGGGCGAAAGAGCAGAACTCTGTCTCAAAAAAAAAAAAAAAAAAAAAAAGCAGAGATGTTGTCTCAACCCAAGCTGGGCTGCTGAAACTGAGGACCTTACATTCCAGTGGGCAGGCACCGGGTACAGAGGTAGAGCTTGGGTTCCAGTGACAAGCCAGAAACTAGCTTGGGATGACTCTGAAGAATACCCTTACGTCAATATAGCTGGTATTGTACCAACACATTTAGGTCCAGAAATTGATTGCGCAATGGCATAACGGGGGAGATCTGCTTTAATTGCCATCAGTTCTGTTTTCAAAATATCTGGACTTTTTCTTCGGCCAAAAGCTCATGTGATCCAACAGAGTAATGCAGTCGCTTTAAAAAGCGAATGTAATTGTAAGCTCCATTAAATAAAAATACCGTGTCCAGATAATAAGTAACAGTAACACTATATGCTGGTCAGATGATAATTGGAAAATAATGTTCGCTACAAGGCATTATAATTAAGATGTCTCATTTAGAAAGGCAGGGTGGAGGTGCTGAGGGCTTTAGAAACGGTTCCTGATCTAGGCTGGCCGGAGGCTCTGAGTGTGTTTAGCTTGGAAGAGAGAAAACAAGGAACTATCTTCCTGTCTTCAAATATTGGAGGAGGTGTTGTGAGGACGAAGGAATAAATCGGTTTTATTTTAGGACAAGACAGAAGAGGAGCAAAGAGTGAGTAAATGTCAAGGGAAAGACAGAGGAAGTAAATAAGGAAGGAAGTGGCAAGGAGGTTGATTTTGAGTTCAATAGACGAAAACAACTTGCTGAAAAAAGCTTTCTAACAAACTAAAGTGCTCAGAATTGGAAATGGCACTCTCCAACAATGGAGAGGTCACTGTCACTTCTCAGAATGTAAGCTACATGGTCATTTGTCAAGGACCTTGAGTTCCAGCATCAGGTAGAATGTTAGCTGTCTAAGTTCTCATTCATCTACAGGACACGGGGCTTCTGCGATGGGCCGGGCTTGTCCTGCGGAGACTGTCGCCAAGGCAGGAAGTGGAACACAAGTACGTGGGCTCCTTGAGCAAAGTGCTGTTAAACAGATGGGACACTCTAGATGCATTAGTTAAAGCCAAGCATGTTTCTAGACACTTCTAGAGAAGGAAACTTTCCCTAACGTCACAGCGGGGTCGGGGGTAAAATGGGCGGGTCTTCGTGAGAAGTGAGCTCCTTCTATGACAGGTATGAAAGAGAAAGCTCGCTGGTTCCAGGTGACAGCTCCCATCGAAAATTCCAGGAGCTGCTCTGGAGGAAATGGTGCTGAGATTTGCAAAGGGCAAAGAACAAATGATGCAAGAGACGGAGGAAATATGGACTCGGCCCAAACACAGTCCCGTCAGGGGCCGTCTGTGGGAATGTGCCGCTGTTCTTGTGCTATTTCAGCGCAAAATATTTAGGAAATAGAGAGACACACAGAATGGCAATTCAAACTGATTCATCTACCTGATTTAAAAAAATAAAATATTGCTTCAGCTTAGTCCAAAATGTAACACATGGAGGTATAACCTTTTAGTTAAAAAATCATTCTTTTTCTTACCATACTGAGAGATCTTTGCCGGTAGAGAAAATGTCCTGTTTATTTTGGTATCCCTAGAGTTTAACATAGAGTCTACATATAGCAAAAGTTTCAATAAACATTTAGTATACCAAACAGAAATGTGATTTTTGGATGGCAGAGGGGTTGAGATATCTGGGCAAGAACAAAGTGTGATTTTCACTTTCTCTGGTCTTCTGTTGTCCCAGCAAAACCTCCCTCTGCTCCAAGGACAGCAGGATGCCCTGAGCTCTTGGTTGCAGCACAGCGTCCTCTAGCCCCCTCCATGGCACCCTCAGCTGACTTACTCACTCATGCATTCAGCAAATGTCCTTTGAGCCCCTACCATGTGCTAGGCTCCATGCCAGGGCTGGGTTATAGTGACAGAAAGACCAGTAGGATCCCTGCTTCCTGCAACTCTTCCTCTGAGTCTGCATTGGTGGGAGTGATGGCATTGGGAGTTGAGTACCTGGCATCAATTAAACAGAAAAAAAAAGTTTCTTTTAAAAATTTCCAATGGAGATGTGAAAGTATATATATATATTTTTTGAGACGGAGTTTCACTCTTGTTTCCCAGGCTGGAGTGCAGTGGTGTGATCTTGGCTCACTGTAACCTCTACCTCCTGGGTTCAAGTGATTCTCCTGCCTCAGCCTCCCAAGTCACTAGGATTACAGGTGCCCACCACTATGCCCGGCTAAGTTTTTTTATTTTTAGTAGAGATGGGGTTTCACCATGTTGGCCAGGCTGGTCTCGAACTCCTGACCTCAGGTTTTATCCACCCACCTCAGCCTCCCAAAGTGCTGGGATTACAGACATGAGCCACCTGGCCCGGCTGTGAAAATATTTTTTTAAAGAACTCTATTCGATAACCTCTGTGATTTGGTATTTATTTGATCCCAAAACATATCCAGATAACAAGTATAAACACAAACAAACAAACAAAAAACACTATGCCCAGAAATACTGATCAATCAGAAGAGGAGTTGATCCAAGCTTTAAGCACTTTTTTTATGTTAAAAAAGTCAGGTGCGGTGTCTCACGCCTGTAATCCTAGCACTTTGGGAGGCCGAGGTGGGTGGATCACCTGAGGTCAGGAGTTCAAGACCAGCCTGACCAACATGGTGAAATCCTGTCTCTCCTAAAAACACCAAAAATTAGCTGGGCATAGTGGTGTACACCTGTAATCCCAGCTACTCAGGAGGCTGAGACAGGAGAATCACTTGAACCCAGGAGGTGGATGTTGCAGTGAGCTGAGATTGTGCCATTGCACTCCAGCCTGGGCAACAGAGCAAAACTCCATCTCAAAAAAAAAAAAAAAAAAAAAAGTAAAATGAGTACAGTCAAACACCATTCACACTTGACTTGACCAAAGCCAGTATGATAAATATGAATTGTTCTCAGCTACCAAGCGTTGAGAGGATCACTCTCTACACCTGCTGCCTGCATGGCCATCAGTGCTTTCCAACAGGTTCACAAACAAGAGAGGTTTGAAAGCGTTGAAATTCTGCATGTAAATCGAGTCACCTTCTCACTAAAGGATTCATTTCAACTCATATCCTCAGACAAGAAAGGTAAAAAAGATGAATAGAGAAATGGAAAGGAAAGAGTTGAGAAGAAAGTGTGAAGAAGGGCAGACTCAGAGCTTGGAGGCCAATTAAAATAAGAAGAGGCTGAAGGAAAGGCAGGGAGAATAAGAAAAGAGGGGAGGAAGGGAAAAATGAAGAAAAAGAGGAACTAAAATTTTGCAGAGTTGCTGAGTTCCAGCTCAAACGTGATGGAAAGGAGTGTGTTGTTGACCTGCAAGGGACCCCTGCTGCCTGGGCTGCCTGAGTTCCCAGGGATGTGTCCTCTGATGCTGGAGGCAGGGACAGATTGAATGTCACCAGCTGCATCCTGCCCAGCACATGAACGCTAGGGTAGCAGAGAGTGCAGAGGATACCTCAACACAGGAGCAGATGGCTGAGATGCATTAGTGTCTGTAACACTTTCAATCCCTCTGAGATACATGCCTGGGAAACATTTTGTTTCCTCTTCCTCAATTGGTGAAGCAAGGCATTTTAATATTCCTAATTATCCCCACCCACATAGTACATTTTTTACAAAGGCAACACTCAGAAGGGCCAGGGCTTATTGAGCCAGACGCCGCTGAGACAGGGGGGCTGAAGGGAGATGCAACCCACCCGCCATCCCCTCTTCATACTGGGGCTGGAGGAGTCCACGGAGAACGTCGGAACCTCATGCCTGCCTTATATAAATATTGTAAGGATTGATATGATCATGTTGGCAAACTGCTCTGCACTCCTGAGAGAAAGAGAGTTACAAGGATATGGTTTTATTATTCACAACACGCTGTGTGCTTACTGTTGGAGAGCTCAGATGCAAACTGCCTGCGGGTTGTAATTTCACTCTGCTCCTTCTGTGTTGGGAACCAGCAGCTTAGGTTTCTATATTTGAAAAATAAGTTTCTTCATCAGCAACTACTCCAGTACATCAGAGGGGAATGATGGAGTAGAGCAAGTTCGATAAGAGCAGCTCTATTGCCCTAGTGAGATTTGTCCGAATGGGAGAGTTCAGCCAGGAAGGGGGAGATTAAACAATGAGCCTCGACTCCATTGAGTCGGGATCCTCTCTCAGCAAGACACTGCTGAGCAAAAAAATCAATAGCAAGAGAAACAAAATCAAACCACATCCAGGCTTCAACACCTTGGGGAAATAACGGGAAGAGGGAAACTTTATTAAGACTGTTCTGTCAACCTTACTCATTCATTTGAGGCATTTCTTCTTTAAATATTCCAGTCCATTTTGGAGGGCAGAGGCAATCACAGGGCAGATTGATCTTGCACTGAATAGACATTTGGTTAGCTCTAAGTTGTAGGTACAAGAGATGGATTTTCCTGTGGAAGTGTGTGAGAGGGTAGCCTCTCCAACTCCCACCCCAGGGCCAGGACCAAGACTCATAGCACTACTTCCAGGACTGTGAAGGAACAAATGACCTTGTTCAGAAGAAAAGAAGAATGGGCACAAATGACTTGGAGAAATGGCACAAGTGGGGATTTTTATCTATATATTGTCCTCAAATAAATCACAAAAAAAATGACACTGCAACTACTCAATACGTTTATTCTGGTCTTTCTCTCCTCTCCTGCCCTAAAAAGCCCTGGACAGATGTGCCCCACCCCCTTGCTCTGATGCTTTACTGTAAAACTCTAAACATCCTCAGAGGTGCATTGTCTTCTACTTATTTAGCCAGTACTTATTTTGTTGAGTGCTGCTACGGGCTCAGTGCTTTCTTAAACACTGCAGGGCTCAGTAAAGAAAAATACTATTTGCTCCTTTCCTAAGAAAGCTTACAGACTGGCCAACAGGCATAAAGTTATTAGAGACTGGGTCACAAGGAAATAGGAAGCGAGTTCTCCAATACACAGAATTAATGTTGCTTCTCTAGTATTGAAAGACAGCCCAATACTGACAAGGCTCCCTGGATGCCTGCCCCAGCTTCCATCATTGTCACAGCAAACCCACTGGGCCCAGTGCCCAATCATTTGCAGGGATGGTTACACCTGAGTTCTTACAACCTGGGCTTGAGGTAGGAAGTGCGTACATAGCCTGCAGACCTTTGCCACATCCTCCCCATAGACAGCCCCAACCCTGCCCCGTCCCTATCTTCTGCAGGTAGAGGGGCTTCAGAGAGCTGACTTCTCACAGCTTCCCTGCTCCCAGGGCACAGAGCTGAGCTCATGGCTTCATTCCCACACAACATATAGCTTTTATAACAGGATGGTTACAGGGACAGAATGGGCATGAGACATAAGGTCAGATTGCAACCCTCTGAAAAGTGCAAACAACAAAAAGTATGAGCTATGCACCCAAAATAGGAACAAAGGGGCCAATGTGTCTTGAGTTGGGAAGGCTTTAGAATGTATTTCTAATGCAAAGACAAGGTCAAAGAAAAAGGAGGGGCAAAGTGAGGCCTTCAAAGATTTGCTTTGGGAGAACCCCAGGCTCCTTGGGCTTTAGGGAAGATTCTCTTCATCCTCAGACCACCCAGAGCCAAGCTGACACAGCAGCTGCCTTGCCCATAAGAGCCAGATCTGGGGCACTCTCCAGTGAGCCAGGCTTCTAAGCTTCCCCCTAAAATCCACCTCATCCCTGGGCCTAGAGTGTGACTTTGCAGTGCTTTAAGGACCTGGGCCAGCTCCTCCACCTCCTCAGCCCACTTGCCTCCCACTCCCGAGTGTTTGCATTTGAATGGATCCTGGAAAACAGTAGGAAGAAGGTGATTTGGTAGCAAGGGCCCCAAATCTGTTCCAACTCTATCATCATTGAAAGTCATTTTATAGGCAAAAAGAGAAGAACTCTTAAATGCTTGTGCAAGTTCTCCCAGCAAGTCCAGGGAATTTGGCCCAGGTCTCCTTTATCAAGCCTAAGCTTTTCCCCTACGACAGTCAAAAGCCTGCTCACCTCTTCTGGGTTGGCAGCCCAATCCAAACGCCACCTCCTCTGAGAACCATCAAAGACCATCAGATATCATCCACCCCACCACCCGCAACCCCGTACATCATCAGCTCATTCCAGCCTATTCCCTGCCCTGCCCTAGCCTAGCTAACTGCTCCGTGGTTCTAGGCACCATTTCGGCAGGTCCTGTGTGAGTGCATTCATGTGGAATTTATTTTTGTATAGTTCACAATGTAACTGCCCAAGGGATTTATCTAGCCCGCTGCCTAGACAGAGCCAATTCATCAAGACAGGGGAATTGCCATAGAGAAAAAGTAATTCACGCAGAGGCGGCTGTGTGGGAAACTGGAGTTTATTACTCAAATCAGTCTCCCCGAGCATTCAGGTAGCAGAGTTTTTAAGGATAACTTGGTGGGCAGGGGTAGCCAGTGAGCCAGGAATGCTGATTGGTCAGGGATGAAATCATAGGGAGTTGGAGCTGTCTTCTTGTGCTCAGTCAGTTCCTGGATAGAGGCCACAAGATCAGATGAGCCAGTTTATTGATCTGGGTGGGGCCGGCTGATCCATCAGGTGCAGGGTCTGCAAAATATCTCATGCACTGATCTTAAGAGCAGTTTAGGGAGGGTCAGAATCTTGTAGCCTCCAGCTGCATGCCTCGTAAACCATAATTTCGAATCTGGTGGCTAATGTTGGTCCTACAAAGGCAATCTAGTCCCCAGGCAAGAAGAAGGTCTGCTTTGGGAAAGGGCTGTTACCATTTTTGTTTAAACTATAAACTAAGTTTCTCCCAAAGTTAGTTCAGCCTATGCCCAGGAATGAACAAGAACAGCTTAGAGTTTAGAAGCAAGATGGTGCTGGTTAAGTTAGATCTCTTTCACTGTCTCAGTCATAATTTTGCAAAGGTGGTTTCAACAATGCCCCCAGCACCATTGTGGTTTCTTAGTTGGTAATGATCCCACACCCTGTTCCATATGGCTCACACCCTTCTGTTCCTCCTGCCTCTTTGCTGCTCTGCATGTGACCTGCTGCCCTGCTCTCCTGTCTTCCCTGCCCTCCATTCTCTCCCCATCTTTAGTGACATCGTGCTGTCACTGCTTCACTCCCAAGTTTGTCCTGGTCCCAGTGTAAATTAGTCCCTGGGTGCCTTCTTTGTGGAGGGGAGGCATATGCAAAGACGAAATAGAGACAGGGACTTCACTGCTCTCCCGGAGCCTGACCGAAGACCAGCCAGGTCCTGGAACCTGCTCCAGGTCACAGAGCAGAGAGGTTCAGTCCTGTAAAGATAGGGCCTCTGAGTCTGCTTAGAAACAAAAATCCCATCATGCAAACACAGCACTGAGAAGATGAGGCAGACACAAGGCCAAAAAAGATCTGGTAGCTCTTGGTGGACCTCACAGAACGTGAGTCAGCCAGAGCTGCCATGGCTTTAAAAGGTGTTAATGAGTTCAGGTGAGCCACCCCTCAGGGCATCTAATGGTCCCAGAGGGAGGCTCCATTATGCAGCCCCAGAATGCCCTTCTCACTTCACAAATTCGTGCCAGTGGTCTCAAGGGATGAGTGAAGGGATGAGTGAAGCTGGATAGACTGGACCAGGCTGCGTTTCTAATCATTGAAAGCAGAAAAGGAACAAATCAGCTCTCAGCTGAAGTGTGCAGTTGGAGCGGGGGTCCCCGGGGGGCTTTTTCTCCAGTTACCACCTGAGCTCAGTCCCCCGGCCCCCAGCTCCTCTAAGTGCTTTCCTGGAGGAGAAAGGCAGGGTCCTTCATCCCCACTCCTCGCCCATTCCCGAGCCAGCCCCTAAAAGGAGGCACAGGTGTTAAGCAACCACTCAGCCCATGACCTCCGGTACAGCTTTCCAGCAAACAGGCCGCCTCTGATGAAAGCGATGCAGACAGCTGAGCAGTTACAAAGTGGCAGCAGACAGCCTGGACCGGCAGTGGACAGACAATATGTCCAGCCCTGTGGAAAATTTGTGGGCAATGAATATTCAACAGCTGCATGGCACACCACCAGTGCCTTGAGGATCGCTAAAGAGGATGCTTTCTTCTACATGACTCTGTGTTCCTGTAGGTGACAAAATACCACAAGTGGCTGGGTGCGGTGGCTCACGCCTGTAATCCTAGCACTTTGGGAGGCTGAGGCGGGCAGATCATGAGGTCAGGAGATTGAGACCATCCTGGCTAACATGGTGAAAACTGGTCTCTACTAAAAATACAAAAAATTATCCGGGCGTTGTGGCGGGCGCCTGTAATTTTACCCAGGATGAGGCAGGAAAATCGCTTGAACCTGGGAGGAGGTTGCAGTGAGCTGAGATTGTGCCACTGCACTCCAGCCTGGGCGACAGAGCAAGACTCTGTTAAAAACAAAACAAAACAAAGCAACCACAAGCTAAAATGCTGATCATATCTCTGCTAAAGCCCATTCACAGTGGTGGGCTGAGCCTGGAAGCCTGAAGAGGGAGGGGGAGAGGTGGGTGCTTCTCTGACTCAGAGCCACTGGGTCCTCAACCTTAGGACACTTCAGAGTCACCTGGGAGCCTTAAAAAAAACCCGCCAATTAAACCAGAACCTCTAGGGGTAGGCCCTGGGAATCAAGTTTAAAAGGATGTTTTTAAAACTGTTTTTGGAACTAATTTTAAACTCTGAGAAGTTGTTAGAATAAAACTACTACAAAGAATACCCATATGTCCTCTACACTGATTGTGAACATTTTAACCTATTTGCTTAATTATTTTTCTGTATCTTTCAATACACACACATATACACATTCACCCATAATATTTTAAAATATTTTTTTCTGGGCCATTTGAAGATTAGTTACATCACGGTCCTTGACCTCAAAATACTTCAGTGTGTAACTCCTAAGAGACATCCTCCTACATAACCATAGTACAGTTACCTACTCCAGCAAATTTAACATTAATACAACACTTTGGGAGTCAGAGGTCTTTTAACTCTTCAGGTGAGTCTGATGTGCAACCAAGCATGAGAATAATGGGGAGGCCACTAAAATTCACCCCAGGATCTCGAGTCCTGGTACAGGAGGCAGAGAAGAGGTTGGTGGCCCACATTCGGTCTTCCAGGCTTGCCTGGATTCATTACCAGGAGCAGACTGGTCCATGCACAGTTGAGACAGAGGAAACCTGGGGTCCCGGGAGTGGCTCTTTGAAGCCTGTTTATGATACTTGCTCCTCCCTCTTTTTCCCACCATCTCATTTCTCCATTTCCCTAGAATGGCCTTTTTTATGGTCCAGGATTATCCTTTAAGTACCAAGTCGTTTATTAATAATTTAATATAGGGCCGGGCATGGTGGCTCACACCTGTAATCCCAGCGCTTTTGGGAGGGACGAGATCAGGTGATCAAGACCATCCTGTCTAACATGGTGAAACCCCGTCTCTACTAAAAATACAAAAAATTAGCCAGGCGTGGTGGCACGCGCATGTAATCCCAGCTACTCGAGAGGCTGAGGCAGGAGAATTGCTTGAACCCGGGAGGCGGAGATTGCAGTGAGCTGAGATTGCACCACTGCACTCCAGCCTGGGCAACAGAGTGAGACTCTGTCTCAAAAAAAATAAAAATAAAAATAAAAAATTTTAATATAGCACAACGACCCATTGAGAAATTACCCCAACCTTTGTTCATACTGTTTTGGCCTTGTATAACTAAAATGAATCTTTCCCTTTTCCAGTAACCCACACAGCCACACTCTGGGATCCACCCCTGTGTCTAATGGGACAGCCACGTGCAGCCTTTGAGCAGCTGTAATGTGTCTGCTTTGAATTGAGATGTGCTGTCAGTGCAAACCCACACCAGATTTTGAAGACTTTGCATATAAAAAAAAAAAAGAATACCAACTATCTCAATAGTAACTTTTTATGTTGATCCCGTATGGAAATGATATTTTGGACATATTGGGTTAAATAAAATTTGTTATTAAAATTAATTTCCCTGTTTCTATTTTTGAATGCGGTCACTAGAAAATTAAAATTAAGTGTGTGGCCAGCATCGTATTTGTATTATACAATGCTGGCCTAGAATCTCCTTGTCCTGATAGAAATAATGCCTTTAGGAGCAGGAGTTGATGGTAAAATGAGAAAAAATGGTGGGTGCCAGGGGCACAAACACACATAGGTGTTCATGTTTGAAGCTAGGGTTTTTCAGAAGGGAAAGAATGAGGGAGAGAAAGGAGAAGAGGGAGTTGGCCACCCTGAAAGTAGGTAGTTGGAACTCAGAGGTGAGAAGGGGACAGGGGAGCTGCATGTTCCTCAGGGACCTGGCCTCTCTAAGGGAGGCCTCTCTGAGATGACCCATCCTCAGGTGGGGATGGCCATGAAGAGCTAACCACTGAGGACCAGGGCCAGCAGGGTCAGGTGATGGCTCCTTAGGGTAAGTGCAGCTCCAGACAGGCAGATGCCTCTGAAGGATGACTCTAGTCTGGTGGAGGTCCCTGCAGGTGATAGAGCCACAGCCCCAGGCAGGTGAGGACCCACTTCAAGCACAGCCGAGGTGACCTCCAGGACACACGTGGCAGGATGCAATACCCTTTCACCCTGGACTCTTATATGCCCCTGGAAAGGAAAGGGGGCCAGGCCACTAGTGATAATGGATTTTCAGCCATGATAGTGAAACCACCTTTGCAAAAATGGTATCAGTGATCTGCAGTAACCCACCACCCATCTTGCCTTTCCTTTTTTAATTATCCCTGGGCTTTTGGGCCAAGCTAACTTTAAGAGACATTTAGGCTGTAGTTTACATGATAATAGGCCTCCGCCAAAACTCATCTGCTTTTGTAAAGCCAATGGGAGGCCATCAGGCTGTGTGGAGGAGGGGAGCTGGAGTCCTGCTAAGGCGCAGAGACAAACGATTGTCAGCCATGTTCCAGAAGTTATAAGATATGCACCTTCTCCGATTATGCCTTCAGATAACACCACTATTGTAGATCGGCCTTTTGAGATACCTTTCCAGGGTTTTTTGTTTGTTTTTTGTTTTTTGTTTTTTTGCATATCTGACATCCATGGTCTCACCTGGACCCCTAACCTCACTCCTGTGGCCCCATGCAGAAGAGGTTCAGCACACCAGAGGGCAGCCTCCACCCCTTATGATTTCGTCTCCACCCCAACCAATCAGCAGCAAGCCTAGCCTCCCCCAACCCTTCCGGAAACTGCTTTTGAAAAACCCCTAACCTGCTAGCTTTGAGACAAGACGATTTGAATACTAACTCTATCTCCCACGTAGCATGGCCAGCCTTGTGTCTATTAAACACTTCCTTTACTGCAATGCTGCGGTCTTTCTCTATGCACTGGGCAGGAGGAACCCCTCTGGTGGTTACATTAGCCGGTGGAGATCCTGCTTTCCCCAAGGGTTCCAGAGCAACTGACACTTGTTCCATGCATCTAGGACCCAAATTCATCTCCTTGTCCCAGTGTTTTCCTACAGGAGAATCACACAGAAGTCTCTCACCTTATGACATTCCTTTAAATGTCTGAAGATAATCAGGAGAGTTTCGTGGACTTTTGGGGTGGGGAAAGTTCTCTAAATTGTCTGAAATGATTATAAAATTATTTTCATTTGCATATATACATTTTTCTGGGAAGGGCAATTTATACACTTGATAAGGTCCTTAAAGGAGTTCTGACTTAGAAAATACCATGTCACTGTACTACAGTGAAAAGGTCCTTTAGGGAAAATTGCTTGCTTTCTAGTCCACCTGCTTCATTTGTGTACTCAGTCATTCACTCACAATGTGTTCACACAAGACCTCCCATCCTTCAGGCCCTGCAGCTCCAATTGGGATATTCCCCCATGAAGCGCTTCTCATCTCTAGTCTCTGTTCCTCCAACTGGGTGTCAGTCTACGTGTTTTCATCACAGCTCCCCTCATTACTCTCTCCCTCTTAAAGCCTCACCACAAACATCAAAGCAACAGCAGGCTCTGGATAAATTGCAATTTTCCACTTTCTCTCGACCTGTCTCCACTTCCACCCCAAGAACTCCTTGAGGCTTCTTCTCAGAAAATAACCCTGGTGAGGCATTATTGCATGACTCCTCTTCCAAGGACTGTTTGCAGTTTTATTGATGATCCTGGGAAGAATAGAACATCTTCTGCCGTTAGTAATGCATTGCTGTTGATGATACAGAGGCCCATTGAGGCCTGGTGAGACACGGGTGGAGGAACTGATTTGGATGAGAGTGGAGCCCACCTCAGAGCACAGGGCAGTCTTCCTTCCCTTGGGGGTGGCCCCATGGCCTGGGCCTCTATTGCTCCACAAGCACCTGCTGCCCCAAGCTCCTTACTTACCCGGCCAACGTAGCTTTTCTAACCATACCTTTGCCTATGCTGTGACCCCTTCCTGGGAGGCCTTCTTTCCATTTCTGCTCACTCAAAGGCTTTTCTCAATTTCTCACTCAAGTTCTACCTCCTCTCTGAGTCCCTGAGCAGGACCTCTACCCACAGTGTGTCTCTCCCTCCCCAAAGGCCACAGGACTTCTTCACTTTCACAGCATCCTGTATCCTCCCTCACTTTCATAGCACATGTTTTGCACATAGTCACTTATTTTCTTGAATTCTCTGTTTTAAAAGAATGGTCTTACTTTCCCTAATGAAATTACTAACTTATTCTTTTTTTTAATTATTTTTTTCTGGATGCTTTCTTCATCATTGAGATTTCTCTGGTTTTAAAACTTTTTTTTTAGTAAAAAGATATCATGAACAAGATACATGTAATTCATAATGCAAGTACTAAAATCCAAAAAGCCACATGATTGTAATCCTTTTCCAGTTATCCCAGTGCCTTTCCAGCTTAAATCTGAAAGCAAATTTCCTTTAGAAGAGGCTATTAATCACTATTATTTTCAAATATTGTTGTGTTTGCTCTAAAGTCCTATTAATTCACCATATACTCACAAGTCTCCAATATTTCATTGCAAACTGAGAAAGTTACCAGGACAAAAAAATTATGCTGCCTCTGCAAAAGCTGTCATACTTAGCACCCCATTCTGACTGGGAGAGCTAAAATCAAGGGGCAGTTTTCTTTCCAAACACTATTGTACTAACAGTCAGCTTGGTTATAGAAGATAAGTAATTTCAAATACTTGAGACAATGTTAAATGCAGAATTGAGATTCCAAATTTCCATTCATTTATGCTTTATGTTATAGGTTTTAAAAACTGCCCTGCCTCGGGTTATGAAATGTTAGGTCGACACACGAGACTGTCAAATCCTCCAATAATTCAGTAGCCTGCTATGTTTTAGTTGAACAGAAAAACAACCAATACTTGATTTTACCTCTTAAGAAACTCTCACCTTACCTAAATCGGAAAATAAATGGGGTGAAGTCTGTAATGGTTAGCTTTATGTATCAACGTGTCTAGGCTATAGTACCCAGTTATTAAATCTAACACTAATCTAGGTGTTGTTGTGAAGACATTTTGTACATATGGTTATATTTACAACCAATTGTCTTTAGGTAAAGGAGATTAGCCACAATAATGTGTGTGGTGCCTCATTCAAAAAGTTGAAGGCCTTAATAGCAAAAACCAAGGTGTCCTGTAGAAGAAAAGATTGCATCATTAACTCCTACCTTAGTTTCCAACCTGCTGGCCTGTCCTACAGATTTTAGAGTTGCCAGCCCCCACAATTGTGTGAACCAATTTTATAAAGTAAATTACACACACACACGGACCCTGACTAATACGAAGTAGAATTCTCTCCCTCTAATCCTCCTTCTAAGAATTATAAAAATATCTGCAAATATTTTAATAAAAATATTCACCTAGATTGTACAGGAAAGGATTGTACAAATGGCAGATTTAAGGTCTAATATATCAATGACTACATTAAATGTAAATGGTAAATACACCAATTAAAAGACAGGGATTGGTGGAATTAATCAAAAAACAGGTTCCTACTATCTGCAGTCCACAATAAATTTACTTCAACTATAACTATATAGGTAGGATGAAAGTAAAAGGATAGGAAAAGATACATTATGCAAACAAAAGAAAGCAGGAGTGGCTATACTATATCACGTAAAATAGACTTCGGAGCAAAAGAAATAACCAGAAACAGAGAGACATTATATAATAATAAAAACAGTCAATCCACCAAGAAATCACAGCAATCCTAAATGTGTATGCAGTAAACAACAGGGCTTCAAACTATGTGAAGCAATAACTGACAGAAATAGACAAAGTCACAATTACAGTTGGAGACTTCGATGTCTGTCTTGGAAAAATTAACAGAACAATTCAGCAGAAAACCAGCAAGATGTGTAAGAACTCAATGACATCATTGACCAACAGGTTGATGACATTTATAGAAGAGTCTACCTAATACCAGTAGAATACACATTTGTTGCAAGTGCTCATGAAACATATACCATGATAGACAACACCTAGGCCATGAGAGAAACCTTTAAGGAATTTGAAAGAATTGAAATCATGCAGAGTGAGTTCTCCAGCTATAATAGAATCAAACTAGACATAACCGTAAGATAACAGAAAAATCATTAAACATTCGGAAACTAAACAACACACTTCTAAATCTATGAATCAAAGAGGGAGTCTCAGGGGAACTTTAGAAATATATTGAATGAAAATGAAAATACAACGTATAAAAATTTGTGAAACACAACTAAAACAGTGTTGAGAGGAAAATTCATAGCACTGAATATATACATTAGGAAAGGAGAAAAAGTCTGAAATCAATAATCTAAGCTTCTGTCTCAAGAACCTAGAAAAAAGAAGAGCAAAACAAATTTAAAGCAAGCAGAAGGAAATAATAAAGACAAGAGCAAAAATCAATGAAATTAAAACTAGAAAAACAATTTTTAAAAATCAATGAAACAAACAGCTGTCTCTTCAAGAATATCAGTAAAATTGGCAAAAAAAATTCCCTTCTAGCAAAACTGACAGAGAGGAAAAGGGAAATACACAGGTTACTTGTATCAGGAATGAAACAAGACCCTGCAGATATCAAAAAGGTATTAATGGAATAATATAAGGGAATACTATAAACAACTGTAAACACACATAAATTTGACAGCTTACATGAAATGACCTAATACCTTGAAAAAACACATACTCCCACAAGTTAATATAAAATAGATAATTTAAATAGTCATATAACTATTAAGAAAATTGAATTCATAAGTCAAGTATTCCCAAAAAAGAAATTTACAGGACCAGATGGTTCCACTGGAGAATTTTACTAGACATTTAAAGATTTAGGACCAATTCTATACAGTAGATTTCTCCAGATTTTTCTACGTAGACAATTATGTCTTCTGCAAATAGAGACAGCTTTGCTTCTTTCTTCCTGATCTATATCTTTTATTTCCTTTTCTTGCCTTATTGCACTGACTAGAACTTCCAGCACTACATTGACACACATAGTCCCCAGGAGAACCAGAAAATGGGTCCTGAGGGAGCAAAGACAAGGCTCCAGTCACTGGGATACGTAGCAGGTTACTTGGTAAACATTTGCAGAATGAATGTCTAGTGTTCACGTCTTTCCTGGCACTCCTCAGTATGACCAATCCCATCACCAAAATAAATATCATTTGCATAGGTCTGGACTTGATGTGTGATGGGACCACAGCAAGGCCAGTTGTAGGGGAGGCCGAAAGTTTAATTCCCAAAAGGCAAAGATGTATTGATTTAGTTCAGGCAGGTATAGAGATCTGATCTTTCGGAAGCATTATGGCAGTGGACTTTCAAAAAACTCTTCTTGAAACCAGCAAAAGGGTAGACTCACTTTAGTGAGAAAACATCATACCGCCGCAGCACTCCATCAGCAGCTGTAGCAACCCTCAGAGGATACCTCAGAGTCACTAACGATCTTAAGGAAAATGCAGATTATAGAGTCCCGTTGAGTCAGAATCACTAGACCTCAGGTCCAGGATGCTACATTCTTAACAAGCTTTATCTCAACTACATTTGGAGAACTTCTGAGTCATAGAATTGAAGCATGACTCCCCTGCTTCAAGACAGGATTTTGGCATGAGCTAGATTGGACAACCAGGCCCCAGCCAAGAATATGGGATTTGAGGTGGTTTGCAGAGAGGATGAGTAAGAATTTGAAAGCAGGCATACTGTTGTTGTTGTTGAACGTACTTTGTAGTTGATTTTCTTGAATGTTTTTGTCTGTCCTTGACTTTTTTTATATTTTTAAAAATCAATAGATGTTATTTTTAGAATAATTTAAGATTTACAGGCCAATTGAGCAGATAGTGCAGTGTTCCCTTATATCCTCTTCTCCTACACACAGTTTCCCCTATTATTAACATCTTGCCTTAGGGTGGTACAATAGTTACAATTAATAAACCAACATTGAGGCCAGGCACGGTGGCTCACACCTGTAATCCCAGAACTTTGGGAGGCCAAAGTGGGCGGAGATCAAGACCATCCTGGGCAACATGGTGAAACCCTATCTCTACTAAAAATACAAATATTAGCTGGGCATGGTGGCACACGCCTGTAGTCCCAGCTACTCAGGAGCATGAGGCAGGAGAATTGCTTGAACCCAGAAGGCATAGGTTGCAGCGAGCCGAGATCATGCCACTGTTCTTCAGCCTGGCAACAGAGTGAGACTTCGTCTCAAGAAACAAACAAACAAACAAAACACACACACACACACACAAAAAACAAATAAACCAACATTGATACATTATTATTAACAAGTTCATAGTTACATTAAGGTTCACTCTTTGTGTTCTACAGTTCCATAGATTTTCACAAATGCATGATGTCATGTATTCACCATTACGGTATCATACAGAAAAGTTTCACTGTTCTAAAAATTCCCTGTGCTTCACCTACTTATTCCTCTCCCTTTTCCCCCATATACCTAGCAACCACTGATCTTTTTATTGTCTCTATACTGTTGACTTTTCCAGAATGTCATATGGTTGGAATTATTTAGTATGCAACCTTTCAGACTGACTTCTTCCACTTAGCAGTATGCAGCTGACTTTCTTCCATGTCAGTTTTTGGCTTGATAGCTTATTTTTTTTATTACTGAATAATATTCCATTGTGTGAATGTACTAATTTCTTTATCCATCCACCTATTGAAGGTCATCTTGTTGGCTTTCAATTTTTGGTGATTATGAATAAAGCTGCTATAAACATTTATGCGTGTAGGTTTTCGTATGGACATGTTTTCAACTCAGTTGGATTACTGTTGAGGAAAGTGGTTCCTGGATTGTACAGTAAGACTATATTTAGATTTGTAAGAGCCTGACAAACTCTCCTCCATAATGGGTGTACAATTTTGCATTCCCACCAGCATTGGATGAGAGTTCTTGTTGCTACATATTCTCACCAACATTTGGTATTGTCAGTGTTTTTTAAAAAAATATTTCATTTTTATTGACAAATAATAATTGTATATATTTATAAGATTCGGTGTGATGGTTCAATACATGTATACATTGTGGAATAATCAAAGCAGGTTAATTGATACATCCATCACCTCACATAGTTACTTCTTCATGGTGAAAACATTTAAAATCCACTCTTTTAGCAATTTTGAAATATATAATACGTTATTGTTAACTATAGTCACCATGCTGTGCAAGAGATCAACAGAACATAGCCCTCCTGGCTAACTGAAAAGTGTTTTCAGTTTTAGTCATTCTAATGTGTGTAATGTATCTCATTGATTAATTTGCATTTCCCTAGTTGAGCATCTTTTTACGTGCTTACTTGCCATCTGTATAGCTTCTTTGGTGAGGTGTCTATTTAGATCTTTTGGTTATTTTAAAATTAGATTGCTTGTGTCTTATTATAAAGCTTAAAGAGTTAATTGTATATTCTGGATACAAGTCTTTTATCAGATATGTGTCTTGCAAATGTTTTCTCCAAATCTGTGGCTTGTCTTTTCATTCTCTTAACAGCATATTTTGTAGAGCAGAAGTGTTTAGTTTTAATAAAGTCCAACTTACAATCTTTTCTTTCATTGATTGTGCCTTTTGTGTTAATAAGAGCTAAAACTCAATAGGCTTATGTTTTTAATGCAGCCTTTTATATGATTCTGTTGTCTTTTCTATCTTAGAAAATCAATTATATGTCTTTTAATTTTTTTGTAAGTGGTTACCGTAGAGTTCACAATGTATGTTTACAATGAATCTAAGTTCACTTTCAAGTAATACTACATTGTTTCATGGACAGTTCAGTTACCTTAAAACAGACTATCCCAATTCCTCCTTCCCAACTCATAACATTTCTGTCATTCAGTTCACTTAATTATATGCTACAATCATCTGTGCCTTCATTTATTCCTTCTCTGACACTCTTCCTTTCTTTATGTAGATCTGAGTTTTTGGCCTGTATAATTTTCCTTCTCTCTGAAAAACTTTTAATATTTCCTGCAAGGTAGGTCTACTGGCAACAAATTCTCTCAATTTTTGTTTGCCTGAGAAAGTCTTTATTTCTCTTTTACTTTTGAAGGATAATTTCACTGGATACGATCAATACTTTAAATATTTCACCAAGTTTTCTTCTTGCTTTCATGGTTTCTGATGAGAAATCCAATGTAATTCTTACCTTTGCTCCTCTGTTTCTTTTTCTCCCTCTGGCTTTTTTCAAGATTTTTTCCTTGTCTTTGGTTTTCTGCAGTTTGAATGTAATATGCCTAGGCATAGTTTTTGGCATTAATCCTGGTTAGTATTCTTTAAGCTTCCTGGTTCTTTGGTTTGGTGCTTGTTGTTCATTCTGAAAAATTCTCCGTCATTATTACTTATGAGGGATTCAGAGTATGCCATCCCAAAATATGCCACTTTGATATAATAATTATTTTGAGTGGAAGGAAATTGAAAAGAAGGAGACAAAAGACAAAATTTCTGCCCTCCCCTTTTCTACCAGGAAGGGCAGGACAATTTTAATCAGTGATTCTTAATCACTGGAGGCAATACCCAGATACAGCAGCAGAGGAATCTACAAAACAAACTGGCTAAAACAACCCTTATTTTTCATTAGTTTCCCTTATCTAGTTACTTTGTTACTGTTTGCTGTCCCTAAAGCATAAATCATTTTTCCTTTATCTTGTCACTTTTCTACCAATTTATTGTATTTTTTATTAAACTGTTATATATGAAACCACCATTGCAAAATTGTAACTGAGACAGTGAAAGAGATCTGACCTAACCAACTCCATCTTGCATCTAATCTTCAAGCTGTCCTTGTTCATTCCTGGGCGTAGGCTGGACTAACTTTGGGAGGAACTTAGTTTTTAGTTTATTGTTTAAAACAAAGACAATAATAGCCTTTTTTCAAAACAAACCCCTTTCTTGCCTGAAGACTAGCCTGCCTTTGTAGGACTAACAAATTAGTTGAAAGATTATAAATTATGGTTTAAGAGTTATGCCTCTGGAGGATACAAAATTCTGACCCTCCCCAAATTGCTCCTAGGGATAACATCACTATTGTAAAACCTAAGATCAGTGTTTGAGATATTGCACTTGATGGATCGGCTGGTACCACCCAGATCAATAACCTGGCTCTTCTGATCATGTTGCCCCCACTCAGAAACAGACTCAGAGCAAGAGGACAGCTTTAACTCCCTATAATTTCATCTCCTACCCAACCAATCAGCCCACCAAATTATCCTTAAGAACTCTGATCCCCAAACGCTTGGGGAGACTGATTTGAGTAATAATAAAACTCCAGTCTCCTACACAGCCGGCTCTGCGTGAATAACTCTGTCACTATTTTTTTTTTTTTTTTTGAGACGGAGTCTCACTCTTTCGCCCAAGCTGGACTGCAGTGGCGCTATCCCGGCTCACTGCAAGCTCCGCCTCTTGGGTTCATGCCATTCTCCTGCCTCAGCCTCCCGAGTAGCTGGGATTACAGGCGCCCACCACCACGCCCGGCTAATTTTTTGTATTTTTAGTAGAGACGGGGTTTCACCGTGTTAGCCAGGATGGTCTCGATCTCCTGACCTCGTGATCCGCCCGCCTCGGCCTCCCAAAGTGCTGGGATTACAGGCGTGAGCCACCGCGCCCGGCCAACTCTGTCACTATTGCAATTCTTATGCCTTGATAAATCAGCTCTGTCCAGACAGTGGGCAAGGTGAACACGTTGGGCGGTTACATATAAGCCCAAGTTCTAACCATTCCTTAGAGTTACCCGTCACTGAGTCTCTCCTGCATGTATGTGCACTTCATGTGTTAACACACTCTTGTTTGCGTTTTCTTGTTGATCTGTCTTTCTCAGTCTAATTTGCAGATCCCAGCTGGAGGATCTAGGAGAATAGGGGAAAAAGTTGTTTCCTTCCCTGCAACTTTAGGCTGAGTTTTAAATCCTGCCTCTGCCACTACTAAATTATGTTGGGCAAGTGATTTAACCGTTTTGAGGCCCAGTTTCCTTAACTATGTAGTAGATAATATAGCTATGTCTTACAGGATGCAAGGAGGCTGAAAGAACGTCATGCTTTGAGCAGGGCCTGCCACAGAGTGGCAGTGGGGCCTGGTGGTTAGTGAGTGGTGTGGAATGGAGGAAAGTCTGTCATGCCAGGCGGGATGATGGGCCTTGGACATCAGGCTCACAAGACAAAGATACTTTCAAATCCCTGGCTGCTATGTTAAAACTACTCAGAGTTTCACTCATAGTTGAAACCTAGACTGATGAGGAATTCACTGAAGGGCAGGAGGGCACAGCAGCCAAGGCCAAAGTGAGCCCTAGAATTGATCCTGGAATCCCGGTGTCTTGGACCTGCCCCAGTCAGTTGACAGGCCCACTGGCAAACCTCAGAGTCTTCCTCCAGCTTCAAACACATACCTGTGTATCCAGGACAGTCTCACGGCATAAGTTTTAGGAGGGCAGAAGTCAGGATATTCAGCCCCAGCCACAGAACTGGCTTCAGTGAGGACTGCGTCTCCATGGCCAACAATGTTTTAATGTGATCTAGCCTGGAGATTTGGGGGATCCTTCCTGAAGCTTCTAGCCTGGCCCACTTCTGCTTCTACCCTAAGACTGTAAAAAAAATCTCTGAGGCTGAAGGCTGCTACTGCAAGGGGAACAACTCTATTCCTTTGCAAGGGCAACAGCTGAATATCCATATTCAGCTGTTGGAAAGGAAAAGGGTTAAATTCATAGTGGTGGAAAAGAAAAAGAAGAAATGAAAATGTAAACAGTTAAAAAATGTTCAGCATCAGAGCCAAGGTACCCTATCTTCAATGTATCTGTCTTACAACATGAGCTCTAAAAATTGGTCAAATGGGTTGGGTGTGGTGGTTCATGACTGTAATCCCAGCACTTTGGGAGGCCGAGGCAGGCGATTCATGAGGTCAGGAGATCAAGACCATCCTGGCTAACACGGTGAAACTCTGTCTCTACTAAAAATACAAAAAAATTAGCTGGGCATGGTGGCACATGCCTGTAGTCCCAGCTACTCAGGAGGCTGAGGCAGCAGAATTGCTTGAACCTGGGAGGCAGAGGTTGCAGTGAGCCAAGATCGCACCACTGCACTCCAGCCTGGGTGACAGAGTGAAACTTTGTCTAAAAAAAAAAGAGGTCAAATAGGCTTCTTGTCAAAAGATTAACCTTCCTACCTGAAACAACGGGACACAGACATGCCACTCTACTTGCCCAAGAGAAATCAAAGCATACATCCATGCACACTCAGTAACATGAATGTATACACTAACTTTTTAGTAATAGCCAAAAATGGAAATAACGCAAATGTCCATCAGGATGTGAATGGATAAACAAATTGTGGTATATCCATACAAAATAATACTTCTCAGCAATAAAAAGGAATGAATTGTTGATTCATGCAACAACATGGATGAATTATAAAATATTTATGTGAGTAAAATAAGTCAGACAAAAGTATAATCAGCAGTATAGAGTTCTTTTAAATAAAATGCTTGAAAATGAAACCTAATCCATAGTGACAAAAAACAGAACAGTAGTTGCCTGGGAGTGGTGGGTGGGGTGGAAGTGGTGAATGATAGGGTAAGATTACAAACAGATGGGGGAAGCTTTAGTGGGCCATAGATATATTCAGTATCTCAATTTTTGTGATGGCCTCACAGGTATGTCCATATTTCAAAACTTACCGAATTGTATACCTTAAATATATGTGGTTTATTATAGGTCAAGTTTACCTTAATAAAACTGTTAAAAAATTTGTTCTTCTTGAAACATTGTTTTTCTTTTCTTTTCCTATACCTCTACCTTCCTTCTTATCTTACACAGCCTTTTGCTGCTTCCCACTTACAAAAAACATTCAGTTTTACAAGTAATCAAAGAAATAAAAACTAAAACAAAAATAATATAACCATCTCCATGCGCATGGAACAATTTTACAAACATGAAATGCCATCATCCGCCGGGCGTGGTGGCTCATGCCTATAATTCCAGCACTTTGGGAGGCCAAAGCGAGAGGATCACTTGAGGTTAGGAGTTCAAGACCAGCATGGCCAACACGGTGAAATCCTGTCTCTACTAAAAATACAAAAATTAGCCTGGCATGGTGGTGGGTGCCTGTAATCCCAGCTACTTGGGAGGCTGAGACAGAAGAATCACTTGAACCCAGGAGGCAGAGGTTGCAGTGAGCTGAGATCGCACCACTGCACTCCAGCCTGGGCAACAGAGCGAGACTCTATCTCAAAAAAAAAAAAAAAAAAAAAAAAAACAGAAAAAAAGAAATGTCATTGTAGACTCAGAGACATAGACTCTCCTACACTATCATATATTTTTGCAGGGAGTGGTAATTGGCTTGACATTTCTGAAGGCAATTTGCAAATAAGCATTAAAAGCCTTAAAATGTGCCTAACATTTTGACCCAGTCCATTTTAGGAATTAGCTCTGAGGATACCTTCTATCTTAGGATGTGAGAAAGACGTTCATAAGGATATGAATTTCAGTACTATTTATATTTGAAAAAAAAATTGCAAAAGCTAAGTAGAACAATTTGAGATTCCCTAAATAGTTCATAATGTAGTCACACAAACATAGATTCTCCAGAAACCAACGTGGAAACAGTTGGGGTGCAAGATGTTGAGTAGGGGTCAACCTCTGCAAGAGGGAGCAGGAGCAACTAGGACAGCTCGAGAAAACAGCAGTGCAGGCCTGGCCGAGCCTTGGCTAACCCAAGGAGCTAGGCTGAAGGGGCAGGCTTTGAGACCAGCTCCTCATTCAGTCACTGGATGTGAGCAAGATCAGAGGCAAGGTGCCCTTGGCCCTGAAGAAGCTATGAGCTGGAGGGGTTTGCTGACCACACCCAACTGAGCCGCATGTCCCTTCTCCAGGGGCAGGTGCAAGGCGAGAACTTACTCGTCCACTGCCATCCTAAAAGCCCCCTTCCCCAAGTCCCTTTGTTCTTCACAGTCTCTCTTCTGCTTCTATTGGCTCTACTGACTTTCAGAGTTAGTCTTTTCATGAAGTGTTTATTATAGAAGTCATTTGTAGGGCCCTCTGGAGGGAAAATGCTATTGAAATTTAATTAATGGGAAAGACAGTAAGTAAATAAAATGAGGTTCTGGAGAGAATTCAGTGCATGGGAATTACAAGCACATTCACCATAACTTGAATTTGATGGCCTGGAAATTGACAGACGGTACAAAAGCAAACCCTGAGAGTGCCCTCCTTTTCTGGCATTCATAGGATGAGCCATTCAAATGAAGTGGGGTTTCTCTCTGGGTTTGACACCATCAAAATGGCTTCCTGCTTGCTCTCATCCTCCTGTTTAGATGTGGCTGGAGGCTCAGGGTATGAATGTGTTTGTGTGTATGATGTGTGTGTGTGCACGCACACATGTGTGTGTACGTGGGGCTGTGTATTACCAAGATCAAAGATACGGGACAGCCCTGTCTCCTCTCTGCCTGGGAAGAGGTAGAATGAGACTCTGGGACCAGCCAGTAGATGGAACATAGAGCCCATCTGGGAAGAAAGCACAGTGCTATAAACAGTAACATCAAAATTCTGGGTCAGGAAGTAAAAGCTAGAACTATTACAGAGATGAGCTGCTAATTATGGAGGAAGCCATCGAGCAAGCAGCCGTTTCTGTCCAGATCTCCATTAGAATCTCATTATCAGGTAATGGGTCAAATGTAGAGCAGTGGCTTGATCATTTAAAATAAATTTTAAAAAAGTAAACAAGCTTTACGAAAACTGGACATTCTGGCTGTGCCAAATATTAGTAATGTGTGGGTCAGTGATATATTTTATATTGCTGGGGAGAGTGTAAACTGTCAAAATGTTTTGGGAAGTAATTTGGCACGATCTTGTAGAGTTGAAGGTTTGCCTTCCTTACAGTTCAACAGCTCCAAGAATATACCCTAGAGAAACTCTTGCACGTGTGCCCAGGGAATAATGTGGTCTGATGTTCATAATAACACTGTTAGTAAGTGCAGAAAACTATAAACAAATAACTCAAATGTCCATAAACAAAGGAACAGATAAGTAAAATGCAGGAAATTACTTGGCAATACAGTTAAGTGCTGACACATCCTCCAATATGGAGCCTTGAAAATATTCTGCAGAGTGAAGGAAGCCAGTCACAAAGGCCACATCGTATAGAATTCCATTGATGTGAAATGTCCAGAATAGAAAAATCTGTAGAGACAGAAAGTACATTAGAGAGAAAGTAGGTTGTCAGGGGCTGAAGGAATTGCGGAAAGGAGGGGAGTTACTGCTAATGGATACATGAGATTTCTTATTGGGGTTGATGCAAATGTTCTAAAATTGATTGTCGTGATGGTTACTCCACTTCATGAATATCCTCAAAGCCATTGAATGTGTACACTTTAAATAGATGACTTGTGTGATATTTGAATTATAACTCAATATAACTATTTACGAAAAAACCCCAAGTGCCCAAGAATAGGAGAATGAATATATTTATTGTGCTGTAGTTACATGTGAGAATATTATGCAACAATGGACAATGAATGAATCATAGTCACATTCATCAACACAGATGAATGTTGGTAACATTACCATATCATTAGTTGGTAACATTGAGTGAAAAAAGCAAGTCCCAGATAACTACATAGAGCCTGATACTCTCTTTATAAAGTTCAAAAACAAAGCAAAACTAAGTAACATATTGCATAGGTGAATATATATATATATATATATATATATATATATTTTTTTTTTTTTAAAGCAACCATAGGAAACAAAACAAAGGAATGAATAAGTATGGTAGGTAAAAATGGTCGCTCTGGGGTGAAGGTGCCAGGGGATGGGGACAAGGAAGGAGCAATGGTGACAGTGTTTCATGAATGACAAATTTTGATCAATCAAACTCTGTGCACCAGAATATTAAAATTATTATTATTATTAATAATAGTATTAGTATGGGCAAGGAACTGGGCTAATCACCATCTATGTAGTATTTTATTTAATCTTCACAAGAATCCTATGAGATAGGAGCTATTGCTATTCCCACTTCATACATAAGAAACTGAGACTTAGCGGTCACACAAGTAGCAAGTGGTGGAGCTCAGATCTGATTTCCACGCCTGTGAGATCCTAGAGCTTTTTTAGTTATGCTCCCAATCTCACTACCCCAACCCCCAAGACAGAAGCCAAGGCTGTGATTGGGTCCATCAAGCCCATGAGCAGGATTCCACCAGTGGGATCTGGGTTAGCCGCAGGCATACAGTGCTAAGAAATTTCCTGGCAGGGTTATTACCTAGAGTCAACAAAAATGGCTGCCATTTCGGAAAATGAAACATTGGCTAATTCAGGGACATTATTAGAAACTGCTGCTGGGACAGAGCAAGCTTCTGGGGAAGCAGGACATCAGGTGCAGTGATGGTAAAGCCTCTGCACCCAGTGAGCATGCATGCATGGAGCCAAGTGTCAATGGATTGAGACATCATTCAAAGGTACTTCCAAGTGGCCCAGTCCAAAGTCATGGTCCTGAGAAGCATGAGCTGCTTTCTGCCTTTAGTCTTGCCTAATTCTGTTTTTTGTTTTTGTTTTTTTTTTAAAAAGACAGGTTCTCACTCTGTCACCCAGGCTGGAGTGCAGTGGTGCCATCTTGGCTCTTGGCTCACTGCAACCTCTGCCTCCCAGGTTCAAGCGATTCTCCTACCTCATTCTCCTGAGTAGCTGAGACTACAGGCGTGCAACACCATATCCAGCTAATTTTTTGTATTTTTTGGTAGAGATGGGGTTTCACCATGTTGGCCAGGCTGGCGTTAAACTCCTGACTTCAGGTGATCCACCTACCTTGGCCTCCCAAAGTGCTGGGATTACAGGCGTGAGCCACGGTGCCCAGCCAACCTTGCCTAATTCTGTTAGAACTTGCCTTATTCTATTCTGGGTTCAGTGAAGAATAAGTGGTGGTTGCTGAGCTGCCCTCTGCATTAAAGCTCACCTTGGGCATTCTCTTCTTTCTTGTCTTCCTCAACTGAGAAGGTGCTCAACTGATTCACGATTCTCAACCACAAGGGACAAGCACCTTTGAAGAAGCACGAGTGAGTGTTAGCAGTTCTCCTCAGCAACAGTGTGGGGCTTTGTCATTACAAAACACTCAAATATCAATTAGGGTAAGTGGGAGGTGGGGTAGCAGGAGAGGCTAGAGTGAAGTCATCTATTCCAGGCATTTCCAGTTAGTCTCTTTGGATCAATTCAGTGTTTCATGCTAGTTCTCAACCCATACACCTCTTAATCTACCTTAATTTCTGTTAGGCAAGAAAAGCAGAAGAGCTCTTATACAACACTTGAAGAAATAGGCATTAATAGGCCCTGAGGGCACAGTCTATGGGATGGCTGCTTTGCTGTATCCCTCTGTGTCCTGAAAGCAGTGTGCACTCTTTGATAGTAGAAGGATACTACATGGACAGGCAGAGAGATGTCAAGTCCTCACACACACTGAGACACCAGTTCACATTCTCAGAAGGGAAGATGTCCCAAAGTCCAAGCAATATGTCACTGAGTATACCAACCAGTTTCCTATATGAGACAAAAGCAAAATAAAAGACCTAGTCCTTATTCTGGAGAAACTTGTATTACAGTCAAATGACACAGCACTAGGCGAGGCTCACTTCCACACCCCTACTCAGGGCTCATTCAAAGACTCTGCCATCAGCCCTAAAAGCAGATAGTCTGGGCTTCAGAGCTGAGGAAGCATTCACATGGGGTTCAAAGCAATATTTTCTTCCTTGATATGATCTCTGCACGATTACTCTTGTTTTGTCTTTGGCATGTGAATTGAGAAAATGTAGTTCAATTGGAGCTTGGTGTAGATCTTTACGGTTTAGGAAAGGGCTCCATGCAATTAGATGGTGCAATTATTAGCATCCTGTATGCCTCCTGTAAAGCAGCAGCAGTGCCAACGGTCTTGATAATTGGATTGTTTTTATGAGCAGACACAGGCATTGGATAAAGGCCTTGGGAGCTCCTCCTGCTTGTCTGGAATCTGGAGGATGAACTGAGTTTGTGTAATCTAAAGGCCAAGTCCTGCCAGCCAAAGCCAGATTGGGGTTGGGGTGGTTCACATATGTGAAGGCTTTGAAATAAAGAGGATTTGGTCTTGGGAGACAGATGCTGCTTGCCTTGACTAATTATCCATTTTGGAAGAGAACATAGCATCCTTAGTGCTGGAAGACTTTCCACGTTGAGGGATTTCTCTTCCTGTGTCCCCAGGCACTTGTGGGTGCCATCCAGCCTCTGCAGCTGCAGCAGCACAAGCCCAGCAACCTACCTGGCTTAATACAAGGAGCCCAACACCGTCTTAAGCCAGAAATTCGTGTCACCGTCACAGGTCTCCATAGCAACCTTTCATGCTAAAAGAAGGACATTTGTAAATATGCATTTTGCAAGCCTTCTTTTCTGATTCAAAATATCAGCCTTTTGAGAACAACTCACTTTGTCAGCTATGTCTTGCTGCTGGAAGGCTGAGGAAATGGGGACTTCTCATTGGTCCCTCTCTCTTTCCTTGTGGCCCTTCATTTCTTGGCTTACTGGAATCAATCGGCAAATGCACACTGAGTTCCTCTGGTGGGCCCAGAGTCAGGCTAGGTGCTGCTGGGGACACAGAAGGGGCAAGACACAGTTGCTGCATGCAAATTGAAGCTCAGTCAGAGAGAACAACACAAGACAACAAGGTGCTATCAACGCCATCCAGGAAGGGCTGAATGCTGGACAATCAGAGGGGACAGATGTGCTCCAGGAACCCTGCAAAGGGAGGGTGCACCTGGCTGGGCTGCCTACCTAGTTGAAGACCCTCCCAGGGACCTGAGCTCTGGGGCGTCTGACCAGTGGAACAAACTATCTTGGCTGTTTCTCTTAGCGGATCTTCATCAGGTAGGGCCTTACATCGCCCGTGGAGCTTTAAAATGCCCTTGCCCATTCCCAGAGATTTTGATGTGCTAAGTCTCTGGTGGGTCTTGGGTATCTGTATTTTTAAAAAATTTTTATTGTTTTAATTGACAAGTAATAATTATATATATTCACGGGGGTACAAAGTGATGTTTCAATACATATAAGGTAGAGTGATCAGATCAGGGTAATTAGCATATCCATCATCTCAAACATTTACCATTTCTTTGTGTTAGGAACATTTAATATCCTCCTTCTAGCTATCTGAAACTATGTATTATCGTTAATTATAGTCATCCTACTGTGGTACAGAACACTAGAATTTATTCTTCCTGTCTAGCCGTGACTTTGTATCCTTTAACAAATCACTCCCTTTGCCTCCCTCCCACTACTCTTCCCAGCCTCTCCTATCCGCTATTCTACTTTTTACCGCTATGAGAGCAATTATTTTTAGCTTCTACACATGCGTGAGAACATGCAGTGTTTAACTTTCTGTTCTGGGCTTATTTCACCTAACAAAATATCCTTCAGTTTCATCCACTTTGTCGTGAATGACAGGATTTCACTCCTTTTTTATGACCAAATATTATTCCATGGTGCATATATGCCACATTTTCTTTATCCATTCATCTATTGTTGGACATCTAGGTTGATTCCATATCTTGGCTATAGTGAATAGTTCTGCAATAAACATGGGGTGCAGATGTCTCTTTGATATACTGATTTCCTTCCCTTCTGATAAATCCCTGGTAGTGAGATTGCTGGATCATACGGTAGTTCTATTTGTAGGTTTTTGAGGAGCCTCCACACTGTTCTCCATGGTGGCTGTACTAGTTTACATTTCTTGCCCTTCTCTTTTCCCCACATCTTCACCAACATTTGTTATTTTTTGTCTTTTTGATAATAGTTATTCTAACTAGGATAAGATGAAATCTCATTATAGTTTTGATCTGCATTTCCTTGATGATTAGTGATGCTGAGTATTTGTTCATATGTCTGTTGGTCATTGGTATGTTTTCTTTTGAGATATGTCTGTTCAGATCATGTGCCCATCAGATTGTTGTTGCTATTTTTTTGGTGGTTGAGAGGTTTGAGCTCCTTGTATATTCTGATATTAATCCCCTGTCACATGAACAGTTTGCAAATGTTTTCTTCCATTCTGTAGGTCATCTTTTCCTTCTGTTGATTATTTCCTTTGCTGTGTAGAAGCTTTTTTGTTTGATATAATCCCACTTGTTTATTTTTGCCTTAGTTGCCTATGCTTTTGCTTTTGAGGTCTTATTCATAAACTCTTTTTCCAGACCAAAGTCCTGAAGTGTTTCCCCTGTGTAGTCTAGTTAATGGTTTGTCAATTTTATTTTTTCAGAAAATCAACTTTTTGTTACATTATCTTTTGTAATTTTTTTGTCTCAATTTTCTTTATTTCTTCTCTGATATTTATTATTTCTTTTCGTCTACTAATTTTTGGTTTTGTTTGTTCTTGCTTTTCTAGCTCCTGGAGCTTGTTTACTTGAAATCTTTCTAGTTTTTTGATGTAGGCGTTTATTACTATACGTTTGTCTGTTAATACCATTTATGTTGTGCCCATAGGTTTTGGTATGTTGTGTTTCTATTTTCATTCATTTCAAGGATCTAAAAAATTTTATCCTTTAAAATTTGTTTTAATTTTTAAATTGTTTTTCAATTTTTAACCAACTTTATTAAAGTATAGTTTATATACATTAAAATTCACCAATTTGAATTGTATAATTCAATGACTTGTAACATAATTTTGACATTGTTTTCTTCAAACAAGATTTGTAAATTTCACAGAAAGGAAAAATTATATGATACAAAAGGCATTATATTTAAAATTATTGAATGTACTTTTGTGCATATATTTTTCACCTTACACTGGAATATAAATGTTACATTTCCAAATAAAACTAAGAGTATTAATTCTCACATGCCAAAACTTTGAAAAATTATTTTATTTTATTTTATATTTTTTCAACTTTTATTTTAGATTCAGAAGGTACCTGTCCATGTTTGTATACTGGGTGATGCTGAGGTCTGGGGTACAAATGATCACATCACCCAGGTACTGAGCATAGTACCTAATAGTTTTTCAACCCTTGCCACCTCCCTCCCTCCCTCCCGTTTCTAGTAGTCCCCAGTTTCTATGTCCATGAATACATAATGTTGAGCTCTCACTTGTAAATGAGAACGTATGATAGCCCGTGTTCTGTTCCTAGGTTAATTCACTTAGGATAATGACCTCAAGCTGCATCCATGCATCCAAATGACGTGATTTCATCATTTTTTGTGGCTGTGTCATGGTGTATACGTACCATCTTATCTTTATCCGTTCCACCACTGATGGGTACCTACGTTGATTCCATATCTTTGCTTTTGTGAATAGTACCGTAATGAACATGCAAGTACATGTGTCTTTTTGGTAGAACAATCTGTTTTCCTTTGGATATCTACCCAGTAATGGTATTTCTGGATCAAATGATAGCTCTGTTTTAAGTTCTTTGGGAAAACTTCAAATTGCTTTCCACGGTGGCTGAACTAATTTACATTCCCACCAACAGTGTATAAGCGTTCCGTGTTCTCCACAGCCTTGCCAACATCTGTTTTGTTTTGTTTTGTTTTGTTTTGTTTTTGACTCTTTAATAATGGCTTTCTAACTGGTGTGAGATCGTATCTTATTGTGGCTTTGATTTGCATTTCTTTGATGATTAGTGATGTAGAGCATTTTTTTCATATGATTGTTGGCCCCTTGTATGTCTCCTTTTGAGAAATTCATGTCTTTTGCCCATTTTTTAATAGGATTATTTGGTTTCGGCTTGTTTAAGTAAGTTGCTTATGGATTCTGGATATTAGGCCTTTGTTAGATGCATAGTTTATGAATATTTTCTCCCATTCTGTAGGTTGTTTGTTTACTCTGTTGACAATTTCTTTTGCTGTGCAGAAGCTCTTTAGTTTAATTAGGTCTCACTTGTCAATTTTAGTTTTCATTGCAATTGCTTTTGAGGATTTAGTTATAAATTTTCTCCCAATGTTCAGGATGGTGTTTTCTAGATCTTCTTCTAGGATTCTTATAGTTTGAGTTCTTACATTTAAATATTTAATACATCTTGAGATAATTTTTGTATATGGTAAAAGGTAGGAGTTCAGTTTATTTGTTTATTTTTTTATTTTTTTTGCATATGGCTAGCCAGCTATCCCAGCACCAGTTTTTGAACAGGGAGTCCTTTCCCCATTGCTTGTTTTGGTCAACTTTGTTGAAGACCAGATGGCTGTAGGTGTGTAGCTTTATTTCTGGATTCTCTATTCTGTTTTTTGGTCTATGTGTCTGTTTTTGTACCTGTACCTGCTGTTTTGGTTACTTTGGCCTTATAGTATCGTTTGAAGTTAGGTAATGTGATGCCTCTAGCTTTGTTCTTTTTGCTTAGGATTGCTTTGGCTATTTGGGTTCTTTTTTGGCTCCATATGAATTTTAGAATAGTTTTTTCTGGTTCTGTGAAAAAATGATGTTGGTAGTTTGATAGGAATGGCATTGAATTTATAGATTGCTTTGGGCAGTATGGTCATTTTACGGATAGTGATTCTTCCAATCCATGAGTATGGAATATTTTTCCATTTGTTTGTGTCATCTCTGATTTCCTTGAGTAGTGTTTTGTAGTTTTCCTTGTAGAGATCTGTTACCTCCTTGGTTAGGTGTATTCTTTTTCTTGCTATTGTAAATGAGATTGCATTCTCGATTTGACTCTCAGCTTAAACATTATTGGTGTATAGAAATGCTACTGATTTTTGTAGGTTGACTTTTGTATCTCGAAACTTTACTGAAGTTGTTCATCAGTTCCAGGAGCCTTTTGGTGGAGTCTTCAGGGCTTTCTAAGAATAGAATTCCTGTCATCCATGAAGAGAGATAGTTTGACTTTTTCCATTCCTTTCTGAATGCCTTTTATTTCTTTCTTTTGCCTGATTGCTCTGGCTGGGACTTCCAGTACTATGTTGAATAGGCGTGGTGAGAATGGGTATCCTTGTCTTGTTCCAGTTCTCATTGGAAATGCTTCCGGTTTTTGCCCGTTCAGTATGATGTTGGCTGTGGGTTTGTCATATGTGGCTCTTGTTATTTTGAGTTATGTTCCTTAGATTTCTAGTTTCTTGAGGGTTTTTGTCATGAAGGGATGTTGGATTTTATCAAAAATGTTTTTGTGTCTATTGAGATGATCATATGGTTTCTGTTTTTAACTGTCTTATGTGGTGAATCACATTTATTGATATTTATTGATTTGCATTTGTTGAACCAACCTTCCATCCCAGGAATGAAGCCTACTTGATCTTTGTGAATTAACTTTTTGATGTGCTGTTGAATTTGGTTTGCTAGTATTTTGTTAAAAATTTTTGTGTCTATCTTCATCAGGGATTCAGGGATATTGGCCTGTAGTTTTCTTTTTTCATTTTGTCTTTGACAGGTTTTGATATCTGGTTGATGCTGGCTTCACAGAATGAGTTAGGATGGAGTCTCTTCTCAGCTATAAAATTTTATTCCCAATTTTTTTCTTCACCCATTGGTTTTTCAGAAGCATTGATTTAATTTCTATGTATTTATGTAGTTTTGAATGTTCCTCCTGTTATTGATAACTAATTCTATTTTATTGTAGTCAAATGAGATACTTGATATGATTTTGAGTTTTAAAAACTTTTTGAGACTTATTTGTGTCCTAACATATAGTCATTCCTGGAGAATGTTCCTTGTGCTAATGAAAAGAATGTATTTTGCAGGTGTTGGGTGAAAAGTTCTGTAAATGTTTGTTAGGTCCATTTGGTCTATGGTGCAATTTAAATCTGACTTTTTGTTTATTTTCTTTGTTTGTTTGTTTTTTGAGATGGAGTCTCGCTCTGTCACCAGGCTGGAGTGCAGTGGTGCAATCTCGGCTCACTGCAACCTCCGCCTCCCAGGTTCAAGCGAATTCTCCTTCCTTACCCTCCCAAGTAGCTGAGATTACAGGCATGCGCCACCATACCTGACTAATTTTGTATTTTTAGTAGAGATGGGTTTTCACCATGTTGGTCAGGCTGGTCTCAAACTCCTGACCTCAGGTGATCCACACACCTTGGCCTCCCAAAGTGCTGAGATTACAGGGAGCCACTGCGTCTGGCCAGTCTATATCTTTTAAATGGGGAATTTAACCCATTTTCATTCAAGGTTATTATCAATAGATGAGTACTTAACTCTTTTAATCTTGTTGATTACTTTCTGGTTGTTTTATATATCCTTTGTTCCTTACTTCCTCTCTTATTGTTTATTTTTGCAGTTGGGTGGTTTACTGCAGTGATAAGATGTTTTGTTTCTCTTTCTCCTTTGTGTATCAGCTCTACCAGTGAGATTTATAGTTTCACCTGTTTTCATAATGGTGGTTTATCATCTCTTCACCTTGAAATGTAAGACTCCCTCGAGTATTTCTTGTAAGGCCAGTCTAGTGGTGATGAATTTCCTTAGTTTTTGTTTGTCTGTGAAAGATTTCATTTCTCCTTCACTTCTGAAGGATAGTTTTGCTATCCTTCAGAATAGCATATAATATTCTTGGCTGGCACATAATATTATTGGCTGTCAGGGTCTTTTTTTTTTCTTTAAATACTTTGAATATATCATCCTATTATCTCCCAGCCTGTAAGATTTCTGCTGAGAAATCTGCTGTTAGTCTAATTGGGATCCCTTCATATGTGACTTGACACTTCTTTTTTGCTGCTTCTGAAATCCTTTTTTTTTTTTGTCTTTGACTTTTGACAGGGCACACTATATAATGTGCCTTGGAGAGAACCTATTTGTGTTGAATCTATTTGGAGTTCCATGAGCTTCCTGGAAATAGACATCCATCTCTCTCACAAGACTTGGAACATTTTCTGCTATTATTTTATTAAATATGTTTTCCTCACTTTTTTCCTTCTCTTCTCCTGGAACACCCACAATATGAATGTTTGTTCCCTTATTGGTATTCCATAAACCCTATAGGCTTTCTTTATTCTTTTTTATTATTTTTCTTCTTTCTTGTCTGCCTATGTTATTTCAAAAGACCTGTCTTCAAGTTCAGGAATTCTTGCTTCTGCTTGGTCTAGTATGTTATTGACGATCTTGATGTATTTTTTTTATTACATTCGTTACATTCTTCAGCTGCATAATTTCTGTTTTTGTTCTTTTATATGATATCTATTGTTTTGTTAAATTTTTCATTCAAATCATGAATTGTTTTTCTGATTTTGTTGAATTATTTATCTGTATTCTCTTGTATCTCATTAAGTTTCCTTAAGACTATTGTTTTGAATCCTATTTCTGGCATTTCATATGTTTCCTTATGATTGGGGTCTGTTACTGGAGAATTATTATTTTCCATTGGAGGTGACATGTTTCCTTGCTTTTTCATGATTGATATGTCCCTATGATAATTTCTATACATCTAGTGGAAAAGTTGTCTTTTCCAGTTTTACAGAGTAGGTTTCATAGGGAAAGACTTAGTCATATGAATAGGTCTTCAGGTATCAGTGGGGTGCATTGACTTTGGTTCTAGGTCAATGCAGTAGTGTAGTCTTCATGTCATTTCTTCAGCTGTAAGCCACACTAGTGGCATTTGCAAGTTTCTCAGTGTCCTAGGCTGACAGAGTTTGTGGCTATGATGTACAGTTTTGCCAGGGGTGAGATCATTAGCCCTGTTTCTGAGGTTGGGCATGCATGTGTGCATATGGTATGTTGGCCAACTTGGGCTCTGGCTCACTGGGATTGGGGCCACAGGGCTGTTACTTTGACCAAGAGCATAGACAATAGTTGTTTGGCCAGCCTTGGGGTGTGCCTCACAGGAGGAGCCTGCAGAGCTGTTTTTCAGGCCTGGTATGCAGGTATATGGCTGCTCAGCTAGCCTGGAGTTGTGTTTTCTGGGGGTGACCCATGGGATTGTTTCTCAGGCCCAGGACACAACCACATGGCTGCTTGGCTGGCCTGGGGGTGTTTCTGTGGGGTTTGGCCCACGGGGCTATCTCATATGTCTTGGATGCAGGCACAGGGCTGCTCAGTCAGATGCCCACCAGATGCAGCCTGCTCCTTGGGCCCAGGGTGTATGCACACAGCTGCTTGAATGACCTGGAGGTATGTCTCCTGCGGGTGGCCCAAAAAATGTTTTTCAGGTTTGGGATATTGGCACATGGCTGTTCAATTGGCCTGGGGTAATGTCTGCAGGGCGTGGACACAGAGATTTTTCTTGGGCCTGTAACACAGCTGCATGGCTGTTCCTCTGGCTTGGGGGCATTTCTGCAGGGGAAGGATTGCCCTATGGGGCTGTTTCATAGGCTCAGGATGCAGGCGCAGGGCTGCTTAATTGGCCTGGGGCATGCCCGCCAGAGGTGGTCTGTAGGGCTGTTCCTTGGGCTCAGGAGTGAGAGCACAGCTGCTCAGCAAGTTAGAGGCCTGTCTGCCAGGGGCAGCCACAGGGTTGTTTCTCAGGTCTGGGACATAGGTGCAAGGCTGCCTGGCTGGCTCAGGGGTGTGCTCACCAATGTTGGCCCATGGGGCTGTTTCTTAGGTCTGGAAATGGGCTCTTGGCTGGTTGGCTGGTCTGGGAGGGTGCCTGCCAGGGGCAGCTTGTGAGACTGTTTCTCAGGCCCTTATTATGGGCACAAGGCTGTTGGGCAGGCCATGGGTGTATCTGTGTGTGTGTTGGGGGGCGCGGGCAAGGGGACTCTGTGGGGCTGTTTCACAGGCCTTGAACATGGGCATGTAGCCACTCTGCTGACCCAGGGGCATATCAGCTGCTCGGAGGCTCAGGGGCTTCTTCTGCCTGGAGGAGGGCATGCAGCGGTTTGGGCGGCTCAAGAGTGGGTTCACCCTGGATGGGACTGGCAGACTATTCCTCCAGTTGGAAGTGTGACGGCAGGGGTTGTTTTTCCTGCTGTGCAGACCAGAGTCACAGCTGATCCTGGGCCCATGGGCCCAAGCTATGCACAGCTGGGATTGTAGTGTTCAGCCACCCACCTGGGCTTGGCATAAAGATGGAGCCCCAGGGCTAGACAGGTGCAGTATCTACTGGCCCCCAAAGCAGGTGCTCTCCAGTTGTGCCTCTGGTCTCAAGATGGTGCCGTGCTGCAGCAGCTTGGCTCATGGAGTGGGTGGGGCATGCACATCTTATGCTGCTCGCCTGGTTCAACACAGCTGCATGGATTCCCAGCAGCCCTTCAAACTGGACTCACGGCTTGTGATGACTATGGGATTCTCCTGTAACAAGGACTCTAGGTGTTTGCAGTGACAGTGAGGGCTGGTGGAGATCTTCTGCTTATCTTTTTACCTGTAACAGGAAGTCCCCCTGACTTCAAATGACCTGGGCAGGGGAGCCAGGGCTGTAGAGGCCAGGTGCCTGCAACGGGTCCTCCTGGACGTCCAACCACCACAGGTGCATCTTCACTCCCCTGATTCACTTCAGTGCTCTCCTGTATGACTCCAGTCAAGCCTTAGCTGTTTATTTGCTGCCTTGGTCCTTTCTTATTGGGAGGATGGATGCCAGGCGTCTCTAGTGAGCCATCTTGCTCCATCTGTATTTTTAAAGTTTCTTGGGTGACTGTGACACTCAACCCTGCTTAAAAACAACACAGTAGGCCGGGCGCAGTGGCTCACACCTGTAATCCCAGTACTTTGGGAGGCCAAGTCGGGCGGATCACCTAAGGTCAGGAGTTTGAGTCCAGCCTGACCAACATGAAGAAACCCTGTCTCTACTAAAACTACAAAATTAGCCAGGCGTGGTGGTGCATGCCTGTAATCCCAGCTACTTGGGAGGCTGAGGCAGGAGAATCACTTGAATCCGGGAGGCGGAGGTTGTGGTGAGCCAAGATCATGCTATTGCACTCCGGCCTGGGCAACAAGAGCAAAACTCTGTCTCCAAAAAAAAAAAAAAAAAAAAAATCCAGTAGTCATTTTCTGGAATACAACCTTAGCTGTATTAACAAAGAGAACTAAAATCACAGAGGCTCAAACAGATGAAATGTTATTTTTCTCTCATTAGGTGGGCAACCCAGGGCAGGCAGGTGACTCCAATCCTCGGGGTGGCTTGGGATGCAGGCTTTATCTACATCACTGCCTCATCACCAGAGAAAGGCTCTTCTCTGATGGGGGTTAGAGTCCCCATCCTGTGTCTACTCTCCACCTGCCGGAAGAATGAGGAGAGAGGGGGTACCTAAAGAGGCACATCTCATCCTCAAAAAAATAAATCACACAGCCACACCTTGCTGCAAGGGAGGAAATCCAGTCTCTTAGTTTCCAGATGCCACGTAACCCTGTGGGAATTAGGAAGGAGACAGCGGATGCAAGGGACGTGGTCACATCTTCTATCAGGGGACTGCTTCGGCCAGTGGTTCTCAAATTTTCTGCACATTAAAATCATCTGGATAAGTTGGAAAAAATGAATACTCAGGACATACTCCATGCCAGCTAAATCAGAATCGCCAGGAGTGGGACCCAGGTGTGAGTACTTTTTAAATCATGTCTACAAATAACACTTTCAAGACCCGGAGGCAACAGAGAAACATCTTCCCTAGGGGAGCATAAGGAAGGTTCTGGAAAGCTGGCACAGACCACTGGGTTCCAGAGGGCCAAGCTGACATCAGTCGTTTAGGGATGCAGGAATGCTGTGGTTGCCACTGCACAGCCAGCCACTCATCTCCGTATGGGTCACAGTGAGTCAGGGCGTCTGTCCATAACCACAGCATGGAACCCCATTCAGATAAATTACTTGCTGGTGCCTAAGGCGAGCAGCAGGCCCTGCACACGCTCCTGCAAGAGGCAATACTGGCAGTAACCTCACAAGTCACAAAGCTCTTTGGGATAATCCTGCTAGATGTTTAAGGCAGTGAGTCCTGAGCTCAGAGCCCAGCTGCCCAGCCACGTGGTTCACCTCTCTAGGATTATTTTGTCATGGGTAAAATGGGGACGATAACAATACCCAAAATTTATATGGTGTTTACTGTATCCCAGTCACTTTTCTAGGTGCTATATATATATATATATATATATATAATATACATTAGTATATAGTACAAATATATATTATATATATATTTATGTAATCATCACAACAATCTCGCAAGGTAGACGTGAGTACTACTTTTATTTTATAGACGAAGAAACTGAGCCACAGAGAGGTCAAGCAAATCATCCAAGGCCACACAGCAAATAAGTGGCCAAGGCTGGCTTTGAAGCCTGATCTAGCTCTAATGTTCATATGGCTTGGAACTGTGTCCCCATCCAAATTCCATGTTCAATTGTAATCCCAAGTTTTGGAGGTGAGGCCTGGTGGGAGGTGACTGGATCATGGGTGGAGTTCTCATGAATGGAATGGTTTAGTACCATCTCCTTGGTACTGTTCTTGCAATAGTGAGTGAGTTCTTGAGAGATCTGGTCATTTAAAAGTGTGTTGCACCTCCCTTCTCATTCTCTTGCTCCTGCTTTAGCCATGAGATGTGCCTGAGTCTCCTTTGCCTTCCCCCATGATGGAAGCTTCCTGAGGTCTCTCCAGAAGCAGAGGCTGCTATGCTTCCTGTCCAGCCTGCAGAACTGTGAGCCAATTAAACCTCTTTTCTTATGCATTACCCAGTCTCAGGTAGTTCTTCATAGCAGTGTGAGAATGAACTAACACAATGTCTATGCTCCTATCCAATGTCCAGTGCAGTTCAGTTCATAGCTTTGTCATGGGGATGAAATGAGGCAATGGGTTTCATAATAGTAGCTAGTCCAGAGTAGCTATTCATAATAGTGGACTCTTGGGATTAAAATCAAAAGTTGCAGGCCAGGCACAGTGGCTCACATCTGTAATCCCAGCACTTTGGGAGGCCGAGGCAGGTGGATCACCTGAGGTCAAGAGTTCAAGACCAGCCTGGCCAACATGGCGAAACCCCATCTCTACTAAAACACACAAAAAATACAAAAATTAGCTGGTGATTTTAATCCCAAGAGTCCACTACTATGAACAGCTACTCTGGGCCGGCTACTGTTGTGTTAGTTCATTCTCACACTGCTGTGAAGAACTACCTGAGACTGGGTAATGCATAAGAAAAGAGGTTTAACTGGCTCACGATTCTGCAGGCTGGACAGGAAGCGTAGCAGCCTCTGCTTCTGGAGAGACGTCAGGAAGCTTCCAATCATGGTGGAAGGCAAAGGAGACTCGGAAAAGTGCCGGTAATCCCAGCTACTCAGGAAGCTGAGGCAGGATAATTGCTTGAACATGGGAGGTGGAGGTTGCAGTGAGCCGAGATTGCAGCACTGCACTCCAGCCTGGGTGACAGAGTGAGACTCTTGTCTCAAGAAAAAAAAAAAAAAAAAAAGTTGCCCCTTAGCAATGAAAATTAGAATGTCTTTTTGTCCCAGGAGCTAGTAGAGCATCTTGCTCCATGGTAAGCACTCAGTAAGAATGAATACAGCGTAGAGTTATTTTCCGAGCTTCTCTCTGTTTCTGTCTGTCTGTGTCTCTTTCTCTGTCCCCTGCATCCTTGGTGTCTGAAGCCAAATGTGTTTTCTGGGTGGGCAAGGCCGCCAGCAGGGGATGCTCTGATAACTACAGCATGTTCTCCCTCTGGTCCGCACTTTGTGCTGCTTTTCAGGCTTTTTATGGAAGATTCTGATGCAAACCTCTTCTTGATGAGGCCATGCCAACCCTCTTGGGCTCTCTGTTTAAATTTTTGTTGTTGTTGTTGCTTCTGTCTGAAACTTCACAAAATGACTCCCTTAGATTCACCCAAAATACTGTTTCTTGTCCTGAAATAGCATCTTATACTGTCACAAGCATTCTTTTCTTTTTTTCTTTTCCTGGGTTGAAAATCCTAAAAGAGTCACGGTGTCAGAGGGTTCTTCCTCAATAGCCTGGAGGCCTCACCTCTCCTTTGCTCTTGATGGAGCCCTGGAGCCAGAAGCCCAGCACCTTCCTCAGGGCCACCCTGAGGGCACCAGGAGGACAGCTCCAGACGGCAGAGGCCCGGAGAGTGAGCCCAGCTCCCTTCTCTAGTACTCACATTTACAGCCAACCTCAAGTCACGTGAGCCTGTTGTGGGGTCTCTGGGCTCTACTACCAGGTCTCAGCTGTCACGGCTATTTTTCCTCTGGATTGGTCATCTCAAGTCCATCTAAAAAGTCCTCTGCGGATGATGTCCCAACTCAATGTACAGCCCAGCTGTTCCAGAGAAGGGGCGGTCAGGCCACCAGAACAAGCTGCCATCATTTAACAATTATGATGCTTCTGAGCTTCAGTTTTTACCCCTAAGTCTGGGAGAGTTAACTGGATCCGTTCTTTTCATTTGGAGTTTCAGATGTGTTTCCCAAGAGCCTCCCAGTGAGTGGTGTGGAAAGAGGCACTCACCCACACGAAGGCAGGAAGAATTGAAGCTGCCACTTTCCTGGAGCTATTTTTATTGTTGAAGCTTTTCTGAGCCCTAACACTTGACTCAGGGTTAGTCAGAACGCTGCGGAGGATGCAGCTGTGGGTCCCTGGGTGACCTCAGATCCATCTCTAAGCAAAGCCAGGGGAGGAGCATCTCCCACAGCGCTGCAGGGTCTGGGGTGGGCTGAGAACTCAGGGACCTTAACACCAGGCCTCGGGCTTCTTCAGACTCAGGGAAAGCCCACAGTGCTGCCTCATGCACTTGGACTCACTAACCTTCACCCAGGTGCAATTGCTCTGCGTTCCACAGAGTGGGTAGATAGAATCCAGGTGAGAAAACTGGCAATCTCTGGGGTCATGTCTAAGCCAAGTCAAATCTGAGCCCTCTGACACCCTCCCCCGGCCCCCAGTTCCCTCTATGAGCCCACATGGAAGGATCTGGAACTATCTCTTCTATCTGGCTGGACGCAGTGGAGATGGCCTCTGGGGGTGGGCAAGAACTCTGAAAGTTTCGATGAAACAGGTTTGTGAGAGTCTTGATATAATTGGGAATCAAGTTTTGTCAAAGTTCACAGAATTGGAGTTTCATAAAAGCCTTTTGTTATTTTTCCAAAATGGATGGTTATTATATCCCAATAGCTATACAATGCATACTTAGCTTCCGACAGAAAGAGAATCTGCTTCAGCCAGAGCAGAAGAAGCACTTTCCCGTTAGAGGGAGAGAGAGGTTCCCTGTCATGGGGTGTACTCGCACAGTGTCTGTGACTTGGGAATGCCCCGCTCCAAGGCAGGGGAGAGATGAGCCTGTCCCCGAAAGTGCTGCCTCATCTGCTCAGGCTCCAAGAAAAACTGGAAATGGTCTCATGACAGTGAGACAGTTCATATCCTAGCATCCTCCGCCTTGCTTTCCTCCTGTCTGCCAGTTTCAGGAGGGTTTCAGGGCCAGTTCTGTTTGTGGAAGAAATGTTTGTTTCTTTCTCTGTTTTATGATTTTATCCATTTAATGAAGGAAGAAAGCCAAATCAGTGATGAGATACAGAACCCCTCGCCACAACCCCCTCCACATTCCTTCCCCAAAGCTCATTTGCCTTTTAATTTTAAACCATTTATCCTGTTGTTGCTTTGCTGCTCGTTAAGAGTCACCTGGGGAATATAAAATCCTCCCTGATCCCCGGGCTTGGGATTCAAGCATCAGTAGTTTTAAAAACTCTCCAGATGATTCTCACACGCAGCCCAGTTGAGAAGCAGTAATCGACACCAGCACTGTCTCAGACTGTGTGTGTGTGTGAGGGGCAGGAGGTGGGCAGAGGGTGGACTAGATCAGTGCTTCCCAAAATCTGTCTGAACCTCAATCAGCTTTTTAAAAATACAGATTCCTGGGTCCCGTCTCTAATATGCTAAGTGAGAGGCTATTTAGGTAGAACCCAGAAATCTGAATTTTTGAAAGCTCCCCTTGATGGTTTTGCTAATCAGTCAAGATTGGCCATGATGGGTCTACCATGTTCGGGTCGCCCAGGGATCCTGGTCAAGTGGAGATTGTGATTCAGGAGGTGTGGAATGGGGCCCCAGAATCAGCATTTCTAACAAGTTCCCAGGTGATGCCAGTGCTCCTAAGCTTCAGGCCACACCTCGGATAGACACGGCCATGGTGTGTTTGTTGTCCCTGATGCCAACTGATCCGTGGGGAGGAGAAAATTTTGAAGCCATTTTAGGCAAACAAACTCCTTTGAGTGTAGAGCTTCTCTGGGTTGTTAGAAAATGATTTCTAGTTTTTATACAGAGATGGGACTGACAACTATGGTTTAGGGGAGGAGCTGGGCTTCCAGAATCTACAATGTTCCAGACCAAAGTAACCTGGTAGATCCATGATGCCCAATCTTGACTGATTAGCAAAACCATCAAGGGGAGCTTTCAAAAATTCAGATTTCTGGGTTCTACCTGAATAGCCTCTCACTTAGCACATTAGAGACGGGACCCAGGAATCCGTATTTTTAAACAGCTGATTGAGGTTCAGACAGATTTTGGGAAGCACTGATCTAGTCCACCCTCTGCCCACCTCCTACCCCTCACATATACACGTTTTATAGAAGAGGAGGCTGCCCCAGGCGTGAGCTTCCCTTCTGCAACAATACGGCATTTTCTGCTGACGACTGAGTGAGTGAGAAAAAAGAAATCTGAGTGAGTGATAGGCAGAATTTCTTCCAGGTTGCTGTTTGGGGAATCAGATTCAGGCTAATAAATTCAGGCCATGCGTCTGCCTTCGCTTTCCTTGGCTGTCAGGCTAATTTTATGAGACAGTAAAGACAACAGCCGGGTATAGAGATGGCTAATAAAAAAGACAATTTGGCCCTTCAAGAACAGAAGGAGATTTTATGCCTCTCCAGGATGCCATACTCCCGTGTGGAAGGGCACATGATTCTCCGAGGGATGTGCCACACCATGGGCAGGCTGGCTGCCTACCCCTCCAGCATACCTGGGTGCTGCAGCTGGTCATGGTGGGCCCTCCTTAGACAACTCTCTGGCATTCTATCTTCCTTCAATGACCAAGGGTGGGCTGGGTACTTGTGGTTCTTGCCTGTAATCTCAGCACTTTGGAAGGCCAAGTCTGGAGGATCCCTTGAGGCCAGGAATTCGAGACAAACCTGGACAACATAGCAAGACCCCATCTCTACAAAAAAAAAAAGAAGAAGAAGAAGAAGAAGAAGAAGACCAAGGGTGAAGAATTTTAGAGCCTCATGACAAATCGCAGCCACAGTCCCATTGTAGGCATAGAAATACTTCTGCCTGCCCCACTGGGACTTCCCACAGCCCTGCCACTGGGAGCCTACAGGATGCCTACAGCTCTAAGTGCCTGTGTCAACCCGGATCTGCTCATAGTGAGCACCTGTGGGGGAGATGAGCTGCTTTCAGATCTGTTTGATACCCAACACTCATACTTGTGCCTGGATGCCCCCCCACCGTGCTCAAGATCAGCTCAAAACACTGACTGATGAGAACCTGTAGAATTTGCCATAATTATTCGTGCAATTTCTTTAACCATAACCAGTAGACTTTTTTCCCTTTATCAATGCTTGATTTTTTTTGTTAAATTAGTGTGAATTTATTTTTATTTTTATTTTTCAGAGACAGGGTCTTACTCTTGTCACCCAGGCTGGTATGCAGTGGTTCAATCATAGCTCACCGCAGCCTTGAACTCCTGGGCTTAAGCAATCCTCCCACCTTAGCCTCCCAAGTAGCTAGGAACTTACGAGATTGCACCACCATGCCCAACTAATTTTTTATTATTTTTTTTTTTTGTAGAGATCAGTTGTTGCTATGTTGCCCAGGCTGGAGTGCAATGGCATAATCATAGCTCACTGCAACCTCAAACTCCTGGGCTCAAGCCATCCTCTTACCTCAGCCTCCAGAGTCACTAGAAGTGCAGGTATGAGCCACTGCTCCCAGTGAATTTTAAATTTTAAATCTTGATAATATGTAATCATTCATCAATTAATTCATTTCCTGAGCACATACAAGGTATCAGTAAATACCATCTATTTATATATTTTAATGTTCATGAGCCTGTCAAGTAGGTATGATTATCTCTACATAGGAAGAACCTGAAGTTAAGAGACCCAGAACAATCATCCAAGATTATGCAGCCGGACACCTCAGTCCATTCACTGAGGTTTGAACTCACATCTTTCTGGCTCCAAAATGTCTTCTTCCCCCAAATCACACTAACTCCAAGTGACAGTCTCTCTGTCATTTTAGAGACTGAGGGAGGCTTCTAATTGTCATTTTAAAAAATGTATTTTCATGGCAAAGATATGATAAAGCTAAAAGACACAGCACACACTGAAAGTAGTTTCAACATGTGAAATGGCCTGGATCTATGTCCCCACCCAAATCTCATGTTGAACTGTAGTTCCCAGTGTTGGAGGTGGGGCCTGGTGGGAAGTGATTGGATCATGCAGGTAGATCCTTCATGAATGGTTTAGGACCATCCTCTTGGTGCTGTTCTCATGGTGGTGAGTGACTTATCACAAGATCTGGTTGTTTAAAAGTGTGTAGCACCTCCCGTTTCTCTCTTGCTCTTGCTCCAGCCACGTAAGACATGCCCGCTTCCCCTTTGCCCTCACCATGACTGTAAGTTTCCTGAGGCTTCCCCAGAAGCAGAAGCCACTATGCTGCCTGTATGGCCTACAGAACTGTAAGCCAATCAAACCTCTTTTCTTTATAAACTATGCAATATCAAGTATTTCTTTATAGTAGTGCGAGAGCAGACTAATACAACACATAACAATATAATATACTTATCAGCACACTCATAAATCAGTAAGTTAAAATGTGTACATACTATTTTCTCAGAGAAGCTGCCCGTGACCCCCTAGTCTGTATCAGGGCCCGATTACTGCACTGCACAGCCCCCTCTGGTTTTCTTCCTGTGAGCAGCACAGCCCTGGTGGCACTTAACAAACGCTGACTGTGCAGGCCCTGTGCTACTCAACGCTAATTTAAAGATGGACAAAATAGCAGGCTGACAGGCATTATCTGTATTGCATCCCTTTTGGAAGTGTTTATACTGCCAGATTGCGGCCTATTTGTTTAAAATAAACTTTTTATTTTGGAATAGTTTTAGGTTTACAGAGAAGTTGCAAAGACTGTGCAGAGAGTTCTCACCCAGTTTCCCCTAACGTTAACATTTACGTTACCATGGCTAATTATAACCTCAGGTAAATCTTTTTTTTTTTTTGAGACCGAGTCTCACTCTGTCGCCCAGGCTGGAGTGCAGTGGTGCGATCTCGGCTCACTGCAACCTCTACCTCCCAGGCTCAAGCAATTCTCTTGCCTCAGTCTCCCGAGTAGCTGGGATTACAGGCACCTGCCACCACTATACCTTGCTAATTTTTGTATTTTTAGTAGAGATGAGGTTTCGCCATGGTGGCCAGGCTGGTCTCAAACTCCTGACCTCAGGTGATCCGCCTGCCTCGGCCTCCCAAAATTCTGGGATTACAGGTGTGAGCCACCGTGCCCGGCCATACTTTTTAAGAGTGATTACTTTTTCTTTTCTGGTGGAGTCAGGGTAACCACTGGGCACACATCCAGAAGACCTGAGTCCTAGGAGCTGCAGCCTTGGTGGTCGCATTGACTTTCCGAGTCTCAGTTTTATCAAAAATAATGGGATGGCCCTGCCAATGTTCTTTGGGAGAGTTAAATGAGACCACATCTGCAGAAGGCCCGGGATCATGCCCAGCACACTTGTTGAGGATGAAACTCTGTAATCTGGCTTGAAGTAGAAGTTTCCATTAGGCTGTGTGTTGAAAACAGGCCTAAGGTTCCTATTTTCACTGCCATTCCCTGCAATGCTGAGCCATACCTGGACTTGTGTTTACTTAATATACTGTGTATATTTTTCTCCCTCCTCTTGCCTTCCCTCCTCCTTTCCCAATAAATCCTATTTGACGGATTCAGGCCAAGGGCAGTTGTTCTCAACAGAGATATTGTTTCCTCTTCCGGCTTGCATGTTTCAAAGTCCTTGGCAGAGCCAGGTGGTCTCAGCCAAGCCAGGGAGCAGCACCGATGCACAGCCCGTGCATCCTGAATTCATAAGCAGCGCAGAAACCCTGAGCCCAGAGGGACTGCCAAGAGGGTGCAGGGGGAAAACCTTTCCAAACCTGTCATGTTAACGGGGCTGCAGGAGGGCGGGGTAAGAGTGGAGATGGGAAGGGATGGGGGAGAGAAAACACATAATTAGGAAATGTGGGCTCTGGTCATTTTCCTCTCCATCCTGATTTGTTTCATGCCCCCTGAGCAAGACGCCAAGCCGGCACACATGTTTTCAGAAATGAATAAGACACTTCAACGCTTCAGAATGAAAATGACACTCTGGAAGTGTACACTTGGTGCCTGAGCCTGCCTATGTCCGCACTCACACAGATGCCCTCTAAAAGAGGCGTCTTCTTCGGGCACAGCTCGCCTCGCCCACAACGTCTGGGAAGGCAGCAGACGGCTAAAAGGAGCAATGCTGGGGCTGTGCCTGAATAAGGAGGTTCTCCTCAAGGCATTCTTTCTCGTTCATTCTAGTCTGTCAAGGAGGTTCCACTCAAAATGAATAGTTGCTAAGCCCATTCAAAACAGCTGTCCATATTCCTTAGTTAGCACGAGAGAACCCGAAACACAATATTTACATGCTGTTATTCTTTTTCGTTTCTCTTTCTTCTTCTTCTTTTTTTAAGCACAACAGAGTTGGCCTTTAATGCTTGCCTTTCCTTACGTGCCCAGGTTTTTAATTGGACCACTCCCTGTGCTTTGGAGTTTGGGCGGCAGAACCGCGTAAGGAGAAGCCGTCTGGGTGTCTCCCCTCCGCCAGGCAAGGCAGACAACCAGAGCCGAGCAGCACAGAGATCTTTCTGCAGTGGGAGAAACAGATGAGAAAACTCTACGAACACACAGACACCTCTGGAGGAGGAGGACAAGCAGTAGAAGGTTACACATCTGGGTTGTGAAGGGAATTGTGACTAATCTTGAAAGTTACAATGTACAGAAAGTTCCAGAAATGTAGACCTTTTGTTCCTTCACATTAAATGTAACTTGGGCCCGGTCACGGTGGCTCATGCCTATAATCCTAGTACTTTGAGAGGCCAAGGCGGGTGGATCGCTTGAGCTCAGGGGTTCAAGACCAGCCTGGCTGACACAGTGTGATCTTGTCTCTACGAAAAATAAAACAAAATCAGCCAGACATAATGACGTACGTCTGTATTTCCAACTACTTGGGCAGTTGAGGTGAGAGGATTGCTTAAGCACAGCAGGTCAAGGCTGCAGTGAGCCATGATTATGCTGCTGTACTTCAGCCTGGGCGATAGAGGTAGACCCTGTCTCAAATATATATATATGTATATTATATATAATACATATGTATATTATCCAGTTTCAGATATTCTGTTATAAGCAACAGAAAACAGACTAATGCAGGCACCATAACTGCACTCATTTCATTATATACATATATATATACACACATTATATACATACACACATATATACACACATTTTATATATATACATATATATATTTCATTTCATATATATACATATATACGTGTGTGTGTGTGTGTGTGTGTGTGTGTGTGTGTATTTATTTGAGACAGGGTCTAGCTCTATCGCCCAGGCTGATATAAGTTGCAAATCAGTGATTTTGGTGCCTGCTTCCTTATTCCTCCAGCGCAGGTACAAACTCATGTAGATGGAATCTCCTGTCCTAACAATAATAATACATTTGATTTAATAATAGCACTTTGGCCAGGCATGGTGGCACATGCCTGTAGTTCTAGCTACTTGGGAGCCTGAGGCAGGAGAATCACTTGGGCCCAGAAGGTCAAGGATGCTGTGAGCTATGATGTTGCCACTGCACTCTAGCCTGTGTGGCAGAGCAAGACCCTGATAATAATAATAATAATAATAATAATAATAATAATAATAATAATAGCACTTACCATTGTTGATCATTTATTATTGCCAGGCATTAATTCAGGCACCTTAAACTGTACCTGTCCAATTGTATGAAATGGGTACAGTTATGGTGCCTGCATTAGTCTGTTTTCTGTTGCTTATAACAGAATATCTGAAACTGGATAATTTATAAAGAAAAGGCACTTACTGCTTACAGTTATGGAGGCTGCTCACAATTATGAAGTCCCAGGTTGAGAGCATGCATCTGGTGTGGACATTCTTGCTGGTGGGGACTCTCTGCAGAGTCTTGAGGTGGCATCACACGGCGAGGGGGCTGAGTGTGCTCATGTGCTCAGGTCTCTCTTCCTCTTCTTATAAAGACATCAGCTCCCTTTCTGTGATAACCCATTAACCCATTAACCCACTAATTCATAAACAGATTATTCTATTCATGCTGGCAGAGCTGTCATGATCCAATCACCTCTTAAAGGTGATTTTAATACTGCCACATTGGGGATTAAGTTTCCAACATGTGAAATTTGGGGGGCACATTCAAACCATAGCAGCTCCTATATTGTAGATGAGGACACTGGGATCTGGATTTCTGCAGTAATCTCCCGAGGCCCATGTGATTCCCAGAGGCTGGCTGGGCTGTAATAGAAGCCAAACTTGAAACTTGTGATCATGACACTGTATTGCCCACCTTGTGCAAATGGAAGCAATTCATTTAGGTTCCCCGAGCCTCTGTTAAGCAAGAGGATTTTATTACATGTTTTCAAAGCTCCTTCCAGACCTTTTTTTAATCAAAATGAATCCTAGCTTCATCTTCCACTCACTGCTTCTCAAGACTAAATACAGAAATGCAACATCTCCAGTTACTTGCTCCTGGTGGCAAAGTGAAGGTAGGTATTTATGGGTGGGTGATGTTAATATGGCCTCTTCACATCCCTTCCAGAGGCTCTGTGAGAGGAACCCTTATACTGTAAACAAAATATTTGAGTCCATCGAGTCTCTTACAAAAGACCTTGTTGGAGATCTCTGTAGATTAGCAGTGTGACCTAACAGATTGTAGGAGTAACACTAAAATACTTAAAAAATGAGTCAGACATGGATGATGGATGAGCCTTGAGGACATTATGCTAAATGAAATAAGCAGACACAAAAGAAGAACAAATACTGTATGATTCAACACATGTGAGCTACCTAGAACAGTCAAATTGAGACATAGAGAACAGTGGTGGTGGCCAGGGGCTGCAGGGAGGAGGAAATGAAAAGTTTAATGGGTACAGAGTTTCTGTTTGGGAAGATGAGAGACTTCTGAACGTGGATGGCGGTGAGGGTTGCACAGCAATGTGAGTGTACTTTATGCCAATGAAATGTGTGCTTCAAAATGGTTAAACTGAAAAATTTTATGTATATACATTTATATATATATATTTTTTTTTTTTTTTTTTTTTTTTTGAGACGGAGTCTCACTGTTGCGCAGGCCGGAGTACAGTGGAGCAATCTCAGCTCACTGCAACCTCTGCCTCCCGGGTTCAGGAGATTCTCCTGCCTCAGCCTCCCGAGTAGCTGGGATTACAGGTGGGCACCACCACGCCCAACTAATTTTTGAATATTTAGTAGAGACAGGGTTTCCCCATGGTGGTAAGGCTGGTCTCGAACTCCTGACCTCATGATCCGCCCACCTCAGTCTCCCCAAGTGCTAGGAATACAGGCATGAGCCACCGCACCCAGCCTGTTATGTATATTTTACTACAGTAAACAAAAACATGAATAAATGAAGAAGCTTCTTACTGTTTATTTATAGTTGTATAATACGTGTTTGGTTAAAAATAAAGTATAAAAAATTAAAATAACATAATTTTCACCAACCAGAAATAACTATAATTATTTCTGTCTAATCTTTTTCCTTTGCATCCATCCATCCATCTAATATATAGAGAGAAACTCAAATATTTGAATTCATATTGTATAGTTATTTATTCATTTTATTATCTTCATTTAACATTGCAAGCATTTTCCAAGCAATTAAAATGTATTTATAAACATAATTGTAATGGCTACATACTAGTTTAGGCATGCTTTAATTTATTTAGCCCTCTCTTGTTTTTGTTTTCCTAATTTTTTTACTTTGTAAATAGCATTAAAGCACTCATACTAGTGCATTCATTGCTGCCTGCCTCTGATTACTTCCATAGGGCTGGCTCCTAGAAGCAGAGTTACTGAGTCAGAGGACAGGTTATGTATTCGAGGAAACTTTTTACTTTTTCTCTGTGTGTATGTGCATGCATGTGTGCGTGTCTGTGTGTGTGTGTGCGTGTGTGCATGTGCGTCTGTGTGCGTGTGCGTGTGTGCGCATGTGCATGCATGCGCACGTGTGTGTGCGTGCGTGCGCACGTGTGTGTGCGCGCGCGTATTTGGATGACTTTCAGAAGCCCTTCATCCATCCTTTGTTCCTTCGGGATCTGTCTGAAGCACCTGCAATCTCCCACCTCTTTTGGTTGTTGTTGGGTACATAAAACCTCTGATGCCTGTCCTTAAAAGCTGACTTTAGGGAAGACATGTTTGAACCCTGACCATCCCTAAGGCAAAACCTAGAGATCTGAGCACAGGAAGTCTGTTGAGCAAAAGTGAATTAGACAGTAATGTTGACACAGACATGTCTGTGTCAGCATGGCTTGCATCACACAGGAGGATGTGAAGCAAAGGCAGGAACCAGCTCCCAGTTTGGGGCATGGAGAAAGCTTCCCCAGCTCAGCTGGTGTTTGGGGCCAAGGCTTCAGCTCAGCCCTGACTGCTCCCTAAAGCACTCCACACACTGTGAGGAGCAGGAAGCCTTGCTAGAGCTTCCTCTTCTGCTGGTAAACAAGTGGTTAAATGTAGCCCAGACAGCATTGACCTTGGCTTCCCCTCATTGCCCACTCACTCCTAAGAATCACCCACAGACTCACATGTAAAGGAAACCTTGAATCTCTGATCCTTAGGCAGCTTTTTGGTTTCAAAAGTCCTTGAGCCTTTTCCCTAGGGTCTGCTGACCTTTTCTTTTTATGTTTGCCCCACATCTCCCCAATACCTCCCTCCATCCAGATCTCAGCTCACTTGCAATTCCAGGAAGCTTTGGTGACCCACCCTCTCAAACCAGATTGAGAATCGGAATGTGCCTTTTTTCCATACTGCTTTTCACAATTTGCAATTATATTAATTTGTGTAATCATTTGATTAATGTATCATTTAATGTTTCCATTCAGCAAATATTTTTTACATGCCCGTGTGTGCCAGGAACTATACTGTTTGCTGGGACGACAGTGATGAACAAAACCAATTTGGTTCCTCTCCATGTGGAGTTGAAAGTCCAGCAAGAAATAAGCAAATAAAAAAGATGATTGCAATTTGTAATAAGTGCTATAAGAGAAGTGAAATGGAAGCAATTACAAAGATTGGAGGAGGGACCTCATTGGGCAGAAGGATGGAGAAGGTCACCCTGAAGTCCTGAGGTGTGGGAGGAGCCTCCCTAGGGAAGAGCCTTGGGGAAGGTGCTGCTCCTGGGATGTCATAGGGACAGCTGGAGGAATTGAAAGTAGCTGCATGGAGGGAGTGCTCAGTGAGAGAGGACAGATGGACAGTGTGCAGTAGGAGAGCGACACGGAACCAGGTCAGCACAGATGAGAGGCAGAGCAGCAGCTGCTGCAGTGGATGCTGTGGAGGTCATGGAAGATGGTACCCATGTTCCAGCAGCAGCCAGATGGCAGTGGATTGGAGAGTGAATGGATGGTGAGGAATTAGAAAGTTTACCTCTATGAAGAGAAGTTAGGGCTGTGCAGGAGAATAAAATCATTGGATGGATGAAGACAGATTAGAAGGGCCAAGGGAGAAACTAAAGTTGGTTTTCCATTTTTTCCTTTCTTTTGGATGGGAGATGGTGGAGCATGTTTATAATCTGTGGAGATGACTCAGGAGAGAGAGAGATTGAAAGAGAGAGAGATTTACAATGCTCAAAGAGGCAATAAACAGAGAGCTAAATCCTTGAGAAGATAAGATGGGATGGCATCCAGAAGAGAGATGAATAGATAAGACTTTTATAGGAGGAGAGCCACCTCATCAATTTTTTAACACTTTATTATGGAAAATTGCAAACCCACAAAGGTAGAGAAAATAGTATACTGAAACCCCGTATACCCATCACCCCAGCTTCACCACAGGGCCAGTTTCATTTCATCTATAATCCCAATCAATTTATCACCCCTCCCCAGATTATTTGGAAACAAATCCAAGACATGATAACTTTCCATTCACAAATACTTCAGTACGTATGCCTTAAAAATGAGGAGTTAAAAACTTATAACAAAACTATTATCATGCTTAATAATTTATTAGCATCATGAAGTATTTACTTAGTGTATACATTTCTCCAATTGTCCCTTACAGGCTTTTATTTTTAACAGCTGGCTTGTTCAAATCAAAACCAAAGCAAGTCACACATACTGAATTTGGCTGATATGCTTTTTAAAGGGGGCTTCTTCCTCCCTTTTTTTCCTCTTAACATTTGTTGAGGAAACCAGGTCTTTTGACTTACAGAACTTCACACTTTCTGGATTTTGCTGGTGACATACCCAAGGTGTCATTTAACACATTCTTCTCTCACTGATAACTCCTCTAAATTGCCAGCTTACATCTAACATCTGAAGATTCAGGTCTGGTGGTGGTAGTTTTTTGTTGGTTTGGTTTGGTCTGGTTTGGGGTTTGGGGTGGGGGGTTGAAGGAGGGAGAGGCAAGAGTGCCTCCCGGGTTTCTCTGTGTTTCCTGTTACATCACATCTGGGCCATGATGTCTGTTTTTCCTGAGTCTGGTGGTGTTAAAGTTGATTGCAGGGTTTGGTGGGGTCAGGCTGCTCCATCCTGCAAGTTCCTCATTAGCTCTTTACCTGTTGTCTTGGCAGTTGTGGATGGCCATTGCTGTAATTCCATCATTCTGTCATGGAGGGAATTGTATTACCCCAAAATTCATATGCTGAAGTCCTATCCTCCTGTCCTAACCTCAGCATACAAACTTATTTGGAAATAAGTTTGTTGCAGATGGAATTAGTTAAGATGAGGTCCTTTTGGAGTAGGATGGGCCGTTTATCCAATATAGCTGGTGCTGTGAAAAGAGGAGATTTGAATGCAGAGACAGATGCATAAGCACACAGGGAGTAGGCGAGTGAAGATTGGAGTTCTGCTGCCACAACCAGGAGAGGGCCTGGCCCAGATCCTTCTTCAGTGCTTTCAGAAGGAGCACGGCCCTGCCAACACCTTGATCTCAGACTTCCAGCCTCCAGAACAGGGAGACAGTACATTGCTGCTGTTTGAACCACTTAGTTTATGGTTCTTTGTTATGGCAGCTGTAGGAAACTAATAGGTATTTCTTCTGCTGCTTTTGATGGGAATATTGAGAGAGAGAGAGATACTTTCCTTCACCAAGTACTTGGTTATCCTGAGGTGCAGTTCACAGAGGAAATACAGAATGCGTGCTTGGTTCTTTCTCTGTATTTACTAGTTTCTAGAATATTGAGTGGCTCCCTAGTATCTTCCAAAGGCGACTAGTGAGGTTTTGTAACGTTAGTATGATTATAGCTATGGATTTCTAGATGTTTACGACATCTCTATCCATTGCTGTTCTTAATCTTTGCAATGATTAACTTTCCCCATCTTTGGCCAGGAACAGTCCCCTCCAGATGACTCCTGAGCCACCTGAAAGAATCTCCAATCATTTGAAGACTTTCTTGCTTTTTGGTTTAATAAAATGTTCCGGGTTCATCTTGTCCCAGGCAGGCAAACTGTCATTTCTGCAAGAGCTTCTAGCTCTTTTTAGTGGAAAATGATGTTTCAAGACCATAATGTGAGTGATAGGCATACTCATTGCTACCAGGCGATTACTGTCTCTAGACCTTTTCAGTGGATTGAGCTAGAAGAACAAACTAAGAGAAAATATATCACGAGTTTTGGCATTATTTCTCTTCTTTTACGCTAAAAACTTCTGTTCTTGGCCAATAACTTTATTATAATGAATTACTTGGTTTATCTTATTGCATGTGTCTGTGTTATAATTTTATCACACATGCAGTTAAAATAGAATCATTTTATATATTTATAAACTCCAAAATAACAACATTATCTGTAATAATAATATTATTACTAGTAATATTTACTAACAATATTATTGCCAACCATAATATTGCTGGAAACAGTTTTGGGTTTCTTTGTGACTCTTGTAATCCTTGGGATATGAATCCTAATAAACATGCATAGTCTAATTACTATGTTTTGGCAGGGCTCGGTGGCTCATGCCTGTAATCCCAGCACTTTAGGAGGCTGAGATGGGTGGATCACCTGAGGTCAGGAGTTCAAGACCAGCCTGGCCAACATGGTGAAACCCCATCTGTACTGAAAATACAAAATTTAGTCAGGCGTGGTGATGCACACCTGTAATCCCAGCTACTCGGGAGGCTGAGGCACGAGAATTGCTTGAACCTGGGAGGCAGAAGTTGCAGTGAGCCAAGATCATGAGATCATGAGATCATGCCGCTGCACTATAGCCGGGGTGACATCAGCGAAACTCCATCTCAAAAAACCAAAATAAAATAAATAAATAATTACTATGTTTTAAAGTCAATTGAAATAATTCCTTTTTGTGTGGTTAAGTCACCATGTTTATATACATTTAAGCTCAGTTGTTTTATTCTGAGTTCAATATTTTGGGGAAACTCAGTTTGCTTATTAAATTTTGTTCTAATAAAACATTTCGTTGGCTGCAAAGTCAAATTTGTAAAATAAGGTCTACTGTCTTACCCATCACTTGGTTTCCTCCTTCCTACACAGGTAAGCACATTTGTTAGTTTTTGGTACATCCTTCCATTAAAATTTTAAAATAGTACATATATATATACACACACACACTATTCGCGCCTATTCTAAGATATAAGGTAGCATACTATATACACTATTCTCAACTTTTCCAATTTCTCCCTACTAGAATGTGCAGCATTCCTCATTCCTTTTTTATAATGCTTGATTCTCCATTGTGTGGATTTGCCTTCTTCAACTAATTCCCCTAGTGATGGACATTTGGTTTGTTTTTCCGATCTTTGGCTACTACAAGAAGTACTGTACTAAATAGCTTTGCATGCATATTGTATTTTCACCAGCCTATCTTAGGGTTATTTTCTTAGGAGTGGGATTGCTAGGTGAAAGGGTTAAATATATATATAACTTTGCTCCATATTGCCAAATTTTCCTCCATAGGAGCTGCACTCCTTTGCTTTCCCATCAGCAACGTACGAGCCTGCCTGTTGTCCTATAGTCTACCAACAGAATATGCCATCAAACTTCTGGATATTTGACAATGCAGTAGATGCAATGGTAGTTTTATTTCATTATAATTTGCATTTTCCTTATTCGTCTCACTACTTTTAAAGGAAGAAAGGAGGGAGAAGGTGGGTGAGAGTGTGAATACGTTTGTAGATTTGGTGTTACGTAAATGTTTGCCCCTCTGGACTGTAAGCTCCATGAGGGTAGGACAACATCTGTTCTGCTCACTCTTGCTGTTCATTCTGTTCCAGTTCTATGCCTAGTGCTTGGCATGGAGGATACACTCACTAGTATACAACCAATGTGAATGAATGAGTGAGTGAATGAATGGGTGAATGAAAGACAGAAACTCTCTTTTCTCTCTGCTTCATGACTGTACTGGGGTCTATTCGACATTTTACCTTCACCCCTTCCTGTACCTTTCTCCAGATTTAGAACCTAGAATTAGGGGAACCAATTAAAAGTCTAAATTGTGAATTAAAAACAAAAAGTCACAGAAAGGGCTTGCCTAATGCCATGTCCATGCGATTAATGAGTTGTGCCTGTCTGAGTAAGAGGTGGAGTGGGGTGCAGTGTGAAAGTGCTCCTACTTGTTGAGAGATGCTGGGAAGACTAGCTCAGCCAGGTGAGCATTGCATGGGCATGAGGAATTGCTTGGTTAAGGGACAGAACAATCTCTGTGGAATTTCCTCCTCTTCTATCCCATCCAGAGGCTCTGAGCTCTCAGAACTGTCAGTACCTTCAGGGCTTATAAAGACTGTGGTTCCATGTGGCACTCCTGACTCTCTTACAGCCTGTGCATGGCCATCTGGAGGAAGCGGGAGCTCCCCATCACCCAGGGAACTCTTTGTTATTTGGGGATAGACTATGTCTAAAGCCTCCTTGACACACAGCCCTTTGGGTGAAATAACTTTTTTGCTGTCTGTATTTTATCTTTTCTGTTTGAAAAAATTTCAGTTGCCTTTGGCTCTTCAATGTTAGGACCTCTCTTATGGAAGCTTATGCCTAAATTTCCACCCCTTCTCCTCCTGCTAGAAATCACCCATTTTTCAGGGCTCAGGTTCAAAGTTATATTCCTTGATTATATCAATGTTAAGGATTTCCATTTAATGAAGAAATCATGGACACAATTAAAAGGCAAGTGACAACTCAGGAGAATATATTTAAAATGTCAACATCTGATGTGGTTCAAATATCTAAAATATACAAGAAACTTTTGCAAATCAATCACAGGGACCTCAACAGATAAATGGACAAAGAGTATGAATAGGCAAGTCATTAAACAGGAAATCCAAAATAAAAAGCAAATGAATAAATGCTCAAGCTCATTTGATTAGAGACATAAAATAAAAACTATAATGAATTATGACTTTACACCCATCAGATTAGCAAAAATTAGAAAGTTGAAGATGGCAGGCATGTCATGGCAGGGCTGTAGGGAAGACAAGACTCTTGTACGATGCTGCTGAGAGGTAAATGGGGTAGCCCTTCTTCAGAGCAATCCAGCAGTACTTGGTAAAATGCACTTACCCTAGGACTAGGAGATTCCATTCCTGGGAATGCCTCCAGAGAAGTTCTCACACTCATCTCTGAAGGAAGATACATGAGGATGCTTGTTATAGTCTTGTTTATGGGGACTGAGTGTGTCCATTATTATGGGAGTGGATAAGTAACACAAAGTGTGATATGGAGTACTACACAACAGTGAGATGCAGTGAAAGAGAGTGACAGTCAATTTTTGTTATGTATAATAGCTCTGTTCTGTAAAGTCTGTGAACATTGAGTTAGTAAACACTGAACCATTGCTTCCAGGGGAAATACAGAGTTAGGTTCCTGTGAGCCATAGCTCACAACACTTTCATCAACTTATCAATATATAACCTTGCTTATGTGTGCTGCTATTTAAAGGCACAATATTTTATCTATATTGTTGATTCATTAGCACTGAACTCACGGCCAACAGCACTAACTCCCATGCTTGAATAAAGCTTTTTCAACACATGTGTTTTCTTCATTAGGGGCATCACGGCCTACTGCACTTGGAAACACTAGGCAGCACTTAGCACTGTGCTTGGGGGCCATTTCCAACAGCAGAATTATCCCCAAAAAAAGCATAAAAATGTGAAAAGCATAGCACTAAACAGACTGCAAAAAGGACAGTTGTTTACATTATGAGGGCAGAAACAAGAAGGCAGAACACTGTCTCATTCCACCTTAGCTGGGGGCTTGCACATCTGGCAACGCAAATCTTCCAGTGCTCTGGGCATATCCGAAAGTGACTGTGAAAGTGCCTTGACTGTTGATTTTTGGGTCACAGATGCATTTTATTGAGTAGGCAAATTCACAAATACAGAATCATGAATAATGATGATGGACTGCACAGTCACCTGATTAGTTCTGAAAACATAGACTTGAATGAAAAAAAGCAAGAAAGAGAATCATAGCACATTATAAAGAGATACATAACACATTATTTATGTAAAAGTGGCACAAAGCAATCACACACACATGGGTTTTCAAGAACCCATACAAATCAAAGGACACACATAAACCCATTAAAAGTGTTGCCTCCTGGGTGCTGAATGGAGACGAAATGGAATAAAGGAATCAATACATACAAGGAGAGATGTCAGGGTGCCCTGAACCGTGGAGTGTGATGAACGCAGCCTCTACCTTGAAAAGTCTGACCTGAAGCCACCATTGCTGTGGCCCACCCTCCCAGATTCCCCCTTTCTCTGGCCCCTGTTCCCAGTAAGCTCCTCTCTTCCAGCTCTTCGTGGAGGGCCTGAAATTCCCACTTTATTGGAGCACACTTTCTGGCATATTTTATTTATTTGTCTATATTTATTTATACTTCTACCTCACGTCAGAAAGGATTCCAGGTCACTACTGATCAAGGCTGAGTCTATTTGCAGAATGAATAAGGACATGCACAGCTGAATGAACCATGGAAGGGCAATTTCCATACTTATCCCATCACACCCTCATCTCCTTGAGAGGAGCCCCAGTAATAATATTAGTAACAAAAGGATGTGTTCAGCTCAGGGCACAGCCAGCTCTTATGTCCCTCGAACCAGGCTCTGCAGAGCTGATAACCCAAGTTACCATTGCATTTGCTCTTTGGACAGCTACTGATGATTCGTATTCTGTTTGTCATAAACCTAACATGTCTTTTTCACATGAACCACATCTCTATTTTGCATTTACATGGTTGACCTGTTTTTTAACCAGTTGGATATATATACGTTTATATAATTTGCTATAAACCATGGATTTGGAATATCAAATTGGTCTGAGTCTCATTTCTCTTTTCCAATGTATTGGCCATTCCTCCCAGTTCTGTGCCACCTGGAAGTTGGTAAGATTGCTTTCAATTACCTTAAATTGTTGATAAATCCCAGGATATAGAACAAGCCCTGTGGCTGACCACATCTCCCCTCTAAGAACACCTGTCTCTATGAATTCTTGTACACATGTTGTACACATCTCCTCTCATTTAGATTGAATTTTGATTTCTTTTTCTCTATCCTAAAGAGAAGATTCTCCTAAAGCTCATGAGAACTTTGTAAAATACTTTTCTGAAATCCAGACATTCTTTGTCTTATGGCAATCCTTGGATCTATCAGCATGAGTTTGGGTCATGAACCATGGCATTGGAAACATATGTTAGATGCTGGACACCTCAGTACTTTACAGAGGAGGAAATAGAAGATGAGAGTACCTGCATGAGTACCGACAGTGAGCTTTCACAAGAGTCCTCCTGTGAGTACTAGCATGTCCTGGCCGAGTACCCACAGTGAGCACTCACATGAGTCCTCCTGTGAGTACCAGTATGTCCTGGCTGAGTACCCACAGTGAGCACTGCTACAAGTCCTCCTGTGAATACAAGGGTGTCTTGGCCTAGTACGCACTGTGAGCACTCACGCAAGTCCTCCTGTGAGTGCTAATGTGTCCTGGCCGAGTACCCACAGTGAGCACTCACACGAGTCCTCCTGTGAGTACTAGCGTGTCCTGGCCGGGTACCCACAGTGAGCACTCATACAAGTCCTCCTGTGAGTACAAGGGTGTCCTGGCCAGAGAGGTGTCAGTGAAAGTGGCTTGACTCAAACCCTAGACTCCTGACCCCACATACAAGGGACTTTACAAGGTGTCCTGCCACTTCAAGAGAGACGGTACTGACTTGTCGTGACTGCTCCCTGCGTCTGCTCACGATCAGTTAACTAAATCTACTCCAGAAGGGTATTGGGGCTTCAGGTGATTTGAAGAAAATTGAAGCCTAGAGAGCATCTAGGGCTTTAAAATAAGCCAAGCCTTTGGGCTAGACATACGACATTCCAGGATACAAAAGTGACCTGTGTGTGTGACCCTGGATACTGTGTGCAGGTTTTTTTGAATAGTCGGCGAACAAATTCTGGAGAAGATTAGAGTTGAGTGGACTCTTTGAGGAATGAAAAAGATTTTGATAGGAAGAAAGTCCCTTAAAATGGGGGAAGTTGGAGGTGCCGTACAGAGTTGGGAATGCATGCAGAATGTTCTGAACAGGGCTTTTTCCATTGCAAATGGCAAAGGAACAGCACCTGCTCACCTAGCTAGAAAAGCCGGGTTCCATCAGGATGGCTGGACAGGAGGCTCTGAAGACCTGACGCAGATACTTCTTCCCATCCCGCAGCTCTGCCTCGTGTGTCAACTCCTTTCTCAGGATGGCTCCCCCAAACATGGGTAACCGCAGCTATCACAATTCTAGCAGGGAAAGAGTGTCCTGTTTGCTAACAACTCCAAAAATGTCCCAGGAAAGGCTCTCATTTTCCTTTCTGAATAAAGTTGCCAGATTTTGCAAATAAAAATAAAGGATGTCCATCAAATTTGAATTTCAGATAAACAATGAATAATTTCTTGGCATAGTTCTGCCCCATGCAATATTTGGAACATATATAAGAAATTCCTTATTTACCTAAAATCCAAATTTAAATTTGAATTCAATTAAATAGACATCATGTATTTTATCTGGCAACCCTATCCCTATACCAGTTCATTGGAGCCAGGCAGATGAGGTGGGTAATGGGTCCAGCCTGGGTAACGTGTCCATACCCTGGATCCCAGGGGTGAGGTCAGCCCCACCCCAGCCTCCTGGAATGGGCATGGGAGTGGGTGGGTAACCAATCAGAAGCTTTACCAGAGAACAGCTGGATGTTGGGGAGACGAAACAATAGACGCTCACTATAGCTGACTCCATGGACAGCAAGGAGACCAAGATAAAAGTGAAAATGGTACTCATGTCTTGCATACCCCCAATAACGTTGGGATTTCTCCATCTGCCTTTTCTGGTTCCCCTGTCCCATGCCTTGTAGTCTATAAGCTTCTAGAGGAAAGGTTTATGTGTTTCTTGCTCATCACTGCAATCCTATTGCTGGGCATAGAGAATCTCAATTAAAAATTGTCATATAGCCAAATGAGTGAAGCATTACATGTCCTTTATAACACTTCCTCCTTGGGTAGACTTGATTATTCCTACTAGATGAGATTTTTCCAGACACTGTCAAAATGTTTTTACATGAACAGTGGTGATTCTGTGATAACAACAGCAAGGCTAACGTGTTGTTCTGCCATGGAGCTGTACACCTCTGGCTGTCTCTTAAGTTCTTTGAAGTTCGTAAGTTCTGCCTGATAATATCTCAGCAAGAAAGATGGTATTGTTCTCCTGTTTTATATATAAGGAAGCTGAATCTACCGAGGCTGGATCATTTCATCAAGACCACAAATATAGTGAATAGAATCTGGCAGGGTTTGGAACCCCCATTTTGGGCTGCTTCCCCATCTTCCTGAGAGCTCTGAGTTTTAGGAATCCTAATATTTGCTCTCTGTGGGCAGCATTTTAGCTGAGAGAAAACCGACCAATTCCTGTGGGCAGTGTCAGCGCATGCACTTTTTTGTTTCTGGCAAAAGACATAGCTGGGTATTCTATGGAGAGATAGAAATATTTCCTGAAGGCAGATTTGCAGTATGAAGGAAGGGGAGCTGGAGGAGAAGGAGCAAACTTGGGGTTCAGCCTCATACCTATCTGTCATCTCAGGTTTGGTTTCCTCTGAGACAGATGGGATGGTGCCTGCTTCGCCTGCTGACAGCAGAGAGCTTGTACATGCCAGGAGCCTTCCAGAGTGCCTCCCCTGAAGTGCCAAGGGGCCATGTCAAAGGGGCAGCTGTCATACCACTGTTATCACAGGGTTGCAATAATTTTCTGAAAAATGAGAATAAAATGTCACAAGAAAGATTTCTTATTCTAATTGACCCTGAAGCTTCATCTGCATCTCAAAGCCCTTTTTGTCCCAGTAATGGAAGCCCAAAGTAAAACAGGGTACCTAGTGGAGCTGGGATTTAAAGCCAGGTGCCTGAGTCCAAAGCCCTGTGCTCTTTCTGCACTACCAGACCTGCTTCTCAAGGGGCAACGAGGAGGGAATGAGATTGTGGTGTTAACATGGGGCATGTCCCCTCGGGCACCATACAAACATGTGGAATCACTTTGAAGATTCATCCCAAACCTTTTGGCCAAGGCAATTTTCTCAGGACAGCTGATCTTATTGATCTCAATTTTCCTGAGGGAGGACAAGCCTGCATGTTCTGTGGCCTTTGGAAAGTATCCCACACTGTCCAGTCGTCATGACAGGAGTGTGCACAGTGAGCACCAGGGTGGCAGAGAACTGGGCTGGTATCTAAATCAGATAATGTTGACAGAAGAAAGCATTGACAGCGTGATTCAGAGTGTGTGCACCACAGCTGACACCTCTTGTTTCCCCCCATCCCACCTCTTTGGGGATGATGAAGGTCTTAGGGGAAAATTGCATAGGTTTTTAGTTCCCAGTGCTCATCAGTTTTCTTTGCTTCTGGTCCCTTGTGGCCTCTCCTCTGTGCCTGCTCTTGCTCCTGTTCCACATCCCGGCCACCCACACTCTAGTGCTCCTACCACTGCCTACCACAGGGGTGCTCCCTGCTGGTTCCCTAACTGATCCCAGCCCTTTTGGCCATGGCTTAGAAATTCCAAAGGCTCTTTGCACCTATTTTACATCCAAGCAGTTCAAACATGTAAGCAATATTCACGTATTTCCCTCCAAGCCACTTAGTGACAGAGCAGCGGAGATGCTCAGGGTGCCATCTTCCACCATGCGAGACATGGGCTGTCCTAGGGTGGCTGAGAAGGGCCGAGTGATGGTTCATTGTATGTGTCAACTTGACCAGGCTTAGGGATGCCCAGGTAGCTGGTGAAATGTCTGTGGGGTGCCGCTGGAGCAGATGAGCATGGGAATTGGTGGGCTGCATAAACATCTGCCCTCACTAATGTTGGCATGCACCAGCCTATCCATTGAGGGCTTGGATAGAGCAGAAAGGCAGAGGAAGGGTGAAGTCCTTCCTCTTCTTGAGCTGAGACAACCATCTTCTTCCACCCTCGACATCAGAGTGCCCGGTTTTTGGGTTTTTAGACTCCAGGACTTACACAGCTTCCTTCTCCGGTTCTTGGGCCTTTGGCCTCAGACTGGGAGTCACACCATTGGCTCCTGGTTCTCAGGCCTTTGGATTCAGACTGAATTACATCACCAGCTGTCCCAACTCTCCAGCTGGCAGACAGCAGATCATAGGACTTCTTGGCCTTCATAATTGTGTGAGCCAGTTCCCGATAAGTGTCCTTTTATACACAGACACACACTTGACCCTTGAACAGCATGAGTGTGAACTTATACTAACATTGTTTTGTGAGTCCATTCATACTCGCATTTTTTTCAATAAAAGTTACACCAAGTGTGTCTGCCTCTCCTGCCCCTCCCCCATCTCCTTTGCCTCTTCTGCCTCTGCCACCCCTAAGACAGTAAGACCAACCCCGCCTCCTCCTTAGCCTACTCAATGTGAAGACGACGAGGATGAAGACCTTTATGATGATCCACTTCCACTTAATGAATAGTAGATATATTTTCTCTTGTTTAGGATTTTCTTAATAACATTTTCTTTTCTCTGGCTTACTTTAGTGTAAGAATACAGTGTATAAAATGTATAACATAAGAAGTATGTGTCAATTGACTGCTTATGTTATTGGTTAGGCTTATGGTCAACAGAAGGCCATTAGTAGTTAAGTTCTGGTGGAGTCAAAAGTTATATGTGGATTTGTGACTGCAAGGAAGCTCAGCATCCCTAATACCCATGCTGTTCAAGAGTCAACAGTATGTTGGTTCTCTTTGCCAGCAGAATCCTGACTATAAAGACTGCATTAGTTTGCTAGGGCTGGCATAACAAGATCCCACAGAAATGTGTGGCTTAAATGACAGAAACTTATTTTCTCACAATCCTGGAGGCTGGAAGCCCAGTACAAGGGATCTTCAGGGTTGGTTTCCCGTGAGACTTCTCCCCTGTTTTGTAGATGACCTCCGCCTCCAAGTGTTGGCTCCGCACCTGTGCCCTAATCTCCTCTTCTTACAAGGACACCAGGCATACTGGATTAGGGCTCACCCTCATGACCTCATTTGAGCTTCATGTCCTCTTTAAAGACCCTTTTCCAAATACAGCACATCCTTAGGTACGAGGGGTTAGACTTCAGCATACAAATCTTGTGGGGACACAATTCAGCCCGTAACAATGGCATAAGCTACCCCCAAAACCATTTCCATCAGGTGCCCCAACAACCAACCCCCAAAACGCAAATGCCAAGTAGAAACTGTGTGTTTCCTGCACACTCAGAACCCCTCCCCCTGCAGCCCCTCCAAGGACTCGTGTCCTACCCCCGCCATGTTTGAAGTTATGGAGCTGCCACAATCATGCAGTTCCCGAAAGACCCCCCTTCCCAATACACTTCCATGGCCTGGATTGAAGGCCAGGTGTAGTTTTATTTGCTCCCCACACTAATCTCAAGCAAGCTTCTTCAACACCCAGTCCTATAAGCCACAGATATGACATCTAAGCCTAGAAGCTAAAGGCATTGCCCTGTGGGATTCTCGTCAACAGCTGTGCACTCCAGCTACTACCGCCTAGAGGTGAGCACTGGGCCAGGGGTAGGGCCATGGGCAGCCTGAATGCTGCACTTAGTTCGGAAGCAGAGACCCAAGCCCAGCTGTGAGCAGACAGGAATGCTGGCTGGCCACCAGGGGTGGGGAATCTCACAGCATCAAGCCTGTGCCTGGCACAGCATGAGCACACAATGAATGTCTACAGAATCAAATACTCCTGATGAATGAAAAGCGGGGCTATCTTCAAAGAAAATTAAGATCAGTCTCATCAAAAATGTCCTGATTTATACAACAAAAAGGGAACCTATTTTGATTTTTAAGGGCTATTTTCTGAAGGCAGCAAAATTGAGAACAATAAACTGGACAGTCCTAATTCCATTCTGGGGCCCTGATCACGCCCTTCGTCTCCTTCTGAGTATCCCGAAGGAGCTGCAGCACGGGATCTCTAAGCTAACGTCCAGCCCCGCGGCACGGCATCACTGATTTTGCAGTGTCTTAGTCCCCTGTAGGCAACTCCTGTGAAAAGTACAAAAGTACAAAAAATTATTTTAAGTGACCAGATGGTTTTGTCTTAGTGCATATTCACAGGGGCATTGTGGCCTGGTGGAAAGAGCTGTGAGCAAACAACCCAGATATCTGGGTTCTAGCACCATCTCTAAGATCCAGTAACTCTAAGTTATTGGGCAAATAACATAACATCTCTTAGTCTCATTTTTTCCCTATAAAATAAAAAGGCTTGGACGATGAGAGCTCTGAGGTTAGCTACTATTGGTGTTGTCCAGAAGAAGGATGCTCTAAAATGATGGGACTCATTGTCCAGGGTCTCTTCCCCTCATCCTTCCTCCACTCCTCCTCCGAGGTCAGGAGTGGGGGCACCCCCCTGACTGAGCATGTGGACTGTGCAAGGCCAGTGCCAAGCATGCAGGGAACAAACTAAGGATCCAAGACTGGTGGCAGGAGAGGCGGTCCCTACCCATCGCCAGGAGCTTTTATTTTTATTTTCTTGATTGTATTTTATTTAGCTCACCTAAAGACCTGGTTCCTGCCATCAAAGAGTAAGAACATGTTATGAAAAAAGATAAAAGTGCTATGGGGCCAAAGGACAGGAGGTATGTCCCCTCCTGGCACCCAACTGCATCCTTCCTGGATAAGCCCCCAGAGTCTGTTTTCCCAGGGGAAGCTGAAATTCTTTCTTTCTTTCTTTCTTTCTTTCTTTCTTTCTTTCTTTCTTTCTTTCTTTTTTTTTTTTTTTAGACAGTGTCTCACTCTGTTGCCCAGATTGGAGTGCAGTGACGCAATCTTGGCTCACTGCAACCTCTACCTCCTGGGTTCAAGCCATCCTCCTGCCTCAGCCTCCCAGGTAGCTGGGATTACTGGTGTGCAACACCAGGCCTGGCTAATGTCTGTATTTTTAGTAGAAATGGGGTTTCACCATGTTGGTCGGGCTGGTCTCGAACTCCTGACCTGAGGTGATCAGCCCGCCTCGGCCTCCCAAAGTGCTGGGATTACATGCATGAGCCTCCTCGCCCAGCAGAAGCTGAAATTCTTATAAACTTGCCACACTCAAATGAGGAAGACAATGCTGCTGAAGATAAAATGCACAAATATTTGTGAACTTGGAATGTGGAATTCAATGAGCAGGTTTGAAATTCTTAAATGACATATGAGGAGAATACACGGGACGAAAAAGATAGGTAGAAGCAAGGGAGCAGAGGTGACAAAAAGAGGCAATGAGGGACACTTTAAGAATCAGGAGCAGACACAGGCAGGTTGAGCCTAGAACAATCAGCCCAGGCATTGTCTCCTACCTCCAGGGGAATTTCCTGAGCAAATGAACTTTCTTTATATCATCACAGCAAGTGACAGGAGAAGGAGGTGGGAGTCCTGGGCTCACTCTGCTGACATCGTTGCAGAAGGAAACCCAGGGCAGGGGGAATTGCCCGGGGTGGGGGAGATGCAGGGGGACTCCATCCTCCCCAGCACCCCCAGCCTTTCCAGGGGGTCCCTTATCTTCTGATCGGATGCAGCATAGTTATTTCTCAAAGCCTTTAAAATACTATTTTTACCAGGAGCACATTCTTTTTTCTTCCAAAAGAACAAAAGGATCACAACCCACATGCTCCTCAGAGTGGCAGCCCTGAGGGAAGGCAGAGCTCAGATGTACAGATCCAGGGAGCTTGGCCCCCGCACGCCCACACCTCCTCATCCCCACACAAACGGAACCAACGTGAATGCCACGGGCTTGGTATTGTCACCCCGCCTGAAATAAACCAGCAAGAATAGTACAGCACGATGAGTGACAGGGCTTCACAGCCAACGTGCTTCTCTGTAGTAGTTTTGGCCATTAGCAATTAGCACTGTAGTTGTAAGAACGGAGGGGGCTTTCTCTCTTTTTGTCTCTTTATGACCTCTCTCTCTCTCTCTCTCTCTCTACACACACACACACACACACACACACACAGCCTGGTAGCCTGATTTATTCCACCCACGAGGAAATTCTGTCCTGCTCTTTCATAGTTCATATTTTCAATGTCCCTTAACATTTCTGAGGAGGCTAATTTAGTATTATTGTCATTCAGTAATTCAGGAAGAGCTAAAACTTCCACTCACTGTTTTCACTTTTCTTTCTTTCCTTTCCTCCAAATAACAAGTCCTTAACGATCTTACTCAGAAACACCAATATGATGTTTTCCTTGTCCTCACACATGGCTAGGTCAGAGGTTGATAATGGAAGTAAGTGTGTGTGTGTGTGAGAGAGAGAGAGATATTTTATTATCAATACATATATTTTTTTAAAATGTGGTGAAAACTACCCAACACCTGTGCAGTCTGTCTTACCTTTCAGAGTTTCTCTTAAGATGGAAAATATTAAGTGTATTACTCATGGAATTATTTTAAACTGGAAGGCAAAGGGAGAGCAGATGATTCATCTCCAGCTCCAGAGACAAAGAGCAAATCAGTGCTGAAGACACTTCCCTCAGGCCTCAGGCCTCCGAACTTTGGGAGAAGCTGAAGGACGGGTACCTCCTGGGAGAAGCTCTGGGTCTGAGTTTGGGGAATCACTCAGGCCTCACTGCCTTCCCTGAATCCTGCCCCCAAGCCCTTGCCCACCTTGGGGACCTTGGACAGTGCCTGGCTGGGACTGCCAACATGACTAGGAGAGCATCTGGATTCTGTGTGGGGTGCTCCCCGGCACCTGCTCCAGACCATCCTGGGAGGTCCTCCCAAAGGCCATGAGAACCTGGCAGCCAAGAGAAGAGCTGGAGCCAGCATCCCCTCCTGAAGGTCACGGTCACCTTCACCACCTGGTGTCTTCCCACCACCAGCCCCGATGCCTGGGAAATGACCTTGCCCATCTGCGGTTCTGGGGCAAATGGACAGGGCTGAGCTGAGCTCCCGAGGCTTCCTGACCCCTGAATCCACACAGCACTTAAGAAACAGAAACAAGAAAGGGACTGAAAATACACACAGGGGAAAAACAGAAGTACAGATATGGCTTAAAGAAAACCATTATTGGAGATTTGCTGTTGAGGAAATAATAAATCAAGGTGACGATCCTTGGAGCAGGCACCTGCTAACACTTTCTGTAAAGATAAGCCAGTTTCACCTTAAAGAGGATGTTAAACAGATCTGTCAACCCCAGGCAAACTAGGTTGGCCAAATAAACTGACAATTAATAGATAGCACCAAAGATAAATGGCATTCTGAGAAGATTCACTTAAAGGCTGGCATTTTGAAAAGACAGTGTTTAGGGAAGAGATGATGAAGTTAAAGGATCAAGTGCCAGGCAGGAAATACAGCTCCTCCCAGCTCCAGCCTGAAATGCCTCATCCTGAACCCATGCTCTGCCTCTTAGGGCTGAAATCGAAATGTATGAATCACTCAACCAGAAAATTACAACTTCCCTTTTAAATATCTAGTTTTTAAAGGGTTAATCTACTCTTTAATGTCTTCATTTTAAACAGAGTAAGATCTAGGTTTTTTTTTAAGTCGGAGTAACTTTCCAAACATATAATAGACATCTAGAAAGATTGCAGAAGACTATAAAATAATAAGATTTAAAGCAGTCTCCCAAGAACATGCTGAGCCCATACAACGGGAGCACTTATTTGTTATTTGTTCACAGCCAAAGACAGAATGTGAAGCTCAAGTTCAATCTTCAGTTCATCAGCACATTAACTGCGGCTTCGTTTTAAAAAATCTACTTCTGAGGCTAAATGTTTAAGTAGGAACTTCTTTTTGATCCCATCCAGTTGGAAACTACTGATTTTCACCACAATGCTCCAAGTTCCACTAGTGTTTGCTTTCTCGGTCATGAGGCGCTACACAGGGAGGACTCCCAAAAGCAGGCAGAGAGCGTTCCCCACGGCTCACCACCTCCATCTTTCCACTGGGAGCCGCGTCCTCTGAGCCACAGCCCTGCCTTCCATTCCAGGGCATGCTCTTGACATGAAATTACTCCTTGTCACAGCAGAGCAGCTAGAACGGTCTCCATAACAACTCCTGCTCTGCAGGCTGCTAGGAGGGCTTTCTCTGCCTCTGTGTTCTCCATCTTCTCACCCAGCCAGGTGATAGGCTGGCTTCCTTCGTGATCCTAGTACCTTTCTTACAGGCAGCCTTAGACACAGGCCAGCGTCGAGAGGAGGGAGTCTCTCCCCTTCTCAGCAACTCAGTCCCTGCTTCCTTTATGGCTCCACGAGGTGCACGTTAGACTTGCCTGAGTCTGGGTCAGGGGACAGGGTTTCCTTTTTCTTCTGCTTCTGAACTATCCAGATCCAAGGAGAGACTTCCTGGGGTGTGACAAAGATTCTTTGCTTGGCCAAACTTTAGTCAGGCTTCTGAATCTACTCCTAGGCCTGTGTCTGCTTCCTTGTAAAATCCAGTTTCAGCAAATAATGCTGTCAAGGCAGTTTAGTAAGAATCTCCCATTGTTGTCACCCGGTCACCCTCTGTATCTGATCAAAATGCTTGACTCTTCACCCTTGGTATCTGATCACCCTGGACTGCCTTCAGCAGGAATCCTGTTTGGTTGGTTCAGCCAGAATTCCCCACAGATTTGATGTCTCATCTTAGCAATTTTCCATCTCCTGCCCCCTGCTCCTTGGCTATGCATCCGCACTTATCCAGGTACTCAGAACAGAGCCCAGTTCTTCACTGGGGCCTCTCTCCCCCTATTGCAATGGTCCCAAATAAAATTTGTCTTCTCCACTTTAACTTCTGAATGACCCTGGTTTTCTTCGGCAGGTGTTAGGACATGACTTACTGCCCATGCAGAAGCTCTCCCTCCCCTTATCTTGGCCTTTGCACTTCTCTTCCAAGTTTGAATTGCTGGTTTTGATTGGTGGCTCAATCCTCCTGCATCCCAGAGGACTCCTTCCTGGAGCCTGGGGCCATCCACCCTCCAGGATAGCTGAGAGCAGAGCATTGTCTCCTTATCGGACCCTTTGCAGATTGGCCCAGGGTGGCTGCAGTCTGTCTGACATCTAGGTCTTGACCTCAGCTTGGTCACTGTGCTCTTCCCTTTGAGAGGGCCCCTTTTCTTTACCCTGGAATTCATAAGGCTGTTTGTCAGATCTACCCAGGGAATGTCATCTTTCCCCTGACCGTCTGGCTTCCTGGTACCAGCCTTTGAAGCTGACTTGACCTGCTGGTGGGGCCCAGTCTCACTTCCTCCCGGGCTGCCCTATGGGGTGAGGAGTAACAGAGCTGGCGCACCAGCCATCCCTGATAGCACATGTGAGGGCACATCATCGCGGCCTGAGAGAGTGATAAGAGCCCAGCCACTGGCACATGAAAGGTCAGGCTCCTGGACTATGAACTTCCTTCCAGATTTCTGCAATAGCAATACACTGGGATGTTTCTGGGCCAGAAAACAAGGGGCTGGGTTGGGCACGGTGGCTCACACCTGTAATCCCAGCACTTTGGGAGGCTGAGGCAGGCAGATCACCTGAGGTCAGGAGTTCGAGACCAGCCTGGCCAATATGGTAAATCCCTGACTCTACTAAAAAATACAAATGTTAGCCAGGCATGGTGGGCGCCTGTAATCCCAGCTTCTCGGGAGGTTGAGGCAAGAGAATCACTTGAACCTGGGAGGCGGAGGTTGCAGTGAGCCGAGATCATGCCACTGAACTCCAGCCTGGGCGACAGAGCGAGACTCTGTCCAAAGAAAGGAAGGAAGGAAGGGAGGGAGGAAGGAAGGGAGGGAGGGAAGGAGGGAAAGAAAGGAGAGAGAAAGAGAGAAAGGAAGGAAGGAAGGAAGGAAGGAAGGAAGGAAGGAAGGAAGGAAGGAAGGAAGGAAGGAAAGAAAGAAAAGAAAGAAAAAAGAAAGAGAGAAAGAAAGAAAGAGAAAAGAAGGGAAAGAAAGGGAGGAAAGAAAGAAAAGAAGGAAGTAAAGAAATAAAAAAAGGAAATAAAGAAAAGAAGGAAAGAAAGAAAGAAAACGGGGCTGAAGATGTGGCCAACTGGCTAGCATAGGCCATTTGCCACCCTGGTGTAAATGTGCTTCCTTCTTATGACATTAGCATTTAGATTTGGTATTTGGAGTATCCTGATGTCATTGAGCCTTTTCATACTCACTCTTTATTAGAACATGTTCTCTTTTCTCTCTATTGTGGAGAGATAATATTGCAGCGTTCTGAATAATAGCAGGACAGTCACTGTTGTCCATGGCAACAAGGCTGCGTTGCAATGCTCCGTTTGGTAAATAAAGTTCGAATGGTGAGGGTGTGGGCAAGAACTCATTGTAACCTGGAGGGACGGCTGGGTGAGGGTGAGGCCCTTGTGGAGTCCTCATTAGATCTCCTCTGCCAGGGATCTGAATATCTGGATGGATGCTTGGTTTAAATTCTTAGAGAATGAACCCAGAATAGATGCCCCAAGCACATTTACCATCGTGAAAAGGAAAGAAAGGGGAGCTAGAAGTTATCAAGTATTTACTAAGTGCCAAGTTAAGTTCGGCACACACATCCTCTAGGGTAATTATTCAACACTACCTACAACCCTCTGAGGTAGATATGCTTGGTCCATTTTACAGATGAGAAACCCAAGGCTCAGGGAGAAGCCAAGCAGTTGGTCCAAGGGTTTGAGTCCTGGCTCCGCATTTCCAACTGTGTGACCCAGGGCCCCCAGGCAGTGGTACAGTGACATTAGAACCAGGTCCACTCAACTCCAATGTCCACAACACCCCACTATGTCATGAGCCAAGATGTTTTAATGAGCATGACATCTTTTGTCTCTGCCTCTCCTGCAAGCTTCAAAGTTCTAAATAATGTGGGGGTTTTCAAAGGAAGCTGGCTTCATGTCCAGTTCTCATTAAGGCTTGGAAGATCTTTGAGTTTGGCTTGTGGCTTGCTGACACTGCAACCTACATGCAGCAGGGCTGGGGGTAGGAGAGTATCTGTCAGCAAAGCCTTTGTCAAAATAGAATTCTATTACAAACAGGGACTCCTAACCCTGGGTGTGGTCAAGGTTTAAAAATGAGAGAGTGGACACAGCCATAGAGGACTGTGAGGACATGGGAAGGGTGTCCCATGCCTGAGTTCTAGCACTCCACCTCACCAGACTGAGCAGGCAGCTTTCCAAAGGGCATCTGTGAGAAGTGAGGGCAGTTTCATCAGTCACACAGGAGAATGTTACCCTCACAGTGCCTGGGTATCCTGGTTTGCTGCAAAAGCAATTAGAGATCGTAAGATCCAGAGCAGTAGAAATGCAATGTTTTCTTTTCTTCATTATTATTATACTTTAAGTTCTGGAATACATGTACAGAACGTGCGGGTTTGTTACATAGGTATACACGTGCCATGGTGGTTTGCTGCACCCATAAACCCGTCATCTAGGCTTTAAGCCCGCCCCACAGAAATACAATGTTTTCATTCTACTTCAGTGATTTCACTTTGCCCTTTTCTAGGCAGAGTAGCTATGAGTTGACTTTGACACCCATCACCTGATAGGGTGGATGAGTCTGGTTGGATAGAGAAGTTGGCAACACAAGTCAGCGCAGAACAACGATGGCTAGCCCAAAGGATGAGGGTGAGGAGCCCGAACGGAATCAACTCTCAGGTTCCTCAGATGACTCCAAGACCAGTGAGGGGCTGAGAGCTAAATGCAAACCCACCCAGGAGCTGCAGGTATGTGAAATCTGTAAAGTGCTTCACTACGTGTTTAGGAACACCTCTAGTTAATTCCATATTGTGGCTTCAGTTCTAAACTAGTCCCAGGGGAGGAGGAATTTCAGGGCAGTGTGGAGTAGTGAAGAACACGTGGACTTTACAAGTCAACAGACTTGGTTTGAATTGTGACTCAGTTCCCAGCTAGCTGCATGAACGGAGCCAGTTTCCTCCAGTGTGAGAAGGGGTCACGATGGTCATCTTAGTCAGGGACTTGGCAGAAAAAACATGGCACAACCCCAGCATGGAATTGAAGAAGACTCAGGCAGACTCTTTAGCGAGAGTGGGTGGTGCACCCAGTGCAGGCACTAGCAACAGTGGGCAGCAACAGAAGAGTGTTTTGTTGGAACCAGGGGAGAAACCCAGAGGCAGGAGAGGGGCTGCCAGCAGGAGCTGGGCTGGAGGTCAAGGAGCACATCCACTGCCAGCTGCAGCCCACAAGGTGGGCATGGGAGAGACACCTTACTCTCTCCTCTCCCTCTCCCATGGCCTACTGGAGCCTCCATGGGCCCGACCTCATCAGCAGCCAGAGGGTTAAGAACCCAGAGTGATGCCGTTCATTAGGATCAGCCTTCGGAGCACGAAGCAGGGCAGAGATGGTGGATAATGGATCTCCAGGATCAAATGGAGACTCACCAAAACTATCAAATAATATATTCAGTGCCAAGTATGTTCTGTGGGAGGCCAAAATATGCCACCCCAAAATATGAAGGATTGTGGAGCTAAAGGCAATTAAGGAGCTGATATATGAAAGATCTCTGCCCTCTCTGTCTTTGCCTAAAAGCAGGGCACAGATTCACAAAAACAAAAGGTATTCTGCTGCACTTCTACCAGGAAGAACAAAAGTTAAACAAAGAAGACCATGTTAGACTCTTACAGGCCTGGCAATGATACCAGAGGAATCTACTTTAACAAGCTCTACTAATTCGCTTTTATCTGACAGTTATTTGCCTTCTCTGAAGTTGCCGCCCCTGCAGACTCAAAGTCCTTTTTTTTTTTTGTCTTGTCACTTGTATAAAAATGCACCATGGGCCAGGCACAGTGGCTCACGCCTGTAATCCCAGCAATTTGGGAGGCCAAGGCAGGCGAATCACAAGGTCAGCCTGGCCAACATGCTGAAACCGTGTCTCTACTAAAGATACAAAAAATTAGCCAGGCGTGGTGGCACGCACCTGTAATCCCAGCTACTTGGGAGGCTGAGGCAGGAGAATCACTTGAACCCAGGAGGTGGAGGTTGCAGTGAGCCAAGATCACACCATTGCACTCCAGCCTGGGCAACAGGGTGAGACTCCGTCTCAAAAAAAAAAAAAAAGCACTGTGCTTTGTTGAAGATGCTACATAAGTTGGAATTCAAAGTTACCTCTTTGAGAAGTACCCAGTGCTGGGTATTTCCCATATACGTGTGAAATGTACATGTTCATAAGCTTCTGTTTGCTTTTCTCCTGTTAATCTGTTTGTTGTTATAGGAATCTGTTCCAAGTCAGAAGCTATGGGGGTTATTTTTCCCATACAGTTTCAAGCCCCATGTTAGGTCTGCAGACTCAGATACAGTGCTGAGTGCTCACAGATATGGTGCTCATGGGTACTGGGGAATCAGCTGCTCATTTATTATAAAAAAGAGGAAGTAACTATGTAATTACAAACTAGAATTAGTAATACAAAGGAAAAGTATGAGCTGCGATGAGAGTTACAAAGTACACCCAGACCAAGGAGTCAGGAAACGGTGCATAAAGAAGCTGTGTTTAAGATGAAATTGGCAGGATATGTGGAGGTCATTTTAGGTGAGCCACAGAATGTCCCAAGCACAGGCTCTGAGAATGGTGGGAATATCCCCGGATGAAAGAAGGCCAGCATGGCCACAGCAGACAGCATAGGGCTGCAGGAGGAGGCTGAAGGGGTAGGTGGGACTGTGCAGGCCATTAGGGAATATGATCTAAACTGTGACCCCCGAAAAGTCATTAGCTGGGAGAGTGAGTTGTGTGTTTTTAAAGAATTGAGCTGGTAACAGAGTGAAGAAATAATTGGAGGGATCAAGAGTAGATGTTGGGAGATGAGTCAAGAGAGCACTGCAGTGGTCTGAGAGATGGTCATAGCTTAGCTTGAAGCCATAGCAATTATTCATTCACGCAATCACTCATTCAGTTAGTTCTGTGCTATGTTCCAGGCACTATTCTAGGCCTGTTGATGGAGCAATGCACAAGAAAGACAGGGTTTCTGTTCTCATGAAGCGTATCTTCTAGTGGGGAAGGATATGACAATGGTTAGGAAAAACAAGTAGAGGGAGTTATTGCTGATAGCCAGTTTGTGGAAGGCCAAGGTGGCCATTCAAGACAGTGTTGTGTGGCTTGGGAGCCTGGACTGGCAAGAATCCTTAGCAATTCCCTGGGTCTGTTCTAAAATCAGAGACTTCCCAGGAAAGTTTGGAGCCCCAGCTAAACATGCAAGGTAACCCACTGCTCAGCCAACTGCTCTAAAATAAAATCTGCTTAAAATAAAAACCAAAGAGAATCACACAGAGGGAAGAAGGGAGGGGCCTTAGGAAGAGCAGGATGCAGTGTCCGGGGAGTGTCTGAAAGCTGGGAAGGGGGGCCTGCTTCTGCACTTGTGTTGGGTAGGAACTTTCATGGCCTTTTTTCTCCTTTGCATCATTTATGGAGCCAGCTTCTGCTCACAGGCTACCAACCAGGCTCTGGTTAAAATAGAATGGGCCTCTAGGACATGTGAAGCCTGATTACTTGCATTTCAGAGACCACTGGGCCATGCCTGGGGTACAAGTGACTGACTGGCGCACCTGTGCTTTAGACAATATTGAATTCCTTGAGTTCTCCAAGGCGTGTTCTCCATTCAGTATTTATTGAGCAATGACTAGGTGCCAGCAAATGTTCTAGACAATAGGGCTACCAGAAAATGAGCTTTATTGCAGGAGGAGGAGAAGAGGATGGAGACCAAGAGTGGGCAAGAGGAAGGAGTTCGTCTTTTACCCAGTGTCTTTCCTGCTCTATTGATCCAGGCCTCAAAAAGGAAAGAGGAGAATACACCAAGGCAATAATAGCTCATAGCAATATTAGCATTGATGCCAGTTTTATTTTCAAATACACACAAATAGAATCAAGGATGTTTGTTTCTGGAATTTTCTATTTATGCCATTAGAGATGATAGCATCTAGGGCATGGTTGATACTCAGAAAGCCATAGCTGAGATTCAGCGCTGAAAACACTTCCTGCCTTTTTAGCACAGGCAGGCTGACAACAGGGACAGATTGGCTGTGGCTGGAATTCTTCCCCCTGTCCATTCTTTAATAGTGATTTTTAAAATTTGACTTCAGGCTGGGCGCATTGGCTCACGCCTGTAATCCCAGCACTTTGGGAGGCTGAGGTGGGCGGATCACTTGAGGTCAGGCGTTCGAGACTAGCCTGGCCAACATGGTGAAACCCCATCTCTACTAAAAATACAAAAATTAGCCAGGCATGGTGGCGAGCACCTGTAATCCCAGCTGCCTGGAAGCCTGAGGCAGGAGAATTGCTTGAATCTGGGAGGCAGAAGTTGCAGTGAGCAGGGATCATGCCACTGCACTCCAACCTGTGCGAGAGAGCTAGACTCTGCCTCAATAAATAAATAAGTAAATAAATAAATAAAATTTGACATCAGAATTGGACATAAAAAGTATCTCATCCAATGTTGTCTATTTGAAAAAGATACCAAATCACTCCACAGGGAGAATTATAATTCAGTCCACTACTGACTCTATGCCCAGAAGCAAACAAGGAAAGTACTTTGTTGCTAAGGGGGTTAATTAGTTAATATTTATAAAGGACTTTAAAGATGAAAAATTACTCTATAAATATGAAGTATTATTAATATCACCAGCAGTTCTACTGCTTTTATATTATGTAGGAAGACTTGTTCTTTAGCCTGGTTATGAATTCTTGCAGTGAAAATGAAAAGGAGAAAAAGAACAGCAAGGATCACAAAAGCATGCAACCCACTTTTTTTGTTTATTTTAAAGGAATTTCTACAACTGAAAAAAGCTTTCTTGACATCTCATCCCAAAAAAGAGAGTGCATGGTTTACAATTCTTTTTATTTCCTATGTTGGCATCATGCTCCCTGACTCCTCCATCCCTGACTCCTCCTGGAGTGCTGTTTGCTCCGGGCCAGTGGGTGAGGAGAGGTTTTTGGAAAGCTGAGTCTTGCAGAGAGAGAGTGGCCATGGTCTGTGCCGACTGTCAAACTGCCCAGAGAGGACATAGAAACTGCCCAGGCCTAAGTGGATTTTGCCCTCCTCAGACAGAAGTTTGCTTGGTGTGCAAATGAAGTCTTAGGGGGTGGTGAGTGGGGTGGTTTCCCTCACTGTCATACATAATCAGTGTGGGGTTTGGCAACAGCATAGCTAGGTGTGACCCTGATTATTCCCAAGGGCATTGCAACATGAATCATTTTTTATTAACATAGTACGTAAGATAGGTCAACTAGAGGGGGTAGCTTTCATGAGGAGCCTCTAGTGACATGAAATATCAGTTTACATACTGTACTAGTTCGTTCTTATGCTGCTAATAAAGGCATACCTGAGACTGGGTCATTTATGAAGGAAAGAGGTTTAATTGACTCACAATTCAGCATGGCTCAAGAGGCCTCAGGAAACCTACAATCATGGCGGAAGGGGAAGCAAATGCATCCTTTTTCACATGGCGGCAGCAAGAAGCACAGAGCCAAGTAGAGGAGAACGCCCCTTATAAAACCATCAGATCTCATGAGAACTCACTCACTATCATGAGAACAGCATGGAGGCAACCGCCTCCATGATTCAATTACCTCCCAACGGGTGCCTTCCATGACACATGGGGATTATGGTTCAAGATGAGATTTGGGTGGGGACACAGCCAAACCATATCATATAATAAAGCATCATTCTCAGTAAACTATCGCAAGAACAAAAAACCAAACACCGCATATTCTCACTCATAGGTGGGAATTGAACAATGAGAACACATGGACACAGGAAGGGGAATATCACACTCTGGGGACTGTTGTGGGGTGGGGGAGGGGGGAGGGATAACATCGGGAGATATACCTAATGCTAGATGACGAGTTAGTGGGTGCAGCGCACCAGCATGGCACATGTATACATATGTAACTAACCTGCACAATGTGCACATGTACCCTAAAACTTAAAGTATAATAAAAAAAAATCAATCTGAAAAAAAATAAAAATAAAAAATAATAATAATAATAAAGCATCAAGTCAAGGGGCCTGGGAACCTAAGGTGGCACTCCTGGGGAGAAGACAGAGCCTTGGAAGAGTCTCAGGAAGGTAGCGAATATAGGCTAAGCTTCAGCAGTAGGTGCTACCTCCATTATTCTGAAGAATGACCCTGAAATAGAAGTTAAAAGATGGATTGGCTGGATTGTAAGTGACAGCTAACATTGATATCTCTGCCCCACGCCTAGGCGCTTCTTTATCCAACAGGTATTATGTGCCCCACTGGGTGTTAATTGCCAGTCTACATCCTTTGTGAGGCTCAGTGCCATCTGAAATGCAGTATCTGTGTAAGTTTCACACCTCCCGGGAACCAAGGTGCTGAACTGAGTATCAAGAGGAGGGTGAAAGGAACGTCCAGAGGCAAACCTCTTCCAAGGAAAGATAAAGGCGGTGGCACTGGCAAACCATCCTCTCTTTTCTCCCTGTTAATGGGGCTCCCATGCCTTCCATCATAGGACTGGGTTCACTCTCTTCTGCTTTTCTGCCATGTAAGGACACAGCATTTGTCCCCTCCAGAGGATGCAGGTTTCAAGGTGCCATCTTGGAAGCAGAGATCAAACCCTCCCCAGACACCAAACTGGCCGGCACCTTGATCTGGGAATGTCCAGCCTCTAGAACTGTAAGGAATTATTTTCTGATTTTTATGAATTAGCCAGTCTGTGGTATTCTGTTATAGAGCACAAAATGGACTGAAGACACCTGAGTTCCCTAATTCCCATAGTGTTCAGTTGGACATCAGAATATCAATAAAATCACCAAGGATCCAGCAAAGGAAGACAAGCCTTTGTTTTTTTCTAAAATAACCCAGGATTCAAAAAGGACCATGGCTACTGAAAATGGAGCCTGGGCACCACTAGCACTGTGTGTGTCTGCCAATCTTCTATCACCTCTCCATCTCTCCCTCATATTTTCATGGGTTCATTTGCAAAGGCTGATAAAGAAAATTGCCACAAGCTGCTGTAGCAGTGGAAACGTAGCTTATGTTGTGTGCGGGCATGCATAATGTGTGCTCACACGTGTGTGTGCAGGTGTGAGCATGTGTATCTCTGTGTCTGTGTGGTGCATATTTGTGCATCTCTGTGCTCACATATATATGCATATATGCATGTGTTTGTGTGTGCATGGGTGTGTGTGTGAATACATTGTGTGTCTTATGCATGCACATGTGTTCACCTCTGTGTGCATGCATGTGCACTTACGTGTGTGCACTTGTCTGTCTGCATGCATGTGTGTGCTTGTGTGTGTTTGCAGCAGGCAGCAGCAAGTAGCATAGAACACTGCGATGTCACTGTCTGCAGGTAGCCGCCCCACCTGCCAGCAGAGAAGAGGAATGGGCTGTATTTACCACTATTAAATTGCTTGCTACTGGGCCTCTGCCTTCACTGCTTTTGTTTTTGCTTTGTTGTTATTGTTTGTTATTTTTCCACATGGGTTTGCTCTCCTGAGTGAGATTATAAATTGCTCAAGGACAAAACCTTGTTATATTTTGTGTGTGATTATGATGCAGTTCCAAGGCAGCTCCTCCTGTCATCTTTGTTCAGACTCTCCCTGACCCCCACGTGGTTACACCACTGCCTCTTTATTTTGGCTCCTGGAGTAAGTCTTCATATCTGCAGACCGTCAGGAAGGGTCCAGACCCCAGAGCCAGCTATTGGTGTGAGAGTGGGTTTCTGGCAATGATTCCCAGCGAATGCATCCACTGAGCCCTCCCCAGTTCAGTGCTGTGTGGTACACATTTGAGAGCTCACCAGCCATGGCTGGGACTGCAATGGGAACACATTAAATCCTCCAACTTCCACCCACAGGTGACAAAGGGGACACTCTACTGATTATGCTCCTTGGTTCCCTGGTGCACTGTCCACCTTTTTCTGCATGCTCTGTGCCCTGGAAGCTAATGCTAAGTCTACATCATGCCAGCTTGCTTGCCCCCTACCAGTTGGGTTCAGCCACAGGAGGCTGAAGATGAGGGGAGAGAGAGGTCAAGGTATGTGTCCCCACCTCCCATTTCTTCCCTGCCAAAGGCAGCCTGGCAAAGGCTGACATTTTTTCTGGCTACAGCTCCTGTTGGGTGGATCTTCTTGACAGAATCTTCTTTGGGGCTCAATGGCCACTGGCACTGATAACACTATTTCCCCTCTGTCCCTTAGGGCTGGGCTAGCAATGGCTGCTCCAGTTACTACCCCTAGGGGCCTGAACATCCCTCATGGGGTCCCTTAACCCTGCCAACCCTCACAAGTAGTCCGCTCACTAAACTTTCCTTAGACAAATCTTTTGAAGGACGATCTCCCTCCACCACTCTGTCTGATAAAGCCATAAAATGTGCGCTCTTCAAGGGCAGGGCTCTGCCTGAGTCATTGTTAAGCATCCCCAGTGCTTAGCTTAAGTAGGTCATCAACAGATGTTTGTTAAAGAAACACTGGTTGGATGAAGAATGAATAACTTGCATGAATGGATGGTCTGGAAACTATAATGGTGAATGAGTCAGTGATATTTATAGCACAGTAAAACAAAAACCCAGCCACCTCCTCCCCTACCTCCCTGTCAAAAGAAGGGCCTTCAAGAGGAAGGAGAGGGAGACACTTGAGTAGGATGGCTATGGCATGTAGCACGACAGGGAAGACATCCGCTGCTGGAGCTCCTCATCCAACCCTCAGGAACAGCAGCACAGTTATTGGAAACGGACTCAAGCTTCCTGGCACACAGTGTCTGTCTGTGGAGAAGCCAAACCATGTCTCTCCCAAATGCAGACCATGAAATAAAAGGCAACTGGAGAGGGTATCATTTCCCTTTTATAGCTCAAATGAGAAAGAAAGGAGAAGGAAGAGAGTGGCCCATTGTCTGTGAGGGCAGAGAAGGAAAGGATGTCTGCTTGCAGAGAGGGCAGATTTTAAGAATGAATGAACCACATTTATGACAGGAAGCTCTTCATGAGTGTCCTCCCTATCTCCTGTCTTAGAGCAGAAATACTTTCAAGCAAGTATCTGTTTGCATTATCCTTTTTGCATTACTGCCCAGAAAAGAATTGCATGTGGCACTTACGTTACATAAATGTAGATCCAGCCCCACTGTATGTGACTGCGCAGATGTGTAATATGAATGGTGGAAGGAATCCAGCATGGGAAGAGGGAAAGCTGTGTCTGGCTCTCGCTAGATCTGATGCAAGTCCTTTGCCTCTCTAGAATTCTCTTTTCCCTTTGATAACATAGGGGATTACAACATTATCTCCCTGGATCCCTCTCAGATTGATGTTATGTAACTGTGGTTTCATGATCATGTTCCGTGTGTCCATGTTGCCCAAAACAAGACCAGATCCATGGCTGTGAAAGAATGATTAACATAGATTCAAAGTTCTTTACTCACTGAAGCAAGAAAGTGGAATAAATAAGCAATTTAGAAGGATTTTCAATAACAAGGGCTGAAGTAAGAAAGTATTTTTGTTTAATGCTTGATTTTCCTCCAAATGAAGTTTATATGTCCTAAGCATTTTAAATTACGCTTTGTCTTAAGTATTTTTAAATAGCTTTCCACCAATTCCCAATACTTTTCTTTAGAGTGTATATAATTTCCATGAGGTTTAAAAAAAGGAAGAAAAATACAAATTGAATTTATTTAGGTAATGCTCACTAGGGTTTTCTTTTGGTCCATTTAATGATAAACTGTCTCCAATATTTATAGATATCCTGTGCTCGAGGTTTTTTGTTTTTCTTGTAGTATCTACAGGGATGAAAATCTTAAGTAGGCAATAAGATTTGTAAACAATTTATTTGCTGTGTATTGAGTTGCATTTATCAAATCGAGTTTAAAATGTACCAAGCGAAACAAATTGGGTTGGAATGAATCCGTTTATGAACTTTATTTCATTTGAATTGCAGACTCAGTATGAAGTCAGAACGCTGCTTGTTCGATCCATTACAACTTCTAAGACAAGACCGTGGTGTGGTCCCTGACAAACTGATCTCTGGTTCCTTCAAAAACCCTCTCCCCTTTCTCTTCACTGTCTCCTGTAGCCCTTAGCAACTGACATTGATAATTACTTTTTCCATTCAGTTCAACCAAATTTATTGGGTGCCAGGCTCCGTGCGTGGTGGGTTTAGGGTGTGAGTCTGGTGTTTTCTATAACATGCAGTGAGGGGTGTGTCTCATAGAACTTGGCGTTAACAAACTCCTTAGGCTATACTGATTGTCTATTAGTATTAGTAATTTATTGTTTACAGATTATTCTCCACTAATACATTGTTCCTTCAAAGCTGGCTGCCTTGGCTGATTACCCTAATCTCATTATGTAGAGAGGAAAGGAAAGCTCGACAGGTGCAGGAACACCCCTGAGTCCAGTTGTATGAATACAAATATCAAAAACAAAGTCCATGGAGACACAGACCCCACTTCCTCCCCAGCCTCCTCTCTCTGTTGCTTTCTGGCAGCCCATGCTCTGGCCCACCTGAATTCCTTTCAGGTCCTCAGACACACCCACTTTCTATCACCTGCACACTCTTGTATTAATATTCACTCATCTGTCTGCCCAGCACTGACCTCTCGCTGTCACCGCGTTTCGGGTCGCAAATAGCTACCTCTTCCCTCAACCTTTCCCCCCACGGACACCCCTGCACCCCACACGAAGTACTTGTTGAAATAGAGCTTCTGGCCAGGCACAGTAACTCGCGCCTGTAATCCCAGCACTTTGGGAGGCCAAGGTTGGTGGATCACCTGAGGTCAGGAGTCCGAGACCAGCCTAGCTAACATGGTGAAACCCCGTCTCTACTGAAAATAAAAAAAATTAGCTGAATTAGCTGGGTGTGGTGGCGGGTGCCTGTAATCCCAGCTATTCCAGAGGCTGAGGCAGGAGAATCGCTTGAATCCAGGAGGCAGAGGTTGCGGTGAGCTGAGATCATTCCACTGAACTCCAGCCCAGGCAACGAGGGCGAAACTCCACCTCAAAAAAAAAAAAGAAAGAAAGAAAGAAAGAAAGAAAGAAAGAAAGAAAGAAAGAAAGAAGGAAGGAAGGAAGGAAGGAAGGAAGGAAGGAAGGAAGGAAAGAAAGAAAGAAAGAAAGAAAGAAAGAAAGAAAGAAAGAAAGAAAGAAAGAAAGAAAGAAATAGAGCTTCCTCAAGGGCAAGGAGCATGCCTGCTTCTCTTCTGTTCTCTTTGAGATTGGGATGCACCAACCAACATGGTAGCTCCTCGGTCAGTATTTGTTGAATGAATTTCTGAAGAGGTGAATTGATGGGAGAAGAAATGACAGGGTCGCTCTGACTTTGCTTCCATAGCCACCTAAGCTCTCACACACCCAGCCCTGCACCAAAGCAATTGCGGGGGATCAGGAGAAAGAATTCCTGTCTTCAATGCCAACCACCCCAAGGCTTGTGCCTAGAGTGAGTTTGGACACAATACATTCAGCTAATGATGATAGAACGTCGCTTGTGCATAATGACTAAGGAGTAGAGTACAAGGCAGGGTGAAAAAAACAAATGAAATCAAAAGAAGCGAAATAGCCTCCAATGGTCTTGCAAATAAAACTCAACCTGCATGAAAATCAATGAGAAAAAAATAATTCGTCATGAAAATGATGGAGGCATATTCACAGCTGGCCGGTACTGTACAGACTCCTTCAGATCATCTCAGAAACTTAGTCTCCTTTCGCGCTGCCACAGGCAGCTTTAGCCGACCCTGTGCTCGGGGCTGACCCAGGGCCCCTGATCCCACACTGTGGCCCTTGATGGTGGCCTTGAGGCCTGGCTCCCAGGCACTCCTGCTTTGAGTGATGCTTCGTGATTAGGTCTTGTCCAGACCATGTACAGGATGCCCAGTTAACTTCGAATTTATGATAAACAACAAATAATGTTTACTGTGTGTCCCAAATATTGTACACTTGTACTAAAAAAGTACTTGTTTATCTGAATTCAAATTTAGCTGGGCTTCCAAGCTTTGGTTCTTCTTGTTGTTTTGGTTGTGATTTTTGTTGCCTATGGCAATCCTAGCTCCTGGGAAGATTCTGGGTGTCTGGCGAGGCGCTTCCTATGCCCACATTGACTCCAATCCTCAGGACGCTCCTTGGCTCTGCCTCCCGCCTGGGGTCCCCCTTCCCTTCCTGACAATCTGGACCAGGTTTTCTCTCCACCTTAGGCTGCCAGCAAATGCCTGGCATCCACATCCAACCCACCGGCCACAGACCTCCCGAACTGCAAGAGAATACTTTGCCCTTTGAATTTCTACAATCTATTTTTCTGGCCAATTCCTTTTCTTCTCAGTCTTTTTTTTTCCTCTTGCTACATTTCTAAAACTCTATATTTAAAGGGTAAAAAAGTCTTGTTTTTTTTTAACACATGCTGGTCAGGGCTCATGTTAGACATCAGTGTGGTTACATATTTCTGGGATCAATATATACCTATCCGAGAACACAACTCTGGAAAGTGGATTTTCACATCAATTCCCGTTATGTGTGTGTATGTGTGTGTGTGTGCCTGAGCGCACACATATGTGGTTATGGCCAATCCTTTCTCACGATACCTAAGGCCCTTATAAAGTCAGTGATGTAAAACTGGACACCAGCAGTGGAGCCAAACCACACAGAGACATTTCACAATCTCAGGGCCTAGAATTCAGAATTCTGTTTTCAATACTATCAATGGCCACTTATGAAGGGAACCTCCCTGGAAAATTCCAGTGCATGCCTGGCTTCCTAGATGACTAAAGGACAAAAATGGCCCTATGGTGTTTGGGATCTAAATGAGGAGGTGTTTGGGCTGCCTTAACACCAGTTTCCCATATGGAACTCTATTCCTGAGATGGACTGACAAAACCAGGTTCCTGTGACCTTGTAGACAAAATATAAGATGCATCTAAAATGTATTTTTCTTTTTAATTTCACCGTCATCGGATTTGCTTTCCTAAGGTTTAGCCCATTCCCTCCTTTCAAATCTTCATTGTCATCTACAAGGTAAAGTCCAAACTCCTGAGTGTGGCTTCAAGGCTGTCTGTCTTGGGCCCCTCCTCTTTCACGCCTCCGGCACCGTCTTCCACACATCTCCTGACTCTACTGATGCTGCCAGGAGGAACTACACAGATCCACACCCCACAGCCCTATGTCTCTGTTCTTACCATTTCCTCAACCTGGAGCTCCTCTGCCCTTCTCCAGCCACCAAAATCCCCTTGCTCTTCAAAAAGTCATCGCAGTTGCTGCCTCTTCCGGAAGCCTTTATTCATCCCTGGACCCATCACAGATGATTCTTTCCTCCTAACGCCCTGCACAAGTGGCTGCAGCTTTTCCCACCTACCTGTTTCATTTGGCACTAGGTTCCTAGGAACATCCCTCTGTCTCTCATTAGACCTCAGTTCTTTGAATATAGGATCAATGACCCATTTTTCATCCTTTCCCCTCCCAAAACTCGCCCCAGACTTTCCAAATGGTGACTGTGGAGTAAATATTTGTTGAATAACTTTGTTGAATTTTCACCCAGTCAACCCCGAATGGAAAAGGCAGTTCCCACCGGGATAGATGAGGTCACCTGGGATATTTTCAGACCCACAGAATGCAAAAGGATGCTGGGGGGTTACCTCATGTATCTCTGCCTCCAGGCAAGCTCAGTAAAGCCCAGACAGGGAGGCTCAGCCTTGGACTGCTTGCTAAGGAAGGAGGGGGAGTCATGGTGCCTCCCTAATACTCCTTGGCAGGAAATCCTCCGTGCAATCCATCTTCAAGCCTGTGTGTTGGTCATTATTGTTACAGCAGCATTTTAGCGGCTGGTTTTTATTATTATAGGATTAACTGAGATTGCTGTGCCTGCCCCCAGAGGCTTTTTAAAGCAACTGTTTTAAAATTGAAAGCACCGTTGGAGAGTAGAGCTAATAAAATATCCTTGGTGGGTGCATCCTATTTAGCAAAGTTTCATACCTTCAGCCCCCAGGACTGGTAAAAATTAAAGATTTTCCCATACTTCAGCATTAAAAGAAAAACCAGCTGTGATTTTGTACTCCATGTTTATTTGGAATCACTCTGTCATGAAAAACAGGAAAGGGAGAATGTCTAACACTCCTTTCTTTCCCATTTTCTTTTACATGGCTAATGGAACCAAATTTCTTATAAAATGGCTTTTCTTTAGCACTAACTCCCAAGCAATGGATCTTTCCCTGAAATGTGTGAGCATTGGTGGCAGGATTCATTTAGAGAACTCTACATCATTAATTTAAAAGATTGCCAAGCTAAATACAATGAAGGCACAATGCGGTGGGGCAGGAGGTGGACCACCCACTGGGGAAGCCAGAAGGGTGACTGGCCCTGTTCTCCCAAGAAGACAGGAAACACTTTATTCCCGCATTTATATCCAGCCCCCACCTGCCACTCACTCTAAGCCCCCCATGCCCTTCCCTGCCAAACAGGCTTATCCTCTGCCCTTGGGTATTCCTCACAGACCTGTTGTCAGGGGAAAACACCCGACCACTAGCAGCCCTGACCCTGACTTTGTCTAATCCCATCAATCAGCCATGATATTTGAGGTCAATGCTGGCCATGTGTCAGTTTGTGCAGAGCGGTGTGAAGAGGGTTGGCTCTGCCATCAGAAGCTCCAGGGTTTGAACCCCACATAGTAAACTTATTTGTTCTTTAATGCTGGATAAGTTACTCTACCTCTTGAGCCTCAGTTTTCTCACTTATAAAATGGGAATAAAAATAATGACCTCATCAGGTTGCTGAGCTAGGTGAGCTCATGTACATAAAGCACTGAGCATGGCAGGTCCTTCTGAGCAACTCCTACCCTCCCTACTTACCCCCTAAATGCATTCTGCATGTGGATTCCATGGTCAACCCTACATACAAAAGGGGGAGGAGTGATGGCTTCAGAACTGTGTTGGAGGGCAATCAAGTGGGCCATATTTGAGGAAATAAAGAGGGAGGTCCCTTCCCAGCACCTGTAAAATCCCCGCACATTGACTGCCTCTGGTGCCTCTTGGGCAATAAGCCCTGGCATGCGCCCCTCCCTGCAAGAAAACTATGGAGAGCAAACTCCCCCCAATGCTCATCCTGGACATTCTGCACCCAAGCCATTTTCTGAGGGAGGTCAGGGTGAAGCCCAATGCTGCTTGGATTCTTTATATCTCCCTGTGCTCAGTCCATGCCCTCCTGCTTGCTGCAGATCTCGGTTCAGCAGGGAAAATGTGGCGGCCACAACTTAATTGGTTGGAGATGGAGGCAGCAACCCTGCCCTACCCTTGAAGATCTCCAATTACTCTAAGACTGAGAATAGCGCAAACGTTCCAGTGGCTTCCATTCTCATTCAGGGTAAAAATGGTGTGGAGCCCTCCCCCACCCACCATCCTTATGTCTCTGATCACATCTCCTGCTAGGCTGCCTCACTGTGCTCACAGGGGAACCCACTCCCCGTTGCTTTTTCTAGAACATTCTAGAGCACCTTCTGCCTCACAGGCTTTGCATTTGCTATTCTGTCTACCTAAGGTACTCTCCCCCACACCAAATTCACATTGCTTGCTTCTTATCCTTTAGGATTCTATTAAAACACCCCCCATTTTGCTGGCTACATTATTTCAAATTGCAACTTGTTACCTACCCCCTCCCTCACTTAGTTTTCCCTGTGGCATATCTCACTGCCTCTATCCTACCATTAGAATATTAACTTACAGGGGCTATCTCAAGAGATCCCCCTCTAAGTTAATATTCTAACAGTGGGGTCCCTCTGGTCTTTAGTATCCAAACTTCAAAGAATATGTACATCTCTCAAAGCAATATTTTCTTCAGTCTACAATAATATAGGAAAAATGTACACTTATGTCCTGCTAGCTCAATGTGACATCTTTAGTAAAATGATGTGCAGGAGAATCTCCAGTTACAATAGAAATACAATTGGTAGAATGTCAGAAGTGTGTGCAGGTGTTTTGAAAGGCAAGCTGCGTGACAGCAAGGACTGTGCATCTCGAGGTTTTTCTCTCTCCAGTCTCAAAATTCTTTGCTTAGTGAATAACAGTTCATTTCAGGAAATTGCTTTATTTTTTACTCTAAAAATAAAAAGTTACTGTAAATTTTACCCATATTTTTGCTTAAAAGTATTAAATTACTGGCTATACGTCTTATTTATTTGCCAGGACTCACCTTAAAGGTAAGGCTATGGGCCAGGCACAGTGGCTCACACCTGTAATCCCAGCACTTTGGGAGGCTGAGGCAGGTGGATCAGCTGAGGTCAAGAGTTCGAGACCAGCCTGGCCAACATGGCAAAGCCCCGTCTCTACTAAAAATACAAAAATTAGCTGGACGTGGTGGGCCCCTGTAATCCCAGCTATCTGGGAGGCTGAGGTAGGAAAATCACTTGAACCCAGGAGGCGGAGGTTGCGGTGAGCCGAGATCATGCCACTGCACCCCAGCCTGGGCAACAGAGCAAGACTCCATCTCAAAAGAAAAAAAAAAAGGTAAGGCTATGTATGGCATGGTGTGCAAACGGATTTGTTGCTGCACACAGGATGACTGTTAACAACCTTGTTAATTGATTAGAGACCAAGACAAGTGATGATTTAGGCATTCATAATAATATATTCTACAGGTGTTAACTGTGTTTAGGTTATGTGTTAGGGAAGTGGCTAGAGGTTTTGGTGTTCTTGTAACACATCACCATTTCCTCCATTTAACATAAGGAGAAATGGACTTCCAGGCTGGGTTTTTGCACAGAATGTCTAATTTTCAGCAACAGATTGCTGATCTTGAGACTGCCTTTGCAAAAATTATATGAATGAGAAAATTATGACAGTAAAAGAGATCTGATTTAACCGACAACCCCATCTTGCCTTTCCCTTAATCATTCCTGGGCTTAGGCCAAGTTAACTTTGAGACACATCTACTTTATAGTTTAAATGATGACAGGTGTTCCCCTAAACTCAATCGCCTTTGTAAATCTAATGAAAGCCCATTAGGCTAGGGAGAAGAGAGGAGCCTGATTCGGCTAAGACGTAGACACAAATGATTGCCAGCCACTCCTGCAGATAACACCACTGTTGTAGATTGGCCTTTTGAGATATCTTTTCAGGATTTTTGCATGTCTGACACCCATGGCTCCACCTGGACCTGCCAACCTCCCTCTGGTGATCCCTGCTGGCAGCAATTCAGTATTAGAGGAGATCTTCAATCTCCTATGATTTCATATCCACCCAAACAACTGGCAGCAGGCACCCACTCCATAGTCACTTCCACCCCTTTTCCCAAACTGCCTTTGAAAAACCCTTAGTTAGGAACTAAGGGCCTTTGGGGAGACTGACTTGAGTACTAACTCCATCTCCTACATGGCGTGGCCAGACTTGCGTCTATTAAAGTTTTTCTTTACTGCAATGCTGTGGTCTTTGTGCAGCAGGCAGGAAAAGCCCATCAGGCAGTACAGCCTGAGGAGGGAAATGCCTGTGTTGTTCTTATTTGTTTTGCTTGATGTCTATCTGCCCTCACTAACATGCAAGATCCATGTGAGCAGGACCTTCAATGTGTTTTGCTTCCTGATGCTTCCCAGAACATTGTAAGAGCTCCGTATGTCCTGGTGAAGGCAAAATCTGTCTCTGGTATATTGGACTCCAGCAGGAACTACCTAAGAAGGGACCGGCTACCTCTGGGCTTAGCGCTGGCCACTATGTGGACTCATACTCTCCTCATAGGCCACACTGCCAGGAGGGGAAGACTGAAAAATCCGTGTAGCTCTGTGGCTTGCAGAAGATTCCCAAGGACCACAGGTTATACCTCATCCAAGCAGAGTTGCCATTATAGCACAGGAGCTCTAAAAGTCCATGTAAACTAGAGCAGGGAGGCTGCTAACATTAACTGAGTGCCCGCCATGTGAAGCAAGGATACACACTGTATGCACACATCATGCAGTAGGCTGCTTGCAAATGACTCCTAATGATCCCTGCCTCCTGGCATTCACACCCTTCTACAGTCCCTTGTTTTTGTGAGCAGACTGTGTCTTGCTTCACAATAAAATAGGGCAGGTGAAATAGGTTGTATTTCTGAGGTCAGGTTATAAAAGGCTGTGACTTCCTTCTTGCTGGAATTCCTTCTCCCTCTGGCTCTTCTCCAGGACTTGCTCTCAGGAAACAAGCTTTGCTGTTGTGAGCTGCCCTCTGGAGACCCCCACAGGGCAAGGAATGAGGACCATCCCCAGCCAACTGCTGTAAGGACCTGAGGCCACAGATATTGTTTGACCATATCTATTCAGCCACAGTGAAAACCTACTAGGTAGGGTTGGTCTAACCTAACATATTGGTGCTTTGCTGGGGAAATTCCCAGAGGAAGTTCACAGTCCTGAGCATCAGTCAGAGGGAGGAGGCCCAACAGAAACTGAGGCCTGCTAACAACAACATGAGTGAGCTTGCAAGCAGCTCTTTCCCCCACTGAACCTTGAGATGACTGCAACCCAGAAGACACCCTGACTGTTGTCTCAGGAGCCACTGAGTTAGAGGACCTGTTAAGCTGCACCAAGATTCCTGAGCCACAGAAACTGTGAGATAACCCATGGTGCTGTATTAAGTTACTAAGTTTTGGGGTCATTTGTTACACAGCAATAGATCACTAATACACACTATTTCACTGAGTCTTCATGCAACTCGTTTTACAGGTGAGCACACTGAGGCTCAAGGTCACACAACAGCTAGACCAAGATTCAGCCCCAAAACAGTCTGGGTCTCATGCTCTTGTTCTTTCCCACAATCCTGTTCCTCCTGCAGACCTTGATCATGGGCATGGCAGGAAGGCCCCTGGGAGTCTGTTCTCTGGAGTATCCTGAGCTTTCCCGTGGTCATTTTCACAGATCTATGGTTGTCCATCTCACTGCAGCATGCAACATAAAACTACACGCGTGTCTTCAGAATCTTTCAAACACCAGGTTCAGCCCTTCAAACAAGGCTGGGCAACTTCGGGGAATGAAGTCTATTTTTATTTTTAAGAAGCCATCTGCCTTCCCTTTAGTTTAGAAATTTAACCAGAGCTGGAAAAGAATAAATAAATATTTGAGAATGGTGTGCAGTTGGGCAAATTTCTCTCTCACACATCTGTAATCTCTTATATTGTCAAAGGGCCACTACCAAGGATAAAGGAGGAATAAAGGATCAGTCTATTACTAACTATTGATACTTACAGTAAGGGCTCAGTGAAGTGACATTAGTGCCAGGCTTGTGGAAGACACTCCTGGGGCCTGATTCGACAGGCAGTGAAGTGAAAGTGAGCCACCCTGGCCTGCGGGCTTGGCCTCTAGAGCTCTCTTTCCCTCCCTCAATTTGCAGAGATGCATATTGCCCAGGTCATTGCTAAAGAGGCCTCTTCCCCATCCCAGCAATTTGATCACTTTCAGTGTCCCCTTGTCAGAGGGCAGACTTGGCCAGCATTGCCCCTGCCCTTGCGGAATGACTTGGTGATTGAGTGGGTTCCATCTACACCAAACAGGGATCATGTCCTCAGCCCAGCTCCTCATCCAAGAATAAAATCCTGAACTGGATTGCTTTTATTGTTTCTTAAGGAAAAATCTACACTAACAAATGAAATTAAGTAACACAAACCTGGCTAATTAGTCAATATCAATCACAATGTAGACTCAAAATGGGTCTCTTCTACAATGGTAGAAGCATTGACCAGAATCACCCAGAAATATGTCCCCTCCACATTCTGCTGGGATGAGGTGCCCTTCCTACTCTATTTTCACATAGGCATGTTTGTTCTTGTTGTGGAGAAGGTAGGGGAAGCCTCCTCCTTTGGACTCACTCTCAGGGCTGTGAACTCTCTCTGGGAAGTTCCCCAGCAAAGCACCGACATGATAAGTCAGACCAACACTACCTAGTAAGCTTTAGTTGTGGCCAAATAAATACAGTCAATCACTATCTATCCAGGAAGGGCAAGGCTATATAAGATAGAGTTTAGGGTTGTAAATAAATAAAAACTAAAATTAACCTAACAAAGCTAACATGCTATTTTATCCAAGGACAAATTTTTCATTGATTGATTACATGATAATCACACAGAAATGCAATGTATGAGTGTGATGGGTGTACTAACAAATAAGTGATTGACCTGCTACAAGTGTTTACAATTTTTCCTGTGTGTTTGTAATCAAACACGGTGGTCCCCATTGTCTCTACTGTAATATGCATTTTAATAATTAAGCAAAAGACAAAGGTAGAGGTTAACTCTATAGACCTGGGTCCCACGAACCCCCACTCTCTCTCCCTGGCTCTGTCGTCTAGGCAGGGAGAACTCACTGTAGCAGAAGAGCCAGTCCTCAAGGGCCTGGGCTGGGGTAGAGATACACCCAGGGAATGAGAGATGTCATGATCAGCGGCCTTGGAGGTGAAAGAGAGAGAAGCGGCAATGTAGACTGACCAGAGGCCTAGAGAAGGAGGCCAGGACAAGGCCCTTCTGGGAACAGATACCAGAAGCATAAATGGGCTGCTGTTGAGCAGACAGCACAGGCACAGGGGTAACTGGAGGTGGGAATCAGGCAGCTAAGAAAGTTCAAACTGGAAGAACAGACATCCTGACAAGGGCAGGTCACAATCCGAGCCAGGTGAGCAGTGGAGACTCAGTCATAGCCAATGCAAGTCACACATGGAGGGAAGATGAAGGAGCAACAGGCGTGAGCCTTTCTGAAATGTTTGGGGTCCAAAAATTTCTGTCCCATTGCAAAAACACCAGTAGCCTGTAACCAATACAACAATCAGGAAGTAGTATGTGCAGTGAGATGATTCCAAGCTTGAACTGGCCATGAGCCAAATATAGGATAGCTACCTAGCTCAGTGACCTTAGCTAACCTTAAGCCACTTAGTAAGCCTCCATTTCCTCATCTGTAAAATGGAGGTAATAATAGTAGCTAATTTATTGATTTGTTGTAAGGATTCAAGAAGAGAATGCATTCAATGAATGTATTCCCAGCACATAGTTAGTGCTTGACAAACAGAAAGTGTAGATGCCATTCCTATGAACAATAAATCCAAGAGTGGCTTGCAATGCTGGTCCAGTTCCGGGGGTGGGAGGAAGCGAAGTCAGACGTCTGTTGTCTTTAAGATGCTGTGGGCAGGAGTCTTTTACATGCAAGCTTGAGAGTTCTCCACAAAGCAGAATTAATTAGGTCATCCCTGCGATGCACCTCATATTCCTCACCCTTGTCTTGATGCCTGAACTTCCAGAAACCTCTTCCCCTGACTTCAGGCATCTGTCCAGGTCCCTTGGCCACACCCCAGATTTCCTGATGCTCTGCTTCCCATCGGGACTTGGAACACCTTTCCCATTTATGTCCCAGGCCTGAAGTCACAGGAACCCTGGCTACAAGGCCCTGTGTATGTGTGAAAGGGGATTACCTGCATGGTCAAAATAGCACGTAGATTGGGACAGCCCACCCAGGAGTGGTAGAACAAGGCATAATTCAGAAGTGAATTCTGAATTTCAAACATCCTCTGTTCCAGAATGTAGGGAAAGAGAAGCAGGATAGGGGATGGAGAAGGTGACATTTGACACGTAATGAGTCAGGAAGACTCATCCTAGGATGGAGTCAGGGTGGCTTCATGTTCCAGGGTGCCCCAAAAAAGCTAGGCCTGTGTCTGTCCCTCAAGGCCCAGCAACTCCTGGGACTAGGTCTTCAGTACTATAGCATGCCACTATTGGCCAATCTAGGGGAGGAAGCTTTTCCTAACACACCTCTTTCACAGCCACCCACATCTTCCCAGTGGCTCTAGCAATAAAGCCCTCCCTCTTCAGACTAGCAACCAAGCTTAAAATTCAAACCCAATTCAACTCAGTCACACTAAAACATGTTTAATAATAATAGCTGATGCTTAGTGAGAACTTACTGTATCACAGGCAGATGTTTGCTCAAGTCATTGCATGTAATCCTCAACATGGCTCTAAATGCTAATACCTGCATTGTACAGATGAAGAAACTGAAGCTAGAGAGGTTAACTAAATTGTCCAAAGTTCACAGTTCATAGTACAACAGAGATGAAAATCCAGCTTTGGCTGACACCAGAGGTCTCCCTTTTAAGCACGCTATCCTGTCTCTCTAACATAACGAACTGACACTGGATGATTTGCAAGAGGGCTTTGATGGGCAAGAGGGCTTAAGATAGCATGAATGGTGGATGCCCAAAGGTAGGAGGGAGTAGAAAATGAACACTCACATGCCAAAGCTAAAGCCTCCAGCTTTCCAGTTTGCTCAGACCTCCATCTGTGTGCCTCTGGCTAGGCATGTCTGAGAGGAAGTACCCAAAGATGGTTTAAGCTAGGGGCTGCCAGCTGCTTGTAAGGCTGGATCACGGTTCATACCCAGACCAACAATTATACCCACAGCCAAAAAGAAACCACTAGCCATGCCTCCTCCCACCTACACAAGCTGTAATCAGCAAGTTGAAACCACAAAGGCTGCAGAGACAGCATCTTCCAAATGAAGAAAGGTCAGACCCAGCTATTCTTAAGCCTAAGGACAATGGGCTTTCTACTATTTTTAAAAAGTTATCAGGCAAACAAGTAATCATTTCATTTAAAATTTGAAAGCTTCAGGAGAGTAAGCCATGCAAATACATGCAAAACGTATTCTCTTACTCTTTTAAGCCCTCCCAAGCATGACTACTAGTTAAAGATGATTGAAAGCCCATGTGCTGACTGCTTGGAGACATTGCCTGGTGACCTTTAGGAACAATCAACTTCAAACACCAAGCAACCTCATACCTAATAACAGGCTGCATTTCCAAACATTCATTTGTAAACAGGATGCTTTCTCCAAACACACAATGCTGGTTCAACACCAGGCTAGCCCACAGAAGCCCATGAGTGGCCACCTTAACTCTAGCACACAGCATCTGAAGTCTATGCTAAATATTTTGTAGGGATCAGCATAGCCATGGAGTTTGGACTTTGCTCTAAATGTACTGGGGAGCTGTGAATGAATTTTCTTCTGGAGAGTTACCTAATGAAAGTGATGCTTTGCAACAGTTGACCTGAATGTAATTACACAGTGTAAGTTGAAGCAGAGAGACTGGTAAAGGTGACATTGCAAAAATCCAGTTTTGAGTTGATAAAGGATTAAAGTAGAGTGATTGCAACTGACATATATAACAATTTATTTACATTGATTAATTAAACCAATTTTTAGTTAGCATTTACTATGTCTCCTGGAGATTCACTCATTCATTAGACAAACATATATCGAACACCTAAAATGTGGAGAGGACTGTGCTAGGCTCTGGAGATATAGTGGTCCCTAGCCTTATACAACTTTGCAATCTAGGCTGGGCATGGTGGCTCACACCTGTAATCCCAACACTTTGGGTGACCGAGGCAGGTGGACCACCTGGTCAGGAGTTCGAGACCAGCCTGATCAACATGGTGAAACCCCATCTCTACTAAAATACAAAATTATCTCGGCATGGTGGTGGGTGCCTATAATCCCAGCTACTACTTGGGAGGCTGAGGCAGGAGAATCTCCTGCACCTGGGAGACGGAGGTTGCAGTGAGCCAAGATCATGCCATTGCACTCCAGTCTGGGCAACAGAGCAAGACTCCGTCTCAAAAACGAAACAAAACACAACAAAAAAACAATTTTGCCATCTATAAATGAATATAGATATTAAAACTAACAATTACCAGTGTGAGGCATGTTAGAAAGAGGAAGGTCAAGGTGCAATGGAATTGCACAACGGGAGATTCAGTGATGTGGATGATGATTATAAAAATCAATCTTCCCCAAGGAAGGAGGACTTAAACACAGATGGGAAGAATGAATTGACGGCAGTCAGAATAAGAAGGGAGAGAGGAATATTTCCTGCAGAGGGAACAGTAAGTGCCAAGGTCAGGAGGTAGAAGAGGGTCAGCCATTTTGAAGAACTGAAGGACCCTTCAATGTGGGAGGAGCAAAGCAAGCCAGAAAAGCTGGAAGCAGGTCAGATTGTGAAGGGCTGTGTGAACCATGGAAAGGAGTTCTTTTGCAATATCTAGGATTCCTGTAGTTTTAAACAGTGTAGTTATATGGGAAGCATTAGAGGAGGTGAAGGTTTGGTGGGGAAAATTATGAGATCAGGTAGACAGGTTGAGTTCAGCACCTCCAAGATGAACTGGCAGAGATGTGAGGCAGGATTGCAGAGATGAGTCTGGAAGTCATGTCATCTGAGCCCATGATAAGGTTCTAGAGATTATCAGCATGGAGCTGAAAATTGGGGTCACCAAGGAGAGTGGGGTCACAGGGGAGGATGGGGTGCCAGGGAGGGTGTTAAGGAGAAAGGGCTCCAGAGACAAGACAAAAAAGGCTGGGCAGAAACTAGTGCCTGGCAGGGGATGGGAAGGGGGCAAAGGTGACTATGTTTGTCCTGGTGACAGTAAGAATAATCTCATTGGCAGAAAGGGGAAAGTGAGGAGCCAGAGCCAGGTCAGTGGTAGCAAATCAGCAAGTGCATGTTCGGCGATGACAGAACTCTTCACAGTGAGTGTGTGTCTGGCGATGACAGAACTCTTCAGCCCTAAGGTGCTGCCCAGGCTCCTCCTCCTCTCAAGAAAGATGATTCATTGATGAACCGATACAGAGCTTGGCCATATTTAGTGAACACTTGCCAAGTGTCAGCCACTTTCCCCAACTCTAGAGATAAAGGAACAAATCAGATAGAGTTACTCCCCCAAGGAAACCCAACCTAGACGGGGGAGATAGGCATGAAACAGACAATGATCCATGCAGTGTGACTGGGTTGATCATAGACACACATGCTAGGAACATCACTAAAGTCATGAAGGAAATAGTGGCCCCTCCACTTCCTAGAAGGTAATGTACTCTGGTGTCTGTGTTTGTTTGCTAGGACTGCCATGACAAAGTACCACAAATTGGGTGGCTTAAAACAACAGAAATGTATTCTTTCACTGTTCTGGAAGCTAGAAGTCTGAAATCAAGGTGTTGGCAAGGCCATGCTCCCTCTGTAGGCTCCAGGGAAGAATCTTTCCTTGTGTCATCCCAGATTCAGGTGGCTCCTGGCAATCCTTGGCTTTCCTTGGTTTATGGCAGCATAACCAATCTCAGCCTCTGTCTTTGCATGGCTTTCTTCACTTTGTGTCTATACATCCAAATCTCCCTCTCCTTTCCCTTATAAAGACACCAATCATTGGATTTAAGGCCCACATTAACTCCGTATGACCTCATCTTAACTTGACTTACTCGAAGACCCTATTCCAAACAAGGTCCCATCCACAGGTACCAGACGGTAGAATATAAACAGATCTTTTTGAAGGAAATAATTCAACCCACTATAGCATCCCTCTTTTTCCAGCACCAAGGTTGGTGCCTGACACCCAGTAGGTGCCCAAAATATGTTTGTTGAATTGCATCAGTAGCCTGTTGTGTTAGAAAAGAAGGGAAGAGGGTCTTCGCTAAAAGGAAATATGATTTGTATCTGATATATGGCCCTAAGGTCAATTTTGGGAAAGGATTTCACAGTTCATGATTGCTTTCATAAATTCCTTTCAATTAGTATGTGAATCTTATAGTATCTTATACTCTTGTTATAGGGTCTATTGAAGCCGCCCTCCTTCCAAAGGAGAAAAGCAAATTACTTTACCAGGAGAAATTCTAAAATAGAGTTAATTTTTTATCATATATGTCAGGAAGCCTTAATATCGATGACTTTTCCTCAGCACATTAAGAATTCTCCAAGAATTGATATAATCTCTATGGAGAAAAACTCAGCAAGGCCAACCAAAGTTTAAGATATATCTACCTCTTGGATCACCTGAGGTTAGGAGTTCAAAACCAGCCTGGTCAACATGGTGAAACCCCATCTCTATTAAAAATAAAAATAAAAAATAGCCAGGTATGGTGGTGCATGCCTGTAATCCCAGCTACCTGGGAGGCCGAGGAAGGAGAATTGCTTGAACCTGGGAAGCGTAGGTTGCAGTGAGCTGAGATCATGCCATTGCACTCCATCCTGGGCAATGAGTGAAACTCCGTCTCAAAATAATAATAATAAAAAAAGATATATCTACCTTTGACTCAGTGGATCTAATTATAAGAATTTACCCTATAGATAGATAATATTCTTATACATGGAAAAGCAGCATAGTACAAGGTTTTTTTTTAATCACAGAATTTTTCATCTATAGAAGACTAGTTAAATAAATAATAATACATCCAGACAATTAAATAGTATCATAAATAAGGAGTTTCCTTTCACAGGTAATACAAAGTCCAGAGATAGGTGGCCCAGCACAGATGCGATGGCTCTGCCCTGTCACCTTCCACTCCTCAGCTTGAGCATCCTGAGTGTGAACTTCCTTCCTTATGCTCACAACATGGCTGCTGTGCTCTGGGGGCATCATAGCTGCTTTCTAGGAGGAAGAAGGAGGAAGGGGAGAAAGTCTGCCTCTTTTTATCTGGAAAACAACATCTTTCCCAGAAGCCCCACCCAATACACTCATGCATATAACTCAGTGACCACAACCAGGTATGTAGCCACCCTATGTACAAGGGAAGCTGCAAACTGCAATTCCTAACAAATTTGAGGTCAAGAAACAGCAACTAACAGTCATTAAGAAGAAAAAGGCAGCTCTGTATGTATTGCTACGGGTCTAGCACCAATAGGTACTGTTAAGCAACAAATAAACAAAACAGGTGCAGCACAATGTGAACAGTATGCTACCATGTATATGTAACTGGTACCCCCATTTTTCTAAAAAGTAGTTTAATGATTATATTTTCTCTCTTCTTTTCTCATTTCCCTGGTTCCCCACTTCCTACTTAGCCCTTTAGAAATGCAAATATAGCCTTTTACCCCACCCGCCTTCACCAGATACTCCCTACAGGGCAAGTTCATCTAACTCCTTGAAAATTAACAGTTGATTTACAGACCAAAGTATGCCTGCTGTGGAACTCCCGCCCCTCAGGAAGTTGCCTCAAGAGATACCGCTGATTTCTATGAGACTCCCCCTCACCAGGAAGCCGCCTCAAGAGCTATAAAACTCTCCCCCATCTGGGGCATTTCTGGCCTAGTCCTGCCCATAAAGGCACCAGTGGTCACCAGTGACCTACTGCATAATAGATAAGGCACTGGAGCTAACACATAGACCCCGCTGCCTTGCTCACTGCTGCCCCCCGCCCCACCCTGCGTTTTAAAAGTGCCTGCTTTCTGCTCCAAAAGCGAAGTGGTACATTTAAAGGGGACACCTGTGCTTCTTCCCCTTAGCTACCTTTGAAAATAAATCACTTTCTTTATACCATACATTGCCCTTGTTAATAGGACTCTCTGTAAGTGGCGAGCAACTAACCTGCATTTTGGTTACAATTTTGGTGGCCCATGTAGGGAACGCTGCCTGCCCTGGGTGATCCAAGCCTGTCAACTCAATTTCACTACTGGGCAAGGTCGGGGGTTGCCTGTGGGTCCAGATGCTCATGGCTAGCAGACCCTGTGATGGGAGTGTTACAGAACTTCCCAGCAGCTGCCATAAACATTTTTGTTTTGGGGGAACATCTGTTTTGCCTCCTGGCACGATATTTGCTGCCTTCAGTGCTTCACTGGTACGAAGAAAGTGACCTCTAGAAGAAAAAAAAAAAAACAGCAAATTTTGGAACTGGGTAAGTTTGTTGGAAATGTGCCCACCCACCCTATACCTCTTTTGGGGTGTTGCTAGGGCTGTGCTCTACTTAAGACGTGGCTGTTAGTGACACCATTTGAGCATTTTATGCGCTTGTATTTGTTTGTGTCTGCAGTACCATAGGAGTTTTACTCAGATCAGACTCAGAGACCCATGGAGCCCTTTAGAACTGAGGAAGGGAATTCAGGATCTCACCCAGTCCCCTTGATTGGGACTCATTTGGAAACAGGCTATTTGTTTGCAAATGTATTACTTTGTGTATGGACCCTGATCCCTACTTTATGGAAGATAAATGAGAATAGTGGGGGTAGCAGCCTCACACTGTGTGGTGGCTATTAATAGAAGGCTCCAGAATTTCCTTTTGGTCACCACCTTTTTTCTTCCTCTCCCTTTTTTCTCACACCTCACTTAGAAAACCTGCCTCCTACATGAAGGCTGGTTAGGCTGTATCTTCCTCTATTTTCTTTCCTGCTTGTCTTTTTTGAGAGTGTATGTGTGTGTTTCTGTGTATGTATATGTATCTTGTTATGTATTTTAGCCACGAAGTACACACTGGCTTAAAGTTAGGGAGTACTCATAAGTTAAGTGAATAAGCCCAAATGCTTATCTTTAATAAATAAGCTGGCTTTTAAATCATTGATAAAATAATATTAGAAGTGTCTTAAGAATTGTCAACATACATTTTTGTTTGAATTTATTGATCAAGTGGTTTCATATTTATCTCTGCCAGATATTATTAGGTGTCAAAATTTGGCATAAGAATTATAAAATTATAAGCCCAACCCAAAATGGAATGATCTTTATAACACAGCTCTGATGACTGAAGGAACACCAGGATCCTTAGTCTCGCGCTGATTTTGATAGAACAACACGGACACACGCGGAGTGGTTTTTAAGGAGTGAAAAGTTTAATAGGCAAGAAAGAAGGAAGGCAGGAAGGAGAAAACAGCTCCCCCATACAGAGACCGAGGGAGGGGGGATAAGAACAAAGAGAAAACCCCAAGGGCAGCGGAAAAGTGGCTGCTTATATGAGGAGGCAAGAGGAGGTGGTGTCTGTTTTGCATAGGGCTCAGGGGGTTGGTTTGACCAGGCATGTCATTCCTGTAGTAGCCCGCGAAAAACCTGGCCCTCCCACCCTACCCTTTTAATATGTAAATGCAGGGTGCCATGATGTTCTACACACATAGTGATATGTGGGGGTGGCCATGTTGCCAGGCACATGTGAGGGCAAGGGGAAGAAGGCAGTGGAAATCACCAAGTTTGGGTGGACCCAGTTTCTTATGGCAGGCATTTACATATCAAAGCTTGCTGCCCTGCTCTGAGAGCCAGGGCTTTCCTATTAGACAAGAAACGTTTCTGGAGCTGCGTTAAAAGAAACAAAAACTTCCAAGGACACCTTTTCCTCTCTATCTGCCTAAAATAATTTCTTAATAACTCTTATAACATTTATTTATGTAATTTTTGATAAGTAAGGCATTTAACATTGTTTAATGAAAACAGCTAAATCTTGAGAGGTGAAGCCAGCTGGACTTCCTGGGTCGAGTGGGGACTTGGAGAACCTTTCTGTCTAGCTAGAGGATTGTAAACACACCAGTGATCTGTGTCCAGCTAAAGAATTATAAATGCAGCAGCAGCACTCTGTAAAAACGCACCAATCAGTGCTCTGTGTCTAGCTAAAAGATTGTAAATGCAGCAATCAGCACTCTGTAAAAACGCACCAATCAGTGCTCTGTGTCTAGCTAAAGAATTGTAAGCGCACCAATCAGCACTCTGTAAAATGGACCAATTAGTACTCTGTAAAATGGACCAGTCAGCCCTCTGTAAAATGGACCAATCAGCAGGACATGGGCGGGGACAAATAAGGGAATAAAAGCTGGGCACCCCCAGCCAGCAGCAGCAACCCGCTGGGGTCCCCTTCCATGCTGTGGAAGCTTTGTTCTTTTGCTTTTCACAATAGCTCTTGCTGCTACTCACTCTTTGGGTCTGAGCTGTAACACTCACCATGAAGGTCCACGGCGTCATTCTTGAAGTCAGCGAGACCAAGAATCCACCAGAAGGAACCAACTCCGGACACATTGTGAATTTATTGACAAAATGACCACGTGTTTAACTTTAAGATTCTTACTTAAACGCCTGATGTTCACAAGCTTTAAAAACAGTTAACAGGGAAATAAAATAATGACCATCTTTGTGTAATATCAATTTTCAAAGGTAATTCTAAATAAATGTTTAAAATGGGAAAATTAGGTACATATAAATGAGATAAATGCTTGTAAGTAAACTTTTTAAATAACATAAAATCTTAAAATCATTTTGGATGCTTAATGTATGTCTGGATCAGTTCCAATTAAGAAAGGGTTATTATTCACGCCTGTAATCCCAGCACTTTGGGAGGCTGAGGTGGGCAGATCACAAGGTCAGGAGATCAAGACCATCCTGGCTAACACGGTGAAACCCCATCTCTACTCAAAAATACAAAAAAATTAACCGGGCGTGGTTGCGGGCGCCTGTAGTCCCAGCTACTTGGGAGGCTGAAGCAGGAGAATGGTGTGAACCCAGGAGGCGGAGCTTGCAGTGAGCCGAGATTGCGCCACTGCACTCCAGCCTGGGAGACAGAGCAAGACTCCGTTGCAAAAAAAAAAAAAAAAAAGAAAAAGAAAGGGTTATTATATGGGAAACATGTTCCAAAATTGTGGAATGATTCTCATCTATAAATATTAGTATCTGACAGGCAGTTCAGGATTTCATGCTTCTTAGGTTTATATAAAATATTCCAAAGAAGATGTGTTCTTAATGGGAAAAAGAATGATTTTGTCTAATTCAAAAGTTATACAAAAGTGAATTCAAATTATGAACTCGAAAAGCTTATTGCATCCATGTAACTTTCTGTATTGCTTTTAAAGTCCTTGTGCTGTTAAGTTACAGGGCTTTGACTCTTGGGTCTAAAAGGGGCACATGATAATGTTATAGCTAGCCTTAATTCTCTTGAATGAAGTCCCTTGCAAGCTCAAAAATGACTACACTAGATTCTTGGAAAAGCAATAGCAGTCACCTTGTACTATAGCTCCGTAGCTAAGCCTTTACCCTTTCACACTGGTGGCCTAGGTTCAGTTCTGGCTTTGGGAATAAGTCCTTTCTAGTTTGAGAGTTGTGAAACTTTTGCTATTTATTGATTCTTTTCCCCTCCATGGATGGCTTCTGATTTCCTGTCTTGAATTTTATTTTCTCTGAGCTACCTTAGGGGAAATTCTAGATCTTGTGAAAATTGTTTGCCATTCTTTGAAGATACCTCATGCATCTGTAGTTAAGTTGTAACCTGAGTTAAGGGGTATTGGTTCCACTTGAGAGAATATCTTTGGGAAGAAGAAATGAAAATCTCAAAAGCCAGAGATGCCAGCCATTTGTCCTGGCTACAATATGGTAATAAAATATTTTAAAATACTTTTTATTTTGAGAGCTCTGTAATTGGAAATGACATAATTAGGCTAATATTTGGGCTATATGTGCACAGATTCTGTTTTAAAGCCCTTGCTCCCCTGCTATAAACTTCTCAGTTGATGGAATTCTGTCTGATTTTCCATTTACTCCTATCTCTTCCTCCTTCCTCTTGTATCTAATCTTTTCTCACCCTACCAGATTTGCTTCTGTCTGTATATATGTGTTGTGTGTGTGATATTTATACAAAAGAGCTCTAATTAATTGGCTTAAAAATAATATGTGCTTAAATCAAATATATTGTAAGAAAAATAGAAACTTTAATGCCTTTAAGTCACATGACTCTAATGATCTTTGAAAAATAAAGACAGTTTAAAAGGTCATTGGTAAAGTTAAATAGAAATGTCTTCAAAGTTTAGACATTTGGTCTAAATAGGGTAGGTCAGATACTATTTGCTAGATGCTTTGAGGTCATAAACTCCTTCTGTGATTCTTTAGTAATTATTTGACCTGTCTATTTTACAGCCATTAAATTCTAGGTAAGGCCTGGGGACGTATGGAGTTAGCCAGGTCCCCTGGCTAGGCTGGGCAGAATTAGACATTGTCTGTCTTTGTCCTGGGCTCTACAATCTGATACAAGATTAAAATCACTTACTTAACAGGTCTTTCACCAAAAATAAAAGTTATTAAGAGTTGACATTGTAACATGTACTTGAGACTACAGGAGAAACAGTTTTACATGCAAGGTGTATAAGGAAAGTAGAATGTGTTTTTGGTAAAGGTTATAAGAAGGTTTGAAAATATGTTTTTTGTTAAAGGGGATGTAATTTTGTATAATTCAGAGATTTTTAAGGATCATCCTAACCTAAGACAGTAATCGGACAAAACTGAAGGCTTAAATAAGTTGCAAAAGATTTGTGAAAGATTAATCTTATAAAATAAGTTATGTGAGTGTGAGCAAGTTGGCTAAAATTTGAGGAACATTTTCTAGCTCTTCCATAAATTAAACATTGAAATAAAAGCACCCTGATGCAGGGCCAGAATCTGAGCCTGTTGGTCTGAATAACAGGGTTTTCTTAGAGAATTGATATGCTGTTTAACAGAAAATTGTAAAGGGTTATAAAAGGTTTATGGAAATCTTACCTTATGGTCAAAGTAATTAAGATCAGATAGATTTGTTTGTTTTAGTAAGAATTGGGTTTAATGTTAATAGTACATTAATGCAAAGGCAAAATTTGGCTTTCTGTTTTGAACAGTATTTTCATATAATATTAAGAGATAATGAAAGGTTTTTGCTTGCCTTTCGAATAAATGACAAAAAAAGGGAAGAGAAAAGAGACAGATTCAGCTGGCCTCATGCTGTCTTTATTGGGTTTTGTTTGGAAAGCTGAGTCTCCTCTCTATCAGTGAGTAAAGATTTTTCCCTTTTGGTTATAGTGACCTGGGGATTTTATTTTGTAATACCAAGTGTTTAAAATTTTAATATTTAACAAACTTTCCAAAGTCAAATTCTAAATTTAGTCTTTCTTTTTATTCACCTGGTTATCCCTTTTAGCTATTAGATACCCTAAAGTCCAAAAGAGACATATTTGGCTTACTTGGCACATTAAAATCACACAGGAAGCATTGTCAAGTATGAAATGGTGTTTAACCTTCTTTGGATAATATTTATATAAATGTATTATTAGTATAAGTACCAAAATTGTATGAGATTCCTGTGATTCTAATATGTCTTAGTATATGTTATCAGTAGCAATTATGATTATTATGTAAAATTGGTATATGCCACAGAAGTAACCAATTCCTAGTCAATTGTGTCTTTTACCATAACTGTTCTAAGACTCATCATCCACAATTGCTGTTTTACTTTGATCCTTTTACAGAGCAGTTTATAATCAGATATATAACTTTGAGGAGTACCCTTAAATATTGCTTTCTGATAACTGTAGAGATTGCACCATTGGAATAGAGAGAAAAACTCTGGGACTCTCATGGAGAACTGATGTGTTCATGAGGATTCCTGATCCAATGTAAGGCAGAACAGAAGTTAATTGAATGGACTTAACTAACCGAAGATTGAAATAATATTTTATGACTTTTTAAAACATTTGTTTATTCTTTTTGTTTTGTTTTTCAGAGTCAAGAAAACCTTTTAAAAAAAGCTATTTGCAGCGTTTATCAATTGGATAAAGTACATTTCCATGAGAAAAATTTGGAGTGTATTTCTCTCTCTCTACCTGGTTTCTCCAGAATTTGAAAACTATTTGTAAGTATACTTAATTTATGGCACTATAGTTATTTGCATAAGTTCAATACAATCTGTTTTCTTTTGTAACAGAACATCATTTAAGACACTGGTTATTTTACCAAAGTTTTGACTGGAATGGCATACTTCGAGGTTTAAACAGATTGCTTTAAGGAATCAAAGTTGACTTATAGAGCCAATAAAAATCCCCGTGGGAAAGCTGGTCTCATACTTTGGCTATACAGTCACTATACAAGGTGTCCTGACCTGTGGTAAGTAAAGAATGTCACTTTCTGATGGGCCCAGGAGTCTCAAGTTTTCCTGGGACCTCAAGGAGAGGAAATCACTCAATCCATGTAGATATTTGTAGGCACAGATAAATCTGTGGCTGGGCTCAAGACTTTAAAAAGTCTAATCTGAGATTCCTATGGAACAAAGTTCCAGCAAAGCCAATTTTTTTAAAAAGCCTATATGACAAATAAGTATTCTTGTTATACTTAATGCAAAAACTCAGGCCAAGTATAACAAGACTAAAATATATTTTTCAAATAAATTTGTTCTGCTATGATTTATCTTTAGTAAAAATGGGTACTGGAGAGAGAAAAATTATGTGTCAGATCCTAGCCTTGTCCATTGTTTTCAATTTTTATCTTTTTGCAATTTGGACTGAATCTTGAATTCTTTCTGGGCTACAGGTCTCAAATTAACACTTTCAAAATTTTCTTCCATTTTTCTGATTTGGACTCAATGAAATTACTACTACATTATTCTTTGTAGTATGGCAGACTGTAGTGCCATAGTGGCAGACTGCCACTGCCTTCCTCCTCTGTACCTAAAGATGCTTTGAGTCTAATATCTGGATAGATTGTGCCCAACATTAACTTTTGTTGTTCTTCTGTTTCCATAGAAATGCCTATTATTCAAAATCTATTTGCCTTCATCAAGTGCAGAGGGCTAACCCACCTGCGATGCTACTTCCTGGATGAGACACAGCTATTTAACTAAGCTGGTCCATTCTCAAGAACTAGACAGGGCTTAGACCACTTTCATGAGTATTCGTAACTCCTTCTTTAGCCTGTTAAATATATATACTTAGCCAACCTGTCATCGTATCTGGTTAGAATTGGCAGTGGGGAAGCTACATAATTAAGAATTCAGGAAATGTCTCAGATAGCTCTGTAAAACCTGCACTAACAAATCAAAGCTATGTCTGACCCACATTGTCACTAGGATTTAGCATCCTGGCCCAGTCAGACCATCCTGGTGGCAAAAGCTGCTTGTAAAATTGACCCTGACTGAAGGGATAAGCATATCCCTCTGTTGCGGCGTTTACTGCTGTTATGCTCTCTCTATGGGAACACAAGACAGGTTTTCCCAGAGACTCTCAAGACTACACACCATATTGCTTCAACAAACATCATCTGTAAGTCCAGGTACTCATGAATGTTTCCAACTCAAAGTAGATCAGTTCCATTCTGACGCCCAATGACTACACCCCCTTTCAGCAGGACGTAGCCAGAGTGAATATGGCACCCAAATCCCATAGAAATGGAATGAAACTTGGCAGTGAGAGTTTGTAACTGAGTCTCCCATTTTTCTAAGAGGGAGTTTAATTCTCTCTCTCTCTCTGTCTGTCTCTCTCGCTGCCTCCCTTTTTCATTCCCCTGGCTCCCCACTTCCTACTTAGCCCTTTAGAAATGCGAATATAGCCTTTTACCCCTCCCTTCATCAGATACTCCCCACAGGGCAAGTTCATCTAACTAATAGTTGATTTATAGACCAAAATATGCCTGCTACAGAACTCTCACCCGTCAGGAGGTTGCCTTGAGAGATAACAGCTGAATTCTATGAAACTCTCCCACTAGAAGATTGCCTCCAGAGACATGAAACTCCCTCCCACCTGGGGAGTTTTTGGCCTAGACCTGCCCTCAAAGGCACCAGCAGTCACCACCTTGACTGCATGGTAGGTAAGGCACTGGAGCTAACAAATGGGCTCCCTTGCCTTGCCTGCTGCTTTCTGCTCCAAAAGTGAAGCAGTACATTTAAAGATGGGACACCTGTGCGTCTTCCCCTAAGCTAGCTTTGGAAGTAAATCACTTTCTTTATACCACACTTCACGCTTATTAATTGGACTCTGCAATCTGCAAGCTACTAACCTGCATTTCAGTTACATGTACACTTAGGATATTAAGGGGGCTGCATGTGTATGTGCACCCTATATATTCCTATAAATGCACAGAATCCCTAGAAGGAAATGCAAATTATGACAACAGTCCCTCCAGGAAAGAGCCATGGGAGGCTGGGGACAGAGGACAGAGGGAGAGTTCCTTTTCACTCTTTGTTCTTTTCTAATTTTAAAGTTCAAACATGCACATGAATTATCGATTTAAATATTAAGTAATTTTTAAAAGACAGAAAGAACACCTCAAGGATAACAAAGCTTTTCTCCTTGTCATTAGTATGATGTTAGTGTTGTGAATGATGGGGTCCAGGACATGTTACCCCAAAATATGGCACTGTTACAAAAAAAATACCAGGGGTTAGTCACCTAGCAAGTAGTAAACTACTCTCCATGAGAGCACAGGTTTTTATTAATAGGAGGTTTATTACTTGGCTCAAGTAAGGAGGACACTGGGAGCATTCTTCAAAGCAGTCTCTCCCCTAGGGAAAGTGATGGGAGGGTTTTATGGAGTGATGGAGAGGGGAGAGGGTGCATCATCACATGTAGAAGAGGGGTCTCAGTGGTGCGTGTAGTGAGTCATCATGCCGGTGCATAGGTCGCACATCATGGTGATGAAACTCTAGCTCCTCAGGGGTGGAGACTTCATCACAGTAATGAGGAAAGGTCACTTGCTTTCATCTGTAAGTTGCTGGGATCTGTCAGGAGCTGGTTGAAACCACCAAGACGACCTCATTCCACAGAGGGTTTGGGGAAGAATAGGCTTCAGGGCAGGAGGCTCTAAAACAGGCTGATTGCTCAAGTTGATTAAATTTCTATAATCCTTGGAGACCCTCCCTAAATGCTTTTAACACTACTTGGCATTTGAGAAAAGAGCAGAGGCAAGAAGGCCACCCTCTTCTCTCCATTTTTTCTTTCCCGAAGCAGGTCATAAAACCTAGGAAGGTCATTCTCTGACTTTCTCCCATCATTTTCCCCTGAAGCGGATCTTAAGACCCTCATTTGAGAGGTGTCCTTTCTCTACCCAGAGGAAAGGAACACCCTTATCTCTGAAGACACATGGTCACAGAGAAGAATCTAACAGACAGGTTTTGCTACACTCCTCCCCATTCATTACCATTAAATCATCATTTTTAATCCAGTCACACTTCTCCACAACTGTCCACTTCTTCGTCAAACCTATCATAAAAAAATACACAGGTTTACCTATTTCTTTGAGTGTTCATTTCGAAAAGTCTCCCGTGTTATGCAAAATTTATATTCAATAAATTTGTATGCTTTTCTCTTGTTATAGGCATCTCAGACATAAGCCTAAGGATGGGTGAGGAAAAGAAATATTTTCTTTTCCAACATGATCATAAAGTCAAAAACATAAGAGATACTAAGCATCCAACTAGATGCTTTTTTTTTTTCCTTGAGACGGAGTCTTGCTTCATCACCCAGGCTGGAGTGCAGTGGTGCAATCTCGGTTCACTGCAACCTCCACCTCCCCGGTTTAAGCAATTCTCCTGCCTCATCCTCCCAAGTAGGTGGGACTACAGGCGCACGCCACCACGCCTGGCTAATTTTTGTATTATTAGTAGAGACAGGGTTTCACCATGTTGGCCAGACTGGTCTCGAACTCCTGACCTCGTGATCCGCCCACCTTGGCCTCCTGAAGTGCTGGGATTACAGACATGAGCCACTGTGCCTGGCTGGATGCTTTTTAAGTAGTTGTAGAAGTCACACACCTGCAAGATGGGAAAATATGAAAAGAACCCAGCATTCTTTTGCCAAATCAGGCAATAAAGTTATGAAGTTACAAAAGAATCATAAAGGCATGACCGAAAGGCTAATAGTCTTAAAGGTTCTTTAAAGTCAGACAGGAATACATTAAAATGTCTTAAAAGAGCCAAAGAAATGCAAACATCTTTCAAAGCAATGTAAAATCAGCCAATCAATGAATGGATTTGTCCACACCCAGAGAGGGAGGAGGTAAAAGTTGCAATCAGAAGGAAGAATTAGGTGAATCTGTTGCAGAACTCAGAGTTCCAATTATGGTTCATGGTGTCACACCATCTTGGGCATGAATCAAATCCTATTTTCTGGCCAAAAATCTCTAAAGAATGCCTAACTTCACTCTCCCAAGATGGAAACCCCAGCTTGCTGCAGACAGCTATCTCCTTAGAAGGTAAGTGATTCACAAATCCAAAAAGCTAAAATTAGGGATTGAGATGGTGAAGGAAATCAAACCCATCTCTTTATATATGAGTGCAGGAATAATGTCATTTATACTACTCATCATGTTTAAGAGCAATTGGTATATTGGGGCCAGGTATGGTGGCTCACATCTGTAATCCCAGCACTTTAGGAGGTCAAGGTAGGGATCGTTTAAGGTCAGGAGTTCAAGACCAGCCTGGCCAACATGAAGAAACCCCATCTGTACTAAAAATACAAAAAAAATTAGTTGGACATGGTGGTGCACACCTGTAATCCCAGCTACTTGGGAGGCTGAGGCAGGGGAATCATTGGAACCCTGGAGGTGGAGGTTGTAGTGAGCTGAGATTGCACCACTGCACTCCAGCCTGGGCAACAGAGCAACGAGACTCTGTCTCAAAAAAAAAAGAGAGAGAGAGAAATTGGTATGTTGGAGCAGCTGACAGATTAGCCTTGCAATTTCGATTTGATATATAATCGAGAGATTGATTTTGACTTAAGATTTTTAAGGTGAAAATTATAAAAGAAAGCAGTAAACAACATTGGAATGTCTAAGATAATTTATGAGTCATTATATTTATAAGTTTGAGTTAATCATATTTATAAAAATTACTTACATTTTGGGGAAGTCTTTGTTAGTCCACTTGGAGTACTAAGGAAGAAACTAAAATAGATGTTTAAGAGTGGAGGGAAGAAAAAATATTATTTCTTCTACCTATCTTTGGTCCATGGCTATAGCCCCTATAAAAGACACACATGCAAATGTGTGTAATATAAGTTTTACATGAAACGGGAGCCTTCATAAGAAAATGAAGACCCAAAGAAACAGATGTTTTTATGCCAGGTTTGATGAAGCATGGAGAAATGTGATAGCACAAAGAGGGTATGAGCTAAGTGTCATAAACTGGAGGGAACTTAGCAAGGCATGTTTGTTCAGATTATTCGTGTGACCGGGGCACTGGTATCTTCAGAGATAGTGGTCCTGTCCACTATCTCTGGAGGAGGAGGACAGTGCTCCTGTCCTCCAGGTAGAGGAAATGCACCTCTTGAATGACAGTCTTATGACCTGCCTCAGGGGAAGGTCAGAAAATCCTGGGTTTTATAACCCGTTGCAGGAGAGAAGGGCTGGGGAGGATCAGAGAGGCCTTCCTGCAGGCACTGTCTCCCACATGCCTTCAGCTTAAAATACTCAATCTGCCAAAGCACCATATTTTAGAATTCCTGAGACCCAATAAGGAAATTTAGTTAAATTGCAAATGCCTTTTGGTAGTAATTATTAAAATTTACTATTTTTTAAAACAGAATTACAGGATTTGTAGCTTAAACTTCAAAGCCCAGTGAATGAGAGTTTTTAAAATTTGTAAGTTTGATATAATATTAAATGAGGTAACGATACAACCCGAAACTATTGTTTCCCATTCCAAAAAGTTGCCGTCAAGATGTTAAAATTTCTCCTTGACATCAGGCTGGGTGCGGTGGCTCACGCCTGAAATCCCAGTATTTTGGGAGGCCGAGGTGGGCAGATCTCCTGAGGTCAGGAGTCTGAGACGAGCCTGGCCAACATGGTGAAACCCCATCTCTACTAAAAATACAAAAATTAGCCAGGTGTGGGTGGTGGTGGGCGCCTGTGATCCCAGCTACTTGGGAGGCTGAGGACCAAGAATTGCTTGAACCTGGGAGGCAGAGGTTGCAGTGAGCCGAGATGGCGCCACTGCACTCCAGCCTGGGCAACAGAGTAAGACTCTGTCTTGGGGGAAAAAAAAATTATTGACATCTTAGAAGTCTAAATGGTAGAAACCCTTCTCAGATTCCCCCTGCCAGGTCCCATCTCTCTCATCTCGCTGTGCTGGTTCTTTTTTATAGCACTTACCACCTTCAAACAGACTATACAGCTTACTTTTTTAAAAAAACTATTTTGGTTTATTTTATTTTGATAAAATATACATAACATAAAAGTTACCATTTTAACCAAATTTAAGTATACGATTCAGTGGTGTTAAGTATGTTCACAATGCTGTATAACCATCAGTTAACATTTATTATGCTTATTATTTACTGTGTCTTTCCTCTCCAGAAAGTTCACACACCTTGGGAAGGGATCGTGTTGTGTTCCTTGGTGTTTCCAGAACCTGGGACAGTGTGCTTGGCACCAGAGTCGTCAGTGATTTCTTGCCTGGATCTGACCACCTCCCTAGCAAGGTTACTTGGTGACACCAAACTGAAGCAGTTTTGGGAGCAAAGGAGAACACAGAGCCCATTGTTGCTCCCTTTCTTCTCTCCATAGGAAACAGTTCCGGGACATTGACCAGCCAGGCTATGAGACTGTGGTACAGGCCCTGCACTGGGCTGCTGTGGCCTGGGGGAGGGAGGTGTGTGACACAGGCTGCCTGTGTCTTCTCTAAACCACAGCACACAGTAGCTCCCCTTGACTCACTGAGAAATAACTTGAGCCGGTGGCTAGCTTTATTTCATGACCATTTTAAACTTAATTGTTAAGAAGGAGTAAATTAGGTGAACGTAAATGGGATAAAAGTTTGTAAATGAACTTTTCATTGTTTCTTTAACTTATTTTTAAGTGGTGTCATGATTAGGTAGTAGATTCATGAAACTTCTGAATAATTTCTTTCTTTTTTTTTGAGACGGAGTCTCGCTCTGTCGCCCAGGCTGGAGTGCAGTGGCGCGATCTCCGCTCACTGCAACCTCCAACTCCCGGGTTCACGCCATTCTCCTGCCTTAGCCTCCCGAGTAGCTGGGACTACAGGCGTCCGCCACCACGCCTGGCTAATTTTTTTTGTATTTTTAGTAGAGATGGGGTTTCACCGTGTTAGCCAGGATGGTCTCGATCTCCTGACCTTGTGATCCGCCCGCCTCGGCCTCCCAAAGTGCTGGGACTACAGGCGTGAGCCACCGCACCCGGCAATGTCTGAATAATTTCTAAGCAAGATAAAATACTGAAACATAAATTGCTGAGCGTAAGTTTATTTTTTGTTTTCTTCGATTTTATACAAAAACAAAATGTGTTTAGATCTGTTGGTAAATATGTTCTGCTTCACACTGAAAAATTGTGTTATGAAGAAGCAGATATTATGAAATGGTGATAGTTTACAAAATGCTGCTTTGTAATTGCTAAAGATTAAAATATCTAATTAATATATGCAATTAAAATTACTAAAAATAGGGAAACAATTCCGTATGCCAAGCATACAAGGAAAGTGATATGTTTTTTGAGGAAAGTTATAAAGAAAGCATAAGGATACGCCATAGTTTGAGTTTTTTTGAAGAAAAGAATAATTTCGTCTAATTCAGAGATTATTTTAATGTTGTTTCAAAACATAGATATAGGAAGGAAATAGAAACAAGGCAGAAAGGAACCAGTGAGTAGGGGAAAGGGAGATTTTTGTGTTTTATCAAAATAATTTCCTGTGCTCTACACTGTCTTCATCAAGTCTTTGATTACTTAAGAAAACTGAGTTAAAGGTCTGTTGTTGTTGTTGTTTTGCAAATATGTAACTTCTTTCGAAGTCTTTTAATATCACTCTGGTTAAAGGCTTGACTGGTATTTCACAGTGGCCTATGATCCTGTTTTTGATCAAATAATTTGAACCTTTATTTTGACACTTTCTGAAATCAAATTTTAAAGTTTTTAAATTAAGTATTTTTGACCTTGAATTAATTTTGGGATACCCCAGAGGGCCCTGGAACATCTGAAAGTGTCTATAAAACAGATATTACACCCGTTGGTCTTATTTGATAAATTACACGGGAAATATCAAAATAAGAAATGATGTTTAATTTTCTTTGAGTTGTATATATATGGGTATGTTATTAACATGTGTTCCAAAATATGTCTTGGCATAAGTGTTATCAGTCATAATGTTGATTATTATGCTAAAATGTTGTACACCACGGAAATAACAAATTTCCCTGTCAATTGCATCATTATGAACTCTCATAATGAGAATTGTGGTTTAAAACCTGATGAGATTTTTTAACCATTTTAAGTCTTGTTGTCCATAGTTAAATTGGTTTATTCTGATACTTTTTCTGAAAGCTCTTTGCAAGCAACTATAATTCTAAAGCTTTTGGTCTTCAAGGAAGTTCATGGAAAGGATGAAAAGACTTCTGACAAGTACAGGTTTCTGATAATTTTGAGATACCATTGGGCTTGTAAGAATTTCTAAAACTAATGAAATAATTGATGGGTTTGTGAAACTATCAACCAGGATCAAACAGACCAAAAATTAATTACATGAGATAGAATAAACTGATAAAAAAGAATTACGGTTTTTATAGCTTTTTATTTGAAACATTTCTGGTTCTTTCAATGTTTTGTCTTCCAGATTTTTTTAAAAAAAAAAAAACAACTTTATTTTTCTTTAAAGCTATCTACAGTTTACAAGAATTTGGTGAAGTATACATTGGTAAACAAAAATTGAGATATTTGCTTTTCCTCCCTACATGATCCCTCCAAAATTTGGAAAGTATACCTGAGTATTCTTATTTTTATGGCAACATGGTTATTTGCATGAGTTCATTAAGAATTGCTTTCTTTATAGCAGGATACAATTGGAAACACTGGTTATACTACTAGGGCTTTGGTTGGAATGTCGTATTTGAGAAGATGCATAGAATGCCTGGTTTCAAGTGTTTCTAGCCTTACAGTGAAGGAGTAAAAAGTTGTCACTTCCTGGCAGGCCCAGGAACCTCAAGCTATTAGATATTACAGGTAAAGGATGATGTTTGCCTTGGTTTGGCCTCCTAGCACTGAGAGGTTTTAAACGTCCAATCTGAGATTCCTTATCAAAATTTCTAGCAAAGCGAATTTAAAAGAAGCCAATGTGGTTATCCTTGGTGCACTTATGCAAATAACTAGGCCAAGTTGGAGAATAAACTTATTTTACAAACCTATTTGTCTTACCATGATTATCCTTGGTAGAAATGAGATGATTGTGGATAAAAAATTTATTTTTAAAAAGAAAACGATAGTACACCCGTTATTAGATAGTAGCCGTGCTTATTGTTTTCAATTTTTCATTATCTACCTGGAGACCAGACTGGATTATGAATTCTAGTTTTCTCTAATATCTGGGTACAGCTCCCCATGAAGAATGGGAACCACTGTGTTTCTGAAGCCCTATAAGCTGGACAACTTAATGTAAATTTCAAGGGCTAAGTTTCATGCCTGATGTGTGGGCCTACACAGAGTGTTCACAGAAACGTCAAATGCCATAAGACAGTTCAACCAAAGACATTCAAACTACAAACCAGAATGAGAAGCTGCTGACTTCATTCTGTGGACAGCTTTTCCCACGATTGCTGGAGCAAAACCCCCAGTGTAATAAGGCTCTTACCCCTCTCAAAGTTTTCTCACCTATGCCCACTTCATTCATTTGGCAGGATGACACTGTAGTTAGGATTTCAAGATCAGTGGTTTTTGGTGGATCGGTGAGTAACTTGGAAGAGTAGCGGATATGTCAGGTTAAACCCAAATCTTTACAGGACCTAAGAGATCCTTTAGTTCATGTAATGGGTACTTCAGCAACATCCCTAACACAACTGTTTGTTCAAATTATAGTGGTGTTTTTTATAGAGTTAACACTCTCTGCTCTAATTTAAGCCTTTCCTGGGGTGCTAGATGATAAAACTGCTACCTACTAACTAAACAGGGAGAAATCTGTGTAGTTGCTGACAATTTTTCTTGTACACAGATGAATACATTGGGTATTGTGACTCAGTTGCAAAAAGTTAACAGACAGGCGACTTGGTTAAAATGGGTAGATTCCTTCTCTGGCTCAATCCTTGATTTATTCAATTGTGGCTGGTTCAGTTCATGGGGACTCTGCCTAGGCAGCATACTCCAAACACTTGGTACAACCTGGTAATCATAATATCCTCCTAATAGTTATAAAAGTAGTCTCCCTGGTGCGCTGTATCCTCTCAAAAAGTTTTAAATGTTTGTATACAAACATCTGTCGAACATCAAATATTCTTTCTTCATCTAAGTTACAGAAACGCAGAGAGATGTACGATCATGAGGACACTGCAGCCTATGAAGGGTGTGTTGAGACTGGAAACCCAGAATGATGGTAACTGAGAGCAGCACCAGTGTCCTGTGTTTTGGTCAGATTCTCGCCTAGGTGAGCACTTAACCAAAAGAGGAATTGTTAAGTAACAAGTATAGGAGGGCACTGTTTAGGACTAAGCTCCTGCACTAGGCCCCACCAGACCAGACTAAAAATCCAAATAGAGTCACTCATGCTAATGTCCCATGTGACCCAAGTAAAACAATAAGTTGTTCTCTGACCTTCCAAGAAATTAGGAGGGAGAGGTAGCAGCCAGTTCCCCAAACAGGTCAATTTCCAACCTTCAGTTGGCATAATAATGGCCTTCTTTCTGCTTTAATTCTTAACCGGAAGTAATCTGGTGTTAACCAATGAATTATCTTTCTATTGTTTTGTCTCTCTGTCACCATTGTAAAAGAAAAGTAACTTTGAAGTGGCCAATCTGCTTTTTGTTCTCTGTTTCTGCTCTATTCAGCCCTTTTACTCTCTCTAAAGCCAATCTCCTCTGCTCAATTCATTGGAACATTATTTTGTTTTATGGAGTGAGGTATTGCCCAATTCTAGAATTGCAAATGAAGCCAAATGAGATCTTTACATTTGTTGTAATGTTGTCTTTTGACGGATCTAAACTGCCAAATCCAAATGACCAAAAACATGAAGTTTAGATGTGATTGAGATCAGGGAAACAGAAAATAAGTTACAATAAACAATGAGTTCCCACTTTAAATCCATAGACTGACAAAAATTATGAAAGAAATCTAATACCAGCTGCTCTCAGAAATGCCAGGGAAAAGAGTGCCCTCTTACATTACTGGTACAGATCTGAATTACAGAGTGATGGGAAAATAAGATGCAGTAAGATGCAGACATGACGGCCAGGCACAGTGGCTCACACCTGTAATTCCAGCACTTTGGGAGGCTGAGGCGGGCTGATCAGCTGAGGTCAGGAGTTTGAGACCAGTCTGGTCAACATGGCGAAACCCCATCTCTACAAAAAATACAAAAAAATTTGCCAGGCATGGTGGCGTGCACCTGTAATCCCAGCTACTCGGGAAGCTGAGGCAAGAGAATCACTTGAACCCAGGAGTCGGAGGTTGCAGTGAGCCGAGATTGTGCCACTGCACTCCAGCCCGGTGACAGAGTGGAACTCCATCTCAAAAAAAAAAAGAAATCGGAACTATATACAGCCTTTTAAGAAAGCTGTTTGAAAAACAATCTGGCAGCACTTACTAATTTTTTTAATCTGCATTCTTTATGAATCAACAGTCTCACTCCTGGGGAATCTAGCTGTTAGAAATAAAAGAATCAATTTGAAGAATGTAGTTATAAGGTTGCTGTAATATATCACTCTTTGTAGTGGAGGAAGAAAATCTGGAAACAAAGTGAATGTCCATCAATAGAGAGAACCTGAATTCATTATGGAACTTCCTCCCAGTAGTTTGCTGGAGCTGTCTCCAGAGATCCTGCACAGAACTCTTCTCAACTCGGCTCCACCCAGCCATCACATTGGTAGCTTGAAATGAGCCATGGTGGGAATATTTAGGGCACGGATATCAGCAAACACTAGCAGTCAGGGCTTTCCCTGAGAGAGCTGGGGTTATATCTTTACCAGACAAAACTACCTTCACCCCATAAAATAATAGGCATTAAAAATCATGCACCAATCCAGTTAAATTATAGGTGTTTTCATTAGGTTTCATTGATTGATATAAGAATAGTTGTGTCCCATTGCATTTTTGAAACAAATTTTTTAAAAACTTTGCAGAAATGTATATGTGTGTAAGTATTTTATAGATTATATGAACACGGAGGAAAGTATGAAAGATACATAGGAAAGGGTAATGGGATTATGGGATTAGGGGTAGTTGGGGAAGGGAGGGAAAGTTTTTTTTTTTAAATGATTCCATATGTAACTGACATACACACAGGTGTGTGTGTGTGTGTATAAAGAAATTAAGGAAACAAAACTAAGTTTAAAATCCACAAACATGTAGAAATGTTTGTGCTTAATCATGAAATAATAAAGCACGTTGCAGAGCCATGTGTTTGGTAATGATATGGCTCCGATGAGTGGAGGAACACCAGGGCTCTTGTCTCACGTTGAATTAGATGAAACAACAAGGACACACGTGGAGTGGTTTTAAGGAGCAGAGAATTTAATAGCCAAGAAAGAAGGAAGAAGCTCCCCCGTAGAGAGACAGAGGGAGGGGGGCTCCAAAGCCGAGAGAGAGAACCCCAAGCAGAGTGGAAACCAGCCAGGTATATATAGAGGCTGGAGGAGGCGGTGTCTGATTTGTACAGGGCTCAGGGGATTGGTTTGACCAGGCATGTCATTCATGTAGCCTGCGGAAAAGCTGGCCCTCCCACCCTAGCCTTTTAATATGCATGCAGGGCGCCATGATGTTCTACACACGTAGGGATATGTGGGGGTGGCCTTGATGCCAGGAACATGTGGGGCAAGGGTAAGAAGGCCAGGGGAATCGCCATGTTTGGGTAGACCCAGTTTCTAATATCCTGCATTTGCATATCAAAGGTTGCCAGCCTGGCTCTAAGAGCTGCTTTAAAAACGAAAATTTTTCAAGGACTCTTTTTCCTCTCTATCTGCCTAAAATAATTTCTTAATAACTCCTACAATAGTACGATCCTGTTTCAGTAAAAAGAAATAAACCCAAAGCCCAGTTTATGTGTATATTTGCCTGCATGTGCTTGTATGAGCATCGTGAACAGTTGTGTGTAGACTTTGGATATCTCAGGAAGGTAAGATTAGAAGTTAATAATGGTGAGAATTTTCTCTATATGTCTTTGAACTGTTTTGCCTATAACAACTAATATGTCATATGTTTACAATTTGAAAAACATCAAATGAAAACAATTTCCAGAAAAGAAATTAGTTCCTTCGGATTGTCAACACTCTTTCACACTCATTACCACCTTTGCCCCACTTACCTGTGTAGGAAGAATAAACATGGCTGTCTCCACTTCACTGTTAAGGAAGCAGAGCTGGGAGATGGAAACTGCCTTGTCCATGAACACATGACTATGAGCATTGGAACCTGTCTCCCACCCAGTCTCTTGACCCACAGTCCAGAGGTTTTTAGATACCCCAGTGGATATGGGAGGAGAAAAGCAGCAGCAATAACAGAGAGTGACCAATGGTATCTTTCTAGCCAAGGACAACTCTGCAGCAGGAATGAACTCTGCCTATGACATAAAACATACGTGAACACACAATTATCAGTATTTACCATGTATATCTAAGAAGGCTATTTGTCTAACCTTGCCTGAAGCAGCCAGCATTTGTAATCTTATCACATCATCTGGAAGCTTCAGTGCTAGTTTCATGGGGTTACTCTAGGTCACGTGCCCAGAAGAACCTTCATAAACAACAACTATGGCAGGGAGGAGGGAATAGTGCCTGGCATGTCCTTTCTCCGTATCAGTAACGTGACTTTCCAAGGCCCATTCTGCTGGCTCTATAAGAAGGGAATCCAGTTGGAGACCTTGCAAGTCCTCACCTGTGGGACGTCCTCCCAGGGCGCGGATTTGTGTACTGTTCTTTTACCATATCAGCATCTTTAACAAACACGCCCTGTGCTTACTTAAGAGATCTCTAAGTTCCTGAAAACAAAGGAATGTGCACTGTGACATGGCCAAATGAATCACAGTGTAGCTCCAGGTGGAAGTGGGCCGGGTGGCAGTCTTATCATCTTCAATGGCACTTTGTGCATTCTTGCCTTTGCTGGCGTGGCTAGTCTTTTGAAAATGGATTGGGAATTACGTTTAGGGGTTCAAAAATACTCTTTCCACACCTACATTGATCAGGGTGTGTTTGACTAATGTTTGTGTTATGAACATATGACACATTGGTTGTTATAGGCAATGAGTTTTGGTGGAGCTAGTTGCAATGTGGTGAGCACAGACCCAGCTCTGGAGCCCATGGATCTACAGAGAGACCTGGCTCTGCTACTAGCCATGGGGATCTTGAACAAGCCAGAAATTCTGTGTAGGTCAGTGTTCCCATCTCTAACATTAGAATTATTAAACCTGCTTCCTGTCCCTCATGGATCATTGTGAGAATCAAACTGGAAAATGTATAAGAAAATGCCTTGCAGACCATAAAGCGCTTTAGACACACAGGTGTTGTTATTGATTTGCTGTGTCATAGGAAATGAGAAGTCTCCTCCTTAGGGACCCCTATTTTCAGGCACATATAAAAAATATGTATGTATACATGACTTCAATTTTAAATCCTTCATGGTTAATCCAAGATCCCTGGTAAATCTGTTTTGTAATGTTGAGTGAAATTCCCTCAAGAGATTCTGTTCATATATCTGCAAAGCAGTATTTACCACCAACAAATAGGGATTTTAAAAAGATGCTTTCCCCTTGACCATAGTTATTTCTGCTTGATACTATGCAAATGCCTTTATTTCACAATGCTTTTTCCTTGTTTCTTTAAACGAGAGCTTCAGAAACAAGTATAGTACACTGTGTTGCTTGAGACGTTCAAAATGCAACTAAGTCTTTCCATTCAAAGTTCAGAATATTCTTCTAAATTTAAATAAGATCCACTTGGGCTGAGCGCGGTGGCTCACGCCTGTAATCCCAGCACTTTGGGAGGCTGAGGCGGGAGGATCACGAGGTCAGGAGATCAAGACCATCCTGGCTAACGGGGTGAAACCCTGTCTCTACTAAAAATACAAAAAGTTAGCTGGGCGCGGTGGCGGGTGCCTGTAGTCCCAGCTACTTGGGAGGCTGAGGCAGGAGAATGGCATGAACCTGGGAGGTGGAGCTTGCAGTGAGCCGAGATCGTGCCACTGCACTCCAGCCTGGGCGACAGAGCGAGACTCCGTCTCAAAAAAAAAAAAAAAAAAAAAAGATCCACTTTACATTTTTGGAACGCAACCTGGTAAAGATCATTAAAATTAAAAATAATAATCTCTTTGGCTATAGATGTGACAAAGCATATAATAAAGCTAACATTCATGGAAGGTTTCCTGTGTGCCAGGCACAAGGCTAAGTGCTTTACAAGTATCATCATCTTTAATCATCACAATTCAGTGAGTAGATATATTATGATCCTCATTTTGCAAATTCAGAAGACTGGGCTACTGAATTCAACAAGACACCACTTTTTCCCCATGTGTTCATGAAATGTCACTATTAAAGTGGATATCCATTAAATTTAGAACATTAAACCCTGGCAGATGGGCAAAGAACACTAGAAACCACCCTTTCTATATGCCAGACACAGTGCTAGACCCTTGTCACAAACTATCTCATCCAACCTTCCCACTGCCTTACTATTTCCCAGAGGAAGAAATGAGGCTTAGGAAGATGGCAAACTACTGTGTTGAGATTGTTATTGGCTGCCAGGCCTAGTGCTGGGTGTTTTTCAATGGCCTCCTCATCAACAGACAATCCTCAGATAAGGAAACTCAGTGAAATGCATACAGTAAACAAACACATGAAAAAAATGGTCAACATCTCTAATAATAAAACATTACAACTGAAAACATCAATGAGGTACCAATTGCATTTGTCACATTAGCCAAACAATGCTAAATGCCAAAGGTAGTGACTTCATAGTGAAGCTAATTTATTTATATATTGCTGGTGGCATGTTTACGGCCAAACACTAAGATGCAGCATACAAATGTACGCCTGCTCTAAGATTACCCACAACGTGAAGGGAACCCAGCAAAATGAAAACAGCTGTTGTGTTAGAGTGGAATAAAATTTTTAATCTCTCAGATTGTCTTCACTCTTTTATAATATTGTTTTGACAATAAATAAAACTGGGGCAAAAAAGGATTTTATTATCCCATCTATCACTTATAGTTGAGGATTGCATTCCTGACTTCAATAAATCATCGATATGACCAAGAATTAATGAAAAAGCCAAGATTCAGTAATTTTAAGCTTCTGTTTTCACCTGAGATATCAAAAGTAGGCCCTAAAACACAGAATTTTATGATCCTCATTTAACCTCCTCATTTTCTTGATGAAGAAATGAAGGCCTAGAGACATAGAATTTCTTGTCAAGGTCAAACAGTTGCATGCAGAGCTGCAGCAAGCACCTGTTGCTCATTAAAAAAAAAAAATCCATAAAAGGAAAGTGCATTTGCTATTTATAGGAAACTGCCAAAAAATCGGCATAAAAGAAAATGGGCAGATCTCAGAATTCAAAGCTGGAGCAAATGTGTCCCTGGGGCCCATTCTAGAACTTCTGGTTGGGATGTGTTGGCCACCCGTCTCGAGCTAGGGTCTTACTCTGAGGCAGTGGTTCTCACTGTGGGGCCCCCGGGCCGGCTGCATCAGCATCACCTGGGAACTTGTTAGAAATACAAATATCTGGGACCCATTCATGGTAAAGTGAAACATAAATTCAGAGAGTGGGGCCCCGCAATATCTTTTAACAAGCTCTCCACACGTTTCTGCTGCATGCCAAAGGCTGAGAAACAGGCTCTAGGGCAGTGCCTCGCCAAGTTCAGCGCATAGGAATCACCTGGGGATCTTGTAAAACTGTAGGTTCTTATTCAACAGGTCGGAGGGATGGGGTCTGGGAGACTGCATTTCTAACAAGTTTTCAGGATATGCCAATGCTGCCTCTTTGGGGACCACACTTCGAGTAGCAAGATTCAAGTAAAGCCATGTGCCCATGTGAACAGATGCCAGGCCTGCATACATTGAACCTCAGCCCTCTGTGTCCTTCCTACTCCGAGTGTGGCCCAGACTCAGCATTGTGGGCACCCTCTGAAGCTTGTTAGAAATGCAGACTCTCAGCACCACCCCAGACCACTGCATGTAATCTGTGTTTTAAGAAAATCTGCAGGTTTACTTGGCAACATTAAATTTTGAGCAGTCCTGGTGGAGGGAGGCTGCTGGAGGCAGAGGGACAGTTAGCATCTCTGAGCCAGTCACCTCCACCAGGCAGCACCAAGACTCCACCCTAGTGCAACTGACAGATGTGACCTCCCACATTTGGAAAAGGCTGGTGGCCCAGGTGTAAGGGGAGGGGAGCTAGGGTGTCACCAGACAGAACAACCAACAACAGGGGCTGGGTAGGGGAGGACGGGGGACAGGAATCATGCAGGAGTATTTTTAATGCAAAAGTGTTAAGAAATAAGGCTTCTCCCCCGACAAAACCAAAATAAGACAAACAATGGCTGCTGTTGAAAGTTTTGCCAGGCAGTGCAACTTCGTCACATATGGGTGGGTGGGTGGCAGGCACTGAGGTTGTCATCACCTCCTCCTAAACCATCCCCCCCAGCCACAACCCTGCTCCAGAAACCAAGGAAGAAGTGGGAAAGGACTGCACAATGAAGAGAGGTTTGAGTTGGAAGCATTTTAGAGACATTGCCTACTGCATGAATTTCCTATGCTGCTGTAGGAAACCACCACAAAGTCAGTGGCTTAGAACAACATAAAAGCATCTCACGGTTCTGGAGCTCAGAAGTTCTAAAATCAGCCAGGCACGGTGGCTCACGCCTGTAATCCTAGCACTTTGGGAGGCTGAGGTGGGTGGATCACCTCAGGTGAGAAATTCGAGACCAGCCTGGCCAACATGATGAAACCTCATCTCTACTAAAAATACAAAAATTACCCAGCTACTTGGGAGGCTGAGGCAGGAGAATCGCTTGAGCCCTGGAGGCGGAGGTTGCAATGAGCCGAGATTGCACCATTGCACTCCAGCCTGGGCGACAGAGCGAGACTCCGTCTCAAAAAATAAAAAGAAGTTCTAAAATCAAAAAGTCAGTGGGGCTGTGTTCCATCTGCAGGCCTTAGAAAAGGACATATTTATCTGCCTTTTCCACCTGCATTCCTTGGCTCATGGCACCTTCCTCCATCTGCAAAGCCAGCAGTGCAGCGTAGCATCTTCAAACCTCCCCCTTTCCAACTTCTGCTTCTATCTTCACATCTCCCCCTCTGAATTTCCCACCTCTCCCTTTCTTTTCTAAGGACCCCTGAGATGACACTGGACCTCCTAGATAATCCAGATTAATGCCCCATCTCAAGGTCTTTAATTTAATCATATCTGCAAAGTCCCTTTTGCCATGAAGGATGACATATTCACAGGTCCAGGGGTTAGGATGGGGACATCTTTGGGGGTGGGGGGGAGGGTCATTGCTCAGCCTCCACACCCTTTTTCTAAAGCTTCTCTCATGGGTCTGTGGGGAAGGACGCCACCTTGCCAGGGGGCTTGCTGGGCTCCTGTGGCCCTTCTTTGAATCTGGAAGATAATGTTAATGTCACTGCCTCATTCAGAGCTGAGAACATTGTAGTATTTCATGTGTCAGACTTCCCACTGTCAGCAGGACTTAGCTTAAGTTATTTATAGTGTCAATGACTTGCCTTTTGCATTAATGTAACTGTTTGTGTTAAATAAATTTTTAAGATAGGAGCCATTCAGAGCCACACTGGGGAGTGCTTTCCGTTCTGCGGGGCACCAAGTTTCACAGGGAGAGCTTAATGAGACTGAGCTGGCATTGTTATTTATCACGCCCAACTGCCCCCTCACCAACACCAATTACACCTGAAATATGCTTATCTCATGAAGCTTCCATGGAGGACAGGCTTTCTTGTTGACTCTAAATGACTTTAGGTCTGGTGCAGGGAATGGGGTGGGTGACTGGCCTCAGGCCCCTGCTGCAATATAGGAGTCTGTCAACAGGGCCTTCCACTGCTGGTGGGGCTGTGATCTGGGGCAGGAAGCCTGTGGATGCCAGGCCCCTCCAGCCCCTGGCCAGGGCTCAACTTCCCCTTCTGGTTCCCAGAAGGAACAACAGAGGCACTGGAGCTAGAAAAATTCTGATTCCTTCAGCAAAGCCGGCATGTCAGGTCACTGCTAAATGCTGGGATGCAACCACAAAAGGCCTGGTCCCCACTCCAGGAGCTTACCTACAATGATAAGGAAACAGCAACAGTGCAGGACGGGAGGCATCATGGTAAAATTAAGAAAAGGGTGTTAAGGGGAGTAGAAAGAGCCCATATCCGGCCTAGCAACAACACGTGAGCTGGGGCCCAAAGAATGAGCTGGAGCTAATCAGGTGAGGGGGCGAGGAGGCTTTCCCGCATGAAGAGAAGCTGGAGTGCAGTGAGCACGTGGTAGGGGCTGGCTATTAGCATCTGTGTTATTATTATTCATGTACTCCTGCATGCATGTCACGCAGAAAGGTCACTGTCGTCATGACAACTAACACTTAACCTCATACTTACCATGTGCTGTGCTCCATGGGCTTCCCCTACATTAACTCATGTGCGGCTCACAACCACCTGTGAAGTGGTGACTATTGTTACCTTGGAAAGAAACTGAGGCACGGAGAGCTTAAGGCAGAGGTGATGCGACTCAGTGGCAAAGCTAGGCTGCCCCTCCTCATAGCCTGATTCGACAGCCCAACTCTTAGACAATTAATTCCCTGCCCTGGAGTCCCCAGTCCCCGGTACCTGGTAACGTGGCAGCTATAGATGGGATACGGTGAGTAGCAGCACAGTACCAGACAAACAGTTCTGGATTCTTCCACAGAAAGCTGGGTGCCTTGGAAAAGTTACAGGGTTCAGCCTTGATTTCTGGAGTGTGGTGGGCAGGGAAGAAGCCTGCAGGACTTCCATGAGACCCTCAGGTCTCAGGCTGCAGGTGTGAACGGCTCCAATGCACACATGGAAACGGCGCCCCCAGCAGAGAAAACATCGCTCCCTCCAGCTCCCAGATCTTTTAACCTGGAAGGGCCTTGGTCTTTTGAGAAGCTGCCCCTGTGTAGAATGTCAGGCGCCTCCACCATGGGTGGGGAGTGACAGCTCCCTGCTCTGTGGCCCAGCACTTCAGGAGGCCTGGAGACAAATCCACTCCAGATGGTCCCAGAGGAAATGGTCTAGTGGTCAATGAAGGGTGGGAGGACAGACACCAATGCCATGGCCTGGATCCCAGCAATTACCCTAGATGCTTATGAAACAGTCCATAGAGACCCTCCTTCCTCCAAAGCTCTTCCTTTGCCATTTTCATTAAAAGCCGCAGCTAACTATCATCACTCTGCCAGCCCCAGGGAGAATATACTCGTCAGGGTCTGATGCATCTTGGCAACAGTTATTTTCCTCTTCCTCCCAACAACACAAATGATCCCCCTTGCCCCTGGTACTCACCTCCCCCTTTCAGCCTTTTCATTGGGAAGTGATGAGCCATGCGAATACCCTTCAGGTGGGCTTCCTGTCCACATATTTGGTCAGCTCAACCCACAAACAAAGGCAATTTGCAGAGATCGTTGGCTCTGACAACCTGGGTGCTGCAGATAACTGAGGCAGAGCCTCGGGCTGCAGCCAGATTGGGCAGGCAGCCAGAACGCCTCAGGCCATTTTAAGAAGCTCCCGCAATCAAGTTCTTTACCTGACATGACCTAGGAAATCAAGATTCTCGGTGCTACTGGAGGGAAAATTAAGTGCCTTACTCAAATTATTTCAAGTGCCCTGCCAAGCATTACTAGCTTTTATTTTATTTTCTTAGTTGTTTTTAGTTGTCTCGATCGTACTTTAAGGGCAGAGAAAGTTGAGTTAGCCGGATGCGTCGGTTCTTGTCAGTGCAGCCGTGACTAAGAACTGCTTCTCTCAAACACTGGCTCTATCACTTAGTGGCCATGTGGCCTTGGCGACAGCTCTCTGTTAACTAGGGTTAGCAATGGTGCCTACCACTGCAAGCCTGTTGTAAGGGTAAAATGGTTATTGTACAAAAAATACTTAGACCTCTGACTGATGGATAGTAGGAGCTATGCGTTTGTATATTGTTACAATTAGATTTTTCCCCTTTTAATTATTATTTTACTTTTCTCTTTCTTCCCTGATCTCTGCTTCCCTTCTCTTCTCCAGGGAGCCAGTCTGAAGTATTTGATATATGGCCTGTTATCTTCATACACAGGCTTTTCAAAGTCAGAATTAATTCCAGGCCACACGTCACAGCCAACAGCCAATGGTGTTGTATTAACAATTTCCATAAGTGCTGTGTAAACTATGACCAGCTACAGTGATCACCATATTCTGGGCTAACAATTGAATTTACCTATAAAATAACTTCTTTATAGGCAGATGCTTTGTATTGACAGTGTATAAGTCTGGGTTCTTATTTGCAAGCAACAGAAATTGATCCTGGCTGAGAATCTCACAGAATGTCCAGCCATGGGGTGGGGGAATCCCTCAAATCTATGCCATTTTATAGGGATGTAAGGGATCATCTTCAACATATGGCTCCTAAGGCTGCCCAAGGTAGAGACATCCAGCAAATGGGAGAGAGACGGCCATGCATGGGAGGTTTTATTGGCCAGGCCCGAAGGTGGCTCTATGCCATTGGTTAGAATTCAGTCACATGGCCCAACTGCAACGGAGGCTGTAACCTGGCTGTGTGCCTCAGGGAGGAAAAAAAGAAAGTGGGGTTATTGGTCAGCTAGCAGTCTCTGCTATGGAAAACAAGCATTTGGTTATTTCAGTTACTATGGCAGAAAACAGACTGTCCCTCCCACACAGATCCATATGGCAAGGAATTCTTCAGACTTATCAAGGGGTTTCAAATCCTCAGCATCAAAAAAGATGAAAAGTGTCCAATACAGGCATTACAAGAGACACTCAAGGTCTCTCCTGAAAGAGAGGGGATCCCTCTTTGGTTGCAAACAAGATATTGGCTGGGCTACAGTCTCATCTGAAGACTTGATTGGGGCTAGTAGGGGAGGGAAGGCGGCCTCAGGCAGACTGTGTTTTCTTCCCTTGCAGAGGCTGAATGCTGTGTTTTCTTATCTACAACTTCAACAGAGGTGACTCTTTCTAAAGATTTTTCAAAGGTAGTAAGATGTAAGTTTCCTGTGTAATGCTGACCCCAGCACTTATAGCAGGAGCTTCTCATTCATTCATTCAAAATCATATTTTTAAGCATCTACTATATGCCAGACGTTCTAGAGATTCGGAATACAGCAGTAAACAAAACCCCCAAACATCTACCTCCATAGAGTTTGCATTCTCCTTTGATTTTGGGGCCACTTCATGATGCAGTTTCACTGTTTCAGGCTTTTTTTTTTTTTTTCGAGATGGAGCCTCGCTGTCACTCAGGCTGGAGTGCAGTGGCATGATCTTGGTTCACTGCAACTTCCGCCTCCTGGGTTCAAGCGATTCTCCTGCCTCAGCCCCCCAGGTAGCTGGGATTACAGGTTCCCACCACTGTGCCTGGCTAATTTTTGTATTTTTAGTAGAGATGGGGTTTCACCATGTTGGCCATGGTTGTCCAGGCTGGTCTTGAACTCCTGACCTCAGGTGATCAGCCCACCTCAGCTTCCCAAAGTGCTGGAATTACAGGCATGAGTCACCACACCCAGCCTAGGCATCTTTTAAAAACCATTTTAATGTTCAAAGTTGGTGTGGCCAAGAGGTCCCTCCTGTTAGGGTCCCTGCCCCCACCTTCCCCCCAACCCCACCCCACATACAGACATTGGGATCCACAGCATGCATCTGGGAAATCCCAAGTCACAGATGATGGCAGATGAGGCAGCCTTGGGCTGACTAGCAGCCCATATCCCCTTGTTCTCTGATTCTGCTTTTGAAATTTAAAATTCTGTGGAATAACTGGTGTGCCATGAACACTGGCCTTCATTCATTTCACAATGCACTGAACACTGCACTCATCGAGGAGCAGCGTGATCTGTTTCTTCACTTATTCAGCCATTGGCAAACATCTTCACTCTACATGGTAGCAAAGTGCCAGGTCCTTGGGCTTACCGCGAAGGTGAGGCACGACTCTCACCTTCCCAGTGCTTTCCACACAATGATGGGAACTTGTGACCAAGGTTTGAGCCCTCTCACTGTTGGAAACATGGCTGTCTTTTGTTCAGCACCCACCCACTCCCATTTTGTTTGTTTTATTAAGAGAGTATGAAGGTTCTCAGCCTGGGAAGCCCATGAGGCAAAAAGAACCAAGTCAGACTCTTCAGCACACCTGAAGGCATCTTGTGAACACAGAGGCTGTGTTTCCAGTAGAACCTGTATTTAATTTATTCCCATGAGGGTCCCCAAGTGGACCACATCTGTATGCCCTAGTCCAGATTTTTAAATCCTCTGATGCTGCAGAACCACTCTGATAACAGCAGAAACTTAAATGGATCAGAAACTTGAGTAACACCAACCCATAGCAATTTCCTTTTTGGTAGAATGTGAGGGTTGAATTTGAGAACATGGAAATGACAATGGCTTTTGTGGAAAAAAGCACTTTGTCAGCTCCTCCCCAAAGCATTAACTGCATGGATGGGCTATTTCAGACAGTGAGACCTGCTGTGATAAAAAAGATTGCTTGGGATACGTTGCTATGTTATTCCACTTTTAAAATGCTTCTCTTCTCTTAGGCAATGGCAGATACCATGGTAGGACAGGCCGCCTTTTCTTCCTTCCATTTTTCAATTCCTGTCCAAGGAGCAGAGGCATGGCTGAATTCTAACAGGGGTGTGAGCTGGCAAGGGATGGGGCGCAGGTGTGCTAGCAGGGCCATGCTTTGGGTCGGTGAGGAAAGCAATATATGAGGAGGGAACCCTGATCCTCTTCTCTACCTGCCTCATGATCTTGCTTTCACACCGCTGCTTCTAATGCCTTTCATCTTAAGCCTAGCAAGCACCATGTCAACCTGCTATTTGAAAATTGTTGAAGATGGAGCTGGAGAGAGGGGGAAATGGGGAGTTATTGTTTAATGGGTGCAGAGTTTCAGTTTGGAAAGATAAAGCTCTGAAAGTAGATGGTGGTGAAGGTTGCACAACAATGTGAATGCACTTAATGGCATTATGAGCAAAAATTATGTTCCAGGGAGTTGTAATTGGCTAGGACTCTGGACAAAAATTACCCAGGATAATCTTAAACTTTGTTGGCAAAAAAAGGGGGGGGGCTCTTTTGAACTCCTAAACTTGCCTATATGCATACACAATTAGAACAAAGAAGACACTGAATTTACCAGAGACTATGAGAAGCCCAACTGGCAGTTGAAAGTTCTAAATGGAATGAAGAGGTTACCATTGCCTTTCTTCGATAAAATAATTCCAAATTGAATATCTTAATGAAGCAGAAAGACAGATTAGCACTGAAGAGACTGAAGCCAAAGCTGTTAAACGTCTTTGAAAGATCTCTCTTCGGCTGGGCACAATGGCTCAACACCTGTAATCCCAGCACTTTGGGAAGCCGAGGCAGGTGGATCACCTGAGGTGAGGAGTTCAAGACCAACCTGACCAACATGGTGAAACCCCATGAATACTAATAATACAAAAATTAGCTGGGCGTGGTGGCACATACCTGTAATCCCAGCTACTCGGGAGGCTGAGGCAGGAGAATCGGTTGAACCCAGAAGGGGGAGGTTGCAGTGAGCCGAGGTTGTGCCACTGCACTCCAGCCTGGGTGATAGAGTAAGACTCCATCTCAAAAAAAAAAAAGTCTCTCCCACTAACCCCATTCCTGCCACTCTGCCATCCTCTGCACCTGTTTTTTGCCACCTCTGCTTTATCCTTCACTCCCTCCATCCTCTTTCACTCTTTCACCTGTTATTTTGAAAAAGTTTCTACATTTTCTCTGGACTTGTCTGTGTATTTCCTTGTGGAATCCTCTGATGATTCCTATGATTTTGTGTAGATTTAGCATCCATTTTGGTCCTTCTCTAATACCCCCAGACTTCTTGAGACACTTGAATTCTCTCTGTGCTTGCTACTCTGTTTTCTCTAAAATTCCGTAAGGGCTTCAGCCATGTGGGACAGGTAAACTTCAGTTGTTCCCTTTATAGAGATACTATTTGAGTTCAACTGTCCTTTTAAACTAGTGGGTTTTATCTGACTCATGGCTAAAATTTTAAAACTAAAGCTGTAAGGTCTTTATTTGTGTCTCTCTCCATTTTTATGTACACATATGTATACATGTCTGTATACTGTCTACATCAGGGGTTCCCAGCCCCCAGCCCACATACTGGTACTTGTCTGTAGCCTGTTAGGAACTGGGCCACACAGCAGGAGGCAAGCAGTGGGCAAGCAAGCATTACAGCCTGAGCTCCACCTCCTGTCAGATCAGAGGCAGCATTAGATTCTCTTAGGAGCACAAATCCTATTGTGAACTGTGCATGCAAGGGATCTAGGTTGCGTGTTCCTTATGAGAATCTAATGCCTGATGATCTGAGGTGGAACAGTTTCATCCCAAAACCATCCCCCACCCCATCTGTGGAAAAATTGCTTTCCATGAAACGAGTGCCTGGTGCCAAAAAAGGTTGTAGACCACTGGTCTACACGACACCAAATTGGTTTATAAATAAATGAGTACTAGAATATTAAACAAATAAGCCCAGTTGCTTTTCAACTGGCAGATGGGACTAGTCTAATATTGTTGGTTTGATGGGGCTGTGTCTTCTGAGGTATCAGCAAAGTATGCATGGATTTCACTTTAGGGTTCCTGCTTTTATGATACTTGCCTGGCAGAGAGTAATATAAAATTGGTTGATAGAAAATTTAGCTTGGGATAGTTGCTAGATTCTTGTAGTGTCTTACAAAGTTTTCTAAATACATTAAGTAAATGAATTAAATGTATGTAAATGGGATGAAAGTTTAGTAAATGAATTTTGGTAACGGATGTTTTGTAATATGTTTACTTGGAAGGGCTTCTCAAATATCTTTAGTAACTCTTCCCCTAGAGTTTTGCTAAGCTAAATTAAATGATAGATATTCATTAAATATCTAGATTATTTCCAAATAAGTTAATGTTAAGACATTGATTGCTGAATATCAGTTTAGGCTCATATACTTTTGGCTTATTATTTCAGAGAAACAAAAGCTATTTAGATTTGTTAGTAAATGTCCTGCTCCACATTTAAAAACTGTTCTGTTAGAAAGCTTATGTTTCTAAAAATTATGAAATGTGTATCCACAAATAGTACATATCTGACACCTTAGCATACTTATTTCCTAGTTTTTATTAAAAATTAAGGTTACTAAGAGTTACCATTGTAATTTAGATATAAGAAAAACATTTCTATATGCAAAGTATATAAGGAAATGAGGATGTGTTTTTAGAAAGGAAGGATAATAAGAGAATAATTTTGTATGAGAGTTTTGTGCAATAAATTTTTGTCCTACAGTAAAATGACTTGTTATTTAAGAAAAAGGAAGCGTAGGACAAAGTGGAAAGTCCAAGCATGTCATACATGATCTAAGTAAATCATGATAAGGTTTATGAAAAGAAAGTTTGTAAAAGGAATGTTCAATGTGGTCAGTTTGGCTACAACTGGAAGAAAATTGTTTATAGTTCTTTCTAAGGATTGAGTTTTGATGTTAGAAATGTACTAATGTAGAATTTAAAAATTTGATCCCCTGTGTTGGAACAAGGTTTTCTGAAAATATTTATGTGTTCTTCGTAAAATTGCAAGAGGTTTTTATTTTATTTTTGAAATCTATTTCCTTAACTACCATCCTTTAAACTACAAAGTTTCTAATTCTGCCACATTTCTTCTTGAAAGCTATCTAATTTCCCTAGTTTCATACTGGAAATACAGCTCTCCTTCTTTCTACCCTTGAAAAAGTATATCTTTTTGCTTGGCTGAGTGCTAACCCTCTCTTTCAATCTTTTCACCAGCTCCTTTCACCTTTTCTCTGGTTCAAACTCTGTCATTATGGCCTGATGATAAAATGTGTATCTTGAAGGTCTAGAAAGTCAGTGTTTTCTCCAGTACAACCTGATTCTGTACTTTGGGCTTTTCTTAATGTGCCTGAATTTACATTCACCAGAAAACTTCCTATACTGCATTTTGGTTTTTGGTTTTGAGACAGAGTCTTACTCTGATGCCTAGGCTGGAGTGCAGTGGCACAATCTCAGCTCACTGCATGCAGCCTCTGCCTCCCGGGTTCAAGTGATTCTCCCACCTCAGCCACCTGAGTAGCTGGGATTACAGGCACCCACCACCACACCCAGCTAATTTTTCTATTTTTAGTAGAGATGGGGTTTCACCATGTTGGTGAGGCTGGTCTCAAACTCCTGGCCTCAAGTGATTAGATTGCCTCAGCCTCCCAAATTGCTGGGATTACAGATGTGAGCCACCGTGCCTGGCCCCCTGTCCATCTTTGAGACAGCTCCTCTGCATGAAATTTCCCTGCACCCCTCCTGACTGTGTGAGGTGTCCCTCCTGAGGGCACCCACACCATGTGCCTATGCTCTTGCAGCACTTCTGACTGGAAAAAAATATGCCCCTATACTGTTAATAAGAACAACATATTCTCCAGCTCAAGGTACTAGTTCTCTTGTTTACATTCCTCTATAATATGGTGTACACTCATGGCCATAACCCTGGACACACTCTTCCTATGCCTGATTAAATTCAAGTCCCATTTCTATCAGGTGTAACTTCCAGGTTATCTTAATGGGCTTCCTGTAAGGAGAAGGAATCACGCTGCAGGAGGTTTTCTTTTCATTGCCTTTTAGGTAACTGGCCTAGGAAACAAATATTATGTGTTTGACCAAAATAATTTTCTGTTTTGTATGTTGTCTTTGTTGAGTATTTTATGACTTAGAATAACAGAGCTTTAAAAAGTTTAAGGTTTTTACATCCATGTAACTTTTTGTATTGTTTTTGAAGTCTTTTGATTATCACTGTAGTTAAACAACCATTATTTTACAATGACCTGTGATTCTGTTTAAGTACTTTGAAAGTTTTTGACATCTTTGACAGGTTTTTCTAGGATCAAAATCCTAAATTATCTATCACCTAAAATTAACTTGAGGATTTTGAAGTTGGGCCCCTGGAGAGCATCAAAGAATTTCTCATTTTATGGAGATATCAAATGATCGGGCTTATTTGATAAATCTTCTGGAATCACTGACAAATAAGAAATGGTGTTTAATGTCCTTTAAGTTACATTTGTGTAAACGTGTTATTAAAATGTGTTCTAGCCAGGCGTAGTGGCTTATGCATGTAATTGCAGCACTTTGGAAGAACGAGGCAGGAGGATGCTTGAGCCCAGGAGTTCAAAACCAGACTAGGCAAGAAAATGAGACCCCCATCTCTACAAAATGTTTAAAAATTCGCTGAGTGTGATGGTGTGTGCCTGTGGTCTCTGCTGCATGGGAGGCTGAGGCAGGAGGATCACTTGAGCCTAAGAGGTCAAGGCTGTAATGAGTCATGTTTGTGCCACTACACTCCAGCCTGGGTGACAGATGGAGACCCTGTCTCAAAAAAATTTTTTTTAATATGTTCCAAAATTAGATGAGATTTCTACAACTCCAACACATTGTGATATGCATTATCAGTGATGACTTAAATTATCTTAAATTTTTGTATGCCACAGAAAAACTAAATTTCCTTATCAGTTGTAAATGCTCATTAGTTTGTTGTTGTTGTTGTTGTTGTTGTTTTTGAGACAGAGTCTCACTCTGTTGTCCAGGCTGCAGTGCAGTGGCGAGATCTCGGCTCACTGCAAGCTCCGACTCCCGGGTTCACACCATTCTCCTGCCTCAGCCTCCCGAATAGCTGGGACTACAGGTGCCTGCCACCAGGCCAGGCTAATTTTTGTATTTTTAGTAGAGATGGGTTTTCACTGTGTTAGCCAGGATGGTCTCGATCTCCTGACCTCGTGATCCGCCCGCCTCGGCCTCCCGAAGTGCTAGGATTACAGGCATGAGCCACTGTGCCCGGCCAAAGCTCATTAGATTTTTTTTTTTACCATGACTGTTATGGATTTTTGTCATCCACAGTTATTATTTTAAATTATTCTCTGGGAGCATTTGCAATCAGATATTGCAACAAATTGCTTTTCATGGATCTGCTAACCAAACTCAAGCAAAACAAAATTAATTACATGAAATTAAGTAATGATAAGCATAACGTTTTTATGACTTATATTTTAAAACATTGTTGGTTCTTTATTTAAATGTTTTATTTTCCAGATTTAACAAACTTTTTTCCATAAGATGTCTATAGTTTGCAATAATTTGGTAAAGTAGTATACTTTTGTGAACAAAGGTGGAAGCATTTGCGTTTTCTATTTGATCTCTCCAAAGTTCAGAAACTATTTGTGAGTTTATCTTTTTTGTCTTATTAAAAAAAATTTGTCTTATTTTTTTCCATAAGTTTAATAAAAATCCACTCCCTCTTTATAAGCAGGACACAATGGGAAATGTTGGTTATATGGCCAGGGTTTTGACTGAAATATTGTACTTAAGAATGTGCATAGTAAAATGCCTGGTGCATTAGTCTGTTCTTGGACTGCTATAAAGAAATACCTGAGACTGGGTAATTTATAAAGAAAAGAAGTTTAATTGGCCCACAGTTCTGCAGGCTATACAGGAAGCATGATGCTGGCCATCTGCTCAGCTTCTGGGGAGGCCTCTGGAAACTTATCATCATGGTGGAAGGTAAAGGGGAAGTAGGCATGTCACATTGCCAGAGCAGGAGGAAGAGAGAGAGGGGGGAGGTACTACACACTTTTAAAACCACCATATGTCTTGATAACTCACTCACTCACCATCACTAGAACAGCACTGAGCAGATGGTGCTAAACCATTCATGAGAACTGCGTCCCTATGATCCAATCACCTCCCACCAGGCCCCACTGGGGATTACAATTTGACATGTGATTTGATGGGGACACAGATCCAAAGCATATCACCTGCCTTTAAGAGTTTCCAGCCTTGGGGCCTGGCGCAGTGGCTCATGCCTGTAATCCCAGCACTTTGGGAAGCCAAGGCGGGCGGATCATGAGGTCAGGAGATCGAGACCATCCTGGCTAACATGGTGAAACCCCATCTCTACTAAAAATACAAAAAATTAGGCGGGCGTGGGGGCGGGCACCGGTAGTCTCAGCTACTCAGGAGGCTGAGGCAGGAAAATGGCCTGAACCCGGGAATCGGAGCGCCCACTGCAAGCTCGCCACTGCACTCCAGCCTGGGCGACAGAGCAAGACTCCCTCTCAAAAAAAAAAAAAAAATAGAGTTTCCAGCCTTACAGTAAGTGAGTAAAAATTGTCCCTTCCTGGCAGGTTCAAGAACCTAAAGACTGTAAGTAAAATCTAAAGCCTGGCTTGGTTTGATTTCTTAGGCTTAGGAAGTTAAGAAATTTGAGATTCCTATATGATCAATATGGAGAGAAAAAGTTATGTATCTGGGGAAAACTTTAATACACCTGTGATTAGATTGCAGCCCTGTGAATTTTTTTTTTTTTTTTTTTTGAGACAGTGTCTCCTTCTGTCACCCAGGCTGGGGTGCAGTGGCACGATTTTGACGCTGCAACCTCCACCTCCAGGGTTCAAGCGATTCTCCTGCCTTAGCCTCCCAAGTAGCTGGGACTACAGGCATGCACCGCCACGCCTGGCTAATTTTTTTTGTATTTTTAGTAGAGACAGGGTTTCACTGTGTTAGCCAGGCTGGGCTTGAATTATTTTTAAGTTCTTGTTATCTGCCTGTATATTGGACTAGATCCTGATTTCCTAATTTTCTTCAATATTTGGCTACAACTAAATCCCAGTAAAGTCCCTCAACCCTCTCCTCCTAAGCAAGACTAGGGATGCTATGGGGACCTTCAGAGGATTTCCCTTTCTGTCTTAAAATTAACCAGGCCGGGCATGGTGGCTCATGCCTGTAATCCCAGCACTTTGGGAGGCCGAGGCAGGTGGATTACTTGAGGCCAGGAGTTCGAGACCAGCCTGGCCGACATGGTGAAATCCCATCTCTACTAAAAATACAAAAATTAGCTGTGTGTGGTGGTGCGCACCTATAATCCCAGTTGGAGGCTGAGGCAGGAGAATCACTTGAACCTGGAAGGTGGAGGTTGCAGTGAGCCAAGATTGTGCCACTGTACTCAAGCCTAGGCGACAGAGCAAGACTCCATCTCGAAAACGAAAAACAAAACAATAACAACAACAACAACAACAACAAAAAACTAGCCAACTAGGGGAATTAGATATTGAAGCTGGAGTCAAACCAGTCAGAGCTCTGGGACTCCACTGTGCATTCTTAACTTACCTTGCTTTCAATGTTCTCTTCCCAGAGTTCTCAATTCATCTAAATGGCCAGGATAACCAATCGGCCTATGACAGCTCCTAAATCTCTAGCTATTCCCTTCCAGCTGGGACCCCTCATTAGCAGTCATTGCTTTTTGCTTATCCTATTGGCTCCCATAACCCTCCTGGAAGGGGACTTCTTAGAAATCTGCCATGCCCAAATTTCTTTCTCCCAAAAGGGGGAAATAACGCTTGAGTTATCCTCACCAGGAGATTTTGCCACAGACATGACTTTTACCCAAATTAGCATCTTTTCAGTGAGCCTTAACAATGCTACCCAACCTGCTCTCCAAGAGCCACCAGAGAGTCTTTGGGCACAATCCAAACAGGTGGTGACCCCTCAGATTTTGATGATAGTTGTGGGCACTCTGAAGGATGCAATTTACCTGGAGGGGTTAAGCCTAGTGAAGGAGCTAGGTTAGGAGGGCTTCCGGAGTCTTGGTTTGGATTAGGCCCTGCTTGGAATACATATATAATCAGAAGCCTCTCTCACATTATTAACAGAATTTCCCAACCCACCACCTGAGCCATCAGGGCACAACAGAGCTCCCTAGATTCCCCTCACTTGGGTGGTCCTAGACAACTGCATTGCTTTAGTCTAGCACCTTGTTGCACAGGGTGGTGTTTGTGCTGTTGCTAACATTTCCTGCTGCACGTGGGTAAATACTTCTAGTCAGGTTGAATTAGAGACATCTAAGATCCTAAAGCTGGCCAAGTCTCTGAAAGGTGCATCTTCAGAAAGCCTCTTGGCTGGACTTACTGGAATAAGTTTCCAATTTCCAGATATTTTCAGCTGGCTCCTCCCAATATAGGATTTCTTTTGCCCTGTGAGTCTTAATGACCCTTCACATGTTTGGGCTAAGCATTTGGCTCCTCTTTAAAATTGTTCTAGCCTGTTTTAACAGATGTCTTCAAGAGAGTCCCACCAGAATCATGCTGACCCAACACCTTGATAATTTAAACTCACTCCAGCCGGAAACTGGAACCAACTAAACCCAAAAGACTTTGATTCAAACTCAACAGGTACTTGAGGGCCTCTCATAAGTAAATGGCTCTAGTTGCTCAGCTGGCTACTTGCCCTGCCACTAGGATCCCTGCACAGGACTAGATGAACCTGGAGTAGACAGCAAACCACCCTGGTGCTGTGATGGAATGCAACCAACCTATTCAATCATCAGTGCTGTCTGCAAACAGGTTTCAGGTGAGAGGGGGAATATGAATAAATGTGAACCTGAAAGAGCCAATTCTTCAAGATGGATTCCATGTGACTAACCGAGCCTAATTTTTACATCAAGTCATTTGCTGACTACAGGTCACACATGTACTTGGAGTTCCCCAAAGAATCCACACCGCAGTTTAACTTTGGGACTCTCAGAGCTCACCTGCACAAACCAACCAGAGCTCACCTATTAACTTATCAGGGCTCAACCATATCGACCCATCAGGGATCAGCTGTATCAGCCAGTCAGAACTCAGCTGCATCAACCAATCAAAACTAAACAACTATGAATCCTTCATTTGCATAAATGGGCCTGATTAGGAACCTGGGTGGGAACTTCTCAACTATAAAACCTGAACCGTCCCTTTGATCTCTGGAATGCCCTTTTGTTTTACAGGGAAGCCTGCATCTCTCCAGTTTGCAAACTGTTCACTGGAATAAAGTCTCTTTGCCCCAAATTCCTTTTCAGAGAACTTTTGTTCACAGGGCTGTCACATGTCCTGCCTGTCACTGGCCACTGGACTTCCTGTGGTCTCACTGGCTCTGCCAAGTGAAGCCAAGACTGGTCGAGCTTCCTCATGGGGTGCCTTTCAAGTCCTCCTTCTGCTCACATTAAGCAGCCCACTTTGTATTTTAAGGCGTGTCTCAGCCTGCCTAAAAGCACAGCCCTTTCCATTTCATATTTTAGTTGATGTTGCATCCAGAAAAGCAATTTGGGACTCGATTAAACATTTCATTTCTCTTTATCATATTTCTTTGTTGTTCTCTCACTTCGGGTTCTTGTCTCAGTAAGGACCAGGTGCTGGGTAATGTTCAAGTGTGATACCAGGAGGGAGGTTGACTTGGGAGGTGAGAGAACCAACCTGCAATTGAAGTGTCATGTGCTAAGTCCACCATGATGTGCTTCTCTCCTCTGCTGCCATATTATTCATCCCTACCCAACCAGGAGGTCAGAAGAATTTGCTAGTGACAGTGAGATCCTTGGTCATAGAGATAAATTATTGTTTTAGGCAGTGACTTCATAGAGGGCCAGAGGGGACAGATAATAGTAAATACTCCTTTCGGATCAGCCACATTCGTCTTGTATTTGCTAAACTGGAATTGGCCAATTGCAATGATTGAATCGTGTCCCCCAAAAAGGTATGTCCAAGTCCTAATCTCCAGTATTTGTGAATGTGTCCCTTTTTGGAAACAGAGTTTTTGCAGGTGTAATTAAGCTGAAGATCTTGAGATGAGGTCATCTGGTGCCCTTATAAGAGAAAGGAGAGATTTGAGATACAGAGACATGGAGGAGAGAGCCCACAGGGGAAGGCCACATGGGCATGAAGGCAGAGACAAGCCAAGGAATGCCTGGAGCCACTAGAAGTTAAGAGAAAGGCATGGAACAGATTCTCCCTCAGAGCATCCAGAAGGAACCAACTTTGCCAATGACTCTTTGATTTCAGACTTCTAGCTTCCAGAGCTGTAAGAGAATAAATTCTGTTGTTTTGTTGTCATATTGAAAAGCAGCCCTGAGAAACTAATACAGTACCCTCCTGGGACTCCAGGACCTGTCTTGGAGAAGGCCCTTGACTGAAGTCAACAGACCAGGTTCCAGGCCCATCCTCCACAGATTCTATCAAAGAGAATTTTACGCCAAATCCTAACCCATAAAAGCAGTCAAAGTGAAGTTTATGTGCTTGAAGCTTGGTGGCAGAGCTCTCCCTGGCAGCCCAGGCTGAAAAGCCTCAAACCCCACCCTCCCAGTCTCGCACTCCCCATAACTACCACCAAAGACACGCTCTTGCCTGAGGCACCTCCACAAATCTTGGGGACCCCAAAAAAAGGCTGAAGTTACAGGTGCTGACATGCAGCCACTGCACCTGCCCTGACATTGGGCAGATGGAGCCCTGATGCTCAGATCCACCAGTGACGATAGAATGGCCTCAGACAAGTAGTTGCCATTCTGAGCCTCAATCTTCTCACCTATAAAATGGGAATCCTGGTCTGCTATGGACTAAATTGTGTCCTCCCAAGATTCATAGGTTGAAGTTCTAATCCACAGTGTGACTCTCTCTGGAGATTGGGGCTCTAGGAGATAATTAAGGTTAAACGAGGTCACAGGGTGGCACCCTAATCTGATAGGAGTGTGGCTTTATAAGAAGAGGAAGAGAACTTTCTCTTTTTCTTTTTCTCTCCCTACCTTGTGAGGACACAGCAAGAAGGTTGGCTGCCTGCAAGTCAGGAAGAGAGCCCTCACCAGAATACAACCATGCTGGCTCCCTGATCTCAGACTTCCAGCCTCCAGAACTCTGAGGAGCAAATTTCTGTTGTTTAAACCCACCTACTAGCTTATGTTTATTTGTCATCGCAGCACAAGCTGATTAACGCACCATCTCACTCAGTTACTTGGAGGATTAAGTGAGAAACACAGCTACCTGCAGCAGCCCATAGTAGGCACTAGGTAACAGATAAGGTAACCTTCTGTGTCTCCTTTTGTTTGCTCCCAGCCCTCCCCTATCTCATCTGGAAGACCCTTCATCATTTGGCCTTGACACACCTGTTCGGCTTCACCTTCTGCCACTCCACTCCATGCATGCTTGTAATAAATGAATGCAGCCATGACTTTGCACAAGCAGGTCCTTCTGCTTAGATCACCTCTCCCTTTACTTTCTTTCTACACACCACACACATGTGCATGCATACACACACACACCCTCCACATCCTCCTGACAGACTTCTACTTATCTTTCAAGATTGTCTCAAACAACACAGCAGAGTTGCTCTATATCTTCCCCCATGCATCGAGGCTGCGTGTCCATACCTCTCTGCCCCTGTTAGCCACACTAACCTGTGCATATGTTGAGAACACGCCTGCGGCAGGCCCTGTGGACAGGTGCTCTGGGGTAGCCATGGTCCTCCCTTGCCCTCAGAGCTGGGTCCTTTGTGGCAATGAATCATGCCTGCCCTGAATCCTTGCAGCAATTTCCTCCCTCAGCCAGGTGTTCGTCCAGGGTGTTATGTGACCTGATTTGGCCAGTGAGCTGGAAGAGGAGGCCAGCTTTTGCCTGGGAGATGGATGTTTTCACATGCGAGTGCGATGCTCAACCCTGCAGGGGTCATCTTGCCACAGTGAGTGACCTGAAGAGTCTCAGAGACACCAACACATTGTTGAACTGCTGACACAATTGTGGAATCCCTTACCACCACGCTTCTTGTTAAGTTTGGTGATAAATATCTATATTATTTAAGTAATTGTAAGTTAGAAACTCTGTTCAACACAGTGCCCACCTCACATTACTGTTATGGAGATTGAGTGAGGCTGTGGCCCTGACTGAGTGAGTTCTGATTGCTGAGTGCCGAGAAAAAGTGCCAAGGCTGGGCTGACCAGAACAGCTCTGGACTGCTTCACAGGACACGTCTGTGACAGAATGGCCTAACATTTCATCATTATGCTAACCCTCACAAAGATCTGTAAAGTACCTACTGTGTGAGGGTGGCCAAGTTTGACCTGAGTCAAGGATTCCTAACTTGACTAGAAGGTAACTCCATGTTTTATTAGGTTTGGGCTGTTATAACAAAGTACCATAAACTGGATGGCTTACAAACAACATAAATCTATTTCCCACAGTGCTAGAGGGTAGAAGTCTGAGATCAGGGCACCAACATGGGGCTCTCTTCTGGGTTGTAGACAGCTGATATGATTTGGCTGTGTCCCCACCCAAATCTCATCTTGAATTGTAGTTCCCATAATCCCCACATGTCATGGGAGGGACACTGTGGGAGGTAATTGAATCATGGGGGCAGTTACCCCCATGCTGTTCTCATGATAGTGAGTGAGTTCTCATGAGATCTGATGGCTTTATAAGAGGCTTTTCTGCCTTTGCTTGGCAGTTCTTCTTCCTGCCACCATGTGAAGAAGGATGTGTTTGCTTTCCCTCCCACCATGATTGTAAGTCTCCTAAGGCCTCCCCAGCCATGCTGAACATGAGTCAATTAAACCTCTTTCCTTTATAAATTAACCAGTCTTGGGTATGTCTTTATCAGCAACTTGAGAATGGACTAATACAACAGCCATCTTCTCTTTGTCTCCTCATATGACAGAAAGAGGGCAAGAGAGTTCTCTGGGGTCCCTTTTATAAGGGCATTAACCCCATTCATGAAGGCTCCACCCTCATGACCTAATCACCTTCAAAGGCCCCACCTCCTAACACCATCACACTGGGGGTTAGAATTTCAACACTTGAATTCTGGGGCAGGGGACAGGACACAAGTATTCAGTCCATAGCACCTCATGAAGGTATGTCTCTTCTAATGTTTCTTATTATTCTCCTCCCTTGCTCTCTTTTTATTCTTTTATTTTTATTTTTATGGTTTTGAGACAGACTCTTGCTCTGTTGCCCAAGCTGGAGTGCAGTGGCAAAATCTCGGCTCACTGCAACCTCCACCTCCCAGGTTCAAGTGATTCTCCTGCCTCCGCCTCCCAAGTAGCTGGGATTACAGGCACCTGCCACCACGCCCAGCAAATTTTTGTATTGTTAGTAGAGATGGGGTTTCACCATGTTGGCCAGGCTAGTCTTGAACTCCTGACCTCAAGTGATCCACCCGCCTTGGCCTCCCAAAGTGCTGGGATTACAGGTGTGAGCCACCGCACCTGGCTGCTCTCTTTTTATTAAAACCAAAACACCTTAAAAAGGTGGACATCAGAATGTAATGTTGAGCGCCAAAAGATAGGAAAAAAACAGTGTTTTCCCTACTCTCACTCACTATTCAATGCAATTCTGACACCAGATGTATAGAGTTTTTTCCCCGCACAAAACAAAAATCAGTTCTGCAGTGGACAGCAGCCCAGTGTTCTATAATTCAATTCAAGTCTGATCCTATCTACCTGGAGAAAGCATCTAATCCCACAGGTTGAGGGCTCAGTCCCACAGGACTGCCCCCACTGCAGATGCCAATCGCAAGCCCAAGTTATGGCCTGAGCTTCCGATGGACCAGCTATAGATTTTACAAGTCAGGGTTCCCAACACTCCCTCCTTGGGTTTGACTAATTTGCTAGAGTGATTCGCAGGACCCAGGGAAACACTTTACTTATGTTTACTTATTTATTTTAAAGGATGTTACAAAGGCTACAGATGAACAGCCAGGTGGAGAGATGCACAGGGCAAGGCAATGCAGGAAGAGCTCAGAGCCTCTGGGCCACCATCCCCCAAGAGCCTTCATGTGTTCAGCTCTCTGGAAGCTCCCTAAATTCAGTCCTTCTTGGTTTTTCTGGAGACTTCATTACATGGACATGATTGATTACAACATCATTAGTTGGTGACCAATTCAGTTCCTCCCTGCCCCATTGATGGAGGGCATGGCTGAGAGCCCCAACCGTCTAATCCTGCCTTGCTCTTTCTAGTGATCAGCCCCATCCTGAGGCTACCTGGGGACCCCAGCCACCAGTCATCTCACTAGCATACAAAAATACACTCTTACCACTCCAGAGATTCTAAGGTTTTTAGCAATTATATTTCAGAAAATGGGAGATGAAGACCAAACATATATTTCAGAATATCACAGGTGCCTTCCAAGTCCCAAGGCTCCAGCCAATGAGGCTATTTACAGGTGAGGATTGGGCCTCCCTGCAAAGGGGTCAAGGTACTCACGGGCTACTGGATAAGTGCCCACTTGCCCCCCAAGGGCTCCTGACTTCCTCCTGTGAACATAAATCTACTCTTGTCTAATGATAAGGGAATCATGCATAAATGTGCATTGGGTAACATGGGGCCGTAGGTGAACACTGGACTGACATTCATGAGCCCCAGGCTTGGTTGTTGTTTTATCAATAATAAACTGGGTCACTTTGGGAGGGTCCCACAGTGTCCCTGAAGCCCCTTTCTTCACTATAAAGTAACAGTCATATAACATAAATATGAGTATATGACCATAAAGTAACAGTCATTCCTTCACTATAAAGTAACAGTCATATAACATAAATATGAGTATATGACTATAAAGTTAACAGTCATATAACCAAATTCGTATCCGGCGAATTTGAAACTGACTCCATCATTTGCTGTAACTTTGAACTAGTTACAACTTCTTTTTTTTTTTTTTTTCTGAGATGGAGTTTCTTTCTGATTGTCCAAGCTTGAGTGCAATGGCACGATCTCGGCTCACTGCAACCTCAGCCTCCTGGGTTCAAGCGATTCTCCTGCCTCAGCCTCCTGAGTAGCTGGGATTACAGGAGCGCACCACCACACCCAGCCAATTTTTTGTATTTTTAGTAGCAATGAGGTTTCACCATGTTACCTGTGGCTGAACTCCTGACCTCAGGTTATCTGCCCGCCTCAGCCTCCCAAAGTGCTAGGACTACAGGTGTGAGCCACCGCGCCTGGCCTATATCTTTAACCTCCCAAAGCTTCCATTTTTCTTACATGTAAAGTAGGTGTGATCATAATCCTGACTTTGTAAGGTTTAGAAATAACTTATATAAATCATTAGCATTGGGCTATCCATGAAACAGGCACTTAAATAGCAGAAATTGTCATCACTTCCAGTTGTATGAGTCTTAGCCTTGTGACAAAATTGTGAAACAGGGCACTGCTATCACTTTTAGACTCAAGGATCACAGATGCCTTGCTCAGTGGGGCTGGAGAAGCAAACCAGTGATAAATTTGGTGCTGAGCTCGTGCAGCAAGACCCAGACCCCGTGCTGCTGTCCAGACCAACGTCCCCTCCTGAAGAAGTGAGTTTTAAAAAGACATCCAGGTTGGAGCCATAATTAGAAATGACTGAGAGCCTTAAGCGAAAACAGCAAGCTTTTACTAATCAATAACAGTCATTTCTTTCAGAGAGAAAAGACAGATTTCAAAAGACATTGGAATTGGAAATGCATCCAGGATCCTCGGCCTGAGTGCTGAGAAGGTGTGGAAGTGTAGCCTAACATTCCGAACTGGAAGCCGTCCCTCACTGCCAAGCAAGGTCACCACCAGGCAACTCCTCCCAACCTCCAACAATCCCCTCATTGGGAACCCTTAGCCTCTGCCCAGACACCCCAGGCCCAGTTTTCTCAAGAGACTTCTGGCATTTCGAAAGCAAACCATCTTTCACTTTTCTCTTCTGGATGAAAACTCTGATTTTTTAAAAAAGCTCCTTTTAAAGAGATTTCCATTGTGAACATCCTTACACCTGCACAAATGCACTCATCTGGCCAGTTGCTGTTCAGAATAACAGTGCCAGAGACAACACTCACCTACACTCCTCCACCTCTTGTCCTGTCTCCCTCCTCCCCCGACATTAGGTTGGGGCTGCATGACTAGTGTGGCCAAAGAAATCTGAGCAGCAGCTTCGGGCTTCCACCCAGGCTGAGGTCATTAAGAGCTAGTGTGGCTTCTCCATCTCTTTCTTTCCCTGTCCTGGAGGCCTCCATCTCTCTCATCCTCTACAGAGGAGTAGCTGCAAGAAAGCAGAGAGCCACCGAACCCACATCAGGCTTTGAGAGTGAGATCTAAACCTGAGACTTGAAGGTTTGTCTACTGTGGCCGCTACCATTAGTACCCGAACTAATAATGTAGGGTCAGTTTTCAGACAGCCCCTTTCACATTCTCAGAAGCAGATGCAATTTTCTATCCCATGCTCACGTCTCAAGCTTGTATGGAGCCTCCACTGTGTGCCAGGCACTACTGGGATGGGGATTAAGAAGGTGAGTAAATCCCTCCCCGGCCTTCCCTAAAGGATTGTGCCATCTATTAGGGCAAGACAGACACATAATGAGCTCACACTCCCGGACAGATCTGTCTCGATGGTGTGGGCAAAGTAATGATCTCTGAAGAACTGTCTCCCGGCTCTCGTTTCAGCAAATCCAGAGTAATCACGGGCGCTAACAGGAAATGTTAGTATCAGAGAGTGTACTTTCTTTGGTCAGGCATATTTTATTGAATCACATTCAATTAGGCTATTAATGGATTCTTTTTTTTTTTTTTTTTTTTTTTTTTTTTTTTTTTTTTTGAGACGGAGTCTCGCTCTGTCACCCAGGCTGGAGTGCCGTGGCGCGATCTTGGCTCACTCCAAGCTCCGCCTCCCGGGTTCACGCCATTCTCCTGCCTCAGCCTCCGGAGTAGCTGGGACTACAGGCACCCGCCACCACACCCGGCTAATTTTTTTGTATTTTTAGTAGAGACGGGGTTTCATCGTGTTAACCAGGATGGTCTCGATCACCTGACCTCGTGATCCGCCCGTCTCGGCCTCCCAAAGTGCTGGGATTACAGGCGTGAGCCACCGCGCCCGGCTATTAATGGATTCTTAATTCTTCATTTAATGAGCACATACTGACCCAGGCACATTCTTAGTGGAGATAGACCTCACCCCAGGAAAGACACAGTCAAGGAAAAGTTCAATAAGAAAATAAACTTCACAGGAAAGTGTTTGTTCTCTCAAGTTATGAAATAAAAAACAAAGCAGGCTTGAGGGGTCATTTGATACCTACTAGGTTGTAAAAAAAAGTATATACAGTTTTATACTGTAAAAAAAAATTATAAAACATCTTTGTTAGTTTGCTAGGGCTTCCATAACAAAATACCACAAACTGAGTGGCTTAAACAACAGAAATTTATTGTCTCACAATTCTGGAGGCCAGAAGCCCAAGATCAAGGTGAGGGCAGGGCTGGTTTCTTCTGAGGACTGAGGCAACCTCAGCCCCAGGCCTCTGTCTCCAGCTTCTGGGGCTTCACGGGCAGTCTCTGTGCTCCTCGGTTTATGGATGCTTCACCCCATCTCTGCCTTCATCTGCAAGTAGTGCCCTCCCTGTCTGTGCACCTGTCTCTGCGTCCAAATTTCCCCTTTTTTGTAAGGACAACAATCATATTGGATTAGGGCCCACCCTAATGATCTCATCTTATTTTGGTCATCTGCAAAAACCTTATTTCCAAATAAGGTCACATTGAAAAGTTCTGGTGGTTTAAGCTTCAACATCTTTAGAAGACACAATCAAATCCTAACAATACCGGCTCTGGCAATACTGAGTTGAAACTGGTCTGCTCACACAATGATGTCTGTAGCCGTAGAAATAGCTGTAAAATGTTAGGGAAGCAATATGGTAATGCGCAGCAGTAACTATCAAGATGAACAGCCTTTGGCCGAGAGGCCCCACTCCCAGGCATGTATCTCACACCTGCTGTGCAGGTCAAATCAGGATGTTAGTCTCCCCAGGGGTACATAGCAGTGAGTGGAAAGGACTCAGTGCTGTGGGTTACAAACATTTTTCCACACCCATCAATTTAATCATATTTCAATATATGTATATTTTATAGTCACCATTTATAGCCCTCCAATGTGCATTTTCTGTTGCTACTAGAACTTTGGTGGGAAAGTTTGAAAAGATCTGTCTTTGGGAAATAATTCAACATAAGCCAAAACCTCCAGATACAAAGATGATTACTGCAGCATTATTGCTATTCCCAAACTAGAAACAAGGACCCATTCCAGCTATTATTTGCCAAGCACCTTCTGTCTATCAGGCATTGTGCTAGGGCCTGGGGATGCAGTGGTAAAACATCATTCCTAGTCCCTATTTGCAAAGAGCCTGTGGCTTCCCATTGATGAATGTTTTAATACATTATATTCTTAACATATTAGTGTAACATGCAAGCACTAAATGGTAGCTAAGAAAAATGTAAATAACATTTAAAATTCATAAAGATTTAATTGAAGATGGCATATTATACTATAACTATTTGAAATATGCATGCTTCTTGACTTTTGTCTGTTTTGTTCACTTCTGTATCCCTGATGCTGAGAACAATACTTGGCATGTAGTAAGCGCTTAATAAGAATTTGGCATTGACCAAAATGGTGAAACCCCATCTCTACCAAAAATACAAAAATTAGCTGGGCATGGTGGCGCATGCCTGTAATCCCAGCTACTCAGGAGGCTGAGGCGGGAGAATCACTTGAACCCGGAAGGCAGATGTTGCAGTGAGCCGAGATCATGCCACTGCAATCCAGGCTGGGTGACAGAGCGAGACTCCGTATCAAAAAAAAAAAAAAAAAAAGAATTTGGTGAACTGAATTAATATACTAAGGACTGGGAGGTTATGCGCAAAATAAAAATTATAAAAAGAAGCCATTGTTGTACTCGGGTCATAGAATCATGAGTATGTTTTCTTCCTTTTTTCCAAAAAAGAATTTTATGCAGCTGTTACTACAGTTTGTTGAAAATAAGATAATAATTTTTTAAAAAACCTAGATGTGTCTAGTATTCATATATCAAAGGAATGCAAATCTTGAAAAATTGGAAAATAAAAGCACTATGGCTCTAGGATTTCCCCCTCCACCCCCCACCACCTCCGGGAGGCAGCCTTTGCAGGGTGCAGAGGTTAACGTGAGAAGTAATGAGCCCAAGCTAAGAAAGTGTCGGGGTCTCAAGGAAGGGCTGATTCTCCAGACATTCTCATCTTGCATGCCCAATTTCTCTGCCCCAATTTTCCTAATGTTGCTTTGGGTTCTGCCCCACCTTTTTTTTTCTTGCTCTTCTAAAAGAGGAGTGAGACTTGTTATCCCACGATGGAGTGACTTCCAGACAAGTTTAGAAAAGCCTATCTTGAATAAGGAGCTGGTATGGTCAATTAGTTGTGACAGGAAGATGGCATTGCTAACTGTCCTGGCAAATGATATGCCTGCACAAATAAAAACCAAAATGAGGCCAGGTGCGGTGGCTCACGCCTGTAATCCCAGCACTTTGGGAGACTGAGGCGGGCGGATCACGAGGTCAGGAGATCGAAACCATCCTGGCTAACACGGTGAAACCCTGTCTCTACTAAAAATATAAAAAAATTAGCCAGGCGTGGTGGTGGGTGCCTGTAGTCCCAGCTACTCGGGAGGCTGAGGCAGGAGAATGCCGTGAACCAAGGAGGCGGAGCTTGCAGTGAGCCGAGATCGCACCGCAGCACTCCAGCCTGGGTGACAGAGCGAGACTCCATCTAAAACAAAACAAAACAAAACAAAACAAACAAACAAAAAAAAACTCCCAGGTCCCATTGTCCCTCCCCAGTCAGTCAAATGGCCCAAGTCAGTAAGCTAGTGGTTCTCCTGGACAGCTTCCTCACTCCCTCCTGCCTGCCAACATACACATAACCAATCCTTCCCCTTGCCTTCCAGATTCTGCCTAAAAGAATATGTCCACTTTCTTCCACTCTCTTCACTCTACACCATCACCTGAATCCAAACAGCCCCAGAAACTCTCACCTGGATTTCTGCAACACCCACTAACTGGTCTCGCTGTTTCTACTATTGGCCTCTCTGATCCATTTGCTACACAATAGACAAAGATATAATTTTAAAAACAGAATCTAGATTATGTCACTCTCCTGCTCCATGTCACTGCCTTCAGTGTTGTTCATCTCACTTGGGATAAAATACAAAATCCTTAACAGGGATGCAAGGCATCTGTGTTCTGCCCCTGCCTGTCTCTCCAGCCCTTTTTCCTGCAGAACTGCCCCTCATGCACTTCGCTGGCTACACGGTCCTTTTCAGTCTCTCAAGTTGAGTCAAGCTCTCCTGTGTCTCTTCATAGAGGTTAGAAATCCCTGTTACACTTTCTAATAGGACTCAGGACTTTCATTTCATGCAGTTATCTAAATGCATAAATTTCTTGTTTGTGTGATTATTGGTTATTGGTTTAATATCTGTCTCTCCCATTAGCTTACAACCTCTATGAGGGCAGAGAACATGTCTGCTTTGTTCTCCATTGTATACCCACCCAATGCCTAGCAAGGTATCCGGCTCATGGTGAGCCCTCATCACATGTTTGTCAAATGAATGATTAAGTGAACAAACCCAGATATCAGTTATATCACAAGAAATATTTCCTGGTTATGCCCTTAATCTGTTGCATCCAAATTTATTCAAGAGTTACATGATGAAGAGCAAACAAAACACATAATTCTTTTGCTAAAGTGGAGGATGCATTCCAAGGACATACTTCTTGGTTTGACAGTTCATTTCTAGAGGCAGAAATATTGCAGGCAATCATCAGATGTAGCCCAAGGCAGCAGACAAGGGTTTATCTTGCAAACATCATGAAATACTTTATAAATTAGGCAATTTCAGTCTGCAAGAGATAAAGACATACTCAGCTTGTCTCAGTGGAGGTCTATCAGTTAGGATTCTTAATATTGCATGTGACAAAAGACCTAACTCAAGCTGCATTAAACAACAAAGAGGACGTATTGGCTTCATAACTGAAAAGTCTAGACACAGGACGTCCTTCTTCGGGAAAGGCATGATTCTGTGGCCTACTGATGTACCAGCGGACAAGTTCCTCTCTGTGGTTTACTTGCCAGCCATGCATTTCTTTGACCTTAGGTTGCACAAGGTCATTCAGGTTCTCCTTTCATGGAAACAAAAGGGCTGCAGCCACCCCACCCTCTCATCCTCATAACCCCTGAGCTAGAGAAGAGAGCATTTTTCTTCCAGAATCTTCTGCAGTGAGTCTCAAACCTGACTGATGAGCAGAATCACACGACAAGCTGATTTCTAGAGTCCCATGCCAGCATCTCCACCCAAACTTGGTGTATCTGGTATATGGCCTGAGAATCTTCAATTATTGAATATCCTTTACAGAAAACTCTAAAGGAGAAACCAAAATTGTCCCATAACTCCACCTTTCAGATGACACTTACTGAAGTTCTCCACTAAAACTAATCAATGCACAAAGTAGGAAGTAGGAAAATCAAGCAGTACTGAATGAAAGGTAAGAACCTCTCTTCTCATCCTTCCCTCAAAGTTGCCACTGTTATCAGCTTCTTGTAGATTTTCCATTGAAAAAGAATTTGTGCATTTACCAAAGTATATGGTGTGTCATTTTAAAAGTTATGTGGAAAATGGATTACACCATTTATACTGCTCTGCTGCTTGATTTTTTCATTGCACAACATAACTCAGAGACTGCTCTATATCAGCAAATGGAGTTCCTACTAAATCTCTTTAAAAGATCTAAGAGTGTGCCACAGTTTATTTATCCAGGTTCCTATTGATGGACATTGAGGTTGTTTGCTATACAAATAATGCTGCTGTGGGCATCCATTCTTGCCGACGTTGATACTCTTCTGTGGGAAATTTCAGAATCAGCTCCCATCAGTAGAATTGCTGGGTCAAAGGTTACTCATGTTTTAAAAATGTTGATGTATGTTGACAAAATTCCTTTAGTTGAAATTTACTAGTCTGGTCTCTATTACCATTTCGAACTTCACAAATTGTGCCCTTAGTTACACGCGGGTGCCTTATGGCAGTATGGGATGGGGGCGCAGAGAATCTATGTTTTTAAAAGTTCATCATGTGATTCAGAAGCTCATGCAGGTGTGAGAACCACCGCCCCACCTTGTCACACAGGTGCCAAAATCCACCAAGTTTGCATTCACTGGCATCTGCTTCCATACTCTCATCAGCAATGGGCATCATGAAACTTTATAATTTTTGCTAATCAGATTCATGAAAAGTGGTCTGGCATTGTTCTGATTTGCGTCTCTTTATTTCTGAGGAAGGATGAGCAGCTCTTCATATGTTTCTTGGTCACTGGTATTTCTTTTCCATGTTCTGCCAGTTCAGATTCCTGGCCCAGCATTTATTGAGTTGTTTGTATATTTCTTATTTATAGACATTTGTTGCAAATTAAAGAAATTAGTGTGTCTTCCATCTATATTCCAAATACTGTTTTCCCCTTGTTTATAATTTCTTCTGACTGATTCATGAGTTTGTTTGTTTGTTTAGCTTTACAGAAGGATTTTGCTTCATTCTGTTTTAATATGGTGATATTTTTAAATCTTTGGTCTTTATGGTTTCTGGAGGAATCAAGTTTTTAAAACTCCCCAGGTGATTCTGATGAGTTTGAGAGTCACTGTCTTACAGGATATAAATAAGGAACCGAATACAGTCCCTACCCTTTGGGGTTTACAACTGTATGGGAGAAAGACGAGCTTATACATAAAAGAGAACAAGAGATAAAGGGCACTGCGAAGTTTCAAATGAGCCATGCAGATTCTTGGCTTGGCATCAAGAGCCTGCCCACTCCACGCTCCTCTCCTCAGCACCCTTTCCTCTCAGATCCTCGTGGAGGTGAGTGGGAGATCCCATCAGGCAGCAGAAGGCAGAGAAAAGCCAGCCACACAGTGGAGGGGAGGTGGCCAGGCCAGGGCGGCAGCGTAGAACAGTGGAAGCGAAGCCTTCAGGCCCGAGAGAACAGGCTCCTGGTCTCAGAGTGCTCTTAGAGGCCATCGTCCCCCTCCTACCTCCAGGGCCCGGGAGGCCTGGCTGCAGGGGTGGCCCTGCCCTCTTCTGGACAAGCCATGAGGTAGAGTCCTTTCCTCCTCTATCTTGCCCAACCTTAGAAAATCAAGTAAATAAATAAAAGGAACACTTGAGTCAGTTTTTGCTTTGTTCCATTAGAAATTCTGAGAAAAGCTAGATTTCCATGGGCTTCAGTGGGGAGAGGAGAGCATAAAGTTTCATGAAGGGAACCAAGCAGAGTTCCAGCATGGGGCCTCTGGAGGGAAGGAACTGGTTCTCACTCAACCCTGTTTCCCTCACAGCTTCTAGAACAGGGTCCTAGATTAGATATACTGCGTCCTGAATGAATGAATCAATCAATGGGAATGTATTCGAGCTGGGCGTGGAAAGACTAAGGATAAGGACCATTTCTTTATTTTCCTAGTGAACAAGAGTGCCTGATACACAGTAAGTACCTAATAGTGTTGATGTTATCAGGGGAGGTGAGGATGATGGTGTGAGCAAAGGTGCAACATTAAGAACACAAAAATCACATTCACAGGACAGTGAGGGTAGCTTATTTCATGAAAGATTCTGTGAAGAAATTAGACACAGAAAAACAAGTTGGGAGCCTCAAATGCCAGGTAAGGAAGGTGGAGTTCTATCTGTCTACAGGTAGAGTCACTGATGACTGTGTTCAGGCCACGACATGGTTAAAATCAGTGTTTTAGGAAGACTTGTTTGGTGGCATAAAGCAGGATGGATTAGAAGTTAGAAGGAAATTCAAAAACACATTTGCTCATTATCTTCTTCTTCAAAAAATGTAGTCATATTCAGTACATTAAAATAATCCAATAATATTGATTCAATTATGAATCCAATATCTGATTATGAAACATAATAATAAACCCACCATCCCACGTGAGACCTAGAGCCTTGCCAATACTACCAAAGATGCCTGTGCCTGATACCCTTTGGTTTGGGTGTGATTTCTACACAAATCCATTGGATTGACTTTCTTCCCTCCATCTGATTCTAGTCTCCCTGAGGTCCAAGAACACCTTCCAATTCCAGCTCCATCGTACCTGGAGTCCTCCCACCCCAGCATTCAGGATGAAATAGAGGTAAGATGAGAATGAACATGCGATGATGAATAACAGATCACTCAAGATTTTGAAATTTATAAGTAAAATTATTTTCTACAGTTTTAATTATGGTGACTCATGCAATTTTGGTGTAATTAGCCTTTTATTCTTACTCATTTTAATTATGAAATAAATATGCAAATTTATGCTAATAGTATAGTTAAGGAAATTATCCATTGCATTTGAGGAAGCACTCAGGCAAATTTTAAAATGGGATCATAGTTCTGACAGTTACAGAAATGGACATGAAAACAACAGGCAGAGTTCCCTGAATACACAGTGAACATGGCCCTAGAAATAGAGCTTTCATGAGACGTTCCGAGAGAAATGAATGTTTTCCCGTCCATTCCTGCTGGGCCTCCTAGATTCAGATCCAAGCCTGTATCTCTGGGTCTGCTTGTGTGCTAAAGCTCCCAAGGATATGAGCTGAGCCAGATCACCTTTATTCCCAGGGTTTCCAGAAACACAAGGGGCAACGTGACTGTTGTCTAACTATCAGTTACCGTGTACTTCTTCTGTGCGCTGGTGTTCCGTAATCCCCCTGAAGCTGCGATGCCTGCAGTCAAGACTCAACCAATGGTGGAGTCAAGAATCACCACCCAGCAACAAGAGTCATTGCAAAATAACTGAAGTTCCTTATATGCGTTCTTAAATGCTGAAACAGAGACACATGGCCCACAGAAATACTTCCTTAAATTTCCTTCCCTTTCCACCTATTGTCCTCATACTCCAGCACCTCTCTCCTCAAGATTTCCTGAAGAACTCCTCCCCAGCCATAGCCCAAGTAAGCAGAGAGGCATTCTGACCATGGCGGCCCCCTTCCCAGGGCAGCAGAGGGCGAGTCAGCTGAGATGCCAAGCCTTCTCTGATGGGCAGGGGAGCGAGGCCCGGGAACCCTCATGCACGACTCATTGTCATTGCATCCTCACTGTTGAATTTCCTGGATGTGTCAGACCATGAGCCTTGGCAGTGGAGAAACCAGGCATCTGCAGGCAGAAGCCCAGCCATAGAATAGCAAGTCACACAGGCCTGTATTGCCCGGCAATGCAACACGTGTAAGTGGCTGCGGGACTCCCTGCACTCAGCACCAGTGATGAAATCTGTCAGCAGAGATGTAAAGAATCATGTGATCTGGCCGGGGGCGGTGGCTTATGCTTGTAATCCCAGGGCTTCAGGAGGCTGAGGCAGGAGGATTGCTTGAGGCTAGGAGTTTGAAACCAGCGTGGGCAACACAGTGAGATCCCATCTCTACAAAACATTTAAAAATTAGCATGACATGGTGGTGTACACCCATAGTCCCAGTTACTCAGGAGGCTGAGGCAGGAGGATCACTTGAGCCTAGGAGTTCAAGGCTCCAGTGAGCCGTGACGGCACCACTGCACTTCAGCCTGGGCAACCGAACAAGATCTTAACTTTTTTTTTTTAAAAAAGGAAGTGGGGAATCATCAGATATAAATAAATGGTAAGGTTATAAACCCAAGCATCACCAGCAGCTACCACTTTTAATAAATCTGAGAAAAATATCCCCCTTTGCTGACTCAGAGCCATGCCCAGGTTGTCTTTAGCTGTGGCCACGTCTCCCAGCCACCCACATTGCTGCCATCTCTGGGGTTGTGCCCCTCCCTCCTCACTGCGCCCTATTAAAACAATCATCTATAAAGCCACAAAGTGAGGGCTCAGACTAAACCTTGAATACATCCTTGTGAATGCATGGGCTGGCCTCCAAGGCAGCCCTGTCCCCTGCTATGACTCTGCCCACCCCATAGCTCCTACCCTCCACCGTGTTTCCTGGGTCCATTTTTGCAGCTGGGACAGAGAGGGGCAGCTCCAAGTGAGACGGGAAGGTCAAGGGGGCTGTGAAAAGAGACTCCCTCCTTCACACCTGAGGATCTGATCTTACCCAGATTGTTTTTTCCTCACAGAGAAACTCCTCTGGCCCAGTTTCCCATATTGATCTAATCAGCAGTCCAAACATAATTTTGGGACTGTCAAAACAAGACCCGCAGGCCTGACATAGACAATTAACATAAGTCAGGGCAACCCACCTGCCACTTCCCGTCTCTCCCCGACGTCTCGTCAGGATGTTAGCAAAGCCAGTACCCGTTACGGGTGGCAGTATCACCAGGAGCACGCTGTTGAGCAGGGGACTCCTGACATGAGGCTGGAAGCTATAATTACCCGGTGTATAATTTGGTTGCTAAATGGATTGTTGACAAAGGTGTGCATGATGAAATCACAGGCATGTTAGAGCTGAGAGGCAGGCGGGGTCAGGGAGGAGGCAGGCAGTCGTTAACTCCCCACCTCCCTCCAGGCTCCCCTCTGCCAACTGCCGCCACCGCCACCACAGCAGACTCTGACCTCGCTGAATCACCTGGGCCTCGTGTTCCATGACGTTCAGGAAATACCTGGCCTTCCTCCCTCAGGTTTCATCTCGTAATAACTCCCAGCAGAAGCAGACTCACCTTGGCACAGCACTGGGGATGGAGTTCTGATGTCACAGGCCCCTGGGGTTAGCCTGCAAGGGAAAGGAGCCCAGAGGAAAGCTTAGTGGCCCAAGAGGCCAGAAGGGGAGGTCAAAGTCACAGTTTATTCCAGGGAGGTGCTCCATGAGGGTCCCCCCAAAGGGATCAGGCCTGGACATGGGGCACTTCATACATCCACCCGCAGCTGAAGTAAGGAAATCGAAGACCATCTCATTAAATTTGCAGGGAACATAAGGAGGAGGGGAGAAGGGACATTGCCTTCTTTGCACAGTGGCTGAGATGTCAAAGAGTCATTCTAAAATCAGAAAAATGACTTGTCAAAAACAAGCTGACATGCAATAAGGACAAAGAGAGGTGGCCCACTCGAAAATCTACAAAAAGCTAAGGACAAAAAATGTGAATAATGGGATAAACACACAAAAGCCCAGGAGGTCAGATTATATCTCAGCTCAAATGTGCCTTTGTAATAAAACGCTATTGTAAAACAAAAGAGCATAAACTCTAACATAATTTATGTGCATTTATGTTAAAAGAATTTAAGAAATTAAGAATAAAAGAATTTACCAAGAAATAATCATTCTAGTGCTAACAATCCAAACTTTGGAAAGGCATGGGAGAATTAGACAGGGTCTGTGAACAGGAAACAAAAGTGGCAAAGAGATGGAAAGTTCCAAGAGTGAAGAAACGGTAACTCATTCAAAAGCATTCAACACATTCAAAAGTGTTCACGCTACACAAAGGCATGTGCGAGGTGGTTCGGTCCTGAGAGCACACTCGCTGTTCTCGGGAATTCTAGGCAACATGGTGCTGATTTCTGTCTAACATGGGTCTTTCTGGACTTTATCTTAGGAATTTAGTTAATAAAGCACTGAGATAATATTAACAGAAGTTTCATTTGCAGAGTGGTCCCACTAGCCCTGCCAGAAACCCACAAAAACACTGGTGACTGGGCAGTCACAACCAACTCCCCTCTCTCTGTGACAGCAACACTCAGCAGACATTCATGGCACCCGCTGGACTGCAGCATGATGGAAAACCTGAGCACTCATATGACAAACAAGACGAGGTCCACTCCAGCCTCGCAGAAGTGAGTGGTAATAAAGGAAGCTGCAAGAGTATACGGTAAATTCCAACCAACATCAGGGGCCTTGAGGATGGACAGGACAACTCTCCACTTTGGCAGGAAGGCAAAACATGACTGGCAAGACCCTTTCATCTCCAGCAGCCACAGAGCAGCCTGAGATTGTCCAGAAGCCCAGAAGCTGCTCTGTCCAGGGACCTGCCCCGTCATCCTCCCAGGCGAAGTGAAGGCCAAATAGCCCAAGAGACGGCCATGTAGTCCAGCTGCCGACCTCTTGTTCCATCTGGCCTGACTGCTGACTCTGAGCATGTGGTCCAGAACCTCCCAGCCTGCCCCCTGTTGAGTGAAGAGTTTGGGCCTAGTCCCTTCTCTCCATTGTCCTCACACAGCTTCTAAATTCCTGCCACGGAGTTGCAGGGGCCAATCTCAAGCTACTGCTAAGACAGATGAGACCCTTGCTCCCTTGCCACCTGCAGGGTTCCCGCTGAACCTTGCTGCTTTGTCTCAGAGGATCCTGGGTCTGCACACGCGCAAACAGCAGCTGGACTTCGGCAGCTTCCATTATGAAGGGAGGAGCCACGAAGAGGGAAGGAGGGGGCAGCTTTGGTTCCTACATTCCAGAAAACATCAAAAACACATGCCTGATGCACATGACTTCATCCATCCTCTCTCCACCCACAGGAGAAGGGTTCCTAACACCAGCCACACTGAACAGATGAGGGAACTGAGGCACAGACTGCTCACAGGGAGCTTGGAAGGCCCAAGATTTCCTGCAGGCAATCTGGCACCGGAGTCTCTGCTCTGAACCATGCTGCCTGCTGGCATCAGGTGAGCATGGCACTCATTGACTTACTGTTCAAACCTAAGGTGCTTCAGTGTGAATTCATTAATCTCTCCATTCATAAAAAAGTCAAAACAAATGAATAAAAACATTTATCAAGTACCTGACTTATGCCATTCATTATGCTGGTAAGTGGAATCTTTTATGTGAAATGAATACCTGTTGAATGCCACTAGTTTTAATCCTCACAACCAATAAGGTAGGTAGTATTAATAATTTTCCCATTATTATTATTATTATTATTATTATTTGAGACAGAGTCTCCCTCTGTCATCTAGGTTGGAGGGCAGTGACATGATCACAACACACTGCAGCCTCAACCTCCGGTGCTCAAGGGATCCTCCTTCCTCAGCTTCTTGAGTAGCTGGGACCACAGGTGCATGCCGCAACATCTAGCTAGGTTTTGTTGTTGTTGTTGTTGTTGTTTCTTGTTTTTTGTAGAGACAGGGTCTCATTATGTTATCCAGGCTGGTCTCAAACTCCTGGCCTCAATGAATCCTCCTGCCTTGACATCCCAAAGTGCTGGGATTGCAGGCTTGAGCCACTGCACCCAGCCATAAATTTTCTCACTTCAGAAAGAAGGAAACGGAGGCTCAAAGAGTTCAGCTATGAATCCCACTTTGCTTGGACAGTGATTCAAACAAAGGCTTGCTGGGAAGAGCCAGCCCCTCAAAAGGCTGACAGAAGAGAGTTTAATGAAGAGATGATTTACAGAGGCCTGGGGAGGCATAAACAAACTAACTAGGGATGGCAGAGCTGGAAGCCGTTTCACCCTGAAGCCTGAAGGGGCAAAGGCAGAAAGCGGTGTTCTAGCAAACCAGGGAGAGCTAGCAGCAGGGCATGGGGCTGCCTAACTGGAGCTGGGGCCCCAGAAGGACCCACCACTGCCAGCAGGGGGAGAACAGAAGAGACACCCTCACTTCTCTCCCTTCCATCCAATGGCCAAGCCCAGCTAAGAAGCAAGAGGGCAAGAGAGGGGAACAGGGACTGGAGCAGGTCACAAAGAACAGCTTCTAGGGGTCTGCACAGGGCAGAGAAGGACGAAGAACGAATGGGGACGGGAAATAGCTGGAGACCATGCAGCACGAATGGTGAAACATGGAGCCAGGATTGGGAATCACTGCACAATCCAGCTTTTCCCAGTGAATATAAGAGTGCAGAGCACTCAGTGTTAAAAGATAAGCCTGATGTGACTCTGGACCCCGCAGACTAAAGACAGTATGGACGGTTCAGGAGAACATTTTCAAGTAATGCATAAACCATCTGTTGTCCTGCCCTTTCCTTTGTACACTAAGGTGGAGGAGACATCGCTGTAACCTACAGCCTCCCTCTCCCAACCTGGCAATACCCCAGGGGAACAAATGAATGAGAAGCTGTGGGAGTCATTTCTGTAGCCATTTCTCCCATCCTGATGCCGCACGGCTCCAAACCCAGAACTAAATTAAGATGCAGCGCCACAGTTCTTGGCCTGGGAAATTTGGCATAATAAGCATTCCAGGTCACAAGCACCTTTTCATCTTCTTCTCTGCGGAAGCCCCTCTTTTTCCAACATTATGTCATACAACTCAATTGACACGGTCCCCCGCCTACAGACATGCCGGTGTATTCAGCAGAGACGTGAGACTTTGCTCAGCCACTGCAGAGGGAGAGCCTGCACCTGGGAGGCAGGGAGCCCTGCAGGAACGAGGGGAGGAAGAGATTAGGAAGCACGTGCTCTCCTAAAGAGAACAGCCACTGAAGATGTCTAACAGAAAAACGAGAGCTCCTGGTAATAATCACTTTAGCATCGATCAATTATAATTCCTCGATTAGATCACATACTGCTCATTACCATTAAAAAACAAAACAAAACAAAACCCTGACTTTTCCATTAGAGTCAGAGCAGTAGGTTTCATTTTGATTGAAAAACTCCAACTTCAAGAATGAATGAACGCATTCCAGCCGAATCAAAGCCTGAGCTGAGGCTGCAGACATTTTGTTTCCTCCCTGCCTCTACCCGGGGCGTCATCTAGCGTCCGCCCTTAGGTACTACACTCTCCTGCCAACGTAAGCCTTTTACTCCAGAGTTGGTTTCAGTAGAAAATCATGAGACCTGACAGGAGAAAAAAAAAAACTGGCCTCAATGATAGATATTTTTCAAAAGCGGTTGAGCAATAAAGACTTCCCATTTATTGGATTTCACACATGATTTTGCTTGAGCCAAACCAAAGACTCATGACTCCTAAAAAACAATGAATAGACAGAGTACAGAGTGCTTGGGCATTTTTCTCAGGGCTCTCTGTTCTTCGGAAAGATGTTTATGTGCAAAAATAAAAACCTGACTGATTTACATACGGAATAGGAACACACATTTTTCAAGGTGTGGTATCTTACAAGTAACATTTATTTGGACCCCTCTTAGGGCTGAATTTTACCCCTCTCCCCACCCCCCCCCAAAAAATCCTGTTGCCGTCTAGTGCCTCAGAATGTAACTGTATTTGGAGATAAGAGCTTTACAGAGTTAATTAAGTTAAGATGAGGTCTTAGAGTAGGCCCTAATCCCATCTGACTGGTGTCCTCATACAAAGAGGAAATCTGGACATAGACAAGTGCATGCACAGAGGAAAACCCATGTGAGCACACAGCAAAAGGCAGCCAAGGAGGCCCTGGAGAAACACGCCCGGACTACATCTTTATCTCGGACGTCCAGCCTCCAGAACAGTGAGAACATCTATGTCTGTTGTCTAAGCCACCCAGTCTATGATATTATACTATGCCTAGCAAACTGATATACCCCCCAAACTCCCCCCACCCCCTAAGCTGGGCAAATGTTAGGTGACTTTGATGCTGAGAGTGCCTGAAGCAAACTCTTTATCTGCTCTTTTTGTACACAAGGACTCTTGAACCACTCTTGAACCCGGAAGTCTCTGGCAATGGCTTGGGGATCCCACTTTGCCTACTCCTCGCCCCCGTCAATAGGGGAGTTGTTATCTCTTAAACCACTCCGGGAACCTCTCCTCTCTGGGTGGAGGTTAAGGGGACTCAGTCGGGGAGTTAAGTGACAAGGGTGCCTCTGGCAGAGCCTAGGTGTGTAAGCTTTGGCAAATGACCAGGCCTCGCTGAGCCCTGATTTTGTCCTCTGTAAAATGAGAGTGATCGGATTCCTTGGAGCACGAAATGCCTTCAATGTGGGGCTTAGCACGGGTCTGGCTCACAGTAACTGCTCTCACGCTCCACTAGCCACTCCTTAGCAGGAACGTGGGCACGAGAATTCCCAAACTTCCTCGAGTCAGTGTTCAGAACCCCGCCCTCCCTTTATCTTCAAAGGAGAAGGGAGAGCAGTGGGTTACAAGGGTCAGCTTTTAAATACCCCTGCTCTCCCTTGACCACAGACCCTGGGGAGTTTCCCCAGCTAAAAACGAAGTTTAGAAAATTGCTTGCAATGACCCATGATTTCAAGGGCCCCAGTGAATGACAGATCTATTGAGGATAGGGCCCCCTGGCTGGAAATTTAGAAACATTTTGTTTTTGTAAGAGGAAAAAAAGGGCAGAGAGGCACGAGGGCTGCAGGGGATGGCTCTGGAAGGACACTGCAGCGAGGCTGCCAGACTCCTTGGAACCGCAGCGCCGACGCAGCCATTTCCCAGGGAGATCAATCCTCTGGCAGGTCCATTTCCTCCGCCGCGCGGGCGGCTGCGGGAGGCGGCGGCGGCGGCGGGGGTGGCGGGAGCCATTAGTGACTCTGTGACCCCGTTCACCGAGCGCGTCCCCGCCCAGGTGCTCGCTGCCCGGCGCCGCGCCGTCCACCCCCGGCCGGGGCAGGTCGCGGGGCCCAAGCTGGTTCAAGCCCCCGTCGCTCGTCGCCTGGCTCTGCGCCAGGCCCCGTGCCCCTGGCTGCAGGCCGGCACCCCGCGAGCCGCAGCGCCCAGGCAGGCGAGCGCCGCTGCAACCTGCAAGCCTGAGTCAGCTCGCGGCGCGTGAGGCGCGCGCACTGCGTCCCCGCGCAGCCGTCGCAGCCAGGTGCTGGCCCGGAGCGCTGCGTCCCCAGACAGAAACCACGGCTCCCCCTGGCGGACACCGGTTCCCCAGCGCTGGGCTTTCCCCTTCAGTAGTTTAGGGGTAGTTTTCAGCTAAAGAAAACAGTGGACGCATTTTCCCATCAGAGGGCTTGGTGGCAGGATTCCCACAGGCTTAAGGAATGAAAGAAAGGAGATGCGATAGAAAGGAAGAATGGTAAGTAAGGCCCGGAAAGTGCAGGCAGAGAATGTTATGCACCTGCATGTCGTGAACCCAATGGCAACGAAACACTTACTTGTCTGCGGGGCAAATATAGCCGCGTTGGCTCTTTCTCCTGGAACCACGGATACTTTGGCAAGGAATGAATGAGTTATAAATGCAACGTTTTCTTAAATATATTAAATACATAACACTGACCTTCACAAAGGCTTTTATCTGGAATAAGGAATGAATAAGTAGGGTAATGAATAAGAAAGTTAAATTAAAGCACCATAGAACACAGTTTGAGTAACTTTAAAAATTTTTATTTACTTAATTTAATGAAAACAAATGATAAGTAAAATGTCTTTATATGAACATCTGAAAAAGCTTATAACTCTAAATGGCAATCCTAATCCAGCTGCTATAGTCAGGCTGCTATAGCAAAATACCCTAGACTGGTAGCTTATAAACAATAGAAACTGATTTCTCACAGTTCTTGGGGCTGGGAAGTCCCAGATCAAGGTGCCAGCTGATTCAGTGTCTGGGGAAAGCCTGCTCTCCGGTTCATAGATGGTGCCTCCTAGCTGTGTCCTTACCTGGGAGAAGGAGGAAGAGCGTTCCCTGGGATCTCTTCTATAAGGGCACTAATCCCGTTCATCAGGGTGACCTAATCACTTCCCAAAGGCCCTGCCTGCTAATGCCATCACCTTGGGAGTTCAGTTTTAACGTGAATTTTGAGAGGACACAAACATTCAGACCTTAGCAGCAGCCTTTTGTTTTATTCCCCGAATACAATGTATAAATGTGGAAATGCCTGGGAATTTCAGCCATCTAAGTCAGGCAGTTAGCTTTGTGATATGGACTCCCTCTTGTAACTTACTCTGTGTGGACATCTGTTCTGTTGATTGTGTACAGAGTTGAATTTCACAGAGGCTGACGCAGCAGTGATCATTCAGACATTTCTGAATGGACGGCAAAAGAAGGAGGAGGAGGAGAAAGTAAATACCAATGACTTACTTTGCAAAGTAAATTGACAGATCCTTTGTAGACCAAATCAGCAAGGTTGGGTTGTGTCCCTCTGGGCCTGGGTTTCCCACCTCTTGTAAAACCGGGAGAGGCAGAGAAGCTAAGACAGATGGTGGGTCTCCTGGGAGGCTCAGGGCCGAGCCGGCCTCAGAGGAAGTCTCTTCATCAGCACTCGGCAGCAGCAGCGTGGAGACTGTCCTCCACCCTTCCTGAAGCCACCAGCTTGGATGGCCCAGGCTTTCTTCCCATCACTCAGTTGTCAGAGCAACAGCTTCTGGAGGGAGCCAGCCCACGGCCCTGCCATTATGCTTCCCAGTGGCAGCTGGGGGATAGGGGGCAGTTAGGAGGAACAGAAACAGGTTGACATGGATCCAGGGAGCAGAGATGGCTCACAAGTGCAGATAGGGAGTGATCTTAAATCTACAAAATATGGATGAGAGACAGCATAGGCAACACTTTAGGCTTTGTGTTAAGCCTTTTAATTCAAGTCATCAAGTGTTTACAAGTGCTTTCTAATTAGAGACGACATGGAATAATTTGAAGACAAAGAATTACGTAAAGAAGATAGTTTGCTACCCATATGTTGGTGAAAGAATAACTTTTCTGATCTAATTGGGCCAAACCAAACTAAACACCTAACACCAAAGACAGCAAGCAGTATTTGCATTATTATTTAGCAAATATTAAAGAGCTCTTGTGGCCAAACATTCTTAGTGGAAGGGGTAAAAGTCCTAGCGTCTTTGTTTATATAAAGACATATGGAAGGATATTTTATAGTAGTGGTTCTCAAAGTGTGGTTCTCAGACCAACAGCAGCAGCAGCACCTGGGGACTTAGGAATACAAATTCTCAGGTTTTGCCCCAGAACTACTGAATCTGAAACTCTGAAGATGGGGCCTGGCACCCGTGTTTTAGCAAACCCTCAGGTGATTCCAATGCACTCTGAAGTTTGAGAACCACGACGCTAATCTTATCTTCGCTGCGGTGTCAGATTTAACTAGGTTTAAAAGAGTCAGAGTAGATCTAAAAGAATGAATTTAAAATAGGGCTTGGAATATAAGAAATAAAGCTTGAAAAAATACAAAATCGTAACTCCCAACTTCTATCCAGTGCAAGACGCCCTGCATAAATCAGCAATGGAGACTATGAAAAGAGTCAGATAGGACAAAAGGGGAAGGGACTAGGTTCAATGGAACCCAGAGAGAGGCTTCCGGTGATGTGCCACAGGGTTCTGCACTGTCAGGCCCACTAAACATCTCCATGATCACTGATAAGACTAAACAAATACTCACCAAATTTTAAAACTATGAATTTAATTAAGTTGACAGCAATCCCACCTGTTTGATAGGTCTGAGAAAATGTATTAGTCCATTTTCACACTGCTATAAAGAATACCTGAGACTGGGTAATTTGTAAACAGAAGAGGTTTAATTGACACACGGTTCTACAAGGCTGGAGAGGCCTCAGGAAACTTACAATCATGGTGGAAGGTGAAGGGGAAGCAGGGCACTTCTTACATGGTGGCAGGCGAGAGAGATAGCACACGCAGAGGAAACTGTCACTATTAAACCAGATCTCGTGAGAACTCCCTCACAATCACAAGAACAGCATGGGGGAAACTGCCCCCATGATCCAATCACCCCCAACCACCTCCAACCAGGTCCGTCCCTTGACACATGGGGATTACAATTCCAGATGAGATTTGGGTGGGGACACAGAGCCAAACCATATCAGAAGGTATCAACAGAATTGGAACTGCAGTTTAAAGCCAACAACGTGTCGTTTATTTGAGATAACATATTGTTGTCAGGATCAAGCAATCAACAGCACCAATGCAAATGAATTAGGGTCTGTAAAGACAATATATTTAGTAAGCACCAATGCAAATGAATTAGAGTCTGTAAAGACAATGTGCTTAGTAAGCACCGATGCAAATGAATTGGGGTCTGTAAAGACAATGTGCTCAGTATAAAAGTCAACAATTTGATGTGACCACCAGAAACACTAAAGAGATGCTAGGCTCTCTTACAGAAGTGTTGTCTTTCAAGGTAGACAACCTTGTGGTAGAGTGAAAAAAATCCCCTCCTCTCAACCGAAGATATCTAATCCCTGGAAACGGGGAATGTTCCTTTATATGGAGAGAAGGGGAAGGAGGTCTTTGCAAGTGTGATTGAATTAAGGATGTTAAGATGGGGAGACTATCCAGTTGGGTCCTAAATACAATCACATGCATTCTTATACCAGAGAGGCAGAGGGTGATTTGACCACACACAAAACAGAAGGAAATATAAAGACACAGCAGAGAGAGCTTTGCAGATGCTGGCCTCAAAGATCAGAGTGATGCAGTCAACGAATGTCGGCAGCCCCTGGAAGCTGGGAGAGGCAAGGAGCAGATTCTCTCCTGGAGCCTCTGGAGGGAGCATAGCCCTGGTTTGAGCTCCGTGATACTGATTTTGGAATTCTGGTCTCCAGAACTGTGAGAGAATAAACATCTGGTTTTTGGGGTTTTTTTTGTTTGTTTTGTTTGTTTGTTTGTTTGTTTGTTTTTTTCAGACAGAGTCTCACTCCGACACCCGGGCTGGACTGCAGTGGTTCGATCTCAGCTCACGGCAACCTCTGCCTCCCAGGCTCAAGCGATTCTCCTGCCTCAGCCTCCCGAGTAGCTGGGACTACAGGCACATGCCACCAGGCCAGGCTAATTTTTTGTATTTTTAGTAGAAACAGGGTTTCACCATGTTAGCCAGGATGGTCTCAATCTCCTGACCTCGTGATCCGCCCCCCCGGGCCTCCCAAAGTGCTGGGATTACAGGCATGAGCCACCGTGCCTGGACAATATCTGTTGTTTTAAGCCACTAAGTTTGCAGTAAATTTGTTATAGCAGCCCCAGGAAACTAACACAGGGTAAGAGAAGAGAGTTCTCTTTCATTCTTCACTTGATCATACTGTGTTTGGTTCTGAGCACCACAATTTGGGAGATACATTTACCAAAAGAGGCATTAAGAGTTTTCTGAATGGTACCAACAGGAAAAGTTAGGATTCCAGTTGTAAGATGCAAGGTGGCGAGTTTCAGCTTGAAATAAGGAAGCACTGTCTGGACAAAGAGGGAATGGACAGCCTCAGAAGATAGTGACTCCACCGTGGCTGAAGGTATTCAAGCAGAGACTGTGCAGCCATTTGTTAGGAATGTGAATATTGTCAAGAGAATTCAAGCCCTGAGGCAGGGTGGATTCAATGCTGTGTAAGATTCTTTGAACCCAGATTCTGAGGCTGGGTGATTTTGCGGCTGTTCTCAGCTCTCACTGGAGCCGAGGCAGACAGGAAGAAAGAAGGCACACAAGGTTGTAAAAGTCTGAGCGTGCAATGATTAAACCCAGGCACGGATGTGGCTTTGGAGATGGAGAGGAAGGAATGCATTTTTAAAAAGGTTTTGGAGGCTTAAGTAATCGGTCTTTGGCAGCAGCTTGAATTTGGAGAGAGAGCATTTATTAGGTGCCTCCTAAGAGCACTGCCCAGGAGCCATGGGCAAAATAAATATAAGATGGACGATGATCCCCAGGGAGAAAGCAGAGCACACATGTAATCGTTAGGAAATAAGGTTCCAATCATGATTTTTAAAATATGGATAAAAGGGTAGAAACAAAGGGATCAAAGAAGGCTAGATTCACCAGTTTTTGGTTTTGTTTTTGAAGAAGCAGGCTTTGAAAGATGGCCAAATCTAGTGAAGGGAAGAGCAAAAAGCACTTTGGAAAAAGGAGAAAGTGTGACATTAGCAGAGAGGTGCAGGAGGGGCATGAATATCTGGGGTTGAAGCATAACACATGCTGGTGAGGATTGTGTGGACAACAGTAGGGAAGGGTTTGTATCCTCATCGATAAGAGGCCCAGACTCAGATGCCAGGCTTGAAGCTAAAGTTGCAGGTCCAACCATGAGGAAGAGGTTGTGCAGGTGCAAAGCACACAACATGTGCTTGTTGTCACATTCAATTTGAAAGCAGCTGCAGTGTCCCAGAGAGGATCTTGGAGGCCTAGAGGTGGGGAAATGCTTCTTAAACAAAACCTCAAAAGTGCAAAGCATAAGGGAAAAGCTTAATGAATTTGAACACATCCCACTCAAAGGGTTCTATTCAAAGAAGAACAAGGTTATGAGACAGATGAAAGATTGGGAGAAGACACTTGCAATGTCAAAAATAACTAGGAAACAGTATCTAAAATATGCAAGAACCTTGCAAATCAACAAAAATGATGGAAACCCCCTCTGCTCAAAAAACAAAGGCTCAGAAGAGGCAATTTGCAGGAGAGGAAACCCCCCTGAATAACAGGCATGTGAAGAGATGTTTAAACTCATTAGTAGAGAAATACAAATTAAATAGCAATGAGATATCACTTCTATTCACTCAACTGGCCAAAACCAGGAAACTGGATAATGTCAAGTGGTGGTGGGGATGTAGGAATGTTGGAATTCTTGGGCCTTGCTGGGGGTTTGTAGACTGGTACAGCCAATTTGGAGAGCAATACTTCATCAAATTAAATGTACCTGTCTTCTATTTCCCAACAATACCACCCCTGGACATGAATCATAGAAAAAATCCTTCCACACACCCTAAGGGACCATGCACAAAGAGACTTGCTGCAGTTCTTTCTGTGGCAGTAGGTGTCATCCATGGAGGTGGAGGAGCACAAGTGAAAAAGGTACACTCTGAAATACTCTATCAGAGTTGGGAGGAACAGACGACATGTACACGCGGCAACATGAACGGAGCTTTGAAAGGATAGTGTTGAGTCAAGAAATGAGAAGTGATGAGCTAGAGGATGTTTGTGTGCCTTCAACGATATGTGCCTTTAAACACTTTGTTTTTGAGAGAACACATGCTGATAACTACAAACAGGGAACACATTAGAATAGTTGCCTGTGAGGGACAGGAGAAAAGAAATGGGGAATGGAGGCCAATAAAATAAATGCCTGCCTGCACACATGAATGAATGAGATGGGGCTCTGAGGAGCCAATGATCCAGTGCATCATGAACTGAAGAATGTGGTGAACCCAACCATGTGCTTCTAAGAACAAACTAAGCAGAACTCAAGTGCTATATCCATTGCCAAGGCAATTCTAGAACTGAGTGTTAAGTAGATGACTTATGAGCAGAAGTAAAGAAAGTGGTACCATGAAGAGTCTATTATGGGTTATAAACCTAAATATGACACAACATTTTGAATAAATTGTATACAGCTACCAAACTAGCAGGTCAAGGAATTTCGTTAGACATAGGATTGCATTTTTTAGCAAAGCGTTGGCATGATCCCTGTGAAAAGGATGACTACATGTGGGCAGAGTAAGTAGTACCAGATACACAGTAAAGGAACTAAGTCCAGTAAAGCTACCTAGCTTCTCTGTGCTTGAATATCTTTATCCATGAATTTGAGCTTCCAGCTCTAGATAAACTGCTTTCATGATTCCTCTTCTCTTGGGTGTCCCCTAGCCTCAGGGGCATGTAGTGGAACATTCTGTGGTCCAGCCCACAGGAAGCAAGGGCACCAGGGCTGGCTTCCTCACTAACTAGCTGTGGGACCTTGGGGAGTTCACTTAAGTTCTTTGGGCCTGAGTTTTCTCATCTCTAAAATTTAGGTGATTTAGACTGAAAGGTCTCTCAGCTTTATGATTTATGAAATATGAATAAAATAGTCTTAAACTTTTTATTAAGTCATGAACTATAAGCTCAGTTCAAAGAGCTTTTCTTGCTCCTGGACCATTTGAGAATAAGCAGCATAGCCGATCTGCTGCACCAGCCCCCTGAATATTTTCATGCATATTTCCTACAAACAAAGACTTGCATCTACATAGCCACGTGCCACCACCAACATAGGAAATTAATGTTGATGCATTAGAACCCTGGACCCCATTCAAGCCTCATCATTTGGCCCACTCTAGATAAAGGACCCGGTTCTGAATCACTTAGCAGGCTCTGTCTCCTTGGTCTCTTTCAGACTGGAAGTGTTCCTCAGTCTTCTCTTGTCTCTCAAGACCTCCACACTTTGAAGATGACAAGCTAGTTATTTAGTATAATGTCACTCATATTGGGTTTGTGTGACGTTCCCTTGTGATTGCATACAGGTTAGACATCTTCAGAAGAAATCTCACAAATGCAATGCTGTGTTCTCATTGCATCCTATCAGGCGGCAGGAAATTTTGATTTGTCCTATTACTAATAATGTTCACTTTAATCACCTCATTAGATTGGTGTCAGTCATGTTCTCTGGAAGATCACTCATTTCCTCTTTGTTATAATCATTATTTTATGAGGAAGTATTTTTAAACTATAGCTACCAAGTTATAGTTTAAAAATGGCTTAACTACCAAATTATAGTGTCTAATATAATTGTGAGAAAATAAATATCTGTTGTTTAAGCCACTAAATCAGCAGTATGTTGTGAGAGCAGCCCAAGAAGATGAATACATTATTTATTGAAAACTGTGAGATCCCACAAATACCTCCAATTCTAATCCAACTGGAAACTCTAGTTTTCCTCCTTTCCCTGACAGTGAGAAGCTGGATTCCTATTAACCTTAATATATCCCTTCATTTGACCAATCCCCTTGTAGGTGGCCAACCCCCATCCCCACAACCACGCACCCTGCACTCACACTGCCTGTGGGGACACCCACATCAGGCCCGCTTCCCTGGGGAGGTTCGTCCTCCTCTCCCTACTCTGATTCCCACCCTGCCAAGGACAGCCGTCACAGTGCTTGGGCTCCAATAGCCCACCCCACACCAGGCCGGCCTCTGCCTACAAGCCCTCCTTCATTGACTTGTGTGCTCCTAAGCTCACAAAGGAACCTACAACTATAAATACCTTGAAAACTCATAAATATTTTAACTTTACTTCCTAATACTTCCTACTTTAAAAATACCAGCTCCTTCCACCTCCATGGCATCAGATGTTCAGAAATTCTCCTCCTCTGAAAGGACACATGAGGATGGGCAGGAAACCTGAACGAAGGCAGGCAGTCGGTCGTCTCTCCCCTATTCCCTCAAAACTGCAGCTCTGGGGCCCAGCAGCCTCCTGGAGGTCTCCATGTAGACGGTTCATGAGCGCCTTCACTGACATGACCAAGCTGACCTTGGCCATCCTTGTCTCTGTGAGTGGCACCACCATCCACTCGATGACTCATTCCAAAAATCTGAAGTTATTCTTGATTCTCCTCTCTCCCGATAGCCCTTTCCACACGGTATATATTGACTTGACTTCTCAAACATCCTCCGAGCTTTCTCCTCTGTCCATCGCCAGGCTCCTCATGGGGCCTAAGCCACCGTCATCCTCCATCGAACAGCCATGTTCTCCCTGGCTCCTGGGTCCCGCCTGCCTCCCTGGGTGGCCATGTCATGGTTCGCAGCCATGCACCCCTTCATTCTTGCTGAAAGGACTGTCCCTCTCAGCCTCATCCACTTTGGCCTGGGCCTTGGGACTTGCTTTGGTTGCGGGTGGCAGGGCTCGTGGGCCCTGGTTCCACCTGTGTCAGGGGCTCCCCCTTCAGCCTGGTCCTGGGGAGAGAAGGCAGCTGGAGCACAGCAGGGCCCTTGGCTCTCCAGAAATGTGAGCAAGAACTCACATGTGAACCATGGTAGGCTTTGGTAAACCTGGGGACGTATCTTCCCATGGCAAAGCTTATTAATAAGTCCCCTAAAATCTATTCCCCACAGTAGCCACTAGTTATGTTCAAAAAGTAAATTCTGCCATGTCTTTCCCTTGCTTTGCACCCACCGTGGCTGCTGCAGTTCTCTGAGTAAGAGGCCAGCCCTGATGGGAGCTCAGGACACCTTAGCCCTCCTGCCACATCCACCTCCAGCCCGACCCTCTCCTCCCGCCCCTTACTCTCCCCTGGCACTCCCAGGTCTCATTCTGGTCTGCCGTCCCGGCGCTGGCTCTTCCCTTTGCCTGGGTTGAGCTGCTGCCACCTCAACAGGATGGCTCACCTCATGATTTAGACCTTAGACGGAACAGCCCTGCTCCAGAGAGGTGACCTGACCACCCGTCCCCACTGGGGCACCACCCAGGCACCACACCAGCCTCTGCATCACGTGCAGCGCACTTGTTCAAACCGCTGGTGATTTCACGTCTCTGCATATTTTACTTGTTTATCGTCTCCTCCTCTCACTCTGGGAGTGCAGGGAACCATCTGTCTGGGCACTCACAGGTCTCCTTGGGCACAGAGTGGAGCCTGGCATGCACCCAGCACTGAGTAGGTGATGTACGCATGGACAGTGTGCAGCCAGGGCCTTGAAAGCAGTAATGCTTTCCCTGGGTGAGATACAGAGACGGCCTTTGAAGGAAAGACAAGTAAGACGGAAGTCTGAAGACCAGATGGGAACAAGGAACACCAGCCTGTGCGAGGTGTGGAGGCATCGCAGGAAGACCCTCGGAGGAGCTGTCAGGAGAACAGATTCTGGTCCAGCTCTGAGATGTGACCTGGGTGCCCACTTCTCTGGGCCCCGGTTGTCCTCTTGAGAAGCCGTGGGATATTCTTGAAAGGATCTCTAAAGCTCTGTCTGGTTTTGTGATGCTTGAGTGTTTTGCATGCACGGCAACCATCTTTGGAAACAGACCCAAGTCCAGGGTTTGGTGAGGAAGTGGCTGAAGGCCATTCACGGTCGGTTCACTCTTTCAGCAGAGAGAACAAAAGTGCAAGCCCCTGAAGAGATGTGGAAAGCGCTGAGAGGCCGGAGTCGGTCTGTTTGCTCCTGGGGCGCCGAGGACCCTCCTTGGGGCTGCAGGCGGAAACTATCCCGGAAGCGAGAGGACCTGGGGCTAAGCTCACTCACTTCCTGAGCCACCAGGATAAGTAGGCCACTTTTCTGAGCATCAATATTTTTATCTATAAAATAGATCTAACACTGCCAATTTACAGGGATTTTGCGGAGATTAAATAAGAAAACATAACAAGAAGTGCTAACATGTATTGAGTGCTTAGTCTGAGCCAGGCACTGCACTGTTATTTACATGTCTTATTTAATTCTTATGACAATCCCATAACATTGGGACTATTGTTATCTGTACTTCTAGATGAGGAAATGGAGGCATGGAGTGCGTAGGCAACTTGTCCAAGGCCCCTCATTCAGTGACCCATAATCTGCATGACTTCCGTCACTCATCCCACCTAAGTAGTAAATGCACCTGCTTCTCCATTCACATATGTAGCAAGTCCAGCAGTGCCTGGCACGGAATAGACACTCTATAAATCATGCATTTCCATCCTAATGTCCAGTTTTCAGCAGTGCATTAGCTTGGTCCTCTGGAGAATGTTTTTCTGCCTTCTGTAAATTAATGCTGGTACCTAACTGCTTTGGAGAGTCACTTTGCCCTGAGCTGTGTGTGTGTGGTGTGAGTGTGTGTGTGTGTGTGTGTGTGTGTTGAACTTCTAGGGTTCTCTGCTTCCAGTCACTTCTCCCACCCCTAGGTATTGCACAAGGAGAGTGAAGTGTTTGCTTTGTAAATGCAGCTTGGAAAAGCACTGTAGATGGATAAAAGGTGCTGGCCGATGTGAGTCATTCTCATAGGCTTGGCAAGGATACTTCAGAGCAAAGGAGGCCCTGGGCAAAACAATAAAAACATCTTCTGAAGCTCATAGAAGTGCATCTTGCTTGGGAGTCTGTGGGTTGCATTGTACAGAATGTTCCCGGAGTTCAGGAATTGGAAGGAACTGGTAACATAAAACAATTCTAATTGTCTATTTTAAAAAGCAATGTTGGAAGAATCAAGGATGGGAATAATAAGCAAATAACTTAGCTGAAAGATTTTATTAGTTATTTCAAAAATGCATTCTCCAAAATTTTTCCTTTTTCAATTTTAAAGAAAGGTAAAACCTTTTCCCAAAAGAAAAAAAAAGTGTATTTTTTTTCTATTATTTCTTTTCCCAGATCTTTACATGTAATTGATAGATTTGGGAGCTGGAAGAATTGTGGAAATCGCCCAGTTGAATCCCTTCCTATTACAGTGAGAAACCTGAGGCCTGGCAATATTAAGGTTTGGCCAAAGGCACACAGTGAGAGCAAAGAAATGCAGTCTCTAAATGTATTCCACCAGAGCCTTTCATGGTTTGAAGCATTTCAAAGCCCAAATTAGTGTAAACCCCAAAAATGCATGTCTGTTTTGCAAGCTGCCCACCCTCTGTGCTTGAATTCACCCAGCCTAGGATGCTTAGAAGCCCTCACGGGGCCTGTCCGTCTCTGAGGAGTGTTGGGTGTTCGTGAAAGTCCTCTTTTTATTGATCAGAATGTGATTGATCTTGTGTGGCTTCTACCTGTATCAATGCCACTTTATTCGCCTGCTGCTGGAACTTAGAGAACTGGAATCTAGTGTTTCTATGAGTCCTACCCTACGTGTGGACTAAAGGCCTAGCCTAGAAGAGGCAATGGGGAGCACACCGATTTAACTCCAAGCTCTCAGATAGGTGCCTGCACACTGCCCTATTGATCATGACCTCCAGAAACAATCTCATCTGAGCTTATCCCTAAGTTTTCACTCTGGATGACATTTTCCTAAGCCCAGCCAGAGGGTGCGACAGGAGGAGGATTCTCCCTGGCTCCCTGTCCCTGCTTTTCCAGGCAGCATTATCAGTCCCACAGCTCCTAATGGTGTTCCCAAAACAGGGCTGTGAAGATCTCTTCCTGCATGGCCACAAGCTATAAAGCTACCCAACCCATAAACCACAGCCAGCCAAAGGCCGACAGTGCACCCGAGAGCTTCTGTGCTGCACCAAAGCTCCAGAGCTGTTCACCAGGTCTTGACACTTCATGCTTTTGAGGCTAGATCAGAGCCCTATTAGAGGCTGGAGCCTTGCAGATCTTTTCCAGGCAGCAAAGCTGAGTAGCCAGAGTTGACAAAGGGGTGGCAGCCAGCTGCCAGGCACACAGAGAAGCAAAGCCAGGCGGAAGGCTGGGAATCATGAGGAGGAAAGAGGTTGTCACTAAAGAGACCTTATCTTGAATAAGTCAGTAACAGCTACCATTTATTAACTACTGGATGCCAGTCTCTATGCTAAGCATTTTATATGTTATTTCATTAAATTGCAATAAATCTGCACTAGAACCTAATAAGAAGGCTATTGCCATTCCGCTTTACAGAGGAGAACCTGAGGCACAAGGAGGATGAATCACTCGTGAGGTCACTTCATTAGTAAGTGGCTGAGATAGAAGTCAAACCTAGATTTACTCCAAATGAAGACTCCAACCGCTACTCCATTGGGCTACTTCCTGCGTAGATCCCCCTGAAGCTGAGAGAGGGGGCCTCTCTCTCCTCCCACTCCCCGGCACCAACATGGTTTGGGAGCTCCAAAGTGCCTTTAGCATTCAGTCACCTCTGAGTGTCAGATGCTGCTGCAGGCTGGGATTCCATTTATGGCAGCAAAACGCCAAGCCCAATGGAAGACCCAACTCATTCCTTCTCTCAACACTGAACTCTACCCAGAAGCCAGGTGGTCAGTCACTGGTCAGAAGGGACCATTTCCTTCAGTGGGGCAAGAGATCTGATTGAGGACTCAGTCACCCATGGAACCTCTAGGCACTTTTAGGGCCTCCAAGCAAACCATGAGGCACTAAGAATTACGGCAGGGCTGCCCCAGTAGAAATCACACGGTGTTTTAGAGTCAGTCTCTGAACATGGATGATTGAAGACCAGGCCCAAAATGATGCCAACCCATCCAGGGCAGCCTCAATAGCTCACTTGCCTGGGAGCGAGACTCTGAATTCAGAAGTTAGCCAGTGAGCATGGCAGTTCTGTTACTGCCTGCTTAAAGACCTTTGTTGTCAACATAGCAGAGTTGGAATGTGTTAGCCCAGCTCACATGAACTTTATGTAACATACTTCATTAGCTTTATATGCTATCCAACTCACACACTCTCCCTTATCTCCTTCCACACTAATCTTTCACTCCTCAACACCTGCCAAGTTCTTCCATGATCTGGGTCTTGGCACATGCTGCTCCCCATTCCCCTACCCAGAATACACTTCTCCTGTTCTCTACCTCATGCACTCCTACATAGTCTTCAAGGCCCAGTTCAAATGTCCCTGCCCCTCCAGAATCTTCCCTGACCCCCAGAAGTTACTTCTTTTATGCATCACATAGTCGATTATTCAGACATCTGTTATACTAATTAACTTGTAGGAACTCTTTTTCTTTTCTTTTTTTTTTTTTTTTTACAGTGTAGCGGAGGAAGTTTATTTACGGATGTGGGGAGAACATGGTAAAGGCCCCTGGGCTGGCCAGCAAGGGGGCAAGGAACTCTTACAGCTTGTTAGGTATGTCTTCCCAACTAGGCCCTGAACTTCTCAAGGTTGCAGTTGCAACAGTGATGATAATGGCAACACTAACTAGCTGTAGCAGGTAGGGTGTATGGCTTGGCAGAACGTCTGTGTAATTATTAGCAAACCACCACTGTGTTGATTGAATAGGTGTAAGATTCTCCCATCTTGCTCTGCTCATGCTTGCAGCCCACATTTCCTGTCTCAGAACCTGTATGTGCATATCGCTGGTTGATGAACCCCATCTGGCTCTGCAGTTTGACTATTCCTGCAGTTTTCACTTTTCTCCTTTCTAGTCATCCTTTTTTTCCATGCTGTTGGTCTGTCTTCATGAAGTTTCATCTTGCTCTTTTTTTTTTTGAGATGGAGTCTCGCTCTGTGGTCCAGGCTGGAGTGCAGTGGCACAATCTCGGGTTACTGCAACCTCCGCCTCCTGGGTTCACGCCATTCTCCTGCCTCAGCCTCCCGAGTAGCTGGGATTACAGGCAACCACCACCACGCCCAGCTAATTTTTGTATTTTTAGTAGAGATGGGGTTTTGCCATGTTGGCCAGGCTGGTTTCCAACTCCTGACCTCAGGTGATCCACCCACCTCAGCCTCCCAAAGTGCTGGGATTATAGGCGTGAGCCACCATGCCCAGCCAATTGCTTAAAACTTTTAAAACTTTAAGTGAATAGAATCTAGAAATGCATACCAGTCTTCCAAAGAATCACTAATAGTTGTTATATATCAGTGTCCAAATCTTAATCATAAATGATGTGATCAGTGAGTGATTCTTGAACATTCATTGCTGAGGGTGGTCATAGCACTTCACACTCCACCATCCTTGGGAAGGCAGCAGAAGCATCATTGGTGCAGATGCAGGTATTGTAACTGCTATTCCATAGACAGATGGAAGTGGCATGCAGGAGAGGCAATAACCCTCCCACAGTCCTCACCACATGCCCCTCTCCTCCGCCTTGGGAGCTTTCCAAGCATGATAGTGGTTGGGCCTCACAATAACCTCTGAGAAAGCTGTTAGCATCAGGAAGTCAGAGAGGCCATCCGAATACACCCTTCTGACCTCCCCCCTCTTTACCTCAGGGCATAATGTGAAGTTTCTTCAACAGGACCCTCCCCATGAATGTTTGTAGGGCTCATGACTCAATCAATGAATGGATGGCAAATCCACTCATGTCATCGAGACATGAACACTTGGAAACTGAGGGAAATGTAGCTTCCTGTGAGAGTAGCAGGATGGTGATGTGGTGATGCCAGGATGAAGGGAATCATGGTGTCTAGAGGCTGGGCAATTTGACCCTTCCCAGACCCTGAGGACATGGGGTCTCCGAAGCAGATGCCCAAGTAAATCTACTCCAATATGGGAAGATGAAAGTAAAAATTCTATTCATAATTATTTTGTTTAAGAATAAAAGCTTGAGTTACATAAATATGTGATAAATAAATGGACAGTAGAATATGTGTGTGCATATGTATGCATATTTGTAATTTTTTTTTTTGAGACAGAGTTTTCCTCTGTCACCCAGGCTGGAGTGCAATGGCACAATCTCAGTTCACTGCAACCTCCACCTCCCGGGTTCAAGCAATTCTCCTGACTCAGCCTCCCAGGTAGCTGGGATTACAGGTGCCTGCCAACCATGCCTAGCTAATTTTTTTTGTATTTTTAGTAGAGACAGGGTTTCACCATGTTGGCCAGGCTGGTCTCGAACTCCTGAGCTCCAGCAATCTGCCCACCTCGGCCTCCCAAAGTGCTGGGCGTGAGTCACTACACCCGGCCGCATATTTGTAATTTAAAATAAACATACGTAGATGAGGGTACACCTGCCCCAACATTTTTCATCATAGAGAAGCATGGTCAGAATAGTTTGAAGACTACCAGCTAAGGTAGTGACAGCAAATCCAATTCACATCAGGGAGGTGGTAAGGCACAGGCCTGAGGAAGCCTCGATGCTCACGGACTGCCCTGCAGCAGGGTGGGATAAAAGTGTCACTCCAGAAAAGAAAGGAGGAAAAGTATCTCTCTGAGAACCCAAACTTCATAATCCAATTGTGAAACTAGTGTAGATTTTTAGTCAACAGAAATGTAATCCCTGTGTGCTGTAGGCATCTCTGACACCCAGAACTGATAGTGGCCAAACACCGTTAATAATCACTGGGCACCATTTACGGAGGTAACCTCCACCTTTAGAACTGCCACACCTGGGCCGGGCGCGGTGGCTCAAACCTGTAATCCCAGCACTTTGGGAGGCCTAGGCAGGTGGATTGCCTGAGCTCAGGAGTTTGAGACCAACCCGGGCAACATGGTGAAACCCATCTCTACTAAAAAATACAAAAAATTTGCCGGGTGCGGTGGCGCGCGGCTGTAGTCCCAGCTACTCAAGAGGCTGAGGCAGGAGAATTGCTTGAATCCGGGAGGCGGAGGTTGCAGTGAGCCGAGATGGTGCCACTGCACTCCAGCCTGGGTGACAGAGTGAGATTCCGTCTCAAATAAATAAATAATAAATAAATAAAACAAATAAATGCCACACCTGATTGTCACCACCACCTTATGTTCTACATTGTACCTCAATTTTACAGAAGAGGAATCAGGCTCAGAGAAGCTAAAGAAGCGGCCTGAGTCCCAGCTAGCAAACAGCAAAGCCATGATTTGGACAGAAGCCTGTGTGACTCCAAAACCCACGCTCTTTTCACTGTGATGCACGGCTAATACTGAGCTGAGTGATGGGAAAGGAGCTCTCTCTGTGGATTTCCAGGATACCTTCAAAGATCAGGTTGCTCTGTTTGCAGACGCAACTTTGCAAGGACAAGCTGTGTCTTCACTCACACTAGCTCGGCACAGGTTCTGAGCACCTTTTGCAATGGAAGTTATTTAACATGATCACAACAAAATGAAGATATTGAAAACCTGGATGTGAATTCTGAAACCAAGAAATTATCCCATGTTCTCCAAGACCTTGCACCCCTTGTGGCCATGCTAGGCACATGGACCCAAACCTTCAGAGAGGCTGTTGTCAAAAGACGAGATGTTGGCCAGGCGCGGTGGCTCACGCCTGTAATCCCTGCACTCTGGGAGGCTGAGGCGGGTGGATCACCTGAGGTCAGGAGTTTGAGACCAGCCTGACCAACATGGTGAAACCCCGTCTCTACTAAAAAATACAAAAATTAACCGGCCGGCGTGGTAGCAGGCGCTTGTAATCCCAGCTACTTGGGAGGCTGAGGCAGGAGAATCGCTTGAACCCAGGAGATGGAGGCTGCGAAGGCTTCAGTGAGCCGAGATTGTGCCACTGCTCTCCAGCCTGGGTGACAGAGCGAGACTCCGTCTCAAAAAAAAAAAAAAAAAAAGAGACTTGTTGTTTACCAAACTCACCCACAAACAGGAATGCACATGCCGTGCCCTCTTGTCAAATGTCAGTTATTAATAAACGCTTTCCCTTTTGTGTTAGAGAAGAAATAGCTCCTTCTCAAAGAATATGAATTTCTCTGTTACATGAAAATAGATGATCAGTTCTAAAAATTCATAACCCTGGTGGTGAGTTTGTTTTGAGAGTTTAATGATTATTTTTTATTTCCTTTCCTATAGTTGTTCACCTTTTCCTTGTCTTCTGAGATGAAATTATATCCAACACAAATTGCTAACTTTCACCTAGTATTCACAGGGTTAGTAACTGGAAATGGCAGGAGTTTGGGTATAGGAAAGAAATGAGTAAAATAGAAGGGGAGGAAAATCTCAGCTTTTTAAAACTGTGTTTTTAAATTTATTTTTAATCGACAAATATAAATTGTTTATATTTATCGTGTACAATGTAATGTTTTGAAATATGTGTACCTTGTGGACTGGCTAAATCGAGCTAATTATGCATTATCTCACACACCATTTTTGCAATGAGAAGACTTAAAATCTACTCTCCTAGCAACTTTTAAGGATATAATATCTTGTTATTAACTCTAGTTACCTCGTTGTACAATAGCTCTCTTGAACTCATTCTTCCTGCACAGCCAGCCCATTGTAAGCACCAAGCTGGCAGCCGGCTCCTTTGAGAGGGCTCCTGCTTGCCTTGTGTGACACTATCGGCTGCGGCCAGCAGGGGGCGGCTTCTCCTTGTTTGAGAGAGAGCCTCGCTTGGGCTGCTGTGTGCTGAGATGAAACGCGCCTGACCAGGGACCCGCCCCCAGAACTGGCAAGGAAGCTCCTCTCAGCCTTTGCCTCTGCAGAGAGGGCCAGGAAGGGCTGGTGGAGAAACGAACGCCTCGCACGTCCTCGGTGCACATGCGTTTATTCATTATTCAGTACTTGGGGGGGCACTCACTGAGGGTTGGACGTAGAGCCGGGGTGAGGACGGCAGAGAGGAGTGAGACCCGTCCCTGCTCTTAAGGGGCTCCATGTTGGGTGGGGGCAGAGGTCCAGGCCATAGCGACGGGGACCCGGAGGCAGGACCGAGAGCCCAGAGAGTTGGTGGCGCTGCCGTCCCTGCACTGGGTGGGCCGTGCTGGGAGAAGGTCCCGGGGATCACTCCTCCTAGGCCGCCGGGGCAGTCTCTCCAGCCACCCTCTTTCCCCAGAGCCAGCGGGCTGGGGTTCTTGGTTTAGACTCTCTTCTCTCCTGTCCTGGAGGACCAGCCATTTGACGCCCTTGTCCACTGGGAGGATGTTTTCCATGATTCCACTTCTTCCCTTCCTCGGCCACCTAAGGCAGGCCGGCTTATGCGTGACTGTCAACCGAGGCAGGCCACAGCGCTGTGGGCAGGCGGTTTTGCACGTATCCTTAGTGACCCTGAAGGCCCAGCCTCTGCTGGCTGCCTGAGCCGAGGGTTTTACTTCTTTTCATTTAATCACTTTATTGGTCCTTGCCGGGAGGGAGCCCATGGGTCCTGGTAAAAGTGCATCTCCCTGTGGTTCTGGGGCTGATCCTCCTTCTGGAGCAGAAGACAGAGCTCAGTGAGGACCGCCTGTGCTGCCTGCCTGGGACGCCCCAGCCGCAGGGCCGCGCAGGCGTGTTTCTTTGAGAGCCCTCCCCTGGAAGCTCCCTTTCACTCCACCCTGTTGATAAGGCCCAGGACAAAAAGCAAGCAACCGCTGGAAACACACCTGCTGGAAACACGCCTCCAGTGCCAGCCCAGGAGGTGGTGGCCCTGTCCTGACGCCCCGTCTAGCCACCGGGCCAGAGCTGGGAGCCCCATAGTGGAGTCTGTGTCCGGCAGGTGTCTCTGGACAGCTGAGGTTCTTGTAACCAAAGAGGTTCGTTTACCTCCTTAGATCACCCAGGGACAAGTGATGTGTTTTGTGGCCTCGGATCGTTCCGTGCTGTCTCTGGTGGGTTATTTATTCAATGTTCTAGGTTGACTTGTCTGCTTTTAAAAAAAATAAAACAAAATAAAAGGAAGAGTAGGAGAAAATAAGAAATTCCAGGGTTGTTATGAAGCCAGAAATCTAAAAATAACTTCGGTAAAGACTCAGTTGTGGCTTCTCTTTATTTTGAAAGAGCAACAGCTAATGACCAAAACAGGCTAGCTTTGTCCTGGCCGGTGACAGGCCACTGGACAGTGACTGCATTGTAACCAGGGACACACGGCCTCCCGACAGACAACACTCCTGCCAGATGGGGCAGCTCGTTCAGTGAGTGACTCCTTCCGTCAGCAGGGGCAAGGGGCAGGGGCCCTAGGTCCTGCCAGCTCTGTGGCTTCCAGGGTTCCTCTGGGGGCCTCAGCTTCATCCATGTGAGCAGAGACGAACAACAGGGGAAAGGTCACCCACAGAGGATTTAAAGCAGTGGCCATAAAGACATCCACTGATCTCCAGAAAGCCAGGCACTGCGCCCTCTGCCACCATCTTCAGATCTCATAATAGTGGAGAAATATTTTGTGGCCCTTCTGGCTACCATGCACTGTGCTAATGGCTTTGTTTTTATCACTTTATTGAATTGTCACAACTCTGTAAGACACCCCACTTTACAGCCAAGAAGACAGAGGCTCTAAGAGGTGAAGTAACTTTCGGAGCTTTGCAAAGCTAGCAAGTTGCAGAACCTGGCTCTAAACCCAGATTTAACTGTCATCCAAACCCCTGCTCTAGCCAAACCCCTGCCCTAGCCTTAACTGCTATGCTGTGCTGGTTTGGCTGTAAAACCATGATTCAGTGAAAACAAATATGAGCCTGACAGAGCAGAAAGAAAGTCCTAATGTGGAGGGTTACAAAGCCTTAGGGCAGCTCCTGAGAAAGACACAAAGCCATCTCTTATGAGCTTATTCAGTCCTCTGCAAAAAGAAAGGTCCTGGACAACGTGTTCCCTGCCAGCAACTCCACCCCCTAACAGATGTTTAATTGAACACCTACTATATGCCAGGAACAGCGGGGTATAAGACCAAGCCCTCACTCTAATGAATTTGAGCCCTAGGAGGAGAGAAGCAGCAAGTCAACTACACGCAAGTGAGTGATTAAAGGAGGAAGATAAATCCAGTGGGTGAGAAATGTGGTCAAAACAGGGCAACATGGAAAAGAAAGCTGACCTGGGGAGGCAGCGCTGGTGTGGGTGGTGCAGGGCAGGCAACCAGCCTGGGGAAGCCGTGTGAAGCCAAATCTGCATTGATTGTTGAACACCCATTAGCAAGGAGAGCTCTCCAACCATTGCGGGGGCAGCTCCTTCCAGCCAAGGGCCCAGCTTCAGTCTCAGGTGGGAACAGGCTGGAATCTGGTGAGGAATGTGACCCCATGCGTGTTTTCAGGAGGTCACGCTGGCTGCTGGCTGTAGAATGGGCCAGAGAGGGGCAGCGAGGAAACCAAACCAATGAGCCACTGGACATCAGTGATCCAGGCAAGAAGGGATGTGGCCTGCCCCCAGGGACAGTGTGAGAGAAAATGCCCTGCACGGCTCAAGCCCCCATAGACAGAGACTTCAACTCCACTCCCGGGAAAACCTTGGGAAAGGGCCACTTCCAGCCCAAGGGGGAGACAGACACCCCGCACTGCTGCACTCTCAGCTGGGTTCTCAGGCCCTCGCTCTCCTCCTTCCCATGGTGGCTCTAACCTTGGGGGACAGGGCAGTGGGGGACTGTGCTGGAGCCCCGGGGTGGCTGGGGTGACTGAGGGTGTCATCTGCCTGAGCTGGCCCTAGCCTGCTCTCCACCTGGTCTCAGCCATCCTGCTGATGCATGGCCTCCTTCTGCCTAACATCTGCATTAGCGGGAGCAAGAAGACAATATATGTAAGAACGATCTTGGAAGAGCAGCCAGCACATACCTGCCAACTGATTCTGGTTGTAGGGGACGAAGGATGAAGGGGTGAAGGATGCCTGTGAGGTTTGGGGCCTAAATAAGCAGATGCCTGGATGGCCATTTACTGAGACAAGGAAGATGGGCGGACACTGGTTTGCAGGGAAGTCCAAGAGTTCTTTCCATCCAGGGCTGACCTCCAAGTGCAGATGTGTAGTGGGCAGCTGGAGGAAGAACCCCAGGCAGGTGCCCAGGCCTCCTGCTGTCCACCCCAGAGGCCGCCAACCCTCCTTCCTTCCCTGTCTCCTTCTCCATTCCCACCCTGAGCCCCGTCCCCACCCTCAACTCACCGTCTCTCCCACTGTGACAAGAGTTACACAAGGACTGGAGGCAGCTTTGAAACTGTTTCCTCTCATGAACTTAATTTAAAAGTAATTAATTTTTTTAAAAGCCACTGGCTCAGTTATAGAGAGACCCACTGGATTCAGGAGAGGGTGAGCCTGGCGCCAGCCAGCTGTGTGGCAAGGCATCTTCTCCCTGGCGCTCCCATCTGGTGCCTCCAGCCTTAACGAAGTGGCAGTGATGCCAGATGGTGTTAATTCACACACTTACAGTGGATCAGGCCCTCCACTCCATGCATGTTATCTTATCCTCCCAGCGACCCTGGGGGGTAAGTAAATACTGTTATCCCCATTTTTCAGATGAGATAACTGAGGCTTGGAGGTTTTCATGAAAAACTAACCCAAGATCTTACAGATAACAAGTGATAGAGATGAGACTACAATCCACGTCTGTTGCCTCTGGCACCCTGTGCTCCAACCTCACAATCCACAGCAAGCCTGTCCTCTCCACTCTGATCTGGGCACCTCAGGCCTACAGAGCAGCCACACACAGGGTGGTGGCTGATGTCTGCTCCCAGGTCTGCACTTCTCAGCTGAGGAAATTCCACCACTGCCACCAGCACACAGAGAAACCAGAGCTCCATCCACAAGCACAGCTGTGTGTCCTCGCCGGCTGCTCCTGGCCCTCTCTCTCATCTCAACTCGTCCATGGTTCCAGGAGGTGAGGAGAAGCTGGCAAGGCAGGGACAGAGCCCAAGAGTGCCTTGGGTGCGTCTCAGACACCTTTCCTCAAAACAGTCTGGTCCCAGAACCCAAGCAGGACACAACGTGAGGACTGTGGGTGGGGAGGGGAAGCAGAGACCCTGGCTGGAATTCACGATCTGGCTCTGGCTCTGCCAGCTGATGACCTCAGGCAGAGCATGTGCCCTCTGTGATTCTCAGGCTTCCCCATCTGTATAATGGGAGCATATTTCTTGGCAGCATTATTGTGAGATTAGTGATAAAGAATGTTTGCACCACGACAGGCAGATCGCAGGTCCTCAAGATGGAGGCTATGGTTGGAAGAGTGGATTCTGGATTCGGACTTGGATCCTGATTTCAGGAGTCTCCTGCACTCTTTAAACTTGGTTTGCTCAAATGTGGAATGAGGATAATAACAGCACCTACCTCATGGGGTTGGTGTGAGGCTGAAATAAAATGCTGCCTGTGGACAGCCTAGCACAGAGCCGGGAAATAAGCTTCAGCTGTTATCATCTTAAAAATTTTTTAAAAAGTACTGAAGATCCTAGAAGCAGTGACATCCCAATAGCAATAAACACACTAACACACATGTTTTGTTTTCTAAATACATTCCCCACCACATGATGTCAGGGCTTTTTAGAGAAATGGCCAATTCCAGGCTAGGGATAAGAAAACTAATGGGTGGGCATAGAGCATTTTGCTGTTCCAGGGAGTAGAGAAGTGCTGAGATGGAGGGAGACTCATCAGAAGTTCATCAGAGCCAGCTGGAGGGGCTGCTGACCAAACTTGAGACAATATGACCATTAAAATGGTGATGATGGTTAATAGATGATACGACATTGAACTTTAAAACATCCACAAATGGATGTTTACCGCCTGGCCAACGTGGTAAAACCCCATCTCTACTAAAAATACAAAATTTAGCTGGGCGTGATGGCAGGTGCCTGTAATCCCAGCTACTCAGGAGGCTGAGGCAGAAGAATTGCTTGAACCTGGGAGGCGGAGGTTGCAGTGAGCCGAGATTGCGCCACTGCATTCCAGCCTGGGCGACAGAGCGAGACTTCATCTCAAAAAAAAAAAAAAAATCCACGAATCTACAGTGGTGCCCAAAACAAAGCAAAGGGATTGAATTTTGCAGCCACCAACATCATAAATGACTCAGGCAGGATCATCAGATGCAAAAAGCATTGCTGAAGGGTGCTGGGGAACAGGAGATTCACGTGACCTTAAAGCAACACTCCACATATTTCTCATCAGTTACAAATGCAAAAGATGTCATTCCCCTGGAAGACTGAGCTGCCATTACTTGCTATCAAAGTTAGCGTCACCGATAATGGGGTGAGGTGTCACTGTGAACCTCTTGGGGTATTTCTGTGGAGAGAGGAGGGAGGGTAAAAAGAGGGAAAAGGGAGAGAGAGAACAAATGTGGCAAAATGTTAATTCATGAATCCAGACAATGGATATATTCATTGTGCCATTCTTTCAACTTTTCTGTAGGCTTAGATTTTTTCAAAATGAAGTCTGTGTGAATGTGGGGGGAGTACTGGAGGGAGGTGAGACTTGGGGTGTGTTGGCCTGGGCTCGCCCTGACCTCTGTCCCAAGCACAGCCAGCTTGAAGCTTGGTGCTCTAGGAGTGACTTGAGAACTTCAGGGAGACAAGAATTTCCGAGTCAAGAGAGGCCAAGTGTGGCATCTTCCTACTGGAGGAAATCTGTGACATTCCCAAACACAGTTTCTTAGGAGCAGGGGAACTCACAGGACTACAGAACAGTGGCAGGCGAGGGCGGAAGTGCATGGGCTGGGCAGATAAGCCCGCGGCTGATGGCCCACACTCCTGCAGAGCTGCTCATGTTATTCAAAGGGGCATGGGCTCTAGATCCTTGAGGAATCGCCACACCATCTTCCACAATGGTTGAACTAATTTACACTCCCATCAACAGTGTAAAAGCGTTCCTATTTCTCCAGAGCCTTGCCAGCACCCATTGTTTCCTGACTTTTTAATAATTGCCATTCTGACTGGAGCGAGATGGTATCTCATTGTGGTTTTGATTTGCATTTCTCTAATGACCAGTGATGATGAGCTTTTTTTCATATGTTTATTGGCTGCATAAATGTCTTCTTTTGAGAAGTGTCTGTTCATAGCCTTTGCCCACTTTTTGATGGGGTTGTTTGTTTTTTTCTTGTAAATGTGTTTAAGTTCCTTGTAGATTCTGGATACCAGACTTTTGTCAGATGGGTGGACTGCAAAAATTTTCTCCCATTCTGTAGGTTGCCTGTTCACTCTGATGGCATACCCAAAGGATGATAAATCACTCTACTATAAAGACACATGCACGTGTATGTTTATTGAAGCACTATTTACAATAGCAAAGACTTGGAACCCACCCAAATGCCCATCAACGATAGACTGGATAAAGAAAATGTGGCACATATGGAATACTATTCAGCCATAAAAAAGAATGAGATAATGTCCTTTGCAGGGACATGGAGAAGCTGGAAGCCATCATTCTCAGCAAACTAACACAGGAACAGAAAACCAAACACCGTATGTTCTCACTCATAAGTGGGAGTTGAACAATCAGAACACATGGACACAGGGAGGGGAACATCACACACTAGGGCCTATCGGGGGGTGGGGGGCAAGGGGAGGGAAAGCATTAGGACAAATACCTAATGCGTGCAGGACTCAAAACCTAGATGAGGGGTTGAAAGGTGCAGCAAACCACCAGGGCACATGTATACCTATGTAACAAACCTGCACATTTTGCACATGTATCCCAGAACTTAAAATAAAAGAAAAAAAAAACAAATACAATGTACAATACACTGTTGCTAACTCTTAAAAAAGTGGGGACAGCATGGGCACTCTCTCTTCTCTTTCCTCCTCTCAGAGACTCTCTTCCACCCTCTGAGGTGGTGAATGGTGTTGGTCCATCGCTCAATTCCGCTGCTTCTGCCGAATCTTCTCAGTGCTGCTTGATGTCCGGCCGCTCTCCCTCTCAACTGTGGCCCTTGGGTTTCATGTCATACCTGGGTCCCCGTCCTCCTCTAGGCTGAGAGGGTCTCCTTTGTTAACTATCCTTACTCATTCTGCTCTGCGAATCTTTTTTATTGATACACAATAAGTGCATGTATTTATGGGGTACGTGTGCTGTTTTGATGGATGCCTAGACTGTGTGATGATCATGTCGGGGTGTTTAGGGTATCTGTCACCTCCAGTGTTTATCTCCAAACCTTGACACCCCCAGGACCCAGCCTGGGGGTGCCTTCCTCTCCCTCCACACACTTTCCTCAGGCAGTTTCATCTCTATGCAGCCTACTGTGTGCTGCCAACCCCCAAGTCTGTGTCTTGGTCCCATCGGTCTCCCAATGCACAGGCGCATGTCCTGAGCTCTCTGTTGGACACATCCATTTACCCGGGCGCCCTCCAGTCACCCTCATCACAGCAGATCCCAAATGCACAGGTAAGCTACCCACCCCAATACCGGAATCTGCTCTTCCTCTCTCTTCCTTCTCCAGGCCAATGGCTACGCTGTCCAGCTGGTCGTCTAAACTCCAGGCCTCATCCTGACTCCTGCGCTTCACCCGCTCACCAGATCCCATCAACCACCCAAGCCCTGTAGACCCCACCTCCTCCCACAGCTGCATCCTCCTCCCGCACCTCCTTCTACGTCACCTCCTTAGCACAGGCTATTACTTGCTTCCACACGGATTACAGTAACAATCTGCTATCTGGTCTCCAAGCTCTCAGTCTTGCTTCCTCCAAAACAGCCTCGGCCGGGCGTGGTGGTTCACACCTGTAATCCCAGGACTTTGGGAGGCCGAGGCAGGCGGATCACGAGGTCAGGAGATCGAGATCATCCTGGCTAACACAGTGAAACCCTGTCTCTACTAAAAATACAAAAAATTTGCCAGGTGTGGTGGCGGCCGCCTGTAGTCCCAGCTACTCGGGAGGCTGAGGCAGGAGAATGGCGTGAACCCGGGAGGCGGAGCTTGCAGTGAGCCAAGATGGCGCCACTGCACTCCAGCCTGGGCAACAGAGCGAGACTCCGTCTTAAAAAAAAAAAAAAAAAAAAAAAAAAAAAAAAAACAGCCTCCACGCTGCCCACATGATGACCTGAGAATACAAATCTGATCGTGCCACAAGGTCCCTCACCACTCAGCCTCAGGTCCTGGAATGTCCTCGTTCCTCTTTCGTAATGAACAATGTGCAGACCCCCACTTCCCATCCCCTGTCGGAGCTCGTGACCACCTGCAGGAGGCCTGCTACCCACCCTCCAGACGCAGCACCCACGTCCTGCCCTGAACACTCAGCAGAACACCCTCTTCTGTGCGCCCATAAGCAACTTGCCTGTCACTCTGGTCTCCTTCACCTCACTGGGTTCTAAGAATTGACTTCTGCACCTGTGTTACCCACTGGGCTCTGAAGCTGGGATACCGTCGTATTCACCGTGTATCTCCAGTGCTTATCATTGCGCCTGCCTTAGTCAATATTTGATTGTCTCAAGAAATTGATCTGAAAAAAATCTTGGAGTCATAAAGCATTGAGAACTGAAAGGAAACCCACAGAACAGCCAGTCAGACCCCCTCATTTTCACCTGAAGAGACTGAGAACCAGAGAGGGAAGGTGTTTTGCCTGAGTAAGGTGTTCTGCACCTTGTCATTGCTAGACCGAGATGGTCTTTTCCTTTGGTCTGCATAGTCAGATGTGTAGATAAATTACCGGACATGTGTGGGGGGAACGGAAAGGGGGGGCTCCATGTGTTCCAAACACCTGAACATCTCACAGTTCTGGAGGCACTCGGATTTATGAATAAGAGCACAGGTACAGTGGAATGTCACGTTTCCTATTTTTATTAGCATCCCCATTTGCCCGCAGCCTGATTTCTCTGACCTGGCCTGATTTCTTTCACACCCTGGCTTTTAGAGGGTGGCTCGCAGGTCAGATGATTCACTTGCTCAAACATGAAATCTTCTGCCAAGCTCAGAGGACATCTCGAGGGCAGATGCTCCTTTTGATCATCGTTTTATACTCTCTCAGCCTCATCAGGGTTATTAAGCCATTTGGTATCCCAGGCAACCTGGAAGCAGCTCCTGGACATTTTAGTCCAGAAAAGACAGTTCTGAGAGGAAAGAACAGCTCTCACGAGGGGCTGCCAGGAGATCTCTACATATGATAGGAAAGGCTCAGGAGGATGGTACCAGCTATGCATTTTTTTTTCTTTTTTAGAGACAGGGTGTTGCTCTGTCACCCAGGCTGGAGTGCCATGGCTCAATTATAGCTCACAGCAGCCTCAACCTCCTGGGCTCAAGCAGTCCTCCTGCCTTAGTCTCTCAAGTAGCTAGGACTGCAGGTGCACACTACCACGCCCAGCTAATCTTTAAAAATTTTTTGTAGAGACAGGGTCTCACTATGTTGCCCAGGCTGGTCTTGAACTTCCAGCTTCAAGTGATCCTCCTGCCTCAGCCTCCCAAAGTACTGAGATTACAAGCATGAGCCACCAACACCCAGCCCCAGATCCTTTTTTTCTAACCATGAAAATAGCTTCCTGTGGTCTAAAACCCCAGCTGAGTATTCTGCTGGGGAATCCACAAGTTTCTCCATCAGTCCAGACACAGGTTAAGCTTAATGAAAACACACAGCCAAAGAGCCGTGAGGTCACAGTCGGTGATTTCCTGAAATATTCAGAGAATGCTCCAACCCTCAACTCTGTCCCAGAGGGCATCATCCAACCCCACCGCCCTTGACAGGGAGCCACAAAAGTGCTACCAGTCCAGCCTGCTTGCCAAGCCCCGTCACAGCTGCCTCTTCCTGCAGGCTTTCTTTGAAACCTTGCTCTGGAATTCAGCTTCAGGATTCCTGCAAGTCCCTAGATCAGGAATATCAGATGTTGTGATTTTATAGGGCCTCCATTCAAAAACCACAGGGCCATTTCCATGGGTGTCTTGTTTGGCACATGAAAAGAAACAGAAGAAGCTGCCAAGCATGTGTCTCCATGAGTCATTAAGCCCTTTTCTCTGCTTCTGCCGGAGGTGTGCGCACATGCAGAGGGAAAAGGAAAAGCATGCTCTGAACCTCCAGGGCAAGCAGAGCCTCTTATAAACAGACACGTCCTTCAGACCAGACAGCGGCCGGGGAAGTGTGCAGTGGGCGGGGGAAGGTGGCTGGAGCAGAGCTTGGCGGGGCGCGTCCTCCACAGGGGGGTGTCCACATGTGGCCTGGCAGACCAGCTTGTACACAGACCCAGCAAGGCTTCTCAAGGGGCCTGCATTCCCCAAGCCACGTCCCTGAGATTGGGTGTCCCTCCTGCCCCGGCTCCATCTGATGTTTTGCAGGGCCTGGAATGGCCTCCCTGGCTTACTTCTCAGGGTCTCTAAGGATGTGTGAGGTGCCCTCAGGAGCACCCCAAGCTGCCCACTGGGACTCCTCCCACTCCTGTGCTCCTGCTGTTGCTGGTGTTCCTGAGGCTGTGAGCTCCTGGCAAGCAGTGGCTGCTGTCCTGAGGCTACTCCAAGGGAGTGTCAGGGGCACTGGGGCCCTCCTTGGATCTGGGAAGGGCACCCCATTTTCACCGGAAGCTTGGGCCCCGCTGATGCATCAAAGTCTTCAGATCCTGAGCCAATGCCAGAAGCACCTGACACCCCTCCCCTTTCTTCTGCCTGGTTTGCTTATCTAGACCTCCACCATCACCCCCAGCCACCTGACCCCAGACTCAATCTTAGGGTGTGTGAACTGTGGGAAAGGCAGGGACAGAGAAGAAATGTGGCCAGGGAACTGATGGCCACAGACACTCTTCCTATGGGGTGCAGGGTGGGGAGAGACCGCGTTCTTCCTTTAAGGGAAGCAATTGCCCAGAAGGAACTTCAGACCCTTTGGGCAGCTCTCCTGACAGCTAAATCCTAAGCCGAGCGCTGGTTCATTTTCAGCTGAGACAAAGTATTAGGAAACTTTGGCTTCAACTATGAGTCACTGAAAAAATCAAAACAAAATAGCAGTGGCTTAAACAAGATGGAAGTCTTTGTCTCTCTAATATTCCCTCAAAGGCTGGAGTTGGTCAGTACATCCCAGGCAGTTATGGAGACTGCAGAGCCAGGGACCCAGGCTGCTTCCATCCAGCAGATCTTCTGTGTCTTCTGTTCCTGAGGTCTCCTAGGGTATCTACACCCTATTCCTGCAAGTAGGAAAGAGAAAGGAAATAAAAGGGCACAGCCCCTCTTCTTAAACTTCCACTTCCTGGAAGTTGTAGCCACCACTTCTGCTTACATTCCATTGGCCACAATTCTGTCACATGGCCATGCCTAGCTGAAAGGGAGTCTGGACAATGTAGTCTTTAATACAGGCAGACTGTCTTGTGCCCAGCAAAAAACTGAGGTAAGTTCTAAAAGGAGGGGAGAATGCATAGAAGTCTGTGCCACAGACCTCCACCACCCCCCGTGCCATATACATGTGTATTAGTGTCCCAGACAAGGTGCAAGACCCTAAGTGGATATCCACTTTGGAGTCCCTAATTACCGGGGTGGACCCCTCCCAGTCTATTTTGATGAAGACCTTATCACCTCCACACCCATCTGCAGAACCAGACAGTGTCTCAAAAAGTGCAGGCTGGAGCTGCTTGTTAAAAATGCAGGCTCCCACACTCACTGGATTCACATCTCTGGGGGCAAGCCCTGAGAATCTGAAATTCATGCACACTTTCTAGGTCATTCTTATACACGCAGAAATTTCATGTCCACTATTTAGTCTATTTCAGAGAAATTAGGGGAAGAACACTTCTACACTGCTAGACCTAAGGATAGTAGAACTAACAGTAATTGCTGAGTTGGAAGGAGAAGGTGTTCAGGAGATTGTTGGTTGTGACATCTGGGAGTGCCACTCACAAGTTGTCTAGCACAGCATTGGGGAACTGGTCCAAGATTTTCAAGACAAGATCTGCTGTCTTCTGGTAATCAAATAAAAATCAGTGGTCATTGGAAGAGAAAGTAGCCTTCTCCACTGCAGCAGGGAAGGGAAGTGAGGAGACCACCATGAGTGAAGAGCTGACCACCCCCAAGAAAGCCAGAGAGCTGCTGGTGCCCTCTGAGAAAAGGAAGAAGAGGAAGAAGAAAAGAAGGTGAAATGAAGGTCGAGCACCAAGCTCTTCGCCAGACTGAGGTTTAGGAAGCAAAGACTCACCATCCATGTAAGTTGATTCCCAGCGGGGACAGAACTACCATTTGGGGAAGGAGACATTTCTAGAAGCCATAATGCAGGAATGTCACCAGGGACACTAGACGTCCTGAAACGTGAGGGACCACCCACACAATGAAGAGTTTTCTCGAGTCCTTGGGATATTGATGTTTACAATCATCTAAGCTTAGAAACAAACTGCATTTTACATAAAAACACGAAGCATTTTTGAACTGTTTAAATATAAACTGAAATTTTCAGAAGTGCAACTACCAAGTTTATTTCAGAACCCTCCCAAGAGCTGTTCACAATTTCAGAAATACATGTCAACAGCGGCTCCGCTCATGGCATCCGACTTGTGATTGGAAAAGTTCAGTCTGCATTTGTGGTCCCATTCATAGTGACTTTACACGTATGTCCAAGCTTCTGAGCTCCTTGTTAGGTTGTCTGGTTAGACATGCCTGAGCCTTTATATTTTTTTAAGTGGAATGTATTATTATCAATTCCTTTCCTTATAGTTTCTATTTATATTAATGTTAGAGTAATATAAGGATTTTTTAAAAATCTATTTCAGGAAAATAAAGGAAAGTTACAAATGACAAAAAGTATTTGTCATTACGGGGGCCGTGGGGGGTCTGGGGAGAACCTCTGCCCAGATGTGGCCCGAGGTTTTCCTTGGTATGAATGAGGCTGCTCATGACCCCTAGAGACTCTGTTGCAGCCACAGCTGATCTGGTTTACGAAGGCTTGTGCCCACCCAGCTGGCTGCCTTCAGTTTACTCTGGAGTTGTTGGCATGGACCCAGCTCTCAAAACATCCCCCCGATCAGCATCCATTGTGCAATTTATCTCAATGTGGCTATAGACTCAAGCGAGAACAGGTAGATCGCAGGGAACAAGCTTGGTCTATGCAGCAGCAGAAGGATATGGATTTGAGCGGCCCCCTGGCAGAGGCTGTTTCCGACTCAGGCCTCCAGTTGTCCCCTAGGCCTCTCTCAAGAGGATTCTCGTCAATTTGACACAGTCATTTTGTTACCAGGGACATTCCGACACACTCGCTTTACTCTTGTTTTGACCCGAGGACATTTTGATATGAACAGAAACCATCAAGCTTTCAACTGTGTTTATCACCAAGTAAGGAATGAAACAGACACTCACCCACACCTGGGCCTCACTGTGTCTCATATCATGCTGAACCCCTACCCTCTGGGAACTGGAATGCTTTAAGGCTCAGGAAAGGCTGCTGTACCAATTTATTTGCAGTAGAAGTCTGTTTTTAGGCTGGGCATGGTGGCTCATGCCTGCAACCCCAACACTTTGGGAGGCCAAGACAGGAAGATCACTTGAGCCTAGGAGTTCAAGAGCTGCTTTGCAACACAGCAAGACCCCGTGTCTAAAAAAAAAAAAAAAAAAAAAAAAAAAAAAAAAAAAAAAAAAAGCTGGGCATGGTGGCACAAGCCTGTAGTCCCACTGTCCCACTTACTCAGGAGGCTGAGATGGAGGGATCACTTGAGCCCGGAAGGTTGAGGTTGCAGTGAGCTATGATCATGCCACTGCACTCCAGCCTGGGTAACAGAGCAAGACCTTGTCTCAAAAAAAAATTTGTTTTTACAGTTGGTATAGGTCTTTCTATATAGAAGAGACACTCAAAATGATCTCACCAAAGTTTCCAGAATCTCTCATTTCACCCCAACACCAGAGGAGAGGAAACAGGGCTAAGAAATGAAAGACCCCAGAAAGAAGTGTCCACTTGGCTGATGCCAGCTGAGCAGGAAATACACGGAAGGCTCGGCAGGGTGACAGGCAGATGGGCTGCTCTTACCACCTGCCCCTGCCTCACGGTGGAGAAGGTCAAGGAGCTAGATGCGACCCTCTAGCTCAGTGGTTCTCAACCCGGGCCTCACATTGGCATCACCTAGGAAGCTTTAGAAAAGTACAGATACCTGAGTCCCACCCCAGAAATTCTGCTGTCATCAGTCTGGGGCGTAGCTGAACATGGGTCTTTTTAAAATCCCCCCTACATGATTTCAGTGTGCAGCCCCCATCAGGAGCCTCTGCTAGAGCTGCCATCACAGCCTCTCCAGCACGCCTTTATTCTGGCATTTTCTATTTCTTCTTACTCCAGGGAGAAGGCTTTGGTGATTAATTCCCAAGCAAAACCGTTCATTACTCCTTAATAAGATGAATTTCTATCACCAACAATAAGTCAGCCTGTCTCTGCCTCCCTTCTGCTCTTGAGAAATCTCTGTGTGTCACCCTCTTTCTTCTCTTCAAACTCGTTTATACAGCCATCCTGGCCATCATAAGGTTGTTGTTTTGTTTTGGGTTACTTTTAGGGGGTGGCATGGGGAGGGGGTCATTGGGGAGGCGGCTAATGGCCAATACATCAAATTTAACCCAAGCAGATGTTGCAGAACTGGGAGGTTTGAGGCACTTGAGGAAGTCTTTCTAGGGCCTGGCTCTGAGCAGGACTCCCCTAGAGGGCCCTGGGGAGCCTTGGGCTGGCACTTGTGTTTGCAAAGTCCAAGGAAGAAACCACCTCTCATGCCTTTCCCTTAGGGGTTGTGTGACATCCATCCAGCTGTAAGTCAAAGTTACTTCCCCTTTGTTTTATGTTCCATCTTGATTTTAAACTATTATTACATCTGTTAGAGAGTACACTGTGCCTCCCAAAATGGATATGTTGAAGTCCTAATCCCCGCTACCTCTGAGTGTGACCTTATCTGGAAATAGGGTCATTGCAGATATGACGAGTTAAATTAAAATATGGTCATACTGGAGTAGGGTGGGCTTTTAGTCCAGGGCAACTCATGTCCTGATAAAAAGATGGCCTTGTGAAAACACACACATGAAAATGCCTTGTGAAGATGGGGGGTTGGAGTTGCCCAGCTGTGAGCCAAGAAACCCCAGAGATTGCCAGACACTCCAGCAGCCAAGAGAGGGGCAGCAAACAGATTCTCCCCCAGAGCCCTCAAGAGAGCACAGCCCTGCAAACCCCTTGATTTGGTACTTTCAGCCCCAGAACTGTGAGATAATAAATTTCTGTTGTTTTAAGCCACCCAGTTATAGTTTGGGTACTTTGTTACAGGAAATACAACACCCAGTTATAACGCCCACTTTTGTTTGTTTAAAAAAGGCAGGAAATTGTGGTAGTTGAGAGCACAAGCTTTAGAGATCAGCAGAGCTGGGCTGCACTCCCTCCTTGGCACTGACTGGCTCTGTGGCCTGGGTAAATAACTTGACACTTCTGAGCCTCAGTTTTTTCACCTGTGGAATGGGGCTAATAGAACCCTACATAGTAGAGCTGCTATGAGACTTGACATAGATGACATCTGAGAATGACTCACCCAGGGCCTGGTACTCATAGCCTGAAAAGCATGGGGCAAAGATGGGGCTTTGGGCAGGGGATTAGGAACATTAAGTCCACCTATGCGGAGGCACTTGGCTTAGGCCCAGGCCCCAGGTGGCGGGTGTCCATCTGGATAGTGGAAGGCAGAGGTCGGGCCAACTTCCTGCCTTCCTGAGATGCTGTCAGGGTGGAGGAGATGACGTGTGGAAGTCCTTGGAGTGAGCTGCCACGTTAGCACCAAATCACCAGCACGATCATTCCTTCCATTTGTCACTGACGATTTTATAGTCGCAACAAGACAGTTTTCAGTGTGAGGCGGGCCTCAGTTCACACCCCAGGCATCTGGCTGTCATGCAGCCACAGCAAACCTATTCGCTTGGGTCTTACTGCTTAATTATTGCAACTGGCATGGCTTCGGGTACCTTGAGAGCCCTTGGACATATACCATACGTTCTGGGCAGGAAGCTCTCCTGGCGTGAGGATGCTGCTTGTCACTCCAGCAGCTCCCCTCTGTTAAGTGGTGGATCTTCTCCAAATGCGCAGCCCCAAATGCACAGGAAGCCAAAGCTTGGCACTCAGAGCTGCCAGTGCCTTGCTCACGCAGGACCACTTGTCAGCCAGGCCGTCCAGCATTTGTCACCAGTGGTGATTCTCAGCCTGGCAATGGGAAGAGGCAGGCGGATGGTGAGCCAGGGAGCCAGTCTCATGTTTCACATTCTGGGAAGCCAGATTTGTACAAAATAGATCGAATCCAACAGTCCTTCATCCCCCAGGTCCAAGTGAAGAGCTACGTCCTGTGCCCATGCAGGTTGGCTCTTGGTATAGAGCCAAGGAGAGCTTGACTCCTTCCATCAACCAACCTATATTTATTGAGCATCTACTATGTGCCAGGGGCTGTGCTCAGCCCTGGTGATGCAGAAATGGGGAAGACTAGGGGAACCTCAGGAAGCACTGCATGCTCAGGCAGGGACAGCAAGATCAGGATCTGGGATGACGAGTCAGCCACCGAGGAGGTCAGGCAGGGATGAGTGTCCCTGAGCCTCATATGCCTGAGAAGAAGCCTCTGACAGAGCATCCTGCAGCAGGGCATGGGAGGGGGCCACTCCAGTCTATTAATGATACTCAGTTCACCAAGTTTTTACCAAGCCTCTACTATGGGCTGGGCATAGTAGAGGCTTGGTAAAAACTTGGGTTTCATTGATAAATGTTTAAAAGATCTCAGCCCTCACTGAACTTATATAAAGACCTCAGAGAATCCAAAATCTGCAAACTGAATACATTCTAATCCCTCTTGATCTGAGAATATTCCAGGGAAACTGGGGCTCTACGAAACCCAGCTTCTGCCTCACAGATTGGCCATGAGGCAAAGGACTTGGGCTGCCAGTGGCTTAGGACATCTTAGCTGCCAGCTTCCCTTCTCTGCCAGCAGCACGGGGGTTGGTCAGAGGTAAAACGAATGGGGGTCAAGTGTCAGTCATGGTACCCTGGAGTATTTCCAAATGCCTGATGCCAGGAAGTCTTGGCCCCAATTATTTTCTAAGGGACTAGGACAATATCTTGACTTCTCCAATTCCCAGTGTGGCACAAAGGGTCAATACAATACACCCTCTCTTTCATAGAGCCTGGTCACCTAAGCTGGAGTCCATAGACCATCCCAGAACTTTCTGCTGAAGGGCTGCCATCCAGCACAGACCACATAGGCCTATTGCATGGGAGAATCCAGCTTGTGCCTGTAGCCTCCTGGAGAGATTGGAGGGGCTGCTGAGTGGCCAGACACTGAGAGAACCTACAGGATTTTCACTGGAAAGATGAACTAGCAGTGGCTGGGCTGGAGGCACAGGGAGATGGGGACAGCACCCAGCAGGCAGGGCCCTGCTGGTCTGTCTGGGTTTGCATTTCACATCCCCGTGCTGAGGTATTTGGAGAGGAGGCACTTTCTGAAGGAAGAGGAGTAAGGCCTTTATCTTCAGGTGTGACCAGAGAAATATTCCTCCCCCAGGAGAAGAAAGGGAAAGCAAAAGGCAAATGAAATTTCAGAAGTGAATCAGGAATGAAAGACCAAGAATCTAGCTCAAGATATGTCAACTTGGATATTTGGGGCCAAATAATGAATTCTTTATTGGAGAAGGCTGTCCTGTGTACTGTAGAAAGTTTAGCATCATCTCTGGTCTCTGCCCGCCAGATGCCAATAGCACCCCCAACCCTCACCAAGGTTTGCAGCCAAAAATGTCTCCAGATGTTGCCAAATGTCCCCCAGGGCCAAAATCAACCCTGGCTGATCTAGCGGTTTCCCTGGGCAATCTTCCCCAGTATCTGCTTGACCAACTTTTAGCATGGCTGCTTTGTCTCAGCCCAGGATTTTCTAGGTTTTAACATGAAAACTCCCATAGCCCCTCAGTCCTGGGCAAGCAGGGACAGTCAGTCACTCTACCAACCCCTTCGCCCTCTGTATGAGCCCCTTGATCAATGCCCAGCCTGTCCTGCCTCACCAGCACACGCAGCCGCTTTCATTCGGCTCGCCTTCCTGTCCTCCACAGCACTCTCCCCTGAGCAGCCTGTCGAATTTAGATGACTGTTGACTGCCCTCTCTCTCCATTTAAACTCCCTCAAGGTGGGACCACTGTCTGCTTTCTTCGCCGATCTGCGCCGCCTGCCCAGAAAAGTGCCTGGCACAAGGCAGATTTGTAACAAATGTTGTGTGAAGGACCAGGACTCCAGAAACATTATGGGCTTCTGTGACCTTTACGACTTCTCCACTGTTGCTTATTTTCATTTTCCCAGCATGTTCTCTGGCAGTGACCAAGAAAACTCTTCCCACAGACAGGGCCTGTGGGTGTGTCTTTGGGGACAGCTGAGACCCTGTGTCTCTTTGCTGCCAGTCAGGGAGCAGTGGAGGAAAGAGACCCAAGGAGTCAGCAGCCTGGAATCTGGAGAAAGGAGGCAGGGTCTGATATGAGGAAGGGGGCCTGGGGCCTTCAATGAGAGGCCACTAGCTACGATGATGTTGCCAGAGCCCACCCTCAGCACCATGGGACAGGTGCGTATCTCAGGCTCTGGCAGTGTCTGTGGCATATAACATCAACAAATATTTCCTAGGCTGAGCATTTACAAGAAAACACAAGACCTGTTGTGGTTAAGAGCTTGGGCTTTGGGGTCAGGCAGCATTGACTTCAAATGCAGGCACTGCCAGTTTATAGCTGCCTGACCTTGAGCAAACTCCTTCCCCTCTCTACGTCCTCGCACCCTCATCTGTCAGATGGAAATAAGACTGATACTCACCTCATAGGCATTACCGCCTTACTGTTGTGAGGATTAAATCAGATTACAAATGCAAATCCCTTAGCCTGGTGTACGGCACAAAATGAACACTGTGTATGTGGGGGAGAGAAACTAGAGATACTGTATTTTTTGTCAAATACTACATAACAAATCATCCTAAAATTTAGTGGCTTAAAAGCAGCAATAATAATTTATTTACATCTCTTACAGTTTCTGTGGACCAGAAATTCAGGAGTGGCTGGGCTGGGGGCTGTGGCTCAGGGTCTCTCATGAAGTTGCAGTCAGATGTCAGCCAGGGCTGTGATCTCATCTGAAGTCTTGATCAGGACTGAGGATCCTCTCCCAGCCTCACCTGTGTGGCTGACAAGCTGATGCTGGCCTTTAGCAGGAAGCCTCCATGCTCTCAATATCAGCTTCTGCACAGGGCTATTTGAGAATTCACAGAATATTTTGGCTGACTTCCCTCTGAACAAGTGATCCACAAAACAAGGTGGAAGCCTCAATGCCTTTCCTGCCCAGCCTTGGAAGTCACATATCATCAGCTCTGCCACATCAGCTGGCCTCACAGACCAACCCTGATGCAGCGTGGGAAGAGACCATATGAGGTGCAAAAATCAAGGGTCATTGGGGGGTACCTTGGAGGTTGTCTATCACCTGAAATTTGATCTTGAAATGGGGACTTGCTGCACTCAGACCCTAACAACCACGTTGCATTTCTGCCTCCCTCTGCTCATCCGTAAAATGAAGCGCATTGCTGAGCACAGTTTTACTAGTTCATTCAAGCATCTGTTTCCCAAGTTAGTCTGCAAGCTGCTTAAAGATAAGGACTACAGCTTCTTTATATCTCTATCTGTATCCTCACAACATCATCTCTATCCTCTCAATGCCTTGGTGCATGCTCAACGGATGAATGGAAAGACTGGATGCTCTTCAGCAGGGACCTACAGTTTCTACTTCATCCCTGAGTTCTAATGAGCCAAAGCCCAGGCAGCTCCAGAAGCTCCAGTGTTTGACACGCAACCCCACACAGGCGGAGGTTCTAGAGCTGTATGGGTATGGATGCAGCTCCAGAAGTCTGCAGCCTTCCAGGAGGGGGGCGTGAAGACAGAACTGTACCTCCCAATCCCTCCTGACCTGACTCACATCAGCCACCAAGCTTGGGTGGACAAGGTATTCCTCGGTATTAGGTTTAATCCCAGACATTAAGATTTGGGGTGATTTTTCTTTTAGGCTTTTCTATGTATTTCAGATTTACCACAATGAATGTGTGTTTGTTTAGTGCAGAGAGAAAAATAAGGAAAAATAGAAACCTCAGTAAGCTGTTGTAATTTTTACACTGGCTTGCTCAAGCAGAGTTCCAGATCCGGCTCTTCTGTAGGATACATTCACTGAGGGGTCACCTCCCCTGGGTTTCCTCACTGTTTGTTCAGGAAGACAATGACTAATCTGTAAAATGGGAAAGTTAACCTTTACTTTCTTCTCATTTTACACAGAATTGTTTGCAATAATTAGTGAGACATTGATGGACAGATGGTTGAGATCTGGGGAGAAGACACTGGAAGGCCAGATGGCCAGTGACGAAGGAGGAGAGAATGGGATTGTTATCAGGATAACACTGACCACCCCTAAAATTGCACTGTGCCTCCACTGCCCGAATAATTACACCCATTCTCCTTAATGGATTCTGCCGGAGGGGACCTGCCTTTGAAGGCTCACATTTAATTGTTATTATCATTATTACTATAATTAGTATAATGTAATGGATTCTGGACTTCATGCATTGCCTCTATATAACAGCAAAGTTCCTAGCAGCCAGCTGGTGTAGAGGACAGAAATTCCACTTTTTCTTCAGAAGCCACTGAGAATGTAAAGACACCACTGAAATCCTCAGACTCACTAGGCCTGGCTTTAATAAGCATTTCCCCCTGTTTCTTTTTTTGCTCCCTCTACAGAAACAGCTTCTCAGTGAAAATTGTCATGACAACCTGGAGAGAGGAAACGTTCTACTGCAAGCCGAGCGTGGGGACCGAGGGTCGGCGTCACAGTGAGAGAGCCATGATGGAGGACGGGGTCACCCTGCTTGCCCAACGCGGGGAGCTCCGTCATACAGAACCCCAGTGAGTTCTGGAGGTCACGCTCTGTTTCATAAATGAAAAGCTGGGGCAGGGGCCTTGCCACACGGACACTCCTCGGGCCTCACAAGCTCCTGTGGGTGACCAGGCTGCTCCCCACCGCCGGCGTGGGCTGTTGCTACCCTGCACATCCCTCGGGTGGGCAGCGGTGCTTGAAACGCCAGCTCCCGCCCTTCCTGCCTAGTGGCTTGACGGCTTCATTGTGCTAACCACCCAGGCAAGCTTGCGTGACTAACGGAGGAGCGTCTCCCCTTAGATTCTTCCCGCCCGGAGCCGGGGACAGCAGGTTGTTTATCACGGAAGGGCTGGGAAGAGCTTTTCAGAAAGGCCTTGGGGACTCTCTGTGTGGCATGGAACAGAGAGTGCCTGCCCACCCCAGGCAGCCAGATGCAGCCCCTGCCTGCTTCCCCCTCCCTGGCTATGTGCGTTCCAGAAAACCACCTGACCTCCAGATTCTCTCTCGTCCAGTGGAGATTCTCCTGCCCGAAGGCAGGCGCTCTCCAAGGTCCCTCTCCCCAGAAGAGCCACGATCCCAGGAAGCCGGCTTGTGCAGAGGAAAGAACCGCACCTCGTTGTCAGAACAACCCCAGCTCTGCCACCTACACCTTGTGTGACCTTGGGCAAGTCAGAGAAACTTCTCAGATGCACAATCTCGTCACGCTCCTAGTTTCCAAGCCCACACACCTGAGGGTCAATGTCCCTTATTGCACCCCCACCCCATACCGACTCCATCAGCAAGTCCTGTTTGTTCTTGCCCCAAGTATCTCTCCTGTCTGCCCATTCCCTGCATCTCCCCCGTCACCACCCCGGGCCAGTCCCCGTTACCCGCACCTGGAGGTCTGCACCAGCCCCACCTGCACTCCGGCGTCCACTCTCGCCCCCATTGCTGTGATCTCCACACAACCACGAGCGGCCTTGAGAGCGCAGCGAGGCCGTGAGGCTGCGCAGAGCCCCTCAGTCAGCAGGACCGCGCTCACGGTTCAGTGGGCCGTCTGCTAGAGGCTTTCCGCAGTTCATTCCTTCTCCCCACACAACTCTGAAGGTAAGATGTCTATTATCACACCGTCCCACTTTACAGTGAGGAAACGGAGGTCCAGGGAGGTGAAGGCTCTGGCCCAATCACAGACTAGTGAGGGATAGAGCCCGGATTTGGACCTAGGCAGTCGGACCCCAAGTCCATACCCTGGGCCTCACGCTGGATTGTTCCAGATCCCACACCAGCTCCCGCAGGTCCTCGCCAGTGTCAGCCCTCACCAGGCTCCCCCCGCCCATTGTGCTCCACTCACCCCGCCTCCCCCTGCAGGCAGGGCACATGAGCACCTCCAGACCTTTGGCATCTCCCCTCCCCTCGCCACCTGGCTGAATTGTCCCCTTCAGCCCTCTGAGCCTCCCTCCTCCTCAAGGACACCCCGGCCTCCTGATCTAGAGGATGGAGCACAGGGAGAAAGCACAGGTGTGTTTCTCCCTGGCTGCTGCTGGTCTCCCCAGTTGGTCTATATGACCCAGGAAGTCATGTCCAGGTCTGTGTCCTCTGCCGTCGTGTATGCTGGCAAAGCGTGATACCAGCACACAGGAGGGGAAGTCAGTATCCTCGTGATGGGCAGAACGGATGAGCATCGATGCAGAGGTGCTGGGAGGCCAGCCCGTGGCCCAAATGAGAGCTTGGTGATCTACCTCTGCCCCATGGAGGGGGCACCTGCCAGTCAATCTGGAGAGGGGCGTGTGCTGGCAAAAGAGGGTGCCCCTGAGCTAAAGCCCTGGTAGGAGGGTGGAGGAGAGGGAAAGGACTCAAGAAGGACTTCTGAGTGGGCGATACACTGGAAGTGGGGAGTGAGGAGACTGAAGCATCCAAGGTGGTGCCCGGGTGGCAGGCTGGTGTGCTGGGATGGAAATGAAGAGAAGACACGGGGCTGCCCTCAGAAGGGGTGGTGGCTGGGAAGAGGAAAAGCAGTCAGCCCTAAGTACTTAAAGTATCTGGCAATTTATAGCAAGTGTCATTAAAGGGGAAAAAGTTGTGGGGAGAAGAATGTTTTTGGAATTTGTGACCTCCACACGGGCTGAGGCATTTCTCCTTGAGGTGCCTGCTCTGGCCACCTGAGCAGGCCCTGACTCACAGAAGATGGAGGAGACACCGAAATGCTCTCTCTTCTTCCTAAAATGCATAGGTATTTTACCCAGATTGATTCATTACTCCCAAAGTTAAATTAGGGGCATTTTGTTGACAGTCACCGGTGAGTTCTGAGGAGGGCTCTGGAAGGGGAAATAAGAACTAGAAGAGGCTCTGTCGGTGACCCCTGCCCCAACCCCACTCTGGGAAGGGGTTCAGGGAAGGGAAGAGCGAAGGAGGCTGAGGACCAGGCGGGTCCTGGCCAAGAGGAAGCCGCCTCTTGCCTTGGACCTAGGCATCAGACCGGCAGGCATTGTGCTGTGGGGCCAGCTATTTCAGAGGAAGAGAACTTCCTGACCTTAACCCTGCCCTGCTATTAAAACACCGTCATAACTAGCTGGCCCATACCTGCCTCTGGAGCCTGGCTGTCACTACTTTCTGTCTGGGGTAGAGGACAATCTGGCGTGTCTTCTAGGCTCAGCATCAACACACATCATCCAGTGTATATTTTAGTACCGTCTTTACAGGCCTGACTCAGGGCAGGGGAAGTCGTCGGGAAAAACCACGCTCATGGCTCTGCCATTGTCTCTGTGTGTGGAGACATCAGCTACCCTCACTGGGCCTGAGATATTCATCTCTCCAATAAGCTTAGATCAGAAAGGCCATCTTGCAGCTTTTTAAAAAAAGAGTTGGACTCTTTTTTTAAATTAAAAAAAAGTTAAACATTTTAAACAATAAAATCTTATGTGTAACATCAATGTAAAAAGCAGATCAGGGTGAAACATACTGCTTATCCGGGGCTGGGCAGGGCCGAGCCCTCCTGTCCCCTTTCCCCCGCCCCACCCCGCATTGCTCCAAAGAACTTCCAGGGCCCAAGGAGCCCAATTCAAAACCCTCTGAATGAGGTGCTTGCTAAGAACATCCTGCAGCTCCCAGTGACTTCCCAAGAGAGCTTTCTCGGGGCTCCAGGTTTCTGCTTGGACTCCCTGAGGGCGTGCCTGGGAAACCCACTGCAGGGCCCCCAGTCCATGGTCCCAGAGGTGTGAAGGCATCTGCTTCACCTTCCATGCCGGCCTCCCAGGAGATGAGGAGGAATTCAGTCCCACGTTCGGGCAACCGTTGCTCAGCATTAGCAGCCGTCAGCAAGTTGACACTGGAGCTCCAGCCAAGTGGTATGACATGCCGCCCCTGCAGATGTGGTGCTCTGTACCTCTTAGACCCAGGAGCTGTCTGCATGTGACGTCCGATAAATGAGTGTTTCCTTTAACAAGTCTTAAGCCAGGCCCTGAAGCTAAGTCGCAGAGTGAGTATCTTCCTTGAGCCCGTCACCCCACAACATTCACAAATAAGAGCCCCTGCGGAGAAGCAGGCTATGTAGTCAGATAGACATAAGTCAGACCCCCCAGCCTGTGTTCTCACCTGTGAAATGAGAAAGATCACAACAGCGACACCCGAGCTGTTGTTTGGAGAAGATGAGAGAGTGTGCACAGCTCACACCATCCTCTGCACCGCAGCTAACACTGTTAGCACCATCACATGGGCCCCTCTGCAAAGAACTGCCCACCTCATGAGAAATCATATGCTGAACCAGACCCCCGGGCCAGTTCCCAAACTGGGTCTCACACCTATCTCTCTGTTTTGAATACCAGATATTCTAAATACAACATCATTGATATAATCTGAGATACTAGATGATGTTATCCGCCTGCCTGCAGAGGATTTACTTTTGCTTTTGGCAGGCATTTAGGCCAGGGGCAGATTGTCTTAAGCCAGACTGGATGAGCTGATTCAAAGCTGGTTTCGGTCTTTGTGAAGATGGGTCTATTTCTGGTTCAGCGTTTTGCCTGGGGATATCCCGTCCGCTGCCCCACCTGAAAGTCTGGAGTGCTTGCCTGGCCGCCTCCTGCACAGCAGGGCCTGAACACTGAGGTGTGTTTCCCCAGCCCTGTGAGACTGCCCAAAGTTCTACTCAGCTTCTCAGCCCCTCCACCGACACTCTGAATTGGCAAATGCTTCAGCAGGGAAAGTGGACCTGAATGTCCGGCACCCTCTCTGTGATCCCCTTCTCCTCTTGATTTTGGTTCCTCAAGTCCTCACTGCCCTGGGAGCACTCTGATACCCTCAGCAGAGTTTCGAAAATATTTTATGCAGTTTTCTAGTTGTTCTCAAGGGGAGGGTTAGTTGGAGAAGAACACTGTAGCCAACCATCTTGGAAGTGACTGTTCCTATTTTACTTTAATGCTCATTTAGGTATTTTAAAAATTATTCTGTTTTCCTGAAACAGAAAAAAAATTCAGAAAATTTTTTTCTGAAACAGAAAAAAATATTCTGTTTTCTTCATTTGGGCTGGCATAACAAAAATACCATAAATGAGGCAGCTTATAAACAACAAACATTTGTTTCCCACAGTTCCAGAGGCTGGGAAGTCCAAGATCAAGCCACTAGCAGTGTCTGGTGAGGGCCTCTTCCTCATAGATGACACCTTCCATGTGTCCTCACATGGTGGTATGCACTGGCTAGCTCTCTGCAGTCTCTTTTCTAAGGGTACTAGTCCCATTCATGAGGGCTCTGTCCTCATGACCTGATCACCTCTCAAAAGGCCCCATCTGCTGATACCATCACCTGGGGGGTTAGGATTTTGCATATGAATTGGGGTAGAGGCACAAACATTCAGACCTTAGTGCTATGCTTCATTGATTTAAGGATGGTCTCATTGGGATGTTGGGGGTAGAAAAGATCCATGTCTTCCATGCTAGTCTAGGAGTGCATTCTTCAGGAGGCAGAATGGCAGAATGGGAGGAGGGTCTCCAGTCATGGATGCTGGTGGCCCATTGTTATAAACCACAGGGCAGGGTCAATGAGGGCACATTGCCTGGTGGTTTCCTCCAGCTGAGTTCAGAAGGCATTTTTCCTCAGCAAGACCACAAACTAGTTTGATCAATAACTTTTCCTCCAAGTAGTACAGTTTGGAAATGAGGTAAGAGAGCCATCTCCTGGTAAGAAATATGGCAGTGTGTGAGGGAGGCCTGCAGCGACTCCGGCACTGTGTGGAGCCCTGTGGGTCCCTGGGAAGTCTGGGGTTTGGGAAGGTGCCCAGAGTGAGTGGATTCCTGGCCCTGTGTTCACCCGATCTTCAACAAGTGCAGCTCCCGTTTTATCTGTTTTATATACTGGGTTCCTAAGAAAAGTTTTCCACCATTGGGGAATTTCAGAAGTTGCTCCACCATCAGATAAATTGGAAAACCACCCCATCGAGCTCAACTGCTTCATTTTATAAACCAAAGTCCCCGGAGGTAAAATGACTTCCCCAAGGTCATGCAAATGATTCATGGTGAAAACAGGACAAAACGGTCTGACCTCCATCCAGCGCTCTTCCTACCACCCCACACTGTCTTTTGGAGATGCAGTTTCCTAGAAGATCTTTATTTTAGAACAACACTTCTTTTAAAGAGCACTGCTCTGTGCTTTTGTGTAGAGCTGCATGGACTTTTCTCACAAACGTCCCCAGAGGACATGGAACAAACAGGGCTGTTGATATTTTCCTGCTGGGAGGTCAAAGGCCCACCAGAGGAGCTCAGTGCCCTGCCAGGGGCCTGTCCTGGCTCTCCTGCTCACCCTGTGACGTTGACTCATCCTGCCACCTCGAGGGTCTCTGTTTCTTCCTTTGTAACATGAGAAAAGCAGAAAGCCTAAGATCTTCACATTCTGTGGGAAGCACTTCAGTCAGGGGAATCCCCCCATGTGGCTGGAGTCACCCTGACACCACCGCATAATGATTCATCCTTCTCTTGGGAAGCCAATGAGATCAACAAGCCAAGACTATGGGCTCTTCACAAGGGAGGAGTGATGTCTCTGCATCAAGGGAGAAGAAATACTATACCAGCAAATCCGTGCTTGAAGATTCCCCCATTCCTCTTTAGGAATCATTTATATTGCTGGCCACAGTGGCTCACGCTTGTAATCCCAGCACTTTGGGAGGCTGAGGCGGGCAGATCACCTGAGGTCAGGAGTTCGAGACCAGCCTGGCCAACATGATGAAACCCCGTCTCTACTGAAAATACAAAAATTAGCCAGGCGTGGTAGCAGGCACCTGTAATCCCCGCTACTTTGGAGGCTGAGGCAGGAGAATTGCTTGAACCTGGGAGGTGGAGGTTGCAGTGAGCCAAGATCATGCCACTGCACTCCAGTCTGGGCAACAGAGCGAGACTCCGTCTCAAAAGAAAAGGAATCATTTATATTTGCTCTTTTGACAATGTCTCTATCAGTGAATTGGAGAGAAACTCATCCCTGTGGCTGATTAAGATAAAATAAAGTTATGATGAGATGTTACTAGGGACCTACAATTCTTCCCTGGGGAAAAGGTCACACACACACACACACACACACACACACACACACATACACACACTCTCTCTCTCTTTTGCTAGAACGGGCTGGAACTGTTCTTGCAAAGACTGGGCTGAGATGCATGAGTAAATCTGACGTGTCCACCCTCATCTCTACAGGATCAGCCCCAGCTCTGGGGCCCAGGACTGCTTGGCTCATCGAAGAATCCCGCCATGCAGGTATGACCTGGATAGTACTTGACATTGCATTGTAGTGGGGAAAAATAAAAAGGAACATGAAACCTATTGGCTGGTCTTTTATGTCCTCTAATTCCCATCTCGTTGGAGTAAAATGAACAAAATTACCATCTGGTACAGGAAAGTGAAGTTGCCCATGTCTGTCAGACCCTAAAACACACCTGACAGGGTTTACTGACTGGGAGCTAGATGAGAAGAGAACATCAATTGAGAAGAGAACAAAACTATAGCTCCCAATACAGAGATAGGTTGAAAGAACTACAAATAAACTCCTCAGATTTGGCAAGGAGTTGTATGTCAATCTAGGATTAATGCGCAATGGCCGTGCAATAAAGGCCACCAGCCATCATCCCCAACCCCATGCCCATCAGCACTGAAGGCCACACAGTCACCTGAGTTCAAAGGCTGTGGAAAGAGCATGAGCTTTGGGGCCAGGCCTGACTTCAAATCCTGGCTCTTTCACTAACAACCATGTAACTCAGGCTCTCTGACCCTCAGGTTTTTTTTTTTTTTTTTTGAGACGGAGTCTCCCCTGCAACCTCCGCCTCCCAGATTCAAGCAGTTCTCCCGGGTTCATGCCATTCTCCTGTCTCAGCCTCCCGAGTAGCTGAGACTACAGGCGCATGCCACCACACCCGGCTAATTTTTGTATTTTTAGTAGAGACAGAGTTTCGCTATATTGGTCAGGCTGGTCTCGAACTCCTGGCCTCAGGCGATCCACCTGCCTCAGCCTCCCAAAGTGCTGGGATTACAGGTGTGAGCCACCACACCCGACCAGCTTTCTTATCTGTAAAATGGGGATAGCAATGCCTTCCTCATTGACATCCATGAGGCTGGGCACAGTGGCTCACACCTGTAACCCCAGCACTTTGGGAGGCAGAGGTGGGTGGATCACCTGAGGTTGGGAGTTCGAGACCAGCCTGGCCAACATGGCAAAACCCCATCTCTACTAAAAATACAAAAATTAGCCAGGCGTGGTGGCAGGTACCTGTAATCCCAGCTACTCAGGAGGCTAAGGCACAGAGAATCACTTGAACCCAGGAGGCGGAGGTTGCAGTGAGCCAAGATCGCGCCATTGCACTCCAGACTAGATGACAGAGCGAGACTCTGTCTCAAAAAAAAAAAGTAAATGAAGTAAGGACATTTCAAAAGCATCGAGTGTTCAGAATGTGGGCAGCCTGTCATTTGTCACCATTAGAGATAGCACCTTCCACCTGTCCCATCACTGAACCTACAATGGGGCTCTGCACACACAAAGGTACTACCTTGTTGAAATTTCTGTTGCATTTTGAAGTTGAATGGGGCTCAAAGAGCAGAGAGACTACTTTTCCATGGCTTAGAAAGACCAGAGGACAGGATACACATAGGATGACACGACGCCTGAACCCACTTCGGTGAAGAGGAGTGCAATTTTGTACAGTATTAAAACTCCATCTGGGTGTGGTGGCTCACACCTATAATCCCAGCACTTTGGGAGGCTGAGGCAAGTCGGATCTGCTGAGGTCAGCAGTTCGAGACTAGCCCTGGCCAACATGGCAAAACCCTGTCTCTACTAAAAATATAAAAAATTAGCCAGGCATGGTAGTGTGTGCCTGTAATCCCGGCTACCTGGGAGGCTAAGGCAGGAGAATCACTTGAACCTGGGAGGTAGAGGTTGCAGTGAGCTGAGATCATGCCATTGCACTCCAGCCTGGACAGCAGAGCAAGACTCTGTCAAAAAAACAAACAGACAAAAATCTTCTCCTTTTGGTTTGTTTGCCAACAGACTTTGGCTTCTTGGGCAAAACCCTCATCAGTAACTTTGCTCAAGAAGCTGAAGTCTGTTGGCAAATAAACCAAAAGGAGGAGTTTTGGGAAGAAATAAAACACTGTGGCCAGCCATCAATGAGCAAAGTTTACTGAGATCATGTTCAAAAGCACCGACAACTCTAAACATCTCAATTAAACTTGAAGGAAGGGCCGGCACAAGGAGAGACACATTTCTCTTAAAACAGCTCACTGCTCCTCCATTCTAATTAAGCAACAAATAGAATCAGTTCTTATGTGCATTGGTGGTCTTTACAATGTAGCCCGAGGTAAGGACTGCGGAGAGTGTAATTATCCATAATTAGTCTCCCACTGTTGCCAGGACTTAAACCTGACAAACCCCAACAGGCCTAGAAGTGTGCCGCAAGAGACGGCCGTTTATGTGACGTGATCTGAGAAAGCCCCTGGTGAGTCTGTTTTGCATTGCTATAAAGGAATATTGAGGCTGGGTAATTTAGAAAGAAAAGACGTTTATTTGGCTCATGGTTCTGCAGGCTGTGTACATGCATGGCACTGGCATCTGCTCAGCTTCTGGTGAGGCCTCAGGAAGCTTACAATCATGATGGAAGGTGAAGACGGAGCAGGCATGTCACATGGTAACAGGGGGACAAGAGAGAGACGTGGGGCGGTGCCAGGCTCCTTTCAACAACCAGCTGTCAGGTGAACTAACAGAACAAGAACTCACTCATTACCGAGGACGGCATCAAGCCTTTCATGAGGAATCCACCCCATGACCCAAACACCTCCCACCAGGCCCCACCTCCAACATTGGGGATCACATTTTAACATGAGATTTTGAGGGGAAAAACATCCAAACTATATCAGCCGCACAGGCTAGCCTGCCCTCAAATATCTTCTGTCACAGTTGTGTTATGCGTAGCCCTAAGAAACCTGCGTCGAATGTACCTAGGTTGCCAGAGAGGGATGTGGGCCCACGATCACTAATCACAACCTTCGTACTGCCAGTCCACCTTAATCAGAAAGGAACGCTACCAGGAAAACAGGGCAAAGACACTTTCTGATAGAGGTAGAAGAGTCAAGGAAAGATGCTAAAAAATGGGCCATTTTCTGGAATCCCCAGGCCTAGCAGGAGATGCTAGATGAAGCCCTGGTCTTTCCGAGTCCGATGGACCTGGGTTCCAATTCTGGCTCCACCACACACCTACCAGCTCTGTGATATAGAGAAAAATACTAGAGATACTAGATACTAGAAGAGATACTAGAACAGTGCCTGGCACATAACAGATGCTCATTAACTATGAGTGTGTCTCCCTGTGGGCAGGAACTATGGGAGCTTCCTCTTTCTTGTAACCTCTTCAGTGTGGAAACTTCTCTAAGATCCTTCCAGCCTTGCCTTTGCTCTTCTTTCAATGTCAGGTCTGGCAACACCTCAGGGCCAATTCCAGCAACTCCAGGCTAAGGTTGAGGCTGGAGGCCACTTTGCTCAAGAAGCTGAAGTCTGTTGGCAAATAAACCAAAAGGAGGAGTTTTTGGAAGAACTAAAACACTGTGGCCAGCCATCAATGAGCAAAGTTCAGCTCAGGCACATGTCAGGACGTTTACATGTTTTCCTTCCTGAGGAGTTTCCAGAAGGGCAACTAGGAAGGCTATTAACGCAAAAGTCTTTTTTAAAAATTGTATTAGAATTCTATTTACCTTTATGCTTAATTGCAAGACTTGAATTTATAAGATCTGAAGCAATTATGAGTTGTGAGTTTTCTATTTGACCACGTGTCGATGTGGAAAGTTCTAATATCAGCAAACTTTAAGAAATCCCTGCTGTTCCTAAGCACCATACTTGGCACTAGGAAAACAGACAGATTTTAGATTAATCTATATCCTCGTGGAGTTTACGGCCTCTGTGGGGAAATGGAAATTATGCATGAGAAGAATGAACAGGGTTTCACAGAGGAAAGCTTGGGAGGCAAACGGAAAGTGCAGGCTGCAAGCCTAACAGGAGATTGACATGTGCCCTGGAGGGCTTAGAACTGGAGGAAATCCGATTGCTGAGGCAAACCGTAAATCAGTCAGGATGCAGAGAGTCTGCTTAGAGAGAGAGAATGGCTCCAAGGCCCGGAGACGTCACCGTAATCTGATTGAAGGTATTTATATCTAACGAAAGAATGTGTCAATCTGAAGAGCAGGTGGATTCCCAGAGCCTAGAAAAAACAAGAATCAGTGAGATGGAAGTGGTGACCATGAAGGCAGTGGTCCCACGGCAGGGCGCTTGCATCCCAGGGACAACCAAGAGGATCCTGCAGGTCACGGGACAAAACAGAACTTCTATTTATATCTTGCTTATCCCTTAAAATGTCTCTGTGACTTGTCCAGTGTAACTATGTAAGTCTATGACCAAGTCAAGCACGTTGTCAAAATCTATCCCTAATCATTCAACCTAGAACCTTAGTAAGCAGGTGCTCCCAATATCTGCCAAATGAGTTTAAGACATTTTTGACCAACTCCCCCTCTTCTAGAGAGGGTATCTGCTAGGAGTCTGAAAGAAATTAAGATTTAATGGAAATTCCTCATTGCCACCATGTCTTTCTTTCACCTGAGCCTCTTGGCTGGAGTTAACCTGTCATGCTACTATAGCTCAAATTTTATAACTCTTTGGTTGTTGTATAATCAAAAACTTTCAAGTGGTACAAAATGCTTGCTCTAAATCAGGGCTACAGGTTTGAAAAATAAACCATTTAAAAGGAGTTCTAAGCCTTACCATCCTACACAAACCTGTTACTCTTAGTGTAATTGGTTGCATGAGTCTGTGCAGCATCTCTTTAGGAGTTGACATGCACTGTGTTAAACTCTTTGGCAAAAATGAAGCATGAAGTATTTTGGTTCAAATTGTGATTGGTATGCAAAATGCACAAACTTGGAAAATAAGAGCTTCTTGCTGTGAGGTGCAGTTGATCTCATGAGGGGCAGCAGATGCCATTGTGAAGAGCACTCACTGCTGAGCTTGTGTGTGGCCTTCGGCAAGATATTCAAGTTCTCTGGCTTCAGTTGCCTCATTAATAAAATCGGATTAAAAACAAGTTTCCTCACCTGGTTGCTGTGAAGATTGAAGGAAGTACTATCTATAAGCATTGTGTTTGCTACATAGGTAAAGCTCAGGAATAATTTTTTAAAAATGTAAAGTTGCATGACATATGCATAAACATTTCATCTGTTTCACAAATATCCTGTGACAAAGTGATGGCTTGCAAAATAATGAAAGGAGACAATAGCAGATGGTTTTTCACTGATATGAAAATAGTGGGGTTTTTTTTCCATCACAGAATTATGAGTTGGTCAGAGGAAAGAATGGTGAAGATTTCAGTAAAGAGTAACCCAAATGTCTGAATAAAATCTGCAAAAACAATTTTCTTCCCGAGGACTGGAAGTGGCATGGACAGTTGGGCAATAAAAGAACAGCAGTGATTTTCTGCTCCATTTCTACAACAACAACAAAAACACGATGGTGGAAAACAATGCCAAGTGGAAATCTTCATTCCTTGGGGATAGAAAAACACATCCTCTTCTTTAAGAACTATAACCACAGATTGCAGCAACAAGATGCGCAGAGAAAAGCTTGGTTGGGTTGAGCCAACCGTATGCGGCAAATGATTAAAAAGATGGTGTCCCTCTGGGAGAGCAGAGGGCCAGTCACCAGGAGGAGCAAGAGGAACAAAGAGCTCTCATTCACATCCGCAATGCTGACGGGACGTGCGTTTTCCTCAGCAAACTGGCAAGCTCCCTGGAAAGGGAAGATTAATACGAGCAGGGAATACGAACTCTCTCCAGCAAACCGTGCCCATTGTCAGCCTGGGGAGAGTGCTGAGGAATGAATGGATGGTCATTGATCCTGGACTAGGAGGACTTGAATGAATTCCTTCCCCTGATTCCCAACTCCCCCTACCTTGATTTAACTCACACGCAGCAATTCTCATTTATCCAATGTCCCTGGGCAAGAGCTAGTCCATGTGAATTCATTTTACCAAAAACTGAGCTGATCTGTTTGAATTTCAGATGTACGCTTAATTAAGGTTTCACTTTCTTTGGTAGAAATCTTTTAAAAATTAACGTCAGAGCTCTTTGCCCTCTGGAAGTACAGGGAACTTTACTGAGATGGCCCAAGAGGGAGCACCGAGTGCAGAGTGCACACCTGGGTGCTCAGCCTCACCCCGCGCTGTTGCTTTGCTCATTTATTTCTATTTATGAATCAAGGTTGTTAATGTGAATGTCATTAATGCAATAATACCTCTATAGAGGCAGACAGGGTGGGAGACAAGGCTGAGGAGGGACAGAGGGCTGTGCTTCTCCAGTATTCTCGTCCATGCTGTCCAACCCTCACACCCTGAACCAGGAGGCTGGTATTGGTCATTTCTGGGTCCTCTCGTCCCGCCTACTCCTGCTCATCCAGACTCATGGCTTTCAATGCCATCTATATGTTCATGCCTTCCCTCAACGACAGACTTGTTTATACATCTGCCTACTAGGAAGCTCCGTGAGGATGTTGAATCAGTAACTCAAGCGAAACAGCCCCAGACTCAGCCTTGCTCCAATTCCCCAGACCTCTTCCTCCCACTCTGCCGCATCTCAGCAAGGACAACTCCATCCTTCCAGTTGCTCAAGCCCAACAACTTGAAGTCATCCTTGACAGTTTTCTTTCCACACTCCCTACCTCCAGGCCCTCAGTAAATCCTGTAAGCTCCACCTGCAAAATACAGTCTACAGAGGCTGACTGCTTCTCACCTTGCTGCTGCTCCCACTTCTGGCCACACTGCTACTGCTCTTTCCTGGATTACTGCACAGCTTCCTGCCTGGCCTTTCAGCTTCTGGCCTTGTCTCCCTGTTCTCAACACAAAAATCAGTCATCCTTCTAATCACGTTGCTCTGCAAAGTCAAACTCCTGTCAGTGGCCTGCAAGGTCCGAGGGATCTGAATCCTCATTCCTTCTCTGTCCTCATCTCCTCAGACTCTTCCCCTGCGCTCAATCAGCTTCATTCACCACCCAAGCTCCTTGCTGTTCCCACTCAGGGCCTTTGCGCCCACTTGCTGCTTCCTCTGCCCGCAATACTGTTCACCTGAATATACATGTGACTCCTCCCCCGACTTCAGGTCCTTACTCAAACATCGCTCTCAAGTGAGGCCTTACCTGGCTACTTTATTTAAACATTGACATGGTTTGTCTGTGTCCCCACCCAAATCTCGTCTTGAATTCCCACGTGCTGTGGGAAGGACCCAGTGGGATGTAATTGAATCCTGGGGGTCAGGTCTTTCTTGTGCTGTTCTCGTGATAGTGAATATGCCTCATGAGACCTGATGGTTTTATAAGAAGGAGTTACCCTGCCCAAGCTCTCTCTTTGCCTGCCACCATCCACATAAGATGCGACTTGCTCCTCCTTGCCTTCCATCATGATTGTGAGGCCTCCCCAGCCATGTGAAACTGTAAGTCCATTAAACCTCTTTCTTTTGTAATTTGCCTAGTCTCGGGTATGTTTTTATCAACAGTGTGAAAACGGACTAATACAAACATCCACCCACACCCACCCAATGCCCTCTTTCTCTCCTTATTGTATTTTAACATGTGTCACTACCCTACATAAGATAACGCACACATATATATCTTTTTCATTGTCTGCCTTTGCCAATGAGAATGTAAGCACCATGAGAACAGGGAGTTTTTTTCTTTTTTTTTTTTTTTTTTTTTTTTTGAGATGCAGTCTCACTCTATTGCCCAGCCTGGAGTGTAGTGGCACTATCTCAGCTCTCTGCAACCTCTGTCTCCTGGGTTCAAGTGATTCTCCTGCCTTAGCCTCCCTAGTAGCTGGGGTTACAGGCATGCACCACCAGCCTGGCTAATTTTTGTATTTTTAGTAGAGATGGGGTTTCACCATGTTGGCCAGGCTGGTCTCAAACTCCTGACCTCAAATAATCCCCCTGTCTTGGCCTCCTAAAGTGCTGGAATTATAGGCGTAAGCCACCATGCCTGGCCAGTTTTTTTCTATATTGTTCACTATTATTTCCCCAGCCCCCAGAATAGTACCTGCACATAACATGTCATCAATAAATGTTTGTCAAATGAATAATTTTTTTACTATAGTCATTAAGCCTGCATCTAGAAATGCAGGGTAGTGATTATAAACATGGATTTTAAAGTCACACAAATATAGATTCCAAAACCTGCTCTAACCCCATTTTAGCTGTGTGACCTTGGGCAAGGTATTAATACTTTTATCATTGTTAAAATAGGTACGATGATGTACAAAAGAGGAAGCAAAGCACTGAACACAGAACCTGGCAAGCTGTAATCATCTGGCACATCTGAACTGTCTGGGTGGTGTCTCCGCTGCTACCGCCTCAGTGCAGGTTTCCATCATCTGTTGCCTGTTGACCATGAAACTCCCAACTCAATCCTCTCACTCCAGCCTTCCTCAAACCCCAGTGTCTTCCACATACTAGGACCAGAGTGATCCTCTGAACATAAAACTGATTGATAACAGATCATCCAAATGGACTAATAATTGACCAATTAATAATTGACAATCAAAAAATTCTCTCCTCAAAAAAAAAGGCAAGAAAACTGGCAAAAAATGTCAAAATCAACTTTTCTAGAACTCTGAAAGTTAACCACCAAAGGCTTGGAATAATCCGGGAAGCTTTTATTTAATTAAAATGGCTGAGTCTTGGTATGAACAGCAAACTTTGTGGTGTTTCAACTTGCCCTATTCCTATCTCCCTATCTCCCACGTGGTGGTTCCCTAGAAAACTAACAATCACAGTAAAAGACAGCAGCCTGGTAGCTATCAGAGAGAGAGAAATGGAGTCGGGGGTCCTTTAAAGCCTCATTCCCATGGAATCGTCATTAGTTAGCCTCTCTAGTAGTCCCCTGGAAGACTGCACTTATAAGGTCATCTTTATTAGACCTGACTTAGAGCTCACCTAGTGCAAAAGGCTTTTCTCCAGGGGTGTTTGTAAAAAAATAAAAATAAAAAAATTAGAGACTGTTGTTTAACTTTCTGGCTGGGTGCTTTGTGGCTGCCTAAGGCTGTGGATCACAGTTGGGCAGACAATAAGCTGATCAAAAACCATAAAAGTAAAATCTGGGGAATGAGCTCTCCATGGGGTCTTAGACAAGCTTCACCCACTTTCTGGGCATCTAGAAGGTCATGGGCATGTGTAGGACTCTGCATGTGTCCAGGGCTGTGCACATGCTCAGAAAAGACCTAAGAAGGCCCCAAGAGCTCACTTCTGGCTGATCTTGGGGCTCTGTAAAACCAGAAAGTGAAAGCTAAGGCACAGTTTCAACTGCCTGGCTGAGTGTTGAAGGAGTGTCCAACGTGCACACACAGCAGCTTTCCAAGGACTGGGAGATTTACTGGTCACTGGCGTTCAAGGAAACCTCTGTCCATTCATTAACTGACCACTGAGCTGATTGAGCAGAGAGCTCAGTGGCTAAACATGATAAAGAATATAGACTTTACAGAAGATATTTAGAAATATCCCTGAGTAAAATAATAGCAACAAACAGCAACAACAACAGGCCCAGGGGATGGAGCAGAATCTGACTTCCAGAGAGCCTATCAGGGAACTTCTGGGCCTCTAAAGTCGTGTGAGCCAATTCCCATAATAAACTTAAAAATGCTTTGAGATGAATGAAAATGAAAACACAACATAGCAACAATGAAGGATGCACTAAAGCAGTGCTTATAGGGAATTTCGTAGCTGTAAACATGTATTTTTAAGAAAAAAGGAAAAGTCTCATATTAATAATCTAACATTCCATCCTCAGAAATTAGAAAAACAAACTAAACCCAAAAATAAGCATCAGGAAGAAAATAATAAAGATTAGAAAGAAAATAAATAAAATGGAGAATTTTTAAAATAGAGAAAAATCGATAAAACCAAATGATCTCCAAAATCACAAAACATTTAACTAAACTGACCAAGAAAAAAAGAGAGAAGACTCAAATTACTAAAATCAGGTACGGAGAAAGGGCATTACTTGCAAAACTAGAGTTTGAAGGAAATACTACAAGCAGTTATATGCCAACAAATTAGATAACCTAGATGAAATGGACACATTTATAGAAACGCACAAACTGCTGAAACTCAGAAAGAGAAAAATCTGAATATACCTATAACAAGAAAGATGTTGAATTAGTCATCAAAAAATGTCCCACGAAATAAAAGCCCATGACCAGATGGCTTCACTGATGAATTCTACCAAACATTTAATGAAGAATTAACATCAATCTTTCACAGATTCTTCCAAAAAATAGAAGAGGAGGGAACACTTCCCAGAAGCTGTCTCAGAGGCTGCCTGTCAAAATACTCTATTCTGAGTCTAAATCCTCAACACAGCATTGCCAGTTTTTTATAATCCGGCCCCTGCACCACCTACCCCACCCTCGTGCGTGTGGCGCTCTAAACTTCCTCTGTTGTTTCTAAGAGTGCACCATGCTCTCTTCTCACCTCCCGGCCTTCATACCCACCGTTCCTTCTGACTGGTATAGCCTCTCTGCCTCCCCTTCTCTACTGATTCCCGTCCATCTTTTGAGACAGCCCCTCCGCAGGAAATTTCCCTGCACCCTCCTGACTGTGTGAGGTGTCTCTCCCGGGGGCACCCACACCACGTGCCTATGCTCCTGCAGCACTTCTGACTCTGGAAAAAAATATGTCCATGCATTTATCTGCCTCTCTTCCCAGTCCTGGAAGACAGGAACGGTGATTCCAATAGCTTGCAGGGTGCTTCTCACTAGCAAGGCACATCAACCTTTGCTGAATAAACGACCTCAGGATAAGGTAAGGCATTCCTAAATTACTGCTGTTTCTGGGACTAATTTTGATAATTTTATCCTAGTCCCAACAAGGACTCTCCCTTTGTAGAGACAGCATTCACAACAAAATGAATCTTTCTCAAGACTAAAATAAAGAAAAGAGCATTTCCAGGTTCAGACCTGCTCACAGAGTAAAATAGACAAGGCCAGTCCATGCCTGTCTGAGTACACGAGCTGCATTCTCTGTGAGTGCCCCGGTCACCTCTTGGGACACAGCCCACCAGCAGCAGCCTTGCCTGAGACCACACGGTGCTATGTGGGTGCTGGAGATGCCAGGAGGCAAGGCGGGAGGCATGGGAGGCACCGGCCTGGTTCCTAAGAAGCTCAAGTGTCCAGTGAGGAGAAATGGGCTGGAAAGTAGAAAAAGACAACGTTGTTTCCAGGAAAACTAAAATCAAAGTCAAGGAAGTGAGGCCAGCAGTCACTGCTCTAAGATGCAGGGGCTGTCCTCAAGGTGGCCAAGGAGCTCCAGGAAGGCAAGACTTTAGGGAGAGGAGAAACTGAGAAAGGCTTGAAGGTCAGAAAGAAAGCAGTGTGTTGGAAGGTAACGAGAAGGGGCAGGGGAGAGACAAAGGAGACGCATTTGGGAGGGTTTTAAATACTTTGCTAGTGAATTTTATTTTTTGCCTGTTTAATTAATTTAAACCTGCTAATGAATTTAACTTTTCATTATGGGGGCCATTAAATATTTTTGGGCCAAAGAGAAAGTGACGTGCATGCCAAGAGGTGTTTGATGAAGATGAAGCAGGCAGGAGTCCATAGGTGGTGGTTAGAGAGTAGAGCCGGGGGGCCCGGCAGTCCAGACTCCAGGTAGCTTGGCCCTAACAAGAAAGGAGCCAGCGGGAGAAATATCAGGCAAGTAACTTGCCCTGGTCCTGCAGCGGCAAGGTGGCAGTGAAGCTGGGACATGAACCCAGGGGTCTGACTCCAGCAACCTCACCCTTTGCTGCTAGGCACACCTGCATGGCAGCCTCCTAGCTGTACCTTTCAAATAGCTGTGAGCAGCTTAAGGCTTCAATAGCTACATAGATGCATTTCTAGCAAGTGACAAGAGTGCTATTAATTATGCTAATGTAAGGGTCATTATGCATTTAAGTGCAACGCTAGTCTCTTACAAACACTAAAGGAGTGGAATTGGTCTTCTTCCCTTTCCACATACCCGACAGTTGCTTAAGACAGTCTTCCGCCACACTAGGTACTTCGTAAATGTCCATTGAGTGGAAAAGTCCAGTGGCCAGCGGAAGTCACTAGAGTGAGGCTGTGTGAGTCCAGACACTTTCATGTGTCATATCTATAGGTTTCCATTTGGAGGCTGAATGACATCCACGATGCCCTCTGTCCTCTTTCACCGACACGCTGCACAGGTGGTTTCTTCACAGGCCTGTTTCCTGAAGGACGTCCATAGGTGGGGCCCAAGTGACCATTAAAAAAAATGGTTCAACTGGGAATTGGCACCTTTTTGCTTGTGTCCAGTAACTTTTTAAAAGTTGAATATATTGTCTAAACCTGGCCCTGTAGTCTTGCAGGGCTAAAAGACTCGCAGGGTCCCTGCCTGACAACTAAGAAGGCGTGTAGTGTTAGCGTCCTCTGTATTGCATCACTGTAAGGTGGCATTCTGAATAAAGGGACTTAAAACAGTATGTCGCAAGAGAAAAACAATTCTATTATACCTAAATTTTAAAAACTTTTGTCTTTCTTCCCCTCTTGTAACTAATAGATTAGTTTGAGCATGAAAATAAACTGGGGGGAAGAATGGCCTCCTTCGTTTGCTAAGGTTTTTTCCTTTTACTCACTATTGTGAAATGCGATTCTTTAATAGATGGTGTTTAACGCTCTGTGTTAACTTCCCTTAAGGCTCTGTTGAGCATGACAAATGTGTGGATCATTACTTCCCAGTTCTCCTTGAGAAGATAAAACAATAATACATTGAAGTTTGTATTTTAACCCAGTTTTTCCGTGTGAGGCCTTTAATTTTTAGTGTTGCTGACAAATATCTGTGTCCCATTTTCCAAGCGGATGCTACCCTTCCCTTTATGACGTCATCGTGGTTGGCCGTAGTCTAGCTCCTCAGTGCATCCTCCACAGGCTCTGCCGAGTGGGGGTGTTGGTGTCAGTGCGGCGCCATTGCACGCTCACTTCTGACTCTGAGGAGGACTACGGAGCAGTTGGGTGTCCTTCACAGTTTAGGAAGCAAGGGTCGCTGCTTTTGAATCAGATACCTCTCTCTGGAATGAACCTCTTAGAATGCGCCCAGGATTGCAAATTCGCTTCCTGTCTCTGCAACATGTCATGGAAAGTTTTGAGCTGTGAAACAGCCTGTCCTTTTATCTTCAAAGCCTGAAAGCTCTTGGATCTAAGAAGGAAATCATTTATTTGGGTTGAAAAAGACAATTTGGTTTTAGGATGATTAAACATAGAGTTAACAAAAAATGAAAACCAAATGACTTTTAGCCTAATAAGAAACTCACACGTTTATAAATCTGCTGCTCTTAACTCATTAATGTCATCCAAAAACCAGGCATCCTACTGTTGGAAACTGCAATATTGAAGTACAAAATGGGTGGGGTGAGAGGAAACGAGAATCTGCCAAGCAGAAGAGTCTGTACTCCAATCGCCTTATTAGGAGCTCCAAGAAAGCAGGCAGAAAAACAGAGTTTGAAATAGAACTACCAATCATGGGGCAATAACAAGAGGGTCCAAAGTTATCCCCCCACACACATGTGCACACACACCCCACAAACCTATAAATGTTTGCAAAGGTTACTTGCTTACTAGGCCAACAGGCATTCCGCTAATCACCATGTCACTGAATTGCAGGTTCTTCCGAATCCAATTAAGAAGAGCAAGGTCTGGTAGAAAGAAAGTGACTTTTTATTCCAAAGCTACTTTAGGGGAAGAAGTACACAGGCTTCCTGCTTTATGGGTACCACTTCACTTTTGGAGCAGAAAGTGGGCAATTTTGGCTGGGCGCAGTGGCTCACACCTGTAATCCCAGCACTCTGGGAGGCTGAGGCAGGTGGATCACCTGAGGTCAGGAGTTCGAGACCAGCCTGGCCAACATGGGAAAACCCCGCCTCTTCTACAAATACAAAAAAGAGCCAAGCGTGGTGGCGGGCACCTGTAATCCCAGCTACTAGGGAGGCTGAGGCATGAGAATCACTTGAACCCAGAAGGCAGAGGTTGCAGTGAGCCGAGATCGTGCTGTTGCACTCCAGCCTGGGTGACAGAGTGAAAAAAAAGGAAGTGGGCAATTTTAAAGTGTGGGGACTACACAGTGGTGGAAGTGAGCCGGTGAGTGGGATGTGGCGGGGGTCTGTGTACTCCCTTCAGTGCCTTATCTACTGGCCAGTTGAGTTGGTGTCTTCCTGGGAAAAAATAGGTTGTAAAGGTGGTCAAAAACTCTAGTGTGCATACTTTGGTTGTAAATGGGCTGTTATCTCTTCAGGCAGCCTCCTGGTGGGTGAGAGTTCTGCTCTGGAGCTTCTAAGCACATAGTTAGATGAACTTGCCCTGTAGGGAGCGTCTGGTGAAGAGGAGGTAAAAGGCTATGATTACATTTCTAAAGGGCTAAGTAGGAAGTGTGGAAAAGTAGGAAAGAGAAAAAAGAGAGAGGAAAAAAAATAAAGTATCTCTTAGAAAAATGGGGGTACTAGCCGGGCATGGTGGCTCACGCCTGTAATCCCAGCACTTTGGGAGGCCAATGTGGGCGGATCACCTAAGGTCGGGAGTTCAAGACCAGCCTGACCAACATGAAGAAACCCCGTCTCTACTAAAAAATATAAAATTAGCTGGGCATGGTGGCACATGCCTCTGATCCCCACTACTCAGGAGGCTGAGGCAGGAGAATCACTTGAATCTGGGAGGAGGAGGTTGTGGTGAGCTGAGATCGTGCCATTGCACTCCACTCCAGCCTGGGCAACAAGAGTGAAACTCCATTTCAAAAAAAAAAAAAAGAAGAAGAAGAAGAAGAAGAAGAAAAATTAGGGTACTAGGTGGTTACAACCACGGCCTCAAAGGACTCTGATAGATTAGGTCTGATAATAGTTATTTAAAACATTATTATTAGGTTATTAAATGACTAACTGTGAGCTTAGTCAAGGCGCCCAGCCTGTGTGAGCCTCAGTTTATTAATCTATGAAATAAGTTAAGTAATTCCTTTTACACAGGGTTGTGGGTGGGGATTAACAATAAGGTGGGTGAGCATCGGCACAGTACCTGGGGCAGAGCAGACGCCCACTACACAGTGCAGATTGCTGTGACTTTTTTCTTATTTATAATTAAGGTACGAAGATAAGGAATTGAACAAAATGAATTTCAATGGTCTTTTTCAAAGGAATATCCAAGTGCTAAGGTAGCTTTTCTTTAAAATATTGCTTAGAGTATCCTATCTTTGTGGATTTTTAAGACTGTGGCTACGTGTGTGTGTGTGTGTGTGTGTGTGTGTAATAAAACCTGCGTATAGAGCTATTTTTAAATCTTAAATGTGTGGAAGTGTCACGTTTAAAGAAAAGGATATCTTTAGGTAAGACAGTTTGTAATAGAAACCACTGTGTGAAATTATTTCTAGAGAACTGTTTATATGGTACGCCATCTATATCCAAAAAAGGACACAGGCAAAGAAAATGAAAAGTTATAAAAAATAAAAATCGATTTTTAAAGGTTTTTTTAAGACCAACTACAAAGCAATAAAAATTGGGAGAGAGTTGTATCTAAAAACCTAAGCCAATATACCTTTTATGACTGAGCACAAAAAATCTAGCTAAGAGCTAAGGCAAAACAAGAAACACACAAGTTGTACAGCTTTCAATATGTAATAGAAGGAAGTTCATCAATTTATAAGGCCTCCATTTTGAAAGGAACCAGTCATATATAGGTCTTTATATAATAGTGATTTTATATGATTGTTCCTTACATGGATCCTCTTTCAAAGTCAAGGGTGCCAAGGATTTGTAGGTCTTTGATGGGATTTCCCTGGGGAACCAGTACAGCATAGCCTGGGTAGGTAGCTTTCTGGTGATCAAGTTGGCATGATGTTAGATGTTCACACACTACACATAAGGGTGACCCAATGAATGAGGAGAATGTGAGCTGAGCACTAATGCCTTGGTGGTGTCTATTGCATGCCAAGGAAAGCCCAGCTGTTCTCACTGGGTTTCCAGCCACATCTCCCTCCCTGGTGTCTGGCTTTGGCAATTTCCTTGCTGCACCTCTCTCTGAACTTCTGCTACCATCTTCCTTGATGCTCTCCAATACAGCTTTCTGAATGGTGAGTCACACCAAGCTTTATTCCTTTACTATTTGGTACCAATGCGGCTCAACTAGAAGGAAGTTTCCACTGTTATTTGCATGTTGTCTGGTCTCCCCATTCCGGAGTAGAGTTTAATTAGGGAGTCTAGAGCCATCTCGCACCATCCTTTAAACTTGTGCCCTATTTCTTGATAAACATAAGAAGCTCAGCCCACTCATGGGGGATGCACAAAGGATGAGCTTTGCAATTCCATTAGTTCTATCTGCCAGAAGAATCCACAGAGCTTCACGTTCTGCAGTTTTTATTTTTAAAAATGATAGGTCATTTTTCACTTTGCAAAAATGAAATTATATAAATTTAAATATTCCTTTTCCAAGCCCACCTCCCCCAGACTCCATTGTTGGGAAAGGGTATGTCCCCTCATCTCCAAGAGCCACTTAGAGGAAAGAAAGGTTATCAGGCCCTTTGGCTCTTTATTGAAACTCATCTTCCTTATTGCTGTGTTTATTCATGCAACACAGGAGTTAGAAAAAGTCTGATAACAACAGGTGACTTGCTTGACAGGCAGGTATTCTGGGTGATTGACTGAAAAGAAGGCCCAAAGCTTTGCTGGCAATGATTGTAGGAAGCAAAATTACAAATTTCTTGTGAAAACTGAAGAGCCAATTACATTTTGATATAATTCAGTCAATTACTGGATGAAAGATCATCCAGCCTGGATGAAAGATCATCTCATCTCCACCCAGGGTGGATTAGAGGAGAACCTGGACGCAGGGCCAAGACTTTTCTCAGGAAACGATTTCCTGAATATGTCCAAGTGCTGAAGTGCCCAGTTAAAACCCCAGGCCTTCCCCTGTAGAGACAAGACAAGGCCTAGGAGAGCTTTAACATGGTTTCTAAAATGTGTGGTTTTGAATGGCCACATTATGTGACCTGCTAAAATGGGCTGGTCATCAAATACACCTTCAGAAAAGTTAACCTGCTTAGGGGGATTTAAACAGTCCTCCTGGATGCTGAAGAGAGTTGCCAAAACCAGTAACATTTAGCAAAATGTATACTGGGTATGAATATTGAGCTGTACTTTCTGATTATAACTGGACAGCAGGTTTTGCTTCCTCCTGAGAAAGGTTACTGGCACATGAGAGGAAGACCATGTCATCACAAGTCACTCGGCACTGCAGAACATATGCTCACCTGAAGAGAACATCCATTTTTTTAATGTTATCAAACCAGAAGTTTCGAAGGATAGGATTATAACATCATCTAGTGTCGTACCACTTGGAGTTGAGATTTGCCCTCTCAGGAGCCAGTTTTTACCTTTTTGTGCCTTGAGGTGGTTCTTTTACACATTCTTCAGAGGTGGGCGACACACCCTTATATAGGCCATTCTGGGGCAAGCTTTTATGTAGAGAATCAAAGACCAGTGGTTGATTAATAAGTTTCCAGAGTTTCAATATTGCAAACGTTTTCTTAAATGAAGCTGAGTGTGGCAATAGTTCACCATAGAATAATTCTACCTTAGAGTACTTGCTTTGCATGTCATATATAATACCAAGAGGCTCAGGCCTGTGGTTTCTAAAGAAGAGAGCTGGTGTCTATTGACAAGAGCCTGAATGTTTCCCCAAAAAATCAATGCTGGAGAAACTTCAGATGTGCAAGAGAAGCAGGCATGGATCTGAAGAGAGACAAGGAACGGTGAGACAATCCTGGGGAGACTGAAGTTTGTGCTAACCGGCAGGTGAGGGGCAGGTGGGTGGGGCTGTCATCAGCAGAAGGATGGAGTTCAGAATGACACAGGCTCAGTATGTACTGGCCCCAGACGACTCTCCCAACATCATCTCCTGCCTTCTAATGTAGCAACACAAAAATGTGAATCCCAGGATGGCCAAGAGCACTGATTCTGTAGATTTGTTATACCTGCCTGGAACCCTTTGCAGAGGAGGAAGAGGAGAGATTGCTGTGGTTGGTTGGCTCATCGGCCATGGGTTTGGGAGGTGGGGAGTGATGGGACATGCTGTGAATTAACAAGCCTTTACTAGATGCTCCCCCCACACACTACGGTTTGCATAACTTCATGCCTTTGAAAAAGCTGTTGTAGCTGACTTGAAGGTTGTTTCACACCCTTCCACTGATTAAATTTCTACTAACACTCCAAGACTCGGCTCCATGATACTCTTTCTCAGAAGCATCTCTTATGCCCTTCCCACCCCTAGCTTCTTGCCAGCAAAGAGAGTGTCTGCCTTTCTCTGTGGCCACAGCTGTGGCTCCAGCACAGATCACATGGTACTGGTAGCACTTGTGTATGGATCCATCTCCCCAGCCTTGAGCTCCTGGGGAACAGGGACCATGTTTTACAACTTCTTTAATCCCCTATGGGATGTGCAATGCCTGGCATATAGATGCCATTTGATAAATGCTTAATTAATTAAATATCAATGTCTAACTAGCTAATGGATTATAATGGGTAATTAAACACTACAGAGGACCTGTCCAGGATGGTTCTTTGAAATTCCTGCCTTGAGGGAGGGTAAACTTAGCTTCACTTGGCCTGGCTCATCCTACAGGTGGGTGGGCCTGACTCGATGGCACACCTCCCTCCAGAAGGCCTGCCTGTTCTTCAGGCCGAGGCTTTCCTCTGAGCGTCCTCCAGCTGCCTTCTCTGTGCAGAGCTTGCCTGCCTAGCAATGCTGGCCTATCTCCTCCTGGACCTGAAAGATGGCCTTGTTCCAGCACACCCCTGGGTCTGTCACGGGAGGCTTCTGGTTATTTTGCAGGCAAAACCTGGCCTGTTGGACCAAAACCTGGCCTGTTGGACCAGCCAGAGTGAATGATTTTTAGTGCAGCTCTGCACTTTAGGGTTGGGGTGCCATCCAGAGTCACCCCCGGAGTGTGGGATACCCCTTGCCCTCTCACCCCTCACTGCACCCTTCACCCTGTGCATAGCCCTGTGCTGCCGCATCTTTGCTCCAAGTGCTTCCTCTACCTGCAATTCTCCACGCCCTTCCCCTGCAGTCCGCTGGTGAACACCCACTCATCTTTGAAAACTCAGCCCAGCATCATCTTTCCGGGGAAGCCTCTTCGGATCCTCCCCCTACTTCCATCCCCCGCCGCTCCTACCCCCCAGCAAGCACTGACCCCTCCCTCTTCCAAGCCTTTCTGTCCTAGTCCCCATCACTCCATAATGATCCTAGCTGTAGGACATGGTCTGCTGAGATTCCTGCCGTGAGGCCAGGACAATTAGGGACAAAGAGCCAGGTGTTTCCATCATCACAAGAAACAGTCCTGGGCTGAAGCCTGAGCCACTAGCCCCAGATGCAGCAGGCAGCACCTGGCACAGCAGTGTTAGGAAGGTGGGCTGTGTGATCCTGCTGAGTGTGGATGATCAAAGGCCAGTGTATGGGCAAGGGTGGGGGCACAGGTGGGCTGGCAGCCAGAGAGGCCAGGCTCTCCAGGTGATGAGGCCACCGGCTGTGACTTTTGGGCCTGTCTCAGGAATTTGTCTGTTCTCAGTGGTGACATGCAGCTTTGAAGCACTTCTTTCTTCCCTCTTCTGCTGGAGAAAAGAAACTAAATAGAAGCACAATAATATTGCAAAATAAATTAAGGTCTTTCCTGCAAGGAACACAAACATCCTTAGCAGGGTGGAGAGGCCACCTGTGGCTAAGAATGAGAGGCAACAGCTCAACCCTGAGAGACAAGGAGCCCTGTGCTGTGGTGACAAGCCAGCTGCAGAAAGACCCACTCAGAAGAGCTCTGGAGTGAAGATTCCCCAGTTGGTTGACAGGAGATTGAGAATTTGAGAAAATGCCACCCAGTCTTTGAAGGCATTTCTTCCATTGGTTGTTCTTCAAGAGCCATCTGCTTCAGGAGCTAATATTAACTTTAACTCTTTCAGGGAAGACATCACTCTTCAAAAATTAGACAGAAAAGCATCCAGAATTCCCATCACCTCTATTCAACCTGGTTTTGATGTTAGCCTTCGCGTTCAGGCTGGGTGGCCATAGCATGCTAAGCATGGTGCAATAGCGTATTCCTACAGGGGACAGAGGTGAGCTTTTACAAGCTGGCTTACCTCTTAAAGATTAACTTAGCAAAACAGTAAACACCTACCACTTATTGTGTGTAAGGCCCTGTTCTAAATACTTTATATAGATTAATTCATTACTCTTCCCAGTAGCCTTGTAGGGGAGCTACAATTATGATCTAGATTTTATAGATAAGGACCTCAGAGGCAGAGAAAGGCTCACTAACTTGCCCAGGGTCACACAGCTAGATACCGGTGAAGCCAGGATTCGAACTGGGCAGCAGCTGGGCTGCAGAGCCTCCTGTTAATCAACGTGCCATCCTGTCCTTTAGCACGAAGGCCATGCATATAGTGAGGTGTGCAGGATGCAAAGGATGGTGGCCTCTGCCAAGGTGGGGTCATGGAAATGCTAAGCGGATTCTTGCAGTGACTATTCATGGGTGAGGATGGATGAGGGGAAGAAAAGAAGGGAGGAGGTGCTGGAGCATCCAGTGGGGGCTCAGGTCAAAGAGGCTATTACCAGGGTGGGCGATGACCAGGAGCAGCCAAGGGCTGGTACAGATGGGCCCAGGCGAATGTCAAGGCTCAACACTAGAGAGGCCCACTAGATGAATCCCAAAGGTGAGGTGCTGGACAAATGCAGAAGCCAGCGACATGGATGAGGAAGGAGAGGCAAGCCCCTATGCAGAGAGGCATGGTGTGGGGTTAATACTGCTGCCTGAGCCCATGGGTTCAGGCTACTGTGAGGAGAAGGCCTGGGTTAGGAGGGTCACGGACAGCAGAAGTTTGAAGTCTGGGCCCCACAGTAAAGATGCCACCATAGTGGCCAGGAGTGGTGGCTCATGCCTGTAATCCCAGCACTTTGGGAGGCCGAGGCAGGCAGATCACGAGGTCAGGAGATCGAGACCATCCTGGCTAACATGAGGAAACCCTGTCTCTACTAAAAATTCAAAAAAATATCTGGGCATGGTGGCGGTGCCTGTAGTCCCAGCTACTCGGGAGGCTGAGGCAGGAGAATTGCTTGAACCCGGGAAGCAGAGGTTGCAGTGAGCCGATATCTCACCACTGCACTACAGCCTGGGCGACAGAGCAAGACTCTGTCTCGAAAAAAACGAAACAAAACAGGTGCCACCATAGAAACCTGAACAAGGACGGACTCAGGAGGAGGATGTGGTCAGGAATGTTTGGGCTGGATCTCTGAGTTGTCTGGTCCCGCAGCCCAGGATGCAGCCCTTCTCCCTAAAAGGCCCAGGGGCAAACCTCCCCTCTGAGGCCACAGCTTCATTCACTCTGGCCTCACCTGCTGGCCCACCTCACTAGGCTCACCAGGCAAACCTGCCACCACAGCATGTCCTATAAATTTTAGGTACAGAGCAAATGCTAAACTAAAAAGCACGAGCACAGAAACCATTAACAATATACTGGTGATCTCATAATGCCACTGCGGAGATTTCCCAAATAAATAATTTCCTTTCCGACCACCAAGTATCATCATCATACAAACACAAGAAGTTTCCACTTACTTCCGGCCATTCCCCCTCAGATTTACATTCCCGTCGTGACATGGGACCTCGCTGCATTTCAATGCATTACTTAATCAAATGGTTCGCTGGTTGACCCCGGCGGGTCTTCAAGTTGGGATTATTTATGGATATGGTTTCTTGCATGGGGTCACTGTGGGGCCTAATCTACATATGTCTCTCAAGAGCTGGGAAGTTATTTGCATTAAGAACTCCAAGGTTTCTTGGGAGGACCTATAAAAGGGATGCAGAGTAGCTTATGGGCATTTTCTCTACATTTAGGGCGCAGGTGCCCAAAGGGAGACTCTAGCAAAACAGCCAAGAGAGCATGCTGGGAAAGCAAGCCCCCACCACAACTCAAGAGGGAGCCAGTCCACACTAGCCCTGCTTCCTGGGGCCACTCAGTTGCTACAGACTCCTCACTCCCTGGAGGCCTTTCCTGAAGAGGAGTGTAGACTTGTGAGCCAGACTGCAAGAGCAATTGTCTTCCACTACAGTTAGTTAACAACATTCCTAAAGCACATCCTGGGGCAGGAGGTGTGAGCCGAGACCAGCCACTGTGATCTTTACTCTCAAAAGCTCTTCAGTCCTGTGAATAATGAAAGACACCAACCAGGGCTGCGATTGGGTCTTTATGTTACTGTTTGGTATCTGGGTCTTTATGTTACTGTTTGGTATCTTCCCGGTATCTTCCCCGTGGCTTAAGCCTTCCAGCATTAGGAAATGTCCCTCCTTTGTCTCTAGTAACTTGCTCTGAAGTCTGCTTTATCAGATAAGAATATAGACACTCCTGCATTTTTTAAAATTAATGTTTGCATGGTATATCTTTTTCTATCCCTTTACCTATGTTGTTGTATTTGAAGTAGACTGCATAGGTTGAATCATGCTTTTTTAATCCACTCAGTCAATTTCTGTCTTTTAATTGGTATATTTAGACCATTTATATCTAAGGTAATTGTTGATGTCTTAGGGTTTAAATCTGCCATTTTATTGTTTTCTATTGTTTCTTTTGTTTCTAATTCCTCCATTTCTCTTATCTTCCAATGGGTTACTTGAGTATTTTTTAGGATTTCATCTGATGTACAGTCATGTGTCACTTAACATTGGGAATACATTCTGATAAATGTGACATTAGGTAATTTTGTCATTTTGTGAACATCAAAAGTGTCCTCACATAAACCTAGGTGGCATAGCCTACTACACACCTAGGCTGTATGATATAGCCTATTGCTCCTAGGCTACAAACTTGTACAGCATGGTGCTGTACTGAATATTGCAGGCAACCGTAACATAATGGTAAGCATTTGTGGATCTAAACATATCAAATATTAAAAAGGTACAGTAAAAATATAGTATATAAGATTAAAAAATGGTACACCTGTATCAGGCACTTACCGTGAATGGGGTCTGTAGGACTGAAAGTTGCTGTGGATGTGAGTGAGTGGTGAGTGAATGTGAAGGCCTAGGACATTACTGTCCACTTTTTGTTGTAGTATGGTACAATTTTTATAAACACTAGACACAGACTGCACTAAATTTACTTAAAAAAATTTTCTTCAACAATAAATTAACCTTAGCTTGATATAAAGTTTTCAACTTTATCCTTCAATGTTTTTAACTTTTTGACTTTTATAGTAACAGCTTAAAACACACACCCATTGTATAACAGTATAAAATATTTTCTTTCTAGAAGATATATAGAATAAGATGTAAATCTTAAATTCTATCAGATTTTTCTATTTTTACATTTATATATATATATTCTTTTTACTTTTTAAATGACTGACAGCACAATAGGTTTGTTCACACCAGCATCACCACAAATATATGACCAATGCGCCACGCTATGAAGTTACAGTGGCTACATCATTACTAGGAAATAGAAGATTTTCAGCTCCATTATAATGTTATGGGCCACCATTGTAGATGTGATCCATCACTGACTGAAACATCATTATGTGGCACATGACTTGTATTTACAGTGTTTTCAAGTATCTTGTTTTGCACCATTTTCTTAGTGGTTGCTATAGATATTACAAGATACACACATAGCTTATCACAGTCTACTGGTATTGAAGTTTACCACTTGACTGAAGAATAGAAACCTTACTTCCATTCTTGTCCCTTTACTTTCCCTGCTTTTTAGATATAATTGTCTCAAGTATTTTCTATACCTATACTGAACACCACATTAGATGGTGCTAAAATTTCTGCTTCAACCATCAAATATGATTTAAGGAACTCACGAGAAGTAGGATAGCCTATTTTCTCCTATTTTTACCCACTCTGATATCCTTTCTTCCTTTTTGAAGTTCCAGGCCTTCTTCTGTTATTATTTCCCTTATGTATAAAACTTCCTTTAGTCATTCTTAAAAAATAGGTCTGCTAACAACAAATTCTCTTAGTTTTTGTCTGATAATGTTCTTTATTTCCCCTTCATTCTTGAAAGATGTTTTCCCTTGATAGAGAATTTGCAGTTGGCAGCTCTTTTAATACTTAAAAAATGTTGCCCAGTTCCTTCTGGCCAGATGAGAAATCCACTGTCATTTGAACTGGTGTTCCACTACAAGTAATGACTGTTTCTTTCTGGGCACCTTCAAGAATTTTTTTTTGTCTTTAACTTTTGAAGTTTAATTATGATGTATCTTAGTATGAGTTTCACAGCATTTTGGTTTAACCCTTTTGGGTTTCACTCAGTCTCTTAAATCTGTAAATTTATGGCTCAACCCCACAGATACCTTCCCAGCAAAAATAGGGCAGGGCATAAACTCACCTTGCCCCCTTACCTCCAAGGGTGTGGGCTGTTTCCCCCCTGGGCCCCACTGACACCTAGGAAGGGGAAGGGAAATCAGAATCAGCTAGTGCCACCTCCTACTTCATTCTGCCTCTTTAATACCAGGTGTGAGGCTCTGCTAGCCACTGGACTTCATTCTACATGATCCTAATGGGGAAATAAGAGCACCATCTGCTTCCACAGAGCAGAGGATGGAAGTCTAACTACCCATTCAGCCCACAGAAAGCACCCAGCAGGTGCTCCCAGCACCATGTCAGAGACAAGAGATGAGGGATCTGCTTAGCCCTATTGAGTAGGTTAATTCAAGTGCTATTACCTACTCTGGCAGGGCAGGAAGGCTGTGGTACATCATCTCCCAGCTCAGCCCTGCTGAAATTCCAGGCTAAGGCATATATTAGTCCATTTTTCATGCTGCTGATAAAGACATACCCAAGACTGGGCAATTTACAAAAGTAAAAGGTTTAACAGACTTACAGTTCCACGTGGCTGGGGAGGCCTCACAATCATGGTGGAAGGCAAGGAGGAACAAGTCACATCTTACATGGATGGCAGCAGGCAAAGAGAGAGAGCTTGTGCAGGGAAACTCCCATTTTTAAAACCATCAGATCTCATGAGACTTATTCACTATCATGAGAACAGTATGGGAGAAAGTGCCCCTATGATTCAATTATCTCCCACCAGGTCTCTCCCACAACTCATGGGAATTATGGGAATACAATTCAAGATGAGATTTGGGTGGGGACACAGAGCCAAACCATATCGGGGGGATGTAGTTTTTCCATTGGTGTTTAGCTTAAGGGGGACAGATATTGCCGGAAATGTGTTCTGCTGTTAGGTCACCCATTTCTCAGTGTTTGGGGTATGGGGCACAGGCTTTTCTTGGAGATTTTTGTTGGCAGCTCTGGGTTGAAGCCTTATGTTGGATCCCTGTCTGGAATATACAGGAAGCAATAAAAAAAACCTGGGGGACCCACCACTGTGTTTCTCCTCCAGTTCTGAGGACACTGAGAAGTCTGCCATGTTTTTTCTGCCCTTTAGGATCTTTTTATGCTTTCTTGTTGTGTCATGTCCAGGGTCTTTAGTTGCAAGAGGAAGGAGCTGGGAGGAATAGGGCTACTTCACCTTGGTTGGAATCAAAAGTCTGATTATAGTTGGCATGTTTAGGAGAGGTCATATATGTGCCATCAGACCTGCAAATGAGACTAACAAATGCGCCATCAGACCTGCAGTTTCCTTTGGGGTTACAAGGCAATCACAATGTTTCCTCATAACCAAATGGGGTGGAAAAGTAGCTGAGAGAAAGAGCCGGTGAGTTTGCCAAAAGGTTGCTGTGACATGGAAGAAAAAGTTTTTATTGCTTTAAACATAATGCCTTTCCCACAAATTAAAATTAAGTAATGATCCAGGAACCTTGTACATTAAGCCAGTTTTCAAAACATAAACTACAAACTTTATAGAGCACAGCTCACTTTCCCATGTTGGGTGAATACATTTGGTTATTATTTCTTACTCACTAGGCTTTCCAAGGTGCTTACAAGAAAAACACCATAAGGACCATAAGTAAGCCAACATTTCTAGATTCTAAGTTCTAACATTTCTCAACGGTGGCTTTTTAAGACACTGTCTTTGAAGGCCCTTATGAAGCGTAACACACACAAGGTGCTGTGGTTGCAGCCAAGCATGCTGGAGCAGCATGCGTGGTTAATTTAAATGGGATTTTTGGGAAATATAGTGTGAAGGAACCAAATCAGTAAGATGACCATTGAAAGGAAGACTTTGATATGTTTCAAGGAACAGTGACTTTTGTCCCCAGTTTCTGACATTTTTTTAACAAGAAGTTTTTAAACATCGGTTTCTGAAGCAGAGCTGGAAATCTCTAAGCAGCCACAGTTCTTTGGTTGTGTCACATGGTAACTACAGGCTGTCTGCACTTTTTTGTTTAATCCTACCAGGAAATCTTTTTTCTTTTAAACTAGTTCAAAGCAGAGGATTTAATGGCCGTTTATCTGTAGGGAGAATTTTGAGAGGCCACTTTTTCAAATGGTGTCATGAGTCATGGTCAATGATGTGATTCTGCTTTAGCAGGTTATGAATGGGGCTGCTTTATTAACAAGCCAGAGCGGGGGCACCAGAGTCTACGTCAGTCTCATAGAAAAGGCATCTTTCAGGTACTTCTCTTCTGGGCATGACTTTGAAGCAAGAATAACCGTTCTGGCCCTTTGTTTGATTAAATGGCTTTGGGAACTGTGTTTCCGATCTCTGTGACAGGCTTATATCGCTTCAGTGGCTGTGGATTAGACAAAGGGTGTTGTGTGTGTGTGTGTGTGTGAAGGAGTTTGTGTGCAGTAGCAGGGAGGTCAAGGCAAGTTTTTTAAGAAATGAAATATATGAGGTACCATATGCGGGAGCAACCTTAGAATGCCAGGTGTGCCCGCATCAGGATCTAATGTGCAGTTACCATGGAGACCAGAGCTCCCTCAGCGCTGCAGGGCCTCTGTTTTCCCGCCCCTGAGGAGCCTGCTTGTCTAACAGGAAAAGGTGCTTTAACATACAGAATAATTAAGCCTTGAAGGCAAGCCTTCAGCAATTTCCAATTTGTTTTTCCCTGATCCACCCTAGAGTTTTTCCCCTGTACTCATAGCTCTTATGTGAACCAATGCCTTGTTGAAATGATAATAGTGACATTTATTAAGATGATACTTTGTGTTATACATACCATATCTACCCTCTGGAGTCAGTGTTTTATCCACATTTATGAGAAAATCAGCACTTCAAAAAAATGAGATTTCTCCAAAGCCGTAAATCTCTGTCCCAGTCAAAACCTGAACCCAGACCCATCTTGCTTCAGCCTGTGCACCAACTTCCTGCTAATGTGTGATGATGGTCATTACATTGGGAGTATGTCTTTACAAAGGATCACCCAGCTTTGTCCTATTTCGGCTTTTATAACTACATTCACACTAAAATCAGAGATGGGAACAGACTAAGAACTGAGAAGCATAAGAAAAAAATAGGATGTGAAGTTCCTGAAGCCTTTAGAATAATAGGTAGTGATTTATTCATCGGACACGCCACACCACGCTGAGGATGAATGGCTAAGATTTACTAAGCATCTGTATGTGTCACTCATTCTTTCAACAAACATGTATTGAGGTCTACTTATGCCAAACATTGTTCTAAGTCCCGTGGGTACAGCAGTGAAGAAAATGAAGTAGAAATCTGTACCCATGAGGACTCCCTGCTCCGAGCCTGTGCAGGCACCATGGCCCTGGGAACTTAGAAAGGGGTAAAATGTGGTCCTTATCCTAGAGAAGTTTTCCGTTTATGGTCCAAGACAGACACACAAGTAACCTAACTGTACGGCCCTGTGGCAAGTGCTGGACTCAGGGAAAGCATAAAGTGCTGTGAGTGTGGGTTACTGGGTGGGCCTGGGTGTTCCAGGGTTCTTCTCGCTCGCCTTTTAGATGATTAGAGCCTTCAAGAGACCTTGAAAGGTCCTACAGGTCCTCTGGGATCCTCCTGATCAACTTCTGGGAAGCTGGAATCCTCCCAGTGATGCATATGGGAGCCGGCCTTTAGCACGTAATGGCTAGTATACTGGGTCTCCCTATCTTATGCATCAGGCAATTGATAAGTGTAGGATTTTATATTTGTTCCTAACTCATTTCATTTTGCTCATTTCAGCTCTTTCTTCCATCCTACTGAGTCCTTATCCTAAATGTAAATCTGTACGTCCCAGCTTTGGGTCATCTGGAAGTTTGACATCTTCATCTTCACCTTCAATTAAAACACTTGGAGAACGGGGTCAAATACAAGGCTCTGTAACATGGAATTGAAGTCTTTTTTCTCGTTCAGAATAGGTCCATTAACTAATATCCTTTGATGCCATCATTCAACCAGTCAAGAACCCACCTATCATCTAAGTTGCATTTCTCTACCTGTCCACAAAGACATCACTGGAGGTGTTACCAAGTGCCTTGGCAAAGAGCTTTCTTCTGTCCCCAAAGAAACACATACTCCTATTCTGGTAAAGGGCTGGGAAGATGGAAATTGATTTGAAATCAAAATGTGAAGTGAGACTACCCAACTACCTGGCTCTGGCCATGCCAGCAAACTCAGAATTTTTGTTTACGCTTGGGCTTTATTGCATGGTGCCAAACTGTCAAACACAAATAATATGTTAGCAGACAACTGTCCCCATTTGTTTTCTTAATTTGTGGGCAGACAGACATGGTATCAGGGCAACACACGGAGTTCAGCATTAGAAATTAAATAAAATGTACAGCAAAGTAATTAATACATTTTAATGATATGCACTGTCATGGTAGTGCTACATGGAAATTAAATAGGAATGAGACATTCACAAAAATTGAAATAATTTCCCTACACAGACAAAAATCCCTGGGGTAGACTTGAATAAAAAGAGGTCTGAAAAGAAGGAAGATGGGACACAGGGGAGGGAATTAGGGCCAGGTTTAGGGGTAACTTCTCCCCTTTTTTAAACCAAGAAATTCCAAGGATTATAGTGTATCTTTGTCCAAGTGTTTCCAATCCCTGGAAGTGGCTGAATTTACAAGCTAGAAATTTGGGCAGGGATCACAGAATCTAAGAATACTTGTTCAATTTAAGAGAAAATAAACTAAAGAATTAGCTCCTGGGAAACCGATTCTAGTATTATTAAGAAACTAACATGAAAAGTAAGTACCTCCATCTATTAAGGCAAGCAACAAAGCAGGCTTTCCTATGCAAGAGTTCTTTGCCAGGGATGTCGATTCAAATCACCCAGGAAGATCTTCAAAACTTCAGATGCCCCCAAACCTACCAGATCGATCTCAAGGAAAGGGGTTTAAGGGGTTTAAGCGTGTGTGTGTGTGTGTGTATATATATATATATATATTTTTTTTTTTTTTTGAGACGGAGTCTCGCTCTGTTGCCCAGGCTGGAGTGCAGTGCCACAATCTCGGCTCATTGCAAGCTCCGCCTCCCGGGTTCACGCCATTCTCCTGCCTCAGCCTCCCGAGTAGCTGGGACTACAGGCGCCGGCCACCACGCCTGGCTAAGTTTTTTGTATTTTTAGTAGAGACGGGGTTTCACCGTGTTAGCCAGGATGGTCTCAATCTCCTGACCTCATGATCCACCCGCCTCAGCCTCCCAAAGTGCTGGGATTACAGGCGTGAGCTACGGCGCCCGGCCATTTTTTTAAGACGGAGTTTCACTGTGTTGCCCAGGCTGGAGTGCAGTGGCACAATCTTGGCTCACTGCAACCTCTGCCTCCTGGGTTCAAGTGATTCTCCTGCCTCAGCCTCCCGAGTAGCTGGGACTACAGGAGCGTGCCACCATACCCGGCTAATTTTTTGTATTTTTTTTTTTAGTAGAGACAGGGTTTCACCCTGTTAGCCAGGATGGTCTCGATTTCCTGACCTTGCGATCTGCCCACCTTGGCCTCCCAAAGTGCTGGGATTAGAGGCGTGAGCCACCGCTTCCGGCCAAGCATGTGTATTTTTTAAAGCTCCCCAAGTTGTTCTAATAATCCCCCTGGTTGAAAACCATTATGTGTATAGATTTTGTACATAGAGATAGTTAGAAATTGCAGCCAGAGAGAGAAAAGATTGGGGAAGTCAAAATGACTTATGTACGTAGGATACATAAAATGCTAGAATCTCAAAATGCATAATAAAGTTTAATCAGATTGCTTTCCTAACACCCATCACTTAGGGAAAATGTGAGCAAGTTTTCCTTCTGAAACTGACCACTCAGGTTGTGTTTTATTTCTCTCCCAGAAAGGGGTAAGATATCAGGAACAATTGAGCATTTTATTTTCCAATTGGGAAAGTAGCAATTCTTCTCTAACATTTTATTTTCCCAAGCTGATGTTATGAAGAAAGTACTGCAGTGAAGTCCTGTTGTGTGATCTGGAGCCAATCACCTCACTAGGCCTCAGTTCCCCTACTAGAGAAGCCAGAGCAGGCCAGGGGTGGTGGCTCACGCCTGTAATCCCAACACTTTGGGAGGCTGAGGCCGGCAGATCACGTGATGTCAGGAGTTTGAGACCAGCCTGGCCAACGTGGTGAAACCCTGCCTCTACTAAAAATACAAAAATGAACCGGGTGTGGTGGTGGGTGCCTGTAATTTCAGCTACTCGAGAGGTTGAGGCAGGAGAATTGCTTGAACCTGGGAGGCGGAGGTTGCAGTGAGCAGAGATTACACTATTGCGCTCCAGCCTGGGCAACAGAGCCAGACTCTGTCTCAAAAAAAAAAAAAAAAAAAAAAAAGGAAAAGAAAAAAGAAAAGCCAGAGCACTAGATAAGATCTCTAAATGTCCACCCAACCCTAAAGCTTTCCGACTTTCCAATTCTGAAACTCCCAAATAAGAAAAAATGTAAATGAAAAACAGGAATTCAAACTGAATAGCCCAGTCAACCAGAGTGGTGGGCAATTGGCTGGCTGTGAGGTGCACAGGAGCCGGATGCCCCAGAGTAGAGCGTGTTATTGTTCTCAACCACACAGTCTCCCTCCCTGGTAGAGGATGGCACATCACCCACTGCCATGGGAAGCCTTGCAAAGAGAGTAACATTTCCTGGTTCTAATGACAGGAAGTTTGGCTGTATGACTTGTTTTGGCCAATGGAACCCGAGCAGAAGTGACATATGGCACATCGAAGAGAAGTCTTAGAGCCCCTGAATGTTGCTGAGCCCTCTTGCTCTTTTTCCTATGCCACCAGAATAGAGATTACTGAAGACATCCTGGTTCTCAAAATGAGATGATGCGCAGAGCAAAATCACAGCCATAGCAGAACTGCAGGTGACATATGTATGTGAACAAGAAATACCTTTTTCATTCAAACCACTGGGATCTTGGGGTTATTTGATTAGCTCAGTCTTACTTAGAGGAAGCTGGCTGACTCATCACCCTTCACTGGGCATATGTGATACAAAGAATGACAGGGATGGCTTGACCGACACACACCCTCAGAATGAGAGCTCCTGGCAGCAGAAGCCTTGCCATTTCAAAAGAACCATGGACACCAATGATACACAACTATCCAAATATGTAGTGCCAGCTGCTTCCCACAGGAATTTGGGGCTGGCATGACACAGTTGTCATGGCCATGCCCCTCATTCACCATATCTCCAGTTAGAATTCAATCGGCCAAAGGAGGACTCTGGACTCATCATCTGGAAAACCCAGGCCACTCCTTAATTACTGAATCCTCTAAGTTGCAGACTTTGGTCCTATCCCTGGAGCCAAGTCATGTGACCTTGAATCTCAATTCGGAGAGGTCATCGCCATGGGCCAGACTGTGTTCATATTTCTTGTGGTTGCTGCTCTGAATCAAAACACAAGTCATTTAAAAATTTCTCCCAGAACAAATGAACTCTCTAGCTCAGTCTGAGAAACACTGGAGTCAATAATCTGTAATAGAGGAATCTGAAAGCATTACCTAATCTGGACATAATTTTCCTCACCATTTCACAGGTGGGTACCATATCTACCGGCAACACACATCAACCTGATGCAGCAAATTAGGGCAGGAAAAAGAGATGAATTTTCCAAGTGAAATGCCAGGACAATTTAGGTAAGACGAACATGGTTAGTCTTACCTAAACCTGCCCCTGTTTATCAGTCTTTGTCCAGAGAGCAATGTGCCTGTGACTTTAAGAGAAAAAATCCCAGAGAACTAATTAGATTTACAGTCTGTGAACACAGTCAAAATAAAAAGCTCAAATCTATTTTTTTCTCATACAGCCTGAGGGCAATAGCCAAAAGAAATTACTATTAAGTGTGAGTAATGCAAAACACATTGTGCGAATTTCAATCTGAGATGTGTGAATCTAATATACAACTGCAAATTAGGAAGCACCTTTTGAGTTTCAAAATAGGCTCAGTTCACAAGTGGAACAAATTCTACCTCATAGACAACTTCAAGATGGGCTAAGACCAGATGTGGGCCTGGAAAAATGGAGGGAAATGTAGCACTGAAAAGATATTGTGACCGGCAGCTGTATCATCATCCACGGCAGGTAAATATTAAAGCACTGAGAGGAATGCTTTTGCCAAGTCAGCATGGCTGCAGGACCTGCTGCTGTGGGGCAGCCACCTTCCCTCTTGAGAAAGCAAGCAAAGCAGTTTTATCAGGGACTCAGTAAACAGAAATCAGCCGGGTGCAGTGGCTCACGCCTGCAACCCCAGCACTTTGGGAGGCCAAGGCATGCAGATCACCCGAGGTCAGGAGTTTGAGACCAGCCTGGCCAACGTGGTGAAACCCCATCTCTACAAAAATTAGCCGTGTGTGATGGTGGGTGCCTGTAATCCTAGCTACTCGGGAGGCTGAGGCGGGAGAATCGCTCAAAACAGGGAGGCAGAGGTTGCAGTGAGCTGAGATCGCACCATCGCACTCCAGCCTGGGCAACAGAGTGAGACTCCATCTCAAAACAAAATAAAACAAAACAAAACAAAGCAAAGCAAAAAACAGAAATCAATATAAGGCACCTTCAAGCTACAAAATATGAAAGAAAATTGAATTTTGTATGCATCTTGATCATGTCCACAGACTAGACAATGACTTTGCTCCAGATTACTGCTTAGGAGCTGATTTTGAATCCCAGCTCTGTTGTCATCATGCAGTGAATTCAGTTTTTCCTATCAGTGCTCTTCGGAACTGCTTTGCATACAGGGTCCTAGTGAAGAAAGGAGGTTTTTTTTTTTTTTTTTTTTTTTTGTATGCTAAGGTTCTCATTTCCCATCGGGGATTTGAGCACCTACAACTTGCAAAACCCTGTGGAGGAGGCAACAATGAGAGCGCTCCTCGTCCTCACAGAGCTCTCCATCAACAGCTGTCAAAGAAATCATGCTAAGGGGCAAACGCAACTATACAGTAAATCATCCGGAAGGTGGGGACCATCACCCACCCCTGGGTTAATATTCCCTCCTTAGCCACCTGGCAAACACCTCTGCTTGCTTCAGCACGTGGCTGACCTCACCTCCTCCAGACCATTTCTCAGGTGCATGCTGTTATAACCACACACAGTATCCTATGACTGCTTCATGGCTTTCTCTACCAGGACATGAGTTCCTTGAGGACAGGAGTTGTGTCTCAAATTTGTTGGCATTCAGTAAGTTGGACTGATATATAGGTGTAAATAATAGGCCTATAGAAATACTTGTATGAGATTCAAATTAGAATAGACAAAAATAAGTCCTCGTGAGAGTCTCCAGACTCCCTCCCTGTGTAATCTCCCATGGGCTGCACAGAAACTTTCGTTATGAAAGACCTTGGGAAAGTCCCCGTTATGGAACCTGAGACCCTCGGACATTATATAATGCTTTTTCTTGTGAAAAGCAAATGAGACTAACAAATCATGACTCTAGTCTGCAATTCTTAAGCAAAGTAAACAAAATCTGTGTGATTTTCTCTAGAAGGTATGTTTCATAGCTGCAACAGGAAAGACAATGTGTAATGTTTGTAAATCCCCTATTTGAAGTGCCTCTTTATTGAGAAATTATGCTTTGCTTCTATTGAAAATAGAGACTTTTGATGATTAGTGTGCTAAATGAGGCAAGAGTTCTAATTCAGTGCTACCAGCAACTTCCATTTTTTGGTTCGGGTATTAAAATAGGTGAGAACAGAACCTCTTCTCCTCCTTCCTCTCCCACCTTTGCTGGAAAAGGTGCCAAATAGCTCTCACAAGCCCTCAGCAAAATGCCTCCATGCGCATATGTCTACCACGGCCACTAGGTAAGCCATGCCAATCATGGGGCTCAGAGCCTCCTGGATGATTGATGAACTCCACTTCGGAAAAAGTCTGAAGGCAGTGTGGGTATTGCCTAGATACAGCTCAGACTGTATTTCTCAGGGAATAAAAGGGAAGGGGAATATTTTTGTCCACTACTAGTATCCTAAGACTTCTGTAACACTGCGATAAAAGTATCAGAGTATATAGTCTAGTTCAGGGAAGAGAAGGGCCCCTAATTTTGGCAGACCCCAAAACAGCCATTCACTCTTTGAGTCAAAAATGGCTCACTGAAAGTCAGACTGACCTGTTCACAACGACTGGCAAGCTTAGGAGTATTACCCTCACTGCATCCACTTTTTTCAGAGGGAGCGACAAAGAGCCAGGGTACACACGTGGACCCGCATTACTTGCAGTGGGGAAAAAAACTCCACAAAAATAAAAAGAGCTAACCTGTGATACGCTGGTAAACTAACTCTTCCAGGGGGATAGGGGATAGGTAAAGCCCTGATGTGTAGTGTTTGCCAATTTCCATGTGTGAATCCTCTCACCGCGGCTACAGTTTCAGCTATCAACGGTGGAAAGGCTTGCGACATTCCTTAACATTCCACAGTTGGCTTTGGGACAGCCTGGTATGTACCAGCCCTCGCACATCACTGCAGCTAACATTAAGGGTTTGTATGGTGCCGTGATAAGCACTTTAAATTCAGTATCTCATTTAATCTTCCCAATGGTCCTACAAAGGAAGGTCCTGTTATCATCTCCATTTTGAGGTGAGATAACACAGCCACAGAGAGGATAAGTAACTTGCCCAAAGTCCCACAGCTTAGAAGTGGTACAGCTGAGGCTAGAATTGTTTTCTGACTGCAGACTTGAAGTTCTCACAATACCCAAATACATCTCATGATCCAAAAGAGGCCTGTTTTAAATAGCCAATAAGTATCTAGCCAAATAGCAGGAACAGTGCCTTGGCCACAGGAGGCACAGTCCAAATAAGACCAACTATTTGTGGCTTCTGTCAACCTTCTTCACCCACTCACAGCAGAACACATAAGGATTCCTTTCCCTTGAAAACTCGATCCTCTCCTTCCTTGATTCTTCCTTCCAGTCTGACTCTCAAACCTTAACACTTTCCTGTTAGTGACTAAGAGTCTCTGTTCCTCTCTTGGTCCTCCCTTGAACGATTCCAATACCATGTACTATAACTGAAGAGCCCTATTCCTTTTCCAGGAACAAAGAGAGGTCACCAAGCAGCTGTGTTGCCCTAGGGAGCTGGCAGCTATCTAAATGTCCTATACTAGCACAAGAAGCACAGTGAGCTGGTCCTTCCCCAGGGGATGTTTTTAACATCAGATGGAGAAACTGTTTTTGACACTGGCACAGGGATCACTGCTGACTTTTTAAAAAGGAATGAACAGTGACATATTCATATCATATCTAGAAGTCAGGAATAATTTTAAGACTGAGGAGAAATAAAAACTCAACAGAAATTAAGCGTGTCTTAAATCTTTCAAGAACTATCATGTCTAGACTGATCAAAATCAAGAAAACCACCACTGGGATAGTTAGAATCCCCAGGCATTTGAGGGTTAGGGAGGAAGGCAGAGAGAGGGCAGATGCCCAGGGCCTGACCCTGAGAACCTGATTGGCCAGGTTCAAACGATAAAGAGACTCACAATGGCCTGTCAGGAATAGCATGAAGGATGAGCCCCCAGGTGGCCAGGAAACCAGGCATGGCTGCTGCTGCTCACCAGGCCACTCATCAAATGCGTCACTGAGTAATCCGCACAGAGGAAGCTGGGAGAGGGCCAGGGCTGCAGCCAGTGGCACCCTGCAGTCCAGGAGGAGGTCTGAAATTGCAAGCTGTCCACCATTAACAAGTAATGAAATCAATTTCCTGGGGCAGGTCCAGGAATTTTACAAAATGAAACCAATTAGAAAATGTCAGAATGTATCATATATAATAAAGGCAAAGCTATTGTTTTATTAAATTTTTGCTGTATGCACAGAAACAGGCTCATATACATATTTAGGTTAAATGAAATGCTTACTTCCTCTACTCTACAACTTTATTCTTTTTTTAAAAAAGGGATGAGAAAATAATTACTATATGAAAGAAATCCATGTTACATAAAGAAAAGTGATGTTGGGAAATGTTTTTCCATTGTTACATGATTTTGTTGTCAAAAACACTGAGCCTCTTTTTTAAGAACTCTAATATGTGCAACTTAAAATAATTGTCCTGTTTGTTTTAAAATCTTCCAAATGAAGAGGTGCAATAGGTTCTGAACATTCAACATAAAATGCAACCTTTCAATTAATTTGCAAGAACTGACATCAAGAAAGACGCAAATAGCCAAATAAACACTTCTGCTTAGTGGGCATGATTTTAAAATGAAGCTCATTACTTCAGATTGCAGCCAATAATCTGTTTCTTCCACTTGGATCTACACACCTTTGTGAAGTTACACTTTTAGCTGTAACAGTCATTAAAACTAAGCATTGAAATAAAAATGAAATCATTGTCCCTAAATTGTTATCCTAAGATTTAAAAAAAAATAAAGTATATTTAATGTCATGGCTCTCAATGAAAATATTACTCCTATTTTTTGGAAGGATTTTGTAGCAGTAAGATTACTTTTCAGTGTCTTCACATTATAGTCTTCCATATTTCTACATTTCATGGATTTTTATAAATTATATACAAGCACTACTATAATTTACAAGTATCCTTAAACTACCAACATAGTAACAGTGTGTAACTCACACACACTTTATTGTTAACAAAGCCTGAAGAGCACTGTCCTAGGTGAGAGTGACAGTGACAGTGGTCAACACAATCCTGCCCTATGGGTCAAATGAAATGGGGTCAAGAGCTATGATTGACTCTTACTTAGGCCAAGGGCTTCTGGGAGACAGAAGGGCAGACACTGATTTGATGTCTACAAATATTGCTTTAAAAATTTTTTATAATTTTATATTTCTTTTACAAAGTAAATAATTATCATATGAAAAAATACAAAGTAAAAGGTAAAAGTCTCCCTTAATGCAAGAGGTTTTGCATTTTGATTTAAATAAAGACAATTTTAAGTGCTGGTTTTAAAAAGGAATTACCATGAAAGTTTTTTCCTAAAATACTAAGAATTCATCTATGGCGCGAACTAATGAAATATGTAAGAAATTAGTTTATATTTTGAAAAGTACACAAAAGATGTTTTTATTGTCTAATAATCCCATACTAAACAACTCAGGGAAAAAGTTTCCACTAAAAATAGGAACTGATTATTTCTTGTGATGAACAAATATGTATTTTACACAATTCCCTAATGAGAACCAAGGAAAATGGTGCCTTTCTTTTAACACGAATATTTCTGAATGCGGTTTCTAGCTGCCTTGAACAAACTCCCTTCTTTTGTTGCTACGTTTCTGCAAATCTCTTCCAGATCCACTGCGGTTTATGACATTCTATCCAATTAGTTGTCAACATAGTTCCTTTTACCTTCACTGTGATGACTTTACTTTTGCTAAGAAGATTTCATGCAATCAACCTGTTCAATTAAGGCTATACAAAAAGCTATTCTCAAAAACCTACTGCTAGGCAACAGAAACGTGTTGAACTAAATCTCAGGCGAAAAATATTTCTAAATAGAGATGAGAACAATTGTAGTCACTTCAGAATAATTAATACAAAATACAAAATAAATTTTGTTAAAATTTGTAAGCACAGGTAAACACACACAAACCTTAAATGAGTATTTTCACATGTATGTATATGTGTGACTATGTACTGTATACATATTTGGCATACATGGTAGATCCCCAATAACTAGCTGACTTAGTTTAATATGTTTGCTCAGCCGCCCACCTCTGTCACCTTTGCTATGAATTTGAGAACACAGTATGGAATGTCAGTGTTCTGCGTTTTCAAGAGAGCACAGTTATTGCAAACCCTTTGCAGTTAGTTGCTTTGAAGAGCAACAAATGAGGTGAATTCTTATGGTAAAGGCAGAATAGTTTATTATCCTAAATTCACAACTAGGTTAGATTTTGAAATATGGGCTTTGTATTGCAAACCAAACTAAAACATTTCATCCACATTTATTTATCTTTGGGGAAAAAAGTTTTGATTGGAAAAAGGCTTTTAAGGGCTAACAGAATTCATGAGAAGAGTTCCTCAGGCTTCTTAGAAAGCTAATTCTTCTTAAGAAACAACTTTGATAAGTGTAAATGAATCAGAAACATATGGATTAAATTTCCCCTTAAACAAACACTTTAAAAAGGATTTAAAAATTAAAGGAAATATGTTTAGTAAAGTATATTTGAGAAATGTTACAAAACATATTTCAAAATGTTTGGAAAATAGCTTGAGGTATTTTACAAAACCCAAATGAAGTTCAATTCATCCACATCTAATTACGTAATAATTACTAACACTATAGTTTAGGATTTTTGTTATGGAATACAGTGGTCATACCATGGTTATTTGTTTAAAAAATTATTTAAGATGTAGTAATTGACAGACGTTTTGAATATTCAGACGAGATTAGGTGTGTTCAGATGGTGTGGCCATGGTATTTTGAACATTCAGAATTAACTTTGTTCTGGTGCTTCAAAGTTGAACAATGAGCCCCATCCATGACTTGGTGAAGCCCCTATGACAACTATGCGTCCAGCTAAGGACTCTGAAGCTGTCATCCAGTCAGCAGAGGACTGCTGGAGATCCCAGGAATAAAAGTAACTGTTAGAGCTCAATGTCACCTAAGTTGGTGGCCCAAATATGATTCATGGGAATTCTTAAAATGATTAGTTCATTTCATTAAGCATTGCCCTTAAAAACAATAGGTATATATTTGCACTGTGATAGAGCAAACGGCAGCCATTAGTCTCAAATGCATTTAAATCCCAAAAGAGCCCTCTTTTCTTGCCTTATTAACATAAATTCTGAAACAGAACCTATCACAGTAGTCTACCTAAAAATCTGACAAAAAAGCATTAAGAGAAAGGGAAGGTTAAAAATTGATTCATAACCTCAGAAAAATGGGTGAATGCAACATTTTAAAAACTGAGTGCTTTTTGTGTGTTTTTAACATTGTTGAGAGTAAGCTTAGAATATGGCAAGGGAATGGGTTCTGGAACCAAACTGACCTAGGTTCCTATCCTTCTTCACTTCTTAGGAGCCGTTCAACTAGAGCAAGTCACTCTATAAGCCTCAGTTTTCTCTTCTGAAGAAAAAGAATAAGAATAAATATATCTTTTAGGGCTAATGTATGAATTTAGTAAATAAAAATATCTAGCACAAACATTATGTTAGTTCCAATCCTATGATGTCAACTTATCTTACATTTCTTATTTTTAACCATCATCAGCTCGGGTAATTGTATTGGTATCTGCTAGAGTCTTAAAGGTCCTTAACAAATGTTCTGCCATCTGACTTGCTTTAAGCCTTGTCTGCAGCATTCTTCAAGATCAGAAACAGATATAAGTTCTGCTTCCAGGTCAGAATATGATCTTGAACATATATTTTTAAATTTTCATGGGTTCAACTCTTCACCTGTAAGATGAGGGGACCAAGTCATTTGCTCTTAATTTCAGCTCTCAATGCTGTAGGTTGCTGGTGAGTCTCTCAAAACTTACAGGGAAGGTCTTAAGAAGATATTAGAATGGGTAAAACTAGGAAAGAGTTGCCCATCAAGCTTTTCTGATTGTAAAAAGGATAAGAAGTAACCACCAAGCACATGTGCTCTCTCCCCTGATCCCTTTCTGCCCTGTTCTGGGTGTAGCAGGAGCCAGAGGAATGCCCAGGTGAAGCCCCACGTCTGCCTGGCCAGGTGCAGTTGAAGTGGTGACATCCAGCCAGGGAGGGGGAGGAGCACCTGAGTACCAGCCTCCAGCCTTGGGGCATCAGTTGTTGGAACCAGCCAGGTGAGACCTGAGCCCACCCTGCCTTTCTGCTTATCATTAGAAAGGTAGCAGCTGATGCTGGGAAGAGACGGAGCCAGGCAATGCTTCCATCTTCCCTCACGATTTCTAGTTAAATTCCTGGCATCTCTGGGCAAACACTCCAACACTGTGCCATGCTCTGCCATGGGAGCCAGGTCAGTCACAGGTGGCACTGGTCATATGCACTGGAGAAAGGACTGCAGGGAGAGTGGGAGGGCTCTAGCCACAAATGTCTCCTGTCTTTGTCCCACTTAACCTAATTCTTTTTCTTTATACCCCCCAAGAGACCGAAACCTCACTTAAAGCCACAGGAAGAAAATTACGGCTGGGGCCATGGCATTAAATTGTTGCTAGGTCCCTTCCAGTTATAAATATTACACAACTGCATGGCAGCATAATTATGCAAAAATATCTACTTCACACTTGGTCCACCAGGAGCACTTCTGGGATCCAAAGATAGAGGTAAAAAGGCCGCGGATAGCCCAGAGAAACGACACACAGCACTAGAGCCCAAAGAATAGACCTCCCTACCACTCCTCATCCCTAAACTGCAGTACTCATTTACACATGATGCTAACAAGCCTAACAACTATTTCTCTAGGTTCACTGAAGACTAGAAATAGGACACTGAAGAGGAAGAAAGGCTGATAAGAGACCAGTGGAAATGTTATAAAAGCAAACATCAAAATTCAAAGACCAGTCAGTGAGAGAGCTTTAAAGAAAAAAAAAAGCTGTGCTACCCCTCCACTAACTGCAGAGAGTGGCATAAAACAAGGGACTGACTGACCTCATAACAACTCTGAATCCTAAAGAAAAGGGTAAGTTCCAATTCTTCAGTTTACAAACTCAAGGAACAAATGTGATATGCTTTAGCAAAGTTTCAAATTGATAAGCATGTGAAAAAATGTTCCACATCATCTGGAAACTGCAATGGAAACAATGAGGTACCGTTACACACCTATCAGTGAACCTAGTGAAACAGCTGTTAGGCTTGTTAGCCTCATTATTGCTATTAGAATGGCAAAACCCAAACTACCGACACTACCACATGCTGATGAGGATGTGGAGCAACAGAAACCTTTATCCATTGCAAGTGGGAATATGTAACGGTACAGCCACTTTGGAAGATAGTCTGGTAGCTTCTTATAAAACTATACATACTCTTACCATACGTTCTGGCAATCACATTCGTATTTACTCAAGTTGAAAACTTATGCACTTGCAAAAACCTGCACATGAATGTTTATAGCAGTTTTACTCATAATCGCTAAAACTTGGATGCAAACAAGATGTCCTTGAGTAGGTGAATGGATAAACAAATTGTGGTACATCCAGACAATGGAGTGTTATTCAGTGCTAAAAAGAAATGAGCTATCGTGCTACAGGAAGACATGGAAACTTAAATGCATACTGCTAAGTAAAAGAAGCCTGTCTGAAACAGCTACATACGATTCCAACTATATGACATTCTGGAAAAGACAAAACTAGAGAGTCACTAAAAGGCTCAGTGGTTGCCAGGAATTGGGAGGCGAGGGAAAAATGAATAGGTGGAACACAGGGAATTTTTAAGCAGTGAAACGATTTTGTCTGCTGTTGTAAAGATGGATACATGACATTATGCTTTTGTCAAAACCCATAAAAGTGTATAACACAAAGTGAACCCTAATGTCAACTACTGTCAATTACTGAATAATAATGCATCAACATCAGTTGATCAATTATAACAAATATACCACACTAATGTAAGATGTTAGTAAGAGGAGAAACTGGGGCGGGGGTTGTAAGTAAATGGGAGCTCCAAATTTTCTGCTCAATTTTTCTGTAAACATAAAACTGCTCTAAAAAAAATAAAGTCTATTAACTAAAAAAATTGTTTGGAGGAGGTCATAAAGTAAGACTTAGTCATCTAGAAAATGCACCATATGGAACATCTACTTTGCAATGGTGCTACACAAATAAGACAAGTGTATTGATTATGCCAGTTGGAATTAACTGAAAAAACACACATCTTACCTGCATCAACCTTGAAATTATTGGCATAAGCACAGCAAATACAAAATGTCAGGTTTATAATATGTGATTTTATGAGAACAAAAATCTGGGGAAAGCCATCCCTTACTAGTGAGGGGTTTGTTGCTCCCACTGGTGGCAAGAAGTGCACCCGTGACTATAGGTCAAAATGAACCACAAAGAAAGCGATGACAACCAACACTCTATAAATTTATTACCAAATATAACCTATGCACAAACACAGCTAAGCTAATGAGATTAGCAAAGTAGCAGCACAAAAGGTAAGGAAAAACACATTTAATAAATACAACTTGGAAACGTCTTTTTCTTTAAATTAGGTTCAAATACTGGGAGACAAACACTGAAACAAAAGTCTTAACAACGCACTTACAAGCCATCATAACATGCAGTGATCCTGCGAGACACTGTGTCCACTCACAGCCATGTTAACTGGGGGCCACTCCCTGCTGCCGTACCATCATATGAATATACATTTGTCAGTAAAAATGTGACAAAAATGTGATGTTTTTCCAGGTTTGTGTGTTTTCATAAAGTTACTCAGGTTTTTAGAGAATGAACATAGGAACATGTAGGATCCACAATTTTTAATGTCATCAGGTTAGTTTGTATTTACAAAACTCTAAGAAAATAGATGTGTGTTATGTTTGGAACTGCTGCTTTGAATGCAATACATCCAAATAATGAAGCTGACCATAACAAAGACGGGAAAAGTAATTCAGACATTTCACAGAGGCCTTATTTGGAATACAAACACTTTGCTAGAGAAAGAAAGATGGAATATTTTAAACAATTTCAAGATTAAAAAGAAAAGTTAATGGGAGGAGGGCAACAGCAGGAGGGAAGGATGTGCTTAAAAGAAACAAATCTGCATAGATGATGAACTGAATTTAATTCAATTCATTCCTGCCTAAAACTAAGCCTGGTTAACTGAGGTAGACTCTGGGAATTACACGTGCAAAGAGTCAGGTTTTCCAAAGGGCGATATTTTGTCATTTCAGATATGGTAAAGTAAAAGTGCATTTTATAGTTTCGAACAATCAAATGGGAGTCCTTTTATAAGAGGGAAACTTCTCTATACAAATTCCCTATTTTTTTGTGTCAAATTTCCATATGTACAAAAACCTACACACTGTTGGTAATAAAGCAATATCTAGGGTTTTTTTCATTTATTTTCTCAGAAAATGAGAAAGGTAAAATAAATTTTATGACATTACCTAAATATTTTTCCTGTTTTTATTAATAAGTCACTGGGAATTTAGAAATATCATTAAAGCTAAACAGTTGTCTGGAGCCAAAAAACCTAATAAAAATTCAAAGATCTATTTGTTAATGAGGTGAATGTTTAAAAATATATCTATTATCCTAATAATTTGATTATTAAAATACACAATTTCCACATTAAGAAACAAATATTAAAAGCAAATGTCAAAAAAATTTAAGTATGAAAAGCCTAATTTAAAAGTATAAATAAGTAAACTTACAATAATTACAACAGAGTTTTTAGCTTTTTCTGTAAAAATAGTTAGTGGAGATGACAGTAAAACATTCGAGGCTTAAATATTTTTACCCCCCTAACATGTCCCCTAAGTATAATTTCTGCTTTTTCCTATTGTGACATATTCTCAGGTTCACACAAATATTACGTGCATCACAAATTAAGTGGTTTCTTTAAAATATACAATCAAAACAGTTACGGAAAAAAAGATACAAAAAAGAGAATAGTTAGGATTTTTTCCTCATACAAGTTAAGGTGGCCTTTTCTTGGAAAAGGCCAGCATTCACCCTTAACATTTTATGCCTGTCATACAGAATATACCCTAAACTGATTTATCACTAATAAAAGTTATCTTAAGAGTGGGAATCCACTATTAGGCAAAGAAAGACTCAATAACCTAGACAATACTGAAGGAACCGAAGTCCACTCACACAACATGAAATACTTGCCTAGTCCTTCATTTTATCTCAAGTTAGGGTGGGGGGAAAGTGAATCACAGCTACCTCAGCTGGTTAGTGTTTTATGATTCTCATCACACATTTAGCAGTGTATATAAAAACTTATTCCTAAGGAAGGAATTCAAATGAACTCAAGCTGTCCAAAACCTAGAGTACTAATAATTTCATGTTCAACAGAGTCAGGCTATACAAAACAAAGTCAAAGAATGACAATCATACTGTAAATTTGGGTTGTACACACACATTTTCCCCTGATGTATGTGTATGACTGTCCATAGATTCACCAGGTATTGGTTTGCTTACTTTTTGAGTAATTCGTGCTTTCAGCCTATGTTTTGAGAGTGAAATATGACATCACAATCTCAGAAGCTGAAATTAAGCCCTGAGCTATACAGCTAGACCACCGCATGTTTTCCCCTTCCAAAATGGCTAGGTATTGTGGGAGGTAGTGGTCAGACCCGAAAGTGTGTAGATAAAGTCTGTGATGCCACCATCTATTGTCTACTTGGATCACTAGAAGGTTGCAGCTTCCATTAAAGAGGTGTTTATTTTACTAATATTAATTTCCTTTAAAAAAAGAAATTATGGGGGCAAAAGGTTTATAGTAAACATGTCATGCTTATAATAAACAGGCAGCTTGGGAAATGGTAAAAATTGTTCATTAAAATAGATCCATAATAGTTACACATTATTCAAATAAATGTATATCAGTTCTAATTTCAAAACAGATTTAAAGTGCAAAAAATAGGGGAAAAAAACTTTTATATATTTTTCCAAAGCACAAACAGATTACTATGCCTCTCCATCAGTGATCTAAACTCTTGTTTCAGTAGTAGAAGCCAGAAGCTATACAGAGTCGTTAGAGAAACTGCCAAGTTTGAACTGTACTCTCTAGTCCAGCTTTGTCTTGGTCCACAGAGCTCCTACTCACTGTGTCTTGGACCAACCAATACACGTCTACAGAATGAAGGGACTATCTGATCAGATATCTGCAAAGCAGACTTAGCTTAGTCCTACAGTCATTGTGCTGCAGAACTCAAAATACTCATGTTTTCAGAGGAATTAAAGGAGCCAAATATTTTTCCTTTGATAATGCATCTGCTACCGCAACACTGAATAACAAAACAAAACGAAGCAAAACAATTCAATCTCATTCTGGGTAAGGCAACACACTGTCTTCTGCAATAAAGACAGTCAGAGTGTGTGTGTGTGTGTGTATGTGAGTGTGAGTGTGTGTGTGATGTACATTAAAAGTTAGGGCTGGGCACAGTGGCTCACGCCTGTAATCCAAGCACTCATTCTGGTAAGGCAACACACTGTCTTCTGCAATAAAGACTGTGTGTGTGTGTGTGTGTGTGTGTGTGTGTGTGTGTGTCTCACGCCTATAAGGCAACACACTGTCTTCTGCAATAAAGACTCTGTGTGTGTGTATGTGTGTGTATGTGTGTCTGTCTCACGCCTGTAATCCTAGCACTCATTCTGGGTAAGGCAACACACTGTCTTCTGAAATAGTGTGTGTGTGTGTGTGTGTGTGTGTGTGTGTGTGTGTGTGTGTGTGTGTGTGTGTGTTGTATATTAAAAGTTAGGGCCAGGTGCGGTGGATCACACCTGTAATCCCAGCACTTTGGGAGGCCAATGTGGGCGGATCATCTGAGGTCAGGAGTTCGAGACTAGCCTGGCCAACATGGTGAAACTCTGCCTCTACTAAAAATACAAAAAAATAAGCCGGGTGTGGCGGCAACTGTAATCCCAGCTACTCAGGAGGCCGAGGCAGGAGAATGGCTTGAACCTGGGAGGCAGAAGTTGCAGTGAGCCGAGATCATGCCACTGCACTCCAGCCTGGGCGACAGAGCAAGACTCAGTCTCAAAATAAATAAATAAATAAAATAAAATAAAATAAAAGTTAAATAGAACACCTGAGGGATGTCTTTAAGATCCTTTAAGGGATTTAAGATATACAAAGCATCTACCATCCACTGACAGGGCAAAATGAGAAACAAGGGAAATAAAAAGCACACCTGACTCACTTAACATAGTAAAGTTAGGCTCCCAGGAAGTTTAAGTTGCCAAATACTGCTTAACTGGTATTAAAAGAATCACAATTACTATGTCATTATCCATGAAGAATTCAGAAAAATAATTAAATGCACACCAAGATAATCAATACAAAACCCAGAAAAGGTCTAACTAATCAACTATTGTTAGGCTGGTGCAAAAGTAATTGCGGTTTTTGCCATTGAAAGTAATGGAAAAACCACAATTACTTTTGCACCAACCCATTACAAACAAGTTTTAACAATCACAAGACTAATGTTTTAGTGACGGCTCCTAAAACTTCAGGGAAAAAAAAAGTGCATTTCTGACTGGCAATAGTTTGCAAAATAATCGTAATGAAACTACTTATTTCTTTATTTTAAAAGTTAATAAAAGGAAACCTCTCAATTTTTAGGAAGAATTCAATTACAATAAAATCATGATGTCTTATGATCTGGCATCTTATAATCTGTGTCTCAGAAAGAAGGGCAATTTACAGCATCAGATGAATACTGGAGTTTAGGTCAGACTTAAGTTATCTGAAAAGAACATAAGGCATTTACAGTTTTTAGCAGGGAAAAATAATCAAATCTCTTTTTTTAAAAAAAACCTTCTTAGTATCTTGGTTAAATGTCCAAAAAGCTGTATTATTTTTAGTTTTAAACCAGTAGGCACTATTCGAAACTGAGAATTCAGGATGTTATCAAATACAAATTTTTAAAAGCTTGACCATTAAAGCATAAATTGCCTAATGAGACACATGTAATCATAAAAACTAACGCCAGGATCATTTACTTGTGATTGGATATATGCCATTTATTTTTCTGGCTTCTTTCTAATGTGTAATTCCTGCTGAATTGAGTGAGCATGTCAGATTTCTATCTTTATCTTAGTGTGTGTAAAAGTTCTCAACCTAGACAAGGACAAATTTTAGAATTTTCCAATGAACATCATTCACTATGTATGATGCTGTTTTGTTAAACTAGCTGTTTGGAAAACAATAAAGATTTCATTTGTTTTGCGTTAGCCACAGAGAGTGGACTTGTTTAGAATGTAAAAGTATTTATCTCAAATACTAAAATCAAACTCAAGAAAAATCAAACAATGCTGGAGCTGAGAAAAATAATGGCTATATATCTGGTTGAACATGTTGAAAGAAAAGTGAAAACACAGCCAGGCATGGTGGTGCGCACCTGTAATCCCAGCTACTTGGGAGGCTGAGACAGGAGAATTGCTTGAATCTAGGAGGCAGAGGTTGCAGTGAGCCAAGATCAACCACTGCACTACACAGCCTGGGTGACACAGACTCCTTCACGCACACACAAAAAAGTGAAAACAAACTTGGAAGTCTAGAATGAAGAATTACATCTAATGCAGTAATATTCTTCCCACCTTTCCATATTAAATGTAAGAAGCACCAGCAAAAAATACTAAAGACAGAGAAATGACCTGGCAAAATGATTCAAATACCACAGAGCGTGAGAATATTCCTCAGTAAAGCTCAAGATATTATGAAGTAGCTAGCAGAAGAAATGGCAGGGGTAGCGGAAGTAAAAATTCTAACCATATGACAGACTCTAACAGTAAGTCATAAATTCTAAAGGTTTAATTAGTAAATTCATTATTTCCTCCAAAATATACTGTCATTCTTCTCTTAACAATGAATGTTTGACACAAATCCAATTTTGATGTTAAAAGTCAACATACATAGATAGGTCCCTCATGTTGACAGAGCACAGAATTGGAAAAAAAAACTGCAAATGAGAAATAGGGGTATTTCTAAATCTTCTGTATTCCTAAAATATCACACTGCGCCCTTGCTTCAGCCTCCCTGATAGACTGGTTTGGGTGTGCAATATTAATGCAGGAATACGTGGAATACCAGCACAAAGCCGGGGAGGGAGACTAGCAAACTCTCGCCATCAATTATTTCTCAACTACATTTAGTATTCTTCGCAGTTTTAGATTTTTTTTTCCTTTAAGCGAAAACCACTCCACTGAAAAAAATTCCAAACTTGTTTTTTAAAAATTGCAGGAATTTCTTCGTATTTTATCAACAAAAATACCAGAAATTAAAGAGCTGACAGAAATTCAAGCAGATCCAAATTCAACCATCCATTTTTCATACTTCTCCAAGTCTGCAGCAGAGACAGACTTAGCAATTTTCTTTAGGGCCAATTCAAAGTCTCCTTTGGTAACAGGCATCTGAAGTTCCTCTTTAGAAAGTGCACGGATTTCTTCTGGACTTAAGCCATTGATACGCCGTCTCATTGCCATTAAAGAGGCATCCCTAAAAATATACCAAAATCAGTCAACAGTAATTTTTGCACATGTTTTAAACACTTTCAATTGTAACAAAGTTATGAAAAAAAAATCAAAAGATTATTTTATATGTTTTTATGAGGCTTCTTAGAATTTTCCACTTAAGAAACATCCTGGGGGTTCAGCAGAAGTTAAGACAGGATGCAAACAACCAAAAACATGAAATGTATAGTTAACGAACCCTAAAAGTCTAAGTTAAGCTCGAATAGTACTGAATTTTCTTTTCTCCACTTGCTCCTCAAAGACAGCCAAGAAGTTTAGGAAACTGAAGTCAAATTTTGAAATACTGAATTGTACACTTGGAAATGAACATATGGCTAATGTTAAGATAATTCAAACCACAGACCAGTTTGTCTACAGCCTAAATAGAGGAATAAAGACACGAATCACTCCCTCTGAAACATGAATATCCACATATAGTGGACATGGAATTCCCTACATGGAGTATTTGTAGGCAACTGAAGGCATAAACTCTGGCTTCTCTTGATCCCATGTGCAGCTCTCTTTGACCAACTATAAATAAATATGAAGGTCTGGAAGAAAAGGATAATTCATAATCACAAAAAAGCTATTAGGAAGGCCAAGCCAACAAAAATGTCAAGTTCTTAAATATTTTGCTATAGTAGCAGTAGGAACTATTGCAACCTTATTGTATGCCACTAAACTTGGATGCACATGGGAAAAATGCGAGCAGAAAAGGTGAGAAAAACAGATGCTGTGGCTTTAAAGAAAGGCTACTAAAGTCAATTTAAGTGCAGTTAGAAAAATAAGAAAAAAAATAACTGCAGTGACAGGAACTGTCTAAAACTTATGATGTCGCTAAACTGAAAAAATTTTAAACGTGTATCTTCCCCAGCTTACGCTGATCATTTTTGCTCATTTGCATGTGTTTAAATAATGCCAACAAAAACTAAATAATATTACTTTAGGTTGATGCAGAAAGGCTCCAACACAAAGCTAAACTAATCTTAGGTTGTCAAAGTCATTATTATCGAGTTAGACACAATAATTTCTTTTTTTTTCTTTTTTGAGACAGAGTCTCGCTCTGTTGCCCAGGTTGGAGTGCAGTGGCGCGATCTCGGCTCACTGCAAGCTCCACCTCCCGGGTTCATGCCATTCTCCTGCCTCAGCCTCCCGAGTAGCTGGAACTACAGGTGTCCGCCACCACACCTGGCTAATTTTTTGTATTTTTTAGTAGAGGCGGGGTTTCACCGTGTTAGCCAGGATGGTCTCGATCTCCTGACCTCGTGATCCACCCGCCTCGGCCTCCCAAAGTGCTGGGATTAGAGGCGTAAGCCACCGACACAACAATTTCTTAAAAATCCAAAGATCAAAAACATCAACGACCACTGCTATATAATTTTCATCTCACAATGAAAAATAAAGTTATATGTAAAAAAAAAGGGACAAATGGGAAACCATTTTAAAGAAATGGGTAGCTGCTTTCATGTCTAACTACACTGGGCTAACTACATTGACTTTAAGACCAGTCCTCCTGCGAAGTCTATAACTAATGTCTAAAATCACAGATCATTAAAAAAATACCTGCAAACATTAGTGATGTCAGCACCAGAATAGCCCTCAATCTTCTCGGCTATATCTTCCAGTTGAATATCAGGATCTAATTCGACCTCACGAAGGTTGATCTTCAGAAGCTCAGCTCTTCCTTTTGCTGTTACAAGATTTTGGTGGTGTTGTTAGATGTTTTACTTTACAAATAATTTTGCTGAGAAATGACATATTAACATTTGGGGGAAAAATGAGGCCAATGCAAAGAAGAGTCAATAACTGTGTGTCCATTAGTATTATTACCAATTCACTGCATGACTCATGGAATCATTTAAATTCCTATGTGCCTCTGTTGCAGTAACTAAAAATTGAAAAAAAAAAAAAAAAAAAACACCAAAAACCACCTAGGTTTTCTTTAAAGACTGTGAAGATACCTACTATGAGAACAAAGAATCTGAGATTCTTCATGAAAAATATAAATATCAGTTTTCAAGCACCGGAAATGCTTCTCAAAAAAAAAATACTTAGCCTGGTGTTACAAAATTACACTGCATCAAGTGTAACTCCTATGAATTACTTTGCTCACCTGTTAGTATGACATGGATCTCCAGAACTCTTATCAGTAGTTTAAAGAACATTTCCTGAAAATCAGTAATTGGCACAAAAAGCTCATTAATGTATTTTTTACTTGGAGAGCCAGCCCACAGACATTTGCTGTTCCAGTATGATTTAAATGTGAACTGAATAAGTTCAAACATACTAGAGAATTTTTAAAATAACCAATCATGCTTGCCATTTCACTAGTGCTTTTAGTGGCAAATCTGCTTAGCACAGCACACTAAGATAATGCATTACTAGTTTATCTGGCGCTCTACTATTTCCTGAGATACAAAATGAAATTTAATTTTCTTCTACTTTTATTTTGAAAAATGCCATATATACAGGAAAAGAAAATCAATGAATACCCATTTCCCTTTCACTGAGATTCACCAATTGCTAACATTTTGCCATTATCACTCTAGCTGGCTCGTCATCTCTCCTCCCTCAACTTTTTGAATTGAGCGCTAGCTGCAGGCATCACAACACTTCACCTTAAATTCCCCAGCATGTATCTCCTAAGAAAAAAGGTAGACATAGCATTTCTCACCCTTATCAGGAGATTTAATACTGGAATATTAGTGTCTAATACACAATTCAAAGCAAAGTTTCCCTATTTGTCCCAAGCCTTTATAACTTTTACAAACCATAACACATTGCAGTCAGTTACTATGTCTCATTCACCTTCTTTCATCTAAAACAGTTCCCCAGTGTTTACTTTTTGGTTCATTTTGTTTTGTCTTTCATGAAATTGACAATTCTCCCCCAATTGATCTTATACAGCCAAAGCATTCCAATAAAGATCCTCCTAAAAGGTCTATCTGTAAAAACTAACGGGCAGATACCAAAATGTTCACAGAAATGGAAAGAACCAAGAACAGCCAAGATGCTCTGGAAGAGCAACAGCAAAGTGGAAAGAAATGCTCTATCAGATTTTAAGACTTACTACAAAGGTATAGGACTCAAAGCAGTGTGACCCTCTTGTGGAAATAGACAAATAGATCAATAGTACAGAACGGGGTGCCCAGCAGCAGACCGAAGCATAATTACAGACACTGAATTTATGACAGAGGTGGTTCAGGCCGTGAGGGGAAGGAGTGTCTTTTCAATTAATGATGTAAGAACAGCTGACTATCCACAGGGAAAAAAATGAAATCAGGTCCTACATCATACTGTGCACAAAAATCAGTGCCAGATATATTACATCTAAATGCAAAGTTGTAAGTATTTTATAACAGAGAAGAATATCTCAATGACCTCAGGGAAGTATTCTCAAGACATATATTCAAAAAAAATCAACAAGGAAAAGATTGATAAACTGACCACATTAAAATGAGGAACTTCTATTCATCAAAAGATACTGTCGACACAGTGAAAACAGATAAGTTACAGAGTTTGAGAAGATATTTGTAACATATATAAGCAACCAAAGACTTGTATCAAGAATATTTAAGGAATTTCTAAAAATCAGCAAGAAAAAGTCAGACTACCCAATAGCCAGCGTGCCTGGCAATGCACAGTGGCCGGACCCTGGTGCTTGCTTGCTCATGCACCCCTCACCACTCTGTGCCTGGCTTGCCCTTGGCCGGCGTGGGATCAGGGCCAGTAGCTCCAGCCGAGCTCAGCCTGCCAGGCCCAGTGGTCAGAACGCTGGGCTCAAGCAAAACTCCAGCAAAGGTGCCACCAAGGATCCTGCAACACAAGCACTTTGGAAAACATATTGAATTCATCTATTAATACTGCAGCTGTGCGGCACTACCTAGCAATTCACTCCTAGGATGGAATGCTCCATTCTGGCATTCTTACCACTATACATGTATGAAAATGTTCACAGTAGCACTGTTCATAATAGCCTAAAACAAGAAATAATTAAAATGTCCACCAAACAATATGATGGATACATTTTGATATAATCACATAATAGATGGTATGGGTTAAACCATGTCCCTCAAAATTTTTAGGCAACTCCTAACCCCCAGTACTTCAGAATGTGACTGTATTTAGAGACAGGAGAGGTAATTAAGGTAAAATGAGGTCATATGGGTGGGCTCTAATCCAACATGACTGGTGTCCTTATAAGAAGAAGCGGTTAGGACACAAAAACCCCTAAGGGGAAGACCACATGAAGACGCCGGGACAAGATGGCCACCTATAGGCCAAGGAGAGAGGCCCCAGAGTGCAACCACCCTGCCTACACCTTGGTCTTGTACTTCTAGCTTCCGGTACTATGAGAAAATACAAACTACCATCAGAGAATACTACAAACACCTCTACGCAAATAAACTAGAAAATCTAGAAGAAATGGATAAATTCCTCGACACATACACCCTCCCAAGACTAAACCAGGAAGAAGTTGAATCTCTGAATAGACCAATAACAGGAGCTGAAATTGTGGCAATAATCAATAGCTTACCAACCAAAAAGAGTCCAGGACCAGATGGATTCATAGCCGAATTCCACCAGAGGTACAAGGAGGAACTGGTACCATTCCTTCTGAAACTATTCCAATCAATAGAAAAAGAGGGAATCCTCCCTAACTCATTTTATGAGGCCAGCATCATCCTGATACCAAAGCCGGGCAGAGACACACCCAAAAAAGAGAATTTTAGACCAATATCCTTGATGAACATTGATGCAAAAATCCTCAATAAAATACTGGCAAACCGAATCCAGCAGCACATCTAAAAGCTTATCCACCATGATCAAATGGGCTTCAACCCTGGGATGCAAGGCTGGTTCAACATACACAAATCAATAAATGTAATCCAGCATATAAACAGAACCATAGACAAAAACCACATGATTATCTCAATAGATGCAGAAAAGGCCTTTGACAAAATTCAACAACCCTTCATGCTAAAAACTCTCAATAAATTAGGTATTGATGGGACGTATCTCAAAATAATAAGAGCTACCTATGACAAACTCACAGCCAATATCATATTGAATGGGCAAAAACTGGAAGCATTCCCTTTGAAAACGGGCACAAGACAGGGATGCCCTCTCTCACCACTCCTATTCAACATAGTGTTGGAAGTTCTGGCCAGGGCAATTAGGCAGGAGAAGGAAATAAAGGGTATTCAATTAGGAAAAGAGGAAGTCAAATTGTCCCTGTTTGCAGATGACATGACTGTATATCTAGAAAACCCCATCGTCTCAGCCCAAAATCTCCTTAAGCTGATAAGCAACTTCAGCAAAGTCTCAGGATACAAAATCAATGTACAAAAATCACAAGCATTCTTATACACCAATAACAGACAAACAGAGCCAAATCATGAGTGAACTCCCATTCACAATTGCTTCAAAGAGAATAAAATACCTAGGAATCCAACTTACAAGGGACATGAAGGACCTCTTCAAGAAGAACTACAAACCACTCCTCAATGAAATAAAAGAGGATACAAAGAAATGGAAGAACATTCCATGCTCATGGGTAGGAAGAATCAATATCGTGAAAATGGCCATACTGCCCAAGGTAATTTATAGATTTAATGCCATCCCCATCAAGCTACCAATGACTTTCTTCACAGAATTGGAAAAAACTACTTTAAAGTTCATATGGAACCAAAAAAGAGCCCACGTCGCCAAGTCAATCCTAAGCCAAAAGAACAAAGCTGGAGGCATCAAGCTACCTGACTTCAAACTATACTACAAGGCTACAGTAACCAAAACAGCATGGTACTGGTACCAGAACAGAGATATAGATCAATGGAACAGAACAGAGTCCTCAGAAATAATGCCGCATATCTACAACTATCTGATCTTTGACAAACCTCAGAAAAACAAGCAATGGGGAAAGGATTCCCTATTTAATAAATGGTGCTGGGAAAACTTGCTAGCCATATGTAGAAAGCTGAAACTGGATCCCTTCCTTACACCTTATACAAAAATTAATTCAAGATGGATTAAAGACTTAAACGTTAGACCTAAAACCATAAAAACCCTAGAAGAAAACCTAGGCATTACCATTCAGGACATAGGCATGGGCAAGGACTTCACGTCTAAAACACCAAAAGCAATGGCAACAAAAGACAAAATTGACAAATGGGATCTAATTAAACTAAAGAGCTTCTGCACAGCAAAAGAAACTACCATCAGAGAAAAGAGGCAACCTACAAAATGGGAGAAAATTTTCACAACCTACTCATCTGACAAAGGGCTAATATCCAGAATCTACAATGAACTCAAACAAATTTACAAGAAAAAAACAAACAACCCCATCAAAAAGTGGGCGAAGGACATGAACAGACACTTCTCAAAAGAAGACATTTATGCAGCCAAAAAACACATGAAAAAAATGCTCATCATCACTGGCCATCAGAGAAATGCAAATCAAAACCACAATGAGATACCATCTCACACCAGTTAGAATGGCAATCATTAAAAAGTCAGGAAACAACAGGTGCTGGAGAGGATGTGGAGAAATAGGAACACTTTTACACTGTTGATGGGACCGTAAACTAGTTCAACCATTGTGGAAGTCAGTGTGGTGATTCCTCAGGGATATACAACTACAAATACCATTTGACCCAGCCATCCCATTAGTGGGTATATACCCAAAGGACTATAAATCATGCTGCTATAAAGACACATGCACACGTATGTTTATTGTGGCATTATTCACAATAGCAAAGACTTGGAACCAACCCAAATGTCCAACAATGATAATGTGGATAAAGAAAATGTGGCACATATACACCATGGAATACTATGCAGCCATAAAAAATGATGAGTTCATGTCCTTTGTAGGGACATGGATGAAACTAGAAATCATCATTCTCAGTAAACTATCACAAGAACAAAAAACCAAACACCGCATGTTCTCACTCATAGGTGGGAATTGAACAATGAGAACACATGGACACAGGAAGGGGAACATCACACTCTGGGGACTGTTGTGGGGTGGGGGGAGTGGGGAGGGATAGCATTAGAAGATACACCTAATGCTAAATGACGAGTTAATGGGTGCAGCACACCAGCATGGCACATGTATACATATGTAACTAACCTGCCCATTGTGCACATGTACCCTAAAACTTAAAGTATAATAATAATAAAATTTTAAAAAAAAGAAAATTAACTTCTGTTGTTTAAGCCACCCAATCTTTGATATTTGTTATGGTAGCCCTAGCAAACGAATATGACAGAATACCACACAGTAACAAAAATGAATGTGAGGTGGCAGCCTTATATGTGGTATATATATGTGGTAACATGGATAAATCTTAAAATACATTGAGCAAAAGAGGCAAGATACAAATGAACACAATCAGTATGATTTCATTTATGTAAAGTTTAAAAGGAGGTAAAACTTTGCTTGGGGATACATTGTTAGGTGATGAAATTATATGGAAAAGCAATACATTATCTCCATAAAAGGAAATCACTGTAAGGGAAAGGTGGTGACCCCCAGCAGAGGGCAGGAAGGAACCATGCTGGGAGGGAACACGCTGGGAGCTGCTGAGTTCCAGGGAGGCTCCACTTCTCCTGGAGCGGGTAACAGGGCTGTCTGCTTCACCAGCTACTGGATAAACTAAACATTTTAGGAACTGTTTCTGTATTGAGTTATGTTTCACACACCACAAACACACAGTGAGACCAAGCAGAGCAGTGCCAAAAGCAGCAAGCAGGTGTGATTTGGGATTACCAGAAAACAGAAAGGGCAGGACTGGAAAACGTCTACCTCCACAGTTCCCTAATCCCAGGAGCCCCCATCCTTGATCCCAGCCAACAGGCTCGCAGGGAGTACACCTGCTCGACATGTGGTTTAGAGCCAAAGAAGTCCTCCAGTCAGGCTGGTGGCAGGAGGGGTAGGGAGAGAAAGGGGTGAGGGGAGGAAGCTCCTGTGCCTACCGATACAGAAGGCTGATGTGCGCCTGATGTCCAGGTAAGAACTGATGTTAACATAAGAGCATCATTACACAATGTTCCACATAGAGCCAGTGAATGACAATGAACAAATACCCCTTTTCATTCTTACAGACCCAATATTAGAATACCACTGTATGTGTAAATCAAACGTTTCACTGTGCCTGGCCTAAGTTCCTTAACACAAAGTTTAATATATTCTCCCACTGAAACAAAGTTCCAGACAGCCAACTTAAAATGAACATACATAAACCTGTTCGTAAGTGAGGACCTAGTGGTACTGAAGCTTAGCAGAAAGCATATTCTGTTTCCCTAGTAACTATGATTGGTGGCGGGGGGGTGGGGAACAAGTAACTTAAAACTGGTTATGTCAGTAATTTTTTAGAATATTCTTAAGATTTACCAGCTCCATAAAACTGAGTTGATGGCCAGGCGCGGCGGCTCACGCCTGTAATCCCAGCACTTTGGGAGGCCGAGGCGGGAGGATCATGAGGTCAGGAGATCGAGACCATCCCGGCTAACACGGTGAAACCCTGTGTCTACTAAAAATACAAAAAAAATTAGCCAGGCGTGGTGGCGGACAACTGTAATCCCAGCTACTCGGGAGGGGGAGGCAGGAGAATGGCGTGAACTCAGGGGGCGGAGCTTGCAGTGAGCTGAGATCGCGCCACTGCACTCCAGCCTGGGCAACAGAGCAAGACTCCATCTCAAACAAAAACTGAATTGATATTCAATAAGCTTGTGAAAAGATTTAACAAGGGATTAATGTGTTGTTAATCATAGTGTAACAAACTGCCAATCCTGTATCACAAAATTAACACACATTCTAAATTTAAATAAATGTTGTTAGAGGAATCATACACTCCTTATACAACTCCTCTTGAATATACCAGGCAGTCCAGTACAGGAGACAACAACTACATTCTGGGCCTGCCTATCTGGGCTCTGGACTCACATGCCTGCTCTCACTTAGCCTCTGGGTCCTCAAGTTTCCTAAGTAAAATAAGAACAGAATCTACCTTATAAAGCTGTCATGACGGTTAGGTGAGTTGATGCATGCAAAGCCTGGCCCATGGTAAATACTCAATAAATGTTCACAGCCCCCACCACCAGTCAGTCAACAAACAGGACTCTGGGGAGACAGAAGTGTCCTTTTCCTGAGGGACATCTGGGAAATCACCAACCCAGATGAAACACCTGGGGACACGAGACAGGCCAGGGCGAGAAGACTGCGTGATGTCCACATGCTGTAACGTCGGCTTTGAAAAATCAGTAAAATTTAAAGAGAAGGGAAGAGAGAACCTGGGAAATGGGAGTACCACAGATAACAACACAGAAGTAGGAAGAAGCATGCGTGCAGCAGAATGGGGGAAAAAGGTAAGTAGAAAAATACAATAAAATACTGATAGATGCAAATAGACACAGATAGGATACATAAGATGTGAACTTGCAGTAAAAGGAATATATATATATATATATATATAAAGGACCTGACCCTGATGTAATAGGAAGTCAGAGTCACCCCGAGTTGAAAGGACTATAATACCTTGGTGTTTAGGAGGTCAGCCTAAAAGCAAAACAGAACTAAATGAAGAGAGGTTGAGAAAGGAGTACATTGGGCTCAACAGGTAGTTGCTGCCATAATTTAGATGCTTAAAATGAAAAGAGCCTTAAGGTAAGAACATTAGAACTCACTTGTGCCTATTATTTTGCCTTCTGTTGACTACAGCAAATTGTATTTACCAAGACAGCAGTAACAGTTCTCTCTCATCCCACACCCATTTCTACAATGTGATCCTACCACTCCCCAAACCAGAGGCAGTCTAATTCCCCTCCCCTTGAATTGGTGTGGGCCTGAGAATGTCAGAAGTATGAGCAGAAGGGACATTACATAACCTCCAAGGGTAATTCATAAAATTCGATGCCATTTCCACCTTATCCAGTGGAACAATCACATTTGGAGCACTAAGCTACCATCTATGAGATCCAAATATCCCAAGGCCACAGGTAACATGGCCCAGCAGAGATCTAGGCTTGTGAATGAAGACATTCCACAGGATCCCAGGCCCCAGCTGTGGAGTCACCCCCAACCACGACCCAAGGCATCATGGAACAGACACAAACCATCTCCACTGTGCCCCATCCAATGTGAGAATAATACAATTATTTTGTCTCATTAAATTTTGGAGTGGTTTGTTAAACTGCAAGAGTAAGTGATATATTGGCTTTTCTTACCACCAATTTCTAATTCTTAAATAAATATGGGTATTTCTTTATGGAAATTATATAAAGAGGCATTACATCTAATTACATTAGATGGCTTTCTGATTTCATCTATCCTGTTTCTTATAATCTTTGCCTTTTTCAAATAAAAATTCTTATTCACAGTTGGTTTTGTTCATAAAATGTCCAATTTTTTTAAATTTTAATACATTTTACTTTTATTTCCATTAATTTTACCCTGGATTTCCAAAATCATTCTTTTCAGATCTCTCATCTTCTTAAATTTTATTTATTGTTCAATCTCTTCCAGGCCTTTTTATCCTATCTGGTGGCTCCAGCCCCAAAACCTATCTATCTATTCATTTTCAAGCACCCATGGCTTCGATTCTACTTTTCTCTATGAAAATTCAGTTAAAATGCAACTTCCTCCATGAAGTCTCCCTTAAGTACACCAGTCAGAATTTGGGATTCCTCCCTGTCCGTTCCAAAAATACTGTGCAGAGCTCTCGGCTCATGCATTCCACTGTTTTACTGCAGTTAGGGTAAGTATATGTCTGGCTTCCAAAGCAGTTCTTTAACAACAAGGAATGAACATTATTTATATTCCCACAGTTCCTAACAAATGTCTTTCATATAGCAAAGAGCTAAATGAACACTTGTTGATGAATTAATATAGATAAAAGAAAAAGAATGGAGTTCTAATTATAATTATTGGTTTGGGAGCCCCTTGGGGAAAAAGCATTTCCCAGGTTTCATGATCATAAGGTACACACCTTCAGATCCACAATAAACAAAGAGAAGCACCCCAAAGTAATTACTGTTACAAACTTTTCATAAAGAAAAACAAGTTTAGAAGGAAGCCTCTTAGCCGTGTTTATTTTCTTCTTCTATAATTCCAAAGGAAATGGAGTTCCTACCTTTATACCAATATAAAGTATGTCTTTCCCCTAATACCTAAGCTTTCCTTAGCAGTTCAGAAACTTGCTGTCATCAATTATTTTCTACTTATGTTTTTCTCCCTTTATTATAGTGAAGAATTAAAGTTCAAAAAACAAAAGTTTGAATAATGTGACTGACAGTTCGAGCAGCAAAAATTTTATTCCCTCCACTGGTATCAATTTTTATTTATAATCACTGTAATATGGTAGTAAAATTAAACTTTCAAATATATTAGATATCATACACATATTTTGTTTAGAAAACAAAACATGGGCTGGGCACAGTGGCTTATGCTTGTAATCCCAACACTTTGGGAGGTGGATGCAGGTGGATCACTTGAGGTCAGGAGTTGGAGACCAGCCTGGCCAACATGGTGAAACCCCGTCTCTACTAAAAATACCAAAGTTAGCTGGGTGTGGGGTCGTGTGCCTGTAATCCTGGCTACTTGGGAGGCTGAGGCAGGAGAATTGCTTGAATGCGGGAGGTGGAGATTGCAGTGAGCCGAAACCACGCCACTGCACCCCAACCTGGGCAACAGAGCAAGACTCCATCTCAAAAAAACAAACAAACAAAAACATGGATGAAGAGAAAAAGAATGGGAAGAAACTTTTAAAATCACAAATAAGGAAAAAAACGCTCGAATTTCAACTTGTGTATGAGCCAGGTATTAAGGAGTTAATTCTCAGAGTTGCAATATTCCAGCATGGCTTATAGGTTCTAAATCTAATTGCTTCTGTTGTTGCTTTAAATAAGCGTATTATTTTATGAGCTCAATCAGTAAATTCTTTTTCTTGTTTTTTGTTTTTTTTTGAGATGGAGTCTCACTCTGTCACCCAGGCTGGAGTGCTGTGGTGTGATCTCGGCTGACTGCAACCTCCACCTCGTGGGTTCAAGTTGATTCTCCTGCCTCAGCCGCCTGAGTAGCTGGAATTACAGGCACCTGCTACCACGTCTGGCTAACTTTTGTATGTTTAATAGAGACAGGGTTTCTCATATCGGTCAGGCTGGTCTCAAACTCCTGACCTCAGGTGATCTGCCCACATTGGCCTCCCAGAGTGCTGGGATTACAGGCGTGAGCAACAACACCCAGCGAAATAAAGCACTATTTTAAGAAAAAGAAAAGTTTTCTTTTTAAGTAATGACATTATTAAATTATTAGAATACAGAGTAACAGCCAGAAAAGATAATATAAGATGGAATCTGTGAGCTAAAAAATCTATCAAGTAATTATGTTATACAAGCCTTGGGGTCTAGTCAAAAAAGTGATCAAGGAATATGTTACAAAAATTAAGTTTCAAAATTTGTAGGTGAGGTTTCCACTTCTAGCCATGATGAAATAACTGTTACCAAACTTGCCCCCTATGGTAAACAACTACAAAATGAGACAGAATATAAAGAAAACTGTTTGCATGTATTGGCCAACAGGCAGTGAAGAACTGAATACTGATTTTTCTTAGTTCTGCCAGTAATCTGAATGCCTGCCAGATCACTATTTAAAGGAAAATACATAATCTGTAATCCCTACAATGTAGCACATACAGTAAAATTATTGGATATGTGAAGAAGCAGAAAAATATGGCCCACACTGAAGAGAATTAAAAAGTAGCTAACAAAAACAAATGATTCAATTGCTAAAATTAGCTGACAAAAACTATAAAGTGGTAGATTATCCATTTCTGAATAAAAAATTTTACTAAAACTTACAGACTTTACATAACTATTTATTATCCTCAAAGTTTCTGTGTGCCAAGAATTTAAGAGTGGCGTAGCTAGAAAGTTCCAGCTTGGGGTCTGTGATGGTTAATTTTATACGTCAACTTGGCTGGGCAATGGTGCCCAAACAGTGGATAAAAAATTATTCTGGGACTGGCACAGTGGCTCATGTTTGTAATCCCAGCACTTTGAGAGGTGGAGGCTGGTGGATCACTTGAGGTCAGCAGTTCAAGACCAGCCTGACCAACATGAGGAAACCCTGTCTCTATTAAAAGTATAAAATTAGCCAGGTGCAGTGGCACACACCTGTAATCCCAGCTACTTGGGAGCCTGAGGCAGGAGAATCCCTTGAACCCAGGAGGCGGAGGTTGCAGTGAGGTAAGATTGCGCCATTGCCCTCCAGCCCGGGCAACAAGAGTGAAACTCCATCTCAGAAAGAAAAAAGAAAAAGAAAAATTATTCTGAATGTGTCTGTGAACATGTTTTTCAATGAGATTAACATTTAAATTGGTGGACTTTGAGTAAAGCAGATTGCCCTTCCTAATGTGGGTGGGCCTCATCTAACCAATGGAAGGTCTGAATAAAACACAACACTGAACCGCGACACTGCCCCCACCGCCCACACTGGGAAGAAGAAATTCAGCAAATGGCCTTCAGATTTCAACTGCAACACTGGCTCTCCCTGGGTCTCCAGCCTGATAGCCTTTGGACCTGAACTGCAGTATCAGCTCTTCCTGGGCCTCTAACCTGCCAGCTCAGTGTACAGATTTTGGACTTACCAGCCCCCATAATCGTGTGAGCCAACTGCCTAAAATAAACCTCTTTATATATACACATCCTGTTGGTTCTGTTTCTCTGCAGGACTCTGACTAATACAAGGTCTCGCAGGAAGTCACAGTTAATACATGGACCAGAACTACAGTCATCCAAGGGTAGCTCTCACATGGCTGGCACGATGCATACTGTAATTGCTAGAGCAACTGCTAAAATAAATATAGTCAGGTATAGCTAAAAATCCAATAATGGCATTAAAATGAATAGTAAAAACAGTCAATTAGCCCAAAAGAAATTAGCAAGGGGGGTACAGAGAAACAAACAGTACAAATAGCAAGATGGCAGACTTAAACACAGTCATATCACCAATTACATTAAATTTAAATGGACTAAATACTCCTATTAAAAAGCAGAGACAGCCAGGTGCAGTGGCTCATGCCCGTAATCTCAGCACTTTGGGAGGCCAAGGTGGGTGAATCACCTGAGCTCAGGAGTTCAAGACCAGCCTGGACAACATGGCGAAACCCCGTCTCTACTAATAATATAAAAAAATTAGCCAGGCATAGTGGCACATGCCTGTAGTCCCAGCTACTCAGGAGGCTGAGGCAGCAGAATCACTTGAACCTGGGAGGCAGAGGTTGCAGTAAGCCCAGATCGCGCCACTGCACTCCCGCCTGGGCAACAGAGTGAGGCTCCGACTTAAACAAACAAACAAAAAAGAGATACAGACTGGACAAATAGCAAGGCTCAACTATATGCTGTCTATAAAAACTGCACTGTACACACCTGTAATCCCAGCACTTCGGGAGGCCAAGGCGGGCGGATCACAAGGTCAGGAGATCGAGACCATCCTGGCTAACACGGTGAAACTCCGTCTCTACTACTAAAAATACAAAAAATTAGCCGGGAATGGTGGCAGGCGCCTGTGGTCCCAGCTACTCGGGAGGCTGAGGCAGGAGAATGGTGTGAACCTGGGAGGCAGAGCTTGCAGTGAGCCCAGATCCTGCCACTGCACTCCAGCCAGGGTGACAGAGCGAGACTCCATCTCAAAAAAAAAAAAAAAAAAAAAAAAAACTGCACCGTAAATATAAAGACAGGGTAGGGTAAAAATTAAAGATAAAAAGCAGATATAGCACAACAACAATAGGAAAAGAAAGACGGTAAGGCTAAATTAAAAGCAGTCAAAGCAGATACCAAGTCAAAGTGTATTCTCAGAGATACAGAGGCATTGCATAATGGTAATAGGACCGAGAAGATGTAACAATGATAATTTATTTACTTAACAACAGAACATCAAAACACATGAAGCAAAACATAAAGCAGAAACTGAAAAAACGAAAGGGAGAAATGAACAAGTTCCCAGTCATAGATGAAGATTTCCATAAGCCACTCTCAGTAACTGACAGAAAAACTAGACTAAAAAATCAGCAAGGATCTTATTATTTGAATAATACTAACACACCAACTTCATCTAGCTGACATTTATAGAATGTTATAACAAGCTCAGAATAAACATTCTATTCAATTGCATCTGGAGCATTCACCAAGACAGACTATATGCTGAATCACAAATCTCAAGAAGTTCAAAAATTGACATCTTACAGAGTATGTTCCTAACTGCAATGAATTAAAGTAAAAATCAACAATAAGATATCTAGAAAACACCCCAATTATTTGGCTCCCAAACCAATTTAAATGCTAAATAACTAAAGGACCAAAGAAAGGGGATAAAAAAGGAAAATTAGAAAACAGTTCTAACTTAATAGTAGAAAAAATATGATATAGCAAAATTTGTGAGATAAAAGCAAAGCAGTACTTAATGAGAAATTTATAGCTTTAAAATGTGCAAATTTAAAAAAGAAAAAAAGGCCAGGTGCAGTAGCTCACATCTGTAATCCCAGTGCTACTGGGAGGATTGCTTGAGGCCAGGAGTTTGAGACCAGCCTGGGAAACACGGCAAGCCTCTGTCTCTACAAAAAATAAAAATAAAAAAATTAGCCAGGCACAGTGACATGTGTTTGTAGTCCCTACTCAAGAGGCTGAGGTGGGAGGATCTGTTGATCCCAAAAGTTTGAGGCTGCAGTGAGCTAAGATCATGCCACTGAACTCCAGCCTGGGTAACAGAGCAAGACTCTGTCTCTTAAAAAAAAAAAAAAGTGGGGAAGGGTGGTTCCTAAAACCAATAACCTTAGTTTCTAACTTCAGATAGAAAAAATTATACTCAAAGTGTAAAGCAAAAAAAAAATTTTTTTAACAGAGAAGAAATCATTGAAATAGAAAGTAGAAAATTAACAAAGCAAAAATTTGGTTATTTGAAAAGATTAACAATATTGATAAATTTCAACCAAAAATGATGAAGAATAGAGATAAATTACTAATATTAGGAATGAAAAATGAGCCATCACTACAGATCCTATGGCCAATAAAAGGAAAATAAGGTGTGTAGATTTGTATTATGCCAACTTAAGTGAAGCTGGAATTTCATTTCCCAGAATTCTCTTTATTGCATAGCTCTGGGTTAGTGTGGACCACATGAGTCATGTCTGAGATGTGAAAGGCAAAAATTAATCATCTCAGAAAGCTGGCACATACTGTCACTTATTTCTTGGTTCTCCTTATTAGTGTGGGGCAGCACTTCCACCTTCAGCTCTTGGTAGTTTCTGCCACATTTCTTCCTTCACCTTTTTTGACTTTTGAGCCAGGTATACATTTAGCTAGCTTCTTCTGTAGGAAAGTCCATTCATCAAGGTTAGGAGTCTCAGTGGAAAAAAAGAGTTCAACATAGATTCCAATGTATCCTCATGGATTCCACCCCCACAGGTAGAGTTTGTCCTTACTTCTACCACTTCACATTCATCATCTCTTCCTAAGTGCCCTCCTTACTGACTTCAAGTTCCAGAACCAGACATGAACTATATAATCAGCTTCCACAATCTCCCATAACTATTTAATCAGCTTCCACATTCACATTAGGTCAAATCCAAACAAATCTGACAACTTATAAAAAAAATAGACAAATTATTTGAAAGGCACAAGTTACCAAAGCTTGCTCAAGAAAAAAACAAATAACTTAGATAACCATATGTGTGTGTATTTAAAATACAATGGAACAGAATAGTATTCAGAAATAGACCCACACATACACAACAAAATAATTTTCAATGAAGGTGCCGAAGTAATTCAATGAAAAAAGAAAACTCCTTTCAGTAAGTGATGATACAACTGCATATACATATGAAAAAAATGACTCATCTACACACACACACACACACACACACACACACACACACACAAATTCATTCAAGAGGAATCACAGATATAAATACAGTTTCCAAAAGAAAACAGGAGAAAAACTTTGCAGCTTTGGGATAGACAAGATTTCTTAAGACACAAAAAGTACTATTCATTAAAAAAAATTGTCAACAGGACTTCATCAAAATTTAAAATGTCTGCTTATTAAGAGATACCATAAAGAAAATCAAAAGGCAAACTACAAACTGGAAGAAAATATGCACAATGCACAGATCTAATAACATAAAAAGCATTAATAAAACAACAAATAATCCAATTAAAAACTGGGAAAAAGAAATGACACTATACAAAAAGTATACCATGACCATAAAAAGCACATAAAAAGGTACTCAACGTAAGTCATCAGAGAAATACCAATTAAAATCATGAGACAGCATTTCATACTTACTAGAATGACTGAAATTAAAATAGTGACAACACCACATGTTGGCAAGGATATGGAAGTATTTGAATTCTCATTTATTGATGATGGAATACAAAATGGTATGACCATTCTGAAAAACAGTTTGGGTATTTCCTATAAAAGCTAAACATATGCCTACCCTATGACCCATCTTTTCTTTTCTTATATTATCCAAAAGAATTGAAAACATTCATCCATAAAAAAGATACGTACCAGAAAGTTTACAGCTTTATTCATAATAGCCAAAAAACTAGGAATAACTTAAATACCAATCAAAAGGAGAATAAACAAATTGTGGTATAATCATACCAGGAATAAGCTGCTGATACATGTGATCACATGGATGAACCTCAAGTGAAAGTAGCCAGACACAGTGAGTACATGCAGTCACGATTCCATTTATATGAAGTTTAACAAGAGAAAGAACTAATCTATGGTGATAAAAATCACGTACAGTGAATGCCTATTGGAGGATTAGCTGGTAGGGGCACACAGAACTTTACAGGATGATAGAAATGCCCTACATCTTGATTAGGGTATTGATTAAACAGGTGTACAGATTTGTACTCATCAAATTATATACTTAAGTACATTTCATTGTATGTAAATTTTACCTCAAAATAAAAAGAAAACATTCATTCATGGATATTTCAGCATTTATTAACAGGATGAAACTATATTTTCCAGGCTGGGCGTGGTGGTTCACACCGGTAATCCCAGCACTTTATGAGGCCGAGGCGGGAAATCACTTGAAGCCAGGAGTTCAAGACCAGCCTAGACAACATGGCAAAACCCTGTCTCTACTAAAAACACCAAAATTAGCTGGGTGTGGTGGTACACACCTGTAATCCCAGCTATTTGGAAGGCTAAGGCACAAGAATCACTTGAACTTAGGAGGTGGAGGTTGCAGTGACCTGAGATCATGCCTCTGCACTCCAGCCTGGGCAACAGAATAAGACTGTGTCACAAAATAAATAAATAAATATGTGTACACACACACACACACTCTCTCTCTCTCCAAAACAGCATATTCTGAAAAAGATCCAAAAAAACTTCAAGTTGAAAAGTGAAAACTTAAAAGTGCTACCATATTTATTAAGATGAATATTGTTCCAAACTTAAGAATTTCTCTGAAACATAAGAAATTTCAATAGAGTACTGTGGCCTGTGTTCACATCTACTACAAATTAATTTTGTGATGCTATAAACTTCTTTAAGCAGAATGGCAATGGAATAAAGATTTAGATACATGGGAAAGGTAACAAAAAGTAACAGAAAGCTCAAAATAGAGAAGACATCATACCTGTTGGGAGAGGTATATATATCCTTTTTTCTAACCTTCTTCGCAAAGCTTCATCAATGTCCCACGGGAAATTAGTAGCAGCCAATACCATAACCATTTTGGAAGGATCATCATTTTCTAAAGCTCCTCCAACTCCTATACACAGTAAGGGAGGAAAAGATAGTGTTTTTCTTACAACTCTTTATTCTTTCATTCAATTAACATTTCTTTTAGCCAAAGTGGCAGAATCAACGATAAAGAAAGTGCAGTCCTGACCTCTGTGTGGTGGCAAAACCAGACACACTAACAGATAACTACAAAACAAAGAAGTAGAAGAATTCACATAACCTAGTGTGGGATTTTTTTTTTCTTTCTTTTTTTTTTCTTGTGCAACCTAGTGCAGGATTTTAATCCAATAAAAACATCCATTTTTCTGTAAGAAAATGAATGTATTTTCCTCCTAAAAGAAAAGGTATGGGAGATTAGGCTCTGTTTTATTCCTCTTATTTCTTTTAAATCATAAAGTTCCGCAAAAATTTTATTTTAGTTTTTAATCTATTTTCTCAAGAAGTGAAAACAGAGGGTTCACATTTACTTAATATTCTAGCATGCAATTATAATTTTGAAAGACAGGTTATATTTCCATGATGTTGTCCTTTAAACTTTTAAGTGACCTGTAAAAAATAAATAAGACATTTAAGAATGAACCCAGTAATCACAGATAAAAATAACCAAACCAACTACATGTATATACACAGTGTCTCCTTTTCAGAATTAAAATTTTAGAATAAAAAATTTCAGGTCACACAACAGAAACTTTAGAAAATATGTAGTGAGAAATAAAAGATAAAAAAACCCCATAAACTTTATTGATAAGACTTTCTAGTCTAGCATAATAAAGTGCTAGTGGACTTAAAGCAACCTAGTTCAATACAGTATTTTTTAAAAAAACAAGGTCTGGTTCTGTTGTTCAGGCTGGAGTGCTCTGGCATGATCTCAGCTCACTGAAACATATAATATTTTCTTATTATGAAACTCCTACTTCGGTCATTATGACAAAGAATCAAGCTGTCCAACTAATAATCAACAATAGTCACAAATATCCCTCAATGAAATTCAGCTGACTAAATTTGTATTCAGTGATTTCCTTTTCCAATTTTAAACACCTAATGTTTTCTCCTATACCCCACTTCAAAAATAAAACATACTCATTCCTTTCTCTCATACTTTAGCAAAAGTTAACATGGTAAACTCACTGAGGGAAGGGTCTCATAGTACATTGTAAGTATTCAGTAAGTATCCACAGTTGATGAATAACCGTGACTGTTTTGAAACAACACAACTTGGATATTGTTGGTGTTTTGTTGTTGTTGTTGTTATGAGACAGGTTCTTGCCCTGTTGCCCAGGCTGGAGTGCCATGGCACAATTACAGCTCGCTGTGGCCTCAAACTCCTGCGCTCAAGCTATCCTCCCACCTCAGCCTCCTGAGTAGCTGGGACTACAGGCACATGCCACCACATCCAGCTACTTTTTAAAGTTTTTGCTACGTTAAAGTCTTGCTATGTTAACCAGGCTGGTTTTGAACTCCTGGCCTCAAGTGATCCTCCTACCTCAGCCTCCCAAAGTGCTGGGACTACAGGCATGAGCCATTGCACTCAGTCCCTCACCCTGGATATTTTTTAATGTATTTTATCTGTTCTAATGTTTTGCTTGAACGGCCTCTTGTCTACCACACAGCTAACTTATCTCTAAACAGCAGCTCTGAGCCCATAACCCTTTTCCTTCTATGGCTCCTCAGGGCCCTTTTTCTCTGTCCTGATAACTCCTATCAATGCTTCAAAGTCCAACTTGGCTATCTCTTTCCATGACTCCCCTGGTCTTGGTGGTGCCTCTCCTGTGTTTTCCACTGCACCCAGACTTTACTTCTACGCCAGAATGTACCATAATGTATTATACTCATCTGATCAGTTGCCTGCTTCCCATCCAGATCAGTGGTTCTCAAACTTTTTGATCTCAGGACCCTTTTATACTCTTAAAAATTACTGAGGCTGGGTGCAGTGGCTCATGTCTATAATCCTAGCACTTTGAGAGGCTGAGTCCAGAGGATCATCTCAGCTCAAGAGTTCAACTACAGCCTGGGAAACATGGAGAGACCCTGTCTTTACAAAAAATAAAACTTAGCCAGATGTGGTGGCATGTGCCTGTGGTCCCAGCTACTTAGGAGGCTGAGGCAGGAGGATTGCTTGAGCCCAGGAGGTCAAGGCTGCAGTGAGCTGTGTTCACACCACTGTACTCCAGCCTGGACAACACAGCAAGACTCTGAACCTTAAACAAAAAAAATTATTGAGAACCCCAAAGAGCTTTTTTGTGTGTGGAGTGTATCTATCAATATCTTTAAAACTTAAAATAGATGGTGCATGGGTAAATTGTATGGAAAAAACCTAAAATTGAAATTTAAAAATATTAATTCACTTAAAAATAATGATAAATTCATTACTTATTTACATATGTTTATGAAAAGTATGTTTTCCAAAATATTAAAAAAAAGAAGAGGGGCTTTTTTTTTTTTTTTTTTAACATTTTTGCAAATCTCTTTAATGTCTATCTAGAGAAAAGCTGGATTCTCATATCTGCTTCTGCTTTCTTTTTATGATACCCTACGTCTTACAGCCTCTCGAAAACTCTACTGTACACTTGTGAGAGAATGAGAGTGAAAAAGAAAAGGCAAACAATGACTTGATATTCCTATGAAAATAGTTTTGACCTTGCAGATTCTTTAAAGGGTCTCAAAGATCCCTAGGACTCTAGATCATGCCTCCAGAAACTTTGCTCCAAACAGTAAGCTCCTTGAAGGCCATAGTAGCCTTTTTCTTTGTAACCTCAGAATCTGAAATGGTGCATGATCTCTAACAAGTATGCAAGAAATGCTTTCTGAGTGCATGAACAAATGAACAAATAAATGGGTGAATGAACAAATAATTAAACTCAGGCTGCCTTCTAATCCATCCATTGATTATGAGTTTACACAAAATATTTAAAAATGAGAGTTTTGAAACAATAATTAAATATCAATTACCATCCATCTGAATGAGCAGTTCAGACTTGACCCTGCGACTTGCCTCATGTTCATCAGAGGTTCCTCTTCGACTGCAGATAGAATCTATCTCATCAATGAAGATCGTGGTAGGGGCATAAAATCTAGCCTTTATGAAAATATTTTAAAGAAATCATTCAATAATCTCATAAAACAATTGGAGTATTTAAAAAAATCTTTTAAAACAATGGCAAAAGAGAGCAGAAACTTCTCACTGTTTTAATGCCATCATCTGGTTATGGCAAAGGCTAAATCAATCATTCCCATGAGAAAAAAGAAATTTCTAAAAATAAAGGTTATATGGCTGGTGAAGCTGGGTGATAGATACATAGGGGTTCATTGTACTATGCTTTCTACTTTCATATCTGGAAATTTCCATAATGGAAAAATTTTTCAAAAATAAATCAACCTCAATCCTCAAATATACATTCTTAAGTTACTGCAAATCCCATATGAAAAAGGAATAAACTTTAATGACGGGTCAGACTCTGATTTTTAAAATACATATGAAAATATTCTTCTGTTCCATCAGCTCCCTAGAGATCCAGAAATACCAGTCAACCCACATATACGACCAAAGTCTCTTCTTCCACCCTGAGTGGACAGGATGCCAAAAGGCCTTGCTTTACCTTAAAGAAAAAGATACACTGAAGATACACCAACTACCCCACAAAACCCATCACCCCAATTCTCATCAGTGTGTCAAGAACTATTAAAATAGAACTACACTGCCCTTTTCAAAAAAGATTCCAGGTGGACAGAACTGATTTATGGGGGCATCATAGGCCTACACACACTACTTTGAAATCTGAATATATCGTCACTCACCATCTCAAACAACAGACGAACTAACTTCTCAGATTCACCTCTGTATTTAGATGTCAGTGTAGAAGACGAAACGTTGAAGAATGTTGTACCACATTCAGTGGCAACAGCTTTAGCTAGCATAGTTTTACCAGTGCCTGGGGGTCCAACCATCAGTACACCCTGAAATTTCAAAAGACAAATTAAATGATTTATCAGATTAAAAAATTTTTTTATAAATTATCATCAGCTATTAATGTACATTGAGATTTTTCCATCAAAAGATAAACTCAAAATTGTCACAGTAAAATCATGATGCATTTAGTAAGAGTATTATTTTATAGCTAGAAAAAATGAAGAAATTTCACAAAATGTCTCAAGCCAGAGGTAGTCAGAGATAACCTAACAAAAAGACTAGACAACAAACAAGTTTCTCATATATTTAGATATAATCTCAGTTTCCTGAACCTAGCATATGACATATACATATAATATTCAGCACTGCTTAAAAGCAACTGTTCTGTTTACACATAATAAAAATAAGACATTTTCTATCACATGTGGCAGAATTACACATTCTTTACCCTCTATAAGGGACAGAACCTATCTTCCACAGTGCATTTATAATACACAGCTTTCAGTAAAAAATAAAGACCCATTTATGAGTTAATAAGGTTAACAGTAAAAAATCCAGTGGTAATTCAAACATAATCAAATTAGCAAGATTTGTATCATTTTAATGCGTTAGCTTATATAAAATAGTAATAGTGATGAAAGAACCAGTACAGAATAAAAACTAAACTTCAGTTACTTCTTAGTTTTGAAAACAAACATAAAAGTATTCTATAAAAAGAAATCAGTGAAGAATAAAAATTATTCAAAGAATCCAACTCTCTAGTCTTAAAAACTAATGGGTTCTTAAATAATTATTTTCTTCCAGAATTTTTAATAGAGTTTAAATACATAGCTCACACTAAATTTTTTGCATAATACCTGGTGATTCCTTAAGAGGAATTCTGATCCAATTGCTACTTTGGTTTGACAAGCTTCTGGGGATTTAGGCTTTGAAAACTATGTGTATGTCAAAGTTTCATAAACTCCAAATTCAGAAACTGTCCAAATGCTTTTCTAGCTATAGAATTTTAACACAGATCAACCAGGAATCACTAAAATTTGAAACACTAGTTTTACAAAAATATTTTTTTGCTTTGTTAGGGAGCCCTCAACTTTGCATGAGGTTGAGATTTTAAAAACCATGAAAACGACCAATTGATGCTATAGGCATAACCAGAGCAAAGTTCTTATTTCTCCGATGCCTTTTTCCATGCTCTCTGAGAGGGCCATCCTGTAATGCCATTAATGTGGCCACCTCCTATAGGAGTTAATTTCTAACATTAGCAGCTGTTTATAGCTACTGTACGATATTTATAAACTTCACCTCCTCATGACATTACTCCTTTAATTAATTTCTCTCTTTCCTGTATCTCTTTGTCTACTGGCTCTTTCCCCTCGGTATACAAATATACTTTAATCTGCCACATTACAAAAATCCCTTAAGGAAAGAACAGTCTCTTCAATAAATGTTGCTGGAAAAACTGGATAGCCATATGCAGAAGAATGAAACTAGATGCTGATCTCTCACCATTTACAAACATCAAAATGGATTAAAGACCATATACAAAAATAAAATCAAAATAGGTTAAAAACCTCAAACTATGAAACTGCTAGAAGAAAACACTGGGGAAATGCTACAGGACATCAGTCCAGGCAGATTTTTTTTGTGTAAGACCTCAAAAGCACAGGCAACCAAAGCAAAAACAGATAAATAGATTATATCAAACTAAAAAGCTTCTGCACAGCAAAGGAAACAACAAAGAGACACCCCCACAATGGGAGAAAATATATGCAAAATATCCATCTGACAAGGGATTAGTAACCAGAACACATAAGCAGCTCAAGCAACTCAATAGCAAAAAGACAAATAATCCAATTTTAAAATGGGCAAAAGGTCAAAATAGACATTTCTCAAAAGAAGACATACAAATGTCCAATAGATACATGAAAAAATGCTCAACATCACTAATCATTAGAGAAATTCAAGTTAAAACCAAAATGAGATCATCTCGCTCCAATTAAAATGGCTTTCATCAAAAAGATAGCTAATAATAGATGATGGTCAGGTATGGAAAAAGGGGAATGCTCCTATACTGTTGGTGGGAGCCACTGTGGAAAACTGTGTGGAGGTTCCTCAAAAAACTAAAAGCAGATCTACCATATGATCCAGCAATTCCACTACCGGGAATATATACAAAAAAAAAAAAAGAAATCGATATGTCGAAGAATTATTTGCACTCCTGTGTTTATCACAGCACTATTCACAACAGCCAAAATACAAAATCAACCTAAGTGCCCAACAATGGATGAATGGAAAAAGAAAATGTGGTATATATACAAAACGGAATACTATTCAGCCATAAAAAGAATAAAATCGTGTCATTTATAGCAACATGGATGGAGGTGGAGGTCGTTATGTCAAATGAAATACACCAAGCACAAAAAGACACATATCACATGTTTTCATTCATTTGTGGGAGCTAAGAAAGGATCTCATGAAGACAGAATAGACTGGTGGTTACCAGAGGCTGGGAAGGGTAGGGGTCAAGGGAGAATTAAGAGAGGCTGATTAATGAGCACAGCTTGATAGATCAGTAGGGTGACCATAGTTTACAATAGTCTCTTGTATATTTCAAAATAACTAGAAGAGAATAATTTGAATGTTCTTAGCATGAAGACAAATGTTAAAGGTGGTGGATATCCCATTTATACTGATTGGATCTTTACAAATTATGTGAATGTATTAAATTATCACGAGCCCCAAAAGTATGTACATCTGTTATGTATCAATTCAAAAACACAAAAAATGTTTAAAAAACAGATAAAATTGAGACAAAAAAATTCCTTCACTTGACTCTACAAATCCTCTAGCTACTATTCACCTCTCCTTCCTCTCACAGCCAACCTTCAATGGTTTATGCTATTTCTTCCTCATAAGCTACCACATGACTTTAGTCTTCACCAATTCACTAAAAATACTTCATTTACTAACCTAATGGTCACTCTTCAGTTGCACCTCCTTCACTTCTCTCTGACCTTTGATGCTGCTGATACATGGTATTCATTCCCCTCTTCTTGAAACCCTGACACTGCTCTTTTCCTGACACTTCTGCTCTCTGGCTATGTTCACTGCCTCAGATCTCCTCTTTCCTCTGCCCTTTATATTCCCAAAGCAATTCTAAACCTTTCCCTTTACAAAACTCCTGAACAAACTCATCCATACCCAGATCATCAACCACCCTTTATATCTCACAATTTTACACTCACACTCTATCTGAAGCTCCAGGCCTCTATTTTGAATTAGCTGCTGAGTATTTACTGAAACACATTTTGTTTCTATTTAAGCCTGCTCCTTTCTCTATTTCCAATATCAGTTCCCTGTACCCTGTATAATAAAGAATTTAGCTGGCCTTTGTCTCCAGTCCCTGGAAAATAGCCTCTAAATCCTTGGAATTACCCTAGCGACAGGATTATTGTTGTTATCACAATAGGCCCTGAAATTTTATGCTAATGAGGTGACTCATGGTGGCCCCCTATATAGTTTATGCCAACAAGACTACTCAGGATGGGGGATGACCATGCCAGGAAAACCAACCATGTGATTAGAGAGCTGGGGCTTTGAGCCATGTGGTATCAACTCAACCTCTGGGAAGAGGAAGAGAACAAGAGATTAAGAACCATGGGCAATCATTCAATTGATCACGTGAGCTTCCTTAACTGGCAATATTCTGTGTATTTCTCTCAGTCCATTTGTGTTGCTACAAAGAAATACCTGAGGCTGGGTAATTTTAAAGAAAAAAAGGTTTATTTGGCTCACAGTTCTGCAGGCTGTACGGGAAGCATGGTGCCTGCACCCATTCAGCTTCTAGTGATGGCCTCATGCTGCTTCCACTTACAGAGTAAGGTGAAAAGGAGCCAGCAGCATGCAGAACTCACATGGCAAGAACAGAAACAAGAGAAAGGGGAAACAGCCAGTTCTCATGAGAATGAACAGAGTAAGAACTTGCTCATTACCATGAGGCTGGCACCATGCCATTCATGAGGGATCTGCCCCCATGGCCCAAACTCCTCCCATCAGGCACCACCTCCCAACACTACCACATCAAGAATCAAATTTCAACATGAGATTTGGTGGGACAAATATCCAAACTATATCCAAACTATAACAGTACTATCACATGTCCATGTGATGCAACAATCTCCATATTGTCACACATCCAGGAGAGCAAAGCATCCTGACTCCAGGAAGAGAGGGCGAAAGAAGCGTCACCTTCAGCATCCTTCTAGATCTCGCCCTGTAAGTTTCTCCTTTTGGCTGATTCTGATTTACATCCTTTGGCTATAATAACACTGTCATCGTAAGTACAGCTGCTCCCTGAATAACTCAGGGGTTGGGGCACCAATCCCCCACACTGTCAAAAATCTGCATATAACGTTTGATTCCCAAAAAAAAAAAATCATTGAATAGCCTATTATTGATTTGAAGACTTGCTGATAACAAAAATTGTAAACACATATTTTGTATATGTATTGTATATGGTATTCTTACAATAAAGCTAGAAAAAAGAAAACATTATTAAGAAAATTATGAGAAAATATATTTATTATTCATTAAATGGAAGTGTATCACCTTAAAGGTCTTCACCTTGGATAGGCTAAGGAGGAGAAGGAAAAGGAGGGGCTGTCTTGTTGTCTCTGGGGCAGCAGAGGCAGAAGAAAAGCCATGTGTAAGGGGACCCACGATGTTCATGCCTATGTCGTCCTGGGCTCGACTGTAAGGCTTCCCTAAGTTCTGTGAGTCATTCTAGAGAATTATCAAACCTAAGAGGGTAGTGGGAACTCCTGAATTTGTAGCCAGCTGGTCATAAGAGTGACCTGGGGACCCCCAAGTTTGTAGCTAGTGTCTGAAGTGAGGGCAGTCTTGTGGAAAACTGTGCTCTCAACCTGTGAAGTTTGGCCCTACTCTGGGTAGGTGATGTCAGAAGTCATTCAATTCAAGCCTGGAATCTGGGAGTCATACAACTTGTCTCTCTCCCGCATCCCTGTAAACAATCAGTCACTGATACCTTCTAAACATCTCTCACAAATCCATTCATTTTTCACTAACCAAAAAGCCCATGACTTTCTGCAGGCATTTGTCCTCATTGTTTGGCTAGATTATTTCAACAACCTCCTGATCAGATTACTTTTTCATATCCATCTATGTCCATCCCCAACCTGTCCTCCATACTGCTACAGAAAAGAGATCTTCCTACACTTGCAAATCACCCTTCTACTAAAAACTCTTCAATGGCTCACTGACATCTTTAGCATGGCATGCAGGGCTCTTTGTGAGAAGTAGGTCACACCAACCATTCCAGCAGTGTCTTTTGTTACTATGTCCCATATAAACACTCTATACTTCCAGCCACACTGAACTACACAAGATTCCTCACATATACTATGTTCTCTTACACTTTTCATGTGTTTGTACCTGATATCCACTCTGCCTTAGAGCCTTTCTTCATCACATCTGCCTGTTTAACTTCTATTCATCTTTCAAGTCTCAGCTCAGGGTCACCTGCTCTGGGAGGCCATCCCTGATATTATTCTCCACAGCAGACTAAGTCCCTCTTCCTCTCTTCTGCCATAGCAGTGTGTTCATTACTCTATCAGACACTAGTCACACTGTCCTCAACAAATACTGCACTTACCACATGGCCTCCATTAAATACATGCTTAATCACCCAAAGACCATGAGCTTCTTGGGGGCTATTATTCACTCATTTTGGTATCCTCTGCACTTAGCCTATCATGTGACACAAGGTAAATACTCAATAAATATGTATTTACCCAGTGTAAATTTATCCAATGCTTACTAAGTACTAGGCCCTGAGGAAAAAAAGTCGAATCTGTCAGGAATCACATATAAATCCTCAAGAGACTTTTAATCTATTAGAAAATATGGATAAATTATGGTGCAGTCTGAGAAGTGCTAAGATAGGCTGGATGATAAATGGATAGATGAACAGAGTCTCAATGTAAGAGTGATTCAAGCATATGTTTATATACTTCAGCACTGAAAATACAGTAGTCTATTTCTTGGGCATCTCCTTATTTTCTAAGTACAATTTTAAATGTTGCCTTTATAAAAATCATATAATCTGATCTTAAAACTTGTAAAGAAGGACCTCAATATTATTCTGTTAGAGAAAAGTTCATCCCAGAGATAACGTATTTTTGAAAAGGCACTTAATATGTTCATCTTTTACCTCTCTCACAAGCTTCAGCCCTGTATTTCTAACTTGGTGCATTTCCACATTAATATTATACCAAAATTTAAAACTCAAAAATAATTCCTTATCTCTTTCCCCAGAAGCACCCCCTGCTCCTACTGAACTTTCAACATCAAGAACAATAAACCAGTGTCTTTCTCCCTTCCTGAGCTCCACATTTATGTTATCATCACTATTTTGCCATAGGCAAAAGCCAATTATCTTTGCCCCTGCCTTCTTGACACATATATTACATCCAAAAGGTTACCAACTTCCTTCATTAAATATCACTAGCATCTGTCCTTCCATTCCTAATTCATAATCACCATCCCAATTCAGGCTCTTTGAATTTTAAGCCTAAACTACTGCCAATCACTTCTGAACGTGCTCTTTGCCTCCCGTCTTTCTGTGCTCATTGCAACCAGGTTGTTTTTCCCAACTCACTAATTTAACTATGCTACCTACCTGCTCAAAGAGGTCTCCCAAACACCTACAGAAAAAGAATCGAACTCCTGGGAAATACAATCTGGCCTCAACCTACCTTCCCATTTGAATCTTCCACTAATTTATATTTTCAACATTTACATAGTTCTAAGGCCTCATTAATTCATTTTAACCTCACTATATCCTATGAGATAACCATTATTATTCCCATTTTATAGATAAGGAAACTGAGTCATGGAGATGTTTCATAACTTGCTCAAGATCACAGAATAAGTGGAAAGGGCTTGAATTCACATGTACCCAGTCTGGATCCAGGATCTGTACCCCTTACCAATATTCTATGCTGCCTTCCTTACAAAACTTCAATGCATCTATTTCCCAAAAACACTTACACTTTCTCACTATATTCCACTGCCCACATCATTCATCCCCCTCTAAGTTCCTACATCTCCAAAATGTCTCCTCCAACATAGCGAAATCCTCACAACCCTACAAATTGTAGCTTGAATCCCACGTCCTCAAGCATAAAGCCTTCTTTAATCATGTCATTTTTGTGCTTTGCTGAGCTTTCCAAGCACATGTGGACTGTACCACCCATTAGGCTCTGCTAGTGCCTAACACTGAAAGCTATATGTAACTGCCCAACTCTCCATTTAGGATGTCTCATAGCTCAGGGACTATGTCTTGAAAAACAAGGAACCCTGTTTATAACAGGGCTAAATAAGTGCTTGACGGATAAAGGAATGGTATCACACAATGCAGGAGAAAGTGTGCCGCAGAAAGGCACATATAAACCTAAGAAGCTGACACACATTGAATTTTAAATTTTCTAAAGGTCTATTATGGTTGTCACAACCTATTTGGACTTCAATTTTCTAGTATGCCAAATAGTGGGGATTTGAGATGATCTCAAAGACTCATTCCAGTTCTGAAATTCTGGAATTTACATTTTGAGACCAATTTTAGAAGCTTGAAAAATTTCTGAGGTCTCCTTATTTTCATGTATTCTTTAAAATACATTTATCAGGCCTGAAACAGTGGTTTATGCTTGTAATCCCAGCACTTCGGGAGACCAAGGTGGGAGGTTCACTTGAGGCCAGGAGTTCAAGACCAACCTGGCCAACATGGCAAAACCCAGCCTCTACCAAAAATACAAAAATTAGCTGGGCATGGTGGCACGCATCTGTAATTGCAGCTACTCAGGAGGCTGAGGCACAAGAATTGCTTGAACCCAGGAGGCAGAGGTTGCAGTGAGCCAAGATCATGCCACTGCACACCAGCCTGGGCAACAGAGTGAGACTCAGTCTCAAAAAATAAATAAAATACATTTATTGTCCCATTTCAGTAAATAATCTATTCTCACAAATCCCTAAAAAATTCAGACATAACCTTTTAAAAAAACGTAATAGTTCTATTCAAGAATTTTATTCTACTGTTGCAGAAAAAAATTATTTGGTCAGGAAAAAGATTCTTTAGAAATATATCTTTATTTTCTTAATCCAGTTTGCCAATAAATACTACAAAAGCACAGCAAGGACAAAATAAATTGATAAAGTCAGATATTTTGTAATGATACAGAAGTGATTTTTTTTTTTTTTTTTTTGAGATGGAGTCTCACTCTGTTGCCAGGCTGGAGTGCAGTTGCGCGATCTTGGCTCATTGCAAACTCCAACTCGCGGGTTCAAGCAATTCTCCTGCCTCAGCCTCCCGAGTAGCTGGGATTACAGGCATGCACCACCACGCCCAGCTAATTTTTGTATTTTTCGTAAAGATGAGGTTTCACCATGTTGGGCAGGATGGTCTCGATCTCCTGGCCTCGTGATCCACCCTCCTCAGCCTCCCAAAGTGCTGGGATTACAGGTGTAAGCCACGGTACCCAGCCAAGAAGTAGTTTTTTAAAACACAGCTAAAGACCTCTTTTTAGAAAAAACATTTGTTTTCAAGTCAGTGACAAGTAAAACAAAATAATTAACCATCAGTGAGAAATATTCCAACTTTTGAAAACTGTTTGATCACACCTTTCTTCTATAAGACCATATATTATTTCTGCTTAATCTGCTTAACTTTTTATTTATAGAACCATACATCCAGAAAATTCTTAAAACTAATCTCTAGCTCAGCATCCCTGAGTGAAGTGACCTAAAGACTATATAGTTTCAACACTCCAAGCCCATCTCTCCTGCTATGCAGATGTAACACATCACAACTACAAATTCAAATCCAGGTGTTTTGGGTGTACATAAACTTCTCCCAACCTTTTCAAAATGGGTTAAATACATCAAAAACTACAGCAATGCTGCCTTTCATTCCAGTGCCAAGTAGCATTCTTATATCAAAACCAATTTAATAAATTCTCACCTTCCATGGCCTTCTAATCCCTTTGAAAAAGTCAGGCATCCACATTGGAAGAACAACAGCTTCCCTTAGCAACTTCTTAGCTTCTTCCAGATCTGCTATGTCATCCCTTTGAAAGAACAGCAAACTTTCATAATGTTTACTCAGGGATCTTTGATTTATGGTCAAAACTAATTCTTTTAATTTTTTTTTACTTATGAAATTATTCTCATAGTAAGAACATTATTCTAATTCTTACTGCATAAAAAGATCAGTGAAAACATTAGTTATTAATGAGGACATGTCATTGAATTAACAACTTGTCAGTTACACATCAACTTCAAATTAACATGTAAAATGTCCTTGGTTACATTCGACAGAACTGTCTCGTCAATTCTATACTTTCATATTATAGATGTGGTCATAATCAGATTAATGAATAACAAGAGAAAACTCACACACCAAGACAACCTATAATTTGTGTTCTCCTCTACTTTAATTCAATAATTTGAAAGACTCTAACCAATGAATGCTAGGATTCCTGGATACAATGTCTCTTTCAAGGGCTTCCACCAGATCCTTATCATAACCAGCACCATCAAATTTTGGCATTTCACCATCACTTGCACCATCTTGCATATTCTTCCTTCCCTGGGGATAGGTATAAAAAAAAAGTACTAGTCAGTAATGGATAATTTAGTTAACATCATTACGCTTTGAAAACATTATAATGCCATCACTTTCTAAATAATTTTTATTATTTTAAGGTAGTATTTTCTGATTACTCAAATGCCATTCTCCTCTATTTAATTCATCAGAAATACATGAACTGGTCAACTTTATTAAAAACTTCAAATCTACATTCTTGCAGGAACAGTTGCATGCAGGTAAGACTAAACTGATCCTTGCTAGATCCCAAAAGACTGGGAAAGCCTACCTTTGAACTGGTAGACGCAGAGGATTTCCACCACTACTAGAAAACATTTTGAATATTAATGTGGAAGGATCTTTTTAAATAGTATTAAGACCATTAAAGCAATATGCTTTACCCCAAATTCTTCATTTAATAATATAGTTGTTTTAAAAGAAATTTTATGCTATGGTTTCTATGGGGTTCTGCCAAGATTCACACAGCTTTGACGAGCTTTAAATGAAATTCACTTATTTGCCAGAGACAGTCCAACTATGGAAATACTTCAGCAAGCACAGCCAAGTGCCTCCCCAGAGCTTTAGCCCCAGTTACTGCCTAGAGTAAAAACAAAACAAGAAAATGGTCAAAATGAGTCAATCTCCTAAACTTCAACCGGAAAAGAGACAAGAGAACAAGACAAACTTCTCCAATCCCACTTCTGAGATAGTCAAAAGGCTCAATCATAAGTGCTGGAGGAAACTAAATGGCTCCCTTGGACAGATGCTCTGGTTCCTTCAAGCCACTAGGTAAGTGACCAAACAGTATTCTGGTACTTCACCCAAAAAAATAAATTATTTCTGGGCAGTATGGCGGTAGCATTAAATTTATTAGTAAATTTTCCCGAAGATTCTTGCATTCCAGATGACAGATATCAATACTGACAATATTAAAAGGAGTAAATTTTTGGCACCTACACAAGAAACATAACATCAACAAACTTAAGCTTAGGCTAGAGTCAAATTTTATAGTACAGATAGGCCAAGGCTACCAAGTCATATTCAAACAAATCACTAGGAACATTCTGTAATCATTTAAAAACTATTCTAGAAACGTATCAACGAAAGAATACAACAGAAACTGACATATCTGGAGCTTGAGCCTTCATATGGCACTGTAATTTACACTTATCAAGTTAAAATTAAAATTTCATTTTAATATGAATGTCCAAGTGGCTGGAAAGAACTTAATAAACACTACCTCAGGAGAAAGAAAAAGCTGCATGCCTATCTGAAAGTAATAGGAGTATCATAGGATTTTAAAAACAGTAAATATTTGGGCATCTTCTACGTGCAATACATGCTATTGTGCATTAGGTTTTAGAGCAGTGAATGAAAATACATTATCTGCCCTCATCAAGCATCTAGTCTAGTGGGGGAAACGAGTAACAAGTAAATAAAGCAAAAACACACATAAACTGTGAAGTGCTGTGAAAAAACCTGAGTAGCCAGTATAATAAAATGTATTGCGCAGAAGAAAGAGGTTGAAGATATGGGCAGAGGTGAGTTTGGATTTCTTCTGGCTCCTATAGAGGACGGGGTAGAGGAGGAGAATCAAAGAACTAAAAGCCTCTCACTACACTGAAGAAGAAGTGTGTGTATAGGCCAGTTAAATGACCTGCCCGAGAACCCAAAGTTTCTCAGTGGTACACATGAGACTTGAATACCGATCGAGGACTACAAAAAAGATTCTGGAAACGTTTTCAAATCAAAATGGTGAGGTTATAAAAAACAGACATAGGAAAACTAAAATTAATTTGGTTATGCCAGGAAATCAGTAAAATGGGTGACAGTTATTCTTCATAAAAAATACTTAAATTAGAATACAGACATCAAATATAAACAGCTAGATTAAATGCAATACCTAAAGGAAACTATTAGTTAAAGGAAATAAAGCTAACCTCTCCAAGATATTACTAAGTGTACATAAATACTACTAACTGCAATGTCACTGAAATGATCTTAGAATTCTTTCCTTAGATTTTCATATGAGTTGACTAAGGTCAACATTAGCAAGAATTTGATTTTTAGCATGAAGGTTGATATACTTTTTTTCTCATGAAAGCAAAATATTTTAGCTTCTTTTTACTAACATCAAAATTTCCCATATCAAGAAAGCTTTGTTACTCATCTTTCATTAGTGTTGGATAATCTTCTATTTGAGGAAAATTAGGCTCAAAGTGACTAACCAAATATTACAGAGCCAATTAATGATATAGTTTGCCCTAAAATGCAAATGTTTCTTACATTTTACTATGCAACCTCTCACACTGGCAGATTAAGTAAAACATGATCAGTTACTAGCTCTGGGTCTTGCATTTTAAGAGAAATACTGATAAATTACACCCAGGGAAGAATAATCAAGATGATAAAGGGTTCAAAACCCATGTCATATGGAGGAAGACCAAGGAAACTAGAGACATTTAAGCTGAAGAAGTAAATTCTAATGGGGCAATACAACCAACAGGCCTACTAGGTATTAAGCCAAAAAAAAAAAAAAAAAAAAAAAAAGCAAGGGCCAGTAACAAAAGAGATAGATTTCAGATCAGCAAAAGAAAGAATTTTCTAACAATAGATTCTGTCCAACAGACGAATCAACTCATTAGGTAGTAAGCTACCACGCATCGGAAATTACTGGCCAATTAGTAATAAAAATCACTGGGTCATAGTCACACGGATGTCTAAGCTTAATTATAGCTGATCTTTTTCCTGTAAAGCCACTGCCTCTCACTTGCCTAATTTATTCATCTGTTGCCTGATTTCAATGGCCCAAGGAAAGTGCAAAATTTCTTGGAAATCTCATTATTTTTCTTTTTTTTAAATTATACTTTAAGTTCTAGGATACATGTGCAGAACGTGCAGGTTTGTTCCATAGGTATACACGTGCCATGGTCATTTGCTGCACCCATCAACCCATCATCTACATTAGGTATTTCTCCTCATGTTATCCTTCCCCTAGTCCCCCACCCCCCAACAGGCCCCAGTGTGTGATGTTCCCCTCCCTGTATCCATGTCTTCTCATTGTTCAACTCCCACTTATGAGTGAGAATATGTAGTGTTTGGTTTTCTGTTCCTGTGTTAGTTTGCTGAGAATGATGGTTTCCAGCTTCATCCATGTCCCTGCAAAGGACATGAACTCATCCTTTTTTATGGCTGCATAGTATTCCATGGTATATGTGCCACATTTTCTTCATCCAGTCTACCACTGATGGGCATTTGGGTTGGTTCCAAGTCTTTGCTATTGTGAATAGTGCTGCAATAAACATACGTGTACATGTGTCTTTATAGAATGATTTATAATCCTTTGGGTATATACCCTGTAATGGGATTGCTGGATCAAAGGGTATTTCTGGTTCTAGATCCTTGAGGAATCGCCACACTGTCTTCCACAATGGTTGAACTAGTTTACAGTCCCACCAACAGTGTAAAAGCGTTCCTATTTCTCCATATCCTTTCCAGCAAACCCTTCAAAAAATCAATGAATCAAGGAGCTGGTTTTTTGAAAAGATTAGCAAAACAGATAGACTGCTAGCCAGACTAATAAAGAAAAGACAGAAGAATCAAATAGACATAATAAAAAATGATAAAACGGATATCACCACTGATTCCACAGAAATACAAACTACCATCAGAGAATACTATAAACACCTCTACGCAAATAAACCAGAAAATCTAGAAGAAATGGATAAATTCCTGGACACATACACCCTCCCAAGACTAAACCAGGAAGAAGTCAAATCCCTGACTAGACCAATAACAAGTTCTGAAATTGAGACAGTAATTAATAGCCTACCAACCAAAAAAAAGCCCAGGACCAGACGGATTCACAGCCAAATTCTACCAGAGGTAAAAAGAGGAGCTGGTATAATTCCTTCTGAAACTATTCCAAACAATTAAAAAAAAAAAAGGGACTCTTCCCTAGCTCATTTTATGAGGCCAGCCTCTTCCTGATACCAAAACCTGGCAGAGTCACAACAAAAAAAGATAATTGCAGGCCAATATTCCCGATGAACATCAAAGCAAAAATTCTCAATAAAATACTGGCAAACCGAATCCAGCAGCACATCAAAAAGCTTATCCACCACGATCAAGTTGGCTTCACCCCTGGGATGCAGGGCTAGTTCAACATACGCAAATCAAAAATGTAATCCATCACATAAACAGAATCAATGACAAAAACCACGTGATAATCTCAATACATGCAGAAAAGGCCTTCGATAAAATTCAACACCCCTTCATGCTAAAAACTCCCAATATACTAGGTATCGATGGAACATATCTCAAAATAATAAGAGCTATTCATGACAAACCCACAGCCAATATCACACTGAATGGGCAAAAGCTGGAAGCATTCCCTTTGAATACTGGCACAAGACAAGGATGCCCTCTCTCACCACTCCTATTCAACACAGTATTGGAAGTTCTGGCCAGGGCAATCAGGAAAGAGAAAGAAATAAAGGGGATTCAAATAGGAAGAGAGAAAGTCAAATTGTCTCTGTTTGCAGATGACATGACTATATATTTAGAAAACCCTATCGTCTCAGCCCAAAATCTCCTTAAGCTGATAAGCAACTTCAGCAAAGTCTCAGGATACAAAAATCAACGTGCAAAAATCACAAGCATTCCTATACAACAATAATAGAGAGCCAAATCATGAGTGAACTTCCATTCACAACTGCTACAAAGAGAATAAAATACCTAGGAATACAACTTACAAGGGATGTGTAGGACCTCTTCAAGGAGAACTACGAGCCACTACTCAAGGATACAAGAGAGGACGCAAACTAATGGAAAAACATTCCATGCTCATGGATAGAAGAATCAATATCGTGAAAATGGCCATACTGCCCAACGTAATTTACAGATTCAATGCTATCCCCATTAGCTACCATTGACTTTCTTCACAGAATTAGAAAAAAACTACTTTAAATTTCATATGGAACCAAAAAGAGCCCATATAGCCAAGACAATCCTAAGCAAAAAGAACAAAGCTGGAGGCATCATGCTACCTTGACTTCAAACTATACTACAAGGCTACAGTAACCAAAACAGCATGGTGGTACCAAAACAGATATATAGACCAATGGAACAGAACAGAGGCCTCAGAAATAATGCCACACATCTACAACCATCTGATCTTTGACAAACCTGACAAAAACAAGCAATGGGGAAAGGATTCCCTATTTAATAGACGGTGTTGGGAAAATTGGCTAGCCATATGCAGAAAACTGAAACTGGACCCCTTCCTTACACCTTATACCAAAATTAACTCAAGATGGATTTAAGACTTAAACTAACACCTAAAACCATAAAAACCCTAGAAGAAAACCTAGGCAATACCATTCAGGACATAGGCATGGGTAAAGACTTCATGACTAAAACACCAAAGCAATGGCAACAAAAGCCGAAATTGACAAATGGGATCTAATTAAACTAAAGAGCTTCTGCACAGCAAAAGAAACTATCATCAGAGCAAACAGGCAACCTACAGAATGGGAGACAATTTTTGCAATCTATCCATCTGACAAAGGGCTAATAATATCCACAATCCACAAGGAACTTAAATTTACAAGAAAAAAACACAAATAACCCCATCAAAAAGTGGGCAAAGGATATGAACAGACACTTCTCAAAAGAAGATATTTATGTGGCCAACAAACATGAAAAAAGTTCATCATCACTGGTCATTAGAGAAATGCAAATCAAAACCACAATGAGATACCATCTCACACAATTAGAATGGCAATTATTTCTTTTTTTAAAAAGTGATTTTGAATTCTATTTCATATCTGTGTTAGTTCCCCACTTTCATGTTACAATGATAACTAAAACTCATATACTGCCTACACAATGTGCCACGTATTGTTCTAAGCACTGGATATATATTAACTCTCTTATTAATCCTAAAAGTCCTATGAGGTAGGTACTCTTATTATTTCCATCTCATAGATGAGAAAACCAAGGCACAGAAAAGGTAAGTAAATTGCCCAAGGACACGCAGCTAGATCCTAGGGAATACAGCTCCAGAATCAGTGCTTTCAACCACTTTGTACCCTAGCATACTGCTGCACACCCCTGGGCTACTCTTACCCCAGTGTGAGAAACAACAAAGGAAAAAGTTAGACAAGGTTTCTAAATTGCATCCCACTCTTAAGACTTTATTTTACAAAGTAAAATAAGTTAATAAATGCAAACAGTGCTTACTAATTTCAGTATCATGCCCTGCATTTGAGTGTTAATACATTTAAATTGAAATTATGAATCCATATCATTCTGCACACCTATCAATACGTATGTTCTTTCAACAATATTTGCCAGTACTATGTGCCAAGCACTATTCTAAGCACTGAGGATATCGCAGTGAACCAAACAGAAACCCCTGCCCTCATGAGGCATATACTCAAGTTAGGAGGCACAATATATTAATAAGTAAAATATATAGTAAAACAGAGACAGAACAGCAAGTTCAAATTTGCCACAGTCAGCATATACTTCACAAATCTGAGGAACAACACAGAAACCAACAGAAAGAAATGAGAGGAGGGGAGAAAGAAGATGAGGTCAAAGAAGAAATGGATGCCAGACTATGCAGAGCCTTGTAGACCATTATAAGGACTTGGCATTTAATCTAAGATAAGAAGCCACTGAAAGTTATGAGCAGAAGACACAATCTGACCTATATTTAAGAGGAACTCTCTGGCTGCTCTGATGCCAACAAGCCAGGGACAGTGTGTTCTCTCATGTTTTATTTTACACTTTCTGTAGTATACAGAATGGCTAAAATGAGTGGTAGAGTCTGAGAGAGGATAAGAAAAAACATATACGGCTATTAAGGCCCCACATTTAATCTTACCATATAAGAAATACCAAATACCACATTAAATAAGAGCTCATGCACTCCTATTAAGACAGCCTTGAAAGTGGGAAACTTAAGATAGTTCAATAAGGATATACAAATTCTAAAATCAAGAAGCTAAAGCACTCTCACTTGGCAAGGCTGAAATACAGAAAGACTGTTCAGTCTAAGAAAAGTATGTGTATTAGTCTTCTGAATAAGAGGTTAAAATATTTGAATGCAACTCTTCCTATGACCTAAGACTCATCCCTGTCAAAGACTAAGCTGACATTTGCACAGGAAAAAAACAACGGTGGGTGAGTAAAAAACCAGAATAGCACATATTTCCACAAATGGGTTTAGAATTCTAAATCACAAGTTTGGTCAAATAGTTATTTAGATATAAAAACTACTTTACTATAATCTAGTACAACAAGGTAAAAAAAATAAAAACAAAACCCAGCACTATAAATTAGCTACCACCAGAGACAAAATTTGTGGAGCAACTTAATATTCAAAGGACAGAAAAAGATGTTTCTTAAAAACAAGTCATGATGATACAAATAGCCAATGAACATATGAAAAGGTTTTCAACTTCATAAATTATCAGGTAAATACACACCACATGGCAAATATCCTGGGAAAATCACAATGAGATATGATTATACCTAAAAAAGACTGACAACGCCGGGCGCAATGGCTCACGCCTGGATTCCCAGCACTTTGGGAGGCCAAGGCAGGTGGATCACCTGAGGTCAGGAGTTCGAGACCAGCCTGGCCAACGTGGTGAAACCCCATCTCTACTAATAATACAAAAATTGGCCAGGTGCGGGGGCTCACGCCTGTAATCCCAGCACTTTGGGAGGCCGAGACGGGTGGATCACGAGGTCAGGAGATCAAGACCATCCTGGCTAACACAGTGAAACCCCATCTCTACCAAAAATACAAAAAATTAGCCGGGCGTGGTGGTGGGCACCTGTATTCCCAGCTACTCAGGAGGCTGAGGCAGGAGAATGGCGTGAACGCAGGAGGCGGAGCTTGCAGTGAGCCCAGATGGTGCCACTGCACTCCAGCCTGGGCAACAGAGCGAGACTCCGTCTCAAAAAAAAAAAAAAATTACAAAAATTAGCCGGCTGTGGTGGCAGATGCCTGTAATCCCAGCTACTTGGAAGGCTGAGGCAGGAGAATTGCTTGAACCTGGGAGGCGGAGGTTGCAGTGAGCCCAGATTGCACCATTGAACTCCAACCTAGGCGACAAGAGCGAAATTCTGTCTCAAAAAAAAAAAAAGACTGACAACATCAAGTGTTGACAAGGATGTGGAGCAACTGAAACTTCCCCTCTGTAGGTAAGAGGGAAAACTTGTATAACCACTTTGGAAACTGGTGTTCTTCCCTAGTTTAATTTATGCATATCCTATGACCCAGCAGTTCCACTCCTAGGTATATGCTCACTAGAAATTCATGCATATATATGTCAAAGGATAAGCAGAAAACCATCCAAAGCAGCATTACTCACAAGAGTCTCAAGCTAAAAGCAACCCAAATATCCATTAATAAGAAAACAGATTTTAACTGTGATATACTACTATATGACAATGAAAATAAACTACAAATATATACAACACCATGAAATAATCTCACAAATACACCTTGAACAAAAAAAGCTGGACACAAAAGAATACTTACTGTACATAAAGTTCCAAAATGGGCATAATTAATTTATGGCATTAGAAATCAGAACAGTGGTTACCTTTGGGAAAGAGGTAAGTGGCAAGGATTGGGAGGGATCATGAATATGGCTTCTGAGGTGCCAAATGTTCGATTTCTTGACCCCAGAGCTGATGGTTACATTGAATTACAAGGCTTACATGCAGTGAGATGCTGAAGTTGTTTCTTACTAGTTTTTGAGAGCCAGCTACTAAATTTTCAGAAATTTTGTGAGCCAGCCGTGAAATGCAGCCATTAATAAATATTAAATTACACAAACTTTGAATAAGTTGTATTTTTAAAAAAGGAAATAAATACGCAAAACTCCTCACATCCTAATTATTTTACTATTACCTATTATCTTGAGGTTCCATAGTTTATTGTATCTCTATGGTGGAAACACCATAGAATGGTAGGCTGCTACCCAAACTCATCTCAACTATGAGTTCAGTGACATGATGTTGAAATCCATCATACAGGTGGTATTTATATCACAGAATTAGCAAATGCTATAAATCAGGGCTTGATTTATTGTTTTCCTGACTGTCTAGATTTAGAAAAGTAATGGGGAAAATGTTAATAATGCAGACTAAACTTAAAAGCATGTCATTTTTGCTGTTGTTACACTGTAAATAGCATAAAAAATCTGATTATTCTTCCAGTATTTGAAAACTGCTCAAGTCATTGATCAATGAGTAAAGCTCTAGCATGTTTTTATTGTTTCATTATCATCTTATTCTTTAATGTGTATACACACATACACCTTTTTTTCATAAAAGTAGTTACTAATATACACCACTGGCTAGATTATCATTATTCATCAAAAAAGTATACAATTTGTGCACTTTTCTTCAGTAGAAATATTTTCTATGAAGTCACTGTTCATTTGTATAATCAATCAATAGCTCTCAAAAGAATATGTCAATCTAGTTTGCAACATCTCTCCATATCAGATATCCCTAGACTTACTCATGAGAAGGAAAGTCTTCTCATGATAAATGGCCATTTGTTATGCACAATTTAATGAAATAAAGTCCTTTAACAACTTTAAAATGAATTCAGAGAATATAATTTGCCATACTTTAATCTGAATTCTATTTAGAAGCATATATAGCTTTAATCATGAGATAATGGAAGTACTGCTCATTTCACTGAGTTAATTAACCATAAAACTATAATCTTAAAAATACTTGGCTGGGCGCAGTGGTTCACGCCTGTAATCCCAGCACTTCGGGAGGCCGAGGCGGGCGGATCACGAGGTCAGGAGATCGAGACCATCCTGGATAACACGGTGAAACCCCATCTCTACTAAAAGTACAAAAAAATAGCTGGGCGTGGTGGCGGCCGCCTGTAGTCCCAGCTACTCGGGAGGCTGAGGCAGGAGAATGGTGTGAACCCAGGAGGCAGAGCTTGCAGCGAGCCGAGATCGCGCCACTGCACTCCAGTCTCTGGGCGACAGAGCAAGACTCTGCCTCAAAAAAAAAAAAAAAAAAAATACTTGAGAATCAGAGTTTTATAAATTAAGGTTACAAAACAAAAACATTTCTTCTGCTACCTAATATTTTACTTTTAGATTATCCTTCTTAAGTAAAAAAAATCCTTTCGTTACTTCTATGTATATATCTGACTCTAAGCTTAAATAGCAAAATAATAATAAATCCGATTTTCCCAGGTGCTATGGTCTAAATGTTTGTGTCCTTCCAAAATTCATGTTGGTATCTAAGCCCCAATGTGATGTTATTAGGAGACAGGGTTTTTGGAAGGTGGTTAGGTCAATGAGGCTTCTGCCCTCATGAACAGAATTAGTGCCCTAATAAAAGATTCCCAAGGGAGCCTGTTGGCCCCTTCCATCCTGTAAGGACACATAAGAAGGTGCCATCTAGAAGGAACAGACCCTCAGCAGATACCAAATCTGCTAGTGGCTTGATTTTAGACTTCCCAGCCTCCAAAACTGTGAGAAATAAATTTCTACTCCTTCTAAATTACCCTGTGTAAGCTATTTTGTCATAGTAGGAAGAGACCAGACACACTGAAATAAAACAGAAAAAATATAGCTTAAAAGTTAATTTATTCAGGCCAGGAGCTACATTTCATTAACGTTTGTATTTCTAGCACCTAGAAGTATTACTGACACAAATGTGCACTTAATAAAGATGTGTCCAATAAACAGAGTACTAACTAGCCTTATGGATGACCCTGTAGACCTCAGGGGGGAAAATGATAAAGCCTCAACAATAGATCACTATGCAAAGTGATTGTTACTTACTGAAAAACAGCATTTTAAGCTTGGATCTAACCTGAAGCCTGTCAGTAATTTTAAAAAAGAAAAAGAAAAAAGACATAATCAGTCTCAGAAAATAAACTCGTATTATTATAAGAAGACAGTAAGCATTTTCAAATAAGAGTCTGTATAGCATAATGATTAAAAAACTCAGGTATTACACATAGACAAGGTTCAAATCCTAGTTCACCATCTATTTGCAGTTAAGACTTCAGTGTCTCAATTTCTCTACACATAAAACAGGAAAAATAATGCTGAGCTCACAGGATTATGCAGGGATCAAATAAACCAATAAATGTAAAAAGCTTCAAAGCGGGCTTTTTTTGTAGAAAGCTTCAAAAAGGATAAGTGCGCTCAAGGAAGACTAACATTTGCTACTACTGCTATTATTAGTTGTTCCATCATACAGTTCCCAACACCAAATTAAAAATCCAAAAATATACCAGGGACCTTAAGCAAGATATGTCTAACTTCTCTTATCCTCAATTTTTTTTACATCTATAAAGTTAAGTACATAGTTAGAGTGCTGCAGCAGCTTTCAAAATTCTGACCCAGGCACAAAGTAATAAATGCATTCTGGATCATGAGCTGGTGTACATAAACATATGAATAAATTTGTATATATTTTTATCAAAATAATACTGTACTTATGGGCAATAAACTGAGTTTTCTGTTCTACTCTGCTTCAATTTTAAAGCTGGCAGCAATACACAAAACTGATCTTAAGAAAAACAAATACAATAAACACTGGGGACTCCCATATCTCTGAGGGTACTTCCAAACAACACTAATTTTCCTTTCTTTTTTTTTTTTTTGAGACCAAGTCTCGCTCTGTTGCCCAAGCTGGAGTGCAGTGGCTGGATCTCAGCTCACTGCAACCTCTGCCTCCCTCCCAGGTTCAAGCGATTCTCATGCCTCAGCCTCCCAAGTAGCTGGGATTACAGGCATGCACCACCACACCCAGCTAATTTTTGTGTTTTTAGTAGAGACGGGGTTACACTATGTTGCCCAGGCTGGTCTTGAACTCCTGGGCTAAAGTGATTCACCTGCCTTGGCCTCCCAAAGTGCTGGGATTACAGGCGTGAGCCACTGCCCCTGGCCCCAACACTCATTTTCAAATGAGCTTTTAGCAGAAGTGGGTATCTATTAGTTTCACCTAAGCTGCCTCAAAACCTATCGCAGCCTTCAGTGAGTTTCAGGAACTTCAGTATCCTAATGAATATTTGTGTGGTTACAAAAATTGTAACTGAGTCAAATATACCTTTCAAAGGCTTATGAAGTTTGCATGAGTTTGTTTTGAAAAACTGTAGTCCCCTCTGTTTCCACAGTGACTCAGAACATATCTTTTATCTCCAAACAACTGCGGAGTTCTTTTCTTTTCTTACATAAAAGGGTTACTTTCTAGTGACATTCTGAGTACTTACATGTCAATGAAAGAATAACTAAGATTTAGAAAATCATTTGATAACATTATAAATGAAAGACAATTTATAATTTCCAGGAAAAAAAATGTATTGACCATCCTGGCTAACATGGTGAAACAACGCCTCCACTAAAAATACAAAAAAAATTAGCCGGGCATGGTAGCGGGTGCCTGTAGTCCCAGCTACTTGGGAGGCTGAGGCAGGAGAATGACGTGAACCTGGGAGGTGGAGCCTGCAGTGAGCTGAGGTTGTGCCACTGCACTCCAGCCTGGGCAAGAGCGAGACTCCATCTCAAAAAAAAAAAAAAAAAAAAATGTATTTGACATTCAAAAAATGCTGCTTGATTATTTTGTTCTTTGCTTAAGAGTCACATTTAAAAACCAACATTTAATTGTTCTGGATCTCTTTTGGTAAATCCAATCCAGACTTTTCATCTAGCTTGGTAGGTGGGGAACTACATAACATGAAAAATCTTAAGGTTAAACAGGAAAAAGATGTGTGACTTCACAAATTCCATTCTTCCAGTATCCATGTCTCACTGTGAGACGCTGGCAAGTTTTAGCGCTCTGTACCACAGTTTCTTCATCTGTAAAGTCGGGATAGTAAGACACCTACTTCACGGGATTGCTTCATGAATTACTGTTTAATCACTTTGAACGGTGCCCAGCAAAGCAGCATCCAGTAAACCGTCACCATGGTTTCTCTTATGTAAATTCAAGACTGAAAGTTCCTTACCCTGTTCTAAAGGTTTATCTAAAAGCTACTAGCAAACTGGAGGTTGGATTTCAGCCGGTACTGTATTCTCTATAATGCAAACCAATGTTAGCTGCATAAAAATGAAGAAAAGAAACAAAAATAATATTTAAGATAAAGAGTTTCAAGTATCCATTTATGTGGCTTTTGATAATGGAGGGAACAAATTTTAAAAGTTAATGTATTTATTACTACCCTTCACTAATCCCAAAAAGGATCTGAAATAGAATCACTTGCTGTTTCATGGCATAAAAGCTCCCACAAACTACAAACATTAAAAAAATCTAATTCATTTTCAGTGTCCTATTGAGGCAGGGAGGTAGAATATGTCTTTGAACTATCTCATAAATAGAAATATTCAGAAAACACCAATTTTATTCTATCTTGGTCTATGTATTATGGCTATAAGACCTAGGAAGTTGGTCTGGAGTCCTTACCTACAGATCAAAATTACACGTAATAAAAATATTCAAATACAGTTTTGATGGATAACCACTTGTTATTAGATATATCTTTATTATACATATCATGGCCTGAATGTGATGACAGATCCTGAATCTCTAACTAGTAAAATAAAACTTTTCTGTGGCAATTTGATTACATTATCATTCATTTATGACATCACGGTGGAAACAGGAAATACTATCACTTAAAAATTTTTCTCTTTTTACTAAAATTAAGGCCTAAGAGACACATCAGATCATCCTGGCTACCTCCTTAATCTGTAAGATTATCTTCAACCCACTGTCCTAAGTCCATTTTAAGGGAAGTACAATTTCCACCGAATACTATGTTTATTCACCAATCAATTTCCTAAATAAGTACGTGTGCACAATGAACCCTAAGCAAGGGGAATCTTCTCAAGGAAAAGAAAAAAAATCTTGTTCTACTATAATCTACAGATAAATCAAAGATACTTATTTTTGGCAGTAGTAAATCATATCCCTCATCTTATTCTGTGAACAGATACATCTACCTTCTTGTCTTTCCCCATAACTATTTTCATTTATTGCTCATTTCTATTCAGAATACTTATTAAAATATTTTTCAAAAAAGTTTTAAAGCCGTATTTTTTCTTACAAGGGATCCATTTCACTAAATATTTTTATACATGTATGTGTATATAGATATTTACTACGCCTCTGAGGTGATTTGCATTGCAGCATGGCCTTCAAAATACAAAGACTACTTAGGCTTTGAATGAGACTTTTTTCTAACTCTTCCACGTCAAAACCAGGGTATCTTGAAAAGCCAACAAAAATCATAACATCCACCAAAAGTCCTGGGCTTCAAGTGAGTGAATTACAGAAAGACAGCATCTTGCCTTGTCATCTCTCCCTCTTGCTCTATAGTCCTTGTCCCTACTTGTAGAAGGCTTTTCACTCTTTGATATAGGATGTGCTCGGCCTACAGGTCCCCGGGCTCCTACTCCTGCCATTTCTTTCCTCAGAGGTCTTACTTCTCGATTGGGACGCCTGATCTGAGGTGGAGCTCTGACAAAAAAAAAAAAAAAAAAATTAAAATTAAAATTAAAATTAATCAAAGGCAAAAGTATGTCAATACTATCTTAGTCAATAAAATTGTTAAATCAAAAAGCCCGAAAGCTAATTTTTTCACCTTTGGCCAATTCATGGCCACAACTATTAGGTTAGTTTTCCCAAATTCTTTTTTCTAAAATATACTGGCTGATACAATTATTAAATACACACAAATGACACATAAAGCAGCAATTATTCTGTCAAAAGTTAATTATTAATCACCAATAGAGGGCAACACAGACTATCCCTATCTAATAATCTTAACAACATAATGGAAAGGCAATAATTTTATTCATTACTGTCCTAAACCAAGAATAAGTAACTTTTTTTTAGAAAAAAGCATTAAAAGCTGTAAGGACAGAAGTTCTAAATAAGTCTATTTGTACAGTTTACTAATTTCTGTTTTACAACCAAGATGATTTTCTCTGCTTCTATAATGGAAAATTAAACATTTCATTCATCAAATTACAAATGGCAGAGCTAACAATGAAATCTTCTTTAAGTAATTATGTTTTAAAATATTCATGTTTTGAGAATGTCTAAAAATCACAGAATCATTCAAATTATACAGTCCTCCAAATGTGATTAAAAATTTTGATAAATACATATAAGTATGCATGCAAAATAACATATTTTGTTTCATCTACTGTGGAACTTGTCTCCTGCAAACATTAAAGTTTTGAGGCTTCTCAGCACAGTTTTTGTCTCTTTTTGATTCTTGGGAAAGGGACTCTATCACTTCGTGTCTAATCTTAGTTCTCTCTTGAAATGTCTCTACCTCTGTTTTCCTACCTTTTCTCTTTCTATAGCTATGTATGTATCTGTAGCCCTCTAGATCCCATATGTGTATTCCATTTTTAACCACATGCCATATCTATTATTATCCCCTTTCCAGCCTCACACTTATAATTCACCTAACTCATCATGGAGTTCCGTTCCTCATATCAGAAAAGGTGACACATATGCATAATTCAAAGATAGGAAAATGGATAAAAAGCCATGAAGGTTGCAAACTAAGGGCCAAAACAGTAAGAAAAAGAAAAAAAAAGAAAAAAAAATGTGTTAACATGTTGTGAGTCTGATACAGCATATTTAGATGTTGGAATTAGACTACATCGTGAAATTTCTAGAAGGCCGGCAAAAACCGTATGTCTATCTATGAGGTAAACATACACTGACATCTTAATCCTTGGAGTTCAGTCCAGTTAAACAAGTATTTACTGAGGCACCCATTAGGTGGTATATGGCCTCTACCACACTGACCCTAGGAGGAGACAAAGACAAGCAATCTTGTGAAAGAAATCCTCAGGAAAGCAACTACAAAATAGTGCATAGTAATGGCTATGAGGCATTTTAAAATTTAAAGTATTATTACATTATCATCTTTAGGACATTAGTAGTCTTTTAAGCATTCTACCTATAAAATAAAAATGTGACGAGTCTGGTAAAGAATAAAAAATTGTAATTGTTAAATTGCTCTATTTCTAGTATTTCAATGTGACCACTGTTTTTTGACCTAATTTTTTTTTTTTGGATGAAGGGGTGGAAAGTAATAGAGTAAAACTTTACTTTTATTTGTATACACTTGTGTACATATAAATGTCTTTCCTGAGTCAGATTTATGGGTATGGCCAAAGACAATAAAATGAGACCAACAATCTTTTCCACACAGAATTTGCATCAAGTTTGCTCTTTTGTAAGCGGCTTCACCTGCTATTTAAATAGTCTGTTTTCTTTGTGGTCCTGCTTTTTAGACTCAAGAGCTAGCCAGAGCCTCTGCTCACCAACAGCAATCCCATCCCTCCCAGCTGGATGCCAGGCTGCTTGCCCATGGCTGGGCTTGCTGTGACCTCACTGCTCAGGGTGCACTGCAGCAGGTCTCAGACAACATTCCTTCTGCCTCCTCAGCTTGCGCTTTCCCCACCTCAGCTTGCGATTCAATGGCCGCCTAGGAGTCCTGCTGTAGTCCATTCTCCACACAAATCCCGCTCAGTAAAGCTGTATTGTGGAAGAATTGGTTCAAAGCTCTTACACAGGCTGCATTCTGAGTGTTTGCCATTACTGACCTTGTTCTGCCACTGAATATTCTGATGGGCTCCTAAATAGTCTGAGTGAAACTGCTCAAGAAGCCAGACGTGTCGTTTGTGGCAAGGCCCCTGTCTCATAGGAAGTGTGCCTCTGCTTTGTAAGTCTTCAGTTCCATCTCACTGCAATTGGATATTACATTTGTAACAGACTCTGTGGACTTCCCAAAGGACATCCTTGATTCTGTTCTGTACTTCTTTGTCCACTAGCACATCACTGCACAATGTCATGCTTCAATTTAAGGACTCAGTGACAGCTTCCAGGCTGTGTAAACAATAAAGGTCTCAAGGCTTCTTTTACTAGTCTCTCTGTAAAAATAGACTTTAGTAGGATTACATAGCATCCTTGACCTCTGCTCTAATGGTCAAACAGACTGACACAGTACTAGCTTACGGCACTTCAAATTTAGAGAATAACTGGTTAGATCTGCAGGTGAAAGACAAAAATATCTGTGCTGTGTTCAATTCTCCTATTTGAGATTTCCCTATAGGAATAAGAAATATGCCTTATTCTATCACATGCAAATAAGCCTCATCTCCTTCGAAATCCAATACTTCCTCTTTCAAAGCTATATTAAATATCAATATTATTTGTAAATGTTATTGGTACTGCTTTATATAGTCTAGATACGAGTCCTATGTCACATATATGCTTTGCAAATATCTTCTCCCAGTGTGTGATTTGCTCTTTTCTTTATTTTTGCATTTTATTTTCAACTTTTATTTTAGATTCAGGGGTACATGTACAGGTGCAAGTCTGTTATAAAGGTATTTTACCTCTCTTAATGGTATCTTTCTTGATAAAGAGGTCATGATTCTGTAAGTCCAATTTATCAATATTTTATATTTAATGCTTTAGTGGCCAGTTTAATAAATCTTTGCCTACCGCAAGATCATGATGATATCCCTCCCATGTTTTCTTCTAGAAGTTTTACTTTATTACTTTTAATATTTTAGGTATTGGTTATTTTATATTAATTTTTGTACGACGTGAGGTGGGGAAGAAGAGTATCTCGATTTTTTTTCACCCAAATGGATAATCAATTACCCCAGAAGCATTTACTGATAGGACCCACCTTTTTCTACTAAATTTCAGTGGTGTCTTCACAAACCAAGTAACTTTCCAGAATTTAATCATTAAGGATAACTTCTGGTTCTAAAAAGGACTTTAGAATTTTTTAATTATTTGCTATCAGATTATAAACAAGTATCGTAAGTAGGAATCTTTAAAATATTATTAATTCTTTCAACAAATAGCTAAATCTTAATGAATGAAAGGCACTATGCTATACAACGTAAAAGGCTGTATTAAGGGTCGGACACAGTGGCTCACACTTGTAATCCCAGCACTCTGGGAGGCCGAGACAGGCAGATCACTACAGGTCAGGAGTTCCAGACCAGCCATGCCAACATGGCGAAACCCTGTCTCTACTAAAAATACAAAAATCAGCTGTACATGGCGGTGGGCACCTGTAATCCCAGCTACTCAGGAGGCTGAGGCAGGAGAATCACTTGAATCTGAGAGGCAAAGGTTGCAGTGAGTTGAGATCGTGCCACTGCATTCCAGCCTGGGCCACACAGCAAGGCTCCATCTCAAAGAAAAAAAAAAAAGTGGGGGGAGGAGCCAAGATGGCCCAATAGGAACAGCTCCGGTCTACAGCTCCCAGTGTGAGCGACGCAAAAGACCAGTGATTTCTGCATTTCCATCTGAGGTACTGGGTTCATCTCACTAGGGAGTGCCAGACAGTGGGCGCAGGTCAGTGGGTGTGCGCACCGTGCACGAGCCGAAGCAGGGCAAGGCATTGCCTCACTCGGGAAGAGCGAGGGGTCAGGGAGTTCCCTTTCCTAGTCAAAGAAAGGGGTGACAGACGGCACCTGGAAAATCGGGTCACTCCCACCTGAATGCTGCGCTTTTCTGACGGTCTTAAAAAACGCGGCACCAGGAGATTATATCCCGCACCTGGCTCGGAGGGTCCTATGCCCACGGAGTCTTGCTGATTGCTAGCACAGCAGTCTGAGATCAAACTGCAAGGCAGCAGCAAGGCTGGGGGAGGGGCGCCCACCATTGCCCAGGCTTGCTTAGGTAAACAAAGCAGCCGGGAAGCTCGAACTGGGTGGAGCCCACCACAACTCAAGGAGGCCTGCCTGCCTCTGTAGGCTCCACCTCTGGGGGCAGGGCACAGACAAACAAAAAGACAGCAGTAACCTCTACAGACTTAAATATCCCTGTCTCACAGCTTTGAAGAGAGCAGTGGTTCTCCCAGCACGCAGCTGGAGATCTGAGAACAGGCAGACTGCCTCCTCAAGTGGGTCCCTGACCCCGACCCCCCAGCAGCCTAACTGGGAGGTACCCCCCAGCAGGGGCAGACTGACACCTCACACGGCTGGGTACTCCAACAGACCTGCAGCTGAGGGTCCTGTCTGTTAGAAGGAAAACTAACAAACAGAAAGGACATCCACACCAAAAACCCATCTGTACATCACCATCATCAAAGACCAAAAGTAGATAAAACCACAAAGATGGGGAAAAAAACAGAGCAGAAAAACTGGAAACTCTAAAAAGCAGAGTGCCTCTCCTCCTCCAAAGGAATGCAGTTCCTCACCAGCAACGCAACAAAGCTGGACGGAGAATGACTTTGATGAGCTGAGAGAAGGCTTCAGACGATCAAATTACTCTGAGCTATGGGGGGAAATTCAAACCAAAGGCAAAGAAGTTGAAAACTTTGAAAAAAGTTTAGAAGAATGTATAACTAGAATAACCAACACAGAGAAGTGCTTAAAGGAACTGATGGAGCTGAAAACCAAGGCTCGAGAACTACGCAAAGAATGCAGAAGCCTCAGGAGCCGATGAGATCAACTGGAAGAAAGGGTATCAGCGATGGAAGATGAAGTGAATGAAATGAAGCGAGAAGGGAAATTTAGAGAAAAAAGGATAAAAAGAAATGAGCAAAGCCTCCAAGAAATATGGGACTATGTGAAAAGACCAAATCTACATCTGATTTGTGTACCTGAAAGTGACGGGAGAATGGAACCAAGTTGGAAAACACTCTGCAGGATATCATCCAGGAGAACTTCCCCAATCTAGCAAGGCAGGCCAACATACAGATTCAGGAAATACAGAGAACGCCACAAAGATACTCCTCGAGAAGAGCAACTCCAAGACACATAATTGTCAGATTCACCAAAGTTGAAATGAAGGAAAAAATGTTAAGGGCAGCCAGAGAGAAAGGTCGGGTTACCCACAAAGGGAAGCCCATCAGACTAACAGCGGATCTCTCGGCAGAAACTCTACAAGCCAGAAGAGAGTGGGGGCCAATATTCAACATTCTTAAAGAAAATAATTTTCAACCCAGAATTTCATATCCAGCCAAACTAAGCTTCATAGTGAGGGAGAAATAAAATACTTTACAGACAAGCAAATGCTGAGAGATTTTGTCACCACCAGGCCTGCCCTAAAAGAGCTCCTTAAGGAAGCACTAAACATGGAAAGGAACAACCGATACCAGCCGCTGCAAAATCATGCCAAAATGTAAAGACCATCGAGACTAGGAAGAAACTGCATCAACTAACGAGCAAAATAACCAGCTAACATCATAATGACAGGATCAAATTCACACATAACAATATTAACTTTCAATGTAAATGGACTAAATGCTCCAGTTAAAAGACACAGACTGGCAAATTGGATAGAGTCAAGACCCATCAGTGTGCTGTATTCAGGAGACCCATCTCACGTGCAGAGACACACATAGGCTCAAAATAAAAGGATGGAGGAAGATCTACCAAGCAAATGGAAAACAAAAATAGGCAGGGGTTGCAATCCTAGTCTCTGATAAAACAGACTTTAAACCAACAAAGATCAAAAGAGACAAAGAAGGCCATTACATAATGGTAAAGGGATCAATTCAACAAGAACAGCTAACTATCCTAAATATATATGCACCCAATACAGGAGCACCCAGATTCATACAGCAAGTCCTGAGTGACCTACAAAGAGACTTAAGACTCCCACACATTAATAATGGGAGACTTTAACACCCCACTGTCAACATTAGACAGATCAACGAGACAGAAAGTCAACAAGGATACCCAGGTATTGAACTCAGCTCTGCACCAAGCGGACCTAATAGACATCTACAGAACTCTCCACCCCAAATCAACAGAATATACATTTTTTTCAGCACCACACCACACCTATTCCAAAATTGACCACATACTTGGAAGTAAAGTTCTCCTCATCAAATGTAAAAGAACAGAAATTATAACAAACTATCTCTCAGACCACAGTGCAATCAAACTAGAACTCAGGATTAAGAATCTCACTCAAAACCGCTCAACTACACGGAAACTGAACAACCTGCTCCTGAATGACTACTGGGTACATAACGAAATGAAGGCAGAAATAAAGATGTTCTTTGAAACCAACGAGAACAAAGACACAACATACCAGAATCTCTGGGACGCATTCAAAGCAGTGTGTAGAGGGAAATTTATAGCACTAAATGCCCACAAGAGAAAGCAGGAAAGATTCAAAATTGACACCCTAACATCACAATTAAAAGAACTAGAAAAGCAAGAGCAAACACATTCAAAAGCCAGCAGAAGGCAAGAAATAACTAAAATCAGAGCAGAACTGAAGGAAATAGAGACACAAAAAACCCTTCAAAAAATTAATGAATCCAGGAACTGGTTTTTTGAAAGGATCAAAAAAATGGATAGACCGCTAGCAAGACTGATAAAGAAGAAAAGAGAGAAGAATCAAATAGATGCAATAAAAAATGGTAAAGGGGATATCACCACCGATCCCACAGAAATACAAACTACCATCAGAGAATACTATAAACACCTCTACGCAAATAAACTAGAAAATCTAGAAGAAATGGATAAATTCCTCGACACATACACCCTCCCAAGACTAAACCAGGAAGAAGTTGAATCTCTGAATAGACCAATAACAGGAGCTGAAATTGTGGCAATAATCAATAGCTTACCAACCAAAAAGAGTCCAGGACCAGATGGATTCACAGCCGAATTCTACCAGAGGTACAAGGAGGAACTGGTACCATTCCTTCTGAAACTATTCCAATCAATAGAAAAAGAGGGAATCCTCCCTAACTCATTTTATGAGGCCAGCATCATCCTGATACCAAAGCCGGGCAGAGACACACCCAAAAAAGAGAATTTCAGACCAATATCCTTGATGAACATTGATGCAAAAATCCTCAATAAAATACTGGCAAACCGAATCCAGCAGTACATCTAAAAGCTTATCCACCATGATCAAGTGGGCTTCATCCCTGGGATGCAAGGCTGGTTCAATATACACAAATCAATAAATGTAATCCAGCATATAAACAGAACCATAGACAAAAACCACATGATTATCTCAATAGATGCAGAAAAGGCCTTTGACAAAATTCAACAACGCTTCATGCTAAAAACTCTCAATAAATTAGGTATTGATGGGACGTATCTCAAAATAATAAGAGCTATTCATGACAAACTCACAGCCAATATCATACTGAATGGGCAAAAACTGGAAGCATTCCCTTTGAAAACGGGCACAAGACAGGGATGCCCTCTCTCACCACTCCTATTCAACATAGTGTTGGAAGTTCTGGCCAGGGCAATTAGGCAGGAGAAGGAAATAAAGGGTATTCAATTAGGAAAAGAGGAAGTCAAATTGTCCCTGTTTGCAGACGACATGATTGTATATCTAGAAAACCCCATCGTCTCAGCCCAAAATCTCCTTAAGCTGATAAGCAACTTCAGCAAAGTCTCAGTATACAAAATCAATGTACAAAAATCACAAGCATTCTTATACACCAACAACAGACAAAATCATGAGAGAACCAAATCATGAGTGAACTCCCATTCACAATTGCTTCAAAGAGAATAAAATACCTAGGAATCCAACTTACAAGGGATGTGAAGGACCTCTTCAAGGAGAACTACAAACCACTGCTCAAGGAAATAAAAGAGGATACAAACAAATGGAAGAACATTCCATGCTCATGGGTAGGAAGAATCAATATCGTGAAAATGGCCATACTGCCCAAGGTAATTTACAGATTCAATGCCATCCCCATCAAGCTACCAATGACTTTCTTCACAGAATTGGAAAAAACTACTTTAAAGTTCATATGGAACCAAAAAAGAGCCCACATCGCAAAGTCAATCCTAAGCCAAAAGAACAAAGCTGGAGGCATCACACTACCTGACTTCAAACTATACTACAAGGCTACAGTAACCAAAACAGCATGGTACTGGTACCAAAACAGAGATATAGATCAACGGAACAAAACAGAGCCCTCAGAAATAACGCCGCATATCTACAACTATCTGATCTTTGACAAACCTCAGAAAAACAAGCAATGGGGAAAGGATTCCCTATTTAATAAATGGTGCTGGGAAGACTGGCTAGCCATATGTAGAAAGCTGAAACTGGATCCCTTCCTTACACCTTATACAAAAATTAATTCAAGATGGATTAAAGACTTAAATGTTAGACCTAAAACCATAAAAACCCTAGAAGAAAACCTAGGCATTACCATTCAGGACATAGGCATGGGCAAGGACTTCATGTCTAAAACACCAAAAGCAATGGCAACAAAAGACAAAATTGACAAATGGGATCTAATTAAACTAAAGAGCTTCTGCACAGCAAAAGAAACTACCATCAGAGTGAACAGGCAACCTACAAAATGGGAGAAAATTTTCACAACCTACTCATCTGACAAAGGGCTAATATCCAGAATCTACAATGAACTCAAATTTACAAGAAAAAAACAAACAACCCCATCAAAAAGTGGGTTAAGGACATGAACAGACACTTCTCAAAAGAAGACATTTATGCAGCCAAACAACACATGAAAAAATGCTCATCATCACTGGCCATCAGAGAAACGCAAATCAAAACCACAATGAGATACCATCTCACACCAGTTAGAATGGCAATCATTAAAAAGTCAGGAAACAACAGGTGCTGGAGAGGATGTGGAGAAATAGGAACACTTTTACACTGTTGGTGGGACTGTAAACTAGTTCAACCATTGTGGAAGTCAGTGTGGCGATTCCTCAGGGATCTAGAACTAGAAATACCATTTGACCCAGCCATCCCATTACTGGGTATATACCCAAAGGACTATAAATCATGCTGCTATAAAGACACATGCACATGTATGTTTATTGCGGCATTATTCACAATAGCAAAGACTTGGAACCAACCCAAATGTCCAACAATGATAGACTGGATTAAGAAAATGTGGCACATATACACCATGGAATACTATGCAGCCATAAAAAATGATGAGTTCACGTCCCTTGTAGGGACATGGATGAAATTGGAAATCATCATTCTCAGTAAACTATCGCAAGAACAAAAAACCAAACACCGCATATTCTCACTCATAGGTGGGAATTGAACAATGAGAACACATGGACACAGGAAGGGGAACATCACACTCTGGGGACTGTTGTGGGGTGGGGGGACGGGGGAGGGATAGCATTGGGAGATATACCTAACGCTAGATGACGAGTTAGTGGGTGCAGCGCACCAGCATGGCATATGTATACATATGTAACTAACCTGCACATTGTGCACATGTACCCTAAAATTTAAAGTATAATAATAATAAATTTAAAAAATAAAAAATAAAAAAATTAAAAAAAAAGAAAAAAAAGCATTCCCTCATTATCTAAGCAAATCAATCACATTCAGAAATATATTGAGCACCACAGACAACGTTATGATACAAGTTGATATGAGTTGTTTTGTATCCTCAAGGGTGCTTTTTGTGCAGAGAATACTCTTCAGAGGCTTACTTTGATTTTTAAAATATTCAACTTATTAAATTTAACTATGCAAAAAATAAGTTTTTCCTTAAAGCTTTCAGATTCAGCTAGTTTTTTTTTCTACTTATGAGCCTAGCAGATTTTAGAAGTCCCTTTTAAGAGATTTTTTTTTTTTTTAAATCAGTCTCTTGGCCAGGCGTGGTGGCTCACACCTGTAATCCCAGCACTTTGGGAGGCTGAGGCGGGCAGATCACCTGAGGTCAGGAGTTCGAGACCAGCCTGCCCAACATGGGGAAACTCCGTCTCTACTAAAAATACAAAAAATTTGCCAGGCATGGTGGCACGTGCCTATAATCCCAGCTACTTGAGAGGCGGGGGCAGGAGAATTGCTTGAACCCAGGAGGTGGAGGTTGCCATGAGCCGAGTTTGTGCCACTGCACTCCAGCCTGGGCAAGATGAATGAAACTCCATCTCAAAAAAAAAAAAAAAAAAAAAAAAGTCTCACTCACTCTGCCACCCAGGCTGGAGTGCAGTGGCCCACTCTCAGCTCACTGCAACCTCTACCTCCCAGGTTCAAGCGATTCTTCTGCCTCAGCTGGGATTACAGGAATGTGCCACTATGCCCAGCTAATTTCTGTATTTTTGTGGAGACAGGGTTTCACCATGTGGGCCAAGCTGGTCTTGAACTCCTGTCCTCAAGTGATCCGCCCACCTCGGCCTCCCAAAGTGCTGGGATTACAGGGGTGAGCCACTGCACCTGGCCCGCTTTTAAGAGATGTTAAAATAATGCTTGGTCCCAATTACAAACCTGGTTAATAAAATGCCACCACAATTTTGTAACCAACATTTATAAATTTAATATATTTTCTTCTTAGTTCTTGCCTTACTTAGTAAAGCATAATTTACATATAATTACTTTTATAAACATAATAAATTAAGTTTACAAATAAGATAATATTAAATTTCTCCTAAGAGTTCCAATAAAGTACTTAACATGCATTTTCATGCATGAAAAAAATCACAAGTCTAAATCATTCCATAATACATTTAAAGTGGAATTGCATGCATGTCACCCTCATTAGCCCATTTTCTTAAATATTCCAAATACATAAAAAATAAATATGCAAATATACACATATCCTTTAACAGAAAAATATTACCAGTTTTTATCCTCTTAGACATGCCTAGCCTTAATTTTAAATCTCCCTGGAGTTAAAAGATCTGCTTAACTACTACAGAAAACACTTATCATCCAACTTAACCAAGGTAATAGTAAACCAGAAATTTCAGATGGTTTAAGATCTGGAGGTACAGACATACTTCTCACACCAAAAATTATACAATCCCATTTAATATGTTGGGGGTTGGATTCCTAGCATTTTGATGTTACCCACAACAGTTATTTAAGCTGGGATATTGAGTGGATTCTTGTCAGTGTTTCGGATGAGCCATACTAAATCTTATTTAGAGTTGCTAAGCCATTCATTCAATCATTTTGAGAGTGGGGCAAGGGGTGTGAAAACTACTAAACCTTTCACTAATGATGGAATTCCATCATTCCCAGGCAAGTTAATCACTGCCTGTATCTTGCTTTTCTTTGGCTCCACAGATAGGTCGTTGCCTTTACCATTAAATTCTAAAAATCTCTGAACTTGAAAAACCTAAGATACTTAATTTATTTTTTGCCTAACTCTAAAGACTTTAAAACTTGACGAACAATGATATTTTTTCATATTATCAGGACTATACAACTTCTACTCTACAGATAATAAAATAGTGTCAGTTGAACTTTAGATAAATTCTCACAGGTCTTTGTCCAGTTTATCGTCAACTTCTGAGATTATTCTACTGATTTATAAAACCAAGTGGATACTAAAAGCATGTGACATACTGCCAGCATTCACCAAGCCTATAATTTAGCTGAATGTACATACATATTTTACAATTATACTAGACATCTCTTTCTGTTCACATAAACCCTACAACTAAAGCCTTGCTGAAGAAGAGTCCTCAACTCAAATATAAACAAGTCACACAAAGAAAACAAATTGTAAGATAAGCCCCTCAAGAACTGATAATAGAACTACAAAAATAATATGCAGTGACAACAAAAATAAATAAGCTGAAAACCTTCCCACAATAAAACATGCAGGAATTCTAAGTAAAATGTAACCAATATCCTTTTACATACATAGCTGATCTTACCATAAGGTAAGTGAAATACCTAACAGCCAAGAAAGAGAGAGAGAGAAATAGAAGCACATGAGCTAAAGACATGGCAGTCCTTCAGTGTTTTGGGCCTCAGACATCCGAGGGCTGGAGATTTATTGACACAAGTGAGATCTGAGACAGGGTCGTAGCCCCACACAAGTCAAAGAAGTTGAATTGAGACTACCACATAAAGCCAGGACCCTCAAAGGACAACCACCTTGGTAAAAGCGTAGAATTTTAAAGACAGAAGAAATAAAAGTACATTTTTCTACTTGGGTCTATGTTCTACATTTGTGGAGTGAAGCGAAAGTGCCCCCTAGATATAGTAGCAAAGGGCCCATCCTCATGTGATTTATGACTCAATTTTACACTACCTTAAGCAGAGAAAGTGGGCCTAAAAGTGGGCCTACGCAGGTAACATCCCTAAGGCACCTGGCTGAAGCAAACACAGATGTCTCAGGAGTGACAACTTCTTCCAAACAAGCCACATATTGAAATGACTTGTTAAACCCTTACTGAAGAAACATTCTCAACTTTACCACAAACAAGGCTCACCAGAAATAACAAAAAGCAAGATGACTCTCAATAACTTTGATAAGAGAACTGCCAGCTATAGACTACAAAATAAATATGTTTAATATGATCAGAAGCATTTAAAAATTTTCGAGCAAAAGATGCACAAGTCTTAAGTAGTATAAATAAAAATAAATCTACATTTAAATAATTCACAGTGACACTGTTTAACACAAAGACAGAAAAAACCTTAAAACCAATGAGAAAAAAAGTTACCTATAAACAAACAACAAACAGACTAATAACACAAGCCAGAAGACAAAATACTATTACTAATGTCATCTTCAAAGCATAGAGACTAACTACCAAACTAGTATTTTATACTAAAATATCATGTAAGAGTGACAGGAAAATACAGATATTTTGAGAAAAGAACTGTTAGTTTACCACTAATAGAGACCTTGGCTGTAAAAACTACTATTCTTCAGCAAAGATGAAACTGAATCTAGAAATAGTGAAATGCAAGAAATGGTAAACAAAACCATTGGCAAACGCATGAATAAACCTAAATAAGCATTCTACTTACTCATTCTTTCAACAAATACTTACTGAATACTTACACTGTGGCAGGCAATATTCTTGGTGCTGGGGGTAAAGCAGCAAACAAATAAAAGGCCCTGACCTTACAAAGCTTACAATCTAGCAGGAATGGTAACACACACACAATATAGTATAATATATAATATAATAATATCAGGTGACAATGAGTACTATAAAGAAAAATAAAGCTGCTCCCTCTCCCTCTCCCCCTCCCCCTCTCCCCACGGTCTCTCTCTCCCTCTCTTTCCATGGTCTCCCTCTGATGCCGAGCCGAAGCTGGACTGTACTGCTGCCATCTCGGCCCACTGCAACCTCCCTGCCTGATTCTCCTGCCTCAGCCTGCTGAGTGCCTGCGATTGCAGGCGCACGCAGCCACGCCTGACTGGTTTTCGTATTTTTTTGGTGGAGACGGGGTTTCGCTGTGTTGGCCGGGCTGGTCTCCAGCTCCTAACCGCGAGTGATCCACCAGCCTCGGCCTCCCGAGGTGCCGGGATTGCAGACGGAGTCTGGTTCACTCAGTGCTCAATGGTGCCCAGGCTGGAGTGCAGTGGCGTGATCTCGGCTCGCTACAACCTCCGCCTGCCTTGGCCACCCAAAGTGCCGAGATTGCAGTCTCTGCCCGGCCGCCACCCCGTCTAGGAAGTGAGGAGCGTCTCTGCCTGGCTGCCCATCGTCTGGGACGTGAGGAGCCCCTCTGCCTGGCTGCCCAGTCTGGAAAGTGAGGAGCGTCTCTGCCCGGCCGCCATCCCATCTAGGAAGTGAGGAGCGCCTCTGCCTGGCCGCCCATCGTCTGGGATGTGAGGAGCGCCTCTACCCGGCCGCGACCCCGTCTGGGAGGTGAGGAGCGTCTCTGCCCGGCCGCCCCGTCTGAGAAGAGAGGAGACCCTCCGCCTGGCAACCGCCCCGTCTGAGAAGTGAGGAGCCCCTCCGCCCGGCAGCCGCCCCATCTGAGAAGTGAGGAGCCCCTCCGCCCGGCAGCCACCCCGTCTGGGAAGTGAGGAGCGTCTCCGCCCGGCAGCCACCCCGTCCAGGAGGGGGGGGTCAGCCCCCTGCCCGGCCAGCCGCCCCGTCCGGGAGGTGAGGGGCACCTCTGCCCGGCCACCCCTACTGGGAAGTGAGGAGCCCCTCTGCCCGGCCAGCCGCCCCGTCCGGGAGGGAGGTGGGGGTGTCAGCCCCCCGCCCGGCCAGCCGCCCCATCCGGGAGGGAGGTGGGGGGGGTCAGCCCCCCGCCCGGCCAGCCGCCCCGTCCGGGAGGTGAGGGGCGCCTCTGCCCGGCCGCCCCTACTGGGAAGTGAGGAGCCTCTCTGCCCAGCCAGCCGCCTCGTCCGGGAAGGAGGTGGGGGGTCAGCCCCCCGCCCGGCCAGCCGCCCCGTCCGGGAGGGAGGTTGGGGGGTCAGCCCCCCCGCCCGGCCAGCCACCCCGTCCAGGAGGGAGGTGGGGGGTCAGCCCCCCGCCCGGCCAGCCGCCCCACCCGGGAGGTGAGGGGCGCCTCTGCCCGGCCTCCCCTACTGGGAAGTGAGGAGCCCCTCTGCCCGGCCACCACCCCGTCTGGGAGGTGTACCCAACAGCTCATTGAGAACGGGCCATGATGACAATGGCGGTTTTGTGGAATAGAAAGCGGGGAAAGGTGGGGAAAAGATTGAGAAATCGGATGGTTGCCGTGTCTGTGTAGAAAGAGGTAGACATGGGAGACTTTTCATTTTGCTCTGTACTAAGAAAAATTCTTATCCTGTTGATCTGTGACCTTACCCCCAACCCTGTGCTCTCTGAAACATGTGCTGTGTCCACTCAGGGTTAAATGGATTAAGGGCGGTGCAAGATGTGCTTTGTTAAACAGATGCTTGAAGGCAGCATGCTCCTTAAGAGTCATCACCACTCCCTAATCTCAAGTACCCAGGGACACAAACACTGCGGAAGGCCGCAGGGTCCTCTGCCTAGGAAAACCAGAGACCTTTGTTCACTTGTTTATCTGCTGACCTTCCCTCCACTATTGTCCTATGACCCTGCCAAATCCCCCTCTGCGAGAAACACCCAAGAATGATCAATAAACAAAAAATAATAAAATAAAAAAAAAAAAAGAAAAATAAAGCTGACTAAGGGAACAAGAGTGGTGACAGTGAAGGGGTAAATACTTTAAATAAGGTGGTCAGGGTAGGGCTTTCTATGTGAGTGACATTTGAACAAATGAGGTGAGGGCATTTGCCATGTGAACATCAAGTGGGGTGGAAGTAAGGGATAGGCAATGAAAATGGCAAACACATCCTGAGCTCTTCCTATGTGTCCAGATGTTCTTCACACTTTACATGGGTTAAATCATTTAATTCTCATAATAACCCTACGAAGTAATTTTCATACTGATCCCCAACTTATAGAGGAGGAAAATGAGGGACAGGTTGAATGATTTGTCCTCAGAGAAGCCATGTGGTAGGGCTAGGACAAGAACCTGTTCTTGCACTGCTATAAAGAAATACCTGAGACTGGGTAATTTACAAAGAAAAGAAGTGTAATTGGTTCACAGTTCAGCAGGCTGTACAGGAAACTGGCATCTGCTCAGCTTCTGGAGAGGCCTCAGGAAACTTACAATCATGGCAGAAGGTGAAGGGGAAGAAGACACATCACATGGCCAGAGCAGCAAGAGGTTGGGGGGTGCGGGCGGAAGGTCAGGGAGGTGCTACACACTTTTTAACAACCAGATCTCTTGAGAACCCTATCATGAGAACAGCACCAAAGGGGGAAATCCACCCCCATGATCTAATCACCTTCCACCAGGCCCCTCCACCAACATTAGAGATTACAATTCAACATGAGATGTAGGCAGGGACATAGATCCAAACTATATCAGAACCCTTGTAGCCTGGTGGATTGTCAAGTTCTGTGCAAAGAAAACATGAGCTCCTGGAGGGTAAGGACCTTCTTTCTACTGCTCTTTGGCTCCATAGGGCTCACAAAGCTAAGGACTAGGGAGCAACAAGTGGAAGAGATAAAAGAAGCTGCAGTCAGAATAAAAGAAAAGAGGAAAAAAAAAAAAAAAAAAAAAACAGAGTTGTGTAATGTCACAGAAGCCTTAGGAGGGAAAAAGAGAGTTCCAAAGAAGATGGTCAACATTATCAAGTATTATGAAGGTTAAACAATGTAAGTCCAGAGAAGAGGCATTTTCATTATTAAGTGAGGAAGTTATTTGGTATTTTCAAGAATTCAGTCCTAATACTGCAATGACTGAAGAGCAGCAGGATTTCTTGTAATTAAGAAAAAAGGGGCCGGGAGCAGTGGCTCATGCCTATAATCCCAGCACTTTGGGAGGCCGAGGCGGGCAGATCATGAGGTCAGGAGTTCGAGATCAGCCTGACTGACATGGTGAAACCCCGTCTCTACTAAAAATACAAAAATTAGCCAGGTGTGGTGGCTCACGCCTGTAATCCCAGCTACTCAGGAGGCTGAGGCAGGAGAATTGCTTGAACCCAGGAGGCGGAGGTTGCAGTGAGCTGAGATTGCGCCACTGCACTTCAGCCTGGGCGACACAGCAAGACTTGGTCTCAAAAAAAAGAAAGAAAAAAAGAAAAAAGGGGCAGTGAAGGGCAACAAATGTATACTACACCTTAAACAGCAGTTTGCAAGGAAGAGGGGAGATGACAATCACTAACATGCAGCAAGGCAAAGATCTTTTCAACAAAAATGTAAAAGTAACGTGTTATGGCTTCATTCTGACTTACCACTATCTTGTTCCCACTACTTAATCTTTAATGAATTATAATTTCTGTCTTTCAGTTGCCTTTTCTGTAACATTAAAAAAAAAGACAGAAATGCCAAGTTTTTAGGCACTTATTGTATTACATACCTAGAACTGGAGAATGGAAACTTAAGAGTGACCACTGAGTTCTATAAAATAATATAAACGCTCGCCAGAGAAATCTTACATAAAAGGAACAATAAAATAAAATAACCAAATGGAACGTCCTCCCACCCTTGGAACACACTGGATCAGAATTTAGACCCTGAAAAACACCCTCTGTTCTCAATCTCAGATAGTCTTGCTTACATTTTTCTCCTTGCTGAAATGATTGCATAAGCGCTCACCTCTATATCTGCCCACCTCTCTACAACCACACCCTTACATACCCCTGCCTCCCTACTGTGACTCTGAGCCAGCTGCCCATGCACTCCCTCTACATGTGCATTAGATCCCATCTCCTCTTGTCACCTCAAGGGCATTGCTCCAGCAGTTGTCCATCTAGCCCATGCATCATCAACTTTCCTCTTTCTACTGCAGCATTCCCATCAGCACACAAACATCCTGTTATTCCTTTCTCTCTAAAACAACAAACCTCAACTACTTGTCTTCCCCAGCTAGCATTCACTTTCCTGGCTCCCTTTTTCAGCCAGACTCATTGAGGGAGCTGTGCATACTTATCATCTTCTGCTCCTCTCTCTGCGTTCTCTGAACCCATTCCATCATTCTCTACCATTTCACCAAAACTGTGCAACAAGGCCACCAGTGATCTCCTGCTGCTAAATCCATGCCAATTCTCAATCCTTATCCTATCTGACCTACACTCATTTGATAAAGTAACTTAGAATCTTTAAGCCTCAGTGTCGTCTTCTAAAAAATAGGGATGGTAACAATAGTACCTATTTTAAGGATGGCTATGAAGATTTAAAAAGAAACCACGTAAAAGCACAATACCTGGTTCACAGTTAAGAACTCACTAAATGTCAGTTATTAGTGTGCTTAATCAGCCCTGCTACTTACATTCTACTCAGTCTAAAAATAGGGTCCATCCCATACTTCAGAAACAGAATTTTAGAAGATAATATGACTCCAGAATTTTAAGAAAATGAGTATAATCTCAATCTGCCAATAGTATTAGGCAAATAACCTATTCCATCATATAAAGAATGAACTTAAAATTTCTTTGTCATTAGTTCCTGATGATTCTGAAATAACTACACGAATCCTAATCTCTCTCAAAGTCTGGTTCTCATTTCTAACTCCTATTCAACAGCTTGATCTAGATATTATCTGCTCCAATTTTTCTCTCATTCTGTGTATCTCATTAATCACCAAATCCAGTCCATTCTAACTCAGTAATGGCTCTCACACCCATCTACAAAATCGTAAGCCTAAGAGAGCAGGGAACATGTCTATTTCTGCATCCCACCGTATGTGGGACGGCACCAGGCACAATACTAGGCATCCAGAGGCCAGCATCCTACAAAGCAATCTCACTTCAATATACATTTTACAGAAAGGAAAATGAGGTATACAGAAAGGAACTTGCAGGATCACTAAATTAGTAGTGGAACTGATAGAAAAACTTGCTCCCCAACCTTCTAATCCCAGGAAAATAACTGAGCCAGAGCCTGGGTGAAATACCTGTATGTATGAATGATAGTTTATTCTCTATCAGTACTTGACTTTGACCTTAATTGATCTTTTCACTGCAATTTGGGATGTAAAATACTGCCAGTTAATCTCTCTGAGTACCCAAAGAAACATAAGACAACAACTTTAATACCAAGTCAATAAAAATTTCCTCTTTGCTGAAATTCTACAGAATAGCACTAATTTGATCTTAAAAAAAAATCAATCTTCCTATCTATATGTATACAGAAACACAGTATACCATTGCCCTTGGTTCTTGAGAAGGCCTATTAGAGTTTTAGCACACCTATACAGAAGAAATAAAATAATTTCAGGCTTGTGTGTCCTGTTCTTACTGCTACCTCTCCCAAAAGATGTAACTTTGAAAGACCTACCACTTGGAATAAATTGGTACTACATATCCATTATAAAGAACAGTATGGAGAGTCCTCAAAAAATTAAATAGAACTACCTTATGATCCAGCAATCCCACTTCTGAGCATACAGCCAAAGAAAATGAAATCAGTGTGTCAGATCTCTGCACTCTCATGTTCATTTCAGCATTACTGTAATAGCCAAATATGGAAACAAACTAAACATACATTGACAGATGAATGGATAAAGAAAATGTGTGCATATATGTTGGGGGCGGGGTGTGTGCACACACATACGCGCGCGCGCGCGCGCACACACACACACACACACACACACACACACACACACACACACACAGGAATATTATTCAACCTTAAGAGAAGGAAATCCTACCATTTCCTTGTGGCAGGTGAAACAGGCCAGATACAGAAAGACACATACTACGTGATCTGACTGTGTTAGTCTGTTTTTGTTTTTTGTTTGTTTTTGTTTTGCATTGCTATACAGAAATACCTGAGGATGGGTAATTTATAAATAGAGGTTTACTTGACTCATAGTTCTGCAGGCTGTACAAGCACAACACCAACATCTGCTTGGCTTATGGTGAGACCTCAGGAAGCTTACAACCATGGCAGAAGGCAAAGGGGGAAGCCAGCATATCACATGGCAAAAGAGTGAGCAAGAGAGGTTGCGGGGGCAGTGCTGCACTCTTGTAAACAATCAGATCTCATGTGAACTGAGCAAGAACTCATTCATTACCAAGGAAATGGTACTAAGCCATTCATGAGGAATCTGTCCCCATGATCCTGTATCTCCCACCAGGCCCCATCTCCAACAATGGAGGTCACATTTCAACATGGGATTAATGGGACAAACATCAAAACCATATTACTCACTTATATGTGAAATATAAAAAGAGTCAAACTCATAGAAAGAGAGTAGAGTGGTTATTACCAGGGGCTAGGGGAGAAGAAAATGGGGTGATATTGGTCAAAGGGTACAAAGTTTCAGTCATGCAAGATAAGTTCTAGATATCTAATGTACAGCAAGGTGACTGTAGTTAACAATACTGTATACCTGAATCTGCTAAGAGGGTAGATCTTAAGTGTTCTCACCACAAAATGAAAAACAAAAGAAATGTGAGGTAATTGATATGCTAATTAGCTTATTGTGATAAATATTTCAAAAAATATATATATATATCAAATAATCAACCTGTATACCTTAAATATATACAATTTTTAATTGTCAATTATACCTCAATAAAGTTGGGGGAAAAAAGGACCTACCATATTTATTTTTTAAGCTAAATAAAGAATAGCTTATTGAATATATACCATGTTGAATACTGCTGCAATATAGAAAATACTACTTTCATGGCTTCAGGTATTACTGGAAGAAACCAACTCATTAAAGAAAATGTAGTTAATAAGCCTACATGTAAACTATTATAAAATCATTTCGTTAATACAAGAAATATTTTAGGACACCAAGAATGAGCTAGAGACTTCATCTCTTTGGAGTTTAATTCTAAAATTTCCACTACCTACCACCACGATCCTACTTTTGTAGCTCAGTTTCCTCACATTTAAGGCAATCAATCAAAATTTTAAAATATTATTTTGATTTATCCAAGCAACTGCTGGTGATTTAAACCTTAATTATGATTAAACTCAGCAGATGCATGACACAGAAGTAGAACTTCAAACAATGTGGCAAAACCACCGATGGAAAACCACAGTACACAGATTACCTTGGTAGTCAGCAATAGGAATGGAGAAGTGTGTGTTAAAAGTCAATGAAGTGAAAAGAACAGAACCATAAACAGAGCTACCAAATTAGTGGCTAATGCCAATCACATCAGAAGCATCTCTGAAATGCTTTGTATAAAACAGGGTAAATTACAAGGTGAGAGATGGCAAAAAAAAAAAAAAAGAAAAAACAAAACAAGATGAAGTAAATATTATATTTTCCTATTGACTTAAATTGTAATTTCAGTGTGGTACTTGCTTAGAAAGTTCTTTTTAGTTACCTTTAAAATATCAAAATTTCATTAAGCATTTTCAGTTTCTTTATTCTTCCACCACTAGTAAGAATGTTAACAAGTAGATAATACCAGGATATACAGACGTGTATCAAAATATACCCATAACATACCCACTGAGTATATATGCAAAAGTAATATAGCAGAGTGCATACAAATAAGACTCCTGAAGATGAAAGAGACTTGGGTTCAAATCCTGGCTCTGCTACTTTCTTGTTCAGATGACTTTGGAAAAATTACAAACTATAAGCTTCAGTTTCCTCTACTGTAAATGGGGTTCATAATAATAAATTAGTGATGATAATATGCATATACAATAACAGTACCTAAACTTCATGGGATCACTTGAGTTTTAAATAAAATAATGCATATAACACATACAGGAAGTGACTAATAATTATTAGCTATCATCCTTTCCCTGAAAATAATCACCAACTGCTTAAGACTTGGACATTTAAAAAGCCATATCCTCTCTGCAGAGTTATTGAAATGTTTCAGGAAACTAAGGAATTATGAAGAATCTGCAGGGAGAAAATAAAATGACTTGTTTTATGAATGAGGCTATCATTTTTAACTGTTATTCTTGCTATTTCTCTGAAAGAATGCTGTAGTCCTTTATTTCAGAGGTGACCATTAATTTTAATTACTTATTACATGCCAGTTGCTGTCTTAATTTTTTTTATTCAATTCCATGAAGTAGAGATCCCCATTTTACAGATAGTGAGACTAATGTTTAGAGAGGTTAAATAGCTTGCTCAAGGTCACAAAGCAAGTAGGTTTCAGAAGCAGAATTCACAATCTCATCAACTCAAGTCAAACGTCTTTCCATTAAACCAAGAATATCCAATGACTGTTATCTAACATTCACTATCGCTAAGTGAAAATCTTATTATATTTGTTTTATGTGACCTGGAGAAGAAACGAAGTTTATAAAACAAGAAAAATATTATTATACAACTCTAACCTTCCATAACCTTTAAGTCTAAATTTGCAATCTGAATATTTATTTTATCAGCCCTTGCATACATTCTGTGCCACAAACCAGCATAAGATTTAATTCAGGCCGGGCACGGTGGCTCACGCCTGTAATCCCAGCACTTTGGGAGGCCGAGGCGGGCGGATCACGAGGTCAGGAGATCGAGACCATCCCGGCTAAAACGGTGAAACCCCGTCTCTACTAAAAATACAAAAAATTAGCCGGGCGTAGTGGCGGGCGCCTGTAGTCCCAGCTACTTGGGAGGCTGAGGCAGGAGAATGGCGTGAACCCGGGAGGCGGAGCTTGCAGTGAGCCGAGATTGCGCCACTGCACTCCAGCCTGGGGGACAGAGCGAGACTCCGTCTCAAAAAAAAAAAAAAAAAAAAAAAAAAAAAGATTTAATTCATTAACATTTGCCTTATATTGTTAATTGATGAAGGACCCACTGTTGTTGCTTACATAGAAACTTTATTCATAAAGTTTTAAACTATTAATCCCATGCTATTACTCAATGTATTATATTTCCTTCTCTAGTAGAACCTTGTGGAGTTGTTGTTTTCTTATTGTTGTTGATGGTATACATGGGAATGAAAATCTTTTTTTTTCCAGACAATATACAATCTGAGATTTGCTTTTATTCAGGGTTTCTGATCCAAAGAGGAAAAAAAAAACACACATACAATGGCTATGCACAAAGAAAACTTTTTTAAAAATTTAGTACAAAGAAAGGAGAATCAGAGAAATACATTCTGGTCCATTCATCTTTCACTTTCATTTAGAAAAGGGATTTAAAAACAAGTACAAAAATAAGTCAGATCTATGTTATGAACAGTTAAGAAAGGACAAAGAAAAGAAAATAACTGGACTAGTGTCACTGTAGTGATATGTTTTGAGATTAGTAGTCATCAATGGGAAAATGTCATCCACAACTTTTTATTCAGTTTGAGCCATCAATGTTAGTTATTATCTGCGGACACTGCTGTTTGAAATGAATCATGGTGCTCTAGCAATTCAGAGCAGATAGTCCTATATTTGAAGTTATTATCAGCTCTTAGGTTTAAACTAGAAGTATATTTCAGAATTAATGACTTTCAGTAAAAAACAAGGTATTTCATTGTACATACATACAGGAAAATTTCAAGTTATAGTAGGCTAAAATGTCATTCTTTCTTTCAGTATTTATTTTGGAACTTCCATGGTAACACTGTATGACTCTTAAAACACTGCCTTTTGAGGGATATGGGTTACCCTAGTATAAAACACCTGAAGGTGGTTACATCAGAGGAAAAATACATTGTTGTAGACCTTAAAAAAGAATCCTCATCTACTGTTTTCACAATGAAAATCACAAAATTATCTGTAATTCAGTGGAAAAAATCCAAAGGAATAAATTAAATGCTTTTCATAGTTCTTAAAATGTTTTTAGAAAATTTCAACAGATGATTACAGTTACTGGCCAAAGGAAAACGTATTTTCTACGGTGCAATACTCTGGCCATAATAAAGCAGACAGAAAGCCAGAAAGACCTAAACTCACATCCTGATCTAGCATGATTAGGGCCTCTCAGGCTTCAGTTTCCTTGTGAAACTAATGGTGTTAACTCATTCAATGTTGGTTGAATGCCTACTACGTGCCAAACCCTGCGTTAGCAATGAAAGTTTATTATTTAATTTTTAAGTAAATAAAACCATGGTCCTTGTCCTTGCAAATCTTTTGAAGCAACAAATAAATGCAACATGATAACCACTATGAACAAACTGCTATGTCTGGGCAAATCAAAAGAGGCTGCAGAGGGGATAGTCAGTTGAGTTGAGACTTGAATGAATATGAGTTGTTTGGAGATGGGGATTATGGGTATTCCTTGAAGAAAGAAGAGACTGCACAGACAAGATGACCAAAAAAAGGCAAAAAGAGAGAGGTTTAACGTAAATGATGCACAGGCTGGGTATTAGAGAAAACTGGTGGGAGATGCCACACTGAGGAATGTAACCTTTAAGTAATAAGCCTCTTAAACATTATCGGTAAGGTTCCTTCTACACTAAAACTCTGGAAATTGACTGTAGGCCCAACTAGGAAAATTCAATTTCTCCACTACTTCATTTGAAGTTGTTAGAGTCTCCTCAAGCAAAAAAGCAAAACTATCCAAGTTTTGATGCTGCCATTACGAAACCCAAAAGACCTCTCTTAACTGATAAATTTTAGGACTAGCAATAGGCATCTATTGTTATTAGCGTAATAAAGCATTCTAAAAGCAAGATATGTAACAAGTCATTTACTTCTGTACTTTATCAAATACAAAACTGTAAATGTATAAATGTGAATATTAAAAACAGATACTGAAATTACATGTCCCCAAAAATAATTTTTCATACTTTGTTCAAAACATGCTTCACTGTGAACATCAATTAACTAGAAGCACCTAAAGAGAATATAAAGTCCTATTTACCTGTGTTCTGCAGGAACAGGGGGTGGCCAAACAGCAGGATCTCTAAATGGTTCATCTTGACAGGACACAGGGAAATCTGGAGGCTTGTCAATTTTAAAACTTTCTAAAGTGCTGACAATACTTTTAACTTGTTCATATTCCTCCAATAATTCCTGCCGAACCTTAAAAAAAAAAAATAGGCTTTATGCTAGAAGCTGTTTAAATACTTCATAAATTGTAAATAATAAATTACTATAGAGTGCACGTTTTCTTAATGTCAAAGGGTGAAAAATGAATCATTAAAACATTCATAAATACAAAGAACTATTTCAAGTAATACTGAGAAAAGGGTAGAAATTAGTTTGAAAAAATCATAATTCTATACCTTTTAATAAGTAGTTATATATCTTTCATAACGGAATTCCATTTCTACCAAAGAACGTGATGATCATTAATACAATTTAAAACAAGCAACTAAGTAGGTAACAAGTTAAACATTCCAAGAAATCTAAAATATTGTGCTAAATACTTTTAATATATTTATAAATAGATTCCCAAAAATTAAGCCAAAATTTTCAACAGCATTTCCTATTCCCAATATCACTAAATATAAAACGCCTGTCATGAGTGTCTGAAAGCTAGAAGCAGTATTATACTATGAATTACAAACTTCCAGTTTTTATTTAAATTCTCCTTCACCTGAAATCTGAATTATTTTTGCCTTATTTAAATTATTTTGAGTTCTGAGTAAAGTTTATTTTGATTTCAAAGACAAGATTTTTCCTGTATTTAAAAAATTTAACTGAACACATACTATGAGGAAATTCTTGTGTTTGCAAACTTTGAGCCCAAACTAATTTTCCAAAGCAAACAGATAAAGATTAAAAATTACATTCAAGACCAGCCTGGGGAAACAAAAAAATTAGTCCAGGCATGACAGCATGAGTCTGTAGTCCTAGTGCGAGTCTATAGTCCTAGCTACTCAGGAGGCTGAGGCAGAAGGATCACTTGAGCCCAGGAGTTCGAGGCTACAATCACGCTCCTGCACTCCAGCCTGGGCAACAGAGCAAGAATCCATGTCAAAAAAAAAAAAAAAGAAAAGAAAAGAAAATTACAATTATAAATTCATTTTAACAATTCTTTTTTTTTTAACCAGAAAGCACGTCACACTGTAAAGCAGAGTATAAGAAATTTTCCCTCATCTTTATATTGAATGATATATTAAAAGGAACATATGAAGGAGTTACAGATCCAAAGAAAAAGCTAGGTAAAATTCAACAGCTAATACATGCAATTACAGAATATGCTATAGTGGAAGAAATGTAATTTCAGAACCCAGTGGAAAGAAACATAGTAGAAATGTCTGAGTAGAAATGGTCACTATTTAACACACACAATTCAGAATATATAAAAAACATTTCCATAATAGATTAATAAAATACCCTGCCTGTGGCTAATAGGAAGGATAGAAGAAAACAACTAAAAATTTGAGCCTGAGTTGGAGCAAGTATATTGTTCTCAATCAATATAACTTGGTAACATTTAAGTTGGAAAATAAGTCAAATTTACCCTCAAAACTTAGGAAAACATCAATTTCTGACTAATGGAAAAATTAGAAGAAACACTTGAAAGGCATTAGTACATAAAATGGAAACTTCAAAGAAACACTTGACTTTGTACTTTTAATTTTTAGAAGATTTTAAATTTTAACACTAAGTGGGGAGTGTCTGCATTGGCAGCACATACACTAAAATTGGAATAACACAGAGAAGACCAGCATGTTCCCTGCACGAGATGCACACAAACTCCTGGAGTGTTCTGTATTTTTTTTACTTAACGTTTTCTAAAAAGGATGTTACGTTGTTTTAGTATAACAGGTGAAAAACACGAGCTTAAATAATAAGTCCTTATAAAACAAAAGCCAATTTTGTTTAAACATCATTGAAGATGCTTTTATTTCCTTAAAGATATATTGCTTATAAGTATTATTTGTAAAAAAAAAAAAAATTCTTTTTTAAAAGTTACAATTAATTTGGAATTAGAACAGCAAAGCAAGAACTATGCTAAAAGGTACTGATCAATTAAAACATTAAATTTAAAAAACGGTAAGTAGGCAAATTAAAATTCAAGTTTTTAACTGTCTTATTAAATAATCAAATTATATAGTCAAAAGACAGCAAATATAGTAATGTTTTTTATTAGATTACTGACTCATTTGTATTTTTAAGGAGTCTTTCAAAAGAGTTTTGCAAAATGGGTCAAAACAACATGTAAATATGAAAGGGAAAAGGGCAAGTATGAATACTTTATTTCAGGTCCAGCACAGTGGCTCACACATGTAATACCAGTGCTTTGAGAGGCCAAGGCAGGAGGATCACTGGAAGCCAGGAGTTTGAGACCACCCTGGGCAACATAGCAAGACTCAGTCCTTACAAAAAATTTAAAAATTTGCTGGACATGGTGGTGTGAACCTGTCCCCCTAGCTACTTGGGAAGCTGAGATGGGAAGATCGCTTGAGCCCAGGAGTTTGAGGCTGCAGTGAGCTGTGATGGCACCACTGCACTCTAGCCTGGGTGACAGAGCAAAACCCTGTCTCTTTAAAAAAAAAAAAAAGAAAGAAAGAAAGAAAGAGGCCTGGCGTGGTGGCTCATGCTTGTAATCCCAGCACTTTGGGAGGCCGAGGCAGGCGGATCACGAGGTCAGGAGATCGAGACCATCCTGGCTAACACGGTGAAACCCCATCTCTACTAAAAAATAGAAAAAATTAGCCAGGCGTGGTGGTGGGCGCATGTAGTCCCAGCTACTCGGGAGGCTGAGGCAGGAGAATGGCGTGAACCCGGGAGGTGGAGCTTACAGTGAGCCGAGATCGCGCCACTGCACTCCAGCCTGGGAAACAGAGTAAGACTCCGTCTCAAAAAAAAAAAGAAAAAAAAAAAAGAAAAAATGGGCCAGGTACAGCGGCTCACGCTTGTAATCCCAGCACTTTGGGAGGCTGAGGTGGGTGGATCACTAGGTCAGGAATTCAAGACCAGCCTGGCCAACATGGTGAAACCCTGTTTCTACTAAAAACACAAAAATTAACTGGGCGTGGTGGCACATGCCTGTAGTCCCAGCTACTCCGGAGGCTGAGGAGGAGAACTGCTTGAACCTGGGAGGCAGAGGTTGCAGTGAGCCGAGATTGCGCCACTGCACTCCGGCCTGGGCGACAGAACAAGACTCTGTCTCAAAAAAAAAAAAAAAAAAAAAAAAAGGAATGAATGAATGAAATACTTTATTTCAAAAGTTTGCAGTCACACAATTAGGTAACTGATCATGAAAAGAGAAAAAAGTTAAAGTAGATTCAATTGGAATTAAATATTTTCAAAACATCCCTCACGAAATATATGATCAAAAAACATTAACCAGGTAAGATACTAGAAAATTATTCAAGAGTATATTTTAAATGTATTTCAGTATTGAGATAAATAGGCACTATTTCCATCTCAAACTCAAAATTAGATTTTCCAACTCTAATCTCTCAAGTATAATAGGGTACTGCCATCCTAACTCATCTAATACTTTAATACCATCTTACCTGTTGCCATTTGCCTTTGATAGCTGGATCTCTGACTGACTGGCAATGTCTCTGAATCTGCTGCATCACCCCCTGGTAATATACCATTGATGAGTCGTAATTTCCAAGAAGGGCATATTCTCTTCCTTTCTTTGCATTATCACAAATCTCAGCCAAATTCATCTTCTTTCAGAGACCTAAACATAAAATATAATGACTTTTTAAAAATTTTCAGCACTGACTTTAAAACATTTATTATTCTTTAAAATATGTTTAAAACTACTTTTTTTTTTTTTTTTGAAACAGAGACTCACTTTATTGCCCAGATTGGAGTGCAGCAGCATGATCTTGACTCACTGCAACCTCCACCTCCCAGGTTCAAGTGATTCCTGAGTAGCTGCAACTATAGGGGTGCACCACCATGCCCGGCTAATTTTTGTATTTTTAGTAGAGATGGGTTTCACTGTGTTGGCCAGGCTGGTCTTGAACTCCTGTCCTTAGGTGATCCACCCACCTAAGCCTCCCAAAGTGCTGGGATTACAGGCGTGAGCCACTGCGCCCAGTCTAGAACTACTTTGAAAGTCAAAATAGTTACCATTCTTTGAGGTTATCTGAATGCATCTTACAACACTAAACAACGTTTTCAAATTTGGAAGTACAAAGGAGATTACAAAAGAACACCCACGGAAATAATAGGGAGAAAGGTTACACAGCTCTGAACTACTGATTTACTTACAGGTACATAAAACCGGACACTAGTTTTCCTTATTCCTTTATAATTACCATAGGCTGCAATAACAGATGAAATTTTTTTTTATTCAATTTATTCTTGACAATATAAAAAATATGAATATCACATAAATATATGAATATATTTTCTACTGAAGTCAGTTGAAACTATAAAAACTAGTTATCACTAAAACTTCTTGGCCCCAAGAATAAAAAGTTATACTTAAAGAATACATTTTAAAGAACAGTCTATAGTTGTCCATGTACCATTTATACTCATGTAATTGCCTCAAACTTAAATCTAAGCAAACACCTATAAATTACACTCTCTGAACCCCAATTTGTAATCTTCTAAGACCCCATCATTCTCTATATCTTTTTGGCCATGCAAATAACTATTGTTATTTTCCTTTCTATAAGATGTTAGTTAGAATACCCTCTAGATTTCTGGCTTCCACCAAAGCTCTCCAGTCCAGTAATTCTGGCTTTTCTTCCAGGCTTTCCAAAAGTCTCCTAGAATCATCCAAGGCTTCTATGCAAAGATACTTTCCTCCCAAGACTAAAAAGAATAGCAAGTCCAGAGTTACAGGAGAATGATATCCTGAGAAAGTGTCAAAATTGCCTTCTGATTTCCAGGAACAGTAAACCAATGAATACACATAAAGAAGAAAATCAAAATACTACTCTATGCCTTCTTCAGGGAATTAAACTTTGGTTTGGGGAGCCTGACTCTTCTACTCTGACTCTCAATCTCTTATCTGTTCTTCAGGGACTCAAAAATTCTTCCTGAAAATTAACCATCACTAGTTCTAGGCATTTCAAAGGACTCCAACACATTTTTAAAAACAAATGTTTATGTGTTTGGCATGTTATTTTCCTCTTATAAGGTTCCATGAAGGCAGAGTTGTATTACTTGAGAATCACACTGCAACAAATAGTACACTACTAATACGGGTTGGCTCTGTGTCCCCACCCAAATCTCACCTTAAATTGTAATAATCACCACGTGTCAAGGGCAGGACCACGTGGTGGTAACGGATCAAGGGGACAGTTTCCTCCATGCTGTTCTTGTGATAATGAGTAAGTCTCATGAGATCTGATGGTTTTATAAGCATCTGGTATTCCCCCTGCTGGCATGCATTCTCTCTCCTGCTGCCCTGTGAAGAGGTGCCTTCCCCCATGATTCTAAGTTTTCTGAGCCTCCCCAGCCATGCAGAACTGGGAGTCAATTAAACCTCTTTTCTTTATAAATTACCCAGTCTCAAGTTTTTCTTCACAGCAGTGTGAGAAAGGACTAATACAGTAGACTAGTACCAGGAGTGGTGTGCTGCTACAAGGATACCTGAAAATGTGGAAGTGACTTTGGAACTGGGTAGCAGGCAGAGGTTGGAACAGTTTGGAGGGCTCAGAAGAACACAGAAAAATGTGGGAAACTCTGGAACTTCCTAGAGACTTGCTGAATGGTTTTGACCAAAATGATGATAGTGATATGGACAATGAAGTTCAAGCTGAGGTGGTTGCAGATGAAGAAGAACTTGTCCTTGCTGTGCTTTGGCAAAGAGACTGGCAGCATTTTGTCCCTGCCCTAGAGATTTGTGGAACTTTGAACTTGAGAGAGGTGTTTATGGTATCTGGCAGAATAAATTTCTAAGCAGCAAAGTGTTCAAGAGGTGATTTGGAAGGGGGGATTGCTCTTAAAAGCATACAGTTTTAAGCATTCACAAAGATATGGTTTGGAATTGGAATTTATGTTTAAAAGGGAAGCAGTGAATAGAGGTTTAGAAAATGTGTAGCCTGACAATGCAATAGAAAAGAAAAACCCATTTTCTGGGGAGAAATTCAAGCCAGCTGCAGAAATTTGCATAAGTAACAAGGAATCAAAAGCTAATCACCAAGACAATGGGGAAAATGCCTCCAGGGCATGTCAGAGATGTCGGCAACCCCTCCCATCACAAGCCCAGAGGCCTAAGAGGGAAAAATGGGTTTCCTGGGCTGGGTCCAGGGCCCCTCTGCTGTGTGCAGCCTCGGGACTTGGTGCTCTGCACCCAGCCACTCCAGCCATGGCTAAAAGGGGCCAAGGTACAACTCAGGCCATGGCTTCAGAGGGTACAAGCCCCAAGTTTTGGCAGCTTCCACATGGTGCTGGGCCTGCAAGTGCACAGGATGAGAACTGAGGTTTGGGAACCTCCACCTAGATTTCAGAGGATGTATGGAAATGCCTGGAGGTCCAGGCAGAAGTCTGCTGCAGGGGCAGGACCCTCATGGAGAACCTCTGCTAGGGAAGTGTGGAAGGGAAATGTGTGGCTGGAACTTCCACTGAGTCCCCACTAGGGCACTGCCTAGTGGAGCTGTAAGAAGAGGGCCACCATCCTACAGATCCCGGAATGGTAGATCCACTGACAGCTTGCATTATGCATCTGGAAAAGCCACAGACACTCAAGGTCAGCTGTGAAAGCAGCCAGAAGGTGGGGATGTACCCTGCAAAGCCACAGGGGTGGAGCTGCCCAAGGCCATGGGAACCTACCTCTGACATCAGTGTGACCTGGATGTCAGACGTGGAGTCAAAGGAGATAATTTTGGAAGTTTAAGGTTTAATGACTGCCCGATTGGATTTCAGAACTGCATGGCCTATATCCCTTTGTTTTAGCCAATTTCTCCCATTTGGAACAGGTATATTTACCCAATGCTTATACTCCCCTTATATCTAGAAAGTAACTAACTTGCTTTTGAAGCAGGCTCATAGGTGGAAGGAACTTGCCTTGTCTCAGATGAGACTTTGGATTTGGACTTTTGAGTCTGGAATGGGTTAAGACTTTGGGGGACGGTTGGAAAGGAATGATTTGCAATGTGAGGACATAAGATTTGGGAAGGGCCACAGGCAGGATGATATGGTTTGGCTCTGTGTTCCCACCCAAATCTCACCTTGAATTGTAATAATCACATGTCAAGGGCAGGAGCACATGGAGGTGACTGGATCATGGGGGTGGTTCCCCCATGCTGTTCTCATGATAATGTGTGAGTCTCATGAGATCTGATGGGTTTATAAGCATCTGCCATTTCCCCTGCTGGCATTCATTCTCTCTCCTGCAGCCCTGTGAAGAGGTGCCTTCCGCCATGATTGTAAGTTTCCTGCGGCCTCCCCAACCATGCAGAACTGTGAGTCACTTAAACCTCTTTTCTTTATAAATTACCCAGTCTCAGGTATTTCTTCATAGCAGCATGAGAATGGACTAATACAACTACTTTTACACAGTAACAAATTTCAATGTCCAGTGGATCTATCCACAGAATACAGGACAACCACACAAAGTGTCATCTTCAAATTTAGAACATTAACACGAAACAATATGGCCTTATTATAATGAATAATATGTAATTAATAAATCCAGTAGAAACAAAGATGCTCTATAAATTATTTCCCTTTAAAGTCATTGTGAAACAAAAGCATAAATCCTACTTACAAATACAGACACAAAACTATAAAAGATAAAAATATCCTGATACAAATCAGGGGTTGCCAAACTTTTCCTGTAAAAGACCTAACAAGTAAATATTTTAGGCTTTGACAGCTAACAAACAAAATGAAGGATATTATATAACTACTTATATAATGAGACAAAAAATTCCATAATTCTTATCGATGCAATTCAAAATATTATAGAAACAATAACAGAGTACAACTTTCTGTAAGACAGGTTGACTAAGGAGAAGAATGAAACTCTTTTTAGGGACAATATTTCACTTAGTTGGGATTCAAAGTTAGTATTCCCTATCATCAAAATCAATCACAAATGTTCATACATTCTAATGTTTACCTTGAATACAATACATTTCATGTTTGAAAATGTCTACTTTTCAAAGTAGGTTAGGTGCTACTTTATACTGATAGTAGTCACAAGCATATGATTTCAATTCAGCATAATCATTGTTTGGAAGGCATCTAAAGGATTTACTCTTAGTATTTACGTGCCATTATTTGCAGATTAATCATTCCAATTAAAGGTTAAATAAGAAGTGCCTCAACTGCACAGTTAAATGGAAATTTCCTTGGCACTTACATCGAGTTCTAAAAAATGCTGCTGAAACTGTAGTTTGAACTCAGAAAACATACCTATTGCAAACTGGGTAGGAATGGAGACCTTACTTCTTTGCTTTAACTTATAACAGCATGGAAAGCTATATAAAATTACTTGATATTACTTGTGATTCAAAGAATAGTGGTTGCCATTGAAATAACTTTACTGCAGTATTAGTTTTGATATAACAACTGTTTTGTCTTGTAATTTTAGGTTGAATTCATTAAGAAATACTATTGAGTCTGCATCACAAATTGATTTCTAAAGCCATTCAGCGTTCAATATTCAGATTGACAGCAGTTTCTCACATTCAGAAAAATTTCAATCTCACTTCTAAATTCAAAAGTTTGCAATAAAGCCTTACAACTATTAAACCATCAAATTGCTGTACAGCAGGGCAAGTGAGAATATTCAGCTTCTATTTCTGACAAAAATTCCTAGAACTGACAATGGTTAAGTCCACAAGAGCAAATGTTGACACTACTGGTTCAAGATTACATGATAGATTCAAACATTCTCTGCAAAATACCTGCTAAGAAATAAAATAAGTAACTGTAGACTTCAAACTTCTTACACTTTCACAGCTTTATTTGTCCACCTGAATTCTTTTCTATTCTATACAAATTTTTACTACCATCAGTTATAACACATCTTAGCAGACTACACTTCATTCAGGTTGCATGCCATTAGTGTTTTCTCAACTTTTTGAAATATTCTTATCTTTAGCTATTCTACACACACTATTCATTAAGATTATTTAACACTTCAAACTCAGCCTTGACTTTTCAAATAAACAACTGAGCAGTATTGGTAACATCTGTCAACTCATCAAAAGCCAAGGAAAACCACTCAAAATAATTTGCCTTTTTAATTGATTATTGATGTCCTCAATTCTTTGAGCAACTCTTCTTGCCAAAAGACTAACAGTCTTAAGTTTACCTTCTCCAGACACAATTCTGCGCCTGTTGTAACCAACACAATTTAGTTACTTCACTATTGATAAATGACTTCCTTGCTTGGTTAACAAATGAGCCACTTGGAAGTTTACTCTGGGTGCAGCCTGATTTTTATTTTCTAATTTTGTAAAGAAATTCTACTGGAATAAGATATTCCTTTTTATGTTTTCTCATTTTTCTGACCATTACTTTCCTGTGAGTTGGGAATATTGTGATGAATGCAGAGTCTGGTAATATCAGTGTATATTGTATTTAACACAGCTATAGTATCACTGCATAATACAATGCCTTGTCATAACTCAATAATCCATGCTTCAGCATGCTTTAAAAGTATAACATTCCAAGTCTATTTTTTTCATCTTTTCTTGTTTTGACATGATGTGTATGCATTGATAATAAAGTAAAATGTCACAGCACAGTGATATGCATGGCACTTAAAACAGTGATTACAGTTCAGAAACAGCAGTGCAAAAGCAATGAGAATGCCACATGGTTTCTGTCACAACCCCTCAACTTTGCCATTCCAGCACAAAAGCAGCCAGAGACAATTTGTAAACAACTAAGTGTGGTTGTGTTCCAATAAAACCTTATATGTGGACAATGAAATCTGAATTTCATTTAATTTCCACATGTCACAAAATAGTATTCTTCTTTTGATTTTTCTTCAACCTTATAAAAATGCAAAAATCATTCCTGATTCATGAGCCATTCAAGAACAAGTGGCAAGCTGGATTTGGCCCCTGGACTGCAGTTTGCCGACTCTTGCTTTCAGCTTCTATCTTAAGAATCTAGCAAGGGAAGCAAATTAAAACCAAAAGAAGCAGAAGGAACAATGTAATAAAGTTGAGGGAAGAAATCAATGAAATAGAAAACAGAAAAACAAGAGAAAATTTCAATGTAGCCAAAAGCAGGTTCTTCACAAATATCAATAAAATGAATAAACCTCTAGTAGGATTGACCAGGAAAGAGAGAAAAAAAAAAATACACATTACCAAAACAAAAAATGAAGGAGGGCTATCACTACAAACCTTGGAGCTACTGAAAGACAAAAGAGAGTTTAATGAAATGGACAAATTCTATGATGGTCACACACCAAAGCTTGCCCAAGAAGAGACAGAGTAGTTAATCGGAATACTCCTTTATCAATTAATGAAATTGAATACAGAAGAGGTAGAAATATTTCCAACTCTTTTTTTTTCCTTTTTTTGCCATAGTTCTTTTGGCTATCCAACTCATATTTTAAAGCCAGTGTTAGCCTTACACCAAAATCAGACAAAGATCTTATCAGAAAATTACAATATCAATATCCCTTAAAAACATAGATACAAAAAATCTTTAAATTTTAGCTAATCAAATCCAGCAATATGTAAAATAGATAATGTATTATGACCCAGTGACGAAATAGATAATGTATTATGACCCAGTGACGTTTTCCCCAAGAATTCAAGATGGTTTATTTTAAAACCAATCAATACAATTTTAAGAGAATAAAAATGAAACATTATAAATCATCTCAATAGATACAGAAAATGTATTTGACAAAATTCAACATAATTCATAAGAATGCTTAGCAAACTAAGAATAAAAGGCAATTTACTCAACCGAGTAATGGACATCTATGAAATACCTACGGCTAGCATATGTATTGTGAAAGACTAAATGCTCTCCAAGATCAAGAACAAGACAAGGATATTTGCTCTCACCCCTTCTATTCCACATTAGAACTGAGGTTCTAACCAGTGCAATAAGGCGATACAAAAATAAAAGGCATGCAGATTGGAAAAGAAGTAAAGCTGCTTTTATTTACAGAAAACATGATTGTCAGTGGAGAAAATCCTAGGGAATCTGCAAATAGCTCCAGAACTAATAAACGAGTTGTGTAAGGTTGCAGCATAAGAGGTCAGTGTACAAAAATCAATCTTATTTCCACATACAAGAAATAACTGGAAACTAAAAAGAGTAAAATCATCCAAAAAATATTAAATATTCAGGGATAAATTTAACAAAATATGTGCAAGATCTGTAACCTGAGAACTATTAAAATCTAAGAGAATTAAAGATGACCTAAATTAATAGATATGTGTGTATGTGTTTATGAATAAAAACACTCAATATGCGTAAGATGTCAAATTATCTTGAAAGTGACCCATAGAGTCAATGGAATCCCAATCAAAATCCCAGCAGCCTTTTTAGGAAAAATTGACAAGCTGATTCTAAAACTTACATGGAAATGAAAGAACACAAAATAGACAAAAGTTCTGAAAAACAATAAAGTAGGACTTACTAACACAGATGTATTCAGGTGGGGTACTTCTAAGGGGTTGAGGGGAAAAATGCCTGTTGGGGGTGGATGTCTACTACATGATTTTAAAATTTACTATAAAGTTACAGTAATCATGGCCGGGCACGGTGACTCATGCCTGTAATCCCAGCACTTTGGGAAGCCGAGGAGAGTGGATCACCTAAGGTTGAGAGTTCAAGACCAGCCTGACCAACATGAAGAAACCTCGTCTCTACTAAAAATATAAAACTAGCCGGGTGCGGTGGGGCATGCCTGTAATCCCAGCTACTCGGGAGGCTGAGGCAGGAGAACTGCTTTGACCTGGAAGGAGGAGGTTGCAGTGAGCCGAGATCGCGCCACTGCACTCCAGCCAAGGCAACAAGAGCGAAACTCCATCTCAAAAAAAAATAAAGTTACGGTAATCAAGACAGTGTGGAACTGACATAAAGGCAGACACAAAGATCAGTGAAAGAAACTAGAGAGTCAAGAAACAGATTCATACATACAAAGCCAACTAATTTTCAACCAAAGTGCCAGAGCAATTCAATGAGGGAAGGACAATTTTTTCCAGCAAAAGGGTCCTGAAACAAAGTGGCTATCCATATGCAAAACAAAAACTGAATCTCAACCCTTACTTCACATCACATACAAAAATTAACTCAAATGGATTACTGACCTAAATGTAAGAGTTAAAACTATAAAGCTTCCAGAAGACAACCTAACCCAAGGTATTTTTTTTTTTTCCATCAGTTCCCCAAGCCCCAATTCCCATGGGGCAATTTGAAAAGGGCCATGTAACACCTGCAAAGGAAGTAGTCTGCATTACAGGAGAGGAGGCCTAAGCTTAGAGAACCTGAATCTATTAAGTTTTATGCTTCCCTACCCCTTGTTCCAAAGGGAGATACTGTATCTTCCAAGGCTGTAAGCAAACCTGACCTTTGCTCTGGAGAAAGACACTATCTCTTTCTACCCTCCAAGGCTGTTCAACTTGGTACCTCCCTTCATCCTGGGGAGCCCTTCTGCCTCCTCTATGCTGTCCTTTTTTTATGTATCACATGTCTTTCTCTTTCTTTTTTCACTCTCTTACCTTTATGGAGCACATTTTCTACAGTTGGGAGAAAAAATTTTTGCAACTGTGCATGTCTGTAAATACCTTTATTCTACCCTCATACTTCCATGAGAATTTGCCTGGCTACTGAATCTTAGTTTGGAAATAATTTTCCTTGAGAATTTTTATGGCATTTCCCTAATACATTTTAGGTTTCAATATTAGGTTAAGAAGACTGAAGTCATTTAAATTCCTAATTCGTTATATATCACTTGTTTTTCCCCTTTTCTGGAAACTTCTCTTTGACATGAGTTTTCTAAAATTTTTGATGATATGCTTTGAAATGGGTCTATCTGGGGTTCTTTCAATGTAGAAATTAATGTCTTTCCATTTTAGGAAATATTCTGAATTATTAAAATTTCTTTCCTGAATTTCATTAAAAATTTCTTTCCATTTTTTTTCTGCTGTGAAATGCCTTTTATCCAGGAATTAGACTTCCTCAGCTGGTCCTCTAATTTTCTTAGTTTTTCCCTCCTTTTTTCCACCTCTCTGTCCTTTTGCTCTACTTTCTTGGAGATGTTCTCAACTTTATATTATAATCCTTCTTTAGAACTTTTTCCTTTTTTATTGAGGTATATAACTTAAAGTGCACAAGTCTTAAGTGTGCAGCTCAATGACCTTTTACACTGTGCACATACACTGTGTACACCCCGGCAACACCCCTTCAAAATACAGAACACTTCCAACTCCCCAGAAGGATCCTTCATCCCTCCCAGTCAGTACTTTAATCACTATTCTGATACCACAGATGAATTCTGCCTGCTTTTTAAAAATCAGCTTTATTGAGGTATAATTTTCATACAATTAATTCCACTAATTTTAAGTGTACAGTTGATGAGTTTTGAAAACTTTATAAACTGCATAACCACCACTACCACCACAACAAAGGTAAAGAACATTTCCATCACCCCAGAAAACTCCCTTTTGCCACTTTGTATTTGACCTCCAACTCTCACCATGCACTCTCCTGTTCCCTTCTCCCTACACAGGCCCACCTCAGTTTACCGCGCCTCATTTTACTGCACTTCGCAGACACCATTTTTTACAATTTGAAGATTCATGGCAACTGTGCATCCAGCAAGTCTACCGGTGCCATTTTTCTAACAGCATGTGCTCACTTTGTGTCTCTATGTCACATTTTGGTAATTCTCACAATATTCCAAACTTCTCCATTTTTATTATATCTGTTAATAGTGATCAGTGATGTTACTGTTGTAATTGTATTGGGGCACCACAAACCATGCCCTATAGCAAGGTGAATATAATTGATAAATACTGTGTTCTGACTGCCCTACCAATAGGCTGTTGCCCTCTCTCTCTCTTCTCCTCGGGCCTCCTTTTCCCGGAGACACAATACTGAAATTAGGCCAATGAAGAACCCTACAATAGCCTCTAAGTGTTCAAGTGAAAGGGAATAGTTGCATGTCTCTCACTTGAAATCAAGGGCCAGAAATGACTAAGCTTAGCAAGCAAGGCATGTTGAAAGCTAAGATAGGGCAAGAGGTAGATCTCTCGTGCCAAAGAGCCAAGTTGTAAATGCAAAGAAGAAGTTCTTGAAAGAAATTAAAAGTGCTACTCCAGTGAACATATGAATGATGAGAAAGCAAAACAGCCTTATTGCTGATATGGAGAAAGTGTGAGTGGTCTGGACAGAAGATTAAACCAGCCACAATATTCCCTTAAGCCAAAGCCTAATCCAGAACAAGACCCTAATTGTCTTCAATTCTATGAAGGCTGAAAGAGGTGAGGATGCTGCAGAAGTATGAAGCAAGTAGAGACTGGTTTATGAGGTTTAAGGAAAGAAGCCTTTTCCATAACACAAAAGTGCAAGGTGAAGCAGCAAGTGCTAATGTAGAAGCTGCAGCAAGTTGTCTAGAACTAGCTAAGATCATTGATGAAGGTGGCTACACTAAACAACAGATTTTCAATGTAGACAAAATAGCCTTCTATTGGAAAAATATTTCATCTAAGACTTTCCTGGCTAGAGAGGAAAAGTGAATGCCTGGGTTCAAAGCCTTAAAGGACAGGCTGGCTCTCGTGTCAGGGGCTGATTTAGCTGACGACTTGAAGTTGAAGCCAATGCTCATTTACTAATATGAAGATCCTAGGGCCCTTAAGAGTTATGCTGAAGCTACTCTGCCTGTGCTCTGTAAATGGAATAGCAAAGTCTAGATGACAGCACATCTGTTTACAGTATGGCTTACTGAATATTTTAAGCCCAACTTTGAGAGCTATGGCTCAGAAAAAAAGATTCCTTTAAAAATATTGCCACTCACTGACAATGCACCTGGTCACCAAAGAGCTCTGATGTAGATGTACAAAGAGATAAATGCTGTTTTCATGCCTGCTTATCCATTCTGCAGGCCATGGATAAAGGAGTTATTTCAACTTTCAAATCTTATTATTTAAGAAATACATTTTTTAAGGCTATAGGTGCCATAGATAGTGATTTCCTTTGATGAAACTGGGCAAAGTAAATTGAACACTTTCTGGAACAGAGTCACCCTTCTAGATGCCAGTAAGAACATTTGTGATTCAAGGGAGGATGTCAAAACATTAACACTAACAGGAGTGTTACAGAAATTGATTCCAGTCCTCATGGATGACTCTGAGGGTTTCAAGACTTTATTGGAGGAAATCACTGCAGATGTGGTAGAAAAAGCAAGAGAACTAGCATTAGAAGTGGAGCTTGTAGATGTGACTGAATTGCTGCAATCTCATGACAAAACATAAACGGGGTAGGGCACAGTGGCTCACACCCGTAATCTCAACATTTCGGGAGGCCAAGGCAAAAGGATCACTTAAGACCAGGAGTTCAAGACCAGCCTGGGCAACACAGCAAGACCCCATCTCTACAAAAAATTAAAAAAAAAACTTGAATGGATGAGTTGTTTCTTATGCATGAGCAAAGAAAGTGGCTTCTTGAGCTGCAATCTACTCCTGGTGAAGATGCTTGTGAACACTGTTGAAATAACAATAAAGGATTTAGATTACTACATAATCCTAGTTGATAAAGCAGCAGCAGGGTTTGGAGAGGATTGACTCCAATTGTGAAAGAATTGCTACTGTGGGTAAAATGCTATCAAACAGTATAATTGCATGCTATGGAGAAATTTTTCACAAAAGGAAGAGTCAATACGTCCACCAAACTTTGTTGTTATTTTAAGAATTGCCCTGGGCCAGGCACATTGGGTCATGCCAGTAATCCCAACACTTTGGGAGGCCAAGGCAGGAGTATCACTTGAGGCTAGAAGTTCAAGACCAGCCTGGGCAACATAGCAAGATGCCAATTCTAAAAAAAAAAAAAAAAAAATTTTAATTAGTCACATGGGCACTGAGAACGCGGGTCCACGCACGTGATCGTCCGTGCATCTAGCCTTTGCCCACACAGCTTGTTCAGTCATGGCCTCAGGTAATGCGTGCATGGGAAAGCCTGCCCCTAACTTCAAGGCCACATCCATGGTGGATGGCGCCTTCAAAGAGGTGAAGCTGTCAGACTACAAAGGGAAGTACGTGGTCCTCTTTTTCTACCCTCTGGACTTCACTTTTGTGTGCCCCACGGAGATCACTGCAGTCAGCAGCCATGCCGAGGACTTCCGCAAGCTGGGCTGCGAAGTGCTGGGCATCTTGGTGGACTCTCAGTTCACCCACCTGGCTTGGATTAACATCCCCCGGAAGGAGGGAGGCTTGGGCCCCCTGAACATCCCCCTGCTTGCTAATGTGGCAATCTGAGGATTACGGTGAGCTGAAAACAGATGAGTGCATTGCCTACTGGGGCCTCTTTATCATTGATGGCAAGGGTGTCCTTTGCCAGATCACTGTTAATGATTTGCCTGTGGGACGCTCATTGGATGAGGCTCTGCAGCTGGTCCAGACCATCCAGTACACGGACGAGCACAGGGAAGTTTGTCCTGCTGGCTGGAAGCTTGGCAGTGACACAATTAAGCTCAACGTGGATGACGGCGAGGAATATTTCTCCAAACAAAATTAGGCTGGCCAATGGATAGTGAGCTTGTGCCCCTACCTAGGTGCCTGTGCTGGGTGCTCACCTGTGCCCCTACCTAGGTGCCCTGTGCTGACCCAGGAAAGGCCAGACCTGCCCCTCCAAACACCACAGTCTGGGACCCTGGAGGGCTAGGCCAAGGCCTTCTCATGCCTCCTCCTGGGAGCTGAATAGTGACGCCCACTCCCGAGCCCGCCCAGCAGCACACAGGCCTAGAGGTGACCAATAAAGTATTAGGGACAAGAAAAAAAAAATTAGTCACATGTGGTCCTAGCTACTCAAGAGGCTGGGGCGGGATGATCGCTTGAGTCTGAGAGTTTGAGGCTGCAGTAAGTTATGATCACACCACTACGCTCCAGCCCTCCAGCCTGGGTGACAGAGTGAGACCCTGCCTCTAAAAAAAAAAAAAAAGAAAAAAGAAAAGAAGGAGGAGGAAGGAAGAAGGATGAGGAGGAGTAGGAAGAGAGGAAAAAGAGAAGAAGGAGGAAGAAGAAATTGCCACAGCCACCCCAACCTTCAGCAACCACTACCCTGATCTGTCAGCAGCCATCAAGATAAGATCCCCCCACCAATAAAAAGATTAAGACTTGCTGAGGCTCAGATAATTGTTAGCATTTTTTAGCAATACAGTCTTTTTTAACAACAGATGCTGGCAAGGCTGCAGCGAAAAGGGAATACTTATACATTGTTGGTATGGAAAGCAGTTTAGAGATTTCTCAAAGAACTTAAAACGGAACTACCATTTGACCCAGCAGTCCCATTACTGGGTATATACCCAAAAGAAAACCAATCATTCTACCAAAAAGACACATGCACTCGTATCTTCACTGCAGCACTATTCACAATAGCAAAGCCATGGAATCAATCTCGGTATCCATCAACAGTGGATTGGATAAAGAAAACGTGGTACATATATACCATGGAATACTATATGGTCTTAAAAAAGAACAAAATCATGCCCTTTGCAGCAACATGGATGTAGCTGGAGGCCATTATCCTTAACAAATAAATGCAGGAACAGAAAACCAAGTACTACATATTCTTACATATAAGTGGGAGCTAAACATTGGATACTCCTAGACATAAAGATGGCAACAACAGACACTGGAAACTAATAGAGGTGGGAGGGAGGCAGGCAAGAGTTGGAAAACTATCTTTTGGCTACTACACTCACTCTCTGGGTGACGGGATCATTCATATCCCAAACCTCAGCATCATGCAATATACCCATGTAACAAACGTGCAGATGTACCCCCTAAATCTAAAATAAAAGTTAAAAATTTTTAAAGTATTTTTAAATTGAGACATGTACATTTTTTAGACGTAATGTTATTGCACACTTAATAAACTATAGTATAGTGTAAACGTAACTTTTATATGCACTGGGAAACCAGAAAATTTGTGTGACTAGCTTTATCGCAATATTTGCTTTACCAAAATGGTCTGAAACAAAGCCCACAGTATCTCTCAAGTATGCCTGCAGTTTTGTCAGTTCTAGAATGCAAAATAAATAAACTCATATGGTATATACTCTGATTTCCTTCATTTAGAATAATGCTTTTGAGATTCAACTATGCCCTTATATGTATCAGTAATTACTTTTTATTGCTGAGTAGTATCCCATTATATAGACATACTAAAATTTGTTTATTCACTCATCAGTTCTCCATAGCGCACTTCACAGAAACAAATCACAAAAGTACAGGACATATCATTTACCCAGGCTTTACTTTATTTCCACTGAGTTTACATCTAAAATTACAAGATACAAAGAAAGCAATCCACTATGAGGGAGAATTAATACAACATAAAGCAAAATTAAGGCCTTTTTAGCTACTGTAAAATAAGTACATTTAAAGACATAGGGACAAGAAATTTTAAAATAAATAAGCTTATTTGAAAAATAATCAAAAAGAACTTCTGGCATTAAAATATATAGTCACTGAAATAAAAACAAAACTCAGTGGACTGAGGAAGCAAGAGATTAGACACAGATAAAAGGAGAATCAATAAACCAGAAGACAGAGCTGCAGAAACTGACCAGAATGCAGCATATAGAGAATAAGTAAATAAGATTAAGAAATGCAACAGAGTAGAAAGAGAAGATCCATCATGTATGTCTATTATGAATTCCAGGAGAAAAAAGAAAGGCAAAATTCAAAAATACAGTGGCTGAGAATTTTCCAAAACTAACAGAAGACAATAATTTTCAGTTTCAAAGCAAATCAAAGTTCACACCTAGAGACAAGGTAGTAAGACTGAAGAACATTTAAAACAGAAAGAAATGACAAATTATATACAAAGGAAAGAAATTATATTGACAGCTAACTTTTCAAGAGGAACAGTGGGAGCCTGGAGACAATGAAATAATATCTTCCAAGGGGTAAGGGTGTAGGGGGTTGGCAACCTAGAATTGTATACCAAACCATTCAAGTTTATGTTTGATAAAGGCCACATAAAAATTTCAGACAGAAAAGCCTGGATATGAATCCAGGCACCATAAATTTTTAGTTGTGACCTCAGGCAAATCATATAATTTCAATAAGCCTCAATTCTGTCTACAAAATAGGAAAAATAATATTTATCATAAGGTTATTTTAAAAATTAAATGTGATCATATGTTAACATCATTCCTCACATACAACACTGAATCAATATAAGGAATATTTTTACTCTACACTCAACATCAATGCAGATAACTGAAGCAGTTAATTTTTCCTCTGAAAAAAAGAAATCAACTGATTCAATTTTCATTATAAATTTCTAGAAGCTATACTAAAATTATTTTTAGTCATAATCTTGAAACATAGTTTTTTAAATCTCCTTTAATATAAATTAGAAGAATTTCTAGGTCTTTTTAAAATGTCAGGTTAAATCTAAAGACAAAATATTTTAGCAATGTCTAATATTTGACAATGTCTCTTATTTTGAGATTATGTATTCAAAAATAAATTAAGCATCTTCTTACAGTATTTACTGCTGAACTGACCCAGCAAAGTTGCCCTATACAGAATGCTCCAGATAATACCTTCAAGGAGAGTTCTAGGCTCAGACTGAGAAGAGCTCAGTCCAAGTTCATGCTCAGATCAAGAAGGAATACTGCTTTATCTGGTTCCAGATAATTATTTTTGTAACTGTTTCATGACTCAGATCTAAATGTAACACATAAAGCCATCTTTTCAGCTACATCTCCAACCTTTCTGTTCTCTCCTTTAAATCTACCATCACCCACAACACACACACACACACATTCTCTCCCAACATACTTGAATTTTTTATCTCATGCCAAGACTAAGACATATAATTGAAAAAATGAAAAGCTAGCTTGTATCCAGAACCCAATCCCACCAGGGATGTCACTCATAATTCCTTTTACAAATGAAATCATAATATTTATCATTCTTTTGTCTCCACAGTAATGGTTTTTGAAGAGGAAACAAAACATTTTTTAAACTAATTTTATGTGAATGATGTCAATCTAATTCAGTTATACTTACAATACATATGAGGCTAAGAAAATAATTTCTGCTTTAAACTATTTTTATTCTGACACTTCCATATTTTTCTCCTATTGTTCCTTTTCCTCCTAAAAGTTGTAAATTCCTGAAAGTAGATGCCTATTTCAGAAACACCTAAGTAACCTGAACTATAGCAATGTGAACTAAATAACACTAATTAGAACAGTGGTAAGCAAAACAACAAATCAAGTTTTATTTTCAATATTTTGTACCACAATGAATTTTATCAATATGTCCAGGCTTTACATGCTTAATGAAAAAAAAAAAAGTTTCTCCAAATCACCGAAGTCCAGTTTATGTCATACAATGGCTGCTATAAATAAAAGCAATTAAGGAAACACATAACCATGACTTCTCAAATTAATGCATCCTGAAGTATGTTTCAAGCACAATAAATGAACCTACTATGTGAGTACTAATCAACCAAATAGTTAATTTTGAAAACCACAATACCTCCCATCTCTTTATTTTGGGTAATAGTCTCAAGGACTACAGTTTGCCATGAATAATAAAGAAAACAACCACAAACCCAGACATTACAGAAGAATGTATGTAGTAATTAAGGCTTTTCATTTATTTTTTACATGTATACAAATCACTTCTCAAATATTTTAGAAACAAAAAAAAACTGTTCATAAACATAAAAGAATCTAGATACTAATATAGGGTTCTAAGAGCTTAAACGTTTCTCAAAAGTAACCATCACAGTAATTTCTGCTCATGTTCTAAATTCTACTGGCAGCTTTAAAATATTACAAAGGACAGAAAATGTGGATCATCTGTTACTGTGTCTCAAGATGACAGCTTAAACTATAAACTTGGCCAGGCATGGTGGCTCACGCCTGTAATCCCAGCACTTTGGGAGGCCTAGACAGGCGGATCTCCTGAGGTCAGGAGTTCAAGACCAGCCTGGCCAACATGGCAAAACCCCGTCTCTACTAAAAAAGTACAAAAATTAGCGGGGCGTGGTAGCGAGTGCCTGTGGTCCCAGCTACTCAGGAGGCTGAGGCGGCAGAAGCTTGAACCCAGGAGACGGAGGTTGCAGTGAGCCGAGATGGCGCCACTGCACTCCAACCTGGGCGACAAGAGTGAGACTCTGTCTGAAAAAAACAAACAAAAAAAACCCTATAAACTTTATCTAATTGCATAAATACCCTTTTTAGCACAAAAATAATAGTAGCGATGTTTATTGAATGCTAACTCCCCACCAAGTAATACGATAAAAATGTTTTTCTAGGCATTATCTCATCTAATCCTTATAACACTACAAAACAGTAACAGTTACCCACCATTTAGCAGAGGAGGTGACTGAGGCTTTAAAGAATTTAAATAATTTGCCCATAGAGCCTGGATTTGAACCCAGATGTGTCTAACTCAGAGCCTGTCCTCCTGGCTCATTACAATTTACTGCCTCAAATTCCTTTAAAGTTACGCAGCTAATCTAAAAATAAATATAAAAGGCTTATTAACAGAAATAAAGATATTTTGTTGTGGTTGCCTATATAATTAAATACTACTTGTTTTTTAATTTCATAGTGCTTTGAACAGCCTAAAACCTTTCAAAACCATCTGCTTCATATTACTGTATTTTATGAAGTATGTATGTATGTATTTATTTATTTTTGAGGCAAGGTCTCACTCTGTCGCCCAGCCTGGAGTGCAATGGTGCAATCTCAGCTCACTGCAACCTGGACCTCCCAGTCTCAACCAATCCTCCCACCTCAGCCTCCTGAGTAGCTGGGACCACGGGTGTGCGCAGCCACGCCTGGCTAATTTTTGTATTTTTTGCAGAGATGATGTCTCGCCATGTTGCCCAGGCAACTTGTCTCAAACTCCTGGACTCAAGCTTTCTGCCCCTCTCAGCCTCCCAAAGTGCTGGGATAACAAGCAAGAGCCACCACACCCAGACTCAAGTAGTCTTTGAACAAGTAATTTTATAATCATATTTACTTACTCATCCATTCATCATTCAATCTAAACTAATTAGTAAGCACCTACCACATTAAGCAAATAACCTATATACATATAAGAAACAATGTAAGGCCACGTGGAGTTCACTAACATAAAATTCTTGACTTCAAATAATATCTAATAATGCAGAGAAAATACAAGTATAAAAATATCAGGAATTATGTGTTAAATACCAGTCATCCATACTCTCACAGAAGTAGGTCAGAAAAAAAAAACAGTCACTACTGATTCTCTCATTCATTTCTCTTCCTACTGCCAAATCACCAGGAAAAATGGAAAGAGTAAAACATCAGAAAGAAAAGAATACTGACATATAAAGACACTCACAGAGACAGGAATAAACGAGAATAAAGGAACAACTTATTGAAATACAGCAAATGAAGTTATATTGTTTGTCCCTCAAACACGTAAAAGCTAAGAAAATAAGAAATAAAATACATTGTTTTTTGGAGATGATTTCCTTAAAAAACACAAGAGTGAGTATACCAAAACTAGTTTGAGCACTGACTGAAATGTAACATCCTTTGAGAGAGGGGCCAGATCTTATTCATGTATCATGTATCATTTGGTGCACTGTTTGACATAAAGACACACAATAATGTTTCTTGAACTCAAATGCAAGGCACATGTGTTTGATAAATGTCCACAAAATAACCATTCTAAAGAGTTCTATAATACCCTGGGAAGTAAATACAATTGGGGGATCAGCAACTAAGCATTAAATTCTTTACAAAATGCAAAACAATACTGAGATATGATTAAAAACTATAAAAAGTGCTCACTAAAAACAGCTTCATAGCAAAATATTAAAAAGAATAAGATTTCAAACCAAAGCTCACTTTTTAATAGGCTGCCTAATAGGAGCTTTTACAATTACTAATGGACAGAACAAAGTTACAAAAGGACTTAAAAGGTCATTTACTCCTTTGCCATCCGTTCAGTTAGGACCACAATCAAACCATACCCCAGCAAAAGAAACATATCTAAAGACATCCAGTGAAGATTAAACCACCTTGAAAAACTACTCCATTTTTTTTAAACTACTCTCACAATCTATGCCTTGAATTTATCTGGCAAATGCCCATATCTCACTTTTATCAGGTATTCTAGGGCACAATTTCCCTGGGACTACCATATATAAGTATAGTTATCACTGAAGAGAAAAATGTTTAAAATAATGTTGAGCCGGGTGTGGCCACATGCCTGAAATCCCAGCCACTGGGGAGGCTGAGACAGGAAGGCTGCTTGAGCCCAGGAGTTCAAGGCTGCTGTGAGCTATGACTGCACCATTGCATTCCAGCCTAGGTGACAGAGTCAGACCCTGTCTCCAAAAAATAAAAATAAAATGAAATACTCTTGAGCACATTAAAATATAAACATATTTTCATTTACAGATGCTCAAATATCAGTGAAATCACAAATCAGTCCAGACATTAAATACTGTCAGAATTGAAGAATTTTAGAGCCATTGAGCTCTCATATTATCTAGTGGAACTTCCTGTTTCTTTGAAGATGAAAACAAGGCAAAAGTACATTGGTATTAATGCCCTATACAATAACATTTTATAGCATTAACGGAAGCTTCATTTTAAAAAATTGATTAGTCCTCAGACTCTAATCATCACTTTGTAATATAACTACTACCTGATCCACCTGCTTAATATGGTCAAGTAAAGTCTAGAACAGGGCCTTTCTATCAGACAGAACTGGCAGTCCTGCCACACTGTTAGTAAGGAAGTGGGAGAAGAAATGCTTTCAGTTGTTGAGCACTTTAGGGTTTACCTCCACTAAACTGTTTCAACTTCCCAAAATCAAATAAATAGTATTAACACCTCATATGAAATAAGGGTACAGATTTGGAGACCTGCCTATGATCATGCAGAAAATAAGTTGGAGACACAAAATTAGACAACTTACTTTCTTTCCTTATTTTCCCCTCCTTTGTTATGCTCTCTCCCAGTTCTTCTTCCTCTATGCCTCCTAACTAGGGTCTCATTTGTAGGCTCCTCCCGCAAACACATACACACAACTCTTTTTTTTTTTTTTTTTCCTGACACGGAGTCTCGCTCTGTCACCAGGCTGGAGTGCAGCAGCATGATCTTGGCTCACTGCAACCTCTGCCTCCTGGGTTCAAGCTATTCTCCTGCCTCAGCCTCCTGAGTAGCTGGGACTATAGGTGTGCGCCACCATGTCTAGCTAATTTTTATATTTTTAGGAGAAACGAGGTTTCACCATCTTGGCCAGGATGGTCTCGATCTCTTGATCTCCTGATCTGCCCGCCTCAGCCTTCCAAAGTGCTGGGATTACAGGCGCGAGCCACTGCGCCCGGCCTACACACATTTCTTAAATGAGAGTTCCATATCCAAACCTCTTCCTTTTTCTTTTCTACTCATTACTCCAATGTGAGCTGGTCCATTCTCCCTTGTAGCTTTAATTACTTATCTATATGCAAACTTCTAACTCCAGCCTGCTCTCTCTGAACTCCAGACTAAAATGCACCTCCACCTGAATATCCCATAGGAACCTCTAACAAATGCTCAAAACTCAACTAATATCTTTATATTTCACCCCAATAAAAACCAGCTCCTCCTCATCTCAATCAACGGATTCACTATTACCTCAGTCATGCTAGCCAGAAACTGAGGAATCAATCAGCTAAGAGTTCCAAATCTAACTCCCAACATCCAAACTCTTATCAAGTCATATCAATTTTATCTCTTAAATATTCCTTGAATCCATGTCTTTCTGTAACTCCAAATGCTTAATTCAGACTCTCTTCACTTCTCTACTGGACTTTGTTTTTTTCTATTATACAACTGGCTTTTCTACTACCTGTAATGTTTCCCCTCCCAGGTCCATTCTCTACACTGGGGCTGGAGTTATCTTTCTAAAATACAAATCTGACGCCACCACCACTCTAGCTAAAATTCTTCAATGACTGCCCTATATCAAGAAAAATTCTAAACTCTGAATATGGTGCCAAGTACTTTAAGATCTGGCCTCACCCACTAATTGCAAGTATTCTGGGATCCAGTCATTCAGAACTACCTAGCGTTTCCCAAATACAAAATACTGATTCTTCAATCTATCCTTTGCTTATTTTGTGCCATCCATTTGTCCTAGAATGACTTTCCTCATCATCACTCCAGTGAAAGCTTATTCAACTATTTTAACACAAGTTAAAAGTCAAATCACACTGAAGGCCTCCCCTGACTTCCTTAGACAGAGTCAGGATCTTTCTACTAAATGACAGAGAATGGTCAGTGCTTGAGATCAGGACCAGACCCACCTGGGCTGAAATCCCAGGTTCACACGTTACCAGCTATGATTTTGAGCAAGGCCTCTAAAGCCTGTTTCCTCATCTCTAAAAATCAGTAACTACTTCACCAACTGTTTTGAGGATTAAGTAAGGAGTTGCATGCAAAATACTCCTCACAGCACCTGACATATTCAATAAATGTTACTGTTATGTGATTATTTCCTCTGGGCTCCTAGAGCAACTTGCACTTATCTCTACCACACTACTGTGATGACAAGACTGCCCATGCAGGATACAGACTATCTTTTTTCATCTCTTTATTCTCACCACCTGGCATAATGCCTGGCACATAGGTTCCTAACACATTTTGAATGAATAAATAAAATACTTCAAACCTTATGTTGTATCACATAAGGCCTCAATTTTGTTTTCTACCTGTCTTACTAAACCTACTTTCCATCTCCTCCTTGTACAAAATTGCAACCTCAAGTAAAATTTACACAGGTCAACTTCATTTTAATTAAGAGAAAGTTTTATAGGATTTGTGGTCTTTTTGTTTTTAAACACACACACACACAAACTCACAATAATATCAACAATTCTCCAACTTACTCCATAAAGCAGCAAATTTCTAGGATGGTTATCTACCTATTAAAAAATTTTAAAGGGTCGTCAAGGAAGGTTTCGTAAATCTGTGTCAGCTTCCTTTACCAGCAAGTCTTTGAGTCAACTCTAAGGACTCAAGTGTACTCCTGAACATAAAAAATATATAAAGAATTAACTAAATAATTAAAACATGGTATTTTTCCTTCCGAAAACATGCTGAGAAATTCTGAATAACACTGGAATAATCAAAGAATTATTGCTGCCTACTGCTAAAAAAGTCTGTTTTTAAAAGTTACTAGTAATTTAAAGCTGAACTAATCAAAATATGTGTAGGCAGTGTTCAGGCTGGCAAGGGGGGGGTGGGGTGGAGCACTCATTTCACAACCTTGAACCTCAAGAAATAAAATTCAAAAATGCAAAAAGTTAAAAATGCCAGATACCACCATATAATCGCAATGACATCTTTTTATCTATTTCCACACTTAACCTTTAAACATTACTGCCCTTTGAGTAATTACCAATTGATGGGTTTAATATGCAAACACCTCTGAGCTACTTTAAAACAAACATGACTAACCCAGAAATAAACGTATCCAGGAAAGGAGAAAAACCTGTTAAAACACGGTTTCTCAGGTCTCACATCCAATGTGTGACATACATACGGTTCTGCACCGAAAGGCAGCAACCTGCGAGGGTCAGAGGCGCCGAAGACCCGAGGCCCTGCAGCTTGGGCGGCTGCTCATCCCTGAGACTGTGCAGGGCGGTGGCCCAGCCGGGGTGGGGCTGAGCGCTGCAACTGGGGCGGGCCCAGCTACAGGGCGGGAAGCCCGAGGCTCACCTCCACTTCCCTTTCCCAACGCACAGAGCCCAGGTCCGCGACCACTCAACAGCCCCCTCAAGACAAAGAGAGATTTTTTTTTCTGTCCCGGTCCGCTCAAAGTTTATCGGTCTTTCCCGGCGGTCGGGGCCGCCGGGCTTTGTAGTTCGCCAGTCCGAGCTACCCCACCAAGACCGCGAGCCCGAGGAGTCGCTGAACTACAATTCCCATGATGCACCGCGAGCCTGGCGCTCCCGCGCCCCTCCCCGTCCCCGCACGGGAGCCAGCGCCCGAGGAACCCCGCAGCCCACTGCCCTGGCGTCTCCGGCAGTGGGAGGCCGAGAGGGGCTGTTGGCTAGAGCCCTCCACCACCTGCTGTCTCGCCCTCGCCCCTTTCTCTCGGATTCATTACCCAGAAGGCGCAGGTCCGGGCACATTCAGCGATGCGGTCCAGATGGGGTGCGGGTGGGGCGCAGGCCGCCGCCGCCGCCGCCGCCGAGTCCGTTAGCTCGCGACGTGCGTGAAAAGGCGGCGGCGGCGTAGTGTTGCCATGGCAGCCGCGGCCGCGCGGTGGGCGCAGCGCGGGAGGGAGCGCGGGGGCTGTGAGTCCGCTCTGGGGCGGAGCTTGGGACTCCCGCCCAGGTTGCCGGGGGGAGGGAGGTGCAGCGGCGCGGGGTGGGAGAGCAGGGAGACAGTGACATTGAGGAGGACGTGTGGCCGACTGAGCTCTGGTCGTGCTTGATGAGCCTGCCTCCACTGCGTCCAGCCCCCGTGGCAGGGCACCTTCGTGCCTGCTGCTTTCGGAGGTGATGCCAGTGGCGTCGAAGGAGGGGGCACCCGGGGCGTCGCAGCGCCTTTCCCGCCGCCTGTCCAGGCGTCCGCCGCTGGGTCTGCCCCCAAGGGATGTGTGGATCCTACGCCACCTCTGTGTTTTTCTCCAGTCAAACCGAATTGAAGTCTTTCGCACCCCCTTTCTCCATTCTCTGGGGAGGGGGATAGAAGGGAATCCTTCGATAAGATGGAATGCATATGGCCTTTAGGATTATTCAGGAGGTTTTAGAATTTGCAAATGGCATTGCTTTCGACTGAATTTGGATTTATGCTGTTTCTTGGCAATCGTTTGTGGACTCTAGGATAAACAGGTTAAGAGCGTGGGCTTCTAAAACGAATTCTTAGTTCACGTCCTGCCCCTGTGCTTGGTAGCTGATGACCAGAGGCGCCTTTCTCACCTCTTAACGTTTTGATCTGCAAAAATGGAGATATCCATCTTGCAACTCTTGTAAGAAATACACGCATTAATACTGATGAAGCTCTATAAAACAAAGCTTAGCATTTAACAATAGCTATTAAATATTAATTATTTAATCAATAGTGATAAAAGTCAGAATAGTGGTTGGCTGTCGGGGAGGAGTTTGAGAGAATTTTTTGTAGTGATGAAAAAATTCTATAGCTAAGAGTTTCGGTTACAGAAGTATATGCACTTGTCAAAACTCTTGGAATGGGACATTTAAGATTTGTACATTTCACTGCATGTAAATTTACCTCAAAAGAGAACATAAAAATGTGTTGTTATTATTATTAGAGCTATAGACTCTAATGGAAACTACAGAGATATTCTAGGCCCAATCTCTAGATTTTATAGATGGGAAAACTGAGGCCCAGAAATTTAATAGAAAAAAAGAGGAAGGGGAGTGAATTCGTGACCTTGTCATTTTCTAGTAATGAATATCTCCTGAAAAATTATGGTTGAAAATAACAAAAATGGCTCCTGTAATCCAGCTGAGTCATCCTACCACAGAGATTTTCTTGAACTTGACTGAGTCCCTTATCCACCTTGTGGTGTTCCCCACGGCCAATGTCCTCTCAAGGATTGCACCGTCACTTCTGGCTCTCAGTTCTTGCTTTTCCTGAACACTTAGACCTCTCCACATATCACCTCTTACAACTCTCCTCTCTCTACTCCTGCTGACACATAATTTCGAAATCAGCCCCTTTTCTTTGGTTGTTTCTATAGCCAACTCTTTAGAAGGTTTGGAGCAGATAAGTGGTTTTAAATTAAGGATGCAAAAAACCTAAAATTAGAAATCCCTGCTCTTAAAAGTCCTTCAGTTCCTCCCATGATATTTTTATCCACCTACCACCTACCCCCATTTTTTCATCATAACCTGTAACCTCCCACTATTGTACCATCTTTCTGGTCCCATCTCTCCCCTCCTCTCCTCTCTTTATACAATACTTTTATTTCCATCTCCTAATCTGTGCCTTCATAGCTACCTGCCATTCCTAAACTGTTTACCAAAGTTTTTTCCTACACAAAGTAACTTCCCAAGAGGAACTCTGGAGCCAGCTATTAAAATAATATTTTTTCACATATGTATCCTCATATTCTATTTGATTCAGTCCACAGTGTAGCTGCTCAATAAATATTAAGCAGCTTACGTACATGACCTGTTGATATAGTTTGGCTGTGTCCCCACCCACCTCTCACTTTATTGTAATAATTCCCACCTGTCAAGGGCAGGGCCAGGTGGGGATAATTGAATCATGGGCGCGGTTTCACCCGTACTGTTCTTATGGTAGTGAATAAGTCTCATGAGATCTGATGGCTTTATAAATGGGAGTTCCCCTACACAAGCTCTTTTGCCTGCCACTGTGTAAGAAGCCCCTTTGCTCTTCCTTCATCTTCCGCCATGATTGTGAGGCCTCCCCAGCCATGTGGAACTGAGTCCATTAAAACTCTTTCCTTTATAAATTACCCTGTCTTGGTTATGTCTTTATTAGCAGCATGAAAACGGACTAATACACCTGTCCTGGCTACCTTCACAGTGGGTTCACTTATGAAACCCATTTTCTTACATCCATAATAATGGTTTACTCTAGTATAAATGAGGAAGCTATGTGATAATAGCTGGAATCTGCTGTCTAAGAGGAAGAAAAGAAACCAAAGTAACCATAGCTTGTACAGAAGAAATGACAGCACTTAAGAGATGAAGTCCGGAACAAAGTCTGGTATGAAGCCATAGGACATCCTTATAGGAACTTGGACCTGTCACCTGCAGCAATTTGGTCACAACTCTGCATATGTAATGAGCATGTAAATAAATTCTCCTTTACTCCTGGAGAAGATGTTACTGATCTGCTACCAGCTGAACACATGTTTGTAGTAGGGATGATAGGTTCACCGGATCCATCTCTCCCTGATCTGGTTTCCCTTGTGACCGATCACTTGTCTTTCTTTGCAAGGCAGCTGGCCAAGGTTGTAGTGCAGCCTACAGCCATGACGAAGTCTCCAAAGACAAGGTCCCAATGCATAACGCTCCTTGTTTTGTGAAGCCAGGATCCCAGAAAATCAGCTCAGCAGGACAGGCCACTTGAGAATGGATGACAGCAGCACAAACAAAAGCTGTCACAAAAGTGAGTTGGAGGTGGGCAGTCGCGGGAGGGAAGACCACAAGCCACTGAAGCACAGCCTTAAAATGCCTCGCATGGCTATGGACAGGTAGGAACGAATAAGGACCGATAGTAAACCATAGTTTATTGTTTTCACCAGATACTTTGGACCTGTTCAAGTGATAGTTAAACACCCTATACAAATCCAAAAGATGGAGCTGAAAGTAGTAGCACATTAATCCACACAGGCAGTGTGGTCAAGAGCCACCACCCTCATTTACAGCGCATCTGGTTTACAGTTGAGGTCTTTCCTCAGTTCTTAGAGTTCTTGGCCTCTCTGGCATTTGACTTTGCTGACTACCCTCCTTGGTGGGTCCTTGACCTTGGATCTCTTCAGAGCTTTCCAACCAGACTTCATTATGTTATTCACCAGCTCTTTTACCTGCTTCTTAAATGTGAGGATAGTTGCCAAGGTTCAGTCACTACACCTTTTCCATTTGCAAGCTTCCGCCTTGGCCGTGGGTGATGCTCCAATTTCTCTTGCTAGTTCTGATCCACAAGTTCCAGCACTGCACAAGCAGGCCCACTCTTCCTTAACTTGTTCTGTTACTTCTGTTCTCTTCGTCTAAGATACCAGCGCCTTACCCTATCTAAGGTCTACGTATTCTGAAAACAAACCTTCACATGAAACCTTTCCAGATCATTCCTGCTCAGTCATATCACCCTGCTCTGTGCTCAGAATATTTCCTGCCAATCTCACTCCCTTGACAGCTGACCATACTGCTGAGTGGCTGCTCAGTATTGTTTACTCATTGGCTTTTTGTCTTTTCTCACTATATTTCAAGCTCCTCCAACGTGTATTTCTGGGTATTCTCAAAAACACCTTCATAATACTCTACATATAATAAGGGCACAATAAATGTTTTTGATTGGTAGTTCTTTTATCTTTTCCCCTTAGCAAAACTTCCTTTATCTGGTAGCTCTCCCTCTTCTAGTACTATGCAGGACATTTGCAGCCTCTTGATATAAATTTCCCTGAAGCCTATAACTGTGGGCCCCCATACATATTCAGTGGAGGAGTACCTTGGGAGGTAATTCCTTAAGTCGCTGTTGCTGTGGAAGGAATTCAGTATGTAAGTAGCACTGAATTCCAACGTTCAGGCCCTCTTACCGTAAAGATCTAGAGCAGAGTTTTCCTCACTGTGGGTCACAGTCTATTAGTAGGTCATGAAGTCAATGTGATGGGTCTCTTCCGGCTTTGTCATATTTAAAAAGTGATAAGGTAAGGTAGTGTAGGGTAAAGTAGAATGCAATAGAATGCGGTAGAAAATGAAATCCAGAGGGTATGTGCATGGTTAGGGTCAAGTATCGTATGGCAGTTACTGAGCTGTCATCTTTCAGCTTCAAACCTACCCTCTGTCCTCTGCTTTGTGTTGGTGGGGCTAGAATTGTGCAAACCACATTTCTCCTCTGTCATCTGGGTGGAGAGGCTGGGGCAGCACAGCAGGACCAGAGGAAGAGCACAAGGCTGGAGGAGAGGGAAGCAACTTGCTCCTTCCTGACAGCCTGCTATGCTTGGCAGCATCACTCCTGCCACAGACTTTTAGCCTGGTGGCAGTTTTACTTGTCTCCAGCTTCTTATTGTATCTCAACCAGCCTCATCGCATCTCTTCTCCCTCCTCCCCAAAGCATTACCTGCAGCAGCAGCCAGACAGTGTCCCTCTTCAGGAGCCTGTGCCCCAGCTTCAACAGGCCTTTCCTACAAACCCCAACCTCCTCTCCTCCCTTTGATCTCCAGCCCTTCAGGCGGGAGCTGCTTCTTGCAGTTATAACCTATGTATTACTCCAGTGTTCCTTTTTTAATTTTTCAGTCCTTGAACATCTGTCTAATCAATTCCCTGTGCTAAATTCTTGCTCTTAAAATACCTACTTAAAGTTTCTTTTTTCCTGACTGAACCCTGACTAATATGGATTGTTAAGTAAGATGTACTTCCTGCCATAAGTGTCCATCAAAAGGGTTTAAGAAACACTGCTTTAGAGGATTGGGAGTTCTTAAATAGCCAGATGACCTGAGATGCAGCTAAGGGGCCAGTCCTAACATGTAGAGGTACTCTGGATTTCAGGTCCATGAAAAGCAAAGATCCTGTTCCACTATAGCAGTTGTCACTGTTGGACCCCAGTCACAGCCTGACCTGTAGGGATCACTAGCGGTGAGCCTGCAGTTGTCCATCAGAGTATGGCCTGAACCCATATGGAATCTGTCCTCTCTCAGATATGCAGAAATTCAGCTTCTTTACTTGTTACAGTTTTACTCGTTATTAGCAAGTGAGAGGAAGCAGAAAGTTAATGATGAAGAAAGCCGGGAACTACTACCAGAGACCTCATACAGTGAAATGGAACTTGACTGAGTGGAAGAGAAGGATTTAAAAGGTGGATTTTCAAGGTGTCAATTTTCTCTCTCTGATGCTGCCTTTTCTCTCATGTAATCCAAAGAGCTAGTAGACAAGAGGAGGAAATGAAGAACCTTATACTAATACCTAATACCTATGTTTTTGCCTTATCCAGTCAAAATGAGGCTTTTGCTCTATTTTATTCGTGAACTTACTATACTTATGCCTCAGTCTCCCATTAGAAGTGAAACTCACTTAATCACATATTCCTAATAAAAAGAACTGCTCCACATTTCAGGAACTCAAAATATTTCTTATGTATGCCAAGATAAACACAAAACCTCTTGGCAGCGATCTATGAGGATTCTCCTTGCTTGTGATTTTGCATTTCTTTATGCTAATTCAGAAATATGAACAGAAAACCCAGGACTTGAGGCTGTTAAGTGGATTTGTAACACTTGGAGTGTTGTGGGCACATAACTCAATGAATGGATATATAGTCATCTGTGATAGCTGGAGGAATAGTATTTTCATTGAGCACTGCAGTAAGTCATTGCAGATACTCTGCTAGATACTAAGACATTAGCAACACTTTTTTCACCTAACTGTTTTAGGACCTTGCATTTGGTAGAAGAATACATAACTCAAAGTGAATTACTCAGGCAAATGTTGGCAAGAGTTACTTCGTTTGTGCCATGCAGAGAATCTTCTAGTGAATTGAAAAGCATGTCATCCTCTGATTTACCCACTGAAGCATGTTACAATGTAGGTGGCATGTCACAGAGGAAGAGCAGCTTGTGATCAGGTTTTCTATTCATAGAAGACAGCGTTGTGCCAGGCAACCCCAACCACAGAACATTTCAAGTATGAATGAAAAAGGAGCAGTACAGCTGGGATCCCGTTTCCCCTTCTAAGGAGATGCAAGCCCTCTCCAGGGCCCCTCCCATGTCTGAAATCCTTTCTTTTCCTATTTTTCTTAAGTCTGTTCTACTTCCACTATAGAGAATTGAGAGTGATGAGTTTTGGAGGAAAATTCCATTTCCTTTCTTCCCTCCTGTTTCTCATGCATTTGAGGTCATCTTTGTGATTTATGTGCATAAATGATACAAAATCATAAACGTTGGCTTACATGAATCGTTCCTAAATGGTTAACTATTCAAGCAAACTGTTCATCATCTGATTCTCCCTGATATTCTCTCCTTATGTTCGCTGGTCTGCCTCACTCCTTTCTCAAGTCTCACCTCAATTTTCACATTTCCAAAAAAATCATCACTGACAATAAAGGATTCTAACAGCACTTACTCAACCTCATCTTGATCCCTTTTTCCCAAATTACTGGTTACCTGTTCTTACTGTCTGAAAGTGAAGTTAAGATGAAATAAAGTAAGTATGGCAATTACATAAGATTTGGAAGAACCATATGTTTCTTCCTTCTCGATCTGTTCCAGGATTTACACCTTCATGACAGAAAAGCATTTTAGTTTTTTTTAATTTAAAACACAAAAAAGAATTATAGAGAGTTGCATAACAAAAAAGAAACCCTGGTACTCACCACATCCTGATTTTGATGTTATTTTTGGATTCATGTTCTTTTACTATTATTACATATCTGTATATTACAGGCATTACATAATATCATTTTGCATATTTTCAAGCTTTCTATAAATGTTGTTATACTATGCTTTCTTGAGGTTGCCTTTTTTTATTCAACAATATATTTCTGAGATTTATACATTAATAGATTTAGTTCACTCATTTTAATTGCCGTAACCATATAATACCATTCATCTGTTTCCTTTGATGACTAGTTTATTTCTATCCTTCACTAATACCAAAGGTTGTACAATAAACATTCTTGAATATTTCCATGTACGTATGTGTGAAAGGTTTTGGAGAGTTTATCCAAGAAGTAGAATGATAGATAGCAAAGGGTTCATCTTCAGTTTTCCTAGATTTCATCAATGTTCCCTAAAGTAACTGTATTCATGTACTGTCAGAACAGCAATGTAAGAGAATTCCCACTTCATCATATCTTGGAATTATCTGACATTTCTATTTTTGCTGCTCTGATGAGTGTGAATGTATGAAAGCGTATTTGGGTTTGATGTAGGTGTCACTGTATGAGGGTTGTCAAGTCAGGAATGTAAGGCTGAAGCTAAGGAAGCAGAGGAAGTCAAATATAAATTAGGCTGCATGTTGGTTATCTATTGCTGCATAACAAATTACCACAAACTTGCTCAAAACAATGCATATTTACTTCACAGTTTCTGTGGGTCAGGAATCCAGTCACAGCTTAGTGACTTCTCTGCTCTAGGATGTCTCATGAGGCTGCAGTCAAGGTTGTCATCCAGGGCTGGGATCTCTTTTGAAGGCTTGACATGGGAAGGATCTGCTTCCAGGCTCTCATGGTGGTTGCCAGAATTCAGTTCCTTGCAGGTTGTTGGACTGAGGGCCTCAGTTACTGTCCTGTTACTGTCCTGTGCTCTGATGTTCTCTATCCTATTTCATTTACATTTAATTCATGAACTACTAGTAGGTGTAGCAAACACAGCCTGCAGGATGCAGTGCAGAGTACATGGTGACCTGGCCTGCTCTCTCTTCCTTGTTTTCTGCCTCCTTATGCTCCCAGACCTCTGTGCCTACACATGTCCTCCTTCTGCCTATACCCACCTTCCCCTACTGTACCTGTCACCTTCCCAGCTCCTCTTTGCCCCTCAAGAATCAGCTCAGGCATTGCCTCTGGAACCCATTGCCTGACCCCAGTCTTCTTTCCATGTGCCCCATAGAACCCTGTGCCCCCACCATCACAGCACTTACTCTGAATTGAATCATCTGTTCACTTCTCTGTTTTCCCACTAGACAAGTTCCTTAAGAATGGGGAGTAGGTCTCTACAGTTTCGTATCCCCAGCCCTAGCATAGTGCCTGACATAAAGTCAAAACCTAATAGATGTTTCTTATATGAACAAATGAATGAATGTCATAGAGATTAAGAATAGAGAAAGAAGTTCCTGATAACATTTATTGAAGATCTATTATACATAGAGCACTGTGCTGGAGAGAATTATGAAAAAAATAGTGGAACTTGACAGTGCTAAATGAAAAAAAATAGGTATAAAATGACCTGTACTTATAAATGAGGATTCTTTATATCTGCAACTAAGTACCATCAGATGTCTCACTGACAGTGGATTGAATGATGAAAGTGAGATTTAAAGAACCCATTTCTTTCATCTTTTTTCTTTTTTTTTTTTTTTTTTTTTTTTGAGACAGAGTCTCACTCTGTCGCCCAGGCTGGAGTGCAGTGGCGCGATCTCGGCTCACTGCAACCTCCGCCTCCCGGGTTCACGCCATTCTCCTGCCTCAGCCTCCTGAGTAGCTGGGACTACAGGCGCCTGCCACCATGCCCTGCTAATTTTTTTGTATTTTTAATAGAGATGGGGTTTCACCGTATTAGCCAGGATGGTCTCGATCTCCTGACCTTGTGATCCGCCCGCCTCAGACTCCCAAAGCGCTGGGATTACAGACGTGAGCCACCGCGCCCGGCCTTTTTTTCTTAACTGATTCCCTATTTTCATCTCTTACGAGAGAAACCTCAGGCATTGCTCTTCTAACCCAGGTCTGCTCTCAAACAGAGAGACCCAGTGTTGAGCAAAAGAAAAGGGCTGTTCAAGTGATTTTTAATCAAGTACCCCACATGACTAATTCAGGTCCTCCAAAATAGTCCCAGGGAGCCAAAATGAGGTAATATGACATGTTGTGGACTTGAAGGGTGGTTAAGGACACATACAGCCACTGCTTCAGATGCCGCTGTGAGGCAGAAAATTCAGGAATGCAGTAGAGGAGGGGAATGTGAACCCAGAATGCACTCAGTGTCTCTCCTTCAGACGCTTTTTTGACCCTCGGAAGCCTGGTCTGCTCAGGTCAATTCTGCAACCCTGGATGTTGAATTAGTGAATAAACAAACTAGGTCAAAAACAAATGCAGACTATATTAAAAAGAATAAGATATGTTCTCCTTGTTTTGGGCTTAATTTAAAATCCTAAGAGCAGGATAACAGCATCATAAATAACATGACCTCTCTCAAACTACTGCCTTCTCCTACTAGTTATAATAATAGCAACAGCTTATATTTGTATCTATTTTTATAGTCTGTGAGACGCTTTATCTTTTTTCAGCTTATTTGAGCTCAGAGCAGCCTTGTAAAATAGGTACAAGTATTATACCCATTTTGTAGGTGAGGAAACTGAGGTTCACAGAGGTTAAACAACTGTGGATCACACAGCAACTGACTAGGACTGTTTGGGATTCTAAGGTATAATAGTGCCAATTTGTTGAAAGGGAATAGCAACAAAAAAACTTGGACTCTAACCCCAAGTCTGCCAGCTATTAAGGTGTATGATCTTGGACATGTCGTTTACCTTTTTTTTTTAAAAAAAAAAAAAAGACAGGGTCTCACTCTGTCACCCAGTTTGGAGCGCAGTGGTACGATCATAGCTCACTGCATCCTTGAACTCCTGGGCTCAAGCGATCCTTCTGCCTCAGCCTCTTGAATAGCTGGGACTACATAGATGTGTGCCAACCACACCTGGCTAATTTTTTAAATTTATTGTAGAGACGGGTCTTGCTGTGTTGCCCAGACTGGTCTTGAACTCCTAGGCTCAAGGGATCCTCCCAAAGTGCTGGGATTACAGGCATGAGCCACCAGGTTTGGCCCCATTCAACCTTCTGACCTTCATTTACTCACTTATAAAAAATGTACATAATCGGCCGGGCGCGGTAGCTCACGCCTGTAATCCCAGCACTTTGGGAGGCCGAGGCGGGCGGATCACAAGGTCAGGAGATTAAGACCATCCTGGCTAATATGGTGAAACACTGTCTCTACTAAAAGTACAAAAAAATTAGCTGGGTGTGGTGGCACATGCCTGTAGTCCCAGCTACTCGGGAGGCTGAGGCAGGAGAATCACTTGAACCCAGGAGGTGGAGGTTGTAGTGAGCCGAGATCGGGCCACTGCATTCCAGCCTGGTGACAGGGCAAGACTCCATCTCAAAAAAAAAAAAAAATGTACATAATCATACCTTCCCTCTCTGCCTCACAGGGTGCCTATGAGGACAAAAAAGGTGGTATATGTGAAAGTGCTTCATAACTGAGCTGGTAATCCATAGATGTCTGGTATTAGCAATGTTTTCTAATAAAATAATAAGAGTAATACTCGTTATAACCTCTTTGCTTTGACAGTGCCTTTCATTGCAGCCATTCAGTAATTTTGCAGCTTATTATCACCTGTATAACACCCCTGTTGCTACCATGTCTAAAGGTGCACAAGCAGCCAGCCAGTGAGGGAAGGGGAAGGTCTTTCTTCTCAGCATGTCTTTAGAGCAGTGATTCTCTAAGTTGTAGCACACTGGAATCCCCTGGGGAGCTTCACACATGCAGGTGTCTAGGTCCCACCCTGGCCAATTAAAATTTAATCTGGTGGGGAGGAACTGGGCACCAGTATTTTTTTAAAGTTTCCCAAGTGATTCTAATATGCAGCCAAGGTTGGCAACCACTGCTCTTTGGACTATTTGTACATCTCAGTGGCTGCTGAAAGTGATCACAGTTTTAAAAGAACACAGCTTGTGGTTCTGGAAAAATCCATCTGCTTTTTCCAGAAATGTAGTACGTAAGTCAAATAGGTCTGAGGTCACTTGGGAGAGAAATCCAAGAGTTGGACTGAGAGCTCAAACCACAAAGATTCTAAATGCCACCATCACTTAGATAGCTGCCCTTTTTCCTGAACTGCCACTGTTGACAGATAAGATGGTGCACACAGCGAGAATCTGAGCAGCACAGAGCCCCCCATCCCCATCACTGTTCCTCCACTAAGCTCCCCTTGAAAACATTCCACAGGACTTCCTATTCACGGTGATTAGAAAAGTGAATACCTCCTATTTTAAAAGAAAAAAATCTCAGAGGATAAGCACGTAGCCGACGAGTGGCCAATTCTGTAATTTTCCCCATGGATAATAAGGAAATAATCATACATTATTTAATAATGTATTTTTCCATTGAATTCCAATGTGTCTACAAATTATACATGTTTTATATGATGTTTCACTTTAGGGTTAAGCCAAATAAGCATACATTTATTTTATAAATATAAATATATTATCTATTAAAATAGTTTCTAGTAAAAACATAGGTTTAGCTATTTGACTCAAATTTCTTAAAGAAGCCATAGTTAGAAGAAAATATCCACTAGAGTATACTAGACTTTATGTCTTCGCAGGAGAAGTAACACTTCCTCATCTGTTTACCTCTCAACTCCCTTCTCCAACTAGAAATGAAGACACAAGATAATAAAAGGATTTGACTTTTCAGTATCCCTTTCGAACTGGGCACCACCCAGAAGAAAGATTCTGTTAACTACTCCCTTTAGAAATTATCTCAAGGTGAGTTGCATGTCTCATTTGATCACTTCTTTTACAAGACTGGAAACAATTTGTATGGAGTAAACTCCTGTTACCAGACCTGGAGGCTTAAATAATGAAGAGGTTTATCTCTCATCTGAGAAGAGTTTATAGTCCGCAGCAATAGCCTGGAGACAAATACACCTCTGGGATCCCACAAAGGCGGTAATTAGGCAGCATTTTATTGTGATGCAGTGAGTGTGCAAAGGACAGAGCTGGACTACTCTTAGGAACAAAATTGGCTTCCTGGAGAGCCGACAGAAGAAATCTGGCAACCTAAAAATATTTAAAGAGCTTACGACCCCCAAGGGAGAATTTCCAGCTATTAAAGTAGAAAAGATTAAACATTTGCTGGGCTTGAAAAGGAGATTTTTAATGGAAACACTCAGGAAAATACAGTTTAGATAGAGAATCTTAAAAAAAAAAAAAAGATCAGACCTGTCATATACAGAGCAATCAAATGGGAGACTTTATATTTTCTTCGTAATGACATAAGAAAAAGGATCTAAAAATAGATCCTACCGATAATGAACTCTTCCTTCTCCTGCGTTTATTAGAATATAACACCTTCATTACAGAGAGGACATGTTCCTACTCACCATCTCACAGGCATAAATCTTGACATGGTCTTCACACCCTTTTCCTCTGGCCCCTAATTACAATTCTGCTATTTATTTCTCAACACAGCCTACATTTCGTGTGTTTCTCGTATGAATGAGTTGCAGTGTGTGCTGTGGTTAAGCTGGTGGGCACCAGGCCCAGCTCCCTCAAGTTTGGCTTTCTGACCTTGCCAATGACTTCACCCTTTGTGCCTTAGTTTCCGTGGCTATAGAATGGGGATAATAATAGCACCAGTCTCTGTGTGTTGTCAGGAGGATTAAGGCACAGCATAGCACTGAGGAAAGTGCACAACACTCAGTAAAAACACAATAAATGTTCATCATTATTGTCACTACTCTGCATTCCCTTAGTGCCTATAAAAATAGCATATTTTTAAAATAAAAAAAACAAGATACATGGTCTAACAAAAGATTGTTTTCAGATTCATGGATTTATGTGGAAAGTCTCAAGACATTTAGTTATACATTAAGGTATCTTTTTTATTACTGTAATTACTTAACAATCCTAAAATCCAAGAAGTATTCCACAGCATGGTCCCTGACCTTCAAGCAGTTTATATTCCACTTGAGAGACAGAACATATGCCCATGAACTATTAAACACAAATCCAAAGCAGTTCATGATTATGTATAAAACGAGTAGTTCAGAAGGTGAGAACTAGAAAAATGGGGAGAGGGAATTCTGAGGGAATCAAGTCTCCATTGTGTGCATGAAGTTGATAGAGAACTTCATTTGGACCATGAAATAAAGGTAAGGAAAATGAAGGGATTTTCCAGCAGGCAGGAAGACATGAAGGTAAGAGCAAGTCAACAGAGCCGTTCATCTGCCGCAGGTGATTTGCCTCTGAAATTAGGTGACATCGGTGGATGAGGCACAGGTTATGCAGTTGAGGGGTTCAAATGCCAGAGGGAAGATTCTGACTTCACCCTGAGAGTCTCTGAAGTTTTGTTAGTTGGAAAGTGGCATAAACACAGATGCAATATAGGTTTATATGGGGAGAGACAGGAGTCAAGGAGAAACGCTGATGGTTTTTAATAATAATCTAGGTATAACTCAGACGGGGCCTACCAGGGTGGGGACATTGGGAACATAAAGGAAGTGACAGACAGCCGTGAAAGCATGACAAAGACTCATCCCCTTCGCTCCATTCTCACAGCCCAAATCCTCCCAGAGCAGCCTTTGCTATCTGAGCACACCAAGCCAAGTTCAGGAGCACCAGATGCCAGATGCACCTCCAAGGTTTTCCAAGGTCCTTGTGGACAGTCTCATCCTGATTTCCATTTACTCCCACTTGCCTTTCTATCATGTGTACCCGATAGATTCCAAAAATAGAAAATCATATGTCTCCCTCCTTCTAAAAGCATGTAGTATTTTCCAGTTGTGTAGGCTTTCTAAAAATATTTTTACTCATATTGATGAATAATTTTAAATTAATAAGTCATTAGTAATTTAGTAGTTTTAAAAGTTAGACTGGTGTACACTTTAAATGGGTGCAACTTATTGTACCTAAATCAGTCCTCAGTAAAGTTCATGAGAAAAATAAATAGGTTTAATGGTTGAGGATACAGAGAGGTGGCAATTATTTGAAAGTCAAGTTAAAGAAGCTCAATTAGCCAGTTACCTTTGTCCCCAGGCATTAACTACTGTGGTTTGGAAGTTCATGTGTCATTTGTTATATGCGTGATAACATATACTGTGTCACGGGATTGTTTCTTATGCAAGATTAACAAAATGTGATACCCAGAACAACCAAGTTCTATCTCTATGAGGACGGGGACTTGAAACTACATTTAACTGCATTTACTTGGCACCTCATTGGAGTAGCCTTGGATAGTAGCTCAAAGTGATGATTAGTCTAGATAACCTCTTAAAATGCCTTTCAACTCAGCAAGTAACATATGGATTAGTGTTCTCTAATCCATATGTTTAGAGTTTAATAATGGAGATAGCAGCACGTAGAGAAATGTGATTCAAAGAGTGGTCTCCGGATTGGCAGCCTGGGCGTCACCTGGGAGCCTGTGTTAGACATTCTTGAGCTTCACCTGCCTCCTCCCAAATCAGTGGGGATGGGGCTAGGAATCTAGCAATTGTGTTTTATATCGGCAACGGGGAAGCTCTGTGTGTGTGCACGCCTGTGTGTGAGCCGTAGTCCACATCGGGTGGGAAGCAGAAACATAATGAAGAGTCACATGGCTAAAAATAAGATAGATTTAGTTGATTTTTATAGTAATAGGTATGGAATATTCCTCTAATTATTTTTAGATTTTAGACTTACTATTTCCAGTCAAAATTCAACATCAGTTAAATATATACCATAAGTACTATCTTACAGTAATTCCCAGGAAAGGAAGAAAGAAGATAAAGAGAAGGTAGTGAAAAAGAGTGGGAAGAATTAATTTAATTCACATATTGGTCTAAGCACTCAGAAACAAATATGTTGCTATATGATTAGTACTGCTGTCATTTGGGGGAGCGAGAGTACCCTTTAAATTAAAAATGGTTCCAACAGACTTATCTACTTTTTTTTTTTTTTCTTTTTGAGACGGAGTCTCTCCCTGATACCCAGGCTGGAATGCAGTGGGGCAATCTCAGCTCACTGCAACCTCCGCCTCCCAGGTTCAAGCAGTTCTCCCTGCCTCAGCCTCCCGAGTAGCTGGGATTATAGGCGCTTGCCACCATGCCCAGTTAATTTTTGTATTTTTAGTAGAGGTGGGGTTTCACCATGTTGGCCAGGCTGGTCTTGAACTCCTGACCTCAGGTGATCCTCCCACCTTGGCCTCTCAAAGTGCTTGGATAACAGGCGTGAGCCACCACGCCCAGCCCTTATCTACATTTTTTTTAAGCACACATATTTCTGAGATGCTTTTGTTCCTGGAATCTAATCCCAGCAGTTAGTCTAACCTCCCACACATTGCAGGAACCCCTCCCTGGTCATCGTCTCTGGATGGAGTCACACAGCCTCTGCTTCGGCATCTGTCTTGTATGCTGCCTTACAAACCTTACAGCTGCCCTCACGCTTTGCACCTGTGAATGTGGACTCTCCTTCTTCGGGTGCCTTGCTCTGCATGGTTCAGTGCCTTCGCTGTGCTCTTCTACCTGAAATCTCCTGCCTCTACTTGTCTACCAGGAAAACCCTAACCGACCACCAAGCCTCAGCTCAAATGCTGTGTCCTATGGAAGTTCCTCTAGGCAGATTTAGTGGCTGCTTCTGCTGGACCTCCCATAGACACACACACACCTTTGTCCACACATCCATTATAACCACTATCTTTTCTCATTGCATATGCTTATTATGTTCAAATTCATCTCCCCACTAGACTAAGTCCCTTGAGGCCAGGAATGATGTCTTACCTTTGCATTCTCAGCAGCTAGTCTATTGCCCAGTAATAAAGTATTACTTAATGAATACATCAAATGAATGTATGAATAAATGATACCTAAACAAAGTTCTACAGGAGCCTAGAAATGGGAGCTATAACCGGTGACTGGCCACACTGAAGAAGCAGCATTTGACCTTGTATTGAAGAACAAGTTTGATTTTGCTTGGCAGAAAAAAAAAAAGGAGAGGACTATAAGCAGAAGAATAACAAGAACAAAGGCATAGGAGTGGGCAAATCCGTGGTCTTCTCAGAGAGCACCTCATGTTACAGGTCCAGTGGAAGACAGACATGAAAGAGGAAGTTTGGACCAGAATAATGTATGTGCTAAGGAGCTGTGGGCCTTATTCTGGACATAATAAAGAACCATGAAAAAATTTTGAATAGGGAAAAGTCATGACCAGATACATGACTTGATTGGAGGTTGGTTAGAAGGAAATTGCTATGATCTGGGCAATTGAAGTAAGTGAAAGCCTGATAGAGTTGCAGCAGCAGTAGGAGGAGGGAAACCAAGTAAATTTGAGAAGCATTTTGGAAATAGGATCAAGATGACTTGGCAACCAATTGAATATGGGAAGTGAGGAACCAGTGAAGCTGAAGCTTGGCCAAGCTTTCTGACCTGGCAACTGAGTGAACACTCAGACAACACCACCTACAACTATATCGTCTTTACAGGCAGATTGGAAGCTCTGAGAGAGTAAGGCCCTTGCTCTTGGTGTATCCTCTACATCTCTTGTAGCTCCTAACACTGACCGTGCATTCAGAGGTTCCTAGTAAACATTTGTTGAAAGAATTGATGATGTTTCTTATACTCACCAAATATGTCAAAAAGGAAAATATAATACAATGTCTTTTCTTCAGAGACATTTTCAAATTCTCAGCATGTTTTTCCACCACAAATGAATTCACAACTATCTCATTCAACTTGTACATCCACAAAAGTGACCCATTGTTGCACAAACTGAAATCTCCTTTAAGATTGTGTGTGTGCTGGGGAGGACAGTCAAACGGTTGGTATTTTTACTTTTTTTTTTTTTTTTTTTGGAGAGAGGGCTATGATATTTTTGGTCCTCTGAAAATGAATCCAAAACAATAAAACAAGCTGAATGTTTTCCTCTAGTGGAAAGAAAGAAAGCAAACCTACTACAGGTAAATTGAAATCTTCAAACAGACCCATAACACACTGCTGAGACATTCTTGAGATGATGGCTTTAGTTAGACTGGGGCCACACATCTTTACATTTCTTCATTCACCTGGCAGGACTAATGAGATTTTATGGCGGGCAAGCTGTTTATCCCTTGGGTGACATTGGCAAGCACATCTATATCTTTATCAATCAAGGGTTTTCTGCACTGCAACTCCCACCCCCAACCTAAAGATTGCCCCAGCCTGGATCACAACATTTACAACACGTAAGAACCTCATTCCTTTTCATCAACACTCCACCCATCACTTTCTGTTACCTAGATCTAATCATGTGTGTCCTAACATCACATTGCTCCATAACAAGGGGCAGGAAGAAGAAATGAATAAAAGGAAAAGAAAAAAAGGTTTCGATGGTACCTGCAAGTTGATGCAGAGCTGACAGCTCCATGGCTAGAATATTATATTTGCCCAATAGAACAATAGGTCTGCTGGCAAGCTGTTACCTACAGTACTGTATCTGCTGAACAGGTGGAAAAAGCTCTCTTCCCCTCTGCAGTGGTTTAGGAACATGAGGAGGTGACCACCACTCCAGTTTGGAAACAAGGATTTGGTTCCCCTTTGTAGCTTTCATATTGCCTGAATTCACCTGCAATGTCTATTTTCAGTACTTAATAAATACTCATATACACATGAACATACAAACTCACATATTTAACAATTGCCATCATAAACTCTCAGGATGATGTATCCATTCTACCTTTGCAACCTGGAAAATGTCCCCAGATCTCAGACCAAGGAGATACTGGGGAAATGGCTCTGCAAAAATCCAGGAACAGGTTTTGGTTCTGGTTCTCCCATAGAATATATCTATAACACCTGGACAGAATGCTTGGTGCAGCTGCTTGAGAACTCTTGAAAAAGTAAACAGTAGCAGGTAGATTGTGGGAGAAAACCAGAATTCAAAAGTATCACCAATTGACTGTGGATTTACCATGTTTACCCTCTGTATTCCCTGGACAGGACTCAAGGCAGCCTTTGTGACAGGGAGGGTTCCAGCATAAACCTTCTAGTTCAGACTCAAGGTGAGAGAAGAGTCTTCTGGCAGTGGCAGCCACAGCATGGAAGGCCCACAGCACAGAATATGCTGTCGAAGCGGGACCTTCCTCTTCAGTCAAAGGAATCATGGTCCCAAGACCATGCTTTTTCTTTTCTCTGGGCTCCCACCACTTGGTCCTGGACAGGGCAGAGTCACAGTGAGTGCACAGAAGAGCAGGGTGATAAGGCTCCAGTTTTCTGGATGGATAGCCAAAAAGGTGAATCCTGGGAAACTGGAAAGTGCCAGGGAGATGGTAGAGAGAAAGGAGCTTGGGAAAACGAACCCAGACAGTTATTTGCTGGCTTGTGGGCACACCCTTGAGCTGTGCATTCTTGGATTTGATCACAAACATCATAACAGAGACTTTGAGAACTGAATTAACAGCTACATCGCTATCTAGGTCCCATCCTGACCATGAAATAATAGGCACCCAGGAGAAACGTGAACAGGACCACAGTGACTTTGAAAATAGAACTGACATTGCAACCACAACCACAGAAAGCTGATCAGAACTTGCAGTCTAAACCAATTGTGTCAATTGCCTGCTAAAAAAACATAAGTAAATGAACAAACCTGTACAGATTGAAACAAGACCTAGTGTCTCATAATATAATATTCAAAATGCTCATGATATGCTTCAAAACTAGTCGCCATGTGAACCAGGAAAATCTCAACTCATGAGAGAAAAGACAATCAATGGATGTCAATATGAAGAAAACACAAATGTGATAGTTATTTGACAAGAAATTAAAGCGACTTTTATAAAAGTGCTCTAAGAAGTAAGAACCAACACTCTAGAAAGCTTTAGCAAAGAGAATAAAGATTGAGAAAAGTAAAAATTAAAAAAAAAATTAAAAACCACCCAGAACTTCAGGGTCCTGTGAAACAATTCCCCAAAAGCCTAATATTTGTGTCATCAGAGCTCCAAAAGGACAGGAAAAAGTGTGGTACAGAAAAATACTCAAAAAATAAAGACTGGAAACTTCCCAAATTTGGCAAAAAGCACAAACCTATAGAAATTCAGTGAACTCCAAACAGGACAAACCCAGAGGAACCTATGCCCAAACATTCTAATGAAACTGCTAAGAACTAAAACCAGCCCCGAAAATATTAAAACAGTCAGAGAAAACCAACACACTATTTATAGAGGAACAATTAAATGACTGTGGAATTCTCATCTAAAACAATTGGAGGCAAGATGATAAAATGCTGAAAGAAAAAAAATTGTCACCCTAGAATTCTATATTCTAAGAAAATATCCTTCAGGAATGAAGGTGGAATAAGAACATTATCAGATACATGAAAAATAAGAGAATTTTTGGCAGCAGTCGTGCTGTAGAAGAATTACTAAAGAAAGATCTACAGACAGTTACCTCGTGTGAAAGAAACTAGACTCAAAAGGTTATGTACTGTAATGATTTCATTTATATAGCAATTTCAAAAATAAAAATTTGGCAACAGAGAATAGATCAGTGGTTGCTAGGGTTCGGGGTGGGATGAGGGTGTGATTAAAATGGGACAGCATGAAGACATTTTGGTGTGATGAAGCTGTTCTGCAACCTGATTCTCTACACTCATTAAAAGGCGTAGAATTCTACACACACCCAAGGTCAATCTTGCTGCATGTTAATTTTTTTTAGGCCAATAAACAAGAGATGTTCCTCTCTAAGAACCTTCTAGTCTAAATAATACTGAATAATACTTCACCACCTTCCTTGGACACCTGCTTGTGAAGGTCATTGACAAGGCCAATGCCCGGTTGTTTCTGCTGCCCTTGAGTGTGCAGCTCACAGCTGAATTTACCCTCCCCACCTGCCCCACTGCCAGTTCAAGCTCAGAAAATATCACACGTTTGAGCTGAACAATGAATAAGAAGTCAGGAGGCATTTTGTGGGACTGCCCTCTTCTACAAAATCTATAAAGCTCACCTCCCTTCGCCCCTCCTGAGAAACAAGATAAGAAAAAAAACCATTGAACTTATGAAGATCAGGACTTATATATCTAGGTGTCACCTCATCATTGGAGCACCCACTTCTGTGTTTCCTTCCTAGCTGCTGCACCCCAAAATGTGCAGCAAAGCCCCAGCAGGCCCTGGAGCCCCTACCTGCTGCACTACCCTACCACTCCACTGATGTCTAGAGTATTTCTCTTGCAGCAGATATCCTTTTGGTCAAAGTAATAATTGTCCTTTTGTATCAGGTGGTTGGTATTCTTATTTTCGCCTTTGGCAGACCCATAGGAGGAAAAGAGAATCGCATGTTTGCAGGAGAAGGGATAAAATAAAAATAAGACCTTAGGCATTGCTCTAATACTGCAGTTCTGCATTGTTTAAAAACCGTGTTTGTGGCTGGGCGCGGTGGCTCATGCCTGTAATCCCCGCACTTTGGGAGGCCAAGGCGGGAGGATCATGAGGTCAGGAGATCGAGACCATCCTGGCTAACATGATGAAACCCCATCTTTACTCAAAATACACAAAAAATTAGCCAGGCATGGTGGCAGGCACCTGTAGTCACAGCTACTCAGGAGGCTGAGGCAGGAGAATGGCATGAACCTGGGAGGCTGGAGCTTGCAGTGAGCCGAGATCACGCCTCTCCAGCCTGGGCAACAGAGAGAGACTCCATCTCAAAAAAAAAAGCAAAACTGTGTTTGTGTGACTCTTTCCCCCTTAAGGCAGGCATTATGCCTTACTCAGTTTTGTGTCTCCAGGGAACTGCACAGTGATAGACATGTGGAGGCACTCATAGAGATATAGGTTGTAAGTAAGTGAATGCATGCACCCATGGCTGAATAAATGAACCGTGTGACTGATACAATTCTGCAAATACAGCAGATGCCCAAGTGGGTCTCTTAGCTCTGACAGCAGGCAAAGGTGGTGGTGATCCAGTGGCCTAGAGAGGGCAGGGTGCCAATGGAGGGCTCCAGTCTGGTAACAGGAAGGCAGGAGAATTGGGCCACAGCAGGCACCTCATCCCCCTGCCCCCCTGCCCCATGGATTGGCACGAGCAGTCCATCTCTAGGCTGAGCAGAAGGAAGGAAATCACAGCAGAAAACATAGTCCTGGTGAGATGCTCTAAAGTCAATATTCGAACGAAAACATCACTCCTCTACAGTGTTTCCTGTTCCATGAGATGCTCCTTCAAATAATGTCCCCTCCTCAAACACGTTTAAAAAACACTCTAGGCTGTGTCTCCTTCTTAAAGATGCACAATACATATTTGCTTATTAAATCCTCTGGAAAGCCGCAGAGTAAAGAAATGTTTAATTTTTTAATATATAGTTGAGGTAGAATGAACATATGCACAGGTCTTGTATTCAACTCAATAATATTTGAGAGTTTAATGCTCAGTTTACTGCTACCCAAAACAAGATGTAGAATATTTCCATCACCCCAGAAAGTTTCTCCATGCCCGATTCCAGCCAACCCACTGTCCGCACTCAGAGACAACCACTGTCTTACCGCTCATCAGCATCATCTGCCTTTGCTTGTTCTTGGACTATGCCACATGTATTTTTGTGTGGCTTGCTTCTTTTGCTCAGTGTGAAGATATTTTAGTTGTGTCAATGCTGTTGTGTATATTAGTAGTTCTTTTTTTCATTGTTGAGTTGTATTGCATTGTGTATGTAAATAAGTGTGATAGATTATATACATCTATATTGTAATATATAGAGAGATTATATATATATATATATATACACACATATCTCATAATTTGTTTATCCATTATCCTGTTGATGGATATTTGGGTGGTTTCCAAGTTTTGACTATAATGAGTAAGGCTGGTATGAACATTCTTATGTAAGTCTTTTTGTAGACATATGTTTTCATTTTTCTTGGGTAAACATGTAGAAGTGAAATTGCTGGACCATAGGGTATATATGTTCAATGTTATAAAAACTGCCAAACAGCTCTCCAAAGTGGTTGCACCTGTTTAACTTTTTAAACTTAGTATTTCCTTTGTTCATTTGACCACAGAGCCCCACAGATCTGTAAAATGAGCAGGTTGGACCAGACAGCTTTTAAGATTCTTTCCAGCTTTATGCAGTGATAGAGGCCAAGGCATTCAGGAGTGGAGTTGATCAAGGTCAGGATTTGTCTTCTTTCATAAATCGTGTAGGCAAGAGCAAATGACACGAAACCCAGAATAACCAAATGTTGGGAGTAGGAAGATAGAAAACATTGCTGAGTCCAGGGAGTGGAGAAGAGGTAATAACTAGCAGGTAGTCACCTGGACAGAGGCATGAAAGAGGAAATATTTAAGCCAGAAGGAATCTGAGGTAGAAACAATTAAAGCAGAAACCACGGTATACAGAAGACTCCGGCAGTGTTTAAGAAGTTTCTTTGGCCCAGGGGCATCAATAATGATAAGACATTCAGAAAACTCTTCAAGACCACTGTTTTCAAAAAAGGGGGAGTTGCAGAGAGGATTTGGGGCACAACTGAAAATAAGGTACAGTAAAACTATTCATTTTCATTCAATTTATTAGGAATTTAAGTTTTAAATGACATATTACTGTTGGGATATAATTATCTGTGGATCTCTTGCATTTCTGTATTTTTTTTGTTTTTGTTTTTGTTTTTGTTTTTGTTTTTGTTTTTGTTTTGAGGGAGGGTCTTGCTCTATCACTCAGGCTGGAGTGTAGTGGCGAGATCTCGGCTCAGGGAAACTTCCACCTTCCCGGTTCAAGCGATCCTCCCACCTCAGCCTCCTGAGTAGCTGGGATTACAGGCACGCACCACCATGCCCTGCTAAATTTTGTATTGTTTGTTTGTTTGTTTTAGTAGAGACTGGGTTTCACCATGTTGCCCAGGCTGTTCTTGAACTCATGGGCTCAAGTGATCCACCTGCCTCAGCCTCCCAAAGTGCTGAGATTACAGGTGTGAGCCACCATGCCGGGCTGCATTTCTGTATATTTTGAGTAGAAACACTGCCTGTCCTTTGCTCTGGCCTATCTTTTGAAGGATGTTTCTGTAGTGAACAAACTTGAAAACAGAGATCATATGTACCTTGGGAGCAAAGGGTAGGTTTGCCTACATCCTTGGAAGATAGAGATAATAAGTAATCCTGAAATCAAGGGCGTGCATGCTTACTGCCCTTTGTTCAGGTCCCCTAAGCTCAGAATTCCTGTCCTAAAATGCAACCCACTGCATTTGCATGTATAATCTGACCCTCTTCAATCACTCTTTTGAGACGTGGGGAGCCAGTATAAATTCTTTTTTTTTTTTTTTTTTGAGACGGAGTCTCGCTCTGTCGCCCCGGCTGGAGTGCAGTGGCGGGATCTCGGCTCACTGCAAGCTCCGCCTCCCGGGTTCACGCCATTCTCCTGCCTCAGCCTCCCAAGTAGCTGGGACTACAGGCGTCCGCCACTACGCCCGGCTAATTTTTTGTATTTTTAGTAGAGACGGGGTTTCACCGTTTTAGCCGGGATGGTCTCGATCTCCTGACCTCGTGATCCGCCCGCCTCGGCCTCCCAAAGTGCTGGGATTACAGGCGTGAGCCACCGCGCCCGGCCGCCAGTATAAATTCTTTAAAGCACGCTGACAGTTTATCTACTGCTATGGCTGCAGATAATAAACCATCTCCCTGACTCAACAGTCTCACGTCTTTTCCCACTATCCATGAAACTAACTTGGAATAGCTAACTTGTTAGCTTGCAAGTGGGGTAAAATCTCAACCCCTTCAAAGTTCTTGACAATTACATATGAATTCTTGAATAAAAGCAAAAGTTCTTCCTTCACACAATTCCAAAGTCTAATTTGTCAACAAAAGGAATTCTAAAATCAGGAGGTTTCTTTTTTAAAACAGAGGTTCAAGAAATTAAAGATTTCTCAACATGTTGTTCATTTTTAAACCTAACAGCTCTGGAGCAAGTATTTTCCTGCACTTTTTCAAAAGTTATTGTGCTTGTCCCAAAAAGATACTCCCTTTATTCCAGGAACCGACACAATAAAACATCTCTCAGATGCTTGGAGGATCAAACTCAGTCTCAGTTGCTGAGATCACTAGTACGGCCCAAGGGCATGGGCCTTCTGTGCTTCTTCAATTTCAAAGGTTGGCTGGCTCACTGCCCCAGCCCGCCCCATGGAAACCCTGAGCAAGGCACATCTCCTGCGTGGTTTCTGAAAGGCAGAAGATAAATGTCTATCCACAGCGAAAACAGTAGAAGAGCCCTTCAGCACATCTCTGGCCAGAAAGCTGAGGGTTGGTGGCAGGGCGCCCACACATTCAACTTGCCAGTAACAGTCCAGGGTCTTGTTGTTCTGCATTTGCACAGAAATTTAGACAGTCATGGAAGTCAAAGAATGCAGATGACACTGTAGTTCCAACCCCACAGCCCATGTGTCACCTCCTTTGTTTCAGTCACTTCATGGATGTCATCTTTTGAAAATGATCTAAGTCACATGAAGGCTTCCCAGCCACTCCTAGCTTCACATAATTGTATCCTTTTCTAAAATCCTGACCTTCCCTTAACCCATTTCTCTGCAGTGCCAGCATCTCACCAGTCTCCGAAAAGCAATCCCCTTTCTATTCTGAATCAGTGATCCTCTTCTTCATCAGAACTGATTCTTACCTTCAACCATTAAATCAGATGATTTCTTGAGATTCCTTCCAGATACAGTATCAGTCAATGTCCCCCACTCACTTATTCACTCTCCTTAGAATACATATATATTCAGAAAAAAAAAATGACATTGATCCTATCTATCTTCCCTCCTCTTCAAATACAGGTTCCTAAAGTGTCCAGTTTACAAGTCAATTCACTGCTGGATAATTTAATATGTGGCTTACTCTCTATATGCCATAGAGGCAGTGTGCTTAATAAGGTCCCTAAAGACCTCATTTTCAATGCATTGAGCATCTCCCCTCTCTCCTCCTCATTCTCTCTTATCCTAAGGGTGTGTGTGTGTGTGTGCATTGCACACGGTATTGTCTCAATTGTGTCCCCCCAACAATTCATGTTGCATCCCTAATCCCCAAGGTGACTGTATTTGGAGATAGGGCCTTTAAGGTGGTAACTAAGTTTAAATGAGATCATAAGGGTGGGGCCCGAATCCCACAGGACTGGTGTCCTTAGGAGAAGGGACACCAGAGAGCTGTCTTTCTCTGCACATGTGAGCACACACACAGAGGAAAGGCCATGTGAGGACAAGGCGAGAAGGCACCGTCAGGCAAGCCAGGAAGAGAGGCCTCACCAGAAACAAAATTTACTGGCACCTTGATATTGGACTTCTAGTCTACAGAACAGTGAGAAAATAAATTTCTGTTGTTTTAAGCCACCTGGTCAGTGATATTTTTTATGACAGCGAGAGCTGACTAATGCAGCGTGCATGCCCTTTATTGGTTCTTAACCTTTTTATGCCTAGTAAACTATTAAAAGGTAGTAAGCCTAGCAGACTGCATACAATATGCATTCTATTCTGTGTAGTATAGTCTACATAGTATGCAAAGCACACATAACATATTAGATAATTATAGAATGACAGGGCTAGAAGGAAAGGTCACTGTTAACAGCAGAGTGCAGGCTATTTGCAGAAAAAAGGAACAGAGAGCAAATGCATGAGTTGTCTTATTTATATTTCAAATAAGCTCTTCTTTCAGCTAACATGCTTATACCTTGTTTACTCACCATTAGTAGCCATTGATAAATATAACCATTTTAAATTTACATGCACAATTACATTTTGCAAAAAGGTCAACCTTAGTATTTTCATACAGTACCACCTGGTGTGGAGGAGGAAAGTGTGACTTAAGCTAATGTTTAATGCAAAAAGAGGGATGATTCATTAATGGCTCTTATTTCATGTTTCGGACATTGATTGGAGATTTTTGCTTAAGAACCAACCATTTTGAGGCAATTGGGAAAGTTTGAACATGGGTTCAGTCTTAAATAATATTAAAGAATTATTAATTTTGTTAGGTATGATAATGATATTGAGGTTATGAAAGAAAATGGAGAAACAGAACTACTTAGTGGAAAAGAAGAAAGAGGAAGAGAGGAAGAAAAAGAAAAAGGAAGAGGAGAAAAAAGGTGTAACTATAGCAAAATGTTGAGAACTTAAATGGGGGAAGAGCCCATGAGGTTTATTATATGATGTGTGTCTACTTTTGTGTAAGTTTGAAAATCTTCAATATCAACTGCTTTTAGCCAGGTACAGTGGTGCAAACCTGTAGTCCCAGCTACTCGGGAGGCTGAGGTGGGTGGATCACTTGAGCCCGGGGGTTTGAGACCAGCCTGACAACATAATGAGATCCTAACTCTGTCAGAAAAAATAAACAAACAAAAACGGCAAATATTCACTGAATGTCTGAAGCAGGAGTCCATCAGCTGCCTGCCATCAAGGGTAGATGGAAGGTTTGTGAGGCCTCAAGCTTTTACCATTTGGGGAGCCCTCCTTCAGAAAAATGATGAATGCACAATTCCCTTGGGAGGGGCCTGCTCTGGTGACAGGCTCACACACTTGCATTTCATCAGTTCCATAGTAAATCCACCTCTGTCAGCCATGGGTATGGCTTGGTTAGCCCAGTGATTCTTCCTTTTTCAGCTTTTTCTTTTCTTTTTATTATGAACATTTCAAACATAACCAAAAGTTAGAGCGTTTAAGACAATGATCTTTTATGCGTCTGTCATCCAGCTTCCACAACCATGAGTCCTTGGCTAGCTAGTCTTAATTCATCTGTAATGAATTAACCAGCCATTCCCCTCCATCCATACTGTGTTATTTTAAAGCAAATCCCTAATATCATTTTATCTCTAAAATATTTCAGTATGCATCCTTAAAAGATAAGGACTCTTTCAAAAAACATATCACAATATCATTATGACACCTAAAAAAAAACATAATTTCTCAGTCAGGCCAGTGTTTAAAATATATATTAGATTGTCCAGGAGTGAATTGACTTGTAAACTGGACACTTTAGGAACTTATATTTGAAGAGGAGTGGAGATAGATAAGGTCAATGTCCGTTTTTAAATTTCTTTAATTGCCTCAAATATTTTTCTACAGTTTGTTCAGATCAGGAACCAAATAAAATATATATCACAACTGGTTGATATCTCTGTTAAACATCTTTTAATCTATGGGCTTGTCTTCCACATTTGTTAGATTCCTGGCAATGTATTTGTTGAGGAAACTGGGTCATTTTGTCCTGTAGGGTTTCCCACAGTCTGGTTCTTGCTAATTGCATTTCTGTGGTATCATTTAACATGTTCCTCTCCTTTATGTCCTGTAAATTGGTGGTTATATCTAGAAGCTTGATTGGATTCAGGGTTGATTTTTTGACAAATTCATCAAAGGTGTGTACTTCTATGAAGGCACAAGATAAATGGTTGCTTTTTTTTTTTTTTTCAGGTGAGTAGCCACTGCTGATCATTACTTTGACCCATTATTTCCCAATTTTTTTTTTTTTTAGATGTGAGTTCTGTCAGGCAGGGGCAGGGATTGCGTACATTGTAGGGTGCTCACCTGGCTGGCTCCCAAGGCACTGGACTGTCAGAGGATCAGGGGTAGGGACAGCATGGACAAAGGGGACAAGAAGCCAGACTTGTCCTAAATGAGTTCATAGCATGGTCGGAGACACAGGACGTAAACACGGGGAAATAACAAAGATATGTCATAAAGCCGTGCAAATAACTTAGGTAGCGATCCTTCTGGGAGCGCAGAGGACAAGAGAGCAATCCACTTGGGTAGTCGGGGAAGGACTTTAGCCCAGACACTGACTTTCTCCAACGAAACACAATATCGTGTCTGGATGCCCAGTTACCAGTTGGCGTCCACCCTGGGCTTCCTGTTGCAAAACATCCAATCGATTTCTCCTCCACTGTGCATGTTGGACCAAAGGCTGCACAGCCAAGATTCTGACTCCCTCCTGGTTACATGCCCCCTTGTGGTAAAACCACAAATTACAACAGATTTTCCAACCATGAAGATGGGGACAGCCATCAAACATTATCAGCAGGGTGGAGGTGTGGAAAGAAGAGCATCTGTAGCGGGTCCATTCTGTGTCCGGCACAGAGCTGGGCACATCTGTGTGTGTTAGCGCATTCTTACCTCCCAGAGCCCGGTAATCGACCAACATTTGTGGCCGATGCTACTAGGCACGGACCCAGTATCTGCATTCACCTTCTTCCTTTCTGACAAATCCCAATTTTGTTCACGGTGGCAAAGTGCCCCCTAATGCTTGTCTGATCAGACTGGTAGCTAAGATGCTGGCCAGGGGGTTCTAGCTGGAAGTTGGCTGGAGATTTCTGGGAATGGCTTTGCTTTCCTAGTATAGGAGCTTCCCCTTTTTCCCTTCCTGCCTGGAATGCAGAGTTAGGTGGGAGGTAGAGCAGCCATCGTGTGGCCACGAAGAGGCCAGTGTGAAGACAAAAGCTTCACTTCGAGAAAGCAGCAGGAAGAAAGAAGCAACCTGAGTCACAGATGTTCCCAGCACCCCCCAAAATGCCTACCTCTGGACTTCCTGAGAAGTGTGAGAAAAAGACCTTACTTGGGTCCACCACCGTAGTCAGCTTTCTATTATACACAGCATAAACAGAATCTGTCTGATCGTTATCATCATGGTAGTTCGACTGATGTACTAAGATATGGATGTTCAGGTCGCTTAAGAAACTCCCTCAACTGGCCGGGTGCGGGGCTCACGCCTGTAATCCCAGCATTTCAGGAGGTCGAGGCAGGTGGATCAACTGAGGTCAGGAGTTCGAGATCAGCCTGGCCAACATGGTGAACCGTCTCTACTAAAAATACAAAAAAGTAACCAGGCATGGTGGCATGCAACCGTAATCCCAGCTACTTGGCAGGCTGAGGCAGGAGAATCACTTGAGCCCAGGAGGCAGAGGCTGCAGTGAGTCAAGATCATGCCACTGCACTCCAGCCTGGGCAACAGAGTGAGACTCTGTCTCAAAAAAAAAAAAAAAAAAAAAATATATATATATATATATATAAAGAAATTTGTGTAAATATATATGTACGTGTGTGTGTGTGTGTGTGTGTGTGTATATATATATATATTTCCTCAAATTCACACCACCACAATAGGGCACAGCTGGGGCTCAACACCACTTCCCATCAGCTTCTTCACCACCACCCCTCCCCTGCCACCTGATGACAACATATATGCACCTTCTTCTGTTTCATGATACCTCTCACCTGGCAAGCCAGAAGGCTCTTTCTCGGGGGACTGGAGTCATCACACTCTTCTGCCCACCAGAGCCCAGGCTGCTGGCAATGAAGACATCATTCCTTCCTTCCCAGGCCAGTCCTCTTGAACACAGAGCAGTGGCAGCTGCTGGAAATCCCTTCTCCCCTCCAGTGCCTCCACTGCCTGCCCTTTCTACCACCTTGCCCATGTTTGGTCATATCCAGAACACCCCTGTTAAAATAGAGCCATCTTGCTCAGCAGTTCCCCGCAGGTGTTCCACAAAACCCTAGTCCCAAGGGAAGTGACTTTGTATGGCTGGATTTAACTAAGACTAAGATGCACAAGCTTTCACATTTTAATGTCTCTGAAATTAGGATGTTTGTTACAATTGACGTATATTATCAGCAGCCATTTTCCCATGCTTTAACCGATCAGAAATCATATCTCACAGACATTGGCCTCTTAGCTCTATTAGAATGGTGCTTGAAAATAAAGGAGTTCCATGGTGAAATACGTTTGGAAAATAATGGAACAAACTAAATCAATAAACCTTTGCAATGCAGATCTTCTCAAAGCCTTTAACATGCTAAAGTGCCACTCCAAGAGATTTGCTAGGATTATTTGGCCATGGAATTCTCCTTTTTGTAGAGTGCCTCATAGTACTAGTGTTATATGGAATGCAAATTAAGAAACTTAGCTATTATATTCTGGGATAATTGACCAGATTTGCCAACCAACTAGCTGTCTTCTGGAAGAAAGCTCCAAGAAAGCTGCAGAAGACCTAACATGAGAAGCTGACAAGTCTGAAGCGTAGCCCTTTAGTGGAAAGGTCAGAGGCCTCACGGAGGCACTACCACCTGCTGAGTCACTGGAAAACACAGCAGATACCTTCGGGGGAATAATGAAAAGTGAAACGTGCAATGTTGTTAAGTTTCTCCCACTTGACTCTTTATTGGCAGCCAAGCCTACATGCCTTCATCCAGCCCAAAGAAACAAGAGTATGACTAGGGCCGTGCCTTCTTAATGCTTAGATACTATGTCTGACCTCCAGAACCTACAACGACATCATTGGTCTCCCAGATACAAACACATCTTATATGACCCTGGTAATGCTGAAAGGGGAGAGCATTCATAGAGAATTTGTAGTGCTGCTTAAACTCTCCAGGTGATTCCAATATTCAGACAAAATTGAGGCCCATAGTTAAGGCTCTGACTTGATGAAGCAGCGTTTAAATTGTGACAGCTGGGGAAAGATATGTTTCATTGTTTTGGTCATCCCAGCCCTAGGTGACAAAGGCCAAAATGGTAGTGATAGTGAAAATGGAGATAGAGATGGAGATAAGAAATGTTTTAGGGATACAATCTCTGAGGAGAGATTCAGAATAACTCAGGTTTTGAGAAGTTTGGCAGAATGACATACCATGAAGAAACGGGACAGTGAGGAGCAGAGGCCAGGATTTTGAAGGGAAGATGGTTATTTGAGTTTCTACATTGTGCTCTAGCCTTTAGAAGGATGTCCTAGTAGAAATGTCCAGAAGGCAGTTGGAGATGTCGGCTGGATTTTAGAGGGCAGAGCTAAACATTTGGAAGTGATCTGTATCCTGGTTATGTTTGAAGCTTTGGGAGTTTAAAGATTGTCTTCCCTGCAATGCGATACTGTTTGGAATACCACACATTTATAACTGCTGGACTCAGCGTGAAGGATGTGAAGTTCCCGTTCTGCTTCTGCCACTTACCAGTGTGTGACCTCAAACATGACACTCTGCCTTCTCAGCCTCAGTTTCCTTAACTAGAAAGCAGATGTAATCATACCAACCTCGCTGGGCATTTGTGAATATTAGTTGAGAAAATCCTTGTCAAGTGCTTGGCATAATGCCTGGTGCTGAACATGGCCTCCAGCCTTGTCAAGTCTCTCTAACGTCCCTCGCCCCACCCCACGCAACTCCCAAGCAGGCCGTGATTGATAGAAGTCCACTTCTCTTCTGTGCCAAGAGTGACTCTAGCAAAAACAAGCAATCAATTTGCACTCATCTCAATGGTATGTGTAGATCAGATCTTGGCAGACCAATTTAATTTTCTTTGATGGTAGATAGGCCATGTAGATAAAGAATGAGCAAGAGATGTAATCTCTTTGTGCTGGAATCTGACCTTAGATTCCATCACAAATGACTTTTCATCAATTAGATAGAAGGAAATAAGAGAGACTCTCTTCTGTCTTAAGTGCAGGCACAAAGAGCTGAATAATATCACCCAAAAGGCAGCCTATCGATGACTCAGCCTCCACCTAGGGACATCCTCTGTGACCTTACTCATGTCAGAGAGGACCCCATACTGAACATCTCTCTCTTTACACCAACAATGTCTTAACCAAGAATGTCCTAATTAAGGTCAGATGACACCAAGTTGTCAAGCATCCGTCTAAGGTAGGAATAGAGCCAAAATAGCATTAACTGACAGTTCATAAAGAGTGAGGTGCAATAGGAACAAGTTTAACATTAAAAAAAACTATGTAGACAAAAAGAAGAATATATGTTGGCTCGTTCACTAAACTAGTAACCAGTGTCACCCAGAGTTGTAGCCAGATAAGGAATGCTCAAGAATAGCCGGGTACCTGGACACCCCTGATAAATTTAACTCATATCAGAGAAGGCAACAGGAAGGCAGAGGAAAAGGGAAGGAGAGACAGAATGAGAAAGAGATCAGGGAAGAGAAGATAGGGAATTGCAATGTTGCTGTTGTTTTTGTTTATGTTGAGAGTGGAAGATGCTAGTCCATTGGAATTCACGTTCACTTATATGGGCAACAAATAATTTATTGAGCATGCAGTGTGTGCCAAGCACTGTAACCAGTGCTAGGGATATAGCAGTGAGTGGAACATTCAGGATCCTGCCCTCATGCGGTCTTCTTCCTCTACCCAACTTCCAAGTGTTGAGGAGCCCATTACGAGTCCTTAGATGGCTTCTCGTTTCCATCTGCACCCACCGTTCGTATGATCTCATCCACTACCACAGCTTTCCATACCATTCATCTGTGACTCCTTGCAGATTCAGACTTCCATCCCATCTTCAAGTGGCCAGTTATCTAGTTGTCCTCTCAACAAACCACAACCTTCGTCCATTCAAAGCAGAATCTTGATTCTTCCCTCCCCCTGCCCAAACCTCTTCTTTCTCCCATCTCTCCCACCTCCACACATGGCACCAAACACAGCCAAAACAGGGGAGTTGTCCTGGACTCCCACATCCCACGTTCTGTTGATTCTAATTTTCCAGAATTCGAATTGCATCCCACAGCCAAAAAACAGCAGTTTCTTCTTAATTATTTTGCATTCTAAAGATTGCTGCAAACAGGACTAGAGAAGACACCCCCGTCGTCCTTCGCTGTACCCCCTTCCTGCCCTCCAACTGTGACCTTGGCTGAACCAGCCCTACCACTATCAAGCCAACAAGAAGACTGCAGAAAGAGAGGGGTTTTGGGGGGTTTATTGCCTTGGGAGCAAGGACTAAGCACTCACGAGGAACGTTACTGCCTCCCTCACTCTGGGGAAAGTAAAGAGATGAATCCCAAAGTGATGAGAGGCTCGAAAGCCAGGGTCAGCAAACTTTTTCTGTGAAGGGCCAGATGGCAAATACTTTAGGATTTGCTGTCATACAGTGCCCGTCACAACTACTCAGTACTGCCATTGTAGCGTGAAGGCAGCCGCAGACAGTAGCGAATGAGACAGAAATAAATGAGCAAGGCTGTCTTCCAGTAAGACTTTATTTATGGACACTTACATTTGAATTTCATGTGATTTTTCACATATCACGAAATAGTATTCTTCTCTTGATTTTTTTTTCAACTACTTAAAATAGGTAAAAACTATTCTTAGCTCACGGGTTAAACAAAAACAGGCAGCAGGCCAGTCCTGGCCACTGGCCATACTTTGCCAACTCTTAATCCAGGAGAGCCACTCACAGACAATGCAGGGCCAGAAAGGGACAGTGACATCTCACTTCCCAGTAGACCCCTGATAAGCTGCAGAACTGCAGGCCCCTTCTGGAATGGAGCTAAGGGCGATGAGAACATTGTGTGTTCTCTGGAGGCTGGGGACACAGGGAGCCTATGGCCGGGGCCTGCCACTTAGCTGGAAGCTTCTGAAGGCAGGATGACTCAGTGGAGCAGGCCCTGATGCAAGAGGAACAGGACTCATTTGCACTCAACTATCTCTCAAAAATATTATAAAGCTGTGTCTCCTAAACTTCAGCTCTCTCTGCAGTAAATTTAAACTGTTGCGACATTGTTGCGGGTGATTTACTGGGGTGGTAAGCTTTTGCATGTTTTTTGGGAGGTTCCTTTTAAATTTCTACTACCATTGCTATCATTTTTAAGGAGTTATTCAGATGACAGAATGTTAAGCGCTGATAGTGGCTAACAAGGGAGGCTGCAGAAAGTCTATGCTGGGATCTTTAAAACCGTGATCAACTGCCATCTGTTTTGGGAGTTTTAAAGTGAGCCCAGCATGCATCAGGAGGCTAGGTGGGTCACCACTTAAGTCTCCTCCATCTTCCTAATTCCAAGATACGAGAGGAAACAGATGTGCGTTGGGGAGAGTAATGAGAAAGAGCAACTCTGCTTTCCTTTTCTCCAACAACAGAAACAGTGAATATTAACTCCCCAAATCCCTGTGTAACACTCACTGAGTACCCAGCCAAAGAAGTTTCCTTTGAAATTGAATCTGTCTGTCTAAGAGGGTCTACAAAGCCTGCATTTTAACTCTGAAATAATTCCAGTTACTTGAGCTGCTGTTGCTGCTAAAAGATGTTTGAAGAGGAGGAGGAAAAGCCATCTCGATATGACAAGGATTTGTCACTTGCTGCAAAGAAGGCACGGGATTTTTTTTTTTTCCCTGTAAAAGGGGTAGTCAGAGTTGGGAGCTTGTCCCTGTCTTCTTGGCCGAGATTCCTAGAGGAAACACAAATAGACTTTTTCAGGTCACAGGTTTCTCTGCATCAGGTGGTCCGGAGTCTCGCTCAGTTTCTATAAATCAGGCCGTTTCTCTCCAACTTATGAGTCTCCTAGCACTGGACATTCTGGAAATCCAAATGAAATTGACAAATTCGGTTGATGTCATAGCAAATTCAATGCACCTTGCTCTCTTCAGGCTGATTTCAAATCACTGGATTGAGAAGAGCTAAAATCTAGCTTTTGTTTTTAAAAATTAGACTGTATAAACTGATTTTAAAAAAATAACACAGGAATAGATATTATGTAAGATTTTCTATTCCCCGCACCCCCCGCCCCCCACCCCGCCACCAGATTTTTGTGGCCATCACCTTTTCGTGACCAATTTTATTCCCACAGTGCAAGCAGAGGGTTTGCAGTTTTGTGATGCCTTTTCGTTTTTTAGTGCCACATCATTATCAATCAAGATGTCCAGATAAATTACTTAACAGAGAGGCAGTAGAGGCGCTGCTCACATAACCACCCAGCTGAGAAAGCCTTCCTTCACTCACTCTCTTCTGTCCTGGACAGACTCATGTGGTTTACAGTTGCTCTCATTTCCATTTATCAGAAACAGATTTGCAAATGTTTTCTTTTAAGCTGGTGTCCCTTCTCTCCATTGTAATCTCAATAAGTATGAAAAGAGAAATATAGAAAATGAGCAGCATTGCTTTTTATCTCATCACCACTCACTGAGCACCTACTGCATACTCGCCTCCAAGCAGGCGTCCCCTCCCTAACAACAGCACAAGCAGGCATTATTCATCCATTTTCACAGCTACGTAAACTAAGCTGTAGAAGTTCAATAACTTGCCCGGGCTCATACTTCTGGTATGAAGTGGAGCCTGGCTTCCAGCCCAGCTCTGTCTGCCTCCAGCGCCTTTCTCTGCACTGTTCAGCAATGCCTGGCTACAGAACACGGCCAGTGTGGCCAAGCATTTTCCATGACTGTCCCTGGAGCACATTAATTCACCTCCTGAAGTGAACCTCTTTGGGAAGATGAGCCTTTTCCAAAATCAATACTTTTCATTGTAGTTAAGCAATTATGACCTAAAAGAAAATTTTCACCATGATACTGAAAGCCACCAGCTTCACATAAACACCAAACGTGCTGTAACTGAGGAGGTAAGGGGCGAGTCCTTGTCACACATTTCTTGGAGGTCAGGTCAATCCACCTGTGAGCCCAAAATTATGCTGGCAGAAGGAAGAAGCGAGATGATTTTTAATTGTTATGAAGTGTGCTGGTAACTTAAGTTGTTCTGTATTTCCATCCTTGTTTTGAAACCAAGCTGAAGCTCTCTCTGTCTCTCTGTCTCTCTGCTTTCCCTACAAATTGGACAAGAGTTTCTTCTTGGCTTCCATATGACATCAGGTCTTTCCTAAATAAAAGCAATCAATGCAGGAAAAAAAAAAATTCAAAGATAGGATGCCACTCTCTTTCACAACGATTAGTAGTTTTATATTTCCTTCCAGTCTTGTTGATGTGGATTTAACTAGTACATATTTTTAAATGCTAAAAATTGTATGTATTTCTTTTTATACCTCACATTATATCATAAACATATATGTTTCTATATAACCTTTATATGACTAATTACATCATAAACATATTTGCATGTTTCTATATAACCTTTACGAATTTAACAACTGTATAATATTCCTTCAAGTTGATATACCCCAGTTTCTTAAACTATTTCTCTTCTGTTAAGTGTTTGTAGTGTTTCCCTAATATAAGTAATGTTTTGTTTTCACCTAGGTCTTAGAAAAAAAAATAAGTACTGTTAATAAACTTTTTTGGTGTATATACCCTTTTCCCTTTCACTGGAATTTTTATTTAAGCTAAACTGTCAGAAGTATAATTACAGGGCCAAGAGATTTGAATATTTTATGTTTGATCTTTCTTACATCCTGAACACATACATATTATTTTCAACATTCTTCCTGTCATCTTCTAAGCATAATCTGGGAGAAACAGTCAATTCATTTCTTCATTTCTCTCACCCTTGACTGGGCATTGGATTATAGTAGAGCTTGCTCACCCTCAAAGCTGCTGCCAATTTCTTCCTTCCTTTCCTCCTCTCCTCTCCTCTCGTCTCCTCTCCTTTCTTCCTACCTTTTCTCTTCTCTTCTTACCTTTTCTTTCTGACAGGGTCTTGCTCTGTTGCTCAGGCTGGAATACAGTTGTACAATCATAGCTCACTCCAGCCTCAACCTCCCAGGCTCAAGGGATCCTCCCAATTCAACCTCCTGAGTAGTTAGGACTACAGGTGCACAGCAACACACCCAGCTAATTTTTGTATTTTTTGTAGAGACAAGGACCCACTATGTTGACCGGGCTAGACTCAAACTTCTGGGCTCAAGTGATCCTCCAGCCTCAGCCTCCCAAAGTGCTGGGATTACAGATGTGAGCCATGGCGCCTGGCCAGCTGCTGCCAAATTTTGAATATAAGCTAGACTTCTTGAAAAGTCCCTATGTTTCCCATATAAATAGAAGGCCAGAAAGATTTTTTTAAAATTATTACTCAGTGCTGGCAAGGGTACAAGGAAATAGACACTAATAAATTTCAATGAGTATAGACTGGTACAAACTTTCTGGAAAGCAATTTGGTAATATATGGGAATGCATTTAAAATGTATATATGCTTTAGGCCGGGCACGGTGGCTCACGCCTGTAATCCCAGCACTTTGGGAGATCGAGGCAGGTGGATCACCTGAGGTCAAGAGTTAGAGGTCAGCCTGGCCAACATGGCGAAACCCCATCTCTACTAAAATTATAAAATTAGCCAGGCATGATGGTGGGCGCCGGTAATCCCAGCTACTCAGGAGGCTGAGGCAGGAGAATCGCTTGAATCTGGGAGGCAGAGGTTGCTGAGCGGAGCTGAGAGCACATGACTGCACTATAACCTGGGCAACAGAGAGAGACTCCGTCTCAAAAAATAAAATAAAATAAAATAAATAAAATAGAATGTATACATGCTTTAGTCCAACCATTCTATTTTAATAATTTATCATAAGAAGGAAAGTCAAGGTAGGTACAAATATTTGCTACAAGCATATTCTTTTTAGCAATCCTTATAATAGCAAAAATAAAAACAAATTTAATCCAACAAAAGGTGACTGGCTTAAGAAATTATGACACATCTGTATAATGGGTATCATGCAACCATTTAAAATTATAATTGCAGATGACAAGATATATTAGTCACATAAACACAGCCTCATAATATATGTAATGAAAAAAGTCATACAATAGCACTTATTATATTGTCTATTTGTGTAAAATATATATACCTAGATAGGAGTATGATATGCTCCAGTTGTTAACAGTATTTGTATCTGGATGGTGGAATCATTGGTGGTGAATAGTTTTGCCTTTTTATCTTTTACACCACAGGTATTTTGTGTTTATAATAAGAAAGAAAGCTTATTTTTTTCTCATTTATACCAGTTTCAGAAGCTTACAAGTGCACAAAAATGTTTCCTGCCGCCCCCACCAAGATGGAACAGGGACAAGAAGAACTGATCTGCATCATCCTCTAGATTCTGTGTGCGCTTCCTGATCCATGCCTCCAAATGACAAGGGTTACAGGCATGCAGCAATGAATGTAGGCAAAATCCTTTCTGTATCTAATTCAAAACACCAGTACCCCCAGTCTAGCAAAGGAAGTGAGAATGCCCCAACCACTCTAATCAGGGACATGGACAGTTCTCCCAGCAGAAGTAATGAGGGCCTCCTCTTGAGTCAAGAAGATACTATCTTCCCTCTGAATCCACAAAATGAATCCACAAAAGCTCTAGTAGCTAATTTTTCCTTTCATTAAAATAAAACAGGTGGTACAGTAAGTAAAGAGCTTATCAATTGCACATTAAACTAGAGGTAATGGGTACTGTACTCTCTGTATTACGTTTTCTATTGCTGTGTAACAAATTACCCCCAAACACAGTAGCTTGGCACAGCAAATGTGTGTGACCTCTCACAGCATCTGAGGGTCTGGAAACTAGTAAGGTGGGGCTGACTCAGGGGCTCTCACAAGGTTGCTGTCAAGTCAGGGCTGCAGTCACCTGAAGGCTTGACTGGGGCTGGAGGAGCCACTTCCAAGTGTGCTCACAGTGTTCATGGCTTCAGGCCCTCACTGGCTGTTGGCTAGAGTCCCCATGGCCTCTCCATAGACTGTCTGCATGTCCTTTTGACATGAGAGCTGGCTTGAGAATTAGTGATCTGATAGATGAGGGGAGAGAGAGAGAGAGGGAGAACATGAGAACTAATCTTAAAAATAAACTCCACTGGGTTCTGCTGTGTCCTATTGGTCACATAGATCAACTCTGCCACAGTGTGGGAGGGGACTACACCAAGGGTGAACACCAGGAGGTGGGGACCATCACAGGCCATCTTGAAGGTCACTGACCACATTCCCCAATCAAAGGCCTGCCTCCCCAACACAGCCCACCACCACTACCTCAGTCAGAGAACTGGGGACTCAGGAACTTAAAGCCATCTCAAAGAAATACAGTTGGGAGACCATGGTTGCAAATGAGTCCACGAAAGCTCTAATAGCTAATTTTTCCTTTCATTAAAATAAAACAGGTGGTACAGTAAGTAAAAGAGCTTATCAATTGCACATTAAACTAGAGGTAATGGGTACTCTATAACTCATTTCCATTTCATTGTGCTTTGCTTACTAGAAGCTTTCAGATTTCCCTGGCAGCAGTTTCAAGGAGATTCTGATAGACTTATTTTGCTTAGATGCAGACACTGTGCACACTGAGAAGGCTTTTTCTCTGTGTCTGGTCCTATGTGCAGTGTTAGCGTGGCTGTCATAGATTTGCTCTGCGTCTTGCTCTGGCTATTGTCCTAAAGGCACAATTTTGGCCAAATGTAGTTTACTACTTGGTTAAGGGGAAGTGATGTGGGGAGAAATCACAGTCCCTCAAGGCCTAACATCGAGGGATTTAAAGCCTTAACAACTGCCCATGCCTACTTCATTCCAGAGCTCGTCAGAGAACACCCAGCATAGGACCTGGGCTCTGCGGGCCCTCCCACCTCCCTTAGCTCCTGTGCTACCCAGCCCTTGCAGTACAAGCTGTACCTGTTGTCAACCTCCACTCACCACACCTACCCCAAGCCCAGACCACATTAACCTCCATGGCCACAGCTTCCTCTTCACCTCTTTCTGCCCTTTCTAGCTTCCAGCTAACTAAAAAAATTATTACCAACAAGGTCAACTGACAGTCTCCATATACTTGCCTCTAAATTTTGGAAGGTAATTGCTATAGTTTGATTATGGTTTATTTGACCCCAATAAATTTCATATTGAAATTTGATCCCCAATGTGGTGTTGTTAGGAGGTGGGGCTTAATAGGAAGTATTTTGAGTCATGAGGCAGATCCCTCATGAATGGCTTGGTGCTGACTTCTTGGTAACGAGTGAGATCTCATTTTCTTAGTTCCCGGAGGTGCTAGTTGTTAAATAAAAAGCCCAGTACCTCTCCTCTCTCTCTTGCTCTCTCTCTCACCCCGTGGTCTCTACATACCAGCTTCCCTTTGCCTCTTGCCATGAGTAGAAGCAGCCTGAGGCCCTCCCCAGAGGCAGATGCTGGTGCCATGCTTCTTGTACAGCCTGCAGAACTGTGAGCGAAATAAATCTCTTTTCTTCATAAATTACCCAGCCTCAGATATTTCTTTACAGCAACACAAATGGACTAAGACAGTAACCAAAGGTATCAGGTGAAGTGGAGTGGAAGAATTCATGTGACTTTTTATATTTTTCCAGTGACTTAGTAAGGTTGCTTAACCTCAGGGATGACAGAAGAGTGTTTTCTAGACCTGTTAAGTAAACGAATGAAGAGTTGGGGAAGGATAAATTTAAGTCTACTAGCCCTGTTTGACAAAATAAAAAGTTGGCAGCTCTATGATGTTCTCCCCACCCCTGTCCCATCCAAAAAAATCGTAATAATCTGGCCTGTGAAATCATACAGTTAGGAGACCCCCAGCTGAAGTCAGGAATGTCATCGTATTGTTCATATTGTTAGTTCCATGACTGCTGTCCTGCCTCTTGAGGTCAGAATATGAAGTAATGCCTGTCAACACTAAGATGTCCACATTGTCACTACATACTGTGCTGTATTTGCATTAGGAGGCTTGGCCAAGTAACAAGAGATGGAGAAGAATCTTATGGGTGTGATACAGAGTATATTCCAAAGTGGAAGAAGGGTTGGGGCATGGTGGTGTACACCTGTTGTCCCAGCTACTCAGGAGGCTGAAGAGGGAGGATCACGTGAGCCCAGGAGTTCAAGGCTGCAGTAGGCTATGATTGTGCCACTGCATTCCAGCCTGGGTGACAGAGCAAGACCCCCAACTCAAAAAAAAAAAAAAAAAAGTGGAAGAAGGGTTGTATTGTGGGGAAAGTTTACCTGCTTAAAGATTTGACACCAACTGGGGTAAGTCCAAGGGACCCAGTGGCGAACTCCCCTATCCTGGTCAACTTGATACAGGTGGCAGCTGGATAGTGTGGTATATAAACCCTGTGTAACTCAGGACACTCCCAGTGGGCTAGTGGCAAAAGCTGAACTCAGGCTAGTTTAGATAACAGGGTCAGGGATTGAAGTCAAGGATTTGAACGCCATCAGAATTCTTCTCCCTTTTTTTTTTTTTTTTGAGACACGGTCTCACTCTGTCCCCCAGGCTGGAGTGCAATGGCACGATCTCAGCTCACTGCAGCCTCTGCCTCCTGGATTCAAGTGATTCTCATGTCTCAGCCTCCTGAGTAGCTGGGATTACAGGCATGTGCCACCACACCTGGCTAATTTTTTTGAAGAGACAAGGTTTCACCATGTTGGCCAAGCTGTTCTCAAACTCCTGGCCTCAAGTGATCCACCCGCCTCGGCCTCTAAAAGTGCTGAGATTACAGGCGTGAACCACCACACCCAGCCTCCCCATCATAATCTCTGCTTTTCTCTTTGCATGTAGATTTCATTCTCTCCTCCTACAGAGGGCTTTCTTCACAGAGCAGTAGACATGGCAGCCCACCTTACCGGGGAAACAGCCGAATGACTCTGTGACCAAGGAAGAAAGGGTTCTTCTGCTAGGTCCAGCTAGGAGAACCCTGGTTTAGGACTCTGCTGGGTGCCAGGTCCATCCCTACACTAATTCCCATAGCCAAGAGGCCAGCTGTGTTATTAAAAGATGGAGCAGAAAGGCAGACAATAGCCCCTAAAAGCACATGGACCTAGAGCTGGACAGCCTTTGGTTCAAACCACTCACTAGCTGTGTCTTTGTGAAACTTACTCAGACCCTGTAGGCTTTACTTTATCTGAAAAACAGGGATAATGCTAATACCAACCACAAATTGTCATTGTGAAAATAATTTAAATGTGCCAATAAGTATAGAATACTAAATTTCATATCTTGCACATAATAAATGCTCAAAATGTCCATTGTCTATTTGGGCAATTATTAAAGCTTTGTTATCTGCTCAACACAGAGACCAAACCACAGTACCTGATCTTCTCCTTTGTACCCGAATGGTGCAGCCCTCTGGTTTCAACACTCCCCTATTTCTACAGCCAGACTGGAGTTATGTTGGATAATTAGGTTGGTGCAAAAGTAATCGTGGTTTGTGTAATTACATTTATTTATTTATTATTTATTGGGTTTTTTTTGAGATGGAGTCTCACTCTGTTGCCCAGGCTGCAGTGCAATGGTGTGATCTCGGCTCACTGTAACCTCCACCTCCTGAGTTCAAGTGATTCTCATGCCTCAGCCTCCCGAGTAGCTGGGATTACAGGTGCCTGCCACCACACCCGGCTAATTTTTGTATTTTTAGTAGAGATGGGGTTTCGCCATGTTGGCCAGGCTGGTTTCGAACTGCTGACCTCAGGTGATCCACCCACCTCAGCCACCCAAAGTGCTGGGATTACAGGCGTGAGCCACCGTGCCTGGCTGTGCAATTACTTTTAATCACTTTAATTGCAATTAAAAGTAACTAGGTAGGTCTTTGGTATTAACACCATAAGATGCTAGCAAATCACACAGGCGAGAAGGTGTGAGGGGGTCAACAAAGGTAAAAACCAGAATCATACAATTCAGGACTTCAAATAATTCATTGATATTTCAGATAAAACTGTACCCTCCACGTAGCTATATAGAGGCAGAAAATATAACTTGGTGTTCAAGATTGTGTTGTCATGAAAAGATAGAACATTGGATTTGCAGACAAACAAGTTGGCCTCAGCTACTGTTGGTTTGCTTTAAGGCCTCTGCTTTATCCATCAGTAAAACAGAAATAATGATGTTCCCCCTCAATTCCCACAGAGGTTTGGTAAGACTTAACGAGGTACTGTTGGTAAAATGCTTTGAGCTCATCTCATGAAGGGCTCTATGTAGGCACTTGGTCTTATTATACAGACACTTCATGGTCATATATGTTTAGAGTAAGATGTTGCTTGGAAGCACTTCAGAGAATTGCTAAGAAACACAGATGTATTAAATGGTATCTTCTTAAAAACTGAGATTAGCCAGGCACAGTGGGTCACACCTGTAATCCTATCACTTTGGGAAGCTGAGGTGGGTGGATTACCTGAAGTCAGGAGTTTGAGACCAGCCTGGCCAACATGGTGAAACCCTGTCTCTATGAAAGATACAAAAACTAGCCCGGTGTGGTGGCAGGCGCCTTTATTCCCAGCTACTTGGGAGGCTGAGACAGGACAATTGCTTGAACCCAGAAGGTGGAGGTTGCAGTGGGCCGAGATCGTGCCCAGCCTGTGCGACAGAGTGAAACTCCATCTCAAACAAAAATCCCAAAAAACAAAAAAAGCTGAGATTAAATGGGAACTGGAAGTTTGGTACTGTTACCACCTTGTCCTAGCAACTGTATTGCTAGCAATTGTGTTGCTGGGACAAGGCAGTAACTGTATCAGTCTCCTTCTGCCCAATCGTGTTGACACCACTTTTCTTTGACCACCTGTGGATACTGATGACCTCCCCTCACCTCATTTTATTTTAACCCTTTTATTTATCCCTCATGTCAAGCATCATCTCATTCTACTGAGGTGTCATCTTTTCTTCACCACAGTTTGAGAGCTACAATTAGACAATGTGAATTTTGGATGGATTACCAATGTGTTAACAATATGTGAGGAGAGGTAACTGTATGCTATAGAGAAATAAATTTAAAAACAATTGATTAATATACTGAAAAGATAAGAAAACCATTACAAAGGCATAAACTCAGTGGTGCATTAGGGCCAGCTGACACTGACTTTTGAGAACTGATTGTTAAATTGTCGGGAATTTTGCTAGCTGGTTGTTGCACATAGCTATTTAAAAAACTAAACTGTATAGGCTTACAATTTTTAAAATTATGTTAAAAATAAAGTTAATAAAGGCCAGGTGGGGTGGCTCACACCTATAATCCCAGCATTTTGGGAAGCCAAGACAGGCGGGTCACCTGAGGTCAGGAGTTTGAGACCAGCCTGGCCAACATAGTGAAATCCTGTCTCTACTACAAATACAAAAATTAGCCAGGCATGGTGGCAGGTGCCTGTAATCTCAGCTACTCAGGAGGCTGAGGCACGAGGATCGCTTGAACTGGGAGGCAGAGGTTGCAGTGAGCCGAGATCGCACCACTGCATTCCAGCCTGGACGACAGAGAGAAACTCCATCTCAGTAAATAAATAAATAAATAAAGCTAATAAAATCTCAATACTCGTCACTTCATAATATTTTTATAATTATATATTCTCTTAAGGTTACTTTTTTCTATTGTTCATGTCTACTGTATGTGTATAGTGGAAATATTACACAGATGCTTCTTGACTTATGATAAACTCATTTTAAGTTGAAAAGATCATAAACCAGGCCAGGCACGGTGGCTCACACCTGTAATCCTGGCACCTTGAGAGGCTGAGGCATGTGGATCACCTGAGGTCAGGAGTTCAAGACCAGCCTGACTACTATGGTGAAACCCTGTCTCTACTAAAAATACAAAAATTATCTGTGTATGGTGGCAGGTGCCTGTAGTCCCAGCTACTCAGGAGGCTGAGACAGAAGAATTGCTTGAACCCAGGAGGCAGAGGTTGCATTTGAGCTGAGATTGTGCCACTGTACTCCAGCCTGAGTGACAGAGCAAGACTCCATCTCAAAAAAAAAAAAAAAAAGAAAAAGAAAGAAAGAAAGTATCATAAACCAGAAAGTCATTTAATACACCTAACCTACTGAACATCAGAGCTTAGCCTAACCTACCTTAAACGAGCTCAGAGCACTTACATTAGCCTACAGTTGGGCAAAATCATGTAACGTATAGCTTATTTTATAATAAAGTGTTGAATATCTCATGTGATTTCCTGAATACTGTACTGAAGTACTGTTTCTACTGAATGTGTATCACTTTCACACCATCGTAAAGTCAAAAAATCGTTAAGTGGAACCATTTTAAGCCAGAAACCATCTGGATAATGGTGTGCTACTTTGCTTTTCTTTCCAACTGCATGTTCAGGGATGTCCTTTTGGTGCCTTGAAATTAGCCACATTAGGAATATTTACACCACAGAAATTGGACTGCTACCACTCAGGGTTCCTCCCTTCCCCGCAAGAGCTGTTTTATCAAGCACTTACCAGCACACCACTGCCTAGACCCATAAGTATAAAGAGAAAATAGGAACAGAGACAACAGTAGATAAAAATGTTAACAATGTTATGGAAATAAAAAAAAAAAGCAGATGAATGAGAAGCAACTAATTTAGCAGAGAAGATAAAGCTGCAACCTAAGCTCAAAGGGAGAGAAATCTGTAAGAAGCAAATCAGCTACACCACAGAATCTTAGAAAAAGCAGAAATTGGTTCCCTCTGTGCAGAACATGGGTGCAGGTGGGCTGAAAACAAATGTGTTGAGAATTTGTACATGGAGCTATAAGACTCCACATTTATTTCCATCCCTATGTAGGCCTATGCACAGCTGCACTGTCACACCACTGTCCCTGCCCAGCCTCGGGAGGAAAGGTTGAATCCGAGAGGGACTGGACTCAAGGACACCAGGCACAACCAAGACCCGGCGTGTGACACACCATAGAAACGGAATTAAAAGACACTCCGTGCTTTATCGTCATTGTTGTTTTGTCTTGCTGTCACCCAGGCTAAAGTACAATGGCATGATCGTGGCTCCCCGCAGCCTCAAATTCCTGAGTAGCTGGGACCATGGGAACATGCCAACATGCCCAGCTAATTTTCGTATTTTGTAGAGATGGGGTCTCACTATGTTGCCCAGGCTGGTCTTGAACTCCTGGTCTCAAGCAGACCTCCTGCCTCAGCCTCCCAAGTGGCTGGGACTCCTGAGTGAGCCACTGCACCCAACTGCACTCTGGATTATAGGACACCACAGCCTCCTTCCCCCTCTTAGATCCCAGAATGTTGGCAATGAGGGTTCTACCCCATGGGCAGAAGATTCGAGGATTCATCATTAGGGAAGCTGACCAGTTGGAGAAAAAAGACTTATAGAGAATGACCTAGTGGGTTCCTTAATGAAACATCCAGCTCTCCACTGAATCACCTGACAATGAGCCCATTGGTTGACAAGCTTCACTCATGCACACGTCACTTGAGTGTCAACAGTAAATCACCAGACATTTGAAGAAAGCCTCTAACATGAAGAAAAAATATTCCTGAAGTTGAGTTCTATGCCCAGACAAGTGCAAGGGACATTTACAAGGTCTCCAAATATTTAGCTGCCATGAACCCTTTCTCAGGAAGCTACTAGAGGATGTGCTCCAACAAAACAAAGAATTAACCAAGAAAAAGATACAAGCTCTAGGAAACAGGGAATCTAACACAGGAGAGAAGGAAAAATGATTTCCAGGAGGACGCTGAAATCTGGGCTGTAACTATAGTGGACCTGAGGAGAAACCAGCCTGAGTTTGAAGCAGAAGGATAGTTCCCGGAGGACGTCTGCACAGGAAGAGAAATGCAATGGCAAGATTACTAGTGTGTTCACCACACTGAGGAGAGCTTGGGAATGAATTACTCATAAATGCCAAAAAAAAAAAAAACCCTATGAATTAAAAAAGACAAGGCAATTATTAACTCCCGAGGAGAAAAGATATACATGAGCAGAAATGTAAACGCAGTACACTGCAGACAATATTTACATAGGCAAAATAATACAAATACTGACCAGGGATTTTATCAGAAGATGTGCTGTCCTGTAATTTGTAATATTCTAAAATGCACATATTTTTCCCATTTTAACATTTTGGAAATCAGAACACATTTTTTAGTCAATGTGATGAGAAAGTGTTGCATCATAGTTACTTTACTTGCACTTCTCTTCTTTTGTAGTGCCTCATAAAATAATGGCAAACCTTATAATCAAAGGCATGCATGTAAAATAGATAGAAATACAGGAACTCTGTTCCTTAGTGAGGAAGAAGCACGTCCTGGGGGGAGGAGGAAAAAGCTACCTCTTCATCTTCCAGTAAGTCAGGAGATCATTTCTAAGCTTTAGAAAGATACAACTCTATAAGCACATCATTTGGAATGATTGCTGCAAATACCAGGAGTCATAGACAGTGGCTGACTCTGGGCAGCAGTACCTGAAGGCAAGAATGGGGGGGCAGGAGGCTACAAGGCTATGAATTTTTACTAAAGCTTGTAAATATCTGAATTTTAAAACTATATATGTGGATTAGAAGTAAAAATAATATGTAGAAATAGGCCGGGCACAGTGGCTCACGCCTGTAATCCCAGCATTTTGGGAGGCTGAGGAGGGCAGATAACTTGAGGCCGGGAGTTCCAGACCAGCCTGGCAAACATGGTGAAACCTATCTCTACTAAAAATACCAAAAAAAAAAAAAAAAAAAAAATAGTGTAGTGGTGTGCGCCTGTAACCCCAGCTACTCAGGAGACTGAGACACAAGAATTGCTTGAACCTGGGAAGTGGAGGTTGCAGTGAGTGGAGATTGCGCCACTGCATTCCAACCTGGGAGAAAGAGGGAGACTCTGTCTCAAAAAGGAAAAATAAAGGGCAAAAAATAATATGTATAAACATAAAAATAATGAAATAAAGCTTTGCCATGTCAAGCGTCATCAGAGCAGAAGTTTTCAGACTAAGACAACCAGCAGGGATTTTCATGGGCTTCTCTGTCAAGACCCGCCTTGGCCAGCCCATGCTGTCATCCCCGATTGGGTTTGCAGAAGCAGGCGTCCTGGGCGACCAGGCCTCCTGGGCAACATGTACATGGCCTCCTATGGCACCTCTTGCCTCCCATCTTAGACAATTCGCTGCCTGATTTCTCACTCCCAGGAGATTAGATAGCTAGGCTTCAGGGAAAGTGGAAACCGCAGCTCGCACAACACATTTTTCTAATGTCTTGTTACTGGGAGCCCTCAAGAATGAGAAAGGAAGCTGGCGGTTGGGCAGGTGTGGAGTTTTTTTCACTTAGACATCTGTTAGTGGTTCTGGAAGCCCACCCCTCCTGTTTTACAGACGAAGAGCTCTGGATTCCTGATGCAATGAGGCATTCATTCTGACAGTGTGTTCCAGCTGCACGGCGATGGGGGCGGAAATGTACACGGTATCCTGGAACCAGAGGGTGATAAAGGGAGAGGAAGATTCCTCCTGATAAAGCAAGAACTGCTTGCTCCTCATGTCAGAATTGCACGAGTTACTGCAGGCAAAGAGGCCACCCCACCATACACTGGGACATTTGTGCATGGCCTGGCTCTGGATGGGAGAATTTTGCAATTCTGCAAACAAGTCTTTTGTTTGCAATTCTGCCCGGGATCTGCATGAGGCTGGCATGATTTGGAATAAGCATATAGGGAGTGCCAGGCAACCTGAGAGGCCAGCAGGACCACCGGCTGCTAACCCCACCAGGGCTGACATTCAGCTGCTGTGAAGGGCTGCAGCCACACCTTGTGCTCACATAGAAATGCTTCCACACTGGGTGGTAAGCAGCCCAGGCCCTGGCCCCTCCCCTGGAGCCCCCACACCTCCCCACCATCCTGCAACCAAACGGGGGCATATATGGCCCAGCAGGGGGCCTCCGGGAGCTGACTCTGGAGGCCCTGCGGTGACAGGTCTGATGGGTCAGGCCCGCCTGTTAAACATTTTAAATATCGCCCCCTGCAACCAGATCTATCAGCGAGTGGCCCGAAGGCCCAAATTCCAGCAGAAACCTCTCCACCTTCCTCTCCTGGCCTCCTTTCTCCCTGGCCCAGTGTTTGCCAGTTCAGAACACCAGAGAGTATCTCATCTAGTAAAATGTATTTTCCTATGAGCAAGAAGAGAAGCCCTTTTCTTATTCCCTGGGGGACCCTAGTACTCCAGCCTGCAAGGAAATGCTCCTATGTGCTCTTCCTTCTGCTTCCCTAACTTGTTTATCCTGATCCATTAGGTTAAAATGGCCAGGGAGAGCATCCTAAAAGAGGAAAATAAAGTTACTAGAGGCTGACAAGCAGCCTCCCGAACGTGTGCCGACTGCAGGAAGAGCCAGGCCTGGGCGACTTGCATATCCTAGGCTGGCTGGGGGCACCTGATACCCGAATTTTGTAACCAGGGCTGCCAGTGGCCCTCTTTACCTCTTCCTTCCTGCCTCTCAGCTGCCACTCTGAGCATCTAGACCCTGCAGAACAGAGATTCCTCAAGGTATAAAGCCCAGGCCACAGATGCCCCCGGCCCTAAGGATACACTGAACTCCTTCTATGCAGCCATAGGGAGGGGACTTGTCTTTCCCCAACATGAGAAGCTTAACTGGTCTCTTACCCTTTGGTAGAGGCAGGCCCAGGTGTGGCCAATGGAGACAAAGGGGTCCCCCAGTGTTCCTGCCTAACCTAGGGTCTTATGGGGTGGAGGTGGGGCCTTGGAACTCACCAATGTGCATGATGATCTGGCAAAATCATCCAGTCAGTTTCCTCTATCTCGATAGAAAACATTTTCCAATCTCCATATTGTAAGACTTGGGATAATTTAGCAAAGGATCTCTTTTGGTTTTGCCTTTACATGAAATCAGTGGCAGGCTGCATAGTGGAAAGTGTCCATGAAGTAAGGACCCAGAACACCATTAAACATTTTATTTAATTATTTTTTAGAGACAGGGTCTCACTTTGTCACAACTGGCATGCAGTGGCATGGTGGTAGCTCAGTCAGCTGGGCATGGGGACACACACCTGTAGTCCCAGCTACTTGAGAGGCTGAGGTGGGAGGATGGCTTGAGCCCAGTAGTTCAAGGCTGCAGTAAGGGTACTGCACTCCAGCCTGGGTAACAAAGCGAGACTCTGTCTCTTAAATTAAAAATGGCCAAGAGCAGCGGCTCACGCCTGTAGTTCCAGGCCTCTGGGAGGCTGAGGCAGGCAGATTGCTTGAGCCCAGGAGCTAGAGACCAGCCTGGGCAACATGGCGAAACCCTGTCTCTACAAAAAGTACAAAAATTTAGCCAGACATGGTGGTGTATGCCTGTAGTCCCAGCTACTCAGGAGGCTGAGGTGGGAGGATGGCTTGAACCCAGGAGGTCGAGGCTGCTGTGAGCTGTGAGCTGTGATTGCACACTCCACTCCAGCCTAAGTGATGAATCGAGACCCTGTCTCAAAAAAAATAAATAAATAAAAACTTTTTGTAGTGATAAAGTCTCACTATGTTGACCAGGCTGGGCTCAAACTCCTGGCCTCAAGTGATCCTCTTGATTCAGCTTCCCAAACTGCTGGGATTATAGGCATGAGCCACTGTGCCAGGCCTAACTTTTTTATTTTTAGAAATGAGAGTCTCACTATGTTGCTCAGGCTGGTCTCAAACTCTTGGCCTCAAGTGATCCTCCTGCCTTGGCCTCCCAAAGTGCTAGGATTACAGGCACGAGCCACTGTGCCCAGCCCCAAATCCTTAAACTCCGGCCAAGGCTTTCTCCTGAAATGAGAAAAATAATTCCTGAATACCTAACTTAAAGCACTGTGATAAGTAACAAATGTAATGCAGTTTGTAAAAAATGCCTTGAGAATTATAAAGTAGCCATGTAAATGTAGGAGATTCTGGTTTTTCTCTTTTATTCTAGCAAACTAGTCCCTTTAGGGGGACCCTTATGCACTGCGCAGCTTAGCAAAGCTGGTGTCTGCATGCTTAGCCTCCCTTCCATCCCAGCCCAGCCCAGCCCAGCCCACACTCCCTATTCACCCCTTCCAGATGCTCCCACTACTGCTTGGGACAGGGCCTCCCAGGGCAGCGCTGCCTCTGCAGATGTTCCTCTCCCTGATATCACTCACCATCTCTCATGGTACATGGGCCTCAGTGCACTGAGTACACCCTCATTTTGCTGCAGCCCAGCCCATGGTTTTGGGTCTGGAGGGGACAGGAGACCAGATGGCCAGGGACGGAAGCATTGATGTAAAGAACTGTGTTTGTTTAACCTGTAGAAGACGGGATATAAAGGGCCCATGGTAGAAGTTTGCAAATGCATGCTGTTACAGAAGAAAGATTAGAGGTGTTCTGCACAGCTTTATGAGGTAGAACCAGGTGGACCCTGTGCTAGGATTTAAGACGGCAGGTTTTTAAAGAAGTTTTTAAAATGATACATGCACAGAGTTAAAAAAAAAAAAATTGCAATATATACACGCAGCCAGGCATGGTGGCTCATGCCTGTAATCTCAGCACTTTGGGAGGCTGAACTGGGCAGATCACTTGAGCCCAGGAGTTTGAGACTAGCCTGGGCCACATGGCAAAACCTCATCTCTACAAAAACTACAAAAATTAGCAGCATGTGGTGGCACATACTTGTGATCGCGGCTACTCGGGAGGCTGAGGTGTGAGGATCACTTGAGCACGGGGAGGTCGAGGCTGCAGTGAGCTGTGATGGCACCACTGCACTCCAGCCTAGGTGACAGAGCAAGACTCTGTCTAAAAAAAGAAAAAAATATATATATATATACACACACACACATACATGCATATAAACACACATACGTATATACATACATGTATAAACCTAAAATTCTTCCTTCCACCCCTGAAACCAGTTACCACAGATGCCCTCAGCAGAGGCAAACAGTTACCAATATCTTTCCATATACAACCTAAGCGTATGTTCATGTATCTCCTTTTTTTCTATCACATAAATGGAATTATTCTCTACATATTATTTAGCTAGTCTCTCTTTCTCACAAATCGACATGAATTTTAGATTTTTCCCTGTCAGTGCATGAGAATGGTTTAATTTTTTTAACAGCCTCTTGGTTTCTCATAGTACAGATATTCCATAATTTATTTCATCAGTCCCCGGTCAAACGTTTAAATTATTTCCAGCCCTTTGCTGCAATGAATATCTTTGTACACATGTCTTTGAGCCCATGGGGACTATATCTGTAGGATAAATTGTCAGAGGTAGAATGCTGGTCAAAGGGTTTGTGCATTTTAAATTTTGATAGATATGGCCAAATTGTGAGTAGATTTTAGCCTACAGTAAGAAAGAATTTTAGCAACCAAAACCACTCAAGTGGTATGTGGACGACTTTAGGAGGTTGTGAGTTTCAGAAAGGAATCAAGACCAGGCTACAAATCAACTTGTCAGAAATGCCACTGGGTATATTCAAGCACTGTAAACACACTGATCACAAAAGGCCCTTCCAACTCTGATACCCTAGCTTCCTTTTTATTTATTTTTATGTTTTAAGTGACAAAAAAATATATATTTATCATGTACAACATGATGTTTTGAAATATGTATACTCTAGTTTCCTAATCATAGGTATCACTGTAGAGACTCAATATGTATTTATTGAATATTGTTCAGAGGTAAAGGAAGACGTCATGTCATTCCCATTGGAAGGTGTGTAGAAGGAAGTGGGTCAATGCAACACATCCCAAAAGAAGTCCTCTGGTGAAGCAGTGCTGTCATGTAAGGCACTCCGCATGGCAGGCTTGCACCACGTAGGGCCTGGGCAGGTGGTTAGGGGTACAGAGGAGTTCTTTCCTGTTCTCCCCATCATCACTCACATTGCCCATGTCTGGAACTCCACATTCAGAAATGTGCTCTTTGGCAGATGTGGCCAAATAGGGAGTGCAGTTTCTGGCCCTGAATTACCATGATTAGGTCAGCATCTTCAGCAGCAGGGCCATGGCGCCCAAGTGTGTTGTGATCCATTGTGAGGAATGCGCTTATTGCTAAAGGTAACTGAGCATCCGAGGTTTCCCAGAAATGGGAAGTTCCCTACCTTACAACCCAGTTCATTTCATTCCTTGGAAAGATCTTACATATAATGGGATAAAATCTGTTCCTCTTTAATCTGTTCCTGTTTCTTGATTTTAGGTCTTCCTTTCACAACCAGTGAATGCAAAATTGTCCTCCATCTACATTCTAAGCCTCACAGAGCCTGAAGGCTGCAATTAGATGCCAACTTGGTCTTCTCTCCTTTGGGTTTGATCACTTCAGTTCTCTCAACCTTGCTTATATGTCATGTTTTTCAGATATTTGCATCTTAATTGCTGCTTTTGAACCTATCCCTTCTCACTCCAAGCAGTCAAAAGTCTCTGAAAGTGTGTTGCCCAGAACTCGGCCAGGAAGGAGTAGGGTGGAATCATCTCCCTGTTTTTCTGTGCACCTTTCTAAAATCAGCATCCCGGAGATCCCTTGCTTTGGCCTGTCAAGCAAACCCTCCCACTTTTTTGGGTAAAAGCACTGTGATTTCTCATTAGAGAGCTGTTCTTCCTTATTCTGAGAAGTCTTGGTTCTCCCTGCCCCTCCTACTCAGAGGACAGTAGCACACAGAACCCAGTTTAAGCCTTAAGATTCTGGCTTCCAGAGTCTTGAGCATTTGGAAGAAAAATGTAACAGAAAACAGTGGAACAGAGAAGTTCTGATAACCCCATTTCAGGGGTGGGGTTGTGGGGGGTGTTCTCTTTTTCCTGCAGCTTGGTTCTTCAGCATCCAACAACTATTCCATACCTTTCCAGAAAGATCCCTTTTCTGATTTAGAGTCCGTTTCAGTTTGCTTGCAACTGAAGAACCCTGACCCAGATTACCCTGTCCTGTCCCAGTCCCCATTAGGAGGTCACTGTGGACCAGACACTTCTAAATCTATTTCACACGTGTTGCCATTGAACCACACGTCCCAGTCCTGCACTTGGAAAGCTGATCTGGGACAAGAACACAGCCTTTGTTTTGGGCTATCCCAGTCATGTCCCAAATTTATGACTGGGGATCATGGATCCCTCTTCTTAGTTCACATCCATTGGTTTCCTGTCACCTATTGGGCAACTTGCCATCGAGCTCTCCCATCAAGTCACTGCCAAAAGTGTTGAGCTAATTACAGCTCATGGGTATCGGCTACTTCTGTCAGTGTGCCACCCTCCAAGGCAGGGAAGTCAGCGTTCACAGAGCTTATCTAACTGGCCAATAAGGGATGGAGCCAAGTCAAACCCAAGTCTGTCAGCCCCAAAGCCAGGGCATTGGAAGGAGAAATCCTCTAAGGAGTCCCTGCCCACAAGAGACCTAGGGGGGAGGTTGCATCTTACATGGTTCCTGAAGACCTGGGAACAAAGGGGGTTGAGGAACCATATGAAGCCAGTGCCTGGATGCAAAAGGCCCAATCTCAGACTCCATGTGCTAATTAACAGAGCAGTAGAGCTCAAGTGTTGAGGTGGGAGACAGGATGGCAGAGGAGAAGAGGCACAAGATTTCCAGCAAGACAAAGACCTGGGTTTGGAAGGATCCTCCAACCTAGGCTTCATTCAGCATCCTGGGTATTGACATTGATATACTGATGCACCGTCAGCATCTCTCAGATTCAGAGGTCGCGGGAAAGATGCCCTGCCTTCTCACGGTGCCCCTCACCCCACCTGATCTCTCCTCAGTCCCCTGCTTTGCTCCAATAAGGATGTATTTTAGGGTAGGGAATTAACAACTTAAGAAATCCCATGTGTGGGCTGGGTGCGGTGGCTCACGCCTGTAATCCCCACACTTTGGGAGGCTGAGGCGGGCGGATAATGAGGTCAAGAGATTGAGATCATCCTGGCCAACACGGTGAACCCCGTCTCTACTAAAAATACAAAAATTAGCTGGGTATGGTGGCGCACACCTGTAGTCCCAGTTACTTGAGTGGCTGAGGCAGGTAAATCGCTTGAACCTGGGAGGTGGAGGTTGCAGTGAGCTGAGATCGCACCACGTCACTGCAACCCGGCAACAGAGTGAGACTCCGTCTCAAAAAAAAAAAAAAAGAAAGAAAGAAAGAAAAGAAAAAGAAAGAAATTTGATGTGTCCAGAGAAAATGCAAACATTGTGGGATAATGGAAATTATAATAAAATAAATTTAAATGTTGCTTTTGTTGAAAATTTTTTTCTCACCCTGATTTGGTAGTTTAAGATTCTAATTTTACAACCTTGGTCACTGGGAGAACCTTGACTGATTCCTATCATTTTAAACAGACTTTTATAGTCACAGCATCTAGAGAGAGTACATTTCCTCCTCTTTTTCAACATATCACATTTCTTGGCAGAAATAGCTAGCAGAAAGCACCAAAATGTTTATAATGAGGATAAAATCAAAATTTCGCACATCAGATTTCTCTTTTAGATTATTTCTTCCTGTTAAATCTTTCCCTATTTTAACTTTATTTTAGTGGCTAACAATTTAACATTTATTTTGACACTGTTCAATCATCTTATAGGATTTTAGTGTCAAAGGACATTGGCTCTGGGGTTAAAAGTTTCTAAACTGAAAGGACTTTGCCAGCATAATCACGAAGAAGCTTGGCTGGGTTTAGGCGGTTGTCCTCTCCCACTTGAATTCCGAGGGTGAACTACAGAATGGCCTTCCTGCTTTCTCAGCCTCCACTTAACTTGACTTCTCTCTATGATTTTCCTTTTTAAAACTGTACACTGTGCTCTTGATTCTGATGTAAAGGTAGTTTGTAGGCCAGACTCAGTGTCTCATGTCTGCAATCCCAGTTGTTTGGGAGGCTGAGGTGAGCCTCAAGACCAGCTTGAGCAATATAGTGAGACCCTCGTCTCTACAAAATAAATTTTAAAAATTAGCCAGGCATGGTGGTGCATGCCTGTAGTCCCAGCCGCTTGAGAGACTGAGGTTGGAGGATTGCTTGAGCCCAGGAAGTTGAGGTTGCAGTGAGCTTGGGCAACACCAGGGCAACAGAGCAAGACCCTGTCTCAAAAAAAAAAAAAAAAAAAAAGTAGCTTGTGGTGGCCATTAGGAGTAAAGATCAAGTTCAAGTTCAAATCAAAAGTATGATAAGACTCACAGCAGGAGCCACAGGAAGAGCCTTTATTTAACCCCCAGCCCAGGCCAGGATGCCCAAGTGACCTTTGCCACGTTCAGCTGAGTCACCAGGGTCCCCAAATCTTTTGCATTTTGCCCTAAAACTGCTTTCCCATCTGTGCTCTCAGTGACTAACTCCATCATGAATGTGACCCAATTTGTTCGGCAAGATGTGATTTTTTTTCTTTTTTTTTTTTAAACTCATGCTGCTTTTACTGGTCACGATTCTCTCTCAGGCATTTAGCGACTCCATTTCGGCACCCGCCCGGCCCTGCTGCTGAGCTGGATTGATAGTTTTCTCCCCAGCTGTTCCCTTCCAGCCCGCCCTCCTCTCCCTGGCAAATCCATATTCCATTTGCTTTTCTGCAGCATTTTGATATCTCCAGAGTCTCCTTAAAATAGATAAACACTAACCTCTGAGACAAGTGGTGAGGCAGAGCCCAGACTCGCATCAGCTTAACAATCTGCTCCAGGAGGCGGCTGGATGGAAAGAATAACGATAGGAGTGATCCGCTTATCGAGGCTTTTTGTCATTTACAAAGCGCTTTTGCTTGCATGATCGTATTGAGTATAAGCATGGGTATAAGCACTACTTCCATTTAATAGAAAAAGAAACTGAGTCTCAAAGAGGTGAGGAACTTCTCTAGATGGTAAATAAGAGGCAGGGCCAGGACTGGAATCTGTCCTTTTAAAAACTGCTGTATAATTTACATTCAATAAGACACAGACCTTCAGTATTCAGTCTGATCAATTTTGACAAAGGGATGCACTTTGTGTAACTACCACCCCAAAAGGGGAAAGATGTTTCCATCACTCAGAACGTCTCCTTGTGCCCTTTCTCAGTAAACCCCCGGCCCCTTCTGACTTTGACACAAAAGATTCATTTTGCCTTCAACATAAGTCTGACTCCAAACTTCTGTATTTGAAATTCCATCCTTTTTCTCCTACACCATGCTGTGTCTTTGGAATTAACAAAATGGGCACCATGGGTCCCACCTGGCTGGAATCTATAGATATACGACTTTAGGAGGCCAGGCCATGGTCTTTTAGCTGAAAAACTAGGTCAGCTGGTGGAGTGGACCTCGAAGCTTTCAGTTTTTGGAATGTTTGGAGAGCAATTCCAAAAATACACACAGGCCCAAGCCCTATCTCTAGAGTGCACCTTGAAGCTGAACTCACCACTCTCCAGCCTCAATAGCACCTCTATGTGCAGACGGTCACTTAAGGGAAATTGGTATAAGGCTGAAAGAGGAGTCAGAATTCAGCTTTGAGGCAAAGAACACAAGACTCCAGTCCCACACGTCTAGAGCCTTCCCACCTACCTTAAACTGCCACCGCAGGGATCTGGGGTAGTTGCAGGCAACACCCTCCATTCTCACATCAGAAAATTCTCTTTTGTGGACTTTTCATGCCCATCAGGCAGCGTAATCTGACAATGGAGAACTTTGCAACTGAAGGCCTCCATTTCAGTGGAAAAGAAGAAAGAAGCAAAATCATGAAAGCCCACTCCATTACTTCCAAGGCTACGCAGTAAAGGGAACTAACTGCTGAGTCACCGTGGGCCTCATTCCTATCAGGCTTCCATTAAGGAAGGGAGACATAACACAATCAGCCTTATCTGTTTATCTGGCCAGTTTTATGCCAAACTCCTTGTTCAGTCCAGCAGGTTAACTGATTCCTCTTGGATTTTGTTTATATGCAGTGACATGCCAGTAAATTACCAGCTGATTCTCAGGGAAGGGGAAAAAAAGCCCCCATGTGTAGTATTTGGATATTTCTGTGGTTTCACTGAAGGCGGATTTGAGAGTGTGCCTCTGCAACCTGGCTCTAGCACACTTCCAACTTACAATAATACCTTTAATTTATTCAGCACACCCCTACCTGAGAGGCGACACAGTGATCTATGGGGTGGAGATTTGAGTGCCCTATCCCCTCTGCATGCTCTCCCAAAGCCATTTTCTCCCCCCAAAAAATGGGGCGCTGCACACTCAAGAGTTTGCAAGGGCCTCCTCTCCCATATTGGAATCTCCAAATAAACCTTCAAAGTTATTTGGAAGTGTAGAATAAACATAAGAGAGCCCGAGATAAATTCCCACAAACCCCCAATCCAGAGGGGCTGAGTCGCCAGCCTCCACCGTTCTTTACTGGCCTCCATCAATGGCCAGCCTGTAAAAGTTTTTAGAATATCCCTAAACCTTCAGTTTTCTTTCTTGTTTGGTTTTGTTTTTCTCTTTAGAAGACTAATTGCAGAAAAGCCCAAGAATGCACTCATTTCCTGCTCCCGGATGAGCATCAGCAGCCATGCAGAGAGGAAAGGAATGGCAGGAAGAGGCTCCAGCTGAAAACACCATTGAAGCCAGGAGTGAGCGCTAGGGTCCGTAAATATCGAGAGGCTGCCACGCTGCCAATCATACTCCTCCTCTTTAAGGCCACAAGCGTAGGAGGAAAGATGAATGCCAATGTGCAGGCTCAGAAAATGATTTGTGTGGTGGAAAGATTGTTTTTCCTTTTTTAAAAAATTTAATTTTTAAATTTATGATTGACATGATTGCACATACTTATGGGGTACAATGTGATGTTTCAGTACAAGTGTACATTGTGTAATGATCGAATCAAGGTAATTAACACATCCAGCACCTTAAACATTTATTATTTCTTTGGGATGAGAACATTCAAAACCCTCTCTTCTAGCGATTTTGCAATCTGTAATACATTATCATTACCTCCAGCCATCCTTTTCCATTTTCATCAACGTGACTGTGTTGGGTCAGGCTGGCAGCAGGGCTCCTTGCTCTGCCGGCATTTACAGCACCACACTGTTCTCTTTGGCCACCTTAATTAGCACTCTCTCATCATGTGCCTTTGCTCCTTCTTCCCTCCAGAATGTGACCTGATTCTGCATGACCTCTCCCAATCTCGTCTTCATTTCCTGTCCCAACACATCCTTGCTCTTGACATTCTGCTCTGGGTTTTCTTTTCTGCTCCACACATTTCTTTGGCAGGAGCTTTGGCTTTACATTTATAAGCCTTCTGATGACTGTAGATATTCAAATAATTATCCAAGCTTCCTGTCTCTCTTGTTCAGTACGGTCTCTTTTGTGTGATGCATTCATTAAAACCCTCTGACAGACACTTTGCCCACTGTTATGGAGGGGTTCAAAGATATCCAAGAAGAGGTCCCTGCCCTCAGAGATTTTGTAGTCTAGCAGAGGAATAATAATAATATCTATGCTGTACTGAGAGCTTTCTACATGTCAAGCAGATTCCTCCCATTACCTTAGGCCTCCGAATAATCCTTGAAATAGACCCTAAGGTTATTCCCATCCCATATAGGCGATAACTGAGGCTCAGAGAGGTTAAGTAATTTGCCAAGGTCACATGGCTGGTAAATGGTGGAGATAAATACGGAGCTGGGATTCTAATGCAAGTGGTTCCAAAACCTAAGCCCTTACCACTGTGTGACAGTTAAGTATCCAAATAACAACAATACAAGGCAGAGAGTGCTGATAGCAAAAACAAAGCAGAAGTTAAGAACTGGGTGGTTTTAGAGGGTGGAGATAGGAGATGATGGTTCATAAGAACCTTTTTTGGGGGAAGTAGTGAGCTCCCAGTCCCTGAAGGTACTTAGGCAGAAACTGGAGCTATCTGTGAGGCTCTGAACTAGTGTCAGCATCTGAAAGATGCCTCTAGGAGTCCTTCTGGCCCTTGGAATGCTGATTTTAGCACATGGCCTATGTGCAGAGCCTAGAAGATTTTTTTTCTTTTTTTCTTTCTCTGAGACAGAGTCTCGTTCAGTTGGCCAGGCTGGAGTGCAGTGGTATGATCTCGGCTCACTGCAACCTCCTCTTACCAGGTTCAAGCAGTTCTTGTGCCTCAGCCTCCTGAGTAGCTGGGATTACAGGCATAGGCCATCACTCCCAGCTAATTTTGGTATTTTTAGTTAGAGATGAGGTTTCACCATGTTGGCCAGGCTGGTCTCAAACTCCTGACCTCAAGTGACCCACCCACTTCGGCCTCCCAAAGTGCTGGGATTACAGGTGTGAGGCACTGCACCTGGCCAAGAATGCTTCTTGATGGTGCAGATTGAAGGAAGAAGCCAGGGACCAAATCCTCAGAGCTAGAACACTCAGGGGGCACAGTTAGTTTTGACTGGAGTCCTCAACTGCTTTGAAGCTTGCCCATCACTTGGGCCAGGAATATATATATATATATATATATATATCTCACAGTCACTGTTTGACACTTAAAGAAGCAAGAAATGGGACCCTTTAAGCCAGTAGTTCTCAAACTATGATCCGGAATTTATTCCATAAGCTGGACTTGGGAGTTCCACAGTAAAATTAAATCATTGCACTTATCGCTAACACTCAGGGGTGATGCAGTTATACTAGTGTACTAAAGGCACCTCAACTTCAACAGATTCCATTGAAAATGTTCCCTCAAATGTTTCTTAAAATTTCAGCACCTGCTCTTACTTATCTGACAGTGGACACTGTCACAATAAAACAAATAAATGAGTGTAGCTAACGACTATTAGCAGAGAAACAGAAGTAACCAGTTAGATTTGGCATGACAGCTTGATTTTTGTATTTTCATAGATGGTGGGTGGTAGTTTTGGATTGCATACATTTATTACAGTCATACTTTCTGCCCGTAAAATTGTTCTTAGATCATTTAATAGAAAAAGTACATCAAGGCCGGGCGCGGTGGTGGCTCATCCCTGTAATCCCAGCACTTTGGGAGGCCAAGGAGGGCGGATCGCCTGAGGTCAGGAGTTTGAAACCGGCCTGGCCAGTATGGTGAAACCCCATCTCCACTAAAAATACAAAATTAGCCAGGCATGATGGTGCTCACCTGTAATCCCAGCTACTTGGGACGCTGAAGCAGAAGAATTGCTTGAACCCGGGAGGCGGAGGTTATAATGAGCCGAAATAGCGCCATTGCACTCTAGGCTGGGCGACGAGTGAAACGCTGTCTCAAAAAAAGAGAAAAAATTACGTCAATGTTTCATTGTGTTCTACAAAAAGTCCCATGGCTTCAGGTGTTGCCCCTCACCTCCCTCACACGCCGTGTGGCTGAGTGATGATTATGTGGTTGTTGACCTGCTGTTGACCTGCAGTGTGAATGAACTTGTGGAGATTCTAAATGGTGGGACTGTGCTGTTACTAGGCTGGAGCGAGACACTTTAAGTCCTGATGGAAAATGGTTCAACCTAGGGGTGCAAAATACAAAGGAGGGTCCCAAGCCTTCTCTCCCATTAGCACTGCTTCCCTCACCGCAAATGGTGCATTCTCCGTCGGGTAAGGATGTATCAGAATCATCCCAGGGAGACTCTGGTCCACAAAATGGACCCCCCACTGCCAGCTCCCGAAGGACAACTCCCACGCCTATCACACACCTGTGAGAATCTCAGGCCCGTGGGAGGAGGAGCGCATGTACAATTGCAAAAAGCCAGACAGGTGAGTTCTACCCCTTCATCTGCTTAAAAACCGCTACCTGGGGCCGGGCGCAGTAGCTCACGCCTGTAATCCCAGCACTTTGGGAGGCCGAGACGGGCGGATCACCTGAGGTCAGGAGTTTGAGACCAGCCTGACTAACATGGCAAAGCCCCATCTCTACTAAAAACACAAAAATTAGCCGGGTGTGGTGGCGGGCACCTGTAATCCCAGCTGCTTGGGAGGCTGAGGCAGGAGAATCGCTGGAACCTGAGAGGTGGAGGTTGCAGTGAGTGGAGATCGCACCCCTGCGCTCCAGCCTGGGCAGCAGAGTGAGATTCCATCTCAAAAAAAAAAAAAAAAAAAAAAAAAGAACCGCTACCTGGACCCTCAATGAACAGGACCTTTAATGATGTTTCACTAACGTTTGAATGCTCCCCTTTTAAAGAACCCCTGTAGCCAGCAGGGGGCTGTGACTTTTTTCTCTTCCTCAGTCCCACCCTTCTCTCCAGCCCTGCACCTGGAACTGAGACCAAATGCACCAATCCCTGAAAGAGGCCCTCTGTGCCCCATTCGCCTGCAAAGCCAGTGTAGGCCCCAGCATCTTTGCCCACCAGAGCCAGAGCCACACCAGTTGCCTTGAGCTGATGCACCATAGCCTCAGGCTGCCGGCACTGCCGAGTCCTCTCTTTGGAGCACTGGTCTGCCCCCTACTCACTCTCTCCCCAGCCGAGCCCATCTCTTCTCTGAGGCTTCAGCAATGCACTCGATGCAGATGCTGTTAGCCAAGACTTCTGGAACTGCCTCCTGGACCTTCCCCCTAAATACTCATCAGGCACCTCAAACTCAGCATGTTCCCTGCTAACCCCATCATTTCCTGCTCCAACCCAGCTACCACTCCCTGTGATTGTGAACTAGTGGGTGTTACCACAACCTACTTGGCCATTTGAGCTGGAAACCTGGAAGCCATCCTTGAATTCTCATTCTCTGTCTCCTGGCCCCTCATTCAATGACCAATCAAACTTCAAGTCCTACTTATTTTTTTTACCTGGCTTTCCCATGATCTCAGTCTTAGCTTAAGCCCTCATCATCTCATCTGGATTTACTGTAACAGATATCCCTGGCTTGGCTTTTTCCCTCATGAATTTCATCCTCCATGCTGCTGCCAGGGGGATCTGTTTACAAAGCAACTCGGAGCCAGGTGTGGTGTCTCACCCCTGTAATCCCAGTGCTTTGGGAGGCTGAGGCAGGAGGATGGTTTGAGCCCAGGAGTTCAAGGCTGCAGTGAGCCATAATTACACTACTGTACTCCAGCCTGGTGACAGAGTGAGACACTTCCCTAAAAAATAAAATAATGATAATAAATAAGCAACTCAGACATCTAATGACACCAACATTTCTGACCAGCCAATAAAGCACAAACTCCTTTATATATTACACCTAGGTCAGGTGCGGTGGCTCACGCCTGTAATCCCAGCACTTTGGGTGGCCAAGGCAGGTGGATCACCTGAGATCAGGAGTTCAAGACGAGCCTGGCCAACATGACAAAACCCCGTATCTACTAAAAATACAAAAAATTAGCCAGGCATTGTGTCGGGCGCCTGTAATCCCAGCTACTGATGATGCTGAGGCCGGAGAATTGCTTGAGCCCAGGTAGGGGAGGTTACAGTGAGCGAGATGGCACCAGTATACTCCAGCCTGGGTGACAGAGTGAGACTCCGTCTCAAAAAAAAAAAAAAAGTAAAAAAAAATTAATAAAATATATATTACACCTGGCCCTACCTCCCCACCTTTATCTTCTACCTCGCCTAGACTGACATTTTAAGCCCTATCAAGATGCAGCTGTTCATCCCTTGCCTTCCTCTCCTAAACCTGATCATGCTTCCACCTCCCATTGCCTCAAAGGCTGACCTTCAGCTGTTATCCCCCACCATCTCTGACCCTGCCTCTTCCCTCCCAAAGCTCCCATGACCCCAGTGCTTACTTCTGGATGACCCTATTGATTTCTATTATATGTTTATGTGTTGTATCTTGAGGAAAGGGATGTGCTTTCTACTGTCTTTGAATCACCATCCCCTAGAATAGTGCCCAGCCAGTCTTAGAGCAGAATGACAAACAGGGTGAAAATCTAAAGCCAGTTTCAGCACAAGACTGTCAGTATTTTTAGCCTTTTGAGAGGAAATACCGGAAGTCATCACCACCCCCAAACATCCTATGGGCATTTCTTTACTATTAAAACATCCCCATGTTCCTTAACACACAGGTGTGGGGATGGGATGGCTCACATCACCTTCTTGCATTCATCCCTGATTCTTCTTCTCAGTGTCTCCAGTTAGGTATAGACCTGAGTGAGAGACAAGGGTTGAGACCCAACTCTCCATCCCAAGCTATCTTTCCCAAGACCCGAAATCACCTGAGGCTCCCATCTACCTCCCTAAACACACACACACAGACCAAGTGTCTCCTCCCTGCCACACCCTGCTCTCATGCCTGGTTCCCCCCATGGCCTGAAGTGCCTGCCACCAACTTGGCCCAAGTCAGCAGCAATCTGGTGGCATCTCATCATCCCCAGGATGACTATTGGCTTGACACCCTACCAGACTTCTGGTTGCCCCAGTCTCCTGTGGCCACAGCTAAGAAGCTGAGCCTTTGATAAGTAGACAGCACTATTAGGCCCTTAAAGGTCACCCATGCCTTGCACCATAGCCAACAGAGGTGAGAAACATGGCTTCTGTTCCAGGTGATCCGCTGTATACCCTGTTCTGATAGTTACTGAGTACTTACCAAGTGTATGCCACCTACTGACTGTCTTACAAAAGGTGCAACTTGGCATCATAAGAACATGGGCTCCACAGTCAGGCATAGGTTCAAATCCCAGGTCTGCCACTTAGTAGTTGCGTGACCTTGAGCAAGTTACCAACCTTTCTGTGCCTCAGCTTTCCATCTGTAAAATGGGACTGACCACAATAGTACCTCCCTCATAGGATTGCTCTGAGGAATAAATGAGTTAACAGAAAAACAGTGCCTGGGATGTAGTTGGGGCCACACAAGTATTAGCTGTCATTATTCATGTGCATTAGTTCATCGACTTCTCACATCACCCCATTTTACAGATGAGAATACTGAGGCTAAAGAGACAAAGAAGCCCAGACCTAAGCATCTCCAGCATCCATGTCCTCAACCAGTGAGGCCATGCATGGCCCAAATCCCCTCAGCCATGCAGCTAGGCCTCCATTCCCAACGCTTAAACTGGGCAAATCTTCCACATCCTTATATTGATATCACCTATCATTTTAGTAGGAAATGAGCTCTGAGTTGATTCAAAGGTAGGAAATCCTCCTACTTAAAAACAGTTCGTTTCATAAAAACGAAAACCCTTGTTAATTAACACTCCATTAACAGGAAAATGATATGGTGGCAGACTGAGGGCTCAGGGTTCCAAGTTTTGACTCAGTGTTGTCAACAAGCACCTCTTTTTGCCCAGGGAATATCAGAGAATTGTTCATACAGAGACAGCGACCGCAGATGGGGCACTAGTGCCTTCAGCTGCAAAAGGTCGTCTGGCAGGAAGCATGTTGGTCTCCTGGCAGTTTCTTGGGCCATGTGACATAACCGCCAGGTTATACTTCTGCAATTACAGTCCCCAGGGACCTGCCGCATGAAACAGACATTGGTTGTGATCCTGTAAAAAGCCGCAAGCAGTGGCTCTTTCAGTACAAGGAAACCCTTGGGACAGAAAAGTTTACTTTTGCTCAGGCTTTATGGTGACAGCCAGCGTGATCAACAGGAATGCTGCAGTTGGGTGACGCATGAGGCTCAGGAGCCTTTGCGCTTGACTTTGAAAGATTATAAATACACCAGGCTCGCCAAGCATAGCCAGTCAGTTACAAATTACGAGTCATCTTTCGGTTGTTGCTGAACTTCCTTTACACCTCTTGTTTTGAACACAGTGAGCAAACAACGTCTAATCTTTTGGCTGTGGAGTTCCAAGTACACCACAAGGCATCGGGACACACCTTTACCCCAGCTGCTTTGTGTGGTTGCAGGTTAACCAGACATGCAGCTAGGAGTTCACCTAAAACCTTCCTTTCCCCGGTACATACCTTGGTGTTGATTTGACAGCTGGATGCTGAGTATTGATCCCAGTGTTCAGGGATAGTTACTTCATTAAGACTTCTGAGATCCCCCATTTGCTTGAAGATAAAAACAGGCAAAGGTATAAACAGATAAACAGTCACACAAATAAGTAGCTGTGTGGGCCATTACTTTTAAAGCATAGTAGATGTTATTTGTGTTTGGAGAAGCTTAATGATACACTCAAGAATCCAATAGTAGAAACTGTTTGCTTTCAGGAAGAAAACGTTATATCAGGAAGGTATGTTTGAAGAAAAGAACTATATAACAGCGATCCACAATACACCTGTTCATTTGTAGCATAATAGTTACACCTGCTCCCTGGGGCTTTTTTGAGATTTCAGTCTTTGGTGTAAGACACACATACACACATGTGCACACACAATGGTAAGCATGCATGCTCTTCAGCTTCAACCCTCAGTGCGCAGTAAAATAAAAAATATAGTTGAATCATCTGTCTCAGCCCCAGCTAGAGCCCACGTCTTCCAACATGAATTTTAAAATACCTTTTTGCCTTTTAAAATATGCTGTAGAGGCCGGGCGCGGTGGCTCACGCCTGTAATCCCAGCACTTTGGGAGGTCAAGGCAGGCAGATCACGAGGTCAGGAGATGGAGACCATCCTGGCTAACAAGGTGAAACCCCGTCTCTACTAAAAATACAAAAAAGATTAGCTGGGCGTGGTGGCAGGTGCCTGTTGTCCCAGCTACTCAGGAGGCTGAGGCAGGAGAATGGCGTGAACCCGGGAGGCGGAGCTTGCAGTGAGCCGAGATCGCGCCACTGCACTCCAGCCGGGGCAACAGAGCGAGATTCCATCTCAAAAAAAAAAAAAATGCTGTAGATGAGTTTTAGTTTATCCGGGTCCTTTGTAATTAATCTCTGCATTCATCATAATTGGAAGAAAAGCTCAAAGTAAGAAAATAGCTTTCCTCCAAGTTTATTGCAATCAGAGAAAAATACAATTTAAATGTTTTTGTTTCCCATTTCTGTTCCTTACATGCATTGTCTAGAGTGGTTCCTGGTCTATAAGCCAGTGGGTTGAGATACCTGACCAGACCACCTTTTCAACCCAGTTCTTTCTCCTCTTTGTATTTCTCCCATACAATACAGTATTGAATATTTCATAACCTATGGGTGTATGTTTTTGGCAATGTGGCTAAGTCAGGCAGCATTGAGGACTGTCCTGGTGACAGTCCGGTGCAGCCCTCACCCAGGCTCCCACATTCACACCCCTCCACTCTCCAGTGGGCTGTGTAAGTTAACGGCAAATAAATGGCCCAGAATGGCTTCCTGTTAGAGAAAAAAAGGGACAAAGACTTCTGCCCTTAAAACTCTGGTAACAAAAGTAATCTAGTGGAAATCAACATTACTAGGAATATCCTATGATTTTGGTGGTGTTGAGTTCAAAGACAGCATGGCCGAATTGTGACCATCCACCCAGTCACATGAGGCAAAAACCCAGGCCCTACCTGTGTCCTGACCTCCAGCTTCCTCCCCACGGCCAGTTGGTTAGAACGTGTAGGGAGTGTACCTCTCCCAGCCGTGGAATCCCCTCACCATCTTCACCCCTTCCCCACCTTCAAAGACTTTCATGGCCGAGTGTGGTCTGACCACACTTGATCCAAAGCCCTTCCTCTGAGCTCTCAGCTCCACGTCACAACCTCGTGACCACGTGCCTCTCACTGTCATGTGCTTAGATATGTGTGTGTGTGTCCACCTCACCACACACTGTGAGATCCTTGAGGGCACGTTGTCTCTTTCATTTCTGTGTCTCCAGTGCCTAAAATGGAAAGTGCTCACTTACTAAATAAATATACAATATAAAAAATAATTTTTATCCCTTGTCCCATTTGAGATGGAAAATGAGTAAAGTTTACAAGTATTAATATAGTCAGCATCCCACTAAGACCACACAGACACTGAGATGAGCAGAGGATGCTGAGGAGCAAATGCAAAATAAACTATGAGAACTGTGACAGCTTCCAGTGCTCTTCATTATAAATATCAGCAATTGCTAATATCCAATAACATGTCACACACTCTACATTAAATCATCACAAGTCTCTAAGGCAGGTGTTAGTTTTCTCTTTGTACAGCCCAAGAAGCTGAGACAAGAGTCACACAACCAGCCAATAGAGAGAAAAGATTCAAACCCGGAGACCTTCTGTCTCTAATCCCACCCTCCTCCCACTGTCTCCTGCTGCCTCTCTGTTTCAAAGCTTGGCTCTGAGACTATGAGCACTGCCAAAATTTTACAACAGTTTGCGTATGTCATGGTCTGCAAAAGCTGTGGATGGCACTGTGGTGGCAGCCTCAATAGAAGGCTGAGACTACTTACCAGAGGGAGGATTTCCTGAGCTCCGATCACACCTGCTCTTTGTTCTCTCTCTGTCTGTCTCTCTGTGTGTGTCTCTCTCTCTCTCTCTCTCTCTCTCTCTCTCTCTCTCTCTCTCTCTCAATACAGACAGGGTCTCACTCTATTGCTCATGCTGGAGTGCAGTGGCGTGATCATAGCTCACTGCAGCCTCAAAGTCCTGGGCTCAAGTGATCCTCCTGCTTCAGTCTCCTGAGTAGCTGGGACTACAGGCATGCACCACCAGGCCTGGCTAATTTATTTATTTTTATTTTAATTTTGTAGAGACAAGGTCTCGTCCCTTCCCCAGACTGATCTCGAACCCCTGGGCTCAGGAGATCCTCCCACCTCGGCCTCCCAAAGTGCTGGGATTACAGATGTGAGCCACCACTCCTGGCCCACACCTACTCTTTATCCTCAACCCACACCCCCAGGCTCAAACTCAAAAGGAAGGAGCAAACCCTAGAAGCTGCGTAAAACACACCTTGACCTAAAATGTGCTCATGACCAGGCAACTTGACTACATATTCTCCTCGACCTACGGTGGAGTGACATCCCTATAAAAGCCATTGTAAATTGAAAATATTGAAAGTCTAAAATGCTTTGAATACACCTAACCTATCGAATATCAGAGCTCAGCCTCGCCTCCCTTAAACGTGCTCAGAACACTTACATTAGCTTACAGTGGGCAACATAATGTAACACAGGCCTATCTATGTTATAATACAGTGTTGAGTATCTCATGTGATTTATTGAATACTGTACTGAATGTGAAACAGAATGGTTGTCCGGGTACTCACCATTAGCTGACACAGCTGAACGCACACTGCGCCTGAAGAGCGTTTGAAGCATTGAACTAAAATTAATTGCTGGGTGATGGGGATGCTACAACGACAGGGTCATCAATTTCTCTCTCTTCTGCTGAGGCTGGAGAACCACGGGTAGAAGGCGCTGGAGCATCAACGCTTGATGGTTTGGCAGGCGTAGTGCTCTTCCTTCAGGAAGGCATCAGGTGTCCGTGGTTTACCCTTCTGATGGCAGGGCTGCCTGGGTGCTTTGGCTCACAGCCATGCCCAGCATCAGGAGAGTGTCATACAGCATATCCCTTGCCTGTGGGATAAAGGCCAGTCTTCAGAATCCGAAGTGCACTTTTTGTTTTTTTTTTTTGAGACGGAGTCTCACTCTGTTGCCCAGGCTGGAGTGCAGTGGCATGATCTTGGCTCACTGCAACCTCCACCTCCCAGGTTCAAGCGATTCTCCTGCCTCAGCCTCCTGAGTAGCTGGGACTACATGCGTGTGCCACCATGCCTGGCTAATTTTTGTATTTGTAGTAGAGACGGGGTTTCACTGTGTTAGCCAGGATGGTCTCAATCTCCTGACCTCATGATCCACCCTTCTCGGCCTCCCAAAGTGCTGGGATTGCAGGCGTGAGCCACCGCGCCCAGCCCTGAAGTGCACTTTCTGCTAAATGCCTGTCACTGTCATACCATCCTAAAGTTTAAGCTGGAACTCTCTATGCTTGCACCTGTTGCCTGAAGGGTGTATTAGAAATAATAGTTTCCTCCAACCCCTCCCCACCTCATTTGTGGAAGAATCTCATGTCTCCCTCCTAGAAATGGATTCAGCCTGAGATTCTCAAGACCAAGGTGGCATCCCAGGGTTCCAGGCTCTGGAGACAAGGATGTGGAGGGAAGGGGGTTAGGGGGAGGTCACTCTGGGAAAACACATGTAACCTAGATCCCCAGTGAGCTAAGTGAGACTGACTCCTAGATGGAAATAGCCCCAGCGGACTTGTCACTGCAAGAATTCTGGTCTCCCTGGATACCTAGCATGCTCAAGAGCCCACTTGAAACACTGAAACACTTCAGCATACTGTATGTGCTCAGGGGAGTGGCTGAGACTAGCAGGTTGAGGAAGGAAAAGGAAGAGGGCCTTCTATGTGCCAAGTCCTAGAGCTCAGGCACCATACCAGGAGCCAACATGAAAAATAGTCTGCAGCAGACATTGCTCTCACCTCACACAAAACCACTCCAACCTCCTAGCAAGATTTCCTGTGCACCAAAGCCTGAAACACCAAAGACCTCTTCCTCCAAAGTCCCTTGCACTAGGGTTTCCCCAGAGTAATCTTCCAGGTCGATTATAATAATAATAGCAGCTTACCCAGGTAGATGCTCTAGTGCATGGTATAGCCTGAGCATTTTAAGTGGCCACCACAGTGCCCCTCTGGAAGCACAGAGGTGGAGGTGCTTCGGACCTTCTCCAGCAGGGATGACAGTGGCACTATGTCTAGTCAATCTCTAACCTCAGGGGCAGTCAGCAGCATCAGCACAGCTTCCTGGTTCAGCAGCTTTCCGGCCTGCAGCACAGGCAATGTGGTTTTTGAGTTCACAGTGGAAGCAGCAGATACAGCAGCTACCTGACTAAGCCAGTTTTGCAGTGTGGTTCTGAGACTGTACCTGGACCTAGACCCACTCTGTAGCCTCCCTCTCCAGCCCTTGACATCATTCTATAGCCCAGTGGTTCTCCAAGGGTGGGCTCTGGACCAGCAGCACCTGGGAACTTGTTAGAAATGCAAATTCTTGGGCCCCACCCCAGACCTGCTGAATCAGAAACTCTGGGGGCGGGACCTGGTAGGCTTGACTTTAGCAAGCCTTCTAGGTGATTCTGCTATGCCCTTAAGTTTAGGGACCTCTGCTGAAAGTCATCCACCTCTAATAAATCCATTTCTACTATAACTAGAGTGGATCCTGCTGTCTGCAGATTCATCCTGACTGAATCACAGTCGCTGTCCTCATGTTGTCCATAAGGAAGACAATAAATAATGACAAAGCAGCATGTCATTCTGGGGGAAGAAAAGAACAGGGTCACCTTACCCAGCCAAGAATGGTGACCTCCCAACTATTTTTATAATCTAGCCTTCGCAACAATTTTGAACATGCACCCTCAATAGTTATATTTATTTCTAAATTTTATATATACTCTATTAAACATTTAAAAATTATAAATAGAAACCTAAAAGATGAGATTTTTTTAAATGAATATAAATTAACGTTCTAATACTTTCTTCCTGAATCTCTAAGGATTGATTTGGCACTTTAGCAATCACTGCTCTAGAATGTCAGGATAACCTTTTGGCAAAAGTAACAGCAGAATCAAAGGAATTAAAAGGAGGGTGCAGGATATTTTTGTAGAACTTAGGCAAGGAAGCATCACGAGGTGACAATGACAATAATAATGATAATGACAATGATGATAATGATGATAATTTCTTATTTTTGAGCAACTAACATGATCACTTAGCCTTAAAAGCAACCATGTGAGGTAGGACTATTATTCCTACTTTTCAGATTGGGAAACTGAGGGCCAATAGTCTCCTATCTGGTAAGTGGCAGAGCAGGGTTTTGAAACCAAAATCTGGGTTTTTCCATTGCCGGTTTTGGGCTTGGACTACTGCATGGTTGGAAGAGCCATCTGCTGAGACAGAGAATTCAGAAAGAAGAGCGGGTTTGGAGAGAAGATGGTAGGTTTTGTTTTGATGTTTGAGGTGCCCCCGACGTATTCTGGTGAAGCTATCAAATACACAACTTAACATATGAAGCTGCAGAACCCAAGCCTGGCTGCAGAAAAGGGTTGGATATCTTTAACTTCTTAGCCCAAGTTGAAAATACTTATTTTGTTGTGAGCACCATGATGAAAAGGAGCAAGGGCCAGGTGCAGTGACTCATGCCTGTAATCTCAGAGCTTTGGGAGGATGAGGCAGGAGGATTGTCTGAGCCCAGGAGTTTGAGGCTGCAGTAGCTATGATTGTGCCACTACATTCTGCTACTTTGAACTTTTCTTCCAAAAAATTAGGATGAATGCAGAAATTACAAAGGACCCAGATAAATTTAGTAAGCCTGGGCAACAGAGCAAGTCCCTGTCTCAAAATAAATAAATAATTCTAAAATCTTTTAAAAAGAAAAAAGAAAGGAGCAAGTGGAGAGGGAAAGTAGAAGAGACAATGGGGGTGGGGGTGGGGTGGGACACTGGATAATGAATGGAGCGAGCTTCTCCATCAGCTACGTGGGGACAAAATTGTGAGCACTGCTGGGATTGTTAGCTTTGGCCAGGAGGAGGGACAGAAATCACACAGCCCTGGGCTTGAATGCCAGCTCCATCTCCTTCTAGCTACAAAACCATGGAAAAGATAATGAAGTAATGAACCTTGTTGCCTCTGTTTCCTCTTCTGTAAAATGAGAATAATAATATCTCTCCATCTGATAGAAATGTTATGCTGATTAAATGAGAAATGGTGTGAAGTGCATATCTGTGTTTGGCCCATAGAAATAACTCAATATTTGTTAACTATAATTAGCTAACTGTCATTATAACTGGTATTGTTCTCTGAGCTAGGAACCAAGCAGGTAAGGATTAGTGCAAATGGAGGTGACCTTATAGCAGAGGAGCATAAGAGCTCAAAAGAATCGTTAGCTGATGACTTTAACTTTTGGGCCAAGGCAGGGGCAAAGTCAAGAACTAAGAATGAGAGGAGCAAAGGCAGGGTAGGGGCTTGAGGAGAAGGCACAAATCCTTAAGAACCACACAGGGGATTAAGACAGGAAATGAGTTAGGTTTACCCAAAAGGACCTCCAAGTAGCAATAACAGCATTAATCAATATGCTGTCTACAAAGCACACTCAAAAGAGCAAAGTTAGAGAATTAACACTTCCTAATTTCAAGACTTACTATGAAGCTACAGTAATCAAGACTGTGTGGTACAGATTGACATAAAGACAGACACAAATATCAATGGAACAGAATTAAAAGTCCAGAAATATACTCATACACATAGGAGAAACTGATATGACAAAGAGATAAAAGCAATTCATCAGTGAAGGAACAGTCTTTTTCAACAAATGGTGCTGAAACTATTGAACATCCATATGCAAAAAAAAAAAAAAGAACTTTGATTCATACCTTGTACCATATACAAAAATTAACTCAAAATAGACCACAGACCTAAATGTAAAACTGAAAACTGTAACATTTTTATAGAAAACATAGGAGAAAATCTTGGTGTTATTGGGTTAGACCAGGATTTCTTAGAAACGACCCCAAAAGCACAAGCAATAAAAGAAAGATTGATAACTTGACTTCATCGAAATTAAAAACTTCTGCCCTTTGAATGACACTATCAAGAGAATGAAAACACAAGCCATAGGCTGGAGAAAATATTTGCAAAGTATGTATGTGATAAAGGTCTTGTATCCAGAATACATACTGACCTCTCAAAACTCTGTTAGACAATAAATAATCCAATGAAAACAATAAGTAAAAGCATTGAGCAGATACTTCATTAAAAAACATGCATGGATAGCAATGATGCTCAACATCATTAGGGAAATGCAAATTAGCATCGCAAGGATGTGCCACTACACATCTATTTGAATGACTAAAGTCAGAACGACCAGTTACCAAGTATTGGCAAGGATGAAGAAGAGCTGGAACTCTCATACACAGCTGGGGGTCATGCAAAATGATATAGCCATTTTGGAAAAGTTCGATTCTTAAAAAATTAAACATACACCCGGCCGGGCGTGGTGGCTCTTGCCTGTAATTCCTGCACTTTGAGAGGCTGAGGCAGGCGGATCACCTGAGGTCAGGAGTTTGAGACCAGCCTGGCCAACATGGCAAAACCCCACCTCTACCAAAAAAAAAAAAATACAAAAATTAGCCAGGTGTGGTGGTGCACACCTGTAGTACCAGCTACTCAGGAGGCTGAGGCAGGAGAATCACTTGAACCCAGGAGGCGGAGGTGGCAGTGAGCCAAGATCGAGCCACTGCACTCCAGCCTGGGTGAAAGAATGAGACTCTATCTAAAAAAAATAAGATAAAAAGTTAAACATACACCTACCACATGATCCAGCCATTTCACTTCTAGTTATTTTTTCAAAAGGAAAAAAAAACCATATGTTCATACAATGAAAGACTTGTACATGAATGCTTTTAATAACTTATTCACAATCTCACAAAACCATAAGAAGCCTTTAAGGGGTGCCTTCATAAGTATATGTGATGATGGACAGGCGAGCCCCAAAACTGGGGCTTAGCCCGGGCTTTGCCCAGGAAAGAATTCAAGGGTGAGCTGCCATGTTAGACAGCAATCTTGTACTGAACAGTACTGCTCCTTGCAGAGCAGGGCTAACTCATAGACAGTGCATCTAGAGTTGGCAAGAAATGAGCTGTTGGCAACTGTATTTCTACCCCCTTATACCAACTTTCAATTACAAGCAAATTAAGGGACAGTTAAAGCAAATTGAGAGGCGGGTTATTTAGAACTTTCTAGGAAAGGGACGGGAACTTCTAGGTCATTGTCATGGCATTTGTAAACTGTCATGACATTGGTGTGAGTGTCTTATGCTAATGAGCAATGATGACAGCTAGGGATGGCTTTTGTTGTCATTTGCTGGTTCCCGCTGGTTTCTTCACTTTTTCCTGCCTGAGACTGGGAAATAAATCCTGCTGGTCTCCTACCTCAGATGGATAAACTGGGTTTATCTATGCTGTGGAATACTACTCAGCACTGAAAAGGAATGAACTACTGATACACACAACCACCTGGATGAATCTCCAGAGAATTATGCAAGGTAAAGGAGTGCATACTGTACGGTTCCATTTACAAAAGACTCTAGAAATGGCAAATTAATCTACAGGGACCAAAAGCAGTTTCCATGGTGCACTGGGAAATAGGGGAAGGGAGAGAGGAATTACAAAAGTGCATAAGGAAACTTTTGGAGATGATGAACAGATATGTTCATTGTCATTGTGGTGATGGTTTCATGAGCATAGATATATGTCAAAATTGATCGAATTGTACCGCAGACTGGGTGGTTCACACAGCAGACACTTTGAGACGGAATCTCACTCTGTTGCCCAGGCTGGAGTGCAGTGGTGTGATCTTGGCTCACTGCAACCTCCGCCTCCCGGGTTCAAGTGATTCTCCTGCCTCAGCCTCCCAAGCAGCTGGGATTACAGGCACCTCCACCACACACAGCTAATTTTTGTATTTTTAGTAGAGACAGGATTTCACCATGTTGGCCAAGCTTTTCTCCTGACCTCAAGTGATCCACTCACCTCAGCCTCCCAAGGTGTTGCGATTACAGGTGTGAGCCACTGTGCCTAGCCTACAACAGAGGCTTATCACACCACAGTTCTGCAGGCTGAAGTCTGAGACCACGGTGTGGGGAGGGTTAGTTTCTCCTGTGACCTCTCTCCTGGAGTTATAGATGGCCCTGTGTCTTCACATGGTCTTGCCTCTGGAAATGTCTGTGTCCTAATTGCCTCTTCTTATGAGGACACAAGTCAGATTGGATTAAGGCCTGCCTTTATAATCTAATTTTAACTTAATCACCTTTTTAAAGATCCTGTCTCCAAATATATAGTAGTTACAAGCTGAGGTATTAGGGGTTCAGGCTTCAACATATGGATTTCGAAGGGAAACAATTTCGCCCATAACAAGCCGTGTTTTCTGTTTATGTCACAGCACTTACTTACCACACAGTTAATTGAGATGTAGCCGAATTTCCTTAGGATATTCTGGTTTATGTGAATTACGTGACTAATACAAGAGAGATTTTCTTTAACTAGCAATTCTATTAAACTACCAAAAGCTATAGCTGAACACCTTTAAAAACACACATATAAATAGGGCACAGTGGCTCACACCTGTAATGTCAGCACTTTGGGAGGCCGAGGTGGGCAGATCACCTGAGGTCGGGAGTTTGAGACCAGCCTGGCCAACATGGTGAAACCCTGTCTCTACTAAAAATACAAAAAAAAAAAAAATTAGCTGGGTGTGGTGGTGTACACCTATAATCCCAGCTACTTGGGAGCAGGAGAATTGCTTAAACCTGGAGGCAGAGGTTGCAATGAGCTGAGATCACATCACTGCACTCCAGCCTGGGTGACATAGTGAGATTCTGTCTCAAAATAAATAAATAAATAAATAAATAGTTTTAAAAAATAAAAACATAAAAAACACAGATAAATTAAACAGGCAGAAGGCAACATGATTTTGGGAGGGAAGTGGAGGAAAGAATGGGGCTGGAGACATAAAGAAAGGCCTGAAAGTTATTCTTTCATCATAGGCGATAGGAACGGAGAAGAGCTACATATCAAAAAGTAGCTTTCTCTTTATCCTCTGGTCTGGTTTTACCATCAGGCTACTTGGATGGACCCAAATGAGGACATTGTCCAGTCTGGTTGAGGGCCATCTGTTGGTCCCCACTGACCGAGACCTCCCACCCCCACAGGACAATCATTGCTTTGCAACTTAAACAGAAGGCAGGTTTTGGGCGGAGTGCCTTCCTTGCCACGGGACCATACCAGCAGCTGCTGTCTTTGTGAGTGCTTTCCGGTTAGTGCCAAGGGCAGGAAATTTAAGCCAGAGTCAGGCAGGCGGGGCACCAGGTGTGGTGGGAAGCAGGGCTTATCTGACAACCATCTGCATAAGGACCGATGGAGGCCTTTGCAAGCCCCAAGTTGCTACTTCAAACATTAACTTGTGTTTTTATTCAGATAGTCTACTAAAGCTCAATGTGGAATTGGTATGTGCTTTTAAATACCAGAACACTCCTACTGTGCCTGTCATGAAAGCTTCCTGTGTGGGGTGAGACCTTTGGACTTGTATGTGGAATTGGGGAATTTGGGGAAGGAGCAAGCCTCCTCACCTGGGCTGGAGCTGAGCAGTTTGTGAACTGATACTGCAGTAAGACAAACATTATCCTTTTGGCAGGACTTGAACTTACACAAGCAACCAGAGAATTATGACTTTAGGGATTCTTATTTTATTAATCTTTATTATGTTGGCCATTTATTAAATATCTACTATGTGCCAATCACTGTTCTAGGCAGTTAATATACATATGTATGATATATATGTACCATCTCAATCTTAAAGAGTAGATAGTAATATTCTTCATTTTACAATCAAGCAGATGAGGATCAGGGAAATGCCTTGCCCAGGGACACAGAAATCTTCAATAGCAAGGCTCAACTCAGACCTAGATTTGTCTGATTTCAAAGCCTATTCTCCTTTCTCCCACTTCTTGCTTTTCTGAAAGAATGCCCTAAAATATATTTTGGACCTGTACTTGGGTTTTGTTATTTGGCAAGTTATCTTTAGATGTTTATTTAGATGGTAAGTTTCTTAATAGGAAAAGACTGGGTTTTTTCTTGAGACAGAGTCTCACCCTGTCACCCAGGCTGGAATGCAGTGGTGTGATCTCGGCTCACTGCAACCTCTGCCTCCCAGGTTCAAGCGATTCTCCTGCCTCAGCCTCCAGAGTAGCTGGGACTTCAGGCGCCCGTCACCACGCCCAGCTAGTTTTTGTATTTTTAGTAGAGACAGGGTTTCACCACGTTAGCCAGGCTGGTCTCGAACTTCTGACCTCAGATGATCCACCCGCCTTGGCCTCCCAAAGTGCTGGGATTACAGGCGTGAGCCACCACGCCTGGCCAAGATTAGGTCTTTTTCTGGCTTTTTATTAACAGAATATACACATTTTTACATCAAAAGTGTTACTTGAAAGTGTGCACCTGACTTAAGACTATTATAACAGCATCAAGCTCCTGGTTTTGACATATATTGTTATATAAGATGACATCATGGGGAAAGCTGGAGAAAGGGCAAGTGAAGACTGTCTGCAACTTATTTTTGCAACTTCTTGTGCATTCTAAACTATTTATAGCTGGGCACGGTGGCTCATGCCTGTAATCCCAGCACTTTGGGAGGCCGAGGCGGGCGGATCACCTGAGGTCAGGAGTTTGAGACCAACCTGGCCAACATAGTGAAATCCTGTCTCTACTAAAAATACAAAAATTAGCTGGGGGTGGTGGCAAAATAAATAAATAAATAAACAAACAAACAAATAATAAAAGGTTTTTTGTTTGTTTGTTTTTTGAGACAGAGTCTTGCTCTGTCACTCAGGCTGGAGTGCAGTAGCATGATCTTGGTTCACTGCAACCCCTGTCTCCCAGGTTCATGCAATTCTCCTGCCTCAGCCTCCCGAGTAGCTGGGACTACAGGCGTGTGCCACCTCGCCTGGCTAATTTTTGTATTTTTAGTAGAGAAGGGGTTTCACCATGTTGGTCAAGCTGGTCTTGAACTCCTGACCTCAGGTGATCCACCCCTCCTTGGCCTCCCAAAGTGCTGGGATTACAGGCTCGAGCCACTGTGCCCAGCAGAAGTGTTTTTTTAAAGTGTATTTGATGATGATAATAAAGAGCATTGTGACGATATAGAACCAACAGAGTTAGGCAAGTTGAGTCCTGGGTTCTATGGCTGCTTTGCCAATAACTAGCTGTGTGGCTTTTACAGGTCACTTGTCCACCCGAGGCCTAGCAAAGTCAAGGTGGCATCCACATTCCATTGTAGAGTCAAGTTATGATTTCTGTAATTTCAAAAAAATGCATTTTAGACGTCCACTTTAGGATGCAAGAATGAATACACACACCTAATGTAGTTCCTCCCAAAACACACTAAATTTGCAGTATAGAAATTTTCTAAAAGACATATCCTACAAAAATAGGAGGGACAGGAGACAGTAGCAACAAAGGAATAGAAGCTAGGAAGCCTCTATAAGTGATAAATGAGGAAAACACAAATTAACAGGCCTGGAGTTGGTGGTTAATAAAGCTAAGGATAAACTTATTCACTATAGAATCTTCACAAAGCTCAGGTACCTGGTACCTAACAGCACCAGATACCTCTGGAAATGGAGGTTCAAAGAGGGTGGTGGAAACAAGGACTGGGTGGCGACCCCAGAGATACAACGAGATTCCTTCCCTGTCTCTTTGTCACCTGGAAGCTTCTTTGCCTCCACCCCTTCATAGTCTACACATCTCACTCTCTTACGAGTGCAAAACAGAAGTATTTGGACTTGGGAAGCTGAAAGTACCGTGTCAAAACCAAGAAGATTAAATGACTGTATACACAGTGGATGCTGAGTGATGAGACCCCCAGGCCCTCTTCCCCCAGCTTAGCTCCCAGAGCACTGATGGCCAGATCTTAAGCATCCAGGCAGGAGACTAAAATTCTGCTCCAGAGAATCTGACCAGCTCAAGAGAAATCATCAGAAGATACTGAAATTAGGTTTGTTCAACAAATGGTCCAGCCCGCCAGCTGACCCTGCAGTGAAGCTCACAGGCAACAAACCCTGCCTTGAGCTCCAAGCTTCCAGTTAGCTTTTTGGTTCTCAATTCTTTTTCTTGAAGATACAGACAAAACAAACAGAAGAAAAAGACAAACTGGAGTGTATGCAGGGAGAAGAAAACTTCCTCCAAAATAATTAATATCCTCAGAGAGATGACAAAAGATCCATAAAAAAGGAAAGAAAAAAACCCACACAGAGAACAGCAACAGCTAGAAGAGCTCTTGAGAATTAAAAACAGGAGCATACAGATGACAAATTAAATAGAGAGGCTGGAAAATCAAGTTGATGGGAAGTATCCCAGAAGCTAGAGGAAAAAGACAAAGAGCTATAAAATGAAAGAGAAAAGGAGAGGATGAGTCCAGGAGGGCTGACATTAAATAATAGAAGGAGTCTCAGGAAGAGAGAAAAGAGAAATCGAGGGAAACCCATCGACAAAATTCATCAAGAAGTTTGCCCAGAACAGAAGGACGTGAATTTCCAGAATGAAAAGCTCACCAAGTGCCCAAGACAGTAGATGAAAATAGAATCACACCAAGGAACATCAATGAGAAATGTCCAAAAAAAAAAATCCTACGGGTTTTCATAAAGAGAAAATAAGTCAATTAAAAGGATCAGGAAACACACTGACTTCAGACATTTAAAAGCTAATAGAGGCTGGGTGCAGTGGCTCAAGCCTTTACTCCTAACACTTTGGGAGGCCAAGGCGGAGGATCTCTTGAGCCCAGGAGTTCAAGACCAGCTTGGGTAACATAGTGAGACCCTATCTCTACAAAAAAAAAAAAAAAAAAAAAAAAAAAAAGGCTGAGTGTGGTGTTGCATGCCTGTACTTCTGGCTACTCAGGAGGCTGAGGTGGGAGGGTCACTTGAACCCAGGAGGTCAAGGCTGCAGTGGGCCATGATCACACTATTGCACTCCAGCCTGGGTGACAGAGGGAGACCCTGTCTCAAAAAACAAAACAAAACAAAACACATAACAAAACAAACAAAATAAAGAAAGAAAAAGAAAACCAAACAGACAATGGATAGAGGTTCCAATTCTGAGTAGGAGGGCAAACCCACACTCCACCTGGGCTCTCCCAACTGCACTTATAAAAACCTGGACAGAATGTAATCCCAGCATTTTGGGAGGCCAAGGCAAAGGATCACTTGAGATCAGCAGTTTGACACCAGCCTGGGCAACACAGCAAGACCGTGTCTCTATAAACATTTTTAAAATGTTTAAATTAAAAAAAATAAAGGAGGCCGGGCGCGGTGGCTCACGCCTGTAATCCCAGCACTTTGGGAGGCCGAGGCGGGTGGATCATGAGGTCAGGAGATCGAGACCATCCTGGCTAACAAGGTGAAACCCCGTCTCTACTAAAAATACAAAAAAAAATTAGGCGGGCGCGGTGGCGGGCGCCTGTAGTCCCAGCTACTCGGGAGGCTGAGGCAGGAGAATGGCGTGAACCCAGGAAGCGGAGATTGCAGTGAGCGGAGATTGCGCCACTGCAGTCCGCAGTCTGGCCTGGGTGACAGAGCGAGACTCCGTCTCAAAAAAATAAATAAATAAAAAAATAAAGGAAAGTAAACAGTCTTTTATTTATTTATTTATTTATTTTGAGACAGAATCTCACACTGTGAGCCACCGCGCCCGGCGAGTAAATAGTATTTCTGGGAGGTAAATAGTAGCAGGCAGATTGAGGAAAAGGAGAATCCAAAGTGCCACCAAAGCAGCAGTGTGTGTCTCACTTTTTCCTCTGAAATACTCTAGGCCGGCCGGGCACAGTGGCTCATGCCTGTAATCCCAGCACTTTGGGAGGTTGAGGCAGGCAGATCAACTGTGGTTGGGAGTTCAAGACCAGCCTGACCAACATGGTGAAGCCCCATCTCTACTAAAAATACAAAATTATCTGGGCATGGTGGTGCATGCCTGTAATCACAGCTACTCGGGAGGCTGAGGCAGGAGAATCGCTTGAACCTGGGACGCAGAGGTTACAGTGAGCCAAGATCGTGCCATTGCACTCCAGCCTGGGCAACAAGAGTGAAACTCTGTGTCAAAAAAAAATAATAATAATAATAATAACTCTAGGCCTAATTCAAGGCACTATGAAAGAATGGCAGCAATAACCTGAAGTGCCTAAAAAATGGAATATTATTTAGCAATAAAAAGGAACAAATTGGCCATGCACAGTGGCTCACGCCTGTAATCCCAGCACTTTGGGAGGCCAAGGCAGGCACATCACTTGAAGTCAGGAGTTCAAGACCAGCCTGGCCAGCATGGTGAAACCTCATCTCTACTAAAAATACAAAAATTAGCTGGGTGTGGTGCCTGGCGCCTGTAATCCCAGCCACTCAGGAGGCTGAGACAGGAGAATCGCTTGAACCCGGGAGGCAGAGGTTGCAGAGAGCTGAGATTGCATCACTGCATACCAGCCTGGGTGACAAAAGCAAGACTCTGTTGAAGAAGAAGAAGAAAGAAGAAGAAGAAGGAGGAAGAGGAGGAGGAGGAGGAGGAGAAGAAGAGGAGGAAGTCAACCGAGAAACTCAAACAGAGGGATATTCTACAACATAACAAACTGGTTTTCTTCAATAGTGACAAAATAATGAATGACAAGGAAAGACTGGGGAACTGTTGCAGATTGAAGAGACTAAATGCACTATGGGACCCTCACTTGGATCTTGAAACAGAAGAAAGACTTAGAGGGAAAACTGGTGAACTCCAAGTAAACCTGTAGTCTAGTTAGTCATACTCTACCACAGCTGCTTTCTTGGCTTTGACCATTGTGCTATAGTGCTGACATTCTGTAAGATGTAAACCTTAGGGGAAGCCGAGTGAGGGATATATAAACAGCCTGTCTAGTATTTTTACTTTTCCGTAAGTCTAAAGTTATTTCAAAATAAAAAATTTTCCAAAGACACATACTATATTAAAATAAGTCATCTTATATCCTTATTCTAAGGTTTATTCAGTAAACTTCTAAGGTTTATACAGGAATGACGTGGACTTGTAAACGGCCCCAGAGCTCAATCCTATTGGGCAACTGTGAGTTGGTGCCTGGGCCAGCGGCCTGGCTGACGCTTCTTGTTCATTCTTCTGCCTCAGCCAGTAGGTTTGGCTAGAATTCTAAGGCCTTAGACTTTGCCGGACTAGAAAAGGAAAGAGGAAAGGGAAGTAAATCGCCGCAGGGGTCAAACCTGCTTTCCTGTGCTCTTCTGAGCTGCTCTCGGCTCCTGCTCTGCAGAGCTAAAACCTCTAAGGAAGCCACTCTTTTATCATCTCCAAAAGATTACGGGATCATATAGTCTAGGCTGCAACTATACCATCTGCTTATGCCCTCGGAATTTTAAAAACGAGACCCATGTTTACAAATGTGAGCTGACATGTCACATTTGTGGAGAAATAACGAAGTAGCTGCCAGGCGGCAGCAAGATTCTTCATGTTCAGAAGCTCCTCCACGTAAAAGCAGGTTACGTCCTGAAAGATCATTCTTAAGTGCACTGTTTGTTAGTTCAGTTGCCTAGGAAGGGTTTAAGCTTTCAGCCCTCAGATTTCTTTCCACCAAACAGGCATGTTTTCAATTCACGCACATGCTCCTCCTCTGAACTGGTGAATGCACTCTCAGGCATGTTTTCCCCTAACAAATCCATTTTTTTCTACATTGAAAGTTCCGTTGGGACAGATAACATCTGCAAGTATTGTAAGAATCTCCTTAGCAGCTTCACAACCTCCACTCCGCTTTGAAGTCAGGCAAATTCAAAGGCGCCTTATATAGAGGAAATATCCGTGGCTTGAGGCAAACATTTCATCACTCCTAGGCTCGAAGTCTTCAAGCAAACAGCTGGCATTCTCCCGGACAGGGCTGGTAGACTCTGTGGATGTCTTGCCTTCAAGCCATGGCGCTTTAAATCCTTTGGGGTTTGTCTACTGTGTTTTCTATCCACTGCTGATGATTGTTGACTACAGAGGTAAGGCAGCTTTTATACATTACACAACTACCCTTTGTCCTTTAGAACCTTTCCTAATGTTGAATGACTCAGTCCATAACCAAGGGCAGCATTCGTTACTTTGTCACTGTTTTCTATTAAAACAACAACAACAACAACACTCTCTCATTTGTAATTGAATACATTAATAAACCCTTTCATGGGCATGATGGAGTTAAACGTGTTTGTAAAACACCTCAACACCCTGTACTAGCAAAGCAAACACACCTTAGACCAAGAGGCCTGCAGCCAAGAACCCTGATCCCAGTCCTTGGTGGTGACTGACCTTTCTCGGGAAAGCACAGCTTTGTTGACAATCATGGACGTTCTCAAGGAGATGGGCTCTGTACTTCCTATAAAAAGCAAGGAGTCCAGGTGTGGTGGCTCATGCCTGTAATCCCAGCACTTTGGGAGGCCGAGGCAGGAGGATCACTTGAGGCCAGGAGTTCCATACCAGCCTGGCCAACATGGCAAAACCCCATCTCTACTAAAAATACAAAAATTAGCTGGGTGTGGTGGTGCACACCTGTAATCCCAGCTACTTGGGAGGCTGAGAATTGCTTGAACCTGGGAGGCAGAGGTGGCAGTGAGCCAGGATCATGCCACTGCACTCCAGCCTGGGCAACAGAGCAAGACCCTGTCTCAAAAAAAAAAAAAAGCAAGGAGATTCTAAAGTTGATCTGCAGTGCACTGTCTCCAGATCAACAAACCTGGAGGCTGGCAAAGTTATCTGAAGAATTTGGGCAGAAATATATTTATCTGTATCATTAAAAAAAAAAAAACAGCCAAGTGCTGTGGCTCACGCCTGTAATCCCAGCACTTTGGGAGGCTAAGGCAGATGGATCGTTTGAACCCAGGAGTTCAAGACCAGACTGGGCAACATGGTGAAACCCCAGCTCTCCTAAAAATGCAAAAATTCAACCGGGCATGGTGATGTGCACCTGTAGTCCCAGCTACTCAGGAGTCTGAGGAGGGAAGATCACTTGAACCCGGGAAGCAGAGGTTGCAATGAGCCATGATCACGCCACTGCACTCCAGCCTGGGTGACAGAGGAAGACTGTTCCTCAAAGTAAAATAAAAATAAGAAAAATAATAAATCAAAGATTAGTTCAGAAATCTGCAAAGTAGGATACACTGGTTAAGCACTTACTATGTATCAAGTGCTTAACCAGTGTAACCTATTTTACATTGTGTAACCAATGCATGCATTGTCATTTAATTCTTTTCTTTCTTTCTTTCTTTCTTTCTTTCTTTTTTTTTTTTTTTTTGAGATGGAGTCTTGCTCTATTGCCTAGGCTTGAGTATAGCGGTGCAATCTCAGCTCACTGCAACCTCTGCCTTCCGGGATCAAGCAATTCCCCTGCCTCAGCCTCCCAAGTAGCTGAGAGTGTGTGCATGTGCCACCATGGCTGGCTAATTTTTTTGTGTTTTTAGTAGAGATAGGTTTTCGCCATGTTGGCCAGGCTGGTCTCAAACTCCTGACCTCAGGCAATCCTCCCACCTCAGCCTCCCAAAGTTCTGGGATTACAGGTGTGAGCCACTGCACCTGGCTGTAATTCTTAAAACACCTCTACTATATAGATATTAGTATTACATATTACAAATAGGGAAACTGAGGCATAGTTAAAGTAACTTGTGCAAAGTCACACGGCTAATTAGGGAGTAGGGATTCCAACCCAGTCTCTGACTACAGAACTCTCAACCACTACGTTGAAGTTTTCAGGCACCACCTGTCTCAGATTCACTCTGACCGTGGGGAAATGAGTATGCATCTACACTCAAAGGTATTGTTACCTTTTTTCCTCACAATACTGTCGTCCAAGAGAATTAGCTCTGTGTCCAGTTTACAACTCTCCCACTCTGCGTCACCTTCCTATCAGCATATCAAAAACCACGCTACCTCCCAACTCTGCTTTAAGAATCTAAAGAACTGGATGCTGATGATGGCAAAGTCTGTTGATAGATCTCAAGCAGTGGCTCTCAATCAGGAGTGATTTTGGCCCGCAGGGGACATTCGGCTATTTTTGATCATCACAACTTAGGTGGGAGTGGGGAGGGGAGCTACCTGGTAGCAGCCAGGGATGTTGCAAAACATCCTATAATGCACAGGTAGCTCTCCCACCCACCCATCAGTCTGGCCCAAAATGTCAATAGTGTTGAGGTTGAAAAACTCTGAGCTAAAAAAATCAGTAATGCTCGTTAGCCCTCGTCCACAGCCCGGCCCGGAATGAAGCATGGCTAGCATGGCGGACACCAGTCAAGAAATGGTATCAGATGGGTTAGCTCTTCTGCAAGGGGAGATGCTGATGCTTGCACTTGGGCTTCTTCCAGCCAGCTAATTAACACATCTACAGATTGCCTGAACTGACAGCCTCCTTTCCCCCAGACAAACAGCATGCTGATAAGCCTTTCCAAAATCAAAATACTGTCCTGACAAACTAAGGGAGTGATTCAGCAAGGTGAGTCTTTCTGCTGCGCGTGAGGCAAAGGCATAGGACCTAGTCTAGAGGCAGTCAATGGGGTGGCATGCCCAGAGTGAAGGGCATGCCCAGAGTGAAGTATGGCATTAGTAAGGGCAAGGGGGCATCGGCAGAGAAAGTCAGGAAAGATCATTACCATCCAATGGGGAGGAGTGGAACTTTAAAACTGGTCAGGGAATCCTGTTGGCTTCACTCGCTTATTATTTTAGCAGGCAATGAGATCATGGTCTGCAAGAACAGAGCTAAAGAGCTGGGAGCTATAACCACATACTGCTGCAAATAAAGTCAGCTCCAGTATGGAAAGGAACACAAGGCATGGGCTGCATTTGATTCACCCAAGGTTCAAGGTCAGAGTTGTGCCATGAAGGCACCAGTGGAGTTGGGGGGAGGCAGACACACCTGGTTTTGAACTCCAGCTTTGAAATACTTCCACCATGTGTAGGCAGAAAACAATTTCTCTGAGACTTCATTTCCCATCTGTAGAGCAGGAGAAATAATAAGAGTCACTATGCAGGGCTGTCCTGAGAAGCAAAGGGTGTGATACGTGTAATCCAGCGCTTGGATAGGGGGCTGTGCACAAAATTAGTCTGGAACAAGAGCCAAGTCGTCCCTCCTGCTCCCCTCCTCCCTTTCCTTGCACATGGTTTTCCCGGGTGCCTGGCTGACAGAGGAACTGTTCCTGGGGCTGAGTCCTGCGATCCCAATAGAGGCTTTTTATTAAGTAGAATTTACACTGACAACCTATTCCATACGATATGTCCAGAGAGCAAGCTCACCTTAAACAAGCATATTCAACTTTTCTAGAGCCCAGAAAATCACTTTTTGAAATACTTATTATGAACCTGGGGTCCCTAGAAGAAGATTTACCATGAAGTTAATGAAAATGAAACTTCAGGCTTCTCACTTCACCCGTCCCGCAGGGAGGCTCAAGCCAGGGCCCCAGCAGCCTATGCATATGGTCACTCACTGTTATAAACTCTGCAATGGTAAGATGTTTAGTTGCTTCAGATCACTGCCTCTTTCCACCTTGACTTCCATTTGGCCACATTTCCTCTCCTTTTGGGTGGCTTTGGAATGGCCATGGGCATTTTGGGGACCTAGCAAAAGAACCCAAGTTAGAGCTACCTTTAGTTTTGGGTTGATTATGATATACTGATACAGTCAATTTCTTTCTTTCTTTTGAGACAGGGTATCGCTCTATCACCGGACTGAAGTGCAGTGGTGTGATCAGGGCTCACTGCAGCCTAGACCTCCTGGGGGCAAGCAATCCTCCTGTCTCAGTCTCCCAAGTAGCTGGGACTATAGGCACATACCACCACACCCAATTAATTTTTGGATTTTTTTTGTAGAGACTGGGTTTGGCCATGTTGCCCAGGCTGGTCTCAAACTCCTGGGTTCAATCAATCTGCCCAACTCAGTCTCTCAAAGTGCTGGGATTACAGGTACGAGCCACTGCTCCTGGTTGATGCAGTCACTTTCGTATAGCCAAGCTACTGCTTAGAAAAGGTTTCTGGGGATATTCCTACGTTCCGACTTAGCTGGCATGGAGTCGTAAAGGCTCAGACTCAAGCATCATATCATGATATGTGCATGTCCCCAGAGCAAGGGGGGGAAACAAGATGTGAAATAGGGTCCTACAAGAGTCTGGGGCAAAGCTTTCCAATCATCAAACTTGTACAATTGTAGGTACACTTAAACGGATCACTGGTCAAGATGAAAGTTCTCACCTTTCAGGAACATAAGAGGCCATCAATGAATATCTGCCCCAAAATGTGGGATAGAAAGGATTTTAGAGATATGTTAGTCAGTTAATTATATGTTTTTCTAAATTTAGTGATACTTTAATACCTAATTTTGTATGTTTGAATTTATATTCTCTTCCTTCCAAATTACATAAGCTTCAGGACCTACGAAACCTAGATTCACCCCTTTGGCTCACATGCTCTTATTTTAGCTTTTTTTTTTTTTTTTTGAGACGGGGTCCCACTCTGTCACCCAGGCTAGAGTGCAGTGGCGCAATCTCAGCTCACTGCAACCTCTGCCACCCGGGTTTGAGCAATTATCTTGCCTCAGCCTCCCGAGTAGCTAGGATTACAGGCACACACCACCATGCCCAGATAATTTTTTTTGTATTTTTAGTAGAGATGGGGCTTCACCATGTTGGCCAGGCTGGTCTCGAACTCCTGATCTCAGCCTCCTAAAGTGCTGAGATTACAGGCGTATTTTAGCTTTTTGAAGAGGGTAGGATGGAGAAAAAGATGAAGAGGGAGAAAACCAAACTTCCTAACTAAATTTTGTGAAATAATTATATTTCAGTGACACAGTGAAATTCTTTGTATGGTTGTTCTTTCTGAAAAGAGCGAAATGAAATAGGATTGAGAATCCTGACTATACCAATAGATTTTCTTTTAAGGCTGCGTCTGTTCTGCAGTGTTTGGGTAAAGCACTTTCTGTGCATTGTGAAATAAAACACGCCTAGATTGTTAAAAAAAAAAAAAAAAGGCTGTCAATTTTCCGTTAAAGCCTTTTATCTGTACTTTACCCCTTCCCTCCAGCAGATTCTAAACTCTTCATTCACACCCACTATTGTCACTTCCACACTAAATTAAACAAACTCAGTTCGATCACTGCAGTTTTTGGAAGCACAAAGTAACACTATACAAGTTAGAGAAAGTGAAAGAACTTCTTTCTAAATTCAAACGGCTGAACAAGGAAACATTCAGGTAGGCAGAGTCCTTGCAGTTTCTGTTCTTACCACAGAAAAACTTAAAGAAGCCACATTCTGGATGTTGTTTTTCATGTTAACAAAAAGTCCAGACGGACCCCATAGCTCACAGTGCTTCTTCTCACCCCTCGCCCCTCCCCAAACTCCATCGACCCAGAAGCATTAATTTCATAAGGAAGAGAAAACTTGGCTTTCTACTAAATTCAGCTCTGAATTCAGCCCTCCATTTCCCAAGGGCTAGGACCCAGAGCCAAGTCAGCCCGCCCCTCCCTCTCGCTCCCAGACCTGAGCTGCGGATGCTGCAGCCCAGCACTCCTCCAGGTTTGGAAAAGGCGGCTACGCTGGGCAAGTTTGGAAAGTTCTGGGAGAAGAGCGAAAGGAGGGAGTGTGTGTTGGCTCTTTTCCTTTCCTTGGAAAGCACTTAACAAGAATGACACCCTACCCCCACATCAAATGCCTTCTCTTGCAGTCCTGGTTGTTTTATAAAAACTGAGTTCGTGTCTTTAATGCCAGGATTTTCTTCCTGGTAGTAAGCATTGGCTAATGATTGCCAGTCGGCTTCTGCGTCTGTGTGCCATGTGACCTGGACACGTGACTTGGAGCCGGCTGTGGTTGTTACTTGTATTTGAATAAGAAGATCAAGCTTATTATTGCAGTAAAAGCCTGTGGGACTTGTCTGTGCAACGTGATTCCCCAGGCGGGTTACACAACGCACCGTACAGCCTCGTCTTCCAGAGGCTCCAGTTGTTTCGTAAGGTAAAACAAACACGATTTTATATTTTCCAAAGTGAAAGTCCATTTTCCCCCTGGAAAGTGTCTGATGATCCTGGAAAAAGATGAAGCCTAGTTTCTCCAAACCCTGTTAGTCCCCTTGGTACAGTAAGGTAGAACTACTGCCCAGCACACAATTAGAGAAAAAAAAACAAATCCAGTCTCCTTTTCAAATAAAGATTTAGGATTGACGTTAGAGAAAAAAACATCCAGTCTCCTTTTCAAATAAAGATTTAGGATTGATGTTAGAGAAAAAAACAGATCCAGTCTCCTTTTCAAATAAAGATTTAGGATTGATGTTAGAGAAAAAAACAGATCCAGTCTCCTTTTCAAATAAAGATTTAGGATTGATGTTAGAGAAAAAAACAGATCCAGTCTCCTTTTCAAATAAAGATTTAGGATTGACGTTACCTTTTACTATTTCCCCTTCTCCCTTCCTAAAAAGTCTTCAAGATATGCTCTTATCTACCTATAAAGAATTTACACTAAAAATGACGTTTTTAAATTTAAAATTTAAATGGCACGTTCATTTTGCGATTTTTTTCCCTTAGATTTCTACAACATTAATAGTTAAATTTTTATTGTCCACATACCCTGTAAAAGAGACATCAGAAGGATTCATCTTTTTGTAGGTGAGAAGAGCTGGATGTTCCCTTCAGGTTAGGATGTATGCGTGCATATATATATGCAAATATATGCAGATTTACCCCAGGAGGGCTTTTCCACGACCAAGAAGGTGACATCTTTACCATGCATGTTTTAATACTTTCCCCACCCCAATGCTGAAGAAGCCCTGCTATAATTTGCTTTCTTCTGCCTCTAAGGGTGATGACTCAACTACAGAGGCAAGATCAGGGAGGAACAATAGCTTTGGTTATCTCTAATGAGCGATCCAATAACCATCAAACCAGTGAGTTCTCTCAGCCCAAGGCTGGCGCCTCTGTGTGGAACCGCAAAGGGCACTTTTCTTTCTTTCTTTTTTTTTTTTTTTTAACTTTTATTTTAGGTTCAGGGGTACATGTGCAGGTTTGTTACACCGGCAAACTCATGTCACAGGGGTTTGTTGTACAGATTATTTCGTCATGCAGGTACTAAGCCTAGGACCAATTAAACATTAACTCTCCATTTTCCATTCCCCTACCCGCTGGTAACCACCATTCTGCTGTTGTCTCTAGACACTCATATAACTAGAGTCACATAGTATTTGTCCTTATGTGACTGACTTATTTCACTTAACATAATGTCTTAAAGATTCATCCATGTTGAAGCATATGTCAGAATATCCTTCCTTTTTTAAGGCTGGATAATATTCCATTGTATGTATACCACATTTTATCTATTCATCCATCCATGGACACTCGGGTTGCTTCTATCTTTTGGCCATTGTGAAGGATGCTGCTGTGAACCTGGGTATACAATTATCTGCATGAGTTCCTTTCAATTATTTCCTTTCAATTCCTTTCAATAGAAGTCATGCTTTCAGTTACTTTGGATAAATATCCAAAAGTAGGATTGGTGGATATATGGTAATTCTGTTTAATTTTTTCGAGGACCCACCGTACCGCTTTCCATAGAGGCTGTGCCATTTGTTTTTTCTAGAGATGGGTCTCCCTTTGTAGCTCAGGCTGGAGTGCAGCGGTGAAATCAAAGCTCACTGTCACCTCGAACTCCTGGGCTCAAGGAATCCACCCACCTCAGCCTCTCCCCGAGTAGCTGGGGCTACAGGTGTATGCCATCATACTTGGCAAAAAAATAAAAAATAATTTGTAGAGATGGATCTCACCATCTTGCCTAGGCTGGTCTGAAACTCCTGGGCTCAAGCAATCCCACCTGAGACTCCCAAAGTGCTGGGATTATAGGCATGAGCCACCACGTCTGGCTGAGGCTGTGCCATTCTGACCCTGTTGGTGGTTCAGGTCTTTGTAAGAGGTGAGCTTGAAAAAGACATAAATTTTATTCTTTGATTTTCTAAAGACTCACTAATGCTGGACATGGTACCTTGTTTCTGCCTTAGGCTCTCCTTCTACAGAGGGAAGATGGCCGTTACTATCTCTCTCAGGAAAACAAGGAACTATGGCAAGTGTTGTTGAGATAGGCTGGGAGAAATTTAGTTCAAAATATGGTATATGGCCGGGCGTGGTGGCTCACGCCTATAATCCCAGCACTTTGGGAAGCCGAGGCAGACTGATCACCTGAGGTCAGGAGTTCGAGACCAGCCTGGCCAACATAGTGAAACACCATCTCTACTAAAAATAAAAAAATAAAAAAAAAAATAGCCGGGTGTGGTGGTGCACACCGTAGTCCCAGCTACTTGGGAGGCTGAGGCAGGAGAATCACTTGAACCCGGGAGGCGGAGGTTGCAGTGAGCTGAGATTGCACCACTGCACTCCAGCCTGGGTGACAAAGTGAGACTCCGTCTCAAAAAAAAAAAAAAATACAGTATACCCTCATCCTAAGTTTTGGGGTCAGAGACTGTGCTGTCCCTTCCTCCATCATGAACTGTGCCCCTCTTTCCAATGCATAGGTCAAGGTTAGGGATGGCCATAGGGCCACTTTTGGGGGCCTAAGTTCTGATATCTGCATTGCTCACCAGACATGTATGTCAAGGACCTTCTCTGAGACAATGCTGCTTTTATAAAATACCATCCTTAGCCAGCAGACATATCTTGCCTGCATTTCTGACTTCTGTTTCAGCTCACCATCTTCCTTTTCCTTTGGTGTGGGCTACACGTCTAGAGGGAAGAGAAGCCATTGAATGTCTGTCAAAATCCAGCCAAGATTTCACTAAGAATATGCTAGCTGTATCCTTTCTCTCAGTCTCCCCCTTCCTGACCTCCTGGCCAGCGCTGACTCAGGATAGCAGAGGCTCTGCCAATTTCAGGGCACGCTTTTGCTCTCTGTTCAGTCACAGACCCACGTTAGGCCCTGTCAAAGCAGGAGAGGCCCTACACCTCTCTCATGAGGCACATAAGCAGTATTGGCATGCTGTTCTTTGGAAGGTTCCCCACAACTGTCCCTCGGCCCTCTGGCACTTTGGACAGGCTGGCCTTTTGGGCATTACCTGCCAGAGTCTCCGGAGTGTCCTCTGAGACTGGCTATGGGGAAACAGGGAAGGGGAAGGTGCTGGCGCTCATGCTGGAATAGTGCAATGTTTTGATCAAAGTTCACAGAGTGATCACTCCAGAGTAGCTGTGCTGTGTTTTTAGTCATGCTGACAGCAGCGAAGTGGCCTCTACACAAAGCCTTCTCTTGGTGCAGGATCAGAAACAGGGCTGGAGGGGGAGAACTCCTCGGTGCCGACTTACAAGGTCCCTAAGAAACAAGATCCCACCCGTATCTCCCAACAAAGGTTCAACTCTTGTTTCTGAAGCATGTGCTGCTAAATTAATTAGTCCTTAGTGGCCAGGAGAGAAGGGCCCTTGGTCATTGTAGCCATGCGGGTAATGCCCCACTGTCCCCACTCTCCCAGCCCCATCAGAGTAATACCCTACTACCCCCACTCTCCCAGCCCCATCAGGCCCCAGGGCTTGGCCTCTTGGAGGTGACTTACCCCTCTGGAGTGAGGCTCCATGAGGGCAGGGCCCCCTCTCTCTTAATCACTCTTGCATCCCTGACACCTGCAATCGTGCCCTGCAGAGAAAACATTCAATCAATATTTGTGGAATGAGTGAATCCATCACTGCAATTTTCTGTCCTGGGCTGGAGAATGGGCTTGCCTTCTCTTTAGAAGACAGTAACTGATGGCCTCGATGGAAAAGAGACAGATTCTCTCTATGTTGCCCAGGCTGGTCTTGAACTCCTGGGCTCAAGTGATCCTCCCACATTGGTCTCCCAAAGTGTTGGGATTACAGGCATGAGCCACCACGCCTGGCCTCACCTATTAAGAAACAGATTTTGCAGTAGGTTATGGGAAATTCTAGATGGAGTATTAGCACAGGAGCTGGGCTTGATGGGATATGAAGGAAAAAGGTCCCAGGAAGCATGATAGGAGAAAATGAGACAGCAAGTTTCAGATGTTCTCTGCCTTGATTTTATGACAACATACAATAGAATAGGGCATGTTACAAGAAACCATAAAGAATATTCCAAACGTTTTTTTTCTTTTGAGACGGAGTTTTCACTCTTGTTGCCCAGGGTGGCTTACAGTGGTGTGATCTTGGCTCACTGCAACCTCCGCCTCCAGAGTTCAAGTGATTCTCCTGCCTCAGCCTCCTGAGTAGCTGGGATGACAGGTGCACACCACTACGCCCAGCTAATTTTTTTGTATTTTTAGTAGAGATGGGGTGTCACCATGTTGACCAGGCTGGTCTCAAACTCCTGATCTCAGGTGATCTGCCCACCTCAGCCTCCCAAAGTGCTGGGATTACAGGCGTGAGCCACCACGCCCGGTCAAGAATATTTCACACTTATATAAAGCATGTACTAAATAACTCTAAGTAAATAGGATCCATAACTTGTTAGCTTGAATGCAAGGTAAAAATAAAATACAAATAAATAAAACAAAATAAATAAACAGGGTATTTTGAGTTGCTAGAAAAGAAAGAAAACCCTCATTTGGAAAAACCACAGGCCTCCTTGGAAGAAGTTAAGCTGGTGGTTAGGATGGGATCAAATTGTTGTCTTTATTAACAGCTGACAGTTGCTGTGAGTAAAACTCTGATCAACCCATAAACCCAAAAGCAGATCAGATGTGGGAGAGTTCTCCTTCAGCTTTCCAGCAAACTTGTCTCCTGCTTCAACCAAGTCAGACCTGGGCTGAGCCTGCAATGAAGAGCCTCAGGTCAGAGTCCAAAAAGTCATTAGGAAAAACATATGAATGGTAAAGCCACAAATAAAGATACCACCTAACTTCTCTACCTAGTGCCTCATGTAATTGTCAGGCTACAGGAAAGAGCGCTTACTTAACTCTGCGCTTGGCACTTGACAAATGTTTATTGGCTACCATTATTATTGTCATTATTGTTATACTGATGTGCCACAGATATAGCCATTAACTTTCCAAGTCCCAAATTAGAAACCTCTGGTGTAAAATTTGTTGGGTGCAGTGGCTCATGCCTGTAATCCCAACACTTTGGGAGGCTGAGGTGGGTGGATCACAAGGTCAAGAGATGGAGACCATCCTGGTTAACATGGTGAAACCCTGTCTCTACTAAAAATACAAACATTAGCCAGGCATGGTGGCGGGCGCCTGTAGTCCTAGCTACTCAGGAGGCTGAGGCAGGAGAATCACTTGAATCCAGGAGGCGGAGGTTGCAGTGAGCCAAGATCGTGCCACAGAGCGAGACTCGGTCTCAAAAAAAAAAAAAGTGTACATATACTCAGAGAACAAGATAGGCTACTTTGATCCAAGACTATCTAGAAAATTTCAGGCTGTGTGTAGCCCTTTTCATGGGCTCACTGTTGACAACCACTCCAGCCTAGTTGTGAAACTTACCCAAGTTCGTGTATTTTTGAGGGTACACAGGGTAGTGGTTCATCCAGCAAATCTAAATCCCAGTTGTTGCATTCAATTCAATTCAAACCACACATTGAGTACCTAAATGTAAAATATTGAGCAGGGTGCTCCGAGGAATAGAAAAATGAAAAAGATGGCCCTGTCACTCAGACGCTCAAATCGTCAAGTCGTGGGGAGGCTACCAGGCACAGGTACACAAATAACTCTAATTCAAGGCAGACAGCCCCAAGTGACACACAGAAGTATAAAAAGAAAATGCACTGGGAATGTGATGGCCTGAGGGATTAATTCCTGCAGGGGACAGGGGAGGAAATGGGAAGGGCTGCCCTCATGCTGAGTGCTGGGACTGGGGGAGATCAGCTTCATGATTAGTTACTGACAGCACCTGACCTACCGGGCTTTGGGGGGCAGTTTAAAGTATTTACACTTCATTTGGGCCCAGAAAGAAAATGAGTGCTCTCCATCCAAAACTGGAGGATAAAACTCCACAGCTAGAGAGCTTGGCTGAGGTCTCAAAGAGACGGGCCGAAACCCAGGCAAGAGAAGGATCGTGGCCTGAGCTTAGGTCCGCACGCTGCCCACGTTTCTATTCATCTCCGCAATTACAGACCTTTCAGGCGCCTTTCTCCACACTGCAAATGGACCTGTCCTTGAACAAACTAATTAATGCTAATGTGTTAGGAGAGGTTAATAGATTGTAGGCCTGCAAGCCCCTCGAGGCAGATACTTGGATTTGATGGTAGAATTTCATTGCACGGAGTGGTGAGAGACTCGTTTTAAGCAGTTTCCGTTCTCATCTCATATGAAGGAGGCCATCTCCTTTGCTTGCATGCAGAGCTGTCTCCGAGTGGGAAATTCTCCCCAGCATGGCTGTGTCCTATGCAGCCACTAGCATAAAAGCATTCCTCCACCCCTTTAAAAGGCAGGCAAGCTGGGCACAGTGGCCTGTGCCTGCAGTCCCTGCTACTCGAGAGGCTGAGACAGAAGAATCATTTGACTGCCCGAGTTTGAGAACTGCCTGCGCAACATGGTAAGACCCTTGTCTCCACAAAAAAAAAAAAAAAAAACAGTCAGGCATACAATGTTGTTGGGGCACAGAGGTAGCCATGAGAAAATCTACAAATGAAAGACCCCACACAGTGGGCCTAGCCCTACTCATGATCCCACTTCTTCAACGTAAGAGACTAGCACCTTTCTCCACTACAGTCATGGCCAAGTTTAACTAATGAGTTGGGAGCTACTTGGGGGCCCTTTTGACACCACCAGAGCCGACAGAGATGCTCACAGCACTGAAATATGGAGAGTTTGAAGAATGTAGGACAAACCAGGAGAGCGATAATGGCCATGGGACAGGGTAGCTGGCTTCAGAAGTAGATTTGGAGCATTTTCAGCTCAGCTTGTTCCAGGCCTTCAATATTCACCAAGTAATCTGACTTGAGTTGTTTCCCAAATAGGCTCCTCTACCAGAAAGAATTATTCATTCATTGAACAAATATATTGATCCCCTACTATCAGCCAGAATGATTGAATATAGTTTAGTGGGAGGGGTAGATAAAACCATGCTGGGAGGCCTCCGTGTGGTCCGTACTGCATTTGAGGGAAGCCCAGGGTGTGAAGGGCCGTGGCACAGACATCCCATCCAGAAGGTGGGTGGGGAACACTGCTCCTGGGAGATGACTGAATATTGAAGGAAGAATATATTAATATTATAATTCAAGAGATGAAGTGAAAGAAGGCATCCCAGAATAATGGATCCATATGGATGAAAGATTTGGAGGGGTCTCCTGCCTTAAATGATGACATTGAATTTCCTCTGTGTCTTGAAGGTTTGGCTGCATGAGTTGGTTATCATCCCAGGACCACCTCATCCATCCTAGAACCACTAAATCTCAAACTTGCAGGCTAGAAGTAGGAAACCAATCCTTGGAAGTCCAAAATGTAGCCATGACTTGCCTTTGACCCCATCTGGAGTAAAGAGGTGCAGGCTGCCTGGTATAGCTGCAGAATAGGGAGTGGCCAGTGCTTGGGCCAGAAAGGAAGGCGAGGACCAATTACAAAAGGCCCCCTAGGCCATGCCGGCAAGTTGCCACAGGTCTCCTAAGCACAGATGTGTCTGTTTAGCAACTTGTTCATTATCAACTTGATGCAGGAGGGCCATGTTTAAGCCTAAATAGACATTGTTGAAAGTGGTGATTTGCCAACCATTCTTGACCCCCACACTTATAGAATAGTGAATCGGGAGGCAGTTGGGGGAGGATACTAGTACTAAAACCCCCTAGAAATGATAGATGGCTGCCCCTCACCTCATCAGCTTTCATCTAAATTAATGGAAAATGGCTTCTCACTCCCATTGTCTCTTAAAATGACGCGTTGGCTCCCTTATGTACCTAAGGTTGGAATCCCAGATGGGGAGGTGATATATCTCAGGTCGTGTTCAAGGGAGGAACTTGCTTCTCAAGTCTCAACTCCAAGATAAACATGCTGTTACTGCCATGCACTTAGCTTCCAAAAACACAGCCATGAGGAAAATGCTTCATGCAATGTGACGCCGGAGGTATAATTAAACTTCAAAAGGGTATCAATTGCATCATGTTCAGGAAAAATGTAGAAAAATAAAAGCGGTACTGAAAGAAACCCTAAAACACCCCACCACCTACATTTATCTTTGGGAGAAGGAAAATAAACTGAGGTGATCTCCTGGGGCACCAGATTTGCTCAAGTAGGGCTTCCGTTAACGTTGCACTGGAAAAGGGAGTTTCTTGTGTGTCTTTTCCAAATCTAATCTTTACGAAAAGACACATTCCAAGATTTTAGTTACCATCATGCCTCTGGAGCAAAAGAGGTAACAGTTGTGAAAATAGTTTGAACCATTTAAAAATCAAACTATGTAATAATCACATGCTAATATGATTAATGTTTTATTTTAGATCATGTTTGTTGGGAAAAGGTCAAGAGCAAGGGCTCTAGAGACAGATGGCTTGTTTCAGATTCCCGCAGTCTTTTCTGCTTCCTGACCTTAGATCAATAAAATACCTAAACTCTTGGAGCCTCAGTTTCACTGGCTGTAAAATAGAGGAGTTGTGGCAAGGCTGAAATGAGTCATTCCACAGAAAATTTGGGACTCATTGGCACACACTCAATAGCCAATAAATATTAACTCTGTTGCGATGATTCCCCTGGAGAGCCAGGGTTTCAGACTCTGTCTGGAACACACCAGTTTGCTTTGCAAAGACAAACTCTGTCCCTTGGCTAAACTTTCTGCCCCTCACTTTGGCTAACACCTTCGAAAGGCATGTTTTTAAGGGTCCTCGTGAGAGGGTACAGACGAATCAACTAGTAAAAAATCAAGAAAGTCAGTGGCACCTTGTCCATATATGAAAGGTAGCACTTGTACTATGAAATTATATGGATTTTAAAGGAAGAGTCATGCCAGAGGAGTCTCAATTTTAAAGCTATTTAAATAAAGCTGTGTCAAGCAGAGAAACGACAGATATTACCATTCAAAATTCCAGAAAGCACACTTTGCCAAAACTCCAGGTTACTAAAGATGAAATTGATATTATCTTTCTAAAGACAGAAATCCCAGGGAAAATGAACAAACACACCAAAAATAAAAAAATTTTTTTAAGCCTGCTTCTTTTATGCCTGTTGCCTGTCTGTAGCTGTCCAGGCTTGTTTAACATTTAAATGCTGTTTTAAAAAAAAAAAAAAAAAAGCCAAATCAGGTTTCATAAACTGATCTGTGTGGCTTCTAAAACAATAACCCTTCAGTTTAAGAGTTTGCAGCTTGGATCCTGATCTTAAATTCTGCCACTCTAAATTATTATAATCTAGGCCAGGCGCGGTGGCTCATGCCTGTAATCCCAGCACTTTGAGAGGCTGAGATGGGCGGATCACAAAGTTAGGAGTTCGAGACCAGCCTGACCAACATGGTGAAACCCCATTTCTACTAAAAATAGGAAAATTAACCGGGCATAGTGGTGCATACCTGTAATCCTAGCTACTCAGGAGGCTGAGGCAGGAGAATCGCTTGAACCTGGGAGGTGGAGGTTGCAGTGAGCCGAGATCACACCACTGTACTCTAGCCTGGGCAACAGAGCAAGACTCCATCTCAAAAAATAAATAAATAAATAAATAAATAAATAAATAAATAAATAAAATCTTTAAAATGTAAGGGAAGGGACAGAACCTTGTCCTTAGCTTTCTCTGGGCTCTCTTGTTTGGTTGAAGTAAGACTCTATTTAATACCTTCAGAATTTGCTCTTGCCTTGAAGCAATAGACAAGTGTGTGCTGCTCTGTTCTATATATGGGAACAGTGAGTACAAATAGAAGGTTGAAGGTTTGCTTTGAAGCTCAATGTTTCCAGTGCAAAGCCTCTCCCAAACACTGGAGCAGCAGGGACATGCAGCGTGACAGCTCCCGGCTTCTAACAGCTAACATATTAATTCTAAGTAGTGTTGGACTGAAGGTCAGGAATCTGATTTTGACCTTAGCACTAATGGGAATCCTGTGGGAATCCTGAGAGTGGCTGAATAAGTGCTGTAATATCACTAATAATTAATAATGATGATAATGTCCCAGGTTTCTTATTTTAGTGCTTTTTAGCCCCCGAAGGCTTCAAATCACTTTGCAGACCAATTGTTTCACCCACTGTTGACCTGTAACCGACTCAGCCATGGAATATTGCCCTGTTGTCAAGAACACAGCCACATTTAGCTTGTTTAAGCATGAACTGAAGAAAGATACCCACTGAAAATTAAAGTGTAAATTTTAGGTAGGCAGGTTATAATTATCCACTTGAAATCAAGCCAAGAAATGGAGCTTAAAACCCTTTCTTTTGTGAAAAGCACCCAGGCAACTTTCTGGACTGTATACAGACATCGGCTTTTCATCTCCTCTAACTCAGGGTTTCTCATTCTCAGGACTGTTGGCATCTTGGGCTGAATGATTTTCCACTGTGCTGGTGGAGGGGGCTGTCCTGTGCATGGTAGGATGTTTACAGCATCCCTGGCCCCTACCCACTAGATGCCAGTAACACACACACATACACTCTCTCCCAGTGTGACAACTGAAAATGTCTCCTGACATTGCCAAATGTCTCCTGGGCGGGGCGGGGGGCAAAGTCACCGCCAGTCAAGAACTGCTGTTCTAATTCCATATGTTTTCAAAGCTGGGGTATAGGTATTAGAAGCAGCTGCCTCACCAAACCTTTTATTTCTCCAAGTTGCTTGAAAGATTCCTGGTGAAAGAGGGACATTTATCTGCCTACAGCCTTGGGCAGTCAGAGAAACTATGGTTTAGGGCTGAAATTAGCTCCTCCTTCACAAAAAAAAAAAAAAGAAAAGAAAAGAAAAGAAAAAAGCGATAACACAATTCCAGACTATCAAACACCACCAATCCTCCAAAAGTCTCTCTTCCTGACATATAACTTCCCACAAGTGGCTGCTTGAGGTTGTAACAGAATAGCACTGTGACAGCTTCAGGATCCCTGATGCCCACCTCTCAGACTTCACGGGGTCAGAGTTCCTCGCCCTTCTGGAATCTACAGCCTCTGTCAAACAGCAGATAGGTGGCTTGGATTGAAATGCCTAGAGACACCGTGATCATTCCAGCTACCACCAAATCTGACCATGATCTGTCACCAGCAGCTTCTTACTCACCCCCATTACACCCACAAACCCTCCAGGAACCTCAGCTCCAGAAGCTACCCTCACCGCCTGGCCCAGGCTGGTGCCTCCGGACACCTTCCACACCCAAGGGAGGTGGCTTGTGAACATTTTCCACCACAGCCCATTATAAGAAACATATTCTACATCACGAGCCCCCTGTCGTTCACGCATACAAAAACACATTTTTATTTTGAACTAATTTTAGACTTGCAGAAAAGTTGCAACAATAGTCCAAGAAATTTTTATATATCCCTCATCCAGCTTCCCCTACTATTAACAACTTGTGTAACCATAGTACAATTGTCATATTCAGGAAATCAACATCGGCATGATACTATCAACCAAACTGAAGACACCAGCTTTCCACTGATACCCCTTTTCAGTTCCAGGGTCCTATTCAGGACCCTGCATTGCATTCAGCTGCCTGTCTCTTTAGTCTCCTGTAGTCTGTGACTTTTTCCTCAGTCTTTCCTTGACTTTCATGACCTTGACAGTTTTGAAGAGGTGTTTTGTCGAGTGTCCCCCAATTTTGGTTTGTATGATGTTTTTTCATGATTGGACTGAGGTTATGCATTTTTTTTATTAAGAACGTCACAGAGATGATATTGTGCACCCGCCCCCCGCAATATATATCTTAAACAGAAGTTTCTGGAAACTACCTTTGCTATGTGAGATACACTCTGGCATTTTCTTTTTTTGTTGTTTTTATTTTTTTTTTTTTAGATAGGGTCTCACTCTGTCACCCAGGATGGAGTGCAGTGGTGCACTCTTGGCTCACTGCAACCTCCACCTCCCGGGTTCAAGTGATTCTCCTACCTCAGCCTCCTGAGTAGCTGGGACTATAGGCAGAAGCCACCATATCCAGCTAATTTTTGTAATTTTAGTAGAGACAGGGTTTTGCCATGTTGCCCAGGCTGGTCTCGAACTCTTGACCTCAAGCAATCTGCCCACCTCAGCCTCCCAAAGTGCTGGGATTACAGGCGTGAGCCGCCACACCAGGCCATATATATTATATATTATATATATATATATATAATATATATATAAAATATATATATATATATTACAGAAGGCCAGGCGCGGTGGCTCACGCCTGTAATCCCAGCACTTTGGGAGTCCGAGGCGGGTGGATCACGAGGTGGATCACGGGTGGCCAGAGAACAAGCTGGCCAGCCTAAGGGAACATAAAAGAAATCGAATGAGGCTTTGCTCTCTCTATTTTAGTGACCGCTGACTGCGGAGCAACGCTCTTGTGTTCTGCGGGCCCAGCAGCTCCGGGAACGGTCAGCGTCGGGGGCCAGCCTGGCGGGACATTTGGGGTCCCCCATACGTGGACCTATGCCTGTTGTAAGATGTTTGGAAGAGCGTCGAAAGATGAGATCATGTTGTGTCCTTGGAAGCTGAATGAAGAACCGGCTTGCAAAGGAGAAGCGCGTGCAGTCCCGGCGCGGCCCGCTCTGCTCAGTTCTCCAGGGCGGGCCTTGGCCTGGACTGCGTGTCGGGAGGACTCGCGGGCCCCGCATTGCCGCATGCCACCGGCAGGTGTCTCTTTCCTGGCTTGGGAACCTATTGTGAGTTCACCAAATGGAGGCGCGAGGAGGAGGGGGCGGGCAGGGGAGGGGCGCCGAGAGCCGGAGCGGGCACCGCCCCCTGCCTGCCCGCTCCCCGAGCGCACCGCGGCCCAGCCACGAGGCTGCCGGTCCTCACCTTTGAAACGCCGGCAGCTGCGCGCGCTGCGGCAGGCGCGGAGAGGAGCCACCTCGTCACGTGGGGAGGAAATGCCTTGCCGGCCTCCAAACCTACTGGCTCTTGTTTCTGGGGTTTTATGGCCAGGAGAGTGGGCTCAGCTCTCAAACCCAAGATCAAAGGACAGTGCAGGACCCATCACCCTGGGAAGTTTTCTCCCTTTCCCGTCTTTCTCCTTCTCACCTTCTCAGAAAGCGTAGCGAAAGGGGCCTGCCACCCTACTGGCTTTTCCTTTTAGGGAAATTCCATTTCCTAACGTGTCCTGTTTTGAAAGAGGCCAATTTATTGGGTAATGACGGCAGCCTGCTAGGCAGAAGTCAGGCCAGGAGCAGTCGCTTTTATTATTTTATTCAACGAATGCCTACTGATCATCTCCCGGGTGCCAGGCGCTGTCGTGGGGGTTCAGTAGTGACCAAGGACTCAGACCCTGCCTTGGCTACCCACATCACCGAAGAAATGAGTTATCAGGCGACAAGGTGACTCCTGGGGCTCAGTACTTGAAAATCCAAGACACAAGAGCGGGAAATCCTCTCTCATACCAAGAGTGCACACTTTGCCTCTGGTTAGAACAGGGGTAATGCCAGGTTTGCATTTCTTTGGACCTTTTCACTTCATTTAATAGTAACACTTGAAAACTCTTTACTGAGCGCTTACTCTGGGACTGGGACTCTGCTAGATGCAGGGAATACCGTGGAGGACAAAATTCCTTCCTGTCCTTAAGGAGCTTGCAGCCCAGCAAGGGTAGTGAGCCTGTAAACACATAAACAAGCAGAACCTAGTGTTAGGTGTCTTGACTCCACCGATTGTAGGGCACAAAAAGAACCAGGATACAGGCCCTGCGGATAGCATTGGGGTATGGGATCAGACCCAAAGCCCCATGATGCAGAGTCACATAGGAAAGCCACTATCTGGTGCTCCTGCCCTGGGAAGAACATCAGTTGTCCTCTCTCTTGGGACGAATAGAGGCATCCCAAATCGTGATCTTGGATCTGCTGTGCCTTCACTGATCCTATTCCCCTACAAATTCATTTCCCGGGAAGTTCCTAGGAACTGGTGTCAAACATCCTCATACTTTCCTTCCTTTCTCATGAAACTGTTCTAGTATCTGGCTGATATCCCCGTGTCTACCTTTACGTAGCTCAGTTTTTGTTGGGTTTTTGTTGCTGTTGTTGTTGTTTGCTTGTTTTTAATGTGCCAACATTATGTTTGGGCTTTTTTGCTTGCTTTTTGAAATAAATTTTTACAATTCAGAATTCCAGGAAAGACTTTCTTTTCTCACTTACTAGGTTAACAGAACGCTAGCCATGTGGTTCTAACCTCTGGGGATTTTAGGCAGCGAAAATCTCATCACATAGCCAGAGAAATAATCACAAATTCCCACGACACACTTCCAGGCGGTATCACAGCTCCTGGCCTGCTTGAGATCTGTGGGAGTGAGTCAGTGCTGGAGATCTGAGCTGGAAGCTGCCTGGAGTCCTTCTGCACTGATATTTTGTCCCTTTTCCTCTAAGTCAAAAACACAAAGTCCTCTACAAACATTTTTTCATTAGTTTGTTTGTCTGTTTTGCTTTCTAAAAACACCAGACCCCTGTTCAGTTTCCTCTGAGATCTGTGTTAGTATTAAACATTTAGTGCTATTTAAAAAAAAAAAAAAAAGGGCTGGGCGTGGTGACTCACCCCTGTAATCCCAGCACTTTAGGAGGCCGAGGTGGGTGGATTGCCTGAGTTCAGGAGTTCTCGACCAGGCTGGGCAACACAGTGAAGCCCCATTTCTACTAAAACACAACAAATTAGCCAGGCATGGTGGCGCATGCCTATAGTCCCAGCTACTCGGGAGGCTGAGGCAGGAGAAGTGCTTGAACCCGGGAAGCAGAGGTTGCAGTGAGCTGAGATTGCGCCACTGGACTCCAGCCTGGGTGACAGCGAGACTCCGACTCAAAGAAAGAGAGAGGAAGGAAGGAAGGAAGGAAGGAAGGAAGGAAGGAAGGAAGGAAGGAAAGGGAGAAAGAAAACTTTGGCCTCATTGAAAAAGCATAGCAGAATCTTGTTTATTCTTTTGTCTGTCTGTCCATACCAAGGTGTGACTGACTACCTAAATTGCCCTAGTAGTTACAATGGGATAATTCATTTCCTTTCTCAGCTATTGAGTGCTAAAATCATTCTCCTTGGAACAGATGCAATGTCTTATCTAGAAAAATACCCAGAAAGCAACATTTATGACTATTTATAAGGGTGATGAGCACATTGGTTATGTAGATTTAAAAAAATGAGGTACATCCTAATCATTCTTAAGATGCCCTCACAGTGATACATACTTCTCATGAAACCAAAATCTTCCTCCTCCAAATCTCACATAGTCCAAACCGTGCTTCAGAAAATGGGCATGGTTTCTATAAATCGAATCCATGGTCACATTTAAAACACTGAAGGTGTGTTCACATAGGAAAATTACTTCAGCAGACCAAATTTTAAAAATACTTTTTAATAAGAAAGAGGTGGCCTAACCTGTGACAACCTCATAAAATTTTGGAATAGGAAACAGTCTTAAGTATCATCTCATTCAAAAACCAAACGGTATCCCTGACAAGTGGTTTTCTCAAATCCGTGGAAATACAACCAGTGGCAGGGACACCCCAAGTGACCCACCCTTTCCAACTCTTAGAAATGTTTTTTTTCCACAAAGCCTGAGATTCTCAAATCTTTTTTCCTTGAGCACTCACTCATCATTCTGTCCTGGCCATGTGGGAAAAACCTCTTCCACAAAGTAGCTCCTCCACGTGTTTGAATGCAGCTCTTAGAGGCTTTTCTTTTGTAGGTTTGCAGTACGGACTCATTTTATTCCTTAAGTCCATTAAAAATTGCTTATTGTGGCTGGGCACAGTGGCTCATGCCTGTAATCTCAGCACTTAGGGAGGCCGAGGCAGGTGGATCACTTGAGGTCAGGAGTTCAAGACCAGCCTAGCCAACATGATGAAACCCACCTCTATGAAAAATACAAAAATTAGCTGAACGTGTTGGTGCACGCCTGTAATCCCAGCTACTCGGGAGGCTGAGGCAGGAGAATCACTTGAACCCAAGAGGCAGAGGTTGCAGTGAGCCAGGGTCGCACCACTGCACTCCAGCCTGGGTGACAGAACAAGACACTGTCTCAAAAAAAAAAAAAAAAAAAAAATCCTTGTTGAGGGCTGGGTGCCATGGCTCATGCCTGTAATCTGTAATCCTAGCACTTTGGGAAGCCGAGGCAGGCAAATCGATTGAGCTCAGGAGTTCTAGACTAGCTTGGGCAACATAGTGAAACCCTGTCTCTACAAAAAATACAAAAAAATTGGCTGGGTGTGGTGGCACATGCCTGTAGTCCCAGCTACTTGCGGGGCTGAGGTGGGAGAATTGCTTGAGCCCAGGAGGTCGAGGCTGCAGTGAGGCGAGATCGCACCACTGCACTCCAACCTGGGTGACAAAGTGAGACCCTATTTCAAAAACAAAAAACAAACAAACAAACAAAAACTGCTTATTGTGTACCTAGGATGGCTGAATGATGGAAAAGGAAAACAAAGCCACAGCCCTCCTGGAACATATATTCTATTGAGGAAGACAGAAAATAAACAGTTAAATAGGTACATTTATAATATAATGTAGGTAGTGATACATATATAGAAAGAAAGGCAGGGTAAAGAAACTGGGAATGAGAGTGTTTCTTTAGGTTGGGAGGTAAGAGAGGTCCTATTAAGGACATAACATTTGGACAAGGACCTGACTTTCAGAAAAATCTCCTGAACTGAGGGGATGAGCCATGTCAATATCTGGGGAGAGAAAAAAAAAAGGCCTTGAAATGATAAATGCTTGATGTCTGGGGAATACCAATGAGGCCATCAGTGAAGAGGAAACAGTGAGGGGAAAGAGGTAGGAAGTGAGCTCTGAGAGGTAGCCAGCAGGGTCACACTTTGAAAGCAGGGACATGACATGATTTCAAGAGGCTTTCCATCTTAATTACTATGTTCTCTGTATATTTTAGCTGGTCAAAGTCTCTGTAAAAGGTGGTCACCCAGAATTGCCTCCAGTATTCCAGGTGGGGCCTAACTGGCACAGAGTAAAGCAGGACCACCCCCTCCTTTATTCTGGACATTATATTTCTATTAATACATTCTGAGGCCTCCCGTCACATTTTAGAAAGTCATTTATTGAGTTTGCTGTTTTCTTTTGCATACTGCACTTTGTTGTTTTTTTTTTTTTTTTTGAGACGGAGTCTTGCTCTGTCACCCAGGCTGCAGTGCGGTGGTGCAATCTCGGCTAATCGCAACCTCTGCCTCCTGGGTTCAAGTGATTCTCCTGCCTCAGCCTCCCGAGTAGCTGGGATTACAGGTGCATGCCACCATGCCCAGCTAATTTTTTTGTATTTTTAGTAGAGATTGGGCGGGGGGGTGTCACCATGTTGGCCAGGCTGGTCTCGAACTCCTGACCTCAGGTGATCCGCCCACCTCGGTCTCCCAAAGTGCTGGGATTACAGGCGTGAGCCACTGCATGGGCGCATATTGCATTCTTAAGCCATACTTTCCATGCAGGTTTCTTCCACAACCTCACCCTCTTGTCCCCTGGCCTAAGACCTACTGACATCAAGAAGCTTCAGGAAACCTCATCCTATAAATCAAGTGGTGGCCTACTCATAGGAAAGTCCTTACAGATACTTTTTTTTTTAAAGAGATGGGTCCTCACTATGTTGCCCAGGCTGGACTCAAACAATCCTCCCGCCTCAGCCTCCCAAGTAGCTTGGACTATATATATAAGCCACTGGACCTGGCTCAGATACGTTTATGTATTTGCCTCATTCTGATGTCATTTAAATATGCCATGTTCCAAACATCATGAACTTGTTTAGTGAGCTTTTAGGGGCCAGAATGTGGAATGCTATCCTATTAAACTCTATCTTATTAAACTTGACACATTGCTCCAGTCTTTTAAGATGTTTTTGGCCTCTGGTTCTAGCATCTTAATGTATAAGCTATTCCTCTTATCTGTGTGTCAACAACAGATTTCACCAGCATATGACTTATAACAATATTGTACTGAGTGAGGCTTAAGATAGGGCCCCGTGGTAAGCCTATAAAGAACCCCGTCGAAGTTGAAATGGATCCATTACCAAGACTTTTGGGAAATGATTGTTCAACCAGCTAGCTGCAAATCAATCTAATTGTACCATGATCTACCCTACATCTCTCCATTAGCTAATCAAGAAGAACACTGTAAAATATTTTTGTCTAATGTCTTACTGAAATTTATATGCACCGCCTTGACCTTCTGCTCAACCATGCTGTCAAAGAAATTAAGTTCCACTTAAACTTTGAAGTTCCTATTTTCTTTCGTGCTGCTCTTTTACCAACTCTAGACATTTCCTCCCATTCTGGGGCTTGCGTAACTGCAGACACTAGCCATACCTGGAAGCATGCTTCCTTCTTTTCTACTGCAACTGTGCAATACACTTTTGTTTTCCTAAATGTATTATACATATAACTGGTAAACTGAGTCAACTGGGATCATCTGAATCATGTTTATTTTTATTTATTTATTTTTTTTTTGAGATGGAGTCTCGCTCTGTCACCCAGGCTGGAGTGCAGTGGCGCAATCTCGGCTCACTGCAAGCTCTGCCTCCCGGGTTCACACCATTCTCCTGCTTCAGCCTCCCAAGTAGCTGGGACTACAGGTACCTGCCACCGCGCCTGGCTAATTTTTTGTATTTTTTAGTAGAGACGGGGTTTCACCATATTAGCCAGGATGGTCTCGATCTCCTGACCTCGTGATCCGCCCACCTCAGCCACCCAAAGTGCTGGGATTACAGGCGTGAGCCACCGCGCCTGGCCTTGAATCATGTTTTAAATATACAATGAACTGCTCAATCATTCAATCAATAAAGTTATTGATCACCCCCTCCATAAGTCTAATATTTCCAAAATGAAAAATCTTTTTGTAATACAAATGTAATACTTTCTAACATGAATTTTTGTTTACCTAGGCTGAATTTTCTCAAAACATGATATGGTTTGGCTCTGTGTCCCCATCCAAATCTCATCTCGAATTGCAGTCCCCATGTGTCAGGGGAGGGACCCAGTAGGAGGTGACTGGATCACGGGGCCAGTTTCCTTTATGGTGTTCTTGTGATAGTGAGTTCTCACAAGATCTGATGGTTTAAAAGTGTGGCACTTTCCCCCCAACCCCCTGCCTTGCTCTCTCTATCTCTCTCCTGCCACCATGTAAGACATGCCTTGCAAGCTTCCCGTTCCACCACAATTTTAAGTTTCCTGAGGCCTCCTCAGCCATGCAGAACTGTGAGTCAACTCTTTTCCTTAAAAATTACCCAGTCTCAGGTACTTTTATTAATATACAGCATTGTGAGAACGGACTAATACAGATGATTAAATAATAGTAATATTCTTTTTTTAAAAAATAATTTCAACTTTTATTTTAGATTCAGAGGGCACATATGCAGGCTTGTTACATGAGTATATTGTGTGACACTGAGGTTTGAGGTTCAATTAATCCCATCACTGAGGTTCTGAGCATAGTACCTAATAGGTAGTTTTTCAGCCCTTGACTCCCTCCCTTTTTCCTCCCTCCCTTTCTCCTCCCTCCCTTTCTTCTTCCTCTGGTAGTCTCCAGTGTCTGCTGTTTCCATCTTTACGTCCACGTGTACTCAATGTTTAGCTCACACTTATAAGTGAGAAAATGCAGGATTTGGTTTTCTGTTCCTGCATTAATTCACTTGGGCTAACAGCTTCCAGCTGCATCCATGTTGCTGCAAAGGACATGATTTCGTTCTTTTTTATGGCTGGGCAGTATTTCATGGTGTATGTGTACCACATGGTCTTTATCTAACCCACCACTGATGGACCCCTAGATTGATTCCATGTCTTTGCTATTGTGAATAGTGCTGCAGTGAACATATGAGCACACGCGTCTTTTTGGTGGAAACATTTGTTTTCTTTTGGGTATGTACCAAGTAATGGGACTGCTGGGTCAAATGGTAGTTCTAAGTTCTCTGAGGCATCTCCAAACTGCTTTCCACAGTGGCTGGACTAATTTATGTTCCCATCAACAATGTATAAGCATTACATTTTCTCTACAGCCTCAACAGCATCTGTTATTATTTTTTTGACTTTTTAATAATAGCCATTCTGACTAGAGTGAGATGGTATCTCCCTGTGGTTTAAATTTGCATTTCTCTGAGTAGTGATGTGGAACATTTTTTCATGTCTGTTGGCTGCTTGTATGTCTTCTTTTGAGAAGTGTCTGTTCATGTCCTTTGCCCACTTTTTAATGGGGTTAATTATTGTTTACTCATTGAAATGTTTAAGTTCCCTATAGAGTCTGGATGTTAGCCCCTGTCAGATGCACAGCTTGTGAAGATTTTCTCCCATTCTGTAGTTTGTTTGTTTACTCTGTTGATAGTTTTTCTGTGCAGAAGCTCTTTAAATAATACTAACATTCTTGAGCAGTTCTCTAATGACCCCTTTACACTCTTAAAAATAGTTGAGAACCCCAGAGAGTTTTTGCTTATACAGGATATATCCATCAATATTTACAGTAATAGAAATTAAATCAGAAAATTATTTATTAATTCATTTAAAATAATAACAACAAACCCGTAATATATCAACATAATCAATATTTTATGAAAGATATATTTTCCAAAACAAAAAAGTTAGTGAGAAGAGTGGCATTGTTTTACACTTTTAGATGTCCTGAATGTCTGGCTTAGTAGGACACAGCTAGATCCTCATGTCTGTTTCTGCATTTAAGCTGTGGTGATGCACATGGCATATGCCTTCTGGAAAACTCCACTGTACACTCCTAAGAGAATGACAATGAAAGATGCAAACAATGTCTTGGTGTTATTATGAAAATAGTTTTGATCTGTGGGCCCCCTGAAAGAGTTTTGAGGACCTCAGAGTAGACACTGTTTAAATAATAAAATATACCTATTTTTGGCTTTGAATGTCAGAAAGCTCAGAGCTACATTTAGCAACCACTTCAGGCCTGGTATTATAGTCCTTTGCAGCTTTGCTCAACTGCAGTCTGTTTGCGACTTGCCCTTTACTTCTTTTTTTGGTGTTTACAGCTCTTGGCCATACTTTTTCTGTGTTTTTATTAGACCTTGCTTCAAATCCTTTGGAAAGCAGGTTGGGTGTTTGACAATATAGGTAATTGTGCACATATGCTTATACACATATATTTCAACACAAGTTTAAAATTATACTTTGATTTCATGTTCAATATCCACCTAGCAAACACACCTCAACAGGATGAAAATATATATGATAGTCACACAAAAAATTAAGACACTCCTCAGATTGTCTGAATGCACTTTTTACACAAAGCCCAGAGGATAGGGGTTACATTGCAAGAAATCTACTATATAAAAAGATTGGCTGGGCGCGGTGGCTCATGCCTGTAATCCTAGCACTTTGGGAGGCTGCGATGGGTGGATCACTTGAGGTCAGGAGTTCGAGACCAGCCTGGCCAACATGGTGAAACCTTGTCTCTACTAAAAATACAAAAATTACCCGGGTGTGGTGGCACATGCCTGTAATCCCAGCTACTGGGGAGGCTGAGGCAGAAGAATTGCTTGGACCTGGGAGGCGGAGGTTGCAGTGAGCCAAGATCGTGCCATTGCACTCCAGCCTGGGCGAAAAAGCGAGACTCCATCCTCCCACCTCAAAAAAAAAAAAAAAAATTCAGCTCCACCTGGGCATGGTGGCTCACGCCTGTAATCCTGGCACTTTGGGAGGCCGAGAAGGGCGGATCACTTGAGGTCAGGAGTTCTAGACCAGCCTGGCCAACATGGTGAAACCCCGTTTCTACTAAAAATACAAAAATTAGCCAGGGCTGGTGGTGGGCACCTGTAATCCCAGCTACTCGGGAGGCTGAGGCAGGAGAATTGCTTGAACCTGGAGGTGGAGGTTGTGGTGAGCCGAGATCACGCCACTGCACTCCAGCCAAACAGCAAGACTCTGTCTCCAAAAAAAAAATACAGCTCCATAATAGACAATTTATCATCCTGGAAGTTAAGCAAATAATCAAAATCTATACAGTGTTTGAACTGTTTCTCAAGCCCCCTACTTAGACATTGCCATTTTTCTGTATCAGTAACTAATTTGATGCCTATAATATACATTTGAAATGTCTGACCTCCACTCTTCTCTCTTCTTTCCTGGAGAACTGTCCGGTCATTCATGAGGATGAGTGTCCCCAGATGTGCCTGTCTCAGGGCACCCTCTCCTGGGCACACCTGATTGGATCAAGCTGTGCACCTGACCCAGGCTGGGACAACCAAATTCCCTCTCCCAGGAATCTGGTATTGGACTGAGGACAGCCACTCACCTTTGGCTAATCTCTTTAGGAGAGAAGATGTAGATGTGATAGTTGTTGAGGGATTATCCTCTGCCCAGCTACTCACAGAGAAGAAAGTGGATTGCAGAGGGAGACACGAAGCAGAGAAGAAAGCTGGAGAAGGTGGACTGTCTAGGTTCCTAGCAGCTTCTCGGGCTACCTTGAGGCCATCTGCCCTTGGACTTCATGAGATACTGCTATACTCTTCTATGTCCCTTAATGCTTACGTCAGCTCAAGTTGATTACTTCCAACCAAAAGGACTTAACTCAGACAAGGACAAAGCCAAGACCATCAGTGAGGTTTTTTTCTTTATAACCAGGTCCCTTACAGCATCCTGGGGAGCACTGTAGGTCCTAAATACACATTATTCACATTATTCACTCTCCAAAGGCTTCCATTAGGCAAAAACATCTTCTCATCCAAGGCCAACTAGATTAGGAAATGGCATTTCTTATGGCTTTCCATCCCCAGAGGGCAAATGCACAGATGACTGCAGTTAGCAATTGACTCTGTGGGTTAGTATTTGCTGAGGGCACACACCCTGAGACTTGAATGACAGAAATCCCCAGGTGCCAAGGAGGAGACTGGCAATTATGCCTCCAATCACCTCCCTGTTCTGCCGCCCTCTAAATCAGCACTCCCCACCGCGGTGACCCTCAATGACTGGCAAGACGACCCATTTTTAAAGGGCCAATTTTTAACAGCTGGAAACAATAAACGTCGTGGGAGGTGAAGATGCTGGGAGGACTGATTTCTCCTTCGCTGTTTTCAAAAGTCAAAAGATGCTGGGTGTAATGGCAACAGCCACAGAAAGTTAGCACAACTCCTGCCACGGAGCAGCTGTGTGATGGTGGCTTCCCCAGTCCCCCTCCCTGGGCCTCGGTTCTTACAGCTGCAAAATGAGGAGGTAGAATGAGATGCTCTTTAATATCCCTTTCATCTTCAACTTTCTACAATTCTTGTAAGCTGGAAAGATGTACACAGAACTTCATCTTGATTTTATTACTTGTAGTCCATCTTCTTGTGACAGAGCCAGCGGCAGCTTGTGCATGTGAAAGTAAGTTGTTCACTCTCTCTCTGAGATGATTTAAGAGGTTGTGAAAACCCAAAGTACCTCCTTCAGTGTTCTGCCATAGCCAGGCCTGAAGCTCCCCTGCCCCAGAGCCAGACCTGGGATCCAGGTATCATTTATCTACGTCAAAAGGCAAACATGTACATTGTACATTGTTTTCCCAGAGCATATTAGCCTGGACTTGCCTCTGGAGTCCCTAGGAATGATACTAGGCCTGGGATCCAGCAGAGGCCAGGAAAGGTCTCAGGCACAGGGTACTGTGGTGGCAGACAGGCCTGGGCAGTAAGTAGTGTGTGCAGGGTAGCCCGTGAGTGGCAAGAAGCTCCAAAGTGGGGGACAGCCCTGAGCCAACTGCGTGCAGTAGGGAACAGGGCTGTCAGCTCCAGCACTGCACTTTTGCTTCATTTTGCTCACCAGATCCTCTTGCTCCTCTTCAGGGTGCCCAGCAGGAAGGGTCTCTAACTATCTTCCAGGGCCCACTCCACAATATAAGGAAAGCCTGACATTAGGCCCCAGTAGGAGTAGGAATTCCTTAGCAGCCGCCTTGGCCCTAGCTTCTGCCTTCTAGGCTGTCATGACAAAAAGACTAGGGATAGTTGGCCATGCTGGAGAAAATGGCCATTCTGTTGTGAATGAAGCAGCTGCCTGGAACCACTGAAGCCCCTCTCCTGTGGCCCTTCCTTTGTAGAAGCTGTTGAGTGGAGCTGGCTTCCTTCTTCAATTGGTTGGCACCCTGAGGAGCCATAGATCCACTGTCCCCATGCCCCAAAGGAAGGCTTGGGTGTTGTGTGGTATAGTAAGCCTTTTGGTGGCTTCAGTTCTTACCCTAAAAAAAAAGGAGAAGGGATAACACGAGGAGACCCTCCTAGAGCTCCTATGGGATATTTAATTATCAATATGGCAGCTACACTAGGTTTAGAAATAAATGAACTATCAGATAGCACCCTAAGGTATTATCCCACCACATGGGCTCTTAAACACCGATTTTCTCTGTACTCTATTGGAACATGTGTAGACATTTGATTTGAAAACCAGGCTTCCCACTGACTTCCTTAGCAGGCTGGGATGTCAAATCTTTCTCTCACTTTTGGGGGGGATTAGGGTGTCTTCTGGGTTCGTATGAGTGTGTGGATGTTAAGCGGTAGTAAAAATAGCAACTGAAGCAAAAAAAAACATCCTTAGTGGGATCTCAAAACCGTTTAAAAAGAAACTATCGGAGGGGCCTAACAGTATCAGGTGTTTCATAGTTGCTGGGGAGAAGCAGCAAAGGGACACACATTCACGCTAGACTAAGAATGTCCCATCATCATTACTCCTGCACACCCACATCCTTAGGCTCCAGGTTAGGCCCCTTATAAAATATTGTGTGGGCCAGGAATCCCACGAATTCCCAGAAGAATGGGAATTTGGGGAATTGTTTTTAATCCCGTTGGATAGTCCAGTAACTCTGCACATGGATACCAGTCTTGGGCACAGGGAATTTCCCTAAAGAGCCACAAGGAGACTTGGGTTAACCAGAGACAACAGCTCCTCAAGTACCCACTGTGGAGGAAGTAGAGGAATTCAGAAACTCGGGCTAATGAACCGCCTCAGTAACGTCCTGAGGGGTAAAGCTCTGCTGTGTCCATGGTGAAATGTGAGTGTGAGAGAACTGTGGGAACATACATATCCACCTGCTGCAAGCCTACCTGCCCATCTTCGAAACGCGGTGCCCCTTCACTCTGCCCCAAAGCTGAACCCTTTTGTATTACGCCTCCCAAATACGAAGTTGTCCCATAGCATGAGTTTTGGAGTCCAAGGTTTGAGTCCTCGGTCGGCTGCAAAGAGCTGTGTGGTCATGGCCAAGTCACTTAGCCCATCCAGGTCTCAGTCTCCCGTGTGTAAAATGGGAGTAAGGAGGGCTCAATTGTTCTAAGGATTAAATGCAACCAAGTTGGCAAAGTTTTAGCACAGTGCCCACGTGTTAGCTGTTTATGGTGTGCCTGTTGTATGCCAGGCCTGCGCTGGAGACGCAGGCATTATGCTCCCTGCACATGGCCCATACCCACATCTCCTCTACACGCGCCCTCGCTGAGGCGCGGGTCCTACTGAAGATCCGGATAGTGATCATCCTTTCTGGCAGCATAAGTCCCGCCCCCTTTCCTTCCCTGGGCTTCTGTTGTCCAGGCTACCTTGGCGTTATCAAAGCTACTTGATCTTTACAGCCACTTCCCTCTGCACAGGCATCCAAATAGGAAATTCCGCTCTCAAGGAACCTTCTACCCATCCACCTGCCACCAGCACGAACCTGCTGTCTTGTTCTCTGGCCTCTCTCCCTCAGTCCCCTTTTGCGCCCTCATTTTCCTGTCTAAAATGAAACGGACCGCTGCCCTTTTTATCTGTACTAAGTTTCAGGAGCAGAATCTTCGTTAAACTGAGCAGAGCAAGAGCGCGCTGCCCACAGGGCTGGGGCGGGCGCACGGGCCCTTATGTAAGGCCGGGCCTTCCCGGGGAAGAGCGAAGGCTCCGGGAAGGGAAGCACGGGCGGCGGGGCCCGGCCTCGAGGACCGCCCCCAGGGCGGGGAGTGGTGTGAGCCGCGGCGCCGCCAGCAAACTTTCCTCCTCCGAATTCTTGACCGAGAGCCTTGGAACCACATTCTGCCCAAATCTGTACACGCCGGAGCCAGGGAGCCGCCCGCCGCCCGGGGAGCGGAGTGGGGAAAGAGGGGGTGGAGAAGGGACCGGGGAGGAGGTGGGGGAGGGCGGAGGAGGTGGTAAGGAGAGGAGCGGGGGGGAGGAGGAGGAAGGGGAGGAGGGAGAGGTGGGGCGGGGAGGAGGGAGAGGTGGGGCGGGGAGGAGGGAGAGGTGGGTCGGGAAGGAGGGGGAAGTGGGAGACCGGGGATGTGGGAGGGGAGAGAAGGAGGAGGTGGGAGAGGGGAAAGCGGGGAAAGGGGAAGGTGGGGCGGGCGGAGGTGGGGGTAGAAAGTGGGGAAGAGCGGGGATGGCAAGTTCCGCGGGTGGCGAGCGGCCCCAGGGAGCGGCGGGGGGGCGAAGCAAGTTCCTTAGTTTCTCCCAAGCCAGCCCGGGAGCTGTTGGACGAGTGGGAGCGCCTGGCTACCTGCAAGTCTTCGGGTTTCGCGAGCGCCGCAGAGCTTTTCTGCAGCCGCTAAATAAATAAATAACTACGGACGCCCGCCCCGCCCCGCCCCGCCCCGCCCCTCCCAGCCCAGCCCAGCCCAGCCCAGCCCAGCCCAGCCCCGCCCAGCGCAGCTCCCTGGCCGCGGCGGCGGTGGTGGCAGCGGTGGTGGCGGCTGCGGCGCAGGCAGGGCTGGGCGCTTGGGGAGCTCCGCGCGCGGGGCACTTCCCCGTGACCGGCGGCCGCGCAGCTCAGGGAACTCCGCTCCGTGAGGCTTCCGGGAGAGGGAAAGCTGTTCTCCTTTGATGCTCTTTGGTTTTACAGTGGAAAACTACAATTAAAAAAACATAGCCGTGAAAATAAATGAGATTAGAACCTGCTGGCTTCACTTCCTGGAGGCTTTTTGTTGTGTCTTGAAACTAGGATCTTTGCGGGTCATCCCTGTAAGTGCCTTTTTAATCCATTCACAAGGATGCTTGTGAGTCTCTGCTGCGTTTAACATCGGTCAGCGGGTGACATTGCATTAATTTGCTCTGGTGATGATTTCTGCTTTGCTAGGTTAGCATTGCCTCGCTTGGTGACACGTAATAAATGCACACACGTTGCAAAAATTAGGACACAGAGGGAGAGGCACCTTTTTAACTCTGTCAAAAAATAGATAAGAAAATCTCTTCTAAAGCGGTGCCAATATCGGGAAAATGGTTTATTATTTAGACTGTGGAGATATTAAAAACCACAACAAAACCTAATTAATTATTCCATAGCCATTCTACATAAAGTAACATGATAAAATCATTAAATAATAGCAATGACAAAACTCAGTTTGTTGTTCTAAACTTACTGCTTTAGAATGTTGTTTATCATGTCATGTATAGTAAATCACATATCTAGTTTTTGTGCATGTGTGTCAGAGACAGACAGACATGGATAACTTCTGCTCTGAAACACAGCAGGTTTAAGGCTTCTATACAGAGAAGTTCCATCTGGAAAATCTCCAAATACAATTACAATAAAGCAGATACAATATGGAGTGTTATTAAACTGGAGGTTCTTCCCCCGGAGAGTTTACTCTATTTTCCTTTAAAATAAACTAGGGCCGGGTGTGGTGGCTCAACGCCTGTAATCCCAGCACTTTGGGAGGCTGAGGCAGGAGGATCATTTGAGTCCAGGAGTTCAAGAGCAGCCTGGGCAACATAGTGAAACTCCATCTCTAAAAAAATACAGTATTAGCTGGGTGTGGTGGTGCACACCTGTAGTTCCAGCTATTAGGGAGGCTGAGACAGGAGGATGGCATGAGCCTGGGAAGTGAAGGTTGTAGTGAGCCAAGATAGCACCACTGCACTACAGCCAGACCTTGTCTCAAAAAAATAAAATAAACTGAAAGGCCGGGGAATCATATATTTAAAATTGGCCAGTGCTCATTAAAGATCACTCAAAAACCAGAATGAGGCATCCTTACGGTGGGAAGGTAGGGTAATAGAAAGATGCAATTCCAGTTCACAAAAATTTGGCCTTCAGGCCACATCTGATACACTTGCATAAAATTGAAAGACGATGCAATGCATGTTTTCCTAAATTAAACCAGAAATAGTGGTAGGGATATACCTTCATGCCAGCAGATGCACAGACAGGTTCTGATGGAAACCGTTTTCACTAAACCATGTCCCAGTTACTTTATGTAGCTTAACGCCCTGGGATTTGTATGTTCCCAACCAGAGGGTGCATGCTGGAGCTCCATGGGCCTGAACTTGTCTTCCAGACCTGTTTGGCCTGCGGGGTGTAGTTTAAACTTTTGAATTAGTTATGGATATTTTGAAATTGTTAAGTTTCACATGGAAAGCTGGACTTTGGGCTTCTCTGAAACATGAGAAGCCCGGGCCACCCTGGGTGGGACTGTTGGCTGGAGCCAACAGCAGTGTTAGGTGTGAGGGTGACAGTCTGTACCTCTCCAGCTGTCTTCCCCCACCTCTGCCTTCACTCTGTTAAGGGACTTGTCCACTCTGCACATGTGAATTTTCTAAAAATTAGTCCTGGTTCAGACAAACCACTGCACCCAGTGCTTGGTCAACGTATTAGGATTATTAAAGTCACAGATGACTTTGACACTCTAGGATCTAGAATTATGTAATGTTAAAACCTCAAATCTCAATTTCTGGAGATTCCTTTAGGCAGATTCAACCAACCAGAGGCTGACTGTACATTTCCTGAAGGCAGGCACAACATGATGTCCTAGTTTCCTGGATTCTGCGTTCCCCTAAGGTGCCGTGAGATGTAGGAGAGTGTGTGGTCTCTGAAATTAAGCTCAGGAATTTGGATCCCCAATAGTTACTTGCCATTCAGTGTAAAGCAAGTTATATACTATCCCTGAGCTTGTTTCCTCAAACACAGATAGTTATAACCAAACTACCTCTGTGGATTATTGCATATTAAATTACTATATATATGTCTGCTCAGAGTTTACAGCAAATTTAAAACTAAATAAATAAAATTACTATATGTGAAAGCATCTTGAACAGTACCTGGCCCACAGTGACCACCCAAAATAGTTGTTTCTCTTGCTCTTGGGATTTCAGTTTCTGAGTGCAGTCAATCATAGCTCACTGCAGCCTCGACCTCCTGGGCTCAGTGATCTTCCCGGTCCAGCCTCCTGAGCAGCTAGGATTACAGGTGTGTACTACCATGCCCACCTAATTTTTAATGTTTTATTTGTAGACACCAGGTCTGTGTTGCCCAGGCTGGTCTTGAACTCCTGGCCTCAAGCAATCCCCCTACCTCAGCCTCCCAAAGTGCTAGGATTACAGGCATGAGCCACAGTGCCCAGTTCTTGGATACCTGCGTTACATTCCAGTTTCTGTTCTCTCCCTCAGGATTTTGATTCAAGAGGTCCCAATGGGGCCTGAGGGTTAACATTTTAACATTTAATCCTCAGGGAGGAGTTCTAGACCACACTCTGACAGTGCCCATCCTGGATTGGCCACAGTTGTTCAAGTAGATGAGACAGAGAACAAAGAAATAGGCCCTGGTTGATTCCCTGGCTGGTCCTGGCCAGCATGCTGATCCTGCAGCTCCATTGGATGCACTGCCTGGGTCCCAATTGTCTACTTATCACTTCATGGGCATTTATTGAGCACCTACTAGAAACACAGTGAGGCAGGCACTTGGCATTCAAAGGTAGGTGAAGTGGTTCCTGTTCGCAGGGAGATTGGGAATGGAATACAAAGCCCAGGGCCTGGCATTGGGCTCCAGTTCCTGCCTTTCCTACCACTCACCATTCAATACCATCTCTAATGCCTTCTTCCCAAAGACAGTCGCTCCTCCCCACCCAGCGCCATGCATTCTCATGCCATATTACTGAGTCTTGGATAATAGTTACTTTTGCATTACATGCAGACACTTACCATAGTACCGTTTAGGTGTTCATCACATACTTGTGGGACTTAATTTCCTTGGACAAATCTGTCTTCCGAAACTTCAGCTTATGTTTATTCACTCATCAAATATTTATAGGCCGGGCGTGGTGTTTCACGCCTGTAATCCCAGCACTTTGGGAGTCCAAGGCAGGCAGATCACCTGAGGTCAGGATTTTAAGACCAGCCTGGCCAACATGGTGAAACCCCGTCACTGCTAAAAATAACAAAAATTTGCCGGGCGTGCCTGTAATCCCAGCTACTCGGGAGGCCGAGGCAGGAGAATCGCTTGAACCTGGGAGGCGGATGTTGCAGTGAGCCAAGATTGGGCCATTGCACTCCAGCCTGGGTGATAAGAATGAAACTCCATCTCAAAAAAAGAAAAAAGGCCAGGCACAGTGGCTCACGCTTGTAATCCCAGCACTTTGGGAGGCCAAGGCAGGTGGATCAACTGAGGTCAGGAGTTTGAGACCAGCCTGGCCAACACGGCGAAACCCCATCTCTACTAAAAATACAAAAATTAGCCAGGCGTGGTGGTGGGTGCCTGTAATCCCAATTACTCGGGAGGCTAAGGCAGGAGAATCGCTTGAAACTGGGAGGCGGAGGTTGCAGTGAGCTGAGATCACACCACTGAACTCTAGCTTGGGAGACAAGAGTGAAACTCCTCCTCAAAAAAAACAAAAAAGAAAAAGTATGGATGCGAGTCGGGGCTTACACAAAAGTGAGGGGTCAGGAGGGGGAATGTATGGAGCACCTCCTATAAGTCAGACAGTGGCCCAGAAGCTGGGGATACAGCAACGGACAAAATTACAATCCCTGCCCACATGGAGGTTTTAGTTGGGGAAGACAGGTCATATAAACATACTATTTTGAATCGTACTTGTTCAATTGTATTTTGTACCCTGACATCTGCTGCAATCTTATTTGCTCTCTGAATCCTACCTTATTTTCCTGCCAGATGGACTTCTTTCCTAGTCCTGGTCTACACAGCCTATGCTCAGGTGGTGATTTTATTATCTATAGCTAGAGAGCTCTCTGTGTATACTGTTACATTTTGATTCAAAATGTCTGTGTTTCTTCCAGGCTTTGATCAAAATCAACCATTCCTTTCCAAAATTCAGAAGCTTCCACAACAAGGTAACTTTTAAAAATGCAACCTGTATATTCTTTTCTTACATAATATTGCAGAGAAGTCTTATTGAAGCCAAGTGACTGCTGTCCCATTTTTTTGTTGTTCTAATACTGCTTTTCTTTTTAAGCTCCTTAGCTCTTATGCCAAATACAAAAATAACTCTGACTACTTTGCATTCATATTCCATAACTTATTTTGAGTAGTGCCATTAATAATTTATTGTAAAAGATAATCTTACCTTTAAATATGTGATTTTAAAATAAGTTTTGCTGCCTTCTTACTGAGCTTTTCATGTCGTTCTGGGTATACTTGTTCTACAGAAATTCAAGTCCAATTATATAATTAAAATGACAGGTTTCAATATATTAAATATTCTACAAAGTGAGTTATATCTGAAAATTCAGGTAAGCAAGTATAATTTACATTTGTACTCTAAAGTGATAAGTTTTTGTGAAAATGCCCCAAAATATATTATTTCTATCCCTTTGCATGAGTGTATTTGTATATTTCACCTCTATTCATTATCTTCTTTGGCTCTCAGTTGATACATTTTATCATTTCCCATGTCTGAATTACTTCCTGTTAAGAACATGAACTGGATTAATAGAAATTTCTCAGAAAAAAATATTCAAACACCAAGGATCTCACTTTGTGCTGTGAAATGCAAGATGAGCAATCTGATCTGGACATACCAGCCTTCAGTCAGGCAACAGGTGAATATGCAGGTAGAATTATAATGTGTAAAGCCGGGTGCAGTGGCTCACGTCTATAATCTGAGCACTTTGGGAGACTAACGCGGGCGGATCACTTGAGGTCAGGAGTTCGAGACTAGCCAGGCCAACATGGTGAAACCTCGTCTCTACTAAAAATACAAAAAAAAGTTAGCTGTGCATGGTGGCACGTGCCTGTAATCACAGCCACTTGGGAGGCCGAGGCGAGAGGATGGCTTGAACCCGGGAGGCTGAGGTTGCAATGAGCAGAGATGGTGCCACTGCACTCCAGCCTGGGCAACAGAGAGAGACTCTGGCTAAAAAAAAAAAAAATTATAATGTATAGGATTGTGGATGATCACTCTAACCAACCAGTGGGCAAGTTGCTTTGCTCAGCGTAAGTTCAAACTGCCACATCAGAACGTTATTTGAGTGTATACATACACAACCATTAAAAGTGGCCGTTACCACGATGCATTCTGGGAAAGAAGCAGCACCAAATCCAAGATGGCGGCCAGCAGGAGGCTGATGAAGGAGCTTGAAGAAATCCGCAAATGTGGAATGGAAAACTTCCGTAACATCCAGGTTGATGAAGCTAATTTATTGACTTGGCAAGGGCTTATTGTTCCTGACAACCCTCCGTATAATAAGGGGGCCTTCAGAATCGAAATCAACTTTCCAGCAGAGTACCCATTCAAACCACCGAGGATCACATTTAAAACAAAGATCTATCACCCGAACATCGACGAAAAGGGGCAGGTCTGTCTGCCAGTAATTAGTGCTGAAAACTGGAAGCCAGCAACCAAAACCGACCAAGTAATCCAGTCCCTCATAGCACTGGTGAATGACCCGCAGCCCGAGCACCCGCTTCGGGCTGACCTAGCTGAAGAATACTCTAACGACCGTAAAAAATTCTGTAAGAATGCTGAAGAGTTTACAAAGAAATATGGGGAAAAGCGACCTGTGGACTAAAATGTGCCACGATTGGTTCCAGCAAGTGTGAGCAGAGACCCCGTGCAGTACATTCAGACACCCCGCAAAGCAGGACTCTGTGGAAATTGATACGTGCCACCGTCTGGCGTTCGCTTGCAGCAGTTACTAACTTTCTACAGTTTTCTTAATTAAAAGTGGTCTAGGTAACCTGTAAAGAAAGGATTAAAAATTTAAGATGTTCTTAAAAAAAAAAAAAGTGGCCATTAATAGACGGAACTATACACTGGACTAGTTGTTGTTTTAAAAACATAAAATCTGGCTACCCTAACGGGATAAGAGTTCAGACATCAGGATGTTGACACAGTGTCCTACCAGAACCCAGGGTTTACTTAGAGAACATAAAAGAAAAGAGATTGTATGCTATATTCCTTGCTTTTTTTTTTTTTTTTTTGGTGGATGTAGATAGGAGATGGGATGAGAGTGGCCACAGGAATTCGATGAGTCGTAGGAAATCCATTTTTGTTTTAATTGATGTTTCCCGTTGAACTGACATTTAGATTGAAATACCTGCGAGCCGGGTTTGGTGGCTCACACCTGTAATGCTATCACTTTGGGAAGCTGAGGTGGGTGGATCACCTGAGGTCAGGAGTTCGAGACCAGCCTGGCCAACGTGGTGAAACCCCATCTCTATTAAAAATAAAATAAATAAACAAATAAAAGTAGCCGGGCGTGGTGGCAGACTCCTGTAATCCCAGCTACTCAGGAGGCTGAGGCAGGATAATCGTTTGGACCCTGGAGGCAGAGGCTGCAGTGAGCCCAGATTGCGCCATTGCACTCCAGCCTGGGCAACAAGAGCAAAACTCTGTCCCCCCCCCACAAAAAAAAATTGATTGAAATACCTGGAATTCACACCATAATTGGGGTGTCTTTAGGCTGAAATGGAGACAACAGAAGGTGAGGTGGCTTGGACTCAGGTGGCATTGGTAAAGGAAATGAAACGCATGCAAATTTCACAGACAAAAGAGTAGCTTTGCCACCTCTCATTTTGGCTGGGCTGCTCTGAGGTGCTGCATCTTTTATAGTGTCTAGGCTCTCATCCTTAATGACATTTTCATATTCTCCATCCCCCATCCCCCACCGCCTCTCCAGTAAGGACTTTTTGACAAGCTGCACTTCCCTGCTTTAGTAATTGGTGATAAGATTTGTCCTGTAGAACATATACATAGAGGATTGTTCACTCTCCTCCTTTTATGAAATAATTTTTAGAAATTGAGCTGTTAAAGGTTGTGTTTGCACATGTTTTTTGGAACAAGAACTTTAATTAAAGGATCAAAAAGCCCAAGCTCTTGCTTTTGAATAACTGAAGCCAGTGTCTATAATTTCTTGTATCTAAAATCTGTAGAAACTAGTTGTGTGATTTCAGGGGTGCATGGGGCCCCTTGGGTGTCTGAACAGAAGGGGGTGGGAGGCAGAGCCGCACCTCTGCACTCTTGCTCTGCTGGTGTAGTGGGCAGCTGCCCACCCCCACCCCACCCTGCACTGCAGGCTCTGGAGTCAGCAGATTAAGCATTTTATAAATTATATTCTAAGTATATATTTTAAACTTGTCAAAAAGATAAATCTAGCTTATTTTACCTTTAACTTGTAAAGAAAGTTTGCCTTCTTGAGTTCTCTTTGTCATGGGCAGTAGGAGTAGCTCGCCTGAGTATCATCAGTGAAGGGAAACCCACACATCTTGGTGAGCAACGAGAAATCACCATGTTAAGATTCCAGGGATTTTCTTCTCTGGTCATTGTTGTAGCCAGTGTCTTCATGGAAGACCTATTTTCGTTTCATTACCATATTTGATGCCTAAGCATTTAATAATCAGTTTATGACTACTAAACTTTTGAGGATCTTAGAATTTAACTGGCTCTAGAAAGTGGCAGAGAAACCTACACATGATTCCATGTCCTAACCCATAAGACGTGAGTGATACATGCTGAGGAGGGAAGGTGAGTCACTCCCCCTGTTAGTCTGAGGGAATGTGTATGAGTCATTTTGTGCTTCTTTTTTTCTTTATTTTATTTTTAGCATAATAAAGTACCAAACCAAGAGTTGTCTGGTTTTTGTTTTGGAGAGTGAGGGCTGCTGGTGAGGGTAGATTTCTGAACTACCCCAGAGAACGTAGTCAGGAACCTCCCAGCAGGATGAGAGAGGAGCCATCAGCTGGAAGGAGAGGGGAAAGGATCAGGAGAGGTAAGGGAACTAGGATTGCTTAACATGCAAAGGGTAAAGTAGAACCAAAGAGAATTTTTGTGCCCCAACAGGAGCAGGAAAATCTGAGAGGATGCCAACCAACTTCTAAGATTATTTTATTGATTCAGAGAAAATGCAAATTTCAACCACAGCTAAACAATAAAAAGGGAAACTTTTCATTTAGAACCAATAGTTATCATGAGTTGATTAAAAACATGAGCTGGCCTAAAGGTGGTATCCTAAACTTCTGGAGTGTGGAAAGTGATTGTTAAATTGCCTTAATTCTCTACCTAACATTTTTCTACAATGCAAGCATCTAAGAAAAGACTGAAAAAGTGGTGAACCAGATATTTGAAAAGTCAGCTTTCACCCAAATATGAGAAAATTTTTAAATGTCAGGTGGGCAATGATGTTGGTCTTGCTCCTCCAGGGTGTTTGTCTTGCAGGGACACTGTTGGGGTGCAGGTGGTCATGAGGACACCGACCTGCTCTATGAAATCAATTTCCAAAGCTTGAGCTCACTTCCAAAAACACTTCTCAAGCATGATGATAACCAACTATTGATTTATCCTGAGGGAATAATCTTTCTACAAGCTTTTATGTTCACTGTGTTGGCTTGTGGTAGCTAGTGAAAACTGGGTGATTTCCTCCCTTAATCTAGAGGTTGACCATTTAGAAACACAACAGAAGAGACTTCCAAAATGAATAAATATCTCCTGCTGTTTGAAAAGTGAACCTTCTAACAGATGAAGAAACTGCCCAGGCAGGTATTCTGAGTCACTGTGTGATTCTGGACATGCCACTCAACCTTTCTCCAGGCTTAAGTGAAGTTAATGTTTTTCCTCCCACTGACTCACGATGGTGCCTTGGGGACAGAAGAAATGAATGTTAGAAAGTCCAGTGCAAATTTCTAAAATGCCACAGGAAAAATCAGGTAAAAAACACTTTTTTGTGAAATGTAGCTGCTGTGTAAAAGACACGTGGCACACAGCCTTCCTGGCTCAGGGACAAAAATATTCATCTTTCTATAATTCAAAACCAAAAGTGGAACAACACCATGGAAGGTTTTAAGAAGGGAAGCAGAGTGTCCTTTTTAGACCAATGAGGTGAGTCATGTTCTTTTCTGATGTCTCTGGGAAAGATGTGATCAACATAAAGATGTTTTATTGCCAATGCCTAGGTAAAGCAATCTCAGTATTCATGTCTCAGAAACATGTCTTCAGATGCAGTTTCACCTCTCTGAAAATGAGCTCTCCTATGGGAAGGTTTGGTTACTAGTATAATTACAGGCTTCTGAGGGTGCCCTGGCTGTGTCTTTTGTCCATTCCCAACTGTTGCTCCTTCTTTAAAATATACATATGTCATGCCTCTGCCTGAACTCTTGACAGTACTGACTAGAATGCCTTTTCCTACTAGTGGACCACATGCATAAAATAGTTTCACAACACATGGTTGTTGGAAGGGCCATCTCTGATGCAGCATATATACCAGCACTTAATGTTAGCATCTCTCACCACTTAGTGAACAAATTTAGTCATAAGTCAGGCTGGGATTCTAATTTTTTTTATTATTTATTTATTTATTTTACAGGCAGGGTCTCTGTTGCCCAGGCTGGAGTGCAGTGCAGTGGCATGATCATAGCTCACTGTAACCTTGAGCTCCTGGGTTCAAATGATCCTTCTGCCTCAGCCTCCAGAGTAGCTGGGACTACAGGCATGTGCCACCATGCTGGCTAATTTCTTTTAAACATTTTTTGTAGAGACAGGGTCTCACTATATTGTCCAGGCTGGTCTCGAACTTCGGCCTCAAGTGATCATCCCGCCTCAGCCTCCCAAAGCACTAGGATTACAGATGTGAGCCACCGTGCCTACCCCAGGCTGGGATTTTAAAGACAGGCAGGCAAGGGCCTTTGTTAGAAGGAAATTGTCCAAAATTTCAGCAAGCAAACATGTGTTTTTTCTTGATGAGGACACCATACAACACACATCTCCACTAGTGCAAGACACTTGGAAATGGGCTTTACCAGCGATATGTCCAGAAGAGGTGAGGCGCTAAGACAGCTAGTTTACTGGCCTCAGTATTTCTCTTGCTCACTAGCAAGAGAAATAGGTCAACATTTCAGAATCACATAGAATTCTGAGGAATCCATGAGGTACAGAGACTCATGCCCACGTCACCCTCTAAAGTTCAAAGGATATGCCTTTACACATGGGAAGATGCTATGCAGTGACTATTAGAAAAGGTTAGAAAAATTTAAAAGGGTTTTTTGTTTTCTGTTTTTTTGTTTGGTTGATTTTTCGGACTCACCAAAGTAGCCACTAGACCATCAAGTTTGAGAGACACAACTTCATAAAACACAAATGTCTGTAATCCCAGCACGTTGAGAAGCCAAGGTGGATGGATCACTTAAGCATAGGAGTTTAAGACCAGCCTGGGCAACATAGTGAGACCCTCATCTCTACAAAAAATACAAAAAAAAGTTTGCCAACTATGGTGGCACATGCCTGTGATCCCAGCTGCTTGAGAGGCTGAAGTGAGAAGATCACTTGAGCCTGGGAGGTTGAGACTGCAGCAAACTATGATTATGCCACTATATCCCAGCCTGGATGACAGAGCAAGACCTTATCTCAAAAAAGAAAAAAAAAGAAGAAAAAAGAAAACACAAATGCCTGTTTCTGTATTAAGATACTCTTCTATTACCATGAAAAGCTTGGAGGGGCCAGGTGCGGTGGCTCATGCCTGTAATCCCAGCACTTTGGAAGTCTGAGGCGGGTGGATCACGAGGTCAGTAGTTCAAGACCAGCCTGGCCAAGATGGTGAAACCCCGTCTCTACTAAAAATACAATAATTAGCTGGACTCGGTGGTAGGCACCTGTAGTCCCAGCTACTCAGGAGGCTGAGGCAGGAGAATTACTTGAACTGGGGAGGCAGAGGTTGCAGTGAACCGAGATCGCGCCACTGCACTCCAGCCTGGGCGACAGAGCAAGACTCTGTCTCAAAAAAAAAAAAAAAAAAAAAAAAAAACAAAAAAGAAAAGCTTGGAGAACCAGAAATTTAATTTGTTTACTCTTTCATTAAGTTGTCCAACAAACTTTATTGAACACGTCCAATGACCAAAAGCTGCACTTGGGTCTGGAGATACAACTGTAAAGGGGACCTACACCCTGCCTTTGAGGAGCCTCCAACCCTTACCCCATTTTAGGCTGTGCATATGTAGTTTCAGGCTAATTTGCACAACTGGACCACCTATTTAGAACATGAGAATCAGAGACAAGTGGTTTCTTGAACTCATCAATAACCAATTATCACTAAAAAGTCTATGTTTAGATATGAGAAAGTATTCCGTGACCTATTTCATAAACCTCATTTAAAAATATACTTGGTGGCCAGGTGCAGTGGCTTACACCTGTAATCCCAGCACTTTGGGAGGCTGAGGTGGGAGGACCACTTGAGGCCAGGAGTTCAAGACCAGCCTGGACAAGATAGCAAAACCCCATCTCTAAAAAAACTAAAAAAAAAGTTAGTGAGGCATAGTGGTGCATGCCTATAGTCCCAGCTACTCAGGAGGCTAAGGCAGGAGCATCACTGGAGCCCAGGAATTTGAGGCTGCATTGAACTATGATGGCACCACTGCACTCCAGCCTAGGCAAAAGAGAAAGACCTTGTCTCTGGAAAAAAACAAAACCAAAAACCACCACCACCACCACCAACACCACCACCACCACCACCACCAACAAAAAACTCAGAAAACAAAAGTAAAACAATGGACTTTTTAATCCTAAAGTGAGGTAATATACCTGAACACCCATATATTTTTGGATATCCACAACAGCAAAGCAGAAAAGGTGAGGTGAAGGAGAGATGCTTGTGGGGGCCCCTTCTTTTCCATCATTTTAGAATCAACTTGTTTTCTCTGTATTTGAGAAGTATTTGAGGCCATCACCCCCAAGAGGCCAATCCAACTGTAATGGAGTCACACAGACTCACATGATCAGATAGACTTGGCTTGGTTGTGTTTTTTGGGTTTTTTTTGGTTGTTGTTGTTGTTTGTTTGTTTGTTTTTCAAGACTGAGTCTCGCTCTGTCACCCAGGCTGGAGTGCACTGGCACGATCTTGGCTCACTGCAACCTCCTCCTCCCAAGTTCAAGTGATTCTCTTGCCTCAGCCTCCTGAGTAGCTGGGATTACAGGCGTGAGCCACCATGCCGGCTAATTTTTCTATTTTTAGTAGAGATGGGGTTTCGCCATGTTGGCCAGGCTGGTCTCAATCTCCTGACCTCAAGTGATCCACCTGCCTCGGCCTCCCAAAGTGCCGAGATTACAGACGTGAGTCACCGTACCTGGCCAGACTTAGTTTTTATAGAAGGGTAAAAAGCCTTACAGATAATGTGGCTGGCCAGAGCCTGGATATGGAGGCAAAAGTCCAGATTTGGAATGACCCATCTGACATGTCCCCTTACTTGTTCGGGCCCCAGGTTACTCACTTGTGAAATGAAGGCATTATGCTGGATGATGTCTGAAGTCCCTTCGCACATTCCACTATTACGTGGTAACAGTGGCATTCTTAGCATGTTTTGTGACTTTAATTCATTGATTAGATATTTCATCAATGACCAAAGTTGCTTCAATGCTAAGATTAGAACAATTTTGGTGAGGCTTCAAAGTTAATAATTAATGCAAATAAATGAGCCATTTCACACCTCTGCTAGTATGCTCTCCTTTCCAACTCTCTGTACAGAAGAACAAATAATAGCAAACAGCAATGAATTAATTCACAAGCAAAGATTACTTCTGGCAATTAGGAAAGACAGACTCTTTTCTGTTTATATATACCTATTCTGTACATAAATATGTGTTCACATTTATAAATATATATATGTACCATTTTTCATTAAATACAAATATTCCCAAATAATATGATGATGCTAACACCTATAATATTTGTTGAGCACATACTGTGTGCCAAGCACTGTTGAGGACTTCATAGACATTATCAATGATTTCTTATTTTCATTTATTTCTTCTATTTCCAGTCTTAATGCCACAAATGATTTCTCAAAATATGGAGATTTGCAAAGTTTATTGTAAACATTTTATCTAGCAGGCACAACTGTTAACAGAGTGTAAGGAAATGACAATTCTTAAAAAATACTCTCAATTTATCTGAACTTTTGATCTGAACTCTCAATTTATCTGAACTTTCTGGAAAGGTATTCATTTGAGCATGTTTATCTGGGGACAGGGATTTTGTCTCCACCAAAGCTTTCCTCTTTTGGACAGAGAGAAAAAATCTTGGAGATTATGGAGGACGGGAGACATTGCCATCCCTAGAGAGATCAGAAAATTTAAAAAATCTCAGTCTGCCTCAAGGAAAATTTCCTGGCAATGAGGTTTATATTTGATAAGTTGTGATATTTGAACCACATGCTCTGGAAACAGTTATAAAATAAATTTTCACATAACTGAGACAATTTAGGTGTGGTTCTTTCAATCTGGACCGTATCAGAATTCATACTGGAACTGAAATATCTCAGAACCACTAATTTCCATCTCCTTTGTTAATGCAGAACTCCCAGAGCAGTGATGAAACACTTAATCGCATAAGGGATGTGTTTCATATTATGATGATTATAAGGCTACATGTTTTCCCAAAATGTACAAATACAATGTGGCATGTTTTCTTTACTCATATGCCTGCATATGGAAAACAGAAATAAAAATTGTTTACTTTGGTAACAACAAATGCCATTCTCTTGCTTAGTAGCTTTTGATATCCTTCAGCCAAACATGCAGCCTCTCAAAATACCAGAATCTGGCCGGGCACGGTGGCTCACGCCTGTAGTACCAGCACTTTGGGAAGCCAAGGTGGGCCAATCACCTGAGGTCAGGAGTTCCAGACCAGCCTGGCCAACATGCTGAAACCCCGTCTCTTCTAAAAAAATACAAAAATTAGCCAGGCATGGTGGTGGGCACCTGTAATCCCAGCTGCTTGGGAGGCTGAGGCCGGAGAATGGCTTGAACCTGGGAAGCAGAGGTTGCAGTGAGTGGAGATTGCACCACTGCACTCCAGCCTGGGTAAGTGAATGAGACTTCATCTCAAAAAAAAAAAAAGATACCAGAATCTGTATTAAATACAATGAGTTTCTCACTCCCAGCCTCCTTTTCCTCTTTCTTTCCTTTTTTAATGACTCCATTGTTAAATAAGAAATGGATAATGTCAGCTTTCCCAATGGCACTAGTAGTATTTGTTGCTGTTTCATAAGTAATTTAGGAAAGCAACTGAAGCATAAAGGAGCTAATTATTTATTACTGTCTTCTCCTCTACTGGGTATCACTACAATCTTTAATATTAATGTCTTTCTTACAAGTGTAGGGTTGGAAAATTGAAGTCAGTGAGTTTCATTGATAAATTAAGCAGCTATGAAATGTTATCAGGTGACTAGCTGATCCTGATTTTATCATCAAACTAAAACAGTGCTTTGCTTAATGCATGCATTATCTAAATATTTAATCTAAGTGTGTGTTGATGTATTCTTAATTGTCATAGCACCTTCTTTAAGTGAATCTCTTTTAGGGTCATAAGCAGTTTGAGCTGGTTCTCATAAGTCAAGTGCAAGCTTACCAATCAACAGTTCGACAACCAGTGTGGTACGGACAAAACAGACTGAGCCGCGACAGAACAGCAGCCTGAGTGATGATAGCTGTGCTCAGAAGCCAGCCTAGCCAGAGCTGGCAATTCAGGCAATTCACAGGATAAATCAAAAGCCACAGTCTGGGAGCCTAGAATCAGCAGAGAGGTGTCTGATGTGGATATTGTCGGAAAGCGTGTGCATTGTACAGCCAGCGTATGTCAGAAGAAACATGGTTCTAGTACGTTGCTTTTCAAACTCTACAGGGTGTAGGCAGAGATCATTAAGCAAACAGATGTCAGAAAGGACAGAAAGCTCCTTACCTGGTTCAGCTACCACCTCTCTGTAAAGAAGAGTGCATAAAACCCACACAGATAACCCACCTCTACCCACCCATAGAACATCCTCACTCTAGGAGCATGAAAATACCTAGAGGTTTTCAAGTCTCTCGACGGCCGTGTGAAAATTAGCCTAAAATCACATGTGCACAGGCTAAAGATGCAAACCATTTTCTCAAATGAGCACCACATCTTTTCAATTGTTCTGGAATTGGTGACACTACCATCATCCTCTTGATTCCTGTGGAATCTTCTTGGACCCTGACCTTAATGTCCATTTTGCCTGCCCCATGGTGACCCAGCCCCAGTGAGTGTTTTACCTCCAATGGCCGGGAAACCACAGAACACGCTGCCTAAAGCACCATTTATTTTTTATTGTTTGAGACAGGGTGTCACTGTGTTGCCCAGGCTGGAGTGCAGTGGCACGATCTCAGTTCACTGCAGCCTTCACCTCAGGCTCAAAGGATTCTCCCACCTAAGCCTCCTGAGTAGCTGGGACTATAGGCACACCACCACGCCTGGCTAATGTTTTTTTTTTTTATGTTTTGTAGAGATGAGGTTTTGGCATGTTGCTCAGGATGGTCTTGAACTTGTGGGCTCAAGCGATCAATCTGCCTTGGCCTCCCAAAGTTCTGGGACTACAGACATGAGCCACAGCACCTGGCTTTTTTTTTTTTTTTTTTTTTTTTTTTTGAGACAGGGTCTTGCTCTGTTGCCCAGGCTAGAGTACAGTGGTATGAACTCAGCTCACTACAGCCTTGAGCTCCTGGTCTCAGGCAATCTTCCCACCTCTGCCTCCCGACTACAGGTGTGAGCCACCACACCTGGCTAACTTATCACAGATATGAGCCACTGCACCTGGCCAAGCACCATTTTTGTCACTGTCAGTTTCCTGCTTGAGAAATTACAGTGGCTTCTGCATTACTTTAATAATTGTGTCCTCCTTATGACCCTTTGTAGTCTCCAAAGGCTGGGCTCCTCTTCTGTTGCTGAGCTAATCTATTTATTCTCCCCGCCTGCGCTTGGCTCATTCCTGGGCCCAAGCCTTACCACTTGCTACTCTTCCTCTAAATTTGGATTTCTTCCCCTCTCTTGTCCTCAAACCCACTGTCACTTTTGAATTTGAAGACATGTTGCTTTGCACGCCGCTCCTCTTTGGGGTACATCTGTGAGCACCTGCATGGCTAAGAGGGAGTGCTCAGTGAGAACCCAGTGAATGATGAAGGTGTATGTGAATGACGATTGGATGGGAGAGGCTGCCCAAGTGGAAAAGCGGTATTTGCTTTTCAGTACAGGAAAATTTCCGTGATATTTTTCTGGCACACAATAAAGAAAATGCTATATTGAAGCAAATTAATATATTTTAACTTTGTGTAGATGCAGTGGGAATTACTTTTTAAATGGTGTATGGAAATAAAAGAACTGGTTGAAAAGAACAATTTTTCAAATGAATGTGTCTAATGTCTCCCAACAGATAAGGAAGGGAATAGAAATTTGTGAAGAGGATCACACACCATCACTTTTACACACTCACTATGTGATTTCGCAGTAGAATTAGAAAAGTCAAATTTCATAGTCCAAATGTAGAAAATAGTAGGAATTAGGGCTGGGTGTGGTGGCTCACACCTGTAATACCAGCAATTTGGAAGGCCAAGGTGGGCGGATTGCTTGAGTCTGGGAGTTAGAGACCAGGCTGGGCAACATGGTGAAACCCTGTCTCTACAAAAAATATATAAAGTAGCTAGGTGTGGTGGCTGGCACCTGTAGTCCCAGCTACTTGGGAGGCTGAGACAGGAGAATCGCTTGAGCCTGGGAGGTCAAGCCTGCAGTGGGTGGTAATGGTGCCACTGCACTCCAGCTTGGGTGATAAAGTGAGACCCTGTCTCAAAAAAAAAAGAAAAGAAAATAGTAGGAATGGCTAATTGATGAATAGGTTAGTTCAAAAGAGAGCTCCTAACTGCCCACTGGCCGTACCCCAATTAAAGTAACTTCCAGAAATAATTCTTCTTCAAAAATACATTATCTATGCAAAGGATTCTTTATTAATAACATACATCAGGGTTTGGCAAACTATCTGTGGGCCAAATCCAGCCCGCCTCCAGTTTGGGTAACTGTAAGTTGCTTAGAGTACAGCCAGGCTCGCTCTTTTTGGATTGCCGATGGCTGCTTCCAACTACTATGGTGGAGCTGAGCAGTTGTGATAGAGACCCTACAACTCACAACACTGAAGACCTAAGTTGCAGACTGAAAATGAACCTTACAGGAAAGGTTTGCTGACCCTTGACCTACATGATCTAAGGATATAGTGCGTAATTTGTCTGGAAGTGCCATTAACTTGCTTTCTCCAGTGGGAATGTAGCATGGTTGGGTACATTAATCCTGAAATAAGTGAGAGATCCAGACCTCCTGTGTGTCCTTCCCATCAGACACTGACCTAGGGCCTGGAATCTCCCTAGCTTGCTAAGGAAGCAGTGACCTCTGGTTACCAAGTAGAGGGATCAAGTCCTCCTGGCTTTCCAGGACTGTCATGGTTTAAAAACAAAGTCTCACCTTCCGGGAAATCCCTCAGTCCTAGGCAAACCAGGATGGTTGGTCACCCTGAGATATAATGGATAGATCATAGGGCCCAGGGCAGACTAACTTGAGCTCAAATCCCACTTTTGTGACTTCACACCATGCAACCTTGGGCAAATTACTTTACCTCCCTGAACCTCAGTTATCCTGTCTATGAATTGGGACTGAATCTATTTGAGGAGTTGTAAGGATTAAAGGAGATTATGGGCCAGGCACAGTCGCTCATGTCTCTAATCCCAACACTTTGGGAGGCCAAGGTGGGAGGATCAGATCACTTGAGGCCAGGAGTTCAAGACCAGCCTGAGCAATATGGCAAGACCTTGTCTCTACAAAGAAAGGAAGAAAGGAAGAAAGAAAGAAAAAGAAAGAAAGAAAGAAAGAAAGAAAGAAAGAAAGAAAGAAAGAAAGAAAGAAAGGAAGGAAGGAAGGAAGGAAGGAAGGAAGGAAGAAAATTATGCACTGAAAGAGCTTACTTGCACATAATAGACATTGACTAAATACTAGTTCCCTTTCTACCTTTTTGACCACCATTAGCTAAAGTTTTAAAAAACTCAATCTTTAGCCAAAACTCCTTTTTTCATAAAAGGAGAAAATTAGGCCAGGCATGGTGGCTCACGCCTGTAATCCCAGCACTTTGGGAGGCCGAGGTGGGCAAATCACTTGAGGTAAGGAGTTCGAGACCAGCCTAACCAACATGGTGAAACCCCATCTCTACTAAAAATACAAAAAAATTAGCCAGGCATGGTGGCGCACACCTGTAGTCCCAGCTGGAGGCTGAGACACAAGGATCTCTTGAACTGGGAGGCGGAGCTTGCAGTGAGCCGAGATCACACCACTGCACTGCAGTCTGGATGACAGAGAAAGACTGTCTCAAAAAAAAAAAAAGAGGAAATTAAAATAACTTTTGTATGCTCCCCATGTTCTAGTGATGTCATTTTTTTGCCCCTTATAAATACATACCTAATAAACAAATAACTTATTCTGCAGTGGAGAAAATAAACCATACACATATAATTGCCCGATTACTGTTTTATATTTTAGAGTCTGGAGACAAGTGGTTGCTTCTGTTTTGTCCAACTATGGATACATCGCAGAAAGGTTTGCTCTGCTCAACTAGTTAAAGTGGCACCTGATGCCCCAGGTCCGTGGCCAGATGCAGAACTCTGGGCAACAAGGGCCAGGGCCTTTTTCTAATCTAGCATTTCATGCCTCTAACGGAAAATGTTGGCAGGAAGTTGATAGAGCCTGAGAGTGCTACCTCACTTGTGATTCATCTGATGGATCAGTGTGACCTGAAGCACTAAGTTAACCAACAGGCTCATTAATTTTTAAAAGAGGTGGTTAGTAATAAACCAATAGTGCTGTACAAATCCAATAGCAGCCTACACACCTTCAAAAGTCCCCAGAATGAGATCAAAGGACAAGGCAGCATCAGTTTCATTCCAACAATAGCATTTTGATTTAACATCCACTTTGTTGGCAAATGTGCAGGAATAAAATAATGCGTATTCCTATAGTAATTTATATTCTAAATTACACTGAAAAGCCTAGGTGGTCCCCAACAAATTCAATTTCCTTTAGACTGTAGCTATATTAGTTTGAAGAATCAAGTTTGTACTGGATGAACTGATCAAATAAATCTAAAACTATCAGCATGTTAATGGAATATCCATTACCTAAGGCCAGGCGTGGTGGCTCACACCTGTAATCCCAGCACTTTGGGAGGCTGAGGTGGGCGGATCACGAGGTCAGGAGACCAGCCTGGCCAACATGGTGAAACCCCATCTCTACTAAAAATACAAAAATTAGCCAGGCGTGGTGGTGCGTGTCTGTAATCCCAGCTACTCAGGAAGCTAAGGCAGTGAGAATCACTTGAACCTGGGAGGCAGAGGTTGCAGTAAGCTGAGATCGCGCCATTGCACTCCAGCCTGGGCAATAGAGAGAGACTCCATCTCAAAAATGAAAATAAAAATAAAAATAAAATAAATAATGCATACCTAATGTATCATAATGGTTCAAAATACCTACAATCATAGCTGGTTCCCAATGAATTTAATTTACTTGAGCTTGTGGCCATATGATTTTAAGGAATCAAACTTTTTGCTTAATTTATTAGTCAAATCAGCCAAAACTTATAAATTCAGTGAAAAAAATAGTTGTTTGGCTAATTTGAGTGGTTAATGCAGTAAAGTGAGTCAAATTATTAGCTCAAAATACATACTGCCTTAATTTGATCTAAACTATAAACATCTGCTTTGCCTTTTTGGTTAGGGTGACACCAAAAAGCATTAGTTTCCAAACTTGGCTGAGCATTAAGAATCCCCAGGAATGCTTTTAAAACTTCCAAAGCCCAAGCCACACCCAGACCAAGTCAATCAGAATCCATTGGGTGAACCCAGGCATCAATCCCCTGGATGATTCCAATGTTCAGAATTCAAGAAATTCCTTGAGATCAGGAATTCAAGACCAGCCTGGGCAACATGGCGAGATCCCATCTCAAAAAAAAAAAAAAAAAAAAAAAGAAAAAGAAAAGAAAGCAATAGCTAACGATTTATTAAGCTGTCACCAAATGCCAAGCATAATGGCAGGCATTTTCCATGGATTATTTTATTAAATTCTCACACATACCAGTGAAACCTTATAAAGTCAGTAGGATTGTTGTGCCCATTTGACAAATGGAGAAATTGAGGCACAGGAGGCTGGGTACTTGCCCAAGGATACCCATACTAGCAAGTGGTCAAGTGAGAGTCGTCACAAATGCAGTGACTCCAAAGCTTTAACTTGAATTATTTTTTAAAACCAGTGACTTAAAACTCAGTGCTTCTTTAGGTCTTTGTACTTCCTTATCTTATGTCTTGAGGGCATTGGTTTGTATCACTTTTCTTTGTTTCTTGGTTTTCTTTGTTTCTGGACGCCAAGGCCTCTCCAAATAGCACGCGAAAGCAATTTCTCATGCCCCTGGGAGAGAGGTAGGCGTGGCTTTATGGATGTGATAGGCAGAGGACTTAATATTCTGCATTAACATCTCCTTCTCTCTCAAGGGAATTTCTAGCAGACTTAAAGCACTGTAGGCAACAGAAAGGAAACCTGAAATGCAACATCCACCTGGAAGACACATACATATTTGCTGAAGCGTGTTTCAAATTTAACTGAAAAAGAAGAAGAATATAATTGTGCTTCTCATTCACTGCAAATCTTGTGATTTCATAGTCTTCAGTGTTGACCTGTCAACCTGTATGGGTTGTTTGTTTAAAAAGGTTGTATTTTTATTTTATTTTATTTTTTTAGGCAGACCACTTAAGTATCATGTGTTACTGAATACCAGCTGAATTATTTTGTTGTTGTTGTTTTGACAGTCTTGCTCTGTTGCCCAGGCTGGAGTGCAGTGGCCTGATCATAGCTCACTGCAACCTCGAACTTCTGAGCTCAAACGATCCTCCAACCTCAGCCTCCTGAGTAGCTGGGACTACAGGCGTGCACCATCATGCCCAGCTATTTTTCAAAAAAATTTTTGTAGAGATGGAGATCTGACTTTGTTGCCCAGGCTGGTCTCAAACTCCTAGCCTCAAGCAATCCTCCCACCTCAGCCTCCCAAGGTTCTGGGATGATAGGTGTGAACCATTGCATCTGGCCCACCAGCTAAATTCTTAACATTTAAACTATAAACATTACAATTTTTTGTTGCAGAACAAAAATGAAAAGAAGAAAGATGAAAATACACTACAATGTCACGGTCATTTGCACCAGTTTCCTGTGTACAGCTCTGCTGCTCTACGCTCATTTCTCAATCAGGTTTTGTCTCTCTTTTTTGCATTAAAAGCTGAGAGAGGAGCTAAAACTGCCCTGAGAAGCTCCCCCGGGACCCTGCCTGATCATCAGGGGAATGGGGCCTACCTCAGCAGTCTACTTTCTTCATTCAGCCCTATAGCCTCAGGAGAGAAGTTTGTCTCGCTCAGAGGAAGCAGTGGCCGCTCTGTCCCATACCCTGTCAGGCCATTTCCCATAGGAGACTGGACCTAGGGTGTGTGCTCAGGGTCCCAGTTTCTGCGGCGTTGAGCGGGTCCGGTACTCCTTTCCACACCAGGCTGAACCCCAAGGAAGCGAATCCATGTCCTCGTGGAAGAATAGGCCCCAAAGTGCCAAGCATCAGCCCCGTCAGTGCTGCCTGGAGAGCCGCCTGTGTCCTGCAGAACTTACACCCATGCAAGAGTGCACCCACTCAGCAAATGCGGGACACCGTCAGGAAGAACAAGACATCCTTGCTTCAGCTTCCCTCCTGTCACCTTTCCACTTCCCTTTGGGGAAGGTGTGCCTGGGTTTGCACACGGACTGGGGCCCCATCCCTGTTCCCCGCTGTGTGTGGCAGGGCAAGGGAATGCATTTTTAAATACCTTTCAGGCTAGGATTCCTTTTTTTTTTTTGATGGCATACTCTAACTCCAACATTTCTTCTGTAAGTATCACCAGTTATTTTACTAAAATCTAGATTTCCCAATCCAAGTGTTAGGAAGGTACTATGCTGCTGCTGCTTTGGGGCTTTCTGTCTGGCAACATCTATAAACAGTGCAATAGTGACTGTAGTCAGTTTCACGGTCTCATGTCTGAATCTTTTTTTTTTTTTTTTTGACAGAGTCCCACTCTGTCTTAGCCTCCCAAGTAGCTGGGATTACAGGCGCCTGCCTCCACGCCCAGCTAATTTTTTATTTTTAGTAGAGAGGGGGTTTCACCATATTGGCCAGGCTGGTCTTGAACTCCTGAGCTCAAGTGATCTGCCCGCCTCGGCCTCCCAAAGTGCTGGGATTACAGGCGTGAGCCACCGCGCCCGGCCCTTTTTTTTTTTTTTTTTTGAGACAGTCTCCCTCTGTCCCCCAGGCTTGAGTGCAGTGGGGCGATATCTCGGCTCACTGCAACCTCCGCCCCACCAGTTCAAGTGATTCTCCTGTCTCAGCCTCCCGAGTAACTGGGATTACAGGTGTGCATCACCACACCCAGCTAATTTTTGTATTTTTAGTAGAGACAGAGTTTCACCTTGTTGGCCAGGCTGGTCTCGAATTCCTGACCTCAGGAGATCTGCCCACCTCGGCCTCCCAAAGTGCTGGGATTACAGGCGTGAGCCACGACACCCGGCCTAGGCTTCCTTCTTTAAAGACAAATTTCCAGTGGGGCTCTGTAAGTAATCCTCATATTTTCTCGTTGAGGAGTGTGGCCAGAGAAGGTGAGTCTTCTGCACGTAGCAGGGGGGAAATGGTCAGGAGATACTGTAAAAGCACTAAGAAAACCGGAAGGAAAAGGCCAGGCTCCAGGAGCACAGAGACTGGATGGATTCCTGCTTCCCTGTCACTCGGCTCTGTTCAGGCGGTGCAGTCACTTCCTTCACCTCAGTGTCCCTGTTTGTGCAAATGAGGTGACTATTGGTGCCGACCTACTTCCCAGGCAGTTTTGAAGAGAAGTGGCAAACGTTGAAGGGCGCACACTCTCCTTCCCCAAGCTCCCTCCCTCCCCACGTGTGCACCCAGAAGGAAATAAAAGCCGTAATTTGCACTGGCGAGTCGGCCCGCCTCGTCGAGGGTTCCGCTGAGCTGCTCACAAGGGCGTGCGGAGGCCCGCGGCCGGCCCTGGCCCCTGTGGTGGCAGCAGCTGGCTGGCTTCCCGGGCGGCTACCTCCAGCTGCAGCTGTCGGTGCTATTTGCAGCTCTCCACATCCTGAGAGCTGGACGCCGAGGACCGCTCCCTGGAGGGCGTGCGTAAAATGCAGCAGCGGAGCGGTGAGGAGATTACCGGAAAAACTGGGAGCGGAGTCAGGCTCGTTCTGGAGCAGGGAGAGGCTTGGGAAGTTGCGAAACGTTGACCTGCAGGGTCTTGAGGAACTGTCGGCCTGGGCTGTCCCCGTGGGTCATTGAACATTAATCAGCCACCAGTCCTCGACCAAGCCAACCGAAATAGAGTCAGCAGGCAGAATGACGAATACAGTTTGAAAGGGAACGAACTTACTCTTATTCTCTCCTTGGAAAGGCCTTTCCAGACTCTCGAACTCACCCCTGTCACATTACCCTGTTGTGTTATCTTTGTGGGCCTGCGCAGCACCTGAAATGATCTGTCTTAGGTATGTGTGTGCTTGTTCATTGTTTTGTCTTCTCCGTGAAAATCTAAGCTCCTAGAAACTTTGTGAGGGAGGCAATGGGTCTGTTTTGTTTACCTCTGCATCTGCAGGGCCGAGTACAATGCCCAGCTCATTTGTAAATGAGTGAAGGAGTCCCCTACTAGCAGGCTGCCTACTCATCAATCAAGTAGTTGTTGGGTTTCTCATTTTTACCTTTGGAGATGTTGTCTTCGACCTACGGGAAGGAATTGGATCTATTTGAGGGTAAAGAAATTCATCCTCCCTGGGTTTATGTATTTTCCAACCCACTGCATAGAGTCTGACAAAATATTAATGGTCTTCACTGTTTCTTTTGATGATGTCTGCCACTTGTCACTATTTAATGTAATTTCATGTCATTTAAAGAAAGTAAAATTAGGGGCTGGGCGCAGTGGCTCATGCCTGTAATCCCAGCACTTTGGGAGGCCGAGGCGGGCGGATCACCTGAGGTCAGGAGTTCGAGACCAGCCTGGCCAACATGGTGAAGCCCCGTCTCTACTAAAAATACAAAAATTAGCCAGGCATGGTGGCGGGCACCTGTAATCCCAGCTACTCGGGAGGCTGAGGCAGGAGAATCGCTTGAACCCAGGAGGCGGAGGTTGCAGTGAGCCGAGACTGCACCATTGCACTCAGCCTGGGCCACAAGAGTGAAACTCTGTCTCAAAAAGAAAAAAAGGAAAAAAAAAAAAGAAAGTAAAATTATAGGGTAACTAGAAAGTTACAATAGTGTAACAAGCATAATCATTTAGAAGATTTTCACCTGTAACGTGGTTAAGATAAGTTTGAGACTCAGTTCAATTCAACACATTTGACTTTCAGACAGATCCAATGTAGTCTGTTGTATTTAGAAAGAATTCAGACCTTTATAAGGACGATTTCATGACATTAATGAAATTTATGTGTTAATGGAACTGAAGGACTTCACTCTGAAAGCAAGTGTTCTCTAAACCTAAATATTTTAAGAAGAAAATTAGTTGAAAGTTTAAAAGCTTGTCAAAAGTGACAGTCATTTCATTTCTTTTCTTTTTTTAGAGATGGGGTCTCACTGTGTTGCCGAGGATGGAGTACAGTGGCTATTCACAGGCACAGTCATTGTGCACTACATCCTGGAACTCCTGGGCTTAAGCAATCCTTCTGCCTCAGCCTCCCAAGTAGCTGGGACTATAGACACACACCACCACACTCAGCAAAAGTGACAATTGTTTCTAATACAGACATCCACACCTGGACATACTGTGAAAATTATATTCATTGGGCATATTAGTGTCCGTTCTTTCCAAGATCTGAGTTCATAATGTTTTCTTCTGTAATTGTAATGAAATATCACCATTTCTTGCTAGCATTATACCAAATCCCTCTAGGCAACTGGGTAGCAGGCTATATGCCAACCTAGGTTTTTGGAGATGACTTGTATCTTGTTTGCTATTAGAGCCAACATGTTAGAATTTGTGATTTGTCACAGAGTAGAAGACGAGTTCACTCAAGAAGCACTTATTTATGAGCACCTACACAGGTGATAGAACAGTCAAAAGACAGGAGTTCTGGCCCTTCTGGAACTGACAATCTTACTAGAAAAATAAATGTTACCACATCACTTGAACAAAGGCACAATTATGCAATTTGAGTTGTGTTTTGACTTCCTTCCCACTACCTTGTTTTTTTGTTTTTGTTTTTTGTTTGTTTTGTTTTGTTTTTATGCTGGAGGTGTTGTGGGAGATGGAGTTTTGCTCTTGTCACCCAGGCTGGAGTGTGATGGCACGATCTCAGCTCACTGCAACCTCTGCCTCCCAGGTTCAAGTGATTCTCCTGCCCCAGCCTCCTGAGTAGCTGGGATTACAGGCATACGCCACCACGCCCGGCTAATTTTTTGTATTTTCAGTAGAGATGGGGTTTCACCATGTTAGTCAGGCTGGTCTCGAACTCCTGACCTCAGGTGATCTGCCTGCCTCAGCTTCCCAAAGTGCTGGGATTACAGGTGTGAGCCACTGCACCCGGCCCCTCCTTGCTGTCTTAATAGAAAGTGGAAAATAGAAATCTTCTGCACAAGGCCTTTGGTTTGAATGCAACATGCCTAGAGATAGGGAACTGGAATCCAACACCGTTGCCTACAGATCTTTGGAGACTAAAAGAGAAAAAATCCAGGAAAGAAAAAAAAAAAAACAAAAAACGGCTGCCATAGCTATTGGCCTCATTGGACAGGCCTGGGTGATGTGCACAGACCCTAAAGGTGGCCGGAGCTGACCAGCTTCCTATTGCACTCTTCTGGGTGGCCCAGGCACCCAGTTGCATTGGCTGTGGCCACTGAGAAAGGATTGAGTCAGGCTGAGCCATGGGCAATGACAGAGGAGAGGGGATCAGCAGAGCCTACCTGAAAGCAAAGGAGAAATGGGTCGGTCACCTCATCGCAGAATTTACAGATGAAGGGGACAAACTTGTTACCTGAGGGTTTCCTTCATGCCTTGGAGTTTCTCTGAAAGAAAAGACAGCTGAGCATTTGCCCTGTTTTTGTTTTACCATTTTTACACTTTCGAAGTCATGCCATCAAGTTTTAAGCTAGTAAGAGGACCATATACCGAATGGTACAATATCATAGTTCTTGTAGCAGCTACATTTTGATGAATAAAATTTCTTTTAAAATCTCTTTTTTAAAAATGAAGAGACTTCTTCTACCAGGCAGCAAATGTTTCTTTCCTATGTAAACTTAGCTTGCAAACATAATTTTAAACAGCTTTATCATGACTATATATCTTGCTAATTTATTATCTTTTTTTTTTCTTTCTTTCAGAGTCATGGTCTTGCTATATCACCCAAGCTGGAGTGCAGTGGCATGATCATAGCTCACTGCAACCTTGAACTCCTGGGCTGGAGCAAGCCTCCCAACTTGGCCTTCCAAAATGCTGAGATTGATTACAGGTGTGAGCCACCTCACTGGGCCTCTTGCTAGTTTATTGTTTAAAAATCTTCCTCAGGGCCGGGTGCAGTGGCTCATGCCTGTAATCCCAGGCCTTTGGGAGGCTGAGATGGGAGGATCACTTGATCCCAGGAGTTTGAGACCAGCCCGGGCAACATGGAGAGAGCCTGTCTCTACAAAAAATCAGCAATTAGCTGGGCGTGGTGGTGTGCACCTGTAGTCCCACTACTCAAGAGGCCGAGGAGGGAGGATCACTTGAACTCAGAGGGTTGAGGCTATAGTGAGCCATGATTGAGTCATTGCACTCCAGCCTGGGCGATAGAGTGAGACTTTGTCTCAAAAAAGAAGAATAAATAAATAAATAAATAAATAATAAAAGCCTTCCTTAGACTTTTTCCCTGGCACTTTCTGAAGTGATGGCAGATGGGTTTTATTCTGGTTCTTATAATAGCTAAAATTGGGTCACAGAAAGGAATCTAGATTAGATGACAAGATTATTATTTTCATCTGATAATTTCCATTACTCACCTAACTGCTGTCTTTCCTGGAATTAAAGAGAAAAGAAACTATGGAGGCCGGGAGCGGTGGCTCACGCCTGTAATCCCAGCACTTTGGGAGTCCGAGGTGGGTGGATTGCCTAATGTCAGGAGTTCAAGACCAGCCTGACCAACATGGTAAAATCCCGTCTCTACTAAGAATACAAAAAAAAAAAAGTAGCCGGGCGTGGTGGCGGGTGCCTGTAATCCTAGCTACTCAGGAGGCTGAGGCAGGAGAAATGCTTGAACCTGGGAGGCGGAGGTTGCAGTGAGCCAAGATCGCACCATTGCACTCCAGCCTGGGCAACAAGAGTGAAACTCCATCTCAAAAACAAACAAACAAACAAAAACTATGGAGACCCAGGTTCCAGGGCCCTTGGGTGGAGAATAAATTTTAGGAATTCCTTTGGATATCTGACAGTAGAAGCTATTCCTTGTAAGTCTGTTGCTGTGAAATCACAACATAGCTCATTTAGCAGCGGGACAGCCCATCTCTGGAAAAAAAATGGTGTGAGGGTGGAATTACGCCTTGGGAGGCCAAGGAGGGAGGATTGCTTGAGGCCAGGAATTCAAGACCAGCCTGGACAACATAGCAAGACTCTGTCTCTACAAAAAATAATTTTAAAAAAATTAGGCATGGTGGTGCATGCCTGTAGTCCTAACCTACTTGAGAGGCTGAGGTAGGAGGACTGCTTGAACCCAGGAAGTTTAGACTGTAGTGAGCCATGATTGTGCCACTGCACTCCAGCCTGGGTGACAGAGCAAGACTCTGTCTCATAAAAAAAAAAATGAATAAATAACATAGAAAAAAAGATATTCATAATAAAATAAAATGGAAATATTTTGATGATTTCTTAGTGAGATTTTAAGAATTGTTATTAATAGCCTACTAAGACCTAGAGGTAAGAACAAATTAGATTTGGCCTGAAAATGAAGATGTAGCAAAAAACAATAAAGAAAAAAATGGCATCTCTGTTTTTTGTTTTTTGTTTTTTTTTTCAGACGGAGTCTTGCTCTTTTGCCCAGGCTAGCGTACAGTGGCATGATATCAGCTCTCTGCAACCTCTGCCTCCTGGGTTCAAGCAATTCTCCTGCCTCAGCCTCCCAAGCAGCTGGGATCACACGCATGCACCACCATGCACTGCTAAATTTTAGTATTTTTAGTAGAGACAGGGTTTCATCACATTGGCCAGGCTGGTCTCAGACACCTGGCCTCAAGTGATCTGCCTGCCTCGGCCTCCCAAAGTGCTGGGATTACAGGCGTGAGCCACCGCGCCCTGCCAAAATCAATATTATTTTGATTTTTTAGTAGAGACTGGCCTGGGTCAGTTGATTCTTAAGTACAGTTATTTAAAAACCTTTAGGACCTTAACAATTTTTTTAAAAACTCCCAAGTTTTATATTTTTATTTATTTATTTATTTATTTTTGAGACAGAGTTTCACTCTTTCGCCCAGGCTGGAATGTAGTGGTGTGATCTTGGCTCACTGCAACCTCTGCCTCCCGGGTTCAAGCGATTCTCCTGCCTAAGCCTCCCGAGTAGCTGGGACTACAGGTGCATGCCACCATGCCGAGCTAATTTTTATATTTTTAGTAGAGACGGGGATTTCACCATGTTGGGCAGGATGGTCTCGATCTCCTGACCTCGTGATCCGCCTGCCTTGGCCTCCCCAAGTGCTGGGATTACAGGTGTGAGCCACTGCGCCTGGCCAAAATCAATATTATTTCTAAAGGTACACTGTAATTATCTATAGAAGCTCAATATATATAAATTCAGACGTGAAAGTTTGCAATGCTGCCTTCTAAAAGTTAAGTGCTTAAAAGAAACATGAGGCCAGGCATGGTGGCTCACGCCCATAATCCCAGCACTCCGGGAGGCCGAGGCGGGCGGATCACTTGAGGTCAGGAGGTTGAGACTAGCCTGGCAACATGGTGAAACCCCGTATCTACTAAAAAATACAAAAATTAGCCAGGAATGGTGCAGGCACCTGTAATCCCAGCTACTCAGGAGGCTGAGACAGGAGAATCGCTTGAACCTAGGAGGCGGAGGTTGCGGTGAGCTGAGATTGTGCCACTGCACTCCAGCCTGGGCGACAGAGCAAGACTCCATCTCAGAAAAAAAACAAACAAACACAAAAAAGCCATGAAATTTACACTGCTTTTCAGTGACCTATGTAGGGTAAAATCCATTACTCATCAATGTATGAAAAAGATTCCTATGGGATTGTCTAGAGGATAAATTATACATAATTAATTCAGTTTCATGTTGGCCTATTGGCCACTGTTAAATGCCTGAAAGAATGTTGATCTACGTCTTGGTTTTAAAACAGTATGTGAAAATGTTGTTATTTAACCTTATTTAAAGAAAAAAAATCTGATACAGTTACTAATTAGTAAATTTTGGAGATTATGTAGGTTTTTACAAAGTACAGTGACACAATGAAGTAAAAAGCAAAAAAGCTCTAATGCTCGTGCAAAATTTTCAGTTTTTCTACCAATTCCAATTGATCTAGGCATTCACTTTTTGCAGTTCTGCAATTACTTGAATATAAAAGCTCTTTCTGTTAATCTCCAACCTGAAAAGTAGTAAGGTAACAGAAGTATAAAGAGGAATGGACATTTCAATCCAATGGTTTTCCAAGTTTTTCAGGCTTTTTATCTGCTTGCTTTTGAAGGTTTACTCCTTTCACGATTCCCCCCACTGTTGTAGGCTTGAACCTTTATAAAATCTTAGAAACCATGACCCTATTTTGTATCCCTTCTATGTAAAATTGTCTGAATAGCCTTTTAAAAAGTTGTTACATTTGGGTGAAAACTTTCCAAAGGTAGCTTGGTAAAATTCACCAAATTTGGCTCATCTTTTGATTCAGTGATTTCCCTTTGAGGAATATATTTATATCCTAAGAAAATAATTATGGGCAAAGGTGTGAGCATAAAGAAAGGATAGTCATGTTAACCTTATATGTAACAGTAAAAAATCATAAACTAAATGTCTAATAATATGGAATTGATTGAATAATTTATGGTATTTTACATTCAGGCACTTAAAATAATGCCCAGCAGAATAAGAATATATGATGACATAGACTTTTTTAATATTTATATTTATTTATTTATTTATTTTGAGATGGAGTTTTACTCTTGTTGCCCAGACTAGAGTGCAATGGTGCGACCTCGGCTCACAGCAACCTCCGACTCCTGGGTTCAAGCAATTCTCCTGCCTCAGGCTCCCAAGTAGCTGGGATTACAAGCACCCACCACCATGCCCAGTTTATTTTTGTATTTTAGTAGAGACGGGGTTTCACCATGTTGGCCAGGCTGGTCTCGAACTCCTGACCTCAGGTGATCCACCCGCTTCAGCCTCCCAAAGTGCTGGGATTACAGGTGTGAGCCACCGCATCCGGCCGACTTTTTAAATTTTTTTAAAGACAGGATCTCACTCTGTTGCCCACGCTGAAGTGTAGTGGCACCATCTCAGTTCACTGCAACCTCCGCCTCCCAGGTTCAAGCGATTCTTGTGCTTCAGTCACCTGAGTAGCTGGCACTATAGGCGCATGCCACCATACCTGGCTAATTTTTGTATTTATAGTAAAGACAAGCTTTCACCATGTTGGCCAGGCTGGTCTCAAACTCCTGGCCTGAAGTGATGCGCCTGCCTTGGCCTCCCAAAGTACTGGGATTATAGGTGTGTGCCACTGTGCCCAGCTGACATAGACTTTTGTTCAAGATAGACTGTGAAGTAGAAAAAGCAGCTTACAAATGCAGTATTTTTAAATTATTAACATTTTTTAAAACATATATATGTATGTATATCTATATGCACACAACACTACAAAAAGACAACTCAATTTAAATATGGGTGAAGAACTTGAATTAGTTCTCCAAAGCATACAAATGGCCAATAAACACATGAAAAGACACTCAGTATCATCAGTCATTAGGGAGACACAAATCAAATCACAATGCGATTCCACTTCACACCTACTAGGATGGCTATAATTTTAAAAAATAGAAAATAGGAAGTGCTGGCAAGGTTGTAGAGAAATTGAAACCCTCATACATCATTGGTGGGAATGTGAAGTGGTGCAGCTGCTGTGGAGAACAGTTTGGCAGTTCCTTAAAAAGCTAGTCATAAAATTACCATATGACCCGACAATTCCACTCCTAGATATATACCCAAAGTATTGAAAACAAGAACTCAAACAAATACATGTACACGCACATTCATAGCAGCATTATTCACAATAGCCACAAGGTGGAAACAGCCTAAGACCTTATCACTGGATGAATGAATAAGGAATTATGGTATATACACACAATAGAATATTATTCAGCCTTAAAAACGAATGAATGGGCTGGGAGCGATGGCTCAGGCTTGTAATCCCAGCACTTTGGAAGGCCGAGGCAGGCGGATCACGAGGTCAGGAGATCGAGACCACAGTGAAACCCCGTCTCTACTAAAAATACAAGAAATTAGCTGGGCGCAGTGGCGGGCACCTGTAGTCCCAGCTACTCGGGAGACTGAGGCAGGAGAATGGCGTGAACCCGGATGGCGGAACTTGCAGTGAGCCGAGATCGCGCCACTGCACTCCAGCCTGGGTGACAGAGCGAGACTCCGTCTCAAAAAAAAAAAAAAAAAAAAGGTTAATTTTATGTTATATGAGTCTCACCTCAATTTTTAAAATCTATCTATATCTATATATCTATATATATTACATGTTATATATAGAAACTGGAAGGGCACATAATATGGTAATAGTCTTGCTGACTGGTAGAATTACAGGTTTTTGTTTTCTTATTTATTTTGTTTCAATAATGTAAGTTTCATTCATAATAAGGGCAACCGATTTTTCAAAAGTTATTGTCGTGTGTAGCATATTGCATCTTGCTTCTACTTCCAGAAGATCAGGCTACAGTCCTAAGCAGCATCTATTATATTAGTGATTACCAGCCCTTTAGAATCAGATAGCCTATAACTTTCTACATGACTGGGAGTATTTTTGTTTGGTTTGGTTTGGTTCAGTTCAGAAATGTTCTGTCCAAGTAAATCAAAGGAGAAAGCCAGAGAAGAACCTCAGTGATGGCAGAATGTACTGGCTATCCTAGCATAGCAAAAATTGTAGCCAAAGCAGAAGAACCCAGGCCTGGAAGTGAGGGGCAATGAGGAAGTTTTCCAGCCTTTTTGTTGCTGTCCTTAAGGGAAGGGGAAAGAGCTCACATCTTTTTTGCACCTACTGTGAGCCTGGTGCTGCTAGAGTGTTTTGATACTGCCATTTGTCCTTGAGCAAGCCTCTGAATCCCTATGGGCCTCTGTCCACTACTCTGTAAAAATGCACAGATTAGACTACGGTAGCCCTTAGACCCCCTTCGCCTGTAATGTGCTAGGACCTTACACTAGTGCTATGCCTTATTCTGTCCCTCCCTGAAAACAGGCTCTCTGGTCAGCCTCTCTGCTTCTGAGCCTAAGTGTGCCTAGCCCCATTCCCTGTGCCCAAGCCCCAGCCAGGCTGATTCCAGGTGGCAGAGCAAGGCCTGGGGAAATGGGGCTTGGGGTGTAGGGGTGGGGGAGCTGCAATATCTTTGCTTTGAGTAGCCTCCAAGTTCTTACTCTTCATCTCTTCCAGGGATTACAGTGGCACCTGAGGCTGTGGCAACTGAGCATCTTGTTTTTCTTTATCTTTAGGAGCACTCTCTCACACTCAACAGATCCTTATTTTATTTTAGGGTTTTTTATTCTCTTACTTGGTTATGTTCAGATCACTTTATAAAATAAGCTCTAATTGAAACCCAATAAACAAAACCAGGGTACAGTCAACACCTGTGAAAAGGAGAAAAAAACCCAAAAAGCAAAAGCTAACAAACAAAATACGGTAAAGCCTCTAATGAGAGATTCTATGTAACGCTAAGGAACTAAGCTTAATTTCACTTTTTTTTTTTTTTTTTTTGAGTTGGAGTCTCGCTGTCACCCAGGCTGGAGTGCAGTGGCGCGATCTCGGCTCACTGCAAGCTCCGCCTACCAGGTTCACACCATTCTCCTGCCTCAGCCTCCCAAGTAGCTGGGACTACAGGCGCCCGCCACCACGCCCGGAAAATTTGTTTGTATTTTTAGTAGAGAGGGGGTTTCACCGTATTAGCTAGGATGGTCTCAATCTCCTGACCTCATGATCCGCCCGCCTCAGCCTCCCAAAGTGCTGGGATTACAGGCGTGAGCCACTGCGCCCGGCCAGCTTAATTTCACTTTGAGCATATAAATACAATTTCATTTATAAGCACATTTGGAGTATGTCCTTTGCCATAAAGTATCATCTCCAGCAAGGAACTGGTGAACTTTATTCCATTTAAGGCAAATCCTCAGAATCCATTCTGCCTTTCCAAACACTTGTCTCCTAAAGGCTAGTATCTGGGCCACACATTTCTCCTTTTGCTACACCTTATTGAACAACTTGCATTTCCAAAACTGTTGGCTGCAGCTTCTGTAAGATTGACATAGAATCTCTGCTAGAAAAGACCCTCCCCAGAATAAAACAAACCAACCAAAAAACTACCACATACTTCCATTTAGGACAGAGTATATCAAAATGAGAAAGAACCTCCTCATTTTCACACAGTGGATTACTTATTTAGTTACTGCAGTAACTTTAGAGAAATAGTTTAGCAGTTTAGGCCAGGAACTGTGGTTCTCACGCCTGTAATCTCAGCAACAAGGCCGAGGAGGGAGGGAGGATAGTTTGAGGCCAGGAGTTTGAGAAATAGTTTAGCAGTTTAAATAAAGCAGTGGCTTGTCCTAAGAGTCTTTCAGTTGATTCTCTCTGTGTTTCTTATTCTGGTCAGGTAGCTCTGGACAAATGACAGTATTTCAGTATTTTAATTTCTCGTTTTTAAAAATAGAGTTATACAGCCAAAGAAAAACCAGTAAAAATCTTGATTAATTGCAAAATCATTGTTAAAATGTTTCACAGCATAAATAACAGCTTTTGTGGGCGGGGGGGGGGGGTGGTGGGGTGCAATTTATCAACATCTTCCAAAATGTTAAATGCAAATGTCTTTTGACTCAGCAGTTCTACTTTTGAGGTATCTGAAGACCCACACATGCCTGAGAGAAATGTACAGATGTTCAGCGCAGTACTGTTAAACAGCAAAAAATAGGAAACAATCTAAATGTCCATCAGTAAGGGAATGATGAAAAATATTATGGATCATATACAAGTGAGATCGAAAAAAGAAAAAATATGTATTATGGAGCACCATACTGTGGAATGTCACGTACATGACTGAATTATGTGACTAAAGAGAACAATGAATATGAGTACATAATTTACAAGGATCTCTCTAATCCCTTTTCCACTTATTTTTAAAATGGTATTTAGTATATCTGCAAAATTATTTATTTCTAGTAGACAAGGCCTCACTATGTTGCCCAGGCTAGTGTCAAACTCCTGGCCTCAAGTGATCCTCCCACCTCGGCCTCCCAAAGTGCTGGGATTATAAGTGTGAGCCACTGTGCCTGGCTTTCCACTGACTTTCTATTTCTGGATTCCAGAGTCTGCATACCCTTGCCCACCACTGCTCATGCTCACTTACAGGTTTAGTCATACTATTGCAGATTTTATTCCTACTTCCTTCTTTTCAGTGGATGCCCAATAAATTCAACTATTTAAGCTAAGCACAGTGGTGTGTCCCTGTAATCCCAGCTACTTGAGAAACTGAGGCGGGAGGATTGTTTGAGCAGATTTGGAGACCAACCTGGGCAACATAGAGATTCTATGTAATCTCTCATGTCAAAATAAGTAAAAATTCCACTAATTAGAAGGTCCAAACCAATGCACATGTCTAAAGTCATCTAGCATTTCTTCCTGGTAGAGATTACCTTAGACTGAACCCCCCTGGAAGACGAGCATTACATATTCTGGAGTGTGGCATATTATGTTTGTGTCATTCCATGTTGTATGGTTATCTGTCATGATGTATCGTGAAACAAGCAATTCTATAACAGAGCACTATTTTGCCTCATTACTCTGGGAGCAATGTGGCATAGACCCATGGAATTTCCCAAGTTGTGGCAAGTGTTATTAGCACTGCCTTGGTATTAAGAGGACAAGAAAATGAACCACCATCTTTTGCTGGATAGACAATCAAATCACTTTCTGGCTTTTATCTACTTTTAAAATACATTTCAAGGGTCATTTGAAAATGACACAAAGCACAAATATGAAAAGAAATTCAAATATTATCACACTCCCTAATAAAACAGCCTAATTACCAAAGGCTCACATTTTAGCAAGTTAATTCTAAGACTTAAGCTGTGTACGGTGTGTGCAAATTTGCAGATACCTTACCATCACATGCAAGTGTCTTACTGCTACTGAAAGCTATCAGACCCTTTCAGGAGGCGTGTTGTACCAAGCAGACCTAAATGTGAACTTTCATCAAGGACCTTTTTAGGAGGCGTATTGTACCAAGCAGACCTAAATGTGAACTTTCATCAAGGACTATGTGATGTCAAGCAAGGCAGTACCCATGTATTTCATTCAAAAACCAGTTGTCTCTCCTGTGTTTTTTTTTTTTTTTTGAGATGGAGTCTTGCTCTGTCACCCAGGCTGGAGTGCAGTGGCACAATCTCGGCTCACTGCAACCTCCGCCTCCCGGGTTCACGCCATTCTCCTGCCTCAGCCTCCTGAGTTACTGGGACTACAGGCGCCCAGCACCACGCTTGGCTAATTTTTTGTATTTTTAGTAGAGGCGGGGTTTCACCACGTTAGCCAGGATGGTCTCAATCTCCTGACCTCGTGATCTGCCCGCCTTGGCCTCCCAAAGTGCTGGGATTACAGGCGTGAGCCACTGCGCCCGGCCTCTCCTGTAGTTTTCAACATAGTTAAATCCTACAATGTCTGAGCAATGGTTACAATTCCTTAGGTAGTAAGGGAAATACCTGTTGAATGGCAGTTTGTGTTACATGGGCGCTTTTCTTATCTTTATCATTTAATCATTACCCCTCGGGTACACAGGACACACAAATTTCATTTTTCAGATTTCACTTTAAGAAAATTAATAAATACAGCAAACATTAACAACACTGTGATGGGACGATCATCAGAACTGTGGTAACTAATCAGCAATAGCTCTCAACCTTTGCACAGCAAAGTTAGGAAATTTGACTCGTTAATCAATATGCCATATGCCTATCTTTAAAATACAAAAAAACTAAGATTTATACATCTTAGTTCATTAGTTTTAAAAAGCATCTTCATTTTAAAAGTTGGCCCAATTAATTATAGATTTAGTCTTTTCTTGATGTCAACAAAGTCTTTAAACCCCACAGCACTGTAACTATCTTGGCATTAAAATAGTTTCTATACACTTTCTAAAAAAAATCATCTTCAGTTACAAGGCTTTACACTTATCTAAATTGCCTCCCACTTCCATTTACTTGAGTTTTAGACATCCAACTTCTAGGGGATACTGTTAGAACACCAAACCATACTAATCTTCAGATTGAAGAGGGGTTTTGTCCATTTTCTTAAGATCTGTGGTCAAGAATAAACCCTAAAAAAACTGTTCCCATTCTCAACATCTTAAAAAAATGGTAGTTGTCATGACGTACCTACTAAAGTTACAAATTCTCCTTGAGCCAGAATTCATTTTAAATGGATCAGAATTATTAATGTTGGTGATTAATGGTGATTTCTATACAGTAGAAACTTCCATCTAAATCAGATTGAGTCATTTGCTCCTCTTAACAAAAAATCTGATGTTCGACACAATTGCAGCCTATCACTAACCCTGCTGTTCGCTTGCATGTATCTTGTTTTTAAAAATCTTGTTTAAATCATTCTGAAAGTAAAACTAGTTTTTCCTCCTTTATATATAGCACCGAATACTTGCAATGTTTGACAAAACCTTTTATCAGCCCATTAACCTATTTATAAGCATAAAGTGAGTATTTTTAAAGGGAAAAACTTTGCCATCCCTTATACTTATTTAAAAGGTACTGCTAAGAGGTATTATTAGAAACAAGATTTAAAAATATGTAACAAAATCTTAAGTTCTTAAGTGAAAGCCATTTAACTAGTATTTAAAACCTCTGCAATTATTAGTTTATTAGTATCATCCAGGACTCAGATGTTCAGTATTCCTCCTGAAATTACATAAACAAATGCAAATGGAAAGAATCCAAGTCTAAATTATATAACAAAACAGCACTCCATCACAAAAGCGTGTAAAATTACAAGAACGCTATTTTAAAATACTGGCACTTTAAGAAAACGATAATCTCGAAAACCACAAAATTGCCAAATTGTTCCCTAAACTCCTAAGCAGATAAACATGACTAATGAATGAGTTTGTTTTGTAAAGAAAAATCATTCAAATAAATTGAATAATTCATACTGAGATGCAAAGTTTGTCTTCTTTCTTCCTATCTACTTGGATTTATAAAGGGGCAAACCGTAATATAGGAAAATATACCCTATTTTGAATGTGGCATCTTTGTTTGAAAAGCTGGCCCAATTAATTAAAAATACTTGTAATGGAAAGTCTCGTTTCCTGAGCAGTCCATATTTAGATAAATGGGAAAAGACATCTATAGCCAGCATTTTCATAGTCTTCACTGAGACTAATGTCAACAAAAAATTTAATATGGCAGTCTTGTATTTTAAGCTCACGCTTTTGGGGATACATTCTCAGGTCTTCTTTAATGTGGGAACTGCAAAATATAACTGCCATTACATGGTAATGGGAGTTAAAGAATAGAGTCCTCATGTAAAGGTTAGAACATACTTTTCTATTAGTCCTTCAAGGACAGACTTTCAAAATGTTTGATTCTAATAATCCCATGCTTTGAGTAGATTGATTACTCTTCAGTTTGTAAATGTAAGTGGGCTATGTGAAATTTCTTAACTGATCAAGATTTTGGATGTTCAGTTATGGATGAAAACTATCTCAACTTAACTTTACCCCCATTATGATATGCAGGGTGTGTAGACAAAAGCTTTTTATTAGCTAACTATATGAAAGGATAAACACTGTAATAATTCATGTGATTCAAAATGGGCAAAAGCAAAAGACTAGCTTCCCCTCAAGAAGAAAAATTTCAGACCTATGAAAAGGACAACAATACTAATAAAAAAAATTGTATTTACTTAGAAGCATTCAGAATGTCAACAAAACAGCTGCAACTTTTTTTTTTTTTTTGCAATTACAGAGTGGTATTCAGTTAACAGAACAACAATTATTTCGTATAAGCTGCATCAGAGACAACTGAAGATGAAAAAACTACCATCCCCATATATAACTAATTTGTGCTGTGCACCAACAAGAACCTGCTTTAAATTTCCATGCCAATTTACAACCCCCATACTGTACCAGGCAAGGTTAGTGGCTATTGAAAATACCACCAGGACAGGGCTATCTAAAGACACATTCGGTAGTGTGTTAACTATACAAAAAAAGACACTGTACAGTTTAAAAACAAATCTTACACAGCCTTACATTTCAATTTTTTTCTTTAAAAGGAGTGAGTTGTGTACAGGGGGGTTAAATGCTTTATAGACAAGAAAAAAAAAACTGCGCTAGAACCAACTTATTCATCATCATCATCTTCTTCTTCATCTTCATCTTCTTCATCTTCCTCCTCCTCCTCATCCTCTTCATCTTCCTCATCTTCCTCCTCTTCCTTCTTTTTCTTGCTTTTTTCAGCCTTGACAACTCCCTTTTTTGCTGCATCAGGCTTTCCTTTAGCTCGATATGCAGCAATATCCTTCCAAAGCAAAGGGAGGATAAAACAGTAGGGAAGAAAAAAACATTAAGGAAAGAAATAGAACATGGCAGAACTTTATGAAAGAAATCAAGATTCTAGTTATACCAAAATATCACGTATCTGTAGATCCACAGCAACTCCAGAAATAACTAGAACTTCAATAAATGAACATAAAAATACAAGATCATTATAACAATCTATAACTCATGAAATGGCATAGTCTAATATTTGCAAAGTTATGCCTCATTGAGGTGCAATTATGTACCACATCCTAACTCTATTAAAACCAGAATGTAGAGACTTTGATTAAAGGGTAGACACTGCCACCTTCTGAATGCAAAAAAGCACTCTACAGGTTTACACTGTCAGACCTTAATCCTTAGTAGGAAATGTGGTCTTAAAAAAAAAAGGTAATTTGTCAATAAACATGCAATTAGGTTAAGAAACATCTAGAAATAAACACTTTTCAGAATGACTAAAGCTGAAAATTAAGTATTTAATATTTCAATTTACTGAACTATAAGAGTTATAGATTTCCTTAATCTTATTAATTTACTGGACAGAGCAGCAGACTTGTAATTTAACTTAGTGATGCTGTGGTTTTTTGAGTATCTAAAGGAAAAGAACATAAATGTTTCAGGATATGACTAAGAAAAATATAGCCTATATTACTTTGTCTAGCCTGTTTTTGTACTGTATGCCAAGCCATTTGAAAATGCTCATTTTTGACTTGAAGTGACTACCAACATTTTCATGAACTTCAAGATACTGGGGAATAACAAAACCAACATAAATGTACACAGCCTTTGTCTGAGTCTGATTACATTTTAGTCAAAAAAACCCTAATTTATTTGGTCCTCTGCATTCTTTGAAGGATGAGGACTTATATCAACACCATACTTAATGTAGCTGTTACCCTAAAAACTTATTACACCTCAAACTAAGTACAATCATACATCTGGCGTACTTGTCATCATTTTACCAAGCAAACCCACACTTCTTACCTTTTCATATTTTTCCTTCAGCTTCGCAGCCTTCTTTTCATAAGGCTGCTTGTCATCTGCAGCAGTGTTATTCCACATCTCTCCCAGTTTCTTCGCAACATCACCAATGGACAGGCCAGGATGTTCTCCTTTGATTTTTGGGCGATACTCAGAGCAGAAGAGGAAGAAGGCCGAACTAAAAAAAAAATTAATTTTAGGATTTTAAGTTAACAGATCACAAAAACAAATACTATCAAGTGTACACTGCATTGCTATTTAAAGCTGCCTGTGAATTTCTGTGATGCATTGGACAGGGTGCAAATACTATAATATACTAAATATCCTTCACAACCAAAGCTTAATTTACAACTATTTAATTTATACTAGCTAGAACCCTAGATGAACATTCTACAATTACACTATTTCAAAGGGATAGTATTTTTCAAGAAATAAAAAGATCAAAAGGAGATACACTGGGCAAAGGAGACCAAATGTCTAATTCAAATGCTCTGGGAACACTCCCACCCAACAGGAATTTTATACTATTTAAATATAACCAATATGAACAAGTATTAGCTAAGAAACTTTGATTGTACATTTACACTCTAAACTGACAAAGTAGCTTGCTAAATTTCTCTCAGATTCTACTGTAAAACGTGTCTGGGAAGTAAAAACAGGCAAGATACTCACGGAGGCCTCTTGGGTGCATTGGGATCCTTGAACTTCTTTTTTGTCTCCCCTTTGGGAGGGATATAGGTTTTCATTTCTCTTTCATAACGGGCCTTGTCCGCTTTTGCCATATCTTCAAATTTTCCTTTCTCTTTAGCAGACATGGTCTACAAAATAATTATTTGTAAGTTTAAGTTGTAACATTTAAGTAAATTATCCTCAAAACCAATGTCTTTTGCTATGTAATAGCGTCCCACTACGAGAATGCCAACTAGGCTTTTTTTTGCATCCTCAATTGGAAACTGTCTTTTAATTACCTTGTTAGCATGTTTTAAGCCCTCTTACCTTCCACCTCTCTGAGCACTTCTTAGAAAACTCTGAGAAGTTGACTGAAGCATCTGGGTGCTTCTTCTTATGCTCCTCCCGACAAGTTTGCACAAAAAATGCATATGATGACATTTTGCCTCTCGGCTTCTTAGGATCTCCTTTGCCCATGTTTAGTTATTTTTCTAAAAAATAAAATAAATATTTGATGTTAGCAATAAAATTATGACATATAAGACCTTAAAGTACTTAGTAAGGGAATGAAAACCAAAGTACTGGTTATTTAACACAGTAGCGACATCAACCTCCGTAAAATCAGACAAGAATATGGCCGAGAGATTAAATTCCTTGAAGGGGCTATGCCAAGCAAACAAAACAAAACAAAAACAGTCCTTCAGGGCGATCTCAAAAAGTCTAGACACAAAGATATACCCATACAGTATTCCCTATCTATCCGCCCGAGTCTGCTCTGAATGAGTATCTAACTGGTCACTTAAACGATTTTAAAATCTAGAACACCATTTTAAACCAACCAAACCAAAGGTCAGAAAACATGCTGCCAATTCGTGGCTTTGCACTAGATAGGGAATAAACAAGGGCCTAAGCGAGTCGACTCTTCCTAATTATGGGACCTTAAAAAAAAAAAATCACCGTGCACCGAAAGTTTCAAAAAACACCCTCTTTGCATAAAACTTTGCTCCAAAGAGGGAGCAGCAGCCAGCTCCGGTGCTCGGAACCCGGTTGGGGGGTGGCGGTGCCACCGCGAGGCAGCCTCGTTTCCTATCGGTTTGGCCCTGAGATGTATTTCTGTTCTGACTAAACACGTCCGGTCTGAAGTTTCTCCGAGTAAACAAGGATGAGGGACAAAAGCCACTCCTGCTCGTGGCTCGGTGGCCCCCTCCCCCAACTCGGGAAGTATTTTTTGGAGCCGTGAAAGTTGGGGTGACTCCTGCGCGGGGCGAGCCCCCCGCCCCTAGAACTTCGCCGGTGGCCGCGCGGCCGAGGAGAGAGGACGCGGCCCGGCTCCCAGGCCCGAGGCCGCCACGTGCGCCCGGCAGGCCCTGCAGGCCCGCGCCGCCGCCGCCCCCATTTTGTCAGGCTCGGCGCAGGGAGAAGCCCCGCTCGAAATGGGGGCTGGCTCCGCCCGCGGCCGCCGGGGCCGGCGCGCACGGAATGGCCGCTGCGCGTCTTCTCCGCCTGCGCCGCCGCCGCCGCGAGGGCGAGCGCGAGCGAGAATATGGCTCCTTCCCTTTGTGTGTGTGTGTGTGTGTGTGTGTGTATGAGAGAGTGTGTGAGTGCGAGGGTGCGGGCGCGGCGGCGGCGGCGGGCGGGGTGCGAGCCGCGCTCTGGCGCACACACTCGGCCATTACGGCCGGGGGAGGGGCGGGGGGCGCGCGGCCGGGCCCTCCCCTCCGCGCCGCTCCCCTCCCCCCGCCGCGGTGGGGGCCGCCCGAGGGCCCACCCGCCCGCCACTCCCCGTCTCCCTCCGCGCGGGCCGCGCGCCCCGCCGCCCCCGCACGGAGAACGCGGGGCTGTGAAAAGAGAGAGGAAAAAAAAAGTTGCCTCGGAACTGCTGCGCCCAGCTCCCCCGCCCGCCCGCCTTGTTTTCTCTCCAGCCAGCAGCGCCGGGCCCGAGTCAGCCATGTTCCAGCGAGCGCAGCGGCGCCGCTCCCCCCGCCGCCCGGCCGCCGCCGCCGCCGCGACCGGGCCGAGGCCGGCCGGGCCCGCACTGCCGCCCCCAGGCCCCCGCGCCGCCCTCGCCCGCCGCGGCGCCCCGCCCGCCCCGCCGCCCGCCCGGCTGGCCGCGCTCCCCGCCAGCGCCCGGCTCGCTGCGGCGGCGGCCAATGCAGCCCGGGGAAGCGCCGCCGCTGCCCTCCCGCCGCCGCCGCCGAGCCGCGCCGGCCCCGCCGCCCCGGCCGCGCTCCGCGCACGCCGCCCGCCCGAACGCCCGGCCCGAGGGCCCAAAACACGTTCAAAATTTTTTTAATTAAAAAAAAAATTTTTTTTTTTGCGCCAGTCAGCGCGGACGCCGCCGGGGGTGGAAACTCGCGGGGCGCGGGGCTCCCGGCGCCTCAGGCTGCCTGAGGGCCGGGGCACCGGCGCGGGGCAGCGTTCCCGGCGCCCGGGCAGAGGCTCGCTCCGTGCGCAGTTCCCCCCACGGTCCCCCCTCATTTGCCTTTGTGTGGATCCTGACCCGCCGGCTCCCGGCCGCGGGGATCCGGCCGCCGCGCGGGCTGGGGAGCTGCCGGAGGCGCTCTCCCCGCCGCGGCGCTGCCCCAGACTCACCCTCAGCGAGGCACAGAGTCGCCCAGTGCCCGTCCGGCTCTCACTTGCCCCGGTGCTGTCTCTATGGAGCTCAATGTACTGCAATGGCTGTGAGAGCGGGAGCCAGACGCAGCCTCCTCACTCTCTCCGCTCTGTAACATTACTCTCCAGCCAGCGCGGCTCCTATTGGCTACCGCCAACTCACGGGGCTCGCTCATTGGCCCGATACCTCCCATTGTCCTGACCAGAGCCCGTTTGCTATTGGCTGTCTCCGGGGACACGTCATCAAGGATTGAAACAGCGCGCAAATCTGAATGTGTGTGTATGCCGGGCAAAGAGGCTGAGGCGGGAGAGGCAGAGGCAGAGGCAGCAGCTGCTACGGGAAAGCAGAGCTCTATGGTGTATGTGTGCATGTGTCTAACCCAAGCCAGCCCCACACCGGAGCGGCCGCCGGAGCGAAAAGGGCCTGACTTTTCCACAAGTGTCTCCAACTCCTCAGGCAAAAGAGACACCCACAGGTCTCCCCCCCCCTTCTTGCCCCACATTCACGCCCAAAGCCGTTGAGATAAGAGGCCCCAGGCTTTTAATGGCCCTTCAAAAGTGAGGGCGACACTATGGGATCATGTCCCCTGAAAACTGGGGTCTCTGCTGGTGCTGAGGGGCGGAAGCCGCCGAGCCTCGAGCCCCTCAAAGGTCTCTGATTGCGTTACACTTTAGGTCTCTGGAAAGGCAGGGCTTCTATAAGAAAGTGACATGATCCAGCCAGCCGGGTTTAAAATACCCCTTTTCTGGGCTCATAAGCCGTCACGTCAGGCTCGCTGAGCAGCTGAAATCTTGAGTCAGTGAGCAGGCATTCAGTTTCACCCTTTTTCTTGGTTTGATCGAGTTTCACAGCATGTCTAGAACTTTTTATTTAAATACAAAGCACTGTCTTAACTTCCTGGAAATCAAATAATTATTCCATGTAATTAAAGAACAGCCACTTGGTTTGATATGGGGTACTCTAGCAGGAAATGTTTGTGAGGCCCTGGTAGAATTAGCAAATTCATTAGAGACCACATTCTAAACTGTTTGGCTATTTTATTTGACTTGGTGTGGATTACTGTTACAATCAAACGAATCCTTGTGATGCTATCTTTCCCTCCCATCACACCACTTAGTGCATCCATGTAACTGCTCTAGGATTACAGGAGTTGTAGGTATATGGTTACCCGAAGGATTAGATGCAGGCAGAGAGTGCATGTGCCCAAATCCACAGGCTGTGGTTTCTCTAACTCACCAAGCTGGCTGGTATTAATAGACATACTTACGTCTGTAGAGAAAATGTGCTGGCTGTAGTGGCCAGTTCTGAAGACTCTACAGTTATATCAGTCCTTTATGAAACTACTATCTATTCCTTTTAGCCTGAGCAGACCACGCCCCTATTCAGTTATAACAGACTTCCCTTTTTTTTCACTCTCTAATGGTATTTTGTACACTTCTAAATCCAACAACCAATTCCTCCAAATGTAACAGATCAAATTTGGAATAAATCACCTACATCGTGTTAATTTGATTTTTTATATCGCTTATAAGCATCCATAACCTAATTTATTTCCTCAAATGTATTAAACTACTTGAGAGTAAGCTTAGATAATCTTTCCTGTTTTAATGTTGATTTCTTTTTAAAAGAAAATACACTATCGGACTCAGGGATTATAGTCTTGGTGAATGGACAATATATCACACATGCACATGAAAAAGACTATAATATTAAAGAGGATATAAATTGGTATACTGCACATGCAGTGTTTAAAGATAATATATCTAAAGTTAACTTTTATGTTATTATTTTCACACATATTTACTATCCTCTGCTTCCCTCTACTAATCATTCAAATTTTATATTTTTTAAATCTAGATATTTATTTCAATACTGTCTTATCTTCTCAATGTCTCATATTACAAAATATTCATGAGAATGATTAAGATACTTTCAGTGGCATCGATGATATTAAAATTTGACGATTAGTTGAATATGGCACTATCAATATTTTCCAGGAGCAGTGTTGGCTTTGTACTGGCACGGCCATACACTTTACTGGTTGTCTATACCAGCTTGCTCCTGCCAGGGTGCATTTATGGCCACAGGACATCTTGAGAGCAATGGGCCCACACAAGGTTTCTATTTTGACAGGATGATATGGTGAGTAATAGGCACTGGAATTGAATAGACTTGGGTGCAAATCCCAGCTCTGCTACTTACTAGCTGTATGATCTTGGGCATGTTTTTAAACCTCCATGCTTCAATTCTCTCAGCTATAAAATGGAGGGGACCACAGGGTTGTAAAGATTAAACTTTTTTTAATGTTTAAAATTATATAGACCCCTTCAATCCCATAATTTAGAAAACCTCAAGTGCAGTTAACCTTGAGTTTTTCTTCATATTTTAATCTTATATGAAGGCAGTGATTGCAAATCTAGTGAATTTTTTGTTGTTGTTGTTATTGTTGTTGTTTGAGACAGAGTTTTGCTCTTACTGCCCAGGCTGGAGTGCAGCGGTGCAATCTCGGCTCACTGCAACCTACACCTCCTGGTTCAATCGATTCTTCTGCCTCAGCCTCCCGAGTAGCTGGGAATACAGGCATGCGCCACCATGCCCGGCTAATTTTTTATTTTTAGTAGAGACGGGGTTTCACCATGTTGGTCAGGCTGGTCTTGAACTCTTGACCTCAGGTGATCCGCCCACCTTGGCCTCCCAAAGTGCTGGGATTACAGGCATGAGCCACTGCACCCGGCCTTGTTTTGTTTTTTTTAAATCCTAACCTCAAACAATGCTAATCTTCCCCTAGTCTGGTGATGGTACCTTTATTTATTCCCAAGTTTAACAGAGACTATATCAGAGAGAAGAGTTTAAAAACCACCACTTGCAGGCAATTCATTTCTTATATTTGATTTTCTGTGATATAGGCAGGGAAGAACATAAAAAAGACAGAAATTTTAAAATAAAACCAACATCTTCTAGCTCTAACCCCACAATCTTGATGTTCCTTTATGATATTAGACGCTTTTCTTCTTCCACATGAATCCTTAGTCACAAGTTGACATATTTTACTTTACAGTTATTGGGTTTTTGTTGTTGTTGTTTTTGTTTTTATGAGACAGGGTCTTGCTCTGTTGCCCAGGCTGGAGTGGAATGGCACGATCTCAGCTCACTGCAACCTCCACCTCCCGGGTTCAAGCAATTCTCGTGCCTCAGCCTCCCGAGTAGCTGGGACTACAGGCATGCACCACCATGCCTGGGTAATTTTGAATTTTTGATAGAGACGGTTTCACCATGTTGGTCAGGCTGGTCTTGAACTCCTGACCTCAAGTGATCTGCCCGCCTCAGCCTCCCAAAGTGCTAAGATTACAGGCATGAGCCCTGGTACCCGGCCAAGTTATTGGGTGTTTTATCCCAAATTACAAAGTCATCCAGTCGAAGAGGCCTGAACACCCTCTCCCATGCTCAATTTAAACAACTGAATTACAGATCGTCATTAATGTACTTTATGCCCTTCCTCCATCCCCTCTAGGATAGGGGACGTACCTCTTTTCTGTAATCCTGTAATATTGTGTATATTAATTACTGCAATCACAATTGTGGTTCTCCAGTTGTATCTGCTTGTCCCACTGCACTGTACACCTTAAAGGCAAGAACTCTGTATTTTTTGTTTTTTTTTTTCTAAGACAGGTTATGGCTGTATTGCCCAGGCTGGAGTGCAGTGCAGTGGCATGATCACGGCTCACTGCAGCCTTGACTTTCTGGGACTGAAGCCATCCTCCCACCTCAGCTTCCTGGGAAGCCAGGACTACAGGTGAGTGCCACCACGCCCGGCCTATTTATTTATTTATTTGAGACGGAGTCTCCCTCTGTCACCAGGCTGGAGTGCAGTGGCACAATCTTGGATCACTGCAACCTCTGCGTCCTTGGTTTAAGTGATTCCCCTGCCTCAGCCTCCCGAACAGCTGTGACTACAGGCGCGTGCCACCACGCCCAGCTTATTTTTGTATTTTTAGTGGAGACGGGGTTTCACCATGTTGGCCAGGATGGTCTCCATCTCTTGACCTTGTGATCCGCCCGCCTTGGCCTCCCAAAGTGCTGGGATTACAGGCATGAGCCACTGTGCCCAGCCCCAGCTAATTTATTTTTATTTTTATTTTTTGTAGAGACAAGGTCTCTCCATGTTGCCCAGGCTGGTCTCAAACTCATGGGCTCAAGTGATCCTCCTACCTTGGCCTCCCAAAGTGCTGGGATGACAGGCATGAACCACCGTGCCTGGTGCTGGCTATTTTTTTTTTTGTAGAGGCAGGGTCTCTCCATGTTGCTCAGGCTGGTCTCAAACTCCTTGGCCTCCCAAAATGTTGGGATTACAGGCATGAGAAACTGAGCCCAGCCCCTATCTTTGAATCCCAAGCACCTAGCAGAGTACTTGGCATACAGCAGGCATTAAATAAAGCCCGTTGCATAAATGAATTAATAGCTGAAGGAGTACGTATTGCAAATTATTGTTTTAACCTTCCTCTTCTATCTTTAGATCTAAAAGCATTTAGGTCTTTCTAAATCAAAAGGCAGGAAAATAGAATAAGAAGCGAATGTTAGGATACTAAGATTGAGGATAGGTGCCAATTACATCTCATTGACGTAACTTAAAAAGGGAGAGGCACAGTTGGAGGGTGAGAGGGGATCTCAAATGTAGAGAAACACATATAGTCTAAGCATTTACCAGTTTCCAATTAGGCCAAGATTATTCCTTGGTGGATACAGTGAACTATGGCAAGCCAAATTAGACTTTATCACAGAAAACTGCAAGATTGTCTGCCCAAAGATTGTTACCAATTGGCTTTTTATTGTTTTATTTTATTTTTTTTTTGAGACGGAGTCTCACTCAGTCGTCCAGGTTGGAGGGCGGTGGCGCGATCTTGGCTCACTGCAACCTCTGCCTCCTGGGTTCAAGTGATTCTCCTGCCTCAGCCTCCCAAGTAGCTAGGATCACAGGCGTGTGCCACCATGCCCAACTAATTTTTGTATTTTTAGTAGAGACGGGGTTTCACCATGTTGGCCAGGCTGGTCTTGAACCCCTGACCTTAGGTGATCCACCCGCCTCAGCCTTCCAAAGTGCTGGGATTACAGGTGTGAGCCACCATGCCCAGACTTATTTATTTATTTATTTATTTATATTTAATTAATTAATTAATTTTTTGAGACAGAGGCTTGCTCTATTGCCCAGGTTGGAGTGCAGTGGTGTGGTCTCAGCTCACTGCGACCTCCACCTCCCAGGTTCAAGCAGTTCTTCTGCCTCAGACTCCTGAGTAGCTGGGACTACAGGCACGCGCCATGGCTAATTTTTGTATTTTTAGTAGAGACAGGGTTTCATTATATTGGACAGGCCGGTCTTGAACTCCTGACCTCGTGATCCACCTGCCTTGGCCTCCCAAAGTGCTGGAATTACAGGTGTGAGCCAGCGCGCCTGGCCTATTTTATTTTATCTTTAATTTAATGTTTGTCTCCCATGTTCAACCAAACCAATGGTTGGTTTTTTTGTTTTTTTGTTTTTTGTTTTTTGTTTTTGAGACGGGGTTTCACTCTTGTTGCCTATGCTGGAGTGCAGTGGCGCGATCTCGGCTCACTGCAACCTCTGTCTCCCAGGTTCAAGTGATTCTCCTGCCTCAGCCTCCCAAGTAGCAGAGATTATAGGCATGGGCCACCACACCTGGCTAATTTTTTTTTTTTGTATTTTTAGTAGAGACGGGATTTCACCATGTTAGCCAGGCTGGTCTCGAACTCCTAACATCAGGTGATCCACCCGCCTCCGCCTCCCAAAGTGCTGGGATTACAGGCATGAGCCACCGTGCCCGGCCTTTTTTTTTTTTTTTTTTTTTTTTTTTTTTTGAGATGGAGTTTCACTCTTGTTGCCCAGGCTGGAGTGCAGTGGCACCATCTCGGCTCACTGCAACGTCCACCTCCCGGGTTCAAGCGATTCTCCTGCCTCAGCCTCCAGAGTAGCTGGGATTACAGGCACGCACCACCACGCCTGGCTAATTTTTTGTAATTTTAGTAGAGATGGGGTTTCACCATGGCCAGGCTGGTCTTGAACTCCTGACCTCAGGTGATCCGCCCGCCTAAGGCCTCCCAGAGTGCTGGGATTACAGGCGTGAGCCACCGCGGCTGGCCACCAATGGGCTTTTAAAACTTAAAAGGTGACCAGGTGTGGTGGCTTATGCCTGTAATCCCACTACTTTGGGAGGCAGAAGTGGGTGGATCACTTGAGGCCAGGAGTTCAAGACCAGCCTGGCCAACACGGCAAAACCCTGTCTCTACTAAAAAGACCAAAATGAGTCCGGGTGTGATGGCGCATGCCTGTAGTCCCAGCTACCTGGGAGGCTGAAGCACGAGAATCACTTGAACCCAGGGGGCGGAAGTTGCAGTGAATGGAGACTACACCAGAGTGCCACAGAGTGAGACTCTGTCTCAAAACAAAGATACAAATAAAAAACTCTGACGTAAAAAAAATACGACATGCAAGGCCAGGCACAGTGGCTCACACTGGTAATCCCAGCACTTTGGGAGGCCGAGGCAGGCGGATAACTTAAGGTCAGGGGTTTGAGACCAGCCTGGCCAACATGTTGAAACCGCATCTCTACTAAAAATACAAAACTTAGCCAGGCATGGTGGCGCACACCTGTACTCCCAGCTACTCCGGAGGCTGAGGCATGAGAATCGCTTGAACCTGGGAGACAGAGGTTGCAGTGAGCTGAGATGGTGCCACTGCACTCCAGCCTGGGCTACAGAGAAAGACTCCATTTCAAAACAAAACAAAACAATACAGAAAACAACAACAACAACAAAAATGCAGACTGGGAGCTGTAAGTTTTTCATTGGTTGAAAATATTGATCTCTCCCAATGCAATGAGTCCTAAAGTCAAGCTATATGAATTCTCTTGTCTGCTTTGCAAAACAGGCCAGTTTCGGAAAAGGAGAGGAAACGCTAACCCAAAATGTCTGATGAGGTCAACCATATAACCATACAACCATACTAAGGATCACACATACTGAAAACTTTTTTTTTTTTTTTTAGGGCAGTGAAAATAAAGGAATGAGGCATTTAGGAAAAGAAGAGAGCACAGGTTTGTGAACTCCAGACTAGAAGCAAGGATACTGACATCCAATCCCCTCAATTCACTATGCACGGACCTCTCATAGTCACCGAGGTCTATGCTCAGTTTCCTCAACATTTCCTTAGGGCTGTCACTACCTTAGTCTAACTTGAAAGGATGTTTCATGACTAAATGGAGAGGCAAGAAGAAAGACCAGAGGCGAAAGAGAGGGAGATGGTGCTATATGTGTTCATGTATGGAGAAGGAGAACCTCTTCCCCAGCTGCTTAAGTACCTCCTGCCTCAGCCCGAGTTTTCCGGGGGGAAATCAGCAGCTTCTCCGTGGGCAGCATTGATGATAGCCATCAATGCTATGGCACAGAAAATTGTACCAAAGCTAATTTATATCAATAAGTTCTCTAGAATTGGATGATTTTACTGGTTAGTAAGGGGAAAATATCAGACCTTTCCTTAAGAGGCCTGTCCTCTGGTTAGTCAAAGAATGGTACACATGACGAGTGGAAAACGCAATAGTAAAAGTTCTTACAGAAAGGTGATCTAAGTTCAGAAAAGATCCCTATATTAGGTCTTGATCTCAATAATCACATCAAACATCAAATTCAGCTGCTCTATTAAAACTGCCTTACACCTTCAGAATAAATGCTTATCACACACCCACGCAGATGGCTATAATCAAGGAGATAGACAGTAGCAAGCATGGGTGAGCATGTGGAGAAAGAAACTGGAACCCTTATGCACACTTGTGGAAATGTAAACGGGCAGGTGTTTTGGAAAACAAGCTGACAGTTCCTCAAAAGGTTAAACACAGATAGATAGCAGTTGACCCAGCAATTCCACTCCTAGGTATATACCCAAAAGAAACAAAAACATGTCCACACACACTTGTACATGAATCTTCATAGCAGCAGCATTTGTAACAGTCAAAAAGTGGAAAACACCCAAATGCCCATCAACTGATGAGTGGATAAATCGAATGTGGTATATCCATACACATACATATATATTTGACATTATGCTAAGTGAAAGAGCCCAGACATAAGAAGGCCACATATTGTATGATTCCATTTATATAAAATATCCAGAACAGGAAATATTATAGACAGGGAAGTAGATTAGTGGCTGCCAGGGTTTGGGGAAAAAGAGAGTGCCTGCTAATGGGTATGGAGTTTCTTTTAGGGGTACAAAAATGTTGCAGATTAGATTATAGTAATGGCAGCATGACCTGGTAAATATGCCCAAAACCATTGAATTGTACACTGTAAGTGGGTAAATTACATGGTGTATGAATCATATTTTGATAAAGCTATTTTTTAAAAAGCAATAAATGTCTTACGAGTGGTTTTGGTTAACTAAAGACAGGAACAATGGAACACTCCCTCGCCAACTTTGCCTATTTCTTTCCTGCTGTTCATGGTGTTTAACACCTTGTGAAAAAGATGGTCCTCTTCATTAGGTAGAATTTTCATCTATTATTGGAGTTACATATTCTGTGCTTAAAGTATATTTTTGCTGCAAAATATTATAGTAATTTTAAACAAGCGCTTTTATAGGGATACCGTGGGAGGCTTTTCTGGAGAGCCGGGGGTGACCGTAATGAGTATGCCCAGCCATGAAGGGTTAGGACTGACAGCGTAAACTGGCCCCTCTCTGGCCTTATCTGACCCACAGACGTTTCATTCGGTCAAAGCGGTGTTTTAAAAAGGTAGACATTGGGCAGGTATGGTGGCTCACACTTGTAATCTTAGCACTTTGGGAGGCCGAGGCAGAAGAGGAGTTCAAGGATGCAGTAAGCAGTGATTGAACCACTGCACTCCAGCCTGGGCGACAGAGCGAGATGGTCTCTCTCTCCTTTTTTTTTTTTTTTTTTTTTGAGATGGTTTCGCTCTATCGCCTAAGCTGGAGTGCAATGGTGCAACCTTGGCACTCTCTCTCTCTCTTTTTTTGTTTTTTTTTTTTTGAGACAGGGTCTTGCTCTTTCGCCTAGGCTGGAGTGCAATGGTGCAACCTTGGCTCACTCTCTTTCTCTTTTTTTTTTCTTTTCTTTTTTTGTTTTTTTTTTTTTTTTTTTTTTGAGACAGGGTCTCCCTTAGGCTGGAGTGCAGTGATGCGACCTCAGCTCTCTCTCTCTCTCTCTCTTTTTTTTTTTTTTTGAGACAGTCTCGCTCTGTCGCCTAGGCTGGAGTGCAGTGGTGCAACCTTGGCTCACTGTCTCTCTCTCTCTCTCTCTCTTTTTTTTTTTTTTTTTTTTTGAGACAGGGTCTCGCCTAGGCTGGAGTGCAGTGATGCGACTTCAGCTCACTGTCTCTCTCTCTCTCTTTTTTTTTTTTTTTGAGATAGGGTCTCACCTAGGCTGGAGTGCAGTGGCGTGACCTCGGCTCACTGCAGTCTCCTCCCACCTCTCCCCTCCCTTCACCCCACCCCAAGTAGCTGGGACTACAGGTGCACACCATCATGCCTGGTTAATTATGTTTTTGTATTTTTTGTAGAGATGGGGGTCTCTCCATGTTGCCTGGGCTGGTCTTGAACTCCTGGGCTCAAGTGATCTGCCTGTCTCAGCCTCCCAAAGTGCTGGGATTACAAGTGTGAGCCAATGTGCCCGGTTTGAGACCATCTCTAAAAAAAAAAAAAAAAAATTCCCTGGGTGTGGTGGTGGCGCTCACCTGTAGTTCCACCTACTCACTCAGAAGGCTGAGATAGGAGGATTGTTTGAGCCCGGGAGTTTGAGGCTGCAGTGAGCTATGATCCTGCCATCACACTCCATCCAGCCTGGGCAACAGAGAGAGACCCTGTCTCTAAACAAACAAACAAAACCCAGAAAACAGTAGAAATCTTCACAATAAAAAATCCAGATATTTGGCTTCTTTTGAAAAGTGAGAGATCTGATAAGGTTGGGTTCACATTTCCACATGGGGAGGATGGTTGGAATGAAGAGTAACTGCCTCCCTCAAAGAGGTCAGGGTTCTCAAGTTTACCACAGTCCCCGCCATTCCCTAAGTGGTTAGCCTGACTTTTCACCCAATCATATCACCTCCCTGGCCCCTGCAGACATTTGAGTTGGGGCCTAAGCATTTCATATGATTGTAAACTGTAATTCTGAAATTTTCTTGATCAGAGATTCTTTTTATAGGAAACACTTATTGTCATCATACAAACCATAGAGTGGGAAACTGAGAAACAGAACTGTTGTGATATCGCAGGTGGCATGTACTTTTTTTTTTTTTTTTTTTTTGAGACACAGGTAGCATGTACTCTCTCTCAGTTTTTTTATTTTGAGACAGAGTCTTACTCTTTTGCCCAGGCTGGAGTGCAGCCTCATTGCGACCTCAGCCTCTCAGGCTCAAGCTCAGCCTCCCGAGTAGTGGGATTACAGGCGCAAGCCACCACACTCAGCTAATTTTTTGTATTTTCAGTAGAGATGGGGTTTCACCATGTTGGCCAGACTGGTCTCGAACTCCTGACCTCAAGTGTTCTGCCCACCTCAGCCTCCCAAAGTGCTGGGATTACAGGCCTGAGCCATCGCGCCCAGCCAGCATGTACTCTTGAGATGAGGAAGAGAGTGGCTGTGCTGCCAAGAGAGGATGTCTTATGGCCCAGACAAAAGACTAGACAACAAGCTTTATTTAGCATGTGTCTCCCATGTGCTAAGCACTATACATAGAGTATTTTGTTTATGGCTGGTGTGATGGCTCACGCTTGTAATCCCAGCATTTTGGGAGGCAGAGGTGGGTGGATCACTTGAGCCCAGGAGTTCAAGACCAGCCTGGCCAACATGGCAAAACCCCAGCTCTACTAAAAGTACAAAAGTATTAGCTGAGTGTGGTGGCGTGTGCCTGTGATCCCAGATACTAGGGAGGTTGAGGCACGAGAATCACTTGAACCCAGGAGGCGAAGGTTAGAGAGAGCCAAGATCATACCACTGTGCTCCAGCCTGGGCAAAAGAGCGAGATTCTGTCTCAAAAAAAAAAAAAAAAGATTTTGTTTAATCCTAACAGTAATCCTATAAGGCCAGGATGCTTATCTGTCTTTTACAGGCAATACTAAGGGAGGCTCAGAGAGATTCGTTGAATTGTCCAAGGTCACACAGCTAGTTAGCAACAATATTGACCCAGTTCTGAGTCCAAAGCCTTGTGTTTTCTCCACTAAAGCCATATGATCTTGCGGTTATTAGCCTAGCTAATAAAATAAAAACGGTATCACATTTCCCCACCTAAATATGCATCACAGCCCCATAGGAATACTGACATACGTTTGAAATGCACAGTTCACATTCTTGGCTTTCAAGGTCTTTGAATAGGACCCTTACAGTTTGCATATATAAAATCTGAAAAAAGTTTAATGAAACAATACCTACCATTGTTGCGATGGACTCCGATTTTTTTTTCCTTCACATTTTAAATTTACTTCCCAATCCATCCATAGGCCCTGCGGTTTGTGAAACATGGAATTAGAGCAACAGTAAAGAAGTTCCATTTCCCATCCAGGGTAACATCAGGCCTAACTGACAAGTGCAGGTGCTGAGGCTGATTGAATAGGACAGAAAGGAGCAGCCAGGGGAGATGCCGAGCACCCAGAGCCTGCAGCCAAGCTCCCCAGCAGACCAAATGAAGCTTGTGCCAACACAGTGGGCCTGTCCCAAGCCCAGAGAAAGGCTCTGAAGACAGAAAAGGGGACTGCCTTGCTCTGCCAGGGAGGCCCAAGACAAAAAACAGCATTCCAGGCCAGAGAATGCCAGGAAATGCAAAGATGCTTGCAAATTTCTGAAGCCTGGGAGAGAAATCCTAGCAGACCTGACAAATATCTTCCTCACCTGAGTGAGGCTCCCCACCTTGGATTTGCCTCTAACTAAAATCACAGGCTGGAAATGCAGAAGTCCCTCTGCCAGTGAGGAGCTGGACCGGTTGGGACAGACAGCCTTACCATCCAAGTTACCAGGCCTCTTTGTTTAAAAAACACTGAGTGCCCAAAGCGGTTTGTAAGGGTAAACAGAGGGTGACTGCTAACCCATACCTGAAGGTGTTAAAGAAAAAAAAAATCAACAACAAAAAACGTGTATGCTTTTTCTGAAAGGTTGCTGTTGATCCTTGTTGTAAGGTTTCCTTTTGACTTACAAGAATGGAAATGAGGAAGTAGGAAAGAGATAGCATGGTTCACTACAGTCTAACATAAGTACTACCAGCAAATTGATAGTCATGTTCAGAAATGAACTCTGCATTGAACACACTCATGGCATTTGACCAGTGATTTTGCTTCTAGGAAATATTCAGAAATAAGTAAAAAGTGGCCAGGCATGGTGGCTCACTCCTGTATTCCCAGTACTTTGGGAGGCCAAGGCAGGAGGATCACTTGGGCCCGGGAGTTCAAGGCTGCAGTGAGCTGTCATTGTACCTGTGAATAGACACACTCCAGCCTGGGGACAGAGTGAGACCCTGTCTCTAAAAAGAATTATTTTTAATTAAAAAAATTATGAATTGCAGCATTATTTATAATGTGGAAACAACCTAGATGTCCAATGAGAGGTTTGGCTAAATGCATTTTAATCTGCCTTTATGATGCATTATTATCATTATAACACTATCAAATTCTTATGAATACTAAACTGAATGCCTTGCAAAAATATACACAATATCTTGTGAGAAAAACTATTTTCAGAAGGATCCCTGTTTGAAAAAGAGTATGTATGAATCCAGAAAAGACTGAAAGAATATACTAATAAATGTTAATCATATTTATTTCTGATGGAAGATAATCTTTGCTTTCTTTTTCTTTTCTTTTTTGAGACAGGTTCTTGCTCTGTTGCCCAGGCTGGAGTGCATTGGCACAATCATAGCTCACTGCAGCCTCAAACTCTTGGGCTCAAGTGATCTTCCCACCTCAGCCTCCCAAAGTGCTGGGATTATAGGCATGAGCCACACGGTGCCCAGCCCCCAAATCCCAATTTCTTTTTTCTTTTCTTTTCTTTTCTTTTTTTTTTTTTTTGAGACAGAGTCTCCCTCTGTCACCTAGGCTGGAGTGCAGTGGCGCGATCTCAGCTCACTGCAACCTCTGCCTCCCGGGTTCAAGCGATTCTCGTGCCTCAGCCTCCCAAATAGCTGGGCCAAATCCCAATTTCTAAGAGAAGAAATGTGCTACTAGAGGACTCAAAGATTCAGATAATTTTACAAATTCAGCATTACTCTAGAAACTGTTCCCTATGGGGAAATATTCCCTGTAAAGATAAATATGCACATTTATCATAGCTCTAAACTTTTACCTCTTGTCACTATTGATGTGTCTTCTCTAATAGCTATTCATTCTTTCCCTGTAATTTGGACCTTAGTCCGAATCTTTGCTTCTCTTCTGCTCTCTTTAAGACCTCAGTGACCAACTCTTCTTAGAGGCGTTTTAAACACTGTCATTATGTAAATGACCCTTGATTTCCATTCCAGCCCCAGGCTGTATCCTGGACTTCAGACTCCTATTCCCACCACTCACCAGTTTTGCAAGCTCTCCAGTTTGCCCTCTAAACCTTACCTCTTTCCGATTTCACTACCTGCAGAATTCCCACACTGGCTCAAATTCTAGCAGTTGTTTTTGACTCCCCTTTCTCCTCTCCCCTCACACCAACTTCAGTAACATTTAAGTCACAAGAGTTTTTGAATTCTTTTTTTCACTTCTTTTGTTCTGGCATTTATTATTTTGTGGTTAAGAATGGAGGCTTTGGAACCGGACACCTCTAAGTTTAAAATCCTGGTCCTGGTGCTTACTAGCTGTGTCACCTTGGGCAAAGTGAATGAACCTCTCTGAGCCTCAGCTGCTTCCATAAAATGATGATATCACCTTTGCAAGAGTGTTGTGAGTTTCAATGAGCTCATATACCTAAAGAGCTCAGCCTACAGTGTAAATCGCTTAGAACACTGTAAATGATCAACAGATGTTGGATGTTATTATAATTTTCCTAATGCATACAGCTCCACTGCTTTAAAAACTTTTTATTTAATTACAATGTTTTCTTCCAAATTAACTACAAAATCCTCTTCTGGCCCTCAGGGCCCTCCCTAATCTGGCAGTTTCTCTCTTGCTTTCCCTCCTGCTGCCCTCCTGATTTCTAATCAAACTGGACCTTGTACTTTCCCACCTTCAAGATTCTGGTCACACTGTTTCTCTGGCCTGTAATGTCCTTCCCCCTCCTCTGCTGCTAAAACCCAATCTCTCCTTTTAAATATTTACTGTGTGACAATAAAGATGCTTTCGGAAGTTAAAGCATGTGATTTTCTACATATAACCAGAAATCATAGAAGTTCATAAACTCCTTCAAAATGTATTGCCTTGTGTGGAATATTTACTTTGACACCAAAATATGTATTCGTTAAATTCAATGAATTCAGTCTACGTTTCATTTATTTATATATTTGTTCATTTATTTTAATTTTAGAGATGTGTAGAATATTCACTTTGACAACAAAATGTGTATTCACTAAATTCAATGAATTCAGTCTAGGTTTTCCTTACATATATATTTGTTTGTTTATTTTAATTTTAGAGATGGGGTCTCACTATGTTGCCCAGGCTCAAGGGATCCTCCTGCCTCAGGCTCCTGAATAGCTGGAACTACAGGAGACCACTGCACTCAGCTGTAGGTTTTACATTTGGATGAAACCTATTTAGATTTGCATGAAATTAGCCCAGTTTCACAGGAGCAGTGTGGGTGATGTAGATGCCCTGGGTGAAGCTGGTAGAACTCAGAGAAGGAGAGCCAGGCCTCAGTGAGGACCTGCTCCCTTCTATGTCGGTCGCTCTCACGCAGTGCTATGGTTCCTCTGGCACCTAGTACAGCCACTTTCCCTCCTTCCCTCGCTCCTTTTTCTGTCTCCTCCCCTCCCCGCCCTTCTCTCTCATGCTTGGCAAACACAGTGCCTAAAGTACCTAGTTCCTGGGATTTATACGTGCCAAATGGCTTTGGGGAACAAGTTTTTCTCAAGTCCAAGCATCAAAAGGCACTTATTTCAACACTTCAGGGAAAAGTAGTAACTAAGGAAATCAATAATCTCATCCCAAGCAGAAGAATGGATTTTTGTGAGACTCTCCCTATGGTTTCCTGCTCTGCCTTTTAAAGAGGTGTAATATTAGTCTCTTGAATCTTTTTCCTCTTGTGTGTGTTTTTTTTTCTTTAACCTTACCTTAAGAAATAAATGTAAACTTGCAGGTAGAAACTATGTCCTGACCTAAGTATTATATGATAACAAGTTGTTTTCAAGTACTGTATGTTTGTTAAAGACAATTAGAAGACTCAAAAAAACACTTTCATGTATCTATACATTCTTCAGTGGCTAGAACTGAACTTTCGATCTTTTTCAGAGGGATTTTTTGATGGAGAAAAAAAAAACACACAGATGAGATTAGAAGAAGATCTGCTACAGCAACAGAAAAAGAGAATGCCAAGAAGGGGAAGAGTGAAGGCTGGAGAGCGGAAGCCAATGCCAAAACATTCCGAAGCTACCCAACATCTAAGAAAGGTGGCCTGAGGGAGATTGCAAGCACTAACCGCTAAACGCTAAATGAAGGGTTAGATCTTATCTATGTCCAGAAGGAGTAATAAGAAAGAATGCGTATCTCCAAAAGCTGAAAGATTTGGACAGGACCCAAGGCGGAGGCCTGGCATTTTTCTAAATTGAGATGCCAATCCCATCATACCTTAGGACTATAAGATTCAAGGATGAAGACTGGCTCCCCCGGTGGGGCAAAATCAGTGGATGGGACACAACACATCTGCCATCATGATGAAAACAGTAAACCTCTACTGAGGCTCCACTCTTGAAGCGTGCCTCTGTCAGACCCTAGTTATCCAAGGCTGGTGCTCAAGGGAAAAAGGACGCAGTCTTGGAAGGCCAGGAAGCTTCTGTCTTACTCATTAGCCTGATATGCCAGCTCCATGTAGGTATTCTTAAGTCTTTCTTTTTTTTTTCTTTTGAAATGGAGTCTTGCTCTGTCACCAGTGCAGTGGTGCCTCTTGGCTCACCACAACCTCCGCCTCCCAGGTTCAAGCGATTCTCCTGCCTCAGCCTCCTGAGTATCTGGGACTACAGGTGTGTGCCACCACGCCCAGCTAATTTTTGTATTTTTAGTAGAAACGGGGTTTCACCATATTGGCCAGGCTGGTCTTGAACTCCTGATCTCAAGTGATCTGCCTGCCTCGAGGTATTCTTAGTCTTAAATGTGCTACTGTAGACACATATTATTGTCACATAGGTTAATATTTCTCTTGGAGAAAGAACTGAGGCAGGACACCTGAAGGTACTCTTTCAGGCAACATTTTCACTTAGGAAAGTTCTAAATTGAGTTTGTATCATTCCGTGTCCCTCCTCCTCTCCCTTTCTCTTTTCTCTTCCCTTCTCTCATTGTCCGAAAGATTAAATAAAACAAAAACCTACACACAAAAGCAACAGGGAGATCAAGATGGTAAAGACCAAGCTCATGTTTTATTAGTTAGCAGACAGTGGGGCTCAGGCCGCAAGCGTCTATGGTGGGGCCAGGAGGGGGCAGAAACTAATATTTACTGGGCATTCACCATCTGCTAGGATCATAAATACTTTACCTCATTATAATTATCACATCAAGCCTTTGGGGTGGGTGTTATTTTCCTTATTTTACAGGTGAGGAAATTAAGGTTGCCTAAGCTTACCCAGCTAGTGTTCCAAACCCATCTTTCTGGCTCTGAAGCCAAGTCTGACTCGACACCTTCCATGTCTGTCTCTTTCCCGTTCTGGCCTTTGTCATTAAAACCAACAGTATCAGAAAGATGCACTCCAAAGGTAGCAAATGACATTGGTAGCGACTTCAAGGGTCTTTGCGGGAAATAAAAAAAATAAAATAAAAAGTGAGGTCTTTACCAATTTTTTTTTTTGTTGTTGTTTAAATAGAGACAGAGTCTTATTCTGTTGCCCAGGCTGGAGTACAGTGGTGTGATCATAGCTCACTGTAGCCTTGACCTCCCGGGCTCAAGCCATCCTCATGCCTCAGCCTCCTGGGTATCTAGGACTACAAGTGCACACCACCAACACCAGCTATTTTTTTTTTTTTTCCGTAGAGACAGGGTATAGCTATATCCTGTTGCCCAGGCTGGTCCCGAACTTCTGGCCTTAAGCAATCCTCCTGCCTCGGCCTCCTAAAGTGCTGGAATTATAGTGTGAGCCACCATGGCTGGTCCTTTACCAATTATTGAGGAGCAATTGTCCTAATGTTAAGATGACAGGTCAGAGAATATAGCCAAGGGGTAGCAGCCCAGCACTCCTCACCCACAGGTGAGTGAGCAAAGCAAACACAAGACCCCACTCCATTCTGCATCCACCAGGGCTTGGAAGCCTGGCACGGCCATAAAGAATCACCTTTGTGCTCATCATTAAAACTTCCTCTGGGGGTCCTCTCACTCAGTTGCCCGGCCCAGAAACCTGAGTATCATCATTAACTCCTCCTTTCCCTCACTCCCCGCAACCAGCAAACCCTCCAGTCCTAGGGATCCTACCTCTTTAATGTGTGTCTCTGATCCCTGTCACTTCCCTTCATTTCCGAGGCCACCTTCTCCTGCTCACTCTACTCCAACCCTGGGCCTTAGTGTTAGGAAACTCCGAGTGACGTTTCTAAGGTAAATTATGACATTATGATCGTGATGTTCCTCTGCTTAAATAATTCCTGCATGACTCCCTGTTGCCCACAAGAGAACGTGCAAATTTCTTTTTTTTTTTTTTTGAGTCAGGGTCTCCCTTTGTCACCAGGCTGGAGTGCAGTGACATCATCTGGGCTCACTGCAGCCTCTGCCTCCTGGACTCAAGCGATCCTCCCTCCTCAGCCTCCTGAGTAGTTGGGGCCACAGACACGCACCACCACACCCAACTAATTTTTAAATTTTTTGTAGAGATGGTGTCTCACCATGTTGCCCAGGCTGGTCTCAAACTCTTGGGCTGAAGCAATCCTCCTGCCTCAGCCTCTCAAAGTGCTGGGATTATAGGTTTGAGCTACTGCACCCAGCCGAATGTTCAGCTCTTAGCAGAGCATCCTAGGCCACTCATGGTCAGGCCCTGCTTCTCTGTCCTGCCCATGCTGAAGCTCCCATCCTGAGCCACTGGGAGGTCCTGGGATGGTCATGCTCTCTCAGGCCTTGATGTCTTTCCAGCAGGATAACCTTACACCTGTCCAACTCATGCTTGTCTTTCAGCTCTGAGAAGCTGCCCCTGACCATCCCATTCAGAGCTTGGCTGTGGGGGAAGCAGTCCCTTGGTACCCCCCATCCCAGCCTGAGCTGCCCCTCCTTGGCAATGTCTCCAGGGCCAGGGTCTGTACTACCCAGGCGTCTGTGACCTTCACCTCTGTAAGCCCCTGCAGGGCAGGGTGTGCTTTCTTCCCCATTTTCCCCAGCATCTAACCTCCAGGAGCCACTCAATTCATAATTAAATGTCTAAAATGATAAAGTGGGGGAAAGTAATGAAGGAATAAGAGTCTATTACCAGCTTTGCTACCAACTACTCTATACCTGCTACTAAAACTGAGTGAAGCAGGATGCTATTTTGCCATTCCTGAAGTAGGATCTTCACCACGTTCCTCACCCTCCATCCCCCAACAACCGCTACTCTGTCTCAGGGACTGGGATGGGTATAAGAGCTTATTACATTGTTTTGTTTTTTGTTTTCACCATTAAGAAAAAATGGGCCAGGCGCAGTGGTTCACGCCTGTAATCCCAGCACTTTGGGAGGCCAAGGCAGGAGGACTGCTTGAGCCCAGGAGTTCAAAACTAGCCTAGGAAACATTGTGAGACCCTGTCTCAAAAAAAGAAAGAGAGAAAGAGAGAGAGAGAAAAGAAGGAGGAGGAGTAGGAGGAAGAGGAAAGAGGAGAGGAGAGGAGAGGAGAGAAGAAGAGAAGGGAAGAAAAGAGAAGGGAAGAGAAGAGAAGAGAAGGGAAGATGACATGGAAGTGGAAATACACAGTGCAATCTTTTATTCTATAGATTACTCTTCTTCCAGGAGACAAAGAGCCAAGGGGATAAACAGCCAAAGGACCTCTCACAGCTGGGTAAATGTGCAAAAAATGGGAGATAAGTATTAATATAGCAAAGAGTGAAGCATTTCATGGAAAACATTTCTTTTTTTCTTTTTCTTTTTTTTTTTTTTTGAGACAGAGTCTCACTCTGTTGCCCAGGCTGGAGTGCCATAGTGCAATCTCGGCTTACTGCAATCCCCACCTCCCGGGTTCAAGTGGTTCTCCTGCCTCAGCCTCCCAAGTAGCTGGGACTACAGGTATGAGCCACCACGCCCAGTTAATTTTTGTATTTTTAGTAGAGAAGGGTTTCACCATGTTGGTCAGGCTGGTCTCAAACTCCTGACCTCAAGGAATCCACCCATATTGGCCTCCCAAAGTGCTGGGATTACAGGTGTGAACCACTGTGCCCAGCAGGAAAACATTTCAAATGTACTTTTAAGATGAGAGACCCTAACTCCCACTTATAACATAGGAAGGCAACTTGGGAGACACTGGGGGCAGCCCCCAAAGGGCACCAGCTCAGCATGCCGCAGCCATCACAAAGCCACCAAACTGTGTGGTGTCACCGGAAAACACGGAAAACACCAGTGTCCTGCCTTGAGTACCTATGACTTTTTTTAGAGCGAGGGTCTCTCTAGAGATGGGCAACAAAAATAATCAAGTGCATGCTGAGACTTATAAATAAAAGTAGATAAAGAGAAGAAAAGACAGCAGATCTGCAATCACTAACATCAAAGGAAAAGCGGGAGCATGAGGAAGATAAGTCATGAAAAGCACAGGTAGGGTGAACCTACAAGACTAGAAATAGTGGAATTCCTTAAAGTTTGACCAAAGTAACTTAGGGACGCTTATGGGGAAAATATTACAGTATCTTACAATAGTATTTTAAATACTCTTTGCTGTTCATTAGACTAGTAAGTAGTAGTTTAAGGAAGATTTATGGAATTTTAGAACACAGTTATAATCAAATCCAGCATCCCTATGTCTTAGATGAAAGAAATTGGATCTAGAGAAAGTCAGTGCCTTGCCCGGGGCCATACACCACCTTACAGCAGAGCTGAAGCTCGAACCCTTGATTTCTATTCATGCTTTTTCTATTAGATTATTTAATATGAAAACACTATGACTGATGATAGAGGCCCAAGATAGGGATGTTGGAGACAAGGCCAGATAAATAAGGTATTGTTAAGGAAAACCAGGAATGTTGTGTGGCACTACCCTAAAAGTTTGAGGCTGACATGGTACAGCAACAATGTTCTCTCACAGAATGGCCCTTTGCTTCACGGTCAGAGGCTGGCATATAGTCTGGTCTGCTGATCTGAACCCATTTCGATTTCTTACTCCCTCAAGCTCGAATCACCCATATGGTCCCACATGGGCAGTGCACTGGCTGGTTCACTTTGCTGCATTCCCTTAAAGGTTGGATGTTCAAGTCAATTCTAGCCACTCTAGGAATGCTGAGGTCAATGGAATTCTACCAACATTTGCCGGCTCTGGGGGAGAGGAGACAGCTGCCAATGGCAGTGGTATGGATGACGGGAGGGCAGTCCATCCTGGAAAATCTACTGCTGCCACAGCCCACAATCTGGTAGTCTGAATGCTTAGTATCCAGGAAGGCTGGGAGTGGAAAATATCTTAAGTATTCCTCGCCTCTTGGCACCAGGGAAGCAAGAGAAAAATAAAGCAGGGGAACCTGTTGGACAGGACTGTCAAGGCCACTCTTGCTGGAGGCTGCCTGCTGCTAGAAGGAGCTGGATGGTTCTTCCTCCCCAGCAGAGAAGAGGGTAGGACCAGAGAGACTAGAGTGAACGGGATTCCTATTTGCCAAGACCTCCAGGGAAGTGCTGGGAAATGCTCTATCTCTGAGAAAGAGCAAGCTTGAGCCTTGTTGCTCTCGGTTGGGGTGACATTTACAAATGCCTAAACAACATGATCATGGGAAGAAAGGGAAGCTGCTCCAACAGATACAGTCTGCTGCAGAGGAGTGCTGCCCGAGGGACTGCACCGCATTCCAAATGTTGGGTGCGGGAGGGGAATAAAAACCTCATTTCACCTTTTTCTTCATGCCGGTCTTATTTCCTCTGGGTCATTTTATTTTTATGAAAGAATTGTAACAGGAGAAAAAAGGATACAAGGGACATGATAGGGAGAGACCTGAGCCAGGGAGCTGAACAGCAGAGATCAATGCAGGTGAGTGTGAGAATGCAGTGAATGTGGTCTTGTGTTTTGGGGAGAGATCCTGGTGTCTTTTTCTCCAACACTTTGTGGATGGAAGTGGCTTTTTCCAACTACCTACAACATCTACACAGTAACCACCTATACTCTTCAGAGGCCAGTGCCCCTAGCTTGCCAGGCCTGAGCACTGCACCTAGTGAGTTCTGCTTTCAACACTTGGTGCCTTCATCTGCAAGGAGCGCCATGAAATACTTGGCAAAGAGCAGACTAGGAAGGATGGCTTTGTTGAACAGGCTTCTTTATGTGGTGATCGAATGGGATGCTGTTTCACGTATCCTTTCCTCAGGAAGGTTCTGGGACTCTTTTGCATTTATGCAGAGGGTTGCAGAAAAAATAAGCACCTGAACTGAATTCTGACTTGATGATTTCTACCAACCTATATATAAACTTTGTGTAATTCAATATCCAAGACATACAGTATGTCTTTTCCTTGTAAGAGGGAAGCAAGCTAAATGACTTTTTTCCCCCTTACCATTTCCTCCCCTTTTTCTTTCAAAAAGCTGCCGTATCTATTTTATTTTACGGGCTAAAAAAGGTTGCACCACATTTGGTATTCCACAAAGAGGAAATGGAAAAATTATTAAATAGTGAAGGAAAACAGTATTGCTTGCTTAGAAAATAAGACATATGAACCCTTAAGAATGGGAAAACACCAGCTACTATGGCAGGGAGAAGACATTTTGCCAAATTTAGAACCCACTTGAAAATCACGGGTTCTAAGTTTAGAACTGAACTAAAAACTTGAGCTCACATTGCATTTGGCATTGGTTTAAAAAAAATTCTAAGCTACTAATTAAAGGGAAAAAAATTATACTCTTAGTAGTTCTAGAGGCTGGGAATTATTTTCAAACAAATTCTTTATTGGCTCAATGGAGAAGCCTGCACTTAGAAAAGAAACAATTTTTTTCTAATTAAAATTTCGTTACAAAACAATGATTTAAAATTGAGGGGAGAAAACATTTGCCAAAGTCTTTAAAGAATTACAGAATTGTTGTGTAATCTTTGAACCCATCCAAATACACCAGGTGGTCATACAAACTTCATATACTAAATAGCGTGTAAAACAGACACCATTAATTATAGCCGACCAGTAAACTTCAAATAATAAAAATTCAATAAAAATTTAAACTATCACTAAACAAAACAAAAACAAACTCTTACCAGCATTTTTATTTTCTAATTTGGATATTATGATAGTTGTTGTAACATCACTAAGAAATGGATCTGAATTGCTGCTATGGCAATAATTACAAAAATTTTAGACCCAAAAGATTCAAAGTAGTAAACAGACATCCACTGGCTTAATGTGATTCCAGGGAGCTATCAACTTTCTCTTTTCTTTTCTGTTTGAGACAGGGTCTCTCTCTGTTGCCCAGGCTGGAGTGCAGTGGCCCAAACCCAGCTCACTGTAGTCTTGCCCTCCCAGGCTCAAGCGATCCTCCCATCTGAGCCTCCTGAGTGACTGGGGCTACAAGCCTGGCTAATTTTTAATTTTATTATTATTATTATTATTATTATTATTATTATTATTATTATTATTATTACTTTTAGATACAGGGTCTCACTATGTTGCCCAGGCTGGTTTTGAACTCCTGGGCTCAAGAGATCCTCCTGCCTCAGCCTCCCAAAGTGCTGGGATTACAGGTATGAGCCACTGTGCCCATACAACTTTTCAATTATGGGAAACTTAAAGATAGCTTATGCTGTCCTCCACACACCTAACATACATACACACATACAGAAATGCATACACATACATATATACATATAATAATAATGACCTAAAAGGAGGACCTGAAATGAAATAATTAGACAAAAGGTTAAACATGAACATTCAGTGCCAATATTCAGCACAGCAAGCATTCAGAAACACAAATGTTGGGAAAAATAATTTTTCCTTTATGTTGATTGCCTTGGAGTCTAAATACATTTTTGAGTGACTTTAAGGGAGCAGGCTTAGCAACTGATGGATTTGACACTCTTTCTTCAGAAACACCATTAACTCAACAGTACAAAACCCTAGAACTTTAATTTCTAGGCACTTCTAAAAACTCTTGTTGAAGCCTGGTGCAGTAGTACGTGCCTGTAGTCCCAGCTACTCAGTAGGTTGAGGCAGGACAGTCACTTGAGCCCAGGAATTTGAGACCAGCCTGGGCAATATAGTGAGACCCCCATCTCAAACACATGAACAAACAAAAAAACTCTTATTGAAGGATATAAAATTAATTCCTAAGTTAACTATTTTCTTAACAAGAAGATGCAGTTGTACTGGTGGGAAGAGGATAGAAATTTAAAGTTGTAAAAACAAAAAATACAGCATGTGTAAGTGGAAAAGGATTTGTTCGGTACATATTTTTAACTTACTCATTTTAAATAAGCATAGTTAAACAGTAGCTATGTATTTGACCTAATAGCACGTGTAGCTCTCACTAGGAGGAGGAACAGAGGTTAACACTGTTAATATGTGTGCCAAAGTCAGGATACGAATAGATTCCTTGGCCCACTGGGTCACTCACTTCTGAATGCATGTTCTTCAGCACAGTCTTCTATCCTTTTAAATGACCAATTCAAATGGAATTTCTTTTTTTTTTTTTTTTCCTGAGACGGAGTCTCGCTCTGTCGCCCAGGCTGGAGTGCAGTAGCAAGATCTCAGCTCACTGCAATCTCTGCCTTCTGAGTTCCAGCAATTCTCCTGCCTCAGCCTCCTGAGTAGCTGGGATTACAGGCATGCACCACCATGCCCGGCTAATTTTTGTAATTTTAGTAGAGACGGGGTTTCACCGTGTTGGCCTCGAACTCCTGACCCCAAGTGATCCGCCTGCCCCGGCCTCCCAGAATGTTGGGATTACAGGCATCAGCCACTGCGCTGGTCTCAAAAAAAAAAAAAAAAAAAAAAGCTGGAGAGTTTGCTGATGTCCAGATCCTGACTGTCTGCCCCAAAAGCCTCCAGATCCTTTAGCTATCTTCCAGGCATTTTCAATTCTTTGACCTGTAAATTTTTTTCACAGAAATAATAAATATGTTTAGTGTTGTCAAGAATCAGGTATCCCAAATACTTTTTGCCATTATGCCTTCACCAAGTCTGAACCGAGGTTTTAATATTTTCCCTTGCCTTATCACTGTAGGTCTTGGCTCTACAAAGAGTCATATGAGATAAGTATTTCAATTAAGAATTTAGGAATTTGGGCTGGGCGTGGTGGTTCATGCCTGTAATCCCAGCACTTTGGGAGGCCGAGGTGGGCAGATCACTTGGGGCTAGGAGTTTGAGACCAGCCTGGCCAACACGGCAAAACCCTGTCTCTAATAGAAATGCAAAAGTTAGTTGGCGTGGTAGTGCTTGCCTATAATCCCAGCTACTTGGGAGGCTGAGGCGCAAGAATCACTTGAGCCTGGGAGGCAGAGGTTGCAGTGAGCTGACATTTTGCCACTGCACTCCAGCCTGGGCAACAGAGTGAGACTGTCTGAACAGAAAAAAAAAAAAAAAAATTAGGAATTCGGCGAATAAAAAAGAATTTAGGAATTTGGGAGGCTGTGGTGGGAGGATCGCTTAAGCCCAAGAATTTGAGGCTGCAATGAGCTATGATCACACCACTACATTCCAGCTTGGGCGACAGAATAAGACCCTGTCTCTTAAAAAAAAAATCAGGAAATGATATGCAAACTTGATGTTGGTAGGTAGGCTTTCCTGAAGACGTGCTTTTCTCTGTGTGTAGGCAAAGGTACACTGCTGGTATTCAGCAAAAAAGTAGCTCTAATTCCCTCTGTCACGCATTCCACTAGATATCTTCACCTGCAAGTGAATAGACACCAGAAATAGTCCCAGACATATATGTTCAATTCATTTTCAACAAAGTTGGTAAGACATTCAGCACAAAAATACTTTTTTTTTTTTTGAGACGGAGTTTCGCTCTTGTTGCCCAAGCCAGAATGCAAAGGCGCAGTCTTGGCTCACTGCAACCTCTGCCTCCCAGATTCAAGCGATTCTCCTGCCTCAGCCTCCCGAGTAGCTGGGATTACAGGCGTGTGGCACCACGCCTGGCTAATTTTTTGTATTTTTAGTAGAAACGGGGTTTCACCATGTTAGCCAGGCTGGTCTTGAACTCCTGACCTTAGATGATCTGCCTGCCTTGGCCTCCCAAAGTGCTGAGATTACAGGCGTGAGCCACCGCGCCTGGCCCATAGGAAAGACTTTTCAACAAATTTTACTAAAACAACTGGGTAGTCATATGGAAAAAGAAACAAACCTTGAGGCTGGGCACGGTGGCTCATGCCTGTAATTCCAACACTTCAGGAGGCTGAGGCAGGCGGATAGCCAGCCTGGGCAACATGGCAAAACCCCATTTCTACAAAAAATATAAAAATTAGCTGTGTGTGGTGGTGCACGCCTGTAATTCCAGCTATTCAGGAGGCTGAGGTGGGAGGATCACCTAAGCCTGGGAGGCAGAGGTTGCAGCGAGCCATGATGATGCCACTGGTCTAGCTTGGGTGACAAAGCAAGACCCTATCTCAAAAAAAAAAAAAGAAAAAAAAAGAAATAAACTTTGACTTTTACATCATGCTACATACAGAAATCAACTCAAAATGAATGCGAGACCTAAGGGTACAATCTAGAAAACTCCAAGAGTTAAACAGAGGAGAAGTCTTAGGACAAAAAAAGCAAACTTTCACAAAAGAGAAAACTGATAAACTAAACCTTGTCAACACTTAAAAATTTGCTCTTAGAAAGATATCATTGGCCAGGTGCGGTGGCTTACGCCTGTAATCCCAGCACTTTGGGAGGCCGAGGCGGGCAGATCAGGAGGTCAGGAGATCAAGACCATCCTGGCTAACAAGGTGAAACCCCATTTCTACTAAACATACAAAAAATTAGCCAGGCGTGGTAGTATGCACCTGTAGTCCCAGCTACTCGGGAGGCTGAGGCAGGAGAATCGCTTGAAGCCAGGAGGCGGAGGTTGCAGTGAGCCAAGATTGCACCACTGCACTCCAGCCTGGGCGATGAGCAAGACTCCCTCTAAAAAAAAAAAAAGAAAGAAAGATATGTTAAGTAAATGAAAAGGCTAGGCACAGTGGTTCATGCCTGTAATTCCAGCAGTTTGGGAGGCCGAGGTGGGAGGGTTGCTTGAGCTCAGGAGTTTGAGAACAGCCTGGGCAACACAGTCAGCCTCATCTCAAAAAAAAATTATTCATACATTAAAAAAAAATGAAAAAAGATAAAGCATAGAATGAAAAAATATTTGCAATACATATAATGGACTGGTATCTAGAATGTATAAAGGGCTATTAGAACTCAGTAAGAAAGCAATGCAATTTTTTCAGTAGGCAAAAGACAAACAAATGCTTTATAAAAAGAAGTTACATGAAAAGATGCTCAATATTGTTAGTTATCTGGAAAACACAAATTAAAACCACAGTGAGATGCCACTACACACCAATGAGAATGGCTCAAGATAAAATGATGACAATACCAAGTATTGGTGAAGATGTACAACTGCTGATAGGAATGTAAAATGGTACAAGCACTTTGGAAAACTGATAGCTTCTTTAAAAGTTAAACATGGCCGGGCACGCTGGCTCATGCCTATAATCCTAGCACTTTGGGAGGCTGAGGCAGGCGGATCACCTGAGGTCAGGAGTTCGACACCAGCCAGGCCAACATGGTGAATCCCTGTCTCTACTAAAAATACAAAAATTAGCTGGGCGTGGTAGCGTGGGCCTGTAGTCCCAGCTACTCAGGAGCCTGAGGCAGGAGAATTGCTTGAACCTGGGAGGGGGAGGTTGCAGTGAGCCGAGGTCTTGCCACTGCACTCCAGCCTGGCCAGGTGACGAAGTGAGACTACATCTCAAAAAAAAAAAAAAAAAAAAAAAAGTTAAACATACACCTGCCATTCAACCTCGTCGTTCTGCCTCTGGGTACTCAGCCAGGAAAAATAAAAATATATGTTCACACAAAGACTTGTACAGCAATGTTCATTGTAGGTTTATTTGTAATAGTTAAAAACTAGAAGCAAACCAAATGTTGAACAACTGGCATAAACCAATTTGTTTATGCCATAAACAAATTGGAGCATAGTCAAAAGGTGCAACATGAGTCAGTAATAAACAGGAATGAACTACTAATGCTCACAACATGGATGGCTCTCAAAATCTTTATGCTTAGTGAAATAAGTCAGACCTCCTCACAAAACTACATATTATATGTTTTCATTTATAGAAAATGCAAACTAATCGGTAAGTGGCAGAAAGCTCAGTTGTTTTCCGGGGCAGACATGGAGAAGGATAAGGGAAACGAGAAAATCTGGGGGATGACAGGAATGTTCTGAACCTTGGTTGTGGTGGGTTCACAGATGTGTGCATTGAACTGGCTGTGTGCAGTGGCTCACGCCTGTAATCCTAGCACTTTGGAGGCCAAAGCGGGAGGATCACTTGAGGCCAGGAGTTTGAGACCAGCCTGGGCAAGATAGCAAGACCTCATCTCTACAAAAATAAAAATGAAAAAATTAGCCAGGCGAGGCGCACACGCCTGTGGTCCCAGCTACTTGTGAGGCTGAATGGGAGGATCTCTTGAGCCCAGGAGTTTGAGGCTGCATTGAGCTATGATCACACCACAGCACTCCAGCCTGGGCATCAAAGCAAGACACTCATCTCTTACATAGAACAAAACAAAAACTCTTTGAATTGAGCCAGGTGTGGTTGTGTGCACCTGTAATCCCAGCTGCTCAGGAGGCTGAGGTGGGGGAGGGTTGCTGAGCCCAGGATTTCAAGACCAGATTGGGCAACGTAGTGAAATGTCATTAAAAAAAAAAATTGGGAAAATGGCTGTAATAAGCATCTAATAAATGCTAGCCTTTATTAAAAAAAAAAACTCTTTCAATGGCACACTTTAAATAGGTGCAATTTATTGTATACAACTCAGTAAAGTTGTTATTTTAAAAATCTCCCATTGAGTGTTTGGCAGGCCACTCAAACTTCACATTTCTCCAACTGAGCTCCTAATCATCTGTTTGTCCTCTTGGTTAATGTTCTCTTTCTTGGCTAATGGCCTCATCATCTACCTAATCAGCTAAGCTAGATAGCTTGGCAATCACCTTTACTCTACTTTCATTTGTATCTTTAAACTCTTTCTCAAATTTATCTCTAACCTTGTTTGTTTTAAATTTAGAAGTGTTTTTTACTGTGGTAAAATATACATAACATAAAAGTTACCATTTTAACCACTTTTTTTTTTTGAGATGGAGTTTCGCTCTTGTTGCCCAGGCTGGAGTGCAATGGTGTGATCTCGGCTCACTGCAACCTCCGCCTCCTAGGTTCAAGCGATTCTCCTGCCTCAGCCTCCGGTGTAGCTGGGATTACAGGCGTGCGCCACCAAGCCTGGCTAATTTTGTATTTTTAGTAGAGACAGGGTTTCTTCATGTTGGTCAGGCTGGTCTCGAACTCCCAACCTCAGGTGATCCGCCCGCCTTGGCCTTCCAAAGTGCTGGAATTACAGGCGTGAGCTACTGCTCCCGGCCTTAACCACTTTTAAGTGTACAGTTCAATTGCATTAAGTAAATTCACATGATTGTGCAACCAATAGTACCATCCATCTCCAGAACTTTTTCATCTTCCCCAATTAAAACTCTGTATCCATTAAATACTAACTCCCACTCCCCTTTCCCTCCCCCAACCCCTGTGCCAACTAACATTCTACTTTCTGTCTCTATGAATTTGACTACTCTAGGTGGTAGAGTATGTAAGAGTATATATTCCACCGCATATAAGAGAAATCATGCAGTATTTGTACTTCTGTGATTGGTTTATTTTACTTAACACAATGTCCTCAATGTTCATCCATGTTGTAGTCTGTGTGAGCATTTCCTTCACCTTTAAGATGGAATCATATTCCATGGTATGCAGAGACTACATTTTGTTTCTCCATTTATCCATCGACGGACAATTGGGTCATCCCTAATTCATGATGCCCACTGCTACTACCCCAGTTTAAGGCCTCATCATCTTTTGGCTGGACTATTTCAATGGGCTATTCACTGCCATCCTTACCTCCTTTTCTCACGCACCTTCTAGCTTGCCACCAGTATCGTTTTTCTAAAGCAATGATCCTGTCTCTCCACTGTTCAAGGACTTCTGTGTGCAATTTCAAAGTCAAATAGGATTGTACTTCTAATGCTGTTCTGCAGTTTGCTTTTTTCCACTCTCCTTTTGAACAACTCTAATTCGTAGAAATTTCTTTCTTATTTTAATCCAATATATATTTCCTGGTCACTCCCTCCCATTGGTCCTAGCTCTGTCCTCCAGAGCGACACTGAATATTTCCCTTTTCTTTTTCTTTTCTTTTTTTTTTTTTTTGGAGACGGAGTCTCGCTCTGTCGCCCAGGCTGGAGTGCAGTGGCACCATCTCGGCTCACTGCAAGCTCTGCCTCCCGGGTTCACACCATTCTCCCGCCTCAGCCTCCCGAATAGTTGGGACTACAGGCGCGTGCCGCCACGCCTGGCTAATTTTTTATATTTTTAATAGAGACGGGGTTTCACCGTGTTAGCCAGGATGGTCTCGATCTCCTGACCCTGTGATCCGCCCGCGTTGGCCTCCCAAAGTGCTGGGATTACAGGTGTGAGCCACTGCACCCGGCCAATATTTCCCTTTACTATGTGGCAGACAACCCTTTAATATATAAAGATAACTATCGGTCTTCTTTTTCCAGGCCTTGAGTCATTTCTCAGGTAATGTGGTTCCCAGACCCTAGCTGCTTTTCTCTGATTGTGGTTCAGTTGGTCAGTGTCCTTATCAAAACAGGATGCCTAAAACAGAATATAATCATCTAGACTCTACAACCATCTAGAGTGGGACCATTGTATCCTTTGCTCTGCTGTTTTACTACTATAACTCAGCCTAATATGCCTTTAACTTTTTTAGTTTTAATGTTGATATATATTAACTTGGAGTCAACTCAAACACTTAGGGTTTTTTAAGAAATACATTTTTATGACACTATTGGGCACCTGAAGATGGGGGTGCCCAAAGGAAGGAAAAGGAAAAGAATTGAAGTTAGGAGAGCATTTTTTTCCTTAGCAATTTTGCCTATTTATTCAATGTTTCTTGCTCCTGATAGCAGATGCAGATCATCTGCACACCAGTCCTCCCTCCAGGCTTCATATCAGTAATGTACCAAACACCAAGGCCTAGTAAACAACTGCGTTTCCAACAACCTGCCTAGACTCACAGCCTGGCACATGGGCCTCCCCGCTGCACCCTCAGTTCTACCCCTGATAGCTATGGGACACCTGTGGCAAGTGATTAGAAGAAATGGTAGCAATTGCCATAAAACACACACACCCAGGAAATGCACTTTTGCAAAAGTACATGGCAGTTCAGACACTGTGCATCAAACAAAAACCTTACCTAAAAGCGTATAGGGGAATGGACCAAGAAAGCAGCGTCCTAGCTTGCCTTTCTCTAGGCAGCTAAAAATCTAAGCCATCAAAGGGGGAGATTCTTTATTAAAAAGGTGTTGCATCTTTGTTGTTGGCTTTTCAAAAGTAAAATGCAGTATCTTTAATGGGTGAGGAAGAGGATTGCTTGTCCAGGCAAATTTTCTTGAAACTTGGAGTCATTTAAGAGGATAAGACTCAGTTGAATGTGTTTTGGGATTTTTTACTGGTCAACTTCAGGCTGGTGGCTATTTACTCTTCCACACAGACATTCCTTCCATCAGATCAATGCCTGCTCCCTGCAACACACACACCACACACACCGCCCACCAATATTCCCGTCATGCCCGGAGCCTCACAAGTAGTGTCTCTTTTATTCTTCTCTTCTTAGAAATTCAGTGCTCATATTCCTCTACACACGAAAGCCATCCCCTCCCCAGCCTTCAGTCTTTCTCCCCTTCAATTATAAACTGAGACCTTGATCCTCAGTCATCTCATTTTCCAAAATGATCCCCTATCTCTTTTCGCTGGCTCCTTCCTCTTCACGTTTCACTGTAACCAGGACCCTTCAATGCAGATGTACTTGTCAATACTACTGCACCAACCCTGCCCTCTCTTCACTCACACTGAACACTTCGAATGATTATGCCGCACTCATTCCATTTTTGGATCTACCACTGATTCTCTGTCACCCGGGCTTGAGTACAGTGGTGCGATCTCGGCTCACTGCAACCTCCGCCTTCCGGGTTCAAGCGATTCTCCTGCCTCAGCCTCCCGAGTAGCTGGGATTACAGGTGCCTGCCACTACACCCAGCTAATTTCTTTTTGTATTTTTAGTAGAGATGGGATTTCACCATGTTGGCCAGGCTGTTTTTTTTTTTTAACTTTCATTTTAGGTTCGGGGATACACATGCAGGTTTGTTATATAGGTAAATTTTGTGTCATGGGGGCTTGGTGTACAGATTATTTTGTTACCCAGTTAATAAGCATGGTGCCTGACGGGTAGTTTTTTGATCCTCACCCTCCTCTCAGCCTCCACCCTCAAGTAGGCCCCAGTGTCTCTTGTTCCCCTCTTTGTATCCGTGTGTACTCACTGTTTAGCTCCCACTTATAGATGGAAACATGCACTATCTGACTTTCTGTTCCTGCATTAGTTCCCTCAGGGTAATGACCTCCAGCTCTATCCATCTTGCTGCAAAGGATATGATCTTATTCTTTTTTATGGCTGGGTAGTATTCCATGGTGTAAATGTACCACATTTTCCTTATCCAGTCTACCACTGATGGGCATTTAGGTTCATTCCATGTCTTATGCTATTGGGAAGAGTGCTGCAATGAACATACGCATGTGTGTGTGTCTTTATGGTAGAATGATTTCTAGTCCTTTGGGTATATACCCAGTAATGGAATTGCTGGGTGGAATGGTAGTTCTGTTTTAAGTTCTTTGAGGAATCGCCAAACTGCTTTCCACAGTGGCTGGACTAATTTACATTCCTACCAGCAGTGTGTAAGCATCCCCTTCTCTCCACAACCTCGCAAGCATCTGTTATTTTTTGACTTTCTAGTGATGGCCATTCTGACTAGTGTGGGATAGTATCTCATTGGGGTTTTGATTTGCATTTCTCTTGCCAGCTACTTGGGAGGCTGAAGCAGGACAATCACTTAAACTCAGGAGGTGGAGGTTGTAGTGAGCCGAGATTGCACCACTGCACTCCAGCCTGGGGAACAGAGTGAGACTCCATCTCAAAATATATCCTCCCAAGGTCAATTAAGACTTTTTGTTGGACAAGTTTGATGGTATTCTCTTGGAATTTATATTCTCACTGACTTTTCCTTGTCCCACTGGGATGCAGCAGGAGCGGGAGGGGCTGGAGAGGGATAAGAGCTGTGGTGGGTATCAGGAGAGATGGCTAGGCTTGCTTCCTTTGCAAGGTCTACATCACTCACTCTATCCCTTTATGCCCCCCACCACCCCACGTCTAGCTATAGAGTAGGACACAATTTCAATGATTCTTGCCCCAAATACACAAATCTAGGCAAAGGAATCAGCAAATTATTATTATTATTATTATTATTATTATTATTATTATTAAGACGAAGTCTTGCTTTGTGGCCCACGCTGGAGTGCAGTGGCATGACCTGGGCTCACTGAAACCTCCACCTCCTGTGTTCAAGAGATTCTCCTGCCTTAGCCTCCCGAGTAGCTGGGACTACAGGCATGAGCCACTATACCCGGCTAATTTCTGTATTTTTAGTAGAGACAGGGTTTCACCATGTTGGCCAGACTGGTCTTGAACTTCTGACCTCAAGTGATCCACCTGTCTCAGCCTCCTAAAGTGCTGGGATTACAAGTGTGAGCCACTGCGCCCAGCCTCTTTTTTGTTTTTTTTTTTTTTGAGAAGGAGTCTTGCTCTGTTGCCCAGGCTGGAGTGCACTGGTGCAATCTCGGCTCACTCCAACCTCCGCCTCCTGGGTTCAAGTGATTTTCCTGCCTTAGTCTCCTAAGTAGCTGGGATTACAGGTGTGCACTACCATGCCCAGCTAATTTTTATATTTTTAGTAGAGACAAGGTTTTGCCATGTTGGCTAGGCTGGTCTCAAACTCCTGACCTCAGGTGATCCACCCGCCTCAGCCTCCCAACCTGCTGGGATTGGCTCACACTTACAGGTGTGAGCCAATGTGCCCAGCCTGGAATCAGCAAATTCTTCGCCCCGAAGATGGGTTCAGAAATCATCCCAAACCCTTTGGGTTTTCCTACTAACTACAACTGAATGATAGGTGTGCTTTGGCCTGAAATGGGTCTGTTGAATCTCTGATCTCCAGATTGGGTGGCTCTTCACCAGAAAGTCTCTCGATCATTACTTCTCAAAAATTGCAACTCTCACCCTTCCTTCATTTTGTCCTTCCCGTTTCTCTTTTTTCTTGTTTCAAACTGAGTTTCTCTTTGTATCAGGCAGCCTCACAGTCTGACCCAACACTGATCTTTCCATTGTCATGAACATTTCCCAAACCACATTTAAAAACCACAATACCCTTTTCTTGTTCTCGCAGAAGCACAAAGTATGAGAAATAAACCTTCATTAATTGTAGATTCCCTCTTCTTTAAAAACCATATTTGCTAGTCTTGGACTTCTTAGGATCTTAAGACCAAAAAGGAACCTTGAAAAGTCAATCCATTAGTTATATCACATTTAAATAATTATGTGACTTTGTTTGAAGAATTAAGAAAACTGCTGAATTCAATTAAACAAAACTAAACCCTGCCCCAAGCCACTGGGATTTGGTTAAAGTGAATCTGAAGCCTGTCTGTCAATCATCCTAGAGCCATCTGAGTTCCTCGGGCCTGGGGAAATGTGTCTCCCCAAAGTTCCTGTCTTGGAAGCTTAATTGCCAATGTAACAGTATTAAGAGATGGGGCCTTTAAGAGATGATTGGGTCATGAGGGTAGAGCCCTCAGGTATAAATTAATGCCATCAGGTGAAGTGAGTTCTCGAGGGAGTGAATTGGCTCTCACAGGAGTGAGCCCTCTCCAGAGCAGGTTGTTATAAAAGCTAGCTTGGCTCACTCTTGCAGTCTCTTTTGCATGTCCTGCTTGTCCTTCTGCTTTTCCACCATGTTAAGATGCAGCACGAAAGCTTGCACCAGAAGCTGCTGCCATGTTCTTGGACTACCTGGCCTCCTGAACCATAAGTCAAATAAACTTCTTTAATTTGTAAATTACCGAGTCTCAGGTATTCTGTCTTAGCAACAGAAAATGAACTAAGACACCAGGAGATGCAAGTTGAGTATGATATTCTTGTGTGTGTGTTTTGAGAGACAGGGTCCCATTCTGTTGCTCAGGCTGGAGTGCAGTGGTGCAATCATGGCTCACCTCAGCCCTGAATTCCTGGGCTCAAGCAATCCTCCCCACTCAGCCTCCCAAATAGCTGGGACTACATGTGTGTGCTCCCTCACCTGGCTAATTTTTTTTTTTTTTTTTTTTTTTGAGACAGAGTCTCATTCTGTTGCCCAGGCTGGAGTGCAGTGGCATGATCTCAGCTCAATTCAACCTCTGCCTCCTGGGTTCAAGCGATTCTCCTGCCTCAGCCTCCTGAGTAGCTGGGATCACAGGTGTGCAGCATCACACCCAGCTAACTTCTGTTTTTTAATTTCTTTTTTTTTTTTTTTGAGATGGATTCTTGCTCTGTCGCCCAGGCTGGAGTGCAATGGCATGATCTTGGCTCACTGCAAGCTCCACCTCCCGGGTTCAAGGGATTCTCCTGCCTCAGCCTCCTGAGAAGGTGGGATGGGGTTTCGCCATGTTAGCCAGGCTGGTCTAGAACTCCTGGCCTCAAGTGATTTTCTTGCCTTGGCCTCCCAAAGTGCTGGGATTACAGGTGTGAGCCACTGCACTCAGCCCACACCTGGCTAATTTTTTAAAAAATTTTTTTGCAGACATGGGGTATTGCAGTGTTGCCCAGACTAGTCTTGAACTCCTCCTGAAGTGATCCTCCCACCTTGGCCTCCCAAAATGTGAGATTACAGATGTGACCCACTGTGTCTGAGTATAATATTCTAATAAATGAATTGGATACCCTGAAGAGCCACAGGTTAAATGTGAAAGTCACCATCAATATAAAAAGCTAGGAACCTTGGTCAAATTACATACTTTTAAGCTATATATATATGTAAAATTGGATGTGGAAGTATCTATGGATAGCTCCATGCATTTGAATGATTTAGAACAAGAGTTATTAACCTTAGGTTTGGAACCATCCTCAACTGTGTACATCTAGTTTAGTTTAGTTTAGTTTAGAGACAAAGTCTTGCTCTGTTGCCTGGGCTGGAGTGCAGTGGCTGGCCTTCACTGTAACCTAAATGTGTACGTTTTTACAGTGCAAGGCCTCACTGCTTTTATCAGATCCTTAAGGATCTCCAAAAGGCTTAAGAACCCCTGTTTTAGAAGAAGGGTAAGATTAAAATCAATATATTATTTTATATATTTATAAATGCATTAAATAGAAATTAAAAACTTCCATTTTAGCAATAGCAAGATAAAAGGTTGATTGTTGTAAATAATCATCACATAATTAGTAACCACATTTAAACACTAATAGACAATATTATTTCAGCATTTTAGATATGTGTCAACAAGTATTTACCTTAATATACGTGCAAGTACATCAGGGAAGGAGGTGTTCAGATACAGATTTTAACCTGGATTGCAAACTACTGGTAAATTTACTTTCACTATTGTTTAAAAAAATCATCAATCAGATAATGTAAAGGCAATACCAAATACAAATCAAGTCACTATTGAACATAGTTACAGCTATGTTCAGTTACAACACCTCATTTTCTCATATTAGATAAGAAAAATAAATGATTGTACATGCTTTATAGCAGATTGATTAAAAGATATACTGGGGAAACTCCTTTCATAGCCAAATTTTACAGCCAAAAATCAAATTCAGTGCTTGGATTTTTTAAGCCAGGACCCATTCAGAGTATTCCAAGAATAGTTCTCAAATTGCTAAAAAGCATTGGTTCCATAAATCTATTTTAGAAATGAATTTTAAAAATTAGAAAGTTTGAGTCAGCCATACACAAACCAATCAAGTTATTATGTACTCCACTTGGGTTTTTTTACATTTAAAGTATAATTCATTTATTTATTCACTTAACAAATATTTATTGAGCCTCTGCTACGTGTAGGCACTGATCTGGGTGCTAGGATTACAGCAGTGAATAAAACAGACCAAAAATATACAAGTTAACACATATGCTCACTGGAAAACATTCAGATACAGAAGTGCACAGATAAAAAAAATCAAACTTGTTCTCCTTAAGGCCCATCCCCCATCTCAGTTCCTTCCTTGCAATTAACAGTTATTCTAGACATTTTTAGTTTATTTACATAGAAAACCTTACATAGGATTTTAAAACCAGTTTTATTGAGATATAATGTACATACTGCATGGATGTATAGGCACATCATAAAATTCACTTGCGTAACATGTACAGTCACATTTTTTACTGTATTTGCAGTGTTGCATTATTATCTAGGTATGCAGATTTTACTTTACTTTATTTTATTTATTTTATTTTATTTTATTTTATTTTGAGACAGGGTCTCACTCTGTCACCCAGGCTGGGATACAGTGGCACAATCCCGGCTCACTGCAACCTCCACCTCACTGCAACCTCTGCCTCCTGGATTCAAGTGATTCACCTGCCTCAGCTTCCCAAGTAGCTGGGATTACAGGTGCCTGCCACCATACCCGGCTAATTTTTGTATTTTTAATAGAGATGGGGTTTCACCATGCTGGCCAGGCTGGTCTCAAACTCCTGGTGTCAAGCAATCCACCCATCTCCCAAAGTGCTGGGATTGCAGGCGTGAGCCATGGCGTCCGGCCTTAGTCTCCACACTCTTAACAGAGTTGATGAGATATAAAGGAGGTGAAGGAGAGGGATACAAACAAACAGATAAAAGTTTAGGATAGGCCAGGAGCGGTGGCTCACACCTGTAATCCCAGCACTTTGGGAGGCCGAGGCGAGGGATCATGAGGTCAGGAGATCGAGACCATCCTGGCTGACATAGTGAAACCCCGTCTCTACTAAAAATACAAAAAAAAAGAAAATTAGCTAGGCGTGGTGCCACATGCCTGTAGTGCCAGCTACTCAGGAGGCTGAGGCAGGAGAATGGCGTGAACCCGGGAGGTGGAGCTTGCAGTGAGCCGAGATCGCGCCACTGCACTCCAGCCTGGGTGACAGAGCAAGACTCTGTCTCAAAAAATAAAAAAAAAAAGTTTAGGATAAATGCAAATAAGGTAATGTAGATAAAGTGTTTAGCATAGAGGCTGACTCCTTAGTAAGCACACAATAAAAATATATGAATAAATAATAAAATAAATCATTTTATTAAATAATAAATCGTTATTATAGTCTGTATACTGTATCTTTTATGGATAAGGTTCCTCTTCTGTTAGGAAAGTAACATTTCTGTTGCCAGCCTACAGATTTGTTTAATTAGCCATCTTCATTTGCGGCTGCTATAATACAATTCTGTAGGGTCACCGATCCTACTCAGCTTCTTTTTTTTTTTTTTTTTTTTTTTGAGAAACTCCTAGGTGCTAAGCTTAGGTGCTGCACAGGTCAACAAGACTGTCCGAGCTCAAAGAACTTGCAGCAGGGAAAACAATAATAAAGGTATTGCAGGGCTGGGTGATACCGTAGTGTCTGTAATTCCAGCTACTGGAGAGGGAGGCCATGGAGTGAGGACTGCTTGAGCCCAGGAGTTTAAGGCTGCAGTGTGCTATGATCACACCTGTGAATAGCCACTGCACTGCAGCCTGGGCAACATAGCAAGACCCTGCCTCCAAAATAAAGACATACATACATACCTACATACATACAGAAATGTATTGTGTATTTTGGTGTTTTGGGAGCACCCATGGAAAAAATCACCATTTTTTTTTTTAAGGGGAGTCAAGAAAGGCTTCCAAGAAGGAAACTTTGAGATACAAGGTGGGAGATAGGTAGAGTCATCTTATATTCCCTTTAAGAAATTCAGGTTTTATCTTGAAGCTAATGAGGAGCCCTGAAGAAGGTGGAATGAGATGGGTTGGGCCTGGAGGGAAGGACAGTTAGAAGGCTGGATGTGAATTACCCCACCCCAGCCTGTGACAAAAGCTCCACCCAAAACATCTGCTGTTCTTGCTAGTTGGTTTCTTATCTTTTGACTCATGAAGTTACTTTGTCTTCAAGTTTCTCAATCACAATGTGGTTTCAATCCAAGATAATCTTTCATATCTGAAATTTGTTTTTCACGCTTAATATTGCTAAGCATATTTTCAGTGCTCTGATACTTCTTTTGGTTTTGTTTTGCTTTTTTTCCCCCCAACAGTTCTCTGGTTGGTTATCTAGATACTTCTTTTCAAAACATCAGAGACCTTTATGATAAAGCTAGACAAAAAAAATTATTTATCCAAGAGGGGTAATTTGAAAACAAGTATGACAACCAGCAACTCCCCATCACATCAAAGTCATAGCTGCAGTGGAAAGAAAAGCTTAGATCAGGGGAAGGTTTAGGTTAGGTTGAAATCGAAGTTCCTTACACTAGGATTATCCTTACAGATGAAAAACAGATAAAGGCAAGCATGCTCAGACAGGAGGAATGAAGTTGAAGGGTAACTCTGATTAAAACCAAGGAGGGGTAATACCAGATAATACTGGCCAAAGACTGGAGTTGGAGGTGAGAGAACGAAGGAGAGCTACAAACCAGCAGTGTTCCTACAAAACAGTTCTTTGCTTTTTTCCCCCTACACTGGTAAATAATTACGTTTATCACATGACTGGCAAAAATGAAGTATTAGTGTCAATTCACAGCATTTTCAAAATACCAACGATTTATTTTTCAATTTTTTTTTCTTTTTGAGAGAGAGTCTCACTCTGTCACCCAGGCTGGAGTGCAGTGGTGTGATCTCGGCTCACTGCAACCTCTGCCTCCCGGGTTTAAGCAATTCTCTTATCTCAGCTTCCCAAGTAGCTGGGACTACAGGCGCCGCCACCATGCCCAGCTAATTTATATATATATATTTATATATTTGTTGTTGTCGTTGTTGTTGTTGTTGTTATTGTTTGAGACGGAGTCTTGCCCTTGTCACCCAGGCTGGAGTACAGTGGCGCCATCTCAGCTCACTGCAACCTCCGCCTCCTGGGTTCAAACGATTCTCCTGCCTCAGCCTCCCTAGTAGCTGGGATTACAGGTGCGTGCCACCAGGCCTGGCTAATTTTTTGTATTTTTAGTAGAGACAGGGTTTCACCGTGTTAGCCAGGATGGTCTCCATCTCCTGACCTCGTGATCAGCCCACCTTGACCTCCCAAAGTGCTGGGATTACAGGTGTAAGCCACCGCGCCCAACCATTTTTATATTTTTAATAGAGATGGGTTTCACCATATTGGTTAGGCTGGTCTCGAACTCCTGGCCTCAGGTGATCCACCCACCTTGGCCTCCCAAAGTTCTGGGATTACAGGTGTGAGCCACCATGCCCGACCTATTTTTCAACTTCTTATTATGGAAAATTGCAAAAGTAGAGTATAACGAAACCCCCTGTACCCGTTATTCAACCTCAACTGTTCTCAACACAGGGCCCATCCCGTTTCCATCTTACTCCTATCTAGTGGATTAGTGTGAAGCAATGATTTCATCTGCACTTACCTCAGTGCACACAATCACCTTAGAGCCAAGCATGCTTTTTGGATCCCCCCTTTGTCTTCACTCACTCCCATCCTCTCAGGGGGCAGTCTGAGGACATCAAGTAGACAGTTTTTTTGTTTTTTTGTATTTTTAGTAGAGACAGGGTTTTGTCATGTTCGCCAGGCTGGTCTTGAACCCCTGGCGTCTGGTGATCAGCCTGCCTCTCGGCCTCCCAAAGTGCTGAGATTACAGGTGTGAGCCACTGCACCTGGCCTGGAGACAGATTTGAGAAGAGAAGAAAACAGTCCCCACAGAAAGACTAAACTGGCTGACCAAGGCAGAGAGCTAGACCTTTTGAATCAGGATCGGATCGGGGGAGGTGCAGCCAGGCCTCAAGCCCTTTCCAGCCCCTTCCCAGGTGGCAGCATCAGGGGACCTGAACAGGTATTAGTGGGGCCTTGCAGGGAGGAATGAGCTGAGTGGGCAGGGGTGGCGTCTTGGGTGGAAGCATTTGAGATCTGCTGACATTCTTTCTAGCTTCTGGACTGAAGGGCATATTCTCCTCAGTTGTGGAGAGGGCTACAGCCAGAGGAAACAGGAATCTGGCTGAGGAAAGGTCAGCTGCGTTCCCAGACCCACCCAAGTGTAGCACGGAGGCTACCCTCTTAACCGATGACTGAGCCAACATTTATTGAACCCTTCTCTATCACTGACCCCTCTGTACCCCAGCCTGTAGTCCCATCTGCCCTCACACTTCTCCTTCCATCTCACACGAAGACCGGTCCTTGTTGTTTCTGGCCAACGTGTCCACCTCCACCTTCTGTCAGTCATTCTGCCTCTCCGCGGGCACTTTCTCTGCAGCACACCTAGCTAGGTGCCATTGATCCATCCACACTCGAGCTGCCCCTCTCAGCCTTCCCTTCTCTCCAGCTCTCTTGGCCTGGCTGGTTTGGCATTCTCAAAGCCTCACCTGCTTTAGGAAAGTGCCAGTGACACACATCTTCCTGCTGAGTGGGGTGCGCTCCTGCAGGCTCTGGGGTTACCTGGCACTTCTGTCCCCAGGTTGCACAGCTGTGTGGGTATCACCCTCTCCCAGTGGCAGAGGCTGTCTTATTTCTCCCACACCCCTAGTTCTCATGGTGCTCACTCCGAAGGTGCTCAGGAAATGTGTGTCAGAAAATAATGGGGCTACAAAGATGAATAAGACCATCCTCACTCTGAAGGCGACTCAGTCTATAGGGAGGCGATCCCTCCAAAGCAAAGCGATCAGGGTGCTTGCCTCCTTGTTGTTCATATTCAGGGCAAAATTCCAAATTCATCAGAATGGCATTCAAGGCCCTCCTGAGCCTGACTACCACTCCAGCTCCATCTTCTGTCACTCACTCATAAAAGTGCAGTCTTCCACTATAGCTCAAATGCCTTAACCCTCCACTAAGCTCTCTCCCTGTTGCCTGGAATTCCAACTCCCAATCTAATTTGGCCACTTCCTGCTCATCCCATAAGACTCAGCTTCAGCGTCACAACCTGTGTGAAGGGCAACCTGGCCCTAACCCTGGGTGGGCATTTCACCTCACACACGTATTCAGAGGTGGCACCTGGAACCCAGTATTATCTTCTCCACTGGACTGGAAGATTCCTAGGAGCAAGAACTATTACTCCATCCACCCCTCTCCAGCAATCACCACACTCTCTGGCACAAATGTTTGATGAATGACTGAATGAGGGAACAAAGTATCTGGTTTCTTTAGCTTCTGTCACCGCAGAAAGACAGACTGACTCTTCACAGTCATTCCTGGGGTCTAAGGAAGACTAGCACAGCAGAATTACTATTTCAAGAAACTACCCCACCTTGTTTTCCTGATAGCAGAGTAGGCAAATCTCCAGTTCCGGGATACCATTCTTCTTCCTCTAGTTAACTTCTGAGATTTGGTTACCTACACAGAAGACATCCCTACGCACCCATCAATTACAAGAGCCAGAGTTGGAATCCCAGCTGCTTGGGAGGCTGAAGTGGGAAGAACATTTGAGCCTAGGAGTTCATGACCAGCCTAGAAAACATAGTGAGACTCCATCTCTACATAAAATTTTAAAAAATTAGCCAGGTGTGGTGGTGTGCACCTGTAGTCCCAGCTATTAAGGAAGGCTGAATCGGGAGGATCGCTTGAGCCCCGGGATTCAAGGCTGCAGCGAGCTATGACGGCACTACTACATTCCAGCCTGGGCCACAGAGTGAGACTCTCTCTCTAAAAAAGAAAAAATAATTAATGAGAGCCAGAAAATTAAATGGAGTGGCTGGCCATGGCCTTGAACTGTTACTCCCATATCATACTGGATGAAAAATTAAAAACTGAGTATAAATATGTTCCTTATTTCCCCAGGCAGGTTCTAATTCATGGAGTTAGAGTAACATCATTCAAAAAATAGATTAATCTAAGAAAGTCGTGTTTATACCATGTCTTATGGAATTGAAAATGACATGCCAGGCGGAGTGGCTCATGCCTGTAATCTCAGCGCTTTGGGAGGCTGAGGCAGGCAGATCCGCTGAGGCCAGGAGTTCAAGACCAGCCTGGCCAACATGGTGAAACCCCATCTCTAATAAAAATACAAAAATTAGCTGGGCGTGGGGGTGTATGCCTGTAGTCCTAGCTACTCGGGAGGCTGAGGCAGGAGAATTGCTTGAACCTGGGAGGCAGAGGTTGCAGTGAGCCAAGATCACACCACCGCACTCCAGTCTGATGACAGAGCAAGACTCCCTCTCAAGAAAAAAAGAAAAGAAAAGAAAAGAAAATGACAAAAAAGTAGGCCTTTGAAAACATTCCTTGGTCACCTGTTTGATCCTTGTACTCAGTTAAAACAGTGCTCCTAAACCTAGTCTCCACCAATTTGCTTTGAATATTTTCCTAAAGGTACCTGGTTTTCTCACCGCCTTTCATTTTGACAATCAGGGAGTCTAATCATAACCTGAATTTTTCTCTCAAATTTCTCTAAATTTCCCCTCCCCTTCATTTTTCAAGGGTCAGACTATGTGCAAACACTTTTTCACATTAATCATTCATTAGCTGTGCTTTTGGAAATCAAACTCAACAACAGCACCACCGTTCTGCCTTGCATAATTATCTTTCTGCCCCAGTTCCTGATCAGATACACCTTTCATATCTAAAATATATTCATGAATTAATCCAATATTTTTGTTTTGTTTTGAGACAGGGTCTTGCTATGTCATCCAGGCTGGAGTGCAGTGGTGCTATCACAGCACACTGTAGCCTCGACTTCCTGGGTTCAAGCCATCCTTCTGCCTCAGCTGCTGGAGCAGCTGGAACCACAGGTGCGCCACCATGCCCTGCTAATTAAAAACATGCTTTTTTGTAGAGATGGGGGTCTCACCATTTTGCCCAGGCTGGTCTCTAGCTCTTGGGTTTTAGGCATCCTTCCTCCTCGGCCTCTCAAAATGCTGGAATTATAGGCATGAGTCACTGCGCCCAGCACCAATATTCTTTTTTTTTTGAGATGGAATCTCACTCTGTCACCCAGGCTGGAGTGTGGTGGTGTGATCTTGGCTCACTGCAACCTCTGCCTCCTGGGTTCATATGATTATCGTGTCTCAGCCTCCTGAGTAGCTGGGACTACAGGTGTGTACCACCACACTCAGCTAATTTTTGTATTTTTAGTTGAGACGGGGTTTCGCAATGTTGGCCAGCTGGTCTTAAACTCCTGACCTCAAATTATTCACCTGCCTCAGCCTCCCAAAGTGTTGGGATTACAGATGTGAGCCACCACGCCTGGCCGTGCCCCAATATTCTTAATTTCTATTCCAAAGCCCAGATGTCAAGACCTATTCATGTTTAACTCTTAACCTTTGCCTGGGGATATGAAGATAATGAGATAATGCAGGAATATGAGTGCAAAACTTTGGTTTTTGAGGAATTTACTAAACTGATGGGCGAGACAAGATGCAGATACTATAGTGGTAAAATATTGGCAATAATATTTTCAACATATATAATGCACTGCTGTATTCAAGGTCCATGCATATTCACTGGATCTAAAATAAACCCGCGGTGTAGATACTATCTTCTTCATTTCCCGTAGCAAGAAACTGAAGCTCTGAATTGTTAAGTATCTTAACCAAGATCTCTGGAGGTTACCTAATCCACTCTCAGTTTTAACTCTTACCTATAGGCTAATTAATAGTCTATTTCATATCCCAGACCTCTGTCCAGAGAAAGCTAACCTTTCTGTAAAATTGCCTACTTGTCAATTTCACCTGTGTGTCCCATAGCCCTCCCAAATCCACAGGGTGGAAACCCAAATCCCCTGGAACCTGAACAACCACCTGCATCCCGTACTCTTCCTCCACCACCTCCTGCTCAGGCCGGGCACCGTAACTGACCTCATAGCCTCAGCCAGGTATCTGCAAGCCCAGTACCAGTGGATAGACAGGACACATAATATATCCTCAACAAGTATTTGTTGTATGAGTGATTTTATGAGTGAATGAGTGAGTGGGGGTAGGCATCTTTGCCTCTCCCTCACCCTTAACCAGAAGATTAATTGGTCATAAAATCCTGCTGTTTCTACATCATAAATCTCTCTCAAATCCTTTCCCCATTTTTAATCCCCACCTTGCCTCCCTTGCTGGATTGTGTCAAAGCTAAAATGAGATTAATACACATAAAAGTGTTTTGCAAAGAATAAACCTCTGGGAAAAAAAAGAAAGGATAAATCCCTCTGGAATCCGTTACTAAACTTACCAGCCCCAGTTTGCCTATTCCTTTCAAGCTATGATTTTTTTTTTCCATCCTTCTGACCTTGTTGTTGTCTCTGCCATGGCTTCCAGAGGCTCATCACTCAGTTTGTATGAAAATACCACTGGTCTCTATGCTCTGGCTTAGCGGCACGGTTCCATTTCCTTTTATGTTGCTTGCTTCTGGTTATTTCTCAGAGTAAGATCTAACTCGCGAGGAGGCTATGAAGTTCCTCATGAAAAGAAGCTGTTACATGGCTTTTGTAGCTTCCACAGCATCTCGCACAATCTTGGGCATATAGTAAGTGCTTAATAAACGCTTACTAATTGAGAGATCAATTCTCCTCCAGCCCTCCTCAATCAGTCCAGTATCCTCAGTTTCTCTCCAAATTCTATTCCTTATTCTTCAAAATGTATTGTGTATATCAGGAACATCTCTTCCTAAGATGTTTGAGAAGAGAGTCTAGCCAATAGATAGTTTTTTACAAGTTGCTCATTCTTTTAAATGTACTAAGTGAACCAGAGTGGAGGAGCCAGACCCTATTACTCATCACACTGAGGTAATACGGCTTTACACATATACAGTGCTTATAAACACACACCTAAAACCAAGTATAATGGTAATTAAAGATACCTGAAATGCTGCCAGTAATAATCATAGAACTAAAGAAAAACAGGGCATCAATGTTTTCCTTTTCATTATCCACTACAGCCCAGCAGTCACCAAATGATACGGTTTGGATATTGCTTCTCTCCAAATTTCATGTTGAAATGTCATCCCCAACGCTGGAGGCAGGGCCTGGTGGGAGGTGTTTGGGCCATGGGGGTGGATCCCTCATGAATGGTTTGGTGCCCTCCCTGAGGTAATGAGTGAGAGCTGGTTGTTTAAAGGAGCCTGGCACCTCCTCATCTCTCTCTTGCTCTATCTTGCCATGTGACGTGCCTGCTCCCCCTTCATCTTCTTCCATGAGTGAAAGCTTCCTGAGACTGAGCAGATGCTGGTGCCATGCTTTTTATATAGCCTGCAGAATCGTGAGCCAAATAAACCTCTTTTCTTTATAAATTACCAGCCTCAGGCATTCCTTTATGGCAATGGAAAACAGACTAATACACCAAGTCTTCTTGCTTCTCTCTGTGAAATGTCTATTGAACGCAGTTTTTCCTTTTGGGATTTTGGCACCATCTTAGGCTGGGCCTTGCATGTCCCATCTATCTCCCTTGCCCTGGCTTCTTACCTGGGCTCTCGGCCTTTGGTTTCTCCTTACTCTAGTGCAGTTTACCTGCAGGCCCCAAACATTGATTTCATCAAGCTGTCCCACTGCCCCAAACACACACCTCTAGAGGTTCCCTACTATTCAGAGGACAAGTCATAATCTCCTTAGCTACATCTTCAAGGCCTTTTCAACCTTAGCCTACCCTCCTGGTCTAACCTCTCTGATTCTTCTTTGTGGGGGCGACTGTGGCCTACCCTTTAAGAGCTAAAGTTGTTACCTGAGATGCACCTGATTAAATCCACACACCATAGACATAATTGGGGCCAGGCATGGTGACTCATGCCTATAATCCTAGCACTTGGGGAGGCTGAGGCAGGAGGATCACTTGAGCTCAGGAGTTCGAGACCAGACTAGGCAACATAGTGAGAGCTTGTCTCTTAAAAAAAAAAAAGATTGATTGGCAAGAGTAAATCAAAAGGATGCCTGCTCTGTAAATGAGTGACTGAGGAGGTCAAGGTAACCCAAAACTCCAATCAAAATCTGGGAGTAATATCAGGGAAGTAGGATTTGAAGGTGATTGTAATTTAGGGAGCAGAGGCAAACACTGAACATGCTTAGGGGAGGAGTGTGACTAGAAGGGTCAGAAAAGGGAACCCAAGGAGTGAAAAGTAGGCAACACCCATCTGTTAAGTCAATGAGGATGTCTACCCACATCCCTGAAGAATGAACGTGACAGTTCAGGCTCTGATGCGTGAACACTGAAATCACCTAACAATGCCCTTCAGTAGTTTGATTCCACAGCAATCCTGGAGCAGCTTGTTTTTCATGGCATGGGCCCTGATCAGACAGACAGGCTGCCAGTTGCAGATCCCCCTGCAGACCAAATGCATTGGCCTTCAGCTGCATACATATGCGTGGATAATCAGTTTTGATGAGCTTGGCTAAAGTAAGGCCACTGCTGAGAAATGGAGCCGCTTCCACTCAGTAATAATAATGATAATTAACAAGTAAATCACATGTCTGAGCCTGAGGAACAGCTCCAGGACCACGGTAAACTGACCGAGGTAAATGTGCTCTAAGGGGCCTCTGTGTGGACAGTCCATGCACCTTTTGAGCCAGTCTCCTGCATCCTTCAATACTGAGTGCACGATTGTAAAACCACATGACTAGGGCCGCACACAGTGGCTCACACCTGTAATCCCAGCACTTTGGGAGGCCAAGGTAGGCGAATCATTTGAGGTCAGGAGTTCAAGACCAGCCTGGCCAACGTGGTGAAACCCCATCTCTAATACAAATACAAAAATTAGCAAGGCGTGATGGTGGACACCTGTAGTCCCAGTTACTCAGGAGGCTGAGGCAGGAGAATTGCTTGAACCTGGGAGGCAGAGGTTGTAGTGAGCTGAGATCACACCACTGCACTGCACTCCAGCCTGGGCATCAGAGTGAGACTGCATCTCAAAAAAAACAAAAACAAAAAACAAAAACCCAAAAAACCCCACATGACTAAACAACAGGATTTTAACCTGGATTCCATTTTCTCTCTGGCCACCCCAGCTTTTGGCTCTTTAGTCACTTTTCATGTGGTCTGTAGAAGGTCTCTTCAATTTTTCCCTCCTGGTTTTACTCTCATCTGCCTGGAGTCCTCTGCTTCAGGAAGTCACCCCATGTGAATGCTCTCATTGTATGCTATGCATGTGCTCACTGTAACACCAAAACATCTGCACAGGTGTGTGTGAGTTCACATCTTCTCTATGGCACGATCTGTATCTTCATATTTGTATTTCTAGGGCCTAGCATAAGGTAGTGGGAACTTAAATACAACAGTGCTGAAATCATTCCAGAGCACTGAGATTCCAAAAATCTGCCTCTCAGGGAAGACTTCTCTGCTGAGCCTCAGGCCTGTATGTCCAAGTTTCTACTGGTCATCTCTACTTGGATGTAATACAGATAACTCAACTTTAATTTGGCCAATGCCAAGTTTTCTTGACCCACTCTCTTGATAACTAATCCACTCTCATGATAACCCATTAATCCATGTATGGATTAACCCATTCACAAGGCTTCTCATGATCCAATCACCTCCCAAAGGCCCCACTTCTCAATACTGTTGCAGTGGGGATCAAGTTTCAACATGAGTTTTGGAGGTGACAAACATTCAAACCATAGCAATACTATGCATCTAGCGAGTCACCAGATTTCTTTTTGTCTTTGTAGAAATGGGGTCTATGGGGTGTCTCTATGTTGCCTAGGCTGGTCTCAAACTCTTGGCCTCAAGTGATCCTCTCGCCTCAGCTCCCAAAGTGCTGGGACTACAGGTGTGAACCACTGCATCTGGCCTTCCCAAATTTCATCCATCCACTCTCTCTTCATATGGTCCACCTCTCATCTAAGGCCCTTGATAGCTCTCATCTGGACTGTTATGGAAGTCATCTAACTGGTTCTTATCTATAAAATGGGAGTAACCGTAGGATTTTTGTAATGATTGAATGAGGATGCACATTACCTCATGATAATAATAGCAATGGCTAGCATTGATTGAGTTATAAACCCCTAGTACTGAGCTGTACTGAGCTGCAGTAGGGGTTTAGAGCTCAATCAATGCTAGCCATTGCTATTATTATCCCTCAGGGTCTAGTTCAATCTTTTTTTTTTTTTTTTTTAAGAGATAGGGTCTCACTATGTTACCGAGTTTGGACTCAAACTCCTGGGCTCAAGTGATCCTCCCACCTCAGCCTCCCATGTAGTTAGGACTACAGGCATGTGCCACCGTACCTGGCAATTTTTAAAAACTCTAGGTGACCTTTCTAATCAATCTTTTTCCATTGACAATCACCTTTTTATAAACGACTGCAGCACTGATTGTAGTATTCATTTTAAACTGTACATTCTGGTCATATGTGTGTATCTATTTCTCACTTTTTGTTTAGTTTTTTTGAGAGAGGGTCTGGCTGTGTTCCTCAGGCTGCAGTACAGTGGCTATTCATCAGCACCATCATAGCTCACTGCAGCCTCAAACTCCTGGGCTCAAGCCATCCTCCCGCCTCAGACTCCCAAGTAGCTGGGAGTACAGGTGTGTGTCACAATGCCTAACTATCATCTTTTAACTGTTCAACTTGGGAGTACTGGGATGTGTATTACACTTTGTGGTAGGCGGAACTCTAAGATGATCCTCGATGACCTCCCCTAAGCCTCATCTTTAGAGAATCCTTTCTCCTTTGAACACAGGCAGAGTAAGTGAGTATGACGAGAGTTGACTCCCATGATTAGGTTGTGTTAGATGGCACAGCTGAAGTTAATGCTACAGGAGATTACCCAGGTGGGCCTGACCCTCATCATACTAAATCATTAAAAGCAGAGCGCTGGAGGCAGATGGAGGATCAGAGATTCAAAGCACAAGAAGACTAGGACTCGCCCTTGCTGGCTTGAAGGTGTTGGGGGTCACAGGAAAAGGACCTGAAAGCAGCTTTTAGAACCAGACAGCAGTGCCCTACTATGGATCAGCAAGAAAGTGGGACCTCAGTTACAGAGCCACAAGGAAGTGGATTCTGCCAACAGAACCTGAATGAGCTTGGAAGTGGATGTGAGCTCAATTTGGCCAACACCTTCATTTGGGCTTGTGTTCCCTTGAGCAGAGAACCTGACTATGCCAAACTGAACTTCTGACCTACACAACTGTGTGCTAATACGTGGGTGCTGCTTGAAGCCTCTGTTTGTGATCATTTTTGTCATGCAACAATAGAAGACTAATAGTACTTCTCTTCAGTGCTTTCACTATTGAACAAAACGTAATTTAACATTACATTCAATAAATACTCACTGAGAAAACATTAATAATTGAAATAACTTTATCTTATCGCCAGTAAGGTCATAATGCCAGCTGGCCTTTTCTGCCTATTATCAACATTAAAAACTATTTTAACAAAGATTTTAATTTGAACAATATCTGTCATGCTCATTTTATATTTATTGAATTGCTAAAAAAAAAAAAAAAAGCCCACATTATTCTAGAAGGGATGTTTTTAGAAAACATGAAAGGAATTATTTAAAGCAGAGATGCACCTTGAAACATTTAATACACCCAGGGGCTACATTGTAGTTTCAGGACACCAAAAATGAGCTAGTAGAATATTTTACAAACTAAGGTAATCATCAAAAGAGTTTACAGGTAAAATTTCTTTGCATGAATTACCATTACAAAGAAAGATTCTATATAACAAACCTACTTCCGAGGTCCTTAGAAACAATGGTTTGTTGGTTTCTAAAAATTTTTATTTAAAAAGTCTGGCAAATGCTACATACAACACTCCACCTTCCCCCCTCACCCCCGGAGATTTACAGTCCATATTACCGTATTAAAAACTCTATGAAGTCATGAAGTGAATCTACCCATTTAATTTTTTTAATACAGCATCTCCCAAATATACTTACGACAGAATCTTTCTTTGAGAAATAATTTTTGACCTCTTGCAGAAATGCAATTTGGGAAATGCTGGCCTGAACAAATTCCTCCCTCCTGACCAAGTATTAAATCAAAATAGTAGGACTACAAGGAATATTTCAGAAGTTAAATTGATTCAAGATATTCAAGAGCTGGTAAAGTGTCTTCCTCCTTTCCTTATGGACTATAGTAACTTTTCACTAATTTTTTTTTACTTGAGTCAACAAATTTGAAAAGTGATTTTTAACAACTGTATTAATTTTAACAAAATACCCATACAGCAAAGTAAATGTTCCAAGGAATTTTCTAGAATAGTTTCAGCCATACCATATATGTATTTGTGCATTATCACAGTGAATTTTTTTTATATAAGAGGTTGTTTTGTCATCTAATACTTTATAATTTAATGCAGAAAACACTTAAAACTGACAAACTTTTAAATATATTTTTAGTCGATGTTAAGGAGGAGGTAGAAAAATAGAATCAGGGCTGGGCATAGTGCCTCCTGCCTGTAATCCCAGCACTTTGGGAGGCTGAGGCAGGAGGATTGCCTGAGTCTATGAGTTTGAGACCAGCCTGAGCACCATAGTGAGACCCTGTCTATACAAAAAATAAAAAATTAGCCAGGAGTGGTGGTATACTCCTGTAGTCCCAGCTACTTGGAAGGCTAAGGTGAGAGGATCACTTGAGACTGGGAGATCGAGGCTGCAATGAGCTGTGATCACACCATTGCCCTCCAGCCTGGGTGACAGAACGAGACCCAGTCTCAAAATAATAATAATAAGGTTCAGAATTTTAGGCTAGGGTTCTTGTGCTTTTAAATACATAAATGCTAAAAAAAAGTTCCAAGTATATAAAACATGAAAATAAGTATTTCGAATGTGAAGAAATTGAATTTGAAATAGAGCTGTGATGTACTTCCAAAAAGAAGGAATGACCTTAGAATCCTATCCAAATTCTTGGTCTAGTTCAGTGGTTCTCAAACTTTAGCAGGTTTTAGAACCTCCTGGAAGGCTTGGTAAAGTACAGGTTGCTGGCCCCTGCCACCAGAATTTCTGATCCAATGGTCTGGGGTGAGACCCCCAAAATATGCGTTTCTAACAAGTTCCCAGGTGATGTGAAGCTGCTGTCCAGGAAGCCTATTTTGAGAACCACTGAGAATGCAGTTCTTATACCAACCTGCTCTGAGATTCTCATTCAACAGCTGTCTGGGAAAAGCTGCATAGGTGGTTTTAATGTGTACCAATTTCTCAGAGCCTTTTTGTTTGTGTTTTGAGACGGAGTCTCGCTCTGTCACCCAGACTGGAGTGCAGTGGCACAGTCTCAGCTCACTGCAACCTCCACCTCCAGGGTTCAAGCGATTCTCCTGCCTCAGCCTCCAGAGTAGCTGGGACTACACCATGCCTGGCTAATTTTTGTATTTTTAGTAGAGATGGGGTTTCACCATGTTGGCCAGGCTCGAACTCCTGACCTCAAATGATCCGCCCGCCTTGGCCTCTCAAAGTATTGGGATTACAGGCATGAGCCACTGCGCCTGGCCTCTGAGAGCCTTCTGCTCTGAAGTTCTGTGATTTGGGATTTTGCTGTAGGTTATGCTTGTTCTGGTTCTGCATCTCAAATCCTCTGTAGTTCTCTCCACGGGTATTTCAGCATACAAAAACCAAAAATCAGAAAACAAAAAAACCCAGAATGCTGGGACAATCAATGTGAAAGAAACTTTATTTTATATCTCACCAGCAGAATTTACAGGAGAACACTGGAAACTATAACTGTAGATTCTCACTTGTGTTTGCTTTGACTTCCATCGAGTAACATGGAAAACCCAGAGCTGGCCAAGTTGACTGTTAGTGTAGTCAGAGAAAGACCAGAAGTCTGCAACTGCCTTCTAACTCTTATATCTGGCTGGGTGTGGTGGCTCACGCCTGTAATCCGAACACTTATGGGAGGCTGAGGTGGGAGGATCGCTTGAGCCTAGGAATTTAAGACCAGCCTGGGCAAGATAGCGAGACTTCATCTCTACTAAAAATAAAAATAAAAAAATAGCTGGGTGTGGTGGCACATGTCCATAGTCCCATCTACTTGAGATGCCAAGGTAGGAAGGTTACTTGAGCCCAGGAATTCAAGGCTGCCGTGAGCTGTGTTCACGCTACTGTACTCCAGCCTGGACAACAGAGACCTTGTCTGAAACAAGCAAAACAAAACACTTCTATATCCAGCTGTCTTTTCCTATTTCCCTTTGTGTTGAATTGTCTGTGATTTTCAAGACCCAATTTAGATCAGCCATAAAGGTGTCCTGGCAGAACATCGAGGGCATGATCTTTTGGAGTCAGACAGATCCAGGTCCTAGCTCTGTCATTTAGTTGCTGAAGGACTCTGGGAAAGTTATTTAATATTCCTTAACCTCAGTTTCCTCTTCTGTAAAATAGGAGAAATTGTATTATACCTTCTACATATTATTATTGTTAGGTGCCAATGAGAAATGCTTGAAGAGCATTTAGCACAGTGCCTGACACAGAGTAAGGGAGCAATAGATAGCACACAGCTCTTAACATTCATAGAAACCTTTTTTTTTTTGATTCAGGGTCTCACTCTCTTGCCTAGGATGGAGCACAGTGTCCACAAGCATGGCTCACTGCAGCCTCAACTTCCCAGGCTCAAGCGAGCCTCCCACCTCAGCCTCCCAAGTAGCTGGGACCACAAAAAAAAAAAAAAAAAGCTACATGCCACCACACCCAGCTAATTTTTTATTTTATTTTATTTTTATTTTTATTTTTGTAGAGATGGGGGCTGGTCTTGAATTCCTGGGCTCAAATGATCCTCCTGCCTTGGCCTCCCAAGGGGTTGGGATTATGGGTGTGAGCCACTGTGCCCAGCCCAAATAAACATTCTCTAGACAGTCCTGGAATAAGTGTCAACAAATTTCAATGCTTGAGTAGTGAGAATTATGCTATAATAATTTTCAGGCTGGATGCGGTGGCTCATGCCTGTAATCCCTGCACTTTGGGAGGCCGAGGCGGGTGGATCATTTGAGGCTAGCAGTTCAAGACCAGCCTGGCCAACATGGTGAAACCCCGTCTCTATTAAAAATACAAAAATTAGGGAGACGTGGTGGCACACATCTGTAGTCCCAGCTACTCGGGAGGCTGAGGCAGAAGAATCGCTTGAACCCAGGAGATGGAGGTTGCAGTGAGCCAAGATCACACCACTGCACTCTAGCCTGAGTGACAGAGTGACACTCTGTCTCAAAAAAAAAAAAAAGTAAAAAGGCCGGGCGCGGTGGTTCACGCCTGTAATCCCAGCACTTTGGGAGGCCAAGGTGGGCGGATCACGAGGTCAGGAGATCGAGACCATCCCGGCTAACACAGTGAAACCCTGTCTCTACTAAAAATACAAAAAAAAAAATTAGCCAGGCGTGGTGGCGGGCGCCTGTAGTCCCAGCTACTTGGGAGGCTGAGGCAGGAGAATGGCGTGAACCCAGGAGACGGAGCTTGCAGTGAGCTGAGATCGCACCACTGCACTCCAGCCTGGGCGACAAAGCAAGACTCCATCAATTAAAAAAAAAAAAATCAACATAGCAGCTAAAGATGTCACATTGAACTTAGAAAACAGTTCCTGCCACCCTCAAGAACTATCTTTCATAATAAATACTAAATATGATCAAATGTAAGCCCATTGATGCAGCATTATATTATGCAGTCCTTAGAAAGGAAAAATGTTCCTTTAATTAAACTAAACTATGAGATGATGCTTCCTTATCACTTACCATTTTATACTTTTTGAAATTGCTCTTTTAGACTTAGATTTTTAAAATATTTAACACTCTTTTGCATACATAAAAAGGAAAATATAGGCAAAATAAATGGATTTAAAATATCCCTAAATTGTCTTCTTGGCCAGGCACAGTGGCTCATGCCCATAATCCCAGCACTTTGGGAGGCCAAGGCAGGAGGATCACTGGAGCTCAGGAGTTCGAGACCAGCCTGGCCAACACGGTGAAACCCCATCTCTACTAAAAATACAAAAACTAGCTGGGCATCGTGGCACATGCCTGTAATCCCAGCTACTCTGGAGGCTGAGGCACGAGAATCACTTGAACCTGGGAGGTGGAGGTTGCAGTGAGCCAAGATCGGGCCACTACACTCCAGCCTGGGCAACAGGGTGAGACTCCGTCTCAAAAAAAATAAAAATAGGCTGGGCGCAGTGGCTCACACCTGTAATCCCAGCACATTGGGAGGCCGAGGCGGGCGGCTCACTTGAGGCCAGGAGTTTGGGACCAGCCTGGCCAACATGGTGAAACCCTGTTTCCACTAAAAATACAAAAATTAGTCAGGTGTGGTGGCGTATGCCTGTAATCCCAGCTACTTGGGTGGCTGAGGCACGAGAATCACTTGAACCTGGGAGGCGGAGGTTGCAGTGAGCTGTGATCAGGCCACTGCACTTCAGCCTGGGCCACAGAGTGAGACTCCGTCTCAATAAATAAATAAATAAAATAAAATAAAATAAAATTCCCAAATTGTCTTCTCATTCAGAATCTCAGCCTTGTGAATCACTTGTTTGACTCAGAGTCTGCTTCACTGCTTATTCACTCAGTATCGTCCTCTGTGCCACCAAGGGCACTGGTGATGCAGCATTTCTTAAGAGAATCCAACAGTACTAAAAGCTCTTGGGGCTGGGCTCTTTGCTTGCCTATTTTTGATTCCTGCTTGAAGATTATTGGCAAGCACGTGATGATTTATCATTCTCCCCACCTCTTTTCCCATAAACATTTGGTTCCCAGGAAGGAAAGGAGCGCTTCACTCTTCCTTCTGGGATTTTATTCCAGGCAACTGATACCCATTTTCTAAGTTTGGACACTAGTGCTTTTGATGTTCATGGACATGACGACTGTGGCCTGGCAAGCAGATTGTGAGACCTCTTCCATTATGTGTCCTGAATTTCAGACATGTTGGTAAGAGGTTAATCAAGCCCAGAACTGATCTTTGCTGGAGTTCAGTTCCATTTGGTCATTTGCTGAAAACCCAGTATTATTATCAATGGCCTTTGTGTTGCCCTTATTTTTTCCCAGAACGGTTTTATTGAAATGAAATTCACATACCATACAATCTACCCACTTAAAATGAAAAATTCAATGGAGTTTAGTATGTTGAGAATGTACTGATAATCAATTTTAGTACAATTTCATTACCCCAGAAAGAAATCCTGGACCAATTAGTAGTTAGTATCCATTCCTCCCCTGACTCCAAGCCCCTGGCCACCATTAATCTACTTTTTATCTCTATAGATTTGCCTATTCTGGATATTTTGTATAAGTGGAATTGCAATATGTGGTCTTTTGTGACTGGCTTCCTTTCCTTAGCATAATGTTTTCAAGGTTCATCCATGTTGTAGTATATGAGCCCTTCATATCCTTTTATTGTTGAATAATATCAGTTGCATGGATATATCACATTTTATTTATTCACTCATCAGTTGATGGACACATGAGTGGTTTCTGCTTTTGGCTATTATGAATAATGCTGCTATAAGCATTCATGTACAAGATTTTGTGTAGATACGTGTTTTCACGTCTCTTGGGTATATCCCTAGAAGTAGAACTGCTGGATCACAGGATAAGTCAATATTTACCTGTTTGAAGAACAGCCACCTTGTATTCCAAAGCAGAGGAACCATTTTACAATCCTACCAGCAGTATATGAGGGTTTCAATTTCTCTACATACTTGTCCAACACTTGTTATTATCTGTTTTTGTGATTAGAACCATCTTAGTGGGTGTGAACTTATAACTCATTATGGCATTGCACTTATTTTTAAAGCACTTTCACCTGCATTTTCTCATTTGATCCTTGCAACATTTATCAACATTCCTTATACACAGTCAATGAAACAAACATTAAGAGTAATTCACTGACTTGCTCAAGATAGCTTAGTGACAGAATGTGAGTTAAAACATAATTATGATACTTTTTTTTTTTTTTTTTGGGCAAGACAAGGTCTTGCTCTGTCACCCAGGTTGAAGTGCAGTGGTATGATCATAGCTCACTGCAATCTTGAACTCCTGGACTCAAGTGATCCTCTCACCTCAGCCTCTTGAGTAGCTGGGACCGCAGGTAGATGCCATCATGCCCAGCTAACTTCTTTATTTTTTGTAGAGACTGGGTCTTGACATGTTGGTCTCAAACTTTTGGGCTCAAGTGATCCTCCCATCTCAGCCTCTTAAAGTGTTGGGATTATAGGTGTGAGCCACTGTGCCTGGACATAATCTCGCTTCTAGTTTCTGAGACCATTGCCTTTTTACCCCTCCGGGCTGTTCCAACCCCAGGATAGCTACCTAACTGTGATAGAGTCAGGTCAAGAGTGATGACGAATTAGAGGTAAACTGGGGAGGGGGAGGACTGGGTGCAGAAATGCTGTCAGGACATAGTATGACAACACCACTTTAGGTGATATGGCATGGCTACTGGCATCTGCAAGACAGCAATAGCTAGTGAAACCATATTTTTGGTTTGCAGCAGCTCAGTAAGATGGATGTGATATTGGGAAAAGGCTCAGTTATAGCTTGGGTTATGAAGGCAAACAAGTCTAAAAGTCTTTTTTTTTTTTTGAGACAAGGTCTTGCTCTATTGCCCTGGCTTTAGTGCAGTGGTGCAACCTCCACTTCCCAGGCACAAGCATTCTTCCCACCTCTGCCTCCTGAGTAGCTGGGACTACAAGCATGCACTGCCGTGCCTGGCTCATTTTTGTATTTTTAGTAGACAGGGTTTCGCCATACTGCCCAGGGTGGTCTAGAATTCCTGGGTTCAAGTGATCCACCCACCTCGGCCTCCCAAAGTGTTGGGATTACAGGCGTGAGCCACTGTGCCTGGCCCAACTTGCAACAAATTCTATAGCCTTGCCTTCACAGCCTACAGGAAATGGCTGTACCATCCAGGTTGGTCTACTTTTGGTACAACAGTTCTTGTAGTTATAACATTGGGGAAGAATGACTTTCTAGCTCTGCCTATCTCCCAGCAGGTACAGTAGACATCAGCCTTGGTTACAGGATTCATTACTTTTTGTGTTTATGAACTGAGAGAACTGAAAAAATTTTGCTTACGCTTACATTTTCTATTCATGAACTATCTCCTTTTTGTGCATAAAAATCAATATTTTATGAAATAATCTCCTTGGAGGTTAAGTGCTACAGCACCACTCCTTCCTAGTCAAAGAAACTCTGCACATTGCTCAACCCTGGCTGAGCAAGGGAAAAGGCCTCTAAATAAAGCTTTCCTACTTTGCTAGGAAAAGTCAACTTCGAATCACTGGACCATAAAATCTTATTGGAGTTACAGAGTGAGATAGGTTAATCAGCATGTGGTATATCTATCTACTGAAGCCAAGTTTTTTTTTTCAGGATTTGTCCAAAAGATGTTACCACTCTTTGTACAACAAAATGATATTAGGATAGGGCCCACTCTCTGCATATGCTGGTGTGGTTGAAAGAACCAGTGTCCTTTTCACACGTAAGCCATGCTCAGCCTATCCCCTCATCTTGCTTACAGCAGCTGCTACTTGTACCATCTGGTGCTTCATTTGGCATTTGTTTTTGTTGGGCCCTTTTTTTTTGTTTGTTTGAGATGGGGCCTCACTCTATTGCCCAGGCTGGAGTGCAGTGGTGCCATCTTGGCTCACTGCAACCCCAATCTCCCAGACTCAAGCAATCTTCCTGCTTCAGCTTCCTATGTAGTTGGGACTACAGGAGAGTGCCACCATTCCCCCACTGTTTTTTTTGTATCTTTTGTAGAGAGGGGGTGTATTAGTCCATTTTCACACTGCTATAAAGAACTGCTGGACACATATACACCATGGAATACTATGCAGCCATAAAAAAGGATTAGTTCATGTCCTTTGCAGGGACATGGATGAAGCTGGAAACCATCATTCTCAGCAAACTAACACAGGAACAGAAAACCAAACACCACATGCTCTCACTCGTAAGGGGGAGTTGAACAATGAGAACACATGGACACAGGGAGGGGAACATCACACACCAGGGCCTGTCAAGGGGTGGGGAGCAAGGGGAGGGAGAGCATTAGGACAAATACCTAATGTAGATGATGGGTTGATGGGTGCAGCAAACCACCATAGCACATGTATACCTATTAATAAAACCTGCACGTTCTGCACATGTATCCCAGAGCTTAAAGTATATTAAAAAAAAAAAAAAAAAAAAGAAAAAAAAGAAGAACTGCCTGAGACTGGGTGGAAAGAGGTTTAATCGACTCACAGTTGAGCACGGCTAGGAAGACTTCAGGAAACTTACAATCGTGGTGGACGGTGAAGGGGAAGCAAGGCACCTTCTTTACAAGGCGGCAGGAGAGGGAATGAATGCAGGAGGAACTACCAAACACTTATAAAACCACCATCAGGTGCCTGTAATCCCAGCTACTTGGGAGGCTGAGGCAGGAGAATCATTTGAACCCAGGAGGCAGAGGTTGCAGTGAACCAAGATCGTGCCATTGCACTCCAGCCTGGGTGACAAGAGCAAGACTCTGTCTCAAAAATAAAATAAAATAAATAATAATAATAATAATAATAATAATTTGGTGAAATTCTTCAACAGACTTGGCTAACTGAAACTGGTATATGAAGTTACCAATATTTATGTCTGTAACCATCTGCAGTTTATACACTTGAAAAGATATATAAAGATTTGGTCACATTGTATTTCACCACAGGCCCCTCCTAAGATTTATTTCTTAATTGGAACCTTGCCTGTGGTTATATATGCGTTGTTTTTTTATCACATAGTAGATATCCAACAAATAAGTATTAAACAAACAAATACATTCTTATTTGTAGGCCAGACAGAACAAATCGGCATAGTAAAATGGTTACAAATATGGCTTTGAAGTCTAACAGGATTGAGTTTAAATCCGAACTCTGCTAACTATTAAAATAATAGAAGTTTCTTAATCTCTCTAAGCTCAGACTCCATGTATAAAATGGCAAAAATAAGAATAGAAACCTCAGAGAGTAGGTGGAAGAACTGGATGATCATTGAAAGCATCTGATCATTTAAAGATAAATGATCATTCAGCACAGTGCTTTGACATTGTATGTTCCTGATAAATGACAGGTGTAATTTTGTTGTCATCACCATTGTTGTTATTTAGAAATGGCCTTTAGGGATGCACAAAATATTGCAGCAAAATGTCTCAGTATTCTTGTTCTTTGGCGTACTCCCAACCCCCACTGGTTTTTGTGACATCAGATGTGAACCACAGCAAAGGAAGAGATGAAAGAATAAAGTATCTCTCAAGACAGACTCAAAGATCCTTGACAGTAGGGCTCTGTCCTATGACTCTTTAGCCCAGTTGTTTTGCACATGGAGGTACTCACTAAATGTTTTTGATAACAAGAATATTGAGGTTCTTAATTATGTAAAAAAATTCAACATACTTAAAAGCTACTAAATGGCAAACTAATAACTTTTTGCAAAAGGAAACTAATACTTTGTTGAAAATTCTTATAAAACAAGTTGTATTTCATAAGATTGCACAGAAACAAAATATTAAACTCCATTATTAACATAAAAAAAAAAACCATCAGGTCTCACGGGAACTCACTCGCTACCATAAGAACAGCATGGGGAAATGGCCCCTGTGATTCAATTACCTCCATCTGGTCTCTCCCTTGACAGGTGGGGATTACAATTCAAGATGAGATTGTGGGGGGACACAAAGCCTAACCATATAATGGGGGTTTCGTCATGTTGCCCAGGCTGGTCTGGAGCTTCTGAGCTCAAGCGATCTGTCCGCTTTGGCCTCCCAAAGTGTTGGGATTATAGGCATGAGCCACTGTGCTCAGCCTGGCAATTTTTTTTAAAATTGGAAGGCAATATGCAACATTAAATAACCCACATCTAACAACTTTTATTTCTTTTTTTTGAGACAGGGTCTTGCTCTGATGCCCAGGCTGGAAGGCAGTAGCATGATATTGGCTCAATGCAACCACCACCTTCCAGGTTCAAGTGATTCTCACGCCTCAGTCTCCTGAGTAGCTGGGATTACAGGCATGCACCACCATGTCTGGCTCATTTTTCTATTTTTAGTAGAGATGGGGTTTCACCATGTTGGCCAGGCTGGTCTCAAACTCCTGACCTCAAGTGATGCGCCTGCCTCGGCCTCCCAAAGTGCTGGGTTTATAGGCGCAAGCCACTACGCCTGGCCCAAACACATATTATATACCACAGACTTGTGAATTATTCATTATTTCTCTAACTCTATGAGATTGTATTTTTTATTCCCATTTTGCAGATGATAAATGAAGGCTGAGAGACATTAAGACAGAGAACAGTGAGACTGGTTCTGCCTGCATATCATTTCACCTCTGAGTCTGAGATTCTTCATCCAGAGAGATCTGCAACCTCACCAGATAACCTAAAAAAAATTAAAATCAAATTGCTATAATCACAGTGCCTGCCTCATAGGGCTATTGGGACATGACGTCTACGAGGAACCTGACAGTGCTTGGCACACAGCAAGACCTTGATATGGGGAGACAGCAAGCCTGCCACCACGAGCCCTAGCTCCACCATCACTAAATGACTTGTCCCAAGACAACCAGAAAGGGGCCTCTGCCCTCTGTCGCCAAAGCTCCTCTCCATACCACAGAGCCTTCCTGTGAGAGAGTCTGTGTGTCTTTATTTCTCTTGCTGTTATCCACAAGTGTTCTAATGATTTAGCAGCACTTGGCACTGTTTTGTCTCAGATCACAATCAGCCTGAGGTCCGTGCTCCATTAGGAATGTCTGCTCATTCCTAACCGCAGTGTTTTCCACACATCCTTCTGATGGCCTTTGGCTTTACATCCTGCAGCTACGCAGGCTCCTTGGCCAGGAGGAGCCCGGAGGGGCCGAGCCCGCCTTTTAACAAGTAGCATGGGTCATTCCCCGCTAGAGGCTCAAGAGTCCTCACAGAGCAGGGGCCGCAGCGGCTGTGCATCCGGTGCTGAACCTTCTCTCTCCAGGGAGGCGGGCGAGAAAGCTGAGAAGGAGCAGTGATCTCAAAAATGGAATGGGACCTGCCTGGGAAGGCAGTTGCTGGGCCTAGGACTTAGGTCCGTAGTCTGTTTGCCAGAACTGAAACTTCAGTTGTAAGAAACTTCAGGGAGAAGCTGGCCTGTCAGCTCACCAAGGAAGGAACCTCTCGGGATGGTGGGCCCCCTGACCTTTGTCCCCACCCTGAGACTGCCATGTAGCTCGGTGAGTAACGCCTGAGTTGGGGTGGTAGCTCCTACCTCTGAGCCTCTTCCCACCTTCCTCAGATGTCGGTGGTCCACAGTGGCTGGGGACTTGCTTCTATGAATGACATATGATTGCCTGTGTCTATGCCACCACTTCCCCTGAGAAAGTGGGCTGTCACTTCCTCAGGGTCAGCATCACCACGACATCCAGCACTGCCCTTAACTGCAGAAACAGAAGGCGCCGATACAGTGTGACACAAAAAGAGATGGAGAGGAGATGGGCAAGCTCACCTTTACTCAGCCCTGACCCCACACCCAGCCCTATGCTGTGCTGAAGTTATTATTCATAAATGTCCACAAGACTCCAAAGGAGTCTTATTCCTGCTCCCAGAGAAGGGAATCAAAGCTTAAAAATAACCTTCCCAAGGTCATATAGCCAAATGTTTAGTGAAGTCAAGGTTCAAAGTCAAACTCTGAAAGATGTGTGCTCTTCCCCCCATAGTAGAATGCCTTCCATAGCCCCCTAATCTATACCCTCCTGCTGCCCTGTCTCTTTTAAAATTGAAATTTTAAAAAGGCAAACCAGGTGTTATTTCAAAATTTTATTTAAAGTTGAGAACAACTGTTTGAAGAGAGCTGTCAGTGGATTTATGCACTCTGGTGAACCTAAATTGGAAAAAGCAGGCACTTTTACAGCAGCGCATCCTCATGCGGTCTTAACAACCTGACCCAGAGCAGGGAACTCGGTGTGCTGCAGCGCCAGTGACCAGGCAACCCGTCTCCTGGGCTGTTTTCTACGTACAGGTTTTGACTCAGGGCTCCCATCGCCAGCAAAATGTAAATATGAAATGTCTTTTTTCAGGTGGGGAATGAGGTGCAGTGATCTTGAGCCATTTACCTTCTTTCATGGCCAACCACAACCAACTGGGACCATCAGAGGGATGGGATGAAGGAGATTTGTACCATTCAGAAGGGATAACTGAAGGGGTTCCCAGCCCAGGGCCCTTCCCTTTTGAGGAACAGAAAGATCACTACTGTGGTGGGGGGAGGGTGAGATCATATTAACCCATAAAAGGACTACCGTATTGCGCTCCCTTGCTTTTGACTGAGTTTACACAAACTTGTGAGGTCACGTTTGTTGCCTCTGGTTGACCAGACGCCCGCATATGCAGTTATATACATATTTGCTTAATTTTCTAAAAAGAGAAACAATGAGTTAGTTGTGTATGCTGTGTGTTTGGAAGATAACATCTCAAGGCATGACATCCATAGAGAACAGCTGATAAGTTAAAAACGGAGAACTACTGGGATGTGGAAGCTGCGAAAGAATCAGGGGAAACATCCTCAACTGAAGTTTGCATAAGATTGAATTTTGGGGCCGGGCGCGGTGGCTCACTCCTGTAATCCCAGCACTTTGGGAGACCGAGGTGGGCTGATCACGAGGTCAGGAGATCGAGACCATCCTGGCTAACACGGTGAAACCCCGTCTCTACTAAAAACACAAAAAAATTAGCCAGGCGTGGTGGCGGGCGCCTCTAGTCCCAGCTCCTTGGTAGGCTGAGGCAGGAGAATGGTGTGAACCCGGGAGGCGGAGCTTGCAGTGAGCCGAGATCGCGCCACTGCACTCCAGCCTGGGCGACAGGGCGAGACTGCGTCTCAAAAAAAAAAAAAAAAAAAAAAAAAAAAAGATTGAATTTTGGATGTCTTGGGTAGTCAGAAAGAATCACATCCTTTATAATTCGGTATTTCTGGATGGTGAAATGAAGAAAGCAGTAAAGACATCCTAAATGATGGAAAAGGCAATGGTGTCTGTGAGTTTCTTTACCCACATCTCCATCACAATGTGACCCTGCACAGTCTCTCTGCGTGCCCCCTTTAGGGACATTACCTGCTCAGAGAGGTTTCACATCTGCCAAGGCCACTCATTCTGAAAGGGAGAAATAATGTGTATTGGAACAAACTTTATCATTGACTTATGCTGGGTCACGGATGTCCTATGAACCAAGGACAACTAATGAGGCAAGAAGTAACTGAGCTATCACCAAAAAGCTGTTTGCAAAGTTATCTGAACATTCTTCCTACATTTAAGGCCCTGTCCACATTTTGCCACATTTTAAAGTTTCTTTATAGTTGTTTGAAACATGACCATTTCAAACTATGATTTTGAAATGAAGTTCCATGAAATCCCTTAGGCATACGAGGCACTGCTGGGTGATGAACGCAAACTTGATTCACTTGTATTGGCTCCTCCAGATGCTGAGTCATTATGATGCCAGATTTCAGTGAGAAAAAGCACATAGAGAATATTGGACACGATTTCTATCGTTGTGAACAAAGGTGAATAGATAGATGGCCCATTTCAGCCAGGCGGATTCAGGGATGCTGAAACAGCAGCCATACAGCTAACAGATTTCTATGCAAAAAAATATGCCACTATCCAATCTGTCTCCCACACACATCTTCTCTCTCTGCTTTTCCTCAACATTCTATCCAGGACCACGTTTCTAAGCATATTATTTCCCTGCCACCATCTAACCAAACTCTAGGCCAGACTTCCAATTGGATTTGCAGAATGTGCATAACATTTCCAAATGGATGGTGGCAATAAAGAAATGATGTCTTCAGTCTGATGAAAAAAATTCAAATTCAACAATGACACCCATTATTTCACATACTGAATTACCAAAGATTTAAAAATAATAACAAATAAAAGCAATAATAAGACAATAATATATAATACACAATACAGTTGAGCATCCCTCATCTGAAAACCCAAAATCCAAAATTTTCTAAAATTTCTAAAACACCTGACTTCTTGTGATGGGTCACAAAAATTACTAAGAATGTTGCATAAAATTACCTTCAGGCTACCTGTATAGAGTGTATATGAAACATCAATGAATTTCATGTTTAGATTTGGGTCCCATGCCCACGATATCTCATTATGTATATGCAAATATTCCAAAATCCTAAAATATCTGAAGTCTGAAACATGTCTGGTCCTGAGCATTTTGTGTAAAGAATACTCAACTTGTGCAGGTAAAAGTGTGTAGGGGAAAAGGAACTCATACATGTACTGCTGGGAATGTAAGTCAGTGCAACATGATAACAATTATCCACATGGATACCCTTTGACCAATACTAGTTCCCCTGTAGGAATTTATCTTACAGATCTGCTCACTGAAGTGTGCAAATATATAGGTAAAAGTATTTTTGTAGCTCTGCTAACAATAGTGAAAATTCTGTCAATAAGGGAATGGTGAAATAAATTACATCTACAAAGTAGAATATTATGCAGTTCTTAAAAAAGACATAGTATATATAAATCTCTGTTGTGGAAAGACTTTTTTTATATGCTTCATGATCTTATTGGTGCAACAAGAACACAAATGCAAGCTGGGCATGGTGGCTCATGCCTGTAATCCTAGCACTTTGGGAGGTGGAGGCAGGCAGATTGCTTGAGCCCAGGAGTTCAAGACCAGCCTGGCCAACATAACGAAATCCTGTCTCTACAAAAAATACAAAAATTAGCTGGGTGTGGTGGCACATGTTTGTAGTCCCAGCTACTCAGAAGGCTGAGGTGAGAAGGTCACCTGAGGCCAGAAGGTCGAGGCTGCAGTGAGCTGATATTGTGCCACTGCACTCCAGACCGGGCAAGAGTGAGACCCTGTCTCAAAAGACAAATAAAAAACAAGTGCACACACACATTTGCATATGCACAGAAGCTGTGAAGACCATACACTGAACCACTGCCATCTTTGGGTAGTGGGACTGAAAGGCATGGTGAAATTGATGACTTTAAGGTTTTACTTTACTAACTGCAGATTTGTTTTTCATGTTTAGGATGAGCTTAAATTGCTACTATAATTTTAAAAATTAAAATGAATGATGGCATCCCCTGTGACAGGTGCCCCGAGCCTGCTGATTAAAGCTAATGAAAGAAAAGAGAACAAGGCCTCAACTGAAATAATGAATCTATCAAGAATAAAAAAAGAGGGTATGTATTCACACAGAAACCCTAGGCACAGTGGCTATTCATTGCTACAGGAATATTTAAAGATGTAGCGCACCCACGCTGGAAGTGGAACTCTCATAACAACCACTAACTACTCGGAACTGCTATGCTAGGTAACATATACGTGTGTGTGTGTGTGTGTGTGTGTGTGTGTGTGTGTGTGTGTGTGTGTTTTCAGCGAAATTTTTTTCCTGAATATGAAAGTCACACATGCTCATTGTAAAATATTTTACAGCTGGTGCGGTGGCTCACGCCTGTAATCCCAGCACTTTGGGAGGCCGAGGTGGGCGGATCACCTGAGGTCAGGAGTTCAAGACCAGCTTGACCAACATGGTGAAACTCTACTACTAAAAATACAAAAATTAGCTGGGCGTGGTGGTGGGCACCTGTAATCCCAACTACTCGGGAGGCTGAAGCAGGAGAATGGCTTGAACCCAGGAGGTGTAGGTTGCAGTGAGCCGAGATCTCACCATTGCACTCCAGCCTGGGCAATAGGGCAAGACTGTCTCAAAATAAATAAATAAATAATAAATAAAATAAATAATAAATAAAACATTTTACAAAACAGAAATCTAAAGTCCTTCATAATTCTACTTCCCAAAGATAGCCACGTTTATGGTATTATAGATTTCTTTATGCATGTCCATAATCTATGTATTTTTAAAAAATCAGGCCAGGCGCAGTGGCTCACACCTGTAATCCCAGCACTTTGGGAGGCCGAGGCGAGCAGATCACAAGGTAAGGAGTTCGACACCAGCCTGATCAACATGGTGAAACCCGTCTCTACTAAAAGTACAAAAATTAGCCGGCATGGTGGTGTGCACCTGTAATCCCAGCTACTCAGGAGGCTGAGGCAGGAGAATCGCTTGAACCCGGGAGGCGGAGGTTGCCGTGAGCTGAGATCTCACCACTGTACTCCAGCCTGGGCGACAGAGCAAGACTCTGTCTCAAAAAAAAAAAAAAAAAATGGGGTCAGGATTTTGCAACTTGTTTTTTTTCCACTAAGCAGTGACGCAGATATCTTTCCATATAAGTAGACCTAGGTATACTTCATTCTTTTAAATAGCTCCATAGTATTCCATTATATTGCTATGTCATAATTAAAAATAAATCAATCCTTTATTTTTTATATATGTTTTTTGAGACGGAGTCTCACTCTGTCGCCCAGGGTGGAGTGCAGTGGCGCAATCTCAGCTCACTGCAACCTCTGCCTGCCAGATTCAAGTGATTCTCCTGCCTCAACCTCCTGAGTAGCTGGGACTACAGGCATGCACCATCATGCCCAGCTAATTTTTATGTTTTTAGTAGAGATGGGGTTTCGCCATGTTAGCTAGGCTGGTCTCAAACTCCTGACCTCAAGTGATCCACCTGCCTCGGCTGGGATTACAGGGGTGAGCCACCATGCCTGCCCCTTATTAGCTTTTTAATCTCCTTCCAGATGTTTGGTTTTATAAGACTGCAATCAACCATCCATGCATGTGAATCTGTGCACATGAGTACTTCCACAGATGAGCTCCTAGAAGTAGAATACAGCTTGATTGGAGGTGACATATATTCTTTAAATCCTCATTACAACCCTATGAAATAGGTGTTATTTCCCCCACTTTTACAAAAGAGGCAATAGAGTATCACAATAGCTTCATAACTTCACCTGTAAAGTAAGGGGCTGAACTAAGCTTCACACCCAGGTCCAGCTGAGCCCAAAACACGTATTTTTTCCACCATGAGACCCAGATTCACATGCAGCAGGGGAGACAGAAGGATTCAGCAGCAGTGGGCAGTGGGGCCAAGCAAAGGGCCCTGGAGCCAATGTACCATGCAGGGAGGCACTGGGATTGGAGCCTGGGGACATTTGTGAAACCACAGCCCAGAGACTTCACAGTCTGGTGCTGTTCTCCAATGTGGCTCAGTTAGGGCTTCTGGAGTTCTCATCTATAACAGAACCATAACGCTTCCTCTATATCAGTGTCTTTCAAACTTTGTTTTTTGTTGTTTTTGAGACAGAGTCTCACTCTGTCACCCAGGCCAGAGTGCAGAGGTGTGATCTTGGGTCATTGCAACCTTCACCTCCTGGGTTCAAGTGATTCTCCTGCCTTAGCCTCCCAAGTAGCTGGGATTACAGGTGTGTGCCACCAGGCCTGGCTAACTTTTGTATTTTTAGTGGAGACGGGATTTCACCATGTTAGCCAGGCTGATCTCAAACTCCTGACCTCGAGTGATCCACCGGCCTCGGCCTCCTGAAGTTCTAGGATTACAGGTGTGAGCCACTGTGCCCGGCCCAAATTTTGGATTACATGACTCTCAGTAAGACCAATATTTGCCTTGTGACACAGGTATACACATGTATAAAACTAAAACAGAAGTGTCATAAAATAATAATTCTATTAGCTAATTGCAATGTATTGTAAATTTTTCCCTTACATAATTTAAAAAAAAATCCCCAATTTGAAAATTCTGTAGTAAATCCTGGTAAAGACTATCTTTTTTTTTTTTTTTAAGATGGAGTTTCGCTCTTGTTGCCCGGGCTGGAGTGCAATGGTGTGATCTCGGCTCACCGCAACCTCCGCCTCCCAGGTTCAAGCAATTCTCCTGCCTTAGCCTCCCAAGTAGCTGGGATTACAGGCATGCACCACCACACCCGGCTAATTTTGTATTTTTAGTGGAGACAGGGTTTCTCCATGTTGGTAAGGCTGGTCTTGAACTCCCAACCTCAGGTGATCTGCCTGCCTCCCAAAGTGCTGGGATTATATGCGTGAGCCACCGCGCCTGGCCCTAAGACTATCTTTATCTCCCTAGGTTGGTGAACATGTGAAAAAGATGACCGTCCAAATTCCTCATTCTGATTCAAGTTCCTTCCTGAGCTGGTCCCATTTCCCCTGCTCACTCAGCCAGTTCAGTCACACTCCACGGCCCAGGCCAAACTCAGTCTCGTCTCTCACTTTAGCCTCCCATGGCTCCCTTCTTTGGGCGAAAGCTCTGCTCTACAAAAATGGATGCGAGCACAATATAATACCCTTCACGTTGGACTTGTATAGCTTGATCATTAAAATGGTCATTTTTTTTTCCCCACACATATTTAAGGAGAGCCTTGTCAACTTTCCAAGGACTGCCCTTAAATTTTTAAATATTCTTGTCATTCTTTTTGGAAGCACCTATTATGTTATCATCCTTATCTTACTCTTTTTTTCTATGTTGTTAATTAGTTTAACTCTAGCCTATGGTTCAAGCTGCTTTTTTTTTTTTTTTTTTTTGACACCATCTTTGCTCATTGCAACCTCCGCCTCCAGGTTCAAACTATTCTCCTGCCTCAGCCTCCCGAGCAGCTGGGATTATGGGCATGTGCCACCACATCAGTTAACTTTTGTACTTTTAGTAGAGATGGGGTTTCACCATGTTGGCTAGGCTGGTCTTGAACTCCTGGCCTCAGGTGATCTGCCCGCCCTGGCCTCCCAAAGTGCTAGGATTACAGGTTTGAGCCACCATGCCCAGCCAGTTCAAGCTGTTTTCTAACATCACTTTCAGAGGCTCCGTGACATTTTCCACCTTCTAGATTAGCATTTTCACTGTGCTATCCATTTGCTGTGCTTTAATGTATACAGCACTGGAGAGACTGTTCAATGACTTACAGATGCTAAGAGGCAAGAGATGCTTGAATGAGGACTAATTTCACAAGTCGGTATTAGATTATTTGTTAATCTTTTCTGCAGGGACTCTCATAATGAATCTTTGGATAAGGAGGGTCCTCTGTACAACCTTCCCCACTCAGCCTTTCTCTTTCTGCCCTATCACAGAATTGTAGCCTCTGTCTTGACAAGCCAGCCAGCAGCACTTGATGGAGTTCATCCGAAGCTGTGCTTTGCCAGTACTTTGAAAAGGAGGGAACTTCAGTGTTTGCTTAGTTCATTCTCAAGTTTCTTGCCAAGATTTGGAAACAACAAAAATAGTTTTCATGAGAATGATTGAGAACTTCTGAAATTCAATATTTTGGGGAAAAAACTGTGTTTGCATATGTATGTATTGCTACTTTCTCTAAGCTGGAAAGATGATTGATACTAGTAACTCACAAAAAAGGTGAACATCTTTTCCTCCATGCTTCTCTTTACCATTTGAAATTCTGGAAGTTTCTAGGATTAATTGCTTCAGCAGGAAAACTGCAAAGATACCATGCTTATTGTATCTTACCATTCCACTTATTTGAATTAATGTGCACTTTTAAAAAACCTGCAGGGCACAGGGACTCACGCCTGTAATCCCAGCACTTTGGGAAGCTGAGGAGGGCAGATCACCTAAGGTCAGGAGTTCGAAACCAGCCTGGCCAACATGGCGAAACCACATCTCTACTAAAAATACAAAAATTAGCCAGGCGTGGTGCCACATGCCTGTTATCCCAGCTACTTGGGAGGCTGAGGCAGGAGAATCACTTGAACCCAGGAGGCAGAGGTTGCAGGGAGTTGAGATTGTGCCACTGCACTCCAGCCTGGTGACAAGAGCAAAACTCTGTCTCAAAACAAAAACTGAAACAAAAATAAACCTATTTTCTGCTCACGATTAAGACAGGAATATAGGCAAAAGCTAAGCAACACACTCAAGTAATCTAAGTCCATTTTTGTAATTATTACCAATAACGTAATTCAGAAAATGGAAGCATATTTTAAATTTGATTTTCTTACCGTGTACACTACAGAACTAGATAAAAAATTAAAGTGTACTTAAAGGTTTCCTTCAGAAGGGATAGAAAAATGTTTTATTTTCTCAAATTAAATAGAAGTTACTGCAATAAACAATTCTGTGTTGCAGATTAACCAATTATTTTTCTCCTCATAGTGTTTTTAAAATTATCAAAACAACATATATGCATAGTATATAAAACATAATATTGACTTCCTATCATAGGGTATTAGGATTCAGACTTTTTTTTTAACTTTTGCTTCACAATGCAATGTACTTTCCCCCTTCTCCTCTCCTAATTTCCCAATATGTATATTTTTAAAAACTAATTTTGTTTTTGAACTGGAGTGCAGTGGTGCGATCTCGGCTCACTGCAAGCTCTGTCTCCTGGGTTCAAGTGATTCTCCTGCTTCAGCCTTGAGAGTAGCTGGGACTATAGGCACATGCCACCACACCCGGCTAATTTTTGTATTTTTAGTGGAGACAGGCTTTCACCATGTTGGCCAGGCTGGTCTCGAACTCCTGACCTCAGGTGATCTGCCCACCTCAGCCTCCCAAAGTGCTGGGATTACAGGCGTGAGCCACCATGCCCGGCCTAAAAATTAAATTAACATTCATATTATTCAACAACTGTGTAAATATTGTTCACTGTAGTGGACCCTCATTGCATTTCCTTTCTTGACATCTTTTTGTTTTCCGGTAGCTAGTAATTATCTTTTTTGTTTCCATTTGCTTAGCTTTCTAGGTTCCTATCGCTATTTGTCACCATACTCTCCAACAGAACTTTAAAACTCCTCTCGTACCACTTGGGCTACTGACTTCTTGGCAGCATCCTCGATCCTGCTCCACAGGGCCTGGATTCATCTCCAAGCCCGCAGCTCTACAGCTGCTTCCAACCATCATTTTGGAAATTCTCTTCCCTTCTTCTCCGTTCCATGGGTCCTCTGTCTTCCCTGTTCGTATATTTGTGATGTCTTCTAGAAACTTCCTGAGAAAGGATGCACAGGCAGAAAATTTTTTGAGACTATGTTTTATGAAATGTCTTTATTTTACCTTCTCAGTTGATTGACAGTTTGGACATAATTTCCCCTTAGAATGTTACAGGCATTTCTCCTTTTTTGTTTAGTTCCCAGTAATACTTTTAAGAAGTCTTAAGTTATTCTGTCTTGATCCTTTTATCTCCCCACCGTCACCCAGCCACAACCAAAGCTTTTTGCATCTCCTCTCTATCCCCATAAATTTCACTATGGTGTGTTTTGATATGGAACTTAGAAAAACGTTGTTTTTACTGAAGTATAACATACAGAAGAGCACAAATCATTTTACAAAATGAACAAACATTTTGTGTAACTAATACCTAGATTAAGAAACAGTGCTACCAAGAGCCACTACCTGCTCCTCGTGAGAACTGCTATTGTAATTTCCAGTACCATAGATCAGATTGCCTGTTTTTGAATTTTTATAGAAATGAAATCATTGTAAAATGTGTATTTTTTAAAAAAAATGTACTCTTTTGCTCCTGGTCTCTTTCATTCACCATTAATTTTGTCTGATTCACCCACGTCGCTGCATGTGGTGGCAATTCATTCATTCTTGTTCATATATATATATATATATATATATATATATATATATATATATATAAAATTGATGTATCCAATGTTAATGAGGATGGACTTGTGACTATTTCCATTCTGGGGATACTAGAGATAGGGCTGTCATAAATGTTTCTGTACACGCCCTCTGTTGAACAGATGTAGTTCTGTTGGACGGCATAAGACATTTTTCATTTTCAATCTGAATTCTTCCTTCAGTTTGGTGAAAATTGCTGGAATTAATTCTTTCGTGATTTCTCCCTTCTTCTCTTTTTTAAAATTTATTTTTTAACACAACATCAAGTTTCCTTTATCATCTATAATACAGTTATACCCAAACTTTCTAAGACCAAACAGACAGTCCCCTGCCCAGAGCAGGAAATTCCAATGAGCCCCTAAAGACACACAAAGGTGAATGTGGAAGATCATAGTTCCAGCTGCAGGTCACAAGTCTTCCATTCAAACACTCCATGCTTTTCATTTCTGTTTGTTAAAGAAAGCGTCTTACAGGACGTTGTTGAAAATAATTTCATCCCAGACACCGGGTTTCTTCAATAATACACAGCTCCATGAAATCTGTGTTTCCATCCGACTGACAGGAATACAAAGTAATTTTTATTGTTTTATTTTAATTTTTTGGTGGTATAGAGAAGTAAAACTATCAGTCAGATTCCTTTAGTAATAAAGAAAAGGAGGGGAAAGAAAGCATTTGGGCTTTGCTGGATGCTGGTTTCTACTTGTCTGAGGGTATGACTTCAATAGTTAAATCACCCTGACACCACTGCAGTAACTAGTACTAGCAATTCTTTCTTTCTTTCTTTCTTTCTTTCTTTCTTTCTTTCTTTCTTTCTTTCTTTCTTTCCTTTCTTTCTTTCCTTTCTTTCTTTCCTTTCTTTCTTTCTTTCTTTTTCTTTCTTCTTTTTCTTTCTTTCTTTCTTTTTCTTTCTTCTTTTTCTTTCTTTCTCTTTCTCTCTCTCTTTCTTTTTCTTTCTTCCTTTCTTTCTTTCTTTCTTTCCTTTCTTTCTTTCTTTCTTTCCTTTCTTTCTTTCTTTCTTTTTCTTTCTTTCTTCTTTTTCTTTCTTTTTCTTTCTTTCTTCTTTTTCTTTCTTTCTCTTTCTCTCTCTCTTTCCTTCTTTCTTTTTCTTTCTTCCTTTCTCTCTCTCTCCCCCTTTCTTTCTTTTTTCTTTTTTTCGAAGATGATACAAAGAAAAACACCCCCATGGACATAAAAATGGCCCAAAGGTGTTTTGTTTTGTTTTGTTTTTTGAGATGGAGTCTCGCTCTGTCACCCAGGCTGGAGTGCAACGGCACGATCTCGGCTCACTGCAACCTCCACCTCCCGGGTTCAAGAGATTCTCCTGCCTCAGCCTCCCTAGTAGCTGGGATTACAGGTGCCTGCCACCATGCCCAGCTAATTTTTGTATTTTTAGTAGAGATGCGGTTTCACCATGTTGGCCTGGATGGTCTCCAATTCCTGACCTTAAGTGATCCGCCCGCCTCAGCCTCCCAAAGTGCTGGGATTACAGGCGTAAGCCACTGCGCCCAGCCAGCCCAGAAGTTTTTTACTGAAGATCAATTCTCCCCCTGCCCGCCTCCGCTGAAAAGGTACAAAATGAACATTTTGTTTTGAGATGGCAGCTCCATCAGGCATTCCAATTCACCCAGCCACTTATTCTCACAGAGGTGAGGGGAACAGGCATTAGGTTTTATTAGTCATGTTGTATTTGTAACCAGATGTGGCCTCGGCAGCTTATTTGAAGGCCATTGATCCTTTGAACACGTGTAGAGAAGCATGGCTGTCCTTCACTGACTGTCCATATCTGAGCATATTCAGCTACCATGGAAACTACGAAGGAAGGAAAAATATATTTACTCCAAAATTCATTTACTGGGAGTTTTAAGTGCCCTTTCTTCCACAGAGCCCCAGAGTAGTGCTAATGTGCTGGGGGCAGCTGTATTTTCCAGCATGAGCTCCCATCCTCTGAGGGTCCTGAAAAGGATTGGTCCTGGAGTCTTCATGAAAGGAATGAGGTGGAACATGTGTAGCCCCAAACCTGATAGTACGGGGAGTGGTGGGGGTGGCAGGGCAATGTTCACCACAGTGGTGGAGGATCACTTAGGGGTAGGCTGAAGTAGCTGCTGCAACAGGAGGAAGAGCTCATGGCAGTCCTGGAAAAGGCTCTAACTTGATCCCAGAGTATGTGGTTCCGTCCTTCTTTTTCTTTTCCTCTGGCTGCTTGAGATCTTCTTGATTTCACGTTGAGTCTGTGGCGATTGCAATCAACTTATTAAAGGACTTCTCAGCAGCCATGTCTGTAGCCTGCCTTGTGGAAAACTGGGTGAAAGCACCCTGCTGCTTCTGCATTAGAGTGATGGTCAATCTCTCCTAACTGGTAGAAATGATTTCTCTGATCTGTTTCACCCAGACCATCCACGTCTAATGTGGTGAGAGTCTTGTCCTCTGGTGGGTCCAGATGAGGCATGGTTGAAGTCTGCTTTAGAAGCTTATCAGCTATAGGGTCATTGATTCCATAATATGAGTCTTCAACATTTTGATCAGCAAGGGGATCATCCAGATCTGTAGGCTTCTTCTGTCTGTAGGGACGCTCCTCTTTTCTCTGACACTCTCCTTTCACCTAGCAGGAGCAAATGTGAGGCTGATTCCTTTGATAGTAGGGTATGGTCCAGGCCAGTTTGAGCAGCACGACACTGGGGGATGTGTCTTTCCCCAGCATGCTAATTAGACGTGTTCCATCAGAGTTACAGATCTCTCTCCATATTCTGTGTGTAGAACCCTCGGTTGACATCTGACTTTGGCACATTACTTTCAAAAGACAATGCTGTGTCATGAACCTGGATGTGCTGGCCACACTCTACGTCTAAGAGGCAGGTCTGACATTCTCCAATTTACTGCAAATTTGGCACACTTTAGTCTTTTTTTTTTTTTTTTTTGAGATGGAGTTTTCGCTCTTGTTGCCCAAGCTGGAGTGCAATGGCGCGATCTTGGCTCATCACAACCTCTGCCTCCCGGGTTCAAGCAGTTCTCCTGCCTCAGCCTCCTGAGTAGCTGGGATTACAGGCACCTGCCACCACGCCCGGCTAATTTTGTATTTTTAGTAGAGACAGGGTTTCTCCATGTTGGTCAGGCTGGTCTCGAACTCCCGACCTCAGGTGATCCGCCTGCCTCAGCCTCCCAAAGTGCTGGGATTACAGGCGTGAGCCACTGTGCCTGGCCTAGTCTTCTTTAAAAAAGCATGTGGACCCCAGGGCACCAGTGAAACACTGGGAATGGCCTGGCACAGAGACTGCATTCCTTCTTGTATGTTTTTTTCTCTTTTGGGTGTGTGTGTGTGTGTGTTTCTTTTATTTCTTGATACAAACACATAAATGGATCAAAAAATATGTTCATCTAGAAAACTGGACGTCATCCAAAAATGAAAAACAAGTTTCAATGAATTTAGATTTCCTAGCATTTTACTCCTAACCCTAAGGGTTAAATTTATTGTCCACTTACATGCCCATGTTTCTGACCCAAGCTAAGGGGCTGGAAAACGAAACTCAGAGCTAGTGTGTGGTGGCACATGCCTGTAATCCCAGTTACTTGGGAGGCTGAGGCAGGAGGATCACTTGAGCCCAGGAGTTCAAATCCAACATGGGCAACGTAGCGAGACTCCATCTCTAAAATTAAAAATCAGAACAATCTCATGTAAATATGGGAAGTCTTAGCATTGATAAAACCTAAGATTTCCTGGAAGTAAGTGGGAAGCCTCTAATCCTACCTGGATAGTGCTTTTCTGGGGGATTTTTCAGCACAAGTCTAAATCTCACAAAGCACCTTCAAAAACTGGGCTACGCAGTATCACAGGCATGGCAGTAGGTCCAAAGGCTGGATTCAGGGGCCATGTAAATAACAGGAAAAGCAAATCAAGGACCAGATGCTGAGATTTCCCCTTGAGTTCCACATTTGGGAGAACAAGGAGTTGACCCCTAAGTAGTCTTCTGCTTCTTGGTAAATGGTTGCTCAGCTACATCTTGTGCTTCAGCTACCTTTTGTTTGAAGAACTTTGTGTTCTGGGTACTCTCTTGGCCCCGTGTTGGGTAGAAGGAAGTGGTATCTCAATGCCCACCATGGGTGTATTTGGTATAACCAGAGTGCCCAAAGTTCTTGCATGACTTTAGGAAGCATGGCTTTGTTGAAATGATCCTCCAGGGTGGGGGCACTGAAATCTCTTTTGTATATTTCTCATATTTGCCCTGAATGGCTTTGCTGGTAATGACCTTGCCATATGCCTGAAGCTCAGCTTGCTGCTCTTCCTCAGCCAGCTTCCGCAGGTGCTCAATTTCTGCTTCCTCCTTCTCAAGCTCTTCTTCCTCGTCTCTGCTCCCTTGTTTGTTTTAGCTTCTGAACTTTCCATGCCTCCTGCTCCTCCTGACTCTCCTCTTGGTGTTGAGCGCATCCAGAGTAGTGCGGCCCCGCCTGCTCTCCGCAGGCTCTTCCATGGTCTCCTACAGTCTGGAGGGGGCACCATGCCTCCTCAGGGTGCCTTTTGCCTCCTGCTCCAGCTCCTTCTGGTTCAATGCTTCAGCCTCAGGTTCTCGAACTGTCACTCAGCCCTTCTTCCTTCCCAGTGAGGGCCTGCATCAGGCGAGGCTCCGTCTCATCCTCACTGTCTGTGGACTCTCCATACTCAGATCTGCTCTGAGCTCCCCAGGGCGCCCCTCCTCACCGCCTCCCCTGCCACCCCTGTGCCTCCCACACTCCTGTCTCCTCTCCTGTACTCCCTGACACAGGGTGCTGCACTGCCACCCCATCTCCTCATCCTCGGTTTCTTCCTCTTCTTCTTCACTGACATCCGCTCATTCCGGGCGCTAGGCACCTGCTTCTCTTCTGAAGCTGCCTGCTTCTATCACTCCAGGCTCCACTGTTTTCCAATGCCGGCCAATCTCTCTTCCTCTCGTCACTCACCTGGTCCTGAAAATGCCACAGCCTGGCTGGCTGGCTGAGCCCTCCTCCTGTTCCTCAGGCTCTGCTTCCTGTTCCTTGGATTTCCCAATGAATGAAAATTCCTCATCCGCCTCATCAGAGGACTCCACAGGGGCACAGTCTGGCCTTCTTCTGGACACACAACGTTGGACCTTGGACCTTCACTTTCTCTGTGGAAGTCTCCCATTTCTCACTGTGATGCAGGACGGCCCCAGTGCAGAGTCAATGAGCGACTGCTTCATGAGTGCCCTTGGGACTGACAAGTTGATGGGTGGCGACTCCCAAAACTGAAAGATTCCAAACTGAACACCTACAATGTCAATGGACAGAAAAATTCCTTTCCGCCAAGGTGCACAGGGCACTGCTACATAGCTGATCCCTTCCCGTGCTTGACTTTAATCATTCAGCTATGTGGGTTTTCTCCAAAGCACATTTGGCACAGATGGGAAGTCCACACACATCCTCCAGGCTCTGCCTGTTCCAGGTTTTTTTTTTTTTTTTTTTTTTTTTTTAAGACAGAGGCTCACTCTGTTGCCCAGGCTAGAGTGCAGTGGCGCGATCTCAGCTCACTGCAACCTCCGCCTCCCAGGTTCAAGCGATTTTCATGCCTCAGCCTCCAGAGTAGCTGGGATTACAGGTGTGCACCACCACGCCTGGCTAATTTTTGTATTTTTAGTAGAGATAGGGTTTCACCATGTTGGCCAGGCTGGTCTCAAACTCCCAACCTCAGTTGATCTGCCCATCTCAGCCTCCCAAAGTGCTGGGATGGACAGGTGTGAGCCACTGCACCCGGCCTGTTCCAGGTGTTAAAACCCAGAGAGGTCACCATCTTGAGAGCGTCTGAGGTGGGAAGTGGGACTCTCCGAGTCCTGGTGTCTTCCCCTGTAAAGGAGGAGAACTTACATGTCACCCACCTGATCAAATCAGGCCCATCCAGGAGAGTACTCCTGTTGATTAATTTAAGGACTTGGAACTTCACATCAACCAAATCCCTTCAGGGCAGCACCTGAACTAGCTTTGTTTGGATACCAGGGAGAGGGTGTGTCTGATTTCAACTAGGGCAGGGATGCTAAAAGATTCTGGGCCCTGAAGCCCCAACTGCAAAATAAGTCTGTCAAGGTCTCTAAAAATGTACACCCATGATTTCTGATTTATTTCCCTACCTTATTGAGAGTTTACAGTCAAACAGGAATGCCCAAAACTCCAGCCTCTATAAAACGAACTGAAATTAGCAGTTTTTCCTTCAATCTGGAATCAAAATAATTCAGGCATAAAGGGTCTTTCCCATGGACAACAGCAATAGCATCCTTAAAGCAACTCTGCTTATATTGTCCTTGGTATTGAGATCAAACCTCCATTCAGAGCTTTACTGGTCTGAGATTTTCTTTCTGGGGATGGGCATCTGGAATGGTTGCACTCAACTCTCAGCTAGATGTGTCTGCACCCACACCTGCAGGTGACTGCCATGTGGGCAGGTTACCCACCCTGGCAGGTCCTAGCGATGTCTCTCTGCCTGGGATTGAACATGCAAGTCAGAGGTTCTGAACCAACCACTCCTCACCTCAGAATGTCCACTTCTGCCCCAAAAGTGAGATAGTGGGAGCCTTCCAGTGATCCACTGGCCTTCATCTCTGTTTCCTAGCCACAGTTCCTCAAGCCCTAGGAACGGCCAGACCAATAAGGGTATCTTGCTTTGCTAATGAGATGACTAATGGCTGGGGACCCCTAAGTAGCTTCAGGATGGAGGCTGGCACCAGAAAGAACAAGGCAAGATTGGAGAGTTAGAATTTCAGTCTCACTCCCCCAACCTCCGGGGAGGGAAGAGGGGCGGAAGGTTGAGTTGATCAGCAATAGGCAATGATGTAGTCCATCATGCCTATGTAATGACGCTTCCATAAAACCCTCAAAGGACTGGGTTCGCAGAGCTTCCAGACAGCTGAAAACGTGGAGGTTCCTGGAACGTGGTGCCCCTGAAAAGGGCATGGAAGCTCTGCACCCTTCCCCCACACCTGGCCCTATGCATCTTTCCCATCTGTTCCTCTGTATCCACTATAATAAATAGGTCAACATAAGTAAAATGTTTTCCTGAGCTCTGTAAGCTGCTCTGTCAAATCAATCGAACCTGAGGAGAAGGAGGTGGGAACGCCTGATTTGTAGCTGGTGGGTCAGAAGAATAGGTAATCACTTAAAGATTTACCTCCATTTTTATTCCTGAGCTTTCTCTGCAACTGCAGGGCCCAATCCAGGACAGGCAGAGAACTGGCGCTTACTGTGCTCTGTTGGAATTCAGGTAAGTCAGGAGGCGCCTCGATGTAGAAACGTGTTCCTCTGCACTCCTGGCCTCCAATCTTTTATATAGCCTCTGATCTTGTTTTAGGTTGCAATATCTTCTCTCTTAAAAAAACTATTTTTTTTCTTATGTTCCCTGTCATGTCTTGTTTCAGTTCTTTTTCTTCTGTTTGCATTGATTTCCATTTCAGCTGGGCAGCTTTCCCCACATGCATGGTGATCCTTGGCTACCTAGTCGGATTTGAGAGCGAGGCATTTAAAATGCTGATGGATGTGAGGCTGAGGATGGAGGATTGCTTGAGCCAGGAGTTCAAGGTCAGCCTGGGCAATACAGTGAGACCCTATCTCAAAACAAAACGACAATAACAAATGCTAACTCTGTGTGAGGGTGTTGTCACTGGGTGATGAATTAGAGTGCCGGCTGCTCTATTGAGAATAACTGAATATTATTATTATTAATATATTAATAATATTAATATTATTCTGTTATTCATATAAATCTGGCAGCATAGTTTTGTCAGAAAGGAATCCTCCAACCTGGGCCCCATGTAATAGAAGAGGTTGACAGATCTCAGCAGTCACTTGAAGAATTCTACTCACTTCCTGTTTTTCTGCAAAAGAATCCATCCCATTCTCAGCAGTGCCCAGTATTCCTGAGTCTAGAGCTTCGCTGTCCAATATGTCAGCCACTAGCCATATGTGGCTATTTAAATCAAAATTAAAACTAAACTTCATTTCCTCAGTCACACTGGCCATATTTCATGTATTTTTGTTTGTTTGTGGGTTTTTCTTGAGACAAGGTCTTACTCTGTATCCCAGGCTGGAGTGCAGTGGTGCAATCATGGATCACTGTAGCCTCAACCTCCTGGGCTCAAGAGATCCTCCTGCCTCAGCTTCAACTTCCTGAGTAGCTAGGACTGCAAGTGTGTGCCACCATGCCCAGCAAATTTTTGTGTTTTTTATAGAAACGGGTTTTCAACATGTTGCCCAAGCTGGTCTTGAACTCCTGGGCTCAAGCGAACCACCCACCTCGGCCTCCCAAAGTGTTGGGATGACAGGTATGAGCCACCACGTGCAGCCACACTGGCTACATTTCAGGTGGCTATTGAGCCACTAGTTGTTGGACAATGCAGATATAAAGCACTTCCATCATCACGGAAAGTTCTATGGCACACTGCTGGAGACTAAACCTCACGTTTTGTTTGTTTGTTTTGAGACGGAGTCTTGCTCTGTTGCCAGGCTGGAGTTCAGTAGCGTGATCTCAGCCCACTGTAATCTCTGCCTCCCGGGTTCAAGCAATTCCCCTGCCTCAGCCTCCCGAGTAGCTGGGACTACAGGTGTGCATCGCCACGCCTGGCTAATTTTTTGTATTTTAGTAGAGACGGGGTTTCACCATGTTGGCCAGGATGGTGTTGGTCTCCTGACCTCGTGATCTGCCTGCCTTGGCCTCCCAAAATGCTGGGATTACAGGCGTGAGCCACTGAGCCCGGCCAACCTCACGTTTTATACTTGGGGAGAAGTGGTTTCCTAACTACACTGTTGAGGAGGGAATCTGGAAGTGTGATTTTCCTCTTTTTTTAGAGACTGGGTCTTGCTCTGTTGTCCAAGCTATAGTTCAGTGGAACAATTAAAGCTCACTGCTGCCTTAACCTACTGGGCTCAAGTGGTGCTCCCAGTTCAGCCTTCTGAGTAACTGGAACTACAGGCGGGTGCCACCATGCCCAGCTAATTTTTGTATTTCTTCTTAGAGATGGGGTCTTGCTATGTTGTCCAGACTTGTCTTGAACTCCTGGCCTCAACTGATCCTCCTACCTCAGCCTTTCAAAGTGCTGGGATTACAGGCATAAGCCACCATGCCCAGTCCAGTTTAATTATTCTTTATACAATATTTCATTAATTATTGAATTTTCAATCCTACCGTGAATCCACCTTTAGGGGTACCTGAAGGCTCCCCTTTCTTGAAACTTGACTCTTAACTAACCCCCTACAACACACACATTTGTAGGTGTAGGTTTCATGCTGTTAATTACCACTGGTCCATGTGTCTCCCATCTTTCAAAACATTCTTTATCCCTATCCTACTCCTTCAGCATTACTGATGGGTTTTCAGCAAGGAGCAGAGATAATGTGTGTGGCCCATGCCAAGCCTGAAGTCCTCCTGAGATGTTATTCACATAACTCATGACAAAGGCAATGGGGAAAAAGTGTTCTGCTGCTTAGCTTTGTCAGGTTTTGTCCAAGGTTTGCTTAGTTACAGTTTTAAGAAAATTTTATCATCTCTGATTTCTTTATATTCCATTGTTTTATTCTTTTCCCAAATATTATTTGAGAACTTACTACAGGTAAGGCACTGCTCCAGTTTTAAGTTTTCTCACTTTACCCTCCCATTTCATAAAAAATATTGTTGCTAAACATTTTCAGTGAAAGTTTAATAATTATGTATGTTGGCAAAACCTCATGAACAAAACACAGGGCAAGCTTATTTTCAACTGACTCAAGATTGGTTTCCTCTACCCACAGCCTTAAGCCGAGTCAAGAGCTGAGCCCATTCCATAGATGCTAAACCTCAGCCAACCTTAACCTGTGAATATGAGAACAGATACGTGTTGATACAAACCACTGAGTTTGGGGTGGTTTGCTATAGAGCATTATGTTGTCTGTCTAACACCATGGGAAAAGAGTCCTTACAAACAGGACTTTAGATTTTTTTTTTTTTTAATACAAAGATATGGCTAGGCACAGTGGCTCACTTTGGGAGGCCAAGGCTGGTGGATCACTTGAAGTCAGGAGTTTGAGACCAGCCTGGCCAATGTGGTGAAACCCCGTCTCTACTAAAAATACAAAAATCAGCCAGGCGTGGTGGCACACACTTGTGATCCCAGCTGCTTGGGAGGCTGAAGCAGGGAGGATTGCTTGAACCCGGGAGGCAGAGGCTGCAGTGAGCCAAGATTGTGCCACTGGAGTCCAGCCTGAGCAACAGAGTGAGTGAGACTCTGTCTCAAAAAAAGATATGGGTTAGTCAATATGTTTAGGAGAAAATAAAAGTTATCATTCTACAACATAAAATGCTATTTTATTGCTTGTTGCATTTTATCTAATGGTGTTTTTCTAAGAAAATTTGCAATAGGAATACCACTGTTTCAGGTTTTAAAATGATCATAAGCACCTGATAGAGTTTGGCTGTGTCCTCACCCAAATCTCATCTTGAATTGTAGTTCCCATAATCCCCACGTGTTGTGGGAGGGACCAGTGGGAGGTAATTGAATCATGGGGGTGGTTACCCTCATGCTGTTCTTGTGATACTGAGTGAATTCTCATGAGATCTGACGGTTTTATAAGGGGCTTTCCTGCTTTTGCTCGGCACTTCTCCTTCCTGTCGCCATGTAAAGAAAGACCTTTTTGGTTCCCCTTCCACCACGATTGTAAGTTTCCTGAGGCCTCCCCAGCCATGCTGAACTGTGAGTCAATTAAACTTCTTTCCTTTATAAATTACCCAGTCTTGGGTATATCTTTATTAACAGCACGAGAATGGACTAATACAGCACCTGACTAGGAAACTAATATTTTCCTTTCATTTGAAAAGGATATTTCATTAGCGAACAGTGTCTATTACACAAGTTACATCAAGATCTGTGTGCCTCTTTCCAAAAGATAAATTACAAGCATTGTTACAAAATAAAAGAGTATGCGGTTTGCAAAATTCTTATGATGGGAGCCCTTCTCTGCCCAGAATTATGCTTGCTTGCCTCTTAATGCTTCCACTAATTATGATGAGATGTCACTCAGAACCTACAGTTTCTGCCTTGGGGGACGTATAAGAATGTCAGAACACCTCTCCATGGTATCAGGTGCCTGCAGAGCTTTGCTGTGGGTTATGGACCAACTCCTCAGTATCTGTTCCTAAGACCAAATGAACCACGCTATCTTGGAAGTGCTGGTCTTGGACAGTAAAGGACATTGTGCAGACAGCTGGAAGCGGTCCCTATTAACATTGTCCCTGATAGTGAATAAAGGGACGGTGTGAGTTCCTTTGGGCTGCTTTCTTTCTTGATGTACTGAAACTTTAGTTTCAATGGAATCAAAAGAATCAGAGACGCTGGGTGCAATGGCTCACACCTGTAATCTCAACACTTTGGGAGGCCAAGTAGGAGGAACTCTTGTGCCCAGGAGTTCAACACCAGCCTGGGCAACAGAGTGAGACCCCATCTCTACAAAAAATAAGAAAAATAGCTGGTCATGCTGGTATACACCTGTGGTCCCAGCTACTCAGGTGCTCGCTTGGGTCCAGGAGGTCAAGGGTGCAGTGAGCCGTAATTGAGCCACTGAACTCCAGCCTAGGTGACAGAGTGAGATGCTGTCTGAATAAATAAATAAATACGAATGTCTGACCAGATTGGGGCAGCATCTCTGTATTTGACAGATTCTAAAACAACAACTTAGTAATAAACTCTATCACTCTTACAGTAATAGTGATAGTGTTCAGAGTAATAAACAGATTCTCACGCTGTTGCCCAGGCTGAGAGCAGTACACAATCACAGCTCACTGCAGCTCTTGGGCTCAAGTGGTCCTCCTGCATCAGCCTCCTGAGTAGCTGGGACTACAGGTGCAGGCCACCATGTCTGAGTAATTTTTGTACTTTTTGTGTGTGTGTGTGTAGGGACAGGGCTTCACTATGTTGCCCGGGCTAGTCTTGAACTCCTGGCCTCAACAGACCCTCCTGCTTCGGCCTCCCAAAGTACTGGGATTACGGGCATGAGCCACTGTGCCTGGCACAAACACTAATTGTTTGTTTTTTTTTTTTTGAGATGGAGTCTTGCTCCATCTCAGCCTGCACGCCAGGCTGGAATGCAGTGGCATGATCTCGACTCACTGCAACCTCCGCCTCTCGGGTTCAAGCAATTCTCCTGCCTCAGCTTCCCGAGTACCTGGGATTGCAGGCGCCCGCCATCACGCCTGGCTAATTTTTGTATTTTTAGTAGAGACGGGGTTTTGCCATGTTGGCCAGGCTGGTCTGGAACTCCTGACCCCAAGTAATCCGCCTGCCTCAGCCTCCCAAAGTGCTGGGGTTACAGGCATGAGCCACCACACCTGGCCACAAACACTATTTTTTAAAGCATGTGATGTTAGATTCTTTTATAAATTAATATTCAAACTCACTAGAAAGACTCTGGAATATGTGTATGTGTGTGTACTAGTTTTTAAAATCCTATATTTTCCTTAACATTAAATTGAAACTCATTACAAAACAAAGGTTAATACTAGTGCTGTCATGACTATCAGGAGCTATGACATCCTTTTAGGAAGTCATGTATGTTCATTTGTCCATTTGTTCATTCATGTATGTAAAAGTTACAGAACACTGACATTGTGCTAGGGACCAATCTAAACACTGGGAACACAAAGGTGGGTGGCTTTCAAGGGGCTATCTAAAGTCCAAAGAGGAAAGCAGACAACGAGAAGCTATTACCAGTGTGAGCAGTGCTAACGACTGAATGGAATGAGAGTACATATCCTCCCTGACATGGTGGGGAGGGATGTCAAAGGAAGGCTCTTAGACATAGAATCTAAATCGAGTCCTCGTGTTTGTCGTACTTCCTTAATGTAGGGATTCTCTCTGTGTAACTACCTATCATTCATTTGCCTCTTTGCTCAGTTCACTACCCACCAGAGGAACTGCTCCCATGCCGAGGGACCCTCGGATGACACACTCGGGCCACCTCCTCTTTTGCCTGTGTGTCTGCAATATCTAGGTGAGCTTGGCTTTGGTACCATATCTGTTCTGTCATTCCTGCTCCAAAACATAAGACTCACTCCCAAGAGGAAATTTTTGCATTTGAAAATTCAAGTTGTATGAAATATAAATGTTTCCTACTTTGTACGTTCTTTAAATTCATGTGTCATATATTACATTTACTAAGAAGTAGAAATACATGTACTTTCTAAACTGAGAAAACTAGCTGGTGGAAGACAAAACTGATTCTAAACACATCTGATAGATTCTAAAAAGTGAAGGTACTTTAAGTGGCACTACCCTGGCACATGTTCACTTTAGATTGCCAGGTAAACCAGCCCAACAGGTGTTAGGAGACAGATGTTCACCAAATGCTTAGCCCTCAGGGAGAAAACATTAAAATATACAACATATTTCCCCCGAGTATCAGCAACTGAAGAAAGCATTTTACCATCTACTATCATGATTTCTAAACACAGTTTAAAAAATTTTATCGAATACCTACTATAATGCAAGCAGTACTAGTTATGGTGATAAAAGATAAATAAACCCCTGATGTATAAACTAAGCACCTTAATTCATTATTTCATGGTTAAATACATTCTAAAACTAATTTTTTTCCTCCGCAAGTCTTCCTTCTCTTTGGGGTTTAAAAGGCTCATCACTGAACTGAACCAAGTCCATCTTAGGAACTCACTGAGTATAGGGGATTGCCAAGTCCTGTTGACTCTTCTGCCCTCTGCAGTTTCAAAGCTGTCTTCACTTTATCTTGGCACCATTTTCCGGTAGGCCTATAGAACCTGTAACCTTAAATACCATAACATAAAAACTAAACTTCTTGCCACAGTTTTGGCCTTTTCTAATCCATTCTCATTAAACTGCTGCTAAAGTGACCATTTAAACACAAAAGATGCATGAAATTATTCAATGTCACCCAGGCCTCTAGGATGCAGCCCAACACTCTAGCACAGATCACTCCCTTTTCTTGTCTCATTTTTGTTGCTTCTCTATCATGAGCATTTATGTCCCATGGTGTCCCACTAACCACTGCAATTTATTTACTTTTCTTAGAGACAGGGTCTTGCTCTGTTGCCCAGGCTGGAGTGCAGTGGTGCGATCATAGTTCATTGCAGCCTCAAACTCCTGGGCTTAAGCAATCCTCCCACGTCAGCCTCCTGAGTAGCTGGGACCACAGCCATGTGCCACCATGCCTGGCTATTTAATATTGTATTTTCTGTAGAGACGGGGTCTTGCTCTGTTGCCCAGACTGGTCTCAAACGATCCTCCTGCCTTGGCCTCCAAAGTGCTGGGATTCCAGGTGTGAGCCACTGCACCTGGCCAATCGCTGCAATTTTAAAAATGCCCCAAGCGTCCTCAGGTATTGGTGTCCCTCTCACAAGCCCATCCCAGACTGCTCCTCCCCAACCCCTGCCCATGGCCCTCAATTAATTTTCTCCTCTCCTTTTTTTATTTCAGAAAATTTAAAAAAGTTGTAAGATTAGTGCAATAAACACACACATATCCTTTAGTTATATTCACCAGTTATTAACATTTTGCTACATTTGTGTTCACTTGCTTTTCCCCATCCCCAAATATTTACTTTGCTGAATCATTTGAGAGTAAGTTGCAGACATTATGACACTTTACTCTTAAATTTTTCAGCAAGTATCTCCTAAAAATAGGACACTCTCTTACATAACCACAAGGATCATACTTAGGAAATTTAATATTGAAATACTAAAATTTAATTTGAATATAGAGTTGATGCTCATATTTCTCCTCAGTTGGCTGACTTCTATTTATCTTTCAAGACTAAGCTCTAGGAAAATGACCTCCCTTCTCCCCACACCCCCTCTCTGTCCACACACAGAATACACTGGGTATCTCTCTTCGATACTTTTACTACCTTTTTGTATACTTCTATTGAAGCACTTAGCACACACTATCATATTGTCTATTTTCTTTTCTGTCGTATCTGAGACTCAGCTAGACCCATTTTAATTCTTCTATCACTTCATATACTACCCAGCATTCGTTGGTGACTGAATGGATAAATGAATGAATGAATGCATGATGAGACATTGAAGATTCTCATTCCACTCTCTCATTGTAACTGGTCATGTGTCTCTAAACATTCTGAGCAATATATCACGTGTTCTCAATTTCACCTCTTATTTCAAACACTGCTATGGTACCCAGGTCTCTGTGGGCTTCTTCTACCTTGTGCGGATGCAACCTCACAGCACCTGCTTTTGGCCTCTGCCCCTAGTTTCTGGCCCCAGGGCTACATTGGAGCTGTGACACAGGAGTCCCATGGGAACCACTTGGCACTCAGATATGGACAATCTGGAAATGCAGGACAGTTAAGGCCTGTAAGCTTGCCCTGACCACTGAGGGACAGGAGCTCATAGAAAAAATGCTTGTCTCATTTTTAGCCCAGGGTGGCCAATTCTGAGATGCATGTTAAAAGGTTCCTCAGAAGCTCCCACAGGATCAAGTAGCAGATATTCATAATGGTTGCCAATTTGAAAGGGACCCTTGGGTTGGCTTTCTCTCCTTCCGGGGGGTCATTCTTCTGTCTTATCACAGTCTATTCCTTGGTGTCACATTCCCAAATAAACTCCCTACCTACCTCCAAGTTGTTTGTACAGGCTTTGCTTTCGGGAGAGCCCAGACTAAGACAATGTGGTAACGTAAAAGACTGGTGGCTTGGGAGCCAGACAGACCTGACTTTGAAACCAAGTTTGCTCATTCACTAGCCATGACCTTGGGCACATAATTTAACTTCTCTCAGCCTCACTCTCTTCACTTTATAATGAAGATAATACTTTATAGGAGTATGGTAATGACTTCATAGGGGTATGGTAATTAGAAATTTACCAAATATATATATGAATAGAATATATACAACTTCCTTGAGTAATGATTGACTATAATAAACCACATTGAGTGTCTGTCCAGCTTAGGAGCCAACCTCACTCTTCCATTTCTCTTAAGATTCACTATTTGTCCCAGCCATGCCCACCATCATTGAGCGGGAGTTCAAGGAGTTGGATGCTCAGCATCGCTGGCAGCTGCCGTACTTGGAAATTCGAAATGAGTCCCATGACTATCTTCATAGAGTGGCCAAGTTTCCAGAAAACAGAAATCGAAATAGATACAGAGATGTAAGCCCATATGATCACAGTCGTGTTAAACTGCAGAATACTGAGAATGATTATATTAATGCCAGCTTAGTTGACATAGAAGAGGCACGAAGGAGTTACATCTTAACACCGGGTCCACTTCCTAACATGTGCTGCCATTTCTGGCTTACGGTTTGGCAGCAGAAGACCAAAGCAGTTGTTGTGCTGAACCGCATTGTGGAGAAAGAATCGGTTAAATGTGCGCAGTACTGGCCAACAGATGACCAAAAGATGCTGTTTAAAGAAACGGGATTCAATGTGAAGCTCTTTCAGAAGATGTGAAGTCATATTACACAGTACATCTACTACGATTAGAAAATATCAATAGTGGTGAAACCAGAACAATATCTCACTTGCATTATACGACCTGGCCAGATTTTGGAGTCCCTGAATCACCAGCTTCATTTCTCAATTTCTTGTTGAAAGTGAGAGAATCTGGCTCCTTGAACCCTGACCATGGGCCTGCAGTGATCCATTGTAGCGAAGGCACTGGGTGCACGGGCACCTTCTCTCTGGTAGACGCTTGTCTTGTTTTGATGGGAAAAGGAGATTATATTAACATTAAACAAGTGTTATTGAACATGAGAAAATACTGAATGGGTCTTATTCAGACCCCAGATCAACTGAGATTCTCATACATGGCTATAATAGAAGGAGCAAAATGTATAAAGGTAGATTCTAGTATACAGAAACGGTGGAAAGAATTTTCTAAGGAAAACTTAGCTCCTGCTTTTGATCATTCACCGAACAAAATAATGACTGAAAAATACAATGGGAACAGAATTGGTCTAGAAGAAGAAAAACTGACAGGTGACCGATGTACAGTAAATGCAAGATACAATGGAAGAGAACAGTGAGAATGCTCTACGGAAACATATTCTAGAGGACAGAAAGGCCACCACAGCTCAGAAGGTGCAGCAGATGAAACAGAGGCTAAATGAGAACGAACAAAAAAGAAAAAGGCCAAGATAGACACCTAATATTCATGACTTGAGAATATTCTGGAGCTATAAATTTTGAACCACTGATGTGCAAAACAAGACCTGAAGCCCACTCCAGAAACTAAAGTGAGGCTTGCTAACCTTCTAGATTGCCTCACAGTTGTTTGTTTACAAAGTAAACTTTACATACAGGGTATGAGGAGCACCCACCAGCAGAAGACTTTGCAGAACCTTACATTGGATGTGTCGTTGTGTTTTTTTTTTTTTTTTTTTTTTTTTGAGACGGAGTCTCTGCTCTGTTGCCCAGGCTGGAGTACAGTGGCGCGATCTCGGCTCACTGCAAGCTCCGCCTCCTGGGTTCACGCCATTCTCCTGCCTCAGCCTCCGGAGTAGCTGGGAATACAGGCGCCCGCCACCAAGCCTGGCTAATTTTTTGTATTTTTAGTAGAGATGGGGTTTCACCGTGTTCGCCAGGATGGTCTCGATCTCCTGACCTCGTGATCCGCCCGCCTCGGCCTCCCAAAATGCTGGGATTACAGGCGTGAGCCACCGCATTGGCCTGTTAAGTGTTTTTAATGGGTGTATGAAACGTAGAAATATGTAAAAGAAATAAATTAGGAGAGATTAATTTGTGTTGTACTGCCATTCCTACTGTATTTTTATACTTTTTGGCAGCATTAAATATTTTTGTTAAAGAGTCAAAAAAATTTACTACTTGTCCCATCAGTTTCCTGGGATGGGTTCATGTACTCACAATTTTACTAGATTTTGTGACTATTAGCAACCACAATTCTAGCTACTGCATTGACTATTACACTAATATACAGAATAAACAATGCCTATAATTATTTTTAAAAAGAATCATCCTAAATTTACAAAAAGACAAACCGCATTTCCATAATATATTGTCTAAATTTCAGGAAGAAATTCTCAACCTTTGAATGACAGATTTAAGAAAACTAGTTTAGATATCAATATCTCATTGGAATATGTTGTTTTGTTTATACCTCAGGTTTTCAAAGCTTTGGGACCTCAAAAGTAGTCCTTATTTAAAAACTGCTACTCGTAACCATAGTCTCCATCGTCAAAAAGGAATGTATAAGGATTATTATGCTTGAAATATTAATCTGTATGGGTCTTACAAGATACTCCAGGTTGCTTATATGCTTAGTGGGAAATGAGAATTATTCAAAAGAAAAATTCTATTTTCCCAATGGGAGAAGTGTCCAAAAGTTTCAAAGATGTCAGAAAAATCAGCTTTTGGAAGCTGCTGCCACAATTGTCAATAAGCAGGAGATACCAGTATGTCTTCAAAGAGAGAATTCATTGAAACAAGTCATTGAGGCTGGGCGTGGTGGCTCACGCCTGTAATCCCAACACTTTGGGAGGCCAAGATGGGCAGATCACCTGAGACTGGGAGTTTGAGACCAGCCTGACCAACACAGTGAAACCTTGTCTCTACTAAAAACACAAAAATTAGCCAGGTGTGGTGGTGAGCAACTGTAATCCCAGCTACTCGAGAGCTGAGGCAGGAGAATTGCTTGAGCCCGAGAGGTGGAGGTTGCAGTGAGCCGAGATCCTGCCACTGCACTCTAGCCTGGGCAACAAGAGAGAAACTCTGTTTCAAAAAAGAAAACAAAACAAGTCATTGATAGTATAACGAAGAGATATCTGCATCCCATGTCTACTGCAGCACTATTCTCAATAGCCAAGATATGGAGTCAACCTAGGTGTCCAACAACAGATGAATGAATGAAGAAAATGTGATATATACACACTATGGAGTATTATTCAGCCATAAAAAAGAGTGAAATCCCATCGTTGATGGAATATAGATGAAACTGGAGGACATTATTTTAAGTGAAAAAAGCCAGGAACAGAAAGTTAAACAGTGCATGTTCTCACTCATATGCGAAAGCTAAAAAAAGTTGATCTCATAGAAGTAAAAAGTAGGACAGAGGATACTAGAGGCTGGGACGAGAGTGACAGAGAGATTTGTTAAAAGATACAAAATTATAGCGAGATAAGAGAAATAAGTTCTAGTGTTCGACAGCACTGTAGAATGACTATAGTTAATAATAATACAATATATAGTTTCAAATAGCTGGAAGGATATTGCACATTCTCAACATAAAGAAATGATAAACATATGAGATGGTGGATGTGCGAATTACCCTGATCTGATAACTATAAATTATATGTATGGAAATATAATTATGTGCTCTCAAGAATATGTACAATTGGTATTTGTCAATTTAAAAAATAAATCTAAAAACTGTATCATTGAATCCTTAAGATGCTAAAGTTCATTTACTTATATAACAAATTAAAAAATTATTTCTTATGCTGTTTTTCAAAAATCATAGCTTTTATGACTTTACATAAATATATCTAAAATAATAATTGTATGATATGTTTTTGTAGTCTAATAAAATTTGCACTGAATTCCAATTTTTTAAGGGTATCTTTTTCCATGTTTTCATCTTTATTTTTATATGGGAAGTTCTAACTGAAATAAGGTGCTCCTCAGTTCTAGGAGTTAACCCTAAAAGTAATCAATGTGATCCTCCTCAACGCGAGTTCCAGAGCTAAAAAGAATGCCTAGTCTATGTTCCTTTGCGTTTTTGTTTTATTTTATTTAAATGTCTGTCTACCTGGTCCCCTTGATTAGGGAGCAAGCCTCCAAGGGTCAAAACCATGTTTCATGTCTCTGCGGCCCAGTGCCTAGCACAGAGCTCTGTCCATATCTGCACTCCAATAAATGTTGACCTAAGACTCTTACACTTACAGATTCACCTTGTAGATAAAAGGGCTTTGGAAGTCATCTAACCCATTCCCTTAACTCTCTATCCTACTTCACCAACAACCAGCTTTTGCAAGACACTTCCAGGGGAAGAGTCTATGCCGAGACAAATGATTTCATTAACCATCACAAAGCTAATTGTTACCTGATTCTTAAACTTGGTCCAACCTTGCCTCTTTTTAGTCTTTGACTGAATAGCTCTAGTTCTCACCTAAAGAGTTATATGAAATACAGTTCCAGAAAGAGAAGCGGATGTTAAGAAGAGAGCGAGACAGGGCACAGAATAGACTTGAACCTCATGTCTATCAATTCGGTATGTGTTCATGTGGTTTCTGACTCTAGAACAGTTATGCCAGTGTCCCTGAGGTTCCTGTGCTTGGCTCCCTCCTTTTTTCACATGTCTGGCATCTCTTGTGTATGCCTGAGAAGGATCCATGCTAAAATTGTAATGACATATATACCTAAATTAGCAGCATACAACTTCCAAAAACCGAGCCTATGCAAGAGCTATTAAAAAAAAAAGGATAATGAAGAGAACAGGATTTGAGTTGCTGCTTCTTGTGTTTCCCTTGGAGCCTTCCCAGGCAAATATGGATCAGAAAGCTTTTCTTGTCAATTCTAATTTGTGGTAGTCTAGAAACTTAACCCTTGCTACTTTGATCGCCTGATTTCATCTTTCAATGGAAAGGTAAAAATGATAAAATAAAACAATATTCTAGATACACTGTTCTCTGTAATTTGATGCAATTCAGTTTATATTCACTTGGCAAAAGTGAACAGTGCTGAATTTTAAGAACTAGTGTCTATATCTTACATCTCATTCTTAGCCAAAAGTGTGGAGTTTAAAACCATTTGCTCACCAAGACCTCAGCAGAAAATTTTTTAAAAAAATAACTGAAATGAAAACATAAGTCATGTAAAAAAAGATTTTTTTTTTAAGATGAAAAAATGTTCAACCTTGCTGGCTTTAGAGAAATAGGCATTAAAATGTCCGGGCTTTTAGCAATAATCCTAGTTGTTAGTGAAACACCAAGTCTGTCTCTAACAGCCATGGGCTATGAAACCTTCCTTTTTCCAAAAAGACATTCTGACAGATAGAATCAAGCCATTCAAGTGTCCCCCAGATACTGCAAATGTTGATCCTCAAAACCCCAGGAGCTTTCTTTCCTTATTCCCCTAGAGCAATAGTTTTCAAGTGTGATCCTGAACTTGTTAGAAATGCAAATTCTTGGGCCCCACCCCAGACCCACTGAATCAGAAACTCTGGGAGTAGGGCCGAGAAATGAGTTTTTCACAAGCCTCCAAGGGATTCTGATGCACGGTAAAATTTGAGGACCACCAATGCAGATGGATTATAATCTTCTTGAGGGCAAGGACCAAACTTGTTGAAGGTTAACCCTGGCTCGTGACTCACAGTAGGTGTTCAGAATGTGTTGAATGAATAAATGATCTGTACACTTTTCCAGAAAGCTCTGAATCTATAGTTACTTTTAATTTTTAAAAATATCTTTTGAGGACTTCTCTAGAAATAGGTGAGTCTGTTTCTTACATTGCCAAATGTACCTGGGGTGGGGGGTGCGGGTGGAGGAAAAATTGCCCCTGTTGAGAAGCACTGCCTTAGATCATTCCTTACCAAGGTACGTTAGGCACTGGCCTCACTCCAAGGCCAGTGCTTCCTGTGCTTCTAGAGTGGCTAGGGAAGCACACTATGGGACAACCTTTCCTCACCATTGACAATGGTCATTTACAAGACCATGGCTTATTTTACAGGGTGAACTCCCAATCCCGGTAAGATGGCCCGAGTTTCATTGCTGGTTTACTAGTTTTGCTTCCTTGGGCAGTGAATTTAAATAACCTGTCAAAAGAATGAAGTGATGGAAGCCAGACTCAAACCAACTGTGTACTCTGTCCACACCTCTTCAGCAATATGGCATATTGCAAAGTAGTGTTCAGAGATGTGCGTGTAGTAGGCTGCCTGCTCTAACACATGAGATTAAATTTAGATAGCCACATAGGGAAATCAGTTTTTAAGAAAGCGGATGGAATTCAGCTGCAAATAGATGGACACCTGGAATTCTGGGAAGTTCTAGCTGCTGCTGCTCAACTAAGGCATAACTGAACTCAAGATTTACAAAAATGTATTTCAGCCCAAGTCTCTCCATAACTACTAACAAGGGACTGAGGAGAAGAATTTATATTAAAAGGATAAAAATATCTACACTTGGAAACAGCAGATTGTGAAAGGGTATGTGACTGACAATTATTAAACAATTAAGAGTATGACTAAGATGAATATGCATTCATTCACCAAAATCTCATATTCCCAAAAAGCAGGAAAGGTAGTACAGTGAGATGGATGATGCCTTCACATGACTCAGATGTCACGTGTTTCTCACCATTGAGACCCCCAAGGCACCCCCTCCCAGCATTTACCAGAATGTGTGTGTAACTATTTACAGTGATTTGTGTAATTATTTGATTGTTTCTCTTGTATCCTGTAGCAATGAGGGTAGAGATTATATCCCACCTACCACTGCAGCTCCAGGATCCAGCTTCACAAACATTTGTTGAATGAATGAATAAGAAAAGAGGACACCCCCAAAGAGGCTGCAAGGGAAAAAGCTACAAAGACAGAAGCACCAGGAAAAAGTAGGGTCATGTAAGTCAAAGCAGGAAAAAAGTTCCATGGTGGGGTGGTCAGCAGTGTCTAATGCCACGAAGGCACAAAGTAGGATAAAGGTTAAAAATCAGCCTTTGGTTTTGGCAAATATGAAGCTTATCGGTAGCCTTAGCGAGAACAATTCCATCAGGGAGCAGAAGCTAACTGCAGTGGGTTGAGTCATCAAGCAGGCATAAGGAAGTAGGGATACCCCATTATAAGCTACTCTTTCAAGAAGCTCAAATCTGAAGGTTAGGAGAATTAGGTCAGTAGCTAGAAGGAAATGTGGAGTCGAGGGGCTGTTTTTCCTCCCAAGGAGTATAAAGGTGTAACGTTGCATGAAACCACTTCAGACAAAGGCCGATATCAATAGAGAAGTTAAAACGCACGCCTCAAGATTTGGGAAGGCTTGGGGTTGGGCTTAAAGAGGTAGGAGCATATTTCCTATCCTAGGACAGAGAATAAAGAAGAAAGGATAGGTTCCCATGGAGATAAATTTCTAAGTGTTAAAGAAGAGGCTCAGAAAATTCTAGCATGATAGGCTCACTTTTTTCTTTTTCCATGAAGGAGATGGCAAAGTCAACTGACATGAGAAAGGTGACAATACTGATGGGTTGAAGAGCGATGGACATTTGAAATAACTTCTTAGACCAGTAGAGGCTGGAGTTCATAAATCAGAACTGGCTACAGGTTATATATGTTTTTTTTTTTTTCTCCAACAGCATAAGATAACAGAGCGAAGTCTGTAGAAATGAAAGAAGAGTCAGATGAGGATAGCTGGAGCTAGTGCAAGGAGGGAAGCACCACGGTGGGAGCCAGGTACCCCCTGGATTTATAATTCATACTGAATTCCAACAACAGAAGGGCTCTAAGCAGGAGAGTGACAGATTTCAGAAGACTGAGACACATTTGGTAAAAAAAAGTAGGAGGAAAACCTGATTCTGGAATTAGGGCAGCCAATAGACGGCAGTATTTTCAGAAAGGAGGGAATGGTCAACAGTGACTTTCTAGTCTGGAGCTCAGGAGGAAGAGGCAACTCTACCTGATGGTATTAAGATCATGGAGGTAGCTGAGATCACCTAGCTTGTGTGTGTCAAATGAGAAAAGAAGAAAGAATAGGAGAAGTTCCCCAGGAACACAGACATTAAGTGGGGCTGTGGTGACAACACAAGAAGAGAGGCTTGCAAAGGAGCCTGAGCAGCTGTCATGAGAGAGGTAGGATGGTGGACTCGGAGAAGAGGCAGAAGATGTTCTTAAAGGAAGGACACTGCTGCCAAGTAGTCAGCCAATTGGTGACAAAGAAAGACCCTGTTGCGAGAAAAAAAGTCAGTGAAGTAGTAGGAACGATGACAGATGACACTGGGTTGAAGACTGAGGAGAGAGAAGTGTAAGAGTGGAAGCAGAGGGCAGACCACTCTTCTGAGACACTGAAGAGGCATAGTTAGAAATAAAGGGGAGTCGCCAGAAAGGAATTTGTGGCTAAGCAAGAGGTTTTCTTTAAGACTGAAATACATAAGCATGATTTAAATGCTGCTGGGATGGAGTTCACAGACCTGGAAGACAGAAGACAAAGCGGATCATCAAGATAGTGGAATTTACTGAAATGAGAGAGGAAAATCCCATCCACAGGAAATGCAGACATGAGGGAGGGGCCAGAAGGACAGTGAAAACATCAGCAACTGGTCCCCCAACTTCTGAGTGAATGTGGAGATATAATCAGGTAAAGGACTGCATCATCTCCCTGGTTAATGATGGAGTCAGAGAAAAGAGTGTCTTATACAGAAGTTGTGATATACTTGGCCGGGCGCAGTGGCTCACGCCTGTAATCTAAGCACTTTGGGAGGCCAAGGCAGGCGGATCACCTGAGGTCAGGAGTTCATGACTGGCCTGGTCAACATGGCAAAATCCCACCTCTACTAAAAACAAAAGCCTGTAATCCCAGCTACTAGGGAGGCTGAGGCAGGAGAATCGCTTGAACCCAGGAGGCAGAGGTTGCAGTGAGCCAAGGTCGCACCACTGTACTCCAGCCTGGGCAACAGAGCTAGACTCAGTCTCAAAAAAAAAAAAAAAAGATGTATTTATTCTCACTGTATAAATTTCTGTGTAAGAAATACTCTCTCATATAGAAGTAAATTTATATATAAAATTATATAGAACCACTATAAAATACTCAGGTTTATAAAATTTATATATAAACTTGTTGACATATAAAATTCCATGTAAATGACTATAAAGTACTCTTATATGAAAAGTATATGAATTAAATTATATATCAACTTACTTTTATATTACAGTATTTTTGTTATACAGAAGTTTATATAGTGACAATAAATATTTCTCAAGAACGATTTCACATAATAGAAGTATAAATTATCCATTTCCAATAGTGAAAAAGAAAAGCAGTTCCACACCAGTGACAGGGCTACGAATCTAAGAGGTACAAAGACTTCATTCTTAGAGACACTGAGGTCAGGGCATGGCCAACACATCTGAAGCTGATAGAATTGGCGCTGGGTTGGTTGGAGACGGTACGGTATTACTATTACAATGGCAGACGCTTGGCCTTGATAACTAGCCAATCAGGGGGAAAGATTCTGGTTTCCTCTGTTATTATCTGAACTAGTGTGTTCCCAAAGGGTTAAGATGGTTTATGGAAGGCACAAGATCAGCAAACCATAAAGGATTAGCACTAAGAAGGAAGGAAGTAGACCAAGTGTTAATGGCGATGCCATGTAAGAGCCAGGTCTGCGATGTATGTTCTACATGGTTTGGGGGGTAAAAAAAATGTCAGCCTCCAGAGCACAGGGCTTTAAGCCTCAAGTACTGTTAACAGTAGAGTTTACTAGTCTACAGCAGGAATTACAACCAGTAATTCTAAGGCCAATTACTCAGGCAAGTTTTACTAGAACAAGGAAGCTCTGCTTCGAGGTCAAATCGATTTCTGCATTTATAGAAGCATCTAGATGTTCTCTGTTCAAACAATGGGGTAAAATCCCCACACATTTTATTTCTGACAGAGTGTTCCCTATATTGCCTGGCCAGGAGTGATAACATTGCTTGGCTATTATTAATAAAACATTGCTGTGGCTGGGCGCAGTGGCTCACACCTGTAATCCTGGCACTTTGGGAGGCTGAGGCAGGAGGATCACTTAACTCCAGGAGTTTGACAGCAGCCTGGGCAACATAGCAAGATCCCATCTCTCTAAAAAATTTTAAAATTAGCTGGGTGTGGTGGCAGACACCTGTAGTCCCAGCTCCTCAGGAAGCTGAGGTGGGAGGATCACTTGAGCCCAAGCAGGTTGAGGCTGCAGCGTGCTGTGACTGTGCCACTGCACTCCAGCCTGCGCAACACACTGAGAGAGACTCTGTCTCAAAAAAATACATCAAATAAAAATTAAAAGCCCATTTCTTTCTTTTGGTACATTACAGCCATGCACTTCAAAGGCTAGCACAATTATTTTTCTGCAGTTCTATATTTAGATTCTAGTTAGAAGTAACCTAGGACCTTCATGTTAGAGGTGTCTTTGGCAAAACTGTTATGTGAGTGAAACGTTTAATCAATTGAGGATAAAGATGCCTCATTGCTAATGAAGATGTGGTTTAAGGATTTTATGCACCCAGTTCATTTATTAACAACTTGTTTAAGCTTTATTAGCTGGGTCTCTACTTTATAACTGTGTTCTTTAATTTACAAGACAATAAAAATTAAAATGGTAAATGGGAAACCTATCTTGCTTTTCAATAAATAATTTATTTTAATAACTTCGTGGGCATGGTGGCCAAAACATTTTAGCTGTGAAAATAATTTCAATTCATATTTTTTTGGAATCAATATTAAAAGGTGATATATTCTCAAATGAAAAGTGGACAAATGATCAGTTATAGGACATGATTAAGAAACTAACCATGAGCCACGTGCAGTGGCTCATGCCTGTAATCCCAGCACTCTGGGAGGCCGCGGTGAGCGGATTGCTTGAGCCCAGGAGTTCAAGACCAGGCTGGGCAACATGGCAAAAACCCGGCTCTACTAAAAATGCAAAAAAAAAAAAAAAAAAAAAAATTTAGCTGGGTTTTGGTGGCTTATGCCTGCAGTCCCAGCTACTCGGGAGGCTGACTCGGGAGGCTGAGGCACAAGAATCATTTGAACCCAGGAGGCAGAGGTTGCAATGAGCTGAGAATACACCACTGCACTCCAGCCTGGGCAACAGAGAGAGAGAGACTCAGTCTCAAAAAACAAACAAACAAACAAACAAACCGCTGCCCTGTGCTTGGAGAGATCTGTTTACCTTTACCACTAAAGACTGTTGGAAGTAAATTTTAGAAGGTTTATAATACCTAAAAGTAATCACTTCTGTCTTATGAAAGGTTCTGCTGAGATTTTTCTATTGTGGCCACTAGTGGCAATATTCCAGAAGTCATATTTAAAGAATATCTTTAGTGGATTCAGCAGTTTTTCAAATATGTACTTTTATCTCTCCAACATTCATGATTGCAATTTTTCAAATTAACCTCATGATATAAACAACTGTACTCTATGATGCCTCATAGTACAGAAACTGGAGGCAGAAAGAGAAGTTGAATGTCTAAGAATCGGTAATTCTAAAACTCAACATAGACCATTCAGCATTAGTGGTTCTAACAATCCCACTGCAAAATGAGTTGATAATGTGTAACACTTTAGTGAACTAAAGCATAAAGAACCATGGTCTCCTAATGCAGCAAATTAAAACACATGATAGCTACAATTAATGAAGTACATAGTCCTGGCTGGGCACTATGGTACGTCCTTTACATAGATTATCTCTTAAATTATTAACCCCGTTTTAGAGATGAGAACATTCGGGCTCAGGAAGGTTATGTAAGTTATATAAAAATCACAAAATAAGAGACAGAGCTAAGATTTGAATCCAAGTGTGACCAGGTTCATATCAAGCTTCCATTTTTGAATTTATATTAGAGGTCAATAACTCACCTTTGTCCTTTTAAAATAATTTTTGGCTCTGTGACCTACACAGGCAAGCTGTTATTTACAAACAACCCACACATCTAGATGGTCACTGTCTCACCGCCCACTTTTACCATCAGGACTCCTAGTGAGCTGTCAAGGGGAATGCTATAATTTTGGAGGTTCTAAATCTGAGGGCTTAAGAAAGAAAGAAATTGTAAAAAGCAGGCATTACTCAGGGGCATAGATTGTCAGGCAGATCTGTCATGCTTATAGGTAACCTCCCAGGGCCAAAAATATATGTGCCCAAACTGCCTAAATATTTCCTGTCACTTCATAATACTGCCTGAAATCCTGCCAAATTAGAACTTCATTTGTGTTGCTTGTCAATTTTTAACGCATAAGCAAATCACCTGGAGATCTTGTTAAAATGCAAATTCTGATTAGGTTAGGTCTGGGTCTGCATGTCTGATATGCTTCCAGAGGGCACTGATGCTGCTGGTCCATGGACCACACTTAAAGAAGCAAAAAAGATGTCTGATATTTACTCTCTGGCTGCCTAGGAGTGCTTCTCATTTAAGTGAGATCTCTTTGTGCATCATAATGGGAGGGATGAGCTGAAAAGCAGCAAATTAAGAGTGAGTTAAGTGTCTACCTCACTTCCCTACTATCTGTAACAAGCAGGTTTGGGCACTGTGGTCAACCAGAAAATTCTTTCCAGGACCACAACCCTTGAGATTATGTTGCAAAGATGCAAGGACAACTTAGAAATAATTTCCAGCACTGGTGGCACTGGATGTCTGTCAGTGGTGCTGGTGGCAGGGTCCTATTCAGACTGTGGTTTACCTGCCTGGCCCGTTTGGTTATGGGCCATTTTCTGAGTACCATGGAGCATCGCCCAGCTGACAAGGGCTTGTACTCCACCCTTGGTGCGCAGAAGGGAAGCTTGGCTGCTACTAAGTTTGGTGCAAAGTAATTGTGGTTTTGCCATTAATATTTGATACAGTGAGTCCCTACTTTCCTCAGGTGAAACTAGAACTTAAGGGGACACGCTCAAGTTCTCATTATACAGTACTAAGTTTCAAAAATCAGCAATTTTATCAAACACATGCTCTACAGCAGTGGTCGGCAAACTTTTTCTGTAAGGGGCCAGAGAGTAAATGTTTTAGAGTTTCTGGGCCACATATGGTTTCTGTTCCAGCTATAAACTCTGCCACTGTAGGGCAAAAGCAACCCTCCACAATACATACATGAATAGGTGTGTTCCAAAAAAACTTTATTTGTGGACCCTGAAATTTGAATTTCATAAACTTTTCATGTGTCATGAAATATTCTTTTGATTTTTTCCCAACCTTTTAAAGATGTAACAACCATTTTTAGCCTGTAGGCCATATAGAAACAGGCAGTGGGCTGGGTTTGCTGACCCTTGCTCTGAAGCAATGATATCTCGATCCAATTTATACCCACAAATTTTTCTCCTTGAAACCATGCATTTAATTCTCATCTCTTCTTACCATGACAATAAGAAGTTATTCTATATAACAAAGAGATTGTACCCACCCAAGCCAGCATTTAGATCATGTCATTTGCTTCCTCAAAATTTTGGTCTTTATAAAAATCAATTAAAGCACCTTAAAAGGTAAGCAGTGATGAAATATTTGAAATAATTGGCTAATTAAACATCACCTAAATAGAAACTGTGATAAGAACCACAAATGCGAAAAGGAATCATGTAGTAACTAATGTGGAGGATATCTTGGTTTAGAGATTTGATGAACACGAGTTTTGATTTAAAAAAATTTGTGCAATACTCACTGCTTTGGTGGGGAGCTTGCTATGCAAGTTGGTAGAAAAATTTATCCTAAAGTCACAGTTCTCTACCACTCTGGATTTTCTCGAGCTAACTACCATTCCAAACTATTTTAGGCACAGTTACTAGTTTCAAGAATCAGGCAAATTGCCCTGGTATTAGCACTGTTCTTTCTGTGGTCACAAGTCAAACTACTGTGGTGAATAAAATTAGATGATTTCTTTAGTCTTTCCTTTTTCAGCCCCTGTAGTCAATTTCCAGTGCTCCATTCAAAGAAAAACCAAAAATGTCCAGAATATAACCTTATTTTAAAACTTGTTAACCACTGATTTCACTTGTTAACCAAATTTTTTTTTTTTTTTTTTTGAGAATGAATCTCACTCTGTCACCAGGCTGGAGTGCAGTGGCATGATCTTGGTTCACTGCAACCTCCGCCTCCTGGGTACTGGTTCAAGCAATTCTCCTGCCTCAGTCTCCCGAGTAGCTGGGATTACAGGTGTGCACCCCCACACCCAGCTAATTTTTTTGTACTTTTAGTAGAGATGGGGTTTCACCATGTTGGCCGGGCTAGTCTTAAACTCCTGACCTCGTGATCCGCCCGCCTCGGCCTCCCAAAGTGCTGGGATTGCAGGCATGAACCACTGCGCCCAGCCTGTTAACCAAATTTCTAATCACACACACTTGAGGCCCAGTAAATGCCTGCTGAAAAGAGGGTGCTGGTGGTGAGGCAACTGAGGGGCTAACATACTGATAGCTGCTGAAATCTTCTACAGCTCTTTCTTGTTAGAACACTCCATCACGGCTCCCAGGCCCACACCACATGAAGGAACTTCTAGCTCTCTTGCTTGCTCTTTACCCAAATGTAGTTAGCAAGTCCTGGGAACTAAACAGCATTGACACACTTGAAGAAGACAATTAGGCAAATCCCAACTGCTGTGCTCCTGCAGCTAAAGATGAAGACTCGTCCATTGGGCAGTTGATTAATTGTACCTAGAAAATTAATTTCAATGGTCCCATGACAACATACGGGCAGTGAAGCTCTAGTGTTCCCCCTGGGTGGAATCTTCCAGGATGTATAGTCTCCCATACCAGCTCATCCTCCCATTTTTCCAGATTCTGGTTCTTCTCTCTTACCTAGTGTGTAGTGGGCCAAATGGTGGTCCCCCAAAAAGATATGTCCATGTGTTAACCCTGGAAACTGTGGATGTAACCTTATTTGGAAAAATGGGGCCAGGTGCAGTGGTGTGCATGTGTAGTCCCAGAACTTTGAGAAGCCAAGGTGGGAGAATCGTTGGAGCCCAGGAGTTCAAGAACAGCCCAGGCAACATATTGAGACCCCCGTCTCTATAAGCAATAAAAAATTAGCTAGGTGTGGTGGCATGCACCTGAAGTTCCAGCTACTTGAGAGGCTGAGGCAGAAGGACTGCTCAAGCCCAAGGAGTTCAAGGCTGCAGTGAGCTATGATCATGTCACCCCACTCCAGCCTGGGTGACAGAGTCAGACTCCCTGTCTCAGGAGAAAAGAAAAAAAGGTCTTTGTAAATGTAATAAAGAATCTTGAGATAAGATCATCCTGATTTAGGATGGACCCTAAATCCAATGACATTTGTCCTTACAAAAGAAAGGTAGAGGGAACTGTGAGACAGACACAGAGGGGAGGGCCTTGTGAAGCAGGAAGCATAGATGCAGTTACAAGTCAAGGAATGCCAAGGACTGTCTACAACCAGAAGCCAGGAGAGATGCATGGGATGATTTCTCCCTCACAGCCTCCAGAACTTCTGGCCTCCAGGACTGTGAAGAATCAATTTCTGTTGTTTTAAGCCACCAAGTTTGTGTGTCATTTGTTATGGCAATGGCAGTATTAGGACTCTAATACACAGTATAAAAAAATAAAAATAGGGCCAGGCGTGGTGGCTCAGACCTATAACCCCAGCACTTTGGGAGGCTAAGGCGGGGAGATCACTTGAGGTCAGGAGTTTGAGACCAACCAGGCCAACATGGTGAAACCCCATCTCTATTAAAAATAAAAATTAGTTGGGCATGGTGGTGTGCATCTGTAATCCCAGTTACTCAGGAGGCTGAGGCAGAAGAATCGCTTGAACCCAGGAAGTGGAGGTTGTAGTGAATGCCACTGCACTCCAGCCTGGGTGACAGAGCTAGACTCCTTCATCCTAGGACACAGCCAAGTCTTACGTAGCAAAAAGAAGTTGTTAAAGGTCTGTAGTTCTGCATTAAGCAACACAGGCATGTACCTATGAATTATATGATTATAAAAGTGCTCGGACAGGCCCATTTCAAACTTGGCCTCTTTCCACCAACTGTGTACTGTTTCTCATTCCATAACTAGAGATTATGTCTTTATATCCTGTCAAAAAAGTGAATTTTTGTGGGCTAAGACATTATCCCTGTGTTAAATGCACCAGTCTTAGTGTAAACAAGCCTAGTTCCTTTTTCATTTTGGCTGTCTAGTATGCATTTGTATATGCTAGGCAGTGTACTAGGCACCTTAAATACATTACCTTGTTTAACCTCTACAGGATTCTGGGAGGTAGGCATTATCCCCATTTTATAGATGAGAACACTGAGAAGACAATGTTCATAAGTGCGTCACTTGTCTGAGATGACATATTTACTAAGTAGCAGAACCAGGCCTCGAGCTACTCAGTCTGATTTCCAAAGCCCCTGCTCTTAATCACATCAACTTCTTTCCTATATCACCTTTCCCAGAGTGCGCTCTCATGGATAAAGAGCAGAAGTATAAGTTACTAGGCAGCAGAAAACTGTAGAGGTGGGAAGATTAGATAAAAAATGTAAATAAGAAGGCTTTAAGACACCAAAATCAAATGTAAATACTTTATAACCTGAATCAGTGCTTGTGTTCATGAGGCTAGAGGTCGTGCATTTTATCTCTAGGTCTGGTGATGCCAATCCTGATCTACAGCCAGCAGCAACAGTTCCCTAGCCTGCCTAGAAGTTTGTAAATGCATGGGCTTTGGTAGGAGGAAGACGAGAGAAAGCAGAACAGATTATTACAAACCCAGTGCATTCCCCCTTGATGGGTCAACAGCGATTTCTTTGTAAGTGAAGGACAGCACACTGGTTTTGATGACTCACGAGAGAGTAGGAGGGAAAAAGAAGTCTGAGGCATTGCCTGGAAGCCTCGCTCTGCTTAAACAAGTACACTAATGGCTCATGCCTGTTACTCCCAGCACTTTGGAAGGCCAAGATGGGTGGATCACTTGAGGCCAGGAGTTTAAGCCCAGCCTGGTCAACATAGCGAGACCTTTTCTCTATTAAAAATAAAGAAGAAAGAAAGTAATAATGATTCAAGTTCTCATTCTCTACAAAATTCACTTATGACTTTCCAAATGCTAGTGAAAACTTTTAGGTATTGCAAAACTGCCTTAATGCATAACGGGATTCTCATTTTACTTAGTCTAAGATGACTTTTTCACTTTGAACTTCTGCATCTTTATGATCGCTTAGCTTTCTGACAAGCAATTTCAGTAAGTGTTTATCAATTTGCATCCACACGCTGACACATAGGGGTCTACTTACATATCCTTCATGTAATTGAGCTTTTGTAAATCATCTTTCTACATGGTACACTTCTGATTTTGTGTGCAGCTTTCTTGTTTAAGCACTGTATTAAATGCTCTGCTTCCTACACCCTTAGGAACAATGAGAATAAAAGCGTAATGTTGGTTACTTCTTCATATCAAAGGAAGTTCATCTCCTGGTTATTAAAAGCTATTATTAAATGGCCATCTTTTTGTGCCCCTGTGTTAAGCACTCTACCAAGATACCATTAAATAGATAAGGGCCACACTCCATAGAGATGATGGTTCTATATTCTGTATTTTCTGGGGGAGTTCTAATTTCATGCAATTCCTTCTTCTTAAATAAAGGCAATTCTCTAAATATATTACCTAATGTGCTTTCACTTTCATATTCTTGTAAGATTTTTCACATAAATCAATTCTCAAAAAATAGTATCATAGGCCTTTTAAAAATAGTCATGTTCAAAAGTCAGGCTCATGAATAAATGTGTGCATTCATTACATATATTTTCATAAATTCAAATTTAAAAGAATAAGAGTAGCTAGAAGGTGGAAGAAAAATCTTATTCTGATTAGGAATGCACAATCACAAGAAAATTTGTGATATATATAGTCATTTTATTCTGTATTGTTTTATTTTGATTTTGGTAAGACAAGAAACAATGTAGAAAGTTTGACAACTTAAAAAAGTAATATGAGTGTGAGAAAGTCCTCTTCCAGGATTAGCAAAAAAATGGTTTTTTTTTTTTTTTTTTCCGAGATGGAGTCTCGCTCTCTCGCCCAGGCTGGAGTGCAGTGGCGCAATCTTGGCTCACTGCAACCTCCGCCTCCCGGGTTCAGGTGATTCTCTTGCCTCAGCCTCCCAAGTAGCTGGGACTACAGGCATGTGCCACCATGCCCGGCTAATTTTTTTTATTTTTAGTAGAGACGGGGTTTCACCATGCTGGCCAGGCTGGTCTTGAACTCCTGACCTTGTGATCTGCCCGCCTTAGCCTCCCAAAGTGCTGGGATTACAGGCGTGAGCCACCGTACCCAGCCTAAATGGCCAAGTTTTATTATGGACAATTAAGCTGTAGAATAAAAATCTACTTTTAATAGCTGGCATAGTGCCTAGTGGTTTTGAAGCCACAAGCAGGTTTACAAAAAACATTTAAATCCATCTGAATCTACAGAAAACTAAGATTACCTAAGCAGAAAATGAAAATAGTTCAGGATTAAGGAAGATTAACAAATGAAGAGTATATGTATTTTAGAAGTATTACTTTATATTTTTATAGTATAATAATAATATTTACGTTCCTACACTTATAATGAGTTTCGTATATATATTAAAATAATTTAATGGATTAGTATGTTTATATTTGCTTTTAGTAAATTTGGTGTATGATAAACTCAGTTGTCTACATTGTGAGACTACACCTGAGGCAATTTCTGTGTTGATATATACCTGAATAGCAGATATTACTTGGGAGCAAATAAAATAGCTTCAGGCCTAATTTTGCAAGTTCATGATGGGAGAGTAAGCATGACTTCAAAGAACTGACTTTGAGTTAAAACTTGAAGAATGAATGTGACAACAGCAAGTATAAAACAATGCCAGGCAGAGGTGGGACTGTTCATGGGTATCAGGGTAAGTGTGTTGATAAATGCTCAAAGTAGGAAATACCTTTCTTCCCCCACACATGTCAGAAAATAACTGCAATAGAATGCAACGACATCTCAGAGATAAAGTGTTCAACTTAGCTCTCAGAGACCGTTCAGTTACATTTTGTAATGACATTGGAATTGATTGCATTTTGAAGGCAATTCTAAATGCAAAGTCTTCATTTTGTTGATAGAAGCTGGGTTATTTATTATGAAATTTCAAAAATTAAGTAAAATATCTAATTAGGATTATACCAGCAAAGGCAAATTTAGAATTCAAGACTTCATGATCCATGGTAAGATTATTTTAATGCAACTCTGCTAATTAACTGAAATTTCCTTTAACTCTCACATCTGCCTTTTACTTCTTAAGACATTTTTCTAGTATTTCACCAGAGCAAGATATCAGAAGGGTAAATCTCTTACCAATGAACTTTGCTAATTCTTAGTGACTCCGTTGACCCTGGTGTAAGGATCAGGAACAAAGTGAATGAAATACATTTTAATACATTTCTGCTTTCTCTAATTCCAAAGACCACTCTAAAGAATAAGTTATTTGTGGGTATTATCTGAAACTTGGGATTAAAAGAGACCGTGATTACCCTTCAGGGATTTTGGCAAAACTTAAGCCATTTCATCTGAAGAGCAAAGCAAGCCTCCCACACTCTTGGCTTATTCTCACAATTATCTAGATATCTAGCAACAAAACTCTTGAGTAGTTTGTTAACTACAGATGCCAAGGGCTGACAGTTTCACTTTCAGTTTTCAGAATATCTTTTGTTTCAGTGGTGTAAGCACACCATCAGAATCTCTACTATTTAAAATAATTAAGTTATAATTGTAACTTCCATTAGATGTAGTACTTAAAGGAATCTAGAAGACACAACTCATTAATTATAGGAATTTGACTGCAAATTCTTCTGGGGGGTCTGAATTGCAAAGGAGGCATCTTTGTAAGTCAGACTCAACTCATTACTCTGTGATGCAGGCTCCTCCAAATGGCAGCAGAAACGTATTACTCTCTAGAAACACTACAGTAGTGCTACAATTTCAGGGTTCTGTAGAGATAAGGACAAATTGACAGAAACACATTCTTAGAAGGACAGTATCATTTAAAATAAAAATACTGTCATAATTGTACACCAGGATAGCTTCTCCATAATAAATTCTTTATGATTTTCTGATTTTTAGAAATCAGAATTGAACTTTTTAATGTGAAAAAAATGAGAGAATTGTTTCAAAATAGGACCACATTTCTGTGTATAATTTTAAAAGTTTAAAAATATTTGATTAGTAGACTGATAAACTGAAACATTTTTGATAAGCTTTTCATTACATACAAACCATATAATTTGTAAAAAATTGGAAATTATTCAAAACTTCACATAACTAAAGTGACCAAATAAATACTGGAGAGGAAAGAAAAGGAGTCAAATGAATCTAGCATTTTCTTTTTTTTTTTTTTTTTGGAGAAAGGGTCTCACTGTGCCACCCAGGTGGGAGTGCAATGGCACGATCATGGCTCACTGCAGCCTCAACTTTATGGGCTTAGGTGATCCTCCCACCTCGGCCTCCCAAGTAGCAGGGACTACAGGCATGCGCCAACACGTCCAGCTAATTTTTTTGGTATTTTTTGCAGAGACGAGGTTTCACCAGGTTGCCGTGGCTGATCTGGAACTCCTGGTCTCAAGTGATCTACCCAACTCAGCCTCCCAAAGTGCTGGGATTACAGGCGTGAGCCACCGCACCCGGCCTAATCTAGCATTTTCTAAAAGGAAGGACCCAGCAGTGAACGGCAATATCAATAATCATGTTCAAGACTATCAGACATGCAAGCTGGGGATGAATGGGTGGAAGGGGAAAATGATGAATAAATGATGAACACAAGTATAGACCCAGTGGATTTGAGATGCCCAAGATGCCAGTGAGATATTCAAAGTTTAACTCAAAAGCCACTTCCCATATGAAATCCTGACAAACACTCCTACGTCCAACTGGAATTAATTTCTCTTCTGGGCTCCCACAGCACTCTGTATTTTTCTAATAGCATAACACTATTTTGTTTGTAGATATTTCTCTGATAGCATTACTATCTTTCCTCTTTATCACAACTGTTTGAAGTTCTTTTGCCTCTTGCATCCACTGTTGCCCAATCCCACTGCTGGAAGGCTCATCTTATTAAGTTCTGTATTCCTAGTGCTAACACACTGTCTACCATAGATGATGTTCAATAAATGGTTGCTAAATGAATTCTCTTGTGATAATAGCACTATGGCAACATAATCGACGGTAAAAATTTCTTCTCAATGTTTACTTTTAGCAGAATGCATTCATTTATCAACTTTCATTGAGAATATGCTAATTTCCATGACCCTGCTAGGAAATAGGAAAATAAAGATGAATGTAATAAGGTGCTCATTCTACTGAAAGTCTTGACTAGTGGAGAATTATGGATCCAACTTTTCATGAAATGCCTTCAGTGGTAAGAATTCTCATATTTGGAATAAAAAATGTTATGGGTTGTGCCAAGATACCTACATACTTCATAATTTTGTAGAGGGCTGTCCTTACTGCAGAAATGTATACTACTATAGTCATATGTGGAAATTCTTTTTATGATGCTAACTGCATGCTAACCAGACTTTTTAATTTAATACTTGCATTAAATAAACCATGCTAGGAATCCAGGAATCTAGCTTGGTTTATTTTCCATACAATGTACTCTTTGTAATATGCATATACTACATAAAAATTCTATTAATGGCCTCGTACTAAAGATGTGTCTGTTGGGGAATCAGTTATTCTGTATAATTTTATCTTAATTGATATATTAAAATCTACCAAAAATATAAACTCCGAGTAAAAGTATCTGCATGGTGTGCATATGTTTATTATTTTAAGTGTCAGCGTATACATTTTCATGCCATAAAGTTATAAAATGAAAAAATAGTAGCCTTTTATATTAAGTTCATGCTTATGTAGTTAGTAAAAACAAGAAAGCAATTAACATACAAACCATGATGGTGGTTAAACTTGCTTCAGTTTGTGTTTTTTAAAATTTGAAAGTGAGAAATACAGCTCGAAGTCAGCTCATATTTTCAGTAAGTACTGATGAGGATGTACTGGCCCTATTGACTACGCTGACCCCATTAAAATATTTGTGAGTCTAAAGGTTCATATGACGCTGTTCCTTCACTCTAGCAACAGGCCATACATGTCTTACATAGGGACTCTGTTCAATTCATTAATACCTCCTGAAGTGCTCAACATCGTGGTTCATTTATAGTAGATACTCAATACATACTCCATTAACTGAATTCTAAGATAAACTGTCTGTTACTGACAGAAATTTTCACTTAAGGGAGTCTCCGTGGCTGAAGGCAATTTTGAAATCCTGTAAAAGAACCCACTCCTCTCCCCAAGTAATGAAGTTTGTCAGTTTCAAGCCTGTAATAAGGTACTGACTTAAAATTAATTTTCTAATAATACAGTACTGCTATGTATCTAATGTGGGGTTAGTCAATGATAGGAAAAAAACATAAGACAGAGTCACATTTAAAAATGTGTGCTTAGGTGCATGGTGACACCTGCCTGTAGTCCAGCTATTCCAGGGGCTGAGGCAGGAAGATCCCTTGAGCTCACGAGTTTGAGGCTGCAGTAAGCCACTGCACTCAGCCTGGGCAACAGAGTGAGACCCTGTCTCTAAAAAAAATTCGTTTTAAGTGTGCTCAGGACATAACAGGAGCCGCTGGTAACATGCCATTTCCACTGTGAATATGGTAAGGACAGAATCCCTGTCTCTAGGCCCTCTTCCACTAGTCAATCTCATCATCACCATCAAGGCCAACATTGGTATTCTCTCCTCTGAGACAAAGTCTTTGACATTTTCTATACTATACTATGTCTTCCTCTCCCCAAATGCATATACAAATAAAATTTGAATGCTTCTTTCTCCATTTAGTGTAATTTTTTTTATAACATAGACCCAATTTTCAAACCCCACAATGGTGGATTTTATTTGATGTATTGTAAAAAGCGCTGGATTGAAGTCAAATGGCTTGGGAGACCTAAATTCTACTCCTGCCTGTACCATGAAAGAGACAAATCCCAAGGCTTTGCAGGGCTTCAGCTTCCTTGTTTGTAGAATAAAGAATTATAAAATCATCTCTTTTGGTCCTACTGGGCAATAAAAAGCTATGATTCTAAGCCTGTTCCCTTTTCTCACCTAAGAATACAAATTTGATACAAAGAGGCCGCAGAATGTGTCAAACACTCCCTGTTGCCTGGAATTCTCTCTTCCTTTGGGTTCAGGGATAAAGGTATGTTATTTCTTAAGTCTCCCTTTGCTTTCTTCTGCTTGCCTCGTAAATATTTTTCCATCTTGGCAGTCCTACATGTCTTCTCACTCTACATGTTTTCCCTAGGTGATGTGACCCAGCCTGTGGCTTCCACTGCCATCCACACACGTCGCTGCCTCTCTCCACATCAGCATCGCAACTATCTCCTGGAAGCTTTCCAAGTGCTGAACTACAGTAACCTCAACCGAACTGCTGTTCATTCACCCCACAGGCTTGCCCCTCCTCTGCATCTTTGTGAGAACCTGAGAGTCATCCTAAACTCCTCCTTCCACCTCACTCCCCACATCAAATCGATTACCAACTTGTGCTGATTTTATCTTCAAATACTCTCCAGAATTGTCGCTGTCATGGACTGAATATTTGTGTTCCCCCAAATTCATATGTCCTAATCCCTGATGTGACTGTATTTAGAGACGTGACCTCTAAGGAGTAATTAAGGTTCAGTGAGGTCAAAGGTGGAGCCCTGATCTGATAGGATCAGTGTCCTTATAAGAAGAGACTAGAGCTGGGCACAGGGGCTCACACCTGTAATCCCAGTATTTTGGGAGGCTGAGGTGGGAAGATCACTCAAGGAGAGGAGTCTGAGACCAGCCTGGGCAACAGAGTGAGACTCCATCTCTACAAGAAAATAAAATAGTCAGACACAGTGGTACACACCTGTGGTCCCAGCTCCTCAGGAGGCTGAGGCAGGAGGATGGCTTGAGCCCAGGAATTTGAGGCTGCAGCAAGCTATGATCACACCTCTGCACTCCAGCCTGGGTGACAGCATGAGACCCAGTCTCTTTAAAAAAAAAAAAAAAAAAGGCCATATATAGCCCAGAAGAGCGTCCTCACCAAAACCCAATCCTGATAGCACCTGGAGGACTTCCAGCCTCCAGAGCTGTGAGAAAATTTCTGTTGCTTGCACCGCCCAGTCTGTGGTATTTTGCTGTGGCAGCCCAAGCTGACTCATCAGTGACCTTCTCTCTGTTACCGCAGAGTAGCTCATCATCCTCTCTTCCCTAGAGTCCAGCCACTCTCTCACATCTACCTACCTAGCAGTATCACTGTGGGTTAGAGTCAGATCACTGCGGATTAAGTCCTCATTCTGCCACTGCCTGTGTAAATCTGAGCAAGTTACTTAATCTCTCTGTGTGTCAGTAACCTCCCTGTGAAATGAGGCTAATAATAGCAGGGTTGTTTCAACAAGGCGATACATGCATAATGCTTACAACACAGCTTGGCACATTATAAGCATTCAACGAAAAGTGAGCTACTATTATCTCATCCGTTATCAGAATAAACCACCTAAGCCACAAGGCTGCCCACATCATCCTCATGTTTTAAAACACTTCAGTGGGCTCCCCACCATCAACAGGATAAAGTCCAAGCTTCCTTAGCATTTCTTAGAGGCTCCATATGAATCCCCAAGTTCCACTACAGGAACACAGGTGAACTTTCCACTCCAACCTCAGGCTCCTTCGTGTCACTCCTCATCCACATGGAGGTAAGCAGCAAGAGACTCCGTGCAGTTCCTGGTGGTTCCCTGACCCTCAGGCAGACTCTCCCCAGCCCTCTGCCTGCAACGTCCTTGCCCTTTGCTTCCCTTGGCCAGCTCCCATTCATTCTCCTTGATTCTGCTTGGAAGTTTCCCTCTCAGGAAGGCTTTATGAACCTTAGTGTAGGTTATGAACCCATCTTTGCTCCTTTCATACCTTTTGCAAGCCTTTATTTATTATGACACTTAACCATTATCATACTGAAGTGACCTGTTGGTGTGTCTTTGTTCCCCACTAGACAGAAAACTCAAGATCAGAGACCAGTTCTTGTTCTTTTTTTTTTTTTTTTTTTTTTTTTTTGTATCACAGTGTTTAGCAGCCTGCTATATGGTAAATGTCAGTAAATGTTCCACAAACTGAATGGAATTGAGCTCTGGAATCTAGACCATCTTTTCCATACCCATCACTCCTGTCTTAGTTGAAGTCCTTATTTCCCATTTGAAGCAATGCAAAGGATTTCCTAACTCTAATCTCTCTTTTCTTCACACCATCCTTTAAACAGCCGACAGAATGGTCATCCTAAAGCACATATATCCTATCTTACATATCCTAGATTCGGAACCTCTCTGGGCTTCTCACCATATAAGAAGAAAGTCTAACCTCCTTAGCAAGGTGCATAGGTCTTCAATGGGCTCCACCTCACTTCTCTATATATACCTATACTCTTGCTACACTAAACTTCTTTCTTACTGTTGCTGGAACAAGTTCAACGCTTTCAAACCTCCCTGACTTTGCATATGCAGTTCATTCTGTCAGGAATGCCCTTCTCTCTTATGCCTGGGATATTCTCATTCATTCCATATGACCTATTTCATAAGTCACTCCTTAATGAAGCCTTTCTTAGATATCCACTGGGGCAATCAGCTGCTTGCTCCTGTTTCCACAGCACATTGTTCACACAGATAGCACAGGACTTACCACAAGTTATTATAATTTTGTCTGTCTTGCCCATTTGAATCCAAGGGCAAGGACGGAATCATTCTCATCTTTGTATGTCCTGGGAACTAGAACTGTACCTGAGACATAATAAACACTTGATATGTTTGTAATTTTTAAATAAGTTAATGAACGGAATGGCTAGAAAAAGTGAGAAGAAACTCTGGCTTACTGTATATCATACTGTCATACTAAAAATATATACTGAAGACAGAATCACATTATATCATCACTTTTCACGCTATAGGCCATGATCCATTATGAAAAAGAGGATAGTAAAAAAATCACAGGGCACAATTTTTGTTTCTGTCACACACATGTGTACCTGTATATTGGACTGGAATGTAAAACGCATGTTCCATTGTAGAACGTGGTTTTAAAAGAGGCTTGGAAAACACTGCATATGGTCATTTCTTAGTTTAGTACAATTTATTATTTTCGTAATAACCTCAGCTATAATATAAGTCTACCATGAAGCATTTTGGGGAGATTAAATGAGATGTGAAAAGTAAATGTGTTAGATAGACTGAATTCATATCATAGCTTGCTCTGATACTTTACAAAACATTTAACCTTACCCACAAGTTTTAGTTTCCTCACTAAAGTCACCCTGAGGACAGTAATGGGATCTTCCTCACAGAGTATTGTGAGGAATACATAAGAGAACGTACGTAAATGCCTGGCACTTAGTATTTATTCAATAAATCTTAGCAATGATGATGATAACAACATGGTACCTGGCACATAAGAGAGTTAAAAATTAGTTTCTTCAGTCAAATGTGCTTACATTGATAGTTGATACTAACTGGGGTTAAAAGGTCATTGCTGGCATCTCAGAAAGATAGATTACAGTGAAATAAAAAATGACTACTGCTTAAAATGAATGAAGACTTATTTACAAAGTCATGTTCATCTGGTACAATAATGAAGTCGCTCAATTGGGAGAAAATGACAAATAATACAAGTGAATATACAATCTTACTTAAGACGAAAGAAATAGGACACCAGGCTAACTATCAGTCTCCTAAACCACAACTTTATTTCTGATACAAAGAGACAGTGAGACAATCAGGGCTTCCCTCAAATAAATTACTTAATCTCTCTTCAATTCAGTTTTGCATCTGTAAATATAAATAACTACAATTTCACAGTATTTCCATTTAAAAAGTTCTAGTGCAACATCAGAAACAAGAACTTAGTAGGTGTTCAAAAAGAAATATAAGTTCTGCTTTGTTAGCCAGCAAATAGTTGCCTGTTTCTAGCCCTCACTTCTTTTCTCCTAAATCCCTATATTGCATTTATTTAACTTAAAGTGCTGGATGTGGCACTACGAGAAAGAAAAAGATATTTGGTAATCTTGTTAAAATCATTAGACATCCCAGGCTATCTGGAATCACCTTGGGCTCACAGTTAGACATCAGCTATGGCTTGTTTTATTTAAAAATTCATCCACTGATGCATGATAATGGAATTCACAGGAGAGCAATTTACCAAAAAAAAGAAATTTATTGATTTATAATGTGAGATATTAATTTAGCCACAAATATTTATTGAGCATCTCCTACATGCCAGGGAATGGACTATATATGGCAGGAAAACAGATACCAATCATTTATATCAGGCATTTTTTTCTAATAGAAGGATATTCGCAGGAGACAATGCATAGCACCATGCCTTGCACGTAACAGACATTTAATAACTATTAGTTGAATAAAATTGGAGACTAGAATGATACATAAAGAGGCAAGAAAGAGCAAAGATAAGCCTTTCTGAGAATTTCTATCATGTTTTGCTCAATAGCTTGTCTTTATCCACTGCTTGTATTTTTCCATGTAGCTAATCCTCATTGGTCGTTAGAATTGAGACACCCTTTCCTTGAAATCAGGAGCTATAGGAGGCCATTCTTCCTACTGGGCATTTTCTTTCTGGGACAGGGTCTCACTCTGTCACCTAGGCTGGAGTGCATCATAGCTCACTATAACCTTGAAGTCCTGGGCTCAAGGAATCCTCTTGCCAAAGAGGTGGGATTACAGGCATGAGTCACCATGCCAGCCTATTTGGCATTTCTACTGTAGACAAAGCAGACTTACAGCAGTAGGTCTACCTGCCTAATACAAAAAGAAAAAAAAGAATTTTAACAAACAAATGAGGGAATCAGATCCAGAAAGTGATTCTTATAACTTAGATTACTTAGAGTAGATCTATAATCTGCTCTAGATCCACTGCATACAGTGGGCCCTTCTTATCATATTCCATAAATAGCACTTTTCTCAGCCCAGCTTTTGATGATAGCTGAACAGACTAACAGTTTGTCTAACAAAGGCTAGAGAAGGGGATAGCAAATAATGGCCCACAGGCTGAATCCTGCCTGCTGCTCATTTTTGCAAAGTTTTATTAGAATACGGTCATTTCCACTCATTTTCACACTGTCAATGGCTGCTTTTGCGCTACAGCAGCAGAGCTGGGTGGTTGGGGCAGGGGTCACATGGCTAACAAAGACTAAAATACTTATCATCTGACCTTTTACAGAAAGTTTGCTGATCCTTGGAGTGTACAAGTATTCTATATTGTTGATTAAGAACAGAACCACAAGTATTAGAAGTTAGACCAGCAGGTGGTAAAGCTGATCATCTACTAATATAATGGAAATTGGGGTTCCCAATCAGGACTCTTGCTTTGATAGAAGGCCATCTTAACGAGGAGGGAGACACCTGCAGGCAAAGTCAGAATTTTCTGCAGGAAAAGTTTTGAGTCCATTTCCCCTTGTGAACAAGTGCTCAGCTATGCATTTCATCTTTAGTAACCATGCTTCTATACCTGGTTCTCCTTGGCAAAGATTTCTTTCTTCAGTAAGTCTCAAGACTTTCTGGGAAGGTAGGGAGATATGGGGGTAAAAGTGTCCCAGGACTTACTGAAGGAAGTGTTTTATGATTATCTGATAGAATCACTGTATCATGGTAGAGAAGGCAAACAGAATATAATCTGAAAATAGAGGTGAGGGTGAACAAATGGGCACTAAAAGTGAACTCAGCATCAGGAAGGTAGCAAAACAAGACATCAGTCAAAGATATGGGGTGATTCAGACCTAAGGAAGATTTAATGTGGGATGTTTCCGTGTGCCAGGAGCTGGACACTTAAGCAAGAGGAGATCCAGGAATGTTGCTAAAACCATGGCCTCCATACTTTATTGGAATTAGCACAACTTATCCTTGTTTCTTTCATTTTGCAATCAAAATCTTTAAAAACACATTATTTAAAAATACATTATTTTAAAAGCTAGAATGAAAATTATGATATCATTTAGGTGGTTTAAAAAACATCCACCAGCCGGGCGTGGTGGCTCATGCCTGTAATCCCAGCACTTTGGGAGTCCGAGGCGGGCAGATCACGAGGTCAGGAGATTGAGACCATCCTGGCTGACACGGTGAAACCCCGTCTCCACTAAAAATACAAAAAATTAACCGGGCGTGGTGGCGGGTGCCTGTGGTCCCAGCTACTCGGGAGGCTGAGGCCGGAGAATGGCATGAACCCGGGAGGTGGAGGTTGCAGTGAGCTGAGATCGTGCCACTGCACTCCAGCCTGGGTGACAGAGCAAGACTCCATCTAAAAAAAAAAAACAAAAACCATCCACCAAAATGGGAAGAAGTGATGAAAAATTACAGTCCAAGAAGAAGGGCCATAGCTGTTTAAATCAATTGGTATATTTGTTATCTAATATAACCCCACGTAACGACAGGTATTTAACAAATGTTTCTGCTGAATTTGACGATTCCATTTCCCTTACATCCCATATGCAATCCATCAGCACCCCACATCCAACCCATCAGTACATCCTGTCAGCATTGGCTCCCAAATATAACCTAAATCTAACACATATCCTACTATCTCTGCTGCTACAACTTTAGTCTGAAATCTCATAATCTCCCACTTGTACTACTGTAGATGACTCTGAATGAGTCTTCTTGCTTCCATTCCACACAGCATCCATACTGATCTATTTTTTTTTTCAATTTTTTGTAGAGACGGGGTCTTGCCATGTTGCCCAGGCTGGTCTTGAACTCCTGGCTTCAAGGGATCCTCCCACCTCAACCTCCCAAAGTGATAGGATTTCAAGTATGAGCCACTGTGCCTAACCCTGACTGATCTTTCTAAGCATAAATCTAATAATGCCCCTTCCTTGATTAAACCCTTCAATGAATTCACATTAAGCAAACAACCTGGCCAGGTGTGATGGTTCATGCCTGTAATCTCAGCACTTTGGGAGACCAAGATGGGAGGATCACTTGAGGCCAGGAGCTCAACATCAGCTTAGACAACATGGTGAAACTACATCTCTACAAAAAATACAAGAATTAGCTGGGCATGGTGGTGCACCTATAGTCCCAGCTACTCGGGCGGCTGAGCTGGGAGGATCACTTGAGCCCTGGAGGTCAAGGCAGCAGTGAGCTGTGATTATGCCACTACACTTCAGCCTGGATGAAGTGAGACCTGGTCTCCAAAAAAAAAAAAAAAAAAAAAAAGAAGCAGGGCAAGGTGGCTCACACCTGTAATCCCATCACTTTGGGAGGCCAAGGCAGGCCTCCTGGATCATGAGGTCAAGAGATCGAGACCATCCTGGCCAACATGGTGAAACCCCATCTCTACTAAAAATACAAAAATTAGCTGGGCATGGTGGCATGCACCTGTAGTCTCAGGTACTTGGGAGGCTGAGGCAGGAGAATTGCTTGAACCCGGGAGGCGAAGGTTGCAGTGAGCCAAGATTGCCTGGTGACAGAGCGAGCGAGACTCTGTCTCAAAAAAAAAAAAAAAAAGAAAGAAAGAAAGAAAGAAAGAAAGAAGAAATCCTTAGTCCTGTCTTAACTACTTGAGAGGCTGAGGGAGGAGGATCACTTGAACCTAGGAATTTGAGGCTCCAGTGAGCTATGACAGCACCACGGTGCTCTGGTCTGGAGAGAGTGAGACCTTGTCTCTAAAGAAGAGAAAAGAAAAGAATGAATGAATGAACAAAAAGAAAGAAGGAAAGGAAAAGAAGAGAGAGAGAGAGAGAGGAAGAAAGGAAGGAAGGAAACAAAATAAAATAAAATAATAAATAAATAAACCCAAATCCAACTTCTTTACCCTAATCAACAAGGCTCAAATAATCTCATGCCAACTAAGTCTCTGAACAGCTCCTTCCATTCTATTGCCAGATTACTCCATCTTTCAGCCACAAGACCTTTTTATCTTCCTTTTACCAGCCAAACACAATCCTACCTCAGAACATGTGCACTTTTTCTTTTCTCTGACTTGAATCTCCTCCACCCATTATATAATCTTAGCTCAAAGAGGCTTTTCTTGACAACTTAGCGAAAGTATTTATCCCAGTCATTCTCTGCTACATTATTCCAATTTATTTTCTCCATAGTACATTTCAGCACATAAAGATTTCCTTAGTATGTGCTTGTTGCCTTTCCCCAACCTCCTAAAATGTCAGCATTCCTTGAGGGCAGAGACTGTTTCATTCCTGTATCATCAGCACCTAAGACAGTTCCTGGAACATACCAAGTACTTAATAAAAATTTGTTTATTGACTAGCTATGACACATTTTACTTATATAATTTCATTTTCTCAGCAAAATGAACACTTTGAAATGTAATTAATTACTGATTTTTGCAGTATTTTCTAATTATTTAAATAAAATATTTACTATTTTGGTCAACCAGAATTCTTACATTGTTTTAGCACCCAGATAGCTTCTAAAAATGCTTACAATTAACACAATTTTATCTAGCAATATGTATTTATCACTAGACAGAATGCACTGAACTCTTCTTCATTAATAAAAAGCAATCCAGGCTGGGTGCAGTGGTTCACGCCTGTAATCCTAGCATAGTGGAAGGCCGAGGAGGGAGGATCACTTGATACCAGGAATTCGAGACCAGCCTGGCCAACATGGCAAAACCCCATCTCTATAAAAAACACAAAAATTAGCTGGGTATAATAGCAGACATCTATAGTCCCAGCTACTCAGGAGGCTGAGAGGTGGGAGGACTGCTTGACCCCAGGAGATTGAGGTTGCAGTGAGCCGTGATTGTGTCACTGCACTCCAGCCTGGGCTACAGAATGATACCTCATCTAAAAAAAAAAAAAAATTAGCCAGGCATGGTGGCATGCACCTGTAGTCCCAGCTACTCAGGAGGCTAAGGTGGGAGGGTCACCTGAGCCTGGAAGGTAGAGACTGCAGTGAGCCCTGGGTAGCCCGCGCCACTGCACTCCAGCCCTGAGTGACAGAGACCCAGTTTCAAAAAAACACAAAAAACAGAAAACAAAACAAACAAACAAAAAAACCCAATGCATTGCTGAAATGTTAAATCCATTATAAAGAAAAGTACAGGGGTGGGCATGGTGGTTCATGCTTGTAATCCCAGCACTTTGGGAGGCCAAGGTGGGCAGATCACTTAAGGTCAGGAATTCAAGAACAGCCTGGCTAACACAGTGAAAAATGCAAAATACAAAATAAGCCGGGAGTGGTGGCGCATGCCTGTAATCCCAGCTACTCGGGAGGCTGAGGGGGGAGAATCGCTTGAACCTGGGAGGTGGAGGTTGCAGTCAGCCAAGATCGAACTCCAGCCTGGGTAACAGAGACTCCATCTCAAAAAAAAAAAGTAAAAAGTATATAGTTGATTCTGCAGGGACTTAAAAAAGTATAAATATCTTTTTTAACATCACAAAGCTCTGATATCTGCAGGTTTATGACTAACTACTAGCTCACTCCCATGAATACACGTATGTAAACAGGCTCTATACAATCTACAATCCCAGACTAAGGGGAAAAAACTGTCCTGTCACTGTGGTCTCCAACCCTTGGCCCATTTCTTTCCTCTTGACCACAAAACTTCTCAGGAGTTGCTTGTTTCCTCTTGATCCACTTATCTTTAGCCCACTCCAATCTGGCATCGGTTCTCAGTACTCTCCACTAAAACTGCTTTTATGAAGGCCATCAATGACGTTCATGCTGCCAAATCCAGCAGACACCTCCTGTTTTCTAATTTTTTTTATTGTTATTTTTTAAGAGACTGGGTCTTGCTCTGTCACCCAGGCTGGAATGCAGTGATGCCATCATAGCTCACTGCAGCCTTAACCTCCCTGAGTTCAAGAGATCCTTCTACCTCAGCTGGGACTACAGGCATGCACAGCTATGCCTGGCTAATTACTCAATCTTTAACATAGCTGATAATTCCCTCCTTGAAACACTCTCAACTTTTAAGAAACCCTGTTATTTTCCTCCTACATTTTTAGCCAGTTCTTCTATCAGCTTCTCCTTATCTGACCTCTAAATGTTAAGAACATTAACAAAGACTGAACCTAGTTTTTTTCTCCCCTTACTGTACTGCTCCTGGGCGATGTCAATCAGTCCCATTGCTTTAGATACTATCTGTTGAAACACTGAAATCACTGGTTTTTTTTGTTTTTTTTTTTTTTTTTTTTTTTTTTGAGATGGAGTTTCGCTCTGTTGCCCAGGCTGGAGTGCAGTGGTGCAATCTCGGCTCACTGCAAGTTCCACCTCCTGGGCTCAAGCAATTTTCCTGCCTCAGTCTCCCGAGTACTGGGATTACAGGTGTGTGCCACCATACCCAGCTAATTTTTCTATTTTAGTAGAGATGGGGTTTCACCATGTGTCCAGGCTGGTCTTAAACTCCTGACCTCAGGTGATCTGCCCACCTTGGCCTCCCAAAGGTTGGGAAAAGATATCCCAATCTTTTTCCTATGATTTCTTAATTGATCTACTTGACATATCCACTTGGACTTTTAATAGGCATCTCAAACTTAATGTGTTCAAAATAAACCTCGTGACTTTCCCTCCCAAACCTGTCCCTACCTCCCTCAATAACTAATATTATCATTCTTATATTCATATATTGAATAAATGTTTGTTCCCCCAAGTATTTGTTGCTATAAATTTATGAAGAATTCTTTTCTCACTAGTTATTATAATTAAAATGTAATATTTATTTTCTTTAAAAACTTTACTTTGTAGGATTATTATTTTTTAAACAGGGACCAACAATAAATAACTTCTCTACTTGATTAAAACTAGGGCTTCCTCTTGTGCTCCCTCAGGACTATTTCTTTGTAAAAACAATAGGCTAAATCAGTACTGGTGTCAAAGAAATCATAATCTCACAACTTTATAAATACAGCATGTGGCAAGGGATTTTCCCATCTTATATAGTAATAAAATTTTCAGCTGTGCCATGGCTAAAAGTTTACCATCAAAGTTGGAATTTTAAATTAGAGGTAGTCATCTTTCTTTCTTTTTAAAGAAATGGAGTCTCACTATGTTGCCCAGGCTGGAGTGCAGTGGCTATTTGCAGGCATGACCACAGCACGCTACAGCATCCTGGCCTCAAGCAATTCTCCTGCCTCAGCTTGCCAAGTAGCTGGGACTACAGGTCCCTGCCACCACACCCAGCAGAAATATTTAGCTTTCTGAATTTCTCAAGTGTGTGTATGAATGAGACTAGTGGGGTCCTTAACCAAGATTCACAGGATTTTTAGTGATTTATTAAATAACTTGGATTTGTATCTACCAGCATGTTCTTTGAGGTACAGGTATGTCTTTTATATCTCCTAATATAGTTCATTACAATGCTAAATACTAAGATGTGATGCTCACACACTACAGAATAGCCAAGCAAATGAACTACTTATTCTCATAGGGCTATTATAATTAACAAATTCTTGTATCACCCCATCATTATCAACAACAACATGATAGGATTTCCTTTTATCTTGAAGAGTCTGGAAAAAGGGTAACAGAGAGATATTTCTGAGGAACAAACTGGTAATGAGGGAGCTACTGTGTCCATTACAATACTCCTTCTAGAAGCTCAATACATAATGACTAATCTCTGGAAAAAAGCAAGTGTGAGAATGGAAGGCTCTTCTTCAAACTATGCAAAATGAATCAATCAGCAGTGAACAAATTTATGAGCCAAACAAATTCCTACAAAAATTACCATCATATGCTGTCATGCATGTCTGCCAGTCTATTTATCATATTATTTAAGAAACAAACATTTATTGAAGATTTATCATGTGCTCAGCACTGCCAAAGAGGAAATAAAGAGCATAATATCTATTCTTAGAAAATAACATTAACACAAATAGAAAACAAGAAACCATAATGTTAAAAATATTACATAGTAACACAGAAAGACAATGTATAATTATACATACGCACTAAAGCAAAGATAACATAATTTATAAATTATGAGGTACAGAATAGTTAGATTCTGAAAATTAAAATAATCAGGAAAAACTTCATGAAGATGAGATCTGGGCTGGATCCCAAAGGATAGGCAGGTGGATCATGTAGAACAGGGGAAAGGAGTTCCTGATCGGGGATACAATATATGTAAAAACTCGGAGACAGGACTGAGCGTGAAATGTTAATGGGACAGTAAAGAAATCTTCCTCTGCAGCGGGGGAAAAAACAGAATAATGGGAAACTGCATGGTTAAAAGGTTTGATGTTAAGATAGTGCTTGGACACAAAAGATCTTAAAGTTGAGTCAAAAGAGTACAATGAAAGCATTAGAAATAGAAGATAAAACACAATTAGGCCGGGTGCAGCGGCTCATGCCTGTAATCCCAGCACTTTGGGAGGCCAAGGTGGGTAGATCACTTGAGGTCAAGAGTTTGAGACCAGCCTGGCCAACATGGTGAAACCCCGTCTCTACTAAAAATACAGAAATTAGCCGTGAATGATGGCTCGTGCCTGTAGTCCCAGCTATTTGGGAGGCTGAGGCAGGAGACTCGCTTGAATCTGGGAGGCGGAGGTTGCAGTGAGCCGACATCGCGCCACTGCACTCCAGCCTGGGTGACAGAGCAAGCCTCTGTTTAAAAAAAAACGGTAAAAATAAATAACATTTACTATTGTTTTCTGATGATATATATGGCCTCTAATTGTAAAGCTGAATGCCTAGTTTACCACTTTTTTTTTTTTTTTGAGACGGAGTCTTGCTCTTGTTGCCCAGGCTGGAGGGCAATGGCACGATCTTGGCTCACCACAACCTCTGTCTCCCAGGTTTAAGCGATTCTCCAGCCTCAGCCTCCCGAGTAGCTGGGATTACAGGCATGTGCCATCATGCTCAGCTAATTTTGTATTTTTAGTAGAGATGGGGTTTCTCCATGTTGGTCAGGCTGGTCTCAAACTCCCAACCTCAGGTGATCCACCCGCCTCAGCCTCCCAAAGGGCTGGGATTACAGGCGTGAACCACCGCGCCCGGCCTATCATTCTTATTTTATGCATTAGGAAACTAAGGCTCAACAAGATTAAAGCTGTCTAGGGTCACAAAGATTGTAAGTGGAGGGGCTAGAATTCAAAATGAGACCTGCTTGACTCCTAAGCCTGTACCATTTCTACTATATTTAGAGTGAAGTAGATGGGTTGAAGAAATATTTAGGAGGTGAAATTTCAAAAGTGTACAGTCAGAAGAGAAGACATATATGGAAACCTAAATTTTCACACAGTAAAGTGTCAATAATAAAGGCATAATGCCAAAATGACAGAGGCTGTGCATGGTGGCTCATGCCTGTAATCCCAGCACTCTGGGAGGCTGAGGCAGGAAGATCACTTGAGCCCAGGAGTTTGACACCAACCTGGCCAACACAGCGAAACCCCATCTCTACTAAAAATACAAAAAATTAGCTGGTAATGGTGGTACACACCTGTAATCCCAGCTACTCAGGAGGCTGAGGCATTAGAGTCACTTGAACCTGGGAGGCAGAGGTTGCCATGAGCCAAGATTGTGCCACTGCACTCTAGCCTGGGCAACAGAGTGAGACTCTGTCTCAAAAAAAAAAAAAGGAAGACTCGAGGGCTAGAACCCTGAAATTGGGAATGAACAGGACTGGCTGAAAATGTTTCTTGCACCTGATAAAAATCTTGAAGAAGAATGCTTTAAATAGATAAGAAAGGAGAGAGAGAGGTGGGCAGTGAGAGGAGACCACCCTAAGTAATCAGAGATTACTTACGTTGGTTACTCAGGCTGGTCTCTGAATCTGATTATAAATGAAATAGAGATTACTTAAAACAAAGGGCTGTAAGGTAGCACTGTCCAGCAGCACTTTCTATGATGGAAATCTTCTATATCTGCACTGTCCAATAAGGTGTAGCTGCTAGCACATGTGGCCACTGAGTACTTAGAATATAGCTACGACAACCGAGAGGCTGAATTTTAAATTTAATTTAATGAATTCAAACAAATTTATTTTTAATACAGCACTTTAAATTTTATTTTTAAATTTTAATCTATTATTTATTTAGAGACTGGGTTATGAGACTGGCTAATTTTTGTATTTTTGGTAGAGACGGCGTTTCACCATGTTGCCCAAGTTAGTCTCAAACTCCCGGGCTCAAGTGATCCACCTGCCTTGGCCTCCCCGCAAAGTGCTGAGAATACAGGTGTGAGTCACCACGCCCGGCCTAAACTTAAATTTAAATAGCCACGTGCGGGTAGTGGCTACCATACTGCACATGCAACTGTAAGATGTAGAAGTCAGATGTGAGCAAAGAAATGACAAGCCGTTCAATGCTGTTAGAGAATGAAATTCAAGGTTCCAATGATCTGAACTTGTGTCCCCTCAAATTCGTATGTTGAAATCTTAATCCTCAATGCAACAGTATTAAGAATTTGGGGCTTTAGGAGGTAATTTGGTTTTGAGGGTGGAGCCCTCATGAATAGGATGAGCACCTGAGGTAGCCTCTTTGACCCTTCCACCATGTGAGGACACACCACGAAGGCACCATGTTGGAAGCAGAGAGTGAGCACTCCCAAGACACTGAATCTGCCACATCTTGATTTTGGGCTTCTCAGCCTACAGAACTGTGAGCAATAAATATCTGCTGTTTATAAATTATCCAGTGTAAAGTATTTTGTTATAGCAGCCTGAATAGACTAAGACAAAGGTGGACTAAGGCAGGATAACAGGTTAGAAAAGGAGGCAGGGCCTTTTTTTTTTTTTTTTTTTTTTTGAGACAAAGCCTCACTCTCACCCAGGCTGGAGTGCAATGGCATGATCTTGGCTCACTGCAACCTCCACCTCCAGGGTTCAAGCAATTCTCCTGTCTCAGCCTCCCAAGTAGCTGGGATTACAGGTGTGCACCATCACACCCAGCTAATCTTTTGTATTTTTAGTAGAGACGGGGTTTCACTATGTTGGCCAGGCTAGTCTTGAACTCTTGACCTTAAATGATCCACCCGCCTCGGCCTCCCAAAGTGCTGGGATTACAGGTGTGAACCATCGCGCCTGGCCGAGGCACAGTGTTTTTACAGAGAAGCCTGTTTAAGGTTTAATCATATAAAATGTATGATATCCAGTAAGTTTTGATATAAAAAAGAAACACCTGGCGATTTTATATAATATATTGTGCTAAGGAATTTTAAGCACTCTACATTCTGCTCTCTAAGCTCTGTAAAGAGCACCAGGGATTTTTTTTTTTTTTTTCTTTTTGAACAGGGTCTTGCTCTGTCAGCCAGGCTGGAGTGCAGTGGCACAATCTTGGCTCACTGCAACCTCTGCCTCTCGGGCTCAGCGATTCTCCCACCTCAGCCTCCTGAGTGGTTGGGACCACAGGCGCATGCCACTACATCTGGCTAATTTTTTGTAGAGATGGGGTTTTGCCATGTTGCCCAGGCTGGTCTTTAACTCCTGGGCTCAAGCGATCCTCCCACCTTGGCCTACCACGCATGCCTGGCCACAACAGGGATTTTTAAATGTAAGACTACCTAGTCAACTCTTATTCTATATTAACAATATAGACAAGAAATAACCTCTAAGTAATCTCTATTTCATTTATAATCAGATTCAGAGGTTCTCTTATGCTTTACAATATTGTCCTACTGTGGGTAGCGCAATAACTAAGGTAATCTGAAAGACCAGTTATATTATATACTATAGTTAAATGCATTTCAACTGCATGGGAGAAAGCAACTGTGTTCTTTCCTCTCAATTTTAACAGAAGGAAAATTGTCAAAATTAGCTTATTTAGAATGTCCTATCAGAGAATTATTTTGATTAAAATATATTTTTAATCAATAAAATATTTCTCTTTGGTCAATACTTGTCAATATAGAATAATATCTAGCCACAAAATTAAAAAAAAAACATTTTCCCCTATATTACATTCATGGATCTTCTTGAATTTCTGTTATCTAGGTGCTTTTAAAAGTCATATTTCTGATAATATGAAATCACAGCTCCTTTTCTTTGGCATATTTAGTTACTGTATTAAGAAAATGTACAACACATAATTTAGAATGGGTAATTATTATATTCTCTTTATTCTTATATTGAAAATGACATGAAAATTACCAGTCTTCCCAGGTAATATAATTTAAGTTAAAGAACATCTACATACTACAACCAATACCCATTCCCCTATGTTATGTTTGGAAAAACATAGAAGTATCTTTAGTAGTACTCTTAGAAATTATCCCAGGTTCAGCATATTGGTATTTTATTTCCAGGTTTAAGTTACAGTATTTTGGGCACCCCAAGTTTAATAAACTATTCCCTGCAGAAACCTGACAAGTGAAGTTGTGGCTGGGAATATGTTAGTCTTCAGATAAAATGAATTGTTTAAGAATTTGCTAAAGATCTCAAAGCATCTTTCTTAAATCTAAAGAAAGTCAGGAACAAAGCCACAACCAGGACCATAGCATCAGAAGATGGAAAGTTGCTTTGTCTTCAAACTTAAAAAACATTTTCCATTTTAAAATAATTTTACTATTTACCTGTGATACTGTTGAAAATTATGAAAAAACAGATAATTTAAAATTTAGTGCTTTTTTTTAAAAAAAAAAAAAAAGCGAATCCCTGGGACACTTCATATAGTGCAAAACAACAATTCAAGAATTCAAGCATTGAAAGAAATAATCTCTTATCCCCCAGTCTCTGAAAGGGATTGCCTTTACTACTGTTCCCATCTTTATGTCCATATGTACCTAAGGCTTATCTCCCACTTACAAGTGAGAAACTATTCAGTATGGCTTAGTCATTTTTAATGCAAGAGAATAGGTAAAAATGCCAAGCACCAGCCAGAGTTTTTTCTTTGCAGATAGATGTGACTCTTACAGGAGCAGCAGGGATTTCCCACTTTGGGCGGAAAGCAGCATTTAGGTATTCCCCCTCCAGTGCAGTTACAGACCACCCCCCCGTAGAAGCTGCTCCTGTCCTCTGTGGCATGTCAGCCTCTGATTATCTTTTAATAAACAATATGGCATATTAAGTCTCTTTTATGCCCTTCTTTGTATTCCCAGGTACCACCTCCATGTCAGGATAACAAGAATTTGGTAATGTTTGTTGAATAAATTTAGCAGAAGTTGAAAGAAAAATCCTGTTTCTACAGAAAGATACCACTGGCTTTTGGGGAGCCCGAGTTCATGATGAAACTAAAGAAAGCCACAAAAGTTCACCTCAATGCCAAGACATTTCTTGATTTTTGAAAACCCAGTTGTCGAACCACCCATCTATAGAAACTTGAAAGACTAAAAACTATCTTACTCTAAACATTTTCTAGGAAGTTGATTCTACAACACATTTTGGTTTTCCAATTTGGCTTCTAATAATTATTTCAAAGTTTCTGTGGCCTAAATTTTGTTTTACATTGATCCTTTGAATGGACTACTGTTTCCACATTTTAGAACATTTAAAAAGATATCTACAACCCGAGTCTAATCATAAAAAAAATCAGACAGATCCAAAATGTGGAACATTCCACTAAAAAAGGAGTGGGGAGAGGTCTTTATTCTTCCAAAAATATCAATGCCATAAAAGACAAAGACGGCTATGGAAATGTTACAGATTGAAGGAGACTAAAGTTAAATGCAAGAAAGGAAAAAATGGCATATAGGACAGTATTGAATTGACTGACAAAACTGGATTACAATAGTAGAGTATCAATGTTAAACTTGCTGAAGTTGCTAACTGTATTTCTTAGGAATTATTCACCTAAGAATTTAGGCACACAGATATGATGTATGTAAGTTACCCTTAAATGGCTTAGAAAAAAATGTGTGTATATTCATTTACATACGTATCTACACACACGTGTATTAGCGGAAGAGAGCAAGGCACACATGTGCATAAGTGATAAAGCAAATGAGATGAAATCTTTATTTTTAAATTTAATTTTGTAAGTTTCAGCTTTTTAAAATTTTAGATTCCGGGGATACACGTGCAGTTATTACTTGGGTATATTGTGTGAAGCTGAGGTTTGGACCTCTAATGTTCCTGTTGCCACAACAGTGAACACAGTACCCAGCACGCAGTTTTTCAGCCCTTGCCCCCTCCCTCCCGCTCTCCCTCCTTGCTTTTGGAGTTCCCAGTGTCTACTGTTCCCATCTTTATGTCCATGTGTACCCAAGACTTATCTCCCACTTACAAGTGAGAGCATGCAGTATTTAGTTTTCTTGTTCTGCGTTAGTTCCGTTAGGATAATTGCCTCCAGTTACATTCATGTCACTGCAAAGGATTTGATTTCATTCTTTTTAATGGCTGTGTAGTATTCCATGTTGTATAGGTAACACATTTTCTTTATCCACTCATCAATTAATGGGCACTTACATTGATTTCATGTGTTTGCTATTGTGAACGGTGCTGCAATGAACATCTGAGCGCAGGTGTCTTTCTGGCAGAATGATTTATTTTCCTGTGGGTATATACCCAGTAATGGGATTGCTAGCTCAGATAAGTATTTCTATTTTTAGTTGCTCTCCACAGGGGTAGAACTAATTTGCATTCCCACCAACGGCGTGTAAGTGTTCCCTTTTCTCCACGGCCTCGCCAACATACGTTCTTTTCTGATTTTTAATAGTAGCCATTTTGAACTGGTAAGAGATGGTGTCTCATTGTAGTTTGGCTTTGCATCCAAATGAGACAAAATCTTAATGACAGGTGAATCTAGGTAAAAGGCATACAGACGTTCTTTGTGTTGTTTTTTTAACTTACATTTGAAGTTATTTTCAAATGAAAAATAAAAGCAAGCAAAAAAAGGTCATTCTTCATCTAGTAAACTCTTCAAAGATTACCACCCCCTTCAACAGTTTTTCCTGGTTCTAGTGAGTCTTCTCCCATTTGTTTAGATCTTTGTTGAAATGTAGTCTCAGATAAAAAATTGTATTTTTATTTCTTTTACATATTTCAAACAATCTAAATTCTTTTTAAATGAAACTCATTAAAAATACTGCATTTGTTTCTAAATAAAATGGTAGAGGTAATTTGCACCTTTCCAAACAGAAGCAATAGGAGCAACCCAGATGTTCTAGCCACGATCCAAGTCAACCACATTCAATCTAAGAAGTAATTGAAGGCTGTAACGACTTCTGTAAGGCCTACAAAAATGAGTTCAGACACAAGCTCTGCTCAGTAAAAATCTAGTGGCAGATGATATATACAATGATCTGAGAAAAAGGCAGAATCAACAAAGGTTGTATTTTTATCTATTGCTGCGTAGCATATTTCCTTAACTTTAGTAGCTTGAAACAATAAACATTTATTATTTCATAAAGTTTCTGTGGTCAGAAATCCAGGAGCAGCTTAACTGGGTGGATCTGGCTCAGCTGTAGACAAGATGTCGGCTGGGACGGCCATCCTTTGAGGGCTCTGAGGGCTTTGAGGGCTGCACGATCCAATTGCAAGGTGGCTCACTCACATACTAGGCAAGTTACTGCTGGGTGCTGGGAGGAGACCTTAGTTTCTTATCACATGGACCTCTCCACAGGGCTGCTGGAATGTCCTCATGACCTTCCCCATAGTGAGTATTCCAAGACAGGAAAGTGGAAGCCACAATGTCTTTCATGACCTAGCCTCAAAAGTGACATACTGTCATTTACACAATATTCTACTGGCTGTACAAGTTAATCCTATTTAGTCTGGGAGGGGACTGCATAAGGGCATGAGTAACAAGAGGCAAGAATCCTTGGGGGCCATCTTGGAAGCTGGCTACACAGAAGAGAAAACACCAGGGGAGTGCGAAGAAGGTGCAATTAAACTCAATTCCTTGGTATGCCAATGGTAAGAAATATTAGGTGATCTCTGGGGTGTAACCTTTTTAATTTAGTTCTTCACTGAATAATCTGGCCAGTAATTGTAATACAAAATACGGCACTCTGACAATATTCTCTCCCTTTATAATCAATTACACACCAGAATATATATAAAGAAAGACTTACAAAGTCACAAGTAATTGTTTGGTATTATTTTTATAATCACATACTAGGGCCCTACAATTAGCATTCACAAACATCACTCCATGTTGGCCAGATAAGTCTGTCTTTATAGTGGTTTACCATACGCGCCTTAGCATGAAGTTACATGTGGTTTCCTTAGCCATCAGATGCTCCAAATGCAAAAAATGTCTCACCACAGTCACAGAATCATGGAATCCTAAAGTTACCTGGGGTTTCTGAAAATCTCATGGGAACAACTCACGAGAATTAAGGCTTAAGAAAGTGATTTATCAAAGAACAAAACCAGCAAGACTTGAGTTTAGAACTCGCAGCAGAGTTGTGACTAGAACCTGTTGAAATAGGCAATGTAGAAACCCAGACTAAGGCACATTCTCTACAACTTTACTATGCAAGTATGCTTAGATACTCCTTAGCAAACAGCAGGCCTTGAGTAAATTCTTTCAGAACTGAATACACAAAGGATACAGAACGGAATACACTAACAATAGTGCATGATGTGCTCATTTCTGTAATAGAAATGAATTAATTCTGATCCATCTATAATTTATTATTGCTCCATGATTAACGGAAGGCATAGGAAAGATGACTGGAATAGTGTAACTAGTACAAACAAGTATTACACTTGACTGAACCTCATTACACTGCAATTGCATATTATATAGTATGTAGGTGAACAAATACTGGGTTAGTCAGTGGACCTACATTTGAATACTGGTTCTGCTCCTAGACAGCTGTATGATTTGAATGACTTCTTTATACTTTCATAGTTTCTCTGTTCTTCTCTGTAAAACAAAGGCTTAGAAGATATTATGGGTTAGATTATGCCCCTTACAAAAGATGCTGAAGTCCTAAACTACAATACCTGTGAATGTGACTTTATTTGGAAATAGGGTCTTTGCAAGTGATAAAGAAGAGGTCATGGAGTGACCTAATCCAATACGACCAGTGTCCTTATAAAAAAAAGGAAATTTGGATACAGATACACACAAACAAGGAGAATATCAAATGAACATGAAGGCAGAGACCGGGGCGGTACATCTACAAGCCAAGGGACACCAAAGATTTTCAGCAAATCACCAGAAGTTAGGAAGAGTCATGGGACAGGTTCTCACAGTCCTCAGAAGAAACCCACCATGTCAATACATCATTTTGGACTTCTAGTCTTCAGAACCGTAAGAAAATAAATTTTTGTTGTTCAAGCTACCCAATTTGTGGTACTTTGTTACAGCAGTCCTAGCAAACTAATACAAATGAGCTCTTAACACTGGTCTAAAATAGGATAATCCTATGAAATGCTACAAATGTTTGGGAAGATTTCTCATACTCAACTGTTTACAGTATACCACAAGCCTGTCAGTTGAAGATACAAACAGACCCTCTATAATCCTCTATACTTATATGCAAGGAACAGCACACTTTTTCTGCAAAAGGTCAGATAGTAAACATTTTAGGCTTTGTGGGCCAAACAAGGTTTCTGTTACATTTTTTTTTTATAACTCCTTAAAAATGTAAAAATCACCCTCATCCCAACGGACTACAGGAACAGACCTCAGGTCACATTTGACTCATAGCCTGACCCCTGGTGTGTAGGGTTAACAAGCCTCCTTTCCCTGGGCTCCTTTTTCTTTCAGCATTCCAAGCCAAAGGAAACTATCTTTTTCAAATCATTTTCTCTCCTAGGTGGGACATCTTACACCAGCCCAGGCATGCTTCCGATAGCCTTAGAGTAGCTGTCCCTTCCTCAGAATTACTGTCTAATTGGCTAGAAGTTAGCAACTTTTTACATTTTTCCTTCAATTCCTTTCCATTAAGAAGAAGGCATGCACCGGCAAATTACTTGTGACTATCAATGACATACTCTCAGAAGCACCAGTACCCCTGTGTTGTTTCTAAACCCATTCTAATAGACACATACCCCAAGGTTATGCTGTTTGTCATCTCACAAAATGACTTACATCTAGAGATTTAAATAATTAATGTACTTTTCATAACTACCAGGTACAGTAGATCTGATAATGGCAGAGCTAAGCACATATACAGAAAGTAGGGCAAGGGCCAGAGACTCATTTTAAAGCAATGTTACAAGATCGTCACTGTTGCTTTTCATTTTTCTAAATGTGGCCACTGCTGTTTTCTCACTAAAGGAAATGTTTTATGTAAAGTGAATAACAGTACCTGGCATAAAATAAGTGCTCAATAAATGTTAAGGCCTTCTCTCCCTCTTCAACTGGCCTCCTCATTTTTCACAAAGTGAAATAGAAAAACAACATGGAAGATAATCCTGTTGCTTAGGAAAAATAACTAAAGCTTGCTAGACAAAATACACCTGAAAATATAGGAAGTGAGCTATAGCTGGCCTATATGCATGTATGTTGGAACAGGACAAGATAGTGTAGGGTGGGGTGAAGAGGACAGAGAAATGGAAGGAAAGGGGCTACAGCCTTGGTGGCAAAATAAAGGATAAGACGACTCTTTTAAAATGGTCTATTTCAAATGCTGGGTTGTGAAACTTAATTTGATTACTTCATGAGAAACAGCATCTATAATCCATCCCTGATTTTTCTACAACAAAAATTTATTATTTATTTTATGTTTGTGTGTAGATCTTTTATATATATACATGTACACACGTATATGTATATATTATATATGCATATGCATATATATGTGTATATACATATATAATATATTGTGTGTGTATGTGTGTGTATATATAATTTTTTTAAAGGAATGGGGTCTCACTATGTTGCCCAGGCTGGACTTGAACTCCTGGGCTCAAGCAATCCTCCACCTCAGCCTCCCAAGTAGCAACCAACAGTTTTAGTTTTGAAAAAATAACAAATATTAAACACCCATGTGTAAGGGTTGGTACTGGGCCCTGTGTTAGTTTGCATGGGCTGTCGTAACGTAACACTACAGGCCGGGCACAACGGCTCACGCCTGTAATCCCAGTACTTTATGAGGCCAAGGTGGGCGGATCACCTGAGGTCAGGAGTTTGAGACCAGTCTGACCAACATGGAGAAACCCCGTCTCTACTAAAAATACAAAATTAGCCATGTGTGGTGGCTCATGCCTGTAATCCCAGCTACTTGGGAGACTGAGGCAGGAGAATCGCTTGAACCTGGGAGGCGGAGGTTGTGATGAGCTGAGATCAGGCCATTGTACTCCAGCCTGGGCAACAAGAGCAAAACTCTGTCTCAAAAACAAAAAAACAAAAACAAAAAAACCCTGATAACACTACAGACTGGGTAGCTGGACCAACAGAAATTTATTTTCTCACAGTTCTGGAGGCTGGAAATCTAAGATAAAGTTGTTGGCTGGTTTGGTTTCTGAGGCCTCTCTCCTTAACTTGCAGATGGCTGCTTTCTTGAAATGTCCTCACATAGCTGTCCCTCTGTCTGTTTCTGGTGTCTCCCCACGTATCCAAATTTCCTCTTCTTATAAAGATACTAGTCATATTGGATTAGGGTCCACCATAAAGACCTCATTTAAACTTAATCACCTTTTTACGGCCCTGTGTCCAAATACAGTCACATTCCGAGTTCCAGGGGATTAGGGCTTCAACCTATGAATTGGGGGTGGGGCACAATTCAGCCCGTAACAGGCCTAGACCTTAATTTGTCAACACTACAGTTAGATTTATAGTATAGTAACTGCATCTGTGCTCATCTAAATGTCATACCCAAATGAAATAATATAGCATGATGATCTGAATTTATTAAAGGCAATTTTTCCTATAGAAACCCAAATCTATAAATTATATACAAACTGTGGTAAGTTACTCGATACCTTGCCAGGACTCATCTATGGTGGTAGATAGACCACAAAGAGTACCACTGAAAGATCCCTTTCCTAATCACAGTTTCCTCACTGGCTTGCCACAAAACCTAAAATTCTTCTATTCTTTCATTGGCAATTTATTTCCCCTGAAAATGTAAATAATCTCTGGCAGAGCAATCTATTAAGTGATCATCAGCCACTAACACCTTAGGGTAGAACAGCTCAGATCACAGTCTTAAAATAAATTCCATCAGTATGAAATTTTCTTTATTACTGCTCCGCTACTGGAATGTTAGATCACTGTCTGCTTTAATAATAATTCTGGTGTAGGTCATTCAAATTTTGTTTAAGATAATAAGACAAATAGCAGGTATAAAAACATTCCGTCATCTAATAAAGCAACCCGAGAACAGTAAGAAGAACGTGATGAAATTAACATTTTTGAGTACCTGCTAGGAATCAAGTATTCTGCTAGATATTTTAGAAATCATCTCAATTCAATCCTAAAAATTATTCTGTATAATAGTATAGGTTGAGTATTCCTAATCCAAAAATCTGAAGCTTTTTTTTTCCTGAGACGGAGTTTTGCTCTTGTTGACCAGGCTGGAGTGCAATGGCGCAATCCTGACTCACTGCAACCTCCGCCTCCTGGGTTCAAGTGATTAGGGATACTCAACTGGCTAAATATAATGCAAATATTTCAAAATCTGAAAAAACCCAAATCTGAAACACTTCTGGTCCCAAACATTTCAGGCAAGGGACACTCAAGTTGTATTAATCCCATTTTACAGAAGAAGAAACAGGCTCAGATAAATGAACATCTCAGAGCTTGTTGATAGCAAAGGAGAGATTGAAACTGTCAGGCCTCTGATCCCAAGCCAAGCCATCACTTCCCCTGTGACTTGCATGTATACATCCAGATGGCCTGAAGTAACTGAAGATCCACAAAAGAAGTAAAAATAACCTTAACTAATGACATTCTACCACTGTGATTTGTTTCTGCCCCACCCTCACTGATCAATGTACTTTGTAATCTCCGCCACCCTTAAGAAGGTTCTTTATAATTTCCCCCACCCTTAAGAAGGTTCTTTGTAATTCTCCCCACCCTTGAGAATGTAATTTGTGAGATCCACCGCTGCCCGCAAAACATTGCTCTTAACTTCACCACCTATCCCAAAACCTATAAGAAGTAATGATAATCCACCACCCTTTGCTGACTCTCTTTTCTGACTCAGCCCGCCTGCACCCAGGTGAAATAAATAGCCATGTTGCTCACACAAAGCCTGTTTGGTGTCTCTTCACATGGACACGCATGAAAGAAACCCTACCTGGTTCTGTGTCTTACCTGTTGGGGGCCTGTGGTCAAACTACTAGTACGGAGTTTTAGTGTCCTCACTTTAAAAATGAGGGTTGTGGCCGGGCGCGGTGGCTCACGCCTGTAATCCCAGCACTTTGGGAGGCCGAGGCGGGCGGATCACGAGGTCAAGAGATCGAGACCATCCCGGCTAAAACGGTGAAACCCCGTCTCTACTAAAAATACAAAAAAATTAGCCGGGCGTAGTGGCGGGCGCCTGTAGTCCCAGCTACTTGGGAGGCTGAGGCAGGAGAATGGCGTGAACCCGGGAGGCGGAGCTTGCAGTGAGCCGAGATCCCGCCACTGCACTCCAGCCTGGGCGACAGAGCGAGACTCCGTCTCAAAAAAAAAAAAAAAAAAAAAAAAAAAAAAAAAAAAAAAAAAATGAGGGTTGTAAGGTAACTACCTACTTTTTATAGCATTGTAGTGAAGTTGAAATGAATTAATCCACATATATTATAGTGTGGTAGAATGCAGCAGAACTGATGATGTATGACTTCTAAGACTAGTCCTTAAGAGACCTGCAGTTTTTGCTTTTGCCCTCTTGGAACACTCCTGTTGCCATGTTAAGAAAAACTCTGGGGAGACTATGAAGGAAGAGAGCATACTCGGGGCAGGGGGGTGAACAGGACGTGCACATGTACGAGCGTACAAGCCAGGTGACACCAGTACCACAGCCTCAGACATGTCACCGGGGATACCAGCACCACAGCCTCAGACATGTCACCGGGGACACCAGCACCACAGCCTCAGACATGTCACCGGGGACACCAGCACCACGGCCTCAGACATGTCACCCAGGGACACCAGCACCAGCACCACAGCCTCAGACATGTCATCGGGGACACCAGCCCCATGGTCTCAGACATGTCCCTGAGGCCCACTTAGACCCTTCAACCCCAGCCCAGCTGCTAACTGACTACAGCCACATGAACAGAACCAGGTGAGACCAGAGGAAACTTCCAGTCACCTACCAGATCATGACAAATAATAAACGATGTTTTTTAAACCACAAAGATTTGGAGCAGCATTTGTTACACAAAATTAGACAACTATTACAGTTCGACTAAAAACATGTTCATTTACAATACTAAATTAGAAGTGTAAGAATGGGAGAAAAACTTCATACTTTAAAAGTCATTTTTTCCTCCAAAAACTTCCAACTTTGAAAAACTGATTTTTATAATGCATAAAAATTAAAATAACCTTAGAATTTATATGAGTAGCATAGCCAGCTGGCTTTATTATCTGTTGTACTCAACACTTCAATAATCACTGATGTTTTAGAACTCTTCAGATTTAGAACTCTTGCCCTTGCTTTAGTCTGGTTTAAGCTAAATAATTGTTCTTCCTCAAGAACAAATGACCTTACCTCGTTTTGTTTTCCTTGTCTGAGAGAAACACATTAGCAGTCTCCCATCTTGTTTTTCCTTTTCCTGTCACCCAGGACAGAGGGCAGTGGTGTGATCACAGCTCTGCAGCACGACTTCCCCAGGTTCAGGTGATCCTCCCACCTCAGCCTCCCAAGGAGCTGGGACCACAGGCACATGCCACCACGTCCAGCTTAATTTTGTATTTTTTTGGTAGAGATCAGGTTTTGCCTTATTGCCCCAAGCTGATCTTGAATTCCTGGGCTGAAGCAATCTGCCTGCCCTGGCCTCTCCAAGTGTTAGGATTACAGGTATAAGCCACCGTGCAGCCTTATATTTTGTTTTAAATTTTCCTCTGTATTTTTCTCTCTGGCAAATTGTTTAGGGAGTTTCTTTAGTTTATCAGACTAAATTTCAAGGCTTTCCTTCCAATTTTGACATGTAAACAGTCCCTCATTTCTGCTTATCTAGTGATTATTCCCAAATCTGTGTTTACAGTCTAGCTGTCTCTCCTGAGATTAAGACTTGTTTCTCTAACTACCTGACGGCAGAATCTCCTCTTGGAAGTATCAAGGAGGCAGTTCAAAACTGAACTGGGCATTGGCTCCACTCCTTCTCCTTCTCTTTACTATTAATACCCTTTCTCTCCTTCTATATGACCACACTAAGTCTTATTTAGGCATCGTTTCTTCTGGGAGACCTTTGTAGAATCTCTGAGGTTATGTTAACATGCTAAGGTTTTCTTGACATTCTCAGATTGGGTTAGGTGAACTTTTAGCAACTTATCTTTTTACTAAAAAGTCATCCCTCAGTATCTGTGGGGAATTGGTTCTAGGACTCCCTAAGGATATCAAAATCTGCATGAGCAGCCCAGGTGAGACCAGCAGAAGCACTTTACAGTCACCTACAGGATCATGACAAATAATAAATCATGTTTAAGCCACAAAGTCCTTTACATAAAATGGTATAGTATTTGCATATAACCTACACATCTTCCTGTATCCTTTAAATCATCTCTAGTTTATAATACCTCATACGATGAAAATACTACGTAAATAGTTGTTATACTGTATTGTTTAGGGAATAATGACAAGGAAAAAAGTCCACGCGTGTTCAGAATAGATGCTTTTTTTTCTCGTCTAATATTATGGATCCACAGTTGGTTGAATCCACAGATGTGGAATCCATGGATACCAAGGAACGACTGTATGCATTTTGACAATTATACTTCTCATCTTACCATGCATTCAACAAACAGAACATGTAAAGCGGTGATAATGCTGTGATGAAAAATAAAGCAGGGGAAGAGGCTGCATCCATCTAGTGGAAACGATGCCCTTTTCAATCTGCACAAAGAGAAAAAGCTGCTCTCCAAGTTGGGGGGTGGGTGGGTCAGGTATGTAAATTGGTCAGGAAGGGATCTGTAGGCACTTACAGATTTGACGCTAATGAGATGGGAAGCCACAGGAAGGTTGTGAAGAAAAGACAAGACATGATCTGATTCATGTTTTGATCTGATACACTGGTTGCTAGATGGAGAATAAGCTGCATGGCGGTGAGAGGAAGCAGAAACAATAGGAGGGTAATGCTATAATCCAGTGGTCCATAATCCAATATCCCCCCAAGGAACAGTTCGGCAATGTCTGGTGACATTTCTGGCTGTCACAACTGTTGGGGCGGAGTGCTACTTGCATCTAGCAGGTAGAAGCTAGGGATGCTACTAAACATCCTACAATGCACAAGACAGCCCTTCCCCCAACATTGCTGGCCCAAAACGTTGATAGTACCAAGGCTGAGAAACTCTGTTATAATCTGTCCTAGAATGTAGCTTGGATTGAGATGGCAGTGGTAAGAGCTGGAGAAGTGCTTAGCTTCCCAATGTTTTTTTGTTTGTTTGTTTTTGAGACGGAGTCTCGCTCTGTCGCCCGGGCTGGAGTGCAGTGGCGTGATCTCGGCTCACTGCAAGCTCTGCCTCCTGGGTTCACGCCATTCTCCCACCTCAGCCTCCCGAGTAGCTGGGACTACGGGCGCGTGCCACCACACCCAGCTAATTTTTTTGTATTTTTAGTACAGACAGGGTTTCACCATGTTAGCCAGGATGGTCTCCATCTCCTGATCCCGTGATCCACCCACCTCGGCCTCCCAAAGTGCTGGGATTGCAGGCGTGAGCCACCGCGCCCGGCCTGAATGTTTTTAAAGTACTGGTGACCATATTCGCTGAGGGATTAAATGTAAGGTATGAGGGGAAAATAGGAATCAGACACCAGGGTTTACTGCCTGAGCAATGAGAAGAACGACGTTCCTCATACGGAGATGAGGAAGAATGTGGAATAGCAGGTAAATAGCATGTGCTTGCTTTGTTTGGGGCTGTGCAGAAGAGACTGATGGGACCAACGTGCTCAGTTCTGGATATATTAAACTTGGAATGCCTATTTGGCACCAAGTGAATGTATCAGGTAGGCAGATGGATAAATGAGTCTGAAGTTCAGGGGAGAGGCTGGGGTGGCAATATGAACTTGGGAGTCTCCACATCTGAATAGTATTTAAAGCTATACAACAGGATAAGGTGATTTAGGAACTAAACACAAATTGAGACGAGATCCGAGCCCAGAGGCACTCCGATGTTTAAAAAAGAGGAGGAACCATCAAAAGATACTAAGGAGAAGCCAAGAAGTAGGAGAACTGAGAGTCTGAGAGAATCATTATACTCATTTGATCGACTGCAACAAATGCTGCTTAGAGGTCAAGCAAAATGAGGACTAAGCAAGGACCACCAGGTCTGGCAACATGGAGGCCAATGCCGACGTGGAAATGAGAGTTTTGGTGGGAAGACAGGAATAAAAGTCTCACAGGTCTGAATTCAAGAGAGAGAACAGCAGAAGAAGGGTAGAGGTGGTAGCCATAAACAATGATACATTCTCTTGAGGCCTTTTCTTGCAAAGCTCAGTGAAGAAACATGGTTCCAGAGAGGGATTTTTTTTTCTCTCATTTTACATATGCAAACATATAAAAAAGCTGAAAGAATTGTTTGACAACCACCCTTATTCTTACCACAGATTCAACATTTAATGCCATATGTTTTCCCTGTATGTACTGTGTATTGTTTGAGGATAACTTCCCCTCTAAATATACCTCGGATGTATCTCCTAAAATAAGTCCATTCTCCTACATAGCCATAGTAACCATGAACACACCTAGGAAAATTAAAAATATATTCTCAAATATATTATATAGCTGGGTATATTACAATTTCCCCAATATGTGATTTGCAAACCAGGATCAAGTCAAAGTCCATGCACAGCATTTGGTTGTCATGTGTCTTTGGTCTCTATTAATAATGATGACTGTTTGAAAAGACCTGTCCTATAGAATAAATTTGACTGATTATGTCATGCCATTGAACTTGTTTTTCTATTCTAGAAGGATAGTTTTTTAGGGTAGTGAATACATTTATTACTCTTGGCACAATAGTCTAACATTTCCCAATTTCCTTATATCTCTGCCCTTTCATTTTCAGAAAATCAATTATTCCAAGATTTGTTTTTCATTTATCATCACTTATTAGCTCTGAAGACTCAACTGAGCAACTTTCAGGGTTTATATACCCTATATTCAGAAAAAAACTACTACCATCTCTCATTTACCCTAAGAATTCATAGGAGAGCATGTCTTAAAGCTGATCAATAACCAAACCAAACATTTTATTGATCATATTACATTTGGAAAGCAAAATGAATTTCCTAAAATTTCTTCCCTGATTAGCAAAATAGTGCCTCCGAACACTTGAGGGTGAAAGTTGTTGTCAAATATGCCTACATGACTGGAAATTATGACATCCAAATGAGTTCACTGGGTCTGATAATAATATGCTCTACATGCTTATGTCTATGTAATAAACAGCTTACATCTGGATGAGAAAATTGATTATACAAATATTTGGGCTTCTACAACTGGTCACTCATCTGTAAGTACTTAAAGCAACTTAAAATGCAAACTGACCTAACAATGCTTATGGTTAGAATTCCAAAGAATGTTTAGGCATTGTCAGGTTATGTTAAAACATCTTCTGCCACAATCTTCAAGTGATTTATCTTTTCTGTTGTGTTGAATAGCTATAGAAGACAAATGAATTCTGCACTCCTGAATTCAATGAACATTTCAAGTTTCCTCACTTACACTGTAAGATTACGTAGCATATTTTAAGAAATAAATTATAATCATTTTATTTCACTTATTGAACTTCTTTTAAGCTTTGGCATTAGAATTTTAATCAAAGCACTGCCACTTGCTTACAGTGATGGTTTTTAGGCTCTTTGGGCCTATGGACTATTTCAATGACCTTCACTAGCCATCTAGTCCACCTTATCCTAATTATTACCACTGCAAAAGAAACCCTCACTTGAATAAATCAGTAGATGGGCATGAGGCACCTCCCAGGAGACTATAATTATTAACTCATACTAAAATCAAAATTGTAGCTATTATCACTCATATGGTTTGGCTCTGTGTCTCCACCCAAATCTCATCTTGAATTGTAATCCCCACGTGTCAAAGGAGAAGCCTGGTGCGAAAGGACTGGATCATGGGGGCGGCCTTCCCCCTTGCTGTTCTTGTGAAAGAGTTCTCCGATGGTTTAAACGCATGGGACTTCCTCCTACTTGCTCGCTCTCTTCTGCCACCATGTAAGATGTGCCTTGCTTCCCCTTTGCCTTCTGCCATGATTTTAAGTTTCCTGAGGCCTCCCCAGCCATGCAGAAATGTGAGTCAATTAAACCTCTTTTCTTTGTAAATTACCCAGTCTCAGGTAGTTCTTTACAGCAGTGTGAAAATAGACTAATACAATCACCTTATGGTAAGTCTGTCTATAAATCACCTGAACTTTCACAGACTATCTAGAAGAACATGTAACCAGAGTAGTTCTTGATCATGCTATATAAATTACTGATACAGAAATAGAGCTAGACAGGAAGGGGCTGGTAGTAGAGAATCATCCTCTGGACATATTCTCACAGCCTAATCTCTAGCTAGCAAATTTTATAATATATATAAAAATACAATTATTTCACAAAATTACCATGAAACGATTTTATTGGGATATTAGACATTACTGAATTACTTGTTCTGTGAGGTATACAGTGAAATTAACATGTTATAAAATTGTGGTAGCCGGCCCCCAAGATGGCCTCCAATGAATCCTTCACCTCTTGGTATTCATACCTTTGTGTAGGTAGGTCTGTGTAACCCATAGAATACAGCACAGTGACAGTAGGTCACTTCCGAGGTTAGGTTGTGAAAGACACTGTGGTTTCTGCCTCTCTCTCAGATCACGTGCTCTGGGGGAAAAGCCAGGTGTCATTTTGTGAAGACACTCAAGCAGCCTTTAGATGACTGCAACCACATAAGAGGCTCCGAACTGGAGCCACTCAGCTAAACCACTCCCAGATTCCTGACCATGTATCATTTCATACACAATGTATGAAATGACAAATGTCTGTTGTTTTAAGCTGTTTGGGGAATAATTTGTTACATAACAAAATATAACTAATACAATAATACATACTGATTTAACTGAAGTTGTAACTTCATAACTTATTTAGGTACTAAAAATCACAGCAACCCGATGCAAAGTACTAAAAAAAAAATCCATTAATACCTATTGAGTACTGTTGAGGGCATGAGGAAAGCTCTTTCATACTCCACATAAAACTTCCTTACCGTAATATTCATGGCTGACCTCTACTCTTAACTCCTTTCTAGGATAGGAGGGGCTAACTGATCTGACAGCAAGTTTGGGAGAAAAAATTCTGAGGCTCGGCCAACTTCCTCTCTTCTTTCCATTTGGGATTTGGCTGACTGAAGAGGGTCATTTGTTTTGGCCTGCTCTCTTACACAGTAAATGTAGTGGGACAAGCTCTATTCTTGTTGATAGAAAAACTCGAATTTTAAATCTGCCTAGTTCTTTGCAGCTCGTTGTTGCTCCAAATCTCAGCTACCTTTTGAAACAACTTTTTTCAGTAAACTTAATTTCAATCTTCATGTGATTTAACTGGATCCAAACACAGGCAGATAAAAAAGGTGGGGCATTACTTATCAACCTCTAAACTAAGTTTAATTTTGTGCCCTCATGGAGTTTATAGTATATTTGAGGTTTAAACTAAAACACCTGGTTTTAAACAGAAACTATAAAAAACACGATTAATAGGTGAGGCCGGGCGCGGCGGCTCACGCCTGTAATCCCAGCACTTGGGGAGGCCAAGGCGGGTGGATCACGAGGTCAGGAGATCAAGACCATCCTGGCTAACACGGTGTGAAACCCCGTCTCTACTAAAAATACAAAAAATTAGCCCGGCGTAGTGGTGGGAGCCTGTAGTCCCAGCTACTCAGGACGCTGAGGCAGGAGAATGGCGTGAACCCGGAAGGCGGAGCTTGCAGTGAGCCATTGCGCCACTGCACTCCAGCCTGGGTGACAGAGCCAGACTCCGTCTCAAAAAAACAAACAAACAAAAAACAAATAGGTGAAAGGCCGTGATCATTGGTAAGCGTAAGAAAATCTGAGGGAGAAAAAAATATAGATGCCCAGGCCCCATGCCAAACTCATGGAATCATGCATGAAACCCAAGCAGCTGCAGTTTTAACAAGTTCCCAATATATAGTTGACCCCTGAACAATGCAGGTTTGAACTGCCTGGGTCCACTTATAAAATGGATTTGATTTTTTTCAATAAAAGTTACACCGAGTGTGCCTGCCTCTCCTCCCTCCCTCCCTACATGCTCCTGCTCTTAAGCCTCTGCCATGAGGCTTAAGACAGCAAGAACAACCCGTCCTGTTTATTTCAATAGTTTTGGGGGGTGCAGGTGGTTTTTGGTTACATGGATAAGTTCTTTAGTGGTGATTTCTGAGATTTTAGTGCAACTGTCACCTGAGCAGTGTACACTGTATCCAACATGTAGTCTTTTAACCCCCATCCAACCTTCTTCCCCAACCCGAATCCCCAAAGTCCACTGTATGATTCTTATGCCTCTGTGTTTTTATAGCTTAGCTCCCACTTTTAAGTGAGAACATACCATTTTTGGTTTCCCATTCCTGAGCTACTTCACTTAGAATACTGGCCTCCAGCTCCATCCAAATTGCTGCAAAAGATATTATTTCGTTCCTTTGTATGGATGAATAGTATTCCACGATGTACATAAACATTTTCTTTATCCACTCAGCTCCTCTTCAGTCTACTCAATGTGAAGGTGACAAGGACGAAGATCTTTATGATGATCCATTTCCACTTAATGATTAGTAAATATACTTACTTTTCCTTATGATTTTCTTAGTAACTTTTTTTCTCTAACTTACTTTATTGTAAGAATACAGTATATAACACATATGACATACAAAATACGTTAGTCAACAATATATGCTATCAGTAAACTTCCAGTCATCAGTGGGCTATTAGCAGCTACGTTTTTTGGGCAGTCAAAAGCATGGGGAAGGAGAGGGTGGTCCCTAACCCCTGTGTTGCTCAAGGGTCAATTGTAATAATACCCATTTAAGAATCCATGGTATATATGGTAAGTGCAACAACTCTAGAAGAGAGTGCTAGGAGTTGGAAAAGGAAAGAGAAAACAGAATTTAAAGCAATCTGTAAAGGACATGCAGGGTTTAGATGAGGTGGAAGGGTGAGGGAAAACCAACATCTGCTGTGAGGGCATATTAACTGCCAGACATTGTTCTATGTCTTACCTCATTTAAGAGAATTTCATTTCACACATGGAAAAACTGAAGCCCAGAGAGGTTAAATAATTTGCCTGAGGCCAAAATTAGTTAAATAACAGAAGTGGGATTAGTAGATGTTTTCATTTTATCAGTGAAACTGAGCCTCAGGGAGGTTAAATATTTTGTATGAAGTAACAAAACTGAGATTAATATATGGCCAAGTTTAAATGAGATCTGTAAATCTAATGCCTACACTAAAACAAAAAAAAAAAAGTGGGAAGAAAAGGTCTATATTGCTTAGCAAAACAGAGGTAGGGAAGCAAAAATAAACTTACAAAATCAGATTAGACCACCAAAAAACAGTCCCCATTTTAACTTATGTGGTGAGAACCATATATTAAAGACCACCAGTGGCTTAAAAATCTTTTTAAAAAATGAATCTGTTTTCATTATTCATTAGTTTTTATCTAATGAATAATGTATCTTAACTGATACATTTACTAAACAATTACCAGCTCCAATTAGCACTCAGTTACAATTCAATCATTAAACTGACCCTCAATTTAGCTGTCAACCTAGTCAAAACAGTTAAGTGATTTTACGGTCATCCTCAGTTGCAGAAGTATAATGTTTATGGCTGGAGTCATTTTATTTTTAACTAACATTTTTTAAAAAGATTGCTTTGTAACAATGTGTTATGAGTCCTTTGTGGTAAATACTGCTTTTTTTTTGAGACGCAGTCTCGCTTTATTGCCCAGGCTGGAGTGCAGTGGTGCGATCTTGGATCTGAGGCTCCTGCCTCAGCCTCCTGAGTAGCTGGGACTACAGGCATGCGCCAACGTGCCCAGCTAATTTTTTGTTTTTTTAGTAGAGATGGGGTTTCACCATGCTGGCCAGGCTGGTCTCGAACTCCTGACCTCGTGATCTGCCCACCTCGGCCTTCCAAAGTGCTGGGATTACAGCTATTTTAAGGACTTTTTAAAAAGTGAAGCTAAACATTTATTCATCCCTATTCCTCATCTATAGGGACTTGTGCTCTATTTTTCTTTGAAGACTGAAGTAAAAATTCACCTTTGTGAGGGTCTTCCTATAATTAAAATTAATCATTTTTTCCTCCATAGCTTCTACAAAACATTGCCTGTACAACTCTATTTAGCACTTATTTCATCCCGCCTTGTATGAAAACTATTTGTTTACAAACGTTTCTACTTCTCTTTAGGAATAAGGACTATGCATTATTCACTGTTGTATTCTCCCTGCATTTATGGCAGTCCTTTGCACATTAAATACAAGCTTTTTGGCTCTGTGCATCTCTTCATCTGGCTGTTCATCTGTACCCTTTAAAACATCCTTTATTAAAAAAACAGTAAATGTAAAAAAAAAAAAAAGCCATTGATGAAAAAGTTAATAGCTTTCTCAATAAGAAAAGAGTATCAATTATGCATACGTCTGAACTAACAAACATGAATGAAATAGGCTATTTAATACATTCTGTTTTAAAAGTAGGTTTGGTCAGCCATGTAAATTGAAAATTGGGAGCCACCAAGATAACTCATCAACAAATATGCACTATGTACTAGGCACTATATAGATGATGGTGAACCAAACAGATGTAATCCTTGCTCTTACAGATCTCACAACCTACTATGGGGCCAAAAATATATGTGTATGTGTGTGTGTTATACATATATACACACACATACATGTATATATACATATACACATACACATATATACATACGCACACATACACATATATACACACACATACATATGCTATGAGGAAAACAAACAGGTGGTGAGAAAGAATTAGAGTAGGGGTAGAGGACAGAGGGCTCCTCAAATAGGGTGGACAGCTTGACACAAGACACTCGAGCTAAGACTCCAAGGATGAGAAGACAGTTATGTAAAGAAAAGGGGACTAGCATTGTCAGCAGGTAGCTAAGGCCTTAAAGCAGACAGTCATGTGCTGCAATGCCAGCTTCAAGCGAATACAGTTACTAAAGCATATCTAACCTTCTATGTGAATGTAGTTACTAAAGCATATCCTCCAACTTTCCATTTTTCTTTTGCTATTGTTTCTACCACTTCTCCTTTTCTGTTGACAATTATTTTAAATTTCCTGGCTAAATTAAATGATGGCATGAACTCTGGGGAAAGTAAGACTACCTATGTCCAAATAATCCTAAATTCCTTCTAGTCCTTATGACTGATCAATTCACCCTGAAGTGACAACTATGTCCCAATTAGGAAAGAGTGTTTCTTTATCTGCACTTAATTTTTTGATTTGGAGGCTTCCTGATTGCTAATCAACATGTTGTGTGATTACTTCAACAAGTACTTATAGAACGTTATTTTGTCACTGGAAAAACGTTCTGCTGCTTTCTGAACTTTAGGTTGCTCTAGAGTCTAGGAAGAGTGACTGTACCTAAAGCAGTTCCTAATTACTGGACATTCTCAGATCTGCTAGAGCTACATGTCCAATTACGAGAATATACTGGAAAAAGCCCTGGATTAGAAATGAGAGGATGTAGGTTTTAGTACCAGGTCAGCCACCTTGTTAATGCAAATTTGAGTAAATTGTTACTTCTTTTAGGCCTTGTTTTTGCTGTTTTGTTTTTCTGACAGTATGGTCTCTGTGGTCCAGGCTGGAGTGCAGAGGCACAATATCAGGTCCCTGCAGTCTCTACCTCCCAGGATCAAGCCATTTTCATGCCTCATCCTCCTGAGTAGCTGGGATTACAGGCATGTGCCACCACACCCTCGAACTCCTGACCTCAAGTGATCTGCTTGCCTCAGCCTCCCAAAGTGCTGGGATTAGAGGTGTGAGCCACTGTGCCTAGCCTTACACATTGTTTTCTTACTGGTAAAGTGGGAATATCTAGAAGTTGCATGCTACATAAATTCAACCATATATTATTGGCAAAAAATTTTAAAGAAAAACATCAGCTTAAGAGTACTAATTGAGTACATGCCTTGGAATGAGCATGAGCTGGAAAGAACAAACCTGTTGTTACATCACTCATTGCTGTTTTCATATGCTGCTCATTGTAAATCTTGCTCAGTGGCATGATTTTAGTGTTTAAAGATTTATTTGTTTGTTTGTTTAGGACAAAGTCTCTACACATAATCTACTTGCTTCATATATACATACTTATGCATATTATGTATGTACATACATGCTCTCAGGGCTCACATGAAAAAACAGCCATTCAGGTGATGTGATTTATCTCATATGCTTACTTTAGAGTCAACAGGGTGTTGACTCCACTATACAATACTGGCATGGAGAACACATAAGTCAAAGTAGACAGGACCCAGCCGTACCATTGGCTAGGGCACAAATATATTCACATATGTGGAGAATGATGTACGTAGAAAGGTCTTCATTGCACAATGCTCTTTAATAAAGATCTGGAAAAAAAAAACACCTAAATGTTCAAAAGGATAGGGTAGATGAAATAATGGTACATTATAAAATGGAAGATTATGCAGCCATAAAAATAAGGAAATACCTTAAATAATAACAGAACAACTTTTAAGGTAAGTGAACAAATAAGGTACATAATCACTATGCATAGTATGTACCATTTACATAGAAAAAGGGAAGAAAAATAAAATATATATAGTAATTTATTTGTTCTTACATGTGTAAAATTTTTCTGAAAAATATACCAGAAACTGGTAGCACTGGTTGCTTCCTAGGCAGAAAATGACTGAGTATCCTTTTGTACCTTTTGAATTTTGAACCACGTGAATGAATGTGTTACCTATGAACAAAATGACAAGTTTAGATCAGCAAGACAGCAGTTTGAGATGAAATGGGATTACACCCTTAGTAGGAAAAACTTTTTAAAGCAGGTGGTACTTCTAAGAGCAAATACCTGCACATGGAATGTTGAAACTATAAGGAACTCTCCTTAAGAGATCCATCTATTCCAAACTTCTCATTTTATAGATCTGTAAACTGAGACCTTAAAAATTCAGTGACTTGCATAAGGTCACACAGCAGAAGAGATGGGATTAGATGCTAGATATTCCAATATCAAGTTTAGACTATTAAAAATTCAGTGACTTGTGTAAGGTCACACAGCAGAAGAGATGGGATTAGATGTCAGATATTCCAGTATCAACTTTAGACTATTATCACACCATCTTCTCATTTTCTGGGGGCAAAACAGAACCAAGTAAGTTTGGGCTACATTACGAGTTGTCATGTTTTTGTTTTTGTTTTTTTGAGATGGAGTCTTGCTCTGTCGCTCAGGCTGGAGTGCAGTGGTGTAATCTCAGCTCATTGCAATCTCTGACCCCCGGGGTTCAAGCAATTCTCCCTGCCTTAGCCTCCCGAGTAGCTGGGTTTACAGGCGCCTCCCACCGCGCCCGGTTAATTTTTGTATTTTTTTTTTTTTTTTTTAGTAGAGACGGGGTTTCACCATCTTGGCCAGGCTGGTCTTGAACTCCTGACCTCGTGATCCACCCACCTCAGCCTCCCAAAGTGCTGGGATTACAGGTGTGAGCCACCACGCCCGGCCGAGTTGTCATGTTTTATCTAAATTTTAGAGTCTAATGTATAAATTAACCTTAAGCCCTGAAACTACTAATTTCTTGTTTGGATCACTATACGGCTACACTTAAAAATATGCTGTGCATACCTCTATCATTGCATGTATACAATATGATAGATGCATGATATGACAGACACACAATATGATACACGTATTTTTTTCTATCCTAACACATCTGAATTTACTGAAATAACTAAAATGTCTTAAGTTACTTTTTTAAATATACACATGCATAGCACAAGCGTGTTGCCAAAAATATGAATACAGGTTTACAATTCCTTAACTAAAACCCAAGGGTTGGATGTGTTTTAGAAATAAGAATTTCATACAATTTTTAAGTGTTACAGGGTATATAAACCATTATATAACACATACCAGGGGCCAAGGGCAGCACCCCATAATCAAACATATTAATATAGTTTCAGCAAAACACATGGGATAAAGACTATATACAGCTTCTCAATAGTTCAGGTCATATTTTGCTACCAAATGAATTTTGTTGCCAAGCTTAAGAAGTTTTTGGTTTTCACCGCTTTCTGAATGTTAGATTGAGATGTGGGATTACAGACTGTACTCATAGAGTGCTTCTAGAAAGCAGTCAGTCACTTCAACTCTCATTTTTTTTTTATGAGACTAAAAAAGAAATCATAGCAAGTAGCTTTTATATCCCAGGTTTGGGCCAAAGACTTGTATTGTGGTTAAGGAATCTAACTTAGTAGAAGGTGCACGAGCTGACATCGTGAGTGGCTAAAATGAGAGAAAAAAAGAGAAAATCCTAATCATACAGAAGCACTGAACTACTGCAGCTGTTCGTTAGTTATTAATTTAATAAAAGCTTCCTCCCTTTAAATCATGTGAGTTTATAACTGGAAATAGGTCAATAAAATTTCTGTCCCACACTGCTGACAAGCGATGGACGCAATTAGCTTTAATCCCACTGGAAGGTACTGCACTCTCTCTGGGACCAGGATATGTAGAAAAAAGCATTTCAAATATATAGGAATAACCAGAAATGTATACAGTATTCTCAACTTGGGACCGTTACTCTATAATATAAACGAAAGGGGTTTTCTAGTCAATCTCTGCTGATCTCCTGTACCAAAGTTCTTCCCTTTATAAGTCTTGTACTACCTTTTACAAGAGGAAAAAGCTCTAGAGCGAAAACACAGAACACACTAAAATCCCTTCCTTTCTCTTTACAACTCAAGCCCCGCCTCCATTTTGTTTCTGTTACTAATTTTTCTTCTGAAAAAATACCAAATTTACACTGAAAGACTAAAATTCAACTTTGCAGACAACGTTTTAAAAAATACAATTCAGTTTGGTGATGTTGTTTTGCAGTCTTACAATTTTAGCTACATTTTAACTGAACCAATTGTTTTGTTCAATTTATGAGTTAATACTCAGCAAGTTTGTTTTTTACAAATAGTGTATTCCATTCTAAAAATGGAAGTAGCAGTGGTGAACAAGAAAACAACCCTCTGAGTTTTGTCTATTTCAGGAGGAAGTACTACTTTCTCCAATTTTAATCACAATTCATAAAAAAGAAAAACCTAACTAGCTAGATCTTAAATATACAAATACATTAACAATCTAGTAAAGCAACAGAAAAAGGTAAACAAACTAACCAGCCTATTTTTGTCTGGAGAAACCCCAACAAACTGCTGGATTCCTTGGCCATTTGCATTCAGAAGTACCAAAAACTAAAATCCTTTTTACTAAATAATTTCTTCTACACGAGACTTGTTTCCTCCACACCACCCTATCCAAATTGTCAGCATTATTCCAGAATATAATCATTTAGTTTGAGACCACTAAAAAACCCCGCAGTCCAAAATACCAATTGTGGTTTTTCTGTAAAGAAATGGTCAGAAACTACAAATTGTTATCCTAGGACACAGAACCAATCGACCAAAAGGACTTCTGGAATATGCTGCCCCCAAGATTTAGAATGCACAGGCAGAAATAGCATACGCGGTCACGATGTCCCTTAAGCCACATGACCTTCCTACGAAAGCAAAGGCTTAAACTTATCAAATGAGAACTCCCCCTTTCTCTGAAGTTAAAACAAGGCAGGGCAGCTGGAATTAGAGCAGCAGGGACAGATCGGCTGTTGACTAGTCAGAACGGGTCGTGGAATGCAAAGTCCCTGCGCTTTCGCTGCTCCCCTTACCGTGAGAAGATCTGGGAGGGAGGAAAGGAGGAGAAACACCCCAGAATCCTGGTAGAAAAGCCCCTGGCCTCGAAGATGGGCTCTAGGGAGACAGGGAGGGGCAGCTCCGTGTGTGATGACCCTTTGTGAACATGCACTCTGTGGCAGCTTCAGCTCCACCGAGGCTTTGGGAGAGCGGACTACGGATGCCCGGCGCGGCCCAGCTGTGAAGGCCGCGCCGGCGGAGAGGGTCCATGGCACCCCCGCCGGCTTCGGAAGCCCTTCCCTCTCCCACCTCCGCGGGTCACCCCAGGAACCAGCGGCTCCCGACCACGCTCGCGCGGACCACGGAACAGCGACGCGCAAGCAGGTCTCTTTCGTCAGCGTAATCCCTCCGCAGAAAGCCGCGCACTAGTTTTAATCACGCCCCACCCCCTGGCCGCTGGCGCCACCTCCGCCACTCGGGCGCTTTCCAGCAGCTTCCAGAAACGTCGCCTCCCCAAACCCAGCCACTCACACATGGCGGGCTCAGCAGCCACCGGCCCCGCCCCTCCTCGTCGCCGCAGTCGCAACTGCGTCTGCGGCCACAGGGCGGACAGCCACGCCTCTGCGGAGGGCGACCGGAAGTGCTCACGTCTTCACCTTCCCCGCCACGCCACCGTCCTTTCAGGCCCAGCGTGCAGCAGGAAGGAGGACTCTTTTGCCGCGGACTCAAGCCGGAAGCCGCCTTCCTAGTGGAGACGCGAGTGGGGGAGGAGCAGTCCGAGGGGAACGTGGGTTGAACGTTGCAACTAGGGTGGAGATCAAGCTGGAACAGGAGTTCCGATCGACCCGGTACCAAGAAGGGGAGTGCCCGCGGCAGGTAAGGGAGAAGAGGGAGGGGTTTCTTTCCGCTCTCGAAATTGGGAAAAGAGACAGAGCTGGGATGACCTATGGGGTAGTCGGCGCGCTGAAAGGATGGGCTGGGCTGGGACGGGGTTCAAGTGGGAAAGGTTGATGATTAAGGTATAGAGTTGGACTTACAGATCCGTTTGGGCGCAGAGAGGTGAACGCTGAAGAGAAACCAGAGTTTGTTTTCGTTTTCCAAGGAGCGTGGAGATGGGCAGGGTTAACGGACCCTGCGCCTCCTTCGGCTTCTTAGTTTGGGTGTTGAAACTCACCTCCTTTGGTCCTGTTCGTCTCTGATTCAAGACAGTTGGGTTTGGTACCTGACAGGGCTGGGTGCAGAAAGCTGACCCTGTTCCTCGGCTTCCAGGTCGGTTGTGGCCTCGCTTTTGACAGTTCACGTGCCGAGCCTACTCGCTCTCGGAGGGCGAGCTCAAATGGGTGGGTTTAAGGCCCCCTCTTCGAACAGCTGTTTCCCTGGGTTTCTCCATTTTGCACACAGGAGTGTGAATTAAGTTTAATTGAATACTTTTTGCGATTCCCAGGGCCACCTTGACACGTTCATTGTGCTATCTAACTGGGTTCATGCTGGGCTAATAATTCACATTAAGGCTTCTGGAGTATAAGTGGTTCACAGAAGTATGAAAAGGGGATGTTAGAAGAAAGATGCTGGGGGTGAAGTAGAGTTGAGGAAGACAGAACTGGAAAGCTAGGTTGGTTTCACAGTACAATGAGCTTTAGGTCATAATACTACCTTTAGGTTATATTGGGCTGTTTGGACGGAGTTTGCTGTAATCAGGCTAGAGTAAATAGAGAATTTTAAACTAAGCATTGACAGGCTCAGACTTGTAGAGGCATCATTTTGACAGTGATATGGAAGGGAAAGAGGTAGAGATTTGAGACCTTTCCAAAGAACTGTCCACAGAATTTGGTGACTTACTGTGCGAAGAGGGAAATAAAGAATAGGGAACAACTCAAGACTTTCTAGTCTGTGTGTTTGGAAGGATGGAGACGCCCACATTTAAGTGAGATATGGGAAGGAGGAGCAGATTGTTTTTGAAGGGAGGAAGAGCAGTTACTTAGGGTCAAATTAAGTTGTAAAATCCCCCCCGGGATTTTGTATGTAAGTCAAAGTGAATTGTATTTGGAAGAAGAACTGGGGAGCCCACCTCTGGTATTTTTTTTATGTCCCTCATATGGACAAATAAACCTCTGGTATTAAATGAATTTTCTTTTGGGGGATTCTATATATTCGGGATTTCAACCACCAACCTATCTGGTTTTTCCCGCTGAAATGTTGGGTGATGGAATCAGGAGAGCAGATTTGGAGACTCTTTATATTTTATAATTGAGAGAGACAAAGAGAAAACCGTTTGATTTGAAAAAGTTTTCTAGGTTCCCTCAGGTAGATGGAAATTTTCATCAAAAACAGTTTATTCAAGGTACATAGCCTACTAGTTTCCCATTTGAGAGTACCGCAGAATGATACGACGTGTACTGCTTCTCTACGCAGAATGAAGTATAAAATTAGCACCAAATAGTAACTTTAATTTGTCAGGTGCTAAACTTTTTACATGCTTTATCTCATTTAATTCTTAGAAGAAACTAATTTTACAAGTAAGTGTCTGGACCAACATCTGCAGGTACAAAGCCTGAAAAGCGTAAGTTTGACTCCTACATAGTTCTCTTTTGTAAGTAGATTATAAATAGAACCAGCCAAAGGTAATAAGTTGTCTGTGCCTAAAAAGAAAGAAAAAAGTTAGCATCAGTAGTTCTCACCAGAAGGGGTGATTTTGCTTACCAGGGGACATTTGGCAAGTCAGGAAACTTTTGGCTGTTGGATCTAGAGGGTAAAGGTCAGTGACGCTGCTAAACATCGTCAGTGCATAGAACAGCCTTCACAAACAATTATTTGGTCAAAGATATTTGTAGTGCTGCAGTTGAGAAATTTCTGTCTTATGGTTATTTCTTCAGGAATAGGAAATTAAGATTCGCCGATACTTTCTTTAAAAAGCAGTTTTATTTTTGAAATTATTCCTTGGCTTGAAAGGTTTGTGAAGTTTATATAGCCGAACCAGAATAGCGTAATTAGATTTTAAAGTGAATTGTGAGCCATCGATTCCCAGGAGATGGGTGTCATAGAATCATGGATTCTTGGATTTGGGAAAGACTTATGCCTAGAATTATTTTACAACATTTCTGCTAAGTGGTAATTCTCCTCTGCCCTAAAGGTCTCCTGTATTTGATTTTCCTATCATTGTGAACCCACAATTAAAATGCTCTTAATTATTTTTTGCTTACACTGAGCTCCGGTCTCTTGTAATTTTTACTCTGTTAAATGTGGTTCTGCACCATAGGACTGCACTCAAAACAAGCTTGCCACATATGTAATTTGTACTAGGACAGTGTTTATATTTTTGTTCAGATAACAAAATAAGTTAAATGTGGTGTAAATTAGATCATTTACAAATAATAATTTGTTAGCAGCTTTTAATAAGTAGTATTTTTCCCAACTGGTGAAGTATTAATGTTGGTAGTTGAAAACAATAGGAATGTATGGAATATATGGTTCACTGGTTCTTTTGTTCCTGTCAAATAGTGGCACAATGGATCTGGGGTTTTTCTCAGTATAATGCTGGCATATTTGTTTCAAATTGTACATAGACTCTAAAAAGTTAGGCTTTCAAATTCTGGTCAATATAGTTTGCTTTAAATAGTAGCTGCCTCTACTACAAGTTTTATTTAATTTGTTGACAAATGAGTCTGCTATGAAAACCGGTCCTGTTGCCAGTCACTACCCTCTGTTCACAAATTTGCTGGGTTTATAAATATAGGTATCATTTTCACTTCAAGATTATAATTTTAGAATATGTTTATTCTAGGACATATAGCCCTCAAAATCTGCTTACTATATACGTCTTATAAAATAGCATGGTTCTTTTTTATAGTAAATAGAATTTTTATTTAATTGTCTATTGACTTTTTTTTTCCAGGGTTCATTGAAAAAATCCTTAGTGATATTGACATGTCTCAAGTGACATAAATTAGCCAATGACTCGGAATGATGGATTCTCCGAAGATTGGAAATGGTTTGCCAGTGATTGGACCAGGGACTGATATAGGGATATCTTCACTCCACATGGTGGGGTATTTGGGAAAAGTTAGTGAACTTATTTTTTGCCTGAGTGCAAAGTTTTTTTTTTTTCTCTATTTTTGAGACTTAAATTCAATTTTGATGTTACCAGTTAACTTCTAAAAAATTGTGTCTTCCACGGAAATCTTACAGTAATGGCGAAAGATTGTTTTAATGTGTTTACCTTTCTGTGTTTTATTGATACATGAAAGTGGAAATAAAACATAGACCTTATGATTTACTGTTCTTTGAAAATATGGTACATAAATTCTCCCGGGTAATTGATGTTACTTTTTTCCTTGCAAATAAAATTGATACTATTCTTAACACATAAAATTTAATATTTAAAACTATAACATAATTCTTTTTGGAATAATAGCTGTATTTAAAGGCTTATATGCATTTCTTTTGTTTGCCATGTTTAAAATACCTTGTCAGGATACTTGTAATTGAAAATTATAATTTTTTCTGGTTACCTTTCCATTTAACTTTTAATATTTTGATATATTCTAGGAATGTCTATATTTTAATTTGCTTTATTTCTCTTTTAGAATTTTGATTCAGCTAAAGTTCCATCAGATGAGTATTGCCCTGCTTGTAGAGAGAAGGGAAAGTTAAAAGCCTTAAAGACTTACCGAATTAGTTTTCAAGAATCTATCTTTTTGTGTGAGGATCTGCAGGTAAAGTATTAATCTTATATAGTATATATAAGATTTTTCTTTTTTCTTTTGCTTTTTTATTAATTGTTTTAAAAGTTTACTCATTTTTTGTTTTTTAGACTAGATTTTTAATATGTAATCTCAGTTTGTAAGTCTGTCTGGTATACAATGTTATTTTTCCACCTACCTTTACTTGGTTGCGTAAAGATGTTCGTTTTTATTGCCATTTGATTTGCGAGAGGAGAAAATACATTTCAAGGTTTTTTTCTTTTTTTTTAACCTTTTGGAGGTCCTTGTTAGCTATTAGCATATAGTAGTTACTCTCTCATCTCTTTGGTTTATCTTTGCAACTGATGGGAAAAGTTATGAATTTCTAATGTACCTGGAAGAGTATTTTGGAAATTGGTTAGTCCAAAACCAGTATATATACTCTGAACTAAAGAGAGTATAGAATCTTGTAAATTCTAAAAGATCCTTTTAGAAGCTCTAAATCGCTTTTAGAATTATAGTAATTTGTACCGACTGGTACGGCTTTTATATAGCAGCTCATTAAATTCTGTAATACTCCACATTTTATTGTATTTGACAGTTTATGAGACTGTCTCATACACTTTTAATTCTCAGAACTTTGCAAGATTTGTATTCCTATTTCATGAATAAGAAAATAAATTGATTTCAGAGGGTTTGGGAACATAAGATCCTGATACAGTGGCAGAGCTGTGGTTGGAATACAGACTTCTAATTTCAGATCTGTTTATTCCAGCAAAAAATTAGCAGTTCATCAGAATTACCTGGAGTGCTTTTAATAAATTTCTGAGTATCACCCCCAGATGCTGATTCAATAGAGTTGGCCCAGAATTCTGTGGTTTTGTAACATTTGAGGATGAGTCTGATCATCATCAGCCAGGTTTGGAAAATACTAGACTAAATCACATGGTTGTTAATAGATACTTATGCTGGGTATAATTTGAAGTAAAGTAATCCCAGGCGTGTCTACAAATATAAATTTCTTTATGTTTATATTCAGTAATTTTTTTTATGAGTGTCACTGTTTGGCACTGTTGCAGATACAATGTTAGGATACAATAATAAAACAAAAATTTCTTGCCCTTAAGGAAGTTATGTCATAGAGTGGGAAAGACAGTGAACAAGTATGTGTTTTTCTGTCAGGTGATAAAAAGTGCTGTGGAGAAAAATAAGGCAGTAGGGACTGGAATGCCAAAGTAGGGGGAGTTTGCAATTTTAAATAGGATGGTGAGGGGAACGCTTCAATGAAAAGTGCAATTCGAGCAAAAGCCTGAAAGAGGTGAAGAGCAGTGAGCTTTCTAGGCAGGGGAAGCAAGTTCCAGGAAGGCCCTGAGAGAATGGAGGCTGCCTGTCATGTTTGTGCTACTGCAATGAAAGCAGCAGAGCGATAGAAGGTGGATCAGAAAAATAATGGGGGAGCTGGACCAAGTAGGGTCTTATAAGCCATTGTAAGCTTTCTGGCTTTTACTATGGGTGAAACCAGGAACCATGGCAGAGATGTTGGCAGAGGAGTGACATAAGTTGACTTCAGTGTTAAAAGCATTACTGTGGCTGCACTGTTGAAAATATATGTAATGGGCAAGACCTGAAGCAGGGAGATTAGTTATAGTATAATATGAATTATATTTGGTCCTTGTCTATGGTTTCCGTTACAGAGCTAAAAGTCTTGGAATTTCCTGAATGATAAGAGTGTCCTGTTATTCAGAATGAGCCTGTTTGCTAACACCGGGGTTCATACTATTGTGGTGACTTAGGATGGAGCCGTAGATAGCCTCAGATGGGGCAAGTAGCTGGAAAGACCACATGATTAGAGAATTAACGGGTTAGAACTTTTAGCCCCACGTACAGGCCTCCAGGAAAGGAGTGGAGGGGCTGGAGATCAAGCTGTATAAAAATATCAAGATTTGGATTTAATGAGTGGGTTGCTGGGGGCTGGTGCCGTGTAGGAGGTGGTATGCTTAGAGGAAGTGGAAGCTTCATACCTCTTCTGTCCCATACCTTGCCCTACTCATTTCTTCATCTATACCCTTTATAATATCCTTTAGGATAAACCAATAAACATAAGTAAGTGTTTGTTTGAGTTCTGCGAGCTGTCCTTGCAAACTAGTTATGCCCAAGAAGGGGGAGTGGGAACCTTTGTAGCCAGTCAGTCAGATGTACTGGTGGCCTGGATGTGGGATTGGCATCTGAAGTGGAGGGAGTCATGGGACTGAGCCCTCAACCTGTAGGATCTGACATGGTCTCTAGGTAGATAACATCCAAATGGAATTGGATTATAGGATACCCATTTGGTGTCCTCTGGAGAATTGCTTGGTGTGGGGAAAAAGCCCCCACACATCTGGTCACAAAAGTGTGCTGGGAGGATAGAATATGTGAAAATTGTCATAATCAAAATGGAGTCACTTGTGTTAAAAAAGAAAAAAAAATCCTGACTGGCCAGGCACAGTGGCTGACAACTGTAATCCCAACACTTTGGGAGGCTGAGGCAGGAGGATTGCTTGATCCCAGGAATTGGAGACCAGCCCATGCAACATAGTGTGGCCTTGTCTCTACAAAAAAAAAAATTTAAATTAGCTGGGCATGGTGGTGTGAGTCTGTAGCCCCAGCTACCCGGGAGGGGGACTACGGGTGCACGGCACCATGCCCAGGAGGTCCAGGCTGCAGTGAGCTGTGATTGTGCCACTGCATTCCAGTCAGGATGACAGAGTGTGAGACCCTGTCTCTATTAAAAGAAAAAAAAAAGACAAATAGATCCAGGAAAGGCTATGAAGAGAGAGCTTTCATGCATAAATACCAAAATATCTCAAAAGACTCTGCAAAAACCACACCCTTGCACAAAGGCCATCATGAAATACTTCTGAAATACACAGAAAATACATCATGAAATAAATACACAGAAAATACTTCTGCAAGGACATCTGCCCAGCAACTGCCTGGTCCATCTGTGGACGGGTGTCATCCTTGTTATTGATCCTTGTAGCCAAGGGTAATTATCTCAAAACAAGTATGTGATCCTCCTTATTTTCCTTTAAAAACCTTTTGTCTTCCCTTACCTCCCTGAACACACACAGTTTACTATGGCATGTGTATTCCCATTGGAATACTTTATTCCTGAATAAATGTCACTTTCTTTTTAGAAGCTTCTCTTTTCTTTTTATTTAGATTGATAAGTAGAAAGGAAAAAAAGCTTTTTTCCCTTTGGACTAGTTGAAGGCAGTTGCAGTATTCTGGGGGAGAGGGTGGTGGCAGAGGTGTTGAGGCATGGTTGGAGTTTATTTATACTTTGAAGGTAAAGCCAACAGGATTTGCTGAAAGATTGGGATATGGGGTTGGAAAGAGGAATCAAGGATAGTTCCAAGATTTTTGGCTTGAAAAATTAGAAGAATGGAATCGTGAATTACTGAGCTGGGAAGACTTGGAAGAGCAAGGTTTTGGGGAGAAGATCAGGACTGTAAGAATAGAGAAGTCCTTGTCCCCAGGAGTTAGGTTTTTGGCTATTAAAGTTAGATGTACTACATAGATTTTTAGTTGGTTTTTTGTTTTTTGTTTTTTTTTTTTTTTTTTTTGAGACGGAGTCTCGCTCTGTCACGAGGCTGGAGTGCAGTGGTGCGATCTCGGCTCACCGCAACCTCCGACTCCCTGGTTCAAGGGATTCTCCTGCCTCAGCCTCCTCAGTAGGTGAGATTACAGGCATGTGCCACCCAGCCCAGCTAATTTTTGTATTTTTAGTAGAGACGGGGTTTCACTATGGCCAGGATGGGCTTGATTTCCTGACCTCAGGTGATCCACCCACCTCGGCCTCCCAAAATGCTGGGGTTACAGGTGTGAGCCACCACGCCCAGCCCGGAGTTTTGGTTTTTGAAGCATTCTTTTTCAAGTGATAAAGCAAAAAATATATAATCAAGAATTTTAAGTATATACTTTGGAAATGTTAAAAAGGAACATGAGTAATTTATTATTATTTTTTTAATTTCTAGTCAGCAATGAGAGCCCAGTGTACTTTATGAAGTAGATTGGTTTACACCAGGAGTGAGCAGACATTTTGTATGATGCACAAACAAGGAATGATTTTTTTGTTTTTTAAATGGTTAGGAAAATATCAAAATAAAAAATGCCAGAAAAAATCAAAAGAAGGGCCAGGTGCAGTGTTTCACACCTGTAATCCCAGCACTTTGGGAGGCCAAGGTGGGTGGATTCTCTTGAGGTCAGGAGTTCGAGACCAGCCTGGCCAACATGGTGAAAACCTGTCTCTACTAAAAATACAAAATAGCCGGGTGTGGTGGCATATGCCTGTAATCCCAGCTACTTGGGAGGCTGAGGCAGGAGAGTCGCTTGAAGCCAGTGGCAGAAGTTGCAGTGAGCCAAGATTTGAGCCACTGCACTCCAGCCTGGGCGACAGAGGAGACTCTATCTCAAAATAAATAAATAAATAAATAAATAAATAAATAAATCAAAAGAAGAATACCCTTTCATAATATGTGAAAATTAAATGAAATTCAAATTTCAGTGTTCATAAATAAAGTTTTACCGGAACATAGCCATGCTCAATCATTTATGTATTGTTCATGGCTTCTTTTGCATACAACAACAGAGTTGGGTAGTTGTGACAGACTATGTAGCTCATAAAATCTAAATATTTATTATCTAGCCCTTTATCAGTAAACTTTGCTGATCCCTGTATAAGTCCTCTGAATCAAATTATTTCCAAAGAGTTCCGTTATAAAATTTGGAGTTTACTCTGCTGTAAATTGCAAAGAACCATTTGGAAAACCTCTTTTAGTCAGGTATTTACATTAAAATGTTCCTTGATTTGTAAACACTAATATTCAAGACTGGTCCAAAATTATACCAAATTGAAACTCTCAAGTGTTTTTAAACAGTAGGAAGTTTTAACTTTTTTTTTTTCGTGGAGTAGTCTATCATTCAGCGTTTACTTTGGAACATTTAATTAGTCTTTTTTAAAAACCCATGAAATTTATAATAAAAATTTTAAATCATTAATGTTGAGTAATCAAAGAAAACTTTTTTTGTTTTCTCCATTTGTAAAATGAGTACATTATTATTATAATTTGTCTTTGGCCATACCTTGTTGATAATTACTTATACAAGTATAAGAAGACATGGTATGTTTTCCTTTTTCCTATTTCACAAGAATAAGTACAGGAATTTACTTAAGCTGCTCCAAAACTCAGTGAAAGAGACAGGATTAGGTTTTTTTCAGCATTGGATTTTAAATGATACTAGATGGTTGCGCTGGGCTAAAATACTAATGCTTTGTGTATATTTTTATGACTTTTTTGAAGACAGCTTAAAAGCTTTATTCTAGTTATAAAAATGATACATGTTCACTGTAAATAGAAACAAGTCAGGTATACAGAGATACAAATATTTAGAACATGTGGAAAGAGGCAACAAAATTTTATAAAAAGAAAAAAGATAAAAATCTGAAATCATTAATTTATAAGGGAAAAATCAGGGCAAGGACAAATTATATTACAGATTGGCCTATGGTGGGAGCACAGATTATATAGAGAAAAGTCAGTGAAGACACTTGCGAAGAGTGTGGGTGGAAATCACTAAGTTTTGCAGTCCCGGGGCCTCTTATGGTTTATTACTGTTTTGTTCTTTTTTTTTTTTTAATATGCATTCCTTTGGAACCAAGGGTTTATTATGTTTTGAATAAAGTAGAGGTGTAAGTAGGATGCATATACCATGATCTTGACTACTTGAGATTCACAAAGGGTTTTCGTCTCAGGATTTTTTTTTCTCTTAAAAAAATTTGTATTAATTTTTAAATTGTAAAAAAATTCATCAACTTAACCATTTTTATGTATAGAGTTCAGGAGTATTAGGTATATTCACTTGTGCAGCAGATCTCTAGAACTTTTTTCATCTTGCAAAACTGAAACTCTGTACCCATTAAACAACCACTTCCCATTTTCCTCTCCCCCAGCTTCTGGCAACCATTCTAGTTTCTGTTTCTTTTCTTTTTTTTTCTTTTGAGATGGAGTCTCTGTCGCCCAGGCTGGAGTGTAGTGGCATGATCTCGGCTCGCTGCAACTTCTGCCTGCGGGTTCAAGCAGTTCTCCTCCCTCAGCCTCCTGAGTAGCTGGGACTACAGGGGTGCACCACCATGCCTGGCTAATTTTTTTTTTTTTTTTTTTTTTTGTATTTTTAGTAGAGACGGGGGTTTCACCATGTTGGCCAGGCTGGTCTCGAACTCCTGACCTCAGGTGTTCTGCCTGCCTCAGCCTCCCAAAGTGCTGGGATTACAGGCTTGAGCCACTGTACCCGGCCTCTAGTTTATGTTTCTATGAATCAGACTCAGTACCTCATATAAACGGAATCATACAGTATTTGCCTTTTTTGTGACTGGCTTATTTCACTTGGCATAATGGCCTCAAGATTCATCCATGTTGTAGCATGGATGAATATACAGTTAGGAGTTCCTTTTCTTTTTTAAGTCTTAATCTCCAGTTTATTTCTGTTTATTTATTTATTTTATTATACTTTAAGTTCTGGGATACATGTGCAGAACGTGCAGGCTTGTTACATAGGTATACACGTGCCATGGTGGTTTGTTGCACCTGTCAGCCTGTCATCTACGTTAGGTATTTCTCCTAATGCTATCCCTCCCCTAGCCCCCTACCCGCCGACAGGCCCCGGTGTGTGATGTTCCCCTCTCTGTGTCCGTGTGTTCTCATTGTTCAGCTCCCACTTACGAGTGAGAACATGCGGTGTTTGGTTTTCTGTTCCTGTGTTAGTTTGCTGAGAATGATGGTTTCCAGCTTCATCCATGTCTCTGCAAAGGACATGAGGAGTTTCTTACTTTTAAGGTTGAGTAATATTCCACATTATGTGTATGCCACATTTTCTTTATCCATTCACCTATCTGCAGATGTTTGAGTTGCTTTCACTTTTTGGGAATTGTGAATAATGCTGCAGTGAATGTGGGTGTGCAGGTACCTTTTCAAGATTCTGCTTTTGAGTTTTTTTTGGATACGTACCTTTTTATGATGCTTTAAATACATATATGCTATTTTTAAAGGATTCTCAGTTTTCTGACATATGATAGGACTTAGGAAGTAATCTCAAAGCATCATGTTGACAGGTTGTTAGTTGATGGTGACTGCAGCTAGTTGGAAAGTCAGAAGAATCTAGAACTTGTCCATTTATACTAAAGAATTTCATAGTAAGTGCAGTATTATGAGTGTAATGTTCAATTGGTAGAAGAGGCTATCTGAGGGGATTTAGTGCATTTCAGTTATCTGTTGGTGTGAAACGAATCACCTTGAAACTTAGTCGCTCAAAAATTTTAATGGTGGCTGGGCATGGTGGCTCACATCTGGAACTCCAGCACTTTGGGAGGCCGAGGCAGGCAGATTGCTTGAACCCAGGAGTTTGAGAGCAGCCTGGGCAACGTGGTGAAACCTTGTCTCTACAGAAAATACCGTGGCAGGCGCCTTTAGCACCAGCTACTTGGGAGGCTAAGGTTGTAGGATCTCTTGATCCCAGGAGGCAGAGGTTGCAGTGAGCTGGGATCGTGCCACTATACTCCAGCCTGGATAACAGAGCCAGACCCTGTCTCAAAAAAAAATTTTAATGGCTCCATTTATTATTTCACATGATTATGTGAGTTGACTAGGGAATTCTTACACATCACACCATGTCAGCTGGGACAGCTGAAATGTCCACATGGCTGGCAGTTGGTACTAGCTGCTAGCTGGAAGTTGAGTTCAAATAGTCAGCCAGGGGTCTCAGTTATTTTCCATGAGGTTCTCTCCATGAGGCCAGCTGGGCTCTTCACAGTGTGATAGCTGGGACTAAGAAGGAGTGTTCCAGAAGAAGGGCTTGTCCTCTTGAGCCAGTGCTTATCAGGCCTCTATGTATATCATGTGTGCTAATGTTCCATCAAAGCTAGTCACAGGGCCAAGCCAACTCTGTACAGTGTAGGGACTGGCTGCAGGAGGGCATGAATTACCAGGAGGTGTAGTTCTCTAGTTCATAGGGAGGGCCATCAAGATAGTAGTCTACCATACTTGTGTAAAAGAAGGCATTAATTAACTATTATTATTATTATTATTATTATTTTAGAGACAGGGTCTTGCTCTGTTGCCCAGGCTGGAGCAGTAGAGTGGGGCAATCATAGCTCATTGCAGCCTCCAACTCCTGGGCTTAAGCAATCCTCCCATCTCAGCCTCCCAAGTAGCTGGGAATACGGGAGTGTACTGCCATGCCCACCTGAAAAAGAAGGCATATTTTAAAAGCAGACCTTTAGTGTAGAGGGTTCTTGAATTTGTTATTTAAAATATTCTGGTAGTTTTTAAACTTAGGAAAGACCCACTGATTCTTTTAGTGATATGTTTACATTGTTGTTATTTGGCATAAATTGTGTTAATGCACAGTAAGATTTCATGAAGTCATTAAAATTCAGCCACTTGGACTCTAAACCCAATAAAGATGTAAAACAGCAGTGCTATGAGATGCATATTCAGTTTCAAAATATAGGAAACACAGAAATTACTCTGTGCACTTTTAATTTGAAAATACTTTTAAAATGTGTAGTATAATGTAGTGTCTGTCCCAAAAGAGTAACATTCATTATAGTGTTTCTTTACGTTGTTGAAAATTTTAAATTCACTTAACATTAGATTTTTATTAAAGCAAAAATATGTTTTCCTTATTAGCTTACCCTTTTGTAACTCAGATTAAACCCTTGATTGTTCAAATTAACCTGAAAAAAATTATTCTTTTGGAGGCCAAACTTTTGATTAAGTAGTTGTTTGTCTCTAATTTTTTCAAATTTATGTGTATAAATATAACCTGTCATCAAATCAATGCTAACATTCTATACATGTTTTTCATGATATGAAAACTATAAAACATGAAGTTATTTGAATTTGTGTAGTTTTTATCATTTTATTTTTACTTTCCAGTGCATCTATCCTTTGGGCTCTAAATCACTTAATAACCTAATTTCTCCTGATTTGGAAGAATGTCACACTCCACATAAGCCTCAGAAAAGGAAGAGCTTAGAAAGCAGCTATAAGGATTCACTTCTTTTAGCAAATTCCAAAAAGACTAGAAATTATATTGCTATTGACGGTGGAAAAGTTTTGAACAGCAAACATAATGGAGAAGTATATGACGAAACCTCGTCAAACTTACCTGATAGTAGTGGTCAACAGAATCCAATTAGGACAGCTGATTCCTTGGAGCGGAATGAGATTTTGGAAGCTGATACTGTTGACATGGCTACTACAAAAGATCCTGCTACAGTTGATGTCTCTGGAACTGGCAGACCTTCCCCTCAAAATGAAGGATGTACATCTAAACTGGAAATGCCACTGGAGAGCAAATGTACATCATTTCCCCAGGCTTTATGTGTCCAGTGGAAAAATGCTTATGCTCTCTGTTGGTTAGACTGTATCCTGTCAGCTTTGGTGCACTCGGAAGAGTTAAAGAACACCGTGACTGGACTGTGCTCGAAGGAGGAATCTATATTCTGGCGGTTGCTTACAAAATATAATCAAGCAAATACACTTCTATATACCAGTCAATTGAGTGGTGTTAAAGGTTGGTACTAATATTTTATTTTTATTTACTTATTTATTCATCTGGAGTCAGGGTCTCATTCTGTCACCCAGGCTGGAGTGCAGTGGCATGATCATGTCTCCTTGCAGCCTTGACTTCCCTGGCTCAGGTGGGCCTCCCACCTCAGTCTCCCAAGTAGCTGGAACTACAGTCGTGCACCACCATAGCCAGCTAAGATAGTGAGATGGTGGCCCCACTGTCTTGCCCAGGCTGGACTCGATTTCCTGGGTGCAAGCACCCTTCCCGCCTCAGCCTCCCAAAGTGCTGGGATTACAGGCATGAGTCACCATTCCAGCCTACTTGTCTTTAATTCTTAAAAATATTAATGTTGAGTTTTGTCTCCCAGCATGTGGGAAAGATGTCATCCATTGCTTCTGTTTCCTGGAGGCCTGGGAGCAAGGAGCCCAGGAACAGTATCACGAAGCTTGAGATAATACCAGTTACATTATCCTGACTGCCCAAAAGGCAGTTTTTTTGTTTTTTTTTTTTATACTTTAAGTTCTGGGGTACATGTGCAGAACGTGCAGTTTTGTTACATAGGTATACGTGTGCCATGGTGGTTTGTTGCACCCATCAACCCGTCACCTATATTAGGTATTTCTCCTAATGCTGTCCTTCCCCAACCCCTCCATTCCCCATCAGGCCCCAGTGTGTGATGTTCCCCTCCCTGTGTCCATGTGTTCTCATTGTTCAACTGTCACTTATGAGTGAGAATATATGGTGTTTGGTTTTTTGTTCTTGTGTTAGTTTGCTGAGAATGATGGTTTCCAGCTTTATCCATGTCCCTGCAAAGGACATGAACTCATCCTTTTTTATGGCTGCATAGTATTCTATGGTGTATATGTGCCACATTTTCTTTATCCAGTCTATCATTGATGGGCATTTGGGTTGGTTCCAAGTCTTTGCTATTGTGATTTTTTTTTTTTTTTTTTTTTTTTTAAGACAGAGCCTCACTCTGTTGCCCAGGCTGGAGTGCGATGGCATGATCTCAGCTCACTGCAACCTCCGCCTCTCAGGTTCAAGCAATTCTTCTGCCTCAGCCTCCCAAGTAGCTGGGACTACAGGCGCCCACCACCAGGCCCAGCTAATTTTTGTATTTTTAGTAGAGACAGGGTTTCACCATGTTGGTCAGGCTGGTCTTGAACTCCAGACCTCATGATCTGCCTGCCTTGGCCTCCCAAAGTGCTGAAATTACAGGTGTGAGCCACCATACCTGGCCTAGGCAGTCTTTTTCAAAACTCTAAGACTGTGCTTGTGTCTCAGGGTGTCAGGATAATAGTGGTTAGTTTTAAGTGTTTAAACTACTGAAAAGCAGAATGAAGAAGTGAGTAAAAATCACCCATAATCACACAACCTCCTAAGATCTCTTGGCACAATAAGGGATATGTTTTTCATTTTATTCTCTGTAAAATAGGATACTTATGAACCCACCTCCCAACACAGGAAGAATTAAAACATTCCCAATAACTTACATTTACCTATGCGTTTCCTCCCATCCCATTCTCTACCTCCCCCCCATAAGTAATCATTATCTGAAATGTGTTTCATCATTCCATCTTTTCTTAGTTTTTCTTACATGTGTTTATCTAAACAGTATACAGTAGTCTCCCCTTATTGTAGTTGTACTTTTCTTGGTTTCATTTAACCCGAGGTCTGAAAGTAGATGAGTATAGTACAGTAATATATTTTGAGAGAGAGGGAGACCACATTCACATAACTTTCATTACAGCATATTGTTATAATTGTTGTATTTTATTATTAGTTTTAATCTTACTATGCCTAATTATAAAACTTGATCATAGGTATGTAGTTATAGGAAAAAGCATAATATATAAAATGTTTAGTTACTATCCAAGGTTTTAGGCATCCACTGGGGTCTTGGAAGGTATCCCTCTCAGATAATGGGGGATGGATGGTACTGAACCCTGTATATACAATGTTTTTCCCTATACATACATAATTATGATCAAGTTTAATTAAGAGTAAATTAAATGTGGGCCAGGTGCAGTGGCTCACATCTGTAATCCCAGCACTTTAGGAAGCTGAAGCGGGCAGATCTCATGAGGTCAAGAGTTCGAGACCAGCCTGGCCAACATGGTGAAACCCCATCTCTACTAAAAAATACAAAAATTGGCTGGCTATGGTGGCACACGCCTGTAGTCACAGCTACTCTGGGAGGTTGAGGCAGGAGAATTGCTTGAACCCAGGAGGTGGAAGTTGAACAATCACTTGAACCTGGGATCACGCCACTGCACTCCAACCTGCCTGGGTGATAGAATGAGACTCTGTCTCAAAAAAAAAAAAAAAAAAAAAAAAGTAAAGTAAATGTGGCTCAACATGTTGCTGTCAGTTGGAACATTTGTTTCTGATCGTGTCTTCCACCCACAAATTGAATGCTTTTTCCATCTTAACACTTATCAGGCACTGTGGCCATAACTTGAGCAGTTGAGATGCAACAGCAAAATTAGCACAAATTTCTTTTTCTTTCTTCGCAGTTTCATGGATAAGAGATTTGTTCTTAGATCTCAGCAACCTCAGCATATGATTTTTTTCTTTAAGTTGAGAACTTTGACCTTTTTACTTAGAGAAGCATTTTACAGCTTCTCTTTGGCATATCTGAATTGCCAGCATTACTATGCTCGTGCTTTGGGGCCATTATTAAGTCAAATAAGGGTTGCTTGAACACAAGCACTGCAATACCATGGCAATAGATCGCATCACCAAGATGGCTGCTAAGTGAACCACAGGCAGGAGTGTAGACAGCATGGACACATTAGACGAAGGGAAGATTCACGTTGCCAGTGGAACACAGCAGGACAGCAAGAGAGTTCATGATGCTACTCAGAATGGCATGAAATTTAAAGCTTATAAATTGTTTCTGGAATTTTCCGCTTAATATTTTCAGACCACGGTTGAGTTCAGGTAACTGAAACCATAGGAAGCAAAACACGGATGAAGAGGGACCACTTCGTATTGCCTAATTTAGTTTGTTTTGATCTTCTGGGACCTTTTTTTCTTGTTGTAAAAATTTATGGGGCTGTTTATAGTTGTGGCTCATTGATTTTTCATTGCTACATAATACTTCCATTTTGTAAATATAACAGAATATTCATCTACCTGTCAGTGGACAGTGGGGTTTTTTTGCCATTATAAATGCTGCTGCTGTGACCATTTGGGGGGCAAGTCTCCTGGGGCACAGTATGAGTTTCCCTTCTGTATAACAAAGGAATGGAAAATTATAGACTTTCGTGTCCAAATTTACAAGATAATGACAATTGTTTTCCAAAGTGGTTGTACCAAGCAATTCTCCCATTAATAGTGTATATAAGAGGTCTTCCTGATCCATATATTCTTCTTGGTTTATTTTCACACTTTTGAGATTTTTGCTATTTGAGTGGTATAAAATGGTCTGTGATCTTGATTTGCCGTTTCCACATTTTGAAGAGGTTGTCGGCTCTATGTGTATATATTGCTCATATTTGTTCCCTCTTCTGTGAAATGCCTTTTGTATCTTATCCCTATTTGTTCTGTTCTGTTGATTGTCACGTTTTAATTGATTTGTATGAGTTTGTTCCTTGTATCATTGTTGCTAGAGTTACATCAGATGTGTTGCTGAATCTGCTCCCAGTTTGCAGCTTGTGTTTTTACTTTTTAAAAACTGTCTTGATTTATAGGGAAGTCTTTATCTTTTCATTTGGAGCTAGTAATGTTTGTGGCTTTTTAAAGAAATTATTACTATTCCCAAGGTCAGAAAATCATTCACCTATATTTTAACTGAAAAGTTATAAAGTTTTGCTTTTGACATTGAAATTTCTCATTCAGTTGGAATTCATATTGATGTGTGGTATGAGGTAAGGATCCATTTTTTTCCCATTTGCATAGCCAGTTTTTGTAGCTCCACTTTATTTTCTCACTTGATCTGCCATGCCACCTCTAGCATGTATCAACATATCATGTATGTGTGCAGCTGTTCCTTAACTCTCAATTTTATTCTCTTGGTTACTTTGTCTAACCCAGCACTCATACTTTTTAAATTATTATGGCTACCTTGTAGGGCAAGAATCCTCACTTTTATTCAACTTCTTTTGAAGTGTCTTGATGCATATTTTTTCTGATCTTACTTGGCCATATATATTTTGGGGACAGATGTGACATCATACCAAGCTTTCTTTGCTTGACATTGTAGATATTTTCTTATTCATTAATGTGCTAAAAATTTTGAGTTTGGTCATACAGTCTTTTATATGGATCTTATACATCGTTTCCCTCTTGTTAACCATTCAGGCTGTTACTAGTTTTTGCTGTTGTGAATTAACACCAGGACAAATATCCATATATCTTTTGAATTAATTACTGACTAGTTTCCTAGGAAAGATATTAGAATATGAATATTAAAGGTCTTGCTGAATACAGTTTTCAGAATGGTTGTACCAATATATAATTCCATTTTCATTATGTAGAAAAAATACCTCAGTGTTTTCTAACCACCTTTGGTTAGAACATTCAAGACGTTATGGTTTTGTTAGGTAAGAAATATTTTGTTTCAGTGTAGGTTTTCTTTGAGACTGAACTTTTTTGTGTGTGTCAGTCATTTACAGTTTTTTGCAATTTTTAAAATTCAGTTTCTCACAAGCATTTTGCCTTTGACTTTTCTTCTATTTCTGCTTTCTCTAATTACAGAAACCCCAGTGTTAAGTAGGTGACAGTTCAGTTGTTTGCTGCAGAAGAGCAGCAGTTCAATATTGGAATTAACTTTAATTTTATGTTTTTAATCTGTTACTAATTTTTTACAGAATAATTGTAGTTTTTATAATCTGGTTAATTATATGTTTGAGCTGCATTACTTTGCAATGTAAGTTTTTTTTTTTGGCATGGTCAAATAACAAAAATTCTGGTTAATGCTTATTTCATATTACAGGAGAATCCAGATATTTCATTAGGGAAACATATAAGCAGAGTGTGATCAGGCTGTATGAATTATTTATAAGAGATGTGAGTGAAAAGATCTATTTGTAGCTTAAGAGTAAGTAGAGTCAGATGCATGTAGAGTCTTTTATTCAAAATAATTTTCTTATTAATCTTGGATAGTTTCTTGTCACAGTAATTCCATTTTGAAGATAATAAATATTACCATAAAGAAGTGATCAAAAACATAGATATGTGTGCCCAAAGGTATTTATCACAATAGTATTTATAATAGTGAAAAAAGAAACAACTAAAATGTCTGGCAATAGGAGAATGATTAATAAAGCGATGTTTCAGCTGAATATAGTGGCATGCGCCTGTAAGCCCAGCTACTCAGGAGGTTGAGGCTGCAAGATGGCTTGAGCCCAGGAGTTAATGACCAGCCCAGGCAACATAGCAAGACCCTGTCTCCAAACACACAAACACACACACAAGTGCTATGTTTCAGTCACTGTATAATAACTAGCCAGATTTTTTGTTGTTGTTGTTTTGTTTTTGTTTTTGTTTTTTGAGAGAGCATCTCACTTGCCCAGGCTGGAGTGCAGTAGTACAATCACAGCTCACTGCAGCTTGTAGAACCCTAACCCTCCTGGGCTCAAATGATCCTCCCACCTCAGCCTCCTGAGTAGCTGGGACTACGGGTGGGTACCACCATACCCAGCTTTTTTTCTAAGAGATAGGGGTTTCACTATGTTGCCCAGGCTGGTCAGTTTTTAATGAAGCACATTTGTGTAGACAAAGCAGGATGTGGAACCGGATAAACACTATGTTGCCACTGAAGACCCCTTCAAACCCCTCAAAAATGACATAGAAGGGAAATATGAGATATTAGTTTGGGAAATAATTGTAACTTTATTAAGACTCCTTATAAATTTATCTGTTCCTATGACCTGGCTAAGTTCAATAAAAGTTACACAGAGTGGAATAAATGGTTAGACATCATTTGTAGTATAAGTAATTGCACATAAGGAGGTAACTTTAGCTGTTTTAGAGATAGACATAGTATCTGAAAGGTTAGTTATTTTACTAGACCTGTGATTATTTGGGTGAGAAAGGCTTTCACTGAGATTTTACCCATTCAGTAAGTACTAATGATATTGTGCTGATAGCATATATTAAGGGAATATATGGTATACCACAGAGAAAGAATTAAGGAAATTTTGTGTTTTGCTTTTTGTCTGTTTGCAAAACTTACTGACTCAGCTTTCATTCTTGGGAATGTGTCAGTTTTCTGTGGGAAGATATACATTGATGAGGAATTGATAATGTTCTCTGTATTTTCTTAGATGGAGATTGTAAAAAACTTACCTCAGAAATATTTGCAGAGATAGAGACCTGTCTGAATGAAGTTAGAGATGAAATTTTTATTAGCCTTCAGCCCCAGCTTAGATGCACATTAGGTAAGTAATTGGTAAAACTTACTTGTATTATACTCATCTACCATATAGAAATATGTACCTCATAAGGAAATATAATACTGTTTGATTACCTTGGATGATCATATTCTTGGGAGAGAGAATCTGAGTAGTTTGACTTAGGAATCTACCACTGGGTAAGTTATTGTAGGGCAGAGCTGTTCCATATAAATATGTAGGCTGGTGTTCCACCTCTTGAGAGTGGGTGCAGTTCTCAGAACCAGGAGAATTTTAGGGGGCATATCATTAGTTGCTTCTCTAGTACGTTTCCTAGTAGACAGATCTAGCATTTTTAACCTCAATTGTGCATTAAAAAGCACCGAGGGAATTTAAAAGTAAATGCCAATGCTGGGGCATTTGAATTAGGATCTCAGGGATGGGGCTCAGGAAATCAGTAATTTTTAGAAACCCCACATGATTGTTATATGTACCCAGGGTTTAGAATCTCATCTAAACCAACCATAGTAATTCTACTTCCCTACCAGTGATTGGTTTAGGAATGTCCTTGTGGTAGAGTTTTGGCCAGTGGATATTAAGAGAAATATGCTGATGGCCTTTTGGGAAAGCTTCCTCGCCTTTAGAAAGGGCACAAGGATGGGACCTCTTTGTTCTCTGTGACTTGGTTTTTGGCCTGTGGGAGTGGCGTGCAGCAAGTGAGCTAGAGAGTCTGTCCAAACCTTTCTAAATTTTTTTAGTATTGCGAAAAGGAGCTGCGGGGTTTTTTTGTTTGTTTTTGTTTTGAAAGGGCTTTTTGTTTTATTTTTCTTGTATCCTTGTATTAACTCTTCTATTAATGTTATAGTAGCAGAATATGATACTCCCTATTAGTAATAACCCATATTATGTAAAATATCAGTGCCTTCTAGTTTTTCTCTCAATGAGTGACATTTAACTTATATTAAAAAATGATATTTATATTTTATAATAAAATCAGTTGTTGCTACTGATTTGTCTAGCATGTACAAAAGACACCATGCTTCCAGATCATTATAAAATATGATATTTTATAATATATTTACAATATATTTATAACATATTTATATACTTAGAATATATTTTATAAGGCTGGGCTTGGTGGCTCATGCTTGTAATCCCAGCACTTTGGGAGGCCAAGGCAGGCGTATCACAAGGTCAAGAGATTGAGACCATCCTGGCCAACATGGTGAAACCCTGTCTCTACTAAAAATACAAAAATTAGCCGGGCGTGGTAGTGTGTGCCTGTAGTTCCAGCTACTCGGGAGGCTGAGGCAGGAGAATCGCTTGAACTTGGGAGACAGAGGTTGCAGTGAGCTGAGATCACGCCATTGCATTCCAGCCTGGGGACAGAGCGAGACTCCGTCTCAAAAAATGTATATATATATATATATATATATGTGTGTATGTGTGTGTATGTGCGTGTGTATATATATATATCGGGAAGCATGGCATCTTTTGTACATGCTGGACAGCTTTTGACGTACTTCTTTGACTCATGCTTCTGCCCCCTAATTTTCACTTTTTTTCCTACATTTTATTAAAATTAATATATAATAGTTGTATATCTGCTTTATTTTTCATGGACTTATACATACATATTTATTCTGTTCTTATAAAAGTCTGATTTTTCGTATGCCAAATTTCTGACATTTCCTCCTCTAGGCCTGAAGAACTGTTGTAATTTATGCATCAGATAGGCCCTCAGATGGAATGAATATTCTTTTTTCTTTATATCAAGGTGTAATTTACATATAGTAAGACCGTTTTTAAGTGTGTACAGCTCTGTAACCCTCACTACAATCAAGATATAGGACTCTGTCACTCTAAAACTTCTCACCAGGTTCATCACCCCCAGCCACTGATCTGTTGAGCGAATACTCATTTCAAAGGAGCTTTTTCCGTAAGATCCCTAGAGTTTAGATGGAAGGGCTTTCGTGGTGCATTTAGCAGATACCATTTCCCTTCTAGACTCCCTACTTCAGTTCCCAGTTGAATTAAAGAATGGTTTCTCCCCCAGCCTGAGTCACTACCCTTCTTATCCCTGATAATTATTTTTGGAACAAAGTTACATCTTTTGCTCCACCTCCGCCATGGGCCTGGTTTTCTATGTAACAGAAGGAATTTTTAAATTATTGTTTTGTGTAATCATAATAATTGGGCAAGCATACAGCTCTTTTCAGTGCAGGAGGATTCCTCTCTTGTTTTACTGCCCATTCAAGGATAGGTGCTATATTTTAGCTGAAGATCTTACTAATGAAATGCTCTGTAATCATATAACTTATTTAAAGATGTGTTTTGAGCTCTTTCATAATATTTTAATTCATGGAGAACTTTATGTATTTTAGACCTGAAGATTTTATATTGTCATTATGAAATGTAAATTGTTTGCTTTTTCAGTTAATATATAGTTACAATAGAATACGGATTTAAAGGCTGATAATGAATTACAAAATTGTGCTATATGACATACTGTTTATGCATACAGTGTTGCATATTTTCATTTCTAGGATATTGATTTGTATTTCTACTTACAAAAAAACTTTTTAAAACTTATTTTATGGCTGGGCCCGGTGGCTCACACCTGTAATCCCAGCACTTTGGGAGGCCGAGGCGGGTGGATCACCTGAGGTCAGGAGTTCAAGATCAGCCTGGCCAACATGGTGAAACCCTGTCTCTACTAAAAATACAAAAAATTAGCCGGACGTGGTGTAGGTGCCTGTAATCCCAGCTACTCGGGAGGCTGAGGCAGGAAAATTGCTTGAAACCAGGAGGCAGTGGTTGCAGCGAGCAGAGATTGCGCCATTGCACTCCAACCTGAGCAACAAGTGCGAAACTCCTTCTCAAAAAGAAACAAAAAAACTTTTTTTAATGTTTTTGTTCAAAAGTAGCAGTGAGACTATCCCGCAAAGGTGACTACTAAAATAGCCTTTGTAACTACTGATATTTATAGAATATGCTTAGGGTTAGGGTATAACTCGCTTGTATTATACTCATCTACCATGTAGAAATATGTACATCATAAGGAAATATAATACTGTTTGATTACCTTGGATGATCATATTCTTGGGAGAGAGAATCTGAGTAGTTTGACTTAGGAATCTACCACTGGGTAAGTTATTGTAGGGCAGAGCTGTTCCATATAAATATGTAGGCTGGTGTTCCACCTCTTGAGAGTGGGTGCAGTTCTCAGAACCGGGAGAATATTTAGGGGACATATTGTTAGTTGCTTCTCTAGTACTTTTCCCAGTAGACAGATCTAGCATTTTTAACCTCAATTGTGCATTAAAAAGCACCGAGGGAATTTAAAAGTAAATACCAATCATAGGGACATTTGAATTAGGATCTCAGGGAAGGGGCTCAGGAAATCAGTAATTTTTAGAAACCCCACATGATTGTTATTGCTTAGGTAATAACACCTACTGTCTACCTTGTGGTCCTGCCAAGGTGACTGTTCCTGGCCATGTTCCAGGCAACTGTAGTTCCAGGCTAGGGGGAGAACTGGACCATGGAAGTGAGGCTCTGTCCAGGGTAGGGGAAGGGATGGAAGGTGACTGTTCCTGGCCATGTTCCAGGCAACTGTAGTTCCAGGCTAGGGGGAGAACTGGACCATGGAAGTGAGGCTCTGTGCAGGGTAGGGGAAGGGATGGAAGGACTCAGTCTCTTGGGCCAAATCGGTAAGGCAGCATCTAAGCTCCTCTGAGAATAGGAAGGAGAGCAACCAATTGGAAAAAGAATGGGAAACATGTAGATTCTCCTGCTTACCTTACTTTCCAGTCTCAAAGCTGGAAGCCAGCATTCACTGTTCAGTTATTTTCAATGACAACAAGATTCAAATCTTCAGTTGTAAAGTTGTTAAAGGAAAGGATTAGACTGAAAAGTTAAGAAGAACGGTAGATGAAGAGTCCAAAGAGTTGAGGCTGGTCATTTAACCATTGTGTGGCCACGCCCTCTCCACAGGTGGAACAAGATGATCAGAATAGAAATGGCCAATTCTGATGTGTTTCTACAGTGTTTCACTGATTACATTTTTTAACATCTGTAGCAAACCATTTCCATAATTTTTTTTTTTTTTTTTAGAGACGAGGTCTCGCTCTGTCACCCAGGCTGGTATGCAGCGGCATGATCATAGCTCACTGCAGCCTCAAATTCCTGGGCTCAAATGAGCCTCCTGCCTTAGCCTCCTAAGTAGCTTGGACTACAGGTGTGTAGCACCACTCTCAGCTAATTTATTTCATTTTATTTTTTGTAGAGATAATGCCTCGCTATATTGGCCAGGATGGTCTCAAACGTTCATAGAAACTGGTTTTAGGTTCCTAGAGGCTGGCAGCAATTCTCAGAGGTAACGCAAGCAGTCTTCCTGCCTTGGCCTCCCAGTGTGCTGGGATTACAAGGTGTGAGCCACCACACCTCATCAATTTTTGTTTTAATATACTCTAAGGCTTATCATAGTTCCGAGATCTTTTTTTTTTTCCTGAGAAATCTAGAAAGATGGAAGACAGTATGGGTCTTTTGTGGATTTTTTGTCCTAAGAAATTTTCATAAATGTCTGCCAAGGAAAAGGAAAGAGATCAAAGTGGTAATTAAATCTTTAGGATGGACATTTTTAGAAAAATGCTTTATAAACTTCCCCTCTCCCAACTCTGAGTGACTTATTGTGTCATACTGTATTAACACATATTCATGCTGTAAATATAGTAAGAAAAGACAATAGTTCACAATTTTGGTTTAGTTTTTGCCATTATTGATTATGAGCAGTAATTCTTCCTTTTCTTTTTGAAGGTGATATGGAAAGCCCTGTGTTTGCATTTCCCCTGCTCTTAAAACTAGAAACCCACATTGAAAAGCTCTTCCTATATTCTTTTTCTTGGGACTTTGAATGTTCGCAGTGTGGACACCAATATCAAAACAGGTTAGTTTCTTTTGTTTTTTAAAATGGGTTCTTCTAGTTTCTCCACCACTAAGGTTAAGAGAACAATTTGAGCACCAGACACTACAGTTTGCTTGCTTCTTTAAACTGGAAGGGTCAAAACCTCATCGTTTGATAGACTGCTAGTAGGATATTTCCTAAGGAGTTCTTCAGTGGGAAATAGGGACGATGAGAGGAATAATACACCTCCCTTCTCCAGAGTCCTTGCTGAGTAGAATACCTCTCAGAATGCCATGAAACTGTAGGCATTTTTGTTTATTCCTCTATTAGAAATGAGGGGTTTTGCTTGTTTACTTTAGGTTTCTAACATTATAGACACTAGTTTTAGGCTCTTGGAGGCTAGCAGCAATTCTCAGAGGTAATGCAAGCTTCCCCATTTCTTCCCGTAGTCCTGTGAAAGACCAGCCACCTCCAGAAGCCTACACATGAGTCTTCTCAGCCATACTTTCTGCTTTTCCTAATGCCTCTCAGCAGCGTATTAGAAAGGCCATGATCGATGTACCTGTTACCTTCAGGCTTTGCATAAGGTGTATATGAAACATAATGAATTTCGTGTTTAGGCTCAGGTCCCATCCCCAGGTTACCTCTTTATCTTGGAGACACTTCTGGTCCCATACATTTCAGATAAGAGATATTCAACCTGTACCCACCACGTAAGGAGAGGAATAGGTTTTAGAAGAGGAGTCAGGGAGGCAAGGTATTCCCAGAGGGATATTCTCACTTGGTCCATACCTGAGAAAGTTGCTGGCTGGCAGTTAGGAAGATGACCAGACTGGCTCAATTGTTCGTGTATTCAAATTATTACAATAGAAATAACTCTTTCCACCCCCCCCCGCCCTTTTTTTTTTTTTGAGTTGGAGTCTCGCTCCCGTCACACAGGCTGGAGTGCAGCAGCGTGATCCCGGCTCACTGCAGCCTCCACCTCCTGGGTTAAAGCGATTCTCCTTCCTCAGCTTCCTGAGTAGCTGGGATTACAGGTGTGTGCCACCACGCCCGGCTGATTTTTGTATTTTTAGTAGAGACAGGGTTTTGCCATGTTGGCCAGGCTGGTCTTGAACTCCTGACCTCAGGTGATCCAGCCACCTGAGCCTCCCACAGTGCTGGGATTACAGGTGTGAGCCACCATGCCTAGCCACACTTTTCTTTAGCTTAAGTGCTTAAGTTAGAAAACTTGAAGTCTCTCTAAGTTACTCAAGTAAAATGTGAGATAAAAATATTACTTTTGAAGGCCGGGCACAGTGGCTCACATCTGTAATCCCAGCACTTTGGTAGGCCGAGGCGGGTGGATCACGAGGTCAGGAGTTTGAGACCAGCCTGGCCAACATGGTGAAACGCTGTCTCTACTGAAAATACAAAAATTAGCCGGGCATGATGGCGGACACCTGTAGTCCCAGCTACTCGGGAGGCTGAGGCAGGAGAATAACTTGAAACCCGAAGGTGGAGGTTGCAGTGAGCTGAGATTGCACCACTGCACTCCAGCCTGGTCAACAAGAATGACACTCCGTCTCAAAAAAAATTAAAAAAAATTACTTAGATATTCATTATCTAAATATGAAATCCTTTTTAGGTATTTAAGGAGTAGTCAAGGAGAGTTCAGTCTGGGAGGATGCTCCAGGGAATGCAGGCAACAAAGGTTTTGTTTTTTTTTTAACTGGTTAACTCAGATCTACTAGAACAGGGTAAGGGAGGCCACAGAGTAGACACCATGAGCAAAGCTAACCCTCCTGAGTTGAAAAAATTATGGACGAGAAGTTATCATTGAAATTAACTGTTGGCAGACATATCCAAAGAATATCGCAAGGATTTGGTCCCTTTATGCATCCTGAGACAGATGAATGTGTGGAATGGCAGCTGGTGGGCAACAGAGCGATATTGGCATGGTGGTGATACAGGGAAATAGTTTCATCGTGTTAAAAGCCATGGAACAAAGATACATAATGGCTGCTCTGCAGAAAAATCCACGTCCCCTCTCCAAAGGGCCTGTTTTACTCTGATGTAAAAATTGGGTCAGATAAATTTTCATATTAAGCTTTTTGTTGAGTAAACTTTTGTAATAGTCCCCAAAACTCCCACTAGAACAGGGTGAGAATTAACGTTTTATTCATACCTAGGACTTAAATAATTTAGTGTAAGCAAGTGAGTATGAGAACACATCTGTTTCCAGTCTTCTATCATTGCTTTATATAAATTCTCTGGTTTTCTCCTCACAGTAACTCAGTGAGGAAGATCCTAGTGTCCTCATTTGGCACGTATGGATATGACAGCTTGAAAGGGGTTAGATTGATTCCCAAGATGACACACTGTAAGTGGCAGAGTCAGGAGACACACTTAGGCTCTTCTGGCCTCTAAGACTTTCTTGCTCACTGTGGTATACTCCTTAATCACTACCTGGGTTTTAAATAATATAAATAACCTTGCTGATTAAAATCAGCTTAATTGTAGCTTCTCTGGAATCCATATCTTAGTTGTTTGACAGTTTTCGGTTGAGTGTCTTCTGTGTGTTAGGAACTCAGGCACTGGAAATAGTGTATCTTTGCCAAATTTACTAATTAGGTAGAGAGATAATACACGAACACATAATAGAGGTCCAGTGACTTCGTAATTAATCTGATCTTTGGGCTGCTTAACGTTAGCTTTGAATGCAAGATGTTAAATGCGTTTTAGAGATATATAGCACAAACTGTGAGAGCTCAAGGGAGGGAAGCCACTAGCCGCTTTTGTTTGCTTTTTTGTTTTTTAAAAATAATCTTACTTTGTTCTAAAAATAAAAGTAGTTATAGAGGGAAAGCTAAAATGAAGTGACGTTTTCTTAAATATGTTTTAATATGTCATAACTTAAAACTTATTTCCACTTAATCTGAAGGAGAACTGTCCAGCAAATTCCTTTGTTTTTGTGAAGCTGTTTTTAGTGCCAGCATAAGGGCTTTTTACTCAACTTGGAAAGTGTAACCCAGAGTCAGTTAAAAACATAGTCTTCAGAGGCAGATCTCAGGTCTGTTATTTATCACTGTACTCTATGTGTCACTTTCCCCATCTGTAAAATGGGGATAAGAATAGCACCTGCCTCTGAGAGTTGTTTGGAAGATGAGTGTCCAGTGCCATGCCCTTTGCACATAGTTTAAGTGTTCAGAAATGTCAGATGTCATGTGGAGAATTAACACTTACTTGCTGAGACAGTCTCCTTTTTATAAACTAAACAGTAGGAGCCTTTACATAACAATTATCTTTGAAAATTTAAGAATTTAGCAGAAATCAGTGCATTTGTTGATATCTTTATGTTGCTTTGCTTTTAAAATGTTAACCTCCCTGACTACTGATGTTTTTAACAGACAGTGCTTCCTCACAAGATTTATAAGTATTTGCTATTGTTTAGAAAGGAAGCTTGTATCTCTTAAGTAGCTGCTCTTTAAATTACAAATATTTTTATTAAAGTGGATGCAGTTGAGGTTTAGTGTACATCTTTAAAGGTCATCTTTTTAGATGGCGTTGCTCTCAAGTATTCAGACTAAAGTGCAAATTTAGAACTTGTGTAACCTGTGAAAACAAAATTTGTTCACAATTAATGCTGTGTGTGTGTGTGTTTTTTTTTTAAGGATTAAAAAAAGTTAAGTTGTATGTATTCCTGATTTTATGTTTGGAAACATCCCCTTTTCATTTTTGGTTGTCTGTAATGGCTAGCCAGTTTGAGTTATTTGAGTAAGGGGTGAGCTCTTAATAAATTTGACAACCTTAGAACAGTGGTTCTTCACTAAGGGCTATTTTTTCCCCCTTGGGACATTTGGCAACATCTACAGACAACTGGATGCCGTTACTGGCATCTGGTGAGGAGAGGCCAGGGATGATGCTTAACATCCTACAGTGCACAGGACAGTGCTTCACAGCAAAGACTCTCTGGTGAAAAATGCAGTGATACCATTGAGGAACCCTGTCTTTTTTTCTTGCTTCATCTCATAGTTGAAAGATATGGGAAATTAACATGGAGCATCTTCACAGAGCTTCTTTACTAGAGGTAGGGAGGAACATTGCCATATTAACATGATTTGGGGAAATAAGAAAGTATGAATCACGAAAAAGGGGAGGAATACTTTTAGACATTGGTTTAAATTAATGTAAATGCATTTAACGTTAATGAATTTGTTATGTCATTTTTTTATAGGCATATGAAGAGTCTGGTCACCTTTACAAATGTCATCCCTGAGTGGCACCCACTTAATGCTGCCCATTTTGGTCCATGTAACAATTGCAACAGTAAATCACAAATAAGAAAAATGGTATTAGAAAAGTGAGTTAAAATTGTCTTATAATTTTTAGTACAAAATGAAGGTGGATTTACATTTTTCTTAATGTGTAGGATTGAAAATGGTGACAACAACTTACCTTTCTGAAATTTGAGTTAACATATATTTCTGGGTTGCCAGCTGCCTCGCTCTATCTGGCCAGTGAGCCCACTGTCACGGTGAAGCCACTGAAAAGCCAACTTAGGCTGACTCTCTGGCCCCACTCTCCTAGTGTCTTTCCTTCTTTTTGCCTTTTTTCTCCCTTTAAGGATATCAAGCTTCAGTTTTTCTCTCCTCTGCCAAGTGTATGGAGTTTCTAGAATTCTGGGATTTCCTTAATCAGATTTCAAGAACTAAGATGATTCAAAGATAAGCCACAGGCTCATCTCTCTGAATTTCCATCTTCTCCTAGATCTCAGCATGCTAATTCCTCATCATCTTGAAAGCTATCTAGTGGCCTTGAGCAGATATATTTTCATTGTATTTTGCCAGCTTTTCTGTTTGTCCTCAGTTGGGGAGGTTGGTCAGCATTACCTTTTCCAGTATTACCAGAGAACCATCTGTTTAAACTCACAGGTCAGTTCCATCTCAGGCCGTTTCCCTCTGTCTCATTAATGCACTCACACATGTACACAACCTCTCTACTCTTCATTTTCAGTCTAATCGTACATTAAGGAAATGTTTTGAGGTCTAATTTGATGTAATAAAGAACCGGGAACATTAACCTTTATGCCCTTGAATGTGCCAGAAACCCTTCAGAATCTTTCCTAAAGGTTTATTCTCATTGAAGTAATAAATCCTCAGTTTATCAGTGCTTACAGGCTCAAAAGGGAAAAAGGGCAGTAGTCCCCTGTTCCCTCCTCCAGGTATCTACTTTAAACCTTCAAATTAAGGTAGTATTTACTTTTACTTTTCAAATTGATGTGCCTATTCTACCGTAATGCAGTCTGTTCTCCTTTTATAGTAATTGAGACTAGGGTTCTCACACCAACACCTGGGCCCCATCTCTGTTTAGCCTTTCCCTGTCCTTTCAATGCAATTGCGTATTTGGCTAACTCAGTACTCGGTGTTTGCATTGTTATTAATATACATGTGTTATTCCCTCTTCAGCCAAGCAGTATATATAGTTAGGTTTCACTTTTACAATTCTTATTTTTCCGGGAATTGTTATTTGCCTTGTTTTCATTTGTTTTATTATGTACTGTGAGTTTTTGCCAAATACTTTAAAGACTTATTAATAAATTTTCAATACTCAGATGCTTCACAGTTTTTTACTCTGTTCCTCTCCCCTTTTTTTCCTGGAACTCTTTCCTGCCACCTTTCACTCTTTGCTGCAGTCTGCGCTGGTTCCTCTCTGGGCCTGCAGCATAGGGTGCTCTTTATTATGTACACACTTCCAGTCACTATCGTAGTTTTTAGCCCAAGGCCTCATCCCCACATTCTATCACATCTGTTGCCCATAAATATCCAGTCCTTTAGGGGTTCTCTGGGAAAAATAAGCTCTTCTTTGTCATCAACATATGCACTCCGTAGTACTCATGTCTTCACTTTGCCCGTTCTGCTGGGTAAGGTGCCACTTCTCTGTTTGCTTTCTGTCCTCTAAATATTTGACTTCTTATTTGCTTATTTTCCTTTCTTTGTCCTTTTGGACTCATATCTTTTTTGCCCCTCACTATTATTTGATAGCATTTGTGTAGGAGGGCGAAGTGGGAAGGAAGAGGAGGTGTCTGTATCTGTCTGAAGATTACAGAAGTCTGTAATCTGTCTTGGCTGCCAGGTGTCAGTTTTGAGATGTAAATGTTGATGATGAGGTGAGGAGAAGAGCAGCAGAGCATGGGGTCTGCCATCCTGCCTTGGACCATGGCCTGCTTTAGGCTGCTTGGTGTATATGATTTCATCTAGCTGTTCATACCTGCTTTTTCCTGTGCCCCAGCACTGAACATAGACTCGTACCATTGTTTTGTGTAATCTGTTAATTGGTTGCACTGCAGCATATATATTTTTTAACTATACAAATAAGTTGCTTCCCTTAAAGATTCATGCTCTGATCTGGAAATGGATTCATTAGGTAAAAGTCTTTTAATGGAAAATGTGTTTTGAGTTCCAGTGGGCCAATTTATGAGCAGAATTTATAATGTGGGCATTTCCTGTTTTCTTCAAAAGTAAATTGAACTAGTGTATGAAGTTTCACTTAAATTTTAAATGCCAAGGTCTTTATATAAGTCCTTTGTGTTTTTTTAATTTTGAAATTTGTATAACTTGATTTGTTTGTGTCTAATGGAATTTAGAAATAAATTTAATATAGTTTTTAGGGCTAACCTAAAAGTAATTGGGTTCATCATGGTGTCATATGTAATTAAAACATATAGAATCCTAAAAACTAATTAAGTTCCTTGGACACCTTATCTCACATAACCCACATCTCTAATGTCTCCCCATTGGGAAAAGAGTCCATTGATAAATCAGGTGAATTATGCCTAGCGGGCCCAAATCTGCTACTTTTCTTTAAGTTGTTTAGGAGTTACATTCAGACCATGGTGACATGGAGCACCAAGAACTTAGAATCAGATTTCATTTTACTTGACAAACTCTTGAAAGGTCACTGCCACAGTCTCTCTTGAGTGCAAGGCTATGGCTATGCTTTGTAGCACAGGGACGCGATATTTCTCTGCTATCTTTGGGTAGCAGAGGTTAACACAGCTCCCTTGTGCTTTCTTTCTCTCTTTTCTATTTTCTTTTCTTTTCCTAAGGATAGATCTTTAAATAGGAGGAGTTTAACCCCATGTTAGGTGAATTCAAATGGATCTTAGCCTGATGTCTCTTGTTCTCTTTTGGTTCCAGTTTGGTTAATTCCTTTCATCCAATTTTCCAGTGGTTGAGGGAGAACCTAACTTGCTCTCCTCGACTCTGAGCATCATCCTTCACTGACAGTTCAGGCATTGTGGGTAGGAAGAAGTCTGAGAACAAAACCTAGGGATAAAGTTTAGTAGAGATGGGGTTTCACCATGTTGGCCAGGTTGGTCTCGAACTCCCGACCTCAGGTAATCCACCTGCCTTGGCCTCCCAAAGTGAGGCTGGAAATAAGACATGCTGGAATTGTAAGTAGGACACTAGAGTCTAGGGGAATCAAAGAGGAAAATGAACAGAAAAGGGAAGGGGAAGGATATTATTTGATTGACTCCAAGATGCTACTGTTTGTAAGTTTTACCATTTTAAAAATATGCCATTAAGAAAGAAATGCTGGCCGGGCATGGTGGCTTATGCCTGTAGTCCCAGCACTTTGGGAGGCTGAAGCGGACAGATCACCTGAGACTAGGAATTTGAGACCATCCTGGCCAACGTGGTGAAACCGCATCTCTACTAAAAATACAAAAATCAGCTGGATATGGTGGCACATGCCTATTGTCCCAGCTACTCAGGAGGCTGAGACATTAGTACTGCTTGAACTGGGGAGGCAAAGGTTTCAGTGAGCAGAGATTGTGCCACTGCACTCCAGCCTGGGCAACAGAGTGAGACTGTCTCAAAAAAAAAAAAAAAAAGAAAGAAATGCTGCTTATTTAACTGTGTTCTGTCAATGTTAAGGTGTATCCCGACTTCAGAGATGTTAACAAATGGGAAAAAATTTGGAATTCATTAGGCATTTGGAACTTACAAAGTTTCGGCCGGGCATAGTGGCTCATGCCTGTAATCACTTTGGGAGGCCAAGGCGGGTGGATTACCTAAGGTCAGGAGTTCGAGACCAATCTGGCCAACATGGTGAAACCCCATCTCTACTAAAAATACAAAAATTAGCTGGGTGTGGTGGCATGCGCCTGTAGTCCCAGCTACTCAGGAGGCTAAGGCAGGAGAATCGCTTGAACCCAGGGGGCGGAGGTTGCAGAGAGCTGAGATCGTGCCCTGCACTCCAACTTGGACAACAGAGTGAGACGCCATCTCAAAAACAAACAAACCAAAAAAAAAAAAAAAATTTCATAGTTACAGAAAGTAGTATGGAGGCCATACCGAGATTTTCGACATGGTAGTAAAACTCTGCATTATGGCTCTGTTCTGCATCATCTCTGTTCTGCATCGTTTCACTCCACATCAGACCCTGGATAGCTTTGGTGTACTGGTCGATCTTGTGGCAGTAAGGCTAGTGTAATTAAGAGGATATTTTAAAACTTAACATATAATTGCTCTAGTTGTTGTCTCTTTTTTGCTGGTTAAGAAAATCAAATTTCTATCCTATCTGAATCTCATAGCAGACTTTGGAGATTTCTGACAAGTCATTTCTTACTACCTAGGGGAATGTACTTGTACTCAGCTAGAGTCTGAGTATCTTCTACATCCAGGGAATTGGGCTGAGTGTGGATTTTGGTCTTGGCAGTTTTTACTTTTATTAATTTGCAAAAGAATAGAAGACTTGGAATGTACAAGAAGCATAAAAATGTGTCAGGTGGTTTTACATGCGTTATTTATCACGTTAATATGTCTTAAGATATTTTCCACGTGTAAACTTATGTAAAGGCAGGAAACTAGTGAGATTTCATATTCTAGGGATCAAGAGATTGTTTTAGTAACTAGCCTCAGAAAGTATCTTGAAAGGTATTATATAAGGTCAAGGAACTAAATATTAGTAAAGAGTCAGGCCAGGCGTGGTGGCTTATGCCTGTAATCCCAGCACTTTGGGAGGCCAAGGCAGGCAGATCACTTGAAGTCAGCAGTTCGAGACCAGCCTGGCCAACATGGTGAAACCCTGTCTTTACTAAAAATAGTAGTGTGTGGTATGGTGGCGCATGCCTGTAATCCAGCTCCTCAGGAGGCTGTGGTGGGAGAATCACTTGAGCCCAGGAGGCGGAGATTGCAGTAAGCTGAGATTGCACCACTGCACTCCAACCTGGGTGACAGAGCTAGTGTCTGTCTCAAAAAAAGAAAAAAAAAAAGGTCAGATAGGTGCCTAAAGCCTGTGTGTCTCGCTATGAGAATACATCTCAAGTTTTACTGTGGTTCATTGATTCAGACATGTAGTTCACATTTTAACCTGTCTGAAATGGTAATATGTGAAATTGATGTCATGATATAGTTTAATTGGCAGCATGTTTTCATAGTGGTACATTTTATAATTAGTGAAATCTTAGATTTGATGAAATAGATATGATTTTTTAAAGTGGGAAAGTTTAGTGTTATAGACAGTTTGCAGGACTTTTTATTTTGTAGGTACTTAAATTTTGAGGACTTAATTATTCTCTAATAAAGTGATTGACAAGGATTAATGTATAAATTATACCTTGTCAGTCTGAACAATCTGCAGTTTGGACATTGATTCAAATTCATTTAGGCTGAATAAATTTTGATAAACTAAGTAAGTTTTGACAGCTATTTAAATATTGGGAAAGGGGATATTCAACATTTTTCTTACATCCTGAGAGCTTTGTTAAATTTAGTTATTTGAGACCCATTGGGTTCTATTTTCTGGTTCAGCATGTTGCTGTAATGGTAAAATACAATTTTGAAATTATAGTTGTCTTGAAGTTAATAATAAATTGACCAATATGTTGTATTTTTTTCTCTACTTAGTTACAAATTGAACTTTTCCTAAGTAGAACTTTTAATTTGACAGGCCCCCTTTGCTTCCTGAGGTAACTGAAATAGGCCAAATTAATGCTTTTTTGAATATCTTAGGTTTGTTGCTTTCTTTCACATGTTACCTACCCCACTTAACAAAAGCAATTAATCTCAGCACTTGATGCCAAAGAAAATTCTAAAAGGTCTGGATTTTTTCCTTGGATTTTACAAAGTAGCTACAATGGGACTTTTAAGACAAAGCTGCATTGCTGCTTACAGAGCAATTTTTGTTTAATGGTCTGTGTTAGAGTCATACTGCATGATGACTTCCAACTGTCTGGGATACCATTCTGAAAAGGGTTTAGTGTTACATACTTCTTAGAGAGAGTTCTCCATTTCTAATTAAGGCACACATCTGGAGGTGCTCAAGAAAAATTAGTGCAGTTAGCCTTGGAAGTGTTATGTGTGACTAGTTCACTTCAGACATCTTTTGTATAATCAGACACATGGCATTAAATTTATTTAACTTCTCTTGCTTTTCTCTCCCACAGAGTATCTCCCATATTCATGTTGCACTTTGTAGAAGGCTTACCACAGAATGACTTGCAGCACTATGCATTTCATTTTGAAGGCTGTCTTTATCAGATAACTTCTGTAATTCAGTATCGAGCAAATAATCATTTTATAACATGGATTTTAGATGCTGATGGTAAGTGTTTAGAGGTTTTCTTTTAAGATAATTGGCATAGAAACTAAATTCTAGCATGTGGGGACTTTTTGGTTTTTGTTTTATAAAAAAAGACAAACTTTGTCCTGACTCTTTCTCTCTCCATTCTCGCCTTTGCCTTCTGCCCCTCCTCGCATCTATTAAAAGTGATGGTTTTAGTATCCTGTCTCATTTTTTCCTTTCCTTACATCATGTATTATAGGTAAACACATGCGCATGTGTGTATTTCTCTTTTAGACAAAGGATGAGATTACTACTGTTAGCTCAGTTTTTTTTTCCCTACTTAACATCTTTGCTTTTATTTTTTAGACATATTTCTAAGACTATTAAACATTAGACTTACGTAGCCCTTCTGTCATTGTGAAATACATAGTTTACTAACAGCTACCATCAAGATAAAGCCTTTATTTAAATAATTAAACTTCTTAGTGGAAAGCTAAGTAAGCACAGTTTATGGATTTTGGGAATTTTTGCCTTGCATTTGTCTGATATGGTAAAATATTGAGTTTGTTTTTCTCATAATGTTCACTTTGTCTTAGACAAGATAACTCAATCCCCTTAAAGGGTTGTATCAAGCCATTGATAAGGGCTCACTTTGATATAACCATTTTCTGTTATTTAGACACTCTTTCACACTTCCTATTTTCCTCCTGGGGATGGTTTGAATGGATGACACAATACCATATTATAAAAGCACTTTACAAACTGTAACTTATGTTATAAATGTAATTATTACCTTAAGGTTTTACCCTGTTTCAGATTTGAGTGGAAGTAGTTCTTTACAATACAAAACAACTTATTTTAACTTTTTTTGCATTTCAAAGAATGATCAATCCACTTCAGGTGCAGCATGGTTTCCAACCCTGACAGCATGGAAGAATCATTTATTTAGCTTCTAAAAATGTGCAGGCTGTACCCTAGACCAGCCTTGGGGATTAGGCCCAAATATCAATGTTGGGTGTTTTTGGTATTGGTTTTTGGCCCGCCTACCCGCCCTTCCTTCCTTCGTTCCTCTCTCTCATTCTCTCTCTCTCTCTCTTTCTCTCTCTCCTTCTTTGCTCCTTCATTCCTTCTCTCTCTCTCTTTTTTTTTTGAGACAGCATCTCACTATATTGCCCAGGCTGTTCTCAAACTCCTGGGCTCAAGTGATCCTCCTGCCTCAGCTTCCTGAGTAGCTAGGACTACAGGCACATGCTATGGCAATACTGTTTTAAACATTGTTTTCAAGGCTCCCCAGGTGATTCCAGTGTGGGTCATGTGGTAGAGAACCACTGACACAGGCAAACAAAGGATACATAAAGTTGTCTATTTAATGGGTAGGTGCAGGTAGTAGATAAGAGTGTAGCCACATAAACCACATGCTTAGTGAACGGTTTTGTTTTGTGTGTATGTGAGGGATTAGCATCTCTGAGTATATTTTGTTTTCCCTTTTGAAACTTATCAGAGAATTCATATGTCTGTTATGTGACTAATGCTCACATTAAAAAAAGTTATGTGACTTTTTTTAATTCATATGTCTTTTTAATTCATTTATTCATTCATATGTCTGTTATGTGACTAATGCTCTCATAAAAAAAGTAATGCTCAGTTTACTTTTTTTATATCAGATCATATATATATGTTTTTTTTTTTGAGATGGAGTTTTGCTCTTGTTGCCCAGGCTGGAGTGTATTGGCGCAGTCTTGTCTCACCACCACGTCTGCCTCCCGGGTTCAAGTGATTCTCCTGCCTCATCCTCCTGAGTAGCCGGAATACACGCAGGCGCTACCATGCCCGGCTAATTTTGTATTTTTAGTAGAGACAGGGTTTCTCCATGTTGGTCAGGTTGGTCTTGAACTCCCAACCTCAGGTGACCCACCCGCCTCGGCCTCCCGAAGTGCTGGGATTACAGGCATGAGCCACCGCACCCGGCCATATCTTATATTTTAATAAATATTTTAATTTGGTCTGTAAATTTTTCTTTTTGGGGAATGTGTTTTAAGTCTGTGTTGAGTCCTAGACATTTGTTGTTCTCAGATAGTCACTAGTGATACCTTAACATTAACCAGCCTGTTGGCAACTAAATTGGCCTGAAGTGACAACTAAGGAAAGGTCTCTTTCTCCTTTCTTAATCTTTGCATTCCTTAAGATTAGTTCTTTGTAGGAAGGCTTTGAAGTCTGGTGGCAAGTACCCTTTATCCCTCACAATCTTAAGATAAGGTCTTTCTGAGCATTAAAAAGTGACTGTGGGAGATATGTCAAATGAGTTTTCTGTGTGTGCTCTGAGAAATCTTTTTTTCAAAAAAGGATAGATGTACTTGTATAAGGAAAAGAGAAACTGAGCGCACTTTCAATATTTAAGTAAGTGTCTCTAACATGTTTTGCAACATAAAATGATGACCACTGTGTTGGTCATTACTTCTCTACTGCTAAAACAATGTTTTCTAAAATAATATACTCCTTAGAAAAAAATATAGTGCTTTGGGTGTGCACTGTTGTAATCCAAGGAATAGGAAATGTTTTGTAGTAAGTGCGATGGTGTTTGACATCGTGATTTATTAATTTATCACATTTGGTTTCATAGAAATAGAGTAAGCTACGTATTTGCTGTGCCGCAATTACCATGACATTACACTTGTATCTATTTCTGTTTCATAGATGTGTAGATATTGATATATACAGTGGAAGTATGGATTGTTTTGATAAGTTTCTAATGAAAGTACAGATATTTGTTGATTATTTATTAAGAAAGGTTGTTACTCATCCAAGCCCGTGGTTAGCTTTTCCCAAATTATCATGTGGTAGTAAGTAAAATGTAAAGAAATATACCCTCCCTTAACCCCACACCACCTGTTAGCACCTAGCCACCTTCCTTTACTTCTCAGCCGTACTTTTTGTATTTTTTTGTTGTAGTGGTAAAATATAAATAACATAAAATTTACCATTTTAACATTTGTAAGTGTACAATTCATTGGCATTGAATACATTGTGTGCAACCACCATCACCATCAGGACTTTTTCATCAACCCAAACAGAAACTACTCATTAAACAATAACTCCGCATCCTTCCACCCCAAAGCCCTGGTAACCACTATTCTACTTTCTGTCTCTGTGAATCTGTCTATTCTAGATACCTCATAGAAGTGGAATCGTACATTATTTGTCCTTTTGTGTCTGGCTTATTTTACTCAGCATATTTTCAAGATTCATTTGTGTTGTGGGATGTAGCAGAATGTCATTCCTTTCTAAGGCTGAGTAGCATTGTATGTATTATCCATTTATCTGTTACGGACATTTGACTATTGTGAATAATGCTGTTGTGAACATTGGTGGACAAGGAACTGAAAGTCCCTGCTTTTCATTCTTTTTGGCATAAACCTACAAGAGGAATTGCTGGGTCTTAACGGTAATTCTGTGTTTAATTTTTGGACGAACTGCCAGACTGTTTCCACAGCAGTTGTACTATTTTACATCCCCACCAGCGTTACACAAGGATTCCAATTTCTCTACATCCTTGCCAACATTTGCTATTTTCTATTTTTTTTTAATAATATCCATCCTAATGGGTGTCTTTTTTTTTTTTTAAAGGAATGGTTTAAACAGGTTACCTTCTTACTCCTCATTCATGCTTTAGTTGACTACATAAGGACCCCTCTCCCTATTGGCACCATTGAAATTGTTCAGGCAAAAATAACTGCCAGCGACACACTGCTTTAAGTAATGGACTTTTCCCAAGTTTTGTATTAATATTTCAGTATTTGGTAGTGCATCCTACTGCTAGTTTTTAAACTCTTCCCTTGTCATCTATCATCTCATTCTCTCTTGACAAATGTGAAAATGGAAGCTCAGAAATAAAACAAGAATTAAAACGAATAGTGATCCTTCAGGTAACAAGCTTCATTTATCATGAAAACATATATGTATGAAACATTCTGTTTTCTGATGTTATTGGATAAATTAGGTGATAACCAAATTCTAAGTTCCAAAAATTAAATATACTCTATCTAAGGACTTTAACATGGCAGACAATGGTGACAAGGTCAAGAACATGTTTTAGAGTCTTCTCCTTTGGTCGGTATTCAATGATACAACAGTTGAAAAGGCCAGAAGAAAGTTAACCTAGGATGGTGGTTTTTGAATATCTAACTTTCACTTCTTTCCCATCTTCCAGGAAGTTGGCTGGAATGTGATGACTTAAAAGGCCCATGTTCTGAAAGGCACAAGAAATTTGAAGTTCCTGCTTCAGAGATACATATTGTTATTTGGGAAAGAAAAATATCCCAAGTGACAGATAAAGAAGCTGCCTGCCTTCCACTTAAAAAGACTAATGACCAACACGCTCTCAGTAATGAGAAACCAGTATCTTTAACATCGTGTTCTGTGGGTGATGCTGCCTCAGCTGAAACAGCCTCAGTAACTCACCCTAAAGATATATCAGTTGCCCCTCGTACTCTTTCACAGGACACAGCTGTAACTCATGGAGATCATTTACTTTCAGGTCCAAAAGGTTTGGTTGACAATATTTTACCTCTGACACTTGAAGAAACTATCCAGAAAACAGCCTCAGTTTCACAGTTAAATTCTGAAGCTTTCCTGTTAGAAAATAAACCTGTAGCAGAAAATACAGGAATTCTCAAAACCAATACTTTGCTATCACAAGAATCACTAATGGCTTCTTCAGTATCAGCTCCATGTAATGAAAAGCTTATTCAAGACCAATTTGTGGACATAAGTTTTCCATCCCAAGTTGTAAATACAAACATGCAGTCAGTACAGCTGAATACAGAAGATACTGTAAATACTAAATCTGTGAATAATACTGATGCTACTGGTCTTATACAGGGAGTGAAGTCAGTAGAAATTGAGAAGGACGCTCAGTTAAAACAATTCCTTACACCAAAAACTGAACAATTAAAACCAGAACGTGTCACATCTCAGGTATCTAATTTGAAGAAAAAAGAAACTACAGCAGATTCTCAAACCACAACATCTAAGTCATTACAGAATCAGTCTCTGAAAGAAAATCAGAAGAAGCCATTTGTGGGAAGTTGGGTTAAAGGCTTAATAAGCAGGGGTGCTTCTTTTATGCCACTCTGTGTTTCAGCTCATAATAGAAACACTATAACTGATTTACAACCTTCAGTTAAAGGGGTAAATAATTTTGGTGGCTTTAAAACTAAAGGTATAAACCAGAAGGCCAGCCACGTATCCAAGAAAGCTCGTAAGAGTGCAAGTAAGCCTCCTCCCATCAGTAAGCCACCAGCAGGCCCTCCATCGTCTAATGGCACAGCTGCCCACCCACATGCTCATGCTGCTTCAGAAGTTTTGGAAAAGTCTGGAAGCACCTCATGTGGAGCTCAACTCAACCACAGTTCTTATGGGAATGGTATTTCTTCAGCAAACCATGAAGACTTGGTGGAAGGTCAGATTCATAAACTTCGTCTAAAACTTCGTAAAAAGCTAAAGGCAGAAAAGAAGAAATTAGCTGCTCTTATGTCTTCCCCGCAAAGCAGAACAGTTCGAAGTGAAAATCTAGAACAGGTGCCCCAGGATGGGTCTCCAAATGATTGTGAATCAATAGAGGACTTGTTAAATGAGCTACCATATCCAATTGATATTGCCAGTGAGTCTGCATGCACCACTGTTCCTGGTGTTTCCCTGTACAGTAGTCAAACTCATGAAGAAATTTTAGCGGAATTATTGTCTCCTACACCTGTTTCAACAGAGCTGTCAGAAAATGGGGAAGGTGACTTTAGGTATTTGGGAATGGGAGATAGTCATATCCCACCACCAGTACCAAGTGAATTCAATGATGTTTCCCAGAACACACATCTGAGACAGGACCATAATTATTGTAGCCCCACCAAGAAAAATCCATGTGAAGTTCAGCCAGACTCTCTGACAAATAATGCCTGCGTTAGAACATTAAACTTGGAGAGTCCGATGAAGACTGATATTTTCGATGAGTTTTTTTCCTCCTCAGCATTAAATGCTTTAGCAAATGACACATTAGACCTACCTCATTTCGATGAATATCTGTTTGAGAATTATTGAATTAATGCTTGTTAACTTTTTTCATATAATATTTATTATTATTAGAAGAACTTACAATGTGTTCAGGTAGTGTTTATACACTGGACTTGTGTAATTACTTGTGTAATAACCATGAACAAAATGCAAGGTTTAACCTTTGGTTCTGCCCATGAAGCATGTAATCTTTCTTACACATTAAAATCACTGAATGTGTTCTCCTTTTTGGTTTCATTTTGTTCTTGTGAGAGTATGAGGATTTCAAAATGTTAAAGATGAAAAGTGGCGTCTAGTTTCTGACAGTTTGTACAGTTGGATGCATTACATTTTTAGATTTGAAGTTTTGGTTATGTTAGTGTTATGAGTGATCTTTGTGGTGGTTTTCTTCCCCTGGAAACCTGTTGCTCGTGGCGCTTTGCCCACGGTGCCCGAGTTCTTGTCCTGTGTCCAGATATGCAGACAAATGAAGGGTGAAGAAGAAGAAGAGGAGCTTTATTTAGTGTTAGAACAGCTCAGAAGGAGACCCACAGTGAGCAGCTCCCCTGTGTCGGCGGGCAGGTCGTCCCTCAAGTGTTCAGCTCTCAGCAGAGAAAAGGCCCTGGAGAGGGTGACTCCTCTCAGCTCTCAGCAGAGAAGCAGCCCTGGAGAAGGTAGCTTCTGTTCGCAGGCAGATTGTCCAGAGGTCCTGCTGCTCTCAGACGGGGCCCTGGAGAGGATAGCTTCTATCCATAGGCAGGTTGTTCTGCCGTCTCTACAGGTCTCTGAAGCTCTTAGCAGAGAGGGTAGCTCCTCCCTGTTGCTGGTCGTCCCACCCTCTGCTCAGTTCTGGCTGAGCCTGGGGCATTTTACGGGCCTCGGGGGAGGAAGTGCATACTTACTGGCCTGGAAAAGGCACCAGTTCCCACTCCTACAGGTGGGACTGGCAGCCTGGCCCTCAGCCTTCAGGCCCTCCCTGTTCATGGCTTCCAGGCTTACCCCCCTGCTTTGATCTGAGAGCTGGTGCCAATAGCAGGGAGAAGCCAAGCTGCAGAGGCAAGCACTTCCGAGCCTGCAAAAGCAGGCCCCCAAAAGTGCAGGGATGCCTGAGTCTGCACCCGCACCCAGGAGGGTGGAGATCTTGCCTGCTCCAAGGCTGCAGCCGGAATGATAGCAGGCTGACTGGAGCACCTGCCACCATCATTAGTTCAAGAGTTTATGCAGATTTAAGTTGTATACGGTATATGAATGTGTGACAGTTTTCCTTATGGTTGTGTGGCCTTCTGTAAGAGCCTACGCCTGTTTGTTACACCGGTAGAGTGCTGTGGAATGTAAACTTTCCCTATGTCACTTATCTCCTTTATCTCTCCATACAGAGGAGGGCAAGAAACCTTGTTACTTGAACTTTAGTAATGTTAAGTGATCAATAAATCTATAAATAAATGATAGCAGAAAAAAGTTACCTGTTTTTGTGATGATGTACAAACTTTACATGTTATCACAAATACCATCTTTCTTCCCAAGACATTTACTTCTGTAACCAAAGTGGGACACCATCTAACAGTTCTGTTTTGGGAGAGAGTAATAACCAGTGCTTGTGAGGCTTGTTAGATGTTGGTTGTGATATATGAGATAGATGTTATTTCATTTAGACCTCAACATTCCTGTGCGTGAGATACTTTTATCACATCTTACAGATAAGGAGACTGTACTCATTCAGTTGTGGAGCTGAGATTGAGTAGAGTGGCTATTACAGCAGTTGAGTGCTGAGCTTATCAATATATGTTCCACTCCTCAGGCTTCATTTAAAGTAGGATGCCCAAACAGCACCACTGCCGTAGAGATTTGAGTTAACAGCAGTACTTACTGAGGTTTAAGGCTGGCAGCCAGTGTCCTTGCAGTAAAATTATTTGCTAGGGACTCAGTACTTCATAATCTATTTGTCAGATTTACTCCTAAGCTTCTGTGTTGTTTTATTTTTTTTCTGACAAAAGTAGTGCATATTGTCAAGGAAAAACTAGGAAAATACCAAAAAAAAAGATTTTTGACCATGCATTTTAATACTTAGTGACTACAAACATTTTCCTATTTTATGCATATAGATTTTAAATAAACGTGAGATCCTATTGTATCTGTTTTAATGGATAAACATTGTTTCACTGTTTTAAGATTCTGAGGTGATTTATACTGTCTTGCCATTGTTAATTGCAGCAGTTAGCCTTGTTGATAAATTTTTGCATGGATCCAAGTTTTGTTTTCCAGGAGTGGAGTTGCTTGGTCAAAGGAAATGCACATTTAAGGTTTTTTGGTGATTGCATGACTGACTTCCCTGGGCCCTCGCCAACACTAGGTAGTAGTATTGGGAGGAAGGGGGGAACCAATCCTGGGTGCTCCAAGATTACTAGTGAGCCTGAACATTTTCTATAACTATTGTCCACTTGAGTTGTTGTTTTGTTTTTTTTTTGGTGGAGGCGGGGGTGGGTTTAAGAATTGCTTATCCTTTGCTTGTACTAATTATCTTTTCAACAAATATTTCTAGATTACTGCTAAGGACCAAGCACTGTTATCAGCCTGAGATAAGGCAGCACACTAGAAGGAAATCCTTGCTCCTTTTGAGTTTGCCTTCCAAACATGGAGATCAATATATAATGTTAGGTAGTAATAGGAGATACATGCAGTTGATTCATGTCATTTGTAGTAGTTATGGTCAATAAAGTTGCCTTGAACACTGAATTAGTATAAACTGAAATACTGTTCCTAGGGGAAATAGGTTCCTGCTAGCCTGTGGTCATGAGATTTTTGTCAAACAATCACTATATAACCTTTTCTGTTTCTGTTTAAAGACATGTTATTTGATCTATATGGTTGATTCTTTACATTAACATGGCCAACAGCACTGTAACTCAGCCTGAACGAAGCTTATCTGACACATGGTGTTCTCCATAAGGCACATCATAGCTTTCTGTGCTTAGGAACACTAGACGGCACTTCAGCACTGCACTTGAGGACGTTTTAAACAGTGAAATCAACAAAAAGCACAAAAAAATGCAACAATAGGCTGGGCAAGGTGGCTCACGCCTGTAATCCCATCACTTAGGGAGGCCGAGGCGGGCGGATCACGAGGTCAGGAGATCAAGACCATCCTGGCTAACACGGTGAAACCCCGTCTCTACTAAAAATACAAAGAATTAGCCGGGCGAGGTGGCAGGCGCCTGTAGTCCCAGCTACTCGGGAGGCTGAGGCAAGAGAATGGTGTGAACCTGGGAGGCGGAGCTTGAAGTGAGCCGAGATTGCGCCACTGCACTCCAGCCTGGGCGACAGAGCGAGACTGCGTCTCAAAAAAAAAAAAAAAGGAACAATAACAAAGACACTAGTCCCCCAAAAATACACTTGTTTACAGTGTGAACTGAAAGAGGAAGGTGGAGTATTGACTTGTTTGACCTCAGCTGGAAATGTGCACGTCCTGTGACTCAAATTTTTCTCTGTTCTGTGCATGCATGTCCACGAATAACCACAAGAAGCACTGAAAGCATTGATTTTTAGGGTTACAAATTAATTTTAGCAAGTAAATGAATTCACAAATACGGAATCTGTGAGTAATGAGGACTGATTCTTTTTTTTTTTGGAGATGGAGTTTCACTCTTGTAGCCTAGGCTGGAGTGCAATGGCATGATCTCGGCTCACTGCAACCTCCGCCTCCCGGGTTCAGCCTCCACCTCCCGGGTTCAAGCGATTCTCCTGCCTCAGCCTCCCGAATAGCTGGGATTACAGGCTTGCACCACCATGCCCGGCTAATTTTTGTATTTTTAGTACAGACGGGGTTTCACCATGTTGGCCAGGCTAGCCTCGAACTCCTGACCTCAGGCAATCCACCCACCTCAGCCTCTCAAAGTGCTGGGATTACAGGCGTGAGCCACCGCGCCCGGCCGAGGACTGATTCTTATGTCAGATGGCACTAAATGCTATGGAGAAGAGGAGTGGATGAGAGGGAGAAGTATTTTAGACCAGGTAGACTTGGAAGGTTTCTTGGAGGTGGGTGATGTTTGAGAAGAGGCTTCAATAAAGTTAGGGAGCTCGCCATGTGATTGCAGGAAGAGCGTTCCAGGAGAACAAAAGTCATGAAGAGTGAGTGCTAGGCATGTGTCTGGTCTGTTTGGGCTGCTATAACAAAATACCTTAGACTGGGTAAAATGTATAAATAATAGAAGTGTATTGCTTATAGTTCTAGAAGCTGGGAAGTCCAAGATCAAGGTATCAGCACATTCTGGTGAAAGCTGCTCTGCTTCATGGCTGGTTCTCTCACTGTCCTCACATGGCATAAGAGGGGCACAGAGCCCTCAACCGTCTCTCCAGTGGCCCCATCTCTTAGTACTGTTGGATTGGGGATTTAGACTTCACTAATTTTGGGGGGACACAAACATTGAGACCACAGCAGCATGACTGAGGATAAGCAAGAGGCCAGTGTGGTTGAGCAGAGTGATCAGTGAAGGAGAGTTAGGACATGAGTAAAGAGGCTAGCAGACACCAGATCTCATATGGCTTTGTAGGCCATAGTGAGGACTTTGTTTAAGCTGAGAATAATAGATAACCTCAGGAAAGTTTCAGGCAAGAGGGTAACATGATCTGATCTGGGTTTTAAAAGGATCACTGAAGTGGGGAGACTGTCTACAGATGGTCTGAATAGGAGTCCTAGTCTATTACAATCTCCTTGGAGTTTAGGGTGGTAACTGGAGGTGTTCAAGAGTAGTTGGATTACTGTTGGATTTCAAAAGTAGAGCCAACACGATATGTGCATTGGCTGTGAGGTAGAAGAGGAGTCAAAATGAACTCCAGGTTTTATTGACTGAGCAATTGTGCCATTTCCTGAGATGGGTCAGATTTGGGAAGGAAAGAATTTAAAGGGGATAAGATAATCCCATTAGGAGTGTGTTAAGTGTGAGATTCCTATTAGACTTTCGAGTGGAGATGATTTAATAGGAAGATAGATCTGCAACACTGGAGCTCAGCGGAGAGGGACACCCTGGAGATAGCCGTTTGGGAATTAGGAATGTGTGGATCATGTTATAGGATGGGGTCATTTAGGGACTTAAAACAGCTCTGAAGAACAAAAATGGTGCCTTGATCTTGGACTTCCTGGTTTATAGAACTGTGAGCAATATATATATATTTTTTTCAAGACAGAGTCTTGCTCCGTCATCCAGGCTGGAGTGCAGTCGCACCATCTCGGCTCACTGCAACCTCCACTTCCTGGTTCAAGCAATTCTGGTGCCTAAGCCTCCCAAGTGGTTGGGACTATAGGTGTATGACACCATGCCCGACTAATTTTTGTATTTTTTTGTAGAGACAGGGTTTTGCCATGTTGGCCAGGCTGGTCTCAAACTCCTGACCTCAAGTGATCTGCCTGCCTTGGCCTCCCAAAGTGCTTGGATTATAGGCGTGAGCCACCATGCCCAGACTAAATTTCTAACATTTATAAATTATCCAGTCTAAGATATTTTGTGATAGCAGCCCAAGCAGACCAAGGCAAAGGCCAAGCACACTTGCTCCTCCTGACTTTTGCTCTTCCTGGAATGTTCTTCCTTTAGTCACATGGTTGCCTGCCTAGCTTCATTCAATAGGAGTGTGGTGCCCTGAAAATACAAGGAAGAATGCTTTTCTTTTTTTTAAAAGGAAGGGATGATTATCTGTCAGATGCTGCTGAAAAAGAGTAATAGAGTAATTGGCCACTGGCTCTGGCAATAGGGAAGTTAGCTCTGCTAACTCCACATGAACAGTTTCACATGAACAAGTGTGAGTGGGCTCAAGAGAAGGGATGGTGAGAAAGTGGAGCTATGGACTCACTCTTGAAACATTTTCTGGTGCCTCGTAGGGCAATGTGAGGTCAAGGTTTTTGTTACTGTTCTGAAGATGGGAGAGGCTGACACATGGATGTTGTAGGTGAGAGAAGGGGCGCTTGCGGGGGCAAACTTCTCCAGGGATGGGATTCCAGTGTCTAAGAGGAGGCGGTGTGACCCTAAGAGCTAGAAAAATTATTTTATTAATAGGAAAGACAAAGTACTTAGGCTCAGATGCTAAGAGATTTGCTGATAAAAGAATGAGAACGGTCTCTTCTGATTATTTTCTTGGGGAAATAAATAGATCATCAGCTGAGGGTGTGAGGGGAGAAGGAGTTGAACATGGAGGAAGACAGGTGTGAAATATTGGTCTCAGAATGGAGAGCGAATTGAATAGGGACATGCAGTGGGCTTGCTAAGCTGTGCGGAGAGCCCGTGGGAAGTTTATGGTCATCAATTTAATGGCGACCAGCCAAGATGGTGGTTTATTTTTCTCCAGTTGTATTTAACTGCTCAGGTGCAGGACAGAGAGACTAAGTGTGAAGTTAATTTCAGCCAACGTAGAGGAATTGTCAGGCAGATGGGACAAGGAGATAGAGGAGAAAAGGAATAAGGCTTCCTGCAAGGGTAATGATTGTAGGGATGGATAAGTAAGGAACACAGGAAGTGGCTGTCTGCTGAGTGGTGGCAGAGCTCAGTGGGTCAGAGCAAGGTTCAAAGAATGGCAGAGAGGCACTTGTGGAGGAAGTAAGCTGGCTAGAAAGTAGTGTGCTTGAAATTAAGCTTCTGGAGATAGCAAGGTTACAGGTGATGACAAAGTCTGAGTATGACAAGGAAACTGCAGGGCCAGAGTTGGCAAGAATTCATGAAAAATGAGGAGAAAGAGGCACCAAGAGGCTGGGATAGCACATGGATTGTCTCTGTGTGAGGCAAAGTCATCTAAATGGCAGCAGTGGCCCTAGCAGAAAGAAATATACAGTGAGCCGGAGCAAAAATCCTCAAGGACAGGCAGAACGCCATGAAAACGGCAGATGACAGCCAAAGGAGCAGGGGCAGGGGCTCAGTCCAAAGTGTTTCAGAGTCACTGGAGGGTTGAGTGGGAAGGGGAGGGAGTGGCTGAAATGGCAACAAGGAAGAACCTCTCTCATCTCCAGGCCCAAAAGTATGTGGAATGCGGGAGATAAGACAGCCACCACTGGCCAGGGCTGTAAAGGGACATTCAGCGAATATTCAGGTTCCATTTAGCACGACAGCAGGGAAGGGACTGTTGGCAGAAAAAAACTGGGGCAGTGGGATTAAAGACAGACCACACATTCCAAAAGGCACCGTGGGAGGGTCAGGGGGCGAGGTTAGGTCTAGGCTTCAGTGTCCTGGGAGACTCAGTCTTCACAGGGTGACAGCGATCAAGAGTGCAGCTTAGGCTGGGTGCAGTGGCTCATGCCTGTAGTCCCAGCACTTTGGGAGGCCGAGACGGGAGGATTGCTTGAAGCCAGGAGTTTGAGACCAGTCTGACCAACATGGCAAAACCCCATCTCTACTAAAAATACAAAAATCAACTGGGCATGGTGGCGTGTGCCTGTAGTCCCAGCTACTTGAGAGGCTGAGGCAAGAGAATCACTTGAACCTGGGAAGCAGAGGTTGCAGTGAGCTGAGATCGTGCCACTGCACTCCAACCTGGGCAACAGAGTGAGACCCTGTCTCAAAAACAACAACAACAAAAAAGAAAAGAGTACAACTTATGAAGGGGTCTCCTGGGGAGAGGGTTTTTGGGATTCTCCTGCCTCTCAAAGTGCTGGGATTATGGGCGTGAGCCACCACACCCAGCCGAGGGAGGCTGAGTTCTAATTGTTGTATCTCTCTTGGGATTGGCCTCCTGGGCAGTTTAAAAGACAAGGCAAGGAATCTTTTGGAGAAAGAGACTGGGGGCAAGGTGTGTCTGAACAAGAAGTGTGAGAAGCTCTGTGGGCTCCCTTCAGACTTCCAGTCGTTGAATTGGGATCTCATTTATATCAGCTCTAGGTGTAACGATATTAAATCTTCTCTGTCATTTGGCAATTTTGGTTTATGCTTGATCATCATTTTTAATGTTTCGACATGTAGAAGTTTAACATTATTTTACATTCTTTTCCTTCTGGCATCATGTTTTAGCAAGATTGTTTCCACCAAAAGAATATATATATCTTCTAATGAAACTACGTTTCTTTTTTTTTTTTCCTTTGCTTTCTCTTTTGGTATATGAATCTTTGATTATTTGTAATGTATTTTGATGTGTAACACTGAAGTTTCTATTTTGTACTATTTTTTTCCCCAAACAGTAAACTTATTGTTCAAATACTTATTGAACAACCTTCACTATTCTTTAACCATTTAGAATACGCCATTCACATATCTTTCATACTACATTTAATAACATTTTTTAATTAAAAAATATTCTACTGATTTGTTTATTTTGAGACCAGGTTATGAAACTGGCTAATTTTTGTATTTTTGTTAAATACCGAAATTCACTGTGTTGCCAAGGCTGGTCTCGAACTCCTGGGCTCAAGCAATCTGCCCACCTTGGCGTCTCAAAGTGCTGGGATTACAGGTGTGAGCCGCTACACCCGGCCACACCCGGCCAACACATATTATTTGTTATTACATTTAATTCCCACAGTACATTGAAATTATCAGGGAAAAGTTTTCAGTGAAACATTATTGAACGCCACATTAAAAGTGTAAATTACAAAGATTTAATGCCAATTTTTCAGAAGAAAAAAGACCAGGAGGAAGGTCTATGAAGTTTTAGCCAGTCTCTCATCCACCTACCATTTCACGATCATGCACTGTGTAAGTCAGGAAAAGAGTAAGAAAAGTGAAAGATACAATTGATTAGAGAGTTTTGCTGGATACTATAGATGAAAAGAACACAAAATGGAACAGCCTCTTCAAGCTTAGAGTCAACGGCTGTAGTCCCAAAGACTGTAGTCAGAGGCGGTAGGGCCAAAAGACATGACTTATGGCATTGGAGGAAGAGGATGCTTTGGGAGTTCATGGTAGAAGAGGCGGAAAAAATCTGGTGGATTAAAGAAAGCATCCCAAAGTGACATTAAACTAATGACTAAATTCTGAGCTGTTTTCAGGGGCAAAGCCTGTTTGGGCACCCCTGCCACACTTAAAGAGTCACCTAGGTATGGTTCGTGGGCTCTGAACAGGCCTGCTCAGTGAACATATTTGTGACTGTTTCTCCGGCCCTTTTAGCTGTATTGAGTAAAATTTAAAGAGACCATTGTTTTGGCCTAAGCTCCTGCCCTAGGCCCAAAGAACAGACCAAACCTGAATGGCTTCACTTGTCCTAGGTGCTGTGTACTCAAACTGAACTTTGAAACAGGTCGGTTTTTCAAAAAAAGCAAAAGATTCACAGCAACCAATTAGAAGAGGCCCGGTCAACCTGAGCCAGCATGATGAGGCTCTTCTGCTTTAATCCTACAAGGAAAGAAACTTTGAAATGACCAATCTGCTTTCATTCTTGGTTTCTGCTTTCTTTGGTCTATTTCTGCCTGTAAAACCTATCTCCTCTGCTCAGCTCATTGAAGTACCCTTCTATTTATAGATGGGATGCTGCCCGACTCATGTATCGCTAGTAAAAGCCAATTAAATTATTACACTCGATTTGTTGGAATTTTGCTATTTTGACAGCTTTTCAAAAACACCAGTAGGTTCACATCCCTAATTCCCCAGCCAGTGTTCCCTCAAGGAACCATGGAAGAAGCAAAGGTGGCTGAAAGGCGCCTCAGGATGCTTCTAAGCACGGCACATCCATGAAAAGGCACTTACTAATATTTGCAGGATAGCAAAGCACTGCAGTGACGATAAATCTAGTATTGGAGAAGTTCAAAATAATCAGTAGATTAACACAGAAGCCAGAGCTTATAGGGAGAAAAGGAACCCTATGAAATACTTCAAATCCGAAAACGAACATGCATTTCCTGTTTAGTTAGTGCAGGTACGTAAAAGCTTGGTAAAGTACCCTTCTTGCCAGCTTTCTCTTTCTTACAAGCCTTTTCACTGGGCTGGGAGGCTGATATTATCTAAATATGCTGAGGAGGTTCAAGTATCTCCACAACTCACCTCAGAGTGAATGCTCCCCTCGGCCTTAAGGCAATATAAACCAGCCCTGTTTAGCAGGATAGCAAAATGTTTGCGGTTGTAAACTGGTGTCCCATTGGCTGTGGCGCTTGTGGTGTAAAGAATCCCTGTGCTTGGTAATTAATAGAGAAATTCTATATTTTAAACTTCAGTTGTATATTGGCTCTTATCCATGGCAGATTTTCACGTATGTGTTATTTTTTTATTTATTCAGAGCCGGAGTCTCGCTTTGTCGCCCAGGCTGGAGTGCAGTGGCGCGATCTTGGCTCATTGCAGCCTCTGCCTCTTGGGCTCAAGCAATTCTTCTGCCTCAGCCTCCCTAGTAGCTGGGACTACAGGTGCATGCCACCACGCCCGGCTAATTTTTTGTATTTTAGTAGAGATGGGGTTTCACCGTGTTGCTCAGGCTGGTCTTGAATTTCTGAGCTCAGGCAATCCGCCCGCCTCGGCCTCCCAAAGTGCTGGGATTATAGGTGTGAGCCATCATGCTCGGCCCTATGTGATATTTATTACAATGAATTCCAATGATCAGACCTATACTCAAGTATAAGTGAATATATCATTCAATGAAGTATAAATGATCATTATGTTCATATTCACACATACAATAATGTACTCAAGTTTATTGCTAAGGTAATTCAGAATCTCCTTATTTTGAAGTGTGCATTTGATATACCTGTTTGGGAATAACTAGTTTCTTATCTTTGACAGAAAATAATTTTGTTGTTTTGTTTTTACTAAAAAAGCATGGTGAAAAATGGCTCCATTTCTAAGAGAGGTAACTAAAATATCGCAATTTGCTGGGTGTCATTAAAGTAACTCACAAGGGAAAAAATGCAAATTGGTATCTGCTGATGGAGTAAATCTCCGCAGAAGTGATGACCCTGAAAGGATCAATATATTAAAGCCCCTCCCAGCTGGTCATTCCAGATTGCAACAATAAAGCATTAAGTGTTAAAACCTCAAGGCAGCTTTTTTTTTTTTTTTTTGTCTCAAGTCCTTTATTATTAATTTTATAGACCTACTTAATTACTAAGCCAAAAAAAATCAAACTTGTTTCTCTTTGTGACTTGTCAATAGTATTAAACTATTCTGGTTTTTTATTTTTGTGTTACCTTAAAGTCTCCAGTTTAGTAATTTTTCTGTACCTAAACACTTCGGATTTGACATGCTTTGTGGCCTTTATCAGTAGTTAGAATGTAAATCCAATAAATAAAGTAAAAGCCAGGTCTTCAAAACCTGGGGGCCAAGAACTCTGTTTTAGAGGGCCTGTGACTCTCTTGGACACTGGACAAAATCTCATCTCTAAATATGGATATTTTAGGGAGAGGGTCTTTAGGCTGTCATTTGGATTTTCACAGGGCTCCATGTATCCATAAGGTAGTCTCTTGGGAAGTTTGACTTCAATAAATGAAGTTTAACTTAAACCTAAAATGAAATTTAACTGAAAAACAAAATCCAATGAAAGATGCTTTCTTATGCAAAAACAAACAAACAAAAAAAAAACAAAAAAACCCCAAAAAACCCAAAGCCAAAGATTGTTTCTGAAATTAGGTTCTAGGTTCCAGAGCAACTCCATGGTGGGGAATCAGCCACATGTAAAGTAAGCTAAGAGTTTGGACAATTTGTAATATTTATTCCTAGGTTTCTTTAAGACCCTTTCAGATTTTGAATTCCTATTAGTAGCATCAGCCAGGTTCTAAATGTAGGCATCACCATAGACACTTCCCCACTGCTGCAGTCCCCAACACTTGCCCAATTTTCCCTTGAATTGCACCCATGCTGCCTTCTCCAGGCCTATTTGAACCCAGAACCTCGTTGTGCCTCGTTTGAAATATAATTTCCTCCTAACTAGTCTCTGATCTACTATTTCCCCTACATTGCTGCCACACTAATCACCTAAAATAGATTTCATTCTACCCTGAAACAGAAATCTCTAATAAGTTACTCCCTTCCCTTACGGGGTAAAGTTAGCCACATCCTAGGTATTCAAGGACCTTCCAGGAGCTAAGAACATTTCCCCTGCACCTTCTTGAAGTACACTTGTCCTATGTACTGGTTATGTTCATTTCTTACCCTCGCTCTCGTTTTGTCTGGAATTTTCCTTGGCCTTAAATGCCTCTCACCTGCCTGCCCACATCTCTCAGGGTTGTTTCAAATCCTCAATGAAGGCTCACAGCCCCAGTCTATGTTGGCCACTTACTTCGTGGCCTGGGAACATTTTTCTTTGGCTGACTTGCTGACACTCCATCAGATGCATTTTTATCTGGTTGTCCATCTGTGAACCATACCCTGAGAAGGCAGAGAGTGCCTCTGCACTGAACATGTGCTAGGGGACAGGTCTGTGCTAGAGGGGCAAGCACTGGGAATGAAGAACTGGTCCCTACTCCCAAGGAGTTCATATCTCAGTGGAGGTGACAAGCAACTCACTGTTTCCGGGGGTTGTGGTGACTGCTGGGAGAAGGGGTGTCTATATTAGATCGAAGCAGCATCAGGGGAGGTTCCCTGAGAAGGTGATGCCTCAGCGGATGTCTCCCAGCTAAGTGGGGTGGAGGTGGAGAAGGGCAGAGCAGGGAGAGGATCTAGGTGGGGCGTGTAAGTCTGCATGGGTAACTCAGGGAACCCTTGGTAACTGCATGTAACTGTGTGAAGCTTTCATGAAGGAACATGGTAGGAGACTAGGGTATGGACTATAGAAGCCCTTTTGCTAAGCTCAAGAATTTGAGGCCGGGAGCGGTGGCTCACGCCTGAAATCCCAGCACTTTGGGAGGCCAAGGCGGGCGGATCACGAGGTCAGGAGATCGAGACCATCCTGGCTAACATGGTGAAACCCCGTCTCTACTAAAAAAAAAGTACAAAAAATTAGCGGGGCGTGGTGGCGGGCGCCCGTAGTCCCAGCTACTCAGGGAGCTGAGGCAGGAGAATGGCATGAACCCGGGAGGCGGAGCTTGCAGTGGGCGGAGACTGTGCCACTGCACTCCAGCCTGGGCAACAGTGCAAGACTCCATCTGAAAACAACAACAACAACAAAAAATTTGAAGTGTATCTTGAAGGAAATCCCTTGGAGCCTAAAAATGATCATTGATAACAGAAAATGATCTCTGCTCTCGCCTAGGGTAATATATTCAGCTTCAAAGTGGAAGGGCATGTTTTCCAAGGGCATGTTTTCTAAGTCCCTGTAATTGTAGTGATAGCAAATATATGCCCTGCATCTTGAAATGTAAGACTAGGTTTGAACAGTATATAAATTATCTTATGATCTAATTTCCCCTCATTTTGTGGTTTCTACTATAAGCTACCCAGAAGTGTAGACAGGACGTTTGGAATTTGATGGGCATCGGAAAGATTCCTACCTAAGAACATTTTTTTTTTTTTTTTTTTTTCTGAGAAGGAGCCTTGCTCTGTCACCCAGGCTGGAGTGCAGTGGCACGATCTCAGCTTACTGCAACCTCCACCTCTCAGGTTCAAGTGATTCTCCTGCCTCAGCCTCCTGAGTAGCTGGGACTACAGGTGTGCACCATCATGCCTAGTTAATTTTTATATTTTTAATAAAGGCAGGATTTCACTATGTTAGCCAGGCTGGTCTTGAACTCCTGACCCCATGATCTGCCCACCTTGGCCTCCCAAAGTGCTGGGATTACAGGTGTGAGCCACTGCGCCCGGCCTCTAAGAAAATTTTTGAGAGCTACTTGTTCTGTTGCCTGGAATTCCACCGTAAGTACGACGTTGTGTCTCCTTCTCCAGGGCTACTAACTAAACAACAGAGGGTATTGTGTTATCGACAATTATTTGATTGATAACTATCAGCAAACATTTGCCAAGGCATTCCTTTAAAGATAGCCTAGTGACTCTATTAACTACTCCTTCTTCCAGGCTTCTAAGTTCTGTTGGAGGTAAGTAGATCCCAGAGATAAAGCACCTACCATAGGACCTGAATCTTGGTAGAAATAAATTATATCATCATGTTATCATATTATCATGTGTTTTTCTATCTTTAAAGTCTTATGTGAATATTCTGCTTGAAAAATATGTGTCCTCTGTTAGACCAGAGTTGAAAATATGTTATTCAAGAACTTGTAACAGGAACCCGCACAATTTCTGCTGGAGTTTAATTTCAGGGTTAATTCTGTCAGCAATCTAAGGTAAACATTAACATTTTTCCCTAGATTCAAGTCCGTTGTCCAAAAGCTGTAACAGAACTTAACTGAATAAATAGTTTCTTAAGATGGTAAGCTTCCATATGCTTATAATGACTCCTCTACACGTTTTCATCTGGAAGGCTGCTCATGCTTTTGGAAGCAAAGAAGACAATCTTAAATAACTACATTTGCTTTTTGGTGGTGCCAGATTTTTCTGAGAAACACCAATGGAATTTATAAATTCACCAGTCAATGGGCAATTGAGTTGCTGTTTTGCTATTACCACTGCCGTTTGTGAGCATTGTTGGGAAGGTGTCTTGAAGCACACGTGCAAGTTTCCCTTGGATAAGTAGTAGGAATAGAATTGCCAAACCATGGCTTCCAGTGCAGACACAGTCTCTCCCTTGGGCCCAGCCACTAGGCACCACACATTAAGAGGATATTGTCTGTCCATGTCCTAGAAACGTTGTAGCATCATGCTCCTATTCGATTAAAAATCTCATTATTAAAATGAACCATCGGGTAAATGTTGTCTCGGGAAAAGAAGCACTGACCGTCCCTGGGTGGGCTCGAACCACCAACCTTTCGGTTAACAGCCGAACGCGCTAACCGATTGCGCCACAGAGACCCAGTTACTCAGGCCGCGCTGCGGTGTGTACAGATTTCCGCGGCGCCGGCAGCCGCTCTAGCCACCCTGGGCGTCGCCACCCCAGGCGTTGCCACCCCAGGCACGGGCTGAGAAGTCGCGGGGCGCGCCGAGGAGGCAGCGGAAGCGGCCGAGGTGCCCAGCGGCCGCCGCGGGGGGAGAGGCTGTGCCCCGGCGCGCGGGAGGGGGCGGGCGAGGCCGCGTGACTCCGGGCTTCTCTGGGGACGAAGCGCGCCCCTCGTGGCGGCAGCGGCCAGTGGTCCGCAGTCGGCCCGGACTCGGGGTAGGAAAGATCCTCTCAGCAATGGCTGCGCGCCATGCGTGCTCTGCGGCGGGGACCGTGCCGGCCGGGCGCGCCACCAGTAACCAGGGACCCAGGGGAGAACCTGCCAAGGGGAATAGGTCGCACGGAGAGAATACGACACGCTTGGAGGGAAGAACCACGTGCTGTACAGGTTTAAAGGATGGAGAGTCACGTGCGCTTAGGTCCCAAACTTAAGGGACCTAACCCTTTTTCTGGGTTGCCGCTATTGCCCCTTCTCCTTAGACAGTTTTTCATCTCATCACCTCTCACCCCGTAAAATGCAACGAACATAGATAGGCTGTGTATCAATGTAGACTGTATGTATATCTGTGCTTCGTACATAAAAAGAATATGATTTTTGCCACCTTCTAAGAACCAATTTGCACCCCATTTTGAGGCATATGGCCTCTGTTGAGATTGCATAGTTTAGGGGACATCAAAAAAGCCTTATAGAGGGACTGGCAATTAAGATAGCCTTTCAGTTTGAAATGGCCATTGAAGGCTTCTCCCTTTCCCTGACTTCTGAATTTTTTTTTTTTTTTTTTTTTTTTTTTTTTGAGATGGAGTCTTGCCCTGTTGCTGGAGTGCAATGGCGCGATCTCGGCTCACTGCAACCTCCGCCTCCCGGGTTCAAGCGATTCCTGCCTCAGCCTCCCGAGTAGCTGGGAATACAGGCGCCTGCCACCACGCCCAGCTAACTTTTGTATTTTTAGTAGAGGCGGGGTTTCGCCATGCTGGCCAGGCTGGTCTGGTACTCCTGACCTCGTGATCCGCCCGCCTCCGCCTCCCAAAGTGCTGGGATGACATTACAGGCGTGAGCCACCGTGCCCGGCCAATTTTTTTAGGCGCACTGTTCAGTGGCACTAAGTACATTCACATTGTTATGCAACTATCACCGCCATCCATTTCCAGAACCTTTTCATCTTCCGAAACAGAAGCTCCCTACCCATTACACGGTAACTCACGATTCCCCTCCTCTAGTCGGAACAATCACCATTCTACTTTCTGTCCCTTTGAATTTGACTACTCTTAGAGACCTCATGTAAATGGAGTCATACGGTGTTTGCCTGTGGCTGGCTTATTTCACTTACCATATGTCTTCAAGGTCCATCCACGTTGTAGCCTGTGTCAGGATTTCCTTCCTGGATAAGGCTGAATAAGCTGCACTGTATGCAGGTATCGCATTTTGCTTTTCCATTCATCTCTCCGTGAACATTAGGGTTGCTTCCACCTGCAGCTATGAACATGGGTCTACAAATAACTGATTCCCTGCTTTCAATTCTTTTGGGAATATACCCAGAGATGGAGTAGCTGGATCACATGGTTTGCTATTGGCTGTACCATTTTACATTCGCACCAACAGTGTACAAGAGTCCCTATTTCTCCTCATCTATTTTTTTTTTAAATAATGGGCATCCTAATGGGTATGAAGTATCATCTCATTGTGGTTTTGCTCTGCATTTCTCTAACGATTAGTGGTGTTGGGCATCTTTTCCAGACACCACCAATCTGAATTCTATGGCCCTTCGTTTACTCACTTCCTCCCAGCAAGAGCCATTTCTGCTTCAGCAAGGAGGAAGCTGCGACTGATAGAGGGAAAGGGCCCAGGGGGCTTGCAGAGTGGGGCCTGTGCCATGCAAGGAGAGGAGAAGAAGGTGGATCTTTGAGTAGGACTATCTGGAGATCCTGCTTTCACAAGGTCCTTGCTTGTGTGCTGGGCAGCTTTTGGAGCTAGTTATCTTTATTTTAGCCCTTGAGGGATATTTAGGCATGTGGTGCTTGTGAGCAGCCAATCCATGAAGAAGGAACTGATGGTCTCCACCTTGGAAATATTGGAAGAGATAATGCCGTCCAAATTGCAGTTTTAGAAGTTAACTTAAAATTATGCTATTTTAATGGAATTTTGGGTGCATTTCCATTTTCTTCTTAAGAATTGCTGGAATTTCTTAAGTGTTTAGGTGATGATCTCTTTTTGTGATTCCTTTTTTAAAAAACAACAACAAAATCTTTCAAATACATAAGAAATAGGCCGGGCACGGTGGCGTAATCCCACCACTTTGGGAGGCCGAGGAGGGCGGATCATGAGGTCAGGAGATCAAGACCATCCCGGCTAACACGGTGAAACCCCGTCTCTACTAAAAAATACAAAAAATTAGCCGGGCGTGGTGGCGGGCGCCTGTAGTCCCAGCTACTCGGGAGGCTGAGGCAGGAGAATGGCATGAACCCGGGAGGCGAAGCTTGCAGTGAGCCTAGATCGCACCACTGTACTTTAGCCTGGGCGATGGAGCAAGACTGTCTCAAAAAAAAAAAAAAGAAAAAAAAAGAAAGAAATAGACCTTTATTTTTCTGTAACTCCACAAAATTTCTATTTTGATTCCCTATTATTTTGCTATTGTCAACACAGTCTCAGTCAATTCAAGATCCTGTTTGTGCCTTTCCCTGGAGTCATTTCCAAGTGCTAAGGCTTTGGTCCATGAGTCGCATGTGCACACTCATGGCTGTAGAGGGAGTTTTGCTCCCGGTGAAGGTCTTGGTGGCTCTTCTATACCTTGATTGAGGGAAAGGAATCTTATGTGAAGTTAGCTTTGTTGTATCAGATATTCCATAAAGCCATTTCTGGGACAGTCCCCTCTGTTTATCGGACCACAAGCTTCTCTGTCCTCATCAAGCCCACCTTTATACTTCATTTCTCCAGACTTCATGTCCAGACTGTGGGATGAACAAGTGGTTATAAGGTTTTAGAGGCTCCTGTAGGACTAGATGGAAGGCAAAAAAAGGAAATAACCTTTAAGCATGCTCTCGATTCCTTAAATCCCATCTGAAAGTCTTAAGGATGTCTTCTCAGTCATACTTATTTGACAATATTACCTAATTTTCTCCATTAGCCCAAGCTCAGGGGTCTTTCTTCTTCCATATTCACATGGGTGCAATGGTTTTCTGAAAGGAAAACAGCATTACTAGGGCAGTAACATTTAATTAATCACAGGTACTTATCAAACTACAAAACAGGCATTCCAGGAACTGGGTGTTTCTGTTTGTAAAATTACACTCTCGTGTACATGCTCCCACTAAAATGTAAGTTCGCTGAGGATGGAGGTTTTGGTCTCTTTGCTCTGTGCTGTAACCCCAACACTGCAGCAGGGCCTGGCACATAGCAGGCATGCAGGGACTATGCACTGAATCAATGAGGAAATGAAAACCAGGACCATGAAGTAAACTGGACAAAATAAAATGTGATAGAAAATCTAAATTCCTAATACATAAGGAGCACTTATCAATTGATATTTACAAAATCTTTTTACAATTCAATTAAAGACAACATAAAACAAATAAGAATGGGGACAGGAACAGAAAATTCCCCCAAAGAAAAAAATATATATACATGGTACAGCCATTGTGGAAAGCAGTATGGAGTTCTCAAAAATATTAAAATAGAACTATCATATAATCCAGCAATCCCATCCCTGGGTATATATCTAAAGGAAATGAAATCAGTACCCCAAAGAGGTGTCTGCACTCCCATGTTTATTGCAGCATTAGTTACAACAGCCAAGATATGGAATCAACCCATCAGCAGATGAAAGGATAAAGGACATGTGATACATATACACAATGGAGTAGTATTCAGCCTTAAAAAAGAAGAAAATCCTGTCATTTGCAACAACATGGATGAGCCTAGAGAACATACTAAATGAAATAAGCCAGGCATAGAAAGACAAATGCTGCATAGTCTCACTTAGGTGTGGAATCTAAAAAAGTCAAATTAAAAAAAAATGTCAAGCAGAGAATAGAATGGTAGTTGCCAGGGACTCTGGGAAGTAGCAGGGGTGGGGGTGGAGGGGAGGGGATGGGCAGAAGTTGGTCAAAAGGTACAAAGTTTCAGGTAGACAGGTGTAAGTTCTGGGGATCTATTGTACAGCGTGGTGACTGTAGTTAATACTGTATTGTGTACTTAAAAATTGCTCACCAAAAATGTTCTCACCAAAAAAATGATGTTTGGATATGTTAAACAGTTTGATTTAATCATTTTGACGTGTGTGTGTGTGTGTGTGTGTGTGTGTGTGTGTATACATCAAAACATCACATTATATACCATATACAATTAATATATACAATTTTTGTCAAAGAAAAAATGCACATGACCAATATGATAAAAGTTTAGTCTCACTAGTAATAAAAATCAAAATTAAATGAAATAAAAATTTCTTTCCCCAAATCGCAAAAGAGAAAGAAAGGTAATACTAAAACACAGTCACGGTGTAGTGAGAGGGCTGCTCTCACACAGGACTGATGAGAATAAAATTGGAGAGCAGTGTGGTAATATACATATTAAACAATGTATATACCCTCTCATTTTAGAAATTCTATATTAGAAATCCATCCTAAGAAAATAACCAGGGATGTGATCAAAATTTTGAATGCAGCAGCACAGTATTATTTATAATAGTTATAAATAAGAAACAACCTGAATGTCCAGCAACAGGCAAAAATGATAAATAAATTGTGGCATATTTAAGCTGGTGGCTCATGCCTGTAATCCCAGCACTTTGGGAGGCTGAGGCAGGAGGATCTCTTGAGGCCAGGAGTTTGAAACCTGTCTGGGCAACATAACGAGACCCAGTCTCTACAACATATTTTTTAAAATTAGGTGGGGCATGGTAACTCATGCCTGTAATCCCAGCACTTTGGGAGGCTGAGGTGAGCAGATCACCTGAGGTGAGGAGTTTGAAACTAGCCTGGCCAACATGGTGTAACACCATCTCTACAAAAAATACAAAAATTAGCCAGGGTGGGGTGCGTTCCTGTAGTCCCAGCTACTCGGCAGACTGAGGTAGGAGAATCACTTGAACCCGGGATTCGGAGGTTGCATTGAGCTGATATCATGCCACTGCACTCCAGCCTGGGTGAGACCCTGTCTCAAAAAAAAAAAAAAAAGAAAAAGAAAAAATTAGCTGGGCGTGGTGCTGTACGCCTGTAGTCCCAGCTATTCCGGAAGCTGAAGCGGGGGGATTGCTTGAGCCCAGGAATTTAAGGCTGCAGTGAGCTATGATTGTGCCACTCCGCTCCAGCCTGAGTGAGAAAGCAAGACTCTGTCTCTTAAAAAAAAAAAAGTGATATATTTTTAAAATAGAGTATATTACTTATATAGACATCAAAAACAATATTTTCAAGGGATATTTAAAAACATAGGATCATGACAAAATGTAAAGTTCAAAGGTAAGATGGAGAATGGAGAACTGTGGGGAACTGTATAATCTGACAATTCGTAGTTGCATACATCTTTCTGTGTGCTGGTGCTGTTAGAACACTTTGTACGCATCACCTCATTTAAGTTCAGCATCCCTAGGTGGCAGATACTATTATTATATTCCAGTTTTGTTTCACGTTGTATATGCGGTGTGAGCCCCAATATGGGATGTGTGTGTGCACATGTGCAGTATTTGGAAAGTTCTATGAAATATTATTAGTGGTTATCTCTGGGAGGTGATTTTTATTCCTTTTCCAGTATGTTCTCAAGCATTTGCTGCAAGCAGTCTTTTGCGGGGCCAGGGTTGAGAGGCAGCAGCAGTTTCCCTAAATTACAGATAGAGGGAGGTAGGTGGTTATGCTTGGCCAGATCTCTGTCTAGGGGTAGAGGAGTGCCTGTGTGTGGGTAGGGACACCGGCGGGGGGCTTTGCCAAACACAGTGGAACTGTCACGCTGGTCTCTCTTCTCAACTCTTTCACTCACCTGAGAAAAGGGTGTCTATGGACCATGCACACTTCTGTGGGGAATTTTACAAGATGTGAATCATCAGTGATGAAGATGCTTTCATTTAAAAAGAATTGGAGTACCTGAGATTAGAGATAACTTCTACCCTTTTAAAATATTTTTAAAAATTTCTTTGCACTGATTTTTTTTCTTCGTTTTTATGAGTTGTTTTCATTTGGGTGGGATAACTCAATCTACAGGAGAATATTAAGACTTTTTAAATTTTAAAAAATATACTTTCAAATACTTAATACATTTTGTGTTAAATGACAGCCAGCAGATATTGACTGAATTGGGCTAGATGCTTCAGGGATCTCCCTTCCATTTAAGACTCTCCGAGAGGCCATTCCTGACTGCAGGTCACTGTATTATTTTTAATTTTAAAATTTTTACTTACTTATTTTATTTAATTTTATTTTTTGAGACAGAGTCTCACTCTGTCGCCCAGGTTGGAGTGCAGTGGCACAATCTCAGCTCACTGCAACCTCCACCTCCCGGGCTCAAGCGATTCTCCTGCCTCAGCCTCCTGACTAGCTGGGGTTACAGGTGCAGGCCACCACACCCCGTTAATTTTTGTATATTTAGTGGAGTCAGGGATTCGCCATGTTGGCCAGGCTAGTCTCAAACTCCTGACCTCAAGCGATCCTTCCACCTCAGCCTCCCAAAATGCTGGGATTACAGGCCTGAGCCACCCCACTCGGCCTACTTTATTAATCCACTTGCAGAAACAGGATATACACAAAAACGTTTCAAGGCTGTAAGTGCCACTGCATGGCACCAATGGTAAACGTTTTACAAATTTGAGTCAGGAACAATCATTAGTGTCACTAGCAACAAAAATCAAAATTAAATGAAATAAAAAATTTCTTTCCCCAAATGGCAAAGGAGAAAGAAAGGTAATACTAACACGCAGTCAGGGTGTAGTGAGAGGGCCGCTCTCACACAGGACTGGTAAGTACAGAGCCATGGAGTAAGCAGGTCTTGAGCTGACACTGGAGAGGATCCTTTTTTTTTTTTATTTTTATTTTTTTAGAGTCAGGGTCTTGCTTTTTTACCCAGGCTGGAGTACAGTGGTGCCATCATAGCTCACTGCAGCTTCAAACTCCTGGGCTCAAGAGATCCTCCTGCCTCAGCATCCCCAGTAGCAGGGACCACAAGTGAGAGGATCCTTTAGTGTTGTCAAGGAGAAGGAACAGAGGTGTGGATGGGTGGGCACAGACACAGGAGCACAGCTGAAGCAGAGGATTACAAAGGGTGGAGCCTGATGTAAAGAAACCTAATAGGTGACAGAGCATGGAGGCTCTTGAATACCAGGCTGGAAACTGCATTAGGAACGGTGCTCATAATTGCAGAAAATTTTACATGGCCTAGATAGTCATCAAAGGATGATGTACAAACAACTATGGCATATTTATACAATGTGCCGACAGGATGCACTGAACATTTTGAACAACAAAGAGACTTGATAATGGCGAGGTTTTGAGGAGGTGAATCAGGATGCAAAAAAAGCAAACAACTAATAAAGTTGATTGATGACAAACACTATCAAAAGGCAGCCAGGAGAAAAGCTACTGGTTACCTCCAGGGAGCTGGTGAGGGAGGCTGGGTGGGAGGATCTACCCTTCTGAATTCTGAGGGCACCTCCAGTGTGGCCCTCAGAAAGCAGGAGCTTCCAGGCTAGAATCAGATCCCGACATCCCTGTTAATTCCACGGATTCCACACCGAGTCAGATTTATGATTTACTATAGGGTTTTAAAAACCAAATTGCAGGGATGCTAGCCTATCACAGCTTATCTCAGACATTGTCCACTAAGGTATACAGAGTGCTGCCTGTTCCTTTGGTACCCTAATCAGGAAACCCCATCAGATCTGCTCCTTCCTATGGGGTAGTGAGTAACACGAAGGCTTACCATCTCACACAGATAACTGGTCATAGGTCCAGCAGAAGTTTAAAACAGAAAATGAGGAAAGCCATGTGATTAACTGCTGCCAGACTGTTTGTGTTACAAACAGCAGTTCCTTAGGCATTGCCTGGGACATGCAATAATTTCTGTTACACAATCTGTGGTAGTTAAAATGCTGCACGATGAAAGCTATCTGATTTGGATTCATTATTAGGTGAGCCATCTCGTCTGCAATTTGGTTCCACCATTTTCATTTAACAAATGTAAAAAAGTTTATTAAGCTCTTACAAAGTTATGCTGGGCAAATATGCAAAAGTCCAGATCACCTACCGCAGGAACTAATCTAGCCTCCTCTCTGGGCACCCTGTTGTTTGGGGCTGGGCAGTTCTTTCCTGTGTAGAACCATCTAGGGCTGAATAGGTCATTCTGACACCTGGGCACCTCTGCCTGCTCGTAAATGGGACAATCAGAAAGGGCCCTTATGTTTCCAAACTTTCTTTAAAGTAGCTGTTCTGAAAACATGGTCCAGGGACCCCTGATTGTCCCTGAGACCTTTGAGGGGATCTTCAAGGTTAAAATTAATGTCATAATAATACTAATATGTTATCTGTCTTTTTTCACTCTCACTTTCTCACACGTGAACAGTGGCATTTTCCAGGTGACAGAGTGTGTGATAATGAACCTAACTGAATGCAGAAGCAAACATGAGAACCTAGTTTTTTCAATCAAACCAGACGTGAAAGAGATTTGCAAAAATGAAAAAACAATGCTATCCTCCTCACAATATTTTTGTTTTAGAAAATAAAGTTATTTTTCCTAGAAATGTTTTTGAGTTTATCAGTCATAGGTTTATTATTATAATTAAAAAATGAAATATACATACACAGACATATTTTTTAAAGTTCTCAGTTTTAATCTCTTTTTTTTTTTTTTTTTTTTTGAGACGGAGTCTCGCTCTGTCGCCCAGGTTGGAGTGCAGTGGTGCGATCTCAGCTCACTGCAAGCTCCGCCTCCCTGGTTCGCGCCATTCTCCTGCCTCAGCCTCCCGAGTAGCTGGGACTACAGGCACCCGCCACCGCGCCCGGCTAATTTTTTGTATTTTTAGTAGAGACGGTGTTTCACCATGTTAGCCAGGATGGTCTCGATCTCCTGACCTCGTGATCTGCCCACCTCGGCCTCCCAAAGTGCTGGGATTACAGGCGTGAACCACCACGCCCGGTCTCAGTTTTAATTTCTAATACAGTAAGTATTGATCAGTGTGCCCCACATTAGTAAAAGCTCTTGGGGTCCTCAGTACTTCTTTTTAAGAGTTGTCAAGGAGTCCTGTGACCAAAAATAGGAGAGCCACTGCCCTAGAAGGACAGCCCCAGCCCGGGTCAGGAACAACTGGGACAGAACCTACTGCTCCTAGTGGATTGTAATATGATAGGATTTAACCTTCAAGGTTTCAACTCTTGGCAAGAGTCCATGAGGGGCCATGGTTTGTCCTGAGCATTGCTTACTGTTAACAGGAGCAAGTTCCTTAGGCTGGTGAGCCAAGCCAGCCTGACGCTGGCCATGGACATCTTAGTGGGCTGCTTGTTCTAGTGTGGGTTTTCATTTTATGGGAAATGTCATCTGCTCTAAGGCTCTTCTCATTTGGGGAAATCACAAGTTCTCAGAATGTTTGTCTCTCTTGGTTGGGGCCTCTATAATTAAATTATAAAACAGAGGTAATGGTTAAGTAATGCAAGATTTGACAGAAACCACAGAGGATTTAGGGTTTAATTTGAGTGAGGCAAAGGGGGGATGAAGATGAGCGGTCCTGGAGACAAGAAAAAGATTGGATGAAGCTGGGCACGGTGGCTCACGCCTGTAATCCCAGTACTTTGGGAGGCCAAGGTGGGCAGATCACTTGAGGCCAGGAGTTTGAGACCAGCCTGGCTAACATAATGCAACCCCGTCTCTACTAAAAATACAAAAATTAGCCAGGCGTGTTGGTGTGTGCCTGTAGTCACAGCTACTTGGGAGGCTGAGGCATGAGAATCGCTTGAATCCGGGAGGCAGAGGTTGCAGTGAGCAGAGATCATGCCACTGCACTCCAGCCTAGGCAACAGGGTGAGACTCTGTCTTCTTTTTTTTTGAGACGGAGTCTGTCGCCCAGGCTGGAGTGCAGTGGCATGATCTCTGCTCACTGCAAGCTCCGCCTCCCAGCTTCAAGCGAGTCTCCTGCCTCAGCCTCCCGAGTAGCTGGGATTACAGGCATGTGCCACCACACCCAGCTAATTTTTATATTTTTAGTAGAGACGGGGTTTCACCATGTTGGTCAGGCTGGTCTCAAACTCCTGACCTCGTGATCTGCCCGCCGCGGCCTCCCAAAGTGCTGGGATTACAGGTGTGAGCCACCATACCTGGCTGAGACTCTGTCTTTAAAAAAAAAAGAGAGAGAGGGAGAGAAAGATTGGATGAAACAACAGAGTGGGGAGGACCTGTGAGCTTGGTAGCTTGGTGAAGGCAGGGCTTTATTGGGGGCCTTAGAGGGGATCCAATAAAGGTTCCCAGTCATGGTAGTGACCTAAAGAAAATAGCATTTTAACATCTTTCATTTCATAATAGACAGTCACAGTTTACAAGACCCTTTCCATACATTCCTTATGACATCCATACTACAGCCCAGAGGCAAGTTGTGCACTCTCTCCTCTCACAAATACAAAAACTCAGCCTCTAGAGGCCAGCGACCTGCTCAGGGTGATGTGCAATTCAGGGATGACAGAGTCGAGGCTCCCAGCCCAGTGGTTATCCCTCACAGGCACGTTGCCTGTCAGTGTGCAGTATAAAACTTTGTACAAGAAATCAAGTTGCATTAGTCAGTCGGATTCCCCAAATGATCACATTGTAGATGGTGTATGCTGTGGGCAGAGCAAGGGCTGCTGTTTCTTGGGCAAAACAATCAGTCCCCCTCCCCCCCAAAATAAATGAATGCCAATGGTGTGACTTTATTTTATTTATTTTATTTTTATTATTATTTGTGAGACAGAGTCTCACTCTTTCACCCAGGCTGGAGTGCAATGGCATGGTCTCGGCTCACTGCAACCTCTGCCTCCTGGGTTCAAGCGATTCTCCCGCCTCACCCTCCCGAGTAGCTGGGACTACAAGTGCATGCCACTGCACCCGGCTAATTTTTGTATTTTTTTTAAGTAGAGACAGGGTTTCACTATGTTGGTCAGGCTGGTCTTGAACTCCTGACCTCATGATCCACCTGCCTCAGCCTCCCAAAGTGCTGGGATTACAGGCATGAGCCACCGCGCCCAGCAATGTGACTTTATAATTACAGAATGTAGGACTCAGCTCCCACTATTGTTATGACTCAATATTCTCTTAGATAATGTTTGGGGCACTAGCTTACAGGCAGCATTGCCCGGTGGTTAATGTTGTAGCTTTGCAGGCAGACTGACCATATTAAAATTCGATCACACCATTTGCTAAGCCTGTGGACTCGGGCACGCTTCTTTCTCTGCGTTAGTTTCCTCCTCTGTAAAACACGGATGATGCTATAAACACACCCAAGTCCTAGAATTGTTATATGAGTTAGAAAAGATAGGCAAATACAACTCTCACAAGACAGCCTGGCCTCCAGTAAGTGCCACTGAGTGTTTGCTCTTATTGTACAGTGGCTCCAAGTGCTTCTGTCTTGGATTATTTCTGACCAGGTGGCTATGTCTCCTAGTAACTTACCAATCCTGTTGAGTCTTAATAAGCACGTCTTTGATGCCTACAGTGCGACTGAATTTCCAGGCCTCATTACTGGAGACACAATCATCCTATATGCTTTTTTCCATTTGTTTTTAATAAAGTGGTACATGTGTATGGCACCAGATCAAACAGTACAGAACAAGTTACAATGGAAGAGAATGGCCTCCCAGCTTTCCTGAAATCCTCAACTCAGAGACAACTTTTTTTTTTCTGACGGTTTCTTTATACAGCCCTTTTTGTGGTTACCTTCCTAACTCTAGAAAAACTATTCTTACCTCTGTTTATTTACTTAGAAACATTAGACGTTACCTTTCAACTCCTCAGTATGAAGCTTTAGTTTTCAGCACCCCAGGCCACCACCCTCTTTCCAGGACTTACTACTTATACTGGTGGTAGGTGGAATTTTAAAATTCATCAGCATTCTTTTGTGATTCTCTGTGTGTTCCAGTTTTACAGCAACCCGTACTTGTTGCATGAGTACAGTAGAACTGGGAGGCTCATAACTTAGCCTGCAGGACTTTTCACTTAAAGCCTGGCCCTCAGGGTGATGTCACCCACCTCATTGTGCCTGGCTCAGGAGTTTAGTCCCTCAGTTGCCTGGTTGTATAGTTTGGATGTTCAGCACCTCCAAATCTCACATTGAAATGTGATCTCCAATGTTGGATGTGGGGCCTGGTGGGAGGTGTCTGGGTCATCAGGTGGGTCCCTCTTGAATGGCTTGGTGCCTTCCCCATCGTAACGAGTGAGTTCTTGCTCTGGCAGTTCACACAAGAGCTGGCTTTTTAAAGGAGCCTGGCACCTTCCGCTCTTTCTCTTGCTCTTCCTCTTCCCTTCCTTTGTCACTAAAAGCTTCCTGAGCCCTCACCAGAAGCGGTGCAGATGCTGGTGCCATGCTTGGACCTCCTGTAGAACTGTGAGCCAAATAAACTCTTTCCTATAAATTACCCAGTTTCAGGTATTCCTTTATACAATGCAAAACAGACTCACACATCTGGTAAACCCCAGTTGTTTGCTTCTAGGTAAGACGGGAGGAGTGGGGAGCTGGTGAGGGTTTCCACTGCATTGTCTATTTTCAGGCAAGGTGTCTCCACTGAGTAGGCTTCACATTCAGAGCTCTGGGTAAGGTGGGCAGGAAGAGGGTTGCAGGCTGCCCAAAGGAGGGAGAGAAGAAGGCTGAATCCTTCAGTGACAACCTGTGAACCAGAGTCTTAGCTCTCTTTGAATATTTTGTTCAGTATCTTTGGGTTTTGTTTTATTTTGCCTAGGGGTAAATGCTGACTGCCTGTTCTCTGGACAGGAATGGAGAAGATGGTGCTAGCAGGGTTGCTGTTCATATGTAGACATTCATGCAGTCACTCTCTTTTCAGCACACTTCTTACTTCTGCCCTGGGTTCAGTTGCTGACTCTGAGCCCAGAAACCTTCTAGGGTTCTGTTAGGTAGATTGGCTTCCACCGTCTTTGCGACAACCACAGAAAATTCTAGACTGTTTTCTCTTCGGGCTTCATTAGTCAACTTGCTTCAGTCTGTCTTGCATCTTCTAAATATTTATAGATCTCTCTCTTTTGTTGGAGTGGCAGAAAATGCTAGTTGACCACCCAATATTCAAATTATCCTGCCTCCTTAATAACAGAATATCATTGGATGTGGTGGGTAAATAATATACCCTAACTTTCCTTGCAGAGAGGGGTGGCCAATGAGATGGAAATGAAAGTCATTGGGAAAGACTCCCAAGACATCTCTTTAAACAAGACAGACTGAAGCAAGTTGACTAATGAAGCCCAAAGCTAGCAGTTGTTTTTGTTTATCTTTGCCTCTTTCTTCTTCTTCCTGTGGGGACAAAGGGCAGTGATATCTGGAGCTGCAGCAGCCATTTTGGCATAATGTTGGAAAAGCCAAGAGACTCTCAGAGACCGCAGCTCCAGCAGTTTTTTATTTTTTCCAAATATTTGCTCCACTGCAGGAGGATGAGATATTCGTGTTTGTTGCCTTGTGACTGTAGGAGGACTGCACTTCCCTGCCTTGTTGTCAAGTTTCCCCATGTGGTCTGCTTTGGCCAGTAAAACATGAGTGGGAGAAGCTTGGTGAACCATTGCATGTCTACCAGCTTTTTTGCTCTCTTCCCTTTGGCATTAGAAAGGCATGTCCAGGATGGAGTTGTTCCTTCAGCCTAGATTGGGTTATGAGAAGCTAGCTGGGGGAGTCCAGTAACATATAAAGCGAGTTAGAAATAAAACTTTGTTGTTGTAAGCTATATATATATATATATATATATATATATATATATATATATATATAATATGTATGTAATATATAAATACATATTATACTTTAAGTTCTAGGGTACATTTGCACAATGTGCAGGTTTATTACATAGGTATACATGTGCCATGTTGGTTTGCTGCACCCATCAACTGCTCATTTACATTAGGTATTTCTCCTAATGCTATCCCTCCCCAGCCCCCCACCCCTCAACAAGCCCTAGTGTGTGATGTTCCCCTTCCTGTGTCCAAGTGTTCTCATTGTTCAATTCCCACCTATGAGTGAGAACATGTGGTGTTTGGTTTTCTGTCCTTGTGATAGTTTGCTGAGAATAATGGTTTCCAGCTTCATTCGTGTCCCTGCAAAGGACATGAACTCATCCTTTTTTATGGCTGCATGGTATTCCATGGTGTATATGTGCCACATTTTCTTAATCTAGTCTATCATTGATGGACATTTGGGTTGGTTCCAAGTATTTGCTATTGTGAATAGTGCCGCAATAAACATATGTGTGCATGTGTCTTTATAGTAGCATGATTTATAATTCTTTGGATATATACCCAGTAATGGGATCACTGGGTTAAGTGGTATTTCAAGTTCTAGATCCTTGAGGAGTCGCCACACTGTCTTCCACAGTGGTTGAACTAATTTACACTCCCACCATCAGTGTAAAAGCATTCCTATTCCTATGTCTCCACATCCTCTCCAGAATCTGTTGTTTCCTGACTTTTTAATGATTGCCATTCTAATTGGCCTGAGATGGTACCTCATTATGGTTTTGATTTGCATTTCTCTGATGACCAGTGATGATGAGCATTTTTTCATGTGTCTGTTGGCTGCATAAATGTCTTCTTTTGAGTAGTGTCTGTTCATATTGTTTGCCCATTTTTTGATGGGGTTGTTTGTTTTTTTTCTTGTAAATTTGTTTCAGTTCTTTGTAGATTCTGGATATTAGCCCTTTGTCAGATGGGTAGGTTGCAAAAATTATCTCCCATTCTGTAGGTTGCCTGTTCACTCTGATGATAGTTTCTTTTGCTGTGCAGAAGCTCTTTAGTTTAATTAGATCCCATTTATCTATTTTGGCTTTTGTTGCCATTGCTTTTGGTGTTTTAGACATGAAGTCCTTGCCCATACCTATGTCCTGAATGGTATCGCCTAGGTTTTCTTCTAGGGTTTTTATGGTTTTTAGGTCTAACATTTAAGTCTTTAATCCATCTTGAATTAATTTTTGTATAAGGTGTAAGGATGGTTTCCAGTTTCAGCTTTCTACATATGGCTGGCCAGTTTTCCCAGCACCATTTATTAAATAGGGAATCGTTTCCCCATTTCTTGAGCTACAGATATTTTGAGTTTGGTTACCACAGTATTATCTAGTGGAAGTTGACTTATACAGTATGTAATAGGATAAATATAGGTGTGTAACAGAATATTAAGTGTTCGTGTTTCAAAGCTGAGGGGAAAATGTTAAAAGTGTTCACACACTCTAAAAAGAGATTAGCTAAAACTGCTTCATTAACCACACTTTGGGGAAACCAGTTCTGAGATTCTTCTCCATTACTCTGACAGGTTGGACCCTCTGGGGAGCAGATCTCAAGATCAAGTTATGAGTGCAAGAGGTGTGTTGGGAAGCGATGGTTGTAAAAGAATCCTGCAGTAGCACCAGGCACAAGTCTGTCCAGGGAGAGGAGGACTTCTACTCTCTACCAGCATCTCTCCTAAGTCCCCTTAGGGGACGGGGGCAAGGAAGTGCTGGGAAGGGCAGGGCATGGTTCCTGGCTAGGACTCCACCCCCCTGGGGCCTGTACCCACGGACCTAGGTGAAGACAGGCACTCCTGCCTTCTCGCCCAACGGTTGCGTTTCCCAAGATCATCCTGGCCTGCCACGCCCCCATCTACCTATTAAACTCCCCCACCTTCCCCAAACCCTAGCAGGCAGACACACATCGGTGGAAGAAGACAGGAGCGGCTGGACATTGAAAGGACGTCGAGAGGAGCACACCTGCACACCATCGACCAGCGGAACGAGGCAGAGTGTGGCTGGAGCAGTCGGAGGGAAGCCTGGGCCGCTGACTCCAGGGGAAAACCATCTCCTTTCTGGCTCCCCCCTCTGCTGGGAGATACTTTCACTGAATAAAACCTTGCACTCATTCTCCAAGCCCACCTGTGATCCGATTCTTCCTGTACACCAAGGCAAGAACCTGGGATACAGAAAGCCCTCTGTCCTTGTGATAAGGTAGAGGGTCTAACTGAGCTGGTTAACACAAGCTGCCTATAGACAGCGAAACTGAAAGAGCACACAATAGCACACACTCATTGGGGCTTCAGGAGCTGTAAATATCCACCCCTAGACGCTGCCATGGGGCGGGAGCCCCACAGCCTGCCCGTCTAGAGGTTTGAGCAGCGGGACACTGAAGAAGAGAGCCACACCCTCATCGCACGTCCTGCGAGGGAGACAAGGGAACTTTTCCGGTTTCACTTCTGCTTGGCTTGAGCTGGCACTGAAGCACCCTTTTCCCTCCTCACTGAGGGAGCAGAGGGGAAAAGCGGTAGAACTAACAGGCTAACAATGCTCCTCCGAAAATATATCGTATTTTTGGATCCCTAGAGATAGGTGATCACGGCAGCCGCGGAGTGCATTTGGGTCTCCTTTCAAGAAAGAACTTGCTGCTCAGCGTTGAAGAATGCAGTTGGCCAACAGCCTCCAGCTGCTCTGTCTTCAGCATCTGCCATGGCATCTGAGCTGAGGTCATGTTCTTCCTGGGAGGTCCCCAGCAGAAGGATCACGTGGAAGCTCCACAAGCTCCACAGATGTTCCAGGAGAGGAATAGGCAGCATTTGGAAGACATATCCTGCCATAACAGAGGGCATTTGCTAGTAGAGACAACAAACAGCAACAGCCAAGTAAACAAACACACAAGCACAAAGCACTTTCTCCCATTTCCCCTCATTGATCCTGTCCGGGTAGAAGCTGGGGAGGAAGTAGAATAGGGTGAGGCGGGGTGGGGCTGGGGGGCCTACACCTTCTTCCTTCCCCCGCAGGTCCTGTCCCTGGGCCAGGCTTGAACTAGGGGAATGGGAAAAGCTGTGAAGTGAATGAGAATTAGGAGTTTTTATTTAGACTGGACTTGAATTTTTTTTTTTTTTTTTTTTTTTTTGAGACAGAGCCTCGCTCTGTCACCCAGGCTGGAGTCCCGTGGCGCCATCTTGGCTCACTACAGCCTCTGCCTCCCGGGTTCAAGCGATCCTCCCACCACAGTCTCCTGAGTAGCCGGGATTACAGGTGCCTGCCACCATGCCCAGCTATTTTTTTTTTTTTTTGTATTTTTAGTAGAGACAGGGCGTCACCGTGTTGGCCAGGCTGGTCTCGAACTCCTGGCCTCAAGTGATCTGTCCGCCTCGGCCTCCCCAAGTGCTAGGATTATAGGAGTGAGCCACCACGCCTGGCCTGGACTTGAATTTTTAATTCCTAAAAATGAACTACCAGTTAAAATTTAAAAATGACCAAAAAAGCTATGGGATATGCTGATGTTTTGCTTTGGGGATAAGGAAAAGATATCTGGTTGAGCGGCATTGAAAACAGTGTAGGGAGAGAAAAACTCATTCCTGGCTCACCCTTTTGAGTCCCACTATCTCAATAATCTGATGTTATATGACACACACACACACACACGGAGGAATCCTGGAAGACTCCATATCAAGGTGGTGATGAAGGTGACCAGTGGGTGATAGGATTATAGGTGTGTGTTTATTTATTTATTTTAATTACCTTTTTTTAGAGACAGGGTCTCTGTCATCCAGGCTGCAGTGCAGTGGTGTGATCATGGCTCACTGCAGTCTTGCACTCCAGGGCTCAATCCTCCTGCCTCAGTCTCCTGAGTAGCTGGAGCTGCAGTCATGCACCAACGTGCCCAACTAATTTACTTTATTTTATTTTTTATTTTTTGTTAAGATGGAATCTCACTTTATTGCCTAGGCTGGTCTTAAACTCCTGGTTTCAAGCATTCCTCCTACCTCAGCCTCTCAAAGTGCTGGAATTACTGCACTTGGCCCTATTATATTTTTAAAAAATTTCAATAGTTTTAGGGGTAAAAGTGGCTTTGGTTACATAGATGAATTGTATAGTGATGAAGTCTGGATTTTTAGTGTACCCATCACCCAAATAGTGTACATTGTACCCAATGAGTAGTTTTTCATTCCTCACCCCCACACTGTCCCCACTTCTGAGTCTCCTGATGTCCATTATAGCACCCTGCTTTTGCGCACTTAGAGCTTACCTCCCACTTAGAAGTGAGAACATGTGGTAGTTGGTTTTCCCTTCCTGAGTTACTTCACTTAGGTCAGTGGCCTCCAATTTCATCTGAGTTGCTGCACATAACATGATTTCATTCTTTTTTTGACTGAGTAGTAGTCCATCTCTCTCTCTCACACACACACATACACACACACACACACACACACACACACACACATTTATCCACTCATCCATTGATGGGCACTTAGGTTGCTTCTATATCTTTGCAATTGTGAATTGTGCTCCAATAAACATACATGTGCAAGTGCTGTTTTTTCTCCCTTTTATCCTTCTTTTCTTCCCTATGCTTCCATAGGTACTGAGAAAGAGTCTTTTTTATATAATTATTTCTTTTCCTTTGGGAAGATACCCAGTAGTGGGATGGCTTGATCCAATGGTAGATCTGTTTTTAGTTCTTTGAGAAATCTCCATATTATCTCCATATTGTTTTCCATAGAGATTGTACTAATTTACATTCCCACCAACAATGTATGTGTTCCATTTTCACTGCATCGGCACCAACAACGGTTGTTTTTTGACTTTTTAATAATGGCCATTCTGGCTGGGGTAAGGTGGTATCTCACTGTGGTTTTAACTTGTATTTCCCTGATAATTAGTGATGTTGAGCATTTAAGAAATATATTTGTTGGCCATTTGTATATCTTCTTTTAAGAAATATCTCTTGAAGTTGTTTGCCCACTTTTTAATGTGATTATTTGTTTTTTTTTCTTGCTGATTTGTTTGAGTTCCTTGTAGCTTCTGAATATTAGTCCTTTGTCAGAGGTATAGTTTGCAAATACTTTCTCCCATTCTGTAGGTTGTCTCTTTACTCTGTTGGTTATTTCTTTTGCTATGCAGAAGCTTTTTAGAATAATTAGGTCCCATTTACTTATTTCTGTTATTTTGTTGCATTTGTTTTTGGGGTGTTAGTCACAAATTCTTTGCCTAGACCAATGTCCAGAAGAGTTTTTCCTAGGTTTTCTTCTAGAATTTTTATGGTTTCAGGTCTTAGATTTATGTCTTTAATCCATCTTGAATTAATTTTTGTATATGGTGAGAGATAGGAACCCGGTTTCATTCTTTTACACTACATGTGGCTATCCAATTTTCCCAGCACTGTTTATTGAATAGGATTTCCTTTCCCCAGTGTATGTTTTTGTTTGTTTGGCTGAAGATCAGTTGGTTGTAGGTATTTGGTTTTATTTCTGGGTTCTCTATGCTATTCTACTTTTATACCGGTTCCATGCTGTTTTGATTACAATAGCCTCGTAGTATAATTTGAAGTTGGGTAATGTGATGCCTCCAGATTTGCTCTTTTTTTGCTTAGGATTGCTTTGGCTATTTGGACCCCTCTTTGGTCTCATATAAATTTTAGGATTGGTTTTTCTAATTCTGTGAAAAATGACATTGGTATTTTGATAAGGGTTGCACTGAATCTGTGGATTGCTTTGGGTAGTATAGTCATTTTTACAATATTGATTCTTCTAATCCATAAGCATGGTATGTTTCTCCATTTGCTTGTGTCATCTATTATTTCTTTCATTAGTGTTTTGTAATTCTCCTTGTAGGGGTCTTTCACCTCCTTGGTTAAGTATATTCCTATGTATTTTATTTTTATTTTTTGCAGCTATTGTAAATGGGATTGAGTTCTTGATTTGATTTTGAGCTTGGCCATCATTGGTGTATAGCAGTGCTAGTGATTTGTGTACATTGATTTTGTAACCTAACACTACTAAATTCACTTATCAAATCTGGGAGATTTTTGAGGATTCCTTAGGATTTTCTAGGTATGAGATCATATCATTGGTAGAGGTAGTTTGAGTTTCTCTTTTCCAGTTTGGATGCCCTTTATTTCTTTCTCTTGCCTGATTGCTCTGACTAGGGCTTCTAGTACTATGTTGAATAGAAATGGTGAAAAGTGGGCATCCTTGTCTCATTCTAATTTTTAGGGGGAAATGCTTTCAACTTTTCCCCATTCATTTTGATGTTGGCTGTGAGTTTGTCATAGATGATTCTTACTATTTTGAGATATATTCATTTGATGCCTAGTTTGTTGAGGGATTTTATCATAAAAGGAGGCTGGATTTTATTGAATGCTTTTTCTGCATCTATTAAAATGATTACGTTTTTCATTTTTAATTCTGTTTATGTCATGAATCACATTTATTGACTTATGTTTATTTGTTGCTTACATCTACTTTCTAATTTTACTATAATAAACATGTATAATTTTGTTATCAGAAAAGTAAATGTAAAAGTGAGTTTTAATTTTAAAACTTGGGCCTAAGTCTTCCTGCCTCCCAAGCCCATTCCCTTCCTGATATCTGGGGCTTCCCTCCTCAAGCCTGCTCTGCAGGATAAGGGGATACAGTCCACATGCCTGCTGCTGGTTTGGCCCATGATAACCTCCATGGGCAATGTCTGAGCCTCTGCTGTTGAGTTTTGCTTTACACACTCCTGGCAAGGAAAGGATGGCCAACATGGCTTGGACATGGGTTGCTGATAATTGGTGATGTCTCATGACTGGTTCTGCCTGGAGGGCTTGCTGTAAGTCCCTGATAGGAGGAACATGGACCTGCACAAGAGCAGAACTTATCTGACACTGAAGAGGACACTTCAAGAACAGATTATCAAAGTCTAGCTCAGGGAGAAATATACTTTAGAGCAGAATGAGGAATGGCGAGGCAGCTGAGCTTAGACACAAGCAGAAGGAAATCCATGGTGAGGGCACAGGCAAGGAAAGGGGCTGAGAGAGCATTAGTGGGGGCAGTCAGGGGCAGTGGTCAGGATGCTCGGATGCCAGCGTGAACAATCGCATCAAGATTAAACACCATGAGGATCGTTAGACTTCCTGTCATATGTCTCCAGGTGGTGCTCCAAATATCCTAAACCAGATGACAGCACCCCTCCACCCTCTGCTGTATAAGCACATCTGCTCTCCTATAATCATTCCCACATAGCAATTTATCATTTTTATTGATTTTTCTTCATTTAATACACGTATAAGTGTGTCTTTTATTTTTAAAAATTTGCATTCCTTTAATTGCTTTGGAGATTGTGCATTTTTCTCTCTGTTGATTTACTCTGCCAATAAACATGTAATCCTACCATAAGCATGTTTTACTTGTGTAATCAACCAAAATAAAAAATTTAAAAAGGAATCACTGACTATGAATTAGACATGTGGATAGGCACCAGGGTTGCAGACATGGCCCACGTTCTTGCATTAACTTGCACTGTGGCTGGGGCATTGGATGGGTACATTAAAAGGATTAAAGTAATATAAGGCAGTATTTATTAAGTGTTGAGTGAGCACTACAGAACCCAAGTGCTGAGGGAGTTTCATGCAGGAAGAGATCAAGAGTAACACAGAGAAGAAGAATAGATCAATTTAGCGCATTCATTTAAAAATTCACCTTTTGCATAAGGGGATGTGTCTTTTGTGGGGAGGAGGGGAGTTCCGATTGGCAGTTTGTTCTCAGGGAGCTTGAAGAAGAGATCTTGGAGAGGAGACGCAGAGAAAACAAATGAAGAAAATGTCAAAATGGAAGGGGTTGGCCCGGCTATGCATACCTTAGTTAGCTTAGGTAGAGTCTAAACTTTTACAAGTGGTTTCAATAGGTGTGTTTGGTCTGGGTTCTTTGGGAGGTATCATAGGAGAATGAAGGCAGGGAGGACGCTTCCAGCACCAAAATTCAAAGGGAAATGTATTTTACATGCATAGCATTGTTTTACTCTCTTTCCATTTGGAGCATATCTTAAAAATTCCATTTGGAGCATATCTTAAAAAACCCATTTCTCTGACAATGGTTCTAAAAGGGGGAAACATCCTTTGCAACAGAATCATTCATTCTCTCATTCATCAACCACTGATTGTGTACTAAGTGTCAGACCTGATCTCCATCCTGCCTGGTATGGCACTAGCTTCTGTCTTGAGACAAGCATTGTGATAAACCATGACCAAAAAAAGGGCAGTTTTATAAACACAAGTCTGCCAGGCTTTCAGCAATTCTAAATTTCCTTTTGCAAGTCAGGCTGGAGTTAATGGCTCTTTCCTGCAGCGGCGGAGATGACAGGGCTCTCCCACAGTGCTGAGCAGGCAGTTTGAAAGCCCCACTTCCTGTCTCTGCATGGGCGAGTGTCCACTGGAAGCCACTGAGAGGAAGGAGGGAAACCTCAGAAACCGGCCCCTGCCTGGCTGCTTCACCCTAGAAAGCCCAGGCAGAGGAGGGAAAGGTGAAGTGCTGAAAAAGAATAAAAAAGGGGGAACATGAAAAAGAGCAAGAGCAGGAAGGAGGCAGGGACGGGAAAGGAGGGGAAGCACGGAAACAGCCAATGTCAAGGAGAAGAAAAGATGGCTGGTGGAAAGGAGCTTCCAGGAATTGGGACACAGCCCTGTCTTATTGCAAAAGATGGAAACCCTGAAGGAGAACAGGAAGGAAAAAGAAAACAAGTCCGTCTGAGCTGGCAGGGTCCACTTTCTCATTCTACAGATGAGGAAACAGAGGCACAGAGAGGAAGTGGCTTGCCCAAGGGGGCAGATTCTTGAAAGGATCATCTGCACTCTCTCTCCCTTAATGCATTCTTACCTCTTCTTTACTCGTGAGTCAGTCCTGAAGGACAAGCTGCCTGAAGTCCCACACAGATGGGCCTGGGGCAAGCATCAAACATCCTGGGGGCCCTGGGTGAGGTTTGCTTTTAAATTCCAGGTCAGGGAAAGGAAGGTCTTTAAGTTGTCTGCTCTAAGCTTAGTAATCCCCCTCAGAGTTATGGGTGCGGTGTCTGGGGTAGCCGTTGCGTCTCTGGGCAAATACCCTGGAGAATGCAGTGTTGGTTGTCTGAGCTGGGGACAGAGTGACAGCATAGTTGCATGCAGAGCTGGAGGCTCCTGCAGCTGTACAGGTAAGGTGCTGAAATTCTCCACCAACCCTTCCTCTTTGCCCCCAGCACCACGAAGATAACCCTCTTTGAATATGTGGAAGTCTGTTCTCCAAACTTTCTAACATTCTCATGTCAGTCTTAATAGATTCAGCTCAGTTACTGCCTCCTCCAGGAAGTCCTCCTTGTCTGCAAATCGGCTGCCCACCATGCCGGCTCACTCATAGTTTTAACTCTGTATCTTTCTAATATGCCTTAGCCCACTCTGTCAGGATTCCAGTCAGCTTCCTTCTCCTAGACTAGGAGTTGCCTCAGGCCAGGAGGACCAGCCTTGTTCATATCTGTACCCTGCAAACCTGTCAATGCCCAAACCTGCTCAGTGCTTTGGAGTATGGAACCAGCCGTCAATGCAGGAATGTTACACTCTAAGAGTTCCCAAAGGTAGAGAGATGAGGGATTGGTGCTGGAAGTGGGAGGTTATTCTAAGGATGGGTATGGCAGGAAACACAATTATAGTTCAGGGAGTGGAGTGTCCAGGAGTGGGAGGAGAGGAACTGGGAGAAAGAGCAGAGAGTGAAAGTGAGAGCGGGCACAAAGAAAGGGAAAAAGAGTCAGGGATCAACCAAAGTGCATGCTTCCTTTTCAGCCCTGCCAGGATGTGCAGGGCGGCTGCTGTGGACGCGTCAAGGCTCAGCCTCAAACATGTCTTCTTCCTTGACTTTTGTCTATCATTCTAAAGCTAGGTCATTTAAAAAGTTCTTTTGTTTTCTTTCCACCGATACTCTGATTTCTGACATTCGCCAAAAAGAGGTCAAGACCCTGGCATACCGCCCTACTAAGATTAAAATAAATATTATCCATTGAAACTGTTATTTTTTCCTTAACTGTTATTTGTAGAGTTAAAGATTCCCATGATCGCGCTGGCTCTAACATCATTTTTGGCTCTTTTGAGATCAAATTTGCAATTTGATGCAAAAATAGCTGTGACGCATATGTGTCTGTATGTGTGTGGTTAGGAGATTTTTTATCATTACATCTTCTTTTGCCCTGCCTTTCTGCCTTTCTGTCCTTTTAATTTGCGGGCTTTTGGCAACCACAGCACGGGTCTGGTTTCCTAGGAGTTTCTTTTGTAGGATCAAACCGCTAGTTGGCTCTTGGCCCTGTGATAGGGCCCTGGGCTAACTTATTGGGAAAATGTTGCTGTAACCCCTGCCCAGAGGTGCCTGTGACATGGGCCGCCATCTTCTCCTCTTCCCTTGGCTTCAGCCCCACCTAGAAACCTGAACAAACATTTTCCTTGACATTTCATAAAGTGTCAGTGGCTCCTCATTTAGCAAAATACATCCCAGGGAAGTTCAAAAGTGAAAAAAGGCCGTAACTTCTTCTTCTTCTCAGGGACCTACAGAAAATATGTGGCACCTCGGCAGCCTGGCCTGCAGCACTCCCCTCCCCATCGGTGAGTCCTGCTACAGTGGGTCCAGGTGTCTGGACGCCCGGCACGCACGGCTCTCTGCAGACCTCTGGACAGTACCATGGGAGCCGCACAGTCCCTGCCTGTTCTGTCCGGCAGTTCTTGTTTCCCAGCACCCTGTCTCAGGTGAGAGGTTCCCTCTTCTGCTGGGCTTCTCCTCCCTGCTGTGAACCCCAAATATCTGAGGCAGGTCAATTTAGGAACCTTATTTTGCCAAAGTTGAGGATGTACCCATGACACGGCCTCAGGAGGTCCTGAAGACAAGTGCCCGAGGTGATCGCGGCACAGCTTGGTTTTATACATTTATACAGACATCAGTCAATATATGTAAGATAAACATTGGTTCGGTCCCGAAAGGCCGGACAACTCCAAGTGGAGAGGGGGCTTCCAGTTCACAGGTAGATAAGAGACAAAATGTTGCATTCTTTTGAGTTTCTGATTAGCTTTTCCAAAGGAGGCAATCAGATATGCATTTATCTCAGTGAGCAGAGGGGTGACTTGGAATGGAATGGAAGGCAGTTCTCAGTTTAAATTTTCCCTTTAGCTTAGTGATTTTGGGGTCCCAAGATTTATTTTCCATTCACTCTGCAGACAGGGGCTTCTGTGCATCCAGGGAGCCCCTCCTCACAGAAGGAAGCAGGCCATTAATGAGACCCAATCCAGCTTCAACCACCTGGTAACAATTAGGACATCACTTCTCTGAGCAAGAGCTCCTGCCTGTCCATGAGTTATCAAGACATTCCAATTGTTCCTCCACATCTTTGACATGAAGACTTGAGGGGGTCAGATTTTCCAGGGGGCTTGATGGCATGTTCTCTTCACTGTTCCCTGCCCTGGTCATCCAAGTGACCCTTGGCAGGGAAGAGGCCCCGAGTTGCAGAATCTCTGTTCTCACAAGCCATTGCCAACCCGGAGAGTGGCTTTGCCACTATTCCTAGCATGTTGTTGGCTATTTCAGGAATGGGAGTATTTGACTTTTCCCTTTGCAGTGATTGCTGCAAGGAGAGGAATTGAGAGACTCAAGTCCCTGAGATAAATATTTATCAACTATTACTGAAAGGGAGTATGTCAAAGAAAAAATGTGGAGAAACTTCAGCTTGAACACATAGTTTAAATCCAGCTTGGGTGTACTCCAGTGGGCATGGATGTATTACTGTTTTGCAGTGCATTCTTCTATGATCAATACACAGAAGCAAACAGGCCACGTGGGTAAACAGTAATTTTCATTTACCAGGGTGAATATGGAAGTCCTCTTGTTTCCATGTCATGATGAAGGAAAGCAAGGACCATCTTTTGCCAAGGAACAGTGGCTGTGGGGGAACTGAGGAGATGGAAGGACAAGGCAGTCAAAAGCTTTGGAACAACTCTTTTTTTGAGATGGAGTTTTGCTCTTGTTGTCCAGGCTGGAGTGCAATGGCACGACCTCGGCTCACCACAACCGCTGCCTCCCAGGTTCAAGTGATTCTCCTGCCTCAGCCTCCCGAGTAGCTGGGATTGCAGGTATGCTCCACCATGCCTGGCTAATTTTGTATTTTTAATAGAGACGGGATTTCTCCACGTTGGTCAGCTGGTCTTGAACTCCCGACCTCAGGTGATCCACCTGCCTCGGCCTCCCAAAGTGCTGGGATTACAGGCATGAGCCACCATACCCGGCCCTTTTTTGGAATAATTTTATAGGTTTTCAAACTATTACACTTACCTTTTTATATAAGAGACAGGACATAGTCACTGAACAATCACTCCAGATTTTAAGTAAGTCCAGGATGGGATGACAATGGAACAACCATGAAATGAAAGGAAGAATGTGTCACTGGTATGTCCACACGTCTCCAAATCTCTCACCTCTGTCAGCTGCAAACAGAGCCTGAAATAAATGTTTCCTCTGTGCACAGCCTCCACAACTTCCTCCCTCCACGTTTCTCACTCACTCCTCTCCAGCACTTCTCTCCGGGTTCTGCTTACAAACTTGAAACCGGCTATGCAAAAATTATAACTGTGGAAATTATGACAGTGAAAGAGATCAGACCTAACCGACTCCATCTTGCTTCTAACCTTTAAGCTGTCCTTGTTCATTTTTGGGCTGAACTAACTTTGGGAAGGAATTCAGTTCATGGTAGAACTCTGAAACAAAATTGATAATAGCCCTTTCCTGAAAAGACCCCCTTCTTGCCTGGGGACAAGTCTGCCATTGTAGGACTAACAAATTAACTACAAGATTAGAAATTAAGGTTTAGGGTTCATGCAGCCTCCAGTTCCAAGAGTCTAAACCTCCCCAAATTGCTCCTGGGGATAACATCACTGTTGTAAAAGCTAAGACCAGTGCTTGAGATATTTTGTAGACCCTGCTCTGGATGGATCAGCTGACACCATCCAGACTGGTAATTTGGCTCAACCAGCTCTGCCATCCCACCCAGGAACAGAAAAATACTCACTTCATCACCCCATGAGTCCATCTCTAACCTGACCAATCAGCACTCCCTACTTCCCAGGCCCCTACTCGCCAAATCTGCCTTTGGAGGCAGATAACAACTTATCTTTAAAAACTCTGATCCCTGAATGCTCAGGAGACTGATTTGAGTAATAATAAAACTCCGGCTCTGCATGAATTACTCCTTTTCCATTGCAATTCTCTTGTCTTGATAAATTGGTTCTGTCTAGGCAGCCAGCAAGGCGAACCCTTTGGGCGGTTACAAACTCATCCTCTGTGGAAGAGTAGGAGTTCATGGAGAAATTGGTTGCAAATTACAAAATTTTATTGTAAGGTCAACTTGTCCCAGTGTCCGTCTGTGCAGCGAAGGGCCCCTGCATGGTTTAGTGATTGCAAGTTGAGCCTCTAGGGTCAGGTTGTCTAGGTTTCCATCCCAGCTCATTCACTTATTATCTGTGTGTTCTTGAGCAAGCTCCTTAATCAATTGAGGCTTTGTCCTTCTGTTTGTATAATGATGAGAATAATAACCTCCACAATAACCTCATCATAAGGTTGTTGTGAAGATGGATCAGATAATATATATGTAGAGTGCTTATAACAGTGCCTGGCACATAAAAAATGCTCAAAAATCTTAAGTGTTATTAATAATAAACTGACATATATTTCTTGAGCAGGGTGGTGGTAAATGGGTGTTCTTTTTATTAAGCTTTAAAGTGTGCATAGATCATATTAATTCTTTTTATGCATATGATATATTGCACATGCATGAAAATACATGCATTAAAAATAAATGAGCATTTATGAGATTTAGTTTAGCAGTCACATGTCCCAGGATTACAAGCCAGCAATAATGGGTTGGAAAACATTCCAACCCATTCCAACCATTGGAAAACATTCCAACCCATCACTGGACCCATGTGCCAAACAATGGAACCGCCCACAGGTTCTCATTCTTGGTTAAAAAAATATGATTATTACGGGAATAATACTGATTCCCTAAGAATTAATATCTGAGCAAGTTTCTTTTTTTTCCTGTCTTCTTGGAAGATCAGCAGGTTCTAGATTCAATGGAGTCACTAGGATTGAGCCACCAGTATACGCCAGTCCTCTCCAGAACGGCCACCTGGTGGTGGGCACTAAGGCAGTCTCAGATGAGGACTGATTGACTTTTGTGTGAACTCAAACTGCCAAAGTCCCTCCCTCACCTTGCAAACTTCAAAGCACAACTTTCAAAGCACTACTTTCTTTCTTGGCTCTCAATTCTCTGCCTAGAAAAAGGGAGGTGTTGGCAAGGATGTTTGTTTAGTTCTGGGCATCAGTCAATGGTACCCAGATCTTGCTGAACAGAAAAGACACAGATTTGTTTCTCTGAGGCAGTTGGTAGTGCTTATTGCTTATTGCTCTCAGGGGCTTCTGCAGCAGTAGAAGGGCCCTCTTCCCCTGCCATGCCACACTGAGAGGAGCATCCTTGGAGTCATGGTTGGAATCTGTTTTTGTTATGCTAGTCCTCTTCCGCATGCTAGCTGTTGCATTGCAGGGATATGTGTACCTGTTTATCTTCTCCACTAGGCTCTAAGAAGCCAGGTTTCTTAAAGGAAGGAAGCTGATCTTGTTTATCTTGAAGTCCTCACAGTGACATTGCTCAGTCAATGTTGAGTGTATGAATGAATAAACGGGAACCATCACGAAAAAGCCGAAAATACAGTGGAAAGACTGGATCATAAAATCTTCTAAGCAAATTTTTTTTCCTCTTACACTCCATTTCCAAATAGATAAAGTATTTTTTAAAATCCTATCAGAATATTCTAACACACTGAGTTGACAGAATAGAGATTTTTAAATGCAGTGTCATTTGGCCAGCCATTTGTGAGAATTTATAAATGTTTCAGTAGGTTGAAAACACTATAAAAGCAAGGACTATGTTCATACCCAACAGCTGGCACTTAGTATGAATGCTAAATGAAACATTCTCTTCTCTTTCAAGAGTCAGTCCAACCAGTGACCCTGACAAGAAGGAAGGCACATTTAACTCAATTTAATGAACTCTTATAGAGCATCTCCTTCTCCAAGTGCTTTGCTAAGGATGGGGTAAAAACATGAATAAGTCTTGGATTCTGTCCTTCAGGAATTTTCAGTCTTTGGAGGCAGATACATTTGCACCCAACTATTATCCTAGGCAGAGTGTGATAAGTACGATAATAGCAGTAAAAGCTCTAAGTTAGGCAGGAGAGGAGGAGCTCGTTAAAGCTTATGGGGCCTGGGAGGCTTTCGGCGGAGTAAACTCCAGGGGGACAGCTAGGCATCTGGCTGCTGGAATTGGGAGGAGGATCATTTTAAGTGGCTACAACTCTGGGTGCACAGGACTAGAGGGTGAGGGCCAAGATGGGAAATTGTGGCAGCCATCTTCCACACTGGGCGCCCGCCGACCCTTGCTTCCTGGTATTCATATTATTGTGTAGTGTCCCCCAACATTGTATCAGGGTTGGCCTGTGTGACCAATTGCATATGGTGGGAATGATGGTGTGTGACTTCTAAGACCAGTTCATAGAAGATGTGGCCAATTCCCTTACTGTCTTTTTTTTTGGCAGGGGAGTGCCGAGTTTCACCCTTGTCGCCCAGGCTGGAGTGCAATGGTGCGATCTCTGCTCACTGCAACCTCTGCCTCCCAGGTTCAAGTGATTCTCCTGCCTCAGCCTCCCAACTAGCTGTGATTACAGGTATGCGCCACCATGCCTGGCTAATTTTGTATTTTTAGTAGAGACGGGGTGAGATCAATGAGGCAGTCAATTGGCCAGCCTGGTTTTGAACTCCTGACCTCAGGTGATCCACCCGCCTCGGCCTCCCAAAGTGCTGGGATTACAGGCATGCGCCAACCGCGCCTGGCCCTTACTGTCCTTTGGATCAGCTGCTCTGGGGCTAGGTCAATCCTTCATGTGACTGCAGCCCCAGCCAACATCTGGACTGAAACCCATGAGACACCCTGAGCCAAAAAAGCCCAGCTAAGACTTCCTGCATTTCTGACCCACAGAAACTGAGAAAAGAAATGTTTTGTTGTTGCTTTAAGCCACTGACTTCTGGGGTCATTTGTTTTGCAGAAATAGATAGCAGATACAGAAAAGCAGGCTGGTGGAACAGTGTGGGAAACACCTTGATTTTCAGGGAGTTGCACTTTGTTTATGTGCAATGGTGCACTGTTTTTAGAAAGACACAAAGATGATAATACTGGTGATGGGCATAATACGGGTTGTCAAGAGGAGTGACTGAGGCGGGGATAATTTAAGAGGCCACAGCAGTAGTGTGGCAAGAGGTAATGAGGGAATTGAACTTGGTGGGAATGGGTGAGATCAACGAGGCAGTCAATATGGGCAGTGAGTGTGAAGGAGCTGCGAAGGATGATTCTTTGGTTTTGAGCTTAGGAACATGAGAGAACCAAGATCTCATTTATCCAAAGAGGAAACACAGAAGTGAGCCCCTGTTTGGGGGCAGGGCTGGGTAGGAGGAAAAGAGTGGAGACGTCTATCTCCCCAGGAAGAGAGCCCCCTGCTTCCAGATCCCAGTGGATGGCAGGGCACTCGGCTCATTCACAGACTGGGCTCGTTGAGAAACCTTTCCCTGGAGGGCAGGGCTGCTCTGTTTCACAGCCCATATCCCTCATGGCCAAGTGTTCCTCGAGTGACAGTCTCTGCCATCAATATTTTTAGCATGTGGTCTTTCAGAGACTAAAGAGTGGCATCCATCTCCTGAAACTCCTTCCCCAGCTGACAGCTGGTGACCCGTGGAGGAGGGAGCTTCAGGGAGCCTGATGGGCGAGAGTCTGTTCCAATGCCAATCCATTGGAAGAGATGAAGTCAGACCCGAGTTTGATAGAAAGCCTACTTCCTCCCTTGTATCCAGCTGTGGAGACCTACCAACATCAATGCAAACCAGAAGCTAACACCCAGTTCATATATCCCAAGTGGAAGGAAGCTTCTCGTGGAATTGTCTTACATGACAGTAACATAAATCCTGAAGGTAATACTTGGCCAGGTAATGTTAGAAAAGAACCCGAACATAGGCATTGCTATTATAGATCCTAGGATAGGCCTGAGCAAAAACTGTCTGGGATTCATAACATGCTTCGTTGCAATCTGATAGAGGGAGTGAGATCCACTCCAAATGGAGTCTGATTTGGGGCAAAGCAAAGAGTATGGAAGGAAACTTGAGAAAGGGGGACAGCTTCTCAAATGGAGTCTGGCCACAGCTGGGGCTGGAAAAGAGACATGACTGCGCTTGCAGAGTGGTGAGAATTTGCTGCTAGAATTTTTAAGTTGTGTGTTTTCATTTTTATGATAATGTAAACTGAGATAAGCATATTCTCTGCTATCCCAATGAGCCCCTCCTCTAGGAGGACTACCTTGCCACCTTATCCATAAATGTGTTTATAAATTATTTTGATGCCAGCTGGTATTTTTTAAAAAGTGGTTTTGGACTCACAAAAAAAACCATGATGGATTTAATACATAACAAAGCATTTGTGTCAAGTGAAGGCCAAGTAACATCTTAGCGTCCTGTGTGAGCGAAGGTGTCGTGGCAGTTCAAACAAGAATGCCGATGAAGCTGCCCAGGATGGCCAAGGCCACCTTGGTGTGTTTGAGGGGAATTAGAGTTTAGAAAAAAAAAAAAAGGCACCTGACACTCTGAACTAATGTGGTTACCTGGAATTTTGGGGTTTTGAAGCTTTGCATTTAATTTGCAGCTTATGGCCTGAAGGAAAAGACAGGTGAAATGCATATCCTGGGATGAGTCACCTGGAGGAGAGGGCTGGGAAGGGGCTGAGCTGCACATGCTCAGATCTTCTCCCAGGCTTATCGACCCAGTGAGTCAAGTCTTCTTCCAACGGGATAGAGTGTGAGAGAGAGCAGGGAACAGAAGCCAGAGTCTCTGTTAAATTTCTCGGTACATTTCTGTTAGAGAATGGAAGTTTCTCTATCGTAGGAGACCTTGAGAGCCTGGGATAGAAATTACCCCTTTGTCATGTATTTTCCTCCCAGAAATAGCATGGCCACTGTCACTGCTAAGCTGGAGTATCATGAGCACAATTTCTCTCACTTTCTATACCCATGCCTTTCTAGGAGATTGGTGGCTCCATCAAAAAGGAGTTAAAAAGAAGCAGCACTATTTTGTGGAATACAATCATCACCATTATCACCATCAGCACCACCAACCAGCACCACCATTATCAAAAGCATTCACCTGGTGTCTGCCTTACAAACTGCAAACTGCAGTAGGTATTTGTAATAGAATGTTTCCTTTCCCCCTTGGGATCTGCAGAAAAGCTGGAGAATGTTTTGGTATCAACACACTAGGTTGCATTGCTAATCATGTGATGGCCCCATGACAGTCTCTGTTGGCTGGTGTAGTTCAGGTGGACGACTGCAGGATTTTGTTCTTGGAGCCTCAGTTCTGACTGGGCTTGGGGTGTAAAAGGTTTGGGAGCCAGATGACAAGAGTATTTGATGGGTAGAATAATGGGTTCATCCAAAAGATCACCAGAATGGTTATTAAATAGTACAAAGGAGGAATTTACTGGTAATACCAGTTTGCAAACAGAGAAGAGAGTCTCCAATGTGGACTGAAAGTGCTCTCTCTTTGAAGAGGGGAAGGACAGATTGGGTTTTATGCCTCACAGGACTGGTACCATACATATTCAGCAGGTTTTTGGGGAAAATCTATACATATTTATAAGGTGAGCTGATGCCTGCATAATAGATAAACATATATGTAACATACTTTTCATATTCATTTTGGGACTGGGTTTTGGCACTAAAATTTGTGGAATTTGGCTCTTTATGTTAAAAGGTGAACTAGAGGACACAAAGACGGTTTGTGTGCACCCTCTATAAACTGGCTGAAACTGGCTTAAGGTCTGCAACTGCTTATCCAAAAAGAATGTTTGTAAGGCCAGGCCTCTGTCCAGTCAGAGTTGTAGTGGTCCAGGTTGTAAATCAAAGTTTATAGCTCTTTTTGTTAGAGAGTTCAGCTGTAGGAATTTAGAAATTTGCCATGCCTGCCAGGCCCTGAACCTTTGACCCATAGGTAACTTTATTTCCTTAACCTTAGGGTCAGTCTTAGTTGATATGGGGCATCTATTCTGGTATCTCAGATCCTATGGTCAAGAGAAAAGATCCTCCACAAGAGGGTCCTATGTGGCTGCAAAAACTGCTCTGAGCTAAATCCACTCAAAATCACTGCAGGATGTCACTACTAGAAAATAGGGCAGGGATAGGGATCCCCTTCCCATGCTGCCAGAAAATGCCTGATAGCTTACCTCCCCCGGCCCTTGAGGCTCCCTTGGAATAGGCACATGCAATCCCATCTCCACCCAATAGAGCTTGTCCTAGAGCTCAGTTTTTTCCCATAGTTTTCCCACCCACTTGCACCAGAAAATCTAATAAAGTCATGTGATTAATACAATTCATTTTATCACGCTTCTGAAGATTTAAGAGAGAGCGGTCACATTGGATTCCACAGTACCGACCTTCTGACGATTCTTCATTTCACCTTTATCTATTTTTATTTTTATTTTATTTTTTTTTCGAGACGGGGTCTCACTCTGTCACCCAGGCTGGAGTGCAGTGGGGCAATTACGGCTCACTGCAACCTCTGCCTTCTGTGCTCAAGCAATCCTCCCACCTCAGCCTCCCAAGTAGCTGGGATCATAGGTGCACATCACCAAGCCTGGCTAATTTTTTGTATTTTTGGTAGAGATGGGGTTTCACCATGTTGCCCAGGCTGGTCTTGAACTTCTGAGCTCAAGTGATCTGCCCACCATAGCCTCCCAAAGTGCTGGGATTACTCACGTGAGCCACCTCGCCTGGTCCCTTTCACCTTTATTATCTTTGCCTTTAACTCTAGTGCTTCCTCCCTGAATCAGTTAAGGATTGCATTTGGCTGCATTAACAGAAACCTGACTGCAGAAGCTTAACCAAATAGGGTAGTTTTTAAAGAGAGATTGCTTACATCACGCAAATTGCACAAATTTTAAGTGCATAGTTCAATGAGTTTTGACAAATGTAGAATAACATAGCTATATAAAACCATTCCATCAAAAAAATTTTATCACCATAGGAAATTGTGTCCTGTCCCTTTCTTGTCAATCCCAACTCCTCCCCACAAGGCAACCTTCATTCTCATTTCTCTCACCATAGCTTAGTTTTACATGTTTCTATAATACAGCATCATATAAATGGAATAATACAGAATGCAATCTTTTGTATGAAGCTTCCTTTGGCTCAATGTAATGTTTATGAGATTCATCCATGTTATTGAATGTATCAGTAGTGTTTTCATTTATATTTCCTAGTGTTCTATTGAATAAATATACTACAATTTGTTTATCCACTTATTTGTTGATGAACATTTGGACCGTTGGCAATTTTTGCCTATTATGCATAAAGCTGTTAAAAAACATTCTTGTACAAGTCTTTCATTTCATATGTTTTTCTTTTTCTGAGGTAAATAACTACAAGTAGAATTGTTGGGTAATAAATAGGCATCCATCTAATATTATAAGCAACTGCACAACAGTTTTTCAACGTGGCTGTACTATTTCACTCTCCCAATAGCAACGTATGTGTTTTCCAGCTACTCCACATGCTCACTGGCATTTCCTGTTGCCAGTTTAAACATTTCAGCCATTCCAGTGGATATGAAATCTCTCTGGCTATAATAATTGTATTTCTCTGATGACTAATTATGTCAAGCCCCTTTTCAAATGCTTATCAGCCACTTCTATACTGTCCTCTGTGACATGTCCGTTCAATCTTTTTGCTCATTCTTTAAAAACATTGGGTTGTTTGTCTTTTTCTTAGTTTGTCTTTTGCTTTTCATTTATAGGAGTACATATCTTCGGAATACAAGTCCTTTGTCAGATAAATGTATTGTGAATAATTTTCTCCTAGTTTGTGGTTTGCCTTTTCACATTCTTAATATCTTTTGATGAGTGGAAACTAACTTTCAAATTATGTTCAGTAGATTAACTTGTTTTTGTTTTGTTTTGTTTTGTTTTTTGTTTTTAACACTGGGTCTCACTTGTTGCCCAGGCTGGAGTGTAGTGGTGCCATCATGGCTCACTGCAACCTCTGCCTCCTGGACTCAAGGGATCCTCCTGCCTCAGCCTCCCAAGTAGCTGGGACCACAAGCACGCACCACTACACTTGGCTACTTTTTTATATTTTTGGTAGACACAGGATTTCGCCATGTTGCTCAGGCTGGTCTGGAGCTCCTGAGCTCAAGCGATTCACCCACCTCAGCCTACCAAAGTGCTGGGATTACAGGCGTGAGCCACCACGCCCAGTCGAGTAGATCAAGTTTTAATTTTATGGCCAGTAGAGATCTATTTCAAGGCTCTCTATTTTGTTCTGTTGCTCTATTTATCTACCTTTATGCCAATTTTCTTCTCTTTTGATTCAGATAGGGTTATAATAATAATTATTTTTTCCAGGGATTAGATGGACCAGGGCTGGTGAAGTTGTTCAAGGGAGTGATCAAGAGCCTGGCTCCTTTCATCCTTCTGTTCCATCTCCTTTGGCTCATGGATTTTGTTTTCCAAGTGGCAAGATGGCGCCTCCACCTTTGGTATCCTATTTTAGTTCCTGGCAGAAAGAAAGGAACAGGCTAATGGCCCTGATGAGTCTACCCCCTTTTAACAGGAGAAAATTTAAAAAACAAAAACCATGAAACCCTTTCCCAGAGGCAACAACCAGAATTCCATTTATCTTTCATTGACCAGAACAGACCACATGGTCACTGGTGGTGGCAATGGAGACTGGGGAGATGAATATTTTTAAGGTGGCATATTCCAGAAGAACACTGTGCACTGATTGCATTAATGAACCCATTAATGTGCCAAGGGGAGGTTTACCTATGAGCATGGGCAAATTAGAACCCACTCTTGGAGCTGCAGGTGAGCCAATCCCACCTAAACAGTGTGGATGCTACAAGATGGGGAAGTAAATTGATTCTATTCCATACCCTAACCTCTCTCCAAGATGTATTCTTAAAATAGAAGAGGGAAGACAGAAGAAAACATCCAGAATATATTTTTATTGTCTTTTACTTCTTCAGTGCATTTTAGATCAGTGCTTCTCAATCTGGCAAGGGGCATGCAGGAGGATGTGAGTTTTATCAGGAAAACTACACAACCCCCCAACCACAATGCTACCCCCACTCCTGTGGACCTTCTTTAAGAGAGACTCACTATTATAGATGGAGTTGATACGATTTTAAGAGAGGCCATATATTATTTGCTTTCTGTCTTGAAAAACTTGTGATTTTTCTGTATTGTGCTACTGCCAAAGAGAATAGAAACCTGACTGAGGTGTCAATGTTTATGTAACTGATTTCATGTACTTTCTGTAGTTCTACCATTTCTGATGGTTAAAAATTTCTTGTGTGTGTGCAGTTGGGGAGTGTGTCCTCCTCCTTCTGCTCTTATACCACACATTAGCACATCAAAATGCTCTAATCTTTGTATGATTATGTGGCATGTGGTGATGCAGCCTCACAGTGGAAAAACTTCTCTTGGGCCATTGCAAATGTAACATTTCTTTCAATCAGATAGTGCCATTAAGGATTTCATTATGGCCGTCACATCCTGTGACATCTCTAAACATGCAGCATTAGGGCCTAAGTGCAGCCCTGCAGGTAGAGTTGCCAGGTTTAACAAATAAAAATTACACGCTGGCCAGGCGGGGTGGCTCATGCCTGTAATCCCAGCACTTTGGGAGGCTGAGGCAGGTGGATCATTTGAGGTCAGGAGTTCGAAACCAGCCTGGCCAACATGGTGAAACCCCATCTCTACTAAAAATACAAAAATTAGCTGGGCATGGTGGCAAATGCCTGTAATCCTAGCTACTTGCGAGGCTGAGGCAGGAGAATCACTTGAGCCCTGGAGGCGGGGGTTGCAGTGAGCAGAGATCACACCATTGCACTCCAGCCTGGGTGGCAGAGCGAGATTCTGTCTAAAAAACAACACCGTATTTGGGGCATGCTGATACTAAAAAATTATTCATTGTTTGTCTGAAATTAAAATTTAAATTGGGGGCCCTGTATTTTACTGGGCAACCCATTTGCAATATCAGCAACAATCTCTTATTCAGACCACTGATTAAGTGTGCAAAATTTGAATCTCTGAACAGTACCTATGTCCTTGATATCTTAAATTAATGAGTGTCTTAGACACTCAAAGCAGGAGGAAGCATTATGGCAGATGTTTGAGCCCCAGAGATGTCCATGAGCACAGCATAGAGCTCAGAGCCTTCTTTATTATTTGCTTCACGACAGAGCAAAGGACTGCAGCAGGTTGACTGATATAAAAGTTTTACCATGTCTCACAGCAGGCCTTTGCTCAAGTTTCCAGTAAGGATATTGTATCATTTCTTGCCTGCAGTACTTGTAAATCCACTTACACTGCCTGCTGTTGAGTCATTTGTTTCGTCTTGAGTAGCATGTCATCCTTGTTCCTAGAAGATAGTGAGTTTAGAGACAGTAGCCAAGCAACAGCAGAGCAGCCTCAACCAAAACGATTTTCCATTTTGGTGGGATGAATTGAAACACAAGCATCTTCTATCCAGGGGAGATTTGGGGATCATAAAGAATCAATCTGAGCTGGTACCACCATATTGGCTGCTGCATTTTCTAGAGTTGCCGTAACTAGTCTCACAAGCTGGGAGGCTTTACACAACAGACATGTATTGTCTCATAGTTCTGGATGCTAGAAATCTGGAATCAAGGCTCCAGGGGAGAAGCTGCTCCATGGTTTTCTCTTAGCTTCTGGTGTTGCCAGCAATCCCTGGTGTTCCTTGGCCCGCAGGCGGATCACTCCCATCTCTGCCTCCATTGTCACACGGCATTTTCCCAGTGTGCCTGACTCTGTGTTTCTTCTCATAAGAACATCGGTCATATTGGATTACAGGCCCGTGCTACTCCATTATGACCTCATCTTAACTTAAACAATTACATCTGCAGTGATCCTGTTTGCAAATAAGGTCACATTCTGAGGTTCCAGGAATTAGAACATAGACATATCTTTTGGGAACAAAATTCCAGTGATAACAGTTTCGGAGACAGACTAGTCCTGGAGTTTGTAAGGTGAGCCAGGACCAAGGTGCCAGGATTCTCATTTTGTAAGGTCCAGGAACAAAGTGATGTTAATAGAAAGAACATGTTTTTGTTTGTTTATTTGTTTTTGAGACAGTCTCACTCCATCACCCAGGCTGGAATGCAGTGGTACAATCTCGGCTCACTGCCGCTGCCATCTCCCAGGTTCAAGCGATTCTCCTGCCTCAGCCTCCTAAGTAGCTGGAATTACAGGTGTGTCCCACCATGCCCAGCTAATTTTTGTATATTTGTGTGTGTGTGTGTGTGTATATATATACACACACACATACATACATATATATACATACATATATATATACACACACACACATATATATATATATAAAATATATATTTCTTTTAGTAGAGACTGGGTTTCACCATGTTGCCCAGGCTGGTCTCGAACTCCTGCGCTCAAGTGATCCACCTGTCTTGGACTCCCTAAGTGGTGGGACTACAGGCACAAACCACCACGCCCAGACAGAAGGAATATGTTTCCTTCCAGTCTCACTTGACTGGCTGCTTCCCTAGATAACAACAGAGGATGTCTGTTGCAGTTCTCATTGCTGGGGAGTCTAAACTGGAATAAAACACCCACTATCTCCATCAGGCTTGCACTAGAGCCCAGCTCTAGCTGGAGAGAAAGAAGCTAACCCGCACAGACACAGGACTGTAGGCAGGGAGCATCCGGGGGTATTTGGGTCCTGGCTCTGATGTGCCTAAGGCCAACTTCTCTCTGGCCATGCTGGCGTGCATGAGCTCACTAATCTTCCTTTTTGCCTTCCATTTTCTCCAATCCTGACTTAGCAAAGGTTGGGCAAAAGAGACTCTGTGTGAGTTCGAGCAAAGCCTGAGATGCTGGATTTTCCAAGATACGAGAAGGGGCTGGGGGCTGGGTGAACTGGTGGTGGAGGAGGGAAGGATTAATTTCCCAAGGAGGGGAAGGGGCCAGGACATCAGGCCCCGGGGACTTTGAAGAGAGGGTCGTGGGTAGGAGGTAGATCAAGTGGAGTGACACAAAGGTCAGGAAAGAGGAAGTGTCCACACTGTCCTTCGACAGACTTGAGTCTATGGGACTTCCTCCCTGCACGGTACAAGGAAATGAGTAAGTGAGATAATGTTGTAACTTCTGGCCCTCTGACATTGCACTGCCCCGATGTCACAGTTGGAAACTGTACCTGCCCCCATCCTTGTCTGGGGTGTGTTTGGTCTGGGGAGGGCTGGTGAAGCAAGAGGTACTCAGAAAAAGGACAGAAATTGCTTCCTATTATCTGGGCATTTGGAGGTGAAGGGGTCACAGCTCTGGCAAAGATGGGGTTGAAAGGGCCCGGACTCCAGGGAGGGGCAGCTCTGCATGGCCTGATTCCTGCACCCCACCTTTGCCCCCTCACACCTCCTCTCATCTCCCGTTTTTGAAGAGGAGGACCCTGTCACATCTGGACAATTCTGCAAGAACTCTGTAGAACTGACTTCACTGTGAACCAGGCTCCAGAAGTCAACAGAAACAAAAATGCTCACATTTAATCACGATGCTCCCTGGCATACACAGAAGACTCTGAAAACTTCTGAATTTGGGAAATCCTTTGGCACCTTGGGGCACATTGGGAACATAAGCCATCAGTGCTGGTGTGTGTGTGTGTGCGCGCACACGCGCATGTGTGTGCATCTTCTACCATGCCTCCTACAAATTTGACCTGGGCCCAGGGCCATGTTCGGTGGTTTTTAAGAACCGAGGCTCCCAGAAGCAGTATTGGGCAGCTAGAGTGGCCCCAGGATCTATATCAAACTCTACCTGTTTCTGAACCAAATTTCTTCTAGAATTTTATTCCATAAATCTGAATTATGGTGTCAGACTCCTAGCATACACTAAAGGAACTCTCTGCCTTGCATTAAATAACAGGAGTTACCCCTGGAGGTAACTCCTAGCCCTGGCTCTTTAGAGAACAGATGCCGAATAGGCATTAGGGGATGTGATGGATGTGCTAACTTTCAAAAAAAAAAAAAAAAAAAGGCCTGAGCTGAGTGCTCAGAGATTCACAAAAAGCTGACAGCATCTCTCTGTTCCATTGGAAGCTGGGTGATCCTTTCTACTCTTTCCTGAGAAAGGCAGTTGGGCAGGAAAAAGCTGTATCTCTGTCCTCACTGAGAGGGTTTCCCAGTCTGAGGGTGAAGGATCAGGAGAGGGAGACCTGACGGGTCGATGTGGGGCATCATCCACTTGAGTGAGAACCAGAGGGATCCCGTCATTGCCCAGGGCAGATGCTCCATTTTGGGGGGCATCATTCATTCTTTCCTGTTCTCCCTGCATTCCTCTGGCTCCTGCCCAGGAGAGGTGGCCGCTGGCAAGAGAGCTTGGTGGAGGTGGGAGGTGGGAGGTGGGGGGTGGGGGGTGGGGAGTTCTTGAGCCAGGACCTAGCGCATAGTCTCCAGCCTGCTGATGGCTGTCTTGGATGCTTCAAAGGGGAGAAGATCCTAGATGTGGGAAACATTGGTGGGCGTTCTGCTGGGGCATCTGTAGCCTCTGAGAAGGCTACCAGTCTCTCCTAAGCTTACGCCGTCACACCCTGGGCACTTGTTGAATGACTTTACTTAGCTTACAGCCTCTGGTTCCTGTTGGGAAACTTAGGGCTTGCCACAGTGTTCATTTTCCTTTGCGGGCAACTCCGTTCCTGGCACTTATCATATTACCCACTGTACTCCCCGCTTAGAGCTGTGTCAAGGTTCTGAGAATCTATCCCTTGGCTTGGAAGGGGTCATCTCTCTGGCCAGATCATTTCCTGATAGGTCCTGAGGCACCACAACACATAGGAGGCTTGTCCTCTCTCTGGGGTTCACTGCCTTGCTCCTTCTCCAGGTCAATATGTGACCTTGGACCGGTTGCTTGAGTCCCCTGGTCATTCAGAAACAATTGGGTTTCCCTGGCTTTGGAGCCTGGCAGCCTGGCTTTGAGAACCGGGCTTTAACTTGTCACATGACTATGGCCAAGTTCCTGGGGCTCTCCAAGCTTCACTTCCTCTGTAAAAAGGGCAATAATATAATACCTGTCTTATTGGGTTTTGTCCATGTTAGATGAGACATTGGGTACAAAGCACTTGGTCCCGTGCCTGGCACATTTACTGCACTTAATGTATGATAGTTTTCTTATTATTCTAATAAACAATATGGCTTTGGGAGTATAGTTCTGCCACATTGCAGTGGCCAGAGTGAAGGTGGTGAGTGCCTTCTGGGGCCCTGGGAGTCAAGGTTATCCGCATGCCCTTTCTTGCTTGCTCCTCAGTGTGGCTGCCTCTATGTCCACACCATGCAGATGCAACAGGTAGTTTGAACCTCTGAGGCCCACAGTGGGATGGGGAGGCAGGGACATCACTTATGGGGTGGGAAGTCACCCATTCCCCAGGAAATGGCCCCAGCTGCCTTTTCCATGACTCCTCTTGAAACCCTGTGGAGGCCACATTCGTGTTGGGGCGGTCTTTCCCATGAGGATATGTTCAGATGCCGAGGCATTTTGAAAAGCCCTCCATAGAGTTTCCTTTCATAACACATGATCATCCCCTTGGGCTTCTGGTTTTTTTTCTTTCAGGACCTTATTTTCAGGCAAGTGGCCTTTGACCTCTAAGGCTGTCCTTTCCTAGCTACCGAATCCAGCATTCAAAGTGATGGAAATATGTATATATAGTAATAGTAAAATATCAGCACTTAATGGCCTGATAAGAATGTCACTGCAATGCTGAGTTTGGACCAACATTTGCCTGCTCCTGCCATTGAGCCCGGGCTCCCCTCCAGAGCTGAGCTGCTGCAAGGGATCTGAGTAACTAGGGCTGTGTCAGAGTGGCGATGACAGCCACCACATGCTAAGGAAGAGATCCCCAAGGACAAGGAGAATCCCACGTGGAGCTACTTGCTTCTTTGTCAGTCTTGTTTTTCTTATTTCACAACCTTCTAAAACACAATCTCTCAACCTCTATTGTTAGCTTGCATTTTTCAATCATGAGCACAGCTTTACCTGGCTCCATGCTTTGATTGACTCTACCTGCCAACACTGCAACAACAGGGAAAGGGACACCGGCCTCATACCATTAGATGGTGTGTAGCCTGGGCATGAGGATAATTAAAAACTCCCAAGGGGATTTTAACATGTAACACAGTTTGGAAACCATTGATGTAAGATCTTCTTACTCAACATGTGCTCCAAGGAGCTGTTGTATCAGCTTATCAGAAATGTAGATCAGGCCGCACTTGGACCTGTAGAATCAGAATCTGCATTTTATCAGATTCCGACATTATTTGTATGAACATTAGCTTTTGAGAAGTGTTGCTTTAAGAGACTAAGGGGGTCAATCTACCTCACTTTGCAGCTCTGTGTTCCTTAGTCATTGGCTAAAATATCAGCCCCCCTGCAATGAGCCATCCTCCCTTGTATAGTCAGTGATGGCCTGTGAACCTTTAGCCAACTGGAAGTGGGAGGGGACACAGTCCACAAAACACTATCCTGACTTTTGACACCAACTACAAGTCAAGGGGTTCCCCAAACCACCCTGAGTTGTGATAATTCGCTGGGAGATCTGACAGAACTCACTGAAGGTTGTTATACTCATGGTTGTGATCTCTTATAGGGAGGGAATACAGATTAAAATCAGCCAAAGGAAGAAGCACACAGCACAGAGTCCAGGACAGTGCCTGACATGGAGCCCCTACGGTCCTCTCCCGTGGAGTCACGGACAGCGCCACTCTCCTGGCATTGATGTGTGACAACACACAGGGAGTGTTCCCCACCAGGGAAGCCTTGGTGTCCAGGGTCTTTACTGTGGCTCTGTCACATGAGCACAGCTGACTGCCCATGCGGCCGATCTGTTCCCAGACTCTCCACCGCTACACATCACTCACAGTCCCTGCTCTAAATCACACACCATGACCCAATGTCCCCGGGCAAATGAAAACACCTCTAGCAGGCAGGACGTTCCAAAGCCTTAGAGATCACCTCTCAGAAGCTGAGGGCAGAAGCCAGACCTCTTTTTGGGCAGGGTTAAATTCTTTATTACTGTTTTTGAAAAAACTCCCAAATTGAGTTTTTCCTCTTCACTTACAGCAGCATAACAACAATCATCAATGCAGAAGACTTCTGCGAGCAAAGGTGTGGGGGAAAACCCCAAGCAGTGGACACTAGCTGGTGTCCTCCAATTTGATTCTGATGCTGTCTACTGGGAGATAGTGTCAGATCCTCAAGCCTAAACCCTCCTTCTCCCAGTCAGAGGGCTGGCCTTTGGAACTTCTGACCAATCCACTTCAAGTTGAGGTTCCAACCACTCCGCTCTTTGGGTTTGGTTGATTTGCTAGAGTGGCTCACAGAACTCAGGGAAACACAGCTACCAGTTTATTGCGAAGGACATTTTAAAGGATAAAAGTAGGCAGATAAAGAGATGCATAGGGCGAGGTGTGGAAAGGTCCCTAGTGCAGGAGCTTCTGTCCATGTGGAGCGGGGGTGCACCACCCTCTCAGTACATGAATGAGTTCTCCTTCACCTGCCTATCAGCCTCTACATGTTCAGCTCCCCAACCCAGTCCTCTTGGGTTTTTATGGAAGCTTCAAGACACCCACATTCTTTCCCCAGAGTATAGGGCAAGACCTTCTCTGGGGAGGGTTTTAAGACCCACAGTCAGAAAGGTGGGGTGGGGTCAAGATTAGAGTCCTGCCTTGACGGGCAGGTGAAAGGGGTAGGGGGAGTAGGTGAGAAAAATTCTGTTTATTTTTTCTTTTTTTTTTTGAGACGGAGTTTCACTCTTGTTGCCCAGGGTGGAGTGCAATGGCACAATCTCAGCTCACTGCAACCTCCGCCTCCCAGGTTTAAGCGATTCTCCTGCCTCAGCCTCCCGAGTAGCTGGGATTACAGGCGTGTGCCACCATGCCTGGCTAATTTTGTATTTTTAATAGAGACAGGGTTTCTCCATGTTGGTCAGGCTGGTCTCAAACTCCTGACCTCAGGTGATCCACTTGCCTCAGCCTCCCAAAGTGCTGGGATCACAGGTGTGAGCCACTGCATCTGGCCAAAAGATTCTGTTTTTGAGGCCTGCCTCTGAGGTCTAACACACTCAACATTATAACAAGACTGTAGTAAGGGCTATGGGAGTTATGAGCCAGGAACTGTGGATGAAAACCTATCACAGATATGCATATATATATATATATATATATATGCATATCTATAATAACTCCACAACTACACACTGCCTTATTGCTCAGTTCTTCTCTCCATGTCTCTGACCCACCCTTGCCCCCTTCCTCCATCCTTTTCTCCATTGCATACCCATCCACTGTGCCCTTTGGAATGCTCACACCATGAACTGCAAACTCTCGTGTGGCTTCAGCCTCTTCTCTGAAAGTTCCTCTCACCTATTACTTTCTCTGGAACCTGCCATCCCTGCCACCTTCTCAAAAAAGGCCTTTTATTCTCTTCATTCCACAAAGCTCAGTGTCAAAACATGGGGTTTACACTGGAAGCTGAGGTCACATCAGTAGCCGGGATCAGGGTCGCCCTAGCTGCCCAATGCAGCTCCCAGGCCTCCTGTAAAACCTTGACCTTTGAGGTCATGACAGCCCTCTCCTGCTATGCTCATAGCTGACCACTGAACTCCTGGACACTCCCTCCCCCAAGTTCACAGAGAATGTGGGCACATGCCTTACAGTCTTCCCTTGATCCAAACTACTGCCTTCATCTTGAGTGACAGCAGCATCTTTTGGATGTCTTGGCCTGTCTAGCTTTATTTTTTTGTGTTCTGCCATCAAGTTGCTACTTCTGTTGCCATCGTGCCTGTCAGCGCAGTGCAGGCTGTGGTGAAATCCCACGAACTCAGGCATCACACTGACCGGGTCTGAGTCCTGTCTCAGTTGTCAGCTAGTTGTGCAATGAAGGGAAAGGGACCTACACTTTCCAAGCCTCAATTCACTCATCTATGGCATGGTGACAATAATGGAGGTTGATTTAAAGTCCTTTGTAAGAATTAAGAGTTATAATAGACATAAAGTGCTGTATCTGGTATACCTAGAAAACATTCCATAAAAGTTAGTAATTGTTGGTCATGTAATGATGACTCTCTAGGCTAGGATTTCAGCTTCATTGCATGCACATGGTGCACTCACAGGGCGTGACCTCTCTCTGTCTCAGTAACCTCATCTGAGGACCGGGATAATCATACCGCTTCAAAGGGATGTCATAAAGATTAAATAATATGTGTAAGGCTGCTTGCATTTAGCTGCATTCAACAAATATTTCTGTATCTTTCTCCTCATTTCTCCTTACTTTCTTGCTTATTATCTGCTCTAGGTATAGATTTCAGAGAACTAAGCTTGTTACAATCCTTCATAAAATAACCAGGTTGGTTAGGGCATTTCCAAGAGTCAATACTGTTTAGTGACTATTCTCTGTTTAATCTATTTTGATTGTCCAGGGTCATCTTTTGCTATGTCATAGGTTGTTGGCTTCTTCTAGAGAAGTGAGACGATGGACAAGTTCCAAGTGAGTGAGGCGACTGGTCAGGATATTCCGCTGAAAAACTCATGTCAGTTCTAATTCGTGATTGTAATTCAATCACAGCCTGAGAACAGTAGGACTGTAGTTCAAATGCTCTGTTCCCTTTTTTTTTTCCCAGAGGATAATTTTTTTTTTTCTTTGAGATGGAGTCTTGCTCTGTCACTAGGCTGGAGTGCAGTGGCGTGATCTCGGCTCACTGCAACCTCCGCCTCCTGGGTTCAAGCAATTCTCCTGCCTCAGCCTCCCAAGTAGCTGGGACTACAGGCACATGCCACCACGCCCAGATAATTTTCGTATTTTTAGTAGAGACGGGGTTTCCCCTTGTTGGCCAGGGTGGTCTTGATCTCTTGACCTCATGATCCGCCCACCTCGGCCTCCCAAAGTGCTGGGATTACAGGCGTGAGCCACCGCGCCCGGCCTCTAGAGGATAATTTTTAAATGTGCTTTTGCATTTGGAAAATGTGATTGGCATTTTTTTCTAATTTTCTAATATGATACGCTGTCGGATGCTATGGATTACTTAAACCCTCTGGCTACCTAGAAAGATCTTTAAGTGGTTCTCAACAAGCTTCATACGCAATGTAAATTGTATTATCTCTCAGGATGTGTGAGAACATCTGTTTTTCTTCTAATGCAGTAAACATATAAGGGTCTCTTGGGATATCTTTTAAATAGACTTAATACAACATTCAGGAATGATAACAAAATATAATCACAGTTGTAAGGGAATGTGAGCATTTCATATTAATAACATTGGAACCTTATGTTTAATACAGTGTTAAAAGTTGACAAACATGTAGGAGTCAGAAAATTCAATTAAAATTATCACAGTAATATGAATTTAGCCACATCCTGTGTTAGTTATGAAATCCATTTAACACCACAAACAGTAATATTTTTAGCCAGTTTATTCAAAAGGAAAACAGGAACTAAACCACTTTCATGCAATATATACTCTGTTAATGTGGTCAGGCTAATTTTGCTGGGGGAAGGAACTTAACTTTTGAATATTTGAATGCCCAGTCATTTAATCTGAATATCCTATTTCCTTGCATGTTGCAAAATTTTTGTCAATAAAAGGCAGAAAAAGAAATCTCTTCTCCATGCTCATCCCTAAGAGAATGGGTTGTCTGTACCCTGAGAGCATTTTATGGAGGGGACAACCACTTTTCTAATTTTCCTTCCCACTTCTCTGTGGGCACAAATGCTCTTTGGTTGAAAGAGTTGTAATTCAGTCCCAAGATGAGGTGTGGTTACTGCATCCCTAACCTATATCTGGGGACCCCACAGCCACACACATGGGGGAAATGGAGCTTGTCATTCAGTTCTCCAGCCATTGCACAGGGTTCATGGACTCTTCGTTGATCCCACCCCACGCTTCTTCTCTCTGCTAGCCGAACACACTTCTCTCTTCTTTATCAGGAGGCCATAGGAGAAGGGCATTCATTTTTAATACACATACATCTGCATCAAGTCTAATTTTGCCATGTCTCAATCCAACTGTCAAATGGGTTGTTTGGGGGCTATGGTGCTTATCAAACATTTACTCAAGAATAGCCAAAATTAGCCAAGCAAGGAGAACTTCAGCAACGTTCCCAAATGGCCCCAACCAAGTACTGTAAGACTGAGGATAGCTAAAGGGTCTTGAGAGGGACTTCTCAGGCAGTGGCCCCGACATTTATCTGTTTTTTTAAGTGAGAAATCTGAGTACCATTCTTGACTCCTCTTCCTTACCCCCAACCCCTCACTAAGCCTTGTGCTACTATTTAGTAAACAGACCCTCAATGCACAAACTTCTGTCTAAGGCCATGGCCACCACCCTAGTCTAATCCACCATCTCTTCTCTGGAACAGACCCCAGCTGCTCTCCCTGTCTCTGTGCTGGTCTCTCAATCCATGCTCCACACTGCAGCCAGAGTGCTCTACAATGCAAATCCATTTGTGAGACTCCTCCTCTTAAAATCCTCAAGTGGCTTCTCTTTGCCCCCAGGATCATTTTGAAACTCCTTAATGGAAGAGGCATGGCCCTTTGGGATGTGGTTCCCCAACCCCTCCCACATCATCTTTTCAATCAGATTTCCCACTAAATGGAAATTTTTTCAGGTCCTCAACTTTATGGTGACTTTCTCTTGCTCAGGATCTTTGAACATACTGTTTCTTCTTTCCTTTTGTATTTGCCAAGACAACACTTCCTCTGGTAAGATTTTCCTGACATCCTCTATAAAAAAAGATTGAGATAGTTGACTACCCAAAATGTTTCCCATTCATTCCAAGCTCTATTCAAGGCAGTAAAGTGCCCGGCTGACAGATTGCATTCCTCATCTTTTCTGAAGCTAGCAATGGCCATGCAACAGCATTCTGGCCAATAAGATAGAAGTCGAAGTTGAAGGGTGGGATTTCCAAGAAAGCTCGTTGAAGACATAATTCCTCATTTCACTTCTTACTCTTTCTCTTTCCTGCTTCCTAAAATGCGGTGCAGATGGCAGACACTTCAAAGCTGTCTCAGGCAATCAGGTGATGTTAAGGCAGAAACCAGCTTTATGATGGGTAGAACAGGAAGAAAGAAGGCACCTATGTTCTTGTTCACCTTGAACCACACCAGCACTGCCTTGCCTACCCCTGGAATTCCTTTAATGAGAGGCAAATGAGAGCTTACGTGTTTAAGCCATTGCTATTTTATTTTTTTTTGTTTATATGCAAAAGAACTTAATCCTAACTGATATTAACACTAACTGGGTCTATTGCTTGGTACCAAGCCAATGCATGACACATGGTATATATGCTCAGTAAGTATTTGTTGAATGAGTGAGGCAATGAAAGAACATAGAGGATATATATAACAGTCCTCCTGCCCAGATGTCATCTGATCCTCTTTAGGATCTGGGCCCATAAAACTGTATCTGATATAGTTTGAATATTTGTTCCCTACAAATCTCATGTTGACATTTTATCCCTAATATTGGAGGCAGGGCCTAGTAGGAGGTGTTTTGGTCATAGTGATAAATGGCTTGGTGCCGTTCTCACAGTAACGAGTGAGTTTTTATTCTAGTGGTTCCTGCAAGAACTGATTGTTAAAAGAGCTTGGATCCTTCCACCCCTCTCTCACTCTTGCTTCCTCTCTCTCACCTTGTAATCTCTACAAGCTCTTCACCTCCCCTTCTCCTTTTGCCATAAGTGGAAGATTTCTGAGGCCTCACCAGAAGCAGATGTTGGTTCCATGCTTCTTGTACAGCCTGCAGAACCATGAGCCAAATCAACTTCTTTTCTTTATAATTATCCAGTCTCAGGTATTCCTTTATAGCAACACAAATGGACTAAGACAGTTTCTAATGCTATGGTTCCTTTAGTAGGTCAGTGTAAAACCCTGGATCACTCCTGTAACAAATTACTTGGAACTCTTCTCACCATACATATTTAAAAATAGTTGCCATGTTGAAAATCCTATAAGATCATATTTTATTTCAAATCCAACAACTCATTGCTAAGGAGATACAAGAAGCAGAAAATACAGAGAGACTAATGTGTTGATGATTTTTGTGAGGGACATAAGGTCTGTGTCTAGATTCATTTTTTTGCATGTGGATGTCCAGTTGTTCCAGCACCATTTGTTGAAAAGACTATCTTTGCTCCACTGTATTGCTTTTTCTCCTTTGTCATAGATATCTGGTCACCTTACCTTAGAGTCACAGATGAATGGTCCTATTACTTAACTACTGAAAATACAGGCCAAAGCAAACAGAGGAATAAGGGATATATAATAAAGTATTTGTGTACTTGACTTGGCTCTAAAGGAAGCATTGCGTGTCTGTGTAAAAAGAATGGGTGAGAGTTTTCCACCATTCAATATTTCTAATCTTTCTGAAATACAAAGCCAGGACATCCTCTAATCCATACATTCCATAGTTTGGTTAATATAAATTCCTTTATTAAATCCTTATTAAATAAAGTTATTTATGTTTCTATGAAACTCATTTTAACTCCTAAGTGAAAAATACTACTGAGCTAACTAAACATCAAACATTTTTAATTTTTTAAATTTTTTTAGAGACAGGGTCTTGCTATGTTGCCCAGGCTGGCTTTGAACTCCTGTGCTCAAGCGATCCTCCAAACTCAGCCTCCCGAGTAGCTGGGACTACAGGTGCATGCCACTGTGCTCAGCTAAACATTTTTTTGAAATGCTCTTTTAAAATCAATTTTATTGAAGTATAAGTTACATACCATAAAAGTACTCATTTTGAGTGTACAGATTGACAAGTTCTGACAAATGTGAACAACCATGTAACCATCACCAAAAATAAAGATATGAGACATTTCCATTACCCCAAAAAGTTCCCGTGTCCCTCTCCAGTCAATATCCAGCCCTAGCCCCAGCTCCAGGCAACCACCAATCTGCTTTCTGTTGCTATAAATTGTACTTATCTTTTCTAGTGTTTCATACAAATGGAATCATACAGCATTTACTCTTTTGTGTCTGTCTTCTTCTGCTCAGTGTAATGTTTTTGAGATTCATCTATGTTCTGTGCCTCAGTAGTTTGTTCTTTTTATTACTGGATAATTCCATTATAAGAATATACCACAATTTGTTTATCCATTTACTGCCTGATGGGCATTTGGTTGTTTCCAGCTTTGAACTATTTTGAATCCTAAAAGACTGCCAGTTTTGAATGAGACCCCAGAACAATGAATGTAGGCTCTGTATACAAGTTCAGGCTGCTGGGCAACTTAGGCCTTAAGACACAACTCTGCCACTTAGGCCTTAAGACACAACTGACATGATGGTGCTTAAAGTGGCTGTGATGGAAAAGGAGGCTGTTTGGAGCCTTTGGAGTGCCTTTATAGGTGAACCCCAGCATAGCACCTAATGATTTGGAGCAAAGCTGTGTCATTCCCCAAAGATAACTATTCGCCTTTTGAGAAACATCTTCTAGCTACTATCAATAATAAACACAGAATGCATCACCATGGGCCACCGTGTTGTCTTTTGACCTGAGTTTCCATTGTGAACAAGAGTCATTTGATCCAAGGCAGAAAGTTGGGTGCACACAGCAGTGTTCCATCATCAAATGGAATATGAGATTGGGCCCAAGTAGGTCCTGCAGACACAAATAAGTTGCAAGAGCAAGTAGTACAGGCGCTTGGCCTGGCCAGTACTGTTGCCAAGTTGACTGCTTCCCCTCAGTCTGCATCTGTGGCTTCATGGGGAGTTTCCTATGACCACTTGATGGAGGAAAAAACAAATTGGAGCATAGTTTATAGTGCTGGTACTACCCAAAGTGGCTAGCTGAGGCACTACATCTCCACTCTGGGGTGCCCGTGAAGGACAGTGCCAAAGGAAAACCCCCTCAGTGAGCAGAACTTGGAGCAATACAAGTGGGTGTTCATTTTACCTAGAAGAGAAGATGTCCGTGAGTTACAGATCTACACAAAATCACAGAGAGTGGTTAATCGTTTAGTCTGATGGTCAGGGACTTCCAAGAGACATGATTAGAAAACTGGTGACAAGGAGTCCTGGGGAAGAGGCATATGGATACCTCTGAACACACACAAAACATGAGAATATGTATCCCATATGAATGTTAACCAAAGAGCAGCCACAACAGAAGAGGATTTTAAAATCAGCTGAATAAGATGATTCATTCTGACAGCATCAGCTAGTCTCTTTCCCCAGCCACTGTTGCCCAGTGGGCTTACATATATCATGGCCATGGGGGCAGGGCTATGTATGGACACAGCAACATGAATTTCCACTCATCAAGGCCAATTTGGCTCCAGCCATTGCTGAGTGCTCAGCCTGCCAAGATAGAAATCTACGCCAATATGGCACCATTCCCTGGGCTAGAAAACCAACTGGTGGAAGGTTGATTACATTGGACCATTTCCATCATGGAAGGGGCAGTGCTTTGTCTTCCCTGGAATAGACATTTACTCTGGATATGGATGTGCCTTCCCTGACTACTACAATGCTCTGCCAAACCTACCATCCATGGGCTTAATTTTATTTGTTATAAAATTTCAACCACCATTGCTTCTGACCAAGGAAGTAATCTTACAGCAAAGGAAGTACAGATATGAGCTTCTGATCATGGGCTTCACTGGCCTCACAGTGAAGCAGGTGGCCAGATTAGAACAGTGGAATGGATTTTAAAGGCTCAGTTACAGCACCAGCTGGGTAGCAACACCCTGCTGGCCTGGGGTTATGTCCTGCAGGATGCTTTAAGTCAGTGACCAATATATGATGCTATTTCTCCCATTGTCAGGATTCATGGGTCCAAGAATCATGGGGTCAAAATGGGAGTGGCTTTTCTCACTATCACCCTGGTGTTCGGGTAGTAATTTTTCCTTCCCATTCCTGTAACTTTGGGCTCTGCTATTGCAGAAATCTTAGCTCCTGTGGGGGGAATGCTTCCATCAGGGAATACAATGGTGGTTCCACTAAACTGACAGCTGAGTTTGCCATCTCCTCGTGCCAGTGAATACACAAGCAAGGAAGGGGGTTCCTTTCTCACCTAGGGTGACTGATCCTAATTACCAAGGAGAAATTGGACTGCCACTTCACAATGAGGGTGAGGAGTATGTACTCTATGTGTCTGTGATTAATGTCAATAGAAAGTGACACCAACCTAGTACACAGAGGACTGATCATGGTCCAGGCCCTTCAGGAATGAAGATTTGAGTCACCAGGCAAGGAACTTGGACTCACTGAGGAGGGCATATTCCAAGGAGAATATTTTATCTATGTCCATCTATGTCCATCTATATTCCATCTGTGTTCCCCTTGGAATTCCTATTCATGAACATGGGGAATTCCAAGGGGAATATAGAATGAGTAGTGGAAGGTAGTTATAAATGTAAGTCAAAAACCACACAACCAATTTGAGAAATGAGGAAGGTAATAGTGTTGAATATGTCTTCTTTATCTTGATATAAATGTATTTGTGCATATATTAACCAGTTTATTTATTTATTATTATTTTTTGAGATGAGCTCTCGCCATGTTGCCCAGGCTGGTCTTGAACTCCTGGGCTCAACTGATTCTACCATTTAGTCCTCCGAGTAGCTGGGACTACAGGCATGCACCACCATACCCAGCTGACCAGTTTTTTCCTATTCCTCTACTTAATTTCTCTACTATACAACATAATATGTGTTAATGGTAGTTAACTTTATATCTCAGTATTAAGTCACAAGATATCAAAAAGGGAATGCGACTTAGTTACAAGCAGAATGAATATCACTCAAAGATGAATAAAGAGAAGAGGGTTAGTGCATTTTCTGTTGGATGAGAGAAAGTTTCATTGTTAGGCAGAAGCATGATTTTGCCTTTTTTTTTTTTTTCCAAGGTCTCACTCTGTGGCCCAGGCTGCAGTGCAGTGGTGCGATCTTGGCTCACTACAACCTCTGCCTCCCGGGTTCAAGTGATTCTCCAGCCTCAGCCTCCAGAGTAGCTGGGATTATAGGTGCGCCAGGTTAATTTTTGTATTTTTAGTAGAGAAGGTGTTTCTCCATGTTGGCCAGGCTGGTCTTGAACTCCTGGCCTCAAGTGACCCACCTGCTTTGACCTCCCAAAGTGCTAGGATTACAGGTGTGAGCCACTGTGCACAGTCACCACGGTCTTTTTGGGAGGCAACTTTAGCATGGTTAAGAGGTGCGAATGGATGTTAAGCTAACACCAGGTAAGCCCTGGTAGATGTGTATTGTGTCAGTGGGCCTACGCTGGAGCCATGTTTCCCCAAATTCACTTTTCCTATGTACCTCTGGATTAGTGTGGGCCACTGGAGACATTTCACATGAGATGAGGAAGGTGGGAGTGAAGGAGCAGCATCTTTTTACACTAAGCAGGTCGGGGAGGGCATGTGGCTCTGTCTCACATTGTTGGGAATCTGTCCATCATCTGGTTGGCTTAGGTCAGTGGGTGAGTTCACAGCTGTTCCAGCTTCTGCTGGAAACTCCTTCGGTTTCTCTGACTGCTCCGTGATGAGGGCATCAGATTCTCCTGCAGAAAGCCCCAGTGTTGAAGTTGGGGCTTCATGTTGGTGAGTGATAGTTACGGGTTCTAGCCCAACCTGTGGTTTCTTGCAAATTTCAGTGTCAGCTCAGTCTTGCGGGTTTTGGGTTGTCCTTGCTTCCCACACTTCATGCCTTTCTTTCCCTCCTGACAGTCTGCCCTTTAGATTTTAGGATTCAGCACCAGCCACAGAAACAGCAACCTCACTGTTAAGGGTTGAATTGTATCTCCCCAAAAGGTAGGTTGAGGCCCTACCTGCCAGGACTTCAGAATGTAACCTCATCTGGGAATAGCATCATTGCAAATATAATTAATTAAGATGAGGGCATACTGGCTCAGGATGGGCTCCTAATTCAATACAACTAATGTCCTTCTATGACAGCCACAGGAAGACAGAAACGCCAAGGGAGAACACCATATGCTGATGGAGGCAGTGGCAGCTGCCAGCCAAGGATTATAACCAGAAGTCAGGAAAAAGCAAGAAGGAATCCTCCCTTAGTGATTTTACAGGGAGCATAGCCCTGCTGACACCTTGATTTTGGACTTTTATTCCCCAAAACTGTAAAACAATACACTTCTGTTGTTTTAAGCCACTCAGTTTGTGCTACTTTGTTATGGCAACTCCAGAAAACAAAAATACACTCAGACTGTTTAATCAACCTCCATAATTGCATAAGGTCTAATCCCTATAATAAATCCCTTAAAAATGTCTGTGTATATATATTTAAAAATATAAAATATCTTCTAGTGGTTCTGCATCTCTGGTCAATCCCTGACTGATACAGAATATGTATTTTCATTTCTAATGATGAAATACCTGAATGAAATTTCTAGGACATATGGTAAGTGTATGTTTAGCTTTTAAGAAACTGCCAACTTGGGGGAATTGCTTGAGGCCAGGAGTTCAAACAGCCTGGGTAACAGTGATACCCTGTCTGTACAAAATAAAAAATATTAGCAGCGTGTGGTGGTGTGTGTCTGTAGTCCCAGCTACTCAGGAGGCTGAGGTGGGAGATTCACCTGAGCCCAGATCTTTGAAGTTATAGTGAGCTATGATCACGCCACTGCACTCTAGCCTGGGTGACAGAGTGAGAAAGCTGGTCTCTAAAAAACAAACAAACAAAAAAGAAACTGTCAAACTCTTCCCAACATGTTGCCATTTTTACATTTACCATTTTACATTCTTACCAGCAATGATTGATAGTTCCAGTTGCTCCATACCCTTGCTGACCATTCCAATAGATGTATTGTGTTATCTCATTGTAGTTCTAATTTGTATTTCCCTAGTGATTAATGATGTTTAACATCTTTTCATGCACCTATTGGCTATATGTATATCTTCTTTAGCAAAATATATGTTGTTATTTGAAGAGCGGAAGTTTTACATTTTGATGAAGTCTAATTTATTGATTTTTTTTTTCTTAGATGGCTCATGCTTTTTGTGTTATCTAAAAAAAATTTGCCTTCTTCATGGTCACAAAGACTTTCTCCTATGTTTTCTTTTGGAAGCTTTATATTTTTAGTTTTTATGTTTATGTTTAAGACCCATTTCTAGTTACAATTTGTGTGATTTTTTGGAAGGGTCAAGGTTCATTTTCTTTTCCATAAGAATGTACAGTTGTTCTAGCACCCTTGTTAAAAAGACTTTCCTTTCCCCATTGAACTACTTTGTCAAAAATCAACTGAGCATATATGGGCATCATGAATTTTAATCCTGTTAGAACTGAATGTTCCCAAGGCAGGCCATGCCCATGACTGACCTCCTTTCCTTGGATTGCCTACAAAACAGATAAAGCTAAGTCTGGAGCAAAGAAATCCATGTCTAACCTGTATTTTTTTTTTTTTTTTTTTAGATGGGGTCTCGCTCTGTCACCCAGGCTGGAGTGCAGTGGCGTGATCCCAGCTCACTGCAATCTCTGCCTCCTGGGTTCAAGTGATTCTCCTGCCTCAGCCTCCCGAGGGGCTGGGATTGTAGGCGTGCACCACTATGCCCATCTAATTTTTGTATTTTTAGTAGAGATAGGGTTTTGCCATTTTGGCCAGACTGTCTTGAACTCCTGACCTCAGGTGATCTGCCTGCCTCGGCCTCCCACAGTTTTGTGATTATAGGCATGAGCCACCGTGCCCGGCCTTAACCTTTGTTTTCTTACACAACACACTACGTGATGTTTTCCACATGCATGGGTCATTTGCTTCATTTACGTACAAATGCATAAGCAATATACTGTGTGGTGTGAGTTTGTGATGGGAAAAGGAAGAAGTTTTGCGGATACTACACTGGCTTCCTGCTATCTGTCTGTGTGAATGGCTATGGACTTTGTCTTCTATTTGTTCGCTTAGCGCAGATATGATCAGCTTACAACTTAAGATTCTAGAGAAAGAGGGTCATATCTGTAAAGCACTCTGAGCATGTGTGAAGTTTAATCAATAGCATATGAGGTTACAGCAAATTCACTATCTTTGTTTCTTCAGCTATAGAATGGCATGAGGATTCATCTCAATTTAGTTCAATTCTGTTCAGAACCATGAGCTAGCTGTTCATGGAAGGAAAGCCCACCTGATTGTGGCCAGGGAAGGAGAAACAACACTTTAACCAGGTTGATTTGGTTCTCACAGACACCATTGGCATGTGACATCTGGAACAGACCATGCCTGGTCTCTGTTCGTATCACTTACTATTCAGCTCAATATTGGTCTGAATATTCTTTAGACTGACTGAAATGAAAAGGAACTGTTGTGTAACCATCCATAATTCCAGCCTGTAGACCTGGGCTGTATCTCTATGCCCTGCCTGGCACAGACCCCACCTCCTGCTCCTTCTCCCTCACCACCAGTCAATCCTTGTCCTAATGAACAGGGAGGGCAACCCTGAATGGGGAGTGGAGGGAAGAGATGTCATGAGATGGCAACGTGCACCCTGAAGTGAGGATGAAGGCTATGTGAATGTTGTAGGCTGACAGCCGGGCATAGTGGCCCCGTTGCCATGGCGATGGAGGCATGTTGATGCGAAGTGTCTGCACAGCTCCTAGGATTTTTAACAGCAGCTGGGCAGAGCCTCGGCGTCCCTGAATTGTTGCCCCCCTGAGTCACTGCTTGGCCCCAGCTGTCCTGATCTCTGTTGACAAATGGTTGTCCTTCACAGTCAAACTACTAACAGTACTCTAATTAATGAATGTGCTAATTATTCTTGCCTACTCCCAGCATATTTGTCTAACTAACCTGTCACACACAGATCAGTGCAGCATATGCATAATTACGGAGAGCGCTGGGAGCAGGGGATGGGTGGGAGAGGGGTGGGCTCGCAGCCCTGTCGCTGTGGGATATTTCTTGTAAAGTTACCTTTGCTAACGGTCAGATGTCGTGGGGATATGTTATTTCCCGTGAAGTGTATATGTCTTCCTTTCTTTCCTTTCTAAGAATCTCTCTTCAGGGCTGAGGGGCCATTGCTCAGTGCTTTAGCCTGTGAGGGGATTGCCAGGTACAAATGCAGAAGGACCAGGGAGCCCAGGTTCTGAAGACGATTCCGGTAGCAGCACGTAGGGTGATTAAAACTCCAGACTTTAAAGCCAGACCGGCCTGGGCTTGAACCCTTGTTCTGCTCCTTGCTATGTGGGTCTTTGCCTTGACCACATTTTTTTTTTTTTTTTAAGACAGGATCTCCCTCTCTTGCCCAGGCTGTAATGCAGTGTTGCGATCACAGCTCACTGAAGCCTCCATCTCTACAGCCTCAAGCGATCCTCCTGCCTCAGCCCCGAGTAGCTGGGACTACAGGTCTGTGCCACCACGTCCAGCTAATTTACTTTTGTAGAGTTGGGGGTCTTGCTATGTTGCCCAGGCTGTTCTCCAACTCCTGGACTCAAGCCATCCTCTAGCCTCGGCCTTCCAAAGTGCTGGGACTATAGGCGTGAGCCACGGTGCCAGGCCCTTGACCACATTTTTAACCCCTCTGAACCTCAGTTTCACTTTCTGGGCAATGGGAGGGGGGTAATTTGTCCCTCAGAGGGTTGCACTGAGGGGCAAATGTGAGGCTCTGGGTACAATGCCCAGTACAGACTAGGTCCCCACGACACAGCCGCTCAGCGGCTCCGGATTCTGGGCTGCTCTGGACTGCGGCCAGGCGGTCTTCTGCGGGAATCCGGGCAGGCAGGGCGGGCTGCGCTCCCCTCCCCGGCTCTCCCGGTGCCCCTTGTCTTTTTGTTCTGTCTCAGCAGCTCTCTATTAAGATGAATGGCATTTCCAAAGGCTTCACCTCTGATAAGTGTTCCTCTGCAGCTGCAGCCAGAATCTTAATGTGCGCGCTGTAATTTAATGGCCGTCTCGGCTATTAACACGCTCTTCTCGGGTGAAGTGGACTCCCTCCATCCCCGGGCCTCTGCACGTGCTCTGCGCGCTGGCTGGGGGTGACTCCAAGGAGCTCAGAGCGGGGTGCCCGGCACCTCTCGCCAGGCGCCTTTCGACCTTCTAAAGCGCGAATGGCTGGACTTTTCTCCCATGTGTGGGGCCCCAGAAGGTGTGGGGCCCCAGAAGGTGTGGGGTCCCTGCGTTCCACGGAGCCCGGAAGGTTTCCAGTGATGGTGGGGGCTGACCACGTTGGTCCCCGTGGGTGCTGTTTTCATGTGCCGGCAGATTGGGATGAGTTTAAAAGACAGAAGCGTGTAGGATAGAGAAACTTCTTTAAAAACTGGAAATTTTAATCTGGGGATTATAACTATTGGACAGTCAAGTGCAAGAGTGAATACACTTCTCACTCCCTCCTCCCAATTTTTATTTGCGGGATTAGTCAGTCCCCCTCTGCCACATGATAATTGTGAGAACTACCAGGGTCTTCATTCTCCTGCCATCTGGTTGACCTCTCCAAGAATGGACACCCGGGCAGCCTGGGCCAATGAGGCTGTCCTAAGAGTTTAGATGAGAGAAGTCAGTCTTTGACAGGTGATGGAAGCTGTAAAATGTAAAACTCCACAGTTGGTGAAGATGTCTCCAGGAAACAGGTCTGCAGAGAGAATACGTTTGACATGCTAAGAGAAGCTGAGAGAGAGCGAGAGGAGAGATTGGAAGAAAGACAGAGACAGAGGTAGAGAGAAGGGAAAGAGAGAGAGAAAGGGACAGAAGAGAGAGAAAAAAGAGGGGGCCGGGCGCGGTGGCTCACGCCTGTAATCTCAGCACTTTGGGAGGCCGAGGCGGGCAGATCACGAGGTCAGGAGATCGAGACCATCCCGGCTAACACGGTGAAACCCCCGTCTCTACTAAAAAATATAAAAAAAATTAGCCAGGCGTGGTGGTGGGTGCCTGTAGTCCCAGCTACTGAGGAGGCTGAGACAGGAGAATGGCGTGAACCCGGGAGGCAGAGCTTGCAGTGAGCTGAGATCGCGCCACTGCACTCCAGCCTGGGCAACAGAGCAAGACTCCGTCTCAAAAAAAAAAAAAAAAAAGAGAGGAAGGGCGGGAGAGAGAGAGAGAGAAAGCTCTCTAGCTCCAAGGCCTAACCACATCTCTGTTCTTTTCAACTTCAGCTGTCAGATTTTTAGACTCTTTGAGTGAATAAATTCTCCTTTTTGCTTAAACTAGTTTGAGCTAAGTTTCTATTGCTTGCAACTGGAATACTTTGTAAGAGGACTGGCCTTCATTTCTGATGCATTGTCACTAAGATGTAAGTGTTAGAAGAGCTAACGCTTTATGGGGTTCAAACTCCTTGGCTACCAAAACCTAAACATCCCCTGAAACTTACCAAACTGCAGGTATGAATTGGATCTCACTAAGGTGAATATACAAATCTTGCAAGTGCTGAGCCCTAACCAATCTTGTAATAACTCTGTGGTAGTTAATTTTATGTCAAATTGATTGAGCTAAAAAATGCCCAGGTAGCTGGTAAAATGTTTTTTTCTGGGTGTGTTAGGGAGGGTGTTTCTGAAAGAGATCAGCACTGGAATCAGCGGACTAAGTAAAGAATTCCCACCCTCACCAATATGGTGGGTGTCATCAATCCACTGAGGGCCTGAATAGAACAAAAAGCGGGCAGAAGGGCAAATTCCCTCTTCTTCTTGAGCTGGGCCATCCATCTTCTCCTGCCCTTGGACACTGGAGCCCCTTGTTCTCCAGCTTTTGGATTCAGACTGGGTCTTGCACCATTGCCCTCCATCTTCTCCTGCCCTTGGACACTGGAGCCCCTTGTTCTCCAGCTTTTGGATTCAGACTGGGTCTTGCACCATTGCCCTCCTTGATGCTCAGGCCTTTGAATGCAGACTGGTCTCCACCAGCAGCTTTTCTGAGTCTCCAGCTTGCAGATGGCAAACCATGAAACTTCATGGTGTCCATGAGCATGTGAACCAATTTCTATTATAAATCTGCAATATATATATATGAGGAGACTTATTTATATATTGGTTCAGTTTCTCTGGAGAGCCTTGGCTAATATAAAGTCTATACTCTACAAAGTGCCCTAGGTACTCAGGGAGTACCCAAGTGTGTCATGACCAGCCCGACAGCCCTGGCTGCTGGCTTCCCCGCACACAACTCTGCACGCTGCCTTCATCAGCCTTTCTCTCTCAGCTGAACCGAGGGCATTGAAGCGGGCCTCTGGCACTGTACCTATGAGGGAGCAATATCTTCCCCTACACTGACCTCTTCCGTGCCGAGATGCAGCCCTCCCTGCTGCCACTAGTTACAGTGGTCCATGTTCCCTTTCAAAGTGAAGTTTTGATAAAAGCACCTCTTAACCAATGCCAAATAGCTAAGTCTGGGACAAAGATTGCAGGTATTTTGCATTTTCCATGTAACCTCAGAGGGATTGCCATTCACACTGATCTGAGCTGCAGAATACCAGGCAGCCACCTCACCCACCCAGCAGGTCCACTCTTATACTTTCTCAGAAAGCACAGCCACTCTACTCTTATTCAGTTGAAAAGAATTTCCAGGAAGGTGTTTCTGCGATTGCCTCAGAAAAGTCAGTTCCCTTTGGGAATTTCCCTTAGGGATCATCTGTAACTCCATTTCTGCCTTTTACCTGAATTCTTTGGTTTGGTTTGAATTCTTTGGTTTAATTTATGAATTCCCTTTATTACTTTTCTCTGAAGAAATGGAGATATCAGCTGTCCCTCCCCACTGCCATTTATTCCTTCCTTCATTCAAACCTTATGTGGCTGCTACTTACCGTGTGTTAAGTGTTCACTTTTTTTCTTGGAATTCAAAAAAAGAAGGACAGTATTTGGGGCACAGATCTTTTGGTGTTCTATACATTTTTTTAAAGTTTCATTTTACATTTGTGTGTGCGTGTGTGTGTGTGTGTGAGACAGTCTTGCTCTGTTGCCCAGGCTGGAGTGCAGTGGCATAATCATTGGCTCACTGTAGCCTCAAAGTCCTGGGCCCAAGCAATCTTCCCACCTCAGCCACCCAAAATGCTGGGGTTACAGGTTTATGCCACTCTGTCTGACCTGAAAGTTTTGGGTTTACTTTCCCTTCTTTCTCTTTGCTGAAGTCAGAGATGATGGCAGCTTCCAGATTCTCTGGTGCCTGTGCTGGGCTCGTGCTGGTCATGGTCTTGGGTCCAGGATTCATTCTGGAGACTCTCAGGGAAGTTTCCCATGACAAGGAAATGTAGGAGAGTGTGCTGGCTTTGCGTGCTCCTCTGCCAAGCCCTGCTTCTCCTGGTGGGACACACTGAACCACAGCCAGGGCATTTTGGTGGTTAGTTAAAAAAAAAAAAAAAAAAAAAAAAAGGAAGAAGAAGGCACTGTGTAATTGTGCCGGGGATCTTCAGAAATTGTAATGATGAAAGAGTGCAAGCTCTCACTTCCCCTTCCTGTACAGGGCAGGTTGTGCAGCTGGAGGCAGAGCAGTCCTCTCTGGGGAGCCTGAAGCAAACATGGATCAAGAAACTGTAGGCAATGTTGTCCTGTTGGCCATCGTCACCCTCATCAGCGTGGTCCAGAATGGTAAGGAAAGCCCTTCACTCAGGGAAGAACAGAAGGGGAGATTTTCTTTGATGGTTGTTTGGAAGTCAGGCTTAAACAATTGTGTCTGTGTGTGCGCATGCACAAACACTTTTACCTTATCTTTATTTTCTTCTTTTTATTTGAATGTATAGGGTTGTGTGTATTTCTGTGTAAATTTGGGGTTTTCCTCCTCTTAGTCTTTCACTTTTGTGGTGATTACCAGTCCCATTTTTAGAGCCAGGGCTGCAACTTGAAGGTTTTGCTAAAACCCTCACCGAAGTGTCTATGATCAGCATTTTAACTATTAATTAATGTGGCCAGGCAAGGGGTGGAAGGTGAGAAGACTAGAAAGGGAACATGATATACACATTTACTCAGATACTGGGCTTTTCTAACATCTGCAGTGCAATTGAAGTTACCAGTCATCTGCAGTCTAAAAAGAAAGTGATTTTGGGAGGTGCGTAGAAAAAATCATCTTATTATTTTTCCTCTATATTACTTTTTTCTTTTTTTCTCCTGAAGAAACTTTTTTTTTTGGTGATACCTTCTTTTTCTCTAGCACGTATAATTTTGGAAGCATTTTTCATATGCAGTGTATACTTCAGAAAGAGAGAGAGAGAGAGGAAAATTGTCCTGTTCAGCGTTTGCATTTCCATTATTCCTGCTATTAGTTAAAAACAACAACAACAACAAAAAACAAGCAGGATACCTAGATCTGGAAAAGGGAGAATTGTGTAGAGCTGTCTTCCTAAAGTTCTGAGTTAGGGCTGCCTCAGACCACTTTCATAACTATCTCCAGTGGCTTTGTGTTTTATATTTATTAAGATAGAGAAAAAAAGAGTAATTACTAAGGGCAGCTGCTGTAGCTTTATGGTGATTACTGAACATTGACATGCTGTCACGTTTTTGGAACTTTGAGTATTTAATCACTTTGGGATATTCTATTTTCCCCCATCTTGAGTGTGGACAGATGCTGGTGATGTAGCCTTCTGGGCACAGAGCAAGCCTCCCCCTCAGCCTCTGCACCAGAAAGGCTCAGCTTCACACACTCCAAGTATGTTTTCTACAAGAACTACACTTTGTGGCTTTCTGACCCAAACATTTTTATACTAAATTACACACAACAAAGTTGTAGCTCAGAGAGGGAACAAATGGCTTATTTAGGCCACCATTTTCTTGAGCCATTATGATTTCACACAGGGCTCCCTTGGCCCTGTAAATTGGCAAGGATTCCATTATTCAACCCGCATACATGTACAGAGACCCTGCTCTGGCCCAGATAGTATTCTGGGTACAGGCGGATAGAGCAGGAAACAAAACAGCTACAGTGATGGACAGGTCAGCCTGCAGCAATGCCTGCAGTCTCTGCAAAGGTAGCTGTATGGGTGGGCAGGTGGCTAGCACTTATTCAGCTCTGGAAGGATCTCCCCTCTGGCCTCTCCCCTGACACCCATCAATAAAACTGAGGAGCATCGGTGGACAGGGGACCTTGTGCCCCCTCCCTGCCTGTGCAGTTGGGGCTGAACCCAGCTACGAAGTTTGAGCTCACTCTCTCCAGCTCCCTCTCAATTCAGAGCTGAACTGTGGGAAGCTTCAGAGCTCTCTGTTTCAAGGACAGGTTCTCCTCACCTCTCCTAATGGAGGTGCACCAGGGAACTGGCCCTGCTCTGCCCAGGGCTTTCTCCTGGACTTTGCCATCATGGTCTAGCAAACCCTGTTCAGATTGAGGTGAGTGGTGAGATTTCGAATTCTTTTTGACAGATAGGATTAAGTCTTCTTCTGTGGGACAAGTGGGAGGTAGAGGTAAGATTAAAGATGGCCAAATGTCTGAGTCCTGACAGCCACAATATGGAGATCTAGACTTTTTACAGACCACAGGGCACAGGGGCCTCACTAACAGAGTTCCCGGAAGTGATGAGTGTGCTGGGGGCTTCCTGGTTGAAGAGACACTAGAATGGACCAGCTGGGAGCTAATTTTTTGGGCTGGAGTGTGATGGCCTGCACATCACTGCCTCTGTCCCTCCATTGTCACAGCTGCCCCTTAGGAGCCAGCTGAGGCAATTTGTGGTCAGAGTGACTTTGCACAGTTGTCCTGCCTGTGTTCAGGAAGGGAGTTTCTGTGGTCCCTTTGAAACCACAGAAGAGCCCCTCGTATAGCTCTCAATGGAGGGGGCAAAACATTCAAATAACTCAGGAGATAACACAACTATTTGTTTTTAACTGTGAGTTTTTAGGCAATCACAAAGATCCAGATGTATGTCCAAGCCTCTCTTTGCAATTCTAATTAACCTCAATGTTGCAACCATAGACCTACCTTACAGAGTTCAAAAAAATATGCAAAAACCCTGCCTTTCTTCTTCCTCATACCCCAAAATGCCATTCTGAACATTTCCTGTTAGTTAAAAAAAGATTTCCATGGTGTTACCAGGCACTGTACACAGTCTGTGTCCCAAGACAAGGAGGTACAGTTCCACATGCGCCCATGACTGGGTTGGGCTCTGCACTCTCTCTATACTTTGAGAGCCTGATTTTCTGTGATTGGGCAGAGCTGGCCCACCTGGTGCAATGTCCTCCTCTGCCTTTCAAACATGTTTTAGTCATCAAGATCTTCAAATTTGTAACCCTTTCCAGCTTGATCCAGCAGAATGCAGATTTGGAAAAACAGAACGAGTTTAAAATACATGATTCTAAGAAACCTGGACCAGAACTATCAAAACTTGGTTTCCCAGAGAATATAGCAAATGGGCTCATTGGCCAATACTATGACATTGGCTTTTGAGAAAAGAAAGGCTTTATTGCAAGGCTGGCCAGCAAGGAGACAGGAGTTGGGCTCAAATCTGTCTCCCCAGTTTGGGGCTTAGGGCAAGTTTTAATTACACAGACGCATTTCTTATGAGTAGCAGGCAGAGAGCCTCCAACTTCTTCTGCCTAGGTACCAGCAGCTTAGACATGATGCAAACCTGGGAAGCACATACTGTATTTGGAGAAAGTGATTGGGAAGAAATGTGAGCTGAGGGGAGGGGCTCAGTGCCCCTGAGCTACACTTAGTGATGGCAGAGGAAGGATGTCCTCCCGCAGGAGGCTGTTCCACATCTGCTCTGGTTGTAGGGGGAGCTGGCAGGCATTAGCAGCGGCCTCTTTCCCCCAAGAGAGGCAGCCTCCTCCAAGTTTTGGCGACATTATGGCCCTGCAATCATAAGGGTTTGTGAGCATAGTGCTAAGGAGGGAAATGGAGCTGCTGTTACTAGTTCCACCCCAACACACACACACACACTCACAAGAAACCTCACAAGCACCGTATTGGAAGACTTTGCCATCCAACCTGGGATTTGACAGGCTCTAGAAGCAGAATCATAGACTCATGAAGTTCCCCCAAAGCAGGAATCTTCCTTACAGTAACCCCCAACCACCCCCCTCCACCGCCTCCACCGGCTGCTTCTTCCTGAACACTGCAGTGTTTGGAAAACTCACAAACTTCCAAGCTTGCCTTTCCTATTGTTGCATGGATTGAAAGCTTGCGTTGTGTGAAGAATGGCGCTTCCTGCTGTGCTTAGTTTTATCTCATATAATCTTTGCACCATTTAATCCTTGCACTCACCCACTCATGCAACTGCCTTTGCAGAGACTGGAGGGGCCGCTGTAGGCTGACCTTTCCTTCACTGTACCTATTTTGTTCCCTGCTTTATTCCCCTGCACCCAGGACACTGCCTGGCACAAAGACAGGTCTTTATAAGTGTATGCAAGTGAATAAAGATATATATATTATTATTGTTATTTTTGAGACAGTTTCACTCTGTCACCCAGGCTGGAGTGCAGTAGCGCAATCTCAGCTGACTGCAACCTCTGCCTCCCAGGCTCAAGTGATTCTCATGTCTCAGCCTCCTGAGTAGCTAGGACTACAAGCATGTGCCACCACGCCCAGCTAATTTTTGTATTTTTAGTAAGGACAGGGTTTCACCATGTTGGCCAGGTTGGCCTCCAACTCCTGACCTCAAGTCATCCTCCTGCCTCGACCTCCCAAAGTGCTGGGATTACAGGCATGAAACCAGCCTAGAAATACATACTATTATTTATTCTTGTTTTACAGATAAGCAAAGTGAGTCATGGAGAATTTGGTTGAAAGTCCCAAGGTCAGGAGTCGTGAAGCTGGGATTAAAACCTAATCATCTGACTTTAGAGAGTAGACACTTGCTCCATGCATATTGCCTCCAATTCATTCATTCAAGCACTCCCTGCTCAAGAAGTTCTTTCTTATGTTGAGCTGAAATCTGCAGCCCTATGCGTTTTACCCAGCAGTCCTGGTGCTGTTCCCTAAAATCACTTAGACTGTGCCTGCTCTTTCTGTGTTTACAGTGTCAGCTGTAATATCCCCCTCTTCGGCCTAACGTTTCTGAAGTCCCTTGCCACTGGGTCTCCTCTCCTCTTCCTGTGTTCTTTCTAAGAACACCTATGCAGATAGGTGTCTTCTGTACAGGGAAGCTGTTCCTGAGATCCGGGCATCGACTCTGTTAGAATAATCTACGTATGAGTTATTTTTTTGAGAACTATGTGTCATTGCTGACTCATATTAACTCTGTGGTTAACTAAAATCTCAAGATCTCTTTATGTTTGTTGAGAAACTTATTTAACTTCTCTGGCCCTCCGTTTCCTTCACTGAGCAGTGGAGTGATTGATAACCTCCACCTGTGGTTGCTGAAGGTCTTGCACAAGATGATATAGTTAAAGTAGCTAGCAGTGCCCACGTACGGCGGATGCCTCACAACGGTTTGCAGCCATCTCTCTATCTGTGTCTTTGTCTCTCTCTCACACTGGTTTTGGCTTACTGTTAGCAGCTAGCCGAGATAAGTGTGTTTATGGTCTTTGCATGTATTGTTTCTGTAGCATACTGGAGGATTACAAGAGGTTGGGGAGTGAGGGGGCGGTGAGGAGTAGACAAAGGCAGCCAACTCTTCCAAGTTTAGCTTAGAAGGAAGGAGCGGTAAACCCTAGTTGAATGTTGGACTGAAGCAGGTTTGTTTTTGTTTTGTTTAAAGGATAGGGAAGATCTGTGCGTGTTTCCAGGATAAAGAAAAGGAGAGAATATGATATTAAAGATTCTGGAAGTGGGAGAAGGAGCAATGAAATACAGACTTGAAGTCAGTGGCATGGACAGGGTCAAGATCACAGTTAGAGGATGCAGCCTTAGAGAAAAGGAAGGGGCTCGGTTCTCTGAGCAAGGAGGGAAAGAAGAGAGGCAGATGCAGAGAAGTACGGCACATCGTGCTGCTGGTTGTAGAAATAACCTCTGACTTTTAATAAAGTCATCCCTCGGTATCCCTGGGGGATTAGTTCTATGACCTCCCTCGGATGCCAAAATTCGTGGATGCTCAAGTCCCTGATATAAAATGGCATAGTATTTGCATTTAACCTACACACATCCTCCATATCCTTTTTTTTTTTTTTTTTTTTTTTTTTTTTTTTTTTGTGAGATGGAGTCTTGCTCTGTCGCCCTGGCTGGAGTACAGTGGCTCGATCTTGGCTCACTGCAAGCTCCGCCTCCCGGGTTCATGCCATTCTCCTGCCTCAGCCTACAGGTGCCTGCCACCACGCCCAGCTAATTTTTTTTTTGTATTTTTTAGTAGAGACAGGGTTTCACCATGTTAGCCAGGATGGTCTCGACACATCCTCCATATACTTTAAGTAACCTCTAGATAATCTCTAGATTACTTGTTTTGTCTTTTTTTTTTTTTTTTCTTTTTGAGATGGAGTTTCACTCTTGTCACCCAGGCTGGAGTGCAATGGTGCAATCTCAGTTCACTGCAACCTCCGCCTCCTGGGTTCAAGCAATTCTCCTGTCTCAGCCTCCTGTGTAGCTAGGATTACAGGCCCCTCCCCACCCCCACCCCCCAACAACTGGCTAATTTTTGTATTTTTAGTAGAGATGGGGTGTCACCACGTTGGCCTGGCTGGTCTTGAACTCCTGACCTCAGGTGATCTACCCGCTTCAGCCTCCCAAAGTGATGGGATTATAGGCATGAGCCACTGTGTGTGGCCTAGATTACTTATAATACCTGATAGAATGTAAATGCTATGTAAACAGTTGTTATACTGTATTGTTAAAAGACAGTAACAAGAAAAAAAATCTGTACATGTTCAGTCCAGACAAATGGTTTTCTGTTTTTTTTTTTTTTTTTTAATATTTTTGGTCAGTGGTTGGTTGACTCCAGGAATGCAGAACCCGCAGATATAGAAGGTTGATTATGCGTTCAGAGGCAGGGAATACCATCTTGGGTTCCAGAAAGAAAATGATCAGCATTTTCTGTCATACTCTGGTAAAAACAGATCTTTTGAATGGACAGGTGTATTAAACCCTGTGGAGCTGGCTGGGCCTGGCGGCTCACGCCTGTAATCCCAGCACTTTGGGAGGCTGAGGCAGGTGGATCACGAGGTCAGGAGTTCGAGACCAGCCTGGCCAATATGGTGAAACCCCAACTCTACTAAAAATACAAAAATTAGCCGGGCGTGATGACGCATGCCTGTAGTCCCAGCTACTCGGGAGGCTGAGGCAGAAGAATCGCTTGAACCCTGGAGGTGGAGGTTGCAGTGAGCCGAGATCACGCCACTGCACTCCAGCCTGGGCAACAGAGTGAGACTCCGTATCTAAAAAAAAAAAACAAAAACCTGTGGAGCTGATGAAATCCTGCAGGGAGCTTCACGGTGACAGCAAGAGGAGAAACACATCCCCATATGCCCCGCAGAGTTTGAAGTCCCGGCTGCACCTCTCCCCAGCAGCAGGTTGACTCTGGAAAGTTGCAGCGTTCTTACCTACAGAGTGGGAACAGTACTACCCATTGCACAGAGTGGGTGCAAAGCTCTGTGACGGAATACATGGCAAGTGCCCACCACATTGCCTGGGATGAGGTGGGCCCTTCCTTTACGTAAGAGAGCCCTACAGATACACTCAAAGTGGGCACATTCCTACAGAAGGAGTGTTATTTGTGTAGAAAAGAAAAACATGAAAGGCTTTTATTCCTATACACAATAAAGCACCCCTTTAATGTCTTTTTGAGGAGGATAATATGAAATTGATGAAAAGGAACCCTGTGGTTGGATCCCTGACAATCACATGTATCCCTTTTTTCACTCTTGAAAAAGGAGTAAAGGAATAAAATAGAAGGGGAGAGGGGGCAGAGAGACCTTCACCGCCCCCCCCCCACCCCCCATCATCCAATCTATAGTCAAACCCTCCAGACTGTGTCTCCTTGGCATCTCTGACACCCCCACCGCCACCACCCCAGTCAATTCCTATCTTATCCCCCTATCCTGGATCTGATTCTGCTAAGTTCCTGCCACACTAAAGACAGGGTGGCTTTCTGATGACAACATTCCTCTGCTTAAACCTGTCAGTAATTCCTTGTTGCTCTCAGACGGAACTAAGTTCTGAATTTCTTCACACGGCTCTCAGCAAGGTCACAGTCACCCTGCTAGGCCCCAGGGGCAAATCTCAATGGTCATCTTCTTGAAGACCTGGCTCAGTTATTTCTTTCTCATTGAGGCTCACGACCCCACCTTCTTGCATGCCTCAAACGGCCCCTTACCATGCTCTTCTTTCGCCCATAGCTCAGCACACCATATCATTTTAATTTATGTATTTTGCTTAATGTGGATGATCTGTCTCCTCCTCTGCTGTCCTCACCAGAGCATCAGTTCCTCAAACCAAGGCTCTTTGTTTTGTTCTTGGATGCAAGCTAAATGTCTGGCATGTGGCAAATGGTCATAGATACATGTCATTGAAAGAATGATTCATCACCTCCCTCTTTGGCCTTGTCTGTGGTTCTACCAAATCCCATTCCCTCCCCAGTGCCCTCCATTCCCCCTCCTTGGCTGAACATTCTGAACCACAGACAGTTCTTTACCCTGAACCTTTGCATATTTTGTTCTCTTAGCTTAGAGCGGCCCCTCTCCCTCCGTCTGCTTGGCTAATTTCTACTTGTTCTTCAGATTTTATCTTAGATGTCATTCCCTCAAGGAATCCTTCTGTGACTCAACATGGAATTAAGTTGCCTCCTTTGACCCTGAAAGCACCATGTACTCAATCTCATCTTGGCATGACTCACTTTGCTGTGTGGAATGTCTGCTTTCCTTGTTTGTCTATTCCTTTAGACTGTAAGATCCTAGAAAGTGGGGGCCGTGCCTTGCTCATGACTGTGTTTCTAACACCAAACACAGTGTTCAGTAGAGAGCAGCTGCTGAGTACGTTTCTGCTAAATGACAGTTGATGGAGGACATTTAGGGTTGCTTGGAGGTCAAGTCAAGGAGGCATTTAACATTCTAGTAAAACAAGGAAGTAACAGGCTCCTGAACATGCCCACAATGAACCAGATGCAAACCTTTTCCCTTGGCAGGATTCTTTGCCCATAAAGTGGAGCACGAAAGCAGGACCCAGAATGGGAGGAGCTTCCAGAGGACCGGAACACTTGCCTTTGAGCGGGTCTACACTGCCAAGTGAGTCCTAACCCTGATGTTGCTAATAAGTGGGGGCATGGGCAGGGGGGCCTCCTTCTAGGAGTGATGACCACCCTTAATACCACATGTCTGTCTGAGCCAAGTTTCTGAGCGCCAGGGAGGTGAGGAAGGTTGGACTTCACCAGAGAGGCTTTGTGGACACCCTTTATCATCTTAGTGAGTGCTAGTGTCAAAACAAAGGGAGTGGGGATATGGGGCACATTGGTGGAGGGAGGTGTGATCTCTGCAGCTTCAGAAAGATCTGAAAGAGTCATTTGGTTAGAGAAGTTGACCTATTTCCTGTGGGGTTAGACCAGGGTTGCTACTGTGAACACCAGCCATGACTCACCAGTCACCTTCAGAAGCCACAGGCAGGACATGCTGACGACAGCCTTCAACTCACCCACCCCTTGCTCCCCTGCGGGTGGAAGTCTGGAGGTGACACCACTGCATTTTCTAACACGGGGGCTCCTTGAGCAACTAGAACAAGAACAGAAAGAATGGGGACATTAGCAGGTGCTTTCCCCCTCTCTCATTCTTTTCTTTGAATAAAAAGGTTGTTTGAAAACACCTGAGCGGCTCCTAAAGATGGGTGCAATCTATTCGGGATGCAAATCCGAATGAATGTTATTCAAATGCTCCTCTCTTCTTTATGCAGAGTGTATTTCAAGGCTCAGCCAGTGGCAGGCATGCTGGGGACTATGGACTACGGACTAGGGGCCTGTCACAGAGGAAGGCCTCATGCTAGAGAGCTAAGGGAGGAGCTGGCCTTCAGTTCCATCCCAGGAGCAACTTTGATGTTCCCAGAGATCCTTCCAAAGGGGGAGTCATGGTCACCCAAGAAAAATGTATTCAGAATGCCAAGAATGGTGCAAACTCAGGACAAAGATTCACACTGCAGGGTTGGAGTCCCTGGGCTTGCTGCTGGCACCATGGGAGGGAGGGTCCCCTTCAGGGGTACCGTTGGTTTCCTGTGAATTAAACTGGCTTCAAGGGATCTCGACTGAACAGGCCTATATCACACTCACTGATATACTCTCTCTTCAGTCCTTCTCCTCATCTAGGTATTTTTAATTGTTTCAGTGAGGTGTAGGCATGAGGGGATTGGAGGGGGCATCTCCTCCATTGCAGTTTTTCATTGGCTGCTTTGCTCCCTCAGCTCCGAAATCGCTGGGCCACTCTCGAACGCATTAGTACGGTAGTCACAGGTTGATTGCCTGGCCCCTTGCCCTCTGTGGGCATTTTCCCTTTCAGACAGCCCCTGAGTACTCACAGTGCTGCTACAGTGGGCCACCTAGATCTCCCTCTTTCTCCATGCTCCCACGTGCTCTGGGCTCCACTCCCTTCTCCCAAGCACTTCTGTCCAGGGCTATTCCAGCAGTCTGACCTCAAGGAAATCCTTTGCTAAACTGATTATAGAGAGGTTTCTATTTTAACATTTAGGTCTTCCATGTATTAATTCTCAGAATCAATTTAAGATGTTTAAAGGTGTGATTTAAGACATTTTAAAACCATTTGGAGGAGAGTACAGAAATTATGTCACTTGCTGTCAGCCTCTTTGCACCATCTGCAGAGAAAGATACTAGAGTCCCGCCTTGGACACATCCACATGCAAGAGGTGCAAAGAAGGTGTCTTTGATGAGGCAAGGTCAAAACTTCTCCCCAGACGAAATCCAAAGAAAGCATTCCTACTATGCTATATCAGTTTGGAAAGAAAAACTTCTGCCAGGTGACTGCATTCTCACTGGTCACATTGTGTTCCTATGGACTCCTCAGCTCAACCAATTTGGAGAAGTTATGGTGCAATTTCACCATATCTGGTTAGAAGTTAAGTTTCCAATTTGCTGGCAATGAAGAAGAAATGGAGCAGGCCAGGCTGTGTAGTTTCTGCCACGTGCCCCCGGGAGTGAACAGCTCTGTTTGTAAGAAGCCATGGTGCTTAGACCTGGGCTCGCTAGTTGCCAGCCTCCAAATTGCAGAAGTGCCCTTTGGTTGGTGGCTATGCTGTGTCACTTGGGAAGGTCGTTTGGAAGTTCCACAGTCGTTGTGGGGTGCCAGAGATTAAAAAGCGTAAGAGGAGAGTGGAAAGTGATTGTTGCTGCTTGGGCATCCCCACCGTGTGGGTGCTGCAGCCCAGCTCTCAAAACCCATGGGTCTGTACACTCAACCTCCATGAGAGGGAAGGAGAAGGATGAGGGAGGGGAGAGATAGCCATGGAAAGGTAGGAACTAAGCAGGCAGGGTGGAGAGTTTTCTGTAAGACAAAAACTGTCTGGACACTGCTGCGGTTCTGTTACAAAGACCACTTCCTCCCTGGGCCAGCAACATATCTGTGTGCCTGTCTGGGTTGTAAAAAGGGTCAAAGATCAATGCAGCAGGCAGCTACATGCTGGCAAAAGCCAGAGGCAGCTGGTCTGTTTGCCTGTGCCAGGAAACCACTGGGAATGGGGTTGTGTGTTATTCTAGGAGAAAGTCGTCCCAGCAGCAGCTTCTCCAGGGGCATCCAAGAGCACTGAAAAGGGTTGCAAGATGACCCATGAGGCTGCAGGAAGAAAAGAACATGCATTTAATCTTGCTATCTGAAAAGTAAGACATGAAGCTTTCCTCATTTTTAATATACACATGGACAGTAGTATGTGTATATAGTTTATATGCAAATATACTTGTTATAAGGTTGCATGCTCAAAATTTTTGGTTCATGGGGTGTGGGATCATAAATGTTTAGGGACCATGGCTATCAAGGAAAAACAGCATGAAGGATAAATGATACTGGTGGATTAAAAAGACAGATGCATGTATTTTTAGCATAAAACACAACTGCTGACTGATACAGATAGCTCAAGATTCTGGGGCAGCTGCTGAACAGATACACTAGCCAGTGTGGCTCATCGGCTCAGACTTGGCCTTAATTAATGGGCTGTCCCTCCACCCATCTCCCATGAGGGCAGAGCTGAGCCAGGGTTTGAGAGCTAAAAGGAATTGGACCTGGACTCTGTTCACGTGTATATTTTAATTCTAATTAATTCATTCTTTTGAAAGACAGAGTCACACTCTGTTGCCTAGGCTGGAGTGCAGTGGCACGATCTTGGCTCACTGCAACCTCGGCCTCCCAGGTTCAAGTTATTCTCCTGCTTCAGCCTCCTGAGTAGCTGGGATTATAGGCACATGCCCCCATGCCTGACTAATTTTTGTATTTTTAGTAGAGACGGGGTTTCACCATGTCAGGCTGGTCTTGAACTCCTGACCTCAGGTTATCCACCCGCCTTGGCCCCTCAAAGTGTTGGAATTACAGGTGTGAGCCACCGTGCCTGGCCTGTTCACATGTATAAAACACAGTTTAATGTCCTATTCCCAGCCAATGAGCATGGCTAGAGCAGCCTTGGTCAAAGTTTGGTTTTTGGAGAAAAATCCTTGTTAGCTGACCTAAGATTCCTCTTTGTGAGTGTAAGTAAGCACAGGTTGCAGAGAGGAGAAGGGTCTCTGGAGAGGTGTAATTTTCTAAATGGATTACAAGTTCATGGACTTTTAACAGGTGTTACAGGGGATAACAAGTTCTTTATAGACAGACTTTTGAGGACGTTTAAGGGTATTCTGATTCTTGGTTTTCTAAGAGGGGAATGTATTATTTAACTACAGACACCCCTACCGCCCACTTTTTGCAGAGTGTATCAAAACATGTTTTTGGAATACCACCCTCATGTCGCTTCTCCCTGCATCTCTTATCTCTTGGTGTCCATTCTAGACTCACTTTCTTTCTGTTTTTTATTTTTATTTTTTTTTGAGATGGAGCTTCACTCTGTCACCAGGCTGGAGTGCAGTGGTGCAATCTTGGCTGACTGCAACCTCTGCCTTCCGGGCTTAAGCAATTTTTGTGCCTCAGCCTCCTGAGTAGCTGGGATTACAGCATGCACCACCATGTCCGGCTAATTTTTGTATCTTTAGTAGAGACAGGGTTTCACTATGCTGGCCAGCCTGGTCTCAAACTCCTTACCTCAGGTGATCTGCCCGCCTCGGCCTCCCAGAGTGCTCAGATTACAGACGTGAGCCACTGGTGCCTGGCCTAGACTCACTTTCAAGTGGCATAGACTTGTAAAATTATTTAAAGGTGATAGGTCTACAATGATCCTGTCAATTAGTATTGACACTATTATTAATAAACTGTTATTAATTATATTTACTTACTTTAAATTAATCCAAACTAATTAACGGAACACTAAAGAGTTTCTATGTTTTATTCCCAGAGGTGGAGAAAAATGAAAGGGAATATAGCAACGAATTCTTTTCTCCATAAAAACATGAATAGTGCAGCACATCAAGTTGAACATACCACAGCAAATTGTTGCAAGATCTGCTGAGTAGCTCCTATTTAGACCTCAAGGAATGAGACTCAAAATGGGTTCATCAGTTCTGTTTTGCAGAAAAAATAGCGCAAAATTTCTCAAAAGAAAATCCAGAATAATAATAATTTGTCAATAGGAAAGACATTTCCACTGGGGGTTAAGAAGGAAGACATTGGAACAATGATAGCCACCACTTATTGAATGCTTACTGTGAGCCAGGTGGCACTTCACCTTGTTTCATTCTCACAACAGTCTAGGGAAGTAATTACTAATGTCTCCATCCACCTCTTGTAGATGAGCAAACTGAGGCTCATTGAGGCTAGGAAATGCACCCACACTCACATAGCCCATAAGAGGCAGCCATGGCATTGGGCCCAGACCATGTGAACTTCAAAGACTACACGAGCAGCCACTGGGCAGCTGTCATGGCTAAAGCCACTTGAATTCAGCCCAGCAGCAACCCCCTCTCCAGGAGGGGCACATAAGCTTGCAGCTTTGGGTAGAAGCTGCACTTGAAGTCCTGGATGGCGAGAGGGACTGGCTTGAGCCAGAGCCAGGAACAAGGCTCTGAGAATATTCTGGAAATCCACAGGAGGAACCCATTTTCTTACAGCTGGGAGAATTTCATTCAACTCCAGGCTGACCATGTTTTATTAGGAACGAAGGTGACTTGAACTAATAGTCAGGAATGGTTGAATACGGACCCAATGTCAAATCACTAGGCAGTTCACATTTCTAATGAGCAAATCCCTTAGACAATTAAGAATTTTTTTCCTTTTGCATAACCCAGACAAAATCGCTACTTAAAAACAAACCAAAGACCCGAAACATGAGAAAGAGAAGGAAGCAGGGGAAATCTTTGGTACTAATAAGTTTTTAAACAATAAGAGCACCAGATATTTTACCCCATCAGACACAGAATGTTATTCGAATAACCAAAAAAGGAATTTTTTCTCTAAGTTTCTTGAACTGGAAAATGAATCATATTTTCTCAGTCCTGAGGCTGCAATTTTGTGCCTCTAGTAACATATAAGAATAGATGTGATGCCAGTGCCCAGTAGCTGCTGCAATTGTTACTTGGGGACCTGTTTATTCACTAAGCACTTCACCCCAGTGATAAATTTGTAGGGGCCTCCTGCCCTTTGGAGCTCCTACCGTGTCCATTAGATCAGTGGAAATTCTGGGATTCAGAGCACTTTGCAAGGTCAGCAGGGGTCTGCTCTTTCTGTCCTGTTCCTGGTTTTTGGTTGTGCCTGGATTCCAGGGTAGGTTTCTCATCTGTTACCTTCATAGACTTCTCCAGAAAAGGATCTTTTGACCATCAGAGGACCACGAAGATTCCATTGGTGAGGCGCAGATAACCTGATCTCTCTGGGTTCTCTGCAGGGCACAGATGAAGGGCTGGCCATTCCCAAGTTCTCAGTGGTACCACTGAGGCATGAGACCCTAATGGTTTGCATGAGCAGTTTGAAAATTGCATCTTTGTTTTTACCTATATAATCACATGAAACCCGTGGTTCTCAAACGTCAGCAGGCATCAGCATCACATGGAGGGCTTGTTAAAACAGATTTCTGGGCCCCAACACAGAGTTTTAAATTCTGAAGGCCTGAGGTGGGTGTGAACATTTGCATTTCTAACATGTTCTCGATGCTGCTGCCGCCTCTGGTCCCGAGAGCATGCCTGGAGAACTGCCACCTTCGACCATGGACTGTGAGAATTCACATGGACCTCAGAATTATAATCAGTCTCTCAGTTTTACAGATAAGGAAACTAAATCCAGAGAGATTGTTTTGCCAATGGTGAACAGCTGGTTAAAGTCAGGATGGAGACTTTAATCCTAGTCAAGTGACCTTTCCTCTGTATTTATTTCCCTCCCTTTTTATGCCTCTCAAGTCTAGTTACACTGTTTTTCATGGATGGGCATATTTATTGTCCTGATCTGGACTGCAGACTTCTCAGGAGGACACCTATGATTTAATTTAGTATAGTTGAAGAGTTAACAGACATGGCTTTGGAGACAGACTGATTATGGTGTGAATCCCGGCTTTGCCACTCCCTAGCTGGATGACCCTGAGCAAGTTATTCAGCTTCTCCAAGCCTGAGTTCCTTATTGGAAACATGAGAGCAATTGTGATAGGCAGAATAATGGCCCCCTCACCAATCATGCCCACATCCTAATCCTAGGAACCTGTGAATATGTTATGTTACATGGCAAGGGGAAATTCAGGCAGCTAGCCAGTTGGCCTTAAAATAAAGAGATTATCCTGGATGATCTGGGTAGGACCTGATGTAACCACAAGGGTCTTTTTAATGTGGAAGAAGGAGGCATAAGAGTAGATGTCAGAGTCATTCAAAATAAGAAAGATTTGATGGGCCATCCCTGACTTTCAGGTTGGAAGGAGGTTCTGAGTCAAGGAATACAGGTGACCTCTAGAAGCTGGAGAAGGCAAGGAAATGGTTTCTCCCCTAGAAGTTCCAGAAGGATTGCAGCCCTGCTAATATCTTGACTTTATAGCCCTTTGAGATTTATTTTGGATTTCTGACATCCTGAACCATAGTAAAAGGGTGTTTTTTGTTTTTTTGAGACAGAGTCTTGCTCTGTTGCCTGGGCTGGAGTGCAGTGGTGTGATCTTGGCTCGCTGCAACCTCCGCCTCCCAGGTTCAAGTGATTCTCCTGCCTCAGCCTCCTGAGTAGCTGGGATTACAGGTGCTTGCCACCACACCTGGCTATTTTTTGTGTTTTTAGTAGAGACAGGGTTTCACCATGTTGGCCAGGCTGGTCTTGAACTCCTGACCTTGTGATCTGCCTGCCTCAGCCTCCCAAATTGCTGGGATTACAAGGCGTGTTGTTTTAAGCCACTCAGTTTGTGGCCACTTGTTACAGCAGCAAGAGGAAACTCATACAGTTATCATGTGAACTCACAGGAATATGGTGAGTTAAAAAGAGAGGAAGGGTGCAAAACATCCACGGTAGAGTGAGAACTCTCCAGGGAGTGAGGACTGTGCCCAGCATACAGTGATCACCCTCTTAGTAAGCTAAGTTTCTGAGCACCAGCTTTTTTGAGTTGACTTTGTTGTCTTTAACATTTGAAGATCACCCTTCTTTGCTCAGCCTGGCTTGCAGACCTGGGCTGATTTGTGGATCTGATAGAAAAGTTTCCTTAGTTGGGCTCTTCTCCCCGACCACCCCCATGCCAGTGTGGCCACATCCTCTGTCTGCATTGCTCACTCTTCAATTCCAAGAAGCGCAGGGGCACCGCCAGGAACAGGAACCCTGCCAGAGGAATACATCAAGAAACCAAGTCTCCCTTACGCATCACCGTAGGAACAGAGTTAATGGATTATGAACATGTGTTTGCTTTATACCATTGTTTGTTTCCCAGGTGGCAGCTGGCTGCCCCATCTTATTGGGTAGATGTAAGTGGAATTACGAATGGGATTTATGTTTCATGCACGATGGTGATTATTAACTTCAACTTTCAGGTAATTTTCAGACCACATTGCACTAACTTGGTCTCTGATTGTTTTTCTCCTTGTTTGTTTATTCTGCAGCCAGAACTGTGTAGATGCGTACCCCACTTTCCTCGCTGTGCTCTGGTCTGCGGGGCTACTTTGCAGCCAAGGTAACTCAGACTTCCCTTTGTTCATTCTCCTTCTATAAAGTGCATCTCAAGGAGGTTCAAAGGGCAGGCTTTTTGTTGAAAGGACTTTGCCTGACCTCTGGCTCCCATCTGTGAAGCCCTGGAGAGGTGAGAGCCCTCGGGAGGCCGTGTTTCAGGCATGCTCTGCACCCGTGCAGAGCGCGTGTGATAATGCATTGCTAATGCTTGCTCCCTGGTGGCTGGCTGAGAGCTGCTGTGCTGACAAGGGTGGTTTAAGGCTAAATGTGACTCAGAATCCTTAAGCAGTGTTAGTTCAGATACAAGGGCATTATAAATGAGAGTGCCTGAGGGATCTATTTTGGGACCGCTGTCACTTGGCTCTTCTGCTAATAAGCTTCCAGTGTGGTGGCCCTCCTTCAGGCATGTTTCCACTGAGCCACGGGCTGGATGCCACATCCCCGGCCTTCCCACAGTTATCAGCAGCCCACAGGCTTGACTTGAGCAAGTTGGAAAGACAAATCAACTTCCAGAGTTGATTTAACATTGAGTGGAAATCAGTCATACTTTTGGTCCCCTTTCGGGGCCACGCCTGGCACTGTGCCTGGTGGCAGATCGGCATGAACTGGCCAGCTTCTGTGGCCCTGGAGGGCACAGGCAGAAAGGCCACACTCAGTCCCATGATGAACTGTTTAAGACTTATTGTTGTCTCCCCGCTCTGTAAAGTAGATAGAGTGGATTTTATGTCCCTTATTACCTTTCAGGATACTTTGACTCAGGGAGATAAAGTAACTTGGGTACAGCTACTCAGCTGGTGAAGAACACAGGCAGAATGAGTGCCTGGGTCTTTTGACTTAAAATTCTGGATTTTTCACAAAGATCCTCTTACTTTATTCATTTACATAATAAATATATATTGAAGAGCTACTCTGTGCCAAGCCCTGTGCCTAGATATACAGTGATAAATAAAGAGTAGCTTCTAGAGGTCACCTGGCGGTGAGGCACAGGCCAGCTGGCAAGATGGACCACAGAAGTCAGTGAATGAAGACAATGACAAGGGTGGGAAGCGCCATATGGGAAGAGAACCAAGTTCAGTGATAGAGAGCAGAGGTGAGGCGGCAGCAGAAACCACTTAAGGGACACCACGTGGCACTCCTTCTGTGCTGAGAAGGCTGTCAGTAAGCTCACCATTTATTTCCTATTTTCTCTCCTGAGTTAAATAGGAAACATGTCTCGCATTACTTGAAAAATCAAGTCAAACTATGCTCTTACTAGGAGTTATGGTTCTTTTTATGTCTTAGATGATGCTTGATCTAGATGAATGCGGACTTGCTGTAGCTAGATAAATACAATGGGAGTTTGAAGGTGTTTCGTAGCCCTGGAAATAGGTATTTCCTGTCAAAACAAGCTTTGTCATTGCCAGCAGACAAAAGCATCAGTAACCTTGGTTGATAATCGTCATTTCTTAGGAATAAAGTAGACTGTAGAATTTTTTTTAGCAGAAAGGAAACCCAAAGATAATTCTAGTGCAAATCCCTCACTTTATAGAGCAGAAGCTCAAGTCCCAGAGGAACAAGTGGCTTGAACGAACATCAGAATTTTAGGGGCTGGATTTGTACCCTCCTGGTGCCAGCAGCCCACTTCCCTGCAGGAGGCACTCACCTTCCTTGCACAGGGGTATGAGTGTGGCCATTTTCCACCCATAATCTCTGTTAGCTCATGTTCAATTGGGTTCCCATTGAAAGAAAAATGGACCAGTAAGTTGGAGCAGAATCATTCAGATGGTATAACATAAGGAAAAACTTTGCCCAAGGCAAATCGTGATTGTGACAGCTTTGTGATTTTTAGAGAATAGCATGGGCCAGGCACAGTGGCTCATGCCTGTAATCCCAGCACTTTGGGAGGCCGAGGCAGGCAGGTCACTTGAGGTTGGGAGTTCGACAACAGCCTGACCAACATGGAGAAACCCTGTCTCTACTAAAAATACAAAATTAGCTGGGCGTGGTGGTGCATGCCTGTAATGCCAGCTACTCGGGAGGCTGAGGCAGGAGAATCACTTAAACCTGGGAGGCGGAGGTTGCGGTGAACCAAGATAGCACCATTGCACTCCAGCCTGGGCAACAAGAGTGAAACTCCGTCTCAAAAAGAGTTCACAGTTTCTCTTTTGCTTTGATTTTCTTATCTGCCGGATAACAATAGTATTTTGGAAGGCAGGAGGAATTGTGGAAAGAAATGGGTTTTGGGGAGTGGCTGATTGGAGGCAAATCCAAGGACACTCATTGCTGGTGTGTGACTCCAGGCAGTTACTCAGCTTTTCCAAGCCTCAGTTTCCTTATTGTAAAACAGGACCATGGTCTAGCTAGTAGCATTCCTATGGTGAGTGAAATAATATGTATAAAGCTCCTGACACAGTGCTTGGCATATATCAGATTGAGCCATGTAAAACTGCCAATATCTGGCTATTTATGACCTACAAAAATAGCATTTCATATGATTCCACCTAACATCTGAAGCGCAATAAATGTTATTATTGATAATGCAGGTGGTGGTGATAAAGTTTTGAAATCAGAAAGACCTGGCTTCAAATTCCACGCCTTCACTGGCCTGACTTATTTTCATTCATTTGACAAATATTATTTTGAACACCCCTATGTGCCAGGCACTATGCCAGGCTCAGAGATGATCTAGGAAAAAGACAGATGTCCTCATCTGTCTTAGGCTCTTGTGGCCTAAGCCTAAATTTCCTCGTCTGTCAAATGGTGACAGTAACACACTCCTTACCAGAGAGCTGGGAGGATTGGAGACTCAAGTTCCCAAAACGCCAGGAGCACTGCGGCAGGTGAAAAGTATTCCCTCAATGGCGGAAGTGTTTAAATTGCTTTTATATCTGTAGCTCTAGATAACACTAGTTCCAGCTTAGTTAACTCCCAGCTCCAAGCCTTCAGGACTTCATAGAGTTATTGGGGTGCTGCTCTTGGCAGTTTCCCAAAAAGCTAGAATGCAGAGGGAATCTCCTTCCCAAAAAGCTAGAATGCAGAGGGAATCTCCTTCCCAAAAGGCTAGAACGCAGAGGGAATCTCCTTCCCAAAAGGCTAGAACGCAGAGGGAATCTCCTTCCCAAAAGGCTAGAATGCAGAGGGAATGTCCTTCTCTTCTAAATGGTAGCTGTTAGTTCAAGAAAGGTTAAACATTGTGCTGTGGGGAGGCTCAGGGGTGAAGGGTGTACTTTTAAGAGAACCAGTTTCAGAGCTGGGTTTGGGGTTTAAGCCCTACCCTCTGCCCCCTTTTACGAGCTGACAGCCTTATGCAAGCCTGGTTGACCACCTGAACCCACGTTTCCACATCTGGAAATAGAAATGTGGGTACTAGTTATGTTGAAAGGACTCAGGTTAGATGATAGATATGCAAATACCTTGGAAACCAGGAGTGTCCAGTCTTTTGGGTTCCCTGAGCCACACTGGAAGAAGAGTTGTCTTGGGCCACACATAGAATACACTAACCCTATCAATAGCTGATGAGCTAAAGAAAAAACGTTGCAAAAAAAATCTCATATTTTTAAGAAAGTTTATGAATTTGTGTTGGGCTGTATTCAAAGCCATCCTGGGCCACGTGCGACCCGCAGGCTCCGGGTTGGACAAGTTTGTTGTAAACAATGCCATGATGCCGGCATAAGGTCGTTACCAGTATTAGGAAGGTTCTCAGGTTTCCTCTAGCCCTTGGGCTCTTTTCCTGAAGTGCGTGTGTCTTCTGCTAGATTTTGTGACCAATGTTGATTGCCTAATTGGGCTAACAGCATGTTTTGGTGGCTACGAAACTGACACAGGTGTTTTCATTTCTCCACTTAGTTCCTGCTGCGTTTGCTGGACTGATGTACTTGTTTGTGAGGCAAAAGTACTTTGTCGGTTACCTAGGAGAGAGAACGCAGAGGTAGGTAACTGGGACTACTAAAGAACTGTGGAGCGATTCCTGATTTTTGAGCAGGAAGAGTGACAATTCAAAACAGTATTTGACTAGATTCACGGCTCCGTAGCATCCCCTTGGGTGGGAGGGGGAAGGCTGACTAGGACCTCTGATTCTTCTTTCCCTGAGCTTTGAAGGCTCTGAAAATACAGCTGGGGGGACTTGCCCAGTTTTCTTATTAAGCAATTCCTCCGCATGGTGCTGGCTTTCAAAGGGTGCTTCAGTGCTGTTTGCTGCACGTGCCTTGCAGCCCCACACCCTGCACTCCCGCCCTGCAGAGTCTGGCGCTGGAATGACATTTTAGGTCTGGGTTCCCAGGCCTCCTGAGAGTGAAATGTTTCATTGTTTGTCTAGAGAAATGAGAACTAAAGCTTGCACCTTGTGATAAGTTGTCCTGAGGAACATATCTTTCAGGGACCAGAAGAAAGAATGTTGGGAAAATAAGATGCAGTAAGATGCAGACATGACAGCAGGGTGCAGCGGCTCACGCCTATAATCCCAGCACTTTGGGAGGCTGAGGTGGGTGGATCACCTGAGGTCAGGAGTTTGAGACCAGCCTGGCCAACATGGTGAAACCCCGTCTCTACTAAAAAATATACAAAACATTAGCCAGGCATGGTGGTGGGCGCCTGTAATCCCAGCTACTCCATAGGCTGAGGCTGGAGAATCGCTTGAACCCAGGAGGCAGAGGTTGCAGTGAGCCGAGATTGCGCCACTGCACTCCAGCCTGGGCAACAAAAGCAAAACTCCATCTCAAAAAAAAAAAAAAAAAAAAAAAAAAAGATGCAGACACGAGACTGTGAAACTGACTAGCATCACCATTGCATTGTTTATAGATGTTGCCAGACAGAAAGCCCCAAAGCAGCACAGTACCTTCCTGACATCTGGACTAGGAAATCTAGATTTTAGTAAAATACATGCTAATACTTACAGAAGAAATGTCGGCGTTAGAGTATGCCGTCAGTTCCTTAGAGATTGCAATTCCTAATGCACTAGTATGGTTTCAGGTGCCAGGAACACGTTCTGTGAGGCTGCTGCCCCAGGTGCTGACCCCAGCCTTCCACACCATTTTCCTTCCTTGTGTTCACAGCCGCTCTGTCTTTTACAATAGCACCCCTCTCTAGTGGCTAATGGGCTCTATGATTAGATAGCATCCTTCAGTAGTGATAAAGGCAGTGACATCCTAGGGAGGTCAGCGGGTGAAAGCGCTATATCTGGAAAACCTGAGAGCCTGTGAAGCTCAAGGACTTGACGGGGTTAGACCGTGAGCCGGGCTGCAGCTGGAAAAAGAATGACTGTTCTTTCAGCAGATCCTTCCCTGTGCCATCTCTTTCTTCATTCCTCTCTAGTGGCATTCTTATTTATCCTCTAAAACCACAATTCCATTATCTCTCCTATTCTTATCAACACTGCCCTAAATGATATTCTTTATTCTCTTTTGCCCTGGAAAACCTCTATCATGCCTTTTCCCATGTGATTACCTCGTTAAGAGTGGGGGTGGAATGTCTAGCAATGAAATAAGAGGGTCTTCTCTTTTGCCTGGCTCCCTATGCAGCCCTATCTTACCCCCTGCAAAGTCCCAGGGATGTGGCTCAGTCACTGCTCCTCTCTTCATCTGTCACCACTTGCTTGAGATCCTACAGCTGCTTTAATTCCGAGACCATCTGCAGAACATGACAAAATTTGTCCACCTACCCACATGTCCTTTTAACTTTAAAGGCTTTACTAACTGATTCCTATTAGGGAATGAACAGAGGTGGCAAAAATAAACAATAGGAGATTGATTTACAAGAAATCTTTAAAATAGTAGATTTCTTCGGACCTCATTGAAATATAAATGGCCTGCCTTCTTGTGTCCCTCCCTGGTCTCCCTCTTTAGGTGATAAGAAGAAGATCCTGCCAGCCCCATAACCCGCCATCTGCGCGGGTTCTAGACCCCCTTCTCCTCCCCTCTGGCCGTGGTAGGCATTACTGATGAATCATGGTGCTCTTTCTTCCAGAGACCAAACCTGGCCTCGGAATCCTTCTTAACACAGATACTGCTTAACACAACCACTCTGAGCAGCTGTCATAAGTAGAAGTAATAGATACTAGAAGAAATGTCTAAGCCTAATCTAGACCAAAATACGGCCTGATATAGATGCAAGCCAGAGGGGCTTTATGGTTAAATGCAAGGAGATTTTCAACCCTGCCGTCTAGAAGCTACTTGCTGAGATCTTCTTCAGTTGGGCCCATCTCCTCCCCAGGCCTCTCTTCTGTTCCTGGGCTATGTCACACTTGGACTCTGCAGACACCTAATGCTCTTGGGACCTGCTTTAGTTCTTGACCTCACCAACCGAGGAGGAATTGCTAGATGAGATCCTTCCCCCGGAATTTCTCTCTTGAACCCCAGATGGTCCGTTGCCCCTTTCCAGAAGTTGCTCCAGCCCTGTCCGCTTAGGAAGTTCAGTGTCATCCTTGATCCAGTGGGTAGGGAAGACATTCCATAATGAATGCCCCAGTCTGAGCTTCTTCCTTCAGGCTTCAGGCTGCCCTGCGAGGATTTTGCAGCTCCCTTTTTAATGCCCTCTAGAAGTTTCTGGCTCTTATTTTCAGCCCTTCATCCTACTCTCTCTGACCCCTTCCTCTATCCTGTTTAGTTCACCTGTAGCAGTTACTACCCAGCAGTGAAGGATGAATCTTGGTTTCGTTTCTTTTCTCTTCTTTTCTTTTTTCTCTTCTCTTTTCCCCTTCCCTTCCCTTCCCTCCCTTCACATCACCTCATCTCACCTCACCTTACATAGTCTTGCTCTGTCACCCAAACTGGAGTGCAGTGGCCTGATCTTGGCTCACTGCAACCTCCACCTCTTCCCAGGTTCAAGTGATTCTTATACCTCAGCCTCTTGAGTAGCTGAGACTACAGGTGTGCACTACCACACCCAGCTAATTTTTTGTATTTTTAGTAGAGATAGGGTTTAGCTATGTTGGCCAGGCTGGTCTCGAACTGCTGAACTCAAGCAATCTGCCATCCCCGGCCTCCCAAAGTACTGGGAGTATAGGCATAAGCCACCCATGATGCCCAGCCTGAATCTTGGTTTCTTCCCCATTCATTTAAGCTATTACCTGGGCCTGAACTCAATGGCACCTGGCACCAACTGGCAACTGACTCTTGGTCTTTTATTACCTACCTTCCCTAGCAGGCACTGGGTTGCTCCCTCTTCCTATCCCATGGAGTCCTGTCCTCTGTTGGGGCTCCTACTGATCCTCTTGGCAATATGAAGTTCTCAGCTCAATGGTGGGTGGGCAATGACTGCCAACTCTTGAGGCCAATGAACTCAGGTTACCCCACTCCTCCTCCTCCTGAGTTGCTCACTCACTCCTCATTCACTCAACATTGATTCAGTAGATATTTGCTACCTGCTCTGTGCCAGGTACCAGGTCAGTTGCTGAAGGAGTAACAGTGAACATGACGGAGTCTTTGTCCCCAAGGAGACCCAAGGTGTCTCCTAGAGCCAGGGGCACATTGCAAGACCAAATATATTCAACTTACCAAAATAATCATAGACCTAGTTCTCAAAAAGCAAGAAGACTGATTCCTCGTTGTCATTTCTCCTCCTCAGCATCAATGTTTTAGAGTCTGTGGGCCCCTCCAAGTGTGGAGTATGGTGTTACTTCACCAGAGTTTGAGGAGAAACATTCTTCTTTTGGAAGGCCGGGGAGCATAGATGGATATCAAGGCTGCTGTTTCTAAAAGCGAAACCCACCAAACAACAGTATTAGAATCATCTGTGGTGCTTATTAAAGATACAGATTCCTGGGCCCCATCCCAGACTTATGAATCAGAATCTCTGCCAGAGGAAGCCTGAGAATTTGCATTCTCAGATGATTCTGCATTCTCAGATAACACATTCTTTAGGTGATTCTTACACACACTGGAGTTTGGGAATCGCTGAAGGCTGTTCACTTCTCTTTTCTGAGAAATGATTCATTCATTTCAGAAATATTTGCAGAGGTCCTTATTTATTGGAGATTTGTGGGTGGGCAGAGGAGAAATATCTTGTCCTCACAGAGCTTACAATTTTTATTTTCTTTAGAGGTCACCAGGCTTAAAATGACACTTCCCTAAATTCTGAAAAGAACAGATTTTTAAAACAAGAAGGGACTGTAATGTTTTCTGTTCCTACCTCGTATTTTGTTCACATTAAGAACCTGGGGTGGGAAGTGGAGGAGGGGGGGTGACTGGCGGGGGGCCACAGAGAGCTGAGCTGGGGTGGTCTCGAACTCCTGAACTCAAGCAATCTGCCAGCCTCAGTCTCCCAAAGTGCTGGGATTATAGGCATGAGCCACCCACGATGCCTGGGTGGAACTCAGGGCTCTGGATGCCTGGGCGCCCCCATCTCCCACACTACGGCGCCTCATCCTAGAAGTGGTTAGCACCTTTGAGATGGGAATTATTTAGCAGGATGCTTTTGTGTTTTCATGTAAGTTTTATGCTGCCTGTGGAGGGCACAGCTGTTTCAAAACTAATAACCAAATCCTGGTCTCCGAAGTCTGAAGGCATCCTTTGCCCTGCAGTGCAAAGCACGGGATTCTGGCCTCACACAGGCAGGTCTGAACTCCTGTGTTGCCTCTTGCTGGCTGTGGGACCTGAGGCAAATCATGCAACCTCTCTTTTCTGTTTGCCTAGATGGAAAATAGGTTTACAATACGCCCCCATAGGATGGCTGTGAGAATTAAAGGAAGTCATGGGTGTACAATACCTGGCCCCGAAAGATGCTTAATAATTTAATTCTGACCTTCCTCACTCATTTAGGATTATGTACCAACTTTTAGAAACAATGAAAGATTAGTGAGTCTTCTGTGGTTGGTATAAAAAAAAAATAGAAACATGAAAGAGATGTCCTCCTTGTTCAAGGGCTAATGACCCTGGTGTGCGCTGTCTAGGCCCCCAAGGTCTTCCTTCCCTGCTCACAGCATTTCAGGTTCTCCGCAGCTTTGCTGAGCCTGGGTCAGGTTCGGTATCTGCCCACCATGCTCACTTGCCACAGCTGTGGCCCCATTTCCAAACTTCAGAGACTTAAAGGTGCAGCTAATGATGTGCCCGGCCTGGGGTCACATTCCCTGAGCCCTGCAGACAAGGGAGCAGGAGGCTGAGCTCTTATCTTCCACACCCTGTGCACAGCCTGGGAAGAGTTAAAGCACCCTAGTCCTATGCTGCGAGGGCCACATGCCCTGAGACCTTGGAAAAAATCCTACCTGAATTGAAGAGCATCACTATTTCATCAGGAGGCGCTGCCATTTCATTTTTCACTTCGGTTTTATCTTGAGTGTAAAACAGCTTCGCAAATCACTTTTTCTTGTTTCTGTAATGAGCATATGGTGGCCTCATTCGTGTGATAAATCTGAGCCACCACGATATTTGACTTTTCACAATTTAATTTATCTGAACCCTCTATTCTCTGGCTAAAAAATATCCCTTACTTGGACTTCTTTATTTTATTTTCAATTCCCTTACCAGCACTAGCAGGGGACTCTGTACTCATCTGCTGGCGCTGCCATAACAAAGCACTGCAGCCTGGGGGGCTCAAACCACAGAATTTATTCTCTCACAGTCCTAGAGGCTAGAAGTCCAAGATCAAAGTGTGGGCAGGGTCGGTTTCTCCTGCAGCCTCTCTCCTTGGCTTATAGAGTGCCACCTTCTACCTGTGTCTTCACATCATCACCTCACTGAGCATGTCTGTGTCCAAATCTCCCCTTCTTATAAGACCCCAGTCATACTGGATGAGGATCCACCCATATGAGTTCATTTTACCTTAATTATCTCTTTAAACACCCTGTCTCCAAATACAGTCCCATTCTGAGGAACTGAGAGTAAAGATTCAACATATGAATTTTGGAAGGGACCTAATTCAGCCCACAACACCCTCTTTTGGGATGTTTATTTTCCCCCTTAAGGAGCTAGTTAGGATGTCTTATCTCATGAACATGACTGTGAACAGGAAAACAGGGAGAGAATGAAGCTGGCCAAGGAACAGGGCTGGTGTCAGCTAGCAGTGCTTTTCTGATGTGAGTGGGTCCCACAGGGAGCTTGTTAAAATGCAGATTCTGATTCATTAGGTTCCAGAGGGACCTGAGATTTCCCATTTCTGACAAGTTTCCAGTGTGGGGGCTGATGCTGCTGGTCCACGGACCATACTTTGAGTAGCAAGGAGCTTGATACATAATGGCTGAGTGACTTTCAGACTCCTGCTGTAGAAAAATTATGAGTTGGCTGGGCGTGGTGGCTCACGCCTGTAATCCCAGCACTTTGGGAGGCCGAGGTGGGCAGATCACCTGAGGTCAGGAGTTCGAGACCAGCCTGGCCAACATGGTGAAACACCATCTCTACCAAAAATACAAAAATTAGCCAGGTGTGGTGGCAGGTGCCTGTAATCCCAGCTACTCAGGAGGCTGAGGCAGGAGAATCGCTTGAACCCGGGAGGCAGAGGTTGCAGTGATCTGAGATCGTGCCACTGCACTCCAGCTGGGCAATAGAGCTTGACTCAGTCTCAAAAAAAAAAAAAGAAAAGAAAAAGAAAAATTATGAGTTATATTATCAGCATATGGGGTGCCTTTCAAATTGATAAAATTTCTAATATTAAACCTGTGGATGCCAAATGCTGCTCTCTGATTATGGCAGGAAACGGCACTTGGCAGTACGAAGTTAGCTGTTGGGCTGAGCTGGCTCATCTTGTTGTGCGGTCCTGATTGCCTAAAGATGCCTTCCCAGGATCTTTACTAACAATCCTCCTGAGTCATTTGGACTTTCCCAACCTGTTATCACCTCTCAGATGGGCCAGCCATGGAGGCAGTCAGAGGAGGGCTCTGCAGAGGGAGGGCAGAAACAGGGTGGCCTCTGCATGCCATTAGGAGGTCACATCTCACTGGGGGATGCAGTTTAGGATTTAGTGCCTTGGAGAGAAGGATAGAGTATATTAAAACATGTCTCCGCTAGGCATGGTGGTTTACGCCTATAATCCCAGCACTTTGGGAGGCCGAGGTGAGTGGATTGCCTGAGCTCAGGAGTTCAAGACCAGCCTGGCTAACATGACGAAACCTCATCTCTACTAAAATACAAAAAGTTAGCTGGGAGTGGTGGCGTGCGCCTGTAGTTGCAGCTACTTGGGAGGCTGAGGCATGAGAATCACTTAAGCCCAGAAGACTGAGGTTGCAGTGAGCCGAGATTGCACCACTGCACTCCAGCTTGGGCTACAGAGTGAGACTCTATCTCAAAAACAAAGAAACAAACAACAACAATAACAACAAAAACCAAGTCTCTCCCTCCACTCAAAAATGCAAGGGCCTGTCTCCCATTGCTGGGTGCCCAGGTCTCATGAATGTAGATATGAATTATTCCAGTCAGCCTCAGGAGAATAGAATGAGCCCTCAGATGCCGAAGCACCTTTCAGATTCCACCGGTTTTATCGGCTCATTTAAACTTCACTTCTAACACAGTCCTGCATTACACACGTGTCTGTCGTTATGGGCAGCTGCAGAGAGGGTCTTAATGGTCCTAATGCTCAGTGAGGATGCCCAATGGTCAACAGAACCTGCCATCTTCAGGCCATCAAGGAGCTCTGGAGTTAAGGAAATCATGAGAGCACAGAGGGGCGGGTACAGCAGAGCCCTCGTGGTAATGGGTTTTGAGGTCTAGGCTCTCTTCACTTGGGTTTGAAATAAGTTCAATGACTAGTAATAGCTGAGACACTTCTACCCTTCAAATGAAGTAAATGGGAAAATGGAGCATTGTTGAGTCCAGGGAGCTATAATTTAAACCCCATATATCTAAAAGGGGTAACATTTTTGTGTGTGTGAAATTGGTGTCATTCGCACTGCATCTACAGTTTTCTTTTTCCTTCTCTTCCAGCACCCCTGGCTACATATTTGGGAAACGCATCATACTCTTCCTGTTCCTCATGTCCGTTGCTGGCATATTCAACTATTACCTCATCTTCTTTTTCGGAAGTGACTTTGAAAACTACATAAAGACGATCTCCACCACCATCTCCCCTCTACTTCTCATTCCCTAACTCTCTGCTGAATATGGGGTTGGTGTTCTCATCTAATCAATACCTACAAGTCATCATAATTCAGCTCTTGAGAGCATTCTGCTCTTCTTTAGATGGCTGTAAATCTATTGGCCATCTGGGCTTCACAGCTTGAGTTAACCTTGCTTTTCCGGGAACAAAATGATGTCATGTCAGCTCCGCCCCTTGAACATGACCGTGGCCCCAAATTTGCTATTCCCATGCATTTTGTTTGTTTCTTCACTTATCCTGTTCTCTGAAGATGTTTTGTGACCAGGTTTGTGTTTTCTTAAAATAAAATGCAGAGACATGTTTTAAGCTGATAGTTGAGGGGTTTTGTTAATGGCTTTTGGGGGATTTATCTCTATACCCACAAACGACTAGTTTGTTTTCCTCAAACTAAATGATAATATTAAAAATACACATCCTGGCCAGGTGTGGTGGCTCATACCTGTAATCCCAGCACTTTGGGAGGCCGAGGCAGGTGGATCACTTGAGGTCAGGAATTAAGACCAGCCTGGCCAATATGGTGAAAGCCTGTCTGTACTAAAAATACAAAAATTAGCCAGGTATGCTGGTGGATGCTTATAATCCCAGCTACTTGGGAGGTTGAGGCAGGAGAATTGCTTGAACCCGGGAGGTAGAGGTTGCAGTGAGCCAAGATCATGCCACTGCACTCCAGCTTGGGCAACAGAGTGAGACTCCATCTCAAATTAAAAAAAATACACATCTGGCTTCTGGAAAAATTACTTGAAGATCTTTTATGACATCCATCCCTCTTCACACAGCCATGTGAATTAGGTTGGTATCTTCATATACTAGCATCGTGCCCAGCACTTCCATGTTATACAGTTTAAAATGTTCTGTAATTCCCTGTGGGAACCTAAGATAATGCGAGGACCGTCATACGTGCCCCCAAATATTGGCAAACCAATGAATAAATGAATGAATGAGTTTATGAATCGCTAACTGGCTGTATTTAATGAAGTATGTGTGTTGAGCCATTTCCCACAGTGTGGACAGATTTGTCCCACAATATGGGCCTCTTCCCAAAGGCCCTACCACCTAATGCCATCACACTGGGGATTTGATTTCAACATGTGAATTTGGGGAGAGTGCAAACACTCAGACCATAGCACCATCTCAGTAAATGTCCCACTGGTCACTCAGTTCATAGTGACAGTGATCCAGCCACTGTCATGACAGGTGCCACTTGGCAGAAACAGCACAGCTTGGAAGATGGCGGGGTGTAGTCAAGATTCCAGGATCCCCAACAGAGAAGCCAGCTCTTATAGGGGAGCCATTCATCAGGATTGAACTCTCAATCGAGCTGGACAGTAATAGGTGGGTCTGTGTTATTCCCCAGATGAGTATCATGACAGTCACAATCCTAGGAAGGATGTGAAGCCTCCCCCAGCTCTCCTCCAGTTGCCTGCTTGGGCAGCAGAGATGATGGAATGTGGAGTCTGGCGTGGTCTGAGGCCTGAATCCATGTGCCTCATGTATGATGCTCAGGCAAGAGGATCTCTCAATTCAAGGGAGAGGGCCTGAATGAGCCTTGCTTTCCAGGCCTGTCTGATGGTCCAGGCTGAAGCCCCTCCTGGCTTGCACTGCCAGACCTCATCCAGCAGGAGCTCCTTGGCATTGACTGCTTCAGGATAGTTGCTTCTGCTCTGAGTGCTCTCTAAAGAGCAGTGCTCTACCATCCAAGCTGGGCTTTTCTTTTCTTCTTGCTGATAGGGAAGGCATGGGACATTGCAGGATGGAAGTGGCCCCCAGGCCTTCTCATGCCTGGGCTTGGTTTGGAAGGTGGTCAGGTGATCAATAATCCTGATTGGCCTGGCATTGAGGAGTTTTCCTGGGATGTGGTCCTTTCGGTTTTTTAAAAATTATTTTTATTGATACACATATTTGTAGGTATTTGTGGGGTGCATGTGATACTTTATTATGTGTGTGGATTGTGTAATGATGAAGTCAGGGCATTTAGGGTCTTCATCACCTTGATTATCATTTCTATGTGTTGAGAACATTTCAAGTTCTCAGTTCCAGCTATTTTGAAATAGACAGTCCATTTTGTTAGCTACAGTCACCCAACCCGGCTGTCAGACATTGGAACTTACTCCTATTGAACTGTGTATTTGTACCCATTCACCAAACTCTCTTTGGGCTTTCAGTTTTACAACTGGGATGATCCTGGGAAAACTAAAGTAAATCAGACACCCGACGTGTGAGCTAGGTTATAATATGCCCAGTGGACCCTGGGGACATCTTAGCTTTCAGAGGTCATGCTGTCCAAGCTGACTGTGGGGCTTCCAGAAGGTGGGGAGAGGAAATGATGCAATGGCCCATCAGAGGCACTACTTGGGGCCTGGGGCCAGAGTGCATGTCTAAGGCATTAAGGGGAGGGGAGAGCAGCCTTCATAATTATGAAGAGGAGTCTCAGGTGCACAGCTTCTGATGAGGGACAGCTTCTAATTGAAGACAGCATTGTGTAATGCTCAAACTCCCTGTCTTCAGAGTGCCTGCTGTATCCCACCATCAGTTCTGTGACTTCTCCCTAAGCCTCAATTTTGCATGTGTTACATTGGGATAATAATAGTGCCAAACTCATGGGGTTGTGAGGAATAATGAGGTAAAGCAATTGAAAAGGTTTAGCACAATATAAGTGCTCAATAAAAGCCATTATTATTATTTTATTACACTAGTTTTCAATTCCTGCATAGCAAATTCTTGCAAATGTAGGGACTCAAAACAATATAAATTTATTATCTGACAGTTTTTCTGGGTCAGAGGTCTTACTAGGCTGTAATCAGAGGGCAACCAAAGCTGTGATCTCAGCTGAAGCTCAGGATTCTCTTCCAAGCTCACTGGTTGTTGGCAGAATTCAGTTCTTTCCAGTTGGAAGACTAAAGCCTACAGTCTTCAGTCTCTAGAAGCCTTTTCTCTGGCACAGGTTTCTCTACAACATGGCCATTTATGTCTTTAAGGCCAATAGGAGAACATGATTAGCATATTTTTTTTAAGTGAACTTTAGACCCTTTTTTAAAGGCCTATCTGATTAGGCCAGGCCCAAGTGAGCTTTAAGTCAACTGATTAGAGATCTTAATTACATCTGCAAAGTCCCTTCATGTTTACCGTATAACATAACTTAGTGAAAGGAGTGAAATTGCAACCAGGTTCTGCCTGCACTCCACGGAAGGGGATTCTGCAGAAGTGTGGGTCACGGGGGGGTTATTTTGGGATTCTGCCTACGTCACTGAGTCAAAAGAAGCTGAATGGTTGTGATGCTGAGGTTTTTGGGCAGCAGCAGTGTGTGTGTGTGAGTGAATTCATACGTATGACCACCTGGGAAGAAAGGAGGCTGTGGTTTCCTCCACCTCCTGGCAGACAGAGAAATTTCTTTTTTTTTTTGAGACAGGGTCTGGCTCTGTTACCCAGGCTGGAGTGCAGTGGCTTGATCTCTGCTCACTGGCTCACTGCAGCCTCTGCCTCCCAGGTTCAAGTAATTCTTGTGCCTCAACTCCAAGTAGCTGGGATTACAGACACACACTGCCACGCCTGGCTAATTTTTGTATTTTTAGTAGAGACGAGGTTTTGCCATGTTGGCCAGGCTGGTCTTGAACTCCTGACCTCAAGTGATCCGCCCACCTCAGCCTCCCAAAGTGCTGGGATTACAGACGTGAGCCACCATTAACCATTTTTCTATCTCCTGTGGGAAAGGGCACAGTGAAAGAACAGATGAAGCTGAGACATACAAGTGAACTCCTCCCTCCTCTCCATTTAGACTAAAATAGGATTATTCATACTGAGATTCTCCCTGGTTGCAAAGAGATAATCTGTGCAACTGGGTTTTTACAATTATCCCTACCCTATGCTTTCCTCATCTGTCTTCCTCGTAGTCAGCTCAGGCTGCTATAACAAAACACCATAACTGGGGGCTTTTGAACAACAAAACTTTACTTCTCACAGTTCTAGAGGCTGGAAATCCAAGATCAAGTTTCTGGCAGATTCGGTGTCTAATGAGGTCCTGCTTTCCAGTTTATAGACAGTGCCTTATCGCTACCGCCTTACACAGTGGAAGGAGAGGACGAGAAGCTCCTTGGGCTTTTTTTTGTTTCTTTCTTTCTCTCTCTCTCTCTTTTTTTTTTTTTTAATAAGGTCACTATCTTAGTCCATTTTGTGTTGCTAAAAGGAACATCTGAGGTTGAGTAATTTATTTTATTTTAAAAAGTGGCCAGGCATGGAGGCTTATCCTGTAACCCTAATCCTTTAGGAGGCCAAAACAGCAGGATTGTTTGAGGCCAGGAGTTCAAGACCAGCCTAGGCAAGATAGTGAGACCCCATCTACCCCATCTCTACTAAAATTTTAAAAAATTAGCTGTGTGTTGTAAAGTGTGCTTGTAGTCCCGGCCACTTGAGAGGCTGAGGTGGGTGGAGTTCAAGGCTGCAGTGAGTTATGATTGAGCCACTGCACTCCAACCCGGGTAACGGGGCAAGACCTTGTCTCTATTTAAAAAAAAAAAATCTTTATGTGGCTCACTATTCTGGGTGGCTGGAAAGTTCAAGATTGGGCATCTGCATCTGGTGACAGCCTCATGTCGCTTCCAGTCATGGGGGAAGACGAAGGAGAGCTGGCACGTGCAGATATCACGTGTTGAGGGCAGAAGCGAGAGAGAGAGGGGAGAGATGCCAGGCTCTTTTTAACAACCAGCACTGGGGAAACTAATAGAGTGAGAGCTCACTGACTCCTGAGGGAGGACATTAATCTATTGATGAGCGACCTGCCTCCATGACCCAAACACCTCCAACGATACCCCACCTCCAACACTGCCACACTAGGGATTAACTTTCAACTTGAGATTTAGAGGGGGGAAACTTACAAACTATCGCAGGCACTAATACCACTCATGAGGGCTCCACCTTCATGACCTAATCACTTCCTAAAGGCCTTACCTCTTAATCTCATCACATTGAGGATTCGATTTCAACTTGAATTTTGGGGGGACACCAACATTCAGGCCATAGCATCATCTCAATAACTGTCCCATTGGTGGTCACTCAGGCCCCAAACAAAGGAACCTTCCTCCATTCCTTTCCGCCCTCCCACCCACAGTCAATCATCCCCAAGCTCCATCAGCTCCACCTTTAACGGCCAACCCACCTCTGCCACATCTCACCATCTCCACTGCTATCCCTGTCACCTGGGCCCACCATTCTCTCTCCTGGACAGTCTCCATAGCCACCTCTGTCAGATTTATTTTATTTTTTTATTTTTTTTTTTGAGACAGGTTCCTGCTCTGTTGCCCAGACTGGAGTGCCATGGCATGATCACATCTCACTGCGGCCTCCATCACCTGGGCTCAAGCAATCCTCCCATCTCAGCCTCCCAAGTAGCTGGGACTACTGGCACCACCATACCTGGCTAATTTTTTGTTGTTGTTGTTTAATTTTTAATACAGATGAAGCCTCACTATGTTGCCCAGGCTGCTCTTGAACTCCTGGGCTCAAGTGATCCTCCGGCCTTGGCCTCCCAAAGTGCTGGGATTACAGGCATGAGCCACCGTGCCCAGCCCATCAGATGTTAATGCTACACGCACTTGCTTAAAATCCCCCAGATAATTCTCGCTGCTCTTGGAATAATTCCCACACACCTTGGCGTGGCCATGCAGGCTCTGTGCCATCGGATATGTCCCTGCCCCCTCTCCCAACTCCTCCTTTCGCTTGCTCGTTCACTCAGTTCCAGCCACATTGCCCTGGGAGCTGCTCCCACCATGGGGCTTCCTAATGCACTGGTCTCTCTCATGCAGTGGGGCCTCTCCCTCCTTTTACTCAGTGTCTCCCAGCACCCACCTCCTCCAGAGCCTTCCCTGACCACCACACCTACACCTAGGCCCTTCCTCCTCCACGCTCCCTCCTCCACCCCGGCCTCCTACCCACGTGTCACTTCTTTATACTCGCTGCCACCTGAAATTAGATCATTTATTTACCCCTTTATTTGTTCAGTTTGCCTTGTCCGTTAGAATATAAGCTTCCAAAGGGCAGGAGCTTTGCCTATATTGTTAGGCCGGGCATACAATGAGCACTCAAAAAAATATTTGATGAGTGTATGAAAGAACAGACTGGGTTATGTAATTGTGCCTACTTACCTATATGACCGTGTGGTGGGGTTTATGGTGGGTGTGGTGGTGATGGCTATAGGGCTATAAGCAAATTTGGGACAGGGAGTCTAAGAAATGTTCTTAAATTTTAGTAAGCAAAGCATCCTCTACAGAACCTGTCTTAAAACATGAAAGTTCCTTAGTGCTACCCCCAGAGGTATGATTTGGTAGGTCAAGGATAGGGCCTGGAAATTCACATTCTTGTTAAGATGTTCTTCATCCGGGGTTTGTTGACCACCTTTTCAGAAGATTTTTGCTCTGTAGCTGTACTACCCAATGCAGTAGTTCGTAGTCAGTGTGGCTCCTGAGCCCTTGAAGTGTAGCTCCTCTGAACTGAGACGTGCTGTAAATGTAAATTGCACACCGGAGTTTGAAGAGTTAATACAAAGAAAAAGGAATGCAAAACATCTCATTAATAATGCTTTACACTGATTACATATTGAAATGGTAATCTTGTAGATATAGTGCGTTAAATAAAATATACTGTTAGGCTTAATTTCACGTCTTTATACTTTTAATGTGGCTACTAGAAAAATTTAAATAACATATTCAGCTCACATTATACTCCTATTGAACAGAGCTGATCTATAAGTTCCATGGAAGATGGCAAGTCTTCGCAGCTGAAATAAAGGCTGGATCCCATTCTACGGGCTCATCTTTAGCAATGATTTCTTGCAGACGATATTGAAAAATGTGGCAATGAAAGTTACCACAAGCATCAAACCAGTCCTGCCTAAATCTGGAAAATAGTTATCTGAGGCTGTTAGCATATGATCATGAGAGCGTTTCACCATGGATTTCTGATCACAGATGTGGCACATTATTAAAATATCACTTTTACAGTCACCCTAGAGGCTAGGGTTATCTGAATATGGAGAAAGAAACAGCTTGTGGAGCTGTTGTATAAATGAAATTACTAGAAAGTAATGCACTCAATTGCATATTGGCTCGGGGGGTTATTCTTATTAAAATGTTTAGAGAGGACTTTCTGTTCATTTCTGCAGAATTGCTCTTCAAATTAAGAATTTGCTTGACACGCTAATAGACCACAGTCCCAAGAGAAGTTTATCCTTTTTTCTTCTTATCCTTGCTAAGCACTTAGATGCTCTGCTGATAGGTAGCATATATTGTCTATATGAAGCTTTTGTGTTAACATTGACTAGTCCTGCAAGTTGGCACACTCTTACTTGGCCTAAAAGAAATCAGCACCAGGCTTTAAGAAAATCAGATGATCTACCTAAAGGAACACAACTCTGTCTCTCTTTTGACAATTGTTGTAAACAAATTTTAATGGAAATTTGCCTTAATTGTGAAGAAGTTGCTGCTAAAATGGACTTGCCATTAATGGACTGGAACCCATTGCATAAGCAGAATGAAATATAAGCCTTCTCAGGATTCACACTTATAAAAAACCATTCAGCCAATCAACAAGAGGGCAAAAGAACAAACATTTGATGTGTAATTACTTAATTTAGTGCATATGCATTTGGGTCCTCAATGTCAGCACTATGGCAACCAGAACATGGCCACAATAACTGTCTGGAAATGTCTATTCTTACCTGGACCCAGCAGGCCATGCCCCACTGATTATATAATCTCCCTCTCTCCTTGTTACGGTCTGAATGCTTGCATCCCTCAAAAATTCATGTGTTGAAATCCTAACCCCCAAGGTGATGATATTAGGAGGTCGGCCTTTTGAGAGGTAATTAGGTCATGAAGACAGCATCCTCATGAATGGGATTAGTGTCCTTATAAAATAGGCCCAAGGGAGCTCATTCACTTTGTCCACCATGTGAGAACACAGCGAGAGGGCACCATTTATGCACCAGGAAATGGGCCTTTTCCAGACAATCTGTCGGTGCCTGGATCTTGGACTTCACAGCCTCTAGAACTGTGAGAAATTAATTTGTTTTTTATAAGCCACCAAATCTATGGTTTTTTTTATAGAAACCGTAATGGACTAAAACACTCCCTAATTATATTTAAACTTATCAGTGCACTGGGCAGTGACATATTAAAAGAATGCTGGCCAACGTAATTGACACCATAAGGCTGGATGATTCTTGTAATTTTCAGCCTCAGAAAAAGGCTGGGGAGAGGAGTCAGGGGAAAGGAGGTGGTGTGTGTGTGTGTGTGTGTGTGTGTGTGTGTGTGTGTGGTACGGTGGATGCCTGCTGAGAGAGAAAGAGCTATAATAACATTCTGTGGTTCAGCTGACACATCCTTTCTGCATCCCCTCCAATCACCTGGGTTAATGGGGACCTCGCTAATGTCTGAACCTCATCTCATTTTAACCTTTTGTTTCAAAGCCTCTCTTTTCATGACTTCCCCGCCTTCATTTTTCCCATATGGTGGGGTTATTATTAAGACATTAAATGAGAGTGGACAGGTAGGCAAAGGAGGTGGGTTGCAGGGGAGTTGAGGGTTGCCTGTGTACTTTTCTAGACTGTTCCACTTCACATCAGTGAAATATTCCCAATTGATACTATCATGAAACAAAGCAAATGAAATGCTGAGCACGGAGCTTCGTCTTGATGAAATGCTGAAAGAAAAGAAAGGAAAAATAAAGTAGCCATTATTTTTGCCCTTCCTCCCACCCCCATGTTTACTACTCTTATTTCTCTTTTGTATTGTTGTGTTGGAAGCACAGCATCAGAAAAACTCCCAGTTTTGAGAGATAACTCAGTGTTTAGTTCACTTAAACCTGAGAAAGGAGAAGAGGATGCCACCGTGAGGTCCAGGACGTAAAGAGGAAAAAAACAGACAAAAAAATCCATATGAAATGAAAATGTGAAAGAGGCGCTTTCGAGCAGATGAGTGTTGTAGATTACAGTGTTGAGAGCTGTTTGTGTCCAGAGCTGCTTGCTGCACCTGGCGGGATAAACACTGGTCTAACAGAGGATCCTTGTTTCAAGGAGGCTGCCTTTTATTTGGGGGGACAAAATTGTTCTTGAAAGCTGCTCAGTGGTTCAAGCTACAGCATGGTGGACTAGCAGAATGGACTCCAGGGCCTCCGAGGAGACAGTGACTGCTGCCAGAAATAGTCAAGGATAGAAAGGAAGGACTTCACTGAGGCCTGGGAGAAGATTATGGAATGGGACTGACAGCAGTGACGGGGAGTAAAAGGGGGTGTCTGGGGGAATTGTGCCCCATGGTGAGAGCTAGAGGGTTCACAAAGACTTAACCCGACGCATCTCTCTCACCCTGGAGATTGGGCCCGTTCAATCTAACTGGATGGCTATAATTTAAAAGGTTTAGGTATTATGACAAACATGGATATATTAGGTGATAGCAATGCAAAATGCATATGGCTTCTTGATATAAAACACAAGACTTGAAAGCAGCATCTTTGGCTGGGTACTACAGCCACCCTCCTCTGTCACTAAGGGAGGCTTTGGTGGAAAGGGCTGAGAGCCTCTAGACTGTGAACAAAAGTAGGCACAGAAGAACAGTTGGAGATAATAAGTAAACCATCTTGACAGGAATGAAGAATTTCCTGAAAGGAAGGTCCCTGAGTTAGGTTGTTGGATGCTTTCAGTAGTGAGTTATTGAAAGTGTTTGGGGGGTGTGTGTGTGTGTGTGTATGTGCAGTATGTGTGTGTGTGAGAGAGAGAGACACACACAGAGAGAGGGGAAGATAACTTGTGCAAAGCAGGGTTTTAATAGAAATAATTTGGCAGTTTCCTAGAGGATAGTTTGATGATAAAAACCAGCCAGGCTAGAAACAGGAAACCAGCTGGAGACAATTGGTAGGGGACAATTTCAACGGTCTAAATGCAAGATGGCACCCAGACAAAGATGGCAGCTGACAGAATGGAAAAATAAAATGGAAGGTGTAACATTATGAATGACAGCAAACAGGAAGCAGGATTGGTTGGTAGGGATCAGGAAAAGGAGAGAGAATAAGAGAGAATGCTTGGTTTTGAGCCTGGGTGCTGAGGAGACTCAGTACAGATAAATCCCAATTGCACTCCCACCATATACCAGGCATATGGATAGGTCCTGGGCATCAGTGGTGATGACAGAGACAATGTCGCTATCTTTGCAGAACTTTCATTGTGCTGGAGGACAGGAAGCAGTCAGAGAGGCAGCAGAAACACCACAGCAAAGTAGGTCACAGAAACCCAAGAGTGAACAGTTTCGATTTATAGTTCTAAATAAATCATCATGGAAAATGAAAGTTAAAGGACATTGGAAAGCTGTTTATAATAAGAAAGAAGAATACCTAAACTCATAATAATAACCGTGACCATGCATTTGTTACTTTCTTACCGTAAGCCGGAAGTGCACTGTGTGCTTTGCACGCTGTATTAGTCAGGGTTCTTTGGTGAAACAGCACTGATAGAATTGATTGATTGCTTGATTAATTGGTTATGAGAATTGGCTCACACAATTACGGAGGCTGAGAAGGCTCAAGATCTGCTGCCTGCAACCTGGAGAACCAAGAAAGCGGTGGTGTAGATCAGTGTAAGTCTGAAGGCCTGAGAACCTGTGTGGGAGGGGACATCGGCATGGTATAAGTACTAGACAGGGTCTGGAGGCCCAAGAGCCAGTAGTGCTGATGTCCAAAGGCAGAAGAAGATGGACGTCCCAGCTCAAACAGAGAAGGAGAGAACTTACCCTTCTTCTTCCTTTTTTTTCCTCAACGAATTGGAGGATGCCTGCCCACATTGGTGAGGGCAGAGCTTCTATATTCAGTCTACTGATTAAAATGCTGAATCTTCTGAAAACACCCTCACAAGCACATTAAGAAGCAATATTTAACCATCTGTTTGGCTATCCCTTAGCCTTGTCAGGTTGACACATAAAATCAACCATCACATATGCCTTATCTCATTTAATTCTCTAATAACCCAATTAAGTAGGTAATATTAACTTCCTTGTTTTACTGGTGAAGACATTTGCCCAAGGTCAAAGAGCTAGGAAGTAGCATATCTGGGATCCAAATTCAGTCTATCTTATCTTAAAGCTGTTGTGAACTGACTTTAGCAAATAGGTCCATGCACAACTCTTGCATTCTTTTGGGTATATGATGGCACTGAGATGTTTAAGATGAATGAGAGTTAGATATGTCTTTAGATCTTGTTATCAAAAAAGCAATTCTCAGAAGAAATTCTGCCAAATACAGACTGTTCTTGAAACAAACATTCCTTTAAAAAGCAGGCCCAGGAGAGTTCATGAAACTGTGAGCTTGATGGATTCACCTCCTGATGAAATTCCCTAGAGGGAGAAGCAACAATATTCCAGAGGTAGGACTCTGATACCCTGAAGTCAGCATTAGGCAACCAGAAATCCTCCTAACCAGTAGCTGGTGGCAGAACTGTCTATGGATGGATCCACAGTGCAGATCCTATGGGCATGGCCACAGGCCTCACTAGATTCCTACTGCCTATTCAGCACAGGTGCGGAGCACTCTGACAATATTTCTGACAATATTTTACACAGTCACCAGACTTGAATACCTTGAATTTTACCATTGAGAGCCTTTTTTTTTTTTTTTTTTTTTTTTGAGACAGAGTTTTGCTCTTGTTGCCCAGGCTGGAGTGCAATGGTGCCATCTAGGCTCACTGCAATCTCCACCACCTGGGTTCAAGCGATTCTCCTGTCTCAGCTTCCAGAGTAGCCGGGATTACAGGCATGCACCACCACGCCAGGCTAATTTTGTATTTTTAGTAGAGACGGGGTTTCTCCATGTTGGTCAGGCTGGTCTCGAACTCCCGACCACAGGTGACCTGCCCGCCTCAGCCTCCCAAAATGCTGGAATTATAGGCGTGAGCCACCGCGCCCGGTCGAAAGCCTATTTCTGGTATTCATACTGACTAGCAAATCTCTTATATCAATCAAAATCCATTTGTGATGCTCACTATGCTAATTTTCAAAGCCTAAGGTGATGACTGAGATCTGAAGAGCTGAAGTCTTTCTGATGGAATACCAGCTGGCCACCTGTGGAGGTGAAGTTTCCATTTCAGCAACTTCATGCCTCTGGAGTTGAGGCTTCTACTAATACAAACTCATGATTCATTTCTCAGTGTTGAGGTATTTTAAAGTAAGTTATGGACATTGTAAAGTAAATCCATACTTTAAATGGTTATTCCATAAAACCTGTAATAGAGATTGTCCCTTTTAATTGATACAGATAAACTATAAAATACACATATTATTCTTTTTGACCAGGGAATCTTAAATTCATAGCACAAGCAGGATAATAATGGCTCAGAATGACCAACCTTCATTATGGGTAAGGTATGGTGCCAAGCGGTTAGATACATCTGTACCTTTAATCTTCAAAACAAACCCATAAGCCAGGCACCACTATCTCATGCTCATTTTAAAGAGAAGGAAAGTGAGTCTTTTGAGAGAGCAAGTAATTCACTACAGATCATATAGATAGGAACTGATAGGTAAGGGATCAGGGTATGGACCTCAAGGGTGGGGAGGCTTGAAAACCCTGAAATTAACCTCACAATGGTATGTATGTGGACATCCATTCTGTGCATGTTGTTTTGGCTGGGTGGTTGTGGTAAGATTCCTATGACTTTCACCAGATTCTTGAGCGCTTTCAACACCACTGTCTAAACAGGCTCCGTCAGAATCCAGATGCCTTGCCTGACAGCTGCCTGTCATAAGTCATCCTTATAATGGGGCCCAAGAAAGGATGTTTCATTTCCTCTTCTGCAGACAGACATATTGAACTGGGTCTTTTAATCTAAAAACACAGCAATATTGTCCTAATTTATGGAAAACATGTCAGGTTAGAAAAATCATAATAAATCAATTGATCCTTTGTATTTGTCATTTATTTTTCTGAATTTTTCAATTTAGAACAGGGCCCAAAGAGAAAAGGATGGCTCCACCCTGTGAAAAATAAAAGTAAAGGTCTTTTTCTTATTAGTTTGTTTAAGAAAAACAACTTTAAGGCATTTTCCTGATAACTCTCTTATAAGCCTTCAAGACTTGCAGGTAATTTCTAACTCTAGGGTCCTTTGCTATTTGAAAAAATAACCTACTCCCATATGGTCAGCACCAAAGGAAAAATGATCACGTTTCTTTTGTCTCTGGCATGGTTTTGACAGAAAAGATAATTCAAGTATCTTACAGGTGCTAAAGCAACCTAACAAAACAAAGGTAAAGTGAGTACAGAAAGTGGACATTTTTTTTTGAAATATTTTTCCTTCTATCTTCCTTCCAAGGCATCTTGAGTGTTAATGGAATAGTTTTCTTTTTGTACCAATTCTTGGTACAAAGAGAGTAGTTATTCTTGGGTATAACTACAAAATATATAGTTTTTCTTATCCCTTTTCTACTCAAGTGATACACATTTATCTTAAAAATTGCCTGAAATTTCTATAGGAAAGGGTATCTAAATTTTGCAATATGTTGAAACATATTTCACCTGCCCATGCCCAGAAATCCACCACTTTGGTGTCTGGCCCATACTTTAACAATTAGGCTAAAACAAACAAATGCCTGCGTGCACTTTGAGACCTGTCTGCCCCTTATATTAAGAGTTCCTGTGAGTACTGAGGCTTTGCTCAATATAACGTGAGGATTTGGTTACATCATGCAGAAATTGATGAAATTCCCACTATAATGCTTGGGTATGGAGAGTCGAGAAGTTTTTTTGGGTAACTATATCAGAACTCAGGGAGAAATTGGTGTGGAAATTGATTTTTCCAAAGCCTCAACATTTCAAACGCAAAACCTCTTTCACCTGGTTTCTTCTGGGGAAATAACAGTTGGGAGCTAATGAACGGGAAGAGATATCAGGAAACATAAGCTCCACGTTGGCCCTCATTTCACTTCCAGCACCAGTCCTGGTGAATGCTTAATCATGAAGCGGAGCATCTCGGAAAAGCCTCCTCTTAGGGTTAGGGGTTGCCAGTGTGCTATGGGGTCCCTTCCTGGAGGTTGTCATGGTCATATACTAATTTATTCCCATCTTCTTGCCTCATCCCTGAATCCTTAGAACCCATGTGTGAGCTGCAGCAAAGGGAGGTAATTCAGGCCAGAGATCAGTTAACAGGCACTGTAATATGAATGGCCCTCTCTTTCTTCAAACACCTAGTGCATTTACACTCCATGCTATGACTGCCTGCTTTTATTTCTCCACTAGTCCCCCCAACAAAATTGCAAATTCCACGAGAGGACAGAGTTTGTCTTGCATTTCTCTTTTGTGTTTTCGGCAACAAGGAGAGTGCTGTGTATACAGTGAACAATGAATATCAATGGATGAATACTTTCTTTTGATGTTGCAGAAGCTTTCATGGATAATGCGTTTTTTCACCCAGTAGATAGAAAGCTTTATGAAGATAGAAGCTGGGTATTAATCATTTTTCCACCTTGCAAGACATTCAGTTTCATTTATTGCTCAGTGTAGATGTTTAGTAATTGTCCCTGAAGAAACTGGATTACCCCCTGGACAGATTGAATTATCCTTAGAGATGATTCAGCGGATTGTCAATAAGTGGACCAAGTTGTGTGATGGCCTCATTAGAACAATTCATAATATTAGAAAATGGAGATAGGGTGGTATTTAGATTTTCTTTTTGGCATTGGAGAAGAATTTACTTGGCACGGTTTGATCACTCTTTCATCTTAGAAACACTTTCTTTGCTTGGCTTCTTTCTTTCTTTCTATGCCATCCTCTGGTGCTAGCTCCTTTCTGCTATGGTTTGACCCCATTAAAACTATGTTGAAATTTGATCCCTAATGTGGCAATGTTGGGAAAGGGGGCTAGTGAAAGGCCTGTGGATCCCTCATAAATACCTTGGTGCCATTCACTTGTTCACTCTGTAATGAGTGAGTTCTCACTCTCAGTAGACTTCATTAGTTTTCATGAGAGTGGGGTGTTAAAAAGTGAGGACATCTTTGGGTTTTGTTCCTTCACACACGTCTGCTTCTCTTTTGATGCTCTGCCATGCTGTGACACAGCATGAAAGTCCTCGCTAGAAACTGAGCCGAGGCAGGCACCAAGCTTCTTGTGCTTTCCAGCCTGTAGAACTATGAGCTAAACACACCCCTTTTCTTTAGATGTTATCCAGCCTCAGGTATTCTGTTACGGCAACACAAAAGAGACTAAGACAGAAAATTGGTACCGAGGAGTAGGATGTTGCTACACAGATATCTGAAAATGTGAAGTGGCTTTGCAACTGGGTCATGAGCAGAGGCTGGAAGAGTTCGAAGAAGCAGCTAGAAAAATACTATATTGCTATGAATTAAGCATTAAGGATGATTCTGGCGAGGGCTCAAAAAAATACAAAAAGATGAAGGAAAGTTTGGAAATTGTTAGAGATTTGTTAAGAGGTGGTAGCCAGAATGCTGATAGAAATATGGATAGTAAAGGTCATTCTTATGAACTCTTAGATGGAAATTAAGAACTTACTGGGAGCTGGAGTAAAAGGCATCCTTGTTATGCCATTGCAAAAAACTTGGCTACACTGTGTCCATGCCCTAGGACTCTGTGGAAAGCTGAACTTAAGAGTGATGGAATAGCATATCTGGTGGAAGAAATTTCTAAGCAGCAAAGTGCGTGGGCTGCTGAGTGCTTGCTTCTAACTGCTTACAGTGAATTACTAGAAAAAGGGAAACAGAGCAGAAAAAATTGGAAAATTCACAGCCTGGCCAAAATTCTGGTAGAGAATGAAAGAGCCCAAAGGTGAGGTGAGGCAGAGAAACCCCTTGCTAGAGAGATTAGCGTGGATAAACGGAAGCCAGGTGCTAAAAGAACAATGGGAAAAAGCAATGGGAAAAAGGTCCCCAACGCATTTCAAAGATCTTTAAGGTCGCCTCTTCCATCACAGACCCAGAGGTCTAAGTCTAAGATGACAGGTTGGTTTAGGGGAACAAGCCCAGGATGCTGTGTCTCTGTGCTGCCTGGGGACACTGGTCCCCACATTCTGGATGCTCCAGCCTTGGTTCATGTGGCCCCAGGTTTGACTCATGCCACTGCTCTGTAGAGAGCAAGCCCTGAGCCTTAGCAGCTTCCATGCGGCACTAATTCTACAGACATACAGAATGAAAGAGCAGTGGAGACGTGGCAGCTTCCTCCTAGATATTAGAGGATGTATCAGAAAGCCTGGGAGCCCAGACAGAAAATTGACACAGGGGCAGAGCCACTACAGGGAGTGCCTACCAAGGTTGGTGGAGCTATAAAGGCAGGGCTGCCCTCAAGACCCCAGAATTGTAGAGCTACTAGCAGCATGTAGTGCCTGCCTGGGAAAGCTACAGGTGTCTGATTTCAAGCCCTGGAGCACCCACATGGGCTCTGCCCAGCAAAACCATGGGGATGGGGCTGCTCAAGGTCTTGGGAGCCTACCCCTTTCACCAGTGTGCCTAGGAGGCAGCACCTGGAGCTTTAAGATTTAATGTTCGGTCTACTGGGCTTTGAACTTGTGTGGGACTTGTCATTCTTTTAGTTTGTCTGATTTTTTCCCCTTTGGAATGGGAATGTTTATCTTGGAAGTAAAAAACTTGTTTTTGATTTTACAGGCTCAGAGTTGGAAGGAGCTTGCCTTGAGTCTCAGATGAGACTTTGGACTTTAGACATTCTAGTTGATGCCGGAACAAGTTAAGACTTTTGGAGACTATTGGGAAGGGATAATTGTATTTTACAATGAGGAGGGCATAAGTTTTGTGGGGCCAGAGGTGGAATAATATGGTTTGGATATGGTTTGTTTATCCCCACCAGATCTCATATTGAAATTTGATCTCCACTGTGGCTGTGTTGGGAGTTGGGGTCTGGTGGGAGGTGTTTGGGTCATGGGAGGTGGATCCCTCATGAATGGCTTAGTACTGTTCTCAAGGTAGTGATTGAATTCCCACTCTTGGATTAGTTCTCTTGGGAATAGATTGTTTCCCTTTGAGGGTGGGTTGTTACAAAGTGAGGACACCTCTAAGTTTTGCCCCTTTCCTTTGACCTTCCACTGTTTCATGAGGAGCAGATGTTAGCACCATGCTCCTTGAACTTCCCAGCCTGTAGAACCATGAGCTATATAAATCTCTCTTTTTTTTTTTTTTCATTTTAAGTTCTTTTTTTTTTAATTATACTTTAAGTTTTAGGGTACATGTGCACAATGTGCAGGTTAATTACATATGTATACATGTGCCATGCTGGTGTGCTGCACCCATTAACTCATCATTTAGCGTTAGGTATATCTCCTAATGCTATCCCTCCCCCTTCCCCCCATCCCACAACAGTCCCCAGAGTGTGATGTTCCCCTTCCTGTGTCCATGTGTTCTCATTGTTCATTTCCCACCTATGAGTGAGAACATGCAGTGTTTGGTTTTTTGTCCCTGTGATAGTTTACTGAGAATGATGATTTCCAATTTCATCCATGTCCCTACAAAGGACATGAACTCATCATTTTTTATGGCTGCATAGTATTCCATAGTGTATATGTGCCACATTTTCTTAATCCAGTCTATCATTGTTGGACATTTGGATTGGTTCCAAGTCTTTGCTATTGTGAATAGTGCCGCAGTAAACATACGTGTACATGTGTCTTTATAGCAGCATGATTTATAGTCCTTTGGGTATATACCCAGTAATGGGATGGCTGGGTCAAATGGTATTTCTAGTTCTAGATCCCTGAGGAATCGCCACACTGTCTTCCACAATGGTTGAACTAGTTTACAGTCCCACCAACAGTGTAAAAGTGTTCCTGTTTCTCCACATCCTCTCCAGCACCTGTTCTTTCCTGACTTTTTAATTATTGTCATTCTAACTGGTGTGAGATGGTATCTCATTGTGGTTTTGATTTGCATTTCTCTGATGGCCAGTGATGGTGAGCATTTTTTCCTGTGTTTTTTGGCTGCATAAGTGTCTTCTTTTGAGAAGTGTCTGTTCATGTCCTTCGCCCACTTTTTGATGGGGTTGTTTGTTTTTTTCTTGTAAATTTGTTTGAGTTCATTGTAGATTCCGGATATTAGCCCTTTGTCAGATGAGTAGGTTGAGAAAATTTTCTCCCATTTTGTAGGTTGCCTTTTCACTCTGATGGTAGTTTCTTTTGCTGTGCAGAAGCTCCTTAGTTTAATTAGATCCCATTTGTCAATTTTGGCTTTTGTTGCCCCTGCTTTTGGTGTTTTAGACATGAAGTCCTTGCCCATGCCTATGTCCTGAATGGTAATGCCTAGGTTTTCTTCTAGGGTTTTTATTGTTTTAGGTCTAATAAATCTCTTTTTTAAGAAATAAATTTATAAATAGAATACCCAGCTTCAGGTATTCTGTTATAGCAACACAAAATAGACTAAGACACTCTCCAACCTCCTAATTATGGAGAGCTCAGGCTTGCTGCACAAGTCTCTTGCACATCTCCAGATACCTGAGTGATCTTCCTCACATTTAATAATTTCTAAAATTTGTCTTCTCCAAAGGAGATCCCTTTCTTAACCTCCAGACTAAAATATCACATTGCCCTCATCCCTACTTAATGTGTCCAAAACAAAACCTCTGATTCTCCATCCACACAATCACTTTCTCCCTTAGTGGGCCCATCTCAGTAAGTGGTAACTCTGTTCTAATTGCTCAGGATGAAACCCTGGCATCAACATTGACTCCTCTTCTCTCATACTGCACATTCCATTCTTAGCAAATCCTGTCAGTTTTACCTTCGAAAAATTATTTTTAAGATCTGACCATTCTCACCACCCCCACTGCCCAATGCCATTCTAAACTTCCACCATCACTGCAGCATAAAGCTCCATGAGGGCAGAGGGCTTTGTCTGTTTTGCTCATTGCTATGTTCTCAGCTCTCAGCACATAGTAGGTGCTCAGTTGCTATTTAATAAGTAACCTCTCACCTAGATTATTGCAGTAATCCCCTAGCTCGGGGTTTCTTGGCCTCAGCACATTTGACATTTGGGGCCAGATAATTCTTCATTGTGGTGGGCTGTCCTGTGCATTCTAAGATGTTCAGCAGCATCCCTGGGCTCTGCTCACTACATGCCAATAGCATCCTCCACTCCTGAGGTGCAACAACCAAAATGTCCCCAGACATTGACAAATGTCCACTAAGGGGCAGAAACACCACCATGGCTGATCTTCTACTTTCCATGCTCCTGCTCACACTGTCTCTGTGCTGGTGTAGAGCAAGGCTCTACACATGTAAGTCAATCTGTGGCTTGTCATTGACTCAGAGTAAAATCCTTACAGTGCCTGTAAGACCTCTCTCTTCTCTCACCTTATCCCTCCCCACTGCTCCTCTGTCTCAGGCCCACTCCCTGCTCATCCTCTGCACACATCAGGAAGCCCCAGTGCTTCCACACTTGCTGTCCCTTATGCCAGAAACACCTTACTTCTGGACACCCACATGGAACTTCTCAGGCCAGCTCTACTTGCCACCCTCCTCCTGTAACACATCATCCTCCTCCTCCTCCCCTCTGCACTCCACAATCCCCTACCTTGCTTCTGTTTCTCCATAGCACTGACCACCTCTTAACAGACAAATGAGCCTAGGATGGTGCCTTGCAGGGCACAGACTCACAAAACGTCTGTCTAGTGTGTGGTAAATGGACAGTGGGTGTATACAGAAGGCTTCACTGGCCTCCATCCTCTGTCTTTGGCTATCTCTGAATTCGTATCAAGTCACAGTTGGGCCTATTTCCTCCTGACACTGAATGTATGAACAGAACTCAACAAATGGTATAAAACAAACCAACATAAACAACCAAATGCCTCACATGGACCTCCCAGAAACCAGCTTGGATGCGTCCTCTTTGTGTGTCAGGCTTGGGGCTCAGTTTGGTGTTTGCAGCAGAGCCTAGTGATCAGGGCTTAGAGTTTGAAGTTGAATTGCCTGGGTGCAAACCCTGACTTCCTCACTTATCCCCATGTGCCCACGGGAAGTTACATTTCCCATTTGGGCTTCATGTTCTCATCTGTAAAATGGGATAATAATACGGCAGAATTCTCAGGGCTACTGTGAGGATTGAGAGAATTATACTGGAAAAGTGCTTAGGCCTGCAGTAAGGCCTGAGTCTGTCTGTTGTTAGTATTATTACTAGCCATGTATATATGCTGTCTTCACGAGGATTTGGTGCCTGGTGATATGATGAAGCTTTGAAAGTTCCTGCAATACATTCATTCCTCATTTATTGAAAGCCTACTATGTGCCACACTCTGTTCCAGGGACTGGGAATATGGGTTAAGAAGGACAAATAGGAACTTACATTCTTTTTTGAGGATACAGACGGTATACAAATAAGCAAAAAATTATCAGGTCATGGTAAGTGCTGTGATAAAAATGGGTGATGAGATGGAGCAGAAAAGGGAAGGGGGTTGTTTTAGGTTTCATGGTCAGTAAAAGCTGTTCCGAAAGGCCACTTTTCAGCCATGACCTGAGTGACAAGAGGGCAACAGCCAGGCAAACACCTGCAGCAAGAATTTTTCAGGCCCGGTACTCAGTGAATGAGGAACCCTACGTGGGGATGGAGCTCAGTGTGTTTGAGAAGCAGAAAGGGGGCCGTGTCTGTGGGGTGGGATGAGAGTGGTGGGAGAACATGGTCAGAAGGCTTGAATCCTGTGCATCGTGGACCGACGGAAGGGGTTGGGACATTTTTGAACAGGCAGGGGAATCACTGGAAGGTTTACAGCTGGAGAATGGCATTTCACAAGGATGTCTCTGGCTTCTGGGTGGGACAAAGGCTACAGAGAGGCAAGCATAAAAATAGGGCTGCCTGGCTGGGCACGGTGGCTCACACCAGTAATCCCAGCACTTTGGGAGGCTGAGGCAGGTGGATCACCTGAGGTAAGGAGTTCAACACCAGCCTGGCCAACATGGTGAAACCCTGTCTCTACTAAAAATACAAAAATTAGCTGGGTGTGCTGGTGGGTGCCTGTAATCCCAGCTACTGGGGAGGCTGAGGCAGGAGAATCGCTTGAAACTGGGAGGTGGAGGTTGCAGTGAGTCAAGATTGTGCCACTGCACTGCAGCCTGGGTGACAAGAGTGAAATTCCATCTCAAAAAAAAATAGGGCCACCAGTGGGAGACAATGACAAGTAACCTCGTGAGAATGGGGGTGATTGTGTCAGAGGTTCTGCCACTATGTGCTTATTGGGTACAGCTCTCAGTCCCATTATTACGTGGGCATCACAGCACCAGCCAGGGCGAGGGGACAAGTGACCAGCCAGTCCTCCCGACCCAGGAAGGGGTTGGCTAATCCCTTTAGCATCCTTCCCTTTTTTTTTTTTTTTCTCACTATGGAGGTTTCATGTAGACTTGTGATGTGATTAGCGCAGGAGGAAAGGGTGAAGCAAGATCCCCTTAACTTCTAGAATTTTCTCCCACGATTCCTAGAACTATCAAGAAAATAAGCAAAAATTGTGTTGAATGTGAAGAGAGAAGAGCAGTGTCAGTACAAAGGCTGACCGAGCATCCATGCTGACCACAACTGTGTTTATGCCAGCTTTATGACAGTGATAGGAACTGCATGTGAATGATGTTTAAGACTCTTGAACAAAAGCACGTAGAGAATATTTCCTAGGGTGAAAAACAGAAAGGTCCCCTGTGCTCCCATTCTGTAACTCCTATTATGAATAAAATGGTGTGTTTCACATTTAATAAACAGTTGCTGGGTTGGATGGATTTCCTTTTTGTATCCAGTGGACTGAAGGTCAAAAGGTATATTTTTGTGTTTTTTTTTCTGCTCTAATTTACACCCGCTATTTACAGACCTGCCATTTCCAAGCTTAGAATACTTCCCATAATGCAGGAAAGAGGCCAGATGAAGTGGCTAGAGGTCTCCTGCCTCCTGGACATTCAGAAGAGGCAAACTGCCCCTAACAGAAGGACTTGAGTCCCTGAAACAGTGGCCTTTAACCAACCCATGCCACTATCTCCCCTTTTGTCCATACAAGGTCACTTGCTGGACAGCCTGGCTTAGGGTTGTCAGATCAGACACGGGATACCCAGTTAATCTGAATTTCAGGTACAAGATAGTTTATTTAGTATAAAAATGTCCCCAATATTGCACAGGCAGATGTTCGTGCTTATCTGAAATTCAAGTTTAACTGGGCACCCTGTATTTTTATTTCCTAAGATGACAACCACTGCCCTGGTTGGGGGTAGGGATGAGGCATTCCCAGCAGCAGGAGCCGCTTACACCACACATTTGCTGCCTCCCAGGCTTGCCCGTGTCTGGTCTCCTGCTCTTCTCTAGCAAGTGGGACTTACTGACACATAACAAGAGAGGGTTGTCACTGGTATGAGCAGCCCTCTCTCCTTGCCTAATTTTTTAGTGTCTCAATGAGACTCCTATGTCCATGTTAGGACATTCTCTCCTTCCCCTGCCTTATAGTAGAAACCATCCATCCAGCCATCATCACCTATCCACTCATCCACTCACCTGTCTACCCACCCACCCATCCATCCATCCACCCACCCACCCATCCATCCACCCACCCATCCATCAACTCATCCGTCCATCCACTCATCCATCCATCTATCCATAAGCATTCACAGAACACCTTTTAAGTACCAGACACCATGCGGCAAATCCATAATCTCCCTGAGAACATGTCATATGAAAGATTCATGTTCTGACTTGGAGCCAATTTACTGGGAACCCTCCAGACCACAGAAAGCAGCTATCATGATGAACAGAGTAGCTCTGACCCAGTATCTCTGGGCCAGCCCAACATTAGCCAAGATAACTCAGATGCCACCAGTTGCCCTGCAACCAAGCTGACCTATGAGATGTGGTACAGGGAAGCTGAAGCTAGACAGGACTGTCCTCATGTATCAGTTAGGGAAGGCTAATTGCAGGAACAAATAGACCTCAACAACATGTATAATCACAGTGGATGTTTTTTCTTGTTCAGATCACAATCCTGGCAGGGGGAGAGGTTGGTGGGGCAGTTCTCCTCAGCACATCCACCCAGGGACTCAGACTGTGGAGGTTCTGCTGTCTTCATCAGGTCACTTCCAAGGTCACCCCAGGGCCATCACCAGAAGAGGATGAGAGCTTGGTGGCATGCATGGCAGACTTTGAAGGACAGGACTGGAAGTGGCACGCATCCCTTCATCACTGGCTGTGCTACATTGGCTGGCCACGTGGTCACTACTAGTCACAAGGAAGATTAGAGAATGCAGGCCCAGGAAGAAGGTAGGGACGTGGATTTGTTTAACTTCTCTGAGCTTCAGTTTCCTCATTTGTGAAATACCCCATTGATTGCCTCTCAAAGCCAACTGGTAAAATCTCTGCCTGAACCCACTCCTGGCAAGTCTGACAAAGTCCCCAGGTGTTCCTTTCCGAGGATCAGGTCTTCCCTCCAACCCAGCAGACACTCTGAGGTTAAAGGAAAACTAATTCCTCTTCCATTTTTCCATCTGGCCTGCTTCTTGATTCTTGCCCTCCTCACACTGGCTACTGAAAACGAAGCCACTTCATTTCATGGATGTAGTTCATTTCCTGCTGGTTGCTTTGGATCTTGGATGCCTTTCTCCATGAAAGCAACCCTAAGCAGGGTGGCTTTATCCCCCAGAAGTCCAGCCCCCATCTTGTGGCTCCAGGTGTCTTCAAGGGTGGGCTGGAGGGAGGTGCTGGCCCCTGGGCAGTTCCCATGGCAGCCTGTGAGCAGGCTCCAGCAGCAGGGAGTAAGGGCAGAGCTCAGGGACCCCAGCGAAGGATGCTCTGTGAGTGGCTGGTTCCCATGGCAACTGAGGAGCAACCTCCACAACAGCTAGGAACCCAGTCACTCCAGCTAGAAGCTGTTGGGAAGCTCAGCGTCTGGAAGCCTGGAGTCACCTGTGGCTGCAGCCTGGAGCTGAACATCTTTCAAGCTGGGATATTTCCATTACCAGCATGCCCTGAATAGCTCTATTTCCGTTTCCTCAAAACATTTCTTGAGCATCTGCATGCCAAACTCTGTCATGGCTACTGGGACCCCAGCAATAAGAAGTCACTGACCCTCTCCTGGCAGGGTTCCCAGCCTAGAGGGTGAGCTAAGCACGCATCTACGACACGGAGGGATAAAGCCCATCTCACCCCGACAGGGAAGCGGTGGGCAGGAAAGCCTCGAGTGAGTGGCCCAGCAGCCACAGCAAGGACAAGGATGATGAGTAGGGAGTGGGCGGAAGGGGGAGGTTTGGGCCAAGCAGTGACCACAGCACATGCAGAGTCATAGAGAGAAACTGCAAAACACTTTTGTGATGGGGCGATCACCCTAAGGACCTCGGGTTACGTCTTGGGGGAGGTGGGCCCTCAAGCCTTCTCAGAGAGGGGCATTGGAGGAAGATGAGTCCAACGGATCCATGAATATTTTAAAAAAAATTAACTAGCTTTATATTTCTTGGATTCATAAAAAGGGAAGGAAAACTCAGGAACATTTCTCTAATACTTGGCAAATCCAGCCCACTAGCAAGTCCTGTCTACACCCTCCAAATGGTCAGGGTTGTGTTCTGGCCTTGAGGCTAAAGCTGGGATCCTCTGAAAAGGGGGGAACTTTACATTTATTCTCAAAGTGTACAACAAAGGACATTCCCTTCTTCATCCCCTTGTACCATGCATCCTTCCCTGAGACAGGAATCCCCATCCTACAGCTGTCCTGGTCTACAAGGCCTGTTCTTCCTCCTTCCTCCATGCAGCCTGGCACCCACATTTTAAGCCTCAGGCCTGCCTTAACATCCAGGTGTGCATGTTCCCGTGAGAGGCGACACACTGTTCTTGTTTTAGCACTGAGAGTCTCACGTCCTGGGGTAAAATCTCAGGACGGAGAGGAAAGACTCAGCCCGGACCTACAGGCCCCAGGACGCTGGGTGGCAGCAGGGATGAGGGAGGCAAGCCTGGCTTTGGTGCCAGGCCTGCCCAGCCAAAGCTTGATTTCTCTACTAGGCTGTGGCATCTTGATGTTAACTTAAATTTTTTGAGCCTCAGTCTCTTCTTTACCTGTTGCAAGGGACAAGGAACACCTATCTCACAGGATTGTAAATAATGCATGTTGAACACTTTCACATAAGAAGTGCTCAATAAATGATAGTTAGTACTTTCTAGAGAAGGGGCTTCCAACAGTTGCAATGTCATGTAGTAAAAGCTGTATCAAGCTTTTACATCGAATGCCAAGGGCCCAGAGGAGGAGCATATATCTTCCGTGGGAGGCCAGGGAAGCCTGACTTTGTCACCAGTTGCTTACAAGACTCCCTGGTGTGCCTCTTACACATCCACTGTGGACTGTGATTGAAAATTGGAGGAAAAGGAGGTACAGGAGAGAAAATTCTGAGCAGCAGGAGAATTTGGGCAGTGAGGTAACAGAGACACCCAGTGTGGGGAAAGTACACCCCATTTCTGAACTCCGGTGCAGTTCATGTAGGGGAAGAACCTGTAGGTGGGGGATTCTGAAATCTGCAAGAGTCCTGCTGCAGAAAGCTGGGTTTCCCAGTAGGAGGGTACAGGCATTCTAGAATTCTCAGAAACTTCTGGACCATTCTAGTCTATTCTGGAATGCACTCCCTGTGGGTGAAGCCAGAAGGCAGAGAGGAGTACACAGGAATTCTATTTGTGAGGACAAGATTGGGGCTGCTGACCTGTTTGTGAGATGCCCCTCTGAGGAGGACCACAGCAGCTTTGGAATTAAGTCTGGAGAGATCTGTACCTCTAAGGAGGCCAGGACTGCAGACAGTGGAGCAAACTTCCCCTAAGAGAGCAGCCAGGCCTCATCTCTGCTGTGATTCTTTGCTGGGAAAGTCTGAAGAATATTAAATGTGGAAAATCAGTATCTTCTTGTCCTCCTCTGTAGCTGATGTCTCCCTTGATTGTGCTGAAGTTGTGGGAAGGCGCATTTCTTTCTTATTCAGGAATTGCAGCTCCTTGATGCCCTAGTTGTGTCAGGGCCTCCATGAAGCAAGTCCTGTGCTGAGAGTGTTCCCATTTGACAGTGACGCCAAAGCAAGGATGTGATGAGCAGGTCCCCTCCACCCAAGAACGCTCCATCCCTGGGACCAATGGCTGTGATAATGGTGCTGGGGGACACAGGGCTGGAAAATACAGTTGTGCATTCAGGGAGCAGCTGGGTCTGGTGCCATTGTCACATCTACCAAGACAAAATGGTGGAGAATTAAATACCAGCCACATTTCCCTTCCCAGAGGTGTGTGAGGAGGCAGCTTGTCAACAAGGGTAGGTCTGACTCTGCTGTCCTCTGGAGACTAGAACAAATGTCCTATCTTCATTTCTCAATTGCAGACAAAAATATACTTTTCTTGTCAACCAAGAACCTGGAATGTGCCCTCTGATGATTATAGGCAGAATCCACATTCCAGAGCATGGGAACCAGGCCCATGCTCTGAATATGGTGTCCAGGCTGGCCATTGAGCCATTTTCTAGCCGTCACCTCCACAATAGGCTAATATCATCACCTGGGCCACATGTACCCTCTTTCACTGCTGCTCTATGCTTTGGGGACTACCGGTTAGTGACAATGATCTGCTGGCATTTAAAATCTGAGCTCCATAATGCTGAAATCTCCTTAGCAGTGGCATCTCATCAGAGCTTCATCTCACCAACACGGCCCTGGCAGCAGGTGGAGAGTGGCTGTGCATGCTTTGCATGTTTCCATGCACACTTCAGGGCCTTAGCAAATATAATAACTTCCTAAGTAGGACCCAAAAAATTCAGGCTCAAAAAAGGTGTGGGCTTGTGTTACAACAGATGGATTGAATGACCAGGTAAATCTGCTGCAGAGAGCAGAAATCAACCCCCCTTATTTACACCCATCTGATGTTATGGTTTTGTTTTGTTTTTGTTTTTTTTTTGAGACACAGTCTCCCTCTGTCGCCCAGGCTGGAGTGCAGTGGCACAATCTCGGCTCACTGCAAGCTCCACCTCCCGGGTTCACGCCATTCTCCTGTCTCAGCCTCCCGAGTAGCTGGGACTACAGGTGCCCGCCACCATGACCAGCTAATTTTTTTTTTTGCATTCTTTTGTTTAGTAGAGACAGGGTTTCACCATGTTAGCCAGGATGGTCTTGATCTCCTGACCTCGTGATCCGCCCGCCTCGGCCTCCCAAAGTGCTGAGATTACAGGCGTGAGCCACCATGCCCAGCCTGATCTTATGTTATTGTAGCTGTGTTATCACTGGGCTTTATTATGTTTCAAAAAAAAGATGTCATTTCTACCAAGTGCAAAAACAGCAAAGTGTATCTGCATTTTGCAGAGGCAGTTGGTGTGATAATGAGAGCGAGAGGAGATCTGGATGCAGGCAGGTCATGGTTTGAGCCAAGGAGGAGGCCCTGGGAAAAGCTCTGTCTGTTCAGATGCTCTGACCCCCATACCACACCCCTTTCCGGTCATCCAACTAAAGCATCCGTGTATGGGGGACCAGGCTGCCTCCGGTGCATATGTGCAGAACCCTGGGGTCAGGCAGGCGGGGTGCCAAGCCTCCAAGAAGGGTGGGGAGCCCTTGGGACCCGTGCTGGACGCCCTCGCTCCCGAGGGCCTGCTGGGGAGCCAGCAGGCTTCTGGATCTCATTAAGGCACAGCTGCCCTGCAGCCTGGACACCATATGCAGAGCATGGGCCTGGTTCCCATCACTTGAGTGTGGACTCTGCCTATAATCATCAGAAGGCACATTCCAGGTTTGCAGTTTAAGAGAAAAGTATACTTTTGTCCTCAATTGAGGAGCCATTCTGTTCAAAGTATTTAAGTGGTTTCCGAAGCTTAGCAACATTCCTCCTGTCTGCATCTGACCATGCAGTTTTGATTTTCAAGGTAGGCCAGCAGGATTCTTGGAGGGAACACGCCCCCCAACCCCCCATCTGAATCTGCCTGAGAGCTAACAAGTGCCAATGTGGCCAGATGAATGTGTGCTGCGCTATTTGTGATGGAGGTCCCCAGAGAGCCTTTGTGCTCTAGATCTTTATTGGAACACCCAGTAAATATTGGACTCAGGCTCCCCATTGTTTTAGTGTAGGGCTTAAATGCAGTCTCCTTCAGGCTGTCAATGTACCTTTGACCAAATTGCAGCTTGCATTCCCATACCAAATGTGGTTTCGCAGAACCCCAGCTCACTCTAACAGAACCAGCTGGGACCAGAGAGGGTCCTGGTTTGCTCTTTGTGTGCACAGCTGATTTCTCAAAGCACTAACTCACTTTTCTCTGTACATAAAGATGACACTGGGGACACCTGTCATCAGGGATCGGGGCATCAGCTGCACCCAGTCAGGCACCCACTCACCCACGTGAGACTTTCAAAGCCAGCTGGCTAAGGCTTGGGAGGTACCCCCAGGGCAAAAGGACAGCTTGTCGTTGAGTGAAGTGAACCGCCTTTAACATTTTTATAGGTTATAGCCTGCCTAGGCAGCAGCAACCAGCTATTTGATAACCAAGGGGGTGACCAGATTTCTACTGGCCAGATAACCAGAAAACTAAGGCTTCTGCATTACACCGCTTCATAAGAGAAAATAAGCATTTTAGCTACAGGGAAGCCCTGTTGTTTTTGAAAGCTGGAGGAGGTCCTCCTGCTGGCCATGGGCTTGGCTGGCCGTGGGCTAGGCTGACTCACAGTCAGAGAGCAGCCTTTGTGGCTGAGCTCAGCGGAACTCAGCGGACACCCGCACGGTGGCCCAGGGCCAGCAATAAACAAGTCAGGGCTGCTCCTGGCGCTCAGGAATCTGGGGTCAATTAGGGATCAATGGTGCCAGAGGATTTAAAACAATTGCAACCAGCCAGGCAGGCTCAGGCTGTATCAACAGTGAAATGCAGAATGTGCAGATACAATTGTACTATCCCTAAATTAAATTAACGTTCTACCCCTCGGCAAGGCATTTTTCTTAATAAGTGGGATTGCTCCTGGCCAAGCTTTAACCACTAGGGATGGCAATGACCGATGACCTAACTCGTCACTTAACCTTGGCCAAGGACACCAAAACCCTAGTCATTAGGGGACCCATCTGTGAACCTCTGTTGAACAATGAAGTCAAACCTAATCTGATTTCACCCACACCTTACATTTTTAAGCTGCAAATTTCCACAATTCTCTGACTGACAAGAACATGAGGTCTATTTGATAACCAAGGGCAATGACAGGATTTCTTTTGGCCAGATAACCAGAAAACGTAAGGCTTCTGTATTACATCGCTTCGTGAGAGAAAATAGGCATTTTAGCTCATCATTTCCTCTTGTCATTTCTCATTGTTGTGCCTACCTGGCACAATGTTAACTCTATAGAAAGGCTGACTTTTTAAAATTTTTGTGGGTACACAGTAGGTGTATATATTTATGGGTTACATGAGATATTTTGATACAGGAATGTCATACATAACAATCACAGCAGGGTAAATAGGGTATCCATCACCTCAAGTATTTATCCTTTGTGTTTCAAACAATCCAATTATATTCTTTTAATTATTTTAAAATGTATAATTAAATTATGTTTTACTATAGTCACCCTGTTGTGCTAGCAAATGCTAGGTCTTATTTCTTCTTTCTTTGTACCCATGAAAGGTTGAATTTTTAACTGCGGGCATCAGTGACTGCTAAGGATCCAGCAGAGAGGGCAGTTTGACTCAAAGAGGTGAAAAAAATCAGTGGGGTCTTTTGATCATCAGGAATCAGAAGCAACTGGAGGCAGGGACCCGGAAACCCAGGCAGGGCCACTCAGGAGAATGACAGAACCCTTCCAGGCCTCCATGCATGACAAGCTGGTATGCACACCATTTGGTTGGCTTCCTGGGTCAGAATGGGTCCTTTGTGTCCCTTCTACCATCTTTGACAGAACTGCCTTTGGTCCCCAGGCTCCAGCAATGTGGTCTGAATGGGGGTTGTCTCCCTTTCTGTGTCTCCACCTCTCTGGCCATAGTCCCCTTGAGGGAGGACACCAACCCAGTCACGGCTGATCAGGGTCTCTCCCTGAGATTTATTTGTGCTACTGCTGGTGGGGAAGAAATGTTTCTTTTTTGGCTGGGCGCAGTGGCTCATGCCTTTAATCCCAGCACTTTGGGAGGCCGAAGGAGGTGGATCACCTGAGGTCAGGAGTTTGAGACCAGCCTAACCAACATGGTGAAACCCCATTTCTACTAAATACAAAAGATTAGCCAGTCATGGTGGCACATGTCTGTAATCCTAGTTACTTGGGAGGCTGAGGCAGCTGAGGCAGGAGAATTGCTTGAACCTGGGAGGTGGAGGTTGCAGTGAGCCGCAATTGTGCCATTGTACTCCAGCCTGGGCAACAAGAGTGCAACTCCATCAAAAAAAAAAAAAAAAGAAAGAAAGAAAAGAAATGTTCCTTTTTGGAGGAGGAAGAAGAACCTCGAAGCTGCTGGTGGTCAGATTGTGTGACTGCTGGGGAAAAGGGTCCACAACCCTTTGGTGAGAATGAAGCCAAAATACAGAGAGAAGCATATGGCAGACAAGCTGGAATGTTCGGTCCAAACAGTGGCTCCCGAGGCTAGAGTACCCCCACCAGCATGAACCACTGAACCAATGAGCTTGCTTCTCTTCTTGTCCAAGTTCATGCAGCGTTTCTTGATATGACACTTGGTAATGATTTCTTAGCATTCTATATGTCATGTTACTATTATTTCTGCTGTACAATTTTGGGTACATTTTGGCAGCTAAGTACTCATTCAGATCAGCAGCTCTCCACACGTCAGGTTGGCTTGGGAAGCAAGCTTGGAAGACCAGGACGAAGGGTAGGCATAGACTTTGAGGCAAGCTTCGTAGACTATCATAGGGGTTTGCTTCTTACTATCAGAATTCAGCACTGACTCATTTATAAACCAGGAGCAAAAGAAGTGTTATTTTGATTTGCACTTGTTGAAACATTGATTATTTACCAGGAAAGGCTATAGGCAGCAAAGAGAGATCAACCTGAGATGACTTCATAATCTTTGTGACTACAGGGTTTGTCTTCTTTTGGGGGGTTCACAACCATTAACTTCCATTTCCAATGAAGAGTAGGATTTACACCAGATCAAATATCCCTGTTCTTTCCTATCTATCTATAAACCTAAATTGAGTTCAACACATACATAACACCTGAGCATGTGCTATGCTGGAGACCTAAAGGCAGCTCCTGGTCTTACAGACAGACCCATTGGTATTCCTAGTTGATTTCATCCTATTAGTTGAAAACCCTTCAGCAGACCCCACAAGGGCACTCAGAATACAGTTGTTGCTAGAAGTAGCTCTCAAGGTCCTATGTGATCTTCCGCACCACGCATGATCGCCCTCACCTCCCCTGGTGCCCAGTGGGAGCTCTGTGCTCTCTCCCTCCCCACACTCTTGTCCTCTGTGAGGATAGGGTCACACCCAGAAGCTTCTTTCCTCAGCCCCACCCCAACTATCTATACCCTACTCACCCGTGAGGGTCCCACTCCAGTCCCTCTTTCTTAAAACCTTCCCCAAGTCCAGCTCTTATACATCTTTCTGGCAGAATTTCCATAACATTTGTTTTTGAACTCTCTCAGAAAGGGACTTCTGTGATTATTTTAAACTGTAACCTTGCTGGGCACAATGTCTGCTCCTGTAACCCCAACATTTTGGAAGGCCAAAGTGGGCGGATTGCTTAAAGCCAGGAGTTGGAGACCTGCCTGGGCAACAAAGCAAAGCATCTCTACAAAGAATAATAATAAATTACTGGTTTTGATGGTGTACACCTATAGTCCCAGCTACTTGGAAGGCTGAGGCAAGAGGATCACTTGAGCTCAGGACTCTAAGGCTACAGTGAGTGAGTTATGATTGAGCTGTGATTGTGCCACTGCACTCCAGCCTGGGTGACAGAGTGAGACCCTGCCCCTAAAATAAATAAATAAGATAAACTTTAAAACAACACTGTAGGCTCATCATGTATCTGGTTATTCCTATCCAGACTCCTGGAGCCTGGCAGTGGCCGTGTCATGTGTAGGGTGTCCCATGAGTGGCAGGAAGGGCTGTTCAGGGAGCAGGGGGAGAATGCTGAGGATGGCAGGGGCACAGAGGAAGGGGAGGTGACCTCCATCTCTGCTGTAATCAGCTTCCTGGGTTCTGTTTACTGTAGGCAGCACAGCCCCTTCATCCTGTGTTGTTCTACTTTCTTTTTCTCTGCTGTCTTTCCATTCCCATGGGTTTTAATAAATACATACCTTGAGACGTGACAGAATCTATTTCCCCAATGGGCATCTATGAGGCATCAGGATGTGGTTTAGCGTCTGACCTAGTGGTGGCACCCAAAGGCATTCCCTGCAAACACAAGCCTCCTCCCTGGTCTCAAGGATCTCAATCTCTGGGCGATGTTGCTGGCAGGGCATCAGGGTTTTAAAATGGTGATATCAACTCTCTTTTTTCATAGCTACATTTCCCAACTCTGGCTTCATTCCCTAGTTCTGACACCGAGTAGCTGTAGAACTCTGAGCAGACCATTTAACCTCTCTGAGCCTTTGTTTCTTGGTGACAATAACAGTCTCTTCTTTGGCTGTTACCAGGATTAAAAGCTTCAGTGAACGTAAAGTTCCTAGCCCAGTGCCTGGAGCTTAACGGGCACACAAAAAATGTGCCAACTGCCTGCACAGGGAAATTCTGCCCAAGGGAAGCTTTAATTACAGTTGCTTTCTCTTTCTCCCAATTCAAGGATTTGCTTCCAAGACAATTAACAGACCACAGAATTCTGCTACCTATCAGCCACTGGTCGCCAACAGACTCCCAATGTTGGCACAAACACCGTCTCTCGAAGCTGGGACACTTAGACAGGTGCCAGCTTGTGGCTCCATGGCTCCCGGTGCATCCGGATCTGTGACAGTTACACAAGACGTGTGCTTAAATATTTACCATGCTCAGAGTCTCCCCAGCACGGTGGGGCTCAGAAGAAAATCCAAGAAGCAAGGCGGCTCTGGCATCATCCGCTCCTAGCTTGGTGGAGCATATGTCTTGATGGGAGGTATCGTCAACAGACTGGGCGACCTGTTGCTTTAAAAGATGAACAATAACGATCTCCTCTCAGACTCAGGAACAAATACTAGGCATATCAGATTGCTTGTGAGACTTAGGCAATTAGAATGGTTCTGTGATATCATTCCCCTGAGGGTCCAGGAACTCCCCTAAGTTCCCAGTGTGGGTGCACAGTGTGAAACGCTGGAGGAGGGGAGAAGCAGCAGACATGTTTCAGCACCACCTACGCGTCTGACATGAGCTTTTGTTATCTCATTCACGCTGCAGGAACATTGTCTCCATTATCATTATGATTGTTTCTACTTTACAGATAGGGAAACCAGCTCAGAGAAGGTGAGTAATGGACCCGAGGTCACACAGCTGTGAGACGCAGGGCCAGGATTTGGCTCCAGCTACTAGCCTGTAGCAGCATGGGCATGGCCCAGTGGAAAGACTAACACAAAGATGAACATCCCAGCACCCTTCCAAAAGGCTCTCCAAAGAGATGGGTCCCACAAAGGTGCAACAGTCTCCAAGATTCCCTGACCTCACTGTACAGCCAGAGGTTGGGAATTCCTTCCCTTAAGTCAGCCCTGATCCTGGTGCCCCCCTGTACATTTCTCCCACTGACAACTGCTCAGGGAGGTTCCTCGCCAGGGATGTAAACAGGACAGGGTCAGACCCCAAGTGCCAAGTAGGTAGCCAAGGGGGACAGAGGCCCTGTCTAGGGTACCTGAAACACACTATGGAGGGGCTGGTGGAGAGATTCTACTCTCCACTTGGATCTTACGCAGGAGCAAGGAGGTAAAAAGAGTGACCACACACACTAGATTTCACAGTCAGTAAGGACTGAAACCTCTGATCTGCTGACTGGCTTCACCAGGAGGGATATCCTGGGAGTCCCAGGCAGCCACTGGCAGCACCCCTGCTGTGGAACCCAGGATTCCTGCACCTGAAAGGGGAGTCTTCTGGGACCACTCCTGGAGCCCAGGAGGGCTGCACGTGTCAGGGGCCCACAGACAGGTGAAGAAACCCTTTAAGCCTCTTTCCTCGAGTGAAGGCCGACCTCCCCCACTCCCCGGCATTAGACATTCTGGTTTTGCAGGAGCTGCTGATGGTGGCGGTAGTAGGGGGAGAGTCTACATTTCGAATGAGCTTCCCTTCCTGGTGGTCTTGGTACAAGTCTGTGGGTGTATTTTGAAAACTGCTGCTTTCCCTCCAACACAGCTTCCCTTGCTGTCTCCTTGGACTGCAGCAGCGTTTCTTACAGCCACGTGGCATCTCAGGGAATTCTCTGGAAGATGAGGCTACACCGAAGTCAAGAGGCGTCTTTGCTGGGCTCACTGTTGAGCTGTGGAGGGCCTGTAAGGCCCCAGAGGAGGCCGTTCCTTGGACTCTGTGCAGGGAAACTTCTCTTGACTAGAAATACACCTGTCTTCTCCGCCCAAAGCCCAAAGTGGGTGGCCTGGGCTTGCAAAGAGACGAGCAGGCTCAGGGCAGGATGGCTCCCTGCAGCTCTATGGCCTCGAATGGGGTAAGGGACTCCCTGGAGGCCTGAGTAATTTGGGCACTGGGAAAACAGGGTCCTCTATTTCTAGTTTTCCTGTCCAGAGCACCCCAGGGCTGTGTGCCTGGCCTTGTGGGGGCCGTGACCCTGACCCTGGCTCTCCCTAAGGTGACCACTCACCCTAGAAACACCCTAGAAACTCACCCTAGAAGATTTGCTAAACAGCAACAGTTTAGCTAATCTTCACATCTTTGAAGGTACAAAAGTCCCATGTGGGGCCTCGGGTCAGAGAACTGCCACAAACAGCCCGTGAATTCATTAATCCTTCCCCAGCCTCTCGGTTTGGCTGCATTCCTTCATGTATCCATTCAACACATAGCACTGAGCATCTACTGTGTTTGGATTTTGGGGGAATCTTTGGGTAGCTTCAGCTACTAGGACAAAGAACACCGCCCCCTGAGATATACATGCCTGGACGATGAATCCTGTGCGTCTACACAACATTTCTGAATGTTCTGAAAAGGAAAAATAATAATAAACAAATGTGTGAGGTAGTGATTAAGATATTCACAATATTTCCCTTTAAAACAGGAAAGTCTGACAGCTAAAGAGGAGAAACGTCTTTGCTGTCCCCCCGACTCCCACTTCAATTTAGACTCCTGATTGCTTTCTTGATCTTTCAGGGTTATAACCGCGATCTCAATGACTAATAGAAAACTCCATTAGGCTCCGTCTTTATGAAGGGAATTAATGACTTCGTAAATTTAGTGCTTCGTAAACATAGGAGGGGGAGCACTTCCCTCAGGCTTGACGATTCCCTGGCAGGGAGGGAGGCTGGATAGGAAAGGAAACGCTTCCAGCCTGCTGAGAGGCCTCCTCACCCAAGCATTCTCTGCTGCTCCTTAGAAAGCCAGGCCCCACAAGGCTTAGGTGCGCCAAGATCCTGAAAAAGAAGTCAACGCGAAGGCACGAGAGCTGGGAGCCAGGGAGAAAGAGATGCGTCCGCCGACTTGAAAAAAAATACCAACTGGTGAAATTTTCAAATATAAATGCAGATTTTAATTACAAATGTGTGTCCTTGGCAAGTCCAGCTTTTGTCCTGGATTAGAGAAATCTGTTGTTCAGACAGGCCAAACCCACAGACGAATTATATTCTTTGTTCTTTCAAGCTTTTTAGGCCTGGCCAATGACATAAAATCTTTCAGGGGGAAAAACACCAAACTCTCAGGACACACATTCAGAAGGCAGCATAGGGAAGGAGAGGCTGTAGGATCGAGGTCTTGGGTTTCCTTGCTGGAATGAATGAGGCAAGTTATTTCTACTTGAAGGAGGGGAGGTGGGTGGAAGAGGAAAGGGAAGGGCTCATTTTATAGAATAATGGCATTTCCAGGGGCTTCTGCAAAGAAGTTTTCCTGGTCCACTGATGCTTTCTGCTTCAAAACTGCCCTTCTTCAGAGACCAGCCATGTCTGCTCAGCCCCTCTCTCCTTGAGAATACCACAGCAACAGTTTAGCAAATTTTCAAAGACTGATGTCTTTGAAAATACATCAGTCCCATCTGGGGCCTCAGAACTGCCATGAACAGACCCAATGAATTCATTAATTCTTCCCCAGCCTCTTGGTTTGGCTTCATTAATTCATTCAATAGATAGCACTGAGCACCTACCATGTCTGGATTTTGGGGGCAATCTTTGAGTTTCAGGAATTGAGGCCTTCGAGAAGTCTCTCAATACTTGTAATAGCAAGAGCAGCCACATATATTACTTAGGGGATAGACGATTATTTCCTTTCCTTCCTTCCTTCCTTCCTTCCTTCCTTCCTTCCTTCCTTCCTTCCTTCCTTCCTTCCTGTCTTTCTGTCTTTCTTTCCTTTTTCTCTTTCTCTCTTTCTTTCTTTTTTTTCTGAGACAGGGTGTTGCTCTGTCTTCCAGGCTAGAGTGCAGTGGCACGATTTTGGCTCACTGCAGCCTCCACCTCCTGGGCTCAAGCAATTCTCCTGCCTCAACCTCCAGAGTAGCTGGAACTACAGATTCACACCACCATGCCTGGCTAATTTTTGTCTTTTTGGTAAAGACGGGGTTTCACCATGTTGGCCAGGCTGGTCTCAATCTCCTGACTTCAAGTGATCAGCCTGCCTCGGCCTGGCAAAGTGCTGGGATTCCAGGCATGGGCCACCACGCCTGGCGATAGATGAATTTTTGAGTGACCCTGCCGTGACTTTCTCCTTGTTCCTTGATAGGTTTTGAAAGCACCAGCCAGACTAATGAAATGGTATTGCTGGTTTGCAATACTCTTGATGGAAAAAAGTTTAAATCTGTACCTCCCTCCTTTTTTTTTCAATCAGCCACCTAAGTTCTCTAATAAATTAATATACACTTTCTGAAATTAGAAAATAAAAAAAGAAGGCTTTGTGTATTACATGCAAAAGAGAAAAGTCTAGAAGATACTAGTCAGAGGTGTCTGAGTCAAAGGTTAATCAAAATTAAAGGAAATAGTAAAGAAGTAGTATAGGAAAATGTCACCACTTGGGAAGGCTGGCAGAGAATTTTAAAATCCTCTTTTCCACAAAAGATTACAGGTAACACACATTCATGAGTCCTTTGACCCAATGCAAGGTCACAGAGAGAATGTATCTGACACCTATTTTATTTGTGTTCTGCTCTATTCCAAAAAGGACTTAAGGTGGTTTGAAGAGGAGGAGACATAAAATAAAAGTTAAATATGTACTAAAAGCCTGAGCAAAAAAGAAAGGAAAGAAAAGAGTGGCAACATAAAATAGAGGCTGGAACAAGGTGAGGGAAATTAAAAGCACACCGTGCAGGTTGATATGGTTCCTTCCTGTGGGCCGTGAGTTTGGCTCTAGGAGTTAACTGGGAAAGGGAAACAGATGAATATTAAACATAAAAGCAGATCGATTGCTTAGGAGACCACTATTTTTGGAATCCAGGAATGGTAGGCCTTTCTCCTGCAGGCCTTTCCCCACCATCTGTATAATGTACTAAGCCACAGCCCTAATAGCATAATAGCATCCTGTATCTGATGTGGCCTCAAGCGGTTCAGAATTTGGAACTGTGGATCTGCTTAGGACTTCAGTTTCCTTGTTTCATAATCTGCTCCCGAATACCCCATATCTGGGCATATTCTTATTTGATTCAGGTCTGCTGTGGTCCAGATCTGTAAGACTCTGCCCTGCAAACAGACAGTATAGAAAATATCATCAGTGACCATATTATTTAACCTCCACATTATCACCCACATCCTCATGAGTGTGAGGGTCCAAATGGTACTGATAAGAAAAGTTAGTAAGAGGCAAGGTCACCTGCAGTGTCTGGGGTAACAGACACCACATCTCTGCAAGCCCCAGCCTTCAGCCTGCCAGGTGGAGGGGCAGACTCCATCTGATCTCAGAAAATTTGAGAACCGTCCAGGCACAGTGGCTCACACCTTTAATTCCAGCACTTTGGGAGGCCAAGGCTGGTGAATCACTTGAGGTCAGGAGTTTGAGACGAGCCTGGCCAACATGGCGAAACCCCGTCTCCACTAAAAATACAAAAATTATCCGGGCATGGTGGCACGCACCTGTAGTCACAGCTTCTCGGAGGCTGAGGCAGGAGAATTGCTTGAATCCTGGAAGCGGAAGTTGCAGTGAACTGAAATCATACCACCGCACTCCAGCCTGTGTGACAGAAACAGACTCTGTCTCAAAAAAAAAAAAAAATTGAGAACCTTCCCAGGGCCCACCTACAGTTGACTCTTGAGTAATGAAGGCTTTAGGGGTGCCAATCCCCACACAGTTTAAAATCTATATACAACTTTTGACTCCCCCAAACTGAACTACTAATAGCCTACTGTTGACTGGAAGCCTTATTGATAACATAAATAGTCGATTCACACATATTTTGTATGTTAATGTATTATATACTATATTCTTACAATAAAGTAAGCTAAAGAAAAGAAATTGTTATTTAAAAAATCATAAGGAAGAGAAAGTATATCGACTACTCATTAAGTGGAAGTGGATCGCCATGAAGGCCTTCAGCCTTGTGGTCTTCTGAGTAGGCTGAGGAGGAGGAGGAAGAGGAGGGGTTGGTCCCGCTTCTCAGGGGTGGCAGAGGCAGAAGAAGGTCCACCTCTAACTGGACACACACAGTTCAAACCTGTGTTGTTCAAGGTCAACTGTACACGCCACCGAGACCAGAATGGGTGGTTTGATATTTGTCAGTGGCAACAATTCAATATTCTATCCTTTAGATGTTTTCTCACTCTGGTCACATTTAATGTGTTTAATTGATGCTGTGTGGAAGTTTCTTCACGTTAGAGGATAAATAAGCCATTCCCTTTGATAGGAGCCTGGGGCTTTCCCTGCGAGGAGGGCACTTTGGGAGCAGCCTTCTCATTAGAGGGCAATTAGCCGGGCTCCCGCACCCGGTGCCCTGAGCGGGGCTCCTGAGTAGGCAGGGCAGACGCGCCATCTAGTGGCAGCTCTCAGGACGTCCACACGCCTGCTCCTGCGGGCTCCCGCGCCCTGGGGTGGCAGGCACCGGCATGCTAGAGGTTAACGAGGAGGTTCCCTCCTTCCAGCGTGGATGAGCCTTTCCGTGAGGGTGACCGGAAAGGCGCCTGGGCTGGTGACGGTGTCAAGTGTAGGCAAGAAATACGGCTGATCAAGAAGCGACTTCACCTCCCTCGCACAACACTGAGTCCCTTTGCGGCAGGGGCCCTCCCCGCCGCGAACCCTACTTGGAACCTTGCGCCATGCGATGTCTCTCTCATTCTAGGCCACGGAAGCCCTGGGTCACCCTTTCAGCCTGGTTCTCTCCGGTGGTGCTGGCTTGTTTCTCCTGTCTGTTGGGGTCAGCTGCGTCCAGCCTCGGCTCCTGCAGGATTGCCCGGGCAACCCAGAGGAGATGGGCGGGCGTGGAGGTCCTCCCTGGATGACCCTTCCCACCATTTCAACATCATTAGGAATTTAACAGGCTTTTGCAAGAAGGCCCAGGTACGCATCCCCCCATTTATAGTAGGATTTCCAGGACAAAATGTATTCCACTCTCTAAACAACAAGCAACATGTATACAACCCATTCATAAGGTAAAGATTCCCTTGCCTACACCTAGCTTCTCCTGCCCAAGCATGGCCTTGTCGTTCTCTTCCCCAGGTCAAGTTCAGGACCTAGCAGCTGGGAATGCACATTTTCCAAGTTAAGAGTGGAAGAGTCCCAGCTTGGCTTAGATGGAGTCACATATAGGATTCAGGTTTGCCTTGGCAGGTCTGATGGACCTTGGTGAGGGTCCGCCAGCAGCTGTGCACAGCAGCTGCCCAGGGCCATGCAGCAGGCACCGCACTCCCCTTCCAGGAAGGATTCCAGGCCCAGCTACAAGGAGCGTGGCTACTGACAGCTGTCCACTCACAGCTCGTCAGACTAAGCTTCAGCTTTCAAAAAGGACTGTGCCCTCCTTGGGCTGGCCCAGGCCCACATAAGAGCAAGGCAGTGGCCCAAAGGCCTGGCATTTCTGCCCACCACGGGATTCCTCTCCTGGGTGGTCTGTGCTCCAGAGCTCTCTGTGGGGCTGGCTTACTTCTCCCCTGGCCCCTCCACAGGAGTTACTCAGCTATAGCCCCTCTGCACACATAACTCTATCTGGGAGCCTTTCCCGGAGGATGCAACCTAACTGGTTGGCTCATCCTATAGAAGCCAGTGTCCTTGACTTTTTCAGGTGATGAACCTCTTTTGAGAGGATGCTGATAACTGTAAGCATCTTCCCAGGATTTGCACATGTCCAGTGTTAGAGTGCAGGTCCCCCAAGGCCATCCCACGGGCCTTCACAGGGAGTCGGGTTGAGGACTTCTGACTGAAGGAGGTGGGGAGGAGGCGAAGTCGGGGAATGAGGAAGATGGGGCTGGGGGATAATAACAGGGCTTCCGGCAATGGAGAGGAGGGTTAATTCTCATTTCTGACTCACAGCGCAGCCTCCCATGAGTTCATGGATTCTGTGGGAAAAACCAAAAGCCAATTCCCTCAAGTGCTATGTCAGGCCCTGCAGGCAGGTGGCCGGCGGTGGCCCCATATGGCTCTGGCACAATGAGGGCTTCAGAGAACAGAGCTGCCTCTGCCTGGGGAGTGCCAGTGGCATCAGCAGCAGGGGTGGTGCCCAGTCACCCATGTGGCAGAGGCTGGCTGGGCACCGTCTCCTCTGGGTAACATGGTGCCCACCAAGCCCTGGAAGCAAGGCCTCCCAGCACCTTTGCAAGCAGCAGATATCATCTAGCAATGTCCAGCTGGATGGAAAGAAGATACAACAGCTGGAAAGTGGCATTGGCTGACCTCCTCCAGAAAGTCTCTTTCCAAAATAATTGGCAAGGGTTTCAGGTGTTAGATGTTCTTCACTGACAGGTGGAGAAGGAGCTAACAAAACAAGATTGTGCAGGAATGAGAAGTCGTATTTAGGATGTACGACAGCAGACACACAGCACACACACACACACACACACACACACACACACACACACACACACACACACCAGGGGCTGTTTTCAGCACTCACTTATATTAATTGATTTAATCCACATACAGCCTCATGTGCTAGCTCCTATTATTATCTCATTTTACTCTCAAAAAAACTGATGCACAGAAAGGTTTAGCAGCCTGCTAAAGTCACGCAGCTGAAAAGTGGCAGAGCTGGGATCTGAGCCAGGAAGCAAGGTACAAGGTCTGTGCTCTTCATCTCCTTCTATGCTGGCTGTATGCTTGCTAGCGGCCATGAACTTGGACCTTGGGGTGGGAGGGCTCTGCGTTCATTCCCAGCCCCCCTTGTTACTGGCTGTGTGATTTCAGGTCGGTTTCATTCTTCTCTTTGACTCAGTTTCCTCAACTGAGTGTAAAATGATAGTGATCCTACCTCATAAACATGTGTGAGGCTTAAATGAGCTAATTATGTAAAAGATTTTTGCTGCCACACAGAAAAATGCTTAGTCTGACATTGAATATATATGAAATTTTTGGATCTGCGCCACCCACAGAACTCAGAGTAGGTTCTTTAAATAAACTTCTGCCCCAGACTCCCAGGCCAGCCCAGCCACTGAAGGCACCAAGACAGGAGCCCTGTGTCCGCTCCAGCCCTGAGGCTCCGGAAGCCAGGCAAGAGCATTTCCCGGTGGATTCCTGGCTGGGCCCAGCCTGGGGCCTCTCAGTGCTCCTGGTAGCCTTGCATTTTCTATCTTCAAGGGAAGCTTGAGTGCTGGAAGCCTGCCCGCCCCTGCACATTCCTACCAGCGCCTGAAATCAATGATGCCCTTGTTCTCCTTGGAAGCGTTGGATGTGTGGGAGAAGGTTGAGGGCACACTGTCATCCCGCCAAGCTGTCTGGAAAGCTGGAGGGTGCATGAAAGGCTGGGGAGCACCCAGTCCTGCATAGGTACCTCCTGCTTCAAATCAGCCAGATCCAGGGACTCACACCATGGCATCAATGTGAGGAGCACTATAAGAGGATACCCTTCTAGTGGGTTTCAAAGCACCTGATTAATACAAATGTAATCAACACGAAGCTTTTCTACTACATATTCTTTGTGTAAAGCCATATGCACTCACATTCAGAAATACTAAAGATCAGGTCTAGAAAAATATTCCTACAGGCAGAAAGAAGAGAGAGTCCAGTTCTAAACACAGGGAAGGGTTGAAGAAGCACAGTGGGTGAGGGAGAGCCCATGTGGGTGGGAGAGGATGAGGGCACAGGTGGATATTGTTTTAAAATTTGGTAGTGGCAAATTGGAAGCACAATGTAATTTCACTTACAATTTGCCTTCCATCAAATAGGATCCCCAAATACTCAAAGGCCTTAAATGGAGGCTTTTCTTTAACGATCTCAAATTTTTAACTTTTGCTAGGCGTGGTGGTTCATGCCTATAATCCCAGCACTTTGGGAGACTGAGGCGGGCGGATCACCTCAGGCCAGGAGTTCGAGACCAGCCTGGCCAACATGGTGAAACTCTGTCTCTTCCAAAAATACAAAAACTAGCTGGGCATGGTGGATCGAGCCTGTAATTCTAACTACTCGGGAGGCTGAGGCAGGAGAATAGCTTGAATCCGGGAGGCGGAGGTTGTGGTGAGCCAGATGGCACCACTACAATTCAGCCTGGGCCGCAGAGTGAGACTCCATCTCAAAATATATATATATATATATATATTTTTAAACTTCCACTTCTCATTTCAGAATTCATGAATCTTGTCTCCTTAATGTTTTTCTGTCATGGCACGGTATTAAGAGTTTGTCTTCAGAGTATGGTCTCATCATCCAAATCAACTTTATAAGCCACAGATTCCTCCATTCACATCTTAGCTGGAGGCATGGCTACTTCTAAGGACTAAAAATAGTCACGTTGTCCTGACTTCCTTTTCCTCTTGGCAGAATCAGAGCCTGAGTCATGTATGATCTTTCACGGAAGAACATGCCTTTGCACTACAAGTGGTATTTTTTCTCTCAAAAAATAAATTTGTATAAATATATTTTTTTCTAACAAATGCTGTTATAAATGCACCAGGAAAATTTATTTTCAAAAACTGCCCTAAAGCTAACACTTTAAAATTGTATTCTTGTTTGTTTTTACTCAATAAATATTAAGTGCTTATCATATGCCATGCACTAGTCTAGTTGCTTTTCTGGACCTTTGATTTTAGAACAAGCACTTTTTTTTTCTTTTCCTGAGAGCTGAGGTCTCACTATATTGTCCAGGCTGGACTTGAATTCCTGGGCTCAAGTGATCCTCCTGCCTCAGCCTCCTAAGTAGCTGCGAACACAGGTGTGCACCACTGCACCTAGCTAGAACAAACACATCTTTTAAAGGAGCAAACTAGTTTCAGAGTGTTAAGGTGGAAAGTGGCTGGCTAGAGGAGTGGGGCTGGGGGTGTTTCCAGAGACAGACTCGCTGGGGAGGCCTTTCAGAGCAGATGAGAGTTGAGCCGTGAATGCCCAGGCAGGGCCAGCCACATAAATGTAGAGTAGTAAAGTAGTTTAGGCAGCAGTGCAGCAAGTGCAAAGGCACTGGGGTAGGGATACAACTGAGTGAGCCCAAGGAATAGAGGGTGGCTGTGGCTGGGGCAGAGTGAGGAAATACCATTAAAGAGATTAGCAGGCCAAGTAAGGCGGGGCTCTGGGTGCCAGAATGAGCCGAAAGGTTTCATTGTAAATGCCCTGCAGAGCTTTTAAAAGTTTTTAAGCTAGGAAGTAACTTGCTCTGATTTGTGGTTTATAGAGCTCCTTTGCTGTCAAGGAGTTGCTGCAAAACAGTACACAGAAAATGGAACAGTGAGGAGGGGTGTAGCTGAAACGAGACTGGCCATGAGTTGATAAGTATTACAGTTGGGTATCTGGGTATATTTTGTGTATGCTTGAAAATTCTTAGAACAAAAGTTTCAAAATAACTCTTTTTTTTTTTTTTTTTTTTTTTTTTGAGATTGAGTCTTGCTCTATTGCCCAGACTGGAGTGCAGTGGTGCGATCTCAACTCACTGCAATCTCCACCTCCCAGGTTCAAGGAATACGCCTGCCTCAGCCTCCCAAGTAGCTGGGATTACAGGCACGCACCACCACACCTGGCTAATTTTTGTTTTTTGTATTTTTAGTAGAGATGGGATTTCACCATGTAGGCCAGGCTGGTTTTGAACTCCTGACCTCAAGCGATCCTCCTTCCGCAGCTTCCCAAAGTGCTGAGATTACAGGCGTGATCCACCATGACTGGCTTCAAAGTAACTTTTTATACAGCAAAGGAAAAAATGGAAACAGAACCCTTTAAACGGCACACAAACAAAATAAAATAATAGCCGAACACTCTCTTTGGCTGCTCTGTGGAGAACAGATCATGGAAGGATGGGTGGGAGGAGGACATTCAGCTAGAAGGATTTTGCAATAGTTCAGGCAACACATGGCAGGAGCTTGGTCTGGGGGTAGCAGAGTCCATGAAGTAGGTGTGGGATGGTTTGGAGATGAAGCCAGTTGGACTTGCTGATGGACTGTGTGTTGGGGTGATGGAGCCTGGGGGTGGGAGAGGGGATTGACACAAGTGACCAAAGGCAAGTTATCATCTCCAAACGTGCCTTTTGCCACTAGATGGGACTGTCATCTACTGAACTGCATTAACTAGCTTGATTAGCTGGAGAAAAGGTATTAATCATGTTTTTCATTTTTTGATGCTTTGACATCTTGGGTGTCGAACATGGAAATGTCACATGATGGGAGGGCCCTTGAGTCATCCCTCCAAGGAAAACTGCATGACCTAAAATATTCATATTGAACTTTGCATGAGTGAGAAATAAACTTTCAGTGGCTTAATTTAAGCTTCTGAGGTGTGGGGGTTATAGATTCCAGCAATTGGCCTATTCTGACTGATGCAACTGCCTGCTCCAAGTGGACAGAAATCTCATGGATAATTGAAATAATAAGTAATTCCCAAATGATAGTTTAGCCAGTTAATGAGAAGCAAATTACTCCTTCTGCCTACTGTATGTTAAGGGTTGTTAATGAATATCAAAATGACCAGAAGACTGGGAACAAAAGGGGGGAGGAGAAATGAAGGGCCTTGAAAAATGTGTTTACTGACCAGCCAAGCCCTGAGAACATCACTTAGCCAATCTATAGAGGGAGCTGAGAATAAGAAAATAAACTTTAACATAGTGAGTCCTGAATCAGTTATTCATTCATTCTTTTTTTTGAGACAGAGTCTTGCTCTGTCGCCCAGGCTGGAGCGCAGTGGCATGATGTCAGCTCACTGCAACCTTTGCCTCCTGGGTTCAAGCGATTCTCTTGCCTCAGCCTCCCTAGTAGCTGGGATTACAGGCACATGCCACCAAGCCCGGCTAATTTTTGTATTTTTAGTAGAGAAGACATTTCCCCATGTTGGCCAGTCTGGTCTCAAACTTCTGACTTCAGGTGATCCACCCGTTTCAGCCTCCCAAAGTGCTGGGATTACAGGCGTAAGCCACTGCACCCAGCCTCATTCATTCAATAAGCATGTAGCGAACACCTACTGTGTGCCAGGCACTGTGCTAGATGCTGGATATACTGTGGAAAATAAATTTTACATGGTACCTGTCCTGAAAGAAATTATAATCTAGTTGTGGAGATAGAGACAAAAATGAATGAATGAAACAGTAAGTGAAACAACTGTAAGTTGGATCAGGGGCTATGAAGGAGTCAGACTAAGGCTTGAGATAGCACAACCAAGGGAGATTGACTTTAATGGGGAGCAGGGGACTAAGGGAAGAGAAAGTGCAGGCTACAGGCAGAGGCAGGGTAGAGACCAGGAGTGGGAGAGCGAGTGGCAGGTGGAGAAGGGAGCATGAGGCATTCTGGGCAGCGGGACAGCATGTGCAAAGGCCCTGAGGCTCTAAGGCTGTACACATTTGAGCAGCTGATTAAAGACCAGTAGGACAGAAGGAGGAGGTGAGGGAAAGTGGCATAAAATTAGGTGGAGAAAAAGACAGAGGTGGATCACACAGGGCCTGGGGCACAGTGAAAATGTTGACTTTTATTCTCATTTCAGTCTCCCTGCTTCCTGGCCTTTCTATTTAAAAGCACCCATCTTCACCTTCTCCCAAAGGCTCTGGAAGTTTTACAGACAGCATCTTTCTAGCCTCGCCCTGCGTCTCTTTCTAGTCATTTGACTGAGGCTGAACAAAGCCCAGATGGGAGTTTCATTCCCTTCACCTCCCCCAACTCCCAGCTGAAGGAGGCTGGCCCCAGACACAGGACACAGCTTCCTGACCCTGCGGGCAGGAGCCTGGCTTGTTGGTGACGGGCAGGAGCCTGGCTTGTTGGTGAGTGGGCCTCCTCATTGCTGCTGGAGTTTTCCATCCTCATTCCACAACAAGCCAAGTCAGCAAGTTGCTGCCAGGAACCTTCACACCTTGTGCTTTGGGATCTGAGGGGAAACACACACACCGGCACCACCCTCCCTGAGCCCGGGAATGAAGCCAGCATCAGCGGAGAGCAACCTACTGAGGAAAATGATGGAGTAATTCCCTGGGCACACTTCAGGCGTGGTGCCAGGTAACAGGCCCTGCCAGGGGGTGACAGAGGTGGTACCATGGCATGTCTGGGGCCTGCCCCGAGACACCAGCTGGCAGCAGCCACACTCTGTCCTTAGCAGCACTCGCAGCAGTCCAACACTTTGGTTGTCACGCAAGACACGCTGTTTCTGACAGGACGCCGCAGCCGGGTAACACGGGCAGATGCAGAGGGCACTATCCTGCGGCGCTTTTTTGAAAGCACGCCATTTTTCTTCCCTACCCAATTAACTTTCCAGAGACCCATCCCGAAGGACTGGATTCATCACTAGAACCAACAAGATGAGGATTTGTAGAGCCGGCTGCCGTGCCACTGAGGCTCCTAGTGGGTTATCTGCGTGGCTTGCCTGACCTCAGCAGAAATCCACAGCGCAGGGCCCAGAGCTGTGTGAGCACCTGCAATTGAAGAATTCACAATTACAAGTCATGTGTCTAAATTGGCAGGCTTTCAAGAAAGTCCCACCAATCTTCAAGCATACAGCCGCCAAGGGCCACGTAAAATGTTTGTAGCTTTAATATACAGTTTCATTTGCTTGAATATCATCAGCTTGGGTGCAGATAATCAAAGAATGGCTCAGGATGGAGAATTTAATATGAGAATTCGGCCAGGGCTGCCAAGCCATATATGTGCTAATGTTGCAATTTCAACCTTGGACTTAAGGTCAAGATTAATTTAGTGAAAAATATTATTTCACGATGTAACAGACACCTTCTGAGTTGGAGAGCCGAGGAATTCCGGAGGATGGATGAGGCATGGGTGTGTCTAGAGACCTCATGGCAAAAGTGGCTGCATTGCCCCCTCAAATGTTAGTTAATATTTGGGCACATTTGAGAGATAACAACATAGGGAGATTTTTCTTTAACTTTCTATTATGGAAAATCAAACATATGCTATATTAGAAAGAACAGTATAGGAAGTGGAAAACTTTTTCTTTACAGGGCCAGATAGTAAATAATTTTGGTTTCCCAGGCCATATGTTCTCCGCCTCAACTATACAGCTCTATTGTCACACAAAAGCAGCTATTGATAGTGTATAAATGAATGGTGATGTCTTCTAATAAAACTTTATTTGTGGATGCTGACATATGAATTTCACAAAATTTTTACATGTTATTAATAGTCTTCTTTTTTCCTGACTTTTGTACCATTTAAACATATAAACATCTTTCTTAGTTCCCAACCCTTGCAAAAACAGCTGGTGGGCTAGAGTTGGCCCGCAGGTCACAGTCTGCCCAGCCCCGAAGTACGTAGAAGGACCCCCAGCCCCGAAGTACGTAGAAGGACCCCCATCCCCAACACCCTGTTTCAACAAAAGTCAGCTCATGGCCAATCTTGTTTCATCTATTCTCCTATCCTTTTTTCCTCTCCTTGGATTCTTTGAGGCAAACCCTCATCAACAAATTATTTCATCCATATTCATATTTCAGTACTTATCTCTAAAAGAGGATTCAAATTTTAAACAAAAAACTACAATATCATGATCACATCTAAAAATATTAACAATTCCATAATATCATCAAATATCCAATCAATATTCAGTTTTTCCAATTGTCTTATAAATGTTTATTATTATATATTTTAGATTTTTTCCCCCATTCAATTTATTTGTTTGAATCAAGATCTAAATAAGATCAATATGTTGCAAATATATTGCAATTGCTTGATAGATCTCTTAAGTCTTTGTTGTTGTTGCCGTTGTTGAGACAAGGTCTCACTCTGTCCCCAAGGCTGGAATACAGGGGGCCAGATCATGGCTCACTACAGTCTGACCTCCTTGGGCTCAGATGATCCTCCCACCTCAACCTCCCGTGTAGCCTGGATTACAGGTGTGCACCACCATGCTTGGCTAATTTTTATATTCTTTTGTAGAGATGGGATTTCACCGTGTTGCTCAGGCTGGTCTTGAACTCGTAGGCTCAAGTGATTGGACCTCCTCGGTCTCCCAAACCGCTGGGATTACAGGCATGCATCACCATGCCCAGCTTCCTAAGTCTCTTTTAATCTGTGAGTTTCCTTTCCCACCCACACCTCTTTTGTACACATTATTTGTTGAAGAAATTGTGTGGTTTGTTCTGTAGGATTTCCTGGAGTCTGGGTTTTGCTGATTGCATCTCTGTGCTGTTATTGGATGTGTTGTTTGTCCTCTGTATTTTCTACAATACAACAGTATTTTCTGCCAAATGGAAGTTAGAGCTAAATGTTTGATGGCATTCGGGTCTTATTGTTGTCTTGTTTTTTGGTAAGATTACTTTACAGGTGACTGTGTTCTCCCATCAGAAAGCACACGTGTGGTTGCTTCTCTTTTTCTGATGCTAGCAGCCATTGATAATTATGGCCTAGATTCATTACTTAAAAAAATTAATAGACTTTATTTTTAAATCAGTTTTGAATTTATAAAAAAGTGAGCAGATAGTACAGAGTTCCAATATACTCCCTTTCATACACAGTTTCATCTATAATTAACATTTGGATTAGTGTGATATATTTGTTGCAGTTGATGAACCAATATTGATCCATTCCTATTAACTAAAGTCCATTGTTTACATTAGGGCTTACTGTTTTATACGGTTCTGCAGTTCACAAATGCGTAGTGACATGTTTCTACCATGAAAGTATCACACGGGAATAGTTTCACTGCCCTAAGAATCTCCTGTGCTCCACCCGTTCATCCATCCTTGCACCTAAACCCCTGGCAACCATGGGGCTTTTCACTATACCTATAGTTTAGCCTTTTGCAGAACATCATATGGTTGGAATCATACTGTAAGCAGTCTTTTCAGATTTATTTCTTTCACTTAGCAATGTGCATTTACGATTCCTCCGTGTCCTTTTGCAGCTTGACAGCCCACAGTTCTTTTCAGCACTGAAAAATATTTCATTGTATGGATGTGCCACAGTTTGTTCATCAGTTCACTGAGTGAAGAACATCTCGATTAGTTCCAGTTTTCGGCAACTATGAATAAAACCTCTATAAACATTTATATGCAGATTTCTACGTGGACATAAGTTTTCAGCTTAAATAGGTAAATATTAAGGAGCATCATTGTTGGATTGTTTGGTTAGAATATGTTTAGCTTTTTAGAAACTACCAAACTATTTTTCAAAGTGGCTGTACCATTTTGCATTCCTACCAGCAATGAATAAGAATTCCTTCTATCCCACATCCTTGACAACATTTGGTATTACCAGTTTTTTGGGATTTGGGCCATTCTGATAGATGTATAATGATGTGCCATTGTTGTTTTAATTTGTATTTACTTCACGACATAAGATATCAATGGAATGTCTTTTTTATATGTTTATTTGCTATCTATGTGTTTTCTTTTTTTTTTTTTTTTTTTTTTTTTGAGACGGAGTCTCGCTCTGTCGCCCAGGCTGGAGTGCAGTGGCGGGATCTCGGCTCACTGCAAGCTCCGCCTCCCGGGTTCACACCATTCTCCTGCCTCAGCCTCCCAAGTAGCTGGGACTACAGGCGCCCGCCACTACGCCCGGCTAATTTTTTGTATTTTTAGTAGAGACGGGGTTTCACCGTTTTAGCCGGGATGGTCTCGATCTCCTGACCTCGTGATCCGCCCGCCTCGGCCTCCCAAAGTGCTGGGATTACAGGCGTGAGCCACCGCGCCCGGCCCTATGTGTTTTCTTTAGTGAAGTTTCTGCTCAGATGAAATTGAGTTTTTTTCATTGTTGAGTCCTAAAACTTCTTTGTATATTTTAGATATAAGCCCTTTGTTAAATATGCACTTGACAATATTTTCTCCCAGTCTGTGGCTTTGTCTGTTCATTCTCTTAATAGTGCATTTTACAGAGCAGAAGTTTTTAATTTTAATAAAGTCCACCTTCCCAAATTTTCCTCTCACGGATCATGCATTTGATTTTGCATCTAAAACATTATCACCCAATGCAAGGTGACCCATATTTTCTCTTATATTATCTTCTAAGAGTTTTATAATTTTGCATTTTACAGTTAGGCCTATAATCCATTTTGAGTTAGCTTTTGTGGAAGGTGTAATGTCTGTATCTAGAATTGTTCTTTTGCATGTAGATGCCCAGTCGTTCCCGCAATATTTGTTGAAAAGCTTATCCTTTCTCCACTGAATTGCCTTTGTTTCCTTGTCAAAGATCAATTAATTGACTACATTTGTGTGGATCTGTTTCTGTTCTGCTCCACTGATCTATTTGTCTATTCGCTCATCAATATCACTCTGTCCTGATTACTGTAGCTTTATGGTAAGTATTGAAGTCAGGTAATGTCAGTCCTCTGGCTATGCTCTTTTTCAGTATTTTGTTGGCTTTTTTGGGTCTTTCACCTTTCCATGAAAACTGTAAAATTCAGCTTTTTGATAGCCACACAAAAACTTGTTGGAATTTTAATTGGGATTGCATTGACTCTATAGATGAAGCTGGGGGATATTGGCATCTTAATAATATTGAGTTTCCTTATCAGTAAACATGGGATATCACTCCATTTATTAAGATCTCTGATTGTTTTCATCAGAGTTGTATCGTTTTCCACATATAGATTCTATACATGTTTTGTTTGATTTATATCAAAGTATTTCATTTTTTGGTGTTCATGAAAATGACATTATATTTTTTTAATTTTAAATTCCAATTGCTAATTGCTGGTTTAGATCCATTCATTTTTTAGGACTTGCATAATGGTGATATTCTAATTCTTTTCTTCCCTCTCCATTTATTAGCTGATATGTTCTGTTAAAAAATCACTCTCATCAACTCTTCAATTATCCAAAGATAGAGATCATTTAGGAAAGAAAGGAAAAATGCTGGATATTTCCCCTTGATTTTCTAGTTTTTTGAAAGTATTGAATTGGTTCTTCAACATCTCCAAAGTTGACCAATAAGGTTGTTTATTTTTTAGTATCATTATAAAAAAATTAGACACATTTCAATCTCTTGCATTTAGGATTCTTGTTGGTGCTCAGACTGACCCTTTGATGGTGGGAGCGTTTTCCGTTGACATCTGATGTGACTTTGATAGTTTCTTTATTTCCTTAAGTTCATGCTTGTCTTACACATGTTCTCCCCCAGACCTAATACCAGCCATTTCTCCAAGGAGCCTCCATTCCCTTTAGTAGGAAATGTTGTTTAGAAGCCACTAAGGTATACATTTTTGTCTTTTCAGTGGTCAGAGGTAAGAATTAAAATCCATTTTATTTTTTAGGATAAATTATATCTTGAGTTTACAATGATAAGTCACTTTAGAAATATGCGGAATCTCATTGGTTTTGTAAGTTTTTTTCTTTCTTCCATGCTGAAATTGCTTTATCTCCCAATACACATACAAACCAATGTTATTACCAACAATATCTTTACTGAAAACAGTTTAGATTTTCAAGATTTTTTGTCTAGTCCCTGTCCTTAGAGTATATTCCTCAAGAAACATACAATGCAATAATGGAATAATTTTGTTTTAAATTTACCTGGTATAGTTCTGTGTGGTTATAACATCTAGAAGATATGGAGCTAAGTTTATTTGTTTCAATTGGTTTTGATTTTAGGAACTGCTTTTTTTTAAATTAAGGTTTTAAAAAATAGTTACACACATTTGTTACACACGTTTCGTATTTTTGCCAGTTTATCTTTGGAATGAATTTCTAGAAGTGGGATTGCTTCTTCAAAGGGCAAATGTATATGTAATCTTGCTGGATACTGCCATATTTCCCTCTGCCGCAGTTGTACCATTTCACCTTTTACCAGCAGTGCCTGATGTCCCATTCTGAAGGTTTCTCCCTTATGTTTGTAGAGTGTGTTAGGGACTCATTAGGATTTTTTTAAAACATATCTCACTTTTCCTGGCAACAGTTCTAGGAATTAGGTAATGTTCTCACCCTGACTTTATAGATGGGGAAATTGAGGCTCAAAAGAGCTGAAGTGTACTGCACAGAATAGGAAACAAGCTGATTATAGTCCCGATTCCTCGCTTAGCCACAGCGGATCCTTAGGCAAGACACAGAGTCCTATGTCTTCCTCTAGCATGGCTGTGGGCCTTCCAGTTTTGTTTTCATTTTTCCAGCTGGATTTGCCTCTCCCACAGAGTCGGAGATGGAGGAGTCCCTTGGCTATTTGATTCTTACTTATTTAACACATGGCACTAGGCGAGAGGCATATGGCAGTGAGGATGATGTTTGCGCAGTCCTGGCTGAGCTGATCTGGAGTGTTGGTCTAGAGGGAGTTTCAGTACTTAGACGTTTCCATTGGGGTCTAGCGTCAGGGTGGGGGAGTGGAGGTGCTGGGAAAACAACCGTCGGGGGAGCTTGAAAGAGGAAGAGAGGTCAGAAGAGGTTTCCTGGAGGAAGTGACAGCTAAGCTGAGTCCTGAGTCCTGAGGGTGAGTAAGATTTAGACACACCAAGAGGGAGGACAGGGGAAAAGAAGAACCTGGACAGAAACAGGCTCAAAAATCAGGAGGCAAAATAGAGGGCATGGGGCATTGAAGAAATTGAAGGAAAGTCTGAAGGACTATGGATTTTAGTCTGTGTGATTGTAGCAGACCAAATTGCAGATGGCTTCCTTAGAAGTATGACACCAGTCTCTGGGGAACCAGCTTTTGGAAATCAAAACCTGTGACATGATGGTGAATATCTTAGGTCCTACCACTTTCTGTGCATGGGGTTATATGCCAGAATGCCTCTGACATACGGCAGAAATGGCCTTTTCTTCACATCTTGTCATCCCCCAGTCTGGTGCAACACGCTATAGACCACCGACATTTACAAGTGACTGGTGCACTAGGAAATTCTGAATGCTTGCCTACCAGTTAAGGCAACATAAAAATACGCAGATTAGTGATTTGATTATTAGGGCCCGTATCTGAAAACAGAGAGGAAGAAAGAAATGCGCTCAAGAATCCGAATTTGCATTTGTTTACTACAACAAAAAGTGGGCTGATGAGTTCATGGACTGATAATTACACTACACCTTGATCAACATGTTCTCAGTGGGCAACAACAAAAAAAACAAAGATCTTTGTCCCAGGATCCCATATATCCTGGGCTTGGCTGATAGGGGTTAATCAAATTAGTGAGCAAGATATATGAGCAGAGAGACCTGAGTGAGCATCTTTGATTCTGTACAAGTGAACCATGAAAAGAAAACTTCTGGGACCCATTCCGTCTCAATCTCATTAGGAACTAAGCCTGTCCCCCAGGGGCTGTCTCAGCCTGACCATGCCAATTGGTCCACGGAGGAGTGTGCGTAGTTAGGCACATGCAGGCAGACTTGACTCAAACTTTGTGATAAACGACTTTTTTTTTTTTTTTTGAGACAGAGTATCGCTCTGTCGCCCAGGCTGGAGTGCAGTGGTGTGATCTTGGCTCACTGCAACCTCTGCCTCTTGGGTTCAAGCAATTCTCTGCCTCTTGGGTTCAAGCAATTCTCTGCCTCAGCCTCCCAAGTAGCTGGGATTACAGGCACCTGCCACCACCCCCAGCTAATTTTTGTATTTTTACTAGAGGCGGGGTTTCACCATCTTGGCCAGGCTGGTCTTAAACTCCTGACTTTGTGATCCACCCGCCTCAGCCTCCCAAAGTGCTGGGACTACAGGTGTGAGGCACGCACCCGGCCTGTGATAAATGACTTTATAAACACCAGAATCCTGTGTTATTTGATGGTCTGTCCTACTGAAGCCTTTTTCCTAAGGTTTCTCATGTGTAGAGCAAAGCCTTTTTATTTTTAGCTGTTACGGTCATAGACGGGTTGCACAGCAGTGAATGGGTTTGGACCTGAAATGCAGGAGCTTGATGTGAAGTTCCATGACTCATATCAGCCCCACATTCCAGAGTCATTTTCCAGGAACCCGAGATTCATTCTGTTCTCTCCCTTGGCTCATCATTCATGCCCAGGACATTGACGACCATCTAGATGGTGATGAATTCCAAGTTCATGTCTCCAGCCCACATCTCTCCTCTGCATATCTCCAAAGGTCTGCTCAGCCTCACCACTCAGATATTTCACCACATCCACCCCTCCAGCCTGGCCCACTCCTGGTGAATGGCACGGCACTCACTAAGTTATGCAAGTCGGACGTGTTGGAGTCCTCATTGACGCACCCGCCCCCTCAGAAATCCTCTCCTCAGAAATCTCTCCTCTCTCAAGTGCCTGTTTCTTTCACCTCCTCTGTAATTCTCACTTCCACCCCTTATTTCCAGCTGTTCCTACACTCTGTTTCCTGGCCTCAGACCCCAGCCTTGCATGCCTAAGCCAGCTTCATATTTGGTCCTCCTCTATTCAATCTACTCACCCAAACACTTTTCTATATGTAAATCTGATTGCGTCTCACCTTGTTAAAACCTATGGGTCCCAGTCTCCTTTAAGATAAAGACTGCATTCCTAAGGGTGCTCCCAAGGCTCCACCACATCGGGCCCCTGTCTGTACCTATCCTGGCTCCTCGTGCTCAGGTGCCCTTGTCCCCTTTGCATAGCATGTCCAAGTACTATGTCCCCACCCACCAGCTTCTGGCACCTGCCGCTCCCTGTGCCATCCCTGCCTCACTCCTCCTTCCTGTCTCAGGCATCTCCCTCTTTTGGTCACAGCTGCCCTGACCCTCAGCCTAGGCTGGGTGTCTGGCCACCTGCTCTTGAAGAGCCACTTCTTCCATGCTAAATCTCAGCCCCGCTTGGGATTATTTATTTGTTGGTGTCATTACTCAGACTTCTTGCGTCTCCCTGACTAGACTGGGCCTTCATGTGACCAGGGGCTGTGTCTGGTTTTGCCACTGTTGTACTCCCAGTCACATCCATGGTGCCTGGCATGACATGCCTGCATAATACGTACTCAGTAAGTGAATGAACCAACTGACTCACCTACAGAAAGGACCTTTGATGTCTCTCCCAACTCATCAGAATAATCCAAAATAGTCAGCTTTGAAGAAAAAAGGAGTATTTATTTGATACCACAAAGAATTCTAACAGAAAAGAATGCTCCAAATCTTCTAAGGCACATGTAATAGGAAGGCAGGTCTGGAGTGAATAGCTTGTCAAGTTAATGATTAGTTTGGTGTTTCTTTTGCTGTAGGATTATGACAAATGTAACAAGACTGTAGATATAATTGGCCCTGGTGCTTTGGCCTTACGTTTTACACTTATCAGTTTTCACGGAAGTAAATCTTGAATCCTACAGCTCTCATCAAATTGGATGCTGAAAGTGCAGTGACATCATAGCAATAATGATGTGGAGTATTTATGACCGAGCTTTTTGGTGAATGTGCTTGTAATGCATCTTCTGTTTAGTGTTACTAGAACACCAGCATAATTATTGGGCTGGTTATTTGTTAAAACGATTTAGACAAAAAGTTTAGGAGAAAATTAGGTGCCATCGAATGATAATCTGCCCCTAGCAGAGGATGATGAATAAATACATGAAGGTTTGCTCCCAGTGATTCAGAACTAATAATGAACAGGTAATAAACGAAGTTTTCAGTTATGCCTACAGAGAATAAGTGCGTCCTCTGAGCCGTTCAGACCTCTGAAACCAGTACTGGTTCAGAATAGGAGAAACTAGTTAATTTCCACATACTGTGATCACCTCAGGGGAAGCTCAGTCGGATTTTAGAACTCTCACAAAGAAATTGAACCCTGGTGTCCTGGATTAAACAAGAGTTAAGATCACAGTGAGAAGGGAAGAAGCCTGTGTGTGTGTGTGTGTGTGTGTGTGTGTGTGTGTGTGTGTTGGCCAAGGAAGAATTTGCAGGTAGATTTTAAGCCTTCAGTTTGAGCGCATAACTCCATTGACAGTAATGGGAATTGAATACGTAGCCAAAGAGAGAAAATGCAAACCAGTCCTCAGCACAGAGTATAAATTAGATATGTAAAAGAAAATGGAACGAGGGATTTGTGAGGTGAGTCTAAGAGCAGGAAGACATCTTGAAACATTAAGAAGCACTGCCTATTAAAGTCTGGAGAGGACTGAGAGATAGAACATGGCACACACAGATCCATAATCGTCCTCTCAACCCTCTTAATCCTGACGGACGGAGCATTATTCTCTAAGCAGTTCACGTAACTAAAGAAATAAATATGCTTTTCTTGATTGGTTTTGTTTGTTTATTTATTTTTGTTTTTGAGATGGAGTCTTGCTCTGTCCACCAGGCTGGAGTGCAGTGGTGAGATCATGACTCACTGCAGCCTTGACTTCCTGGGCTGAAGCAATCCTCCTGCTTCAGCCTCCAGAGTAGTTGGGACCACCCACTACCATACCTGGCTAATTTTAAAAATATTTTTGTAGAGATGGGGTCTCACTATGTTGCCTAGGCTGATCTTGAACTCCTGATCTCAGGCGATCCTCCTGCTTTGGCCTCCCAAAGTGCTGGGATTCCAGGTGTGAGACATCAGACTCAGCCTGTTCCTGGTTTCTATGCTTGGAACATCTTATATACAAATGGACATTTTTTTGCCTTGAATTAGAGACACAAATTGAGCTTAATAAGGAAAGGGAGTACATTAGTTAACTCCAACTCACTAACAGCTTCAGCTTTTTAATATTTTAAATAAAGAGAAAATCTCTCCCTTCATTTTCTTTCATCAGGCTGTGCCCATTCCATAATGGTAAATTTTAATTCATTTTGGCCAAATTTTGATCATTTTGACTCATTTAGAAGGTCAAGGAAGTAGAGTGTGTCAGGTTGATTTATTTCCCCTATAAATTCTCCAGATTGTCTGTTAGAGGGATTTATGGACATAAGTCGTACCTACTTTTTTAGTTACTATATGCCTATACCTTTTATTCTGATTTCGGAGAGGGAATGTCTTTGAAATAAATCTAAGAGAGTAGCTCCCAAACCAAGATGATTAATAAAATCACTTGGGGAGCTTTAAAAATATACAGATCCCTGGATATCCTATCATATCTACTGAATCAGAGACTCTGGTGGTTGGAGCCAAGGAGAAAAGGTCCCCAGGAGATTCCGATGCAGTCCCTCTGGACTGACAACCTCTCTCCCAAGACAATGGCCTGAAGGAAATCATTGCAAGTTCATGTTCTAGCATGTTAGAGGAAGGAAAGTTAGACTTGTGAAGAAACTAAATATCTCCAAGTCCAATTCAAACTCCTTTAAGTCACCAGAGGATTTCAAGTTCTTTCTTTGGGGGCAATTCAGGTCCAGGGTGTAACTGGGCCTTTAAGACTTCAGTTTTCCTTGAGTGGTTCCGGGTAGCTGCTTCCCTGTAGGAACATTCTACTCTACCCACTCTGCTCTGCATCCCAAATCCAGGGAATCCTTCAAGGCTCAGCCAAAGATCACCTCTTCCATGAAAACAGCAATGACTACATGAGCTTTTTCTCCCTCCCAGACTCCCCTGGGCTAGTCAGAGGCGTATAATTTAACACTTAATTGTTTTCTAATTGCTTCCGATCTGTTCTGTTCCCTCACCCTATTATAAGCAGCTCAAGGGTGGAGACCATGGTTCTCTCTCAGTGTCTTTAACAAGGCTGGTTGCCTGCCTGGCTCACCATTGTGGCCCCAGAGGCCCAGGCTGGCATGAAATTGGCTCTCCATGAATATTTGTTGAATTAATGAATTTGTTGCTGGAATGAGTATTGGAACATTTAGTCAGAAAATCATGGCCTGAAAACAAATCACCTCATAACATGCTCCATTCTATTCCATTCGACCAACATTGAATCCGTAGGTATGGGGGTCCTCCTCTGTGCTGGGCACTGTCTGTCCTAGGTGCTAGGAACAGAGCAAAAATGTCCTTGATTGATGCACTAAGTGTGAACTTGTAAAGGAGGGTAAATTAAAAGCTTTTGAAAATGGAATTGCTTGGCTGGGCGTGGTGGCTCACGCCTGTAATCCCAGCACTTTGGGAGGCCGAGGCGGGCGGATCACCTGAGGTCAGGAGTTCGAGACCAGCCTGACCAACATGGAGAAACCCCATCTCTACTAAAAAATAGAAAATCAGCCAGACGTGGTGGTGCATGCCTGTAATCCCAGCTACTCGGGAGGCTGAGGCAGGAGGATCGTTTGAACTTGGGAAGTGGAAGTTGCAGTGAGCTGAGATCATGCCATTGCACTCCAGCCTGGGCAACAAGAGTGAAACTCAGTCTCAAAAAAAAAAAAAGAAAAAAGAAAATGAAATTGCTCTTTCAACTCCTGGAAACTATGAAAAACAGGTCAGAGATCATTTCAATAACAACCATAGCTCAGAAAACATAGGATGATAGTCCAGTGCCAGTAATTGGGTGTTGCAAGATTGTAGTTCAAAGTAGTCCAATGTAGGAGACAGAACCACAATGAGAACTGTTTTTCTTCCCTTCCAGAGCCTTCCTCACCACATATTCAGACTGACGGAGGCCTCTACAAACGGGGCATTGTGGCTTGTTTTAATTTTGAATGTATTTTATGTTGAAAGTTTAGCTCTTTGGCAGCATGAACCAGACAGGCAAACCTTACCCATTGGCCCTTGGTGTCCTTTGATGTTTTCCCATTTCATGACAGAATTCTAGAGTCAAGATGTGAAGACCTCACACTAAGCAAGTTGATTTGAAACCACCCAAGACTTGGCGATTTGTCTAAAGAAATAATATTATTAACTTTGCAGAAGAGACTTCTTTTCTATTAGCAGTGATTTGGATTTTTGTAATGTGGTGGGTCAGTCTGTCCTTCCTGCTCCATATTTTACTTGCTAGCATTGGCTTGTCTTTCTGTGCACACGTTAAAGTCAGGAGTAGGCATTTCAGCCTAACCCAACGCCACCCTTTCCTCAGCACACGGCTTCAGCTCTGGCTCGTGGTAATTACCTAAGGAACTGATTGCAGGGAGAAGCAGCCCACTGAGATGTCTACTGCCAAGTAATTAGGGCCAGAGAAGTTCCACAGACCATTAGTGTCACTTTGGGGAACAGGATTTTACAAACATTGTGGCAGGCACTTGAGCTGAAGTCCTGTGTCTTTTTAAGGAGGAATGAACCTCAGGAAAAGAGAGAAAAGAGGTGAGACACAAACGAGAAACGATGGAGAGAAATTAATTCAAAAAGGAATATGGAGGAAAGGTAGAAAGAAACAAAGAGCGCCTTAGGTTTAGGTAGTTTTCTGTTTATCCAAGGAGATGGCCAGTGTATTATTCATTTAGAAGATTAGTTAGTTTTTTGACCCTGTGTCTGTCCCTGAATCAAGGGGTGCCTGTCACACAGGAAGGGAAGTTTTGCTAGGCAAAATGCTAACCAGATGACACCCCCAATTTGTTTCACATTGGCTTCCGGGGATTGGGAGCTCCTTACTCTAATGCGGTCCCTGGAGTCCCTGGCATGCGACACCATATAATAGAGCCCTCTGGTGCTTCATCTAAGTCATATTCTACAGGGGTCCAAGTCATTCTTCCTAGCAAAGGCATCCTGGTGAAGTTGCGGTAATTATTTTGAAGCATTAATAAAATGTATTCGGTGTCAACAAATGGTCTTATGCTGTAGGGGTGAGATGGGACTACGAGATGCGGGAAAATTAATTGTTTCCTGTTATCGTGCTCAAGATATATTTGCATATATCGTTTTTCTGGTTACTTTGAATAGAGGCACCACTGCAGTGCACCAAGGCAAAGGTCAGAAGTATCTCTGTGTAAAGCCCAGCATGGATCTCTGGCCACCTGTACCCCTGAGATTTTCTGATTTGATGTCATTGATATTTTCATTAGGAACGATTATTATATGACAAAACAAATAAGACTTTGTTATTATACCTTTTTAAGACCTGAAGATGAAACAAATCAGAAAAATAAAATGATGATAGTCTGTGCTGAGATTTTTGTCTCAGAAACTGGGTCATTCTCAGAGACCTCAGAAATCTTAGGCTAGGTACCCCCAAATTGACTCTCTCTCTCTTTTTCTCTGTCTTTCTCTCATCTATCTATCATCATCTAGCATCATCATCATCTATTATCTATCTATATCTAATCTATCTACCGTCATCTATTTATTTGCCTATTTCCATAGCATTTGATTCCTCACAGCAAGCTGTCTCCCTGGGTTCTGGGGAATTCTGCTTAACTTCCTCACTTCTCATGGCAGAGTCCGGCAGTGGTTTGTAATCCCTGACATTGTTCCTTGGGGCAGTAGCCTTGCTCCTTGGTGTTTTAGACCTTCTGAAAACTCTGAAAGCCGAGGCCCAGCCAATCAACACCTCAGTGGGGGTTGTGTTAGAATTGCCTCTGTTTGATTTGGTCAATATAACTTGTCTCGGGAACAACCTGTTAGTTCCCCAGCTTGAAAACAATTCTACTTGCCAAGTTCCTGCTGACAGGCTGTGCTCCCGCGCAGCGCCAGTGGCAGCCAGCGATTCACCTCCAGGGTCCGGGGGGTGGCTCTGTATGAGACGAGACCCCGGGATCACAAGAAGTCAGAGGTGGGGCTGGGCACTGCATGTGCCAACAGATTTATACTCTGGCTTCACCTTGGCGCTGCCTGCTGGTCTCCCAAGCCCAGATGCCCCCTCATCTTTCCTGTACAAGGGCCCTGTGGGCACTTTGTACCTCCTTCCCCAATTGAACCAACCTTGAAATCATTTGTTAACACTACTGTCACCCACCAGACCATGGGCTCCCCAGGATGGAGGCCGTGTCTGATTCATCCTTGTTTTTAACAACGAATACAACACTCAGGTCTAGAGTGTGTGGCTTTTATTTAGTGTTTGTTGTGTGAAAAAAATGAAGATATAAATGGAAGGAAAGGGTTGGGGTGAGGGCATGGGACTTCACTCTGACAGTCATCACGTCTGGTTCTAAGATCTCCTCTTTCTGCTCCCATCTCTGAGCAGTCCCTACGGGGTACATATGAACTTTTATGTCTCTTTCCTAATCCTTCTTAGTCCCAGAGAAGAAGTGACAGGGGCCAGGCAAGAGGACAAATGATCCACTCCCATATTTGTTAGGATGGGCTAGGTTATACCGTGGTAACAAATAACTACCTGAATCCTGGCATCTAAACGAAAAAAGCTGCTGGGCACAGTGGCTCACGCCTGTAATCCCAACATGCTGGGAGGCCAAGGCTGGTGGATCACCTGAGGTTAGGAGTTTGAGACCAGCCTGGCCATCACGACAAAACCCTGTCTCTGGTAAAAATACAAAAAATTAGCCAGGCATGGAGACAGGTGCCTATAATCCCAGCTACTCAGGAGACCGAGGCAGGAGAATCGCCTGAATCCGGGAGGTGGAGGTTGCAGTGAGCCGAGATCATGCCTCTGCCCTCCAGCCTGGGCGACAAGGGTGAAACTCTGCCTCCCAAAAAAAAAAAGAAAAGAAAAGAAAAAGAAAAAAGCACTTAAAAATGTTGTTTGTTTATTAGACTGCTTATTGTAAATGTTTATCACAAACTGGCTGGTTCTCTGCTCCACGTCGTTTTCCTTCTAGCACCCCAGTGTCGGAGAAACTTCCATCTGAGATGTTATTGATTGACAGCACAGAAGTCAAAATACTGCAGCAAATCACTCTCGCTCCTGATATTCTCTCACAGAAGTGACACCATCTCTGTTCACATTCCCATTGTCGAGACCAAGCCACACAGTCACCTAATCTCAGGGAGCTAGGAAATGCAATTCTGCCATGTGCCTAGGAGGAGAAATGAAAATATTTGGTGCAAGGTGCCAACAAGTACCAAGGCTCAAAAATTGAGATCTATCTGTCTATATCTAGGGCTCTCTCTCTTTCTCTGTCAAATGAGACTTCCTGCCACACTTTCTATTGCGCCGAATCCCATCTCACTACGCTATCACCTCTCTATAGCTAATCTATCATCCGTCTATTTATTTGCCTATTTCAGTAGCATTTGTTTCCTCACAGCAAGGTGTCTCTCCGGGTTCTGGGGAATTCTGCTAATGTCCTCATCTCCCATGGCAGGGTCCAACTGTGTGATCCTTAACACACCAGTTAAGTGTTAGGTGGGAGCTTCTTTTCTCCAGGTTTACTATCCCCCTTTAATACCTCTTGCTTCAAAAAGACCCCCCAAATTAAGGCAATTGGTTGGACGCAGTAGCTCATGCCTATAATCCCAGCACTTTGGGAGGCTGAGGCGGGTGGATTACCTGAGGTCAGGAGTTTGACACCAGCCTGGCCAACATGGTGAAACTTCGTCTCTAATGAAAACACAAAAATTAGCTAGGCATGTGCCTGTAATCCCAGTTATTTGGGAGGCTGAGGCAGGAGAATCTCTTGAACCAGGAAGGTGGAGGTTGTAGTGAGCAGAGATCATACCACTGTACTCCAGCTTGGGAGACAGAGTGAGACTCTATCTCAAAAAAAAAAACAAAACAAAAAACGAAAAAAGGCAACACCTGGGGTTCTCCATACGCTCTGACCGAATCCTCAGACAGATCATGAGAATCATCTTCTGCGAGGGGGACTATCCCTGGCCTCACTTGATCAATTATATTTCTCAACTCCTCGTGCCGGATTCTGGGCTTCCCGCACCCCCAGGTGTAGTGTTGTGGAGACTGAGAACAGGCACAGAAAGTGCTAACGGCCTCCTGGGCATGCTAGTGGCTAGGCTGGGTTTCGGTCAGTGCCGGAGCCAGGCCGCTGTAAGATTCAGGCCCGGTCTGCAAAAGGCCTGCTTCTCTGGCCTGAACGGTAAATGAAGCCTCAGCCCTCCCGGCCTCTCCCCTGTGTGCCTCTGTCTCCGAGGGTCTCCCTGATTTGGAATCTTACCGCTTGTTCTCTTTAGACTTACCTCTTAGTTTTTGGCCCTGGCTCAATACCCCTGCCCCATTCCAAGGACAGATCCCAGGGAGTGGCTTGGGGGACTTTAACCCTCTCCCTAATAATCTCCATCTACTTTATTCCCCCACCCCCACCTTACCTCTCTAAAGAAAATACCATCTAAATAACAATAGTTCACCTGCTGAGAAGTCAACACTTCAAGACAGGCCTTCAGGACCCTCATTCTAACCAGGGTATCACTTTTAAGCCCCCTCCTATAAGTAAATTGTGGGTCACACATACACTGGGACTCAGTTACTTGACACTTTGTCTTGATGGTTCTGACAAAAAGCTGTGACGTGACCCCAGTCCACCCAGCAAGGATGGGTCTGCAAAGGTCCAGGTCCCTGACAGCTGAGAAGAGTCTGTGGGAGCCTCTTGTCTTGTTGGAGAGGTCTAGAGAAGCAGACATGATGAGACTACTCTTCCCTGGTGGGTGATGAATTGAAGGGGGAGGAGCGCATATCTCTTAAAGCAAAGATTCTCCAAGTGAGGTCCCTGAACCAGCAGCATGGTCGCCACCTGAGAACTTGTTGGAAATGCAGATTCTTGGGCCCATCTAGAGGTCTTGAAAAAACTGTGGAGACAGGGAGCAGCCCTCTGTGCTTTAGGCAACTCTGATGCTGATGGCATCTGAGAACCACTGGCTTTGGCTTCGGCCGGTCTCTGGGTCTCCTGCAAACACATGGCGTATCTCTTACAACTCACACTGTTAGGCCGACCTCAGCCCTACTAGGTCGGAACCTCTGAGATTTCCCCAGGAGTTTTCACTTTAATAAATGTCCCTGGGGACGCTACTGTCATCAAAGGTTGCAGAAGACACAGGTTAAAAAAAAGGCCAAGAGGTCCAGGGTCTGGAAGGGTGGGAGTTCTGGATTTGGAAGGCTTAGGAAAGTCAGGGAGTTGCTCTAACTACAGGAGACCAAGAAAGAGAAAAATCTGGGAAGTGTTAGCTGGCTAAATTAACGTAGTCAGCTTATGATTATCCAGCTGGAGGACATATAGGCCCCTTGACCACCTGGTTCCCATTTAACCCAGTTAGGATACTGACGCTTCTACAGCTCTCCAGCTGCACACTAGCACCTCTCTGACTTTTCCCTCTGCTCTTCCTGAGAGCTTCCTGGTGCTTCCTCCATGTGCTGGGGAGACGCCCCAAGGCTGCTGGACCATCTTCTCATCCTGCCCCCCACTCCACCCCAGTGGAGGTTCCCATGGGACCCCTGTTGTATGGCAGCTGTCCTTTTCCTTGGCCACACAGTTGGGAGGACACTACTCTCCTCAGGTGCAGAACAGGGCCTCATTGCCCTTCAACAGAGCAGGGACCAGGCTGAGATTTTAAACAAGGCTCTAGGGATGGTTCAGGGAACAGTGAAAGGAAGTGTGACTCCAGAATGAGATCCTTGCAAGCAGACTTGACTCAAACTTTGTGATAAAGGACTTTTTTTTTTTTTTTTTGAGACGGAGTCTCACTCTGTTGCCCAGGCTGGAGTGCAGTGGTACGATCTCGGCTCACTGCAACCTCCGCCTCCTGGGTTCAAGTGATTCTCCTGCCTCAGCTTGCCAAGTAGCTGGGATTACAGGTGCCTGCCACCATGCCTGGCTAATTTTTGTATTTTTAGTAGAGACGGGGTTTCACCATGTTGGCCAGGCTGGTCTCAAACTCCTGACCTCATGATCCACCCACCTCGGCATCCTAAAGTGCTGGGATTACAGCGTGAGCCACCCCACCCGGCCGCCTCCTGCTTTCTTCTAAACCTGCCTCCACATGGCCATTGTAAATGTTCCCCAGATTTCTGTGCTTCGGAATCAGGGTCACAGTGGACCTCTGGCTTCTAGGAGGGTTCTCCCTTCACCATGGGCCCCTTTCCTTGTCCCAGAGCTGGCTGCTTCCTGGCATGACTCACTGTGGGCAAGACAGTTCCTTTTAAAGGAAGGTCTGCTTTCACCCCAGTCAGTTCAGGTCTCCCGGGAGGCAGATACCAGGGCAGGATGAGACACACAGGAGAAATGTGTGTGGAGCATGAAAGGGGCTTAGTCTTAGTCATTGGCTGTCTTCCATACCTCATCACCTGTCTGTAGGGTGTCAGAACAAATTAGTAACCATTAGTCAACTCCCCTGTCCTTGCAGGCATTATTCCCTTGTACATGCCAATGTCCAGCACTGGCAAGGTTGTCCCCCTTGGCCTAGACATTTTCACAGGTTGCAGACTATGAAATCTTCAGCACTTGGGCTGTCACTCTGAGTCTGGGATTATCCAGTCCCCACTTTCCATCCCAGAAGGAGTCTGACTTGCCAGCTGGGCAGCAAGTGAGCCAGTCTCCAATATCATCTTATCACCACTTTCCTCACACCACTCCTGGTACCCACTGTGAGTTCTCTGAGCAGTCAATGCCAAGTGACATGAGAAAAACAAGAGATTTACTAGAGCAAATGCCTGTGAATGATTAAAAGGGAGAGCAGGATCAGGTTGGGAGAGACTTCAGACTGAGAGGCAGCTCTGACACCTGAGAAGGGAGAGCAGGAAGGAAAGATTAGACCAGAGGAGCCTCGGGCTGCAACATGTTCTGAGAAAGTCTTGGCCAGGACAGTTGGGTGACCCAAGAAAAATGCATTTATTGGAAGATCCTCGTGCTGGGCAGCAATGGCCTGGCTCCGGGACTCCGGCTGTGCTCATCTTGTGCTGGGAGCAGCCCAGGGGAAGTGTGGCTTGGCATGAAGCCTATGGGGGGTCTGAAGGTGCAGCAGCTGGAGGCTGCCAGTCATCCACATTCCCTGCAGCAGGCTCTCTTGAAGAGGGAGCCAAATGATGTATTTCTACGGCCACCACGTACCCAATGAGTTTTGGCCCACAGCCCAATAGCCCGAGAAGACATTTGCACAGCCATGTCCTTTCCCAGCCACTGTCCCAGTCCTGGGTATTGAGCCATCAGTGGTCTCCTGTGGCACAGCAGTAGCCTATCAGGCTCAGTGCCATTCCTTCTCAGCCTCTCATCAAAAGCTCAGCTATGCTTAGGATCCAATCCTATGCAGAGATAACTTGCTTCCTAATAAAGTAACTTCATGGAAAGGTACTAGGAATTGATTTGAGTTTTTTATAGCGGGAAGTTACATCAGAGAATTTTGTTTTAGTCCCTCCCGCAATCAGTTATGGCCCCAACAGCAAACAAATGGCACGCTCAGATTAGGGTACTTTGTGGAGGTCTTATTTACAAAGGTGTGGGCAGGATGCAGGAAGGCCACAATGGGTAGTGCAGTGCTCTGGGTCAGTGACAGCTAAGTTCTCACCATCCCTAGGTCCTGGATGGGGCAGGAGGACAGAGTCACACAGAGGAGACCATCTTGAGAAGAGCAGTGACCTCTCAGGTGACTCAGGAGTGACTCAGGACAAAGTCTGAAGCAGCCGCTCCAGGAGTGACCCTGAGGAGAAGGAGTCTACCCTCACTCCATTTCCTTCCCTCATTGGCCACACCCAACCAGAGACCAGAGGGGAAGGGAGTCCCTGATGTGGTCCAGACAGGTGAGCTTCCCAGGGGAGAGAGCAGGTGCTGAGTGGACTGGGGTGGGGAAAGAGAGCACATGCTCTAATCCTAGAATTGAGGTGCAGTCCAAGGTCACACAAATGGTTGAATAAAGGAGATGGGCAACAATTCATCCTTCATTCATCTACTTAGCAAATATATTTTCCAGTCAGCACAGTGCTAGGTCCTGGAAATACAAAGATGAGCAAGTAGTAACTTTGTTCCCTGCTGGGCATCCTGAGGCCTTAAGGACATTGAGTGACATCAGGTTTGGAAGCTGTGGCAGTTCTATTTTTCTTAATATCATGGTCTCCTATTGCTGACAGAGAATTGAGATATAAGCTACAGTTACTATTTTGAGTAAGAATCTGCCTGTATCAATGACTGAGAGAGGCTGGGAGGGGTCTCCTCACCCATTGAAGCCTGAATCCCATCATTTGGGTTCAGAATTGGGTCATAAAGGATTTTTTCATTTTTGAGAGTTCCCTATGATAATGCAACCTCCAGCTCTCACCCCAGGATGGTTAAGTCCTTCTGTCCCCGGCTCTCAATACTGGCTGCTCTTGGGAATCACCGGGAGAGCCTTCAAGAATGCAGATACAGGCTGGGCGGGGTGGCTTACACCTGTAATTCCAGCACTTTGGGAGGCTGAGGCAGGAGGATCCCTTGAGACGAGGAGTTCAAGACCAGCCTGGGCAACGTAGTAAAATTCTGTTTCTACAAAAAATAAATAAATTAGCTGGGCGTGGTGGTGCATGCCTGTAGTCCTTGGGAGGCTACTTGGGAGGCTGAGGTGGGAGGATCCCTTGAGCCCAGGAGTTCAAGGCTGCGGTAGTGAGCTGTGATTGCACCACTGCACTTCAACATGGGTGACAGAGCAAGATCCTGTCTCTAAACAAACAAAACAAAACCAAAAGCAAAACACAGATACCTGGGCCTACTCCCAGAAATTCTGTTTAACTGGCCAGTGGGACCCAGCCTGCTACATGTTTAGATTCTCACCTACAGCCAGGCCTGAGTGCCAGTGAACCACTACCTGAAACCTTCGCTGAGAGTCAGTTATGAGCAAAACTGTTGCCAGGGATGGAGGCAAACATTAGCACTGAGAAGGGAAACAGGGACACCAAAGACCTTTACAGTTTTGTTCAGTGTGGGCCACGCTGGGGTGGGGGACATACGTGAACCTGCATCAGGGCTTCCTGTAATCCAACTGGCATGGGTGGCAGGGTCACGGGATCCCTATCTGTTGGAACGAAGATGATATGGAGGCTGTGCATAGTGGGCACCCATGGACTGCTTAGGAGTGAGCTGCCCTTGAGGGCAGGGCCCATCTGGGGTGAGGTGAGGGAGGATTCACCCTCAGGGAGCCCAAGTATGGGGCTGGGTCCTGTCTTATTTACAATTTTGATATTTTATTCATCAGGGATATTTTGCATTAATTTTGATTTGCATTAAAATATCAGTTATGGTGATCACTGAGTTCTCTGGTGCTCCTTTCCTTTTTTTGTTTTGTTTTTTTGCCAGAGCTGGTGAGACTCAGCTCACCTGGTCCCAGCCCTACTCTGGGGCAAGGGACACGGCATTTATTGCAGTGCTGTTGGCTGCAGCTTATGATTATGGGAATAGGTTTTGTTTGCAATGGGACAAACTTGGATTTGAACCTCAGCCTCAGTGGTGTGACCTTGGGCTGGTCATTCACCTCTCTGAGCCTCAGTTTCATTCACTGTAATCTCCTGGGGATAACAGAAATCCCTAGGCTAGGTGGTAGGGCTGCCAGGGTGAAAGTCACACATCAGACGTACCTGCAGTGCCATGGCAGGACCTGCATAGAGCGGGCCACCAGAATGGGTTTCGTCAAGGGTCCTGGGTGGCAGTGCATGGCACTAAGGCTGAGTGAGGCATGCTTGTTACCCTGCACTCCCCCCAGCCCCACTCCCATCCCCACCCCCATCCCCCCCACCCCCACCCTCCTGCGTGCCCGCCTCCCTGGCTCCGCAGCAGATGGTTCTGCGCCTCCTCTTTTCAGGTGCGAGTGAGCCTTGGCAGCTCCAGGTTCTCCCTTTCATCCACCGGCCCCCAGCCTCCTCCTGCCCTGGCTACCTCTCCAGGCTCCCCGACACCATTGTCCGGCCCCCGCGGCGTCCCTGTCCCCGCAGCACACAGAGGCCCCTTTGTCTCTGGCCCACACCTGACTGCGGCTCAGCAAGGCGGTGACAGCACTGCTGGCGCGCAGCCAGGCAATAACAACATTAGTCATGCCTTTTCCAGAAAGGCCTCGTAAACCTGCAAGGGTCTGGGTGCCCCTAGGTGGCCCTGGGCGGGTGTTTTTCATTTCCTTTGCCTGTTGATTTTTAAATGCAGCTGCTTTTTGGTGCCAAATGGAGACCCTCTGGGCCAGCCTTGGGGCTGCTCCCTGGTGCTCTGGCTCGAGGGGACCATCACCACCTTGGCCCCTGCAGACCTGAACACTGAGCATTGTGAGTTCTGGGGTCAACGGCTCCAGACACAAAGGCGAATCTGTGGGTTTCCCCTGGGCCATTGGAGAAAACCCTGTGGCAGCTCCTTTTTTCCTTCCTTCCCAGAGCACCCTGTTGCCCATCACCTGGCACTGGCAACCCCTGAGGTGCAGGCCACTCCTTACTAGGGGTTTTCTTTTTTTCTTCTTCTTTTTTTGTTTTGAGACGAAGTTTTGCTCTTGTTGCCCAGGCTGGAGTGCAGTGGCACCATCTCTGCTCACTGCAACATTTGCTTCCTGGGTTCAAGCGATTCTCCTGCTTCAGCCTCCTGAGCAGCTGGGATTAGAGGCGTGTACCACCATGCCGGGCTAATTTTGTATTTTTAGTAGAGATGGAGTTTCACCATGTTGGCCAGGCTGGTCTCGAACTCCTGACCTCAAGTGATCTACCCGCCTCGGCCTCCTAAAGTGCTGGGATTTGGGGTTTTCTTAATCCTCCCTTGGAGACATCCAGAAGGAGGTGGGGATCATGACTGCTAAGGAGTGAAGCTACCTGCCCAGCATGTCAGGACAAAGCAGCCCTGCACCCAGTGGCTTCCTTCTGCAGAAACGCTGGAGCACAACATGGAGTGGGAGGGCTGGCTTTGGGGAGGCTCTGGCACTGGAGTATCTGCATTGCGGGGGCCTGGTGCTGAGGGGGTGTCCCTGTCAGTGGGGGCTCCTGGCATTGAGGAGCCCCAGGCACTGGGGAGCTCCTGGCACTGGGGAATCCTTGGCAGTTAGAAGCCAGGCTGTTGGTACAACTGAAACTCAGAGCTGACTGTGGTGATCTTTAGGGCTGTCTACAAAGATCTGCGTGTTTTTCTCCCCCTAGGCATGTGATAGGATTGCATTTTCTTGTCTTCTTGAACGCAGGCATTTTTTGAGTGGAAATGACTGTGCTGCTTTTGAGTGAGCATTTGAAAAGCCTGTGCTTTGCTTTGCAACATTCTTTCCCTTTGCCATGGTAACTGGCAATGTCCTAGATAGTGGCCTCCCCGTCCTGTCCCCCCACCCTCATCAACCTGGGGCCTGGAGTGAGGACGATGAGCCGCTGACCGTGGTTGCCCCTTAGCATAACCTGGCCCATCCCGCCTGCTGCACTGACCGGCCCTCCCAGCTTGGCACAGGCCATAGAGACAGGCAGGAAAAATACAATTTCTTGACCCCTTATAAACCTGCAGAGTTTTCTTGGTGAGCTGGGAGACTCTGCAGCAGGTCAGAGAAGCACCCTAAGTGCGTGGCACCCATGACTCTCCATCTGCTCATGCCTTGCCTATCTTTAAAAGGTGGATGAAATATTATTTACAGCATGAAGCCTTCTATAAATAGGGTGGACGGCCTTACCACATAAAAACCCAGGACACACAGCTGAATTTGAATTTCAGATAAACAGTGCTACGCAATGTATAATTTTTTTCAGTATAAGCAATGTTTGTGACATACTTATACTAAAACTTATGCATTGTTTATCTGAAATTCAAATTCAGCTGGGTGTCTTGTATTTTATCAGGAAATCCTATCTATAATCTTTCTTTCCTCTAACCAATATAGCATTTATAACTCTATTTATGACTTTCTGCCCAGGATTGTAATAATGATGTTCCCATTTTATCTGTCCCGTTGGACTTTGGGCTTCTTGAGGGTACACCCATAGATCTCAGGTATCTGGCGCAGCCCCCAACCCAGACCCCTCGCTTAGTACAGGCATTAACTTAACGAAAAAGTTGGTTCTGATGTGGCGGAAGGCTTTTAGAGGTGCTCAAAGAGAAAAAAAAGGACAGCACAAAGAATTAGACATTTGTGTTTTTCTCGCTTCCTTCCAAATAACATCAGAGTCTAGCATTTTGTATTTTGCGGTGACCATGGACCTAGCAGCTGGAAGGAGACCCTAACTTCTTTTCTAGGTTGTTATCGTCCTTTCCCAGCAGACCCTATGCTGGAAACTGAGCTAGTACTTCCAGGGTCCGTGCGCCTCTCTGAGAAGCTGCTCTGCAAACTCTTGCATCCTCGTGGGTATGGGGGCACTGGGAGGCACCGTCCTGGAAAGGGAACATGTCACAAACAGCCAATGCGCTGGGCCTTCCTGGGCTCCAGCACACAGGTAGATGAACTTCCGCGGCTCCTCCAAGGCATCAACTCTGCTAAAGAACCCTGGGAACAAAGCTGTAGAGGACTGCAATGGGAGCTCCTGTCTTGAGCGTCCTTGGGTGTGGCACACGCCATGCTTTCGACCTTAGAAATCAGCGTTGGGAGCATCAAGGTTCCTGCATGTTGGACGTTGGCCAGTTTCTGCTATCTAGCCCTTAAAGAAATGTCAACATCCCGAGAGCAGATGTTCCTCACTCCTCACTGCCAAGACACTACTTAATGTTTATCTCACTTTCTCTTAGTCTGGGCTCAGAGTAAGGAAGTTTCTATTCATCCTCCAATTGCAGAAGCCAGCACTGGGTTTTCCTCCCCACGATGCTCTAGGTAGCTGTGTTCTCCCTGAGGTCCTGGATTATTGGGGAAGGCAGAAACAGCCCCAATTTTCAGAACCTTAGGCAACTTTAGACAACTACTACTGCCAGTGATAGACAATGTACCTCTAACTCAATTCAAACGAGGAAACTTTTACAAACATTTACGCAGCTGGTGAACTTCTCTACATTGCAGAGTTTTCCCCAGATTCATCCCAGTTCAGCTTCTCTCCCATCTCCATAACCACCTGCACCTCAGAATAAGCAGACAGAGCCATGATCACCAGAACTGGACTTACTGGGCATGCGCTCAGTGTTTCTTTGTGGGGGTTTCTTATCTTCTTGTAGAGGCTTGAGGTATGAAACCTGCATTTAGTCCCCAAAATGGGTCCAAATGGATCTATTGGCTCCCAGTGTTCTTGACACTTAGGTCCATATGAATGTCCCCTAGCAGCAACATCCATGCATCACGCACGCACAAGGTAAGCACAGGAATACATAGACCTGCAAAGAGAACGGAAGGAGGGAAACTTCGCTTGGATTATCCACTTATGCACTAACTTCCTCTCTCTCTTCCTTTCTCTGGTACATGCCCTATGCAATTGTGAAGGATAAAAAGCAGTGACAATGTCATGCTATCTCATGAAATTAGCACACAGTCATATCCCAGAAGAACCAAAGGGTTTATTTAAAGGACCCAAATGAGCCTGGGGTGGCTTCCTCCTGCAGTGTAGCCAATTCTCCTCCACACCAGGCTCAGGGGAAAGTGCTCACTGCTGGATCATAAGGAGCCCTAAGCCAAGGATGGCGGCTGCTTTTGGTGTCTATGGTCTCCCCAGCCCTAACACAGTGCCGGGCGTGCAACACATGCCTGCTGAATGAATGGGTGAGTGAATGCTGAAGAAATAAATGATGTGCACTTTACTTTATGCTCGGTTTTTTCTTTGGGCTCACCTTTCCCTGGCAGGGAACAGGAATGATTCTGGAAGTTGAAAGTAGGATGTGAGTCTGGGAAAGGCATCAAGGACAGCCATGACCCAGTTTAGCAATCCAGATCTCACCCTGACTCCCGTTGCATTTCTTTTGAGTTCTTATTTTTCTTTCTGCATCTGTAGATGTTCCTTTTTCTCTGTCCAGGGTCAACCCAAGCATGGGATAGACCCCCTTGGCTTCCTGCAACACCTTCCACGCCCACTCCCCATTATCAGATACGTTAGGAATTTCTACTGGAAATTGAAGGAAACAGGCAAATTCACCACATCCTGAGCTTTCCCTGCTCCTCTGTCTTCTTTCCCAATTTCTCTCACCCCCGAACCCTGTTCGCCTGAAGCTGTGGCCAGGACGAGCTTCTGAATCCCGGCCATGCTCTGCATCTTGACCTTGGTGATGGTTCCATGTGTATTTGCTTTACAATTATTTTTAAAACTGAACATATATGACTTACTCTTCTATATGTGCGTGTATCTTACATTAAAAAAAAGAAGGGAAGACTTTCTGTTCATTTCTCATGTGGTGTGGCTCAGCTATCTCTTATTTATTTTCTTCTATGTCCTTGGAGGCTTATCTTCTATTTCAAAGCAGTTTATCTACGTATTTTGCTAAACATGGGCAGTCCTCCCATTAACAGGAATGTCTTAGCATAAGATAAGATAAAATTTCATAGTAGGATGGACACCACATATTTTTGAGAACTGCTAGGGTCCAATATGGCCAGAACGTAGGGTGTGAGGCGCAGGGCCAGATGAAGATGGCAAGGTTAAGTGGGCCTGCTCTGGAGGACCCTGCAGGCCAGGCCAAGGTACATGCATCTTATCTTAGAGGCAGAAGGAGCCATGGATGTAAGCAGGGATCAGAGGTTCCCAGAAGGTGAGTTTAGAGCCTGGGAAACGAGGTAGGAGGGAATGTAATGAGTTCAGTCAGAAGAGTGGGCATGAGCAGGGGCGGTGTGGTGGAGAGGAAAGGGACAGGAGGCGTGCCTTGGGATAGACAGGACTCCCTGGCTGCTTAGATATGACATGGAAGGGAGAGGACAGACTGAGATACTGTCACATTTCTAGCTTGAGCAATGTGTGACTGTCATGCTGCTCTTGGAGATGGAGCAGTAGGAGGGAAACAGGCCCCGGTCAGTGTTCACATGCGGGATGCAGAGCAAACGGAGCCCAAGGCCAATGACAGACAGAATTCTAGGTTCCAATGGCCAAGTGTCTACCCCTGTTTAGTTAAAAACAGTGACTAGCCAATCCTAACCCTTCGTCTTATGGCCAGGGTGAGCAAACTCCTTAGCTGTGAGCATCACCATCTTAGGCAGTGACAAGAGTGGAAAGAAGGGAAGGAACAGAAAAGAAAGGGGATCAGGAGAGTCAAGCTAGAAGAAGAGGCCAGGAACAGCAAGTGAAATAGGAGAGGAAGCTAGGAGAGAAGAGATGTAAGAATGATGACATAAAAGACCAATGGCTGTGGTTGCTGTTTTAGTCGATTTTTGTGCCCCTCAAAAGAAATCCCTGGGGCTGGGAGCATGGGCAGAGGGCAGGTGCCACACTCTTTTGAACAACCAGACCTCCTCTGAACTCAGAGTGAGAACTCACTCATTACTACAAGGAGGGCACCAAGCGATTCAGGAGGGATCTTCTGTCATTGGTCCCATGACACAGACACCTCCCACCAGGCCCCATCTCCTGCATTGGGGATTACATTTCTTTTTTTTTTTTTTTTTTTGTGGTCTTTTTTTTTTCTTGTTTAATTCTTTCTTTCTTTTTATTATTATTATTATTTTTTTTTATTGATCATTCTTGGGTGTTTCTCGCAGAGGGGGATTTGGCAGGGTCACAGGACAATAGTGGAGGGAAGGTCAGCAGATAAACAAGTGAACAAAGGTCTCTGGTTTTCCTAGGCAGAGGACCCCACGGCCTTCCGCAGTGTTTGTGTCCCTGGGTACTTGAGATTAGGGAGTGGTGATGACTCTTAACGAGCATGCTGCCTTCAAGCGTCTGTTTAACAAAGCACATCTTGCACCGCCCTTAATCCATTTAACCCTGAGTGGACACAGCACATGTTTCAGAGAGCACAGGGTTGGGGGTAAGGTCACAGATCAACAGGATCCCAAGGCAGAAGAATTTTTCTTAGTACAGAACAAAATGAAAAGTCTCCCACGTCTACCTCTTTCTACACAGACACGGCAACCATCCGATTTCTCAATCTTTTCCCCACCTTTCCCACCTTTCTAGTCCACAAAACCGCCATTGTCATCATGGCCCGTTCTCAATGAGCTGTTGGGTACACCTCCCAGACGGGGTGGTGGCCGGGCAGAGGGGCTCCTCACTTCCCAGTAGGAGCGGCCGGGCAGAGGCGCCCCTCACCTCCCGGACGGGGTGGCTGGCCGGGCGGGGGGCTGACCCCCCAACCTCCTTCCCGGCCGGGCGGGGGGCTGACCCCCCAACCTCCTTCCCGGACGGGGCGGCTGGCCGGGCGGGGGGCTGACCCCCCCCACCTCCCTCCCAGACGGGGCGGCTGGCCGGGCAGAGGGGCTCCTCACTTCCCAGTAGGGGCGGCCGGGCAAAGGCGCCCCTCACCTCCCGGACGGGGCGGCTGGCCGGGCGGGGGGCTGACCCCCCCACCTCCCTCCGGGACGGGGCGGCTGGCCGGGCGGGGGGCTGACCCACCCACCTCCCTCCCGGACGGGGCGGCTGGCCGGGCAGAGGGGCTCCTCACTTCCCAGTAGGGGCGTCCGGGCAGAGGCGCCCCTCACCTCCCGGATGGGGCGGCTGGCCAGGCGGGGGGCTGACCCCCCCCACCTCCCTCCCGGACGGGGCGGCTGGCCGGGCAGAGGGGCTCCTCACTTCCCAGTAGGGGCGGCCAGGCAGAGGCGCCCCTCACCTCCGGGATGGGGCGGCTAGCCAGGCGGGGGGCTGACCCCCCCACCTCCCTCCCGGACGGGGCGGCTGGCCGGGCGGGGGACTGACCCCCCCACCTCCCGGACAGGGCGGCTGGCCGGGCGGGGGGCTGACCCCCCCATCTCCCTCCCGGACGGGGTGGCTGCCGGGCGGAGACCCTCCTCACTTCCCAGACAGGGTGGCTGCTGGGCGGAGGGGCTCCTCACTTCTCAGACGGGGCGGCCAGGGAGAGACGCTCCTCACATCCCGGACGGGGCGACAGGGCAGAGGCGCTCCCCACATCTCAGACGATGGGTGGCCGGGCAGAGAGGCTCCGCACTTCCTAGATGTGATGGCGGCCGGGAAGAGGCGCTCCTCACTTCCTAGATGGGATGGCGGCTGGGCAGAGACGCTCCTCACTTTCCAGACTGGGCAGCCAGGCAGAGGGGCTCCTCACATCCCAGATGATGGGCGGCCAGGCAGAGACGCTCCTCACTTCCCAGACGGGGTGGCGGCCGGGCAGAGGCTGCAATCTCGGCACTTTGGGAGGCCAAGGCAGGCTGCTGGGAGGTGGATGTTGTAGCGAGCCGAGATCACGCCACTGCACTCCAGCCTGGGCACCATTGAGAGACTCCGTCTGCAATCCCGGCACCTCGGGAGGCCGAGGCTGGCAGATCACTCGCGGTTAGGGGCTGGAGACCAGCCCGGCCAACACAGCGAAACCCCGTCTCCACCCAAAAAATACGAAAACCAGTCAGGCGTGGCGGCGCGCGCCTGCAATCGCAGGCACTCGGCAGGCTGAGGCAGGAGAATCAGGCAGGGAGGTTGCAGTGAGCAGAGATGGCAGCAGTACAGTCCAGCTTCGGCTCGGCATCAGAGGGAGACCGTGGAGACGGAGAGGGAGAGGGGGAGGGGGAGGGGGAGGGGGAGGGGGAGGGGGAGGGAGAGGGAGAGGATTACATTTCAATGTGAGATTGGGAGGGGACAAACCATATCAGCTGCCACAGGGAACAACCCTTTCTTCAGAGTGTACATTCATTCACTTATTCACTCACTTGTTCATTCATTCAAGAGGAGCTTAAGTGACTGTTAGGTGCAGGCTCTGTGCACAGGATTAGTGAAAGTTCCCTGGTAAACAAATCGGACGTAATTCCTACCCAGGTGGAGTTTACAGTCTGGTAGGTTAGGCAAGTAATGAACACATAAAAACAGAATAAATGTGTAATTAACAAAGTGTGATAAGGACTGTGGAGGAACAATGAAGAAGGCTATGAGAGAATAACAGGGGGGACTGGATTTAGGAACGTGTCCGTCGCGGTGTGTATCTGCAGTTGTATGTGTGGTTGTGTGTGTGTGTGAGATTCTGTAAGGCAGGGTCAGGGAAGGCTTCTTTATGGAAGGATGAAAATTTGAAGGATGAAAAGGCAGGCAGTGCTAGTCAGAACAGGTAGTAACGACCAACCCCCAAGTCTCAGTGGCTTAACATAATAAAATTTTACTTTTCATTCACATTCGTCAGTAGAGAATCTGGGCAGCTCCTCAGGGCAGCTGCCTTCCAGATGTGGCTCAGTGTTCCAGGAGGCTTTGATCTTCCAGCATCTCCATGTTAACTTGTCTTCCAACAGCATCACAGCAGGCAACAGAGCATGGAGAAATGCACTCTGATGCCGAAATTCCTCTGCTGCTGACCCATGTCCTATCCACCGACATCTCACTGGCCACAGCATACCCCATGCCATGCCTAATTTCAAGGCGACAGAGCCCGAAAGGAGAGAGAGCCAGACATCTTGGGAAGTGCTAGTAATGCCTACCACATGGGCCAAGTGTGGGGAGAAGGGCATTCCAGGCTGTAAAGGAGTTCAGGAAATGGGGGAGGGGGCTCAGGTGGCTGGAGTAAGTGAGCAAAGGTAATGCAGTCAGAGTTGATTTTTTTTTTGAGACAGAGTCTCACTCTGTCTTGCCCAGGCTGGAGTGCGGTGGCACGATCTCGCCTCACTGCAGCCACGTTCAAGCGATTCTCCTGTCTCAGCCTCCCGAGCAGCTGGGACTACAGGCGTGTGTCACCACACCCAGCTAATTTTGTATTTTTAGTAGAGACGGGGTTTCACCATGTTGGCCAGGCTGGTCTCGAACTCCTGACCTCAGGTGATTCACCCACCTCAGCCTCCGTGAGCCACTGCACCCAGCCAGAACTGATTGAAGAGGTGTCCACGGTCAGATCCTACACAGGAAGGATTATGAATTCTATTCTAACCACAGCCTAAGGTTTTAACACAAGGGAGTCAGGGCGCATGATTTATAGTTTAAAATGGCGGTTTGAGTTGTTCTATAGAGAAATGGAGGAGGAGGCTGTGGAAGCCGTCGAGGCTAGAAATGATACTGGCTTGGGCCTAGAGCAGTAGAGATGGAGAAAAAAGTATAATTGAGACATATATTGGTGGTAGAGTTGATAGGGTTGAGTGATAAATTGGAATGGAGGAATAAGAAAGGTCAAGAATGACAGATAATTTTCTGGATCAAGCAACTTAATGGATGGTGATGCTGTGTATGGAGGCAGGGATGCGAGAGGAGGAATAGAGAGAGAGAGACTGTGTGCGTGTATGTGGTGTGTGTGTGTGTATGTGGTGTGTGTATGTGGTGTGTGTGTGTATGTGGTGTGTGTATGTATGTGGTGTGTGTGTATGTGGTGTGCGTGTATGTGGTGTGCATGTATGTGGTGTGTGTGTATGTGGTGTGCGTGTGGTGTGTGTATGTACGTGGTGTGTGTGTATGTGGTGAGTGTATATATGGTGTATGTGGTGTGTGTGTATGTGGTGTGTATGTGGTATGTGTGTATGTGGTGTGTATGTGGTGTGTGTGTGTATGTGGTGTGTGTGTGTATGTGGAGTGTGTGTATGTGGTGTGCGTGTATGTGGTGTTTGTGTATGTGGTGAGTGTATATATGGTGTATGTGGTGTGTGTGTATGTGATGTGTATGTGGTTTGTGTATATGTGGTGTGTATGTGGTGTGTGTGTATGTGGTGTGTGTGTCTGTGTTGTGTATGTGGTGTGTGTGTACCTGTTGTGTATGTGGTATGCATGTATGTGGTGTGTGTGTGTGTGTTGTGTATGTGGTGTATGTGTCTGTGGTGTGTATGTGGTGTGTGTGTAAGTGGTGTGTGTGTCTGGGGTGTGTGTGTATGTGGTGTGTGTGGTGTGTTCGTGTATGTGGTGTGTCTGTGTATGTGGTGTATGTTGTGTGTATGTGATGTGTATGTGGTGTGTGTGTGTATGTATGTGGTGTGTGTGTATGTGGTGTGTGTGTGTATGTGATGTGTGTGTATATGTGGTGTGTATGTGTTGTGTATGTGGTGTGTGTGTGGTGTATGTTGTGTGTATGTGGTGTGTATGTAGTGTGTATGTGGTGTGTGTGTGTGTCTGGTGTGTGTGTCTGTGGTGTGTGTATGTGGTATGTGTGTATGTGGTGTGTGTGTCTGTGGTGTGTGTGTTTCTGGTGTGCATGTGGTGTGTATGGTGTGTGTGTCTGTGGTGTGTCTGTGGTGTGTGTGTATGTGGTGTGTGTTTGCATGTGGTGTGTGTGTGTCTGTGGTGCATGTGTATGTGGTGTGCGTCTATGTGGTGTGCATGTATGTGGTGTGTACGTGGTGTGTGTGTATGTGTTTTGTATGTGTTGTGTGTGTACGTGGTGTGCGTATGTGGTGTGTGTATGTAGTGTGTGTGTATGTGGTGTGTATGTATGTGTTGTGTGCATGTGGTGTGCGTGTATGTGGTGTGTGTGTGTGGTGTGTGTATATGTGGTGTGTGTGTCTGTGGTGTGCATGTGGTGTGTCTGTGGTGTGTGTGTCTGTGGTGTGTGTGTATGTGGTGTGTATGTGGTGTGTGTTTGTATGTGGTGTATGTGGTGTGTGTGTATGTGGTGTGTGTATGTTGTGTGTGTGTGGTGTGTGTGTATGTGGTGTGTGTGTATGTGGTGTGCGTGTATGTGGTGTGTATGTGGTGTGTGTTTGTATGTGGTGTGTATGTGGTGTGTGTCAGGGGTGTGTGTATGTCGTGTGTGTGTATGTGGTGCGTGGCTCTGTGGTGTGTGTGCATATGGTGTGTGTCTATGTGGTGTGCTTATATGTGGTGTGTATGTTGTGTGCGTGTGTGTTGTGTATGTGGAGTGTGTGTGTGTCTGTGGTGTAGTGTCTGTGGTGTGTGTATGTGGTGTGTGTGTCTGTGGTATGTATGTGGTGTGTGTAGGTGTGTATGTGGTGTGTGTGTCTGTGGTGTGTGTGTATGTGGTGTGTGTGTGTGTCTGTGGTGTGTTTTTGTGGTGTGTATGTGGTGTGTCTGTGGTGTGTGTGTCTGTGATGTGTGTGTCTGTGGTGTGTGTCTGTGGTGTGTGTGTGGGTGTGTGGGTGTGGGTGTGGTGTGGGTGTGTGGGTGTGGGTGTGGTGTGGGTGTGGGTGTGGTGTGTGGGTGTGGGTGTGGGTGTGTGGGTGTGGGTGTGGGTGTGGGTGTGGTGTGGGTGTGGTGTGTGTGGGTGTGGTGTGTGGGTGTGGTGTGGGTGTGGGTGTGGTGTGTGGGTGTGGGTGTGGTGTGTGGGTGTGGTGTGTGTGGGTGTGGTGTGTGTGTGGGTGTGTGTGGGTGTGGTGTGGGTGTGGGTGTGGTGTGTGTCTGTGGTGTGTACATGGTGTGTGTGTGTGCGTGTGGTGTGTGTATGTGGTGTGTGTGTGTCTGGTGTGTGTGTGGTTTGTGTATGTGATGTGTGTGTGTCTGTGGTGTGTGTGTATGTGGTGTGCGTGTATGTGGTGTGTATGTGCTGCGTGTGTTTGTGGTGTGTATGTGGTGTGTTTGTATGTTGTGTGTGTGTGTGGTGTGCGTGTCTGTGGTGTGTATGTGGTGTGTGTATGTGGTGTGCGTGTATGTGGTGTGTATGTGGTGTGTGTGTGTATGTGGGGTATGTGTATGTGATGTGTATGTTGTGTGTGTGTATGTGGTGTGTGTGTATGTGGTGCGTGTATGTGGTGTGTGTGTATGTGGTGTGCATGTATGTAGTGTGTATGTGGTGTGTGTATATGGTGTGTGTGTATGTGGTGTGTATCTGGTGTGTGTGTATCTGGTGTGTGTGTATGTGGTGTGTTCATGTGGTGTGTGTGTGCATGTGGTGTGTGTGCGCATGTGGTGTGTGTGTGCATGTGGTGTGTGTGCGCATGTGGTGTGTATGTGGTGTGTGTGTGTGTCTGTGGTGTGTGTGCATGTGGTGTGTATGTGGTGTGTGTATGTATGTGGTGTGTGTGTATGTGGTGTGTGTGTGTGTGCATGTGGTGTGTGTGTATGTGTGTTGAGGGTGAGAGGTCTAGGGTTCAGTTTTGTACAGTGCAGCGAGAGATCCCTGTGAAGCACCCCAGTGGGAATGTCAGGGGGGCAGCTGAGTGAGATGCCTGACTCTCAGGGGTATTAACATTAGATGAACAAATGCTTCACTGTTGCACTTACAGAGAAGGAGACTCTAATGGGACACCCTGGGCTGTCTTCCCACTCACCCACAGTCCTTTCTCCAAGTACAAATGGTACTGCTTATTTTAAAATATAGCATATTAACAGGAAATTGGAGCCACAATAAAGCCAACAGATCAGAAGATGATTGCCATTGAGAAGATAGTTGTGGCTGCACACAGTGGCTTACGCCTATAATTCCAGCACTTTGGGAGGCCGAGGCAGGAGGATTGCTGAGGCCAGGAGTTTGAGACCAGCCTGGGCAACATAGGGAGACACTGTCTGTACAAAAAATTTAAAATGAAAAAAAGTAGCCAGGCACGATGGTGTGCGCCTGTAGTTCCAGCTACTCAGGAGGCTTGAGGCGGGAGGATCACTGTTACCCAGGAGTTCAAGAATGCAGTGAGCTATGGTTGTGACACTGCACTCCAGCCTGGGCAACAGGGCAAGATCCTGCCTCTAAACAAATTAAAAAAGAAGAAGAAGAAGAAGAGATAGTTTGTTACTCACAGTTCCTAAGAGAAGAAGGCACACCCTGCATGGGGTGCCACGTGGGGAAGCACTGGGTTGGGGGCAGAGGAAGAGGGAGGCAGGGTGGACAGGGCTGGGATTGGCTAGTTTGAACCCTTTCAGTGGGCTCTGGGGCGTAGGGACTGTCCCTAGCCGTCTGATCCCTGGCCCTAGGGTCATTAGGGGAGGTGGATAGTGGCTCAGAGCAGGAAAGCCAAATAGAGGAAGTGGTTTGGGTATGAACTCTGGATTGGTTTGTTTACATTTTAAAAGCATCCTCCTGCGTGAGTTGTTTACTATCTTCAGGAGTTGGCGGAACTGAATTTGACCAGCATGACTCTAGAGGTCAAAGCATCAGAAAATAAAGGATATAATGTCCTGCCACACTGTGTAACAGAGGCCCACACTGTGCGCCTAAGCCCCCAACAATGTTGAGAGGTTTAATGACTTTTTTTGTTTGTTTTGGAGACAGGGTCTCACTCTGTTGCCCAGGGTGGAGTGCAGTGGTGTGATCATAGCTCACTGCAACCTCAAACTCCTGGGCTCCAACGATTCCTCTGCCTCAGCCTCCTGAGTAGCTGGGAATACAGGCATGCGCCACTACGCCCAGCAAATTTTATTTTTTGTAAAGACGGGGTCTCATTTTGTTGCCTCAGCTAGTCTCAACTCCTGGCCTCAAGTGACCCTCCTGCCTCAGCCTCCCAAAGTGCTGTGATTATAGGCATGAGCTACTATGCCCGGCCTTAATGACATTTTTAAAAGCATTTGTAAATGATGTTGAAAGTTATTCCAACACACTTACCACATAACACATTTGTTAGTCATCTGCTCTTAGTGATACATGTAACAATAGGATGTATCCATTCTTTCCCACCTCCTGACACCACTACCAAATACCTTTCTTGGCCTCAATGACTCTAAATGAACTTAGTTTAGACCAAACATGGGAGAAGGAAGAAAAAGCTGAAGGTTTATAGTTTATATTTAATTCTAATTTCCCCTTCTGAGAAACATTGTATTTTCATTAGAGGCATGGGTTGCCTGGGACATATGGTTATCAGGCCGGATTTTTAGTTGTCTACAAAGTAACACAGACATTACCAAAAAAAGTTCTCATGCAGTTGAATGACTAGGGAAAGGACCACCTGGATGGATGAAGATGTTGGTCTCAGCTGTGCACTCTTGCTGCCAGATTGCAGGGCTTACCTATCTCCTGATACTGAGCAGTTTCCAAACTAGTCACACAGATACCTAAGTAGGTCAGGTGCTCACAGCATGACTACTAAGTAGCTGCTCACTCTGCAGGAGGACGGGGAAGGGCTGGTCTGCTGCTTGCCGCAATGTTTGCTGCGCACTCAAAAAGTGCTGGGCCCTTGACCCTGGATTCCTCTGCTGAGGTGCATCCCACTGAGTGTGTAGCCCTCATCTGGGCCTGTTGCGCCATGGGACTCGGGGCAGGACGCCTGCTGCAAAGATGCTAGCACTCTCTGAAGTAAGTGAGTGTGCTGTGAATAATAACATCTTTCGTCTCTGATCCAGGAGTGTCATGTCTTCTGTCAGAATCCATGACACTTGTTAGCTCACAGCTGGGGTAAAACCTTAAACCTTCCACAGGTCTTGACATAAGAATCCAGCTATTGCATTAAAATATAACTAGTATATATTATAAAGCAGCTGCCAGTCCATGGAACAGGGAGAACTTGTGCTTAGGTGAGAGAGACACCTGGCCATGAACACTAACGGCCGTTTTAAAAGGAGACAAGCTTCTACTTCATTTGGATCTTAGGCAGTGGGGCATTCACATAAGATGATTGCTGGTTCGAAGGAAAGAACCAAAAAAAAAAAAAAAGAGAAACTTTTAGCTTTTGTTATGATTATGTTCCCAGCAAATTGATGATTTGTTTGAAGAATGAAAACTCCTAGAAGGGGTCACTGGAAAGGAAAAACTTAAAATGATGATGATCTGTAGGGTGATTTTCCTGAGAGAAAAGCATACTTTGCACTAATGGCTATCTTCCCAGTGAATTCATTTTGAAGCCAAAGTGGATAATTCCCAGCAGCCAGCCTCCACCCCAGGGGATCTATCCCCCATTCATCCAGACAGCAATGTTGATGGGTGGACAGTGGGGCAGCCCAGAGCCGAGTCCTTCCCTCACCCTTCCTGCCTGAAGTCGCCATCCCTCCATCAGCAGAGAGTGTAGTCAACTTGTTAACCACAGAGCAGGACACGTACGACTCCTTATTTCCTTATGTCTCTTTTAAGCACAGCTCCATTGCACCCATGTTCAATTTTAGCCTCAGCGTCTGCCCTTAGCCACAAGTTCCCGGCATCTCTGTGGGAATTCATGATTGTGAGAGGAAGACAAGCCCCGTGTGAAGGGATGATTCACCCTCTCCCTTGAGAGTTTCAGTCTCAAAGCTGCCAGCAAATGGGTCTTGATGGAGACAAGTAGGAGACTGAGTATTTGGGTAGATGTCGTCATTTTAAATCTCTGCTGGGAGGAAAAAAAAAACAACGAAAAAAATCAAAACAAAAGCCCTGTCAAACCGCATTATAGCCCTTCTCTACGTAATAACTAGGAGGTCAGAGTTGCAAAATGCATAGAGAAGAAGTATTCCTGTTCTACGAGGACTTTTAGGACAGGAAGAAAAAGCCATACAAAATGAGAAAGGCCTTGTTAAGGCTGGAAATGCTAACGTTTCACTGGTAGGTATCTGCTCTCGATGCAGTCTTCTCCATGGGTTCTGTGGTCCTTCTCCTCACCTTCCCACTGGCTGCATCCCCATCCTTCGTTTCCTCCTTGCTCTTTTGCTCAGGGTTGCCTTCTCTGCTTCTTAGTCACTTGTCCCATTTCTGTGGCTTCATTTCTGTCATTTTGTCCTTTCTCTTTTGATATATCAGACCATGATCTGGTTTGAGTTCTTTGTGCACACATGTATGTGTGTTAGATATTAAAAGAAAGAAAGAAAAAAATATATATATAATGCAGTGGGCAAAAAGCCCTAGGGCAGTTTGGAAACAGACAACAGCCTCAGCCTACTGCTTCGCATTCAGTATCTTGCCTCATCCTGCAAAAATCCTATGGAGCATTAATAGACCCAGTTTACAAATGAGGAACTGAGGCTCCCAGAGGTTGAGTAGCTTACCTGGGGTCACACAGGTGGTATACTGTGGAGCCATGGTCAGCTCTACTGCTCACTCTTCATTTCAGAGTGTGTCTAGCTAAGGGTGCTGGAAGGGAAGTGAGCCTCGAGCAGTGGGGTAGCTTGGATTTTGGAAGCAGCACACCTGGGTTCATAAATTGGCTTCTTCATGGACTAGCTCTGTGACTTAGCCTTTCTGGGATTAATAATAGTGATTCTCAGAGGGTCATTGTAAGGATTAAATGAGGCGATGGAGGAAAAGGTAGTGTGTCTGGCACATAGTAAATGCTTAATTAATGTAGCTAGGCCTGAAACCTAGGAGTCATCCTCAAATCTTCCCTTTTTCTCACATCCCACATCCAGTCCATCAGCAAGTCCTGTCAGCTCTACCTTCCATGTATCCAAACCTGGTCACTTCTCACCACCACCTCTTAACCTCAGTCCTCATCGCCTCTTACCAGGGAACTGAAACTTCCAACTGGCTCTGGGTTTCCACTCTTGTCCCCTTTGGCCAGGGCGATCCTGTTAAAATATAAGTCAGATTACACTCTTCCAATGTTTGGAACCCTCTGAAGATATCCAATATTATTGCACAAAGTTAATAGCTGAGGCCCAACAATGGGATGCTCAAGCCCGACAGCAGCACTTTACAAACTGTAATGTGCACATGAGCTACTGAAGATGTTGTGAAAGTGCAGCTCTGACTCAGTGGGTCTGGGGTAGAACCCAAGATTCTGCATTTCTATCAAGCACTCAGCTGCTGCTGCTGGTCCAAGACCCTAGTATTGAATAGCCAGATGCCACATTATCTGCACTCCACCTCCACCTTATCTCCTCTGTTATCCCCTTGCTAAACCTGCCCACCTTCATTGGCCTCCTTGTTGTGCCTCAACGCACCAAGTAGGTTCTACCTGAGGGCCTTTGAACGTCCTGTTTCTCTCTGTCTGGGAAATTCTATCTCCAGACACGTGATTAGCTCACTCCCTCACTTCCTTTAGGTATTGACTCCAATGTCACCCTCTCGGCAAAAGGTTGCCTGACATCTGTTCTTAAAATTGCATAACCCACCCCCAGCAACACTATTGGTTTCCATTCTCTTTGCTTTTGTTCATAGACTACAACTTTCTAACATCATACATATCATACTTATTTTGGTTTTTGTCAATCTTTCCCAGCTAGAAAGTAAGCCTTTTTTCAAAAGGTGAATTTATTTTTATATATTTGTCTTTAATTTTTTTAAGTGTTAGATTCAGGGGGTACCTGTACAGGTTTCTTACACGGGTGTATTGCATGATGCTGAGGTTTGGGCTTCTAATGATCCTGTCACCCAAGTAGTGAACATAGTACCCGATAGGTAGCTTTTCAACCCTTGACCCACTCTTTCCCACCTTTTGGGATCCCCCATGTTTATTGTTCCCATCTTTGTGTCCTGTGTACTCAATGTTTAGCTCCCACTTATAAGTGAAAACATGTGGTATTTGGTTTCCTGTTTCTGCACTAATTTGCTTAGGATAATGGTCTCCAGCTGCATCCATGCCATGTCGCTGCAAAGGACATGGTTTCATCCTTTTTTATGGCTGTGTAGTATTCCATGGTGTATATGTACCACATTTTCTTTATCCAGTCTACCAGTGATGGGCACCTGAGTTGATTCCATGTTTTTGCTATTGTGAACAGTAGTAGGATGAACATATGAGTGCAAATGTCTTTTTGGGAGAAGGATGTATTTTCTTTTGGGTATATACCCAGTCATGGGATTGCCAGGTTGAATGATAGTTCTATTTTTAATTCTTTGAGGAATGTCCAAACTGCTTTCCACAGGGGCTGAAATAAGTTACATTCCCACCAACAGTGTATGAGTTATTCCCTTAACAACCTCACCAACATCTGTTATTTTTTTACTTTTTAGCAATAGCCATTCTGACTGGTGCGAGGTGGTATCTCATTGTGGTTTTGTGTCTAATCATCTCTCTGATGATTAGTGATGTTGAGCATTTTTTCATGTGTTTGTTGGTTGCATGTATGTCTTCTTTTGAGAATTGTCTTTTCATGTACTTTGCCCACTTTATAACCAAGTTAGCTTATTGGTTTGTTTAAGTTTCTTATAGTTTCTGGGTACTAATCCTTTGCTGGATGCATAGTTTAGAAATATTTTCTCCCATTCTGCAGTTTGTCTGTTTGCTCTGTCAATAGTTTCTTTTGCTGTGCAGAGGCTCTCAGAAAGCAAGCTTGATGAGGTCACACAGCCTTGTCTCTTTGTTCAGTGCTGTAGATCCTCAGCTACAAGAAGAGTGCCTGGTATATAAAAGACATTCAATAAATACATGTCAATCAAATTATTATTATTATTATTTTATTCCTGCTGTCCAGATAGCACTGGACCAAGTCCCCTCAAAACAAAACAAAAATGAAAAATGAAAACCAAAAAAACAACAAAAAACCCTGTCTTGTTCCATTCAGGCTACTATAACAAAATATCTTGGGCTGGGTAACTTACAAATAGCAGAAATTGTTGTCCACAGTTCTGGAGGCCGAGAAGTCCAAGATCAAGGCACTGGAAGATTCATGTATAATGAGGAGGGTTCCTCGTGGTTGGTGCCTCTATGTGTCCTCACAGGGTGGGAGAAAAGGAGCAAATAGGCTCTCTCAAGCTATGAATAAGGGCATTCATCCCATGCATGAGGATGGAGCCCTCATGATCTAATCACCTCCCAAAGACCTCACGTCTTAATACTATCACATTGGGGATTAAGTTTCAACATGAATTTGGGGGGAAAAACATGCATTCAGATCATAGGATGCCCTCCCCCTTCCCCCCAAAAAAACAATTGGCAGGTCCTCTGCCATCCCACAGGCATTCAGTGATTTCTCTGTAAATTGAGTTTCTGTACTTTCATTTAAAAGCAAAAGCTTGCTTCTGTCTGATATAGTTCTACGGTGTGTGCTGGGTCAGTTGTTGAGAGTTGAGGCAGAATGTAAAATCCTGAGCAGAGACTGTGTGGGGAGACAAATTACAAGGTGCAGCTGGATGGCCAGGCTCAACTGCCTCAGTCTTGCATACAGAGCATGTTTTAACGTCGTCTCCAGTTTCATTTCTCTGTTCTACTCTTAGGTCTATTCCCCAGACCAAGCCTGAGTCCTGGTTGCTCAGCGGGGCTGCCCAGGTTGGGAGGAGCCTTACACCCATCTGGTTGCTCCAGATCTTGGTCCTGAGTTAGGACCACCTTAGACCCGTCTGGTTTCTCCAGATCTTGGTCCTGAGTTAGGACCACCTTAGACCCGTCTGGTTTCTCCAGATCTTGGTCCTGAGTTAGGACCACCTTAGACCCGTCTGGTTTCTCCAGATCTTGGTCCTGAGTTAGGACCACCTTAGACCCGTCTGGTTTCTCCAGATCTTGGTCCTGAGTTAGGACCACCTTAGACCCGTCTGGTTTCTCCAGATCTTGGTCCTGAGTTAGGACCACCTTAGACCCGTCTGGTTTCTCCAGATCTTGGTCCTGAGTTAGGACCACCTTAGACCCGTCTGGTTTCTCCAGATCTTGGTCCTGAGTTAGGACCAGACTCTTGTCAGGTAGCCCTTTGGCTTCCCGAGAGAGAACGTTCTTGGTCTCCCACTCACAAGGCGTACCCCCAACTTAATACCTTTCCTGGATTCTTTCTATCCCCTTGGTGGTGACTTGTTTTCAAGCATTCCTAACTGCATGTTCTAACATTCTCTAATTAATGATGATGAGGCTTCCCTGGCTGCAATCAGATCATGTTCATTTTTTATTTCGCTTCCTTAGTGAATCAGCTTCCTCGTGTCTTTTTCTCCATGTCCTATCTCAGACAGATACATACTGAGGTAGTATTTTGGGATCAATTTCTCTGTAGAATATGCATAGGGTTTTCCCTGTCTTTACTTTTGTTGTGAGTCATCTCCCACAACGTTCTAGCCATAATGTCCAACTAAAAGTGCTGTCTTTTTCTATGTATTTATTTATTTGTGGCAAGAGCACCTGCCGCAAGATCTATCCTCTTAACAGTTTTAAGTGCACAATACAGTATTGTTAACTGTAGACACAGTGCTGTACAGCAGATCTCTAGAACTTATTCATCTCGCACAGCTAACACTTTATACCCATCGAAAGTCAACTCTCCATTCCCCCTCCCCCCAGCCCTTGATAACTACTCTTCTACTCTCTGTTGCCATGAGTTTGACTATTTCAGATATCCCATATAAGTGGAATCATGCAAAGGATTTGAATAGACATTTCTCCAAAGAAGACATGCAAATGGCCAACAGTCGTATGAGAAAATAATCAACACTGCTAAACATCAGGGAAATGCAAGTCAAAGCCACAATGAGAAAGGCTAATTCCTTGACTCTATAAAATGACACATTGTTTTTCTAATAAATTTCCATTTTCTTTAACTTTGCTTGAGTTGGGTTCTACCACTTACAATAATAATAACACCAATAATTTAATTAAACTAAGTGCTTAATATGTGCCAGGTACTTCATATTTAGATAACTTTCAATCCTAGAGTAATCCACTTTACAGATAAAGAAATGGAAGCATGAAAAGAGAGGTTAAGAAACTTGCCCAAGTCACTTGGCCAGTAAGCAGTAGAGGCAGGATTTGAATATGCAATCTGATGCCAAGGCCTACATCCTCAACCACAGTGATGTAGACCCTCTCCCAAAAGGAGCATGGTGTCTCTCCTGTGGGCAGCCTCTCAGCATCTCTCCTTTAGGACGGATTCTCACAGGTGTAACTTGTATCTGATCTTAACCATACAGGAACAATACAGAATAAGGGCAGGCATCATTTGTTCCCCAAGAATATCTTTGAGTTCTAGATGAAAACATAGAGAAGGAGAGAAACTCCATGAACAAACTTGTGCCACCATGATTACGCCTATTGTTTCAGATGCATTTCTTTTAAAATGATAGGACACTAGCCTGCCTCAAAGTCCTATTAAAGGCAAATCCAGAAGTAAAATAGCTTCGGTTATACCTGTGGTTTGACATACCTCAGCTTCTCTGGTCCCTAGCCCTCTCTTCCATCAGCCAAAAGCTTCTGTAGCATGGAAAATACCAGGGAAAAAAAGAATTCCACTAGACAGGAAGAGAAAGGCATTAGCTGTCATTTAAGGGAATTGAAGAATTAGGTCCCATGAGAATGCTAGTAAAAGTCTTGGTTAAAAATAAAAACATTTATCTTGGTACTAATAGATAGAGGGGTGGGCCTGAAACTCACCTAAGTGTCTGAATAAAGATGAGCATTTTCCTGGCAGGAGACACAGAATTCTTTATTGATAGTTATCTGTGGCAGCAAAGTTTGTGCTGCCTCCAGCCAGCCCAGAGAGAGGGCTTTTGGAGACACAAATGGTCAGGGGCTGGCTTAGAGGGGACTGGGCATTGAGACTAGAGACGTAAGCTAGGTAGGATGGCAGTGTATTATCAATCTTGCTCATGGTCAGTGAGCAATTAGATGTACTTTAGCTGATTATAGCAGATGCTCAATTTTTTTCACTTTTTCAGAGATAGGGTCTTGCTATGTTGCCCAGGCTGGCCTCAAACTCCTGGCCTCAAACAATCCCTTCACCTCAATCTCCCGAGGAGCTAGGATTACAGGCGCCACCTCATCTGGCCCTCAAATAGTTTTGAATACCTTAAAAATAAAAATCGCTTCAATGTATTGAGCACTCGCTATGACAAGGACTGAGCTGAGTGTTTTGCTTATCTAAATGCCTCTCCCAAAAGGGAGATGCGTCGACCATCCTTCTGCAATGGTCAGTTTGACGTGTCCACTTGGCTAGAGTATTACCACCCAGTTATGGAGTCAAATATTATCTAGGTGTTGCTGTGGAAATGTGGTTTGTAGATGTGGTTAACATCTACCATCAGTTGATTTTAAGTAAGGGGGATTAAAAGGGTGGGCCTCAGCCATCAAGTGAAAGGCCTTATGAGCAAAACCCAACGTTTCTCATAGGAGAAGAAATTCTCCCTCAAGGCTGCAGTATCAACTCCTGCCTGAGTGTCCAGCCTGCAGGCCTGCCCTATAGACTGCAGTCTTGCTAGGCCCCATAATCTTTTTTCCTTTCTTTTTTTTTTTTTAGACAGAGTTTTGCTCTCGTTGCCCAGGCTCACTGCAACCTCCGCCTCCCAGGTTCAAGCAATATTCCTGCCTCAGTCTCCCAAGTAGCTGGGATTACAGGCATGCGCCACCACGCCCGGCTAATTTTGTATTTTTGGCAGAGATGTGGTTTCACCATGGTGGTCAGGCTGGTCTCGAACTTCTGACCTCAGGTGATCCGCCGGCCTTGGCCTCCCAAAGTGCTGGGATCACAGACGTGAACCACCGCACCTGGCCTTAGGCCCCATAATCTTGTGAGCCAATTCCTTAAAACCAATTTCTTATATATAAAAGACACACACACACACACACACACACACACACACACACACTCCTCCTATTGGCTCTGTTTTTTTTGGAGAACCCTGACTGATATATCTTCTAACAATCCTATAATTATTTTCATTTTGCAATTGAGGAATTTGAGCCTCAGAGATGTTAGGAGACTTGTTCACAATCACACAGCTAGTAAAAGGTAGGGCTATGCCAGTTTCTAAGATCTGTACTTTTTAATGTCACAATACATGGACTCATGAGGATAGCTGAAATCCAAGAAGCCCAGCCAGGGCGTTGTGGAGAAATGAGTGCTCAAATACATGTCACCTCTGCCGTCATCTGCAGAAAAGTTCCCAGGAGTCTGGGTTGATGTACAAGTAAAATTCTTGAAGTACAGTTCTCAGAGAACCAGCTTCTTCACAACCTTGACATCACTAACAACCCATTGCTGGCCTGCTGCTGTGCTGGCACCCTCGGCTTTTCTCACCCAAGCTAATCGTGTGTGCATTCTGGCTGCCTGGGCTGCCTGCCTCTCTGTGAGTACCTGGGCCACGGTGCTGCATGGCTGCTGGGTGCTTCAGTGTAAGAGTTGCCTGGTCTGCCTCCTGCATTTCAGTCTAGAAGACAGACCATGTGTAATCTTGCTCACCAGCAGATTCCAAGCATGCAGCTCAGAGCTAGCCACATAGTCTACTTCATCAAACTGTGCAGAAGGAAGGCATGAATGGCTGCTGTGACATTTCCACTTTGCAGGTTGATTTGAACTTTGTCTCCATCCTACATTTTTTCAAAGGTTCTTAAAAGAGGCCAATAGCCCCATGACCTGAAGTCATTACAAATCTAGAGCTTGGATCTCAGCTGCAGGATTAGCTGCCAATGAATGAATGGACAGCCTGCTGCCTGTTATCAGCGAAGTGCCCAGTGCCTTCTTGTGCTGGCCAGGAAGACACAGCTTGAGAACATCACCGTCACTCCTGGGTGGTCTCCTCACAGGAAGTCCACGCTCACACCATGCCCCTTGGAGCATGCTGTCAGAATCAATAAGCTAGAGATGAATTTGCAAAGACCTGTCATTTCACGTGTAACAGGAGCAAACCTTTAGGAAATGAGCATTCCTTTAGATTCAGTAGACATCCGCAGGACAGGCAGAAACTGGCATTTAGGATAAATTGAGCTGGGCTAGAAAGGGCTGGGGAGAGCCAGATGTTTATCACGTGAATGTCAGGCTGTCACCCTGAAACAGCTGGGGAATTCTCACTGAGCTGAGTGATCTGGTGTAACATGTAAAATCATGATAGAAATAAAAAGAATCCTGGCTTGGGATTGGATGATCTAGACAAGTCCTGAAACCTTCCAGGCCTTCATTTCATTATCAGGGTAATCGGTCATCAGTGACATCCCTGGATTTTTGAGATAGGATTGCCTCGAACCTCTGCTTCTACAGCTTCAAGGTCTAAAGTCCTTGCTGCATTTGTGCAAAGCCCTGGAAGCTTCACTCTCGGCTCCCTCCTTCTCTCCCTTCTTGTGGGTGCTGCCTCCCTTTCACTGGGCACCAAACTAGACCCAAAACTCAGCACCTTTGCTTGTTTCCTCTCATGGAATCCATCCACTCTTGTAAAAATCTGCAAACCACAAGGTGAGTATCCCAGCTAGGCAAAGGGCTTCATCGTGTCTGGGTGGTGAGTATATGGGGCCCACAGCTGGCCTCCAGGCACTGCTGCGGTGTCTTTGAGTCCCACAGCCTCACACTGATGCCACCCCCACCTCCGCCAATCTCCAGCACCACACCTGAGACCCTTGAACTCCTGATGTGCCTGAAACCAGAGAAGTTCCTCACCACCCTCTTGTCTTACACCCTGCATGGGGCACCAGGATCCCTTCTTTGTGTGCTCACATCTCTGAGAGGGTTTGGCTAAACAATCAGTCCACTGAGATGCTGGCCTGGGGACAAACCTGCTGTCCACTGCCAGGCCATGTGGAGGAGCTCGCCTGCCTCTGACCACAGAGCCATGCAGGACCCATCTGGCTTCCTCTTCTCCTGCAGGGTTTTTTCTCTCGAGGTTCCTCAGTGGCTTGGTGAATGCAGCTATGGTTATGGTCCTGTTCTCCAGACAAGTGGATGAATCGGGAGTGGATGTAGCTAAAGGTTGAGCAGCGATCTCCACTGTGAAGGAACAAGTGAGTTCTGTATGCTTGAACATCAGGAAGCCTGATTCATGTGCGTTCCAGAACACACCAGCCAGTGATCTTAGGCAAGTCACTCACTTTGCTGAGCCTCAGTTTCCACTTAAAATGGCCATAAGGGCATGTTTTCTATTTATTTCACAGTTTGTATGAAGCGCAAATGAGCACACATGTGTGAAAGAACATAATTTATTTTGCACACAGTCTTCATATAGGGTGTTACAAAAACACAAAACATACAAAAGGAGCCTATCTCTAAATTTTCAGATTGGAGATTCTCCCCCGATGTCTGCCTGGAACAAAGGTATGTTGGGGATGAGCTCTAATTTTGCCCCTTTTATTGAGGGAGAGTCAGAATAAAATTCCAAACTTGCCCACATAGGCAGGAAGCTGAAAGCATTCCTTAACGCTGTCAGTGCTCGGTCAGATTCTCATCAAAAAAGCGTTTAAGCAGCATGACTGAGTTTTAGGTGGTTTTCTAAGGTTGAGATGACATGCACCTGATGTTGAGTTTCTGCAGCTTTTTGTCATGATGGCAATGTCCTTCCTTGCTGAGCCGAGGCTGTGTGTCTGGGGAGCAGTGTCGTGCAGGTAGCCTCACAGTTTACCACTTCAACCAACCCATGTAATGTAGTCAGACAAGCAACAGGAGGGTTGCCTGAGCTTCCCCCTGAGTTGGGGTATCACCCTGGCGTCCATGGGCCCGTTGTTGTTCCTGACTTCCCCATGCATGCTGATTCCTTCTCAGATTTCTCAGCTAGGTCTGTCTCCTGAGCCCTTGCATTTCCCTCGGCACTGTCTGTGAGCACAGTGGTTCTACTTAGTCTATGTTTCTTTATCTTTGGTGTGTTCTGTTCCCTCAATTCTTAGGACAGGAAATCAAGATTTGGTTTAGCAGTGTTAAGTATGAGATGTTCTTTAGGCATCCAAGCTAAGTAGGCAGTTAAATATAGTATTACTGATTTACTGCTGTGTAACAAATTATTCCTAAACTCAGTGGCTTAAAACAACAAATAATATCTTACAGTTTCTGTAGGGGAAGCCATCTGAGTGTGGCTTAGCTGGGTCTTACCTTTAGGTCCATTCCCCAGACTGAGCCAGCACTGATGGCTCAGCTTATCTGCTTAGGAGTTAGCTGCAACCTGTTTGGTTCAGGGTATCTCACAGACTGAACTTGAGGAGCTGTGATCTTATCTGAAGGTTCTTCTGGGGCGGATCTGTTTCTGAGCTCATGCATGTGGCTATTGGCAGGATTGGGTTCCTCCTAGGCTGTTGGACTGAGGGCCTCAGGCCCTCGCTAGCTGTTGGCTGGAGGCTGTCCCCAGTTCCTTGGCATGCGAGACTCTCCCCAGAGTGGCTCACAGCGCAGTAGCCGACCTTCATGAGAGTGAGCAAGTGGGAGAGCAAGAGAGGGCCAGCAAGACAGAGGCCTAATCTCGGAAGCAATCCAGCCCACCCTCAGGAAGCAGTGTGAACACCAGGCAGTGAGGAAGATGGGAGTCATCTCAGGGGCCGCCTAGCACAGCACACAAGCCTGACGTTCTGGGGAGGTGGCTGGGCTCTGAACAGACATTGGCAAGCTGTCAGGTCACCTAGAGGTGCAATAACAGGAGTGAATGTCCAAAGAAAAGAGGTCCTTGGCCTGAGCCCTGGATCCTCCAGCCTTTAGGAATAGGAATCCTGGAAGGAACAAACAATGGAGTGAGAGAAGGAGGGTCAGGGAGGTCTGACAGCTAGTACTGGCTGAGGCTAATTAGAAATGACCACTAAGAAATGGAAATTGAAGTGAAGGGATTGGGAAAACAGACCACAATTCTTCAAGAGGTTGCCTACTAAAAAGAGGAGCCCTTTCCCAATCTTCAGAACTCAGCAGACCTCTCCTCTTCCCTCCTCCACCCTGGCACAGTAAACAATGGACCTATCAGGTGGCCATCCTGTCCTCCTGCGTCTCCTCTTAACTTAAGGCTGGCAGGGGAGTCCTAAACTTCTGGGAAATGGGGAAGAACCTTGAGGGAGGTCAGGCAGTACAAACCAGGAAGCATCTGCAGGAGAGAGAAAGGTTAGCGGCTCCAGCAAATCATTTCCCCAGGATTTTGATCAGTGTGTTTAGGCCCCAGCAGGCAGAACCGGCTGGCTGAGTCAGCACCAGCACACTGTGGAGCAAACAGCCTGACTTTTCTCTGAGTTCCCCCAGAGCTAAACTGCCGGCCAGGCAGTCAAATGAGAAAAGGTGCAATTGAGCAAATAGAAACAAAGAAGAGAAATAACGACAGCCAGGCTAGTGAATTAGCAGCAGCAGTGTGTGGTCTGTTTCCTGTCTTCCAAGACATTCCCTGGGCTTTAGTATACTAGGCGTTCACTCATTCGTTCATTTATTCAGTAAATTCATTCACTGAGCATCTGAGTGCCTCAAGTCCATCGTAGGTGCTGAAAGAGCATGGTAAGCAGAAGTCAACAATGGCCTTGTCCTCAAGGAACTTACAGTCTAGAAAGGGAGACAGCTGTGAATCCATGGTCACATGGATACATAAAAATTAGATTAGTGGGCAGGGTGCGGTGGCTCATGTGTGTAATCTCAGCACTTTGGGAGGACGAGGTGGGCAAATCACCTGAGGTCGGGAGTTCGAGACCAGCCTGACCAACATAGAGAAACCCTATCTCTACTAAAAATACAAAATTAGCTGGGCATGCTGGCACATGACTGTAATCCCAGCTACTCGGGAGGCTGAGGCAGGAGAATCACTTGAACCCAGGAGGCAGAGGTTGTGGTGAGCCGAGATCGCGCCATTGCACTCCAGCCTGGGCAACAAGAGCGAAACTCCATATGAAAAAAAAAATAGACTAGTGGTAACTGACAAAGACTCTTTCCTTGACCAAGCTGGTCAGGTTCCTCTCAGCACTCTTCCCAACTAGGCCCAAGCTTTGAGCTTGGCTCCTGTTCTGTACTTATGGTGCCTACATGACCCAGTCTTTGCAAAAATCAGTTTAGCAAGAATAAGTCAGTTTAGTAAGAATGCCCCATCCTTGATATCTGATCACTCTCCCTAGTTGATGAAATTCCTCATTCCTCACCCTCAGTTTTGTTCACCCTGCCCTGCCTTCAGCAAGAATCCTAAGTCAGTTTAGCAAGGATCCTCCTACCTGTGATGTCTTCTCTTAGTAATTTTCTATCCATCGACCCCTCACTCTGCCCCTTGGCTATAAATCTCCACTTGTTCTTATCGTATTGGGAGCTGAGCTCCATCTCTCTCTCTCCCGTTGCAAGAATCTTGACACCTATTGCAATTGTCCTGAATAAAGTCTTTCTTACCGTTTTTACAATGTCAGAATAATTTTTAAAGTAACCGCCGAGAAGGCGAAATACCTGACACCGTGGAAGCAAGTGAACAGGGGGATGTGAACTTGTCAGGGAGGCCAAGGAAGGCTGGCTTAAGGAAACAACACTTGAGTTGAAATCTAACATCTTAAGGCAGGATGTAAGTTAGAAATTATCCCAAACTTAGAAATAAAGCAAAAGGATGACTACAGTACTTTCAGTGTCATATTGAAACATTGTCTAAGAGGCTTGTGCAAGGATCACCCACTTCTCTAGGGGAGTACACCTGGTTTGACCTACTATTAACTATTGATTAGGGACCAAACTGTGTGAAGTTAGAGGTTAACTTGTAGGAGATTGTTAAGTTGCAAATGATTTTTTTTTTTTTTTTTTTTTTGTCTGGTGGAGATGCAAACATTTCTGTCCAGTGGAAAAGATAACCTAAAAGGTCGTAGTTATATTGCCCTGCAGGGTAATAACTTGCTTTGTAGCTAACTTAGCAAACCTGTTTCAATATTCCTTTCCTGAGAAAGCATGTAAGTGTCTGTTCCACAAATAGTCTTTGGGCAGTTTTACCTCCCTGTTGGTTCCCTCATTCGTGAGTGAAATCCGTCTTTATCAGGTGCTCAGTATATATTTGTATGAGTCATGCTTCTAATTATGTAAAACTCATACTTGGACAGAGGTGGGCAGAAGACATTAAATAAGTATGGTTAGCACCTATTTACACTGGACCCAACACCTGGACTTATTTTTTTTTTTAATTTTCAATTTTTGTGGGTACAAAGTAGGTGTATCTATAGAGTACCTGAGATATTTTGATACAGACATGCAATGCATTATAATCACATCAGGGTAAATGGGGTATTCATTACCTCAAGCATTTATCCTTTCTGTTACAAACAATCCAATTATACTCTTCTAGTTACTTTTAAATGTATTAAATTATTATTGACTATAGTCACCTTGTTGTGCTATAAATACTTGGTTTTATTCATCCTTTTTTTTTTTTTTTTTTTTTGAGATGGAGTCTCACTCTGTCACCCAGGTTGGAGTGCAGTGGCATGATCTTGGCTCACTACAATCTCCACCCTCCTAGGCTCAAGCAATCCTCCCACCTCAAGCTCACAAGTAGCTGGGACCACAGGCACATGCCACCATGCCCGGCTAATTTTTTTTTTGTATTTTTGGTAGAGACGGGGTTTTGCCATGTTACCCAGGCTGGTCTTGAACTCCTGAGCTCAAGTCATACACCTGCCTCGGCCTCCCAATGTGCTGGGATTACAGGCATGAGCCACCGCATCCCACCTTATTCATTCTTTCTAACTACTTTTTGTACCCATTAACCATCCTCACCTGCCACCCCCCAACCCCTCCCCCTTCCCAACCTCTTGTAACCATCCTTTTACTCCCTATCTCCATGAGTTCAAGACCTAGACTTTGGGCTCTGAGAAAACTTGGAAAAACCTAAATGCGGTCATTGTGTTCATGGATCTACTGGACTCATGAGTAAAAAAAGTAAGAGTTAATAAATTGTCTACTCAGCAAAGTGTCTCATTGCTACAGACACACTGTTTCCCACTCAGCAACAGTTGGGGGCTATTGGTGTCCATCTCCCGATACAAGTTTATATATCTAAAAAGAATCTCCGTCATCTCTGCTCCTTTTGCATACTTTGCTATTGTCAGTGTCAGTGAGGCATTTTCCTCTCTACCCACCAGGCTTGCAGTCTCAATGTGCCTTCCTCTTCCTCTCCTTCCTCGGCCAGTTGCTCACTAAGTTCTGTCAATGCTTTCTTCAGCCATTCTTTGGGAACCTCCCCTTTCTCTCTGTCCCGTGGTCCCCCCACCCAGGTGCTGGGATCTGTAGCATCCTCTTCCCTCTCCAGTGGGTCCCACATGTTATTGTCAGATTAATCTTCCTCATAAAAATGATGCTTCCCCATGTCACTGCCCTGTTTAAATCCTTGGGCACTTCTGCAGTTGTTACCCAGACTCATTTCCAGGCTTCCAAAAGCTTTCTACGGGAAAAGCCAAGTGAGGTGCTGGTCATAGTTCCTCCTTCTCGGAATCCTCAGAATGTCTCTCCCCGTGCAGGCCTCCCCCAACGGGAGGCTCTGAGTATAGCTTGCCAAGCCGAGAGACCCACTAATAAATTGAGTAGACAACGAGTGGGTGCTTGATTCACGGGCAGCCGGCACGCGCGGCCGGACATAAAGAGCTGCCCAACAGGAGCAGCCAGGCCTGGCTGGAAGCCACGGAGACAAGCTGATCCTCTCCTGGGAGTCTAACTCCAGACAGGAGCCGCAGAGGAGAGTCAGCGTGGGGTTGAGGGCTGGTCACCCAATCCGGAGCACTGGTGGCAGCCACAGACGAGGGCACCGCCAGAGTGACATCGTGTTCTGAATGCTCTCTTGGTGCAGTAATTGCGTCTTTTATTTTCTATATTCTGATGCTTTGACATCTGGGCCTTGCTGGCCGTGGAGGGACTGTCCCTCCCAGGGTTACCAATTATTCCAAAGATAGAAAACAACTTGCAACCCCCTACAATGTGCTTTTCAAATGCAAACCAACCCCTCCACAGCCCCACCCCAGCCACCTCTTCACCTGCCCCAATCACTCCTTCCGCAGGGCCAAGTCTCTAACTAAGGACAGCCCATATACCCCAGAGCCCACTAAAACCAGCCTACCCTGAGCCTGCCTGCTCTGCCTTGCCCACACCTTCCAGCATGCGCCACAATAAGGGCCCCCGCCCACAGGTCCAGCCTCTCTGGCGACCTCCCGACTCGCTCTGGAGCTCCCCTGTGTGCCCCCTCCCCACGTGGCACAGCATGTCCTCTCCTCTTGGAAACCGTGAGTAACAAGCTATCTTTTTACTGGCAGTTGTCTCCTATCTGTTTGCCTTACCATACCTCAAATTTTTAATTAATTTACGAAGTTTTAAAATACTCAGCTCCCACATTACATTCCCGTCTCCCTGGAGTTTGGCAATGTGGCTGCCCCTGCGTTTTTAGACGCAGGGCTGTGTGCTCTTCCTGCCTCATTCCTGCATCTCAGAGTCAATCCCCTTCACTTCAGGTACATCAGGTGTCTCTGTTCCTTGCAGTCTAAAAAAAGCCAACTTCAGGAATTCCCCATCTTACCCTTATCTACTGCCACCTATTCTACTACGCTTCTCAGACTCTCCGCTTCAACCATGTAAGCCATCTTTTCATTCTTGTGTGTTCCCGTTCTCCATTATCTTGCTAATATAAGCTCTTCGAGGAATGCCCTCCCTCCTTTCCTTTGCCAGGTAAATCTACTCTTCCTTCAAGACCTGACTTGTGTTTCATCTCTCCCGTGGTGGCTTCCATGACTCTGCTTCCCTGGGTGGCTTCTCTGTGCCTGTCTCTCAACACCTGCATCACCTACTCCCGGGACACTACAGGCAGCCTACGCCACCTTACATTATTCAGTATTCACTTCTCAATATTCAGGAAATGTCTTTCCCTAAGGCTTTATGTTCTCTTGGTTCAGGGACCAAAGTTTTGATTTTGTGGGATGACAGGATGCATTTGATACCAAATACATCCCTCCACATCTTCCTTCTCATTGAATTGCTGTATAAAATTCCCACTTCCCAGAACAGTTGTTGCCTATGGACCCAGGGCCTGGCCTAGAGGGGAAGCCAGGTCTCTGCTCACCTCTAGTCTAGGCTTTTCCCGTTTGGGAGGTGAGGTTGGCCTGCCCCCAGCTTTCCTGAATGGAGAGCGTGCATTCATTTCCTAATATGCCACGATCCTTGGGAAGATTTCTTTTGCTTTAGTTTGCTGTCAGGCCTGGAAGGGAAGGTGAAGTGGGGAGTCAGTGAGGAGGGGGCTGGGCCACCTGGTGGGATGTTGGGAACTATTTTCTGTGCAGAGGCCAAGGCTGGGGCTGGGGGTGGGACACATGGAAATCAAACATGTACTTCACAGTTTGGTCCTGGGCTGACCTGTTTATAATAAAAACATTTGGTTTGACTTCCACAGACTCCAAGCCATGACGTCAATGTTGATGCATTTCAGGCCACATTCCTTTTAGTCTCCGGAGAAGTTCTTTACAAAAAGCATGAAAGGTGGAATCAAATAGTTCCTGGGATCATCTCCAGTCTGAGACATCACATTTGCACTTTAAGCAAATGATTCAGATACTAAAATTCAAGCCCTAAATATGCCTTTTCAACTACAAACTAATTATTTGTGTCTAAATCAATGGACGGTGTCTCTTTAAATGTTCCCTTCATTCCTCATGCATGCTATAATCAGCAGATGGCCCTACCTTCCCCCACCACCCCCTTTTAAACAGACCCTTCTAATAGCTAATATCCTGCAGTGACCAAAGCCATTAGAAGGATTAAGCCATTACTATCCTGTCCAGCAAACACACAATGCTCACGGGGATTGCCTTTTTTTTTTATTTTTTGGTTGTTGTTTTTATGGATGAATCAGGGCCCAATGGTAGGCTGAAAATCAAAACAGGGAGGGCAAAGGGTTATAGTCATTCTTTTCAAGGACACCTCCCAAACAGCCTCAGGATTTGAGATTCCTTTGTTAGAATGACGGCAGATGTCAGCCTTGTGGCTAGTGCAAGCTCCGAAAGGACACAGTACGCAGACCTCTGTCCCTCGTTTCCTTAATATCTAATACTCATCCTTTCCAGAGCACCACTGTGGCTGTCTCGTTGCTCTGCCTGTCCACACAGGCCTGTTTGTGCTGTAACAGACAAGCAACCAGCAGCCCAGCCCAAAGCCACGTTGCAGGGCCCAGGACTGCTCTGAGACACTGCCACCCAGTGGCGCTTCTGAAGCATAACAGCACACAGAAAGGGAGCAGGGAACCCAGTTTTATAAGCATGGAGGGGGTAGGGGGTGCAAAAGCTGGCCTAGAATCGTGAGGCCGAGCTGCAGAAAAGCATGCTCCATGGCACGGAGGCAGGTAGCTAGTTTGGAGATGGCTAAATAGGGCAAGTGACAAAAAACACGAAGAAAGGCAGCTGGAATATAAAGAGAGGAATAAAGAAATGTAATGACATGGAAAGCGTGAGCAGTCTTTTCTAAATGGAAGAAATACGCACTTTCTCTAAGTGAGAGCTGGAGCGAGATGACCGAAAGATGAGTCAATGGAGCCCTTTTTTGGAGTTGGCCTCAGTTTGGATTACTCAGTATCTCACATGTCTGGGTTCTTAAGGATCCTTGAGCTTTGCTGACTTTGGGGAAGTCACTGTATTTCAGTTTTGTGACCCGAAGGGGCTGAGCTGAACCTCTAAACAGCTTCCCTGAGCCCTAACAGTGAGTATGTAATTAAATACCTGAGACGTTGAGTGAACAAGAAATGCAGAAATACAGAAAATGCAGGCTGTGAGCAATCCTTAAATCTTGTGTTTGACTTCAAAGTGCTGTAAGGGAGAACCTGAAAAATACATCCACTTACACCTTTGGTGGTTCAGGACTTGCCAGGAGAGTGCATGGAAGGGACCCCCATCCCACAGCGCATGGGTGACTCTACCCGCCATCTAACCTCCCTGAATCTCAGCAGCCAAGGCCAGTGCACTGAGATCTGCACCTCCAGCACTTTCAGTGTAGGGCGAGACAGGTTTAGAAGGAATTGGGCTTCTCTAAGATTGAAGCTAAACCAGAAGCTAATGGGTTAGTAATTTAATAGGTCTCCCTTTTCGGCAATATTTTCATTTTAAAAAGAAAACTTCTGTTAGAGGGCAAGTAATTCCAAAGAAATTAGATTCTGCTGGTTGAAACGTTAAGAATCCAGGCAGGCGGTGAGGGAAATTCGTTTCCCGGCTTCTCCAATCTAATCTGATAGTGCCCGTCTTGCCTCAGTCGTTAATACTTCTTGGGAAAAAGCATATGTGATCACTCTTTTAAAAACTGTTAGAATCACTTTCCTATCCAAGGTCTGAAAGAAGATTTGGGCTTAGGCTCCATTTGAAGAAATCCAGGTTGTATTTCCCCCAGCATTTAGGGTTTGATGGTTTCTGCTTATCTAAAGTGCTCACATTGCAAATATGAGCAGCAGGGCTGGGGATTTAAATTCTGTCTTGATGGGAATTTGAACTGAAATGCTCTGCCCACTGCCACTTTATAAGCTGGGAATCATCAAGCTAGCTACAAATACCTCGAGGGGTCCTTGCAGTTGCTCAACATAAATCAGCAAAATGACAGGCAATTGACTTTGAAGACAGCGCTCACATGGCTGAGTGGCTGGAGCTGCTGGAAGCAGATGAGGGCATTTTCCTGTAAACATGATTGTGATTAGCACCAGAGTAAATAGCGAATCGGGCTCTATCTGTCAGACTCCAGCCTGCTCTGGATTTTTCATTAGGTAGAAATCAACATGTGACTCAGTGCAGCAAAGTTGGCAATTATAAGAAATAAGTTTCTATTTCAACACCTGGTGAATACTTCTGATTTTCCTAGAAGGTAAGCAAGAAGGAAAGTTGATTTTGCCATGTTTTCATGTAGGGATAAAATAGGAGTGTGGGAATCAGTCCTTTCACTGCAAGAGCAATTCAGCTTCTAGTCCGTGCTCTGATGCTATCTAACAAAATGTCTGGCATAGCTCAGATTTTGGCTAAGTGGAAAGGTGCACGTTTGAAAGGTTGACCCTACCAGTGTCATCTGAGGTCACTAATTCATATGCCTAAAGAGCCCAGGAAGGTAACATCAGTAGGTAAGCTGGCTGGAGGGGCTGAGGCCAAGTGGAGTGTGCCGGCCCTGTCCAAGGAGGCAGGCTGACCCTGCTCCAGCATGGACTGTGGCCAACTGGGGCAGAAAGGCTTGGGTTGTCATATCAACTGGTTTTTCAAAAGAAGCCAGAATTTGGGATTTTCATGTAAAACACTGGGAGTTCCAAATCAAACATGTCTACAAACCCAAAAGCATCTAGCCTGTTTGCAACCTAGTATTGGGCTACCTTCATGTTGGATTCCTCCAAACTCATTCTAGCTACATCAGGTCTCTAAGCCATTTCAAAGGATTTCCAGAGAGAGCTTGCATAGACTCCCTTAGCAAGGAAATGAAAAATCTATCAGCTCTCCAGATCTAGAAGGTTTTTTTTAAAAATTCTAATTTAGATCTTTCATGCTGCAACATAAACCACTTCTTTTTATTCTCAATCAATGGAAATGAATCAATGGAAATGATAATCATAACTCACACGGGAATTTTAAACTCAGTTGGCACTGAACAGAAGGAAACCTCTTAAATGATCCGGAGCTCTGTTCTCTCAAAGGTAGCTTGTGCTATAGAGGAGTGAGAGCAGTCGTAACTCTGGTGGGCCTGGTTCAGGTCACCACCTGCTTTGAACCTCAGTTTTCTCCTTATAAAATGGGTTTTCTCCACCTCGTGGGCCCTGTACTGTGAAGAGTGGGTACTGGCTGACTGCAGGAAGATGTTTGTCTCCTCTGGGGTCAGCTCATCTGGCTGGGAATCTCAACACCACCACTTACTCCGTGTGTGACTTTGGGCAAATTTCTTACCCTTTCTAAACCTGGGTGTCCTCATTTCATTTTTTTTTTTCTAAGACAGGGTCTTGCTCTGTCACCCAGGCTGGAGTGCAGTGGTGTGATCACAGCTCACTGCAGTCTTGAACTGTTGGGCTCAAGTGATCCTCCCACCTCAGCCTCTCAAGTAGCTGGGACCACAGGCACATGCCACCACACCTGGCTCATTTTTGAATGTTTTAGGACATGTAGCCCAGGCTGGTCTTGAACTCCTGGGCTCAAGTGATCCTCTTCCCTTGGCCTCCCAAAGTGCTGGGATTACAGGTGTGAGTCACTATGCCCAGCCTGAGTGTCTTTGTGTGTATTTGGTGGGGGTGGGGGGAAAAGTGTCACTCTGTTGCCCAGGCTGGAGTGCAGTGGCGCAATCTCCGCTTACTGCAGCCTCTGCCTCCTGGGTTCAGGGGACTGTCCTGCCTCAGCCTCCAGAGTAGCTGGAATTATAGGTATGCACCATCACGCCTGGCTAATTTTTGTATTTTTGGTAGAGATGGGGTTTCACCATGTTGGTCAGGCTGGGTCTCAAACTCCTGACCTCAAATGATCTGCCCGCCTCAGCCTCCCAAATTGCTGGGCTTACAGGTGTAAGCCACTGTGCCCAGACTGGGTGTCTTCATTTTTAAGGCAGAGGTAAAATAGTGCTTTCTCCATAGCATTGTGGAGAGGAGTAAATGGAAAGCTCTGAGTCAAAAGCTTGGCTCAGACCCCAGCCCTCAGAGGGGCTGGAAGGACTGGGCACAGTGGTGATGATGAGGAGGGAGGAGTCTAGGATGATCCCAGGTTTCTGGGTGACTGGGTGGATGAGGGAGCATTAATAAAGACAGATGATACCAGAGAAAGAACTGGGCTGGGAGACAGGTAATTTCTTCAGTTCAGTTCCTACTGAGTTGAAGTCGCCTCAGAACTTTTCAGGAGGAAAGGCCCAGTTGGAAGTTAAGAAATGGCTTTGAATACTTGGCTGGAAACAGTCTCAGCTGTAAGCAGCTGTGGCAAATGTGCATGTGTTAGGATGCCTGGAGAGAGTGTAGCTTGAGAGGACAAGAAGTGCTAAGAGGACCAAAACTCCAAACTGGGTGTTAAATGCTGAGGCAAGCCAGGAAAGACTGAGATTGTGCATCCTGAGAGGTCGAGGGAAGACCTGCAGAAAGGAGCTTCCTGGAAACCAACAGAGAAATAGAAGATAATGTTTCCATCTTCGACGGCTTTACAATCTGATGAAGGGGCAAAAACAGAAACACATGCAACAACCAAAGGACTTTCTCAAGACAAAATACCAGTGAGGACCAATTAAAGCAGCCCCAAATAGTGTGGATATGCCGGAGGACTTCAGCGAGGAGGAGACACGGGAGGCAGGCAAGGTGCACCACGGGCTGTGGAGAAGACGTACTTGAGCTGGGTTTGCAGGAAGGAATGCATCTGGGCTGGCCAGAGGCAGGGAAAGGGCATCCAGGTCACGGCTGGGCTGGAGACCAAGGTTCTGCAGGGTGGAGTCCACTCCTCCACTGTAGGGTGGAGCAAGCCCTGTTCAGAAATATAGATGGTTTCAGGCAGAAATGTAGAGGCATTTTGCTCTGATGGAGCAAATATTTTCTTCTAAATAGGGACTTTCTTCTCTCGTGTCAATTTTCTTTTTAAAATTTTCCTTTATTATTGGGCTCCATTCCTCAGCTCCTTCTGTCACTCTAGAAGCTCGTTTCCTCCTGCCTCTTCCCTTTGGGTGATATGCACACTCGAATGTCCCCAGTCAGAGGCAGACACTTTCCAGGCTGATTTTAATTCTTTAGGAGCCTGAAAGGTTGGAAAGAGCATGGAATCTGAGCCTAGGGCCCTGGTTGGAGCTGCTGCCAGTTACAAGCTGTGAAACTATAAGCAAATCATGGCATTCCACTGCGGTTGCCTCTGGAATGGAGAGGATGCTACTCTGCTCCTTCAGTCTGTGACGCATGCTATGTGAGGTCATCTAAGGGAAGCCATTAGGGAAACAGTGACAGCACAGGGGTGAGGAGCTCACATAACTCCTTGGCCTACACGGGATTGAGCTTCAGGGGCCACTGTGGGGTCGACGTCAGGGGTTCTGTGGGGTGGTCAGGGGCTCTGTCGGGTGGAGTCAGGAAGTCTGTGGGTGGAATCAGGGGCTCTTAGGGCTGGAGTCAGTGCTGTGGGGTGGAGTCAGGGCTGTGGGTAGAGTCAGGGATCTGTTGGGTGGAGTCAGGAACTCTGTGGGGTGGAGTCAGGGCTCTGTGGGGTGGAGTCAGGGCTCTGTGGGGTGTACTCAGGGCTCTCTGGGGTGAAGTCACGGCTCTGTTGGGTGGAGTCAGGGCTCTGGGTGGAGTCAGAGCTTTGTGGGTGGAGTCGGGGCTCTGTTGGGTGGAGTCAGGGGTTCTGTTTGGTGGAGTCAGGGCTCTGTGAGGTGGAGTCAGGGCTCTGTTGGGTGGAGTCAGGCATTCTGTGGGTGGAGACAGGGCTCTGTGGGTGGAGTCAGGGATTCTGTTGGGTGGAGTCAGGGCTCTGTTAAGTGGAGTCAGGGCTCTGTGGGATGTAGTCAGGGATCTCTGGGGTGAAGTCACGGCTCTGTGGAGTGGAGTCAGAGCTTTGTGGGTGGAGTCAGGAGTTCTGTTGGTTGGAGTCAGGGCTCTGTGAGGTGGACTCAGGGGCACGGAGCTTCTTATCGGAGGCTGTCTGGAGGGAGTCTGTGGTTCTGGCACGGCGATGGTTGTGGGGTAGTGAAGCTGCACTGGGGGCTGGTGCCTGCTTGCTGACTGATGAGCATTCTGGGGACTGACGTGGGGAGCAAAAGCCTACCTCTCTCTCTACCTGTTTAAGGCCCACGACATGGCTACAGAGTGGAGAAGGTGCGAAGGCCAACCTCCCTTCTGAGAGGACAGCGGGGGCCTGGGCATGTCGGCCCGGTGCTCCTTGAATCTCAGGAGAAAAGGCCTAGGACGCAGAGGGATGGTGGATGCTGGGTCCTGGCAGGTGGATAGAGGGAACCGAGACGGGTAGAAATTCCTGGAAAATGAAGAGAGCGCTATTTCAGAGGGGGAACATCTCTGAATCAGAGGAGGCAGCTGCTGACTTTTGCTGAAAGGGAAAGGAACCTTCAGGACAGCGGTGGTGGCATCAGCTGGGCCGCCTAGGGCTCCGCAGCCCTAAGCCTGCACCGGCCCTGTCCTTCCCTTGGGGCGACGGGACCTCCCCGCAGGGCCCTGCGCATGGGGACTGGGGCATGGGACAGGGCTCCGCAGAGAAGACCTGCCTGAGCCGGGCAGCTGGGCCCACCAAGGCCGCCAGACAGCCCAAACCCTTCCCAGGCTGCAGGGAGGCCCCAGCTGGTGTGGCCTCAAACCGGCATCTGTTTCTTCACTCCTGGGGCTCCCTTTGAACTTGAACCTTGCAAAGCCCAAGTAACAATAAAAAAGCCAAGGAACAGGTGCTGCTGCAGAGGACGGAGGACAGGCCGGCTGGGAGCCTCAGGGGGTGTCGCCTTTGTTTCAGCGCCTTCAGTCTCCCCGCTTCCGCATGAAACTGCTCGGGACCCACGTCAGCGCCAAGTTCCAACAAGGAAAATATAGCAGCGCACAATATGTTGTTTTGGCAGAAAGCTATGAATTTTAGTATGGAATGTCTGTCACAGGGCCCATCCAATTAACTCACTTGTCGAGAAATCAGAATAAATAGTTGAGAGGAGGCGACTGCAGCTTTGCTCAGACCTTTATTTCTCATTTGTTTTCATGGTTAAGCAGGTCTGCAGTCACCAGGATGTATATTTAGGGCAGGGAAGGAGAGAATACGCATCTTCACGGTGGTTCTCCCTTTGGAGGGAAAGAAGGGTATTTTCTATGCATTTTGGAGGAGGGAATTCTGGTGAGCTTCTGTTTTAGAAAAGTGTTATGGAGGCAACCCTGGCAAACTCCCTCGAGTTTTGGACTCAGTGCTGTTGAGTCTGAGACAAGGACTGGGCCCTACCAGAGAAGTTTCTCTTCCTCCTTAGGTTATCCACGGTGGCTGGTGAGCATGGCTGTGCCGGGTGAGTGGGTGGGCAGCCCAACCTGACCCCACATCTCAGCCTGGGCCGAGCTTCCTGACGGGGAGGACACCGGGTGCTCTGGGTTAGCAATGGCAGCTGGCACTTGGGGGTGCTGGCATCCCTCCCAGGGTGCCTGCCATGCCCAGAAACTTAAACATTTGTGTGGACTCCCTGTAAGAAGCCCTGCTGCATAGTTGAGGCCCTTGGGAAAGAAGCACCTCAGCTATTCAGCAACGGGGCTTCTTTACGAGGGCACCGGCCATGCTTGTGCTTGTCCTGTGTGAATTCCCAGGGGCAGGAGCTCATTGCAGCCCCGGGCAGGGTGCTCTCCTTGTTCCACAAATTGCCAATTATGATTTACAGACATTCAGCGGATAAAACTCTGGGCAGAGAGTGACTCTTTTCTTTGAGGAGTCTTCTTGTGGCTCTCTGAATTTAGAGCCTTGCTACAGCAGAGATGAAACCCAAAGCCGGTTTATAACACCCTGCATTCCTGAGTTTTGAAGGAACCTAATGTGAGCCAGTTTTATGTAGCCAGAGGGACAGCCAGGGGAATACATTTCAGCTGCCCAAGAAAAAACTTGGCCTGTAGCTCCCCCACACCTTTTTCCAGCCCAGGGCTTCTGAAAACCACCCTCTCTCTAATCCCAAGGGCCCCAGCCTCCCCTTTTAAGTATTCACACTCTGGGGGTGGGGTGCAGGGGTTTATTTACATCAATATTTCTCCAATAGTGGGGCAAGAACCCAATCCAAGGCAAAAACATTTTTTGACCTTTGCTCTCATGAGCAAAGTGCCCCCAAGTAATGAGGATCTGGAAGAAGGGAAGGGCACGTTCTCTGTAGCCTGCCATCCACATCCCAGGCTGTCAGTCAGGAGGCAAAGGCATAGTCTTTAAGGGCTGCAGACTAAGTTCATCTTTGTGCTCCCGTGCTGCTTCCATTTCAAAGGCTTCGCCAGCGAATCCCGTGAGTCATTCCTGGAACCTTCAGGAGTCTCCATGGTGATGGGGTTGAGTGGGCCTGGGGGAAGCCAGCATTCACTCCACTTCCTAACAAGTTCCTCTTTTCTGATTTTTTTTTCTTTTTTTTCAATAGAGACTGGGGCTGAGGCTTGAGCTTTTTTGTTTTTTTAAACAAATCACAAAATAAGAACTCCCTAAGCCTTCTTTCCCCATTTTTTTGGAAACCCATTCTAGATAAATATATAATCTATTCTTACTTGCCTCTGTTGAGACCATATAAAACAACAAAGCACAACAAAAACTGTGCATTTGCTTTCTTTTTTTTTTTTTCTTTTCCTGCAAGTGTTTTCAGAAGGGATCTGGTTTTCTTGTTTTCCTCAGTGAAAAGATGAAAAGGCTCTGGGTAACTGATTGTAGCCTGAAGCAGAGATGCCGGCAGCATCAAGCCCAGAGGAAGGCAGGCCTGTCTAGCCTACTACCGCCCCTGTGGAGGTCTACCAGGAGCCTGAAAATTATGCCCAGTCATGGTTGGCAGAACTGTGCATATTCTTATAATCCCCACCTCTCCTTCATTCTGAAATGCTCTGGAAAAGCGTAGTATCTGGGGTTTGTTAGGGAACGAGCATTAACGTTACCATTTTAGGTACAGGAAAATGTAGCTAAATCTACAGGCATCTATGGGATTTTCCACATGGTACCAAAAATTAAAATTTGAAACCAATCTAATGTGAATTGATGAACATAAATAATCTTTGGGGGTATAAATTCTGTGTCAAATTCCATAATGGTGTGTGGCCCCAAAGTTCCCACACCTGAGGGTGAAAATGAGTTTTCAGTAACATTGAAAACTTGAATTCTGCTGACTTCGTTATCCCCTCAGGTTGAAGCAGGACGTGCAGCTTCCTGAGGTTCTGCCCCCAGATTTCTGGGGGTCTTGGGGGCATCTCGCATGTGCTCCACTCTGGAGAGTGCAGCCAATCTCTGCTGGTAGCTTAGAGTGCCAAAGCCTTGCCCGGGGCTGGGGAGGAGGTGGGGAACAGCTTTCTCTGCTGTGTTAGTCGCTGTGTGGGGCCCCACAGCAAGGCTGCTTGAGCCTTCATTGACCAGCTATCTAGTTTTTGCTTCCAGTCTGCTCTATCCTCCCTCAGCCCCAGCCTTGCCCCTCCAGGAGCACGCCAGGTTAAAGCCACATCTTTGTATTTGGAATCCTACTTTGCTCTGACAACTGAGGCTTTTCTAACAGGTCAAGCTCACCAAATCTCATTCTGGGTTCTTACAGCGTGGTTTCTTAAGCTGTGAAACCTTTTCAAAAGATGATAAAAGCCCCAGAAATTCTCTCAGAAAAGTGAACATATAGGTAACATTTCACAGACAAGCTCAGGAGTTTCTGGGCCTTCGGGAGAGAATCCTTCCTCACAGGAATTTTCTCTCGAGAACTTTCTCAGCCCTTGCTCTGGATGTCAGTCCAGCCTGGCTCGCTACTGAGCCTGATACACTCAGTCACAGCAGAAGCCTCACGATGGGTGTGTCCCAGGCCACGCTGAGGCTGTCACAACACACAGAGTGGTTTTCAAAGCCCATATTCCACATGTGCGGTCAACAAATAAGTGTGCAAAAAATATGGCTTTCTACTCAAGCCTGTTCTTCAAGACCTCTCAAAAAGCTCTGCTTGGAAAAAATGGAGTATCAAGGCCTGATTTCAAATCCCAGGGAGCCCAGGAGTCCAGTACCTGGAGTTGGAGGATCCAAAACGGAGTGGCCTGGGAAAAGACATGTGTGGGAGTCCTAATCTAACTTGGATTTTCAAAAATTCACACAAGTAAATTTTTCTGCCTATTGTTTTGCTGGTAGTGAAGTAGTTTTTGCTCTGTTGCCTAGGCTGGAGTGCAGTGGTGCCATCAGAAGTCACTGCAGACTCAAACTCCTGGGCTCAAGTGATCCTCCCACCTCAGCCTCCAGAGTATCTGAGACTACAGGCTCATGCCACCTTACCAGGCTAATTTTTTTGTTTTTATTTTTTTTGTAGAGACAAGGTCTTGCTATGTTGCCCAGGCTGGTCTTGAACTCCTGGATGCAAGCAATCCCCCTGTCTTGGCCTCCCAAGGTGCTGGGATTACAGGTATGAGTTTCAGATAAGTAACTTACCTCTAACTTGTCCCCCTCTGCATATTGTCCTTCAGCAACTAGATATCGGGATGCTATTTGTATTAGTTTCCCAGGACTGCTGTAACAAATTACCCCAAACTTGGTGACTTAAAACAACCAAAATTTATTCTCCCACAGTTCCGGAGGCCAGATGTTTGAAATAAATTTGTCGGCTGGGCTGTGTTCCTCTGAAGGTTCTAGCAGGGACCTTTACTGGCCTCGTCCAACTTCTGGTGGCTCCAGTTATTTGGTGGCTACGGCTGCATCACCCAGCCTCTGCCTCCATCTTCTTACAGCCTTCTCCTCCTCCCTGTGTGTGGCTCTTCCATTTGTCCCATAGAATGCTTGTCACTGGATTTAGGGTTCACCTGGCTAATCTAGGATGATTTCATCTAAAAATCCTTAGCTTACTTATATCCACAAAGACTTTTTTTTCCAAAGAAGGTTACATTCACAGCTTCCAAGGATTAGGGTGTGGGTATATATTTCAGGGGCCACCATTTAACCCACCACAGTATTGCTCATTTACATCTCTAGCATCTAATAGTGCCTGGCATGCAGAGTTTAACAGTCACTCATGTATTTGTTTTTGATGGTTTAGATTTAAACTTGGACCCAGGCACTCTATCTGCTCCATTCCCAGATCTGAATAAAGGGTGGTATGAGTTTGCAATAAAATCAATATCTTTGACACTCCTTGACTATGAAATAAGCCACTAGGCTAATTAGGGTAAATAGTTTCTTGCTTTCCATAGGGATTTCTGTTAGAGTATTTTATGCTATGGTTTCAACTTATCACATGCTAAGGATGCAGGAATCACATAAGCATAAGGCAAATATGTTTGAAGGTCTTTTTTCTCCCTGAGACCCTCAATGTCTGATAACAAATTGGATTTTATTTATGAGATAAACTTTCACGTATGTATTTCATAATATTTATGAGGATACAAAGATAAGTATTTACAGGAGTACAACTATATATGTAGATGATTTTATTTCCATCATGTGGCATTTCATTGACACCTAATACTGACTTCCAAGTGTCCGTTTAGACGATATGCATACAAAGGAAATGACATGCTTTTTCTTCCTTTAAAAATATAGCTGATGTGATGCTCCTAATAGAGAGTAAATGAATATAATCAAGTTTTCCCTACTTTGGAGTACAAATTTTAAGCTTTTATATTAAAACCTATTTATGCCTAGTGTTCCATTATTGGAACACTAAGCATGTGGGAGTTATTTATGTCTTACTGCTCAAGGTCATCACCAGGGTCTGATTTTTCACACTCAAAAAATTGCAACCTCAGGCATAAATGGGTTAAAATGTACTATGACGTATCTCCAACTTCATCCTGGAATGGTTTTATCTGACAGGTTTAATAGTGGCAATGAGAATAAGTCTGGCTGGGCGCGGTGGCTCACGCCTGTAATCCCAGCACTTTGGGAGGCCGAGGCGGGTGGATCACGAGGTCAGGAGATGGAGACCATCCTGGCTAACACGGTGAAACCCCGTCTCTACTAAAAATACAAAAAATTAGCCGGGTATAGTGGTGGGCACCTGTAGTCCCAGCTACTCGGGAGGCTGAGGCAGGAGAATGGCGTGAGCCCGGGAGGTGGAGCTTGCAGTGAGCAGAGATTGTGCCACTGCCCTCCAGCCTGGGCGACAGAGTGAGACTCTGTCTCAAAAAAAAAAAAAAAAAAAAGAAGGATAAGTCTGACTTTGCCAGCAGGAAATTTTAAAAACAACCTCTCCCTGTGTATGTAACTCACATGGTATATACCTTATAATTCATGTGGCTGGCCATATTTTATTTATGAAATATTTGGAATCTGGAATCCAAAATCAGGGAAGGTGCAGATTCTTTGTTCCCTATTCATAGTGGAAATTAGTTCAAGTTGCTTTATTTTTAGCATTGCCATTCCACATTATTTTAAAGATAAGACTTTTGGGGTGACACTTTATTATTATTTTTATGTGTTTATTCATTTTTCCAATAATCAAGAAACAGAAAAATCAGAAGAAAGCCAGAGAAAAAGTGAGTTTCCTGTCTGCAGTGCTCAAAGCATACCACACACATTAGGAAATGACAGAAATGCACAAGCTAGACATCCAGCCAATCAAAACACATTGCCCAGAACGGTCAAGTTTAAATGGGATCATGCATTCCAAGTCTTGAAGTTTAAGACACATTAACATTAAGCCTTTCAACTTCACATAGTAATACAATCCAGCAACAACACAGCATCAATCAACAAAATCAGACTAAAAGAAAGAGCTTGTGCTTCCCCCAAGGGAGCCCTGTAGACAGATTGCACCTCAAAGTTGAAAGGACAGTTAAGCCTTCTCCTTGTTGCTTTCTCTGTTCTGGGACCACTTTGCAGTTTTCCTTCTTTCTGAATATGTTTTATCTCAGGTACAAATAGGTTGGCTCTTCTGCAAAAGACTAGCCAACTAGTCTACCACAGAGTTAGTTAAGTCTCATTATTTCGAATAAATTTGTGTTTTATTTTTAAACTCATTGACAACTCTATGTGTTTTTAATTAACTTCTTTGACTTCAGTTGTTTGAAATCCAAAAGTGGGCTTGGATAAAAATTAGCTTTATCAGTTTATGCCAGTGTGTGTTTAACCAGGTTTTTTCTTTACTATACATTAACTCCAGATAGATGGGGACTATTTGTTCATCAAAGGCTGGCTTTTCCTGCATATCTCTGTGGCAGACACTAGTTGGGTTACCTTGTGCAAAACGGCTCACACCAAATAGGGTTGTGGGAAGAACTGACACTTCCAAAACCAACTATGGTTGCAATTGTAAACAAGTGTCAAAGAGCCCGCATTCTTTATAAAGCTTAGCTAGGCATTGAGATGTAGGCTTTTAAAATATGACTTATTTGTGGGTTTGTTTTGGTTTTTTGTTTGTTGGTTTTGAGACAGGTTCTCACTCTGTTGCCTGGGCTGGAGTGCAGTGGCACTATCACGGCTCACTCTAGCCTCAACCTGTTGGGCTGAAGTAATCCTCCCACTTCAGTCTCCTGAGTAGCTAGGACTACAGTTGTGTGCCACCACACCCAGCTAATTATGTTTTGTTTTTTGTTTTTGTAGAGATGGGGTTTCTCCATGTTGCCCAGACTGTTCTGGAATTCCTGGGCGCAGGTGCTCCTCCTGCCTCAGCCTCCCAAAGTGTTGGGATTACAGGTGTCAGCCACCATGCCTGGCCACAATATGACTTCTTAAGCACCGTTAATACACCTAAGTGTTGGGCCCTATCTTTCAATTTGCCAGATACAGGGTGGTCATATAATTTATTGTCCATGCAAGGATCTTGAGAATGGTTAGGGTTGCTAACCCGATGGGTTGCCAGGACATCTGGTGTAAACCTGGACATCCATATATATGGGACTCTTCTGCCCCATGTGCCACTACCAAGTGTTTTTGAAGGTGTGTTGAAAATATTGCTAAATTTCACCTGCTAATTGTTCTGATGAATCTATGAATTTTTTTTCATCCTGGAATCATCCATGACTTCCTACTTGATCCATCAGATATCAGTATCTCACTATTTCTGGACCCCAGGACACTTTTCCACCACGAAGTTCTTTTCCTGCTTACAGTGCTACTGTCTGTTTCCCATCTCTGTTCGTGGAGATCCTAGTGATTCTTTGGGACCTAACTCAGCAGGATCTCTTCCAACACTTTAGCTTCCACAGGGCTGTATTTGTATCCTCCTTAGGGCACTCACCTCTTTCGGTTTTGTTATATTTTTATGTGTTGTATCATTTTTCATTACTTAACTGAAAGAAGGAACCAACCACAAAGCTGCACCTCTACATTACACATTGAATGTGAGCCCCTTGTTTTAGCTACTTCTTACGTGTTTGGTGAATTGTTTTTAAAAGTGTGGTAGGAAATAAACATCCAAGAAGGTAGAAAGCCTTGTTGTATTTGGCAAGGAACAGGCCGATGCTACTGCTGGATTTGAATGCCAGCTTCTCCAATTAAGAGCTGTGCAATCTTGTGCAAGTCACTTAACCTCTTGGCGGCCTGTAAAATGGGGATGATAATAGTACCTACCTCCTAAGATACTGAGTATTTAATGTTGCCAGGCACTGTCCTCACAGAACAGTGCTTGGCAAACAGTGCCTGGCAAGACTAAATACTCAATATCTCAGCTATTTTTATTGTTCAGACTTCATTTCCCTATTTTTTGAGGTTTTATTCACATTTTTGAATTGTATTGCAAATAAAAGAAAACCAAGAGCTATCGGCATGTGTAATGGAGGGAGGCCTAATGGCCACCTCCGTCAGGCACACCAGCAATATCCACTGAGAACTAATGCCTTGGTGACCCAAAGGTCACTTGATGGGACAGAATAAAATGTCCTCTTGACTTGAAGAGCCAACCAGGCCAACCCCAACCTCTCAACTTGAAATCAGAGAGTTGAGGTGCTGGTTCTCTGCACATCTGTAGAATAGGGACCATAAGAGTACCTACCTCATGGGCTTACAGTAAAGATGTAATGAGATCATCTATGTAAAGCACTGATCATAGTTTCTAGTACCTGCTCTACATTTGCTGTTGTTCACAGCATCTGTCCTGGAACATGAGTTGATTGTTGAGAGAGGTGTGGTGGGTGTTCTGGGGAAGATATCCTCATATTTCCTCCAGCCATCAGGAACCTCATGGCTAGCTCCATCAGGAGAAGCTCAGCAAGAGAGTGAGAATGCAAGCCTCTCGTTTTTTTATTAGAAATGGTGATTAGGAGACTGCCTTCCCCTCTCTGCGAGCATCCAGTGCAGGAGGGCCAATATCTACAGCTGCAAGGATGATCAGCTTGATGCTGAGGCAAGAGTTATGATTAGCAACAGAAGTGGCAAATTAAGTTCACTGACTAGCAGGCTGGGAAGAGCCAAGAAATCTGTATTAATCACCAAGGACAGAACATGAGCTCTTTGAGACTCTGCAGGGAGAAAAGAGGCTGAAAGTACCCACAGTACTTCTGGAAGGGGGCTCAGAACCAGTGAGTTTTCATTAGCATGGCTATTGCATCCTACAACCCTGGAGTCACTCACCCAGACTATAGTGACCTAAAGAACTCAGGGTTACACACAGCACAGAGCCACTGTCCCAGGGAAAGAAGTTTCTTTGCTTCCAGGCGCCTCTGTACCTAACTGTTACTGTTCTTTTCCCAGGGTCCCCAAAGAAGAGAATTCCACCAACTTTTCTTGGCATTCTCTGCCAATAATTAGCAATTTTTTCTTTATGTTTATCCTTATTAATGCCTATTCCTGTTCAGCTGTGCTCATGGAAAGATAGCCAGTGTGTTTTGCACTTTCCCAGGCAAGCACATCTCAGAGTCCAAATGGCACAGTTGCCTTCAGTTAATTTTCACTTAGATCTTAACCTTCTGAGTTTATTTCCACTTGAACTCTGGGTATTAAAGTAGAAATAATGCTTTGTGACCTTTAAGCGGGACACCAGCTGCTTCTCCACCCTTTCCCCTGTGGTTTAGTGACCCACACAGTCCAGTTCTGCAATAGCCTTGTTTCTGGAGTTCTAACCTCCTTCCCAGCAGGGAATGACTAATGCTTAAAGCCACGCATTACACGAAGGTTTACCAGGCAGAGCAAATAAATGGTCATCGGAGACATGCTTTCAAACAGAGATCTCTGTTCTTGGCATGAAGGTTAAGGTTAGTGAAAAAAAGTCCCACCTCTGCCCCTTTCTGTTCAGTTCCACCCCTTTATCTTCCCAAGGACATGATGAGAAAGATTTTAAAAGTGATCACAGTGGTTTATCTTCATGACATGGGCAGATTTCCATGAGTCCTGTGATTCAGTGACACTCTGAGGAACCCATGACTGTGGGGTGGGCTTGGAACAAACTCACTGTTGGCAGAAGCTGTCCACTTCCCCCATTTTTTGCTCTGGCAAAAATAGATTTCAATGGCAGCTTAGGAAGGGGCCGCAGTGGGGAAGAGGTTGTGGTAAGAGAACATTCTTTCCCATTCTCCAAATCTTCCAAACCAAGCTTTGCTCCATGGGACCACTTCACCCAGAAGTCTGGGCTGGAGCTCAGGCTCTGACACTGTCATGGCTCCCAGCTTGATGGATGGGAGGAGGCAGGGAGCTGGGTTTCCAGCCAGGAACTAAGGGAACTCTACGCTCCTACAGTCCCTTTACTTACTGGGATGGTGTTCACCGCCTCTGCCCACTGAGCCTGCCAAAACAATCTGTCACAGCCAAGCCCAATCACTCCCCATTCCCTGCTCCAAAAAAGAAGAAACCTTGCTGCAGCTTCATAGACATTTGGTCAATCTGCAATAATAAAAAATAGAGGTAGTGGGGCATGGGGAGAGGGAAAGAAGAGAGGCTGGGGGCTGGTGATGGGACAAGTTGAGTTTGGAGCTGCAGAGTGGGAAACTATGGGATGGGCTGGGAATACACAGGGGAGGATGCCTCCTTAAAGTAGGCTTCGGACTATGTATATGGATCCCCTTTGGGCTTTGGGATAATTAGTGAAAGATCAGAGTTATCTTGAAATTCCTTTTGTTTACAAGACTGCATGTTTGGCTGCTCTATGGGGGTCCTGGCTGTGTAAAGGTCACACGTGTAAGTGGATTATGGGCTCATTCATCTCCACAGGGCAAGCTGGAGAAGTTTTTCTTGACTCACTGGAAACAGAAGTAAAAGGCTGAGGAAGGCATTGCGGGGTGGTTGTATCACACAGGCGATGGTGAAAAGTGGAGGTGATGTGGTAGGGAGGAAGACATCTGTGTTTGCTATTGACTTTCTATTTCTTCTGCCAGGGAGCCTGGCATCCGGGTCTCCTGTTGCCCAGCAGTGGAGCAGTCACTTCATTTCACTGTGTCTCACAGTTGTCTCTGCTGTTGGCAACTGGATGTGGGAGGGAACAGTGAAGAGACTACTAAAGTTTAATGTCCTTTTTATGACCAACTTTTGTTGCTGGCACCTTCCTCTTGGAAAAAATACACTGATTTATGACTGAACCATCCCTACACACGGAAATCAAATCATTCTTTCTGTCTCTTAGCTTATTTTTGTTTAGAGGAGCGGATGGCTTCCATAGGCTGTTCAGAAAATGGCTGGGACAAATCGGAGTAAAAAAACTTAAAAGTTTTTATTTCTGTCTCTTTCTCCCCACAGAGGAGTTTGAAATTCTTGCTTCAGGCCATATGGAGTGGATATTCCTTCCAGAAGGAAATTACAGACCACTCTCTGTTTCTACTCAACTGCTTTTCACTCCGTAAGTGGACTCTTTGAAGCAGCCTTTTATTTACCTCAGATTCTGACATGAATAATTGTTTAATTGCCTTTCAGCCTACACAAGATAAGGAACCATGTCTCAAAAATTGTATAATTCTCTTAACTAAACAATAGCCAAGCCATCCGGAGTAGTTTTCAAAGGAAAAAAGAATTCCTCACATATGTTAAGCATTTTATTCTTTTCAAAATGCATTGCTCTGTATTATTTCGCTAAATTGGATAACGTATACGAAAGCACTGTGTAAATTACATCACATAACAAAAAAGTGAAATGTTATAACAATGATCGATTTGATTTTCCATGTGGGAAACTGAGGCTTTACGGGAGTAAGTTACAATCCCAAATCACAGCAGTTAAACGGAGCCCAGACAGTGGTCTGTCTTCTACTTCCGGATGTGCTCTCTCCTCTGCAGAGGATGCTTCACCTCTTGGGGCCTTCCCCAGCAGAGGCCCAGGATCACCTGCAAAAGGCTTCCCCAAGGGTGGGGCCAGAAGCAGGGCTGCAGATATGTGTCCTGAACCTCCCATGGACCCTGCTGGCTCCCTTCAAAGGCTTCGGGCATAGCGACTTGCCTTTCCGTCTTGTTCAGTCGTCACCAGTCAGCCGTCTGCAGACTTCTCTCCCTCACGTTGTGGCAGAGGAGTTGTACATTCTCTAGATTTTAAAAATATATAAGTTACTTTTTCTTTAAAATAAAAATTGTCTCTGAAATAAGCTCCCAATACATTTGCGTATTTTTAAAACGTGTTAGCAAATTCTCATAATAGGATTTGCGTTTGTTAGAAGAGGACTGGGGCAGAAATCACAGAGGAATGAAGCACCTGCCACTCCCTCACCCCTCAGTGGGTGCAGCCCACCCAGGGAGGCAGCAGGATACAAGGTGGAGGAGTACCCCGATACCCAAGAACCCCATGCAAAGGATAGAGCAGCCTGAGAGCAGGGGCAGGATACCAGAGGGAAGGGCTCAGGAGGGTTTCAAATGTATCAAAGGACACAATCAACAGAGTGAAGGGGCAACCCAAGGAGAATCAAAGAAAATATTTGCAAATCATATATCTGATAAGGGATTGATATCCAGAATATATAAAGAACTCCTGGCCAAGCACAGTGGCTCATGCTTGTAATTCCAACACTTTGGGAGGCAGAGATGGGAGGATTGCTTGAAGCAAGGAGTTCAAGACCAGCCTGGGAAACAAAGTAGGACTCCATCTCTACAAAAAGAAAAAAAATAATTAGCTGGATGTGGTAGTGCACACCTGTAGTCCCCACTACTTGGGAGGCTGAGGTCCGGATTGCTTGAGACCAGGAGCCCGGAGGCTGCGGTGAGCTCTGATCTCACCACTGTACTCCAGCTGAGCTGATACAGTGAGACCCCGTCTCTAAAAAAAAAAAATTAAATATTTAAAAATAAGAACTCCTGCAACTCAACAACAACAAAGTCAGTCCAAATAAAAAATGGGCAAAGGACTTGAATAGACATTTGTCCAAAGATAATATGTATACAAATGGTCAATAAGCATATGAAAAGATGCTCAGCATCACTAATCAATCATTAGGAAAATGCAAATCAAAATCACAATGAGATACCACTTCACACTCATTAGGAAGGCTACTAATGAAAAAAAAAAATAGAAAATAACAAGTGTTGGATATTGAGAAACTGGAAGCCGGATGCATTGGGAATGGGCAGGAATGTAAAATGGTGCAGCCACTATGGAAAACAATATGGTGGTGCCTCAACAAATTAAACATAGAATTACCATATGTTTCAGCAATTCCAAAGAAACATCATTCTCTGGGGTAAACACCTGAGGTTCGCCATCTCATGCCAAGGATATCGAGTATGCAGACACACAGGAAGTGGGTTTAGGAGCAGAGGTTTAATAGGCAAAAGAAAGAGAAAAGAAAACAGCTCTCTCTTCTGCGAGAGAGAGAAGGGCACCTGAGTGGGAGTTCCGGCTGGTCGTGGAGTGCACAGGGTTTTATAGAAAGGCTTGAGGAGGCGGTGTCTGATTTACATAGGGCCCAAAGATTGGTTGGACCTAGTGTGATGTTTACATAGCTTGAGGGAAGCTGGCTTCCCCACCCTAATCTTATGCAAATGGGCTATTTGCCTGACGAGCTCCATGTTGTCTGCCCCCTGCTGCACATGTGGTTGGCAAGGAAAAGGGAAGATGAAACTGCCATTTTGAACATGCCTATTTCCCAGGTAACCCCTTTCCTATTGGCACAACTGCCAGCATTCACCTGTGCAAACTTCTAGCCTGCCTTTCTATGTCTGCAGCTTGATTTTACTGGCCACCCTTTGTTAGAAAAGAAAATGATTTGGCGGCTGCTTTTCATTAAAAGGAAAACCTTACTGAGGACTTCCTTACCCTCACTATCTGCCTAAATAATGTCTTTTTAACTCCTACATCATTTCCACTTCTGGGTATATACCCAGAAAAGTGAAAGCAATGACTCAGACAGATAGTTATACATCCATGTTCATAGCAACATTATTCACAGTAGTCAAAGGGTGGAAGCAACCCAAGTGTCCATTAGCAGATAAATAGATAAGTAAAATGGGGTCCATATAATGGAAAATATTCAGCCTTAAAAAGGAAGGAAGATCTGACACATGCTATCACATGGATTAACCTTGAAGACATTATGCTAAGTGAAATAAGCCAGACACAAACGAACAAATATTGTATTGTAGACCAAAAATAAAATTATAAGGCCCCCCCAGTCATCTGAAAGAACCCCTCCTCTCAGCCAAGGGCACTCCAAAGTTAACCTGAAGAACTTGTTCAGGTCATCACGGGAAGGTGGGGTGGGACATTCCTCATTATACCCTCCTCCCATTTGGAATTCAGAAACAGCCAGCCAGCATTAACATCAACACAGACCTTAAGTCTGATAAGAAACATTTACAACCTATTCTCTTTGGAGCCTGCTACTTGGAGGCTTCATCTGCATGATAAAACCCTGGTCTCCACAAGGACATTTACCCAGATGTTCCTTTTTTTTTTTTTTTTTTGAGATGAAGTCTTGCTCTATTGTCCAGGCTGGAGTGCAGTGGCATTATCTTGGCCCACTGCAGCTTCTGCCTCCTGTGTTCAAGCGATCCTCCCACCTCAGCCTCCCAAGTAGCTGGGATTACAAGCATACGCCACCATGCCTGGCTAATTTTTGAATTTTTAGTAGAGACGGGTTTCACCATTTGTCCAGGCTGGTCTCAAACTCCTGGTCTCAAGTGATCCACCCCTCTCCGCCACCCAAAGTGCTGGGTTTACAGGCGTGAGCCACCGCGCCCCACCAGACATTCCTTTTTATGATAATAACTCTTTCAACCAATTGCCGATCAAAAAATCTTTAAATCTACCTATGACTTAGAAGCTCCCCCACCAACCCTAACCTTCTACCCTCACCTTGCTTTGACTTGTCCTGCTCTTCTAGATGGAACCAAAGTAAATTTTACATATACTGATTGATGTATTATGTCTCCCAAAAATGTATAAAAACAAGCTGTATCTCAACCACCCAGGATGCAAGCCATCAGGACCTCCTGAGGCTGTGTCATGGGCATGTCTTCAAATACTTTTTTTTTTTTTTTTTTTGAGACAGAGTCTTGCTTGCTCTGTCACTCAGGCTGGATGCAGTGATGTGATCTCGGCTCACTGCAACCTCCACCTCCCGGGTTCAAGCGATTCTTCTGCCTCAGCTTCCCGAGTAGCTGGAATTACAGGCACGCACGACCACACTTGGCTAGTTTTTTGTATTTTTTGTAGAGATGGGGTTTCACCATGTTGGCCAGGCTGGTCTTGAACTCCTGGTCTCAGGTGATCTGCCCACCTCAGCCTCCCAAACTGCTGGGATTACAGGCGTGAGAGAACTTCCCAGAAAAATGTGAAGGTCTGAGGAGAGAGGGAGGCATTGAAGTCCATCGAAGCCCTCTCCAGGGAGGACACCTTCTGGAGGCTGCTTCACTGAGGCCGATGCTACTTAGAAGAGGAACCCATGCCCTTCCTCACCTCTGCAGTGTGTGATGATCCCTCAAAGGCCCTTTCCCAGTGGGTACATGGCCTGGGAAGGATGAAGGACAAGGTGTCCAGCTCCCCCCCTAGGGTCATCTATCTGAGAGTTCATCTCTCCTGTGCCATCCAGATGGCAGAGAAGACAGACTGTGCCCATCAGGGACCATAAAGGAAACTCCCCTGATTCACTTGGCTCCTCCAGAGGGTAAGAGAAGAAACACCCTGTGTATACAGAATTAATCCAGAGGGTGATATGAGACAGAAGTTTGACCTCATCCCTTTTTCCATTGGTTTTTAAGCTTTTATTTAAGCCAAAACAAGGGGTTCCAAATCGTCACACTCACACACACGCACACATATATGTTTTATACTCAATAGTTATTAAGACCAACTATAAATTTTGCTAATTTCTTTGCTTCTTCCTGGACTCCACCGTCCAGCAATTCTTTCAGGACAATTGATGGGTGGGACACTTTCTCAGGTCTTGTATGTCCAAAAACATCAAATTTTACCCCTCACACTTGAATGACAATTTGATTAGGTAGAGAATTCTATAACAAGGTCACTTTTCCTCAGCATTTCAGAAAGTGACTACTCCACTGTCTTCTTCCACTGGGTGCTGCTAGTGAAGTGTGATGTTAGACTGATTTACATGCCATAGTGGGTGACCTGCTTTTTCTGTCTGAAATATTTTAGTTTTTCTTTATCCTTGATATTCTGATAGCTTACTCTAATCTATAGGGGGTGATTTGTTTCATTTAAAAAAAAATGTATCTTGCTTTGTCCTCCAGGGAACTTTCAATTTGAGGACTACAGTTTTAGGAAATTCTTCTCTGTAATTTCTTTGTTAGCTCTGCTCCTTCTTCTCAATTTTTTTCCTACTGGAACCCTTAAAAGAGGGCTTTTTAACCTACTGTGTCTGAAGTCCATATTTCTTACTTTTCGTTCTTCCATTCTATTTCTTTATCCCTGCGTCCTGTTGGGAGATTCCCCCATGCACTTGGATTTATTTGGATATTTGGCCATCCTGCTTAGGTGTCTTTCGTTCTTTCTTTTGAGACAGAGACTTGCTCTTGTCACCCAGGCTGGAGCACAGTGGCACAATCTTGGCTCACTGCAATCTCTGCCTCCCGGATTCAAGGGATTCTCCTGCCTCAGCCTCCCAAATAGCTGGGATTATAGGTGCCCATCACCACACTCAGCTAATTTTTTTGGATTTTTAGTAGAGATGGGGTTTCACCATGTTGGCCAGGCTGGTCTTGAACTCCTGATCTCAGGTGATCCACCTGCCTCAGCCTCCCAAAGTGCTGGGATTACAGGCGTGAGCCACCGCGCCCAGCCAGGTTTCTTTATTAACAGTGACATAGACTAATTCAATTTGCACTGACTGCTGATAGGAGAGGTGGATGCAGCTGTCTTCTTCTGTGCTCCACTCTATTCACAGTGACACCAGGGGGAATGAGTCTACCAGGGTGACTCTGTTCTTCCCTTCCCAAATAAGCACGCTGCCTCTTGTACCTCAGCCACCCAGGTCCTCGATTCCAACCACCAGGTGGGACAAATGTTTGGTGGCACCTGTCCCTTCTGCAGCAGGACTCTCTTGCACACACCTTTGACTATTTTTTTTTCTTCCTCTGATCCTTTTGGTCTTTTAGGGATTTTCAGTTTCTGAAAACCCCCTTCTCTAAAAGTCTCCCTTCTAGTTTTCTGAGTATTGTTACTTTTTAAAATTTATTATTATTATTATTATTATTTTTTGACTCACTCTGTTGCCCAGGCTGGAGTACAGTGGTGCAGTCTCGGCTCACAGCAACCTCTGTCTCCTGGGTTCAGCGATTCTCCTGTCTCAGCCTCTCCAGTAGCTGGGATTACAGATGAGTGCCAACATGGCTGGCTAACTTCTGTATTTTCAGTAGTGATGGGGTTTCACCATGTTAGCCAGGCTGGTCTCCAACTCCTAACCTCAAATGATCCCCTCATCTCGACCACCCCAAAGTGCTTGGATTACAGGCGTGAGCCACCACGCCCGGCCTGTTACATATTTTTTCTATTGTGTCTGAAAACCTAGTGCTGAAGGGAAGGCAGCAGTATGTGTTTGGGCCACCATTTTGAAAACGGAAATCTTCAAATAAAATCTTAGAAGTTTGAGATGTAAGAGATACAGTGCAGCACTTTAGTTGAAGCAGAGGTGGAGGCCCCAGAGGTCTGCTTCCCTTCTCCCTCGCAATGGCCTGTGAGGAGACTGCAAGGAACACCCAAGGCTCTGTGGAGCCTGGCATGAAAACCACCCACCCATGTTATTATTGTGGCTTCATGTCAGCATCACAATCGATTTGATAGTTGGCACCAGGATCCTGGTTGTCTGATCCCTCCAATAGTGACAGACTACTTTTTTAAATTTAGAAACTTGGGACCCTTTTAGGACTTTCCTTGAAATTTCCATTTTTTGGTCTGACAGTTCACTTGCAAAGAACTGTAATAAGTAGGAGGCCATTGGCTTGAGGCTGTGCAGGTACTTTGAGTTCCTACACAATGAACTGCAACTTAACTTGGTATATAAACAAACGAGAACCTAACTCAGGAGTGTATTTTTTTGTAACAGCCAGTCTCAGCCAATCACAAGCAGCCAAGCTTCAGCCATTCACAGGTGGTCAGCTGATCAGACCATGTCCAAATAAGGCAAATTCCTAGCCATAACCAATCAAGTTATGTCTGCACTTTACCTCTGCATTCAGCCTATAAAAGCCACAGCTCATGCTCCTAACTTGGAGTTCTATGAACCTCTTGTGCTTCTGAGTGCTGCCTGATTCATGAATCACATTTTGTTCAAGTCAATTCTGTTGAATTTACTTTCTATAAAGTTTTTCTTTTAACAGAACTAACATTCTTTGAGCTCCATAAATTATCATGCCATTGCTGTCTCTACTTCCTCAAGTGCTCTCCGATGACTTAGTAAGGTGGATCTTCATACGACCCCAAACCATAATCTTTCAATATGTAGTGAATATACTGGGTATGAGTTCCACCTACGTAAGAGGCGTTTTTAAATTACTTTATATGGAACTCTCCAGCTGTGGATATGAGGTAACAAACCCATTTGTCTCATGCACATGGTGGGGGATGGTTGAGTGCAAAGATTGTTGATGTTTTGCTGTATGTTCCTCTGTGTAAGGCCTTCCTCGGGGCCGTTGAGATAACTTCAGTGATTTATATCACCTCAAAACTTTTAAGGATTTAGACTTTCTTCTGTCTTGGTTGTATTCCTGTCTAAGGCTGGCCTATGTATGACCCAACATTATTCAGGTAACTTATTCAGAGGTAGAAGACATTTTATTTATTTAGAGAAATAAGAAATCATCATACCAGACTAGTGATTTGAGTAAGAGATTTAAACAGAAATTTTTTTTTTTTTTTAATGCTTGAAAGTATCTGTTATTGGACAGGCAAAATTTTAATGTGTCAAAAATTTATTTAAACTATGTGGTCACTATCTGGAGTAGAATAGTGAATTATGTCAATTATTTTGTTAATTATCTTACATTTCAGAGTCCTATTTACATACATAATTTCCATATACACCATAGAAAGTCTACTCAAGCCTCCATTTTTTCCAAATATTTAGTTGTCCTTAGTTACCTGTGATCATAAAATGGATTTTAGGCAGTATTATTTGGTTGACTTTTGCTTCAACTCCAGCAAATCAAGCAGTTTGTTGGTTTGTCACATATTCATCATCTATTCTCTTATCTGTGTTCTTTTCTAAGCAGCCTACCACCTTCCACTGGGGGGGATCCATGAGATTCCAGGGAAGCTGACTTTATTGACGGGAGTGAGGCATGAGGTCTAAGCTAAGCCAATCCGTGCCTTCCATTTCTTGGAACACAGATATTGGCTGCAGAGGGGGCATGTGTCTTAAGGGGGGTCCAATCAGAATGAATTTTCAGATTTTCCTTGGAAACATTAGGCAGGAATGCTCTCCTGCTTCCTTGCTTCCCTTCTGGATTAGAATGAGGAAGCAACAGCCCTAAGAGCTCCTGGAAGCCATAGGGGATCTCAAAGAGAGTCAGCCTTAGAATTTGGCCCCAAAAAGGGCAATGTGAAGAGCTAGGAACAAATAAGGTTCTTGGTGACATTGTTGAGCTCCTGGATCAAGCCTTATCTGGAGCCAATATTACATCTGGCATTTTCAGTTGCTTGAGCCAACAAATTCCCTCAATTGTTTAAGCTATTTTGAATGAAGCTGTTTGTTGGTTGCATTCTAACTTGTATAATTTGTAGATGACATATTAGTATACAACTTCACAGTTTAGAAATTGTATTATCTTACTTCATTGTCACAACAACTCCATAGAGGTATTTAGAAAAGCTGTTACTCCTCTTGTTTTATATGAAGAAAGGGACTGTGAAAGCATTGCCCTAGGTTAAACAGATGGTTAAGTAGAAGAGGAAAGTTATATGAGGACAGGAAGAATGTATTCATTTTAAAGTTGTATTCTCAGCATCTTTTATGGTGTTTGCCAATTCAATGTAATAAAAATTTGTTGAACAAATAAATAAATCAAATAATAGAGCTGTAATAGTAAAAAGAATAATGGGCTTAGCTGTAATTGATCATTCATTTTTTCCAACAAATATTTACCAAATGCCTATGTAGAGGTATGAGGCTCAGTTGTGCCAGTATGTCTAGTGAAAAAGACAAAGAAAATTGATATTTCTAATGTTCTGATACTCTTTTAAAGTTTCACAGAGTTAAACGATTATAGTATTTACATGTCAAGTCCTGCCATGACTTGTTAGGGAGGGTCCTTGTTTTTCAAATCTCTCTCTCTCTTTTTTTTTTTTTTTTTTAAGATGGAGTCTCACTCTTGTCACCCAGGCTGGAGAACAGTGGCGCAATCTTGGCTCACTGCAACCTCTGCCTCCCGGGTTCAAGCGATTCTCCTGCCTCAGCTTCCTGAGTAGCTGGGATTACAGGCGCCGGCCACCACACCTGGCTAATTTTTGTATTTTTAGTAGAGACGGGGTTTCACCATGTTGGCCAGGCTGGTCTTGAACTCCTGGACCTCAGGTGATCCACCTGCCTCGGCCTCCCAAAGTGCTGGGATTACAGGCATAAGTCACTGCACCTGGCTGTTTCAAATCCCTTTTCTATTGCATATATCCACAGTTTCTGCCGTATTTGCCTTGAGAATGGGGACCTCTGAGGTAGAAAGTCATGCCAATTGTTTCATGTTGTGATAAGTACTCAGTACCATCTGAATACCTCACAAATATTGAATTATATTCTTCTCAATGTCTAAGTCTCTCTCTGGCTGTATGTTAGAATGTCCTTTCATTCAAATCTTTTGGGGACCATTAGGAGTTGAATTTTACTATTTTAGCATGTATTATAGTAGATCAAAAATCCATACTTCATGAGTGAGGCAATATATAGATTTGAGATTCTATCAGATTGCAAAGTAACAAGAAAGTAGAAGGAGGATCACCCTGTGGGAATGAGGGACCAGCTAACCAAGCAGTCAGAGAAAGAGCCTGAATTGTAGTTCCCCAGGGATGGAATGAAAGAAGACACAACCAAGAAATTTAGCTCTTTAGATCTAATAGAAACCTCAAAGAATTAGATTCCAAGAATTGATGGATGAAAATTGTTTCAGGATTTAAAAAACTCAGCAAGGTTCCATTTCCTCTTTTCATCCTTGAGTACTGGAAAGAGCAAAAGCTTTTGAGTGAGACAGAGCAGGGTTCAAATCCTAACTCCAACAATTTAGGCAAGTAACCTGCTCTCTCTGAGAGTCATTTTTCTTATCTAGAAAATGGATAGTATTTACCTTAATAGGTCCAGGCATATAGGAAATGATAGCTGTTATTCTGTACTTTTTATATAAGTAGGACAAACTTAGAGTCATGAAAAAAAGTGTTGTCACACTTATTTTTTTTTTGCTTTTCTTAGAAGAAAAAAAGGGTATATCTTCAAAGTGTTCAATAGCACAGAAAGAAAAAAGAAAATGAAGGGCACATTTTGTAGAATCAAGATTTTTTCCTCAAATTCAATCATAGCCCCATAATGAGCTAATGAGGGTGGGACATTGCTCTCTTGTATCTCTCATTGCTACATTTACTAGCTTTCATCTGAGAAAATGAGGGAAGCTTTAGTTCACATACTTGAATACTGTTCCAAATGTCTCACGTTTCTGATAATGTCCTTCAGGACCCTGAGCAAACTAACTATAAAAAAGATGAATGACTGTGGATTATTCAGTAGGTTCTTGGTATCCTTTCAGAAATGTTAAGAACAGCTCCTTAACTCTTCACTCATAAACTTGGTGTTGTTTCCCCTTGGGTAATTTCTCTCATCTTTGAAGTTGAGTCCCATCAGTTGTCAGTGGCATGATTTATTCACGTCCAGGGCCAATGGAAGAAGCACAAGGGTGGGAGGCTGTTAGCTCTCGCCAGCGCCCCCTCTGGCCACTCCGGCAAAGGCCGCCAAGTGACAGCACACTGAATTCCTGTGCAAGGCTCTGGTGTGGGTGGAGGCGGCTCTGAGCAGAGCCCAGAATGTTGGAACAAGAGTGGGGTGGCCTGGCTTGCTGCTTCTGAACCTATCTCATCCTCACTACTCTGATTAGAGAAAAAAAAAAGGGAGAAGGCTTGCAAGTACTGTGCAATAGAGGTGGTAGTTTTACATAAATCTAAAAAATTTGGCCTGAGGTTTATGGAGAATCAAAACAACTTAAGGAATGCATTTTTTTCATATAAAATACCTGATAATTAACCTCTTCTTACTTTTTAAGTTATTAAACTTGAATCTTGGTGGGTCTTTTTTTTTGGCAGTATTAAGTCAAATCTGTGATATGTATAAAGTATCACTGACATGCTCAGAAAATACCTTTATCCTACACCACCCCCAATGGCTCCCAAGTGTGTGACTTAGTGAGTTCATCAGTTCAAATCAAGGAAACTTATTGCCGAGTATTCTCCCTTCTTGGGAGAACTCAAATGTTTCATTCCTGTGTCTCACTTCTTTCTCATCCTGAAGCTGAATTTAGTCATAATTGTTATACTGCTATAGCATTTGACACTTTTCGAAACATGTTTATTCACAATATTACAAGCAGAGGAGATTTCACTGTTTTTGCTTTTTAGAGGAGAACATTGGTATTCAAAGAAATAGACAAATTTTTGGGGCCGGGTGCGGTGGCTCACGCCTGTAATCCCAGCACTTTGGGAGGCCAAGGCGGGCGGATCACGAGGTCAGGAGATCGAGACCATCGTGGCTAACACGGTGAAACCCCGTCTGTACTAAAAATATAAAAAATTAGCCGGGCGTGGTGGCAGGCGCCTGTAATCCCAGCTACTTGGGAGGCTGAGGCAGGAGAATGACCTGAACCCAGTAGGCGGAGCTTGCAGTGAGCTGAGATCGCACCACTGCACTCCAGCCTGGGCAACAGAGCAAGACTCTGTTTCAAAAAAAAAAAAAAAAAGAAATAGACAAAATTTTGTTTAATCTATCTATTACAGTCTTGGATACTGATAAATTTATAGAATCACTGAGTCTAGAGAAGAAACCACACATATCAGCTTTTTAGTTGCAAGTTAATTTTGAGATAAGTTCAATCTTAAAAAATCAAATTATAAATGCATTGGAAGAAAATTTTTAAAAATATTGTTATGATTTGGGGGAAAATAGAGAAAAACTTTATAACTGGGGATCTCAGGACAAAGTCATAGTGAAAAATATTGCTAGACTCAAGGGCTTAAAACACACACACACACATACACACAGATTCAAAATTTCTGAATGGTAAAAAATATATTCTGATATATTTTGGAATTTATCAAGCAGAAAGGCAAATGATAAAAATTTTAAAAGGTAACATGTTTAATATATAAAGAGTTCTTGCAAACAAATAAGGAAAAGATGTCTCCATATGTTAACAATGGATCTAAATTGCAAATTCACAGCAGAAAAAATAAAAATGGCCAATAAACATAAAAAGTTTTAACCTTCCTGGTAACAAATTAAAAAAATTAAAACAATAAAATTCTCCAACGTGGTGGGGAAAAATAAAATAGAATAATAATACACAGTTTTGGCTAGGACTTTGGGAAATAGGTAACTTCCTGCTATGGTTTTGGGAATTTTAGTTTGGAGATCAGTTTGACATTATGTATCAAAATCCTTGAAAAAGAGCATAATATCTGATCCAGGTTAGGGGTGAATTATCAGCCAGTAATTGGACAAGTTGCCAAAGATACAAGTGCAAAAATGTAAATGGCGGTATTTTTATTTTAATCATGAAAAATGAGAAACAACTTAAATTATTGGTAATATGGGGTCATAGATGTCATAATTAAGCCATAAAAAGAAAGGCTACCAAATACAGTACCATGAATAGTTTGATGTAATTTTATTCAGGAAAAATGCACACATATTAGTAAATACACACATATATAAATATATGTCATAGTGTACATACAAATTATATATATTTCTATGTGTGCATGCATATGTGTGTATATATATGGAGAGAGAGAGACAGTGCCAGTCTTGGTTCTCAGTGCTTTACATATAACAATTCATTTAATCCTCCCTACAACCCCAAGAAGTGAGTGCTGTAATAAACTCCATTTCACAAATGAGGAAACTGAGGCGGAAAGAGGGAAGCACTTGCCTAAAGTCACACAGCTAATGAATGGCAAAGCCAGGATTCGAATCCAGATATTGAGGCCCCTAAGTCTTCCGTCCTAAGCACCAACCCAGCTGCCCTGGGTGACATAGGGAGCTCTATGCCCTCTGCTCTAAACAGATAGACAAAGGCTTGGGGGACGCACAGTAACTGGCATTCAGTGCTTACCTCTGGGTGGTGGGATGATAGAGGGGACTTCTGTTTATTATTTGAAAAAATTAAATCAATACTTTCTGATTTTTCTGCACTTACAAATCACTTAGTGGTGAAGCAAAACAAGTGTTTTTGTTTTGTTTAGTTTTTGAACTACAAAGTTTAGAAAACATGGATTTCTTCCCTTGTCCCGGTAACTTACAGGCCAAAATAGGATTAAGGGAGGGCTGGCCTAGCTTTCCCCACTCCATCTCTCTGCTAAGCCCTTGATTGTGAAGCCTCACAAAGACACAAAATGTGTGTGGGGGGTTTGCTTTTTCGTTTTCATTTTATTTCTTTCTGAACATTCTATGCCTGTCAATTTTTTTTAGTAAAGGAACTATTGCGTTAGGCCCAGCATTCCAAAGACCTGACATGCAGGCCGGGAATTCAGGCCGCTCATGTGAGGGGGCCTCTCCCTCTGGCTGTTGTCAGCCAGGCATTGCCAGGTTTCTTGTTATTTCTGCTCAGTGTTTTTTTTTTTGTTTGTTTGTTTTGTTTTTTCCCAAATCACAGGGGATTTTAATGTGAGGAAAATTCTCTCTCTATTTTTTTTTTTTTTTGTGACTCAAAAAGTTTTGGCTTTTATGATTGTGACAAATACCTAGGGGACTAGAAATAGTACAGTGTTTCCTGGTATTAAATAAATAGAAGTTTTTAAAAGAGAACACAGATTTCTGAAATCTCTGTCAACTTGATCGACTCTGAGGTGGACGTGTTTAGACTCTTCAGGACCTTGGTGGTGGTGACGGTCATAATGATGGTCACAATTTTCTGGGGGCTGGCCCTGTGCTCTGCCTTGTGCAAAGTGCTTTCCGCACATTCTTTTTATTGACCGCTCCTAGCATACATGGGAAGGAGTTAAGGGTATCCCCCCTTTTTGCAGGGCCCAGTGGTTTCCTGGCTGCCATGGAGTCACAGACCTCCGAAGTGGAAGTGCTGGGATCTTAACTCAGGTCTGTCCAAGTTCGAAGTGTGTGCCTGACCATGCAGTTCGGGTCTAAGACCAGAGGTAAATACTGACTTTGTGGAGAGTGAGTGCCCACTTCCTATTCCCTCATCCACCCTGGAAAGCACCGGGACAAAGGGGCTCAATCAACGTTTATGGAATGAATGAATGACTGGGTGAATGAATGCATGAACACAGCCCCCACCAACATGCCAAAGGATGTGAACAACAGAAAAAAGGCCACTGTGTAAAGTTCCTTTTAAAGCTTTAAGACAAGGACTTGAGGGATGAGGAGTCTGGGTTTTGGGTGGCTTTATTCTCTTTTGGTCCGGATTCTTTTAAATGTGGAGGGGGAATACTTTAAGTTCTGGAGACAGAGAAGGGTGCTGAGGGTTGCCTAGAGAAGACAGAATAACTTACTCTAAATTCCAGTTTGGTCTCTAGAGCGGGGAGTGGCAAACCTTCTTTGGAAAAGGGTAAGCAGTAAACATTTTAGGCTTTAAGGACCAGAGAGTCTCTGTTGCAACTGCTTAGCTCTGCTTATGTAGCATGGAAGCAGCCATATGTAAACAAATGGATGTGGCTGTGTTTCAATAAAACTTTATTTAAAGACTTTGAAATGTGAGCTTACTTTGTATTATTTTTGCATGTCACAAAATTATTACTCTTCTTTTGTTTTTTTTCAACTATTTAACAATACTACCCAAAATGAGCTACAGATTCAGTGCAATCTCTATACAAATGAAAAAACATTCTTAATCATGGTCATACAAAAATAGGCAGCAGGCTGGACTTGGCTGGTGGACCATACTTTTCCCACTCCTGTTCTATAGTCCAGAGAGATGTGAAGAGTGAAGCTTTTCATCTTTTCCATCTTGTCAGCTCAGCTGCCTTGGGTAGGAAGGGGTTTATAAAAAGTGCTTCTTCACTGCATCAGCTGTATGGCTGGGCAAGTTACAAGTCACTGGCACTCCGTGTGCCTCTTTTTCCCCTTCTATAAAATGGGAATATAAATAGTTCATAGTTTGGAGGAGTAGATAAAATCATCCATTGAAGGCACTTAGAACAGTGTCTGACATGGGGAAATCTTCACTAAATGTCAGCCATTCTCATTATGGTTGTTGTGGTTGATGCTGTTTGTCAGTGGGGTGGAGAAAGACATGAAATCCAAGGAACAATTTGGCCCTTTGTTCCAGGAGCAGCAATAATTTTGACAATACTACGGGATTCCCTGGGTTCACCCCTTGACTTTCCGAATCTGCCCATTTTAGGGTGTGAATCTTTAGAGTTGGATGGGTCTTCTAGTGAAACCCCCTTTCTAAAGCCAATCTTATCTGTAGACACCGTTACTAAGAGCCATCCCTCGGTTTTTTAGTCTCTTATAAGATAGTCAGGTGCAACCACAAGAGGAGATGCAGGAGAGGCTCAGGGAAAAAAGAAGCCGATTATACTCACAGGTCCTAGGGACAAGGGGCACACACACTGTGTTGGTCCATATGAGAAAGACACCAGGGTGGAGCTCGCAGAAGATAGGATGAGGGGGAGATTTAAGCCATAACCTTTGTTGGGGTTTCTGGGGAAAGGCAAGGCAGGGCAGGGTGAATGGTTTTGGATGGGCTAGATTGAATAATTCTGGCAGGCTTTTGGCTACAAAGAGGGGTCTCTGTTGCTGGCACCTGGTCCTGGGATGATGTAGGCAGAGGAATACTGCCTCCTGGGATGCACTGGCCAGATACAGGAGGTCTGGCACTGCACTGGTTAGTTTGCATATCAAAGACATGCTTCAGTCTGAGTCCTTTCTCTAAGAATTGGCCAGATCCAGGAGGGGCCATCTCTCACCAACCAGAAAGGTTTTTTAAAATGCCAAAACATCACAGCATACAGAAAATTTTAAAGTCTTTGCAACATACCCTCTCAAATGTGATTTCAACTGCATCCAACCCCATTAAAAGTTCTAGATGAGCCCTCAGTTGTGTCCTGTACCTAACCAACACTCCTGTTCTTAGGCTTAGAGACCCTCCATCCTTACTTTCTCCTACATAACTGGCTGTGCTCGTGTCCGCCTCCTAGGTCCTCCATCTCCTCCTCCAACACTTATTGACCACTAGTAGCTGGCTTGACTTGAGGCCCCTGGAGACAGGGAACAGGTCTTAGGCATCTTGGAGTCCCACACTCCTAGCCCATGCCAGCATTCCATCAGTGTTTGTAGAATTGAGTGGTACCCTGGTTCCCACACGTGGTTCACATTAACAGACTCACTCTTCTCCAAAGTCACTTGCGCCTCCTCCAGACGCTCCATGTACCGGATGGTCCCAGCTGCTGCAATGTCCTAACCTACATTTGCCCCAGTGCCCCACAGCACTGAGCACCCTACCAGCAATTAAAGAGGTTTAACCAAAGTGCAAAAGCACATACGTAACCAGGATCAACTGACTGGCCTGGGAAAGCTTCTGTGTGAACTCTGCCACCAGAAGTGAGTGTTTGTTTGGGAAGACAGGAAGCAGTGAACTCAGAGAATAACACAGGCAGAGCCCAATGAGGTAAGCAGAGGGAAGGAAGTAAAATTTTCCATTCTAGTTTAGCCATGACTAAAGTTGTCAGGAATCAATGCAATAACTTCGAATTTGAACGTATTTGCATGAGTGGATCTCTGCAAATCTGGGCTTTTATTTTCCCATATGTTCCTACTTTAGCTTTCACAAGACTTTTTACAGTTACAATTGCAGAAGAAATGATCTGAGACATGTTCAGATATATTTTGTTCATTTATTTAACAAACACTCAATAGTGCTTATTTATGCCAGGCACTGTTCTCAGAACTTTATATATAACCATGACTCAATGCTGCTTTCCATTCATTTATTCATTCATTCAATAAAAATAAATATGATATCTTCTGTGAAACCACATTGTACCAGGAATAAAAAGGCATAAGATGCTGTTTTCTTTTCTCTTGGGCTTAGAGGGTGAGACAGACAAGTAAATCAATAACACAACACTTATAGTACAGGATGTGGTAAGGGGACACACAATATGTATCATTTGTCCTATGGGACAAGGAGGAAGGACACCAAAATTAGCCTTGAGTAGGTGATGTTGAAACTGGGTCTTAAAAGATGAGTGAGGGGCTGTGAAGACAGTAGGAAGCTGTGTGGCAGGAACAGCTTGTCCACAGCATCAAGGGAAAGCCAGCTGCACCCTCAGGGAGCTGCAAGCCATCTTCCACAGCCTTAAGCAAAGGCTGTGTATCTGAGCATGAGGAAGGGGCTTAGACAGCTTGGGCAGCCATCACAAAGTGCCACCAACTTTGTGTCTTAGTCTGTTTATGCTGTGATAACAGAATACCACCAACTGGGTAACTTATAAAGAACAGAAATGTATTTGCCTCACAGTTCCAGAGGCTGAGAAGTCCAAGATCAAGGTGCCAGCATCTGGGAGAGGCTTCTTGCTGTGTCCTCCTGTGGCAAAAGGTGAAAGGATCAGAGAGAACCAGACTCACTTTTATAACCCACTGTCCATAACAAACCGGCTCCTGAGATAATGACATTAATCCCTGCATGAGGCAGTGCCCTCAGGACCTAATCACCTCTTATTAGACCTCACTTCCCAACACTGTTGCCTTGGGGATTAAGTCTCCAATCCACGGACTTTGCTTTGAATTGGTTTGACACATTCAAACCAGAGCAAGATGCAAGTTCAGTTTCCGATGAGGGCTCTCTCCCTGGTTTGTAGATGGCTGCCACCTGCTGTATCCTCATGTGGTCTTTCCTCTGTATGCCCACAAACTCTGGAGCTGTTCTCTTCTTATATGGGTGCCAGTCCTATGGGATTGAAGTCCCACCCTTATGACCTCATTTGACCTGAGTGAATTTTCTAAACTATCTCCAAATACAGTCACATCCTATGGTGCTGGGTGTTAGGACTTCAGTATATGAATTGCTAGGGGGACGTGGGTAGGAGGGATTGGGAGAGAGGAGACTGGTATGAAGGCTACTGAGATAGTACTGAGAAAAAGTGGCAGAAAGCTAAGCAAAATCAATGGCAGTGGGGGTGGGAAGGAACCAAGAGATTCCTGAGATTTGTAGAAGGCAGAGTCAGTGGGTGGAGGCACCCAGTTGGCTAGGAGGACTGGGGTGGAGGAACAGCAGAAGAGCGTAGGGGTGGAGGGAGGAAGTGAGAGGGTGCAGTCTAGGATGCCCTCACAGCGCTGGATGGAGGGATAGTGATGCCTCCCTGGGATGAGAAACACAGGAGAAACAGCACATTGGGCAGGAGGAAGACGATGAGTTGCAGGTGCCAGGGGGAAATCATGTGGAGAGGTTAGCAGGAAGTTGTGTAGATTGGTCAGAGAGCCTGACAAGAAATCTGGCCTGGAGCTAGAGATTCAGACATCATCAGCTTGTAAGTGGTCATCAGAGCCAAAGATTTGGACAAAGTCATCCAGGAAAGGTGGACAAGGACAGAACTCTGCAGTTCAGGAAAATGAGTGGCCTGAAATGAGGGAGAAAGAGTGGGAGAAGACAGGGAGCTGACACTATTACTCGAGAACCGGGCACTGAGCTAGATGCTGTGAGTGGGCGGTCAACTCATTGTACTCTTACAGAAGTCCCCTGATGTAGGCATCAAACAAACACTTACATTGCACTTACTATGTGTCAGACAATTCTTTGCCATAACACATCAAATCCTTACAAACCTCACACTTCACATATGAGGAAACTGAAACACATAGGAGTAATGTGTTCAAGACTGCAGGCTAGATTCAAGATTCCAACCCAGGTGACAAGGTACCAAAGTCTGAGCTCTTAACGGTGTTGCTATCCTGCCTCTCCCTCTATTACCCTAATTTTAAAAATGAGAAAATGAACGACAGGAGAGTTTAGGAAACTTGCTCAAGATGACATGGTTAGCAAATGTTAGAGTTAGATTTTTCAACTCTAAACCCTTTGCACCTTTCACTACATTGTGCAAGTTCTTCACAAGCTAAGGGAAGAGAGAACTGCAGGGACAAGTGTAGTCTAGTGAGATCAAAACAGAAAGTGTTTATGAGGTTTAGTAACAAGGAGGTCATTGGAGACTTGGTCAGTTTCAGGAGGTGTGATGGGCAGAAGTCAAGGTATAAAGTCTTGAGGAGTAAATGTCAGGCAAGGAATTTAGAGAATTTTTTCAGGGAGTTTGACCATAGAGTGAAGAAGAGAGATGGAAATGTACTAAAAGGGAAAGTGAGATGTTAAAATGTTTAAAAAGTTATTTTTTTTAAGACAAAAGAAACCTGTAGATGTTTGTATGCTGACAGAAAAATCCAAAAATGGTGGCAGTGGTGGTGCCTAATTGATTTTTAATCTTTTGTGAATTTGGTAAGGTTGAATCAAATTTCTGAATATGAACTTTGGACCCCCAAAGCTGAGAAACTGAGCCTGTGAGCTGCTGATGTCCCCATAGCACAGTTACCTTAATGGGGACACATAAGGATGGCAAAATCTTTATCTTGTCTTTTACCTGTGAGCATAGCCACAGACTCACCAATGGGTGATTGCCTTGCTATAAAGTCTCTAAATTTGAGTGGTAACATTATAGCTAAACTGTTAATCTCACTTGTAGCGTAAATAGCTGTGAGGTACCCTACCCCAACTGCAAAGATTTAAAACCATGAAAAATCACTGCTGGTGAGAAGACAAATTGGTGCCAGCCTTTAGGAGAATAATGACACACGTTTCCAGAGCAATGCACATTCTCATATCATTTGTCCCAGTAATTCCATCTCTGAGAGCTTGGATACAGAAAAACGAAATCAAAGTATGAAGATGTTTATTGCAGCATTGTTTATAAGGAAAAACAAGAAACAATCTGAGTGTTCAAGAGTAAAGAAATGTCTAGACAAACAATAGAATATACACTTGATGGAAAATAGCATAGTGATTTAAAATACTATTCACAAAGAAAATGAAATTTTCACAACATAATATACATATAATGTTAAATGCACAAAGCCGAATAAAAATTCTACGATAGGAACACAACTATGTAAGCAAACCAAAAAAAGACTGAAAAGGTCGTCACCAGGAGTGATTGTTTGCCTGGCTGGTACTTGGGTAATGAAAAAGACATTAAACATGAAAAGATCTCTCTAGCTCTCTACTTATTAGCAATGGCTTACATTACATTGAATACTATTTTTTTTCTGTTCACTTTTTCATATCTTTCTCTGGCATTTTGGTAATGCATAAATTACCCATAAAGAAATGCAGGTGTTTTGCTGAAAACGCATCAAATGAAACCTCTAGACAACATACCAAGAAAGCATCTTTAAAATATTTTTATTATGCTCAACATCATTTTTCTGTATAAAACAATACACATTTATTTGGAAAATACAGGAAAAGTGTAAAATCACACAACTGTGGTGAGGTAAAGAAAAATTTCGTTTAATTCTTCTACTCAGATCTAAGTGTTGATATCTTACTATGAAGGAAACGGATTTTTTTTTTTGAGATGGAGTTTGACTCTTGTCACCCAGGCTGGAGTGCAATGGCACGATCTTGGCTCATTGCAACCTCTGCCTCCCAGGTTCAAGCGATTCTCCTGCCTCAGCCTCCCAAGTAGCTAGGATTACAGGCATTCAACACCATACCCAGCTAATTTTTGTATTTTTAGTAGAGATGGGATTTCACCATGTTGGCCAGGCTGGTCTGGAACTCCTGACCTCAGGCGATCCACATGCCTTGGCCTCCCAGAATACTGGAATTATAGGTGTGAGCCACCGTGCCTGCCCAGGAAACGGTTTTTTGATAGGAGGGACTGGTATGTTTATCTTAAACAAATGCATATAATTCTGATATAAAACCCCGATGTAACATTTTACCCTTCAAGAAAGCCAAATCATTCATAGACAGTGTGGTGTAGGTTTAAGGGCAATCAAGAGTTGTTGAGCTTGATCTATGTGAAGCTCATAGGGTGAGTTGTTGAGTTCGATCTATGTGGAATGGGGAGAGTAGGGGCTGGTGAGGGCTCTGTAGTGGACCTGCCCTCCTTGACTTACTAATTGAAAGCAACTTCTGCAGCTGTTATTGTTGTTGAGGTTGTATTCCACCAGCAGGTTGGAGACACAGGCAAAATATAACTAGATTTCAGCCACATGTTTGGACATGGTGCCAGAAGACTAGTTCATGCTGATTCCTGCATTTCTCCCTGTTATTTGAGGACAGGGGCCATCCTCTATTCAACTCTGTATCTCCAGCAAAGCACTGAACATAGCAGATGCTCAATTAACATATGTTGAAGTAAACTAAAGGCCTGGGTTCAAATTCCTACCCTATCATGTATTAGCTAGATGCCCCCATCCACTTCTTTGGCTTCAACCCCGTCTTTGATCTAGAGACTTTCAAATCTCAATCATTGACCTTGTCTTTCCAAAACGCCAGACCCAACTAACTCCTTGCCTCCTGGACTTTTCTACCTTGATGTTCCATAAGTAGCTCAAAATCAGTATGTCCCCCCTGAACTCATCACTATCTCTCCTCAAACTCCTACTCTTCCTCCTGTGAACCCTAGCTTCGTTAATGGTGTCACCATCTCTCTGGGTACCCAAGCAAGAGACTAAGTGGGTCTCTCTGCTCTTTTTCATTTATTTACTCATAAGATCCTTCCTGCTGACTCTGACTCAAAAATGTTGAAACCTCATCTCCATTCCCACAGCTGCTTCTGTTCAGACCCCCATCATATGTTATCTGGATTATTACATCAATCTCCTAACTGGTTTCTCTGCCTCTGATCTTCCTGTTTCAAAACATCTTCTTTGGTCATAACCAAAGGTGTCTATCTGAACTGAGGCATAATTATATCACTTCCTTTCTTTAAAACATCCCAAGGCTCCTCATTGTCTTAAGAATCCAAATTCCTGACAACTCAGAGGGTCTGTCACAATCTGGCTCCAACAGCCCTTTCTGGTCTCATCTCATATAAAACTGACCCCTCTTATCCCAAATAGGATGGTCTGCCCTAGCTGTTTAAAAATTTCCCCCCTCCCCCAGATGGAACCATAGCATCTCTCTTTGCATAGAATGGTACAGAATCTTCTCTCCCATCTCCTTATTGCTGCTGCTCCTTCCCCTGGGAGCCTCCCCTGTGTATTGGAAGTCTAGCCATGTGTCACCTCCTTTGAGCACCCTTCTTGGGGCAGAACCACTTATTTCTCATAGTGCTTAGTCCATACATCTATGGTAGCACTTATTGGATCCTTGTGTGTGTGTGTGTGTGACCTCAGAGCTTAAGATGGTCCCTGGTGCATAGTGATGACTCTGTCAATGTTTGGGACAAGAGTGAAGTTCTAAATAGGGCACAATGGATTTAACTGCTGGCACCAAATCCCTCCCCTGTGAAAACAGCCCCAGCCTCTGAGTCCTGTCTACAGTCTCAGCCCACCCCAGACCCATTCTCTTTGCAGGGATCCTCAAACCTCCCTTTGCAAGAAGATCTTCTGGATGCTTTTTTCACAGGTAGAGCATCCTTCCTGCGCCACAAAAGGTTGAGTGGGTAGTGATCAATTCATGCTCAGTGAATTAGATTTGTTCAGAGAGGCCCAGAGATGGGGTAATGATCCCATGGGTAAAAGATCCATGTCTGGAGAAAGGATAGGTGTGCACCTAGAAGAAGAGAAGAGAGTGGGGCTCATTTATATTCTGAGATTTAAATGAGATGTGGCGGGAGGACTCTTCATCCCATCTGATTAAACCTACACAAGAGTTCATGTGGGGGCACACAAAGACTAACTAAGGATATTCTCTACGTTCTACTCAACTTTTGGGATGTAGCTTAGAATCCTAAAACACAGTACTACAGAAAGCCTCGAAACTAGGCTAGATTCTCCTCCCATCCCATCCAGGCTTCTCCGCAGCAGAAATAGGTGTTTAATTAAATGGAATAATATAGTTCTCCTTTCATACCTCAGGAGATCAATGAGCCCATAGCTAGCACTCACATATTTATAGACTGAAGAAATGAACATATTCTGGGGCTCAAGGAGATCACCACCTACTGGGGAGGCAGGGGAGAAGGGAGGATGCTAGGACCCTGCTATCCCCACTACACGGCACATTGCAGTCTAGGGTTCACCGTGCAGTAGAAAGGAGAAGCAAAGCGATGAAACCCTCGTGGGATTCGTGAAGGCTTTATGGAAAAGCGATGTGATGATCAGTGGGATTTCTAGGGGGAAGGGATCCAGGGCCAGCAACCAGCTGAAGGAAAGGCTGAAAGGAGGGAAATGCAGGGTACGATCTGGATGGAGTTAAAATGGCAGAAAACTGAGGCTGAGTGAGAGGTCTGGTACTGAGGTGGGGATCGGAGTTCCAGCACTGGCCTTTGACAGCCTCTGGGTCCCAGGTGGAATGGGTAGGGCCAGAGCCCTTGCCTTCTTCTCCAATCAACACCAGGGGTGTGGTGTCTTAGGCAAGGATGGGTGCTGTGCGCCCTGCCGCCCACCATAGGCAGGGCCTGGGAACCCGGGGAGGACTCTCCCCACCTCCAGCCTCCGGCAGTGTCCGCCAGGCAGGGCGGGGGCCAGCGCTGGTGTTGAGTAGTGGACCCCAGGGGGATGACTAAGCCTTGCCTGCGAGCAGACTCGAGCATGCCAAGTTATGAGACGATGATAACTCTGCCCCGAGCCTCTGGGGTCGTGGCCGTGGGCCGGCAGGGGCGAGGCGGGCGTCCAGAGGGCGGATAAAAGGGGCCGCGCTGCGCCGGGGCCGCTTTCTCCGCGCGGTGCCTGCAGGGCTCCCAGCGAGTGGCAGCTTGGGAGGGGCCGCCCGGGCGGTCAGACTGGCACCTGAGCGGCCACCGCGTCCCGGCCAGGCGGGCAGACCGACCCCCTCCTCACCTCGCGCGCGGCTGACGCAGGCAGGGCGCCCGGCCCCTCCTGGGGACCATCAGGTGCCGGCTGGGGGCTGTAGGCACCGGACGGAAGCAGGCGGTGTGAGGACCGACGACGCGGGCATGGCGGGGGCGGCCTGCGAGCCGGTGGCCAGGCCGAGCCTGACCTCCATCTCGTCTGGGGAGCTTCGCAGCCTGTGGACCTGCGACTGCGAGCTGGCCCTGCTGCCGCTGGCTCAGCTGCTGCGCCTGCAGCCCGGTGCCTTCCAGCTGAGCGGCGACCAGCTCGTGGTGGCCAGGCCCGGGGAGCCGGCGGCGGCGCGGGGGGGCTTCAACGTCTTCGGTGACGGCCTCGTGCGCCTCGACGGGCAGCTCTACCGCCTCAGCAGCTACATCAAGAGGTGGGTGGCCTCGCCGTGCGCCCTGGCCCGTCGCCTGGTACCCGCAGACGCCTCCACCCGGCTGCGGTCTCTGGGAGCCTGGGCTGTCCTCGCTGCCTGCGACACCGCGTGGCCCCTTGCTCCGTGCGCTTCTAGACTTTCCTTCTGCTTCTATCACCCGGAGCCTGCACGCTCGCCCTGGTTCTTCTGCCTCTTGCACTGACATTTTGCAGCTGCTGCTTGAAGCCGCCCAGAAGGGCATCAGGACTGGGGGCGAGGGGGAGGGCAGGGGCCCCCCAGCCAGAGCTCATGAGTGGCAGATGCTTCTCCCATTCTGGCTCCTTAACTGGGTCAGATGAGCTCAAATTGGGAGCACACCCTTTAGGGGCTGTCTGCAGCTCTGCAAGACTCACATCCTGGCTTTGGAGCATGGGTGGCGGTGAGGAGCAGGGGGCATGCACCATTCTGAGCACTGCCAGCCCTCTCCAGTGAGGAGACCGAGTGGAGAAGCATGCAAAAGCTCAAAGTTTCCCATCTCTGGCCTCACTTCGTGTTTCAAAAGTAAACAAATAAACCGCAGCTGAGAAGGGAACAAAGCCCCTGGAAGTCCAGCCCGGGGCCATGTGGGCTGTGGAAGGCACAGATAAGTTCTGGGGAAATAAGTGCGAAACCTGAGGGCCTTAATGGGAAGGAGGCCCCCAGGATGCTTGACTGTTGTGGCCAGAGTGCCCCCAAGCTCTTCTTGGCAGACCGGCAGGATGTGGCCCAGCCATCTGAAGCAGGCTTTGGTGCCACAGGGTAAAGGAGGGCACTTCAGGCCTGATTCCACATGGCCTCAGGCCTCCAGAGTTCACTCTTGGCAAGGGCCTGGAGTGCAAAGACCTGTTATATTTGTGCTGAGAGAGCCAAGTGCCTGAAGAGGCAAGCATGGTCTAGAGTTTGACTCAGAAATGAATAAGATAGCCAGCTTTTGAGACACAGCGCCTTTGCTACTGGGAAAGACAGCGTGCTGTGGCACCCTGTGGGTAGGAGGGAGCCAAGAGAGGGAAGCAAACAAAATGAGATATTGAACGTGCAGTCTTCAAAACTCTTGGAGAAAAAACCTTGCTTTTCCAAAGATAGTGAGGGCTCTGAATGCCTGAAGAACCATTCCCCAGCAAGAATTTCTCCCTTTCTTAGTGAAATGAAAATTCCAATTCCAAACCATAAGCGGAGGACTGTGGGAGGAACTGAGTCAGATGTGTGCAGATTTAAAAAGAAGATACCCATTGTATTTGAGAGCAGGGTATGAAAAATAAAAATGTCCAGAATGAACGAAGCCGTAAGTTAGGGTTTTGACAGAACCAGTTCTCCTAATTGTAGCAAACAGTGCTGCAGAATCTGAAATGATTTTGAAGTCTGTCATCTAACTTTTGCTTTGAACACCTCCTACACAAAAGAAAATTAAACAACAGTGATTCCCCTGACAGCTTTGAATCTAGAATAAACAACTGGGCCACAGTGACCAGGTAACACAGACCAGGGTGCAAATACAAAACAACAAATAATAGGCTATCATTGTATAAGCAATACTGTGAGGGCTTCTTTTGTACCTGGGAAATAGCAAGGAGCCTCTGAAAATAATTTGGGTGATGGAAGGAGCTATCTATTGTCCTCAGGCAGGGAAGGAGGCTTTTATAACTGAGTGTGCAGTCCTGAAGGATGGCCAGGAGGGAATGTGGTCTAAATGGAGACAGCCTTCCAGGCAGAGGGGGAGGACTGGACTGTGGGCAGCAGTGAGAGGTTCTGCCCTCGGGAATCAGGAGGTGGGAGGTATGCCGAAGCCAGAACTCAGATATCTAAAGCTTCGTTCCTCTGAGCTGCCAAATTTGCCAGTTGTTTTTGGCTTTAGAGATAGCATAAAACCTCCCTCCCTCCCCTCCCTCCCTCCCCACTTCCTTCCCTCTCTCCCTCCCTCCCTCCCTTCCTTCCTTCCTTCTTTTTGAAAAATAAGCTCTGGCCAGTTTTATTAAAGATTTGCATGATTTATTTTCACCAGTCTGTTCTGGCATGCTTCCAAAGATCTCAGGGCTGGGTGCAGTGCCTCATGCCTGTAATCCCAGCACTTTGGGAGGCTGAGGTGGGCGGATTGCTTGAGTCCAGGACTTCGAGGCCAGCTTGGGCAACATAGTGAGACCTCCTGTCTACAAAAATTAGCTGGGCATAGTGACATGCACCTGTGGTCCCAGCTGCTCAGGAGGCCGAGGTGGGAGGTGGATGGCTTGAATCTTGGAGGTGGAGCTTGCAGTGAGCCGAGATGGTGCCACTGCACTCCAGCCTAGGCAACACAGTGAGACCCTGTCTCAAAAAAAAAAAAAAAAAAAAAAAATCTCAGCATTCCCTGGATCAGTGACACCAGGGTGCACTTGCTATGGTATTTTCCACATGCTGTGCCCAATTTAATGTTATTACTGCTGGAGTGGTAGATGGCAGTTTTGAGAGTATGCACCTTAGTTCTGTATTTCAGATTTCCTCGAGGCCAGGCAGTTGGTGGGGATGACCGGTTTCACTTTGCCTTGTCTATCATCTTCAGAGCCGGATTGCCCCAGCTTGTATTTTTGACCCTTAATGGGTTGGAGCCTAGAGTGGATGGACTCCAGTGACTTTTCGTCTTCTTTGCGGCCACCATATTCTGGCCTTGGATGTGGGATGGCCTCTAACCAAAAGCAGCCACCAAGATGGCCAGGGATCCCAAAAGGCAAAATGGTTCTTAATCATTTTGGACCATAGAACTTTTGAGAATTCTACGTAGATTCCCCAGAAATGTAAATATATACCCAATTTTTGCTGACCATCCAGGATGTTCATGAGATACTTGGACCCAGGTTAAGAATCCTTGCTCTATTAATTAATTAGTTCTTTTTAACTCAACAAATATTTTTGGCATATGGGATAAGCCCCTGGTGTAATTAGAATTTCTTTCTGGGACCTCATAAGTATGTACTGTGGCTTTCATGAGGCCCTTTTCCAAGGAACCCCGAAAGGCTAAGAGCCACCGACCTTGACTTTCAGGTTATTCACTCGCTAAGAGAGCAACAGGATGATTTTAGCAGCCCTACTTAGGTTCATTTTCTAATACTTTAACATTTTTTCTAAGTACATACCTACTAAGTAACCTAAAGAAATCCAGCATAGTGGGAAGGTTTAGTGATGACCACCAGCTCTAAAGCTCCTTCAAAAACCTACTTTAAAAATATTTGTCCTATTTTGTAGGATTTATGGCAAGATCTTTATTTTTATTATTTTCTTTCAAGATCAGGATTTTCGCCCATGTTGTAAACACAATGTGCTCAGGACACGAGATGTGGGTAATGGTCATTCAGGGAGCCATTCATTCAATACTTAAAAGTCAAAATTACCATTAACTACGACACACACACAAACACACACACACACACACACACACATGTTTTTTCCTATAAAGCAGCCTCTTGGTGAAATATAATGGCAAACGTTTGGCAAAGAAGACCTGGAGTCCCTTCTTTTTGGTGCTCCCCTAGCATGAAAGAGGCTGCCTGGAGAATAAAAATAAATACAATAGAAATGGTGGCTACTAACATTTACTCGAATGGTGTAAAGTATTTCACAGCTACTATCTCATAAAAGTTTACAAAGTTTGCATTACTGTTGTTTCTCCTTTTTACAGATGTAAGCATTAGGACTCAGAGCTTAAGTAATTTACCTAGGTAAGATGCTGCTAAGTGGGAGAACCAGGAGAACCTATGCTTTCAGCAAATTACTTTGAACCTGAAATAATCTTGCTTTCTCACTCATTTCCTGAATCTACAAATAAATAACTGGAATTATGTCAGCTAGTGCACATTTTGTACAATCAGCCTACAAAAGTAAGTAAGTGCAGTGATTTTAAGGAAGCCACTAAAAGCAGAGCTGTGACCTGCTCCTGGATGGGTGACAGTCACACCTACTCAGGGCGGAGAATGCAGGTGAGGTGAAGCGGCACTCATAGGGGTAAAATGAGGACAGTAGGGCTGGAACACACTTGGAAGTTTACTGGGGGAAGCCTCACCTCCATCCTGCAGTGGGAAGTGCTGGGCTCTGTCTGCTGGCCCAGGCCCAGTTCTCAGAAGAGATTCCAACTTGAGGCTGGGAGGTTGGAAGATGTGGTCTTAGATGTAGCAACCTGCTTAGGACAGCAGCCCCTTAGCAGGACACACAGTGATGTTGGTGAAATAATAACCATCCATGCATTGAGCTGTGAGATTTTTAGGAGAGTCAGTCTAGAGGAAGGGCTCTGCTCTTTGCGAGCTGAATGACCTTGGGAAATTTACTTATTGTCCATGGGACTCCATTTCCTCAACTATAAAGTGGGAATAGTAATAATACCATTAAGCAGCACCAGAAGCCAAGAGCTTTACACACATTATTGAATCTCTTAGCCACTCATGGGGTGCCTTTTTTTAGCCAGATTCTACAGGTGAGGAAAATGAATGTCTGCAAGGTTAAAACACTAGCTGAGGTCACAGAGACAGAAATCACACTCAGATCTGATGAGTCTACAGCAATGTGCCACCTGACCATCTTTCCTGCTTGCCTTCTTCAGAGCCAGGCTCTGGACTTGCAGCCACACTTGGGTCTCCTTTCTACTCTCAGCCCCCCTGGTCCTTGCCACCTACCTGCCTGCCTGCCTGCGTGCAGCCACCCCATAGTCCTCATGGATGGGCTAGGCTGTGACTCTTCCTGGGGTGCTCCCTGCCCCTGCTCTTGTCCAATCCTTGTGGGCTGTTTGGCTTGACAGGACAATATCTCTCCTACTACCCATCTTACCCCAGTACGTGGCTATAACCCCAGGCCCCTCCTGACTTGCTCCCCTTGGCTTAACTGACTAGGGGAGAACCCAGTGGAGCCTGGACACGTGAATACAGAGAACTATGCATTTCTCTGGCATTAGTATGTTTGAATGATTTACCAGTTTGCAAGCCTATGAATAGCAGGGACCATGTCTTAGACCAGTGCTTCTCAAACTTTAAATAAGCATGCAAGTCTCCTGGAGACCTTGTTAAAACACAGATTCTGATTTATTATGGGGGGAGCCCTGGATTTTTCATCATGCCAGGTGATTCCAGTGCTGTTAGTCCAAGGATCACACTTTGAGCAAGAAGGTTATACATTCATCATTTCATACCAAAATGGTGTATTTTCTCATCTGTCTCCCTAGGAGACTATATGCTTCTTAAAAGCAAGGCTGTTTCCTTTCTCATCTCTGTGTCCCCAGTGCCCAGCACACAGTAGGTACTCAGTAATCGTTCCTTCCATGCATAAATGAATGAATCATTCTCTGCCCCATCAGAGTTTTACACACACTAAGTGTCAATAATTCCTTAAGGAATGAATGCATGAATATGTGTACCCTTGAATAATGTCTGTGTGAGCCACACACATTAGAGTGAGAAGTCTAAAAATTTTGCTTTATTTCAGTAGAACTAGGGCAGAAGGCGGAGGGAAGAAGGGAAAAGAGATTAGGGCGAGACTCTGTGTAAGGCGATCAAGCTAACACTGGAAAGTCATGGCAGGGGCAGCCTGCTTCCCCCAAGAGTAAAATGGCTCTGCAAGCTTTTGCTTAGTGTCACAGCAAAGAATTATGATGGTGGCAAGCAGTTCCTGGGCCTCCTACACAGACTATTGCACTGTGTGTTCTTCTTTTTCTCTGCTCAACTGTCCATATTTTTTTTAATGAACACACACACACACACACACACACACCCCACCCTTTGATGGAGGCCATGAAGGATTTGAATTCCTATTTGTCATTGAGCAGAAATTGTTAGAGCCAAGGGAAATTTGGGGCAGCTTTGAAAGTTGGGTGTCTTAGAGGTGGGCCATCTTTCAGTGGCTCCTGATTTGCTAGAAGCAAAACACAATGCTCTTTTTTGGTCCTCCTTTTCAGATGTTGCTGTCATTAAGCTGTTCCCTTTAGCCTCCTAAACTGAAAAAATGAGGAAAGAAATTGGAACAAGGAAGGAGCAACTCTTGCTCATTTATCAGATGCTGATATTTTCCTTATTTCCTGGGAACTCAAATGAACACAGCCCTGGTTGGGAGTCAGAAGTTTACAGAGCTTCGTCCTATGGGTTTGCCAAGTTGGCCAGGATTAGAGATACTCATGATGTTTATCAAGCATCTACTATGGGTTCAAATTCGTATGTCTACATTGCATGTACTGCATTTACTCATCATGAGGGAAAAAATACTGTTATGCCCTTTCCACAGATGAGTGAACAGGTGCAGACAGGTTAAAGAAGTCCCTCAAGGTCATAGTGAGTTGTGGCTCTGGAATTGAGTTCACATAGCCAGCAAATCAGGACTTGAATTAGATCTTATTTTGAAATACTGTGTTTCCCATTACATTGTCCTGCTGGGGTTTTTTGTTTGGCTGGTTGCTTTGGGTTGTTTGTTTGTTTGTTGAGATAGGGTCTTGCTCTGTCACCCAGGCTGGAGTGCAGTGGTGCAGTCATAACTCACTGCAGCCTGGAATTCCTGGACTCCAGCAATCCTCCCACCTCAGCCTCCTGAGTTGCTAGGAGTATAGGCATGCACCACCACACCTGGCTAATTTTAAAAATTTGTTGTAGAGGCAAGGTTTTCCTAGGCTGGTCTGGAACTGTGTTGCCCAGGCTGGTCTACAACTCCTTGCCTCAAGCAGTCCTCCTGTCTTGACCTCCCAAAGTGCTGGGATTACAGATGTGAGCCACCACGCCCGGCTTTGCCCTGCCTTTTAATCTTTGGATTGAAGCCAAGCTTAGAAACTTTCACCCCAGAAGCATTTTGGGGCCAGGGTAAAGCAATGAAGAAATGAGATTTTAAAGAAACTGTCTATCTTAAAGTGTTTGCTTTTCATTCCTAATGATAATAATTTCAGCAACTATGATAAATATTCAATATGTAGAAGCAATATTTGCATTAGTAATTCTGAAATATCTATGATTAAAGGCCGGGTGTGATGGCTCACACCTGTAATCCCAGCACTTTGGGAGGCTGAGGCAGGCAGATCATTTGAGGTCAGGAGTTCGAGACCAGCCTGGCCAATGTGGTGAAACCCTTGTCTCTACTAAAAATACAAAAATTAGCTGGGCATGGTGGTGCACGCCTGTAATCCCAGCTACTTGGGAAGCTGAGGCAGTAGAATTGCTTGAACATGGGAGACGGAGGTTGCAGTGAGCCAAGACTGTGCCAGTGCACTACAGCCTGGGTGAAAGAGTGAGACTCCATCTCAAAAAACAAACAAACGAACACACAAACAAAGAAGATCAAATAACTAGTCCCTAATATAATCTAGTAAGGATAGTCTTAAACTAAAACCAGTGATTACATGTCAGAAACTTAAATATCTGTGCACCTTAACAACTAAATTCTCCGATCTTATCGTGTTTTAGTGAATGCTCACATTTATTTATTTCAATGGAATTTCAAGGTGCTTAACAATTGGACCATAACTGGGAGGCTGGGGATGGAGGAATTAATGAGGTATTTCTTATCTGTGGCCTGGTTAGAGTTAGGGAGCTTATTAAGTAGGGATCTTGGCACAATCTCTTGTCTGTAAGTTCTGGCATCAGAGGTCTTCTATAAGCAGTGTTTTTACACATCTGTGCTACAGTGATAACTGGCATGCACTGTGATGAGGTTTACAGCCTGGTTAAGGAGCTGAAATTCAAGTACCCCTGAATCATCAAAGGCAGATTAAATTATGTTGCATGTAGTTTTATTATCCAAGGTGTTTTATGAAATTCAGGCTTGAAAATGGATAGCTCATGTGTAGGTCATACATTACACTCAACATGTGGCTATCCAGCAGGCTTCCTTCTGTGACCATGCCAAATACCTGCTCTTTGAGCCCAGTAGCATTGAAAAAAGCCTTCCACCAAATTCCAGGGAAAACTGATTGTTCTCTGAACCAGAGATCATTTGTAAGTTGAGATTTTTATCTGTGGGATCACTGACCCATTGGATGTCAATCAATTTTGTACGCAGAGGGACATACTGCACTAGCATTTGTGTCATCAGAAAAGGCATCAAAACTGCAGATTTCTGGGTGCATTGTACACAAATGCCATGCGCTTTCCATTAAGAATGACAATCAGACTCCAGATATTGAAAGAATAGAGGAATCTCCCCGAGGAATGTAGTAAAGGAGCTGAAATGACCATGACTGAACTCCATGTAAACAGGATGGTAGGATAATGGGAAACCTGCCTCGAATGGGTCATAGGTGGAGCCTGCTCCCCAACTCCTCCCGCATCACCCATCTATTTTGTTATGTTTATGTCAACCAGACTTGCCCTTTCCTTCCTCTTTTGCTACAGGGGTTTTCTTTCTCTTTTCTCCCTCTGTATCCTCACCCCCCACGTAACAACATACTTCACCTTCTCTTCACCCCCTTCCCAAGCCACTCTTACCTGCCTGCCTAATGATGATTTCAGCAACTATGATAAATATTCAATATGTAGAAGCAATATTTGCATAGTAATTCTGAAATATCTATGATATTTGTGCTGGGTGTTTGGCCGCTGAATAGATGGATGGCAAGAGGGACGGGCGAGCACAGGGGCGCCCTGCACTGCCTCCGTCCACTGTCCCCTTTCTAGACTCTGAGCCCCTCCAGCACAAGAAGGCAATGAGACACATGTAAATGCTCACCTGGTGCCCGGCTCATCAGCAGGACTCAATGAAGTTACTCAGTGAATGAATGAATGAGCCCAGCAAATGGTGGTTTTCTTTTTCCTGCCTTCTCCTTTGCTTTCTTTCTCTAGTAACTTTTGGCAGTTGGTCAACTGGGATAAAAAAAAGGGCAGGAAAATTCTCTCCCAGCTGATGTGCAACACCAGCACCACTCCCCTCAGTCTCCTGAGGTTCCCCCATCTCACCCCCTTTCTCCTGTTCTGCCCAGGTGAGGATGAGGGCAGGGGAGGGGTGAAGGAAGACCCATACCAAAGCCATGTGTGGGTCTGCATTCTCTTACCTGGCCATCCATTCCCTTGTAACACCCCAGCGCCCCACCCCAGCGCCCCTCCTCCATTCCCATCGTCCTCTCCTCTACTCCTGCCATCCTCACCCACTCCGTGAGCATCAACATCCACACCCACCTTTTTCTTCTCTGGAACACTGCAGCCCCATGTTCCCCTCCCTACCCCAGGAACAGCTCCCAAGCAGCCACCACTACAGATGTGGTGGGAGGTGGAGACTGCTTTAAAAGCTTGGTGAAATAGAAGACAGGAAGCATTTTAGAGGCTCCATCAGGGGTCAGGTTTTAAATGCTCTCAAAATCAGGTCTGACAATCCCAGCAGAAAGATAATGACATAGATTTCTAAGAAACCAAGCTGGGAGACAGCCGAGCGGAAGCCGTGTTTTCCTGCCTCAGGGTAGATATTCTCTCGCATGCTCTTGACACATGCCCCGGTCACTGTCTTGTGTGCTGGCCCCTCCGAGGGATGGTGGGAAGTGGACGCAGGTGAGGGATGCCTAGAGTACTGTGGGCACCACTCCCTGCAGCGGCTGTTTTCTCGCCAAGGCTGTGATTTTCATGTCAGGCACTGGAAGGACAATCAGCCAGAAAGAATTGCTTGGAGCTGTCTCTGCTGATGACTAGATATAAGAAACAAACATGCTGTGGTGTAGCAAAAGGCAGCCCGCGCGCTCAGCTCAGCCAGCCATTCGCTCCGTGCAGATGCTCGCAGCTGTGTCAATGGGGAACCAGCTCTGTGTTTCAGAGAGACTGCGGCAGACGCATCCTTCAGCCTGCTGGGGGCCATTCAGCCTACCTACATCCACATGGCATCTGAGCTTGGGTTTAGTTAGAAAATTAACTAACTTCTTGAAGGAAGCTAATCTGCACTTGGACCTTTTTATGAACAATGCTGACAGGGATGTAGCTAGGCTGCTTGGAAGATGTGAAGGGCAGGGAAGAAAGCTAACATGCTGGATGACAGAGTCAGGATTCAGAAAGATCTTCCTAAATGAGAATAATGAAAACCAAAAAGGCTAAATTTAACAAGGATGTAGTGAAAAGTCCAACATCAGTTGTTTTCGTTTTTTAATTACACAAGTTCAGCGTAGGAGAGATGTGAACTAGTAATAGTTCATATGAATATTGGTTGATTCTGTAATCTATGGAGGGGGCTGGTTTATCTTGGGATTAGTGGGGAAGTGGGGAGAAGGAAAGGAAAATTCAAGACCCACAAGTTAAACAGGATGACTCCACTGGAGAAAATTCAGCTAATTCTACTATTATGTCGAATTCATTATCAATTCAGAGGGACTTAGAGCTCTTATAGCTTCAAATGAACGCTTTTAGCCCAAACGACAGATGATACTGGTGATCATCTGGTAAAGTCTGAGAGCCAAGTGTTGATGCCAGGACACCCCTAGGGCCATGGCTGCCTGTGGGCTGCACGCTGATCCTTGAGCCAATCAGCCATGACCAGAAAGATTCGTTTATATGGTGACCTCTGTAAGGATGCATTTCAAGGAACTTCCCTCCAAGGTCTGTGGCTGTGGCAGATACCTGTCCAGTACATCCCCTTCCTAATTTAGATGAAAGGGTACGTTACATTTGCAATGATCTCTGCTTCTTCATAGGTATGTGGAACTGACCAACTACTGTGATTATAAAGACTACAGGGAAACTATATTGAGCAAACCAATGTTGTTCTTTATTAATGTACAGACCAAAAAAGACACCTCAAAAGGTAAGTATCTATATTAGTCCATTTTCACACTGCTATAAAGAAATACCTAAAACTGGGTAATTTATAAAGAAAAGAGGTTTAATTGGCTCACGGTTCTGCAGGCTATACAGGCTTCTGCTTCTGGGGAGGCCTCAGGAAACTTACAATCATGGTGGAAGGCGAAGGGAAAGCAGGCACGTCTTACATGGAGCAGGGGGAAGAGAGCGGAAGCGGGGCGGTGCTACACACTCTTAAACAACCAGATCTAGCAAGAACTCACCCACTATCATGAGAACAGCAAGGGGAAAATTCACTCCCATGATCCAGTCATCTCTCACCAGGCCCCTCCTCCAACATTGGGAATTACAGTTTGACATGAGATTTGGGCAGGGACACAAATCCAAACCATATCAGTATATAAATAGTTTTGGTTTGGTCCTTGCTGGGACCAAACTGGGCTGAGGTGTGGACTGATGAGCAGGGCAGAAATCAGCTTGTGACAAGGTAGACAGCAAGGAGCCTGGTGGGTGAGGCCACCTGAAACACAGCACATGCCTGCAGAACAAACCCCTCAATGATCCTAGGGCAGAAGCCACCTGTCTGGGAGCTTCTTTTCTACTTCTTGCCTAGGTGGGAAGTGATCTGACATTCTGAGCCTTTGGAGGTTGCAGAAATGACTAGAGTGATGAGGATGATATATAACATGCTCTACCACGTATCAAACACCTACTATGTCTAAGAAGTGCTCTAATGTAATGGATCACCACAACAACTTTGTAGGGCTTATCAATTCAGGACGTTATGAACATGAACATCATTACTATCAATAATTATTCTGGGAAGAAGGTATAAACTGACCCGGGCAAACTAGGATGCGTAATTATCCCACTTAGGAGGTGCTTACACTATTCCCATTTTATAGATGAGGAAACTAAGAAAATAAATAGCCATTGTGGATGCTTTTCTGTTTCATGCCATGATGTTGGAATGTCATGTTTAGACACATCTCTTCATTGTTTCTTCCAAGAAATCAGATTAGCTGGTAGCAACTATATTAAACCAAATTTCAGTATGAAAATGTCTCCATTTTGCCTTCCTCCTCCTGCTCAGAATGATATGTGGGGGAAGTCATGGGCATAACGTTCTGTAATAGAAGTAGAATTTCTTAAACTTGCTTCTAACTAACATTCTTAAAATGAGTCCAAGGAAATAAGAAATGATCTACGAATTTCAAATAGATTTCCCCAAACATTCACTCTCATTCAAATTTGTGGAGCTCTCTCTGCTCATTTGACAATAAAAAGTCATGATGTTCTTTCTGCAGGAGAGGCCAGGAACAGAATGCCCAGTAACAAGAAGTGCTCATTAGAACATCTGAAGCCCACGTGTTCTTTGGCTTGATTATAACCAGAAAGCCAGATAGTTCTTTAGGAATGTAATTCACAGCTGTATCAAGTACACCTCCTGCACCGATCACTCAGGAGGAATCTAAAAAAAGAGTAAGAGCCCTCTTCATTTTAACATTTAAATGAAAGTATAGGTAGTGGTACAAGGAGGAATTTGTAGGTAGCCTATAGAATGTATGAAGTTGTCGAACAACTATCATGGAAGGAGGCACGTGTCTGAGTCATGCTATAATGTGATGAATTGCCACAACAGAAATCCAGAAACCCAGTACTAGTTAATTGTGATAAAAGCCATAAAATGAAGAGGCTCTATGACACAAAGCTTAAGATGGTCAATTTTAAATTGCAAAATTATGATTAAGGCAATATGTCTAGTCTTGCTGTTATTCTAAACTGCACTTTTGTGCAAATCAGAAAAAGCCACCATTTCCTCAAGACGATTACTAATGCTTCCCACAAGTTTGTCATAATATAAAAATAATGTCTGTAAATGTGAATGACAGCCTCTAGAGTTAGGCAGTGTACAACCTGCCCCATCAGCACAACTGTGGAGTGTTGTGGCCATGAGTATATAATGACCCCAGAGGTGTTGGTTTGGTTTACATGAGATTTAATTGAAGGTATCAAGGAGTTTGCTTGCTTTGTTTATCTATTGTCTTAAAGAGGATATAAGGCAGCTTATATCTAAAGTGCCCAAAAAATAATTTTGGAGAAAGAAAAACATGGGTAAGAAAAACGAGATGAATAAGGTTAGTTTAAAATGCCTTCCTCGAGGACGTAAACACTTGCTGTTGGTGGACCGAAGGTTTGTCTCTGAGATATCTCAAAGTCAGTGTAAAACACTGAGTTCTAAAAATCACACAGTGGCTGGTCCCTGGCTGTTAAATGGAGGAGAACACAGGTATCTATGTGTCTCCTTAGACCAAGGACTGAGTAATTAAGGCCATGGAGCTTGATGCGGGGGACTGGAAAAGTTAAGAGGTTGCTGGTTAATACCATTTTATATTTCCTAATGAGTAAACAACCTTCTTTTGGCTTAAATCATGCAGAATTGAACATGAGGGGTTACCAAACCAAACTAATCAATCAACACCAAAAAAATCTGTCTGCCAGGACAGACACGTGGTATTATTTAAACAATGAGAAGGAGATGTTTTCCCACTTGGGATTGTGTTAGAGGTAGCAGCAGGGAGAAGAATCAACCTCTGGTTGCCTTGGTCCATAGAACCCTAGACTAGCCATTTGTCAGAATGTCTGGTCCCTGGAGAAGCTGGGGAGAGCTGGGCATGGGGTAGGGGTAGGGGTGGAGGTGGAAAGCATGGAGCAGCCCTGTTTCCTGATCTTTGCAGATTTTCTTTTGCAAATAAGAAAGTTTCTGTAAGAGCCAAGTTGTGATTTGAATACCCAGCAAGTCATGGTGGCTTATGCCTATAATCCCAGCACTTTGGGAGGCCGTGGCTGGCAGATTGCGCAAGTTCAGGAGTTCAAGACCACCCTGGGCAACATAATGAAACCCTGTCTCTGCAAAAAAAAATACAAAAATTAGCCAGGCATGGTGGCGAATGCCTGTGGTCCCAGCAACTTTGAAGGCTGAGGCAGGAGGATCACTTGAGCCCAGGAGGTTGAGGCTGCAGTGAGCTTTGATTACACCACTGTACTCCAGCCTGGGTGACAGAAACTGTCTTAAAAAAATAAAAAAAAAAAAGAAGAAGAAAAAATCCAGCACTGCAGGAACATGAAAACCAGCTATCTCGATCTTCCACTTTCCTTCCCCATAATGGATACATGCTGTGGAGGCACAGTTCTCATCTGTGATAATTATAGAGTGGAATTTTTGATTTCTGAGACTCCAGTTACAAACTGCAGCCTTGTGGGAGCTGATTATCTAGCCTGCCTTTACAGCAGCCCAGAACCTCCTTCAAATCTGCAAAATTCTCAGAAACACTTCTAGAAATCTGGCGAGGCTTTGTAGTAAGGTTGTGAGGGAGCAGAGAGGAAGGTTATAAATGAATAAAATCTTCAAAGGAGGTGGGAACCACTGCAATAGCAAATTATAAGAAGCATGCTTATGTCACATGGACACACTTGTTTCTGAATTCTGCTTGCTAATTTCTAGAAAGGACGTACGCGTTTCTTGTAAACACGAGGCACCCCAAGATAAGAAGACAGATAGAGCAAGGGATGGACATGGTCATCTCCTCAGTGATTGGAGAAAGTTACCGGCTTCAGGTAAGCCTAGCCTGTCTGAATCCAGGGCTGTCAACCACATGGAAGGAGCTTGTGCATTTCATGCAGGAACTGAGGCCCTATTGCCCTGGCTTAGGCCAAGAGAATGGCCCTTAGAAAACAAAGTGCATTCAGACACTTTGTTCTCAAAGGTGGCATTATTGCTACCAATAAAATGAGTTTAGTTCTTAGCAACCTATTAGAAATGGGTAAGAATAAATGTAATTTTGGCCAAGCAGTTCAGAATTTTTAGATGGAATATGATGCAAATGCAAAGTTTTGTTAGAAAAAATAAAGACAACAGTTTAAAAATATGTGTGAGAGTGAAAGGGAAATAAGAGGTGTGATGTTTTGGATATTTAGGCGGTTGTTAGTTCTACAATGTCAACAGGATACTTATGTCCATTAAGTCAATGCAATGTTCCTCTCTCTTTCAGTTTGATTTTCAAGAGGCAGTGAAGAATTTCTTCCCCCCAGGAAATGAAGTGGTTAATGGAGAAAATTTAAGCTTTGCATATGAATTCAAAGCTGATGCATTATTTGATTTCTTCTATTGGTTTGGGCTCAGTAATTCCGTTGTAAAAGTAAATGGAAAAGTTCTGAATTTGTCAAGTACAAGTCCAGAAAAGAAGGAGACGATTAAGTTATTTCTGGAAAAAATGAGTGAGCCTTTAATCCGAAGGAGCAGTTTCTCTGACCGAAAGTTCAGTGTAACTTCCAGAGGTATGTTAAAAATTCCGAAGGATATGTGGAAGGTAGTTAAATAAAAGGGTAGAGTAAAATAATGGAAGAGAGTCAATTGATTCAAAAGGCAAGACCTATTAATGAAAGGGAAATAGATCACAAAATTCAGAAAGTAAGAAGTGGGGCATGTTTATTACCAAAAACAAATGCAGTGACTTTTCCTTTTGAGCTCCTTTAAGTCTTCTGACATGAGGATTACATTATGCAGTATACCCCAAAATAACTTTAAATATTATTATTAATTTAAATGAGTATTGATGATCATTTAAATATTATTGGCAATCATATTGGAAGACTGCTGCCTTCCAAATGTTCATATTCTGTACAACAGAATGTGAACAAAAATGATCAGTTGGGAGGAGTCACTATATGGTCAAGATATCAGTCTTTTTTTTTTTTTTTTTTGAAACGGAGTTTCACTCTCGTTGTCCAGGCTGGAGTTCAGTGGTGTGATCTTGGCTCACTGCAACCTCAGCCTTCCGGGTTCAAGTGATTCTCCTGCCTCAGCCTCCTGAGTAGCTGGAATTCCAGGCGCACACCACCACGCCTGGCTAATTTTTGTAGTTTTAGTAGAGATGGGGTTTCACCAGGTTGGCCAGGCTGGTCTGGAACTCCTGACCTTGTGATCTGCCTGCCTCAGCCTCCCAAAGTGCTGGGATTACAGGTGTGAGCCACCGGGCCCGGCCAAGATATCAATCTTTATAGTATTTGGAAGGGTTCTCCAGATTTGGACAGAGCACAAAAGAATAACTCTTGAGAAGGTTTCACTTAACACACTCTTGATGACATATGGCAGGTTCTTGGTATTGACACCCGTGTGGCTGCAGGTGGCATGAATCATGCATGGCTTGTCTGGATCTGTCTTCTGCAGAGCCCATTCTCTCTGTCTTTTGCTAGTCTGGACTGGAGAGCAACTTCCCTGAGTCAGGACTCTTGCTGCTAATTGCAGAAAACCAGCAGTCTCTGTGAAGTTGTGGTGTTCTCAGAGTTCAGCTGTAAAATATAGAATCCTCATTAATTGTATTTACAGCCTGTGTTTTTTTGCTTTGTTTTTTGTGTTTTTCATTTTTTGAGACGGACTCTCGCTCTGTCACTCAGGCTGGAGTGCAGTGGTGCCATCTCGGCTCACTGCAACCTCCTCCTCCTGGGCATAAACAATTCTCGTGTCTCAGCCTCCCAAGTAGCTGGGACTACAGGTGTGTGCCACCATACCCAGCTAATTTTTGTGGTTTTAGTAGAGACGGGTTTTCACCCTGTTGGCCAGGCTGGTCTCGAACTCCTGACCTCAAGTGATCCAACTGCCTCAGCCTCCCAAAGTGCTGGAATTACAGGTGTGAGCCACCACGCCTGGCCACAGCCTGTGTTTCTTTCTTCAAATGTTTACAACAAAAATGCTTGCTACTAGCTATTTCTTATCCTAGAAGTGGTCTCTTTCTCTTTTCCTCCCTCCTTCCCTCCTTCCTCCTCTCTCTCTCCATCTCTTTCTCTTTCTCTCTGTGTGTTTTTCTCTCCTGCTCTTTCTCCATCTCTGTCTTCATTTCAGTCTCCATCTCTTCCATCTCCATTTCTGTCTCTGTCTGTTTCTCTCTCTTTCCCCTCTCTTTCTCTGTCTCTCTGTCTTTCTGTTCATCTCTTCCCATGTTGTTTCAGCTTTCTCTGCCTGGGAGTTCCTCACAAAGATGTGTTTGTGCTCTGCTCTGTTGCAATCATGTGGAGGATTATACTCTGATCCTTTTGGAGGGGATGATTAACTGGCCCCTTTGCTGCAGTGCCATATGTGCCTGGGCCTTTTTCTGACACCCCTGAGTTCACCTATCAGCCCCAGCAGCCTGGGCAGGATTTTCCGGTTTCACCATGGCTCACCCTCTGTCCTGTGGGCTGCCCAGAGTGTCCACCCCATCTTTGGGACACTGAGGAACATTTGAAGTTAAGCAGTGCTTCCTTGAAAGTTTACTCTAAGCTGGCTCTGGGGCCACTTCAACTTCAGAGGAGTGTGGCAGGGTCCTTCCTGGAAGCTGTCATCATGCACTGCAGGACAGCACAGCCAAGATGCACCTCCTGCTTGTCACGTGGTCCAAACCTGGCACCCACGACAGGCAGAGCACGGGGCCACTAGGGTGCTAACCTGGGCCCATTCCCTGCAAAAACTGTTCTCTGTCCTCAGTAACTATTCCCAAAATGTAAGCCTTTTGCCCTCAAGTGTGAAAGAGTATATTAAGCTCATTGCAAGTTTACTCCAGCCCGCAAAAAAGCAAGAGACAATCTTGTCCCACTAATAAAGAAAAAGCAACACATTTCTGTTTAGCCTTTTGAATTTTTCTGAGGAAGCCAGGATTCTCTATTAATTATTAAAATAGTTAGGTTGCATGAATTTGAAAGGCACTGTTGGTTTTTTTTTCTTTCAGTGATGGTAATAATGCATGCTTTGTTTACTGTTTTTTAGGTTCAATAGATGATGTTTTTAACTGCAATCTGTCACCCAGATCATCTCTGACAGAGCCTCTTTTGGCAGAATTACCATTTCCAAGTGTTCTGGAATCTGAAGAGACACCCAACCAATTTATCTGATTGAACTGAACATTGTAGCAGTTGCTCCCGCACTCCAGGCCTGTGCTAGACTATAGGCTGGGGGGAGGGTAGGAGGTGGGAGGCAGATACTTCCACCTGCGTGTCAATCTCCGGCTCCTCCATGGCTTCTATGGAGGACTCCTCTCTTCTGCTTCTGTGGATGTGATGCCCTGGCAGGCCCAGGGCAGCTGATTCCCCTAAAACTTATGATTACCAGGATGGAAAGGCCTTGGTCCCATGGCACTGGGTGGGGCTGGGGGATATTCTCTACTTTGAACACTTCTCCAAAGAGGCAGAAGGGCCACAGAGTTCTGCCACCCTGAACATTTTTCTCAGTTCCCTGGGAGTTTTTGTGGCAGCCTTTGTGGGAGTGGTCTGACTGGCTGTTGACCTAGCATGCTTCATAAATCAGGGTTTGGCCCTCTGCTTGGAGCATCCAACCCCTTGAACTCAAACCTGTCGAGCAAGGGGTTAAGAGTTCTGTTCTCTTGCCAACCTGGCTGGGCAAAAGCCTGTGCCATCTTTCACTGGGAGGCAAATATGTTTTTCATCCTGCCATATGACACCTATGAGAAACGTTCACAGTGAGGAGTAGCCAGGTTGCTAGGACAGTAACCCTGCCACACACTGCCTGAAATCGGAACTCCCTTGGCCTCCCTCTTAACTAAGTGACCCATGTAGAAGGAAGCCAGGAGATATGGTACCGAACAATGACAGGGGAAGGGTATTGGACACGGCAGCGTCCTCCTTATTGAAAACACATTATGTCAGTTGGGAATTTTAAATAAGCTTTTAGCAAACCTAACACTAAAAGCAAAATAGAAGAAAGCTATACCATTACCATAATACATTTTTCATCTCATGGCTACAATGGAATTCTTGAAAAGGAAAAAAAAATCCTATCTACATATAAAAACCTGCATGAATGAATCACTACATATGCTTATAATGAGGAAGAGTTATGGGTCCTGAGTGTAATTTTTTATCCTTTCTTAAAAAGTTTCTGTATTATGCATTTTGATAACACTACTGATGATCCTTCCACTTATATTTGAAATGTTATGTACCACATTTGCACAATTAAAACTTTTCTTAGCATTCAACCTAGAATTGATTAAATTTATGACTGAGGCTTCATGTGAGCTTTCCATTGTGGTTTGTGGGTGTTGTATTTGCCTTGTAACTTACTGAATTACAATAAGAATTGTGGGTTTTCATAGCCACTTTCTCAAGAAGCGCCTTTTGAAGAACAAGGCTATGAAGTATTTGAAGAAAGGAAATAAAATTTGATACTGATCTTTCAGAAAAGAGAAGGGGAATGCTACTTAATAACAGAAGATGTTAAACATTTATTATTACACTCAATAAAAAATGAAGAGTATTAACAATAAACTAAGTTTTACACCAGTGCAAACAAACCTTAGGTGGATATCAAATATGAAATGCTTCCCAAAGGAAACAGAGACTCTATTCATAAAACTGACAAGGAAGATTTTTTTTTTTAAGTAGCGGAATTGAGAAAAACCATCAGTATCACCCCAGGAATGGACTAAAGATCTGGAAGGGTTCTTTCACCATTAAAACTTCTTTTCAGTCAACTCTGAATCAAACGCATTCACCCATTCCATATTTACTCAGCAAAGTTTTATTGATTGCCTGTAAGAAATATACACTGTGCTAGTGTATTTTATTAGTAAATATCACAAAGAAGTTATATTGGGCAATCTTTAAAATTGATGAAAAGCCTAGGGACAGATCTTCCTGGGTAAAAGAGGCCTCACACTGAGTATAAATGTGCCCGAATGCTGATATTTTAACAGTTTAAGATCAATACAATCGTAGGACAACAATGACCTAAGCAAGTCATTCATTCATTAATTCATTTCGTCTTCATTCATTCAACACACATGCTTGAGTGCCTACTAGGTGCCATAGGCACATACCAGGTAGATACTGGCATACAAAGGTGCCTAAACATGGCCCTTGCCTTCAAGGAGCTTCCACTCTTGTAAAAGAAGACCCTTGTGTAAGCTAATAAGACTAAAACAAGTGCTCTGAGAGAAATTCAAAAAGGAAAACATCTAAGATGCTTGTAATCCAGTTCTAGAGATAGAAACCAATGACATGTAATGTAAAATTTAGTTTTTATTTTATTTTATTTTGTTTTATTTTTGAGACAGAGTTTTGCTTTTGTTGCCCAGGTTGGAGTGCAGTGGCATGATCTCAGCTCACTGCAACCTCCGCCTCCTGGGTTCAAGTGATTCTCCTGCCTCAGCCTCCCAAGAAGCTGGGATTACAGGTGTGTACCACTATGTCCAGCTAATTTTTGTATTTTTAGTAGAAATGGAGTTTCACTATGTTGGCCAGGCTGGTCTCAAACTCCTGACCTCAGGTGATTCACCCGCCTCGGCCTCCCAAAGTGCTAGGATTACAGGAATGAGCCACCATGCCTGGCAAAATTTAGTTTTAAAACAAATATTTAAGGATTGATTGATCCAAGTGATTGATTTACCCAAACTCTCAGTGATCTTGGAGGCTAGTCACTTATTCCAACAAGAATGCAAGTCCAGAAATGATTTACAGAATGAGGGAGTTTTTGTTTTTTTTTTTTTTTTTTTTTTGCCTGATGGTACTAGCTTGATTTTTGGCTAAAAGATAACACTGCTCAACTTGATCGCCTACCTTAATTATCTGTTTTACTGTTTCAAATATCCAATCTATCCTGAAAAAGCAAAGTTATGCCCCCATTGAAGAAATTCAAAAGAATGCGTGTGTCAGTTTTCAAAGGGAGTATCTAAAGAATTTCAAAAATGCTTCAAGTGATAGCAGCAGTAATATGGTTTGGCTATGTCCCTGCCAAAATCTCATCTTGAATTGTAGTTCCAATAATCCCCATGTATCATGGGAGGGACCAGGTGGAGATAACTGAATCATGAGGGTGGTTCCCTCATCCTGTTCTTGTGATCGTGAGTCAGTTCTCACGAGATCTGATGGTTTTATAAGGGGCTTCCCCATTCACTGGGCACTCATTCTCTCTCCTGCTGCCCTGTGGAAGAGGTGCTTTTCTCCATGATTGTAAGTTTCCTGAGGCCTCCCCAGCCATGTGGAACTGAGTCAATTAAACCTCTTTTCTTTATAAATTACCCAGTCTCGGGTATTTCTTCATAGCAGTGTGAGAACAAACTAATACAAGCAGCATTCAAATAAGTGATTACTTTGAAAAAGAGAACATTCATTTGGATGGATAAGTGCTGGTATAACAGATTTAAAATGACTGTTCACTTTTGCTGTTTGCTACTTGCATAAACCTGAGAGAAGAACTAACAATGGAAGGCATTGGTAATTACCCAATGGCTGCCACAGCCTGTGTGTTTCTTAAGTGTTCAGAGAAGAGGCTGGGTGCCGTGACTCACACCTATAATCCCAACACTTTGGTAGGCTGAGGTGGGTGGATTGATTGAGCCCAGAAGTTTGAGACCAGCCTGGGCAAAATGGTGCAACCCCATCTCTACAAAAAATACAAAAAAAAAAAAAAAAAAAAAAAAAAGAGTTTAGAGAAGAATTAGGGAGAGAAGGGCTGGCCGAAGAGGGAGGTCACATATAAAAGGGATTGATGAGGTTTTGATAGAATCAATAGTCTAAACTTGCTGTTATGGTTTTATTTAGATGAAATGTAAGTAAATTTGGTAAGTACCAAGTTAGAAGCAGAGCTTAGAATTTACCCCATTAAATTAGACTATCCTAATAGAAAGTAACTATATAATTTTTTTCTGGAATTTCCAATAAGAGGACCAAAATCATTCTTGGACTACTTGCCTACAACCCCTCTTAGTGGCAACTATGACCTAGATGATTCAACAAGATCTGAGTCTGTGATGGCTAATTTTACATGTCAACTTGACTGGGCCACGGTGCCCAGATCTTTGGTCAACAGTCATTCTGAATATTTCTGTGAGGGTGTTTTTGGATGGGGTTAACATTTAGATCATGGACTTTGAATAAAGCAGATTGCCCTCTCTGATGTGGGTGGACCTCATGTAATCAGTTGAAGGATGAACTAGAACAACACATTGGCTTCCCCCAGCAAGAGTGAATTCTGCCAACACTCAGTCTTCAGACTCAAGCTGCAACATCAACTCTTCCCTGTGTCTCCAGCCTGCTGTCCTACCCCACAGATTTTGGACTTGTCACAATTGTGTGAGACAATTCCTTAAAAGAAATCTCTATTTTATTTTTTAAATAAGGATGCTCGAATCAAAGCATTGCATACTGCATAGTAATAGAAAGTCTTTTGTCCAAATGTAAGAGTGAAGGCAGAGAAGCTTCACTTCGTTATCTTTGTATCCAAAGTAATTGGCAAGGTGGCAGATTGTCTGTGACCTCTTCTGGGCTTTTGGCAGTGGCCACCTGTCAGTTCTTTTACCCGTTCTTCATTAGCTTGCTCTTTGAATTTTTGCCTTCAACTCTTTCCTCTCTCCCTCTCATTCGGGAGATGACCTTGCCTGTCATATGACCTGGAGCAGTGCTTCTCAAACTGGAATGTTCCTAGGAATCCTCCGGAGATCTTGATAGAGTGCAGATCTTGATTTAGCAGCTTTGGGTGGGGCCTGAACTTCTGCATTTCTAACAAGGTGCTGCTGAGGTTACCGGAGCACAGCAAGGTTCTAGAGCTGTCCGTCTCAAACTCTGTGAATCACCTGGGATCTTGTTAGAAATGCAGCAGCTCAGGCTCCGCCTGACTTCCTGAGTCTGAATCTGTGTGCTCACACAAGCCCAGGGGCAGATATGCACACTCAGATTGGGGAGCGGCTCTCCAGCACACCCATCTTCTCCAGGCCTGGACCCCATCTGCTCTCTCCTGTAGCTTCAAGCTCTATCTTTCTGCTCCTGACCCTTGGCCTAGGAATTTGGTTACTCCTCCCCTGTTTCAAGTAATAACTCTCTCTACCTGAGCCCCTCCTCCTCCCCTGGCTAGAGGTTTTCTTCTCTGTTATAGTTCAAACCTGAGTGTTCTATATTTGCTATCTCTTCACCCTTACCACCCATCCCAGTCTTTACTACTTCACATCATGTTCTCTATGTGTGTGTTTGTGTGTGTGTGCGCGCACATGCACGGACCTGCATGCGCAGGTGCGTGTGTGCATGCAAAAATAAATTGTCACAAATTTTTTGTTTTTTGTTTTTGGAGATGGGGTTTTTCTCTTGTCACCCAGGCTGGAGTGCAGTGGCACCACTACAGCTCACTGCAGCCTCAAACTCATGGGCTTAATTGATCCTCCCACCTCAGCTTCCCAAGTAGCTGGGACTACACATATGCATCACCTTGCCTAATTTTTTCATTTTTTGTAGAAACGGGGTCTCCCTATGTTGTCCAGGCTTGTCTCAAACTTCTAGGCTCAAAGGATCCTCTTGCCTTGGACTCCCAAAGTATTGGGATTACAAGCATGAGCCACCTCGCTTGGCTGTAATCACTTCAACTGAAAACAACCAATTAACATTTAACCCATTCAATACAACTATTCTCAATTGTTTTGGATCAATTTGAAACTCTGCTAAAGAGATATCAGTAACCTAAATTAGTAACCTAGATGCTTTAATTTCTGAATGATTAACTTACTCTGGCAGAATGTTGTGGAATTTTGCCTCTCCTCCTTCTGGAATGAGAGGCCAGGATTTACTTAAACTTCCAACCTGGCCCCTGCACTGCATTGTTTAACCCAAGCATGCTCAGGTGAAGTCCAAGCTTCTCAGGATGGCCTGCAGGGCCTTCCACCCCAGCCGGCTCTCAGTTTCCCCTGACACACTTTACAATATGGCAATATTAAACTACTAAAGGTCTTGGGACTACACACAGTGTTCCATGCCTCTGGGCCCTTGCGTTACTTTGTGTCACCTGTCACCTCCCCCTATTCACCTGGTTGACTCCAAGCATCCTTGAGGACCCAGCTCAGGCACCTCCTTTTCTAGGAAGTTGTTCACTATAATAATCAGGGTGTTGCCCCGATGCCATCATACAGCTCATATTCAGTGCACAGTCAGTATTTGTTGAGGGAGAGAAGAAAGCAGGGGGGAAATACTCTACTTAATCATTTAGAAGGGTTGCCTCAGGCAACCAGAATTCAAAGGCAGGAATAGTGCTATACCGCTAGCCATAAAATGGACCCACGCAAAAATACACTTTGAAGTAGAAAGACTATAAAAGGAATGAAGATCAGAATAGCAACAAGAGCAATATCTTAGATTTGTGTGATTTTACAATTTATAAATTATTGTTAGAACTCATCATGTTTACAGCACAGTGAGGTGGGTGCTGGTATTCTCATTTACAGATAAGGAGACCAGGGATCAGGGAAGGATTTGCTTACCCCTAAGGGCCTGCAGTGACAGAAAGATCCTTTGGCTCTCTATTTGGTTCCTACCGCACCATTTCACAGCTTGCCTAAAATGAGACAAATTGTAAGATATTAATAAGAATTCACTTTCAAAATTCTATATACTTGCTGCTCTATTTTAAACATATATTTCTCTTAAATTATGCTATGCTAATTAGCTCTACCATTTCCAGACAGTAATCTGTTATTGGGTGCTACTTTTTAAATTTAGATGCCACTACTAAATCCTAATTTAGACTCATTCCTTTTAATAACATCTATGCCTTCTAATGTGTTCCACCCTCCATTGCTTCAAAACATGAGAGTTTATAATGTGTTATATTCATTCCATTATATGGATAGAACTCTACCTTCAGGAAATTCTAGTTTAGCTCTTCATTTTAAAGACATTCCTTGCACATATATTTGGGATCCTTACCTTGATGCTTTTTCTGTCTCCTTTGATAAATTCCTCCTTTGTCACACTGCACTGTTTCTCTGAGGTCTTGTATTAGAATAGCCCCTTAAGAATAAGGAACTGTTGTAAATTGCTTTGTAAACAGGTTGCCAGCCAACTCCAAAATGTATTTCCTGTCTTCTCTTTTCACCCAAGTGGGTAATAACTGTGTTGTAACCTGGAGACAGTCAGTAGTTACTAACCACCTAGTATGTCAAATTACCAGGTAAGGTTATCCAGCAAAAGGGGCTCACTGCACTAGAAGCCAACACTATGACACCAAGTTTTTGAGAAAAGGAAAGCTTCACATTGCAAGTTAACTTCTGAGGAAACAAAAGTCCAGTTCAAATCTGTCTTGTACTGGCTTTAGGGCAGTAATTTTATTACAAAAGGTTTAGGGTTGGATCCTGGGGTTAGCAGGTGATTGGTGGAAGCAAAGGGAACATCTGGGAAGTCTTCAGGCATGCATGGCTCTCTCTTCATGCTTCCTGGTGGGTCCCATGTGCAAATTTGGAGGGAGTTGGTATGAAACATGCAGTAGAAATTCAGGCTGTGACATCAGCAAGCTTGCTGTGCGCAAACTGCATTTGGCCATATTGATTCCGGCTGATTTCAGTCAGTTTTGTTATAAGCAGAGGGAGTTTCAGCAAATTGTTTCTTTTCTTATCTGCCCCTGAAAACAAGAATTTCTGTTAGTTATTGGTGTCTTTGACTCTTTGAAACAGTTTCAGTAGTTCCCAAGATATGAAGATAAAAGACCCCCTTCATCAGTGAAAACTCTTACAAGGGGATGAAAGACACAGCTTCCTCTATGAGAGCACAAGAACAATTAAATTGACCCTCACAAACACTATGGTTGGTGCCAGGAACGTGGCCTGGTGAGGAGGACAGTGTCACATCCTCCCTGCCCACTCCTGTTTCCACGCGTGCATTTCCTCTTCTGCCCCTCTCCTAAGCCAGGATGACCCTTCTGACCGCGTGGAACTATCACAGAAACTGCTTCCATTTATACCAGATGACTTGGGATTCAGTCTTCTTGCTTGGTTTTTATTGACTGCAAAAATCCATGACAACTTTGCGCACATTTGCTTAAGCTGAAAGCAAATGGATGAAAGTTTGTAGTTGAAAATCTACTTTCTCTTCAATCTCTTCCCTTTTTGCTTTTCTTAGGAAACATACAAGACAGTGGTCCGGAAAGCTCACTGCAAGAACTGTACAAATAATGTAAAAGTAAGGCATCCATAAGATCAAAGCCACATTTCTTTGCTCTCTGCACCCCATTCCCGCGCCGGCCAGGTTAAGCCTCCTGCGTGGCCAGCACCCCTTGGCAGGGGCAGAACTCCCTGGAACCCGATCCTTGTCTCCATGGCGACGCGTCACAAAGCAGCCCGCGGCTCCCGCAAGCGCTGAGATAGCTGGAGCCAGGGCCCCGCGGCCGCCTCCTGGGGCAGAATGGAACAGCCTGGGCCCAGGGCTCCGGATCCCTCTCTCTGCCACCACAACCTCCAGCCAAGTAAGACAGCAGACTCTGCCGGTCTGCGGGGCGGGGCTGGGGTCTTTCCCGGGGAAAGGGTCCTGTTGAGAAAAAGGGGCCTTAGTATTTAAGGGTGTGGCATCGCTCTTAGGAGTATGCTCAACTGAGGAAAAGACGGGGAGTCAGGGAGAATGACAGGGCCTTCATGACGCTGCCCCTTTTCAGTCCTTCGCATAACCTTTGCCAAATCCCCGCTCCCTAAAACGCGCAGGGTTTTTAAACACTCGAGGAAGTGCCTGGCTAAGAGGGGACAGGAAAAAAGGAAGAACTGGTGATTTTCCAAGGAAAACAGGGCCAAAGGCAAAGAAGAAAGAGAAGTCCTGGAAGCTCTGAAGAGAACAGGTCCTGCCTGAGTCCCGATCCCCATATAGGATCTTGGAAACAGCAAGGAAAGTGGGGGAAGGGTTGGCTGCTGAATGGAGTCCCAGCTGTGTCTGCAGAGGCAGACGCCCTCCCTGGGCTGTCGCACCAGGCTGGGAGCCATGGCCTTCAGCTGCCGCCTCTAACCTGAATTGATTTTTCTTCCACAGAGATTTTGTATTTCACAGAGGTAGTGCTTTTCATCCTAATTCTGCCCACAGATGCAGCAGGTTCACCAGTTCAGCCTTTTGGGTCTGTGGAGGGAGAACCACTCTAGCTGTGACGCTAGTGGCATGATTACCGTGTAGTCAGCTCCATCATAGTCTCTTGTGGCAATAATTGGCCATTGCTGCTGTATAGTTGGGTAACTGTGATTCCACAGTGGCTATGGAGCAGTGAAGGATTGTTCAAGTACAAATTCCCTAGAATTGTGCTCCCAAAAGAGTGAATGAAATGCATATTTTCATTCCAATTCATTCCGTTGTAAATTAAGAATGGAAAATGAAAATACTTAATTAGTGCAGAAAATATCTAATACACTCAGTTTCTATATGATGGGAAGGCAAACAGGAGAGACAGAGGAGGGAGGATCCCCTCCTAGCATCCCGACAGCACCCCTTTGGATGCTTCTCTTCCCTTTCTAACCACCCTGTTTTCCCACTGTCTCCCCATTTCATCCCCTTCTTGTCTGGGAACTGTTGGAGTCCCCCAGGATTGATCCTTCTAGGCTTACCTTCTCTTTGTGACCATATCCTGCACAGGGCTTCAAGTGCTGCATAAAGGTGCCAACAACTCTCTAACCTTTATCTCTGACTTGGACTTTCTTCCTACTTTTTCAGACCAGAATATCTAACTGTCTACCAGACAGTTCCATGTGGGTGTCACAGCAGGGCCTCCAACTTGACATGTGCAAAATCACACTCCTTGTCCTCCTCAAACCTTCCAGACTTTGAGAGTTCAGTTAAGAGGGTCCTAGCTGCTCAATTTAGAAGGGAAGGCAGCTTCCTTGAGACTGCAGTTTGATCACCAGGTCTCTTTGATTCTGCCTCCAAAGCTCTTTTTCCCCCAGGTGAATTCGCCCCTTTACCTCCAGGCTTGGGCCTCTAATGGCTACTCTGTGCCACTTCATTCCCCACTGCTGGGAGAGTCACCCTCCAAATGGTAGGCTTGATGTGTCCCCACTGCCCAGGTTTGGTCCGAAATAGGATGAGGTTGATGGTGACTGATGACTAACTGTTATTGAATAATTACTACAGATGGGGCTCTCAGGTGTTGTATTAGTTTCCTGTGGCTGCTATGTGTTCCCACAGACTGGTGGATTCAAACAACAAAAATGTATTTGCTCACAGCTCTGAAGGTCGAGAGCCTGAAATCAAGGTCTGGACAAGTCTGCACTCCCTCTACAGGCCCTAGGGGAGAAGTGGTCCTTACGTCTTCCAGCTTCAGGTAGCCATCGGCACTGCTAGTGATGGCAGTGGCTGCTGCCATCATGCTGGCTGCAGCAGGGAAGCACAGCTGGGGCTGCAACACTCCATGGAGCCCGTGGGAGCTGCCCCTTCTGAGTTGGGATGGGAGCTCCCTGTGCCGCTACAGCCGCCCAAACTGCAGCTACAGACCCAGGCCTCCTGCTCTATGGAGCAAGCAGGAGCCCTGCAGTCCTGGGCGAGGCTACAGCCACCCAAACTGCGGCTGTGGGTCTGAGCCTCCCTGTGCCTCTGAGCCTCCCTGTGGAACCCACGGCTGCAGACCTGGGCCTTTCACTCCATGAAGCAGGCAGGAGCCAGGGACAAGTGGGAGCTTTGCCTCTTCCAAGTTGGTGGGGCAAGAGCTCCCTGGTGCAGCTGCAGCTGCCCTCCCAGGCACAGGACCTGGGCATCTCTGCAGCCTGCACCCTTGGACTCCCCAGGAAGGACACCCTTCACCCATCCATCCCTGCAGGCTCAGGGGTATCTGATCCCACTGCCAGGCAATACCCCACCCACATCCCTGCAGGCTAAAGGGTATCTGCTCCCACTGCCTGGCCTCTCTCCACTGGCTCTGATCTCAGAGTGGGGTTGGGACCAAGCCCCAGGGCTGTGAATGGCAGCAGGAGGCAGACAGAGTCCTGGGTGGAAGGGGCTGGGGTCCCCAGTAAGGCCCCACCCTCTGACCAGGGAGGGCCTGAAGTCTGGGGACCAGGCTGCCAGTCAGGAATCTGAGTGGGGACTCATGCTGCCTCCTCCAGCCTGCGCATGGCCACCCATGGACCAATCAGCATGCACTTCCTTCCCTCTGAAGTCCATAAAAACCCTGGGCTCAGCCAGAGCAGGGAAGAGGACAGCAGCCAGAGAATGAAGAGGGCAGGGAGAGACAAGGGAACCCCCCGCTGTAGAGGAGTATGCTCTCTGCTGATAGCTGGAGATGATGGGGCAACTAGCTGCAGAAAGGAAGGAGTACCCTCTCGACTGCCGACAGACAGGAGCTACGCTCTCTGCTGAGAGCTTCAGAGACCTGCAGAGATCTCTGAATGACTTGCCTATGGAGAGGAGCTACGCTGCCTAGGGCCTCCTCTCTACTGACAGCTGAACACTTGACCGGATGACCTGCCTACAGAGAGAAGCTACCCACTCCTCCGAGCTGTTCTAACACTAAAACTCTTCTTCACTCTTCACTTGTCTGTGTACCTCAATGCGGGACAAAAACTCTGGCAAAGGCACTGCAGCCACAGAGTTTTCCAGCCAGAAAAATCAACACCCCAGAGATCCTGTAATGCTAGCTTGTGGCCTCATTACTCCAGGTCTCTGTCTCTGTCTTATAAGCACACTTGTAATTGCATTTAGGGTACACGAGGATAATCCAGGATGATTTCCTAATCTCGAAATCTTTAATTGCGTGTGCAAAGACCCCTTTTCCCAATAAAGTAAGATTCACAGGTTTTGGGGATTAGGACATGGAAATATCTTTTTTGTAGTGTCACCATGTGGCACACTACAAGCAACTTACATATATCAATACCTTGAATCCTCAAAACAAAGTGAGGGAATAAAATAATATATGTGAAAATATTTTGTAAAGTATAATAGAATATACATGTTACTACTTTATAATATTTTTTAAGCTTTATATTTTCCTAATGGTGAACACATCCAGTGGATTGTCAAGGTTAGCAGAATGAGGCTTTAGGATGCTTTGCTGACCTGTCATTAGCCATCTTTCCCTTTGCTCCATTCACATGGGGCTATTTGTTGTGTCTCATCTCAGACTCTCATACCTCATGCTACTTCCTCTGTAAATTGTTTTACTTCATGTCCTGTGCTTCTCTTTCAAACATCTACTAAATTAAATCACAGCTCAGATGCCACCTATGCTATGATGACCCCTGGGCCTGCCCTTGCTGCCGCATCTTCTCATCCAAGCAAAAAGAATTGCACCCTCTTCATGTTCCCTGTGACACATAGGACATCAGCACCACATTAAACTTGTGCTCATAGGATACATAGCTCATCTCTTGGCCTGTGAGTTCTCCAAGGCCAGGTCAAGACTCTGTGTCCCAGTGCTCCACAGGGCTGGGTCCACGGGAGGGCTTGGGGACTTCTTTGAAGGAGGAACAGAAAATGAGAGAAGAAAGAATTAGGAAGACGTAATCACAGGAAAGATGGATATGAGCTACACAAAAGGACATTGAGATACTGAGAAGAAAGTAGTGACTTGCAGAGAACATACTAGGAACAGATTTTCAGAATATTGTGATTACAGATTTCTCAATGAACATTTCTGTTAATGAAGAAAATTAATTCCAATGGCATACTGTACTTTCAGAAGCTTTGTCAATGGAGGTAAAAAGCATAGAAATACAGCCCTTACAAAAAGAGTTGTAGTAAGGGAAATCATTAACATGAAATTAAAGGAAGATGTACCAAAGATCAAGTGTGCATCCAAGCAGGTTAGGATTAGGGAGTGGAGGGTGTGCCTGATCTGTACAAAGGTAACAATGGAAGAGGGAGGCTCTCATGGCCTCAGTTCCTGGAAACAGTAAGGCATGCTGCTCTTGTCCGTCAGACTCCTGATCCAGGCACCTGGCAATTGGTGACCCCAGCTGCCAAACTATCTTCAGAAGGGATAGGACCCTAGATGGGCGGGAACACAGAGGGGCGTGTCGTGCTTGCCCACATGATTGATTGGGAGGTGCTGCCTGGAGTGCTGTTCTGCCAGGCTTTTTGAGGCATATCTGAGCCTAATAGAAATGTGATCTGGACTGTTAGAGTTGTTTGCCTTAGAAAAAACAGGGAAAATTTATGTGTGGCTTTTGTGCAGAATATCCTTCCTGATTGTTCCGAAAGTCCAATGCCGAAGTTCAAATCAGGTTAGAGAAGGCTTCTTTTACGAGTGGCATGCCTCACAATTTCTTCCCTTTTACTTGTTCATACTTGTAATTCTTTTAACAAAGAACATTGAATTCTGCTATTGGGATAAAATGCTTTCAAGCATAAAGCGATGCCCACTAAAGAAGGAGTATTGGAGAATGATGTCATTTCTTGTAGAGCAGGATTAGAGAGCAGACACTAGGAGTGCATAGAAGCACAGTTACAGAGTGGGGAATACAAGGGGCTAAGGCTTCAGTTATCTGACTAAGGGGCTCTTAAGTGGAGGTAGAACTTCAGCCAGGGTTAAGGGCACAGGTAATAGTTGCAGATGATCAGATCCTGATTGGAAATGAGAGTCTGTTAAATTATAAACAAGACTTGATTGGGATAGATGAGGAGATGAACATTAAGAGGTTCACAGATAACAGGAACCATAAATATTTGGCCAGAGCTCCCTATGCTAAGCAGTAGCATATAGCTTTTCAAAATATTGGGAAATTGAAGAAAAATACTTAATAGCAATTGTAATAGGACACATGAAGGGGAACAAATACAGGCAATGAGGTGGCTACAGTATTCTAGGGATGAAGGGATACATCCTAGAGAACATTGTGTATTCAAAAAGTAGAGATGTTCAACCAAGGTTCTCATGACATATATAAAGCAGCAGGTAACCACCCAGATATGAAGAGTGAGAGAATGACTGAATTTTAAATTTAAAATGTATATTCCTGAGAAATTTGGTGGTACTTCGTTGACAATGGGAAGTTGGGGCAAATAAACAGTGTTGTTGCTGGTATCTACCTGTCTTAGTCCATTTTCTGTTGTTGTTGTAACAGAATACTACATACTGGGTAATTTATAAGGAAAAGAAAACTACTTTAGCTGATGGTTCTAGAGGATGGAAAGTCCAAGAGCATGGCACTGGCATTGGGTGAGGGCCTATTAGCTGCATTGTAACATGGTGGAGGGCATTGCATGGTGATAGGGCAAGAATGTGCTAGCCCAGGTCTCTCATCCTCTTTTTATAAAGCCACCAGTCCCATCAAGGGGACCCCTCTCTGATTACCTCATCTAATCTTAATTACCTCTCAAAGGCCCCACCTGCAAATGCTATCAACATATACATTTGGGGATTAAGTTCCCAATACACAACATTTGGGGGACACATTCAAACAATAGCACTACCAGTGGTGAATTCTCAGCTGGCATCCTCCTGGAATCATCAGCAGTGTTTGACTCCCTTCTCTGGGACACTTTTTTTGACTTTCAGGATGCCACTGGCTCCTGGTTTCTTCATCACCTCTCTAACAGTTCTTTTCAGCCCCTTCACTGGCTCCTCCTTCTCTCTCCAAATTCTTGACATTGGAGTGTTCCAGGTCTCAGCCTTGGAACTTCTGCTCCAAGTCTACTCCCTCCTTCATTGATCTCCCCACTCTCATAGCTTTAAATGGCATCTACACCACAGAATTTTGCACAACCATTACAAGACATGAATTAGAACTACGCCAGATGACTTGGAGGAGTTTTCTATCACACACTGTTAGTGACAGATATAAGAAAAAGACACTCTGTGTCGTATGAGCCCACTTTTGTGAAACAAAATGTTGATAACTGAAACCCGATATGTCTATGTATAAATCAGCATGTGATTACCTCCACATGTATGCAAAGAAACAGGCAAAATTGTTAACATGTGCTGCCTGGGAGGAGGGATAGGAAGGAGAGTGGCAATGGCAGGGAAAGGAAGAAGTAAGGAGATGTCCATTATAAAACTTGATGTGTGTAATATGATCCTGTGTGTGTAAAGTCATTCCGTGTGTCTATAGGTACATCTAATATGATGCATGTAAAGTTGGTGACTAAAACATAATAGTAGGTCTCTTAAAATGATAGAGTTTCAGATGAATTACTTTCCTCTTTATATTTTTATGTCTGTCTTTAATTCTTTAAAATAGCATGCATGAATGCTCAGGAGAAACAGTAGAACTATCTTTTATTTTGGGGTGAAACAGATAAGTCGAACTTCCTCATTCCTATTAGAGGCTGTATTTTGGCCTTTATTCCTTAGACTCTAAAGATAAACCATCCAAAATGTTTTTTTCTCTTGCAAAATTATCTTAATTGTTAAAACAACATTTCTTCAAAATATTCTGGTTTGCCATATTTAAAACTGCTTTATTGTACTTTTAGCAGATGACCCCAACTGGGATTCCTATGCTACCACTATGAGGACTGCATTCACGCCTAAAACAGGAGCAGTGCCTGCCTTAATTCGGTAGATCATTATTTGTGTTGGATTGATATACATGTTTTAATTTGTTGACTTGTCTTTTATGACTCAGAATCCAAACACATAGACAGTAATTAGAGAAGCTTCGTAAAAATGCTCTTGGATACGGGCTACTGTGTGCACACCTCTGCTCCAAGCATCCGTGATACCCCTTCCCCTCAAACAGTATCCACACCTCCTATAGGGAAACCGAGAAAATGGCTACCAATTTTTCATAAAGTTCCTGTATATTGTGGTTTACAGCAGACCCAATATATAGGTTAATAAGGTTGTGCTACCTAAACATTCACGTGACTTGAATCCATTCCCTAATATAGAGTAGGCAGGCAATGACAATTGAGTGAATAGATGAATGGATGAATAAATACTTGTTATCATAGCATCACCAAGACTAGTCTTGGAAGATGGAAGAAGGCCACTGTCCCCCTCTTCTTACCTCCACTCCTCCAGATACTGCAATATTGGCTTCAGCTTCTCCTCCAATTCAACCTGAGCTGAGAGTAGTGGGAGTTTCTAAACATCAGCTGCCTTTTTTTTTTTTTTTTTTTTTTTTTTTTTGAGACAGAGTCTCGCTCTGTCGCCCAGGCTGGAGTGCAGTGGTACGATCTCGGCTCACTGCAAGCTCCGCCCCCTGGGTTCACGCCATTCTCCTGCCTCAGCCTCCCGAGTAGCTGGGACTACAGGCGCCCGCCACCACACCTGGCTAATTTTTTGTATTTTTAGTAGAGAGAGGGTTTCACTGTGTTAGCCAGGACGGTCTTGATCTCCTGACCTTGTGATCCGCCCGCCTCGGCCTTCCCAAGTGTTGGGATTACAGGCGTGAGCCACCACATCCGGCTGCCCCATCATCTTTTACTGTGTCACTGGTAGGTATGAAATCAGCATAGAGAGCCTTCAATTATCATCTTCATTCTGTGAATTGTGTCCAGTGAGAATCTTTTCACCTTAAGCCTGGACAACATGGTGAAACCCCTTCTCTACCTAAAATACAAAAATTAGCCGGGTGTGGTGGCAGGCACTTGTAATCCCAGCTACTCGGGAGGCAGAGGCACGAGAATTGCTTGAACTCCGGAGGTGGAGGTTGCAGTGAGCCGAGATCACACCACTGCACTCCAGCCTGTGTGACACAGCGAGGCTCTGTCTCAAAACAAACAAACAAACAAAAATTTCATCTTAAAAGCGTTCAAGATATTGAAAAGTGGAGTATTGGTAAGACCATGGCTATGGAGTTAGGCAGAAATGGCTTCTTAGCCCCCTGCTCTTACCCTTATTATCTCTGCTACCTTGCGCAAGTAACAAGCCATCTGGGGCTCAGTTTTGTCATTAGTGAAATGGGGACAATGATACCTGCCTAAAGTGGCTGTTCTGAGGACACAAAGCACTAGGACAGTGACTAACACAAAGAAGTTAGTCATTTTCATTCATTTTTCCCACCATAGTATGTGATAGATTTCCAAAAAGTACAAGGCTACAAGATTCCAGATTTCTGAGTTACTAGCTATCCCAGTGAGTCCGTAACTGGGAAATTTTATCATCTGACTGTAATGAAAGTGCCATCTATATAACTGTAACAGTAGCCTGAAGAAGAAATGTTTAGGATGAAAGCCAAAAACAAATAGATAACTTAGGGAGTCTAGGTCAGTGATGTTTGAATTTATATATTTATAAACTTCTCACAAAAGTTTCAGTATAAAAATTTTAACTTTTTTATTTCAATAGCTTTTGCGGTACAGGTGGTTTTTGGTTACATGGGTGCATTGCATAATGGTGAGATCTGAGATTTTAGGGTACCCGTAACTAAAGTAGTGTACATTGTACCCAATATGTAATTTTTTATTCCTCACCCACTGCCACCTCCCTCTCTGCTTCTGAGTCTCCATAGTCCATTATGTCATTCTGTATGCCTTTGGGTACCCATAGCTTAGTTCCCACTTATCAGTGAGAATGTATGGTATTTGGTTTTCCATTCCTGCATTCCTGAGTTACTTCGCTTAGAATAATGGCCTCCAGCTCCATCCAAGTTGCTGCGAAAGACATTATTTCATCTTTCTTATGGCTGTGTAATATTCCATGGTGTATATATATATACACACCACTTTTTTTAAACCACTCACTAATCAATGGGCCCTTAGGTTGGTTTTATATCTTTAAAATTGTGAATTGTGCTGTGGTAAACATACATGTACAGTTGTCTTTTTAATAAAATGACTCCTTTTCCTTTGGGTAGATACCTAGTGGTGGCATTGCTGGATCAAACGATAGATCTACTGTTAGTTCCTTAAGAAATATTCATACTGTTTTCCATAGAGGTTGTACTAATTTACATTCCCACCATCAGGGTATAAGTGTTCTCTTTTCACCACATCGTTGCCAGCATCTATTGGTTTTTTGACTTTTTAATAATTAAATTCAATAATATTTTTTGCAGGAGTGGGGTGGTATCTCATTGCAGTTTTCATTTGTATTTCCCTGATGATTAGCAATGTTGAGCATTGTTTTTCATATGTTTTTGGCCATTTGTATACCTTCTTTTGAGACATGGCTGTTCATGTCATTTACCAACATTTTGATAGGATTTTTTTCTTGGTGATTTCTTTGAGTTCCTTGTAGATTTGGGATGTTAGTCCTTTGTTAGCTTCACAGTTTGCAAATATTTTTCTCCTATTCTGTGGGTTGTCTGATTATTCTAATTATTCTTTTTGCTGTATAAAAGCATTTTAGTTAAATTAGGTCCCATTTATTTATTTATTTTTGTTGCATTTGCTTTTGGGGTCTTAATCATGAATTATTTGCCTAGGCCAATGTCCAGAAGAGTTTTTCCTAAGTTATCTCCTAGAATTTTTATGGTTTCCAGTCTTATATTTAAGTCTTTTATCTGTCTTGAGTTGATTTTTATAAGGTGAGAGATGCTAGCCAATTTTCCCGGCACCATTTATTAAATATGGTGTCCTTTCCCAAATTTATGTTTTTGTATGCTTTGTCAAAGATCACTTCATTGTCAGTATTTGGCTTTATTTCTGGGTTCTCTATTCTGTTCCATTGGTCAATGTGCCTACTTTATTTTTTAAACCAGTACCATGCTCTTTTGGTAACTATAGCCTTGTAGTATAATTTAAAGTCTAGTAATGTGATGCCTTCAGATTTATTCTTTTTACTTAGGATTGTTTTGGCTATTTGGGCTCTCTTTTGGTTCTGTATGAATTTTAGAATTGTTTTTTCTAATTCTGTGAAAAATGATGTTGGTATTTTGATAAGAATTGCATTGACTCTGTAGATTGCTTTGAGCAGTGTAGTCATTTTCATGATATTGATTCTTCTGATCCATGAAACACATCCATGGGATGTTTCCATTTGTTAGTGTTACCTATGATTTCTTTCAGTAGTGTTTTGTAGCTCTCCTTGTAGAGATATTTCACCTCCTCCTTGGTTAAGTATATTCCTGGGTATTTTATTTTTTGCAGCTGTTGTACAACGGATTGAGTTATTGATTTGATTCTCAGCTTGGTCATTGTTGTATATAGCAGTGCTACTGATTTGTGTACATTGATTTTGTAACTTGAGACTTTACAGAATTCATTTATCCAAACTCTAGGTATATGATCATATCATCAGCAAACAGCAATATTTTGACTTTCTCTTTTCAAATGTGGATACACTTTATTTCTTTCTCTTGCTTGATTGGTCTGGCTAGGACTTCCAGTACTATGTTGAATAGAAGTGGTGAAAGTGGGCATCCTTTTCTTGTTCCAGGCCTCAGAGGAAATGCTTTCAACTTTTCCCCATTTGGTGTAATGAAAACTGTGGTTTTGTCATAGATGGCTCTAATTTTTTTTAAGGTATATTCCTTAGACGTCTAGTTTGTTGAAGGTTTTTATCATAATGGGATGCTGGATTTTATTGAATGCTTTTACTGCATCTATTGAAATGATCATATGATTTTTGTTTTTTGATTCCGTTTATGTGATATATCATATTTGACATGCATATGTTAAAGCATGCCTGCATCCCTGGGATGAAACCCACTTGATTATTGCATATTATCTTTTCGATGTGCTATTGAATTCAGTTAGTATTTTGTTGAGGATTTTTGTATCAATGTTCATCAGGGATATTGGTCTGTAGTTTTCTACAGACCAGTATTCCTGGTTTTGGGTATCAGAGTGTTACTGGCTTCATAAAATGAGTCGGAGAGGATTCCCTCTTTCTCAATCTTTTGGAATAGTTTCAGTAGGATTGGCACCAATTCTTCTTTGAACATCTGATAGAATTCAGCTGTGAATCCATCTGGCCCTGGCTTTTTTTGAAGTCGACAGTTTTTTTTATTACTGACTCAATCTTACTGCGTGTTATTGGTCTGCTCAGGGTTTCTATTTCTTCCTGATTTAATCTAGGAGGCTTGTGTGTTTCCAAGAATTTATTCATTTCCTCTAGATTTTCTAGTTTGAGTGCATTGAGGTGCTCATAGTTGTCTTGAATGATCTTTCATAATTCTGTGGTGTCAGTTGAAATGTCTCTAGTTCCATTTCAAATTGAGTTTATTTGAATATTCTCTCTTCTTTTCTTGGTTAATCTAGTTTATGGTCTATCAATTTTACCTTTTCAAAGAACAAGCTTTTTGTTTCATTGATTTTTTTTTGCTGTTTAATTTCATTTTGTTCTTCTCCGATCTTATTTCTTTTCTTGTACTAGCTTTGGGTTTAGTTTGTTTTTGTTTCTCTAGTTCCTTGAAGTATGAAATTAGGTTGTCAATTTGTGATCTTTCAGACTTTTTGCTGTAGGCATTTAGTGCTATAAACTTTCCTCTTAGCACTGCTTTTACTGTATCCCAGAAGTTTTGATAACTTGTGTTACTATTATCATTTATTTTAAAGGGCTTTTTAATTTCCATCTTGATTTCACTGTTAACCCAAAAATCATGCAGGAGCAGATTGTTTAATTTCTATGTATTTGTATAGTTTTGAGAGTTCCTTTTGGAATTGATTTTTAGTTTCATTCCACTGTGATCTGAGAAGATACCTGACATGACTTTTATTGTTTAAAATTTATTGAGACTTGTTTTGTGGCCTATTGTATGGTCTATATTGAAGAATGTCCCATGTGCTGATGAGAAAAATGTATATTCTGCAATTCTTGGGTAGAACTTTTTGTAAATATTTGTTAGGTCCATTTGTTCTAGAGTGTAGTTTAAGTCCATTCTTTCTTTGTTGACTTTCTGTCTCAATGATCTGTCTAGTGCTGTCAATGGAGTGTTGGAGTCCCCAACTATTATTGTGTTGCTGTCTATCTCATTTCTTGGGTCTAGTAGTAAATATTTTATGAATCTGGGAGCTCCAGTGTTAGATGCATACAAATTTAGGATTGTAATATCTTCTTGTTGGATTAATCCTTTTATCATTATATAATGACTTTCTTTGTCTTTTTTTTTACTGTTGTTGCTTTAAAGTCTGTTTTATCTGATATAAGAATAGCTACTCCAGCTCGCTTTAGGTTTCCATTTGCATGCAATATCTTTTTCCACCCTTTTTCCTTGGGTTTATATGAATCCTTATGTTTTAGATCAGTCTCTTGAAGACAGCAGATATTCTGTGGTTTGTGGATTTTTTTTTAATCCATTCTGCCAATCTATTAAGTGGAGTATTTAGGCCATTTATGTTCAATGTTCATAGTGAGATGTGAGGTACTGTTCTAATCATCATGTTAATTGCTACCTAGATACTTTGTTTTTTTTCATTGTGTTATTGTTTTATAGGTCCTTTCAAGAGGTTCTATTCTGGTGTATATTGACCTTTTGTTTCAGGACTTAGAACTCCTTTTAGCATTTCTTGTAGGGCTGGTCTGGTAGTGACAAATTCCCTCAGCATTTGTTTGTCTGAAAATGACTTTATTTCCTCTTTGTTTATAAATCTTAGTTTTTCTGGATAAAAAATTCTAGGTTGAGAGTTATTCCCTTTAAGGCGGCTAAAGATAGGACCCCAATCCCTTCTGGTTTGTAAGGTTTCTGCTGAAAAGTCTGCTGTTAGTCTGATAGGTTTTTTTGTTTTGTTTTGCTTTTTAATAGGTTACCTGATGCTTTTGTCTCATTTGTCTCAAAATTATTTCCTTCACATTGACTTTAGACAGTCTGATGACTATAGGCGTTGGTAAAGTCCTTTTTGTGATGAATCTCCCAGGAGTTCTTTGAGCTTCTTGTATTTGGATATCTAAATTTCTAGCAAGCTCAGGAAAGTTTTCCTCAATTATTCCCTCAAATAATTTTTCCAAACTTTTTACTTACTCTTCTCCCTCAGAACACCAATTATTCTTAGATTTGGCCATTCTACATAATCCCATATTTCTTGGAGACTTTACTCATTTCTTTTTATTCTTTTTTCTTTATTTTTGTCTGGGTTAATTCAAAAGCCTTGTCTTCTAGCTCTAAAATTATTCTTCTACTTGTTCTAGTCTGTTAAAACTTTCCACTGCATTTCGTCATTCCCTAAATGTGTCTTTCATTTCTAGAAGTTCTGATTTTTTTTAAAATCTATTTCTTTAGAAAACTTTTTATTCATATCCTGAGTTGTTTCTTAATTTCTTTATGTTGGTTTTCACCTTCTTCCGGTATCTCTCTGAGTAGCTTAATAATCAACCTTTTGAATTCTTTATCTGATACTTCAAAGATTTCATTTTAGTTTAGATCCATTGCTGGAGAGCTAGTGTGATCTTTTGGGGATGTTATAGAACCTTGTTTTGTCATATTGCCAGAATTATTTTTCTGGTTCCTTCTCATTAGGGTAGACTATTTATTCTAATTATTCTTGAATTTATTTTTTATTTGATTTTTTAAAATTTCTTTTTTCCCCCTTAAGGATGTGACCTTAATGTTTACAGTTTATTACAGCCTAATTTGGCTCTTGGTGCTTTCAGGGGTGAAGTCTGCATAAGTTCCTTGGTTATAGAGAGTCTTTGTATGATGGCTTTGTCAAATGTCAACATAAATTTAAATAGCTGCAAAAGATTAAACTTCCTCCCCATCCTGCATATTGACATTTTAAAATAAAACTTTTCAATAAAACCAATGAATACTCTGAATGCTTTAGCAAATTAATACCTGCCATGATCTTTTAAATAAACACACAAATAAGTTCTATTTGATCATTTATTTCATTTCTTTCTCTTCTTGAACTCTCATTCCCACTCCACTTCCTCCATAGACTTTTTCCCTGCTGTGATATATTTTATGTTTGGAAGCAATTTATTGATCATGCTATTATACTTCTTTGCAACTATTTTAGTATATTAATTGAAATTAATTTTTAAACATGTTATATGACCCTAAGTACTGAGTTATCACAATTATTTTAGTACACAATCGCTCAAAGCAATAAATACATTATAAATGTTCATAATTATGAAATACAAAAAGAAAATTTTTTTGCAACTGCATCTTAATGAGATAAATGTGGCTGTTTAGTTTTCAATTAGTTCCTATATCTAGTTTTGAGCATTGTTATTTTCAGAATGAAACTGCACTCAGCATCAATTTTTTCTGCTTCTCTCTTTTTTCAATTTATAGATTTTAATGTTAAGAAACTTTGTTCATATATATATAGAAATAAGTAAGTGCAAATGAAAGGAGTTTTAGTATAGCAGTGTCACTCAGTACTCTGAACTGTTTCTGAATTATGTCCCAGAAATCACAATGTGATTTTTAATGACTGATCAGCTGACAACTTGGTTCGGTACTCCTTAAATTTTATTGAAAGCTATTAATAAGATGATTTGTCCTCCATTCTTTGAGTTATTCCCTGTCTCAGTTTCTGAGAATATATTGAAAAGGCATGTCTTAACAAATGACTATTAAATTGCACCTGTTACTCTTTCACTTGGAAGCAACTTGTTTAATTTTCTATGTTCAAAAAGGATTTGGAAAATCGAAACACTAATTTTAATAAATTTCTATAATACAAACTTTTTTTATTATTATACTTTAAGTTTTAGGGTACATGTGCACAATGTACAGGTTTGCTACATATGTATACATGTGCCGTGTTGGTGTGCTGCACCCATTAACTCGTCATTTAGCATTAGGTATATCTCGTAATGCTATCCCTCCCCTCTCCCCCCACCCCACAACTGTCCCTGGTGTGTGATGTTCCTCTTCCTGTGTCCATGTGTTCTCATTGTTCAATTCACACCCATGAGTGAGAACATGCGGTGTTTGGTTTTTTGTCCCTGTGATAGTTTGCTGAGAATGATGGTTTCCAGCTTCATCCCTGTCCCTACAAATGACATGAACTCATCATTTTTTATGGCTGTATAGTATTCCATGGTGTATATGTGTCACATTTTCTTAATCCAGTCTATCATTGTGGGACATTTGGGTTGGTTCCTAGTCTTTGCTATTGTGAATAGTGCCGCAATAAACATACGTGTGCATGTGTCTTTATAGCAGCATGATTTACAATCCTTTGGGTACATACCTAGTAATGGGATGGCTGGATCAAATGGTATTTCTAGTTCTAGATCCCTGAGGAATCGCCACACCAACTTCCACAATGGTTGAACTAGTTTATAGTCCCACCAACAGTGTAAAATTGTTCCTATTTGTCCACATCCTCTCCAGCACCTGTTGTTTCCTGACTTTTTAATGATTGCCATTCTAACTGGTGTGAGATGGTATCTCATTGTGGTTTTGATTTGCATTTCTCTGATGGCCAGTGATGGTGAGCATTTTTTCATGTGTTTTTTGGTCGCATAAATCTCTTCTTTTGAGAAGAGTCTGTTCATATCCTTTGCCCACTTGTTGATGGGGTTGTTTGTTTTTTTCTTGTAAATTTGTTTGAGTTCATTGTAGATTCTGGATATTAGCCCTTTGTCAGATGAGTAGGTTGCTAAAATTTTCTCCCATTCTGTAGGTTGCCTGTTCACTCTGATGGTGGTTTCTTTTGCTGTGCAGAAGCTCTTTAGTTTAATTAGATCCCATTTGTCAATTTTGGCTTTTGTTGCCATTGCTTTTGGTGTTTTAGACATGAAGTCCTTGGCCATGTCTATGTCCTGAATGGTATTGCCTAGGTTTTCTTCTAGAGTTTTTATGGTTTTAGGTCTAATATGTAAGTCTTTAATCCATCTTGAATTAATTTTTGTATAAGGTGTAAGGAAGGGATCCAGTTTCAGCTTTCTACATATGGCTAGCCAGTTTTCCCAGCACCATTTATTAAATAGGGAATCCTTTCCCCATTGCTTGTTTTTGTCAGGTTTGTCAAAGATCAGATAGCTGTAGATATGCGGCATTATTTCTGACGGCTCTGTTCTGTTCCATTGGTCTATATCTCTGTTTTGGTACCAGTACCATGGTGTTTTGGTTACTGTAGCCTTGTAGTATGGTTTGAAGTCAGGTGGTGTGATGCCTCAAGCTTTGACTTTCTTCACAGAATTGGAAAAAACTACTTTAAAGTTCATATGGAACCAAAAAAGAGCCCACATTGCCAGGTCAATCCTAAGCCAAAATACAGACTTTTTTGATAAAAGGCTTTTATCATATTTTGAATATATTTTTATCAAAATCTTGGAGCTGAACATTTAGCTTATCCGGTTTATACCATCTTTACCTAGTTGGTAAAATCAGTCCTTGTTGTTCAAATCAATAAGTAAAATCAGGTTTATTTCATGTCAAAATAAAATCTAGCTATACTTTCAATCCAAATAAATGTTAATATATATTTTGAGAATATTATAAAAACCACTGAAAAATAAATTATGGAATGCATATTATAGAGAAGACTATTAAAAGTAGACAAGGAAGTGTTAAAAGATTTGGGTCTGATATGATTAATTATATCCAAGTAACTTATACATTTAGCTACACATTTTATTGCATTATATCCAAAAATAATGCAATAAAATGTGTAGCTAAATGTATAAGTTGTTTGTGAAGTGAAGAGTATAATAAAAAGCATAATGTTTCCTAAATATATTCTCATGTATATAGAATTCTGCTGCTTTCCTTTTGGGAATGATTAAATACCAATCACGTATAAAAACAGAAACAATTTTATTAATTTCATCAGACATCAAATCAAGTATTTACTAGTATTCAGTGAAAGAAAGTTACATATAGTGAAAATTAATATTGGTCTGGCAGGTCAGCCTATACTTTCATTTATTGTTAAATATTTTACAACATAAAATGAAAATTGGCTGCATTGGAGTAAATATTTTGTAAAATGATTGGATTCAGAATAAAATTTAAATACTTTATTGAATGATTAATACAAAATCTGAAAAAAATACAAGATTCCTATTTCTCAGTTTTATCCAGTGAATCTTTAAAAATTTGCTGTCTCGGAAAAGATTCTGGGCATGGTGGCTCATGCCTGTAATCCCAACACTTTGGGAGGCCAAGGCGGGTAGGTCACCTGAGGTCAGGAGTTCAAGACCAGCCTGACCAATATGGTGAAACCCTGTCTTTACTAAAAATACAAAAATTAGACCAGTGTGGTGGCATGTGCCTGTTGTCCCAGCTACTCGGGAGGCTGAGACAGGAGAATTGCTTGAACCCAGGAAGTGGAGGTTGCTCCACCCTGGGTGACAGAGTAAGACTCTGTCAAATAAAAAAAAAAGGCAAGATTCTGGTTATATTTAAAGTAGTCAGCATGACCAATCTGTGCTGCTTCACCACCTCAGAGCTGCTTTTCTTTCCAGCTAATGGTATGTCCCAGAGATAAGATGATAAATGCCTATCTTTAAATGTGGCAGGAAAGGAGTCACTTTAAGCATTCTACATCCTCTCTTCTCTCAGAGGCCTCTCCCTAAAAAGAGGTGAACATTTTGTAATTGTTAGGAGATAGAAAACCAGACATTACTCTCAGCCATGCTCTATGACTTAGCTAAATTCAGAGCCTCCCCACACATACCTAGTACCCTGGGTATAGCACAACCCTTCACTCTATAGAAATACACATGACATTGAGAACCACAAGCCCAGACAAGTGGTTCCAAGTGGAACTTGGATTACAAGGAGGTGTCTGTGAAATCACTCCTACCATGTTTCCCTTCACTGGGGGACCCCCTCAGGGTTGGAGGCTTATTCCTCGAGACAATGCACCATAGAAAAAGCCTGTGGTGAAATGGGGAAGGGAGAATCAGGCAAGGGGTAAAGGAAGAAAGAACCCACATACATTTGCAGGTTTGTTCTCAGGTGGATATGTTCTAGGAAAGAGTATATTGAGAAATTGAGATCTGAAAATTGATTCTTTTAAAGATTTTTGTGACTAAGTGTGGTGGTCCACGGCTGTAATCCCAGCCTGTAGCATGCGCCTGTGGTCCCAGCTACTTGGGAGTTTGAGGTAGGAGGATCGCTTGAGGCTAGAGGTTCAAGACCAGCCTGGGCAACATAGTGAGACCTCATCTCAAAAAATAAAAATAAAAAATAAATCAGCTGGGCATGGTGGTACATGCCTGTAAGTCCTAACTACTTGGGAGGCTGAGGTGGGAGGATAGATTGAGCCCAGCAATTAGAGGCTGCAGTGAGCTATGATGGTACCACTGCACTCCAGCCTAGGCAACAGAGCAAGACTCTGTCTCAAAAAAAAAAAAAAAAGCTATTTGTGCTGTGTCCCGTCCCTTTGGAAACTCTCCAGTTTATATCTGAATGGCAATAGAATGATCATCCAGATGGATGTTTTTTTCTAACTTCCTAGATATTTGCTTCTTACAGAGATAATCTGAATCTATTCAGCCCTTTTTTAAAAAAAAGTCAAAATGAAATATTTTAAACATACACAAAGGAACACACAACAAATCCCCCACTATGACCCAGCAACAGCAATCATCACTCGTTAGATACTGTTATCTGTACCCTCCACTAATCCTTCCCACTAGAGTATGTGGAAGCAAATCCCAGGCATTGTATCATTTCAATTCTAAAGATTTTGTATGTATCTCTAAAAGATAAGGATGTTTTAAAAATATGTAACAATTATATTATCTCACCTTTAAGAAAACCAATTCCTTAATATCAAATAGCCAATCAGCAATCAAATCTCTCCAATTGTCTCATAACTTTTTTTTAAAAGGCAGTGGTTTGAAATTGAATCTAAAAAAGGTCCACACATTTCATTTGGTTATTGTCTCTTACCTCATTTAATCTTTAAAAAAAAAGAGAGAAAGAGAACTTTTTTTTTTTTTCTGACAAATTCTTTGTTGAAGAAACAGAATCATTATTCTGGGATTTTTTTTTTTTTTTTTTTTTTTTTTTTTTTTTTTTTTTTTTTGGTCTCCATGATGCCATTTAAATGATTTCTCTTTTCATGTATTTCCTGTAATCCAACATTCTGAAGACTTCATCTGATTCAAGTTTTGCATTTTGGCAAAGATATTTAATAAGTGATGATGCATGTATTCACTCAGAAGTTCATAGTGTCTGGTGGTCCTCTTTTGGAGCTGTGAGTGGACATTGCTGGCCATTGCCTAGATTCATTATTTCATTATGGGCTTGAAACTAGTGATATTTCAATTCTTGTATTTCTTCCCTTTATCAAATGGGAGATTTCTATAGAGAGAAGCTTTTCTTCACCAGCTATTTGGTTACACTGAAGTGCCATTTGTATTGGAGAGTGTTCAGCTCTTTAAAAAAATTAATGAAATAAATTTCATATTGTTATGTTTTTAAATTTTATTTTAGGCATCTGTACTTTTGTTAAAAGCCATCCTAAAATACAGGGTTGTTTTCCTTCAAGGAAAACCTGAAATTAAATTATTTCTGGCACCAACTCTTATGCCAATCAATCTTTTTAAAAAATGTAATGAGTAAAATGATTTGACATGTGTACTTTTGTGAGATTTGGTATTTAACCTCTAACTCTAATTTCTGCTGGGTTTTTTTATAGCCAAAACGGTATCAGAAGATTAGGATATACATATTCACTTAGTGATCCTATTCTCAATCAGACACAATATAGTGATGAGTACACTTGGAAATCACACTCTAAAGAAGATTTGATCAAAACTGAGACTTCAAGAGGAATCAAGAGCCACAAATCTCATCTCAATGAAGTAAGATAATATCTACATATGTGTTGAATTTAATACTGTACTGTATCAACAACTCATAAGAATGAGAGTTTAAATATGTCACAAAGATCTCTCAGCTTCTACAGTCACAGGATACATGGTTCTTTTTAGACTATTTCCTGTCTACCTTCTCACATTTATTTCTAACCTCTTGTGTTCTATCCCCTGGAGTTTTTTTTAAAAAAGGACTTTTTAAAAATTGAAGTGAAATTTACGTAATATAAAATTAACCTTTTAAAGTGAACAATTCACTGGCATTTAGTACATACATGCTGTTGGACAGCCATCACCTTTATTTTTGTTCCAAACCATTTTCATCATCCTAGAAGGAGACCTCATACCCATTAAGCAATTACCCCCGACTCCACTCCCCACCGTCTGCTTTCTATGTCCGTGGATTACCTTTTGTGGATATTTTACATGTGGAATCAATAATAGGTGACCTTTTGTGTCTGGCTTCTTTTCACTTAGCATAATGTTTTCAAGGTTCATCATCTAAGAAATTATCTGACTAGAAAGAAGACAGGAAAAGCACTATTATGAAGACTACCCATGTAGCATCCGTGTAGCAAATATCAGTACTTCCAGTCTTTGTCACAGTTGAATAATATTCTCTTCCGCGGATAAACCACAGTTTGTCTGTGTGTGCATCCATTAATGCATCTTTGGATTGTTTCCACCTTTTGGCTATTGTGAATTGTGCAGCTATGAACAGCCATGTACAAGTACTTGTGCTTAGCCTTGTGTTTCATACGCTCTCAAACCTCCATTTTTTAAATCATTCTGTTGCCTCTACCTAGAATGCCCTTATCCTGTGCATGAAGGGAACTCCTATATTTCTTCAAGACTCACATTAAAGAAAGCCATCTCTAAGTTCCTTCTCCCCTGGGTGGAAATAGCTGATTCTCCGTGTGTGTTTTCTTGTCTTTCTATTCCCTTCTCCCATCACAAAAGGTAATGCTTTGTTGTAGTAAAGGGTTTCATTTGCTTGACTGCCACATGGGATGGGACAACCTGGGATGGAGCCACCTTGATGCATTCAATAGATGATAAAGTGGTAGAATGAACAGGATTTGATGACTAAAAGGATGCAAAGGATAAGGAAGAGGAAAGTATAATGTTCAACTTCTGACTTGGACAGCTGGTGTATGCAGATTCTGTTTACTCAGCTGGAACATGGTGGAGGACCAGGTTGGGTGGAGAAGGGCATTGGGGGAACATGTAGTTTCAGTTGAAGACATGTTGGTTGAAGATGTGTCCAACAGGCAGTTTAATAGACAGGTCTGGAGCTCTTGGGGGAGAGATGAGCTGGACATATGGACTTGGAAGTCATTAGAATGTATACATATAGCTGATTAAATTTGGTTCCTTGTGATATCCATTCATTGTAATGTATTCAACCCTGAAAAAAAATATATATATTTATAGACCTATACACACACACACACACACACACACACACACACACACACACACATATATGTATGTATATATCTCTTGGAGATATACACATAAAACTCCTGTCTCTAAAAATATATATATCTAAATTATATATTTAATATATAATTTATATATAATATAAAAATATGTCTCTAACATATGTATTATTATGTATAATTAGATATATTACAGACAAGATCTTGCTTTGTGGCCCAGGGTGAAGTGCAGTGGCACAATCAATCAGAGGTCACTACAGCCTCGAACTCTTGAACTCAAGTGATGCTCCCACCTCACCCTCCAGAGTAGCTTAAAGTACAGGTGCATGCCACCATGCCCAGCTAATTTTTTATTTTTTGTAGAGATAGAATCTCACTCTGTTTCCCAGGCTGGTCTCAAACTCCTGGGTTCAAGCAATCCTTTCACCCTGGCCTTCCAAAGCCCTGGGATTACAGCCGTGAGACACTATGCTTGGTCATCCTTTATATTTTAAAATTAATGTAGAAGAGTTGATTACAATATTATACTGTATGTATACAATATTATACTGTATTTATACATTCACAAACACACGACCATATAATTTTCCCTTCCTCTAAGTACTATTGAAGGCTCTCAACCAATGAGAGCTAGTGTGGCTGACTGTCCTGCGTGTTCTCAGCCAATGAGTGTTCACATGCCAGATGGCAGCTCCTATTATTCTAGGTATTGAATATCAACAACTGCTAACGTTACACAAGAAAAACAACGATGTATTATCTGCCTCCTACAGCCTTGTGAAACACCATTTATTCAGGGGTGTCTAATCTTTTGGCTTCCCTGGGCCACAGTGGAAGAAGAATTGCTTTGGGCCACACATAAAATACACTAACACTAATGATAGCTGATGAGCTTTAAAAAATGAAATCGCAAAAATATCTCATAATGTTTTAAATAAGTTTATGAATTTGTGTTGGGCCACATTCAAAGCCATCCTGGGTGGGGCCACAGGTTGGACAAGCTTGACTTCTAGTTTAGTGAATTTGAGTCTCTGGATACACCTGCCAATTTGCAGGAAATACAGGGGACAGAGGAACTTGTTAAACAACAAATGCATACGCAATCAACAAAATCCAGACTTTGGGACCTCTGCACAGCAAATGGCTTCTTCAATAGATAAATCATAATTTTATGTATTGGTTTTTCCAGTTGATAGATTGTGAGGGAAAGAAGGGAATCAAGAGAGAACTTGAAAATTAAAAGAGGTTTAAAAGGCAAGTTTGGGACAGCGAGTATACCTAACTATTTTGAAGAATTTTGGTGCAAAGGGAAACTGAGGAATAGCTTAGTAACTAGAAGGGGAAGTACAGTGAAGAGAGTGCTTTCTTTTTAAGATAGGAGAAATAAACGCATTCTTTGATACAGATGGCAATGATCCAGCAGAGAGGAAGAGATTCAAGTTGCAAGAGAGAAGTAAGGACTGTTGGAGCGATTTGCTGGAGTAGACTCAGTAGAGAGGGATCTAGTGCTGCAGGCGGGGCTGGGCCTTGCTGAGGGCACCTGCGCGGCTCCCCTCCCGTCACAGCATGTGTGAGTGCAGGTGCGGTGGCTGGGACACGGTTGGTGGGCTGTGGAGGTTATTTTCTGGTGGCTTCAATTTTCTCAGGGAAATAGGAAGCAAGATCATGGGAAAGAGGGACGATGGCAAGAGGGGGTGAAGATTTCAAGTTTTATCATCCTAAAATCTCTCTTTTTTAATTTTATTATTATTATACTTTAAGTTTTAGGGTACATGTGCACAACGTGCAAGTTTGTTACATATGTATACATGTGCCATGTTGGTGTGCTGCACCCATTAACTAGTCATTTAGCATTAGGTATATATCCTAATGCTATCCCTCCCCCCTCCCCCCACCCCACAACAGGCCCCGGTGTGTGATGTTCCCCTTCCTGTGTCCATGTGTTCTCATTGTTCAATTCCCACCTATGAGTGAGAACATGCGGTGTTTGGTTTTTTGTCCTTGCAATAGTTTGCTGAGAATGATGGTTTCCAGCTTCATCCATGTCCCTACAAAGGACATGAACTCATCATTTTTTATGGCTGCATAGTATTCCATGGTGTATATGTGCCACATTTTCTTAATCCAGTCTATCATTGTTGGACATTTGGAGGTGACAAGAGAGTGCTGGCCATTCCTGTCCTTCAGCAAGTTGCTGAGGCCTCTGCATGTAAGGCAGAGTTTTCCTCAGGGGCTCCCAAGGGGAAAGCAGCTACTGCCTGTGCTCCTTGGGAATGGCCAGAACTAGAATTAACATGGGTTATTTCTTCCCTTAGTCTTATCTGTAGGAGACTTCTGGTTGGAAGCACAACTCTTTGAAGTTTTCAATCTCATTTTCTCATTTTCAATGTGAAAAGTCAAAGAAATGTACAGAGCCCGCGTTTCGACTGGGTCAACCAATGTCTCCTGTTGACGGGCTCCCAGCATCCATGCACCTGCAGTGGCAGCTGGTTGTAAAGGATTCTGAAGAATATGTGCACACAGACACTCAGATTATTGATCCTATTGGGTGAACCCATATGGATTTTCTTGAAAATTATGTTTGCTTTGATAGGACATTTTCCTGTGGACACTACCTCACTGTCAACAAACGGGGACACTAAAGAACTGCCTCCCTTGGAAAATCCCGGCTTCAATGAAAGAAGTTAACAAGGCACTATCAAATCAGTTTATTTCCCTTACTAAGAGAGACTTTGTGGACAGATCAAAAGGTAAACACTTTTGTTTTTCTTTTTTTCCTGGGTCATGTGGTAGGCCCTGGAGTTGCAGTGGTCGGCAGCATGCGTGTGTTCTTCTCCTTCAAGGAACTTGAAGTCTAGGCATGGAGACAGGCGACTTTGCAAATAAAAACCATCAAGTATAAAAAGGTGCACCTTGTGGGAAATGCAGGTTGCTGTGGGCATACAGGAAGACATCCAGCTTAGTGTGGGATAGGGGGTCAGGAAAGGCTTCCCTGCCTGGCCCAAAGGATGAAGAGGAATTAGCCAGGCAAAGAGGTAGGGGAGAGTGTTGTTACAGGATTGAAGACCTGCAGGAACATTTCAGGAACTAAAAGAACTTCAGCAAGAGTAGAGCATCAAGGGCAAAGGGAGGGTTGAGGGAGGAGATCAACGTGGGCAGAGAACACCCAGTCTGGAAGGGCATTACAGGGCATACTAAAGAGTTTGGAGTTCATCCCAGAAGCAATTAAGAGGTTTTTATTAAGGTAGTGACACAATTCAGATGTCGACTTTTAGAAGCCTCACACTGGCTGCAGAGTGAAGAATGGAGATGGCCCTTCAGGAAGAAGGTGGACAGGAGGAGGCTGTTAGGGGAGCGCAGAGAGGAGTGAGGTGGCTTGACACAGGGCTGTGGCAGTGCGGATGGAGGCAGGATCTGCAAGGTGGTGGCATGGGCACTTCAGTCAGCAATAAGCCCCTTCCAGGGTAGGGGCTGTGGCTTTTGGCTCACATTGTCTCACCAGCACCCACCCCAGTGCCTGGCTTATCACAGGTGATGAAAATAAATATTGGTTGAACAAATAAATGAATGATAGGGATGAGTGACTGACAGATGTCAGAGATACGGGAGTAATAGGAGTCTGCCTTGGAGTTCCTTGTGGATGGGATGCTGGTGTCTTCTGTAGGTAAGTAGGAAACCATGAGAGGATGAAGTGAGGGCCATTTTATTCTCTCCTTTGTTAGAGATGAAAAGTCCAGCACACTATTCATCCTGCTTCCTGGAAGAGCACATGTGTCCTGGGATGGGAACTCTGCTATGCAGATTCCCCTGTGAGAATCTAGATTCTCTCATGCTTCACCTGGCTCTGCCCTTAGGGCTCTGTGGCTGGGAACACCTTTGACTGTTTTTTTGTAGGGTAAGTAGAGATGACATCATAGCTTCCATGTCTCAGGGGGTCAAAAATGAGTTCCATCTATACCAACACATTTTCCAGAAATGACATATTTGGTGATTCAATGCAATTTTGGTCTTGCTTATCAGCAGGAAATTTACTTTATTGAGAATTCATGAAAATTGATTATATTTTTAGACGCACAGACGGAAATCTTTTCCTAAGTTACTGAGAAAGCCACACACGCTGGTGCATGGCTCTAAGCCCTGTGACACAATGGCAGTTGGAGTATTGGTGTTCTCCTGCTTTTTGGTGACAAAATAATGACACCCAGTGACTGCTGAGGAAGGCTGGCTGCCCTGTGGGCTCTGAACACAAGCCAGGGAGTGCTGAGGGCCCCTGTTCACCCGAGGACAGGAGAATGACACATCTCTCAAGGTCTGGGTGTCTCCATCTTCATCCTACATCCCTTTTCCTGCCCCAACAGAACCATCAATCCCTGTGAGCTGTGGATCTGTCTCCCTGTCCCCTGAACAAGAACTTTATCTTTCCAGTTCTCTGGCCTTTTCTCCAACATCATCCCTCCATCTCTAAAGTATTAATCCCACCCCACCGGCATGCACATTGACTGTAGTATATCCCGTCTAGCATGTTCCAGATGAAAACAAAAACAGAGCTTTCCCTCAACCCCATCTCTTCTTTTAGCTACTGTTCATTTCTCTGCTTCCCTTCATAAACAGCCAATGTTTACTAAGCCCTTAGCTTTTCATAAATTAACACAGTTAATTTTCACAACCTGTGAAGTTATTACCGCCAATCAAAGAGGGGGATCTAAAACTCAGTGTGGTTAAGCAACATGCCCAGGGTTGCCCAGCTCAGGACTGGTGGTGTCTAGGATTTGAACCCAGGCAGTCTGGCTTCTCTTATTAGAACTACCTCCTTCCCAGCTAAAATTCCTTCAAGAGTCAGTTTATACATGGTATTCTGAATTCCTAACTTCTTGTTTACAGTTTTTAAACATTAAAATTTACTTTTATTAAACAAATGTATGCATATACTTAAATGATTACTTACAGGCATATAAAGAAACAACAGTAGTTCCTTGACCTACCCCGCCCCATCCCTACTCTTATTCCTCATTGGCAGTCAATTTCAATCTGGTTAACTATTTCTTCTTATGTGATTTTTAAATAATTTGCTTCTACTGCTCCTCTTCATTCATGAATTTTAGACGTTATTGACTTCTGTTTTGGAAGCTGAGGATTTGGCTATCCTATAACTCTGTCTCACTGGCCCTCCATCCATCATGTCAATATAATTATATTACAGATTTCTTGTTAAATTCAATTGCTAGTGTATATATTATGATATGACATACTGTGATTACATGAGTACGTAAATGTTTGCTGCTGAGCCAAGTTGTATTTCATTATTTCCTTTGCTTGTTGTTTTCTCTTATTTTTACCAGAATTAATTGTTTTTCTCTACGTGTTTACTTTTCTACATGCCTGTCACTATTTTTTTCCATACTTTGTTGTACACTTACCAAAATTTTTTCCAAACACAATGACAGAATAGAACAGAGAAAAGAGAGGAGAGAAAAATATTAAAGGAGTAATGCAGGAAAAAATTCTCAGAGTTTCTAGATTGAAAGGGCCCCTGAATGCCTGACATAACGAATGACAAAAGACTGTCACTAATGCATGTAAGTGTGGAATTTCAGAATGTCAGGAATAAAGAGATCTTAAGTGTTTCCAGGGGGTTGACATAAAAAAGATCAGAAATTAAAATGTCATCTGTCTTCTACATAGAAATCCTGGATGCTAGAAGACATTTGGAAAAATGTGTTGAAGGGAAGTGATTTCCAACCTAAAATTCTATATCCAGCCAAACTATCAAGCAAGTCTAATGAAGAAAAAAAGACATTTCCAGATTGACAAGAATATACTTTCAAAAGTTCCTCCAACACACCCTTTCTTAGGAAGCTACTGGATAGTTGGATCGAGCCTTAAATTATCTTACCTTTTCTCTCCTAGCTTCTTTCTCTTTGTATTTTTGTTCTGTTTATTTGAAAACTTCTATACCTTTTTTGTTTTGTCTGTTTGTTTGTTTTTCATGGAGACAGAATCTCCACCAGGCTGGAGTGCAGTTGTGTGATCTTGGCTCACTGCAGCCTCTGCCTCCCAGATTCAAGCAATTCTCATGCCTTAGCCTCCTGAGTAGCTGAGACTGCAGGCATGCACCACCACGTCCGGCTAATTTGTTTGTATTTTTAGTAGAGTCAGGATTTCACCATGTTGCCCAGGCTGGTCTTGAACTCCTGAGGTCAGGCAATCCACCCACCTCAGCCTCCCAAAGTGCTAGGATTACAGATATGAGCCACCATGCCTGGCTGAAAACTTCTTTACTTTTTAATCTAGCTCTTCATTAAATTTTATTACAGGTCTCATATTTTTAATTTCTAAGCTCTCTTTCTTCCTCCCTCCAATTATTTTTTAAAAACAGCATTCTGCTCTTATTTTATAATGCAGTAATTCTCATGAATTTTAAGATATTTATGATATAATTAACTTTCAGCATTTTCATCTGTTTCTTGCATTGTTTCCATTTTTCTCTGAGTGTCTTAATGGTCTAATGAAAATTTGATTGTCCATATTTGCAAGGGAGCAGAGGCCGATTCATTATAAAGCTAATAAAACTCAAGTTTCACTTTTGTGGACTCTTCTTTTTCTTAAAGTGGGTGCACACAAAATATTAAACTCCAAGGCTCAAAAACCTACAAAGGAGGTATCAAATATAATTAAAAACTGTGTACAAAGAAGGGACTTGTTAGCTGGTACTTGACTTAGGTGATTAGAGGATGAGCTATCTTTCTTGGGGGAAATCCCTAAATGCCATTATTTGTGGATCAGTCTCTCCAGAGAGGTAATTCTGACTGCTGGCATTCTGAGAGCAGGAGTGGAGAAGCAAGGGGTTGGGATCTTCCTGGCTGGTGTGCAGACTTTCACTGACCCCTCTTTTTTTCAATCAAGCATCTCACTCCACTCACCTTTTACCATGCCTGGTGTCCCTCAGTCCAGAGCTTCTTTGGTTCAGTTTTGCAGAGAATAAACTTCTAGTTAGGAAGGAATAGTCATATGACTATGCAGGGTTATGAAGGTGATCCGGGAAGCCACTTGGTATTCAAGCTTTCAGCCAAGCCTCTGTGTTCAGCCCTGAGCCTTGCTCCCTGCCTTCCACTGTACCTGTTACCTTTGAGCCTGCAAGTGTTCTGTAGTGTGGGTTACCTAGTTCACTTCTTTGCTATTATTCCCTGCTGCAGTCATCTAGGCTTCAGCTTCCTCTACTTTGCTCAATCAGTTGCTACATCTACATTTGCTTTCCATTTTCTAAAAAAATGTGTTAACATTTCTAATCTACGATCATTTTGCTGGAGTTTGGGGACAGAGGAGTCCTAACTGCAGGGATACAATCCATTGAGTTTAATGGGAAGCTTGCCCTTTGACTTTTCAACCCCTTCCAACCTGGTGTCTGCCCCCACCATTCACTGAACTGCTCCTTTCAAGGTCTGCAATGACCTTCAATGGAGATTTTTCCATTTGTGTCTTACCCAACTTTTGAGCATCATTTAACTGTGGATTCTGCTCTCTCTCTCAGACCACTGTTCTTGCATTTCTGTGTTGCCACACATTCCTAGTTTCCTCCTACTTTTTTGACTCCTTCTCTCTGGTGATTTTTCTGTTTGGCCTCTAACTGTTAGAGTTTCTGATTCCTTTAAAGAACAACTATCCTGAGAACCTCCACATTTGTATCTCTTCCCAAACCTCTCCTTAGACCCTCAGTTTCCTATATTGGGTGCTGAGTGAAAGCCTCATGAGCATTCCAACTCATCTCCTTCCCCCGGCAGCCGATCTTCCTGCATTATCCATAGGTTCCCTCCAATTGTTTCACCACCTGGCAGCTAGAGGAGCTTTCCCAGTGAGCTTTTCCAGTTTTGTGTCCTCTAACCCACTGTCCATAAGACAGCCATCATGAGTCTCCAGATGTGCAAACTGATGTCACTTTATGGATTAAAACCCTTCAGTGAATTTTCATTGTCCTCAGGATAAAAGCTAAATGCCTTACATGAGTCCTGTACAATCTGGTCCTGGCCGCCATGCTGCCTCCTCTCTTGTCAGCCCCCACCCTCATGACCTTGCCAGCCGTCCCGACTAACAGCCTCCGCATACCTCCATGCCTCGTGGCCTTGTGCTGGTGGCACACATTGCTTCCTCCCTGTGGAGCAGGTCTCCCTTCCTTCTCAGCCTCTGTCTACCCATAATTTAAGTCTGGTTGTACGCCTCGCCTCTCTTCTGGAAGCCTTCTTTGATCCTCCACCTTTGGGTTATTGGCCTTCCCATGTGTTTTAACAGCCCTGGTTCTTACTTCTTTTGTAGGACTTATGATATTGTAATAATCTAAGCTTCTGAAGAACAAGGGCCATGTCTTAGCTTTTTATCCTCATTATGGAATTAAGGTAAACGACTGAGGAGCACTGAAATGTGCTGCTTTTCACAGTCAGGCTTAGAGAACGTGGCTTTGATGAATCAGAGCAGCTGATAGACAGCGGAGCTAGTTCCCACTTGACTATAGGTTATGTGTCAATGGTCCTAATGGGTTGTTTTTTGTTTTTGTTTTTGTTTTTTTTTTTGAGACGGAGTCTCACTCTGTCACCCAGGCTGGAGTGCAGTGGCCTGATCTTGGCTCACTGCAAGCTCTGCCTCCCGGGTTCATGCCATTCTCCTGCCTGAGCCTCCCGAGTAGCTGGGACTACAGGCACCTGCCACCATGCCCAGCTAATTTTTTTTTTTTGTATTTTTAGTAGGGACGGGGTTTCTCAGTGTTAGCCAGGATGGTCTCAATCTCCCGACCTCGTGATCCACCCGCCTCGGCCTCTCAAAGTGCTGGCATTGCAGGCATGAGCCACCGTGCTCAGCTGGTCCTAATAGTTTTGAATGGTCCTTGCTGAAGACTTACTTTTGGTTTGGGCCTTTCTGCAGATGCCATACCTAATCTTAAATGGGCCAGTTTCTTTCTTTGGGCTAAACCATTCCAGTTTTACTCCAGTGGAAAAGAAACCCAGGGAGCTGAGCTCCTGAGGAACAGGAACCCTGGGGGGAGGCGTCATTGGGTCAGGTTAGCTCTAACTCATGGTTATTATTTTTGTCCATACTTTAGCACAAATACGGGGGTTTTAGGTGTCGCTTAGGTCCCTTTTTATCAGGAACCTGTCTTCCAAATAACGCATGAAGCTCATTAACACAACATTTTATAAAGACAACAAAAGCCTCAATTTTAAAGAACTAAGCCCATGCTATGGAATGAACAATATATAGTTTACTAGGAGTTACCTTAAGCATAGCTTGATCACATAGGCAGTCACTAGAGTGTACTTCAGATATTAATTGCTAATCCATAGCAGTTATGTTTCCAGGTTTTTTGGTGTGTGCGTTCACTCATTAACTTAGTAAATACTTAATGAGTTCTATCACTGTGATAAGTACTGAGGATCAATGAAGAGTGAGACTCTTTGTAGTCTGCAAAACTTTTCCCAGGTGATTCTGATGTCTTATTTCCATGTGAGATCTACAGTCCCAAGTGTTATGGTTGTAAGGCTCACCACATTCCCTGTTCATTCTATAGATATTTAAGTCTAGGTCCTGGCTTTTGCCTTTTCTGGGTCTTCATCTCCAATGATTCCACCTCTATGCCGGTCCATCATTGTTCATGTGGAACGGACGTTCCAGACTCTTCACAGCCTGGCCCCAGCTTGCCTCTCCTATTTCACCCTCAGCTCCTCCTCCCTGCCCTGCATGCCCCACCCTTCTGTGAGCCAGGCCAAGTTTCACAAACACACTATGCAGTTTTTGCTTCTGTACTGACCCGTTGTCAAAGCTCCTTACTGTGACTGCCTTTTCGTCCTTGTCATCCTCCTCTTCCTCCAACACAGCCCCTCATACTCTCTCTGGGCTCCTGTAGCACCCTATTCAAAGCTCTGAGTCGTATTTCTTAAGCACATGGGCGGTTTGTTTTCACAATCTAAGTGCCTGGGGCTCACTTCTGGAGGTTCTCAATGTCTGGAATGAGGGTCAGCAGATGTATTCTGAGAGACCCTTCCCAGGTGATTCTGATGTCATATTTCCACGTGAGATCCACAGTTCCAAATGTTATGGTTGCAAGACTTACCACATTCCCTACCTGTTTGTTCTGTAGATATCTTTGTATTCACGCTAATTGTCTTAAGGTAGAACAATGACTTAATTATGTATAACCTTGGCAAATAGCACAGAACTGATATAGGAACTGAAAACATTTACTATTGAATGGTAGCTCTAGGGAAGAGATATAGATAAAAGCATCAAGTATTTCAGTGGAAATTTGTTTTTGCTTATAAAGCTCCTAGTGAAAAAGTCAAGTGTCTTAGTCTGTTTTGTACAGCTTTGACAAAATATGTGAGACTGGGTAATCTATGATGAAATAAATTTATTTGTTTCATGATTCTGGAGGCTGGGAAGCCAAGAGCATAGTACTGGCACCTTGCAAGAGCCTTCTTGCAGCATCATCCCCTGATGGAAAATGGAAGGACAAGAGCGTGAAAGTGAGAGAGAGAAAGGAAGCCAAACTCACCTTTTTGTCAGGAACCCACTCTTGCAATAATTAGCCCACTCCCACAATAACAGCATTAATCCACTCATGAGGGCAGAGTGCCCATGACCCAAACACCTCCCATTAGGCCCCACCTCCCAACACTGTTGCATTAGGGATTAAGTTTGCTTTTGCGGGGACACATTCAAATCATAGCACTAAGTTATAGATGGAAGTTACAGGAACAGTACCAGATGGTTTTCCAAAATATCTTAAGGGGTGCCCTGATTTTGAGCCCCACAAGTTCCTCCCCTCTATAACCTGTCTTCTGTATGGGCAGTTTATGAGGTCATTATGAGGGCTATTGAATACCCATGCCCTCTCCTCCTGAGTTATCTAAAGTAAGAGGCAACATGTACTGGAATCCTCTCCTCCTCTGCTGGTCTAGACAGAAATCATTTTTAAAAAATCAATATAAAAATGCTCTCAGGTGCCAGTAGATGCAATTATGTATCCTTTGATATAAAACGTATACCAGTAGGTACCATTATAAATCGTTTGATACATAATATATATTAGGATTTATTTTGAAAAGATCTATTGGAAAACTAATTTGGAAGAGAGTTGAGTTCAGTGTCAATAGTAATTTGCACTGTTTGGACATTGCTCATGAAACTCATATTTTTGACATCTTTGTCTTTCTGAATAAAGATGGTGTTACATGATATGCCTCTGAACTAAGGCTTTGTAGCAAGAATCAGGAATGAACTCATTCTAAGTGAGATGGATTGTGACTCTTGCCTCTGTAATCTGATAATGTTTGTAACACTGGCTTCAGTGCTTCATAGATATTGAATGAATATGTTTTAGCAGAGATATTTCAAAGAAATAACAGTGGTGCTATCCACTAATGCAGTGATGCCTAACCCTCCATCAGTAAGGGATAAGCTTCGAGTGTTTTTTTTTTCCAGGTAATAGGGATGATATACAGCACCCCATCTAAGCCTGCCAGATTAAGCAAATAAAACTATGGGATGCCCAGTTAAATTTGAATAATGATATGCAGTAGATAGCAAGTATTTACACTAAAAAAGTCATTATCTGAAATTCAAATTTAACTGGGCATCCCATGTTTTATATGGCGACCCTGGCCCTATCCAAAATCTCTCTGACACCCACCTCTGCCCCAGGGACCAGACAGACCCAGTGGAGTGATCAGTGTCTTCTGTGCCCACTGAGCAGACTCATGACATAAAAATATATTCACTAGAGACCACTTCTGATCATTTGAGTATATACTTCCTGTGACTGACAAAGCAGAAAATTATTTCTCCATTGAAGTGTTCATACAGGGCACATTGACCATACCTCTAAACACAGCAAGAGTGGGTTTAGCTACTTTGTTCACAAGGAGTAAGTATTGCCTTCCATTTCCATTCCACCCCAGCTCAGAAGATTAAGAAAAGTTCTCACTTGTCTCTGGAATGGAAAAAGTTACTTCCCCAACCTCCAGACACTGAATTCCGAAGGAATTACCAAATTCCAGCTAAAATTCCTGAGCTTCAAGATTTCAGTTTCAAATATGGATGCTACTCAAGCTTGCCTGTTGCTTCTCAGGGTCTAGGTGAGTACAGCTGCAGTTTCTTTTTCTTTTTCTCTTTTTTTTTTTTTTTTTTTTTTGAGACGGAGTTTCCCTCTTGTCGCCCAGGCTGGAGTGCAGTGGCACAATCTTGGCTCACTGAGATCTCCGCCTCCTGGGTTCAAGCGATTCTCCTGCCTCAGCCTCCCGAGTAGCTAGGATTACAGGTGCGCACCACCATGCCCAGCTAATTCTTTGTATTTTTAGTAGAGATGGGATTTTGCCATGTTGGCCAGGCTGGTCTCAAACTCCTGGTGTCAGGTGATCCACCTGCCTCGGCCTCCCAAAGTGCTAGGGTTACAGGCTGGAGTTACAGGCATGAGCCCAGCCCAGCTGCAGTTTCTAAAACAACCTCATAGATCTTAACCCCTGGCTCCAAAACTTCTCAACACAGAGGGCGCTGGCAGCCCGTTTTGGTAATAGTCATGGAGAAAGCCAGAGATCCTGGCATGAAATCAGAACCTTGTCGCTGCAGCTCCCAACCTGTAACCCAGGGAGCCAGTACATTGCAGAAGATGACTGACTGCTTAGGCCAAGAAATGAGTATCATCCCTGCTGGGGAGGGGCAGTGGTTGGGATTAGGGGATGCTTCCTTCTCCTAAAAAATGAGAGGGAAGGATGCAGTTGCTGTCAAGTGACAGAAAGCAATGGGGTGGGAATCCAGTTTAGTCTCAATTTTCTATTGGAAGTGTATCCACATGTGCATCCCCTGAAAGTTTTTAAAAATTCCGTGACCAAGCCACCTCCAAGCTACTAGTTAAACAGAAAACTTGGTGTCAGTCTGAGACATGGTTCATTCCTGGCATGGGGTTGGGATCAAGTAGCACTTGAGACAATAATCACAGAATTGATGCTTAGCACCTTGGGGTTAGAAGGTGGCCTAGAAATTACCTCATCCAGAGCCTCATATGTGTGACTCTTCCTGACTCCATCCTTGCCAAGGGGTGACAGTGCCCCTGTGTATCCACTTCAGGGTAGCCCCATCCCCCTTCGTTGTCTGATGCTCCAACTGTGTAGAAGTTGTAGCAGCTGTAATATTCCTTGCTAAACTTCTAGCCACTGGTTCCACTTCTTCCCATGGATGTTAGTTAGTATAAATCTATGACCCTACAAAAACCTTGTCATATGCCTTCTAAGTCTTCTCTTTTCCAGTTAAAGCATTTCCAGGCCCTACAAACACTCTTCTCAGGGTGCAGTGTCAAATCCTCTCACCAGTTTGGTTCCTCCATTTGGCCAATGACCCCTTAAAGGGGATCCCTGGAGCTGGAAGGTGTTCTTAAGGTTTAAAAGGATTGGGTAGGTTGTGAAAATTTGGTTTTTACATCGTGATTCTATTATTTTTTTCATGATAGTTTCTGGAATATTAGAACTCACATTAAATGAGCAATATTCATAATCAAATATAAGTGATTTGGGTGTTGCCTGCACCTCAGACCCCCATTAGTCCAAATGGACAATGAGCGATGACTGTAAACACCATCGTTCTTCTAAAATCCTCATCCGAAGATGCCTAGGTCCCTGGAAGGAAGTCCCTTACTGTGCCATCCCAAATGTGCACAGGAGATGTCCTGAAAGAAGAAGCTTCTATGAGGACCTTTGTTTATTAAGTAGGCAGTGAATATCACCATCATAGTGGCCAAGGGCAAACTTCCTCTTTACCCTCTGAAGGTTTGCTGAAAAATTGACTGACAAAAAGCAGATTAAAAGGAGAAAAGGCATATAAATTTATTAACATGCATGGGAGTCAAGCAAAATATAAGAACTCAAAGAAATTATGGGAGGGTTGATGCTTTTATATCATCTTGAGGTTATAGAAAGAGCTGGCTAAACAGGTTATGGGAGGGGGAGAAGAGGAGACCTGGCTAGCAAAGTTGGTCTTGTTCAGTGGTAGCAGCCCCCAGAGAGAATGATGGTAAAGGTTTCTTTTAGACCTATGAAGTCCGATCGTAGTTAATCTTTCTTAGATCCAGACAAGGGAAGGCCTTGGAAAGCCAGGCTTCATCAGTGCAGATTCCCTGTGGATGCGGGTCACCCCACTCTCAAAGACAACTTTGCAGGACTACTTCTGTCTGCAGGCCTTCTCAACAGCCATCTCAACGTATATCAAAGACGTGTAATTTGGGGTGAAATATTTCAGTTTCCTTCACTATCATAACACACTGACCTGCATAAGAGTCAAGTTCAGGGAAAACTTCTCTTCTGAAAGTGATGGTCAAACTCACCCTTCTGGTCATTCTCCGATCACTGCCACTTCCAGCAGCAACAGGCTGGAAGTCCCTGCAGCTCTGCTCAGCCCTGGTCATTGGAAGAATTTGTTTAATACAGAGCCTTAATGTCCAGCATCATGAAGGATGCTGCCTAAGCTCAAAGCTGGGCTGGGGGCTGTCAGGGTCATTTTCAAACAATAAGGGCAAGACTGGTGTGCTTGGGTGCCAGCCTTCCGACCTCTCCTCCCCTGTGTATTTCTATAGTGCCTTCTGTGCTGCACAGCTACCTGAGGAACCAAGAGCACACAAAGAAACAGACCACATACCAAAGTGACTACGACAAAACCTACCCAGATTTCTTAATGCTTTTAAACTCATTTACTTCCTCTCAAGTCAAAGAGTACCTTCAGAGTCTTTCCTACAAAGGTAAGATGAGGTCTTATTTCACACACTTACAGATCACAATACATTGCTTTTGCCAAATAGAAACTGTTCCAAGTTCTAGCCACTGGAGTTGAATGCCCACAAAAATGAAAACATTGCCTCAAAAAAAAAAAAAACTCATAGTGTTGTGCAAACCTCAATCCACTGAAAAGACATTTTCCTTTAAGGAGGCCCAGTGACTATATCCCCACTTATTAAAAAAGAGACATACAGCTTTTCACTCATTTCTGTTCTCATTTTGCCTGTGGCTGAATTGCTCCAGGATGATTCCTCTTTTTCTTAGAGCTAATTGATTTCTCCTTTGGGTGTTTGTACAGTCACGTTGTTTTGCTGTATTTTGTCTAATCTTTATTTTCTGTTTGCTGGTACATTTTTGTGATAAGCTTTTTAAGGTACAGGAAAATCTCTATATATCACTCTCTGAAGGAGAGCAAATGCCATTGATGTGGCTTCACTCCACATGACAAAAGACTTATCCTAGTTTGCAGCCAAGTGACTGGAATTGATTTGGGGGCATCTTAGGGGCAACAGGTCAGTCTGAGAGTGTATAAAATGTGAACTCAGAGAATAAGAGCGCTTGAGGAGAGGAAACTGAGCTCTTCCTGCAGCTGCCTCTCAGCATCCTACGTGAGGGATCACACACCCCCTATTCCCCCTCATTTGTGAGTACATCACCCAGTGCAGATGTAAAAATTTATATAAAATATATTCATATGCCAACTAAACTAATGTATCACATACATTTATAAAACATACAAACTGTTACAGAAGGAAGTAAAAAATATCAATAAAAGTCTAATATTTATTCCTGTACCCAGCTGATCATTTTCTGTACCCCATTTTGTGCTCTAGGCTATCTGGGGGCTACTAACTTATTGTGTGCCCTGTGATGAGGTTGGGACTTCCACTGGCCATGTGGGATCCCTCCAAGGGCTCTCTGTCTCTTGTCTGACTCTCTTGGGCCTCCAGGTGCTGTCCCCAGCCACAATCAGAAGAGCTTGCACCTCTGAAATCCTCGCTGAAACCCTCGTTTTGGGGATCTCCTGCCCTAAGAAAGACTGAAAACCTACTGTAGTCAAGGCTGACAGGGAAGGGTGTGTGTGAGTGTGTGTGTGTGTGTGTGTGTGTGTGTGTGTGTGTGTGTGTGTGCTGGGAGAAAGGAAGTATTTTCCACTCTCACACATTGAGGGCTGAGAGCCTAAAGACCCTTCTAAGAACTTGAATGCTGGGTTTCAGGGAGGTACAAGAAGCAGGTGTTTCCCTCCTACTGAGACAGGAGTATACATTTTCTGTTGAGATAAAGGAACATGGAGTGAGTATGATGCCTCCCTGCTCTCCACAGATGCCTCTGGGCCAGTCTGGCACTTCAGAAGAAAACCAAGAGGCTCCTAAGGCTCTGCTGGCTCAATCTTCCCAGAGTTCCCAGCCAAAGCTCTGCAGCAAGCTCAAGTCAGCCTGCCTGTTCTTGCTTTCAATTTTGTATATAAAATTATCCTCTGCATTTTACAAGGAGCTCTTTTTACCTTTAGGATCCACATCTGTTGGACCCTGTAGAAAGAGGATTTTTGTCTTCCCTAAGCAGATGCTCCCATCTGCCCAGGGACTTGCAATGCAGATTCAGCTGTCATTTCTCTGCCTTCATGGAAACCATGGTGTCTGCAGGCACCGCTGTCTCTTACTGTGTGTCAGGTGCAATCCAACCTTAGTGGCGCCCCTGAGGGTGAACTAGGGACTCCTCAAAGTGCTCTGGCAGCCTCAGATCTACATTCTCCAAGATACTGGGGTAAGCTGATCTTTCAGGTAAACACTCTGTCCACCTAATGGGGTTTTCCTCCCCAGACAGGTGAGGTAGACCTGTTAGCTAACAAGGTAACTTAGAATAAGCTAGGGTTTTGTTTCTTCTTAGCTCTTCTGCTTTCCTGGTTCCCTCAGGGCAGCACCAGGGGCAGGTGCCTGAAGGCTCATGCCCCAGAGCTTTCCTCTTTGGGGCTGCCTTGGGCTGATGCAGGATCTGCTTCCCATGGATTTTCACTCCTCTTTCCAAGCTCTGCTGTAGAATGGCCCACTCATCAATGCCAGCTTTATTAGAAGCTGAAAAACAAATGGAAGTTTCCCTCTGAATTCTTGTGCCCAAAACCTCTTGTCATTTTCTTGTGTCAGGCATGGCACTGATGCTTTTCAGCTGGTGAATATCACAGCAGAGCTTTTGTGGCTGAGTACATATGCAGATAATTTAAGAACCTGGCAGATGTGTTAGGCAGAATTATTATCAACTCAGCTTAAATTATTTTACAGGATTATCTCTCATAGGTTGTAGTCTCTGATGGAATAGAAGCCTAGAACAGGTACATTTTAAAAGAGAGAGAGAAAGAGATACAGAGAGAGAGAAAGGGAAAAGGCCAGGCTTGTTCTTAAGTAATGGGCCAAGTTGGGTGGGAGGTGAGGGTGTGGGAGAGAGACGGTGCGTGTTGGAGGGTGAAATACAGAGAAGAGAAAACTCCAATATGACAAAAACTAACGCTGTGAAAGCATAAAGGAGAGAGAGCTGAAGGCAAACCTTTCATTTCCACTAACTCCGTATGTCACCACTATTTGGTATTCAGTTTATTTATAACTTGAGGAGGTTGAACTAGTTATCTTTAGTGACTATTCTACTTTCAAATTGTTTTAATCTCTGAGTCTGCTTCAGACCACTCAAAAGCTTACTCATTGGGCAACTGTTTCCTATTGGTAAAGACTGTGTCATCAGTCCACTTTTCCCCTAGTTGAAAGGTAAAATGATCTGATACCCAGTTTTCTGTGAATTTGTTCAGCTATGGCTCCCTTCCCATCTCTTCCTCCAACTGAAACTCCCACAAATGGCCATGTAAAAGGCATTTCTTCCTAGCCTGTGATTCAATATTAAGAATCAATGTATTTACTCAAGAAATGCTCAGTTGATACAAAGATAAATAAGGAATCCTTCTTCTCAGGGAACTCATTATCTGGTATGGGAGATAGACACATAGTTAAAATGTCACCAGTTCTGTAATCAAAGTAATCTTCGGGTACAGTAGCAGTCTGTGAGGGGTACTCCCAACCCTATGGATGGACAGGAGATGAGGAAAGCCTGCCTGGAGGAGGGGTCCTATAAGTCTTAAAGATGAATCTGTGCAGTAAGGAGAAGCAGGACCATTCCTGGCAGAAGCAACAGTGTAAACAAAATCACGAGGAAATGAATTTGCATTTATACATAATAAAGATTGGTATCATTTGACTTACAACTGGTAGCCTTTTTGAACACTCAAATTGACATTAAAATTTTACACACTCATCGTTTTTACTAATTCATGCAAAACTTGGTGAACCATGTATGTATACCTCTGGTATCAGAAGAAAGGATTTTTTTCTTATTTTAATATAAATTCTTTGCTATAAATTCTTTGGTAATAGACAATGCTTAAAATGCTTAAAATCAGAAAGACTGACAATAGCAAATATCAATGAGAGGAAGCAGTCAGAACCCCACAGAGCATTGGTGGGAATATTAAAGAGTAAATAATACAATCACTTTGTTGTTGTTTTGTGTTTTGTTTTGTTTTTGTTTTTGAGACAGAATCTCCCTCTGTCACCCAGGCTGGAGCGCAGTGGCGTGATATTGGCTCACTGCAACGTCTGCCTTGAGGATTCAAGCAATTCTCATGCCTCAGCTTCCCAAGCAGCTGGGATTACAGGTGTGCACCACCACGCCCAGCTAATTTTTTTGTATTTTTAGTAGAGGCAGGGTTTGGCCATGTTGGCCAGGCTGGTCTCAAACTCCTGGCCTCAAGTGATCCACCTGCCTTGGCCTTCCAAAGTGCTGGAATTACAGGCATGAGCCACTGTGCCCAGCCATCAAAGAGTACAATCACTTTGGAAACAGGTCTGGCAGCTTCTGCTAAAGATAAACATATAACTACTCCATGACCCAGAAATTCCACTTCTGGGTATTTGCCTGAGAGAAAGAAAACCATATATCCACAAAAGGACATGTACAAGAATGTTTATAACCACTTTATTCTTAATAGCCTCAAACTGGATGCAACCCAAATCTCCATCAGCAGGAAAATAGATAAACAAACTGTGATATATTCATATAATGAAATACCACTCAATAAAAAGAAATTAGTTATTGATATATAGAGCAAAACATATGAACCTCAAAAACGTGCTGAATGAAAGAAGCCAGACACAAAAGAATACCTTCTGTATGATTTCATTTATTTGAAGGTCTACAACTGGGAAAACTTATCTTTGATGAAAGAAACCAGAACAGTGGCTGTCTTGAAGTAGGGAGTGTTGACTGGGAAGGTGCATGAAGGGTCTTCTGGGATGGAAGGAATGATCTATATCATCCTGTGGTCGTGGGTTACAGTAATGCATGTGTCACTTCATCAAACTGTACACAAAAGATTAGTGAATTTCACTTTATGAAAAGTATACCCAACTAAAAAAATACTGGAGACAAGGTATGGAGTAGGGTAGGGATGCTTCAAAATTAAACATGAAATCACAAAAACAAATAAATGAAGACATAATTGGAGAGAAAACAGGAATAAACACACACACTCATGCACACACACAAACGCACACACAGACATCCCTGATCTATGGGCCTCCACTGGCATTTGTGACATTGAGCAGGATAACATGAACATTGAATATGAGCATGACATCACTTGCATTTTCACTCCTTTTTGGTTTTGGCTGCACAGGTGATAACTGCTGGGAGTGAATAAAGTTTTACAGCTCCACTCTGTACTATTAAAGATATACATGATTAGAGGCTGGGTGCGGTGGCTTCTGCCTGTAATCCCAGCACTTTGGGAAGCCGAGGCGGGTGGATCACTTGAGGTCAGGAGTCTGGGATTATACTAAAAGTACAAAAATTAGCTGGGCATGGTGGTTCATGCCTGTAATCCCAGCTACTCAGGAGGCTGAGGGAGGAGAATTGCTTGAACCTGGGAGGCAGAGGTTGCAGTGAGCCGAGATCGCACCACTGCCCTCCAGCCTGGGCAATAGAGTGAGCCTCCATCTAAAAAAAAAAAAATATATATATATATATATATATATAATTAGGAGTAAGGAATCATAGATGTTCAGAACCAGACAAGACTCCTTAATGTTACAGATCAGGAAATGGAGGCCAGGGAGGGGGAGTTGAAGGGCCTTCCCAAGGTCAAACAGTTACCATTCAAGGACTAGTAAACCTTACCAGTATCGGTGAGTAAAAAAACAGCCCTGGCTTCTATGAAAATTTTGGAACAATAATTTCTATTATCATCACTGTTTATTACTATGCACCCAGTAACAAAAGGATAAGACAACCATTTATTGTTTTTGATGGGCCAGGCACTGTCTGGGTGCTTCACACACAGTGTCCCTAATCTATTCCAACGTCTGTGCACAGCAAGTCCTGCTGCCTGTATTCAAAGATGAGGAACTGAGGAAGTGGAGAGGTTAAATCATTTGCTAACAACTGCCAGCACAGAACTAAAACTTAAGCCTGTTTCATTCTGAAATTCGTGTTCTGTCCAGTAAGTTTGCTAATCCCTTGAGTATTAAGTTTACTCTTCTTAATCAATAATTACACAACTGTGCCTGTTTAGGTATTAGGTATAATAGCCTGCTATTATTTTGGTCTTACCAAATTTGTGTATTTAGTAATATTATCAGATATTTTCTTCCTTCATAGAATTTCCCAATTTATCATTTAAATACTTACGTGAAAATTTTCATCCTGTTTTTCTTCATACTTTTCAGATAGACAAATTATTGATCGCTTTATTCGTACTCACTGTGACACTAACAAAAAGAAGAAATGAAAAGGGAAAATAGTACAAATGAAGAAAATCTGAAAATCAATGGAAGCACGAGGACATTCCTAGTCATTTTCTCAATTATCAAGGAAAAATAAGATGCAAATAGCTTCAAGTATGATGTGATAGTCATGAATTTGTGTCTTTTGCTCCGCTTTATTTTTAAACAATAAAATTAAGGCTACAAAATTTTCCCTGAACATAGCTTTAGCTGTATCCAATAGTTTTTGATACAATGTTTTTTTCTTTTCCCTTTTGGATACTTAATTTGTAGTTTCAATTTTGATTTCTCCTGTGAACTAGGAATTATGTGGAAGAGATTTCTTAATGTCCCATTAATCAGAGACTTAAGAAATCATTTTATTGCCTTATCTCTTCTTTGAATGAATGAAAGTTTAAAAATCTGCTTTTGGGAAATCAATTGCAGTTTTATTTAATGCCATTAATCAAGTATATGATTAATTTGTGTGTTACGTGAATATGAGAAAAAAATTATAGTTTATTGTATTTTTTAATCCCTTATATCTTTAATTGTATACTTGAATTGTTCAATTCTGAAAGAATATTGGAACCTCCCACAATAAATATATTTTTATCAATTTTCCCTTGTATTTCTGGGGTTTTTGCTTCATATATGTGGCTGTTATATTTTGTATTCTATTAGGGTTTATGAATTACACAGAGCTTCTTCATTGATTAACATTGCCCATTATATATTATTCATCTTTGGCTGGTTAATGCTTTTTGGCTTTAAATTGCATTTTAATTGATATTAATGTTGCTATTGGTGCTGATTTGATTTTGGTTTTACCTTTGCATTTGCTCAGTATGTCCTTGCTTTCATTTCCAATCTGTCTTTGTAACTTTGCTTCTAGAAATAAATTATGCCTATCTTTTATTTCATAACTAATGTGTCAGTCTTTGTCTTCAAAAACTTAGTACAGAGCAACTGTGATGCTTCACATACTGGGTTTTGTTTTCTATATCATTTTTTTTGCTTGCTATTTGCTGTTTGTTCTTTTTAGTTTTACTGATTTTCTTCATTTTCCCCTCTAATGTTAGTTTTGGAAATATACTGTTTTTCATCATACTAGTAGTTTTTATCACACATTGTCATTACTAGATTTGGGTTCCTCTCCCAATATATAAAAATTCCATCATCTCTGTGCTCTCAGGACCTTGTACTTCCCGGTTCTTCCCATGGCTACTGACTGAGAAGATATCCTTTATTTCCTCATTTCACACTGTGCTTTTCACTACATCCCCTGCATGTGCTCTTACGCGTGTGCATGCACACACACACACACACACATACAAACAACTGCCAGCAGGGCTCATGTGGAGAAGGAGCTTGCCCTGTAGGTTTCCCACCAGCAGCAAGAGTTTGTTGTTGTTATTGCCGCTTTGGCTTTCTTTCTTTCTTTCTTTCTTTTTTGAGCCCTTGTTTGGGCCTGTCCTATTTCCTGCTCCTGTTTTGCATCAAGGCAGTCATATCCCAACCATCCCTGCTTTAGACAGGGGTAGTTTTCTATTTATCAGCTAAGCGTCTCCCTGCCCCAACGTCCTTTGCAGATGTGGGTCAATACTTGAGCATTAATCTGCTTTTATGCCTTTCTTAGAGTGCTTAAGACTGTTGCAGTGGCCACCCAGGAGCTTTACGTGGACTCTCTCTTGGTTTAGTGTGTGCAGTGTGGGACTTCCTGACTGTCCTCACAGCATCCATTCCAAAGCAGAGGTCCATACTCCATCAGGGCCTTGAGCCAAATATTAATAAATGAGTAGCCCCTTTGGTCCACAAATATTTATTGAGCACCTCCTACGTGCCAAGCAGGGCTTTAGGGGATGGGGATAATGCACTAGTGAAAGACAGTAATGGAGCTTCGATTCTAGAGGGAGGCACCAAGAGGCTCCTATTTGAAATGAAACTTCAAGAGGAGAAGGAGCCAGCCACATGGAGAGATGGGACAAGACCTTTCCAGGCTTAGAGAACAGCAAGGCAAGGGCCTCAAGATAGGAATGATTTTGGTGTTCTAGGAACTGGAAGAAGGTGGAGTGGTTGACACATACATAGTGAGTTGGCCGGGGACAGGGAAAAGTCACGCAAAAAGAGATCAAGGAAGCAAGAGTCGGATCATGGTGTGAGTGCCATTGTATTTCTGTTAGCATAGACTCTTGTATTCTATGTAACTTTATTTCACAACAGTCAATAAATTTCTATTGATTCAAGTTGTGGATCACCCATGAATGTTGTTTTTATACTATTCGTCTTCTTCTTCTTCAAATTTTGGTAGCAAAGTTTTGTGTAGGACTTGAGTTTTTCACGACTGCAGACGTGTCTGTGCATGCATCTTAAGTTTTTAATGTATCTCTACACCTTGGGCATCCCAAATGGTATCCCTGACCTCCCAAATGATTTTTTAAAAATTCACATACATTGAGGTTCACTCTTTGTGCTATAAAGTTCTATGGGTTATGACAAAAGCATAGTGCCATGTATCCACAATTACAGTATCACACAGGATAGTTTCACTGCCCCAAAAATTCTCTATGCACCACCTGTTCAATGCTCTCCTCCTCCCCTCAAACCCTGATTACTTCTTTGGAGATCATTTTGGTATTCTGGAGGTAGGGTAGCTAAGAAAAGCCAGCATCACCTACCTTGCCCTGGGGCAGACAACATACGGATGAGTATTGCCATCTGTCTGGACACAAAAAGTCCTCTTACCTACAGGGTTCTAGAACTTGTCAGTGACATCACTCTAGAGCAAGATGTTCTACTTGTAAATACAGTATTGAGATGTCATCTTCGACAGACTTTTGCTTTAGGGACGGTGGTAAAGTGAATTATTGGCCCCAATTCTTCATCTCTCTCTGTATCCACACCCCTGGCCATGTAACCTTGCAGTGCCTCCCACTAAAGATGGAATGTATTTCCCCTGACCTTGTATGTGAGCACAGCCATGTGGCTTTCTTTGGCTAATGGGTTGTTAGAAGAAATAAACCTGGGCTGCTCACTGGTCCCAGGAGAAAAATGAGTCACCCCAGCTGACCTGCCCCAATGACTCACAAACTGTGAATGAGAAATAAATGCTCTTTGCTGCATGCCAGAGGCCAATGTAGCAATAGCTGACTGGTACAGGCACAGCATTTATTTAGATGCAACATTCCTGGGACCCTCAAAATGAGAAAAAGCTTTGTAGAATCAGTTCTTTCTCAAAAATATTAAATTCTACCACCGTCAACAAATGTGTGTTTAAAAAGCAATTGCACCCGGGAAGCGGAGCTTGCAGTGAGCCGAGATTGCGCCACTGCAGTCCGCAGTCCGGCCTGGGCGACAGAGCGAGACTCCGTCTCAAAAAAAAAAAAAAAAAAAAAAAAAAAGCAATTGCATTTTAAAGTAAGAGTGTGGTTGAGGTTCTCTTGTATCTTAAAAATGGCAAGGGTGTTTTAAACATTGAACACTTTAAAGATTCTCATGAGGCCAGTAGCCACTGCTTATTTTAATGTGCTAGAAGCTGTGAGTGCTTTAACCTGGTTCATTCTCAGAGAAGATCGGCAAACCCAGATCAGTCATGGACCTGGCATGAGTTAATTACATGGCACTAGAATCTCTATTATTATATTTGTAAGATAGTAGTTTTTCAACAGTTACTAATCCTGCCATTTTTTTTTTCTTGTGATATCCCCCGATGGCTCTTTAATTCTCTTTTTTCTTTCCTGAAAAACTTACCCTTGGTAGGCGATTTCTGGGGTGTTGATTTTTTTCTTGCCGGGAACCCCTGTGGCCACAGCACCTTTGCCCAAATTCTTGTCCTGCATCCAGGAAGAGTGAGGTACACAAGTGAAGAGTGAAGAAGAGTTTTATTTAGTGTTAGAGCAACTCAGAGGAGTGGGTAGCTCCCTTCTGCTGGCAGGTCATCTCTGAGGCTCTCAGTGGACAGGGTACTCTTCTCTGCAGCTGGTCATCCAGTCCCATCATCTCTCTGCTCTCTTTGTCTTCTGGCCATCTTCTGCCCTGCTCTGGTTGAGCCCAGGGCTTTTATGGACCTCAGAAGGAAGGAAATGTATGCCAGTTGGTCCATGGGCGGCCATGGGTGGGCCTGGACTCTTCCAGGCCCATGAGTCCCTACTCCAGTTCACGGGACTGGCAGCCCAGCCCCTAGTCTTCAGGCTCTCCCTGGCCTGAGGGTGGGCCCTTACTGGGGACCCTCTTCCTTCTACCCAGGATTCTGTCAGCCTCCCGCTGGGACTTGGCCCCCAACCCCGCTGGGAGATTGGAGCGGGCCTTGGGAGGAGAGGCCAGGCACTGGGAGCAGACACCCCTAAGCCTGCAGGGACAGGGGTCCTTCCTGGGGCACTCGAGGGTGTAGGCTACAGAGATGCCCAGGTCCTGTGCCTGGGAGGGCAGTGCAGCTGCACCCAGGAGCTCCCGCCCCACCAACTCAGAAGAGGCAGGACTCCCACTTGTCCCCAGCTTCTGCCTGCTTCCTGGAGCAGGAGGCCCAGGTCTGCAGCCGCGAATGAGGCAGCTGCAACTGCACCTCGGAAGGCAGATCCTGCCTGTTCCCGTTTCTCCCAAGAGCACAGGAAGGCTCCGATCCACAGCTGCATTTTGGGCTGCTGTAGCCTCACCCAGTAGGGGGCGCTCCTTCCTGCTCCCTAGAGCAGGAGGCCTGGGTCTGCAGCTGTGGTTTGGGTGGCTGTAGCCACATGGGGAGGTCCTGTCCCAACTCAGAATGGGCAGGGTTCCCCCTGGCTCCAGGGAGTGTACAGCCCCAGCTGCGCTTCCCTGCTGCAGCTGGCATGATGGCAGCAGCCACTGCCATCACCCTTGCACACACCTTATTCAAAATAAAAGTGTATATAGTGGATTTCTATGCTTTCTAGAAATATCTGTTCTTTGTTTTGAACCTCTTGAAGAAACAGTTATGTAAATGTGTTTAAAATTGTTCCACTTTGTTTTAAAAAGCTTTTGTGAATAAGTAGAAAACAACATCCCTTTAGAATGAAGGCTGCAATAATTTGTAAGAAAGTAAGAAATAAAACGCAGGTTATAGGAAGTTGTTTTCACTACGTGTTAGAATTCTCCTTTCTGTACAGGAGGTATATGAGTCTGGAGCAGGGCTTATCAGCCTTGGCTACCCAATCAAATGTCCTGGAGAGATTTTTAAAATCCTGATCCCGAGGCTACTTTCCAGTCCAATTACATCAGAACTTCTGGGGACGGATCACAGGTGCTAAGGTGATCCCTGTGCACAGCAAAGAGTGAGAACCACTAAACTAGAGGGGGGATCTAATTGGTAAATTGCACCTGAGAAGGTTAAGTTGGTAGTTTAGTCAAGGTCTAAGCAGGAAGCAGAATCCACCCCATTTGTTTCAGATGATGGGGCTTAAGTAAAGGGACTACTTACTGAGGACATAAACGTGGGGTAAGGCTCCCAGAGACTTGAGAGAGAAGAAAGCTGTTACCACCTCTCCCTGTGAGAGCCTGGGCTGTCAGGGAGCTGCTGTCCCCTGGAAGGGACAGAGCCATTTTGGGGGACATGACACAGGGAACAAGAAGGGAAAAATTCCTCCAGCCTTGCTTCTCCTTCCCTCTCATATAATCTGATCTCCTGGCAATGGCTCTCACTGACAAGCCCAATGGATGCTTACCAGCAAGGTATTGATGGAGATGCAGTCCAAAGAGTTAACCTCCTGTGGCACCAGCCAGGCCAGAAAAGGCGATTAAAGGGAATTTGGAAGCCAAATAAAATATAACCAACACAATTGGCCAGCCTTGCTGAATGAAAACCACAAGCGGAGGGTATGGCCAAGTACTGAATAAATTTTTGAATGTAATTTTATAAAAAGTTTTATAAAATAAGGAAATTATTCATTTAAAGAATTATCTTAATAAAAAAGATATCATAGACATATCATGAAATTGGGACTATTCCAGAAAATTCAAGGCATATGACTATGACAATTTAAACTTTATCCTTCATTTAACATTTATTTTTAAATATTTTTAAAGTCTTTCATACCAGACACCCTGCTGTACTAGATACAGAAATGAAAGACACAGTAATCTATTCTATTCCTAAAGGTCTAAGAGTCTAGCAAAAAATACAAATTGGCAAATGTAATGAAATTTACAATTTTGCCAGCCCAGAGCAGCATGCCTCACTTTGGGGGGTACTCTCCCACCCCAATCCAGCCATGTGATTCTGATGTCAGCTGAAGGCTCTCTGTGCCCTGCCCGGGCCAGGTACCATCTGAATGTGGTACCTCTCCTCTCTGGCCATGGTTGGGGTTTGGCCCAGGATTTTCTTCCATGGGGACTGGGCAGAGCACTCTTTCCTCTGTTGCTATGAGGCTGTAAGAAGATGTTTCCAGAGTTGCCCGTGGTCTTCTTCCCGGTCCCACAACAGCAACCAGCCCCAGAGAATGGAGACCTGAGAGAGGATGTATGAGGAACGGAAGAATCCTGATGAGATTGGAGTGTCTACCCTTGAAACCATCTCCATCCATGCCCCATGAACAATTCATTTCTTGATTTGACTACAGCTGGATTGAGCTAGATTTCTGCCACTCGTAATCAACAGGGTTCTAACAAATACAGAAGGAAATCTCAGTAACATCCTAAAAGAGCCATGTGCAGAATGCTACGAGATTTCTAAGAGCTTGCCTAACCCGGCCTGAAGGGTCAGGAAAGGGTTTCTGGATCAAGGTAAAGGCCCAGGTTTTTATGGATGTACAGCCACTATGATTAGGCTATTTTCAAAAGCAAGAGTTTCAAACTGAAATGCCTACAGGGGTGCATAGGCAAGAAAGCAAGATATTTTTCTCTTTCTATACTCTCCTACTACTCTCACGCAACGCAGAGCACTACTGTGACCACATGAGTGGAGTTTTTTCCCTGACCGAATAGTTCTCCAGCACCAGGTAGGTGTCCTCCTAGCTCACAGTTCAATTCAACTGTGACACTACCTGGAGTTGGCGCAGATCTGGCAGGATGAGGACTCACAAAACCATCTTTGCAAAAATTATAACAGTGAGAAATCTGTAACAGTGAAAGGGATCTGACCTAACCAACTCCATCTTGTGTCTAACCTTCCAGCTGCCCTTGTTCATTGCTGGGCATAGTCTGAACTAACTTTGGGAGGAACTTAGTTTATAGTTTAACTTTGGAACAAAGATGGTAACAGCCCTTTCTCAAAACAAACCCCTTCTTGCCTGGGGACTTGACTGCCTTTGTAGGACTAACAAATTAGCCTCAAGAAATGCAACTTCCCCGTTACTCCTGCAGATAACATCACTATTGTAGAGCCTAAGATTTGGGATGTCTTTTCAGGTTTTTGGATTTCTGATGACCGATGGCTCTACCCAGACTCACTGTTTGGTCCTGTGACCCCCACCCAGGAACTGACTCATCGCAAGGGGACAGCGTCAATTCCCTATGATTTCATCTTTGACCCAACCAATCAGCATTCCCCACTCCCTGGCCCCCTACCCGCCAAACTATCCTTGAAAAAACCTAGTCTTCGAATTTTTGGATAGACTAATCTGTGTAAAAATAAATCTATGGTCTCCCGTTCATCTGGTTCTGTAAGAATTAAACTCTTTCTCTATTGCAGTTTCCTTGTCTTGATAAATTGGGTCTATCTAGGCAGCAGACAAAATGAACCTACTGGGTGATTCCAGTCAGTCCCACAAGACTGCCCCCCATTGCAGATGCCAACAGGAAGTAGTAAGTCCCGAAGTTACTCACAGCTTCTGCCTGACTTGGCTACAAATTGAAAGTTCCCATGACTGCCTTCTTGAGTTTGATCATTTGCTAGAACAGCTCACAGAACTCAGAGAAACACTTCACTCACATATGCCAGTTTATTATAAAGGGTATTACAAAAGATGAACACGACGAGCCAGATGAAGAACTACATAAGGCACAGTATGGGGGAAAGTACAAGTTGCTGCCAGGCCTTCTTCAGGCACATCACCCTCCAGGCATCTCCAATGTTCAGCAACCTGAAAGCTCTCCAAAGCATGTCCTTTTGAGTTTTATGGAAACTTCATTACATGTGCATAATTGATTACATCATTTGTCATTGGTGATTAATTCAAACTTCAGTTCTTCTCCCTGATTGGGGGGTGGAGTTGAAAGTCTCAACTCTCTAATCAAGATTGGTTCCCCTGGCAACCAGCCTGCATGTGGAGTCTATCCTGAAGCCTCCCTCCTTCCCCGGCAGTCATCTCAGACATCTCATTCACATACAAAAAGACGCATCACTTATCACTTTGAAACATTCTAGGAGTTGCCTGCCAGGAAACTGGACAAAGACCAAAATAGGTATTTCTTATTATAAGTCACAGTATCACAGGAGGCCTGGCAGGTAACCTAAATGAGGGAAGCGGGCCAGGAGTGAGACCATAGGGAGAGTGACTGGTGAAATGAAGAGTGCCCACTATGTTTAAAAGGGCTGCTGAGTTATCGTAGCAACAACAACAAAAAAACTACTTTACTCCATTTTTGTTTAAGGGGCCTTTACCCATTCCTGCTCATAGGCTAAGATAATTTTAGAGCACTAATAGGCAAAAACAACAATCGTGTAGTTTAAAAAACACTTTAGGATTAAAGGACACATATTTAAACAACTATGTTTTGTTAAAGATGTATAGGACCATTAAGGCCTGACCAAGGACAAAGGCATTCCCAACCTCCCCAGACCCTTGCTGGCACCCAATTGTCTGTGGTTACTGGTTAGCTCTTGATCTCAATTCCCTCCTCTTTCCCCTGCGCTTAACATGAAAAGTACCTACAATTTGTATTGGCTTAAGGTGGTGCTTTAGGACAATAGTTCAGCATCTTCTCGGTTTTCTGGCTCTCCAATAAACCTGCTTTTCCTCCCACCAATTTTTGTCCCTTGTGTTTGGCGAGCTGCTGGATGTGGGTTTGCTTACATTATCTCTGGCTAATTGTTGCCCTGTTAGTATGTGTTAGTCATAGAGGATTTCAGGAAAAGCAAAAAATATGTTTTTTAAATGTATTTACAATTTTTATTGTCACTCTTTCTGGTGTAAAGTGTTACAGATTTTGACAAATGCATAGAGCACTGTATCTATCACCCCAATCATTATATGGGAAAGTAAAATTCCATCTAAAATTCCTCTGGCTGTTCCCCTGTACACAGCCCCACCTCCCTAGCCACTGGCAATGACAGGTTTGGTTTTCATCCCTATCATTTTGCTTTTTCTAGAATGTCATATAAATGGAATAATATAATATATAACCTTCTGTATCTTCGATTTATCAAAATGAATTTTGTTGTTGTTCTTGTTCTTGTTGTTGAGTAATCTGTAGTAACGTGTTGCTTTTTATGGCTGAGTATGGATGTACCAGTTTATTTATCTGTTCACTGGTTGAAGAACATCTGGGTTGTCTCCAGGTTTTGGCATTTGCGTATAAAGCTGCTATAAGCATTCAGGTTAAGGTTTTCTTTTCTTTTTTCTTTTTTTCTTTTCTGTTTTTTTGAAACAGTCTTGCTCTGTCACCCAGGCTGGAGTGCAGTGGTGCAATCTTGGCTCACTGCAACCTTCACCTCCCAGGTTCAAGTGATTCTCCTCTGTCAACCTCCCAAGTAGCTGGGATTACAGGCACCCGCCATCATGCTCAGCTAATCTATTTGTATTTTTAAGAGAGACAAGGTTTTACCATGTTGGCGAGGCTGGTCTCAAACTCCTGACCTCAGGTGATCCACCTGCCTCGGTCTCCCGAAGTGCTGGGATTACAGGATTGAGCCACTGTGCCTGGCTCAGGTTTAGGTTTTCTTGTGAATACAACTTTTCATTTCTCTTCAGTAAATAAATACCTGGGAGTGGGATTGCTGTGTCATATGCATGTTTAACTTTATAAGAAACTGCCAAACCATTTTCAGAATGACTGTACCAGTTTGCATTTCACCAGCAACGTATGAGAGTTACGATGGCTCCACATCTGTTATTAGCAATTGGAACAGTTAATTTTTATATTCTGTCAACCTGTAATAATCTATAGAATCAAAATCCAGTTTAAGAGAGTTTATTTAAGAACAAAACTGAGGATGGCCACCTTGAAAACACAGACTCCAAAGGGATGGGGTCAAGTGCTCTGAAGCTGAAAAGTTAAGGTCTTACTTATATAGGCAGAAAACAGGGAAGTTTAACAGGATTACAACATTTTCCACACAAAGCTGGTTTATGAGTTATAGAAATTTGATTAGGTATGGATTGTTTTCTTTCTCAATTTAAAAGAGTATATTTAACATTCCATTTTTGACAACATGATGCTATTTGTGTAAAAGAAGAAAAAGGAAAGTTAATCTATAACAAAGATCAATAGTTAAGAGGGAAGGGATTCTTCTCTGGTTCCCTTTAGTCTTTATAACATTTTATAAAACAATGCAGGTAAAGAAAAGGGTAATCTATAATCAGAGAAACAAAGGTTACAGATGCCTAGGCTATAGCTGCCTTTTATACGACTCATGTCCCATAATCACATTCCTTTAAGGCCCCAAATAAAGTTCCAATAGCTTTGATTTTGAATTACTTATTTTCACATTTCTGTTTGTTTGTTACTATTCTATTACATCATAGTTTTACGGTGCATTTCCCTAATGAAAATGATATTGAGAAACTTTTCATGTGCTTATTTACCAGCTGTATACATATTGGGGGGAAGTGTTTATTCAGATCTTTTGCTCATTAAAAAAATGGATTGTTTGTATTCTTATTGTTGAATTTGGGGATAATATATATACATATTTGAATACAAGTTGTTGGACAGAAATATGACTGGTAATTATTTTCTCCAAATCTGTGGCTTTTCTATTTATTATCTTAACAGTGTCTTTTATCCAGTAAAAACTAAGCCAGTGTCACAAAGATTTATCAGGTGAAGGATATTCCTTTCTCTTCCTAGTTCGCCAAGAGTTTTGTTTTGTTTAATCATGAATGGATGTTGAATATTGTTAAATGCTTTTTTTGAACCTATTAAGATGATCATGCGGCTTTTCTTCCTTAGTCCATTAATATGAGGGTTCTTTGGTTGACTTTTAATTGTTGAATCAGCCTTGCATTCCTGGGAAGAATCCCCTTAGTGGCAGAATTGCTTAAGGCCAAAAGCACTGGGATTACAGGCATGAGTCACCATGCTCAGCTCAATTTCTTGATAGATATTATCCAAACTATTCTTGTTACCCACTTCTCGAATGAGCTTGGTAGTTTGTTTCTTCCAAGGAATTTGCCCAGTTTATCTAAATTGTCAAATTTATGGACATAAAATTGTTCATAGCATTCCCTTTTTCTCAGTGTACGTGGGTTTCATAGTCATGGCCCCCGTTTCATTTCAAATACAGGTAATTTTTGTCTTCTTTCTTTTTTTCTTCATTAGCTTAGCTAGAGGTTTATCAATTTTGTTGATCTTTTCAAAGAAACAACTTTTGGTTTCATAGATTTTTTTCTATTGTTTTTTATTTTTCAATATCCTTAACTTCTGTACTCATCTTTATTATTTCTTTCTTTCTTCTTGCTTAGGGTCTAGGTGTTTTTTCCCCTCTAGTTTCTTAACCTAAAAGCTTAGGTGACTGAGAATTTTTGTTTTTCCTACTACTTAATGCTATAGTCTAATATGTTTTCTATGCTTAATGCTATAGTCCAATATATTTCCCCCATGCACTGCTTTAGCTACATTCAATGAATTTTGCTTTATTTGTATTTTTGTTTTCATTCAATTTAATATGCTTTTAAATTTTCTTTGAGATTTACTCTTTGAACTATGGGCTACTTAGAAATTAAATTTCCAAATATTTGGGATCCTCCCAGACATATTTCTATTATTAAAGCCCAGTTTAATTCTGCTGTGGTCTGAAAACATACTTGGTATGATTTCTATTCTTTTACATTTGTTAAGGTTTGTTTGATGGCCCAGAATATATTCTTCCTTGGTGAATGGTCCATGTGCACTTGAGAACAATGTGTATGTGCTTTTCGGTATTCTATTAATGTCAATTATGTCAAGTTTGTTGATGGTGTAGTTTAAATCTTCTGTATCTTTACTGATTTTCTGTGTATTTGTCAATTACTGAGAGAAGAGTGCTGAAGTCTCCAACTATAATTGCAGATTTATCTTTTTATTTTCAGTCCTACCAGTTTTCGGTAATGTATTTTGAAGTTTTGTTATTAGCTGCAAACACACTGTTATGTCTTCTTGGTGAATTGATCCCTTTTTCATGATATACTATCCCTCTTTATCTCTGAAAATGTTCTTTGTGTTTTTTTTTTGTTTTTTGTTTTTTTTTTTGAGGCAGAGTCTCATTCTGTCACAGAGACTGAGTACAATGGCATGATCTCGGCTCACTGCAGCCTCCACCTCCTGGGTTCAAGTGATTCTCCTGCCTCAACCTCCTGAGTACCTGGGATTACAGGCACCTGCCACCATGTCCAGCTAATTTTTGTATTTTTAGTAGAGATGGGGTTTCACCAAGTTGGCCAGGCTGGTCTCAAACTCCTGACCTCAGGTGATCCGCCCACCTCGGCCTCCCAAAGTGCTGGGATTACGGGCCACAGTGCCTGGCCCAGGCCTCTCTCTTATTTTCCTGGGGAACAGTAGAACACTGTGTTCTACTGTTACTGATTCCTCAATGCTTGTTTGACTTGTGGTGGGGGTGTTCTCTGTTGTTTTGGTTAAGCCTTATTCTTAAGCAGGCACTGTGTCCCTGGGTCTCAGGGCATGGCCTTCTCAGGGCTCTTTCCTTTCCCCCAGCACTTATTCCTGTCCCTCCCCCATGAATAGAGGATGTTTTCTGTTCCCTTCCCCCAGCAGCAGTGAGTTTTCCCCAATCCTCTTGCAGATGAAGGCTTTGTTCCATAGGGGAGTTAAGGGAGAGGCCTGGTTAAGATTTCAAGCTTCTCCTGAATTAGCTGCTGTCTTCAAGGCTTGTACCAAGAAGGATGTTTTCTCCCAAGGTTCACCACTCCCTTTTGTGAGTCCTTGGTGGGGTACATGGAGAAAAGTCTACAAGAGGGTGTGAACTCCCCTACGTTTGCAGCCCCGTCAAGCACCACACTCTCTTGCCGGCCCATCCTCTCAGCCTATATCAAGTTAGTAAGTATTCTCACGGAATTCTTCTTTCTGGTGTCCGGCCACTTCTGGCTCAGGTAAGCAAATGATAGTGTCCCATCTCTCCCTGCAGATACCTGTGTCTCCTGAGTTTTGGTTGCCCTGTGTCGTCAGCTCTCTGATGGGCATAAGAAAAGTTATGAACTTGCAGTTTGTCCGATTTTCTATTGCTGTTACCTCATTAGGGTGGGAAATACACCGTTTCTGACTTTCTAGATTCCTGAACAGAAATCAAAAGTCAGGAATAGGGTTTTTATTTGAAATTTTCTGTCTTTTAACAGTTTCCAACTAATTCAAATTTTTTAAATATGCAAGTCAAAACACATCTTGGATAGGATCCCTATGTGATCTCTGCTCCCAGGGTCTTGCCATGTACCAATTTGTGCCAGTTTGGGGTTCAGGGGATTTTCTAGACCTGTTTAGCCAAATTAAAGGTGTAAATCTTACATCACAAGTCTTTTCTTATTTGCTGTTTATAATTAGTTTATGGATATAACTGGTCAATGAGTAATCAGCTACTAACTAATCTTTTTTAATTAGTCTAATGTTTATTATTTCATGGTAACTATAAACCCCCATAAAATACTTTGGATAACACGTAATTGGAATTGTATTGGAGTCATATGATGAAAACCCATGAAACCTACTGAAGGACATAAAGTAAGGCTTCGGTAAATGAAGAGCCAGTGCAGTCTTATAAAAGAAGATTCAGGCCGGGCACGTTGGCTCACGCCTGTAATCCCAGCACTTTGGGAGGCCAAGGCAGGCGGATTACGAGGTCAGGAGATCGAGACCATCCTGGCTAACACGGTGAAACCCCGTCTCTACTAAAAATACAAAAAAATTAGCCGGGCGTGGTGGCGGGCGCCTGTAGTCCCAGATACTCGGGAGGCTGAGGCAGGAGAATGGCGTGAACCCGGGAGGTGGAGCTGGCAGTGAACCAAGATTGCGCCACTGCACTCCAGCCTGGGCAACAGAGCGAGACTCCATCTTAAAAAATAAATAAATAAATAAATAAATAAAAGAAGATTCAACATTGTAAAAATGCCACTTCTTCCTAAATTGACATAAAGTTAACACCAGTAGAATTTCGAACAGTATTTTTTTATGAGTGTTGTGTGTGCGTGCAGGTAACTTGACAAAAAATTATAAAGCGCATTTGGGAAAGAACAATATCAAGAATAACCAGGAAATTTTTGATAAGTAAGATGAGTAATTAGGAGAAAACTTCCCTAACAAATATTAAAATGTATTATAAAATTGCTATACTGTACTATGTTACAGGTAACAGGAAAGATGAGCAGATTAATAGGACAAAAATAGGATCAAGAAAAAGGCTAAAATATATATGAGAACTTAGTGTGTGATAAAGGTGCCAGTGCAAAACCGTGAGAAAAAAAACGGCTTATTGAATACACGTTATTTAAAAAAAAATCCTCTGGAGAAAAAAAAAGATGCACCTTCAAATTGCTACTCAACAAAAATAAATTCCAGATGGAAGAAATAAACAAATGTAAACTATAAGCTATAACATAAAATTTTCCAACTACTAGAAGAATTTTTATTTTATTTATTTATTTATTTTAAGTTCTGGGATGCATGTGCAGAATATGCAGGTTTGTTACATAGGTATACGTGTGCCATGGTGGTTTGCTGCACCCATCAACCCGTCTTCTAGGTTTTATGTCCCGCATGCATTAGGTATTTGTCCTAATACTCTCCCTTCCCTTGCCCTCTACCCCCTGACAGGCCCCAGTGTGTGTTGTTCCCCTCCCTGCATCCGTGTATTATCCTTGTTTGACTGCCCCTTATGAGTGGGAACATGCAGTGTTTAGTTTTCTGTTCCTGTGTTAGCTTGCGGAGAATGATGGCTTCCAGCTTCATCCATGTCCCTGCAAAGGACATGAACTCATCTTTTTTGTGGCTGTATAGTATTCCATGATGTATATGTGTCACATTTTCTTTATCCAGTCTATCATTGATGGGCATTTGGGTTGGTTCCAAGTTTTTGCTATTGTAAATAGTGCTGCAATAAACATACATGTTCAACCATTGTGGAAGACAGTGTGGTGATTCCTCAAGGATCTAGAACCAGAGATACAATTTGACCCAGCAATCCCATTACTGGACATATACCCAAAGGATTATAAATCATTCTACTATAAAGAAAAATTTTTAAAGAAAATCTGTGGCTAAGGAAAGCCCTTTCTAAGCATGCTGCAAAAACCAGAAACTTAAATAAACAGACTACTAAATTTGTCTACATAAAGTATGGCTAAAACAAACTAAAAAGACCTCCCCCCCACCAAAAAAAAATCATAACCGTAAAAATGTTTAGGAGACAAATAACAGAAAAAGTATTTGCGTCATATATTAAAAAGTAGCAATAGTAGTATTATCTATGCAAATATTAATCGTAGTTCATGTAAATCAATAAGAAAATAACAAACGCCTCAATGGAAAAATGGACAATTGTTTGTCACATTGGCAAAGATGACCCAGCATCAGCAAGGGTGGTAAAGGGCACGCTCGTGCATTCATGGGATGTGTATCAATCTCCCAGAGTTGCTGTATCAAAGCACCACAAACTAGGCGGCTTAAAATAACAGAAATTTATTATCTCATAGTTCTAGGGGCTAGAAGTCAGAAACCAGGCTGTTTGGCAGGGCCATGCACCTCTGAAGCTTATAAGGAAAGATCCTTCCCTGCTTCTTCCAGCTTCTGGTAGCCTAGGCATTGCTTGGTTTGTAGATTTATCACTCTAATCTCTGCCTCTGTTGTCACATGGCATTCTCTACCTTCCTTCTGTGTCTGTCTGTGTCCAAAGTCTCCTCTTCCTATAAGAACTCCACTCATATTGGATTATGGCCCACTCTAATCCCTCATGACTTTGTCTTGATTACATCTGCAAAGACCCTATTTCCAAATAAAACGGCATTCACAGGTTCTGGAGGTTGGAAATGCAACATATCTTTTTGAGGGATACAATTCAACTCATAACAGAGTGTAAGTTGGGTACAGTCTTTCCAAGGGACAGTTTGGCAATATGTTTCCGAGTTCCATTTTCATAAATATACTCTAATGACGTCTTTGCACAAATGGGAAACTTACATACCGGTTTTTGTTGTGATTGTTCATCAAAGTGTCATGGTCAGTGATTGTCTGGGACTGGTGCGTAAGAGTTAAAATAATTTACCAAGACAGGAATGAGTTTAGAAAGGCAGGTTTATTGCAGAAAGGGGAGGTATGTTGCAAGGATATAACGGGCAAGGCAGCGGAAGGAAGGATGTCTGCCAAGAGGCAAGGCCTGGAGGGGAGTTTTATAAGGAGGCTAAATGCTTGTGGACAGGATGCTGGGGCATAGATGGGCTGTGAGCTGAGTGCCTGTCACAGGGTGCCTGAGTGCTAGCGCGCCTTTTGCAGTTGACCCCATTTCTAGGAATATTTGTTCCTCTTTACCCCAGCTAAGCCCGTTCTTTAACTTTTTCTCTTAACTTTTTAGGGCCCCGCTCAAAGCACTATATAAAACTCCGGAAAAAATGTCAACAACCGTTATGCTCATTAATACGGAACCTTTAAGGAAATTCAGAATGAAACATTATGCACATATTTAGGTCTATTTTTATTGATACGGAAACACACTCTAGATATCTTGCTAAGTGAAAAAAGCAGGTTACAAAATAGTATGATCTCATTTATATAAAATTGTACATCTTTACATAAATGTAGAGCCTGAAAAAATGTTCAGCAAATTGGCCACGCACGGTGGCTCACGCCTGTAATCCCAGCACTTTGGGAGGCCGAGGCGGGCGGATCACGAAGTCAGGAAATCGAGACCACGGTGAAACCCCGTCTCTACTAAAAAAAAAAATACAAAAAATTAGCCGGGCGCGGTGGCGAGCGCTGAGGCAGGAGAATGGCGTGAACCATCTTACATGTAGTATTTAAAAGTAGAGCATCTCCACACTTTTTTTTTTAAAGGCTGGGAGAGGTCATTTTTGTGAAGTTTAAAGAACCCTGCACTTGAGGACAGAGAGCTGGGCTGGCCCGTCTCCAAACAGAAATGGCTGTATTGCTTACTGATTATGAAATCTCACATGCATCACATCTTATCTGGATTTTTTTCTTCCTATGCAGGTGAGGATTACAACACTGGAGCAGTTATTTCAAGGATTAAGTAGATGAACTATTTGGGAGCCACTGGCAAACTGGGAAGTGCCAATTCATTCTTCAACTGTGTTAGGCAGAGTTCTAGGCTCTGTGGATTCCTCAGGAAAGGGGATAAATGTACATTCATGGAGCTAATATGCTGAAGGGAGAAAACTGACAAACTAATACACAAATCTTTGCTATAATAACAAGTATGAAAGTATGAGGAAAAACATAAAATGGGTGTAATACAAACATGTATTTCATATAAATCTGCCATGTAAATATGTATCACAATGTCGAGTTCAGAAGTATCAAGAAAAATACAACAGGCTAAGGGCATAGAGGGGCCTGAGAGTTTGCTGTTTGAGGTAGGGTGGTGGGAGAAGCCCTCCCCATAAGATGGCACTGACTTCATTCCTGGTGGAAGTGTGGGAGGAGGGGAGAACCTTGGGACCATCTCGGGGAAGAGCCTTCCAGGCAGAGGGAACAAGCATAGGAGCCCTGCATGTCCTAAGAGCGGGTCAATGTGGCTCCAGAGAAATGAGGGAGACTGGTGGTAGGTGAGGTCCAACAGGTAGAAGTACAGACCATGGTGTGCCTCTGCATTCGGACTTTACTTTGAATGAGAAAAGAAATATGGCAGGGTTTTAAGTAGAGACTTGACACTATCCAACTTCTGTTTTAAAAAGATCACTCCCTACATAGAATATATTGTTGGGAGGCAGAAATGGAAAGAGGGAGACCAATTAGGAGGCTATTGCAAAGCCCAAATGAGAGTCATGGATGGCTTGTGCTGGGAGGTATTGGGAAAGAAAGTGAGGAGTGGTAGATTCTGATGGAATCCACCTCTATGGAGGTAGAGCCAAAGGGACTTGCTGGTGGACTCACTGCGTGTTTGGGAGAGAAAGGGGAGGGAGATGACTCCAAACTTTACCCTAAGCAGTTGGAAAAATGCAGTTAGCGTCTGAGATAAGGGAGGTTGGGGAGGAGTGGAACTGGATAATAAGGGTTCAGTCTTGGATGGCAGGTGGCACCCAAATGTAAGTTAGAATTATTATTGATCTCACCCTGGCTGGGCAAGATGATAAGAGAGTAAGCTCAATACCAAAGTTATTTTCCTCTTCGTTGACTCCCTGACATTTTCTCCCCTAACCTGAACTTCACAGGAACACCAATTACCTTCACATGTGATGGGATTCACTTACCTGGGGAGGAGTGGAGGGAAGAGGAATCTACCCTGGTACTCCAGTAACAAACCCTGGCGTGGACAGTGGAAGCTGAACCTCCACTGTGAGTAGATCTCATTAGCATCAGCTGCTCCCAGCATAAAAAGAGCACAATGTTCTTCCCAAGGCATCTCTCTGATCACTAGTGATTGCTCCACAGGACTGAGTGGACATGATTCTAAGCAGTAAAGGAGAACTTGGGAAGTGTTGCTATTTGATACCATGAACTGGAGAGGAAGAAGTTCTGCTTTGGGAATGTTAGAAACCTCTCCTGTTAACAGATTAGAAATATGAACACTTTCACACTGTTGGTGGGACTGTAAACTAGTTCAACCATTGTGGAAGTCAGTGTAGCGATTCCTCAGGGATCTAGAACTAGAAACACCATTTGACCCAGCCATCCCATTACTGGGTATATACCCAAAGGATTATAAAACATGCTGCTATAAAGACACATGCGCACGTATGTTTATTGCGGCACTATTCACAACAGCAAAGACTTGGAACCAACCCAAATGTCCAACAATGATAGACTGGATTAAGAAAATGTGGCACATATACACCATGGAATACTATGCAGCCATAAAAAATGATGAGTTCATGTCATTTGTAGGGACATGGATGAAGCTGGAAACCATCATTCTCAGCAAACTATCACAGGGACAAAAAACCAAACACCGCATGTTCTCACTCGTGGGTGCGAATTGAACAATGAGAACACATGGACACAGGAAGAGGAACATCACACACCGGGGACTGTTGTGGGGTGGGGGGAGGGGGGAGGGATAGCATTAGGAGATATACCTAATGTTAAATGACGAGTTAATGGGTGCAGCACACCAACATGGAACATGTATACATATGTAACAAACCTGCATGTTATGCACATGTACCCTAAAACTTAAAGTATAATTAAAAAAAGAAAAGAAAAAGCTATTTTCACCAGGCACAGTGGCTCACGACTGTAATCCCAGCACTTTGGGAGGCTGAGGCGGGCGGATCACCTGAGGTCAGGAGTTCCAGACCAGCGTGACCAACATGGAGAAACCCTGTCTCCACTAAAAATACAAAAAAATTAGCCGGGCATGGTGGCACATGCCTGTAATCTCAGCTACTCGGGAGGCTGAGGCAGGAGAATCGCTTGAACCCGGGAGGCGGAGTTTGCAGTGAGCGAAGATCGTGCCATTGCACTCCAGCCTGGGCAATAAGAGCGAAACTCAGTTTCAAAAAAAAAAAAAAAAAGAAAAAAGAAAAAGCTATTTTCAGTCCTTGCTTTTTAAAACTCTCATAGAATTTTTAAAAATTCCATTAGCTTGGATTACAGGCAGAGAGTCGTTTGCTGTAAAAATGGGTAGTATAAGGTAACTGTTTATGTTGTCAAAGAAGCAGTATTTTGCTCTTCAGGAGGAAGGTAGAGGGAGGTCAGTCTTGTTCACTGGGAAGCCTGACCATTTTGCCCACAGCCTGGCATGAACCATGGTGTACAGCAATGTGTCAGGCTCAGTGTGTTTAATGGGCTGTTGCTATGAAATTTTTGTCCCTATAATCAGAGCCTCTGCCTTGATAACTTAATTGCACTTTTAAAAAACTCTTGAATTTGAGTACATCCTGAAAATATCATGAGGGCTTTTGATTAATGTAAAATTAAAGCTCTTTCAGAAGCATTAATTGAATAAAGAGAACACTATTCAAAGAGCTGTAAGGACATCCCAAACCATTTGAAGACACAGACACTACAGTCATTATCTTAAAATCTGGTTAATTAAGGCTCTAAGTGTCATTTCAAACATTTTGACTTCCGGGTACTTTATATTTAAGTTTCTATCTAATTTTCTTGTTCTCTTGACCATTAGGAATCTATTTTTTCTTCTCACATTGAATCTTTTTGTTTCCATGTTAGCAGGAAAATAACTCTAGAATATTTCTGATGCAGTCTTTCAACCCATCTTTCTTACTTGCCAAGTGTTGATGAAATGTCATAATTAAAAGTGATCTGTTTCTTCTGTGGTGACTAAGCTAAAACATGCTCCTTGCTTGGCAGAATAATTTGTTTTTTGACTGTTGAAAGAAACAAATTGTAAACATAATATTAAGTTAGTGTTAAGATTGACAAACCATATACTTAACAGATTGGGTAATTGCTATTTCCCCAAATAAGGTAAAAGAATCCATTAAGTTATGGGTTAACGGTCAAGTGAACAGGTTGACTTGAAACCACAAGTACCATTTAAGATGCTTTTAGCTGAAAGTCATAGAAGACCCATAATGCCTAAACATTTACAAAATTAATTACCTTACAACATAAACTAGGTGGTAGAGAATTCTCCAAAGTTGGCTAATTCAACATGTAATTTAAATAGAATATTCCTCACTGTGTGAGCTTTAGTCCTCACATTCATCCTGGTTGCAAGATTCTGCAGCACCTCCATGCAGAAGCTCCCTCTGAGGCAGGACTGGAACTCTGCTTTCTCCTTTTTTTCACTTTTTAAAAGCAGAGAAACCTTTCCCCAAAAGCCACCCAGTAGACTTCCACCTACATCTGATTGGCCAAAGTTGTGTTAAATGCTTATGACTAAGCCCAAATCAGAGAGGACAGTGGGTTGCCATGCTTGTCTCAGGCCGCTTGATTCACCCACCGAGATGAGAGAGAAACTCCTCCTTTCATGAAGGGCATGACCCCCAACACCTACTCGAAGGCAGAGTTCTGTCAGCCAGGGAAAGATGGGCAGAATGGCTGCTGGGTGGAAAAGCATGTGCTGTGATTTGAATGTGTGTCCCCTCCAAACTCATGTTGAAATGTGATCCCCAGTGTTGGTGGTTGGGCCTGGTGGGAGGTGTCTGGGTCATGGGGGTGGATCCCTCATGAATGGCTTGGTGCAGTTGCCATGGTAATGAGTGAGTTCTCACTCTGCTAGTTCCAATGGGAGCTGGTTGTTTAAAGGAGCCTTGGCACCTCTTCTTCCTCTCTCTCTTGCTCCCTCTTTCACCATGTGACATGCCTGCTCCCCCTTTGCCTTCTGCTATGATTGCAAGCTTCCTGAGGCCTCACCAGAAGCAGATGCCAGCACCACACTTCTCATACAGGCTGCAGAACTGTGAGCCAAATAAACCTCTTTTCTCTATAAATTACCCAGTCTCAGGTATTTCTTTATAGCAACACAGAGTGAGCTAACACAGCATGGCAAGCACCAGTGTCTGCCTGCACAGTCTTCTGGTGTTCCTCCTATCTCTCCAGCTGCTCCCCTGTCAACCCCTTTGCTTAGTCCTCCTCTGCCTCTCCTCTAAATATCCTCCTGGGCCCTCTTCTCTATGAGTGCTCTCTGCTTAGAAAATCTCACCCGGGCTCTAGTCCTGTGGTTTTAAATGGCATCCACATGCTGGCAACCCTCCAAATTGATAGCCTCAGCTCTGACCTCTCCTCTGAGCTCCATATCTGGACACCTAACTGTCCATTTGACATCTCAACGTTCATGTCTCAGAAGCATCTCAAACATGATATATTCCAAACAGAAATTTTTATATTTCCCAAATCAGCAACTCCCCAAGTGTTTCCAGCTTAGAAAATGGCATCTCCATCTGCCCAGTTGTTCAGGACAGATGCCCAGGAGTCAGTCTTGACTCTTACCTTCCCTAATGACACAACTCCACCACTTTTTTTCTGTTCAATCTGTTATCTAGCATGGTGCTCCAAGGGCCCAGCCAACATCAGGTGCTCAATAAATATTTGTTGAAAATTGATTGAATGTACTTGTATAATATGAACCTTGACGGAAGGGTGGAAATGTGGAAGTTAGAAGGAGCATGAGGTTGGCATTCTGGTAAAGGTGTTCATTCTAAGATTAATTGAAGGCAGTGTTTACAATGCATTCTGGGAGGTATAATGCCATTATTCCTCCTCGATTCAAATGTAATCCCACCCATATTTGAACAAGACTTTCATGGGCACTAAAGCAGTGGTGGAGACAGAGTCTTATAATTTACTTGGAGCTTCTCAGATGCACTGGCCTCCAGAATGCACCTGGTGGCAACACCATGTTTGATGACACAGTGCACAGTGAGGACCCAACGTGAGTTGAAATTGTAATGCATGACCTGGATTTCCTCTCAATAAGGCCTGTGATCAGTGACTGCCGAAATGGGGAGCTGAGGGATGTTGTTCTTTTCTTTCCCATTGTCAGTGATACTGATTGCCATGATGTTGAAAAAATGGAAGATTCTATCAGTCAGCTACTGCTGCAAGGCAAGCACCTACAAAATCTTGGTGGCATAGAGCAATAAACATTTATTTCACATGCATCTGCTGCTTGGCTGGAGTGGCTTGTCTAGGCTGGAGTAGGTCTTAGAGCTGTTGATCTGACTGGATTTGCAGGTGGTGACTCCTCCCCATGTGTATTCATCTGGGTCCCAGCTAAAATGACAGCAGCTACCAGAGGCAGACTCTTCTCACAGTGATGACAGGAGGGCAAGTGGAAACTCCTTGAAACCTTTTAAAGCCTAGACTCGCAACTGGCACCCTGCCACTTCTGTCAGTTAGTCAAAGCGAGCTGCAAGACCAAGCCTGGAGTCAAGGGCAGTGCATGATGCCTTTTGTAGGAGGATTCACAGGGTTATAGGGCAAAGAGTATGGATATAAGGAGCAGGAGGAATTGGGGCAATAATTGAGTCCACTGAGTATATACCACACATGGGAGAAGACAAAAGAGAAAGCCTGGACTCAGGTTGAAGTGATGGAGTCCAGGGTGGAGCTGCCTGTCTCTCTATTCCTGGCTGCATCTCACTGTAATTCAGAGTACACCGTATGTTCCCTTTGGAATAGACTACCCGATAGAGTCTCCATCTCTCCCAAATCCATTTGCTATTTATTCAGTAATGCCTGGACTACTTTCCAGGCTGGTGCCCTGGATGTTGATTCCTCTAGTACGGTTGTTATGGGAAACATTTCATTTCACATCTGCTGACACAATTTGCTGTCTCTCTAAAAAAAAAAAGAAGAAGAAGAAAAGGAGAAAGAGAGAGAGGTTCATACTCCAATGGCTGTAAAGGATAAGGAGTAATTTATTCAGAGCTATATACAAATCAGACTATCTTCTTCCAGACAGAATCAATAATATAATTTTAAGCCCACACACATTTACAAACGCCAGCACTCCCGTGCAGCTGGGTTGCCATGGGCAACCAGGGCATGCCAGCTCCTGATCTGAAGCAGGCCGATGTCTCCCAGCCTTGTAAGCACATTCTGCAGACAGAATTCACAGAATTCAAGGGAGCTGAGGATGTTAGTGTTGGCTCTGATCTGACCGCCACACAAATGCATCCCTGTGATGGTTTGGATTAGCTCTTGTCTGAACTGCTTAGCTTTATTTAAACTTCTGTTTGCACAGGACTTCTTCAGTCTCCCTTCTGTGTCTGTGTTTCAGCAGGCTGGAGATGGAGGGGGAGGTGTGTGAAGGACCTGTGGGCAGGGAGGAGAGCAGGTAATGAGAGTTCCACCCACAGCCACTGGTGGTCACAACAGCCAAGGGTGGGGCTCAGGTCCACTGAGGGCAGGCTGGATGCTAAACCAATGGATCTTCCCAATAAGAACTGGGCCCGGTGGATCTTCCCAATAAGAGAGCCTGATGGGGTGTTGGGAGTGGATGTGTGTTGGATGTGAAAACAAGAGCCAGAAACAGGAAGGTAGGAAGGAGAGAAGAGGGTGGTCTGGCAAACACAAACATTGGGAGCAGGTAGGGACAGGCAGGTCCCGGTAAAAGGGCTGGGGATGGGGAGAGTGTGCAGGAATGACCCATGATGGTTGCATTTGGATATGTCAGTACAAACCTAAATGCACTGTCAAAGGAAGCCTGAATTAGAGATTTCCTGGTGAGGAAGTCACTGACCTTCACAAAAACCATGAAAACATTTAATGAAGAATGCAGAAATTTTTTTTTTAATTAAGTAGTATGATAAAATCATGTGACCTGTCCCTACCCAACTGGACCTAGTCTTGGTCAGACACAAAGAGGAACAGATGGATAGAGAGGCCTGGGCTGTATCCCACACCCACCACTGAACCAGCATAGCCTCGACCTGTAACAGAGGCTTCGACCTCCGTGTACACATCTGCTGCAATGGAGAGGTGCCTTGTGGGGGAACAACTGAGCAAAAGGACTTAGGGGAGACTGGGCTGGTGAGGGGACCTGTAAGCCTGGGGTTTGTGTGAGTTGGGGTCGGGGGAGACTTATCAGAAAAGTCTTTAAAGTGCAGCAGAAAAATTGCAGGAAGCACTTGGAGATCACCTGGTCCAACCACCTCATTTTACAGACAAGAAAGTTCAGATCACAAAAGTTAAATAATTTGCCCGAGGTCAGAAAACCCGAGAGAGGCAGGTGGAAGGCAGTGGGGCTGTACTGACCATGGGGCAGGGGGAAGCCCCAGGCTCCAAGCAGAGGGTGGCACAAGGAAAGGAAGGGTCAGGAAAGTAGATCTGGGATCTAGAAGGATCACGGAGAATGGCAAAAGTTAGGGGGCCCCAGAAACCACTGCTGTTGGGGGTCACAGTGACAGCGGACAACAGGAGGACACTGGCTAATGACATGGCCCTGGGCAGATAAAGGGGATGAGGGTGAGAAAGAGTAAAATCATGGCTGGACTTCTGAGTGTCGGCAGCAGGTCAGATGGTGCTTCTGTTTCCAGGAGAGTGAGGAACGGGAGAGTAAAAGATGACTCTGTTTGGGAGGCTGGGCAGCTGGTTATATGGTGGGATCGTTCCTAGGGAATGAGTCTGCAGCAGCTCCCAGCATGCTGAAGATGGAGGAGCCAGTCAGACAACCGGGGGAGAAATCCTGCCTCCAGGGAAGGCTACCCTGCACCTTTAGGATCAGTGGGACCCCCACCCACCACGCCTCACTCATGTGAGGGCAAGCTCCACTGTCTCTGGCTCCAGGGCTTGTCTCTGACTCTTATCTCCCTCGTTCCTAAATCCTCTGGCTTCCTATTTTCCAGTATAGACCCCCAAGTTCTGATCTTCTTCTATTAATCTGTGGGCACAATCACCTCTGAAGTACTAATCTCGACCATTGCCATCAGATGCCTGATTCCTTGTGCACACAGACATCAATGACACCAACATTTCTGCATGAGGACAAGACACGCTTTCCCACTGTCTGTCCTGAGGGACCCCTTTTCTGAGTAACCTCACCCTGCTGCAATGGTGCCTCCCATAGCTCTCCTGAGCTCCAGACCTTTATTGCTAATTTCCTGGTAAGCCTCTTTACCCAGATATCTCAAAAGGGGCTTTGATGACTCCAGCAGAATCAATTATCTTAAACTCCATTTCTTTTCTCCTTTTCTCATAGCCTCTTCCCACTGTGCCAGTCAGAACCCTGGAGCCATCCTTCCTCTCCCCAAGCCCTGCAGTCACTGCTGCTGCTTGTCTCCATCCCCACTGTCCTGCCTTGCTGCAGGTCCACTGCACTTCCATCCTGGGCTGCTGCAAAGGATCTCCTTCACTTCCAATCTCTCCATGCTACAGGGAAAATGGTCTTTCTCCGAAGCCTTGCTGAGATGACTCTTCATTTTCTTAGGAATGATGAAATCCAACCTCCTTAATATGACCTGCACTTTCCTTCAGGATCCCACCTCTACACATTTTTTGGCCTTATCTCTTTCCTTTTCCTGGCTGGTGCCAGAATTTCCTCATGCTTAATCACTAGCAGCGCCATGACTACATCCAGCATCCAGCTCATTGTTGCTTCTGCACGGTTGTACTTGTTCTGTCTGTTCCTGGAAGAACAGCCCCTCTTGTCTGCCTGAAAAACTAATACTTACCCTTCCAATGGCTTCTCCTTTGGGAAGCACCTCCCCACCCAACCTTGGCAGCCAGAGTTAACGGCTTCCTCTCCGTGTTGTTGAAGAGCCCCAAGGACACCCTCTGACATGGCACTTACTGTGGTATAAAATTGTTGGCTCGCCTCTCTGTCCTTGGTTTTGTCTTCACTGTCTCAGCAGCTAGCATGTTGTCTGGTGTAGGGTACGTTTTTAACAAATGCTGGTCAAAGTAAGATGATGGAGGAAGAAATGAGTGATGAGTTCCAGCAGTGCTCCCTCACTGTGCCCGCTCCCATTCTGAAGGAGCTGCTTTCAGTGTTGAACAGAGGCTGACTCCCAAGTAAACCACCCCCTGCAGACTAGCTGCAGCTTTGCGGGTACAGATTCTGCTAAGCTGGGATAGCAACAGTATTTAGAACCAGAAGGAAACCTAGGGATTCCTTAGCACACCTTCTAATTTTAGGAGCAAGGCTCAGAGAGTGAGGCAGCATGGCCAAGGTCACATGACTGGATAGTTAGAAAGCCACTTCAGCCAGGTACAATGACTCACACCTCTAATCCTAGCACTTTGAGAGGCTGAAGCCAAGTGGATTGCTGGAGCCCAGGAGTTCAAGGCCAGCCTGAGCAATATAGTGAGACCTTATCTCTACAGAAGATTTAAAAACTAGCCAGGCATGGTGGTGCATGCCTGTGGCCCTAGCTACTTGGGGGAGCTGAGCTTGAGCCCGGGAGGTCAAGGCTGAAAGGAGCTGGAATCACGTAACTCCACTCCAGTCTGGGAATACAATGAGATCATATCTCAAAAAAAAAAAAAAAGAAAGAAAGAAAGCCACTTGAACACAGAGCTGACCTAAAGTTCCTTGGTCTTTTTCCTGCAAACATTCTGCTTGCTACAAATGGATGGGCTAATTCTTTCATTTAAACAACACTTTTTTTTTTTTTTGGCTACAAAATAAGTGTTCATTATAGAAAATTATAAATTGATTGTTTAGGCTCACTGTAGAAAATAAAGAGAAAAGCAAAGAGAAGAAGATAGGAATCATGTGTGGACATTCCACCAGAAAGACAATTAGTTCCTTCTATTTTGGCTTTTTGGATTGCAAGGAACAGAATCCCCTGGAGTTGACTCAAGCCAAAAGGCTTCGTGGTAGGGACGCAGGTGGAATAACAAAAAATCTCACAGAAATCTTAGAGCAAGAAGCTGTCTCAGGGCTGGTCCTTATTAAGCTGGAGGGAGAGTGGCTTTGGATTCAAAGGATATTCAGGGACCCAAGAACAAATAGCTCAAAATTTTTACCCTGGAACCCCACTGTTTATACAACTCAGCTCACTCCACATGCCTGCTTCTTTCGGTCCCGCCAGGATACTTTGCAAATGTGCTAGTTTAAACACCGAGAGAGACTCTCACTGGTCCAGCCCATCTTTTCAATAGTCCTCGGATTGATGGACATCCTTTATACTATGCCCAATCAGCTGTGAGCTAGAGCGTCAAGGGCTTGTGGCCAGCCTCTTGTAGGATAGTAGGAGGCTGTCCTGGCCTCGATGATAATAATGATAATAGTCAACATGCATGGAGCACCTGCTACATGCCTTGCACTACTCTAAACACTGCCCACACGTTATAACATTAGCTTTCCTTTTCGCTCTATGAGGCAGGCACTGTGATGATCACCACTTGACAGTTGGGGAAATTAAATATCGTAAGCTGTACAGCTGTAGCTCTATACTTGACTGCCCTAGCTAAAAAGGTGATGCATCCATAACGCTCCCATCTCCTATCCTTCTCTCCCCCATCAGTCCCCTTCCTGCCAAGTCCCAGTGCTCTCACTTTGGTTGCCCCAAGTACTTCGCTTAAGTGCTCCACGCTCCAGAATCATCTCTACTCCCTCTCCCCTCTCCCATCCACCCAAATCCTGCTTCACTCAGTTCACCCCGTCTCTCCACCTTCCCTTTACCTGACCCCAGAGAAGCTTGGTTTGGCCTTTCGGAGTGTAGGGCCTGCCGTTAGTAGAGGATTCTTTCCTCTAGGGTAGACTCTGTGTTCTTTGGACACAGTGAAATTAAATACCAGGGCACCGGGCCGGGCATGGTGGCTCACTCCTGTAATCCCAGCACTTTGGGAGGCCGAGGTGGGCGGATCATGAGGTCAAAAGATCAACACCATCCTGGCCAACATGGTGAAACCCCATCTCTACTAAAAAATACAAAAATTAGCTGGGCACGGTGGCGCATGCCTGTAGCCCCAGCTACTTGGGAGGCTGAAGCAGGAGAATCGCTTGAACCCGGGAGGCGGAGCTTGCAGTTAGCTGACATGGCGCCACTGCACTCCAGCCTGGTGACAGAGCGAGACTCCGTTTCAAAAAAAAAAAAAAAAAAAAATCAGGGCTCCAAGAGTGAGAGTGTCCTTTTTTTTTTTTTTTGAGACGGAGTCTCGCTCTGTCGCCCAGGCTGGAGTGCAGTGGCGTGATCCAGGCTCACTGCAAGCTCCGCCTCCCGGGTTCACGCCATCCTCCTGCCTCAGCCTCCCGAGTAGCTGGGACTACAGGTGCCCGCCACCACGCCCGGCTAATTTTTTGTATTTTTTAGTAGAGACAGGATTTCACTGTTTTAGCCAGGATGGTCTCGAACTCCTGACCTCGTGATCCTCCCGCCTTGGCCTCCCAAAGTGCTGGGATTACAGGCGTGAGCCACCGTGCCCCGCAGAGAGTGTCCTTAAAGAGTTTCACAGACTATGTAGTATGGATTCCTACATGCAGAATCCAAGCCACATCCAGGTTTTACCACGATGCTCCCAGCCTCCTGCCTAAAGTGGCACTGTTAATCACCCACAAATCCTGAGCCCTGAAGATGGCAGTCCTCTGATGACAGGGGACAGAAGACCTGCAGTCCAGCTTATAACCTACAGCTGGGCCCTAAATGAGACAACTTCCTTTCCCCTGAGTCAAATTAGGGGCAAGATGAAATGAGCTTGCAAACTTCTGCGGCCCTATTTGGCAACCAGAGAGATGAGTTTTCCCCTAATCTCTCTATTTCAAGAAGATCCAGCAAGCAAGATCTTTAAACGGAGGAAGTTTAAGCAAGGGACTAGTAGGCATTATGTTCTCCTAAGCACAGACACGAAAGGGCAGAGTACTTGGGCATAGAAGCCTAGAATCTATTGTTGCCTCTGTTTCCTCAAGACGGAAACACTCATATGGAAGAACCGCGATCTCAGGCACCTTTGGGAATTTTCCTGAGCAGCCCCCAAAGTGCTGTTGTAAAATTAACTGTAATTAGGATTATTGTTTAAACAAACTGTCACTTATATCTAATTACCATGTAATACAATCAAAATTATCATGAAATACATGTCAGATTCACTTTGTGGTAGACTTTATGTGATTACAATCTTTACCTTCTGTGGATTTTTTTCCTTGGTAGTTTACTACTTACTTGTTACATTACATGTGCAGAACTAAAAGCATTTAAGAAATGAGTGGCTGGGATAGAGACCCCTTTCTTGTCCTGTTTTTCATTCATTATTTATGAATAAATAAGAAAGAAGTATTATTTTTATGATTATCTTTTGTGACAGGGTCTTGCTATGTTGTCCAGGCTGGTCTTGACCTCTCCCGGGTTCAAGTGATCCTCCTGCCTCCGCCTCCTGAGCAGGTGGGAATACAGGCACGTGCCACCGTGCCAGGCTCCTGCTTTTCTTTCTTTTCTTCCTAAAGAGGGTGAGAAGGTCTTTCAGCCTGATGTCTTCCATCTTGATCAATAAAGGCAGAGCGCCTATCCCCCTACCTTCTAGAGTCATTTTCGTGGGAAGGTGGCTGTTGTGGCTGCACAGAAGGGAGTCGCATGCGGGCTGGGTGGGCCCAGTCTCACCGAGACCCTGATGGGCCAGTGTCTCGGGTGGGGTCTGTGCAGCATACTGAACACAGCGGCGATCCTGAGGGACCCGTGATGCTTCTAGCCCAAACCTGCCCCGCTGGGTCTTGGCCGATGGACCAGCAGGGGCCGCCGAGTGCCGACCCCCGGGTGGGCCTGCCTCACCCGGCGGAGAATGCACAGCCACTCTGTGGGAACCGAGGAGCTTCCGCACCACTCAGGCCTGGCTAGGAGCCCAAGCGCAGAAAAGGTAGGGGCGCAGCCACATCGGTGGGCCAGGGCAGTCTGCCAGGCGGGACCTTGGGACGGGGCTGGAATCCCCTAGGCACGGCCAGGAGGTTAGCCTTCTGCCAATGACCCCGTTTAAAGCCCAGGTCCAGAACAGGTGCTTGGTGGCCTGCTGCGGAAGGTGGCATCCCGCCTTTGCTGCCTATAACTCCCCTCCCCAAACTCGCACACCTCCCAGCCACCCCCGTACACACATGGCCAGCTTCTGCGAGTTTCTTCCTCTAATTTTCCCATGCCCACCAATACTTCCCTTTCTATGCCCACTTCCTTTCCAGTCCAATCCCATTCTTGACTTTCCAGAGTGACAATCACCTCTTTGGATAAATCAGATTCATGCTAACAATGTTAGTGTATAAATAATTTCCAGTAATCCCCTGCACTTGATTTCAATTCAGCAAACATTTATGGAGCAATTCCATAGACTGGGCCCTAGAGAAAAATCAAACTTAAACAAAATCCAGCCCCTCAAGGCTTTACACAGCTAGCGCATTTTTTCCTCAAAAGAGTTGTTTTTAGGTGGTACCATAATGAGATTTTTAAAATTTTAATAATGTCATTTACATGTTAACATGCTGTAAGAGTATAACAAGTACATGAAATCCATTATTTCAAGATTACTTTTGTTTAGAGTGAGGCTAAAGAAGGTAGTATGTAAAATAAGTGAGGCTACTTGAAGAAGAATATTCAGTAAATGACACCGAAATGGCAAAATCTGTGCAGATGATGGACTCATGGCTAATTTCTAGGAAGCAGGAACTCAATGGGAGAGGAAGACTGTATCCAAACGACATGTAATCCTAACAGGGAAACTGAGAGGGGGAAATTACTTGCGGCTTTGGGAACACGGAAGGCTTCTTGGAGGAGGTAGCATTTGAGATGGGCCTTGATGGACAGCAGAAATAAAACTAATGTTGAACGGTAAGGTGGAAATGGATCATAAGGAGTTAAGAACTGGGGTTTTTTCCTTTTCCCTTAGTGACCTGTGCAAATAATATAACAAAAGAGGCTTTCCTGAAGGCAGGGATCTTCATACTGTGGGTGAGATCAATGGGTCAGAAAATTGATTTACTGGAATATGACTGGCATCTAAAATACTGACCAACAGTTACTGTCAAAGTGCAGCTTCCAGCATAAGCATAAGCAGTGCGAAACTTTTGTTTCCAAGTGAAGATGGAGTCATTTGAGTCCTGTGAAATGGTCACAGTCAAGGAAGTCTGAAACCCGTTACCCTGTGTGTGATGCACTTTCAAGCATGGTGGAGCCTCAGGAGGAATCTATTGCTGGTCCCCTCTCAAGTTGGGGCACACAGAAGTCATCTGTGTTGGCTCCACTTCAACCTTCCCATTCCCAGCAAGTCTTTTTTCAGTCTGCTGGGATAATGTAGGAAGTTTTGGCAGCTGTCAGAGGATGACAGAGCTTTATGGGGCATACTTCATGGCTGAGAGTGAGTTTTTAACTGAGGCCAACCTGGGTTTTTTGTTTTTTTGGGTTTTTTTTTTTTTGCACTTTATTTATCAACTAGATACAATACAATATTGAGCTTTTTTATTGCTATTTATTTATCAACTAGCCTTATTTATCAACTAGATACATAATAAACTGTGCATATTGAATGTATACAATTTGATGAATTTGGACATATGCATACACCCATGAAACCATCATCACAAAAAAAGTAATAAACATATCCACTACCTCCAAAACTTTCCCTATGCCGTGTGTGTGTGTGTGTGTGTGTGTGTGTGTGTGTGTGTGTGTTAAGAGCACTTACTATGAGATATACCCTATTAACAAAATTGTAAGTGCATTCAGTATTGATGACTTTGGTAGTATCGTTGGCTATAGGTGCAATGCTATACAGCAGATCCCTAGAACTAATTCATCTTGCATAACTGAAACTTTATAGAGGTTCCTCAAACAATTAAAAATAGAACTACCATATGATCCAGCAATCCGACTTCTGAACGTATACCCAAAAGAACTGAAATCAGGATCTCAAAGAGATGTCTGCACACCCATGTTCGTAGCAGCACTGTTGACAATAGCCAAGATATGGAAATAACTCCACCTGGTTTCCATCCTTTGCTAATTGGGTTAGCCAGTCTGGGGACTGCAGTTACCCAAGCCATATTGCTTGTGACTGGACTATGTTTGGTGGGGTGTCTCTGAGGCCCGAGGCTCCCCATTGCCAGCTTGGAATAGTGACAGGATCTGAAGCTCCCAGCGTGAGGTGTGTGTGAGCTGGTGCAGGATCCAGTCTGTGTGGGAGGACGTGGGATGATGCCTCTTCAAAGTAAAAAGTGATGGCCTCAGTGGCACACATTTAAATTCGCTGCAGGAAAATAAGCACACAGCAGCTATTTTTAATTTGCCTTAGAACATGCAAGAGCCAGCATTGCTCATAGAGCAAAATATTGGCTTTGGATAGAGGAGATGAAGAGTTTCTGAGTTTCACTTCTCACTTCTTTGCTGAGAGACACTGGGAAAGAGCTCAGGGAAGACAGCAAGTGGCTGAACTGGGCCATTTGTGAGCCGGTACGAGTTCACCTTCAGTGTCGCCACACTCCTTTCATCTCTGAGGACCCCAAGCTTGTTCCCCTAGCACCGCAGGTCAACTCCTTCATATAGTACTGTTCCCTCTCTCAAGGTCTGCTCCCAGGCAAAGTTCTGGAAGTTGTTTTCTCAATCTGGTGTAAAAGACTGATAATAGCTTGCACGTACCTTTGCAGACGTTTTTGTATTTCGACAAGGCTGAACACCTTAATGCCAAGCTGTGCTGCTCCAGTTGGCCTGCCCGGCACATCAGTGGGCAGCGTGTCTGTAAGGGGAGGGGCCTTTCCTGACACAGCTGGAGCACAGCATGTAGTAGCTGTTTATTCCACCTCGGCAGACAGTCAGATTTAGTTGACACTACTTAGAATTAGATTTTTAAAGCTGGAAAGAACCTGGTCGAATTTCCTTCCATTAAAGATAAAGAAACAGACCTGGAGGCCTGATGTCACTTCAGTTCAATTCAACAGGTGTTTTCTAAGCACCTACTGTGTGCCAGACACCAGCCTGACATAAGAGAAGCAATGAGTGATATGATACGGCACTTGGCCTCCGTCTTCCCACCCTCACACGGTCAGGCGGGGCAGATGCAGGACTGCATTCTTGCTTCTGCAGGCAGGTGCACTAAGAGTGGGCAGACAGACCACCAGTAGGGCCAGTGTTGGAAATCATTCTTCAATTTGCTAGAACTGTGAAGAATGACTCATACAGCACTCCCAGAAGGGTACCGTCATTGTCATATCTCTGAAATCTTGGGAAATAAAGTTAGATCTCAAATGTAGGGATTAGGGACACAAACCCAGGAAGTTCATAACTGTAAACTTCTCTCAATTCAGTTGAATTCAACAAACATTTGTTGAGTGCTTATTTGTGCCCATTACTGAGAAGGGTACCAAGAGCACAGAAAATACCTGTTGAATTGCTAACATAAGAAAGTCTTGTGGCAAAGCGTGATGTGGTTTTCAAACTGCAGCTCTCTGCCCCCTAGTGAGTCATGACATCAGCTTAGTGTATAGTAGACACAACTTAGGCGTAGAGAAAAGGAAATAGAATAGAAAAAAATAAGAGCACTTTACACAAATTAAAGGTCAATAGTGTTTCACAAAATATGGTGTATATGTGAGTGTGTGTATATAATCAATAGCATGTGTGCATATATATGTTTAACAGATTCTTACTGAGGATTATGATATAAGAGAAAATTTGTAAGTCATGATTTACAACACATACCATAGGAAGAGGTGATGCTTCAGGCTATGTGCCTGTGGTAGAACCAACTAGAATGTAAGTTAATAGACAGTGTATCAGTTATGGATTGCCAGAGTCATGCTGCATAACACATTACCACAAAACCTCAGTGGCACACAAGAGTACTCACTGGTTTTCTCAGGTGCCTGCTCATCAGCTAGAGAATTCTGTTGGCCATAGTTAGCTGGATCACACATCTGAAACCCGGCAGGCCATTGGCTGACCTAAGATGAGCTTGGCTGGGAACCAGGGCACCGTGGCTTGTTCCGTGTATCTCTCCTCTTCCAGCAGACGAGCGTGGGCATGTTCTCAGGGAGATCAAATGAGAGAGAGGACACACACATTGTGCATACCTTTTAAAGCCTCTTTGGCATCATGTTTTCTAATTTTCCACTGACCAAAGTCACAAGCCAAGCTCCAAATTATATGGCAAAGAGTGTGGGCCATTTTTACAGTTTACCACAACAATAAGCAGTAAGGTTGGATTTGCTCTGATTCATCCTGTCCCCAGACTCTTGGCTTTCCCTTTTTTTTATCTTGATTTGAGCATCTGGTGCCTACAACTCCAGAGGGTATGGCTAGAGCCTTTATTCCCTTTGCAACCTAATAGGTGAAAAAGTTACAGATGGACAGCAAGGAGGGGCCCTAGGGAGACCCACTAGAAAGAAGATACAATACAGGACCTGGCAGGGACCTGGCATCTCCTGGCAGGGCAGGGCTGGGTGGAGGGCAGTCAGGAGAGAGGGTGTGAGGGAATCTACAGGAGGGAATTTGACAACTTGGAACATCCTTGTTCTTCCCAATTTTGTATTCAATTCAATCAACTTGTTCCAGGAAGAGGATAAATTAATCCCATTTCTAATGTAGAAAAAAACAAGCCTTCTATTCCTGCCACTAATCCGTGATGTGACCTTCGACAAGATACTTCTCTGGGTCTCAGTTTCCCCACTGTAAAGGAAGGGGGATGACTCTATGGGTTGGATGGTGCCTTCCAGCTTCGTCTTCTCTGCCTTCCTCCAATGCCTTGCTCATGGTACAGATGCATTGCTTAAGGCCCACTCCACCCTCCAGTGCTCAGGACACAGAGCTAATCCATCCTAACCTTCCCTATTAGGGTGGTCATTGCCCTAATAGCCTTCTCAACATCCCCCTCCACTGCTATAGCTGACCAGTGTATACAGGCAAGATGAGCTCTGCCATGCTTATTTGGTAAAGCTGGAGGAAGCAACTCTCTTTATTTCTAAGCCACTAAGAGGCCATGGAATATACCCAAGCAGCTGGAAAAGCAGCAATGTACTCATTTCAGATTAATTTAGAGAAGCGAGCTGGAAAATGCTTGGGCCGTGCCTTGCAACAAATTTGGATCCTCTTAAAAGCTCACATAAGCTGTGATATCCTGATGGTAGGAAGTCTTTAATACTCACTGGGGGAAGGGGAAGGATCTGACTCTTTAAAGGTCACTGTTACTTTTAACTATTTTAAAAGAATAATAAAGGAAGAACACCTTCAAGTAAAGGCATTTAAGGTTCATTTCTAAGGGACCAGCAACTTGGGTTAGAACAATTTACACTAATTTTACACTGGATGAGAAGAGAGGTGATAGGGGACATTAGAGACCGGCAAGTCCACACTGCTCCCCCTCTGCTCATCCATCTGTGCTGTCCCTGGAGGTAGCTGGGGACCTCAAGCAGAGTCTGGAGAAGGGGGCTTGAGTGACCAGTGAGCAGCGTGGCTCTCCTGTGCTGGGATCCTGGTTCCAGCACTTACTAGCTGTGGGAAGCCTGGCAAGTTCATCAACCTTTCTGTGCCTCAGTTTCCTGATCTATAAAATGGAGACAATAATTGTATCTCTCCTACAGAGTTGATGAGAGGATTAACACAAACGTGCATGTAAAAGACTCAATGCTTGGCACATAATAACCTCAACAGAGGCTAGATATTAGTGACAGTGCTGTCAAGCCTGCATTCATTATTTTAAAATTAAAGTACTTTTCTAATTTTTGGCTCCTAACATGGCTAAAAAGACAACCCTCTTTCAAATTTCAGCTTGTGTTGGGTTTGAAAGTCCCCAGCACAATCGCCCCCACCATTTTTTCCCTCCTTCCCTTGCTTAAGCAATATCTGGTCTCCATTTTTACACAAGTGGTTTAACAATCTAGATTCACTGACGAGCTCCCCTTAGACTTCCCTCCTTTCCTCTTCATCTGGACAAGCTGCTGGGGAATCCTCTGAATTTCAACCCCGGGGAAGCCCCAAACCTTCTGGAGTCACTTTCTCTTTTAGAATCTTAAGACCATTGATTATATCTGTCTATTTTCTGAAGCTGTAGAGACAGCCACTCAAGAAACAGAATTTCAAAAGGATACTATATTCGATGAATTAGTCAATTCCCTTGTGGTAGACATGAAATTATCCCTAAACCACCCCAACAGAGGAGACTCTTACAGTGAGAGGCAAAGAGATGCTGGGTTTTAACAATAGGAGAGCTCATTTGCAATGCAAATGAGCAACCAGCAGGCAAATGAACCCTTATGGGAAAACCACTCTAATCATAAAACCTATTTGCTTTGGGGAAACTGCAATGTAAGGACAAGCAGAATCATAGCTCCGTGAATTCCCTCTAATATAGGATATTAGGGAATTATCCAGGTAGTTTTCTATGAAATTGTGCTTGAATGAAACAAAATGCATTGCTGGGCGGTAGATAATATCTTTAAAAATTGAATCCACAATTGCAGACTAAATTATTTATGGTTGTCACTATAGCTGTGATAGTTTGGATATGAAATAGTCAGGCCTTTCCCTTTGTTTTTATTTGTAGGAAAACAAGTCATTCAAGCTTTTTAGTGATACAATGTGACTTGCTGTCGATGGCAGTTACGAATTTCCAAGCCCTGCCAAGCACAGGAGTACCCAGAAGGGACATATGTTTTCTCTGCTTTGTGTTCCAAATTTGCCTTAAAAACATGCAATTATGTGAAGGCCTGATATATATTTTCAAGGAAAAGCACAATAATGGCCCTGTTTTCTAGCTGTGTTTCTCCAAAACGTATTTATATTGCTGCCTTTAAAAAAGAAGTTGGCTAATGATCACTGGATTTTTGCTTTCCTTCGTGACATATGAAAATTTGATGGGGTCTGTGAGATTTAAGAACTGTTTTCTTAAGTGCAAAGGAAATTTAGTTAACATAGTGTGTGCCAAGAGCCTGACAAATCTTCTGTAGTTACCTTTCATCCATTTCCTTATTTTTGTGAAGGGTGGGAGAAGGGAGGCAGGAAGTGAGAGAAGATGTGGCCAGAGGCAGTGATGGTAGCGTGACCCCAGAGGACAGACAGCAAACCTCAGCCGGCTCCTAAGGCATGACAGGTGTGGGTGTGTCATGCTTGTTGGTGGAGGTGGGGTGAGGTGGGATATTTGTTGCGGATGGCTCTGAGGAGAAGTTGTGAAGGGAAAAAGGCTTTTTGGTTGCATTTTATGCTTAAATGAAAATTACTGTAAAACCCTTTATAAATTATATAATCACACTCCCTTTAGATTTCATGCCCTTCATTGCTATTATTAATGATGGCTTTCACTCCACTGTCTCAGCAGCATTTCCAGGAAATTTATTGAGACAAGATGAGTTAGTCTCTTTCTGGATTGGGGAGCCCCCTCCTGGGAGGTAGGGCAATTTTTGTTGTTGCTGTTTTTTTCTTTTTCAGTGATGAAGGTAGAGAAAGGCAAAAGGCCAATTCCACATAAAATGCTAGTTAGTGGACAGGCAATCCATCGCAGTAAAAAAATTTCAGGAAGTATTGAAGCTAAGACGAAAAAATATTCAGGTACAGTGGAAAAAATGAAAGTTTGTGGTAGAGATAACATATAGGCAATATATTTTGATTCCTTTGTACAAATCTGCAAAACAAATGTGTTTTATGTAACTTATGGACTAATAAAGTATTTATATCTGATATTTAGAATTGTAAGGGCTCAGAAAAATACAATGTGAAAAACTGTGACAGTAGCATGTCTTTCCTATAATTTTCCAACCTTAAGAGAAATAATTTTCAAATCCTTAAAAGTTGTTTCACCTTCTGGATTTCACATCTAGAACTCAGGAGAAGTCGTATAGGTGTTCTTAGAGACCGGATCTTTTTATTTTTATATTTATTTATATTTATTTATTTATTTTGAGACGGCGTCTCGCTCTTTCACCCAGGCTAGAGTGCAGTGCCGCAATCTCGGCTCACTGCGAGCTCCGCCTCCTGGGTTCACGCCATTCTCCTGCCTCAGCCTCCTAAGTAGCTGGGACTACAGGTGCCTGCCACCATGCCCGGCTAATTTTTTGAATTTTTAGTAGAGGTGGGGTTTCACCATGTTAGCCAGGATGGTCTCGATCTCCTGACCTCGTGATCTGGCCTCCTCTGCCTCCCAAAGTGCTGGTCGTGAGCCACCGCGCCCAGCCAAGACAGGATCTTTTTATTAAAGCTTAGACCCAAGTATGTTTTTCTCATGTGTTGTGTGCGAGCCTGGTAAACTCTCATCTGCTTTTTTGGATCCTAGAGAAGGCTTTGGCCAAAGAACACTTTGAATTAACTCAGTGGTAATGTCTTTTGTCTGATAAGGGAAATGGCTCTCAGTTTGATGAAATATCTTTTGCATGTATTTAAATACTGGTAAGATATTTCTCCCAGTTAACTTCTGAAATTACTTCCTGGGTTCCGTTCTTGCCAGAAGAGCCCTACAAAGAATTTTCAAGTAGAAACTTCAGGCTACATGTGTCTCCACTCTAGACCTGGGTCCTTGGTTTTGTTCCCCGATGAAAAGTAATTGTGAGGCCATTCAAGTCACAATCTGAAAGATGCTTTAATTTTATAAAACGGCAGATCTCCCAGTAGCTTTGGTGTCAGTCTGAGTTTTACAGGAGGGGCCACCACCTTGGAGACTGGTACACAGAGATTTCAGGAGATGATTCTATTGGAAGAAAAGCCAATTTCCTCCTTTGCTGTTTGCCTCAGGCCTCATGAGACAGTGTAAGAACATCAGAGCCTGACTTGGCTGTACTCACTGGTGATAGTTTATTCATTCTAAGCCAGATGTTTGGGGATTTTCATTTATAAAAGGCAAATTGGTGAGACAGTAGCTAAGAGACTGAAGGTGAGTAGGAGGTATTCTCTGGTGATCCGTTTATTGACTAAAAGAGATCCAGTTTCACTAACACCAGAGTTCCTCCATCCAATGGCCACAGCTTGAGAAAATTTACCCCAGAAAAAGAGATGGCAGGTCAGTTCCCCCAAGGCCTCCTCCTGGCTCAGCATGGGTGAGAGATGGGCTGGAGAGCAGAGGATGTGGCACAGGCAGCTCTAAAACAGAGGACCCCTGACAGGGGACAGAGTCTTTGGAATCTGACACAGTAAAATATTTGTAGACTGCCTTTTCTCATTCAGTCTAGTTCCTGATCCTTTTTTTGAGGGGGTGCGGAAGCTTCCTCTTTTCTCTCTCAAGTCAAAGCCTATCCTATCCTCCCTCTCCTCCCACTACCTCTCTACCTCCTCCTTCCTTCCACCCAGTAAAGCCAACCCTACCCTAGAATTTGGGGTTGTGGAATCAATTGAATTGGCATAGAGACTCACAACAGTGAGGGCTGGAATATCCAAATTACCTGGAGGCTCAGCTTATCTCACTGGACTCATAAAGAGAGAAATTATGGGTTTCCAGAAATTGTATTTTGTAGATATTACTATTAGCATTATACATTTTTAATTTATTTTCTTTTTGTTTTGATAAGATAATATCAAATGACCCTTGAAGAGTTACAAAGCTTAAATGCACCCTTTCAGGTAGGAATTGGCCAGGTGAACTTTCCAAATATTCATCTGGGTAATTTGATTTTCTTTTTGAAGATTGATTTTTCAGTGAAAATCCTTTTAATTCTATAAAACAGCAATGCAGATTAAATTCTTTTTAAACTGTCACTTCTTAATGGAATTAGAAACAAATTGTGAATGCATCAGGGAAATGAACAAAAGAGATACATGTTAGAAATTGACAGAGTTTAGGTAAGTCTAATTAGACATTCAATTCTTTGGACTTTGGCTCCTAGACTAAAGAAAATGCAGCTATGTTCATAGCTAATTATTCTTTTTTGCTTTCAGGAGTATGAAAAGAGAGGAAGACAGCTGCTGGATCTGGAAACTTTCAAATGCATAATGAAACAGAGTATGAGGTCACAGAATAAAGTAAATGGGTTTTATAAACATTGGCTCATTGAAACCACAGTTAAAACTTTAACCATATGAACCAATTAGGCCAGATGATCTATCTGTAAGATCATTCTCAGCTCTGAACTGTAATTTCTACTTAAAACCCATCTGATTTACTGAACTGTTTACATGGTAAAATATATTTAAATTACTTAGTACACTAGACCAACAAGATATTTAAAGACTTATGTTAAAAACGAGAAAAGGCCGGGCGCGGTAGCTCACGCCTGTAATCCCAGCACTTTGGGAGGCCAAGGCTGGCAGATAGTTTGAGGTCAGGAATTCAAGACCAGCCTGACCAACATGGAGAAACCCTGTCTCTACTAAAAATACAAAATTAGCTGGGCATGGTGGCCCATGCCTGTAATTCCAGCTATTCAGGAGGCTGAGACAGGAGAATCGCTTGAACCTGGGAGGCAGAGGTTGCAGTGAGCCGAGATCGAGCCTTTGCACTCCAGCCTGGGCAACAAGAGCGAAACTCCATCTCAAAAAAAAAAAAAAAAGGAGAAAGACTTTTATTACATCACTGGTTTTATACGTATTTTTGTCCGGAGAGGTTGGGCATTTCCCTTACCTCCATCTGCTGGAATTAGGTATTTTAAACTTTTTCTCTGCCACCTTGGTTAGCCTAGAATATGAAATCTTAATGAATAAGGTTGCACTCATATCATAAAATAAAATATATATTATAAAGGAACAAGCTGTTTAAGCTCTATTTGTTAAGGTTTCATGATTATGTCTGAAATTATAGGAAAAAAGTATTCAAGGTAAAGCTCTATGATCTTGTTCCTGGAGTTTGAACAAAAATACACTCTTGTCAGACTGTAGGCTGGTGAAGTCCCCAGGTGCCCTTTTCAAGGGCAGAGCCCCAGATTCCATGGCTACCGTGGGAGTTTAGGTGTGCTTAGCATTTCACTTGCTGTGGGAAAAGGAATGTTAAATAACACATATTTTTTAAAAGTGTCCCTTTCTGTCTTAGTCTTTTCGGGCTGCTATAACAAAACACCTTAGACTTGGTGGCTTATAAACAATAAAAATTTGTTTCTTACAGTTCTGGAGGCTGCAAAGTCCAAGATGAAGGCAGATTCACTGCCTGGTGAGGAGGGCCTGCTTCCTCGATCCAGGACAGCACCGTCTCACAGTGTGCTCACGTGGTGAGGGGTGAGGGGTCTCTCTGGAGCCTCTTTTTATAAGGCCACTAATCTCATTCATGAGGGATCTGCCCTCGTGACCTAATCACCTCCCAAAGGCCCCACCTCCCAACACCATCATATTGGGAGGTAGGATTCCAACATATGAATTTTGGGAGAACACAAACATTCAGACCACAGCGCCTTCATTTGTGTGAAATGAAACAAACTTCCTGTTAGGAAGAGAGAGGAGCGTCTTATTTAAATGTATAAATTATTCAGTGTTTTAGCAATATCCCAGATATTTTAAACCAAAATAGTGTCATTACCTACAATTTTAGAATGCTTGCCTGCCTGCCTGGTCATCTACCCATTCCTTTATTCCTTCCTTCCTTCCTACCTTCCTCCCCTTCTTTCCTTCCTTCCTTCCTTCTTTCCTTCCTTCCTTCCTTCCTTCCTTCCTTCCTTCCCTCCCTCCTTCCTTCCTTCCTTCCTTCCCTCCTTCTTTCAATACATATTTACTGTGGGAGGCTTTGTCTTAGCCCCCATGGTGCAGTCAGTCAAGTCATGGCCTGTGTCCTGGGGAAGATCAGCGCTGCAGTAGAATTAAGCCTGGGTGCAGTGGCAGCACCCAACCCAGACCAAGGAGTAAGGGAGCCTCCTGCAAGGTGAACCTTGGGCTGAGTTTTGAGGGATGAAGGGAACCACTCCATAAAGGAGGGAGAGAGAGGCAAAGGCTCCTAGGCAGAGGGAACAGCATGTGCAAAAGCACAGAGGCAAGAGTCAGCATGCTGCCTGTTCCACACATCCAGCGGAGCATATGCGAGGAGAGGCGGTGGGGGTCCAGGACAGACATCACATTATCTGGGGCCATTTTTGCTCAGCAAAATGTTACCCAGTACATCACTGAGGAGCCATGAGACCATTTCTCTGTTCACTTATGTATCAAACAGTCATTGACTTCCAACTATGTGTCCACGTTGCTTTAGGACCTTTATATATTTTATTTCATCAGTCTCCAGAATATCAAGAGCCCCCTCAAAAGGATTCTTACCCCTATTTCATAGCTGAAAAGAATGAGATTTAAAGAATCTGAGTAACTTGCTTGAAACCCCTCAGCTACTAAGGAATAGATTTGGGATTGAAACTCTAGTCTCTCTCTAAAGCTCATTATATCAGTTAGGATTGGCTTTAACTACAGGTGACAGAATATGCATAACCTCAAAGGCCTAAGTGAGGCAGAAGCTTTTTCCTCTCTCATGTAGGAAGTCGGGGGTCAAGTAGCTTCATAAAATTTTCAGGGACCAGACCCCTTCTACTCTGTGGTTCTGCCATCCTCAGCCTGTGTGTTCCTCCTCATGGCCCAAGGTGGCTGCTCAGACTCCAGCCAACATGCTCTCATTCCAGCCAGCAGGAAGGGAGGCGTGTCAAGAAAAGACTCACCCCTTCCTTTTAAAGACAACTCCCAGAAGCTGCCCATGACACCTGCATTTGCAACTTTTTAGTCAGAAATTAATCATATGTCCTATCTAGCTGCAAATGAAGCAGGCAAATATGGTCTTTGCTCATTTCTTTTCCACTATTCTAGGGTTTTGTATTCTAGTACCTGCTAAGAACCAGAAAGTATCTCCTTTGCTCTTTCTATGCAATACTGACTTACTTCATTAAAATTCAGTGCCAAGAAGGGGAAGGAGTGCTAAAGCATACATTCAGGTAGGGCACGATGTGTAGGATATTTCAGATGTAGGTGGCATCTAGAGGAACAGTGGTCTCAGCCCAGAAGCATACCAAACCCTTTGGCTTCCTTGCGAAGCCAAGAGGGTGTCCTAACTTTCCTAGAAATACTGTACTTAGATGCTCCTCCTTTAAAACTGACAGTGGTCTGCAGTTACCCATATAGAACTTATCGTTTTCCATTACATGGTTGGTTTGCTTGTCTGTGACCTTGCTAGATACTGAATGTCACAAAAGCACATCTTTCAGCTCTGAAGCCTCAGCATCTGGCACAGTGTTTGACCTACCATTGGTGCTCAGTCTAAGTGTCTCCAGTGACTGAATCACTGTGTGGAGGCAGAGTTCAGTGTCCCTGAGTGTCTCACTGAGAATCATGCCCTTGCATGCAGAAGCACGTGCTCCTCCTCAGCTCTGGGCTGGAAGGAGGAGGCTGGGTCTCTCTGGGCACAGCCCACAGTGCTGCAGGGCCAACAAGAGCCCATCTGATGGCCCACAGCCTCACCATGCAGCTTACAACACCGCATGGCCCTTCCCTGCTGCCATCCTGTATGGAACCTCAGAGTGCCCAGGGGTACACACAGCTCCCTGAGGCTTGGCTCCACAGTCACAGAGGTGGTCTCGGGGGCAGCCTGAGCCCAGTGTGTAAATGCTACTCCTCCTGGGCTTTTCCACTTTCCGTTCCATCTCTGACCCTAGGCTCTTGTTGAAGCCATACCTCTGGGCGTTTTGGTTTGTTTGTACATTTATTCCAAAAATCTGCCTTAAATATTGTGTGCATTGTATTGTCTAGTGGCCGCGGTGAAGTTTGGCACCGTCAGCCCACCCCAGGAATGTGACATGTCTCCACTGGAGCATGACTTAGAAGGAACTGGTGCTGAACTTGGTTGCACAGCCAGGGTCTTTCTTCATGACCCCTACACTGGCCCTGAGTGTTAGACTCACCACCACGCAATGCCCTGGTGTGTTGGGTACCAGGCATCACCTCATCTTCTCCATTTCACTATATTACTGCTCAAAGGCAGACACCCTGGGATATATGAGAAAACCAACACCTGACTTCCCAACACAGACATGTAATACAACCAGCTCTGGTGAAGCTGCCTTCTACACACGTTCATGAAATTATAGATCTTGGGGCTTGAAAGGACCTTAGAGTTGTTTTAATGTTTAACCCCATTCAGTTCTCAAATTCTCTTCTCTGCTAAGCCATGAGCCAGCATGAGCTTGAATGTGTTCAGGTAAAAAGAACTCAATACCTTATAGGGCAGCCCATTTCAAGGTTGGAAAGCTCTGACCTTAGATATTTTTTCTCCTCTATGAGCTGAAATTAGTCTTTATTGATATTCTACCCTGTAGCCCAATTTCTATACTTTTCAGCCACTGTATTAGTTATTCATTGCTCCACAATAAATTATCAAAAACTTAGTAGCTTAAAACAATATACTTTTTTTTTTTTTGAGACAGAGTTTTGCTATTGTTGCCCAAGTTGGAATGCAATGGTGCAATCTCAGCTTGCTGTAACCTCTGCCTCCCTGGTTCAAGCAATTCTCCTGCCTCAGCCTCCCAAGTAGCTGGGATTACAGGCATGCGCCACCACGCCCAGCTAAGTTTTTGTATTTAGTAGAGATGAGATTTCACCATGTTGGTCGGGCTGGTCTTGAACTCCTGACCTCAAGTGATCCAACCACCTCGTGTCTCATTGTGTTTGTAAGTGAGGAATCCAGGCATGGCCTAGCTGTGTCCTCAGAGGGGAGACCCTCAGCTGGGTCTCACTAGGTTGGGGGCCTCATTTGAAAGCTTGCCTGGGGAAGGATCTGCTTCGAAGCTCACGTGACTGTTGCCAGGATTCAGTTCCTTGCAGGTTGTTGGACTAATGGTCTCAATTCCTTGCTGGCTGTCGGCCAGAGGCTGCTTTTAGTTCCTGGCCACGTGGTCTTCATTATAGGGCAACTAACAGTATGGCAGCCAGCTTCATCACAGCCAGCAAGGGAGCGAGTCTGCTGGCAAGACAAACTATGATCTCATGTAATGTCATCACAGAAGTGACATCCCCTCAAAGTTGAGGTATTCTATTGGCTCCAAGAAAGTTACTCAGAGCATGAGAATAATATAGGCCATGAACATCAGGAGGCAGGGATCACTGGGTTCATCTAATAGTCTGCCGGTATAGCTGCCCAGAAAAAAATATCTCTGTCCTACAGAATGATCCTGCTAATACTTGAAAACAATTCTCATGACTTACACGTCTTTTTGTCTCCGTTTACACCCAAGTGAGTATCCTCCCCATCCTTGTCCTTTGAACTTGGTTTGCTGTTTAACTCAAAACGAGGCGCCTAAAGAGAGACTAGTGTTTGGTCAGGAATGGACCAGGGCAGAGGGGGAATTCCTGGGAGCATGAACACTGAGGAACACAGAGCTTCTTCTGCGAATTAGGGCCTGATTTAAAAAATAAAAGGTCTAGAAGCCCAGGTATCCCACTGGAGAAGGACTTTGGCGTCTGCACTGAATTTCAATTAACCATCCTATTAATGTTTTGGAGTTCCAGAGATCTTTGAGTATTATGCATTTTTGAATGTGAAATTTATATGAAGATTTCCTCCTCCTTCTATACCCCTTTCCCCAGTAATCTAGTAATTTCTATAAACAGATTTTTTTCTCTCTCTCTCTCTAGAGTATTAAACAAATAGAACAACTGTTCATGAAAGCAGACTGTGAAGCACTGGGCAGAATTCAGTGGGGTAAGTTGGGTTTTTTGTGAATCAGATTTGGAGTTCTAGGGAATTTGCATAATGTATTTATTTCCCAGCCCACTTCTTTCTGGAGAACTCTTTGCCCCTCATTTCCTTTGGCCAACCTGAAGTTGAACCAAGGGGACGTGCTTGCTCACAATCTTCAAATTCTTGCCATGTCTGGCTATACTTGGAGTAGTTCAACTAGGAATTTCAGGAATGACGGCAAGTTCTTAGAAGGATATCCTAAAACTAAGGATTGAAGAGTGCATCCACAACTTCACCCAAAGCAAGAGCACACCAGTGAGCAAGAAATGCCATGGGCAGCGGCACCTGGTGATGATCAGATGAGTGTTTGGAACAGGGATGCCACAGAATAAATTTTCAGCAAATATGATCATCATCATTATTAATATTTCCAAATTTGGGATGTATAATAATGAGAGGCTAAGAAGGCTGCTTTTAACATTCTTCATCGTCGTGTCCATCAGTGTACTTCCATTGTCCTAGAATGAATTAAGTTTTAAAATGACAAGTTGAGCAGTAAGACACCTCTCTATTCAGGCCGGGCATCCTGGCTCACGCCTACAATCTCAGCACTTTGGGAGGTCTAAGTGGGCAGAACACTTGAGGTCAGGAGTTCAAGACCAGCCTGGCCAATGTGGTGAAACCACATCTCTGCCAAAAATACAAAAATCAGCTGAGCATTTTGGCATGTGCCTGCAGTCCCAGCTACTCCGGAGGCTGAGGCAGGAGAATTGCTTGAATCCAGGAGGCAGAGGTTGCAGGGAGCAGAGATCATGCCACTGCACTCCAGCCTGGGCAACAGAGCAAGACTCCATAAAAAAAAAAACAAAAAAGCAAAAAAACAAAAAAACAAAAACACCTCTCTATTCAGACTTTTGGCCAATTCCCCCACCAAATTAAATACAAGTGGTCTCATTGTCATCTGATTTGAAAAGGAACATTCAGGATTCCAGGGAAAAGAAGGAAAGCTTCTAATGAGGTAGGGTTTGGGGGAAAGTGGAGAGAAAATGTAGATTTCCCAAGCCCCAAATATCCCCGACCCCTTCACTCTGACCACAGAGTTTTTTTCTGCAGGTGTACTGCTAAGATTCGAAATGAGGCACACATCCTGGTGGGTAGGACTGCAGAGTTGTCACACCCATGGGGACTCATGTCTCTGGCCAGCCACTTACTAGTTATGATTGTAGGCAAGTTATTTAACCTCTTTAAGCTTAAGTTTCCCAATTTGTAAAATGTGGTGAACAATAGAACCTATCTCCCACGGTTATCTTGAGAATTGAGAGGAAGGTCTCTGTTGCATGGAACATGGTACAGTCTCAACAACAACCATCATCATCATCCTCTTTAGAGAAAGAAACTGGCAGCAGAAGCCAGCCCAGCAGCTGGGTAACAGACTTCTGGGCTCAGCTCAACAGGCACACCCCAGTTATTACCCCCCAAGATTTTGGCAGCCGCGTTTATGTGCTAATAATGATGTTATGTCCAAGAAAGGCATTATCCATGCCCAGATGGTAAGGAGAATTTTTGAAAGCCAGAAAGATAGAGGACATTTCATGAATTGTCCTTTATCCTCCAGGGTGGCTTCCGCACGTATCTGCAGCTAGAGTATTTGGAGCGAGCTAATGCTTTGGCCCGACAGAAAGAGGTTTCCTTCCTGCTGCCTGCTGCGCTGCGGAGGCTGTCATATGGGGGTCCCGTGCTGCGCATTCTCTCTATGCCTGACGACACCTTAATCATGATCAGAGAAGATGGAGCTATTTATTTCTGGTCCCTGCAGCTGAAGTTGAAAAGAAGAAAGCGGGTCTTTGTATGTGATTTTCATTTGATAAGGATGCTGAGTGCTACAGTTTGATTTTATTTGCTATTTTAAACTGCTTCTTAAGTGGTGTGATTACATAAATTGTGTCCTTGAATATAATATATTCATGCTGGATTTTGCTAGTCTGTAGAATGCAAATAAAATATGATCTCTCTATGTAGTGCAAGATAAAGCTTCATTTTGCTTCTAAAATCAGATGGAATGATGAATTACATGTGATTCCATCATGTGATTTATTGTATGTCTTAATGAATGACAAATAGAAAAGAATCTTCCCTTCCTCCACCCATTAACGGTTATATCAGTTTAGGTAGCTATGTTAGGCCTTCTCTTCAGAGAACTTACTGAATGACAGAATCAGAAATTCAAAAGACAAAAAGCACTGGGGAGGTATGCTTAGGAATGACAATGCCTGACCCATTCCAGGATATGTTCTATTTTTAAAGCCATTCTTTTTATTATCTCAACAAATATTTTAGTCTCTGTCATAGACCAGGCATTGTGATGGGTGCTGGGAACACAGAAACCCAGTCTCTGCCCTCAGGAAATGTATAATCTATCCCAGATATTATAGCTGCCCCAAAGCCCTCGGGATGCAGAATATGCTCTCCCTAGAGACAGAAAATAAAGTTGATTCTCCAAATCTATGAAACAAATTATTTCCACTTGAAGGAGAAAATAAAGAAAATTATATGATGTTAAACATGCATACTACAGGCAAGAATGGCTTGAGACAACTGAAAATGTCTGATCATTAAAAAGGCATATGCTTGTTCATTTTCACCCTTCAACCCTTTAGGACAAGTCCACCAGCCAGAACCCCAGGTGGATGACAGATGTCATCTGCATGCTACACTGCAATAAACTGATCATTGGGACCAAGTGAGTGATGCTGCTCTTCAACCCAGAAATGAACAATCAGCCAAGAGTGGTGGCTCACGCCTGTAATCCCAGCACTTTGGGAAGCCGAGGTAGGCAAATCATTTGAGCTCAGGAGTTTGAGACCAGCCTGGGCAACATGGTGAAACCCCGTACCTACCAAAAATACAAAAAGATTAACCAATGTGGTGGTGCACACCTGTGGTCCCAGCTACTTGGGGGTCGGGGGCTGAGGCAGGAGAATTCCTTGAACCCAGGAGGCAGAGGTTGCAGTGAGGCGAGACTGCGCCACTGCACTCCAGCCTGGGCGACAGAGTGAGACTCCTTCTCAAATAAAAAGTAAAATAAAAAAAAGAGAAGTGAACAATCACTGTGTTACAGAATCCATTTTCATGTGTGAATTCACACAAACAGATACATGTTTGTGGTATGAAGATAAAGTTATGAGACCCTTTTCAAAAAATACTAAAACTCATGTATCAATCGAAGCTACCACGCAAGGTTATCACTTTGGCCTATTGCAGTGATGCTGTCATTGCCCCCAACAGAGACTGAGGTTTTCTTTTGGGGAATACTTCTGGGGCCAAGGTATGGGCCAGACTAGAAAAACATTAGCCTTGGTACTTTTTAGTACACCTTATTTTATATTCAACATAGTTTTCCTATTTTATTAGCCACAAAATTTTGTCTGTAGTGCTCTGAACTGATCCAAAAAATAAAATCCTCTGTAGAAAGATGATCACACTCACTGCTGAAGCGCTTCAGAAGAGCGAGTCTCAGGCTGGGAAAGGAGGCCCTGAGGTTTTTATCAATGGCAACATCATGAAAACGAATATGCAGGGTCCTGGGCGCTGCTTGACTCTTCTCAGTAATGGGCCACGTCAAAGGCGGTGTGGCTTGATGGGAAGAAGGTTTGGAAAATGTCAAATCAAGGTTGAAGCAAAAGCAATTTCTAGGCCATTGACAACTGCCCATAAAATAATAATAATAATTTTTTTAAAGAGCAATTTCAACACCGTAGGAGGATGAATTATGAGTGAGTGGGTCTAGGCTGAAAAATGAGGCTGTTTAGTGCTGGAGTCTGGGGGCCATGGCTACGAGAAGGGAGAGTGATTGAGGTTCTCACAGCACTGCCTACCAGGACACCATGGACTCCTTGGAAGCTCAGCTTCTTGCAAGGGTTTTCTCCTCTCTACCTTGTCTCTTCCAGAAGTCACCAGTTCCCTAGGATTTAACCACTTGAATGAAAAGTTAAATACAACCTCAAACTATCTAGGCTATTAAATATAATTAATTTTAATGTTACATATCATAATGTATATATTTATTAATATATGTAAATCATTAACATGTATTTATCAAAATATAAATATAACTAACATAATAAATATTAACTATTCTAAAAGCAACAAATTTAGATTTATACGTTCAGTCCAGTTTGATTCTTTAAAGTACATTCAATGACTTTATCATGTGTTTTAAACGCACAGAAGTTCAGAGATTGGAGCAGGATCTTATAGAGGCTCTCTGAGCTGACAAACCAGAAGTTGAGGCAGGGTATATGCCATTGGGAGGCAGGGAACCACTTTTGAACTGCAGGACAGGTAGAAAGGAAGTGAAAAAAAGCCATTTAGCACTGAGACAAAGGCAAGGCCTGTGGACTTGAGAGTGACCTGTGTGAACAAGTCAAAGCAGTGAGTTTTCTCACACCCACAAAATTCTTCTTTTCATCAGCTCCAAGATAGACAAGCTATCATAGGAGGGAAGGGGTCCACGCTGCAGCTTAGGAAGCGGGGAATTAGGGAGGCACCAAGTGAACCCTTCGGTGTAGAGAAAGAGGCCTTCAACCCTCCGCTTTGCAGAGCTAACCCTTTTCATATTATCAATATCAAACAGCAGCTCATATTCTGAGCACTTCACAAGCCCCAGATACTGGACTGAGCCCTTTCTCCCACATCATCTCGTTTAATCCTCACCACTCTCCTATAAGGCAGGGACTGTTACAATCCCATTTCACAGATGAGGGAACTGAGTGCTGAGCTGGGATCTGAATACCCCTCTGCTGGAATTCAGAGCTCAGGTGGTTGAAAATTGTGTTAGCCTCCTGATGGAGAAGGACCAGCCCCGTGGGCAGATTTAGAACCAGGCCAAAGAAGTTTTCCCAAATGGGGAGAGCTGGGAGGGAGGCCTCAAGCTCCACCCTGCTAGGTCATCGTCCGGTGCCTCTGTTTTGTGGGATTTGTGGAATACAAAATATTTCTACAGAGGTGAAGTGGGAAGCTTAAAGTCTACTTCAAGTGTGCTTGATTTTTAAACAGGAACCGTGAAACCCAGCTGTAGGAGCTCTCTATTGCAAAGCCCTACTGTCAGCTTGGTGGCCTGGAAGCTGTGCCTATGGAGCTGGACTGCTGGCAAGGGAAGGCGTCTGCGGGGCCAGGAGGCCTGGTTGTGGGTGGCTTCCCCTGGACATTAAAACCTGGCCTCCTCTCTCCTGGGGCAGCTGTGTTCAATCAGTAAATGTCAGGGTTCCAGGCAGCCTGTCACAACCATGGCACAGCTCCCTCTTTGTGCCCAGCAAAGAGGGAGCTTCCTGCATCTAGCAAGGACAGGGAAACCAGGGAGGTGAAATTATTTTTAGAGTCATGCGGTTACAAATTAATTTCTGTGTTAAATGAGACTGGATTCATTTCCTGAAATTCAACTCTGATCACAGTACTCTGCTTCTTAATAGTTACCAGTTGTTCTCCAACACAGTAATGTCCAAACCCTTCTGAGGCATCCACTCCCTTCTACCTTTCCAGCCTTTGCCTTGCTGTGCCTTGAGGCTGGGGAAGCACTAACCTAACTGAATAGGGAACTGTCAATGCGTCAAACACTGTCGCCTCCATACTGTTCCATGTGCTGCCCCTTACCCCAACGACATTTGTTGCTCGACATTTGTTGAGCACTTACTATGTGCTGATTTGATTGGACACGGAGATGCACATGCGAATAAGACCTGGTTCCCAACGAGCCATAAGTCTCATAGAGCAGGTAGTCCTGCTATAATCCTACCATTCTTTCCAGCTCACACATCATTGTGAAGATTACCTAGAATGTCCATCATAAGCAGAAGTGAGCGTACCCAGGAGATTCCTTAGCCTTGAGCTGTGGCCACCAGTGTGCAGGTCCTTAGTCATTTGTGGGTGACACCAGCGCCTTAAAATTTACTGTCTACTCTCTGGCACCTACATATCAACTGGTGCATTGTAGGTGCTCAGGAAACATTTGTGGATTAACCAAGTCAGAAATTCTTATTTAAGTGGACGAAGAGAAGGTCCAGGCTCATTTTGCCTTTCCTTTCCCCCTCCTCCTCCTTCTTCTCCAGATGAGATAGAAATCTCCTTCAGCTGCTCAACAATTGCAGTGAAATAGGTCTCTCTTTCATCTCTCTCCTATCAATCATTTTGTACATTGAGAAATATAGAAAAAAGTTAATGGATTCAGAATGAAATGATTGAAAAGAAAAACTGTCCCCGAGTGGTTCTGGCAGAACAAAAGCCTAGGAGACACAAGTCAGGCTCAGCTGCCCTGCCCTGCCCTGCCCTGCCCTGCCCTGCCCTGCCCTGGAGCACCTTTCACATAAGACAAAGAGGCCTTTTCCCCTCTGGTGTGCAGCTCCTGCCCTGTGGGACCCCGGGTTCCTCCCCAGCTCATCGAAAACCCGGATTCCCATCCAGAGGGCAATGCCCACTCACACCCCATGACAAAGGTTGGAGGTGGTGCTGCAGCTTCCCTATGCCCTGAAGGGGCCCAGGCTCCCAGCCCCTCTGCACTTTGCATCTACCCTGTAACCACCCTCATAAGACCCCAGCATCCAGCATCAGCGGATCTGGGTTCCTCCTAGTGCAGCCCTGGGCTCTGGGGAGGGCAGGACAGAGTGGTGGACCCATGCAGGCTCCAAAGGCCGAGGGTTCTGGCTCCCTTCTCAGCCCTCTTACTCGTCTCTGGGGACCTGAGCAAGTCATGTCTTCATTCTCAACCTCAGGTGTCTCATCTGCGAAACAGAGCTTATACGACTGGCCTCACTGAGCTGTGGTTGAGATGAAATCCACGCTGTAGATTAGGCCCCTAATACAACACCCAACAGCAGGTGCTCCACACGCAGAACACCCTTTCCTTTTCTAATCCCAGCCTGCTGCGAATGGGAGGAACCATGCTTGATGGCCCCCGGGGCTTCTGTCCCCACATCTGGCCCTCAAAGCCACTTAGACCCCTTGCCTTCCAATCCTCTCCTGACTTGGGAGCCCCAGCTGCTCCGGCCTCACTCAAATCCTGTCTCACTCAGCTCTTTCCTGTCTCAGGGCCTTGGCACATGCTGTGCCTCTGTCTGAGACACTACGACAGCCTTTTCTTTCAGATCTTGATTGAAACCTCCCCTCCTCTGACCATCCTTTCCTAAACGCCTCATCTAACTATGTTCCCATGACCCTGTTCCTTTCCTTATTGCATGTAGCATAGGCCATGAGTATAGACGGTGAATTGTCTATTGGCGGTCCTGTTCACTACACAGTGGGGGCAGGAACCACATCTGCTTTCTTCCCCACTGTAAGCCTAGAGTGCAAGGCATATAATAGCTGTTAAGTATTTTCTTAAATAACTGAACAAGCAAAGGCTTAGACTATGAAGTCAAAGCTCACTTGGAGTCCCAGGAAGTTGTCCAAACGCTTTGTGCCTCAGCTTCCTTGTCTGTGAAATTGGTAGAATAAAAACAGTACTTCACCTCCTGCATTGTTGGGAGGCGTTCTTGTGATAGTAGCTCCCTGGCATGCAGAAGGGGCTTTATACATGCTGGTTTTCATTATCATCACGACTATATGGACTCCTGACCAGGCGAGGCTGGATGGACAGCATTCCAAATTCATAAGAGTCTAGGGATGCCGTGGACCCAGGCAGTCATGAGGACCCTATTCTGCCCCCTGGACTCCTGGGGCTTGGAGCTGTGTGTGTGCCCTTTGCTGTGCATTGAGCACACAGGATGCCTAACCTCGAGATGTGCACACTTTGGTGAATGTATTCGTCTGCTGGAGCTGCAGGACACCATAGACTGGGCAGCTTAAACCACAGAAACTTGTTTTCCCGCAGTTCTGGAGACTGGGCATTCGAGATCAAGGTGCCCACCCATTCTGTTTCCAATAAGGGCACTCTTCCTGGCTTGCAGATGGCTGCCTTCTCACTGCGTGCTCATGTGGCCCTTCCTCAGTGAGTGAGGGCAGAGAGAGAAAAGGAGGAAAGAGAGGGAGGAGAAAAAGAGAAAGTGCTCCTTGGTGTCTCCTATAAGAACACAAATCCTATTGTGAGGGCCACTTCCTCATGACCTCATCAACTCCAAGACAATGTCTCCAAAGACCATCACACGGGGTCTTAGGCCTTCAACACATGGATTTGTTGGGGGAGGCCAAGGCATTCAGGCCCAACACTGCATGTTTACTGACTTAGGTGGTGCACTCCAACCACGCCACCCTCGCTTCCCGAGGGCCTCGTCTGGGATGGAGCCAATAGTACTGTCTACACACTAGCCTCCTCAGCCAATGGCACTGTCGGCTGATGATGTCATTCTCTGACAGCCCCGCATCTGCGGCCTGGCATCTGTCAGAGGGCTGTCCCAGGAAACTAGGAGTGAGGCTCAGGATGCTTCTCTGCTCCTGTGAAGTGGAGACTAGACTTCTCTCTCTCTCTGTTTCTTTCCTTCCTTCCTTTCTCTTTCTTTCTTTTTTTTTCTCTTTCTTTCTTTTTTTCTCTTTCTTTCTCTTTCTTTCTTGTTAAGCTTGTAGACACACCCAATAGAAAATCAGTTTGAAACAGCACTTATAACCCATTATAACTCCCACAGGCTGGGCACATATATGTGCAGGAAGGGGCTGGTGGGGGGGGGGTTGTCCCTATGTCACCCTAAAACCTCACTGAAGGGTGACTGGCTCATTCCTTACCTATTTCTGGCTAAGCAACCAAAGCATAAGCTTTGTGTTTTATCTCCATTTCATCTCGCCATCCCTTCTCACACCCAGGCCTAAACACTTAGAGTAATATTAGAACCAACTTGGTATTTATCATAATACCCTGGGAGAGTCGAGTTCTGGTGAGAACCATGATCGCTAGTTTCATGGGCTGAAGGCTCCAGGGAGCACTAATCATGGTGTCTGAGTGCATTTGTAGGAGCACATTGTAAACTAATTACCACGTGTGGCGCTCACTCTATCATTACCTTTAATATATGATTTCAAATACAATACAACTCCTATTTTGTTGCTTTCACAGTGCTGCAGACTCCAAGGCATGCCTCAGCCTTAAAAATTTTTGATAAAAAATAAACAAAAAGGCAAGAGTGTTTTTGATAAGTGATAAATGTACCTGCCTAATAGAGCTCTTGGATCATAAGAAGGCATTCAACAACTACTTTTTGAATAACAAATAAATACATTAAAAAATAAGTAATTTTTTATCCCAGCCTGACCTACTGCTAATTTGTCTGCTAACCAGGGCAAGACATTGCCCTATTTGAATATAAAATAAACTAACAACAACAGAAAAAAATATTTACTTTCCTAGGGGACATGACATCAACCTAATCCAGAGGATTTGTTGCAGTAAAAACTTAAAATTTTAGAGCATTTTCTTAAAAAACATATGCGTGAGAAACCAAATAGACACTGGCTTCACTTCTAAATTAGACACATTTCTCTTCTGTTCTGTGTCAAAAGGATGTTTGTATCTTGAGTCCTACTTGGCTATGAAATGAGCTCTAAAATAGATTTTTAAAACACTGCTTTCTCAGGATGTCCACCTGAGGGAGGCAGACAAGCCAACCCACCTTGGCATGTGGGGACTCGGAGCTGGGTAGAGATTTGCAGTGGGTGTGAGGGCACCCAGAGAGGGGGCACACCACTTCAGACTGGGGGAGCGATGGGGGATGTCAGCAAAGCCCTCCCAGGGCAGTCACGGTGGGGCTACAGGACAATAGGGAGGCAGGCTGAGGGACAGAAAGGACATTTCAATTCATAGGAGCCAAATAAGCATGGTGGGTAGCAGCGGGCATAGGGCTGGAAGGGGGCTGGGAGGCATTGAATTCTTTGGAGAAGCTGACTTATTTTGGAGTAAAGGGCCCCTTTGAAGGAAAGAAACATGAGGAGATCAGAAAAGACAGTCAGAGTTTGCTAATGAAAAGTCATCTATGCCCCTGCCAAGGACTTTGTTCTGCAGCCTAAACACTGTGCAGATTCTAAATAGATGTCTAAGGATGCTCACGCTGGTGGGGATTGGGGGATGGATTAGACGGGAGACAGACAGACTGATAGGGAGAGTATTGCAGACATTCAGGGGCCTGAGGTTCCTCATCTGCAAAATGAGGGGTTTCTTTTGAGGACTCAATGAATGAACAAACATAAAAGCCCATTAGCTAGTGACTGGCATACAGTAAGTGCTCAGTAAATAGTAACAATTGTTATTATGATCCAGATAAGAAATGCTGAAGGAACCACGAAAGGCTGAAACAGCAGCTGGGGTAGAGAAGGAAACAATTCCGGAGCTTTTCAGGAGGTTGGGTCAGCTGGATTTGTTACTGGCTAGAGGTGCAGGGCTGAGGGCCAAGGGGCCAGAGGTCACTCCAGGTCTGGGTGGCCCATGAGGCCATTGAGCTGTGTTCAGTTTAGGTGAGATGAGCTTTAAGATTCCTTCCATTTTTTCTTCTACCCCTCATCCTCTCTCCAACACCATACCCACCACAGTAGCAGAGAAGGGCCAGGAGAGAGGACAGGATCCCAAAAACGACACTACTCCCCACCCCTTCCCCTTTGGCCTACCTGGGGATGTCCTCAGCTGTCTGCCTTTGCCTTTTTGTTGGCCCTTCCTGAAGTGCTGTAGACCTCAGTTCCACTTAGCCAACATTCATTCAGCATGCTGTGCGCACCAGACCTCACCGAGTTCAAAGGCCGAGTGAGGAGTGGAGATTAGAGAAGTAAAGAGAGGGCATGAGTACAGCTGGAGTACACATGCAAGCCTGCAACGGAGGTGCTTTAAACTTCAGTGGGCCCTTGAGACCCCCAGGCAGTCACCTACCACTCCTGAGTGTGCTCATGCCAAGTCTATAGTTCCGCTTTTCCTCCTTTCTTACCAAATCCCCAACAATCCTGCTTTCATCTTCCTCTAAGCTGTTGGCCTCATTTCCCACCTCATTGGGAACATCAAAACCATCCAGCAGGAACGTCCACTGGCTTCCACTCCCCCACCCCCCACCCCCACCCCCCGCTGTGCCTACCAGCACCCAGATCACGGACTCCGGTTGGCTATACCAGATGGCCTTTCCACGTTGCATCCACAGCAAATCTCTCCACTCGATCTCAGATCCCAGCGTCTCCCGCCCACTCAAGGGAGCCCTCTTGCAAATCTCCCTTCACTTTCCCTCCTTTCCACTCTCTACTGCCTCCTTCCCACTAGCTAATTAAAATGCTGTTGTTTTTCCCTTATTAAACAAACAAAATTCTTCTCTATCTCCCTTTTTTCAGCCAGCCATTGTCCCGTTTCCTTGTAGCACAACTTCTTAAAAGGATCAGAATCATCCATACGCCGTCTCCCCTGTCTACTCCCGCCACTCCCCTGCCCCCTCTGCCAGGCAGTTCTTTCCAGGGCCTCCAACAACACCATGTTGAAGGTCCGCTGTCAGTTCTCTGAGCTCCTCTCATGAGAACCATCATTTGATCTAGCTGATCCTTGCTAGTTCCTCTCCTTCTCCCTGACCTCTTATCCTTCGAGCGTCTTGGCTTCCATCCTGGTTCTCTTCTCCATCTACACTCATGCCCTCTGGTGATCTCCAGATAACCACCGGTATGCAGGTGGTTCCCATGGTTGTATCTCTAGCGCAGATCTTTCTCCCAGGTTCCAGGCTCATATCCAACTCTCTTCTCACTGTCTCCACTTTGAAGTCTGCCAGGCATGTCCAAGCCCGCAGCAGTGACTGTGGATGGAGGTCCCTTCCGGCCTGCACTCTGCCCCCGACCATGCTCCTCAAGGAGCTCCTGTTACAGCCCACTGGGCCACTCACCTCTTCCCGCACAGGCGAGCAGCTCCCCAGCCAGGAGCGTGGTCACAGCCCACGCAGTATCCACTTCTGACTATGAAAATCCTACCAGTCCCCAAGATCTGACTCAGATGTCTCTGTCTTCGTGGAGCCTTTGCCAGTCCTCTGATCTGGAATTAATTCCTTCCTCTTCTGGGCCTCTGGAGTTCTTCCTTTATATCTCTATTCTAGACATTAGCACTCTCGGTCTTCTATCATAGTCAGCAACATTCATTCCACAACAAATACTGTATGGGACCACTGAGAGCCAGACGCTCTTCTGGGTGCAGGGGAACCTTCAATGTACAAAAGAAATAAGATGTTCTGCTCTCAAGAAGGAATTGTTTGAGTAGAGGGAGAGCGACAATGAATATTAAATATATAAAGATATTATTACATAATGTCATATATTATTATAAAGATATGAATTATATAGTATGTTAGAAATATTTTGAAAATTATATTAGGTTGGTACAAAAGTAATTGCGGTTTTACTTTTGCACCAACCTAATAGATATAAATTATATAGTATGTTATAAAAATATTATCAAGATGTAAATTAAATTACTATAAAGATATACATTATATAGTATGTTAGAAAGTGACAAAAGCAAACAAAAAGGAAAAGTAAGCCCAAGGATGCACTTGTGTGAGCGTCAGTGGAAAGGGCGGGGTTGTCGGCTGCAGTATTAACAGAGATGGCTAGGTCAATGAGAAGGTGTCATTTGAACTGAGACCGTAAGGAAGCAAGAGGGTGAGCCAGGGGACCAAGGGGATACCTGGGGAGAGTAGCCCAGTGAGAGGAACAGCTGGAGCAAAGGCTGGAGTGGGAGCTGCCCTCACCTTGCAAACAGGGCCTCCCGACATTCATGCCCGGGGCCTTCCCCACCTGCCAAGACACCACCCCTGCCCTGCTTTACTACCCCCTGCTTCTCACAGTGACTCCTAAGAGGCAAGTCCTTCCCCCTCTTTTGAGCCTTCTTTATATCAAAGGCGGTAGATGCCACTTGTCTTGCCTTGCCTTTTGGAACAGTGCCTTGCACTGGTTCTGCTTGAGCTGCCCCTCCTCTGCCTCAGGTGCCATCCTTGGCCTTCCCGTGAACCATATTCTCTCAGTATTAAGTATTGCCTTTCATTTTCATGGCTTCAGCCTTGATTTAAGCCCACTTCTTGATGCCACTGGAGTCTACCTCTTTTAGAGACATCCATGGCTCCACACTGAGGCAGGCTGGGGGACCCCTTCCAGCGTGAGCAGCAGCAGCAGAGATCTCCACTGAAGGCCCCTGCTTGCCTTCTGCCCTCTAAACACCAGGGGCATGTCCACAAGGATGTCCTACAGGCCTTTCCAACGTGGAATGCCAAAACATAACGGTGTTCCCCACAAATCCTGCAGTTTTTCCAGTGTTTTCTAGCTCCATGTGTTAGATCAGCTTCCATTTCACTATTCAATTTGGGAACCTTGGAATTCTCTGTGGGTGCCTCCTGTCCCGTACTTCCACTTCCGATCACTGACCTACTCTTGTGGCTTTTGTCCCCTCATTTCTGTAATCCCGGCCCCAGTGTGCATCCCCATCGTTTTACACACATCCTGGCTGATTAGTTCACTGCCTCCTGTCTCTCCTCTTTGCAACTAAGCCCACAAACTCTGGGAAGATCTGATTATGCTTTGTTCAACAACCCTCAACAGATCATGATGGAATCCTGCTTCTATCCCAGTGCATTAAGGCCTTTCTGGACACGGATGACCTGCACTTCCTCCCAGCTTCCTTGAGGTGCAAAAGGGATGGTGTCACCATTGTTTTCTGGTTTTCATCCAAGTTGATGTGAAGACATTTGCTGGCTCTCTCAGGATATGGTAATCACCATGATGCCCCAAATGAGCTTTCTAACAAATGTGAGGAATCTCAGCTGCCCTTCACTGCCTTAGCACAATCAATTGAGTTCAAGTCAAGCACACACTAAGTAAAAATGGCCTACGTTCTTTCCTTGGCTGGGTTATGAGTTGAGAGCATTGAGAGGCCATTTACTTTATTTGGAAGGCTGATGTCTGGAGGAGAAGAATCTAACATCAATGACTAGAGACCCTTCAGATTGATTTATAATCTGACTGGTCCTTCCCTTTCTCATACCTAAAAAAATTACCAATTTGCCCCTTGTAGACAGTGTTCGTCCATCCCTATGTCCGTCACCTTTCATAAGCAAGAGTCAATGATTGTCTCCATTTTGAAGGGAAAACCGAGAGATTTGTTCTGTGCTTTATCCTACTGCATTTCAGAGAGAGAGAGAAAAAAAATGGTTCTTCCAAAAAATCAAAAGCAGTTCCAATACGGAGATGGTAAGATCATTAGAATTTAGAATACCAAGATTTGTCAGAAATGGACTCACTTATCATAAATGCTTTGAAATTGAGGAAAGTTCAAAGAAACAAAATCTGGAGCCAATCCAAACATCGCTGGGTCTCTCCAATTCCCTGGCTCCCTGGTTCTTTCCAGTGTCCATATGCGAACATGCCCTGCATCTGGAGCTCTGTCCTAAGCTCTGTGGAAAATGTCAGGTTATTAGATGTGACAAAATGCTCTCGTGGATCACCCAGCTGCAGCTAGTCGGGTAAAACTTCCTTTTGCTTCCCCTGACTCCCAAATGAGATGGTGTCCTTTGCTCCCTTCATCCATATTCCGATACACAGATTAGCTAGAGATGAGAAATTCCTGAAGAAAGAAGGAAATAATAAGTTTTAAACTGGGCCTCTTTGCATCTTAAAAAGAAATCAAAGATAGCCTCTTTGCAAAGCTCCGTCTTTTTAGACGTTGACCCCCGAAGTGTATTGCTGTTGCTGCAGCACACTGGAACGTTTCAGATGCCTCTAATTCCCAGGATCTGGTCTCCTGCCAGAGCTGCAGAGTGATATGAATAATTTCTGGGCTCCCTTCCCCAGGATGGATGTGTTTCTGGGATTTTTTTGGCAGACATGCCATCGGAGTCTATCTCTCTTAGAGAAGTCAGCGGCTTTGCACTCTGAAGCAGGATCGGAGACTCCTTTCGGGATGAGCAGCAGTGGGGCAGAGATCTCCACTGAAGGCAACTCTTTCCATTTTTCAGCAGTCTTGTTGTGAGAAAAATATGCCAGTTCCCAGGGGCAAAGATTCCTAAAAGATACACCAGGGATGCAACCGCTGTACGTTGTGCCTGATTTTAATGTAATGTAGCAAGTGTGAATCTCAGTCCCTAACTTTAGGTATGCAAGAAATAGAATTTGCTTTACTTTCCTAAACTCAAGTTCATTTTTATTTTGAGTTCCCACCACCCACCATAATATCAGTCATTTCGGGGGTTCCCTCACCGATGTTGTACAATGGTTCTGGGATCCCATGGTGGAAGCCATCTGATCTTCATCCCGAGCCACACAGGGACTTTGGGCCCTATGGCTGTCTCTGAGCCAAGACTCTGCACAAGGCTGCCCCTGGCACTGTCTGCCTCAAGCCCACACAGTCACTCCTCCTTGGGGACTCACTGCCCCCAGCAGCCCTTTTGGGAAGCTGAGACTGGATACCCACTGCCCTCTCTTCCTCCTCGTCCTGTGTGGCTCCTCTCCTAGTGGTAACCTTTCCCCAGCCTAGGGGGGCTCTGTTTTAATTCTGGGGAAAATCTTCCTCCCTTGTGCTTTTTTCATACCACTCTGTCCCTGCCGCATGGCTCACTGGAATGTCACCTTCTCAAAGAGGCCTTTTCTCACCACCTCTATGCAGATACACTCTGCACACTACCCCACCCGGGCCCAGAGCTCCTTATAGCCCACACCCTGCTTTATTTATCTCCATGGCACTCTCCATCACCTGACACACAATCTATTTATTTGGTAATTTATTTATGATGTGCCTCCCCTCATCAGAATATAAGTAATGTGATAGTAAGGGCTTTATCTCTTATATCCCAAGGGCCTACAGCAATGCTGGGCTTATAGTGTCGGTTCCGTAAATATTTGCAGAATGAAGGAATGAATGGATTTGGGCGTGTGTCTAGCTGTGCCAGACATTGTGCTAGGCACCAACATTCATCCAACTGGGAGCAAGGCCATGAGTGAGTGAGGCTGCAGCCCTGAGCTTGGCTGAGTGGTGACTGGGACTCAGAAGTCCAGGAGGCCACAGTAGTGTGTGCGTGTAGTTGGTGTATTAGTCTGTTCTCACGCTAATAAAGACATACATGATACTGGGTAATTTATTTAAAAAAAAGAGATTTAATTAACTCACAGCTCCACGTGGCTGGGGAGGCCTCAAAATCATGGTGGAAAGCCAAAGGCACATCTTACATGGCGCAGACGAGAGAGAATGAAAACCAAGCAAAAGGGGAGACCACTTATGAAATCACCACATCTGGTGAGACTTATTCACTAACACGAGAACAGTATGGGGAAAACCGCCCCCCAGGATTAAATTATCTCCCACAACTCCCTCCCACAACACGTGCAATTTTTGGGAACTACAATTTAAGATGAGACTTGGATGGAGACACAGCCAAACCATATCAGTTGGGGAGGGAGTAGTGGGAGTACTGGGTCCAAGAGAGGGAGCCCTGCAGCCTCCAGGACCAGCTGTGATAGTGGCCGAGGCTGACCATGGCGTGTGGCTTGGAGGCTGAGCAGCCAAAGGTGAATGACTGTTACCCTGAGGAATCAGGGTGCAGCATCCAGGCCAGACACAGCGCATTCAGACGGTGCGGGACTCTCATGTAGAACAGACTCACGATGATGAGGTACTGGCCTGGGAGCTGATCAGGACACAGCTGTAAACACACAGAACTTTGTAAAGCATGCTTTCTCAGCAAGTCTCTTCCACAAACAGATACAGACCCTGTTATTAGTGCTGGGCCTACGGCAAAGAAAGAAACAGATAAACCCTATGCTCACAGAGCTCGCATTATAGTGGGCAGAGACAGGCACTATACAAAACTAACAGGGGTATGCTAGAGAGTGAGGGCTAAGGAGAAAAAATGTGGCATGGGAGGAACGAGATAGCAGGTGAATGGGGACCAGGCGGAGCTCTCTGGGCAGCACCGAGGTAGGACTGGGGGAGAGCAGCGATGCACTACAGAGCTTCCAGGCACGTCCAAGAGGCACACAGGTGGGACGCAGCTGGTGTGTGCAAGGAGCTTGCATGGCCAACCTGGAAGTGAGCAAACACATCAACAACAGAGATCCACGTAGCCTGTGATGGGGCCAGCACTGTTCTGGGCACTTGGGATATGTTCACAAAGAAAGTAGACAAGAACCCCTGCCCCAGTGGAACCTGCCGTAAACAACAAGCCATTCTCGTAACATAGGGTCACACAGGAAGGTAGGACATGGTGAGTGCTATGAGGAAAGAAAGGCCAGGGAAGGGCATTAGACATCCAGGATGGTCAGCGCATGTGACCTGGGACAGTAGGAGCCGTTAGCATGGAGGGAGGAAGTGAAAGCCATGTGCTAATGAATGTATTCGCCAACGGCTTACAGGTAGGTGGTGAGGGCTGAACGCGGGCACGAGAGCCTGGGGAGGCCATGGTCAAGTGCAGCTTCTAGGAAGATGAGGCCCAGCATTTCCACTGGCTTTAGCAGCATGGATGTCACTGCTGACCAGCAAGACAGCTTTTGCAGAAGGCGGGGACAAAGCTTGCTGAGAATACTGTCAAGAAAACAGAGGGAAGGGAGAAAGGAGACAGCAGCATGAACCTCTTTCTCAAGTGACTTTGCCATAGGAAAAAAAAAAAAAAAAGACAGAGAGAAATGCCCTGATAGTTGGATGGGAAGGGGGTCAAGGTCAAGACAAATTCTTTTTTCTTTCCTTCCTCCCTTCCTTCCTTCCTTTCTCTCTTTCTTTTTCTCTTTCTTTCTTCTTTCTTTATTGAGACAGGGTCTCACTGTCACCCAGGCTGCAGTGCAGTGGTATAATCACGATTCACTGCAGCCTCTACCTACTGGGCTCAAGTGATCCTCCCACCTCAACCTCCGGAGTAGCTGGGACTACAGGTGTGTGCCACAACACCCAGCTAATTTTCTTATTTTTGTTGTTTTTGTTGAGATGCAGTCTAGCTATGTTGCCCAGGCTGGTCTCAAACTCCTGGGCTCAAGAGATTGTTCCATCTCTGCCTCCTGAAGTTCTGGCATTATAGGCATGAGCCACCGCCCCCAGCCTTTCTCTTTTCCCCAGTGGCAGGAATACAGCATGCTTATGTGCTGATGGGAAGATCTGGTAAAAACTGGAAAATCAAGGATGCAGGAGAGTAAGGGGATAAACGCCAAACAGGTATTTCTTGGGTAGGCAAGAGGGCTGTGCTCCCATGCACAGTGGAGGGCTGGCCTCAGGAAGGAGCAGGGCTGCTCACCTGGAGGGACCCCAGGGAAGGCTGAGCAGCGGTCCAGGTGCAGGCATGTGTGCCTCTGTGGTGGGGCCTGGTGCAGCTTCTCTTTTGAGGGCCTTGGGTTTTGTGATGACTTAGGAAGCAAGGTCTCATCTGAGAATGGGAACTGGGGAACAGGTGTTGGAGACTTGCAGAGAAAGGAGGAAGTGAAATGGTCTTGGAAAGTGGGAGAGGACAGACGGCTGCCAGGAAACAGTGAGAACCTATTTGTGGTTTGTGGTCACGAATTTAAAGTCATACCACTCAGCACAGTTCTGAGGTTTTTCTCCGACCACATTTTCACATGAATTCGGGCATGAGGTAGGTGGAAAGTCAGAGTTAAGCAGGGGTGATGTTTTGCCAAATGAGAGCAAAAAAGGAGAGAAAGCAAGGGAGTTGAGGGTGGACACGAGGAAGTGGTTATAATTGGCCATGGAGTTTAAGCCAAGTAAGAAGGAAAATAAGGCAGGAGAGAGCCAGGGATAGCAAGCATGTGTTAGGACCAGGGGATTGAAAGTTCCAGTGCTGGAGATGGAGTGTGGAGGATATTGGAGGTAGAATTATTGGAGGAAATATTGGAGGTAGAATGTTCGAAATGGAGATTCTGGAGGGGTTCCCGTTACACTATTGGCAAAAACTACAAGTGTGACCATGGCAGTGAGTGGCTGCAGTTGGGTGGGAGACAAGACCATTGGGAGATATAAAGTGAAAGACATGAGAAACCGGTAAACTGGAAGGATTATCTACAATGGCTTTTAAAATCACCAAGAATTATGAACAGAGTAGTGTTGAGGAGAAGAATGGTGTGCAAGGAGCTAAATTCTCTGTTGAAAATCTGTAAAAATGTGAGATACAGAGAAAAAAATTTGGTCCTAACAGGTCTTTTCGATAGCTTGTCAGAGAGCCTCAAATCTTTGCTTCTTGAAGAACACGTATTTGTTTGTTTGTTTTTGTAACCTACTCAACTGTCCAGACCTTCTTAGCTAATAATTTCTATATCCTACGTGGACTGAACTGGTCTTTGCTGGGAAAAAGGTTGTCAAATCTTTGCAGATGAATATGGCTTCATGATGAAACTTCTTGGCCTCAGGGAACTTGACTTTTTACTATCTTTCCCACTTCCTCTCTGTTTGAAGAAGAAATTGACTGGCAGATTATTAAATACACTCAGAAATAATCTTAATAACAACCTTTCTAAAGACATGAGAGAAAGCCCAAATATATAGAAAGTATCTATGTTCCTGGATGAGTAAACTGGATATTGGGAAGATATCCCAAAATTAAATGCCAAATTCAATGAAATTTTCATCAAAATCTCTGTGAGATTGCTTTGGAGCTTAACAAGTTGATTCTAAAGTTCATCTGGAAAGGTAAATATGCAATAACGGCCAAGAAACTGTTGAAAAGGAATGAGAGAGAGATGGAGTGCAGTGGCTCACACCTGTAATCCCAGCACCTTGGGAAGCTGAGGTGGGAGAATCCTTTGAGCCCAAGAGTTCAAGACCAGCGTGGGCAACATAGAGAGACCCTATCTCCACTAAAAATAATAATAATAAAAAAATAGCTGTGTGCGATGGCATGCGCCTGTGGTCCCAGCTACTCTGGAGACTGAGATGGGAGGATCGCTCAAGACCAGGAGTGCGAGGGTGCAGTGAGCTGTGATGGCATCACTGCACTCCAGCCTGTGCAACAGAACAAGACCCTATGTCTAAAAGAATTGTTTTAAATTGAAGAAGGACTTGAACAATAGATAGTAAACCATGCTGTTAAGTTACAGTCAATAAAAGCAGTGAAATACTGGGGCAAAGAAGAGACAAGCAGGTCAGTGACACACCTGTTTACATTGAAAAAAATATTTGACAAAACTGACATTTCAAATTAGGGAGGAAACAGTCTAACAAATAACTGTTGGTTATTTATTTAGGGAACAGTTAAGTCCCTATACCATAGTATGTATCAAAATAAATTCCAGCTAGAATAAAGATCTCAATATTTTATAACTATATAGAAGGAGAAAATACAGGAGAATATCTTCATAACAACATGAGTGATGAAAGTCCTTTGCAAAAGCAGAACTCTAAAGCCAGAAGTCAGGGCAGATTTGACTACAACAAAACTTGAGGAATATTTCTGTACAGCAAATGATTAAAGTGTCAGAACTTCCAGGACAGGTAAAATGTATTTATTTATGTTGTTGCTTATTAATAACAACACTGTCTAAAAAAGGATTTTGGAATACTTCCAGCAGTTTATATAGAATAAAATAAAAGATTACATGTACACACACATTTATGAATGGAGGTGAAGCCTATATATATATATATATATATATATTTATATAAACACACACACATATATATGAAGATGAAGTCAATGAAGAAAACATATTTCATAATACCCTAAACACTTTTTAGAAATGAACAACACATTTCCCTTTGAGCTCCCATAACCCCAGAAAAAAGAAGGAAACAACATCCAATGTAGGCTTCAGAGTGTCTGTGAGAGAATAATAACTCATGTGCTTAAAAGACATACAGATTTCTCATACTGACACAAGAAAGAAATATTTCTAGAAGATTCCTCTGTCTTTGGAAATAAAAACACAACAAATAAGTCCCATATAAACTGACGGATTACGTGTTAAATTTAATGTAGCTACACAACATCACACAACGTCAAAGCCTTACCACGGCAATGTTAATTTCCAGAGTTTGGCACGGGCTCCACCTCTTGCATCCATTCAGCCCCTTCACTGGCTTTTGACAAGAGGTCCAACTGCACCATCACAAATCATTTTGTGATTTTCATAGACATCAGTGAAGGTTTGTGGGGTCACTGGGAAAGGTCACACCACTTGTGTCTTGCCATTTCATTCTCCACTCCTCCCACTCCTTCTTCTCTTTCCTGGCCTCCTTGTCCCCTCCGCCTGCGGTCGTCTCCACCCTCCTGCCAGCCCCACCCATACTTCAGACTTCCTCCATTGAGGGGAGCTGCTTGCCTACCCTGGTCCTGGCACCAGCCAGTGGCACCCAAACTCAAAGTGCCTACCCAAAGCAAAGGGTCACAGAAATTCCTCATGCAAACCCAGCCTCTCTCTGAGAGAAATGTCCTCACTCTCCACCTCATATGCTGGGTTTAGGGAGCCAATAGCCCTGTCTCTTCCCTCTGATGTGAGAGATCTGTGGCTATGTCTGGGAGGTCCCTGCAACTCCTTCCAGGCCACCCAGTGTAACTTAGAGCCTACTGCACAGAGGCCTCAACAGCAGAAGCATCTCCTTGCAGCCATCTCTCGGCTCCCACTCTGGTTTTATAAATAAGTTTCTTATTTTAATTATAAATCTGCACAGTGGAAGTAGACGATTAAATGAAGAGAATCTGAAATCACTCCTGATCCAGGCGAAGTAAGCAAGTGTCTATTTCCAAGACTGTTCTACAAATAGAACACAGGCCTGACACAGAGGACATGTGTCGGATTCCCCACCACACACACACACACACCACACCACACATACACACACACACACCACACACACACACACACCACAACGAGTCTGTCATTCTTAATGTCTGAAGATGAGGTTTTGCTTTTGCATTCTTTGCTTTAGTTCTGTGGATCCTGACAAGTACCTGATTCTCTACAGCAATGGCCAGGTAGGTGTGGAGGGTGGAAGGAGAGTGGAAGGCGCTGAGTCAGGGGCCAGAAGACCATCTGCCATCCTTTCAGGGAGAAGTGAGGGGGAGGGACGAGGACAGGAGCATCTGTGTCTCAAGCGGAGGCAAAACGAAGAGAGAAGCGGAAAAGGAAATGCGGCGTTGGTGAGCAAGCCATGCCGAGGGAGCAGGTGCGAGTGCTGGTTTGTCTGCCTTCTGCTCTTTTCAGTGCTTTCCGTTCAGTCCTCATGACATCCCCACGAGGTGGTTATGACCATGCCATTTGTGACAATGGGGAAATGGAGGCTCATAGCAGCTATGCAGTTGGCCCAAGGTTCTATGCCCCTAGGAGGTGGCAGAGCTGGGATTTGAACCCAAGCAGATCTGCATAGCCTCTGCACCTGCCCACGAGGCTTCACTGACTCTCGAGGAAACAAAGAGATGTTCCAGGTGACTATGTGAAGAAATGGGTCTGGGAACACAGAAGTCACTCTAAAATCACTGAAGTCAGAGTGCTGGGGGAAATGGCACATCTGGTTTCCTTCCCATTTTCAGGGGAGATTCTTGTTAATCAGGGCCAGGAGGGAGAAACCTTTTCTCTGTATTTTGCTTCAGAATTAGAAATAAGTCTTGCCGATCAAGGTGGCTCATGCCTGTAAACACAGAGTTTTGGGAGGCTGAGGTAGGAGGATTGCTTGAGGCCAGGAGTTCAAGACCAGCCTGGGCAACCTAGCAAGACTCCGCCTCTACAAAAAATAAAAAATAGAAAATTAGCCAGGCATGGTGGCATGCGCCTGTAATACTAGCTACTCAGAAGACTGAGGTGGGAGGATCGCTTAAGCCCAGGAGTTTGAGGCTGCGGTGAGCTATGATTGCTCCAATGCACTCCAGCCTGGGTGACAGAGGGAGACCTTGTCTCAAAAAATAAATAAATAGGCTTAAATGCAAATTCCCTTGGGAGGTGGTGAAGGAAACACAGTGGAAGGTGAATGACTGGATATCCTAGAAGAACAGGTTTGGACTGGACAAAGACAGGAGGGCACCAGATTCTTGAATCAAGGAGGGGATAGAAGAATGAGAAGGGAACACGCAGACATTGAAATCCAGCTGGCCCCAATTCCTAATTTTGCTCCGGTGTTGCCTTTCTCTCTACAGGGCCCCCACGTGGTGGGAGCGGGGATGATCTGGGAACTGCCCGGCTCCAGGGGGCATCCACACAGCCTACGGCTCGGATGGTGCCCCTGGATGTGTGCTGTTCGGCTTCCAGGCCTGGGACTCCCCCAAATGGACCCCGGCACAGGGACAGGATGAGTAGGGGAAGCCCGCCTTGGTCACTCGTGCCCGGTGGTTGCTAGCCCCAGCAACTGCGTAAACGGGGCTCCCTGGCTCTACCCCTCTCCGTGGCTGCCCTTCTGGGTGCAGCCCAGCCTGGTCACTGCCCTCCACCAGGAGCCAGGGAACAGGACCCGGGCAGGTACAGCGGTACCACCTGTTCCTTACCATGCAAATTTATTGGTAAAAATGAACTTTTTTCATTGTTCAGTTTTTCAAACGATAATTTCACTTCATCCTTCTGGCATATTATGCTAGTAGCAATAACTGGCTAGTCCCTACACCTGCCTTGGCGGCAGCGCATCTCACTTGTGTGAAAGGCCTGCACACTTCAGGTGGATGTAGAACAAGCCCTCCCGCTGGAGGCGCGATCATTCACTGCCCCCTAGTGGACCAGATGTGCATGAGCCAGGATCCGTGCTTCCGCTTTGATGTGGGCTCTGAGCAAATCAGAGCTGCATTTTATTTCAGTAAGTTTTCGGCCTCTGCTGCTTTAATCTTTGTTGCTAGTGTCTACGGTTCTTAATTAACAGCCCTGAAATGGAATAAAATGTCAATCAAGGGTGACTCTGTGTAAAGCTATATTTAAATGTTAAAAAGTCGTGACATTTTCAAACAGTATTTCAGGCCTCATTTGATGCTCATTTTAAAAATCAAATTTTCATTAGGTTATAAAAATGCTTAACGTGAACGTCGCATTAAAGAGCTCATGTTGGCATCTAGCATAGCCTCAGGTTTTGTGTAAGAGAAAAAACGAGTTTATTTATAAAGCAGAAGCACTGACTGCCTGCCTTATCACCTAATCTGTCACCTAATCACCTTTTGGTTTTCAAGGTTTTCACAATTTGCATGCTTCTTAATTGCCATGTATCCTGGCAATCAGGGGCCCAGTCATACTCAGCATAAGGAAAGCCACCTCTGCAATACGCTGACAACAGCCAGGGGAACTTGGTTTGTCACCACATGCCACAAAGGCTGTTTTGGTGCGTGACTGTCCTTGGGTCAGCTTTAGATTTGTAATACCTGGCCCTAGATCATGCAGTTGAAGATCTTTCGATAATATTCACCTGCATTACATTTGACATACTAAGAGAACTGTTTCTGTAGAAGGTTAAAACACTGACTTTTCTACCCTTTCTGTTTTCTCATTGCCAGGACTTGAACGAATTTGGAACTGTTCCAGAGCTCATTGTTCTCACCTTGTGGCATAACTTAGGTAGTAGGGCAACTCCCTTACCCTTGCCTGGACTCTTACTATCAAAGCCCTCCATTGATAAGGTCTAGGCCGACCACACCCTAAAGCATTTCTTGTATGTATGGATTTGTTTCTTACCTATACCTGAAGAATGGCGCTGGTGAGGTACCACCTTTGGGAGAATTGAGAACATCATCCCTTAGGTAATTATCTGTGCTTTGTGGTTCAGATGAGTAAACTAAGCCCAGAACAGTTACAAAAGGAATGGCATCCTGGGTGAGATCAGTGAGGGGGATATGCTGTATCCTCCCGGGGACAGCCTTGTTCATTTAATCCATTCATTTCAGGCTGACTATGGAGTAGACCTAGCCCTGATGATAGGAAACTTCCAAGAGTTGGTGAGAAGGCTTTGGTGTGTCCACACAGAGCAGAACTGAAATTTTTCCACCCCATTGCAGATCAAACACCACAGCAAGTGAAGTGCTTCAGAGTCCTTCCTAAGCAAACTGTAGTTTTCCCCAGAATGTCACAGGAAGTGCTGCTGGTGATTCATCAGGTTAAAGTGCTCCTTGTGAGTCAGAAGTAAACGGAAGCTGCTGCTCCGTGTGGAGGGCGAAGAATCGTGGCTGGCCCTGAGGGTTCCAGGGGTGGGGTGGGGCAGAGCTGCTTACTAAACGCTTAGAACGTTCCGGTAACAACACTCGAATGGCTGTTGAACACAGTGAAACCCTTGCCCATGGAAACTTCTTAATAAAAGAATAAAAATAAAATAGGCTTGGAGATACAACTTACCAGAGGGAAACCAATCAGTAGAGCTGCATTTCCCGTAAGTCCCCATTGCAGCCCAGGGAAGCCCTCTGGCTGCCTGTTTTTATCAGTCACGCCAAAGGCCCATCGGGTGCCTCCAGTTTACCTGACTTGGTTTAAATCAGTCAGTTGAACTGGGGCTGAGTGGTCATCTTGTCTACGCCCTAGCCTCTACAGCCACTAACTTCAGGATATCATCTCTAGCAAAGTCCTCAATCCAAGACTGAACTGAATGCTAGGAGTAGGGAAAAGGGAAGGCAAAGTAGGGTCATGGCTGAAAGCTAAGCATCCATTTTTATCTACTTGGGGAATTTTTAAATCAACTAGAAATTCAAGATAAAACACATTTGAAATGACTTTAATGTGCGCATTTTTAAAAAAGGGACATAGAACACAACCAGTATTGCTGCTTTCCACACTGATACTGCTGCCTTATTCCCCTAAGATCACCCACCCCCATCTCTTCGGGTAGGTGTGTGAAGTGACACAGTAGGAAGACGGGCAGAGAAAGAGCCCCTGTTCCAAGCTGGCCGTCATTCAGCTGAGAAGACGGCTTTCCTGGAGGCTCCACGCACACCATGCCGCCGCACCCTCTCCAGCTGATCTGTGGCCAAGCTGCCTCACGGGCAATACCGAGCATGTTTTATATAAGGCTTTCAAAGCTGCTGCTGCTGCTGCTGCCACTCCTGCAGTGGCTATAACCTGGCCTTCAATGTCTCTGTCTAGACAGATGCATGATTGAATAAAGGATTCATCCAAGCCCTGTGTCACATTGGCCATCTGGAAAGTCGCCAACCACTCGTTTAGCAAATTGCTGTGTTTAAATGCAGCTGCTGTGTCTCAATGTTTATGCTACCAAGACAGATCACATGATTCCTCTTCTTTCATTTATCTGCACCGCTCCTCTTAATCTGCCTAGGAACTTAAAAGGCTGTTAATGCATGACAAGGCACTTGACCCGCGTGATTTCCAAGCCAAGGGGGAGCATCCGTCTTGCACTGGGTCGTCCTTTCCTCAAACGCAAGGGCACCTTGCCTGTACTCCCGTCTTAATGAAGGCTGCCTTTATTAAGAATCCCATTAAGCTCCACAGTGCCCAGCCATCCGACACTGTAAATATGACCCTTTAGAAATGCATCCAGGGGCCCTGCGCAAGCAGCTGGCCTGGTAGCGAGCACTTGCCCCAGCAGTCGGGAGGGAAACTCAGACCTCAGCTCTCTGTAGAAGGAAGGGCATTGTTTGATGGGTTGATGCTTCTCTCCTTTTTGGAAAGATGAATTACAATCTTTGGCAGATAATGTCAACAAAACCCCTGAGATGATTTAAATAAGAGTTGGAAGCAAAATGATTTCAGAATAGCAATGAGCTCTTAGGCATTTTACCTTGGTTTTCTTATTTTTAAGGAGGAAAAGGAAGGAGACAGCCGAGGTTAAGCAGTTTGTCATCTGGATATCACTGGTCACTTTGGCCTGGTGCTGATTGTTATGTTATTTATCAGGGCAAATAATTTTGGTGACCACTGCTTACATAAATTGCCTGCCTCTTTTGGGGGTCACAACATTATTAAGTCTGGAAGTCAGAAGCCAAAATCAGTGAGTGTTTATCAAAGGAATATCATGTTCTCAGTCCTTAGCTAGGCCCATTGGAAAAGCAACAAAATAGCACAATAAATGATCTGTGCCATTAAATCCTATCAGGAGACGAAAAGAAACAAATACAGGAGAATCTAGCACAGTGAGGAGTGAGGATGTGGTCTTTGGAACCAAATCCCAGATGCAATTCTGGGGTGTTCACCTTGTGAGCCTCAGTTTCCTCACTGGCAAGAACAGGTGGACATATCTCTCTCCAAGTTATTTTCAGGAGTGATTGAATCAGTCTTTACAACAGTAAGAACCCAGTGTATTCTATTAGTGGTAGTCAGAGGGTGTGGGATCTTGACTGTAAATGCTAGAGGAATTCAGAGGAAATAAAGAACATTTTGGACTGAGTACATAAGACCATCTTTATGGGTCAGCTTGATCCTGAAGAAGCAAAGTCTGGGGAGGGAAAGTGTATCTGATAAATGGAACAATGTGAGCAAGACACAGAGATGGCAGGCAGAGAAGAGGTGGGGCCACTGGGTGGACTAAAGGAAAGAGCTCTCATTTTTGTGTGGGGGGGTGGAAATGTTGAATGAATGACAGGCCCCATGCATGGAAGGCTTTGAAAGTCAAGCTGAGTGATAGCCATGGGTTGGAAAGATTTACCTGGTGTCAGTGAACAGGGTGGTTCCCTGGAGAAATGTGGGCTGGGAGATGGGCTCAAAGGCTAGATACTATTCCAGGCTGACGGATGAGGGGTCAGTGGAGTGGCAGTGGGGTGGATGGAATGGAATAAAGCTGGCATTTCCTTCCATGCTCAACAGACCTGGTGACTCCATGAACACTGGGCAGGAGAGAGAAGGAAAAGGAAAGAGGAAATGGTTTTACAGAGCACCTTTTCCATGCCAGACACTAGGCTAGATACATTCCAATCATTCTTATCGAGCTCCAAGCATAAGATCCCAGTGCCAGCATACCAAGACAATGGAGGGCGCTGCAAGCAAATGGAGCTGCTCAGCTTCCTGGCAGGCCAAGCTAAGGCCTAAGGTTTGATGCTGTGTATGTTGAGAGTGAGATGGCTTTAGAACAGCCAAGGTCCCCCAAGTGCAAGGGTCCTGTTGGAAGCTGCAAGTCTCGGTTTGGGATTCAGGAAGAGATGTAGTCATGAATATCATTGGCTTAGGGAAGACTGCTCAGCAGTAAGACTCGAAGAGCACTGGAGGGAGGAAGTGTTGGGGTAACAGAGAGGAAAGGAGCCAGCAGAAGCCAAGGGAGAAGGGATGTCTGGAGGGAAGAGGTGATTAGCAGCTGAACATCCAGGGAGCTCGAGGAAGAAGAGAGACTGAGAAAACCCCATGCGATTTATTAGAAATGGAACTAGTGGTGAGAAAAATGTCAGTGGAGGATCAGGGAGAGAAGTCAGATTGCCGGGCTCTAATGAGGGAGTGTGGAGTGAGAAAATGACACGTTAGCTAAGGAAGAGAGACATGGAGGGAAGGGAACAGTATATGCTGACTTTGTGAAATTAAATGAGCTTCTAAATGGTGCTATAATGGCATGAAAAAGTGACAGAACCCAATGATGCTGATGCAATTCCCATTAATAGATTATGCACTGGAAAAATCTTGTATAAGACACACTTGACACAGAATTTTTGGTGTATGTCATACTGAGGTTAAAAAAAAAAAAAGCAGCAGGCTGAGATTTTATTTGTACCCAGACTGCGATAATTTGGCAGGAAAATGACATGACCTACTGTGAACTCAACTAACACCATAGCTTGTTCCAGTGCTGATGGACCTGAGCTTGAAGACCACACGAGGTTTAGCAAGCCTAGCTCTGCTACTCATGACTTCTGTTCCCTTGGGCACATCATTCAACCTCTTTCTGCCTCAGTCTCCTCACCTGTAAAATGGAAATCATAAAATTACTGACTCCACAGGATTATTGTGAGGATTTAATGAAATAACACATGCAAAGCATTTAGTTAGTTCAGAGCCAGTGCCTGGCACTTATTCAGGGATATAGTCTCCAGTGACATTGATACCAAAAAAATACTATGATAGCTCCTACCAACAAATTAGCCGAATTTATTTCACATCCGAGACAGCAAGTTTTGCAATTATACACAACTTGATATTATACTAGTGTTTCCTTCCATATCAAACGCTGTTCCAAGTGCAGATTGCTGCAAGGAATGCGCTGGAGTGATCAAGATCCTCCAAGAGCACTGCCGCATGCACCAGAGACCTCCCCGGGGCCCTGGGTCCTGGCATTTGGACAGTGCAATCTGGCCAAGCTCATGTCCACTCAAGGTTATGGCAGCTCCAGTGTCTCTTGAATGTGAAAGCCCATCTGTCTGGGGAGAAACAGAGAAGACTGGAAAACTCTCCACTCCCTTTTACACAGAAAAATATTGCTTGTTGTTTCTACTGAGAGAGGACAAGATTTTAGTGTGTGGGAAATAAATGGAATATGTTGTGTTTTTACTTCTGCAAGAAATTTATTTTTCTTTTGTTTTTTAAATTGTGTTGCAGGGATGTGTGACCGTTCTGCTTCTGCCATCTGTAAGTGAACTATTAAGGTAAATATTGAAGTTTAAATATAATTTTGAAAGAAGAGGAATAGCACTTTTTTAAAGCAAGGACATAATCACTTTATGTAACTGTTGCCATGGGGTAAAGGAATAAACTAGCAAATGTTCTCAAGATGGTTTAGGATTGGGATTTGCTTTTTCTTCTCCTTTCTAATTTTCTCGGATTGTAACATTACATTCGCTCCCCCTGGTGTGTCCATTTCCCAGCTTTGCTCCGATATTCTTCTCTCATGGTGCAATACCATTGTGGACCTCCAGAGTTGGTGCATTTAGTGCAACAGAGCATTCTGCCTGGTTCAGGGGATAGAGGAATGAAACCTAAACTAGTCATAGCAAATGTCAGGATGAACATTTCAGCTAAACATAAAATGTTAAGAGAATCAGATATAACATATTAGTATGAATCAGTCTGTATTAGTCAGGGCAGGCAAACTGCTATAATGAATAACTCCCAAGTTTAGTGGCTTCTCACAATAGAAATTCACTTTCTGCTTATGTAACAGCTCCTTGCATGCATTTGGTGGGTGACTCGGGGACCCAGGCTCCCCCCTAGGGCTTTGGGTCCTCTGCAGCGGGCAGCATTCTGGGGAAGAGATGGAGTGGGTGGTCATTCAGGGTGATTTTATGTGCTATGCCTTCAGTGCTGTGTGTCACTTCTGCTCATACTCCAGAAGTCAGTCACATGGCCACCATAATTGCCACAGAAGCTGGGGAAGTTGAACAGCACAGAAAGGGAAATGGGTTTGATAAATAATTTGCCAGTCTTTGCCACATAACCTAAAAAATAAAGTATCAAGGAAACAATACAATATATGTCCCCTGGGAATTTTTGCTGATGATGTGAAAACCCCTTTGTCATCAGAGAATTCTCTTATTCTCTTTTCCTGTTGCCTCTCCCTTTTGTTTTATTTCTTTCTCCTTTTTTTTTTTTTCAGACAGGATCTAGCTCTCTCACCCAGACTGGAATGTGGAGTGCAGTGGCACCATCATAACTCACTATAGCTTTGAACTCCTGGGCTCAGCTTCTCGAGTAGCTGGGACTACAGGTAAATGACACTGTTCCTGGCTAATTACTTTTTTTTTTTTTTTTTTTTTTTTGGTAGAGACAGGGTCTCACTATGTTGCACAGGCTGGTCTCAAACTCCTAGCCTCAAACAATCCTCCTGGCTTGGGCTCCCAAAGTGCTGTGATTATAGGCATGAGCCACCGCACCCGGCCCCTACCTTCTTTCCACTCCTCTCTGCCACAGCCCAGCCTGCCGAATCTGCCTCCTCATGGGCGGTGGAGTGGGCTCTCTTCAGAGCCTGCGTGTGCTTACCTTCCTCAGCATCTTGTCTTACAAACTTTGCAACGAGAATGTGTGCTTCCCTCCATCCCAGCTTTTCAAATTCCTCTCCCATCTTTGGTGCTCAGATCTAATCCCCTTGCTTTCAAAAAATCTCCCTGATCACAGGACACAGCCTCCTTCTGTAATGCTCCTTCTCGGCACCTCCCAAGGCCTTTCTCAGTCACCCACTCATGGTCAGGTTTTGTAGATATGTCTCATCTTTTCAACAGATCTTACATTGCTAGAGAGAAGAGCACCTCGTATCTCGGAGACACGCACCTCTTCATTGCTAGGGGCAATGAGAGAGAGTGAGAGGACATGCCTAGGACCCCGAAGCTCCGCTTCCTGCCCAAAGGCTCCCTGCAGCTTGGCTTTAGCTCCGTCCTCACCTCTGCCTCCACGTCCTCCCTCATAATCCTAAGACACTAGTTCCTGCACCAGCTTTCCTCCCAGAGAGCCTTGAGGTGCGAATGAAGTGATTCAGATGTATCCAGAAGAAGTCCCCCAGCTCACTCACCAGGAGGCGATGTGCAGAGTGTCCTTAGGACAGGGCTCAGGAGGCAAACCAGCACCTGCAGGATCCCACAGATCCTGCAGGAGCTAGCGGTAAAGAAGTGGCTCCCTGTGTGCTTCTTAGAAACTAGAGGCGTTTTCCTGAAATGAATAGGAAAGGGTAAGGAATAAACATCCTTGGATTTTGGCTTTGAAGTTAGCAAAATAATACCTTTTTCAAACAAAAAGGCAAGACTGGCTAAAATCACTTTGTGATGGCAGTTCAAGGGCGGCTTAAAATAGCATCTCGCTGCCCTCAAGGCAAGTGCAGCTGTACTGCTCAGGATCACGAGAAGCTCACTTGCCAGCCTCCTTGCCAGCTCCTGCTTTTGCTTGGGACTCTGTGTGCACCCCTGGAATGAGCTAGCTGAGAGAAAACCCCGAAGGCCTTAGAGAACCCCTGAATGGAGGGGCCTGGGAGCACCCCATGTGGATAAGGCTGCTCTGGGATGCAGGCCCATGTGGAGCCTGGGCAGGAGTGTGACCTCCTTCAGCTTCAGCTTCCCTGGGAACAACGCAAGCTGCCTCCTGGAGATGCTGAAAGGATCTAATTGTTCATACCGAGGGCCAACGCTGCACATCGAATATAAATATAAATACCGATTCACCCACTATGGTCTGTGGATGAGGAGACCCGGGATTCTTCTAAATAGAACGATCTTTGGTTTATTTTAAGTTTCTGGGTAAAATTTAAAGTGTGATTTTTGAAACGTCTCATTTCCCTTAAAGGGAGGGAATGAGTCCCTTTGGAGAACAGCGGATTGAAATTCAAATGCCTCTTGCTCTTTTACATCATCTGGAAGATGTCAGGAAAAGGTGTGACGCACTCCCTTCTCAGCCCCAACACATTTGTTCTGAAGGTGACAGGTGCATGGTTTTACAGGCTGGGGCATCCACGGGGATGTTTGCAGGTGCCCTGGGAATTGGTGTGAGAGCCACACAACAAGTGACCATACAGGCTGGGATCAGGAGTGACTCACCTCTGATTTCGTCTCGGGAGGGAGCTGACACTCTTGTCAAGCTGTTGGCCAGTGGCCACGGATTTCAGCAGAGGCATCAGCAGGTCATCTGTGGTGGCTGTGGGCCTTGGCCAGGAATGGGAGGGCCAGACACACGCTAAGACAGTGAAGCGCCAAGGCCAGGCTTGCCCCTGGCGGAATTCTCATAGGCTTCTTGCTTTCATAGAGCTAAGTTCACAGACACAGCTACCCACAGGCAGAGCACACAGAAAAGCCACAGAAGTCATTTCCCAGGTACACAGACCACCTTCCCAGGCACTTGTCCACAGGGCAGACCCACAGACAACCAGAAACACCCCACAAAAAATCCCCAAACCCAAATGCATAGACCCTCACAGATGCCCCACAGGCATCCCATGAATATCTGCACACCCACTTTATAGAAACTCTAGACTCACTTCAAAGACACCCAACAGATGCCCCACAATCACCCTCACCAACACAACTCACAAACCACACACACCACCACAGACATCCACAAGATCCCCACTGACACCCACACAGACACCTTCACAGGTACCCCAAACATACCCCAAAATATCTCAAAGTACACCTAACACCCTGGCAGACACCTCAACACATCCTCCACAGATCCTCTTGTGTCACTTGCCCCAGCTCATCTCCTCACGTCACTCCACAAAACCCACCACAAAACAGATACCCCTCCAAAGCAACCCACACGCCTCCACCACACCCCACATACCCTCACAGTGCCAGGTACACAAATATGCACCTGCACACAAACTCAGACCCCATGTGCACACACGGAGTCACCTATACAGATCCCCTGGGCACATACACACAGCCAACCAAATAGATCCACTGTGCACATGCACACACACTCACAGACCCCCTGTGCGCACACACAGTCACCCACACCGACCCACTGTGCACACATGCACATAATCACCCACACAGACCCCCGTGCACGCACACACACAGACCCCCCACACACATACACAGTCACCCACACAGACCCCCTGTACACACACACACACAGACCCCCCATACACACATACAAAGTCACCCACACAGACCCCCTGTGCACACACACACACAGACCCCCTACACACAGTCACGCACACAGACCCCCATGCACACACACACACAGACCCCCTACACTCATACACAGTCACCCACACAGACCCCCTGTGCACAACACACACAGACCCCCCTACACACATACACAGTCACCCACACAGACCCCCTGTGCATGCACACACACACAGACCCCCCTACACACATACACAGTCACCCACACAGATCCCCTGTGCACGCACACACACAGACCCCCATGCACACACACAGTCACCCACACAGACCCCCATGCACACACATAGACACCCACACAGACCCCTGTGCAGACACACAGTCACCCACAAAGGTTCCTTGTGCACACACACACACAGTCACCCACACAGTTTCCTTGTGCACACACACACAATCATCCACATAGACCCCCGTGCACACACATGCAGTCATCCATAAAGGTCCCTTGTGCACACACACAATCACCCACACAGATCCACTGTGCACACATGCACATAGTCACTCACACAGACCCCCTGTGCACGCACACGCACAGACCCCCATACACCATCACACACACAGACCCCCTGTGCACATGCATACACACACAGACCCCCATACACACACACAGTCACCTACTCAGACCCCCTGTGCACACACACTTGCCCACAGAGATTCTCTGTGCACACACACACAGAGTCACCCACACAGACCTGGGCACACACACTCGTGTACACACACAGTCACCCACATACACACCCTGTGCATACACACACAGAGACCCCCTGTGTGCACAAACACGCACAGAGCCCCGTGCACACACACACACAGATCCCCTGTGCACACACACAGAGACCCCCTGTGCACACACGCATCATCACCCACACAGATCTGTGCACACACACAGTCCCCCACACAAATCCCTGTGCACACGCACAGACCCCCTGTGCGCGCACACACAGTCACCCACACTGACCCACTGTGCACACATGCACATAATCACCCACACAGACCCCTGTGCATGCACACACACAGACCCCCCTACACACATACACGGTTACCCACACAGACCCCCTGTGCAAGCACACACACAGACCCCCCTACACACATACACAGTCACCCACACAGACCCCCTGTGCACACACACAGACCCCCCTACACACATAGTCACCCACACAGACCCCCTGTGCACACAGTCACCCACACAGACCCACGGTGCACACACACACACAGACCCCCCTACACACATAGTCACCCACACAGACCCCCTGTGCACACACACAGTCACCCACACAGAACCATTGTGTACACACACACAGACCCCCTGTGCGCATACACAGTCATCCACACAGACCCCCCTGTGCGCACACACACACACAGACCCCCTGTGCGCACACACACCCACACAGACCCCCTGTGCACACACACAGTCACACACAGTCACCCACACAGATCCCCCGTGCACACACACACTTGCCCACACAGATTTCCTGTGCACACATACAGTCACCCACACAGACCCCCTGTGCACACACACACCCATGTACACACACAGTCACCCACACACACACCCTGTGCATACACACACAATCACCCACACAGACCCCACGTGTGCACACATACACATAGACCCCCTGTGCACATACATACATAGACCCCCTGTGCACACACACACAGTCACCCACACAGACCCCTATGCACACACAGGCATTGACGCTAGCCTGGCATACCAGTAGCCTCCACCCCTCACCTGGGAATCTCCTACCACCACCCAGTCAGACATGCTCCTCTACAGAAACCCTCCCTGTACAGAAGTCTTAATGGAGACCCCACCAAAGCCCTTTCCTCCAAGACGCAGACCCGACACTCACTGGCCTGAAAAACCCGGGTGAAGACGCAGACACACAGACATCCTGCTCCATTCTACAATTCATCGTTTGAGGCAATCTTCTAGCTATAATCTGGAAAATCAAGACAAGCCATTTATTGCAAACAACTGGGATTGTGGTACAATACTCTGGTCACAGGGAGATGGAACAAAGTGTTTAGTTAGGATCCAGTGATGCATCTGTCAGTGGCTCTCGCTGGTCCATGAGTACACCGGGGGAATAGGCGTCTCCTTGCCACGATTTTGAAGGAAGAGGAGTGCAGCTCAAAGACTGAAGCCTGGTTTCTGGAGAACGTCAGGTCCATTTGTCCCCCAACGGCCTTGTCACAAAGCAGTCTGCCATGACCCCTGCGAGGTGGGGGTCCTCGTCCCGCCCTCAAAGACAGCTGTCCTTCTGCTGATGGAGCAGAGCTGGGGCCTCTGGCTAGCTCTGCAGCTGGTTTTCCTTACAATCCAAAAGTTTCAAAACAAAAAAGACGTAATGCCTCCAAAAAATTCCTCAAGATTTTCTTAGAAAATAGGTGCTTCCAAAGAGGGATATAGTATGGTGGGTGTTAGAAGGAGGAGGGGACAGACGTGGGAGATCAAAAAGAGAACCAGGAGGATGCAGAAAGGGATTAGAATGCAGGAAATAGCTCCGGCCAGCTGGTGGCCATCTGGGAGCCACGCAGAACGGGAAAACCAAGTTGCCGAGTTTCTAGCAAGTGGGTACAGTTTGTCATGACAGAAGGTTACTGCTTGGAGAAACTACAGAGAAGCCAGATTCTTGCCAGCTATTTTCTTTTTTAAAAAAATCTAGTGGTTTCCGTAAGAATCGGATTGCTGTGAATTTGCTTCTGTCTGAAGTAAACTAGCTAAGGACATCATCATTTTAGGAAACGTTAGATAGCATCTGAGGGTGTTGTGGGATAAGACTCTCCGGATATCAGTGTGAAAACAGACAATGGGTAAAGACATGTGGTTTTTACCTTATACAGTGATTTTTTTTTAAGTCTCAAACAGGACCAGAAGGAAGGCCAATGACTATAAGATAAGAAGTAAATTATTGTGGTTGGTTATTTTTATTTTGGTAGATATTCAAGGCATATTATATGTGCTTGGTAGTGGCTGTCCAGGAGGAAAAGAAATAAATTGTAAAGTCAATATGCACTCTGTAATATATAAAGACATTTTGCATCCACTCAGTTGTCCCATGGAGAACCAAAGGACAGCGTGTGTGAAACTAACCTCATCATGCCTTTGCCATCCACCAAAAATAGCATCTCTTCTCTCCCCACCGACTCTGTGAATGGCACCACCACTGCCCTGTGGTCCATGCCAGCTAAGTCATCCTAGCTGCTTATATCCCATATCCAGAGACAGTCGTGTGTTGCTAATCACGGAGATACATTCTGAGAAATGCGTCTTTAGGCAATTTCATCATTGTGCAAACATCACAGGGCATACTCACATGAACCTAGATTGCATACATATTTTTATTTATGTATATTTTTATATGGGAAACCAAGTGTCCCAGCACCATTGCTGAATATCATTCATTTCCGCTACTTCATCTGCGATGCCATTATCAAATGCCATTTGTCACGTTTCTATATATGCTGCATAATCTATGAGACCACTGTCGTATATGCTGTCCATCACTGACTGAAGCATCATTATGAGGCACAAGCCTGTACTTAGCCACCAAGTCCTGACAATTCTATCTCCTTAATAACTCTAGCTCATGCCCTCCCCGCCCTCTTCTCCCTCCCTATGGCAACTGCTTCATTTGATCTGTCAGCACCATCACAGCAACAAACTTCTAAATGGTCTCACCAGGCCCAATTTCAAATCCTTGCACATCACTCTTCATATTTTCACTGGGTGGTTTTTGTAAAAAGAGAAAATGAATCTCATCTCATGTTCATTCAGCAAACATTGATTGAGCACCTGCATGTGTGAGGTTTTGTCCTAGGTGCTTGGGGGTCGGTGAACAAAACAGAGACCTCGACCTTCAGACTAGTGGAAGGAGAAAGACAATAAACATAATTATATCATAATAATTTTGAAGGTGGTAAGTGCTGTGAAAAAATAAAGCAGGGTAAGGGATCAAGAATTCCTGGTGTGCACACGTGTGTGTGGAGTTTTCAGTAGGGCAGGCAGGATAGGCCTCACTGAGAAGCTGACATATGACCAAAGGAGGTAAGGGAGTGACAGGTGACCAAAGGAGGCACCTGAGGATCTGTGGGAAGGGCATTCCTTGCAGAGAGAAGAGTCAGAGATATGACCTAAGGTAAGAACATACATGGGGGCTTCAAGAAACAGCACACAGGTTGGGGTGGCTGGGGCAGGATAGGTGTGGGTTGAGAGTGGAGGGAATGAGATCAGGGAGCTATGAGGGGGTCAGGTGATATTGGACCTTATGGCGGGTGGTGCCATTGCAGGGTTTTAAGCTGTAGACAACTTGCTCCGACTTCTCTATTGGATGATGACTCTAATGATCCTGCTGCCTCAGACCAGAGAGTAGCAGAAAAGATTGTGAGAGGTGCTGATGTCTCTCTCCCACTCAAAAACCTAAACTCTTCAGTGTGACCCACAAAACATTTCAGGACTGGGGCTCTGCTTACTTTTCCTGGTTCATCTCTGATGGTGCCTTCACATCCCCTCAACCCCCATGTTCTGGAGCAGGTGAGCATCAAACAAGCATCCCCTTCTCTCATGGCCCCATGCTTTTGCATTGGTGCCCTCCTCTGCCTGACTGTGGTGCCCTTCTGGGCCTCCACTGAGCATCTTCTCCTCAGGGAGGTCTTCTCCTCTCTATACAATGCAGTCTCTATGAAGTCCTGTACATACCTCAGTGATTGAGATTTTATCCCTGAATCAGAATGTTCTGTCCACAATCTGTCTCTCTCACTAGAGTGGGCAATACTATTAATAGAACCTAGAAATTAGAGCTTTTATTTCTGAATCTCTAGTCGACCTTGGACAGTTGGGTGGATGATGGATGGATGAAGGATGGATAGATGAAAAGATGGAGGATGAATGGAGGATAGGTGAGTAATGGTTGGAGGATGCATGGATGATGGGTGAATAGATGGATGGATGCATGCATGAATAAATGGGGGAAGGATGGAGAATAAATGGAGGATAGATAGAGGATGGGTGGGTGGCAGATCAATGGATGCTGGGTCTTTCATTAGATATTGAATTCAAGGGATTTTATTTTTAGTTTATAATTAGTTAAGCATTATAAAATGCTCAGAAACTAATTGTAAGACATTAACTTCTTCATTACCGGAGAGATGGCTGAAGGAGTATGTGCAAGTAACTACTTGTGAGCATACATACTCGTCAACTGCACATGATGGCTGTGTTGCTGGAAAGTTGAATACAAAAGGACTTTTGATAAACAGGATCTTATTTGCCCATTGACTAAATATTATTTGAGATATGCTTTATTTTTTTGACATGCTATTCAATTAGCAGGAAGTCACACTAAAACTTCAAATTCCTCAATACTTTCCTTCCCTACCAACTTCTGTCAGATACACTATTCAGCTGAAAGTGATTGATTTCTGTTTGACAAACTACTGAGGAAAATCCTTCCAGAAAAATGAGGAGTCTTTTTGCATTGCATAAGCATCTGCTACTTTATCTTTTTTTCTAGGGTTGTCCTCATCTGGTGTAGGTTTTAGGGTTCCCCTTTCCCATTGGGAAAGCGTATGATTTCAAAAAATGCACATAATTTCAATAAAAATCAAAATAAATTTTGAAACGAAAGAAAAATTAACAAAACATAATGTCCAAAAATGTCCAATTTTCAAGAGCTTGAAAATGACTACTAAGCCTTTCCCTCTCACAGGTGACCATTTCTAGCTTTCTCAGCTGTTTTTCATATGACCTTGTTTCAGGACGCCTCACTGTCCTGGCTTTCTCTTGCCGACAGCGGCCCGAGTGCTCAGGACTGGATGCCACACAGCACCTTATAGCCCACCTTGTCCATTGGCATAATACAGCCCATATTCGAGCCATATAGTCCACATCCTTTACTTATAAATTCCTATTTTGAACCTAAATCCAGAGCTTTCATTGATGCTAAATTTCATGTTATTGACTTTTTTGCATTCTTATCCTATTTGGCTAAAATAATTTTCACTGATAATATTGGCATGCAGTAGATTTGCTGTCTCTCTCAGCATTGTGTCATCAGTAAATTTAGCAGTGTTTCTATGTGTTCATCCAAGTCCTGGATTAGACTGTTGAATAGGGCACAGCTGAGAACAGCCCTGTGGCCTGTCACTACGAACATCCCTCCGGGTGGGATTCACTCATATGATTTGCTTCACTTTGAGTAGAGGTGTTTGCTCATTTGCTCAAAGGATATAATACGAGCACATCTTTAAGGAGAAAATAGAAAAGAGAAAGTACTGATAATAACAGTTTCAGGAATTGTTGTCCCTCTGAAGAGTCACAGCAGGACAATTCACAGTATCTGTCAGTTGTGTCTGGGTAAAAAAGAATGAACTGGTTAGAGCTTTGCCCTAAAATGAACAGGCCCTTGTCACGACACACACACACACACACACACACACACACAATTGTTCAGTGCCTCTGCTAAGATCAAGAGTCTCACATGGCAGAGGCCTTTCACAGCCGTGGTTCTGGGTCTTCCAGATGCCCCTGACCTTGTGGCACGTGGGAGTGGGCTCTCAGAGACCACACCCACAGCTCCTCACCGCCTCTCAGGGCGTCCCGGACAGGGGCAAGGACTGGAGGTCCTGGTTGCATTGATGACCTCCTCCATCTTGCTTCCTTAGGGATTCATGCTGGTGCTTGGATAAGTATTAGATTATTTTTTGACAAGCTGAAAGATGAAGTTCAACGTGAGCAATTGGCTGATGACACAAATTCACCAACCCAGCATCATGGAGAACTGTTGTCTGGATCTGACCAAACCAGTATCACAGTAGATGAAATAAACTGATAGAAGAAAGACTTTAGGGAGGCACGATGGCTCAGGTCTGTTGTCCTGGCGCATAAGAAGGCGAGGCCAGGCATTCAAGACCAGCCTGGGCTACATAGGAAGCCTTCATCTATATAATAAAAAAAAAAAAAAAAAAGAAGAAAGACTTTAAATCTCTCCATCTCTCCTGTAGATGCCCTCAAAAGATAACAGCTTGTATCATTAGTCTCCCAGGAAATCTATCTGCTTCATGCTTGCTGGAGGTTAAAAAACAGATTATGGGTCTTGTCTAAATTAAGGAAATATTGGTGGGCAATACAGAAACTATTATCAGAATGAAAAACAAATTACAATGAAGTCCTTATTTTAGAGACTTTGTCCCCATCAATTAATACACTCACAAGTGACTGAATCCACATTTCCATGAAGTAATTCCAAGAAGTTTAAAGATTTTTCCTAGTTTTCTTTCTTGAAATACGAATGCATGTTTCAAATCAGTTACCTTTGATTTCTGATCATCATCACTATGTCCGTAATCTCACTAAGCCTGTAAACTTGGCTGGTTTTTTTCTTCTGCCCCATTTTCTGTCCCAGAAATTAACTGTATCCACAGAAAGGCAACAGAGATGGTGAATGGTATTACGAAGGACAGCTTAGTGGAAGAGGGCCAGAAAAAAATTTTATTTGAGGGAAATTCAATTGGGAGAAGATCAATTGACAAAAAAAATGAGTTGAAGGATTCTCAAAGTATCACAAAGGAAGCAGAAGGCTGAGGAGACATACTTATTATTTGCTCTATGGTTGGAGAACAGACAATTCATAAAGAAACAATATCAGACTTTTCAAACTGCTTCTTGAAAATTGCTTTTCAAAAAGAGATGTTTCATTTAACCAGTGAAATTAGATGCTGTGGGGTATTGTTATGGAAGCCAAGTAAATTTACACAATAAAATAAATCTTAAAAGGACAATTCCACAGGTAAAATGGAGGTTGTCAAGTACTCAGCATTAGTCTCTGAGGCGCCATCCTCTGAAAGCTGAAACAAGGCAAAGCATCTTGAGAGTTCTGAAGTGTGAAGATTGAGACCTACTCAAGCTTCTAACTTTCTGGACTGTGTGAACAGGTGAGGAGAGGATGCAGGGACTTGTGTGGAATGTTCAAGAAACTCAGCAGTAAAGAACTTTATCAGGCAAAGAAAGGCCTGATGGAAAAGCATCTCCAAGACATGAAGAAGCTTGACAGGAAGTTCACCTGGAGAGAAAGTGAGTCCTCACGTAGACTCTCCCTCACTCCTCCATGAGGTGAGAAAGTCCAGCAAGGGTTACGCCAAATCAGGAGTGAGTGCTGAGTAATTGTTGGTTAGAAACCAAGAGTGTCTGACAAGACTACTATGCACAGAAGATTACCAAGAAATAACTTTGTAGTGGATCAAAACGTACAAACGTAACACTTAAAAAGTAGTCAAAAGTGGCTGGGTGCGGCGGCTCACACCTGTAATCCCAGCACTTTGGGAGGCTGAGGTGGGTGGATCACATGAGGTCAGGAGTTTGAGACCAGCCTGGCCAACATGGTGAAACCTCATCTCTACTGAAAATACAAAAATTAGCCAGGTGCAGTGGTGTGCGCCTGTAATCCCAGCTACTCAGAAGGTTGAGGCAGGAGAATCGCTTGAACTCTGGAGGCAGAGGTTGCAGTGAGCCAAGATAGCGCCACTGCACTCCAGCTCAGGGGCAACAGAGCAAGACTCTGTCTCAAAAAAAAAAAAAAAAAAAAAAGAAAGAAAGAAAAAAATATAGTCAAAAGTAATGAGTAATTTAAACAAGACAATGTACTGCCATGATAGCAATTAAAAAGTGCAGAGGAAGAGAACTTTATTATGAAATGCTTAATAAAATGGGAAAACAATTACTAAGGGGAAATGCCAATATGGGGACTGCCTTGAAGAAGACAATGCATTTCCATAATTGCTGCTAAACTGTATAAAAACATCTTGCCTACAGGTTTCCATAAGGCAGAGATCACCATTCCAGGTTATATCTACTGTAACATATTCACTCATCTCAAAGGATCCCTCACAACTCTAAAACAGTCCCACAATTCTATGATTTGTTGAACCATGGGAATGTCCATTGTAGACTATTATGTATAGTTAATCCATCCGTTATGAATGTTTTAAGCTGCAATCCAGACTGCCTGGGTTTGAATCCTCATCCTGCTACTTGCTAACTTTGGCAAGATACTTATCTTTCTGTGTCTCAGTTTCCTCATCCCTAAAAAAGGAATAATGAATAGTGCTTATCTCATAGAGTTATGTTTAAGAGGAAATGGATCAAGAGGCCAGGAGTGGTGGCTCATGCCTGTAATCCCAGCACTTTGGGAGGCTGATGTGGTTGGAGCACACACTTCAGGTCAAAAGTTTGAGATCAGTCTGGCCAACATGGCAAACCCCTGTCTCTACTAAAAATACAAAAATTAGCTTACTGTGGTGGCAGGCACCTGTAATCCCAGCTACCAGGGAGGCTGAGGCAGGAGAATCACTTAAACCTGGGAGGTGGAGGTTGCGGTGAGCCAAGATCCTGCCACTGCACTCCAGCTTGGGCCACAGAGCAAGACTCTGTTTCAAAAATAAACAAGTAAATGGATCAATAACTATAAAGGTATAAAGTTCTTGGAACAGTGCTTGACACATAATAAGAACTTAATAAATGTTTGCTATTATTAAGTAACAGGGAAAAATGACTCATAGAGAATAAAAGGGTTTTCTTTTAACAAACATGTCCGGATATAGGTGGTTGCCCACATGGGTTTAGCTGATTAATGATGTAGTCAAGAGTTTTGAGTCTTCATCCTCTCATTTCACCATCCTTAGCCTCTTGACTTTTTGTCTTTCACACTGTGGCCTCAGGGTCTCAAAATGGCTGCTGTAGCTCCAGACATCTCAATTGTGTTTGGAATCAGGATGAAGAGTGCCAACCAGGGGAGAGGAAAACCAGACAGACAGACACACACACACATACACATACAGAGAGAGGAAAGAGAGGATGTATGTCTCACACTAGTTTCACATTTTATTAGACAAGAAAAAGTTTTCCCAGAGCTCCTCCGCTGATTTCACTTCATTTCACTGGCCAGAACTGGGTCACAATAGGCCCCTGAGATTAGGAGATCTGTGCCTTGATTTTGTTGGGAAGAGGTGGACATCCATGGCGTCTTCCACAGTTCATCATTCCTCATTGCACCAACTGCTTTGTTCCTGCCTTGGCCATGGAAAGGACAGCCTGTCTCAGAGCCCTCATTTGAGTTAATCAATTATTCAAGAACTTTTATGACATGGGACTTCACAGATGCCACCATTTGCCTTCATACATGTTGACTACAAGCAAAGTCCACTTCTTTGTGGGACTGACTTCAAAAGTGCAATATCATATTTTGAAAGGCCGCTCAAGCCCTTACTGGAACACACAGGTTAGTCCTTGGAGCCCTCACCCAGTCAGTTTGTTGAGTCCTCCTCACTGCTGGGGCTCGTGGGACTCTAAAGGAAGCACACTTGCCTTCAGGCTGTACACATCTTATGAGAAAATAAGAGCAGCACACATCAAAAATGGCAGCTACATGCTCGACTTTTCTGGAATCCAGAAAAGAGAGAGCTCAAATGGTCTGGCATATGCAGAGAGGCCCTGAGGATGATTATTGAGGCCTCCGAGAATGAGAAGAATTATATGAGTGAAGGCTATGGGGGCAGGGGGTGATTCCTGACCTAAAAGAGCCTGAGAAAAGGCTCCTAGTTAGAATGAGAAGGATGTGTGATGGTGAGTCATTCTCATCTTTTGAGATTTTTATGTTTTTCCCCTTAGAACTTGGAAGAAGATGCCCAAAATTAAGAACATGCCAAACATTACCATTAACAATGCGGTGCCCTCTCCAAATATAAACTATATCCATTGGAAAGTGCATGGAGACTGGGTTACTCAGGTAAAAAAAAAAAAAAAAGTAAAAGTAAGCTAGAATTTGTGGTAGGATGAGGTGGCTCATGTCTGTAATCCCAGCACTTTGGGAAGGCAAAGAGGAAAGATCTCTTGAGGATAACATGGCAAGACCCCGTCTCTACAAAAAATGTCTTTAAATTAGCCAGGTGCGGTGGTCTACATTTGTAGTCTCAGCTATTTGGGAGGCTAAGGCAGGAGAATCACTTGAGCCCAGGAGTTGGAGGTTATCTGGAGCTATGATCACACTCCTGCACTCCAATCTGAGTGACAGAGTGAAATATTATCTCTGGAAAAAAAAAAAAAAAGAATTTTCCAGCCTGTCCTCTGTCTCTCTCCAGATATATCCCACAAGCAGTCAAATAAATAAGAAATAGTAAGTATTCTTTAATAAGTCACTGCTGGTCTGGAGATAACTTCTCAAACCTAGCTGAAAACAAAAATAAATATTCCGTGAAATACACAGAATAGTATAAAGAATGATACACATCTGTTTTTCTGAAGCTAGTGAAATTAATCAGTTTGAGTTTTGTGCTGTGATTGGCTTGGGAGGGCCTTATCCCAGGTGTCTTTTGAGTCCGAAGGTAGCAGATGGCGTTTCCTTCCTCATGTTGGAGTAAGAGGCAACTCAAATGGCCAGAGTGTCTTAGGACCAGTAATGTGATTACCAATGTGAGATTGACTCCCTGAGACTTCTATTGGCTCTGAGAAGCTATATTTGTATTTCTCAAATGCATAAAGAAGCAAGACAGTGTCCTTTATGTCAAGAGAGCCCAGAAACCACGTGCAGAGTGGACATGGCAGCCGAAGGAACAGGAGGGGAGCAGTGTCCCGAGGATGGCTGTGATGAGAGCAGCCAGTGGGGGAGCACGGTCTCATGCCCACGCCTCTTAACTCTGTCTAAACACATCAGGCTTCGGCCAGGCAGAGAAGGTTCTTAATTATGAAGCCATATGTAAGAAAAGAGTGGTGGGAAATACAATACAATGAAAGGAAAAACGGAAACATCACCAAACATTTGATAAGTGAAAAGGAAAATTAAAGGGAAAGGAAAATTAAAGGGAAAGAAAAATTGGGCCAAGAAAATAGCATTTGTCTAAAAGATGAAAACCAACAAAGTGAATACAAAGAGAAGAAAATTAAGTACCAATCCTGCAATAGAACAGAAATGTGAATTAAGAAAGCTAGGTACAAAAAGAAAACAATAACCTGAAAAAAGAAGAAAGAAAAAAAACAAAACAATAATCTGAATAAACAAGCATACGTAGTAATATGACATGTTTCTCAAGGGTAGCTGGAATGTAGAATGGGGTTCTTTTTTCTTCAACTTTATTGAGGTACAATTTATATCATAAAATTCACTCATTTAAATGTACAGTTTATAAGTGTAATGAGTTGTGCAAGTATTACCATAATCCAATTTTAGAACATTTCCATGACCCTGATAAGATTCCCTCCTGTAGAGATGGGTTCTTGCTATGTTGCCCAGGCTGGTCTCAAACTCCTGGACTCAAGCAATCCTCCTGCCTCAGCCTCCCAAAGTGCTGGGATTACAGGTGTGAACCACTGGCTCCCAGCCACACCCATATTCCTAATAAGGACTTCTGCTGGGAAAGGTGGTCTGAGAGGAGAGGAGCTCCTCAAACCCCACGGAATCTGGTCCCATGCAGCTAAGACTGCCCCTGGCCCTTTCTCAGGGTCCTGCCCAAAAGCCCTGGTTCCCTAATTCCCGCACATTTGTTCCAGAGTCCAGCTCTTGATTTTCAAAGACGGGGGTCGGGGGCAGTTTTATTCCTCCCGGTACGATATTCAGCATAGCCTCCAATTTAAAAATGAGTTCTAGGGAAGGACAAATTGTTTTCTCTGTAAAAGCCCTGCGGCTATGCAGGCAACATTCAGATTTTCTCAGAAAAATCTAAAATAGCCAGTAGAAACTTGAACACGGACTGTCAGAAAGGATACCCAGGCATTGTCTGTTCTAGTGTTCTCCTCAAGCGAGTGTAACGGGAAGAGACCATCACCCACTCCACACTCCACCAGGCTACCTACACGGGTCTGCCCACACAGACGTGTGCTTTTTTGAAACGTTCCTATCTTTTGAGCAAGTGGTTCCTTTCTTCCTCATGAAATGCATTTTGAAAGAATGCTTTAGACGTTTTTACAAACTCTTGTGACCTGTGGGGTGATTTTATTAATTAGCATTTTCTCACTTTTTTATTTCTAGCTGAACTACTAGGATTCTATGAAAGCTGTCATTTCCAGCTCCATCCATGGGCCCAGCGCTCTAGTAATAGGTACTGCTTTTACGCCTATCATGCTTGTGATATGCTCTTTTGGGGTGTTGGGTCCTCGGATGGCTCCCATCTTTGTAGTTTCAGCATTGCGACAGGCATCCCACACTCTGCTAATAACTCCCAGTGCAGCTCAAAAATGTAGCATCCTCCACTGCTTAGTTTGCCTTTAGTTTCATAAGCTTCACACCACGTGGCCGCCAGGGAGGCAGAGTGAGGGAGGGCACTCCTACCACGGGCTTCACACACACTGAGAGCTCCATTACTGTATGTTGACTTGAAATCAAAGCAAAATCCACTGCAAGTCATGTCAGGCTATACCATTTGAGCACCCCTAATGTGCTACATTATGTGAAATATACAGTGATATTGACATGGACGGTTGATATGGGGCATTTGTATGAAATGGAATTTGGAAATTTTTAGAAAATTTTAAGAAAGGCATGCTGGATGTGAGAGCCATAAGTGAAAGCCCAGAACCTGAAGACACGCCGAGTTTCTGGAAGATAGACTTAGAGCAAGTGAATTCCCAGAAAGGCCCAGGGAGAACCCAGCTTCTGACTCACCCTCAATCTTACAGCCCCCAGTGAATCACTAAGTCTGGGCATGGACTTTACCAAGCTGATCTCAGGTCAAAGGAGTGGGGAGGGTGGCAGGGTGAGGCTGTGCTATTCATGTGGGAGTCAGTTTGTCTGGACTAGACTGAGGACACACTCCCTCAGCACCTGGTAGACTTTAAGAGGTCAGACTGATCCAAATTTGAACCAGGAATCGAATGCCTTTACGATGGACCATTCCGTGGATCCCAGGAATCCCTGAAATGGATGCAGACCTCTGGCCAGCCCTGGATCTTCCTAACTGGAATGCTTACTTAAGGGCAGGCACTGTACAAAGTGCCTTACATGTATTACGTTATTTAATCTCCATAACAACCTTATGATTTACAACCCACTTACTATTCACTCCATCTCACAGGTAAGAAAACTAAAGTACAGAATAGTTAAGGCATTTCTTGGGGCCTTTCCCCCCACCACCCCCTACACTGCATTGAGAAAAACCCAGCTCAAACTGACTTGAACAAAAAGGAGAATTTTTTGGACAGCTTATATAACACAGGAAGGGCAGAAAAGCAGCTCCACAGAACAGGGACTCCAATGCTGCTTCATCTCTGTTCCTCCCTCACCTGATTCCCTCTGCACACCGCTCCCCTCAGAGGGCCATGAGCCTTTGCCCTGCTAAACTGCACAGGGACTGGCTGATGCTCTTGGTCCTCAACCACCCCAGGAAGGGTCCTGTTGAACCAGTCTGGCTCAGGGACAATGATGATTCAGCTAACCTAGAAGAGCAGGGGTGGGACGATTCAACTAACCCAGAAGATTAGAGTACAGGAGGGGTGCACTCTCCACAAACAGGGACAGGGAGGGGAGGTTCATTGACGACAGAAAACATGAAGAATGGTACCCTGAGTCACACAACTCAGCTATGGAAGGCTGGGCACATGAACCTCATCTGTCTCCAGAGCCTGTGCATTTAACCCTGGGGCCCACAGCAGGGGCATTACTTGGGCATGTGTTAGAAAGGCAGGGCCTCAGGCCCCACCCCAGAACTGCTAAAGCAGATTCTACCTTTGAGAACACCTGTGGGTGACTTGTGTGTGCATGAGGCATTCTTTAATCACAATAATCTATCATGATGCTTCCTAACAACTTGTCTCTTGAAGACCTTCTTAATTTTTCACACTTACTGTATTAAACTTTATATTCATATTGTGAAGCTTTCGAGAGTATGTTGGAAAGCCCCATCCAGATAGCCAATGTCACTATCATCACATTTAATTTTCAGTTGATACTGATGATGATTCTTTACATGTGTTTGGCTTACTAATTTTAAGTAATTTTCATGTTTGTCAGTGACTCTAAGTCTTGGGTGCCCACTGGAATCATCTGGGGACTTTATAACAGCTCGTTCCCTGGGTTTTATGCTCAGAGATTCTGATCTAATTGGCCTGGGCATTGAGACTTTTAAAAGCCCCTGCAGCGATTCTAATACACAGCCAAGAGCAAAAACCATTATTCAAGGGGGTACAGCCCAGGTATCTGTATTTTTTAGGCACTTCCCAGTGACTTTAGTTCGTAGCCAAGGTCAAGGACCACTCACATGCATTACATGATTTCGTCTTCATGGTATCCCATTGGGTATGAATTGTGCTCATCACCATTTTACAGATGAGGAAACTTAAGCCCAGATAAATTTGCCCACAAGGTCACTTAGCTGAAAGAGAAGGAACTGGGACTCGACTCCAGTTTTTCTGACCCCCAAAGCCAGGATCCCACCTGCCATCCCCTAGACTTGGGCTGTTAAAGCCCTTCAGGTTCCGGGACTTATACTGGGACAGCCTAGTATCAAAGGGAGATTCTGGCCCTGGAGCAGAATAAATCTCTGATCCCAGGAAAAGGAAATGTTATTATTCATCCCTAGGGCATTGAGAAGGTGTAACCTGAGAAAGCTGCCTGAGTTGCTGCCTTTGGTCATCTTTAGGATCTTTGGTTGGGCTCCCTGCCTACCTGAGCAAAAGCAGAAACAGCAGCAGCAGCAGCAACAGAAGACAGGAATCCCTGAAGAGCCCAAACACAGATGGTCCTGCCTGCTGCCCGGCCAGGCCCACCCACTGGGGAGGAGGCAGAAGCAGAGAAGGTCAGCGTTGTGAATTTATAATGGAGAGGATGGTAATGACTTGGGTCACTCTTGCTGGAGATCTTCTCCAGATATTTCATTCACTGGGATTTTCTTCCCTTTTTTCCTAACTGTAACTATCTTTTAGTTACCTTCTCTCCCTCCTCTCCTCCTCCTCCCAGCTCCACTCACCAGCCCCACCCCTGGACTTTAAGGGCCTGGTTTGAACTCACCAAGTGGTGCATTTGTAATGCACAAAATAGTTAACACCATTTTAAGCGACTCAGCAGTCAGCCACCCACACAATGACGCCAGCCATTTCTTTTTTGATGCCTTCCAGCCTAGTGGTGCCTGAGCATTTCTGAGCCTTTGAGAAGGCTGAAATCCTAGTTTTCTCCTTCTTTTTATCTTTTAAAATCTAGTCCCATTTGCCACTGAACATCTGAACATCATGGAGGATATGTAACAACTCATGCCCAAGGTGTCAGCCTTCCGTGGAATATCACCTTGTCGCTTTCCTGCTAGAAGTCTGCTCTGAGCCCCCTCCAGCTCTCTGGTTTATGGCCTAGGAGTGCACATCACATTATCTTTCAAGGAAAGCATCCTTTATAAAGTTCTGATTCACTGACATTTAAGTCACCAAAGTGTTAGAAAGAGATACTCAGTGGTCAAAGAGATTGTTGGGAACACTCATTAGACTTCCTTGGAACTAAGAAATTCGGTTTTCCAGAAAGATAATGGATTGTGTCCTAAGAAATGGAAATTCAGCCTTTGGAGGCTGAAGCAGCTCAAAATCCAGTATTTGTTTGGACACATCAAAAGCAATGACTTCAGAACAAGAAAGTCTTAGTTTTAGCCCCAGCTCAGCCACTAACAGAGCTGTGATGTTAGGCCTCAGTTTCCCCTCTGGCTCAATCAGACAATTGGGTGTGAGCTCTGAGGACCCTTCTAACTCAGATGCAGACTCCTTCTTCTAAAGAAAGTGTTCTGTCCATCTCTTCTTCCTTCTCACATCACAGAAACCTGAGGTCACTACAATTGCTTACAGCTCTAAACTATTATGATTTCATTGAACAAGTCTCTCTTGAGAACTAGACAATCAGACTGTAGAAAGGATTCATGCGGATCGACATCATTCTAGTGACTTTTTGTTGAGTATTTACCATGTGCCAGGCACCATGCTAAGATGAGATACTGAAGCTCAGAAAGCCTTTGGAGTGAAACTCCTGGCAAAAGTTGCCTAGACTCAACCTTCCCAATTCCTCTCCCCACATTCTCTCTAGGAACCCCTCCAACCTACTCTGTGTCCCCACAATGCCACCAAAACCACTCTCATAAGAGTCACCAGTGCCCCTCCTGTTGCTAAATCCACCTACCAATCTTCATCTCATCTGTTGTCAGCATTTGAAGCACCTAATCACCCAGGCTTTCTTCATATACTTCTCTCACTTGAGTTCAAAACCCCAACCTGTCTTGGTTTTCCTTCTCTCCCCTGGTTGCTGCTTCTCTGTCTCCCTTCCTCATCCCTCCACATCTCCCTGACTTGATGTTGGAGCCCCCAGAGTTCAGTCCTCGTTCATCTCTGCTTCCATGTCTGCATCACTCTCTTACTGATATCTCCCAGTATCATTGGTATCTGTCAGCTCCAAATTTGTATCTCTAGCCCAGGTCTCTCCCTGAATCTCAGCCTGGTGTTTCCAGTGATCTTGGCTCACACATGGTTACCTGCACTTGGATAGATAATGGAAGTCAAAATGAATTCCAAACCCGAAACCCAGATCTTCTCCCTCAAACCTGTTCCACCAACTTCCCTGTCTCAGTTGGGGCTAAATCCGTCCTTGCGGTTGCTCAGGCCAAAAACCTAGTGGCCACCTTTGACTTTTCTCTCCTACAACCTGCATTCTACTGTTGGTTCCACAGTCATAATATACCCAGAACCTGCCCTCTTCTCTCCAGCACCGCTGCTACCATCTAGTACCATCATGATCTTCTCTTTTCTGGATTTCAGCAAGCACCTCCTCGCTGGTCTCCCTGCTTCCATCCTGCCCCTTCAGCCTATTCTCTCACAGCAGCCATGGAGATCCTATAAAACTATAGGCCCAAGCCCTCCAGATCCACCAATGGGCCCCATCTCACTCAAACTAAAAGCCAGAGTCTCCCAGGGCCTGTGTGACTCACCCCATTCCTTCCCTTTCTGGCCTCGTCTCTGACCTCTGTTCCTCGCTCACTCACTCCCAGCCACTCCAGTCTCTTTAAATATATTTAGGGCCTTTCCACAGTTTCTCCCCTCTGTGTGGAAGATTCCCCCTGCAAATATCCACAAAGCTTACTCCCTTGCCTTTTTCAAGTCTGCTCAAATGTGACTTCTCAATGAGGCGGACTCTGCTCACTTTATTATCTGTTGGAAATGCCCACCCCCTAGTTCTTGGCATTCCCAATCCTCCTTACTTGTTCTATCCTTGTTTAAATCCATTCATCTAATCACCTTCTCATATACTATATTGTTTACCTGTTGTGTTTGCTGTTTATGGTCTGTCTTCCCTCAAAGACAGGGATTCTTGTCTGTTTTGTACACTGTTGTGTCTCAAGTGCTTAGAATAGTGCATGGCACATAATAGATGCTCAATCAATACTTGTTGAATGAATGTGTTTGTGAAGTTAAAATTCAGAGCTACACCCATCTCTCTCCCAAAGCAGTGGTCGGAAGCAGCACACTCTGGGAAAGCCACAGGTAGGGACAAGCCCATCAGGGGTTTCCTCCTGTGCCTGTCTCATATCTCCCCATTCCCCCGATATGGTTTGGATTTGTACCCCTGCCCAAATCTCATGTCCAGTTGTAATCCCCAGTGTTGGAGGAGGGGCCTGGTGGGAGGTGATTGGATCATAGAGGTGGATTTCCCTTGTGCTGTTTTCAGGATAGTGAGATCTCTCATGAGATCTGCTTGTTTAAAAGTGTGTAGCACCTCCCCCTGCTCTCTATTCTTTCCCTGGCCATGTAAGATGTGCCTACTTCCCCTTCCACCATGATTGTAAGTTTCCTGAGGCCTCCCCAGCCATGTGGAACTGTGAGTCAATTAAACCTCTTTCCTTTATAAATTACCCAGTCTCGGGTAATTCTTTACAGCAATGTGAGAACAAACTAATCCACTCCCTACCCCCAGTGTGTCCCCACGGCTCCCTGTGCCCATATCACTGCCATCGCCAGGAGTATGTGTATGTCCACTATGTACCATGGCATCAGAATCCCACCCCTAATTGGTTACTGGAGGGTCATAACCCTGTCAGGAGCAAGAGGGGTGACTCACCCCATTCCCATGGCTCCCTTTGGAGAGTTCCTGTCCCCACTTCAGGTGACAGCCCTTCCACAGCACCTCCTAGACTTTAAAACTTGGCTTAAGGTCAGCCACCTATTCCCAAATAGGTTTACCTCAGGCGAGGAGGGGAAATGGTGATAGAAGAAACCAACAATTGCATAGAGAGCTCTGCAGTCAGGAAGTGCTTTCAAGTGCTTTTGTTTATTTAATGCCAGAATCTCTGGCTTCATTTTTGTTATTAATGAACATGAAAGGGGATGTGTCTTGGTCAAGTCCATAGATAAACCAGGGCTGGGCCTTGAGTGTCTTCCTACCTGCAAATCTGAACAGGGTTCTGTTTTGTGACAACAGATCCGTGGGTTCCCATCATACTGTGGATGCAAAGAGGTAAGAGACAGGGAAGGGCAGGCAAGAGAGTCTCCAAGATCCACCTCGAATCATGAAAAGTGAAAGTCTGAGCTTTGAGGGAACACACTCATCTCACTGCCAACCCTGTGGGGAGCTCTGGGCCTATGACTGTGGAGGTGGCATCTGGGCTGGCCCTGATGCTATAAGCCACAGTGGACAGTCAGCATCACCCTTCCACCAGGGCCCCAGTTTCTGAAGACTTACCTGCTGGTTACTGTGCTGGGGATCTGACTCGCCTTGAATCTGCTCTAGGTTTCCATGGTGATTACTTAAACTTTTCATCATCCTTCCTTTAGACCTTGGAGGAGAGCTATGCTCTCTGGTTTCCATGACAACCATTTAACCATGTGTCTCTGTCTGGCTGTTTCAGAAAAGAACTGCTAGAAATCATGCAAATGAACTAGCTGCTCTCTCCTTCCTTTAAGAAAATAAAAATAAAGTGACACACCTGCTTAGAAGTTTCAGATCTCTGCTCATAACAAGAAGGGTGACTGTGTCAAACTGCTGTTTGAGGAAGGTTTATTGCATTGCTTTGACACTTTAAGTGCTCACCCGGAGTCTCAGGCTGACTCTGCTGTCTTAAGCAATTACACTCACCACTTATCCTCCCTCCCCACTGCCTGGCAAATGAAGAGCTGCAAGTTAAAGGCTGTTTACCTTCCTACTGTTTGTTGAAGGAGAAAGGGAAGGACAGGGCCAGAGTGACCAGCCAGTCACCCTACCCAACTAGCCATTCACCACTGTGGAAAGATGCCACAGACAGCATAGTTGTTACCTCCGGTCACTGTCAATAGACTGGCCAGGGGTGGTCCAAGACTCAGATTGCAGCCCCAAATTATGTGGAAATCACACACGTGAGTCATTGGGAAATGACTTGACGCTCTCTATCAGAACTCATGGAAGAAAGAGCAGCCCTTCTTGAGGTCAGGTCTTTGGGCCAGTCAGAGAGCTCAGGAGAAGTAGAAAGATGAGATATCCTGCTTCAGTTTGGACAACTGTCCCCTCCAAATCTCATGTTGAAATTTGATCCCCAATGTTGAGGTAAAGCCCAATGGAAGGTGTTTGGGGCATGGAGGAGGAGCCCTCATGAGTGGCTGTGATGCCATCTTCACAGTAAAGAGTGAGTTCTCACTCAATTAGTTCCTGTGAGATGTGATTATACAAGAGAACCTGGCACTGCCTCCTCTCTCTTGCTTCCTCTCTTGCCATGTGATCTCTGCACACACTGATTCCCCTTTGCCTTCTGCCAAGAGTGGAGGCTGCTTGAGGTCCTCACCAGGAGCAGATGCTGATGCCATGCTTCACATACAACCTGCAGAACTAGGAGCTAAATAAGCCCCTTTTATTAATAAATTATACAACCTCAGTTCTTCCTTTGTAGCAACACAAACAGACTAAGAGAGCACCCTTTCCCCTTCCTGGACACATCCTTGAACTACAGTATAGTGACATGCCCCTAAACCCAGGGTCCCAAGAGGCAGCATGAGCTAAGGCAGCCATGGATAAGCACAGTATTTAAAACATGTTTTGTTTTGTTTTTTTTGAGACGGAGTCTCGCTCTGTCACCCAGGCTGGAGTGCAGTGGCATGATCTCGGCTCACTGCAAGTTCCGCCTCCTGGGTTCACGCCATTCTCCTGCCTCAGCCTCCCGAGCAGCTGGGATTACAGGTGCCTGCCACCATGCCCAGCTAATTTTTTGTATTTTTAGTAGAGACGGGGTTTCACCGTGTTAGCTGGGATGGTCTCGATCTCCTGACCTCGTGATCCACCTGTCTCAGCCTCCCAAAGTGCTGGGATTACAGGCGTGACCCACCGCGCCCAGCCTTAAAACATGTTTTGAAACCGGGTAATATTTAAAGTTCTGGAACTTTCTAACAAAAATAGAGACTTCCCACTAATCTTGAAAATTAAGCAGATCTGTGTTAGAGTTCTATTTGACAAGGGTCTACTGGATGGAGCTGCACTCATCCTTCCAGATTAAGCATACATTCACTCTGGTTGAACTTTTCTATTTATTTATTTTAAAAAAATTTAGAGAGAGGATCTTGCTCTGTTGCCCAGACTAGAGTGCAGTGGCATGATCATAGCTCATTGCAGCCTCAAACTTCTGGGCTCAAGTGATCCTCCTAACTCAGTCTTCCAAGTGGCTGGGACTGCAGGCATGAACAACCACACCCAGCTAATTTGTTTCATTTTTTGTAGGGACACGGTCTTGCTATGATGTTGCCCAGGCTGGTTTTGAACTCTTGGGCTCAAGCTATCCTCCTGCCCAGCCTCCCAAAGTGCTGGGATTATAAGTGTGAGCCACTACACCTGACTGAAACTTCCTAAACAGAAAATTCTTCTCCATGATTCCTGAAAAATATTTGGACTGGTAACTTGTAGTAACATGCACAACACTCAAACAAAACCAATTATCCCTCAACTCATAGCTGAAGTCACACATGATGGAAGAGAGTTCTTATCTAGGGATGAAGGGAGTGGGAAGCTGAAGATTGTTCTTCTACCTTCTTCCTCCAAGGCACTTTCAGTCCCCTTGGACAAGGCAGAAGTCAGCAATCAGAGTAAGCCAGATGGTGTGGAGGGGAGATGGGAGAGGCCCTGATGTGTGTACTGAGGATTTCCTTCATGACCTTCTGGTGAGAATGATGTTTAAACCTATGGGAGGACCTTTGATTGCTTCTGTTTGATGCTACTATTTTGATTCTGTTTTCAGTAGATTCATAAGCCAATAAGTCATTTGCCTGAAAATACCTGCCAAAAGAATTGTAGGACAAAATTGCTGGTTGGTTGATGGAACGCGTAGGTCAACTCAATGAGCCTCAATTTAAGAGTCAGTCTGGATTTTAGGCTTGGTTGTACCATTTCTTGATGACAAGCTTCTTAACCTTTTTAGGTTAAGTTTTCTTACCTGTAAGTCGGAGATGAAGATGGTTGCCTCACTGAGTGAGGCTCAAACAAGATTGTTTTTGGAGAGGGCTTGGCACTAGGTAGAAATTTAATAAAAGTTTTCTCCAAATACAGTGACTTTCTTTATGTCACTTTTCTTTCCCAGGTGACTCTTCTTGTCTCTTATTAGAGGAGGGAGAAACATCTTGTTTTTCCTACCCGCATCACTTTTATTCTTCAGACTATCTGTGGTTTAACACCTGGGGGCGAAAGAAGAAGAAAACACTAGTCATCACTGAAAATGAACCTGAGACCTTTAAAAATCAGCAACCTGTCAGGAAATTGACTGATCATATTAAGAAACTGTATATCGTTTTCCTGTGAATATTGTTAGGGTGCACTATGGGAACAACAAATGTCAAGCAAAAGACGAAAGAGATAAGGAATGTTAGAAAAGATGTTAAGACAAGAAAAGGCCAAGCATTCCTTGGTTTGCCCCAAAGGCGAGCAGAATGTGATCAAACAATCTTTTGTAACTACAAAGGAGTCAAGACGTTTTCATTCCGTAAGGAAAGAACTTGCTGCTGACAGGTGGAAAGAATCAAATAATTAGAGTCTGGAATGCTTATCTGCCTGCCTGGGTAAGCTGTCTTTCTCCAACCAAGAGTGCCATTGATGTAGTAAGGTGCACAAAAGCCGGAGTAGGGGCCCCTAAATTCCTATTAGAATAACTTAAGAATTTACATCCAAAATTAATCCCCCATATGCACAGCCTGTGAAACTTCCTTTTGTGGCCTTTAAAGATTCATTCTTTGGAGTTTATTACAGCTCATTTAAAATGTAAATACTTTACAAGGACAAAGAGACTGTGTGGACCCATCATTCACCACAGCTGAGGATTTTTAAAACCAGATTGCTAGGGCCGGGTGCGGTGGCTCACACCTGTAATCCCAGCACTTTGGGAGGCTGAGGCGGGCAGATCACTTGAGGTCAGGAGTTCGAGACCAGCCTGGTCAACATAGCGAAACCCCGTCTCTACTAAAAAATACAAAAATTAGCCGAGTGTGGTGGCATGTGCCTGTAATCCCCACTACTTGGGAGACTGAGGCACGAGAATCGCTTGAACCTGGGAGACAGAGGCTGTAGTGAGCCAAGATCATGCCACTGCACTCCAGCCTGGGTGACAGAGTGAGACTCTGTCTAAAAATAAATAAATTAATAAATAAAAATAAAATACAATCAGATTGCTATTTTCCTACAATGAACCATGATCAGTGGTACAGAGCACTTAGGGATTTTGATGTGCAATCAGTGTACCTTTTTCAGTGTACCTCACACAGATCTCCCTAAGTATTCACTCACTTCTCCACTGGGGTTGTTTAGCCCTATCACAGTGAATGACTCTACCATCCCTAAGGTGTAGCAGAATTGACATAAAAGGGCAGGTGAAACTGACATAAGAAAATGGGTTGTTCCGGGAGGCAGAGGTTACAGTGAGCTGAGATCGCGCCACTGCACTCCAGCCTGGGTGACAGAGCAAGACTCCACCTCAAAAAGAAAGAAAGAGAAAGAAAGAAAGAAAGAAAGAAAGAAAGAAAGAAAGAAAGAAAGAGAGAGAGAGAGAGAGAGAGAGAGAGAGAGAGAGAGAGAGAGAAAGGAAGGAAGGAAGGAAGGAAGGAAGGAAGGAAGGAAGGAAGAAAGAAAGAAAGAAAATGGGTTGTTCTGGAAAACCTAGAATTGGGGTAGCAGGGTAATCAGTGTAAGCAGTAAAGGTGTGGTACCATCACACCCTCAATGGATAACATCGTTCTCTTTACGATCAGCCCCTGCCTTTCATCCTGTGCCCCTATCAAGCAAGTGCTCCAGGAACACTTTCTTGAGATATTGACAATTAACTACCATTTTACTGGGTTCTACAACCCAGTACATTATCTCTAATCCTCCCATCAACCCTACTTAGAAATGAAGAAACTGAAGCGCAGAGAAGTTAAATAACTTCTTAGAAGTAATGGCAGAATTAGGGTTTAAATGCAGGCTTGTCATTTCTGCTGAGAAGTGTTGAAGATGGGAGGAGAGTGGGAAATGGGGAGCTGATCTCTCCTGCATTGATAGTGGGAACCAGGGATGAGGACAAGTCATGGAGGACGTGCCAAAGTTCCCGGCAGAGCCTTCCTCCCTGGCATCAGTGGGGGGGTCCACAAGGGGACCCTGTGCTCAGCAGTGGCAGGAAGTGCCAGGACGGTGCTGTGTCATAGCTTAGCACGGGGGGTCTCACTATGTTGCTGCCTTCCAACCTGACCAAGTTCTACAGCCCCCATTTCCTCATCTGTAATGGTGATAAGAGGACCCACCTTCCGGAGCAGTAATAAAGACTGAAAATGAGATAAGACACACAAAACACTCAACACAATGTCAGATGCAGAATAAGAAAGAAATTATTTTCTGCCCACTTCTACTAAGACTCCCATTTGTCTGGTAATTGAGAACAATTTGCTGACTTTTCACTGACTTGGTTATTCTTAAAAATATAACCTCAGCCCTGCTTATCTTCTCCCTCTAACCCTCCCAGCCCTGAGACCCTGCAAGGGCACTGTAATCCCTCAGAGGTCCTTAAAACAAACTCATATTAAAAAGCCATCCCCACCCCCAAAAATTTTAATACTGTTCACTCCAGCCTGAATAAAGCAACAAAAAACTACCACGGAATCCATTCCAACCACACCCTGGGCTCTTCCTCATGTATTCCTTTTATAGTGATTATTGTCAACAGTTGGAGAAACAAAGCCCAAGGCTTCATCTCACCCTGAGTTATGTTGCTATAGCTGGGTATTATTTGCTTCAATCCTTTTATCACACAAGATATACTTGTGTAATTTCAGAGGGAGACATAACCCTCCTCCAGGCTGAATAGAACTGCCAGATCCAGGCCAATTTAGTTTTGCGTTTTTATTTAGAAATAGCAGATAGAGCTGCCTTGCATTCATCTGTTCTTTTTCCATTCCAGAAAACCAACAGGTAGGCTGAGAAGCTGCATGGCTCCAGTGATCCACATCCACATATCTGCTAAGGACAACAAAATATTTTCCATGTCCACCAACAATACGATTAAGGTCTTCCCTCTTCTGTATTTTGATGCATCCTCCAAGACAGGTTCAGAGAGGGAAGGTCTCCTTTTCATATTTTTCTTTTCCCCTCTTTGACAGTTTGAGGAGCCTCACTCAAATGGTATTTACCTATGTGAGATTGCTTTGCAAAGAGAGGATATGTAGGCAATTGAACTCGCAGTGAACTTTTCATACCAGGTGTTTTGTGTTGGGGTGAGTAGACTGCAGGATTTAGGGCCCTGTATGCATACTGTGCAAGTAATCCCTGTCCCAAATAGTCCCAACAGTGTGTGTTGGAGGAGAGAGAAGTGTTGCTGGGGATGGAATGGGACCTCAGGGAGGCAGTGGCCCTTACCACCATTGCTTATCACCTTATTTTGAAAAACACATAGGGCAACTGGGCCCTTTCTGAAATGTCACTTGTAAGGCTTAGAATTTCTGAGCCTGCTGGAGGGAGTAATATTACCATCTTGATTTCACTTGCCTTTCCACCTCTCTTTACACCTAAGATCCTGTCCACCTCTAAAATGTGGTAACCCTGTGACTGCCATCTTGCACTACTTTTTATACAAAAAGAAGTCTCATTGATCTGCTTCAGCTGTCATTTCACATGCTTTTCCAAAGAAAATGACAAGTTTTCCTAACTTTTCCACCTTCTATTCTGGACTCTCATGGGGCTGGAGGGAGGGAGTCTGGAGTAAATCAAAGGAATGTGGGATACTTAGAAAAGAAATCAATTTTACTGCTTTGTATAGATACAGAAGCCAGCTCACTGACCACTCACATCATAAATGATTCATAGATGTTATGGACTCAATTATATCTTCCTTCCCCAAAACACATATGTTGAAGTCCTAACCCCTAGCACCTAGAATGTGACCTTATTTGGAAATAAGGTCACTGCTGATATAATTAGTTAAACAAAGGTCATACTTGAGTAGAGTGGGCCCCTCATGCACTATGGCTGGTGTCCTTATAAGAATAGGCAATGTGGACATACACAGACTGAGGAGCGACCATGTGAAGAGAGCGAGAAGACTTGCAAGACAATAATGTCACCCTCTGCAAGCCAACAAGAAGGGCCTCAGAAGAAACCAACCCTGCTGATACCTTTATCTTGGACTTCCAACTGCCAGAACTGTGCAAAAAATAGATTTCTGTTGTGTAAGCCACCCAGATGGTTATGGCAGCCTAGGAGACTAATGCAATAGATTTGCCTAGTCTGTGATCACAAGGAGCAGGCCTGATTCATTTATTCATTCATTCAGCAAATCTACTGAATGTTACCGTGTGTCAAACATGTTCTAGGAATGGGAGATACAGCACACACAAAAATAGTCAAAATATCCTGCTCTCATGGAGGTTACAGTCTCATGGGGAGGAGGGATGGAGAAGGGATGGCAGAAATAAGTAAAATAAATCAAGGAAATAGTATGTTAGATGGTGACAGGTGCTATGGCAGTAAGGTAGGCAGTGGGGAGAGAGAGAGCAAGGAAATTCGTTTCCTGTCTCTAATAGGCTGGTCAGGAATGACCACAGTAAGGTGACGTATACAAAAAGGTCTGAAAGAAATGAAGGGGCAAGCCATGCATTTATCTGCAAAGAGTGTTGCAGGCACAGGAACCAGTGAGTGCAAAGTCCCTGAGGTGAGAGTCGAGAGGAGATGAGATCGAATAGAAACATGATGGTATGCAGGAGGTGTATTGCAGAGGGCCGTAGAGGCCTGGCTAAGGGCTTTGGTTTGTTGCTGTTTGGTTTTGTTTCTTGTTTCTTGAGACACAGGCATGACATGATATGATTTTCATTTTCACAGACTCTCATCCTGTTGTGTTGCTAATAGATTATAGGGTGGCCAGGGCTGAAACAACAGATTAGTCCGGAGGTTTCTGCAACAGCCTGAGTGAGAGGTGATGCTGGCTTGCGCAAGGTGGTCTCAAGAGAGTGGAGAGAAGTGGTTTGGTTCTGGATACACAGATTAGCAATCCCTTATTCAAAATTCCACACTTCAAAAAGTCCCGACAACTGAATTTCTTTTAATAAGGTTGAGTCACATTCACTTGGCAATGAAACAACCTGAACTGATTTGAGGCTGTTTAACAGTCTTTATTCCACTTGAAGTTAATATTTGTAGGTTTTGCTACAGAAATATAAATGTGTCCGATTATGTGGTGCTGCCACCAAGTCCACTGGGGGCATTAATGTGCTATATGACCTTTAAAAGTTCAAAATTATTTGAATTTCCAAACATACCTATCCCAAAGGGTGACATAAAAGATATTGAAGACAGGCAACTAAAAGCAGAGACAAGAGGATTTGGTGATACACTAGAGAAGTTTCTAAAAATAAGAGCAAAAACATAAAAGCATGACTCACTGAAACATACAGGATGCATCGAAGGCGGTGCTTAAAGGCATAAACATCTGTAAACAAAAAAGATCTTAAATCGATAATCTCACTTTCCACATTAAGATACTTAAAAAGAGGAGCAAATTAAATCCAAAGCAAGCCAAAGGAAGTAAGTAAGATTAGAGTGGAAATAAATGAAATAGAGAATAGAAAATCAATACAGAGAATCAACAGAACCAAGAATTTTTATTCCTTTGAAAAATCACCCAAATTGACAAAACTTTACCTAGATTCACCAAGGGGAAAAAAGGAAAAAACTCAAATTACTAAAATCAAGAATGAAAGAGGGAACATCACCAATCTCAAAGAAATAAAAAGGATTATAAGGAAATACTACGAACAATTGTATGCCAACAAATTAGATAACCTAGATGAAATGTACACATTTCTAAAAACACAAACTATTAAAATTGGCTCAAGAAGAAAAAGAAAATCAAGAGATTGAATTATTAGTTTAAAAAAAAAAAACTTCGAACAAAGAAAAGTCTAGGCTTCTATGGCAATCACTTAAAGAAGAATTAACACCAGTCCTTCACAAACTCTTTTAAAAAAACAAAGAAGAGGAGGAAACATTTCCTAACTCAGCCTATGGGCCCAGTATCCTGATGCCAAGCTCAAAAACATCACAAGAAAACTATAAACCAATGTCTCTTACAAATATGGATTCAAAAATTCTCAACAAAATACTAGCAAACTGAATCATACAAAAAGAATTATACAATATGACCAAATAGATTTTATCCCAGGAACGCAAGCATGATTCAACATATGAAAATCAATGTAATATACCATATTAACAGAATAAAAGACAATCGACCATATAATTATTTCAATAGGTGCAGAAAAGGCATTTGACAAAATCCAACACCCTTTCATAATAAAGCTATTCAACAATCTAGGAATACAAGAAAAATATGTCAACCCAATAAAAGGTATCTGCATGAAACTCACAGCTGACATTATACTTACTGGTGAAAGCTCCTTCCCCCTAAGATCGGGAAGCAGGAAACAGACATGGATACCTGCTCTTACCACCATTTTTAAATCCATTTTATTTATTTATTTATTTATTTTGGCTATTGAGTTGTTTGAGTTCCTGGTATATTCTGGAAATTAATCCCTTGTAAGATGAGTAGTTTGCAAATATTTTCTCCCATTCTACAGGTTGTCTCTTCACTCTGCTGATTGTTTCCTTTGTTGTACAGAAGCTTTTTAGTTTGATAGAGTCCTGTTTGCCTATTTTAGCTTTTGTTGCCTATGCAGAATATGAAGAACTCTTAAGCTCAGCAATAAAAATACAAATAGCCCAGTTTTAAAATGGGCAAAGGATTTGAATAGACGTTTCTTCAAAGATGGCCAATAAGTACATGACAAGATGCCCAGCATCATTAGTCACAGGGAAATACAAAGCAAAACCACAATGAGATTTCTTTTTATACCCACTAGGATGGCTAAAATCAAAAGATAGGCAAATATTGACAAGAATATGGAGAAATTGGAACCCTTCTACATTGCTGGTAGGAAATTAAGATGGTACAGCTACTTTGGAAAACATGTTGGCAGTTCTCAAATGTTAAACATTAAGTTGCCTATAGACCCAGCAATTTCACTCCCAGGAATATACTCGAGAATTGAAACTGTATGTTTACACAGAAATCTGCATATGAATATTCATGGCAGCATTATTTATAATAGGCAAAAAGTAGAAACAACCCAGATGTCCATCAACTGGTGATTGGGTAAACCAAATGTGGTGTAAATGTAGAATGGAATAGTATTCAGCAACAAAAAGAAATAAAGTACTGATATGTTACAACACAGATTAACCTTGAAAACATTATGTTAAGTGAAAGCCAGTCACAAAAAGCCACATATTATTTTGCTCCATTTATATGAAACGTCCAGAATAGGCCAACCCATAACAGAAAGGAGTTATGAAGTTGCCAGGGCTGGGGTGAGGTAGGAGTAAGGAGTGGCTGCTATTGGTATGGGGTTTCTTTTAGGAATAATGACAATGCTCTGAAAATTAGGTAGTGGTGATGGCTGAATACTTATGTGGATATACTGAAAACCACTGAAAGCATTTTTAAGGGGGTAGGGCAAGAGGGGAGCCAAAGATGACACCAAGGTTTGGGGTGTGAGCTAAAGACTAAGACAAGCAATATGGTGAGTGACAGGGGGATAAAACCAGGAGCTCTGTTGTGGATGTGTTGGATAGAGTTGTCCTGAGTTTAGGGGAGGTGCCAGGGCCAGAGATATGAATTTGGGAGTCATTAGCAATTAGATGGAATTTTAAGCCATGGAATGGATGAGATCTCAAAGGGAGTGAGAGTGAGCAAAGAAGAAAAAACCTTCAGACACTGCATACTGGAGCCCTGGGATGTGCTGGGATTTTTTTCTGTATGGGTCCAATAGGGCTCCTGTATAGTGAGCTTAGAGTCCATCCCATGGTGATGATGAGGATATAAAATTAAGTTGGTGATACAGCAAGGATCCAAATTCAATTCAGTCCTCTGGGCAAACTTCATTAAAATGGTAAGATTTGTGAACTTTGGTTTTTGATTTATTTTAAAGATAAAATTCATCCAAAAGCATCATCCAAAGCCACAAAGTTGGAGACTTCATATTTTTAATGAGATTTTCTTTTTTTCCCCCAAAATTTGCCACCCTCAGATAATCATAATTCTGTATGTGGGGACATGTCTTATATCCTATTTTCTTTCCCTAGTGCCACTCCATTTTCTCCCAATCTAAACTCATGATTACAAGATTAGCATCTTGCCTATGATGATTCAGGCATATTGAATCACATCCCAATGTGTATTTAAAATATATCGAAATCCTATCTTGGAAATATGGCCTGTACATTATTTCAGAATATATTATTCCTATCAAATAAAAACTAATCAACTAGAAGCCAAACAGCTAGATTTCTAGCATGCCTGATCTGAGAGTCTTCATTCTTTGAATTGATTTTTCAGCCCAAATATTTTACTCCTGTAAATCGCAGGGACACACAAAACATTTCGGAAGTCTGCTGGTTTCTGGCATTCTCTGAAGGAGAGTAAAGTGACAGATTCAGATTTCCTTTTTCACTTGTTATTTTCTGTGAATTTAAAATTGCATATCACAAACAGAGCTATTTTGTGTCGACCGGAATTCAGATGGAAAGAAAATGATCTCTTGCAAGGAAGATAGGCATGGTGTATTCGTTGGGGTAAGGCTTCTACTGTAACAAATAAACCCCACGTTTTCAATAGGTTACAGCCAAAGTTTATTTCTGTCTTCTGTGACATCCAACACCAGTGCCCCTGGTGAGTGGGTGCTTCTCTCCCACCCGAGGGCCAGCCTCTCTCCAGCGGGTGGCTCCCCTGCCATAGGTCCTCAGAGTCCTCTGCATCCACATGCAAGGGATGTGACAGTAGAGAGGGCACACCTGCTTCTTCTGAATCCCAGTCAGAAGTCACATGCATCACTGCCTCTCACATCCCATGGCTGAGCTCCCGACTACTCTGGATAAAAGGGAAACTGGGTCATGCCTTCGTTTGGCAGCACTTCTCAGCAACAACTCTACATGTAGACAGAGAAGCATAGCTTCTGAGGGGGACAGAAAACTTTGGAGACATACATTCTTGAGTTTCAATTGTGAAAATGCCACAGGCTAGATGACCTAGGGTGAATTATTCAATCCTTCTGAACTGAGTTCCTTAATTCTTTTGATCATTCATACACTCTCTTACTAAATGGGTGAAAGACCCACATGTAGGGTAGTTGAGCTCATTCAAGGTCATGTAGAAAGTGTGCTCACCAACGCAGAGTTTTACCAGGTGACTCATTTGAGCCCAAGAGACAAAACTCTAACTCAAATAGCTGGAGTTTAAAAAGGAGGATTTGTTGGTGATTGAAACCAGATCATGGAACAGTTGGCCTCATGGGCAGCTGGGTTCAGAGATGGGACTGTTGCTAGCATGTTCTCTGCCTGCGTTTCTCATTTCTGCTCCTTGGTACACCTTGGCCTCCTCAGCTCCTCCTGCAGACAGCTTTTCTCCCTCCAAATGGTAGGGAACATAGATGCCCACAGCCCTGAACTCATCTTCCAATTTCAGTTTCACTACTAGCGCCAGCTGGAACAATTGGAGGAAAGGACACAGATTGGCGAGGCATGGGTGCCAAGACCACTCTTAGAAAAAAGGTGGGTGCTGGGCTGACAACAGATACGTCAGTGGTGGTTACTTTTTGATGGCTATTTATATTTGGAGGACTTAAGGCCAATTTGCTGAATCGGCTTCAACTTCAATATGAAGAGTTTCTTCCCACCTTTCCCTTCTTGGACTTTGGTGGGAGTCCCTGTATAGCATCCCACCTGACATCCTTCTTCCCAGGCTCCAGAATTAGCTCTGTGCTCCTCCCCAGCATTAAAATCCTCCTTCTCTAAGCAACCTTATGTCATTAAGTGTGAAACAAATCAACAGATAAATGAATTCACATGGAGGTATTAGTGACTGATAATAGCTATGTATGTTACCTTTCTATCCAGAAAACGGAGCACCTTCAAACAAACCAATATTCCAGAAAGGAGAGAGAATGCTCCTTGAAAAAGCAGCCCGAAGGGCCACCTTTTCCATGGGATTATTGTACTGTGATCACTACGGCTGTCCCCATGCTGCCCTGCTGGGAAGTACAGCTCCCCTGTTTTATGTCATGACTTAAAAGCATAGATTAAAAAGGCTGGGACTGTCAGAATGAGTTCACTAACTGCTAGGGAGAACTACAGAAAAATAAACACAGGGTATACAAACCACAAATAGAGTCTGGCTTAGGAGGTAAAGGCTTCAAATCTCACCAAAGCTAATTTGTTTAGTGGAGACTCGGAAGAGGAAAAAACTCCATTCAGGCACACCCCACCCACTCTAATCCTTAGATTTTCCTGTGATGCTCTGGAGGGAGACTGGCCTGAGGTTAACCCTCTGGTTTAGCTCCTTCCCAGCTGTGTAAACTTGGTTGTGTTATTTAACCTTGCTGGGACTCAACGGACCATGCTTACCCCCCAAAGTTTGTCTAAGAGAGTATTAATTTGCTGGGTGTGCCATAACAAAGTACCACAGAGCAAGCAGCTTTACAACAGAAACGTATTATCTCGCCATTCTGGAGGCTGAGAGGCTGAAATCAGGGTGTCAGCAGGGTTGGTTCCCTCTGTGGGCTGTGATCGAACATTGGTCCCGTGCTCCTCACCTCATATCTAGTGGCTTGCTGGTGATCTTTGGCATTCCTGGGCTTGTAGAAGCGTTATCGGGATCTGTCTCTCTTCATCTTCACGTGGCATTCTTCCTCTGTACGTGTCTATCCCTGAATTTCCCCATTTTATAAGGACACTAGTCATATAGCATTCAGGGCCCAACCTACTCATCAGTAGGACCTTCTCTTAACTGATTACCTCTGCAACAACCCTATTTCCAAATAAGGTCACATTCCAAGGTACGGGAGTTATTCGACATATGAATTTGAGGGGGACACAATTTAACCCACAACAAAGAGTAGACAAAACAATGCATGTAAAGAATTTAACACAACATCTGGTACATGTCATCTCACTAAACAACCACTGCCTTTGTGACAATCATCATCTTCCCAAATTCACACTTGGCCTGACTGCTTCTCCCCCAGGGATGCAGTCCTCCCTTGCAGCCCTCACCAGGCCACAGCACATGAAGCTACTATAAGAACTATGCCATGATTTACACACCAATCGCAAGAAATGACTGGCAGTACCATCATCATTTTATTTATTTATTTATTTAATTTAATTTTTTTTTTTTTTTGAGACTGAGTCTCGCTCTGTTGCCAAGGCTAGAGTGCAGTGATACGATCTTGGCTCACTGCAACCTCTGCCTCCCGGGTTCAAGCAGTTCCCCTCAGCCTCCTGAGTAGCTGGGATTACAGGTGCCTGTCACCATGCCTGGCTAATTTTTTTATTTTTAGTAGAGATGGAGTTTCACCATGTTGACCGGGTTTGTCTGGAACTCCTGACCTCAGGTGATCCACCCACCTGGGCCTCCCAAAGTGCTGGGATTATAGGGGCGAGCCGCCACGCCCGGCCACTATTATCATTTTGATCATGTTGTACTATTGCCATGTTGTAGCCACTATTCTAAGCATTCTATTTTTTTAGTTTTTTAATTCCCTAAAACAACTCTACAAGGTAGGTACTATTATTATTCTCCCATTTTATAGATGAAAAACCAGGGAGAGAGAGTGTAGTCACTTGCCTGTTAGGAGATAGCACTGAGATTCCAAACCAAGCAGGTGGCTCTGGACTTATGTGCTCAGTCAATATCCACCCTGAAGTGTATTCCCTGTGTCCTTCAAATATCTCCCTAGTGACTGGTTTTGAAAACCTGTTTTAAGAAAGGGGAGGCGGGCGGATCACGAGGTCAGGAGATCGAGACCATCCCGGCTAAAAACGGTGAAACCCCGTCTCTACTAAAAATACAAAAAATTAGCCGGGCGTAGTGGCGGGCGCCTGTAGTCCCAGCTACTTGGGAGGCTGAGGCAGGAGCTTGCAATGAGCCGAGATCCCGCCACTGCACTCCAGCCTGGGCGACAGAGCGAGACTCCGTCTCAAAAAAAAAAAAAAAGAAAAAAAAAAAGAAAGGGGAACCTATATGAGGGCAGAGGTAGCTCTGTGTCACAAATCAGATGCGTGGTGTTCAGCTCTGCTATGAAAGTAAGGTCCATGGAAAGAGATGTCACTGGTCTTCTCCTTGTAGGGGACAGTAAAGCACATCGCCCGAGTGGCCTGGGGGCAGGTATCCCCTCTCCTCAGGCAGCTTCAGCATGGCAGAAGGGACCAGGAACACAGGCCTCACTGTCTGCTTCTTTTGCAAACAACTAAGGAGAAGGAACCCATTTCAATATATTATTTTGGTGGGGTGGGTATAGGGCAGTGTTTAAATTTCGGTCAAGCCAAGCCAGGCCCCACGACAGATAGCGGCTGCACAGCAGGCTGTTCAAGACCTCTAATTACATTTTCCCCCATCTCCTTCTCAGATCTGAGATCTGGAAGCCTACAGCTGCTTGTTTATGGCCTTGTCAAAAGCCGGTGGGCTAAAGGTGAGCTCACAGCCTGCCTCTAACTCCCTGGCCCCCGAGCTGTGTGTGTGGGCACTGACACTGTTGCACTCCTGTGCCTGAGACAGAGGTATGGAGTTGTCCTTTTGGCTCCAAGCACTCAGTTCTCTAGAGGGTTCTGCGGAGCCCTGTGCAGCTGTTTTCAGCCTTCTGCTTAATGTTCTGCAGTGAAGATCGATGTGCAGGCTCCCGAATTGCAGGCCCTGTGTCCCCAGCTTGTAGGATATTTTTGGTGAGCTCTCTTTAACATTTCCCATTAATTACTCCAGCACCACCTTCCTATGCTATTGAAAAGCCTGTGATCTATCTCTTAGGCCTATTCTACCCACTGGCCCTACTCCTATAGTAAATTGCCCTAAAATTTACTATGGGGAGCTGTTTATTCAGCCAAAAAACATTGACCTGACAGGCAGATGTCAAGCAGAGACAGCCCTGGAGGGCCAGCCCACCAGTCTCATTGCCTCAGCAGTGACCCATGTCTGAGACCCCTGTCCCTGAGGCAGGACAGTCATGCAGGGATAGCACACACCCAGGTGATGACGTAGGCTGGATGGAGGGTCCCCGGGTGGGCTGCTTCTGCCCAGGGCCTTAGTGTCCAGGAGCTCTAGTGCCTCAAGACCCAAGCCTCCTTGATTCCTCTGCAGGTGAGGTTTGCTTGGTTTCCAACCAAACCAAGCTTGGTTTCTTTGGCACACCTTTGCCAAGCCACGTTGCCATTGCCTCCTCAGTAAAGAAAATGAGTGGCCGCCTGCCTTACCTTTTCCCACTGAGTGAGGTCACTGAGGACATTGAATGCCTATCGGCTCCAGCTGCCCGTCTCTGTCCTGCCTATGCTGAGACTGCCTGATCTTCCTGAAGAGTTTTAAGTTCTACCTCCCAGATACCCAGTAGTCATCTAGCCCAACTCTGAAGCTTTACAGAGAAGCAAACAGAGGCATAGAGAAGGCAATGCATTGCCCCAGGGCACAGAGGAGAACTGGGGCGGTTATTATCCTGTCTTGGGACGCCCAGTCGGCAGCTTTCCATGCACTGGGCCACTTTCATTGGAAAGGCTGAGCTCTCTGTGACTTCAAAGGGAAAGACAAGCCCTATGCTTTTTAAAAAAAACAATCAGACAATAGGAGGTGCATTGACTAGTCTCCTTTTTCCAGAGCCTGCAAAGAGGGCTTCATTCAGATGGTCCTGAGAGGCCCAGTAGATGTGGGGTCAGTCATGACCCTTTTCCCAGGCTCCCCAGGGGAGGAGCTCTACCCTGCCCACCCAGCGGGGCTGTGAGCAACCACCACCTGCACTTTGAAATCTGCCATCATAGCCCACACATGGGTCAAGAGTGACCCACTCATGGGTCAAGAGTGACCCACTGTCATTGCCCCATTACCCGCCTTGCTGCACCAATACAAACACATTCTTCGCTCCCCATCAGCAGCTGCCCCCTCCGTGTTCAGCAATATCCCAAATCCAAACTCAAGAGTTTATGGGAGCTAAAAAAAGGACTCAGGAAAACTTTTACTTTCAGCTGACTCTTACAGCTTACATATTTCAAATCCCATCTATATGGTAATGATGACTGGATTTCCTGAGCCAAAAATCATGACGTGTGGCCTCCCCAATGTTTTTTCTTGATTTGTGAACACAGGCACAAGAAGATTCTCAAATACAGTGATTGGACTCAGTGATTAAATCACATGTCAAGAGTTAACTTCAGGGAAAAGTGATCAAACCTCACAGCACCAGAACTACATGGAGAAGTTTAGAATGTGCGGCCGCTGCCTGTGTCTGTCCCCTCCCTTTCCGACGTGCTCGCCGAGGCCGTGAAACAGCCTTCCTGTTCAGGACTGAGAGAGCCGGAGCAGAGCAGCTGCCAAGTCATCATCACAGCCGGGCTCGGGAGCAGGGTCTTCACTCAAGATGGCAAAATAACCAGCTGAGAAACAGAAGCTTCCATCAATCAAGCTGCTGTTTGTTCTACATGATAGCATTGTGTAGAACAAACAGCATGTTTGATTGATTTTTTTGGAGCAAGGTGACTGAAATTCCACTTCATAGCAAACACAGCCTCAATCTCTAGTGCCAATGCTTAAGTGCCAGATAGTTCATCTCCCAACCCCCCGCCGCCCCCGCTCCCGGCATCCCTGCTCTGTCACTCAGGAGCTGTGTGACCTGGATCCAGCTACCCAACCCTCATCTGTGAAGTGAGGAGCCTCAGCTCCTTCCCCCCCAGTGCTGCAAGGGGAAAGGAGGGAAGGAATTAGGGTGCTGGCCCGCAACCCGTGTTTTCTCTTTGGGCCTGGGCTTCCCAGGGCCTTCCCTCCTCCTCCCACACCCAGTCTCCACCTTTGCTTCCCGAAGCCCAGAGACCCTTCATGAAAACATTTCTTTTTTTTTTTTTTTTTTTTTTTTTTTTGAGACGAGTCTTGTTCTGTCACCCAGGCTGGAGTGCAGTGGCGCGATCTCGGCTCACTGCAAGCTCCGCCTCCCGGGTTCACGCCATTCTCCTGCCTCAGCCTCCCGAGTAGCTGGGACTACAGGCGCCCGCCACCACGCCCGGCTAATTTTTTGTATTTTTAGTAGAGACGGGGTTTCTCCTTGTTGGCCAGGATTGTCTTGATCTCCTGACCTCGAGATCCTCCTGCCTCAGCCTCCCAAAGTGCTGGGATTACAGGCGTGAGCCACCGCGCCCGGCCGAAAACATTTCTTATGCCAAATCCTGCTCTTTCTTGAAGAGGATTCTCCCATACCACGAATCTTCTGGGCACCAGGTCTGAGGCTTGAGATCTGTGGGAAGTTCACCTGTTCCACTGCAGCCAAAACTTGGGGCTAAGCAGTGGAGCAACAATAAAGGCAGAGGGTGGAGTGGTGATCTCAGAACCAACATTCCTTTCTTAGGTGTCCACTGCCTGCCACGCTCCTCCTTTAAATAAAAACACTTCATATCCTTCTCGCTTACTCCTCACAAATTTCCATCAAGGATTCGTTTTGCTGACGCGAAAATTAGTCCACAGGGGTTGTGTTGCTTAACCCCAGGGCTGGCTGGCTTTCTGTGTGCTGACCTTCAGAGATGGTTCATGGAGCAAGGCCCTGCATGCTCAGGTGTGATCTTCGCACCTGGATGCCCACCGGAGTCACACAGCAGGGCCCCCCTGGGCAGAAGCAGCCCATCTGACCTGGCTTTCTCGCTGCTGGGAGCAAGAAGCACTGCCTTTCATGCACGAGGATTCAGAATGGACTAACACATTTGTGTGTGTGGGAAGATCTAAATGAATAGGGAAGAAGATCTATTCTGCAGTCTCACAAGCCTCATGCTTGGAGAGGAGATGTGTGTTCTCAGTTCTGAGGTTTACCAGTGACTGCCGCTCATCGCATGCCAATTACATACGTGAAGTTCGGTGCTCATGCCATTATATATTTTCTCATTTAATCCTCCAAACAGTCCTTTAAAGTAGATGTCACAATCCCTATCTTACAGATAAGGAAGTTGGGGTTTTGAGCAGTTGAGGGACTTGCCCAAGGTCATAGACCCGTCATCTGAACCAAAGCCTCTCCCCATGATCATCCTTTAACAGCACAGGGGACACCTCACCCTGGGTAACCATGTCATGCAGTTGGCTCAAGTGTTCATCCTCTTTCTGTTTTCCTTGAGCAAGAGCTGCCCTGGAGCCTCACCTGACACTTTCCCACCAAGAGCTCATGGTGTGCTACAGGTACAACCCAGCCTTCAGGCACATGGTCAGCTTCGCCCAAGCGTCTGTAACTATCACATCCTGCTCTCTTCAGCAATGATATATTTAAGAGGAAGAGCCTGGCCTCTCTGTCCTCACCTTAGAACTGAACAGCATGTTCTGGGGATGTTCTGTCCCTGGAAGTAAACAATGAGAGAATCAATTCTACTCTACCGAGGATCAGGTATTGTTTGGACAGCCTACTATGATGGTCAGATGAAAGCGTGTACAGTTTCTCCATGGTCCATAGTGTGAGCTATCTGGAAGGATAATCCTGGTAGCATTATTTCATTGCAGTTCTCTTGTGTGGTGTAATATGATGACTACCACCCTAACACCTTGTAACTCTAATCCAGGTTACAGGATTCTGCAGAGCATTCCATGTCCACTGCCCCTCACAAAAGGGCTCGTGAAGCCCATGCCATCTGCATCCTGTTCATGGCTCAAATGCAGCCCACTGGCATGAGGCAGTGTTCCCCCAAAGGGGATGGGGCATAATCAGTGCTCATTGAATACGAAAAAGAGACAGATCCCATGATTCATGTTCTTCTGTCCTCAGGCTAATGGGAAGGCACACCCCAGCTACACCCATGATGTTTTAATGCTCTGAAGTCTCGTAATATTACTTCAGTCACTTTCTGAATCACTGGCCTGGGCTCTGATGTTACATGAAAGCGGCCCTGGGGCATGTGGCCATGCCCTCTCTCCTTCTTCTCCGGGCCTTAGAGCATCCCCCCACAGGCCCCGCCATGTCCTCGTCATAATCACATGCATTCCAGCTTCACTCCCAGGGAGACTCAGTTGTCTTCCCACATTCTTGCCCAGTTTCTGCTCCAGAAATAAGTGATCACCATGGTTTTATTAAGTATTTTTAAAAATAGATTACAGTTGGCTCTCTGCACCCATGAGTCCTGCCTCCATGTATTCAGCCAACCATGGATGAAAAATATTCCAAATAAATAAACAGCAATACAATGATAAAAATGATACAAATAAAAAAACAATACAACATAACAACTATTGTGCTAGGTTATATGCAAATATTATGCCATTTTATCTTAGAGACTTAAACACCCTTGGATCTGGGTATCTGCAGTGGTCCCGGAACCCATTCTCTACAGATACCAAGATCTATTGTTCAAAATTATTTTATGATAACTCAGTCTCAATACATCTCAAAGAAGGTCAGCTCCTAAGTATTGGAGTTCATGCTCATGAAGAAGTATTTATCTTCTATTTATCAGACTCTCTTGTGACTCCAATGAAGCCGACATTTTACCTTCTCAGCATCCTACACATTCCTGCCCTGTGCCTCTGTCCAACCATTTACCATCTCATCTGGAACTTTCCTGCCTCTTGCTCTTCTCTTCTGCATACCTTAGTGATCCTTCAAGGTCCAACTCAAGTCACAGCATATCCATGGAATTTCTCTTCCCTACCCTGACTCACACAGGCTTCTCCCTCTCCCTGACCACCCCGTCTTAGTCCCTCATATTGTAATCACCCAGTGAGTTCACCTTGCCCGCTGCCTAGACAGAGCTGATTTATCAAGACAGTGGAATTGCAAGGGCAAAAGAGTAATTCATGCAGAACCGGCTGTGCAGGAGACCAGAGTTTTATTATTACTCAAAAGAGTTTTTAAGGATAATTTGGTGGGTATGGGCTCAGAAAGCGGGGAGTGCTGATTGGTCAGGTTGAAGATGAAATCATAGGTGGTCAAACTGAGTTCTTCTTGCTGACTTCTGTTTCTGGATGGGATCCTAGAACTGGTTGAGCTGGATTGTCAGTCTAGGTGGTGTCATCTGCTACATCGGAATGCAAGGTGTGCAAAATATCTCAAGCACTGATCTTAGGTTTTGCAACAGTGATGTTATTCCCAGGAGCAATTTGGAGAGACTTTTGTAGCCAGAAGCTGCATGGCCTCTAAACCGTAATTTCTAATCTTGTAGCTAATTTGTTAGTCCTACAATGCAGGCTGGTCCCCAGGCAAGGAGTTTTTAGGGGAAAGGGCTATTATCAATTTTGTTTCAGAGTTTAAACTACAAGCTAAATTCCTTCCTAAGGCTAGTTAGGCCTACATCCAGGAATGAACAAAGACAGCTTAGAGATTAGAAGGAAAACAGGGTCAGTTAGGTCTGATCTCTTTCACTGTCATAATTTCCTCAGTTACGATTTTTGCAAAGGCGGTTACAACATCATGGTGTTAGTTTGTTTCCTGAGAGTGAGCATCCCCTCTCCAACAAGTCAGTGGGCACTTGAGCCCAGGGATCTGAGAATCTGTGTTTTGCCTTCTGTCTTTCTTGATCTGTCAAAACCCTTCTTCTCTTTCAAGGCACAACTCAGATATCAGCTCCTTGGAGAAACCTTCTTAGACCCTCCCCCACCATCCCCCATCTAGGCAGAATGAATGGCCCCATTAGCATGTAAGCTTCTAATTCTATGGTAACGCAGCCCACCTCTTCCATAACATTACTTTTGATAAGCACATTTCCCCTGGCAGTAGGTGGTAAGTAGATGTTGAATGGAGATACAAATACTCACATAGCTATTACTCTAGCAGGTACATGCTGTTAATAAACTCTCTAATAATGACTGAATGAAATTGTTTTTTTTTTTTTTTTGTGACGGAGTCTCGCTTTGTGCCCAGGCTGGAGTGCAGTGGCATGATCTCCGCTCACTGCAAGCCCCGCCTCCTGGGTTCACGCCATTCTCCTGCCTCAGCCTCCCGAGTAGCTGGGACTACAGGCACCCGCCACCATGCCTGGCTAATTTTTTTGTATTTTTAGTAGAGATGGGGTTTCACTGTGTTAGCCAGGATGGTCTTAACCTCGTGATCCACCCACCTTGGCCTCCCAAAGTGCTGGGATTACAGCCATGAGCCACCGCACCCGGCCTGAAATTGTTAATTTGAGTATTTGCTCACCTTGCAGATATGGCACTGTGTGAAATCTTTATAACATCATTATGGCCACTGCCACAATCCATAGGATCTAAACTACATTACACTGTTGACATTCGAAGAGGAGAGAATATAGACCAATGTCTTCATGAAGCCCAAATTTATAAATAACATTATAAATGTTGTCCATTTGGTCATATAGCACTAGGGACCACCAACTTTTAGTGCCTCGGAAAATGTTTGAAAACTGCACAATTAAAACTAATAAAAGTTTAATTAAATGTTTACAACATATTACATACCACCTATAATTTTATTTATATATATAGTTATATAGAATATGGAAGTTTATTTTGAAAGAATAAGATAATTTTTATCAACAGACCTTAAAACTATAAATCTTGTTTACATGATTTTAACATTAAATAGGAATATTTTTAAAATATGGGATGTGGTTGCCTTTTAATATGTTTGATTGAATAGAATCTCCAAAAGGAAGAACACTTGAGCCTGTGAAGTTCTTAAATTAATCCTTCTGTGGTATAAAATTCCCCCTACAAAGTGCAAGTAAGGTATACCTGAGAAAGCATACATAGTACCATTAGACATTTCTTGATTTCTAAATAGAACCCAAAAGTTATTTTGAAAGACATTTTCATTGTTCAATCTTTTCACTTCCATTACCAGCAGTAGCAGCTTCCTTAGGGGATTTTTTTTCTTTTTTTAGGAAACAAAGAAGTGCCTTTTTAAGCACTTAATGGGAGACCTGAGCCTAGAAAGGCAGGTGGAGAGGAGGACGCCTCCCTCGGGTGTGGCTCCGGGCGGGCGGCCAGCCCAACTGCCCAGCCCAACTGCCCAGCCCACGCCTGCTCTGGCTCACCCTTCCATGCCAGCACCTCATCACCAGCCAATGGGTCCTGAATTCAAATCTGGTCCTGTAAGGCCCCAAGGGGTAATTCCTGCCCACTGCATCAGGAAAAACCACAGCCTTGCAGGAGGGAAACAGTTTAATAGACATGAAGTCAGCCATGCCACGTGGGAGATGGAGTTCCTACTCAAATCATCTCATTCAAATCTCATAGGTTAGGAGTTTTTCAAAGGCAGTTCGGGGGAAGGGGTCAGGGTGGTCAGGTAACAGGTACTTGCTGCTGATTGGTTGGGGCAGAGATGAACTCATAGGATGTTGAAGCTGTCCTCCTGTGGGAGGAATCACTTCTGGGTGGGGCCACAAGAGCGGGGTTTTTGGTCCAGGTGGAGCCGTCAGTGTCAGACATGCAAAAAAACCTGGAAATAGATCTCAAAAGGCCAATCTATAATAGTAGTGTTATTTGTAGGAGTAATTGGGGAAGTTGCATGTCTTATAAACCCTGGAATAATGTCTGCACTTTAGCAGGACCCAGGCTCCTATCCTCCCCTGCAGCCTCATGGCTTCCTATTAGCTTTACAAAAGCAGTTGAGTTTTGGGCAAGACCCATTATCATTTAAACTGTAATCTAAATGCCTTCCAAAGTTAGCTTGGCCCAATAGCCCAGGAATAATGAAAGGAAAGGCAAGATGAGGTTTGGGTTAGCTTAGCTTACTGTTTTAATTTTCTCACTGATATAACTTTTGCAAAGGCAGTTTCAGTCCTCAACCATATTACAGATCACTGCATGTTGCAGAACTTTGGGTTATCTGCAAGTGGTTGAAACCATGAGGTGAACTCTAGTAATGCTATGGGTCTGTTGCAATGTTATGGATAGCAGATGAAAGCACCTGAGTGGTAGACATCCCTAGAAACCCTGGCATTGGAAGAGGACAGAGGGAAGTAAACGACGTGTGCACAACTGAAAATCTGTTCTCAGGGATTTGAAATCAACAACGAGAGGACACCTTCTGGCTTTTGGTTTGGAGACCTAGAACTTTCATGTCAATGTAGCTGCCTCTTTTACAAAGTGGCAGATCAGAAGAAACATTCAATAGTTTTTAGAAAAGATGCTGTCCCCCCGTGATTTCTCCTCCCACACTATCACTGTCTTTTAGAGATTCTGTTATCAAAACACCAAGGGTTCAGTCTAGGTCCTGCTGCTCACCACACAGAAAGCCAATCACTGAGACAATGAGTATTGCCAGGGAAGAAAGCTTTAATCTGGGACTGCCCCCAAGGAGAAAGGGAGATAAAGTCTTAAATCCATCTCCCCATCATGTCAGAGGTGTTCAAACAGGAGCAACTCCATCTTGAATAGGGGCTGGGCAAAGTAAGGCTGAGACCTACTGGGCTGAATTCCCAGACAGGTAGGCATTCTAAGTCATAAAGTGAGATAGCAGGTCAGCACAAGATACAGATCATAAAGACCTTGCTGATAAAACAGGTTGCAGTAAAGAAGCCGGCCAAAACCCACCAAGAGGGGGATGAGAGCAACCTCTGGTCATCCTCACTGCTACACTCCCACCAGCACCACGACAGTTTACAAATGCCATGGCAATGTCAGGAATTTACCCTATATGGTCTAAAAAGGAGAAGCATGAATAATCCACCCCTTATTTAGCATATAATCAAGAAATAACCATAAAAATGGGCACCCAGCAGCCCTAGGAGCTGCTCTGCATATGGAGTAGCCATTCTTTTATTCCTTTACTTTTTTTTTTTATTTTTTTTGAGGTCTTGTTCTGTCGCCCAGGCTGGAGTGCAGTGGCGCAATCTTGGCTCACTGCAAGCTCCGCCTCCCAGGTTCATGCCATTCTCCTGCCTCAGCCCCCTGAGTAGCTGGGACTACAGGCGTCCACCACCACACCCAGCTAATTTTTTGTATTTTTAGAAGAGACGGGGTTTCACCATGTTAGCCAGGATGGTCTTGATCTCCTGACCCGTGATCCGCCCTCCTCGGCCTCCGAAAGTGCTCCTTTACTTTCTTAATAAACTTGCTCTCACTTTACTCTATGGGTTTGCCTTGAATTCTTTCTTGTGTGAGATCCAAAAACCCTTTATTGGGGTCTGGATCAGGACCCCTTTCCGGTAACATCTTTCTGGTGACCATGAAGGGACAATACTGGTGAGACTTCCCCCGCCCAACCCAAAGGAAACAGACTGCAGCACCATCAGTTAGACTAGGTATGTAAGCGTATTCAAGAATTCATAAAGAAAAATGTTTAATATCAGATGATAATATTGCTATCTTTCTAGATGAAAAACAAAGTGAAGTCTGTGATTGTACCTACTTGGAGGTGAACCAAAATAAGTGAGTTATATTCAGCTTGGATATAAGAGGGGTTGTATTTAGGAGGGAACCTTTTTCTGTCTTTTCCTTTTGAGACAGAGTCTCGCTCTGTTGCCCAGGCTGGAGTGCAGTGGCACCATCTCAGCTCACTGCAACCTCTGCCTCCCGGATGCAAGCTATTCTCCTGCCTTAGCCTCCTGAATTACTGGGATTACAGGCATGCACCACCATGCCTGGCTAATTTTGCATTTTTAGTAGAGATAGGGTTTCACCAAGTTGGGCAGGCTGGTCTTGAACTCCTGACATCAAGTGATCCACCCGCCTTGGCCTCCCAAAGTGTTGGGATTACTGGCGTGAGCCACCGTGCCCGGCCAATGTAAAGTTTTTTCTGGAGGAAGGCACCCAGACAGTGAAGGGAATTTTCCAGAAGAAAATGTGTTGAGGCATTCCCGAGGACCCCAGTTGCTCCCCAGTGGTAATTTAGGCAACTAGTCTCTTCCAGAACATTGGAAGCAATTCTCCGCACATTTTGACAATTGTTTAGAAATAGAGAAAGCAAGCACTGTTATCCCCCAGCCAAATGCATTGTTAAGAAAGAAATCAGAGACTGGCGTAATTAAATTCTGCTGCCATAAATCAAAGAATAAAAATCTACCAAATTCCCTTCTGGACACTCAGAAAGTAAAAGCAATTCTTGGCCAAGCTCTGTTCATAGTTCAACCTTACCTCCATGGATCCATGCTCCTAGGACCAGGCAAGCCTCAGAAAGGCAGCTGCTGATGGAGCAGCATCTGTCGACTCAGAAATTACAGGGCATCCTATTCTTGTCTCCTGATCCCTTAAACACCAGTTAAAAAACTGATTGTAATTTATCAAATCACATTTTACCGTGCTCTTCATAAACAAAAGAGATTGTGTTCTTGTTCTCTTCATTAATCAGATGGATATGGCAAAATTAAACCACAGTCTTAATTCCCCCACAAACATTAAACAGATGAAAAGCTTAAATATCAAAATATAAAGTTCTGTTACTGTTCTAGGTGTATCATAGTTGTTGGGTGAGACAGAAGAATAGTTGTGTATTTTATAAGTGAAACATATAAAACGATGATATTTCAAAACCCTCCATCAGATTTATCTCCTTCTTTCCCACTCTCTGTTCTTTTTCTTTTAACCATCTTTCTCACTCTGTTAATTCTTTTTCTTCTAAACAGAGATTTTGGAGAAATCCTTTACACCTTTGTTTTCTGGTACAAGTCAGGTTGTGATATAGACAGAAGAGTTTCCTCCCTCCCTGCCTGCCTTCCTTATTTCCTTTAAAAACCTTTATACGGCCCAGCATGGTGGCTCACACTTGTAATCCCAGCACTTCAGAAGTCTAAGGCGGGCGGATCTCAAGGTCAGGAGTTTGAGACCAGCCTGGCCACCATGGCAAAACCCTGTCTCCACTAAAAATTCAAAAATTAGCCAGGCGTGCTGGCGGGCACCTGTAATTCCAACTACTCGGCAGGCTGAGGCAGGAGAATTGCTTGAACCCGGGAGGTGAAGGTTGCAGTGAGCCAAGATCATGCCATTTCACTCCAGCCTCGGCAACAAGAGTCTAAAACCTTTTTACTTCATTTGTTGCATAGTTTATTTTCTCTAGTTCCATTCCCTAAGACGAAGTAATAGTTAGAACAGCTCTTGGGGCCAGAGAGGGTATCCCTGGGAATCAAAACCAAGCCTGTGCCTTGAACACCGGCAGTGCTTCCCCTGGCCTTGCGCTCTTTGCCCTGTTTTCTAACCCTTTGTCGAGGCTGGTCGTGGTTCTGGCTCCCAGCCTGCAGGGTTTTCCAGCTGTGGCCACATCCCCTTGCTCTCAGCTGCCATTAACTGGTCTGTCAGTTGTCTCACCTTCGGTTTCTTCCTTCCATCTGCCTGGTCCTTACATCCTAGTTCATCTCTAAATGGAAAGAGGAGATGTGATGCTATCCACAGATAGCTCTGCGGAAAGAACTTTTTTTAGTGGCTTAGGTTGGGGAAGGGGATGAAGAGACAGGAGAAGCTGAAAGTGCTGACTAAAACTAAGTTTTAAATCTCCCCGTGGCATTTTCTTTCTCTTGCTTGCTATGCTGTGTAGTCATGGATTTCCACGTCTTTAAACACTGTAAGTTCTTTATTCATTTGAAAGTGTGCTGTATTTCACAGCGTAAGCCTTGCATCTGCAGAATGATCTGAGAGATGACTACCTGAGAAGTCTTGGTATTGAATTTGTCTTTTGGAATTACAGGTTCCTGGGCTGATGGCTTTGGTTTTAGCACATGCAACAGCTAAGGGTCTTATTACGAAGGCGAAGCTATGCAGACCATCTAGGAGAGCTTGTCAGTTGACACATGATTTGCTGAAATGCAATCACCCAAACGTCAGGAGTGGATTGCTTTTTATTCCTACTGGCACTCGGGGAATTTGCTTTGACATTTCAAAAATCTGCATCACTGGTTGGGGGTGAGGGGTAGGGTTATAAATGTGCTGACACCTTCTCTCTGAAGCAGCAAGTGTCTGGCAGCTCATTTTATTGCTTGTACAACATCTCCTCTTTGGCTTTGGATACAGGACATGCCACATGACTTTCGTCACTTCTGGAAACCACAGCCATGCTGGCAGGATGACCTGGTGAGCCCTGGTCCCCTATCTGTCTGGCACACGACCAGGGTCTTTTTTTCTCCAGAGTCTCCCCCTGAGTCTTCTGGGCCTGCCTCAGGGCTCACAGCATCTCAGAAACCTCTGCTATAGCAGGATTCATGATTGAGGTCCAAGCTGAGCCAAAAGCACTGAGTGCGAGGGATCCACTTCCTCTTTCGGAAGAGTGACAGCCCAATGTTCAGGTTGGGGCATGAGGCCAGAGGCACAGGGTCCAGTAATCTACCTTGGGGGTCCTGGGGGGCACGAAGGGAGGCTCAGGGTGTGTTGGGTGTGATTTTCCTCAAGGAAGTATCTACATCATGCTTCTGTTTGGTGGGCCAAACTGTATGCATTCACTGTGCCATCCTTTGGCAGCCAGGGAGCCTAAGAGATGGCATTCCTATTGCCTAGTGGCTTGTTAGGGGCCCATAGCCAGAAGACTGCTTGTGATTCTTATTAGGACTCAAAATGTCTCCAACTTTACACAGCTTCCCTGGACTGAATGATCTCCCTCAAAATTGTCTGGATGCCAAGTCAGTAAGACGTGTGTTAAGAAAGCAAGGTCAACTGGGTGCGGTGGCTCACATCTGTAATCCCAGCACTTTGGGAAGCCGAGGCAGGCGGATTGCCTGAGCCCAGGAGTTTGAGACCAGCTTGGGCAAAATGGCAAAACCCCGTCTCTACAAAATAAAACTTTTTAAAATTAGCCAGGTGTGGTGGCACACATCTGTATTCCTGGCTACTCGGGAGGCTGAGGTGGAAGGATTGCTTGGACCCAGGAGGTCAAGGCTACAGTGAGCTGTGATCATGCCACTGCACTCCAGCCCAGGAAACAGAATGAGACCTTGTCTCAAAAAAAAAAAAAAAAAAATCACTGTGCCCCACCATCTGCCATTGCCTCACCTACCTTAAGTCCCCTGTAAATACTCCAAAAGGTAAAAGTCACTAGAATACAAACTCCATGAAGACACACCTCATTTGCTTTTTCACTGCGGTATTTCCAGGACTTAGCCCAGTGCCTGGTTTACAGTAGCTGCCCAATAAATATGTTTTCATTCAACCAGCATCTGTTAAATGCCTATTGTGGACCAAGTGTGTGTTATTCAGTAAAGATGCAGTGAGGAGCAAAACCAGGCTTAGTCGCCCCCTTCATGGAGCTTGCAGTTTAGTGAATGTTGAATGAAAGAACAAATTTATGCAGAAAATGTCCCAGGAAATCATGGCCATCGCAAGGGCAGAAATCATCCATGAGTCAGTGAAGTCCATATTCATTCAGTTTTTCATTCATTCAATGCATATTTATCAAGCACTTGCATAGCTCAGTGGATAGGTAAAGATGCTAAAAACATGAATAAAACATGATTCCCAGCCTCAAGAATCTCATGGACTGGCAAAGAGATAAACCACTGAGGAAATAATAACCATACAATGTGACAGATGATATAATAAGGTATAAAATGCTGGGGTAGCACAGAGATGGGAACCGCCAACTTTGCTAGAATATCATACAGGATATTAAAAGATTTCTAGGATTGAGGACAAGGTGAGAAAGGCAATCTAGATGAGGGGAAAGGGGGAAAGCAGGAGCAAAGTCTGGACGCATGAAAGGCTTGTTTGGAAGGACTATGGAATGTCTGAGGGGCTAGAGCATTGGGTACAGAAGGAAAATGAGGTTAGAAATTTAAATTACAGCTTGAAAGCCAAGCTAAGATATTGTCTTAGGCTTCTTGTGCGGCCATAACAAAATACCGTAGACTGGGGAGCTTAAATAACAGAAATTTATTTCTCCTAGGTCTGGACGCTGGCAGTTCGAGATCAAGTGCCAGCGTGTTTGGGTTCTGGTAAGGGCTGTCTTCCTGGTTTCCAGACAGCTACCTTCTTGCTGTGTCCTCAAATGGCTGAGAGAGTGAGCTCTCTGGTGTCTCTTTTCACAAGGGCACTAATCCCATCATGAGGGTCCCACCTTCATGACCTCTTCTAACCCTCATCACCTCCAAAAGACCCCATCTCCAAATCCTATCACATTGGAGGTTAGGGCTTCAACATATGAATTTGAGGGGACAGAAGCATTCAGTCTCTAACAGCTGCATAAACTTCATTCTCTAGGCGGGCAGGTTATGGAAGGAGGAGCCCAGACCGAAGTGCTCACAGTTATGGAGGGGCAGGGTGTTGGTGGGGGGGACCTGGCAGCCCAGGCTTGTGGGGAGGACATGGCATTGACCTGTCTTTTTCAACAGTCTCACAATGCACTTTTTCAGCTACATTCAGGCAGAAGGGGCATCTTAGGTGATCATGGATAAGTCCCCGAGGGGTGCTCTGTGGCAAGGGAGAAAGAATATCTTTGCAGGACCAAGAGAAGCCAGTTCTTTTCATATTGTAATGATCCTACAATGAGGATGGTGAAAAGATGAGGGAATGATCAGGGACTCTTTGAACCTGCAGCACTTTGAAGACAAAATGGTCTTCAAAAGTCCATTTTGGTTTTGTATCTTTCCTTAGGGTACATATCTATTTTTTCTTTTTTGAGACAAAGTTTTGCTCTTGTCGCCCTAGCTGGAGTGCAATGGTGCCATCCCCGCTCACTGCAAACTCCGCCTCCCAGGTTCGAGTGACTCTCCTGCCTCAGCCTCCCGAGTAGCTGGGATTACAAGTGCCCACTACCACGGCCAGCTAATTTTTGTATTTTTAGTAGAGATGGGGTTTTGTCATATTGGCCAGTCTGGTCTCGAACTCCTGACCTCAGGTGATCCACCCACCTCGGCCTCCCAAAGTGCTGGGATTACAGGTGTTAGCCACTGCACCTGGCCTCTTCAGGGTACATATCTAAAACTCCCGGCCAGTGCTTGGGTTTCCTTGTCCCATTTCCATCTGCATTTCAGCCCGGTAAGGACACCTTGTCAATACTCTGTTGCCAGCAGTGTGGTGAGGTGAGGAAGCTGCTAGGAGTAGCACTTCCCTGGGAGGGACAAGGCCCTCAGAGGGGATAAAACTGACCCAAGGAGAGGTAGCTCCTCTCTGGCTGACCTGCAGACAGACTCCAACACAGAAGAGTGGGGGTTCTAGGTGAGCCCTTGATTGGGAAGCCACAGAAGGAGGCACCCTTCTGTACTCTCTGTCATAGGGATTAAAGAAATAAAAGTTAACTATGAGTGACTTGGGATTTGATTTCTTAACTCTGTCCCTTTTTTTTTTTCTTTCTCTGAACCATAGGCACAAGGAGGACAACCTCTGTGTCCTCTCCAGTTACAACGGGGAGATTATTATTTGAAAAGTCATCTCAGGCCACATATCATACAAGCTGAACACTTCCAGCCCCTCTGATGGCCCAGATGATAGAGTAGATGAAGGGGCAGGCTCCATGGCCACTCTGCACAGGCCCTTCTGGCTGGAACTCCTGGCAAGTTGTCTGAAGGAGTCTCAGTTCTGGACTGCTTCCCAGTTAGAAGTGATTGGCCTGGTTTCAGGTTTGACTTGTCAGATGGAGATTCCCAAAGCTGGAAGGACACTTAAGAGTCCACCTAGGTTAGCCCACATCCCCAGGCACCTGTCCATCAAAGCCAGGCCAGCCCACCACCTCCAGGAGCCCTTTCTCATCAGCTGCCAACATGCCCCTAATAAGCCCCTCAGGCTTTGCTGGTTCTGCTCTCGCTTTTACTCCTCTGCTTTCTATGCCCATTCCCCACGTGCTTCCTCCGTCCAGCTAGCAAGCCTGTTCCCCAAACCCAGTGCAGACATCATCTCTCTGATGCCTTATCCAACTGGATGTCCTCAGGCTTTTATGCCATTCTCATTCTCAACCCCCTCTGGTGGCCCATGGCCTTTATACACCCACTTGGCTCTGCCTGGGTCTGTCCTTAATGCCTGTATATTGTGTTATAAAAATGCGCCCCCTCCCCCACCCCGCTACCCCTTTCTTTTTCTTTTTCTTTTTTTTTTTTTTTGCCAAGGTTCCATTTCTTTCTGCCAATGCAATCATAGGTTCATGCATTCATTTATTCATCCAAAAAATACTGACAAACACCTGCTCTGTGCCAGGCATGATGCTAGGTGTTGAGGCTTAGAGCTAGTAATCACATCCCTCTCCCTCCATGTCCTGAACCATTTGATAAATACATATGGGAAACAAACACAGGATCCAAATATCTACCAGTTTTGTTGCTGCCTGTGCTGGATTGGATAAGTGGCTGGACCCCACAGCCAAGTGGGCTTCCTTCCTACCACTCTTCCCTCACCTCCAGAGTCTAGGCCCATCTTTCCCAAGCAGCAGGCCACAAATGCTCACCTGCCAACAGCCAGGAGCTATACCACCCCACGCCCGTGGAGCCCCAGTAGGGGAGACACAGGGAATTGGACATTTTTGCTTAAATTTAGGAAGTTCTTATGTCTCCTGAAGCCCAACCAGCAAATACTGAGAGCAGTAAGTCCCGGATTACAATCCCTTGCTTCAGACATTTGATAACTCATTAGTCAAGGAGAAGCTCTGATGACTTACTCAATCAGAAATTATCTTTGAGCTGCTTCCACGGGCATAACCCATGAGAGACACAAAGAGGAAACAGAGAGATATGAGGCCTGGTGCTATCCTCAAGGGGCTCGTAGTCTAAATTCAAAGACAAGATATGCATGCCCAGCAGGTAAAATAAAGATAAAGCCTTGCAGTCAGTCCTCACTGCTGCTCGGTTAAAAACTGAAACCACTGGACAGTTGAGATTAAAAAGAAATTCTTAGCTCTAGATTTATCATCGAGTCTATTCCTATCCTCCTTTCCTACACATATTTTTAAAAATATTATTCTATGAAGCTGTTTCTGAGAGTGTTGAAGAGTTTTAAAAAGTCTCCTGGGAGGCCAGGCATGGTGGCTCATGCCTGTAATCCCAGCACTTTGGGAGGCCGAAGTGGGCAGATCACCTGAGGTCAGCAGTTTGAGACCAGCCTGGCCAACATGGTGAAACTTCATCTCTACTGAAAACACAAAAATTAGCTGGGCATGGTGGGTGTCTGTAATCCCAGCTGCTCAGGAAGCTGAGGCAGGAGAATCACTTGAACCCGGGAGGCGGAGGTTGCAGTGAGCCGAGACCACACCACTGTACTTCAGCCTGGGAAACAGAGCAAGATGCTGTCAAAAAAAAACCTCTTTGGAACCTTTGGGGAGAAAAGGTGGCAGCATCTTCTTCTAAAGCTTATTTTCATTGCCATTGAAATGAAAACAAGATTACTAGCCAAGAATGCAATGTTAACCTTTCAGCTAGCAGTTCTAATGTAAGACCCTGTTCACAGAAGCATTTATTGATCAGTTATTTGACATTTTGGTGGTTTTCTGAAGCCGGTCTTCTCCAAAAATGCAAAGCCAACTATAGCCACCAATAACTCACATTTGCATTGAAAAAAATTGCTAAAATGAGATAGAAATATATGAAAATTTCTCCACACTTCCAGAAAAGAACAGTCCTGGCTCTTCTTGAGGGTCAAACCAAAACACAGTGATCTTTGCATATGGGATTGGTTAGGAGATTGCCATCTTATTTGGAAAACCATCTGGGAAACTGTTCTGAAGTCATTCTCAGGAAAGAGGGAAACTGAGAGAGAAAGGCAACTGTACAAGCAAAGCCAGATGAGTAGAGAATATATTCTTTCTGCTGACTTTACAACATTTTAACTTCATTCTTCCTTACACTGGGGATGGTTACTTCTTCTCTCACCTCAAAGAGAAAGAATTTGAAAGGGAAAGAGAAAGATCATGAAATTTCAATCAGGCTAAAATCCAGGAAATCTGTGCGTTCACTAGGATACTAAGGCATTTTATCTAGGAAAATAACATAACAACATTTGTTGGGTACCTCTTCTATGTCAGTCATTTTCCGGAGTGCTTTTTAATATTTTATCTCATTTAGTGCTCATATTGATTCTGAGAGATAGGTACTATTATATTCATTTTCATGAATGGGGAAACTGAGGCTGCAGAATTAAATGGCAATGGTTGTAACAGCTGTCATTTGTTGAGCATCTTTGTGCCTGACACTTTACGTTCATGAAATCCATTCAGGAAAGTCGTGTAGTACTAGTCACATAGTGTCTTGATTAATCCCTTTTAAGACCCTATAAAGTAGGAACTTTCCATACCACAGGCGAAGAAAACTGAGGTTGAGGGAGGTGAAATGCTCCCCCAGGCCCCGCCCAGGTAAGTGGGGAAGGCGGCTGCATGCCCATGTCTCTGTGCCTCTGCAGCCTCTTTCCTGGAATGAGTGTGGGCAAAGCTAAGGAAGCTTGTGTTTGCTGCGTCCTCTCCTCTTTAACCTCTCCCACCTTGCCCCCTAAGTTCAATATTCCCATGAATCTAGTAACCTGAGAGCAAGGTAATGCTTAGCTCAAATCACTAGTGTTATTTTCTGGGAATCAGGGAGGATACTGGGCTGAAGAGCAAGGCAGCAGCCACATCTCCATATAGGTGACCCTCCATCCTGCCTCTGAGAGCATTCAGCCCCCTAAGGACAATCACAAAGGATAACGTCAAGGGCATGGGCTTTGGAGGCAAACAGCTGGGGTTGAATCCCAACCCCTCCATTAGTAGCTGTGTTTGTGGGCACATTATGGTTCCTTCTAAACAGCAGTCTCTCCCCCTGTAAAATCGGAGGATAATGCCCAGTGCCCAGAACATACAAAGTGTTCATGATATGGACAATTTTGGCTGTGGTCATCATCCACTTGAGGGCAAGGCTTGAGTTCTCTGTGTTCATTGTGGCTTCCCAAGTGCACAGCCCAGTGCTAAGCTCATAGTCAGATTGAAATAAATACTGTTGAATGATTAACATCCTGAGTTATGATAGTGAGCCTTGGGCGCACGACTCCAGCACCAGACCCATGATTTATATAATTTTTGTCTTAGTCTATTCAGGTTGCTATAATAAAATACCATAAACAAAAGGCTTACAAAAATTTACTTCTTAGTTCTGGACACTGGAAGTCCAAGATCAGGGTTCCAGCATGCTTGGGTTCTGATAAGGGCTCTTGTCTGAGGTGCAAACTGCTGGTTTCTCCTTGTGTCCTCACATAGCAGAAAGAAAGCAAGAGAACCCTCTTGGGCCCCTTTTATAAGGTTACTAATGCCATTCATAAGGCCTCTACCCTCATGACCCAATCACCTCCCCAAGGCCCCACCTCTTAATATCGTCGTATTGGTGGGTTAAGATTTCAACATATGAATTTGGGGGACATAAATATTCATTCCCTAACAAACCCTTATGTATATGACATCCATTTCTCCCTCAGCCTGGGCAATGGCCCCCTGAACTCCCCAGGCTCAAGGAGGGTAAGATAAAGAGAGCTCTTTGCCAAGGCTCCCAGTACCCAAGTAGCAACATTCTTTGTAGCTCTTGGAGGTTTGACTCCAAGTAGGTGTGTAGGATTTTCATTCGACAGCAAATATTTCAGTTCTATGTACTAAGCGCTCTGAGAGGGTTGGAGTAAGTAGTAAAAAGACAGATGTGGCCCCTTTGTTGATGGCACTTTAAGTCCAGCAGAGAAGTGGAAGACCAGGGAGGTAGGAAGGGGTTTAAAAGCGATTCTTGGCTTAGTGTGTGGTGGCGGTCTGCGTTTGATATTTACCACTCCCTGCAGCGCCCTTCTCTGCCCCTGCCTGTTCCATCTTTCAAGACTCCAGATCAAATGCTGCTTGCCCTGAGGTGCCCTCTATGACCCTCTCCCTTCCATGCACAGCAAATTTCCCCCTCCTGTGCATGCCCATGGCATTTTGTTCCTTCCTCTGGGGTAGTTCTCTGGAGATTGGTTCTGATCTCTGCTTCTCCCTCTTCCCCTGCTCTCAGCACCATGCTTAGCCCCTAGACATAGTTAACAGACTTCCATAAAAAATAAGCGAATGAAGAAATGGACATCTTTATGGCCTTGAGCAAATCTTTCAACTTGTGTATGACTCCGTTTCCTCATCCGGCAATAGGAATAATAATCTATCACTATGTGGGCAAGAGTCCGAGGGACCTGGAAAAGGCACCATTAAAGTTAAACGACATTACACCAGTCCACGGGTTCCTGGAAAAGCGTCCTCTTGGGAAGGGCCTGCAGACTCCCAGGCTAAGCTCCTGAAAGCCCACCTGCTTAGTTCCTCAGATACCTCAGACTGTCCCCACAGACTATACCAAGTTCCCATTCCCTGTCTCTCCCTCAAAGTCCTATGGGTCCTGGGGCAACATCCAAGTCCCCTAATCAACTACGGAGGGCCATTAGCCTTCTTCTTTGATGTTACCCCATTGACTAGAGAGGCCAGTGTTGCTGGTGGCACCTAATTGAAAGAGAGCTGTGAGTATGTGAGTGTGAGAGAGAGAGAGCTGTGAGTGAGAGAGGAAGAGCTGTGAGTGTGAGGTGTGTGAAAGCTGTGAGTGTGAGAGAGCTGAGAGCTGTGAGTGTGTGTGAGCCGTGAGTGTGAGAGCTGTGAGTGTGAGAGCAGTGAGCTGCATGGGGCACCACCAAAGCTCTCTCCTTCCCCCTGCCCTGAGTGAAGCGAGTCCTGCTTGGCCTTCCTGAAGCCCTCGGCAGCGAAGCTGGCATTAGCTACTGCTCCCCAATGGCCAGTGGGCCAGGAGGTGAGCCTGGATCCTGCACTGGGCTGTGCTCTTTTGTGAGACACGGGAGACTCTGAGCCTCCACCCCGCACCTGGAGTGCCCCTGCTATTTCCCGGGGCCTATTCCCTCTGTAGAGCCCAGGCTGACTGGCATCTCCAGCCTGCTCTACCTCCACCTCCATCCAGGGAAGCAGTCCCTTGGAGAGCGAGGACCTGACACCCACATCCTCCCTGCACGCTCTGAGGGCTGATGGGGCCCTAGGCCCTCTGAGGTCAAATGGACCAAGGACATCACTTAGTCAGGGTCCCTAAACACCATGCACAGCCTTTAAGGGGAAGTGGCCACCACAGCCCCAGGCAACCCGACAGAGGAGCCAAGAGAGTCGGGCCAAGAATCCCCACAGGGCAGAGCTGGCCGGGCCTGGGAGATCAGCTTCCGAGCTGGCTCATTTTATAGAGCTGGAAATTGGGCCCCTGGGAGCGAGAACGGGCTTCTGAGTCCAGACTGGTGGTAACGGGCTGGCTGGCACTAAGGAAGCAACGTAAGCCAGGCTGCAGTAAAATGTCACAAGTGGGCCAAGGCCCAGCTCCAAAGCTCTAGGATTTTAAATAAAGCCACCGGTGATGTTCTGGTTGCCGGAGGCTAGGAGCTGGGTGTCCCGGGGTAGCTGGTTGCTTGAGCTCTCCTTGCCGGCGAGGGAGGCCAGCCCACGGGGCCCTGGCTCACGGCCCAGCTGGGCACCAGGTGCCCTTGGATGGCTCTCTTTCTCCACCCTCCTCTCTGAGGCATCCATCGCTTCTGCTTTACCTGGGTGGGAGCACAGAGCACCTCCTCCCACCCCTGGGGAAAAAGGAGGAGGCTTCTGCGATCTTTTAGGGAGCTTCCAAGAGGAAATGCTTTGCACAGGCCCCCCACACACAAAGGCTTGCTATGTGAACACCCACACATGAACCACAGGCGAGAATTGTGACTGATAGGCCAAATAGAATCCCCAGCAAATTCCTTTATTACGCAAGTCCCACTGTGTGTTTAAAATAAATGCACACACACATATACCAAACTGAAAAACATTAATGGCCATCAGAGCCCAAATCTTCTGCACTTTCCTCTGTAGCCAAAGCTGGCCTGAGTAGAGGCTACAGGAGTCATTTAAATAAAAACCCACAAAAAGGAAGAGCCCCCTTCCCTGATATACACTGATAATTCTAGCTGATGAAAACATATATAAATGAAAAGGAAGAAGAGGTGTTTGTCCCAGGAATCATGAGGATGCAGTGGCCTCTCCGCACAGGCTCAGAGACCAGCACCTTGTGGGCTCAGGGAACATAGCAAAGCGCAAAAGCCATGGCCCTCTTCCTAGCGCTTCCCTCTCGCCCAGGCTCTCTTACCTTCTGGAGGCTATTCTATGAAGTGGGCCTCATTGCAAACTTCGTTCCTGTAAGCTGGGGAGTCAATTGGAAATCACTTCCCAGAGACAGGTTCAGTGTTTCGTTTTGGTGTGGTTTTTGACACTAGACTGACTGTCTAACCCAGCACCTCTGCCAGGCGCCAAGCCCTAGGCTTCATTTATCCTCATGGTGTTTATCACTGGTGGATTGACACAGGCACGACTAGTTCTTACCATTGATTGAATACAGCATTTCACTAGCCATTACCTGGTAGGAAAGCTTTGTCTGTAATGAGCCCTGTGTGTGTCTCAGTCCCAAGGGAAAGCCCCAGTCAGCAGCATCTCGGTGACAGCAGGAGATGCCCTTTCCTACCTGGCTAACCAGCAAGGCTTTGTGCATGTCTATGACATCCAGGAGTATGGTCTGCAGGGACAGGAGCTCCAGCCTCCCAAGAGTAGACAATGAACTTCATGTTAAACTCTATTGATGAGCACAGCTTCAGTTTTAGTGTAATATTCTGGTTGGTCAAATTAAATTGTACCAGCAAGGAGGGATTCTTTTAAAATCTTTAAAAGCAGATTTAGAGGAAAATATTTTAATGAAAATATTCAATGTTGGCAAGGATGCAGGAAAAAAGGCACTCACACACTCTTGAATAGAGGAGGAATTGCTGTGCGTTATCTAAATGGCAAGCTGACCATATGTATCTAAAGCTTTGAATGGCAATTCTACTTCTAGGGAATTGGCTGCAAGAAATAATAAGAAATGTGCCAAGAGATTTAGTTATGTGGTTGTGCACTGGCACATAGTTTATAAGAGAGAGAGAAATGGACAATACAGCCGTCAAACATAAGGGAAATGGATTAGATACAAGATGGTATAATACACTGGAGTATAATGTAGTCATTAAATAATGATGCTGTATATGGAAATGTATTTCCAGGAAAAATATTCATGATGAATTGTTAAGTGAAAAAAGGATCAGATCACAAAATGGTATTACAGTATGATTCTATCTTTGTTAAAACAGAAGTAAACACAAGATCAAAAGTGAAAAAAATACACACTCGAGTTTTAGATATGTCATTGTTTTTGTAGATGAGGTTATGGGGATTTTTAATTTTCTTTTTGGAAATATGTCTTTTCTAATTTTTCTGTGTACATATTGCTTTGGTGGTAACAAAAATAGGTTTAAAAATTTAAAAACTTTTATACAATTATAAAAGTTCTCATGTTTAGAAAAAACTCAAAGAGTACAAAAGAATAAAAAATGAAAAACAGTAGTTGTTTTTCTGACCTCCCCTACGACCTTAACCCCCCATATCTGCCTCCTGGTAAGACGGTTAATGAATTTAAATTTCCTTCCAGAAGGTTTGCATGCATATGTATCTATATACATGTGTATACAGGGACACATACACACACACACACACACACAACACAATACCTAATTTTCAGAACTCAGTTTTTTTCTTTGTCTCTCTTGAACAACTTTGCAAATAATCACATTTGAACAACTTTGCAAATAATCATATTTAAAATAATCATTTTTAAATGGCTATGTAATGTTCCATTAAATACATTTCTTGAAAGCCAATTTAGAGCCAATTCACATACTTCTCTTTATTTACCTGTTTCTGTTTCACCACAGGAGAAGTTTAAATGCTACCGTGAGAGAAATCAGAATTTGGAAGTAAGAGTGGTGTGGCTTGTGTTTGTTTTTATTCCAAGAACTGAAGAGTAGCTTTCACTTGGCTATTTTAAAAATGATTTTTGATTACTTGGAAACTTCTGCGTGCTTACCAACCTATAAGCACTGAAAAAAAACATAATATGTTCACTTTGCACAGGTCTCATTTCATAGGTCTTTGGACCTGGCATAAAGTCTTAACACATGGCAGATGCTTAATGAACACTTACCAAATTAGCAACCAATAATTTGCCACACCAGTACCTCTCTCCCTGCTGGATGCACATCCCGATCTGACCCCGTCCTGCAGGAATGGTTACACAGCAGCTAGCATCATGGTGCGTTAACTCTCCCATCATATTTAGATATGTTCTTTCTTTTAATTTAGATGTGACATTCTGAAGGGCACATGTCAGCATGGTGACATCATGAGTACCATTCTTTTCAAGTTCAAGAATTTGTAAAAGAGTTAAAATCATTTTCCCAATTTTGATCAAATCAATCAGTCATCTCAGAAGCCCTCTGAATTAGTCAAAAGAGGAAAGCAACATTTCAATTCTGCCGTTGATGAAAACAAGACACACATTGCATGCACAGAACTAAAGGAAGAGATTGGAAGCCTTCTTTTTTAAAAAAATGAATGATTGTTTTCCATGAGTTGACCTGGTGTTGTAGTGCAAGTTTATAAGCTTAGTAAGTTTAAGATTTTTCTTCACTGGGGTTGAAAGGAGTCAGTGCCAAGGGCGAGATCTGAACTCTTGCTGGATGGTTCTTTTCAACCTCTTGATCTTCCTGCCAGATCCGTCATCTAGAAGGTGGTTTCTAAAAGATCTCATCTGACGTCTGAGGATGGAGTTGGGGAATTTGGAGGGAGCATGGTGTGGTAGGAAGTGGGGAAAGAAAGGTATCAAGAAGCATTCAGGAGATAAACCTGGCATCCATATCCCAACCTTAGTTAAAGGAGCACTGACATATTGATCTGATGTCCCTTTAATGAGGTAGCAGCCTTGGAGAATTTATCCTCCCCTTTTATCATTAGTTTGGAGCTGATAGAAGAAAAGTTTCTGCTGTCATCCTCCCTTGACTGCACTGTGTGCCTGTGGAGGAGGGACGAGGCATACACCTGTCCCTCCTCCTAGGAGACATCCACCTGGCCTCCTCCTAGTCTCAGTCCTGGGCCAAAGATGTAGCCTCCATTGATTTATGAATGCTCTGAGGTAAAATGAATTAGTCTGCTCAGGCTGCCATAACAAAATACCACAAACTAAATGGCTTAAGAGACAGACAGACATTTTCTCTTAGCTCTGGAGACTGGAAGTCTGAGATGAGGGTCCCAGCATGGTTAGGGTCTGGTGAGGGCTCTCTTCCTGGCTTGCAGACGGCTGCCTTCTGGCCATGCCCTCCCATGGTGGACAGACAGTGAGCTCTCTCACATCTCTTTTATTTAGGATGATAATCCTATAGGATCGGGGCCCCACCCTCACAATCTCATCTAACCGTAATTACCTCCCTCAAGTCCCTATCTCCAAATACTGTCACACTGGGGATTAGGGCTTCAACATATGAATTGGGGGTAGGGGAATGGGAAACACGATGCGGTCTATTGCATAAAGTTACCTTACTTTCACAAAGTTTAGTAAAATCAAAGACATTTGTACTTATAGAAGTCAGCTTAACTGAAGGCAGTAACTTTGGTAAGAAGCTGGGTTATCATGAGAGTCATCTCTTGGTAGGAACAGTTCAGGACAAGGGGGTTAGAGGGAAGAGGCCTGGTGTGTGTGGGATGTAGAGACCAGCTTAGCCTGACTTGCTGCCCAGAGGGACTCTGTTCTTGTTCCAGTAGGGTTTTCTTGTCCCCTAGCTTATGTTCCTTAAAGCAGGTGCTAGGACTATTTTGAATTTATCTTGCAAGTTCTTATTATATTTCTGAGTAGCCTATGCACTCCTGTGATGTGTTTCGTAGGAGACATTCTAGGCCTCAGTGTCCAAGGCCAATTGCCCTGGAATTGTTTCTTATGGAAATACAGAGGCAGCACTTAATTTGCTTAAGATGACCTAGCAAGGATTAAAAAGACCTAGCAGTCTTAGCAATAAGCTTTGCTCTGATCGTATGCATAGAATTTATTCACTTATCTCTATCCTTCTAGGGACCTTTGGGCAGAGCAGCCCCTGGGATATTTTCACTCCTGCCTCCTAGAGCCACCTGAGAGTCCCCTATGAAGTTTTGACAGATCCCCAGAGCATGCCAGCTCACCCTGGAAGAGAGATGTTTCTGCTGGGCACAGGGGAAAGGAGGAGCAGGAGAATGTGATAGAGCAAAAAGCTCGTGCTGAGGTTGGTGCTGGCACATCCGTCACACCTGTGTTTACTTTGTAGCTTGCAGGCAGATCAGCATAGAATACAAAGCACAGCTTGAGTCAAGACATGATCTGGAGAAGCAAGTTAATACAGGAATGAAAGTACGTTCCTTCCATCCCAAGATTCATGCTACTGACTGGGACCAGGAGGACTTGTTGGCCCACCTGTGGGAGGGTTGGAGTTGACCTTCCAGCTTTGTCCTCCTTTTGACCAACAAAAAGGCTGTTGCCCCTGACCTCAGAACACAAGGAGACACAGCACCATACACAACCCACTGTCACATCTGAGAAAGCCAGACTGCAAACATTCAATTGCAGCATACACCTCACTGTTATGAGATGCATTTAAAAGCAGGGCTTTCTAACCAGTGAAAGGCAGAAATGATCAGTTTAATGACCAATTCTATGAAAGTCAGTCGAAGCAAGAGATTTTGAGAGGGCCCTGGTCAATGCAGTCTTGATTTAGAATTCTGTGAAATATATGGATTTCCAAGAAATGCCTTCCCTTTAATAAATTGAAAAGAAGGTCATTTCATGAGCTATTGCTCACCAGCTATGTCACAACTAAAGGCAGAACACCTGCTCTGCCAGCAAAATCATGTGTCATAGGTTTTTCCTTGGGAGCCTCCTGGAATACTGATTACACGGTATAACCTAGTCACTGACTCCGTAGAGCTCCAAGCATGTTCAAAATAAAAAACAAAGAGACAGGCCAAGAATAGACCAGGAAAAGCTTCTGTCTTGTCAAAAGCCGCATCTCTATGATGTTGTTCCCAGGCGTGTTCCCAAGGTTATCAAGGGGTGCTCTGGTTGCTCCCAGAAGACTCTGAATGTGTTGGCATGACACATGGGGTGATTTAGAAATATAGTAATTTCAGTGTGCATTTGATATGGAGAAAACAATTTTGATAGACCCACAACTTAGAAAACAAAAGTACAGGGAGAGGTGGGAAGAGGGGAAAGTAAAGAACAAAAGGGCGTGGTGGGGGTGCTGATGTGGACAAAAACCCTGGTAGGTTGACTGTGAGCTACAGCAGATGTAAGGAGAAACCTGCCTGCAAGTTCAAAGTTCAGGATTAGGGAGGAAAGGGGGTAAGCTGGGAGGAAGAGGAGGGAAAGAAGGGCGGAGGGGCAGAGGGAGAGGGAGGAGGGAGGGAGGAGGAATTGGGGAGAAAGGATACCCAGTTCAAGAAACTCAGAATAGTTACATGATGCTTGCTCCCCAAGCACACGATAGGATAAGCAAAGGCTTTGCACATGACTTTGATCTTGTGTAAGAAAACCATAGGGTGATTTTGTTTATGATTCTGTCCAGTTGGACTATGGATACCTGAGGAACTGTCTGTAAATTATTTCCAAGAAAAATACACAGAAAAAAAAGAACCTAAGCCCTTCTATAGTGTATCTGGGCCAGTCAATGGGGATCCAAATTGTAAAGTTACAGAATAAAATGTTTGTAGCACTCTTCATGAGTTAGGGTTTCCTGGGTTCCACTTTTAAGTTCACCCAAATTAGCTTGTGCCCTCCTCTAGCAGTCATGCCCACTGAGTTAGGTATCGAATGAGGAGTGGGATTAGATGATCTCTAAGTTTCTTTCCAGCCCTAAAAATGTCAGGTTTCTCTGAATGTCTGTTTTGAAAAAGCAATGTGTTGATTGGATTCTGGATCTCAGTAGCTATTCTTCCAGGATGCCAGAGATCAATCACGACCACAATAAAAATAAGTTGACTGGATGCAGAAAATCATTCACCTGGAAGATATCACATATGAGCTGGTAGTTTGAAAATCAAGTCAAAGCTCAGGGGAAAAGGCTCTTGTTATCTAATGGGTTCAGTCAGCCTGCATCTTGTTCCAAAGCAGAAAATTCATGTAACTGACAGGTGGCCCTTGTTCCTCATTACCAATGTAATGTGATTGTGGGTTCCTGCTCCCATATCTGTTCCTTCTTCCAGCCTGAAAAGACTGATAACATTCTCTCTCCAGAAGATTCCATCCTTGAAGCTGAGATGAAAGAAGGCATAAAGAAACAGAATGCATTTTGCAATAGGAGTTAGTCTGAAAGAATCACCCAAGTCAAAGAGGGGGCCCTCCTGAAATAATGCAGCCTTTCTTGGCAGAGGCATCTCAGGCTGCCCTGTCGTCTGCAAGAGTCACTGTCCCTTAGCCAACCCCACCACCCCATCCTGTTAGTATAACTGAGGTCACAGCTCAAATCTCACACGTCAAATGTCCTTCTGCAGGATTCAGGGCACTCTAAGACTCCCCCAGTTTCACCATCAAGGCCCCCTTCAGTTCTTCACCCCAAGCTGCGTGGCTGATGTTCCTTCCCCCAGTGCCACTTAAAGTACGACTGCCTCACTCTTCCTCCTTAGGACTCCTGTGCAGCCACTCTGGCCTCCTGAGAGCATGAGGTGGAGAGGGGCCCTGAGGCTCCCAAAGCTATGGAAACCCGGGGTACCACAGAGACCCTGTGCGCCTGCCTGGTCTCCCTGTGCTGTGATGTGGTGGGCTTTACAGGGAAGCAGGGCAAATTAGTGCCTCTCTCTAGCTCTGTGGGTTATTTTGTTCCCTGTGTCCCACACTGGCCTTCTTGGGTCACAATCCCTATGACATTTGCAAAATGATAAAACCCCCTAACAATGCATTTCTCAGAATGGAGATGCATGACTGTATATCTTTTAAGTCAAGGAACCATTAAAAAATGATGCATACATCCCGTAAACATTTTATTTCAATTTGCAACGTTAAGATGTACATTCATTTGCCAATCTTTTGATGTAGAGCCAAGGCTGTTTCTTCAACTGAGAGATGAGTTCAGCATGGTCTTCCATAATGCATTATATATGATTTTCAATTTCCACTTTGTAAAAGTAGAGTAAGAATTTAATGATATTTGCAAAGCAATATGAGTGCAATATCTTTGCAGATTTTTATAATTTCTCCGACACTTTAACAGTGGTTTCACATATCCTCAATTCAGTATCACCCTTCAGCTAGTCTTTTCAAAGTCTTCACCTTAACTTTCACAAAGTTTTTTTTATGAATTTCATGAATTTTCATTTTATTTAAATAAATTTATCAGCACAATGAAATGCATGACGGGCACAAACAGGTTTGAGAACAAACCTTGTTCTAAGCACACAACTCAATCCCTCACCTGCTGGAGCAGAAGTATACCGGCCACTTTCACCACCTTCCAGGCATTAGTGTTCAGAGGGCTGTGGGCATTTGGCAGGGTGTTGACAGAGAGCCAGCTAATCCATCAACTCACCTAAGACAGTGTCTGCTGCAGCGATCCTTTGAGCAATGGATTCCCTAGAAATAAAATCAACACTTTCCCTGGGCAGCTTGGCTGCGGGACCAAGGACAGAGAGAGAGAACCCAGGAGGGAGGAAGGTGATGGCCCTGTGGTCAGCCCACGCATGTTAGTTCTACAAGATACCTCACGTACATTGTCTTAGTGTGGCCCAATTTCTCAAATAGCACACACCTTATTCAATATCAACAACATGTTGATGATCTTCCACCCAGGGATATCTCACCCATTTAGGTAGGAAATCACTAAATTCCATTGTTAGTTCTCACAACGTCCCTGGAGATGTTCTATTTGTTATCTCCACTTTACAGATGAAGAAACTGAGGCTTAGGGAGGACTTGTAATTTGCCAAACTTAAAACACCAATATGTGGCAAGGCAGGAATAGGATCCCACTTCTCTTTCTGCCACCCCACCGTGATAAGGCCTTGGAGAAGGGCTATTATAGGAGCATACAACGGAAGGGGTGTTGCTTACAAATGCTCCGAACACTTTGAAGATATGGACAATCGGCACATTGCTGTGGAATCAAGCATGTCCTTGCAAACTGCAAGCCAAATGATGGTGCTGGTGTTAACGAACAGACTCGCAGAGGCTGGGTCAGCTTACACAGAAAGAAGGAGAGAGATGGCCGGAGTGAGGTGCTTCCCAGGCTGTGCAGGATGAAGTGAGGCATGGAGAGGCGACTGGAAATCATCTCCAGAGAGGTGGGGCCAGGATGACCCAAGGGGATGTGTGTGGAGAAAAGTGGGTGCAGCCACCTCGAGTGCTCAAAGAGAAGGAGGGACGGATTGAGCAGAGATTGTAGGTCAGGCGAGAGGAACCAGAGAACAGGCAGAAAACAGTGCCACAGAGACCAAATATGCTCCAGGAAAGGGTGGTTGATACCTGGTACCCTCGGTAGATCAAGAGCATTCAGATCTGGTCTCAAGGTTTTTGTTGAAAATTCTTCATGAATATTTTCAAGGAAAGGTTGTTCAACATTTCCCTGTGCGATATTTGGCGGCCACCACTCAGTGCCAGGCGCTGTGCAGTGATACAACCACGGATGGAAAGGAGTCTGTGTCCTGAAGGAGCTCACACATCCCTGGCTGTCCCCTGACAGGATCGGAATGCAAAGCATGGTGGGGGTGCTCACTTGGGAGGTCAGCAGGGTGCCTTCCCAGAGGGAGAGAACTTATGCTGAGACCTGAAAGATGAGTAGGATGTGGCCATCTGAAAGGAAGCCTTAAGAGAAGGAAGAGCTGCTACCATGCGGATGAACCTTGAGGACCTTATGCTAATGAAATGAGCCAGTCACAGAAAGACAAATACTGATTCCACTCGCAGGAGGCACCTGGTGTCTTCCAATTCATAGAGACAGAAAGTAGAATGGTGGTTGCCAGGGGCTGGGGAGAAGGAAATGGGGAATTGTTGTTTCATGGGTGTAGAGTTTCAGTTTTGCAAGATGAAAAGCACTCTGGAGATGGATGGTGGTGGTGGTTGCACAACAATGTGAATGTACTTAATGCTGTGGAATTGTGCACTTAACAGTGGTTAAGATGGTAAATTTATGTTATGTGTGTTTCACCACTTTTTTTTTTTTTTTTGAGACAGAGTCTTGCACTATCACCTGGGCTGGAGCACAGTATTGTGATCTTGGCTCACTGCAACTTCCACCTCCTGGGTTCAAGCAATTCTCCTGCCTCAGCCTTCTGAGTAGCTGGAATTATAGGCACCTGCCACCATGCCCAGCTAATTTTTTGTATTTTTAGTAGGGACAGGGTTTCACCATGTTGGCCAGGCTGGTCTGGAACTCTTGACCTTGTGATTTGCCCACCTTGGCCTCCCAAAGTGCTGGGATTACAGGCATGAACCACCACACCCAGCCATTTTTCCACAATCAAAGAGAGACAGAGAAGAGCCTGAGGCAAGGCCACTAGGCAAGAGAGAGGGGATGTTCTGGATCTGGAAATTTCTAGTAGTTCAATGTGGTTGGCACAGAGCTGGGGGTGGCAGCGGCAAGGACAAGATGATGAAGGGAAAGGGTTTGAGGAGTGGAAGCAGATGGCTTTCCGAGGGGTTTAGACACATCCAGGAGGTAGGAAAGAGTGGGCAACATAGGATCAAGTAGAAGGGATTGACGGAAATATGTTTTTGCTGATGGAAAATGTGCAATGACCATGCTCTACCTGGGGTCTTTGCTTTAAGCAGGGGAAGCAGGGGGCCCTCAGGTGCCCAAGGAATCTGCACCCTGTACTTACCTGGTTATTTCCCACCAGGCTGCTGCTGGGGCAGAGCAAGCCCTCCTGGAGAGCACCTGTGCCAGGGGTGGCCCAGCATTCACCAGACCTTCCAGGGCCACGAGGTCGCCTGCGTGTCAGGTCTCAGGGAGAAGCCAGATTTGTCTGTTACTGGCTCAGACTTGTTTAATTTAAATTTTCTTACACAGGAAGAAGAAGGAAGTGAAGCTGCCCAGAAGGAGTCCTGATCATAAAGCAATTTCCTTGTCTGAGTTCTAAAGAGACCCAGCTGCTATTTTCTTTTCTTGGCAAATTTTTCCCTGTGCAATCAAAAGGTCTGACTGAGATTAAGCTTTGCCAGACAGGAGCAAAGAAGAGCAAAACAAGGAATGATTTCAGCCACCGTGGGCTTCTTCCCAAAACAATTAGAGCTTGAATTTAAGTGAACAAATCAGATTTGAGGTTTTTCTTCCTTGGAGGCCGTTTCATTGAGCAAAGAGCACAGGGCTGATGAGCTGAGCCGATGGCTCCCCAAGCAGCTCTGCCACAGATCGAAATGCCACCTACAGCATCTGCCTATAGGTGGGCTGAGGACAGTGGGAGAGAACCATGAGGCTGTTGGTGAAAAACACTGGCAGATTTAAACATTAACTTTGTGCCAGGCAGGCCTTGCTTCAGAGCTTAGATGTATTTGCATTTATTCCTAATAACATCTTTGGGAATAGATACTGTTATCATCTCATTTTACCAACCAGGAAACTGAGGCTCCCAGAAGTTAAGTGACTCACCAATGGTTAACAATGAAATGACCCAGGAGAATCTAGAGCCCGCGCTCTTAACTACCAGACTCCAGAGTTGAAGGAAATCGGCTCTGGGAATAAAATTAGGAGGCCAGTTGCCCTCTTCTTCCCAAGGATGGCCCCAGAGCAGCCACTTTAAAGCTGTAAGTGAGCAACCTCAGAAAGAATAATAGTGTGGCTGCCAGTTCCCAAGCACACAGTGTGCTGATCTCTTCACCAACATTGTGGAATCCTCACCGCAGCCTAGAAAGGGAACATCCAGTTTTACAGATGAGAAAGCTGGTCCTCAGAGAGATGAAGGTTTTGCCCAAAGTCACACAAACAAAAAAATTCACAATCCAAACCTTTGTTTGTTCCCAAACATTGAGCTGTCAACCTCCACCTATAATTCAAAGCCATCACTTTGCAAATGGAGACCGCAAGGGGCAGAGAGCCCCTAACTGCAAAGCTAGGCAATCTCTTGGGCCCTCCTCCAGTCCAACACTTGCCAGTACCCGCTCCCCACTCTCAGGTCCACCCATGACCTGTACCCCTCCTGGAGCAGGGCAAGGGGACCCCTGTCCTGGCCATGCGCCTACCTAACCACACCTCCTTCTCCAGGTCGTGGAACCGGGAAATCCCATGCCCAGACCACCCCAAGTCCATGTTCAGAACCTGCACGGCCTCCTCCCACATCCATCAGTCCCAAGAAGGGCCACACAGTCCCAGGCCCAGAGAAGTGGTTAAGGGGCCAGGGTTTGTTGGGGTGCGGACTTATACTGGACATGTTAGCTGGGGTGGGGGTATTCATGCATATGCACATTAAAGCCTCCACAGTGCAGAAAGAAGCTGGGGTGGAGGGAGAAGGAGGAAAGTAAGAGGCTGAGAGCCAGGGGCTGGCTCTCCCTGCATTGCTGCAATTGCCATGGAACTATGAGGACCCCGAGAATTCGACATCCACACTGGCCATCTGGGGCCTCAGGGAGCTGACAGTGTAGGAAGACAGAACATTCAGCATCTGCTAAATGTTGACCTAAGAGTTTCTCAACTTTCTCCTAGGACCATGGGAAAAACCATCACCAGGGACGTGAAAACCTCATCAGGACGGTCTTTCCATCTCGTGCCCCTGTGTGGTGCTCTCTCATGCAACCTCTCTCTCTGTAGACCAGGTCTCCCCACACTTCAGGAAGCATGGCCACAGCAGCTGCCAGGTTTCACTGGCAGCTTTTGCTCCACAGAGAGACTGATTTTTGACTTCTCTTGGGTTCCAAGTCCCAAATTGAAGCTTGCTGGCATATCTCTGGTCAGTGCTCACTTTGACCCAGCCAACTGAGGGCTGTGGGCTGGTCCCTCAAAAAATGGTTGCCCGATGGAGCCCCAGGGATGAGGAAGCCCAGCCATTACTGGGAGAGGAGGAGGATTCTGGGGCACAGACAATATGTGCGTGTCTCATGCATCTCCTGAGGCTAGACAGTTGGTTGCCATTGCCACGAGACTATCAGACTATGCCTGTCTGCCTTCCTGCCTGACTTCTTTTTTCTCTCTCTCTTTTCCTCTCCCTCCTTTTCTTCCTTCCTTCCCTCCTTTCCTTCCTTCCTTCCTTACTTCCTTCCCTCCTCCCTTCTTTTCTTCCTCCTTCCCTTCTTTCCTCCTTTGCCTTCTCCCTTCCCTCCTACCTTCCTTTCTCCTTCCTGATCTGGATTTGAATTCTGAGTTTTCTCTTTCCCAAGCTCTAGAGGCATAGAGGAGACCAGGTCCCAGCTCTGCCATGCTTGCTGATGGGTCTGGGCATCTTTCTTTCTCCCCTGAGTCTTTATTTCCTCAGCTGTTAGTGGGGGGCATTTCAGCTCCTCCCCCAGTTTTTCCCCCTCTGTTGCTGAGCCTTTGAGCCTCCTAAACAATCAGTCTCAGTAGTCCAGACCCCTTTTTCCAAGCTGCTTTTTATAAACCTTTCAATGGTGGATTTCTCTCGCTGCTCAACGAAGTGTTCCTTTTTCATCCTTGATTTTGGACCGCAGCATTTCGAGTTCAATCTCGGGGTCATGGCCTGTCTACTCAGTACTATTTTAAGTTGAGAGATCTGCGTTGATGCTGTTTCTCTGAGAGCAATGTTCCCTCCATTAACTAATCCCTCGAGGAAATAATGCCATTATATGAAGCCAGCAGTGTTCAAAACAAAACCCACCTCTATAAATCATGCCAAGCAGGGTTCCAGATACCTCCAGGTGCAGCTTCCAATTGGTCTGACCTGGATGGGAGGAAATGGAACCGAGAAGTGACACATCTGACTTCTTCCTGACCCAGCTCCTCTTTCTGCCCCCTTCTCACTCCCTCCTGCCTCTGCAGCCAGCATCCTGCTTTCCCATCTCCCTCGCGTCCATCACAGCAGGGGCAGGGACAAGTGTAACGATTACTCTCGGTTCCCTGCATTAAAGTGGGGGCATGTCAGGCAGGGGAGTGGTTCCCTGAAGAAATGAGTTTGGGAAATGCTGGATTAAAGACAGTTCAATGGGTCTGTTAACCTCAGTACTTTTCTGAGCTCTTAATGTTTTCAAGTGCCTGGTAAATCCCCAGGAAAGGAACAGTTTCCCAAACTTACAAGGAGCCCCTTATTCAAGCTGTGTTTTGTGGGATGAGTGTTCCAAGCAATATCCTTTGAGAAATGCTGTCTGAACTGCAACTCATCTGCATTAAGGCACTCCTCCATTCAGCCTCTTATACATTGTTTTCTATCTAATCGTCAACTTATTTTGCTTTGACATTGCTGAAGAGCTTCCACATCTCATCTTTCAATTCTCCCTCCCAACAATCCTGTGAGACAAATGCTGTTCCTCAGAATTTGCAGATGAGAAACTGGAGCTCAAAGGAGTCTCCTTTTCCCAGTTCTCACCTCCAGGAAGCCCAGAACCTGGCTGAGCAAATGTGATGACTACTGGTGAACATATGAGGAAACTGAGGCACAGAGAGGTAAGCTGTTTCAGTTTGCTAGCAAGCCTGGGACCGATGTTTCTGGCTTCCTGGATCTGTCATCTTTCACTTTCCATAAAGAAAAGCATGAGGCTTGTCAGCCAGCAGGCAGGGAGGATGGGAATGGGATGTCGTCAGAAGAGGGGACCAGATGGGATTCAGCATGCTGATGGCTGGCATTGGAGCAGGGGTCCCAGGAGAGTCTGAATATGCCCTACCATTAACCCCTTCTCCTGGTGAGATCCCAGAGGAAGACATGCAACGAGGAACAATGGAAAATGGAGCCAAGGCACCATTTTATTGTGAGCTGGGACACCTGGTAGTCCCCTAAAGCTGGAGGTTATCTTGGGCTCAGAGCCTGGGCAGGGTCTTTCCCTCCTCTTCACCCAAATCTACAAGAGGCTGAAGACCCTGGTATGAGTGACCCCACCCACTGGTAAATGAAGTCTAGTCAGGATCCTGGTCTCTAATCAGTTGTACTCGAGGAATGGAGCTGCCTTCTCTCCTCCTGTCTAGGACAACTCAAAGTAGCACCACTTGTCCAACTCTCAAGCAAATGTTTGTTTGCTTTTCTAGGATGCTTTGGTAGAAGGTAGGGGACCATCAAGGAGGGACCATGCTCCTCACCCCCTACTAACAGCTGAGGAAATAAAGGGGAGAAAGAAAGATGTCCAGACCCATCAGCAAACATGGCAGAGCTGGGACCTGGTCTCCTCTACCCCTCTGGAGCTTGGGAAAGAGAAAACTCAGAATTCAAATCCAGGCAGGAGGGAGTGGGAAGGGGGCAGAAAGAGGAGCTGGGTCAGGAAAAAGTCAGATGTATCACTACTTGGCTCCAGTGCTCAGAGGAGCCTGGCTACAGCTCCTAGAAGCTTGGTCAGGTCCTTCTGTTATCAGCACAGGGGATAGGATCATTCTTCTCAACCCTGGAGGCCAGTCTGTCTCATCTTAACCGTGACTACTCCCCCTCGCTCAGACTCTCTTCCACCTCCTGTTCCTCATCCCACCCCCTCCTTTCAGGAGCTAAGGTTAAGTCTGGGCCTGCCTTCCCCTTGCCATCAGTCCCAAGATCCCAAAGACTCTATTTTGTGGCTTAGATGCTAGTCTGAAATAACTTGGCTGGTATGACATATTGTACCTTCCCCTGCCTCTCATCTTGAAGCACACCCTCCTGTCTCCCTTTTCATTTCTGCCCTTGGTGGAGATTCTCATGCAAAGGTGTCATTTTTGTGCACCTTTATTATCAACAGAGGTATGATTGAAGGCTTACAAATTTAATCGCTGGTTGGATGTTCCTGGACAATGACAAAGCAAGCACATCTTGTCCAGGAGATTCCTCTCTGGTGAAACATGGGAAAACTTTGCAAGAAAGATTTAGGCAATGTTTTTTCTCATCCATTTGGGAATTCCATAGCGTGCTGAGTAACGGCCACCCAAAGATCCAAGTTCTAGTCCCTGGAACCCATGAATATGACCTCATTTGGAAAGGGGTTTTGCAGCTGTGATTTAGGATTTGGGATGGGGAGATTACCCTGGATTTCCTGGGCGAGCCCTAAATGTCATAAGTGTCCTTACAAGAGAGAGGCAAAAGGACGTAAAAGAAATACATGTGGAAAAGTAATGGAAAGAAGAAATAAAGGGATGTGGCCACAAGCCATGCAATGCAGGGCAGCACCAGAAGCTAGAAGAGGCAAGGACGGATTCTCCTCTAGACCCCTCGAAGGAGCACGGTCCTGCTGACACCTTGGCTTCAGACTTCTGGCCTCCAGAATTGAGAGAGAATAAATGTGGGTTGTTTCAAGCCACTCAGTCTGTGGTCATTAGTTATGGCAGCCCTAGAAAGATGACACTAAGACTTCTGGAATGGAGCACAGTTTTCTTTGGAATATGGAATCTGGCCAGTGCTTATCCATCAATTATTTCATTTGCTCATTTAGTTCACATTTCACTTATGTTTCAGGCTCTGTGCTAAGCTCTGGGGACACAAATAGGACTAAGAACCTATTCTTGTCTCCAGGAACACACAGTCTAGCAGCAGAGAGAGTTACAAACACATTATAAAGTAATGATTTAAATACAATAGGAGAGACACAAAGAGATCTCCATAGAGGGGTTGGGGACCAACTGGAACATTGTCAGGAGGTCTGGCCAGGGATTCCTAGGGAGGGAGAGGCCTGAGCAGCAGGAAGATGGACAGGTGAAGGCTGGTGGAGGGTGGGGTTGAGGGGTATGTGTGGTGCAGTGTGCCTGTGTGTGTGTGTGTGTGTGTGTGCATGCATATGCATGGGGTATGTGTGATGCAGTGTGTATGTGTTAGAGAGAGAGCATATGCACATGTATGTACACCTGAGGGTGGGAGGTTGGGTGGGTTTGAGCAGGGCTGCCATGGCCAGGGATATAGGATTTGGGGGTACATGGTGTCCCTTGGGAGTAACCCCTTCCTCCTTGAAGCCATGGTCCTGCCCCAACATCTCTACCACCTCTGAGGAAGGGCTAATCACCATTTTTAGGGACACTTTTCAACCAGTGCAGGACCTCCCCAACAACCACAGAGGATAGTTTCAGACTGAGGACTGCTCTTCCTTGGTTGCCAAAACTAGCTGTGATGCCCCCACCTCTCTTCCTAAAAGCAAGAGATTTATGAGCTTATGTAGGAAAGATGCACTATGTTAGAAATCTGAGCTCTGCACATGTCACTCCTGGGTAGGTCTCAATGACCTTAGAGCCCCTGGCCTGCAGACCTGCTTTCATGGGCCAGGGGGAGCCCCCAGACCAGTGTGTGCCCTCCAGTCCCCACCGCCATGAAACAAAGAGTCTGCCATGGATGGCAGTCTACATTGGGCCAACGTAGACTCCTATTTCCAAGCCTATTATCTCAAAAAGTCTTTGTGTCAGGCAATTTTTTAACTTCTGTGAGGAATGGTTTTATAGTTCATTATTGGCTAAAACTCTGAGGAGCATGGGAAGGGGGAGAGACTGAGTGAGTGGCTGCAGTTGATATCTCCAAGAGGTTCCTGATATGGTTTGGCTGTGTCTCCACCCAAATCTCATCTTGAATTGTAGCTCCCATAATTCCCGCATGTCATGGGAGGGAGCCAGTGGGAGATAATTGAATCATGGGGTCAGATCTTTCCCATGCTGTTCTCATGATAGTGAATACGTCTCATGAAATCTGATGGTTTTATAAATGGGAGTTCCCCTGCACAAGCTCTCTCTTGTCTTCCACCCTGTAAGACATGCCTCTGCTCCTCCTTTGCCTTCCACCATAATTGTGAGGGCTCCCCAGCCATGTGGAACTGTGAGTCCATTACACCTCTTTTTATTTATAAATTACCCAGTCTCGGGTATGTCTTTATTGGCAGCATAAGAACAGACTAATCCAGGTCCCAAGTAGGAAATGGGCAGAGGGGAATGGGCTAGCACTGGGTGAGGCCAGATGGACAGAAGGGAGAATCCAGGACACCCTGTGGGTTCTTTCCATTTCGATGGTGGCTGAAACAGGTGCCTCTGACTTCCAGACCCTGTTGATTCAGTGGGACCAAAGACAAGCATATGAAGACCATGATAAGTTGAACAAGGAGAGAACCATCTTCCTCTGACACCACAGCATTCATCACCCAAACTCCACCCCAGACTCTTGTGGAATGCATTTATTGTTCCAGTTTCCCACTCAATTTTCTAATTTTACACATGGGAGAGCATTCTCCAAATGCAATGTCCTTTGCTTCCTCACACTCATTCAGCTGCAACTGCTCTCAGAAAACGCCAGTTAACTCTGTGCTTCAGTCTAGTGCACATTCTGGTCTTCATCTCCTTTGGCCACTTTGTAGCACTCGTCCCTCTCCATCCCTTCCTCCTTTTTCTCCCTTGGCTTCTGTGACCTCTACCACCTGTTTCCTTCCAGCTCTCCCACCACTGTTTCCTCAGATGCCTTTCTTCTGCCCTGATTCTTAACATAGGCCTCCTGAGGGTTTCTGTTTTGAACCTCAATTCTTTGACAAATCCTGACTGAGCATCTACTAAATGCAAACCCTGTGCTAGGCACTTGGGCTATTAAAAAATGAATAGAACTGAGCCTCTTCCCTCTCACATGTGTAGATGAGGCTAAAAGCTCAGTAGAGGAGGGTGCGTATGACTCAGGTGCATGGGGGGCACACACAGGACAAAAATCCTTCACTTGGACTGCGTGCACAGCTGGCTTGTGTGTCTGCACCGAGAGCCCGGCTGTCCACTACGACTGCAGTCTGTATTTCAGCTCTGCTTTCTACCGAGTTCCACACCCGGGAGACTCTGCTCACTGGCTGGCTGTTGGCTCTGCACACACCTCAAATTCAACATGTGTCACGGTAAACCTGGCTCTCCCTCACCTTCTTCTCTGGCTCTCTCTCTGCGTGTTCTCCTTCAAGGAAGGGCACCGTTTTTCACCTTGAAAAGAGAGACTAAAGTCAGAGAGACCTGGGAGTCAGCCTGGACTCCCCACTCCCTCTCCCCGATTCAGAGCCACACAATAGCAGGGCAGGAGGCGCCATGCACAACACAGATGAGGACATCAGCGCCTGGGGGTTGGAGGATGAGCTTTCTGGGCAAACTGTGAGGGCCAAAGAGCCCTGCTCAGAGCAACGGCTTGGTGAATTGCTCAGGTTACTAGGCATGATTCCCAGTGGTGGGAAAGGAGTAACGAGTCCCTGCTTCCCTCCTTGGGAGCTGGGAGGTTCTCAGCATCTTGGGCCACCCTCACTTTGTGCAACCTCAGGGTCTGCTGCTTACACATGAGGTCCTAATGCCTATGGACTCAGCACTGAAGAAACATTTCCTGGCCAGTCTCCTCTGTGCCATGTTGGGAGAATGCACATGCCCTGGGATGCAGGGGAGAACGGGAAAAACTAGGTTACGTGCCGGGCAGATGTGCAGCTGGGTCTGCCCAGCATCCTCCATTCTCCTGGAAGCAGCATCCCACTTGCTTTGATAAATATTCTTCCCTCTACCTACTCATGGTTAGAATGGCAGCAGTCATGTTCTTGCAGAGCTCACTCTGGGCACAGTTTCGTCCCTGGGAGGGATGGAAATTTCCCCCTGGGACTTCTTGCCCCTGGGAGGTGTGTTAGTGGTGTCTGCTGGGGACTGCTGTTGCAGCTATGCTTCCCAACCTCCCCTAGAAGCAAGTTATCAGCAAGGATAGTGGAGAGGATTCCCAGTGTTCCAAAAGCCCGGCTGCCCTGAGTTATGCACAGACTGGTTAGTCAATGCTTGCTTTCACTACCTGCCATCCTTCTGCTTATAAATCCCCTTTGAACCAAAGTACTTTTAGGTGGGTTTGTGACATTTTACAACTGAATGGCCTAACTGGTACAGTGAAGGTGATGCCCCTTCTCCGAGGCCCAGGGCTAACACCTGTAGGGAGGAATTCCAGATGGGCAGGCAGGCACTCATGAGGAGTGTGACCAGAACACACCAGCTGTGTGTGGAAAATACATCAACCCACCTGTGTGCAGAACACACAGTATATGTGCCATAAACACATGAAAGCCATAGCAACTGTAGAGTCAATATCTGCTATTCTAGATTTTATTCTTGTGGCTGTGAAGCAGTGGGAACTGTTTATTCCTGGACTTGTATCACCCAATCATGGAGGAACAGTTATGACTCTGATCACTAGAACACTCCAGTAGTTTGTTAAGGTTAGGTCAACAAATACATTCAATATAATTTATGGCAACCTTTTGGTTGATGGGCCACATTTAATAATGCTTTTTGACATAAGTGGATACAAGTAATGCCTAAAAACAACTATCAAAGAAGCATTGTCTAATTCCTCTAACAAAGTAATCCTTTGGATAACATGCTTATGTATAGTAGCTATAAAATCTCCAAAATTCTCAAACAAAATTTACATCATTTTAAAAGTGTTGAGCTGATCATCGTTACCAAATAAAGTATATAATCTTTGTATCCTGGATCCAAAAATACAGTTGTAAAGGACATTTTTGATGGACAACTGGACCTGGAAATACTATTGTGTCAATGAGATTTCTTGGGTTTGATGATGGCCTGTGGTTCAGGAGAAGGTCCCTGTCTCAAGAAGGCACATGGTGAGAAGTGTCACAGTAACTGGTCACATGTTCACTGTGCTATTCTTTCAACTTTTCTAAATCATGGGAGCATTTTTTTTAAATGCTAGTCTGGTATTTGTCATTGTTAGAAGGGAAAGGGGTATTATTAAAAGACTTGAGAGATTTTATTAGGAAACCAAACAGCTTACACACCCTGGCAATAGTTTACATCTCTGGGACTGGGAAAATATTGTCCTCTGCTTATGGACTGTAAAGTCACAATTCTCCAGAGACACTTTTGGCACCCTTCGGCTTTTGAACGCCCCCAAACACTCAGACATGGGCAGTCAAGAGGAGCCACAGGCACCTCAGCAATCATAAAGACTCTTGGGTTCCTGCTAAACGCACAGCAGCCTCCTGGTTCACCAAGCAGGAAGAAAGCCATGCTCTGACTCCCTGGCAATGTCTACTTAAAAAGCCACACTTTCACAGAAACCACGAAGGGGGTAAATAAAACATCAGTGTGTTTGTGTGCAACGGTGGCAATGAGAAGTAAAAAGTGAACGCTGATATCGGAGAAGAAAGCTAACACTGAAGAGGTAGACGAGGGAGCACCTCCCCAGCCAACATAACTTGTAGAACTTCCTGGGTGTCCACCCTGTGCCAAGATCACTCAACACATCATGTGCACAAATTCCTTTAATCTTCAACAACCACCTTGTGGAGGCAGAAACTGAGTTTACAGAGGAAACCAGCTGGAGAGGTTAATGCCAAGGCCATATGGATTGTGAAAAGTGCAACCAGAATGTAAACCCAAGTGTTTGACTTAAAAGCCAAACAACCACTTACACTTTCCAGTACTCCTTCCCTGCTCAGCTGGGCCAGTACTGAGTGCAAGAAGGGGTTGTTTCCCAATTCTCCATGCTTTTCTGTATTTTATTAATAATAAGAGCCAGAAGCAAAAAGGAACACATTGATAGGAAACCCCTGGGATTGTGTATGTGTCCACGCGGGGGACGATGTACGTGTCTGTGCAGAGGATGTTGGGGGGTGAGGGGTGGTGGTGATGCAGGGAAGCAGCCCCTGAAAGCACCAGTCCAACAGTGAACTACAGCAAGATACTCAGCTGCCTTCATTCACTCGGCTACAGAGAGGCTTATTCTCAGTGGGACTCAAAGCTTCAGTGATTAATGCAGAAGTCAGTTAAACATGTACAAAACCTATAGAAAGGTGCAGAAAGCCATTTTGCATCAATCCCAAAATTCCTCCTGTGAGAAGCGGGAGAGGTATAGGGAAGTTGGGTATATGTAAGTGATACTTGAACATCTATAGCCAATGTGAAAAGGATAATTACAGAAAAAATGTAAATGGATGAGTCTATCATCCGTTTATCTACAGAATAGATCATCAGTGCTTTGAAAAGGAAACTTCAAATTCTTAGCACTGAGACATCAGTTATCAAACAGGACACCCCACATACAGTCAACAGCCCTGTGGTTGTCATTGGACTCACCTGGGAAGCTTTTAAAATCCTGATGCCCAGGTCCCATCCCAGACCAATTACATCAATCTCTGAGAGTATGTGTCAGTATTTTGTACAATTAGCCCCTGAGAAATTCTAATATGCAACCAGGGTTAAAAGTCAGTTTCTAGTCCAATGCTCAATGAAAAGGTATGCTTTGTTGTTTGTTTCTTTTTTTAATGAACAATTGCAATTGTCTAAGCCAGTATCTCTCAAACATTTTGGGACACGATCTTCAGTAAGCCTGGACCTAATTTATGCCAAACAGATAAAAGCATCAAGAAACAATCCTTGGCTGGGCGTGGTGGCTTATGCCTGTAATCCCAGCACTTTGGGAGTCCAAGGCGGGCGGATCACTTGAGGTCAGGAGTTTGAGACCAGCCTGGCCTCATACGTCTTTTAGTAGACACATGGTGAAACTCTGTCTCTACTAAAAATACATAAATTAGCCAGACGTGCTGGTGCATGCCTGTGATCCCAGCTACTCAGGAGGCTGGGGCAGAATCGCTTGAACCTGGGAGGCGGAGACTGCAGTGAGACGAGATCGTGCTATTGCACTCCAGCCCAGGCGACAAGAGCAAGACTCCGTCTCAAAAAAACAGAAAACAAAAACACCAATCCTCACCTTAACTCCTTATGATGCATTGATATTTTGTTTCATTAAATTTTTTCTTTTTTTAAAAAAAAATACTGGTCTCGATCGGCTTTACAAAACACTGGACTAAGAATCTGCATTTTGTAAAGAAAAGCTTCAGTGTTTCATATAAACATGGGTTTAGAAAACCGGATACAGCCTGGTGAAAAAACAGCAAATCTTAACATGGTTGGATTTTATGGCTAATTTCAGGGAAGAGATTTTGAGTCCTCCCACGGAGTTTTCAATGACGATACAAGTGCATTTTCACAGTGCTAGTCAACTTTCATCCCTGGCTATGTGCATGCCGACTTTGATCGCTCCGCCACCGGAGAGAACATGGGCCTTACAGTTAGATCTAAGTTCTAATTAACATATATTTTAGCTTGGTCAGAGCGTCACCCCATTTTCCCACCTGTAAAATGGGGGAAACAATGCAACAATGCCTTTCTGAGAAGATCGTTGTGAAGCCTGAGTGAAGACACCTGGCACAGTGCCGGATTGCTTAAAGATACTCAGAAAGGGCCATTTTACTTCCTTCTCTTTGAGTGTTATTTTGAAGTTCAAAGTCACTTTCCCTGTAACTGAAGGACAAGGGACATTGTTGGTTGTCACAACTGGGGTAGAGAGGTGCTACTGACATTTGATGGGTAGAAGCTAGGGATGCTGTTAAACATCCTACAAGGCACAGGACAGCCCCCACAATTGATTAGCCGGCCCCAAATGTTAATATGCCAAAGTTGAGAAACCCAGCACTAGAGGAATCCACCATGGCAGAGACTGGCCCTGTCAAGGTTATATAGATTTGGATGAGGAAATGGGGATTCACAGAAATTGGGTTAATTACCTAAAAACCATAGCACTTAAGGGGCCAGCATGAACTCTTGAACATGAAACAAAATCTTTTCCAACCCCAAAAGATCTTTCCACTATACCATACTGCCTGCCACCTGCCCTGAAGCAGTATAAGAACTGTCAACAGGCCCATGCTATGCAGTTCTAAGAAAACTAAACCACAAGTGACTGAAAAGCTGTTATCCTAGAGCTTTCAAGTATGCTCCCGTTCTTATTTCCAAATCACATGCTAATATGAACTAAAAGACAACTAGTTTCGACTAGTTGTCTTTTAGGAAGTCTCTAAGGCTAACAAACTAGACCAATACAAGAAAACCATAGCACACATGCCAGAGCAAATAGGGGAACACTTCTCATCATTCTGCCCACTTAGAAGAGCTTAACCGTACCAAAATTACTCAGTACTTGGAGAAAGTCAACCTCTCTCCAAATATTTGTATAGACTCCATCTTCCCAGAAAAGCTGATGTCATTGTTTTGTGCTATGAAAACTATGATAGATGGCAAGAGATATTACTCCACAACAATCAAAACACCACAGGCAAAATAGAAGTCTGGATATAAATTGACAAGTGGTAATGTAGAAAAAAAGTATCTTGAATGCTGCTTACAAACGCAAGTCATTAATCACAGTAGCTAAAGATTTTAGCCCTTCAGAAACTAACTTCCAATAGGCTATTTTGTAGAGGCAGGTTACACTAGTCAAATTAATTGCACTATTTCTTTTGATAAATAATCAAGCAAACATTGGGATTTTACTCAAGAAAAGTAAGTTAATCATTGCTCAGACATAATATTCATGACAAAGTAGACTCAAAATTCAACTGTTATTAAAAATGGACGTTGTTTAGAAATATTGTCACAAAATGACAATTTAAAATGAATTGTAAAATTTAATCTTTAAACAGCATTTATTCAAACTGGTGCATATCTTTGAGATCCTCGATGATTACTAGGTATATATCACAACTGTTTGAGCCAATGATATTAATACGTTATTATAAAGTAATCAACATGACAATACTTTTGCCCGCATCCAAAAGCGCAGTACACTGATTTAGGCCAGACTGACTGATGCTCCCTCCCGTCATCAGGTTCTATTTTAGGACAGGAGGAAAAACATGTTTTCCCATTCACAGTTTTTAAAAATCTTTTTTAATGGATGTCCTAATTGTACACAGAACACAAACCTATCTTCACTTCTCAATGTGTAAATGTGTATCTACTAAGTATACATTAATGTGCATTAAAGACATTCAGAAAACATAAAAACCAAAGAAACATATTAACTGCATAAAAATTTAAAGTTGCTAAATGGTAAAGCAGCTAGAAATTATAAAGTAGGGAAATGTTGAATAGCTGACATAAAGATTCTTAGTAAGAACATTTTACATTCCAATATTACAAATGAGTACAATATGCAATGCATGAAAAATAAGCCAATTCTGAGATGTTGAAGCACCTATCAGACGTACAAATGACGAGCTACCTGGTCTAGATGGAATGAAGTGTTAGCTTTAAAATTTGAGTTAATTTAATAACTTACATCTTCACCCAGGAAGCATCAGAGCTGAGGAAATAAACCTCAGCAGTCAAGTGTTACTAAACCTCATAGTTTGAAGATATTACTCCGTGATGTGTGGAGCACAGAGTAGCTAAATAGTACTTATAATAAATTGGCTATAGTTCTAAGATTAATCCCTTGTGGAAGAGGGAAAGTTGGCCCTCATCAAGATCATAAATGGCTGGGCATGGTGGCTCACACCATGTAATCCCAGCACTTTGGGAGGCTGAGGCAGACAGATTGCTTGAGCCCAGGAGTTCAAGACGAACTTGGGCAACATAGCGAAACCCCAGCTCTACCAAAAAAAAAAAAAGAATAAACTGTTGCACCCTAGTGAGGAGCTGGTTGTCACCTATCCTAAGTGCATGTGTCTTCTCCCCTACCTCCAACACTACTTCAATTTTGTGCTTACAAAACAACCAGATAGATTCATTGCAGCATTATTTAGAACAGCAAAAATGAGAAACACCTAAATCTACCAATAGCAAGATTGGTATTTTTAAGTACGTCTTTATAATGAACTCACTACATTTATGCAGTTACAACACTTGACTGTATTTACTAATTTCCCTGGCACAGAGTTTTTAAAAACAGCCTACAGCACTATAACATAGACACTCACACAAATATACCCCCATCATTAGGGGTAAAAGGCTCCAAGGATGTATAACGAAGTGTTAACAATGTTTTCTTCTGGGTGGCAAGATTTTAAGTTTTATTCACTTTATAGTATTTTTAAAATGCTTTAATGTAATAAACATATGCTATTTTTCTGTCAGGAGAAAAACATTTTCACTTAGAAAAGAGAGAACATAAGCAGTAAAAAAGAAAAACTGGACACTAACTTCATTTCTGCTAGAATAATTCATATTCTCCCTCATCTCATTTTTTAAATTAGTGACAAAATCAACAGTTTAGAAATGACACCATAAGATGAACTTTATTTTAAAGCTCATAAAAGTGTTCACAATCAGTTACAACAGGATCGACATTTCTTCCATTCCACACTTTCACATGACAATATACTGTATAGTGAGAGAGAAAGTTTAAAGTTTTTGTTCTGCATGCTGCTAACACATTTGACTAGCTTTTGTTTTACTCATTGAATTTTTAATATCAAAGCAAAAAGTCATTTTCTCTTGGACAGAAATGGTTTTAGAAAGCCCTTATGAAGTCAGACTTAGTCTTGTTTATAAACATCCACACCCACACACATGCTGAATGGAGAGCAAAATGCAAGAAAACTACCTTGGCAGGAACAAATGCTTAAAGATTTTAATCACAGCCCTCTTGAACAAGCAGTACAGTTTTTTTTCTCCAAAAGACAAAAGTCAGTTTCATCCTCAGTGATGCAAATGGTGAGACTGCACAGAAAGCTTAGTATGAATTCACAATTCCACAGGAATCTGAAAGTTACCAAGGCAATTTTCCCTTTTAGGATCATAAAGACTACAGACTTAAGCTTTTTTTCTTTTTCCATATAATACACAAAATTTCTAAATATCCTTAAAAAAGAAAATATAAATAGTTTCAGTATGTTATGTAGAGTCACATACTATGGCAAAAATATTTTATTAATTGAAGGAATAGGCCAATTTAAGGTTATCTAGTCCAAGTCCATATTAACAGAATTTTTCTCATTAGGGTAACATTCACCATTCTGATGTGGAGGTTCAGCACCAAAATTGTTTTTGTCTTCTAAATCTTCTTCCTTTTTATCAATATTTGGGCCATTTGGAGTTCTTTCCAGTTTGGGTGATTCAATTTTTGGTTTCGGTTGTGTTACAACGGGTTCACATGTGTTGTTCAATTCCTAAAGAAAACAAAAACTAGTTATCAGATTAACTCAGATCCATCCAGTTCATTTTCAACTGCTTCTCCACATACTCAACCCACTATTTTTCTACCAACTCCAATTACACATAAAATAATTACATTTTCTCATTACACTTGCCCCAAACCACAGTTTACATTCTGACCAAAATAGAGTATTAATATTCTTCCAGGATGTGTTAGGACTATGTACTTACATATATTCCTTCAATCCTCACAACAGTGTTAAAAGACAGAAATTATAATCTCCACTTCATGGAAGACAATGGTTCAAAGAGGTTAAGTAACTTCAAGATCAGGAAAACTAGTGAGGAAAGAGCTAGAATTCAAGTTTACAGCTTGAAACTGACAGTGCTTAAAAGGGTCACTTTTCCTTGACCTTCACTGTGTTTGAACATTACTCCAGAAGAACACTTTTCCCAGTTTCCTTCCAGCCTCACATACAACAAGACCTAGAATTTCCTAACCCCTTTTTCCTTACTTTGTTTCCCTATAGCACTTAACATCTCTGATAGATGACACAGGCTTGTTTACTGTTGGTCTCCCTCCCATTACAAGATGAGTTCCATAAGGGCAGAGACTACACTTTGCACACTTGTTTAATCCTGAGAACAAGGACTGGTACATGACAGGTGCTCAACAAATACACTTGTTGAAATGAATGAATAAATGGAGAAGTGGAAATTCAACAAACTTATGAGGTCTTCTGTATTTTGTGACAGAATAATAGACTAAGAAAAGCTGGTTTCAGTTAGGATGAGGTAAAAGATTTACAGGAAAAATGGCTATGTTGAAGGTTCAAATGATTGCAACTTGAGTCCGTAAGTGAACCCAGCAGTAAACACGAGACAGTAACACTCACCTTGATTTTTGTTTTAATTTCCTGAGCACGTACAACTGGATCCTGATCAAGACTCTTTTTAGCCTGAGCATTCATGACATTATTCATCCATTCCATCACTTCATTAACAGACTTCTCCACTTTTTTCATTTCAGACTCATCAATATGGTTGTATTTCTCATCCTGAACAAAAATAACACGGTCATTCTGTAGAATTTATTGAACAATAGTATCTCATTTGACTCAACTTTCCAGGAAGCTCAAGTTCAAATCTACCTCTAACCTCAAATACCAAAATTTCAAAGTTAAGACTATTCATGATGATTCCCAGCTTAAGTGTTAGCTTATTAAAATCTAGGTTAACTTCCTCCCTATGTACAAAAAGACTGACTCACCTTATTTCTGAAGTCAGCTGCTATCTTGGCATAATGCTGCAGCCTCTGTCCTAGTTCTTCAAACATTTTTGGCCGTTCTTCAGCTTCCTGAAACCGAACTTTAACTGGAGTGCCAATTTTCTAAAATAAAATGTAATAAATTAATAGTTATCATAATTTTATTTTAAAGTCTATAGTTTAAAACACAAGTACCACCTTTTGGGGGAGAAAACGACCTACCATTAATTCTTCCAACTTGTCAACATATGCTTGTTTAGCTTGGTCCTCTCCTTCTTCATACAGCCAGTCTTCAGTTTCTGTGAGGAGTCTCAAAAAATTTTGATGATCCTTAACACAAAATATGACAATATTAGTGGCACTCGTACTTCAGAATTTTTCACAACAAAACAAAGAGGTATTCTCACACTAGGTAGCTAATCTTATCTAGGAAGGCACTCTGATTTGGCTTCTCTGCCTTGTTACACAGAGACCTTGAAAATGGCTCTCATTGACTTAAAATATTTTATCTTAGAAGCCCAATCTGTACAATGAAATGTGGTTTCTAGAAGAGTATCTTCCTGCTCTCCAAAAAATAAAACCAGGTCTTAGTAACTTTTTGTTGACTTACACAACTATCAAATGCTGAAGGGGAAGCTATACAAATTGACAATCACTGAACACATGAAAAAATCATTCCTAACCGGTTCATGTATGGTATGACTTCTACTGTAGCCCTGGGAGGTCCTACCTGGTTCGGTCATCTCAACTTTAGAGATCCCACCATAAGAAACTCAGAGAATGTCAGGACAGAGCTAAGAACTGAATTACATTACAAGGTAGCCCAGAGACCTTAGAACTATTAATAAAACAGACTCCAAATTTCACTTTAAATGACCCGTAACTAAATCCTAGATTTTTATCTAGTCAGTTTCTTTTTTTCCAAGTCCTATCTTTCACAGTTGTGCTTCTGGGATTTACTCACAGCCATACTAACTGGGAGTCAAGAAAAGGGATAAGGGGAATAACGGGGCTTAGTAAGCTCTGGAATTACTGGATGAACACATCTTATGAGATGAAACAATGACAGGAACGCTACCAAGGCAGCAGTGTCACCGCATTTGACGTTTTTAAAAGCGAAGATTTTTCTCGTATTTATCCTAGACCCTATGACAGTAATGCCATAGACTCTACATAAATATTTGATAGGTTCTCTCTTCTAGATGGTAAAAATGAAGAGTTTTGGGGGTAGGCTAGTACAAAATAAAACTGCTCATCAGCAACAAGCCTTTCTCCATAACTTTGTTTTCTGTTTCTAAAAAGTTTAAGTTACATAATTGAGTAAAAGCTTAAGCCTCAACTGTCAATTTTGATATTAAACACTTCATATGAGACTATCTGAACAAAAACAGAGCTCTAAGACATACCTGCTCACATATAAATTTTTCATATGGTCCACACAGCTTGTCTCTGAACTCATACACATATTCCTCAACTGCATTTTTAGCATCATTCCTTTCTTTTTCCAATTTATCTTGCATTATCATCTTACCCTGTCAGGAAACAGGAAAGGTTAATTCCAGTCTTCTAGTTAACTCAAGCTAAATTCTAAATATGTAGACTCTGGGGTTTAAAAAAAATGATACAAAACAAATTTTAGTGTTAACACAGTTCCAACTTATACCTTGTCAAACTCTTCCTACAAACCAAACAGACATTTCCATTTTCTAAATACTCAGGCTGAAGTTTGATTTTTTTAACATTGTAACCGATTACACAGACTTCATATTTAATGCTAAAAAAAAAAAAAAAAAATCAAGCTACTGCTTAAATGTAATTTTGTTTTCTTGTATACAAATGGTTATCCATATTCAGATTAATACTGGCCAATGTATAACAGTCACACCACTCTGCCACATTTTTAAATCAAAGATAAATAAATGGACTACAGTTTATTGTTAAATAAACTCCTAAATACGATGTTCCCACCTCAGTATGGAAAAACCAAATCTCAATTATTTCACATATTATTCTAGAATTTCAGACTACTAAAAAAATACAATGTATTCTAATAGAAATATTTAGTGTGCCGTGAAATTCCAACTGTACTGTGCTCTGTTATGATTTATTGCCATCCAATTTTTTCACAAGAACTCAGCCAATCATGTTATATCAAGCAGAAAGATTTTTTTGTTAAAAAAAATTAAACTGCAAAATTCGTTAGTTTTGTCTTCATCCTATCCCTAAAACTATATAAAACTTGGGATGAGAAAGAATTATGGCCATTTATCTACTAGAAATATAGATATCAGGGCCAAGAAACTAAACATATTTCAAAATAAAAATATTTAATTGAAGTACTTACCTCTGTCTCAATATACATGTTAAGAAGGTCTTTCCCTAACTGCCAGACCAAGTTGGCTTCAATAGGCAGCTCAACATTCACCACCTTTATTTTGGGCTTTTTAGCTTCTGGAGGCTGGTCAACTTTTTTTTCATTTGCCTTGGGAAGAGGAATAAAAAAAGGAAAAAATTTTAAACAACCCACTTGGAAAAACACAAAAAAAATGTCCTCATACTTACTGATGACTTGGGCAAAAATAAAATCTCTAAAAATCATAAAGTTGGAAGGATCTACAGGATCACCTAATTCCCACTATTTTAAATCAGGGCTGCTATTAAATATGCCATACCTTCCTTCAGGAATTCACTGGGATATTTTTCTCTTCTATATTGAACAATCTCTCCTGCTAAAGCTTTTCTTCGCAAGTCTTTACTTTCTAAGCCCTTTAAATATTCTTGTAAATCCCATGAGTCAAAAAGTGAAAATTACTAAATTATCTTTATAGACTCTAGAACCTGTCACCTAAGGATAAGCTTCGACCAGTACAAAACACGTTAGGATCATCTTAATTCCTGTAATATTAAAGGCCCTATATGCCAGTATGCCTGCTTTAATTACAACTAGCACTATGCTGATGAGTGCCTTTTAAAATTTCCTTATTGAACTTGGAGTACATATATATATACTCCATACACATACATACACACACACACACACACACACACACACATTATTACTATCCACCTTTGAATTGTATCATTTCTCATAAGCAACTTTGCAAGGTAAAAAGAGATGAGTCTTAAAGTAGCAAATGGACTGATGTGACACATGCCAATCATTTATGTAGGTTTTTCAAAATATGTAAATACAGGGCTAAAGAAGTAAGTATCTCCTGTGGCCTTCAATTTTCCAAGCCTTTGCTATGCATTTCCATTTCTGCAGGTTCCTACTAATACAAAAATGACAAAGAACACAACTGAGCAGACTCAGTTGTATGACAGATCAGATGACAACCACAGTGTGTAACATGTATCCTGTAGGTAGGATGGTAAAACGGGAAGAGACTGGCCCATGAGGCACAATAATCATAGCCATAGATAATTTTGAGGAGTTACAATGGATTAAAAATCTTAGGCACTTTATCGAAGAAACTGGGTCTAGAAAGTTCAATGACTTGCCTAAAATTAAAGAGATGGAATTAGATCCCACGTTCCAGAGACTGATCTCAGTGTTCCTTAGAAATCACCTATCAAGTGCCATAAGCTGTATCACTACGGATGAGCTAGGCAGTCAGCCTACAGTCCTCCCCACATCATTTTCCTGCTAGTGCACACAATCCTTCAATACATTATGCATGCTCTGAGGGCATGAGCCACAGGAAAGAAAAATGAATCCAATCAAACATACACCTAGGAAGACACTGGAGAGCAACAGATGTTGGGAAACAAATGGATAACAGCACATGTACGGAAGTTAAATGAAGACAAGACAACCTGATAGTACCCAATTAAACCAACTACTGACAAAACCAGCATCACAAAATGGCATTTCAACATGGAATGGATGAGGAACCGTCTCCAAAGGGGTGAGTAATCATGCTCCAAAAGGTTTGAGACTAGTGGTCCTACCTACAACTAAGGAGCATGAATGAGATCCTACCCAATGTCATGTTCTAGACAGGTACTAAGACTATCGGCAAGAGTTGATGTGTATGCTCATCCCAAGTCAAGGAGTGTGCTGTTGAAACTAAGCATCTATTTTTCCAAATAACCACCATCATCACACAACTTAACAGTAGAAAACAGAGAGCAGCTTTCAGAAATCAGAGTCAGGACCCATAGCTCACATTGGGAGCCCCCAGGATCAATGAGGGGACAGAAAAATTAAAAACTGGAAACTTTTACATAGTATAGAAACCTATCCTGACCCAATGAAAGATTCTGTAATTTGCCTGAGGATAAAAAACTCTACCCTCAGAATATAAGAGAAACCAAACAACCAAGAGCAGGCTAATTATTTACATGTAACTTGTACAGAAAATAAAGTTCTACAAAACATACGGTGATTCATAGTTAACAACAGAAATTTTTCAATATCCTTCTGACCATGAATCTTAAAGGTTTGATTACAAACTGTCATTTTCCAAGGCACACAACATCACTATTTAAGTTAGCTTCCAATACCTACTGTGGAAGCAGGACAAAAAAATAATTACCTTGAAGTGCAATCTGGTTATTACCAGATCACCATAATTAATTTACTTAAATTTGACCGATGGCTTGAGAGGAGAAAGTTTACTAGACTCCTATAGCCCATATATTTATCATCTGATTAGTTCAAGTGAAAACTAATCATGTAGCCCTGGTAAATATCAAGTTCTGCCTTTGGTATTAGAAGATACCTCTGCTCTTTGAAAGACAACGAACAGTATACATTAGTCTCTTGTTACTTCGAGTGGCAGTTAATCAAGAGAAGCTTTTAAAAGTTTAAAGCAGGACATTCAATTCCCTTAATTGAGCTTGAATACCTCTAACTGGTTTTAGTTGAAAAATACATAGAAAATCAACAGAAAAAAATCCTACACAGAACGAAATCAATTGGTGCTTGCTCTTGAAACTGCAATTTAATGATATCATTAATGATTACACTTTGCAACATTGTCTAATGGAATGAACTAGAAGAGTCACTCACTTTGTCAGCATCTGGGATTTTGTTTTCTTCTGAGGTAAGTTCAGGTGAAGGGGGAGACTGTGAGGTTTGTTGAGCATCAGTTTGTACCTGGGGCTGTGTTCCAGCTTCACTGTTGTCTTGCTGGACATTTTTCTGAAATGAAAGCCCAGGCACAAAGGATGTAGAAAGCAGGTGTACTTGTATAAATTTTTAAAGTTAAAGGGCACCAAAGAAAGTACACTCAATTTCTGAAATCTTAACAGGTGGGGAGAAAAGGTACTGGATAAAAACAAAATGAACAAAGTACTTGAAAACTTCTGTAGAAATTCTAAACCTGTAAAAAAATTCTTTGAATGACAGTAGTTAATATCGTTAAATAACACAAGTAAGCATTTAATTGATGTGATGACAATCAAGAATCAAGAACTCTCCCTTAGGAAGCTCATCTAAGTTAGTACAGATATTAATTCTCTAAGGCACTGGAAATAGATTACTCCAGGCCTCTTTCCTAGAAACAAGCTTCCAAAACCTATTTTACCAGCAGCCATCATGGATCTCAACATATCTCCATTTCAATTTACTAAACAGTTACATAAAATGGCCAATTATCAGTTATTTCGGGATTCATCACTTCAGCTTATAGACAGCCAAGACTCACTCTGTCCCCACTTTCTGTGATCCAGCTATTTATACCTTAAAAGATCTCAGAGTAAAGAATAAATGCTACACATTAACAATCCTAATTAAAAATTTGGTAAAGAAAAAGAAGAATGAACCCTAGAGTTTCCTAATTTTCTTTTTTAGTAGCCCTCAATCCCTAATATATTAGTGCTTGCTTGATCTTTACCCATCTTTGGAAGAGGGCTGAAATACTCTAGGTTAACTACTTTCTGTCCACACTGAACTCTCTCATATTTTTCTTCTAAGGTCAAGATTCTAAGATAGACACTGAAGTATTTAGAAACAAGGCATTCCTGATATCCAAAAGGTACTAAAGAGATTGAGAAAGTATATGGCACTCATCATTTAACCCATTACTGTACATTAGAATTTTTCTAGATGAGAATAAAACTACGGTTCAGAATGTTTATGTTGCTTAGATGTTCTAGAAAGGTAACAGTGATCACTAGATAACGCACTTTCTCACATCTTAACTAAAACACCACACTGCCTCCCTCTTAAGCTATTTCTAGTTATTCCCTAGAAATAAACTGTAATTATTGTAATACTTTAGCTTCCTAAAATTCTTCTGTTGACCACACAGAACTAGCACTCATGCTAATGATGAATAACAACTCTTACTATACGCTACACAGACACTTCTCTTCCTTCCTCCCACCATACAGAAAACCATGTAAAAATAAAAACAAGTTCTAAAATATCAAAGCCAATTTTGCCATACAATTTAAAAAACTTTAATATTTGGTAGCTATTTCAAACAGTTTTTGTAGCAGTCTGTTTTTTAAGTTTCTTAAACGTCAGTCAACATTCGACTTCTCAATGTGTGGTCTATGTCTTCAAAAAACCAAAAAACTCCCAACTCAATAAAACATCATCTACTCTGTCATATACTAGTTACTTCAAATTAAGTTACACAGAATTTAGTCACAATTCACCAAATTTCAAGCTGTGTATTACCACTAACCGGCAAGCGCTATTATCATTACCTAAAATTCTGATCAAAATTATTCATGAAGGAAAACATTCATTTTAACCCTTCCCTACCCAATTCTCCTATAGCTTAGAACTAAGTCAACTCTATTCAAACACAAAGGTTTATCCACAAACTTACATCAGTGTCTGGGTTTTCTGGTGGTCTCTGATTCAGACACTCCATGTCAGCTTCAGAAGACATTTCATTCTCCTCAGTTGGGACTTTCTCCACCATAGATGCCGTAGAGATGGTGAAAATGCCATGGGTGTTGACTCGCACTTTGACTTTTACTCTAGATTTTTCTCCATCTTTCTGTGCAGAAACATTCTGAACTACAAAGCGGCCTAGAACAACAACAACAAAAATCACAAAATCACAATTTATTTAGAATTAAGTCTAAATCTCTGTAGAGGAGGCCAGGTGGGTGGTTCATGTCTGTAATCCCAGCACTTTGGGAGGCCGTGGTGGGTCACTTGAGCCCAAGAGTTTGAGACCAGCCTGGGCAAGATAGTGAGATCTGTCTCTACAAAAAAAATACAAATTAAAAAAATGAATAATAAATTAGCCGAGCACAGTGGCATGCGCCTGTAGTCCCAGCTACTCAGGAGTCTGAGGCGGGAGGACTCCTTGAGCCCAAGAGTTCAAGGTAGCATTGAGCTATGATCACATCACTGCACTTCAGCCTGGTGACAAAGTGAGACCGTGTCTCTTAATAAATCAATAAAAATCTATCTGTGTAAAGGAGACAGATAAGAAAAATACAAAGGCTAAAAAAATAACACTTGAGAACTGCTATTGTAAAATCTTCTACCTAGTCTTTACCAAATTGAAGTCCTCTAATATATACTATAACTATGACCTCTTAAAATATATACACTTGAAATTAATCTTAGCATGCCATAAAAACTTTCAAAGGTAAGGGCACTCTTATAACTATTTTAACACTAGGCAAACACTGAATCTAAGATACTGATAACAAGCAGTCCTTGTCTCCTCCTACCCTACTTCTCCAGATGGGTGAGCACAAACTGGACATGAAAATTTGTTTGCAAGCATAAGGAAGATGATAGCAAGCACATGCTGAATTTTAATCCTATAACCTTTTAAAGAGTACCATTCTCTTGGTTAAATAATCAAAACATTTAGCTGTTTTAAATAAGGGAGGTGAGCCAAAATCTGTATGAAAGCCTGAAATTATTATGTACAATACAGTGGGGTTCCAGAACATTACTAATGGTTAAAAGTGTAGACTTTAATCCAGACTGTCTGGGCTTGAATCCTGGCTGTGTGACCTGTTACAAAAGTTACCTTTCTATACCTCTGAGGATTAAGTACAGTGAGCACTTACTACAGAACCAAGTGCTAGGTGTAAGTTATAGCCACAAGTAAGTACTGTTACTCCAGAGACCACTGAGTCAAAAATAAGTATTTTGAACCTATTATGTGCAAAGCTCTAAATGGAATTTAACTGCCTAGTATTTAAAGTGCTGTCTATATAAACACACAGAACTATAGATTTAATTACAATGTCACTGAAAGATGAAGGAATACACCTTGATTAATTGTCAAATCAGTAGTTCAGGAAATATTTGCCAAAAGATCCATCTATCTAAAGAAACAGCATTTACTCTGGAAAGTGGGATGTAAGATGGCTCAAGCATGTACGACGTTTTCAGTTTCAATCAAACATGAAAAATTAGATGCCATGCCAAAGAGCTGGGATTTTATCTTCCACACAGTAACGAGTTAATGCACAGATTCCAATTTATCAAAATCTTACAAGTCTACATGCAATGATTTCTTTTCCTAAAAATAAATTCATGAAAACTGTTTTTAACAATACACCACAACTCTGGGTCAGAACATTTTAGCCTTTAAAGTAGTAAGAAAGAAAACACAACTGATCAGGTTGGACTCCTTCAAACAATTTATTTATGAAAAGGTGTGAGGCAAGGGTACGTCCTGAAAAGACCTAGCAATATTGGCAAATTTCACCTATGGTCTGGGAAAGAGAGTTACTATGGGTAAAAGTAGATGGATGGTGTCAAGTGTCCCCCCAAAATATGTACCAAAAAAAACTTATCTTTAGAAAAGATAACACAAAGGTACACTTGAGAAGTAGATTCACAATGGTCGCTGACTCAGGTTTTAAATTAGAAGTAACAGACTGCAAATTACACTTAATCTAGAGAAAAAGTTAGTATTAAAAGCACGGATAATCCTTTATATACAGACTGTATCAGAACAGTGAAAATATTAAAGTGTTCATATATATATACACACACACATACTTTTAAGTAACAGCAGAACTCCAAGTAACAGAACTACCAAGTCATTCTATCTCTAGACCAGCTGACTCCTCAATAAAATGAAGATATTTCTCCATCACCATTATTCTAAACAGAAAATGTCTTCACACAGAATTATGTTCCCCTCAACATTACTAAGAATAAGACAACTTTTAAAGTTTGTACAATGAGTGAGAAGCTAAGTCTTTAACTAAAAGAGTAAAATATACACAATGAACTCCTTACCTATTTTTGCTTCTGGATATGGAACTCCTTGGGGATCAGAATAGAAAGCTTCTAGCTCAAAAGGCCCCCTTCTCAGAAAGGTGAGAACTTTGGAGAAAGGAGCAGCATGGTTTCGACTAAAGACTTCATGAACACTAGAGAGAAAAGAAAAAGGCATTCAGCAGATGAAGAACTTAAAATATGCTTACTGTGCTACACAAACAGAAAAGAGGCTTTCTAAAATCTTTATCAATTCTATCTCATCATTTACAATACCAAAATGAGAGAAATATTTTGGTAGATTTGGTTGTTCAAAGATTCCAGGTAAATTAATGACTACTAGAGAAGTCATTTGTTAATGACTCTACTAGAGAAGTCATTTGTTAATTTTTCTTCTTTACATTATAGTATCTGAATGTTATTTTCTGCTACATACCCTTCAGTATCTTCTGAATCATGGTTCCAGATCAGAGATATTGGAAAAGGAACTGCATCTGTGACGGAAAATTCTCTAACTTTAAATGCCGGGGAAAGTATTGCACACTTAAAAAAAAAAAAAAAAATCATGAGCACATGAACACTTCCCAGTCATCTTTTAATATAAAACTCAATTCCAATGGATGGACAGGGTTTTCAAAAAAAAAAAAAAAAAACAACTCACATTCCAGAATTGTTTCCAGTATATTTCATCTAAACAAAGAATTTATTTTACCATCTAAATACTATGCCAATTACTAGGTACAAAGACAAATAATATATCTTAGGATAACGACAATTAATCAATAACAGGTTTCACAGGGGATTAGGAAAAAAGCCTGGTCTTTCTAGAAATGCCTTGCTGATAGCAATTTCAAATTGTATCACTTTTGAATATGTATAATACATACATACATGAACAGTTCTGTCTACACTGCTTTCCAAATGTCTGAGAAACCCCCCAAAGGGCCATAATGTTCATATTTTTAAGTAATTTTGTAAATGAAGCAAGCAATGGTAAATTCAAATTTGGGAAAGGCAACACCCAACAGATAGGTGGACAATTCCCTATTTAGACAGGACATATAAAAATAACTAAATAGATGATTAAGCTAAATAGACCAAAAAAGTCAATTCATCATTTACTATAGGATCCTTCAAAAGAGAGGCCAAAATTAGCTCTACTTCTGAAGAAAATATAAACTTCCATCATTTGAAGGAATCAGTTAATTAAGGAGGCATATTCCATTATGAAGAAAAAAGCAAAAACAAAAACCCCATAGAACAGGATGGATAATACAATGGATTATTATTAATATTTAGTATCTACATATTCTTCCTTTTATAAGTATACAAAGGCAGTCAGTCACTCTAAATACCTTTGTTTACAGAATCCTGTTTCATATTTTAAAAACTGCTACTAGCTTAAAACTCAAATGTTAACTTGAAACTTTATTTAAAACTATATTTAGATCTTGACTATAATATCCTAAATATAAACTAATTATTTTCTTTTTTTAACCGAATAACTTCTAGATTTGGTGTTTTTCACCAAACTAACTTCATGCTTCTGGGCTGCCTTTTTATCTGATAAGCAGATTAAAAATCAATTTGGGGATAAGAGAGGGTTATCTATTTTCTAAAACCATTTGTTAATATTTCTAACACCCTGAAAACTTCCCCTAAATCAATTCCTTATTATATCAGATTACCACTGTAATTCCCTGTGTGCTTTTTAAGTAACAACTGCCACTACTACACAGCTAATTAGTGTTTCAGCTGTGTTTTCTGTGATATCCTCAGAATCATGCCTGTTTTTGATTTCCAGCTTGAGAAACACCAGCTTGGTAGTTCTTTCAATTGAAATTTACTGGATCTTTTAGATTTGAGTAGCCTTATCTCCCTACAGCTTTACGGGTTTGTTTAAAATGTCCTTCTGCTACCTAGACACAGGTCTCTGTTTATTATCCCACCATGACGACATCCAGTGGAAACTGTTTAAAGACTGTACACCAAGCAAAAGCAGAGTTGAGAAAGTACCTGTAATGCACATCCTCTGGCTACTGCTTCATCTGCATTGAGTGTTGTGCTAATATCTTTTCCAAAGAATTTGGCAATTCTTTCCTTCACAGCTGGAATTCGTGTAGCGCCTCCAACAATCTCAACTGCACTCACATCTTCTACTTTGAGATGAGTTTGTTCCAACAGTGAATAAAGGGGTACTTCTATCTTTTGCAGAAGTTCAGCACAGAGTTCTTCAAATTGTGACCTTAGCAAATAAAAACTTGTTTTTAGAAAAGTTAAGACCAATATCCTGTCCTACTTTTGACAACCCAATGAATTTCATTATTTTCCCCCTCAGACACCTTGGATCCCACATGGGCCAAGTTTAGCTGTATTGTAGTTTATAGCTCTTTTGTTTTTGATAAATACACCAAACAGGTGCAGAAAGATGATGCGGAAGACAGTTCTCCTGGTATTACTCAAACAAATCATTTTACATGCTTATGACTGCCATTTTACCTTCTAAAATTTTTCCCCCTGACACAGAGTCTTGCTGAGTGCAGTGGCACAATCATAGCTCACTGGAGCCTCAAATTCCTGGGCTCAAGGGATCCTCCCACCTCAGCCTCCTGAAAAGTTGTGACCATAGGCATGTACCACCATGCAGCCCTTCTAAATGTTTTGATCTGATTCCATTACTTTCAATGGTTATTTCCAGTCCCTGCACAGTATCTCTGTGAAACGAGTTTTCAATTACTGGCCCAGAAATACTAAAAAGTGAAAATACCACGAAGACTTGAGGGTAGTACTTAGACCCATGAGAGTACTTAGCAAAGGTATTTTTAAAAGCCCTCTTCACATAAGTGCCCCTAGAGCTAGTGGTGATAAACAACAGCATCTCCAGCCACAGGCATGTAACACACAATTCTGAAATGTAGGCCAAGACTCACAACACCCACTAGAACTGACACCTGGGCTACAGTTTCAAAAGAAGTTCCATCTATTTAATCTGTAGAATTCAAGACACACCTGTTCATCTTTCCGGAAACATCTTTATCATTCATAAAGCATTCGATATTCAGTGGAAGGTCTGTGCTGTTAGAGCTCATTAGCTTTTTCAGTTTTTCACATTCCTGATACAGACGTAGGAGTGCTCGTATTTTGGATTTTGCATCCAACTTGTACTTAGTTTTAAATTCTGCACAAAAATGTTCCACTAACTTTTCATCGAAGTTTTTTCCTCCTAAGAAAGGATCAAAAGCTGTTCCCAGTACCTAATTTGGTTGAAACAACAAATAGTCTGGTTATTTTCAATCACATTTGTAACTAGAATCTTAAATATTACTACTCAAACAATGAAAGACTAAGAGACTCAAGACTATATTTAAATTATAACATGAAATCCAAATCAGTCAGGAATAAATCTCTAAGATATTTTTGACTTTTAAATGACTACATAGAAAATAACTGTAAAAAGCCTTTTCTTTCCTAAACAAGAACACTTAAGAGTATGCTAAGACAATTACATCATCTTTATGGAGCTCAACCTTAGCAACCGTTTCCTGTTAACATCTTTACCTAAAATAAAACTCTTCATTACCAAGAAGAAAAAGCCTAGTAAAGAGGCTCAGTAGCTTAAAGTCACAACACTTAACGTGTTTTGGACACTGAGTTCCAATGTATGACTTTACCTTCAATTTTCCCTTGTTAAAAGCACAAGCAGACACTTGAAAAGCTGAATGTCCCATATCAACAAAAACCACTATCCGAGGTTTCTCATCCAGGCTTGGGAGATCCTGCTTATAAATTCCGTAATTCAAAGCAACTACAAAAAATAAGTATGTTTCAATTCTTTGGTTCACATTTTCTTAGGAATCTCACTGTTACATAAAATTACACATGCAGGAAGCTTGACTATTAACTTGAAACAATTAAAGGTGAACACATTACATTCCTTTTATACCTGACTTCACACTGATTTTCTTGGAATTAATTATTACTCTCTTTCTGATTTCAGAACAATGCTCTATCACTTTTCAATATATGGAGATGTGCTAGACAAAACATATGGCGTGAATACAGTGAAACATAACCACGTATCACAGACAGTATCAGACTCATTATGCAATACTTACATTTTAACCACAACCTGCTAGGACACCGCTTATCCAAAAAAATTAAGAATTTAATATACAACTACAGCAACTATAGTTCCTACCAATTTTTAGATCTGAGCTAAATAGCTGATCAACCTTAAAAAGTTTTTTTCTGAACTTTAAACAACTGTATTTCTAAACATGTATACCTAAAAACATATTTTTACCAATATTTAACAGTTTTCCAAAAACCTAACAGAAATATGAGTAAAACTTTTCAGCATAAAAACTGATTTTTTTCCTTAACTGATTTTTTGTTCATCTGTAATCATAATAAACTACCAAAAGCTCAAGAAAGAGATGCTGTAATCACCTCTGTATATCCACAATACCTAGCCTAACACATTCAAATAGTACAGGCTTAAAGCAATATTTGATAAATGATCACCTATCTACAGTTCAGTAGATAAAAAAAAATTTTTTAAACTAAATCATTTACTTATAAGCCAAGGTAGTTTTGAAGCCCAGAATTTTAAGATTGTGGGAAAAATTGCTTCCTAACTATAAATGCAATGTAAGGAAACAAAGCTAAATCCAACCTACATTTTCAAAGGATTAAAAAACATGAAAAGAATTCTCTAATGAAAGCAGATTCATAAGTTTGATAAAATACCAATTTCTCATTAACCATAAGCATTTTAAGAGGTAGACTTTTGTTTTCAAATCTGACTTGACTTTTTAACAGGCTGTGTTTCTGTATCTATAAGAAAGTAATAGCACTGAGAACATCTTTAGTTCTGATAGTATATTCACTTCCACACAAATGCCTTTTCCTTACCAGCTGTCATGTCATTCATAAGTCTTAAACAGTTTAGGCCAACAATCTGTGCAGCATCTAACACAGATCGCCTCTCAGCATCTGTAAAGAAGGAGGGGACCTACAAACAAACAAAAAATTTTGAATTATCTAGAACACAAAATATACTTAGAAATTCCTCACAAACCACTTATAAATTCACAACAGTCCAGCTAAGTAGGTGCCTCGCCAAGTCACAAAACAGAAATAGGGCTTTAGTTTTCTGCAAGCTCCTTAACCTTCAGAAACAGTAACTACTTTTGAAAAGGCTGTCCCAAAATTACAGGATCAAAATAGTCTTTCTTATAACCAAGTTCAAGCTGAAATAAAAATTAATCAGGAGTTTCATAAGACATATTCAAAGTTACATAAATCTAAGAGAAAACTTGAAATTAAAGCAGATCAAATCTGCTTCCAAACTAGTTGTAAGTTTCTACTGGCATTAGGAAATTATAATGCTAGGTCAACATTTAATGTTCAACATAATTAAACTATAGGTAAAAACTACAGGAACTTAAAGAGCTAATTCTAACATATGCCACCACCCTTTCAGTTCTGCTATTCACTGAGGTGCTCTTTAATTCAGTCAACCTGTTAAGATTACAAAATCACTTTTTGGCAAAGCCTTTCAATTTTCCTAAGAGTAAAAACAACCCAAGGGCTGAGGTTTCTTACAGCACTGACTTGAGCTATTCTAGTTGTAATTCTTTTTTGACTGCCTTCTAGTGCAGCACTTCAGGATACTATTCAGGAAAAAAAGTATCTAACAACACATTCGTAGAATCATTTAAGTGCAAAGTACCTAAGAGAGAGTTTAGTACGGTGATTTTTCAAAGTTGTCCAAAATATTTGTAGATGCTTGAGAGAGAGACATGAGCAAGAGCAAAGGTGGATCTCTGCTCACCTTTCAAATCAGAACACTTCGTCCATCAGTTTCTCAGCTCACCAGGGGAAAAAAAATGTGGCAAAAAAAAAAAAAAGGAAGGGAGAGAGTGGGGAGGGAGAAGCCACTGACTTATAACTTAATTCTTTAATTTTGCCAGAGATTAAAACACTTCCCATCTTGCAAGGACAGCAGGAGAAATGTTAGTTCTTCTGCCTCATTCATTCATAAAGGCTTGTTGCTGACTGATCTCAGCCGGCCACGTTGCTCATACTATAGAGCAAAGACCATGCTGTATTTAAGTCCAAAAGCATACCCCACAACCTATCAAGAAGTGACCCAAGACACCTGGGTGAGCAGAATTTACCTTTTTGGTGTCCAAATAAAAGATGACTTTTGTCCATTTCAAGTACCCTTTGATAGTCTAACTAGTAATTGTCCACTGAAGGTAACAGGCTTGCTAGTGTTAAAAATTTAGGTTTTGTCACTACTGGTAAGCTACGTTTTAAAACTCCTAATACACTGGTTTCTCAACGGAGGGTAGAATTCTTTCACCTGTGAAAAGCTCCTGTGTTAAATGTACAAGCCTGATAGTGCAGCAACTAACTGTATTAGAATACTCACAAATGGAACCAGTCAAAATCTGTATTTTCAAAAAGTCTCACAAGAGATTTTGATTTCCAGTCAAGAACCTTTGCCGCTTCTGGCTAAAAATATCACTCAAATCTACTTTGTAATGCTCTGGAACACATGTTAATACAGTCCAGTAGAACACGGTCTCTAGTAACTAAAGAACAGCTTTCCCACATTTCATACTTAAAAGTAATACAAAGAACGCAAAAATGAAATAAAACACACTGCCTTGCTGAATTATACTTACTGAAATAACACAATCTGTTACTGGTTTCTTGAGGCTGTTTTCAGCAGTTTCCTTCAGCTTAGTCAACAACATGGCTGTTATCTGCTCCACACTAAATAGATGTTCTTCACCCATGTACATTACCTATATTGAAGGGAAAAAATGTTTTAAACATTGTAGTACTTTAAGCTACATGCCAATATTTAACTTCCAAAAATTAGCACACATTCCCTTCCACAAAATCTTTATTTTATTGTTGTAGTTGTTTTGGGAAGAAGGAAGAAAAGGAGGAAAAAGGGAAGGGGAAGGAGGGAAGGGGGAGAGAAAGGAAAAGAGAAAAAAAGAAAAAGGAAGAAAGAACTTCTACCTAAAGATGAAGAGGAGCGGAAGAAAGCTAGGGCAGATATACCCCACCCAAAATCTAAGTCAAAACATTAAAGAAGGTAGTAAATTTCCACTCTAACTGAAGAGATGAATCACTAGGATAAATATTATTGTGTGTTGATCACAAGACAGGAATACCTCTGCAAGTTTAAAAAAAGATTCCTGGTGTTACTACACTATTGCTCTCCAAACAACTGCAACTGGGCTGTCTCAGAACAGACTTTTGTTTGATACATGAACACAATGTCGATTTTTTTTCCAACATCAAATAAACCTAAATTTTACAATTGCCAAAAAGTCAGAAGAAACACAAATTAAGTTATAGCATATATATTACCATTTGAATAATATTCAAAGACAATTTAGCGTCTATCTACTATACTTTAAAAGGAGCTGAATAAAAAAAGAACAAAAAGACCACCTGGTGTAATTAAGAAATTTAAGTAATAACTCAAATAAGTTCGTATTTTTAAGTATTAATAAGTTGGTATTTTTCTAAGGTTGCTCAATTATATTACCTTTATTCCAACTCCACCATTTTTCAATGGAACCAAATCGTAACTCAAGTTTTCCTTCTCCTTTTGAATGAAGGGGTCATTGAATGCTCGGCCATGAAATCTTTTGAAGTTAGACACCGTATTGTTTGCATGAGTGATTTGCTGCAAAAAGAAGTTTGAGATTTTAATTTTTTTCTTTAATTTCACCACCTACCAGTAATTTTAGTAATTTTATTTATTCACTTTACAACTCAAACCAATCCTATGAGTGCACATAAGTTGCCCTGAGGCCCACCAATTTCACTGAATTTCCCATCTATGAACAGATTTTATTTATACTTTTTCCTTCTCCTATAGAAAATGCCAGAAAGTAAGCAGCAAGAGGGAACAAGAGGCAAAATAGTGTGACGACAGACTTTAAAGATTTCAAAATCTGCAAGATAAACTCAAAGACAGTGAAAACTATCACTAAAGCTCTGAACAAACACACTAGAATTTTATCACTGTTTCATTCCTTTTTTTCCCTGCTAAACTTGTGAGGTTTTATACCCAATGAATGAATAGATCTAGTAGCACTATAGCCAAATTATAATTTTGTTTAAAAAAGTTAATTTTTGGCCAGGCGCGGTGGCTCACGCCTGTAATCCCAGCACTTTGGGAGGCCAAGGCGGGTGGATCACGAGGTCAGGAGATGGAGACCATCCTGGCTAACACGGTGAAACCCCGTCTCTACTAAAAATACAAAAAATTAGCCGGGCGTGGTTGCGGGCACCTGCAGTCCCAGCTACTCGGGAGGCTGAGGCAGGAGAATGGCATGAACCCAGGAGGCGGAGCTTGCAGTGAGCCAAGATCGTGTCACTGCACTCCAGCCTGGGCGACAGAGCGAGATTCCGTCTCAAAACAAAAAAAAAAGTTAATTTTTATAGCTGGGCATGGCAGCACATGCCTGTAATCCCAGCTAATTGAGAGGCTGAGGCAGGAGAATCGCTGGAACCTGGGAGGCAGAAGTTGCAGTGAGCCAAGATAGTGCCATTGCACTCTAGCTTGGGTAACAAGGGTGAAACTCATTCTCAAAAAAAAAAAAAATTAAAGTTAATTTTTATAGTCTAATAAATTGCTAAGCGGCCAGGATAAACACTCTGTGCCAGAAAATGCATGGATCGCTACCTTTCCTAGCAATAGCATGAAATGCTAGTTATCTACACCAAAAAGTAGAAGGCAGAAGAGTAATTCAACAAGTTTCTAAGTGACCTAATGTTTTCAACTGCATGTGCGTATTCTGAAGACTTGAGAGCCATGGTTTTTAAAAACAAGAAATTGAACTGCTATCTTACACAACTGGCGCACGTTTGTTAAACTGTTGTAAAAGATGGTGTTTTTTTAATCCACCGTTTTGGTCAAATATTTTAGGTAAACTCTAGATTGAAAAGCCCCACTTCAGAGCACATTTCACTCAAGGGTACCTCATTTGAAACAAGAAATAACTGTAAGATTGAAAACTAAGACTTCTGAAATTATTAGCTTAAAAATACCAAAACAGTATATTATTTACTTTTTCTCTTACCTAATTTTTTGAATAAAGGGAAGAATACAGTTAGCTTGGCAGTACTAGTTTTCAAACAATATAGAATTCAAGCAAGTTTAGGTCTTAAAATTCCTTATGTGTCTAAAACTGAGATGAAGTATGTCTAGTAGTATACTGGCCAAATATGAGTCTCAACAGATTCTTCTCAAGTAATCACAAGGATGCAACAGAATTTTAGGTCTAGGCTATCAATATCCTCAATGGGCACATTTAAAGGATTGTTACAACTAAAGTCCCACTATCCTTTTGAACATATTTTGAGTGTGCCTATTTCTCCTTTCCTTTTTCACCCCTTTTAGTTATCTCTCTCTTCCAATGTAACAAGGAAATAAAGTTAAATCCAACCTACATATTCAAAGGATTAGAAAACATGAAACCATTTTCTAATGAAAGCAGATTCATAAGTTTGATAAAGTGCCAATTTCTTATTAAACATAAGCATTTTAAGAGATGTTTTTGTTTTCAAATCTGACCTGATTTTTTAATAGGTCAGTACTAAATACATTCCATAATATATAATACAGTACTCAATCTAATCCAAAATTTTCTTTCTTAGCAATCTATTTTCTGTATTTAGAAAAATGTTTTTTATTTCAAAGAGCCTCTCAAAGAGCATTTCACGTATCTTTTACTGTTTTTCTCTCCACCTCCAAGGGGTCTGTCTAGATCAGTGCTGTTCAACAGAATTATATGTAAGTCATAAAGGAGAGCTACCTACATAAAATTTTGTAGCAGCCACGTTAAAAACTGGTAAGAGATTAGATTAATTTCAATTAACTTAGGCCAATATATTTTAGGAACTATCACTTCAATAAGTAGTCAACAGAAAAAAATTGATCAGATACCGTACTTTACTTTTCAATTCGATTAAAAAGTAAAAAATCTCATGTGTATTTTATACTTCACATTTTGATTCAGACGAGCCACATTTCAAATGCTCAATACAGTACATGGCTACCATATTTTTTAAACAGCACAGGTCTGGACAAAAATTTCTCCCAGTCCTACCTTAATTACTAAGTAACCTGAAAATGCTTTTAAACACATAATTTCTTAGAAGTTCCTTCTATAAAAGGAATCTCTTAAATGAGTATCACGAGAAACTTCACAAGAACTTAAAATGCCTTGTTTATAATTTCTAAAAATTAGATAAATGAAAGGCAGCAAAAAGTTACTAAAAGTTAAAGTCAGCAGGCCAGGCGTAGGCTCACACCTGTAATCCCAGCACTTTGGGAGGCTGAGACAGATGGATCACGAGCTCAGGAGTTCGAGATCAGTCTGACCAACATGGTGAAACCCCATCTCCACTAAAAATACAAAAACTAGCTGGGCGTGGTGACACGCGCCTGTAATCCCACCTACTCAGGAGGCTGAGGCAGGAGAATCGCTTTAACCCGGGAGGCGGAGGTTGCAGTGAGCCGAGATCGCGCCACTGCACTCTAGCCTGGGTAACAGAGCGAGACTCTATCTCAAAAAAAAAAAAAAAAAAAAAAAAAGTTAAGGATGGCAGATTAGAAAGTTAAAGTCGATCTTAATAAAACAAGGGAAAGGGAACAGAAAGGAAAGAGTGTCATCATCTGAAGGTTCATAAAGAATACTTGAATTACATTTTTAAAACTCAAAAATACATAAACTTAGGCACACTTTACCCTCTTATATGTCTCTTGAGATTTTCCTTTTAAAAACTCCCCCCTTAAAAAGTGATCCGAATTCTCTTAAAGAACATACCTGATTTTTGGCTGCAACTCCGATTGTTCTATTTTTTGATCCAAATGATATGACTGACCTAGAAAAAAATATATTCCAAAAAATTAAAAAGCATAAAGGTTGATATTTTAAACTGATAAGAGAAAAATACTAACATAAATGTCCTACCCATTAGGGGATAGGGAACAAGCATAGCACAATTTTAAGGTCTATAGCTTTCATCAGATACTCAAAGGGGGCTTCCACTTAATTGCTGCTCTGAGATCCAACCTAGGTGGCAGTTCTACTACCCCAAAAACCTCTGCTCGTGGCTCAGGAATTCTCCAGGTTCCAGTTATTATGAACCGAACATTAACTTTGAAAATGTTTTAAATATGTTAACGGTATTATTAATTTGACCCTACACACGACTAACAAAAAATAGGATGTGACTCTACCTTTCAGTCACCAACTCTGTACAAATCTAAATGTCATTGTCATACCGACTTTTGTTCTGATATACCACCGGCTTCTTTAGGAATCAAAAGTTTTTATGCAAACGCAAGCAAATGAACCCAAGTTACACCTCTGAAGTTTAAAGAGCACAAAGAGGTTCCCATCTGGGAGATTCTGCCGGAGAAAGAAAAAAATGATGCACAACAAGTACCATGGCAAAACAGAATATAAATGTCGAGGGAAAGGAGTGACTAATCAGTTACATCAAATCTGTTTTGAAGAGATGGAAAGTGACTTACAACTGTGAAACAACCTTCTCAGCCACCATGGAAATGGAACCGCACAATAACAGAGCAGAGACTAGCTTAAAAAGTCTTGTGAGAAGAAGGTAAGTGAATTAGGTTTTGGATTAGAGGAGTTATCTAATTCTGGATTACTAATTCAAATATAATCTAATTTTGGGTGAGTTACTCCTACCTGCTTAGGTATGAGTAATGGTAAACGAGATGAGCAAAACGGGAAAATACTGAGGGCATTAAGTACCACCCTTAAGTTTAAATTTGCTATAATAGAAACATCCTCAAACTATATTATCTGAGCAAGTGTTAAATAAAATAGCATCCTAAAAGCCAGAGAAGTGTCCAAGCAGAAGCTAGACAAGAAACCGTCAAAATCAGAGCATCACTGTAAGCTCTGAATAACCATACACTTGCAGAATGGATCTACTCATTTTCCTAGGGGAGAATCAAATTAATTGTACTAAATAACAATTAGTAGCTGATACAATAGAATCCACCACAATTATAGTTTAACAAACATATTAAGGGGAACTCCAATACTGCCCTCAGTTCACATTTTTCAGGGCCATACCTGTTGTCTTTGATTTCACACAGTAGTCCCTGTATAACACAATTTTTTTTCCCACTCTCTTCTCTGAAAAGCTTTTCTTTGTTTTATTGGATCAACCAGAACAAAGTATAAACTGTATCTAGGCATGAAAGCCTGAAATACTGTTTTCTTTCTTACTAAACTCCAATTAAAAAAACCTTAACCAAAACACAAACTTAGATCTGCAGGGGTAGACGTACAGGTTGCTCAGAACAGTCTTCCTAACGTTACTAACATTGCCAAATATTTTGCCTCAGATTTTCCACTCAACTTTCATAAACGTTCTCAGCACCCAAATAATTGTATTACCCCAGTCATTCATTCTACCTTTAGGTTCAATGTTTTCATTTTGCACTTTTCATCCTGAGCTTGGGACATTTGAAAAAAATTAATAGGTACAGTATTTTCCTTGAGATGAAATCATTTGTTTTCATCAATGCACATGCAGATATGTTTGTATATATTCTCGTCCGAAAATATCCCTTCACGAAACTTGCTTTTTAAAATGTTGCCCTTTGCCCACCCTATGCTCCTATAGAATATTTAGTTCAGTGACGACATCCATCCTCTTTTGGCGTCCTAGCACAAAAGTATGCAATTTTTATTCTCTTTTAAATAAACTGTGCAAAATTAATTTTAAAAATACGGTTTACAATTCCTCATGAATGGCAAAGAGCAAAAAAAAAGACGTTTACATCTTTCGACAATGATCCCGGGCATTAAGGCCAACAATGTTAGCAACGAAGAGACTGGGTAAAAAGAGGTGGGCTAATCTTTCATAGGACTGCTTCCGTGGTCGCTAACAACAATCCGCCTGCTCACTGGACAAGCAGCGACACAAGCTCTGGAAGCTTCCAGTTCATTTCGAGATTCACAATGCGGAAGAAAAAGGCCGGCAGCCCCGCTCCGCGGTGCGCAAAGATATGCGCGAAGGGAGGAGGACAAGCTGGAGGCGGCTCAGCCAGCTCAGAGAGGCCGGGTGGGGATACGGGGGCGGCCGCGGAAGGCGCAGGCTGCAGCCTGCCAAGAAAAGGGAGCGAAGTTGCGGGCTTTGCCGCAGCCCGACCCCCAGTAGGTTTTGAAAACCCCCAATAGGAAGCCCGCACAAGGTGACGACCCTTAGAGTCTCGACTCTGGGACTCCTCTCACCCCCGTGAATCCCTGAGACAATCCCTTCTCCAATTTGTGATGGCAAGCCCCCCATCCCTCCTCTGGCCGGGTCGCTGGTCCCTAGTTCCACGGAGGGGTGCGCCGCTGCCCAAACGCCTCCGTTTGCCGCGGTGATCCGTACAGCCAGCCCGCGATCTTGGGTCCCCACACTAAGGGCCCAGAACCTCCTCCCATCCACCCTCGCAGACTCCCACTTACGGGGTGCACCGGTCGCTGAACTCATTGGCGATGGTCTCGATGCCCCCGGCCCGGGCTACCGCGATGTAGCAGCTCTGCGAGCCCACGTCCAACCCCACCACCGACATGGCCGGCTCGCGGTCCGCCTCCGCCTCGGGTCTCGGTCTGCGTCCTCCGGCCCCCTGCCTGCTTCTCCTGCCGCCGCTTTCTGCCCTGGCCGCGTTCTGCTCCGGCCCGCGGGGTCTGGCCGTTCCTCTGACACTCAGAAGGACACACAGACAGCCGCGGCCTGTCAGGAGCCTCCTACTCCCCCGGGGACAGCGGCGGCTGGCTGATAAGAAACCCTGGGAGAAAGCGGGGCTCAGCCTCCGCAGGTCGCTCCGCACCTCGGGTTGCCTGCCTCACTCTGCCGCGGCTCGCACACCGGCGCCGGCGCTGAACTACCGACCCAAAAGGGGAGGTCCCACTTCCTCAGCCTTATGTATCGCACTGATCAGAACTTTCCAGAATCTGCGGCATTTACTCACCGGCGCCTCCACCGGCCCCTCCACGTGCCACTTCCGCTTCCTTCTTCTCGAGCCTTCTGGAAAGATTCTACCCAATGGGCAGCCGGTCCCCGGAGAACGGCCGCCGTTGCCATGGCAGCGACAGGGCCGCTCCCGTGCCATTGGCTCAAACCTGCCTCCGCCCACTCCCGCCCTAGCCACAGGCGTTTTGCTGCCCTAATAAAACAGGCAACGAAGAATGACTCCAAAACTCGGAATAGTCACAATTTACTACCGGGAGGTGGTGTCCGATCCTTAACGCTAAAGGGAGGCTGGGCGGGCGGAGACAGACCCCATTTTTGCAGAGACCCCAGACACCGGGATGGTGGGGAGGCCGGCCAGCTGTCCGGAGAGCATGTTGGGAATCGTAGTCCCGCTGGGAGAAGTGTGCGCCTTGCATGCTGGGATGTGTAGTCCTGGCCGCAGTGCTTGCTGGGACCCGGCTTTGTCTTCTGGGACTCGCGAGAGAGGCTGGGTAGGGTTTTGTCTGGCGCTTTTGCGCGGGTTCCCTGGCAATAAGCGTCATTTTGTTCGTTTGTTTTGTATTCACTTCTATTATTGTCTGGATTACCCCGACAACTGGTGCGTTACGACTTAGGAGAAGGAACACCAGTTCAAACCGCTTATAATAAAAGCAAAGGGGTTGTGTTAAGTGTTCTTGTATTCATCAGGCAGCAGGATGATCTCTTGTGGAGTAAAATGTCAGGTGTTTTTTTTTTTAAGAAATCGATTTTTAGTTGTGACGTCATTTGGCAGGCTGTCCACGGTATCACTTTCTGCTTATTTTTAAAAGGTCTGATTTAAGCCGACGCTGTTCTACCCTGCCACTCCTAGCCATAAATTGGTACTGTGTGTAAGTTTTGCTTTTTGTTTGATCTGAAGCAGCTTTTGTTTCTTTCCCTCAGAAGCGATGTCCCCGTTAACTTTTGTTCAGTAAAGAGACAGTGTAAGAAAAGGTGGAACTGTGTTGCTGATAACTTATCAGGTCTTTTATACCCTTTTGTGTCTTTTTAAGTTTGCTTCTGATCCCTGAGTTTACCTTATGTCAGGCATGTGGAAGTATAAGCACAGTTCAAATATGTTATTGGATAAGCGTGTAATTGAATAAGGAGTTGTAACCTAAAGTTAGAAAAATCTAACTCATAAAGAGTATGGGAATTCCTCCTTGTCTATCAAAACAAGTTGGTTAAGTCAGAGGCAAGACGAAAGGCCCAGGTTTACATTACATGTAAATTGTATGTGCTTTTGCTAGTTTTCCTGCCACTTAGGTGGCTTACTTAACATGCTTCAGTTAACTCACCTTTAAAATGGGAGCAATAATAGTTATCACGGGGTTGTTGTGTTCTTACATTTGGACATATAGTTAGCTGTAACTATAAGTTATTTTTGTTATGCATCCCAAAAACTTGGTTTCTGTCCCCACCCCCCGCCCACCAACTTTTTCTTACATATCAAAACCTTATAATAAAATCCATGGAGACATAGCAATTTTGAACAGAAAGAACCTTTGAGATTATTTGGTCTGCTTCCCACATTTTAACTGCCGTACGAAGAGGAGACATGAACAGTTCTCAGTCTTTGGAGCCAGACAGATTTGGGTCAGGTTCAAATCCTTGGCACTCTACTAAGATGTTTTATATAAAGTACAGCTTGTAAGGGCACCAGGCCTCCTGGAGTCAGACATCATGGGCTTGAATCCTAGCTATTCTTATTTGTGAGCTGTGTGATGTTGCGATAATTACTAAGCCTTTCTGTATTCCATCTCATGGTGTTTATGTAATGATGGAAACTATATGTAAAGCACTAAACATATATAAACATAAACATATAAAGTCTGTCATCTTTGTCAAATTCCTCTTTGCCCTCTGTTTCCTCGACTGTAAAATGGAAGTAATACCTATTTTTGCTAGGATTTTGGAAGGATTAGATATAAATAAAACATGGTATGGTGGTATTTGATAAATTGTAGTAATAGAAGTAATATCATTCAGTGAAAGTCAGTACAAACTTTAATCTTGTACTGCTGTGGATGTGTTGTGTAGTCATGGTGTAGCCCCCTTTTATTTAATCGATTTGCCTTAATTATTCAGCACAACAGGTAAGTGATAAGAGGTTGTAAAATCTACCATATTTATTATCTAATTGAAATTCTTAGCTGGGCCAGGCATGGCGGCTCACATCTGTAATCCCAGCACTTTGGGAGGCCAAGGCAGGAGGATCACCTGAGCCCAGGAGTTTGAGGCTGCAGTGAACTATGATCACTCCACTGCACTGCAGCCTGGGCAACAGAACAAGAGTCTGTCTCTAAAAATAAAAAAATAATTCCTAGCTAGGTGCAGTGGCTCATGCCTCTAGTACCAGCTACATGGGAGGCTGAGGCATGTGGGTTGCTTCAGCCCAGGAGTTGAAGTCCTGCCCAGGCAATATAGCAAGACTATTAAAAAAATTCACTTTTAACACTTTATTATATTTTATTACTTTATATGTTTATATATTTTATTACATGTAGAATTTATCACACTTACTGTTGTAATGTCAGAAATTTTAAAATGAGACTTGGACCAAATAATGACAATCCCTACAAATCCTTGTTATGTAATTATGAATCCAATTATTAGGTTTCATTCCATATTTGTTTTAGAGAATAAGAAGGACCTCAAAATTGGAAGCAGAAACAGACCACTTCCAAAGAACAATAAAACAAAAATGCAAAATTAAGAAAAGCCCAAACAAAAATGCCATTCAAAGAGATAATATGCAGTAGATATAAAAAACTATGCCAGGCTTCCTTGAAAGGAGGAAGAGATGGGCAAAGGAGGGGATATGCAGATAGAGTAATATACATGAAAGTGCATATGACTTTGAATTTCTGGTATCAACCAGTATGGCAGTCTTCTCTATAACCAGCATAATGCCAGGGTCTGGAGGGTTACAGAAGTAGTATAAAACTTGTTCTAAATCAAGATGTGTTTTGTCACTTCTCTGCAATGCTGGGGCATCATGAATACTCAATTATCTGAAATCTTGTCCGTTTGAACCTTTTTCAATATTTGCTTACCAAAAGATTTTTGTTTTCTTCTTATATATTAACCTGAAAATGTATCTTTTAAACCTTAATTGGTTCTGCTAAAACCTATTTTGTCCTTATTTTAAGTTATAATAGAATGATCATCTAAAAATAGGAATGCATGGGGAAATCACGCAGGGAGCAGAGACTTATAAAAAGGTACACCTAGAAATAAGGTAAGTATGTTTTGTCTGGTAGGACATGGAAAAGATATGTAAAATGATGTTTCTTTTAGCCTAAAAAGGATCATATTTTGTAATAAATGTGGCAGACAAAAACTCAATGTGTAGGAAAATGTTCATGTCTGCCCCCAAACTCACTGTGAGCCACTTTGCCACTGGAACACCGTGCTCAGGCACACTGGCCCCCTACCCCACATCAAGGTGTTCCTTTATTCCCCTGCCTAGAAAATTCTTCCTCAGGCTCCTGGCTAGGCCAGTTCCTCATCCTTCAAGGCTCTATTGAATTCTTCACCATCTGTAGAGAAGGTTTCTGAATGCCCACCCAGTAAGCACATTACCCTTCCCCAAAGTACACCCAGTTCTTGTCCAGTTAAGGAGAAGCTGGTGCCAGCCCGAATGCGGAGGGTGGTCACTGTTTGGCTTAGGCCAATCAGCACATCCTATTCCCCTTGGCCACAGTCGTTGGTTCCAGGATGGTCAGGTGACCTAGGCAGCCCAATCAGGGTGACTTTCAGGGCTATGGTTTAGAATGCCTGGGTATGAGGGTATTTCTCTGCCCCTTTCCATCCCTTTCCTTCCACTCCCTCCATCTTCTTCTTCCTCCAGGCGCTGTTGTGTGAGGTTATGAGGCCCAGAACCATTACAACAACCTTACTATCATCCTGAAAAGGAAATGACACATGGAAGTGGATAGAACTAAGAAAATTAAGTTGGAGCCTAGGGCTGAAGTCAGTCTTGAGACCCACCCTACCTCTAGATTTAAGTTATGCCAGCCATACATTTCCTCACCACTTAAGCCAACTTGAATTGGGGTTTCTGTTACTTGCTACCCAAAGCAAGTAACCTCCTCAGGAAGGTCTTTCATGACCATATTACCTAAAGCACCTCCTGGTTCACTCTCTGTTGTTATCCACTGATTTCCTTCACAACATGTACCACACTCTATACTACAACATATAGCTGCAGTGATCTTGGGGTGTGTGTGTGTGTGTGTGTGTGTGTGTGTGTTAGGTACTTCCCTTCTTTGATTGTCTGACCCAGAGGGCAGTGATTGTTTTTCTTCTTTATAGTGCATTATAGATGCTCAATCAATATTTGTTGAATAGTTGAATGAAAAAACAAACTTATTGGGAAATGCTTTTCTCTAATGCAGAGTTTCTCAGCCTTGGCACTGTTGACATTTTGGGCTGGATAGTCATCGTGTGGGCTGTCCTGCACCCTGAATAATTAACTGCATCCATGGCCACATCCTACTAGTTGCCAGCAGCAGTGTCCTGCTCTTCCTCCCGCACCCCCCACACCCCCACCACCTCACCCCTGGCCCAATTGCAACAACCGAAAATGTCTCCAGACATTGCCGAATGTCACCAATGGACAAAGTTGTCCCTGGTTAAGAGCAGTAGCTTTGATTTAAGCCTAATACAAAAAGGGCAGAGTCTCAGAATGTGTTTGAAAGAAAATAGAGCACTGTTTGATTTCTGAGCCACAGAGGCTAAGAGATGGGAGAACGGTAACCCAGATCTGAATGAGTCAGACAACTCCAACCTGTATTAGGTTACAAGAGGAGGGACACATCTCTCATTTGGCTACGAGACATGCCTGCTGTTGTACAAATGTGCACTGCCTATTCCAAGAAGGTAATATTGAACTGTGGTTGAAAGTATTTTTGTGATTATCAATTACTTCCTTCAGAAAGGTACATACAATTCACTGTTTTCCTTTGCCTTGGGTTTTTTTGTTTTTTTTTTCTGAGACAGAGGCTTGTTCTGTCACCCAGGCTGGAGTGCAGTGGTGCAATCTCAGCTCACTGGAATGTCCGCCTCCTGGGTTCAAGCGATTCTCCTGCCTCAGCCTCCTGAATAACTGGGATTACAGGCGCCTGCCACCGCACCTGGCTAATTTTTGTATTTTTAGTAGAAACAGGGGTTTCACCATCTTGACCAGGTTGGTCTTGAACGCCTGACCTCGTGATCCACCTGCCTCGGCCTCCCAAAGTGGTGGGATTACAGGTGTGAGCCACAGTGCCCAGCCACCTTGGCTTCTTTACTTATGAAATAATAATTAGAATGCCCACATAGTGACTGAAAATTATTAATTAATTCTTACATTCATGGTTACCTTAGTCATTCTATCATAGAAAGGAGAAAGAAAGTTAATATTTGGATAACCAGAATCATTGTTGCCCTACATAATATTCTGATTTTCCACCCTGAAAACTAAATTTATATACCAGAAATAGATTCCTCTTTTCTTCTTTCTTTTGTTTCTTCAGGCATGTGTGAAAAGAAGGAAAGGAAGGAAGAGTTAGTATCCTGTGTCTCTTCTATTCCAAATTATGATGAGGTCAGTTCAAAGTCCTTGTACATAAAGATGAGTCATTTCAGTACAGACTCTTTAGGTTTGCTGTGTTGAAAAAAAGCACCTTCATTTTGGTGGGAAAATAACTACAAATTGTTGGTGTATTTTTCTGTGTGTCAGAGGATTCTGAAACCAGGATGTGTCTGAGCTCTTGAGACATATTACAGATGCCCTCATGGGGTAGCTCATTAAGCTGTTGGAACCAAGGGTGCATTCAGTTCCCCTAAACTAATTAATAATCCACTAGGGAGGGTGGGAGTGGTAGAATAAAAAACATTTTGGGTACCTGTTTTTATTGAGCAAGTCATACTGTTCTTACCTCATTTGTGCCAAGTGAAATGAAATTCCTCCTTCCGGACACTTCGGAAGAACTCACTATCTGATTGCAAAGTTACATCTTGGCAAGGATGTATATAACCACTTGTCTAATGGTGGATGACTAGAATAATGTGGAAAGGAGAGACACAACTCAAAGCCATACAAATTACGGTTGCTTTATTTAATTCCTTGGCATCAATGGGAAAACAGCAAAAAGGGAATTTCTTGCCTATTCTGAAGGATGAGGCACTCAAATTATTCTACATGCCTTTCAGCTGCTTTCCACACCAGCAAACATGAGGTTAAAATATATTGAGAGGAAGGAATAAAGCATTGGAGAAGATGAGACTTCCTAGAAAAAAATTCAGTTACTCTTAGAAAGCTAATATTGCTGGCCAACAACACTGAAACCAGCTTTTTAAATTCTGAAATGTAAATTAGACCCAAAGAGTCTGTACTGAAATGACTCATCTTTATGTACAAGGACTTTGAATCGACCTCATCATAATTTGGAATAGAAAAGATACAGGATACTAACTATTCCTTCCTTTCTTTCTTTCTTTTCACATGTGCCTGAAGAAACGGTTACAATTCTGTTTTTCCTGAGGAAGTGTGTAATTTGTTACTTTCATTAAAGAAGCCCATTCTCCATAAATACGTTAGTCCACCTTATTTCCTGCTTACAAAGGCTCTCTTAGCCTTTCACCATTTAACAACTCTTTTTATATTTTGACAATATAAATGTTTTCCCCTTTGTCTCTGAAAAGAGGGAACAGGGTCAGCCCAAGACAAAAAGGCAGGAGAGTGTCTTGAGCTCCTTGTCCCTGCCATGTCTCCAGCCTCTGTCTCTCCCAGGCCCAGGCAGATAACCCGCCGGCTGGTGCCTCCCAACTCCCAAAGCTCCTTTCGCCTGGGTTCTGGTGTGCCATCCATGCTTACGCATCTCTCTGTGCCCAGTGCCCTGCACTAAGCCAGGTGTGTAGCCGGCCCTCACGCTGTTAGCTGCTGTTAAATGCCAGCACTCCGCCCCACCCAACTCTGTTGTGGCTCCTCCGACTGCCAGCACGGCTACGTCATCAAACAGGTGCTCCCAATCATTCCCGGTCATATGAAAAAACCAAGTCACATAGATTTAAGTTTCCACTCCCAGAATGGAGATATTTTTATTAAATAAGTTCCACTTAAATAAAACCAGTTTCCCTAGTTGGTTATATTAAAGGCTGCATAGGAAGATATCCAAGGGGCAGTCTAGGCATGGTGGCTCATACCTGTAATCCCAGCACTTTGGGAGGCCGAGGCAGACAGATCATGAGGTCAAGAGATCAAGACCATTCTGTCCAACACGGTGAAACCCCGTCTCTACTAAAAATACAAAAATTAGCTGGGCGTGGTGGCACACACCTGTAATCCCAGCTACTCAGGAGGCTGAGGCAGGAGAATCGCTTGAATCCGAAAGGCGGAGGTTGCAGTGAGCCGAGATTGTGCCACTGCACTCCAGCCTGGCAACAGAGCAAGACTCTGTCTCAAAAAAAAAAAAAAAGAAAAAAGAAGATAGCCAAGGGGCATATGGCTCTGTAGGACTCTGCCTTATATTACCGTGGTCAGACTGGCTGGGTGCATAAGAATCTTTGTGGCTCCCTCCCAACAGCTCCCCACTGCCCCCTCGACCCCGCAACTCCATTCCTCTTGAGAAGAAAGGGGAGTACTGCTCCGCGCTCCCTGCTCTGCTCAGCTGCCTCTGATTTCTGTCTGAGTTGTTCAAACTTTAGGGCTTGTTTATTGATTCCCCCAAGGGCTGTGAGCTCCCGAAGACTGTCCTTTCTCTTTTTATTTATAGGCCTTTGTTGAATGAATCAAAAATTGCTCCTTTCCTTTTCCTTCGTTTCTTCCTGCCTTCCTCCCTTTCTCTCTTCATCATTTATTAATCATTCACTGTTGGTCATGTCTCCTAAATGCCCCAGAATGAAAATCCCTGACCTACCTCTGCCAAGGTTTTTTTTTGTTTTTTGTTTTTTGTTTTTTTGTTTGTTTTTTTGTTTTGTTTTGTTTTGTTTTTTAAGATGGAGTCTCATTCTGTCGCCCAGTGGCACAATCTCGGCTCACTGCAACCTCCACCTCCCAGGTTCAAGCGATTCTCCTGCCTCAGCCTCCCAAGTAACTGGGACTATAGGCACGCGCCACCACGCCTGGCTAATTTTTTGTATTTTTAGTAGAGATGGGGTTTCACCATGTTAGCCAGGATGGTCTTGATCTCCTGACCTTGTCATCTGCCTGCCTCAGCCTCCCAAAGTGCTGGATTTCTAGGCGTGAGCCACCATGCCCAGCCCTCTGCCAAGGTTCTTAAGCCATACATGCATGTTCTCTTCCTATCTGATTTCTTTTTGGTCTGCCATGGCTAAGAGGCCTAACCAGCAAGAGGGAGCCAGGCCTTCTTACATCATCAGCTGCAAGAAAGTGAAAAAAGTGTCCTTCCCTGTTTGCTAGAACAAACAACAAACCATTCCTCCTTTTCCCCCACCTGGGACCTGCACTGGCCTTTCCAATGGGGAGGGCAACTCATTAGGAGGAGGAAATCCACTCTAGACTATCGCCTTTGGTGGCAGAGATGAATAACAAAGGTTTTTCTTCTCCTCTGGAGTAATGGAAGCTCGACCCTTACTACTGTGACCTATGGCATGTCCTTGAGGATCACATCTGTCTTTGAATAGACCCAGAACTCTTCCCTGGGGGCAGAGTACCATTGTCTGTTGTTGTGTGTAAGGAGATGTGAGGGTGCTTGGCAGGGATGGTGAGTGGGGACTATAACATTGAGGAATCCTGGGCTGTTCCCAAAGTGAGGCAGGAGAATAGAGTCTGCAGGCAGGGAACCTAAGGCCGATTTAGGCTGACTTCCTAGAACTAAATCAAAAGGAAAACCCCAACTTTGCAAACCCTCCCTCCTTTTCCTGCATAGCAGACAGAAAATTGAAAGTACCTCTGACTGGTTGCTTTCCACAACCAATCAGATGTTTGCATACGAATGTAACTTTGTAACTTTGCTTCAGCCTCTTGATTGCGGACCACTACTTCATTTGCATGGGGTGTAAACCAAGTGGCCAATGGGAAACCTCTAGAGTGTATTTAAACTCCAGAAAATTCTGGAACTGGGGCCTTGATCCCCTATGCTAAGACCCATTCCCACCATGTGGAGTGTACTTTTATTTTCAATAGATCTCTTGTTTTGGTGCTTCATTCTTTCCTTGTTTTGTTTGTGCATTTTGTCCAATTCTTTGTTCAAGATGTCAAAAACCTAGACACTCTCCACCAGTAACAAAAGGAGGAATCCAAGGACCTTATTGGCTTTTTGGAATAGCAGTAGGTCTCCATGATATTAATTAGGATAAAATAAAACCAACATGGCCAAACCTTTATGGTTTTAAATGTCCTTATAGATTACATAATGAAAATACCTATTAGCCTTTGACTTGAAATGTTTTATTCTAGCAAGTCACCTTCGCACTTTCCTCATATAGAGTGATCTGGATGAACTCCTACAATGTGGCAGCCGTTTGCTTTGTGCTGGAGATACCATGACGAACAGCCCACGTTCCTGCCTTCAGGAAACTGAAAGAGAACCAACTCTCAGAACTGCAGCAAGGTTAAGGGCCTTGGCAGCTGTACTGTGCATTTGGTATTATAGTAATAGTCACAAGACAACCCTCTAGACTGTGTGTGGAGTCAGGCAGAGCTGGGTATAAATCCTGGCATCTGCAACCTTTCTCGGGCAAACTGCCTAACTCTTCTAAAATCTTACCAGTAAGATGTGGGTAAGAAATTCTACCTTGGCCAGGTGCGGTGGCTCACGCCTGTAATCCCAGCACTTTGGGAGGCCGAGGCAGGTGGATCACCTGAGGTCAGGAGTTCAACACCAGCCTGGCCAACATGGCGAAACCCTGTCTCTACTAAAAATACAAAAATTAGCTGGGGGTGGTGGCGGGCGCCTGTAATCCCAGCTACTGGGGAGGCTGAGGCAGGAGAATCGCTTGAACCCAGGAGGTGGAGGTTGCAGTGAGCCGAGATCGCGCCACTGTACTCCAGCCTGGGCAACAAGAGTGAGACTCCATCTCGAAAAAAGAAAAAAAAAAAATCCTACCTCATTGTGGTATTGTGGGGACCAATTAATAAAGTAATATCACCTAAGCCAGATGTCTTCCATTAAAAGGGCACACAATAGCTGACAGCTATGGTTGTTATTGCTTTGATTACTAATGCTTGGTTACCTAAGACACTTCCGAGTCACTTCACTCCCTTCATAACCCTCTCCCAGGATTATGAAAGAGAACAGCAAAACTGTTTCCTTATCTTCATCTTTCATATTGTGCTGTTCATATTGCGTGACTGCCTAGATAATTGATAGTCCACAAATTTCAAAAAAACTACATATATCTGTGTGAATATCTTTGCAGATAATTCTAAATCAGAGAATCAGATTTTAGAGGGGAGGTCAAAATACCTCCATTCCATTGTGAAAAATTCATAAGAATATTCTGAATACCACAGATTTAAAATCTATCACTGTCCTAGAAAGGTTAACTTTCTTTTCTTTACCTTTATTTCTATGACATTGTTCTTTTGGCCCTGTCTCCAGTGTTATTTTATAACACGTTATATTTCTGCTTAGTGGATTGCTATAGTGATGTTGGTACATGTTCTAAAGGGATATATAGTATCATGCCCTAAATGGACTAGTCCACGCACCTTTGTTCAGCACTGGAAATTTCCCAAGTCTATTCATTCATCCATTCATGCAACAAATATTTCTGGAATTCCTCCCATGGAAAGCCATCATGTGAAAGTGTTACAGTTGATTCAAGGGTCATTGTCAACAATGAAAAATGTTTGCCTGCCTGCTGGGGCAAGAGACCTAAAGATGTATAATGCAGAAGATGACAAGGAGCTGTAGGGGAAGCCAAGGGCTTAGGGGCCAGAGTGGGCTGTGTTCAGATCTCACCTCTCTCACTTTAACTGTGTGACTCTGGGAAAAAGTTTAAGCTGTCTGAACTTCATCATTTTCATCTTCAAAATGTAGATCTTCCATCATTCATTCAACAACCATGTTGACTTTGTGCTAGGTATATCTCCCTGTCATTGATTTATGCTCTCTTGTTAAATTCTCACTACAGTTCTCTAAGGCATCTAGACAGTAGTTCCTCAACAGGTGCTATTTTATCGACCCCGTACTTTTAATGAACATATCAATTCAATGAACTTTGCACGCCTGCTATGGGCCATACCGTGAGCCAGGAGACATATGGCCTTAAGAAAAAAAAGAGTTAAAAACTGTGCCTCAAGCTTCTCAGTCTGGTTGAGGACACACCCATAAACATAATTATCCAATGGAATCGTTATAATGACAGCTCTGTGAACAGAAAATTTTTGGACACAGCAGTGGGACACGTAGCTCACCTGGGCCAAGGATGTTGGAAGGGGGAATAAGGTGGGTGACGCCTGAGCTAAAGTGAGTAGGATGGAGGAAGAGGACTCCATTTCTCTGCCAGAGTATGCAAATACAGAGGAGACGAACAAATACATATGCGGATTAGGTTAGCGATTCTGAAGTACAAGGCTCAAAATAAGGAATGAGCAACAATGATGTAATAGGTGAGCCCAGCTCAGAAAGGCACATACTAAAGACGTGTTTCCAGGTAGTCTCTGAGTACTAAAAGATTGGTAAGTGTTCCAGGGACCTTTTTGCAGTAGCAATGGCTCCCCAGGATATTCATCATGACAAAATAAAACGAATATGGCCACACCTTCATGTTCTTAAATAGATTCTTACATCATGAAAACACCTATCGACTTGTAATTTTTTTCTAACTAGTCAGTTCTTCCTCAGACAGAATAATCTGGATGAGCCTAATTCCTCTGGCTAGGACTTTTAAAATCATGTTGGCACTGGGGCTTGTTCCTATAGCTGGTTGGTACAACCTTCTAATAATACCAAGATGGTGTTTTGTGTCGCTGACTGCTCCTAGAAGAGGGTGACCCACTGCCCCCCAACTTGGGCCACTCACTGTACCACTGACTCAAACCCAATTCAATGGCCACCCCAAGCAGGACCAGGGATGAGATTTGACCGACTGCAGACCCAGAACCACCACAGCTAGAAAAGCAGTATAACCATGAAAAAGAAATTTCTGCCAAAACATCTGTGGGCTAAGATTACACACAAGTATGTTTGAGACTAGGGGAGTCGAAACATAAATAAACTGTAGAAAGGAGCATGCTAGTGCAGAGAGTGGGACTCCTAGAAATGTGAATTTATTCTCTTTGCCACCCAGGGGAGCCAGAGACTCATGAAAATCTTACACAAGCTGTCAAAGTTACGAACCAGGGCAGGGAAAAACAGTATATTAGTTTGGATTTTTGCAGTTGCAGGCAACAACAACAAAAAAATCAGCCAACCAACAAAACAAAAATGGGAATTTACTGATCCACATAATTTGGAAGTTTTAGGGGGCATCTAGTTTAGGCTCAGCCATATCCAGGAGCTCAAGTGACATCCTCAGGACTTTCTCTCTGCCCATCTCTCAGCTAAACTCTGCTCTGCGTTGCTTCCCTTCTCAGATGGGCCTTCCTTATGTAGGGGCAAAGGCAGACCTTGCAGCTCCAGAGTAACATAGTTCTTACCGTAAGAAAGTCACAAAGAGACTGGGCATGGTGGCTCATGCCTGTAATCCCAGCACTTTGGGAGGCCGAGGTGGCAGATCACTTGAGGTCAGGAGTTCAAGACCAGCCTGGCCAACATGGTGAAACCCCATCTGCTAAAAACACAAAAATTAGCTGGGCATGGTGGTGCATGCCTGTAATCCGAGCTACTTGGGAGGCTGAGGCAGAAGAATCACTTGAACCTGGGAGGTGGAGGTTGCAGTGAGCCAAGATTGTGCCACTGCACTTCAGCCTGGGCTACAGAGGGAGACTATGTCTCAAAAAAAAAAAAAAAGTAGAAGAAGGGAAGAGAAGAGCCAGTGAGTGTGACCTGGTACCTGAAGTCACTGTGCAGAGCTATCTGCCCAAGCTACTGGTGAGGATGATGGAGAATCAAACCACCAGGCCCCCAGCATTACTGCAGAATGGGCAGGGATGGTGCCTCACAGACATGCCAGGCAGGCAGAAAAAATAACGCCCATGACAGCTGGCGAGAAGGGATTTTCACTTACTGAGCACCTCAGCACAGTGCTGGGTGCCATGAATGTCTTACATCACCTCCCAAGGTTCCTCTTAGATAGGTACCTTCTATTATCATCCCCATTCTGCAAATGAAAGTAAGGCTCAGTTGGATTAAATAACTTCCCTGAGGACAACCAGTAAATGGTAGGGCCGGGTATTAATGACCAAAACCCTTGCTTGATCAAACGGGGAGGAAAAGTGAAGGGGAAGGGGCACTGTCCTCAGCAGACTGGGAGCCACAGAGGTGGTGGGTGGGGACGCAGGCAATGTGAGAAAACAGGACAAAGTGCTTTAAATAATTTCTTATTTAAAGCAGAGCCTAAGCCACAAAATCTCTGACAAGTAAGCCCTGGTGAATGGGGCACAATTTTTGTTCTATTAGGAGAGCAAGTTAGCTGGGCGCGATGGCTCACGCCTGTAATCCCAGCACTTTGGGAGGCCAAGGTGGGCGGATCACGAGATCAGGAGATCGAAACCATCCTGGCTAACATGGTGAAACTCCATCTCTACTAAAAATACAAAAAAAAAAAAAAAAAGCCAGGTGTGGTGGTGGGCGCCTGTGGTCCCAGCTGCTTGGGAGGCTGAGGCAGGAGAATGGCGCGAACCCAGGAGGCAGAGCTTGCACTGAGCCGAGATCGTGCCACTGCACTCCAGCCTGGGCGACAGAGTGAGACTCCTTGTCAAAAAAAAAAAAAAAAAGGTATGGAGATGGGATGGGGTGAGGCTTCAGGATTCTGGGTGGGACAGTCCTCACGTCTGATCTCACACAGAGCAGATCACTAACCTGCCTCTGGTAAAGTGGCCCTGGAGGGGTCTGAAAGCAGCCTTAGGTGGTGAGTCCAGCCCTAAGAGGCTCTCCTATCCCGTGGGGCCTTCAGCCTTCAGTTGCTCAATCTCCCTGGTAATTGAGACCAAGCTGCTAAATATTGTCAGAGGGCTGCGCTGAGACCAGCAGAGGGTGAGCAGCCCACAGAAATGAATCTGGAGGCCAGTTGGGGCAGAGAAGGTGACTGACTGGATGAAATGAGGATTAACTGCATGTAGAGTGTGTTTGACTTTAAACTGTGAACTACAGGTCTCTGGAAAGTGTTTGTAATAAGAAAAGTTGGCATTTCAGTTTCTCCTTGAATTGAGGACAGTGTTCAGGAGTATACTAGGCAGTGGAAAATGAGACAACATCCAGAGCCAATGTGACCTGGAAATAGATGAAAGCTGAAGCCAGAGTAACCCAGGCCTCCCTCTTGGAAATGTAATCCATCTGTGAGTTGACTCTAGTTACTCTAGGAGCATGGGCCAAGCCCAACAGTAATTGCTTTCATGCTATTTGCATTTCTAAGCTTTGTTTTTATTTTACCTAAGACTTTTAAAAGACTATATTTTGTTTTAGTTGTGCTGCAAAGAGAAAAGTTGGGGCAGGTATTTTCTGAACTGTGTTGGGGGTTGATGGTATTTGGAAGGCGCTGAACGTCCCCAGGTCCTGTTTTGCCACAGCCACCTCCTCAAGTTTGTATAGAAAACAAGGTCAGGGAAAAAATCTCTACCTGTGGGAGGCTTTTGCCTTAAACCCCAATGTGGAAATCTGGTGTGGTGGCAGAGGGCTAGCAGCAGACCAGAAGGGCCTCCTGGGCTTTCTCTCCACTGGATCCACACATATTTACCACACTCTGATATTCATTTCTTCAACAAGCATTCCTGAGTGTCCACTAAGCTCCAGGCTCTCTTCTAAGCACCGAGTATTTGACAGTAAGTAGCAGACAAAACCTCTGCTTTTATGAAGTTTCCTGATTGATAGAGTTTGGGTATTTGTCCCCTCAAATCTCATGTTGAAATTTGATCCCAGTGTTGGAGGTAGAGCCTGGTGGGAGGTGTTTTGGTCATGGGGTAATCCTTCACGAATGGCTTGGTGCCATCTCGGAGGTAATGAGTGAAGTCTCCCAAGAGAACTGATAGTTAAAAAGAATGTGGCACCCCTCCCTTCTCTTGCTTCTTTCCTCTCAACATATGATGCTGACTCCCCTTCCCCTTCTGCCATGACTGGAAGCCTGCCTTACCAGAAACAGATGCTAGTGCCATGCTTCTTATACAGCCTGCAGGTCCATAAGCCAAATAAACTTCTTTTTTTAATAAACTACCCAGCCTCAGGTATTCCCCTGTAACACCACAAATTGACTAAGACACTAATGTTCTGACAGAAGGAGATGGACAAAACAAAACAAAAAAACAGTTTGTGGTAAGCACCATGAAGAACTAAAGCAGAGTAAGGGGGCAGGTGGTACAGGGAATAGTGTGTGTGTATGTGTGTGTGCGTGCATATGCGTGTGCGCTCCTACTTTAAAGGAGGTGGTAACCAATGAGCAGAAGCCTGAAAAGAGTGAGGGAGTGACCTGCAGATAGCCTGGGGAAAGGGATTCTAAGCAGAAGGGAAACACATGGAGAAGGCCTAGAGTAGAACCCTGCTTGGCATGTTCTTTGATTAGCCCTGAATGGAGAGGCAAAGGCAAGTGTGATAGGAGAGGGGGTCAGACAGGGCAGTTGGGGTCATCTAAGACCACCTAAGGCCTTGTAAGACACAGTAAAACTTTTATTTGCCTCTGAGCAAAATGCAAAGCCATTGGAAAGTTTTGAGCAGAGGAACGATGTTGAGAGGCGAAGCCGGCTGGGCTTCTGGGTTGGGTGGGGACTTGGAGAACTTTTCTGTGTAGCTAAAGGATTGTAAATGCACCAATCAGCACTCTGTGTCTAGCTAAAGGTTTGTAAATGCACCAATCTACACTCTGTAAAATCAGACCAATCAGCACTCTGTGAAATGGACCAATCAGCACTCTGTAAAATGGACCAATCAGCACTCTGTAAAATGGACCAATCAGCAGGATGTGGGTGGGGCCAAATAAGGGAATAAAAGCTGGTCACGGGACTCAGCAGCAGCAACCCACTTGGGTTCCCTTCTGTGCTGTAGAAGCTTTGTTCTTTTGCTCTTTGTGATAAATCTTGCTGCTGCTCACTCTTTGGGTCTGCACTACCTTTATGAGCTGTAACACTCCTTGAGAAGGTCTGCAATTCCACTCCTGAAGTCAGTGAGACCACCAACCCACGGGGAGGAATGAAGAACTCTGGACGTGCTACCTTTAAGAGCTGTAACACTCACTGTGAAGGTGTGTGGCTTCACTCCACAAGTCAGCGAAACCACGAACCCACCCGGAGAAACAAACTCCAGACGCGCCAGTTTGAAGAGCTGTAACACTCGCTGCGAAGGTCTGCGGCTTCACTTTTGAAGTCAGCAAGACCACGAACCCACCAGAAGGAAGAAACTCTGGACATCTGAAGGAACAAAGTTGGGACACACCATCTTTAAGAACTGTAACACTCAGCACGAGGGTCCCTGGCTTCATTCTTGAAGACAGCAAGACCAAAAACGCACGGGAAGGAACCAATTCTGGACACAGTGAGATTTATGATTCTCCAAGGCTCACTGTGGGTAGTGCATGAAGTCCAGGTCATGCCGCCTAAAGAAATATAATGTAAGCCACAAACGCAAGTGGTATATGTCATTTTAAAGGTTCCTAGTCGCCACACGAAAAAGTAAAAAGAAATGGATGAAAATAATTTTAATATACTTGACTGAACCTCATATATCTAAATTAACAATTCAACATAACAAAATTATTTCTATATATATATATATATATATATATATATATATATATAGAAATAGGAGTGTCACTCTGTCTCTCAGGCTGCAGTGCAGTGGTGCCATCTTAGCTCACTGCAATCTCTGCCTCCCGGGTTCAAACAATTGTCCTGTCTCAGCCTCCCGAGTAGCTGGGATTACAGGTGCCCACCACCATCCATCCCTGGCTAATTTTTTGTATTTTTAGTAGAGATGGGGTTTCACCATTTTGGCCAGCCTGGCCTCGAACTCTTGACCTCTGGTGATCCACCCACCTTGCCTAAAGTGCCGGGATTACAGGCATGAGCCACCGCACCCAGCCTATATTTTTTTTAATATACAAAATCTTTGGAATCTGGTGTGCATATTAGACTTACAGCACATCTCAATCCAGACTCATCACATTTCAAGTGCTTAATTCCTCAACTCGGCTCATTACCATATGGTATTATAGTACAAGTTCACGCTATAGGGGGCAGGTGAACACGGGGTCCCCAGGAAAGATGCTCTTCACTCGTCCAGATGACAGATAATGACGAGGCTAAGGGCAAAAGCACTCCAAGGATGAGCAACTCATTAGAAAATAGCTTCTCCTAAGGCCTAGGGTACAACTTGCTGACTCTCACCCCTGCTCTCTGCAGGGAGATGAAAGAACCCTATCGGGAACAGCTCCGGGCATACCTGTGACAGCCATACTGGAAGAAAAGAATCTGAAAGAAGACCTCAGCTGGCTCAGAGCTGCCATCCATCCCCATCACACTCCGCACTTTGGAGGCTCCGCCATCTCTTCATCCTCCCACCCCCCATTATCATGTAGAGCTTGACCTACCTTAGCAGCACTCTTCCACAAAGTGTCCTCTGAGGAGAGAGGAGGGGAGGAAGCCCTATTTTTCCCTGGAGGCCACAATTTCCTCATTTCTGTTCTTAGCTTTGTAAAACTAAATTTGAGAAGTCAACAACTAAATTTGTTACATGGGAATGCCTTATGTAACAAACTGCAACCTAGTTTAGTACTTAATCTAACGGAAAGCCTAATTTAAGAGTATACTCTTGTAACAAATTGTTGCGTCTTAGCAAGTCACAGCAGCTGAACTTCAGCCAATCACAGGTGGCAAAGGAATCAAAGCGAAAGGCCAGCTGTAGCCAATTAAGCAGCCTCTGTGCCTCACTTCCGTTTTCTGTCCATAATTGCTGCCCGACCACCTTGTAGGCCAGAGTTTTTAGCACCTGTCTGGCTCTGAGCTCTATCCTATTGGAGAACTGTTCTTTGCTCAAGTAAACTCAGTTAAATTTAACTTGTCTAAGGTTTTTCCTTTGTCCCACCAACTTTCTTTCTTTCTTTTTTTTTTTTTCTGAGACGGAGTATCACTCTGTCGCCCAGGCTGGAGTGCAGAGGCACGATCTCTGCTCACTGCAAGCTCCGCCTTCCGGGTTCACACCATTCTCCTGCCTCAGCCTCCCAAATAGCTGGGACTACAGGCACCCACCACCATACCCGGCTTTTTTGTATTTTTAGTAGAGATGGTGTTTCACCGTATTAGCCAGGATGGTCTCGATCTCCTGACCTCGTGATCCGCCCACCTCGGCCTCCCAAAGTGCTGGGATTACAGGCATGAGCCACCGCGCCTGGCCAGTCCCACCAACTTTCTGTTGCTCTCCAGAGGAAAGATTCGAGGAGAATTCCGGGTGCCCATTCTAGGGCAGCATAATTTTATGAAACCTTTCCTCCGTTGAGAAAAAAATACATGTATGTATGTTTACTATTGGGCTGGTAAATAGATGTTTATACTAACATATTTAAAAATTTTTGGCCGGGTGCGGTGGCTCATGCCTGTAAACCCAGCACTTTGGGAGGCTGAGGTAGGTGGATCACCTGAGGTCAGGAGTTCCAGACCAGGCTGGCCAACACGGCGAAACCCTGTATCCACTAAAAATATAAAAGGCCAGGTGCGGTGGCTCATGCCTGTAATCCCAGCACTTTAGGAGGCCGAGGCGGGTGGATCACCTGAAGTCAGGAGTTCCACGCCAGCCTGGCCAACATGGTGAAACCCTGTCTCTACTAAAAATACAAAAATTAGCCCTCCGTGGTGGCACATGCCTGTAGTCCTAGCTACTCGGGAGACTGAGGCAGAAGAATCGCTTGAACCCAGGAGGCGGAGGTTGCAGTGAGCCAAGATTGCGCCACTGCACTCCAGCCTGGGCATCAGAGCAAGACTCCGTCTCAAAAAATACTACTAATAAAATTTTTTTAAAAATACAAAAGTTAGCCAGGTGTGGTGGTGGGCACCTGTAGTCCCAGCTACTTGGGAGGCTAAGGCAGAATTGCTTGAACCCAGGAGGCGGAGGTTGCAGTGAGCCGAGATCGGGCCATTGCACTCCAATTTGGGTGGCAGAGTGAGATTCTGTCTTTAAGAAAAAAAAAATTCTTCAATATGAAAGTTGTTTTTTTTCTTTTCGAGACAGAGTTTTGCTCTTGTTGCCCAGGCTGGCATGCAGTGGCACGCTGTCATCTCACCGCAACCTCTGCCTCCCATGTTCAAGCAATTCTCCTATCTCAGCCTCCCGAGTAGCTGGGATTACAGGCATGCGCCACCATGCCCAGCTAATTTTGTATTTTTAGTTGAGACGGGGTTTCTCTGTGTTGGTCAGGCTGGTCTCGAACTCTCGACCTCAGGTGATCCGCCTGCTTTGGCCTCCCAAAGTGCTGGGATTATAGGTGTGAACCACCACGCCTGGCCTTTTTTCTGATTTAAAAAGAACATATTGTCAGGAGCCACTAAAAGAATTATGAACCCTAGGCACTGTGCCCGCCATGCCTAAAAGAGACGTTGGCCCTGGCCCTGGCCCTGGCCCTTTACAGAATTGCCCTCCCCATCCTTTCTGTGCTGCTTCCACCCTCCCAAATCAGTAAAGTGGGCATTTGAGACCCTCGAGGCCTTTATGAATGTCTCTTAGATATGGCTCCAGAGGCCTCTAAGGTGGATCAAGACAAGGTGTTCATTGTCATACTCGGGGTCCCACTCTGCAGCAGGCTGAGAGGTCATCAGTAAACCATTTTGATGCCCAACTATGTTTTCCTGGCAGGTTTATATAGAGCACCGGTATGAATCTAGTCCAAGTAATACAATGCTTTGTATGTGACTTTGTGTCACATATGATATTTTAACTTTATGGGTTTTGATTTTTTTCTCACAGAAAAAATTAAAGTGGAAGAGACATACAAATGATGTACTTTTTCCATTCTCCCCTATTCTGTGCAGTCTAGCCAGAGTCTCAGGTGCCTGGTAGTCTGGATTCTTGATTTAATGGCCCAGACTGAGCTATTAGCCACTTCAATTAATGTAACTCCTGCAAGGCTGGGCGTGGTGGCTCATGCCTGTAATCCCAGTGTGTCCGGAATTGGTGGGTTCTTGGTCTCACTGACTTCAAGAATGAAGCTGCGGACCCTCACGGTGAGTGTTACAGTTCTTAAAGGCGGCGTGTCTGGAGTTTGTTCCTTCTGATGTTCGGATGTGTTTGGGGTTTCTTCCTTCTGGTGGGGTTCGTGGTCTCGCTGGCTCAGGAGTGAAGCTGCGCACCTTCGCGGGTGAGTGTTACAGCTCTTCAGGTGGCACGTCTGGAATTGTTCCTCCCGGTGGGTTCGTAGTCCTTCTGGCCTCAGGAGTGAAGCTGCAGATGTTCGCGGTGAGTGTTACAGCTCATAAAGGCAGTGTGGACCCAAAGAGTGAGCAGTAGCAAGATTTATTGCAAAAAGGGAAAGAACAAAGCTTCCACAATGAGGAAGGGGACCCGAGTGGGTTGCCACTGCTGGCTCGGGCAGCCTGCTTTTATTATCTTATCTGGCCCCACCCACATCCTGCTGATTGGTAGAGCTGAGTGGTCTGTTTTGACAGGGCACTGATTGGTGCGTTTACAATCCCTGAGCTAGACACAAAGGTTATCCACGTCCCCACCAAATTAGCTAGATACAGAGTGTGGACACAAAGGTTCTCCAAGTCCCCACCAGAGTAGCTAGATACAGAGTGTCGATTGGTGCATTCACAAACCCTGAGCTAGACACAGGGTGCTGACTGGTGTGTTTACAAACCTTGAGCTAGATATAGAGTGCCGATTGGTGTATTTACAACCCCTTAGCTAGACATAAAGGTTCACCATGTCCCCCTCAGACTCAGGAGCCCAGCTGGCTTCACCCAGTGGATCCCTCACCAGGGCTGCAGGTGGAGCTGCCTGCCAGTCCCGTGCCATGTGCCCGCACTCCTAAGCCCTTGGGTGGTCGATGGGACTGGGCGCTGTGGAGCAGGGGGCGGTGCTCGTCGGGGAGGCTCGGGTGGCACAGGAGCCCATGGAGCGGGCGGGGAGGCTCAGGCATGGCGGGCTGCCTGTCCCAAGCCCTGCCCCGGCGGAAGGCAGCTAAGGCCTGGCGAGAGATTGAGCACAGCAGCTGCTAGCCCAGGTGCTAAGCCCCTCACTGCCTGGCCAGTGGGGCCGGCCTGCCGCTCCGAGTGCGGGGCCCGCCAAGCCCACACCCACCCCGAACTGGCGCTGGCCCGCAAGCACCGTGCGCAGCCCCAGTTCCCGCCCACGCCTCTCCCTCCACACCTCCCCGCAAGCTGAGGGAGCCAGCTCCGGCCTTGGCCAGCCCAGAAAGGGGCTCCCACAGTGCAGCGGCGGGCTGAATGGCTCCTCAAGTGCCGCCAAAGTGGGAGCCCAGGCAGAGGAGGCCCCGAGAGCGAGCGAGAGCTGTGAGGACTGCCAGCACGCTGTCACCTGTCACCAGCACTTTGGGAGGCTGAGGCTGGCAGATCACTTGAGCTCAGGAGTTCCAGACCAGCCTGGGCAACATGGCAAAACCCCCCGTCTCTCCAAAAAAAAACAAAAGTTGGCCAGGCATAGTGGCACACGCCTGTAGTCCCAGTCATTTGGGGTGCTGAAGCGGGAGGTTTGCTTGAGCCTGGGAGTCCAGGCTGAGACCACCACCTGCACTCCACACCACTGCACTCCAGCCTGGATGACAGAGCCAGACCCTGTCTCAAAAAATATGTATATATAACTCCTTCATTTCACTTATACTTTTGTTCTCCTTCCAGGAACGTTGTGTGGTAGCACTTTCCATTTAAATTTGTGCATGGCTATGTGATGTCCTTCGGTCACTAGAAGATGAATAGAAACGTCCTGTGTTACCTCTTGGTGAAAGTCTTTAAGGCAGTGTGCAATTATGTTCTCTTTACCTGCCTTGGCTCCACCATGTTGCAGATGGTGCAGGCGGAGGCCTGTGTCTCTGAGAAGCCGAGGTCCTGACTGCCTGAGATGAACATGTCCTGTGAGCAAAAAATAAGCCTCTTTTTCAAAGATTTACTTGACAATGAAGCATAACCTAGCCCAAAACACTTCCATGGTTGCATTTCTTCATTTCCAGGTCTCTTTTGTGTCTCACTTTCTGAAGTTCTTGGGGTCAACATAGAAGGTAAGAATGCAACAGCACCCATTAGATGTAATGCTGTTTATCCATATGCAGTGGCGTGCTTGTGGTGACCTTTTCTATAAAAGGATGTTAACACCCCCTTGCTATTGAACTCACATGTGGTCATGCAACTTACTATGGCCAATGAAATGGAGCAAAAATGATACGTAATTTGCTGCGTTTTCTCCCTTCCCCTTAGCAACTTTTAAAGTCTCAGAAAGAGGCTGCTATGTCATCCTGGGTCCTAGAGTCAAAGTGACATGAGGAGAACTGCACCTGGCCCTTGATGGTGATGTAGGGTAAGAGAGAAACACATCCGTATTATGTAAGCCTCTGAGAGTATGGGGGTCATTTGTTACGACAACCTGTTATGTAACACAACATCAAACCCACACAATTTAGGAAACCCAAGTAAATCGCAGAACTGAATATCCACGTGATGACCATTCTCACAGAAGTGGGGCCTGCTGGCCTGATTGGTTAGGTTTAAGACCTTCCTGGGCCTGTGCTCCGCTACTTGTCCTAAAGATCAGGACTAACAGGTGACATTGTCCTGTTTGACTTCCGGCCTCCACAGGGCCTTGCTCCAAGGCAGTGCATCATTCCTGATTATTTGACTGCCTGGATAGGTGGACTCGCTCTGCGTGTAGACCCAGCCATGTAAGATTTGGAAGGGAAGGAATAAAGAGCAAGAGACTTCACTCAAGCCTCCTGACCTCCACCATATTTATTCAGCTTAACTATTCATCTGACAATGGGGCCTTCCTAGTTATTGATCAAGCAGTATTTAGCTACTGTTCCTTGGTTGTGTGACACTTAGGAATAAACCCCCAGAGGGAAGATTGAATGAGTCGTCTGATTACCCCAAACCCCAGTGCAAACCTGGACTCCTTTGACTATACACAGTCTACATCAATCAGTTTCCCAAACAAAAGCAGCATTCCAAACAGACAGCGTGCTTGTGTATTCACCCATATTATTGTTACCAAGTAGCCCTTAGCAGAAATTTAATGTTGTCTTGAGGGAGAAGTAAACAGGGAACAAAATAAAGAATAAGTGCTCAGTTAAGACGCTTTAGAGACCTATTTCAAATTACTCTTTTTTCAAATTAAAAAAAAAAAAGAGGTTTTGCTTTGAGGATTAATTGCAGGGATGCTGAGTAATGAAGCTATAGAGCACAGCGTAGAGCCAAGACACATCCACCCAGCTGCCTCCCCCAGGCAGTCACATGGTGAGCAAGCGAATATGGCTGTCCTCATTGGACTCACATGCCTAATTATTAACACATTATATATCGTTGCCTACGTAGCTCTGCTATCAGCAATACAGTTTAAACAACTGGGCAGAAAGTTGTGGAGGACCACAATATAACAGTGTTTTTAAATGATTCTATTTTCTACAAGTACTTCACAGTCAGATAATTCTCATAAGAAAAAGCACTGAAGCTTGAATGCCCAAACTGAATAGAATTTTCAGAAATGGGAATTGTGACTGTTTAAAGTATATTCCTTTTGGTTTTTTTTTTTTTCCTCTCTCTCTCTCTTCTCTGATTCAAGACCTGCATGAATAATTGGGTTTTTGGCTTGTTTGGGGGAAGACTTTCACATTTGCAAATTAATGACCCAGTCCTAGCTGAGATGGTAACATCCAAATACTTCATTTAATAAACAAACCCATGTCTGGATTTTTAAAATAGCCCTAGACTATGGATTGGATTGTCATTCATTTGTGCTCTAAGGCATCAATCCGTGACCGACTGAAGAGGAAACCTAACCGAGCACACGTGTCAGGACTGTTTAAATGAAGGAAAGGAATTCACTTGACTTTGAAACTGCAGTTATTCAGATAAGTCAGTCAAAATACCAACTTCTGCAATCCGTCATTACTTAGAAAATGATGGGAACTCAAAACTATCTATTTTAAAAAACTATTTCTAAGGGCCGGGCGAGGTGGCTCACATCTGTAATCCCAGCACTTTGGGAGGCTGAGGTGGGTGGATCATCTGAGCTCAGGAGTTTGAGACCAGCCTGGCCAACATAGTGAAACCCCATTTCTACTAAAAATACAAAAATTAGCTGGGCATGGTGTTGCACATCTGTAATCCCAGCTACTCGGGAGGCTGAGGCTGGAGAATCACTTGAACCCAGGAGGTGGAGGTTACAGTGAGCAGAGATTGCACTCCAGCCTGGGCAAGAGAGGGAGGCTCTGCCTTAAAAACAAACAAACAAACAAACAAACAAACAAAAAACTATTTCTAATGTTATATAAGGTAATTATTTCAGCACTATAAGTACCTGACCTTTGTGTCAGGTACTGTGCAGATGCAATGACAAACTGGACAGGGTATCACAATAGAATTGTAATAGAATGTGATTGATGCTATGAACGTGATAGAAATATGGATGAAATGTGTGCACCCTGGGCTGGGGTTGGCGGTGGAGACAAGACAATCTATGGATGTCTTGGGACATCTTCCCATAGGAGATATGGGAAGAAAAAAATATAAAAACTTGCCCTAACATTTTTTATCTCATCCTTTAATTTGTTCTGTATTTGTGTATTTTAATATACATGATTGGTACTATGTGTGGTAGCAGCACACATACAATTTATAATTAGATATAGGCAGATATGGTGCATAGCTACCTGTGTAGGGAGCTCTGATAAAAGTGAACAGAAACAGGGACACTGTCATTTGATCCAAGGTGTGGAGGACTCAAGATGACTTTCCTGAATAAGAGATATTCCACCTGAATCTTACAGGGGGACCTGTGATTTCTCCAGGCAGAACAATTGTCAGAGGTGGGAATACTAGTTAGAAGGAAAACATTGCGGCCGGGTGCGGTGGCTTATGCCTGTAATCTCAGCACTTTGGGAGGCAGTGGAGGGCAGATCACAAGGTCAGGAGTTTGAGACCAGCCTGGCCAACATGGTGAAACCCCGTCTCTACTAAAAAACTACAAAAATTAGCTGGGCATGGTGGTGTGGGCCTATAATCCCAGCTACTCAGGAGGCAGGCTGAGGCAGGAGAATTGCTTGAACCTGGGAGGCGGAGGTTGCAGTGAGCTGAGATGGTGCCATTGCACTCCAGCCTAGGCAACAGAGCAAGACTCAGTCTCAAAAAAAAAAAAAAAAAAAAAAAAAAAAAAGGAAAACATTGCAGTGTTTCCTTATATGGCTGAAAGAAGAAAAGACTTTTACAAAATGTGGTATGGCCCAGGAGAGCATTGATGCACCTTGGGACAAGTGAGGGAAGAGAGAGGCAGAACCGATGGTAGAAAGGTTGAGCCCAGAGGGTGAAGAGCTTAGGGTGCTAAGTTCAAGACTCAGGTTTACTCCATAAAGTGAAGGAGAAGAGTGGGGGGAAAGAAAAGGATATGGTGGTTTTCTGGATAATCAGATCTTTCCAAGGCCCCATTGGACAAATCTGTGGGATTTCTTCTTAGTTATAATGCTAAGCGTGGGCCTGCCTCTGTTGGAGGAAGAAAGAAGAAGAATAAAAAAACTCCTTAGCATACAAAATGTAGCCCTGAGAATGAGAAGCCCTCATATTTTTAACAACTGGCCCATAATGAGTCCTCCTGCAGTCTATAACCAAATCCATATTGTTGGTTAGCACAGTGTTGATCTCAGACATAGGGTCAGATAAGCGTTATCTTTGGATTCACTCTCTTTTCTACTCCTAGTGATATTTTATTCTTATTACTAGACAACTGCCTAAAATCACAAATATCCAGATCATGCAACCAAGTGCCTTCTTGGACAACCTGCAGTACTTGACATTGTTGACAGTCTTTCCATACTGTTTGTGGGTCTTGGTTGCAAGCAACAGAAATAACTGTGGCTGATTTAGGTAGAAAAGTAAGAGAAAAATATTAGGTGTCTCAAATAATGTAGGGGAATGGGGTGGTCTTGGTGGATGGGCAGGGAATCAGTTGAGGAGGCTAGAAAGCCAAGAATAAGTCCGAAAATCATGCCAGAGATGGATCCAGGGAATCTGCTGCCAGCCCTGGATGCTGCTGCTTACACTGTGGGAGGCACCAATGCTACCTGCACCTGTCACTGCTGCTACCATTCACTGTCGTGTATCCTGCAGCATCCCTCGCTTCTTACGCAGAGCCTGAGGCACAGGTGCTGATGGGCAGAGTCCAGGTTGTACCCCTGCATCCTAGCTGCAAGGGAGGCTGGGAAAGTAATCAGGCTTTACCTAATAGGTGAGAAATTCCCCAAACATAGCAAAGGGGCTCAGATGCTGGAGAGTCAAAAAGAAAGCTAAATGTTCTTCACTTTCTGTCCCTTTCTGAAACACGTCTGTGTTGTTTCCATGACACTGTCTAATGTGGTTCCCTCCTCTCTGTTTTGCCACTAGCTTCTCTTCCTCAGGACAATGGCCCTTGTGATACCATAAAAAGATGTCTGGTCTTTGTCCCTGGTTCCTAGCACAGAGCTGCTAAAACCCTTGAAACTTCAACTGATAGAGGTGACAAGAGCTTCTTTTGTTCTAATTGTCTCAGTGGGCTCCTGGATAGCCTCAGGATGAGGGCTGGTTGCCAGAAAGACCATGCCTTGATTAGAAGCTTGGAAGTTCCAGCCCCACCCCCAATAACCTCTGGGGGGATGGGAGGAGCTGCTAAAGATTGAGTTAATCAGCAATGGCCAATTATTTAGTCAATTGTGCCTATGTGGTGAAACCTCCATTAAAACCCCTAAATAGGCCAGTGCGGCGTCTCGCATCTGTAATCCCAGCACTTTGGGAGGCAGAGGCAGGCGGATCATCTGAGGTCAGGAGTTTGAGACCAGCCTGGCTAATATGGCAAAACTGTGTCTCTACCAAAAAGACAAAAAATTAGCTGGGCGTGGTGGTATGCGCCTGTAGTTCCAGCTGCCCATCCAGGAGGCTGAAGCAGAAGAACCGCTTGAACCCAGGAGGGGTAGGTTGCAGTGAGCTGAGATCACACCATTGCACTCCAGCCTGGGCTACAAGAGTGAAACTCCGTCTCAAAAACAAAAATAAAAACAAAAAACTCTAAGTGATTGGATTTGGAGAACTTCTGAGTTGGCAAACACATCTATGTGCTGGAAGGGTGGCACAGCCCAACTCCAAGGGACAGAAGCTCCAATGCTCAGGACTCTTCTGGACCTCACTCTATGTACCTCTTCATCTGGCTGCTCATTTTTATGTTTAATAGTATTCTTCATAATAAACCAGTAAACATAAATAACGTGCCTTCCTGAGCTCCATGAGCCTTTCTAGCAAATTATTGAATTTGAGGAGTAGGTCGTGAGAACAGAAGTAGAAGTGCCCCAGACTTGTGAGTAGCATCTGAAGTGGGGTCAGTCTTATGGGACTGAGCCCTTTAACCTGTGAGATGTGATGCTGATTTCAGGTACATAGTGTCAGAATTGAATTGAATTGTTGGACACCCAGTTGGTGTCAGAGAGTTGGAGAAGTAGTGTTGGAAAAGACACGGAGTTTGGTGTCAAGAGGAAAAAAACTGAACAGCTCCCAAGGTGATGTCCCCAACTTGGTGTTATGACAATCGCCACTCTCTCTCTATACTGAATAACTCCTGTTTCTCTTCTCATTCTTTTGTGGGTCACTTCACATCTGTATTTTAGTTGATAACTATTCTCTAAGCTCCAGTCTTTGTGTCTACCTGATTACTGAACATTTCTTTGCAGATGGTTCACCTTCACTTCAAATGCAATTTGTCCAAAATGGAAAACCAGATCTTTTCAATTAACAAGCTCTTCTCTCTGACTTCTCTAACCATGGTACTTAGCCATTCAGATTCCAAACTTCAGAATCATTTTTTTAGTTCAGTCTGGTTAATCCTAAGTCTTTTTGATATATCCTTCATCCACCTTATTTTGCTAATTCTGTAGCCACCACTCTAGTTCATTTCCTTATTATGTCTAGACTATTGCAAGTGTCTTCAAGCAAGTCTCACTATCATCTGTCTAGACTCTTGCCAGTACATGCTGGACTCTGCCCTTAGTCTCTTCTTAGTGGGCTACTTAAATGAGTGTCAGTCTCTCAACACACAATGGTTCCCACTGACTACAGAAGAAAGTACAGCTTTGTAAAGTTGCCATTTAAGGTGACAAGAGTCTTGCCACAACTTCGTTACTTGTTCTAACATTGTATAGTCTAAAGTTAACTTCAAACATTTGAATAAACTAAGGGTTGTTATCTAGTGGGATAATAGAAGAATACGTTGATTCCAATCATTCAAAGGTCCCTTAAATTCTACACCTGTAATGTTTCATCTTGCAGTATCTTCTCTTCTATTACCACTGCCCTACTTCAGTTTCTTCCTATTGTCAGTTGGTTCCCCAAGGTCCTTCAATGAATCATGCAGCTTCCCTGAGAGCACAAAACACATGCATCTCAAAATTTGGGGTTTCCCGCTTTCCTCTCTTTTAATCTCATGTTTCTCCCAAAGTAGGTGTCAATGTACACAGCAGGGAAATGGAAACAAGACTTGCCTACTCTGTAGAGCCAAAGAACATGACAATTTAATTTAAACAAGATAACTCCAACATCCGTTTGACTTAATGCTAGTAAAATGCTATTTCTGAAAATTATATTTTCATTTGTGTAAAACAATTATGCCACAGCTATTTTATTGTTATTGCAGTTGGGAAATTTTTTTTTGGGAAAAAAAGACATAAAGCATGTTTTGGTCCTAGCTTCTTCAAGTAAAATAAATGATGTATGTATTTCTATGCCTAACATTCTTCCAGTAGATGACCAGAAGTCCTCAGGGCCCTGGTGGCCTCCTTTCCAGTGGATCTGGTCAGCCATACCCTTTCTTCCTCGGCTGGGACTTGGGTCCTCCCCAAGGCCAGTGCCCCATTGCTGGGCTTGCTACTGGCCTCTCCAGACAGCTTTCCTGTCTTCTCACCCCATCTTTGTGTGCTAGCAATACTGTTCCTGACATGATGAACTGTGGCCACATTGGTCTACTTGCCATCCTGCAAATATCGCTTGCTTCACTGACTTCATGTCTTCTTCATTTTCCCCCTTTTCTATTTCTACTAGTTTGGAGTCTTCCCTCATTTCATGACCTCTATTGAAATCCCACCTTCTCCCTGAAACCATCCTCAATCATCCATGTCAGAGTTTTCCTTCACCAAGCACACTCCAAACTGTTCAATTCATCTGGACCTCTCCTATAACTGCCCTGTTCAGTAATTATTTGTGTGGTTACTTGGTAGGTGGTAAAGAGCTGTACTAAAGTAAGATAACATTATTTGTAGTTTTATCTTTTCAGAGATTTTGTGAGTTCCTGAAGGGCAGAAGCTGAATTCTCAGCCTTGTTTCATGCTCTAGCATCTAGCACAGCATCTTTTCAAAGCAGAAGATGAGGTGTTTTAGCTTGGAAGTGTAGAGCAAGGGGAGGATTATTGGCAGTGCAGTGCCACTGAGACATGAGAATAGGGTCTGGAGGCAGGGAACCTAAGGCCGATTCATGCTAACTTCCTAGAACTAAATCAAAAGGAAAACCCCAACTTTCCACATCTAAGTAATAAAAGGACCTGAGACTACTCCTTTTGCAAACCCCCACCCCCTTTTCTGTGTGGTAGATGGAAAATTGAAAGTATCAATGATTGGTTGCTTTCCACAACCAATCAGTTTGCATAGGAGTGTAACTTTGTAACTTTGCTTCAGCCCGATTGGTTGCTTTCCTCAACCAGTCAGACTGATTGCGGGTCAAGTCTTTGTGTGCATAGAAGTGTAACTTTGTACCTTCACTTTAGCCTCTGATTGGTTGCTTTCCACAACCAATCAGACGTTTGCATAGGGTGTAACTTTTGTACTTTCACTTAACCCTCTGATTGCGGACCACTACTTCATTTGCATAGGGTGTACATTAAGTGACCAATGGGAACCTTTAGAGGGTATTTAAACCCCAGAAAATTCTGGAACTGGGCTCTTGAGCCCCTATGCTCAGGCCACTCCCACTCTGTGGAGTGTGTACTTCTGTTTTCAATAAATCTCTGCTTTTGTTGCACCATTCTTTCCTTGCTTTATTTGTGCGTTTTGCCCAATTCTTTGTTCAAAACACCAAGAACCTGGACACCTTCAACCGGTAACCACTGCCAATACCCAGCTCTCCTCTATTCTGGGACAGTACTTTCTCCCCCTTCAATGAAACATGAGCAGAAGTGACTTGTGACACTTTCACTGGGAGCACTGGATTGCTGGTGCTTGGCTCTCCAGCACACCCTTCCCCGGCAACAACGATTGTGGAGAACTTGAGTTGAGATGTGGCCAGACTAGAGCACTAACAATGGGGAACAGCTGGCCTGGAGGGTCGCCCGCACTGCAGCAGGCTTGGCATGACTTGGCATGACTTAGAAAGCCTTTGTTACGTTAAGCCACTGAAAATGTTGGGTTGTTTGTTACCATGGCATAACCTTGCCCATCTCATACTTATTATTTTAAATCTCTAATGATTGGGGGTAAAAGGTGACTTTGAGCCCGAGTTGGCTTCTTAGAAATCTGGCACCTCAAATACAGCAGATCTAAAACTAAACAGGGAGTAACCAAGTGCAGTGGGTAAGAGAAAGGATTTTGGAGTTAGGTTGATCAGGATTTTTGTGCTGGCTTCCACAATGTACAAATTATGCGTCCTAAGCTGGCAGTTTTCAAACTTTGTGGTCTCAGGATCCCTTTACATTCTGAAAAATTGAGGACTGCAAAGAGCATTCGTTTATGTCGGTTACATCTGTGAATATTTACTGTATTAGAATTAAAACAGAAATTTAAACATATGTATTAATTCATTTTAAATGAACAATAATAACCCTATCATATGTTAATATGTTGTTTTTATGAAAAATACATTTTCCAAACAAAAAACTTCATGCGAAGTGTATCATTGTTTTACATTTTTGCAGATCCTTGTAATGTCTAGCTTAATAGAAGACAGGTAGATTCTCATAATTTGTTTCTTCATTTTATTTATTTTGGATGACGTAAAGGAAGAAAATGCAGCCTCACACAGATACGTAGTTGAAAAAGGGTCATTTGGAAAATACTGTTTCTTCAAAGTATGCAGATCTTCCAAGGGTTGAGACATTTCATTACACAATATTTTAAAATCAAATTTGTGAACACCACCATTGATCTCATTAAAAAGTCTTTAAGGATGGGGAAGCTGTTAAACTCATGGCAGCACATACAAGTTTTCCAAAATTCTAATTTCACTTGGAAGGTTGATTTGTATTAATGTAAACAAATTACATCAGTTGTTTTCCTTAAAGTGACAAGCTCTTTTTTTGAGAAAATACCCAGCCCCTAAACCTGAATAACCTGAATAAGTTTGTCAATTTTTTAGTCAATTAAACATGGCGTTACATGAAAAATGCAGCTAGTTCAGCTTGCAACTCAAGCAATCTCACAAGTGTTTTTTCTTGAGACATCATGCTTTAATACGTAGAAGTACTTTTATGCTTACCCCTCAACTCGTTACACAAAATATTACAAAGATGAATACTCAAGGGTGTAATTTAATAAACTTAGTAATTTTTACTGCTTCATCAAGGACCTTGTAAGTGAACTTGGCTTATTTTGTTTTCCCACTGTAAGCATAGTTTGGTGCCACTACCTTGACTAGTGCTACAGCAGTAGATAGCACTTTTATCCATGATTGCTTTTGCACTATTGGTGGAAATACACACGCATAAAAGCAAGTAATGTGTTAGTATTGCTATAAAAGTAGTTTTGACCTTGTAAACCTGGATACCCTGAGTGTCAGGGACCCCTAAGAGAATCGCTGTCCTTAGGCAAGCTACTTAATCTCCCTAAAGTAAGAATGATAGTCATAAAGCTGTTTGGAAAACTAAATATTATTCAACATGAAATAAAGTACGTATAGCACTTAGTATAGTGCATGGTATATAACAAGCATTTCAGTAAAGATTAGCTATTACTATGCATCTATTGATAATGTGAGGGCATTGCTGTCACTTACACTAGCAGTAATGATCATCTTTCCTTTTTCTCCACAAACTCATTCCTCTGGCAGATCTCCGTTTTAGTTAATTGCCTCATTTGTCTCCTCTGTGGCCTCTCTCTTTGCTCCAGCATCGACTCACTCGCAAGTATAATTGATCTGACCCTCTGTTGTGCCCTCACAGCAATCCTTTCCCTTCTATTCCTGTTGCTACTACCTCCGTTAAATAACAGGGTTTCCATTAAAGGCAGTTCTGGCTGTTGGTATTTGACCTGCCTGAGACTCAGTTTACTAATCTTGTAAAGTGGGAACAGTAGTCCTGTCATAGGTTTTTCTTTTTTTGGTGTGGGGTTAACTGAAATAATATATTTGAAAGTAACTTGGGAGGCCGAGGCGGGCGGATCACGAGGTCAGGAGATCGAGACCATCCCGGCTAAAACGGTGAAACCCCGTCTCTACTAAAAATACAAAAAATTAGCCGGGCGTAGTGGCGGGCGCCTGTAGTCCCAGCTACTTGGGAGGCTGAGGCAGGAGAATGGCGTGAACCCGGGAGGCGGAGCTTGCAGTGAGCCGAGATCCCGCCACTGCACTCCAGCCTGGGCGACAGAGCGAGACTCCGTCTCAAAAAAAAAAAAAAAAAAAAGAAAGTAACTGGCAGAGTGCCTAGCTACTGCATGTGTTCAGTACATACATGTTAGTTTTCCTTCATTTCCCCTTTCCTCATAATTTTTTCTAGCCAGTCTTTTTTCTTTCTTTCCCCTCTCTAATCCATCCACAACATTAACACTGAATTAAACTTCTCACAGCACTGATCAATCATTAAATCAGTACCCAACTCACGTGAACTGAGTGTTCATCATGTGAATTCATCACAATTGAAATATTCATTATTTTTCTGATAGGGGTTGCCGAGTTAGGACACCAGGTAGGCCTTACGAGCTACAGTCTTGTAGTGGAGGTTTTGGTCATCACCTGCTGAAACATCCTTCCATCTATCCACTGCTCATTGCCCCACTCAAGGGAAGGCCATTCTCCTAGCACGGTGCCCAAGCCCCTGCTCGGTACGGTCCTAACCAGCCTCCCCTCCATGTTCCCTCGTGCTGGCCAAACTAAACAGCTCCTCAGTCTCTGAACTCTCGGTCTTCCATGGCATTTCTTGCTTGTCTCCTCTGCTTGGAATGCCTTCTCCCCTTCTCTCTTGGCAACCGCGCCATCTCGGTGAGGCCCCATGCAGCCCCACTGATGAATGTGCTTTCCTTCTCCTTGCCCTTGTTCGTACGCTTCTTAGGGGATTTCCATGTTCCAGGAGGGTTTATGGCTATTTCTGTATGTCCTGGTCCTCCTAACTAGACTGTGATCTCCCCCAGGAAAATGCATTTTCCTCCAAACTCAGCATGCCATATGAGGGCCTCATACATGCAGTTAGTCCGTGATACATTCGTCACAAACACATAAAATTTTTGTTGAGCTTATTAAGCAAGATCCTACATCTGAAAGCAGCTGTTGTAAAATGAACAACTACTTATTAGCAACAGCACCAAAAACACCAACACATTTTGTGTGGGCTGCTGAACAGTCATGCCCCACGCCTTCTGTTCTTAGTGAAAGTCAAATGCAGACACTTCCTGTCATGCCTGCTATGAGTGATTCCTGATCTTTACTGGGAACAGAAGGATATGTGATTCTACAAAGGAGAGCGAAACAGCCAAGTAGATCATCTATTTCTGATTAGAAGTTTCTAGGATAGCTTTCTTGTAGACAGGCTTTATATCACTCTGTGTCTTCAAATGTCAATGGCTTCAGATTTCTGGGCTTTCCTGGGGGGTCTGCTGAGATGGTAACCTGTTATATTTCCTGGATTTTGGTTCAGGGTTGTTAGGCTGTGAGAATCCCTTTGTTAAGCTTCTTTGAATAAAAATCTTGGTTGAAAGTTTGGTTTGACAGAATGGGTTTTGCCTAAATATATATATATATATATATATTTTTTTTTTTCCAGACAGAATCTCACTCTGTCGCCCAGGCTGGAGTGCAGTGGCGTGATCTCGGCTCACTGAAACCTCTACCTCCCCAGTTCAAACGATTCTCCTGCCTCCCCCTCCTGATTAGCTGGGATTACAGGCGTGCGCCACCATGCCCAGCTAATTTTTATATTTTTAGTACAGATGGGCTTTCACTACATTGGCCAGGCTGATCTTGAATGCCTGACCTCAAATGATCCACCCGCCTCAGCCTCCCAAAATGCTGGGATTACAGGTGTGAGCCACTGCACCTGGCCTTGCCTATAATTTTTGAATAGCTTTGGAAGCAATGTGAGACAAGCTCCCTGAGGGCATTAAAGAAACCACCGTATGTCATCAAAGGATTCTTCCTGAGTACATGCAGTGGGGCTGTGGCTCTGGGTCCTCTCTGAGTGATGAAAGTTTTGCTCCCTCTCTTCTCTTCCTGTCTCCCTCTTCTCCACGGGGATCATAGATTATCTTCCTTCCCAAAACGCTAAAGCGTAAGGTACAAGTGATGAGTCTTTCTCCTGTAACCCCCTAGTGTGCACTGATTGTGGGGTGTGAGGATGGTGAGCAGATGATTAAAGTACTGTAGCATAGGTCTGATATTATAATGACCTTAAGTCCCGGAGACCCTGTTTTAGACATTCTATTTTACTATTAAACCTTAAGACCTGATTTTAGGTTTGGAAAATAATCCTCAAGACCACTCATAATTCATAAACCTGCTGTTTTATGCAGGAAGAGAATAGTCCTCCTGAATTGTGTTGACTGCTAATCCACTTTAGGCCTGACACTGAGTGAAAGGGCACCGAGAGTGGGAAGAGTTGGAATATGCCCTTTGGGCTTTGCTAGTATAGAAACAGGGTGCCTGGGAGGCCCCTTCCAAGTCACAGGAGAGAGGCAGCAGGCTGGAGGGGGCACAGTGAGAAGCTGTTCCTCCTTGCAGCCCCTCTCCCCACCCGCCACACTACTGTTGATTTGCACATTCGTGCTGTGCCTCAGCCTGGGGCGCCTGTCCTCCTTTCTCAGCTCAGGAACCTGCTATTTCTCCTTTAAGATCCTGTGCAACAGTCGCTTCTTTTCTTACAGATTCCAAAGGCCCTGAGAGATTTTTTTTTCCCTGTGTGTTCCAAAGTGTGCTGATCTACGCATGCCATAGCATTTATAAGAAGGTAGCAAAGTTAGTTATGAACATTTTTGTCTCCCAAACTGGACCGTGAGTTCTTGGGCCCAGGACCATGTTTTATGCTCTTTAATATCTGCCCCAGAGCTTAGCAAAGGGCACATCAGCTAGAGGTGCTCCCTATCATTTGAATGAATGGAGTTCAGCCTTTTGGGCCTCAAGGATAACTGTTGTAAGATCAGAAACCATCTGTTTGGAACTTGTTCATTAGATTATTTGGCTCTCAGTGGTTTTAGTATGTCTTTATGTTCTCCTTTAGTATTTAGAAAATTATCTGTAAAATTACCAGTCTGTTTTAACCAGGTTGCGACAGTGCCTTCCCCAACAAAAGATGGCTCCTTGCTTCTTCCCCTGTCCCTCAACAAAGAAAGTTTCAGGGGCCAGCATGGAGGTGACAGCTGGGATTGAGTAAATCCCAAGAAGATGGCTTGCTTGTTTTCATATCACAATCTTAAAGTTTATAGGATTTATTTTTTTTCTACTTAGAGTTGTTCCTTTACAGTCAATGTTATAGGCAAGCAGTGCCTATCATGTATCTGTTAGTATCCTCATCAGTACGTTGCTCTAGGAAACTCTCCTGACATGTGATTGGGAGAGAGAACTCCCAGCAAGTCCATTTATCATATGACTAGAGTAAGTGAAAGGCAATTCTTTTTAAAATGTGAGTTATGGAGCTTTGTAATGTGCCATTTATCTATGTCTACTGTGGAAAGGAAGGACACCAGGGCAAGTTTATTACTTAAACGGTGTGTTCTCTGTTGTCCTTAGGGCTTAATTTTCCACACCTTGTTCTGGAACATAGTAATACTCTAACATGATGAATTTCCATGAAAACATTGATTAAGCACCAGGAGTTGCTTACCCACGTGGAGTAGGCATTTGACCCTGCTTATTAGTCTTCTGTGTCTAATTAAACAGTTTGGTTAAATGTTTACTACCCCACATATGCAAGGAATATTTTCTTGGAAAAAAGCGAAAACAGCTTTGGAAATTGGAAACAATCTAGAACTACTAGGCAGGTAAGCTTGAGAATTTCCCAAGGATAAAAGCAATGAATTCAGTCAACCATAGATTTGAAATGCTTCACTAAGAAATGAAATGGAAGGATCCCTACATTTCTTTTTCCTCCCATCAAAATGGTATTGACAAGAGACCATAAACCTTGGGCGAATGGAACAAAAGGGAACTATTTGCACTCACACTAAATGGATCACACGTGAAATATTTAGTTCCCAGTTTTAAGAAGTCAATATAAACCACACAGAGAGAAAATTCTTTGTCTCCAGGCCTCCTTTTCAAAACAATCCCAGCAGGTATTGCACAATTGCAGACAATACTGTCCTAATGCATTAGAGCCTAAGTCCCCTAAACGCATTCAAGTTAAGAGGGCTCAAGCCTACAAATGTTTATTCAGCACCTGCTTCTCTGTCTCCAGGACATCCTACTTGTATTCCCAGGGCCATCCTACTTGTACTCCCAGGGCCTCCTCCTCCTTAAATGTTTAGCAAGTAGGTGAATGTTGTATGTCCATGTGAAAGATACTGGCATTCCTAGGGTGCTTAGCAGAGTTGCAGTCACATAGTAGGTATCCAACAAATGAGTAAATATGAAGGAAAACATAGAAACTGCCTTCAAGAGGTCATGGGCTAAACTAGGGCTGGGAAAAGCACTTGGTCCTGTGCACTTCCTTGGAAACAGAAGTGAGCCAAGGCTTGAGGGAGGCACGAAGGAGTTCAGAACCACTGAAGGGAGCCTCTAGTTCTTACTTGTAATGCTTTCCCCTTCAGTGCACCACACAACACAACAGGACCAGTCCCCTATCAGGGCCACCACTCTACCGGGCTGGGGAGGAAAGCCCTTCGCAGTCCTGCGGGAACAGGAGGCACTCCCACATTGCTCCACTTCTCTGTATTCCAGTTTAATTAATTTTTATATTTTGAATAAAATTACACCCACTCTCTTCCATTATGGTGAACACTTAAAATTACATTTATAGAAAATTACATTTACACAAACTTGTTTAAAAGCCAAATCCCAGACCTAGGCTATTGGCCAAATTCCATTTAAAGGGGATATTAAGTAAATTAGTTGAGCTGATTAAAAACACCTTCATCAAAGTAGAGCATTGGTGCCAACAATATTAAGAGTTGAACTATTGATTACATTTTTTTTTCCACAGCAGATAATACATTAGCAGGGAGGAAAAGTGATTACTGCTCGCTTCCACTTCACAGGTAGAACTACTGATGGGGGTGACGCGGTAAGGTGGGAGGGCATGAAGGCAGGGGACGCGGCCTAGGTCAGGAGGGACGCAGAGGAGAAAGGAAGAGGAGGGGTGGAGGCTGGTGGCTGGAGGGGGCAGAGGTCAGACGCCTCGAAGGAGGGCGCCGTGAGGGCAGAGCCGCGGCCACCTCTACCGCAGCAGCCCGTCGGGCCGGACACCAGCCGCAGCCGCCAGCCCGGCAGACGCTGGAAGCGCGCACAGGGGTGCTCCCGCTCCCGGCCGCCAGAGGGCGCGGCCGGCGATGGCGCGGCGGAGACGGAGGGAGGAGGGGAGCCGGCAGAGAAGGGTCAGCCGCGGCGGCAGGGCGGCGGCGGCAGCGGCGCAGCTCCGCTCCCCGCGCGTCTCCCTTCCCCGCGCCCAGGTAGGGCGCTCAGCCTCCGCCGCCAGGATGCGGCCGCCCGCCTGCTGGTGGCTGCTCGCGCCGCCGGCGCTGCTCGCGCTCCTCACCTGCTCCCTGGGTAAGTAGCGGGCGGCCAGGCGCGCAAGGGCGAGGCGTGGGGTTCGCGGGCACAGTCGCCCGTGCCCCGGTCGGCGCGGGGAGGGAGGCGCAGGGCGGCCCAGCCCTGCCCCGCCGGCGCGCGCGTCCCGCCGTCCGGTCCCCGCCGCGCCGCGCCGTCAGCAGCGCCCTCTCGCGGCGCCCAGGTGGGACCCGGGCCCGGGACCCGAGGCGTGCCCGCTCGGCCCCTTTCGGTCTTGGGTCCCCGCTGCCGCCCCGGCCCCAGACTCGCGTCTCCCAGCCTCTGCCGCCCCGAACCGGCGGGCGACGGGGCGGCGAGGGCGCAGCAGCCGCCCCCACAGGAAGCGCGCAGGAACTGTGCCACCGAAGAAACTTTGCAACAGCGCGAGTGGCGGCGGCGGCGGTCCCGCCCCCCTGCCTTCCGCCCGCGCTCCGCCGTCCTGCGCGCCCCGCGCCGGGCGGGAGGCTGGACGGGAGCCGGCGAGGCGGCCCTCGAGGCCCCGCGGCTCCTGTTCGACCCCCGGGGGCGAGGACTGCGGTCCCGGTGTCCGCGCGCCCCTCCGCAGGGCCTTCGGGACGTGCCCTGGCCCCTGAGGATAAGCGGCCAGCTCGGCGCCAGCCCTTCCCGGATTCCGACCCGGAGGAGGACAGGGGCGCCCGCTGGGCCTCCGCGGGAGCTGGCGCGGCGGGGAGGCTTGCTCCTGTCTCGGGTCTCCGCTGGGGACATCAGGGGACACGTCTGCGAGCAGAGCAGTGCTTGCCCGGTCTCCTGCTGCTGTAATGCCCATTCTTTTTTATTTCTTTTCTCCTCGCAAGGGCATTTCCCCCCTTTATCTTAAAACGATGTGATAAAAGTTAAAAAAAAAAAAAAAGCAGCCTTGTAATTGACTTTCATGATCAGATTTGTTCAACTTTGAAAGCTTGAGCGAAAAATTATTTTTTTTTCAGACTGCTACAGAGTTTTTGTCCTCTAACCCAGACTTGCTGGTGTGAAAAGGCAATGATTTCAGATTTTTTAGTAATGGCAGAATGGTGCAGTTTAGGAAAAGACGTAGCGTTATTGCGCACTGCTCTTGTTAGCCCACCGGAACCTTGACAGCCTGTTTTTATTTGTATTTAAGCTCTCTGAATAAGGATTAATTTGCTGCATTTGTGTACTTCTGGCATTTCTATAGGCGCTCAGTAAGTGTGGGAAAAGAGCAAGATTAGTTGGTAATTGTTTACATGCATGATTAATTAGGCAGCAGTGTAATTAAAAATATTAGGGCACCTCCGGCAGAGAAGGCTGTAGTTGGTCTTGGGGAGCGACTGAATTTGGCTGGAATCGGCTTCAGTGGAAGAAGGGCATTGCTGGGTGGCAGCCCTGGGAGAAAGGGAGGTTGGAGGTTTGGGAAAGCGACTGGGTGACTCCTGGCTGCATCAGTTGGCTTGTTGCCTGGATGTTTTGCAACTAACCAAATGGGTGGGTGGTAGCTGAAATTGGTATTCTATTTATAGCACTGCACTTTATAATGCTGTACTGGGGGTATAATATTTGTATATAATATATACAACATATGGGCTGAAATGCACATTTGTATTGCTGTGTCTATTTTTTATTACCCCCAGGGGAATATTTGCACTGTCCAAATTTGATAATACACTGAAGGACATTCAGAATGCACTAAGATGTCAACACATTTTTAGAGATGTCTATTAGCCTTGTGAAGTTGTCAGATAAGCACAATAAATAAGACATAAAATGCATTAAAAGGTCCCTGTGAGACATTTGGCCTTTGGGAACTGGCTTTCATGGGTTGGCACAGACGGGAGGCTGTATTCTTCGAGGTCTGAAGTGAATCATGAATACCTTTTATGGAGCTCTGCTTCGATTTAGGGGAAGGGCACCGACACGTATAAAGATGTCCCCACTTACGATGTTCTTGGAATCTTGCTGAAACAGAATGTGACAGGCGTTCTGTCACATGTGAACAATCTTGATAGTTTATAAATACCTTAAATATTCCCATATAAGATTGGCCTGACTATATAGTTTAGTTTCCCCACAAACTAGAGCATATTTGTTTATATTTTTAGAGAAAAGTCAATATAGAAAATTTCTTTTAAACCCACATGCATATACAGACACGGTTCACTGCAACTTTGGTTCTAAAGTCTGGCACCAGTTTCAGAATGAGAAGATTGAGTCAGGCCTCCAGGTTACCATTTGTTAGCTGTGTGGCTTTTAGTGGCTTTGAGCTTCAGTTTTCTCATATGAACAGGGCGAATGGACTGGATAGAATACTAGCACTTTGCCACCTCTTACAGTTTTAACATACTGATCCCGTTGTAGCAGAGATTGACAGCCACCTGCGAAGTAACCCTTTAGCCCTTGTTTTCCTAACAAAACTAATATAATCTGGGTTGGGGGGAAGGATGGTGGGGTGGTGGTGGCAGCGGTGGCAGCAGCACTGTGAGACATTTCTCAGTGGCCTTTGCATATAGGGGCAGCTAGTGCTCTACAGAGATATCTTTAGAGATTGTTTGGTGGGGCTCCTGGTAAAGCTCATTCAAGGTGGCTGACTCAGCTGGGATGCAGGCCTTTTTGCTCTGTGTTATCCTCCTTCCCATTGCCTATTAAGTGGATCTGAGGGATGGAGCCATGGTGGCCATCTTGTGACCATGAGGTGACCTTGAAGATGGAAGCCAGTAGTAAGGATGGTAGAAGAGAAAGATAGAAGAAGCCTGGATGCCAGATGGATGTGGAGCATCATGTCAGCTCTGCATTTCCTGTTTGCAGACTTGTATTGCATGAGATTATATGCAGCCAAACCTAATCCTATTGCCAAACCTAATCCTAATTGATAGAAGAAGCTTATTCGAACCAATGATATTGATAAAATAATAGGTATTAGCTTTTATTTTTCACATGCCTGTCTGTCACTTCCCTGTGTGAGCCAACTTTGTATTTCTTAGCACCTGCCAAAATTGGGGATGGTTTTTCATTCTGAGCCAGGTCTTGCCCAGATTCCTTTCATTGCAATGAGTCAGAAATTTTAGGACACCAAGAGTCAGACCTAATTCCAGGTTGTTTTGTGTTTTTTGATTCTTAAAACCTTCTCTTTATTTCTTAAGCAGTATGCAGATATTACTGGCACAGATTTTAATCTTCTGGATGGATTCTTTGTCATCCAGGTAGTCCAGGACCTCCGAGTTGGCATGGCTCCCCAGGTCATGGACTTGACCCAGGGGAGTTTGCCAGTAGCCAACAGCTAAGCCAGTGGGAGGGAGGGAGAGCATCTGTTTCAAATAGCAGTGTGAATTCGAAGGAGGTGCTTTGACCCCTTTGGTAACTTCCTGCGGGACAAACATTGTGGGCTCGGTATTTGAGCACTTCCTTATAATTGGCTCTTTTGGAGCCAGGTTTTTTTGGTGTGTTTTACTAGACTCATTATGAAGCAAGCAAGCAAGCATAATTTTTAGGCATAAAGGTACTACTTAGAGAAAATTTGCAAATGTTCTGTTTTTCCTCTTGTAGCATTATGTGTGATCCATCTTTGGCTTTGCACAGATTACTTCTTAAGAACAATATATGGGAGTCCCCATAGGTTAATCTCATCTTTTCCATGATAAAGGAAAAGTTGTGAGTTTCAAGGGTTCATCAGACCTATTGAGGAAGTTCTTCCTTACTACCATGATTTCAAAGTTCTAGTCACTAAGCAACTCCCAAAGAAACCTGATTTAACGTAGGCGTTGACTTGAACTACTAGAAGAATGTCAATTTAAAAATAGTGTTAAAAAGAAAAACTGCCCAAAGCCTCTCATTTATTCAGAGTAATGTGGGTACCTACTGTGTGTCAGGCATCGTGATATTGCAGGAACAAGACAGATCTAGTCTGTCTCTACCCTTGGGGAGCTTGCAGCCCGAAAGGCAAGGTGATGTTAAGCAGTAATGACTACAGAATGAATCGTGTCTGTGCCAAATGCTGTGGAAGAGATGTTCAGGATGCTGTGAGAACATGCTGCAGGGAGATAGATGGCTTTTGCCTAGACTGGGGAGATGGATCTCAACAGGGAGCCATCTTGCACCCCAGGGAACGTTTGTTGCTGTCTGGATACTTTTTGGTTATCCCAGGGGCTGGTTTGGCAGAGGGTGCTACTGACATCTAGAGTCAGGGGTGCTGCTGAACATCCTACAAAGGCACAGGACAGTTCCACCCCACCATCGAACAATTAATTATCGGATCCAAAATGCCAACAGTGGCAAGCTTGAGAAACTGTGGGGTAAGGGTCAAGGAAGGCTTCCTAGAGGATGTGACGTTAGAGCTCAGACCCGAAAGGGAAGCAGAAATCAGGTAAGTGGGTGGCAGAGCTTGGTGGTGAAGGAGCCAAGTGGAGAAAGGACGGAGGACTGAAGGGCTGGCAAGATCATTAGGGGCCAGGTTGGGTAGGGCCTTGCAGATCAGGGGACATATTTTGGGGTCATCCTTAGAGCAGAGGGAAGTGTTTGAAGGGCTGTAGTGGGGCAGTATGTGATATGGCTGCCGTTTCCTGAAACTCACTCTGGCTGTCTGATGGAGCAGGAGTTGGAGGGGGCCATTGTGGATATAGGGAACTGTGAGGAGGCTGCTGGACACAGGTTGTGAGAGATGATTAATAATCTCTCAGACTCTGGGACTGATTAGGTTCAGTGTGCTGGGAGAAAGGGTGGGGGAAAGGATGAGTCATACATTTCTGTCACATCCACCATGGGTAGTAGTGCTGTTTACTAACTTGGGCACTGAAGGAGGAGGACCAGGTTTTTAAAAACAGTTTTATGTGGTTCAATGTACATAACATACAGTTTATTAAGTATAATGAATTTTAAGTGTATAGTTCTATGGCATTAAGTACTTACACAATTTTTTGAAATGTACTTTGACTTTTAATTTTAGGGGGAGGTGAAGCTGAGTAAGTTCAGTTTTGGACAAGTTGAGTTCAAAATGCATGTGAGATGGCCAGGTACCATGTTAGGTGAGCAGTTAGATATTTGGGTCTGTAGAGGACAGGTCTGGCTGGAAGGTATTTTGGGGGGTCATTATATTAGGTGGCAATTTGAGTAGGTTTTTTTTTTTTGTTTTTTTTTTTAAGAGTTGGGTGTCTGGTCGGGCATGGTGGCTCACACCTGTAATTTCAGCACTTTAGGAGGCTGAGGCAGGCAGATCATTTGAGGTCAGGAGTTCAGGACCAGCCTGGCCAACAAGGTGAAACCCCATCTCTACTAAAAATACAAAAAAATTACCCGCGCATGGTGGCGTGTGTTTGTAGTCCCAGCTACTTAGGAGGCTGAGGCAGGACAATCGCTTGAACCCAGGAGGCCGAGGTTGTAGTGAGCAAAGATTGCACCACTGCACTTCAGCCTGGGTGACAGAGTGAGACTCCGTCTAAAAGAAAAAAAAAAGTTGGCGGGTCTGGCTATATTGCCCAGGCTGGACCTGAACTCCTGGCCTCAAGTCATCTGTCTGCCTTAGCCTCCCAAGCAACTGGGACTACAGGAATGTTCCACTGCACTTGGCTGTTTTATGTTTGTTTGTTTTTAAGGAAGAGAGTCTTGCTTAACAGAATAAATTCATTTAAGCATTTACTCAAAATGTGTATATACCAAAGATTTGGTAGAAGTTGGAGAGGAAAGCAGTCTTTATCTACATATATCTGCATGTTGTAAAGCTGAGGGTTTAGACAAAACAAAAATAAAAACAAAAACAAGTATAAGTATCATCAAATAAGAGTTGAATGTATCTTAAGTATAGCAGTGCCATTTCCTCCTAGGGATATGACTTATTTTCACTCCTAAAAGAATATTTTATGTAGCTGAAAAGATGATATATTTTAGTTTATATCATTGCTTCCCGTAAGAAACTCAAGGCTCTTTACACATCACGTTGAATTTATCTTCTCCAGATCCTTGATGGGGGATATGGAGGAGCTTGTTTTTCGTTTACGAGCTAAATGAAGTAAAGGACGTTAAATGGCCTCAGCCCGTTGTGAAAATAGCCCCATTCAGTTCCCTTGAGTTCCTGTCTAGTTGCCCTTCCCAGTGTGTGTCAGACTTCAGCACACATGAGAATCATCTGTGTGTCCTAAAGAAGCCTGTATTTGTTAAAATGCAGATTCCTGCGTTCCAGCTCCAGATTTTCTGATTCAGAAGATCTGAAATGAGACTTCCAGGTAAGTTTTCTGTGAAGCCAGGTGTGAGAACCCTGCCTGGGCCACCATAGGCCCGGATATAAACTAGGACTCTTACTGGGTGATTTCTGTGAACATCTGTGGAATATAAAGATGATCAAGCCCGGGCGCAGTGGCTCACGCCTGTAATCCCAGCACTTTGGGAGGCTGAGGTGGGCGGATCACGAGGTCAGGGGTTCGAGACCAGCCTGGTCAACATAGTGAAACCCTGTCTCTACTAAAAATGCAAAAAAAAAAAAAAAAAAAGGTAGCCGGGCATGGTGGCGGGTGCTTGTAATCCCAGCTACTCGAGAGGCTGAGGCAGGAGAATCGGAGGTTGCAGTGAGCCAAGATCATGCCATTGCACTCCAGCCCGGGCGACAGTGCGAGACTCCATCTCAGAAAACAAAAAAAAACAAAAGATGATCGGTGGTTGTTTTGCCTTAAAGTAAGGAGTTGTTCTGGAGAGAGCAAAGTGTGGCATTGAGGCCTACTCCTCAGTCAGGTCTTTTGTGTACTTGGGAAAGGAACTGGAAACACCAGAACTAAAACTATGAAGTCTGTCTCAGGCTCCAGGATCATTTGGCAAATTTTTAAATGCTGCTGAGGAGACCATAGTCCGTGGAGCATGAGTATCAAAAGTTAGAGCCGTGAGTTGTTAAAGCAAAGGTTTTTGGGCAATATACAAATAAGTTTCTAAAGGCTTAGAGCGTCTCAGATTGTGTGTACCATGGATTGAGTGGTACTGAAAGGGGTACTTACTTTATCTGTATGTCTGTTTATCCATCTACCTACCCATCTGCACACTAAGGGGGTACTTTTAAAGACCTACTTCTTGTAATTAATAAGATGCCCAAAAGTTAATCATAAATTATATTTTTATAAGTTAAGCCTGACAGTTAACTGTTCCATAGTACACTTGCAATTTAAAGGAATCGCGTAAACTGCTAATTTTTTTTTTTTGTTTGAATGTTTGCTGTGTTCCTCTTTGATGTGTTCTGTAGTAGGCTGTGTGACCAGGGATTTTTCTGACCCTTCCTATGACTTAGGCTATGGAACATGCTAGTGAGGGTGGGGTTTTAAATCTCACCCCCAAGACTGTTTTGAGTTGCAATTTTCTGGTTTGCATATCCTGAGTGACGGTTTTTAAACAAGATGCAAATCAAAGTATGAAATGATCTTTTCCCTCTTGAATATATATAGTTATTTTCTATTTTTCTCTTTTTTTTTCACTATCTACTGTGCTTCCTGTAAAATATATTTACTCTCTGGCCCATAGAATATGTTGGTCTCATCAAACTTTGTTGTCAAGTGAAGAAAAGCTAATATTCCAGTGTTTCCCATGACTTCTGTAATAAAACAGGAGAGGAGTTTCAGATGGAACTAGATCATATCTGAGTCGATAGTAGGCTCAAAGCAGGAATATTGTGTCTGCATGCTTGCTGCCTCAGTGTGGTGGGAGGCTTGGCCTCCTTCCTCACTACTTCTCTCCACTGGCTGAATTGTCCTGGCATCTTTCCCAGCAGCAGATCTCTTTTCCTAAGAGTTTACTGTTTGGCACTTGAGCAAAAGGCTCAATAGGTTTTACCATAGGCCAGGTACTGTTTTGAACCTGAACATACATGAACTCACTTAATTCTTGTTCCATTTCTTCCCTCTACAGGGAGGGAAACAGAGGCTCAGAGAGGTTGCTTAACTATTAAGTGGCAGCGCTCGGATTTGAACCTAGGAGGTTTGAGTATACTTTGTCTTTGTACTTTGTACTCTGTACACAGTACAAAGTACTCTGTACTTTGACCTTATGCTGTATGACTTCTCAGGCAGGGCCCCGGCCCGGGTCTCCTCTACTGCCACATCTTTCTGTTGTACAGTGCAGCTTTAAGGAGAGAGTTCTTTGAAAGGATTCATTAAACAGCTGCCTTCTCTCCTGCTTCTCCTCCCCATCTGGCCATTCCTTTTGTCTCCTTTGCAGTTTTGTCCTTAAATGTTGCAGTTCCCCTGAGCCGTCCTTGGCCTCACGAGCCTTGGCTTCCGTTCTGGTGCGCTGTGGAGACTCTAGTGCTGCAGCCGCTATTGCACGCACACCCCTGTGCTGGGCTCACCCCTGCACCCGGCTCTCCTGCCTGTCTGCACTTGCGTATCCTCAGGACGCTGGGCACCAAGTTGCCTTCCCTCACACGTGCTACCCTCCTTTATTCTAGGAAGCCCCAGGCCCTCCCTTCCCGTCTCACCCCCCACCCGGGTGCTCTGTCTCAGAGCCTGCAGCTTCTGCTTCTTTAGTGGCCCCCCCCCCCCGCTCACTGCCACCTTCATTGAGGCCCTTAGCGCTCTTTGCTTGACTCCAGTGGCCTTCCCACTGGCATGTTTGTGTCCTTTCTTGTCCTCCCACAGCCGTCCCACACACTGCCTCCAGAAAGCTGTCTTGGGCACACATCTCAACAGGGCATTCCCTCCTTAAAACCTCAAACAGCTGTTCCTGGCTCAGGAAAAACCTGACTCCCCAATACCACCCCCTCCCATGATATGGCCCCTGGTACCTTCAGCCTCATTTCTAGCCCCAGCCACCCGTCCCCACAGGGGTTCCTGCCCGGGTCACCCCCTCCTCAGAGGGGTCCCTGCCCGGCCGGGTCACCCCCTCCCCTCAAGGGACCCTGCCTGGGTCACTCCCTCTTCTGAGGTATTTCTGCCACCAAGTGTGTTGACCCTGCCATTGGCCTGCCCTGTATAAAACCCAAGAGGGAGAGAATAAAATCCGATGCCCCTTAAAAAACGTACGGAGTGACAGGGCCTTCCATCCCATGGTTGGAGGTGCTGTCCCATGGTAGATGGAGCTGCTACCCAGCTTGTCTGCTACTGTGGGGACAGGGGACAGTGGATTTGTCCCAGTAGGGTGGAGAAAAGGCAGACTTTACCTCTGTCGCTGGGCTGCAGGGGTGTTTGTTTCTGTCCCTCTGCTACCATGGATTATCTTCAAAGTGGGTACTTGGAAACAAGTAAGTTGGCTATGCGCCATGCATCCTGGAGCTTAAGGCCCCCTGGAGGACCTGGAATTAATCCTGGAAAGCTCCACGGAGAGGCAGCTGCTGGAGGCTGGAGCCAGCTGGGTGACATGCTTTGTAAGTAGGTCACAGGAAAGAAAGTGAAGCCCCAAAGGCTTCCTCCCCCAGCGTGTTAGAAAAGAAGTGGCAGCCTGCATAGCCTGGAAGGAGCGCCTGAGCCATGTGTGCTTCCAAGACGGCTCTCTGTGAGCTTTGGCCTGGGTGGCAGAGCCACAGGTACCGGGTTTTATGCTCTCCTGGCTTTTGTGCAGGGCAGGCAACCACCTAGACACTTCCCAGACTGCCAGTCATTATCATTGTGGTCACCAGCATGGCCACAGCTATTGGCTGAGCTTTTTTATATATTCTGAGCTGATGCCAAAAGTTTAGGCATTATCTCATTGGTTCCTGCCAGCGCCCTCTGAGGTGGAGTTATTTGGCAGCTTAGTGGTTTTCTTGTTTTTACTGTTCCGTTTGGTTTCTATGATAGATGTTCCTGGGAAAGTTTGGGAAAACAAATTAAGAGAATTGGGACAAAATCAAGTTAGGAGGTAGAAGGCACAATCATCTTTCCTGCGTGGGAATGGGGGTCCCTTGCTCCCTCACAGGAACAGGGAAAGAGAGTTGATTAGTGCTGCTTAAATGTGTTGCAATTAATTACTCGCCAGTTTTCTTGCACTCCGGGGCTTAGGCTGGCCTATAAATCTTAGTCCCAGGTTAGTTGTAAAATCTTGATTTATCTCTCTGTCTAGATGTGCTAACACATTTGTTGGCTTGAATTATTTAAAGTTATCATGAAAAAGGTCTGATTTCTATTGCCTGCCCTGATTTGCACTTTAAATATAGTTCCCTGTTGCAGTTTACCAGAATTCATGTTGAAAATGGAAAAGGGGAAATTACTTTTAAACAGCAGTTTGGCATGTAAAAGCATGATTTACCCTGGAATATTTCTCCAACTGCACATTAAAGCACTAAGGCCAAATTTTCAACAATATTTTCCCTACTGAATCTGGAAATTAATATGAAGCAAACAGCAAACATTGAGCCTCAGGTAGCCACTCCTGTGTACCCCTTTGGTTGGGGCCAGGTTGGAGGGATCTTTCCCTCACTCCTTCTTTTCTTTGTCAGTCACCAGCCCAGACTCAAATTGCAGTATGCACTCGTTAGCATTGTTGAAGGTGACAGGCAATTTCTTACCTCCCTTGCTAATTTTTCTCACTTTGCTCATCTCTTTGCACCATCTCTCTTTCATTTCCATGAAACCAGGATTTTTATGGATAAGAATTCTGTAAATGGTTAGTTATTTTAATATTGGATTTATTAGTGGTATAGCATATTCAGTGCCTTCACAATATATTTGGTTCCTTTTTATTTTTATTTTTATTTTTTTAAGAGGCAGGGTCTCTGTCACCCAGGCTGGAGTGAAGTGGCATGATCATAGTTTACTGCAGCCTGGAACTTTTGGATACAAGGAGTCCTCCCACCTCAGCCTCCCAAGTAGCTGGGACTACAGGTGTGCACTAGCAAGCCTGGCTAAGCATTAATTTTTTCTTTTTCTTTTTTTGGAGAGATGGGGTCCCACCATCTTGCCCTTTTGACCTCAAGCGATCCTCCTGCCTCAGCCTCCCGAAGTGCTAGAATTACAGGCACGTGCCACCACGTCCGGCCACGTTTGGTTCCTTGATGATTTCTTTTGATTTATTTAGATTACACAAATTTAAAGATAAAACCAACTGGCAGCCGGGCATGGTGGTTCATGCCTGTAATCTCAGCACTTTGGGAGGCCGAGGTGGGTGGATCACCTGAGGTCAGGAGTTTGAGACTAGCCTGGCCAACATGGCAAAACCCCATCTCTACTAAAAATACAAAAATTAGCTGGGCATGGTGGCACGTGCCTGTAACCCCAGCTACTCGGAGGCTAAGGTAGGAGAGAATCGCTTGAACCTGGGAGGTGGAGGTTGCGTTGAGTTGAGATAGTGCCACTGCACTCCACTCTGGGCAACAGAGTGAGACCTGTCTCAAAACAAAACAAAAAACAACTGGAATTTTTTCTAAGGATTATCTTGTTTTATGATTTGCTCCTACAACTGAAAGTAACTCTGATGCATTTTTTATGTCATTGTTTTAAATATTATAATTTGTATCTATCATGGGAAAAAGGTATTTTAAATTTCACAGCAGAGTGATAAGAAATGACAGACTTTTTTGGTTTGGGTTTTTTTTTTTTTAAAGGGATATTTTAACTCTAGGTCTATATTTTTGGACAGAGCTAGAATCTAGTTTAACTTAGCTCAGTTAAGCTTTGTCTGGCTAAAGGAATGGTGTGTTGATTACGACAAGCAGAATTTATGGAATTTATTTGACATATTGGCAATATCTTTCCTGTATGTAATTCCTACTTTAAACAGTTACATCATCAAATATTAGCTACTTACTCACAAAAGGTGATACATTAGTAATTTTCAGAACCAGTACCAAATAAAGATACCTTCCCTGCACTATATTCTACATTCTAAGGGCTAGGGACTTTTGTGTTCACATGCACTTTGTTGTCATATAGCTGTCTGGCCTCGCAAAAAAGTGAGGTAAAAGCAAACACTGTTATTAGATGATGCTACTGGACCTGTTACATTAAGAAAGTTATCTTATTTGATTAAAGAGGAAATTGTAACCCCAGAGATATTTGACTGTCCTGTTTGAAATTTGGAATTAATTCGGGAGGGGTAGATGGAAAATTTTTTTTTTTTTTGAGACAGAGTCTCGCTCTTGTCCAGGCTGGAATATAGTGGCATGATTATAGCTCACTGCAAACTTGGACTCCTGGGCTCAAAGGATCCTCCCACCTTGTCTTCCTAACTAGCTGGGATGACAGGCATGCTCTAGCATAACTGGCTTTTTTTTTTTTTTTTTTTTTTTTTAAGACGGAGTCTTGCTCTGTCGCCCAGGCTGGAGTGCAGTGGCATGATCTTGGCTCACTGCAAGCCCTGTCTCCTGGGTTCAAGCGATTCTCCTGCCTCAGCCTCCCGAGTAGCTGGGACTACAGACATCTGCCACCATGCCTGGCTAATTTTTGTATTTTTAGTAGAGATGGGGTTTCACTGTTTTGGCCAAGCTGGTCTCAAACTCCTGACCTCGTGATCCGCCCACCTCGGCCTCCCAAAGTGCTGGGATTACAGGCGTGGGCCACTGGGTCCGGCCGCATGTCTGGCTAATTTTGTAGAGACAGGGCCTCCCTATACTGCCCAGGCTGGTTTCAAGCTCCTGGCTTCAAGGGGTCCTCCTGCCTTGGCCTCCCGAAGTGCTGGGATTACACAGATGTGAGCCACCACGCTCAGTGGGAGATGGATTTTTGAATCAAAGTCATGAGTTAGTTTGACCACAGTTTTTATATCTTGCAAGTTCTCAGAATATTCTATTTTCTGGAATTCTGTGGTGCTAAGATATGTTAACATGTTGCAACCTCTCTGTATGATATTCCTTAAGTAATTCTGTTTTTGATATCTTCTTCAGGGTTTTAAATGTGCATATTAGCTTAGAGGTAAATAAAATAAAGCCAAAAAATTAAGTACCCAGAAGCAGAATTTAAATGACTTTGCAGTTTAATCTCTCCTTTCTTCTTAGAACTTGAAGAAATGATTGGGCTTTGTGTGTGTGTGTGTGTGCACGCGTGCGCGTGTGTGTGTATGTGTGTGTAAAGTGAGAAAATGCATTAGATCCTGGTGAAAATAAAGGTGAGGGGCACTAAACGTCTTTGTTCTACTGGGTAGGCGCTGCCTGGTATAGAGAGCAGGTGGTCCTTTTGTGATGTGACTCTAGGGTCCCCCATAGTGAAGACTTTCACTCATTCATTTATTAAGTAAATATTTATTGAGTTTCTTCTATGTGCTAGCTGTGCTTTTGGTGTGGAGACAAATGGTAGATAAAACTGTATTCCTGGTGGGGTGGTGGCTCAGGCCTGTAATCCTAGCACTTTGGGGTGCTGAGTTGGGCGGCTTGCCTGAGCCCAGGAATTTGAGGCCAGCCTGAGTAACATGTTGAAACCTTGTCTCCACAAAAAACACAAAAATTAGCTGGGCATGGTGGCACATGCCTGTAGTCCCAGCTACTCGGGAGGCTGAGGTGGGAGGATCATGAGCCCAGGAATGAAGGTTGCAGTGAGCTGAGATTGTGCCATTGCAGTCTAGCCTGGGCAACAGAGTGAGACCCCATCTCAAAAAACAAAAACAAAACAACACCCCCCCACCCCACCCCCCCCCCCCGCCAAAACTCACTATAACTGTATTCCTGCCCTTGTGGAGCTTATAATCAGCTGACATGTAAGATAAGTGATAAACAAATATATATGTCAGTTGGTGATAAGTGCTCTGGAGAAGAGTAAAGCAGAGTGAGGTGGATAAGGAGGGTGTGGAATTGGGGATTTATTATTTTACATGAGGTGGTCTTGGGGAGGCCTTGTATAATGTCTACTGTTATCTAAATTGTTCACATAGAGGTTCACATGGCTTACATTTCAGTTTCACCCTGCCTTTTGAAATGTCATTCTGGAAATGGAAACGATGAAACCATGTTAGTCATTTGCTTCTTAGTGTGAAGATGTTTTAGATTTCTTTCTTTTGAGCAAATGTTAATGCAGGATTTGAGGCAATGGATGTCTGGGGGTGGGGATGGGGAGGGATTAGAAGGGATCCAAATGGATGAAGTCGTCTCCTGCTTCTGATTAAGGTCTCCTCTGCCACCCAGGGAGCCCCTCTGCTGACACTCCTTGTACATTATTGTTCCATGGTGTCACTTCTCCCACCCTTTTAGTACATCACTGCCCTATGTCATTGCCTTTTACTCCTGGGAGTGCTAATTGGAGAAAGTGAACTCTGCAATGCTTTCCTCTTAGCTGTTGGGGAGAAATGTACTGTAAAATGAAGGGTACTATTTTTTGTTCTGTTAAGCTTCCTGTTTGGCTTGTCATTTTGCTTTATATTTTCAGAGTGTTACTGTCATGTTGTTGTTATTATTTTTAATGCAGAGCCTAAATGTGGCTCTAGGGATATCTTCGTCTGTGATGGCTCTGACTCCAAACATTCATTCATTCTAAATGGAGAATGATTTTAATTCCCCTCACTCTCCCGGCCCCATTGCCTTAGTAGGGTTCTGTTAGGGTTTAGTAGGGTTCTGTGCTTGCTGGTAGCAGTATCTGCATCACACTTCTAACCTTGCAGCCCTTAGGAAAAAGCTTGCTCCAAATTTAGCTCTGTTGCCTGCCAGGCTCTGGCAGTGATTTTGAGGGTGAGAATCTGTACTTCTTCCTCCTGGATTCTCAGGAATTCCCCTTTGCTTAAGAAGGCACCAGACTTAAGGTTTCTAAGAAATAGTATTTTGTACACATCTATTTTATAGTTTATGTCTATAGACACAAATGGCATACACAGATTTGAATTTGTCTGATGTACTGTTTCTTTTGCTTGGTAGCCTAAGCGTGTTGGCTTCGTGTTGATGAATAATTTTAGGTCTGAGATGAAGAAAGCCAGTAATACAAGTTTGCAGCAATGCAGCTGCTTAAAAATGAGCAAAATATGTCTTGTTAAAGTATCTTTTTTTATTATAAGCAAAACTGTTGGATGTGAGAATTAACCTGAATTGCTAATTCTAAGGTAGAAATATTTCTTTTTTTTTTTTTTCCAGCTTTTGGTTTGGCTTCTGAAGATACAAAGAAAGAGGTCAAGCAGTCTCAGGTACTAATCCCAATGATCAAATCTTTTCCTCCCTTCTAAGATTCATTTGTATTTTCTCTGATAGGAATAGTAATCATTTCATTCTTCAATTGTTATTTTTATTGTTACATAATTCATATAATGTGGTCAACATGGATTTTGAATCCCTAATGCAACCTATAAGATAGACTTGCTTTTTACAAATCCTTTAATATTTAAGGCTGATCCACTTGGTTTTAAAGTTATTTTGAGAAAAAACGTGTTTTGACATAGAGTTGGACATTTTAATAGTCTTGCTTGGATACCATAGTTTTCCCCAGTCTTACCAAATACCTTTTTTTATTTCTTTTTTGCGACGGAGTTTCACTCTGTCGCCCAGGCTGGAGTGCAGTGGCACGATCTCAGATCACTGCAACCTCTGCCTCCTGGGTTCAAGCGATTCTCCTGTCTCAGCCTCCCCAGTAGCTGGGAATACAGGCATGCGCCACCATGCCCGGCTAATTTTTGCGTTTTTAGTGGAGACGGGGTTTCATCATGTTGCCCAGGCTGATCTCAAATTCCTGACCTCAAGTGATCCACCCACCTCAGCCTCCCAAAGTGCTGGGATTACAGGCATGAGCCACCGCACCCGGCCCAGTCTTACCAAATATCTTAACCTTGGGTTTAATTTTCTCAGTCTATGAAAGGATTTTACTATGTCACAGGTGTCACAGAAACCTGATTAGTCTCTCCTTGAAGGTGGCAATGTGTGAGAGGGCATGCTGGGGCCTGGGCGGGAGACCCAAAGGTGACTATGCTACCAGAGAGTCAGAACCAGAAAGCTAGGCCAGGGGACTCGCAGAGAGCAGGCAGTACTTATCCCAATCTCAGAGCTGCTGCTTTTAAATCACTGGTTGTAGTCAGGGAATGTCTCTAAATGTTTACTAGTTGGGCTTTGCACTAGATCAGTTTAGCATGTAAAAAAGGAAACAGTAGTTTAAAATATCAGTTGTTTTTGTCATATTAAAGCTCAGTTGACTATTTTTACCCCACAATTGGTGTAAAAGCATTTTTTTAATAGAATGTTTCTTTATCAACAGGGTGTTTATTATCTGTTTTAACTGTACTATGAGATTCTTACACAGGGGAAATGATAATACTAATTTCTTACGATTTTAGGACCTTTTATGATTAATAAAGCATTTCACACATTTAATTTAATCTTCTTAATGATCCTGTTATTTGTTAAAGCAAATATTCCCATTTACAACAGAGAAAACTTAGCGTCAGGGAAGTTATGTGATTTGACCAAGGTCACATGATTTTTTTTTCTTTTCAACTTGTGTTTTAGGTCAAGGGGTACATGTGCAGGTTTGTTTGTTTGTTTTTCTTTTCAACTTGTGTTTTAGGTCAAGGGGTACATGTGCAGGTTTGTTACATGGGTAGATTGCATGTCATAGGGGTTTGATGGATAGATTATTTTGTCACCTAGGTAAGAAGCATAGTACCCAATAGGTAGTTTTTCAATCCTTGCTCTCCTCCCACCCGCCACTCTCAAATAGACCCCAGTGTCTATTGTTCCCTTATTTGTGTCCATGTGTACACTGTGTTTAGCTCCCACTTATAAGTGAGAACTTGTGGGTTTTCATTTTCTGTTTCTGCATTAATTGGGTTAGGCTAACGGCCTCCAGCTCCATCCATGTTGCTGCAAAGGCCATGTTCTCATTCTTTTTTATGGCTGTGTAGTATTCCATGGTGTATCCATACCACATTTTCTTTATCCAGTCTACTGCTGATGGGCATCTAGGTTGATTCCATGTCTTTGCTATTGTGAATAGTGCTGTGATGAATATATGTGTGCATGTGTCTTTATGGCAGAACAATTTATATTCCTTTGGGTATATACCCAGTAATGAAATTGCTGAGTTGAATGGTAGTTCTATTTTATGTTGTTTGAAAAATCTCTTTCTGCAGTGGCTGAACTAATTTACATTCTCACCAGCCATATGTAAGTGTTCCCTTTTCTCTGCAACCTTGCCAGCATCTGTTATTTTTTGACTTTTTAATAGTAATAGCCATTCTGACTAGTGCGAGATGGTATTTCATTGTGGTTTTGATTTACATTTCCCTAATGATTAGTGATGTTGAGCATTTTTTTCATATGCTTGTTGGCTGCATGTATGTCTTCTTTTGAGAAGTGTCTGTTCACGTCCTTTACCCATTTTTTAAATGGGGTTGTTTTTTGCTTGTTGATTAGCTTACATTCCTTATAGATTCTGGATATTAGCCCTTTGTCAGATGCATAGTTTGCAAATATTTTCTCCCATTCTGTAGGTTATCTGTTTACTCTGTTGATAATTTCTTTTGCTGTGGAGAAGCTCTTTCATTTAATTAGGCCCACTGGTCAAATTTTGTTGTTTTGCAGTTGCTTTTGTAGTCTTCATGAAGTCTTTGCACAGACCAATGCCCAGATGGTATTTCCTATGTTTTCTTGTAGGGCTTTTATAGTTTTAGGTTTTACATGTAAGTCTTTAATTCATCTTGAGTTGATTTTTGTGTGTGGTGTAAGGAAGGGGTCCAGTGTCAATCTTCTGTATATGGCTAGCCAATTATCCCAGCACCATTTATTGAATAGTGAGTCCTTTCCCCATTGCTTGTTTTTGTCAAAGATCAGATGGTTGTAGGTGTGTGGCTTTATTTCTGGGTTCTCTAACCTGTTCCATTGGTCTATGTGTCTGTTTCTGTAGAAGTACCATGCTGTTTGGTTACTGTAGCCTTGAAATATAGTTTGAAGTCAGGTAATATGATGCCTCCAGCTTTGTTTCTTTGGCTTAGGATTGCTTTGGCTACTTGGGCTCTTTTTGTTTCCAAATGAATTTTAGAATTTTTTTTCTAATTCTATGAAAAATGTCATTGGTAGTTTGATAGAAATAACATTGAATCTGTAAATTGCTTTGGGCAATATGGCCATTTTAACAATATTTATTCTTCCTATTCATGAACAAGGAATGTTTTTCCATTTGTTTTGTTGTCTCTGATTTTTTTCAGCAGTGTTTTGTAATGCTCACAGAGATCTTTTACTTCCCTGGTTAGCTGTATTCCTAGGTGTTTTATTCTTTTTGTGGCTACTTTTTTTTTTTTTTTTTTTGAGATGGAGTCTCACTCTTATCACCCAGGCTAGCATGCAGTGGCGTGATCTCAGCTCACTACAACCTCCGCCTCCTGGATTCAAGCGATTCTCCTGCCTCAGCCTCCCGAGTAGCTGGGATTATAGGCGCCTGCCACCACATCTGACTAATTTCTGTATTTTTAGTAGAGAATTTCACTATGTTGCTCAGGCTGGTCTCAGACTCCTGACCACCAGTGATCCGCCTGCCTCAGCCTCCCAAAGTGCTGGGATTACAGGTGTGAGCCACCACGCCGGGCCTTTTTGTGAATGGGATTGCTTTCTTAATTTGCTGTCAGCGTGGATGTTATTTGTGTATGGAAATGCTACTGATTTTTGCACATTGATTTTGTATCCTGAAACTTTGCTGAAGATTATTAGAGATCTTTTCTAGGTATAGTATCTTACTGTCTGTGAAGAGAGACACTTTGACTTCCTCTTTTCCTGTTTGGATGCCTTTATTTCTTTATCTTCTCTGATTGCTCTGGCTAGACTTCCAATACTATATTGAATAGGAGTGGTGAGAGTGGGCATCCTTGTCTTGTTCCTGTTTTCAAGGGGAAAGCTTCCAGCTTTTACCCATTCCGTATGATGTTAGCTATGGGTTTGTCATAGACGGCTTTTATTATTTTGAGGTGTGTACCTTTGATGCCTAATTTGTTGATAGTTTTTAACATGAAAGGATGCTGAATTTTATCAGAAGCCCTTTTTTTTTTTTTGCTTCTATTCAGGTGATCATGTGGTTTTTGAAAAAGCCCTGGACAGATAGATTCATAGCCAAATTCTACCAGATGTGTAAAGCGCTGGTTCCAGTCCTAGTGAAACCCTTCCAAAAAATTGAGGAAGAGGGACTGCTCCCTAACTCATTCTGTGAGGCCAGTATCATTCTGATACCAAAACCTGGCAGAGACACAACAAAAAAAGAAAACGTCAGGCCAGTATCCCTGATGAACATAGATGTAAAAATCTTCAACAAAAACGCTAGCAAACCAAATTCAGCAGCACATCAAAAGCTAATCCACCACAGTTAAGTAGGCTTTATTCTTAGGAGGCAAGGTTGGTTCATCATAAGCAAATCAATAAATGCGATTCATCACCTAAACACGTGATTATTAAAAAGTAAAGTTAGAATCCAAATTTTCTGAATCATTGAATATTTCTCACTTTACTGTTTTATATTACACAGCCCTGTGCATTATGATGTGTGTATTTGGCAATAATGAGGATCATTTGTGACACATTTAAAGTGCTACCTAATCCTGTGGTAGCACTCAAAGTCCTTGTGACTTTGAGCTCTGAATGACAGGCATAAGGTTAACACTGGTCACGAGAACCAAAGTGTTGAAGTTCATCTCTTCTCCACCACTAGCCAGTTGTGGGGCTTAGTGAACCTCGCTGTGCTCAGCCTCCTCATCTGTAAGATGGGGTAGTAGGACCTACCTCACAGGGCTGTTTTGAAGATTAAGTGTGCCTGTTTATAGCTTAGAACAATGCCAGGTCCTGTTTAAACGTTTACCTGATAAGACAAGAACAATTCCTATAAGCAGCCTTTTAAGAGGTTGCATAAGCCATCTTTCCTACCTGAACAAATCAAAGTAAAGAGGAACTGCTTTTGTCTGTTACATTTGTTTTATGGAGGTAGTTGACTTCATATGAAGTAGTTGATGATAATGATGAAAAAAGGGTAGGTGCCAATATTATTGAGCATTTGCTTTGTGCAGACCCTGTGCTCAGCATTTTACTATCTTGTTCAACCTACAACACAATCCTGTGAAGTGGGTCTTGTCATTATTATTCCTATTCCAGTTGAAACAGGCCTGAGCTAGTTGGTGGTGCAGGCAGAATTAGAGCCCAGGGCCGACTGAGTGTAATCATGAACACATCTCATTATTTTATTCAGAATCTCTAGGGCAGTGGTGGGTACTTGTGACTGGGTGGAAGATTCCATTTTACTTCTCTTCCCTTTAAAAGATTCCATATAAAATTCTTTCGAGGGTGTCATATCTTCTTTTAATGAAGGACTTATGAACTAAGCATTACATGTATGGATTGCAAGTGTTGTTCAAATCTTTTGTGACTTAAAAAATAAAACCTGTGTCAAAGGGTGACTTTAATGTGCCTTTTCCTGGCTAGCATAGGAGCTTTCTGTGGGGTAGAGATTAATGGCAAATCTCTTTCGTATCTGAATAGCAATTCAGTTGACTTATAAAACCTTGACAGTGAGCACATTTTGATTGATATTGATAGCGTAAGAAACATCTGGTAGCAGAAATAATAAAACAAACCATGTGTTTCCTTCATTTTAGGAAGAACTAAGTCTTTTCACAAGGGAAGCTGGAGACAGAATTTTAATTGTTCTGTTAATTTAGTCTAATTTTCTTTCTCACAGGGGAAATTAGTCAAGACCATTTTGGTTCCATCTCAATTCACCTTATTCAACTGTTTCTTGCATATTTGATTTTTACAGTTTACAAATTGAACCCCTTGAAATGGCTAATCATTTCCTAGCTATTGTGTCAGTCAACAGAGCTGCTGTGTTTAATGGCAAAGAGAAAGATGTATCATTTTTGTTGCTATTCTTTGATTTCACAAAGATAGCTATCTGATGGAAAGTCCAGTTGGCTTTTCAGCTTCAGTTGCTTAGTCTAGAACTGTAGCATTCTGGATATTTTTCATCTTTTAACTTGTTGATGAAGGTGACTTTTGCTTTCTATATTATTTTTTAGCTCACTCTCAAAATCTATTCACATCTAATGATGTGTATTTTTTAAAGCATGCTTCCCGAGGAAGGCTGGGCAGGCGTTATCATGGCGGTGTGAGGAAGAGCATTGGGACCGAGTTAGGAGACCTGGTTTGTAATTCTGGTTCTGTGGCCAGAATGACTGCTGGACCTTGGGAAAATGATTTATCTTTTCTGAGCCTCTGTTATCTCATTTGCAAAAGGGGAGTGTTGGGTTGAATCATCTCCAATGCTGTTTTTAGATCTAACAATTCTATTTTTCCAGGAGCCTCAGCTGGCAGCCAAAGCTGTGGCATCCAGAAGGCAGCTTGGCCTGGGGCAAGTGGTGGGTTGCCAGTGGAGCCAAATGGCTCCTCTGGAGCTGAGGCTGGCCCCTTCCCTGAGGGCAGGTTGTCTTCCTGGTCAAGAGTGGCATTTAGAGTAAGTCTGCGCATGCTGACTTACGGTGATAACCTGGCTTTGGTTCAGTGCATTCAGGGAACTGGATTGAACTTTCCAGTCTTTTTTAGTAATTTCTTCCAGATCTACCTGTTTCATCAGGATTAAGTTAGGTGTCACTTGATCCATCGTGAGAGTTAACAAATCAGCATATAACTATAGGTTCTCCTCTACTCAGTGGCATTTCTAGTCTCGAGACAAAGATAATTTCAGAATATGCCACTAAAGGTAGTCCCTCCCCTGTGTTTAGCTCTCTCTTCCCCGAGTGTTGTCATGGTCCCTTTGGTATTCTTAGAGGATGCATCTCTGTGGATACGTCTCTTGGCTTTTAAGCCGCTCCCAATTTTGTTGGTAAGGGCTCACGACCACATTTCTTGTTGCAGTCTGTGAAGAAAATTGAAGGATATTTGCCACCATCCCGTTGTCATAATTATAGCATATGACTGTTGAAAGCAAGAAAGGGCAATTAGGGAGAAAATTCCTTCTTAGTCTGCAGAGAAGACAATGAAAATGGCACATTTAGCTGCTGACACTTTGCACTTTGCCAGATAAATCTTTTGAGAGTTCCTCCGTTGATTTACACAGAGTCGAGGTCAGGTATTTCTGTGCCCACATCCAGATTTCTGTGTCTGGAGCTCTCCAGCTCTTAAGGTGCCCCTTCTGTGCTCCTGATTTTTTTTTTTTTTTTTTTTTTGATATGGAGTCTTGCTCTGTTGCCCAGGCTGGAATGCAGTGACACGATCTCAGCTCACTGCAACCTCCGCCTCCTGGGTTCAAGCGATTGTCCTGCCTCAGCCTCCTGATTAGCTGGGACTACAGGCGCCTGCCATCATGCCCGGCTAACTTTTGTATTTTTAGTAGCGGTGGGGTTTTCCGTATTGGCCAGGCTGGTCTTGAACTCCTGACCTTGTGATCCACCTGCCTCGACCTCCCAAAGTGCTGGGGTTACAGGTATGAGCCACCGCACCCGGCCTCTGTGCTCCTGAATTCTGGTGACCACCATAGGCTGGCCTCTGAGGCCCTTTGCAGGCCCCTAGGACTACTCCTCAGGTTGGAGAGAACATTGTGGTAACATTCTTGAAGATAGCATGACTGCACCCAAAAGATGATAAAGTGCAATAATTAGTAGAACTTATCTTCATGAGGAGCACCCTGCCAGGTTCGAGACTATCCTCTGATATGTTCCTAATGCTTTATGGTTTACAGGGCTTTAAAAATGGACCCTCCTGAGAATATCATGAACCAGTTAAACATTCACTGCATCTTACACAATAGGAAAGAGCTTCAGCTCAATCAATTGACTTGCCCAAGATCACATGAGAAGGGCACAGCCCCAACTAAGAAGTCTGTCATGATACAGAAGTACATCATTGCTCCGTGGTCCCTTAGGTTTCGGTCTCATTTCTTTAGGGAAGCGTTTCCAAGCTCCGTTTTTCAAATCTTCCTCCCATGTGCTGATACATACCATGCACCATGCATGTTTACTCAGTGTACTGCTGGCTTTGTTATGTACTGAGATTCATCTTTTTCTCTTTCATTTAAAATACAGGATTTGGAGAAAAGTGGTATATCAAGGAAAAATGACATAGGTAAGTAATGATTTTTTTTACCTAAGAGTGTGTACTTAGGTATATTTTGTATGAATTATATTTCCATGAAGTGATTTTTTTCTGATTTTATTTATGGGGTAAATATTGTTGTTCAAATATTCTGTCTTTGGCCCAGCCTAACGTTTGCTCTCCTGAAGATGTGGGGCAAACACCTCTCAGATGGGCATGTTGGCATGTGGTGGATTTATGTTTACTTAGTGAGATATGTTGGATTTAATTCCCTCTGGCATCATTCATTGAGCTTCCAGTAAGGATAAAGCACCATGCCTGGTGGGCTCTCTGGGGGAATGCAGAGGGGAAGGAGACATGGTCCCTGTTATTAAGGACCCACATGATGTGGGAGAACAGAACAAGCTGTGACATTAGCGCAGGCCGTCCGGGAGCAGGCTGTCCACTTGCTGACCTGCAGACACCTCCATGCCTTTCAGGAGTCAGCTCACCAGTCACGTCTGCCAAACTTGTCCCGAGCATCCTGGCCTGGAAGCCGTTACTCCTTCCTTTGTAAGGCATCATACTTCTATCATTGCCCATTCCTTATTTGTACTCCTTTTGAAACACCCTCTCCGCCATAGTTTGTAAGTATCTTCAGAAATGTGACCAGGAGTTAGACTTTAAAAAAAAATTAATGGGAAGCATGCCCAGTGTGTAAGGCCACACCTCTGTGTGTAGGGGTGAGTTTGTCCTTGAAGGGTGTGAATTTTGTCAATGTCTTTCCTCCCAGGGTAGGAGGAATGACCCAAGTCTGGAACACAATCAGCCAGGACCTGGACACCAGTAGCAGTGGAACCTCACAGGAAGCCTATGGTGTCAGGGGGTATGCGGTCCATGGGAGAAGTCTCCCTTCAGACACAGGGGGTTGGCTCACCTCCAGTTTCATGATGGATAAGCCTGGGTTCCAGGAAACAAGAAGGGAACAATATGCTCTTCTTGCTTCCTCTCCACTATTTTCCATGGAGACCTGGAAGGCGAGCTCTAGATAAGAGGGAAAAGGATAAAGGAAAGTGTTCCTTTCTAGGCCTTCCCTTCCTGGGCCTGGGTTCTGAGGGGTGCAGAAGTTCAGGAGAGACCCCCGCCCCCGGGTGGAAGTGGGAGGATGACCTGTCTTGGGCACGCATATCTAGGGCCCACAGGGGAGTGTTTTGGGGTCTGCGAGCAGCTGTATTTAAGGAACCACGTCAATTTGTTGCTTTTTCTTTCTATTATAACACCCTGTATGGTTTAGCCACGCCTTTCCATGTGGAGATTTTCTTCCCTGCTACCAACTCTGTGGCTTTGAGCATTTATTTGTAGTTTATGGGAGCAGATGAGTCTCTGGTTATTAAATGAATTAATGATGCAAGTCTGGAACATGGGCTTGAAACTACAAAGGGGAAGTTACCTTGGACAAGTAAATTTATATTCTTGCAATTGCACATGGCAAGTCGAGTGATACCTAACTTGGTATCAGTTCATCTGAAAAAGACCCAGGGGACTTCTTTGTCACAATCTTTGTGTGAGCCTGCAAGACCAGGAGGCTACTAAAGATCCTGGGCAGTTGCAGTGACAACAGTAGATTCAGGGCACCGAGAGCATGGCTCACAGTCAGAGCTGGGAGATAGCCTCCATGCACGGGATGCTGTTTCTCCTTCAGCTTGCTGCCTAATTGATAGATTCACTAGTATATGATTATTCTCACCAAGTAAACATAATTGGAGTGGCCCGCTTTGTGTGTGTGTGTTTGTGGGTGTGTGTGTATGCATGCATATTTTTTCCTCAACTTTAAATCATAAGGCTGCTTGTTACAGCTTATATCAGAAGTACATCGTATTGGTTTTTCATCAGAAAAACACCAGCATGATGAAACCCATTTTTCTAGGTAATTTCTGACCAGGAAGATGAGCACTTTACAGTACAGTGCTTGGCCCATGGTAGGTGCTCAGCAACTGAAGACATAGAGAGCATTGGTTTCTTCTGCTTTCATAGAAGAATCATTGCTCTTCAGCATCCATTTTCTAACTATCTCTCTGTCCTGCTGCCTTTCCTGAGCACTGTCTGCCACTCACCATTGGCTTTGGCATTGCATTGGCCCTTTAGGTATCCTTTGCTAATTTCTTTATCTTCCCCTTTTAGCCTGTCACTCTGATTATTATTGTCAGGCACTTAGTGTGCGGCCCATTTATTGCCCATTCCTGGGGGAGAAACAATGACAATCCATCTTGAGTTGTGACAGTGTTTGCTGAAGGCAGATTGCAGTGAGTTTAAAGAAGTGCAACCAAGATGATAAGGAAATCATGGAATTGTCTTATTTAGCTCTGTGGACTGGGCAGCAGGAGCTTAAGAGTCAGGTGGTTGGATGGCATACACAGAGAAGACAGCTACCAAGATAAGCTCTGGGATCTGGACTCAGCCAGAATGTGATTCAGTGAAGGGATGGCTTAGGCTGTATGTCAGAAAATATTTCTTGGTACTGCTATAAAGAACAGCAGGAATTTAAACACATAAGCTGTTTTCAGCACCGAACTGTACTAACTATACTAACCTGGTTCTTTTCTGGAATGGGTTGGGGCTGACTAGCATGTCAGTGATCTTCCGGCATTCATTATGATCAGGGTTGCAGGAGCTCCCCTCCCCTTTAGCCTTGTCCTCGATAATACCCCCATGCGTCCTGTTCCTTGGCTATACCTAACCGTTAGTATTTTCCTGCCCTAAATTTGATTCTGTCCCAAACTTTCACTGCTCCCTCTGTGGGGAGGGTCTTCCCACCCCTTTTTTCCCCCATCTTCGGGACAGTGTCCTCCTTCCCTCCTTTGGGAAGTCCCCACTGCCTGGGACCCCACTTGGCTCATGAGGCCCTTCCCCCATTTGAAAGTGATTAATCTAGAGCCCAAGCCTCTCAGCATGGTATATAAATCCCTCATGATTTGTCTTAACGGATCTGCCTCCGTTTCTAACTTTATCACCTACTGTACCCCGCCGTGCTCCTTTTCTCAGAAATGCCTGACAGACATGGTCGTTCACTCAGGGAGACTGCAGAGATACCACAGGCTGTGGGCTCTGTGGTGATCCCACTGATCTGCTACCCTCTGTGTGTGTGTCTGCTGCTTTTTAAAGGAAACTCAGGAAATAACCTCCTCCTGGAAGCTCTCCTTGCACTCGCCCCCGATTGTCTGGGCTCCAGTGCCCTGTGCTCAGTTAGCTCTGGCTTTCCACTTACTGCTTTGTGTTACAATGGCCTGCCTATGAACGAGGCTCAGACACTCCAGGGCTGCGACTGGGCTCACTCGTTCTTGTATCACAGAGCCCTACACTTAGTAGGTACTCAGAAGATGTTTGCTGAATGAATGAATGAAGCGTGCATGATTGAAGTATAGGAAAAAGGGAGAGGCCAGCATGATTTCTTAGTGGCTATGTTAAAAAGAGGACAGATACAACTCACAGGACATGACCCAGGTATGGGAAGAATTTGCTCTTTAATCTTGCAAATCCTCTTCCCTGTATGGAAATGCTGTTGTCTTCAATGAGAAGACAGTGGGAGCTTTGCTGAGCTGGTAGGAGTGGCAGGAGTTGGTTACTGTGATGAGCGGTGAGCGCAGGATTAAGCTTTTTTTTTATTTTTATTTTTTTTTAGAGATGTAGTCTTGCTGTGTTGCTCAGGCTGACCTCAAACTCCTGGGCCCAAGCAATCCTCCCACTTCAGCTTCCCAAGTAGCTGAGACTTCAGGTGCATGCCACCATGCCCAGCTAGGATTAACCTTTTGATAGAGAAATCTACTCTTTAAAAAAAGTATTAGGAAATAATTTGAACATATAAGAAGTTATAAAGAGAATAATATAATGAACATTCATGTATTATATGTTCATTAGATTAAGAAATAAAATATCACCTAGATTAAGAAATTAAATACCATTAACACAGCTGAAACCTTTTAACCATTATCCTGATTTGGTATTTATCATACTCATGTAATCTTTTATACCTTCACATGCTATGTGTGTATATGTTTGGTATATATACATTTTAATATATTTATGTTTATATTGTTGCAAACTATTATATAGTTATTCTTTTGCAACTTGCTTTTTTCAGCATTATGACTATGGGATTTATCCATCTGGATTGATACATGTAGTACTGGTTAATTTTTATTGCTGCATAGTATTCAAGTTAATGTATCTTGTTAGTGGATATTTTTGTTGCTTCCCATTTTTTTCTTTTACACAGTGCCACTGTAAACACTTTTGTCATATATCCTTGTGCACACATCTGAGTTTCTCAAGGATGATTAATAAGAGTGGAATTTCTGGGTCATTGGGAATGTGCATCTTCTTTATTAAATTAAAAAAAAAATTATTCTCTGAGGCTTATTTACTCCATTCTTAACAAAAAGAAATCCTTATAACTCCTCTTTAGATGTGTCAGTTTATATTAATGTTTCAGATGTAGTAGATCCAAGATAAGAATTCAGTTGAAACTGAAGACACCCATTTAAGTCTTACCCATGTGTCCAACATATAAAGCCGAGAAGCTGGTTTAAAATAGAGACAGGTATATGGAATGTTCCTATTTATATAAACTCCTAAAGAAAAGGAATTAGGTCATATTCAGTAGGCTGTTCAGCATTTCCTTTTACATATTTTATTTAGTTTTAACCAAAGAGCATTTTAGATTATTTTTAGGATCTAGATGGCTCACTGTGGAGCTATCTGTTGTGTGAATATTTGAGCAAGTGAATAAATGAATGGACCTATAGAATAGAGCATAAGAACAATAAAATATAATGGAATAAAATTAAAATCAAATTAGGTTCTCTGAGCTGAGGTGTTAAAGAGAAAGATTCATGGTGGGGGAAAGGTCCCCACATGGCTTTGCTGACAATCTGGCTGAAGGCTAGAATTTACGTGGCACCTTCCTCTGCCGACATTCCTGTCTGGTGGCAGGGTGCTGACACAATCACTGTTTTATCCATTTCTTTGTTATAGGCCCAGAACCTGGGGAGGCCTAACGTGTTTCTCTGGGAGGCAGCCTTGCTACTGCCATTGGCAAGCCCTCTGATGGTCTTTGTGGGCAGGACATACTCGGGTTTCCTTCCTGTTCGCCGTTGTAAAAAGCTGGCTGCCTTCAGGTGCATCTCTAGCAGGCTGGTGAATACTGCCAGCATGGGGTGTTATAGATGGGCTTTATGCAGGACTTCACGCTAAAGCCCTGTTGCTGAGGAATTGCTGTGGCCGTTTCCTGGAGATAACACCTAATCCTGGCTAGGTGCCTTATGAGGTAGGGTAGGGATTATTGAGTTACTTATTTGCAAACCCTTCTGAACTCATGGGAGATGGGCAGTTACTGTTGAGTGTCACCTTAAAGGACCATTCAGAACATTCTTGAAGTAGTGTAGTAGTGAGCTAGGACTACATAACAAAGTACCACAAAACGTGGCTTAGTACAAGCAACAGAAATGTATTGTCTCACAGTTCTGGAGGTTAGAAGTCTGACATCAAGGTGTGGGCAGGGTTGGTTCCTTCTGAGAGCTGGGAAGGAAGGATCTGTTCCAGGCCTCTGTCTTTGGCTTGTAGATGGCTATCTTCTCTGTGTGTCTCCTCATATCATCTTCCTTCTCTGTGTGTCATTTATGTGTCCAAATTTCTAAGGAGACTGGTTATATTGGATTAAGGTTCACCCTGATGACCTCGCTTTAACTTGATTACCTCTGTGAAGACCCAATTCTAAATGAAGTCACATTCTGAGGTATTGGGGGTTAGGACTTAAAAAATATGAATTTTAGAGGACATGTTTCAACTCATAACAGGTAGCAGCACAGTGTAGGATTATGTGGGAATTGTTAAAAAGCTACTTGTGAAAGTTAGATTTTCAGCTACTGGGAAGATTAGTGTTCTAGATATTTTCACACATTTTCAGCCATTCTTTCTGACATATGCGGGAGCACATTCTCAGTTTGGTGCCATAGACTGGGTCTGGTACAGTCAGCTTATTTACTTGCTAACTTCTAGGAAGGAAGCTTGGGAAACAGTTTAAAAAGAGAGAAAATTTTGTCTCTAGAATTACATACGAATTGATTTTTTCCCATTAAGAGTTTACTGCCTGAAGGTTTGCTTTGTAGCTATTTTTTCACTTGTTTTCAAGTTTATTTTAATAATTTTGTAAAAAGAAATACCTGAAAACTATTTTTTTTTGTTCTAGACTTAAAAGGAATTGTATTCGTCATCCAGAGTCAAAGTAATTCTTTTCATGCAAAGAGAGCAGAGCAGTTAAAAAAAAGCATCTTAAAGCAGGCTGCAGATCTTACACAGGTACGTAGCGATGGCTGGGGGGTCTGCCAGTTATGTATTTCTTGATTACCTTGATGTTTTCCAAAACACTGGATCCGTGGAGAATCAGTTTTTATTTAGACGAGAATAACTCCTCTGACTCATTTTGCTTATTTAATATTGAGTATTTGTTGTTGAAAATGTTTCGGTCAGCTGGGCGTGGTGGCTCACGCCTGTAATCCCAGCACTGTGGGAGGCCAAGGTGGGCGGATCCCTTGACGTCAGGCATTGGAGACCAGCCTGGCCAACATGGCAAAACCCCATCTCTACTAAAAATACGAAAATTAGCAGGGCCTGGTGATGCATGCCCGTAATCCCAGCTACTCAGGAGGCTGAGGCAGAAGAATCGCTTGAACCCAGGAGGCAGAGGTTGCAGTGAGCCAAGATCACACTACTGCACTCCAGCCTGGGTGACAGAGTGGGACTCCTCTGTCTCAAAAAAAAAAAAGGAAAAAAACGTTTTGGTTAATTCCTAATGCACAAATTATCATATTCTGAATTTTTTTTTGTGTGTGTGTATATATATATATAAAAATATATATAAATTTAAGAGAACTATATAATTGTGTGGGGCAACTGTAGATTTGTCACGAAGTATGATAAAAGCAAGTAGAAGAAATAACTTTCTAAAGGCAAGGCTTAAAATAGAGATAATTAATGTTCAAAATTTTGGTAACAAGTTCTAAGGCAATTTTCATGTTGGAATAACATTTTCATTAATCTTAGCGCAGTGCTTCCTCTATGAGTCTCTTAATCTACTTTTTTAATTGGATGTCATTAATTTAACTTTTGAGTTGATTTATAATGTAATATTCCAGAAGGATTATGGAGAGAAAAATCTACGCATATAGGTACATTTTAATAACATTTAAAATAGGCATGAACAGAATATAAAGCTGCTCTGAATAATACTGGAGGTTTGGAGTGAGGGAGGATCTACCTTGTGCTGCCCTATAGGTGCTTTCCTTCTTTAGCTAAGTAAGTCCATCAAGACCTCTGCACCATGTTGTGATGTCCTTCAAGACCGAAGTGCTTGCCTGTAGATAAATGCTATCCCTTTGTTCTCCCAGGAAAGAACTCTTTGACAAGAGACATATGTGCGTGACAGATTGTTTTCTTTCTCTTCATGGGTATTGGAAAATAAAGGGTCAGAAATGTCAGTGGAAACATAAACAGCCTTAACAGTATTCAAGGCAAGGAACTGCTGGGAATAAGGTTTATTGTTCTTAATATTTAAATGCTTTATATATAAACTGTATCAAACTGTCTTGCGTCCCTGCAAGGCCAGGTTCTCTGGGTTGCTCTGCTTGAAACATCGTACTTTCTCAAGGGAGAGGAAAGTAACACATGCTATAGATTGTTTTTCAGTAGTCAGAGATAGGAGCAGCTTGATAAGTTAAAAATTTTTCTTTTTTGGCTGGGTGCAGTGGCTCACGCCTATAATCCCAGCACTTTGGGAGGCCGAGGTGGGTGGATCATGAGGTTGAGAGATCGAGACCATCCTGGCCAATATGGTGAAACCCTGTCTCTACTAAAAATATAAAAATTAGCTGGGCGTGGTGGTGTGCGCCTGTAGTCCCAGCTGCTCAGGAGACTGAGGCAGGAGAATCACTTGAACCCAGGAGACAGAGGTTGCAGTGAACTGAGATCGCGCCACTGCCCTCCAGCCTGGTGACAGAGCAAGATTCTGTCTCAAAGAAAAAAAAAATTTTTTTTTCTTTTTTTTGGAAACCTAACTTTTGGAGGTTTTCTCCTACTAAATCTTCCTGGATTTTATTAGAGAGGCAGACATGCAGCAACCTTGACTGGCTGGCTTCTTCCATCTGCTTTGCTGGAGGCGCTAGTGGGGTGGCCACGCGCAGGCTGCTGCAGGGAGGAGGAGGAGCCAGGAGCCCAGGTAATCCATCCCTCAGGTGGATCCAGGGAAGCTCTAACTGGATTTTGCTCAGTCAGACCTTGCCAGTTACCCCAAATTTTGTGATCAGTGATGACATCAGAACCACAGTTAGGCATCCCTTACTCATATGAATTAAGAGCACACTTTTCCCTATGTCACCTGCATGTGCCCCTGCTCCCAGCAATACCTTTCTTTTTGCAGATACAGATTTGTGTTTTTTAGATTATGTATCTTCCCCATTTAATCCATACCAGTGGTCCTTTCCATGGATACGAATAGCGACGCCCCTTGCCATCCAAGTCTAGTTGATTGCATATGCCCCTATACTTCCTCTACTGTTCATCCACTCTTATTTTATTTTTGGCCAATTTTGTTTCTGTGCAAATGGATATTCATTGCTGGCTCTCTACCTGCCTTTCCCCTTCTGTTCTTCTGGGAAGAGTAGTTTTTAGAGCACCTTCGAGCAGGGCAGTGTTCCTGGGACTTGGTTTACAGCAGGGATAAGGCATGTGGGTACGTTTTGGTGGGAAGCAATAGAAATTATAAAGTATTCCTTCTTCTCCTCTTCCCCTTAGGAAAAATGAGAGTTGGCAGGCTGTTGCTGGGGGCTGGGTATGCCTGCTTCTTTGAGAGGCCCTGGGGCTCCGCAAAGGATAGGGCCCAGGTACAAGAGCACTGGATGCTTAAAACTGACTCTAGGCTCTGGGGAGGATGGTTAGAGGTTCCTGTGTAAGCTGAACTTGGCAGTTGTATTTAGGAATGGAGAATGTGTTATAGCTTCTCTTTGGTGTCTGTCAGGATTGAGGCAAGATGGTAGGCAGCTGAGCAGGTGTGGATTCAACAGAGCAGAAGGAACCTCCATTGCTTGTTACCTTGTGCCAAGACAGTTGCACCAGAGCTTATTAACTGAAGTTCCTGTCTCTAGATCCCAGCTTCATCTTCCACCGCTCATCCCCTTGTGCTTTATTTGCCAGTAACTTCAAACTAGTATATGGTTCTAGGATCACTTGCCATATTAGTCCATCTTTGCATCGCTATAAAGAAATATCTGAGACTGGGTCATTTATAAAGAAAAGAAGTTTACTTGGCTTATGGTTCCATAGGCTGTACAGGAAGCATGACAGCTTCTGGGGAGGCCTCAGGAAACTTTCAATCATGGCAGAAGGTGAAGAAGAAGCAGGCACATCTTATGTGGCTGGAGCAGGAGGGTTAGAGAGAGAGGGGAGGTGCTACACACTTTTAAGCAATCACATCTCTCAATAACTCACTCTCCTCACGACAGTACCAAGGGGGATGATGTTAAACCATGAGAAACTGCCCCCATGATCCAGTCACCTCCCTCCAGGCCCTACTTCCAACATTGGGGATTACAATTCCACATGAGATTTGGGTGGGGACACAGATTGAGACCGTATCACATGCTATGCCCCTGTGGCTTTGTATATTGTAGATCCTGTCTTCTTGTCAAGCTCATGTATCCCCATAAAGGTTTTCCGTGCACCATCTTGAGCCGCCGTGCTAAGCTACTTCCTTTTTGGTTCCACTTTTGTATCTTGGACAAACTTCTATTGTATACTTTTCATTGTGTATTATTTGTTACCTGTCTCTTTTACAAATTTTGAGAGCAGAGAATAGACTATGTCTTATGAGTTGATTCTTCAGAACCAAGCACTGAATCCTTGAAATTCATGATCTTTTCTTTCCCAGAGTTACTTTCTTCTCTATTGTAATAGAAGTTTCCTTGTATTTCTCCTACATACAGTATGGACCTTTGGCCGTATGTACGCATGCATGCACACACATGCTGTATTAAATCACAAGTTCTTTGAAGGCAGACACTTCTTTTGATCCTTCCATAGCACCTTGAACATAGTAGGTATTCAGCATATGGCAATTGAATTGACTCTAAGAAATTTATCAAATGAAAATGAAAATTTAAGTAACTTATGTATTTTATTCCTGTTAACTCTTAAATGGATAATGGCCAACCTCCCTCTTATTAAATATAGTAGCTATTTATTTCTCTCAGTGAAACCGCAGAGTTTAGGAAGAAGAGTAGAAAAAAAATTAGGTATGAGTTGGTTCTAGAAAAATATGATGTTATGAATAATTAAATCTTTTGGAGATAATATGAAAAAGAACCAGAAGATTCACTTGACTAACACAGACAACATAACAGTGACTTAAAGAAGATGGAAATCCTTCAGTATTGAAACAAAATTAAAAAAAAAAATGGAAGATGTACTTCTCCCCACCCAACAGTCTAGTTGGTGGGGGCCTGGGGAGGCAGCTCTGCTCCAGGTTCCTCTGTCCTGTTACTTGGATGAAGTGTCTTGTCCTGCTTGGTTGAAGCTGACCTACATTCTGCATTCCAGTGTGTGTAGGCCAAGCTGCTTCCTTTTAAGGATTTTGTACCTTGCAGTTGTATATGTTGTGTCCCTTTATGTACCTATGTCCAGGATATATCATGTGGGTACACTTGGGCTGGGAAGTGTAATGTCTAGTTGGGTGGCCCTGGATTCAGCTAGAACTCAAGGGGTTCTAATCTTTAGAAGGGAAAGGGAGCATGGATACAGAGGGACAAATCGATGTCTCTGCCAAAGTCAGGATTTTGTTTTCATATCAAGGACTCACTTAGTCTACAGAATTTATCTATGAACCTCTCATTCATTCTTTTGGTATTTGAAGACATACTACGGGCAAAGTACTGGGGATACAAAGATCAACAAGACATAGTCTTGGTACTTGAAGAATGCACAGTCCCAGAGAGGAGAAGGGCCATCAGCAGGCAGTTTTTCTTTTTTTTTTTTCTTTTCCTTTGTTTTTGAGATAGAGTCTCACTCTGTCGCCCAGGCTGGAGTGCAGTGGCGTCATCTCAGCTCACTGCAAGCTCCGCCTCCCGGGTTCATGCCATTCTCCTGCCTCAGCCTCCCGAGTAGCTGGGACTACAGGCACCCGCCACCACACCTGGCTAATTTTTTTTTGTATTTTTAGTAGAGACGGGGTTTCACCATGTTAGCCAGGATGGTCTTGATCTCCTGACCTCGTAATCTTCCTGCCTCGGCCTCCCAAAGTGCTGGGATTACAGGCATGAGCCACTGTGCCTGGCCAAGCAGGCAGTTTTCAAGCAAGGTGGAAGAGCAGTGATAGAAGGGTACTTGGGACACAAAGGAGGGCCCCTACCATGGTGAAGTGGGGCAGGGGAGCTGAGGAGGGGATGTGATGCTCAAGGAGGGATTTCTGAAAGTGCTGAGCCTGGAACTGAGCCTACCTATTAGGCACTAGCTAGGTTGAGGCTGAGGTGGGAGGGGAGGGCTTTCAGGGTAAGGAGGACAGCAGGTAAGGTGGCCAGGTGAGAGGTGGAAGCACAGGTGTGTGGGCTGTGATGCTGTCCTGGGGCCAGCGGATGGGGGGTGGCAGTGTGGGCCACAGGCCTGGGAAGTCAGGATGGATCATGGTCACGCAGAATTGTATGTCCTCTGGGGAGCCAGGCTTCTCTGGGGGCTTCTCTGAGGGCCCTCCTGGTATTCTGAGGTGTATCTCTTTGGTATACAGGTGTTTAGCATCTCTCGTCTCTGGCAATACATGTAGCAGTGACCCTGGTCTCTATTACAGTTAAAAGTGCCCCTTGGTTGAGGATTACTACCAGGGAGTGCCGTTAGGGAGTAGACCTGGTAGAGTTTGTGTTTTAAAACCATCCCCTGGTGGCCTTAGGGAGAATGGCATTAAGAGAGCCAGGACTGGGCGAGGAACCTCATTCTAAGGTCGTGGGACTAGTCTTGGGCCATGCTGCACAGGGCGGGTTGCAGACTGCTGTGTGCCCTCCACCACAGCAGTTTGAGAAGCCCTGGGCTGGGGACAGGGCCATGGATCTGGCTGGGGGTGGCGTAGGGGTGCTGCAGGGCCAGAATGGTGGGAGATGGACCCAGGCTGGAGAGAATGGCAGGGACGCTTCCAGCTGGGACTCAGATGAGGTGGGGCTGCTGAGTGAGATTGAGGACAGGTTCTCAGGTTTAGAGGGTGATGATGACTTTGGGTGTCATATCTGAAGTGAGGGTGTGAGTAGCTGGAGGCTGGATATTTGTTTTACGCTCAGGAGAAAGATTTGGCCAGAAGATGGTAGATTTGAGAGTCAGCAGCATACATAGGTAGTGGCTAGAAGCTTGAAGGTGCTGCTTCCAGGGGAAGCCATGGGCCCTGCGGGAAGACCAGTGTCTAGGGGCTGGGCAGAGTCGGAGCAGACTGAAGGGCCATACGAAGGGATACAGAGAGGAGGGGCAGTGTGGGATGCTGGCTACCTGAGGACTGGCCCGTCAAATTGCCATCAGTAATGCGACATTCTCTGGAGAGGCCTCAGAGAGACTGGTCTCAGACTGCCTGACTAATTGGGACTGTGGCCTGCGCACTGACCTCAGGATGCATCCCACTCAGTGTGCTTCGTTGTTGCTGGCACCACCACTGTTATTATTTTTTAATTGTAATAAAAAACACCTAAAATGCACGTCTTAAGTGTACAACTCAGCAGTGTCAAGTGGAATCATGTTGTGTAACAGATCTCCAGAGCTTTTTTATCTTGTGAAACTAAAATCTGTATGCATTGAACAACTCCCCATTCCTCCCTACCCCAACCCCTGGCTACCACCATTCTACTTGCTGTTTCTGTGAATTTGATTTTTCTGGATTTCTCGAAGAGTGGAGTCATAGGTATTTGTCCTTTTGCGACTGGCTTCTGTCACTTACTAATGCCTTCAGGATTTATGACAGACTCTGTGTTGTTGCAGGTAACCTCAGTCCACTGTGATGGACATTTTCATCTGTAGACACCTATTTCCTTGGATGCTCATTTGGCATTTCACGTATGCACCCCCAAGGTGTACTTTGTCCTTCAGTGTATCTGTTCTGCCTTCAGGCTCCAGAGGGAGGTGGGACCTGTTCCCTATTCCTTTTTGCATCCCGCATAGCACGTAGTGGATTGCCAAACACACACAGCATTAGAACCTGTATTTCCATTGATTCATTGTCCTTAGCTTTTGAAGCTTAGGAAATAGCTACATTTCTTTAAAGTATTTGACTTTTTAGTGCTTTATTCTATGCATCTATTTAGCTTTATCACGCTTATACTTAATTTTTATTGTCCTTTATTTGCAGTTTTCTGTTTAGACAGCCTGTTGAGTAGGGGACTTAGATTGCCACTAGGTGGCAACATTGGTTTTACATTTAAAGGCATGTAATTAACCAATATTGTTAGGCAATGCACCCCCATCACCCCCAGCATTTAATTTCTGTGATAGTAAGTAGAGCCTAGACTAAAGCAATAAGGAAGCTTCCCTTTAATTATACGAAGGTCGGTTATTGTTCTGAAATTCTTTGCTTGGATGAAGCCAGCTAAGAGCACCCAAGTAGTTATGACCAAACTTTAATTTGGTCACAAGATCCATAGTGAGCTGTTACAGCTTAGGTAATTTCATTTTTGGGTTAACAAGTCTTTTGGAAGTTGAACTGTCCAGAAAGATTTTAGGGTTTGCAATTATACTTGATTCTGGATCATTTTTTCTTTTACAGAGTTTTTTATGCCACATGTATGATTAAAAGTTGACTTTATTCCATGAATAGCACTTTAGAGATCCATGAATGGGGCCAAGTATGGTGGTTCACCCCTGTAATCCCAGCACCTTGGGAGGCCAAGGTGGGCGGATCACCTGAGGTCTGGAGTTCAAGACCAGCCTGGCCAACATGGTGAAACCCTGTCTATACAAAAATACAAAAATTAGCCGGTCGTGGTGGCCAGCTCCTGTAATCCCAGCTACTCTGGAGGCAGAGGCAGGAGAGTTGCCTGGACCTAGTAGGCGGAGGTCGCAGTGACCCGAGATCGCACCACTGCACTCCGGCCTGGGCAACAGAGCGAGACTCCATCTCAAAAAAAAAAAAAGAGAGATCCAAGAACAAGAATGGCTGACAGCTAACGTAGGGTCTGTAGACAATACTTAGGGGGCAATGATGAGATAACTTCACCTGGAACTAAATGAAAATAGAGAAATAAGATCAACTTCTGAGAATTAAATGCTGAAATTCACAAAGCATAGGGAGGCAAAGTCACTTTAAAGAGGCAGGAGGGCTCCTTAGTTAAAACTTAGCTGGAGGCTGTTTTTTTTTTTTTTTTTTAGATGGAGTTTTGCTTCTGTTTCCTAGGCTGGAGTGCAGTGGTGCGATCTCAGCTCACTGCAACCTCTGCCTTCTGGGTTCAAGCGATTCTCCTGCCTCAGTCTCCAGAGCAGCTGGAGTTACAGGTGCCTACTACCACGCCTGGCTGATTTTTTGTATTTTTAGTTGAGACAGGGTTTCACCATGTTGGCCAGGCTTCTCTCGAACTCCTGACCTCAGGTGACCCACCCGCCTTGGCCTCCCAAAATGCTGGGATTACAGGTGTGAGCCACCATGCCCCGTCTACTGGAGGCTGTTTTAAGAAATGGACATGCTCAAGAAAGAACTGGTGACTCCGTCAGCTGTGGGAGCTGAGAAAGGGAAAAACTAAGAGGCATAAGTTGTTGGCGTCCCAGTGCTGTGGTGGGAGCAGGCTGGCTCCTCAAAGGGGTGTCTCAGCAGCTTGGTGTGGCAGGTATGCACCGTGCCTGTAAGGGACGGGATGTCTGGGACCCTCATGTCACCTGGGACCCCAACTGTGAAGCATGAAGGTTGCAGTTTTGGTTTCTTCATCAATTTGCCCACCATGAACATTCGTAAAAGTTGCTTGGTGAGGCAGAAGTCAGCAGTAAGTTTTATCATTTGAATATTTATCTGATAGCTCAAAATATATATTCCTCCCACAATACCAGATGTCTAGAACTGCTGTTTAGTCATTACTCTGTCAGGTTGCACTTGACTACAAAGTCTGCCAAAAAATTAAGGTGCAAAAATTTAATGACTTCTGTGATTATGCATCTGTTTCCAGCTATTCTCTTTGCTTAGGCAAGTCATTACCTATGCCTGTTTTGCCTCAAGGTGCTAAAATGCAGCCTTATTAAAAACGGAAACATTTTTCATCATTACAGCATGAATCTAAAAAGAAAGAGCGTAAACTAACTTTTTATCTGACATTTAATACTGTGTGCAGAGTTGTTAGTAGAAGAGTTAAACTGTTTCCCTTGTTTTCTGCAACAAGGGTCATTGTAAGTAGTCATTTCCATCTCCAGTTTTGAAGCTTATCATGCAGTTATAATGGTGCTGAGGTTGATAATTTTATGTTCTTTCCAATCTATAACTCAGCTGACTTCATCAGGTTCTATTCTATGTGCAGAGTATCATTCTAAGTTGCTCTGTCACAAAGGATTAGAAAGGAATTTAGTAGAATGCGTATTCTCGTTTTTATAAAGTAGATGGTAACTATTTCATAATATAAGTGAGTATATCATTAAGCAGAAATTGTAAGTACAGAATCAGTGTTTTAAAGAATCCACTCAATAGGCCAGGCGCACCTGTAGTCCCACCTACTCAGGAGGCTGAGGCAGGAGGATTGCTTGAATCTAAGAGTTTGAGACCACCTTGGGCAACATAGCAAGACCCCATCTCAAAAGAGAAAAAAATTGACTCAACAAATATTAATTGAGCATCTATGGTTATATTAGTCATTTTTGAATGCAAAAAGACATCTGTAGACAACACATGGGGGCCTTGAGAATGACGATAACGTGTTTGAAGCTGTGTAGCAATATGTAAAAAGTTTGAGTTGACGCTGTGCTAATTGTGCATGTGAAGCCTGAGAGGAGAAGGCGGGAAGACTTTTGTGAAATCACTCAGGAAAGACAGGGAAAATGAGCTGGAGGACATAGGTTTAGAACATAGTTCTGGAAGATGAAGACATGAATTGCCAGAAGGTCTGCTTTTGGGATGCCAAGTAGGAACTGGAATTTGTAAGGGAACAGTTTGTGGGATGGGTAAAGTGTGTGTTGGGAGTGGAATGTGATCTTTGTAGATTGCAGTGAATGGAAGGGAGGGTCGGTGAGAGTGGGGATGTGGCTGATGACTACGGCTTCCTAAATGCAGATCTGCACATAGAGGAATACAGAGTTTGAAGAAGAGCTATTTTTTTCCCTGTTTTTTTCCTCCCTGTATCACAGATGGAAGGGTAATGTGAAGTGATCGAGACTGACTATTTAAAGAGGTATGCAAACAAAAAGCAAAGTGGAGGTGAGACAGACAGAAACCCATAAGGAGAGTTTGTGCAATGATCTAATAAATCACCTGTTTGAGTTTATTTTGTTCAGATGCCTATTATGTGCACTGCATCTGTGTCAATTATGATTTGACATCTGTTTTTTTGACTTAAAATTCCTTCTGGAGTGGATATTTGTGTAAAAATTCTTATATTAAATATTTTGTTAGTTACATGAAACAAAAGAGCAAACAGCTCAGGTTCTAGAGATGATACTATTAAGTATCTTGAATTTATGTTGTGATGGCAAAGCTGTCACCTGAGTCTTTTTTTTTTTTTTTCCTTCTAGAACCTGGGGTCTAGCCACCAAGCGGATCCCATGCTGAAACAATCTTTCCTGTAGTTTCAAAAGCATATTAACACCTGTCTAAAACCATTGTTGTTCTCCAGAGGAACTTTACGTAAGATTAAATTGGAAACAATGAAGGAGAGAAGATAAAGCATAATTGCATTGCTTTCAGTAGGTTCTAGTAAAGCAAGAATCCAGGCACCATTTGAAGACACTAAAGTAGGAACTTTAACCTCAGCACAAGGCCAGGGTCTTGCTTGCCCAGGGAATCACTTTGGATGGGGAGCAGAGAAGTAAGCCACTGTAGAAGGAATATTTGGGGAGAGGGGTAGGACAGTGTTTAGAATTAAGGCAGGAGCTGAGAAATAGGCAGAACCAGAGATACATTATGGTTCCAGGCAAGGCAACCTGCAAATACTGCCCCCCTCTCTAAAAAAAAATCAGAAGTCAGGATGCTTAAAAGGGTTTCATTATTGGGGGCAGAGGTCGGCGGGTCAGAGGTTGGATTACATTTTCTGCTTTAGACCAAATGGAGCTAACCTAGCTGCTTAGAGACCTCTATACTCTCTCCACCTGAACTATGTAGCTTTTGAAGAGAACTGACACTTCTAATTTTGTAGCCTTTTGTGGTGAGACTATAAACCCTTTATTTAAAACCTGGCATAATCTCAACTTTACAAATTATTTTTTTTCTGCTGTTTGCAGAAAGTTTTGGAAATCACTATTTTTCTTGAAAAGAGTTAGGCCCTTGCCTCTTTAGTTTTTTTTTTCTTTTTTTTTTTTTATATTAAAAACACCTGATTTTCATTTGTTAAGCCAGGAGAGCTAGCAAAGCCTTTCATAGATTAGTGTAAAGAAGCTTGAGAAAGATGGCCTGGCGTTTTCTAATTTCAGAATTTTTTTTTATTCACAGGGAGACTGTGAGTTACTTCATTAAAAGGTTAACTTTGAGAGTCATGAGTGTGATTTATTGCCTCAGCTTTTTGATGCTGTATATCATTAAACTTTTCTTTTGAAGTGAAAGGAGTTGGATGCTTAATAGTTTACTAAAAGTTAATTTTATTTTTAGAAATTGATAGGCATTAATTGTATTTTTATTTATTAAATTCGAGACTTTATTGCATTGCTGTTGAATGCAAATTTATCGACCCATTCATTCAACAAATATTGATTGAATACTTACTTTGGGCAGCGGCCTGGATAGGATGCTCCAGGAGAAAATAGAATTTTTTTTTTATACACATTCTCTCACTTAAATAATACTGTCCTTTTTCACATATACAACTGGCATTCTTAGAAACATCTTTTATACATGTGTCTTTATATAGAACTTCATGCATCACAGGAAATAGAACATTGAGATTCAAGGCCAAGTTGCTCAACAGTAATGAAATCTTCACACCATTTGGAAGGCTGTGTCATGACCCTTTGTCTCTCTTTGGTTGCCCAGCATTTGAACCCCTTTGCTTCCTGGAGAAGTCTACACCCTGTGTCTGGAGGGAGCTGGGGCTCAGCCCATTAAGGCAGACGGAGGCCAGGTGCTCGGGCTTCCCAAGCTCAGGGGAGGGTGGGCCTCCCTTCCAGCATGGCATGTTGGATGAGTATGGAGCTGGAGACCCCAAGAATCAGGTAGCTTTAGACCTCCCTCCTCTGGGTGTCTAGTGGTGACAGTGGAGGCCAAGTGCAAAGCCAGCACATGCAAGTGTGCAGAGGAGGTGGGGGCTCCATGAACATGGTGCCAGTGGTGTGTGATGCCCAGCAGGGATGGCCTCTCCAGGGTGTAGGTCACTGTAGACTGTGCCATGCCCAGTGCCTATTGCGGAAATGGCACCTGCCCTCCAGGAGGCTCATTCTAGTTGGGGGAGCAGGTCATTCCACTGGTTGAGTTGCTGTATGAATCAGTACAAACATGGCCCCCTGAGAACATAGGCAAGGAAAGCTGTGACCCCATCTGGACATGCCAGTAAAGGCTTTTTTATGGCATTTGAACTAAGCCTTGAAGAAATGTAGTATAAGTTTGGTAGACTCCCATCTTGGGCAGCTTGAGGACTGTCACTGAAGGCGGCAATACATCGTGGGTGTCACTGGATATTAGGGAATGGATGAAGAAAAGAGGATGAGCTACTCTCAGCTAAGATGATGAGTTCATTTTTGGAAAGGTGGAGTTTGAGGGATTAGTGAGACATCTAGTTTATGGGCCCAGGGTTTGGAGTAGAGAGAGTTGGAAACGACAGTAGTTATTGTAGCTTTTTTTGAGTGCTCATAATCATTGTTATTTAATTTAGTGCTCATATTGGTACACTATGCTATGCTGTTTTCAAGCATCAGCTCATTTAACTCTATGAATTAGTTGCTGTTATTCTTGCCGTTTTGCAGAGAGGAAACTGAGGCTTAGAGAGATTAATAAAATAGTGGAGTCAGTCCTATACCTCAGTTCTGAGGGGATCCAAAGCCTATTCTCTCTGCCTTGCTGCCTCCTGACTTGCAGGTGGGGCCATGATCCCTCGTGCAGCAGAGCCATGTTGATAGGTAAACAGTGTGCTATTCAGTCTGTCTCTTCATATAGCTCTGTTCTTATGGCTTCTATCCCTGACACATTATATTGTAGATTTATTTGCTTGTTGCCTGTCTCCCTCATGAGAACATGAGATCCAATAGGGCAGGGACTCTGCCTGTCTTATCACAGCTGTTTACTGTATTCCTAGAACAGTACCTGGTACATAGTAGTTGCTAAAAATTATTGCAAAATTGATATTGTTAATAGTCATCACATGCTTACCACATGCCAAGTGCCTGGCATGTATTAACTCACTTGCTCCCCTTTGCTGTTGTCATCTCACATGAGAGAATGAGGTGGCAGAGCCACAACTAGGATAAGAAACTCACTCGAGTTGCATGGCTCAGAAGAAATAGAGCCAGGATTCAAAGGAATTTGGCTCCAAAAATCAGATCCTTAAATACTGAGCTTTACAGCCTTTTGTGAGTGAATGAATTATTAGTTAAAATAGATTTATATGAGCTATAAAATGGACGGAGTAATGCTTTTCAAAGTAAATTGTTCATAAAAATAAAAATTTCTAAATAATGAGGTAATATTTTATCTTGTTAGGAAAGGACATTTAATGATTAAGACAGGTATCTAGAAAAATCTTTTCTTTTTTTTGTAATATAGACTCAGATTCCTAGAAGGTATGTTATTATAACATCACATATAATCTGCTGGGGGCCATAAATGAATACTGGATTTCTAAAGGCTAGTAAATCTGTCTGATACATGTTGCAAATAGCATATTACAGATCTCTGTTATCCTCATAAGACATACGTACCTCTTACAGAAGAAATTGTAACAATAAACAGATGTTAATTTTCACCATAATTTATTTGTTGTTCTAAAAGCTCAGTTCAGTGCCTCAGAATGATGTAATAGTTGGAATTTAGACAAACAGTTGAAATGGAATCAGTCTTAAAAGTTCAGTTTTTTAGAACCTTTGCCTAATGCTGATCTTACTTTCTAGTTTAGCATGTAGTCTGAATAATAAAACTGAATGAGACCATAAACCCATGTACTTCTAGGTTTAGAGGTTAAATTAAGGACAAATGACAAATACTGGCAAATAGTCTGTTGACAAGGGAAAGACCAGCACCATGTAGTTTAATTGTTGAATTATTTCCAGACATGCAGAAAAACTAAAATGGTTCAAAACCAAATCTGCTGAATAATTAAGGTTATTTATGATATTTTATATATTCATCTATTTTAATCCATGTTCAAATGTTAGCTTTTTCATTCATACTATTAATATTTCTACATATAAATTTTTAATGATTTCCCCTCCATGTCAAGAATAATGACCCTTCTCCATTCTAAAAATATTGTGAGAATACTCAGCTGTGATATTGGAATCAAACCCCTTTCCCAAATGAGGATGATGAATATGTATAAGAACCAACTAATGAATTAGAATGTTGGTTTTAAATTTGTTTGCTCTCAATAATTATTAGCTGCTTTAAATATGAATTCATGCCTTGATAACAAATATGTTCCAAGGAAGTACCGACTGAAAGTTCAGTAGGCTTCCTGTCTTCAAAGTGATTATGATACCAGTGGATGCTGATAAAGGCAGACTTTAATTCAAAGAGATAAATAGAGTTGACATGAAAGTTTAAATTACTGCAAGCGACCTTTTCATTTTCTTTCCCTTTTCTGTCATTTATCCATATTTGATCATTTGTATTTTTAGCTCCTTTATGCCTGCCTGTTACGGCATTATCTCATTATCGAGAGAATTTTGAATTACCTTTTAGGTTTGAAATAGTAGCATGATTAGGCATCATTTAGATTGACGACAGTTGTTGCATGCATGAATGCCTTTACTATGTCTTTATTCCAGACAGCTCTTGGTAATGTTGATATAACATTTTCTTATTTTCCCCTTGAATTTTAATTTGAAAACTATTTCTTAGTTATTCAGCCAGTTACTTATTTAAAAACTTGCTTTGAGACTGGGCACGGTGGCTCATGCCTGTAATCCCAGCACTTTGGGAGGCCGAGGCGGGTGGATCACCTGAAATCAGGAGTTCGAGACCAGCCTGGCCAACATGGTGAAACCCTGTCTCTATTAATAACACAAAAATTAGCCAGGCGTGGTGGTGCACCCCTGTAATCCCAGCTACTCGGGAGGCTGAGGCAAGAGAATCACTTGAACCTGGGAGGCAGAGGTTGCAGTGAGCCGAGATTGCGCCATTGCACTACAGCCTGGGTGACAAGAGCGAAACTCTGTCTCCAAAAATAAAAATAAAAACTTGCTTTGAATCTAAAAATGGTATCATTTAGTGACACTACCTTTAAGGAGATCTAAATCTTATGATGGCGATAGATGGAACATAAATTATTATAATCCTAAGTGGTAGGAACTGAGATAAGATCATTTGATAGAAAATTTTATTGCACCCTTTTTGATAATTACCTTTAAGGTGCTACTACATCTAAGTGTAATATTACATCTGTTTGGGTCTCTGTGTGCATTCATATATATATATGTGTATATATGTGTGTATATGTATATGACAAGAATAAAAGCTCTTGGGCATTTTTGGGGATTAGTAGATTAAAATTTATTTACAATTAAGATGACTTTGGCTTAATCAAGAGTTAATCAAGAGCAGGTTTCTGAGTGCCAAAGTAGCACCTACTTTGTATTTTTGAGTACTCACCTTTGGAGAGTGTTATTAACAAGGCATGCTAGCTTTTGAAATGTTGTTATATGGAGATACAGAGAGACAGAAAATTTGACTGATCTTGTGTTCACAAACTGAAGCAAATATGAAATCTAGTATATGATTTACTAAACAAATATAATGGAGCTATGAATGACTTTAATCTACTGATAATCCATAGAGTTTATTTCAATCTAGGATGTGATTCCTTGTTTGCACTACCTAAACCTTTGCCTCCCACATTTTATGTTGTGGCAGAAATTATTAATAAGCTTGTCTTCTAATCTCTCCCAGGAAAGTGCTTTTGTAGCCTTTCTGCTGAGGTTACCGTCAAGGTATCAAAGGAAGCCTTTTCTCAGTTAATAGCTGTTGATATTACATTATATATATATCCTATAACTAGGAAGTATAATACTTGTTTGGAAGTAAATTTTTGAGGTGCATTCATTTTCCTTCAATGTTTAAAAAACTTAGCTATGTTTTAATTGAAGGATTTTTAAAGCATATATCTCATTGTTCTATCATCTTGACACAAATATTTTCACTTCCTGGTTCTTCTAGTCTCTGTTCATCTAGGATTTTGTTTTATTCTTGGAATCATGTCTGGTTTTTTTCTATTAAACATAAAGACATTTCCGTTGTTATAAAGTTTTCATCATAATTTTAATTGATACATAATAACTCATTAGCTACTTTTATGTAAAACTTTAAAAAGTATTTGCTATATTTCTTTTCTTGTCTAGCTCACATTTGCATTTACCCATAATTATTCCAAAGTTTTATGCAAATAGTAACATCATTAGTTTCTTTACACATGATTTTCTGCTCTTATGTAATCCTTCATGAATATATATATTTGCTGGAATTTTAAAAAGACAATGAAAATTACTGCATAATTCAGAAGTAACAGTAGGAAGGCCCTGAATTATTTATATTGGGTAACTGCTAATTCAGCCTTAAGGTTTGCTCTTTCTAACATACCACATTGTTTGTCTGATTTAACCTGTGATTACTGTTTTTTGCATTTCATATTTCTACATGGAAGTTGAAATGAATATTATATAAAATAAATGAGATTTACTTGAAATTTAATTCCAAAGATTTACATTAAAGACTATTCTCTTCTTAAATAATAAATATCTATGAACTTTAAGACAGCTGTGAAATCCACATCAGTGCAGTAATGTTTCAGATACTTAGGTACTTGTTCTTGAATTCTTTTGTCTGTAATGGTTACTAGGAATATAGTTTTATGGCTAGTATAAAACACAGGATATAATAAAGTTTGTTGGGGGAGGAGGTTTAAGCATATGAGATATGAAATTTTTGACTTTTGGCTTTTGTAACAACTTGAAATATAGGGAATAGTGTTTTGCTTCAAAGCTAACACTCGTAGCCTTAAAAATATTAATCTCTCTTTATATATGTATACATAATTTATGTAAGCACAGTTGTGCCTTATTTCTGAATTTTAGTTCCTCCTATGCTTATAAATTTGTCAATTCCATTATTATGCTATTCCTGTTATTGCCTGAGTAATTAAGGATTACATTTCTCGACCAAAACTTTTTGTTATCAGGGTATTTTAATGTGTTTAGAGAACTTTAAAAAGTAAAGTAATTTTTGCACATGAGGTAGATCAAATATTGTATCCTCTAGTTTAGCCAAAGGGTTTTCATTTTCACATGTTCCATATGTTGTATATAAAATAAAAAACTGCTTCTGTGCCTCTGAGTTATCCCTGACTACTTCCCCCAGGCTCTTCCCTTCAAGTCACCTTCACAGATTTCAGGTTGGCTCGGAGTCACGGAAGACCCTCCTTGTAGGTCTTGAGCTCTATTTGGGTGTGTGGGTGGTGCAGAGTGTAGAGGTTGCATGGATTCAGCCAAAATACTTCATTTCCAGTAGCTCCTGGAGAAAATGAGGAAAAAGAAGTGGTTTGAAGAGTACCATGTCAGGTCTCTAGAAACAGCTGCATTTTAAGCCAAGCCTTTTCTTTTTTTCTTTTTTCTTTTCTTTTCTTTTCTTTTTTTTTTTTTTTACTTTTTTTCGGAGTAGTCAATTCATACTTATCTTCTTTGATCATTGTTTTCTCAGGAGCTCCCCAGTGTCCTCCTCCTTCATCAGCTGGCTAAACAAGAAGGTGCATGGACCATACTTCCGTTGTTACCGCAGTACGTTTGTTTAACTCACCTGTGAATTACTGACATTCCTACCTGAACACTTTTACGCCCTTAGTCTTTTTATTAAGAGGGTGTGGTTTTCCTCAGTCAGTAAGTGAAGTAAATTTGAGTTTTACTTTTTATGATTACTACCTTAACCAAATTTCTTGATGATTGGTTCTTAATCATGAATAGCTTTTTCTTTTTTTTTGGAGACAGAGTCTCGCTCTGTCGCCAGGCTGGAATGCAGTGGTGACTTGGCTCCTGCAAGCTCTGCCTCATGGGTTCAAGCAATTCCCTGCCTCAGCCTCCCGAGTAGCTGTGACTACAGGCGTGCACCACCACTCCCAGTTATTTTTTTATTTTTAGTATAGATGAGATTTTACCATGTTGGCCAGGATGGCCTTGATCTGTTGACCTTGTGATCCGTCTGCCTTGGCCTCCCAAAGTGCTGGGATAACAGGCGTGAGCCACCACACCCTGCCCTATATATGCTTTTTCTTAAAGAATAAAATGCTTCAAGTTGATATTTGAAAATTATTTATCCCCTGAACTAGTGTTGTTATGGAGAGAATTAACTTTACGAACTCCAGCTGTTTTTTAAACCATTAGCATCTGGCTTTTCTATAAGCTGAAGAAAAATATAGAGAAAAAAATTAGATATGCCATTCTGTGTACCCTTCATTCACTTCCTACTGATCAGTTTTAAACCTTATTATTAACTTATTTTACAGAAGTGATTACTGAAACTTGTTTCTTTTGGTCAGTTTTTCTGTAACATATAGCAGAAATTCATCTTGGATTTTCTTCTGTGAAGAAGAGACAAGAATACAGATTCCAAAACTCTTGGAAACCCTCAGAAGATATGACCCCTCTAAGGTGAATATAACTTCAATACCAGTTCTTATTTTGGGGGACAGTGTTTCAAAGGAGATTTAATTTTGATTAAGAAGCTTTTGAATCTAATAAAAAACCACTTAGTTTAAAATTAAAAAGAATGAAACATTGTTGAATATCTGAGATATGTTAAGTAATGCTCTTTGAAGTTTGTAGCTTATAGAGGGACAGAGCTTATAATGAGCCATTTTAAATGAAAAAAATCTGTTAATATATGTGTTAGCAATTTCAGAGAGTTGGAAACTATAACTTGAAGTTCATAAACTGCTTTTCTTAGCAATAAACTTAAGTTGGCTATTTCTGCTTATTAGACAGTGACCATATATTATTTTAGATAGAAAATTTTTTTTGAGTGCCAGCTGTATACTGAGCACTGTGGATGGCGGAGGCTAGAACAAAACAGACAGCGATTCTGAACATGTGGGTGGCACAGAATAGCAGGGAGAACAGACCATTAGAGAAGCAGTTATGGTTAGAAGGAAAACATCTCTAATAAGGAAGACTAGGGTGCTGTTAGAAGCATATAACAGGGGCATGGAATCTAACCTGGGAGGGTCAGGACAGGAAGTGACATTTAATCTGAGTTCTGTAGGATGAGTAGGAGTTAGCAAGAGAGAAAGAGGGTCTACCAGGCAGAGGGAACACGATTTGAGAAAGAATGGGGGTGGGAAGGGATGTATCTTGAACTAGAGGAACTCAGTGAAGTCCACTACTGCTTTTACATTTTCAGATCTTGTTTTTATTTCATGCAGATTTGATAGAGCAACTGGATTTTGTTTGCCTTGAAATCCCTAGCCCTTAGCAGAGTGTTTAACACTTAGTAGGTGGTCAGTGAATATTTGCGAATGACTTTATAACCCTGTAATAATCAGTTTTGCTGCTGGGCTATGTTCAAAGGCTCGTTAGGTTTAGAGAGCTGCCTTGGAAATGTGTCAAGAGTAAATCGAGCTCATTCAGTTCTCTTTCAGAGGAAAGAAGCCCAGGTTACAACCTGATCACTTTTTGGAATTCTTTAAACTTGAGATAAGCAGAGATGGGCCCTTTCTGGTCCCAGTGGAAACCTGTCCCACCCACCTTCGAATGCTCGCTCCTGAGATGAATCAGATGTAATGAGCTCATGGGGAATAAAAGGCAAGCTTCTGGGTTCTGCTCGGTTTGTTGATGTAGATGTCAAACACTGGGCAACAGTGATCGTTAGATTAATTTCTCCAACCCTGGAAAGCCTGTTACTATAATAGAAACCACTGCTTTTGATGATCTTTAAATGCTGGAAAGATCCACTATGATTTTTCTTCATGCTTTTAATTTCTGGGAAGCTTTAGATATAATTGGATGAGAAGGTCATTGGGTTAAAAAAATAATTCTTTCAAAGAGAAGAATTATGAACCTGTCTCATCCAGTCTTTTCAGATGACACTAACCAGCATCTGTGCACTTTCTGCCATGTTTTATGCAAACCATTTGTTAGGCTTTTATGTTTCCTTTTGGCTTGGGAAAAACTCCCAAATCTTTTTTAGGATGTAGGAGTTTTCACCTCCTCCTAGTGTTCATTTCACCTGGAGGTTATTTTTCCATTATCCATAGCTCTAATTCTGTACAGGAGATGGTGACTCACTTTGCTTTTTAATGAAAATTGGGATGATAAATTTAAAAGTTCAAAGCAAGTTCATGAAAAGCAAGTACAGAACAGAGGTAAAAGGAGATGTTTTCTCCCTCTTTTCAGAACTCTGCCATGTGTAAAAAAAAACCATCCAGGATGCTTTATTTCTTTTGAGACTAACAGTAAGAAATGATAAAGATTATATGATGTTGAAGTTAGCTCAAACCAGTGTGATTTTTTTGTCCTCTACCATTTGAAGGGAAAAAAGTATAAAGCAAACCTGGCTTTGATATTTACACAAATAAACTTTGAGTACATTAAAATAATTATGTAATGTGTGAGGGTATAAGGTATTTTGTTTGATTCTGATTTATTTCCATCATCATCTTTCAGTCATTCTTACTAATGCAAATGTATACTGTCAAAATATTTTAAATGTAAAACTTTTAACTTTTATTAATCTTTATTAAATTGCCTTCCTCGGTGATTTCTATAAATTTTTGTATGTTGTTTGAAGTCTTTCCTTTGTAACCACAGTATGCTTTTAATATATGTGTATTTTATGAGGTGTGTTGACTTTAAATTTATTTTGTTTTATTTTATTTTTTGAGACAGAGTCTCGTTCTGTCACCCAGGCCGGAGTGCAGTGGTGCAGTCTTGGCTCACTGCAACCTCCACCTCCCAGGTTCAATCAATTCTTGTGCCTCAGCCTCCCAAGTAGCTGGGATTACAGTCTTGCACCAGCAAACCTGAGTAATTTTTGAATTTTTAGTAAAGATGGGATTTTGCCCTGTTGGCCAGTCTGGTCTTCAACTCCTGGTCTCAAGTGATCTGCCTGCCTCGGCCTCCCAAAGTGCTGGGATTACAGGCATGGAGCCACCACACCTGGCCTAAATTTATTTTTAATAGAGATAAAACACAGGTGCTTGCAAAAAGTAATTCTGAGGGGCGTCCGCCATTGCTGAGGCTTGAGTAGGCAATTTTACCCTCACAGTGTAAACAAAGCCACCAGGAAGTTCAAACTGGGTGGAGCCCACCACAGCGAGGCAAGGCCTCTGCCGCCAGACTGCCTGTTTAGATTCCCTCCTCTCTGGGCAGGGCGTCTCTGAAAAAAGGCAGCAGCCCCAGTCAGAGACTTATAGATAAAACCTCCACCTCCCTGGGACAGAGAACCTGGGGGAAGGGGCAGTTGTGGGCGCCACTTCAGCAGACTTAAATGTCCCTACCTGGCAGCTCTGAAGAGAGCAGCGGATCTCTCAGCACAGTGTTTGAGCTCTGATAAGGGACAGCCTCCCTCCTGAAGTGGGTCCCTGAACCCCCGTGTAGCCTGACTGGGAGACACCTCCCAGTAGGGGCCGACAGACACCTCATACAGGAGAGCTCTGACTGGCATCTGGCAGGTGCTCCTCTGGGATGAAGCTTCCAGAGGAAGGAACAGGCAGCAATCTTTGTGGTTCTGCACCCTCCACCGGGGATACCCAGGCAAACAGGATCTGGAACGGATCTCCAGCAAACTCCAGCAGACCTGTAGCAGGGGACCAGACTGTTAGAAGGAAAACTAATAAACAGAAAGGAATAGTATCAACATCAACAAAAAGGACGTCCACTCAGAGACCCCCTCCGAAGGTCACCGACTTCAAAGACCAAACGTAGATAAATCCATGAAGATTGGGGAGAAACTAGCACAAAACGGCTGAAAATCCCAAAAACCAGAACACCTCTTCTCCTTCAAAGGATCACAACTCCTCACCAGCAAGGGAACAAAACTGGATGGAGAATGAGTTTGACGAATTGACAGAAGTAGGCTTCCGAAGGTGGGTAATAACAAACTCCTTCAAGCTAAAGGAGCATGTTCTAACCCAGTGCAAGGAAGCTAAGAACCTTGAAAAAAGGTTATAGGAATTGCTAACTAGAATAACCAGTTTAGAGAAGAACGTAAATGACCTGATGGAGCTGAAAAACACAGCACAAGCACTTTGTGAAGCATACCCAAGTACCAATAGCCGAATCGATCAAGTGGAAGAAAGGATATCAGAGATTGAAGATCAACTCAATGAAATAAAGCAAGAAGACAAGATTAGAGAAAGAAGAGTGAAAAGAAATGAACAAAGCCTCCAAGAAATATGGGACTGTGTGAAAAGACCAAATCTACATTTGATTGCTGTACCTGAAAGTGATGGCGAGAATGGAACCAAGTTGGAAAACACTCTTCAGGATATTATCCGGGAGAACTTCCCCAACGTAGCAAAGCAGGTCAACATTCAAACTCAGAAATATGGAGAACACTACAAAGATACTCCTCGAGAAGAGCAACCCCAAGACACATAGTCGTCAGATTCACCAAGGTTGAAATGAAGGAAAAAAATGTTAAGGGCAGCCAGAGGGAAAGTCCGGTTACCCACAAAAGGAAGCCCATCAGACTAACAGCGGATCTCTCAGCAGAAACCCTACAAGCCAGAAGAGAGTGTGTGCCAATATGCAGCATTCTTAAAGAAAGGAATTTTCAACCCAGAATTTTCATATCCAGCCAAACTAAGCTTCATAAGGGAAGGAGAAATAAAATCCTTTACAGACAAAGAAATGCTGAGAGATTTTGTCACCACCAGGCCTGCCCTGCAAGAGCTCCTGAAGGAAGCAGTAAGCATGGAAAGGAACAACCAGTACCAGCCACTGCCAAAACATACCAAATTGTAAAGACCATTGATGCTATGAAGAAACTGCATCAACTAAGGGGCAAAATAACCAGCTAGCATCAAAATGGCAGGATCAGATTTACACATAACAATATTAACCTTAAATGTAAATGGGCTAAATGCTCCAGTTAAAAGACACAGACTGGCAAATTGGATAAAGAGTTAAGACCCATCAGTGTGCTGTGTTTGGGAGACCCATCTCATGTGCAAAGACACACATAGGCTCAAAAAGGGATGGAGGAAGATTTACCAAGCAAATGGAAGGCCAAAAAAAAAGCGGGGGTTGCAATCCTAGTCTCTGATAAAACAGACTTTAAACCAAGAAAGATCAAAAGAGACAAAGAAGGGCATTGCATAATGGTAAAGGGATCAACACAACAAGAAGAGCTAACTGTCCTAAATATATGCACTCAATACAGGAGCACCCAGATTCATAAAGCAAGCTCTTAGAGACCTACACAGAGACTTAGACTCCCACACAATAATGGAGACTTTAACACCCCACTGTCAGTATTAGACAGATCAACAAGACAGAAAATTAACAAGGATATCCAGGACCTGAACTCAGCTCTGGACCAAGCAGACCTAACAGACATCTACAGAACTCGCCACCCCAAATCAACAGAATATACATTCTTCTCAGCAACACATCACTCTTATTCTAAAATTGACCACATAATTGGAAGTAAAACACTCCTCAGCAAATGCAAAAGAACGGAAATCATAACAAACAGTCTCTCAGACCACAGTGCAATCAAATTAGAACTCAGGACTAAGAAACTCACTCAAAACCGCACAACTATGTGGAAACTGAACAACCTGCTCCTGAATGACTACTGGGTAAATAACGAAACGAAAGCAGAAATAAAGATGTCCTTTGAAACCAATGAGAACAAACGCACAACATACCAGACTCTCTGGGACACATTTAAAGAAGTGTGTAGAGGGAAATCTATAGCACTAAATGCCCACAAGAGAAGGCAGGAAAGATCGAAAATCGACACTCTAACATCACAATTAAAAGAATAGAGAAGACCGGGTGCGGTGGCTCATGCCTGTAATCCTAGCACTTTGGGAGGCCAAGGTGGGTGGATCACGAGGTCGGGAGATTGAGACCATCCTGGCTAGCATGATGAAACCCCGTCTCTACTAAAAGTGCAAAAAAAATTAGCTGGGCGTGGTGGCGGGTGCCTGTAGTCCCAGCTACTCGGGAGGCTGAGGCAGGAGAATGGCGTGAACCCGGCAGGTGGAGCTTGCAGCAGTTGTCTGAGATTGTGCCACTGCACTCCAGCCTGGGTGACAGAGTGAGACTCCATCTCAAAAAAAAAAAAAAAAAAAAAAAAAACTAGAGAAGCAAGAGCAAGCAAATTCAAAAGCTAACAGAAGGCAAGAAATAACTAAGATCAGAGCAGAACTGAAGGAGATAGAGATACAAAAAAACCCTTCAAAAAAAATCAATGAATCCAGGAGCTGGTTTTTTGAAAAGATCAACAAAATTGATAGACTGCTAGCCAGACTAATAAAGAAGAAAAGAGAGAAGAATCAAATAGATGCAATAAAAAATGATAAAGGGGATATCACCACCAATCCCACAGAAATACAAACTACTATCAGAGAATACTATAAACAACTCTATGCAAATAAACTAGAAAATCTAGAAAAAATGGATAAATTCCTGGACACATGCAAGACTAAACCAAGAAGAAGTCGAATCCCTGAATAGACCAATAGCAAGTTCTGTAATTGAGGCAGTAATTAATAGCCTACCAAACAAAAAAAGTCCGGGACCAGACAGATTCACAGCTGAATTCTACCAGAGTTACAAAGAGGAGCTGGTACCATTCCTTCTGAAACTACTCCAAACAATAGAAAAAGAGGGAATCCTCCCTAACTCATTTTATGAGGCCAGCATCATCCTGATACCAAAACCTGGCAGAGACACAACAATAAAAAGAGAAAATTTCAGGCCAATGTCCCTGATGAACATCAATGCGAAGATCCTCAATGCTGGCAAATCGAATCCGGCAGCACATCAAAAAACTTATCCACCACGATCAAGTTGGCTTCATCCCTGGGATGCAAGGCTGGCTCAACATATGCAAATCAATAAATGTAATCCATCACATATACAGAACCACATGATTATCTCAATAGATGCAGAAAAGGCCTTTGACAAAATTCAACAGCCCTTCATGCTAAAAACTCTCAATAAACTTGGCATTGATGGAACTATCTCAAAATAATAAGAACTATTTATGACAAACCCACAGCCAATATCATACTGAATGGGCAAAAACTGGAAGCATTCCCTTTGAAAACTGGCACAAGACAAGGATGCTCTTCCTCACCACTCTTATTCAACATGGTATTGGAAGTTCTGGCCAGGGCAATCAGGCAAGAGAAAGAAATAAAGGGCATTCAATTAGGAAAAGAGGAAGTCAAATTGTCTCTGTTTGCAGATGACACGATTGTATATTTAGAAAACCCCATAGTGGCCAGGTGCAGGGACTCACACCTGTAATCCCAGCACTTTGGGAGGCCGAGGTGGGTGGATCACAAGGTCAGGAGTTTGAGACCAGTAAAACCCCGTCTCTACTAAAAATACAAAAAATTAGCTGGGCATAGTGGTGGGTGCCCATAATCCCAGCTACTCGGGAGGCTGAGGCAGGAGAATCGCTTGAAGCCGGGAGGCGGAGGTTGCAGTGAGCTGAGATGGCGCCACTGCACTCCCGCCCAGGTGACAGTGCAAAGACGCTGTCTCAAAAAAAAAAAAAAAAAGAAAACCCCATCATCTCAAAAGCTCCTTAAGCTGATAAGCAACTTCAGCAAAGTCTCGGGATACAAAATCAAGTGCAGAAATCACAAGCGTTCCTATACACCAATAACAGACAGAGAGCCAAATCATGAATGAACTCCCATTCACAGTTGCTACAAAGAGAATAAAATACATAGGAATACAACTTACAAGGGATGTGAAGGGCCTCTTCAAGCAGAACTACAAACCACTGCTTAAGGAAATAAGAGAGGACACAAACAAATGGAAAAACATTCCATGCTCATGGATAGGAAGAATCAGTATTGTGAAAATGGCCATACTGACCAAGGTAATTTATAGATTCAGTGCTATCCTCATCAAGCTACCATTGACTTTCTTCACAGAATTGGAAAAAACTACTTTAAATTTCATGTGGAATAAAAAAAGAGTCCACATAGCCAAGACAATGCTAAGCAAAAAGAACAAAGCTGGAGGCATCATGCTACCTGACTTCAAACTATACTACAAGGCTACAGTAACAAAAACAGCATGGTACTGGTACCAAAACCAGATATATAGACCAATGGAACAGAACAGAGGCTTCAGAAGTAACACCACACATCTACAACCATCTGATCTTTGACAAACCTGATGAAAGCAATAGGGAAAGGATTCCCTATTTAATAAATGGTGTTTTGAAAACTGGCTGGGCATATGCAGAAGGCTGAAACTGGATCCCTTTCTTACACCTTATGAAAAAATTAAAATGGATTAAAGACTTAGATGTGAGACCTAAAACCATAAAAACCTCAGAAGAAAACCTAGGCAATACCATTCAGGACATAGGCATGGGCAAAGACTTCATGACGAAAACACCGAAAGCAATGGCAACAAAAGCCAAAATTGACAGATGGCATCTGATTAAACTAAAGAGCTTCTGCACAGCAAAAGAAACTATCATCAGACCAAACATGCAACCTACAGAATGGGAGAAAATTTTTGCAATCTATCCATCTGACAAAGGGCTAATATCTAGAATCTACAAAGAACTTAAACAAATTTACGAGAAAGAACGCCATCAAAAAGTAGGCAGAGGATGTGAACAGACAATTCTCAAGACATTTATGCAGCCAAAAACATATGAAAAAAAAGTTCATCATCACTGGTTATTAGAGAAATGCAAATCAAAATTACAATGAGGTACCATCTCATGCCAGTTAGAATGGCGATCATTAAAAAGGAAACAACAGATGCTGGAGAGGATGTGGAGAAGTGGGAATGCTTTTACACTGTTGGTGGGAGTGTAAATTAGTTCAACCATTGTGGAAGACAGTGTGGCGATTCCTCAAGGATCTAGAAATACGATTTGACCCAGCAATCCCATTACTGGGTATATACCCAAAGGATTATAAATCATTCTACTATAAAGATACATGCACACATATGTTTATTGTGGCACTGTTCACAATAGCAAAGACTTGGAACCAATCCAAATGCTCATCAGTGATAGACTGGATAAAGAAAATGTGGCACATATACACCATGGAATACTATGCAGCCATAAAAAAGGACGAGTTCATGTCCTTTGCAGGGCCATGGATGAAGCTGGAAGCCATCATTCTCAGCAAACTAACACAAGAACAGAAAACCAAACACCACATGTTCTCACTCATAAGTGGGAGTTAATCAATGAGAACACATGGACACAGGGAGGGGAACATCACACACCAGAGCCTTGTGGGCGGTGGGGGGCTTAGGGAGGGATAGCATTAGGAGAAATACCTAATGTAGATGACAGGTTGATGGGTGCAGCAAACCACCATGGCACATGTATATCTATGTAACAAAACTGTGCTTTCTGTACATGTACCCCAGAACTTAAAAAAAAAAAAGCAATAATTCTAAGATGCTAGTGGAACACTGAGTTATTCTTTTAAGGTTTTTCTTGATTATAATTGTCCTTTTAATGAAATCATTAATAAAGTCATTAAGAAAGATTGGGGAGTGGCTCTATGCATAGATTCTATAATAATTTTTTTAAAAGTAGTTTACAGTATAACCCACACAAAAATATTGAAAAACAATCATATACTATATAATAGCTGAATACTGCAATTAAGAGATAAAACATAACAACATGTTTTCCATAAAACTGTATTTGCAACCAGAGGTTTTAATCGTGAAAGGTTTTAATAGTGAAAGATTTGTAAGACAGTTTTCAAAATATACTGAGATGTTTATTTTCTTTATACAAGCTATATTGGCATGGTATGTAAAATACAGTGATTTTCATATTGGTTAAGGTTTAGTCACTTGATAAAGAGCTTTATTATAGATTTTTTTTTAAGGTGTTGTATTTTTCATCTCAAGCTGAGGTCATTTGTCTTGGTTGTTACAGGGTATTCTTCTTACCCAGTAATGATTTAATATACCCATAGGCAAAGTATCAAGAAGAAAGTCATCATATGGATCTGTGAATCTAAATACATTTTTAATGTTAGATGTAAAAGTTAACAGCTGTCACATATGTTCAGTTATGACCTGTTGCTGAATTGAGGAAAAGTAGGACTGTGGGAGGAATTTGCAATACAACCACAAGCAGAATAAGGCTCTTAAGAAATACCTAAGAGTACTCATGTATGGTGTCTTCTTGATTTTATATTCTGATAAATAATAGAGAGTGAGGTGGTCTTGGTTGGGTAAGAGAAAATATACAAAACTTTTAGAACTTAGGGTACTTGATTCATATTGTATGCTCTAGTTTCTTCAGTAGAGGCGAGTTGCTTTTTAAATCTTTCCTGGACTTGCTGCATTCATTTGACAAAAAGTTACTGTGCATCTATTACATGTTAGGTGTACTGGAGATATAGCAGTGAACAAAATGGACAACATCCCTGCCCACAAGGAGATGATGTTCTTGTTTCAGGGGAGATAAGCAATAGAGAAAAATGCAAATGTATAATGTGTCGGATGGTAACAAGTGCCGTGGAGAAGAACAAAGCAGAATAAGGGAGTAAGGGATGCATTGGGAATGGGCTTACCTGTCTATATAGGGTGTTCAAGGAATACCTCATTCATCAGGTCACATTTGAACAGAGTGAAGGAACTGAGGGAGTCAGCCATGTACTCTCTTATGTTAAGCTGCCTACTTCATACTGTTGCTTATCTAATAGGAACCTAAAACTCGACATGTTCAAAACTGAACTCTCAATGCCTTTCTAAACCTCTTCCGTCTTCAATCTTCCTCATCCAGAAATGCATCACTGTAACTGTCTATCTGGTTGCTCATATTAAAAACCTAAGACTTGAGATTGGTTCATCTTTTTTTCTTCAACTTCATGTTGGCATGACCAGCTGGTTCTACTTCCAAAATATATCTCCTGTCCATCTTCTCTCCATATTTAATACTACTACGCTGTTTCAGGCTATCATCATCTCCTGCCTTGACCATTATTAGATCCTCCTGTTTCAGTGGTTTCCCATTCCACCTAAGATATTTTTGCTGGGTATAGCATTCTGAGTTGGGAGCAATTTTCTTCCATTACTGTACAAATGCTCCACCATTGTCTTTCCCCTCTCATCATTTCTGTTGAAAACTCAACTGTATATCTTGTTTCTGTTTATTTGAAAAAAACATGTATACTGTCTCCCTCTATGACTTCCCCTGCTGCCAGCTGCTTTTAGGATATTCTCTATCTTTAATTTTCAACAGTGTTACCATTATGTGCCTATGTGTGATTTTCTTTGTATTTGTTCTCACCGGAGTTTATAGAGCTTCCTGAGTCTACAACTTGATGACTTTTGTTAGTTTTGGAAAATTCTAAGCCTGTATTCTTCAAGTATTCCTTCAGTTTCATTCTGTCTCTCCTTAGTTTCTAATGTCATGCATTTTAGCCCTTTTCCTTTTGTCTCATATTGCCATAGCTCTTTTCTTCCCTTTTTTTTCTTATATCAGTCTGGATATTTTTTACCGGACTTGCTTTCCAGACTGTTAGTCTTCTCTGCTATTGTGTTTAATATTTTTTTGAATTACTAACTTCAGTTCTTTCATTAAGTTTTAGATTTTTCATTTGGCTCTTGTTTATAAATTGTAGTTCTTTGGTGCAATTTAAAAAATCTTTTTATCCTTAAAGAACACATTAACCATAGCTGTTTAAAAGTCTTATTTGATAACTGCAAAATCTGTTTTATCTGTGCATCTCCTTCTATTTTTCACTTTTCTTGTTTCTGGTTTGGTCTTGTTTCTTGCTCTGCTGGGTGAGTTTGGCTAAATCTCAGATGTTTTATGTGAAAAATTAAGAAGGCTATGGATGATAGGACTTCCTATAGAAGGATTTAATCTTCTGGGTTGTAGATGTTGTTTGGGTACGTCTATTCATAGACTGCCCTTACTCCAGAGCCATTTTGTCCTGGCAGTCTGAACTCCAACCTTGATCTCCCGGCACTACAGTACTGCTAAAGGCTTTGCTCAGCTTTTTAGCCTCTCCACTGCTGCTTTCTGCTTGGTTCTTTTTTTCCCCCCTTGGTTTTTGTGCAGCTTAGGTCATTGAGGGAAACTTGCATGCGGCATCTTGGGACCCCCTTACATCTCTTCTCTTTCAAGGTCTCCAGCTCCAGACTCCGCCTTTCAGTCCAGCAAGGCTGCAAGAGCCCCCAGCTGCTGCTTTTGGCTGTGTGCTATCTGCAGCTCCAGGAATCAGCAAACTCCTTGAGGAAAGGAGGGGCTCCCATGGATGGGCTTTCTAATTCTGAGATCTTAGTCCTTTATGTCCTTTCTGCCTTTGTTGTTTTCTGTTTTTTTTTTAATTTTATTATTACTATACTTTAAGTTTTAGGGTACATGTGTACAACGTGCAGGTTTGTTTTCTGATGGCTTCAATCATTTGCTTTGTGTAATTTCTCCAGCTTTTAAACTTGTTCTCAACAGGAGAGTAGATGCAATCCAGATTGTTCTATTGTGGTCAGAAGTGGAAGTCTTTCGTTACACTTAGAATAAAGTCTGTGCTCCTTTCCCCTGGCACATAAAACTCACCCTGGTCAGCCTTTTGCCTGTCTCTTTTGTACCTTATTCCCACACCCAGTAGCTCCAGCCACTGGATTTCTTTTTTCATTGACTGTATCAAACTTTTTCCCACCTCAGGGACTTTGCATTAAGTCCTTTGACGGCTCTTCCTCAGATTTTTGCATAGAGCTGGCTCTTTGATATTATTTCATCTCAGTTTGCTACTGAGGATGAACAAAATGCTAGTCTTCATTAGATGACTAACAGATTTTTGCATAGGTCCAGCTCCTTGATATTATTTCATCTCAGTTTGTTACATCATAATAGATTTCCCTCTCTTTTCAGGGCAGCTCCTAGTCACCCTGATTTATTTTCATCCTAGCACATTTCAGTCACTACCTGAAGTTATTTGATTTACTTTCTTAATTTCCATTTCTCCACTCTAGGGTAAGCTATGTTCCTGCCTGGTGTGTGGTAGATTCTCAATAAAAATCATTTGAATGAATGAGTAAATAAATAAATAATCACTGATTCTGAAAGGAATTTTTCAAATTATTCTTTGAAAACCTCAGTAGGGTATAAGGGCATACTATTTTCTTTGCCCTAATAGTCTTTTTATATGGAATATTCTATAAAATACAACTTTTATACATTTATGGTATAATGAGGACTAACATTTTGTTCATCTTGATGATCAGATCTTGAACTACTTTTTTGTATACAAAGCTTATATTCATTATCATACTAGTGTTAATTATATTTTTGTTCACATTCTCTAGAAATATTTAATCTGTGCTAATAACTCTTTATCACCCAAAATATTTAATTATCTGAAACCAATAGTACCACCTTCTATTGGTCTTACATGAAATGATTGTTTTTAAAGTGACATGTTATATCTTTATTTAACAGGAATGGTTTTTGGGAAAAGCATTACATGATGAAGAAGCTACAATAATTCACCATTATGCCTTTTCCGAGAATCCTACAGTTTTTAAGTATCCAGACTTTGCTGCAGGCTGGGCCTTAAGTATTCCACTTGTAAACAAGTAAGAATTTATTGGAATTTTTTCGGGGGGCGGGAGGGGTGTGCATCAACTTTAATTTCATTGAGTACTGTAACTGATGGATCTCAGGATCTCAAATGAGTTTTTCAGCCAGAGGCAGTGTGTGGTAAGATCTGGAAAAGGAGCCAGATGCTTGAGGGTTTCTGCTTCAGCGCTGTCATTTACTAGACCCTTCAGACAAATCATTCAACCTCTCTGTATTTCTTCTCACTCATCCAAAGATAACAAGTTGTGAGACTAAGGGAGAACACAGAATTGCTCTGAGAACCATGCACATGGGAGCATCATTACTGTTGTTAAGGGATCTACTTAGCTATAGGTGTAACTTTGATCACCAGTAAGAAAATGAAGCAGTAACTTGCTGGGGTTGAGAGTTGATGACTCATTAGGTGCATGGGTATGCATACTTAAACACTGGCCAGTCAGGAGGGACAGCTAGTGGAAGGTACTATAGGTCGTCATACCTAGCTATTTGTGTGTATATTCACAATGGTGCTCTGTTAGATGTGGAAAGTGAAGATAGTTAAATTGTAATTCAGGAGAAGTATGGTTGTTGACAAGCCCTTCAGATTAATCATTATGTTTTTGTTCTTTAGGGAATGGAAAGTTGATAAAGCACTTGTGGCTTTTATATCTTCAGAGATGAAAGAGTTTCTATCATTAAGTGTCCTGTCTCTAGGATTTGGGGTCTTGAAAATCTTATTAGCCCATTGTAGATATACAGGATATTACATACCTTGTCATTCACAGCTGGACAAAACTTCTTGACTACTCCTTTCACATTTCAAAGTTCTCTACAGTGTGATACCCTCCTTTCCAGGGTAGAATCCAAACAACAACAACAAAACCCCCTGTGTTTCCTAGCTTTCCTTGCTACTAGGAAGCAGCCGTATGTTGTAGGTTCCATCAGGTAGATGTGTTATGTACAATTATTTTTGGGAACTGAATTGTGTGGGGAAGGAGACAAAGCATGGGGGACCATTTGAATTGAGACTCGTAGCAAAGGAAGAGTCGTTTGCAGTTGACAGCGGCTTCCTGATGATGGCAGAGTCTGAAGCTCCTACGCTGCTGATTTCTGTGGTACAAATCTGGGGGTTCTTGGAATCTCAGCTTACAGTCTGTTTACTCAGACTTTCCAGTAATTCCATGAGCCATCTATATGCTTTAATAAATGTACGTTATGCTTTAACTAGCCAGAGTGGATTATTTTTGTTTGTTTCCAGTTAAGATCTTCGACTCACGCACTCAGTCCTGGGCCTGCCGGGCAAGAATGCCCATCTCCCGGCCCCTGCCAAGCATGCCTAAGAGCATCTGCACAGTTTCCCTCCCTTCATTCTTAGAAGGGTCAAGGAGGAAGAGGAGTGAAGACAAGAAGAAGTAGTGGTCATTCCCTTCTCACCGTCTACTGGTCTGCTTAATTCTGTGCTCTGCAGGGGAGAGGGGAATATGTTCTGCCCTTCAGCAGCCTTGGGTCGTGTTTCTTCTCAAATTAAATACACTTTGGTTTGCTACAGCTTGAGGACCAGGAGCTCCCAGGACATTCATTTCCTGCAGTGTCCAGCAGCCTTATGTTTGGGGCCAGTTTAGCCACCTTTGTTGAGTCTGGACTCTTAATGAATAGAAGCTGTGACCTGCACTTTGTAGGCTGAGCCACTGTTCCTTTTCCCTTCCTCAAGTATTCTTCTCATCCTCGGCCACAGGAGGCTTCCTCTAGCCTTCCTCATTTGATCTCTACTTAGTTTTATAGTATAGAAAGATTTGGTCTGACTTCTCCATGGGAGAAGTCCCACGTGGCTGTGATTTTTCTGACTTGGGACTTATAACCTCTGTATAAGCCTGTTTCTCTCCCATTTCCCATGTGCTATGAAGTCCCTTGAGAGAGGAACAAACACAGCTCTTGCCTGCCCTGTAAAGTGCTGTTAAGTGCAGCAGGTTCTTCTTCCTCCAGGGCTAAAGAGGAAACCAGTGGGCCCAGGTAGAGCTATATGGCAAGCGGGGGTGTAATCATTTCCTTGAAGCCAGTGTAGCTCTTTTCTTCATCACTGCCTTCTGATCCAGGAGGCCTCTCATCCTGAAGGCAAATCCTTATAGTCTAGAGTTTTACCTTCCTTCTTCCCATCACAATTTCCTGTCTTCCTTTAGCAAGACTTTCTTGGAGACCTCTTGATGCTGAATTCAATTCCGTTTTTGTTGAATTAGGTGTTAGAAGTAACTATTTATTCTTGCTTCCTTTGACTTACTGTCTGAACCAGGTGCAGGTTGATGGAAGTGATCCTGTTTGAACACATTTTTGACTCCTGGCATCCCTATATAGGGCAGTTCAACCTAACTCTTATGGCTGACATGCTGGCATTAAGTATAACCTGTTCTAGGAAACCTCTGTCCTCTGCTTCACTGCTCATCAAGTGTAGCAGCACCCAGAGCACTGGCAGGCTTTGTTGGCTCTGGCTAGTGCTCACCTCATTACTGTCTCATGCTCACCACATGACTAGCTTCCAGGGGTTCATGAACCAGGGTTGCAGGTTGTGCACTAGCTGAGATGTTAGCTTTATTAAGGGGCGACTGTATGTTCTGGATTATCTGGCATTTTGCAAGGTAGTCCCACAGGAGACCACAGGTCCATGATTCCCTTCCCCATTGTGTTTGTGAGATCATTGAACACATCTGTTGACAAGGGAAGGTAGCCAGTGCCCAGCTTCCATAGCGGTTTCACATCTCCCTTTCTAGTCAAGTTTAACCATATTTAGGAGTGAGAACTGAGGGCCTTGTCACTGCAGCAGGGTGTGTAGGCATCTTAGTCTGTTTGGGCTGCTATAAAAAAATGCCATAAACCAGGTAGCTTATAAACGACAGCAGTTTATTTCTTATAGTTCTGGAGGCTGGAAGTCCAAGATAAGGCGCTGGCAGATTCAGTGTCTGGTGAGTGCCAGTTTTCTGGTTCCTTTCCTTCTTGCTGTGTCCCCTCATCTGGGAGAAGGGACGAGGGGTCTTTTTTATAGGGGTGCAGTCCCATTCATGAGAGTTCCCTCCCCATGGCCTCATCACCTCCCAAAGACCCTGCCTCCTAATAACATTGCCTTGAGGGGTAGGACTTCAGCCTATGAATTTGAGAGGGGACACAAACATTCAGACCATAGTAATAGGGAACTATGACTAAGGGAATTAAAGCCAAGAGGTTAATCTTTTCCACAAAGCTCAGGAAATTCCCAGCACTTCCCCGTGACTCCAGTATGATAGAGGAGTGAGGCACCAGATAGCCTTCTGCATGGTGTGTCATCTGCTCGTCACAACGCTCAACAGTGACCAACAAACCGTAGAATGTGTATAGTTCATTGATATCCATGGTCTTCTCCCTACCTCCTCTCCCTTTCCTCTGCCAGGAAAAAAAAGCAAAATAAATATGCAGACTCTACCATAATGCCATATTTAAAATTCTACTTACCTTAGATCATATTTCCTTTCCCCCGATGCCAACAAGTAATCAAGCAAATGATATAACCCATCTAGCATAGCAACTATCTTGTGGTCAAGATATATTTTAAAATGGCTTTCTAGTGGGGATTCTTATTTATTCTTCAAGAAACTGGTATTATACTCAGGACTAAAGGAAGGATAAAGTATTCATTAGCCCCATCAGCTGCAACATTGGATCTTCCTAGTTGTTGTTTTCCCAATTCAAAGCTAATGTGCTGACTTTATTTCTTCCTATTATTATTAGCTATATCAATTAGCATGCTTTTGGATGCAAGTAATAGGAAGCAACTCAAACTGGATTAAGGAAATACTTTTGCTGTAATTGGGGTGAGGTCTGTGGTTGGTTGATCTAGCAGTTTATCAATATCATTGAGGACCCACACTTTCTCTGTCCCTCTAGCCTATAGTACACAGAATCCATTTATCCTAAATCTGGTTCCTCTTGTGGTTTCAAGACAATAAGGGCTACATATTTCCTGTTTGCATCCAATAGTAGATAGCCTGTTCCCAACCATGAATGGTAAGTGCTTGTCCTCAGTCTGGTTGGGCCAACTGCATGTGTGTTCTAATCTCCAGACTATTAACAGTTGCGCAGGAATTTCATTGATTATTAGAATTATTAGAATTTTCAGTTCTAATCCCCAGAGTATTAACAGTTGCCAGGGAATTTCATTGATTATTCTGGCTGGCCCAGAGTAATCAATCTCTGACTCTGGAGCCTGTATAATTGTTGGGCTCAATATTAATCAAAACCAGAATTTGTTTAGAAAGAATGAAGGGGAAACTCTGTATTATATAGACAACCAAGAAGGCCAGTCCAGGAATGTTGATTCCCTTTGTGTCCTTTCCTTGACTTTACGGCCCACATTGTAGGTAGCGTAACAACTTACAGTTACTTAGGTGTTTCTTCTGTCCTAGTCCCCAGGACAACTGGTTACCTAAAGATAGCTCATGAGACACACTTTCTTAGACTGTTTCCAACCAAAATTTTATTTGGCCTAACAATTCCACATCAGTTTTGAGTTCACACTGCCTAATATTTCCTGGCAGTCCATCCATTTGATCAATTAAAACAATACTTTCATTTTTGGAGAAATTTTCATTAACTACCAATAAGATGATTTCTTCAAATATATGTCATTCCAGGACACTGTTTCTGGTTTTCTCCATTGTTTTTCCACCAGCAAACCTTATCGAGATTTCCTTCAGCAGGTGGCTCTGTTGACTGATTCACAAGTGGGACTGAAAAAGTTAGCCTGGAAGTGGGACTGAAAAAGTTAGCTAGGAAGTGGGACTGAAAAAGTCAGCTAGGAAGTAGAATTGAAAAAGTCAGCTAGGTATTGAGTTGAAAGGACCCTCAGTCATTTGCACATCTGTAGCCTAGGTGGTTGTGTCATTAGAACTGTGCTATTGGGGGCATGACTTAACTTCTTTTTTTTTTTTGAAACGGAGTCTCGCTCTGTCGCCCAGGCTGGAGTACAGTGGCGCAGTCTCGCTCACTGCAAGTTCCACCCCCGGGTTCACGCCATTCTCCTGCCTCAGCCTCCCGAGTAGCTGGGACTGCAGGTGCCCGCCACCACACCCGCCTAATATTTTTGTGTTTTTAGTAGAGACGGGGTTTCACCGTGTTAGCCAGGATGGCCTCGATCTCCTGACCTCATGTTTTGCCCGCCTTGGCCTCCCAACCTCGTGATCCGCCCACCTCAGCCTCCCAAAGTACTGGGATTACAGGCATGAGCCACCACACCCGGCCCAATAATTCTAAAAATTAGGAAAGCTAAGTACCAAACTTCGTGTTTTCCAGGAACTGAATATTTAATGAGGAAACATTTCATCTAAGTAACTGGAATTTCTGGCTTTCATTGGTTTTTTGGTATTGTTGGTTACTGAAACTAGCATTGGAAAAACCTGTTATCTTGCTTGGTGTATAGAAAACTGAAATCCAGTTACCACTATTAGGTATTGCCTTTTAAGTTAGTTGGTCACCCTGCACACTCTTAGAACTTGAACTTGTTTGCAAGGTGACTGGATGACTGACATAGGCCTGAGATGGCACGTGAGGCTAACTCTTCCACTAGAAGTCTGTGATATTGAGGTTGTGGTACACTCTGTGGGCTGCAAGAGATTGCCACTGAAAGATAGCCATGTATATATTCATTTGTCCTCTCATCAGTCCTTCTCTGTCTCAGAAATTCTTTTTTATTTTTATTTTTTGAGATGGAGTCTTGTTCTGTTGCCCAGGATGGAGTGCAGTGGCATGATCTTGGCTCACTGCAACCTCTACTTCCCGAGTTCAAGCAATTCTCCTGCCTCAGCCTCCTGAGTAGCTGGGATTACAGGCATGCACCACCATGCTTGACTAATTTTTGTATTTTTAGTAGAGACGGGGTTTCACCTTGTTGGCCAGGCTGGTCTTGAACTCCTGACCTCAGATGATCCCCACGCCTCAGCCTCCCAAAGTGCTGGGATTACAGGCATGAGCCACTCTCAGAAATTCTATCAGTGGTTTTCACTTTTTCCCCTTCTGAGGTTTCCCTCAAAGAAAAAGAATTTTCAAGGATTGAATGAGAAAGAAACTTGAAAAGCCAAAAAGATGGAGAGCATGTTTAAGGTAACAGTACTAAGGTGTTTACTGACTGTTATGAAGGGGCCTATGAAACATTGCCATCTAACAGTGGAGGTCACATGCCTCTTGTATTCTAATCACAACTTGGTGTTCCTTGCCTGTGGCAATAAGCCCGGGTATGACTTTTCTGTCTTTGGAGCCTGAATGAAATGAATACTTACTCTTTGTGGTCTGATTAGATTTTGAAGGCATGTGGCATGAGTCCAAATCCCAAAGTTACCTTGATGCAGTTTATTTATGAAAACATGCTCCAACTGAGCAGAATTCAAATTGAACAAGATCTCACTTGCCAGGGCAGACATTTTTTCTCTTAAGTATATATTTGGAGTGTATCTGAGGATATAGTCTCTCAGTCCACCCCACTTATACTCACAGATCTGTGGGCAAGTATTGAGTGGGAATGTGACAGATATTATATGGGGCTTCTTTTGGTGCTACCTGCTACCAAGCTGTGTTAGTATCAGCTGTGAGACAAATGCTTTGTAATGAAGCACATTTATCCTGTGTCTGCTTTCTGTCTTCTTCTAATCAGAAGTGAATTTTTATAGAAATCTTTCGTGGCCCAACCAGACAGATGTAATTAAAAACAGTAGAAAAAAATGGAAACTTACTAGTATTTTTCCTTTTTCTTTTAAAATTTTTGTTTCTTTCTTTTTTTTTTTTTCTTTTCGAGACAGGGTCTCTGTTGCTCAGGCTGGAGTGTGATCATAGTTGACTGCAGCCTTCAACTACTAGGCTCAAGCGATCCTCCCACCTCAGCCTTCTGAGTAGCTAGGATACAAGTGCACCATGCTTGACTAACTTAAAAATTTTTTTTTAATTTGTTTTAACTTTTATGTTAAACTATGTTGCCCAGGATGGGCTCTAACTCCTAGCCTCAAGCAGTCCTCCTGCCTTTGCCTCCCAAAGTGCTGGGATTATAGACATGAACTACTGTGCCTAGCCTACTCTTTTTAAAATCACTATTATTTCTTTGTAGTGAAACTATGTATTAGGAGGTTTGTAATTTAATAGTCTAGTCTTGAGCTCTATAAATAAATAAAAAACCATATGGTATTTTGGTGATTTGGGTAAGTATTCCTCCCTCGTTAGCTTTGAATCAAATAATATGTTGTCTAATTCATTCAGGGAGTTCACTGAGTGCTCACTGTGGTCAGGTGCGGTGGGCAGTGCTGGCAAGACAGAGGAGAAAGTATAGCACAGAGAGAGTTATGTATGCACCAGATTTTAATGAATGTGGTAAAGCTGATAGGTCCGTGCTTTGTACTCTGGTGGTCAAGGAAGTTTCCATTTACTCTGATGGGCAAACCTGGAAAAGTTTTACAGAGAAGATACCCATGAGTTTGGTGTTTACAAGTTTGCTCAGTAAAGGTTGGGTACAGGCACTCTAGGCAGATGTCCATTGGGAGAGAACAATGGGGAGGTGTGTGCTCTGGGTGTAGCAAGTGGGTGCTGTGATGCTAGAGATGGTCAGGGGAATGGTAGGGCCCTCAAGACTGGCTCAGGAGTTTGGGGCTTTATTCTGTATGGGAAAGGAGCCATTGAAAATGTTCAAACAAGACAGTGACTTGAAATAAAACAAAACCACATGCTTTTCCCCCATAAAACCCAGCAAGATTCATTAAAGTGAGAAACAAAAAGTGGCCATTGTCTTTCTCAAGCATAATTTATTTCCCTCTTTCTTTTTTCTTTCTCTGTCATTATTTAGTGTAAAGATGATAAGGAGTCAACAAAGCTTATGACTTTTTTCCCCAAGGCATTGTATTGTATTGTACGTTGTTTGGCAGATGTTGGAATAATGAATGCTACTTTTGCAACCAGGCTTGCATTCATTTATTGGTCAGCCAGCCGTTGGGTTTTCACAGTCCTTTCCCTCAAGGAATTTAAACTGTTATTTTTATCTTTAAATCTGTATGTTTATCTGTTTTCAAACACTAGAAAGTCTCAAGAATGTGTTAGTCTTGCTTGACACTTCTTTTGGTTAAAAAAAATCAAATTGTCTCTATTTTCTAGGCTTACCAAGAGACTAAAGAGTGAATCCTTGAAATCCGACTTTACAATAGATTTAAAACATGAGGTATGTCATGTTTTGTTTGATTAAAAATCTTACTAATCAAGAATTCATGTCCTTTGATGTAAAAGGTATTTTGCATTCCCTAATCTTGCATTTTCCCCACCCACATCTACTCCCCACAGAGATAATTTCATAGCACTCCAGCGAATTAGGTGCTTTTATTTTAAGCTCATTTCAGTTATGTAGATGAAGACAGAACAGTGAAAAAGGTTGCATCTTGTGATTCATGATTCTTTACTTTTAAGCTAGATGAATGGGTCCAGAGGTAGATTTCTAAAAAAATGCAAAAATGTCATTAAAAGTACCTCTGCTCTTACTTGATGCTTCGGTTGTACGTATGCCAGTGTAGATTGAATGATCATGTCCCCGCCCCCCTAATTCATACCTTGAAACCTGAGCCCCAGTGAAATGGTCTTTGGAGGTAGACCTGTGGGAGGTGATAGGGGCATGAGAGTGGAGCCCTCATCAATGGGATTAGCACTTTTATAAAAGAGGCCGCAGGGGGCTTCCTTGCCCTTTCTGCCATGTGAGGATACAGCTAGAAGGTGCCATCCATGAACCAGGAAGCAGGCCCTCACCACTTAATCTGCCAGTCCCTTGATCTTAGACTTCCCAGCCCCTAGAACTGTGAGAAATAAATTTGTTATTTAGACTCCACTCAGTCTATGGTATTTTACTGTTGGAGCCTGAACAGACTAAGACGTATGCCTTTGTTGTGTGTCTGTGCTTGGCTGTCTGGAGCAGAATTGAGCCTATTGGTCCCAAGCAGGCAGCCTGGAGCCCTAACACTCCTGGTTCCTTCACATTTACTGGACATCTGTGACCAGTTATTCTAGAGGCAGGTGGCAGTTGTCCCATCATTAATTATTCTCGAATCATCATTAAGAAGGCCCTTTTTGCATTTCACTTGTGGGCATGCCTGACTGCACAAAACAGTCTTGCCTCTCATTCTCTGCAGGAATCTGTATGTTAGGACATTAAGGTAAATCTTGACATGTAATTCAGTCCAGCAGTGCTGATGGCCTTCCAGGGACAAGAAGGCACACACAAGACTTTCTGACTTCTCAGCTGTCTTTAAATGGTAATACAGAATATTTGAGTAGAAATAAACTTAGAAAAACATAATTCTTCTCTTCCACAAAGATGAAAAAAATGGCTTGTTGAAAACCAAGTTCTGCCTAGATAGGATTAATGAAAAGTCAGCTCTAGATACTTAGGTTTGGAAATCTACTAAACATTGAATATATACAAAATAATATTTCTAACATATATGAAAGGTATAAAGATTAATGAACAAAATACTTAACTAGCTTGCCTGGTTTAAGAAGGAGACAACTATGAGTGACCTTGAGGCTACCTATGTGCTTCTTGAGGAGAGGCCTCCTTCCGTCTCCCCACACTAAACTCTCTTGAATTCTCTCCCTCTCCCTTACTTTTCTTCATATTTTATTACGTATGAATGTATTTCTGAATAACATGTAATTTTGCATCCTTTTGGGCTTTATATAAACAAAATTGTATACAAATGCTGCAGGATTTTTTGCTCCTTAGTTCAGCTAATCTGGATTCTTGTCTCACAACCAGGAAGAATTAGGCACACAGACACATTGAAGGGTGAGGAGGATGGAATGTATTTAAGTGAAAGGAAAGCTCTCAGCAAAGAGAGGGGGTCCTGTCAGCAGGTTTCCACCTCATAAAATGAATACCAGGGCCCCTACACACGAGTTGAAGAGGACTCTCCTCCCCTGCATAAGGCGTGAATTCCTGGTGGCTCCACCCCATTCTTCCAGTGCATGTGGGCCTCCATGCATGTGGGCCTCCAGTCCACTGCAGGCATGCCTAGGCAAACCCCCTGTGCAGGTTCCCATATTCGGACAAAACATTTGGTGTAAATAAACACTTGTGGGGTTGATCAGAGATTCTCTGGGGGCCCTTCCCTATCTGCCTAGGCATTTGGCTGTCTCCCACCTCTATCACAAATAACTGTTCTAATTTGAGACTCATCCATGTTGATTCATGCAGCTCTAATTAACTTATTTTTACTTTCTATAGTAGTCTCCCATATGACCATAATAATTTATTTATCCGTTCTCTTGTTAATGGGCTTCTGATTGGCTACTGGTTTTTTGCTATTACAACCATTGCTTCTATGAATATTTTTAATGTGTATCATGGTGATCATCTGCAAGAGTTACTCCAAGGCAGAAGCTTTTAAACTTTTTTTTGACTATGACCCACTTTAAAAAAATAAATTTTCATCATGACCCAGTATATTTGTGTGTGTGGTGGTGTTTCTGTTATTGATTTCTAACAGTATTATTGTAGTCTATACAACAGTCATTTGAGATACTTTTAGGCTTACTTTATGGCCTAGCTCATGTTCAGTTTTCATATCTATTAGATTGAAGAAAGTATTAATGATGCTTTTCAGATATTTTCTTCTTTACTTCATTGCTTCAATCCTTCATTTTACTTTTGTTTTGTCTGCTTATCATTTACTAAGGGAGGAATGTAGAAATCGTCCATAATAATGGTGGATTTTTCCTATGGAACTGCCAACTCTTGCTTTTTATACTCTAAGGCTATGTTAATTAGATGCATACAAACTTAGAATTGTTACATCCTCTTAGTGAATTTGTCTTTATCTTTAGTAATGCTGTTTGTCTTAATGTTTATTTTGTTGACATGAATATTTCAATGTTAGCATTTTTTGGTTGTTTGCCTCATAATCGTTTTTTGTCTTTTTCTTTCAATCCTTTTGTGTCCTTATCTTTTTTAGATGTGTCTCTTTTAAAGAGGACATGCCTTTTCCCCCCACCCTCCAGTTTGAAAATCTTTATCTTTAAACCAGATAGCAAATTTACCTTTATGTTGATTGTAATTACTGATATATTTGACTTCTATCACTTTATTTTGTGCCCCTCTCCTTATTTTCTATTTTTCCTTTTTTTTTTTTTTTGAGACAGAGTCTTGCTGTGTCACCCAGGCTGGAGTGCAGTGGCGCCATCTTGGCTTACTGCAACCTCCACATCCTGGGTTCAAGCAGTTCGCTGCCTTAGCCCCCTGATTAGCTGGGATTACAGGTGCCCGCCACCATGCCCGGCTAATTTTTTTTGTATTTTTAGTAGAGATGGGGTTTCACCATCTTGGCCAGGCTGGTCTTGAATTCCTGACCTTGTGATCTGCCCACCTTGGCCTCCCAAAGTGCTGGGATTACAGGAGTGAGCCACCGTGCCCGGCCCCTCTATTTTTCTATTTTAAAGTTCCTTGTCTTCTTATTCATTTATTTATTAGTCCATATTTTTTCTTTTCTGCTATTTTAGAAGTTAAATCTGTCTGTACTTTACTGATTATTTTAAATATTTAACATGCTTTCTTAACCTAACAATGGTTTATTAATCAATAGCCAGAAAATTTGAGGGCCTTAGGATAATTTAACTCTGATTATCCCACTCCCAACTTACATGCACTTGTTGTTCAATATTTTTGTCCCTTTTTCTTTTCACCCTGGAAACTTAGATATTGTCATTATTTTATGCAGTTAACATTTTTATTAACTCATCATATATTTGCCATTGTTTTTGCTTATCATTCCATCTTGCTTCTTAGGCCTTCCAATTGAATCCTTTTTATTCCTCCTGAAGTGTATATCCTTTAGAATTTCTTTTAGTGAGGTGGTAAATTCTCTCAATATTTTTTCTTTAACAATATTTATTTCAACTTTGTTTTTGAAGCATGCTTACATCATGTAGATGATTCTAGGTTGCCAGTCATTTTCTGTCATCACAAGTTTTATTCAATTATTTTTCTTTTTTCTTTCTTTGTTTTTCTTTTGAGACAGAGTCTCTCTCACTCTGTCACCCAGGCTGGAATGCAGTGGCATGATCTTGGCTCACTGCAACCTCCATCTCCCGGGTTCAAGCAATTCTTCTGCCTCAGCCTCCTGAGTAGCTGGGACTACAGGCGCGTGCCACCACGACCAGCTAATTTTTGTATTTTTAAGTAAAGATGGGGTTTCACCATATTGGACAGGCTGGTCTCGAACTCCTGACCTGGCGATCTGCCCGCCTCAGCCTCCCAAAGTGCTGGGATTATAGGCGTGAGCCACCACGCCCAGCCTCAGTTATTTTTCAAATGTGCTTACTTGTTTTGTGTAATCTTTTCAAAATAATTTTTTCTCACGTTTTAAAGTTTTTCTTTTCTTTATAAAAATATATTAAGCATAGTAATTTTATAATCTGTTTGATAATTCTGATAGCTGAAGTTTTTTGAGTCTGATTAAATAAATTATGTCTGCTGGCTCTTGTTCGTTATCTTATTTCTTTTTTGTGTGTGATTTTTTTTTCTCTGAGTGATTGTTCTGTAAGCACCCTTGTTCCTTTGGAAAAATCCTCTGAGCCGTATATTAAAGTAGTGGTTCCTTAGTAAGGATTTACATTAGCTTCTGCCTGTTGCTAGTGGGTTATACTGACGAGATAATTTAAATTATCAGTTTGAGATGTTTTGGGACCTCACAGGTGGCACAAATTAGGGAGGCCTGGCTTTTGGTTGCAAAATCTAAGAGGAGATTTAGAGATTATTCTTTTCCCTCCATTTAGACCCATGGTCCTAGCTTTATGTAGGGGGATTGCTGTTGGTCACACCCCACCTTGGGTGGGTCATAGACTTCAGTCTCTTCACTCCTATCAGAAACTCAGCCTTGCCAGAGGTCAGCTGATACCTACTAGGGAAAACTACCCTTGGTGCCTTTTTTTCCCCAGGATCTCACTTTCCCATTTTTGTTCTCGCAGATTCCACATTTTTGTGCCAACTTAGCAATACATGTAAATATTTAAGGGCATTTTACCCAACATTTGTAGATGTTTTAAGCAAGTTGAGTATTTGGGGTATGTGATTACCATACTAAGGAAACTGGAGCCATAATATTTTCTTACATCTCTCTCTGTGATGTTGTAGAATGTGTTCTTTCCTAAAACCGCATACTTCGGAATTTTTTGGAGGTCAGAATATTGATTCATAGTTAATTGCTTATTGTTAGTAATAGATTACATTTATTCACATGGAATTGTCATTTTTTTAAGTTTAGGAAGTCCTGTTGAATACTGACAAATTGATATGGTTCAGCCTACTCTCTATGGAAGATGTGTTCTGCTTTCCCTTGAGATATTTTGTCCCTTCTTATACTTGTGTTGACTGAGTTCTTTCATCACTGCCTGTCTCCTGTCTCGTGGCAGATTGCCCTCTACATCTGGGACAAAGGCGGAGGACCTCCCCTGACCCCAGTGCCTGAGTTTTGTACCAATGACGTGGACTTCTACTGTGCTACCACATTCCATTCTTTTCTACCGCTTTGTGTGAGTAACAGAAGAAAAACTTCTTTGCATATCAAAGGAAAAATTTAGATGCTGTGCATAATGTCATCCTAGCACTTTAAAATGAATTTTAAATTCAGGGCATTCATGTGCAAGTTGGTTATAAGGGTATATTGTGTGATGCTAAGGTTTGGGCTTCTGCTGATTCTGTCACCCAAATAGTGAACATGGTACCCAATAGGAAGTTTTCAAACCTTGCTCTTCTTCCTTCCTCCCCTTTTTAGAGTCCCCAGTGTCTGTTGTTCCTATTTTTATGTTTGTGTGTACCCAGTGTTTAGCTTCCACTTATAAGTGAGAACATGCAGTATTTGGTTTTCTGTTTCTGCATTAATTCACGTAGGATAATGGCCCCCAGCTGCATCCATGTTGCTGCAAGTACATTATTTCATTCTTTCTTATGGCTGCATAGTATTCCTTGGTATATCTGTACCACATTTTCTTTATTCAGTCCACCATTAATGGGCACCTACATTGATTCCATGTCTTTGCTATTGTGAATAGTGCTGCACTAGCACTTTACATACTAAAAAGAAAATCAACATTTTCCCTGTGCCAAGTAAGAACTATATATCATGACTCTAGTAATAACAATCATACAAGGTTTAGTACTATTGTAACTCCATCTTACAAATGAGAAGAGAGAGGCACAGAGAAGCCAAGTGCTTGCTTATGGCTACACAGCTAGTAGGGAGGGAAGCAAGGGCTCCCCTTTACTCCAGAGCCTTTGTGAGGGACTGCCCACCATAGCGCTTTAGGGTTAGTGTGCCCAGACTCATTTCTTTTGTTGATGATGTAGGATGCATTGATTAGAATTTCTGTTCCATTTCCTGGAAAGGCAATTTCCAGTGCTTTCTGTGACACCCACGCCTTCTCCACAAGCCCGCACCCTTTACTCTTTCAGCAGGTGGCTCTGCCTTTCATCTCAATGACAGCCATCCAGAACTTTCAGAATGAATTCACTTGTTTTGGCAGACCCAAGGTCCAGCCCCAGTATGAGCCTGGAGACCCTGACACTCACAAGGTTGTTAACAGCTTTTCTCATAAGAAAAAATGTGTTCACCAACCTCAGATATTGTCGTTATTCTCAAGTCAGTCACACACAAGTCTGTGTGTGCCATTTGAAGAGATAAATACATAGACACACACACACACGCACACACACACACCCCAAAACACAGTGCAGCATTGAGAGAGAATCTGTAATTGTTTGCAGTTCCAGAGGGGGAGACCAGTCTTTCTAGGCAGAATGCTTGCTTGCTCTTTCAGTGCTCTCCTAGTGCCTTGAGTGACATGACAAAGCTGTAGTTAGATGTCACTATAAACCAGCCCCAAATTATACAGGAGTCATGATTAACTATGATTGCAGGCCTAAGGCAGGTAATAAAGGGGTCATGAAGGGCTTGGGTGTGTCTTGTTGACAAATCCCTCTTTGTGCCCCCTTTCATCTGTGTGATCAGCCTGGGCTCCAGGACTGCCCCCACCCCATCTCCACCAGGTGTTTCAAGGAATCCTACCTTTGGCAGAGGAGAAAACATCCTTAGCCTAGACTTGGGTCGCCAGTAAAGAGGCCGTAAAAATGTTTTCAACATTAAAGTAAGGCCAGGCCCAGAAAAGGGCAACATCTCTTAATTTACACTAAAAAATCCCCCCTATTTCTCTCTTTTTGTCAAAATCTTCACCAGCTGGAGAAAGGAAATGAGAGGTAACTAACATTTATTGGTCAGTTACTATGTGCTTAATAAATTATAGTAATAATAGCAGCCTTGCAGTGGTTATTATTTTTTTTTCTAAACAAGCAGACTGAAATTCTGGAAACTTGTTAAGGGGATGCACAGTCCGTGCACAGTGTAGCAGGCAGGTCCAGGGCTGGCTGACAGAAAGGCTATGTTGTCAGCTGACCTATGTTTCCATTTCTCCCCTAAAACTTTATGCCGGAAATATGTTTGGTATCCTTGACATTGGTTAATTTGAACTCTAGAGCGTGTGAGATCTAGTGTGGGTGTGAAGTTAACGCTGACTCACATATGCATACATTTTTTCTTTTCTTTTTTTTAGAGAAAGCCAGTGAAGAAGAAGGATATTTTTGTTGCAGTAAAAACATGCAAGAAATTTCATGGTGACAGAAGTATGTTTTGGGTTATTCATTTTATTGAACGCTAAAATCCAGACTACCTTCTAAAGAAAAGTACCAATGAATTCTTGAGTGTAAATTCAGAAAAGGGATAATGACAATTCGGATGTTGAAGTGAAAGCAGTTATTTAATCAATACTCCTCATTGCACCATTTCAATCACCAAGATCAATTAGGAAAGAAAATTTTGTATTGAAACGTGAGTGGTCATAGCCGATACTGCTTATGGCAGTATTTTAAATTGGAAATGGAAAAGCTCAGTGTGGCAGTCTTGGAGACTGTGTGAAAAACAGTCCATTTTGTCAAACAATGTATTAGGTCTGTGCGCAGTCTCTAAACGGGATGAAGAATGTCAGGGGATTTCAAGGTAACAGCATGCCAACAAAGAAAAAAGACTTTTTCTTCTTTTTCAATTTATTTCAAATGCTTACCTTGGAACTTGTTAGTTAAGAGATGTATTTGCTCATGAGTAGATAATATTGGAGAAGAAGAAAAAGCCGCGGTACAAACAGTGAATCTCTTCTTAAGGAAATCCTGGCATGCAGATTAATGTTGTTTTTATTCAGGTTTTTGATGTCATTACAGAATTCTGCTAAGTTGTGACGATAATGTAAAAAAAAAAAGCCCATCCTAAATATAAATAGACATAATTTCTCTCTTTTTGCACCTTATTTCAAGCAACACTTTTCTGAAATTGAAAATTAGGCAGTCTTTTGCATTTTCTAATTTTAGTGCGTATTTTAATTTTTTTCCCCATGAAAAGACTGTCAATTTCACCAAGGATGTGGTATTTATGTAGGAGAGATTTCTAAACCAACTGTCATTTTCATGGGATTGGAACTACTGAAGAAGTTCATTTATATATTTTATGTGATAATATGATACATACAAATTATATTTTACAGGGGAAGATGTTTTCCAAATAAAATAATATTATAATTTGAGATTATAGTATTGTCTAAGACATCAACATCAATTAAAATCCAGCTATAATCAATTATATCTTAAAAATACATTAACTATAAACCTTCATATTTGCCTAAAATGGCCACACTAAATTCCAAATCCTATTAAATCAGTCTATATGAATACATTTGTTATGCAACAAGTCCTAAGATACTGTGAAGAATCAGTATAGCAGTTAAAATAAAATTTTTATTTATCATAAATTTAACCTAAATTTAATATCCTTTTACTTTTTTCATAATATGGAAGGGTTTTGTGGGATTATTTTGACAAATACCTTCTTTAAATAGGTGTTGGGGAAATGAACTATACCGCTTTTTGTTTTGTTTCTTTTACAGCAAGCAGGAACTGTTTGAATTGATTTAATTGATCTTGAAGCTACACTTGGAGTAGTGATTGTTTTCACAATATTAATGTTAAGGATGGTGTTGCTGGTACTTTTTCTTTGAAACACATTTTTCAGGTCACAGTGAAGCAGTAAAATTAGGGACACTCCCTGTTGTATTTTTTATATTCTACAGAAATGAAAAAAAAAATAGTTTGTTAATTTTGATTTAGTAATTTTGAATAATCTAGTTTACTGCTTTCTTATTTTGCATAAGTTTGAGATACTCTTTTTAGATATTCATGAAATCCTTTTCTGTTTGAATTTTGAGTCAAAAGTCTTTAAAAATTACAAAATCTTAAAAGCCTATTAGGAGCATTAGAAACAAACCTTCCAAAGCCAGATGCATTGATTTACTGCTGTTAATTTGAATCTGGGATCATTAAAGCATGAGGCCTAAAATGTATCATGAAGTTTTCATATTTGGGTTTCTGTGGTAAGCCGTTTTTCAACTTGGATATGTTTGTTTGAAAAGATAGTCTAAGGCAACAGGATTTCAGTGACTTTGAAGTCCATTTTGCATGACTTCATGTAGCCTGCCAAGCCACCACTGGGCTCTGCCCCTCATTTTAGAAGCCTAGTCCAGCCATCAGTTGGCCCAAAGAGTTATCCAGTAATACCAGTTACAAGGATAACATCACACTAACTGCTTCTAACTGCTAATATTTCTTACATTTTCTGGTGTGTTTTTCACATATGTTCTATTACCTAGTTTCATGTTGACACTTCCTCGTGATATGATAATTATTGTTATTCACTTGTTGTGGAAAAAGCTGAGTATGGAATGATACACAACTGGCTCAGTTTCTTGTATCCTATTGAGTAGCAGAGCCAAAGACTTGGGTTTTCTGGCTCCTAAGTCCCACATTTTTTTCTACCACAGCACAGCTATACTGTAATCTCCTTGGATGTATTACAAACTCCATACTTGATAAATAGTCTTTGCTATTCATGTTGATGTCCTGCTATGCTCAAGGTCAGTTTTGACTTGGCCAGAAGCTGTGAAAGTAGGCTTTCCATTTTTAGTAGCAATGGGGATGGCAAGGAATTGAAACCCACACAGGATCTAAAATACAAATCGAGCTGAGAATTTAGACTGCCACTCCTATCTAAGCATATCACTGCTATAGTCAAGCAGAATACATGGTCTGGGGTGTTGGATTTTTTTTTCATTTTCTTTTCCCTGTGCACTCTATTAGTGGGGGAAACCAGCCCCCAATATTCAACGTGAGTCCTTTTCTATTTTCCCTAAGTGTTGGCCAGTCTGAGAAATAAAGGGAAGGAGTACAAAAGAGAGAAATTTTAAAGCTGGGTGTCCGGGGGAGACATCACATGTTGGCAGGTTCTGTGATGCCCCCTGAGCCGTAAAACCAGCAAGTTTTTATTAGTGATTTTCAAAAGGGGAGGGAGTGTACGAATAGGGTGTGGGTCACAGAGATCACTTGCTTCACAAGGTAATAAAATAGCACAAGGCAAATGGAGGCAGGGCGAGATCACAGGACCAGGGCGAAATTAAAATTGCTAATGAAGTTTCAGGCACACATTGTCATTGATAATATCTTATCAGGGGACAGGGTTTGAGAGCAGACAACCAGTCTGACCAAAATTTATTACGCAGGAATTTCCTCATACTAATAAACCTGGGAGCGCTACGGGAGACTGGGGCTTATTTCATCCCTTATCAACGACCATAAAAGACAGACATTTCCAAAGCGGCCATTTCAGAGACCGTCCCTTGGGAACGCATTCTCTTTCTCAGGGATGTTCCTTGCTAAGAAAAAGAATTCAGCAATATTTCTCCTATTTGCTTTTGAGAGAAGTGAAATATGGCTCTGTTCTGCCCAGCCTACAGGCAGACAGACTTTAAGGGTATCTCCCTTGTTCCCTGAATATCGCTGTTATCCTGTTCTTTTTTCAAGGTGCCCAGATTTCATATTGTTTAAACAATTTGTGCAGTTAACGCAATCATCACAGGGTCCTGAGGTGACATTTCATCCTCAGCTTATGAAGATGACGGGATTAAGAGATTAAAGTAAAGACAGGCATAGGAAATCACAAGAGTATTGATTGGGGAAGTGATAAGTGTCCATGAAATCTTTACAATTTATGTTCAGAGATTGCAGTAAAGACAGGCATAAGAAATTATAAAAGTTTTAATTTGGGGAACTAATAAATGTCCATGAAATCTTTACAATTTATGTTCTCCTGCCATGGCTTCAGCCGGTCCCTCCGTTTGGGGTCCCTGACTTCCCGCAACACTCTGTGGTAGAAATACTTCAGTAACAAAGGCCAAATGATGAAGGAAAAAAATCTAGAGAAACTGTACTTGTGTTTGCCAAGTTGAGAGTGGGGTGTACTGTTAATTGTGGGCACAGTGTCCCCTGGCACTGGGTGGTGATGGCCCCCACTCCTGCTTCATTATATGTTGGTTACCTTCTGGGATGAGAAGGAGAGATGGAACATGTTCTGCTCAAGGCCGTAGTCACAGCAAGGGAAAATATAGATTGCATTTATTTTTTATACTCTCATGGAAGAATTGATAATAAAACCAAGTTTCACAATGAAAAGAAATATTTTAAATATTGTACTTTCTTGGCTTAACAATAACACATTTATGTAATTGCTTTTGTCTGGATTCTGACTTAAGTGAAACAGCATTCTTAGAACACAACAAGCAAAAATATACTCTGTCTTTTGGCTCAAGGAAGTAATACATATTGACATCATTGAAACAGCAGCACCCTCTGAGAGGCAAGCATTTAGTAGGATTTTAAAGAAACTTGAGAACTGTTACATAAGGTGATGAATTGGGCATAGCATGTAAAATTATATTTAAGCAAGGAAATGATCTCTGGTGTTTTAATATTCAACTTGATTGCTTCCTCTTGGGTTCTGTGTTTCCCACTGTGTGACCTGAGCTGTCAGAAAACCTTAAGAATTTTCTTTGCATCATTTTTCCATGCAGTTTGTGTACATGTCTCATGTACCTCGTGGCAGCCACTGGTTTTGTTCATCAAATGGTGGGTTGTGGGATGCTCTCCTGCAGTCTCCCTCTAATTAAAGAGGTTAAATTGCCGTTTGCTCAGCCTTTAGTTCCTTTCCACAGCTTCCTAGGCTCTTAAAAATTAGCACTATATTCCTTTCAGATTAAAAAAAAACAAAAACAAAAACCTGTTTGCTGTCTTTACTGCTGTGGTCTTGTCTAGAGGCAAATCTGAACAAACTGATTGAAAGGGGTGTTTGGTGGCTGGTGTTCTCTTTGACTAAAGAGGCTTACATGTACTGTGGTACAGTCTGCTTACTTAAAAGGTGAGGCTTGAATTAAAATACAGCCAGATAGAAGGCCAGACTCTAATCAAATGAGGTGATTAGATCAATGAATGAAGAGAGGAGAGGAGTCAGGTGTTGCCTTTCCCTGGCTGTTGAATAGCTGATGTTCCAGATTGCCCTACAGTGTTGTGTTAGGGCATCCAGGAGGGATACTTTTCAGGCTTAGGTACACCTCAGTCTTTAAAATGAGGAATTAGGACACATTCATGTGTGTGTCCCTAATCTGCTCCTGAGAAGAGAAGTGCAATCAGGGTCTTATTTTGTGACCACTGACTTGCACACTGAGACAAAAGGGCCATCTGCAAGCTGAAAATAGTGGATTCCTTAAAATAAAAACTATTCACATTTGATGGTGTGGTAGTTTTAATAAAATGTTCAAGTGTCAAGTTCATTTTCATTTATAATCTGAGACAGTTTTATAAGTCACCTCCCTGGGGGTAAAAATGCATGTTCTGTCCTCATAGTGAGACACATCTTCTGCTTAGAGTCTAGAAAGCTCTAAGAAAGATTTATGCCATCTGTGCAGCTGGCATTTTTATAGTAAAATTTTTTTTACTTTGCTCCAAGTTTAAGTTATCTCATGACAAACTTTCTTGAAAGAGGCATTCACTATTATTATAGGAAGTATACTTCTTTATTGAAAAGGAGATAATGTATCAGGTAACTTATTAAAGTATTTTCTCAAAGTTTAGTATCTTTAGGAATACAGTGCCTCAATACAATATAAAATATTTTGTAAATAATAGAATGAATTCATTTTAGAATTTAAATGATGCTAATAAAATAGACCATTATTCTAAAAGTTTAACTAATTTAGAATCAACCCTGGTTGAAAATAAAGCCTTAAGCTGTTTTTTTGGAAGACTTTAAATCCTTTATGGCTAAGAGATGACAGACAGGGCCGAGTGCGGTGGCTCATGCCTGTAATCCCAGCACTTTGGGAGGCCGAGGCGGGCGGATCACGAGGTCAGGAAATCAAGACCATCCTGGCTAACACGGTGAAACCCTGTCTCTACTAAAAAATACAAAAAAAATTAGCCGGGCGTGGTGGCGGGCGCCTGTAGTCCCAGCTACTCAGGAGGCTGAAGCAGGAGCATGGTGTGAACCCAGGAGGCAGAGCTTGCAGTGAGCTGAGATCACACCACTGCACTCCAGCCTGGGCAACAGAGCGAGAGAGTGAGACTCTGTCTCAAAAAAAAAAAAAAAAATGACAGATGCATGGAGGTTATATTGACAAGGGGAGAGATGTACAAACTGTTGAATGCTTTAGGTATTGTAGAATCATAATATCTTAGTATATCTAAATGGTTGGCTTGTTTTAAAATGATTAATCAAAGGCTGAATTGCCTTTATGAATAAAACCTTCCTTTAACAAGCTTCCACAAATAATCCTAGGCCTTTTATTGAAATGCCTACAAAATTCAGTCCTCATTCAACTGTTTATTGAGTGTCTACTATGTCCTAGGCACTGTGCCAGGTGTTGGGAAATGAGTCATACACACACTAATTCTTACCTTTAGTGTAATTTCTATTTTACCTGTTTCAAAGTAAAAGAGAAAGCAAAAGTGCTAACTCACCCTTGATTTTGATTTTAATTTTATTTAACTCAGTTAATTGAGAAGAAACACCCGTGTTCTTTAATAAACCTATTAGAGCGAAAAAGGACTGAAAGCCTAAAGGCTGAGGAAATTGAAAGCAAAATTTGCACAGCCTGCAGGACCCTTGCTGGGGACTGAGGAAAGTTCTTGACCTTTCCTCACAGCTTCTTCCAGCATTATGCAATGGAGGATATTTTACCCAACAGTGTGAACTTTTAGTGGCTGCAAGCTGCAGGGAGCCCTTTCTGGGGTAAGTTCTCTTGCTTATTGTATGCAAAGCAAACTGCCACAGCAGTGCCAAGGTTAACATTTTTGTTGTGCTGAAATTTGGAAGTAGAACAGAGTGAAATTTTTTAACATTTCTTTTTTCCTTTTTTTGTCCGCCAGTAGCCCTATTATTTAGTACATCTTTGACCATTTTGACATGTAGAAACCTTTAGAACTATCTGCTTTTTTATGGTTGCAGAAAAATTATATTTTAATATATGAAATTAATATTTAACTGGTAATTTGGTAATTTTAGCAGATGTGCAGAACTCAGTTTTTTTAAAAAAAAAGCCAGTGAAAGAGATTATAAAATGATGCACTTCTGTATTTTCTATATAAGGGCTGTCTGAGCTGGACTCAGAATTTGCTTACTTATTAGCTAAACACTTAAATTTTACATTGGAACATCAGTTTTTGTATATATTTCTATTAGAGTTGGGAACAGGGGAAAGATACATGATCTGATAAAGTTTCTCAAAAGTTAAGTGAAGATTTGGTTCATCAGAGTTTTGACAGGATATAAAATCTAAATGTTTTTTCTATTGAAAAAACAAGAAACCACTTTTTAAAATTCAGAGATGCATAGGCAGTAATTTGTTTTTTAAGTATAGAAGAAAAGAATTACTTGGTCAGGTGAATTAATATCAAGTAGTGGTAAGTCTATATGTCAGGTATGCAGACAGAGCTATCTTTGAGCCTCCAAAGCCAAAATACAGAAAACCAGGACAGCTTTCTGTTGTGTTTATTGTGTTAAAACAATTTAGCTGCTAATGATAGAGTTTTAAAGCCTGCAGTAGTTTTGAATGTTAGTACTTCCACATTTTTCAAAAGTACAACATCGTAATATCAGTCATCATATGCAGTGATTCTCATTTGGCAAGGTCATGCCCTTTGTAGGGTTGGGTAGTTCTGTTAGAATCTTTGGGTGGGGACATGCATAGTTTGCAAAGGTCTTCTCATGCTCCACGGTAAGAGGGATGGATTTTCTCTTACCGTGCTCCGTGGTAAAAGAAAAATTAGTTAACATTAATGTAAACACAATAGCATAATCAAACCAGAAAATTTATCATTATATGGAAGTAAGTGCATTCATCACCAGGAATGAGAAATGCTTTACTCTAGAGAATGTTGAAAATGCTTCAAGAAGAGGGTTTTAGTCAACAACGTTGGCATTTCTCAGGGTTGGAAGCAAGCAACTCTTGGAACACCTGAAGAACAACCAGTAATGTTTCTCTTCCTTTGTAGATGATTATACTGCCATTTTGAATTTTTAAGCTTCCTTGTGTAACTGTGCCAGTGATTGTCACCTCTGTAATTTTTTCAGTACCTATTGTTAAGCAGACTTGGGAGAGCCAGGCAAGTCTCATTGAATACTATAGTGACTATACTGAAAATTCCATTCCTACTGTGGATTTGGGAATTCCTAATACAGATAGAGGTGAGTCATAATTCTTACTACTCTCCTTATTAAACATTGCCATTCTGTAAATACAGTAAATTAGGTTAGGATAAAAATGAAATGTTTTATAAGTGCTATAATTTTTGCCTCATATTAGTTTTTTCCCTTCTCTCAGATACTGATTGGTTCTTTCAAACTAAGGGCTTTATAGTACGAAGTGTTGCAAGTTTTTAGTAGCTTATATCCTATAATTGAGCACATGATAGTTACAGCAGAATTTAACAATAGATTTTTCATACCTTCATAATTCTTTGCGACCATGATGGGGTGTTTATTATATTCCCACATAAAGCTTCTCTCCTTGTCAGTCTTATAGTCTAGTTCACATATTATATTACCCGTGAGTACCACCTAATCACATTCTACACTAGTTATATGTAGAATAAACTGTATTCTATATGTTAAGATTTTAATTAGTAAATTGTTGGAAATAAACCTGCTTTTCTCTTCAAATTGCAGGCTTTCTAATTAAAAACACTTTTTAGGACATACAGAGTGGAATGGTAGACATTGGAGACTCCAAAAGGTGGGAGAGTAGAAGAGGGGCGAGGGATGAGAAATTACCCACTGAGTACGATAGACACTCTTCGGGTGATGGCTTCACCAAAAGCCCAGACTTCACCACTGTACAATATGTCGATGTTACAAAACTGCACTTGTACCTCTTAAATCTATAAAAATTTTAAAAAATTGTGTCAAAAAATGGAAGTGAAAATTTGGCCACCTCATCTTCAGATATTCTTTATTCATCTTAAGTTTTATCCAGTGTTCCTGCCACCCTTTGTTCTTTAGTTTTTTTGTTCCCCATGCCCTTTTATGAGTAAAAAAAAAAAAAAAAAAAAAAAAAAGTAGCAAACTGATTATGTTCTATACAGTAATTTATCTTATTTTATGTTAGTGTCACTCATAATTCTTTCATTAATATAGTACAATGCAGAATCAGATATGCCATCTCTGTAGTTACCAATTCTTCTAACAAGGTTAAGTGTATTACTGAGTCTGTCTGTTGCTGTTTGATTTGGAAAAACGATTTTAGATTGGGTTTAATAATCATGTATTTACTTATACCTTATTTGATGTCTTCATTACTAGTCTGGTCTTATTGTCTATATTTATATTTGTTCTAAAAGGGATTTGAGGTGGCTTTGAAACACGTATTGTAATGGTTAAAAATACACAGAGATCAAGAGTAAAGAAAATAAAGGTCAAATTGAGTGGTTTAATAGTCATTAATATAAGTTAATATTTGTGCTCCACTGTGTCACCAAATAATTAAAATGAGGGGCATATTCCTGTTTATCAATTTGACTACTCTTCCCAAGTGTTTTATTTTTGTCCAGCATTTACCATTAAAGCATTGTAATTTATCTATTGGTATCTGAAGGACTGTTACTCTGTCTTACTCAGCACTATATCTTTAGTGCTTAGTACCTGCCACAGTATCTGGCATGTTAGAAACTTAGTGGTAGTAAATATTTACAAAATAAGTAAATGAAGGTATAAGCTTCCGCCTTTGCACTGCTGCTTCCCTGTGGCAGTGGTGCCTGGGGTTCTAACAGCTCCTTCAGAATAAGTTTATCTAAGAAAGGATGCCATTGCTCATTGCTGTGAGTCTTAAAACTTTCTTGCCTGGACTGAAGTTACTAATTCTATCTCTGCCTCAGATTATCTGTGTGACTGTGTAATTCCACTCATCTCTCTAGGTCTCCATTTCCTTGTGTGAGAAATGAATGGCTTGAATTTCATTATCTCTAAAGTTCCCACTGGTTCAATGTGTCTGTGAAAATTAGAGAAGGCTATTTTTAAAAATTTTGAACTTTTAAGCTGCATTTTGGCATGTAAGCTCTTAGAACACTTCAAAACTAAAAAGAAATGAACAAATTCTATATATTTTATAAGAAATAATACATTGTAAGTTTTTTTCTTGCCTTTTCTAGGTCATTGTGGAAAGACATTTGCCATTTTGGAAAGATTTCTGAATCGTAGCCAGGACAAAACAGCATGGTTAGTCATTGTGGATGATGATACATTAATAAGGTAAGGAGTCATTCTCATCCTAAATGGCTTTAAATTCTACATATATTCATATTCAAAAAACTAGATGGGTACTTTTTCTGGCCAAGATGAAGTAACGGGGACGGGGTTTACCCTTCTATCTGAACCAATCCTCTTAAGGAACAAAATATATAAAACAAAGGTTTTTAACACACTGAATATTAGGTGCAAAGGAAAATGATCCAAAAGAAACATGAAGCAAATGAGGTGAGTTCTATGACTGCCAGAGCTGACTGCCTTAAGAGAATTCCAAGTTACTGCTTAGGGAGGGAGCACCAGATGGAACCTGACAGACTCTGTGGGCGGAAAAGATGGAGCTGAGAGTCTCAGGAGACCAAGGCTATTACAGTTTGCAGGACAGAGTACCAGAGAGGAGAGAGCTATACAGAAAGGGAACACTGGAGGTAGGTGAAGAGCCCCCTTATGTATTCAATAGAGTATTGATCAGTGCATATGTGTGAGGAAACTACCCGATGCTGGGGAAAGACCCAACCAGATTAGAGGGAATTGTGCCTGACACTCACACATGCCTGGGCTGGAAAACCCCTGTTCACAAGGTATTGAGAACAGCGTGTAAGAGGGTCTTGCCTCAATAGGGGGGATAGTTAACCCTAGACTAAGCACTTTTCCAGTCCTGCCTAACATATCTGAAAAGCAAGAAAATACAAGAAAATGAAACTGTTTCCAAGTAGTAGCCTGTGTCTGAGAACAAAACTCAAGAAGACTTACAGAAATACAAAAATAACCAACATCTAATAAAGTAAAATTCATAATATCTGCCATCCAATCAAAAGTTGCCAGGCATATAAAGCAGCAGGAAAATACAGAAGTGAAAAAAAATTAGCTTATTGAAATGGTTTCAGAATTTATACAAGGTTAGAATTAGAAGTTATTAAGCTGTTACTATTAAATAGTTATTATACCTCTATTCCATATGTTCAAAAAGACATGGAATGTCTCTTAGTCTTAAATAAGTTTAAATCATACCTCTAGAGATGAAAACTACATTCTTGATTGAGGTGAAAAACCCACTGGATGGGTTTAATAGCAAATTCATTTAAGAAGAAAGTATCAGTGAACTCGAAGACATTGCAATAATAACTATCCAAACTGAAACACAAAGATAAAAAATAATTTTAGAAAATTAACACCATCACTGAGCTGTGGGACAATTTCAGGTGGCCTTGAATATATGCAATTGAAATCTCCAAAGAGAAGGAGCACATAATTATTTAAAGAAATATTTTTCAAATTTAATGAAAACTGTAAACCCATAGATCCAAGAGTGTCAATGAACCCCAGGCACACCATAAGCACAAAAGCAGAGAACAGCCACCTCCAGGAATGCCATAATGGACACTTAGGACAGTACCCACTGCCCCACTCTAGGCAGCTGTGGAATTGAGGACTAGCATGCTTAACCCATTGTAGCTACCCACAACACCAACATGGACCTCTTGGGTCTCAGTGGGTTGCTCCACCACCACTACTGCCATCATTCACATCATACCAGCTGCTCAGGGGGCTAACAACTTGTCCACACACCTAGCCCACTGCTCTCATTACTAGCTTCTAAGCAAGCAGTTCACCTGCAGGCCCAAGAATCAGCCATTCAGAACTCTCTAACACCACAGCCAGCATAAGCTGCTTTAGGGCCTAAAAACAGGCATATTCACCCTTCTGCTGCCACCACTGGGGCCCAAAGACTGACTCAGTTGGCATCCAAGTCCCCAGCAAAATTTCACAGCTTCAGCTAATAACCATACCCTAAGCCACTGAGGAAATTACACATACCACGAACCTTGTGTACTACTGAAAAAGTCACACAAAGACCACACTACAACAGCACCAAAAATAAAAGCCAAGGTGTCTTACTTAACCAACAACATATATACATCTTCAGGAAAAATATTCTCCCCTACAAAAGCAATTTTTAAAAATTGGAACAACAATACCAGATATGCAGATATCAATGGAAGGAAACAGGAAACATGAAAAAGCAAGAAAATATGATACCAGTAAAGGACCACAACAATTTTCTGGGAACAGATCCCAATCAGTAAGAATTCCTGAAATAACAGATAAAGAATTCAAAATATTGATTTTAAAGAACCTCATTGAGGTACAAGAGAAATCTGAAAACCAGTACAAAAATAAGAAAATGAATTCAAGATGTGAATGAGAGATATACCAAGGAAATAGATATCTTTAATTTAAAAAACCAAACAGATTCTGGAACTGAAAATTCATTGAAGGAAATACAAAATACATTTGAAAGCTTTGGTAATAGACTAGACCAAGCAGAAGGAGGAATTTCAAAACTTGACGACAGATCTTTTGAAATAATTCAGCCACACAAAAATAAGGAAAAAATGAAAAAGAATGAAAACAGCCCTCAAGATGTCTAGGACTACACAAAATGACCAAACTTATAAATTATCAATATTTTTGAGGGGGAAGAGAGATCAAAAACTTTAGAAATCCTACTGAAGGACATAATTGATGAAAATGTCCCAAATGTAGCAAAAGAGTTAGATATTTAGATACAGGAGATCCAGTGATCTTCATGTAAATACATTGAAAAAAGGACTTCACATGGCATATTAGGACTTCACATGGCATATTATATTCAGAATGTTTAAATTCAAGTGAAAGAAAGAATCTTTAAAATTAGCAAGAGCAAAAGCATCAAGTCATGTATAAAGGACTAATAGTGGACTTTTCAGCAGAAACCTTATAGGCCAAAGAGAATGAGATGGCACTTTAGCCATCGTGCTAAAAGAAAAAAAAAAAGCTGTGAGCCAAGAATTTTATATCCTGCCAGAATAAGCCTTATAGATAAAGGGGAAATAATCTTTCCCAGACAAGGAAATGCTGAGGAAATTTGTCACCACTAGGTAGGGACAAAGCCTCACATATCAAGATTAACCTTGAATATAACTGGATTAAATGCTTCACTTAAAAGATACAGATTGCCAGAATGGATTTTTTTTATTGTTTTATCTGACATTTTCCAATAACATTGGTAGTTTTTTTTTTTTAATTATACTTTAAGTTCTGGGGTACATATGCAAAATGTGCAGGTTTGTTACATAGGTATACACGTGCCATGGTGGTTTGCTGCACTCATCAACCCATCATCTACATTAGGTATTTCTCCTAATGCTACCCCTCCCCTAGCCACCCCACCTTCCAACAGGCCCTGGTGTGTGATGTTCCCCTCCCTGTGTCCAGGTGTTCTCCTTGTTCAACTCCCACTTATGACTGAGAACATGTGGCGTTTGGTTTTCTGTTCCTGTATTAGTTTGCTGAGAATGATGGTTTCCAGATTCATCCATGTCCGTGCAGAAGATGAACTCATGCTTTTTTATGGCTGCATAGTATTCCATGGTGTTTATGTGCCACATTTTCTTTATCCAGTCTGTCACCGATGGGCATTTGGGTTGGTTCCAAGTCTTTGCTATTGTGAATAGTGCTGCAGTAAACATGTGTGCATGTGTCTTTACAGTGGAATGACTTATAATCCTTTGGATATATACCCAATAATGGGATTGCTAGGTCAAATGGTATTTCTAGTTCTAGATCCTTGAGGGATCGCCACACTGTCTTCCACAATGGTTGAACTAATTTACACTCCCACCAGCAGTGTAAAAGTGTTCCTATTTTTCCACATCCTCTCCAGCATCTGTTGTTTCCTGACTTTTAATGATTGCCATTCTAACTGGCGTGAGATGGTATCTCATTGTGGTTTTGATTTGCATTTCTGTAATGACCAGTGATGAGCTTTTTTTCATATGTTTGTTGGCCACATAAATGTCTTCTTTTGAGAAGCGTCTGTTCATATCCTTTGTCCACTTTTTGATGGGGTTGTTTGTATTTTTCTTGTAAATTTGTTTAAGTTCTTTGTAGATTCTGGATATTAGCTCTTTGTCAGATGGATAGATTGCAAAAATTTTCTCCCATTCTGTAGGTTGCCTGTTCACTCTGATGATAGTTTCTTTTGCTGTGCAGTAGCTCTTTAGTTTAATTGGATCCTGTTTGTCAATTTTGGCTTTTGTTGCCGTTGCCTTTGAGGTTTTAGTCACGAAGTCTTTGCCCATGCCTATGTCCTGAATGGTATTGCCTAGGTGTTCTTCTAGACTCTTTATGGTTTTAGGTCTTACATGTAACTCTTTAATCCATTTTAATTTTTGTATAAGGTGTAAGAAAGGTTTTCTGCATATGGCTAGCCAGTTTTCTCAACACCACTTATTAAATAGAGAATCCTTTCCCCATTGCTTGTTTTCGTCAGGTTTGTCAAAGATCTGATGGTTGTAGATGTGTGGCATTATTTCTGAGGCCTCTGTTCTATTCCATTGGTCTGTATATCTGTTTTGGTACCAGTACCATGCTGTTTTGGTTACTGTGGCCTTGTAGTATAGTTTGAAGTCAGGTAGCCTGATGCCTCCAGCTTTGTTCTTTTTGCTTTGGATTGTCTTTTTTTGTTCCATATGAAATTTAAAATAGTTTTTTCTAATTCTGTGAAGAAAGTCAATGGTAGCTTGATGGGGATTGCATTGAATCTGTAAATTACTTTGGTCAGTATGGCCGTTTTCACAATACTGATTCTTCCTATCCATGACCATGGAATGTTTTTTCATTTGTTTGTGTCCTCTCATTTCCTGAGCAGTGGTTTGTAGTTCTCCTTGAAGAGGTCTTTCAGATCCCTTGTAAGTTGGATTCCTAGGTATTTTATTCTTGTTGTAGCAATTGTGAATGGCAGTTCACTCGTGATTTGCTTCTCTATTATTGGTGTATAGGAATGCTTGTGATTTTCGCACATTGATTTTGTATCCTGAGACTTTGCTGAAGTTGCTTATCAGCTTAAGGAGATTTTGGGCTGAGATGATGGATTTTCTAAATATATGATCATGTCATCTGCAAACAGAGACAATCTGACTTCCTCTCTTCCTATTTGAATATCCATTATTTCTTTCTCTTCCTTATTGCCCTGGCCAGAACTTCCAATACTGTGTTGAATAGGAGTGGTGAGAGAGGGCATCCTTGTCTTCTGCCAGTTTTCAAAGGGAATGCTTCCAGTTTTTGCCCATTCAGTATGATATTGGCTGTGGGTTTGTCATAAATAGCTCTTATTATTTTGAGATACATTTCATCAATACCTAGTTTATTGGGTGTTTTTAGCATGAAGGGGTGTTGAATTTTATCGAAGGCCTTTTTGCATCTATTGAGATAATCATGTGGTTTTTGTCATTGGTTCTGTTTATGTAATGGATTACATTTATTGTTTTGCATGTGTTGAACCCGTCCTGCATCCCAGGTATGAAGCTGACTTGATCATGGTAGACAAGGTTTTTGATGTGCTGCTGGATTTGGTTTGCCAGTATTTTACTGAGGATTTTCACATCAACGTTCATCAGGGATATTGGTCTGAAATTTTTTTTCTTGTGTCTCTGCCAGGTTTTAGTATCAGAATGAGGCTGGCCTTATAAAATGAGTTAGGGAGGATTCCCTCTCTTTTTATTGTTTGGAATAGTTTCAGAAGGAGTGGTACCAGCTCCTCTTTGTATCTCTAGTGGAATTCGGCTGTGAGTCTGTCTGGTTCTGGGCTTTGTTTGGTTGGTAGGCTATTAATTATTGCCTCAATTTCAGAACTTGTTATTGGTCTATTCAGGGATTTTACCTCTTCCTGGTTTAGTCTTGGGAGGGTGTAGGTGTCCAGGAATTTATCCATTTCTTCTAGATTTTCTAGTTTATTTGTGTAGAGGTGTTTATAGTATTATCTGATGGTAGTTTGTATTTCTGTGGGATCAGTGGTTATATCCCCTTTATCATTTTTTATAGTTTCTATTTTATTCTTCTCTCTTTTTTTTTTCTTTATTAGTCTAGCTAGCAGTCAATTTTGTTAATCTTTTCAAAAAACCAGCTCCTGGATTCATTGATTTTTTAGAGTTTTTTTGTGTCTCTGTCTCCTTCAGTTCTGCTCTGATCTTAGTTATTTCTTGTCTTCTGCTAGCTTTTGACTTTGTCTGCTCTTTCTTCTCTAGTTCTTTTAATTGTGATGTTAGGATGTTAATTTTAGATCTTTCTCACCCTCTCCTGTGGGCATTTAGTGCTATAAATTTCCCGCTAAACACTGCTTTAGCTGTGTCCCAGAGGTTCTGGTACATTGTGTGTTTGTTCTCATTGGTTCCAAAGAACTTATTTCTGCCTAAATTTCATTACTTACCCATAGTCATTCAGGAGCACATTGTTCAGTTTCCATGCAGTTTTGCGGTTTTGAGTGAGTTTCTTAAATCCTAAGTTCTAATTTGATTTCACTGTAGTCTGAGAGACTGTTATGATTTCTGTTCTTTTACATTTGCTGAGGAGTGTTTTACTTCCAATTATGTGGTCAGTTTTAGAATAAGTGTGATGTGGTGCTGTGAAGAATGTATATTCTGTTGATTTGGGGTGGAGAGTTCTGTAGATGTCTATTAGGTCTGCTTGGTCCAGAGCTGAGTTCAAGTCCTGAATATCCTTGTTAATTTTCTGTCTCGTTGATCTGTCTAATATTGACAGTGGGGTGTTAAAGCCTCCCACTATTATTGTGTGGGAGTCTAAGTCTCTTTGTAGGTCTTTAAGAACTTGCTTTATGAATCTGGATGCTCCGGTATTGGGTGCATATATATTTAGGATAGTTAGCTCTTCTTTTTGCATTGATCCCTTTACCATTATGTAATGCCCTTCTTTGTCTTTTTTGATCTTTGTTGGTTTAAAGATCTGTTTTATCAGATAGTAGGATTGCAACCCTTGCTCTCTTTTTTTGCTTTCCATTTTCTTGATAAATCTTCCTCCATTCCTTTATTTTGAGCCTATGGGTGTCTTTGCACATGAGATGAGTCTCCTGAATACAGCACTCCAATGGGTCTTGACTCTTTTATCCAATTTGCCAGTCTGTGTCTTTTAAATGGAGCATTTAGCCCATTTACATTTAAGGTTAATATTGTTATGTGTGAATTTGATTCTGTCATTATGATGCTAGCTGGTTATTTTGCCAGTTAGTTGATGCAGTTTCTTCATAGTGTCGAAGGTCTTTACAATTTGATATGTTTTTGCAGTGGCTGGTACCGCTTTTTCCTTTCCATATTTAGTGCTTCCTTCAGGAGCTCTTGTAAGGAAGGCCTTGTGGTGGCAAAATCTCTCAGCATTTGCTTGTTTGTAAAGGATTTTATTTCTCTTTCGCTTATGAAGTTTAGTTTGGCTGGATATGAAATTCTGGGTTGAAAATTCTTTTCTTTAAGAATGTTGAATATTGGCACCCATTCTCTTCTTGTGGCTTATAGGGTTTCTGCTGGGAGATCCGCTGTTTGTCTGATGGACTTCCCTTTGTGGGTGACCCGACGTTTCTCTCTGGCTGCCTTTAACATTTTTTCCTTCATTTCAACCTTGGTGAATCTGACGATTATGTGTCTTAGGGTTGCTCTTCCTGATGAGTATCTTTGTGGTGTTCTCTGTATTTCCTGAGTTTGAATGTTAGCTTGTCTTGCTAGGTTGGGGAAGTTCTCTTGGATAATATCCTGAAGAGTGTTTTCCAACTTGGTTCCATTCTCCCCATCACTTTCAGGTACAGCAATCAAACGTAGATTTGGTCTTTTCACATAGTCCCATATTTCTTGGAGGCTTTGTTCATTTTTCATTCTTTTTTCTCTAATCTTGTCTTCACACTTTATTTCAGTAAGTTGGTCTTCAATCCTTGCTATCCTTTCTTCCACTTGATCGATTAGGCTGTTGATACTTGTGTGTGCTTCACAAAGTTCTCATGCTGTGTTTTTCAGCTCCATCAGGTTATTTCTGTTCTTCTCTAAACTGGTTATTCTAGTTAGCAATTCGTCTAACCTTTTTTCAAGGTTCTTAGCTTCCTTGCATTGGATTAGAACATGCTCCTTTAACTCGGAGGAGTTTGTTATTACCCACCTTCTGAAGTCTACTTCTGTCAGTTCGTCATACTCATTCTCTGTCCAGTTTTGTTCCCTTGCTGGTGAAGAGTTGTTATCCTTGGGAGAAGAGGCATTCTGGTTTTTTTTTTGGAATTTTCAGCCATTTTGCACTGGTTTTTCCTCATCTTCGTGGATTTATCCACCTTTGGTCTTTGATGTTGGTGACCTTTGAATGGGGTTTTGTGTGGACGTCCTTTTTTTTTGATGCTGATGCTATTCCTTTCTGTTTGTTAGTTATCCTTCTAACAGTCAGGCCTCTCTACTGTAGGTCTGCTCGAGTTTGCTGGACGTTCACTCCAGACCCCATCTGCCTGGGTATTACCAGTGGAGGCTGCAGAACAGCAAAGATTGCTGCCTTTTCCTTCCTTTGGAAGCTTTGTCCCAGACGGGCACGCGCCAGATGTCAGCTGGAGCTCTGCTGTATGAGGAGTCTGTCGGCCCCTCCTGGGAGGTGTCTCCCAGTCAGGAGGCACAGGGTTCAGGGACCCACTTGAGGAGGGAGTCTGTCCCTTAGCAGAGCTCCAGTGCTGTGCTGGGAGATCCACTGCTCTCTTCAGAGCCGGCAGGCATGAACGTTTAAGTCTGCTGAAGCTGTGCCCACTGCCACCCCTTCCCCCAGGTGCTCTGTCCCAGGGAGGTGGGAGTTTTATGTATAAGCCCCTGACTGGGCATCTGCCTTTCATTTAGAGATCCCCTGCCCAGAGAGGAGGAATCTAGAGAGGCAGTCTGGCTACAGCAGCTTTGCCTAGCTGTGGTGGCCTCCACCCAGTTAGAACTTTTAGACAGCTTTGTTTATACTCTGAGGGGAAAACTGCCTACTCAAGCCTCAGTAATGGCAGATGCCCCTCCCCCCACCAAGCTCGAGCATCCCAGGGGGACTTCAGACTGCTGTGCTGGCAGCGAGGATTTCCAGCCAGTGGATCTTAGCTTGCTGGGCTCCGTGGGGGTGGGGTTCGCTGAGCTAGACTACTTGGCTCCCTTGCTTTAACCCCCTTTCCAGGGGAGTGAACAGTTCTGTCTCACTGGCATTCCAGGCACCACTGGGGTATAAAAAAACTCCTGCAGCTATCTCAATGTCTGCCCAAATGGCTGCCCAGTTTTGTGTGTGAAACCCAGGGACCTGGTGGTATAGGTACCTGAGGGAATATCCTGGTCTGCAGGTTGTGAAGACCGTGGGACAAGTGTAGGATCTGGGCTGGAATGCACCATTCCTCATAGCACAGTCCCTCTTGACTTCTCTTGGCTAGGTGAGGGAGTTCCCCGTCCCCTTGTGCTTCCCAGGTAAGGCGACGCACCCACTGTTTCTGCTCGCCCTCTGTGGGCTCCACCCACTGTCCAACCAGTCCCAATGAGATGCACCAGGTACCTCAGTTGGAAATGCAGAAATCACCTGCCTTCTGCATTGATCTCACTGGGAGCTGCAGACCGGAGCTGTTCCTATTTGGCCATCTTGCCAGCCATCTCCTGTTTTGTTTTGTTTTGTTTGATAATTATTTCTCATAGTTCTGGAGGGCTAGAAGCCTGAGATCAGGGTGCCAGCATGGTTGGGTTCTAGTGAGGGCTCTCTTGGGTTGCAGGCTGCTGACTTCTTGTATCTTCAAATGGTGGAAAGAGAGCAAGCTAGCTCTGTGGCCTCTTCTCAGAAGGGCATGAATCCCATTTATGAGGTCTCCACCCTCGTGATCTCTTCACCCTCCCAAAAGGTCCCACCTCTAAATAGCTTCATATTGGGGATTAGATTTCAACATATGATAAAATTTGGGGGGAACACAAACATTCATTTCATAACAGCTACTAGTCTTCTCTTAGTATAGATTATCAAATACTAAGAAAAAGAAGGGTCTATTTTTCAATAGAGATGATGGAGAAATACTGTAAAATTATGTAACATTTTTTTTTTATCACCATCTGGTTCATCCACCATATGTTTCTTTTTCCTTTTTTTTTTAATTGTGGTAAAGTACACACAACTTCAAATTTACCATCATAACCATTTTTAAGTATACAGTTTAGTAGTATTAAATACATGCATAATGTTGTGCAGCCATCTGCATAACTCTTTTCATCTTGTAAAACTGAACCTCTATATCCATTAAAAAATAACTCTCTATACTCCCCTAACCCCATCCCCTGGCAACCATCATTCTATTTTCTGCCTCTATGATTTTGACTACTCTCAGTACCTCATATAAATGGAATCATACAGTACTTGTTTTTTTTTTTTGTGACTTGCTTATTTTACTTAGCATAATGTCTTCGAAATTTATCCGTGTTGTAGCATATTGCAGAATTTCCTTCCTATTTAAGGCTGAATAACATTCCTTGGATACAGTATGGATAGACCATATTTTGCTTATCCATTCATCTGTTGATGGACACTCCATCAACATGGGGTTGTGGGTATGCACCCAGAAATTGAATGACTAGATCATATGGTAATTCTATTTATAATGGAACCATCACACTGTTTTCCCATAGAGGTTGTTCCATTTTACATTCCTACCAGAAGTGCACAAGGTTTCCAGTTTCTCCACATCCTTGTCAACCCCATTATTTTCTGGGTTTTTTTTTTTTTTTTTTTGATAGTCGCTATTCTAGTGGGTGTGAATTTTGATTTGCATTTCCCTAATGATTAGTTGGTTAGGAAAAAACTGAGCTATTTTCCCCTCTGTTCTCACACTGCAATAATCATCAACACAGAAGACAACTTCCGTGACCAAAAGTGTGGAGCAGGGAGAGTTCTCCTACCCACCAAGCAATCAATCAGTTCTGCAGTGGACACCAAATGGGTGTCCTTTAATTCAATTTTAACACTGTCTACCTGGAGATAGTGCCAATTCCCACAGTTTGAGGGCTCAGTCCCCAAGACTGCCCTACCACCCCATACACCAGACACCAGTCATTAAGTCCAGGCGTCCAGAACTTCTGACTGATGAGCTTCACGTCGGGGTTCTTACAACCTCCTCTGTGGGTTTATTTAATTTGCTAGAGTGGCTCTCAGAACTCAGGGAAATACTTTCTCACATTTACCAGTTTATTATAAAGGATATTACAAAGATACAGATGAAGAGATGTGTAGGGTGAGGTATGAGAGAAGGGGTGTGGAGCTTCCATGCCCTCCAGGAACTCCACATGTTCAGATATTCTAAAGCTCTCTGAAGCCTGCTCTCTTGGGGTTTATGAAGGCTTCATTATATAGCCACGATTGATTAAACCATTGGCCACTGATGATCAACTTGACTTTCAGCTGCTTTCCCCTCCCAGGAGATTGGGGGGTGGGACTGAAAGTCCCAACTCTCTAATCATGCCTTTGCCTTTCTGGTGACCAGTCCCATCTTGAAGCTGTCGGTATACGTTAGCCTACAAAAAGATAGCAATTTGGACGTTCCAAAGATTTTAGGATTGGTATGTCAGCAAATGGGTGATGAAAACCAAATATATATTTCATAATATCACAGCCTACCCTCGTTCTTCAGATACCTTACATCAAAAGAACATACAACTCAAAAGATATTGCCACATTAGAGTCTCATTCCATCATTAATAACTAGTCTAGTCCACTATATTGTATTAATGTTTCCCAGAGTGAGTCCACTCAGGTTTGCAGGCTTCCCTTCAATCTTGTCAGGTTCCAAAGCTGGAGCGGTCTTGGCAAACAAATAGCTTTACCTTTTTAGATATCTGTTATAATTGAGCTGAGAGACAATGTCATCTGTTTCTCTAAGGGTCTTTCAAGGTGTTAATGTAATGTTGGATTTCCCTCAATTTATAACCCATTATTCATTCCTTTACCCTCAACTACTATTTCTCTTTCTCTCCGTTAATACCCAAATGTTTCCACCTTTGGAAGAGACATCAGAATCACTACCGTTCTGGTTTAGACTGCAGGCAACAATGCTAGTCTAGCAGGTACCTTCTCCTCAGCCTACTCCCATGCAGATAGGGTAAAGTTATGTAGGTGCAAAGCTAGTGGGTTATTTTTACCACCAGGCAATATAGCTGCATTCACTCTTAGCCCCAGCTTTGCTAAGCGGGGTGAAGGAGCAACACAGTCACATCAGGCCCTAAGGAATTTTGACATAAGCTTTAAAAACATAGTTATGGTTTTTTGCTTAGAAATCAGCCCTGCTTCCAGCACTGGCAGTTGCAGGCCTGGTCCTAGGGCCACTACGTCAAGTAGGAGGGAAAGAAAAGGTTTTAGTGATCTGATTTAGGGAAGAAAGAAAAAATGATCATTATTCCAACGTACTCCTGCCTTGGCAAGATTTGCATAGTCACCCGAGCATCCTCTTCACCCCTTCTTCTCCAGACCAGCCTTAGAAAAACAGGAACATCTAGTGGGCAGACTCCTTTAGTCCCACTCATGTTGAGTATGAGCACACACTCTTGAAGGCATGTAAGCCAGCCTTTTATGTTTCCAGTGTTTTAATTACCTGTTCTATTCATCTATCAAACTATGACTCTGAGGAGACTATCTCTGTGCCCATTGTTGGACATCATAGGCTGTACAGTGTGTTCCTTGGTCTGAAGAAATGACGATTGGCCATACAAATCCATGCAATATCTTCTGTTTAGTTGTTTTTTTAATGGTACTCAGAGTATTTGCATGTTCCACTGAGTAAGCAAAAGCCATGCCAGAGTCATTGTCTATTCCTGTCAAGACCCATTTGTAGCCCCATAGGGCCACTAGCACCAGTCTCTGTATTGCCAGCTTTGTTTAGGACCTTTGCACCAGGGAATCTGCCCCATAGCCATTATCAGTCTCTGCCTTTTTTTCTGGTGGAGAGAACAGTTCTTATTGGCATTTTGTGCCTGAGAGGATGCAAAAGGAACATGTCTAGATTCAGCCCATCTCTGCCTGCTGCCGTACCCCCATATCCACTAATTTCATGGATCCAGGTGACCACCTCAAGGAAGTCCACAGGGATACCTGCTTGTCAATTCCATTCACCTTCCAAACCTGGAAAGGGGCTCTTCTGATTGACATTGACTTGTTCTACTTTAATGCACCCCTCAAATGTCCATGGGGCCATGCTTCATATGGGCATCCTTTTAATAGGCCAAGTATCCATTGCCCTCTTGCCTAACTGTATGGGCAGGCAATTGGTCACTGCCTATGAGTTAGTAAAATCCTAAACACAAGTGTTTCTACCACTGTTCAATTCTTCCATTACTGTTAGGAAAATGCATCCAATACAGCCCACTGAGATTATTTGTTTTTACCTCCTTTGGTCAAAATAGCAGACTTCCAAACAGGATGGTATTCATTTACCCTGGTATTGAATTGCCATCCTCAAACCAAGTAGCTCTTGGTTGGTCAGTCAAGAGCTGCTTACAGGGTAGTGTAGAATCCAGTGGCTCCTCACATAGTTCCAGAGTCAGTTTTAGGGGAAAAGAGTCCCTCTGTTTGTGAGGATCTCCTCCTTGCATTCCCCAGGTAGCACGATCATGTATAAATTCTGTTTGATAATGGAATGGGCATTGCCTCCCTTACTAAAGTGTTCCTCTGACATCACCCAAAACAGCATGGGCATTTCAGATATAAATGTAATTGCCCGATGTGTTCTTCCTGCCTGCTGCACAGATAAAACCAGTTCATTAAGACTGTAATATTGCAGTAAAGAGTTTAATTAATGCAAGACTGGCCAAGTGGAAGGACTGGAGTTATTACTTAAAGTAGTCTCACTGAGAACTCAGAGACTAGGGTTTTTTGGATAATTGGGTGGGCAGGGGGCTAGGGAATGGTTACTGCTGATGGGTTGGGAATGAAGTCCTAGGGATGTGGAAACCGGTCCTTGTACAATGAATCTGGCTTTGGTTGGGGACCACAGGACTGGTTGAGTCATGAGTCATGGGTCTGAGTGGGTTCAGTTGGTTACCAGAAGGCAAAAATCTGAAAAACATCTCAAAAGACCAATCTTAGGTTCTACAATAGTAACGTTATCTATAGGAGCAATTGGGGAAGTGTCAAATCTTGTGACCTCTGTCCACATGATTCTTGAGCAGTAAGGGATGATAAAAAATACACTTTAGCAAAGTTCAGGCCCCTCCCCTGATCCTAATCTTGTGGTCTTTCATTAGTTTTTGGTCCCTGAGCAAGGAGGAGATTAGTTTTAGGGAGAGACTGTTAGCATCCTTCCTTCCAAGTTAAACTATAAACTAAATTCCTGCCATGATTAGCTTGACCTACGCCCAGGAATGAGTGAAGACAGCCAGCCTGTGAGACTAGAAGCAAGATGGAGTCAGCCAAGCTAAATTTCTCTCACTGTCATAATCTTTGCAAAGGGGGTTTCATCAAGATCACTTTATGTCCTTTAGTCATAGGAGTAGCCTCAGTTAATGTCCTGTAGCAAGGAAGTAAATGCCCTTCAAGTGGAAATTCTCTAGTTCAAAGTCCTAGTAGTCATTGCTGGGAGGCACTCACAAACCTTTGCCATAAGCCCCAGGAGGTACTCTGCAGAGGGGGCTATCAAATGGGGAAGTTGTCCCCACCAGCTCTTCAGTTTCTGTTCTGCACTATGTGGGCCTGGGCAGTCTTAACTGGTTCCAATTTTAGCAAGTTCCATTAATACTGCTCAAAGGATTTACATATCTTCTGTTTTACAGTACTGGATAGGGGGAACATTTCCCAGTCAGATAAAATGTCTCTTCCCATAATGCAGTCAGGTAAAAGAGATAAAACCATTTCACATGAAGTATGTTCAAATATGGCAGCTTTCATAATCCTAACAACCGTTACACTTTTATGTTCTAGTCCCAGGAATTTCCCCTTTTCATCCCCAGATCATTTTACCCTTTCTTCTGCAAAAGGCTTTGGGTCCCCAGCCTGGAGTCCCACCAGGAGACCCTGGCCTCTCTCTTAATTGTTACCTTGATTAACCAGTCTAACAGGTAATTATAGATGGGGTTTCTCATTTTAATCTTTATCTTCTTGTCTTTAAAAGTTCTCCAAACTGGGGGAAATGCAGCAAACTGGTTTGGGCCCTTAAATGTTGAGAGATCAGCCAGGGGTCCCTTTCCTCCACTCAGTCTTTAATAATGTTGTATTAAGACTTTTGTTTTAACCCCATCAATTTCTACTTTATTCATTCCATTTTTTAATAACCACCTAAATATGTCCACCCTCCTGGGGTGAGTCCCATGGCTCTCCCCTTTCTTTTTCCTCTTACTTTCATTCCTATGAATGTTTTCTGTATTCATCTTATTTCTTACAAACCATTTAAAAATTTCCACCTCCCAGGATGAGTCCTTTGACTCTCCCCTCTCCCCTTCATCATTTTCTTGTTAATTAACCTAATGTCTTTATTAGCATCTGTAAGACCTCAAGGTAAAGCTTAGACCACAAATTTGATAAGGCTTCTGGAACTGTCTTGGTTTTGCAGCAGTAAGTTTATATGAGGTGCCTATGCAAAATGGGCCCCTTTAACAACAACATGTACCATGGCCTGGATAACGGTCATATTCAGTGGGTGAATATCCCAGTTATCATAAAGCTAGTCCCGGGGAGGAGCCAAGATGGCCGAATAGGAACAGCTCCGGTCTACAGCTCCCAGCGTGAGCGACGCAGAAGACGGGTGATTTCTGCATTTCCATCTGAGGTACCGGGTTCATCTCACTAGGGAGTGCCAGACAGTGGGCGCAGGCCAGTGTGTGTGCGCACCGTGCGCGAGCCGAAGCAGGGCGAGGCATTGCCTCACCTGGGAAGCGCAAGGGGTCAGGGAGTTCCCTTTCCGAGTCAAAGAAAGGGGTGACGGACGCACCTGGAAAATCGGGTCACTCCCACCCGAATATTGCGCTTTTCAGACCGGCTTAAGAAACGGCGCACCACGAGACGATATCCCACACCTGGCTCAGAGGGTCCTACGCCCACGGAATCTCGCTGATTGCTAGCACAGCAGTCTGAGATCAAACTGCAAGGCGGCAACGGGGCTGGGGGAGGGGCGCCCGCCATTGCCCAGGCTTGCTTAGGTAAACAAAGCAGCCGGGAAGCTCGAACTGGGTGGAGCCCACCACAGCTCAAGGAGGCCTGCCTGCCTCTGTAGGCTCCACCTCTGGGGGCAGGGCACAGACAAACAAAAAGACAGCAGTAACCTCTGCAGACTTAAGTGTCCCTGTCTGACAGCTTTGAAGAGAGCAGTGGTTCTCCCAGCACTCAGCTGGAGATCTGAGAACGGGCAGACTGCCTCCTCAAGTGGGTCCCTGACCCCTGACCCCCGAGCAGCCTAACTGGGAGGCACCCCCCAGCAGGGGCACACTGACACCTCACATGGCAGGGTATTCCAACAGACCTGCAGCTGAGGGTCCTGTCTGTTAGAAGGAAAACTAACAACCAGAAAGGACATCTACACCGAAAACCCATCTGTACATCACCATCATCAAAGACCAAAAGTAGATAAAACCACAAAGATGGGGAAAAAACAGAACAGAAAAACTGGAAACTCTAAAACGCAGAGTGCCTCTCCTCCTCCAAAGGAACGCAGTTCCTCACCAGCAACAGAACAAAGCTGGATGGAGAATGATTTTGACGAGCTGAGAGAAGAAGGCTTCAGACGATCAAATTACTCTGAGCTACGGGAGGACATTCAAACCAAAGGCAAAGAAGTTGAAAACTTTGAAAAAAATTTAGAAGAATGTATAACTAGAATAACCAATACAGAGAAGTGCTTAAAGGAGCTGATGGAGCTGAAAACCAAGGCTCGAGAACTACGTGAAGAATGCAGAAGCCTCAGGAGCCGATGCGATCAACTGGAAGAAAGGGTATCAGCAATGGAAGATGAAATGAATGAAATGAAGCGAGAAGGGAAGTTTAGAGAAAAAAGAATAAAAAGAAATGAGCAAAGCCTCCAAGAAATATGGGACTATGTGAAAAGACCAAATCTACGTCTGATTGGTGTACCTGAAAGTGATGTGGAGAATGGAACCAAGTTGGAAAACACTCTGCAGGATATTATCCAGGAGAACTTCCCCAATCTAGCAAGGCAGGCCAACGTTCAGATTCAGGAAATACAGAGAACGCCACAAAGATACTCCTCGAGAAGAGCAACTCCAAGACACATAATTGTCAGATTCACCAAAGTTGAAATGAAGGAAAAAATGTTAAGGGCAGCCAGAGAGAAAGGTCGGGTTACCCTCAAAGGAAAGCCCATCAGACTAACAGCGGATCTCTCGGCAGAAACCCTACAAGCCAGAAGAGAGTGGGGGCCAATATTGAACATTCTTAAAGAAAAGAATTTTCAACCCAGAATTTCATATCCAGCCAAACTAAGCTTCATAAGTGAAGGAGAAATAAAATACTTTATAGACAAGCAAATGCTGAGAGATTTTGTCGCCACCAGGCCTGCCCTAAAAGAGCTCCTGAAGGAAGCGCTAAACATGGAAAGGAACAACCGGTACCAGCCGCTGCAAAATCATGCCAAAATGTAAAGACCATCGAGACTAGGAAGAAACTGCATCAACTAATGAGCAAAATCACCAGCTAACATCATAATGACAGGATCAAATTCACACATAACAATATTAACTTTAAATATAAATTGACTAAATTCTGCAATTAAAAGACACAGACTGGCAAGTTGGATAAAGAGTCAAGACCCATCAGTGTGCTGTATTCAGGAAACCTATCTCACGTGCAGAGACACACATAGGCTCAAAATAAAAGGATGGAGGAAGATCTACCAAGCCAATGGAAAACAAAAAAAGGCAGGGGTTGCAATCCTAGTCTCTGATAAAACAGACTTTAAACCAACAAAGATCAAAAGAGACAAAGAAGGCCATTACCTAATGGTAAAGGGATCAATTCAACAAGAGGAGCTAACTATCCTAAATATTTATGCACCCAATACAGGAGCACCCAGATTCATAAAGCAAGTCCTCAGTGACCTACAAAGAGACTTAGACTCCCACACATTAATAATGGGAGACTTTAACACCCCACTGTCAACATTAGACAGATCAACGAGACAGAAAGTCAACAAGGATACCCAGGAATTGAACTCAGCTCTGCACCAAGCAGACCTAATAGACATCTACAGAACTCTCCACCCCAAATCAACAGAATATACATTTTTTTCAGCACCACACCACACCTATTCCAAAATTGACCACATAGTTGGAAGTAAAGCTCTCCTCAGCAAATGTAAAAGAACAGAAATTATAACAAACTATCTCTCAGACCACAGTGCAATCAAACTAGAACTCAGGATTAAGAATCTCACTCAAAGCTGCTCAACTACATGGAAACTGAACAACCTGCTCCTGAATGACTACTGGGTACATAACGAAATGAAGGCAGAAATAAAGATGTTCTTTGAAACCAACGAGAACAAAGACACCACATACCAGAATCTCTGGGACGCATTCAAAGCAGTGTGTAGAGGGAAATTTATAGCACTAAATGCCTACAAGAGAAAGCAGGAAAGATCCAAAATTGACACCCTAACATCACAATTAAAAGAACTAGAAAAGCAAGAGCAAACACATTCAAAAGCTAGCAGAAGGCAAGAAATAACTAAAATCAGAGCAGAATGGAAGGAAATAGAGACACAAAAAACCCTTCAAAAAATCAATGAATCCAGGAGCTGGTTTTTTGAAAGGATCAACAAAATTGATAGACCGCTAGCAAGACTAATAAAGAAAAAAAGAGAGAAGAATCAAATAGACACAATAAAAAATGATAAAGGGGATATCACCACCGATCCCACAGAAATACAAACTACCATCAGAGAATACTACAAACACCTCTATGCAAATAAACTAGAAAATCTAGAAGAAATGGATACATTCCTCGACACATACACTCTCCCAAGACTAAACCAGGAAGAAGTTGAATCTCTGAATAGACCAATAACAGGCTCTGAAATTGTGGCAATAATCAATAGTTTACCAACCAAAAAGAGTCCAGGACCAGATGGATTCACAGCCGAATTCTACCAGAGGTACAAGGAGGAACTGGTACCATTCCTTCTGAAACTATTCCAATCAATAGAAAAAGAGGGAATCCTCCCTAACTCATTTTATGAGGCCAGCATCATTCTGATACCAAAGCCGGGCAGAGACACAACCAAAAAAGAGAATTTTAGACCAATATCCTTGATGAACATTGATGCAAAAATCCTCAATAAAATACTGGCAAACCGAATCCAGCAGCACATCAAAAAGCTTATCCACCATGATCAAGTGGGCTTCATCCCTGGGATGCAAGGCTGGTTCAATATACGCAAATCAATAAATGTAATCCAGCATATAAACAGAGCCAAAGACAAAAACCACATGATTATCTCAATAGATGCAGAAAAAGCCTTTGACAAAATTCAACAACCCTTCATGCTAAAAACTCTCAATAAATTAGGTATTGATGGGACGTATTTCAAAATAATAAGAGCTATCTATGACAAACCCACAGCCAATATCATACTGAATGGGCAAAAACTGGAAGCATTCCCTTTGAAAACTGGCACAAGACAGGGATGCCCTCTCTCACCGCTCCTATTCAACATACTGTTGGAAGTTCTGGCCAGGGCAATCAGGCAGGAGAAGGAAATAAAGGGTATTCAATTAGGAAAAGAGGAAGTCAAATTGTCCCTGTTTGCAGACGACATGATTGTTTATCTAGAAAACCCCATCGTCTCAGCCCAAAATCTCCTTAAGCTGATAAGCAACTTCAGCGAAGTCTCAGGATACAAAATCAATGTACAAAAATCACAAGCATTCTTATACACCAACAACAGACAAACAGAGAGCCAAATCATGAGTGAACTCCCATTCACAATTACTTCAAAGAGAATAAAATACCTAGGAATCCAACTTACAAGGGATGTGAAGGACCTCTTCAAGGAGAACTACAAACCACTGCTCAAGGAAATAAAAGAGGACATAAACAAATGGAAGAACATTCCATGCTCATGGGTAGGAAGAATCAATATCGTGAAAATGGCCATACTGCCCAAGGTAATTTACAGATTCAATGCCATCCCCATCAAGCTACCAATGACTTTCTTCACAGAATTGGAAAAAACTACTTTAAAGTTCATATGGAACCAAAAAAGGGCCCGCATCGCCAAGTCAATCCTAAGCCAAAAGAACAAAGCTGGAGGCATCACACTACCTGACTTCAAACTATACTACAAGGCTACAGTAACCAAAACAGCATGGTACTGGTACCAAAACAGAGATATAGATCAATGGAACAGAACAGAGCCCTCAGAAATAATGCCGCATATCTACAACTATCTGATCTTTGACAAACCTGAGAAAAACAAGCAATGGGGAAAGGATTCCCTATTTAACAAATGGTGCTGGGAAAACTGGCTAGCCATATGTAGAAAGCTGAAACTGGATCCCTTCCTTACACCTTATACAAAAATCAATTCAAGATGGATTAAAGATTTAAACGTTAGACCTAAAACCATAAAAACCCTAGAAGAAAACCTAGGCATTACCATTCAGGACATAGGCGTGGGCAAGGACTTCATGTCCAAAACACCAAAAGCAATGGCAACAAAAGCCAAAATTGACAAATGGGATCTAATTAAACTCAAGAGCTTCTGCACAGCAAAAGAAACTACCATCAGAGTGAACAGGCAACCTACAACATGGGAGAAAATTTTCGCAACCTACTCATCTGACAAAGGGCTAATATCCAGAATCTACAATGAACTCAAACAAATTTACAAGAAAAAAACAAACAACCCCATCAAAAAGTGGGCGAAGGACATGAACAGACACTTCTCAAAAGAAGACATTTATGCAGCCAAAAAACACATGAAGAAATGCTCATCATCACTGGCCATCAGAGAAATGCAAATCAAAACCACTATGAGATATCATCTCACACCAGTTAGAATGGCAATCATTAAAAAGTCAGGAAACAACAGGTGCTGGAGAGGATGTGGAGAAATAGGAACACTTTTACACTGTTGGTGGGACTGTAAACTAGTTCAACCATTGTGGAAGTCAGTGTGGCGATTCCTCAGGGATCTAGAACTAGAAATACCATTTGACCCAGCCATCCCATTACTGGGTATATACCCAAAGGACTATAAATCATGCTGCTATGAAGACACATGCACACGTATGTTTATTGCGGCACTATTCACAATAGCAAAGACTTGGAACCAACCCAAATGTCCAACAATGATAGACTGGATTAAGAAAATGTGGCACATATACACCATGGAATACTATGCAGCCATAAAAAATGATGAGTTCATGTCCTTTGTAGGGACATGGATGAAATTGGAAACCATCATTCTCAGTAAACTATCGCAAGAACAAAAAACCAAACACCGCATATTCTCACTCATAGGTGGGAATTGAACAATGAGATCACATGGACACAGGAAGGGGAATATCACACTCTGGTGACTGTGGTGGGGTCGGGGGAGGGGGGAGGGATAGCATTGGGAGATATACCTAATGCTAGATGACACATTAGTGGGTGCAGCGCACCAGCATGGCACATGTATACATATGTAACTAACCTGCACAATGTGCACATGTACCCTAAAACTTAGAGTATAATAAAAAAAAAAAAATTAAAAAAAAAAAAACAAAAAAAAAAGCTAGTCCCACATGGCTTACAGATGAAATGTATCAGCTGCATAATTTGGGGTGTTCTACTTGGCATTTATAGGTGGAGTCTGGCAGTCCCCCTTCTCAGGGTAAACAGATCTTACAGTGGCTTTTATTCAGTCCATCAGGCTTGCTGTTCCCTCAGGAATAACCTCCTGTGTGTCTGGATTATGTACACCCATGTGCAATTGTTCAGCATTGAGTTGTGGGTCCTGCATCAAACCAAACATGCTCTTCCATTCTGCAGCATTCAAAACCAAAGATACTGCCCCTAAATTAGTTATTCTCATAATCCATTTTTATAAAGGTTCCTCAAGAGGTGGATGATACAGATCTACAAAATGGAATAGTTCCTTTACACCATACCCTCTAGTTTCAATAATTATTTGGTTCTTCCCTTCTCCCACAGGTCACCACAGGTCTCAGAGGTACTTTCTGTTGTTCCTGCATAATTTTTCCCTTGTGCCATGGTTCTGAGGCTAGTGGCTGAAGCTTAGACTCACTGAAATCTAAGTTTGGTGTATGTAGTGTCACGGTCTAACCCAGCACTTTCTTTTAATTTTATTTTAGCTAGTATAGATAACAATAATCAAGGGATTGAATAGTTTGCTTTTTTCTGATTAGTTTGCATTTTCTTATGCATCCGGTGAACCAATTCTCCATCTCTAAATTCCATTGGTAACTTTTACCTTTAGTAACTCAGCAGAGCACTGTGACTTCATATCACAGGTGATTGTTTGGCCACCCAGGAATCAAGGGTTTCTCATCCCCCAGGCTTTTATCCTTTCTCTTCTCAAACCAAATGTTTCTCTGAACCTGAGCCATTCTAGCTAATCCCACTTCACTAACATCAATTGTTCCTGAAAAACTCTCAGAACATTTTTTTCTGTGTTCTTATACCACAACAATCAATGAGGAAGACTTCTGTGACCCTGAAATATGTGGGAATTTCTTCTCCCCAGCAAACAAGCAGTCCTCTTCCTGCTGGGTGTCCTCCAATTCAGTTCTGACACCATCTGCCTGGAGATAGCCTTAGATCCCACAGGTTGACGGCTCAGTCCCCAAGACTGCTTCCCCAGACACCAGTCATAAGTCCAGACCTCCAGATCTTCTGACTGACTGACTTTAAGTTGGGGTTCCCACAGCCCCTTCTTTGGGTTCCTTTAATTTGCTGGAGCAGCTCACAGAACTCAGGGAAACACTTAGGTTTACTGGTTTATTTTAAAGGATATTATCAAGGATGCAGATGAAGAGATGTGTAGGGCAAGGTATGGGGGAAGGAGTGTGGAGCTTCCTTGCCCCACTTGGGTGCTCAACCCCCAGGAATCTGCACATGTTTAGCTATCCAGGAACTGTTCAAACCCTGTCCTTTTGGGGTTTTATGGAGGCTTCATTATATAGGCATGATTGACAACCATTTAAAAATGTGATTGAACAAGAAGCCCATGTTCTAAACCCAGAAAGACCTCCTTATTCAGACTTTTCTTGGCCTCTCTGTGTAGTATTTCTTCCTCTAGGTTATGGGGCAGGACATTTTCTGGAATTAGAGTCTTTTGACCCACAATCAGATTAAATTCCTACCTTGGGCAGGTACAAGGACACTGATAGAGGCAAGAGGCACACAAATTCCTAGGCAGAAACGGCCAGGTCCCCAGTGAAACCCAACCTTCAAGCCAGGCTATCAGCTCAGGGTGGGGTCCACAGCCAGGAGTGAGAACTTCCTCGATGCCTTTTAGCTAATCAAATGGTGCTTTTCCCAAGCCCGCCTATGGACCAGTCAGCACACACTCCCCGATCCTGAGCCCATAAAAACCCCAGACTCAGCCACATATTGGGACTACCTGCCTTAGTTAGGGCACCCTCTCATACAGAGGGCTACCCACTTTGGGTCCCGTCTTGTGTTGAGAGCTGTTCTTGCATTGAATAAAACCCTCCTCCACCTGGCTCACTCTCCAGTGTCTGTGTAACCTCATGCTTCTTGGATGTGGGACAAGAACCTGGGACCCGCTGAACAGTAGGAGTGAAAAGGGTTATAACACTTTCCTGGCTGGCTCACTGAGCTGAGGGTGGTGACACACTCCTGTTCACTAGAGCAGCAACCCTTCTAGGGGCCTAGACCTCAGGATTCCCTGAGCCAGAGCTGTAACACTGTAATCCTCCCACCCTTTGCTGGTGCTGGGCAGCTGCCCCACATTATGGGAACTGGCAGCGGTGGGGCTGGGCCAGCCCAGGAGCCACGGGCTGGAGTGGGGTGGCAGGACCAAATGAGCTGGGACATGCCCCCATTCACGAAAGCATGCAGATGGTAGGAATGAATGAGCTATAACAGGAACAAGCTGTGATGCTTCCTGGGGGCTCAGAGCTTAGGACTCCCTGAGCAAAAGGGTAACACCCCTTGGGGCTCCGCAGTTGCTGGCATCTCCAAGTTTTCAGGCTCTGCTGCATCCCCCACCCCTTGTCCAGATGCTGGCACCCAAGGCAGAAGCCAGTCACAGCATGCCCAGCCCAGCTATGGGCTGAGCACAGAGCCACAGCAGGTGTGGAACCTGGGCCAATAACATGAGCTAAGCATTGCCTGCCAGGCTTAATGGGCAGAGCAAGTCTAGTGGCAAGCCCAGAGCTGAGTGAGGCCCCGGCCAGAGGTGCAGCTGGCCAACCGTGGAGATTTCTGGCTGGTGAAGCAGCACTGAAAGAATCTTGTGTCAACAGGAGAAGGTCAGAGAGAGAGATTGTTTCCTGACATCTGCTCCTGAGGCCTAATAAAGCAACCCAGCATTATAATAAAAGACTAACAAGGGCTATGGGAGTTAAGAGCCAGGAACTCTGGATGTAAACCAATATATATGTATTAGTCCATTTTTACACAGCCAAACCATATCAATATATAATCATAATATCACACCAGGACAGTGGACAGCTCAGTAGTCTGACAGCAAGAATATAATGCTCAATTCTAAACTGGAGAATGTAAACACAGCAAGGAAATCCTGGATACAGCGTTGAATTGTACCATGCTAGACTGGCTGCTGCTCTCCATGATTTTGATCTGTCACACATCAATAAGAGACCTAGAACTTGCTTTCCTGAGAGCAAGAGATGAGTAGTTTTGTTTGTAGGACACAGTTAATTTTGATGCAACTAACCTAAAAGATAAGCATATTCTTTCTCAACCACTTTGTAAAGCTGAAAGTAAATTCAGTAGCCTAGAAATTGATCTCCATCATACAAGAGATGCTCTCAGAGAAAAGACCTTGGTTTTAGAATCTGTACAAAGAAACCTAAGCCCTCATGCATGGCACCAGGTCGGGGATAACCAGGTCCACATGTCTTTATGTCTTTCCACAATGTCAGACTTTTACTGATACTATTTCAGCCACAAAAGCCATGAGCTACATGGAGTTCCCAAGGAATCGATTCTCAGTACTTCCTTTTCAGTCAGTAGAGCCATAGGCACACAGGTTCAAGTCACTCCACAAGTCAGTCAATATTGCAAACCATAATAGTATACTTAATATATAATTTTATAGATTAAACTTCCCATAACAAAGTAACATTTAACATCAAGGAAAAGGGGATAGGAAAAAGGGTTAATGAACCACTCCAGGGAGAGAGACATTGACAAAAAGAATATCCTGGTCTGGGGCAGGCAGTCCCTCAATCTTGCAAGGAAAAGACTTTGATGTGGGCAGAGCCTTCAGTGGCAAATGCCGGGTGCTTATCACAAGTGACAGCAAGACTGTCAGTTAAGATGGCCGTTTGAGCTGCTGAAGTCTTGCTCTTTCTATGGCCACAGAGTCCTATGGTGAGGACTGAAAATGGAGGAATGTGCTTGGTTATGTCCTCATTTGATTGAATAGAGTCTTTATTGATCAAGTAAAACATCTGGCCTCTGTTGGCAAAGTGCCTAATGAAATGTAAGATGGAGTCTTTTTCTGAGATAAAGTTACTTATGTCAAGGATACTCTATGTGTAAGCCAAACACAGTGTCAAATGAAGTAAATCAAGCAAATGTATTAGAATGAATAAGATAAAGTAAGTAAATACATTGGAAAGCAGAAGTCTGTAAAAGAGGGATTATCTTGACTATAGAGTAAAAATAGAAAGCCCCAAAACTTATATGGAAACAAATTTAGTACAACAAGAATGTGGAAACAAATTTAGTACAAGAAAGAGACCAAAGAAAGAGTAAACAAGATATAGTAGAAAAGTTAAAAGAAAATCTATCTTTGCAGACACAAGCAGCATCTTGAGAGAACTTAGTTAAGAGAGAATAAAGTTGCTTCAATAAGAAGTCGCAGGGAGCTGAGAAAGATCTGAAATCTGAACTCTCAAAAATGAAAACTTTCCATAAGACTAATAAAACTGAGTTGGAAAAATATAAGCAGCTCTATCTACAAGAATTAAAAGTTAGAAAATCATTGGCAACTAAACTAAACAAAACCAATGATAAAATAGCAGAGGTTAATAGCAAACTTCTTGTAGAGAACAGCAGATCAGATTTTTACACCACTCTTATTACGAGGCAGTCCTAGAGTCACTTTGTGTGCCGAAAACAGGATAGTGTTCAAAGAACATTTTCTAGTCACTCAGAAACCATCAACATTGTCAGAGGCCTTGACCTTCAGACAGATATAAACCTGATTGGAAGTCTTGTGAACTCTTTGAGCACCAACACTTGTCACTGGTCAGAGTTTCTTTTCATATATTAAATTCGTTTTCTTCACTTTCAGCTTTAGCTTTATTAGCTAGGGTATTTTTATAAGACTCATGAGTGGGGATGGGAAAGGTGATCTTTTCATGTACTTTGTTTTGTTCTTACCCATCCCTCCCACCAAAAAATGAGACCAGAACTGTTAATGTTACTATTGCTCTGTGAGAAAAGATATCTTGGTGAATAATTTAGAGACAGGGCTCAGAAGAAGAGAGGAAAATGTGGGAAAGTTTGGAACTTTAGCCTAGAGACTTGTTGAATGGCTTTGCCCAAAATGTTAATAGTCATGGACAATAAACTACAGGTTGAGGTGATGTCAGATGGAAATGAGAAACTTGTTGGGAACTGGAGTAAAGGTGATTCTTGCTGTGTTTTAGCAAAGAGACTTGTGGCATTTTGCCCCTGCCCTAGAGATTTGTGAAACTTTCAACTCGAGAGAGATGATTTAGGGTATGTGGTGGAAGAAATTTCTAAGCAGAAAAGCATTCAAGAGCTGACTTGGATCCTGTTAAAGGCATTCAGTTTTACAAGGGAAGCAGAGCATAAAAGTTTAGAAAATGTGTACCCTGACTACGCGATAGGAAAGAAAAACCCATTTTCTGGGGAGAAAGTCAAGCCGGCTGCAGAAATTTGTGTAAGTAGCAAGTAGCCGAATGTTAATTCCCAAGATGGGGGAAATGTCTCCAGGTCATGTCAGAGACCTTCGCAGCAGCTCCTTCCCCTGCTCCCCTACCTCCGCATCACAGGCCCAGAGGCCCAGGAGGAAAAAGTGGTTTGTTTCGTGGGCTGGACTCAGGGTCCCCATGCTGTGTGCAGTCTGGGGACTTGGTGCTGTGCATCCCAGCCACTCCAGCCGTGTCTAAAAGAGGCCAAAGTACAGCTTGGGCTGTGACTTCAGAGAGTGGAAGCCCCAAGCCTTGGCAGCTTCCATGTGGTGTTGAGCCTGCGGGTACACAGAAGTTAAGAATTAAGGTTTGAGAACCTCTGCCTAGATTTCAGAAGATGTATGGAAATGCCTGGATGCCCAGGCAAGTTTGCTGCAGGATAGCGGCCCTCATGGAGAACCTATGCTAGTGGGGAAGGGAAATATGAGGTCAGAGCCCCCACACAGAGTCCCTACTGGGGCACCACCTAGTGGAGCTGTGAAAAGAGGGCCACTGTCCTCCAGACCACAGAATGGTAGATCTACTGACAGCTTGCACCATGCATCTGGAAGAGCCGCAGACACTCAATGTCAGCCTGTGAAAGCAGCCAGGAGGGAGGCTGTACTCTGCAAAGCCACAGGAGAAGGGCTGCCAAAGACCATGGGAACCCACCTCTTGCATCAGTGTTACCTGGATGTGAGACATGGAGTCAAAGGAGATCCTTTTGGAACTTTAAGATTTGACTGTACCACTGGATTTTGGACTTGAATGGGGCCTGTGGCCTCTTCATTTTGGCCAATTTCTCCTATTCAGAATGGCTGTATTTACCCAATGCCTATACCCCCATTGTATCTAGGAAGAACTAACTTGCTTTTGATTTTACAGGCTCATAGGTGGAAGGGATTTGTCTTGTCTCAGATGAGACACTGGACTATGGACTTTTGAACTAATGTGGAAATGAGTTAAGACTTTTGGGGACTGTTGGGAAAGCATGATTGGTTTTGAAATGTGAGGACATGATATTTGAGAGGGGGCAGGGGTGGAATGATATGGTTTGGCTGTGTCCGCACCTAAATCTCAACTCGAATTGTATCTGCCAGAATTCCCACATATTGTGGGAGGGACCCAGTGGGAGGTAATTGAATCCTGAGGGCTGGTCTTTCCCGTGCTGTTCTCATGATAGTGAATAAGACTCATGAGATCTGATGGGTTTATCAGGGGTTTCCACTTTTGCTTCTTTCTCATTGTCTTTTGCTGCCACCATGTAAGAAATGCCTTTTGCCCTCTGCCATAATTGTGAGACCTCCCCAGCCACAAGGTGGAACTGTAAGTTAAATTAAACCTCGTTTGCTTCCCAGTCTTGAGTATGCCTTTATCAGCAGCGTAAAAATGGACTAATGCATTACATTGGTACCAGGAGTGGGGTGTTGCTGAAAAGATACTCAAATATGTGGAAGTGACTTTGGAACTGGGTAACAGGCAGAGGTTGGAACAGTTTGGAGAGCTCAGAAGAAGACAGGAAGATGAATGAAAGTTTGGAACTGCCTAGAAACTTGTAGAATAGTTTTGACCAATGAAGTCCAGGCTGAGATGGTTTCAGATGGAGATGAGGAACTTATTGGGAACTGGAGCAAAGGTCACTCTTGCTGCGTTTTAGCAAAGAGACTGGTGGAATTTTGCCCCTGCCCTAGAGATCTGTGGAGCCTTGAACTTGAGAGAGGTGATTTAGGGTATCTGGTGGAAGAAATTTCTAAGGAGCAAAGCATTCATGAGGTGACCTGGCTTATTCTGAAAGCATTCAGTCATATTCATTCACAGAGATGGTTTGAAATTGGAACTTATTAAAAGGGAAGCAGAGCATAAAGGTTTGGAAAATTTGCAGCCTGACTGTGAGGTGAAAAAGAAAACCCCATTTTCTGGGGAGAAATTCAAGCCAGCTGCAGAAATTTGTGTAAGTAACAAGGAGCTGAATGTTCATACCAAGACAATAGGGAAAATGTCTCCAGGGCATGTCAGAGATCTTCACAGCTGCCCCTTTCATCACAGGCCCAGAGGCCTAGGAGTAAAAGTGGTTTCGTGGGCCTGGCCCAGGGCCCCACTGCTCTATGCAGCCTCAGGACTTGGTGCCCTGTGTCCCAGATGCTCCAGCCATGGCTAAAAGGGGCCAAGGTACAGCTTGGCTTTTGCTTCAGAGGGTGCAAACCCCAAGCTTTAGCAGCTTCCATGTAGTGTTGGGCCTGCAGGTACACAGAAGACAAGAGTTGAGGTTTGGGAACCTCTGCCTAGATTTCAGAGAATGTACGGAAATACCTGGATGTCCAGGCAGAAGTCTGCTGCAGGGCTGGGGCCCTCATGAAGAACTTCTGCTATGGCAGTGCAGAAGGGAAATGTGGGGTTGGAGCCCCCACACAGAGTCCCCACTGGGACACTGCCTAGTGGAGCACTCAGAAGAGGGCCACCATCTTCCAGACCCCAGAATGGTAAATCCAGTGACGGCTTCCTCTGTGCACCTTGGAAAAGCCGCAAGCACTTAATACCAGCCTGTGAAAGCAGCCACAGGGGCTGTCCCCTGCAGAGCCACAGGGGTGGGGCCCAAGGCCTAGGGAGCCCACCTCTTGCATCAGCATGTCCTGGATGTGAGACATGGAATCAAGGAGATTTTGGAGGTTTTATATATATATATATATATATATAAATTTTTTTTTTTTGAGACGGAGTTTCGCTCTTGTCACCCAGGCTGGAGTGCAATGGCACGATCTTGACTCACCGCATTTGGAGGTTTAATATTTAATGATTGCCTGGCCAGGTTTTGCACTTGCATGGGGCCTGTGGCCCCTTTGTTTTGGCCATTTTCTCACATTTGGAACAGGAATATTTACCCCCTGTATCCCCATTGTATCTTACAAGTAACTAACTTGCTTTTGATTTTGCAGGCTTATAGGTGGAAGGGACGTTTCTAATTGGTGTAGGTTCTTAAAACATAGAAAAAATAGGCTTTCTTAGTACTACCCTTTGTGTCTACTTAAAAAAGTTATTTTTCGATTTTATTTTCCTATAAATTCATTGTTTTCATCCAAACAGCAGCTGCAGTTGCAGGCATTTTTATGACCAACTCACGGATAGTCTTACTTTAGAGAACCCAGACTAATACACTGCCCTTTGTAAGCTGTTGTTGGTAATGTGTGTTAAAGGCAGATAGGGGCCAAAAGGTATTCAAAAGTATAAGCAATTAGACACAAAAAGTTCTCAGACTTGGGTGGCCTTATTGAGGGAAACGAGCATGGTTGTGCCTCATTATCTGAGGATTTCTAGGATAGCCTCACTGCCCAAATTCTCTTCCCCACCTGCCAGCCAGGGGCCCAACATGCATTTGCATCTCAGTGGCTCCTTTTTAGGCCATCAGGAATTTTTTTGTTAAATACCAAGTTCATCTGAAAAGATGTGAGGATTAGTTCACACTCACTTGAAAACAGGACTGGTAGAAATAAGATCTAGAGCACACTGGCCAACTTCACTTCAGTAACCTGCCACTCTCACCACACAAATCAGGCAGCCGTATTATGGCAGGGGCTTGTAAAAACTGAGGAACAAGCCCCTTGTGTCTCAGTTTCTCTTCTGTTTCCAGTAATGTACAGTGTTCATGCATTCTTTTCTTTTTTTGTTGTTGTTTAAAAATTTTATTTATTTTATAAGTCACTCAAATTTCTTCTCTTAACTATTTCAGTTTAGTATTACACAGTATACAGAGTGGGATGTAAGAACCATAAACTGTTCCATAACCACGTTTGAATCAAATAATCATGATTTGTGTTCCCTTTGGCATCTCAGTATCTCCAGGCTCCAGCACTTGCTTAGCTGTTATGACTCCGGCGAGCCTGTGTTTCTGGGAGAGCGCTACGGCTACGGCCTGGGCACTGGTGGCTACAGCTACATCACGGGAGGAGGAGGGTAACTATGATCACAGCTTTCTTCAACTACTTTAAACATAAACTTCCCTTTCCACACGAGAGGTAGGTCTCTGGCACTGGGATCTATACTGTACGTGAGTACTCTGTGAATGGTGGTTGTTACTATAATAGGAAAGTGAACATTATATTTGCTAAATATTAAAAGAACACTCAGTAAAGAATATTTTAGCCCTTGAAGAAATGATATAAAAAAGTATGTCATACTTGCTAGAATGTCCCTAACAATGGTTGCTTCTAGACAGCCAACTAGTTTTGATTGTCTATTTAAATGGAAAAAAAAAATTGGTTATAGATTTTAATCTCAGAGAATAAGCCATTAGACTATTAAATTATGTAATGCTTAATAAATCGCCTTTGGAGAAAGTGTAGTATAGAAGCTTACTTAGGCAATTAAGTAATATTTATGTAGGATTTATAGGTTTTAAATAACAGTTAAAAATCAGTGTTTTAAATGAAGCATCTGCCTAATCTCATACGAAGAAAGATTTTAACTTGATTTATATGGGTAAATCAATTAAGCAGTTTTCCCTATTACTTCTGTAGTCTTACTATTGGTGCGTGTAGGCAAAATCTTATCAACGGTAGTCATTTAAATTCACTCAGTAGATATTTGTTGCATGTCTTCTGTGTTCCAGGCAGCATTCTAGTTTATAATCTAATGGATTATACACTTCTGGAGGGCTAGGACCTTTAATTCCTACTTTGCAATTCCCTAGATTGGAACAATTCCTACAGGAACCTGCAGGATCTCAACAGTCGTACTACAGGCATCCTGATTTTGTTTAGCCAATACAGTGGTGAAGATAACACGGTTATGGTGGTGGCTCTTTTGTAGTGATAACCAAACCTGAGCATGTGTGCTGATCTTTGTTAGACGATGGCTTGCATCTACCTGAGGTCATTAACAACAGGAGGGGGAGTCCAGGGAGGCCTTTGAAAAGACACTAGAGTAAGCCCAAGGAGTGTTGACCTCCTTATCAAAAAAGGTTCAAGCTATTTGCGGCCTTACTGTAATGCATCGGGCTTTCTGGGTGAAGAGTTAGGGCCAATTAAGGATCAGAACATGGCACCCATTGAGCCAGGATGTTCCACTTTGAAAGTGGCCCTGTTATTTGTATATGGGTTTATATACTTTATAGCATGATGGCGTTCATATAATATTTTTAACACAGAAGTGACTTGTTATATGATTTCTGCAAGAAAACCATTTTGTTGTCTTCATTGCATATTGGATTTAGCTGTTGTTTCCAAGACTGGCACTCAAGGCCTTCTGAAACCTCACTTTACCTTACCTATCTAGAATTGCCTTTCATCATCCCAGTTGGTTGTTTATTCGTTCAACTGGCCTTGTGTGGGCCAGGCACAGGGAATGCACAGATGAAAGCTGCACAGCCCCTTCCCCACAGGACCTCACAGGCCAGTGCCAGATTTGCAAATACATTGCATAATTGTCACTGCTCCCCCTTCCCTTGCCCCTGGCAGGCTGTGCTAGACCACCAAGGTGGCACCTTTAACTTCTGTGCTCAGCGTCTACCCTGCCCCTGGGTACTTCCCACCACCTCTAGTTTTTCTGTCTTAAAACTTCTCACCACCACCATGCCTTCTCCTTCCTACCCTGCGGAACATCTTGAGTTCACTACTCTATCTCCATTTTCTCAGCTCCATGCTCAGCCTTCTAAGAGTCATAAACTCCCAGCCTCCTAAACTACCTCACCAAGGTTTCCAGCAACCTTGCTGTCGCTAAATCAAATTAATAATTTCCAATTTTTATCCTGTTTCACTGACAGCCTTTAACACCAGTGACTGTTGACCTGAAACACCCCTTTCTCTTGCTTTCCAGAGCGCCATCCTATCCTTGTTCATCCTTCTTTCTGGTCATTCCTTCTCAGTTGTTTCTGTCTATCCCTTCAATGTCTTGTGTTACTCAGGCATCTTTTCTAGTCCTCCTTCTCACCCTGTATTGTCCCTGGGTGATCTTATGGCTTGATGCTGAATGTACCCAGAACTCTTTCTCCAGCCTAGAACTCTGCTGGCCTCTGGATTCATAGATTCAAAGGGCATCTCCACTTGACTGATTGACAGACACATCACACTCAACACCTTGTCATTTCTGACCGTAACCCCTGATTTGTTCTTCCAATGTCCCCCTCTCAGGGAAAACATTGGCATATATGAGTTCTTATCCCAGGAGTCTGTGAGTCAGCTCTCACCCTTTCTTTCCTTCTTTCCCCACTCCCTGCAATCAACTGAATCACCCAGTCCTGTCCATTTTATTTCCTAAATCTCTCTTCCATCAATACTTCTCTCTACCTCCAGTAATCTCAGCCAGGTCACTGTCATATCCTATATGAGCTCCTGCCACAGCCTCCTGTTCCCCCTACTTTTTGGTCTTAAACTCCACTCCATGCTGTTGTCCACACTGTAGTCAAAGGGACCTTTCTAAAAGCAGATCTGGTCCTGTCTCCCCTCTGCTCAGAGGCCCTCAGTGGCTTCTCATTGTCTTTTCTCCAAGAGTGTGAACCTTTTTCTACTTTTGACATCTAAGACAAAGAGATGATCATTTAGATTTTAACAAGAGTCAAGTTGATCTGGGATGAGTCCTCAATTTAATCTTCTCTAGTTTGCCTGATTACCAGCCTCCCTGGGTGTTGCTGAGGCCACTGCTTTGGGCCCGAAAGCCCAAGAAAAGTTTTGTCTTCTACCCACTTACCAGGCCCAGTTTGCCGCTGAAAGCTGCCATGGCTGTCTTGCTACTCCCCTAGCAAGGATTTTTCTCTCTAGAAATTCATTCATCTAGGCTTCGTGTCATTCACCTCTCTTCAATTTCATAATTACATATGATTTTCCTGTTATTTGAATATTTTTATTTGAGTGTTACCATGGCATGAAAGTCTTTTGCATCTTCTGATATCCTAACTGGCAGTAGAACTTCTCCCATTGCCTTTAGGATCAAGTCTGCACTCCAAGGCTTATAAGACCTCTCATGATCTTGGCAGATGCTGTTTTACCTTTCTAGCCTCATCCATCTACACCCTTATCTTAAAGAACTCTTGCTGAACTTGTTTCAGTTTCTCTGAAGCACTATTTTTTTCCTCTCCTCCCAAGATACGACATTCGCTGGTCTCTGCATACCATTGTTTCCCCAACTTTCTGCCTGTCTAGTTCCTCCTTGTTCTTTTGGACTCACCATAGCTATCACCATTTACTCTTGAATGCCTTTAGCCCAATCTAGCCTCTCAAATCTGGGTTTAATGCATTTCTAATGTACTTTCATAGCATATTATGCAAACCATTATCATTTAATTGCCTATTTACTTTTCTATTTTCCACTTAAATTATGCATTATTTGAAGGCAACACCTGTGTGTTTCATTTCTCGTTATTTCCTCGCTTCTTAGCATAGGGACTCATGTTTTTCAAGGTACAGTGAATAAATGAATAAACAAATCCATGAACACAAGGCACTGATCTTTATATAGCTAACATTGACCAATGTGATGTTCTGTCTTTAATAGCGCTTTTACAAAGATGCAGGAACATTCGTCATGAGATTGTCTCTTACATCAACCTTTGATAAAAGCTGTAAGACATAATGTTGAATAGTTTCTCTAGTATTACAGCAGAATTTTCTGATGCTCTAGCTTGAGAACCAATATGCCTTTTAACAGCAAGTCAGAATCAGTGGCTTGTAAAACCAATTCATGGACCATGACTAGCATTTTAAATTAATGAACTATTGAGTGGAATAGAATAAAATGGAAAATATCAGAGTGCATTCCATGTCATAAGGGTAAGTATTGTTTGTGACATTTTTGTTTCAGCTTTATACATACCCATGCACACTCACACATGAAACATATAAATGGTTGCAATGTGAAATTAATTTCTTGTTTTCTGATGGCGGGTCACAGTCCAGTAAGTTTTTGAAAACCACTACCTTAAACCATCCATCTTAGGTAAGGATGTTTTGACAGAGCCGAGTCAGACATGTAGGTTCCTGTGGTTTCTGTGTAGGTATTTTGCGTTGTTTGGAGCATGAGACCTTTGTACTATTTGAATCCAAGTGTCTGTTTTTCACTTTGTTGCTTACTCCATGAAAGTTTTGGTACTTGGAGAAAATAAATTGAATGACCATTTTTTTTTTATTATTTCAACAGGCTTTTGAGGGGCAGGAGGTGTTTGGTTATATGAATGAGTTCTTTAGTGGTGATTTCTGATATTTTGGTGCACCTGTCACCCAAGTAGTGTACGCTGTGTCCAGTGTGTAGTCTTTTATCCCTCATCCCCACCCCTCTTCCGAGTTCCCAAAGTTCATTGTATCATTCTTATGCCTTTGCATCCTCATAACTTAGCTCCTACTTATAGGTGAGAACATGTGATGTTTTGACCATTTCTTTTTGAAAATACTTATTTACATATGTGCATTTAGGTAGGAAGCTGTGCTTAGGCTATCTATCATCAGCCTTTTTGGCAGCCTTGGGAGCAAATGACTACACCAGAATAAGATGTTGGGCAATGTCCTCGGAAGAGGCCGCAGGCAGTGTTACCCAGAGAGACTGCCATGACCTATTTATTGGCTGAAGGCCAGGAAGGGCAGGCATGTTTCTCATGCATGTTCCCTTCCTACATCGTCTTGATCTGCACTGTGTTCTTGGGCAAGTCCCAGACTCCCATTTCAGTTTTTCTTATTTTAAACATTTGTATATTGTATATTGAAGGAAATAAAATAATCCTGTAGCCTTTCAACATCTTTTTAATGTTTAATAGTTGGTGGCCAGAGCAGACAAGTGTTCTTTCCCACGATGATATGACTGGTAGTTTTCCATTTTGGGGAGCAACCTTATTTGGAAAGAACTCATCAGCATGCTAATAAACAAGTGTTATTAACGGCTCATATTCACTTAGTTTATGCAAATAATTAATGTAAGACTGTGTGAGTAGGCAAAAGTATAAAATAATTACATATTAAAATTTCATGCTCACGTTTCATCTTCCTATAAAGTTAGTTTTTCAGAGAGCGGATCAAAAAAATGAAAGTCTTTCTCATTTTTTCTCATTTTACTAGATGCTGACAAAAGAAAAAAAGCATTTTTACTATTTACTGTCAACACATCTTCTCATGTGTGCTCTTTTCCCGGAGTCAGTAGCTTGAGCCCAACGTGGCCGATTGGGTGTAGGAGTTCCACTCAGCCACAAAAAATGTGGCCAGGGAGGTTTCACTGTGGACAGCAGGCTTTCTAAGAGAAAGGCAATTTATGGTGGGTTTTCAGACTTGCAGTTTTCCTTTCTCTGTAGTTGACAGGAACTTTCTTTTTATACCTTCCTATTTTGTTACAACATCTTAAGTAAAGAAATTCTCTTGTCTAGTCAAGGGCAGGGAGGGAGTTCTGCACTGTTGCAGGGGACGGAGGAGGGGGTTGGCCACTAGCATTAGGTAAAACTGCTGAATTGAGCCCAGCATGTGGAATCAGTATTTTTGATTCAGGGATTCAAGCTCTTTGTCCTTTTTTCCTTCCTCCTAGACTGATTCATAGAATGTTTCCTCCCCCAGGAAGAAGGTCTTTGTAAAGGCGACTTTGTTCTCACTTGTTTGATGCATCAAACTTCCATTGAGTGCTGTGGGCAAGGCCCTATATGTGGCAGTGGGACTATATGGATGAATTTTAAATAGTTTTGCCTTAAAGAAAGTCTTTGATGATTGAGACTGAACTTATGAACCATATTGTTTCCTTCGGCCCTTTCAGTTATTGAGCTTTTTATGGTATGAAAAGATTCATTTCTACCTTAGGATCAGAATGAAAACAAGAAACCAATCTGTATTTTAAAACGAAGAGAAATTATTTTGGGAACTTGGTACAAAAGTGTTGGAAAGGGCCAGAAGACTAAAAGAGAACAGGTAGGGTTTTACCTAGAGCTCAGTAACTAGAGAAAGCTACTATTGCCTCTCAGTCTGCAGGAGTAAAGTCCTGTTTCCCGGGGCCCATTTGTGCAGCAGCGGTGTCTGTGGAGCTTCTCTAACCCCTTTCTCTGCTCTGGCTCCCACTAGAATGGTCTTCAGCAGAGAAGCCGTCAGGAGACTTCTCGCCAGTAAATGTCGATGCTACAGCAATGATGCTCCCGATGATATGGTCCTGGGAATGTGCTTTAGTGGCTTGGGAATCCCTGTGACACACAGCCCTCTCTTCCATCAGGTGAGGAAATGGTTTTTATTCTTCCCTCATGGCAGGTGAGGGACAGATTCTTCTCACTTAAGGATTTGACTTCTTTCTCTTCACATATTCGGGAAACAGACTAAGAACTGTGTTGACAGGCTCCAGGGGAATGTCCTTAACCAGGACTGTTACCCTGTTTGATGTACACACTGTCTCATGTACGTCATGAAGATGGGAGGCAAAAACGTCTCGAAAACCAAGTGGCGTTTGACCAGGATCCTCGCCATGTAGGACCAGGGAAAAGCTGTTTTTTGGTTTATCTTTTTAGTTAAAAGGATTGGTAGCATTTAAAAATTATTGGATACTGCCTAGAAATATATAGGACTGACCTAATATTGTCCTACTGGCCACTGAGTCTATGTAATTCTACACCATCCTCAGTTTTTACGCTATCTGTCTTTTCACTGAGCTTTTTCTCCTTCACTTGCCATTAAAATGAATGGCTAAAATCTATTAAGTTGCAAATGGGTATCTCAATAAGCATATATTCTGAGGGTTATGGAAAAGAAGAGATGAGCTTATGTTTACCAGGGACGGGTAGTGCTTTTAGCCTCCCCATATTGCAGTTTGGGGGTTGGAGAAGGAAATCCTCCTGCATTATGTTTAGTATCTTTTAAGAACCAAGTCAGTGAATTTTCTTTTAAGAATAATAGCAGTTGTTCACAAACTAAAAATAACCATAGATCCATACCCATCTAATATCCTCCTCAAGAAATTTAAAGTTTTTGAAACTTGAAGTGTGTATGCATAAGTATTTTAGATGCCTTCTCTTATATTGAAAATACTTTTTTTATGCCTTATTTATTTATTTTTATTTATTTATTTATTTTGAGATAGGGTCTTGCTCACTGCAACGTGGCTCACTGCAGACTTGATCTCGTGGGTTCAAATGATCCTCTTGCCTTAGTCTCCCAAGTATCTGGGACTACAGGCGCACACCGCCATGCCTGGCTAATTTTTAAAGTTTTTTATAGAGATGGGGGTCTTACTATGTTGCCCAGACTGGTTTCAAACTGCTGGACTCAAGCGATCCTCCCACCTCGACTTCCCAAAGTGCCAGGATTACAGATGTGAGCCACTGCACCTGGCCCATGCTCTATTTATTTGGTAACCAGTAGCAAACATTATCATAGCAATATAGAAAACTTAGCATGACAGAAATAGTATACTATAGAAAACAACTCGAATAAGACTAAGAAAGTGTTTGCATCATCAGGAAAGGCAGAATCCATTTCTGTATCCTTGAGACAATAAGAGAGGATAAAAAGAGACCTTTAATATAAGGAAATGTATGAGAAACCTCCTTCCTGGTGTCAGTTAGAAGATACTTACTTGTCCTTTAGGACTTTGAGAGGTCTTACCCACTTTAAGCCTGTGTATTGTGTTAGGATGACTTAGGAAAGAAAGCGTTATTCTCTGCGGTTCCCTCTCTTGCTCTGTCTCATGGTGTTTCAGTCACGCAATAAAAGGGGTAATTAAAACTGTTAGTGTATAAGGGAAATAATTTATCAAGGTTAGTGTGACAGGTCTTAGATTTTTGTAGCAGCCCTTTTCATTTAGGGAAGAATAAATTAGCTAATAAAATGATAAGGAGAAAAGAAGGAAAATCATCTATAGGCAAAAGTCCTTTGAAGATAATTTTTTTAAAAATAAGGTTGTTGTTTCCCCCACTTTAGAACCCTTGATTTCTCTAATTCACATACATTTTAAACTTTTCCAAAATCATAAAATATGTTTAAAACCTATCCTCCCCAACAGATAATGCTGTATCTTCCAATTCTTAAGCCTCTTTTAGAGAGTTTGGTAACGATTTGGATAGTGCTTTCCATTTATAGTGTTTAAACACTGATCCAAACTGTGTTTGTTCATCTTCACAAAGAAATATGAGGCAAAGAGATAAAATTTAAGAATCCTGATGAGCTAGAGACAGAGTGGGCATTTGGAAGCAGTCTCATATGCAAAATTGCCTGGGCCGTCACATTTCTTCTGTTTTTAGAGAAAGTTATTGTGAATTCGCAGATTTAGAAGGGGACTCCAGGGAAAATCTAGTATTTCCCTTTGTTGAAAGCACAGCACCTAGAGCATATGGTTTTCTGTTCTTCCAAAATTATGTGCCACTAATGGACATGGCAGTGTGCAATGATTGGTGGTTGCTCAACTCTGGAAATTTCCCGAAAAGTTTTAGACCACCGTTATGGTGGGTAAACTGTATGGGATGGAAATCATTTTTCAATACAGTTATAGAAAGGCACTTGTCTAAGGAAATGTGATTTTAATCTCCATTTGCTGCCCTGTTTAGTGTGCTCCAGTATTTACAGATGAAAGGTTCTAATTTTGCCCAATGTAGGAGGTCTTTCCCTTTTTTTTTTTTTTTTTTTTTTTTTTGAGATGAAGTCTTGCTCTGTCACCCAGGCTGGAATGCAGTGGCATGATCTCGGCTCACTGCAACCTCTGCTTCCTGGGTTCAAGCGATTCTCCTGCCTCAGCCTCCCAAGTAGCTGGGACTATAGGTGTGTGCCACCCGCCTGGCTAATTTTTTGTATTTTTAGTAGAGACGGGATTTCATGTGTTAGCCAGGGTGGTCTCGATCTCCTGACCTTGTGATCCACCTGCCTCGGCCTCCCAAAGTGCTGGGATTACAGGCCTGAGCCACCACACCTGGCTGTAGGTCTTTCTTAGGCAGTTTCAGCCCCTCTCTCTTCCTGTATGCAGATGCCTACCACACTCTGTGTCTGTTCCTCAAGTTCTTCACCACCCCTCATCCTGCCTGTTTGGGATTTCCTCTTGACATTTTGGGCACAGAGATATGATTATTAGAGGCTGCATAGAGTTCTTGGTATTAAAGATACCATTTTGGATGTATTTCACTTTTCTGGTTTTGTCTAATGCTTTTCCATTACCTCATTTGTCAAAAATGACCAGTAAATTGTAATGTTTAATAAGCCAGCTCTTTTAATGCATGTATAGCCTCCCTGAGATGCAGCAAATCACTTCTAGAATCTGCATTAATAGAGTGGAAAATGTTATGGTTTATTTTTTTTCCTGTTAGATGCATTTCTATCTTCAACAGTTCATTTTTAAAGGTGAAAAACCAGCAAGGATTTGTTTCCATTGCTTTTACAGTAGTCCTTCCTTAACCACAGGGGATACATTCCACAATCCCCCCAGTGGATGTTTGAAACCTTGGCTATACTGAACCCTACGTATACTATGTTTTTTCTTATATTTTACATACCTATGATCAAGTTTACTTTAGAAAGTAGGCAGAGTAAGAGATTAACAACAATAACTAATAATAAAATAGAGCAATTATAACCATATGCCAGCATCACTACTCTTGCTTCAGGCTATTCTTAAGTAAAATAAGGGTTCCTTGAACACAAGCACTGTGATACTGCTGCAGTTGACTGGATAATGAGGCGGCTTCTAGCGACTCAGGGGCAGGGAGTGTAGACAGCATGAAGATGCTGAACAAAGGGAGGATTCATGCCCAGTGCGGGATGGAGTGGGACACCCCAGATTTCATCCTGATACTCAGCAGGGCCCGCAACTTAAAACTTAGGAATTGTGTATTTCTGGAATTTTCCATTTAATATTTTCAGACTAAAATTGACTGTGGGACACTGACACTTCAGAAAGTGAAACCATGGATAAGGGGGAACTACTGTATTTCTTTCTTCTGGGATCATTGTGGAATTATCTTCTAACGGAATTGAGAGGATGTTTCTCCTTGGTTTTCTTCCTTGCCAGTAAACTCTCAGAGGGCCTTGCAAAGAAACGTCGTATAATAAATGAATTCCTTCAACTAATATTCAAAACTTTCCCAACTCTGTTAGACTGTATTCCAGTGTGTATTTTTTGTCTGTCTCACTGTTTTTTCCTTTTAAAATTCCTTTTAGATTTTTAACTCCCTGAGCAGTTATAATTTCTTAAAAATAGCAATTGTGAAAGTTCTCCCCTTAGATTATTTTGAACTTTTCTTCGCAGATATTATTGTTGGAACACTCATCTGAGCAGTATATTTGTACTGGTGAAGCTAGGTTAGGCCAGGTGCTGCTGAGTGTGCCCAACCGGCGGTAAGATGGCTTGAGCAGAGGCAGCCGGTGTCCTGGCAGAGCACTGGCCCTGGGCTGAGCACCTCTCTCTGGTCTCTATTCCAGTGTTTGCTAGTCATGTTACTTCTGGGAGCTCTGGTTTTCTCAGCGGTAAATTGGAAGTGAACCATAATATTCTGTCCATTTTATAAGGCTGTTTCTAGGATTCAATAAGGCAAAATTTAACAAAGGTATTCTGTAAACCATTTAAGTGAGTTTAAGTATTCATATCAAAGATTTAGGCAGACTGTAATAAAAAAAGTAGCCTACAAAAGACTTGTTTTTAAAATGCATCACATCTAGTTTTAGTAGTCAAGACAATTTTAGTATTGATGACCTAATGAGTTACTTTATAAAACAGTGGCCCATATAAATTAATAAACAAATTTAAGATGATTACTGGCTGGGCAAAGTGGCTCACGCCTGCAACCTCAGCACTTTGGGAGGCCAAGGTAGGTGGATCACCTGAGGTCAGGGGTTCGAGACCAGGCTGGCTAACATGGTGAAACCCCCGTCTCCACTAAATACAAAAATTAGCCAGGCATGGTAGTGCATGCCTGTAATCCCAGCTACTTGGGAGGCTGAGGCCGGAGAATCGCTTGAACCCGGGAGGCAGAGGTTGCAGTAAGCTGAGATTGCCCCACTGCACTCCAGCCTGGGCAGCAGAGTGAAACTCCATCTCAAAAAAAAAAAAAAAAAAAAAAAAAGGTTTACCGAGAGAAACTGGATACTTTGCTTAGAGAAAACAAAATAGTATCTGATTTCAGTTTCCTTCTAACCCTATATGCTACTTCTTCAATCTTATTCTAACCTGTATCTAGTTCTGCTTAAGTTTTATTTTCTAACTTCTAAAAAATTTTGCAATGTAGATAATATAAAAACTTTTTAGGTCCTTTCACAAACTATTTCGGGTTACTTGCAATTCTCATTTACACCTCTGGAACTAGACTAGATATTTGGTCAGGAAGAGAGCATGAGTTACATTATCCTCCTCCCGAGTGAGCTCCTTGTTTTCTTTCTTCGAATGACATCACCTAATTACACATTAGAGCAGTAGAGAGGCCAAGGGAAATCTGAGAAATCCTTGTCCCAGCCCCCCACAACAAACTTACGGCCAGTTTCCTTAGAAGTACCTGGAACATAACAGTTTTTCTGTCTTTGTGCAGAAGTGATAATAGTAACTTAAATGGCTTATCAAAGAAAGCTTTTTGTATTTATTACTATTGTTTAGGAATCTCCCAGAGGCAAGACTATGGAACATAGAAGCAAAAAGCAGTGCATTTGGGGTATTAAGGTAATTGGAGACACAAAAGCAAAGCACCTGGAGTTAGAAGAAAGATATCAGAAAATAGTTTCCTTTTTGCTTTTAGATTCCTATAGCCAATGTTAGGTAGTGAAGTAAAGCAGTCCACTTTATAAATTCAAATGCTCTTCTGCAGCAAAATTATATTCAATCAACAAGGAAGCCTAACTCTCTATTTTTCCTGCAGGCTCGGCCGGTGGATTACCCTAAGGACTACCTTTCTCATCAAGTTCCCATATCGTTCCACAAACACTGGAACATCGATCCAGTGAAGGTGTATTTCACATGGTTGGCACCCAGTGACGAAGACAAAGCCAGGCAGGAGACACAGAAAGGTTTTCGAGAGGAGTTATAAATCAGGGTGACCTGTGCGCCTAGCCTGCGCAGGGAATGAACTGGAGACTGTGGCCTCATCCCACTGTGCTGTGCTCACAACACTTGTGTCTGCCACATGGCATTGGGTGCTTCCTGACTTTAGGGGGAGATTTTATGTATGGTATTTTTTGACAGAGGAAGAAAAGGGGTCACAGGAGAAACATTTTTTTTTCTGGGAAAAATCACTTGCTTTTGACTTATGCAGTTGTTTTAACACTTAGTGATGACTGTGTATTCTCCAAGCTGTGATACAGCAGTTTTTTTTTATTGTCACAGGGAAATAAATGGTACCAGAAGTCCCTTTCCTGTTCTGTCTCTTCATTGTAATGGAAGTTTCAGTTGGGCATGAGCCTGGAGAGATGTGACTGTCTACAGTTCTATTTGTATATATAAAAAGAAGACTGAAAGTCTTTTGACATGGATATTGTGAATGGTATGAACTTTTAAACCATATTATTGATGATGAAAATTATTTCCTGGGAACTCAGTAGGAATAATACCGTATTAAGGAATAATACTGTACATAAAACATCATGAAACCCTAGATATGAAATCCCCTGAAGTCTGTAATCATGGTGGTTATGTTTTGTCTATTCTTTTGCTGTTTGTGCCTCATAAAAAGAGAATGAGGTCTTCTGCTAGAGCTTCGTATTGCTTTGGAAGTTCATCTGTGTTTTATTTCTCCCTGAAGCCCTATCTTTATGGCTTACTTGTAACATGAAAGTAGTAGATGCTGCCAGAAAATAGTGTCCTCAATATTTTAAAACAATGTTGACATGTTTTGTTCAAGTCAGCAAGCTCTATGTGAGTCTCAGGAAGTGAATTAAATTTGGACCTTATGTTTTACTCTTGTTTTTTTTTTTTTTTTAAATGTTACTTAATGACTCTCTCCTGACTCAGGAGAGAAACCCCTTGTGGAAGGACAGCATGGTGATCAGGCAATTTCTCTGGGTTCCCAAAGAATGACATTTGAACACAGTATTTTGAAACAGCTCTAGTTTTCAAATTATATCTTTAATATATAGTAATGTAACATATTCAGTATTAATGTATAAAAAGCACTCTAATTATATAATTCAGTTTTTGTAAAGGTATTTGCATAAAATTTAATATGTCTTAAACTAATTTTGGTAAATTACTTCTTTTTTTTCTTTTTAATAAAAACTGTTACTCATTAACTTTGCTTATAATGCTTTTTATAGCCCAGCACAGAATTTAAAGCCATACCACCAAAAGTACCTGTGTGTGTTAATATGTTTTTCTTGTAGCATAGATTGACTATTTGCAATAGTATTAGTATTTACCATTTTTCCAAATTAGCAACTACCAGACCTCACGTGTTGCAGTGATAACACAATGCATTGGATTCAGTTTTGTGAAAATGGATTCTGTGGCCATCCAAGGGATGTATCAGGGATGATCAGCTGATGAGAGGCTCCAGAAGGATTTCTAGATCGCTTCAAGCCTATACTGATGGCCTTAGCTTTGTTCAGTCATTGTAACTGGGATTGTTGTCATTGCTACCGTGGTAGTCACCTTCATGTCATCTATAATAGTACTCCTGGAGAGCCCTGGCTGCCTACACCAGTGGAAAAGAGTCTCCAGTTCTGCTCTGGCCTACTAACTGTTACCACTGAGAGAACAACATGTTCATTTGACATGATTGAAGCTGGCATCCGTATATGAAGATCCTTGTCAAGCTTTCTTCTGTGGTCTGATTAGTGCCTTCTACTGATACCGGGGCACCTCCTCTGGTACTTTTAAGTGTTTTGTTAATTATATTTACTTTTTGGAATGGTGTAAGCCTAACCACAAGTAAAAGATCTTTGCCTAAGTTTTTGATTTCTCAAATATTGTGTTCATTAGTCTAGACTGGGAATGGGGAGGGGAAATGGGGAAAATGAATGAATGAAATCAGAAAAAAGTCAGCGGCTCAGTAAATACAGTTTAAAGAGAGAATAATTACTTCAGAGCTACCCTTTTAAGAGAAAACCATCAGAAATTGATAATGTTTATATAAAGTTTATAAAGCCATTGTGTTTTGTTATATAACAAATCAGAGATGTTATTTTAGAATCGATTCCCATCTAAAGAACTCAATTTTGAGTCTGACATTTCCAGGACCAGATATTGTCTTACTCACATTTCCTTTGCTTTGAAATAGGGCTTTCCTTCCAAATGGCTATTTTTAGGCTAGGGATGTTAACATCAGGGATTTGTGTGTGGAATAACTGGAATGTCATTTTTGCTTTTAAGCCATTTCTGATGATATAGCCAAAGCAGGTTGTCTGACTATGTAGGATTTTTACATCTTGAAACTAAATCAGAAATCCAGACATGAAAATAACCTTTCTAGAATGCCTAGGAGCAGAAAACAATAATAGCATGCTAAATCACAAATGATGCTATGTATGGGTATGTAAATATCAGTGCTGTCTGCATTTCTGGGTTTATTGAAGACCTCTTGTTGTATATATCCTCAAAAATTAATGTAATTGACATCTTCAAGAATGTTTCTATTGTCTTCCATTCATAATCAGAGATGTAATTTGTATGGACTAAATAAAAACTTTATTATGTAATGAAAAGTTGAACACTTTCTTACAAAGAAAACTCTAGGCCCAGATGGTTTCATCGGTGATATTCTCCAGGCATCCAAAGATGAAATACTATGTTTATGGGACATAAACTCTTTCAGAGCATAATGAAAAAGGAAACATTTCCCAGCTGAATTTATGAGACCCAAGTTTCTCTGACACCAAAACTTGACAAAAGAAAATCACAGACTAACAACTTTCATGAGCATAAAAGACAGTGATCCTAAACAAAATGATCAGCAATATGTAAAAAGAGGATACATAAAAAGGATAGTAACTCATGACCAAATGGGTTTATTCCAGGGATGCAAGGCTACTGTAACATTCAAAAATCAAGTAATTCACCACATTAATAGAATAAAGGAGAAAAATTGTATAACCATTTTAATAGCTGCGCAAAAAAGGAGGAAAAAAAGCATTTGACAGAATTCAGCAGCCAACCTTGTAATTCTCAAACTAGGTAAATTCGTCAATATAATAAAGAGTATCTACAGAAAAAAGTATCATAAATACCTAATGCTTTCATATTGAATTATTTCTCCCCCTAAATTTGGAGGAAAGACTAGAATGTTTACCATCACTACTTCTATTCAACATCGTTTAGGAGATCCCAGTCAGGGGAAAGAAAAGAAAATTATATAAAGAGTAAATAGAAGTAAAAAGATATTTACAGATGACTTGATTGCATACAAACAGAATCCAAAGTATTTTATAATGAATTTAGTAAGATCACTAGATACAGGACTGATATAAAAAATAATTGTATTTCTACATACTGGCAACAAACAATTTGAAAATAAAATTAGGGAAACAATGTTATTTACAATGGTTTACAAATATTAAATACTAAGGAAATCGATCTTAAATGTTACCACCACTGCCAAAAAAAAAAAAAAAAAAAAAAAAAAAGCAGGAATGGATGGATATGCTAATTGGCTTGATTGTGGCAATCATTTTACAATGTATACATATATACAATCATGTACACTAAGTATATACACTTTTTATGTGTCAAGTATACCTCAGTAAAGCCGGAAAGCATTAGCAAGCATCTAGAAATATCTAGAAATAAATAGTTGCAAGATCTCTGCACTGAAAACCAGAAAATCTTGAGAGATATTAAAAAGGAACTAAGGTTTATCATTTTATGTACTGAAATGTTCAATATTGTTATGACTACAATTATCTCAAATTGATCTACAGATTTATTTCCAGTAAAAATCTGAGACTTTGTGTGTAAAAATTGACAAATTGGTTCAAAATATAGAAGGAAATGCAAAGGACCGAGAATAGCCAAGCCAATTATGATGACAAAATTCGAAGATTTACAAGAACAGATTTCAAGACCTACCAAAAAACTACTCAAGTGTTTTACTGGCATGACGATTGAAGTTAGGTAAATTGAGCAGAATCCATATATAATATGATTACTTAATGTAAGACAAAGGTGATACATGCAGTTCATGAGGGAAATGATCTTTTCAATAAATGTAGAGAAATTAGATATATGGAACAATATGAAGCAACTACTAACTCGGATTACAGACATTATATTCAAAGATTAAGCTATAAAGCATCTAAGAACAGTACTTTTCAACTGGGGGCCTTTTAGCCCTGGGAGACATTTGGCAAGATTTTTGAATGTCACAACTGGAAGGGGGTGCTACTGGCATCTCATGGGTAGGCCAGAGATGCTGTTAAACACCCTACAATGCACAGGAGAAGAATTAACAAGGAATTATCTAGCCTCAAATTTTAGTATTGTCAAGGTTGAGAAACACTAGTCTAGAGGAAAACCAGACTAAAATATCTTCATGATCTTAGGTAAGCAATGAATTATTAAACAGGTAATAAAAAGCCACTATCTAGGGCTAGTGTGGTGGCTCACGTCTGCAGTCTCAACATTTTGGAAGGCTGAGGCAGGAGAATTTCTTGAGGCTAGGAGTTCGAGACCAGCTTAGGCAATGTAATGAGACCCTGACTCTACAAAACAACAACAACAAAACGCTATCTACAAAATTAAAAAGTGGATACATTTGATTTTATTTTAAATAAAACATTTTTTTTCTATCAAAGGAAAAGGCAAGTTACAGACTGGAGAAGATATGTATGATATATCTGACAAAGACTCTGTGGCAGACAACTCTAAAATAGTCCCCATGACCCCTGACTCCTGGTATTCATACCCTTGTGTAATCCTCTCCCCTTGAGTTTTCATGGGACCTATGTGACTTGATTTTAACTAATTGGATATGGGATGTATGTGATTATGTGTATGTGAATCTGTTCCATAAGCCTGTAATATTCATCTCATGAGGAGATACTCTTCCTTGTTGGCTTTGAGGAAACAAGCAGTCATGTTGGGAAAGCCTACATGGTGAGAAACTAAGGGTAACCTGTAGGCAACAGGCAGCAAGAAGCAGACTGGAAAGCGGTATACCACAAGGGACTGAACACTGCCACCACATGAGTTTGGAAGAAGATCCTTCCTCATTTAAGCAAAAGATGAGACCACAGCCCTGGCCAACATATCTATTGCAGCTGTGTGAGAGATCCTAAAGCAGAGGACCAAGCTAAGCCATGCTGAGACTCTTGACCCACAGAAACTGTCAAATAACAAATGTATGTTTGTTTATACCCCTAAGTTTGCAGTAATATTGCTATGCAGCAGTAGATAATACAGGTTCATAGCCAATACAACTCCTACAAATCCGAGGACACAACGCAGTCAAAAATGTCCAAAACACTTGAACAGGCACCTCACAAGAGAGGAAATACAAATGGCCAATACATGTATTTTGAGTGTTCAACATCATTAATGAGATCACAAACCCACTGTGAGACATGCTATGCGGTTACAACAATGGCAAAACTAAAGAGACTTGATACTTTTGAGTGTTGACAAAAATGTGAAGCATGTATTGAATTCTTATAAAGTATTGCTTAAGAGTACTAAATAGCCACACTGCAAAATTATTCTCAGCATTTTCTACTAAAGCAAACCAAACATCTATGCCAGGGTTCAGCCAACTGCTGCCCATGGGCTAAATCCAGGCCACCACCTGCTTTGGTCAACAAAATTGTATTACACAGGCACGCCCATTTGTTTGCATATTGTCTATGGCAGAGTTGACTCATTACAATGGAGAACGTATGGCTTGCACAGTCTACATATTTCCTATCTGCCTTTTACAGAAAAAGTTTGCTGACCTCGGGTCTACACTATGTCTCAGTAATTCCTCTCCTGAGTGCACAGTTCCACAAAATGAAATGTTCAAAAGAGTTCATATTTGCTTTATTATAACAGCCCCAAATTGAAAAAAAATTTCTACCAAGAAGAGATGGATAAATTATTATATATCCGTACAGTGATGGATAATTACTTCACAGCAATTAAAAGGAGAAAACTATTGGTAGACATTACAATGTTAATGATTCTCACAGGTATATTGAACAAAAGGAGGCAGACACGAAAGAAAGCATAGATTCTTTTTATAGGAAATTCAAGAATAGGTAGAAATAGTTGATAGAAGTTGAAAAAATAGGAATTCCTGGTGGTGGGGTAAAGAAAAAAAGCTGCCTAAGGGGCGTTCACTGTCAACTCTTAGTGGAGCCTTTGCTGGCAGTGGATAGCAAAAAACTACAATTCTCCAAAAGGATTTGGTGTGTTGGCTACTTCATATGGCTAAATATACATTTATGTGTTCTGGATGCTAGAAGAGGCAGGGATAGGATTGCCATTCTATTGTGAAAGTTCAGAAATCTTATTCAGTATTCTTATGTAATTGGGAGACAACACCACCTGTGGAAGAACATGAGGGGTGGCAATTAGAATCAAATAACAGTAGGTGTTTTGGGGTCAGACTGAGCAGTTGCTGTGGCAGCACCTCACAGACTAGGGGATGTGAGGGCCAGAGCTGAGTGTCGACTTGGGCCCCCACATTTGCCCGAGTGCCCTCCAAGTCAGATGGGGTGAGGTGCCCTTGTGGCTGTGGGCAAGGTTGCTCTGAACTGCCCTGGCAGGACAGTGGAGGTTGAGGAGTTTCAGTTTTCTGAGGAAAAAAACACAGGTGAAAACATGATGTGAAGATGGAAATTGTCCATAAAAAAGCAAAGCCTGGTGGAAGTGGCACTTCAGGTTGGGTCCCAGTGGCATCATTCTTAATATTGGGATGTCGGGGGTTATGGGGTGAATCCATGCCCTGGCAGCCTTTCTGCATTTGGCAGGAGAGCTTCTTCTTGAAGCAATGAATCAGGTGATGGGGGAGTGGCCATGGGAGGTTACCCCAAAGAGGTTGCAAGAGATTAAAGAAAGAGTAATTGATGAAGGTAAAGAAATGGATGCTCACTCCTATTCAACATAGCATTGGAAGTTCTAACCAGGGCAATCAGGCAAGAGAAAGAAATAAAGGTATTCAAATAGGAAGAGGGGAAATCAAACTGTCTTTTTTTGCAAATGACGTGATCCTATATCTAGAAAACCACATCATCTCAGCCCAAAAGCTTCTTACGCTGATAAGCAACTTCAGGAAAGTCTCAGGATACAAAATCAGTGTGCAAAATTCACAAACATTTCTATACACCAACAATAGACAAGCAGAGAGCCAAATCATAAATGAACTCCCATTCATAATTGCTACAAAGAGAATAAAATTCCTAGAAATACAGCTAACAAGGGAAGTGAAGGACCTCTTCAAGGAGAACTACAAACCACTGCTCAAGGAAATCAGAGAGGACACAAACAAATGGAAAAACATTCCATGCTCATGGATAGGAAGAATCAATATCATGAAAATGGCCATATTACCAAAAGTAATTTATTTAGATTCAGTGCTATTCCCATTACGATTGACATTCTTCACAGAATTAGAAAAAACTACTTTAAAATTCACATGGAACCAAAACAAAGAGCCCATATGGCGAAAACAATCCTAAGCAAAAAGAACAAAGCTGGAGGCATCATGTTACCTGACTTCAAACTATATTACAAGGCTACAGTAACCAAAACAGCATGGTACTGTACAAAAACAGACACAGACCAATGAAACAGAATAGAGAACTCAGAAATAAGATGGCACATGTACAACTATCTGATCTTTGACAAACCTGACAAAAACAAGCAATGGGGAAAGGATTCCCTACTTAATAAATGGTGCTGGAGAACTGGCTAGCTGCATGCAGAAAATTGAAACTGGACTCCTTTTTTATGTGAAACTGGACCCCTTCCTTACACCACATACAAAACTTAACTCAAAATGGAGTAAAGACTTACATGTAAAACCCAAAACTATAAAAACCCTAGAAGAAAATCTAGGCAATACCATTCAGGACATAGGCATGGGCAAAGATTTCATGATGAAAAAGTGAAAAGTGACTGCAACAGAAGCAAAAATTGACAGCTGAATCTAGTTAAACTAAAGAGCTTCTGAACAGCAAAAGTAACTATCACCACAGTGAACAGACAACCTACAAAACGGGAGAAAATTTTTGCAATCTATCCATCTGACAAAGGTCTTATATCCAGAGTCTACAAGGAACTTAAATACATTTACAAGAAAAAAAAAAACATTAAAAAGCGAGCAGAGGACATGAACAGACACTTCTCAAAAGAAGCTATACATGCGGCCAACAAACAGGGAAGGGAACAACACACACAGGCCTGTCAGAGGTGGGTGGTTAAGGGAGGGAGAGCATCAGAAAAAAATAGCTAATGTATGTTGGGCTTAATACCTAGGTGATGGGTTGATAGGTGTGGCAAACCACCATGGCACATCTTTACCTATGTAACAAACCTGCACCTCCTGCACATGTATCTTGGAACTTAAAATATTTGGTAGAACTTAACAGTGTTGGGGGAAGAAGAAGTTGAAGCTGACAGAAATGTTCACACTCCCAGTCTTATCCTAAAAAAGATTTGAAGAGGGAATTCACTGAAGTCTTTTCAAAGGAAATTATTTGAATCTCTGTGATCCATGCTTCCATGGAGTTTGTGTTCTAGGAACCTTTCTCTGACCTTCTTTTTGAGAAGCCAAAGCCACCACCCAATGGAGACAGCCAAGTGAATCTGCTGCTGCAACCTCAGCAAAGAGGGATGCCTTCACAATGGTTTGGAGAGAATTGACTGCACATAAGAGATGGAACTCCAGAAACTAGTTTCCAAACTAAAACCATCAGATTTTAGAAGGCCATGAGCCAATAAACATGAAATATGGACTGAAAAGTTTTATAAAATGGGTGTGATAATAGCTCTGCCTGTGATTTTGTGTCCGGAATTGGTGGGTTCTTGGTCTCACTGACTTCAAGAATGAAGCCGCGGACCCTCGCAGTGAGTGTTACAGCTCTTAAGGTGGCGCGTCTGGAGTCTGTCCCTTCTGATGTTCAGATGTGTTCAGAGTTTCTTCCTTCTGGTGGGCTCATGGTCTCGCTGGCCTCAGGAGTGAAGCTGCAGATGTTCGTGGTGAGTGTTACAACTCATAAAAGCAGCGTGGACCCAAAGAGTGAGCAGTAGCAAGATTTATTGCAAAGAGCGAAAGAACAAAGCTTCCACAGTGTGGAAGGGGACCCGAGCGGGTTGCCAATGCTGGCTCGGGCAGCCTGCTTTTATTCTCTTATCTGGCCCCACCCACATCCTGCTGATTGGTAGAGCCAAGTGGCCTGTTTTAACAGGGTGCTGATTGGTGCGTTTACAATCCCTGAGCTTGATACAAAGGTTCTCCACGTCCCCATCAGATTAGTTAGATACAGAGTTTCCACACAGGTTCTCCAAGGCCCCACCAGAGCAGCTAGATACAGAGTGTCGATTGGTGCACTCATAAACCTTGAGCTAAACACAGGGTGCTGATTGGTGTATTTACAATCCTTAAGCTAGACATAAAGGTTCTCCAAGGCCCCACCAGAGCAGCTAGATACAGAGTGTCAATTGGTGCACTCACAAACCTTGAGCTAAACACAGGGTGCTGATTGGTGTGTTTACAAACCTTGAGCTAGATACAGAGTGCCGATTGGTATATTTACAATCCCTGAGCTAGACATAAAGGTTCTCCAAGGCCCCACCAGAGCAGCTAGATACAGAGTGTCGATTGATGCACTCACAAACCTTGAGCTAAACACAGGGTGCTGACTGGTGTATTTACAATCCCTGAGCTAGATATAAAGACTCTCCACATCCTCACCAGAGTAGCTAGATACAGAGTGTCGATTGGTGCACTCACAAACCTTGAGCTAAACACAGGGTGCTGATTGGTGTATTTACAATCCCTGAGCTAGATATAAAGACTCTCCACGTCCCCACCAGACTCAGGAGCCCAGCTGGCTTCACCTAGTGGATCCCACACTGGGGCTGCAGGTGGAGCTGCCTGCCAGTCCTGTGCCGTGCGCTCGCATTCCTCAGCCCTTGGGGTGGTCAATGGGACTGGGCACCGTGGAGCAGGGGGTGGTGCTCCTCGGGGAGGCTCGGGCCGCACAGGAGCCCATGGAGTGGGTGGGAGGCTCAGGCATGGCGGGCTGCAGGTCCCGAGCCCTGCCCCGCGGGAAGGCAGCTAAGGCCCGGCGAGAAATCTAGTGCAGCGCTGGTGGGCCAGCACTGCTGGGGGACTCAGTACACCCTCCGCAGCCACTGGCCCGGGTGCTAAGTCCCCCATTGCCCAGGGCCAGGAGGGCTGGCTCGCTGCTCCGAGTGCGGGGCCCGCCAAGCCCACGCCCACCCGGAACTCCAGCTGGCCCACAAGTGCCGCACGCAGCCCCAGTTCCTGCTCGTGCCTCTCCCTCCACACCTCCCTGCAAGCTGAGGGAGTGGGCTCCGGCCTTGGCCAGCCCAAAAAGGGGCTCCCACAGTGCAGTGGGGGGCTGAAGGGCTCCTCAAATGCCACCAAAGTGGGAGCCCAGGCAGGGGAGGTGCCAAGAGCAAGCAAGGGCTCTGAGGACTGCCAGCACGCTGTCACCTCTCAATTTGGGCTGGGAATTTTATTCTGGGCAGTCCATTTTTTGAATTATACTTCTTGCCAAGGCTGCTTGTCTCAAAAAGAAAAGGAGTATAGGGAGCTTATTAAAGGAGTGTCAGATTATAGCCTTCACAATGGCAAGTAAGGAAGCTAGAGGGACTCTGGCCTAGTGAAAGTCTGTTTCCTCCTTTTCTTACTTTTCACCCAATAAAACCCTGCTTTACTCACCCTTCAAACCATCTGTGAGCCTGAATTTTTACAGCCATGGGACAGACAAGGACCCTGTCTTTATCTAAACTAAGGGAAAGTCCTGCAACATTTGTGGCACACAACGTGGGGCTCGAGAAGTGTTAAAATTGATATTTTGGGGGTGGAGCCAAGATGGCTGAATAGGAGCAGCTCCAGTCTACAGCTCTCAGCGTAAGCGATGCAGAAGACGGGTGATTTCTGCATTTCCAACTGAGGTACTGGGTTCATCTCACTGGGGAGTGTCGGACAGTGGGTACAGGACAGGGGGTGCAGTGCACCAAGCGTGAGCTGAAGCAGGGAGAGGCATTACCTCACCCAGGAAGCAGGTCAGGTAATTCCCTTTTCTAGTCAAAGAAAGGGGTGACAGACGGCACCTGGAAAATCGAGTCACTCCCACCATAATACTGCACTTTTCCAATGGTCTTAGCAAACGGCACACCAGGAGATTATATCCCGTGCCTGGCTCGGAGGGTCCTACGCGCATGGAGCCTTGTTCATTGCTAGCACAGCAGTCTGAGATTAAACTGCAAGGCGGCAGCGAGGCTGGGGGAGGGGCGCCTGCCATTGCCGAGGCTTGAGTAGATAAACAAAGCAGCTGGGAAGCTCAAACTGGGTGGAGCCCACCGCAGCTCAAGGAGGCGTGCCTGCCTCTGTGGACTCCACCTCTGGGGGCAGGGAATAGCCAAACAAAATGCAGCAGAAACCTCTGCAGACTTAAATGTCCCTGTCTGACAGCTTTGAAGAGAGTAGTGGTTCTCCCAGCACACAGCTGGAGATCTGTGAACGGACAGACTGCCTCCTCAAGTGGGTCCCTGACCCCTGAGTAGCCTAACTGGGAGGCACCCCCCAATAGGGGCAGACTGACACCTCATATGGCCAGGTACTCCTCTGAGACAAAACTTCCAGAGGAACGTTCAGGCAGCAACATTTCCTGTTCACCAATATCCGCTTTTCTGCAGCCACCACTGCTGATACCCAGGCAAACAGGGTCTGGAGTGGACCTCCAGCAAACTCCAACAGACCTGCAGCTGAGGGCCCTGACTTTAGAAGGAAAACAGAAAACAGAAAGGACATCCACACCAAAACCCCATCTGTATGTCACCATCATCAAAGACCAAAGGCAGATAAAACCACAAAGATGGGGAAAAAACAGAGCAGAAAAACTGGAAACTCTAAAAATCAGAGCACCTCTCCTCCTCCAAAGGAATGCAGCTCCTCACCAGCAACGTAACAAAACTGGACGGAGAATGACTTTGACGAGTTGAGAGAAGAAGGCTTCAGACGATCAAACTACTCTGAGCTGAAGGAGGAAGTTCGAACCCATGGCAAAGAAGTTAAAAACCTTGAAAAAGAATTAGAAGAATGGCTAAGTAGAATAACCAATGCAGAGAAGTCCTTAAAGAACCCGATGGAGCTGAAAACCACAGCACGAGAACTATGTGACAAACGCACAAGCCTCAGTAGTCAATTCGATCAACTGGAAGAAAGGGTATCAGTGATGGAAGATCAAATGAATGAAATGAAGCGAGAAGAGAAGTTTATAGAAAAAAGAATAAAAAGAAAAGAACAAAGCCTCCAAGAAATATGGGACTATGTGAAAAGACCAAATCTACATCTGATTGGTGTACCTGAAAGTGATGGGGAGAATGGAACCAAGTTGGAAAACACTCTGCAGGATATTATCCAGGAGAACTTCCCCAATCTAGCAAGGCAGGCCAACATTCAAATTCAGGAAATACAGAGAATGCCACAAAGAAACTCTTCAAGCTAGAAGAGAGTGGGGGCCAATATTCAACATTCTTAAAGAAAAGAATTTTCAACCCAGAATTTCATATCCAGCCAAACTAAGCTTCATAAGTGAAGGAGAAATAAAATACTTTACAGACAAGCAAATGCTGAGGGATTTTGTCACCACCAGGCCTGCCCTAAAAGAGCTCCTGAAGGAAGCACTAAACATGGAAAGGAACAACTGGTACCAGCCACTGCAAAAACATGACAAATTTTAAAGACCATCGAGGCTAGGAAGAAACTGCATCAACTAACGAGCAAAATAACCAGCTAACATTATAACGGCAGGATCACATTCACACATAACAATATTAACCTTAAATGTAAATGGGCTAAATGCTCCAATTAAAAGACACAGACTGGCAAATTGGATAAACAGTCAAGACCCATCAGTGTGCTGTATTCAGGAAACCCATCTCGTGCAGAGACACACATAGGCTCAAAATAAAGGGAGAGAGGAAGATCTACCAAGGAAATGGAAAACAAAAAAAGGCAGGGGTTGCAATCCTAGTCTCTGATAAAACAGACTTTAAACCAACAAAGATCAAAAGAGACAAGGCCATTACATAATGGTAAAGGGATCAATTCAACAAGAAGAGCTAACTATCCTAAATATATATGCACCCAATACAGGAGCACCCAGATTCATAAAGCAAGTCCTTAGTGACCTACAAAGAGACTTAGACTCCCACACAATAATAATGGGAGAATTTAACACCCCACTGTCAACATTAGACAGATCAACGAGACAGAAAGTTAACAAGGATACTCAGGAATTGAACTCAGCTCTGCACCAAGTGGACCTAATAGACATCTACAGAACTCTCCACCCCAAATCAACAGAATATACATTCTTCTCAGCATCACACCATAGCTATTCCAAAATTGACCACATAGTTGGAAGTAAAGCATTCCTCAGCAAATGTAAAAGAATAGAAATTATAACAAACCGTCTCTTAGACCACAGTGCAATCAAACTAGAACTCAGCATTAAGAAACTCACTCAAAACCCCTCTACATGGAAACTGAACAACCTGCTCCTGAATGACTACTGGGTACATAACGAAATGAAGGCAGAAATAAAGATGTTCTTTGAAACCAATGAGAACAAAGACACAACATACCAGAATCTCTGGGACACATTAAAGCAGTGTGTAGAGGGAAATTTATAGCACTAAATGCCCACAAGAGAAAGCAGGAAAGATCTAAAATTGACACCCTAACATCACAATTAAAAGAACTAGAGAAGCAAGAGCAAACACATTCAAAAGCTAGCAGAAGGCAAGAAATAACTAAGATCAGAGTGGAACTGAAGGAAATAGAGACACAAAAAACCCTTCAAAAAATCAATGAATCCAGGAGCTGGTTTTTTGAAAAGATCAACAAAATTGATAGACCACTAGCAAGACTAATAAAGAAGAAAAGAGAGAAGAATCAAATAGACTCAATAAAAAATGATAAAGGGGATATCACCACCGATCCCACAGAAATAGAAACTATCATCAGAGAATACTATAAACACCTCTATGCAAATAAACTAGAAAATCTGGAAGAAATGGATAAATTCCTGGACACATACACCCTCCCAAGACTAAACCGGGAAGAAGTTGAATCTCTGAATAGACCAATAACAGGCTCTGAAATTGAGGCAATAATTAATAGCTTACTAACCAAAAAAAGTCCAGGACCAGATGGATTCATAGCCAAATTCTACCAGAGGTAAAAGGAGGAGCTGGTACCATTCCTTCTGAAATGATTCCAATCAATAGAAAAAGAGGGAATCCTCCCTAACTCATTTTATGAGGCCAGCATCATCCTGATAACCAAAGCCTGGCAGAGACACATCAAAAAAAGAGAATTTTAGACCAATATCCCTGATGAACATCAATTCAAAAATCCTCAATAAAATACTGGCAAACCGAATCCAGCAGCACATCAAAAAGCTTATCCACCATGATCAAGTGGGCTTCATCCCTGGGATGCAAGGCTGGATCAACATACGCAAATCAATAAATGTAATCCAGTATATAAACAGAACCAATGACAAAAACCATATGATAATCTCAATAGATGCAGAAAAGGCCTTAGACAAAATTCAACAACGCTTCATGCTAAAAACAATAAATTAGGTATTGATGGGACGTATCTCAAAATAATGAGAGCTATCTATGACAAACCCACAGCCAATATCATACTGAATGGGCAAAAATTGGAAGCATTCCCTTTGAAAACTGGCACAAGACAGGGATGCCCTCTCTCACCGCTCCTATTCAACATAGTGTTGGAAGTTCTGGCCAGGGCAATCAGGCAGGAGAAGGAAATAAAGGGTATTCAATTAGGAAAAGAGGAAGTCAAATTGTCCCTGTTTGCAGATGACATGATTGTATATCTAGAAAACCCCATCGTCTCAGCCCAAAATCTCCTTAAGCTGATAGGCAACTTCAGCGAAGTCTCAGGATAAAAAATCAATGTGCAAAAATCACAAGCATTCTTATACACCAATAACAGGCAAACAGAGAGCCAAATCATGAGTGAACTCCCATTCACAATTGCTTCAAAGAGAATAAAATACCTAGGAATCCAACTTACAAGGGACGTGAAGGACCTCTTCAAGGAGAACTACAAACCACTGCTCAATGAAATAAAAGAGGATACAAACAAATGGAAAAACATTCCATGCTCATGGATAGGAAGAATCAATATTGTGAAAATGGCCATACTGCCCAAGGTAATTTATAGATTCAATGCCATCCCCATCAAGCTACCAATGACTTTCTTCACAGAATTGGAAAAAAACTACTTTAAAGTTCATATGGAACCAAAAAAGAGCCCACATTGCCAAGTCAATCCTAAGCCAAAAGAACAAAGCTGGAGGCATCACACTACCTGACTTCAAACTGTACTACAAGGCTACAGAATAGAGCCCTCAGAAATAATACTGCATATCTACAACCATCTGCTCTTTGACAAACCTGACAAAAACAAGAAATGGAGAAAGGATTCCCTATTTAATAAATGGTGCTGGGAAAACTGGCTAGCCATATGTAGAAAGCTGAAACTGGATCCCTTCCTTACACCTTATACAAAAATTAATTCAAGATGGATTAAAGACTTAAACGTTAGACCTAAAACCATAAAAACCCTAGAAGAAAACCTAGGCAATACCATTCAGGTCATAGGCATGGACAAGGACTTCATGTCTAAAACACCAAAAGCAATGGCGACAAAAGCCAAAATTGACAAATGGGATCTAATTAAACTAAAGAGCTTCTGCACAGCAAAAGAAACTACCATGAGTGACCAGGCAACCTACAGAATGGGAGAAAATTTTTGCAATCTACTCATCTGACAAAGGGATAATATCCAGAATCTATAATGAACTCAAACAAATTTACAAGAAAAAAACAAACAACCCCATCAACAAGTGGGCGAAGGATATGAACAGACACTTCTCAAAAGAAGACATTTATGCAGCCAACAGACACATGAAAAAACGTTCATCATCACTGGCCATCAGAGAAGTGCAAATCAAAACCACAATGAGATACCATCTCACGCCAGTTAGAATGGCAATCATTAAAAAGTCAGGAAACAACAGGTGCTGGTAAAGATGTGGAGAAATAGAAACACTTTTACACTGTTGGTGGGACTGTAAACTAGTTCAACCATTGTGGAAGACAGTGTGGCGATTACTCAGGGATCTAGAACTAGAAATACCATTTGACCCAGTTATCCCATTACTGGGTATATACCCAAAGGACTATAAATCATGCTGCTATAAAGACACATGCACACGTATGTTTATTGCGGCACTATTCACAATAGCAAAGACTTGGAACCAACCTAAATGTCCAACAACGATAGACTGGATTAAGAAAATGTGGCACATATACACCATGGAATACTATGCAGCCATAAAAAATGATGAGTTCATGTCCTTTATAGGGACAAGGATGAAGCTGGAGACCATCATTCTCAGCAAACTATCGCAAGGACAAAAAACCAAACACCACATGTTCTCACTCATAGGTGGGAACTGAACAATGAGAACACATGGACACAGGGAGGGTAACATCACACACCGGGGCCTGTTGTGGGGTGGGGGGAGGAGGGAGGGATAGCATTAGGAGATATACCTAATGTTAAATGACGAGTTAATGGGTGCAGCACACCAACATGGCACATGTATACATATGTAACAAACCTGCATGGTGTGCACATGTACCCTAAAACTTAAAGTATAATAAAAAAAAAGAAAAGGAAGCTATAGGTAAGGGTGCCTTAAACCACTTGTTACACTGTCTAAACCATGAAGACTTTTAAAGAATATTCTCTTTAAGGTGAAAGAGAAGCCCTGGGAAAGAGAGTTTCTCCTGCTCTAATGGTACCCTGGCAACTAACTGGGCCACAGCTTAGTCTATAGTCAGGAGCTGTGTTTCCAGTGGAGACCATTAATGTGACTGATGAGAAGGCAGGAAGACATCAGGAGCTTCATGCTACTCTTAAGAAATTTGATAGAGGCCCTGGAGCTTGCATATTAGTTGTCGATTAAATATAGGTTTGTTGATTAAATGCCCAGGAGAATCATGGCTTTACCTCTTTCCTCTGAAATTGAAAATACAGAGAAAGGTGTTTTTTTTTTCTTCCAATAGCATAAAGGTCTATTTATCATATGCCAGTGTTGCTTCTTGGTTTCCCTTGGAGAATTGACAAGTCTGGCTATTCAGGATGTTCTCAATGTTGAGTGACGGCTACAAAGATTGGGTGGTGGCTCTTGTGCAGGTTGACTATGAGAGGGCAGCCCAGTTAATCCTGAGGAAGTGCTGCATCAGCAAAATGCAACATTAAAAATTTCTGTAGTTAACAAAAAATTACGTCTCTTAGCAACTTGAGTTTTTTTAGGGTTAATTCCAAAAATGATGAATAAATTCTTCATTGAGAACATCTTTGAAAGATTCTCCCTGGGCCCTGAAAGCTTGAAGGGATAAGTAACTCCTCCTTCCTCAGGCCCAGTCCCAAGGCATAAAGCCACTTGTGTCAGCAGCGTACGCCAGCAAGATAGCAGAAGCAGGAAGAGAGCCAGCCAGAAGACACCTACCCTGGCTGGAAGACACCTAGCCCTGAAGATCGAGGAAGAAGCCATCTGGGTACTACGTAGCAGTCACATCAGACTAGGACACTTTCTGTTTACAGAGGTCTATAAAACCCCGTCCCGTCCTCACTTGGGGCTGGCGCCATTTTAGGCCTCAGCCCACCTGCACCCAGGTGCTCATTAAAACAGCATGTTGCTCCACACCACCTCATGTTGTCTGTTGGCACGCTCTCGGGCTTCAAACCGATTCAAGGACCTTACAGTATTGACAAGTAACATTGGGATTTATAGAAACTGTCAAGTTGCCTGGTGTTTTAACTACCATACAATCATTTAATATTAGTGGAGACTAGTTTCCTGACAGCAGGGAATCATTGTGGATACCTAAACCAGATTGTTCCAGACACACACGAGGGGTAGCTGTGTTCTTGGTCCAAGTTTAAGTCAAGATCAGAGTATTCTGAATTCAAGACACAGAATCCTAGATCAGATTGAGGTGCTATTGAGAGCAAATGGCCTTAACAGTACCTGGGCCATTCCTGCTTCTCAGAGTATCAGAGGATTTTTTTTGACTATTGATTATTGTGTATTATAGATTTTTATTTACTGTGTTTTGATCAATTCCAGTCATCCATTTTGATGCTCAGAGGTTACCCTTAAGCTGGCTCTTGGGTTCTTTTGACATGACCTGTTAGTACATGGGTACTTCTGTGCTTTCTAGAACAAGGCCCACCTACTTCATTCCCCATCCCAAACCTGGAATCTGTCAGGATGCATTCAGTAGCGTAATAGCAGGATGGTGTTTTGAAACCAAAACCTTGGCATCAGATGCTGTATGAATGCCATGTTGTCACCAATGACACGTGCTTATCAAAATGTCTAACTTGAATCCTGTCAAGACTTTAGAACTTCCAGTTTACCGGAAATGTGAGGAAGAGAGGAACAAGTTAGAAGTGACATGGGATGAAAACAATCAGACAAATCCAGACTGTGAGGTATTCTACCCTGCAACCTGACTTGGTTTCTTTAATGAGTCAATATCAAATACTCAAGAGAATCATGTGACAAAGGTGGCTGGAGATTTAGAGAGACTAAAGAAGTGTAACAAAAGCAATATGGGGTCATTAATGGAATCCTGTTTTGAAAAAAAGTACTGGCCAGGCGTGGTGGCTCATGCCTATAATTCCAGCACTTTGGGAGGCCGAGGCGGATGGATCACAAGGTCAAGAGATTGAGACCATCCTGGCCAACATGGTGAAACCCTGTCTCTACTAAAAATACAAAAATTAGCTGGGTGTGGTGGCATGCGCCTGTAGTCCCAGCTACTTGGGAGGCTGAGGCCGGGGAATCACTTGAACCCAGGAGGCGGAGGTTGCAGTGAGCCAAGGTTGCACCACTGCACTCCAGCCTAGCGACAGAATGAGACTCCATCTCAAAAAAAAAAAAGTACTATAAAATAATTCTGAGACTGTTAGGGGACTTTTAATGTGGACTTAGATGATACTAGATAGTTATTAATTTTTTCAAGGTGCGACAATGTTATTGTAATTGCTTAGCTGGATATTTTTTGATGATATGTACCAAAGTGTTTAAGGGTAAATGTAATGTAGCTTATGTAAAATGATTTGACAACAATAAAAACTAAAAAGAAATGTTGCATAACAATAAAAATATATATTATGTAGATGTGAAGCAGATGTGGGAAACATTGTTGAAGAGTTGTGACGGTTACTACGGGACTGAATGAAGGGGGGCAAACGCAGAAATGAAAACAAAAACAAAAGAAACTGTTCTAAAGAAGGGGCCGGAGGCTCCTTGCTTCTAGTGAGCAAAGGCCTTGAGCTTCCACAGCCCTTCATATTTATTGGGTAGCAATAGCAGGGAGGAGGAGCTCACAGTTGATTAGCTGCTTGATCACAGGTTCACATTATTGCTAACAGGCTTCAGTAGTGCCTGTAGATAATCATAACAAACACTACGCCTGGGGCGTAACTGCCCTCAGCATTCCTTCTGGGCGGCAGATGCAATCTATCAGTTTGCCAACATCCTGCTTTCATGAGAACAGTTTGCTGTTTACTCATATAGCCTCTGGTGGTATACTGAGTTGATCATGACCCTCATTCTTTCAGCCTCTAGGTGATGGGTATTTATTGTACTATTCCCCCTACTTTCCTATATGTTTAAAGTTTTTTGTTCTAAAAGAAATATTTTCAAAGGGAGGTGGAGAACTCCCTGACTTTGGGATGCAGGCAGCCACTTGCTCCTGAGAGCTTTCTATCAGTGTTTCTTCCTACATTTCCATAGTCCAGGAGCTGCTATCACCATCCTTCCAGTTTCCAAAGGGATGGGAAATGTCCTCATCCCCTCTTTCTTGTTCAGCCTTTTCATTTGATAAGAACTGCCTTCTTCTAATTATATCTTCTAAATATGTCATGAACCAGTCCATACCTTTGGCCACGATCCTGGAGGCACCCTGGCAGCAACCCTCCAACTGGCTCTCCCTAGTCCATGACCCTCTTTTATCCACAACCATTCAGCCCCCAGAGTAATCTTTCTAAAGTGCAATTCTGATCACGCTGCTTCCTGTGACTCTCATTGCTTAGAGGATAAAGTCCAAGCCCCTCACATGGTGTATGTGGCTGCATGACCAGCATGACCTTCATCACCCGTCCCTGCTTCAACATGGGTCTGCTCCTCTGTGCCTTCCAGTTCTGTGCTCCTCTTGTCTTCTTTCTGCTGCCCTTTGCCCCCTCTTCCTCTGACTCCCTCCTCATGGGCATACTGAAATTCTCAAATGCAGAAGTCCCCCTACCCCAGGAGAATTCCTTGGCCACACCACTTCCTTACTGGGCTGCAAGTCCCCCATAATAGCATGTGCCCATGGCAGTATTCACACTTGCTTATACTTGTGGGAGGCAGCGGGGTGCAGTGATTGGAGCCAAAATGTCTGGGCTTGAATCACAGCTCTGCTGCCCACTCACTCCTTATGTGACCTCGGGCAAGTTACTTTACCCTCCTATGCCTGCAGTTCTCATTTATGGAGTCAGGATAATAGTAAGAGACCCAAACTCACCAAGTGCTGAGTGTGAAGTGAGCCCAAATGTGTACAGTTTAGAACAGTAACTGGCACATGATAAGCACGCAATAAATGCTAGCCATTATCTGAACTGTGTTCCTAGCTCCTCACTTGATGGTGAGCTCTTTGAAGTGAGGGGCAGTATTTATAAATATTACCATGTGCCAGGCGCTGTGTGAGGTGTTTCTATTTCAGCCAGTCCTCACAAATGAGGTAAGTGCCAATTCTTCCTCCCTGTGGCCCTCCTCACCTCCTAGCTCCTTCCCTCTTCCCATCTTCTCTCTGTCCTTCCTTCCTTTCATACATACTTTGGTGTCAAGTCTGTGCCGTCATCCCTATTTGACAGATGAGGAAGCAGCCGCCTGCGGAGAAGCTAAGGAATTTGTCCATATGCACATAGCCAGCTGAGCGGCAGTCCTGGGGTGGAATTCCTACTGCCTAATTCTTGAAGTTGCTGCAGGCAACACTGCTGCATTTTATACTTCTTTTTTGTATCCCTAGCATGTAGCATCCTGACTACCATTTAGTGTTCACTAAGTATTTCTGAAATGAATGAATAAGTGAATGAATGTGAGTACATTAAATGAAAATGAAGGACAGATGAGTGGGGGGTGTAAGAACTCAGGTTTGGACAAAGACATTCTATGCTCTGAACACTCACAGCTCAGGGTCAGGTGGACAATCTGCTGAGCAGACAAGAAGATCCTTGAGGACATGTGAACCAGCTTTTTGAAAATCTTGCATTTTGCTGAGAATTCACATTAAACTCAGCAACCTGGACCCAAATCTTCATTTTCCTCCCTTGTGGTGAATAATCAGCATGTTTGTGTTTAGCTCCCCTTTTATCCTCCATAATTCCAAAAAGATTACTCAATTTCCAGGATTATGTCTCTAAATTCCTTCATGCTTTTAGCTATTCTGAGCAGGATTTAAAATCATTAGCTGCTAGAGACTCTTTTATTACTTCCATAGTTGAATGTCCTCTTTACTACCTCTGCTGGGATTTTCCAGTCTGAAAGTCATTCTTCTTGATGATACCATCTGCAGAAAGGCGCATTTCCATTTGAGTAGTCAGCAGACAGCTTCATCAGTGAAGCCATCATCAGTGAAGCTGTCATATTGCTTCATCAGTGAAGCCTTCCATGACGGTCTTATCTGAAGTTGTCCCCCAATCTCCATCACTGTCACATCACCCTATGCTATGGCCTTAATAACATTCATTTTCTTTAAAATTATCTGCAGCCATAAAACCTGTGTTTTCAGCCCCTTTCTATCAGAATGTAAGCTGTTCACTGCTGGTGTGTGTACTGGTGCTGCCCAGTAAATACTTGTTGAATGAATGAAGTGGGGATGTAAGCGGCATGGAGAAAAGATGATGCAGAAAAAGGATTAAAAGTAGTGCAGAGTCCCTGTGGGACATTATGCTATTGCTTTGTATTCTATTATGTCTCTACCACTAGCCCACAGGCCCTGAGAGCTTGGTGCTGCTTGCTCACTTTTTCATTTGTTTCATTCATTCCTTTAATTCACTCATAAAAGACTTACTGAGCATGACTGTTGGCAAAGCGGATGTTCTGGGAGCTGGGTATTCCTATTTTGTTGACAAAAGATGAGAGATCAGACATTGCAAGACCCTCTTCTGACCATAATTTTACTTGTGGCTAAGCCTGCAGAAGAAATAGTTCCTTTTCCTTTTGGCCCAGAAAGTCTGCATTTATAAACTGTCAGCTGCAGGAGAGCAGTCTGCTCCTGTAACCCAACCTCAGTTGGTGGAATCCTTAATCAGTGCATGCTCAGCAGGCCCCCACGGGAAGAATGACTGCTTTGCACTGGTAAGGGGGTCTGCGGTGAGAGATGACCCCATCTCCACCTCCGGGGCTGTGGTGGTGCCTCTTTCAGCAATTGGCGTCGCGTCTGCCTTTCCTTTGTCCCAGTGGGGGTCTGCATTTCCTTGGTACCAATGGGGATTTTGCCGGGCTGCGCTGCCCCTCCCTAAGGGGTGGTCTGCGCAGAGGGTTAAATATGCAGGGGACCCACAACTCCCCAGGGACCGCTAACGGAGTCATGTGCTGGCTAAAGTCGGAGCGATTGCAGGGCATGTCTGCGTTGGTCTCGGGGTGCTGGGGCCCCAGGGTAAAGGGAATCCAGGCAGTGGAGCAGCGCCAAAGGTGCACAGCCAGGCGGCGCCCTCGACTCTTCCTGGGTGTGAGGGGGTGCGCCAGGGCTGCGCGAGCTGGCCACTCTGTTCCCAGGCCATGCCTCATCGCCACTGATAGCGTTGCCCTGGGTCTCGGCGGCAGAGTGGCTCCCCAACAGCTTAGCAGCCAGCAGACCGTCAGAGGCACGAGGGGAGCAGAGAAGCTCCTCCATCGACCCTTTCGCTGGGCACTGAGCTCCTGGGACGGGAGCGGGGTTGACTTCAGCCAGACTCTCGCTGCTTTTTTCCTGTGCGCCCCAGCTTCCTCGCGTGGGCCCTTCTGAGGAGAGTGTGATTAACGCATTTGGAGTCCATGTGTGACTGAAGCACAAAATGCTCGCCTATACTCCGAATGACCAATGCGGTGGGATGAAAAGGGACCAGAAGTTTATGAAGGTCCAGAAACCAAAATAAGGTTAGCACTGAGTGCTGTCCAGCTCCTAAGGAGACAAAAATGGCTCCACAGCCTGCCCATCTGTATGCTCCCCTAGAGATTTGAGCAGTGGGGCACTGAAGAAGTGAACCACACCCGCATCGTGCACCCTGCAAGGGAGACAAGGTAACTTTTCCCATTTCACCTAGGTAAGATGTTTTATTTTTCTGGGTCTTACCCAGTTTTTTGACGGAAAAATGAGATAATTATATCTATTGCAATTTAACCAGATTTTGTAATAACTACGGTTTTTTCATGTTAACCTACTTTAAGAATAGTATTTTCTATTTGTTAATTTAATAAACCTAATGTGAAGTTCTAGCCTAAATGCCGTGTTGCCCCCCTGTAAAAACCCCTCTTTAGGATTACATCTCTGTGTAATATGGACTCCCCTGCTCATAGTAACCTGCTGCTTTCTGCTCTTTCCCCTAGAACACTCCCATGATACTACTCTTCTTGTACTTCTCTTGCCCAGTATTACAGGTCTATATTAGACCATCCTGAACAGGAGCTTAAGCAAACGTGACATTATTTTCAAATACTGAACTCAACTTTGCTCTTGAGAAAAAATATAATTCAATCTTTCCCATTCTGGCATTTCCAATCTAATCCAGGGATTTTTTTTCAGCCACACTCAAATGTTATTTTCTCAATCACTGTCAAGTTCAAAGCTTATCATTGTAGGATAAATGCTGTTTTTCACAGTTTCTTTCCTCTTTATTTTCACCTGCCTTTCTTCCTGGTGGTGATATGAGTGCAACAGGTTGGGGAGGATGTATTTTCCAGCATTGGAAAAGGGATAGCTGCTTTCCAGTGGGCACTCTTTGCGGGGCTTCATCCTGCTCAGTCTATGGGTATCACTCTCTGTCCCGATAGTATCTTCTACAATGTGGCCGGGGGCCTGAGCATCAGGTGTCTAATACTGGGAATCCACCAGGATATGATACTCCCCTCCCCTGCTGACGAAAGTCCCTGCCATTGTCCTCTGTAACTTTCTCTTCCAAGTCTGAGGCCATTTCTGGGCCACTTTTGCTCTCAGAATTCTAAAGTCTCCTTGGGAATCTGGGAACATTAGTCAACTTTCTCTACACTGCATGGGAACAGGGTTCCCATGGGGGTTATGGGTTGTAAGGTTCCTCTTTAGCCTACCCTTACCTATGGCAACAGTGTGGGTAGTGTCCTGCCAAACATGGAATAAACCCTCCAAATAATCAACCCACAACAAATTTTACTTATTTTTCATAAGTTTACTAATCTGCCATTTGAAGAGATGTCTTCAGTTGTGATAACCCAGGCTCAATGGTTTGTACAATATTATGCATACTTGTAGGATGCATCTGTATTTCAGGACACAGATTGCAGAAATATCTCTGTCAAATATAAACCTCAATTTGTTTTTCAAGCTGTCAGTCTAATAGGGTGATGGGAAATGAATCTCAGACAAATTAGGGAGTCTCATTCTCTTATTAGCCCAGGGCCTTGGCTAGGGTCCAGTCTCAGGTGTGTCTTTATCAGCAGCATTAAAATGGACTAATATAGTAAATTGGTACCAGTAGAGTGAGGCACTGCTGTAAAGATACCTGAAAATGTGAAAACGAATTTGGAACTGGGTAACACGCAGAGATTGGAACAGTTTGGAGGGCTCAGAAGAAGACAGAAAAATGTGGGAAAGTTTGGAACTTCCTAGAGACTTGTTGAATGGCTTTCACCAAAATGCGGATGGTAATATAGACAATGAAATCCAGGCTGAGGTGGTCTCAAATGGTGATGAGGAACTTGTTGGGAACTGGAGAAAAGTCACTTTTGTTATGCAAAGAGAATGGTGGCATTTTGCCCCTGCCCTGAGATTTGTGGAACTTTGAAATTGAGAGAGATGATTTACGGTATCTGCTGAAAGAAATTTCTAAGCAGCAGAGCATTTAAGAGGAAGAAGAGTATGAAAGTTTGAAAAATTTGCAGGCTGACAATGCAAAAGAAAAGAAAAATGCATTTTCAAGCTGGCTGCAGAAATTTGCATAAGTAATGGGAAGCCAAATGCTAATCACCAAGACAATGGGGAAAATGTCTTCGGGGCATGTCAGAGACCTTCACAGCAGCCCCTCTCATCACAGGCCTAGAGGCCTAGGAGGCAAAAATGGTATCCTGGGCCAAGGCCCCTCTGCTGGGTGCAGCCTAGAGACTTGGTGCCCTGTGTCCCAGCTACTCCAGCCATGGCTAAAGGGGCCAACATACAGCTCAGGCTGCTGCCCCAAGTCTCAGTGGCTTACCCATGGTATTGGGCCTATGGGTGCACAGAAGTCAAGAATTGAGGTTTGGGAACCTTTGCCTAGATTTTAGAAGATGTATGGAAATGCCTCGATGTCCAAGCAGAAGTCTGCTGTAGGGGTGGGGCCCTCATGGAGAACCTCCGCTAGGAGAGTGTGGAAGGGAAATGTTGGGTTGGAACCTCCACACAGAGACCCCACTAGGGCACTACCTAGAGGAGCTGTGAGAAGGGAACCACTGTCCTCCAGACCCCAGAATGGTAGATCCACCAACAACTTGCATGGCACACCTAGAAAAGCCACATTCAATGCCAGCCCATGAAAGCTGCTGGGAAGGGGGCTGTACCTTGCAAAGCCACAGGGGCAGAGCTGCCCAAGGCCATGAGAGCCCACCTCTTGCATCAGTGTGACCTGGATATGAGACATGGAGTCAAAGGAGATTATGTTGGAGCTTTGATTGCCCTGCTGGATTTTGGACTTGCATGGGTCCTGTAGCACCCTTTCATTTTGGCCAATTTCTTCCATTTGGAACAGGTGTATCTACCCAATGCCTGTATGGCCATTGTATCTAGGAAGTAACTAACTTGGTTTTGATTTTACAGGCTCATAGGTAGAAGGGACTTGCCTTGTCCCAGATGAGACTTTGGGCTGTGGACTTTTGAGTTAATGCTGAAATGAGTTAAGACTTTGGGAGACTGTTGGAAGGGATGATTGGTTTTGAAATGCAAGGACATGAGATTTGGGAGGGGCTGGGGCAGAATGATATGGTTTGGTTCTGTTTCCCCACCCAAATCTCATCTTGAATTGTAATAATCTCCATGTGTTGTGGGAGAGACCTGGTGAGAGGTAATTGAATCATGGTGTGGGGGTTTCCCATGCTGTCCTTGGGATAGTGAATAAGTGTCAGGAGATGTGATGGTTTTATAAAGGGGAGGTCCCCTGCACGTGCTCTCTCTTGCCTGCTACCATGTAAGACGTGCCTTTTGCCTTCTGCCATGATTGTGAGGCTTCCCCAGCCCCTTGGAACTGTGAGTCCATTAAACCTCTTTTTCTTTATAAATTACCCAGTCTCAGGTATGTCTTTATCAGCAGCGTGAAAACAGACTAATACAAGGGTTAGAAAAGGCTCAGGAGGAAAATGGAAAGTGAGATCCAGTGGCTTCCGGAGGCCAGGTTTTCCTCTTCTGGCCTGATGTTTGTTCTGTCTACCTGGGGAAGGCAAATAGGTTACTCAAGTGCTTCTATGAGAAAGAGAGAAGGGGTTATAATATCCCATGGCTTCAGGGAGCCCACTGATTCTCTGTCACTTGTCTGTACAGCATCCACTGTGGTGTCCGTTGTTGCATTGGGCCCACAGTTGCTGGACTATATAGGGTGCTGCAGGGATGCCCCTGGGTCCCACTCTCTTGCCCCCTCCCTTTCAGTTCCATTGATATACCATGTCTCTGGCACATAGGAGGCAACTTCTGATTTTCAAGCTAGTCTGAGCTGTATAGAAGTTTTTGGCGGCCATCTAAGACCCCGTCTTTTGTTACCCCCTTTAACCACCTATATATTTTTTGAGTCTAGCTGCTTCTCTATGGGTTTCCCTGGAAAATAAATCACAGACCCAGGTCTCTTCTTCTTGGGGTCCCCACAGACCTTGCAGGGCATGACATGGAGAGTGGGGTCTCTTCCAGAGACCCATGAACCATCCCTCATACCTCTTCCTCTCAGTTCCTCCAGGAAGCATCTTCTGTTATCCCTGGGGGCAGCTGGGGGAGTAGGGTGTTGGGCTCCAACCCACCAGGTTTCCTCTCAAATCTTTTGAGCCAGAGGCTTTTCTGTTCCCATAAAGTAGTAGGCTTTTGAAACTCAAAATGCAAGAAGATAATCTTTTCCCTCTGCTCTCTGTTATCATCATCTCTCTTTGCCAAGTGCTTTGAGTCTTACTGAGTTTTACTGCTGGTGCCCCAGCCTGACGGCCTGAGAGGAGGGAAGGTTCAGACAGTGCCTAGAAGCCAGAGCAGGTCAGCGTTGCCCAGCACCCTGTCCTTTGCTGCTTCCGGATGTCTACACCAACATGTTAAATGAGGAGGCTATGCTTTGAGTTCCTCCACTTTACTTGAAAAACTTGTACATTGATATCTTGGGAGAAATGTCTTTTCCGCTTTTGACCTCCAATGGTTAGTGATGCCACTGAACTGGAATGGTGTAGCCTGCCCTGCCTCTGAAGAAAACATTTTAGGATCCAGTGAAAAAGCTGAGTTTGTTTTTCTCTCTTTTCATTTTCTATTTAGTAATGAAAAACCTCTGGCGTGGATCTGGGTGGAAGGGAACATAATGGAAATGAAATCAAGTGGAATCCAGAGGCTAGGTTTTCCTCTTCCAGCCTGATGTTTGCTCTGTTCACATGGGGAAGGCAAATAGGGAACTCAAGTGCTTCTATGAGGAAGAGATAAGGAGTTATATTATCCCATGACCCCAGAGAGCTCATAACTATTTCTCTCAAGAAGTCCCTGCAGTTGCTTATGGATTTAAAAACGTGATGATAACACTGAAAACCACTGAAAGCAAATAGAACACAGAACAGAGAGAAGAACTTCAGCCAAGGGCATAGTTGGCTTTCCCTGAGCACCAGGCTGGGATCTCTGAAGAGGATGGCTACTCTTCCTCTTCCTGCTCCTGCTCCTAGGCCTCCCACCACTGCTGCTAGCTAACATTCACTGAGTGCATGTGCTATGCCAGACACCTTTTAAAGGTACTACACTAATTAACCCACTTGACCCTCACAACAACTCTATGAGGTAAGTACTATTGTCATCATCCTCATCACGAATGGCTTAGCACCATCTCCTTGGTGTTGTTCTCATGATAGTGACTTTTTGTGAGACCTGGTTGTTCACAAGTGTGTAGTGCCACCCCCCCGACCCCGCCCACTTGCTCCTGCTTTCATCATGTAAACTGACTGCTCCCACTTTACCTTCCTCCATGATTATAAGTTTCCCAAGGCATCCCTAGGAGCAGATGGCGCCGTGCTTCCTATACAGCCTACAGAGCTGTGAGCCAGTTAAACCTCTTTTTAAATAAATTGCCCAGTCTCAAGTATTTCTTTATAGTAATGTAAGAACGCACTAATACACCGGCTTATAGGGATGACCCGAAACATACAACTGAACTTTTTGAGTCTATCGTTATCTCACCTGGGCTGATGTTCAGAGTCTCCTTAGCATTTTATTGGCATCCAAAAACCATTGTCTAATGCTAGAAAAGGCTCAGGAGGGGGCTGACCAGTCACACACAGAAGATCCTAATAACAAGGTAAGGGCCAGCACCAATCTGGCAATGCCCCCTTTATAACCCCAAGTGGAATCTGAATGACAGGGAGGAAGATAAAATCCAACAGTTTTGGCATTGTATTTTGATGGGGCTCAGGAAGGGTGTCCCTAAAAACCAAAAGCATAAACAAGATTCAAGAAATTAGACAAGAAGTGGAGGAGAACTCATTAGCATTTTGGGAAAGGATTTTGGAGGCTTATTGGAAATATACAGATGTAGCTGCAGTCTTGAGAATTCCAGGTTAATTAATATGACTTTTATAGGGCAGAGTATGCCTGACATTCAACAGAAATTGCAAAAATCAGAGGGCACCCTAACATTGCCAATATCTCACTTGGTTGATGTGGCATACAAGGTCTTTCTGAGTCTAGAGCAGACTAGGAACAACAAAAGGAGAAACAAAAATTGCAGGAGATGAAACTGCAGGCTAAGTTCTCAGCCACAGACTTAGCTGAGGGTCTGGAATGGCCTCCTCAAAAAGGGCAAAAGCCACCGCCCACACACACCTTAGGAAAAACTAGTGTGCTGATTGCAGAAAAGAGAGACACTAGAACAAAGATTGTCCTAAGTTGAATAGAAAGGGGCCAAGACCCAGCCTTGCAAATGGCTGGATTCAATGGAGATGACCTGAAATGTTGGGACTCTAAGGCTTTTTCCACCTTTCTTAATGTTACCTGCCAGGAGCCTAGGATAGCCATTAGATTGAGTGATAAATTGGTCAATTTTCTGATTGATGCTGGAACAAGCTACCATAACTCAAATGTAACTTTTTTTTTTTATTTCAATAGCTTTAGGAGTACAAGTGGTTTTTGGTTACATGGATGAATTATACAGCAGTGAAGTCTGGGCTTTTAGTGTACCTGTCACCTGAATAGTGTACATTTTACCCAATAGGCAATTTTTTATTCCTCACTTCCTTTCTCACCATCCCCCCTTCTGAGTCTCCAGTGTCCATTATACCACTCTGCCTTTGTGTACCCATAGCGTACCTCCCACTTACAAGTGAGAACATGCGGTTTTTGTTTTTCATTCCTGAGTTATTTCACTTAGGATAATGGAATCTGGTTCTATCCAAGTTGCTGCAAAAGATGCTATTTCATTCTTTCTTTTGGTTGAGTAGCATTCTATGGTATGTATGTGCTACATTTTCTTTATCCACTCATTGGTTAATGGGAACGTAGGTTGATTCCATATCTTTGCAATTGTGAATTGTGCTGCAATAAACATATATGTGCCTTTTTGGTATGATGACTCTTTTTCCTTTGGGTGGATACCCAGAAGTGGGATTACTGGATCAAATGGTAGATCTACTTTTAGGTCTTTGAGAAATCTCCACGTTTTCCATAGAGATTGTACTACTTTGCATTCCCACTAGCAGTGTATAAGCATACCCTTTTCACTACATCCACATCAGTAGCTTTTGTTTTTTGACTTTTTAATAATGGCCATTCTGCCTGGGGTATCTCATAGTGGTTTTAATTTGCATTTCCCTGATTAATAATGTTAATCATTTCTCCTATGATTTTTGGCTACCAAATGTAACTCTTAAGGCTGTTTCTACTCTGAATCCTTTCTACCCTCCTACCAGGGAAACTCCAGCTTCCTGTTCATGATTGCATTCAAATAATTGATCAAGTTTACTCTAGCAGACTGGACCTCACAGACTTGCCAGTGACAGAACCTGATGAAGAGTTCTTCACTGATGGAAAAAATTTTGTGGAACAAGGAGTCAGAGGGGCCAGGTATGCTGTAGTTACTGCTCAGCAGGTAATCGAAGTGCAGGCCCTCCCCCAAGGGACGTGCACCCAAAGGGCTGAGCTTTATTTAGCCAGAGTTCTACATCTGGGTAAGGGAAAACAATTCAATGTTTCACCCAAATATGCTTTTCTAATGGCCCATTTTCATGGGGTAATTTCAAAGGAAAGGGGCCTCCCTCATTTTCAATAACAAATAAAGCATGGTCCTCAAATGTCTGTATTATTAGAAACAGAAAAATGCCCAGAGAAATAACAATTGTTCACTGTCAAGGACACCAGAAGGCAGGCACTCATGTTGCACAAGGAAATATGAAGGCTAGCCTAGCTAGGCGAAAAAGGCGGTCAGGGAACCCGCTACCTGGATGGCTCTTGTTCCCACTCTGTTTGGAGACCCATTGCCCAAGATATTTGGAGGCTGATCTTAAGAGAGATGAGGAATGGGGGTTTTCTAAACATGCCAACCATCAGTGGCTTAAAGAAATAAAAATTCCCCTTCCAAAAACTTTGATTAGACTGATTCTTGAGAAAATCCATCAAAACACTCATTATGGGTGCAAGGCTACTCTACACTGGATACAGTCTTATCTTTTTGGGCCTGACTTGCAATGAACAATACAAACCATAGTCCAAAGTTGCCCTATCTGCGTGAAAAATAACCCAAAGCTCCTGGAAGGCACGAAAGCTCCTTTTAAACAAGGAACTCAATGGAGAAGTACTAATCCTAGATAAGTCTCATAATCAGATTTCACCATAATGCCCCTGGCCCCTGGATTGTTTTTGATATTTGTTGGTTTTGGTTGATATCTTTACACAGGCTGGGTTGAGGCTTATGCCGCCAGGCCTGAGAAATCTACTGAAGTTGTAAAAGCTCTAATAGAGAAAATAATTCCTTGATATGGACTCCTAAGAACTCTAATGAATAGGACATTAAAGACGCCTCTAAAATTTGCCAAGAGACAAATCTTCCCTGGGAAAAGAACTTTCCCCTTGCCCTGCTGAGGATATGGCTAGCCCTGCCAGAAGTGGATTGGCTCTTAGCTCCTTTGAAATATTATATGGGAGACCATTTCCCTGACTCCGAGACTCCCTGTCACTTGAGGATTTTTCCTCCCTTGAAACAGAAGCTAAGTCACATATAAAACAGTTAGGAAATACACTAAGTATATTGACTAGTCCGTCTGAGTTTGTTTCCAACAGACTCCACTTCCTTACGGACATGCCTCTCTACTCTTTGAAACCAGGAACCAAGTCTTGCTGAAGACCTAGAAATCCTGCCAGGCAGAAGACCAGCTGCAACCACAATGGGTCAGCCCTTTTGAGGTGCTGCTGACCACTCAACTTATCTGTCAGGTTAGCCAGTGTTAAGCCATGGATTCACCAATCAGTCCCTCTGTGATCCCTCCAGGGAAAATAGTCATGGTCTCGTGAACCCTCCCACAGCCTTAAGTTAATATTCAAAGCTCAGCCAAAGAAACCTACATAAGAAATCATAAAGGAAACATGTGCTTTTCAGGTTGTTATTGTTCTCCAGATCCTTCCTGCTCCTGGATGGATGACTCATTAATTTATATTTCACAAACTCTTGCTTCATTGGCCAATTATTGCCACTGTTATATATGTCACTCAAAACCCCAATATGGCTGGGTGTGGTGGGCTCATGCCTGTAATCCCAGCATTTTGGGAGGCCAAGGCTGGTGGATCACCTGAGGTCAGGAGTTCGAGACCAGTCTGGTCAATGTGGTGAAACCCTGTCTCTACTAAAAATACAAAAATTAGCCAGCTGTGCTGGCATGCACCTGTAATTCCGGCTACTTGGGAGGCTGCAGCAGGAGAATCACTTGAACCCAGGAAGCGAGGTTGCAGTGAGCCAAGATTGTGCCACTGCACTCCAGCCTGGGCAACAATAAAACTCTGGGTCGAACAAAACAAAACAAAACAAAACCAAAACCCCCAATCTGCTCTAGACCATAGCGACCCCTTAATCCAACCACTTCATAGCTTTTTGCATGTCCCTACCTGCACATTTGAACATCTGAAGACCCCTAAAAGAACAGTGTACTGAGCATGCCTTATATGAAAAACCTTTTAGGGACTACGAAGTCCCCCTGTTTCCTAGAAGAAGGCAAGTGCCTCTTTTCCCTTGATGGTGACCTGAACAGCACTCCATTTGATTGGGATGTGATGAATCAGGAAGACTTGTGGGTAGGCATAAGATTGTTCTCTTGGATTCCCACAGGGGATCCCCTCCATACTCTCCGTTATCTTAAAATTTGGGTTATCTATATTATTGATCATCCTAGTTCAATGTGGCTTAAGATGCTGTTCTAAAACCATTAATAAAAGTATGCTCAACTTTAGTTGAGCTGGGAGATGGATTTGAGACTTGCCTCCTGTCTCTCTGGCTGACATCCCCGGCAATAAAGCCTTCCTTCCCTGGCAGTACTCATCGTCTCAGTGATTGGCATTCTCTGTGACAAGCCACTGGGCCTAGGCTGAACCCCTGGTGTTCAGCAACACAATCTTAACAATATTTAACTGAATACTTTAGGAAAATTTACATGTTAGTGGCTCGAATGTCTCCTTGACCCTCCCTCTGCCACTTATATTCAGGCCTAAGCACCCCTCTTTTGGGGGAAATATGAGGATGCCATTATAGTACTGGGGTTATAAGCACAGGGACTTTCAGGAACCAGGTGGGTCACAGTGAAATACATTTCCACAGAAACTGTGGACTTGGCTCAATAAATAGAGCCATTTATAGTCACTCAAGGCCCCCACGTCCTGAACCTCAATCCATGCATGGTTTTATAACCCTTGCTTGTGCAGGAGAAGACAGCAATTGGAGAAATGCTTCAGATGGTCTTCAGTCTCCATGCGCTGAGTCATTTTTCCAGACTGGGAGAAGCTGAGTTCCATCAGCCGAGGCTCTTCAGGGTCATCAGGATCCAGGGACTGTACACATTACTGCTCCTTAGGGGCAGAGGTACTATTGTACACAGACTTCAGGGTATTGGCTGATATGTCTCAGAGCCAGAGGCCACACCAGGAACCACAGAGGGAGTCAATTATGTATCCATATTTTGATACACCCCTTAACAAAAATAACCACTTGAAGCACTTTAAACTCTTCCAGGTATAATGTATTTCAAGCAGCAAACCTAACAGGCATTTTCCTTTATACAACCTGGCAGAAACATTACGTCAACCTAAAGTACACTCTTAGAAAAAAACCATCACATTTAATTAGGCATGTCTTGCCTATGCAGATTTTCAAGTACACTGCCAATGCAGACTTTCAAGTTCTCTGTCAAGACCAAATCTCCTAATTCCAATCTCATGAAGGGACCTTTCTCTGGACTCATCTCTAGGGATAGCCTGACAGTGTGGTTTTATTTGTGAGTGCCCCTGCCAGTCACAAGCAGGCCTTTGAGGGCATGCTCCACATTGCTGCAGGAGGGCAGGCTCTGGGTAGACCTAAGAGGACCTGATGTCCAAACCTGGCTCTGCCTCTCAAGGGCTATGTGATACAGGGCAGACCTCTTCACCTTGCTAAAGGCAGTGTCTTCTGTAGAAAGGGCACTATATGTCTAACTCACAGGAATGTTGGATAGTGCACATTTAGTACAGGGACACAGGCAACATTCAACAGATTTTATTCTTATAAAATAAAGTCCTACAGTTACTAAGAGGCACAGGAGGGGCTTGCTTAACTCATGCTCTTGTGCTATCTTTGTTTTCATTTGAACAGTTTTTAATGTAAAACAAAATATACAGAAAAATGCATAAATCTAGGCAGTTTAGCAAATACTTGTAAAGACAGCACTTGTGTGAATTTTCAAGGAAAGGACAACATTACTGATATCCAAGGAGTCTCTTGTAGGTCCCACCCCTCCGTTTACTTCCCTCTCTGCCCCTCCCCTGCCTGCCCTGACCCCCTCCTCTCACACAGCGTCCAAATAGACTAGAGCTGGCTTGGCTTTTGGAAAAAGCCTTCTCTGGCAGTGAGCAGCAATCCCTGTAGCACAGGATGCTGAGCACTGGAGGATGGCAGAGGCGCTAACAGACGAGCCTACCTGCCCTCCCATTTCCACCTCCCACACAGAAGTGCATCAGTGCCCCACAGGCCACGGCCTCCCTCCAGGGCTAAGGGATAGCTGTGTGTGCTGAGAGGAACAGGCACCCAGGGGAGTCGGGGTGCAACCGCTTTTTATTTCTATGTTTCCTGACAATCTGTCTTTCCTAACCCCTTCAGAGACCAAATTCCGTTGCTTCTTTTTCTCCTGATGCCTCTGATGGCAGTGACTGCTACCATCATTCCGGCTGCAGCAGGGAGGTGCAGCTGGAGCTGCATATTCCATAGAGCCGGGGTAGGGGGGTCCTGCCCCTTCTGAGTTTGGAGGGGAGCTCTCTGTGCCACTGCAGCTGCCTAAACCACAGGTGCAGACCCAGGCCTCCTGCTCTGCGGAGCAGGTACAGCTGCCCAAACTGCGGCTGTGGATTGGTGCCTCCCTGTGCTCCTGGGGGAGCTTGGGAACAGGCGGGATCTGCCTTCCTGCCACAGATGCAGACCTGGACCTCCCACTCCATGAAGCAGGCAGGAGACTGGGACAAGTGGTAGCCCTGCCTCTTCTAAGTTGGCGGGGTGGGAGCTCCCGGGTGCAGCTGTGGCTGTCCTCCCAGGCACAGGACCTGGGCATCTCTGCAGCCTGCACCCTCGGGGGCCCCAGGAAGGAACTCCCCTCAACCCCACCATCCCTGCAGGCTCGGGGGTGTCTGCTCCCACTGCCTGGCCTCTCTACTCTGGGCGCCTGCTCAGATATCTGAAAGGGTGATTGGGGCAGAGCCCTAGGGCCATGAATGACAGCAGGAGGCAGATTGATTTCTGGCCAGAAGTGGGTGGGTGCCCAGTAAGGCCCCACCTTCAGGCCAGAGAGAGCCTGAAGGTTGGGGGCCTGGCTGCCAGTCCTGCTGACTGGAGCGGGGACTCATGTTGCCTCTTCCATGGCCACCCATGGATCAACTGGCATGCACTTCCTCCCCTCTGAGGTCCGTAAAAGCCATAAGCTCAGCCAGAGCAGGGCAGAAGATGACCAGAAGCAGAAGAGGGCAGAGAGATGGGACCACCAGCTGCAGAGATGACTTGCCAGCAGAGGGGAGCTGCTCTGTCTGCTTAGAGTTTCAGAGACCTGCAGAGACCTCTGAATGACTTGCCTGTGGAGATGAGCCATTCTCTCTAGGGCCTCCTCTCTGATGAGAACCCAACACTGGACAACCTGCTAACAGAGAGGAGCTACCCACTCCTCTGAGCTGTTCTAACACTAAGTAAAACAGTTCCTCTTCTTTGCCCTTCACTTGTCTGTGTTCCTGGAAGCAGGACGAGAACTCAGGCAAAGACACCACAGCCACAGAGGTTTCCGGCCAGAAAAATTGACACCCCAGAGATCCTGTGAACATTTTGGGGGCTTGTTCAGGATCTGTAGAAGGGTAAAAACGATTCTGTCCTGTTTTTTGGAGTCTCTAAACTCCACAATAGTCAAAATGAAGGAAAAATACCGGGCCTCTGTCAGCCAGTTAAAAGTGACTAGAGCAGTTGCAGGACTTAAGACACAGAGGACAGGCTTGCTGGGGAGGACGTTGTCAATCCCCTATCACCCTTGGGTGTTGGGAATGTTGGCTTTGTTCCAACCCAATTTCCCTTCCTGGAGGTCTACCCATTGCATGGGACTGGAAGGAGGTCCTGGGGCAACTGAGGGTATCTGGCCAAGGCCATACCTCAGTATTATCCAAAGGCCTCTGAACTAACTCCAGTCCCCAACTGCCCGTCGGCACTAGGACCTCCAGTCTTTCCTATTGTTGTTTATTTCTTGCTTTCTTTGGTGGCTGTTGTGGTTCCTATCTCTTTTCTATACAGTGTTAAATGTTAAGGATGTTTGTTGAAAACCAGGGATGTTACTGCCTAGAATGAGCATTTAGCTTAGTCATTGAAAGTATAAAATAGAAGATTGAGTAACACAAAGTGGAGTGTGCCTTGGTGTCTGTAAGTAAACTCGTGGTAAAAATGTCCTTGTAGTTTACTTGGTTGCCAACTTAGTGCCAAGCACCTTGAGGCACAGAAAAGAAGCATTGCCTCAGGAAGGAAGCTTTTCTGTAAACACGAGGGCAAATGGTCCAAGGTCCCCCATGTGCAGGCCTTCTTTGCCTTGCAGTGTAACCCTAACCCAGACCTTTGCTGACATTGTAGGATTGATTCAGCCCTCTTAGTGGCCATCTCAGGAGAGGTTACAAGGGCAATCCCAGGGAAGTAGGGAAGCAAACTCCAGAGCTACCTCCAGCAGGGGAATCAATCTTCTCTGCTCCTCCCTATCCAGGTTATCTTTCAAGTTTACCCCAGCCTAGGAATCCTGGTTTTAGGCAGGTCCCAGTCTCAACTGCCCCTACAACAGAGGCCTGGTGAATATGGCCCCATTAAGGTCCAGAGGTCACCCTTTCTCTTCAGGACTTAAGGCAAATTAAGGGGGATCTTGGCAGGTTTTCAGACAGCCCTGATAGGTATATAGAGGCTTTCTAGAACTTAACCCAAGTATTTAAACTCTTCTGGAAGGATGGCCATGTTCCTTTTTGAATCAAACCCTGAAAAGTAGGCCCTTCTCAGCAAGTGGGAAAGAATGTTGGGAATGAGTTTTATTTACATCTTGTATAGGGCCAGGGAAGGGGCGGAACATTATCCAGTTGGAAGAATAGCAGTACCATTGGAGGACCCTAATGGGACCCCAGTGATGAAGTGGGACAATGGAAGGAAAAACTCTCAGGTGTGTATATTAGAAGGCTTGTGAGGGACTGGGACTGGGCCTCTCAATTGCACTGGGCTATCCATGGTAGATCAGGGATTGGATGGGAGTTCCAGTATCTTCCTGGAAAGGCTAACAGGAGTCTTGGTAAACACACCCCTCTATCTCCTGATTCAATAGAGGGACAGCTGGTCCTAGATCAGGCAGCCCCTCGTATCAGGAGGAAGCTGCAGAAAGAGGCCATAGAATCAGGTAGTACCTCCTGAAAGTGGCCACCTTGGTCTTGTACAATAGGAATCAGGAGGCCCAAGAGAGGGAAAGGCGACTCAAGAAAAAGGCAGAGGCTGTAATAGCCATATTGCAGGCTCACAAACCCCAGAATTCTTAAGAAGCACCTGTTGACCTCTGCAAATGTAAACCACTGGAGGGCAGACTATTCCCAAGACATGGGTTGCTGGGTCCAGGGCCAGTGTCCCAAATGGAGCAGCAGGGCTGATGGGTTCCAGGGTTCCTTTTCCTGGCTTTGGTGATTCAGATCATCATTGCCATTTAGGAGCCCTGGGTGATTCTGGGGATTGAGGGGAGGAGGATGGACCTCTTCGACTCTAGTGGGCCTTCCAATTCTCCTCTCCGACCTATGCCCTCCTTTTAGCATTACCGTGAGGGGGTCAGGAAAAGGTCAACCTCTTAGTTGTCACCTTCTTAGGCCGGGTCCCCAATTCCTGGGACTCCCTTTATCTCCCTTGTTTGAGGAGGACCTGGTCCCACAGCTTCACCTGCTTGTGTTAGGGAGGCAACAGAGAGTGGCCCCTACCCGTTGCTAGATGCAATTTAGCAAGGGCCATCTAGGACTAATTTAAAGGGTTCATACACCCTTCTGAGGTACCTTTTTATCGCAACACCTCTAGGGTCTTTCCCCTGGCCCCTAGCAGCATGCTTGCAGAGAGGCATGGCAGCTTGTCTTTAGGTAGATTGCTTATGTTTCAGATAGAAAACGAAATCCTTGTCAGACATACTATTGAATCTATCCTTGAGTGTATGAATTCTCAAGTTTGGTTGCATCTTGTTTAGACTTTGTTCTCAAGTATTTAAAAAATGGCTGGCTTTGTTCTTTAGGATAACAAGCTCCTTTAGTTCGAAAAGCTTCCCACTTCATTTGATGATTCAGTATTAATGTAGTGCCTCTGTGAATGCCAGGGCAGGGTTGGGAGCGCAAGGCCGAGGTCCTGCCATTTGGAGTAAGATTTTCCAGACAGGGCAGGGCTGGGCTGTGAATCTATCAAGACCACCCTGGCCCCTTGCCCTGTGCACAATCCCCAGCAGTCACTTCACAAACATGTTGGTTTAATTCAACTTCAGGACCTCCTGGGTGACTTGAAACAGGAGATTCTGGGTCACTTCTGGCTGGATAGTGACCCTGATGGTATAAATCTTTGATTTTGGGAATTCTGTAGGAAGTAATCTTAAGAATTTAATATGGCAAATCCCTCATTCTCATGACCCATCCAGGTAGCACTTCTACAAAGGCACAGTGAGACAGGTGACACACCAGCTGTCTGCATACAGCCATGTAAGCCTCTGAGGGACAAGAACCAGGCAGGGGTGCCAACCCTGCCCAAAGCATCAGGAGGCTCAGGGAAGCCACCCAGGGGAGTCCTGGCATCAAGGTCAATGTTTGAGCATTCACTCCAGTATATCCTGGGCACACCTAATAATTACTCAGAGACATCAATCTAAATGAGGGCTTTTTTGAGGAACAAAAGCCTTAAGCTACAGTAAATTCTTAGTAAAAACCTACTGGGTTAAAGTTGAGTTATTTAAGGATATACTTTTTTGGCATTAAGACAGCTTAAAATGGAATTCAGATCATTTACCAGATATGTTGGCAATAACCAATAACCCACAAAATATTTGGATTCTTACTATATGTGAGTCTGCATTTCAGTAGCTGAAAGCTTAAGCTTAGAGGTAGTGAGATAATGTATCCAAATGCAAAATGATTTTTCTGTGTAACTACGGAAAGTACCATGATGCTTTTTCCAAGGGCCCACAGAGACTGTCAAGTCTATTAAAAATGGGGTTGGTGAATTGTATTTTGTTGTTTCCCTATATTATCTTCCTATTAATTTAGCAAATAAGGAAGTTAAAGACCTCTTTAGTGAATTAAATATCTTGTTAATGTTACTGTATGATCTTTTACATAGTCAAGACCAAGCCAAAACAAACAAAGACAGATATGGGGCAACCACATTTTATCTCATTAGTGAACAATGGAAGGCATCCAGAGAGGAGGCCAGAGCACTCTACCATAATAGAGTTGCCTTTGATTTGAAATAGAATTTATTTTCTAACATCAAACATTCCAACTCACTTGGTGAAGGGGAAGAAGGTGGTCATCAAGACAAAAATTTGACAGTATTTAGATTTCCAAGTTACATGCTGGTGTGTAGTATCACTACAGAATTTGTAGTGTATAATAGTAGCAGTTAAATCTTATTCTTTATACCACCTGAAACACGTAATCTTACATGAGTTTGTGCAAACAGGAGCATATGTGTTTATGAAATAAAGTCTACATTAAGAGTATGTGGGGAGCAGGAGAGGAGGGAACAAAATGCCGAAGACAGAGACAAGAGAGCAAACGGAATTAAGTGCTTTTCGATATAGTTGGAAAGCAGAGGAGATGTGTGCTGGTGGTAGGTGGTAGGTGGTAAAGTTAAAAAACAATTAGAGAGGTAAGCCAGGACTGGATCCAGGGCTGGATTTTGGCTTGTAAGCCAAAATAAGGAATTTGGACTTCATCCTAAGAGCAATGGGGGACTTTTAAGCCATTTTCAATAGGGAAGAGACATAATCAGATTTGCATTTTGCAGAGATACTTTGATCTGCATTGTGGAGAATAGACTGGAGTGGCAAGGGACAGGGAGCTGTGGGTGCAATTGGAAGAGCATCACAGTTGAAAATGTTAAGAGGATATGTGCTCTCCTTCAATGTCCACATTTCTGGAAATCACATACTAAGAAGACGAAGTCCTCTTGATAAACTTTATCCAGTGGATCCTGACTTCAGGATGGAAAAAGACTCTGTCATAGGCTCTTGCTGCAATGCTGTCCAGCGTCTGTCCAGAACATAGATAGGATTTAGGATATGATCATTGTGTGCATGACTACTTCTCAAAGTGTCTTTGAATCAAATAGGTTGTATGTTAAGGATAACAAACCCTGATGTCTTTTGATATTTCTGGCAAGTAAGTAGTAGCCCAAGAGCCAGGAATCTTCATAATCTCCAAGTCTGGCTGAATGGTTGAATTCATGGCTTATTTTCGCTTTGAAAAAAGTTGGATTTCTCAGTAGGATGAACTTACCGTAACTAGGAAGGCTTGTGTTTTCTAGCCATGTTTTGAAAGACTGAGGAATGCTGAGAGAGAACATGAGAAAAGGTCACCCCAAGACAATGTAAAAGTTTGGGATCGAAGGCTTTCTTCAGTCGAAGATTATAGCATTCATTTTAAGGCTTTTTTTTTTTTTTAAGTTTCAAGGTGCACTGACAGTATACACTGTGTTTGGGTTCTGATGTACACTACTACCTATATTATGTAAATATTTATGATATATATCCTAGGAATCATTGGTAAGAATGATCTAAAATGCTACAGTAGCTTTCTTCATACTTTAAGTAGAATCTCTTGATTCCTAAGGGAAATCACTGAAGAGGAAACTTGTTTGGATTTATTTTGAGAAGACAGACTTTTAGGACATAATTTGGCACCGAAGAGACATCCACAAAAACCAAAGCTGTATTGAGCTACCTATTCTGTTTTCTCCAAAACTCCATTTTTAAACTTTAATAAACACAATTTGTCTACCTAAAATAAGAATGGCTAGAGAGGTTCTAACTGTTGTACTCACTCACTAAAGGTGTATCTTTAGGCCACTTGGTTTTTTTCCTTTCACGGCGTTTCAGTCCACCTCAGTGGGACGGACTCATGCACCAATGTCCAGAACACTTCTACTGGCCGTTGGTTCATGTCTGCAAAACTGGCTTCAGTTACCTCCTTCCTAAGAGTTAGTCATGCACAACACAGCTGATGTTGGTCAACTGACTTTGAACACTGAAGGTAGTTAAAAGATGGAAAAGTGCCTGGTTAGAGATAGATGTGGCAGGTTTAGAAAGAAAACTTAAGGTGGGTATATTTTCAAAGGAGTTGATTGGTATGCCTTCTATTCATATAAGTATACAAAGACAGGGAACTCGCTCTGTCTCCCAGGCTGGAGTGCAGTGGTGTGATCCTAGCTCACCGCAGCCTTGGACTCTTGGGCTCAAACAATCCTTCTGCTTCAGCCTCCCAAGTAGCTGGAACTACAGGTGTGTGCCACCACACCCAGCTACTTTTTAAATTTTTTGTAAAGAAGGGGCCTCACTGTGTTGTCCAGGCTGGTCTCTAATCTTGCCTCAAGCGATCCCCTGGCCTCTTCTTCCTAAGGTGCTGAGATTACAGGGGTGAGCCACTGCATCTGGTGTCTATTCCTACTAGATTTTAATTGAATATTTACTATAGAGCTGTATGGGTAATACTGTGTCAGGTAACATGAGAGGTCTAAAAGTAATCTAAGAACCATCCCTCTTGCCCTAAAAAACTTCCAACAGTTGAAACGATAAGACACATATGAAAAGTTAAATAATAAAAGGCTGTATACAACCACAATAAATGAAGTTGATTTGGGGGAGTATGCAGTGAGGTGTGGGGAGGCCAGGTGCCTTTGAAGGAGAAATGAAGCAGGTGGGGTAATAAAGTGATTTACAAGAAATTATGGCAGAAGAATGTTTTACAGGCAGAGGAGATGTTCTCCAGAAGACAGAAGAAACAGCAATATAAGCAAAATCAGAGATATGAGAGTGTTTTGTTGAGCATCAGACCTCACTGATAAGCTCTGAATTATTAGCATCACAGAGAGGGAGGAAGAGACAGGAGGTGACATTAGAAAGCTTGGACCAGATCACAAAAAATCAAAAAAATTCATGCCAAGGATTTAACTTGTTGACAATGGGGCTTCATCTAAGCTTTTAAGTGGGGAAATGTCACACAACTTATAAGATAGGCATTTTTTATAAAAAAATTAAAAATAATTTAAAGTAATCAAAAGAAAGGAAAACATGACAAAATGAGGCTGCTGCGGTGTTAGACATCAGTGTCCTTTTCATAGCTGAGAAGATCTCTATTCAATGCTGTTCAACATGCTAGGAAATACGATGGTAATGAAAACAGATAAGAAGTGCCCTTCACTGGGCTGTCTTTTTGGGGGTCCTGAATGTCTTCGGAGCAAGTGACCTAATGAGCTACAGAAGTCAGGAGACACAGAAACAGAAACATCAGTGTCAGGAGCTTTGAAGGGCCATGCAGAACTGGCAGGTATTATACAGCAGAGTGCAGAGCTAACACTGCCTGAGGCTGACACCTCAGTGCCCCCTCTTGGTCTCTTTTGCCCCTACTTCTAATCATTAGAGCCACAAAGTTCTCAGGGTTTACCCTCTGCAGCTTTCTCGCAACTTCCTGGAAATCTAGATAAAATACTGAGGTTAGAATGTCAGTGGCCACTCCAAACTCACCTGACAGATCACCGCAGAATAAGAACCGAAACCTGTGAGCTTTCCATAGTGTCATGAGGCCTTTGCCAGAGGTGTGAACTTCCGCCCGAGGGATTCTCCAGGAAACCTGAATTTCCAAATTCTGAACCTGCCTCTGTAGATTGCAGTGGTACTTTTCCCTCTTAACTTTAACCGACTTTGGAGTTCAACATCCTGTCTACCCCACCTTTGAGGCCCTTCTCCCTGTAAGCACTAGCTCTGTTAGCTGGGTTCTGCTGGCCTTCTGAAAAGGACAAAATGGGGGCCAGCAAGAAACTCGGCCAGGTCATGGTTGGCAACAGGTTGGGCCTCAGGACACTGGGAGGGGCAGGTTAGGAAACAAAATGACTAGAGGTGGTCAGGGGAGTCTCGGGGTTGGCCTGAGGGCCTGCTCTATAGAGGTTTGCTTTAATCACAGGCACAAAATTGACCAAATATATTTGTCATTGGTGACTACGGCAAGAGTATGTATGGGATGGGAGGCTGGAGAGACGCTCATTGTCACTCGTTGTATGAGGAATGGATAGGTATACATATTTTAGACTAAAAGGGGAAAGTTCGCCTCTAATTTCAAGCAGGAGCTTTTTATGTTAAAATGTAAACCTCATCCCCCACTTCCTGCCCTTTTTTTTTTTTTTGTCCAACAGAGTCTTTCTGAGTTTGTATTTAGCTGTTGAGATTAGTTTAAAAAACACCTCTCTGATGACCACAGCATGTAGGAAGAAGCTGGGTCCGAAAGAGAGAATGCAATTGCCAAAGAGAACACAGAAACAGGTGCAGCAGGCTTGGGCTGGCCTGAGAGGTCATTAGTGGCCACTGCAAACTTCACCAGCCCAAGTGGAGAGAGGCAGAGCTTCCCATGAATCCAACCAGGAAAATATTGCAGTTTAAAAAACACCTCTCTGATGACCACAGCATGTAGGAAGAAGCTGGGTCCAAAAGAGAGAATGCAATTGCCAAAGAGAACACAGAAACAGGCACAGCAGGCTTGGGCTGGCCTGAGAGGTCTTTAGTGGCCACTGCAAACTTCACCAGCCCAAGTGGAGAGAGGCAGAGCTTCCCATGAATCCAACAATGACAACATTGCACTCCGAGACTGTTCCTCCAGCACCCGCCTAGGCAAAGTCCAGGTCTCAGAAATAAGGACACCACCGCAAGAAGAGGACTCCCAGTGACAATCTACTCCATGGGACACGAGGAAGAGGATTGAAACCTAACTGGGATGTTTCCCTCCCAGCTCTGGCTAAGGCTTACCATCTATTTCATAGCATGGAAAAATTCCAGGCTCATAGCAGCACGCGTTATACAAAGCTTTTAGTTTCCAGCAAGTTTCATTTGTAAGAAAATACACACAATTCACATATACGGTGACCTTGTAATTCTCCCTCCTCCTGCTTCTTTTCCCAGCAAAAATTCTATTTTACCCCCTCATGATCCCCCTTCCAAAGCATTCCTCGGGATTTCTAGGTGCGTTTTCCTTTGGGATCTGAATGCCCCCTTCTACTAGATCACTTTGCTCCCAGAAGCACCTGGAGGGAGGCATGGCCACTTCGTCATGTGCCTAAGAGACCCCCTTCCTCCATTCTCCTGCTCCATTCCCCTCACAGAGGCCACTCCCCGGCTGCCACCAGCTCCCCTGGATCACCCCTCTGTTGGCACTGGAGTGCACATGGTACGGTTCCTTTACACCCCAGCCCTCTCCTTTCTGGAGCATACTGCACTGAGGCGGGGGAAGCCAGACAAGCTCTACCCAGCCTCCCAGGGAGCCACCCAACCCTGCTGCCTGGCCGACATGCTTTGCTGCTCTGCTGTGCCCTTGGATAAACTTCTTTATTCATAAGGATTTTCTCCTGGAACTGCTCTACTTTTCCCCTTCAGTCTGGTTTCTTTCTGGGACACTCAGTCCAGCAGAAATATCTGAATATCATTGGTTTCAAACATCCCTGTGGAGCTCCTTCTCCTTCAGGTTCATCAAGAGATGTGGCTGGACACTGTGTCAGTGGCAGTTAAGAGGTTTCCCAAAGTTCTGTGACAGTTAAGAGGCCGTTTGTCTGCAGCAGGGAGGCTGACCTCTGGGTCAGAGGTCATGACTTCTAAGGTTTCTCCGCTCTGGCCTGGATACAATGTCCTTTTCCACGTGTATAACAAACTATGTATTATTTTCAGTCATCCCAGGTGCATGTTCCCAGCTGAGGTTGAACAAGGCCACAGTCTGCCTTCCCATCTCAGCTCTTATACTATAAGCAAGTGTCATCTTTGTGGTCTCTTTAGTGTCACGTTTTTAGCATTTTTTGTGCTTTTTGTTGGTGACTTTGCTGTTTAAAATGCCCCTGTCCAAGTGTAGTGCTCAAGTGCTGCCCAGGATTGCTGAGTGCAACAAAGGCTGTGATGTGCCTTATGCAGAAAATACGTATGCTAGAGAAGCTCCATTCAGAAGTGCGTTTTAGTGCTTTTGTCTGTGAATTAAATGTTAATGAATCAATAATATATATTAAATAAGGTGTCCTTAAACAGAAACCTACATAAAATAAGATTATGCTTATTGGTTGATGAAAATGTTGTGGCCAGAAGCTTGCAGAGACCTGACTCTGTATTTCCCCTAAGAGCGATGGTTTAGTGTTTGTTAATTCAGCATTCCTGACAACCTTATGGGAGATAGCTACTGTGAATAACAAAAATAGACTATATTGTCTAGAAGAATAAGAGAGTGCATGAACTACGGAAGTATAATACCATTGTTGGGCAGCCATCAGGGCCCACTAGACTTTCAAGATCATGAATTTAAAGTAAGACAATCAATGTGACTGTGTTTTCCTCCAGCTACATTAGTGAGTCTGATGAAGCCATACAGAGGAAGAGCCATACAAGGGAGTGATTATGATGACTGTCCTTTATGGTTTATGTCTGTGTGTGTGTGCGTGTATATATATATATATATATATAGTCCCCCAAAATTGTTAGCATAACGGGAGCCAAGAATATCTTTTTAATTTAAATAAAATTTTTAAAAATGCATATTTCTCTGACATCCCTCAATAAAAATAAAGACTGTTTCCTAGGACATATAAACTGTGACCAATATCTTTGACTAGTAGATACTAGAATTTGATGGCATCCACTCAGGGACACCTGGCTTTCCTTGTGTGCTTTGTACACACTGAGAATTTTCTGGTAAATCAGGCATGATTCAGTTTTCTTTTCTCTTTGTGTATTTAGTTCAGGATTTGGGGGCATCTGGTAGTTTGTCAGGACTGGAATCCATGCCTCACCAATTACTAGCAGAACAACCTCTTTTAACCTCAGTTTTCTCATCTAGAGATAATGTTAGTGTCTTCTCACTGGGTTGTGTAAACTTAAAAGATGATATTTGCAAGGTGCTTTAAAAGTAGTGTCAAACACATAGGATGTCCCTACAAGCTAGTAGTAGTTGTTGTGGTGATGATGATTATGGTACTGGGAAGCTGGCCCATAGTTAGGAATGTAGAAAGTAGTAGCCGCCAGTTCTTACTTCAGACAATAGGGACTGTGTTCTGACTGGAGAAGAATGGGTCTCAGCTCAGACTTGGGAAATGTCTCACCAGGTTCCCGAAGAGCCCACTTGGTATCTTTAGATCATAAAAGAGTAAGATGTCAGAAAAAGAGACATTCTTGGTGCACATACAGTAGTTGTTGGCCTGCCGACCCTGGGCCAGGTCCCAGGCTGTCAGGCCAGCCTGTGGGAGAGATACAGAGAGGGAAGAAGAGGGAGTCCCAGTGGTTGGATGGGGAGGCCACCCTCTGAAACAATCATCAACAGAAATCTTGCTAGAAGGGAGGGAATAAGTTACACATTGAGTTAAGGCCAGATGAAGCTAGAGAAGTAGATGAACTGGACACCACACATTGCTAAACCAAAAAGCTAGAGAGAGGTGAGGCAAGAGAGGGTTGGAGAAAGAAGGGTGCTCCGGGTGAGGCAGTGAAGACAACAAGATGTAGATTAGGGGAAGGACCCACTGGAATGGATCATTATTGAGGGACCCCCCCACCCTGCTTCAGTGGAGGGGTCTCCCTTCCTCTCATGTGGGACTTGGTGCTATTGTTATTGAACCAGAGGCAGGTGGTTATCGTGAAGGGGCCGGGTTGGATGCCAGCAGCTACCTGTCCAAGATTTAGGGAGCAGATACTCAATTTAAAATCTGCCCTCCCTTCTGCAGAGTGGCATGACAATATTTGCAGACTGTATCTCCTATTTTTTTTTAAATTGAAAACTAGATTTTTTTTGTTTTTTGTTTTTGAGGTGAAGTCTCACTGTGTCACCCAGGCTGGAGTGCAGTGGCATGATCTCGGCTCAGTGCAACCTGCACCTCCAGGGTTCAAGCGATTCTTCTGCCTCAGCCTTCCCAGTAGCTGGGATTACAGGCACTTGCCATCATGCCCTGCTAATTTTTTTTTTTTTTTTTTTTTAGTAGAGATGGAGTTTCACCATGTTGGCCAGACTGGTCTTGAACTCCTGACCTCTAGTCATTCGCCCCCCCTTGGCCTCCCAAAGTGCTGGGATTACAGGCATGAGCCATCGCTCCTGGCCTGAAAACAAGTTGTTTTTTGTTTTTTTGTTTTTTTTTTTTTTGAGACAGAGTCTCGCTGTGTCACCCAGGCTGGAGTGCAGTGGCGAAATCTCGGCTCACTGCAACCTCCACCTCCCGAGTTCAAGCAATTCTCCTGCCTCAGCCTCCCAAGTAGAGTAGCTGGGACTACAGGCGTCCACTACCGTGCCTGGCTAATTTTGTATTTTTAGTAGAGATGGGGTTTTGCCATGTTGGCCAGGTTGGTCTCAAACTCCTGACCTCGTGATCCGCTCGCCTCGGCCTCCCAAAGTGCTGGGATTACAGGCATGAGCCACCGCACCCAGCCACAACTAGTATTTTTAATATATCCTTGGGATGGTTGAAAAATTAAGGTAAACAGAATCTAAATGTTCTTCTGGGTTAGCCAGGAAGGGTTTCATGGAGAAAAGTAAGAGGAAGAAGAAGACTTATTAAAAGAAAAGAAACAAAGGGAAAGGGGCAGATAGTTCCAAAAGAGAATTCTCTTTCAGGTGTGAAGAAAGGTCTCAGAGTTGGGGACAAGAATTGAGGAAAGGGAATAGAGATGGAGCTGGCAGTTGCTTGGTAGCTCAAAGGTGGTAAACTTGGGAATAGGAACTGCCAAGGAAATATAGGAAGGGGCTGGCATCCCAAAGAGGAAATTAGGAACTGAAATGCTAGCATTGGATCTGTGGGGTAGAGGAAGAGGAAACTGTGAGAGAGACAGCATTATGACCCACACCATGACGGGTGTGTGGGAGGCTATTAACAAACAGGACGTTTCTTCACCACACAAACAAATGAAGGTGGAGAGGGGTGGCTTGCTCAGCATGGCCACCTGGACTGTGGTTGAGACCTGAGCCTCTAGTGTCAGCCAAGGCATGGCTCTGATCTGTCTTGACAGGAACAAATGCTTGCTATTCAGACACACATGCTCCACAGAAAAGGAGATTTGTAGAAGCCAAAGAGAAAGCTTCTCTTTTCTCTTTGCGTTATACAATATTTGACATATACAAACTAATATATGCAAGTCATGAAGAAAAATGCACAAAGGTACAAAGGCAACTAGAAGAGTACTAATGCCATTGAAATTGTTTCAGGTCCTACTGGATTCCATTATTCCCTGGGGTTAAACCATATTTCAGAGTGATCTGAAGTTGCACTTACCTGATTTTAAGTTGCATTTACCTGATTTCTAATGAGGTCAAGTATCTAAGGTCCATTAGTGTTTTCTCTTCAGTTTGAAATAAGTACTTGTTTAAATCTTTTTCCCATTTGCCTCCCTCATTGGTTTATCTTTTTTATTCATTTGTACGAGGTTTTAAGATTTTTGTAAAGAATTCTCCATAATGACCACTTATCAGTTAAATTTGTTGTAAATATTTTCTTGCTTTTCTCACTTGTCTTTTCACTTGATGACAGCTTTTGTTTAACAGAAGTTCTTAATTTTAGAGTCACAATAATTTTAGAGCACATAGAAATCTGTGAACTCATCACACATATCTTTCCCTCAGGGTGACATGTTACGTAACTGTAGCATGATATCAAAACCAGGAAATTCTGGCTGGGTGTGGTGGCTCATGCCTGTAATCCCAGCACTTTGGGAGGCTGAGGCGGGTGGATCACCTGAGGTCAGGGGTCCGAAACTAGACTGACCAACATGGTGAAATGCCATCTCTACTAAAAACACAAAATTAGCTGGGTGTGGTGGTGTGCGCCTGTGATCCCTCGCTACTCAGGAGGCTGAGGGAGGAGAATCACTTGAACCTGGGAGGCGGAGGTTGCAGTGAGCCGAGATCATGGCAGGAGAATCGCTTGAACCCGGGAGGTGGAGGTTGCAGTGAGCCGAGATCGCGCCATTGCACTCCAGTCTGGCTGGGCAACAAGAGCAAAACTCTGTCTCAAACAAACAAACAAACAAACAAACAAAAAACAAACCCCAAACCACCCCCCACAAAAAATACCCAGGAAATTCACACTGGTACAAAACCATTAACTAGATTACAGACCTTGTTCAGTCTCTGCCAGTTTTTACATGAACTTCTTGTGTGTGTACACGTGTGTGTGTGAGTGTGACCTATATGGTTTCACAGATAAGTTTTACCAAACTTTCAGGAAACAGATGATTCCAATCATATATTACATTGTTCCACATAAAATATTACTATTCAACCCATGGAAAATTGACTCTGAGTAGTATATTTGATATAAGTATGATTCAAGTTGTAATATCGAGAATTTACAACAATATTGTGCTTGTCAATTTTGCTTGACTATTGAAGTGACTTTTTAATTGTTTGTATTTTTCCATAGAAGTAAACAATATATAGTGCCCTTGAAAAAAATGCAAATGAATACTTTCTTATATCAATTTAAACCGGAACTCCATACAGCTGAGGCAGATAGAAGCACCATTTTGCCTTTGGAACAGCTCTTTTAGTAAAAGGATTATTTAACGATAGTTTGAAAATTTTATTCTAGAAATTAGAGTTTCATAATTGAATCTCAAAATAGATCCAAGTCTGTTTTAAATAAAAACAAATTAAAAGCCAAGCCACAAAAAAATAATTCAGAGATTTGGAACCAACTCAAGAAATGTCTACTAAGAACACCTGGCTACAGTAGGGGAAGGGGAAGAAATTGGACAAGTGACTCTAACATCATTTCAAAATAAAAAATTTAAAAATACACGGAACTGTTGCTTCCTACTTTTATTTTCATTTCATGTATTTTTAAATTGTTTCTGAAACAGACACAAAGCATGCAGTATTTACCTCTCAATCCACCTTACTGTTGTTCACACTAACTAGAATGGAGTCCCTTAAAAGGCTGCTAAAAAAGCAGAGTTTCCACATTTATTTTTTTCAAACTTGGCTCCAAAAAAAAAAAAAAAAAATCCCAAGAAAGTAACCCACAGTTCTTTGTCTACCATCTGAACTGTAAGTTAGTATAAATAATCTAGTTTTATGGGAATAATAGACACTGTGGACTACTAGATGGAAGGAGGGAGGAAGAGAAGTGTGGGTTGAAAAACTACCTGTTGGGAACTATGCCCACTACCTGGGTGCACAGGTACCCATGTGACAAACTTGCACAGGTACCCCCGTCTCTAAAATAAAAGTTAAAATTTTTTTAAATCTAATTTTGATAATAATTAAAGAGACAAGGGTGGATAGTGTCATCTACTGAATGATGTCCAAAGAGCTTCATAAAGATGATAGTTAAATGTTAACCCATCCACAGGAGGTAATCATTAGAGCATTATTGTAGCAAATCCTCTCACAAACTTTGTATTCTTAGGTTTCTAATACCAATTTAAAATCCCTTTGATTCATTTGGTGCCATTGCTTCACAGATCCATTTCCAATCCCCGGAGTGTCAGAGATTACTCTGCACTCTAACTTGAAAGTTCCCTCTGTTCCCAGGTATAGAGGCATTTTTGCAATTGCCCGGTGGAAACTTTTTTGTCATCTCTCCTGTCAGTATTGCATTAAGTGCACTCAGCCCACCATGTGGGCCTTCACTTGTCATTTTAATGGATCGCTGGGCTGCTGCTACAAAGGAAGTCTGTCCAGGAAACACTATGACTGGAGAGCACATTCAAGAGAAGCTCACAGAGCAGTGATTAGTAGGAGCCTTTTCGCCCCTATTGAATACCAGTCTTTTTATAGCTGATTGTCAGAGGCTTTGAAAATAAGCCACCTTGTGAAATGAAACAATGTGTCCACATTTTGGATGGATAAAGGATCCAGATTCATTTATGCAGTTTATGAAAAAACTAATAGTTTTTAGCAATTAAGCTACTTTCAATTTTAAGTCTATTTCTAATGTTCTAAAATTGAAATGGTAGAAATATTTTCACACACCGTGTAATTCCTTTTTCTGCCATGGGTGTCCGTGGATGTCTCAGGCTGGTCAGTCAATTACATGCCTCAATTCTTTGCCTTGACCAAACCTGCCGCAATGATGGGAGAAAGACTGCCAGCATCAGGAGAGTATTTTGTGCTGTCAGAGACCTCCGAGGTGAAAATAGTTGGCTGTATTTCTTGTGCCTTTGTGCAGTGGACAGTCCTATCAGGAAGAGTAGACATGAGTTGGAGAAAGTGCTGAGTTGAGATAATCACTGCTCTTCTGGCCTTGAGCCTTTTCTGTACACAGCAGGGCTGCACCAATCTTTGTTCCTTCAATCTTCCATGAGGCTTCCTTGGATTTCTCCTTTTCTTCACCCAGAAAGGGTCCCCTTAGTTTCCTTGGAAGCAGACTACTTGGTAGAAGAAAACTGAGTGACTCCCACATTTCAAATGTATTATTATTATTAATATACTTTTTAGTATTGTCATTTGCTTCATTTAAAACTGACTTTGGGCCGGGCATGGTGGCTCATACCTGTAATCCTGGCACTTTGGGAGGCTGAGGTGGGCAAATTGCTTGAGCGCAGGGGTTCAAGACCAGCCTGGGCAACATGGCAAAACCCGTCTCTGCAAAAAATACAAAAATTAGCAGGGTGTGGTGATGTGCCTGTAGTCCCAGCTGTTTGGGAGGCTTAGGTGGGAGGATCACCTGAGCCTAGAAGGTCAAGGCTGCAGTGAGGTGTGATCACGCCACTGCACTCCAGCCTGGGTGACAGAGTGAGATCCTGTCTTAAAAGAAAAAAAAAGTACACGAAAAACAAACAAAAACCCCTGACTTTGTCTAAGTTAATGTTGGAAAAAGAATTCTAATAATTTTCAAATATTTCCTTTTATTCTTTTTTCTCAGCTTTCTCGAGGTATGATTGACAAAAATTGTATATATTTAAGGTGTACAATGTGATGTTTTGATTATATGTGTACTTTGTGAAACGATTACCACAATCAAGCTAACATATCCATCATCTCACCTAGTGTCTTAGTTCATTCAGGCTGCTGTAAAAAAAGACCTTAGACTGGGAAATTTATAAACAACAGAAATTTATTGATTGGGGTTCTGGAGGCTGGGACGTCCAAGATCTGGGCACCAGCAGACTCAGTGTCTGGTAAGGGTTTACAGTCTGCTTCATAGATGGCGTCTTCTTGCTGCATCCTTACGCAGTAGAAGGGACAAACAAGCTCTCTTGCCCTCCTTTGTCTCGGCTTACTGCAAACTCCACCTCCAGGTTCAAGCAATCTCCTGCCTCAGCCTCCCGAGTAGCTGGGATTACAGGCATGCGCCACCACGCCCGGCTAATTTTGTATTTTTAGTAGAGATGAGGTTTCTCCATGTTGGTCAGGTTGGTCTTGAACTCCTGACCTCAGGTGATCCTCCCACCTCGGCCTCCCAAAGTGCTGGGATTACAGGCGTGAGCCACCGTGCCCGGCCTCTTGCCCTCTTTTGTAAGGGCACTAATCCCTTTAACTAAGCACCTCTGAAAGTCCCCCCTTCTTAATACTATTGCATTAGGAAATCAGTTTCAACATATAAATTTTGAGAGACATAAACATTCAGACCATTGCACCTAGTTACTATTTTTGTGTGTGTGTGGTTCTACTCTCTCAGAAAATTTTAAGTATGCAATACATTACTATTAAGTATAGTCTCCATGCTGTACATTAGGTCTCCGGAATTTACTTGTAACTCAGGAATCTGTACCCTTTAACCAACATCTCCCCATTTTCCTCCACCCCAGACCTTGATAACCACCATTCTACTCTCTGCTTCCATGAGTTCAACTTTTTAATATTCCACATATAAGGGAGATCACACAGATTTTGTCTTCTGTGTCTGGTTTATTTCATTTAGCATAATGTTCTCCAGGTTCATCCATATTGTCACAAATGGCAGGATTTCCCTCTTTTTTAAGGCTGAATAATATTCCACAGTGTATGGTGTTTGTATGTATCACATTTTGTTTATTCATTCATCTATTGACATTTAGGTAGCTTCTGTATCTTGGCTACTGTGAATAAAGCTTCAATAAACATGAGCGTGCAGATGTCTCTTTGAGTTAGTGATTTTATTTTCTTTGAATATATACCCAGTAGTGGGATTGCTGGCTAATATGGAAGTTTCATTTTTAGCTTTTTAAAGGAACTTCCATACTGTTTTCCATAATGGTTATACCAATCTACATTTTCACCAACAGTGTACCAGGGTTCACTTTTCTTCACAACCTTGCCAACACTTATTATGTTTTGATTTTTTTGATAATGGTTATCCTAACAGATGTAAGGTGATACCTCATTATGGTTTTGATTTGCATTTCCCTGATTGTTAGTGATGTTAAGCAAGTTCCTCATCTTTATTCTATAAATGTATCACCTTATTTCCAGTGACTCATCCTGAGAAAAGGGTGTTATTTCATAGATAGATAAATCACGGCTCATAAAAGACCAGGATCCTTACTTTAAAATGCCAAATCACTAGGTTCTCAGGTCCCATTGCCAGTCTTGATTTGACCTGTGTCATCTCTAGCCTCTCGACTTTGAGGGTAAAGTGATCTCTAATGACCTTTTTCCGGAATCTTTTATTTGAGAGGCTAGTCGCTTGAAGTTCAGAAAATAAAGGGAGTAGAATTCCTGGCTGACTTTTAAGAATGACAACAGAAATCAATATTGCTGGCTCTTAGCTTCACTGGACTTCAATTTAATGAACTGAAGATGTCTTTCTAGTTATTTGAGGATCCTCTGACAATGACATTTGAATCCCTCACAATCATTGGCTTTGAAAATTGAACAAATAGTATGGAGCCAAGAGCTGGGCCATAGGGATAGAATGAGTGTTACTCTGTGGCAGTGCATCCCCAGGTCTCCTAGAGATGATGCACTATATGATTAAGCCAAGGGTCAGCCTCAGACCTCTTTTCTTTCCAATGCTCGCAGGGAAGATTGCCCAGAGTGAACACTCTAGATGAGATCCATTTGCCATTGCTGAGCTGGATGATAAAGTCTATAGAACCTGGTGGAGACCTGCTTTGGTTTCAAAGATCTTGCTGAATAAAGATGAATTACAGACTCATGATGGCTGATAGTAAAATGACTTCAGATGTATAGAAAATAATATTTTTGTTGAAAGTTTGAAGGAATTTACTGATATCTTACAGGACTTCTGAGGCATAACTTAGTAAACGCCCTAAGGAAAGTACATTTAGGAAAAGGAATTGCAGAAAAGAGTCTTCTCCATCCTGCTGTAGCATATTAGATATTCAAAAGCCAAATATAAACGATTTGTTACTACTTAATTTATTTCTACATTTTGTCAGTATAGCTTCTTGAGACTTAACTGTGTGACCAGTCAGCCAGTCAACACATGTTGTGTGCCTACTGTGTGGTAGAAACTAGCAGTTTAAAAACTTAAGGCCTGATGCAGTGGTTCATACCTGTAATCCCCATACTTTGTGGGGGTGAGGCAGGAGGATTGTTTGAGCCAGGAGTTTGAGACCAGCCTGGGCAACATAGCAAGACTCCTTCTCTACAGACGATAAAAAATTTAAAATTAGTCAATTGTGGTGGTGTGTGCCTATAGTCCCAGCTACTCAGTGGGAGATTGCTTGAGCCAAGGAGGTTGAGGAAAAATAAAAATGTAAACACATGCATTACTTAACGTTGGGTAATACAAACAGCTTTTGTTTTTGTTTTCGTTTTTGAGACAGGATCTCACTCTGTTGCCCAGACTGGAGTGCAGTGGCAGGATCTCGGCTCACTGCAACCTCCACCTCCCAGGCTCAAGCAATTCTCCCACCTCAGCCTCCTGAGTGGCTGGGACCACAGGCATGCACTACTACTGCTGGCTAAATTTTTTTTTTTTTTTGTATTTTTTGTTGAGATGGGGTTTCACCATGTTGCCCAGGCTGGTCTCAAACTCCTGGGCTTAAGTGATACGCCTGCCTTGGCCTCCCAAAGTGCTGGGATTATAGGCATGAGCTACTGTGCCCGGCCACAAACTACTTTTTAAATACAAGTTGGTTGCCATTGTTAGCGAGTTACATGGATTCTTTCCTTGTTAAAACTTTACCTTTAATATCAGTTATAAGGCAGCAATGCCTAGTGGTTAGAACCAGACTCTGTAGCCAGACTGTGTGCTCTTTGGTTCAAATACTAGCTCTGCCGTATTCTGGCACTGTGACATTGGGTAAGTTACCAAACCTTTAAAAATGAAGACAGTAATACCTACGTGATATAATTTTTTTTTAACTTTTAAGTTCAGGGGTACAAGTGCTTGTGTGTCTGCTTGTTAGGGTCTGGGGTTTTTATAGGCACAGGATGGGGGCATGGCAGGCCAGAGTGGTGTTAGGAAATGCAACATTTGGGCAGGAAAACAAAAATGCCTGTCCTCATCTAGCTCCGTGGGCACAGGCCTGGGAGTGGAGCCCTAGCCAGGGACCACGCCCTCCCGTACCCAGCACTTCCCCGCCCCCTTCTGTATCATTTAAAGGGACCACGCCCTTCCCTTCCCAGCACTTCCATATCATAAGGATCTGAAAATTGTCAAAACTGGCACTCAAATTCATTTACATAGAACACTGCCTAAGAGGAACATGCATATGTCTTCCATCCTCTGGCTTCCATAATACAAAACAAGCAACCACCAAAGAATAACAACTAAAAGGCAGGCAAATGGGTTGAGGTTCCATTGTTTATGCCCTGGCAACATGTGCCAGTGCTTATCTACATAGTTGGGGAAGTGGGGGATGGAGAGAAATTTGTTAAAGGATACAAAATTGCAGCTAGACAGGAAGAATATCTAGTGCTCTATGCCACTGTAGGATGACTATAGTTAACAATAGTATACAGCTTCAAAACGCAAGAAATAGGATTTTGAACGTTCTCAGCACAAAGACATGGTGAACGTTTGCAAAGGTGGATATACTAAGTACCCTGATCTGATCACTCTACATTATATGTATTGAAACATCACTATGTACCCCATAAATATGTACGATTATTACGGGTCAACTAAAAAAAGTATTTGATGTATCCCCTCCCTTCTCCTGCCTCTCTCTTTCTTATTAATAGCAACTGGAGGTGCAAACAGACATAAGGGAATTCCACCAGGTAAAGGGTTGAGAGTGCTCATAACTGACTTAATGGTGAAGCCAAAAAAGGAGAACTGGTTCCTCTGCCCTTGTTAATAATTCAACACTGCCAATAATTAGATTATTTCTCTGGTGATTTCATTCCACTGACTGACTTCAGAGGAATTATAAACAGACGTAGTCTTCTTGTGTTTTCTTCCAGAAGTTGTTTTTTATTTTATCTTTAAATCTATGATCCATTTTGAGTTAATTTTTGTATATAGTGTGAAATATGGATTGAAATTTCTCTCTCTTTTCAATTTTTTTTGGCATAGAATATCCAATTGTTCCAGTACCATTTATTGAAAAAACCTTTTTTCCCCCCATGGAATTGCCTTTGTACCTTTGTAAAAAAATTAATTGTCCATATATGTGAATCTATTTCTAGAATCTCTATTCTGTTCCATTGATCTATTTGTGTATCTTCATGCCATTTCCACACTGTCTTAATTACTTTGGCTTTATAATGAAACTTAAAATCAGGTAGAATTGGTTCTCCAACTATGTTTTTCTTTTTCAAGTTGTTTGGCTAATTTAGATCCTTTGCATTTTCATATAAAGTTTAGAATTGGCTTGTCAATTTCTATACACAAAAAATGCCAGCTGGAATTTTGAGTAGGATCTCACTAAATATATAGATCAACTTGGAGGGAATTGGCATCTTAACATTGAGTCTTCAGAGCCACGAATATGGCATATCTATCTATTTAGATCAAGCTTGTCCAACCTGTGTTCTGCAGGCTGCATGCAGCCCAGAATGGCTTTGAATGTGGCCCATCACAAATTCATAAACTTTCTTAAAAAATTATGAGTTTTTTTTGTGATTTTTTTCAGCTCATCAGCTATCGGTAGTGTTAGTGTATTTTATGTGTGGCCCAAGAAAAGTCTTCTTCTTCCAATGTGGCCCAAGGAAGCCAAAGATTGGACACCCTTGATTTAGATCTTCTTTAATTTATCTCATCTATGTTTGATAGTTTTCAGTGTGCAAGTCTTGCATATTTTTGTCAGATTTGTTTCCTAAGTATGTCATATTTTTGGAAGCTATTGTAAATAGTATTGTTTGTAAACTTCAACTTTGGGTTCTTGTTAATATATAAAAATACAATTGATTTTTGCATATAATCTTGTATTCTGCAACCTTGCTAAACTCACTACTTCTAGTAGCTTTATTTTTTTTGAGGGGGAGTAAAATACCATCAGATTTTCTATGTAGACAACCATGTCATCTGCAAATAAAAACAGTTTTACTTCTTCCTTTTAATCTGGATAGAGTTTATTTCTTGGTTGATTGCACTGGCTAAGAACCTACAGTTGAACGTGGAATAGCAGGAGTGAGAGCAGACATAACTGTCTTGTTCTTGGTCATAGGAGAAAGCACTTAATCTACCATTATGTATGTTTGCTATAGGTTTTGGTAGGTGCCCTTCAGCAGGTTGAAGAGGACTCATTTTATTCCTAATTATTGAGAAATCGGTTTTTAAAAATCAGGAATGAATGTTGGATTTTGTCAGATGCTTTTACTCTATCCATTGAGATTATAATGTTTTTTTTTCTTTTTAGTTTGTTAATATGGTCAATCACATTGATTTTCTCATGTTAAACCAACTCTGCATTTCTAGACTAACTCCTACATGGCCTCATTGTATTTTTCTTTTAATATATTATTGAGTTCTTTTTGCTGAAATTCTATTTAGAATTTTTATCTGCATGTTATACCAAATTTTAATAAAGGGGTGTAGCAATCTCTGACTGTAATTTTGGATTTGTCTATTTCTCTTTGCAATTCTTTTTTTTTTGAAACGGAGTTCTGCCCTTGTTGCCCAGGCTGGAGTGCAATGGCATGATCTCGGCTCACCACAACCTCCGCCTCCTGGGTTCAAGCGATTCTCCTGCCTCAGCCTTCCAAGTAGCTGGGATTACAGGCATGCGCCACCATGCCTGGCTAATTTTGTATTTTTAGTAGAGACGAGGTTTCTCCATGTTGGTCTGGCTGGTCTCAAACTCCCGACTTCAGGTGATCCACCCGCCTCGGCGTCCCAAAGTGCTGGGATTACCAGCATGAGCCACTGTGCCTGGCCTCTTTTTTTTTTTTTTCTACTCCTGCAGAGCGGGGCTACCCCCAAAGGCAGTACGTTGAGAATTGCCTCTCTTTGCAATTCCATTAACTTCTGTTTCATGCAGTTTGAAACTCTTTCTAGGTATACAAATAATTATGATTTTTGTTTGTTTGTTTTAAGGAGTGGAGAGTTTAATAGGCAAGAAGGAAGGGAGAAGACACAAGCAAGAAGCTCCCCTGTACAGAGACAGGGGGAGGGGGGCTCCAAAGCTGAAAGAGGAGGTCCTCAAGTGCGGTGGACACCAGCCAGGTGTATATGCAGAGGCTGGAAGAGGCGATGTCTGATTTGGATAGGGGTCAGGGAATTGGTTTGTCCAAGTATGTCATTCACGTAGCCTGCAAAAAACCTGGCCCTCCCACCCTAGCCTTTTAATATGCAAATGCATGGTGCCATAGATGTTCTACACACGTGGGGATATGTGGGGGCAGCCATGTTGCCAGGAACATGTGGGGAAAGGGCAAGAAGGCCCAGCAGAATCGCCATATTGGATGGACTCATTTTCTAATGGCTTGCATTTGCATATCAAAGTTGCCGGCCTGGCTCTAAGGGCCAGAGCTTTACAAGAAACTTTTCGGGAGATGCTTTAAAAAATGAAAACTTCCCAAGGACTCCTTTTCCTCTCTATCTGCCTAAAATAATTTCTTAATAACTCTTACAACATTTCCCCTTGTGGAGATGCCACACTAACTGCTGCTAGGGGGTTTTGGGCGATGACTCTTTCTGGCTACTTCCTGCTGAAAAGGGGTATTCAGTGGGAAACAACAGCTAGGGCTCCTCCTGGGGTCCATCTAAGGGTCCTCAGACTAATGGTGTGTCCATGTGTGGTTCAGTTTACAGCACTATTTGGAATTTGATTGCTTCTAGGCGAGAAGAAACAATTTGAGTCATAGTATTGAATATAGAGGGTCCAAATGTTAATACAGACACATAAGCAAGAGAGGGCTTAATAAAGGGGCTAACCAATTTCATAAAGAAGACTGGAATTCATTAAAGAGGGATTGTAGCCATCCAGGGCTGAAGCCAGCATTTTCCCTGAGCCTGTCAATAATTTTTTTTTCTTTTTTTCTTTTCTTTTCTTTTTTTTTTTTTTTTTGAGACTGAGTCTCGCTCTGATGCCCAGGCTGGAGTGCAGTGGTGCAATCTCGGCTCACTGCAATCTCCGCCTCCTGGGTTTACGCCATTCTCCTGCCTCAGCCTCCCTAGTAGCTGGGACCACAGGTGCCCACCACCACTCCTGGCTAATTTTTTATATTTTTAGTAGAGACGGGGTTTCACTGCCTTAGCCAGGATAGTCTCAATCTCCTGACCTCGTGATCCACCTGCCTTGGCCTCCCAAAGTGCTGAGATTACAGGCGTGAGCCACTGCGCCCGGCCGCCTGTCAGTAATTTTTTTTTTTTTTTTTTGAGACGGAGTCTTGCTCTGTCGCCCAGGCTGGAGTGCAGTGGCGTGATCTCGGCTCACTGCAAACTCTTCCTCCCAGGTTCATGCCATGCTCCTGCCTCAGCCTCCCGAGTAGCTGGGACTACAGGCGCCCGCCACCACACCTGGCTAATTTTTTTTTTTTTTTGTACTTTTAGTAGAGACAGGGTCTCACCGTGTTAGCCAGGATGCTCTTGGTCTCCTGACCTCCTGATCCGCTCGCCTGGGCCTCCCAAAGTGCTGGGATTACAGACGTGAGCCACCGAGCCCGGCAATAATTTTTATTTGATCTTTAAGTACCTCTACTTGACTGGAGGTGTTAATTTAAAAACAGCATGTTTTGTTTAAAAGTGCATCACTAAACTTAATAAAAAGTCCTAGCAGACTCAGTCATAGTAAAACTTTCATGCTTTTTTTTTTGTCAACTATTATCCCTGCTATAAGGCTAATAATTAAGCAAAATAGTACTGCAATGGAAACTCTCTGTCCAATATTTCAGTTAGAAGGTGTAACCATGTATAACCCCACTGCAAATAGTAGAGTGAGCATAGCAGTTCCCACAAGTGTGGTGTGGTAGATAATTTCTGTCTAAAATTTTACTTGCCAAGATATAGAATTCCCCGTTGGGAATCTATGAAGTTTCTTGGTTTTATTTTCCCAAAACAAACAAACCAACCCCTGGGTTATGGGCACCTTTCTCACTTTCATTACCTGGCAGAATTTGCAGGATAATTGCCCAGAACCAGCATATTGATTCACATTTTTACGTTACCCATCCCTTTTTTTTCCCCAAGCTGATCACCACTTGATTCACAGGAATAAGCAGGGTTACTCTAAAATGTAGGCAAAAAGCTTAAAAATAATTAAAGAGACTAGGATGTAATGACAAATGTATGATAAGATTTGCAGCAAAAAATTTTTCTCTCCAGTCCTCACTTTTGGTAAAAACTAATTATGAGTAAACTTTTGTCTTATACTTGGCCTGATTATTTGCATAAAGTGCAGCAAGAATGGTTATTTTTACACAGGCCTTTTGGATTGGCTTTGATGAAACTCTGTTCCACAAGGAATTTCAAATAAGACTTTTAAAGCTGAGCCCAGCCATGGGTTTGTATCCTCTAATACCTGTGAGTTGGGTGATCCTCTCCTCTTGAGGTCCCAAGATAAACTTGGAGCTTCCAGACCTGTTAGAAAGTGACATTCTTTACTGACCACAGGTTAGGAACCCTGTGCAGGGACTGTGTAGACAAGGTATAAGGCCAGCTGTTCCCAAGGAGATTTTATTGGCTCTGCATGTCAAACCTGATTCCTTAAAAGGAAACACACCCTTTCAGTCAAAGCCTTGGTAACAGTTGTGACCTGTTGACAAAGAAAAATGGATTCTTATTGCACTGATGCAAACAATTATATTGCCATAAGTTAAGAGTCTTCCCAGATAGTTAATTTTAGGGGAACCAGGCAGAGAAGAAAAAACATGCTCCAAATTTTGTTCATAGGAATATACCTTACTCAATTATTAAAGGCCATAAAGAGTTTAAACTAAGTTTCCTTCACTCTGAAAAACAAAACAAGGATTAGCAATATTCCAAGCAAAAGTTAAAAAGTTTGCTTTAACTTTCTGAGTGTAGTACATTTAGTTAACTCTTGTTTTGCTTGGTATTTGTGAACATGTTAGTTCTTTATGAGTCTCGTACCTTATTTCTCTATTCCAATGTTACAATCCTCAAAGCTATTAACAACCTGTATTTGAGAACAACTGTTAAAGTCTTTAATATAGCTTGATTATAAACCATCTTTTGAGAAGGAACAAAGCAAGACAACAATTGTCTGCAAATGGCAACATTTCCAGGATAGTTACAGTTAAAAACATGACTGACAAAGAGGTTTGTTTATCTCTGTGGTTTACAATAACTTTACCATTAATTATGATGATAGCATATACTTAGACACCAGAATTTTAGAAATCTCATACAATTTTGAACACATATTAGTATTATTCACCAAAATGTAACTTAAAGAAGATTGGACATCATTTTGGCAATCTCATGTGCCATAAATTATTTTGCAGAAATGATGACTCAAAAGGCAAAAATCTTTTATTAGCCTTTATTATGACATCAAAATCCTGTTTAAAGCCAAATTTTACCCTTGTATTAGTTTGTTAATGTTAACCCTAATTTGTTTAAATGAAACCTTGTAGGTCATTCCATCTAATTCTAACCAACATGAACATGAGGTGAAATTACTACAAACCTTTTATAATCATTTTACTAAAGGGCACATAAGTGTCTTAAGACCTCCTTCTTATGCTTTTATTTCAAATAATTATAATTTTTTATGTCCTCTTCATGCCTTGACTATTTTATCTCTATGAAACTTCATCTTTGGTAATATTCTTTGCTCTAAAATATACTTTGTATTATGTTATTAATATCATTACAATAGTTTTTTTTTCTAACTGGTATTTGCATGGTACAACTTTTCCCATTGTATATATTGGTACAAATAAAAGTCGAGATTATATATACAGTCATATAACACATAATGACATTTTGGTTAACAATGCACTGCATTCACAACGGTGATCCCATAAAATTATAATGGAGCTGAAAAATTCCTATGTCGTAGCCATCATGGCGCAATGTATTACCTTTCCTATGTTTAGATACCTAAGTATTTATCATTGTGTTACAACTGCTTATAGCAGTGGTCCCCATCCTTTTTGGCACCAGGGACTGTTTTCGGAAGACAATTTTTCCATGGACCGGGGCGGGGGTGGGAATGTTTTTGGGATGATTCTAGCACATTACATTTATTTCTTTATTATTCTTTATTATTATACTATTATATATTGTACTTTATTTCTTTATTATTATATTATAATATATAATGAAATAATTATACAACTCATCATAATATAAAATCATTGGAAGCCCCGAGCTTGTTTTCCTGCAACTAGGCTGTCCCATCTGGGAGTGATGTCCCATCTGGGAGTGATGTCCCATCCAGATGTCCCATCTGGGAGTGACACCTGAAGTGTGTTGCTTATGTCCAGTCTACTTCATAATCTTGTTTTGGTTGCTGTCACTGCAGAACACTTTGCTTCACAAAGATAGGATGTTGGAAATGGAAGCAGGCTTCTCAGTACTTTTGTGGCAGTCTCGGGATATTCTGCCTTGACTTTGATCCAGAACGTATGGAGATTTGAAGTTGTCTCAAACATACTTTTAGGACAGCTGTCATTTATGATCTCAAGCAGTTGATTTTCTTCTATCAAAGACTAAGTCAATTCTCTTGGCTTATTCACCAATGGGTCATGGATCCATTCCCTCCCAGTTTGGAGGTCTTTTGTGGTTGGGAAGTAATGCTCAAACTCTTTTGAAAGATGAGCTAGGTGATCATGCACCAGCTGGGAGAAAGAATACCCTGGCTCAGTCTCTTTCGAAATCTCTGCTAATGATTGAAACATGTCAAAACTCCCAAAATTTACTCATCACTCCCATGATTCCAGTTTGGCTTTGAATGCAGCCACTTTATCTGCTGACTTGAACACAACTATTCTTCTCCCCTGAAGTGACAGATTGAGTTCATTGAGAAGGTTGAATATATCACACAAGTAAGCAAGTTTTGTGGCCCATTCTGTGTCACTGAAATCTACTGCCAGTGGTGACTGTTTCTGAAAGAACTGTCTGGAGCACCTCTGGTAACTCAAAAACGCTGGCTGGTGATCTACCCTTAGAAAGCCATCTCACTTTTGTATACGAGAGAAGACGTGTGTGCTCTGTGCCCATCTCTTCACCACAAAACTGTGTGAACAGATCTGAGTTAAGGCCATGAACCTTTTTTTTATTTTAATTTTTTTTGAGATAGAGTTTTGCTGTGTCGCCCAGGCTGGAGTGCAGTGACACTTGGCTCACTGCAACCTCTGCCTGCCGGGTGCAAGTGATTCTCCTGCCTCGGCCTCCTGAGTAGGTGGGATTACAGGCATCTGCCACCATGCCTGGCTAATTTTTGTATTCTTAATAGAGATGGGGGTTTCACCATGTTGACCAGGCTGGTCTTGAACTCCTGACTTCAAGTGATCTGCCTGCCTTGGCCTCCCAAAGTGCTGGGATTACCGGCATGAGCCACCACACCCAGACAAGGGCATGTACTTTAATGTGATTGATAATTTTAATCACATCCTGCAAAACGTTAAGTTCAGGTCACATTTTTGGCTAGCCAGCATTTCTCCACGGATGACACAGTGCATAGACTCACACTCAGAAGGGACCTCTTTGACCTGAGTAGTGAACAGAAAGCTGCCCATGCATGTACCAACACAAAATGACCAATTCAGATTTCCTGATATGTGATCATTCAAAGATTTGAATAGTTCTGTAGCTGTGGTGCTGGTTAACAACACAAGTGCACATAACTTACCCTCATGCACATCCTACTGAAAAATATATTGCACAAAAACAAACATTTTTGCCTCGTTTTTAACATTGGTAGACTTATCAACCTGGATTGCGTACCATGGTGACTCACTGATCCTCTCTAACAATTGTGCCTCAATATCCTTTGGTATTTCATCAATTCATCTAGTTACGGTGCCACCTTTTGAACTGTAGCCTCTCCTAAAAGTTCATGACAAATATCCTAAGTAGCAGGCAAGATCAACTCTTCACCAGTAGCGAAGGACTTCTTAGCTTTAGCAATGTGGTTAGCCACAAGAATGATGCTCTGAGTGCAGACACATTTGATGAAGTGGTGCCTTCAACAATTACTTCTGTTCTTTGTGGCTACGTGTTTTCTTTTGAAAAGCTCCAAGCACTTGTCTTTTAATGCAGGTTGCTTTGTCTCCATGTGGTGAAGCAGTTTTGAAGGTTTTATGGCTTTGTTGAGTAGCCGGTAGCCACATATAATACAAAGTGGGCTTGGAGAATGTAAATCATCTGTTGTGATGAACCTGTAATTTAAGTAGAAGTCTTGGTATTTTCTTTAAAATGCAACTTTCTTTTTGTTGGCAGCCTTAGAGTCTTCTGCTGTCTCATCATTTGAGTTTATTCCCCCTTTCAAATAAGCTCTACAGTGACATTTGTTTATTACTCATTTTGGCTAGGATTAGCTTGTGGGCCTACCAAAACTGTGACTGAGACAAGTATATGGTGTGGGAAAGAGGCACGGATGAAAGTGGTAAATAAAATAATGGTCAGGCCACTCATGGACTAAAATAAATGTCAGATTCTGACTTAAAGACTCCCACCAGATGCAGCTTAATTGTCACTTGCCACTCACTGATGGGTTTTGATATGAGTCTGCAAGCAATTGATTGATTATATCTCTGTGCAGTCAAACCTCTCTGCTGATATTAATCTACGTTTGCAGCTGCTCCCCAGTGCTAGCATCAGTGTCTCAGCTCCACCTCAGGTCATCAGGCTTTAGATTCTCATAGGGAGCACTCAACTTAGGTCCCTCACATGCGCAGTTCACAATAGGGTTCACACTCCTATGAGAATTTAATGCCTCCTCCTGCTGTGTGGCCTGGTTCCTAACAGACTACAGCCCAGTACCAGTCCGTGGCCTGGGGGTTGGGGACCCCGGCCTATAGTATTCAGTACAGTAACATGCTGTACAGGTTTGTAGCCTAGAAGCAATAGGCTACACCATAGAGCCTAGGTGTGTAATATACTATACCATCTAGGTTTGTGTAAGTATACCATGTTGTATTCATACAGTGATGAAATTGCCTAGTGATGCATTTCTCAGAAAGTATCTATGTTAAGTGACACATGACTGTATACACACACACACACACACACACACACGTATGTAGTCTTGAATGGTAGCGTACGATTGGATCCTCTTTTATACCTATTATCTGTTAGGTATAAAGAACGATCTTCAAAAGATATTAAATAACTAAAAGTTACATAACTGATGTTCTCTTTTCTTTTTATATCTATATTTTCCTCTTTTGATCAGTTATCTTGTGCCTGGAGGACTTTTTTTTTGTGGGTGTGGCTTTTTCTTTTTATATATATATATATATATATTTTTATTATACTTTAAGTTCTAGGGTACATGTGCACAATGTGCAGGTTTGTTACATATGTATACATGTGCCATGTTGGTGTGCTGCACCGGTTAACTCGTCATTTACATTAGGTATGTCTCCCAATGCTATCCCTCCCCCCTCCCCCTACCCCACAACAGGCCCCGGTGTGTGGTGTTCCCCTTCCTGTGTCCAAGTGTTCTCATTGTTCAGTTCTCACCTATGAGTGAGAACATGCAGTGTTTGGTTTTTTGTCCTTGCGATAGTTTGCTGAGAATGATGGTTTCCAGCTTCATCCATGTCCCTACAAAGGACATGATCTCATCATATTTTATGGCTGCATAGTATTCCATGGTGTATATGTGCCACATTTTCCTAATCCAGCCTATCATTGTTGGACATTTGGGTTGATTCCAAGTCTTTGCTATTATGAGTAGTGCCGCAATAAACATACGTGTGCATGTGTCTTTATAGCAGCATGATTTACATTCCTTTGGGTGTATACCCAGTAATGGGATGGCTGGGTCAAATGGTATTTCTAGTTCTAGATTCTTGAGGAATCACCACACTGTCTTCCACAATGGTTGAACTAGTTTACAGTCCCACCAACAGTGTAAAAGTGTTTCTATTTCTCCACATCCTCTCCAGCACCTGTTGTTTCCTGACATTTTGATGATCGCCATTCTAACTGGTGTTAGATGATATCTCATTGTGGTTTTGATTTGCATTTCTCTGATGGCCAGTGATGATGAGCATTTTTTCAGGTGTCTGTTGGCTGCATAAATGTCTTCTTTTGAGAAGTGTCTGTTCATATGCTTTGCCCACTTGTTGATGGGGTTGTTTGTTTTTGTCTTGTAAATTTGTTTGAGTTCTTTGTAGATTCTGGATATTAGCCTTTTGTCAGATGAGTAGATTGAAAAAATTTTCTCCCATTTTGTAGGTTGCCTGTTCACTCTGATGGTAGTTTCTTTTGCTGTGGAGAAGCTCTTTAGTTTAATTAGATCCCATTTGTCAATTTTGGCTTTTGTTGCCATTGCTTTTGGTGTTTTAGAGATGAAGTCCTTGCCCATGCCTATGTCCTGAATGGTATTGCCTAGGTTTTCTTCTAAGGTTTTTATGGTTTTAGGTCTAACATTTAAGTCTTTAATCCATCTTGAATTAATTTTTGTATAAGGTGTAGGGAAAGGATCCAGTTTCAGCTTTCTACATATGGCTAGCTAGTTTTCCCAGCACCATTTGTTAAATAGGTAATCCTTTCCCTGTTTCTTGTTTTTGTCAGGTTTGTCAAAGATCAGATGGTTATAGATGTGTGGTATTATTTCTGAGGGCTCTGTTCTGTTCCATTTGTCTATATCTCTGTTTTGGTACCAGTACCATGCTGTTTTGGTTACTGTAGCCTTGTAGTGTAGTTTGAAGTCAAGTAGCGTGATGCCTCCAGCTTTGTTCTTTTGGCTTAGGATTAACTTGACAATGCAGGCTCTTTTTTGGTTCCATATGAACTTTAAAGTAGTTTTTTCCAATTCTGAGAAAAAAGTCATTGGTAGCTTGATGGGGATGGCATTGAATCTATAAATTACCTTGGGCAGTATGGCAATTTTCACGATATTGATTCTTCCTATCCATGAACATGGAATGTTCTTCCATTTGTTTGTGTCCTGGAGGACTTCTTTAACACTCCTTTCTTACTGGTGATAAATTTTTCAGCTTTTGTATATCTGAAAAATGAATTATTTTGCCAGAATTTCAAAAGATGTTTTCCTTGTTTATGTATTGTTATATAATAATTTTCTTTTTTTTTAATAGCATAGCTATTTTTTGAGCTCACTACAGGCTAGTGATATGGTTTGAGTCTGTGTCCCCACCCAAATCTCATGTCAAATTGTAATCTCCAATGTTGGAAATGGGGCCTGGTGGGAGGTGATTGGGTCATAGGTATGGTTTCTTGCCACTGGTTTGGCACCATCTCCTCAGTACTGTCCTTGTGACAGTAAGTTCTCATGAGATTTGGTGGTTTAAAAGTGTGTAGCACCCCCTGCCCCGCCTTGCTCCTGCTTCCACCACATAAGAAGCTTGCTCTCACTTTGCCTTCTACCATGATTGGAAGCTTCCTGAGGCCTCCACAGAAACAGAAGCTGCTATACTTCCGTTTATGCTTCCTTTATAGGCTGCAGAACGGTGAGCCAATTAAATCTATTTCCTTTTTAAATTACCCAGTCTCAGGTATTTCATTACAGCAATGCAAGAATGAACTAATACAGCTATCCTACTTCTTAGCCTTTTCCCTTATCATCTATTTCTTACAGCCCAATGAGGTAGGAGCTACCATCATCTAATTTTGCATGTGAGGGGACTGAGGCACAAACAGGCTGTATCACTGGCCCAAGGTAGAGTAGAAAATAGGCTCAGAAGTCACCTGCCTTCAATCTCCCAGACAGGAAGTGGGGCAAGACTCTAAACCCACTCTGCTCCAGGGCAATGTTTTAAGCAGGGAAGGGATAAGGTCAGTTCTGCACTTTAGGAAGATGGGACTGGATGCAGTGCTGAGGACTGGAAGAATGCAGCGTCCTGAGAAGTTTCTAGATTAGTGCCCAAATCACCCACAGCATGCCCTACCCACAGGTCTCAGCCTACTTGAAACAGAACAGGAATTAATAGAGAAGTGCTGTAATACTTTTTCTTTCAGGACTTTTAGAATGCTATCCACTATCTTCTTGCTTGCTTTGTTTCCAATAAGAAACTGCTGTTATCCTTAGTTTATCTTACCTAATGAATCTTCCTTTTTCTTTCACTGAGTTTAAGGTTTTTTTCTCTTTATCATTGTTTCTGAGAAAGTTGATGTTCATTGTGTTTCTTGGTTGTAGGAGTTTATACATTCATCAAATTTGGAAGTTTTTTTGTTAACTATTATTTCTTCAAGTATTTATATTTTCCTCCAGTCTCCTCTTTTTTAAGGATTTCAGTTACACTAGTATTAGACCCTTGAAATGTGATACATAGTTAACTAGTGCTTTCTATTTTCTTGAAGGCTTTCTTCTCTGTGTTTCAGTTTAGATTGTTTCTATTGCCCTATCTTAAAATTGCTGCATATAAGTATGTATTTTAAATCATTTCTGGATTATTTATAATACCTAATACAACGTAAATGCCATGTTATATGTTATTATTTAGGGAATAATACAAGAAAAGACATTTGTACATATTTAGTACAGATGCAACCATCATAGGCCTAACTGTATTTTCAACTCATGATTGGTTGAATCTGCAGATGTGGAGTCTATGGATATAAGGTGCTGACTGTATTTTTTATGCTATCATAAATGGGATTGTTTTCTTAATTTTAGGGGTAGTTATTATTACCATAGAAATACTACTGATCAGTTTTTGTTGATTCATATCCTGCAACTTTACTAAATGTATTTATCAGTTCTCATGTGTTTTTGGTGGAGGCTTTTCTATCTATAAGATAATGTTATCAGCAAACAGAGACAATTTATTTTCTGTCTCCTATTTCAAAATGCCTTTTATTGATTTTTTTCTTGCCTAATTACTCTGGCTAAGACTTCCAATAGTATGTTGAATAGAAGTGGAGAGAGTGGGAATTTGTATTGTCCCTGATCTTAAAGGAAAAGCTTTCAACTCTTCACCATTGAGTATGATGTTAGCTGTGGGCTTGTCATGTATGACCTTTATTGTGTTGAGTAACATTCTTTCTATATCTTTTTTTTGGGTATTTTTTTTTCAATCATGAAAGGATGTTGAATTTTGTCATATGTTTTTCTTCATTTATTGAGATGATCATATATATGTTTTTTGTCTTTTATTCTGTTAATATAGTAAATCACATTTATTAATTTGCATATGTTGAACCATCCTTGCATTCTTGGGGTAAATCCTTCTTGGCCTTGGTGAATGATCCTATAAATGCTGTTGAATTTGGGTTGCTAGTACTTTGTTGAGGATTTTAGCATCTATACTAATCAGGGATATTGGCCTGTAATTTTATTTTCTTGTAGTGTCTTTGTCTGGCTTTGGTATCAGGGTAATTTCTGTCCTCATAAAATGAGTTTGAAAGTTTCCCCATCTTTGATTGTTTGGAAGAGTTTGAGAATTGGTACTAGTTCTTTAAGTGTTTGGTAGAATTCACCTGTGAAGACTTCTGGTCCTGGGTATTTCTTTGATGGAAGACATTTTATTACTGATTCAATTTTCTTACTTACTATTGGTGTGTTTGGATTTTCTATTCCTTCATAACTCAGTTTTCGTCAATTATATTTCTAGGAATTTATCCATTTCTTCTAGGCTATCTAATTTGTTGGCATATAATTCTTTATTTTATCATTTTATAACCCTTGTACTTTTGTGGTATCAGTTGTACCATGTTTCCTCTTACATTTCTGATTTTACTTATTTGAATCTTTTCTCGTTTTTTCTTATTCAGCGTAATTAATGGCTTATCAATTTTGTTTATCTGTCTTTTCTATTGTTTTTATAGTCTCTCTTTCACATTTACTTCTGCTCCTATCTTTGTTATTTCCTTCCTTCTGCTAAATTTGAGCTTAGTTTATTATTCTTTATCTAGTTCCTTGAGGTATAACATTAAGTTTTTATTGATATCTTTGTCTTTTTTGATGAAGGTTCTTATTGGAATAAAATTTTCTCTTTGAACTGCTTGTGCTGCATCCCATAAGTTTTGGTATGCCTGGTTTTCATTTTTGTTTGTCTGTCTCAAGGTATTTTAAAATTTCCCTTTTAATCTCTTTCTTAACACATTGGTTGTTAAGAAGTATATTGCTTAATTTCCATTTATTTGCACATTTTCAGAAGTTTCTTCTGTTGTTGATTTCCAGTTTTATTCCACCATGATTGGGAAAAAATACTTGATATAATTTTAATCTCTTTAATTTTGTTAAGACTTGTTTTTTGGCCTAACATATGCTCTATCCAAGAGAATATTCCATGTACACTTGAGAAGAATATGTAATCTGTTGCTGTTAGATGAAATATTCTGTATATGTCATGAGGTTCTTTTGCTGTAAAGTATAGTTAAAGTCCAATATTTTCTTACTTATTTTCTGCTGAAAAATCTGTCCATGTCAAAAGTGGGTTACTAAACTTCCATATTATTATTGCATTACATTCTGTTTCTCCTTTCAGATCCTTCGATATTTGCTTTATATATTTAGGTGCTTTGATATTGAGTGCATATGTATTTATAATTGTTACATCCTCTTGATTAATTGACTTCTTTTTGTTATATAATGACCTTCATTGTCTCTTTGTATAGTTTTTTATTTACAGTCTATATTGTCTGATGTAAGTATACCTACCTTTGCTCTCTTTTGATTTCCATTTGCACAGAATGTGTTTTTCCATCCTTTCACTTACAATCTGTGTGTTTACTTAAAGGTGAAATGAGCCTCTTGTAGGCAGCAGATAGTTAGGTTTTTTAAAAAATCCTTTCTGCCACCCTATGTCTTTTGATTGGAGAATTTAATCCATTTACATCCAAAGTTATTACTGATAACTAAGGACTTACTACTGTTACTTTATCAATTGTTTTATAGATTCTTTGTTCTTTTGTTTTTCTTTCTTTCTTGGAGTCTTTCTTTATGGTCTGATGGTTTTCTGTAGAAGTATAATTTGAATTTTTTTTAAAAAAATCTTTCTCATTGTTGTAATTCCAGCACCTTGCACAATCCTAGTATACTTCAGATACTCATTGTTCGTTGAATTCAAAGGAAATAGCTTCAAATCATGTTTAAAACTACGGTTACCTTTTGTTTCTGTTTCCCTCAACCAATATTGATTCTTCTTACATAATTATATTTATAATTATCCTTTCTTGTGAGTCTCACTACCTCAATTTTAGTTCAGACCTTTTTAGCCTCAAATCTTTATCAGTGCTAAGCTTCCAAAATGCCTCCAGCTTTCCAGGGGCTCTTCATTACTCCTTTCATGAATACTGTCTCCTCAAGGTAATGTCAAGCCACTTTGATCATTTTGATGCTAGTATGTATAGGTTAAAACCACATCCCACTGGCATTAAGGTCTCTGCAATCTGATACCCTTCAACATATGCAGCCTCATCTATTTCCTAACTTCCCCAGACCATAGGAAAATATTATGTTTCAGTGGAAAACTAGAGCATTATCTCTCAAGGGGTAATTTGATTCTGAGTCTGTGGGAGTTCTGCACCTTTCAATATCTTGAAGCTATTTTCAAACTCTGTAAATGGTAGATAACTCATAGCAATGCAAAATAATTCTTGTCTATAGATGTCTAATTCAGATGTTATCTAAAAGTTAGTTCAAATTACAGACTTGAAAAGGTTATTTATGGGTCGGGCATGTTGGCTCATGCCTGTAATCCCAGTACTTTGGGAAGCCGAGGTGGGCAGATCACTTGAGGCCAGGAGTTCGAGACAGCCTAGCCAACATTGAGAAACCCCATCTCTACTAAAAATACAAAAATTAACTGGGCGTGGTGGCACGTGCCTGTAATCCCAGCTACTCAGAAGGCTGAGGTGGGAGAATCGCTTGAACCCAGGAGGCAGAGGTTGCAGTGAGCCTAGATTGTGCCACTGCACTCTAGCCTGGGTGACAGAGCAAGGCTATCTCTCAATTAAAAAAAAAAAAAAAAAGAAAAGAAAAGAAAGAAAAAGTTATTTATGAAACAATATAGTAAGGAACCATTAAGTAGAGGTGAAAGATGTGGAAAAGTTTAAACTATAGAATATTCCTTAAAACCTGATAAAGAATTGGAAGCATTTGGCTAATTAACATTTTCATAGTTAAAGCTTTTAGTCTTCATTAAAGTAAGAAGTATTGTAAAAATGCATGGGCAATTTGACAATTCTTTTTTTAACATAGTTAAGCATGAAGCTGGATTTATCACAGAACCAAATGTCACATATATGCTTGCATTACTTCACACTATGTTTACTGCCGTACGTGGATAGTGTGGTTATTGGTCGTGTGCCTTAAGTGAATTACTTAATTGCACAGGATGTATGATGGCGTTGGTGAACTTGGGGATGTTGAATTGAGTATCAGGAATAAAATATTCATTATGTGGGTTTTCTGGGGCCCTAGGAAACACTGTTGGCTAGGGAAAATTGAGTATGAAAATTTAGGGTTGGTTTCCTGTTTATTTGTTTTTGCTCTAGTTTTCATTCCTTTGCTCTTTATTCTCCTCTGATTTTGCTTGTGTATCCATATATATAAAATCATGATTTTATTATTTTAGTTTGGTTTTTATTTCGTTATGTGAATAGTTGTTTTGCTTCCTATGCACTTCTAGCAAGTCATCTTCCGTTCCATTTATCTGGAATTCCTAAACTACTTTTGTCAGGCCTGCAAGAATTAATGGAACACGCCAGCTTTTTATCCTTAAACTAACCTTGGATTTTAGCCTTCCTGGTACTTTGTGTTAAGTATACTCTCACAAATAGAATTTGAGTCATATTTCTCTCTCTGCCTAACTTCTCCAATATTTGTAAACTATTCATGAATATTCTTAATTCATGTGTTCTTTTGCATACATTCAAGCAGGGTCGCCAGGGTCGCTCAGGGAGAGAGAACCCAGACACCTGGCACGCAGGCATAAGGGTAAGAATTTCTTACCAGTCAGTCTTGGGCCTCTTTCTCTCTATGCAAACTGGTTAATCTCCTTTGTGAAGTTTTAAGTTAATTGGTTTAATAATAAGAAGAACTTAAATCAAATATTTTGTCAGAAAAGTGAAAAACGTAATGCCTTTTATTTAGTTCATGTGACTTGAGTAATCTTTGGGAAATAAAGACGGTTTTAAAGATTGTTAGTAAAACAATTGTCTTCAAAATGTAAACATGGTCTAAATTATGTTCAACTGTCAGGTTTGCTAAATGCTTTAATGCCATAAGCTGCTTCTTTGGCTTTTGAAAATTGTTTAACTTGCCTGCTTTCCAGCTAAGTAAGGCCTGGGGACATGTGGAGTTGGCCACGCCCCTAGCTGTGCTGGAAATAGTCAAACCTTATCAGAATATAACTTACCAGGTTTTACATTAAAGTTAAAATTGCTAGGAGTCGCTATTGTAACATGCAATTAAGACTACTAGAAACAGTTTTACATGCAAGATGTGTAAGAACAGTAGAATATGGAGTTTTTTTTGTAAAAGGATATAAAAGGTTTTTGCTTCTTTAAAACTTCTGAGTCATCATTTTGGCAAATAAATAATTTACGGTAATGTGGAACCCCAAAATCAAACTTCAGTTTAAAAATTGTCTTTCCTGATGCCTGAAAACATCCAGAAAAGAGGTAAGCAGGATTATTTGACATGTTTACATACATGGGATTGCCAAAATGATGTTTAATCTTCTTTAGGTTGTATTTTTGTGAATAATACTAATACAGATTCTAAAATTGTATAAAGCTACTGATACAAGTAAAACAAAAAATTAAATATAATTAATTAATATTAATTTCATGTTAAACCAGCTAATACTTAAATTGTTTAAAATAGCTTATAACCAATGCTTGATCCCATATTCCTGAGAAAATAATTAAAGCTTCAGGTACATTTGGTCACCTGGTCGGCCATTTAAACATTTATAAAGGGATTTCATTCAATTGTTATTTTCAAGGCATGTTTTCTGGTTGTATAAAAGCTTTCCTATGCCAGAGGACTGATGTTATAACAGTAGATTATTATGCTACAATGTATTTTCACTATGTAAAGAAAGCTTTTTTTTTAAACTTTTTTTTATTTTTATTTTTTTTGAGACAGAGTCTCGCTCCGTCGCCCAGGCTAGAGTGCAGTGGTGTGATCTCGGCCCACGCAAACTCTGCCTCCTGGGTTCAAGCTAGTTTCCTGCTGCAGCCTCCCAAGTAGCTGGGATTACAGGCACCTGCCACCGTGCCTGGCTAATTTTTTTATTTAGTAGAAATGGGGTTTCTCCATGTTGGCCTGCCTGGTCTCGAACTCCTGACCTCAGGTGATCCACCTGCCTTGGCCTCCCACAGTGCTGGGAGCTGGTTTGCTCCATTACTTCCTGCAGGCCCGAAAAAAGTAGTTTAGGAATTCAAATTTTATGGTTTGAATCTTCTGGAAACATCACAGAAAGACTATCCTTGCCATCCACACTACAACAAAACTTTGGGACCTTGAACTTTGAGTTCATAATCTCACAACTGAGAAGGGCACCTCCATGCTCTTGGAGCTGTGCACCCACTGGAACGCTTAGGTTAAAACTGACCACAGAAATTTTTCCCAAGAAGAAGATGGCATCCTTGATGTGAACAGCTTTTCCCAAGTTCACAGATTAAGACTTCTACTGTCACAAAACTCTTATCTTTGAATATTTTTTCTTGCTTATGCCTCTACGAACAATAGAAGTGGAAAAGGGATCTGTTATGTGCACTTATGGGATATACTTTTATTTGTGAAGGAGTTTGCAGTCAGCCTTATACATGGATAACTTTCTACTTTGATAGATAAAAGATGAAGGCCCAATGTAGGTAAGAAACTTTAATGCTACATGCGTTGCCTCATAATCAGTCAAAAACAAAACACTGGTTCACTCCTCTTAACCCATATCATGGATTAAAGAGAATATTGACGGAAGGCCTTCACTCTTCTAAAAGTCCATCATTTGTTAGGTCCGTTTTCCATGGTTTAAAGTAAAAGAAGCAATGATTAGAAATGTATCCCTCATGATAGCTTCTATAACAAATTCTACCATAAAGGCTACAGTTACACAATAGAATCTAAATTCTCTTCTGAGAGTTATGATAGAATTGGCTAAACAGAGAAGTGTCTGTGAAGCTGCTGGCATTTGTGGCCTATGGAGAAATACATCAAATGAAGATTATAGAAATTCAGTGGTAGGGCACTGACGAAGAAAATGCTTCGTCAAGTGGGTAAGCTCTTTATCTAGCTCATTCTTTGACCTATTTGATTTTAGGAGGTTTAGTTTATGGGGACCATGGGTAAGGAGCATATTCCAAACTCTTGGTATTATCCTCCTGATAGTCATAATAATAGCCTCCCTGGTGCCCTGTATTCTCTCAAGGGTTTTAAATACTTGCATGCAGCCATCTCTAGAATGTCATATGGTCTCTCTTCAACTGGAATGAGAAGAGCTGAAAGAAATGTGCAACCATGAGGACACCGTAACCTATGAATGATGTGCTGAGATGGGAAACCCAAAATGATGGTAACTGAGAGTGGCGCTAAGGCCCTATGTTTTGGTCACACTCTTACCTAAGTGAGAATTTGACCAAAAAGAGGGAATTTTTTTAAACAAAATTCTGAGAGTCCATTGTTTTGGACTGAGCTCATGTACTAGGCCCCAACAAACCAAACCAAACCAAACCAAAATGGAGTCGCTTGTGCTAAGACTTTAAGGAAACACATAGATTCTAGAACAGACCAGGTTTTGTTTTTCCTCCTGCAGATCTCTATAACAAACATTTCTGATAGCATAGATATCCACCCCCTGAAGTTCCCATTAAGTCTGTTAACCAAATTCATTTCCTTTCGCCTAGAGACCATCAAACTTATGATCGTGTAACAAAAGTTCCAGCCAGTTCCAGGTGAAGACACCACCACTGGCCATCAGGAAGCTACCCTGCCTCCACGAGTTGGAGCAGGGTGAGAGTTCCATGATCCCCAATAGGTAGGGACTACACTTGGAGCCAGCATGAAGCAGTTACAGAAAAAAGAACATTGGTCCTTCTGCCTCCCATAAAGATTTATGGGGATCACATCTCTCAGTGGGGAGAAGAGGCAGTAAAGTAGGGTGTGGAGGCAGGGAACATAAGGCCGATTCATACTTCAGCTATGACAGGAAATATCCTCTCCATAGAGCATACGCCGAGTAAATGACTTTGTAACTTTACTTCATCCTCTTCACTTACATAGAGCGTACCCCAAGTAGAGGGTATTTAAGCTCGCAAAAACTCTGTAACAGGGCCTTCGAGCCCCTATGCTTTGACCTGCTCCCACATTGTGGAGTGTACTTTCATTTTCAGTAAATCCCTTCGTCCCTTCCTTGCTTTGTGTGTTTTGTCCAATTCTTCAAGACGCCAAGAACCAGGACATCCACTACTGTTAACAATTTTAGAGCCAAACCCTCCAGCAGGGTTGTAAAAGATCGGATGCTGTATGCATGATGCGAACCCTTCACTCTTCAGGGAGAAGCTGGGAGTTGAGGATTCATTCCTGATTGTAAGGAGCTGTGCTGAAGATGGGGTTTGTGGATGAGTATATCTCCACTCTTCATGCCTGTTTCAATGTGGATACTTTCTCAGTTGTTTGGTGTTCAGGAGTCTTTCAACTAGTTTCTGGCTTTCTCTTGGAGGGAACTGATCCATGTATAGGTGTTTATTTGGTGCATCTGTGGGAGGAGGGATAGCCATGAGAAACTATTTCTTCATGTTGCTGATGCCACTTTCCAGAATTTTGTTTTGAGCAAATGGCTTGAAGCAAAGAAGCAGGAGAATACGGTAAATGATTTTTAAGGTCTTAATCTCCTTAAGTTAAGGAGACTGTTTTGGCAAATACGTTTTGGAATAGATATCTGTTTAGAATCGCTAGCACCTAGAGACAGAGACACTAACCAGAAGATGTTCCTGAAATACAGGTGGCAAAGATTTAATCCAGGCAGGTGGTTTTCAAAAATAACAATAAGGGATAAGTCCAAGAATTGGCATAGTTTATACATAACCATAATGTTTATATTTATTTTTCTCCAAATAAGGCATTTCTCTGCATAAGATAATGTGTAGCTGTGCTTTTTGAGTAAGAGGAAATACATATTAAACATTTCTAAAGCATCTGGAAAAATACCCCTTTCCCCCATCTGTTCTAGACAGTTAAACATACTTTGGACCAGTTGAATTTTCCACAATAGTTTCTTTGGATATTAAAATGACTGAATTCTCCAAGCAGAAAATGAAAATCCTGAAATAGAGATGGAATAACAAGTATTACTTCTGTTCAATCAAATGTAAAATTTAAGTGCACAATTAAACTACTTCTGTTTATGTGCTTTAACATTTAAATCTTCTTACCCTATGCAATAATTGAAACTACCTGATGGAAAATAGCCAATTTGAGACTGAATAAGATGAACCTGGTGGTCTCAGGGATGAGCACAGTTAGTAAGTAGTGTTAGTAAAATCCATTTTTATGTCTAATTTTGATAGCAAGCCATTAGGTCAGCACTGAGTTTTAGAATGTGGCCCAAGAGAAAAGCTGAAACATCATGTCCTCACTGTTTCTAACTTCAGCCCCATCTGGTTGAAAATTTCTGCAGTGGTTCCCAGAACAGCTTTTAGATAACACTGAGGCATTTGAAAGGAGCTTTCTAAGGACCGAATAATCTTCAACAATTTCTAAAGAAAAACCAAATGGTCTTCTAAGCCTTTGCTACTCAAGATGCTTATTGTGGGCCAATAGTATTGACATATCCTGGGACTTGTTAGACTTGCAGAATCTCAGGCCCCACCCAGGCCTACTGAATCAGAATGTTCTTTTTAACAAGATCCCCAGGTGATTTATATTAAAATTTGGAACATATTAAGTCTTGTTTTAAGCTCTTTGAACAGGTTTTGGTTGGGGGTGAGAGAGTTCCATGTTTTAAGAGATAAATGCTAATTCTTTGGGAGGAGATTTTGGCATTGCAGCAATGCAATTGAACAGCTCGCTGGGAAAATGCAGAAAAGGAAAGGGCCTCTTTGAGATCACAGCCTCTGGTGGCAACCATGCTCAGAGGACTAACCCATTCGGTGGTACAGTGGAGTTTCCTGACCCCTTTGGGTCACTCATCAAGTTTAAATGAAACCTGCCTATTTCTACATCAGGCAGGAGGTATTAATGCTTTCTCTACAAATTCGCAAACCCACGTGTGTGTCGTTATGCATTTATGGATTAACAGCCATCTTTAAGGGGCTAATCCTTCAGCACTTGATCAGGCAAGAGAGAATAATTAGACCTACAAATAGCCTGACTTTTTAATTGCACAAAATACACTTCCCTCCTCCCACAGGAGGACACAGATCATTCCATAATCCAAAACATGGAGAGATGCTGAGATGCGTAACAGGGTCCAAATTCCATCTTTTTCCAATTTTTCAAAGTGCAATTCTGTCCCAAACCTCTGCACAAGCATAGAACCCTGCCAGTTACATCTTGTGCAGTATGAAGAAATCCTTTCCATTTTAGTCTCTGGCAATCAGGACCCCTCTATTTTGTTTTGAGATTGATTTTCTAGCTAAAACTTTGTACTTTTTGTTCCCAAAGATCTTCATGGGCAGAACAGACAGATCTGGATGGGGTGGATGAGCAGAGGGCCAGGGGCCAAGTGGCTTCATGCTGAGGATGCAGCATAGGGATGGGCTTGTGGGGAGGGCTCTTTCCCTCATTTCTCTTCTTGAGTCTCTGTGTGTCTCCCAACCCTTCATGCTCTCGTCCTTATAATAGTAACTTTCATGATCTAATTTAGTTAGCTCATCAGTGTGATTCCATTCAGAAATGACTACCTAAAATGATATCTACATTTTAAATAATAACTGTAACTTAATCTTCACTTTAACTGATTGCCCAGCCTGCCATTTTAGGGCTTTATTATCATGCTCTGCTTGGATATTTAAAAGGGTCTTCACTGAGTCAGCCTAAAGCTTCTGAAAATCCCCACCAATGAATTACCACATGGAACCTTCACTGAATTCCTAAGCCCCTGTGTTCCATAATAGAGACAGGAATAGTGGGAAGAATGCTGACTTTGAAGCAAGATGCACCGAAGTCAGCATCTTAGCTCTGTCATCTTGGGTAAGTTACTAACGCCTCACTGAGTCTCAGTTCCTCACTGTATTGAGGGAAATAATACCTATTGCAAAGTTTTCTGTGAAGAAGAGATAGCAAACGTAAGTTGCTTAGCAAGAATACTGGCACCTAGTGGGGAATCAAGAGGTTTAATCTTTACTTTTAATCTCCCTTTCCTTTTCTTGATGAATGGTGTCTCTAGCCTGATTTCTCCAGAAAACAGAGCCTCAGTCAAAAAGTTATGTGCTAAAACTTTATTGAGTGAGTGCAGTCCAGGGAAGCAAAAGTGAAGGAACCAGGTAAATGAGGTGAAGGAAAAGAAGAAGTACAGGATGTTGCATTTCCAAGCTGTCTAGACTTTGACCGGAAAACATCCTTGTTGCTCAATTATGCAGGACGTCACCAGGAAGGGCATATGGAAGCGTGAGTCTCAGCACAATTTCTTGGGAGGAGGAGGAGAGAATAATCTATCTGTTGGCTCCTTCCTTTCTCCTGCTGCCCATTGGCCAAATCCAGCCCCCACCAGCACAATTGGATTGTCAACTTACCTACATTTCTAGGTTATTTTTGCCACAAGAGTGCTGGCATTGAGTCAATGAAAGGGCATGAGCCAGAAACATTAAATACCTGTCTCTCTGCAACATGCAGCTTTGAATACCCATCTTGGAAAGTCAGTGGGTTGGGTGGTTTAGGAGGCCTCTGGCATCTGCACCTTAGCATTGACAGGAAAGCTTAAGGGTGGGAGGTGAGGGCCCTGCGGTGGGAGGTGCGACATGACACATAGCCTGGTCCTTCCTCGAACTACACGGGACTTCAGGACTAGCTGCTTGCTGCAGCAGGGTCAACTGCTGAGCAGCTCCCCTGAGTGGGCAGGGACGAAGCTCAGTGGGCAAAGATGGACATCTTCTCTCTGTGCCAACAATAATGCCATTGGGTGCCAAGCAATCTCCCTGGAGAGTCACCTATAGCCCTGAGCAGAAAAATCATAGCCAACCAGATCTGAGAAGTACATGAACTGGGTCTGGTATTGTGAGAATAGGATATGGGCTTTCAATAATTCATGAATGTAGAGGGATGTAAAATCGGCTCTCAACACAGGTTTTTTTGTGTGTTTTGTTTTTTTTTTTTTTTTGAGATGGAGTCTCGCTCTGTCGCCGGGCTGGAGTGCAGTGGTGCGATCTCAGCTCACTGCAACCTCTGACTCCCGGGTTCCAGCGATTCACCTGCCTCAGCCTCCCAAGTAGCTGGGATACAGGCACGCACCACCATGCCCAGCTAATTTTTGTATTTTTAGTAGAGACGGGGTTTCACCATTGTTGGCCAGGATGGTCTTGATCTCCTGATCTCATGATCCGCCCACCTCAGCCTCCCAGAATGCTGGGATTACAGGCGTGAGCGACTGCTTCCGCCCGGCCTCAACACAGTTTTGACCTGGGTCAAGTTTATTTTTAGTGCCCTTCGGATTAAAGCTCAGGAGAAAGGTTGGGTTTAGAGACCCTGATTTGCAGAATTAGCTTGTCCTCTGTCTGACTTTAAAGGCTGTTTTCAATCACATCGCGGTGCCTACTGCCTCAGTACAAAGATGGTGCCAAAGCCACGGGATGGAATACCACGACCCAGAATGAGCAGGGACCAGGACTCCTCGTACCTGAAATGATGGAACAAAAGGCTATGGAAGACACTGAAAACTAAGGTCTTAGCAACAGAGAGAAAGCCAAGAGAGGTAAATTAAGACATTAAGAAAGAAGAGATTTTCAAATTAAAGGAAGGGATCCTCAGTGTCAGATGATACAGAGAGGCCAAGTAGAATAGGAAGAAACAAAATAACAGAATTTTGTAACTGCCGCTCTGACCAGAACAATTTCTGTGGCAAGATGCGGACTAACTAAAAATATTGCTGAGTATTGAGCAGTGTGATGAAGTGAGGAAATAGAGCTATTTTTTAAAAAAATTTTTACTTAAAAATTGGCAAATAGGAAAATAAAAGTTTTGGTACCTTGGTGGGAAGGGGGAAATCAGAGTTGAAGAAAGTTTTTTTCAAAGCACAATTCATTTATTCAGTCTGCTGTGATACTGTTGGGTTGTTTCCAGCTTTTTGACAATTAGAAATAATGCTGCTATAAATATTCTTGTAAATGTGTTTGGGTGCATATGTGTTCCTATTTTGGTTGAGCATCTCTAGCGATAGTCATGGTGCATTTCAATATTCAATCAATAACTCAGTTTACTGATATGTCAGTTACATCATGTTGACAAACCATCTGTTACCTTACTATTTATGTAAGTTTCTGTTCTGTTAGTTACTGATGGAGGTGTCTTAAAACCCACAGTACGTTATTGAGAACTGTGTCTCCTTTTACTTTTGTTAATTTTTGCTGTCTTAGAAGAACATACAAATTTTGAATTGTGTATTTAAACATTTACAGATTTAGAGCTTTTTTATATCTTCTTGGTAAGTAGAAATTTTTATTGCTATGAAATTTCCTTCTTTATCTCTAGTAATATTTCTTATCCTGAAGTGTTCTTTATCTGATATTCACTATCTGTTGCTCAGGGTTTGGAAGGAATATCTTTTTCTACCCTTTTACTTTCAATCTTTCGATGTCCTTATATTCAAGACTTATCTCTTGGAATCAGAATATGTTTTAAAATCCTATTTTCTCTGATCAAACATTGCCATTTCTAAAGCATTTAGTTCATTTATGTTTATTATAATTATCTAGAAGCAAGGTATTTTTAAGATAGTGGAAGCATTTATTCTATTTGTGGGCAGGAGGGAAGGAAAAACTAAAGAGATTGAAAACTAAGTGAAGGAAAGAAAAATCTCATCTTAAGTAGCTGCCAACCTGTCTTTCCCTGGAGTCCCCTATCCCCACATTCTTCTATGTCCACTTTGTCACAGCTTCAAGGGGGCAGCTTTCCCAGATCCTGCTAATGCTGCTGTTCTGATTAATTTGGAACTTTGGAAGAAGTTTATTTGGAGTGGCAGAAATAATGACTTTTTTTATTTATCCTTCTGACTTTTGTCTTAATATGTAATCCAATTTTATCTAATTTTTTTTCACACAAGCTGGTACTCCCTGTACCTACTATGTTATAACCTTCCCTTTATTTATAGAGTGGCTAATTTAGTGAGCACTCACTTGTGTTTGTTGCATGGTGGGATGAAAGGGGAAGGGGCATGGTTGGGAAGGAGGCTGGATATATTGCCTGGGCACTGAGCTGTGCAGCCTATAACAATGGAGAGCTTGCGATTCTCTGATGTTCAAAAGCTGAGGCTGACCTTCTCTTGGCTGTACTGTTTGCCAGCGTTTCCTTAGTCAACTCCCAAATGAGAGCATCCTTAGCAGAAACTCCTTGCTACTTGGTGAGACAGATAATCCCAGTGGTTAAATTCATGGGCTCTGAAGCCACACTAGTTTTAAAGCTTGGCTCTCTTCCTTATAATCTGTGTGATCTTGAGCAAGTTCTTTACCTTCTTGAGCCTTCATTTCTTCATCTGTAAAGTGGGGATAAAATGATACTACTTTATGTATTTTTAATGAGGAAAAAATGAGCATACATGTTGCGATGTTAATTTTACCTGCCATAGTACCCAGTTATTTAATTAAACAGTAATCTAGGTGTTGCTCTGAAGGTATTTTGCAGATGTGGTTAACATCTACAATCAGCTGACTTTAAGTAAAGGACACTATCTTTATCATCTGAGTTGGCCTCATTCAATCAGTTGAAAAGCCTGAAGAGCAGAACTGAGATTTCCAGGGGAAGAAGAAATTCTGCTTCAAATTCTGCTTCAGCCTGCTGGCTGCCTATGGATTTTGGACTTGCCAGCGTCACAATGGCATAGACCAGGTCCTTGAAATAAGACACAATCTGTATTTATATCCTAGTGGTTCTGCTGCTCTGGAGAACCCTGACTAATACATATGCACAAAGCCTCTGGCACAGTGCCTTGCTGGTCGTCAGTCCTCAGAAAGTGTTGGCCTACCGTTATTATTTTATGCATATCTGATTAGCATAGAGAATGCTTTCTGGAAGCATGAAGCTGTTGGAGGATAATCCCTACCAAGAGGCAACCTCAACAGTCATTCATTCTTGTCATACCTCCTGCAGTTGTGAGCTGCCTCTGTTCTGTTTTATTTTGTTTTTCCTGTGCTATGATGGTGCTTATGATGCTCTTCATAATATCACAGGTCTTGCACCACTCCCCACTTGGCAGCTGATGTGCCCCCTGTGCTTCTTTGACATTTCCTTGAAAAGGCCACTGGCCACCAAGCTGCACTTCAACCTCAGCCTCTACCTCTTCCATCCTCTGCAGCACCTGTGGCACCGTTGCTTGTGTGCCCTTTGTGGTTGTTTTGTGAGTCAACGTTAAACCCTAGAATATTCCATAATGGAAGAAAGAGCAACCACAGAGAGTTGAACTTCATCCTGACGAGACAAAGCACCCTATGAGATGTCAGTTCATGGGCTGAGAGCTTCGGATAGCGCTTTATTTACTGCAGTCACTCTATACAAGAAAATATTTTTGTAGGCCAAAAAGATTGAATATTGGTAACTTCATATGCTTCACCCTAATAATTGCACTCTTCCTTACTGGAATGGATTTATAGTCTCTCTCTATATTTTTAATTAAAAGATGTTTCTATGACCAGAGTATTACAGCAAATCAGTGCTGTATAGGACTGCACTAAGCAACATACATGTGTTGTTATTGTTGTTATTCTCATTAGACTTTATAGCAAAAGGCAATCCAAGAGCGTCACAGAGTGAGTCTTGGCCTGAACAGGCCACTTTCCTGGTGTTGGTCTCTTGGAGATGGAGTAGGTTCAACGAGGAGGCATGGGAAGCTCTCTGATCGTCATTACAGACAGGCAGGCTTGGAGCAAGCTATGCCTCCTGCCCAGAGAACCATCGCAGAGCCATTTGTTTGCTCCCCTGAGTATTAGGTGTTTTGTTAGCAGCTCTTCTCTGCCAGTGAGTGGTTTTCATTGTTTTGTGAATTTTTAGTACAGATGGTATCAAAGGCTATGTGGCAAGATGCTAAGCATATACTTACATAGGCTTTTGCAAAGTAGAAAAACATTGATTTTTAGTCATTAAAAATCTTACAATTCTGTCTTATGCATCACACCGTCTACAGAGGCTATTGAAGTGCCACATCCTTACTGGATGCTCAGTGAAAATGTAAGCTGCCACGTGATGTAGTGGTGTCAAGGCCTTGACGTTTAGCTGAACTAACCAGGCTTAAGTCCTAGTTCTGTTACTGAATAGTTGTGTAACCTTGGGTAAGTTAACCTCACTGTGACTCAGTTTTCTCACTCAAAATGGGGACAGAAACAGTCCCCTATCTAAAAGGATTGTAGTGAGATAATATCTGTAAACCATGGTGCTATGAATATAAAAAGCATAGTATGTGCTGACTATTGTTATTAAATGAATGACTCTTAGTACACAGGAGACATTTTAAAGTTCAAATTGTGTGACAAAGAAGAAATACAGTACCGAAAGCAAACAATATACAAGATGCCCAAACTCAAAAACTATACTATTCTTTTTCTTGTCTTAGGATGGTATTGGTCACTGTGTGCTATTATGTAGGTCATAGACTAGCTTAGGTCTCAAGAGGACTTTTGTTACACCGTTTCTGTTCTAACCCATTTCTTCCGCCTAGCATTTGATACCTCTTTGACAAATGCCTGAAGTGGCTGATGTGATCATTTTCCTTCCTACTGACCTGTGGCTGTGGCATTGATATTGTTCGTGGGGCTCCATCAACAAGGTAACTTGACAGGTACATCCAGATCTACCCACTTATCCTGAAATTAGAGACTGTATCTATGCATTTTGTCCATAATGAGTTAAAAATGAATATATTTTGCTTCTTTTGTTCTTCCATTGCTACCTGGCATTTTAGAATCTGACAGTATATAATCATAGGATAGTATTATTCTGAACTACTAGCTTCTTTGAAAGGCATATCTCACAAGAACTCAGAGGAAACCTAGACATCTTTATGAGTTCTTTTCAAAAAATGTCTTGGAGGAAGCTTGGGATCTCAACAGTGCATGATTTTTCTCACTGCTCTGAAAACTACATTCAGATTCACTCCAAAGCTACAGAACTTGCATCAAAGAATTCAGCCCAAGAGGAGAGAAATGGCCCTTTCAGCAAAAGTGATAAAAATAACCTAAATTTCCAGGGTGCCTTTCCACTGAAGAACTCATAAAGCCTTTACAGGATTTGGTGAAAGGATTTTTATCCAGAAGGGTTCCTTTTCTTGGGTAGCATTTGATTGATAAAGTTTCTCAAAGTTCAAATATATTTCTGAATGTCTTTCTCATCTTTTGTTATTGCGTTTTCTGCTTGAACGCATTTCAATTTAACTTATGGACATCTATTCTTTTAAAGAAAAAAATCAGGGCAAGAGCTGAGTCACTTTTCTTAGTTGTCTCATCATTGAGTTTCTCTGGATAGCATTTTCTTCCCAAGTCCTTTTTTTCTTGTTCAGCCACTTCTAACTTCATCTTTCCACTGCATTTCAATCATTCCCAGCCAGGGCCAATTAGCTGACAGTGCCTCACTCCGGGGCCCAGGGCCCCAATTAACAGCCTTGTGTTTTAATACAATGTCCTATTCCATTAACTAGTGTTCAGAACCTTCGGCCTTGGCTCTACCAGAAAGTTGAATCTTTTGTTTCCTCCCATTGTGCGATGGTCAGTCTTATTACCTGTAACTCCTGGCCTTTCATTGCCTGCACATATACAGCTGTCCTTGGAACAACACAGGTTTGAACTGTGCAGGTCCACTCACACAGTTGTCTTCTTCCTCCTTTGCCACCCCTGAGACAGCAAGACCAACCCCTCCTCCTCCTCTTCTACCTACTCAATGTGATTATCCCCTTGCACTTAATGAAGAGTAGATATATTTTCTCTTCCTTATGATTTTCTTAGTAACATTTTCTTTTCTCTAGCTACTTTATTATAAGAATACAGTAATGCATATAACATACAAAATATGTGTTGTTTATATTATTGGCAAGGCTTCCAAGCAACATTAGGTTATTAATAGTTAACTTTTGGGGGAATCAAGTTATACATGGCTCTTTCACTGCACCTGGGGTCAGTGCCCCTAATGCCTGCATTGTTCAATGGTCAACTGTATTTGTTTGTGGTGTTAGGGGAATCAACTTACATTCCTATACCCCTGAGTTATCAACTTCTTAATGTTTTTCAGCCTTTCGTTAATTTCATACGCATTATCCAAATTTTCCAACTCTGTTTTAAGTCAAGTATTTTATTATAAAAACAAGTATTTCTATTTTCAGACTCTTTATTTTTTCTATTATTATTATTATTATTATTTTTGAGACATGGTCTTGCTCTGTTATACAAGCTGGAGTGTAGTGATTCTATCTTACCTCACTGCAGCCTCAAACTCCTGCTCTCAGGCAGTCCTCCCGTCTCAGCCTCCCAAGTAGATAGAACTTGGTGGGCACCCCCACGTCTATTTTTTTTTTTTTTTTGAGACTGAGTCTGTCTCTGTTGCCAGGCTGGAGTGCAGTGGTTCGAACTTGGCTCACTGCAACATCTGCCTCCTGGGTTCAAGCGATATTCCTGCCTTAGCCTCCCAAGTAGCTGGGACTACAGGCGCATGCTACCACACCCGACTAATTTTTGTATTTTTAGTAGAGACAGGGTTTCACCATGTTGGCCAGGATGGTCTCAATCTCTTGACCTCATGATCCGCCCACCTCAGCCCCCCAAAGTGCTGGGATTACAGGCATGAGCCACCTCATCCGGCCCCGTGTCTAATCTTTAAAAAAAATTTTGCAGAGATGCGGTTTTGCTCTGTTGCCCAGGCTGGTCTTGAACTCCTGGCCTCAAGTGATCCTCCCACTTTGGTCTCCCAAAGCGCTGGGGTTATAGGTGTGAGCCACCACATCTGGCCTATATCTTTCTATTATAAGAGCTGTATATGTTCATCATAAAAACAAGTTAGAAAAAACTTTCTGTATGTAATCCTACCTCAGAGAGACTAACAATGTCCCCCTACTTTTCTTTACAGTTTCGTTGTTGACCCCCAAAAATCAAAACTGGAGTCATTCCTTATAGGAATGAATTTTTAAAAAATCAGAACTGAAAGAAGCAGTACACTTGGCATGATGTGCCAAGTATTTATAAATTTTGTATCGATTTTGTAAAAAACTTATATTATTTTGTGACTGTTTCCTCTGGTCTTATATCCTCCAACAACTCCATGAGTTTATTGTTTGAAAGGATGTGAGGGTTTGGGTAATCCCAAATGCTCATAAAACTCTAGGCCCTGAATGATGTATTATGTTGCTTGTGACTTCAAAGAAAGGAAAATAATAACAGACCAGGGTCTCTGGAAAGTGAAGGGACAGTTATAAATGTAACAAACCTTGAGATATGTGTATCAATCATGGTTCTCCAGAATAGAGCCAATAGGAGATATATGTGTGTACATATACACTTAGAGAGAGAGAGAGAGGCTTATTTTCAGAAATTGGCTCACATGATTGTGGGGGCTGGCAAGTCTGAAATCTGTCAGGCAGCCTGGCAGAGTGGAAATTCAGGCAGGAATTGCTGTTGCAGTCTTGAGTCTGAAATCTACAGGGTAAGGTGGCAGGCTGGAAACTCAGGCAGGGTTTCCACGTTGCGGCCTAGAGGTGAGGGAGGTGGAGTTCTGTACCCAAAGAGTCACTCAGCAACCTCTTAAATAATTGTTTTCATTTATAGTCTGCAACCAGGCAATTCAATACCAAAGGCTCAGGAGATGCCTGACAGTAAAAGGTTGAAGAACAATCCAGAACTCAGAGAAATGCTTAAAGTGAAATGCTCCTTCCTGGTTCTATTACTGCATATGTGTTGACTTAAATAACTTCTGTTTCTTAATGATTCGCATTTTCAAAGGCCAAACCTCCACATTAAAACCAGCCAACACAAATCATTATGAAACTGTTAGGGGATAGGCTGATTCCTGTGCTAAAACTCATCAACAGCATAGAAAGATGAAATGCTTCCCCAGTGATTTTACAGACCTGCAGCCAGGTCGATGTCTTCTGTAAGTAGCGTCTGCTATAATTAGTTTGGATCAACTCAGAACCTCTGTGTATACTTATGATTTGTATAATAGCACAGAAAGAAACTTCAGAATAATCTGTCTTATAAAAGGATGGAAAAATCCTCTGTTAAGTGTGAGCAAATTGAGTCCAGGTCTTCCTTACTCAAGGGTTGGCACAGAGAAGACAGACCTGGTATCATTCAAGGATGCAATCTGCCTGGGTAGGTTAAAAAAAAAAAAAGGAAGATGGATAAGAGAGTTTAGGGTTTGGGCAAGAGTGGGATGGTGATGCTGCACCATGAAATCTAAATTGCAGAGGAAGGGAGGGAAATGAACAGAGGCAGGGCTGTGGATAGGGCCAAAATGGAGTATGGGTGAGCTGGGGTCCTTGCTGACAGTTCCAGGTTGAAGCCTGGGACCATGTGCCAGGCAGCAGATGCTCCACAAAGGTGGGGGCCGTCACCACAAGGTGGGGGAGTAATGGTCTAGAAGAGATTTGGAAGGGGGGCAGGACAATAACCCTCACCTCCTGACCTGGGGAATCACAATGATAATTATAATGATGGAATATTAATAGCTACCATTTCTGGAGGCCTTATAAGAAGAGAGAATTTGGACCCAGGCACACACAGTAGGAAGACCGTGAGAAGACACAGGCAGAAGACGGCCATCTATAAGCCAAGGAAAGGTCTCAGAAAGAAGCAATCCTGCCAACACATTGATCTTGGATTTTAGCTTCCAGAACTGTGAGAAGACAAATTTTTGTTGTTTAAACCACCCAATCTGTGGTACTTTGTTATGTATATTACAGGTATAGAAGTGGGATCTGTACCTGTTTTCGTTTTATATCATCTGTAGGAGGGAAGGCTTTGCTAAGTAAGCAACTTTGATTAGAGTATCCCTCCTTTTATATTCCTACAAATTTTCTCAATTTTACATATGTGTTTCTCTACCACCTAGTTGATCTGATTATTAGTAGGAGGTGTTAGTATGAATTAAAAGACACATTGGCTCTGGTACTAAAAGAATAGAAAAACAAAAAGAGATTCTAAATACTCTCATAGAATGTAGAAGTGGGTTGAGATTCTAAGAATTTTGCTCTTGACTGCATGATTTTCACCATGTTTCAGAAATCTGGATGCTAAGAAGGTTATGAGAAAACTATGCGTATAGGAAAATGGCAACAACCAAAAGACTTAAGGAATGTAAGGAGTACGTATGAGGGCTTATGTACATTCTCTTACCTGTAATTAACTATACAGATTAAACTGCACACACGTTTAATGGCGTTTTCTTTTATTTTTACCAGACATTCATTTACTCCTTAAATAGTTTGCTTTTATTTGCACACAGCAAGGTAAGGTCAAGCATTAGACCATCGTTAAGTACTATTTTAGCGCACACATATGCACATAATTCCTTCTCTCTATGGCCATGTATTCAGAACTGCTAACTGGATACACACAGGAAGGAAGGATTTCAGGATTCCCAGTTTGGGTGACATTTTCTTATGATCTCCTGATGAACTTGAAGCCAGACATATTAAGTCGGCCTGTCCTCAAGCCACAAGAACTTGAAAGAACCAGATCTGCCAAACACATCCAACACACCTTGGTTGGTGTAAACCATTCAGCTGTCAGTACATGTCCTGTCTGGTTTCTTCTTGTGAATCCCCAGACTCCAGGATTTGCACGCTCTATTTTTTTCTATAAAGTCTATTCCAAAATCACTCAGTTAACATGCTAAGGCAAACCCATCTGTGTTGGGCTTCCTTTGGGTTATGCTTTCTTTTTGTCCTTGCAGCCCAGCCTCCTGCCTATTCCTCACTCCAATATCATCATCCTTCCAATGCTTGGTCCCACTCCCCCTCATCATCCTCCCTCCCAAACCAGTACGCTCTATGCTCCTATACTTCCCACTGTTTACAAACTCCCCTACAACCTCAGACTCCTCTTTGTAGCTCCTCCTGGTCTCCCCAATGTGACTGTCACTAGCTCTCCCCTGAGACATCCTAAAGACCTCATGTTACCTTAATTATGTCTCTGAAGATTCTATCTCCAAATGAAGTTACATTCTGAGGTACTGGGGGTCAGGACTTAAACATACAAACTTCTGGGAGGACACAGACTTCAGCCTATTATGGTGCCCTTCCAAAAGCTTCTGAATTTTAAGTCAGTGGAGATTTTTTGAAATCAGTTGAGCTTCAATCAGTAAGGTCTCCTGGCTATTACAGACAACTTCACAACACATTTTATGGAAATGGACACACAGATAGGAAGGGAAGGTCTCTTTAGCAACCCCATTCTTCTTCTGGGAATGTTGAATGCATCATCAACCTAGAGAAAGCCATTAGTGGGTGCCTCACTGAGATGTCTAGTCCCTGTAGAACAAGCACCTTCTCAGGCAAATTCTCAGCACATTCTCAAATTGCCCAAAGTGCTATCACTTGACAAAGGTCAAGGAAATAACAGCAAATCATGAATAAATGAATCCATCACTGGATACCACCTCTTGGGTCACTCCTGAGCTACTTCTTAAAAGAGTTTCCTTACCTGAGGTTTTAATTTCTGTCACTATGTTAGGTTTTAACCATAAAAAGAACCTATTTTGTAATTAATGGTCTACGAGGCTGGGCCTTGGAGTTGTTCCTGACCTTTGTTTCCAGTGGAGGGGAGCCACATTAAGGAGAGCCCACCATCAAAGACAGACAGCATCATGGGGATGGAAATAGGCATAACCAATATTTAATCAATATTTAAACCAATATTTAATCACCACAGTTTAACACAAAGGATAAACAAAAGTGTCTGACAGGAATGGAGGGTGGGAGGGTTGTAGGAGAGAGCATGAGTTGAACTCTGAGAGATGGCAAAGGTGATGTATTTATTAATGGTAAAGGTGAAATTACTACCCCGATTCCAGGAAATGAGTCAAGGTTTGGAAGAAGAGGTGGGAGTTTTATGATGTCTTGCAGCAGAGGGAAAGAGCTTAGTGAATTGTGATGGGGGACATGAGAAGTGTTCCAGACAAGTGTTCATGAAGTGGATCTGTCAGCAACAGGCAGCTCCATCCAGCACAAGCTGGCCTGGTGGAAAAGTTATAACTTAAACATTGCTCAACACTTGGTGTGTCAGAACATATTGTACCCCTTGTTTGAGAAGATCAGTTTCATTCACCCCCTTCTTGGCATTTCAGGAAGCCACATGGATTTCTCCCTAGCATCCCACTCTTTTCCAGAATCCCATTTCCTCACTCTTCAGCAACATTGGACTGTTGCACAAATCTACACACCTTTTCAGTGCTTTCCCCGTACATGCTCTTGTGGGTGTTATTCCTCTCTGGAAAGTTCCTACGCTTTGATCCTTTCTAAGACTTATTAAATGTCAACTCCTTTACAAGGATTCTCCTGATCCTTTTACTTGAATGTTTTTTCTTCCTCCTCTGGACACCTGTAGCATTTTAAACTTATGATGAAGTTCAACCTGTTTCATTATATATTAGGATTAACTTTCTCTAATCTGTCCCCACTTCCAATAGACTAACTTCATGAAGACATGGATTTTTATTTTCACTTTCTTTATATCCTCACCTGTACCAAGCACAACCCTTGCACAGAATGTGCATCATAAATACCACTTAGGTGAAGCGGAATCATTTGCTGAATGATGTTGAATGGATGCTGTAAAAATGGCTCCCTTCCTGTGGGTACTTCCTTGCTGAAAGTGAGATCAGAGTTCCATACGGCATGGCGCTCTGGGGGCTGAACTAGAAGCGCAGGGGGTGTGGACTGGTGCTAAAGTGTCAGGGTACGGCGTTAAGGGCATTCACAAGCTACGATCCCAGGGTGAAGCCAGAGTTGAGAATGAAACAGATAGTCCAAAGGAAATGTCAACTGAAGAGGCAGCAACCGACAGTTCAACAAGGCACAGTAAGCGGGTTGGGCTGAGGAATGGCTAGGAGGTATGGTTGATGGGTCTCCTCAGAGAGGCCAGGGTTAAAAGATTGGAACCTGGTTGATGAAGAACTATTAAGTGGAGTAAGCTCTTTAAGACACTTTGCTCCTTTACTGTTTCATCCAGAGATGTTTCAAACCATTGTTTGCCATTGTCTTAGTTCAGCTATCATCAACATAGCTTGATAAAAATTCTTACTAGTTAGTCTGGTAGGTCATTTTAACCACCTAGTCGGAGTTCATTTTTCTTAACCTTTCCTTGAACAGGAAGCCTTCAAAGTGTTCATCCAGTGCTGCGTTGTTATCTGTAACCTGCTACAATCTTGAAAATGAGGTGAGGTGAATGGATTTCTCTAACTCTGGTCCAACCGAGTGGCTGGGACAAACCACAGATGACTTGTCACCTCAGTGACAGCCAGTGGAACTTAGCCAGCCTCCTAGAATTTGAGGACCAAGTTGTGTCTCTTTGAACTTTGATTTTCTTCTGGGTTCTAGATCTATTGGTAATGGTGAGATGTGGTGAAAAGAGTTCTAAAACTAGTCTAAGTCCCACTTTTTTCACTGAAAAACTTTGTGGCTTAAGGGTAGATACCTTGCTTTTATTTTTTATTTTATTTTATTTTATTTATTATTATTATTATTATTATTATTATTATTATTATTATTATTATTTTGAGATGGAGTCTTCACTCTGTCGCCCAGGCTGGAGTACAGTCGTGTGACCTCGGCTCACTGCAACCTCTGCCTCCTGGGTTCAAGCGATTCTCCTGTCTCGGCCTCCTTAATAGTTCAGATTACAGGTGTCTGCCATCACACCTGGCTAATTTCTGTGTGTTTAGTAGAGATGGGGTTTTGCCATGTTGGCCAGACTGGTCTTGAACTCCTGACCTCAGGTGATCCACCCAGCTCAGCCTCCCAGTGTTGGGATTACAGGAGTAAATCACCTCGCCTGGCCACCTTGCTTTTACAATGGGATAATAATCCCAAGTAGCCCTATTTGTAAAATCTTGAAGGTCGTGACCTGGACACAATAGGTTCTTGAGACTGTTTTCTTCAGTTAGTTTAGTGAATTACTATTCCTTGAGCACTTGTATGCAAGGGGCTCAACAGGACAGTCCCTCTAAGTACCTACCCTCTATGCTTTGGCTTGCTTGTCCCATGGACCAATTTGCCTTGAGGAATCCACAGTTCTAGCAAAGCCTCTGCAGTCTAGAAAAAATATTGAAAGTGAAATCATTGATATCTATCTCATTACTTTATATATTTCTGTAAAATGAAGATGATTAAAAAAAAAACTACCTTGACAAAGCTGTGTCAAAGATGAAATGTGACTTGGAAGGGATTTGTGGACTGTGAAAGCCTTGAGAAATGTAAATGATCATTTTTGCCATTTGTTGTCATTTGTTCTGCAGTCGCAGGAGTGCCTCTTCCTGCTGCCCTGGTCTGAGCAAGACCAGAAAAGGAGCTGGGAAGGGCTGGTGGCTTTTCATGCCATGCCTGCCCTCTAGTGGCTGTGATCCACAGCCGCTTACCGAACGGGTGGCCCAGAGAGGAACAGAGAAGTCCGTCAAGTTGGGAGAGAAATGTTCAGCGGGGCAATCAACATTGTCCTCAGCCTTCTTCTATGTGGGAGACAGTGCCCACACCCCTTTACCTGTCTACAGTGCCTGATGTAGTGGAGGCACAAAGCTTTGGAGGTCAATAGGCCTGACCCTGTCATTTACCACTGTCCTGAGGCAATTTACCTAATCTCCTGTAGGCATAATGGGAACAATTGAAAGTTGTTGTGAAGATTAAATAAGCTAATTTATGTAAAATAGTCCTCCCAGTATCTGGCACATTTTAAGCATTTTTAAAAAGGCTTTTCATTCCCTTCAAACTTTATTTATATTTTGGGGTTCATATTGGCAGGCTACTTGGGGCTGGGAGTATATGTTTAATCCTTATTTAGATCATCTTAGATGTGTTTCCAAGAAGCAGAATGTTCCCTCTCTAACCCTTTCAAAGGGAAAACAGCTGCCCTGGAACTGATAAGTTCTACAATTACAGGGTTTGATAAATCTGCTCATCTAACTCTGTTCTCATTTTTCTTTTCTGATATGTGGGTCTACTTGCTGCTTTAACTGGGCACTGCATCCTGCCCAGCAGGGTTTTTCAGTGGAGCATCTCTCTCATGAGCCGCTGAGGTCAAGAACTGTCTTATCATCTAGCATATGCCCAGGTCAGGTCTTCAGGAGCTGAGTGTGAGCAGCTTTCACGGGACAGCCATTTCCTCCACTTTCCCTCTGCCCTCCATCCAACACCAAAGGGCTGAGGCAAATCAGGTCACTCTCTGTGCTTTGCTGGGAAGGGGCATCTTCAAGGCAGGAGACATCATTTGCTGTTTCCAAGGTGGATATTTTCATATTCTCAGAAATTTTCAGGCATTTGAAGGGATGGGTCTTTAAATCACACAGATGTAACACATTGAATGACTTCAGGCCTGATGTGTGGGAGAAACATCAAGGGGCCTGGTGTGACAGGAGAACAGGGAGCAGGGGAAGATCTGGGGTTGAAGAGGGAATCAGGCCTTGGAAAGACGCTGCCTTTTTCTCAGAGTGAGATGAGCAGCAGGGTCTGAGTGGAAGAGGGAGTGGAAGGTTTAGTAAGATCATCTGGTTTCTCTGTTAAGATGAGGCTGTAAGGAGCAGGTGTAGACGCAGGGAGAACAGGTAGGAATTCTTGCAGCTCTCCAAGCAGATGCCCATGGCATGGGCAGGTTCAGAAGTGGTGAGGGGATGAGCTCCTGGTTATCACATGACAACAAGGCCTGAAGATTTGCCAATAGATTGTCTCTGGAGTGTGAGAGAAGGAGGGGAGGTGAGGATGAGTCCAAGCATGTTGGCCTGAGCAACTAGAGGGATGAAGCTGCCATTATGAAGACAAGAAGACTGTGGGAGGAGCTGGGGAAGATATTCAGGAGTTGGCTTTTGGACATGTCAACTTTGAGATGCCTAGTAGACATCCATGAGGAGGGCAGTTCGATGTTTGGTTACACAGCCTGCAGGTCAGGAGAAAAGTTCAGACCCAATGTAAGAGTCTTCAGCATAGAGATACTTAAAGCCAAGACATTCAATGAGATCACCAAGGTGTGAGTATTGATAGAGAAGAGGTCCAAGCAGTAAGCTCTGAGGCACTCCAATGCTGAGAGGTCATGGTGGTGAAGAAGAGTCATGGAAGAATACTACAGAGGAATAGGCAATAAGCCAGGAGTCAAACTAGGGAGCCGAGGAAAGAACATACCACGGAAACAGGCAGTAATCAACTGTGTCAGACGGTGTTGATGGGGCAAGTAAGATGAGGACATAGAACTATTTCATTTAGCAACATAAAGGTCATTATTGAGTTTGATTAAGAACTTTTGATATAGTGCCCCATATCCAGATTATAAAACCAATATTATAGCTTGTTAATTTGTTTACATTTCTTTCTATCACACTGATAAGTTAATTTCTTAGACACAGGCAATATGATGTCTCACGCATTTCTGTGTCCTGGCATGCTCAATGAATATTTGTGAAATGAATGTGTAAATACACAAAAGGGAGTATCTTAGATATTGGCCTAGGATGCCTGTGTGGGGCTGCAATCACCCCAGGACTACTGAGCCAGAAACAGACCTCTACTAAAGATTGTGCTTGAATCACCCAGGGATATAGGTGACCATTTGTCCTATTCTTAATGACAGTATCATTCCATAAGTCTCATTTTTTGCATATCATCATCATCCTCATCCTCATCCTCATCATCATCATCATCATCATCATACAATAACCAGATTCTAGCAATTCTTCCCTCATGGTTCATTTTAGAGTAATTCTTCTGCCTTTACTTACCAACTTCTTATACACCCCAACATTATAAACTCTCTAATACCATTTGCTATTGCTCAAGACTAATTGTCTTCATGCACAAACTTTCAAAGACCTATATATTATACTTATTATTCTTTTTGTGGCTTTAAAGGGTGCCTATCATTTAATCATTGAACTGGAGATATTTATTGAGTGAGGTGTGTGCCAGCTAGATGTTACTCTTTGGAGATACATGGTGAGCAAGTTAGACACAGTGACTGCCCTCAGGGAGCTTGCAGTCTAATGGATTTATGTGGCAGAGACATTAAACAAATAACTACAATAAAGTGATAAATGGCATGAGAGGGAAAGTGGCCTCTTCATCCATGTTTTCCAGGGTTCTGTCCTAGGTCCTCCTTTCCTCACTCTCTATGTGCTCCAGGGTGATTTCTTTCACTGTCTTGGATTCCATTAATGACTCTCAAGTAGACATCTCCAGCTCAAATCTTTCTAAACACATCCAACCAATGTCTCTTGGGTCTCTTCTCTTAGGCATCTCAGAATCACTCTCACCAACAGTGTGTCAAAAACAGAAGCAATCATTCCCTGCCCTCCAACACACACCCACACCCACACCCAGGCTCTTCTGTGTTCTAAGCCACCATCATCTGCAGCATCACTGGGCCAGCTGCCCACCCCAACACCAGAGCTCTAGCTTGGGCTTCCTGGTTGACCTCATCCTATTGTTAACAACCTGTCTCTAGTTTTATTACTTGTTTCTCCTAAGCATATCTCAAATCCCACAGTTCCCCTTTTTCCTGCTGAAATTACCATTAAATTGCAACTGCTAAATTTTATTGGACCTTTATTATGTATCAGGCCCTGTAATAAATTCTTTAAATGTGTTTCCTCATACAACCCTCCAATACAATTGGGTAAGATCCGGTGAGTGCTAGCATTATTCCCACTTTTACAGATAAGGAGGCTGCGGTATAGAAAAGTTAAGTACTTTGGAGAGGATCACACAGCTGGTAGGTGAAGGAGCTTTGCACTATGAACCTGTGCCATTACCGTAGAGCCCTTAGTTCAGGCAGCTGTCATCTCTCATCTGGATTTCTCCAATGGCCTCCAGCCATGCCCTTTTCTAAGCTTCACTTCACACCAGAGTAAAATTATGTTCCTACTTAAAGTTCTTTAGTTGCTCCCCTCTACCCTTAGGATAAATCCCATAGGCCGTAATGCAGCTGTTGACATTGTTCCCCATGAACTGACCTCTGGTTACTTTTTAGGGCCTTCTCATTTCCTCCCTCCCCAACCCACCACACAGCCATAAAACACTTTATTTAAACAAAAAAGCATTATTTATTCCAAAGGAAACATTTCATTTTATGAAAAATAATTTTTCTTGTTTAATATTCATCTCCCTCTAATCTCCTTCCTAAATACACTTCCCCCCACTTATACTATTATGAAGTTTTTATTTTTAATTTTTTCCCCAAAGTTTTAGATCTGTTTTATTTTGAACTAATTTAGACCTACAAAAAAGTTGTAAAAATAGTACAGTTCCTTTATATTCTTCAACCAGCTTCCCCTAATGGGAACATCTTGTAAAACCATAGTACAATAATTAAAAACAAGACATTAATACTGGTATAATATTATTAAAGACCTTATTGTAATTTGATCCTTTTTTCACTAATAGCCTTCATTTTTTTTAGAAAAAGATAAAAATAGGACTGTGTTGTAGTGACTTGAATTTTTTTTTTTTTTTTTTTTTTGAGAGGAGTCTCACTCTGTAGCCCAGGCTGGAGTGCAGTGGCACAATCTCAGCTCACTGCAACCTCTGCCTCCTGGGTTCAAGCAATTCTCCTGCCTCAGCCTCCCTAGTAGCTGGGATTACAGGCACCTGCCACCATGCCCGGCTTATTTTTATATTTTTAGTAGAGGTGGGGTTTCACCATGTTGGCCAGGCTGGTCTTGACCTCCTGACCTCAGGTGATCCACCCACCTCAGCCTCTGAAAGTGCTGGGATTACAGGCATGAGCCACCTGACTTGCTTTTTTATTGCTACATAATAATTGTAAGTATTCATGGGGCACATGTGGTATTTTGGTATAAACATATAACATATAATGATCAAATCAGGGTAATTGAGATGTCCATCACTTCAAACATGAATCATTTCTTTATGCTGAGAACATTTCAAATCTTCTCTTCTAGCTATTTAAAAATATACAGTAAACTGTTGATAACTATAGTCTCCCTACTGTGCTATCAAACATTAGGATTTGTTTCTTCTAACTGTATTTTTGCACCCATTAACCAACCTCTTTTCATTCCTCCCCATTACCCTTCCCAGCCTTTGGTAAACGTTACTCTATTCTCTACCTCCATGAGATCAACTTTTTTTTTTTTAGCTCTCACATCTGGGTGAGAATATGGAATATTTATCTTTCTGTAACTGGCTTTTTTAACTTAACGTATTGTTTTCTAGGCTCGTCCATGTTGCTGAAAATGACAGGATATCATTCTTTTTATGGCCAAATAGTATTCCATTGTGTATATATACAACACTCTCTTTTTCTATTCATCCATTGATAGACATTTAAATCGATTCTGTATCTTGGCTATTGTGAATAGTGCTGCAGTAAGCATGGAAGTGCAGATAGCTCTTTGATAAACTAATTTCCTTTCTTTTGGTCTATATCCAGCAGTGGGATTCTAGGTCATATGGTAGTTCTATTTTTAGTTTTTTGAGGACCCTCTATACTGTTTTCCATGATGGCTCTACTAATTTATGTTCCCATCAACAGTGTGCAAAGGTTCCCTTTTCTCCATATCCTCGCCAACAGTTGATATCCTTTATCTTTTTGATAATAGCCATCCTAACAGGTGTGAGGTGATATCTCATTGTGGTTTTAATTTTCATTTCTCTGATAATTAGTGATGCTGAGCATTTTCTCATATACCTGTTGACTATTTGTATGTCTTCTTTTGAGAAATGTCTATTCAGGTCCTTGCTCATTTTATAATCAAGTTATTTATTTTCTTGCTGTTGATGTATTTGAGTTTCTTGTATATTTTGGATATTAACCCCTTATCAAACATACGACTGGCAATATATAGGACATCTCTTCACTCTATTACTTGTTTTCTTTGCTGCGTGGAAGCTTTATAGTTTGAGGTAATCCTGTTGTCTATTTTCACTTTTGTTGCCTGTGCTTTTGGGGTCATATCCAAAAAATTATTGCCCAGAAAAAGCTCATGTTGTTTTCCTCTTATGTTTTCTTCTTGTAGTTTTATAGTTTCAGGTCTTGGTCTTAAATTCCAGTCATTAATCCACCTTTTTTTTGTTGGTTTGTTTTTTGTTTTTTGTGGATTTTTTTTGAGACAGAGTCTCGCTCTGTTGCCCAGGCTAGAGTGCACGGGTGCGATCTTGGCTCACTGCAACCTCCGCCTCCCAGGTTCAAGCGATTCTCCTGCCTCGATCTCCCAAGTAGCTGGGATTACAGGCATGTGCCACCACGCCCGGCTAATTTTTTGTAGTAGAGATGGGGTTTCACTGTGTTAGCTAGGCTGGTCTCGATCTCCTGACCTCGTGATCCACCTGCCTTGGCGTCCCAAAGTGCTGAGATTACAGGCATGAGCCACCGCCTCCAGGCCATTAATCCATCTTGAGTTGATTTTTGTATATGGTGTGAAATGATGGCCCATTTTCATTCTTCTGCATGTGGATATCCAGTTTTTCCAACTCCATTTATTGAAGAGATTCTCCCCATTGTGTGTTCTTGGTGCCTTTGTTGAAAATCAATTGACTGTAAATGCTTGGGTTTATTTCCAGCTAAAGCACTTTCTTTGGTTTAGCTCTGAGTCATCTCCATTTTCCTCTGTTTAGGAAGTCTTCTTTTCACTGTGACTGACCCTCCTCCTTCACTTTTCCCACATTTTCTGGAAATATAATATTTTATCAGTTACGTTTCAGTTCAGAAGTTTTTTTCCTGTAGGAAGCCTCCCTGATTCCCCAAGTCTGGATGAGAAGGTGTGAGAGGCAGAGTACTGGCTCCCCAAAATGTCCATGTCATTAATGCCCTGTACCTGTGGATATATGACCTTGTGTGGCCACAGGACGTCGCAGATGCTATTAAGTTAAGAATACTGAGATGAGGAAATAATCTTAGGTGATGGAGATGAGCAGTGTGATCACAAGGATCCCAATAAGAGGGAGTCAAGAGAGTCAGAATCAGAGGCGATGTGACTGTGGATGCTCCAGAAGCCGGAAAAGGCAAGAAAACATATTCTTCCATAGAGTGTCCACAGGAACACGGCTCTGCGCACTCCTTGATTTAGCCTTGTAAAACCCATTTTGGACTTCTAAACTCCAGAACTATAAAATAATCCATTTGTGTTGTTTTAAGCCACTCAATTTGTAGCAATCTGTTGCAGTAGCAACAGGAAACTCATACAGATGGCTTTCCCTGTGCTTCCATACCTTCCACACTCTATGTCTTCACACTGCAGATTCTATTTCAATGGCTCTATTACCTGCTCATCTCCTAAGTAGCCCATAAGATCTGTAAGAGAATGCACTGAATCAATCTTATGCAACTGATATTCTCAAGTACAAACATTGCTCTTGGAACATACCTGGTGCGAAATTAATATTTTTTGGATGAATGCTTGTCAAACGTGTGGAAATGCTATAATGGGTTTTCCAGGTCTCTCAGGGAATAATTATGAGGAGAAGGTAAGTGTGGTGTTTCTTTGTAGGCTTACCTCAATCTTAAGTATATATACTATATAGAAGGAGCAAAAGTTACTGCTTTTTCTTCATGGGATCATTCTTAGCTTGGTTTGCTTGGCTTTGCATGCCTGGAAATTGACACTTTAATAAAGTGCTTTCTTGTGTTTGCAATCCTGCAGGCACAAGATCCCTTGTTATGAAGAGCTTAAAATAACCTTTCTCAATTACTAGCCTCTCCTGCCTGAAACCTCAGGTTAGTGATGTCAAACAACTTACGATCGGCAGGTGACATACTGTCATTTGGGAGAGTTCTTAAAACTAGATATTCCCAAGCTAAGGCCTGGACCTCTAGCATCAGAATCTCCAGGAGAGGGATCTAGTTCTGCAGGTGATTCTGATGCAGATCCAAATTTGGGAACCCCTGAGACTCAACCCTACAGGAACGTGAAGTGCAGCTGTCACTTTGGCCACTAGATGGCAGGCTTTACTCTCCACCCTGTGGTTCCAGCACAGAAAACTTGTTACAACACCCCACCCACCCCACCCCAAGGGAAATTTAGTATGCTTTGGGCCAAGTGCTAGAATAGATATTTTCGTATGCTTTATCCCGTTGAGCTTCGCAAACACATTGAAAGTTAGGCATCATTATCCCCAATTTACAGATGAAGAAACTGAGGCCTGTGGGATAACACAGAAAGATCATATGCTTTCCATTTAACCATGCTGCCTTAATCTGTTTGGCTTAGACAATTAACTGTCTTGCCTGTAGGAGTTCAGTGAATATTTGTTTAACACATTAACAGATAAACTTAAGCCTGAGAGCAGCACCAGGTGATATCTCTAATTTTCTTCCAAAGCAACTTTATTACAATAATTTATCTTTATTTCAGTTTTCATAAAAGGGCAAGGAGAAATAAACACGAGTTAAATGCATTGCCTTTTAAATTTCTTGGATGGTCTTTGAAGACGAATATGCAGAAGTCTAGTGGTGGGCATGCTGAAAAGATAATCATATTCAGGATATCCAGTGTGGCCACCGATACAACGTGGTCTTATGACACTAGAGGGAATGAGGCTCCTTGAGAGGTGTGGCTCAAAAATTGTGTACCTCCAAGCCAGGATGCTGGTCGGCATGTGGTGTGTGTGTATCTCTCATGTGTGGGGGAGGCCTGTGTGGTGTGTGAGTGTGAAAGGATGGGGGCCAGGGAAAGATGGAAGAGAGAGAGGACATTTGACCTTTCAGTCCTTGTTTCAGTGAGAACATCCAAATGTTATCCTTTTATGTATTGGTACCCCATATGAGATTCTTTTTGGAAAAATGGTTTCCGTGGCCATTAAGAGGCAGAAACTGTTGACCTACGTCATTGTCCAGACTGATAAGCAATTGTATTATTTTGTGCAGAATTTTAATCTGCATTAGCAACATACATAGGCTCAACAAAACACTTTGAATGTATTCTTAAGATGTTTCAGTTAAGGTAAAAATGTTTAAGGTTTGTAGGAAAAAAAGAAAATGAGACACAAAAACAATTACCATGAAAGTCCAAAAATGGTATAAATAAGAAAGGTTCAGACAGAAGTACTTTTAAAATCTACTCTGCTTTATTTCTTCTGTTAAAAGCCAATACGATCTATTAACACGAATGATGAAACTAAAAACGAGAAATCCCTCCTTTTTAGCAACTCTGTCCTGAATGAGGGACAGGATTATGTGACAAAGGACCTCATGAAGGTCTGTGAAATGCCCTGTATAATCCAGATCATTGCAACGGGAAAGTGACTTGGTGGGCCTATACGTGGGTTGCTGAACATTGCCTCAACCTCCCTCCTGCCACCCTGCCAAGATTTTACAGGGACTTAGGAAGGAGACGTCATAAACAGTGGGATCAGCTCAGTAAGCTTGTGTGATTAATACTATGTTTCCCTTTTTCAGTTGCTTAGCATCAAAAAGGAAAAAAATAAGGATTACAAAAAATCAATATCAAGCATAACATAGGATTGGAAACACAGCAATGGTTGGAACAAATTAGAAACACATTTTCATCATCTGACTCCAATAACAAAAGGAAACACCCTTTCCTTCTTTGGGAGCTGTAGCTCTCTGGAGTTTTCAGAAGTCCAAAGGGGGAGACAATGTGGTCTCCAGGTGAGGCTGTAACTGGATCCTGCCAAGTCTCTAATGGTCCCTCTGACACCCTTTCCCCTTAAACTACACCCATCTTGTCTCTTCCCAGGACTCTGTGTCTTTCAGGGGCAGAAGGGGATGGTAGCATTATTCTGGAGATTTTGAACATCTGACAAACCTCCCCTGGTAACTTTTTAGCTGCCTTCCTGGCCCTTAGGGTGAAAGGGGGCAAAATCAAGACCCTTATATTTTGGAGCGATTTTTAAAAACTTCACCAAACAGTTTTGTTAAAATAGATATTTATTTTTCAGCTTTCTTTTGTTCTCCAGTGTTTACATGCTAAGTGTACACGCTCGCATATTCTTGCATATTTCACAATATTCTTTAAAAAAGCTGTTCGGTTTCTTGTGACAGGAATTCAGACCTGGCTTCTGAGCTGTGGCACAGCAGAGGAAAGGCAGCCAGCACGGGATCTGAAACAGCCCGAGGGGCCTTCCCTCATTAGCCCTTTTGATACCCAGTGAAGAGTCACTCTGTCTTTACAACATCTTATTTTCTTTTTACTTGTAGCGCTGAACTCTGGAGGTAATGAGATATCATTGTCACACTCTCTCTCTCCCCCCTATTTAAATGTGCATTCTGTGAAGGTGGGAAGCTTAAACAGTGCCTGGTATATAATAATTGATCAACAAATATTTGTTGAAAAATGGGAAGATACTTATTTAGATAGTGAAGGGCGTGTGGGGGGTGGGCAGGATTGCTGCTCTGGGTGCAGTCTGGACAGCTAAGTATTAACCAGCTCAGCGAAGGGTCAGCAGGGACAGCCTTTTATACCCTGCCCTCTTGGTACCCTAGTTCTTGTCTGGTATTGAGAAAGAATCAGGTTACAAGAAATAATTGAAGGGTGGTGAATGTGGAGGACTTTATTGAGTGGTGGAAGTGGCTCTCAGCAGAAAGGGGAACTGGAAAGCGGGTGGAGTGGGAAGACAATCTTCCCCTGGAGTCCAGCCATCCCTAGCTGAACTCCTCTCCGACCACAGTCTCCGACATCCAGCTGTTTCTTCTCCTCTTGATGTTCAGACACTTCTCTCTTCTGTGTGTATGACTGCTGAGTCTGGGGTCTGGGGTTCTCATGGGTACAGAATAGGGGACGGGATGGGCCAAAAGGCAACATTTGGCCAGGAAAACAGGGATAGTTCTCACTTTGGGCCACGGGTCTAGGTTTAAGGGTGGAGCCCTCGTCAGGAACTCTGCCCTCTTCTACCCGGTATTTCCCTGCCTCCTGGCCTTATCAATGTTACCTCCCGGACTTATCAATGTCACGTCTTCCTCAAGTTCCTAGTGTCGCCCAGTCCAAGTCAATGACTCAGTAGATTAATCAGCAACCTTTTCTCTCAAATTGTCAAAAGCTGTTCAGAGTTATTGAAGACGCTCAATTTGCTGCAGTTAGGGATGCAGAAATTTGATGAATAAAAAAATTATCAGATTTTAACTTAAGACCCTAATTGTTAGATCTTTATTTTCTTTAAGGCTTTTGGAAAAGGAAATAAAAAAATTTTAAGTACTTATAGACGGCATGAAGAGGAGATGCAAAGATTTAGGTCTTTGAGAAAGAAGTGGATTTTTTAAGTGTTAAAAAATCATCATTTTTAGTCTAAAGGCACTGAGTGCAAGGATAATTAAGCAAGTAAAAGTCTCACTTTTTGAACTCAGAAAGTGATAGTTCATTGACTTCATGGATTTTCAACTTAGCAAAATTGCCTTTTAAAAAATAACTAATGCTGTCTTTCTCCTGAGAAAAGCTTTTTTTTTTCCACCTCAGTTTTTTCATAAGCCCAAAAGTATTTTTGCATTTAGGCAGGCCTTTCTATGTGGATTTTGGTGTGAATGTAGATAGTTCTTAAGTTTCTTTCTATGCCCAAATTACTGCTCAGTTATTTCTTTCATACAAACATGTTTTGAGTTGAACCACTAATTTTTACTTATAATATCTAATTTAGCTAAAGTAACTTCACAGACCCCTTAAAACTTGCTCTATAAAAGTGGGAATACTGAAAATCACTAAGTCACCATGGGGCAAAGGGCATAGAATATGCTAGAAGTGACTCTTGCCGGGTTGTAATTTTGGCTGGCCCTGACTTGCATTGCATGTCAATTGCAGGAGTTTGTTACCTACCTTGGAGGGTTTCGATGGGGAAGATCCCTGCAAGCTGCAGGAAGTTCTTTGGACCAATGATTAACCAACCGCCCTGGCACCTTCCTGGCAATGTTGTATTCTTGCCAAGAGGTGGGGAGCTTCCAGGGACCACTGGGGGACACAGAAGAAAACCTGGGAAAATTGAAGCAGAACCCCTGAGATGTGGCTGACCAGATATATGCCCTGGCATCCTGGCTCACGGGATGGGAAAAAAAATAACCTGTGCGTGTCTACTAATTGTTTCAGATCTGAAGAAAAAACTATGATAGATGCCTTTATATACTTTCTGAAAAAGAAATTCCTCAGTATATCACTTACATATCTACAACACTGTTGGGAATGTTCATAATTATAATCATAGCCACAGAGAGACTGTAGATGTTTAAATTCTGTTCCTGGTCAATCTGAGTGTTCTGGAAGGAAAGGAGATTATTTCTGAATGCATGTATTTCTGCATTTCATATCTAGATATTAATTCATGCTGTGATCAATCAAACCCTCTCTGGTTCTTATTAATACCTTATATTTATTTGGGGGCTTTTTCCTCGAGGAGGTATTGTTATAGTAAGTAGCTAGTCTGGCATGAGCAAGACAGGAGAGGGCTCTCCCACCCTGCCCCAGGAATGTCAGGCGACATCAGGTGATGGTCTGGCTGTTGTTAATTGTCTCTCTAAAATAATAATTTGTCACAGTCAGTGCCAGGGAAAGGCAGTTTTCCTATGATAGAAAAAAACCTGAAACTAGTGATCAGCAGTTTCCTGATAAGATCTCAGGAGTTGGGCAGTGGGCTCCAGCATGTGCATTAAGAGGTAAAATGACGGAGTTTAACTGGTCTATGATGTTCCATTGACATTTGACTGGTACGGGAAGAATGCCTCAAGTGAGCATGTGTACAACTCCGTAAACACACTGCACTTGCTCACCTCCCAACTGCCAGTAGGTCACTGCTCGTCAAACAGCCCACAGCCAAGGGAAGAATTAGGGAAGAAGGAATGCAAGACAGCAGAGGAGGTCTTTTGATCACAAGTCAAAGGTCAAACCACACACTTGTCCTTCAAGTTGACTGCTTGGCCCTCTTACAAGTATACTTTCTTTCCTTTTTTTTTCCTGCTTGAAAGCTTTTAATACACTTTCACACCTGCTCTAAAACTTGCCTCGGTCTTTTCCTCTGCCTTATGCCTCTCGGTCGAATTCTTTCTTCTGAGGAGACAAGAATTGAGACTGCTGCAAACCCATATGGATTTACTGCTGCTAACAGTATAATTATTTTATTTGAAATGTTCACACCCTTTCATCATATTACAGAAAACAGACAAGCAATATCCATATAGCTCTCCTCCCATCACCCACTTTAGTCCCATCTTCCAAAATAAGCAAATGATAGCCTTAAGTGGACATTATCATCAGTAAGAAAGGAAGTGGAGGGAAACATGTTTACGTAATGGGACAAGCACTGGACAACAGCTAGGGAAAATGATATGACGCCTTACTGCTGCTAGCCAGCAGTGTGATGTTGGAGGAAGGTACATTTGGGGGTCATAATTTCCTTACCTACAAAATAAGAAAGGTAGGATGTGTATGACCTCTTCAAGCTCAAATTCCAGGATTGGAGTTTAGAGAGCAGCAGAAAATGGCTGAGACCCTTTTTGGGGACAGTCTCCCCTCATACTGGGGATTCTCTTATTTTTCTTCTCAGGGAAACAATAAGCATATTGTGGATTGTAATAAAGAACATTCAGCAGATCGTCATTTTGTCATCACTGTGAATACAGCTTCTGAAAGGAAAGGGACAGAGAAAGAGAAGAAAGAGACTAAAACAAGGAAAAGAGTTTCATTAAAAAAAGAAGATGAAATTTATGCCAAGTTCAAAAACTCAACTGACCATCAAAATGTACACTCATGGTATATGGATAGGTTAAAAAAATGAAACATGGTACATAATTTTTAAAAAGGAAACAATATTTACGTATAATCCAAATCAATCTACATGTTGTTTTATTTAAAGGATTCCCCAATCCAGAGTGCTTGGGAATAAGAGTTTCTGGATGGCCAAGTTTACCCAGATACCTAAAGGTTAGTTAACCTTTTAAATTTTGTAATTTATTTTTAATGGGAAGCTTTCTAAAGTGTACATTTCCTTGTCTTATGAGACAGAGTAGATTAAATGGACCATTTGATCATAATTAGCCCTTGGGAATATAAGTATCTAGTGCTCAGTTCATAGTTACAGACTCAGATGTAGATACAGATTGAATAGCTTGTGTGCTGAAGGCTCACAGACACAATTGTGCTCCTGAAATGTGTTTGTGTTTTTGTGATTAGTGCTTTGTAAATTCCCTGCTATCAATTTGAATCACAGTTATTTGCCTGCTTCTCATAAAGAAAGTGTGGCCTGAGGCTACACCAGCTAAATGAATTCCTGAGGAGTTGAGCATAGCTGCCTCTCAGAACATTTAGTGATCTAATGAAGGCAGCTTTTCTAATGATTGCTGTTAGGTCCTTTTGCTTGTAAGCACTGTTCAGTACATGGTTGTTCACATCCTGGACCACAGGCTCCTAGTCCGCATGGGCCACCCCTTCTCTCTACGATGTCACGTGTTATATCTCTTTACAGTCACTTCCCCCAGTGCTTTCAGCTCCCAGGTCTAAAACTGCCCTAATAGAAAAACCAATCAGGGTCCTCGTCCCTTCTGGTCAGCACATTAAGCCAGCTGCCATGTGTTAGTATAATCTTCAGGTATTTGACTAAAACATTTGGCTTATTGGCCACTGAATATTCAAGAGCCTTGTTGCTAAAGAGGCAATTAAAATGATTAACAAAACGTATCTTTCCTATATCAGCCATTATTATAGTTCTACACATGAACTGTACTTGTTGGGTTATGATATATATTGCTTCTTCCCCAAATATAAAAGGTTTTCCCTCTATCCAATGGGTTCTTGCTCCAGTTGTCAAGCCAGGCCCCCAAGGTTCGAGGAGGTGGAGAGGGGTGGACAACAGGATAATAGTGATGTTGCTGCTCCTTACAGCGGAGCCTGGCACCCATGGGAAGAAATAACAAACCCAAGTCACGCAGCTGATAAGAAGAAGCAGATTTGGGATTATTTCACTAACCTCTGGGGTGTAAATTTGCCTTAGCATAAGCTATGAGTTACAACCAATGGAATCGCTACAATAACAACAGATTCAACGCAGTGTCTATTAGAATTCATGATGTTTTCCCTTATTTCTTATTGTTTACTCACAGTCAGGGAAGTACTTGGTTTTGCTGCCTGCATAAACATGATATTGGAATTCTTTCAAATTTATTATTTAGTTTAAAGCTTTCTATCAGTTATTATTTTTTGTTCATGTGTACTTCAGCTCCATATAAATTAATTTCAAATTTATCATATCTTGCTACTTGCTTCTTTCAATTTTTACTTATATATTTACTTCGTCCAGGGCACTAATGTAACAATCCATTTACACGTGTTTTATAGCATGACTGGCTTTTTAGGTACCCGCATTTTCTGAAAAGCAAGATTGTTATTTGCATTTATAGTATCATATAAAAGATGTAGGATTGTATACATCAGTAAATTTGCTGCATTTTATATTTATTGATATCAATATACTTCTTTCTATTCCTATGATTTTATACCTTTTGCCCAAAATGTTGGAATATTGGTGATTATGATTTTTGTATTGGTTCTAATAAGTAATATACCATATTTTTTATGAGTAACGTAGTATTTCTCCAGTAAAGCCACAATAAAATCACTTTCAATCCTTCTGTTTGATGAAAAGTACTTAATTTTTCCCCAAAAGTTCTTCATAAAATCTAGAGGTACCTTGTGCATGGCATGTGTTCTGTGTGTCCATAAACTATAAATAGATGCAGATGTTACTATCTTATGTAACATCTTTATTTCATCAAGGTTTGTTTAGCATCTTCTGAGTGATGGCTGTGAGCCTCACTTCTACTTCAGCAGCAGGGTGGTTCAGAGCTCCTTCTAGCACATCTTGAGAACTGATGCTCAAATGAGCTCACAAAAGACATGTATGTGTGAGATTTTCCAGGCCCACAAACGGTCACTTCTCATATTTTATCATCAAACTTCCACCATTGTTTTTTCTTAACCAGATAACTTTTATAGTCGTGATCCCCCCATAACCTTAGCATTTTAAGTAAGTCATCCACATGTGAACTATTACCCAACAGAGGAAGAAGAGGAAGAGGATCATTTGCCCAAGACCATCTTTGTCACCATGTGATTTGGGATCTTAAGTAGCCACAATGTGTGATGACCACTTGCATTTCATGATTTTTAAATTCTTATTTTAAATTCACTTTCATTTAACAAACTTTTGTGTTTATTTAACTATTTTTACTCCTGGTTCAAATTCAGGCACACTCAGAAGAGGAAAAGAGTGGTTTGTTTTTATGATGTTAGTATAACACAGTACAGAAATGTCTCATTTATTTATAACTTGAGATTTATACCACCATCTAATTCCAAAAGGAATTTGAGGTGGTACATGGAGATGTTGACTTTGCTCTTATCTGAGTGCCTTAAAATGTAATTTATGCTGGTTGTTGTGTGCCATATATCAGCCCCTTCTTGGCACTTGGTGATTAATGTCTGTGAATGGAACAAAACTCACACTGAAGGTATAAAACATCCTCTCATCTGTGAGGTCTTGGCAAGCACTGAGAAAACTGCAAGAAGAAATAATTTGAAGTTGCACACTAGGCGCAAAAGAGTCGAATGGCTCTTTAAGAGGAACTTCAAAGGATAAAATAACTCTTTTTTTTTTTTTTTTGAGACAGAGATTCACTCTTGTTGCCCAGGCTGGAGTGCAGTGGCGTGATCTCAGCTCATTACAACCTTTGCCTCCTGGGTTCAAGTGGTTCTTCTGCCTCAGCCTCCTGAGTAGCTGGGATTATGGGCGCCCGCCATCATGCCTGTCTAATTTTTTGTATTTTTAGTAGAGATGGGATTTCATCATGTTGGCCATGCTGGTCTTGAACTTCTGACCTCAGGTGATCCACCCACCTCGGCCTCCCAAAGTGCAGGGATTACAGGTGTGAGCCACCATGCCCGGCCGATGAAATCTTCTTAAAAGGCATCTCTACTAGAAAATGGTTAATGCCCCCCTCCCTTTGTACTCTCTGTGTATGCAGCACCCAATCTTTGGTGCCCCTCTGGGTTTCTGTCCTGTCGCCTCACTCCTGGTGAGCTTTAGGAACCAGGTCACACATTTACATATTTGTCTTTGCACAATGTCACATGGAAAAACTCTGACAAAATAAGTTAAACAAGTTTAACATTGATAAACAATGCAACTTTTGTTTTAATCTCTCTTTCTGACTTGGTTTCTCACATCATCCATCGGGAAGTAAAATAAGCAAGAAGTGGGGAGGATGAGGACGGAGGAGGAAGGAACAGCTAAAGCAGACATTTTTGTTTGGTGTTTCATCAGGTGAGTGACTGACCACACATTTAATTGGCTGGCAGATGGCTTGATGACTGTTTTTCAACCCAATTACCTGGATGTTCAGGCTGAGCAATTTCCCTTGGCAAAATCGTGAAGTAGTTTTGAAGCTGCATTCACTGCTCATTCAGTTTCCTTTCTGTGCTGCCCTCCCTCATACCTTTGTGTTTTCCTCTGGGTACCTTTCTGGGAGCACAGCCTGCCTCTGGAGGATCCAGGGTGGGACACACAGAAGGGAGAGTTCTAGAAACAAAAGGAAGACCAGGTCACGCAGAGGTGCAAGATCAGAGGCTCCCCTCTGCAGAGACTGGGGAGCCACAGCCTTCATCACCTGAGTGGGGACCGACAGGCAGTGGACACTGCGGACCCGGCTCTTGCCTTCCTTATTTGCACCTTCGAGGGGTTCCAAATCTGAACCACTTATGCTTATTAAAAAGTCCTTTTCCTTGCCTCTACTGTGGACCAACTAAATTCCTAATCTCTCTGGGTAGGACCCAAAAATCTGAATTTTAAACAACCACCTATGGTGATTTGTGTGGACATGAAATTTGATCCCTGGTGGACTCTCTCTCATCTAGATGATCTCTTAAGACTCAGCTCTAACCTTCTATAATTCTAAGGCCAATTGAATTTGACTCACTTTATTCTCCATAAGGAGAAGCCCTAGGCCACAGATGTACAGCAGGAACTCTCCGAGAACCTTATCCTCATCAGCCTTCAAATTTGCAAACGTCTTCCTCAGCACGTCATGCCTTGGCAGGCACTGTGTGCAGGTGTGGATGGGTCACATTGCCCTCCCTGTGGAGCTGGGAACAAAACAGTGAGACTCCACTGGGGGCTGGTCCAAATGCAGCCTCGTAACAGACTCCTGCTCATGGGCACGAGGGCACCAAAGACACTTAGGAGGGGCAGAAGGAGGCACCCTGCTGATGGGCCCGCCAGCAAATTCCATGGCAAGGAGAGTGGCAGCATTAGAGAGAGGCAGCAAGATGGAAATGAGGTCAGGCTGGAGAGAGAACATTCTGGATGACATCATGGTTGCCAGGAAGCTGGGGAAAGAAGCCTGCTTGTCCAGACCACGCCAAGAGTCTAAAAGGGTCAGAAGCAGGGTCAGCCGATCCCAGAGGGAGTGCAGATACTCTCAGAATGAGCTCTGGTGCTGGGCTTCTGGGGAGCTCTGGGGATGCAGGAATAACCTGCTACCCTGAGAAACTCATTGACGCAAAGTTCTAGAAACACAGCCAGCTCTCTGAGAGGAGCCAGGTCCTTTTATACAGATCCTTCTTTTCCCCCATGGCTCACTCAAAACAAAATCTAACTCCATCTCCCTGGGCCTCAGTTTTCTCATCCGTAAGATGTAGGTGTAGATAATCCCCACAGTATCCTCCAGTCCTATGTTTCTATGGAAACTAAGCAAAATAAATAACACAGGAAAATATAAAAAGACACTGTTAAGCAAGATAGAGTGACGGTAGAATTTTCTGGAGAGGTAAAAGCTTGTAAAGGGCAGAAGGAAGCCTTGACCACAGAGGTGGTGAGCAGCAGGCCAGATGTGCAGCAGGGATAGGCAGGGGTGGTTACAGGTCCAACGTACACACTTTGGATTTGGCCCCATGGAGAAGCTAGGAGGAAGTGAGGGCTCACGGTTCACCGTGAGACCAGCTGAGGTCAAGGTACAGGCAAAACTATTCAAGGCAATCACTGCTCAGAGGATCCTCCAAATAAAATGGCTCATCTGCCTCAATCTGCTTTCATGGCTCCATTGTTTCTTATATAGCTTTTTTTTTTTAATGCCTATTCATTAAAAAACTTCAGGGAATATTCACTTTGCTCAAATCCTCAGTGATGGCGAGCATCAAGCTTTCAAATACCAAGCAAACTGTCCATGGCATGGTTTGTTTTTTTTTTTAAGACTAAATAAATTGAAAGAAAATCCAATGTACATGTTCCATTCTGCAACCCCAAGTCTCCTAGTGCCCCTCAGTTCCTCAGCCTGCCTCCTGTGTCTGAGTGGAGAGCATCTTTAAGGGGAACTGTCGCAGGTGTGATACACCATCCCTAGCTAGGAGCCCTCCCAGTCAGGTGGAGGGTGGCTCCTTCAGCAGAGACAACAGCTCTAGAGTGTCCCAGATGAGTGCCATTTCCAATGCATCTTATTTCCCATGTACCTAGAGACTCTCTCAGGAATGGGGCCACCTCACAGAGTCACACACACAACCCTTCTTTCAGAGGTTGGAATGCAGAAAACCCAGCAGCACCAGCTCTCTCTTCAGACAAGGTAATAAAAACCTCTTTTAAATCTCACGCTTATTCCTCTGTAACTCCTGGCAATAGGCATGAATGATCCTTCACTGAGAGATTTGTTTTTATCCATCTTGGGATTGAAGAGATGTCCAGGTTGGGCCCCTCACACCATACGCTCCCACTGGAACACAGGAGTGACTTGCTCAGGGAGGCAGCCCCCAGCCCAGAGGCTCTGCCCCTGTCTCCTGTCTCTGATCCCCAAAATGGGTGTGAGAAGAGTGAAATGGGAAAGTCACTTCTTCTCACTGGTTTAAAACTCTTATAGCAAAGAGGGGCTACTTGTACTTTTACAGCAACTGAATAGCCAATACTTACCGCACAGAACACAGGACGCATTTATTCTTTAATTTTCTTAATCAAAGATGGTTGCTGAACGAAGGTTGTGGGAGCTTAAGCAGCCCCAAAGCACCCCCTCGCTTGTAGTAGACTGTTTTTGGAAAAAAAGAAAGCAAGACCTATTTGGTGTTTTCTTCCTGATGTGAACTGAAAAGCAGGCTTGATCCTTCTAAATACTGTCCAACTCATTCACCTTTCTTCAACTCTGTACTAATTTATCGAGTGTACTTTATTTTAATTTTTATTATTATATCTTTCATTTCCACATTTATAGTAGGTTCTTTTTCGGTGCTACTTGTACTTGTTTCATTTCTCCTTGTTTGTGTTTTATGCAGTCTTTTTCTTGTTAAAAGAAGTTATGCCTCGTTTATCTTTTTGAACACATTTAGCCTACATATTTGAAGGTTTTGCCAAAAAATTCTAAAAATTAAGTCTGGAGTAAATTCATATTTTGATGGTTGATTTTCTTGGCTGTCTCTTTTTGTATTAGATTGCATAATGCATCTGTCTCTCTCTCTCAGACTAGCAGATTTGCAATTGCTTCCTCCTGGCCCTCTGAGCCTCTGGGATTAAGAGGATTCAGAGCATTTTCCCTAGCTGTTGTTTCAGATGATAGTTTCAGATGCCTGTTCCACTGTGATGTTGGAGATGGAAGATCCTCTCACTTGGCCAGCTGGCAACATGGTTTACTATCGCATTCTGATGAAACTAAGAGCTGCTCTCCAAAACCATCTCTCTAGGGGACATTTGTCGTGCTAGTTTTTCCTTCTTTAGTTTCTTTTCATGATTAGGGAGAGCCCCTCCTCAGCTCCTGCCTTCAAACTGCGAGCCTGGCCCTTGCCCTGTGTTTGATGGAGAACTCCTAGTCCCCTTTACCCAACAGAACATTATCTCTTGGTAGCCACTGCCTGCTTCCAGACTCAGGGCCTCCTGGGCTCCTGGTCTCAGCCACCTCACCACTTTGCATCTCTGTTCCATTTCTGGTGCAGGAAGACATTTATTTTGTTGATTCTGGCTAAAGTTTTTTGTTCCCTTTTGAACTATGTTCCTGTCATCACTATATCTCACTTATTACTATATGTGTGACCTCAAAGTGTGAACACTTGGATATAACTGCAAAAATGTGATACTATTTCTGCAAAATTTAATTTTTAACTTATGCAGAATTCTGCTGTGGCTTCATGCATTTCACAAATGTTTGTCAGTTCCTCATGTATGTGGGTCATTGTTCTAAGTTCTAGTGGAGCAGCGGGGAGAGGTGGTATGAAGCTTTTCGACTTCCAGATGCTTTCGATTTAATCAAGGATTAACTGTCACACTCAAAGAACTATAATGCAGACAGTGCCCATCATCTTCTGAACCCAAATCAGAAGGCGTGGTCTGACTGTAATCAAGCAACTTGAACTTTCCAGTTTGTTTCTCCAGCTGCAAAATGGCAACCATAACATCTACTACTTTGGGTCGTTTTGAGGATTAAATAATATAATAGAAATAAAACACTTAGAATCTGGCACAAAGAGAGCACTCAATGATATTAACTATGCTTATCTTAATAGACACTGTCTCAACTTTAAGCATCATGACATATATGCATACGTATATATACACACATATATGTATATGTATATGTATATGTGTGTATGTATGTATATATATATAGAGAGAGAGTAGTTTCTTAGAAACAAAATATTTTAAGTTTTTTGTTTTTTTTGAGATGGTATTTCGCTCTTGTTGCCCAGGCTGGAGTACAATGGTGTGATATCGGCTCACTGCAACCTCTGCCTCATGGGTTCAAGTGATTCTCCTGCCTCAGCCTCCTGAGTAGCTGGGATTATAAGTGCACGCCAACACGCCCAGCTTATTTTTGTATTTTTAGTAGAGATGAGGTTTCAGCATGTTTGGCCAGGCTGGTCTCGAACTCCTGACCTCAGGTGATCTGCCTGCCTTGGCCTCCAAAAGTGCTGGGATGACAGGCATGAGCCACCACTCCTAGCAAAACAAAATATTTTTATATCTTAAATTTTTGTCTCTTTAAATTCTTGTTATTGAACTGTGATAGAATGGGCTTTTCTTTCCCCTGGACCACCTATATTTTGATGTTTCTTCACCTTGCCCAGGAGGGACTTTTGCAGCAGAATAATGCATCCATGTTATGCATGAGAGAGATTTGTTTGTCTTGAAAGTGTTCTGCTTTAAAGAGGGTAAGAACTCACCATCTCCTCCTTGAATGAAACTAGGAATGGGTTTCCAAGGGCTCAGACACAGGACCAGCAACAAAGGAGGTTCTAGGGGTGGACAGAGAGTAGAAAAAGAAAGGAAGAAAGGAAACCAAGGGAGAGGAACTTATGGATGCTCATCTGAGAAGGCCTCTGCATGTCTGAGAAGTGACCCAGTGAAAAGATATTTTATACCAGCCTCTGTACTCTGAGAATATTTGTGATTGGCGGTGAGGGTGAGTGTGATGGGATTCTTCTGGTAATGGGCTATCCTTGAGTTCACTGTTGAAATGGTTGAGTGATGCCCATTTTTTCAAGGGTAAAACCTTGGCTGAAAGCTTGATTCCCTGGGATACCAGATATCCTGGGATGCCCTAGATCACTATAGTGATAGATAGGAAAGCTAATTATGAAGACTTGTGAGAAAATAGTGCCTACACCAAACATTTCCCTAACCCATGTATAGATAGTTTGGTCCAAGAGCATCCTGGGAAGGGTGGGGACATTTTACATCCAATGTCTTAAGGCAATGGAAGGACACGGTATTTAAAACAGACACTCTTCTGGAAAGTCTAAGATGAGTGGACCCCAGAGCAGGGTAGATGCTGTGCAAGTCATTGGACAAGAGAAAAGCTTAAGAGTAATTCCTTCCTGATCAGAAAGGGCCCGTGGACATTGTGCTCAAGAGATATTCATTTTATTTTACTTTATTTTTATTTAGTTCTGGGATACATGTGCAGGATGTGCAGGTTTGTTATTTAGGTAAACGTGTGCCATGGTGGTTTGCTGCGCCTATCAACCCATCACCTAGTTATTAAGCCCTGCATACATTAGCTATCAATCCTGATGCTCTCTCTACCCCTGTCCCCCGAAAGACCCCAGGGTGTGACGTTCCCCTCCCTGTGTCTATGTGTTCTCATTGTTTGGCTTCCACTTGTAAGTGAGAACATGTGGTGTTGGTTTTCTGTTCCTGTGTTAGTTTGCTGAGGATGATGGCTTCCAGCTCCATCCATGTCCCTGCAAAGGACATGATCTCACTCCTTTTTATGGCTGGCTAGTATTCTACGGTGTATAAGTACAACATCTCCTTTCTCCAGTCTATCATTGATGGGCATTTGGATTGATTCCATGTCTTTGCTATTGTGAATAGTGCTGCAATAAACATACTTGTACATGTACCTTTATAATAGAAAGATTTATATTCCTTTGGGTGTAATGGGATTGCTGGGTCAAATGGTATTTCTGGTTTACATCTTTGAGGAATTGCCACACTGTCCTCCACAAAGACATAGTTTAAAGTGCATTCAGTAATACAAAAGTGGGATGATGACATGCCAAGCACTTTTTATTTTATTTGTCTCATGTTTATAACCACAAGCAGAATGTTGGTTGATGGCCTCTTTTGATGATTAAAATGAGAAGGCTGTAACAGAGATAAAAGACTTGTGCACATAGCTAAGTGCTGTTGGGATCATGTCTGTCAAGTCAAGATCATCTGGGGGGGCACAGGAAAAAAAAAGGAACCTTTAACGTCATTGGGATGGATTTAGAGAAAAATGTTAACAGCCAGCTTCGTTTTTCTCAACCTCGGTGTCATAGCAATAATTGTTTGTATGTGCTGAAACTCTTGTGAGTTAAAACAGCTCTCATGAGCAGCCACCTTATTTCAGCAGAAACCAGATAGTGTTGAGATTCATTTTTGAATGTTGTTGTGGATTTTTCTTTTTTCTTTTTTTGAGACAGAGTCTTGCTTTGTCTTTCAGGCTAAGAGTGCAGTGGCACAATCATGGCTCACCATAGCCTGGATTTCCTGAGCTCAAGTGATCCTTGCACATCAGCCTCCTCAGTAGCTGGGACTACAGGTGTGCACCACCATGCCTAGCTAATCACCTTCTGGAATTTTGAATGAATATTGCCTCCCTGCCCAGGAAGAACTGGAATGCTCATGGATTGCTGGGGTGGACGCAGGCTCATGGGAATGGGGTTGAGGGGTGCTGGGTGGTCTGCACATGTGGCTTCAATGTTTGGGTTCAGTTTTATGTTTCTCTCCAAGAGTTTTAAAAGTAAGTTAAGACCCACTCAAAATGAGGCATGGCCATTGCAGTCAGTCTAAAATAAAGGAGGGAAATTGGAAATCATAAGCGTTTGTGTTCAGAGAAATAGGTCAGAGGTCTTAAAACGTCTGGCTATGCGAAACCCAAACAGCAACAATGAGATGCTTTGGGCCAAGCCCAGGCTCGGAACAATCTGTGTCTGGAATGGTTCAGATTTTGTTCTCAGAATTTGTCTGTTTTTCGGCATTACCCCAAATACCAATACAATGTCAAAATAGAACCCAATTCTCCGATTGGATGACCAAGGCTTCCTATAGGGAAGAAGGTAATTTTCCCCTTAAGAGTTTTAGCTGACTGATCCTTCATAGCACCTGACTCAGGTTACAAAATTCATACAATCAAGATCTAAAAACAGATTTCTTTTCCATGTTACTTTTCCTTATCTAAGTGCTGCAACCCACTAAAAACAGCAATTTGTTAATTTTCTTAATATCTTCCATTTTCCTCTTCACAACTCCATTTTACATCCATGATGCTTAGTTTTTTTCAGTGATGCCTTAAATTCTTACTGCTTGCTTCATTTGAATATTATGACATTTAATGAAATCTTTCTCATCAGGTTGATGGATTTCTTTGTTCCTGTTTCTTGTCCCTTTCATAATATGTCATTTTGGAAAATTGGACTTTAATGTTTTCTAATTCTTCTTTTTAGCACTGTTTGCTATCTCATGTTTTTAGAATGATACTTTTACCACTTCTCACGTATTGCCAAAAAGAATCAATTAACATTTTCTCTAGATCTCATCTTGGAAATAAAAAGATAAATACATTCTTCCATGCTAAAAAATAGAACAGAAGATGGTCCTTGTGCTCATCCTGGTCAATTCAGTTTCTGGGTCTGTTGAGAGAAAATTAATGGACAAAAGAAGGCTATTAAAAAAAGAATATAAAGAATTACTTTTTAGAATTAATTAAGTAATGCAGGAGAACATCATGTGGTAACTAGATTATTGAGAAATACTTTTTTTACTGACAGACTATATAAAACTCTGACACTTATAAGAATACTGTCTTTTCTGAATGGGAGGAAGCACAAATGCTCTTGGATGCATTTGAACAGACTTGTACTTGTTATGCTCATATATAAATATCTGCTTGCAAATGTTCTCAAAAGTAATTATTAAAATATATGTTGAAAGAATGAGGGTCATGTTACATGAAATTCCAATATCTTCCTCTGTGATGACATCTCAAAGTCTTTAGAAAATTCTTTTGATTTAGAGTCTTTAGAAAATGCTTTGCCTTATAGCAACTAACAAAGCCTTGGAATAAATGCTGAGATAAAACCAAACTGCTGCAAAGTAACAACATTAATGAGACACGGTCTGCTTACTTTTTCCTCTGGAGTATCATTATTTTAATACTGGAATTTTCAAATCAATTTCTTTTTCGATTCCAAGCACCCAGAAGCTATAAAATCAGATATTAGCATTGGGGAAGATTTATTACAAAAGTTATATATTGAATTATCTATTCTAAGAGACCTGAAATAGTCAGATACTTCAGTGAAATTTTTGTACAATTATCTTGGAGATTTTTTTGTTTGCTTGTTTGTTTTGTATAAAATCAACACTAACTATTTCATCTATTTAAATATGTTACAGTCTAGCAAAAACAGGCTTAGAAATCTTTCCATCATTAGTAAACACACATATCTACTTGAAAATCGTTAGTATCTATGAGATCTCCCACTCAAGTATTTTAAAGTAATATAGGACTAAATTGTCTTTGTGAAAAACTTAGACATTATGGATTAAGCTAGTGTTTCTCAGCCCTCCACTTTCAGTACTGGCTCTCTTCCTAGAGTTAACCAGTGTTATCAGTTCTTTGTATATGATTCCAGATCTTTTATTTCTTCTATGCATTTTCATCTATATCTGTATTTATATTTATAGCCATGTAACCATTTTGTTGGACACTATTGGCATAATGACTAATGCTTACCCGCTTTACAGAAGCCATGAATATATTTAAGTACTAACATTCTTTATTGCCTCTAAAGTATAGAAAGTTACAAAATTTCAAAATAATGCTTAAAACTCTACCAAATTTAATATTAACAAATATAGCATTTATAAACAAGTCATTACATTTGAAAACAATGGGTAGGTTAGATTTTCCTTACTTCACAAATGTTCCCAAGTGCAAATGATAATTACTGAAAAATTATAACTAATTACAAAATAAATAAGTTACTTGTAACTAAATCTTTTCAAAAGCAAAATTAGAAAAATCTTTCCTAATATTTTTTACAACAAAAAATTTATATTTAATTTAGGAAAAAGGTCTCAAATTAGGTGGAGTAGTGTCTTCAAAATTTAAGATTTCTTAGAGCTTACAAATTTCTTAAAATAATCTTGTAGAACTATGTAACATTCTTCTGTGTATTTTTTTAAAACTTGCTCTACTCACTAAAATATCTAGAGATTTTTAATGTGAGTAGACATATATCTAGCTTCTTGTTTTGCAACTGACTGCTAATATTTCATGGTGCTTTTGGAAAGTGAAAAATATGGAGTATGGCTATCAATGGAAATTAGTGGATAAAGTCGGTACTTAGGGACTATCAAACATAAGCCAAAGTTAAGAACTATGTCTGATTACAAATACAAGCCCTGAATAAAGAAGTGGATATCATAGCACCCAACAGGCAGCTTGGGGGAAAAACTGGTATGAAATATTAACTTGATCACTTTCTCTATCAGTACGTGTTGTTGAGATTCTAGAATATGCTCCTTATTGTGCTTGGTTTTGGGGGATAGTGCTATATAAAGTGAGTCCCCTCTTCATGGAGCTTACAGACTAGTGGGGAGGGCAGACACTGCACAACAATGCACAAAATTTACTATCACAAGGAAAGTAGAGGGTGCTCTTACCCATTTAGGGGTTCAACAAGATCTCCTTGAGGAAGTAAAATGTAAGTTGGACTTGATGGTTGAATAGGATTTTGCCTAACCACAGGGAGGTGTCAGTCTTGATTGAAGAGAAAATGTGGCATTACAAGTTGAGGGAATAGCATGTGGAAAGCCTTAGAAGCAAGAGGGGATTTGGCCTTATATATAAGATGACAAACAGGAGAAAATGGAGGCAGGAGAGCTGGGCAACTGTCAGAGTCTGGAAGGCTTTGAAAGCAGGTAGGGAGCTTGATTTTTCTTCTAAAGAGAATGGAAAGTCATTGCAGGGTTTTAAGCAGGGCTGTGGCATGACCAACTTGGCCTCTTAGAAAGAGAACTGGAGTGGCCATGTGAAGGACAGATTGGCAAGGAGTCAGCCTAGGAGCAGAAAGACCAATGTGGAGGTTGTTGCACTAATTCAGATGAAAAATGAAGACTCAGGGTAGAGTGATGGGGAGAATTCACTGACTCAAATTGCACAGCCTGCCAGCAGGGCACATCTGTGCCATCTCTTTTTGGCCTTGGTAGGTCCTGGATTAGAATAAAAGGTATGGCCCATCTGGCCCTCAGGTGACCCAACATTTGGATCGTGACACTACGTACCAGAGGCAGTCTCATGGTATGCGGGAAAGATGGGGAAGACTGGGTTCAATTACCCTTACAGAGCTTCCTGGTCACATTCCTTGGATTTTAGAACAGGAGTCTGGTAACTTATAGCCTTTGGGCTTCCCATAGAAAGATTTGTTTTGCCTACAGTGTTTTTCTTTTTAAAATGAGCTAATTATCAATATTTTAATATTGTGATATTTTATATCAAAAGCTAGATTTTCACTCTCTAGAAAAATCAGATCTGGTTACGCTGGATTTCCATTTCTACCTGGTAACATCCTGACCATTTAGTTGAGGCCTATGCTCTTTCCTTTGCCACATTGCTCTCCACTCTCTATTGCCTCCCTGGTTCTGGGTATCATTTACTAATCATGGTGCTTGTGATAGAGGTGCTTGTGATAGAGGCAGAGAAATTCTAGGCAGACAGAAGTGGGTCCTCAGTGAAACCCCACCTCCAACTGAAGACAGTTTAAAGACTGAAAGCCAACCTACAAGTTAAATCTTTGGACCCAGATTGAGATCTTGTCTTCCTGTTTGGCAAGCTTTCCTCTGATTGGTCCCCATCCTTCACCTATTTTACATATACATAAGTCTGGCAAAGTGAGAATCTAAACTCCGGAATGAATTTGAAGGTTTTGTTTAAGGGAGAAGATTTAAGAAAGTATCCTAGGTTGAGCACGTGCACCAAAGGCAGACTTACCCCACCTCTGAAAGATATTTTGGTACCCCATGAAGGAAGGCAAGGTACTACCTGGTAATACTTTAAACCCTTTGTCATGCATTATTAGCCCTTTCATTCACAGGTTATAGAACCTTAGAACTGAAGGGATCCTAGGGATCACTTACAGGAGGGATTATTGAGGCTTTTCCAATGACAGAGAGAGTAAAGGATTTTCCCAATGAGACAAAACAGTGCAGTGAAAACTGATGTTCCTAATTGGTTTTTCTACTTTGTTGTGCCCACCTTTGAGTGGTGCCTTTGCTTTAACTTTATTTGCATACTCACAAACCAATCAGCACACACTCCCCATTCTGAGTCCATAAAAGGCCCCAGACCTGGCCACCAGGGGGATCTTTCTGGCCTTTGGGTAGGGGAACAATCCCTGCACCCCCAGCAACTGTGTTCCTGTCTCTGTTGAAAGCCATTTTCATCATTCGATAAAAATCTTCTCCATCCTCCTCATCTTTCAATGTCCCACATATCCTCATTCTTCATGGGCGCAATGCAAGAGCTCAGGAACCACTGAACACAGGGGAGCTGAGGCATACTAATGTGGCCAAGCAAGGCCTGGGAGGGGCATCACCAGCCAGGAGTCCCTGGCTTGTAATTCTCACACACAGCCTGGTTTTTCTCATTCATGTTCCCTGCTTGCATCTATAGGAGTTTACATTTTTGACCCCCTTTCTAGTGAATTTTCTTTAAAAACCCTGATTTGGCATTAAGTGACCTACTTTAAGCTAACAAGCACTAAGTCCCTCTCTTATAGACTTTACACTTAAACTAGAAAAAAAAGACACAAACATACATTTATTCATTCAATATTTCTTGAGTACCTGCTATGTTCAAAGCATGTGCTAGACACTAGGATACAAAGATACATAAAGGAATCCCAGCCATTGCCCTCATGATTTTTACAGTCCAATTATAATATAATAATTAAATTATTATTAAAATAATAATAGCAATATATAATAATATAATCACAGGCAAATTCACATATAAAAAGGTAAAGGTTTGCTCTGAGAAAGTAAATGGTTACTATAAGAAAGTGGAAGTAGAAGCCTTAATTTACATCAAACAACCAAGAAAGCTTTCCAAAATGCAGCACTTGCTCGCTGCTCTTGGAGTGGGTAGACAATGTGATGCTCTGAAGTATGTCTATCCTTCTGAACTGGGAGATGTCACACAAGAGTTACATGGAATACATGGTTTATGAGATTCAGATTTAACTCTGAACTGTCAGGAACATAAGTGAACTGCCCTTGAGGACTGTGAATCATCTCCTGATATCATTGAGCATCAAGACTGTCTACAGAAACATCAGTTTTCACTGCACTGTTTTGTCTCATTGGGAAAATCATTTACTCTCTCTGTCATTGGAAAAGCCTCAATAATCCCTTCTGTAAGTGATCCCTAGGATCCCTTCAGTTCTAAAGTCCTATAACCTGTGAATGAAAGGGCTAATAATGCATGACAAAGGGTTTAAAGTATTACCAGGTAGTACCTTGCCTTCCTTCATGGGGTACCAAAATATCTTTCACAGGTGGGGTAAGTCTGGTAAAGTGAGATTCTAAACTCCGGAAGGTTTTGTTTAAGGGAGAATATTTAAGAAAGTATCCTAGGTTGAGCATGTGCACCAAAGGCAAAGATATAAAATATGGGCCATGAAAATAAAGGAGTAAGGCTGGGCGCAGTGGCTCACTCCTGTAATCCCAGCACTTTGGGAGGCCAAGGCGGGCATATCACGAGGTCAAGAGATCGAGACCATCCTGGCCAACATGGTGAAACCCCGTCTCTACTAAAAATACAAAAATTAAATTAGCTGGATGTGGTGGCGCATGCCTGTAATCCCAGCTACTTGGGAGGCTGAGGCAAAAGAATGGCTTGAACCTGGGAGGCAGAGGTTGCAGTGAGCCGAGATCGAGCCACTGCACTTCAGCCTGGTGACAGAATGAGACTCTGTCTCAAAAAAAAAAAAAAAAAAAAAGAGGAGTAACCAAGTGTAAGGTAAAAATTGATGAGTAGGTGGCACCAGGGGAGAGTAAGAGAGAGGCTCAGAGATAGCCAGTGAAGCTGTGTGTTGAAGGAATTGGATCCATGACTAGAGAATTTAGTCTTGACCTGATAAGAAGGATCAAAGTGGTGTTTTAAGAAGATTATTCGAGCAGTTCTGCACAACAGGCAACTGCTTTCCCATCACCACCCTCAATGGCACTGACTAACAGTTTTCAAAGCCACCTACCTAACATTTTGGGTAGAGACTCTTGAGTTCCTATACAACAAAGGCTAAGCTTTTGGGTCTTAAAGGAATGACTCACGGCCTAAAGTCCGTTGGACTGTGATAAATAAACCTCGGATTGAAATGACATTATGAATACAAACAACTTTACACTTAGATTTTTCTTTTTTAGCCAATGGCTGAAAAATTTTTCATCAATCACCAGTCTGAATCAATCCTAGGTAATTTGCCATTATTAATCTCTTTTCTCCTCCTCCTTGGCTTGGCAAACACAAAGTCTGTCAACCAAAGTAAGAGAAAAAGGGAGCAGGGTGAACTGCTTTTCAAGCTCTCTGACTTACAATATGATCGTTCTGGTTATTTGCAAATGGCAGGCAGAGCTTCATTTTCCTGGATCCTTTGCTTTGAGAAGTTTGAGATTTGAGTTTTCTAAAGTCTCTCACCTATTTTAAAAGTAAAAAATGAAAAATAGTGCCCAACGATGCCTATACTATGCCATCAGAGTAGAATTAGAGTCATAAGTGGCCAAAGATTTCCACATTAATATTATTTAAAACCCAAGAATAAAGCCAACTGCCTGCCAAGATCCCTGACCATATCGCCAGAAGTTCCAAAGCACTAACCTGGACTATCGTGGCTTTTTTCAACTTAGTTTTATTATTTTATGTCTTCTAAATTTGAAAATTATTAACTCAGCAGGATACTAGCCATCAGAAGCAAACTTTAAACTCAATTTAGAAATTCCTTGGAAAAAAAAATACTAGGAGTATGTATCGTAGACCTCATTTTGAGAAATTTCCTTACAGGCTTTCCTTGTTTATCTTAAAGAATGAATTAAATCCCATCCCAACTTTGCAGATAGTCCAGAGGTAAAATGCATGTCACTGTAGGTTTCAAAGAACTTGTGGAGATTTTTGGTGGGGAAATGGAAGAAAAATGACAGACACCTTATATATCTAAATTATTTAGAGCCATTGTTTTGATACTTTGAAAACTTTTTTAGTGTAGGTGATGCAAAGTCAATCATAGTTTATCAGGTTTAAAGTTGGGGTAGTTGCTTTAAGCAAAAATGCTGTGTGCCTCTGAAAAATAAAGAAGCAAGGCATTAAAACACTATGACAGACAAGCTGGGCTTTATCACACATCACCTCCCATATTAGAGGTGTGCCCCAGTTGCTACAGGCCACATCTGCCAGCTTGTTAAGCAGCTGTGGATAAGGGTTTGCTCTATGCAGCAAGAAATTTTGTAAATAAACTTATATTTTAAATGTAACAAGAGAGATCCTAAAGAATTCTACCCTTTAATCTACTCTCTATATCATGTCTAAAATAATCTTTTTTTTTTTGTTTTTTTTAAGCCCTACAAATCAGAGCATGTGACTATTCTCTTGCTAAGAATGTTCAGTGGTTTCCTATTGCTTACCCTTAATCTCTTGTCTCCAGAAACTTCAATTTTCCTGCTCCAATTATAACAGTAACAACAACAAACTTCTTGGTCTGGTGACATAAAGTAAGAATTACTGCTAATCACACATGAGTCCTTTGGTAATTATATCTAAGTAGTCTTCTAGATTGAAATACCATGAATGCAGAGGAAACCATGGCAACACATTGATTTTTTTTTTTTTTTTAGCACTCTCTTACTGTTATGTTTTGTCATCCTTGAGGGAAGCTATCCCTTTTTATCTGGTGAACTTGTTCATTTCCACTTAAAGTATCACCTTTTTTGGGGTAAACTTGTCCAATACCTGCAGCAGTTAACTGTCCTAACCTTAATCCTAAAGCATTTGCATGTCCTTCTATTATAACAACTGGGTTTGATTATAATTATGCCAGAACAGCGTGGTCTCCTCCAGCATACTCGGAGATCTGAGAGGGCAGTGAATCCTGTTTTATACAGCTTTGTGTCTACAGTGCCTGAAATACAGACAGCACTTAAATGTCTCTTAAAAACATGACTTTATAAAACAATGATAAATCCTTTTATAAGAGCTCTTTTTGTGATATAAAGAACCGTACACCAATCAATTTAGTTAAGAGTCTGAATATCTGCCTGTTAGGTTTTCGTGAGTTGGGGTGCAACAATATGCCGTGTAGCTTCAGAGAGAACAATAGGAAAATTATCGCAGACAGATATTTCCATGCCTGATACAGTGACTTGTCCACCAGAATGTCACAATAGACTAAGGAAATTGGTGGAAAGGAAAACAAAAATCCCATGCTTCAATCTATTTTGTGATTAATTTTCAACCTCGGTTTTTTTAACGGACTGGAAAAGGGTTAATGACATTGTCTGGTTGAAGCTTCCTCGCCCTATCCCTAGAGGAGTTTCCATTATATACAACAATATTCAGAAGGCTGGAGGTATTTGGGGGAAGGAAGTCATTGATTAGCTGTGTTAGCATTTTGGCTGTCAATATCTTTGCATCTCCTCTTCAGCAATTCGGATTTAAAAGACACCTGCTAGACACACCTCAAAATTCCCTCCCTCCAGAAAGCCTCCTTTGGTCCCCCTCTCAACATATAAGCTCCCAAACAAAAATTTCTTACTTTTTTGTAAACATTTTTAAGCATTTCATGTCTGTTCAGGATTCCTAATGATAATGAAATCTTCCTCAGGGAAAAATGTACGTGTTCCATTTCTTTAATATCCTCTTTCCACAATGTTTTAGTCCCTTTTGTGTTGCTATAACAGAATACTTAGGACTGGGTAATTTATAAAGAAAAGAGGTTTATTAGCCCATGATTCTGTAGGCCTGGACCTATGAGAAGCATGACACTGAATCTGTTGAACTTCTGGTGACCACCACGTGCTTGCATGAGACATGGTAGAGAAAGTCCAAGGGGGAAGTGCACATGTGTGAAGAAGGAAAACTCAAGGGCATCCTCATCCTGTCTTTTAGACAAACTACATCCCTTGTAAGTTGTATTCCTAAGTATTTTATTGTCTTTGAAGCATTTGTGAATGGCAGTTCACTCATGATTTGGCTCTCTGTTTATTATTGGTGTATAGGAATGCTTGTGATTTTTGCACATTGATTTTGTATCCTGAGACTTTGCTGAAGTTGCTTATCAGCTTAAGGAGATTATGAACTGAGACGATGGGGTTTTCTAAATATACAATCATGTCATCTGCAAACAGAGACAATTTGACTTTCTGTCTTCCTATTTGAATACACTTTATTTGTTTCTCTTGCCTGATTGCTGACGCCAGAATTCCAATACTATGTTGAATAGGAGTGGTGAGAGAGGGCATCCTTGTCTTGTGCCAGTTTTCAGAGCGAATCTAATTAAACTAAAGAGCTTCGGCACAGCAAAGGAAACTATCGTCAGAGTGAACAGGCAAGCTAGAGGGTGGGAGAAAATGTTTGCAGTTTATCCATCTGACAAAGGGCTAATATCCAGAATCTACAAGGAACTTAAACAAATTTACAAGAAAAAAACAACTCCATCAAAAAGTGGGTGAAGGATATGAACAGACACTTCTCAAAAGAAGACATTTATGCGGCCAACAAACATATGAAAAAAAGCTCATTATCACTGGTCATTAGAGAAATCCAAATCAAAACCACAATGAGATACCATCTCACTCCAGTTAGAATGGCAATCATTAAAAAGTGAGGAAACAACAGATATTGGAGAGGATGTGGAGAAATAAGAACGCTTTTACACTGTTGGTGGGAGTGTAAATTAGTTCAACCATTGTGGAAGACAGTGTGGCAATTCCTCAAGGATCTAGAACAAGAAACACCATTTGACCCAGTGATCCCATTACTGGGTATATACCCAAAGGATTATAAATCATTCTACTATAAAGACACATGCACATGCATGTTTACTGTGGCACTATTCACAATAGCAAAGACTTGGAACCAACCCAAATGCCCTTCAATGGTAGACTGGATAAAGAAAATGTGGCACATATACACTATGGAATACTATGCAGTCATAAAAAAGCATGAGTTCGTGTCCTTTGCAGGTACATGGATGAAACTGGAAAACATCACTCTCAGCAAACTAACACGGGAACAGAAACCCAAACAGCACATGTTCTCATAAGTGGGTGTTGAACAAGGAGAACACATGGACACAGGGAGGGGAACATCACTCACCACGGCCTGTTGTGGGGTGGGGGGCTAGGGGAGGATAGCATTAGGAGAAATACCTGATGTAACTGATGTAGATTATATTGATGGGTGCAGCAAACCACCATGGCAAGTGTACACCTATGTAACAAACCTGCACATTCTGCACATGTATCCCAGAACTTCAAGTATAATTTAGAAAGAAAGAAAATTTTTACTAAAAAAAAAGAAAACAAACCACGTTCGAGGAATGTTCTCAAGAGAACTAATGTATGCCTGCCAGAGTGAGAACTCACTGCTGGGAGCACCATGCCACACCATTTGTGAGTGATCTGCCTCCATGACCCCAACACCTTCCACTAGGCCCCACCTCCAACATCACCACATTGAGCATAAAATTGCAACATGAATTTGATGGGGACAAACCCAAACCATATTCAAATAATAGTACATACCCAAAAGCAACAAGCACACACTTCACGTCATGTTGACAAATTAAATATTTACTTCTACAGGAAATCTTTACCATGTTGTCAACTGTCTCCTCATCCTCTACCCTCCCAACAAAATGATATATGGATGGTATTTAATTTAGATGACTTGGTTCTTTCCTTCCCTTCTTTATTTTGTTTTATTTAGAAAATGTTGTAGCACCTCTTAAAATTAATTGGGAGTCCCAAATTACTACAGATAAAATCTTATGATGCTACATCTCAAAACAAGAATAGAATCAGTGTTGTGGTAATTCTGATCACTTGAGTTTTAGTCCTGGCTCTGCCCTGATAGGCATTACTTTGGGTTAATCCTGATGTTACTTTGCATCATTGTTTTAGTTTCCTAATATGTAAAATAAGAAGAATAAATAATACCCTGTCACTGTCATCGAATTGGTGTAAAGATTATTTGGATAGGATGGAAACACACTTTGGAAAGAACAAGCCACTACTTTTGAGTGTCCTCACTTCCTTCCACCTGTTATCCAGGACATACACACTGAGGGGTGTGCTGGTAAAGACTCCAATCTGTAGCAGCTGCCAATTTCTGTGGTGTAAATACTCCCACTGTGGTTTATTTCAAGCCATCAATAATTTAGCATCCAGCTTCCAAAATTCTTGAATATTGAACAATTGGGTCTTGATACAGGCTGGCTTCAGCACACTCCTGCACATACCTCAGACTCTGAGGTCATATAATAGATTATTGTAAAATAACATAATAAAATAGCAAACCAGCCATTTCCAATGTGACAAAGTGAAGATTACTCCTAACTCTCATATAAGTCCTTCCATCGTTATATCTTAGTGGTGTTCTGGGTTTGGATACCATGAATGCAGGGAACACACAGCAACACATCAATTTTTAAAAATACTTGCTTACCTAGTCTATGACTGCTAACAAAATAAGATTTACTGTGGCCACCCAGTTAGAACGAAGTGGCTGTAACAATCTCTTCTGAGCTCGTTATCTTATGTCTTAAGTGAGGAAAAAGTAGTAATAATCATCACTACAGTTAATGTTTAATGAATGCTACTCATCTTTTCCTCACAGCCACCTTGTGTGACATGTAATTATTATTGCCCATGTTACATGGCAGGAAAGTGAAGTTTAAGTGCACAGGAGGCAGAGGGAGGAGCAGAAATGCAATCGGAGGCAGCTTGGTGTCAGCCAAGGCTCTCCACCAGCTCCCTTTTCCCTGTGAACTATCTTCAGCATAATGCTTGTGTTAAGTTTCTTAACCTATTCTACCAATAGGAATAACTATTTGCATTTATCACAATGCAGTCATGTTCACTTTCCACACTCTTGACTTTACAGCAGGAAGCCTTCTTGAAAAATCCTGCTTATTAAAATGGGAGCTAGTTGGTTTCTATTAATGGCTCAGATATTCATCTAATTATTTGATTTTAATTTAGGCTATTTTTTCCATATGGTAATTGTAGATTCCCCTGCACTGGATATGTAACAGGGTAGAATGTTTGCTCCAAAATGGTTGAAATAAGTGGTGTAATATAACTTCATTGTATAAACTCTTCTTATTTCTTTACTATCAATTCAAGCCCCTAACTCTACACAAAGTTCTCTTTTGGACTTCGACTTTTATATTATTTTGAATATCCTACAAATAGAACTTTATATTTGCTCTCTAAACACACCAAGAACAAGAGAAGAATAAAGTCTAACACTGAGTGCCCATTACATTGGGAAGGAGTGTCAGTTGTGTGAATTTGGGAGAAAGGTCTGTTTTTTTCAATGAATGATGGCTTGCAGAGGAGAGGTACAGCGGAGATTGGGTTGGAGGTTATGTTTATAGCAAAGCAAAAGCCATGAGAGTCTAAACTGCAGTTCAGTTCTCCCAAGGAAACAGCTGAGAAAAAGGGCATAAACAGACTACATTCAGATAGGTTTCAGTGTATTAAGTGCTGTAGAGGAGAAATTCTGTTGTACAGAACTCTTTATTGTTATGATACCTCATGTCCTGTTTGGAACTTTCCTATATACAAATGGAAGGAATTGAGAAGGATGGGACACAAGGAGACCTATGGAGGATCCTACCCATCTTTTTTTCTTTTTTTCTTTTTTTTTTTTTTTTTTTGAGACAGAGTCTCACTCTGTTGCCCAGGCTGGAGTGCAGTGGAGCGATCTCGGCTCACTGCAAGCTCCGCCTCCCAGGTTCACACCATTCTCCTGTCTCAGCCTCCCGAGTAGCTGGGACTACAGGCGTCTGCTACCACGCCCGACTAATTTTTTTGTATTTTTAGTAGAGACGGGGTTTCACCGCGTTAGCCAGGATGGTCTCGATCTCCTGACCTCGTGATCCCCCCGTCTCGGCCTCCCAAAGTGCTGGGATTACAGGCGTGAGCCACCGCGCCCGGCCCCATCTTTTTTTATTATGGAAGGCTTCCCCAAGCTTCTTTGTCAGTGCACACCAGTGAAGATGTTTTCCTGTCTGCATTTCCTGGCTGTATAGGTAAAGCATGCTGCCTGGATCCTCTCTGCAAGTAGCAATAGTTTATAAAAAGCTTAGTGTGACCTATCAAGAGTTTGCACTGCACAAACAAGCATAGCAGGGTTATAGTCTACTGGTATTTTAAGAAATGAGTCTTCTAGAAAATGATTTCCACTCCCTTTCCCTCTTTCTCCTTTTTAACAATCCCATTTCAGAATTGTAAAATCCTTTAAATTATTTTTGAATGTAAATAATGGTAAAAATAATCAATAAATACTCAATCCATTCTAGGCTATAAAACTTTTCTCTCTTGATTTAGGCTTCTCTGTATTCCAGAAATAATTGATTCATTGCAAGTGCTAAGTGAACAATGAAAGTGAGAAGTAATGAGAAGTATGGTTCCGTTTGGTACAAAGACAATTTCAGTGGAACTTCAGCTAGAATTAATTATTTATTTATTTATTTATTTATTTATTTATTTATTTATTTGAGGCAGGGTCTCATTCTGTCGCCCATGCTGGAGTATAGTGGCCAATCTTGGATCACTGCAACCTCTGCCTCCTGGGTCCAAGCAATTCTCATGCCTCGGCCTCCTGAGTAGCCGGGATTACAGGCGTGCACCACCATGCCTGGCTAATTCAGCTAGAATTAAAGTTGTACATTATGGAACTACATAAATGAGGAGAAGCTTTAAAGTATTTCCACTAAGAGGAGAGGTTCTCCATTCTACTCTCTACCTCCATGAGGTCAATTTTTTTAGCTCCCACATATTTGTGAGAATATGCATATGTCGCTATTTCTTTACTTATACATTTAACATATTTCTACTAACTCTCCACTATGAAAGATGAGGATTTACTTCCATTACTTATCCAAGTTTTTTTTTTTTTTATCTCTCCATTTGGATTTTTGGCAGTGATTATTTTAGTTTTGTTGCTTGCCTTTGTAACTTTATATATCATATTTAAACTTCTATTTCTTACTTCACCAACTTAAGCTGTTATATCTTGACTTTCTATTATATTAGATGAGGATATTATTATTTACTTCCTTCTTTTCTACACTCTTCTCATTTTATATCATCAAGGTTGATGTTTATATTCTGTTTTGTAATACATTTAAGGTTGAGGATTAATTCAATGAGTTATCTCTCATAGTTGATAAGAAATAAATAAATGTATGTAATTAAACTATTTGCTTTTCATTTCTTGCCAAGTAAAATAGGATTGCATTTCATTCTCCATGGGTGCAATGCCCTAACTCCTGTGTCATTTGAAGGCGACAATTCACAGCATGGAACCTAAGTGGATTTTCTTTTCTTAGACTCCCTCTATTGTTCGAAATCATGCCATAGTTCACTTTGCAATGTATTTGGACGTGCCTTTCTTATACAGTTTTACAGCTTTCTTAACTGTTCTAATTAACTCCTCCCCCTCTTGTTGTGAGTAGAAACATGTTTTTGTTTTTATTTTTACCACTTTTTACTAATATAAGATAGTTCTGTAGTCTTGGTATATTGCTTGGAATCCATCCTATTCCCTTTTATTCTTAGAATCCAGTGGCTTCTTCTTTTTTTTATTTTATTTTTTGAGATGGAGTCTCGCTCTGTCGCCAGGCTGGAGCACAATGGTGTGATCTTGGCTTATTGCAACCTTTGCCTCCCAGGTTCAAGTGATTCCCCTGCCTCAGGCTCCCCAGTATCTGGAACTACAGGTGCACGCCACCATGCCTGGCTGGCTAATTTTTGTATTTTTAGTAGAGATAGAATTTCACCATGTTGGCCAGGATGATCTCGATCTCTTGACCTCATGATCTGCCCGCATTGGCCTCCCAAAGTGCTGGGATTACAGGCCTGAGCCACTGCGCCTGGCGGGCTTCTTATTTTTAATTTGAACCAGTTGTTTACTAGATATTCTGCATAACTGTCATGCTGGCAACATTTTCACTGAGCTCCTCAGTAAAGTTCATTATTTCTTACAGCCCATGATTTCCTTTCTCTTTACCCCTGTTATTCTCCGTAGAGGGAAAAAATGTATGGTGGGTATATTCTGAGCTCTTTTCCAAAAATGCTTTCGTTTGTCTTAACTCTCATTGAAAAATTGGGTGGCCATAGTAGTCTAGGTTTAAAATCATTTTTCCTCAGAACTGAAATATCAAGTCATCTGATGATGTTTATATTCTGTTTTGTAACTACCTTCTCTAAAAGTTGAAAAGTAATAAATAGTATTTACATAAGAATAGCGATTTGCATTTTGTTTGTTGCCACGTAAAATAAAGTGCTAGGATTGCATTTCATTCTCCATGGTCCAATGCCCTGATTCTTGTGTCCATTTAGTGTTATTGATGAGACATTAAATTCCTGGCTGAGTCTCATTTTCTGTATTTTGCAATGTGGAAGTTTTAGGGCTTCTCCTTCCCCTTAGCATTTTGAAATTTCATGGCAATATATTTAGAGGGTTTTTAAATGTTTCATTACTTCTTCTTGGATCTCTGTATTCTCTTAAAATTCCTGGATTAGGTTCTCTTATCTTTCATGCTTGAGTATTTCAGTTTCGTATTCTAGGAGATTTCCTTCACTTTAACCTTCCAAACTTCTATTACATTTAAAGATATTTCAAAATCACGTTTCCTTTTCAAGAGTTATTTTTTATTTTTATGATTTCTATTTTATAGTATCCTTTTCTTCTTTAATGAATGGAATATATTCTTTAAACAGCTTTACTGAGGTACAATTTATATATTATAACTTTCACCCTATGTAAGTGTGCAATTCAGTGATCTTTGGTAAATTTAGAGTTGTTCAGCCACCACTACAATCTAGTTGCATAATATGTCCATCACCTCAAGAAGGTCCTTGTGCCCATTTATAGTCAACTTCCATTTACAGTCAATTTCCATTCTCATGCTCATCCTCAGTCAACAACTAATCTGCTTTCTATCTATACAGATTTGTATTGCAGTCTTTTGCACCAGGTTTCTTTCACTAGCATGTTTTTGAGATTAATCCATTTTGTGGCAAGTATTAGTAGTTGATTTCGTTTTTATTGCTTAATAGTATTCCATTGTGTGGATATACTACATTTTGTTTATTCATTCATCAGTTGATGGGTATTTGAGTTGTTTTCAGTATTTGGCTGTTATGAATAATTCTGTACAAACAATTTATGTTGAGTGGACTTAAGTTTTCATTTGTTTTAAGTAGATATCTAGGAGTAAAATTGCTGGGTCATATGGAAAGTTTATGTTGAACATTTTAAGAAACTGTCAAACCGCTTTCCAAAGCCACTCCCTGATTTTTACCTTTTTACCAGCGATGTATACAGAACCTCAACTTCATAGAGAATGGCAAGCAGGAAGGGTGCCACAGCTCCATGAGTACTCCTGGAAAGCAGACAACAAGCCTTAAGACAGTTACTTACTCACGGCACAGAAAACAGCAGCAGCGTAATTGTGCCAGTTTGCCTCGTCCTCAAGTCCCATAAAGAGCCTAGATAGATGCTCGGCCTGCAGGGGGTTGCACAGCGGTAGAGGGACCCAGGATTAAGGCCCAGAACCCTTCGTAGCAAATAGCAAACAAGTCAGTCCATGTCTCCAGGGGAGCAAGAAGTCACACCGCAATCAAGCTATGGTTGCCTCCATGTATTAGTTGCCTTCTTTACCAGCTATAGAAACTGCTCACATTTAAGGAAAGAATAATCCTTGCAGTTTGGCACATGCAGCAGTAAGCAGGAAGGCTCAGAGCCCACAGCCGACTTTCTCCCCCAACAGTGATAACAGGGAAGCTTGTGGAAATTGGTTAGATCCAGCATATATTTTAAAAACAGCTGATAGGATTTCCTTTTAGATTCCAATGTTGCCATTGGGAATTCCTATGCCATTCTTTGTGACAATCCTTGTTTTTACTATCATTTTTTTTTATTTTGGTAGTAAAAATACATTCATCTCATTAGTTAAGTTAGTTGTCTCATTGATGTATGCTTGGTGCCTAGATGGGCACCTGATGCCGATCTGATGTAAGTGTTACTTGCTGTAAGTGTTCAGTAAATTATCTTATGACTGACCAAATGAAATCAGTTTAACTGTTAGCCTTATTATCAGTATATAAAAATACTCTCAGTGGAACCAAGTAGTGCACTATGATATATTTCTTTTTACATGGGACAATTTTCTTTTGCTTGGGTCAATCATTGCCTCATTTTTCTCTGCTCAGGTGACTAAATCTCATCACGAATTGATCCTGGACTCTCTACCACAAGTTTAACTGTCTTCCCCAAATAGCCAAACATATAGCATAATCCTCAGATTCATTTTCTTAGAGACACCTGTACTCGAGCCCTCAGTTCTCTTGCACTGATATATACACATTATTTTCTGCACTTCTTGTACATCTCTTTCCTGGGGTTCTCATCTGGGAAACCCCTTAATTCTTGCAGTTGATTTACATCCTCCAGAACATGGCTGAAAGGCTGGAAAATGGTCTATGGGAGAGACACTTTGAGGCCTACCATGTCTGAGCTATCTTTACAATATGTTAGCACCTGACTGGACCTGAGAGATTGGTTGAGTACAGTACTTTCGAAATCAGTTTCCTTCAAAATTCTAAGGTTTGTTTTGTCTTTTAGATTCCAGTGTCACCACTGAGAATTCCTATGCCATTCTTTGTGACAATCCTTGTATATTACCTGTTTTACCCCCTTCAGGATTATGTATTGATCACCTATATTGTAACAGTCCACAACTATGTTTCATTTTGTGTGTTGGTCATTCAGTGAATTATTCTTTTAGTAATTCCCTTCCGTGTGTGTGTTTTGTTTTTTTTTTATTTTTCTCCTCAGAGCTCCTACTATTTAAATTTTAGATGGTCTGGACTTGTCCTCTAAATTTATTCTATTTTTTCTCCTAATTTTCATCTCTTTGCCCTTTGTTCCACTTTTGTTCCACTTTCTGGGAGATTTTCTTCCCAGGAAATCTTTACAGTTCAAACCTTCTACTGACTTTTTCCTGCTGTCATACATTGTTATGAGTTGCATTATGTCCCCTAAAAAGGTATGTTGAAGTCCTTACCCCCAATGCCTCAGAAGGTGACTTTATTTGTGAACAGGGTCTTTGTAGATAGAATCGAGTTAAGATGAGGTAATAGGGTGGGGTCTAATCCAATATGACTGGTGTCCTTATAGGAAGAAGATAGAGACAAACAGGGAGAACAACATGTAATGGCAGAGGCAGAGATTGCATCGATGCAGCCGCAAGCTAATAAATGCCGAAGACTGACAGCCACCACCAGGAGCAAGGAAGAGGTAGGGAAGGTTCTGCTCAGAGTCTCAGAGGGAGCATAGCCCAGCTGACACCTTCATATTCCAATTCTAGCTTCCAAAACTATGAGAAAATAAATTTTGGTTGCTTTAAGCCTCCCATTTTGTGGTAATTTGTTATTGCAGCCCTAGGAAAATATTACGTAGATGTAATGTCCAAGATCTCTTGTCAAACTTTCTTCTTTTTTTTAAATTTACATTGTATGTTTCCTCAAAGATTCCTCCTCTCCCCTCCTCTCCTCTCCTCTTTTCTTTTCTTTTCTTTCTCAGGGTCTTGTTCTCTTGCCCAGGCTGGAGTGCAGGGACATGATCATAGCTCACTATAGCTTTGAATGCCTGGCCGATCCTCATGCCTCAGCCTCCCAAGTATCTGGGACTACAGACACTCACCACTAGGACTGGCTGATTTTTTTTTTTTTCATAGACACTGAGTCTTGCTATGTTGTCCAGGCTGGCCTCAGACTCTTGGTCTCAAACAATCCTCCCACCTCAGCCTTCCAAAGTGTTGGGATTATGGATGTGAGCCAGCCTTCCTTCCTTCCTTCGTTCCTTCGTTCCTTCCTTCTCCCTTCCTTCCTTCCTTCTTTCCTTCCAATTTGTTCTGTTTGGTCTCTGTCTTCCACATTAATGGTGTTTTACAAATGTCTGATGCTGTTAGTCACCCATTCGATTTCAAGACTATCACTCTAAAACATTGATTAGAAGTCCCTTGTTATGGGCAGGGCTCATTGAGAGTGACGGGCTGAAAGGCTCCCTTGGGGAAGCTTGGGTCCAGTGCCTGAAGTATCAGTTATTAGTAGATCTCTTTTCTTGGTAAATTTCATCGGAAAGTCGCTCTTTAATTTTCTGCCTGGGAGTGAGGCTGTGAGTGAGGGAGTTAAGGGTTTCCCTTTTTGTATGAAAGGGTCCCCAGGACTAGTGCACCTCCCACGCAGTCTCCTCCAGCCTTCTGCCAGGCTGGGGCAGGGTAATTACCTAGTTCAGGGGGACTGAGGAGGGATCTAGGGGTTTAACTGCTTCTGTTACAGATTTTCAATCAATTTTCTGTTTTTAGCTTCTTCTGTGCCCATTTTCAGAGGTGACTCGTGCTTCTGAAGTGGTGTCCTTGTCTGGGGTAAATACCCGAGGTTCATCATCTCATGCCAGGGAAATCGAGGACGCAGATACACAAGAAGTGAGTTTAAGGCCAGAGGTTTAATGGAAGAAAGAAAGAGAATAGTTCTCTCTCCTGCAGAGAGAAAGGGGCTGCTGAGTGGGTCTTTGGTTCTGAGGTGAAATGCACGGGTTTTTATATATCAGCTTGAAGAGGCAGTGTCTGATTTACATAGGTCCCAGAGGATTGGTTGGGCCAGGTGTGCCATTTACATAGCGTTGAAGAGGCTGGCCATCTCCCACCCTAATATTTTATTATGCAGATGGTGTCTCTACCTGGCTGGCGCCTTGTTGCCTGCTTTTTTACTGCACATATGGTGTCAAAGAAAAGGGAAGGGGGAACTTCCATGTTGAATATGCCCGGCCCCCGGGGTAGCCTTTTCCTTTTGGGAGAGCTGCCCACATTAAACTATGCAAGCTTCCAGCTTTCTTATTTATGTCTGCAGCCTGATTTTACCGGCTGCTCTTTGTTAGAAAAGAAATGATTTGGGGGCTGCTTTTTGTCACAAGGAAAGCCTTATCGAAGACTCTCTTACCCTAACTGCCTAAATAATTTCTTTTTAACTCCTGTATCACTTCTACTTCCTCTGTATCTGGAGTTCTGCAAAACGACTCGTTTTGCTTCTGGCCTTCACTAGGATTTCTCAACAGTGCTGTGTTAGGTTTCAAAATTTTCCAATCTGTAAGATCAATTAATATTCATCTGTCTTACAGTCAGCAAAATTTTATTGCTGTCGTCTTTTTTCCTGTCTACAACTTCTAAAAGTTCTCTCTTGTTTAAAAGTGGTGCTGTAGGAAAACGAGGCAAACTTGTATATTGAAGTCACCGTGTTTAATCCATTGCTTTCAATCTTTTTTTTGTCATTATATTTTCAGTATAATTTTTATAAACAGCAAATTGCTTTATTGAAAATAATCTAATTGGAGAGTCTTCATCTTCTACAAGGAGTTTCATTAAATAACAGTGATTGTCAGGATACATGGATTTATTTTATCAGTCTTATTTTGTTCTTTTTATTTATTATGCTTCTTTTCCTCCTCTTTGACTTCTGTTGAATTGATGGAGTTTTCTTCGTTCTTTTTAATTTCTACCACATTTTACTTCTAGTCTTTTAGTAATTCCCACTTATTTGACATAGTCTCAGTTAATCAACATCTCTGCCTTCTCCTTAGCAATATAAGAAACTCTGACCATTTTAACTCAGATATTTTCTCACATTACTGATGCTCTGTATTTTAATCCTATCTAGCTTATAACAGATATTTGTCATTTTTATAATTATTCTTAGAGTTTATTTATAGCTACCCATAAATTGATCATGCTTTCCATTGCTTCTTACATCCTGTTTCCTCTTTCTGGTTAGATTTTTTTCTTTTCATATTTTCTTTCTTTTTATTCTCCTATTTTTTCTCTATTTTTATTTTTAATTTTATTTTTAATTTATTTTTAATTTTATTTTTAATTTATTTTTCATTTTATTTTATTTTTAATTTTCCTTCTTTTCCAAGTGTTTAAAATTAACATGTTAATTAACATCTCAATTAGCTTTTAAGTCACTGCTGGAAGCTATTTTACCCTTCAGAAACATTCTAGATACAATAAACATTCTAGATACAATAAATTAAACATTCTAGATACAATAAAATATTCATATTTTGTGTTACTGTGTTGGATTTTCCCCATCCATCACCCAAGACAAATGGGTAACTCCCATACTTCATTTAGTAGTTAATATAAGGATAAGCATAAATTTCAGGAAGAAAGGTGGTAGGAGAAAGATAAATAGAAAAGAAGGAGGAGTAGTAAAAGCAGGAGGAGGAAAGAGAAAGGAAGGAAAAGAGATAAACATATATCCTTATAGTTTTAAATATAACTTAGTTTTTCTTATAAATCTTATTCTGATACTGTATTCAAGAGACCCTAGGAACATTTTTAGTTTCTTAAGATAAGCAAAGGGAAACATGAGATTTTATTGAAAGAAAAGATGTTCTAAAGGACAGAAACAAAAGGGACTGTCTCTTCTTAGAGCACAACTCTTATGGCAATTGAATGAGCTAAAGGGCCTTAGTGCTCATCCAATCCTAAATTGCTGAAATAGTAATTTAAGTCACTCACCATCTCTTTTGTTTAACTGCAGCTATTCTTGAATAATGGAAGAATAGGTACATAGAATAACTTTTTAACAATGTCTCACTCCTGACACAGAAGAAGTTCTTTGTTAATGCATTTAACTGAATTCTGATTTAATAGTTCAATTCATTTATTTCAACCAATATTTATTGGCTGGTGATACAATTGCTTCTCAAGGAGAAATGATTTGAACAGGAGAAGAGTTTTTAAAATATTTTTTTAAAATAGGAGATTTGTACACCAAGATTCTTCTGTGCTGTAGTCAAAAGTGATGTGCCCTTGAATGGACTCTGAATGTCCTTCAACACAATAGACATGGCCAAGGAAAATAAACCTGAAGAAAAGAAATCCTGGAAAGACTGGAGGTCTAAGAGGCATGGCCAGGGTGTTGAATGTAAGTGAATGTAACAGATGAACTTCTGCATTTGGGGCTATTCTCTGAGTCACCTTGTTTTATCATAAGCAATTGAGCCATGGAAGAAATGCAGAGTAAATATTCTAACTCCAGAGGATACATGCTTTGTAGTTCACAACCTTCAAGATGAGGTTGATACTTCAGCCTTCAAGATGACACTAATCAGGCCATGCATTTCTCTGAGCTTTGGCTTCCTTATTTGTTAACAAAACAAGGTGAAATATGACTTGGTTATGAACATGAGCTTCAAGGTCAGGCATAGATAGTTCAAGTCATGCTCTGGCATTTACTAATGATTTAAATATGGATAAGTTATTTAACCTAAGCTTTAAAAAAAGGTTTTCTTTTATTTTAGTTTTGAAGCTGTGAAATGAGGATTAGAAAAATACGTATGTCATAGAACTGTGAGATTGAAGTAGTTTAGTTCGTTAAAGCACTTAGCACTTAGTCCCAATGCCTAGACAACACAACCTCCCATAAATGTTGCCGTTATTATTATTATTATTTCAGTTAAGATTTTTAATGTCTCATCATAATATCTAAAGATTGCTCGTTGTAATAATACTAATCCACAAAATAAACCCTCATTGGAGGTGATTAATAGCAAGAGCCTGGGTAATTATTGAGGTTATTTTTCCCTACGCATTTGCAAAACGTTGAATCCAACCGTCTTAACCAAGTATCCTGAAGGCTATAGGTACTCACGCACTTAAAGAGAAGGGACGATTTATGGTAGACCCTGCTAGGGCTTTCCAAAATCCACTTTTTCTTTCCTTCTTAGACATATAGGAGTCTTTATTTTCCAACCATATGGGGTCCTGTGACTTGTTCTGCTCAATGACAAATTGAGAAGACATGAGGTGTCATTTTTAAGGCAGTGAAAAGCCTTGGAGATTGTTGAGGTCTCTCCTCCTGTGAAATGATGAAACCAGGGGCTCTAAGCTGCATAGTTGACTGAATCACCACATGGAGGAAATCGGATCTGGAAAGTCAGCCAGGTCTACAGTGGACTTTGCATGCCAAAAACCTGTTACTGTGTAAGGCACTGAGTTAATGGGGCTGTTTGTTACAGCTGTGTGGTACAGGGGATCCTCACTAATACACTGTTAAAAAGCTCAAAGTTACTCTTCATTTTGCAGATCTTAAATTGAGAGAGTTAAGTAGTTACAAGACAGAGATCACCCAGTTAGTGGCACAGCTAGGACTAAAATCCTATTCCCAGGTTTCTTTCTAGTACATGTCTCTGTCTATTGAGATACCATACTCCACACTTAATTTGCAGGACTAATATAAAGAATAGGGACAAGGTAAGTAAAATACCTAGCACAAAACTCATCCCATAGTGGGTAATTTAAAAAATAATAACTAATGTTTTGATTCTCTGTATTTAAAAACGTATCGCTATTGCTCTACACTTCTGCCTGTGCCAAACATGCTGATTGATGCCCTTTAATTCTGAACCAATATTAAACTAAAAATTGATAATGCATCTCAATTTGGGAGCAATTATATTTTTATAGCTTAGACTGCTGGTGCAGAATCTATACTTCACTCCATTTACATCCATTTAACACAAGAGAAATGCCAGTCCATTTTTCAGATAATGACATAAAATTCATTCACATTTTAAGCATCTAGAAACTTTGAGAATTTATAAAATCAGAAGCCAGACTCCTGAGAATTATTTTGTCATCATCCCTTCTTGGTTTTAATTCCTCTATCCTTGCATCTCCTCTCATCCTCCCCATCTTTACCTGTGCTCTTTATGGTGTTTCCCTTGTCTTTTGAGAGAAGTATTATCATATCATAGTAAATTCCTTTTGGCATTGCTAAGAAGGCATCTGGCTTCAGCGTAATTCAAGGATATCAGAAGGCATTTAAACTATTAGTAGGAATATAGTATCTTCAGCTCAGAAAGGTTTTGGAGCTCATCCAATCCTTATTCTAAATTAGGTCTTAAATTCTCATCCAAACAAATGTGTCAGAATTTCCAGAGATACATCTTAAAATTGTTAATTCTTAGCCCCACCTTAATCTACTGAATCATAACACCCATGATTATAGAGGGGCATAATAATTTCTAATTTTAAAAAACATTGTTTTCATCACATTCCTCTATTTCCTTCTGGTTATATCTCCTACTAGGTCATTTCAATGTGTGGTCTAATTGGGGAACTACTGATTAAGTTTCAGTTTTTCCCTGATTCTGGAATCACTTCTACAAACTCTGGCAAATTTTCTCCTATTATACATATTGTTGCCGATTTGATACTGTTACCTACTATATTAGCTATTTGCACCTTCATCTACAGCTTCGTATATTTATAGAGATGATACACAGAATGCTTTGTTTTATTCCCACAATGATGGATAAAGAGCAAGATAAAGAGCAGATTTATGTATATATAATATACATTTATATTTATGTATATTATATATGTGTATATTTACTCAATAAGCATTATTAAAAACAATCTGAAGGGAAGTCTTTATGGTATAATATGTTTTATATATAATATATATTTAATTTAATTATAAATATATATAATATACATAAATATATAATATAATATACTATACACAAATATAAATATATATACAATATAATCTACCATGTAGACTTCCCTTCAGATTGTTATTGATAATGCTTATTGAGTAAATAATACTCTTTTCTGTGGATACATTTTCCACTGTTAATAGTCACTAAGTTTTACTTTCGAAATTTATAGTAGCAACATTTAAAAATTAAGGCCAACGCTAAGCTATTTTGAACACCTTTATCACATCTTTTGAAGACAAAGAATCCTTTAGAGCTGAACGAAAGCAGTTGTTACGTTGAGAACATTAGAAATTCAACAGCAGCAAGTAGGCTAACTTGGAAATATTTATTGCAGCTTTATTCATAACAGCCCTGAACTAGAAATGAACGGATTCACCAATTGTTCATTGCACAATTAAACTCCTTTAAATTTAATTCAGCTGAAGTTTTTCTTTTATCAAGCTCCAGCCCCCAATCTCCAGGGAGGGAAGAAGGGCTGAAGGTAAAGTTGATTACCAATGGCCAATGAAGTAAAGAGTCAGTCATACCTGTGTAATGAAGCCTCCATCAAAACCTAAAAGGGACTGGATTCTGGGACCTTCCAGAGAGCTGAAAGCATGGTGGTTTCTGGAGGGTTGCGTGCCCAGGGAGGACATGGAAGCTCCACGTCAACTACCTGTGCATCTCTTCATCCAGCTGCTCGTCTGTATCTTTTGTAGTATCCTTTATAATAAATGGTACGTGAAAGTAAAGTGTTTCCCTGAGTTCTGTGAGCCACTCTAGCAAATTAATCAAGCCCAAGGAGGGGGTCCATCGTGAGAACTCCCAATTTATAACTGGTCAGTCAGGAGTATACGTGACAACCTACTACTTGGTATCTGATGCTATTTCCAGGTAGATAGTGACAGAAGTGAGTTGAGTTAGAGGATACCTAGCTGGCGTCCACTGCAGAATTGATTGGTTGCTGGTGGGGAGAACTCCCCACACATTTTGGTGACCGGAGGTAAAGTATTCATTGTTGACTATGTGACAGTAGGAAAAACAGTTTAGGTTTCCCATCCTTTTAGAGGTAGACTCAACCTTGAAAAATAAATAGGGTCCAAAACTACACTACATGTCAACGGGGAATTTTTCTACACTCAGACTAGGTGAAAGAGGACATTCAATCACTGTAAAAATATTTTTCTTAATCCTGGTTTTATAAAAGAATAAAGCTCATTATGGAAAACTGAGAAAGATAAAAAAGTAGTAAAAAGAAAACCCAAAGTAGTCATAATTCCGTAATCCAGGGGTAACTATATTTAGTGTTTTGTCGTACATGCTTCCAGGAACCTATGCGTGTGTGTATCATATTGCCTTGACCTTGGAAGCTTTCAATTTTAAGATACATTATTAACTTAATAACATTTTACTGAAAACAAGTTTTTAAAATGTAACACATAATGCATTATTTTAAATCTTCTATTTTATTTAGTCCAGATAATGTCATAAATTGCTTTGAATCATCAATAGCTATCACCACCAGTAGAGTGATGTATGTGATGCTTTTCATAATCGAGGCCTGTGATCATCACTTCTTCATTTCTTGTAGAAATGAAAATATAATTTTGATGTATACTGAAAAAAAATCAGGGTTTTTCTGCATTTCCTGTTTCGTTAAACTTATTCCAAGTTTTTTCTTATCTGGAATACCTACTTTCTCTTGGTCATCAGCCGGAGCTTCTGAAAATAGATTTGAGGCCTGAGTAAAAGTCCTTCACTACTCTTGAATTGGTCATGCCACCTCTCCTAGCTTTGAAAATTCGAAGACTGAGATCAATTTCTACAGCATTTAATGCCATTGCCTGTGTGTGATTGACCAAGTGCACGACAGGCAATCTTCTGCAGACAAAATCATTTTTGTTTGAAGTATGCATCTAGAATAATTTTAAATCATTAGAAGCAATAATTTGTGATTCAAATTTATGTTAAATGCAACTGCTTATACTATGCCAGTATAAATAACTCAGCTGAGATAGCAATCTGATGAACATATATGTACATAAATTATGATTCCTATTTATGATTATTTTCTTATGGTACATTCTTTGATAACCTAAACTCAAAATATTGAGATAAATATTTTGTTTTATCTTAAATGTCTTTGATTATTAGTGAGGTCAAATACGTTTTATACTTATTGGCCATTTGCATTTTTTTTTTTTAGACAGAGTCTCACTCTATCACCCAGGCTGGAGTGCAGTGGCATGATCTCAGTTCACTGCAACCTCCGCCTCCCAGGTTCAAACAATTCTCCTGCCTCAGCCTCCCGAGTAGCTGGGACCACAAGTGTGCACCATCACACCCAGTTAAATTTTGTATTTTTAGTAGAGATGGGGTTTTACCATGTTGACCAGGCTGGTCTCGAACTCCTGACCTCAAGTGATCCACCCGCCTCAGCCTCCCAAAGTGCTGGGATTACAAGCCCCTGCGCCTGACCCAGCCATTTGCATTTTTTTCTCCCGTGAATTGCCCTGGAAATGCCATCTGCTCATTTTTCTTTGTCATTTTTATTTCTAATGTGTAAATATTCATATGCTAAGGAAAGTAGCCTTTGCTTATCACATTTGAGGTAAATATTTTCCCAATATCTTGATTGACTTTTAAACTTATGTTTGTGTGCGCATATAAAATATTTATCTATGTCTACGAAATCAAATGAATCCATTGTTTTCATTAGGATTTCTTTCTTTCAATGATTTTATACTTGGAAAGTTCTTTCTCTCTTTGAAGTTAGATTAAGATTTAAAAAATATATTTTAAATATATTTAATATTAAAAAAATAAAATGCATTTGCTTGAAAAATATATTTTTGTTTATAGTTTTATATTTTATATATCTCTTGATCCACCTGGAATTTAATGTGAGTTATGGAAAGCTCTATTTTTAATTACAGGAAATAATTTATGTAATTCATCTGCCTCTGAGTAATTTATCATACTTTGCTTATTATTATATTAGGTTATATAACAAGTTACATTTCTGGATTCTCCTTCTGCCCAATAGATGTACTATTGATGTCTTTTCTTACATCAATAGTACATAAATGTAATTGTTGTAGAATATCAGCTTGCACTGCATTCAACTTCAGTAGAAATCTGTACTAGGAAGAAGGCATTTTTTTTTTTCACTTTATAAAAGTCAACGGGCGAGTAGCCCAGAGCTGATTCAGCTGCTCAAGATAACACCAGAAACTGATAATTCTGCCTACTTCTCATGCTTTCAGACTCACTGGAATTCACAGCATCAGCTCCGTGGCTTTCCCACTCCCTGACCGCAGATCTTGGGACTTCTCCGCCTCCATATTGCATGAGCCAATTTCTTCTTATATACATATACATATATATGTATATATTTATAATATAAATATATTTGAATACTTTTTGTAGCAAATAACTTCCCTTTTCTTCCCCGTTCACCCTTACTGAGCCTTATTATCTGAGATAATAAACACCCTACTAACTTTAAAATGTAGGTAACCCCTTCAAATTTAAAGCAAGTTATGTGAAATCAATTATGTGAGTATTTAAAACAACTGCTATATCTACCTCTGTATCTCCATCTGGTTTCAAATTTCTCTGCTAATCCTTTCTAGTCACTTTTTTTTTACTCTCAAGCTCTTTCATTGTTCTTTAAATTTGTTTTTTCTGCCACTGAACATCTGTTTGTGACTTTTTTTGGTCTTCACGTATAAACTTCAGTCACGTGGGTTTTTTTGTTTGTTTTTTTCTACTGGGAGCTTTGGGTATTGCAGTATTGTCTTCTAGCATTTACTGATTTTAAGAAGCACTTTGGGGCCAACTTGATGTGTTTCTCTGTGGTAGACTGAACATTTTCTTCTGATTGCTTTTAGAGTCTTTTAATCTCCCCAAATTCTAGCAAAATATGTCTTTTTTGAAATTGTTTTTTCTCATAACATGAAGTACAGTCTCAATTTTTAGATTTAAGTTTTATTTATTTAGATCAGGAAAGCATCCTTCTATTTTGGGGGGTTGTTGTTTCTAAATTTCATATTTGTTACCTTTGGGAATCTTAAGATCTGTCATTTGGAGATCTTAAATTGAGCTGCCTTTTCTATCTTTTTCTACTTTTACTCTATTTCTGGAAGGATGCTTCCTCATTCAAAGTTAATTTTTTTCAGTATCAAATCTGTTATTCATGTCTTAAACTCCTTTTTTAAAATTGTGTTTTCCATGTTCTTTTAATTGTGGATTATTCTTTATTTATGACTAATTATTTTAACTTGATAGATGAAAAAATCTGAAATATTTTCTAAGATTTTTCACCTTCCTTTGTTAAATGTCTTTCAAAAGGAGTTAGCCTTTGTGATTCTTTTGAACCACAGCATCTCTTTATTGACACCATGATTTTTCTTCTCCTTTCCTAAAAGAAGGAGGTGAATGCTTATTTGGTGTGGTGTACCAGTTAGCAATTTCTGCATAACAAACCACTCCAAACTTACTGGTTTCATATAATGATGATATTTAGTTTATGATTCTGTGGAACAACAGTTTAGGCTGGACTCAGTTGGATGGTTCTTTGAGTTTTTGTTGGACTCCCTCATGCATTGGTGGTCAACCTGAGGTCAGTTAAGTGACTCTGATTCCGAAAGTTGAGTGGCTGCTAGCTAGAGCACCTCACCTGTTCTCCACAGCCTCTCATTTCCTACTAAGCTAGCTTAAGCTTGTGCTCATAGGAGGATAATGTGTCCAGGAGAGCAAGGACACACATGAAAGCACCTTTATACATTTCTGCTTGCATTGAGTTTGCTACTGTCTCATTAGTGAAAACAAGTCACATGGCTAAACTCAGCATCACAGTGGGGGAGGACTGCAGCATTACAGGGCAAGGGGGGTGAGATCACCAAAATAAACGTAAGATTTGAAAATTTTATGTTTTCATAAGGATGAGTCGTTTAACTTATTCCAGCTAGACAAAAAGAAAAGCAAGCAGAAATTCCAAAGTTCTGTTTGCGGTTACATTTTATACAAAACATGTGGTGTCTCAAAAGCATTAATTTCTCAAGTGATCTTTGAAAACACTGGGAATTAAGTGATTGGTCACAGACTTTGGGAATTCCAAAGTTTTTATTATTAGTAGTGTATTAATCAGTTTTCACACTGCTGATAAAGACATACCCGAGACTGGGAAGAAAAATAAGTTTAATAGACTCAGTTCCATGTGGCTGGAGAGGCCTCACAATCATGGCGGAAGGTGAAAGGCACTTCTTACTTGGCAGCAGTAAGACAGAATGAAAGTCAAGCAAAAGGGGTTTCCCATTATAAAACCATCAGATCTCATGGACTTATTCACTACCAGGAGAACACTATGGGAGAAACCGCCCCCATGATTCAATTATCTCCCACCAGGTCCCTCCCACAACACATGGGAATTATGGGAGTACAAGTCAAGGTGAGATTTGGGTGGAGACACAGAGCCAAACTACATCATTCTGCCCCTGGCCCCTACTAATCTCATGTCCTCACATTTCAAAACCAAATCATGCCTTCCCAATAGTCCCCCAAAGTCTTAACTCATTTCAGCATTAACTCAAAAGTCCAAAGTCTCATCTGAGACAAGGCAAGTCTCTTCTGCCTGTCTCTTCTGCCTGTGAGCCTGTAAAATCAAAAGCAAGTTAGTTACTTCCTAGGTACAAGGGGGTATAGGCATTGGGTAAATATAGCCATTCCAAATGGGAGACATTGGCCAAAACAAAGGGGCTACAGGCCCCTGGCAAGTCCAAAATCCAGCAGGGCAGTCAAATTTTAGAACTCAAGAATGATCTCCTTTGACTCCATGTTTCACATCCAGGTCATGCTGATGCAAGAGGTGGGTCCCCATGGTCTTGGGCAGCTCCACTCTTGTGGCTTTCCAGGGTACAGCCCCCACTCCTGGCTGCTTTTATGGCTGGCACTGAGTGTCTGCAGCTTTTCTGGGCATATGGTGCAAGCTGTTGGTGGCTACCATTCTGGGGTCTGGAGGATGGTGCCCTCTTCCCACAGCTCCATTAGGCAGCGCCCCAGTGGGGACTCTGTGTGGGGATGCCGACCCCACATTTCCCTTCCGCACTGCCCTAGCAGAGGTTTTCTATGAGCGCCCCATCCCTGCAGTAAACTTCTGCCTAGACATCTGAGTGTTTCCATACATCCTCTGAAATCTAGGTGGAGGTTCCCAAACCTCAATTCTTGACTTCTGTGCATCTGCAGGCTCAACACCACATGAAAGCTGCCAAGGCTTGGGACTTGCACCCTCTGAAGCCATGGCATGAGCTGTACCTTGACCCCCTTTTGCCATGGCTGGAGCAGCTGGGATGCAGGGCACCAAGTCCCTAGACTGCACACAGCAGAGGGACCCTAGGCCTGGCCCACAAAACCATTATTTCTTCTTAGTCCTCTGGGTTTGTGATGGGAGGGGCTGCCACAAGTTCTCTGACATACCGTGGAGACATTTTCCCCATTGTGTTGGTGATTAACTTTCGGCTTCTTGTTACTTATGCAAGTTTCTGCACGTGGCTTAAATTTCTCCTCAGAAAATGGGATTTCATTTTCTATCACATTGTCAGCCTGCAAATTTTCTGAATTTTTTGTGCTCTGTTTTCCCATTAAAACTGAATACAGGCTGGGCACCTGTAATCCCAGCACTTTGGGAGGCTGAGGCGGGCAGATCACCTCAGGTCAGGAGTTCGAGAGCAACCTGGCCAACATGGTGAAACCCTGTCTGTACTAAAAATACAAAAATTAGCCAGATGTGTTGATGCACACCTGTAGTCCCAGCTTCTTGGGAGGCTGAGGCAGGAAAATCACGTGAACCTGGGAGGTGGAGGTTGCAGTGAGCCGAGATCACACCACTGCACTCCAGCCTGGGTGACAGAGCAAGACTGCATCTCAAAAAAAAAAAAAAAAGAAAGAAAAAAAAAAACTGAATGCATTTAACAGCACCCAAGTCACCTCTTGAATGCTTTGCTGCTTAGAAATTTCTTCTGCCAGATATCCTAAATCATCTCTCTCAACTTCAAATTTCCACAAATCTCTAGGGCAGAGGCAAAGTGCCATCAGCCTCTTTGCTAAAACATTAAGAGTCACCTTTGCTCCAGTTCCCAACAAGTTCCTCATCTCTATCTGAAACACCTCAGCTTGGATTTCATTGTCCATATCATTATCAGCATTTTTGTCAAAGCCATTCAACAAGTCTCTATGGAGTTCCAAACTTTCCCACATTTTTCTGTCTTCTGAGCCCTCCAAATTTTTCCAACTTCTGCCTGTTACCCAGTTCCAAAGTCGCTTCCACATTTTCAGGTATCTTTTCAAGAGTGCCCCACTCTACTGATACCAATTTACTGTATTAGTCAGTTTTCACGCTGCTGATAAAGACATACCCAAGACTGGGAAGAAAAAGGTTTAATGGACTCACAGTTCCACGTGGCTGGGGAGGTCTCACAATCATGGCAGAAGGTGAAAGGCATTTCTTACGTGGTGGCAGCAAGACAGAACGAAAGTCAAGCAAAAGGGGTTTCCTCTTATAAAACTACCAGATCTTGTGAGACTTATTCACTACTACAAGAACAGTATGGGAGAAAGTGCCCCCATGATTCAATTATCTCCCACCATGTCCTTCCCACAACATGTGGGAATTATGGGAGTACAATTCAAGATGAGATTGGGGTGGGGACACAAAGCCAAACCATATCAAGTAGTGTCAGCAAAGTTTAATTTATTTCAAAGCCTTGAATGAAAGCTACATAATAATATAATGGAATAAATACACCTAAGTCCTCAACATATGAACCTGCCTAAATATAGGGAAAACTAAGGAAAGTTTTATTCTTCATTGAGAAGTTCTGCAAAGTCCAGTTTTAGCATGTCACACAACTGAAAGGACTAACTTAAATATCTTCCTCTTTAGAGAAGACTTAGACAAAGACTTATGCTCCAGAATTTTAAGAAGAAATCAAAGCAAGCTTGAATACATTTCAGAAGCTCTTCTAACTTAGAGAAGCTCTTCCACTTCTTAGTAAATAGTGCCATAGGATAGAGCTTAAAGAGCTTAGAAAGAGTCAGAAAGAAGGAAAATAAAGAGATACCTATATGGAGATGTGAAAGGATGTGGGTTTAGACTTACGGGATCATAGAATCTCAGTTTTAGGATGGCTGTACTGTCTGTATTTTCTCTAGGAAATCTTAGCCATATGATTATACAACTTTTTCTTGAGGACCTCAGTAATATGGAGAAAACACCGTGACTGTATAGATTATATCAGAGAGTAGAAAGACTGGCTGGGTGCCATGGCTCATGCGTATATTCCTAGCACTTTGGGAGGCCAAGGCAGGCGAATCACTTGAGCTCAGGAGTTCAAGACCAACCTGGGCAACATGGTGCAACCCCATCTCTACAAGAAATACAAAAATTAGCCAGATGTGTTGGCATGTGCTTGTAGTCCCAACTATTTGGGAGGCTGAGGTGGGAAGATCACTTGAGCCTGGGAGGCAGAGGTTGTACTGAGTCATGATCATGCCACTGAATTCCAGCCTGGGTGACAGAGTGAGACCCTGTATAAAAGAAAGAAAGAGAGAAAGAAAGAAAGAAAAAAGAAATGAAGAAAGGAAGAAAGAAAGAAAGAACAAAAGGAAAGAAAGAAAGAAAGAAAGAAAGAAAGAAAGAAAGAAAGAAAGAAAGAAAGAAAGAAAGGAGGGGGGAGGGGAGGACAGGGGAGGGGAGGAGAGGAGAGGAGAGGAGAGGAGAGGACAGGAGAGGAGAGGAGAGGAGAGGAGACCAGCCAAGAAGCATAGAATCAAGTTAGGAGTTGAGGAAGTTGACTGTAGTAGTCAAGGAGGTCCAGGCCAGGGCAGGGGTTGGGCTGTGGAAATGTGAAGGAAGGAAGGAGAAGTATATGAGGCAGATGTTGAAAAATGAGAAGCAATTGAGTTTAGCAACTTACTGCAGCTAAAGTTCCCAGGGATGATAGAGACTTGGGTGGTTTTGAATTTGCAATGTGAATGATTGGGAGACAGAAATAGCATTATCTTGATTGTTTATGGGGGGAGAAATAACGAGGAGTTTTGGAAACATGCTGAGTTTGAGCTGGTGAGGCATCCATGTGATAATGCCCATTGGTTATTTTTTATATTTTTAATCCCAAGATGCAGTTTTCTTCTGCAATCATAGGTATGACTCATAGAAGTCCTTATTTTTAGAAATGAAGCACATTAAAGTGGTTAGTTATAGGATTTAACAACCTAACATAATACATTTTTCAATGGTAGAAAAATCACCAAAAATATCATTGACAAGCGGAAAATAAACCAGTCAAAAACATTATTTTCATATCCTTTTATTTTCTAGTCAAGTGTTTAATCAGAATTGATTTGCTTTCAGTGGCTCAAAGCAACTATCCACTCACCTCTAGTAAACATACAGAAGCAAAAATCTCATTGAGGGTGAATTGACAGAGTCCTCTGTACAAATAAAAAAGAAAATGATAAGGAAATAAGAGTTTTGCTATGTCTAAAGAGCCTTCAAAAATCAATTATTTACATAAAATTAATGTAAAACTTTAAAATAAATTATTCTTTAAAATTTCAGTTTTATATATATATATTTTAACCATATTTCCTCCACAGGTAGTCTGTTAAATAAAGCACCATTTACAAACTGCCAGGCCACAGCTAAAGAGGATTCTTTACAGAATCAAATTTCTTGTGGTTGTTCCGTATACAAGTAAACTTAATTTTGATAATAAGAACCATAGCGATAGGAAGCAATCTGCCTCTATGAGGTACAAAACTGGCACAGAGGACACCATATTATACACAGTAAAAATGTTGTAAGTTTAAATTACATTGTACAGGGCTAGGGAACCCTGTTCTTCCCAGACAGCCATATTAAATGAAAGCCACTACAGTGAACTCTTAATTACATAAAACATATCCATTATCTGATTGTCCTTTAGGAAGTGTACTGAAGATGCAAGTTTTTTTCATCTGGAGTTCTGCCTGACCAAGAATTAAGCCTATAAATCTATCTTGCCATTCAAGCAGAGAGCACTGGACAAACTGAAGCACAAAAATAAGTAAGCAAAACTTGTACAAACAGCATGGGGGTTGGGGGTGAGGGACTTAAAAGTAGACATGCCACACCTAATGTCAAGAAGCAGCTTGGTTTCCTTTGCCAGATGGTCCTACACAGGGTATCTAAAATGTCATGTTTCTGCATATGACTAAAGAGTCCTCTGGAATGGCCACAACTGAGAGATAAAGCAACCTCGGCGTCCTGGGAGGGCAAAGGTTGGCCATCACAGCTTCTCAAGTCAGCTAAGTCAGACAGAACTGCAGAGATAGAAGTAGAAGGGAACTCAGGTTCTTCCTCAGCTAGGATAGAATCCTTGGAACAGTGGAGGTCTTTAAATTCTTTACAATCTTCAGATCTATCATTGCTGGACTGTTCTGCATGCTGTGACTTGAATATTCTTAATTCTCAGAGGTGTAACTATTAACAAATAACGAATAACTTCTGTGTCAAAACAAATTATAGTTTACAAAGCAATTTAACATCTGTTATCTCAGGTGAGCATCTCAAGTCTGTGAAGAGGTAGGGGTCCTTATATCCCCATGAGGACTGCAGAGCCCAGAAGGGCTAGTTGATATATCCATGGTTGACCAACTAGTAAAATTGAGATATTTTATTCAAGAAGTCTGATTTCTGAGTTCAATATTCTTTATGTTTTTGAAAAATAATTTTTAAAAAAGTTATGCATTTGTGAGAGACAATGATACATCTTTCCTAATTCCTTTTAACCATGAAGATAAAAGTCTGTCTTTTAAATGACTTGAATTTTTTTGATTCACAGTTTTGATGCTATATCAATCAAGGTCCACTCAGGAAAACAGAGATGGCACCAGTTATCTTAAGAAAAATAATTTAACATGGAGAATTGATTAAACAGATATTAGAGGACTAAAAAGGTAATGCAAAAATAGTAACTGCAGGAAGCATCTACCACTTCTGGGGCTGGGAGAATAAAGGGCAATTGAAAATTGGCCTGGCGTGCATGGAAATGGTAAATGGCTAAGGATATATTGGCATGTCACTGACAGTGTCAGCTAAAGCGATCTGCAGAGAATAATTTATTTTATTAGTATTTATTAATGATGTTTCATTTAATTTGCTCTATCAAATGCCACTAAAAGTTGAATCCTGGCTTTTCAGAGGCTTGAGCTATTCTGAAAAACAGTTGTGCAAAATCCAATCGGGTGTGTCAGTGGCATGGGATAGGTGGATTGTTGGGAGTGAAACTCCCTGGTACAGGCAGTAGGGAGATAATCAACTGCAGAGAATTTAAAAACAATAATAAAACCGATTAAAAGGCAGTTTGCTTTTTATTATCACAATGCATTAGCAATTCTAAACAATGTCAGTGATAAAATATTCCTCCCTAATGGATGAAACACTGCCCCCCACCCCACTCTGTTCTTTGTGTATGTACTACAGTAAGTTGCTTTATCTTCTAGGGAAATATATTTGTGGTCAAATTATTTCAGGTGAGCATTTCAAGTCTGCGAAGAGGTAGGGGTCAGCATATTCCCATGAGGACTTTAGAGCTCATAAAGACGAGTAGATATGTCCATAGTTGACCAACTAGTAAAAATGGGATCTTTTATTCAGGGATTCTGATTTCCGACTTCAACATTCTTTTTATTATAAGTTTTTGAATAGCAGTTTTAAAAAATATATGCCTTTGTGGGAGATAATGATACATCAAATGAAGCCACTTGTTTTCCCCTAAGTCTTAGGATTCTGCAAGTAGTCTGCTGAATGAAGAATGACTGCACCTTAACATTCTAAATCATTCATACGAGTAGCTCTAATTTCAGTGGTAATGCTGAAGTAAACTACTATGGTTACATTCAGCACATGGCTGAGAGTTGTACTGATAGTTGACCAAACAAGAGAACTGTTTATCTATCTTCTGTTGATAGTCAGTAGCCATTGTGCAGACATGAAGCTCCTGCCTACTCTATTGTTTGAAAAGGCAAAGGATTGGCAAATATTAAACCCTAGTGCTCATCAGAGATCCTTGCTACTGGGGTGACTTTGTTCCACGTGGTCACTCAGAGACCTAGGTCATTGCTTCTATTTTATTGCTTCACCATCCCAAGGATATCATTTCATCTGTGTGGGGGAGTTGAGTCACTGCCTTTTTCCTGTGTTAGCCCATGGTGTGTGGAGGGCCAACGATTTTTTTTTTTTTAAAGCAAGTGACACAGAAAAGCATATATCACTTTCATTCATGTCCTGCAATCTAAAATATTGTTTAGGAAAATTGAGCATATAATCTCACAGCACTAGTTTAAAAGAGACTAAATACATACTCTAGATCTATCAAGCAAGAGAAGGACACAGAAAGGTCATTTCCTCAGAGTCCTCTTTACTTCATTGCCAGGCATCAGAAAACAGCCTGCTTAAAGAATTCATCCGTGAGAAGCCAGCCCTATGGGAGTTATTCACTTATGGGAAGCTGGGAAACACAGTCTCTAGCTTGGTGGCCATGGCTCAGCTTAAACTGAATTAATATGGAAGAAAGGAAGATCAAATTTTAAGGAACTGTTAGCAGTCTGCCATGAACAGCATGTATTCACAGATTTTTATAACGTGTCTTATCTCTCAGCTAAAAAGATAAGACTCAGCCCGCAGCTAAGAGAGCAAGTTTTACTAACAGCTTCTAGAGATTGTGAAATTGACAGATGAGTAAATATGTATTCACACAGACATAATGAGATTATAACGTCATGATGAAATCAGAACTCTGTATTTGCATTTTATTTCAATACAATGTTTTTCTTGCCAGATAGAGGAAAGCTTATTTATTCTTCTCGGTGCAAGAACAATGCAAGCAATTAAAATATAACAACTTGCTACATACTTGGAAGACCTATTTTTAAATAATATGAATACTATTTATTTAAACACTTAGATTCCTTCGGAGACTTTTACCTCAAGGTCTACACAAACCAAGAAAACATTTTTAATTATTTTAATTTGAGACAGGTTCTTGATCTGTCACCCAGGCTGGAGTGCAGTGGCGCTATCATGGCTCACTGCAGCCTCAACCTCCCCAGGATCAGGTGATCCTCCCACTCAGCCTCCTGAGTAGCTGGGACTACAGGTGCACACCACCATGCCCGGCTAATTTTTCTTTTCTTTCTTTTTTTTTTTTTTTTTTTTTTTTGTGGAGACAGGGTTTTGCCATGTTGCCCAGGCTGGCTCAAGTAATACGCTATCCTGGCCTCCCAAAGTGTTGGGATTACAGATGTGAGCCACCGTGCCCAGCCCAAGAAAACATTTTTATATGGAAAACATTGTATTAAAAAAATCAAGGGAAAGTCTTCCTGTCCTAACACTATTCAGTCAAATATACAATGTTTGCTAGACTACTGAGGAAAGCCACCATCTATGGTGATAGCCAGCATTTTCTTTATTAATGTCAAATCAGTAATCAATAACTTAACCTGATTTTGTCTACTTTATCTTATAATTAGGTTATATAGCAGTTCACTAATAGATATGATACCGAATATATTGTCTGATACAAGTTGTCAAAATTGTCTGTGGCCTTAACTCCTATTATTTTGACATCTCTCTGATGTTTTCTATATTTCTGGCAGGAGTGAAGTTGGTATTACAATTGCCTGCATATGCTAGTTCACAGAAGAGTAAGGGACCTATTTCCTCCTCATAAAAGAGATTATTAAAAAATTAGAATTATAAGCATTACTTCTATTTTAAAATGTTGAGATAATACTATTTGCATAACTTGAAGATCACACCCAACGAAAGCATGGACTACAAGTCTTAGTACTTATTACAATATCTTTTATTATTATGCAGAAGTCCAGTTGACTACCCTACAAAGAGGAAGAGTATGTTAAAACACAAATAGGAGAAATGCATTCTATATACAGTCATGTGCCTCATAATGATGTTTTGGTCTATGGACCACATATGTGATAGTGGTCCCATAAGATTATAATGTCATGTTTTCATTGCCCATTTTCTATGTTTGGGTATGTTTAGATACACAAATATTTACCATTGCCTTACGGTTGCTCACAGTATTCAATGTAGTAACAGCCTGAACAGGTTTGCAGCCTAGGAGCAGCAGGCTATTCCCCATTGCCCATAGTGGGCTATACCATCTAGGTTTGTGTAAGTACACTCTGTGTATGATGTCTACACAAGGACAAAATCAGCTAATGGCATATTTCTCAGAATGTATCCCTGTTGTTAAGTGATGCAGAACTGTATCATGTAACATTTGAAAATAAAGTAATTTGTTTTGCATAAATGTGAAAAATGCATTTTTTCTCAATAAAATATGGCTGCTTCTAGGGGCAAAATTAACATACAGGACATGAACTCACAGCATTATAACTGTTGAAGGAAATCTTAGAAGGCATCTTGTTACACATTTCCCCAAGTCACACGTTACTTATCATCCCTGACAGGTTCTCCTTCATTCACTGCCATCTGAATGCTTCGGTGAGGCAGATCCTATTCCATTCCCTCACTGCATTGATGGACAGCTCAAAGCTGCCTCTTCAACATTTTATTTTCATCAGCCTTTTCTGAAACAACAGCATAAATCTTTTCTCATTTCTGTGATTATCCATTACATTTTTGAGGAGTATTATTTTCCTCCTGAGACTTTTCCAGGCTAACCATTCCCAACTTTTTCCGTATTCCTTGATGGAAATCACCTTCTGTCCCACTACATTCCTGATGACCTTCCTCTGGACATACTTCTGTTTTTCAATGTCCTTCAAAAAGCTACTATAGATGTGTTGTGACCAGTCCAGAGAATGGAATCTAGTAAAATAATCTTTTATGAACTGGGTGGTAAGCATTTGTAGATGACAGTGACATGGCATTAACTTTCTCATCAGTTAAACTCTATGGCCTTGTTTGAATGGCATGGGGAGCCCTCTTGTTCCCAAATATGGCCTTTCAGGGAGTCTGTACTTCAACCTCTAGTGATTGAAAGATTGGATTTATTCACTTGATACCGAAGTTTATTTTTTCTACACACATTTTAAATTTCCTTAGTAAAATATGTCATTGGCTGTGGGTAATAATTCAAACCTTTCTTTTATCTGGATTTAGTTCACAATTACAGGAGAGCAGGAAGGGAGAAAAGCTGACAGTAGAGAGTTCATGAAATGAAAAGCATCCTCAATATCATTCCCGTGAAGACAGCAACAGGGAATTGGGAAGACACCAAAGAATAAAGTTTGCCGACTACAAAACTTTCCTGACTCTTGGTGTGTTGTATTGTATTTGCTGACCTTTAGTGTAATGTTTACACTTGGAAGTTACTTTGTATTTCAGACATCTAAAACCATGAAGGGTCTAAAGATATCTGGAAAGAAACAGTACATATAATTTTGGGGTTCACATCTTGGATTAAGGCTATGTCTACTATTAGGTTGATGAAAAAGTAATTACTTTTGATGACAAAATCTGCAATTACTTTTGCATCAGCAGTTACTTTTGCACAAACCTAATAGCATAACTTTAAAAACATCTTCTCTTTTACCCCGTCTTTACATTCAAAGCTGGCTTTTTGTACACAGCATATAGCTGGATATTGCTTTCCATCCCATCTGGCAGCTGCAATTGAACTGGAATATTTAAACCAGAGCTGTCACAAATATATATAATGTGAGCCACATATGCACATTTAAAATTCTGAGCATTCACTTTAAAAAAGTAAAAAGAAAGGTAAATTGAATTTGAAGTATATATTTTATTTAACCCAATACATATAAAATATTTCAATAAGTAATCAATCTAAAATCATTGATTAGACATTTTGCATTATTTTTTGTGTGAAGTCTTCAAAATTCAGTAATTTAGACGAATCATTTATGAGATATTCAATAATCACATGTATCTAGTGGTTATCATATTGGGTAGGAGAGGTTTAGACAACTTATGTTTAATTATCATTAATTAGATTAAATTTATCATCTTTCTAGTTTCTTTTAATTTAAATTATTGTTTGTTCCTCTCTCTCTCTCTTTTATTGATTTACTTTTTGTTAGTTGAGTGTTAATTTTTTTTTATGATTCAATTTATCCCCAGTATTGGCTTATTGGCTATACCTCTTTGTTTTGTTTTGTTTTGTACTGTTGCTTTAGGGTTTACAATAAACAGCTTTAACTTATCATTGTCTATTTTCTTTTTTTTTGAGATGGAGTCTCACTCTGTTGCCCAGGCTGGCATGCAATGACGCGGATCTTGGCTCACTGCAACCTCTGCCTCCTGGGTTCAAGCGATTCTCCTGCCTCAGCCTCCCGAGTAGCTGAGATTAAGGCGCTTGCCACCATGTCCAGCTAATTTTTTTGTATTTTTAGTAGAGACGGGATTTCACCATGTTGGTCAGCCTGGTCTCAACCGCCTGACCTCAGGTGATTCACCCACCTCCTCCCGCCAAAGTGCTGGGATTACAGGCGTGAGCCACTGCTCCTGGCCATCATTGTCTATTTTCAAATAATATTGCACAACTTTGTGTAGAGCATAAAATACTTTTTCCTTCTGTCTTTGCACTATTGTCTTCACACATTTGTATCTGTCTATCTATCTATCTATCTATCTATCTATCTATATTATGTACTCCTTAATACGTCATTATTTTTTAAAACCAGTCGTTATTTTTTAAGGAGATTAGCAAATGAGAAAATAATTTACCTGATATATTTACTATTTCTAATCAGCTTTAAATTTTTGTGTAGTATAAATTTCCATATGGTTATTTTCTTTCTTCTTGGAACATTTCTTTAATTTTTTGAAGTTTATTCCTCTGATAATGAATTTTCTCAATTTTGCTTGTTAATGAAATTTTTATTTTCTCTTTCATTTTTGAAATATATGTTTGCTAGGCGTAGATTTACAGCCTGACAGATTTTTCTTTTTCTTTCAGTACTTTGAAGATGCCATTCCATTGTCTTCTGACCTGCCTAATCTCAGAAGTCTGCTATCATTCTTATCTTTGTGCCTTTAAATGTAATGTGTTCTTCAACTACTTTTAATATTTTCTCTTTATAATGGATTTTAGCAGTTTTATTATAATGCATCTTTGTGTGCTTTTCTTTAAGTTTCTTTTGCTTGGGACTCATTGATTTGTGGGTACGGAATGTTTATCAACCTTAGAAAGTTTTCAAATATTATTTCTTCAATTTTCTACTTTCCCCAAATAACTTACATTTATTTCTTCTAGCAACAACTCATGCTAAAGGAGCTGAATGAACCTCTAAAGTATCTAGGAGACTGATTTTTAAACAATTGGCAAACACTGCAAAATAAGGGATTGAGGAAGAAAGACCTACAGCCTTTTAATTTCTTTGTATTAAAGAATTTGGGCCTTTAACTTTAGCTTATAGGAAAAATAGGAACATAACTTTTTTTTTTACTTTATTTCTCCAGAAATAAAATAATATAAAGGAACCCTTATTATGCAATCTTGAGGCTTTACAAAAATTATTGACCTTGTATTATTATAGTATCTTTATTCTGTCATTTAAACACATTATATATATGGGCAAAATTTTAGTTGGAAAATGAAAATGAATGTATTTTTAGTTTAGATTATAGAATGGCCTTAGAGTTGACCCAATTTAAGACAAAAGCTGAACTGCCTGCAAGTGGTCCCAGGAAGATATACAAAAAAGCAATGGTTGGTATGAGGAAAGAAAATTCATGAAGATGTTAGCAGAAGTTCCTGAAAAATGACTGATCTTGCTCTTGAGGAGATAGCCACAACCACTATTAACTTTAGGCCTGATGGGTAAGCCTGATGGGTTGAAATGCCACAATGCTAATGGGTTGAAACATCAAAACACCTGATGGGTTAAAACACCAAAATCCATATTTTCTTGCTCTGCCTCACTTTAAGTGACTAGTGACTGCCATGATGGCCTGCTCATATCCAGTTCTGTTTCTGGGAAAATTTACTTATGGTGACGGTGGGAGGGGGGTGGTAAAGGAATATTGAAAAACCCTTTGACTGAAGAGTTAAGTCTTGAAGCTTGTCCTTAACTAAGATGATATTTTACTCGCAGCACTTCTAACTATTATATCTTGTGGAAATAAGAAACTGGGCTTGCGCAGTGGCTCACGCCTGTAATCCCAACACTTTGAAAGGCCGAGGTGGGTGGCTCACCTGAGGTCGGGAGTTCGAGACCAGCGTGGCCAACGTGGCGAAACCCCATCTCTACTAAAAATACAAAATTAGCCAGGCGTGGTGGCGGATACCTGTAATCCCAGCTACTGGGGAGGCTGAGGGAAGAGAATTGCTTGAACCCAGGAGGTAGAGGTTGCTACGAGCTGAGATTGTGCCACTGCACTCCAGCCTCGGCAACAGAGTAAGACTCCATCTCAAAAAGAAAAAGAAACTGGCTTAGAATACATGCAGGGAGATGGAAGTATTGATGATATTTTCCCTTCCTAAAAACCCAGTAGCTATCACTGGTGTGGCAGAAAGGCTCCTGTAGGTGCCCCCCACCACTCCTGCCTTGTGTGATTCCTTCTCTTGGAGTTTAGGTAGGATCTGGGGTTTGCTTCTAACCAATGAACTAAGACAAAGTTGATGAGATATATGTAATTTTGTGTACACAATTATGCCATATAAGACTTTAGTGTCTACCCTGATGGATTTTTCTCTCACTCTTTTCCTGGCTTTGAAGAAGTAAGGTACCTTATTTTGAGCTGCCTATTTTGGGCAAGGAACTGAGGGTGATCTTGTGATAGGCAGCAAAAGCAAAAACAAAACAAAACAAAAACCGCAGTCCTTAGCTTTACAACTACAAGAAACTGAATTCTGCTAACAAACGTAGATGACTTCCCAGTTGAGCCTCAGATAAGGCTGCAGCTCTGACCTACATACACCTTGACTGCAGGCTTTTGAAGCCATAAGATGGGCACCCAGCTAAATCTTGGCCAGGCTCATGATCCACAAAGTTTGTAAGATAATAAATATGTGTTGCATTAAGCTACTAGTTTGTGATAATTTATGTATTGTTCAGTAATATAAAACTAACACAATTACTAATGCCATTTTCTTGGATGAATAGTTGCTGTTAAACAATTTAAATACTTTATTCATGATTGTATGGCTAATACATGGCAGAGATGGGGTTTGGACCCAGTCAGAGAAATAGTCCAAGATTCTAATCACCAATTTATGCTGTCTCTCAAAAACTGTTCTAAGTAGAGTGGAGAGCTTGGTTAATTTTCAAATAATTAAAAAGGTAATTACTTCTTTAATAATACATCACCTTTAGTATGTTGGTTTCATACTAAATGCCCATCAACCACTGAGTGGATAAAGAAAATGTGATATATGGCCGGGCATGGTGGCTCATGCCTGTAATCCTAGCACTTTGGGAGGCCAAGGTGGGTGGATCACCTGAGGTCAGGAGTTCAAGATCATCCTGGCCAACATGATGAAACCCTGTCTCCATTAAAATACAAAAATTAGCCAGGTGTTGTGGCATGCACCTGCAGTCCCAGCTACTTGGGAAGCTTAGACAGGAGAATTGCTTGAAACCAGAGGCAGAGGTTGCAGTGAGCCGAGATTGCGCCACTGCAGTCCAGCCTGGGTGACAGAGTGAGACTCTGTCTCAAAAAAAAACAGGAAAATGTGATATATATGTACACCATTGAATACTACTCAGTCATAAAAAAGAACAAAATAATGTCTTCTGCAGCAACTTGGATGGAACTGGAGGCCATTGTTCTAAGTGAGTAACTTAGAAACAGAAAACCAAATACTGCATATTCTTCTCACTTTTAAGTGGGAAGTGAGCTATGGGTATGCAAAGAAATACTGGTATAATGGACATTGAGGTCTCAGAAGGGAGGAGGACGGGAGGGAGGTGAGGGATGAAGAATTACCTGTTGAGTACAGTGTACACTATTCAGGAGTTGGGTACAATCAAACCCCAGACTTCACCACTATATAATTCATCCATGTAATCAAAAACCACTCATACTCTAAAGCTATTGAAATTAAATATATATATATATATATACATATATATAAAATATTAAACTTACCACCAAAAAAATTATACTACTAGTGGAAGAAGAGAATGGATATAGAAGGACAGAAAGATGTCTACTAATATTGGCACAGCAGAAAGATAGAAAGTTTTGGGTCCCTGACAGCATTGTAGAAGTCCATTCTGGTTTTCCACTATCTTTCTCCAGATTTCTTGTTATATGAGAAAAATAAATCTCTATGTGATTAAATAATAGTAATAATATATTAACTTTAGGACAGAATATTGAACAGACTTTGTTCAGCCTTTAATATGTTTGCATATACATATTCATGAGGGTGGTCTTTTTAAATTTTACATTGCTTTTTTTGTTTGTGTTGTTTCCACAGGACATTATCCATAAGAGAATCCAAGAAGACCAAAAAACTACATTTTTTTTTTTTAAATACTAAAATAAAAGCTGGTCCCAAATGTAACTGCCAATTTGAAATTTATTTTTTATGTTTGTTACAAACTTTTTAGAATAAAGTACCTTTAAAAATACAAAGAATAAAGTTCCTATAGTGTTTATGCATTAAAGAAGCATACACTAAAAGCCTACCGTAGATCCCCATTGCACACAGAATAAAGTACAACTCTCTGGTTTGCTGCAACATGAATTTATGGCTTTATTTTCAATTATTTGTCTTCATAAGCCTATTTCTGACTACTAATGGTTTCAAAATGTCTAGTACACTTCTGTGTTTGTACGTTTACTCACACTACATTCAAATAAAGTTATCTTCCTCTTTGTCTTTGCCTCTATAACTTCAACTCATTCTTTAAAGCAGAGCTCAAATTCCACCTTGTTGGTAAAATTTCACCACAAAAATTGCTGCTTGAAATGGCCTCTCTCTTCTTTATCTCTGCTTGTGTTTATTATCTATATGAATTCATCATTTACTTTGTACATATATTAATATTCAACCCATTTCATAAAATATTTATGGAATTTCTGGGTACTGTGCCTGGCTCTAGAGAGAAAACAGTGAATAACACACAGCCTCTGCTTTCAAAAAATTATTTCTCGATTGATTAATAGCTATTTGAATGACAAATACTTCTCTAAGATTTCAAACTAAATTTATAAAACACAAGCTAGGCTTTCAAGTAGAGAAGTCTCTTTACATTTAATGGGAAGAATAAACATTTATGTGAAAAATAAACTCTGAATTTTAAATTTAAAAGTGCACTTAAATAACAGAGAAAACAGACCCAACCTTCTAAAGCTATACCTGTAAGGTCAGCACTGTCCTCAGAGTGAACAAAATAGAAAAGCAAAATATTTGATACCAGGACACAAAACTAGAATAGATTATGGCTGAGGCAGGAAATGTCAGTTGAGAAAGTAAGTTTTGGAAAGAAAATACACTTATTAAAAGTGAAAAAAAAAAAAGAAAGAAGATTCATCATCAAAATATTTCAAATCTTCTTAAATTAATGTATCCAAAGACAGCAAATAGTGTTTTTCTGGAGCTACTGAAGTTGATTCAAGAAATTAAGAAGGCTGTCTATAAGATTCAAAACACATTATAAATATTATAATTACCCAATATTTGCAAGTATGGTACCAGTGCATCAATAGACATCTCAATGAAAATGAATAGAAAGTCCAGAAATACATTCAAATATAGAAATCTGTAAGTATTAAAAAGTATCTTGAACCAATGAGGAAAATACAAACTTCTCATAAGTGAATTCTGTATAACTAGGTGGCCATCTGGAATAAACTAAAGTTGGACTCATATTGTCTACTTAGAAGGATGAATTCTAAAGAGTAAGTGATTTACATGTAAAAAATGAGATAATTACTTCTGCTTTGGGGAAATAGAATATGTACTTTTCCTATTCCTCCTCTTAAGTACAGCTAAAAACCCTCCATATTATATATAAAACTAAATGTAAGACTCTGAGAAGTAGAGAGAAGAGGCAGACACCTAGAAACTTGGTGACTAAAGGAATAAAACAGAGGTAAGTTTCACGGATTTTTTTTTTTTTTTGTATCACATATCCCAGACTTGGATCTAAAGAAGATGGCAACCCAGAAGCACCAATGAATGCAGACAAGAAAAGGTCCCCCAAAAGCCTGCTCTCTCAAGCCAAAGGAAAAGGAAAAAGCAGCCTCGCATTACCAAAACCTTTTAGGCAATAACTGCTGTACTCCAGCCAAAAACCACAGAAAGAACAGTGGCCCCACTTCCGCTTACACCAGAAAAGGCAGAGTGGGGAGCCTAGACTTCTACCCTTGTCGTGCTGTAGCGAGGTGTTCTAAGCTCCTGCTGTAGGGTGGTGTTAGAGCAAGCTAAGTAGAAAACTGGGACTTTATTCCTATTGGATGTTGATGAAGACATCCCCATACTCACAGCATCAGTGAGGAGACTGAGTTCTATCTCTACCTAGCAGTAATGATGCTATCTTCCCCTACACATAGAGGTAGTGTCAAAGGAGACCTAGTAGAGACTGAGAAAGTTCAACCCTGCCCACCCCACCCAAGTGGTGTCAGTAGAGGGCAGGAACAAGGCACTCCCAGCTTTCCCAGTCAGGGTAATATCAGCAGAGACCTTTCAGGGAGTGGGAGCTCCCACCTCATGCCAGCAGTAATGAGGGAGACCCTCACCCCTTGGGGTGTTAATAGAGTCCCAGTGGGGAAACTGGACTTCTACTCTGCCTAGAAGTAGTGCAGCAGGACTATCCTTCTCCTCTTCTCTTTCCAATATAGCGTCAGAGATGATCACCTAAAACAGAAGGCTTATAAAAATTCAAAATCTCATGACATAATACTCAAAATGTCCAGATTTAAATAGAAGCATCACTAGTACATCATACAAAGAACAAGGGAATCTAAACTTGAATAAAAAGGAAAATACACATAAAAGTCAAGGTAACAGAAATATTGGAATGATCTTACACAAACCTTTACAGCAGCCATTATAAAAATGCTTCCATAGTCAGTGTGGCAATTCCCCAAGGATCTAGAACTAGAAACACCATTTGATCCAGCAATCTCATCACTGGGTATATACCCAAAGGATTATAAATCATTTTACTATAAAGACACATGCACATGTATGTTTATTGTGGCACTGTTCACAATAGCAAAGACCTGGAACCAACCCAAATACCCATCAATGATAGACTGGATAAAGAAAATGTGGCACATATACACCACAGAATACTATGCAATCAGAAAAAAGGGTGAGTTCATGTCATTTGCAGGTCCATGGATGAAGCTAGAAACCATCATTCTCAGCAAACTAACACAAGAACAGAAAACCAAACACCACATGTTCTCATTCACAAGTGGGAGTTGAACAATGGGAACACATGGACACAGGGAGGGGAACATCAAACACCAGGACCTGTCATGGGGTTGGGGGCTGGGGGAGGGATAGCATTAGGAGAAATACCTAATGTAGATGACAGATTGATGGGTGCAGCAAACCACCATGGCACATGTATACCTATGTAACAAACCTGCATGTTCTGCACATGTACCCCAGAACTTAAAGTATAATTAAAAAAATGCTTCCATGAGCAATTATGAGCATGCTTGAAACAAATGAAAAAATCGAACATCTTACTAAAGAAATAAAACATATGAAAAAGAACCAAATGGGAAATTAAGCACTGAAAAATACAACTAAAATGTAAAACTTAATAAACAGGCTCAAAGTCAGAATGAAGGAAACAAGAAAGAATATGTGAACTTCAAGGTAGAACAATAGAAATTATCCACTTTTAACAAGAGAGATAAAGTAGGCTGGAAGAAGAATGATTAGAGCCTTACTCCTGTAAGATTATAACAAAAGCTCAAATGTTTGTGTCATAGGACTCCTAGAAGGAGAGGGGAAAGAGGGCAAGACCAAAAAAGCACCTGAGGAAATAGTGAATGGAAGCTCCCCAGATTTGGCAAAAGACATAAACTATAGATTCAACAAGCTGAATAAATATAAAATAGTATAAACCCAAATAATCATAAACCAAGACATAGTCAATTTTCTGAAAACTAAAGACAAAAATCTTGAAAGAAGCAAGAAAGAAATGACTGCCTATCTATAGAAGAAAAAGAATTTGAATGACTGCAGATTTCTTACTAAAAATTATGAGACAGAAGGAAGTGGCATATTTCTCAAGTGCTGAAAGAGCTGCCAACCCAAAATCCTACATCCAGCAAAAATATCATTCGGGAATGAAGGGGAAATTAAGATAGTATTAGATAAAGAAAAACTAGTAGGACTTGTTGCCAAAAGAACTACCCTGAAAGATTGGCTGAAGGGAGTTCTTTAAATAGAGAGAAATAATAATAGAAGAACATTTTTTGGCATATCAGAAAGAAATAATAATAGAGTAAATATAAGGGTAATTTCAAAACATTTTCCTTCTCCTATTAAGTTTTCTAAATTATGTTTGATGGTTGAAGCAAAAGTTATAATAATGTCTGGATGTCACTAAATGTATGCAGATGAAATACTCAAGACAATGAGAATATAAATAGGAATGGGATGTAAAAGAGAGGTAGGTTTTCTAACTTCATACTATATGGTAAAGTCACACTAGTAGACTGTTTTTGTGGTACTGGGATTTGTTTTAATCAGGTGTGGCAAGACACACAGACATGAAAATGACTTTTATGAAGGCAAAAGTTTTATACTCATAGATTCCTAGAAACAGGAGGCGTGACATGACACAGGGAGGCCATACAGGGAAGCACCAGTGTTGGACAGGAGGCAGAGGGAGCAAGGGGAAAATGTGGGCAAGAAACTCTTGTGTTTTCTTTGTTGGAAAGTCAAGGCAAGACAGGATAAACAGGGTTAGGGTTGGCTAGTTTGAATAATTTCAGTGGGCTTTAGGGTGTAGTGCCCTGATTTGTCTGGTACCTGGCCCTGAAGTGATTATGGCAGATGGATAGTAGCCCAGATGTAAGTACTAGATAAAGGAGATCACTGGGAATTTGAGCTTTAGATTGGTTAGTTTGTATATGAAAGGTGCATTCACAGACCAGTCATTTTTCTATTTCTTGGAATTTATTAACCCTAAGAGGAGCAGTCCATCCGGGAATAAGATGCCAAAGTATCAAATACAAAATATTAGAAAACTTGGTGTGTGTGTGTGTGTGTGTGTGTGTGTGTAAGATACATTATATATATTATATATTACATATACCATCTTTATTAGTTTGTTTTCATACTGCCCAAAATAAAGACATACCCAAAATTGGGAACAAAAAGAGGTTTAATTAGACTTACAGCTCCACATGACGGGGGAGGCCTCAGAATCATGGTGGGAGGTAAAAGGCACTTCTTACATGGTGACGACGAGAGAAATGAGGAAGAAGCAAAAGTGGAAACCCCTGATAAACCCATCAGATCTCATGAGACTTATTCACTAACATGAGAATAGCATGCAAAAGACCATCCTGCATGATTCAATTACCTCCCCCTAGGTCCCTCCCACAACACGCGGGAATTCTGGGAGATACGATTCAAGTTGAGATTTGGGTGGTGACACAGCAAAACCATATCATCATGTTATGTATATATAATGTAATAATTAGAGAAACAACTAGAAAAGGTGATATAAAAGGATGCACCCCAAATAATTTAATAAATGAAAATGAAATTCACAGTATTTTTAAATAACAGGAAGACAAGGAAATTAAAACAAAGAAACAAAAAAAAGGAAAAAAATCCAACTTCAGCCCCATAAGGAACCTAGAAGTTACCATTTTCATTCTTACAATAGAAAAACTAAGCAAACTGAAAATCAGTTACTTTTCTTGGACTCATGAGAGGATTGAGGTGACAGGGAAAACTGCCACCTGGAAATCTGGAGAGACAAGAAAATCTGAGAGAGAACCATAGCTAAAATCTGCTCAGTAGAAAGTGGGTCCCTGAGGAAGCACAGACGCTGTACTTAGTAGAAAAAGACTTTAAGTCAACTGTCTTAAATATACTAGAAAAACTAAAGAAAACTGTCAACAATGAGCTAAATAAATCCAGAAGAACCATGTATGAAAAAATAAAAATCAGTAAAGAAAAGAAATAGATATTATAAAAAGGAACCAAACAGAATTCTGGAGCTGAAAAATACAATAACTGATGTGAAAAACCCACTAGAGTGTTTCAGTAGCATAGCTGAGCAGGCAGAAGAATGAACCAGGAAATTTGAAGACAGATCAACTTAAACTACCCAGTCTGAGAAGCAAAAAGGAAAAAAAATGAAGAAAAATAATACCTAAGAAGCCTGTGGCACACCATCAAGCATTTTCATATACTCATAATGAATATCCCAGGAGAGAAGAGAAAGTGGCAGAGAAGAAATAATGGCTGAAAACTTCCCAAATTTGATAAAAGACATAAAACCACATATTTGAGAATCTCAGAAAATTCCAGGATAACTGTAAAGAGAACCACACAGAGACACATAATGAAATTGTTGAAAGACAAAGACAAAGAGATAATCTTCAAAAATGCATGACAAAACAACTCATGACATACAAGAGAGCATTGATCTAGTAGATTTTTCATCAAAAATCATGAAGGCCAGAAGAGAGTGGGATGACATTTTTAAAGTGCCAAAAGAAAAAAATCTTGTCAACTGAGAATTCTGTATCTGTCAAAACTGACATTCAAAAATGAAGCAGAGCTGAGTGCAGTGGCATGTGCCTGTAATCCCAGCTACTCAAGAGGCTGAGATAGGAAGATCACTTGAAGCCAGGAGTTTCAGGCCGTATGGTGCTGTGATCATGCCTGTGAACAGCCATTGCACTCCAGCCTGGGCAATATAGTAATATCCCATTTCTGAAAAAAAAAAAAAAAAAAAAAAAAAAAAAAAAAACCAGAAAGAAAAAAGAAAGGAGGAATTAAGGCATTCCCAATAAAAAAAGTTAAGGAAATTTATTATTAGTAGACCTTCCCTACAAAAAGTGCAGAAAGAGATCCTTGAGTCAGAAATGAAAGAGGCTGGGCAAGGTGTGGCTCACGCCTGTAATCCCAGCACTTCCGGAGGCCAAGGGAGGCAGATCACCCGAGATTAGGAGTTCGAGACCAGCCTGGCCAACATGGTGAAACCCCATCTTTACTAAAAATACAAAAATTAACTGGTCATAGGGGTGCACACCTGTAACCCCAGCTACTCAGGAGGCTGAGGCAGGAGAACTGCTTGAACCCAGAATGTGGAGGTTGCTATGAGCTGAGATCACACCACTGTACTCCAGCCTGGGTGACAGAGCAAGACTGTGTCTCAAAAAAAAAGGAAATGAAAACAGAATGAATTGCTGAAGGTAGCAATGTAGATAAATATAAAAGCTAGCATTATTGTATTTTTGGTTTGTAACTCCTCTTCTTACTACCTATTTGATTTAAAAGATAAATATAGAAACAAGTAATTATAAAACCATGTTAATGGCCATATAATACATAAAATGTAATTTGTCACAATAACAAAATCAAGGGGAATGGAGCTGTATAGGAGTAGAGGTTATTTAAATGCAATTTAAGCTAAGTTGGTGTCAATTCAAATGAAATTGCTGTAAATTTGGGATTTTAATTGTTATCTGCATGATATCCACTAAGAAAATATGTATAAAAACATACACAAAAAGGAAATGAGAAGGGAACCAAAAAGATACACTATAAAGAAACAAAACAAAACACAAAAGAAGGCAGAGATGGAGGAAGTAAGAAATATAAATGGTATAAAACACAGAGAAAACAAATAGCAAAATGGCAGAAGTGAGTCATTTTATCAGTAATTATTTTAAATGTAAATGGATTAAATGTAAACGTATTGGCAGAATGGGTTGAAAAAAATACATGATCCAACTGTATGCTGTTGACAAGAGACTCACTTTATATCCAAAGACAGAAAAAGATGTAAGTGAAAGGATAACAATATTCCATGGAAATGGTAACCAAAGGAGAGCAGGCATGGTGATATGGTTTCAATGTTTTTGTTCCCTCCAAAACTTATGTTGAAACTTAATTCCCAGTTAAATAGTATTGGGAGGTGTGGCCTTTTAGAGGTGATTAAGTCATGAGGGGTCAGCTCTCATTAATGGGACTAGGTGCCCTTATAAAAGGACTTGATAGCGTGAGTTTCTCTCTCTTGCCCTTCTGTCTTCTGCCATGTGAGGATATATCATTCCTCCTCTTCAGAGGATAAAGCATCAAGGCACAATCTTAGAAGAAGAGAGTAGCCATCACCAGACAACTGAACCTGCTGGTGACTTGATCTTTGACTTCTTAGCCTCAAAACCTTTGAGAAAATAAATTTCTGTTCTTTACAAATTACCTCCCGTGGTATTCTGTTATAGCAGCACAAATGGACTAAGACAGGAGGCTATACTAACATTACACAAAAAAGACTTTCAGTCAAAATGGTTACAAGAAACACAAAAAGATATTATATATTGATAAAAGAGGCAATTCTTTAAGAAGAAATAACAATTATAAACACACATACACATAACAACACACAGGCCCCAAAATACATGAAGCAAACATTGACAAAGTTGAGGGAGAAGTAAACAGTTCTACAATAATAGTTGGAGACTTCAATAACATATAGAACATCTATACAGAAGATCAACAAGAAAATAGAAGAAGACTATAAATTAGACCTAACAAATGTATATAGAATCTTGACTCAATAACAGCAGAATACACATTCTTCTCCAGTGCACATGGAACATGCTCTAAGATGGACCATATAGCAGGCCATAAAATGTCTCAGTAGATTTAAAAAAATTGAAATCATACGAAGTATCCTCTTTAACCAAAATGGAATAACACTAGAAATTAATAATAGAAGGAAAACTGGACAATTTACAAATATGTGGGAATAAAACAACACAGCCATATACAACCAATGGGTCAAAAAGCATATTACAAGGGAGCTTAGAAAATGTTGTGAGTCTGATGAAAATGAAACATAACATATCAAAACTTATGAGAGGCAGTAAAAACAGTGCGTAGAGAGAAATTTATAGCTGTAAATATCTATGTTAAAAAGAAGAAAGAGCTCAAATCAGTAATCTAACTTTACCCCTTAAGAAACCAAAAAAGAAGAGCAAACTAAATTCATGATGGCACTGACATACGTTGGGAGAGGCAGGAGAGGCATATCACTTCAACCAGTCTCTTTGAGAATCTCTTCTCTAATGACTGTCATTACTGTCTACACACTTATGTCACCAACATGAAGCCTGATCTCTTCTACCTTCAGTTTTCTGTATACAAATTCTCCTTCAGTGTTTTATCAATCATGGTAGGATAGGTCAATGATTGGAAACTACCTCAGTCCATTTTTGTATGGAGTCTGAGATAAGAATGGATTTTACATTTTTAAAGGTCTGTTAAAACAAAAACAAAGAAGTACAAGTGTCAGAGAGTGTCTGTGGCCCATGATGCCTAAAATATTTATTATTTTATCCTTTACAGAAAATGTTTGCCACACCCTGAGCTATATTATGCTTTGATAACAAACCACCTTTAAATTTCAGTGGTTTGTAAAAAAAAAATTAGAAAGTTCACTTTTCATTTAGGTTATACAACAGTGGTGGGCCCAGTTGCAGCTCAGCTCTTCATTCTGTGTCTTCTTCAATCTGGGATACAGGCTATAAGAGCGAACCCATATCTGGCAGAGGCAATCAAGCAAAGGCTGAACCAAATGAGGGTCCCACTGCTTTGCTTGAATGTGGTATACGTGACTGCTACTCACAATCAACTGGTCCAAGCCAAGCACATGGCAAAGCCTTATGATTATTATGGCAAGAAATACACTCTTTCCCTCCAAAAAGTGTCACCAGAAGGAGGCCTTTATAAATGCGCCTAATGGAAAGGGGCACTGAATAACTGAAACTACTATATAGTTCATTAGCAGAGATAGTTGAAGGTAAAATGTTCATAAATCCTCATATTTTGTGGACAAAGGGTAAGTGCAATGATTAACTGTAGACATCAGTAAGCTAAACATGCACGTTGTAATTTCTAGGATTGCCACTAAACAAATAGAAGTATGCAAAAACTTCCAAACTAGTAGGGGGGAAATTTTTAAATGACAAAAATTAATAAAACACAAATAAGAAAGAGAAAAAGAAACAATAAATAAGTAGAATGCCTAATGTAAGATAGAAGCTATTAGTCCCTAAATATCAGTAATTACTTTAAATGTAACTGGTCTTAATGTTCCAGTTAAGATAATCTCCATCAATGCTGTCTCTCTTTTGGGTCCAAACAAAACTATAGTTCAATGGACATTGTATGGCTGTGAGAAATTCATATCATTGGAAGTCTGCATTTTTTTGTTCACCAACGAAAATAATAGCAAGCATATATTAATCACTTTCTATCAGCACTACATTTAACATACATTATCTTATCTTCACAACAACTGATATGGTTTGGCTCTGTGTCCCCACCCAAATCTTATCTTGAATTATAATCCCCATGTGTCAAGGGAGGGAGGTTACTGAATCATGGGGGCAGATTCCCCCATGCTGTTCTCACCATAGTGAGCGAGTTCTCATGAAATCTGATGGTTTTAAAAGCGTCTGGCATTTCCCCTGCTGGCACTTCTCTCTCCTCCCACCATGTAAAGAAGGTCCTTGGTTCCCCTTAACTTTCTGCCATGATTGTAAGTTTCCAGAGGCCTCCCCAGCCATGTGGAACTGTGACTCAATTAAACCCCTTTCCTTTTTAAATTGCCCAGTCTTGGATATTTCTTTATAGCAGTGTGAAAACAGACGGATACAACTTTACAAGGTTATCATCCCTTTAATAGTTTGAGTACCTTGAACAGATTCACTCACTACGCCTGAGATAGGTTTTGAGCCCAAGTCCTCCACTGAAGAGCTCACAAAACTGCCACCATGCTTTGCTGCTAATATATCATCTATATTCATGGTGACATGGTTTGGCTCTGTGTTCCCACCCAAATCTCATCTCAAATTGTAATCTCCATGTGTTGAGGGAGGGAGGTGATTGGATCATGAGACTGGTTTCCCCCATGCTGTTCTCGTGATAGTGAGTTCTCACAAGATCTGATGGTTTATAAGTGTTTGACAGTTCCTTCTTTACTCGCTCTCTCTCCTGTCACCTTATGAAGAAGGTGCATGTTTCCCCTTCCGCCATTATTCTGAGTTTCCTGAGGTCTCCCCAGCCATGCGGAGCTGTGAGTCAATTACACCTCCTTCCTTTATAACTTACCCAGTCTCAGGTATTTCTTAATGGCAGTGTGAAAATGGACTAATACACATGGTTTTCAAACTTTAGTGTGCTTCAGAATCTCATGGAACACTTGCTCAAACAAGGATTAGCTTTTGATTCAGTAGGTTTGAGGTGGGGCCCGGGATTCTGCATTTCTATCAAGTTCCCAGGGGATGCTGACATTCCACACTTTGAGAACCGCTGCTCTGTAAGATGCTTCTCCGGGGGAGTGGGAATGAACTCTAGTTTAAATCAGCTACTCCCCCTTGAACTCCTCTACCAGTATCTGCGTAATCGTAATCATCCTAGATTACATCCCAGGATGGAATCATTATAATACATTCAACTAGATGTAAACTGGCAAAAACAACCATATTTCAACTTATGATTGGCCACTATGTAGCTCATATTTTCTTTTCTCAAACATTATTGATAATTGATGGTTAAATAATGACTTGGTAATACTCCTTAAACGTATATGGTGGTGGAGCAATCTTTGTTTTTCACCACAAGCAATCCTCTTCTGCTTTTGAAGTTCTTGCAGTTCTTCCCTTCTCCCAGTATCATTACTGAATTGCCTCTAAATTACAAGCATGCGGTGGGTATTTGGCACAAGGGGAGGCATTTCTGCTTTTCCACTGTTCCTTTCCCATGGGGCGGTGTTGCTTCTCTTCCTCCCTGGTGGTGTTGAGGCCTCACAAACATCTCAGCAAGGGCCACTGTGTTACTTTTGTAATAATTTATTTTAGTCAAATCAGCAAGAGGCTTTTCTGTTCTCTACACTTTTGTTAACTCTGCCACTCACTCTGACACTTCACCACCCACTCTTAGTTTTTCTCTATTTTCTGAGAAATAGATAAGAAATATCAAAAGATGTATTAATCTAAGCTCTGTATCTTGTAACCCTTGCCTTTGGGAATTTCAAAGCTGCTTCTTAGCCGAGGGTGGCTTCTTCTTCTTCTTCTTCTTCTTCTTCTTCTTCTTCTTCTTCTTCTTCTTCTTCTTCCTCTTCCTCTTCCTCTTCCTCTTCTTCTTCTTCTTCTCCTCCTCCTCCTCCTCTTTTTTTTTCTGAGATGGAGTCTCACTTTGTCTCCCAGGCTGGAGTGCAGTGGCACGATCTCGGCCCACTGCAACCTCTGCCTCCAGGATTCAAGCGATTCTCCTACCTCAGCCTCCCGAGTAGCTGGGATTACAGGCTTGCACCATCTCACCAAGATAATTTTTGTATTTTTAGTAGAGACTAAAAATACAAAAAAACTTTGTCATGTTGGCCAGGCAGGTCTCAAACTCCTGACCCCAGGTGATCTGCCCACCTTGGCCTCCCACAGTGCTGGAATTACCAGTGTGAGCTACTGCCCCTGGCACTGAGGCCTTCTTGAAGGAGACCGTTCCTTTTGTTGAATGAATACTTTGCTTATATTATGAACTGATTGACTGCAAAGCAATTTCAGTACTCTCTGCTTACACTTATGCTTTGACTATTTTTGCTTTTAAGATTGATCATATCTTAAAAAAAGACTGATGATATCTGATACATATTGCATGATCTAGCAAATGGCTAATATATGCTGAATATTTGTCATGTGCCAGCATCTACACTGAGTGCTTTTCATAATTTAATTCTCACAATTACCCTGTCTGGTAGGTACTAATATTTCTATTTTACAGATGAAGAAACCATCTGTAAGTTGAAAGGTTAAGTAACCGAGGTTACACAGCTAAACGGTAGAGTGAGGATTAAAACCCAATGAAAACCCAAATACATTGTACTCTGGAATGCTCAGCTGTTTCCCATTTATTTGCCTGCCCAGTTATCAGCAAATTTACACAATCACTACATACTGGCTCCAAATCCTAGCGGATCTTAAAACTGCCTTCTCTTTCCATTTCCATTTTGAATCTATTCCATTTCTATACTGAGGAAAGGATATTCACATCTATAGGCAAAGATGTGGATGGGGAACATGATGTAACAGATTATGGCTCACTAGAACAATTTAAAATGCTGTCACCTCCTTTTCCCTGATACTCTCTGATGGATTCATTTGCCCATGATAATAGAATTGCTGCTTTCAGTTTCCTGCCTCCCAAATTTCTTCTTGCTCACACTGGCCGGTGGCCTTTGGCTTTTCACTCTCAGCAATTCCTTCCTTGAAAAGCCTGTTTGCTGGTGCATCTCTGTTCCAGGAAGAGAGGAAATCCATCCTGATTTTCCAAAGGGCTTTTAATTAGTTTCAAGTTCAAATTGAAGTTGTTAATTTTCTTGAGAAAAATTACACATTACTGGGAGGCAGGTACAGGAGGAAGCACCCTGGTCTCTTGTTTTCTTGATGTTGTCTCTTTCCCAGAGATCCAGTTTCATGTTTTGAAATTTTTTATAGTAAAATCAAACCCAACAGGAAAGACAATCAACACCCTGAAAAGAAAAGAGCCAGGGGAAAGCAGATAGCTTTCTTTGCTATGGAGTTTCACCAAATTTTCCTGATTGTGTTGATTTTAACTTTTAAAAGACACCACGGTTTGCTGTGTTTCTTTTCCAAGTTTCTGTTTCTAACATATGACCTTCATTTGGGTGGAAAAGTAGATTCATTATTTGCTCCTTTGAACAACTGCTTTTCTGCTACTATAGAAGGGAAATGAGAAAAAGTGAGCTAAATTCATGATCAAAACTGAGAATGTACAAAAAAAAAATGTTATTTTGCATGAGATTGTATTCCCAAATTATTTCTAACTCTTTTTATTTTTTATTTTCTTTTGAGACAAAGTCTCACTTGGTTGCCCAGGCTGGAGTGCAGTGGTGTGATCATAGCTCACTGTAACCTTGAACTCCTGTCTCAAGTGATCCTCCTGTCCCAGCCTCTCAAGTAGCTAGGACTAAAGCATGTTCTGTTATGCTTGGTTAATTTATTTTATTTTATTTTTATTTTTGTACATATGGGATCTCACTATGTTGTCCAGGCTGATCTCAAATTCCTGGGCTGAATTGATCCTCCCACCTTGGCCTTAGGATTACAGGCATGAGCCACCAAGCCCAGCTATTTCCAACTCTTCTAACCTCTGCTGATATAATTTAGTTTTGCTTGTTTTCGAACTCTATATAAATTGAAGTTATAATATGTATTCTTTTGTGCCTGACTTCTTTCACACAATAGTATGTTTGTAAGATATAGCCATGATGTTTATGTTGCAGTAGTTCATTCATTTTTACCACTATATAGTATTTTGTTCATGGTTATGCCAAGATCGATTTATCCAATCTCTTGTTGAATGGTATTAGATATCCAATCTCTTGTTGAATGATACTTGTTAGTCTTGCTGCTATGAGCATTCTTGTACATGTCCTTGGTGCACGTATGTATACCAGGAGTGTAATTGATGAGTTCTAGAGAATCTGTGTGTTCTACTTTATTAAACAACACCAGACTGCTTTCTAAAACAGCTGGAGCAATTTATACCCCGACCAGGAGTGTATGGGAGTTCCTGTTGTTCCAACAATTGGTACTGTCCTGAGATGCCTAAAGACATCCTTCCCTTTAATGCCAAACTGGCATTTATTGAGCCTCCTTCTTGCATGACAGGGAGATCGGCCTTTGTAGTTCTTCCCCCAGTAATTTCAGACGCTCTCCAGAGAAAGCCCATGCATCCTGTAGATCCTGCTCAGGTGTCAACCTGGCATACATCTTGTAGACCATTTCTTCACTCTCTGCAGGTGATTCTTGCCATTGCGTGTTCTCAAGCCCTGCTGAGGAAGCACGATGAATGGCACTATTTTGGTGGAGGACTCAGTAAGAATCATGCAAGAGACAGGTTTTGGGGGATAAGGAATGAGTGATGGATTCTGAAAGCTGTCACACTCCTTCTGCACACTAAAGATTAACTGGAATATAGCTGACTGTAACCAGTTGGAGGGGAACAATAGAGGTGGCTGGTTTCAGGTTATCTTCCAGGTGATTTACCTGGGACATCTGCCTTCCACCCTGATGCTCAGTTTCTTTGACTCAACTAGGCTTTTTGGCTAGGTAGAAAATTTATACTGCCATTAAATTTGGGCAAGAGGGGCTCTAGCCCTAGGCCTAGCCCTCCTGTTCTGGCTTTCTCCTGCTGTGCTCCACTCTCAAAGGGCAAGGAGAGCTCAGGGTCGAGGAGACATGACCCCCTTCTACACTGTGCTCCAGGAACCCAGCACCTCAGAATCCCCTGTTCAAACAGCTCCAAGCCACCTTTCAAAGCCTGGGTGGGCCCCTTCTCTGGATGTGTTGTCCTGAGGCAGATATTACTTGTGTGTGTACCTGTAGGCCCAGACAGCCAAGGAGTAGCTACTTATAGAGGGTATGGATGGCATTTGGATATGAGGCTGGGTTATTCCCAGGCATGTACAAGCCCATTTTCCCTTCTGGCCTGAGCTGGGGAAAGAAGAGAGAGAGACGTTTTGGGGAGCTGGGAGCCTGGACCAGTTCTCTCTGCACGTCCACATGTTAATGTAGAACTCTGAGAAGTATGAGAATTTTAAATTCAAATATGGTCTTCTAAGTCATTAGGAAGGTATACTTATTAAGCTAAGACAATAAAACATCTTTTATTTTGTAGTTTGCCAGTTTGATTTATTGCAGCTTTTAAGTATATAGACCAACGGTGAAGGCTTGCCCCTGTACCCTAGTCTTGGGCCCTGCAAATGTTAGTGAGATTTCAACCTCTATACCTCAATGGCCTGCTCCAGCTTGATTCTGGCAGCTAGCTCTGGAATCTTCTGCTTCATGTCTCACTGCCGTTATTTCCTGGCAGCTTTCCCAAATCCCTCTACTATCTGATTTTGTCCTCCAACCCTGAAAATCTCAGTATGTAGTGACTGAGGTTGTCATCTTGCACTTTACTTGGAAGGGTTCTACCATACCTCCTGATTAATAGTGTATAATATCTTTTCCTTCCTCTTCCTTCACCTACCTACCAAGTCTTTCTGATTAGTCAAAGAAATATCTACATTATAAAATGAAGAACTATCCACCGCTTTAATGACTGGGATGGACCAAGACAAACCAAACCCCACTACCAAGCATCTTTTGCAGATAACATCTTGTAATAAATACTTTAAAGTTAAGTTTTTGCTATGCAGTGCATTTGAAAGTTGGAGAGAATCCATGTGTTAATTATCAAGAAAATTCAAGCTTAAGGGAAAATGTGGAACATTATATAAATGAAAATTTGACTCAACAATCTAATATAACTCTGCAAATAAGTAGTTGCCTATTAGATCCAGGCACCTAAAATGATGAAAAGCACAGAAGAAAGCATCAGCAAAATTATATAACATATATATTAATTTTCCCCTTAAATTATTAAGGATTGGTGAATTATTTATGTATTAAGGTAACACAATATTTTCAAGCTGATGGCAGAATTCATCGCAATGAGAGGACAGTGTTGACTGAACATGCTGATTAACAACCTTCTCATTGTAGAAAGGGAAAGTGGTCTGGGTGGCTTACGAACTGCTCTGCACAGTAAGGTAGGGTGTGGGGGACCATAGGATTGTAAAGCACCAGGGAGCAGCTTGTTAAGAAGGAAATGTGAAGACAGAGAGAGGGACAGCAAGCTGGTGGGCAGTCAGGGGATGGAAGAAGAAAGTCAGTGAGAAATCCCCCCAGGCAGGAATGATGGAAATTGGGAGAATGACTCAGAGGTGTCTAAGGCTGAGACCGAATTTCAAATCATCTCCTATGCTTTGTGATGTTACTACTTTCCTGCCTTCTCTCTACAAAATGTTAAATTAAATACCTCTACATAAAACTATCGCATGTAACAGTATCTGTGAGAATCAAGAAGGGGAAACTATGTTTATTTAGGTTAGTACAAGATGAAAAGCAAAACCAGTAAGACGGGAAATACGTATGAAATGGGACATTCTACAGAGGCAAGGAATAAGAGTAAGATACGACTTAGAGAAATATAATCTTCTCTAGAATCCCTGGACACTTCGGTGGTGATGCTGTTTCCCAACATTTATGGAATGGTGCTGAGCTATTGCAATATAAATGTTGAAGAAGAAGGTGATTCTGTAAGGCTGGAGGATTTGGGGACATCCATATGATGGCACCTGGGCCATCTTCACAAATGAAAGCTGTCTTTCTTTTAGATTTTTTTTTTTTTTTTGAGATGGAGTCTTGCTCTGTTGCCAGGCTGGAATGCAGTGGTGTGATCTCAGCTCACTGCAACTTCCGCTTCCCGGGTTCAAGCAATTCTCCTGTTTCAGCCTCCCAAGTAGCTGGGACTACAGGCACGCACCACCACGCCCAGCTAATTTTTATATTTTTAGTAGAGACGGGGTTTCACCATGTTGGCCAGGATGGTCTCGATCTCTTGACTTTGTGATTGGCCTGCCTCAGCCTCCCAAAGTGCTGGGATTACAGGCGTGAGCCACTGCACCCCGTCAACAGAAATGTTTTTATAGAATACAGTACATACAGAATTGATTAGAAGTGATTGAATTCTTTATAGAATGTGAAATTTCAAAAGTAATAGTTTGTAAAGTAAAGGATGTGATGTATTAGATATGGGCTTTAATCAACAAGCATTTTACATTTTCTCTGTTCTCAGCATCGTACTTATGCTGAGAGACACAAAGGATATGTCAGACACAGTTCTTGCTCTACAGGAGTAACAAACAATTAAGTCACGTGAAGCATTAAGAAGGTTGGGTGTTTAGGCTTGTGCTGGAAGGCAGCAGGAGTTGGGAGAGAGAAAAGAACAGCTGAGATGCAAACATCCTAAGAAGTTGCGCTGTACCATAAGGGAAGGCTGGAAATAGGAGGCTGGAAGAAGATGTCATCTTCCAGGTTGAGGTAACAGCATTTGCACAGGCACAGACAGATGCAGGAATTCAGTATGGCATGATGTACACACACTGCAAATTAGCTGACTGAGTAGATGGTTTTCCCCTGGGAGGAATACGGAGACACATGCTTGTGGAGCAGGGAAGATAACGAAAACTTTGAAAGACCAGTTGGGGATCTATGATAAAAAAGGGGGAGCCACTGCCTATTTAATAAATGGTATTTTAGAAATACTTGCCTCACAGCAGGCTGTAGGATGGCCACATAAATGATAAACTGGAGGCAGGAAGGAAACAGTGGCCCAAATCTGGGCATGAGTGACATATGACGAGACCAAGATGGTGGGATCACGGTATAGTTGGAGGAGCCCCAGAAATTTTCCATATTTGTAGCCCAGCTCTATTAAGGATTATACCCTTAAAAGCCTTCTCCAGATACAAATATACCATTTAACAAAGCTCAGGCTATCACTATCGTCCCACACTCAACACGTATTTTAAACTTCTTTCCATTTGAGCAAATTTTTCACCAAACTTTATAATATAAGCCCCTCTAAGGAAGTTTACTTCCTCATTTTGGTAAATTTCCTGCTCATGCATTTTTATAAGCTTGCGATAGCCAACCTAGTTCCTAGAAGACTCATGCATTATAGACCTTTGATAGGAAAGGTGAGGATTAAAATTCATTATTATTTTATCTTTTGGTTTCTGTGGTCACAGAGTGTATAAGACAAGGACATACACTGTGTGCAATATCAGACATCCTGCTGCAAAATGGCTGTGGTCTGGCAAGGCTGGGAACAGCTTTTGTGGGTTTGCAGTGATATTTGAAGTTTGATGAATGAATACAAAATGCATCACTGGTATAATCTAAATGATGTGACATAATTTATGCTCCAACTGTTAAACTCCAATAAATCCCAGCCAATGACAGGAAAATCCCAGATGTTGGGCCATTCTGGAAACTAAGTACACGGGCCTCAGTGAATTTATGATCTTTCTGTTTTTGACTCCTTTCTCCCATTTTGGAGATTAGTTCTTCTCTCGTTAATTCTACCCTGCAAAATGTGCAAGCTAAAACTGCCTCACAAACCTTCTTCATCATTAATCCTCAGATGAATTTCAGCATTTGAAAATGGTAAGTTGCCAGAACTTTAAAAAAAGATACAACTTTGCTGTCTGTTTTATTAATCACTAGTATCTTTGTCTCCAGAGATAAGTGCGACATTAATCAGAAATTCAGGAAAGCATCTCTCATGTTGATTTAAGTGGGTTTCTGGGGTCACTTTCAAAAAGTATAAAACATTTGCTCATTATTCTGTATATACTAAGTTACTAAAAGGTTATTTCTCATTTTATGATCTTATAATTCAAGCTATAGTTTTAGTCCTTAATTAAAGAGGGATTAGGAAATATAGCAGTTACTCATTTATAGGAAAAAGGGCTTTCATTGTATGAAATTGTTTTATAACTGCAAATAGTACTAAGGCAAAAGCAGGAAAAAGGAAAATATTTAAAAGCATGTCAAGGGCACCGAAGTCTTATAGAATAAATATTTAACAAATAAATAAATGAAAGAAAAACCTTGTGGAGATATTAGCTATAGATAGGTGGGTTTTAAGTTTAGCAAAGCTAAGCCTCAGGGTGCTAGTTTTTTCTTTTCAGCTATCAAGCCTATAACTTGAGTATTAATGCCTGATGAATAGCATAAAGCAGCAGCATTTTCCATATGTGTACTTAGAGTAAAGTTAATGTAATAAACATAATTGCACTCATATAGCTTAGTATAAGCAATTATCACTAATTACTGGTAGAGTTTCTCTCTCTTATTTCTAATGAAGAGTACAGTGGAAGGATAGTTTATCTCTAGATACTAATTTAATTTAAACGTTAATAGGAATAGTTTTGTTTCTGCCTAAAAGATTTTGATGAATTTTCATTGCATCTAACTTCAATTCCAGCAATGTCTTTATCATCAGCCTTTCTTAGTCTGTCACTTGGAGGATGTTCTATCCTGTCCTACTGTCCATAAGACCAAGCAGCTCGGAGGACTCCCATGAATCAGTGAAAAGCACCTTGCACCATTCTGGGCAAGCAGTGGGACTCAGCTTCTGTGGATTTTGAATTGTTGCATGAAATCAGTCAGTATTTCGGAGCATCGGTGATCAGAGGTGTCTCCTACATATTTGTTTGTATTCCTATAAGCATCCAACACAATGGCCAGTAGGTAGTTAATGCTGATTAAATGTTTACTGAGAGAAGAGACGAATGCAGGTATTTATGTATATTTGGGTTTGGGTCATTGTTTTCTTCTCTTTTTTTCCTTTCTACACATAGGATAAAGAGTCTGTAATACACGACTAGAATAATTTGATACTTAAAAAAACAATGGTTGAAAACAATGACACATTAAACTATCTACTGTGCAAACCTTCACCACCAAAGCCACCTCTGGCCACAGTGCAGGACTGTTAGAAGTTGAGGGGACCTTTAATTTCTGCCAGAAGCCCCAAGTGGTTGACAATTATATCATTTCTCTATCTCTTAATCTTAACTGATTTGCCTGTTTGTGGACAAAAGAAAAACAAGCCATGTTACAGTTTGTTCAGAAACCAAGAAGATGGAAGCCTTTTAATTCTGTCTTCATTGGTGAAGCTATTTACTTTGCTGTGTTTTGTGCTTTGAAAAAGTTTGAATAAAGATACAAAATACAGAGCAGAGAGGCAGAATGATATTGCAAATAAGAGCTGGAAAACTTAGGCTCGAAGGTGGCTCTGCTGTGTGACCTTGGATGAATTAATTAACTTATCTGTGTCCCAAGTTCCTCGTTTGAAAACAGGGGTGTAATAATAGTGCCTAACTGCAAGATGTTGTGATGATTGAAGGAATTTAGATAAAGTGTTTAGACAGTGCTTGGTACATAATAAATGTATATAAGTATCAGCCATTTTGGTATATGACTTTACAGAAAGCATAGATGCTGAACAGAATAATCCACTTACTGAGAACCACAACAATTTCAGGAATATGAGCATATCATTCCAAAAAATATAATAGGAGAGATACATTCCAACAAAACAGGTAAAAGAAAGAAAACACTTTACAAATATGTAGTTATTGAATTCAGTATTCTAAAACCAGAGATATTGGTGGTATGTCGAATAGGAGAAAAAAGGGTCCAGGAAGAGTTGGAATAAACAGGGAGTCAGAAAAGTGATTTTCAACCTTTGTCCATGTTACAATCATTTGGGGGAGCCTGTTAGCTCATACCGGGGACTCTGTATTTTTGAGAGATGCCCTAGGTGATTCTGATGCAAAATGAAGATAGAAAAGAGCCTTAGAAAATGAAGGGGAGCCGAGATCTGGGTTCGGGGGTGGGAATGAGATTTGGATAGGAAACTCAGGCAGCTGGAACCCTGGGGGAGTTTCACTCAGTGTTACCAAGTCACAAGCTAGAATAATTCACTCAACTCAGATCAACCCATCACCTTGTTACTGAATGTTTCTGTTCTGGGTTCACATGAAACTGTGTTTATTTTCAAATCAACTATAATCTTTTCTCTGATATACAGTGAGAATAATTGCTTTCCATACAGGAAGTTAAAGCCCCAAGCAGTAATTCCTTCCTCACAGTAAGTCTTGCTTTCAAGACTATTAACAAGCATCATTTTCTTATGGCTGATTTGTCTGTCTATTTACCTATCTATATCTGTCTATCTATCTATCTATCTATCTATCTATCTATCTATCTATCTATCTATAATCTATCTATCTATCATCTATCATCATTATCATCATCATCATCATCATCATCATCATCAATCTATCCATTCTAAGTCTTTCGGTAGTAGATATTTCCATATATTAAAAACAAACAAATGAAAAACCAAAATAAAGCTGACATTTAGTGCCTTCAAGCCCCAACCATTCTCTTTTTTTAAACCACTTTAAGTAGAGACAAAACAAGCAAAGGTTGACTTTGGTGGTAGAGTAAATTTACACTTTGTGGAAGTTTAAATTTGAAAGGCTGAACTAGATTTCCAAATTTTTGTAAGTGAAACTGATGAGATTAAAATAAATTGTCCCATTTCCTGGAATCAGGCCCTGTCCAAATGCAGCATGAGTTTTTCTGAAAACTTGATTAAAATTAAAATGATCTCATAAGGAGAGACTTTGGAAATGGTGGAGAAAACCCAACATCAGGCATATTCGTTTTCTACACATCAGAAAGAATGGGTCAGAATTTGGAAAGATTTGAAAGTGGGAATGTTGTATCTTTCTTTTGAAATTTGGTCTTATCCTACTCCCAGAATGGAGATATTCCATTTCTAGTACTAAATGTTCTCTATTTCCTTTCATATTTCACAATATTTTTCAGGCCAATTTTTTTTTTTACATCTAACCAATGAATCCAGTATTATATTTTTAACAATCTTTCATTTCCTCTCCAATTTGTGATGTTATTTGGAATCCTTATATGTATAATAAACTGCCTAAAGATTTAAATTATTTTAAATTCATGTATGTTGGGTTATTCCTGTACTGTTTACTTGTGGCATTGACTTATCTATTTTTGCATCTGTACCAGGCTTGGCAACTGCATTTTTTTAAGTATATTTTAGTATCTGGCAAGATGACTTCCCTAGCCTTCCTCTTCTTTTTCAAAATGTACGTAGGTTTTTTACCTATTTGTTAACCTATCATTACTTTTAAAAATATCCCTTATCAACAATTTTTAAAAGGCTATTGGGATCCCTCTTGAAACCATAATAAACTTATACATTATTTTGGAAGGAATTGATGTTTTTGTAACATCTGCTCATCAAGGAACATGATGCACCTCTACAGTTACTAGTTTCTCAGACCTCTCAGTAAAGTGCACTTTTGTTATTGCTTAGGATCGTTTTGGTTTCTTGGTGATTTTTGTTGCTATAGTAAATGGCATTTTCCACCTGGTTACTGTTGGCATAAGTGAGATTTCTTATATAATTATATGGTTTGCAAATCATTGGAAGCTTTTCTTTCAATAAATTTACCTCTAATTTCTGTTTTGTGTCTTTTGATTTATTTTTTATTTTTTTTTGAGACAGGGTCTCTCTCTGTCACCAAGGCTAGAGTGCAGTGGCACGATCAGCTCACTGCAGCCTCAACCTCCGAGGCTCAAGCGATCCTCCCACCTCAGCCTCCCAAGTAGCTGAGACTACAGGCACATGCTACCATATCTAGATAATTTTTTGTATTTTTTATAGAGATGGAGTTTCACCACATTGCTTAGGCTGGTCTCAAACTCCTGGACTCAAGTGATCTAACTGCCTCAGCCTCCCAAAGTGCTGGGATTACAGGTGTGAGCCACTGTGCCCAGCCTGTTTTGTGTCTTGTATCAGCTAAAACTTCTAGAACATGTTGAATAATAAGATTATAGTAGGCATCTTGATTTTACTCTCAATTTTACTGGAACTTTCTCTAGCATTTCTATTTTAAGTATGATGTTGTCTATGGCTTAAGATAGATGTTATTTGTATTATATGAGAATCTGTCAGAGATACTCAGCCTCCAAAATGTCTATAATGATTCTTACCTTCTGGTAGTCACACTTTTGTGTAGTCTCCTCTCATAGTGAATAAGGCTGACGTATGTAACAATATTATGGACATAAAGTTTGGTGACTTCTGGGGCTGGTTCATAAAAGACATTGCAGTCTCTGCCTGGAAATTTTCCCCTGATTACTCACTCAGGGGGAAAAGCCAGCTGCCATGTTGTGAAAACACTCAAGCAGCCCTATAATGGTGAGAAACTGAGGCCTCCCATCAAACAGCCAGCTCTAACTTGCTAGCTATATGAGTAAGTCAGCTTGGAAGCAGTTACTCTGGCCCCATTGTAGCCTTCAGATGACTGCTTCCCTGGTTGATATTTTGATTGCAAACTCATAAAAGACCTTGAGTCAGATTCATCCAGCGAAGCCACTCCTGAATTCCTAACTTACAAAATATCTGTGAGATAATAAACGCTTATTGTTTTAAACTGCTAATTTGGGGGTAATTTACTATGCAGCAATAGATAGCTAACACACTTCCAAAATTATATTTAAAATAAATCACTTAAGGCCAGGCGTGGTGGCTCTTGCCTGTAATCCTAGCACTTTGGGAGACCGAGGCAGGAGAATTACCTCACATCAGGAGTTCGAGACCAACTTGACTAACATGGCGAAACCCCACCTCTACTAAAACTACAAAATTCGGCCATGGTGACACATGCCTGTAATCCCAGCTACTTGGAAGGCTGAGGCAGGAGATTCGCTTGAACCCAACAGGCGAAAGTTGCAGTGAGCTGAGATGATATCACTGCATGCTAGCCTGGGCTACAGAGCAAGACTTCTTCTCAAAAAATAAATAAATAAATAAATAAATAAATAAATAAATAAATAAATAAATAGATAGATAAATAAAATAATAATAAAATAAATCATTTAAGTCAGCAATGGTAAAAATGATATTGAATGCCTTTTTGACATCTATGAGATGATTCTTTTTTTTCTTCTTTTTTGGTGTATCAAGGTGATGCTTTATTTCATTAGCTTTCTTAATATTAATGTATTTTAGTCTTCCTAAAATCTTCTTGATCATGGCAGATTATTATTTTAATATATTCTCTAATTTTATTTTTTAGTCATATGTTTAGAATTTTGTATATATAAATTAATAAATAAGCTTGGCCTATACTTTTCTTTTTTTTATAATAAAGATTGTCCTACTTTTGGAAAATTATCTGGTTTTTTTTCCTATACTTAGAATTTAAAGGGAATCATCTGTCCCTTGAAAGCTTAAAGACCATGAAATCCTCTGCGCCCAGGGCCTTTTGCTTGTACTTTCTTTGATGATTTTCTGAATCCCTTCGTATTTATTGGTCTATCCAGGTTTTCTACTTGAATCCATTTTTAAGGTTTATTATGTTACAGAAAATGTTAAGCAAACTACCACTGAGATTATTATCCTATATATTTGCTTTTCGTATTATTTTTCTCACAGTTTTCAAAAATCTGGCTGAAATAAGATATGAAAGTGAAGAAGCTAAACCCATCAGCAGAATTAAATAACCAATGGGAGAAATTGCCCTTTCTTGATGCATCCTCTGTGGTAGGAACCAGCTTTGGGGAATGACTTTAGCTATTTTACCCGAGTGGAGATGTAGCCAACATGTAGCCGAAAGACTCAGAAGGAATTGGATCAGTGGAATCTGAGGAAAGCTGGGAAGCTACATGAGGAAGGGAGCATACTCATACATCTTGCTTGCCACTCCCCCAAAGAAATATGCTTTGTTATAACAGTTGAATTAACTTATATGGAAACATTAGGCCACTGACAAGCTAATTGCATAATGGCTCCCACACTTACCAGACCAAAGTACCAAAGTTAAGGGGAAAATGGAACGTATTGAGGAAAATACAAAGGATTTTGGTTGCATGCCTTTACAGGAACCGGGCTGCTTGCCCTCGCTCTGGTCCTGTTAACATTCCACACATGGCTCAATCTCAGCTACAGTTTCCATCATGTTCATTACTCTCACGAACATCTCAGTTGACATGAAATAAAGGTTTCCTCTTGACCTATGAAGTTTAAAGCTAATTCACTTTCTGAGTGGCTTAAACTAACTGCACCCTGCAGCTTGCTCAGCACTTGGAGCTATATTTGGAAAAGTTTTTGACAGTCAGTACAATTTTCTTCTCTAACATCCTGAAATTTTTATCAAAAGAAAACATTCAATTTTTTAAACTTTAGTTTTTCCCCCTGCACTGTTGTAACTAATCAGTGCTCGGGGAGGTCTTTGGTCATCTGCTTTGGTTTCATGTGACCATGTGAAGTGAACTTATACATGGACTACACACTCCAGAAATCCTTTAACCCTCTAGTGTCTTCTCAGTTACTTTCTGCAACAACTCCTTCCCCCAACAAAACAGAAAGGTCCAGAGAGACCGTTGCCTTCTCCTTTGGCTCAGCTGACTGGCTGGCCACGGATGCTGGTGATTGATGCCTCTCTTCCCCAGCTCTGCTGCTGGCATTTCCAAATCTGGACTTCTTCTTCTTCTTCTTCTTCTTCTTCTTTTTTTTTTTTTTTTGTATGTCTTTGAAAGCCTTCTTGTTTCACTAAACTTGTCAGTCATATATCCTCCTATTTTCTGCTCACAGCTGCAGTGGAAATGTAACACCATCCTTCCTCTTTGCTAAGGGTTTTCCTAAGGCCATGGTGATAGGGCTCTCCTATGCTCATGAGGCCCAGCACCACCAAATAGTTGTTGTTTTACTGTTCCAGATTAATGAATGGTTAAAAAATCCAGGCAACGTAGGGGTCCTGTGGTCACCTCAATAAATGCTAAATCAATTCTTAAGCCCTTCGCCATCCCCTAAGAACTTGAAATGCTGACACTTGGGGTCAAGCTTTTGCCACACATTTTCTGAAGGATTTGGGGCCTGATGTTGCTTCACTGCCCCTTACCAATCAGCTTGATTAGTGCTTTTCTGAGGACCTATCCTTTATTAAAGATCCTGCCTCTGCAAACTATATTAAGTAGTTTCTCTCTGGAAATAACTTTTCTCTTGTTCCATGTTCAACCATCTGCTTAATTTATAGACTATTAAGAGTACACACACTTTACTCTGTAATAAAAAAAAAATCCTTGCAACTGAGGTTTGTAAATTGCTCTCCAGGTGACACTGGAGCAAGGCAGGGGAGGAATGTGGTCTATTCCCAAAGCAGATAGCAAGAACTTTGACCCAAGTCCTGCCCATACCATTTACCAGCCGTGTGTCTTTGGGAAATTGACGTCTTCTTTTTGACCCTGAGTTTTCATGACTGTTCAACTATAAAATGTGAGGGTGATAATAACACCTACGCCTTAGGGTTTTGTTTGTTTTGTTTTAAATATAAAATAACACAATATACTCAAAAATATTTTATAAAGTGTAAAACATCAGAGGGCATTAGAAAGTATTCTGCAACTTCTCCTTTTGCAGAGGACTATGGAAACGTACAGACCTTTATTTATTTACCATATTTAGAGACTCTACTCCTTGGAGAGAATTCTAGACATGCCTTATATCAGGGCTACCGGCTCCACTGATATAACAGATCAGCTTGGGTTTTAATCTCTTTATTTAATATGCACGTACACTATTGCCCATGGCTTGGAAAATTTAACCACAGAATCTCCATTTGTTTTCTGTTCATCATCTCTGGATTGGTTTTGTTTTCTCATCTCTTAAATTTTGTTTGCTGTTGTGTTTGTGTTTGTTATTGTTTGCTAGAAATTTTATTATTTTAAGAAGATTTTTTAAAAATCAGTTTCTGGTTCTATGTATTTCACTATTTTCAGTTTTCTAATTCTTTTCAACTTAAAATTTTAATTTCTCTTTTCCAGTTTTGTTTTTGTTTTTACTTTTTTTCTCCAGTTACTTGAGTTGACTCTTTAATTATTATCTCACCTCCTGCCAAAAGACATATGGTCTTTTCCGTGCTAACTAATAAATACTCTTAAAAACACAACTATACACAGTTCTTTTGTATTTGCTAATCATTGCTCTTTCTTGATAGAGACATAACATCACATATGTAATATCATCCCTGTTGCCTTATGAATCTTAAGAAATTTAGAGGGCTTTAAAAAGTGGGTTCCAAAATGATCTCTAGCAAGATCATTGCTTAAATATGCTCCCTGTGCAGTGCTTTTTTAGTTTAACAAAATAGGAAAATAAATGAATGTCATGATAAACTGCATTTCTCACCTTGTTCTTATTTTCTGCATCAAGTTTAATCTTCACTGCTGAATTTGCGTTCTTTAGCACATGTGTGCTATTTAGAATGGAGAATATTATTCAAAACATATATTGGCATTAAAAAGGGGAGAAATGTGTTAATTCTCACGGGTGATTAGTAGGAAAATACAATGGTATCTTGTTTTTGTTAGTGAATTTGGATAAACTTTCATTGATCTCTGATTTTGTTACCATCAGATGAGCCTGTTGAAATGTTAATTCTTTGGAGTGGATTTGTGCCAACACTGCTTAGTTAAAAAGGTATGAGATATGTCTCACTGGACCATCTGTAGCATCATCAGAAAGCTTTGCTCCTCCTCCTTGAAGGGGGCAACAAGTTTAATTTCTGTGTGTGTTGCTTTGTCCTCAGCATATAATTTATTGACATCCCTATGACATGCCTTTTGGTTGCAGCACAAGCAGGGCTGGTCATGTTTTATGCTCCTGATTCCTTTTGCTAAGACAGCTTCTGGATGTTTAGTCACACACATACACACACAGCAAATGGGATGGCAGTCTGCCCTAGTTTACCCAACCTCCTGCCACATTAAACTTGCTACAGTTATTGTGTGTTGAGGGTAATTTCTAAAATATTTTACAAGCTCACAGTGAGCTGCCTCCTTCTGACAGCTACTCCACAGCCTGAATCCAGAAAGTATTGAGATACAGAGTTAAAAGGTGTTTGTCTTACAAAGGAGAGAGAGGGAAAAACACAAAGGCAACAGACAACAGAGGAGGAAATGAGAAGTTTGTTATTTGGAGGCTATTGCTCTACCAGATAGTGCAGCTGACCACGGGCTGCAAAGCACAGTACCTCCTCAATGATTCTTTCTATATTGGGTACATTCTAAGACAGTCTCTGTATGTTCGCATAGTTGTTATTTTTAGAATTCTGACTACTGTAAATATTTTTTCTCCTCTGAGGCAGTATTTTGCACTTGTATCAAGGGCAGCTGAGGTATCTTGAATTCGTCTCTACCAAAGAGAACTTTAGACAGCTGTAATTCCCCAGGAGCACTGTGTCCATAGTGTCCTCCGAGGGGCACAAACAGGCCCTCCAGACCCAAAATATTCCTCTCGCCAAATACGCCTGGGAGGTTTGAACTGAATTAAGACCGTAAGATATCTGAAAGGAGTAACAAATTAGCAAGCTAGAATATTAGCAGGAATTAATTTATCACCTCTTGCTTCCAGGCAGAGGAAATGAGACCCAAAATAGAAACCTTTCCAGGCCAGAAGAAGTGGGCGAGGTCTGGAGCTCTGAGCTCCAAGGCCCAGTCTGTAAGTTGTCTAACCATTCATTTACTAATTTACTAATTCACTCATAAATCCAGTGGTGTGCCAGCACTGTGCACATGAGAAATGGGCACTATAGGACTGCTAAGTAAATAGTTAAACAATGTTGAGTAAATGACATCAGGGCTGCCCTGGTAGCTTTGAGTGACAGAGGCAGATGAGAGGGTTGGTAGTCATGGATTGAAGGCCAGGAGGATTTCCTGAATTTCTCTGCCTAAGGCTCATGGCCCATGGGCACTTGGCCACCCTAGGCAGGCTCAGAGCAAGCACCTCTTTTCACCTGAAAAAGTTTTTGGCTGTTGAACCCCCAGCATGATTTCCTAGCAGTGCCTCTGTATACTTTGCTCACTCATATCCACAACCAGAACTTATCCATCTACTCTGGTATACTAGGAGAGTAGCTTCCTTCCCTAGCTCTGGGTTTGCCTCAAGAATGGCAGAGTTGAAATAGATCTATCAGAAACACTTTCTAGAGGGCTCATGAAAGAAGGGTGCTTGTTCTCCCCAACCTTCAGAAAGCAAAAGCACTTTGATTTCACCTGAATTAAAAATAAATTCTAATGAAATACCTGATACGAATGTAAAAGTATCTTTTGGAAAAATTCACTCCATGCTTTGAAATTAATTCCAAGGCACACTTACATTTATCTTTGATTTAGAAAGGAGAAAATTGCTTTCCTTTTTGTTCTTTAAAATTTATGTAACTGTAACGGAGAAAATTAGAGTACATGAAGTATAGAAATTGAATCATAATCCAGTGCAATGCATTTCCTTTTCCAGAAAGTCAAATGTCATTTGCATTTGAGCTGATGAGCCTTTTTTGGTATCCTTATAAAGACTTTTTCCCCTTTCTTCCTCTGATAGTCTTCAAATTAAATTTTTGTCATTTGAATAACTCTAGTTATTTTCCTTTTATGCAGGCTGTGCTATTATAGTAATCAGGTTGTCTGAGACATAAGTAGGTCACATGAATGTATTTCAAAATAGAATTTGGTGCTCACAAAGAATCATATGGAAATTACAGGGGAAACAAAATGTAGGCATTCGATGATGGTAGTGAAAACCTGAGATAGCCTAAAGTTGAACATGAGCCACTGAGTTTAGAAATGGGGGGAGGGACATTGCTGACTTTCCCGACAGCAATGAAGGTATTTCTTTATAAAGTCTTCTGAGCGTTAAATGAGCTTTAGGCCAACTTTTTTTTCTGCTAATAATTGGTGTGTGTGTATATATATATATATATAGAGAGAGAGAGAGAGAAAGAGAGAGAGAGAGAGAGAGGTATCAGCTTATTATATAGTAGGGCTGTGAGAGGTAGGACTCAGTGAAGATCAGTTTCTGTCCTAGTAGGGTTTTATTTTAGTTTAGTTTTTCAAAACTTTTCGTAGAAATAGGGTCTTGCTATGTTGCCCAGACAGGTGTTGAATTCTTGGTCTCAAGCAGTTTTCCCACTTCAGCCCCCAAAGCACTGGGATTACAGGTGTGAGCCACAATTCCTGGACTGTCCTAATAGGGTTTTATTTTAGTTTTTTTTTTAACTTTTTGTAGAGACAGCATCTTGCCATGTTGCCTAGGCTGGTCTCAAATTCCTGACCTCAAGTGATCCTCCCACCTCAGCCTCCCAAAGCACTGGGATACAGGTGTGAGACACTGTGCCCAGTTTGTTCTAATAAGATATGAGTTCGCTCTGTGGCCCAGCCTGCAATATCACATAACACAAACATATGTCTCCTAAGATAGAGTTTTAATTTACCAGTGACTAAGATGTGTCAAAGAAAAACAGAGATGGCCACTAGTTAAGGCAATACAGATTGATTTTATTCAGTGCTATTGCAGTAGCAGAGAGCAGCTTCAGTAACACTGAGCTCAGCTCCAAACGCAGGAAAGATGGCAGGGAATTTATAGCCAAGGAGCAGAGTGAGGGGAACCCTGGGTGGGAAATTACTAACAGAAGCTATCAAGTCTAGGGAGACTCTTGTTCAAGGTATTGAGGATTAGACATTGAGGACGGGGGTGAGGAATTTGATCAGATAAATGTGGAGAGGGTCTCCCTAAACTGACTTAGCACGAATTTTGCTAGAACAGGGCTGCACAGGACCAGGACACAACCCAAGGATGAGGCCTAGTTGAAAACAGGCCTCAGAGGAGCCTGTCTAAAGTTGGGTCAAGGAGAGAGGCTTTGTCAGGTGGCAGATAAGTACCACACCACAGGCCTGCTCTAACCAATTGGTTGTGGTTGCCTGGGAACTCTTTGGAAGAATGTTGGCTTTTTATCTGGGTTTGGAGTCTATTAGAAATGCCAGCCCTGGTACAGCTGAGAGGGTGCAGCTTACACACCCCATGTGTACTGAATTGGGTCAGTGGGTGGACTTTTGCTTCTGAAGAACATGAAATCCCTTCATTCTGAGAGTTTCTGCTACTCGAAAATTAGTTCTTATCCAGTGGTTCTCAAACTTGAGTGAGAATCAGAATCAGCTGGAGGCTTGATACAACACAGAAGACTGGAACCACCCCAGAGTTTCTGATTCAAAAGGCTGTGCTTCAAAGTGTAGAATATCAGGTTTAATGAACAGTTTCAATGTAGAATCAAATATGAATTTTTTTCCCCAGTGATCGCTACCAACTGTTTTCTGCCAAACACCTTCCCCGCTGATAACGCTGCCTTAAGGACATCTCTTCCCCAGAATCGATGACTTTTCAGCATCTCTTGGTTGTTAAAAGATCCAAGGGTGCAGTGGCTCACGCCTGTAATCCCAGCACTTTTGGAGGCTGAGGCAGGTGGATCACCTGAGGTCGGGAGTTCAAGACAGGCCTGGCCAACATGGTGACACCCCATCTCCACTAAAATACAAAATTAGATGGCGTGGTGGTGCATGCCTATAATCCCAGCTACTCAGGAGGCTGAGGCAGGAGAATCGCCTGAACCTGGGAGGTGGAGGTTGTGGTGAGCCAAGATCGCACCATTGCACTCCAGCCTGGGCAACAAGAGCAAAACTCGGTATCAAAAAAAAAAAAAAAAAAAAAAAAAAAAGATTCTGGAGGGCGGTGCCTGAGATTTTGCATTTCTAGCAAGCTCTAGGTGACCATGCTGCATGTCAGGGAACCATGCTTGAGAACAACTGCTCCACAGGGCTTTCCCCATCTCACCTCCTCTCTTTGAGGGTGCTGTTGGCTATCAGCCCAAGGGCATCCTCATCTCAACATAAAATACAACAATCCCAACCCAGTAATTTCCAGATGAGAGAGAACAACTGTGTGTGGGTACAGGTGTTGGATGGAGAGAGTGATTGGCAAGAGCTGACATTTACCAACGGATCGCCCACCCCCTTTACTGAACGGAATCAATGGATGAGGCAGGAGTGGCTGGAAATCTCTTAGGAGTTAAGAGGGGTGCATGCACCAATTCCTATTCAAATGCATTTGACAAGTGAGATCAATATTTAAAAATTAGGAAATAAATTTAATATGTTCCAGTTTGAAACAAATTATATTGGTTACCTGTTCCTCAGAGGCAGTCAGGCAGCCCTATTGTCTTGCAGAACTGGGCTGGTTCTTGCCAGAACATTAGTTTTCTTGAAAAGGAGATGGCCTTAGAGCTTAACTCAGTGACTGCTCAAATGGGAATTTTCCTAACTTCCTTCTCCCATGTGCCCCCTGGGCCTTTTATATGCAAATTGTCAGTTATTAGTTACATAAATAATGGCGAGACACGGTCAAGCTGTCCAGTCAATCCCCCTGCCACATTTGTGGATATTTTAAACTCATTTTGTTAAAACTTGCTACCTTTTCTATCTTAAGGTAAATATTGAACTTCTCGATTTTAGGTAAAAATGTTTGAATTGTTCCCATTATGTTTCATTATTAAATATTAACATTCTTGTCCTAGAGCAATTGGTAACATTGATTTAATAACTAGATTTGAGTATTGGATTTCACTTCATAAACTAAAGGTTTATTCATCCATCAAATGAATCTTTATTATGAACCCACCATGTTCCAGGTGTAGGGATTTAATGAGGGGAAAATAGTCCCCTTGCTCACAAAGAATATGATGACAGCCAGTGACAAATGCTGGAAAGAAAAGTTGAACAAGGTAAGGGGAAGAGAAGGGCAGAGGAGGTGACATTTGAACAGAGACCTGACTGATGTGACAGGTCTGAATGAAGAGCCCATGCAGAGAGAAGCCACTTTCTTTGTTTTTCTCTCCTTGCTTTAGGGTAGATATTACCTACTTTACATTTTAACAGATGTTTTCTTAATTTATCCAGCATTTTGGGGTATTTTGTATTGTGAGGTCTTTAAGCAGTCCATAATATGACTAGAACAGGAATTCTATCTTATTTAATCTTAACAACAGCACATTGGAGTATATATTTTATCCCCATTTTATAGATGAGGAAGCTGAGGCTTGGAAATTTTAAGCAGAAGCTTGCCTAAGATCAGCTAGCCAAGGGAGGAAAGTGGATCTAAACCCAGATCTGACAGACTCAGAAGAGAGCACTCTCTTTATGAAACTGCACTGCCTCTTCCGCATACCCACTAAGTTGAGCCTTTTCACCAAGACATCTTCATGGAATCTTAGGGGAATCTATTCTGCCTTGCACAATATCAAGATCCAGGAGTGGAGAAGGGTATAGTCTTAGCAAAATGAAGAGCAAAGCCCCAGGGAGTTTTCCTTCTTTGATTTCCCCCTCTGAATAAAAACACTGTTGCACACTTGGAATAAGAAAATCAACTAACCCAACTGTATACATGAAAACTTCACTCTAGATCTCCGTTGCACTGGACACTTACGTGCATTAAATTTACATAAGGAGTTGATGTTATAAAAAGTTTATAATTTTTAGTACATTGAGAAATAAGTCTAGCTAAACTGGCATTCTCTAAGGGATATAACTTACCTGCCCTCCCTCCTCTGGCCCCCAGAATCTTGACTGCAATGGCAGAGTTGAGTCTACTTGGCCTAGATATGGATCCATAAACACATGTTTGTTGTAGGGATTGGCTGGATAGATGTGTGGAGAGAGTAACATCTTTGTGGATTTCATAAAGACAACCCAAGGATTCACTGAGGGTGAATCAGTCACACTATGGAATGAGAACCATATAGAGTTTACTCTGCAGTTAACCTATGTGTAGTGATGCTGAACCAAGTACAAATGATTTGCAGTAGAGCCACGGGGCGGCACCAAGGGGCACAATAAACTGGACTGGAGCCGAGGGACCTGGATTGGAATTTGACCTTCTCCTCTTCCTAGCTCTGTGACCCTGAGCACATCTCTCAAGTACTCATAACCTCCAATTCCTGTCTACAATGGGGGTAATGTAGATCGCCTAGGAGAGAATTGTGGAAAACCTGGACTGGTGTGCTGCCTCCCTCCTCCTAAAAATTGTGTGCGTCAGGCTCTCTCTTCCTAACAAACTCTCATGTCATTGTGTCTATAAAAAGGCTGTGCTCCAAGTGTAGAATATTTCCATTGAAACAGGAAATGTTTCATTTAATGGATATTCATAAAAGGAATATTTTATTTAATGAACAGTTTCAACATAGAATCAAATATGAATTTTTTTTCCCCAGTGATCACTACTGTTTTCTGTCAAACACCTTCTCCACTGATAATGCTGCCTTAAGGGCATCTCTTCCCCATCGAAAAGATTTGATGACTTTTCAGCATCTCTTGGTTGGTAAAACAGATTCGTTCTAGTTTTCATGATTTAGTTCTGTTGAAATTGCATTCTCATGTTTTCAGGGGTGACTTAATGGGCCTGCAACTCGTGCATTCACTCAGGGCCCTGTGCTTGGCCCTTCACCTGTCGTTGTCTTGCAATTCTTAACAATTTTAAGCAAGGGGACCAGTGTTTACATTTTGCGCTGGGCCCCTGAAGTTATGTTGTGAGTCATGCATATTTCATTCAAAGCTCTTCTCCTATCTGTAGTGTGTAGTGCACTTGGGACTCTGAGGGTCTTGGGACAGGGGTGGGGCCACTGTAGTAGTCTGTTCTTATGCTGCTAGCAAAGACACACCCAAGACTGGGTAATTTATAAAGGAAAGAGGTTTAATGGACTCACAGTTCCACATGGCTGGGGAAGCCTCACAATCATGGTGGAAGGCAAATGAAGAGCAAAGTCACGTCTTACATGGTAGCAGGCAAGAGGACATGTGCAGGGGAACTCCCCTTTATAAAACCATCAGATCTCATGAGACTTACCCACTATCACAAGAACAGCATGGGAAAAACCCATTCCCATTCAGTTACCTCCCACCAGGTCCCTCCTACAACACGTGGGCATTATTACAATTCAAGGTGAGATTTGGGTGGAGACACAGAGTCAAACCATATCAGCCACTGGGTGTCCTCTTTCACCCTCTTCCCTCTCTCCCCATTCTTTGCCTTTACTCCTTTGGGTTGGAGCACAGAAGAGAGTGTGAAAGACATAGGCATAGCCCCCTCTGTGTTGATAATTAAACTAAACTGCCTCTGCCTTCTTGGTATGGGGTTGAAAGTGGCCCCTCAGACCCTGCTGGTGAGGTTGGCACAGTCCCAAGCTGTTCCAAAGGCTCACTCACCTTCTGGCTCCCTCAGCCCTTGCCTGGCTCTCTCCTGCCACATATCTCCAATGTGTGTGCTATGGGAACTCGTGGAGTCTGATTACTAGAGTGAACCTTCTCTGAACTAGACCCTGCAGAGTTCCATGCCTTTCTTCTTAATAAGCAGGCTCTCATCTGGAGTCCTTGCACTGGTTGGGAGCCCACAATCACAGGTGACATTGGTGAGTGACTTAGAGACCACATAGTGTGGAATTCTATCTTATCTATCAAGCCAGCTAATAGAGACTACAGATGAGTGCTCAGTGGTTTTCTTCTGCCCTCTCCTGCCTCCCTGCTTGTTGTCCCCTGCCTTTGGGGGATTAGCCCACAGGTGGACAAATGAACTCAGATCTCCTCAGAGGCAGCAGGAGCAGCCAAGCCGATGCTCATGGGCCTCATCTTTGTGTCACCAGTGCTCAAGGTTGTTGTGAGTTAAACTGGACTTATTTGCCTGAAAAGTTTTCATTGTTTTTAACTAAAAGAGAAAGTAACCCAAAATGCAAATTGTTTTAGAGCACTTTGTCTCCATTCATTCACATCACTTAGACAATGCAACTTTGGCCATCTATGAGAATGTTAAATATCACTGTGTTATAGGGATTTATACCAGGGATATTTATGTATCTGATACCAAGTCTCTCTCTTTAAATTGCTGGTGAAACATTACATTAAGATTAGCTAAAAAAACAGTCTTGTTCTGCTTTTACACTGTTGGTGGGAGTGTAAATTAGTTCACCCATTGTGGAAGACAGTGTGGCGATTCCTCAAAGATCTGGAACCAGAAATACCATTTGACCCAGCAATCCCATTACTGGGTATATACCCAAAGGATTATAAATCATTCTATTATAAAGACACATGCACACGTATGTTTATTGCAGCACTATTTATAACTGCAGAGACTTAAAACCAACCCACATGTCCATCAATGATAGAGTGAATAAACAAAATGTAGCACATATACATCATAGAATACTATGTAGCCATAAAAAAGAATGAGTTCATGTCTTTGCTGGGACATGGATGAAGCTGGAAACCATCATTCTCAGCAAACTAACCCAAGAACAGAAAACCAAACACCGCATGTTCTCACTCATAGGTGGGAGTTGAACAATGAGAACACATGGACACAGGGAGGGGAACATCACACAACAGGGCCTGTCAGGGGTTGCGGGGCAAGGGGAGGGAGAGCATTAGGACAAATACCTAATGCATGAGGGGCTTAAAACCTAGATGATGGGTTGGTGGGTGCAGCAAACCACCACAGCACATGCGTAACTCTAACACACCTGCATGTTCTGCACATGTATCCCAGAACTTAAAGTTAAAAAAAAAATTCTTGTTCTGATTCAGAAGCTTGGTTTAGGCTTCTCTGATTCTTGGTTATCCTGGTCCTACTGATATTCCTCATGCAGCCCTCTCTTTCTGTCCCCTAGTGTCAAGGCTTGTGCTGAGGCCCTTGCCATTATTTGAAGAAAAGCCTATGACTTTTTAAGTACAGTTAGGCAAAGTTCACATAAAGCATTATCTTTTATTTTTTAATCCATGAAGTTTACTATCCATGCTTGCATGAAATAGACCATCAAGGATACTGTATGTTTTCAAATAAGTAGCCAGTTTCCAGTCTCTAAGAAAAAGTGCTAATTGGTATTCAGTGTGCTAAGGCAGCAGACCCCAATGTTTTTGACACCAGGGACCGGTTTCATAGAAGACAATTTTTCCATGGACTGGTGGCTGGGTGGGGATGGTTTTAGGATGATTCAAGTGCCTTATATTTATTGTACACGTTGTTTCTATTATTATTACATTGTAATATCTAATGAAATAATTATACAATTATTCATAATGTAGAATCAGTGGAAGACCTGAGCTTGTTTTCCTGCAACTAGATGGTCCCATCTGGAGGTGATGGAAGACAGTGACAGATCATCAGGCATCAGATTCTCATAAGGAGTGTGCAACCTAGATCCCACATACGCGCAGTTCAAAATAGGATTCATGCTGTTATGGGAATCTAATGCTGCCGCTGATCTGACAGGAGGCAGAGCTCAAGCAGTAATGCAAGTGATGGGGAGCAGCTGTAAATAGAGATGAAGCTTCACTCTTGCCTACAGCTCACCCCCTGCTGTGCAGCTCCGTTCCTAACAGGCCATGGACCAATACTGGCTCTTCCCCAGATTTGATGATTTTTCAGCATCTCAGTATTCCCTGATTATTTTTCACATCCATACCCTCTTATGGGTCCTTCTTGTCCTGCACTGACCAACCTGGAGTGTGACCATCTGGCGTCAGGGCCTGTTTTTTTAAATAAGATTCTTTTCCTACATCCCCCTCTCCTTCTTTCCCTCCCTTCCTTTCTTCTTTCTTTCTTTCTGATTCAAAAAGTTTTCTGTTTGGTTGTTTTTTTGTTTTATTTTCACAAAAATAAGACACTGCAGATTAAATTATAGTCTTCTTTGTTCATCAAGTTTGTACCATTCTACTTTCTTTCCAGATAAACAAGCTCCATAGTGACTTTGGAACATACTCTTCTAGTGATGTGAGTGTGTGTTCAAGCATGATATTCATTTCTGTCATTTTTAAATGGACATTGATATTATCACACTTTATGTATGTATGTATTAGTCTATCGTTTCCTTTTTTATTCACTATTTTATTTTTATTTATTTAATTTAATTTTATTTTTTATTCACTATTGTGTTTTCCAGGTTCATCTGTGTGGATGAATATATTCGTCAAGGACTGCATTGTTATTTTGTGAATTCTAATTGCCATATTTTTTAGTTGCCCATCTATTTTCTGCCTTCTGGGCTATTTTTCTTTTTTGGAAAAATACATTTTATTTCCATTATATCAGTGGTTATCACTAAAATTTAACACAGATGTTTAAAAAAATATCTAAACCAGAACCTTAATCCCCCCTCCTGAACCTTAGAATATTTGAACTCCAAGATCCCCCTCTCCATCTTTCAGGTGATTGTTGTCTAGTATTTCACATGTACCTTCTAAAGCAGTTATTATCACAGAGAATTATTAGTATTTATAGTCAGTATTTACTCTGAATTTTTAATAAATTTGTAATTTTTTGGCTAAATGTTTTCTCTTTACATGTTTTTCAATATTCTTCTCCTTCATATGTAGGAAGAATTTTCAGTAAATATCTGTGAGTAGTAAACCCTTTCAATATTTTAACATTCCAGAATATCTTTACTTTGTCTTTATTGCTGGAGTAATATTTAGTTGCTTATACAATTTTAGGTTGACCTTTTTCCTCAGCATTTGAAAATGTTATTTTATCATTCTGATAACTGCTACTGTTTTAGATAACTGCTACTGTTTGAAATTGTAATTGTAATTTCATGGAGGGTGATCTCTGTTTTGCTCTGTAGCAGCCTCTTAGATTTTGTCTTTGTCTTTCTTGTTTTGTAGTCTCACTCCTAAGTATTCATCCTGCTTAAGGTGCTACTTTTATAAGACTCCTGTCTTTTTTCAAATCTGGAAAAAATTCAGCAATTTTCTCTTCAAATATTGCTTTTCCCAATTCTCCGCATTCTCCCCTTGTGAAAATCTTACAGGATATATGTTGGATCTTTTTATTTTGATCCTCTGTGTCTCTTCACTTTGCTTTCTTTTCTCCTCTGTGCTCCAGTTTGGTCGTTGTACTTATCCACTTGTATTAGTCTACAGGGTTATTTTCATATCAAAATACTACAGACTGGGTGGTTTAAACAACAGAAATTTATTTCTCAAAGTTCTGTTAGCTCAAAGTCCAAAATCAAGGTGTGGGCATGTTTTGTTGTGAAACTGCCTTCACAAAATTATGACAGTAAGAGAAATTTGATATAGCTGACTCCATTTTGTTTCTGACCTCCAAGTTCTCCTTGGTCATTCCTGAACTTATGCCAAGCTTCATCTGGGAGAAATGTAGTTTATAGTTTAACCCTAAAAGAAAGATAATAGCCCTTCCCAAAACTAAATTAGTTTTGTAAAACTAAATTTAGTAAAAAATCAAATTTACTAAATTTCGTAAAACTAAAGTTATGAGATTTGTAACTTCCCTGATTACTCCTGTAGATAACATCATTATTGTAGAACCTAAAATTGGCCTTTTGAGATTTTTTTTCAGACTTTTGCATTTCTGATGACTGATGGCTCCACTGGCCCCATGACTCATGACTCAACTGGTCCTGTGGCCCCCACCCAGAGGCAGACTCAGATTGGAGGACTGTTTTCCACACTCCTATGATTTCATCCCCAGCCAGTCAACATTCCCCATTCCCTAACCCCCTTGTCAACCAACTGTCTTTGAAAAACCCTAATCTCCAAGTCTTTGGAGAGACTGATTTGAGTAATAACTTCATCTCCTGCATGAAATGGCAGCCTCGTATCAATTAAACTTTTCTTTTAGTACACTACCATGATCTCAGTGAACTGGTTTTGTCGGTGCAGTGGGCAGAAAGAATCTATCAGGCTATTATAGTTTCTTATGAGGCCTCTTTCCCTGGTGTGCAGATGGCCACCTTCTTGCTGTGCCCTCTGTGCGCATGGACACACGGCCTTTCCTTTGTGTGAACACATCCCTAGTGTCTCTTTGTGTGTCCAAATTTTCTTTTCTTTTAAGGGCACCAGTTACACCGCACAAGGGTCCACGCTTCTTTAAGGACCCTGTCTCTAAATACAGTCACATTCTAAACTACTGGGGGTTAGGGCTTCAATTCACCCTTTAACACTATTAATTCACTACTTCTCACTGTCCCTAAATCTATTTTTCTATTCTTTGAGTTATTAAATTTCAGTGACCATAGATTCAATTTCAAGAATATCTTTTGTTCTTGCAAAGATTTGTTCTTTCCCTCCCCCAACATCTTGAATATCTTTTTGCATTTCTTTCTTTCTTTAAACATTTTAGACGTGTTTATTTTAAATCCTCTTTGAGGTGGTCTTGTTATCTTCAGTTCCTGGGAAGGCACATCTTCCAATGAAGTCTCTTTTCCTCTCTTCTTTTGTTTACTTATGTCACTATTACAATTTTTATTACTATTATTTTTTACTATGAGCTCCTTGTCATTGGATTGTCTTCTGTGGGGATCTCCTGGGTGTTGGTTACGACTTTAATCTTCAGAGTAGTTTTATGTTTGCCCACGTTGGGAGCACACTGGGCTTCCACAGTGTCAGACCGCTTTTCTATTACATTCTTAACTTGGTGTTCCTCCACCATGCAAATATCAAGAATTCAGACTTCACACATGTGCATGGTACAAGAGGAGGGCTCAGATTTCTCATGAGTGGCTCTTTTCCCCCATATTTCTTAGGGGAAAACAACTGGAGTTTCCTTTGTGACTTGTCTCCAGGCACTCAAGCTAGAACCAGAACTCCCTCCCGATCAGCCTTCTTTCCCTATGTGTTAGGTCCAATAGAAGGATCACCCCTTGGCTTCAGCATTCACTCACTATGGTGACTTGGAGTTTTCTCTTCATTTTTTGGTTTTAAGCTGAACTGTTTTAAATACTTCTTTGTTATATTCAGCATGTCTATGTTTTAGAGGTTAAAGAGGGGTTTTTTTCCCCCTTCCCTGCTAATGCTTAGTCAATTTTATTGACCCCAAAGACCTGAAGCACTGGATCATTGTCAGTGTCATCCGTAATGATGTTTGCTTCATTTAATATAAAATGCAAAAATTCTGCCACTGGCTATAGATGAGTGACATAGGACTATTCCTTCTATTTAATCGGCTCTGCTGCTGCCTCTCCTGTGAATTGTGTCTACATTCACCTTGGTTGGAGAGCCTTCCTCCTTATGTTTCTTTTGGTAGGAGAATGATTTTCCTTTTTAATCTATGCTAGGGTGGATCCACCACTGGGCCAGAGCACAAATATGGGCTATTTTCCCTACTCATCTTCCTTCTGGCGGAAATTCAGAATTTTTAACCCATAATCCTTTCACATCCAGTGTTGGGTGGATTATACTTTGACCCACATTATCTCATATGACCCTCTTAAAATCCAGTGTAGCTATTATTATCTTAATTTTATAGATAGAGAAATTGGTGTGCAGGGGATAATTACTTATCCAAGATTAGTAACTAATGAAACTGATGATGACACCCTTTCCTCCATGGAGGAGGAACTTCACAAGGAAACGTGGCCCAAATGGAGTTTACTGATTCATTTCCTCATGAGTGACATGAGTAGAACCTCAGGGCTCCTCTCAGCCTAAGAACCTGTATTTGTAAGCTCACCAAGAAAACCTCTGCAGGACCATGCCCTTTACTGTGCATATCTGAAACAACATCAAAATTCCTTGGAGGTGATTATGATAATAGATACAAGAATAATTCTGAGAAATGCATTCATTTGCTCTCTGAAAAGCTGTGTGTTGTAGTTTTAACCTTCTTGGAATTATTGTCTGAAATTTCTGGGACATAATTTTTGGCACCAATTGCTACAGAATCAGAACAAATGGCTTTGTAGACTCAATATGTTTACATGATAATGTGTTAATTTGATAATTTTATATCATGGAATATTGCTTATTTTCATCTTCAGAAATGCAATTGGTATACTGATGTAAAATTCATAAAATTCAGAAGATTGCTTTGGCTCTGGTCTTCGTAATAGAAGTTTTGTGATGCCTTAAAAAAATGTATTAATGTTTTGCCTTGAGGCCCTTGGCTTTCTTTATCATCTCTGTCTCTTCTACCCCTGCAATAAGTGATTCCCTAAAAGCATCCCTATGTTTTGTGCTATCTTGTTTTGTCCTGTAGAATTAATAAAAAAGGAGCTGTTGGCAGCTTTTGTGGGCAACTCCTCATGTCTTTTTGGGGTCCCCAGGTGCCTGATGAAGCCACCCCTGTGTCTTTTGCTTCGTTACCTTCTACATGAAAAAGGGAATTAAAAGTCATTTCCACCTGCCCTGCATTTGCCTTGTGGCTTCAAGAATATGAAAACTAATCAAAAGTGGAAATTGCAGCTTTTTATAACATCTCGCAGCAGGGGCCTTTTCTTTAAAAAGGCAGAAAAAAGAAAATGGAACAGAAGAATTGACAGTTAAACTCATAGGGCCCCAAAACCTTCAAAGTTTCATCTCTAGGGTCTTCTGAAAAGAAAAAGCCTGTGCTCTGGAGGTTTTTACCTCCAGGACTTAATGTACGAAGATGCTTTTGACACTTCAAAGGGGTTTGATGTTTCACAGTTATGGGCAGATTTCCTCAAAGTTGCATTTTGCCTGATATGCTGTTCAATGTTGTTCTTCACATGGGCGATTTCAGCAAGAGCTACATTCTAACCTCTCTTAGATCTTGAAAATCACTCATCCTGCTATTCTAGGAAATCTAATCTATCAACAGCTGAAAACTTCACCTAAACACCACGGACTGGGTGAAGAAAGGAAACAGATGATGATTTTTAATTACTGCCTTGAGTCAGGTGCCCAGAAACGTCTCCCCACTCACTGTCCTGCAAATGGTTTTTAGGGTGTAAGGAGAGCTATGCATATTTTGGTTAGTAAGAGTAAATCTGTGTGTGTGTGTATGTGTGTGTGTGTGTGTGTGTGTGTGTGTGTGTGTGTGTTTTGATGTACTCCCTGATTCCTTCTGTGAGCTTCAATTTCATTTTGTCAGCTCCAGGATATCTGTTCTCAAGAAAGGAAATTTGAGACACCTGAATTTTGCTGTGTTTATTGCTGTTAATCTTTAGTGCCTCTCCCCTCCAAGTATTTACTGAAAACATTGTGTAACTTATTTGGAAGAATGTCGATACCTGTATAACATTGCTCAGAGAACTTTTAAAAATCCACCAGAGAAAACATCTGACACACAAAAAATATCTTAAGTCTCATTCACACACACACAAACACACACACATACGCACACACACAAATTCCTTGAAAGAAACTCAGAAAACCACGGAAAAAGAAATAAGATTTTGGATGTTGCTGGAGACAAACTGCATCAGAGAGATTAATTTTAAAAGCATTTTATGGTTTTCACACAGCTTAGCATGGAAGAAGTGACCAGGTCAAGAATGGTCTTCATTTTTAGTAAATTAGGCAGGATGCTCTGAAGCAGTGGCTTGCTCTGATTCTCTAATTGTCTTTCTAAGCATTGGTTTTATGAAATCTTACTGCCCATCCTGCTGACAGCATAGCACACAGGGCAGAATTCAAGCTCAGTGTGGATGTGTCCAGCTTCAGGTCAGTGAATCAGTGGCAGGGTCACATCCTGAGTTTACAACCTTTAAATTATGGTCTCCCTGCTCTACAGCCAGGGAGCTCGGTTTTGCTATTTCAGGATACAAGCTATTGATTTGTGAGGCAATACTTCAACAATTAATCAAGAAATAATTATTCATGGAGCATCTTTAATTTGTTGTATATTCCCTGGGACTGATTGGGAGTACCCTTTATCTGTCCTTGCATAGCTGATGCTAATCTGGTTGGGGAGAAGCTTTGTTTAATATGTATTAGACACTAAGCAATGAGCAAGCTATGCCAGTCAATACTATCAATGTAATTAATGTTGTTAATATGCAACTTTTTTTGGGGCTCACATGAGAGTAAGATCTATGAGGGCAGAAACTATATAGGAAGGCTTCCATCAGAAAGGCGATTAAATGAGCCACAGGGAAAAGGAGATGCATTATTGGCTGGAGTGGGGTGGTAGAACATAGAATAGAATAGCCTACTTAGGAAAAATCATATCTGAATAGAAGTGTAGGTTCATCCTATACCTCCACCCTCATGTTCCTGCATAAATCGCCACATAGTCTAAGCTTCAGCTAGGAGCTTAGACCACTTTTGACCATTTATTATTATCTTTATTCATTTTTATTCATGTTTTCATTCAATGAAATGAATATTTATGGAATGCCTGCCTAGTGTTAATACTTTACCAGTCACTGAGGGCTCAAGGGTGAGTAAGTGGCCATGGTTGCATGCTGGTTATGAGCATGGATTTTGGAGTCAAATAGACTTGACTAAGGGCTGTCTCTGATAACTACCAGCTGAACAAATTATTTAAATTCTCAAAGCATCATTTTTGTCATTAGCAAATAAGAATACCTCACAAGGTTGTTTATAACTAGAATTTTGCCTGGCCTTCCTCCTTATCAGTTTTTCTCTATAGAATAATTGCTTCCTCTTTCCTGAAGTTTTGGGATGTTTCCGAAAGTGGAAGCTGTTTGATATGTGTCCTCCAGAGGGCAGTCCCCTGCAGATACTCTCCCAGATTCTCAGGACTTTCCTGACTTCTAGCCATCCTATAGACCGGTGTTGAGCTCTTCCTTTGATTCTGTGAATTATTACACATCTGTGTGTATGATATGATCATGGTCCTGTGCTTTAGAAACATCTCTCTGATGTGGAAGAAATGAAGCCGGGTATTTTGCCCAATTAGAGCTGCCTAGACTAGCTATAATCTCTCTAATAGTGATATCCATATGCAGACAGAGACAGATTGAGTAGTCAAAAATGCTTTAGCTAAACCAATAACTCACTCAGCATTTATAGGTTGAAATTAATTATAGGAGAAATTGGTTCCTGTCTTTTTATAACTTAAGTGGAAAAATATAATCTTCTATAACAAATGTTATAGCGTAAGTGGTTGGACTATTCAACCCTATAACTCAGCAGTTATATACCTTGGAAGGTCTATTTTTTATCACCTTAAATACTAGTAAACACAGACGCTTTATAAAGTGATAACCAGGAGAAGATGCTGTACATTTGTAATCTTTAGAACTCAGCCCCACTTGGCTGGCTGCCAACAATGCTTCCAACTTATTGTGTTTTCATGGCCACAGGAATGTAAACATTCCATAACCTCTTCTTCCTTGTCATTCCTAGAAGAGCAATTTGAAGGCAGTATTAATAATGCTTCACGTATATATCCCCACAGGGTTACTTTCTCTTTCTTTGCAAGTCCTCATGCTAAATACTGTCATAACTCACTAATCTATAACCAAGGTCAGTAAAGATTTAAAGAGGATCCTCTTTGATTCTACATTGGACATTCTATAGAGAATCAACTGAAAACAAGATTGGAGACATTCTGGAGATGACAGTCATCTGAATATGAATAATGGAAATGGGAATGTGTTAAGAAGTACTTACATGATGGACTCAATGAAACTTGGTGACTTATTGGGGGAAAGCATTGAGGGAAAATTAGGAAAGAATGAGACCAGGGATAACACCTAGGTTTCTATCTTAGGTAACTCTGGATGATGGTGACATTATATGAATCGGAGCACAGGTGGGGGAACGTATTGGGGGGTAAGATGATGCAATTCTGTGTGGGCATGCTGCATTTGAGGGCTTGTTAACTGTGTAGTGTATCGAATATTCTGGTTTCTTCCTCCTGGATCCCCTCTCTGCCTGATGAATGCAGGAGTGACCATGTGGACCTTCCAGGCACAAGGCTTAAGAGCCAGATGTTTTCCATACAATCTCGGTCTCAGACGAAAAACAACGTAGAGTCTCAACTGATTTGAGATGAGTATGTAGTGTAAGCAAGGCATAAACCTATTTTTTACCATAAGCTGCTGGAATTTGGGATCATTTATTTCCTCAGCTCAATGTAGCTGATATTTACTGTCACAACATCTAAGTTACGTCTGTGGAAAAGGCACCAACTCTCAGAAGAGACATCAGGACTGAAGACACAGATTTGGAAATCTTCCTTGTTTAGATGGTAGCCATACTTACTACAGGGGGTGCTATTTTCTAGAGAGATTACAGATAGATTAATAAGAGAAGGGAGTCTATATCAGTGAAGGTCAAACCAAGCCAGAAATAAAGAAACCACATTGGGTATTTAAAACAAAGATAATTTAATACAAGGAATTTTGTGCATAAGTAATGAAAGAGCTGAAAAGCTAAACTATGACACAGAGATACCATCCGGAGATTAGCAATAGCAGCAAGTCACCACCACCCCTGGCCAGAAGGACAAAGAGAGGAGGGGGTATGACCAGAGACCCGAGTTCAAGGTCTTTGGCAGAAGGTGGGACCACAGCAGGCCTGTTACTGAGAACTGGAGCCACAGAGTAACACAGCTACTGCTGGAGACACCAGAGGAGACAGACACGGGGGGAGTTAGCCTCCCTGTGATATAGAGAATCACTTACATTTTAGACTTGATCTTCCCTGCTACAATTATGTAGCAGTAATCTGATTCCCCCTTGGAAACTAACCTCATTCACCTGAGCCAGTAAAGCAACCTCCTGTCTGTCTATTGGTTCAAGAACGTGAGGAGCTCAAATAGCCAAGTGACAGTCTCATTTCCAGCTTACTGGGATCCTTGTTGTGTCACTTGGTAGAAACACTCCTTCCTTGGCTTCAGGGAGAGGAAGCAAAAATTCTACAAGTGTGCTATGAAGTATAAACAGCACCCATGCCCAGTTCCACCACGTGGACCCAGAATGCATGCATTGTTGCTATGGGAGAAATAGCATCATATGTTGATGATTCATTCAAAGCATACACTGAGGCCATAACTGAATCTTCAGTGGATCTGAGTTGACATTAATTTAATCCTTAGGGACATAAAATGTCACAGTAATGTTTGAGTGTCAAAAACACCTAGGGTTAGGCAGCAGTTCTGCCACTTACTAACTCAGGCACTTCACTTAACTCTTCTGAAACTTATTTTACTTTTGCATTAAATAAAAAAATTTAAAATGCCAACAGGATATTACTTGGGCCAATACATGAATGTTGAAAACACCCAAGAAAATGACAAATCATGAGGAGGAGAGAAAGACTTTATCAACAACAGCAGGTGGAGAAAAGTTTAGACAAAGAACATGAGCCTCAGAGGTGCAGGAACTTTACCTTTGTGACTTTGTTAATGTCACTTTGTTTATTTCTTCTGCTGGATGTTTTAGCTGTCATGTAGAATCCTGCTCATCTTTCAAAGATCAGCTCAAATGCCACTTCCTCCATGAAGCTTTGCTTAATGGGAGTTATCATCAACAGCAGCTCATAAAATATTTACTGAGGTCTTGCTATGAGTAGGGGTCTGTGCTAAAATATAATGAGGTCGAGATGTCAAGTCAAGTGAAAGAAACCAGTCTGAAAAAGCTGCATACTGTGTGATTCCAACTATAGGACATTCTGGAAAAAGCAAAACTATAGAGACTAAAAATACCAGTGGTTTCCAAGGATTTGGGAAAAGAGAGGCAGGATTGAAATGGTAAAACAGAGGGTGTATTTAGGGCAGTGAAACAATTCTATATGATACTATAATGGGGGATACCTGACATTATACATTGATCAAAACCCACAGAACTGTATGACACAAAGAGTGAACCCCCATAAACAACTGGCCTTAGTTAATAATAATGTATCAATATTGGTTCATCAATTGTGACAAATGTACCACACTAATGCAAGATGTTAAGAATAGGAGAAAGTGTTGGGCTGGGGGAAAGGGGTATATGGCAGCTCTCTGTACTTCCTGGTAAATTTTCTTGTAAACCTGAAACTGCTCTGAAAAAATCAGGTCTATCAATTTAAAAATGATATAATGGAGTCTTCTGTCTATTGCTTTAAAATTGTAAATCTTTCTGGAGAAGAAGGTGTCCACAAAATAATTTCCATGAGAGTGTATGCTATATGAGCGTGAACGCATAGATGGTAATGACAAAAATGTTCAGATAAGTATTCTCTAAGGACTGAGGCAAGGCATTGATGGGAGGGGAGAGCTTGGGTAAGAAGAAAAGAATTACAAGGGCGTTCTGAACCAGGCAGGCCATCTGATTAAAAGTGGAGAAAATGGTAATAGTCATGCTTTCCTCAGGGATACATTCTGAGAAATGACTCGTTAGTAGATTTCATCATTATGTGAACATCATAGAATGTCTTCACACAAGCGTAGATGGAATAACCTACTACACACCTGGGCTATATGGCACAGCCTGTTGCACCTAGGCTACAAACCTGCACAGCCGGTTACTGCACTGAATTCTGTAGGCAACTGTAACACAATGGTAAGTATTTGTGCATCTAAACATATCACATAGAAAAGGTACAGTAAAAATATGGTATTATAAGATTATGTGACCACTGTTATATATGTAGTCCATCATTGACTAAAATATTATTATGTGGCACATGACTGTATGTGCGAAGCCTCCTGCTAACTGTAGAGGAACTTTTAAGTGTTTTTTTGAGACAGAGTTTCGCTCTTGTTGCCCAGGCTGGAATGCAATAGCACCATTTTGGATCACTGCAATGTCTGCCTCCTGGGTTCAAGCGATTCTCCTGGCTTTTTTTTTTTTTTTTTTTTTGAGATGAAGTCTCAGTCTGTCACCCCCGCTGGGGTGCAGTGGTGCAATCTCGGCTCACTGCAACCTCCACCTCCCGTGGTCAAGTGATTCTCCTGCCTCAGCCTCCTGAGTAGCTGAGATTACAGGTACACGCCACCAAGCCCAGTTAATTTTTGTATTTTTAGTAGAGATGGGGTTTCACCATGTTGGTCAGGCTGGTCTCGAACTCCTGATCTCAGGTGATCTGCCCACCTTGGCCTCCGAAAGTGCTAGGATTACAGGTGTGAGCCACAGTCCCCAACCTATAATTACAATTTTTAACTCTCTAACCTTGAGAGAGGAGGAGAGGAGAATGACTATCAAATTTGTTTACAAATTGCAGGTAATAACCTTGTATTTGTTATTTCTAACTTATTTGCAAGTATGACTTAGCTTTTAGTTACCACACTTTGTCTCCCTGAGAAGCTTAAAGAGTTAGGAAAGCCCCCAACCCTGTTGTAACATCCTAAGTGAAATAAGGCAGTAAGGGGCAGGGCCCTGCTTCTGAAGTCAGGAGTGTTAGCTGCATGGAGGGCTGGGTGGGAACTGCGAAAACAGAGCCCTGGCCAAGGGTGGGACTACAAGGTGCACACCCTGCATCATTTAGAGAATGTTTAAGGCCATACCTCACATTGGTTTTTCCTGTAATAAGCTATTTGGTTAAGGCCCAGAATCACCCAAAGCCAGGTCTCAGAAGGTTCATTCATATTTCATTCATCACTGTATGTCTTCATTTGCAAGGACTGCCATAACAAAATACCACAGACTGGAGGGCTTCAGCAACAGAAATTTATTTTCTCACAGTTCTAGAGGCTAAAAGTCTAAGATCAAAGTGTTGGCAGGGTTAATTTCTTCTGAGGTCTCTCTCTTTGGCTTGTAGATAGCTGTCTTTCCCCTGTGTCTTCTCTCCATGTGTGTGTCCATATGCTAATCTCCTCTTCTTATAAGGACACCTGTCATATTTGATTAGGGCCCACCCTAATGGCCTCATTTTAACTTAATTACCTCCTATCTCCTATACAGTCACAATCTTTAGTACCAGGGGCTAGGACTTCAACATATGAATTTTGAGGAAACATAATTCAGCTTGTAGCAATCACCATCCATGTTTCTCCTGAGATAGGCACTAATCACCTCTCCTGGGATCAGGGGTAGAAGATTAGGAGATTTATTAGTCATTGCTGTTACTTAACAACAGCAACAAAAATAATATTAGTTAACTTATGTTGAACATTTACTGTTGGCCAGGCACTAGGATAAGGGCAATTAGCGAACTGATGATGTTTGACTCAAGAGCCCATTACAGGCCACGTACAGTGGCTCACGCCGGTAATACCAGCACTCTGGGAGGCCGAGGCAGGTGGATCACTTGAGGTCAGGAGTTGGACACCAGCCTGGACAATATGGCGAAACCCCATCTCTACTAAAAAATAGAAAAATTAATCAGGCATGGTGGTGCGTTCCTGTAATCCCAGCTATTCGGGAGGCTGAGGCAGGAGAATCACTTGACTATGGGAGGCAGAGGTTGCAGTGAGCTGAGATCGCACCACTGCACTCCAGCGGGGGTGACGGACTGAAACTTCGTCTCAAAAAAAAAGCCCATTACAACCTTCTTTGTCCACTTCACCAACAAATCAACCTTTCTGTTTTTTAAAGGATTAGAATTAAGCTCATTGTTGGGAGACAATTATCCATCCACGTGTCTCTTGTGTTTCTGCATACGTCCTACAAGCAGAGGTGCTGACTGCCTTTTTTTCTGAACTATATTTTCAGAGATGTTTATTATGGACAACTGCCATGAAAGATAGACAAAATGTTTTCCTCAGGAGTAAACAGCTAGCATGATTACTGCTTATTATAAAAGATATGTGTTCCTGAACTCAGGGTTCCTCTTCTCTAATGCAGCCTACTGTATATGCTGATTTTCCCTGGCCTTCCATGTATTGCCCTATGATTGGGGCTCTAGAAACAGTTGCAAGAAAATGCTTATACTTTGGCTGCTGCTATTGCTGTTAGTAAGAAAGTCGTTTGTCTCTGACCCAGAAGTCTCATGTCTTCTGCAGCATCCATGAAACTATAGCAGTTTAACTTGTTAGTTTGCAAGTAGGGCAAAATGTAAGACCCTTCATGGTTCTTGGTACCCATTTAATCTGTCCATGTGAGTAGATTAGGGATAAGCAGGGTAAATTCTTTCCTCTGAATGGTTGAAATGATCAGTCCAGTTGACGGAACAGAGGATTCCTGTCCGCATATGAAGGAAATAAGGCTAGATCAAGGGAGACGTGAGCCAGATGTAGAGAAGCTGGATTCCCTGCTGAAAGGTTGGATAGATGTGATAATTAATAGGGAGATGTGGAATGATGCAGAGGAGGGTGAGGGTGCACAGGATAATGAGACAGGAAGATAAACAGCTGTATTATTTAAGGTGGATTGGAGAGGGAAAAGTTCAAAGTACAGGAAGAATGGTTAGAAGAGATTTGTCTTGGCACAAGGCGATAAGCAATTGAACTAGAAAGATGAAAAGAAAAGAAATGGAGGCAAAAGAATTAATGTTTATAGAGTTCCTGAGTTCATACTCTGACCAGGAAGCTAAGATAGATGGTTGTTTGATTGACTAGAAGTGGGGGTTGCCCTGTTATAAGCAATGTAGGGGGGACTGAGGCAGTGGGTGCTCAGGCAGGAGAGGCTGGCAGGAGTAGGGTGTGGTACAGGCTGCATATAACTTTCTGCCCTCTTGTGGGAACCTAAAGCGATTGAAATCTCTCACTGTGAAATCATGGAGAGAAGAAAATCCTAAGTGGCCTAGATGGTAGACTGAGGCAACCCAGGGAGAGTAGACATGCAACTATCAAACGTGCTATGAGGTACTATCAGTGCTGCAACCCAGGAGGTCTTACAGTTCTCATAGAATTATACACTCTCTCCTTTCATTCCACCTTTTATTTAGTTTAGTCCAAGGCTGCTCAGGTCCTCTCCAGGTAATTCTGTTCATAGCACAGCTCTTTTGCCTATCAGTTGGTCCTAATCCCTATAGATAAATGTTATATATCCATTGCCCTTTGCATTGGGGTTCAGATCAGAGCTTGCGTCCCTGTGGGATCAATGGACACTGATTCTATAGTATTTTGGAGAACACCTCTATTGGAATCCACAGAGAATTAGAGAGAAGAGGATCTGGAGAGCCAGATAGGGAGAAAAGGTTTGAGGATGACACCAAACTTTCTCATGTGTCTGACAAGATTGTGTTAGTGGCAGAAATATGGAATTTGGAATAAATGTCAGTTTTAGGGGAAGGAGATGGTAGGATTTAGGATGTCAAATATTTCTTTTCTACACTCTTTCCCTGGTAGTACTTTCTTACCTCCCATATTGTCTTCATTATCAAAACTTCTTATTCTCATCCTGTGCTTGTAAAATGGCCAGTAGTAGTGCCAAAGAATGAACAACAATCTGAGTCATGTTTTAGCTTTTCAAACTGTCGGAAGCACTTTCAGTTCATGCAGTTGTGCTACAATCAACAGCAACAAAGAGAAAGTGATAAAATGCTATTGCAGATCTCAGAAATTACACGTTATAAATAGTGGATGGGGAACAAAAGATCCAGATTACAGAGAGAAAATAATTTTAAAACGGTTTATTTTAAGATGAGTTGTTTCTGGAGTGTTTAACAATAAATACAATTAATGAAAAAAATGAACTATCACCATCTCTGATGTTTTTCACTTTTTGCAATTATCTAAAACTTCTGCAGACAATGATGCCCACACAAATATAAAGATCTACACTTTCAGACATGATCTTGTCAAAAAGCCATTTGACATCAGGAGTTTATCTCTCTTGGCTGAATGGAAGGAAAGCTGGCACTTAAAATAGAGAGCACAGCTCAGTCAAATGCCTTGCAGACAGTTTCTCCCCTTGATCAGTTAGCTCACCAGAGCTCTTTGTTGAGTTTACTAGGCTTTAAATTCAGTTTTCTAATCAGCACATAGAAAGATTTATAACACAGCATCCCCCAAACCACAATAATTTCAAATCTGAGGAGATTTATCCCTAGTCCTTTACATTGAAATGTGATTTTCTTCTTAAAGGGACCCTCATATTTCTGATTTTATAGTTGCTCTTTTCAAAGAGGAGGCTTAAATTATTTTGTTTCCATGTTAATTTAGGGAGTTATAGCTTCTAGCGTCTGCATTTAACAGATTGAAAGGTGTAAGCCAATAGTGTTCATATTTATTTTACCAAAGACCTCATTTGCAGAAATTAACTAAAAGGGACTCATGACCACTACAGAATTATCTGAGCAGTAATGTATATTATTATAAGTGTAACTAAGATAAAAATTTGAAACTATGAAAGTTAAGTAAAAAAGCAACTAGAGAACTGAAGCTGAGTTTATGGCTTAAAACTAAGGAGGCCAGGGGCAAGGGAGAGACCTGGAGAAAACCTAGAACTTCTTGCTTCTGCTGACCAGTGAGAGGAGCACATAGAAGGGTAGCTTCTGATTTTTTAAAAAAATATATTAATAAACTTTCAGAGCAGTTTTTAGTTTACAGGAAAATTGAGTAGAAAGTGCAGAGAGTTCTCATATACCTTCTCATGCCCCTCCCAGTTTTTCCTATTATTAACATCTTGCATTAGTGTGTGAACATTTGTTACAATTGGTGAGCCAATATTGATATATTATTATTAACTAAGGTCTCTACCTTAGGGCCCACTCATTGTCTTGTACATTCTATGGGTTATTGTCAAATGCATAATGACATGTACCCATCAGTATCATACAGAATCGTTTCACTGTCCTAAAACTTTTCTGCGCTCCACTTATCATCCCTCCCTCCTCAATGTCCACTCAACCCCCTGGCAACCACTGATTCTTTTTGCTATGTCTATAGTTTTTCCTTTTCCAGAATGTCATATAGTTAGAATCACATAGTATGTAGCCTTTTCAGACTAGCTTCTTTCACTTAGCAATATACATTTAAGATTCTTCTATGTCTTTTCATGGCTTAATAGCTTATTTCTTTTTAGTGCTGAATAATATTCCATTGTACAGATGAACCATGGTTTGTTTATCCATTCACCATTAAAAGACAACTTTGTTGCTTTCAAATTTGGGCAATTATGAATAGGATGTTGTAAACATTTGTGTGTAAGTTTTTATGTGAACATAAGTTTTCAGCACATTTGGGTAAATACCAAGGAACACAATTGCTGAATTGAATGGTAAACGTATCTTTAGTTTTGTAAGAAACTGCCGAACTGTTTCCAGAATGGCTGTACCACTTTGCATTTTCATAACCAATAAATGAGAGCTCCAGGTGTTCCACATCCCTGCTAGCATTTGGTGTGGTCATTGTTTTGGATGTTAGCCATTCTAATAAGGTGTAGTAGTATCTCATTGTTAGTTTAATTTGCAATTCCCTAATGACATACCATGTTGAATATCTCTTTATATAATTATTTGCCATTTGTATATCTTTTCCGGTGAGATGTCTGTTCAGATTGTTGGCCCATTTCAAAACTGAGTTGTTTGTCTTCTTATTGTTGCATTTTTAGAGTTCTTTGTATATTTTGGATGCCAGTCTTTTATTAGATACATGTTTTGCAAATATTTTCTTCTAGTCTGTGGCTTGCCTTTTTATTCTCTTATGAGTGCCTTTTATAGAGCACTGATTTTCTGCCTACTGGATCTATCCATTTCTGATAGAGTGTTGAAGTTCCAACTAAAATAGTTGATTTGTGTATTTCTACTTGCAGTTCTACCAGTTTTTAACTCATGTGTTTTGACAGTCTGTTGTCAGAAAATTTTAGTTTTAATGAAGTCCAAACTATCAGTTTTTTCTTTCATGTATTATGCCTTTGATGTTATACCTAAAATGATCACCAACCTCAGTTCACCTAGATTTTCTCCTTTGTGCTCAACCAGGAGTTTTATACTTTTGCATTTAACATTTAGGTCTATGATTCATTTTGAGTTAATTTTTATGAAAGGTGTAAGTCTAACTTCATTTTTTTTTTGCATGTCGATGTCCAGTTGCTTCAGCATCATGTGTTGAAAAGACTATCTTTTCTCCACCAAATTTCCTTTGTTAAACATGAGAGGTGCAAGAGCACATGCTTGTCTTGTTCCTAATCTTAGCAGGAAAGCACCTAATTTCTCACCATTGAGTATGACGTCTTTTCAAAAGTTGAAGCAGGCTTGCACACCTGGAATAAATCCCACTTGATTTATTGTGTTGTGATTGTGTTGTAAAATTGTGATTGTGGTTGTATAATTTCTTTTCATGCATTGTTGGATTGATTTGCTAATATTTTCTTGCTAATTTCTGCATCTATATTCATGAGAGATATTGGTCCATAGTTTTCTTTTCTTGTATTGTCTTTGTTAGGGTAATGCTAGCTTCATAATGAGTTAAGCAGTATTGCCTCTGATTCTATTTTCTGGAAGGGATGGTAGAGAACTGATATCGTATCTTTCTTAAATGTTTGGTAGAATTCACTAAGATACAAATGGGTCTGATGTTTTCTGTTTTGGAAGCTCATTAATTATTGATTCTACTTCTTTAATAGAAGAAGATTTGACTTCTTTAACAGAAGTATTCAAATTGTCTATTTCCCTTCTTGTGAATTTTGGTAGATTGTATCTTTCAAGGAATTGGTTCATTACATCTAGGTTTTCAAGTTTGTGGGCATACAGTTGCTCACGATATTCCTTTATTATTCTTTTCATGTCCATAGAATCAGTATTTATGGCCCTTATTTCATTTATGATTATATTAATTTGTGTCTTCTCTTTTGTTCTTAGCTAATCAGGTTAGACTTTTACAATTTTATTGATCTTTTCAAAGAACCAACTTTTAGTTTTGTTGATTTTCTCTGTTGATTTCCTACATTCTATTTCATTGATTTCTGCTCTAATTTTCATTGTTTCTTTTTTTTTTCTAATTCTTTCTAATTGGCAAGTTAAGTCAATTTGCTCTTCTTTTTCTAGTTTCATAAGGTAGAAATTTAGGTAATTGATTTCAGATCTCTATTCTTTTCTAATATATGCATTCACTGCTATGATTTTCTCTCTATGCACTGCTTTCACTGCATCCAACAAATTTTGATAAGTTGTATTTTCATTTTTATTTTGTTTAAAATATTTTTAAACTTCTCTTGAGTTTTCTTTTTTGACCTATGTATTCTTTACAAGCTATTTAATCTCCAAATACTCAGAAGATTTTCAGCTATCTTTTTGTTATTGATTTGTAGATGAGTTATATTGTGATCTATAGCATATGCTATATGATTTGTATTATTTTAAATGTGTTAAGATGTGTTTTATGGCCCAGAATGGGCTCTATCTTGATGAATGTTCCTTATGACCTTAAAAAGAATGTGTGTTCTGCCATTATTGAATCAAGTGTTCTGTAAATGTCCATTAGATCCAGTTGATTGATGGTGCTATTGAGCACAACTATGTCCTTATTCATTTTCTGTCTACGGGATCTGCCTATTTCTGATAGAGAGTGTTGAAGTTTCCAACTAAAATAGTTGATTTGTCTGTTTCTAATGCAGTTCTGTCCATTTTTCACTCGTGTTTTGACACGCTGTTGTTAGGCACATACACATTGAGGATTATTATGTGTTCTTGGAGAACTGACCCCTTTATCATTATGCAATTTGCAATTCCCATATTGATTCCTGATAATTTCCTTGTTCTGAAGTCTGCTTTTCCTAAAATTAATATACTACTCCAGCTTTCTTTTGATTATTGTTATCATGATTTATCTTTCTTCATCTCTTTACTTTTACCCTATATATGTTTTTATATGTAAAGTGGATTTCTTAGACAAAATATAGTTGGTCTTGCCTTTTTATGCACTGTGACAGTCTCTTTTAATTGGTATACTTGAGACCACTGATGTTTAAAGTGGCTATTGATATAGCTGGATTTATATCTACTCTATTTGTTACTGTTTGCGATTCATTGCCCTTGGGCTTTCTTTTCCTTTTTTCTTTTGTCTGCTTATTTGTATTTCATTCTTTTTCTGTCAATTTTGGTTTTACCTGGGAATTTTATATGACTCAATTTTCTCTAGCTTTTTAGATCAGTTGAGAATAATAAAAATAAAAATAATTATTTTACCTTCATTTATGCCTTCTGTAATGTTCTTCCTTTTTTTACGTATACCCAAGTTTCTTGCATATATAATTTTCCTTCACTCTATAGAACTTCTTTTAACATTTCTTGCAAGGCAGATCTACTTGCAACAAATTCTCTCAAGTTTTGCTTATCTGAGCAAAGCATTTTTTCTCCTTCACTTTTGAAGGATAATTTTTCGGGATATAGAATTCTAGGTTGGTGGGGTTTTTTTTCTTTAAATACTTTAAATATCTTATTCCACTCTCTTTCTTCCTTGCATGGTTTCTGAAGAGAAGTCTGATATATATATATATTTTTTTTTCTTTTTTTTTTTTTTTTTTTTGAGAAAGGGTCTCACTCTGTTGCCTAGCCTGGATCATGGCTCACTGTAGCCTCAATCTCCTGGGCTTTTTCACTTTTTGAAAAAGTGAATCTCCCACCTCAATCTCTTCAGTAGCTGGGACTACAGGCACGTACCACCATGCCTGGCTAATTTTTGTATTTTTAGTAGAGATTGGGTTTCACCATGTTGGCCAGGCTGGTCTCGAACTCCTGACCTCTGGTGATCCTCCCACCTCAGCCTCCCAATGTGCTGGGATTACGACAGGCATGAGCCACCTCACTTGGCCTGATATAATTTTTATCATTGCTCCTCTACAGGTAAGATCTTTCCCCCACTTTGGCTTTTTTCAAAATTTTCTCTGTGTCTCTAGTTATCTACAGCTTGAATATGACATGCCTCTCTATGGACTATTTGGTATTTATCTTTCTTGGTGTTCTCTAAGATTCCTGGATCTGTGGTTTTATTTTTGTTATACATTTTGGAAAACTTTGGCCATTATTGCTTCAAACATTTCCTGTGGTCTTTTCTCTTACTTTTTTTCTGGTATTATCATTACATTTATGTTATATCTCCTATAATTGTCTTACAATTCTTGAATATTCTGCTCTATCTTTTTCACTTTTTTTCTTGTTGCATTTCAGTTTTGGAAGTTTCTATTGACCTTCCTTCAAACTCATAGATTCTTTGCTTCACAATGTTCAGTCTACTGATGGAACAATCAGAGGCATTTTTTTATTTTTGTTAAGGGCAGGCCTTGTTTAGAACAGAATGATCTGGGTATATTTTAAAGTGGCTACTTTCCTCCACCCCCTGCCAGAAGCACAGGGGAATTTTTCTCTAATCTTCTCTATTAGAAACTGATAGGACTTCTGGAAGTAAAACTCATCATAACATATGTCCCTCTTAGGACTGGGCCCCCTGAAGTTTTTTACTGTCAATCTTATCCACACTGATCATCTAGCGATTCATCAATTACAGGTTAAATTTTCCTGGTGGTTTTGATTCCAGGGCTTCTGCCCAAGAAAGTTGTGATTCTCTCTATCAACTTGTCACATCAATTTTGGAGTGATAGACATCAATTTTGGGGTGCACTGTGACTTCAGTTTCCCAAGGGATTTAAGAAGAGTTGTTGATTTTCAGTTTGCTCAACTTTTATTGTTGTGGTGAAGACTGGAGTCACAACTTCCAAGTTTCTTACATGCTGGACTACAAACTAGAAGTTCAATCATCCATTTATTTTTGCAAAAGCACCTTTTCAAAGGTCATCTGAAGCTAGTCATTGCATGAAGATACATTAATGTCCCAAACTGGTTAATAACTTATAAATACTCTAAACCAAGATTTAAAAATATTTGTTTCACATTTACATTTTTGTAGATGGCAGCAATGAGGAATGCTTTATTTTTTCCCTTTTAAGAGTGTTTTCTTAATGAGTAACAGTGGAAACAATTTACATTTGGCTAGGTATGTAAAGAGACCTGAGTTAACTGGCACCATACTTCTAACTTATCCCAAGAATGGTTTAGCATCCCTTATATGTTGTAAAACAAAATAAGATTATGTCATTGTCTTGTTTTTGTTGCTGTATTTAAACCTCCAATTTCTTAACATGCCCATGAGGCTCTCTATTACCTTGCTCACCTCTATTTCTTACCTACACCTTATCTAGTTTTACTTGCTTCTTTTCCCACTCTGCTCCAATCCAAGCTCATTCTCAATTTAGGGTCTTTGCACTTATCACCTCTGCCTGCAGTACTCATGCTTCAGATTTTTCATGACTGGTGCCTTCTCATAACTTATGTCTCAAGTCAACAGTCACCCCCTGAGGGAAAGCTTCCCTGTCTATCCTATCTGAAATACTCAGCATCAACATTGCTCTGCCGGGTGCGGTGGGTCACATCTGTAATTCCAGCACTTTGGGAGACCGAGGCAGGCGGATCACGAGGTCAGGAGATCGAGACCATCCTGGCTAACACGGTGAAACCCCGTCACTACTAAAAATACAAAAAAAATTAGCCAGGCTTTGTGGTGGGCACCTGTAGTCCCAGCTACTTGGGAGGCGGAGGCAGGAGAATGGTGTGAACCCGGGAGGCGGAGCTTGCAGTGAGCCGAGATTGCGCCACTGCACTCCAGCCTGGGCAACAGAGCGAGTCTCTGTCTCAAAAAAAAAAAAAAAAAAAAATTGCTCCTTGCTTCCCTTCCAGGTATGTTCCACCCCAGTTATTGGTCTGCTTTACATTCTTCACAGTTCATAACACTATTGAGATTGTTCATTTGTTAATATCCTTGCTAATTTTCTGCCTTGCCAATATACTGCAAAAACCATGAGCAGCCTGAACAGTCTTCCTTTTAATCCAACTCTACAACCACCCTTGGTGGATTTTTCTGCCCAGACATGGGCTCCAGAAGGAGATAGAGAATACCAAACTTACTCAACCCTACCCTTTCCTACAAAACTTTTTCCATTGTCCAGTGGGGCTAAATCAGGAGCAGGTACGTTGAATACTGAATTAAAGAATATGCCTCCCCCCAGGGAAGATCAGATGGCTGAACACTGTGAAGTCACATAACTGCTTTCCAAATATCTATCCTCCTTTCTTCTATGCCGAGATAACTGCTTTGTGCAGGGAGATAATATGTACATCGAGAAAGAATGAATCATGACTTGACTAAGACCAGTGGGACAATCCTATTTTCCATTTCTTCAGCCTCCTATGCAACCAAAGATGACCATGTGACATAGTTCTGATTTTTAAAAAGTGTGCAGAAGTTCGTTAGTGTTCCTAGGATAGTGTTTGCATTCTGTTTAGATGGAAAATACCCAGATACCAGTTTTTTCTTCCTATGCCCCTTTGTCTGCCTTGTTGGAGCTGCAGCAACTCTTTAATATCAAAGAGGTAACAAAAGCAGGCAAACTGAGAGTGATGGAGAGATAGATAGAAAGATTCTGGGTCTCTGTCCCACCTCCATATTTGTTATATTATACAGATGCTCCTCAATTTATGGTGGGGTTACATACTAATAAACTCATCAAAAGTTGAAAACATCATAAGTCAAAAATGCATTTAATATACCTAATATACCAAACATCAGCTCTTAGCCTAGCCTACCTTAGACATGTTCAGAACACTAACATTAGCTTATGCTTGGGCAAAACCATCTAACACAAAGCCTATTGTATAATAAAGTGTTGAATATCTCCTGTAATGTATTGAATACTGTACCAAAGTGAAAAATAGAATAGTTGTATAGGTATTCAAAGTATAGTTACTACTGAATGTACATTGCTCTCACACCATCATCAAGTCAAACACTCCATCGCAAGTCAGAGACTACCTGTACAGGTAAGGCATTCTCTTACTTGCAGCTCCATATATTTATAACTGATGGTGTATGATTATTGTAAACAAGGGTGCTATAAGTTATGTGTAACCCATAAAATGGGGAAAATGAGTGAATGGAGCAGATAGAGCAATGATGGGTTTGGACTCAATCATCTCAGGCTACAAAGTGGGTGACCCTCACTATGCAGTGGTAAGACATTTGACCAAACTGTCACCTGCCGACTGTTTGCCAACCAAAATTAAAGTGTTAGGGAAAATGTTAGGAAAAATGGAAGGCAAATGAAGACTCTGAAGAATGGTATGTAGCACTTTCTTTGATTCTTCAAGTCACTTACCCAATTTATTCTGATTGAATGGGTGCATGAAGCATACATAAAATTACATAAACTGCAAATTAATTATTATCAGATAAGAAAGAACTATTTTCTATGTAATCCTAAAGTTTAACTTAGAAGTCAGCTTATAAAGTAAGAAATTGCCTTGAGGGATGGCTTAGATTAGTAAATTAGTGTGTTCAGTGTTAACTAAGAAAGTAATTGCTCATCTGATGGTTGGTACCCAATAAGCATATTGATGATAAGTCACTACCAAGGTTGAACAGGCAAAGATATTAATTAACTTTAGTGGTTTATCAGCGTTTTAGAAAAGTAATTATAGGGAGAGAGTAATTTTTTTTAGTGTTCCGAGATTTTGAATGTGGCAAAAGATCCCATTTGTTTCACTTGCCTGCTTCTTTGTCACAAGACACCCCTCAAAAATGTAATATGTATACTGGCCCCCACTCTGATGTAATACATGTTAGTATTCATCACATTTACTTCAGATCTAATTTTTTTAAAGAAGCACTTTACAATGGACAAAGTTGAAATCCCATGTTCTTGTCTGTGAAATGAGGATGATAATAATAGTACCTGTATTATAAGTAACTATGCGGGTGAATGAAATGAGACAATCCATTGACCATATTTAGAACAGGGACTAGCAAATAAGAAGCACTCAAAAAAATGGTAACAGCTTCCTTGTCCTCCTCTTCCTCTTCCTTCTCTTTCCTTGTCTTTCCCTCCCTTTCCAGAAGTTATCAGTATTCTGAAGTTGGTCTGTACTCTTATCATATATATGTGTGTATGTGTGCATATACACACATATATACATGCCATATATAAGCCATTTATATTAATTTTAAAAAGAAAAATCCCTATTTTATATATGGTATAATACACTATATATGGTATATACACACTAGTGTATATACTCCCTATATAGATATATATACATATATCATATTTTAACACCATATATATTATTGTTTTTCTCTTTTAAAAGTTAATATAAGTAGTTCTACACTGCCCAGACCATTCTGCAACATGGGCAACATGCCAGCCAGTGTTAGTTTTCAACATGTCTCTATTAACACATATAGCTCCAATTATTCATTTAGACTATGCTATATATTTTTTCCATTGTATAATTCTAACTTTATTCATACATTCCCCTATTGATGGACAGTTAGGTTACATAAAGCTCTTCTGTTGTGAAAGGCACTACAGAAATGTCCTTGAGTATGTTTCTTTCTCCAAAGATGTGAGAGTTTCTCTTGGAGTAATTCGAAATAGTTCTGGGTCATAGGCATGTGTGAATATTTTTAACTTTAACTAATGATGCCAAAATGTATTTTGTTGTGGTTGTACTCGTGATGAAGGTTTCTATTTCTCTACCCACACTTAGTAAAGTCATACACTTTAAATTTCACCAGCCTAAATGGAGTGAGATGGCATTTGCATTTTCCTGATTACTAGTAAAGCTGTATATCTTTCCTTATGTATTGGCTATAATAAGTATTTCTTTTTCTGTGAAGTGCTTGCTTGTTTCTTTATTTATTTTTCTTTTGAGTTGTTCATCTTTTAAATTGATACTTGAGATGAATTATTTGTTGCTTAGGAACATTGTAAAAATCTTCTAACCTGTGGGTTTGGCTTTTTACATTTTTTTATATCTCTGTCATACAACAGTTTTTCAAATGAAGTCAAAACTGTCAATCTTTTCCTTCATAGTTTGCATTTTATGTCTTAAGACATCACTCTTGCCCTAGATGTCATATTTTCTTTGATGTTACTCTAATTCTTTTTTAGTTTGGTTTGTCGGCCTTGCTCAGTCTGCATGTCTGACCTGCTACTGAGGATTGTTTTGCTCTCTGTAGCACCAGCCTCAGAATGTACAGTTCATCTAGGAATTTTCTCAAGAGAGGTAGAGATGATAGCTTTCATGTAGACCAATCTTCTCTCTCCACTGGTAGTGTAGTATGCGCTAGGAGACTCTCAGCAATGTGAGGCAGTGCTTGGTGATGGGTGACCTCAGTGACTCACAGCATAAGATTGGAGAAATGGGGTGTAGAACACAGCAGAGGAGGATTGCGAGCTTCCTCCCAGAAGGGCTGCAGAACGTATCCGTGAATAAATAAAAAACAAATGCCTAGAGGCTCACCAGCCTCAGAGGAAATTGGATATAAAACCTCAAACCAAAAGGTCAACACAATCAGAACTCAGCGAATTTTTCTATTTCTAACTGGTTGCTCTTAACCAAGATTATTTCAGTCTGTCTACCTTCTCCGTGTATTTGAACAAATCTCTTACATGGGCACTTCTTACACTACACAGGGTTAAAAGGCTGCTATGCTCTTTTTTTCTCATCTGTGTGGAAATTCTCTTTCTTTTGTTCTCTCTTTCTTTTTTAATGGAGCAGTGATTTGAGTCACAGGACAGGAGAAAGGTCAGAGGCAGCCATCAGGAATGTCAGGGAAAGAAAAAATTCTGAACCAAAGTTGCTCACAATTGCATATTTTTAATTTCAGTACATGTTGCAGAAAGAATATTTTTCCTAAACAGCTTTAACAATTTTATCTGACCTGTACCCATCCTAGCTGTTAGCTGAGCAGAAATTCTTACCCATTTCAGAGCGGAACTGAAATACCTTGGTCAGGGATTGGGCCTTTTCTGGACAGGAAGTAGTAACTTGTGTGCTGCAGAGCCCGCTGATCACAGAAACAAGATCTTGGTGATGTGGTGCCAAGCGGATCATACAAAACCTGAGAATGGAGAATCCTGTTGCTGATAGTTTGGGATTACAGTGGCTAATGACACCAAACCATTCAGCAACACAAACTCTGGTACATCACCGAGCTCCTCAGAGTCAAGGCAACACTTAGGATGTGCAAGAAATGCAGAAGCAGCATCATGGGGCCATTTTTAAAGGGAGGTGATTATGAGCACATTGCAGTTCCTACTCAAGAAAAATAATATCTGAGTGGCCCATGAAGTGAAATTTTAAATGGAGTCCGATTTTCCATAAGGCAGAGAGTTAGAGACTAGTAAAATAATATTAGCAAGATAGTATCTTAAGACAGCAATCCATGGCTATTTAGTCCTTTGTTTATCGTTTGTCCTTCTCTCAATTTCCAAGTTGACTCTGAGCTTATGACTTCATTCAGAGAGTGGGGCAAGATGGAAATCTAGGATTACTTGACAAACATCTCTTTTCTTGGCTTGTATTTCTGAAAGTCTAAGCCCAAAAAGAAGAGAGGATTCATACATGAAGGAGAAGAAACAGCCAGATGCAGTGGCTCATGCCTGTGATCCTAGCACTTTGAGAAGCCAAGCTGGGAGGATTGCTGGAGACCAGGAGTTCGAGACCAGCTTGGGCAACATAGCGAGACCCTGTCTCTACAAAAACTTTTTTAAAAATATAGCCATGCATGTTAGCATGTGCCTGTAGTCTCAGCTTCTTGGGAGGCTGAAGTGGGAGGGTCACTTGAGCCCAGGAGTTCAAGGTTGCAGTGAGACATGATTGCACCGCTAGACTCTAGCCTGGGCAACAAAGCAAGACTGTGTCTCCAAAAAGAGGAGAAGAAACATTTTGGAGAAGTAGAAGTGAATGCAGGGACCTCCCCAAGCCTGATGGATTTTCCTGGAGCTCAGGGAGATTGAGAGAGACATTGAAGGGTCCATAGAGCAGAGGGGTCTGGGGTCTGTTTATCAGCAACTTCTCCAGAAAGATGGCCTGACTTTGGAGGGTATGCTGCATGGCACATCTAGGAACTGGGAATCATGCAGCCAAGAGGGTGCAGAAGTAGCAGGGGGATCGTGCTCTCTGGAGCAATGTCTATGAGCTGATGACTGACAGCCAAGGTGTCCCCTGCCCTGAGTGCTATGATGCTGCATTAGAACCCAGTGCCATGCAGAACCCCAAAAGAGAAGAGAAACATTAGAATACCTGGGATTAAGGAGTTAGAAATCAAGTTGCATGAAATAAAAATTTTAAAATTATATTTCTTTCATTTCTAAGTTTTTCAATGAGTTTTATTCCCATCAATCAGTCCCTTCTCAGTCAGTCCTTGTTACCTCCCCGCCCCTGCAGAGTCAACCATTAATGTAATTTCTAATGCCATAAATTAGCTTTGACTTTTTCAGACTTTCCTATTAAATGGCATTGTGTTATCTGTTCTCCTTCATGTCTGGCATCTTTTTCACAGGATGTCGTTAAGTTTATCCCATGTTGCTGCATGCATTAGAACATTGTGGTTCTCACTGCCAAGTAGAATTCCATTGTATGAATATACATTAATTTGTTTGCCTGTTCTCCTGCTCATGATCACCTAGGTTCCATATTTAGCTTACTGTCTTTAGCTTACTGAATAAAATGGCTATGAAGATTCTTGTATATGTCTTTTATTAAGAAAACACAATTCTGAATAAGTCATACATTTGAAAAGAAACCATAATGAATTATGAAAAATGGAAAACTTGGAATTTAATTACACCAAAGCATTACATATGGAAACTTGTGGGAATGCAATAAAAATGGTGCTCTAAAGGAAATTGGTAGCCTTATATGCTATCATTTATCATTTATAGTCATAAAGGAAAGCTATAGGCTAAAAAATTAATGAATAAGGGACTCTACACCTGCCAAGAGGGAGTAACAAGCAACTTATCCTTTGGCTACACAACTATAAAGCTGTACAAAACACATGAAACGACTATTTTTGGGCAGTGGACAATAGGCAGCACAAGGTTATGATACTGAGAGAAAAGAAACACTAAAGATGAGCTCAACATTCAGCCTAGCTTTTCATCTTGGGCACTTTCCAAATTGCACCACAAAGTGGATCCCAAATAGAAAGCAGTATTATGGCAGGGCAGAAGGGACAGATCTGAATTCAGTGCTGCTAAGGTAGCTGGAATTTCTGGGGCAGGCTATTAGTAGATGGGGGTTTGCACAGATAAAGAACCTCCAAAATTTGCATTGAAATTCCATGAGATTTTGGATAAAGACTAAGTTAAGAACGCATGGGGCTGGTGGAGAACAGCTACTAGGGTGCTGTGAGAAGAGTGCAGATCTTGATGGTGGCAGAGTTGGGGGAGACATTGGAATTCGGAGCTGGTTTTGTTTTTCAACCACCATTGTAATTTTATACAGGCAATGCTTGCTAGGATTTACCTAAATATTTACCATGTGATAGTCTTTTTTTAAAAAATTATTATATTTAAAGTTCTGGGGTACATGTGTACAACGTGCAGGTTTGTTACATAGGTATACGTGTGCAATGTTGGTTTGCTGCACCCATCAACTCATCATTTACATTAGGTATTTTTCCTAATGCTATCCCTCCCCCAGCCCCACACCCCCTGACAGGCCCCAGTGTCCCTCCCTGTGTCCATGTGTTCTCATTGTTTAACTCCCACTTATGAGTGAGAACATGCGGTGTTTGGTTTTCTGTTCCTGTGTTAGTTTGCTGAGAATGATGGTTTTCAGTTTCATCCATGTCCCTGCAAAGGACATGAACTCATCCTTTTTATGGCTGTATAGTATTCCATGCTGTATATGTGCCACATTTTCTTTATCCAGTCTATCATTGATGGGCATTTGGGTTGGTTCCAAGACTTTGCTATTGTGAACAGTGCTGCAATAAACATACATGTGCATATGCCTTTATAGTAGAATGATTTATAATCCTTTGGGTATATAGCCAGTAATGGGATTTGTGTGTTAAATGGTATTTCTAATTCTAGATCCTTGAGGAATCGCCACAATGTCTTCCACAATGGTTGAACTAATTTACACTCCTACCAACAGGGTAAAAGCATTCCTATTTCTTCATGTCCTCTCCAGCATCTGTTGTTCCCTGACTTTTTAATGATCACCATTCTAACTGGAATGAGATGGTTTCTCATTGTGGTTTTTATTTGCATTTATCTAATGATCAGTGATGATGAGCATTTTTTCATAAGTTTGTTGGCTGCATAAATGTCTTCTTTTGAGAAGTGTTTGTTCATATCCTTTGCCCACTTTTTGATGGTTTTTTTCTTGTAAATTTAAGTTCTTTGTAGATTCTGGATATTAGCCCTTTGTCAGATGAATAGATTGCAAAAATTTTCTCCCAATCTGTAGGTTGCATGTTGACTCTGCTGATAGTTTCTTTTGCTGTGCAGAAGCTCTTTAGTTTAATTAGATCCCATTTGTCTATTTTGGCTTTTGTTGCCATTGCTTTTGGTGTTTTAGTCATGAAGTCTTTGCCCATGCCTGTGTCCTGAATGGTGTTGCCTAGGTTTTCTTCTAAGGTTTTTATGGTTTTAGGTCTTACATTTAAGTCTTTAATCCCTCCAGCACCATTTATTAAACAGGGAATCCTTTCCCCATTGCTTGTTTTTGTCTGGTTTGTCAAAGATCAGATGGTTGTAGATGTGTGGTGTTATTTCCGGGGCCTCTGTTCTGTTCCATTGGTCTATATATATGTGTGTTTTGGCACCAGTACCATGCTGTTTTGGTTTCTGTAGCCTTGTAGTAAAGTTTGAAGTCAGGTAGCATGATGCCTCCAGCTTTGTTCTTTTTGCTTAGAATTGTCTTGGCTATGCAGGCTCTTCTTTGGTTCCATATGAAATTTAAAGTAGTTTTTTCAATTCTGTGAAGAAAGTCAGTGGTAGCTTCATGGGGATAGCACTGAATATATAAATTACTTTGGGCAGTATGGCCATTTTCACGATATTGATTCTTCCTATTCATGAGCATGGAATGTTCTTCCATTTGTTTGTGTCCTCTTTTATTTCGTTGAGCAGTGGTTTGTAGTTCTCCTTGAAGAGGTCCTTCACATCCCTTGTAAGTTAAATTCCTAGGTATTTTATTCTCTTTGTAGCAATTCTGACTGGGAGTTCACTCATGATTTGGCTCTCTGTTTGTCTGTTATTGGTATACAGGAATGCTTGTGATTTTTGCAAGTTGATTTTCTATCCTGAGACTTTGCTGAAGTTGTTTATTAGCTTAGGGAGATTTTGGGCTGAGACAGTGGGTTTTCTAAACATACAATCATGTCATCTGCAAACACGGACAGTTTGACTTCCTCTTTTCCTAATTGAATACGCTTTGTTTCTTTATCTTGCCTGATTGCCCTGGCTAGAACTTCCAGTACTATGTTGAATAGGAGTGGTGAGAGAGGGCATCCTTGTCTTGTGCTGGTTTTCAAAGGGAATGTTTCCAGTTTTTGCCCATTCAGTATGATATTGGCTGTGGGTGTGTCACAAATAGTTCTTATTATTTTGAGATACATTCCATCAATACCTAGTTTATTCAGAGTTTTCAGCATGAAGGGCTGTTGAATTTTGTTGAAGGCCTTTTCTGCATCTATTGAGATAATCGTGTGGTTTTTGTCATTGGTTCTGTTTATGTGATGGATTACATTTATTGATTTGTGCATGTTGAACCAGCCTTGCATCCCAGGGATGAAGCCGACTTGATCATGGTGAATAAGGTTTTTGATGTGCTGGTGGATTCGGTTTGCCAGTATTTTATTGAGGATTTTCACTTTGATGTTCATCAGGGATATTGGCCTGAAATTTTGTTGTTGTTGTTGTATGTCTGCCAGGTTTTGTATCAGGATTATGCTGGCCTAATAAATTGAGTTAGGGAGGATTCCCTCTTTTTCTATTGATTGGAATAGTTTCATAAGGAATTGTACCAGCTCCTGTTTGTACCCCTCGTAGAATTCACCTGTGAATCCGTCTGGTCCTGGACTTTTTTTGGTTTGGTAGGCTATTAATTATTGTCTCAATTTCAGAACCTGTTATTGGTCTATTCAGAGATTCAACTTCTTCCTGCTTTAGTCTTTGGAGGGTGTATATGTCCAGGAATTTATCCACTTCTTCTAGATGTTCTAGTTTATTTGCATAGAAGTGTTTATAGCATTCTCTGATGGTAGTTTGTGTTTCTGTGGGATTGGTAGTGATATCCCCATATCATTTTTTATTGTATCTGTTTGATTCTTCTCTATTTTCTTCTTTATTAGTCTGGCTATCTATTTTGTTGATCTTTTCAAAAAACCAGCTCCCAGATTCACTGATTTTTTTAATGGTTTTTTTTTGTGTCTCTATCTCCCTCAGTTCTGCTCTGATCTTAGTTATTTCTTGTCTTCTGCTAGCTTTTGAATGTGTTTGCTCTTGCTTCTCTAGTTCTTTTAACTGTGATATTAGGGTGTCAATTTTAGATCTTTCCTGCTTTCTCCTGTGGGCATTTAGTGTTATAAATTTCCCTCTACACATTGCTTTAAATGTGTCCCAGAGATTCTGGTATGTTGTGTCCTTGTTCTCATTGTCTATCATTCTTTTTTGCATCCCAGACTGTCCTTCTGGAATCATTTTCCTTTTTTTTGAAGGAAATAATTTCAAAGTTCTTTTGAAGTAAGTATCTTGGTATCAGACTCTCCCATTTTCTAAATTTATAAATATTTTATCTTACTTTTATTCCTGAATAACAGCTATACAGTACACTGGATTCTAAGTTGAATTATTTTTTCTCCACACTTGGTAATTATTCTTTCATTGTATTTTAACCTCCTTTTTTTTGTTGGGAAGTCTGTTCTCATTTTACCGTGATGGGTTCTTTCTCTATAATTGTTTTCAAGATCTTTTCTAAGCCTGTGATATTTTGCAGTTCCTCACCCATTTATCTAAGAATGGACTTCTTTTCGTTATCCTGCTTTAGACACACTGTGTTTCCTAGGTCTTCCTGGATTCATGTGGTGTTTTTTAAACCTCAGTCATTATTATCAATTCTGCATTGATAATGCAGAATTCTCAGTCATTATCATTTAAACCAGAAGTAACTCCTGGTGCTGGTCCACAGCCTGTTAGGAACTGGACCACACAGCAGGAGGTGAATGGGCGAGCAAGCGTTACCATCTGAGCTCTGCCTCCTGTTGGATCAGCAGTGACATTAGATTTTCACAGAAGCATGAACCCTATTGTCAACTGTGCATGTGGGGGATCTAGGTTGCTCACTCCTTATGAGAATCTAATGCCTGATAATCTGAGGTAAAACAGTTTCATCCCAAAACCATTCCCTCCAACCCCCCTTCCGTGGAAAATTGTCTTCCATGAAACTGGTGCCTGGTGCCAAAAAGGTTGGAGACCACTGGTTTAAACTACTTTCTCTCCAACATTTTGTTTGTTTTTTCCTCTGGAGACATCAGTCATTCCTATATTAGATTTTCTCATTCAATTCTCATCCCTTAACCTCTCTTTCACATTTTCTATCTTGTTGTCTCTCCTAAGTAAATGCTGGTTAAATTCTTCCCATAATCTGCTGTTAAACAGATTCATGTATTTTTACATCAAGAGTTATATTTTGTAAATCTATTAGTTCCCAGTATTTTCTTATTATAATCTTTATATCTTTAAACAACTCATAGTAACTATTCTGCATTCTTTTCTGATTACTCTAATATCCATAGATTTGGGAACCCTGAATTGATTGTTTATTGGCTCTTCAATTTTCACTCATAGTTTGTCTTCTCATGCTTAATTTTAGTCCTTTTGGCCTAGGTGGAGAAACATTGCTCACATGGGAATCTGTTTCCTACTCAGAAGGTAGCTCCTGCCCTTGGCACTGTTCCAGTTGTGTTGGGAAGAGACATGGTAATTCTTTTCCCAGGTTCTGCATTGACAATCATTCTGCTAATATTCATTAGCTACATTTTGTGCCTGATACAGTTCTAGGTGCTTGAGATGTAACATAAGAAAAAGTACTACAGGTCAGATGTTAAAAAGTGCTTTGGAAAAATTTAAAGCAGAATAAGAGAATAGGAAGTGTGTAGGCTGCTTGGGGCGATGTTTTGCAATTTTGAATAGCATGGCTGGGAAAGCCTTCACTGAGAAAATGGAAGTTGAGCAAAGGCCTGAATAAGATGAGGGACCCAGGCATATGGATAACAGAGGGATGGGCATTCCAGATGGGAGTAGCAGCAGATACCAAGGCCCTGAAGTAGAAGCATGCCTTCTGTGTTGGAAGAACTACAAAGAGATCAATGTAGCTGAAGGGAAGGAGTATGGGACCTAGTAGTAAGAGATGAGGTTAGAGAGGAAAAAGTATCGAATCTTTAGGGTTTGGTAGGCCTTGTAAACTTTTAGCCTTTTACTTTGCATAAGAGGGAAAGGCATTGAAAGTTTTGAGCTAGGCAGTGACATGATCTGACTTGGGATCTAAGAATTGCTTTGTGTTTTGTGTTAAGAATAAATTGTAGGCAGGGCAAATGGGCAAATCAGGCAGATCAGTTGGAAGGCTATTGCAATAATTCATGAGAGAGGATGGTGGCTTTGACCAGTGTGATAGCGGTGCAACTCACTGGAAACAATCAGATTCTGGATAGAGTTTGCTGGTGAAGCCAACAGATTTGCTAATGAATTGGATGTGGGATTGAAGGGAAAAAGAGGATCCAAAGATGGCTCTGGGGTCTGAGCAATTGACAGGATGCAGTTAACATTTCCAGAAAAGGCAAAGTCTGCCAGAGGAGCAGATAGTTGTTGCTGGGGAGGAAGAGGAGCAATAAGTTTTGAATATAAGTTTGAGATACTTATTAGATATCCAGTGGAGATGTTAAGTAATTAGTCAGATATATGAATCTGAAGTTCAAGGAGAGGTTTGGTCTGGATATATGAATTGGGGTCTTCAGCATATTATAGTATTTAAACCTAGGTGGAATTATCTTGTGGCTGAATGAAGCAAGGGGAAAAACAAAGAGATGAAAGGACCAGACTTGTGGACACTCCAACTTTAAGAAGATGGGAAGATGAGCAGGACCGGGTAAAAGAGACAAAGACTGAGCAGCTGTAATAGGAAAGAAAGAGAAAAACCATTAGGAGCATGGGAAACAAGTAGTTCAACCAGAAGAGAGTAATTGGCAGCATCAAACTTGGCTGGGAGGTCAAGTATGATGAGAACTGAAATTCAACCTGATAGAAATGGGTTCAAGAGGAAGTTGGAGAAAAACTAGACAATGAATTCGGATTATTTATAAAACTTGCAATACGTTAAAGGGGACAAGAGAAATGAAGACTACTGTGACACGTGGGGTTAAGAAAGAATTGTACTTTTTAAGTAGGTGAAATAATAGCATGTTTTATACTCATGAGAATGATCCGGTAGAGAAGAAAGACAGATGAGAAAGAAGTTTCTGAAGTGATGTCATTGAATAGGAAAGAGAAGATTGGCTCTCATGCACAGGGAGGAGCCATAGCTAGGAACATGAACAGTTAATTCCTAGTAACGGGAGGAAGAGCAGGCCATATAGGCACAGCTATTGGATATGTGGTGATGGAAACTTATGACATTTTCCTCTGATTGCTAAGAGTAAAAGCAACCTCAGAAAAAGGACCCATTCTCGTTTCTGCAATTTTAAAGAGTATTAATTTATAAAAACTCATTGGCCAGATCAAGAGGGAATCTCCCGGCCTGGTTCTGTTAATACCGGGAACTCTCAAATGTGATGTAGCTACGTCTGCTGACTGGGAGAAGGTACTGTGAGATAACACAGGGACAGTGGGGAGCAGCTCAATTAGCTGGGGCCAGCTGTGATAGAAGATATTGAATGGGTTCTGTGCTTTCAGAATGAAAGATCAGAGGGAACTGAAGTAGTGCTGGCCAATACTTATTGTGGTCCTTGACATACTGGGAAGCATTATTGTACTTATTTTCTGCATTATTTAAAGACTATTCAAGATTAATAAGCTGGTTATGAATGGTATTTCTTCTTTTTAATAAAACTTTAATCTGCTACATTTTCATCAGCAGGTTTGCAAAAATGTATTATAAGATCAGGATATGCTAAGGTATAATTTTTTCACTTCTCTGAATTTGGTTTGATCTAAAAGCAGCACTATATTCAAAAAAGGTAATTTAGGATATTCAGAGTGTCATGACATCTCCAATATAAATGGGACATAGGATTACAATCTAATGTGAAAATAAGTACAGATCACTTTCATTGGCATTAATGATTTTTAAAAATTCTAATTTATAATTTTCCTAATAAAATATTTAATTTAATTTTATGTTTTTAGGAGATAATTCCAATAGGATTAAGTTATTTCTACCCTTGTTTCTTCTTGTCTCATTCATTTTACTATTTCTTATACCCATCACAGGGTCTGTACATTGCAGGCATTCAGTACTTTTTTTTTTAAATGAATGAGGCCAATTCAGGTTCTAAACTTTTGAGTTTCTTCTCCATATTTCTTTTTGCTTTATTACTGCAATAAATTATTTCTTAAATTCTGTTTAATCAGAAGATTTTAAGATTAACAATATAGAACCAAAGTCTGATTTTACTAGTAGAAAATTATTGAAAGTCTACATCAATTTGCATGATCCATTTGATGCACAGATTGAAACTTAATTCACTTGTGATAGTGAATCTAGATCATTCCCTCAGGACAGAAACTCTGAAGAATTTCAGCCTGAATTATTTAGATTGGTGATCAAGGTGTTACCCAAAGCACAACTTTTTTTTTTTAACTTACTCATTTATTCAAACAAAACTTTAAATATTCTAATTTTTACTTTTTTTGAGACAAGTTCTCACTCCATCGCCCAGGTTGGAGTACAGCAGCATGATCTCAGCTCACTGCAACCTCCACCTCCCAGGTTCAAGCAATTCTCATGCCTCAGCCTCCTGAGTACCTGGTACTACAGGCACCTGCCACCACACCAGCTACTTTTTTGTTCCCCTGAGATGAAGACTTGCTCTGTCACCCAGGCTGTAGTGCAGTGGCACAATCTCAGCTCACTGCAATCTCTGCCTCCCAGGTTCAAGCAATTCTCCTGCCTCAGCCTCCCAAGTAGCTGGGATTACAGGCACACATCACCATGCCCAACTAATTTTTGTATTTTTAGTAGAGACAGGGTTTCACCATGTTGGCCAGGCTGGTCTTGAACTCCTGACCTTGTGATCTGCCCACCTCAGCCTCCCAAAGTACTGAGATTACAGGCATGAGTCACTGCACCCAGTCAATTTTTTTTTGTATTTTTGGTAGAGATGGGGTTTTGCCATGTTCGCCAGGCTGGTCTTGAACTCCTGGCCTCAAGTGATCTGCCCACCTCAGCCTCCCAAAGTACTGGGATTACAGGCATGAGCCACCATGCCCAGCCTAAATATTCTTATTTTTTTTAGTACTGTAAGAAGAATATCTAGATCAGGAGAACATGCTGCCCATGGCTAGTTTCACATTTCTTTTGGGGTTTACTCATTTTAGTTTCCAATACTTATGTGTCTCTGGGGCTCAGGTGTACATTTTCTTCCTTTAATTCTCTACCCACTCTGATGTAGCCTTGAAAAAAACCCTTTCCCTGATTTGCCATAGTGCAGTGGACAAGAGTGTCATTTTCAAAAGGCATTTAATACATAACAGAAAATTTAAAGAAGAAAATCACCGAATACTTGATGCATAAATCAGGGGTAGCTTCTAAGTTTATGTCTCTTATTCTGTAGTACTAGATTGCTGGGTCTAACTTTTGGAATGTCAGGGTAAGGACCTCTGAAAATGTGACCCTCCATAAAAGCTGTGAGAAAACTGACAACAATGTCAAAATTAACTTTTTCAGAACTCTGAAAATTAACCAAAGACTTGCAAAAATCTCAGGAGCTTGTATTCAGATAAACACCTGAATCTTGGTAAGAGTAGTGACCTTTATGGTTTTTCACTTGCCCTATTCCCATCAACCTCTTCCTAGATTTGGAGTAGCCTTGAAAACCAACAGCCTTGTGGATATGGTAGTGGTGAAAACCGTTAGCCTAGCAGCCATGGAAGGGCCAAGAATTAATGGGTTTGGAGCTCCCGCAAAGCCCAATCTCCAGAGAATTGTCACTATTTGACCTGTGTCACAGCTCCCCTAAAAGCTATTCACTGTCTTTATTTGATCTGACTCAGACTATTTCTATGCAACAGTTTAATCTCTAGAGCATTGTCAATAACAATCAGCAGCAATTTTTTAACATCACAGCTGCCTGAAGGGAAAATACTGCTTGAGGGTAACAAAAGGCTGACCAAAGACTTAAAAGAAAAAATTGGGAATGACATGTCCCCGGTGAACTTTAAAAAGCTCTAAAATATATCTGGGGATCTAGAAAAAACAAATGTATATTCAGGGCTGTGAATATTCCCAGGAATTATCTGAAAAGGTTCTACTCAGCTGACCTCGCTCACCTGAACTTGAGGCTTTGTGCAAGCAATAAGTGATGGCTAAGGCAGCATAGCAAGCATTCTGCTGGAGTGTTGATTAGATTCCCCAACACATATAAACAGCCCCTGAGCAAAAGCTGAGAGACTACTGGATCAATGCATCTCCATCCAATTATTAACTGATCACCAGGTTAACTGACCAGAAACCTCAGGGGCCACACACGACAGAATGAAAACTTTAAAGAATTAGTTCAGGAAAATCACAAAACAAGCAAACAGCATCAGCAACAATCAAAAACGCTGGGAGGAGGGAAATCTGATTTCCCAAGTTGCCACATTATACTACTTTTAAACATCCAGTTTTCAACAAAAAAACTATGCAATATATGCAAAGAAATGTAGGAAACTAATGCATGTACACAGGGAAAAGGGCTGTGAATAAAAACTGTCCCTGGAAAAGCCCAGATGTTAGACATACTAGAAAAAGACTTTAAACCAGCTGCTATATCTACAGAACTAAAGGAAACCATGCTCAATGAGAACAATGCTTACCGAGTGGAGAATATCAATACAGATAGAAATTTTTAAACAGAACAAATAGAAATTTGGGAGTTGAAAACACAATAACTGAAATAAAAATTTCACTAGATGGTCTCAAGAGCAGAATGAAATGGCAGAAGAAAATACTAGAGATCTCAAAGATGAAAGAAATCAGAGAGCTTGAAGATAAATCAATTGAGAATATTCAGTCTGAGGAACGGAAAGAAAAATAAAGAAAAATGAACAGAGCCTCAAAGGTCTGTGGAATAATCATAAAGCATACCAGATGCATCATAGGAATCTCAGAAAAAGAGGAAAGAGAGAACATATATTTGAAGAAATAGTGGTTGAATGCTAGGTTAACTCCAGGTTCTAACTTATTTCTCATTTTGTCTTTTGGAAATTTATATTCTTGCCCTAAAGGACAGTAGCTTACCTGATTCCTATCTTTTGGCTTCCAGCCTTCCTCACCAGCCAAAATCAAAGAAAAGCAAAACAAAAAAAGCTCGCAGACATTATGAACGCTTTACTGTAGTTAAAATATAGCAGCCTTTGAAGTATGTTCTAAATGTGAATTCTAGTACTATCATTAACTAACTAGGTGATCTAGGGAATTATTTGTCTTCTCTAAGCCCCAGTGTCCTTGATTATTAAAATGCAGATAATTATATCATCTTCATAAGATTATTGTGAGGTTCAAATTGAGTACACACATACAAACACACACACACACATACACGTATATATCTGGACCTTAGTGGCCAATACTACTTTTATCCCTTGTCCCTTTCTTTTGGTTAGTTTATCAACTCAAGAGAGTGGTTTCAAAAAAAATGTCAAATTTCTTTAGAGCAGAATTAAACTTTCCCAACTGAACTCTATATCTAAAAACCCATCCCTTACTGGGGTGGGAGTAGTGGGGAGAAAAATTGAGGCAATGCATCAGAAGATTCCACTAGGACTAGAAGAGAAGAGGAGATTCCTCACTGGAAGTTGCAAAGAGCACCAGGGCCAGGAGAAGATGTGGAACTGAGAATCAAGTGGAGGGCTAAGGTTAAAAAGCTCAAGAGAACAGCTTGAATGATAGGATACAATGGAAGGTACCCAGAGTAGAATGCCACCATGTTCATAAAACAAGGAGGAGTGGTTTGATAGTAAAAGGGAAGTGAATGGTAAATGTACTTATTAAAACACTTTGAATTATTTTTGTGTCTTTTTTCTTGTATCCTGATACTAATGCTTATTAATTTATTTATTTCAAAAGTAATACATGTTCATGATAAGAAGTTAAATCAGTATCAAAGGATGTAAAAGCCTACACCTAACCTCATTTCCCATATCCACACTCCAGAGATAAATTTTATTTATAATCTATTGTATATTATATAAAAAATTAATAAGTCTATCTACATATATTAACTATATCTAACTCTCTTTCCCTCATTCTCTTTCCCTTTTCTCAAATAAAATCACTTTACATATATATATTTCTATACATCTATATATACCCTTCTATATAGTTATATACACCTATGCATATATATATCCTTCTATATAGTTCAGCTTTTTCCACTTAATAGCATTTTAAACACCATTCCACATAGATATACTTCATTCCTTTTAACTGCTGCATAACTTTTCAAATTATAAATTAATAATTTGCTTAATTTGTCTTCAATTAATGATCATTGAGATTATTGCTAGATTTTTGCTGCCAGGAATATCTTCGCATATATCACTGTGTACTTCTGGGAGTAAATCTGAAGGATGCATTCTACAGGGAATATGGCAGCCACAGCTGGCTACCTGCCCAGTGTCCACTTTCCCCTTCTTCTCTGCTGAGAAAACCCCAATTTTGTTCTTGGTGTCATGCTTCCAATGCTCAGCTTCCTGGACTTTGCACTTGGAGTGCTAGGTAACAAAGCATCCAAGTGACAAAGTGATGAGATGTAAGTGGATGTGACAGATTTTCCCTTCTGAGGGAGCTTGTTTTACATGACAGGCTCAGCTGGACATGACTCTTTTGCCCTTTGCCCTTTCTCCTTTACCCTGGAATTTGCCTGGGAAAGGCAATAAAAGTCACACGCTTAGCACAAATGGATACCTTATTCCAAGTCCCTTCTTAAGACAAAAATAAAGCTCTATTTGGTTAAGTCTCTAATCGGGTTGTAGGTGCACACAACCAAGTGCAATCCTGACTGATACAAATGGAAATTCTGGGTCAAATGGTACATGGATTTAAAAGTTTTACAGATATGGCCAAAGTGTCCTCTAAAGGGTTGCCATGCTCCCTGACATCACATGTAGGACTTCTTGACTTAACCCACAGATGCACCTTTGCAGCTTTGTCAGTTTTATCAGCCTCTACTATTACTGGGTCTAGCTTTCTTTCTCTTCACCAATGTCCTCTTTGGCAGCTGGTCCAGCAAACCTTATGCTTGTGCATGCTAAAATTACACCAAAGGCAATTAATGACCACTGTGTTAACCAGCACAGTCTGTCAATTAACAAATGCTTAAATGACATTTTTGTTTACTTTCTTGATCTCATTGGTAAAAGTGGTGGCTTTTTCCTTGGTATAAAATGGTGTTTAAAAATGAAACATACTTGTGAAAATACAAAAATTTTTCCATTTACTAATTATAATCAAGGCAAGGGGCTGTGCATTTGTGTGATTTGGTTAAATAAACACAATTCTCAATTTTGCTGGTGTATTTCTCCAGTTCTATTAATGAAAATATCAGGGTAAACATTTTAGGCCCGGCCTGCTGAACTATAATGGCTGGGTTGATCGATGTCAGGAGAGAGCCTAGTTTTAAAACCATAGCCTTTGACCAGAAGAGCAATCGTGTTTTGGTTTATAAGGCTGGGGTTGAAATCAAAATTTGAGGCAAATCAGGGCTTCTCAAACTTATAATGCATACAAATCACTTGAGTATATTGTTAAAATGCAGATTCTGATTCAGAAGAACTGCTTTGGGGTCAGAAATTCTACTTCCAAGTGATGCCACATCCACTAATAGGATCTTGAAATAACAGAGGCAAAGGAGCTGCTTCATCATCAGAAGCAAGCTGGGCACGATTATAATGAGTGGCAAGGTCAGAGTGGCAGCCAGGGAGCTTGACCTGCAGAGAGCTTTAGAGACTGTTAAAATAACACGGCATCTCTACGGGCAAAATAGATGGGTAGCCAACAACACATTTCTCCATCTTTTGGATGGTCAGGTAAAAACACGTTGCTCCTAAAGCCAAGACACACATAGAGCAAGCATCTTGGTTTAGTATCTGTATCCATCGAGGTCTAATCAGAAAAATAGAAATCATGATACGTCACACAAAGGGGATTTAACACAGGGAATTGGTTACAGAAATATTGGCAGGTTGAGAGGGCAAAACAAGCATGCTGAGGTCACTCAGAGATGAATAACTGTAGAAGGCAGTGCCATGTTATATTATAGCTCAGGGAGCTCAAAGGAAGAATTGGAGTCACCAGAATCTAGGAGCATTGAGATGAGGCTCTTACTTAGAAAAATGAGATCCTGGACTCTGAACCAATGCCATAATGGGGTGAGACTTTGAGGGTCTTCTGGGAAGAAGCTAAATAATTCGTGGCCAGAGGGCAGGCTATGGTTCACTAAAGACTCTCGACACTCTTCTCATGGAAAAATGGGATCTATTTCCCCATCCTTAAAATCCAGGCTGGCCTGTGACTCCTTTGACCAGTGGAATATGGCAGAAGCAACAGCCATTTGGGACCTAGTCTTTCAGAGAAGTAGCAGCTTCTGCCTTAGCCTCTTGGAGTCCTGACCTGCCGTTTTAAGTTCACCCACCCACGGGAGAGGTCCTGAGACTGGATGAGGAAGAAAAGGCTGAGCTCAGCCTTCCAGGGTCCCCGCCAAGGTGCCAGGTATGTGAAGAGGTCAGTTGGACCCTTCAGACCGGACTAGCCACTAGCTAAGTACCACAAAATGACCCACTGATGTCCCATGGATCAGAAGAATCTCCTGGACCAGCTTTGCCCAAAAGACCTACAAAATCAAGAGACATAAAATAAAATGGTTATTGTTTCAGGCCACACATTTTGAGAGTAGCTTTTGTTGCCACAATAGATACCCCCAAATGATTTGCATAATGGTCTACTTTTGGCTAGTTTTTACTTCATGGCCAGCGCAGACACACAGGGGGAGAAATCCTGCCTCCTCTGGACTTCCTAAATCTCTCCCCAAGAAGAGAATGATTTAGTACCTTCAACAGTAACTTCTCTACTTTGCATCACTGAAACAGCATTAGGAAGACCATAGGTGGAATTCAATACTCTCACTCGACTTCTCTACACTCCTGGCCATATTAATTTTATCCCAAAGCTAAAGTATTTAACTTGGCAATGTGATTGAAGACATGTTAGAGCAAAATAGCATTTTTCTTTTAAAAGACAACAATATACATTGTAAATAAAGAATAATTTACTCCAAAGAATGCTCTTTTAACTTGGCCATGTGGTCAAAGTCACTTTTATTATGGCTTGGAGTGATATGCAATTATTATATTTAGACAGCATTTACTTTGGACAAGGGTGCCAAATTTGTACAGTTGCACACCATATGCTTTTCATTTTGCAATAATCAATTCCAAGATTTCCATTTTCCCTGCTTTTTCTAGGCAGTCTTTCTTAAATGACAGCATTTAAAAATTGCAGTAGCCATGTTTAGTGAATTATGAAGCTCTTTAGCTCTTGTTTTAAATATTGGCCTCCTGGTATTTCCTAAACCTTTAACTTTAGATATTATTATCAAGTTATATATTATGGCTTTTCCTTTTGGGTTTCATCATTATAGTTTTAGTTTTCATCTATTATTAAAAGCATTAAATGTGAAGTTGTGGATGGATTCCTGGGCTTCTCCCATATATAGTAGATAATCCTTATTTATAATAAGTTTTGCTGGTGATTCAGATGCAGGTGACCCATAACTAGCTTGAAAAAGAAGGAAGAGCCTCATTCCCATGCCTATACTCCAAGCAGGGATTTGACATAATGGTTCTGGTTTTGGGAGGGTAGGGTTGGGAGAGATGACAAGCTTAACAGGGCCCTGTCACCAGCCACAAAAGATAGACCCTGTACTTCCTTTAGACTCACATAGACAAATTAGGAAACTGCATTTAGTTTTGCCAGACAGCAAGATGTGATTTATAAAATTAGTACTGTTAACAACGATCTGAAAATGTCCTTAATGCAGCAGTTCTCAGCACAAGTGGCACAGTAGATTTCACTAGCGGGGGCTGGGGAAGCTTTGAAAAGTTTTCATACTCTGGCTACATATGAGATCAACTAAATAAGAACCCCTAGTTGGGGGATATCTGTACTTCTGAAGCTCCCCTGGAGATTCTTATGAGGAGTCAAGATTGAGAACCACATGCATATCACTCTTAAGGCACCATAGCATCTGCCCTCCATTTTTGGAATTGGCAGCAAAAATGGCATGGCATGCAACAGTCCATGGTGTAAACCGGCTGTTTGAGGAGTATATGTTCTAACATGAGAACCATGACCAAAGGGACAAAGCAGCTAGTGTGCTTGGGTGGTGACAATGCAGAAGGCCTTGTGGTTCTGGGAATTACCACAGAATTGAAGAGGGGGAAAAGATCCTTAGGCTTCCATACTCCAACTGGCTGATATTACAACTAAGAGAAACAAATGAGGTTACAGAAAGTTGCTGACACAGGCAGGACAGGACCTAGGGGCTCTCTCTCTCAGGCCAGTACCCTTTCCCCTGGCCCTGTTTGCCATAGCTCAGCCCTCACTTCTGGGGCTCATGTGGCCAGTATGTTTCTGGAATGCAGAATTTCTGCTTTCAGTTCCCCTAACTCATTCTCAGATAACTTTGATACAGAGAGACTATGGTCAGTACTGTATTCACATCTCTAATTTATTATCTGAAGTATTTACACTTTTGTTGTACCCAAACAGGGTATTAGGGTCTGATATATATCCCATTTTGTTCTTGTGATCTTCTATCACAGCTCAGAAGTGACTTCTCTTTTTTTGTGATCACTTACAGAACATACATCTCTCACTCTTCTGACTCTCATCATTTACTCTCCCATATTAATATCTATTTGTCCATATGGTACATATATTTTTCCCTCTAATAAACTGTTAGTATCACAAAATCTCACACAAAGTTGATACTCAATATAGGCTTCCAGATATGTTGGCTATTTTAATATTCAATTCACTTTATATTTCCCTTTCCATATTTTTATCATGCTAAAGAAAAGAAAAAAATTACATTTGTACAACAAAGGAAATTTAAGCTGTAAATCTGAATTGAAATCTAAATGTAAATTTTAAACTCTAAAATTGAGCCATTCGATGGCTTTCTAAACAAACTAGGGTGTTTCAGCCTCTTTATAAAAGTGAAAGTGCTGATGGCAGGAAGGTATTTTTGTATTAAGCTATTGTCAGTGATGAGATATCTCTGTCATCCTAATTGTTCATTTCTCACCCAACGTCTTTCCACCTGACATTTTCCCTGAAAAATATGACCTTCATATCACTTTTTTGTCAGTTAGAGTGAAGCATCGTCTCAGCAACTTGTCTCCACTGTAACTTGGTGCACCGATCTGGGAGGTTAGTGAGAAAGTAACAATAATTTCCAAGTGAAAAGTCGGCATGTGCTAACAAGAGTCTCAAGTGCTGGAACTTAACGGCTGCTATGGTTCAGATCTCCATTTCCACTACCCATTTCTGGAGAGGATTGAAACACCATGATGCCTCATTAAACAACTGATATCCTCACCTCTGAAACACATTTACCAGTTAAAAAAAATTCAAAGTCTCGAAATACCTCTTTCTGAATTTGGCTTTCTTCTCAAAATTTAGCTGGAAAAGGAATACTTCCTTGATGTTAGTTTCTTAAATGATCTTAGTTGCCTTAATTAGAATTCTATTTATGTCTTCAATTTGATAAGTCTAAATCATCTGATTGAGTGGAGGTGAATTCGTTTGAAACAAATCTGAATCATTTGTGAAGTGTCTGTTCATGTCCTTTGTTGGTTTTTGTAATGGGTTGTTTTTTGCTTGCTAATTTGTTTAAGTTCCTCATAGATTCTGGATATCAGACCTTTGTCAAATGCATAGCTTGAAAATATTTTCTCCTATTCTGTAGGGTGTCTGTTTACTCTGTTGATACTTTTCTTTGCTGTGCAGGATATCTTTAGTTTAATTTGGTCCCCCCTGTCAGTTTTTGTTTTTGCTGCAATTGCTTTGGAGTCTTCATCATGAAATCTTTGCCAATGCCTATGTCCACAATGGTATTTCGTAGGTTTTCTTCCAGGGTTTTTATAGTTCTAGGTTTTACATTTAAGTCCTTAATCCATCTTAAGTTAATTTTTGTCTGTGGGGAAAAGTAGGAGTGCAGTTTCAATCTTCTGCATACGGCTATCCAGTTATCCCAGCAACATTTATTGAATAGGGAGTCCTTTCCTCGTTGCTTGTTATTTGTTATTGTCAGCTTTGTTGAAGATCAGGTGGTTGTAGGTGTGCAGCTTTATTTCTGCGTTCTCTAATCTATTCCATTGGTCTATGTGTCTGTTTTTATACCAGAACCATGATGTTTTGGTTACTGTAGAATTATAGTATCATTTGAAGATGGGTAGTGTGATACCTTTGTTTTTGTTCTTCTTGCTTAGGATTGCTTTGGCTACTATGGCTCTTCTTTTGTTCCACGTGAATTTTAGGATAGTTTTTTTCTAATTCTATGAAAAATGTCATTGGTAGTTTGATAGGAATAGCATTGAATCTATAAATTGCTTCGGGTAGTATGGACATTTTTACAATGTCCATGCTCCTATTTGTGAGCATGGAATTGTGTTTTTCCTGATATTTATATATGTGTATATATATATATACACACACTCACATACATATATATACATATAGTTTTGTGTATGTGTGTGTATGTGTGTATATGTGTGTATGTGTGTGTACATATATACACACACACAAATATATATATATATCTTTTTCCCACAAATTCTTGAAAAACAAAAATGAGCTATCATGTTTATTCGCTGCAGGTAATGGTGTGCTGTGAAAACTTAAACAATTGGCTTTCCAAATAAAAGCCCTGATTCATGGCATCTGCCAACTTCTGTGGTGTAAATACTCCTACTGTATCTGGTTTCAAATTAAGGGAGGAGACCACCCCTCATATGCCTTATGCCCAATTTCTGCCTCCAAAGAAAGAAAAAGTAAAAACTAAAAGGCAGAAATGAAATCCACAAGCAGACAGCCCGGCGCCACACCCTGGGCCTGGTAGTTAAAGATCGACCCCTGACCTAATCGGTTATGTTATCTATAGATTACAGACATTGTACAGAAAAGCACTGTGAAAATCCCTCTCCTGTTTTGTTCCAATCTAATCACTGGTGCATGCAGCCCCCAGTCACGTACCCCCTGCTTGCTCAATCGATCACGACCCTCTCACGCACACCCCCTTAGAGTTGTGAGCCCTTGAAAGGGACAGAAATTGCTCACTTGGGGAGCTTGGCTCTTGAGACAGGAGTCTTACCGATGCCCCCAGCCGAATAAACCCCTGCCTTCTTTAACTCAGTGTCTGAGGAGTTTTGTCTGTGGCTCGTCCTGCTACAAAACTACTAACATGACATCACTGAACACAGAGTTGGGAAGAGATACATATAATCAGCTCTTGTGAGCTGCTGTGTGCTAGCTCCAGTGTATCTCTGCATGTCTCCATCAAAATGTTTTCCTCTACATTTTCCCCACAGACAGACTTTTCATTGTGTGATTCTCACATCAGTAGTGAACATTTTAGAGACAGCTCAGGATAATAGAAAAAAAAAAAAAAAACAAAGAGATTTTTAGAGACAGATAGCCTGGCCCTGGCTCCATACTTAAAAATGATGGAAACTTAGGCTAGTTTCTTAACCTCTTAAAGCCTAGCCTCTCTTTCCCTTTGTGTATGAGAGGGTGTTGTGAAGACTAAATAAAATTAGATCACCCTTTAATAGTACTGTAAACAATGGGTCAAGAATGATCAGGAGCTCAGGAATGGGCTGACAGAAGATGAATGCAAATCTGGTTAAGAACAAAATTATTTTTTAAACAAATAGATCTTTTTATTTTAAAATGAGTTTTTCAAACTGTTCTTTATAAAGAATTTCTTATTCCATACTGTGAGTTCAGTTATTCTCAGTTTTTTTAATTCATAAAGTTAAAGAACCTCACCAGTAGTAAAAGATGGACAGTGGGACCCACGTGATTGTTTCTCTGGTGATAAGGGTGGGAAGTGCCATGTGACAGTGGGGCCCTCCAAGAAATCAATCATCATAAGGTTGATTTTTGTTGGAGTGTGCAACATGTTACACTTCAATCTTCTATTTTTGACCCATACAAGAAGTCTTTCTTTATTCTTGCTTAATTACATTTTTTTTATTATTATACTTTAAGTTCTAGGGTACATGTGCACAATGTGCAGGTTTGTTACATATGTATACATGTGCCACGTTGGTGTGCTGCACCCATTAACTCGTCATTTACATTAGGTATATCTCCTAATGCTATCCCTCCCCCATTCCTCCACCCCATGACAGGCCCTGGTGTGTGATGTTCCCCTTCCTGTGTCCATGTGTTCTCATTGTTCAATTCCCACCTATGAGTGAGAACATGCGGTGTTTGGTTTTTTGTCCTTGCAATAGTTTGCTGAGAATGATGGTTTCCAGCTTCATCCATGTCCCTACAAAGGACATGAACTCATCCTTTTTTATGGCTGCATAGTATTCCATGGTGTCTATGTGCCACATTTGCTTAATCCAGTCTATCACTGATGGACATTTGGGTTGGTTCCAAGTCTTTGCTATTGTGAATAGTGCTGCAATAAATATACATGTGCCTGTGTCTTTATAGCAGCATGATTTATAATCCTTTGGGTATATACTCAGTAATGGGATGGCTGAGTCAAATGGTATTTCTAGTTCTAGATCCTTGAGTAATGGTCACACTGTATTCCACAATGGTTGAACTAGTTTACAGTCCCACCAACAGTGTAAAAGTGTTCCTATTTCTCCACATCCTCTCCAGCACCTGTTGTTTCCTGACTTTTTAATGGTCACCATTCTAACTGGTGTGAGTTGGTATCTCATTGTGGTTTTGATTTGCATTTCTCTGATGGCCAGTGATGATGAGCATTTTCTCATGTGTCTGTTGGCTGCATAAATGTCTTCTTTTGAGAAGTGTCTGTTCATATCCTTTGCCCACTTGTTGATGGGGTTGTTTGTTTTTTTCTTGTAGATTTGTTAGAGTTCTTTGTAGATTCTGGATATTATCCCTTTGTCAGATGAGTAGATTGCAAAAATTTTCTCCCATTCTGTAGGTTGCCTGTTCACTCTGTTGGTAGTTTCTTTTGCTGTGCAGAAGCTCTTTAGTTTAACTAAATCCCCTTTGTCTGTTTTGGCTTTTGTTGCCATTGCTTTCGGTGTTTTAGACATGAAGTCCTTGCCCATGCCTATGTCCTGAATGGTATTGCCTAGGTTTTCTTCTAAGGTTTTTATGGTTTTAGGTCTAACATTTAAGTCTTTAATCCATCTTGAATTAATTTTTGTATAAGGTGTAAGGAAGGGATCCAGTTTCAACTTTCTACATATGGCTAGCCAGTCTTCCCAGCACCATTTATTAAATAGGGAATCCTTTCCCCATTTCTTGTTTTTGTCAGGTTTGTCAAAGATCAGATGGATGTAGAGGTGTGGTATTATTTCTGAGGGCTCTGTTCTGTTCCATTGGTCTGTATCTCTGTTTTGGTACCAGTACCATGCTGTTTTGGTTCCTATAGCCTTGTAGTATAGTTTGAAGTCAGGTAGCGTGATGCCTCCAGCTTTGTTCTTTTGGCTTAGGATTGCCTTGGCAATTCGGGTCCTTTTTTCATTCCATATGAACTTTAAAGTAGTTTTTTCCAATTCTGTGAAGAAAGTCATTGGTAGCTTGATGGGGATGGCATTGCATCTATAAATTACCTTGGATAGTACGGCCATTTTCACGATATTGATTCTTCCTATCCATAGCATGGATATGTTCTTCCATTTGTATTGTGTCCTCTTTTATTTTGTTGAGCAGTGGTTTGTAGTTCTCCTTGAAGAGGTCCTTCACATCCCTTGTAAGTTGGATTCCTAGGTATTTTATTCCCTTTCAAGCAATTGTGAATGGGAGTTCACTCATGATTTGGCTCTCTGTTTGTCTGCTATTGGTGTATAAGAATGCTTGTGATTTTTGCACATTGATTTTGTATCCTGAGACTTTGCTGAAGTTGCTTATCAGCTTAAGGAGATTTTGGGCTGAGACGATGGGGTTTTCTAAATATACAATCATGTCATCTGCAAACAGGGACAATTTGACTTCCTCTTTTCCTAATTGAATACCCTTTCTTTCTTTCTCTTGCCTGATTGCCCTGGCCAGAACTTCCAACACTATGTTGAATAGGAGTGGTGAGAGAGGGCATACCTGTCTTGTGCCAGTTTTCGAAGGGAATGCTTCCAGTTTTTGTCCATTCAGTATGATATTGGCTGTGGGTTTGTCATAGATAGCTCTTATTATTTTGAGATACATCCCATCAATACCTAATTTATTGAGAGTTTTTAGCATGAAGTGTTGTTGAATTTTGTCAAAGGCCTTTTCTGCATCTATTGAGATAATCATGTGGTTTTTGTCTTTGGTTCTGTTTATATGCTGGATTGCGTTTATTGATTTTCATATGTTGAACCAGCCTTGCATCCCAGGGATGAAGCCCACTTGTTCATGGTGGATAAGCTTTTTGATGTGTTGCTGGATTTGGTTTGCCAGTATTTTATTGAGGATTTTTCCATCAATGTTCGTCAGGGATATTGGTCTAAAATTCTCTTTTTTTGTTGTGTCTCTGTCAGGCTTTGGTATCAGGATGATGCTGGCCTCATAAAATGAGTTAGGGAGGATTCCCTCTTTTTCTATTGATTGGAATAGTTTCAGAAGGAATGGTACCAGCTCCTCCTTGTACCTGTGGTAGAATTCGGCTGTGAATCTGTCTGGTCCTGGACTCTTTTTGGTTGGTAGGCTATTAATTATTGCCTCAATTTCAGAGCCTGTTATTGGTCTATTCAGGGATTCAACTTCTTTCTGGTTTAGTCTTGGGAGGGTGTATGTGTCCAGGAATTTATCCGTTTCTTCTAGATTTTCTAGTTTATTTGCATAGAGTTGTTTATAGTATTCTCTGATGATAGTTTCTATTTCTGTGGGATCAGTGGTGATATCCCCTTTATCATTTTTTTATTGCATCTATATGATTCTTCTCTCTTTTCTTCTTTATTAGTCTTGCTAGCAGTCTATCAATTTTGTTGCTTTCCTGCTTTCTCTTGTGGGCATTTAGTGCTATAAATTTCCCTCTACACACTGCTTTAAATGTGTCCCAGAGATTCTGGTATGTTGTGTCTTTGTTCTCATTCGTTTCAAAGAACATCTTTATTTCTGCCTTCATTTCGTTATGTACCCAGTAGTCATTCAGGAGCAGGTTGTTCATTTTCCATGTAGTTGAGCGGTTTTGAGTGAGTTTCTTAATCCTGAGATCTAGTTTGATTGCACGGTGGTCTGAGAGACAGTTTGTTATAATTTCTGTTCTTTTACATTTGCTGAGGAGTGCTTTACTTCCAACTATGTGGTCAATTTTGGAATAAATGTGATGTGGGACTGAGAAGAATGTATATTCTGTTGATTTGAGGTGGAGAGTTCTGTAGATGTCTATTAGGTCCACTTGGTGCAGAGCTGAGATCAATTCCTGGATATCCTTGTTAACTTTCTGTGTTGTTGATCTGTCTAATGTTGACAGTGGGGTGTTAAAGTCTCCCATTATTACTGTGTGGGAGTCTAAGTCTCTTTGTAGGTCTCTACGGACTTGCTTTATGAATCTGGGTGCTCCTGTATTGGGTGCATATATGTTTAGGATAGTTAGCTGTTCTTGTTGAATTGATCCCTTTACCATTATGTAATGGCCTTCTTTGTCTCTTTTGATCTTTGTTGGTTTAAAGTTTGTTTTATCAGAGACTAAGATTGCAACCCCTGCCTTTTCTTGTTTTCCATTTGCTTGGTAGATCTTCCTCCATCCCTTTATTTTGAGCCTATGTTTGTCTCTGCATGTGAGATGGGTCTCCTGAATACAGCACACTGATGGGTCTTGACTCTTTATCCAATTTGCCAGTCTGTGTCTTTTAATTGGAGCATTTAGCCCATTTACATTTAAGGTTAATATTGTTATGTGTGAATTTGATCCTGTCATTCCTATGTTAGCTGGTTATTTTGCTCGTTAGTTGATGCAGTTTCTTCCTAGAATCGATGGTCTTTACAATTTGGCATGTTTTTGCAGTGGCTGGTACTGGTTGTTCCTTTCCAGTTTTAGTGCTTCCTTCAGGAGCTCTTGTAATGCAGGCCTGGTGGTGGCAAAGTCTCTCAGCATTTGTTTGTCTTTAAGGATTTTATTTCTCCTTCACTTATGAAGCTTAATTTGGCTGGATATGAAGTTCTGAGTTGAAAATTCTTTTCTTTAAGAATGTTGAATATTGGCCCCCACTCTCTTCTGGCTTGTGGAGTTTCTGTGGAGAGATCTGCTGTTAGTCTGATGGGCTTCCCTTTGTGGGTAACCTGACCTTTCTCTCTGGCAGTCCTTAACATTTTTCCCTTCATTTCAACTTTGGTGAATCTGACAATTATGTGTCTTGGAGTTGCTCTTCTCGAGGAGTATCTTTGTGGCATTCTCTGTATTTCCTGAATTGGAATGTTTGGCCTGCCTTGCTAGGTTGGGGAAGTTCTCCCGGATAATATCCTGCAGAGTGTTTTCCAACTTGGTTCCATTCTCCCCATCACTTTCAGGTACACCAATCAGACGTAGATTTGGCCTCTTCACATAGTCCCATATTTCTTGAAGGCTTTGTTCGTTTCTTTTTGCTCTTTTTTCTCTAAACTTCTCTTCTTGCTTCATTTCATTCATTTGATCTTCAATCACTGATACCCTTTCTTCCAGTTGATCGAATCGGCTACTGAAGCTTGTACATTCATCATGTAGTTCTCGTGCCATGTTTTTCAGCTCCATCAGGTCATTTAAGGACTTCTATACATTGGTTTTCTAGTTAGCCATTCGTCTAATCTTTTTTCAAGGTTTTTAGCTTCTTTACGATGGGTTCGAACTTCCTCCTTTAGCTCAGAGAAGTTTGATCTTCTGAAGCCTTCTTCTCTCAACTCGTCAAAGTCATTCTCCATCCAGCTTTGTTCCGTTGCTGCTGAGGAGCTGTGTTCCTTTGGAGGGGGAAAGGCACTCTGATTTTTAGAATTTTCAGCTTTTCTGCTCTGTTTTTTCCCCATTTTTGTGGTTTTATCTACCTTTGGTCTTTGATGATGGTGACGTACAGATGGGGTTTTGGTGTGGATGTCCTTTCTGTTTGTTAGTTTTCCTTCTAACAGTCAGGACCCTCAGCTGCAGGTCTGTTGGAGTTTGCTGGAGGTCCACTCCAGACCCTGTTTGCCTGGGTATCAGCAGCAGAGGCTGCAGAACAGCGAATATTGCTGAACAGCAAATGCTGCTGCCTGATTGTTCCTCTGGAAGCTTCGTCTCAGAGGGGTACCTGGCCGTGTGAGGTGTCAGTCAGCCCCTACTAGAGGGTGCCTCCCAGTTAGGCTACTCGGGGGTCAGGGACCCACTTGAGGCGGCAGTCTGTCCATTCTCAGATCTCAAATTCCGTGCTGGAAGAACCATTGCTCACTTCAAAGCTGTCAGACAAGGACATTTAAGTCTGCAGAGGTTTCTGCTGCCTTTTGTTCGGCTATGCCCTGCCCCCAGAGGTGGAGTTTACAGAGGCAGGCAGGCCTCCTTGAGCTGCAGTGGGCTCCACCAAGTTCGAGCTTCCTGGCCACTTTGTTTACCCACTCAAGCCTCAGCAATGGCAGGCATCCCTCCCCCACCCTTGCTGCTGCCTTGCAGATCGATCTCAGACTGCTGTGCTAGCAGTGAGCAAGGCTCTGTGGGCATGGGACCCTCTGAGCCAGGTGTGGGATATAATCTCCTGGTGTGCCGTTTGCTACGACCACTGGAAAAGCTCAGTATTAGCATGGGAGTAACCCGATTTTCCAGGTGCTGTCCGTCACTGCTTCCCTTGGTTAGGAAAGGGAATTCGCTGACCCCTTGCGCTTCCCAGGTGAGGCAATGCCTTGCTCTGCTTTGGCTCAAGCTCAGTGGGCTGCACCCACTGTCCGGCCCCCACTGTCCAACAAGCCCCAGTGAGATGAACCCAGTACCTCAGTTGGAAATGCAGAAATCACCTGTCTTCTGTGTCACTCATGCTGGGAGCTATAGACTGGAGCTGTTCTATTCGGCCATCTTAGAATCCCCAGTAATTACATATTTTTTAAAACTATTTTCAGAAGTTCTATTTAAGAAAATGAAGTATTTACAGAGTACAATATGGGTCTGGATATGACTTGGTGCTTAAGAAAAGGGAAAAATATTCAGAAACTCTCAGTATCTAAGGATTTTAAAACACCATGGTTGTTCTTTTTTTTTTTTTTTTTTTTTTTTGAGACAGAGTCTCGCTCTGTCACTCAGGCTGGAGTGCAGTGGCATGATCTCAGCTCACCGTAAGCTCCACCTCCCGGCTTCATGCCATTCTCCTGCCTCAGCCTTCAGAGTAGCTGGGACTACAGGCGCCCGCCACCATGCCTGGCTAAATTTTTGTGTTTTTAGTAGAGACGGGTTTTCACCGTGTTAGCCAGGATGGTCTCGAACTCCTGACTTTGTGATCCACCTGCCTCAGCCTCCCAAAGTACAGGGATTACAGGCATGAGCCACCGCGCACGGCCCATGTTTGTTCTTTCAGGCAGACTTTCCCTGTTGCAAAGGACAGAAATTTAGTACAAAATAGCTTAAATCAAAATGGAGTTTGTTGGCTCACATCACTGGGAAGTCTGTTAACTTTAGGATCAAGCCATAGCTTGATCAGCCTGTTCCCAAGATACCCCACTGAGTCTCTCCCTTTCTCTCTTCCTCTCTGTTTTCATTTCTTAGCTCTATTAACTTCTGCTTGTTCTCATCTAAGCCAGGTTAGGCTCTCTGCCTGTGTACAATGACAGTCACAGTAGCTTGATAATCATAAGGGGTGATTATCTCAGAAATGACCTCCTTTCTGCTCCCCCAGCAGCTACATCAATCCCAAATTTAGCTCTGTTGGATCAAATGCCCACCCCTGGGGGAAATCACAGTATTAAGAGGTAGGGCTTTCAAGAGGTGATTAGGTCATGAGGACTCCTCCCTCATGAATGAGATTAAAGCCCTTGGGAATGGGACATTGCAAAGCATTCCTCTCATTCACTCTTCTGTCATATGAGGACACAGCAATCCTCCCATCAGAGATGCATCCTTCCCCAGACACCAAACCTACCAGTGCCTTGATCTTGGACTTCCAGCCTCCAGAGCTGAGAGAAATAAATTTCTGTTCTCTGTAAATTACCCAGTCTGTGGTATTCTGTTATAGCAACACAAATGAACTAAGACATAAATTGGAACAAGAGAAGTGGGGTGTTGCTATAACAAATACCTGACAATGTAGAAGCAGCTTTGGAACTAGGTCATGGGTAGAGACTGGGAGAGTTTTGAAGTGAGTGCTGGAAAATAGAGTGAGTCTGTGTTTCCATGAAGGGATCATTGAGGGCAATTCTAATGAGCACTCAGAAGAAGAGGAAAGCCATAGGGAAAGCCTCAGTCTTTCCAGAAATTATCTAAGTGGTTGTGAACAGAATGTTGGTAGAAATATGGACAGTGAAGACATTTCTGATGAGGTCTCAGGTAGAAATGAGGAAAAAGGTTTTGGAAACTGGATGAAAGGCCATCCTTGTTACAAAGCAACAGAGAATTACGTCCATGACCTAGGACTTTGTGAAAGGCAGAACATAAGAGGGACGAACTAGGATATCTGCAAGAAGAAATCTCTCAACAGCCAAGTAGTGAGGGGGCTGTGTGGTTTCTCTTGATTGCTGATAGTAAAATGTGAGAAGAGATAAATGATTTAGAGGTGAAAATTGTAATTCAAAGAGAAGCAGGATATAAAGATTTGGAAATTTTGCAGCCTGGCCATGTAAAAAGAATAAAGAAGCGTGTTTAGTAGAAAAAACAGAGTGTGTAAAGAGACCATTTGTTAAGAAGATTAGTATGGCTAGAAGGAAGCCAGGTGCTTATTCATCAAGATAATGAGAGAATAACACAGAGAGGCTGTCCTTCCCTTCACAGTCCCAGAGTGACAGGACCTCAAGGCCAAAACAATTTAAAGGGTAATTTACAGAGAACAGAAATTTATTTCTCTCAGCTCTGGAGGCTGGAAGTCCAAGATCAAGGCACAGGTAGGTTTGGTGTCTGGGGAAGGATGCATCTCTGATGGGAGGATTGCTGTGTCCTCATATGACAGAAGAGTGAATGAGAGGAATGCTTTGCGATGTCCCATTCCCAAGGGCTTTAATCTCATTCACCAGGGAGGAGTCCTCATGACCTAATCACCTCTTGAAAGCCCTACCTCTTGAGGCTTGCTGCTCAGGCTCAGAGCAGTCTTGGCTGCCCCAGCTGTGGCACAGATAGGTGAAGGTGTGACTTGGGCCATCACTCTAGAAGGTATAAGTGATGAGTGTTGGTGGTGTCCACATGGTACTAACTTCACAGGCTTGTAGGGTAGAGGTGCTTTAGAGGTATGGCTTCCTCCACCTAGATTTCAAAGGATGTTGACAGCCTCAGGGCTCAGGCAGAGACTTGCCTCAGGAGCGGGCCACTGCAGAAAGACCCCTACTAAGGCAATGCTTAGTGGAACCATAGGGGCAGGGTCACCCCCAACACCCCATAAGTGTATGTAGAGCTACCAGCATGCGATACCAGCTTGGGATTGCTGCAGGCACCTGACTCCAACCAGTGAGAGCTGCTGCGTGGGCTGTGCCCAGCAAAGCTGTGAGGGGGCTGTGAGGGCTGTCTAAGGCCTTAAGGGCCCAACCTCTGCCCCAGTGTGTCTGGAAGGCAGTAAAAGTATTGTTCTTGAAACTGAAGATTTAATGTTGTTCGCCCTGTTGGGTTTTGAACTTACTTGGAGTCTGTTACTCCTGTCTTCTTTCCTGTTGCTCCATTTTGGAATGGAATGTCTATCCTATGCCTTACCACTGTATTTTGGAAACAAATCACTTGTTTTATTTCCCAGGCTCATAGCTGGAGTGAAATTCACCTCAGGATAAATTGTGCCTGGAATCTCACTGATATCTGATTTAGATTAGACTTTGGACTCAGACTGTAAAGTTGATGTTGGAATGAGTTAAGACTTTTGGGGGCTACTGGGATAGAAAGAATGCATTTTGTATATAAGAAGGATATAAATTTGGGGGGCTGGGGCAGAATGCTATTGTTTGAATATGTCTCTTCCAAAATTCTGATGTTGTCCATGTGTTGGTATTAAGAGGTGTGGCTTTAAGACATGATTTGTTCAAGAGGGCTCTGCCCTCATCAGTGGAACTAAGGCCTTACAAACAAGGCTGCATGCTGTTCATCTCCTGCTTGCTCTCTTCTGCTCTGCTGCTATGTGAAGACAGATCCCCTCCCCTTCTGAGGATGCAGCCTTCCCCCAGACAACGGAATCTGTCAGTACCTTGATTTGAGGCTTCCCAGCATCCAGCACTGGGAGAAACATTAGATTGGTGCCAAAATAATTGTGGTTTTTGCCATTACTTGTAACAAATTTCTGTTCTTTATAAATTACCCAGTCTGTGGTACTGTGTTATAGCATCACAAACAAACTAAGACAGAGCCCTTATAGATGGCCCTCTAGAATCACAGAAGATAGGGCAGGGACAGCTACGCTATGGAATGAGAGCAAGGAAAACAAAAAAGTAACCCACGTGCACCAAAGACCTAGTCCAAGTGAGACAGGAGTGGGACACAGCTCCTCCTTCAGATATTTTTTTCTTTTTTTTTTTCCTCTCTCCACAAAACCCAGACTACTACCTCGCTGATGCTGTACCCACTAACCCCAAGGGTTTAGTCATACAAAGAAAATAGCCATTTTTCTTTGCTCTCATAATGTTTAACCATGCCTTTTACTTAAAGAATTCCAGGAACTGTCCTTCGGAGATCCACAATATTGAACCAAGGTTGTGGAGTGTTCCACCTTGGGAAGGAATGTTGGACAATTGATTTACAGCCTTGTTGCCACCTGCCAGACTACCAGGTTGCCCTTTACTCAAGATAACCATGGCAACCAGAAGTGCTGACCTGCATACCCTACAGCTCCCATGCTTTACGCAGCCTGCAAACCCCACCCCTGATGTCAATTCCTACTCTTCACCTAATAAAAATTCCCTACTGGGGCTGTTTTCAGAGAGCTAGCTAGAAAATCCTTATACCTCAGCTGTTTCCCTTGCACAAGCCCCAGAATAGAGCCTCATCGAGGAAACATGCTTGGCTTGTGTTGATTTCTATTACCTGGGGAATCTAAGAGCCCATAGTCTGTAACACAGGTACTCTATACTATCTGGGGTGGTCATCTAGTCTAAATTTAAATGCATCAGAATTAGGGAACTTTATTATATGCTGCCGCTACTACTACTGGTATCAATAGCAACCATTTTTTGGACACTTAGAAGCTGACAGGCATTGGATGGATGTAGTCCTATGTCATGTACTCCACAGGCCACCCTCAAGCTACCAGGCCCAAAGCCAGCAGCTCCACTGCCACCTGTTTCAGCAAAATGGGATCCCCAGCAGAGCTCGTTTCCCAGAAGACTCATTTCTGAAAGGAATACAGCACAAGGCTCCTGATTGTCAGCACCTGGCTCCATTCTTTACCTCCTCCTGGCAAGGGACTGGGACTTTGAGTTTGGACTTCAGCACTAGGCAGACAGGACAACAGTGATAGGCACCAAGAATGACAAATGTCCACTTGTCTTTCTAATACCTACACATAATCTTCTTATGTGCTTAAACTTTCAAGTAAAAAATCCCTCAATGGAACTGAATAAATTAAAACTCACTCTATCCCAAAAGGAAACCACTCAAGAGTTTCTCTTTTTTTGCATACAGCACTGAATTCAGGAATTTGGGGCCAAGTTTTTGTTTTTTGTTTTTTTTTAACCAAGTTTTCTTCCAATCCCATATTGGTCTTCTGCTGCCTCTGGACTAAATCTGTGAAGGTCACCATCACAACACATTCTGTATACACTAGGGGAATGGAAGAGATAAAAATAAATTATTATGAAAGTATTATCATTACATGATACGACAAGAAAATATGGGTACATGCCATGGTTCTCATTTCGGTGACTGATTGTTTATAGTTTTTATCAGTTCTTTTCTTCAGTAACTCTTTCATCTTCCCTTGGCCCATGGCTGGTACCTTGACCTGCTTCAGTTGGTTGCTCAGTGGATGGCTCTAAAAGATATTCCTGAGGCATCTGGGTCCTTGGTAGTCCTTTCTGTATGAGGTGCTATAGTTTTTGTTTGTTTGGTTTTTTTTTTCCAAAATTGAGGTGTTTATCTCTTTAACCCAAGCAGAAAAATGCATAACCCAGACTTCCTAAAAACACAGAACAACGAAATGGAACAGGATTGAAATTACCCTATTCCCAGGCTATGTGAGTTAAAATCAGAAGATCTGATTGAAGACAAATGTTCAAGTCACAGAAGAAAGATATTCTACCAGTGGTTACCTGGGCCTGTTTTGAGCTTTTGGTTCATATGGTTTTGGGGAAGTTCTCCAGTCATCTCTCCATCTTATGTTATTCATTAACAAAGAAACTATTTATATATTTACCAAGGCATCTCTTTATCTATTCTGAGACAAAGAAATCAAAATTTTTTTCAAACGTTGTCTTTTGAGGTAAATTAATAAGCAACCATGAAATAACAAAAAACAAAGTGAAGCTCTTTTGGTCATTTTTCCACCTTTGTTGTGTGTTTAAATTAAGTTTTCCAAAAATCTGCTAACGGAGAAATTACTGTCTGGGTCTGCTGAAACTTTACCTATGTCCACAGTCTCAACCAGGAACAATTTGACCACAAAAATGTACTTCCTTTTATCAATAAGTTGATAAAAATGTCAATTATGTCATCCAATATAAATCATAAAATATATAACAAAAATATAAAATTTTTAAGTGCTGGGAAAGAACTGAGAATGAAAAGGAATGAATGGAAATATGCAATACTTCAACCAGACCCTATTTCTTAATCATTAAAACTCTTTTTCTATTTTACTTCGACATAGTGAATTTCAACAGGAACTGAAAAAACAGGAATATGGTGCTAGTTCATTCTGATTTAAAGTTTGAACTCTATTTCAGAATTCTCATATCAAGGAGTTCTGAACATTTCGCCAATTATTTTCAGAAGGAAATGTGAAAGAGCAATATATCAGAACTCAAAATGAAAAGTATATAACTTCATAATCCCTCTTCTGAAACCTTGGAGTCAGAGGTGCTTCAATGTTCAGAATATTTCTGCAGCGTCCTAAGGCAGCTTCAGTAATTAAATACATTAATATCTCTGTGTAGAAATATATGATTATTTACATACAGTGGGACGAATAAAGACTAATCATAGCCCCATGTCAGTTAAGGTCAAGTTTCATGGCCAAATGAGTTCAGGTCAGAGCAAGTTTTGTGGCCAAGTGACTTATGAAAATATTTTCAACTTTCAGAGCTATTTTACTTCCTGTAAATACAGATTAAAAAAATCAGGACCTTCCTACACTGAAAGGAACTTTGTTTTTAAAGGGCTTTACATTGTTGTCCAGCGATTTTTCATTAAGGCTTTTATACAGAACTCAAATGATTGTAAAATGCTATAATTAACTCTCATCAAAAACAAAAACAAAAAACCCTTTAATCTTTAAGGCCACCTACACTGTGCAAATAATGTACAGAAAATTAGAGAAAACCACAACTTATGTCTTTTTTCAGTATATCAAAATCTGTATAACACCAATGTGGTTCTTCTGAGATTCTGACAACTTACAATTCAAAAAGGAGTTATGGCTGCAAAAAAGTGTGAAATTCTGTGTGATTGTATCTTCTGGGGGAGCAGCTGTGAAGTACATCTTTCCCTCTCTTTAATTCTAACCTGCAAATTAAGAAATAAGTTTTTTCAGTAGCAGGATATTAAAATATTCTAGCTGATTCATATCGTATTTATAATTTATATATTCATAATATATTTTAATAAAATATATCAATATTTTAAATGTTATAATTTATGTATAATTATATCATGACTTATTTGTAATAAAGTATGATTTGATTATATTTAACATTTATATAATTTTATATTTATAATTTATTTTTCATAGTTCTAATATTTGAATTTATAATAAGTATTTATAATTTGTTTTATAATATTTATAAATTCCCCTCCTGATGATTATATACTTACCACTATTCACACCCCTCCCCTTTGAAATAACTACGAAAAGTCTCCTGCTTCTCCTCCCCCCTTTGAAGCAGAAACAATGACTGCCAGAAAAGTTCCATATAGGAAATTAAAAAAACATCAATCAGTTTCACAGACAGCAACTGAAAGATCTAAAGAAAAGCCCTTACTTAAAGGTATATGCTCTCCTTTCAGCACAATTCAGCTCTTCCATTGGGGAACTTAATAAAATACTGTACATATGAAGAAAAAAGCACACCTCTTGGCAGTAAAACTTTGGCAACTGCTTCGAAACAATCCTGTTGAAATGAGGTGGGGCTACTTTGAGAGTTTTTCTGAAGCTCCAATATCCTGACGACCCATCAGCATGACACTGAGCTAGAAGTGAGGGCAAAAGAAGCTGAGATTTTCTTTGAAATAAACAAACGTTCAAATCTCTAATTGAAAACTTGGAACATGATTTTGGGAAAGCAAATGTGTCAGTGTATGAGACTTTAAAATATTTAAACCCCTTGGCTGAAAATTAGAAATGGAAAATAGCCAGGTGCAGTGGCTCACGCCTGTAATCCCAGCACTGTGGGAGTCCAAGGCAGGCGGATCACCTGAGGTCAGGAGTTTTAGACTAGCCTGGCTAACGTGGTGAAACCCTGTCTCTACTGAAAATACAAAAATTAGCTGGGCATGGTGGTGTGCACCTGTAATCCCAGCTACTAGGGAAGCTGAGGCAGGAGAATTGCTTAAACCTGGGAGGTGGAGCTTGCAGTGAGCCGAGATCGCACTACTGCACTCCAGTCTGGACAACGGAGCGAGACTCCGTTTCAAAAAAAAAAAAAAAAAAAAAAGGAATGGAAAATATAAGCAAAGATAAACAAGATTAAACAGCCCAAATGTGTAACACAAGGAGAAGGCTTCTAAAATCATTGTATTCATACCAGGGAATATAATGTAGCCACTAAGCCATCCACAAAAAAATAAAATTATGTGAAAAAATGTTCAAAGTGTTAAGCAGAAAAAGTAGTCTCCAAAATCTAGTACAGTCTTCATGTTCCCTCACTACTGGATCATTCCTGTGAGTAAACACACCTGCTTTATTATTTCCCAACTTGAAAGAAAAATTCCTTAACCCAAACATCCACCTCCTGAATTAAACTGGAGTAGTTTCTCCCATTTACTGTAAATTTTCTTGATACAGTTGTCCATACTTGGTTTGCTTCCTGAACTGATTTCTTGTCTTCTTTTTTTTTTTAGAGACAGTGCCTCACTCCGTCGCTCAGGCTGGCATGCAGTGGCACAATTATGGCTCAATGCAGCCTGGAACTCCCAGGCTCAAGCGATCCTTCCATCTCCCAAGTAGCTTGAACAATACCTGTGTGCCACCAAGCCCAGCTGCATTTTTTACTTTTTCTAGAGATGGGGTCTCACTGTGTTGTCCAGGCTGGTCTCAAACTACTGACCTCAAGCTATCCTCCTGCCCCAGCCTCCCAAAGTGCTGGGATTACTGGTGTGAGCCACTGCACCCAGCCCTCCTGCACGGACTTCGATTAAAATTTTGCCCTCACTATCCTACCAAAATCCATGACCCCTAAGTAGTCAAACCCACTGATCAATTCTCAAACCTCATATGATGCAACCCACCAGCTGTATTTGATACAAGTGACCTCCTCTTTGGCTCACATTTTCTTCTGGACTTCTAGAGCACAGCTTTGTGTCAGTTCATCTATTTGACTGGTCAAGTCTTCTCACTCCCCTTTGGTGCATCCTCTTCAACTTCCTGCCATCTAAACACTGGGAGGACCCCAGGACTTGGCCCTCAGACATTTTTCTTCCTAACATACTCTGCATCCTCTAATGGCACCTGGTCTCATAACTTTAAATGCCATCTGTGTGGCTATGACATTAGTCTACTCTCTCCCCAACCTACGTGACATCTCCATTTGTAACTTCCATTTTCCTCAACTAAACCTGATTCTTTTACAGACTTCCCTATCTCAATAAATGGTTTCCAATGACTTAGGCCAAAACTTTTGGATTCATTCTTGTCTCTCTTTTTTTTACCCAATTCCATTCCATCAGCAGATGCTTTGGATTTTACCTTCAACACACCTCAGATCTTCCCACTCTTCTCACCTTCATTTCTATCCCTCAGGTTCTAGCTCATCTTCTTGCATCCAGCTTCCAGCATCCTCTCGCTGTCTTTTTGCCACTGTAACCTTAGTCAGCTTCGTAAAAGGTACATCATATCCTATCGCTCTTCTTTTCTCATTTCAAAATCTTCCCATCGTACTTGATATCGTAGATCAACACTCAGGATTGATTCTAAACTTCTCCAGTACATAGAGCTTCAACCTCTCTTGCAGTTATGTTCTGGACATATGTTAGATTCTGCCTATTAACATGATGGCGGAAGTGGCACCAGCTATCTCGTTGCTGCCTCAAATGCTGTTGCTGGCAAGCCCTGGTGTGGAGCACTGTGGAATGTTTTTGGCTTTGGTTTTGGTTTCTGCAGAAGCATCCTAGTGTCCAGGAACCAGCTTAGGATAGAGACAAGCATTTGCAGAAGCAGCAGCTTCCTCATCTCTGAATAGAGTTTCAGCTGTACACTCCAGAGAACAGATGCTGTGTGGCATCTTGACTGCCCACACTCAAGAGCATGGTAGAATCGTAGCTTCCATGGCGCACTCTTGTGAGACAGTTTTTCTGGAAGTCATTCCCAGAGGTGTGTCTGATAGCCTACTTCTCCCATCCTTCCAAAGATTTCGCAAGCACCAGATTCACTAAACTGAATCGCTTTCTCCCTCAATCAGCCAGAGAGGTTTCCATTCTTGGATATCCAATTAATATGCCATCACACCAGAATCAATCCAAAGTCCTTACTCTACACATGAGATCCTGTGTGCTGCAGTGCCTACCAGCTTTGTGGTTTATGGCCTTCCACTCTTCCTCTTGCTCATTCTGCTGCAGAAACACAGGCAGAAAAACAAGTATGCTGCTGAAAGAAAACAGAAAAAATGAAGATATAGCTGCTCAGTTGTGTTCTTACAAATACATTTACATTGCCCAGAAAAATAAAGTAGAACACTAAGTGTAATGCAATTCAAATGCATTGTTCATCCTAGAGAAAGGTTTTGAAACCTGCTTCTTAGAGTTTCCCTGGATTTACTCTATTTTAATAGAGCCTGTGTTTATCTGCGCTAATCAGTGTGGAATACAGATAACCTCTCTGATATAAACCCTGAGCTCATATGGGATCACTTTTTTGTTTGTTTTCCCTTTGTCTGATTTTCAGGTAATTTTCAATAAGAAGTGGAAAAAAAGTGTTTTTCCCGCACATTCAATGCTATTATATTAAGGCTTGTACCCCTCATTTTGCATTTATGCTGTTGATATTTACATTTAGAGGAATCTTGTATTTGAGTTTGTATAATTTCAGCTTACTGGCTTATGCCTCTAAGGAAACAGTCCATACAGACTTTATGAATTCCATGCATTTAGCTGTGAATTAGACCATACGTTGGGCAATCTGATTATTTAAACTACCCTTACAATTTGGCCAAATTCCACAGCCAAGTAGCTGTAAATGTGCACAAGCAACTAACAATATGTTGAAACTAACAATATGCATGATAGGAGATTTGCAACTTTATATTAATCTATTCCTTTTTGTGCCAAATGAAATAATGAACTCTAGTATCCTGAATTGCAACATGCACTGATTTATTTATTTAAATTTGTGTTTGAGCCCTAAGAAGGAAAATATATATTTATGCTTTAGTGACTCTTTTGATATCAGGATATTATTAAACCTATTGAAAAACATTCAATTGCTTTGAATCAGTACTTGGTTTTGATTCATCTTTTTCCCATTCAAGAGATGGTTTGCTTTGTTCATGAAGAAGTTCAGATTTAAGAGTTAAATTTGAAATTAATGCTAGAAACATTTTTATTGCTGGATATTTGTTTTTTGAGGCAAAATATTTCATGCTTAGTAAGAAGCTTGAAATTAATGCCTAAATACTCTCCAGGGACCTGTGAGTGCTGAGCTTATTGACTCTGGAAGGAGAATGCTGCCTCCACAATTCCGGTCTGTGTGACTCTTAAAGTCGGAGTGCCCCACCCAGGGAAGGGTGGATGCAAATGACTTATCATTTTAAGGATTCTGTTATCTTGCTGGTGGAGACCCAGAAGGCAGGACCTTTTTTGCAGAAATATGTAAAATTAACTCAATAAGTGCATTTTTTTCAGAATGGCCTAGGTATAATTTTATTGGTAAAAATGGCCATATTTCCACTTTTAAAAAGAAAATGTCAAAATAAGCATAATTGGCTGTTCTGTAATTTTTCTATTAATATTGATTTGCAGCCAGATGAGGCGGCTCACACCTGTAATCCTAACATTTTGGGAGGCCGAGGCTGGAGGATTGCTTGAATCCAGGAGTTCAGGATCATCCTGGGCAACATAGTGAGGGCTTGTCTCTACAAAAAGTAAGCAAAATTAGCCAGATGTGGTGGTGTGCACCTGTAGTTCCAGTTACTCAGGAGGCTGAGGTGGGAGGACTGCTTGGGCTCAGGAGGTCAGGGCTGCAGTGAGCCGAGATCACACCACTGCACTCCAGCCTGGGCAACAGCACGAGTTCCTATCTCCAAGAAAATTTTTTAATTTTTTAAAATTAAAAATAAATACAAATAAAAATTCTCAATAAATATCATCTATGACAATTACTGATGGCCCAATTTTTCTTTTTTCTTTGGAAACACAAGAAATGGGTCATTTTCTGAGAGTGAGGAGGCCAGTACTTGAGGGAAATGATGAAGGCTTACATCAGCCGTGGAGGGGCTTGGGCCAGAGATATAGACATGATGTAACAGAAAGGAAGAATGGGCAGACCAAGGACCTGCCTGATATGGGAATCCAAGGATTGTCATGGACCAGTCTCCATGGTTTTATAACAATGTCCAGGGACACTGGGCTGTTCATATGAAAGCAGGAAAGGCAGATGTTAGACCAAGGTTAGATCTTTATTTTTTTTTAGACAGCCTTTTGCCCAGGCTGGAGTGCAGTGGCATGATCATAGCTCACTGCAGCCTTGACCTCCTGGGCTCAAGTGATTCTCTCTCCCCAGCCTCCCAAAATGCTGGTACCACAGGTGTGTGCCGCCACATCTGGCTAATTTTTAATTAAAAAAAATAGAGACAGGGTCTCCCTATGTTGCTCAGGCTGGTCTCAAATTCCTAGCCTCAAATGATCCTCCTGCCTCAGCCTCCCAAAGTGCTAGGTTTATAGGCATGAGCCACTTCACCCAGTGTTAGATGTAGCCAGGGCGTGCAGCAAAGGATACTGGTGAAGGGAACTGAGGACACTCATGATAAAGTAAGCAGGACAGATGGTGCACCTGAGGGCCCAAGCTGGTGAGAGAAGAAAGAGAACACATAGGGGCCGATAGGCTACAAGAATACAGAAGTATCAGGGCTTGTGATCTCTGTGAAGGAACCAGAGCAGTTGTGGAGGAAATAATAAAATAAGATGTGGAAGGACAGGGGCTGTGGTCATAAAGAGGTGCACGGCAGCGTTTATTTCCTTGTAGCACCCACCCCATCCACTTTAGTAAGGACCCCCTTTGCATCCTGGCACACTGTCACACATGCAATCTATGATGCCCAGACTTCCTTCAAGTTAGGCTAAGTTCCAGTAACTGAGGTCCAAGTGGAAGGGTTGTGTGGAACTTCTAGAAAGTCTCCCAAAAAAAGAGGTGGCGAACCTTTTCCCACTTCCCCTACTTTTTCTCTTTCCATCTGGAATGCAGATGTCATCACTGGAGCACCAGAGGCCTCCTTGGTCGCTGAGGCAGCTCGCTGAAGATGGGCAACGGTAACACAGAAGTCACTACCCTAGCTGGTCTCCCACCTCTGGAATGTTTTTGTTTTGTTTTGATTTTTAGGTAAAGGAGACACAAAGTCCTATGTAGTTTAAATTACTGTTATTTGGGGGTTTATTATTACTATCAGCTGAACCGAAACCTAACACACAGAGTACGACACCAAGTTTAAAGATTTCTGAAGTGAATTATTGCCAGGATGTCCAGGCTGAGACTGCGGAGAATTACAGGAGATGTAAGCATACATCTGGCAATTGCAACATTTTAAAGTATGTTCTATTAACATCTATGCCCCTGTGGCTTTCATCACTTGTCTTCATCTTGCTATGAGATATCATGCCAAACCGAACTGGTTTCATTATTTTCCCTCATGACCCTCATTTGAGGTAAACTGTTGTGGGCTCAATTGTGTTATCTTCTTTTTTTCTTTTTCTTTCTTTTTTTTTTTTTTGGAGGCAGAGTCTTGCTCTATCTCCCAGGCTGGAGTGCAGTGGTATGATCTTGGCTCACTGCAACCTCCACCTCCCAGGTTCAAGCGATTCCCCTGCCTCATCCTCCTGAGTAGCTGGGATTACAGGCGCCTGCCATCACGCCCAGCTAATTTTTGTATTTTTAGTAGAGACAGGGTTTTGCCATGTTGGTCAGGCTGGTCTTGAACTCCTGACCTCAGGTGATCTGCCTGCCTCAGCCTCCCAAAGTGCTGGGATTACAGGCATGAGCCACCAAGCCCGGCCTGTGTTATCTTCTTTATAGGTCATGCATCCTCTAGTCTGTCACGCTCTCTTTATGTGACAAAGCTTTGCATTTCTTTCCTCTGAGCATGCCCCACTTCCTCCAGTTCAGTTTTCAAGGGTGAGGTCCAGACCAGAACATGAAGCGCAGGTGTGGATCTGAATAGGCAACTATCTCCTTCACTCAGAAGGACATGCTTCTATGACTTCATTATCTTTTCCAGCAGGTACCTCATGCTCTTCATTCATGTGGAACTTTGTTTTGATTAGACTGCATGTCTTTTCCATCTACAATGCTGTTAAAGCCACATCTTCTCCAATATCAAGTTGTGTAGTTCTGATCTCTTTCAAGTGCAAGTACACAGCCAATCTGTAAGATTGGCTCACTGCTTCAGCCCATGGAGATTTTGGAAAATCTGATTCTGTTACCATTGTATTTCCTCTCTATAAGCCTTGTTTGTTTGCAGTTTTGGTAAGCCTGATCTCTATTTCTTCATCAAAATCACTGATCAAATGTTAGACAAGCCACCATGCTCTTAGACAAGGACCTTTCTCCATGCTGCCATTCACCAATCGATTCATCAGATTCAGGGGAGTGTAATATGCAGCAAATTACTGTTCTCATGATTATATTCAGGATTTCTTAGCCCAAGAAAAAGAAAGATTAAAAAGCTCCCTATTGTAAATCATTTGGTCACTGAAGGCTATTTGGAGTGAGTGAGTTTTTGCTGATATCCCTCTAAAGGTGTCCATAGTTCACATTTGTTAAAACTATGATGTGTCAAGCTCTGGCTGGGTCAGTTTTCCTTATGGCGATGAGGTGTGTGTTACATCAGGGATTCTGAGTTGTATGCCCAAATCCTATAAGAGTACACTGGAACATGTGCCTGTGTGAGGGAGGTGGCCGCATATGCTTGTCCTATTTTGAGGCATGACTTTGGAACTGCACCAGTGATCACATAAATGTACCCAGACTTTTTGCCTCTTCACTTATAAGCCACATTGACTTGGATCCTGGTTCCTACTTTGTGTTCCCGCCAAGCCAGAGAACCTGATTTAGCCATGGTTTGAAGTGTGTGGAATTTCTATTTCATTAGGTTCAGTGAAGAAAGAGTGTTTGAAATTATGCAAATCACCATAAGCTTTTAGATCTTTCTCTCCTTTCTGGTTGGAGAGGCCAGATGTCCATTTTTGTGCCCTAAGTGACATATTCTTAAGTTGCCTTTTCAAAGCTGCTTATTCTACTCAAGTCGTTTTACCTTTTAACGTGCTAAAACTTAAAGCTTTTTATTTTCCGTGGTAGTAGAGTAGAGAACAAGTTTATTTTCATACTGACTCGAACCCAAGGAAGTTCCAAGTTTGAGTGTAATACTAATGGCAGGGTGTTGCTATTACTGTCTTCATTGGCTTTTAAGGGCAGTCAAGCAAAAGAAAGATAAATGAAAATTTCTGGACTGAAACCTACATCTGATAAGAACACATACTGGTTTTGCACCCCTTTGAAATTGTTGAGGTCTCTAGTCATCCAGAAACTCATCTTTTGATTATATCCCAATTCTGGGGGCCTCAGGACAGGGAGGAAAGTAGCTCAGAGACAGAGGAGGTGGACAAGAGATTCTCCAATCTGGGACTCCATGTCAAGACCCAATCTGGTAAAAGCTATGATCCCAATTCAAGGCTATGACAGAGGCTGATCTGTTAGTTTGGGGCTTGCTGTCATGTAAATCTGTCGAAATCTTCTTGGCTCTTATATACTATGCTCTCCCTGCAACAATCAGGTATAGCTGTATTTCACACCATGCTGCCCAAGCCAGCCAGAGGCAGTTTTACATTTTTAATTCCTATTAAGACTCTTATTTTGTGTAAGGCATGTTAAAAGATTTATAAACATGACTGCATTGAACAAACACTCTCTGAGGTAGATATGATGCATTATTATCCACATGCCACAGACGCAGGATATGAAGATCATGTTGGCTAATGAATCCTCCTTAAAGTCACACAATTAGGAACAGCTTAACCAGGATTTGGGCCCAGGTCTACTTGACCCAAAGCCTAGTTTATTCTCACTAATCACACTGCTTCCACTTGCTATGGGCAGCAGGATTCTTCTATTTCGACTTTGCTCATGGAATCTAGGGGGTCAGAGCAACCTTGAGGAGACAAACAGCCTGCAGTGTCTGTGTGGGTCCACCCAGCACTTCCTCCTAACTCACGCCTACATGCTTGCTTCCACATTCTCTCACATAATTCAATTACTTCAAGGTCTATAATTTCTGAGATTTGACCCTGACCTGATCTGAGGATTGGTCTGACTAATGAGGGAGGGGTTTTGTTCCATTTAGAAGGAAATCTTCTAGAGTACTTTCTGGCCTGTCTACCATTTGGAGGTATGTGTGGCCAGTGGCTTAGTCACCAGCGTGCTGGTCACAGGTGGCCCCACCCATTAGAGGATGCTATGACCAAGGGAAATTGGGACCAATATGTTACTTGGGTCGAACGTTCAAGTAGAAGCATGATATTAATTCACATATTTTTCGTGATGTATCTCTGTCTTGTTCTAAAGAACAAGGAGTGCTTTCTTACAGAATCACAACAGAAAGGCATTAATTATAGTATTTGGACTCCAGGAAGAAAAACAGCAAAACCATATGATAAAAAAAGATCGTAGCTCCAAAAGTTCAGCTGAGCCAAAGGGTTCTACCCAACGAAGAGACAAGTTCCCGTTGAGGCTGAGAGCAGCCTTCCTGCCTTTGAGGGAAGCTGCTGTTCCTGTCAAATTTGCTTTGGCCTAGACTTCTGTTTTTTCACCATCAAAATCCATTTTAAATATTAATCAAAGTAACTGTGGATTCCCCAAAACCTCCCTAGTAGATGAATACCAGGGATTTCATAGAAAGAGATGTTGTTATTGGTTACATTCAAATGGTTTTGTAGCAGGATGAGCCACAGACAAGACTCCTCAGACACCGAGTTAAAGAAGGAAGGGGTTTATTGGGCCAGGGGCATCGGCAAGACTCCTGTCTCAAGATCCGAGCTCCCAGAGTGAGCAACTCCTGTCCCTTTTAAGGGCTCACAACTCTAAGGGAGTGCGTGTGAGAGGGTCGTGATCCATTGAGCAAGCAGGGGGTACGTGACTGGGGGCTGCATGCACCGGTAATTAGATTGGAACAAAACAGGGTAGGGATTTTCACAGTGCTTTTCTATACAATGTCTGTAATCTATAGATAACATAACCGATTAGGTCAGGGGTCGATCTTTAACTACCAGGCCCAGGGTGTGGCGCCGGGCTGTCTGCTTGTGGATTTCATTTCTGCCTTTTAGTTTTTACTTTTTCTTTCTTTGGAGGCAGAAATTGGGCATAAGACAGTATGAGGGGTGGTCTCCTCCCTTAGTTTCAAAATGCAAAGTAGGAAATGTAAAAAAAAGTCTAAGATGGGTTTTGATTTTGGATCCTTCAAAGCAGCTCCAGCATAATAATCACCTATAGTAAGATAACGGTCCACTTTTTCCATATCCAGATTTAAAAATTATGAATAAATTCAAATTTAAGAGCTGTATGTGATTTTTAGGCCTGCTGTAACAAAGTACCACAAATTGAGTGGCTTAGACAACAGAACTTTATTGTCTCCCAGTTCTGGAGTCAGGAGGTCCTAAATCAAATTGCTGATAGGGCTGGTTCCTTCTGAGGGCTGCGAGGGAAGAATCTGTTCAAGCCCTCTCTGGCTTGTAGACAGTCTTTTGGATTTTCTTGTTATGCTGTGGGTAAACATCAAAAGCTTTAATAGTGTTTGTCTTTTTAAAACATGGTTTTAACAATTGAATAGAGAATGAATTGCCCTAGGACAGAGCAAGAACAGGAAAGAACACCAGCTAGTGTCCAGAGCATGTTGAAACCATCCTGACTAGAAATTGTGAGGGTGTGACCTAAGGCAACAGTGGGACAGGGGCCGAATTAAAGGTAAAACTTATTTACTATATTATATTTATATATTATAAATATATATAATATATATAATATATAAACATAAATTTATATATTATAAATATAATATATAAATATATGTATTGTGTGTATATGTATTAATACACACAATACATATATTTATATATTATATTTATAACATATAAATATAATATAGTAATATTTATATTATATTTATAACATAAATATAATATAGTAATATTTACATTATATTTATAACATATAACTATAATATAGTAATATTATATTATATTTATAACATATAAATATAATATAGTAATATTTATATTATATTTATAACACATAAATATAATATAGTAATATTTATATTATATTTATAACACATAAATATAATATAGTAATATTTATATTATAACACATAAATATAATATAGTAATATTTATATTATAACACATAAATATAATATAGTAATATTTATATTATAACACATAAATATAACATAGTAATATTTATATTATATTTATAACACATAAATATAATATAGTAATATTTATATTATATTTATAACACATAAATATAATATAGTAATATTTATATTATATTTATAACACATAAATATAATATAGTAATATTTATATTATAATTATAACACATAAATATAATATAGTAATATTTATATTATATTTATAACACATAAATATAGTAATATTTATATTATATTTATAACACATAAATATACTAATATTTATATTATATTTATAACACATAAATACAGTAATATTTATATTATATTTATAACACATAAATACAGTAATATTTATATTATATTTATAACACATAAATACAGTAATATTTATATTATATTTATAACACATAAATACAGTAATATTTATATTATATTTATAACACATAAATACAGTAATATTTATATTATATTTATAACACATAAATACAGTAATATTTATATTATATTTATAACACATAAATACAGTAATATTTATATTATATTTATAACACATAAATACAGTAATATTTATATTATATTTATAACACATAAATACAGTAATATTTATATTATATTTATAACACATAAATACAGTAATATTTATATTATATTTATAACACATAAATACAGTAATATTTATATTATATTTATAACACATAAATATAATATAGTAATATTTATATTATATTTATAACACATAAATATAATATAGTAATATTTATATTATATTTATAACACATAAATATAATATAGTAATATTTATATTATATTTATAACACATAAATATAATATAGTAATATTTATATTATATTTATATATTTATATAATATAAAATATAGTAATATTATAATATATAAATATAATATAGTAATATTTATATTATATTTATATATTTATATAATATATAAATATATGTATTGTGTGTATTAATAATTACATTAAAGTAAATATATATTATATAAATATAAACTTTACTATAATTGCTACGTATTTATGGTAATATTATATTTATAATACAAATATAGCATAGTAACATACATAACATTTATATTATATTTAAAATACAGTGTAGTAGTATACATAGTATTTATAGAAAATTTATATTGTATTTATAATGTATTAGATATTATAAGTAATTTAGAGATGTTTTAAGGTTTACAGGAGGATGTGCATGGGTTATATACAAATACTATGTGATTTTATAACAAGGACTTGAGACTTGATAATATTTGGATTTTGGTGTTACAGGAATTCCAGGAACCAATCCCCATGGATACCAAAGGATGACTATATATAGTCAATTCTCGTTGCCCATAGTAGTTATGTTCTATAGTCACTGCAAAAAACGAATTTGTGAATACCAAATCACTGCTACTGGGGGAAAAAAGGGTCCTGTGAGCATCTACTCAATCTTTTGGTCAACTAATCAGTGCATGACCTTGTTTTATGTATGTTTCTGCTTGAAGAGACTTCAATATACATCGTTGATTCATCAACACTGAACTCACAGACAATAGCACCCATGCTTGAATGAAGCTCATCTGACACACATGTTGCCTCCATCACAGACTTCTTGCACTTCAGGGATCCTAGACAGCACTTCAGCACTAGGCATAGGGTTAGGGACATTTTAAACACTGAAATCCACAACAAAAAGCACAAAACATATGGAAAACGTATTACCAAACAGACCACAAAAATGACACTTTTTTATAGTATAAGAGCTGAAATAAGAAAGCAGAGCATTGATTTGTTCAACCTTAGCTGAGAACATGAGCACCAGGCAATTGAAAGATTTTGCCACTCTACACATTGGTGAATGACCACACAAACCCCATGGGTACTGATTTGGGGATTACATATAAACTTTAGCAAGTAGGCACATTTGCAATTACGGAATCTGTGAATAATGAGGATCCACTGTACATACAATGAAATATTATCCAGCCTTGGCCAGGCGCGGTGGCTCACGCCTGTAATCCCAGCACTTTGGGAGGCCGAGGCGGGCTGATCACGAGGTCAGGAGATCGAGACCATCCTGGCTAACACGGTGAAACCCCGTCTCTACTAAAAATACAAAAAATTAGCTGGGCGTGGTGGCGGGCGCCTGTAGTCCCAGCTACTCGGGAGGCTGAGGCAGGAGAATGGCGTGACCCTGGTAGGCAGAGTTCGCAGTGAGCCGAGATCGTGCCCCTACACTCCAGCCTGGGCGATAGAGTGAGATTCCGTCAAAAAAAAAAAAAAAAGAAATATTATCTTGCCTATATTTCTGTAAAATAAATGATACATGCTACAACGTGAATAGACCTTGAAAACACTGTTAAGTGAAATCAGCCAGACACAAAATAACAAATATTGTATAATTCCACTCATGGAATTTCTACAGTAGACACATTTGTAGAAGCAGAAAGTGATTAGAGGTTACCAGGGACTCTCAGTGTATGTGTGTGTGGTAGCAGGGGAGTTACTGCTTAATGGATATAGAGTTTCTATGTAAGGTGATAAAGAATTTCAGAAATAGTGGTGATGATTGCACAACATTTTGAGTGTAGCTAATGTGACTAAATTGTATGCTTAAACATGGCTAAAATGCCGCATTTAGTTATATATGTTTTACACAATTGAACAAAAAATGTAAAGACACATTAAGACAGATATGGTAACCAGTTGCCTTAAGGGGTTAAAAAAAAAAAGAGTGCAAGCATGATGTATTTAGCTGTCAGTGGAAATAATAAATGCTAGTGGTATTCCACTAGCATTCTTTTGTTAGTATCATCATACTTACGACCCTCTCATCTGACCCTGGAGCTCATTGCTGTCAGCACGGTAGTGCTATACATAAAGCCATCACTTCTGCGTGTCATTGTGAGAGGCCCTAACTCTGTCTGATGCATAGAAAGAATGCAACAAATGACAGCTGAATTATCTCCACAAGGGAGCAGGGACACATATTTAAGTGTAAAGTCTGAGGGTTTTATGGCTTGCCTAGTGAGTTGTTAATAAAGCTGAGTCAGCAACTTAGCCCTATTAACTAGTCCTGTGAACTCCCCGCTTCTCTACATGTGATTACCTCCACAAAATGCCTCTCACTTTTATATTGATTCAGTCCCCTATGTGGTTTCTAACTCCTTTCTGTTGCTTTCTCATGGGGGAAAAGAAAATCAATTCAGAGTGGCTGGAAGACATTTGGCTTTATCTAAAAGTGATCGATGGCAATAATTTTCATCTTTTTTATTCTCTTGTTCCATGAAGCTGAGCTTCAAAAAGCTTTGCAGAGAAAAAAAAAAAAAGGCCGATGGTGAGGAAAAACATAAGGTAATAGTACCTCAGGGGCAAGGGCTAAGAAGAGCTTCGTGACTCATTCAAGCGTAACATTCTGGATGCAACCGGGAAAATAATTTATATGTGAGCAAAGAGATAGATTTACAAAGAAGTTGAGGCAAAAATAGGCTTTGGCTATTTTTCATGTAATATGCATATTCAAAAACTAAGGTTTAGCCATGAGTCTTCAATGAAAATAACCACATGTGTGCTACATGATTGTTGGTTGGCCTAGTAGCTGCCTTGTAATTAGGAGATGGGTGTTCTCATTGTGCTTTTTATATTACCAAAGGTAGAGAGCAGAATATCTTGGAAGACAAGTTAGAAACATGATGTATTTTACATTTCTCATGATTTTCTCTTATTCTATATGTGCAAAAATGTATACTTTGTTATTTGCTGATGAATCCTTTTATTTTAATTCTATATCATGTGATGAAAAAAAGATACATTTAAGTATTTGCAATGGATTGAATATTTGTCTCCCCCTAAAATGCATATGTTGAAATCTTTTTTTGAGATGGAGTTTCCCTTTGTTGTCCAGGCTGGAGTGCAGTGGCACAATCCTGGCTCACTGCAACCTCAGCCTCCCAGGTTAAAAAGATTCTTCCTGCCTTAGCCTCCTGAGTAGCTGGGACTACAGGTGCATGCTACCACGCTCAGCTAATTTTTGTATTTTTAGTAGAGACAGGGTTTCACCATGTTGGTCAGGCTGGTCTCAAATGCCTGACCTCAAGTGATCCACCTGCCTCAGCCTCCCAAAGTGCTGGGATTACAGGTGTGAGCCACTGTGCCCAGCCATATGTTGAAATCTTAACCCCCAATGTGATGGTATTAGGAAGCAGGGCTTTGGGGAGGAAATTGGATAATAATAGTAGAGGCCTCATGTATGGGATTAGTACTCTTATAAAAGAAACCCCACAGAGCTTTCTCACCTTCTTTCCCCCATGTGAGGATACAGTAAAAAGATAGTAGCCTGCAACCCAGAAGAGGATCCTACAAAGAAACTGACCTGCTGGCACTCTGATCGTGGATTTCTAGCCTTCAAGACAATAGAAAATAAATTTCTGTTGTGTGTAAGCCACACAACCCATGGTACACTGTTACAGCAGCTTGAATTGACTAAGACAGTATTGAAATAAAAGTTTTCAATCTAAAGGGAAAAAATAATCTTAGACAAGTTAAACTGAAGGTTTCTTATTGGGAAATTAGGTGTCAACCCTCATGTGCCAGTCTCTTGTGACATCTGCTTGACTTAAACCTCTTGCTAGTTTTCAAACGAGTCCGTGTGAAGAGATCACCAAACAGGCTTTGTGTGAGCAATAAAGCTTTTTAATCACCTGGGTGCAGGCGGGCTGAGTCCGAAAAGAGAGTCAGTGAAGGGAGATGGGGTGGGGCTCTTTTATAGGATTTGGGTAGATAGTGGAAAATTACAGTCAAAGGGGGTTGTTCTCCGGCTGGCAGGGGTGGGGGTCACAAGGTGCTCAGTGGGGGAGCTTTTGAGCCAGGATGAGGGAGAGAAGGAATTTCACAAGGTAATGTCATCAGTTAAGGCAGGAACCAGCCATTTTCACTTCTTTTGTGATTCTTCACTTGCTTCAGGCCATCTGGATGAATACTTGCAGGCTTGGGCTCAGAGGCCCGACACTAGTAATAAAGGGTGACTCTCTCTGTGTCCGGAATTGGTGGGTTCTTGGTCTCACTGACTTCAAGAATGAAGCCACGGACCCCCACAGTGAGTGTTACAGCTCTTAAGGTGGCGCCTCTGGAGTTTGTTCCTTCTGATGTTCAGATGTGTTCAGAGTTTCTTCCTTTTGGTGGGTTCGTGGTCTCGATGGCTCAAAAGTGAAGCTACAGACCTTTGCGGTGAGTGTTACAGCTCTTAAGGCAGCGCGTCTGGAGTTGTTCGTTCCTCCCGGTGGGCTCGTGGTCTTGCTGGGCTCAGGAGTGAAGCTGCAGATCTTCGCGGTAAGTGTTACAGCTCATAAAAGCAGCGTGGACCCAGAGTGATCAGTAGCAAGACTTATTGCAAAGAGCAAAAGAACAAAACTTCCACAGTGTGGAAGGGGCCCCGAGCAGGTTGCCACTGCCGGCTCGGGCAGCCTGCTTTTATTCTCTTATCTGGCCCCACCCACATCCTGCTGATTGGTAGAGCCAAGTGGTCTGTTTTGACAGGGCGCTGATTGGTGCGTTTACAATCCCTGAGCTAGACACAAAGGTTCTCCACGTCCCCATCAGATTACTTAGATACAGAATATCGACACAAAGGTTCTCCAAGGCCCCACCAGAGTAGCTAGATACAGTGTCAATTGGTGCACTCACAAACCCTGAGCTAGACACAGGGTGCTGATTGGTGTGTTTACAAACCTTGAGCTAGATACAGAGTGCCGACTGGTGTATTTACAATCCCTGAGCTAGACATAAAGGTTCTCCAAGGCCCCACCAGAGCAGCTAGATACAGAGTGTCAATTGGTGCACTCACAAACCCTGAGCTAGACACAGGGTGCTGATTGGTGTGTTTACAATCCCTGACCTAGACATAAAGGTTCTCCAAGGCCCCACCAGAGCAGCTAGATACAGAGTGTCGATTAGTGCACTCACAAACCTTGAGCTAGACACAGGGTGCTGATTGGTGTGTTTACAATCCCTGAGCTAGATATAAAGACTCTCCATGTCCCCACCAGACTCAGGAGCCCAGCTGGCTTCACCCAGTGGATCCCGCACCAGGGCTGCAGGTGGAGCTGCCTGCCAGTCCCCCGCCATGTGCTCGCACTCCTCAGCCCTTGGGCGGTCGATGGGACTGGGCACCGTGGAGCAGGGGGCGGCATTCGTCCGGAGGCTTGGGCTGCACAGGAACCCACGGAGGCGGGGGAAGGCTCAGGCATGGCGGGCTGCAGTCCCAAGGCCTGCCCTGCGGGAAGGCAGCTAACGCCCAGTGAGAAATCGAGTGCAGCGCCGGTGGGCTGGCACTGCTGGGGGACCCAGTACACCCTCCGCAGCCACTGGCCCGGGTGCTAAGTCCCTCATTGCCTGGGGCCAGCAGGGCTGGCCGGCTGCTTCGAGTGCAGGCCCGCCAAGCCCACACCCACCCGGAACTCCAGCTGGCCTGCAAGCGCCACACACAGCCCCGGTTCCCGCTGGCGCCTCTCCCTCCACACCTCCCTGCAAGCTGAGGGAGTGGGCTCCAGCCTTGGCCAGCCCAGTAAGGGACTCCCACAGTGCAGTGGTGGGCTGAAGGGCTCCTCAAATGCTGCCAAAGTGGGAGCCCAGGCAGCGGAGGTGCCAAGAGCAAGCGAGGGCTCTGAGGACTGCCAGCACGCTGTCACCTCTCAATCCCCCCTCTAAACAGGACACCCCAACTGCTGTTGGGAATTTGGCCGATGACAGCTCTAGCTACTTCCTGCTGGATAGGGGCGAAGAAGGGGCCCTGCAGTTGTGGTGTCCTTCAGAGGGGAACTCTCTAGGCCAGGGGAAGTGCCAGCGGGTCAGTCCAGGGGTCCTCGGTAGAAGTTGTTAGTTGAACTCATTTGGGGTTCCATTTGTAAGACCATCTGTAGCTTGATGGCCTCAATTCTAGAGGAAACAAATTTGACAAGAAGGTTAAAAATACAGGGCCCAAAGGCGAGTAACAGCAAGATGGCTGCCACATGACCTAGAAAGAGGGGAAGCCATGTTGCCCAACTCCAGAGGTTGGTATAAGAATTTGAAAGGCGTTGTCTGATTTCAGAAGCCCTTTCCTGTAAACGCCGGGCAGCATCTCATACTATCCCCTACTGGTTAGTGTAAAAACAACACTCTTCCCCTAAGAAGGTGCAGAGTCCTCCTTTCTCAGCAGTGAGGAGGTCTAGGCCTCGGCGGTTTTGGAGAGTCACTGCTGCCAAACAGTCTATTTGGGATTGTAAGGCAAGGATAGATTTTGTTATTTCTTGCAAACTGAGAGGCAGATATGGGTTGAAGATCCACATAAGTAGAATATGCCATGGCTGGGTAGATAGAAATTTACCCTGGCTTTTAAAGGAATAGGGTACACCGTTTTTTTCTTTACTACTTTCATCTCTCTCTTTCTGTCTTCGATTTCTTCTTTGTCTCTTTCTCTCTTTTTAACTCAGACACCGAGTTGTAGAAGGAAGGGCTTTATTCAGCTGGGAGCATTGGCAAGCTACTGCCTTAAAATCCGAGCTCCTCGAGTGCACAATTTCTGTCCCTTTTGAGGGCTCACAACACTAAAGATTTCACATGAAAGGGTCGTGATTGATTGAGCAATCTAGGGGATATGTGACAGGGGTTTCATGCACTGGTAGTCAGAGTGAAACAGAACAGAGCAGGGAGTTTCACAGTGTTCTTTTATACAATGCCTGAAATCTATGGGTAACATCGGGTTCTAAGTCATGAGTTGATTTTTAACTACTGGGTTTAGGCTAGGCAGGCCCAGGCCTGGTTTCGAGCCTGGCGCCGGGCTGCCCGTCTTTGGTTTTACTTCCTTGTTGTTTTTTCTTTTTTTCTTAAAACAGGTACTGAGTATAAAACCATATGAGAAGGTCTCTCTCTTCCCTCAAATTTACATTTATACATAGAGAGCAGAATATCTTGGAGGACAAGTTAGAAACATGATGTATTTTACATTTCATGTAAGGTTGCAGTTCCTTGCATAGAAACGCAAAGGAGGGAAATAGCTTCAGGCCATGGCTTCATGTTTATTTAATGTAACAATAGATAGGCTTTGCTACTTCTGAGTCCCATGAACAGGCATAGGTGCAATGAACAAGGTGTGGTTTGCTCTTGGGAACAATGAGAGGTGAACAACTTTCTTGAGAGGAAAATTCTATATTGAATCTTCTGAGTGCTTTGTGTGTGTGCATTAGCATGTGTGGTGGTATCTCATCCAATCACTAACTCTCCACAGAAGGGTCACAGGCTGTTGAATTGAGGAAATCATAGCTAAGTAGGAATTGGTGGTAGCCATAAGTCCATGTGCTTGCTCTTGGGGAAGGGGAAAAGATACCAAGAACGACTCTGCTGAAGGTTGTGAAAGGAAATCCAGTCTTTTTAGACAGAAATGAGTATTCAACAAGAAAAAGAGGATGGAATACATTTGGAATAAAGGGAAATCAAATCAAGGTAAAAGAATATGATACCTGCAACAAAGAGAAGGCGCTTTGTTAAGTTACACCTTCAGGGCTATGTATCATCAGGCATAAAGCTCTGTCTTCAAAGGTGATTAGAACTTCCAAAGAGAAAATAATATTAAAAAGAAGTGGTAGGGAGAACTTCTGTTACAGATGATGGAGGAGGAACAGATGGGTCAAGGCTGCTGGTGATTCCTGATGGATAGTTTCAGACAGTGTGCCTTGACCAGATAAGAGGCACGGAAGAACACTGGGCTCGACTTCCTCCTTTGATACATGAATAACACAAGGCCTGGAGGAGTCATATAAGGCGAATGGGACCAAAGCCTTAATCATTGCTAACTCTTCTCAACAACAGTGCTTTGGTTTCACCATGGCACTTACAAGGGAGCTATTTTTATGAGGTATCTAGCTTTGGGAAGGAATAACACATTCTATCTGCAAAATATTCCTACAGCATATAAGAAGCACAGATCGGCCAGGCGCGGTGGCTCACACCTGTAATCCCAGCACCTTGGGAGGCCGAGGCAGGTGGATCATGAGGTCAGGGGTTCGAGACCAGCCTGGCCAACACCGTGAAACCCAGTCTCTACTAAAGATACAAAAAATTAGCTGGGCGTGATGTCACGTGCCTGTAATCCCAGCTACTCGGGAGGCTGAGGCAGGAGAATCGCTTGAACCCAGGAGGCAGAGGTTGCAGTGGGCCAAGATCACGCCACTGCACTCCAACCTGGATGACAGCATGAGACTCCATCTCAAAAAAAAAAAAAAAAGAAGCACAGATCATTTACACATATTCTTTAATTTTTACAACAAACTTATGAGGGGATTACTATTATTTTATACTATACACTATACTGCTTTATACTATATTTTAATACTATTGTTATCTCCCTTTTACAAATGTGGAAACCAGGGCACAGACCAGGAGCCAGCCATAGAAAGAATTGGTTTTGTGCATCATCTTTGAGTACAAGGGGAGGTTATTTTTAAAATATTCTTGCAACATACAGAAATTAACATCTCAAAGCATTTGATCACCCCAAGGGAATCACATTTGTGAAGAATCATAGGGACCAATTACCATGATTATCAAAGTCATTTTCATTATGGTAAAGAAGCCACATTCAAACACTTTGAGAAGCAGCACAGCTTGTTTTATAGCTATATTCTTTCCTGCTTTCCTTTTCCCAGCCTGACTTCACTTTCACATTTTAGATTAAACATGAATTGTGCCCTAGGATTTCAAGCCATAAAGTGGAATGATATTTATGTATTTTCAACAAAGAGCATCCTTTTAAAATGTTACTAATTGCTAAATAGTCACATTTATATATTATAAAATTACTCAATAATAACTTCAAGTCAAAATACTTTGAAAAAAGAATAGAGGGTTTCCGCTTTAACGATATTTTTGTAATGGTGTGAAGTCTTTTAGGCAATATAAGCCCATAACCCCTTCCCCATTTACTTCCTGCTCCTATTTGAGGAAGGGGGCAGGCAAGTGTCAGCAGTAAAAATTCTGAAGAACAGACTGGAGCAGTGGGTGAGCACTAGAAGTGACATTTTTTAATCTGTATGAATCAGGTTTCTCCAGAGAAGCAGAACCAATAGGTGGATAGATAGGTAGATCTCTGTGGGTGTATATATGTATAAATAGTATATTATACATAATAGAGATTCATTATAGGGAATTGGCTCATATGGTTATGCAGGCTTAGAAGACCCAAAATCTGTAGATGGCAAGCTGGAGACCCAGGAAGGCTCATGGGATAGTCTGAGAAGCAGGAAAGCTAATGGTGTAAGTTCCAGTTCAAATCCTAGTCCAAATCCAAAGGCAGGAGAAGATTGATGTCCTAGTTTGAAGATAACCAGAGATCCCTTACTCAGCCTTTTGTTTCATTCAGGCCTTCAATGGATTGGATAAGGCCCACCCTCATTGGGGAAGGCAATCAGCTTTACTCAGCCTGCCATTTCCAGTGTTAATCTCATCAAGAAACACTCACAGACACAACCAGAATAATGTTTAAGCAAATATCTAGGCACACTGTGTCCCAGGCTAGTTGACATATTAAACATTTCTGGTTTTTTTTTTAAGGCAGAGTCTCACTCTGTTACTCAGGCTGGAGTGCAGTGGTGCCATCTCAGCTCATTGTAACCTCCACCTCCCAGGTTCAAGTGATTCTCCTGCTTCAGCCTCCTGAGCAGCTGGGATTACAGACATGGACCACCATACCTGGCTAATTTTCATATTTTTAGTAGAGATTGGGTTTTACCATGTTGGCCAGGCTCGTCTCAAACTCCTGGCCTCATGTAATCTGCCGACTTCAGCCTCCCAAAGTGCTGGGATTATAGGCGTGAGCCACCGAGCCCACTTGATACATAAAATTTACCATCACACTATTTATCTTTTCTCCATATCCATGGTAGACGTTAGCCCCCATTGAACCATGCTTTCTGGTATTCACACCCTATGTACACCCCTCTGGGCTTGACCATAGATCTAGTTTTTGCTAATAGGACATTAGCAAGTGTGGTGAATGCGGGGATTTATAAGCACTTGCACATTGGGGATTCTACTCTTGGAGCATTCCTTTTTAAAACCCCAACCACCATGCTGTCAGGAAGCTCAAGTAGCCACATGGACACACATATGTGGAGGAGAACTGAGACCTCTGGTTGAAAGTCCCAGCTGAGCTCCCATCTTGTGGCCTACACCTATTGCCAGCCATGTGAGTGAGGTCATTTGGACCTTCCAGTCACTCCGAAACCCCAGTTGATACCATAATGTGCAGAAGAACCAACCAGTCAATTCACAGAATCCTGAGAAAGAATAAATTGTTTTTGTTAAGCCACTGAGTTTTGGGCTTGTTTGTTACACATCAGTAGATAACCGAAACAAGCCTTCTGCACTCTGCTAGTTCAGAAACTGATCAGTTTCCTTCTAGGTTACTGTCGTCACCTTGGAAATAACTCCCTACATTCAACCACTCCATTGTATACTCTAAACTCTGCCCAGAGCGATCTTTCTTGAAACCATCAGTGCCTCCTCAGGGCCTGTAAGATAAAGCCTGGTCCAAAACCTGGAACATGAAGATTAGGATAATCTGGCCCTTACTGATATCTCCAGTTCAGCCTATTACTTTACTCCAGCTCTCACATGCTACCAAGGCCCAGGCTCTCTTGAGCCAACCTCCCCACTTCCACCTCTTTGCCCTTCAGGTAGAAAGGGCAAAGAGGGTTCAGGTGGAGGGGTCCTGCTAACCCCTCTGTGCCCTTCAGGACCCAGCCCCCATGAAACTCTCCAGGATCCTTTAGCACTCTGCCTACCTCTATTATAGCACTTACCTACTGTACTGCAATTGTCTCCTTTTTTATCTCTTCACACCCTATGTACACCCCGCTCCCGGCTGATCTGTGCTTCTTACATGCTATAAGAATATTTTGCAGATAGAAATGTGTTATTCCTTCCCAAAGCTAGATACCCCATAAAAATAGCTCCCTCGTGAGTGCCATGGTGAAACTCACTCAACAGTACTGTTGAGAAGAGTTAGCAATGATTAAGGCTTTGGTCCCACTCGCCTTATGTACAGTTAGATTGTAGATGATTTGAGGACATGGAATTGATATTTCATTTCTATATTCAGCACTGGCCACTGTGCTTGGAACATTGTAGGTGCCCAGAATGTGTTTGCTGAATGGGTTTTATTTACTCCACTCTATGATCATTCCAAGATAACACTGTTTATTTTTCCCAGCCTTATCCTTACTCCCACATGCAGGATGGATGGGGAAGCTGATGGCTCTAAGTAGAATGATTTGACCAAGGTGACATCTTATGTTCTAGAATAATATCATATGGGTCCCAGAAAATCAAGTTTACCCAGATTTCAAAAAAGAAAGCCAAGATTCAAATGTGGGAATGTTGTTACAGACAAGAGTTTAGAACTTCACTAACTCCAGCACATTCTCCAGGATTCATGTCATGGTGCACTTCCTCTGAGACCCCATCCCTTAATCACATGGGTTAGATTACACATGGGTTAGATTCAAAGGCTTTTCTCCATGTTCTCACAAGACTGTTTATTCTTTGCTTAACATTGTATGGTAATTGTCTGTTAATTCGTTTTTCTGTCCTCATTTGCCATTAGACTTGGGTTCCTTGAATGAAAGAACTATATCTCAGTCATATCTCAGGGGTCTAGCACAATGTTGACAAATCATATATGTTCATGAAATATTTGCTATATTAGCGAATGAATGAATCAAGAGAAAGAGACTCAGTGAAAGCAGGCTGAGATTAAATGGGATTAGAGAGGGAGCACAATGAGTCAAAATGCTTTCTTGAATACAAGCTGATATTTGTGACTTCCTTCCCGGGTACATTGTATATCAGCCTAGCTTAATAACCAGAGGGGAGATGGGCAACTCATCCCAGGTTTGGGACCTCACCAATTCTCCCAGTGAAATTCCTTAATGCGCTCTTGTGGCTTCCAAATTTATTTCAGCCCCAAATTATCACAATGACGCTCAATATGCAAAATGAATGAAAGCAGATTTTTCTGGTTGAAGTGGGTCAGAGGACTGAGACTCCACCCATTGGCCCTTTTCTGCTATCAGCCCACTTCTTCCTCCCCCTTCCAATTCAGCAGCACCCAAAGGTGCTTCACAGAAGCCTAGTTTTCAAACCACTCTCCTAAAGCTTTCTTAAGACATGAATGAAGGTGCCATGACTGCTTTTCTGGTCCATTTTCTCTAATGGCAGTGAGCATTGGAGCTGATGGTAGGCATGCAGCACAGAGCAGGTGGTCTAATGACTTCTTTGGCCAATTTATATAAGATTGTTCCATCTCTTCTCCATCCTTGCTTCATTTTATGTCCTCTCAGCTCAGCTTTCTCTTCAGCCATTGCTATAGCCAATAGCTTCATGCAAATGTAGCAAGGCAAGACCTCCCCAGCTGCACTGCATATCTCTTGCTTTCTGTCTCTGGGCTTCTCTCCAGCTCCAGCCTATGAGAGTCCACTCAGCCATCACATGCTCAAACCTGGAACCAAATCAGGAAAACCCTTGACCCATGGAGAATAGAAGCTATGGATAAATACTGCTATCTTCTGTAATTTGGGTGAATAATTGAGGCACATTCAATGAAGTCCCTCAGAAGATCCCTATAGGGGTCCAGGTGCAGTGGCTTATGCCTGTAATCCCAGCACTTTGGGAGGCCAAGGCGGGTGGATCACCTGAGGTCAGGAGTTCAAGACCAACCTGGCCAACATGGTGAAACCCTGTCTCGACTAAAAATACAAAAATTAGCTGGGCGTATTGGCATGCGCTTGTAATCCTAGCTACTTGGAAGGCGGAGGCAGGAGAATCGCTTGAACCTGGGAGGCAGAGGTTGCAGTGAGCTGAGATTGCCCCACTTTACTCCAGCCTGCCTGGGTGACAGAGCAAGACTCCGTCTCAAAAAGAGAAAAAGATCCCATAAGGATTACGTCCCAGTCACCCATAGCAGTAATGACCACTGGGATGGGCTTTCCTCCCTCACTGTTGTATTCTTCCCAGTTGCTCAATCCTGTTTCTTGGGATCCACCTAAGACAAACTACCTACACTTATGCCATTGTCTCAGGTTGGTTGGAGTGGGGGTGGGGGTTCAACCACTTTAAGACATCTCCTTAGAGTTTTTATTTTTCTGCTTAGTACTTATCATCCCTGATATCTGTATCTATATATATATATATATATATATATATATATATATATATATATATATATTTTTTTTTTTTTTTTTTTTTTTTGAGATGGAGTCTGGCTCTGTTGCCCAGGCTGGAGTGCGGTGGTACAATTTCGGCTCACTGCAAGCTCCACCTCCCAGGTTCACGCCATTCTCCTGCCTCAGCCTCCCGAGTAGCTGGGACTACAGGCGCCCACCACTATGCCCGGCTAATTTTTTTGTATTTTTAGTAGAGACGGGGTTTCACTGTGTTAGCCAGGATGGTCTCAATCTCCTGACCTCGTGATCTGCCCGCCTTGGCCTCCCAAAGTGCTGTGATTACAGGCGTGAGCCACCATGCCCAGCCTCATCCCTGATGTATTTTATATTTATTTATGTTTATTTTTCTTCCTTACCTAGAATATAAACAACACAGGAGCTGGGACTTCATTTCTTTCAATAGTGTATTACCAATGCTTTGAATAATGCCTGGTATGTAATAAGTCTTTTAAAAATTAATCTGTTGAATCTGTGGCTATATTTCTGAATCCCTGGTTGTCAGGATAGATGTGAGTTGGACGTGTTCATCAGGAGACACATACACTTGGTAGGGGACTAGAGTCCAGTGTGGATATATGCAGGGCTAAACAAGTTCCCACTACCAGCAGATATGCAGTCTTTTGTAGACTGCAAGGCTCTCCTCACAGCAGGCAATGTGCACAAAGCACCATCCACACCACGGTTGAGACATAGCCGCCCTGCCTTACATTATGCCCATTCAACTGGTGTCACAGGAGACAGGAGACTTGGGGGTCATCTGCCCTGGACCAAACTTGAGCCAGTGAGAACAGGGGCCCCTTGTTGCAGTAAGAAGCCATGATCGGTCCCAAGCTGGGCCTCCAGCCTCTCTTGTTGAAGGGAGAACAGGACGGGACTCACCACTACTCCTGGCCATATTGGGGTTGGTTCCCACAGGCATGAGGTAGGAACAAGGATTTCTCTCCTGACAATGAGAGATGCCAGGAGGCATCTGACTGCCAGAAAGAACAGGGATGAGCTCCAAATCTGGAGGTCCAAAGAATTAAGAACTAGGATAATGAAACCGAGTAAAAGTACCCCAGAATTAAATGGGTGGTACATCTGAGTATTTGCACTAAAATATGGCTGATTGATTCTTTGGCTTTATACACTGTCAGAAGGACAGTAATCCGGCTGTAAGGACAGATGTGGGGCAGCTGCTATCAGACAGCTTAAAAACACAATGAAGAAAATAATCAGGGCTCATGATCTAAAAAATAATAGTAGATTTTGGGATAAAGAGGGCCAGTTATTTGGAACTGTAAAATGTAAGGTGACTATAATTGCACTAGGTCACTCTTGGTAAAATATTTCAGCAAATGCTGTGAAGGCTTATCTCTGGGAATAGCATTTTTAGTGCTGTGTTTAGAGAGACTGCTGGGCTGGTAACAGCGCTAACTCTTCATGGTTAGGGGCATTTAAAATAATTTAGAGGGTTTTGTCTCAAAATAGCCTAGAAAACTGGCTAAAAATGCAAACTGCAGGACTTCATCCCAGCAAGATTCTGAGCAAATGAGGATCTGTACTTTAATCTAACACCCCAGGCAATTCTGATACAAGGCCAGTCAATACCACACTTGAAAAACACTGGTTTAATACTTAGCATGATCTTCTGGCTCAAGAGCTTTTGGAACTCATTGACATTTGAGAGGCATACACCACTAAATAATTCCATATCCCTATGTCCCCCAAACTCAATCACCTTTTTCATGCAGCTGGAGTAACATGGTTTTACTTTACATTCTTTGTCCGGAACATCTCACTTATATTTTGGAACAGACTGTGGAAGAGGGAATTCATTTCTCGTCTGATCAGCTGAGAATGAGATATATAACTGTCCAGTTGCCTCAAACCTTTCTAGAAAGGTCTGAAAATTATGTATACCCACCTCTCCCCACGCCCATTAAAAATACATTAAAAGATCTTTTCAGGTTTTTAATACTTTTAATGGGTAACTGGACGTAAAGACATCAGTAGAGAATGCAAAATTAAGAAACTTGTGCAGAATCCTGTGCTTTGGGTTTGTTTACAAGAAAGAGATGAAAGTTGAAAGGAAGCAGAGAGGGCTACATCACTGCCACACAAAGATAGACCCCAGGCCTGTGTGTCCCCTGCAGACAGCATTTCAACTCACATAAGCAGGTTTCTGGGCAACTGTATGTTCTTCTTTCAGACAACTTTCTAGTGGCATATGATCTTTTGTGATCTACTTTTTCATCCTTTCTCCTGTCTACCAGAACAACCATTAAGAAATCTGGGCTCTGCACCAACTCTAATAATGGTGGGGCAGAACTTTATAGCGAAACTTTAGTCCGGGAGAATGGAGAGTTGAAGTCTTTTTTCACTTCTATAAGGACATCAGTGATAGAAGCCACTCTGGAAATAAGCATTGTGTTCAGTTTCAATCATAATATTTTATTTAGAGGATAATATTTAAGAAGAATAGTGACAAACTAAAGAGAAGGATGAGAGATTCTTAGAAATCTTTTAAAAATGGGAAATATCTGAGAAAGCAGAGTTGCATTTGCACATTTAATTTTTCAAAATATATTATAAACTACAATATTTCAAGAATTCTGAGCTGGGCGTGGTGGCTCACGCCTGTAATTCCAGCACTTTGGGAGGCTGAGGTGGGTGGATCACCTGAGGTAGGGAGTTCAAGACCAGCCTGACCCACATGGAGAAACCCTGTCTCTACTAAAAACACAAAAAATTAGCCAGGTGTGGTGGTGCATGCCTGTAATCCCAGCTACTCAGGAGGCTGAGGCAGGAGAATCGCTTTAACCCTGGAGGCGGAGGTTGCAGTGAGCTGAGATCATGCTATTGTACTCCAGCCTAGGCAACAAGAGTGAAACTCTGTCTCAAAAAAAAAAAAGAATTCTGAGATGCACATCTTTTCATGTTTTAACAACTCTGAAGCCATCCAAACAGCAATGACTCAGATTAAAAGGTAGCACAGTACCAATATCATTGAAAACTCCTGGTGTGTCTACTGAGTCACATTCCACTCTCTTACCTTCCTGAGGTGACCATTACCTATAGTTTTACACTTGTCATTGCATTCGTTTTTACTATAATTACATTTTATATGTATGTATCTTTACTAAGACATTAGTTATATTTTCATGTTCTTGAGATTTTATAATTGATATTGTACCATAGTTTAAATTTCATTCAACTCATTTCTGAGATTTATGAATGTTATATATGATTTAATCATTTTCATTACTGCTCAGTATTCCACTATATGAAGGTACCAAATTTATCAATTTTCTATCTAGGACACTTGGGTTACTTCCAGGGTTTTTTTTTTTTTTTTGTCACTATAAACAACACTGGAGTAAACCTTGTACATGTTAAAACCTATTGATTTATAGAAGATTTATAGGTTCTGGACACGATCACTTGTGTTATGTATGCCACAAAGATCTTCTAGTTTATGGGTTGTATTTGTTCCTTTCTTTATTGTATCATTCTTCAAGATTTATTGTATTTTTAATTGACATAACTATAGATATATATGGGAAACAATCTATTGTTTTAATACGTGTTCATTGTATTACGATCAAATCCAGCTAATTTTAGCAAACCTATCACCTCAAACACTTTTCATTTCTTTGTGGTAAGAACATTCGAAACCCTCTCTTCTAGCTATTTTGAAACATAAAATATATTATTGATAACTATAGTCACCCTACTGTGCAATAGAAATCAGAACTTATTCCTCCTATCTAATTGTACCTTTGTACCGCTGACTAACCTCTTTCTACCCCCGTCAGTCCCTGATAATCACCATTCTATTCTCTATTTATAGGAGATAAGCTCTTTTAGATTCCACATACAGTGAGATCATTTCATATTTTTCTTTTTGTGTCTGACTTATTTCACTTAACATAATGTTTTCCAGTTTCATCAGTGTTGTTGCAAATGATAGGATTTCATTCTTTTTGTGGCAAATGATAGGATTTCATTCTTTTTGTGGCTGAACAGTATTCAATTGTGTACATATTATGTTTGCTTTATCTGTTCATCTGTTGATCATGGTGAATAGTTATTTTTGATGTGTTATTGAATTCAGTTTGCTAATATTTTGTTGAGAAATTTTACAACTGTTTTCATCAGGGATATTGGCCTGAAGTTTTCTTTTTTTGTTGCATCCTTATCTGGTTTTGGTATCAGGGTAATGCTGGCCTTACAGAATTAGATTGGAACAGTTCTCTCTTCTTCAAATTTCTGAAATAGTTTGAGAAGAATTAGCTCTTCCTCAAATGTTTGGTAGAATTCAGCAATGAAGACATCTGGTCCTGGGCTGTTTTTTGATGGGAGAATTTTTATTACTGATTCTATCCTCTTATTATTGATCTGTTTAGATTTTCTATTTCTTCATGATTCAATCTTGGTAGATTGTATATGTCTAGGAATTTGTTCGTTTCTTCTTGATTATCTAATTTCTTGGCATATAGTTATAATAGTTTCTTATGACCCTTTGTATTTCTGTGGTATTAGTTGTAATATCTCCTTTTTCATCTCTGATTTTATTTATTTTAGTCTTCTCTCTTCTTTGTTAATCTGACTAAAGGTTTGTTGATTTTGTTTATCTTTTTTAAAAATACCAACTCTTTGTTTCATTGATCTTTTTTTGTATTTTTGTCTCTATTTTGTTGCTTTCTCATCTGATTTGTATTATTTCTTTCCTTCTACTAATTTTGGGTTTAGTTTGGTTTTGTTTTTCCAGTTCTTGAGGTGCAACATTCATCTGTGCGTTTGAGATTTTTTTCTTTTTTGATGGAGGTATTTATTACTAGAAATCTCCTTTTATTACTGCTTTTGCTGTTATCTCATAAGTTTTGGTATGCTGTGCTTCCATTTTGATTTGTCTCTAGCATTTTTAAAATCTTCCTTTTAATTTACTCATTGACCCATTGATTGTTAAGGAGTATGTTGTTTAATTTCTATGTATTTATGTAGTTTCAGAAGTTCCTCCAGTTACTGATTTCTAGTTCCATACCATTGTGGTTAGAAACAATAATTGATATAATTTTGATTTTTCAAAATGTATTAAGACTTTTTTGTTGCTTACTATATGATCTGTCCTGGAGAATATTCCATGTACACTTGAGAAGAATGTGTATTTTCTGCTGTTGGATGGAATAATTAGTCTATATCCGCTAGGTTCATTTGTAAAAAGTGCTATCCAATTTCAATATTTCCTTTTTAATTTCCTATCTCATTGATCTGTCCATTGTTGTAAGTGGAGTATTGAAGTCCCCTACTATTATTGTATTGCCATCTATTTCTTCCTTTATGACCATTGATATTTTCTTTACATATTTAGATGCTCTAGTGTTGGGTGCATATATATTTGCAATTGTTATATCTTCTTGGTGAATTATACCTTTTCTCATTAAATAATAGCCTTCTTTGACTCTTGTGACAGTTTTTGAATTAAAGTCTATTTTATCTGATACAGGGATAGCTACCTCTGCTCCCCTTTGTTTACCATTTGTATGGTGTATCTTCTTTATCTCTTTACTTTCAGCCTATGCATGTCCTTAAAGCTAAAGTGGGTATATTATAGGCAGCATAAAGTTGGATCTTATTTATTTAATTCATTCAGCTACTCTATGTTTTCATTGGAGAATTTAAGTCATTTACATTCAAAATAATTATTAACAGATAAGGATTTAGTCTTGCTATTTTGTTAATTATTTTCCAATAATTTTGTAGATCTTTGTTCCTTTTTTCCTCTCTTGTCTATCTTTGTGTTTTGGTGAGTTTTGTTAGTGCTAAATTTAGATACCTTTTTCTCTATTGTTTGTGTATCTGCTACAGGTTTTTTATTTGTGGTTACTATGAGGCTTACGTAAAGCATCTTAGCGTTATAATAGACTATTTTATACTGATTGCAACTTAACTTCAGTAGTATACATCATAGACTTTTACCTCCCATTTTTATTTTTGATGTGACTATTTGTATCTTTTTGAAACATTTATTTCTTAACAACTTCTTATGGCTATACTTTTAACTGTTTTGAATTTTAACCTTCATACTAGAATTATATATGATTTATAGAGCACCATAACAGTCTTGCAGTATTCTGAATTTGGTTGTCTGAGAAAGACTTTATTTCTCCTGCATTTCCAAGGACAAGCTTGACTCCTTTGATGTACTTTGGCACTCTAGTTATTTTCATCAAAATGTAGTTGTTCATTATTGTTTTGCCTGTCTTTGAGGCAAAGGGGAATGGGTGCTAAGGCCTTCTAGTCAGACATCTTGCTGACATCACTCTATCACTCTTACTAATAGGATTTATTAATTATCATGTAGTCAAATATATTAATCTTCGGCTTTATGTTATGTATGTGTATATTTTGTCTTATTTAAGAAAAGTTTTCCTACCCCCAAAGTAAAAAAGATATACTTCAATATTTTATTTTAAGTTTTTACATTATTTTCCTTCAAACTTAAACTTATAGTCAACTGAAATTTTTGAGTTGTGTGTAAGATATGCCTCCAATGTCACTTTTTTTCACGACTAACCAAGTGTTTCAGCACACTTGTGATCAGCCCATCTTTCCTTACTGATGCCCTGCCTCCCTGTCACAGATCTTTTCTATGTCTACGTGGGTCTGTTTCTGCCTTCTCTGATCTGCTCCATTGGTCTCTTCATTGATACTGTAAAGTCACAATCACTATTGCTTCATAGCAAATCTTAATTCTGGTAGGGCAAGTTCCTCCAATTTATTATTTGAGATGTCTTGCCTATCATTGTCCCTTTGCTTTTATATATATTGTCAGGCCTCTGAGCCCAAGCTAAGCCATCATATGCCCTGTGACCCGCACGTACACATCCAGATGGTCGGTTCCTGCCCTAACTGATGACATTCCACCACAAAAGAAGTGAAAATGGCCTGTTCCTGCCTTAACTGATGATATTACCTTGTGCAATTCCTTCTCCTGCCTCATCCTGGCTCAAAAGCTCTCCTGCTGAGCACCCTGTGACCCCTGCCCCTGCCCGCCAGAGAACAACCCCCTTTGACTGTAATTTTCCTTTACCTACCCAAATCCTATAAAATGGCCCCACCCCTATCTCCCTTCTCTGACTTTCTTTTCGGGCTCAGCCCTCCTGCATCCAGGTGAAATAAACAGCCTTGTTGCTCACCCAAAGCCTGTTTGGTGGTCTCTTCACACAGACACGATTGAAATACATATTTTACAATTTGTACAACTCTTTCACAAAACGTTGGTGACATTTTTATTGAAGCTGTTTTGAATCTTTAAATCTATTTGAATAAAAACAGACACCTTTATGGTATTGAATCATCCTTTAATGAACTTAGTATGTTTCTTATTTTATTTAGGTCTATTTACTATCTCTCAATAAAGTTCTCTAAGTATCTGCACAACAGTTCTGCACATCTTTATGAGATATACTTTAGAATGACTTTTTAAACTTTTCTGGCTGTAACAACTGTTTTAAAATATTTTCCAGCTGTCTTTGCTTTATAAAAATTCAATTGTTTGCTAGAAACTTATATTAAACTTCTTACCAAAGCTAATAGTTTCTTTGCAAATCATTATAGATTTTTTTATGTAGACAATCAACCGCTGTGAATAATGAAAATTTATTTCTTCTTTTCCAATCCTTATAACTTTAATTTATTTCTCTCATCTTAATGCACTTGTGGGGACCACCAACTCAATATATATTTTTAAAAAAAACAGTGAACATCTTGACCTTTTCCTAATTATAAATGAAAAAGCTTCTAGAATTAGAAGCACCAGTAATGTTAGTGCTAGTGTTTGGAAACATACCTTCAGATTTTAAAAGTCCTATATATTGCAAGTTTGCTAAGACTTTTTCATGAAGGGTATTGAATTTTACTGAATGTTTTTATGCCTCTGTTGAGATGATTATGATTTTTCCCTATTAATGTATTAACATTCTAAATTATATGAGATTTTCTACTTTCCAACCAACATTGCAGTTCTTGAAATAAACCCATAGTGATGTTTTATTATTTTATTTTTATATATTGCTAAATTGGATGTGATATGCCAATTTGTTTTAGGGGGTTTTTGTCTCCATTCATGAGTGAGATTTGTCTTCCATTTTCCTTGTATTGAATTTGTAAAACGTTTTACTAGCTGCATAAAATTAAGGAAGAACCTGTGTGTGGTTGGAATGATCTATTCCTGGAATGTGAGGCACATCCTCCTTGCAAAGCCAGATGGCTCTGTGCCAGGCAGTGGATTCAGTGCATTAGGTGACTTGTCTCATTTGATCCTTGCAACATGAGGAAATGGAAGCCCAGAGAAGTTAACAAACTGGCCAAAGATCACCCAGGTAAGAAATGACAGAGGGGAATGTACTTAGGCCATCTGACTCAAAGACAACACTCCTAACCATTGGGTACCAATGAGTTTTTAAATGACCACTGTGTGGCAATGTAAAGAATGACTTAGAGATGACCAAAAATGGACAGTCAATGGAAGGATTTCTCATGAGCGACTCACATGGAATATGGAAGGAGAGACAGGATTTTTATTACTTAAAATTGGACCCTGGTACTGAACTGAAAAACTTTCAAATGCAGTTTGGCTTGTGTCAAAAGTCCCCTGTTTTACTAATGTCTGTAGAGCAGGGCTTCAGATTTCATAGCCAACAGCTTCAAGAACTTTCAAAAACGTGGCAGGCAGGACTCCCTTGTGGGTTTGGGTTGCTTTGTGAGGCTGAGGGTTATGTATTGTGCTTTGGAGGCTTCCATAACACGGCACCTCCCTTTTTGAAAAAGTTCCCCTTGAGAGTTAACTCTGCTTTATATTTCAGAGAGGGGCTGGGGTGTTTTGTTGAAGACTCCTTTTAATACAAACAGCAAATGTAACTTCTGAGATTTCTTAGAAGTTTAGCTGTGGGTACTGTTGTTTTGACTAGGCATTCAAATTTCCCACCAAAGTGAAAACAGGTTTAAAAAAAATCCAGCAGATCACTTGAGAGACTATAACAGAGGATGTGTCTCTGCTTGAGGTGGGGATTGACTCTCCCAGAGAGCAATCAGATGCTTATGCCCAGGGGTTGCTCAAGTGGGGCCTTTAGAGAACTGGCTTAGATTATCTATGTAGGTGGGGTCCCTTGGGCTGCCTTTGGACCAGCCCTGCAGAGGAGGGTGGGGACTGCTGGGTCATTTTGTCTATTCTCCTCTGGTAGAATGTATGAAAGCAAAGGGCAAAAGGTAAAGTAATTTCTATACTCATGGATCCTCTTTTGTTTTTTTCTTTTGCCCTTTTATTTGTTAAACCTCTTGAGGTCAAACAATCTTTAATTTCATACAAAGTAAGCAGAAATCTGCAATTAACATGAAAACGAAGTATCCATTGATGAACACCAGAACAGCAATTTCATGATTTTTTAAAAATTCACCTGAATTGGCCATCATCTCTTATCATTGCTACAAGAGGAGAAAGGAAGCTTTCTTTTCCAGACACTTGAATAAGTAAATATGACAAGGACATAAGTAATGAAGACAAAAACAACTCATTCCACATATCCTTGGAGATACAGAAACAGGCATATATTTAATTCTCTCTAGCTGAGAAAAATAGTTGAAAATGTATTCTATTAAGGGAAATCATGAGGGGAAATATAGAGAAAGTTGAATGGGAGCTATGTATTTAAGTATGTCTGGAATTTTTTCTTATAGATCAAACTACATGTAGTCTTTTCTTTTCACTAACCCTAACATTTGACAAAGTTCCTTTATTCATTTTGCTATTTAGCTAGAATTCATTAAGTTCAGATTCTTCATTGAACTATGGTTCATGTACTTGAGTTACCATATAAAGGACATCTTATAGTTTTGGTACTTTCCACATAGTATTTGTGCTTATCCAAATTGATTGATTAAATAAAGAGAGATTAGGAACAGTTACCAAGGATCTCTATGATGCTGAGTTGCACCATTAGAAATTGAGGATCTTAGGAACTGGTTCTGCCAGTTTTAAAAAGCTAGGTGAAATAACTCACAGACCACTGCATAGGCCAACGATTCCCTGATTTGAGGTTCAAAGCTAAATAATTAAAACAAATATGGAGAGAGAGAGACTTCAAGTATGAACATGGATGTTAAGTCAGCATCTTTTCCCTTCTCCTCCTAGAGGTTATATGAAAGTTAACAAGGAGGAAGAAGCAAAACTATAAACTTTGCATTCAGTAAAACTAGTATACAGTTATTATCCACTTACTTCAAAATATATGTAAGGATGCCAAAACAAGCTTAGACTGGACATAGCCAAATAGAAATGCAGAGAAAACCACAAAGATGACTAAATGTCTCAAAGCCAAGAAAAATATACTTCCTGAAGGTCAGGAGTCTTACCCTGAAGTGCAAACCTATATAGATCACTTGGATCGATGGGAGTACAAACTGGGGTTAGCAGGGAAGGTTGAGGAAGTCTCTCTGGATGTAGTTTGGCTCAGAGAAGGAAAGAATAAAAGACCACACAATAATGTAGAAGAATTATATAGAAGAGCCATTTTCACATTAAGCAGTGTGTCTGCATGATAGAGGAGAAAGTGTTTAGGTTGTGAAGCCTGGAAGGCTGCACTACCCCTACAGATGCACACTCACGTGCACACGCACATACATGCTCATGCTCACATACCAACCTTCAGCAAAATCCAGTTCAAGAAAAATGTGTTTATGCAAGCTATAAGAAAAAGTCAGTAGAAAAACACTGAGTCAAAGATAGTATAAGATTAAAAGTATGAGGAAACTAGAAAACTTAGGACAAAGAATACTCACTAAAACTTTTAGCCATGCAGCAAATAAAAATTATGACCAAATATTTTACTATGATTTAAAAGAAAAAATTAAGAAGGTAATCACTTTAATGAAAAAATAATTACAATCCAGAAATACAGAACTTGAAAGGGCAATATAACAAGAGATGAAATTAAAGTAGCAGAACTCAGGAAAGAAATAGAAAACAAATGAAAATATCACAGAAATTAAAATGAAATCAGAATACAAGGGAAGCTGGGTGTGGTGGTTTACACCTGTAATCCTAGCACTTTGGGAAGCTGAGGCAGGTGCATCACTTGTGCCCAGGAGGTTGATGCTGCAGTGAGCTGTGATCATACCACTGCACTCCAGCCTGGACAGCAGAGGGAGACCCTGTCCCAAGAAAAAAAAAACAAAAAGCAACAACAAAAAAAACCCCTACAATGGAGAGGTGATAATGAAAAAACCACAATAAGTAATACAGAGGATATATAAAAAGTAAACAATGTAAAATGGAATAAACGGATAAAAAGATTACATACACACAATGATAACTAGACAAGACAGACAAAGGTGATTCAATTTGTACATAATTGGAGTCCCTAAGAAAGAATTAAACAAATAATTTAACATATATATCAAGAAAAATTATTCAAGTAAAAGAAAATTTGAAAAAATATATGCTTATATATACACAACAATACTTGCATGTCCATTTATAGGCTCTCTGCAAGAAGAAAAATATGGTTCTTTTTGCCCAACCCCACAGGCAGTCAGACCTTATGGTTGTCTTCCCTTGTTCCCTAAAAATCACTGTTATTCTGTTCTTTTTCAAGGTGCACTGATTTCATATTGTTCAAACACACGTTTTACAATCAATTTGTACAGTTAACACAATTATTACAGTGGTCCTGAGGTGATGTACATCCTCAGCTTACAAAGATAACAGGATTAAGAGATTAAAGTAAAGACAGGCGTAAGAAATTATAAAAGTATTATTTGGGAACTGATAAATGTCCATATTAAAATGAAATCTTCACAATTTATGTTCCTCTGCTGTGGCTCCAGCCAGTCCCTCCGTTCGGGGTTCCTGACTTCCCACAGCAATGTTCTTCAGTGTCTGGGCTTTGAAGAGTTAGATATTTATTATAGTCTTCACTGTCTGGGCTTATTCTTAGCCATCCTTCTTGGGAAGGCTTTCCAGTTATTCAAAAGGACTTGGGTGCTGTGATGTAAGCTAGTTCTGCTTTAGGGGGCCCCTCAAGTTCAGTAACACCATGGTTCTTGCAGACTTTTAGAGGTACTGCCTTGATGATCTGGTTTTGGACCAGATCTGGGAGAATTCTCTGGATTGCCAAGCAGAGACTTTTGTTCTCTTCCCCTACTTTCTAAACACACAGTCTCTTTTTCTGTTCAGAGCCACTGAAAGCTGGGGGTGGAGTGACACAGCACCCTTGTGGCCCCCTCTACTATGAATGCACTGAGTCAGATCTGAAGCCAGCACAGCACTGGATCTCACCCAAGGCCTGCTGTAACCACTCCCTGGCTAGTGCCTATGTTCACTCAAGGCCCCGGGGCTCTACAATCAGCAGGTAGCAAAGCCAGCCAGGCCTGTATCCTTTCCTTCAGGGCAGTGAGGTCCCTCAGGCCCTGGGTGGGTCCAGAAATGCCATCTGGGGGTCAGAGACTAAAGTCAAAAACCTTAGAAGTCCACCTGATATTCTATTGTGTTGCAGCTGAGCTGGCACTCAAACCACAGGATGCAGTCATTCCCACTCTTCCTTCCTCTTTCCAAAAGCAGAGGAGCCACACCCTGTAGCCACTGCCACCCCAGGCCGCGAGGGGTACTCCCAGACTACCACCAATGTTCCCTTGAGGCCCAAGCCCTCTTAAGTCAGCTTGTTGTGAATGCTGCCTGGCCTGTGACTCACACTTTAGGGCACTGGAGTCCCCTCTGGTCCAGGGCAGGTCCAGAAAAGCTGTTCCAGAGTCAAGTCCTGGAATCAGGGACCCCAAGAACCCTCTTGATGCTCTACCCCACCATGGCAGTGTTGGTACCTAAGGTGCAAGACAACGTCTCCTTCGTCTCAAGCAGAAGGAGTTTTGCCCCATAACCACCACAGCTGGTAATATGCTGAGTCTCACCTGAAACCAGCAAGGCTTAGAGGCTCATCAAGACCCATGATGTAGTACCTGGGCAGCGGATTCCCTTCTGGCCCAGAGAGGCTCTCTGGAGCCTTCTGTTCCACCATCTTGCTCCACCTCCTCAATTTATAGAAAAGTTTTAAAATTATGTGTTTAAGTGCTCTAGGACAGTGATTTTCAAAATTACTTTAACTTTGAAATGATTTTCACAAGATAAGTTTTATATGGAAGCCCCATAATAAAACAGATGAAAAACAAATCCCCTCTGGAAACTGAGGGACAGGTATCTTCAGCATTCCAATTAGAATTTAAGGTGAATGTGTCTGCTGTCAGGTAGGCAGGTAGAGTAGAAGATGGGGATCTGAGAAGAATGGGAGGAGTTTGGAACAAGAAAGTGAGGGTACTAGAGATAGTCAAAGAATTGTCTGGCAAGATTCCTACTTCATTTTTCTGACATTTTGTTTCCCTTTGATGGTAACATAAATAACTCAAATATATGAACTATTTCAAATATATATTTTCAAAGTTAAAAAATTTTAGCTGGGTGCAGTGGCTCACATCTGTAATCCCAGCAGTTTGGGAGGCCGAGTCGGGCAGATCACTTGAGGCCAGGAGTCCGATACTAGCCTAGCCAACATAGCGAAATCCCATCTCTACTAAAAATACAGAAATTAGCCAAGGGTGGTGGCACGTGCTTGTAATCCCAGCTACTCGGGAGGCTGAGGCAGGAGAATCGCTTGAACTTGGTAGGTGGAGGTTGCAGTGAGCCGAGATCACACTACTGAACTCCAGCCTGGGTAACAGAGCAAGACTCTGTCTCAAAAAAAAAAAAAAAAAAACAAACCTTTTTGCAGAGCACATGTACTATTTTATCTCACCAACTATCAAAACCACACAATTAGCTAAGGAGAAAGGCCAGTAGTAGGAGTAGTGAAGCTGCCTTTGCAAAAATTACATCAGTGAGAAAATTATGACAGTGAAGGAGAGCTGAGTTAACCCAGCCCCCATCTTGCCTTTTCCTTATTTATTCCTGGGCTTTTGGGCCAACATGACTTTGAGAGACATTCAGACTATAGTTTAATAGGCCTCCCCCAAAACTCAACCACTTTATAAAGCTAATGTAAGGCCATCAAGCTGGGGGAGGAGAGGAGCCTGATTCTGCTAACCTGTAGGCATAGACTGCCAGCCATTCCTGCAGAGAACACCACTATTGTAGATTAGGCTTTTGAGATATCTTTATAGGGTTTTTGTTTGTTTGTTTGTTTGTTTTTTTAATGTCTGACACCCATGGCTCCACTTAGACCCACCAACCCTGCTCCTGTGGCCCCACCCAGAAGTGATTCAGCATGCAGGAGGACAGCTTCCACCGTCTATGATTTCATCTTCGTCCCGACCAATTAGCAGCAAGCCTAGCTCCCCCAACACTTCCCCCAAACTGCCTCTGAAAAACTCTGAACCTAGGAGCTTTGGAGGAGATGATTTGAGTGCTAACTCTGTCTCCCACATGGTGTGGCTGGCCTAGTGTTAAACTCTTTATTTACTACAATGTCATGGTCTTTATTTGTGCAGTGAGCAGGAAGAAACCCTTGGGTGGTTACAGCAGTAAAAGTTCCATTTTACAGATTAGGCAATATAGCCACGATTGAGTTGAAATATTTTTAGAAATATTTGCAAATAATTATCCAAGTAGCAAATTGTATTCATAATTGATTTCATAAACCTGCTTTAACTAGAATTATTAATTCACATATATTACTGAATTTAAGTTTAAATTCACTGAATAAAAGAGTAAAAAGTGGTATTTGCTAAGATTATGAAATATTTTTCTAACTATTCCCTTTACCCATCTCTGAGATGATTCTGATTGCAAAGTCATTTGTGTTGCATCCAGAGTTTGTCCCTCAAAACTTGCCCTAATATCCCCTCAGAAGATAGTCAGTTTCCTTTTTCTGTGACATATATGGTGTTTTATTTTACTTTAGACTCAGATAAAATCAGTCACTCTTGGATGTGGATTCCTTCTTTCATTGTGCTCCACAGGAAGCCTTGCTGGAATGAAGTGTTGATTAGGAAGTACATGAGATAAGGAGCCAATTATTTCTATGCAAACTACTTAAATACAGTGATTTTTGTTCACACAAGGAGGATCAAAAGAATATGAGCCATCTGGAATCTAGAGAATTGAAGAAATGCATTAGTTCCAACTATCAGGAAAAAGGAGAGGAGAAAGCTGTTGACTTTTAAAAGTAGTGACTTTAAAATAACTTGTTTGGGAATCCAATCCTGCTCTGCAAATTCTGAAGGAAGATAATTTCTGCAGTGGCCACATGAGTTCTGTGGACTCCCCCTCAAAAGCAAAACAAACAAACAAACAAACAATCATCCATAACTGTTAACAATGTGTAAAAAAAAAACTACTTAAAGTCTCTGAAAATTGTCATAAAGTCATACAGAAAACAAATAAATATGTATTCAAGAAAACCTATTACATTTATTTTTTTTTCTTTATTTCTTTTAATGATTTAATTTATTATTATTACTATTATTATATTTTAAGTTCTAGGGTACATATGCACAATGTGCAGGTTTGTTACATATGTATACATGTGCCATGTTGGTGTGCTGCACCTGTTAACTCGTCATTTACATTAGGTATATCTCCTAATGCCATCCCTACCCCCTACCCCACTCCATGACAGGCCCCAGTATGTGATGTTCCCCACCCTGTGTCCAAGTGTTCTCATTGTTCAATTCCCACCTATGAGTGAGAACATGCGGTGTTTGATTTTCTGTCCTTGTGATAGTTTGCTGAGAATGATGGTTTCTAGCTTCATCCATGTCCCTACAAAGGATATGAACTCATCCTTTTTTATAGCTGCATAGTATTCCATGGTGTATATGTGCCACATTTTCTTAATCCAGTCTGTCATTGATGGACATTTGGGTTGGTTCCAAGTCTTTGCTATTGTGAATAGTGCTGCTATAAACATACATGTGCATGTGTCTTTGTAGCAGCATAATTTATAATCCTTTGGGTATATGCCCAGTAATGGAATGACTCAGTCAAATGGTATTTCTAGTTCTAGATCCTTGAGGAATCGCCACACTATCTTCCACAATGGTTGAACTAGTTTACAGTCCCACCAACAGTGTAAAAGCGTTCCTATTTTTCCACATCCTCTCCAGCACCTGTTGTTTCCTGAATTTTTAATGATCGCCATTCTAACTGGTGTGAGATGGTATCTTATTGTGGTTTTGATTTGCATTTCTCTGATGTCCAGTGATGATGAGCATTTTTTCATGTATGTGTCTGTTGGCTGCATAAATGTCTTCCTTTGAGAAGCGTCTGTTCATATCCTTTGCCCATTTTTTGATAAGGTTGTTTGATTTTCTCTTGTAAATTTGTTTAAGTTCTTTGTAGATTCTGGATATTAGCCCTTTGTCAGATGGGTAGATTGTAAAAATTTTCTCCCTTTCTGTAGGTTGCCTGTTCACTCTGATAGTTTCTTTTGCTGTGCAGAAGCTCTTTAGTTTAATTAGATTCCATTTGTCTATTTTGGCTTTTGTTGCCAATGCTTTTGGTGTTTTAGACATGAAGTCCTTGTCCATGCCTATGTTCTGAATGGTATTGCCTAGGTTTTCTGATAGGGTTTTTATGGTGTTAGGTCTAAAATTTAAGTCTTTAATCCATCTTGAATTAATTTTTGTATAAGGTCTAAGGAAGGGATCCAGTTTCAGCTTTCTACATATGGCTAGCCAGTTTTCCCAGCACCATTTATAAAATAGGGACTCATTTCCCCATTTCTTGTTTTTGTCAGGTTTGTCAAAGATCAGATAGTTGTAGATCTGTGGTATTATTTCTGAGGGCTCTATTCTATCTCTGTTTTGGTACCAGTACCATGCTGTTTTGGTTACTGTAGCCTTGTAGTATAGTTTGAAGTCAGGTAGTGTGATGCCTCCAGCTTTGTTCTTTTGGCTTAGGATTGTCTTGGCAATGCGGGCTCTTTTTTGGTTCCATATGAACTTTAAAGTAGTTTTTTCCAATTCTGTGAAGAAAGTCATTGGCAGTTTGATGGGGACGGCATTGAATCTATAAATTACCTTGGGCAGTATGGCCGTTTTCACAATATTGATTCTGCCTATCCATGAGCATGGAATGTTCTTCCATTTGTTTGTGTCCTCTTTTATTTTTTTTGAGCAGTGGTTTGTAGTTCTCCCTGAAGAGGTCCTTCACATCCCTTGTAAGTTGGATTCCTAGGTATTTTATTCTCTTTGTAGCAATTGTGAATGGGAGTTCACTCCTAATTTGGCTCTCTGTTTGTCTGTTATTGGTGTATAGGAATGTTTGTGATTTTTGCACATTGATATTGTATCCTGCGACTTTGCTGAAGTTGCTTATCAGCTTAAGGTGATTTGGGGCTGAGACAATGCGGTTTTCTAAATATACAATAATGTCATCTGCAAACACAGACAATTAGACTTCCTCCTTTCCTAATTGAAAATGCTTTATTTCTTTTTCTTGCCTGATTGCTCTGGCCAGAACTTCCAACACTATGTTGCATAGAAGTGCTGGGAGAGGGCATCCCTGTCTTGTGCCAGTTTTCGAAGGGAATGCTTCCAGTTTTTGCCCATTCAGTATGATATTGGCTGTGGGTTTGTCATAAATAGCTCTTATTATTTTGAGATATGTCCCATCAATGCCTAGTTTATTGAGAGTTTTTAGCATGAAGGGCTGTTGAATTTTGTCAAAGGCCTTTTCTGCATCTATTGAGATAATCATGTGGTTTTTGTCTTTGGTTCTGTTTATATGATGGATTACGTTTATTGATTTGTGTATGTTGAACCAGCCTTGCATCCCAGGGATGAAGCCAACTTGATCGTGGTGGATAAGCTTTTTGATGTGCTGCTGGATTCAGTTTGCCTATATTTCATTGAGGATTTTTGCATCGATGTTCATCAGGGATATTGGTCTAAAATTCTCTTTTTTTGTTGTGTCTCTGCCAGCCTTTGGTATCAGGATGATGCTGGCCTCATAAAATGAATTAGGGAGGATTCCGTCTTTTTCTATTGATTGGAATAGTTTCAGAAGGAATAGTATCAGCTCCTGTCTGTACCTCTGGTAGAATTTGGCTGTGAATCCGTCTGGTCCTGGACTTTTTTTGGTTGCTAGGCTATTAATTATTGCCTCAATTTCAGAGCCTGTTATTGGTCTATTCAGGGATTCAACTTCTTCCTGGTTTAGTTTTGGGAGGGTGTATGTGTCCAGGAATTTATCCATTTCTTCTAGATTTTCTAGTTTATTTGCGTAGAGGTGTTTATAGTATTCTCTGATGGTAGTTTGTATTTCTGTGGGATTGGTCTTGATATCCCCTTTATCATTTTTTATTGCATCTATCTGATTCTTCACTCTTTTCTTCTTTGTTAGTCTTGCTAGCAGTCTATCAATTTTATTGATCTTTTCAAAAAACCAGCTCCTGGATTCATTGATTTTTTGAAGGGTTTTTTGTGTCTCTATTTCCTTCAGTTCTGCTCTGATCTTAGTTATTTATTGCCTTCTGCTTGCTTTTGAATGTGTTTGCTCTTGCTTCTCTAGTTCTTTTAATTGTGATGTTAAGGTGTCCATTTTAGATCTTTCCTGCTTTCTCTTGTGGGCATTTAGTGCTATAAATTTCCCTCTACACACTGCTTTAAATGTGTCCCAGAGATTCTGGTATGTTGTGTCTTTGTTCTCATTCGTTTCAAAGAACATCTTTATTTCTGCCTTCATTTCGTTATGTACCCAGTAGTCATTAAGGAGCAGGTTGTTCATTTTCCATGTAGTTGAGCGGTTTTGAGTGAGTTTCTTAATCCTGAGATCTAGTTTGATTGCACAGTGGTCTGAGAGACTGTTTGTTATAATTTCTGTTCTTTTACATTTGCTGAGGAGTGCTTTACTTCCAACTATGTGGTCAATTTTGGAATAAGTGCGATGTGGTGCTGAGAAGAATGTATATTCTGTTGATTTGGGATAGAGAGTTCTGTAGATGTCTATTAGGTCCACTTGGGGCAGAGCTGAGTTCAATTCGTGGATATCCTCATTAACTTTCTGTCTCGTTGATCTGTCTAATGTTGACAGTGGGGTGTTAAAGTCTCCCATTATTATTGTGTGGGAGTCTAAGTCTCTTTGTAGGCCTCTAAGAACTTGCTTTATGAATCTGGGTGCTCCTGTATAGGGTGCATATATATTTAGGATAGTTAGCTCTTCTTGTTGAATTGATCCTTTTACCATTATTTAACGGTCTTCTTTGTCTCTTTCAATCTTTGTTGGTTTAAAGTCTGTTTTATCAGAGACTAGGATTGCAACCCCTGCTTTTTTTTGTTTTCCATTTGCTTGGTAGCTCTTCCTCCATCCCTTTATTTTGAGCCTATGTGTGTCTCTGCACATGAGATGTGTCTCCTGAATACAGCACACTGATGGGTCTTGACTCTTTATTCAATTTGCCAATCTGTGTCTTTTAATTGGAGTATTTAGCCCATTTACATTTAAGGTTAATATTGTTATGTGTGAATTTGATCCTGTCATTATTATGTTAGCTGGTTATTTTGCTCATTAGTTGACGCAGTTTCTTCTTAGCATCTATGGTCTTTACAATTTGGCATGTTTTTGCAGTGGCTGGTACCAGTTATTCCTTTCCATGTTTAGTGCTTCCTTCAGGAGCTCTTGTAATGCAGGCCTGGCGGTGACAAAGTCTCACAGCCTTTGCCTGTCTGTAAAGGATTTTATTTCTCCTTCACTTATGAAGCTTAATTTGGCTGTATATGAAATTCTGGGTTGACAATTCTTTTCTTTAAGAATGTTGAATATTGGCTCCCACTCTCTTCTGGCTTGTAGAGTTTCTGCTGAGAGATCTGCTGTTAGTCTGATGGGCTTCCCTTTGTTGGTAACCCGACCTTTCTCTCTGGCTGCCCTTAACATTTTTTCCTTTGATTCAAGTTTGGTGAATTTGACAATTATGTGTATTGGAGTTGCTCTTCTCGAGCAGTATCTTTGTGGCGTTCTATTTCCTGAATTTGAATGTTGGCTTGCCTCGCTAGGTTGGGGAAGTTCTCCTGGATAATATCCTGCAGAGTGTTTTCCAACTTCGTTCCATTCTCCCTATCACTTTCAGGTACACCAGTCAGAGGTAGATCTGATCTTCTCACATAGTCCCATATTTCTTGGAGGTTTTGTTTGTTTCTTTTTGCTCTTTTTTCTCTAAACTTCTCTTCTCACTTCATTTCGTTCATTTGATCTTCTGTCACTGATACCCTTTCTTCCACTTGATCAAATCAGCTACTGAAGCTTTTGCATGTGTCATATAGTTCTCGTGCCATGGTTTTCAGCTCCATCAGGTCATTTAAGGACTTATTTAGACTGTTTATTCTAGTTAGCCATTCGTGTAATCATTTTTCAAGGTTTTTAGCTTCTTTGCGATGGGTTTGAGCTTCCTCATTTAGCTTGGAGAAGTTTGTTATTGCCAATTGTCTGAAGCCTTCTTCTCTCAACTCATCAAAGTCATTCTCCGTCCAGCTTTGTTCCGTTGTTGTCAAGGAGCTGCATTCCTTTGGAGGAGAAGAGGCACTCTGATTTTTAGAATTTTCAGCTTTTCTGCTCTGGTTTCTCCCCATCTTTGTGGTTTTATCTACCTTTGGTCTTTGATGATGGTGACATACCAATGGGGTTTTGGTGTGGATGTCCTTTCTGTTTGTTAGTTTTCCTTCTAACAGTGAGGACCCTCAGCTGCAGGTCTGTTGGAATTTGCTGGAGGTCCACTCCAGATCCTGTTTGTCTGGGTATCACCAGTGGAGGCTGCAGAGCAGCAAATATTGCAGAATGGCAGATGTTGCTGCCTGATCGTTCTTCGGGAAGCTTTGTCTCAGAGGGGCACCCAGCTGTGTGAGGTGTCAGTCAGCCCCTACTGGGAGATGTCTCCCAGTTAGGCTACTCGGGAGTCAGGGATCAACTTGAGGAGGCAGTCTGTCCATTCTCAGATCTTAAACTTCATGCCGGGAGAATCACTACCCTCTTCATAGCTGTCAGACAGGGACGTTTAAGTCTGCAGAAGTTTCTGCTGCTTTTTGTTCAGCTATGCCCTGCCCCCAGAGGTGGAGTCTACAGAGGCTGGCAGGCCTCCTTGAGCTGTGGTGGGCTCCACCCAGTTCGAGCTTCCTGGCCACTTTGTTTACCTACTCAAGCCTCAGCAATGGCAGACGCCCCTCCCCCAGCCACACTGCTGCCTTGCAGTTTGATCTCAGACTGCTGTGCTAGCAGTGAGTGAGGCTCCGTGGTCGTGGGACCCTCTGATCCTGGCACAGGATACAATCTCCTGGTGTGCCGTTTGTCAAGGCCATTGGAAAATCACAGTATTAGGGTGGGAGCATCCCGATTTTCCAGGTACCATCTGTCACAGCTTCCCTTTGCCAGGAAAGGGAATTCCCTGACCCTTTGTGCTTCCCAGGTGAGGCAATGCCCCACCCTGCTGTGTGAGCTGCACCCCCTGTCTGACAAGTCCCAGTGAGATAAACCCAGTACCTCAGTTGGAAATGCAGAAATCACCTGTCTTCTGCGTTGCTCATGCTGGGAGCTGCAGACTGGAGCTGTTCCTATTCGGCCATCCTGGAACCTCAACCCTTTTAATGATTTAATTTTAATTTACTTGTTTCTAATTTGTGTTCAAATTAGCACCATAAGGAAAGTTCTTCTGTGTGCTTCCTGGCTCCCTGAGGTAATTGCAGTGAAACTGGCTCTTGTTGAATTGGCAACTATCAGGTAATACTGAAGAAGCCAAGATGGGGGGAGAGAAACCAGATACTGATTACATCAGCTAGTTCCAACTACATTTATTTTTTTCAAGAATAATGAGAGTCTGCAGCACTTGAGTCACAACTTCCTTCCTTCTCTCCCAGCCAGCTCATTGTGATGGGATCTCTGGGTGGGTGTGGCCAAGAAGACACTAAATCCCCAGTTAAAGCTGCTACCACCCCCAGGAGAAGTAGGCCACTGGCACCTTTCATCCCCCGAGTTTCATATTATAGAGGCTAACTTCCAAGTGAATACTACAGAAAGAGTGGGACTCCCTTCTGCCACACAGCCCCACTTGTAGGGTGGATATTCTATCCCAGGTGTATCAGACTGAGAATTCCAGGGCCCAATTGCTGTCACCCAGCTTTCTCTTAAGGTGGAGGTTCCACACTGGGAGAGACAAGCCAAGAAGCCCAGAGGCTACCACGTCTATCTAGCATCCTGCACATAAAGCAGGGCTGTCACTCCAAGGGAAGCAGACCATGGTCCTTGAACCCAGCTCTGGAGCAGTGGCTCAGAAATTTCACCCAGGGGCAGAGGCAGCTTATAAGGACAGAGAGCTCTAAAGCTCTTTATAAAGGAATTGTCTTTATTTAGAAGAAGTGGGAAAATGCAAGCCTAAAGGTGTTCTCAAAAGCAATGGACATTTCGTTGATAAGCGCTTAAGTGGAGCTAGTACCTCCTTGAGAGCTTTGAGCTAAACTCTAGGTTTGTTTGTTTACCAGAGAGAACCACAAAAAGGGATAGTTAAGAAAATGTCTCCAGGGACTGGAACAAACCTCAAAGACTGGAGTCAAAAATTATTCCTATAAAGAGGCTTACCTAAATTGGATAAGATGGTGGAACAATTTATGTTGCAGGGCTTTGTTGGAAACAAAAGAGAAATCAGCTGACAATTAGTGAAGCCTAACATCTGGTTGTGATAACAACAGAGGCAGACAGCCTCTGGGAAAGCCTCACAATAAGAAACAGTAAAAAGCCGTGCTGAAACCATTGTCAATCCAGGTGACTATGTGCAAGTCCAATGCGGTGCCCTCTGAGGAACAAAACCAGAGACTTCCTATCAGGGAAAATAGACCACGAAAATAGTCCAGTCAAGTCATTAAACAAAGAAACAAGTAAACAATAACAATAAGCCTCTGGCAGAGGATCAGAATCCAGAATTACTACAATATATTAATATTATTTTAAATAGCTAGTTTTCGGCAACAATAAAAAATTATGAGACATGCAAAGAAACAGGAAAGTATGACTCATGCACAGGGGAAAAAAGAAGAAAGAAAAAAACAATCAGGCAACAGAAACTGTGAGATGGCAAGATATTATACTTAATAAATTTTGAAAACTTAACAAATTTGTTAAATAAAGTTAACGATGACTTCAGAGTAGCTGTCATAAATATGTTAACAGAGCTAAAGGAAATCATGCTTTAAAAAGAATAGAAAGGTATAAGGACATTGTCTTATCAAATAGAGAATATAAAAAATATAATTTATTTAAAAATTAAAATTTAAGAATAGAAAAGCACAAAAAGTGAAATAAAAATTTACTAAAAGGGATCAACAGAAGATTTGAAGTGGCAGATGAAAGAATCAACAAACTTAAAGATAGATCAATAGAGATTATGCAAGGCAAGAGCAGAAAGAGAAAAAAGAATGAAGAAAATTGAACAGAACTTCAGAGAAATGTAAAACAGCATTAAGGAAACCAATATGTGTGTGATGGAAGTACCAGACAGAGAGGCAAGGGAAAAGGATCAGAAAAAAAGTACTCAAATAATATTATTAATGTAGTCTACACATTTAAAAATCTCAGTGAAAGACAAACAGAAATAACCCCAAAAGCAGACAGTAAAATCAAAAATAGGCAAATGGGATTCTATCAAACTAAAAAGCTTTTGCACACCAAAGAAAACAGTCAACAGAATGAAGAGACAACGTAAAGATTGGAAGAAAGTACTTGCAAACCATACATCTGATAAGGAGTAAATATCCAAAAGATATAAGGAACTTAAACAATTCAATAACAAGAAAACAAATGTACTGATTTTAAAATCGTCAAAAGACCTGAATAGGTATTTCTCAAATGAAGACATATGAATAGCCAATGGGTATATGAGAAAATGTTTAACATCACTGTCATAAGGGAAATGCAAATTAAAGCCACAATGAGATATCACCTCATACCTATTAGACTGGTTATTATAAAAACAATAAAGGCCAGGTGCGGTGGCTCACGCCTGTAATCCCAGCACTTTGGGAGGCCGAGGCGGGCGGATCACGAGGTCAGGAGATTGAGACCATCCCAGCTAAAACGGTGAAACCCCGTCTCTACTAAAAATACAAAAAATTAGCCGGGCGTAGTGGCGGGCACCTGTAGTCCCAGCTACTTGGGAGGCTGAGGCAGGAGAATGGCGTGAACCCGGGAGGCAGAGCTTGCAGTGAGCCGAGATCCCGCCACTGCACTCCAGCCTGGGCGACAGAGCGAGACTCCGTCTCAAAAAAAAAAAAAAAAAAAAAAAAAAAAAAAAAAAAAAACAATAAAAAGAACAAGTGTGAGGGAGAATGTGGAGAAAAGGGAACTCTTCCATACTGTTGGTAGGAGTATAAATTAGTATAGCCATAATGGAAAACAGTATAGAGGTTCCTCAAAAAAATTAAAACAAATTACCATATGACCCAGCAGTCTCACTTCTGGATATACATCCAAAAGAAATGAAATTGTTATATTGAAGAGATATCTGCACTCCTATGTTCATTGCAACATCATGGACAATTGCCAAGATATGGAATCAATCTAAGTGTCCACTGATGGATAAAAAAAATGTTTCTCTCTCGTATGTACATACTATAATTTTCCATTGTACATGTATGTATACCTGTACACGTACATATACATGATACAATATGTGTTATGTATGTATACATACATATGTGTTATGTACATATACATACATATTGTATCATATATATGTATGTGTACAGGTATATGTACTTATATAATGAAAAATTATTCATCCTTTAAAAAGAAGAAAATTCTGCTATTTATGACAACTGGGTGAACTTGGAGGACATTATGCTACGTGAAATAACCACAGAAAGACAAATACTACATGATCTCACCTATACGTGAAATACAAAAAAGTTGAACTCATAGAAGCAGAGACCAGAATGGTGGTTGCCAGGGGTTGGGATTGGGAGTGGGAGAAATAGGAAGAAGTTGGTTAAAGGGTACAAAATGTCAGTTATATAAGATGAATATTTTTGGAGACCTAAAGTACAACATGGTAACTATATACTGCATTGGAAACTTGAAATTTGCTCAGACAGTTGCTCTTAAATGTTCTCACCACAAAAGGAAAAATAGTGACTGATACTAAAAGAGTTTGCATATTTGTCCTCTCCAAATCTCATGTTAAATTGTGATTCCCAGTGTTGGAGGTGGGGCCTGGTGGGAGGTGTTTGTCATGGGGCAAGTCCCTCATGAGTGGCTTGGTGCTGTCCTTTCGGTAAAGAGTGAGTTCTCACACTATTAGTTCACGCGAGAGATGGTTGTTTAAAAGAGCCTGGCATCTCTCTGTTTCTTCCTCTCTTGCCATGTGACATGGCTGCTCCCCTTCAGCTTCCACCATGACTGGAAGCTTCCCCAGGCTCTCACCAGAAGCAGATGCTGGCACGATGCTTCTTGAACCATCTACAGAACTGTGAGCCAAAATAAACCTCTTTTCTTTATAAATTACCCAGCCTCAGGCATTCTTTTATAGCAGCATAAAATGGACAAATACAGTGACTATGTGAGGTGTTGGATATATTAGCTTAATTATGGTAATCATTTCACAATGTATACATATATCAAAACATCACATTATATACCATAAATATGTATAATACTTTTCTATTATAACTCAATAAAGTTGGAAAGAATAAAGTGTTTGCTTAATGAAGAAACAGAAAAAGTGTAATTTTGGGCAGTAATAGGAGAAAAACATCATATACTAGTGAACTCCAATAAATTAACAGCTGGCTTCTCATCAGAAACAGTAAAGGCTAGCAAGCAATGCAATGACATATTCAAGGTACTAAAAGAACAAAAGCTGTCAACTAAAAATCTTACATTCAGAAACATTGTCTTTCAAAAATTAAGGTGAAATGAAGCCATTCCTAGAAAAACAAAAACTGAAAGAATTTGTTGCTTCAGACACTTCCTGCAAGACATATTAAAGGAAGGTCTTTGGACTGAAGGGAAGCTACCCCAGACAGTAATTCAAAAAAGTGAAGAACATAAGTAAATGTAATTATGTAATTAGAAAATACAGTTTAAATGCACATTTCTTCCCCTTCCTTCTATTTATTTATTTTAATTTTACTTTAAGCTCTGGGATAGATGTGCAGAATGTGCAACTTTGTTACATAGGTATACACGTGCCATGGTGATTTGCCACACCTCCTTCTTTTAACTGATTTTAAAAGAAATGGTTTACAACAATATGTACATAATTTTATTGTTATGCCTGTATGTATATGAATGTAACATACTTGACAATAACAGCACAAAGTAGGTCAGTGGAAACAAAGGTGTATTAGAGCAAGAACATGACACTGAATGGTAACTTGAATCCACAGGAACAAATGAAGAGAACCAGAAATGGTAAAGAAGAAAGTTAGTCTAACTTTACAGCCAGTCTAACGAACTCTATAAATATGTACTTGCTCTCCTTTCATCTCTTATTTTCTATAAAAAAACACAAAAATTTATTAAATGACAATTGTAACAATGTATTATTGAGTTTATAACATATAAAGATTTATTTATAGCACCAATAGCATAAAAGAGGACAGAGAAAACAGAAGTATATAGGAGGAACATTTCTATATATCACTGGAATTAAGTTAGTATATTATCTGAATTAGATTCTGGTAAGTTAAGATATGTATTGTAAGCCTTAGAGCAGCCAACCAGAAAATAACTCAAAAAATATAGTGAAAATCACTAAATAAATTAAAATGTTACATTATAAAATACTCATTTTGTTGGGAACAAGCCCCCCAAAATCTGGCAATAATCTGGCCCCCAAAACTGGCCATAAACAAAATCTCTGCAGCACTGTGACATGTTCATGATGGCCATAAAGACCACGCTGGAAGGTTGTGGGTTTACTGGAATGAGGGCAAGGAACACTTGGCCTGCCCAGGGCAGAAAACCGCTTAAAGGCATTCTTAAGCCACAAACAATAGCATGAGTGATCTGTGCCTTAAGGACATGCTCCTGCTACAGTTAACTAGCCCAACCTACTCCTTTAATTCAGCCCATCCCTTCGTTTCCCATAAGGGATACTTTTAGTTAATTTAATATCTATAGAAACAATGCTAATGACTGGCTTGCTGTTAACAAATACATGGGTAAGTCTCTGTTTGGGGCTCTCAGCTCTGAAGGCTGTGAGACCCCTGATTTCCCACTTCACACCTCTATATTTCTGTGTGTATGTCTTTAATTTCTCTAGCGCCACTGGGTTAGGGTCTCCCCAACCAAGTTGGTCTCAGCATCATTTAATGAAAAAGAAATAAGTAAAGAAGAAAAAAGAAAAAACAGACAAGATATTTGAAAACAAAAAGTAAAATTGCAGTTGTAAATCCAGCTACATCAATAACAACATTAAATATGAATGTGTTAATCCAATCAAAGTCACAGATTGTCAGACTGGATAACAAAAATAAGATTGAACTATAGAATGTCTACAGAAGATTCAAAGAAAATTGGGTGAAAGTAAAAGAACAGAAAAAGACACATCAAGCAAACAGCAATGTTAAGAAAGCTGGAGTAGCCATACTGATATCACATAAGCAGAATTAAAACAAAAATATTATTACTAGAGATAAAGAGAAATAATTTATGACTAAAAGGTTAATATATCAAGAAGATATAATAATTATAAGCTGTGCAACAGAACCCAGGATGAAGCAAAAACTGACAAAATTAAATAGACGATTCAATAATAACCATTGGAGACTTTGATACTCCATTTTTAATAATGGATATAACAACTAGGGAAAAGATGAACACAGAAATAAAAGACCTAAAAAACAACATAGAACAACTAGATCTAATAGACGTGTATAGAACAGTCCACTCCAAAATAGCAGAATACACATTATTCTCAAATGCACATGAAACATTTTTCAGGATAGACCATATGCTAGGCCATGAAACAACCCTCACTACATTTAAAAGAATTGAATTATACAAAACATACTCTCTAACAATAATGAAATGAAATTAAAACAAGGATAAATATGTATACATTAAACAATACACTTTTAAACAACCAATAAATCAAATAATAAACCACAAGAAAGATTAGAAAATACTTTGAGATAAATGAAAATGAAGAGACGCATACCAAAACTTATGGGATACAGTGAAAGCAGTACTCAGAAGAAAATCTATATTTAAAAACACCTATATTTTAAAATAAGAAAGTTCTCAAAACAACAACCATATTGAAGGAAGTTTTTTGGACTGAAGAAACTAGATTTTAAAAAAGCAAGTTAAACACAAGGCAAACAGAAAAGGGAGATAATAGAGTGGAAATAACTTAGTCAATAGAAAAGCAATAGAGAAAATACATGAAACTGAAAGTTGGTGCTTGGAAAAGATCAACAAAATTGACAAATCGTTAGCTTGATTGACCAAGATGAAGAGAAAAACTCAAATTATTAAAATCAGCAATTAAAGAGGAAGCATTACTACCGACCTTACAGAAATAAAAAGGACTATAAATGAATACTATAAACAATTGTGTGACAGTCCATTAAATACTGTATATAAAATGGAAAATTCCCAGAATGATGCAAACTATTGACTCAAAAAGGAATAAAAAATCATAACAGACTTATAGCAATTTTTTTGAATTAATAATCAAAAACCTTCCCACAAAGAAAAGCTCATGACCAGATGGTTTCACTGGTACATTCTACCAAATACTTAGAGGGCAATGAACAATAATTCTTCAAAAACTCTTCTAAAAAATTTAAGGGGAGGAAACACTTCTCAGTTTATTATCTGAGGCAGTATTATCCTGATACTGCAATTAGACCAAGACATCATCACAAGAAAACTACAGAACAATATCTTCTATGAATACAAATGAAAAAAAATCCTCAACAAAATACCAGCAAACTAAATCCAGCAACAGATAATAAGGATTACATACCATCACCAAGAGGAATTTATCCCAGGAGTACAAAGTTTAACACCTGAAAGTCAAGAAGAATATCCATGTTGAATTACAGGAAGCTCTTGGAAATAAAAAATAAGTCTCATTCCAACTTTATTTCTGGTAACTTACCCTTCTAGCTGTGTGATTTTTGAAAAGTCACTTAACCTTCTATGCTGCCATTTTCTCACTTATAAAATTATTGTAGTTCACTAAACCAATAGAATAAAGGACACAAGACACATGATCATCTCAATAGATGCAGAAAAATAATTCGTCAAAATTTAATATTCTTTTGTGATAAAAACATGCAACAAACTAGAAACAGAAGGAAACTTACTCAAGCTGATAAAGGGCATATGTGACAAACCCACAGCTCTAACATAATATTTAATGATGAGACTGAGCAAGAGCAAGGCAAAGATATCTCCTTTTGCCACTCTATTCAATATTGTGCCGAAGATTCTAGACAAGTCAACTAGGCAATACAATACAAGGAAAGGCATCTGGATTTGAAAGATGTATCTTTATTTGTAGATGACAAGATATTGTATATGGAAATTCATAAGAAGTTCAGTAAAAATTATTTGATCTGATAAACAAGTTCAGCAATGTTGGAAGATAAAAAATCAATATATACAAACATCAATTGTACTTCTATACATTAGCAAAGAACAATCCAAAAATGAAATTAAGAAAACAAACCCATTTGTAATAGCATCATAAAGAGTAAAATAGGAATACATTTAACAAAAGAGGCTCAAAATGTATACTCTGATATGTCAGGTACTTAATTAGTATAAATAAAGTAGCCACTGCTTGGAATAACAACTCACCTAAGATTCAAGAAGTGGCGATGTTGAATTACAGGGAACACTTTGTAATAAGAAATAGTTCCCATCCCAGTGATCTGCAATCACTTTCTTACTAGCTGTGTGAATTTAGAAAAGTTACATAGCCTTCTGCACTGCCATTTTCTAATGCATAAAATTGGGATAATAATAGTGTGGACATCAAGATTAAATGAGAGCAGTTTTTTAAAACAAGGTGCCTGGTCAGGGGCAAGGGCTTTCTCTGTGTTCCTTATATGATCCCTCAAAATTAGAGAAGTCTTCACCAAGATACTATTGCATATGAGTTAATTAGTTATTTTATACCATTGATATCCAAGTATAATGTTTTCTTCTATCTCTGAGTCCCTAGAGTCTATCCTCAGCACAGCAGCCAGAGTTGTTCTCTTAAAACTATAGAGCATTTTAGTCTTCTGCCCCACTATGCAGTGGCTCTCCACGGCGCTGTTTAGTAAAAGCTAAAGTCTTTAAATGTCTGCAAGCACTGGCACAAACTGGCACACCATCTCCTCGCTGACCTCATATTCTATCCTTCTGCTCCTCACTCCTGCTGCTCTACCCACAGTAACCTCATCACTGTTCTTTGCACACACCAGCAAACATACAATTTAGGGGCTTTGCACTGACTTAGTTAATCTCATGACTAACTATCTCACTTCCCTCATGATTTGTTCTAATATACCTTTTCTCAGAAGCCTCCCCAGACCACCCTGTGTAAATAGCCATCCCCCCGTGCCCCAGGACCACCAGCATTCCTGGTCCTCTTTACCCTACTTTACTTTAGTACTTATCACTCCTTACAAACTGTCTGTGGTGAGCACTGGAAAGCTCTTCCCCAGCTGCTGAGTGTGCTGCCACCCATAGCGGGCAGCTGTCATTCTCTTCAGGCATCTTGTCCACTGAAGAGAGATGCTTCCACCGAGGCTGAGCAGCTTTTGGGAATGCATTCAGTAACTGGTCAAAGTGGCCATATAAATGCCCCGTCCCCTTGCCCAACTCAGGGCACTCTGAAAGACCATCACAGCTTCAGAGCCCCCCACAGGGTGGGCTACTGTATCTCCTTCCCAGCTTAAATGATCCCCAAGAGCACTTCGTCACACATTTCCGCTGCACGAATCTCTGTTTCATCTGCAACGCTACATGTTCTACTGACTTGTGTGTATGGCCTTTCTCCTCCCACGATAATATAAGCTCCCCTAAAGAAGGACATTCTCTTCACTGATGTATCCAAAACACCTTCACAGTGCCTGGAACATAGTGGAAACTCAACAAATATTTGTCAAATGAATACTGAAGTATTAGATCTTTTCATCCATTGAGAAAATTCTGAAACAAAAAATTGGATAAAATCTTTAACTTTACAGATATAAAATGTTATTCATTGAAATACATTTTCTGTCTTGTATGAATCCTATAACACAGAGGCAGGAATATATGCAGACTTGTAGACCTTAGTTTCTCTTCAATTTATGGTGGGGGGAAGGTCATTTAAAAAATTATGGTGATACTGCCAGCTTTTTTAAAGAGACTCCACACATCCATTTTCATATATATATATATATATATATATATATATAGTTTCTTATTTTATGTATCTTTTTCTTGGACCAAAATGTGAACAGTTTTATTATTTATAGCTTGTAAAATTGTCAGCATGATCTACAATTTCTTCATATACTTCTAGAATATTTCCTACTTTACTGGCTTCCCAGTTATACGTTTACTATTTTTTATTTCCTTTTCTTTCTTCTAATCATCTTACAATGCATGGCATGAATTTTGATACTGTACTCTGGTCCGAGGTCATCGAAAACATGCTCCTGAAATTCTAGGATATCCTCAAAATACTAATGTCACTCTTATTTATAACACATGTCAAGAGATGGGTGTTTATTTTTGCTAACACTACCCTCGCAATGGGATTTTTTTATTACACTACCCTTTCATGAAGGAAAACTACAGAAACTGGGAGATCAAGATTGATAAGTAGATAGATGTATTCTAGTTTATTATATATAATTTTCTAGTTTTATATATATGTATTCTAGTTGTCTATATATATTCTCTATATACATAAAGAGAGAATGACTCTTTATCTACATGACTATATATATGTATATATGTGTGTGTGTGTGTATATATATATATATATATATATATATATATATATATAGTATGACCAGAGGTCAAGATCCTGGAGAGAATGGAAACACCTTGAGGAATAGCCCTATACTTCTTAACAATTTTCCATGCAAGGTGTCTGTGGCCTTAGGGAGTCTAGTCCACAGACATGAAGGACACAAGGCCCTTGACAATCCACAATCTGCCTAAAACTCAGAGAAGCCCAGCAGAAAGCAACAGCATGGCAGCTGGGGAGCAGAGCAGAACTTTCAGCTATTGTATGGTGCTGAGGAGACTAAAAATTGTGTTTAGGGTAGCCATGCTTGCCAAGTTTTGAGGGGCTTGAATTCAGAGGGAAAGGAGCACATTAAAGTGACTTCGATCCCTGGGTTCACGTTTTCTTACACTTCAGGGGGCCAGAGGTTGAGAAGCCGAAAAGAAAGCAGTGCCTAAGAGTCTGGGAAGCTGATCACAGTTTTGAAGCTGACAATGCTGAGAAGGCAAAACTTTAGAGATCAGAGCCCACCAAAGTTGAGGAGCCTAGTGGGACACCTCAGACTTCTAGGACTCCATAGCGCAGTTACTCAGAGGAAGATCAAATCAAACCAAGACAATGTCTCATAAACAGTGACCTGTAACTTCAAATCTGCTGAACAGGTGGTCTGCCACAACTCCAGTTGCCTGTCAGAAGAAAAATAGACTCCCTGGAAGAATATAATGCCATCCAAAGCCCTGAGTTACCTTGATAATTCTTTACATACAACCAAAATTCTTTGCATCCCATAAAAAATAAACATGCCGGGCATCCCAGAAGACAGAAATAAAGAGCAAAAACCAAAAGGGGGGAAAACAGATATAAAATAGACCCAAAGATAATCAAGATATTGAAGTTATCCAATGTGGATGTCAAAATAACTGCAATTAGTATGTTAGAAAAATGGATGACAAGATGGAAAGTTTCTTCTGAGAACTGGAGTATTTAATGAAGAAGAATCAATGACAAGATTAGAATGGAAAAAGCCAACAGATTGACTGAAGAGCAGATGGCACAGAGCAGACAAGAGGCATAGTTTACTGGAACATATCCAAACCGAAGGATAAAGAGACCAAAGGACAGAAACAGAAGAGCCACATGAGACATGGTGGAAAATTTAAGAGACATGAATCAAAGTCCCCAAATAAAGGACAGAGAGAATAGGAGAAAAAGCTCTGTCGCCCAGGCTGGAGTGCGATGGCGTGATCTCAGCTCACTGCAGCCTCTGCCTCCTGGGTTCAAGCGATTCTCCCTTCTCAACCTCTCGAGTAGCTAGGACTACAGGCACACACTACCATGCCCAGCTAATTTTTGTATTTTTGTAGAGACGGGGTTTTGCCATGTTGGCCAGGCTGGTCTTGAGAACTTCTGACCTCAGGTGATCTGCCCACCTCGGCCTCCCAAAGTGCTAGGATTACAGACATGAGGCACCACGCCAAGCCAGATGCAATATTTAAAAGAATGATGGTTAAGAATTTTGCAAAACAGGCCAGGCACGGTGGCACACACCTGTAATCCCAGCACTTTGGGAGGCCGAGAGGGGCAGACCACCTGAGGTCAGGAGTTTGAGACCAGTCTGGCCAACATGGTGAAACCCTGTCTCCACTAAAAATACAAAAAAAATTACCTGGGAGTGGTGGTATGCACCTGTAATCCCAGCTACTCAGGAGGCTGAGCCAGAAGAATCGCTTGAACCCCGGAGACAGGGGTTGAGCTGAGACCATGCCATTGAACTCCAGCCTGGGTGACAGAGCAAGACTCCATCTCAAAAAAAAAAAAAAAAAAGAATTTTACAAAACTGATAAAAGATAACAAGCCACAGATTCAAGGCTTTCACTGAACCCTGAACAGAAGAAAATCAAATAAATGCACATACATTTGAAAAAATTGTAAATATATTCTCGCTTGGATTCAGCAATTCCACCTCTCAGAAGAATCCTACAGATACACTTGCACATATAAGACATTGCCATTGCATGTGAAAGATATTCATTACTACACTGTTAAATGTAAACAAAAATCTAAATAACAATCAACGGCAGGTAGCATGAATAAGTTTTGATACATCCTCTCTCCCCCATCCTCTCCGATTACAGTAATTTTTAAATAATTCCTTTAAACAATATGTTTACTGGGACATGAATCTTGTGTTTCTTCTTTGATTCTCTTTACTCTGTCTTTCTTGGGTGACTTACTGTGGTAGAGTGGGTCACCCCTTCAATTTTGGATTTGGATAAAATACCAGACTATGCTACATAAACCTGGTCTCCTGAATGACTGCTGAGGGACCAGATGATACCACTTAGAAGTGCAAAGATAAGCTGAGGGTGAAGCTTAGCTAATGGGAAATAGGGACAGGAAAGAAATAGGCAGATAATGTGGCCTCCTTTCCCTCCATTGTGGACTACATTGAGATGTGTTTCCTCCTTGAAATGCTTCTGGAGAAGCCTTCTGTGTTAAGTGAGCTAAGTACCCTGCTATGTCTCTTCATGGCTTGTTGTGAAGCGGGGGACCGTGTGGTAGCACATCACATCACATTGCCTCACACCTTGCCTTGCCTCACTTCCCTCTTCCCTCACATGGCCCTGGGCTTGTGCCTCTCAAATAAAGTGTTAGCACTTAATTCTTGCATTAGGCTCTACTTTCTAGAGGGTGTGAACTAAGGCAATAACATTTTTTAGGCCATACAATGGAATACTGTGAAGTCAACTTAAATAGTTCTGTATATACTGAAATTGAATGCATACGTCTGCCTCTAGAAAGTTACATTGATGGATGGATGAATAGATAGATGATTGATAGATCAATCAATAGATCGATAGATAGATAAAATAAAGCAAGGCAAAGAATAGTGTGTCTCTAATGATACCATTTGTGAAGTAAAAATAAACATTTCTTGTATTATTGGACTATATTTCAAAGACACACACTAAATAAATTACAATTATTGGGTAACTGTGTAGAAGACAGAGTCATTTTTCTTATATACCATTACAAAATATTTGAATTTTGTAGTTACACTGGTATTATCTATTCAATAAAATTACATAAGAAAAAAGTGAACAATGACCATAAAACAAGATTTAGCAAAAGAGGGTAATACATGTAATACATAGAAACATTTGTTACGTTTTTACCCCCCAAGAAATTAAGATTTCTTACTCAACAACTGATAAAAGTGAAAGGGGTAAGCAGGATCAGATGCTACCATGTCTTAAAAATCATGTTAAAGCTGTTGGAATTTATTCTATGAGCAATTAGAAGCCATATTAGTCCATTGAATGGCTTTAGCTTAGGAAGATAACTCCCATTTTGGTTGCACGGTGATGGATTAGATGGGAAAAATCTGGAGGCGGATCAATTAGTGGTCGTTGCAATAATCCAGGATTCCCACACTTTGCATTAGGCTCTGACTAGAGAAGATGTGTGGTAAACTAGTGATTTTAAATTTTATGTTTTACGTAATTCTCAGAGCCATCACATAACTGTCAAAAATAGCCTATTACCTAGATCATACATCTTACTTTCTGGCAAAACAGCATCCCTGTGTTCCTAGCAACCATTTTATCCCATCACAGACAGGCCAGTCATATTTCAGAAAGATGTTTTTTCTTTCAGCTAATTATAACCTATAACATTGATTCTTATGATGAGTTTCCCAGAATCACTCTAGCTTTACAACATAGTTTGAAAAGCTAAATGCTCTCATCTTTGTCCAAGGAATATAAAAGTAATCTGATTTCTGTGCACTATAGCTTGTCTCCCAGGAAACCACCACAGCCAAGGAAAATATTGATTGAGATAAATGTTACCTTAGGAAGTTAAAATACTAGAGACACTGAACTAAGATAAGACTATGTATTCATAAACGAATACTCTCCATACTGGAAGCTTGCTTGCCTTTGCATGTAAATATCTTTATTTTATTTCCTCCCTCCTGTGGTCTTTATCTTTGTATTCTCCTGGTTCCCCCAGAGAAGAAATCCCTTGTTGAAGAAATAAAAGTTCTTAAAGGAAAGCCTGTGAAATCACGTTTCTTTCATTTAAGAAACAAAAAATAGTGCTAAAATATATGGAAGCCGTGTATTCACTAGTGATGGGACCAGTGAAAAAGAGGACTATGTTAAAATACCTGCTAGCAATGTTTTTAAATGTTATGAGTAAATATAATAGTTGCTCTCCAAGATATGTTACAAAGGCTTAGGCTAATACATATCTCTGAATTTATTTATTTATTTACTTTTTGGGGGGATGGAGTCTCGCTCTGTTGCCCAGGCTGGAGTGCAGTGGCACAATCTCTGCTCACTGCAACCTCCACCTCCCAAGTTCAAGCATTCTCCTGCCTCCGCCTCCCAAGTAGTTGGGATTACAGGCCTGCCACCACGCCCGGCTAATATTTTTTGTATTTTTAGTAGAGACAGGGTTTCACTATGTTGTCCAGGCTGGTCACGAACTCCTGACCTCAAGTGATCCACCCGCCTCGGCCTCCCAAAATGCTGGGATTACAGGTATGAGCCACCACGCCTGGCCTATCTCTGAATTTATGTAAGGCTGATCAGGCAGTTCTCTTTCTCACATTTTAGGGAAAGGCCTTACCCAGAAACACAACAAAGTGACGGGAAACTAAGAAAGTATAATAGGACTTACATGTATCAGATTAACAGAGACTCATGATTTAATACTTCTAATTTGGAACAGGGTTTTTGACATTTTTTTGTGTGATTTTCTTCTAAAAGATAATATTTCCTTTTGTGTTATTTTTTTTTGGAATTCAAATTAGTTATATTTACATTAACTATAGTAATACAGAAATCTCAAGATATCTGCAGCCCTAAGATAGGAAGTCCCAAACAGAAATATTGTTCTTTTCTAAGCATCAATTTAGGGACTTGGGATCCTTTTATCTTGTGGTATGGCTGTCTTCAGCACATGGCTTCCTAGGTTGTTATGCTTGTCTGCAGGAAAGAGCAACGCAGTTGCCAGGAAGATTTTTATCATCCATTCCCAGACGTGGTTCATACCACTTCTGCTCACATCCCATTGTCTGGGACCCAGTTACTCTGCAATAGCAAGGGTGAGGGGACACAGAGTCTACCAATTTGTTCAAAAATTGGTTTGTTAAACAGTTAGCCACTCACCATCATGGTCTTTCATTGTTTTGAAGTTTTTTGTAAATGTGTTTGTTGTCCTTCAATGGAAAAGGAGTCTTCATATGTAGTGTTAAAAAGGAGGGAATAAAAATTAATAACAATGCTCTTTTTGTGCCAGTGGACAATATTTTAAAAGTTTTCAATCAAGAGAAGCAGCATAGGCCAGGCGTGGTAGCTCACACCTGTAATACTAGCACTTTGGGAGGGTGAGGAGGGCCGACTGCCTGAGCTCAGGAGTTCAAGACCACCCTGGGCAACATAGTGAAACCACATCTCCACCAAAATACAAAAAAATTAGCTGGGCGTGTTGGTGCACACCTGTAATCCCAGTTACTTGGGAAGCTGAGGTAGGAGAATTGCTGGAGCCTGGGGGCAAAGGTTGCAGTGAGCCGAGATCGTGCCACTGTACTCAAGCCTGGGAGATAAAGCGAGACTCTGTCAAAAAAAAAAAAAAAAAAAAAAGGAGAGAGAAAAGCATCATAATCCTTAAGAATTAGACGATGGAGCTAAGCCATGAGTTTGTATTATTATGTGCTTTAACAAATCAAGTTGGAAGAGCAATTATCAGAATTGTTAACTTTATGCCAGGACATGTTAAGGATACCAACTCCTAATGCAAATGTTCAGTATGTTTTCTCAGTAAAAAAAAACACCTGATAGGCAAAAGAACACAATAAGTTTTACATGAACATTGTATAAGCTATGCTACAATGTAAATGGAACATAGGCTGTAACTACAAGGAATTTTATAAGCAAATTCCACAAATCAATGAATTGTTAAGGAGAGCCCAATAGGGGAAGTATAATTAAAGAAAGCTGTAAATAACCTGATACTTGTAACTTATTTCAGATAAACAACAAATAATTATTAGTATTCATGTGTGCCAAGCAATATTTTTCTTGTATTTCAATGTACATATGCATAGGCAGTTAAAATAATTCAAATTTAACTAGGTATCCTATATTTTTACTTGTTAAATCTGGCACCCCTACCTAGCAGCAAGGAATCACTCCTTTCTTTAACTTCCACAATTTATCTTTACCACTCTAATGATTTATCAGTGTTTATCTGTTATTAAACTCCTGAGAGTTAGTGTGGTATAGTGGTTAAGAGTAAACACTGGGAGCCAAACTGCCAGGGTTCAAATCCTAATTGTTCAACTTTCAAAATGTTTCAACTCTCTCAGGTTACTTAATCTCCCTGGTCTCACCTTCTTTATTTTTGAGGTAACAATAATAGCACCCACCTCAGAGGATTGACAAGCAAGTTAAAAGGGCTAGCAAATACAACACACTTGGAACACTGCATTGTTCTTAGTGTGTACCATACAAAGCATCTTACTCGGCATTCTTCAGTCCAGAGTCAATACTGTAAGTCCCGCAAATACAGAGGATTTTTCTTATTTTTTTAATCCTCTATAATATTGTGATTATATTAGAGGCTGAAGAATGTTCCTTAAAGGAATCAATGAAGATATCACAACTGATCATTGCCTTGACTTCTCTCCTGGATGAAATCCATGAAATAGCCTAGATGGACGCCTCCATAGAAGCTTTGGGAGCACTTTTTGTCAGTCTTAGGAAACAACCAGGTAAATGGGAAAAGGTATATTAAGTATGGGTCCATAGAAGGGCAAATGTGTAAATGAAAGTACCTGAAGTGAATGTGCCTCTGGGAGAGACTAAGTGCTGTTTTAGATGAATTTTAAAAAACAATCAGAAATGCGGAAAAGTACTGGGAAGAGCTGCCAGCGTTGTCAGGTCTCTGCTACTCTTTCCAATAGGGCTCCACCAAAGCAAAAGGGGTAACTGCAAACCAGTAAACAAGGTTAACTGTCCAGGCTGTTCACTCTGGTTTGCAAAGAAATCCTTGCCCATAGTTCATGGAAGCCAAGTCGGGCTGAAGGAGGACTTAAGGAAAGGGAAATGTCCAGATGAACCAGAAGATGGCGCAGGGCAGTGGTTCTCAAACTTTTCAAGCATTAGAACCACCTGGAGGGCTGGTGAAAGTACAGACTCCCCACGCCCAGCCTCTCATTCAGTGGATCTGGAGTGGAGCCTGATAATTTGAGTTTCTTTTCTTTTCTTTTCTTTTCTTTTTTTTTTTTTTTTTGAGACAGAGTCTCGCTCTGTCGCCCAGGCTGGAGTGCAGTGGCGCGATCTCGGCTCACTGCAAGCTCCGCCTCCCGGGTTCACGCCATTCTCCCGCCTCAGCCTCCAGAGTAACTGGGACTACAGGCGCCCGCCACTACGCCCGGCTAATTTTTTTTTTGTATTTTTAGTAGAGACAGGGTTTCACTGTGTTAGCCAGATTTTCATTGCTCTTGGCCTGTAGTAAGAAAGAAAGAGGATAGGACTTGAGTTAGAGTACTGAGTGATTGCTTATATTTGGAGGCCAAAAGGAAAAAGAGGGCAAGCAGGAAGCCCACATTTAAGAGATTGAGGTGCAAAGTCCCGGCCTTGCTGCAGCCTCTCTGTTGCCGCTGTCAGCACAAGATCCATCTCAGCCAAGAACTGTGCAGCCTTCCGTGCTGACCACTACACGGTTAGAGATGGAAAACCAGGAGTTGTGTTGGCTTGGCAAAGCCTCTCTGGTTATGTTTTGGTTTTCAATTTACCACATATGGTCTCAAAAAGTGCTTCCAGTTAAAATTTTGTCACTCCATTTATAGAAGAGTTTAATTTAAAATACCGTGTTCCATAGAAGTCTTTCACCCTTCTACGGCAGGCGAAACTAACTGGTTTATGTGTGGGGAAATGTCATTTGAAAGTTTAATCACTGCAGAGGCAAAATCATTCCTTAAATAGACAAATAGCCACTAATAAGTAGCTTCACCTTGTGAATAGGACCCCATATAAATTAGCAAATGAAAGCTGGGAGGAAAGGAAAACTGTTTTGTCTTTGTGACCCCCCAATTTCTTCCTCTAGGCCAGTGGCTCTCATAGAGTGGTCCCATGACTGCCAGTGCTCACGTCACTTGGGTACTTGTTAGAAACTCAAATTCTCGGCTGGGTGCGGTGGCTCACGCCTGTAATCCCAGCACTTTGGGAGGCCGAGGAGGGCAGATCACGAGGTCAGGAGTTCGAGACCAGCCTGACCAACATGATGAAACCCTGTCTCTACTAAAAATACAAAAATTAGCCAGGCGTGGTGACGCGCACCTGTAATCCCAGCTACTCAGGAGGCCTAGGCAGGAGAATCGCTTGAACCCAGGAGGCGGAGGTTGCAGTGAGCCGAGATCGCGCTACTGCACTTCAGCCTGGGCAACAGAGTGAGACTCTGTCTCAAAAAAAAAAAAAAAAAAAAGCTATAAAATAATAATTAAACATGACTCTTTTCCAACAAACTACTGCAAACCAATTAGTCCTGGGCTAGCAGCTTGTTTAGCAAACAATAGGGAACTTATCAAGATTCACTTCAAGGCCCTATCACTGCTGTGTACACTAATGCCAAATTATTGTTATCTTGAACTTTGCCCAATCTGAATCAGTTTTCCACTGTGAATGACCCACCCTAAATGACATTAGCTGGACCTCCAATCCTATTAATATCCTCCTCTAACTTTCCTGCTCCAAGATGTGGTAGGATGTCAAGATGGCTTTCTCTCTTATGAAAATAAGTCTAATAAACCTACCCTAGCATAAGGCAATAGGTTTTCTGGTGGTCTTGTGGGGAGTTAATCGTGGATACTATCCATCTAGTATATATGCTATCCACAAGACTTGTAATATTAAAACATTGAGATCACTCTTTTCCTCAACACACACAACGTTTTTCCTCTCTCTGTTAAAATGGCATTTTAGATGATCAAGTTAATAGCCAGACAGTACTATTATCACCCAGCAGTCTTGAAAAATGTTGTAAGAATTTTGTAAAACTGTATATGCCCCTACAAATTTTTAATTCGTATCTAAAACTTTCATAAGTTACAAAAGCATGATGTGTAGCATCTTTTAAAAACTGATGTTTTAAAATAAAACTGTTATATGACTGTTACAGTCTTCTTTTGGATGTATTACATTGAATAAAATCCCATAACCACTTAATATTATCATCTTTGATTTTTTAAAAACTACATAAACAATATTTAACATAAATTTTATATTATTACTTTCATACTTTGAACTAGTATTTCCATTCCATTTTTCTCACATACTTTTATCTTAATGCAATATAATTTATGACTAAAAACTTTTTTAAATTTATTTTTCACTTTTATCTTAGGTTCAGAGGGTACCTGTGCAGATTTGTTACACTGGTATATTGCAAGATGCTGAGGTTTGAGGTATGATTGATTTCATCACCCAGGTAGTGAGCACAGTAACCAAAAGGTAGCTTTTTAGCCTTTGTCCCCTCCCATTCTTCCCCTCGAATTGTCCCCAGTGTATTTTGTTCTCATCTTTGTGTCCATGTGTAGCCAATGTTTAGCTCCCATTTATAAGTGAGAACATGCAGGATTTGCTTTTCTGTTCCTATAATTTGCTTAGGATAATGCCTGCCAGCTGTATCCATGTTGCTGCAAAGGACGTGATTTTGTTCTTTCTTCTGACTGCATAGTATACCATGGTGTATATGTACCACATTTTCTTTATCCAATCCACCACTGATGGGCACCTACGTTGACTCCATGTCTTTGCTATTGTGAATAGTGCTGCAATGAATATATGAATGCATGTGTCTTTTTGGTAGAACAATCTATTTTCCTTTGGGTAGATACTCAATAGTGGAGTTGCTGAGTCAAATGGTATAGTTCTGTTATGAGTTCTTTGAGAAATCTCCACACTGCTTTCCACAGTGGTTGAACTAATTTACGTTCCCACCAACGGAATATAAGCATTCCCTTTTCCCTGAAGCCTTACTAGCATCTATTGTTTTTTGACTTTTTAATAATAGCCATCCTGACTGGTATGAGATGGTATCTCATTTGGTTTTGATTTGCATTTCTTTGATGATTAGTGATGTTGAGTATTTTTTCATGTTTGTTGGCCTCTTGTATGTCTTCTTTTGCGAAGTGTCTATTCACGTTCTTTGCCTACTTTTTAGGGAGGTTATTTGTTTTTTGCTTGTTTATTTTTTTACATTCCTTATAAATTAGACATTGTTGGATATGAGACATTGTCAGATGCATAATTTGTGTATATTTTCTCCCATTCTTAGGGTGTCTGTTTACCCTGTTGGTAGTTTCTTTTGCGGCGCAGAAGCTCTTTAGTTTAATTAGGTTCCATCTGTCACTTTTTGTTTCTGTTGCAATTGCTTTTGAGGTCTTAGCCATAAATTCTTTGCCAAGGCCCATGTTCAGAATAGTATTCCCTAGGTTTTCTTCTAGGATTTTTATAGTTTGAGGTCTGACATCTAAATCTTTGATTCATCTTGAGTTAATTTTTTTATATGGTGAAAGCAGCGTTCCTGTTTTATTCTTCCGCATATGGTTAGTCAGTTATCTCAGCACCATTTATTGAATAGGGAGTTCTTTCTCCATTGCTTATTTCTCTTGATTTTGTCAAAAATCAGATGGTTGTAGGTATGCAGTTGTATTTCTGGTTTCTGTATTCTGTTCCATTGGTGTGTGTGTCTGTTTTTGTACCAGTACCATGCTTTTTTGGTTACTGTAGCCTTATGGTATAGTTTGAAGTCAGGTAATGTGATGCCTCTAGCTTTGTTATTTTTCGCTTAGGATTGCCTTGGCTATTTGGGCTTTTTTGGGTTCCATATGAATTTTAGAGTAATTTTTTTTTCTAATTCCATAAAAAAAATGACCTTGGTATTTTGATAGGAGTAGCATTGAATCTGTAGACTGCTTTGAGCAGCATGGCCATATTAATGATATTGAGCATGGGATTTTTTTTTTATTTGTTTCTGCCATTTATAATTCCTTTCAGCAGTGTTCTATAGTTCTCCTCGTAGAGATCTTTCACCTCATTAGCTACAAGTATTCCTAAGTATTTTATTTATTTATTTATTTTTGGCTATTGTAAATGGGATTGTGTTATTGATCTGGCTCTCTGCTTAAATGTTATTGGTGTATAGAAATGCTACTAACTTTTGTATTAATACATTGATTTTGTAACCTGACACTTTAATACAGTCATTTATCAGTTCTAGGGGCCTTTTGGCAGTCTTTAGTTTTCTAGGTATAAAACTGTATTATCAGTAAAGAGAGATAATTTGACTTCCCATTTTCCTATAGGATGACTTTCATTTCTTTCTCTTACCTGATTGCTCTGGCTATAAATTCCAGTACTATGTTGAATAAGATTGGTGAGAGTGGGCATCCTTGTCTTGTTCCAGTTCTTAAGGGGAATGCTTCCAACTTTTACCCACTCGGAATGATGTTGCTTGTGAGTTTGTTGTAGATGACTCTTACTATTTTGAAGTATGTTCCTTTGATGCCTAGTTTGTTGAGGTTTTTAATCATGGATTATATTGAAAGTTTTTTCTGCATTTAGTAAGATAATCATATAGGTTTTGTTTATAATTTTGTTTATGTGGTGAATCACATTTATTGATTTGCATATGTTGAACCAACCTTACATCCCAAGGGTAAAACCCACTTCATCAAAGTGAATTAACTTTTTTTTTTTTTTTTTTGAGATAGAGTCTCACTCTGTCACCCAGGCTGGAATGCAGTGGTGAGATCCTGGTTCACTGCAACCTCTGCCTCCCAGGTTCAAGCAGTTCCCATGCTTCAGCCTTCTGAGAAACTGGGACTATATGCATGTGCCATGAAGTCTGGCTAATTTTTGTATTTTTAGTAGAGATGGGGCTTCACCATGTTGGCCCACCTGGTCTCGAACTCCTGACCTCAGGTGGTCTACCTGCCTCGGCCTCCCAAAGTGCTGAGATTACAGGCATGAGCCACTGCACCTGGCCTGAATTAACTTTTTGATGAGCTATTGGGTTTCGTTTGGTAGTATTTTATTGAGGGTTTTTATATCTATGTTTATCAGGTATATTGGCCTGTAACTTTCTTTCTTCATTATGTCTTTGCCAGATTTTGGTATCATGGTGATGCTGGCTTTGTAGAATGAGTTAGGAGGAGTACCCCTTCTCCACAATTTTTTGGAATAGTTACAGTAGAATTGGTACCAACTCTTTTTTGGTAGAATTTGGCGTGAATCCATTTGGTCCAGGGCTCTTTTTTGGTAAGTAGGATTTTTTTAATTATTAAGTCAAGTTTGGAACTCAATATTGTCCCTTTCAGTGTTTCAGTTTCTTCTTGATTTAATCTTGGGAGGTTGTGTGTGTCCAGAAATTTATCCATTTCCTCTAGATTTTCTAGTTTGTTTGCATAGAGGTGTTCATAATACTCTCTGAGCATCTTTTTATTTCCTTGGGATCAATTGTAATGTCATGCTTGTCATTTTTTATTGTGCTTATTTGGATCTTCTCTCTCTCTCTCTCTCTTTTTTTTGGGGGGGGGTTATCTAACTAACAGTGTATCAATTTTGTTTATCCTTTCAAATAACCAACTTTTGGTTTTGTTGATTCCCTGTATGAATTTCTGGATCTCCATTTCGTATAGTTCTGCTTTGATTTTAGTTGTTTCTTTTCTTCTATTAGTTTTGGGGTAAGTTTGTATTTATTTTTACAAGTTCCTCTAGTTGTGATGTTAGATCATTGATTTGAGACCCTTCTAACTTCTTGATGTGAATATTTTACTCTATAAACTTTTCTTAAAGCTGCTTTTTCTGAATCCCAGGGATTTTGTCTCTGTTTTTATTTGTTTCAAAGATTTTTTTGATTTCTGTCTTAATTTCATTTTTGCCCAAAAGTTATTCGGGAATAAATTGTTTAATTTTTATGTAGTTTGTGGTTTTGAGAGATCTTCTTGGTATTGGTTTATATTTTTATTCCACTGTGGTCCAAAAGTATGGTTGACATGATTTTCACTTTTTTGAATTTTTTGAGACTTGCTTTATGGCCAAGCATGTACTCGATCTTAGAGTATGTCCCGTATGCAGATGAGAAGAATGTATATTCTGTGGTTAATGGATAGAGCATTCTGTAGCTGTCTATTAGTTCTAATTGGTTATGTGTTGAGTTTAAGTCTGGAATTTCTTTGTTAGTTTTCTGCCTTGATGATCTGTCTAATGCTATCAGTGGGGCATTGAAATCCCCCAACATTATTTTGTGGCTGTCTGTTTTTTTGTGGGTCTAAAGGAACTTGCTTTATGAATCTGGTGCTCCATTGTTAAATGCATATATATTTAGGATAGTTAACTCTTCTGTTGAATTGAACCCTTTATTATTATGTAGTGCCTGTCTTTGTCCTTTTATATTGTAGTTGGTTTAAAGTCTGTTTTATCTAAGAATAGTGACCCCTGCTTTCTTCTGATTTCCATTTGCATGGTGGATCTTTCTTCATCCCTTTACTTTGAGCCTGTGGGTGTCATTACATATGAGATGGATCTCTTGAGGGCAGTAGATGGCTGGGTCTTGTTTGTGTATCCATCTTGCCACTCTGTGACTTCTAAGTGGGATTTTTTGGCCATTTACATCCAAGGTTAGTATTTTTTTTTTTTTCTTTTTGAGATGGAGTCTCTCTCTATAGCCCAGGCTGTGGTGTGATCTCAGCTCACTGCAACCTCTGCCTACCGGGTTCAAGCAATTCTCCTGCCTCAGACTCCCGAGTAGCTGGGATTACAGGTGCACGCCACCATGCCCAGCTAATTTGTGTATTTTTAGTAGAAACGGGGTTTCACTATGTTGGCCAGGCTGGTCTTGAACTCCCGACCTCAGGTGATTTGCCCACCTTGGCCTCCCAAAGTTAGTATTGATTTGGGAGGTCAGGACTCCGGCCTGTGCCCCGCCTCAAGGATAGTATTGATATGTGAAGTTTTGTTCCCATGATGAAGTTGTTAACTAGTTGCTTTGTAGTTTCCATTGAGTACTTGCTTTATAGGATCTGTGGGCCATACACCTAAGTGTGTTTCTGTTGTTAATCACCTCATCAAACTTCTCTGCAAGGAAAGGCAGTATAAATAAAAAATTTTCAAAAGTTAAATTTCTGTGATCAAGATTACATGCTTATGATGTTATCACAATAATTCGAGGTAAATGGTTGATTAAAGCAACATAAATATATTACTAATTTGACAAACAACTATTGACGATAAAAAGTAAAACTTTATTGTAAAATAACCTTTAATTAGATAGCTGGGCCCTTCTGTTTTTAATTAATTCATATATTCATGCATTAATATAATCCTAAAATGAGACAGAGTTTAGCATCAATTCTATTTTCCATTTTTTTAGATGTAAACTCCAAGAAATTCTATTGCATAAACAAATAAATGGGAGTTGAAGGTTTTCTTTTTGTAAATAACAATGATGACTCTGAATTTTTTTCCAAATATATGCCAAAATTTATACAGTAGTCAAGTATCAAATATTTTTTCAAAAGTGTCAGAATGTTGATAACTTTTGAAACTAGATCATGGGCTTGTATGGATTCCTTATAAGTTCTCACTACTTTTTTGTACGCTTGACAATTTTCATAATACAATATTTTTTAATTTGTGATCTATTCATGATAACTTTATTAGATTTTCTTTAAATTTTCTTGAAAGCAAAGAATTGGAAACCTACTGGCTTGCAAAATGATTCATTACTTAGCCATTAGAATCATTTATTTTCCCAAGACAAAAACAATCAATATTTTCAATTATTCTATTGTTCAGCATTCTTAAGATTTTTATACCTCGGGGCAATTAACACATCATTTGGTCAGGTGGAAGTTATGTATTTCTTTTGTAAATATGAAGAAGGGCAATTATAAAAGGAAGAAGGAAAAGGAGCTACCTCTCATCATCGGGTTGTTCTGGGCAGATTAATTATAGGGGATGGCACATTATAAAGGATGAAAATATTGTCATTTCTTTAAACCCTCCTCCCCTGGAATGGCTTTAAGCTCCTGGGTCTTTGCATAATAATTTGAAGACTGCTGATCCAAGCTACATTTCTCTCCCCATCACATACCACCCTTTATCTGTGTTTGTTTGCATTAGTATAGGAGCTTTGTCTTTGTAATTAGAAAGAGACTGAGGTGCTTTATTTGAATGAAAATCCTGATGTCTCTCCCAAAGCAAACACTTCCACTGGATTTGATATTTTAGGATTGAAGGGATAAGGGCTAAAAACTTTTCATGAGACTTTGTGAAACTCCTGGTAATAGGGTGAACAAAGAAGGGCAGAGGCTAATATGGGACTCTTTATTACAGATGTTACAGACTTTGTGAGACCCCAGGCACCAACAGAGCTCCTAGACTCAGATGTCAAAAGAGGTCAAAGAGAGAGAGTTAGAACCCATGTCAGAGCAGCTAGCTTTGGGAGCCACTAGAAATGTCATCTTCAGGAGGGTCATTGTAAGTTTTAACTTGGGTGGTAAGTGGGGCATGAAGACTTAAGCCATTGTCATATTGTCATTATGTAAATTTTGCTTCATTTTGTAATCACAGCTTATTAATGCCTGGACTTAAAGAGTTATTCTAAGAAAATGAGTTTCATCAAAAATGGAAATATATTGTAGTGTTTCTTGGAAATGTAAGAATTCTCAGGCGGCTCAGCACCATCCTGGGGAAGGCATCTACCTTTCTCTCAATGAGAAAAGTTCTAATTTTAATAGTTTTGTATACTGAGTCTTTACGTAAGATTTCATCTGGAAGAAGGGTTAGTTCTACTTCTATTTTGTTTAAAGAAAAGAACATGAGTTTTGGAATCAGGCCTTTATGTCTAACCTTAGGGAAGTTATGTTAACTCTTTTGACCTTTGGTTATCTGTAAATTGGAAACAGTTATACATCTCCTTCAGTGCTGTCATCTTAGGTTGTTTTATAAAGTTTAACAAATTATAAGAGCAGAAGTAAATTTAAAATATCCCCTTATAGGTATAGATTATTGTATCAGTCTGTTTGCATTGCTATAAAGAAATACCTCAGGCTGAGAAATTTATAGAGAAAATAGGCTTTTTTGGCTCACGGTTCTGCAGGCTGTACAGGAAGCATGGCACCAGCATCTGCTCCTGGTGAGGCCTCAGGAAGCTTACACGACAGAAGGCAAAGGGGAGCCAGCATGTCACATGGCAAGAGAGGGAGCAAGAGAGATGCCAGGCTCTTTTAAACAACCAGCTGACACATGAACTAAGAGCAAGAACTCACTCATCACTACGGTAATGGCAGTAAGCCATTCATGAGGGATTCACCCCCATAATCATCAGACCATATCCCACTAGGCACCACCTCCAACGCTGGGGTTCACATTTCAACATGAGATGCAGGGGACAGAACATCCAAACCATATCAGTTAGCAATTACGAAGCTATTTTACATGCATCTAGGGTTAAACAAATAAGTAAATCTATTGCAGATAATGAGTCAGATTTATCACTGTAAGAGAAAAAAGTTACAAACCCTGTGGAAGTATCAATGTGAACACACGGTTTAACAGATGGATGGATGGATGGATGGATGGATAGATACAGATGTATATTTTCACATGGTTTAGTATTCATACATTTATTCCACAGCTCTGTCTGCTGAGACTCTCAAAAACCAGTGACACTCCAGTAGCAATGAACACATCTAGTGCACAGATCTTGGTTTCTGAATATGATTCTTCAATAAAAAGAACTGGGGTGCCTTGTAGAAGTGGTTCATTCCAGGGCTGAGGCAGGGGCTCTTCAAGATAAGCCTGGAGAATCTTGTGGTGCCAGAAAATAAGGAAGTACTAAGACAAGAAAATTGTGGTAGAGGATTTGGCATATCAAAGGAACAGAAGAGCTAGCCTGAAGGAGCCCTCTATGGCCAAATCTGGAACAATTTGAGTAACAAAATAAATAACAATAGTACTGGATTAAAACCCAAAGAATAAAATGAATATTTATGAATCAAATGGACATAAATAAGTGATTGTATAAGTAAATAAAAGGGAGAGAAAAGACAACTCTTTCTTTCTTTCTTTTTCTTTTTCTTTTTTTTTCCCCAGACGGATTCTCACTCTGTTGCCCAGGCTGGAGTGCTGTGGCACCATCTCGGCTCACTGCAGGCTCCACCTCCCGGGTTCATACCGTTCTCCTGCCTCAGCCTCCCGAGTAGCTAGGACTACAGGCACCTGCCACCACGCCCACCTAATTTTTTTGTATTTTTAGTACAGACGGGGTTTCACCGTGTTAGCCAGGATGGTCTCGATCTCCTGACCTCGTGATCCGCCCGCCTCGGCCTCCCAGAGTGCTGGGATTACAGGTGTGAGCCACTGCTCCCAGCCAAGAAAACTTTCTTTTTCTTTCTTTCTTTCTTTCTTTCTTTCTTTCTTTCTTTCTTCTTTCTTTCTTTCTTTTTTTTGAGAGGTAGTCTCGCTCTGTCACCCACGCTGGAGTGCAGTGGTGCCATCTCTGCTCACTGCAAGCTCCGCCTCCCGGGTTCACTCCATTCTCCTGCCTCAGCCTCCAGAGAGAGTAGCTGGGACTACAGGCGCCCGCTTCAATGCCCGGCTAATTTTTCTATTTTTAGTAGAGACAGGGTTTCACCGTGTTAGCCAGGATGGTCTCAATCTCCTGACCTCGTGATCCGCCCGCCTCGGCCTCCCAAAGTGCTGGGATTACAGGCATGAGCCACCGCGCCCAGCCAGAAAACTCTTTAAGGAAGCACTCCCATTACTAAATGTAGAAGGAATGATGGGTATAGAAATTCACCATTAGGCTGGGCACCACGGCTCACGCCTGTAATCCCAGCACTTTGGGAGGCCGAGGTGGGTGGATCACCTGAGGTCAGGAGTTCCAGACCAGCCTGACCAACGTGGAGAAACCCCGTCTCTACTAAAAATACAAAATTAGCCAGGTGTGGTGGCGCGTGCCTGTAATCCCAGCTACTCGGGAGGCTGAGGCAGGAGAATCGCTTGAACCCGGGAGGTGGAGGTTGCGGTGGGCGAGGGTGAGCTGAGATCGCGCCATTACACTCCAGCCTGGGCAACAAGAGCGAAACTCTGTCTCAAAAAAAAAAGGAAAAGGAAAAAGAAATTCACCATGAGAACATAAAAGAAATAATTTCTGCAGGCAAGATATGCTAATGGATGCTAAAATTAATGGGCACAAGTTTAAAAAGAAAGAGGATATTTGCATAGTGTCAAAGTATTTCCCCTCAAATATTTATTCATTATAAGCGGAAAAGTAGTAATTTTACAGTGGAGAAACCTGGAAAACACCATCTTGGCCGAAACATTGTGGGGTGTTTGAAAATGAGTGAGAGTGTTTTTGTCTTAGTTTGTGGTGGGGTGGTGAATATTGCCATATTTAGTTTAAAAATGCCAAGGATGCAATATATTCTACAGCAAGTGGAACAGCAATGCATGATAAATTGTACTGCATTTTGCACAATTCTCAGATGTGCAATCATGTAGATGGGATCCTTGTGGAAGTGAAAAGCCTTTTTATAGTCTTTAGTTATCTAAGCTTACTCTGTTTTATATAAAAACAATGTATTTTTGCATGATGTTAAAATTCATTTAATGCAACTGCTATATAAATTAAGGAAAGATTGTGTTTTGTTTACTAATCAAGAGTTATTTGTTTCGGAAAATTGCATCACCGATGGTAATTTTGAGTGCTTATAAAAGATTGGTCTACGGTCATTCTATGTTTCAGTGCAAGTATACAAGCACTTCAAGTCTTCTAGTATAGCTGTTCCTGAGCATTTATATGTTGAATTACATAGCCCTGATTATAAAGTACCTACCTTCATTTCTCATTATATTATGATTAGGTATTATATTGAATTTGTTGAATATACACATGTTGGCAGATTATCATCTCTGGGAATTTCAGTTCAGGATTACAGAAAAGGGGTAAAAATATTTTTAAGAGTGGTTTGATTAACAAATGGTCCTGGGCCAACTGGATATACAAATGCAAAAGAGCGAATTTGGATCCCTACCTCACACTATATACAAAAAAGAACTCAGAATGGATCAACACCTAAATCTACAAGCTAAAACTATAAAAATCCTAAAACATGCACAGGGGTAAATCTTCGTGACCTTGGATTTGGCAATGGATTCTTAGATATGAAACCAAAAGCATAATCAATGAAAGAAAGAAAATAGATATATATGACTTATCAAAATTAAAAAATCTTGTGCATCAAAGGACATTATCAAGAAAGTTTAAAAAAGTACAGAATGGGAGAAAATATTTGCAAATATATATCTGATAAGGTTTTAGTATCTAGAGCATGTAAAGTACTCCTGCAACTAATCAACCACAAAATTAACAACACCAATAAAAAGTGGGCAAAGAACTCAACTGGACATTTCTCCAAAGAAGATACACAAGTGAACAACAAGCATATGAAAAAGTGCTCAACATCATTATTAATCCAGAAAATTCATATCAAAACCACAATGACATAGCATTGCAAACCTATTAGGATGGCTATTTTTTTCCATTTTTAAATTGCAGTAAAATACACACAACATAAAATTTACCATCTAACCATTTTAAGTAAACAGTTCAGTGTTATTAACTGCCATTCATATTATTGTACAACTGTCACCACCATCCATCTCCAGGACTCTTTTCATCTTCCAAAACTGAAACTTTATATCCATTAATATAAAGTTCATTCCCCTTCTCCTCTGCCCCTGCAACTACTATTCTACTTATGTCTTTATAAATTTGACTACTCTAAGTACCTCAAATAAGTGGAATCATACTGTATTTGACTTTTTTGCGATTGGCTTATTTCATTTAATGTGGTACCTTTGTGGTTCATGTTCTTGTAGCATGTGTCAAAATGTTCTTCCTTTTAAAGGCCGAATAACATCCCATCGTATGTATAGACTCCATTTTCCTTACTCTTTTATTCATCAATGAATACTTGGGTTGCTTCCACCTTTTAGCTATTGTGAATAATACTGCTATAAACATGGGTGTACACATATTTCTTTGAGACCATACTTTTATATACCTAGAAGTGGAATTGCTAAATTATATGATAATTTTATTTTTACTTTTTTGAGGAACCACCAAACTGTTTCCCACAGAGGCTGCACCATTACATATTCCCACTAACAATGTAGAAGTGTTTCCATTTCTTCACATCCTCACCAGCACTTGTTACTTTCTTTTTTCTTTGATAGTAGCTTTCTTTCCGTTTATTAATGTTTTATTTCTTTCAGCAAATTTTGTAGTTTTCATTGTACAAGTCTTTCACTTCCTTGGTGAAGTTAGTTCTTAAGTATTTCCTCATGGGTGTAAGGTGGTATCTCATAATAGTTTTGATTTGCATTTCCCTAATGATTAGTGATACTGAGCATCTTTTCATATGCTTATTGGCCATTTGTATATCTTCTTTGGAGAAATGTCTATTGAAGTTCTTTGCTCATTTTTGTATTGGGTTAGTTTTTCTATTGTTGAGTTGCAGTAGTTCTCGCTACATAGTCTGGATTTTAATCCCTTATCTGACATACTTGTAAATATTTTCTCCTTTGTTGTAAGTTGCCTTTTTACTTTTTTTTATTTTTATTTTTTTGAGACAGAGTCTTGCTCTGTTGCCCAGGTTGGAATGCAATGCAGTGGCGCAATCTCAACTCACTGCAGCCTCCACCTCCCAGGTTCCAGCGATTCTCCTTCCTCGCCTCCCTAGTAGCTGGGATTACAGTCATGCGCTACCACACCTGACTAATTTTTGTATTTTTAGTAGAGATGGGGTTTTGGCTGGTCTCGAACTCCTGACCTCAGATGATCCGTCCACCTCGGCCTCCCAAAGTGCTAGGATTGCAGGTGTGAGCCACCATGCCCGGCTTGCCTTTTTACATTGTTCAAGTGTCTTTGGGTGCATAAAATTTTTAATTTTTATAAAACCAAATTTTCTGGGTTTTTTTCCTTTTCTTGCCTGTTATTTTGGTGTCATATCTAAACAATCACTGCCAAACCCAATGTCAGGAAGAATTTGTCCTATGTTTTCTTCTAAGTTATTTTTAATTGACAAATACAAATTGTATATATTTATGGTGTACAGCATGATGTTTTGAAATATGAATACATTGTGGAATGGCTAAATCAAGCTAACTAATGCATATTTTACCTCACATAGTTTTCTTATTTTGTGTGGTGAGAACACTCAATATCTACTCTTTCAGAAATGTTAAAGTATACAATTCATTGTTATTAACATAGTCATCATGTTGTACAATAGATCTCTGGAACTTATCCTTCCTATCTAACTGAAATGTGGTATTCTTTGACCAACATCCCCCCAACTCACACCCCTCCCCCACCATACTAGTCTCTGCTCCTGTGAATTTGACTTCTAAGAGTTTTATAGCTTTATTGCCTGCTACAAGTTGGAATGATTTTATAAGAAAATTTAGGAGAAGGGAGGGGGAGTTCTTATGTCAGAGTTGCCCTTTTTCATTGCAGGGTGTGATACAGAGATTACAAACATTGGCTGCAGGTTACAAGATACAGGCTAGGCTGGGCGCGGTGGCTCACGCCTGTAATCCCAGCACTTTGGGAGGCTGAGGCGGGCGGATCACGAGGTCAGGAGATCAAAACCATCTTGGCTAACACGGTGAAACCCCGTCTCTATTAAAAATTCAAAAAAAAAAATTAGCCGGGCGTGGTGGCGGGCACCTGTAGTCCCAGCTACTCGTGGGGGCTGAGGCAGGAGAATGGCGTGAACCTGGGAGGTGGAGTTTGCAGTGAGCGGAGGTCACACCACTGCACTCCAGCCTGGGCGACAGAGCGAGACTCCATCTCAAAAAACAACAACAACAAAAAAAAATACAAGGTAAAATATTCTACATGTAAGACAATTCATAAAACTTCATGATTCAGAAACAAATCAGCAAAAGCTTATGATTTAGAAACAAGCTAGTGTCCTTTTCATTATGAGTAGATTACATATTAAAAATAATGTCAACAGATTGAGCTACTCATGATAAGATTTGAGAGATTCACAATAAGAGTCTTTACTCAGGGACAGGATGTAAGCCATGAATCATAAGATCTTCACAGATGGTTAATTTGAAAGCCTACCAAATGTGGCCTGTAGGTTATTATGTGTACAAATGTTTATAATTTTTCTATCATTTTGCTAAATTTAACTGTTCATTAATACATGATGTCCTTCTTTGTCTCTTGCGAATATTTTAAAGTCTATTTTATCAGAAATTACTAGAGCCAATCCTGCTCCCTTTGTGTTACTATTAGCATGTAAGATCCTTTTATATCCTTTTACTTTCAACCTATTTGTGTCTTTGGATCTAAAGTAAGTCTCTTATAGAAAGTACATAGTTGGGTCATGGTTTTTAAAGTCCATTTTGCCAACCTCTGCCTTTGATTAGAGAGTTTAATCCATTTACCTTTCAAGTAATTACTGATAAGGAGGCATTTACTTCTGTCATTTTGCAATTTGTTTTCTATTTGCCTTGTGGTTTTTTGTCCCTTTTTTCCTGCATTGTTATCTTCTTTTATATTTAGTTAACTTTTGCAGTGAAACATTTTAATTCCCTTCTCATTTCCCTTTGTGTACATTTTATAGCCATTTTCTTTTTACATTTAACATCCCAAAGTTACAACAAACTTATAGCATTCTAATTTTAATTTATATCAGTTTAACTTCAATAACATACAAAAACTCTGCTCCTATAGATATCTGACTCCACTTCTTTTCAGTTATTGATGTCACAAAATTAAACCTTTATGCATCTTATATTGTGTGTCTGAAAACATAGACGATTTATGTTCTGTTTAATGTATTTGTCTCTTAATTATGCAGGAAACAAAATTTGGAATTATGAAACAAACTTACAATAATACTAGCTTTTGGAATAACTTTTTTCTATTTTTGTTTTGTTTCGTTTTGTTCTGTTTTTGACACGGAGTCTTGCTCTGTTGCCCAGGCTGGAGGATAGTGCACAATATCAGCTTACTGCAACCCCCAACTCCCAGGTTCAAGCGATTCTCGTGACTCAGCCTCCCAAGCTGGGATTACAGGTGCCCGTCACCACGCCCAGCTAATTTTTGTATTTTTAGTAGAGATGGGGGTTTCGTCATGTTGGCCAGGCTGGTCTCGAACTTAACCTCAGGTCATCTGCCCATGTTGTATAATCCCAAAGTGCTGGGATTACAGGCATGAGCCACCACGCCCGGCCCAGAATAATAATTTTTTTAATGTATTAATTAGCCTCTTAAATCATGTAGAAAATGAAAAGTGGAGTTATAAACTGGAGTTACAATAATCCGAGCTTTGAGCTACTATCTAGTTTTTATTTCTACATAGAGGATTCCCTTTAGAATTTGTCATAGAAAAGGTCTAATGGTAATGAATTCTCTTAGCTTTTGTTCATTTGAGAACCTCTTTATTTCTCCCTCAGTGTACAATTTTGCCAGATAAGGAGTTTGCATCTAACAATTCTTTTTCTTCAGCGATACGACTGTATCATTTCACTGTCTTCTGGTCTCCACAGTTACTGATGAGAAATCTACTGGTATTTTTATTGAGAGTCACTTGTAAGTGACAAGTTGCCTCTCTTACTGCTTTCAAGATTCTTTCTTTGTCTTTCAAGAGTTTGATTATAATGTTTTTTTGTGTGTATCTCTTGAATTTCATCCTACTTAGAGTTCATTGGACTTCTCAGATGTTTACAAGCTCACCAAATTTGGGGAGTTCTCAGCTTTTATTTCTTCAAAAAACGTCTCTACCTCTTTCTATTTTCTTCGTCTGAGACTTCCACAATGTGTGTGTTGGTCCACTTGATGACATCCCATAGGTCTCTTAGACTCAGTTCATTTTTCTTTAATCTTTTTTTCTTAAATCTTTTTCTTACTGTTTTCAGATATGATTATTTCAGTTTTCCTATATTCAAGTTTACTGATTCTTTCTGCCTGCAGAAATCTGCCTTCAAGTCCTTCTAGTGATTTTTTCATTTCAGTTATTGTGTTTTCAGCTCCAGAAGTTTTTTTGGTTTCTCTTAAAGTCTTTGTCTAGAAGGCCTATTTTCTGCTCTTTCTACTGGGTGGTTTCTATTTGTTAACTTTTTCCTTTGAATGGGCCATACTTTTCTGCTTCTTTGTATGCCTTATGCTTTTCTGTTGAAAACTGGACATTTGAATTTAATAAAGCAGTAACTCTGGAAATCAGATTTCCCCACTTCCACAGTGTTTGCTATTTTGTTTGATTGCTTGTTTTTGTTTTTGAAATGTTGTGGCCTGTCTGTGCTGGGAATCACTTTGAGGTGAAAACTTAAGATCTTCAGGTCTTTTGAGATTGTGCCTTTCCCTGGAAATGTGCAGTGACTTTCTAAATCCCCCCATATGTGTGGTTGCTTTTGAGTGTTCTAAATACTTGGCTTCCAAAAGGGGGAAAAAAAAGGAAAGAAAGGAAGATGAGAAAACACACTGGCCCTTTAAATCCACAGAAAGTTGCTTCAGCTGGAGGGGAAATGGATGCAGTACTAAAAGTGAGAGGGTATGCAATAATGACTGCCCACCTGTGTGCCTGCAGCTCCATGACCAGAAGCAGCAATCAGTAATGAGAACACAGATCCCTGATATTTGGAGGACAACATCCTTTATGCCCGCTCTGGCTCCCACAAGTTGCATGCAAGCTGCTCCTGGAACCTGTGCACAGCTGCCTGCCACAAGGCTTGGGAGTGGGAATGAGCACATTGGAACACTCACACATTGCTGGTGGGCATGGAAAATGGTGCAGCCCCTGTGAAAAGCATATGTTCAAAAGAATCAGAAACATGTACAAAAAAATACTTGTACACAGATGTTTATAATAGCACCATTTACAATATCCCAAAGTTGAAGCAACGTAAATGTCCATGAATAGATAAATGGATAAATGAATTGTGGTATATATACATATGATAAAATATTATTTAGCCGTAAAACGAAATGAAGTACTGATACATGTTACCATGTGGATGAATGTCAAAAAAATTATGCTAAGTGAGAGAAGCCAGACACAAAAGGTCACATGTTGTATAATTCAATTTTTATGAAATATGCAGTATATGCAAATCCATAGAGACAGAAAGCAGGTTAGTGGTTGCCAGAAGCTGGGGGGAGAGAGCAATGTGAAATAACTGGTAAAGGGTATGAGGTTTTAGTTTTGGGTGATAAAAATATTTTGAAACTATGTAGAGGTGGTGGTTGCACAATACTGTGTGTGACTATACCAAATGCCACTGAAATGCTTCTGACTGGAAATGCTGTCTGGAAGTCAACTGAGAACTCAGCTAAATTCTTAAGCTAATTAGTGATCATGGAAAATGTCCTACATGAGAAATAAAATTGTTCACTTTGCAAGAGTTAATTTTATGTTATATAAATTTCACCTCGATTTTTAAAAGTGGGAAATTTGATGGGTTTTAGAACAGTTGTTCTAAGCAGTCAGAAATCCTGATCAGATAGATATCCCAATTACCCTGATTTCATCATTACATGTTATATGCACATATCAAAATATCACATGTACCCTGTAAATATGTGCAATTATTATGTATCAATCAAAACAATAAAAAGTGGCTTCAAAGATAATGGAGAGTGCACAAGGTAAGAAAAGAAATCCTGATCAATAACTGGATATATTATTCATGCTCTTAATTGGAAAGAATACATATTTTATAGATTATCTGAAGGATATTCAATTAAGTATTTTGTGTTTGTCATGGCTGACAATTTATCTCAGAATACTTTCAATTAAAACCAAGAGTCATGTCCTTTGTAGGGACATGGATGAAACTGGAAACCATCATTCTCAGCAAACTATCGCAAGGACAAAAAACCAAACACCGCATGTTCTCACTCATAGGTGGGAATTGAACAATGAGAACACATGGACACAGGAAGGGGAACATCACACACCGGGGTCGGGGGAGGGGGGAGGGATAGCATTAGGAGATATACCTAATGCTAAATGACGAGTTAATGGGTGCAGCACACCAACATGGCACATCTATACATATGTAACAAACCTGCACCTTGTGCACATATACCCTAAAACTTAAAGTATAATAATAATAAAATTTAAAAAAAAAACAAAACCAAGAGTCCTTCGAAGCAGGGTTCTCAGGCTGCAGGGAAACCTCCTTTTCTTTCTCTTCCCATTGCCCATCTACTCAGCCTTAGGGTTGCTGCCTGCAGCCCATTGATATGACAGATATTTACACCCAGCAAACAGACAAACCAAGACTTAGTTCCGTTTGTTACTGTCACTGATTCAATCTACAGTCTCCATGGAAAACTTAATCACCAAACTAGTGACAGAAAGAATAATTGGTATTTGTCCAGCTGCAAATGCTGTCTGGAAGTCAAGTGAGAACTCTTAGCTAAATTCTTAAGCTAACTAGCCGTCATGGAAAATGTCCTTACATGAGAAATAAATAAACCCTGTCAATGGATCATTTATATCACAGCTGGCACCCATTATGGCACTCACAGATCATCGTGCTTCAGTCTGGCTTGTGAAGACCACCGGGCTCCTCCACAATGATTAGATAAGGCCTAAGTAGGTTCTGCTGTAGCTGCTGATGCTGAACAAGATGGTAAATGGATGCTCCACGCTGACATATGCTGACATTAGTCCCAGAAACATCACTCTCCATAGCTCTTCATGATAACTTCATTCACAATAATTCCAAGAGCAGAATAGATTGACTTATCAGAATGGGTCTCTGGAATGCATGATACTGAGGATTGTGCAACAACAGCTGGGCTGACTCTTGTGGATATGCCCACAGGCTCGGGGGAGCAAAGCCAAATAGTCATAATCTTTGAACATTGCATTTGCAATATCCCTGATGTGGCATTTATCACTTCCAGTCAGCACATTATGAGTGGCTGAAATGATTAAAACTAATGTTGAAAACTACTCTCATTATTTTCTTAATATAGCAAGAGGCTGAAACTTTGTCCTTTTATTTCTTTTCTCTCTGTCATCGGCTTTCTTTGCCACCTAAAAAAAAATGCAGGTACCCAGGCACAACTTACATCTGCTTGTTTCAGATTAGAGCAGAAGGGAATATGTTCACTCATCATCCCCATGCTCATATCACAAGCTCCAAAAACAGAGCTTTTGTGCTCTCGCTTCTTGCCACAGACATATCAAGACAGAGGATCTCAATGAGAGAATCAGTGCACAACCAAATGGTATATAGATGAAGTAGCAGAGAGTGGCCCGGGCAAAGAGTGAAATTACCTGAAGTTCTGGAGACACACTCCTACTGCAAACTCTTTGCATCAACATATAAGACTTTCCTCTTCGTACTCTGCAAAAACAGAGGAGGATACCACTCTGCTAGGTAGACTGATGCTACCATTCCCTGCTTCCACCAGACCTGAGTCTTACTGAGCTACAAAACTAGATGAGACCTAAGAGAGCAGATGGGATTGAAGATGAATGAACTGACAGCATCTGTGAATACCTCCGGATAGTACTGCAATCATCATCACACTAGGAAGCATCAGTCATTGTTCTGTTTGAATTTGTTATGAAAATAAAACCTCCACAGGATGGCTAGAGAAGTCCCCAGTGTCTATAGTTTTCCCTCACAAGAGCCTTTCACCTGATCCTGATTCAGATCCAGATCTGGAGATGGGAGTATCTCCCCATACTAAGCTTTATCCCCAGCCCCAGAGAAGATAAATCCTTCCTTCTCTTTTTCCAGAGTCTTTTCTTCATTATGCATTTCTAGGAGTCTGTGAGTCACTCATTGTTATCAATACATCAAGTAAAATAATTTCTGATACTGCCCAAATTAATTTATAGATTCAATGCTATACCCATCAAGCTACCACGGACTTTCTTCACAGAATTGGAAAAGAACTACTTTAAATTTCATATGGAATGAAAAAAAGGCCCATATAGCCAAGACAATCCTAAGCAAAAAGAACAAAGCTGCAGGCATCACGCTACCTGACTTCAAACTATACTACACAGCTACAGTAACCAAAATAGCATGGTACTGGTACCAAAACAGATATACAGACCAAAGGAACAGAACAGAGGCCTTGGAATAACACCACACATCTATAACCATCTGATCTTTGACAAACCTGATGAAAACAAGCAAGGGGGAAAGGATTCCCTATTTAATAAATGGTGTCGGGAAAACTGGCTACCCATATGCAGAAAACTGAAACTGGATCCCTTCCTTACTCTTTTTACAAAAATTAACTCAAGATGGATTAAAGACTTAAATGTAAGACCTAAAACCATAAAAACCCTAGAAGAAAACCTAGGCAATACCATTCAGGACATAGGCATGGGCAAAGACTTCATGACTAAAACACAAAAAGCAATGGCAACAGAAGTCAAAATTGACAAATGAGATCTAATTAAACTAAAGAGCTCTGCACAGCAAAAGAAACTGTCATCAGAGTGAACAGGCAACCTACAGAATGGGAGAAAATTTTTGGAATCTATCCATCTGACAAAGGGCTAATATCCAGAATCTACAAAGAACTCAAACAAATTTACAAGAAAAAAACAAACCACCCCATCAAAAAGTGGGCAAGGGATGTGAACAGACACTTCTCAAAAGAAAACATTTATGCAGCCAACACATATATAAGAAAATGCTCATCATCACTGGCCATCAGAGAAATGCAAATCAAAACCACAATGAGATACCATCTCACACCAGTTAGAATGGCGATCATTAAAAAGTCAGGAAACAACAGGTGCTGGAGAGGATGTGGAGAAATAGGAACACTTTTACACTGTTGGTGGGACTGTAAACTAGTTCAACCATTGTGGAAGTCAGTGTGGCGATTCCTCAGGGATCTAGAACTAGAAATACAATTTGACCCAGCCATCCCATTACTGGGTATATACCCAAAGGCTTATAAATCCTTCTACTATAAAGACATATGCACACATATGTTTATTGTGGCACTGTTCACGATAGCAAAGACTTAGAACTAACTCAAATGCCCATCAATGACAGACTGGATAAAGGAAATGTGGCACATATACACCAAGGAATACTATGCAGCCATAAAAAAGGATGAGTTAATGTCCTTTGCAGGGACATGAATGAAGCTGGAAATCATCATTCTCAGCAAACTAACACAAGAACAGAAAACCAAACACCACATGTTCTCACTTATAAGTGAGAGTGGAACAATGAGAACACATGGACATGGGGGGGGGGGGGCATCACATACCTGGGCCTGTTGGGGTGTGGGGGGCTAGGGGAGGGATAGCATTAGGAAAAATACCTAGGAGATGATGGATTGATGGGTGCAGCAAACCACCATGGCACATGTTTGCCTGTGTAACAAACCTGCACGTTCTGCACATGTACCCTGAACTTAAAGTATAATAAAAGATGGTAATAATAATAATAATTTCTGTGCCAATTCTGTGGGAATGACACAGCCATATTTGCAGGAAGATATTTTGATTGAAAATAATTAAACACCACTAAAATTTCACAGATATTTTAAAAATATTAAACATGCACCTAAGAAGGAAATACTATGATTCAAAGCACATTGGGGAAGTATTATAAGTAAAATCTTCAATATTATTGAAAATAGCCCAGGTTGAGATTATAATATAAAGAAAGGATGGGTAAGTGTGTCCCCAAAAAGCCAAAGGTCATTCATTGATCTGCAATGGAAATTCTAAGATTGCTGAATCATTTTATAGATGAAGAAACAGATTTAGAAAGATAAAGTGACTCGCCTGATAATAAGCTGCATCACACAGATACATCAATTCATCCTAGATAACAACCTAGACAGCTGATGCATTTGCACATTTGCCTCTTCAGATAAACTATTCTCAAGGGAACTTACTGTATAAGAGGAATTTTACAGGGTTTTTTTTTTTTATTATTATACTTTAAGTTCTAGGGTACATGTGCACAACGTGCAGGTTTCTTACATATGTATACATGCGCCATGTTGGTGTGCTGCACCCATTAACTTGTCGTTTACATTAGGTATATCTCCTAATGCTATCCCTCCACCCTCCCCCTACCCCATGACAGGCCCGGGTGTGTGATGTTCCCCACCCTGTGTCCAGGTGTTCTCATTGTTGAATTCCCACCTATGAGTGAGAACATGCAGTGTTTGGTTTTCTGTCCTTGCGATAGTTTGCTGAGAATGATGGTTTCCAGCTTCATCCATGTCCCTACAAGGGACATGAATTCATCCTTTTTTATGGCTGCATAGTATTCCATGGTGTCTATGTGCCACATTTGCTTAATCCAGTCTGTCACTGATGGACATTTGGGTTGGTTCCAAGTCTTTGCTATTGTGAATAGTGCTGCAATAAATATACATGTGCCTGTGTCTTTATAGCAGCATGATTTATAATCCTTTGGGTATATACCCAGTAATGGGATGGCTGGGGGAATTTTACAGGTTTTATATGATCCCTAGACCAAATGTATGAAGTAGCTACTGATATTCCCATTACACAGATGACCTTGAGCAAAGTTGAGTAGTCTGCTTGAAGTTTCTAAGGTATTAGCTGGGGAGCTAAGAGTCAGACCCAGATCTGTCTACCTAAAGTTTATGCCCTATTCCATAAATCATTTTCTTCCTAACCAACAAGTTTGCACTTAACTGCTTTATGCCCACATATTGATGTCCAAATTGATTATGGGCCTGGGGCTTCAAATTAGCTGTTACTAACCCACCTCACCTCTGGACAGGGGAAATCAAACTTCTGGCCAACCACACTCGAAGTCAACTCTTTCTCCATGGTTCAGTCAACAGGCATCCCAGAAGCAAAATTTGCTAAGAACCATAGACAGAGCTGTCAATGCAGACTCCCTGAATTTGGAAGCAGATACAGTCTAGTCAATTTATTGTACAACTATTTTTGGTGAGGAATTGGTACTACAAAGGGTTCCCTAAGAGCTAGGTTTAGCCTTTGAATGCTATAGCTGGACAGAACCCGAGGGATGATTCAGTCATCAGAGTTGTTGTCTGATGCGGTCACGAGGGAGTCTGACTCCTTCACCCTACCACATCCCCACTCCCAAAGATGTTTTCAGTATCTACTTCTAAAGTTAACATACAGTCCCAAAAGCCATAGTCTTTTGTAATATGCCTGCTCTTCAACCAACTCACTCATTTCCTTGTATCAAAGAAAAATATTTATGTCCTCAAGGAGGCACAAACAAACATAATCTCTGGAAGCATTTTCACAAGAGTTTAAACAATTGTTACATGACTTGTTAAATAGCCAGAATATGGAATATTATTTATTAGTTTAAAAGTATGAGGTAGATCTGTATAGTATAGTTACTTGAAAAGATTTCCAAGATATATCATTAAGTGAAAATGCAAGTTGCGAAAAATGTGTACACATCATATGATTCCCCTCTACACAAACCAGCACAAAAATGAAACCAATATATTTGTATATGTACATATAGTATGTCAATACATGACAGTTGTCTGACATAATGCACACTAAATTGTTACAAGTAGTTATTTCTTGGGAAAATAAAGGGAATGATGAGAAGAAGGAAAGAGAGCATTTCACTTTTTATTCTCCATGCTTATATATTATTTGATTTTTTGAAAATGTGAATGTATTCATATATTTATTGTGAAAGTGTGTTCAGAAGAGTTTTTTTAACCAAATGTTACCTTTTTAACATGCAAGGAATTACCGAAGGATAAAAGACATAGTAGACTTATTAATAAATTCCAAATGACTATCCCAAGAACCATATGTAATTCCAGGTAAGTTACCTTTAAAAAACAAAAAAATAAACAAAATAAGTGAAGATGAGTCTCTTTATTATGTGTGTTAGTTAGCAACAGAACCAGACAGTAGAATTAAACATCACCCCACTTTAAGATAAATGTATGAAAATATCACAGGAGAAGGGGGGTAGGATATATGAGTTAAAAATCTAGTCATTCCGCTCCGTAATATTTTAGCCTTGCTGCATGAAATAGAATGAGCACTCAAAAACAGCTGCATTCCCAAACATGGATCTGTTTCTGGTTCAAACTCAGACATAGACCCTTAAATTGAGGTCAGGACATCCTGGGCTCTGGATTGCTCTGGCAGTAGTGACATTGGCCTTTTTAAGAGTATCATGCCTATAAATAAAAGGACGCATTAAAAGGAACCTTGAAAACTTGATCTAAATTATCTCATTTGGTCCTTATACTATCACTGTGAAGGGAGGGTAATTGCACTCATTTGATTGAATCTTCAACCAAGACTCTAATAGGTTAGAATTTGAAGAGATCTCAGAGATACAAAAATACACTGCTTTAAAAAAAAATTGAGCACAGATAAGGAGCGCAAGCCCTAGAGACATGAAGTGATTTGTCCTCTGCTAGATAAGAATGGAACCCAGACCTTTGACTGTTAGCTCTTTCACTCCATGATACCAATACATGGACTGGTAAATGCTTTGTCTTCAATCTTCTCTCTCACATAAAGTTGGGTCAGGGACCATGGGAAATTCTGTTTTATCTTGAATAGTTCAGATAGAACAATAGTCACACATGTCACCAAGCCCATCCTTACTTAATAAGCCTAACTCCCAAAGCATCACTTAATTGGTCACAAATCTGCAGCTGCCTCAGAGCACATGCCTCATCCACCTCTCCAACTATTTCTGTCAAGAAATAATAAAACTCTTTCTGCTCACCCTGAAAATGATTTCCTTTGCCATTCTTTCTTTCTTTCTTTTTTTCTTGAGAGGGAATCTCACTTTGTTGCCCAGGGTGGAGTGCAGTGGCACGATCTCAGCTCACTGCAACCTCCGCTTGCCGGGTTCAAGCAATTCTCCTGCCTCAGCCTCCCAAGCAGCTGGGACTACAGGCGGGAGCCACCATGCCTGGCTAATTTTTTGTATTTTTAGTAGAGATGGGATTTTGCCATGCTGGCCAGGCTGGTCTCAAACTCCTGACCTAGTGATCTGCCCGCCTCGGCCTCCCAAAGTGCTGGGATTGATTATAGGTGTGAGCCATCGCGCCTGTCCTCTTTGACATTCTTGAACCATGTTGACTTTTTATAATTACGAAGGGAGATGACAGCTTACCAGAATATCAGCTTGATTCAAGTTATATGAATTCATCACATGAAATATGGATTCACTGCATCAGACTGTATACCTATTGATCAAAAATATTTCATCTCTGTAATCAGCAGCAAGGTTTTGCCATTGCTATTATTACCACTGCATGCGCTGGTCTAGCATAAATTCTGAATCGCCCAGCACCATGTCAGCATTGGCATCCATGTTAGTCAGACTCATCATGGCTGTGTGGTAAATGAGTTTGGGTAGCTACTGTTGGGAGTTTATTTGTGATGAGATGATAAAAGATGGGAAAGGAGAAGTGAGAAACAGAGCCTGTGATAAATGAAAGGGCTGTGTCAATTAGAGATCTTAAATAAAGGCTGGATTTTGGCAGAATAGAATTAGAGTCACAGGAAAAGCTAAAAAACAAAACTTAGAAACTGGGTAGAAAGAAGGGATGTTAAATAGCAGCCAGACTACAGCTAAACTTTGCCGCAAGGTGAATACGGTGAGGACACTCCCATCACCATCACCAAATACTGGCCACCACTGCTGCGTTTCTCCTCGGACCCCAGATGGTGCCACCATACAGCTCTCACTGCTGAGCTGCTATACCTGCCCCAGGATGGGCTCCCAGAGTTCCTCTTCATTGGATCACAAGCTCCCAATTTTCAGTCCAGGGAGGAGTTTCTGATTAGAAGTGCCTTAGGTGTAGGCATTCTACTTAGCAGCAAGAGTCAGGAACCTGACAGCAGGAAGCAGGCTCTGCCTCCCAGTAATGGGCATTTCTGGACATTTCTCAAACGTGGGAAGGGACCGCAGACATTCAAAAAAGATGGGTGCTAAATACCCATGTAGCACTCCCTTTAGATGCCCAATATAACATACAGATTAATGCTTGGGAGAGGAGGAGGTAAGAAGTGGCTCTATTTCAATCATGTAACCATCTTCCCTACCACCCAAAATGTGCTTACCCTCTTCTCCAAAATAAGACAAGCTAGGTGTAATCGGTTCGTAAATTTAGTTCGTAAATCCTGGAGCTCTGGGTAATATTCATTTTCCCATGAATTCTATCTTGTCACCATCTCAATATTTTATAACAGACGGAGTAAACTTCAAAGTTAAAATTACCAATATACCCTTTATAAAATAGAAGGATAGGAAGAGTGGAAATAAAAAACTAGGTAATTCAAATATATGAATATATGTGCTTCAGCAAGAAAAAATTTAAGTAGGTGCTACCAACCTCATTTCTGCCCTAGCCACAAGGTCATAGTGACTTCTAGAGAAGTCACTATGACTTCTCTCTTCTATTTTACCAATTTCATTTTCCCCATTATGTTTGGCCAAAACCTCAGCCAGATGGGATTCTTTATTATGTATAATGACCTCATTATGTAAGAAGTCTGAGCCGTAGGTATTCTACATGGATTGGATTGTTGTCAAAATCTATTAATTGACTTAGTAGAATAGGAGGTAACATAGAGGATCCCCTGGACTTTCATTCAAAGTTTATACCTCTGAAAGTATCAACTCTATATCCTCTTGACAATCAGGATCAATCACCTCAACCAACACCAAAATCTCATCTCTTTTTTGTTGTCCGTTTGCTCATTGGCAAGAGGAGCCTGAAATGATTAGGTGACAGCCTCAATTTCCAAGTCAATGGAGTTACTGCTGTGCTCCCTAGTGGAAATATTCTTAAAATCAAAGGGAATGTGTTGTTGAGCCCATGTAAAATCTCCATCCCTGTCATCATGTCCTTTTTGTTCAGGAATCCATTGAGAAAGTACTAGAAAGATTAGGGAATGTACTTGACTGACATTCACAGAGCCAGTCACTTTGCCTTCCTGATTAAGAGCATCCTCCTTACTTGAGGGCTTTGGGGAGGAGGGTCTAGGAGGAGGGAGAGGAGAGGAAGGGGAGAAATTACAAAATAAATATTGTATAGCTTTCAACCAACTAGAGAACCAGACTTGGAAAATGGGCAGAAACAAGGAAGGTTGGAGCAATCAGTGTCACACTTTGTCCTCCTCCCCATCTTCTCCCAAGAAAAGACTTTTCTGTGAGGACACCATTCCTGCCCACCACTGTCTGTCGGCAATGGACGAGAGATGCCACAGCTGCACCACTGCCTCCAGTGACTTGAAACACAGTGTTGTGTGGCTGCGGCCACTCTTCCTCCCCCCAGAAAAAAATTCTCTATGGCCCCTACTTCTTCATCTGTTTACCTCTTAATTCAAGATCTGAGGCTGATGCTTCTGATCAGCAAATCAATGCTAGCTCCCATGCCCATGCTCAGGCTACAACGGCAAATAAAAGGCAGAGGTGAGATTTTCAGCTTCCATAAGGGTAAGCTAGGTTTACTCACAATCAAGACTTAAAAGATAGGGAATTTTCAAACATAAGAAGAGGTTCAAATGCTAAATAAAAGAAAAAAATAGACAAATGTCTACTACAAAGTTGGGGGAGGGTAGGGAGTCACTTGATTTATTGTATTGGAGGAGCCAAGTATCACACAAACCAGATCTAGAACTGAGTATCATCGGTATACACTGGCTCAAGGCTCTGCGTGCACATCAGCTGATGTTAGCCCTAGGGAGAGAAAGAAATCAATGTTGAATTGCTATTTTTCAAACTGTCAATATTTTTACTGTGCTGTGGTCACAGTTTCAATTATATAATTCAGAGCTTTCCACATTGTTCATCATTTGATGACAATAAAGGGATATTCTGGCCCTTTTGCTTGGTTTTTATTTCTCAGTCTGAAAGAGAAATGTATGTTTGATTTCAGGTGATTGATATGGTGTTTCCCTTCTTGTGTCTTTTTCGCTCTTGTTTCTTACATACTATATTATTTCAGCAAGTAGGGACTATATCTAAAATTTATTGTTTCCACATTCTTAAAAACTTTACACAATTTCGTTTCTAGTTATGAGAGAAGTTGATTATCTCCTAAGGAATGTGCATTTATCATTGTAGCTAGTTCGGAGGACCAGCCTCTCATTTATGTTACTGACAGCCAATGCTCCTCACGGACAAATCTTTCCCAGACCTTTCTTATTCTGAATAAAGAAAATTTGGAGCGCAGTTTGCTCAAGGTCTACTTTTCATTCAGAAAAACTATATATATATATATATATATACTGACTTCTTAGTTTTGCATCTCTGATATATCTTGTTTTTCCTTTAGTGTCATTAGGCTTCCTCTTGTAACAGTCTGTGCCCACATCCAGTTTTCTCATTACAATATCTTGCATTTATATTATGTTTCACAATTTTGCAATTTTACAGGTAAAGAAGTAGACCTCCAGCAAGACTGAATAACTAGCTCTAGACCATGCCACTAGCATGTGGTGGAATCAAGATTCAGATGCTGGTTTACTTACTCCACATCCCTGCTTCTCTCAGTCCACTTAGCCTGATATACAGTAAGTGCTCAAAACATGTTTGTTGGATACAAGGATAACCTGGAAATTACATAGAAATGCATTAAAACATATTTTATCTTCTGTGGGTAATCTTTGGTTACACAAGTCTGGCATATTTAAATAAATTGATTAAAATTTGCTATTGGGGCCGGGCGTGGTGGCTCACGCCTGTAATCCCAGCACTTTGGGAGGCCGAGGAGGGCGGATCACGAGGTCAGGAGATCGAGACCATCCCGGCTAAAACGGTGAAACCCCGTCTCTACTAAAAATACAAAAAATTAGCCGGGCGTAGTGGCGGGCGCCTGTAGTCCCAGCTACTTGGGAGGCTGAGGCAGGAGAATGGCGTGAACCCGGGAGGCGGAGCTTGCAGTGAGCGGAGATCCCGCCACTGCACTCCAGCCTGGGCGACAGAGCGAGACTCCGTCTCAAAAAAAAAAAAAAAAAAAAAAAATTTGCTATTGGTATTCACTGAGTGCTGGTTTAACATCTAGATTCCCTGGAACTTCCAATTCATTAGAAGCCCAAAGAATCAGATCAGAATCATTCAGATAAGTTTTAGAAACACTCTTTTCAGCCAACCAACTACCAGGAAAACATGGAGTTTGGTCCAAGGAGAATAGGACTGGATGTCAGGGAAGACAGTAAACTTCCTGAATCGTTTCATCTGGAGACCAATAGGAAGTAAAAACAACCATCAACTGGCAAGATAATATTTTCCTTTTGTAGCAATAGTCCCTGTCTTTACCAATTTTTAAATAACTCCAAAACCAAGTGATTTTTTCACCCTTTTCATTTGTATATGTTGGCATTCTAGAGACATGGCCTAGGTCATACAAAATGATTATTCCTCTAGCACTTCAGATGATGCACATATCAGGGCTTATATTCATTTCCTAGGGCTGCCATCACAAAGTACCACAAACTGGGTGGCTTAAAATAGCAGAAATTTATTATTTAACAGTTCTGCAGTCCAGAAGTCCTAACTCAAGTTGGTAGGGCCATGCTTTCTCTGAAGACTCTAAGGATGGATCCTTCCTTGTGTCTTCCAGCTTCTGGTGTTTGCTGGCAATCCTTGGTATTCCTTGGCTTGTACAGGCAGCATTCCAGTCTCTGCATCCATCTTCACGTGGCCTTCTACAAAAACTGAGTCCAAATTTCCTTCTTCTTCTAAGAACACCACTCATAGTAGATTTAGGGAACTTATTTTTAAAACCCCATCTTAGCTAAATTTCATTTGCAAAGACTCTATTTCCAAATACAGTTTCTAGGTAGACATAAATTTTGGGGAGACGCTATTTAAGCCAGCACAGAGGTTAAGAAATACTCACTCACTCAGAAAAGGAGTATCTCTGCCAAGAAGGAAATTCAGAAAAAATCACTTTGCAGAATGATTCCTCCCTCAATCTTTCAGTTATAAATGGAAAACATTTCACTCCAAACAAAGAATGTAAGCTATTTTCCCACTTCATTAATGTTTTTCCTTCAGAATGTTACCACATTTTCTGATCAAGTATTTCTATGATATAGATAATTAGACGCATACTTATAGTTTTAACCATGTCTCCCTCCATAATACTTCATGTTTCTTTATCCTCTGAAATTATTGCTTTTTTCCAGATTGACTAGCTGTTCAAAAATCCAGTAAGACTCTTGGTTGCCAAGGACTGGCAGCGAATACCATTCCCAGGGAGTTCCTAACCAGGACTATGGCTAAAAGTATGCAACGTACAGGATGAAACCCTTTTCAAGCCTCCCTCCCCAGAGACATCATTGTTTATATAAAATCTGGTTAAAATCAACACAAAGACATTTTTAGAGGGACAAAACACAGATTGTCTGAAAAGGTGCATGTTGCTCTGCTTGGAATAAAGAAAAGCTACAAAAACCTACAACTTTTATCATACTTAATGGTGAGAAACCAGATGATTTCCCCTAAGATTGGGAATGAGGCAAGGATTCTCCTCTCACCACTCCTATTCAACATTGTACTGGAAAATTTAGCTAGAAAAATAAGACAATAAAAGGAAACACATCTGTATATAAATTGAAAAGGAAGAAACAAAACTTTATTTAGTTGCAAATGTCAGTATTTTCTGTCTAGAAAATCCCAAAGAACTTTGTAAACGTTCTACCAAGCAAGTACAACTGGTCCTCCATATTTGTGGGTTTCGCATCTGTGGATTCAACCAACTGCAGATGGAAAATATTTGGGAAAAAAATGGATGATTGTGTCTATACTGAATATGTACAGATGTTTTGTCATTCCTCCCTAAACAATGCAGTAGAACAAGTATTTACATAATGTGTATATTTATTAGGTATTACAAGTAATCTATAGATTATTTAAAGCATATGGGGGGATGTGCCTAGGTAATATGCAAATACTATACCATTTTGTATAACGGACGAGAGCATTTGTGGATTTTGGCTCTGGTCTGCAGCTCCCAGCGAGACCAATGCAGAAGGTCGGGGATTTCTGCATTTCCAACTGAGGTACCCAGTTCATCTCATTGGGACTGGATAGAGAGTGAGCACAGCAGATGGAGGGTGAGCAGAAGAGGGTGGGGCGTAGCCTCACCCACGAAGTGCAAGGAATGGGGGCTTTCCCTCCCCCAGCCAAGGGAAGCTGTGAGGAACTGTGCTATCCAGCCCAGATACTACACTTTTCCCATGGTTTTTGCAATCCACAGACCAGGAGATTTCCTCATATGCCAACACCACAAGGGCCCTGGGTCTCAAGCACAAAACTGGGAGGCTGTTTGGGCAGACACTGAGCTAGCTGCAAGAGTTTTTTTTAATTTTTTATTTAATTTAATTTGATTTTTTTCGTACCCCAGTGGTGCCTGGAATCCCAGCAAGACAGAACTTTTCACTCCCCTGGAAAGGGGGCTGAAGCCAGGGAACCAAGTGGTCTCACTCAGTGGGCCCTAATCCCACAGAGCCCAGCAAGCTAAGAACCACTGGCTTGAAATTCTTGCTCCCAGCACAGCAGTCTGAAGTCAACCTGGGAAAATGGAGCTTGGTGGAGGCAGGGGCTTTTGCCATTACTGAAGCTTGAGTAAGCGATTTTCCCCTCACAGTGCTAAGGAGGCTGGTAAATTAGGACTGAGCAGATCTTACCACAGTGCAGCAAAGCGGCTGTGGCAAGACTACCTCTCTAGATTCCTCCTCAGTGGGCAGGGCATTTCTGAAAGAAAGGCAGCAGCCCCAGTCAGGGGCTTATAGATAAAACTTCAGAGCACCTGGGGGAAGGAGCAGTTGTGGGCACAGCTTCAGTGGACTTAAATGTTCCTGATTGCCAGCTCTGAAGAGAGCAGCAGATCCTGACAGGGAGAATTCTCCCAGCACAGTGCTCGAGCTCTGCTAAGGGACAGACCACCTCCTCAAGTGGGTACCTGACCTCCATGCCTCCTGACTAGGAGATACCTCCTAGCAGGGGTTGAGAGACACCTCATACAGGAGAGCTCTGGCTGGCATCAGGCTGGTGCCCCTCTAGGGCAAAGCTTCCAGAAGAAGGAACAGGCAGCAATCTTTGCTGTTCTGCAGTCTGCGCTGATGATACCCAGGCAAAAAGGGTCTGGAGTGGACCTCCAGCAAACTGCAGCAGACCTGCAGAAGAAGGGCTTGACTGTTAGAAGAAAAACTAACAAACAGAAAGCAATAACACCAAAATCAACAAAAAGAACCCCCACACAACAACCCCATCCAAAGGTCATCAGCCTCAAAGATCAAAGGTAGATAAATCCACAAAGATGAGAAAAAAAATTGCAAAAATGCTCAAAATTCAAAAAACCAGAGTGCCTCTTCTCCTCCAAATACAAACTACCATCAGAGAATACTACCAAATACCAAATGACTGCAACTTGTCTCCAGCAAGGGCACAAAACTGGACAGGGAATTAGTTTGATGAATTGACAGAAGTAGGCTTCAGAAGTTGGGTAATAACAAACTCCTCTGAGCTAAAGGAACATGTTCTAACTCAAAGCAAGGAAGCTAAGAACATTGATAAAAGGTTATAGGAACTGCTAACTAGAATAACCAGTTTAGAGAAGAACATAAATGACCTGATGGAGCTGAAAAACACAGCACAAGAACTTCATGAAGCATACACAAATATCAATAGCTTAATCAATCAAGCATAAGAAAGGATATCAGAGATTGAAGATCAACTTACTGAAATAAGGTGTGAAGACAAGATTATAGAAAAAAGAATGAGAAGGAACGAACAAAGCCTCCAAGAAATATGGGACAAGACAAGAGAAGAGAAAAAAGAATGAGAAGGAACAAACAAAGCCTCCAGAAATATGGGACTATGTGAAAAGACCAAACCTATCATTGATTGGTGTTCCTGAAAGTGATGGGGAGAATGGAACCAAATTGGAAAACACACTTCAGGATATTATCCAGGAGAACTTCCACAACCTAGCAAGACAGGCCATCATTCAAATTCAGGAAATACAGAGAACACCACTAAGATACTCCTCAAAAAGAGCAATCCCAAGACACATAATCATCAGATTCTCTAAGGTTGAAACGAAGGCAAAAAATGATAAGGGCAGCCAGAGAGAAAGGTTGGGTTACCCACAAAGGGAAGCCAATCAGACTAACAGTGGATCTCTCTGCAGAAACCCTGCAAGCCAGAAGAGAGTGGGGGCCAATATTTCAACATTCTTTTTTTTTTTTGAGACCGAGTCTCGCTCCTTTGCCCAGGCCGGACTGCAGCGGCGCTATCTTGGCTCACTGCAAGCTCCCCTTCCCGGGTTCACGCCATTCTCCTGCCTCAACCTCCCAAGTAGCTGAGACTACAGACGCCCGCCATCATGCCTGGCTAATTTTTTGTATTTTTAGTAGAGATGGGGTTTCACCATGTTAGCCAGGATGGTCTTGATCTCCTGACCTCGTGATCTGCCCATCTCGGCCTCCCAAAGTGCTAGGATTACAGGTGTCAGCCACCGCACCCAGCCAATATTTCAACATTCTTAAAGAAAAGAATTTTCAACACAGAATTTCATATCCAGCCAGACTAAGCTTCGTAAGAGAGGGAGAAATAAAATCCTTTACAGACAAGCAAATGCTGAGAGATTTTGTCACCACTAGGCCTGTCTTACAAGAGGTCCTGAAGGAAGCACTAAATATGGAAAGGAAAACCAGTACCAGCCACTGCAAAAACACACCAAAATATAAAGACCAATGACACTGTGAAGAAACTGCATCAACTAATGTGCAAAATAAACAGCCAGTATCATTATGACAGGATCAAATTCACATATAACAATATTAATCTTAAATGTAAATGAGCAAAATGCCCCAATTAAAAGACACAGTCTGGCAAATTGGATAAAGAGTCAAAACCCATCAGTGTGCTGTATTCAGGAGACCATCTCATGTGCAAAGACCCACATAGGCTCAAAATAAAGGAATGGAGGAATATTTACGAAGCAAACGGAAAGCAAAAAAAAAAAAAAAGCTGGGGTTGCAATCTTAGTCTCTGATAAAACAGACTTCAAACCAACAAATATCGAAAAAGACAAAGAAGGGCATTACATAATGGTAAATGGATCAATGCAAATAAAAGAGCTAACTGTCCTAAATATATATGCACCCAATACAGGAGCACCCAGATTCATAAAACAAGTTCTTAGAGAGCTACAAAGAGACTTGGACTCCCTCACAATAAAAGTAGGAGACTTTAACACCCCACTGTCAATATTAGACAGATCAACAAGACAGAAAATTAACAAGAATATTCAGGACTTGAACTCAGCTCTGGACCAAGTGGACCTAATAGACATCTACAGAACACTCCACCCCAAATCAACAGAATATACATTCTTCTCAGCACCACATGGCACTTATTCTAAAATCGACCACATAATTGGAAGTAAAACACTCGTCAGCAAATGCAAAAGAATGGAAATCATGACAAACAGTCTCTCAGACGACAGAGCAATCAAATTAGAGCTCAGGATTAAGAAACTCACTCAAAACCACACAACAACATGGAAACTGAATAACCTGCTGCTGAATGACTACTGGGTAAATAACCAAATTAAGGCATAAAGAAGCTCTCTGAAACCAATGAGAACAAAGACACAATGTACCAGAATCTCTGAGACAAAGCTAAAGCAATGTTTAGAAGGAAATTTATAGCACTAAATGCCCACAGGAGAAAGCATGAAAGATCTAAAACCGCCACACTAAAATCACAATGAAAAGAACTAGAGAAGTAAAAGCAAACAAAGTCAAAAGCTAGCAGAAGACAAGAAATAACTAAGATCAGAGCAGAACCAAAGGAGACAGAGACAAGAAAAACCCTTTAAAAAATCAATGAATCCAGGAGCTGGTGTTTTGAAAAGATTAACAAAATAGATAGACCACTAGCCAGACTAATAAAGAAGAAAAGAGAGAATAATCAAATAGACACAATAAAAAATGATAAAGGTGATATCACCACTGATCCCACAGAAATATAAACTACCATCAGAGAATACTATAAACACCTCTATGCAAATAAAATGGAAAATCTAGAAGAAATGGATAAATCCCTGGACACATACACCTTCCAAAGACTAAACCAGGAAGAAGTCAAAACCCTGATTAGACAAATAACAAGTTCTGAAATTGAGGCAGTAATTAATAGCCTACCAACCAAAAAACGCCCAGGACCAGATGGATTCACAGCCAAATCCTACCAGAGGTACAAAGAGGAGCTGGTACCATTCATTCTGAAACTATTACAAACAATAGATAAAGAAGGAATCCTCCCTAACTCATTTTATGAGGCCAGTGTCATCCTGATACCAAAACCTGGCAGGACACAATAACAAAATATTTCAGGCCAATATCCCTGACGAACATCAATGCAAAAACCCTCAATAAAGTACTGGCAAACTGAATTCAGCAGCACATCAAAAAGCTTATCCACCACAATCAAGTCAGCTTCATCCCTGGGATGCAAGGCTTGTTCAACATATGCAAATCAATAAATATAATCTATCACATAAACAGAACCAATGACAAAAACCACATGATTATTTGAATAGATGCAGAAAAGGCCTTTGATAAAATTCAACACCGCTTCATGCTAAAAACTCTCAATAAGAAAACAAAAACGGGACCCCTTCCTCACACCTTATACAAAAATTAACTCAGTATGATTAAAGACTTAAACGTTAAACCTAAAACTATAAAAACCATAGAAGAAAACCTAGGCAATACCATTCAGGACATAGGCATGGGCAAAGACTTCATGACTAAAACACCAAAAGCAATAGCAACAAAAGCCAAAATTGACAAATGGGATCTAATTAAACTAAAGAGCTTCTGCACAGCAAAATAAACTATCATCAGAGTGAACAGGCAACCTACAGAATGGGAGAAAATTTTTTCCTAACTTCATTTTTCTGTTGCAGGATTCCATCCCAGATATCACATCACATTTATTTGTCATGTCTTTTTGGGCTCCTTTGGTTGTGAGTCGCCCCTACTTTCCTTCATTCTTCTTTATGGCTGAATAGTACCCCTTTGTGTATATAAACCACATTTTTTTATTATACTTTAAGTTCTGGGGTACATGTGCAGAACATGCAGCTTTGTTACATACGTATACATGTGCCATGGTGGTTTGCTGCACCCATCAACCTGTCACCTACATTAGGTATTTCTCCTAATGTTATCCCTCTCCTAGCCCTCCACCCCCTGACAGGCCCCAGTGTGTGATGTTCCCCAACCTGTGTCCCTGTGTTCTCATTGTTCAACTCCCATTTATGAGTGAGAACATGCAGTGTTTGGTTTTCTGATCTTGTGCTACTTTGCTGAGAATGATGGTTTCCAGCTTCATCCATGTCCCTGCAAAGGACATGAACTCATCCTTTTTTATGGCTGCATAGTATTCCATGGTGTATATGTTCCACACTTTCTTTATCCAGTGTGTCATTGATGGGCATTTGGGTTAGTTCTAAGACAGGTCTTTTGAAATTATCCAATCAGAGGAATGGTTTTTAAAAAGGAATAAAAAAGAGTAAAGAAGTCTTATAGGACTTATGAGACACCATTATGTGAAACTCCTGACCTCAAGTGATCCACCCACCTTGGCCTCCCAAAGTGCTGAGATTACAGGTGTGAACTACTGTGCCTGGCTGGCTGTAATATATTTTATGTAATTTTCATGGTAATCACCAAGAATAAAACCTGTAGTAGATAATAAAAATATTAAGAGAAAAGAATCAGAGCATACCACCACAACAGAATTCCATTAAAATTAAAGTATCCTGCTCTATGAAAGAAGTTGTTAAGAGAATAAGAAAATATACAATAGGAGTAATATTTACAAAACACATACCTGAGAAAGTATTTGTTTCCAAAGTAGACATAGAAACTTTTTTTTATTATTATACTTTAAATTCTGTGGTACACGTGCATGTGTTCTCATTGTTCAACTCCCACTTATGAATGAGAACATGTGGTGTTTGGTTTTCTGTTCTTGTGTTATTTTGCTGAGAATGATGGTTTCCAGCTTCATCCATGGCCCTGCAAAGGACATGAACTCATCCTTTTTTAGGCTGCATAGTATTCCATGGTGAATATGTGCCACATTTTCTTTATCCAGTCTATCATTGATGAGCATTTGGGTTGGTTCCAAGTCTTTGCTATTGTGAACAGTGCCACAATAAACATACATGTGCATATGCCTATATAGTAGAATGATTTATTCCATGGTGTATATGTGCCACATTTTCTTAATCCAGTCTATCATTGATGGACATTCGTATAAACCACATTTTTTAATCCATTCATCCATTGATGGACACTTAGGTTGATTCCATATTTTGCCTATTGTGAATAGTAGCTCTAACTCACTTTTTCCGTTATAAAAACCATGAGTTCTTTTTCACATGTAATACTTTACCAGCTTGGGGAAAGGGCATTGTGGTTAAAAAGACTCATCTTCCTTATGATCTGCTCCTGATTTGTCTTTGCTCTGTGCCCGAGGGATCATCACAGCCCCGGTTTTAAGCTCTCAGATACTCTGGGTAATATTACTGCCGCTGAATAGTTGTTGACTGGCTTTCTGTGGGGAAGAGTGGATTCCAATTACTTCTACTTTGTCATTTTACTGATGTCACTCTCCCTGACTACATTTTTAATCATTAAAAATGTGTGAAAGATTTCAATTGAGGGCCTTATACACAATACCTGATCGGTAATTCTCAAAACTGTCAAAATCATCAAAAATAAGAAACTTACCCAGTGACTTCACTCAACAGAAGGCTGTAGCCTGAGTCTCTGTTTGTGGAGCCCAGGCTGCAACCTTGCCTGAATGCACAGTTCAGCCACTGGCAGAAGCCAGCCATGGTGCACAGCCTGGAGCCCCACCTGACCAAGAGCATTTGTGGAACCCAGCCTACCTTTCCAACCAATTGTAGAGTCCAACCAATGGCACCACCCAGCCAAGGAGCACAGCGTGCAATGCACTCAGACAAGGATTGTCGATCCCTGTGAAGGACTCTTCCTGACTGCAAAGTCTAGTCAGAGGTTCCACCCAACTAGGGAGCCAAACAGTAGCCCTGCCTTAGCTTGAAGCCCAGCCAGAACCCATCTCACCTCAAAGCATGGGGAGGAGCCCCACCCACCTAAAGAATCTTACAGCAAGCTCCACCTGCCTACATATACTAAGAGCTGGCCTACCAAGAACCCCAGGATGGACTAACTGACGGAGGTCTATCCCTGCCAAAGTGAACCCATAAAGGCTAGAAGAGGTAGCTGCTTCCTCAGATGTGCAAACACCAGTGCAAGGATACAAGGATCATAAAAAATCAGGGAAACAATACACCATCAAATGAAACTAATAAAGCTCAAATGACTGATTCTAAAGAAACAAAGATCTGTTAACTGACTGACAAAGAATTCAGAATAATCCTCTACAAGGAGTTCTGTAAACAAGAAAAAATTGATAGACAACTAAACAAAATTAGGAAAATACATGAACAAATCTAGAAGTTCAACAAAAAAAATCCATTTATTAAAAACAGAAATTCTAGAGATAAAGAATAATGATTAAACTAAGGAGTTCAATAGAGAACTTCAACAGCATACTAGATTGAGCAGAAGAAAGAATCAATTAACTTGAAGACAGGTTTTTATGTTTGTGTGTATTTTTTTGTTTGTTTGTTTGTTTTTGACGGAGTCTTGCTCTGTCGCCAGGCTGGAGTGCAGTGGCGCAATCTCGGCTCACTGCAACCTCCGCCTCCCGGGTTCAAGCAATTCCCCTGCCTCAGCTTCCCGAGTAGCTGGGACTACAGGTGTGTGCCATGAAGACAGGTCTTTTGAAGTTATCCAATCAGAGGAACGGTTTTTAAAAAGGAATAAAAAAAGAGTAAAGAAGTCTTATAGGACTTACGAGACACACATTACGTGAAACTCCTGACCTCAAGTGATCCACCCACCTTGGCCTCCCAAAGTGCTGGGATTACAGGTATGAGCCACCATGCCTGGCTGGCTATAATATATTTTATGTAATTTTTGTGGTAATCACCAAGAATAAAACCTGTAGTAGATAATAAAAATATTAAGAGAAAGGAATCAGAGCATACCACCACAACAGAAAACATCAAACCACAAAGGAAGACAGCAAGAGAGAGGAAACAAACAAAAATACAACAAAACAGTCAGAAAAAAAATATCAAAATGGCATCAGTAAGTCCTCACCTATCAATAATTACTTAAACCTAAATGAATTAAATTTTCTAATCAAAACACATAGAGTGGCTATCTTTTGATCCTCTGGGGGTTGCAGTAGGGGAGATCCTTCCAGGCTAGTCACTATACAGACGGTAGGGACTGGAAGGATTTTCTTTTATAGAAATAAACCAAAAATGTGGTCACAATATCTAGAAAATAATTATTTCATTGTGAAGCATTTTATTAAATCCTAATATTAAATCACATTTAATTATACATTCATTGACTCACATTCAGTAAAATTGCACAAAACCAGAACTATTCAAAAATTCAGATCAACATAAATATCACCACAAAAGCAGCAGTCACTATGCCTGTTAGAAATGCTCACAGACAGCCTGCCCAGTCCTCCAATGATGATGGTTTTTCAGATCTGTACCACGTCTGTAGCTGTGCCACTCATGTCTCTGTGAGGGTCACCATTAGAATGTTCTGTGGCATGGCTCTCCCCCCTTCACAGAGTATTTCTAGAGGCTTGAATGTTGACTAAATTTATACTTTGTGATTGTATAACCTAACTCTTTATCAAACTTCTAGATTTCTCTTAATAAATAAGTGATTTGACTACTGACTATTAGATGTCTTTCTCTTTTTCCTGTTTTGAAAAAAAAAATTTTAATCTGTCTTTGATTTCTTACCTACTTATGGAAACATGACAATTTAACCAGCTTTTAACTACAAAGCTACTGCTATATTCCTCTGCAGTTCTTCTCTCTGCCTCACAATTTCTGTTATTTGGGACAATGATGCCAACTTGCTGAACAGCAATGGAGAGGATCCACCAATGATATATAAATCAACCATTCCAAATCTTCCTCATGAAAACGAAAATACTTGGACAACCTTCAAAACATTGATTTTATATAATTTGAGGCATCTGAAATGCATAGACACATCCCACTTAAGGATCTATCTACGTTGCACCAAGCAATATAAATTTCTGGATTATGTTAAACCAATTCAAAGATAATAGTCATTAATTAGCAGTGTAGAGATAACCATAAAGGTAGTTCCATGTCATGCTTGAATCTTCTCTAAAATGACACCAAAAAATGTTCTATTTTGTTTATTTGATTATCGACAATTGCCAAGTATTCATTTTATTCCATTGTCAGTACCTGAGCTTGCAGCATTTCTCATTTCTTCCCAGATCAAAACCACATGCACAATACCCTTTAGAAGATAATTTGAACTGCTGATCTTTAATCTTTTGCCATAATGACTCATAGCAAAGAAATTTTCACTTGAATGGTAGCTCTTGGATACATTATTTCAGAGGAATGAGTCTAACAGTAAGACATCCATGCAGGTTGTCTGGGAAGATGTTTTGGATTAGAACCTTTCAAATATTCCACTTTGTCTTTATTTAGTGTTAACAGATTTGTGTTATGTATACATTGTGTTATCTTTCTTATGAAGATTTGATGGTCTTTAAATGAAGAAAGATAAAATGTGAATTCTTGTGATTATACAGCTATGTACAAATGGTCTTGATTAGCACTGTCCAATATATTATTTATGAAATTTTAGATTTTCTATTAGCCACATTTTAAAAAGTGAAACGAGGTTAAATTAATTTTCATGATATATTTTAACTCAATGTATTCAAAATATTACCATTTCAACATATAACAAATATTTTTAAGTTATAGTTGAGATATTTTAATTATTTTTGTACTGTTTTTTGCAATCTGGTTGTGTTTTGCACATACAGCACATTTCTGTTAGAACTAGCCACATTTAAAGTGCTCAGTCACTACATGTAGTTAGTGGCTACCATCTTGGACAGAGCAGGTCTAGTTACAGTGGTGATTAAGAGGAGCAAATGGGCTTCAGATGGTTTAAGAGTTGGAGCTAATATGATACAATGAGAAAAATGTGGGGTTTGGTTACTTATATTCAAATTCTAGTTTTCCTAATTAACTAAGAACCTTTAGAAAAATGGTCTTGAATCTCTCTGTCTGTTTGCATGTTTGTCAAAAACAGAAAATGATATTTCATCTGGTTATAGTTAACATTAAATGAGGTAATGTGCATAAGTCTTTGAAAATGCAGAAAGGCCAGTGTTCAGAGAGTGGGGCTCTCATGAGGGGCAGGAGCTTGAAAGAAAGATAAATCCCAGGAATCCAGGAAACCCAGCTGGAAGTGAACTGTTCTGCAACTAGATTCCCCTGGAGAGGTAGGTTGCACAAAAGTTACTCTCATGGTTACTGAAATGAAGAAATATGCTTTTGGGTCTAGCAGCTGAGGGGTCCTTGCCAGCTCTACAGACCACTGAGAGCTGATGATAGAAGCACACGCTGCCCATGTAGAGTCCTCTGGGTCTAGGGAGTTGAAGATCTATCTGCAAGAGAATGGAACTCAGCGTTCATTGTACATGGCTCAGATAAAACCGGGCTCTGGGCAGGGATTCACACTTTTTTTAATGACCTGAATAAAATGAGGTGGGAAAGATAACTTTCTAGTTCTATTGTTCTATAAAACAAAAACCTGTAATTGTTTGAAATAACAAAGCAAGGAATCTTTCTTAAAGGAGACAGCGGAAAGAAAAGTAACCTAAGAATGCCTAGTTGGTTTGATGCTAAACTGAGGGAAGGAAGTACATTTGACAGTAAAAGTAAAAACCTGATTTTAATGTATAATTTGTAAGAGGTATAGCAAAGAGGTAACCATACCCTGATGGAAATAAGATGTTCAAGTTGCTGAAGTCATTATAGAGGAAAATGTGTATACAGGTACATAAAGAGGCAAATTAAAAAGAAGAGAAATGTGTGTTTGTTTCATCAAATACCCAGAAAGACAAGGTAACCTGGAAAACATAACTTTAAAAGAGGGAATGTTATATGTCCCTCAAGGGAGAAAGCACAAACATGTCTGTTTCTTGCTACACAAATATCTTCTTCATAAGAATAGCAGTGCAACCATAAATCTTTAGAGTATGTATCAATGAATAAATAAAGAAATGGATGAATATATAACTACTCAATAGAGCAGAAGTAGAAGTTAGGAAAATAAGAAAAAGAGAAGAAAAAAATAAATGCACAGGTCCCAGTGGTGGAAGAAAGAACTAATTCCCAGATGTAAGTAAACTATTCATATATCTTATGGGACGAGGAAAAAACAAACTGAAACAGCAAACCCAGAGTATAAAGTCAGAAGACAGTGTTAATAGCAAAAACAGTTTAATACTTTTGTTTTGTTTGTTCTTTTTTGATGGTGATGGAATGGGTCTTATTACTGCTAGCATCCCTCTGCTTAAGGAAACTTCCTAAACAAACATTCTTACAAAATGTATTAATTTGGAAGTAGCAGTGTTCTAAGACAGATTTAATTCACAAAAAATAATTATCCTTCCTAGTGCTTTTTTTTTTTTTTTTTTTTTTTTGTAAACATGAGCTATTTTACCAAGTTGGAAATAACTGAATTGGGAAAAGTGGTTGAGAAGCAAGTGGCTTTTCTTATTTAAATGAAATTTTAGGGGAATCAAAAGCTGACTTCATTTTCTCGCCTGTGAAAATAGCTCAATGCAATGACCACATTCCACAGTGTCACCTAGTGGTCTTAAGGGTCTGGATCCAGAGCCGAGGCAAACAATGGGGAGACGTACTCTTGGCTTCAGAAACCTGCCATTTCAGAGAGCAACCTTCTCTTTTTATTGAAAGAGGGAGTTTAAAAGGATTAATTGCTGGCTTCAGAGCTTGGTTATGAGGCTAACAGTCTCCAGCTTCACCTATGCTAATGAGTTTTACAGCATTGGCCCTCAGTTATTTTTACAAGCTTTAAGTCAGAGCTTTGAAATTCGGTTTGCACATATCTGATGTAAAACTGTGTGGTCTGGTATTTTTTTTGAGATTTCTGTCCAAGAACAAGATAGAGAACATATCAGACAAAGAAATGCATGGTTTTATGCAAACATTATTTCCAAGTTGTGTGGAAATGATGTGTACACAAACAGCCTCATTCTCCCCATCATGCTGTCACTGTGTCTCCTATGTTTGATTGTCACTTGATTACAAGACTGTAGGCCTCACTGATGTGGCAGTGCCGTTTGGTTCAGGACACTGTCCTTTGTCTCCAGGACCATTGCAACTGCCCCTTCACTGACTTACCTGCTACCTTAGTTCATTTTCTGCTGTTAGAACACCACACACTGGATACTTTATATAAGAAAGAGGTTTATTTTGTCTCACAGTTCTGGAGGCTAAAAATCCAAGAGCATGGTGCCAACATCTGGTGAGGGCCTCATGCTGCTTTATAACATGGCAGGAGGTATCACCTGGTGGAAGAGGAAGCCGAGCAAGCCAAGGAAGCCGAATTCCAACTCACTTTTGTAACAACCCACTGTCATGATAACTACACCCCTCCCATGAGATCTAACTCACTCCTGTAAGAACAACATTAATTCCTTTATAAAGGCAGAGCCCCTGTGACCCAAACATGTCTTAGAGGTCCCATCACATCTCAATACCACATTGCAGACCAAATTTTAACACGAGTTCTTGGGGAGGAACAAACCACATCCAAACCATAGCAACTTCCGACATCCTGGACCCTTGAGAATTTATTCCCTTCATTGCTGCCAGTCCACTTTCTGAAATATCAATTTGATTGTGTTATTCTCTACCTAAACCCTTGATGGGTTTGTTTTTTTTTTGACCTCAGCATAAAGTCCAAATTCCTCAAGGGACATGTATGACTCTTCAGGACCCACCACTACTCACCTCCTAGGCTTGTCTCCTTCTACTCCTACTCAGATTCAAGCCCAGCCAGACCAAGCCTTATGGGATGCACACCTAGGCCCTTGCTCATGTTGCTCCTACTGCTAGAACGCTCTTCCCCTCCCCATCTTTACCTGTGTTATTCCTGCTCATTCTTTGTCCTTCTTGAACCTCAAACTTGGGTTAGGTATCTCTCCTACATTCTCCTAGAGTATTCCTCATGATCCATCTTGTGATACTTCATATACTGTTTAATCATTACTTCTACTTCATTATACTATTAACTCCTTGAGTGTCTTATATCTTTATATCCCTAGTGCCTTTAAGAGTGCCTGGGACAGACTTAACCTTGACAAATATTTGAATGAAAGAATGCATGAATAATTAAGTCCATGGCTTGCTTCTCTGCACCTAATGCAACCAGCCAATCAACTTTGTTCCAAATATGAATGTGAAATGATGCTTGATGAAACTTATCTGGGGCTATTAAATCACAGAACCAAAGAAAAAGAAGATGTGTTACATTCTAAAAAGAGCTCACAACAATAAAAGTCGGACATCCCCCACCCAGGCTCTACTACAACTAAATAGGTGGTGGTTCTACAAACAGACAGATAAATTTAAGGCAATTTTTCTAAAGGTTCTTAATTAACTGGGGGAACTAATTTAATTCTGAAAATTCGTGAGAAATATTTTCCAGTAAAAATATCACATTGGTATGCAGAAGAATTACCTAAGAATTAATCGTGAACTCTTAAATCAATACACAACAGTTCTCAAATATCTAAGGAAATTATTTCACTTTAGAAAATTCCTATTTAAAATTATTTTCACTATCTTGCAAGTACAAAATTTGTTCTGATTTTTTGAGTATACCTAAGTTAAAGATAGCCCTTTTGTGATGTTAATTTACCTATGAACTCCTTCCAAATTGTCTTTATGAAGAAGTTGATGACTTAGATATTATTTCTCTTTTCACAGTTGAAAACACCACCTGATACTTGGAAAGGTGCTCAATGCCACCCTGGGTAAACATCGGTGGTTTCCATTTATGTACTGGTTTCCTTTGCTCTACTTCCTATCATACTGGTATGGAAAGAATTTTTAAAGACATAAATGATCTAAGGAAATAATAATTTAATATACTTGGGGTTGAATACAAAAGAAATTTTAATGTTCTTTTCACTTGTATCAAAGTAAAGGAAGAAAGTAAAAGAGATGTGCAATAAAATGTGATATAAAGTTTTATTTTGGGTCTTATAGGACATGTTTAGGGACAATAAATTTTTATGCTATATGTCAATATTTTTGTTGGAACTATTAACAACTCCATTAGCAGATGGAAATTCTCTCATTCGATGTATGAAACCTGTGAATCTCCTTCTCAGATAAATTTTATAGAGAATATTTTTCATATTTATATGAAACAGAGACTAAGTGGAAAATAAACTCTGCTTCATAGAGGAACAGTATTTCTGCCATTAATGTCTGAATTTTCTTGTTTGTAGCATTCTAATGGTATTTTATGATATCTGAAAAGAACCTCTCATATTTGTGCAACCCTCGAGATAACAAACTTCAAAAAGACCCAGAGATCACAGTGAAAATATGCTTTCCATTATGCCTACTGAAATGTTGAGCATAAGTCACATATACGTCTATTTGGTTTATAAAGTGTATCATTCAAGCTCCTATTTCAGTTGGAATCCAACTATTCATTGAATGAGAATGGAACTATGGAATTAGGAGTTTGGGATTCTAGTCCCCTCTTGCTAACTACCTGTGTGATCAGGGACAGAATCTATTATTTTTCTAGGGCCTTGGGTTTCTCTGTTGTGAAATGAGTTGAACTAGATGATTTCTAAGATCTCATTTTCATAGAGCCTGAAAAGTGATTAAATGAATTATTATATAAAAATTATACATCACATCAACAGAATATTTTCCTTCCTCGAGCCACCAAGATGTTACATTTTAATAACTCCGAATTTGCCTAGAATGCTCTCTGCCATGTTTTTGCCCTGTGTGAACTAAAAACAAGGTTAAATGGAATCTACTTGGAGGAAGTATTGATCTTATTTTTCTGTGAGATTAGAACCTGAAGAACAGCATCTGTTATTTTAGTACTTAGTTAGAATTCCAATTATACACCTGCTTGACAAAATTTCCCAAAATGTATTCTCTTGAACACTGGCTCTGCGTGAGTTAACAGATACCCTGCTCTTACAGTAAGAGTCCTGATGTCAAATAATTTGGAGAAATGGTGGATCAGCAAAATTAAACCAGCCTCATTACCAAATTCAGAATATTAAACTTGTGAATGCTAATTTTTATTTTCCAATACAGAAACGTAGTGTGCTGTGAGCGGCGGGGGAGGTGGGGGTGGGATGCTGCCACATCAGTAGGTAACCCCCTCCCATCACACCTAGCTCCCAGCATGAGTAATCAAACAATGAGATTTTTGGCCAGAGCAACCAAGTATGTAGATGCTAAACCAAACCCAGATTTATTAGGAGTAGTAGAAAAGGCAGATCTTGAACCCGTCTAAAAAAGTTCCATTTAAGCAATCTGCAAGTTCAATTTAAAGAAATACTCCCTAAAAATGAGAGAGAAGCAAAAATGGAAAGGACTTTTCTGGAGGCAATGGGTTGCGTTCACAGAAAATGTTCACACTGAGGTCACCAAGAATTACAGGAACCACATATTCTGGGCTTTTCCCAGGGGAAAGGTGGGTTGTGCTTGCTTTTGGTTAAGGGGACCCTGCCCATCACTGCAGATACCTTGTGAAGGTCAGGTGCTTACTCAGCGGGGGATCTCATGGCAGGGCTCTGCTACCCAGTCATTTTGCTGGAAGGCTGTGGGGTGGTATCCACTCCAGGGTCTGAGCTCACTGGTACAGCCTCAGGGACCAGGATAACCATGAGGCCAGGAGAGGAATATCACCCTCCCTGAAGTTCATCCTAACCTCAGCATCATCCTCCCCGACTACCATGGACACCCAGCCAGCCTGACCCCATGTACTGGTCACAGAACAAAGTTCAAAAATGAGGCAGCAGAGTTTAGAAATTAGAGCACGGCTTTTGGGGTCAGACTCCCTGGGTTGGTATTCTCAGCAGTGATATGAACTATCTGTATCCCAGTTTCCCCATCATAAATTAGGGCATTATTTGAAGAGCTACCATGGAGTTGTTTTGAGAATTGAATGAGTTAGTCCACAGGAAACAATTCATAGATATTATTATTACTTTGCATTACTACAGCAGATTCAATTTTTTAAGTATTTCTAAATCTATTCTCTTATTTGAATCTTATAAAACCCTATAAATTAGGGCAAATGTAAAGTATTAGGCTTTTTTCTGAGATGAGGAAATTGAAGCAAAAAGCAGCTGTATGACTTAGATGGTTAAGAGTTTAGAATCAGGGATAGTTGGTTTTGAATCTGATTCTACCACCTACTAGTCCTATGACTTTTAGTAAATGTCTTAACCTGTCTATGTCTCTATTTGCTCTTATCTAAAATGGAAATAATAATGGTATTTACCTCATCATGTTGTGAGAAATCAGAGTTAGTGAATTTCAAAGAATTTATAACAATTCTCAGCAAATAAGAACTAGTCAGTTTTACTGTTGTTTTTACTATTTCTCCCCTAATTAGTCTTACTATTTCCCTGCTGCCCCAGTGCTTGATAAAATACTTGCTACATAATAGGTGATAAATAATATTTCACTGAATAAAAATGCTATAGGATTTCAGAAAAGAAGGAGATCATGAGACCTGGGGAAAGTCCTAGAAGATTTTATGAAGGAGGTGGGGCTTGGGTTGGCTTCATGGGTGACTGGAATTTAAATATGTGATGGAAAACACATCAGCATTTTTATAGATGACAGAAGAGATAATATACATTATACATATACTCCTGGGTTTATTCATTTACCGTTATACATTTACTCCTGGATTTACCACATTCAACTTTGTATTATTTAATTTTCTCCATTTCCAATTAATTAATGGCAAAACCTATTCAAAACAAATTATAAAATGTAGCTTTATCTTACATACATGTTTTAGGTGTTTGCTGTAAGTTTCATTTTGTATAATCAGGCATCAAACTGAATTAATCATTATAAGACATTGCGGGAAAAAAGCAAACTCAGAAACCTTGGGGATGTTGCTCAGATGCATTATAAGAAATGATCCACAATAATTTCACAGAGAACTTTCATTTTATCAAAATTTTATTTTTGTCAAGTAAGTCCAATTACAACTCTGCTTCTATTAGTAACTTGGGATTTTTTTTTTATGGTTCCAGGCAAAACCTCTATGTTTAATCTGCCTGGAGTAAAATTCCTTCTTCAACTGTCACAGAAACAGTTGAGCTATTAGTATGTTTTTTACTTATTATTTGCTACAAGTCCTTGAGTATTTTGATTTTTTTGTTCTGCACATGTTTGCCATTGCCAGTGGGGGTACATTAAGCATATTGTCATGTAATTAACACTGAGTGCTCTTCAGAAACTAAAAAGGATTTTTTGTTTTGTTTTATTTTGTTTTTAACCCTGTATTTGTAGCACTTCCCACCATATAACACAATAGTCAAACACAAATGCAGAAGGACTGGCAGAACATTGTTCTCTATGTTGTTGTCCTCAGATCACCCCGTTGTTTCTAACACTCCAGAGGATCAGCTGAGATTCATGCCATCACACTTGACCTAGTCACTCCTGTTTGTACCCCTCCCTCTCCAATTTTTTCTATTCATGGCTAATTTTATCCACTGGGCTCTTTCTTCCTTTCTGTCATATTTCTTAACAACTTCAATACCCAAATAGATGATTGATTCAGCATCTTGGCCTCTCAAATCCTCAGGTTCTTTGCTTCCAATGACCCACCACTTCCTCCCTACCTCAGCAGCACATCTGGAATCTGTAAAAAGCCCTCTTCCTGATAACCACAGCCTTTTCTTCCAACTCTTCTACCCTGTAGTGCCACCCAAGGAATTGTTGGGCCTACCAAAGTATCAACCCAACCGTTTCCTACTCTCAACCTTCTTCTGGTGCCCTTCTGTCCCATCTAACCCAGCACAGATTCCATGGGCCATGATTATAAACTTGGCCCCCTCTCTCCTGCCTTCCTCCTTTCACTGACCTTGCAAAGCTAAAACTTTACTTAAGCCCTGCTAGCCACCTGATTTCCACCTGCACCCACACAGCTCAACAACACCAAGGCAAATATACAACTAATCTGACCAGCTTCTCTTTAAGTTCATAGAGAGACTCTCAAATGAGCACACAACCCTGTCTGGCACTCCTAGCGTATTTCTAATGTTTGCCTGGACATTGCTTCATGTTACTAAAATAAATAGAGACAATCAGATGGGCACAGAATTGGTTCACTTTACCTGGACTCACCTACATTAAGAATATCACTATTGGGTGCAATATGTGGATCAAGATATAGAATACATTTTAACAGTATAACTACATTTTTTGTTTCCCTGAATTTGTTAATTGAAAATATTATACCTGCAATAAGGGCAGGCTACTTGGCAGTATCTTTTAAATCTTCATTAGATTTTTCAAAAAAAATATTGCTACATTATACTATAGTTAGGCATTTTCCTATGTGTTTGGACAAAAAATTCCAGCATTATTTGAAGACGAAGGGTCAGTGGCAAGTAGAAAATGATCTGTAGGGTACAGGGTTCTGTTCTTGTACCTGTGTCTTTGATTTTTCTTTATGAATGAGTTGGATGAAGATACACAAAGCCAACTTACCAGATTCACAGATAGCAGAAAGTTGGAGGCAAAAACTAATATGTTGGATCAAAAGATATTGGTAAAAATTTAACATGCTGTAAGCATGGGCTAAAACAAGATAAAATTTAACAAGAATAAAAGTAAAATTTTTCACTTAGGTTGAAAAGCAAGTCTGTGATACAAGTTCACAATGTAGAGCACTGAATTAACAGAAAAAAAATGTAAAAAATGCAGCAAAGCACCATGGCACATGTATACCTACGTAACAAACCTGCACATGCTGCACATGCAACCCAGAACTTAAAGTAAAAATTTTTTTAAAAGTACAAAAGTATTGTTGCATTTACATAAAATTTATGTTCATCACAAAGAAAGTAATAGACTTTCCCCTATTCCATCCTAGGCACAGGTCTGACCTCAGCTGGAGAATAGGGTTTAATTCTGTGGATTTGATTTCAAGAGAGATGTAAAGCCTACAGCTCATCAAATAAAAGGAAGACAGGATAGGGTAGAATGGAGACCTTGTGGTGAGTGTGAAGCACATATCTGAGGGGCTACAGAGCAAGCCCTCCAGTGGCTGAAAGACAAATCCAAGGCCATTGGGCATATTTGAGTCTGGTGTCCACCAGAATCCCAGCTCTGCAAGTGATTCATGCAACCTCTCCAAGTCTCAGTGGCTTCACCTACAGAAACATTTGGGGTGATATTAGTAATATGAACAATCACCTCTTGAAAATGGTGTGGAAACTAAATGAGAGGATAATCCATTTGAAGCAATTAGCCAGTCCTGGCACATAATAAGTGCTCCATGAATATGAGTTATTGAGCAAGGGCAGAGCTGGCAGAAGGTATGGAAGAAAAGCATATGGCTTCTGTGTAGCCTAAAGTTGGTACTTCCAAAGTTCAGTACTTTTTATATTTATTTATTTTACCTAGTTATTTTGGGAGGCTTTTTGGTTGCTTGTTTTTTATTTTGTGTTTCATTATTGTTGTACTTTTGAATCCAGACAATTTTAGTTCTAGTTAGAGGAGAAAGTTGAAAATAACTATGTTTTTTCTACATTCAGTCCAGAGAACAGAGGGAGAAAAGTGGCTCTGAACATATTAGGTGTTATGGTAACAAGAACCATGACGTGGAGACAAACATGAGGAAATGGTCAAGACCTGCTTGGTTTCCATGCCCCAGAGTCTCATTTTAAAAACCTTTGCTCCTGCCTTGGAGGTGTGAGTTTTGTTTACACAAGGGTGATGTTGCCTTACCTGTTGCATTCAAGAGGACTAGAGGACAGACAGTAATTTCCTGTGGGAGAGACTCAAAGCAGCTATTTGTCTTAAGCCCCTGCCACTGTGCAGCTTGTCCCAGGCAGAGAGCTGTGAGCCTCTCCTATAACCTGTCAGGAATGATGTTGCAGGGCCTCACTGCTCCATTAAATGGGGTGCTTTGGCCTCAATCCTTTTCACTGATGTTAACCATGTTCTCCCCGTATTTGTCCCTGGAGAAGAAAAAGAAGTGCTAATCACTTCTCCTTTAGAAACAGTACACGCCGCAAAACTAGCCAGATGCCTCATTTCTGTTTCTTTCCCCAGATCTCCTCTGAGAGACTTAGTCCATTTTCTATTGCTGTAACAAATAAGACAGACTACAAAATTTGTAAAGAAAAGATATTTCTTACATTTCTGGAGACTGGGAAGTCCAAAAGCATGGCACCGATACCTGGTGAAGGCCTTCTTGCTGCATGACAACACAGTGGAGGGTATCACACGGCAAGAGGGCCAGGGTGTATGCGTATCGGCTCTGGCCTCTCTTCTTTTTATAAAGCTGCCAGTCCCATGATGGAGGCCCCAGCCTGATTAACTTATCTAATACTAATAACCTCCCAAAACCCACACGTCAAATCAACATGCACATTTGGGGATTAAGTTTTCAACACACAAAATCTGGGGGACAGATTCCAGCAGTAGGACTTGTATTGCCATGCTGCTCAATACGTTTCCACTCTCCTCTGTTCAACTTCTCAATCGGTCTTTTTAAAAATGCCTTTCTTGAAAGCTTGCACGCTGTTGGGGGGAATGTAAATTAGTGCAGCCTCTATGAATAATAGTATGGAGATCTTTCAAAGAACTAAAAATAGAACTGCCCTTTAATCTAGCAATCTCACTACTGAGTATCTACCCAAAGGAAAAAAAATTATTATATTAAAAAGATCCTTGCACTCATACGTTTATGGCAGCACTATTCATAATAGCAAAGCCATGGAATCAACCTAAGTGTCCATCAGTGGATGATGTGTGCCATGGAGTACTATTCAGCCATTAAAAAGAAAGAAATCATGTCTTTTGCAGCAACATAGATGGAACTGGAGGCCAATATCCTTAGTGAAGTGACTCAGAAACAGAAAATTAAAAACCACATGCTCACACTTATAAGTGGGAGCTAAACAGTGGGTACACACGGACATACTGAGTGGAACAATAGACATTGGAGACTTCAGATGGCAGAGGGTGGGAAGGGTGAGAGATGAAATACCACCTATTGGGTACAGTGTTCACTATTCAGCTGATGGGTACACTAGAAGCCCAGACTTCAGCACTGCAAAATACATCCATGTAACACAACTGCACTTGTACCCCTAAATCCATAAAAATTAAACATTTAATTTCAAAAAGATAAAAGAAAAAATTGCTTTTCTTGTCTTCTTCTCCCTCTGGCTTGCATCACTCAATTTATTCTGTCCTTTGGAATCAAACTTCATGAAAGAGTGCTTCTCAGAGCCAAACGGAGGAAGTGCTGTGGTCATGTTCTGTTATTTAGTTGGTGATGGGTGGTGATATTCATTTCATTACTGTGTCTTACAACTTACATATATGTTACATATGTGTTTTTATAAACATCAATGGAGACAAAAGAAAAAAAATAGTAGCCTTAGTGTGTCTCTATTGCCTTCTTGCATATTTGCTCCTCAACCCACAGGAAACTGGACCCTTCCCCAGAACTCCATTGAAATTTCTCTGCTAATGTGACCAATGGCCTCTTCATCACTAGGTGGCTGTTCTTATTTCGCTGGAACTCTATGAGGTATCTGATGGGATTAAGACTCCATGACTCTCTTTTCCCCGGTTTTATTAGAGTATAATTGACAAAACTATTTATGGTGTACATGATGTTTATGTATATATTATTTAGTCAAGCTAATTAACATATTCATTATCTCAGTTCTTTTGTTTGTTTAAGGTATACTCCCATGACTCTTAAACATGTTGCTTCCTATTTTCTGGACAACCTCTCTCCACCCTAGTTTGCCATTTTCTCAATATTTCTTCCCAGGTCCTCTTTTTTCTGCTTAACCACCTGTAGCAGATGCTGTTGGTTAGCTAATCAACCTTCATTCCCAGTGGTCTCCTCCCTGACCACCTCCCTGGCAGGATAGGTCATTAGGAGAGCTCTGATGAATGAGGCTTATGTGGAAGGCTGTAAGGTTTTCAGCAAAGCTTTGCTTTCCTGATATTTTTACCCTTCTCCTTCCCTCCTGCTAGAATGCAGACATGATGACTGGAATTGCTCCAGCAAACCTGTGACTGGATGCTAAAGGAAAACATTAAGATAAAGAGATATCTACACCAACTGAATACTCAACTCAAGACTTTTTGTTATAAAAAAGAATAAAATCCTATTTTTTAAAAGCCGCAATTCAGGCTTTCAGTTGCAGCCAAATGCAATCCTGACATACTCTCAAATGTTATCTCAGAATTCTATTCTCAGTTCCTTTTTCTTTTCATTTAATACATTCTCCCTGAATGATTGAACCAAACCCACTGACACCAATACTGATGATGCAGAAATCTACAGCTCTACCACAAACCCTTTCCCCTCCTCTATGTAGATATGTTGAAATACCTTAAATTCATTATGTCCAAAGTTTCTCTCACAAGCCTCTTCTCTTGCATGCACTGCTGGTTAATACATTCAGTCTTTAAGCAAAGAGAAAATAACTATAAAATCTTCTCAATCACCACTTAATTCCATAACCAAGTAGGGAATAAATCCTCCTCAACTTCATTCAGCCTCCCAATTTCCTTCTCCTTTACTTTGAAGGATAATTTCACTGGGTACAGAATTTTAGGTTGATGTTTGTTTTAACACTAAATATTTCACCCCACTCTCTTCTTGCTTGCATAGTTTCTCTTGAGGGCAAGATTGCTTAAGAACAAAATACTTGGGTATATTTTTAAATGGCTACTTTTCCCCTCCCGCTGCCAGAAGCATAAAGGAATTTTTCTCTGCTCTTTAGAGAACCTGGAGGTAAAAGTCATAAAAGTGTGGAGGCTCCATCAAGACTGGGCCCTCCTGGAGTTTTTAACTCTCAAACTTGTCCACACTGACTTTTTCTACCAATTTGTCAATCACAGATTATGTTTTCCTACCCTAGTACTGGTTCCCACAGAGTTTTTGTTCCTGGGCTTCTGCTCTGATAGGTAGAATTCTATCTACCTATCTACATATACATTCTCTGTATATGCCTATCTATCAATTTTGGGGCATTGGTTTAGCTAAGACCTCAGTTCTCTGATGGATCTAAGTTATTGATTTTCTGTTTGTTCATTTTTTTTTCTTCTTGCATGAACAGGATAAATGACTACCATGCTCCTCGCATGCCAGGCTGGAAACCAGAAGTCCTGAATTTGTTCCTAAACGATCTCTTCTTCTCAACCCAGCAGCCATTGTCTTTGTTCAGGCCACCAGCATCTATCTTTCAGATTGATGCAACGGCCTTTGTACTGCCTCCCTGCCTCTAGCGTCACCTCTCTTCCATTCATTTATTTATTCAAACAGAGCATTTACTGAACACCTGCTTTGCATCAGGCACAAACTAAGACCACCAAAATGATGCAGCGATAGCACCAATTTCTGGAATGAAATTAATCAGCTGACTTCCCTGCTTAAAATCCCCCATTGCTCCTCATGAGTAGCAGGTGGAAGCCCAACTCCACAGCAAGGACCTCAGTGCCCTTCTGTCTGTGACCTGGTCATCTATTTCTGACCCATCTCCCCTGTGTTACTCTGCAGTTCCTAAAGACCCTTCTCCCATCTCTCATGAGATGTCATCCTCTATGCCTCTGCCACTTATTTCCTCTGCCTGGAATGCTCTTTCCCTTTCTTGTCTAACTAACCCCTCCTGATCCTTTAAAGTTTAGCTTAAAAGTTAGTGGATCCTTGCCAGAGGGATAGTCTTAAATAAAAGATACCAAGGGATCCATTTAGGAAAGAAACCACTTGAGGGTACGACTGTAAGTTGTCTGACAAGCTCAATTTTTTATTGTAAAATAATACTTTAAAGTTTTGTAAACTATATGTTTGTTACAGAAAACTTAAGACAAACAAAAAAAGTATAACAGAGGAAAAACAACACCCACGATCCCTCATTCAACAAAAAATGCAGCTATCATTATGGACTGTTTATCTACCATCATCTTTGCGCTCAAACTGATGATGCACTTTAAGACCACAACATTTCTGAACAGTATTAAAGACTCTTGGTACCCATCATTTTTGGTGGCTGCATAATGTTTCTTTTACATATAGACTATAATTTCCTTAACCCCTCCCATGTTGTTGAATGTTTTGTTTCCAATTTTTGTTATTGTAACTTATGCTGTCCTGAATATCTGTGTGCACAAAGCTTTGTTTACATTTCTGTTTATTTCCTTGTGAGATATTCTTAGAATTGTACAACTCAGGGAAGAGACTGAGTTTTTTAAATTTTTATTTATTTATTTATTATACGTTAAGTTCTGGGATACCTGTGCAGAATGTGCAGTTTTATTACACAGTTATACACGTGCCATGGTGGTTTGCTGCACCTATCAACCCGTCATCTACATTAGGTATTTCTCCTAATGCTATCCCTCCCCTAGCCCCCCACCCCACAACAGGCCATGGTGTGTGATGTTCCTCTCCCTCTCCATGTGTTCTCATTGTTCAGCTCCCACTTATGAGTGAGAACATGCGGTGTTTGGTTTTCTGTTCCTATGCTAGTTTGCTGAGAATGATAGTTTCCAGCTTCATCTGTGTCCCTGCAAAGGATATAACCTTATCCTTTTTTATGGCTGCATAGAATTCCATGGTGTATATGTGCCACATTTTCTTTATCCAGTCTATCGTTGATGGGCATTTGGGTTGGTTCCCAGTCTTTGCTATTGTGAATAGTGCTGCAATAAACATACATGTGCATGTATTTTAATAGGAGAATGATTTATAATCCTTTGGGTATATACTCAGTACTGGGATTGCTGGGTCAAATGGTATTTCTGGTTCTAGATCCTTGAGGAATTGCCACACTGTCTTCCACAATGGTTGAACTAATTTACACTCCCACCAACAGTGTAAAAGCATTCCTATTTCTCCATATCCTCTCCAGCATCTGTTGTTTCCTGACTTTTTAATGATCACCATTCTAACTGGTGTGAGATGGTATCTCATTGTGGTTTTGATTTGCATTTCTCTAATGACCAGTGATGATGAGCTTTTTTTCATCTGTTTGTTGGCTGCATAAATGTCTTCTTTTGAGAAATGACTGTTCATATACTTCACCCACTTTTTGATAGCGTTGTTTGTTTTTTCCTTGTAAATTTGTTTAAGTTCCTTGTACATTGATTTTGTATCCTGAGACTTTGCTGAATTTGCTTATCAGCTTAAGGAGATTTTGGGCTGAGCGATGGGGTTTTCTAAATATACAATCATGTCATTGATACAGAAATTTTTAAGACTCTTGATACGTATTACCAAATTGCTTTACAGAAATTTAGACCACTACTACCATCTGCAGTGTGTTAGAGTTCATGTTTCACAGAATCCTCACCTGAATTGAATATCTTTTTAAAATTTTTCACATATTTCTTTTTGTTTTTTTTATATTTTAACTTCTTTGCTTATTAGTTCAGATAAACTTTTTATATGCTTACTAGTTATTTATGTTTCTTCTTTTATGAACTAAGATAGTCTCAGGTTTCAGAATTGAACACAGTGTTACAGTAAGGAGATTAATTCTTTTCAGTCATCAATCAATTTGAGCTATTGTATGCATTCATATATAAGGTTATTAGTTATTTGTCAAGTTAAGTTATGTTTTTAAAGGTATGTTTAAAAAACACATCAGGAAGAACTCAATTTACTCCACATTAATTGATAAGCTATCATGTATCTGTTACTGTTACAGACAAGATATAGAAAGAAAAATTAAACATATATTTGCCCTCAAGATGCTTACACATTACATCATAAATGGTACAAAACAGGGTGGTCTTTGCTAGTGAGCTGGAAATTTAGAGCTCATCGTGAGTTCAGAGAAGATCTAATTCCTTCCAATGAAGCAGAAAAGTCAGAGAAGGACAGAAGATTTTCGAGAGGAGCACTAAGAATAAGGAGTTTAGTAGGCAGAAAGGGGAAAATGTACACCAGATAAGACTTACTTTGCTCAATGGACAACATTATTAGGAAACCTGTCTTGCAATGAAAAGGTGATATGCTTGGTGGGTTGCAGAGTAAGGTACGTGAGGAATTTGTAAGAGCCTGGAGTGATTAGTTTGAGGTCAAACTATGAAGAAGCTTATACGTATTGATAAGGAAAGTGAGCTCATCCTTTATGTGTGGCGTCAACAGTTTTTAAAGAAAGGCACTATTATTCTAATTTCACAGATGAAGAATTTGAGGTGGAGAGAGGTTAAGTACAAAGTCTTGTTATTAGGAAGCGAAACAATTTGAACCGTGTGAGTCCTGAAACAGGGCTCTTTAAAGCACAGTGCTGTAATGCTTTCCATTAGTCCCCTCATCCTTACCATGCCTATGTGAAGGAGGCACCAGGAGCTCTGCTAGGAACTGAAGACTGTGGAAGGGGAAATGGGTTCCATTCTCTCTTCAGATATCATACATCCACACCCAACATGCGTTCATGTGCGCGCACACACACACACACGCACACACACACCCATCACATCACATACCAAGACAAGAAAAGCTACTCATCTACCTGGACATGACAGATAGCAGGAACTGAAGGAAATCAAACTATTTTACCCCCAAAATATGTTTGTTTGACATACTTTGAAATGGCCCTTGTGAGGAAAATCCACATTCTATAGAGATTCCCTTTCTTTTTCTAAGTCTCTTTGCTAATCCAGTAGAGAATTAGCTAAGAGTCTGACACTTTTTTAGGTCTGATAAGAAACATTTACAATCTATTCTCTCTGAAGCCTGCAAGCTGGAAGCTTCACCTGCATAATAATAACCTTTGTTTCCACAACCCCTTATCTTCACCTGCCACTCATTTCTATTGATTCCAGATCTTTAATCAGAAAATATTTGAATCCACCTATGACCTAGAAGCCTCCATTTTGAGTTGTCCCATTTTTCGATACCAAGATGTTACCAGAAAGGGGTTCCGATCCAAGAGAGGAACCAACCCAAGAGAGGTTCTTGGATCTCACACAAGAAAAAATTCAGAGTGAGTCCACAGAGTAAAGTGAAAGCAAATGTATTAAGAGAGTAAATGGATGAAAGGATAGCTACTCCATAGACAAAGCAGGGCATTCCCAAAAGCCAGAGGAGGAACACACCTTAGGTACAATGCTTGTTTATATATAAGATAACAAAGCAAAACATCATGGGGGAGATATGCTCCACTACAAGGGCTTGTGACAAAGGATTGTTAATCTTTGTGTCACTACTGTCTTCTAAAGAATGTATATTATTATCTTCAGAGTGAAATTTAAACTAAGAATGATTTTGTTCTTAAGATATTGGGAAATCTGAACATTTTCTGGGTCTCTTAAGTCCTACGTCTGTTTGGTAAATATTATTAACTTGTTCCCTTAACTGTAAATACCCTGTTGACTAAGAATGCCTAACCTCCTACAAACGAAACCCAGTAGGTCTCAACCTCATTTTACCCAGTGCCTATTCATGATGGAGTCACTCTGGTTCAAATGCCTCTGACATATATTCCCCCTCCCTTTTGCAAGGAGACCTTAATCCTAAGGGTTGTAGAGGGATGAAGAACCATCTTCTGTAGCTTTTTCAGTCTCAACAGGGGTGATGATATTCCTGCCTAACTATTAGAGTATCTTGTTTTCAGGGTATGGAGGAGTTCAGTCAGAAGGTGCCAGTATGGTGAGGGTCATTCACAACTCTGAATCCTGATAAAACGTGATATCTGGAAGATTAATAAGTGTCCAATTTAAGAAAGCATTGAGTAAGCTTATCTCTAATTCCTATACAAAGAGTACAACAGCAATATATCCCACAATAGCAAAGCAATATAACTAAAAATATTCCAAGTAAACCAAATACGAAGACTTTCCAGGAACTGGGCAATTGTTGGAACCAAGCTGCTAGGGGGTTGACTGACAGTACATCAATGGCAGAGACATGCCTGTCTAAAGCTTTCATAGCCTGGGTAATATTATGTGAATAGTCTGGAACATATACACAAAATTCAGTTTTGACTAAAGCACAAGCTCCCCCTTGAGCTGCTGTTAAAATGTCCAAAGCCGTTTGGTTCTGTAAGGCCACCTACCTAATTTGAGAAGTTTCCTCAGCTGGGAGGGGAAGGACATGGAGTGTAATATTGAGAGCTGCAGCTGTGTGTTTGGCTAGGGCTTCCACTTGCAGCTCCATATCAACTTTGGCTGCCTGTGAGGAAATTTTAGCCTTTGGGTAAGACCACCAAGACACCTGTTTTTGTCACCTATGGCAAGACTTTACTATTTCCCAGTTAGATAAAAGAGAGTCCAATTTAGTGAGGATATGTCCCAAGAGATAAGGGTGTATACTTTCCAGTCCAATTATAAGGTAAGTCCAGCTAGCCATGAGTTCCACAAACCCATAGCCATTCCCAAGGAGAAGCGTAAGCACCTATTTTTGGCAAATTATGGTACCATCCCATCCACAGGTGGTCTGTTAAAAGAAGGGTCTGATTACACTCTTCAGGTGCTAACCATCCTATATCATGGGTTTCAGTCTGATGGTGACTGTTACTTTGCCTTTCAAAACATAGAAGCACTTTGCTCAATACTTGTATTTAGACAGCTGTCATCCACCCGAGTCCATCGTGTACAGTATAACCTAAAGTTAAACTGGAATTCAGCTGTTTTTTAATTAGATGAAAAAGGTGACTTTTTGTCTCTCTGTAGGATAGGAAGACGCTGAGGCCCATGAGACTATAGTATATGAGGAAAGTGGGTATGTGTTTACCATTTTCAGTTTCCCGATCATAATAATGTCCCCATACACTTAGGTTGGCTGGTTTAACAGACCAGGGCAATGGGAAGTGAAGAAAAGTGGCAATTCTCCACTTACCCAACATGTGATGTGATCATATAGAGAGGCTAAAGTCTATGCCCACTCAGCAAATAAGCTACTCACTGTGTGATTCCAACTTATACCCAAAAGTAGAATGCCAATCCCAATTTTTATGTTAACTATCTCTTTCATTTATTCTGAGGAGGAGCCAGGGGTCACAGGTTGGCTCAAAGGAATAAGTAGGATCAGTCTCTTGTGTTTTGGCAGCCCATAGGACTTCATAAGAAACAGGTTTAATTCGAGATAAGTGGACCCAGCTGTTTATTCACTGCTTCTATGTTACCCAACTTCTCTTCATTTTCAATGTCCTGGCCTCCAAAGTTAAAGAAAATAGGAAAATACCATCTGTATTTTTAAGGCCTATTGTTTTATTTTCAGCATTTCAAAGGTACTAGAGATACATAGTTTTATTCAGTGTCTATGAATTATTCCTACATGAATCAGCAGAAGCAAGTGATGAGGTTCAGGATACCTCCCTCTAAAATATAGCACTTTGGCATTTGAGGAAACAGCAGAAACAGGAAGATGCTTCTCACCTTTCCCTGCCCTTCTACCCTGAAGGAGGTCATAAAACCTTAATTCCAGAGGTGCTTTCCCTACCCAGTGGGAAGGAACATCCTTATCCTCAAAGACAGAGATGCCAAGAATCTGAACAAAGAAGCTTTGCTATGATCTCCCTAGGCTAATACCATTGGGTCACACCCCTTTTGTCCAGTCATACTTCCCCACAGCTATCCACTTCATATTTGGCATAAAACTTTGTCAAACTTGTCATAAAAATACAACAGTTCTCCTGTTTCTTTGGGTCTTTACTTCTGAAGCCTCCTGTGTCAGATAACACATATTAAATACATTTCTATGGTTTTCTCTTGTTAATCTGTCTTTTTATTATAGGTGCCTCCACCGTTAACCTTGTGTTGAATAAGAATAAAGATATTATTTCTTCCCCCTATACAGGGAGTTGAAAGATTTGATAAATAAGAATTGTGTGCTATTTTGGTGGGCTCTCTGCCAGGCAGTGGCAAGTAAAGCATGAAGGTAGTGTGCCTTCTTCCCAGACATAGCATGACAGCATCAGAGGACCTCTCCAGACTTACACTGGAATTCATGAACCAACATTTGGAGATGGTGTTAAGGTTCCTCATGTGATTTAATGCACTTGAAGCCTTCTTATTTCTCTGCAGTCAACTTCTTCCTCAGTAGAGGCACATTAATCCTTTGGCAGAAACCCAGTTCCTGTCATAGTGATTTCTTTAATTTTACCTTCATGTCCTCGACATTACAACCTTTATTTTGATTTGACTTTATTTTTATTTATAAAAGATATTTAAATATTTATAATTATTTTGATTTCCCAGTCAATTCTTTATAATATGCCTTTTTGCATCATTCTAATTGTTTTTTCTATAAGTCCTTTCTCCTTTTCTCAAATGGTCACTACTGCCTGCACATTGGGGAGCTCAATATCTTCATCAGAGTCTTCCTACCTGTCCCCATCCCAACTTTCAGGATTCTGTTCTTTCCCAATAAATGCCTTTACTCCAACAGTAGACACCTACAGGGCTGAGAGTTCAACTTTTGTTATAATTCAGACAATCACATGACAAAGACCTCTGTTTGATTTTCAACGATTTCAGCTCTGTACTTACACGAAAGAAGATTCTCCTTCAGAGGACACTTAGAAGCTTTTAGACTATTTATGTGAAGCTGGAGCCAGAAATTCAAATTTATGAGCTCATCCTTTCCTTTCGTCACTTTGTCCAACAGTATTAGGTGCAACTAACCAACATCATTTCATTCCTTCATTTTCCAAATATGTTCACAGGTATCACACACAGAGTTACTAGGTTTCTTGCATCTTAAAAGTGGTCAATTAGGAGTATCCAATGCAGATATTTTGGGTCTCCCTATAAACAGTTTATGCCATGAACTACCAGTGCTCTCTGTATTATTATTGGAAATAGAGTTCTTAGTATTTTTAAGCCAAATCAGATTATAGAACCAATTCCAGAAATCCCCAAAACAATGAAGAAAACTCATTCTAAAAATTCTGTTCCTTTAGAATTCCACTGTCAGTACCAAAACCTGTTTTAGTCAGGGTTTTCCAGAGAAACAGAAGCAACTGGATATAAGCAGAGATATAGGGAAGGGAATTTATTAGGAAAATTGGCTCACTTGAATATGGAGACTGAGAAGTCCCACAGTAAGCTGTCTGCAACCCAGAAAACCAGGAAAGCCAATGGCATGGCTCAGCCCAATCTGAAGGCCTCAGAGCCTAGGAAATTTATGTTGTAATTCTCAGTTTGAGGTCAAAGGCCCGAGAGCCCTCAGTGCCACGGAAAAGAGTCTAAAGGCCAGAGAACCTGGAATTCTGACATCAAGGGCAGGAGAAGAAAGGCATCCCATCTCCAGAAGAGAGATGGTACGAATTTTCCCTTCCTCTACCTTTTTATTCCATCAGGTTTCCACCAGAATAGATGGTGCCCACCCACAATGATCAGTCCACTGACTCACACTCTATCTCCTCCAGACATACCCTCACAGACACACTTGGGACAGCCTAATCATTCTAATCAAATCCCAAACCACTTGAATTTCCCTTTCAGAAGAAGACAGGCGGGCTCAATGCTTACCTAAGCATTAAGAATAAATAATGCTTTACCAGCTATCTAAGCGTCTCTTAACCCAGTGAGGTTAACACCCAAACTCAACAATCACATTCCTTTCCTCAAATAATCACTATTGCATGCATATTGTGGAGGCCCAAACAGATGATGATGGAAGGGCTGGGCATACTTATTATTTTGTACTAGCTATGTGGCTGCTCAGATTTTTAAAGAAAACATAAACTACACAACCTTGAATTGCTAATTCTAAAAATCTACCTCTTTTCATCTGAGACATAATAACCAGCAAGATAAAGTAACTTCCTCAAAGAGACAGCTAAGGATTTTAGTTTGGTAGAATAAGTTTCAAGAACTAGATGATTTTCAAATTATTCAAAATAAGATTCAAGATTAAATAAATAAGTACATGTCTAATATTTAAAGCAAACATTTTGTTTTGTCTGGTAGAATTCAGATGTTGACTATTTATGGTATCTTATATGAGTAAACATAGAACATTGATTGCCAAGATAAACCAGAGATAAATAAACACAATTATAGGAAATTTCTTCTGACATATACATATTGCAAGGTTTGAATTTCTGCTTTGTAGCTTGAAGTCACATATGTAATAATATTTGAAAGATGTATTGATTCTCTAGGAGAGAGTAATTTTCTCCAGGAACTAAGGAATAGTACCGTATGCTTATAATGGAGGGAACATCTGTTAATCATGATTTTTTTTCTTAATTCAGGAAACTTTAAATGAAAAAAAAGAGAATAATAACCAATAAGAGAAACATTAAGACATCAGTAGGTAAATAGATAAATAACCTGAATAGAAAATACACACAAAAAGGAAATATGGCTAGAGAAATAGAGAGGAAAAAAATGAAGGTTTAAAAGTTATTGTTAGACTTACTCAGAGAGAAAAGTGCATTTTGTTTAGGATAATACAGATGGGCCGATTCTAGCTGTGAAAAGATAGCCCTAGGACAAATCCTCCCTTAACTGAAAATAACAGTCTAGGTCTCTCTAAAGCTTTCTTTTCGGAGGTCTCTTTACCCCTGTCTTATGAGATCTGAGACTGAAAGAAGAGGCAGGGTAGGAGGATAAAGAAATACAGAAAATGTTTCCATGTTTCCAGAAATCCACTGATACCGTTTGGATGTCAGTCCGCTCCAAATCTCATGTTAAAATGTGATCCCCAGTGTTGGAGGTGGGGTCTGGTGGGAGGTGTTTAGGTCATGGGGTTGGATCTCCCATGAACGGCTTGGTGCCATCCCCATGGCAATGGGTGAGTTCTCGCTCTGGCAGTTCACACAAGAGCTGGTTGTTTAAAAGCGCCTGGCACCTCCTCCTTTTTCTCTTGCTCCCGCTTTCTCCCCCTTCACCTTCCACCATGAGTGGAAGCTTCCTGAGGCCTCGCCAGGAGCAGACACTGCCACCATGCTTCCTGTACAGCCTGCAGAACCATGAACCAATGAAACTTCTTTTCTTTATAAATTACCCAGCCTCAGGGATTCTTCTACAGCAAAGCAAAAACAGACTAACACATCCTCCCTAATGGTCACTCAGGCACTGGCTCAGGAAACCCCCTCTCTCCCGTTCTGGCTCAGATTCCTTTCTTCTTTTATTCACTGGCTCTCACATCATGGTTTCTTATCGCACTGACCTGGGCTAGAATAGCTGTTTCTCCATTTCCATGTCTGTAACACCTTGGTGGTCTGATTTTAAGCATACCTACATTATTCATCTGCTGCATTTCTCTAGCTCTGGTTCATCTCTATTTCAAATTTGCTCTTGCACAGATCCATGTGAACATTGAGATGGAAGATTCTCCTGCAGTGTTTGTTCTCCAGTGCATATTCTTCCCAGAGCAGGCTCCAAGTTCTTCAGAAACATCTTTTCTGTACGTATAACCAATCGCTCCTCTGGGAGGAAGTAGAATCCTGGACTGTTTCAGCTACTCTGGAACTTGGAGAAAGAAAGCAGCTTCAAAGAGCCTGCAAAGCTCTTCCAGACCTTCGGAAGTCATGGATTCTCTGACTGTGGCATGCACTCTGACACAGTCCTCACCCACCCAAGCACCTATTGTTTTGCTTCCAAATTTTAATGTTTAACTATTTTATGCTCACTTCTTTGAGAGCTGCATACACAGGAATATGGTAACTCAAAAACTGGCCCTCCAGATCTTCCTAACAGTGGTTTCTCTCCATCAATACTTATTTTGGGGGACCCATCCATTCTCAATCTTAGCCCCCAACCCAGTCATCACTGTTACCCAATTTGCAAAGATATCCCAACGGAATTCCAGTCCCCTATGTAGCAAAATGCACCATCTCAAGTTAGAATATGACCTCCAGTAATGACATCTTGGAGAAAGAATATTTTAAGAAAACATACTTTTTCTAATCATAATTAAGTATACTTTAGTTATGACATATCTATTATTGATTTATATGATTATGCTTAGAATCATATAGAGGGCTTCTAATGTTAAAGAGAGAAATCCATCAAGGTTAAAAAATCAGCTTTTCCTTTTTTTGTTTTCTGAGAACTACAAAACATATTTATTAATTTACTCATGAACTACATGACTCCTAAGATTCCTTCAAGGAAATAGTTTTTAATTATTTTATCAATCTAAATCTATTTGAATCTAAATCTATGTGAGTTCTATATTGTGTTCATTTCAATGAGGGAAACAGCAAGAGAGAAAGAAAGTGAAAAAGAGAAAAGCAATAGAAGGGGAAGAGAAGCACTCAGGGGAAAGAGAAAGATGGATGAAGGAAAAATCCCCCGTTCACTCAATCAGCAAATATGCATTAAGGGTTTCATCTGTGGCCAGCACAGAGCTAAAAAGGAGAAAGAGGAGAAAGAAGGATGAAATCAAAAGAATGGGAGAAGCCTAGTGTTTTTTTAATTAGAGGGCATCCGGGGTTAACTGCTATTTACTAAAGCTGTGGTGTGTGAGGTGTTATTGCCTGGAAGATGAAGCCACCTCCATTCGACATTTTATCGAGCTAAAATATGCAAATCACAGTTCTCCACAGCACATCATTAAACCTTCACAGACTCTTCCTGAGATGGAATCATTCCGGTGATAAAATCACACTGGGGGCTGCAGAAGCTCTTGCCAGGCCCACACTCATATACGGGATATTTGCCAAGAATCAGATGAACAAGGGCTGAGGGCCAAATTTGGCCCATGAGCTGGAGGTTTGCCAAATCCAAAGTAATTCAAGATGCTGGTCCAACAAATATTCTGCAGTATGAAGTCGTGTCCTGAGTTCACAGTTTCATGTACTGAAAAAAATGAATATAATCAGGGGCTACTTTTTTTATGGCATGCCAACCTCTTTATACTCTTAAAAGATACATGAAATGAAAAATGCTCAATTATAGATGAAATATATAATTGGTGCCTGTTATAAATTTCAGAAAGACTCAATTTATTAAAATTAGTGAACAAAGAGTTTTTAAGTTGCAGACCTAGTTCAATCTATTGCTAGCTGAATACATACTCTGAAGATATATCAACTTCTGTCAGTTCTTATTTCAGCAAATGGGGTTTTCTGATTTATTCAATGACCAGGACTTTCTGAATTGTTGACACTGTTTTTCTCTCTTAATTCCTTAAAAACCAGGTCAGTTTTCTTTTTTATTATTATTATACTTTAAGTTCTGGGGCACATGTGCACAACCTGCAGATTTGTTACATATATATACAATGGGTGCCATGTTGGTATGCTGCACCCATTAACTCGTCATTTACATTAGGTATATCTCCTAATGCTATCCATCCGCCCTCCCCCTACCCCATGACAGACCCCAGTGTGTGATGTTCCCCACCCTGTGTCCAAGTGTTCTCATTGTTCAGTTCCCACCTATGAGTGAGAATATGCGGTGTTTGGTTTTCTGTCCTTGTGATAGTTTGCTTAGAATGATGGTTTCCAGCTTCAAAACCAGATCAGTTTTGTTACCTTCTTCCCTACTGACCCCTCCAGTTTTCTGATAGCAGTGGCTTCAGAAGTATGTGTGAGAAAAGTCAAAGCAAAGAAGGATGAAATATATCCTGCTTTAGAATATTGGAGAAAGAGCTTTATAAACCTGTAATATTCTTATTTAGCAATTGTGTTCAATAAGTTTCTCATTATTTATCATTTAGACTTTTAAGCTAAAGTGAGATAAAATTTAGTATAGATTTCTTCATATTCTCTTAAATTCTTTTGCATTTTGTGAAATTATTTTATTGAACTGTAAAATCTTTCTTTATATAAACTCTTTTGAAGGCTTTACTGTATCATGAAATATGATTTTCCTTATGTCTTATGCCCAAGTGGTTTTCAGAGAAAGACATTTTGGTTTTATAATGAAAATCAATGGGCAACTAAGACTACATGGAAAGAAACTGTACAGATACTATGGTTGGGAATGGAACTATTTCAGTACTCCGTTACACATTAAGAATTTGGAGTTCTGCAAATTTACTAGAAAAAAAAGCAATGCCATCAAAAGATAGGTAAATGATATGAACAGACACTTCTCAAAAGAAGACATTTATGCGGCCAACAAACATGTGAAAAAAAGCTCATCGTCACTGGTCATTAGAGAAATGCAAATCAAAACCACAATGAGATACCATCTCACACCAGTTAGAATGACGATCATTAAAAAGTCAGGAAACAACAGATGCTGGCGAGGATGTGGAGATATAGGAACAGTTTTACACTGTTGGTAGGAGTGTAAATTAGTTCAACCATTGTGGAAGATAGTGTGGCGATTCCTCAAGGATCTAGAACCAGAAATACCATTTGACCCAGCAATCCCATTACTGGATATATACACAAAGGATTATAAATATTCTACTATAAAGACGCATGCACCTGTATGTTTATTGCAACACGATTTACAATAGCAAAGACTTGGAACCAACCCAAATGCCCATCAATGAGAGACTGGATAAAGAAAATGTGGCACATATACACCATGGAATACAATGCAGCCATAAAAAAGAATGAGTTCATGTCCTTTTCAAGGACATGGATGAAGCTGGAAGCCATCATTCTCAGCAAACTAACGCAGGGACAGAAAACCAAACACTGCATGTTCTCACTCATAAGTGGGAGTTGAACAGTGAGAACACATGGACACAGGAGGGGAATATCACACACCAGCGCCTGTCAGGGGGTTGGGGGCAAAGGGAGGGAGAGCATTAGGATAAATACCTAATGCATGAGGGGCTTAAAACCTAGATGACGGGTTGATAGATGCAGCAAACCACCATGGCACATGTATACCTATGTGACAAACCTGCATATTCTGCAAATGTATCCCAGAAATTAAAGTAAAATTTTAAAAAAAAAAATTCTAAAAAAAAAAAGAAAAGAATTTGGAGTTTTGGCAAGATTTTTGGACAAGGAAACTCCCACCAAAATTCTATAATGTAAGAGCTCAGTCATAAAACAGAGCTCAGCTGGCGGAGCCTGATTTGCCTCCTACAAACCTCCCTTTAAAAGGCTCAGGAAAGCAAGAATGAGGTACAAAGTTGCAAAAGCAGTGGATTCTGGAAATATGGGTCAACTCACTGGAAGAATTTCAACTCTCCAGGGTGCAAGTAGGGCCCACAGGTACAAGAGTGAGAGTGAACTAGAAAGGTACAGCCCATCTCTGATGTCTCTCTGCACCCCTTCCTTCACAGTCATGGGGACTCTACAGGCCACGGGGTGGGCTGCCAGCCTCCTTGATCACAGAGTCCCTTTCTGAAGGAAACAAGCTCATTTCACAAGCATGGCAAACCCTTTCCTCGTTAGAAATGCTCTGTCTCACTAATTTTAGGGACTGTAATTTCCAGTACTACAAAAGACCGTGTGCAGAAGCAACAGTGGTTCAGTTCATGTAATTCCTCATGTTATACATTTATATATGACAAGGACTGCCTTAAGAATTCAGGATGAAATGATGAAGATACAGTCTTTGCATGAATATAATAGTAAAACAAACACACACAAATTATAATATAAAAAAAATCCTAGAGGCCAGGTGCGGTGGCTTATGCCTATAATTCCAGCACTTCGGGAGGCTGAGGTGGGTGGATCACTTGAGGTCAGGAGTTTGGGGTCAGCCTGGTCAACATGGTGAAACCCCATCTCTACTAAAAACACAAAAATTAGCCAGGTGTAGTGGCACGTGCCTGTAATCTCAGCTACTAGGGAGGCTGAGTCAGGAGAATCGTTCAAACCCAGGAGGTGGAAGCTGCAGTGAGCCAACATCGCGCCACTGCATTCCAACCAGGGTGACACAGCAAGACTCAGTCTCAAATAAACAAACAAAATTCTAGAAAGCATTTCCCAAGGCCTGAAAGCTAATGAAGGGCATTTCACAGGTGGCAAGTGGACCATTGCAGCGTCTCTTCTCCCATTCCTTCACAGCCACTCAGCCCTGCCTCTTAGTTAGGCATATTGCTTCCTACAATAAAAGACTCTGCCTCACTTTCTCCTCTGGGCTATGCTGACATAGTGGAGCTACCAGGTCAGCCATGGACAGCCATCTTTCCTGAATTATTTTACGTGAAAAAAATGGTGCATTTTTATTTTACATCGTTATTTGGGGGCTCATCCGGTGAACTTAAATCTAACTGATTCAAGGGGCCAGTCACATGAGGGGAGAAGGCAGAAAGGGCCTAACTTAAGAAACAAAAGAAGACATGCAGGGCCAGGAAGGAGAAGACCTCTGAGAGTAGTGTGCTCTGTCATTGTAGTATGGAACTTTCCTACTCCTAGCACAGGAAGATCTAAATTCTGCTTCAGAACCACTAAGCAGTCACTCCTCATTCTAGTAGAGCCACGGTAGAAAAGTAAAACTGTGGCCCAACAACTTTGACTAGAAGACCAGGATACCAACCAGCATTTCAGTGGGGAATGAGGTAGCAGCAACAGCAAGGATTCCCAAGAGAAAGTACTGGTGGTGTGTGTGTATGTTAACAGCCACACTAGTGTGGCAGCAAAAATGTCACACTTATTTTACTTAGAAATAGATGTTACTTATTTTCAAGCTCCTGCTTGAGTTGATGGCAACAGGCTTGCCTATTGTAACAGGCACCCTCTAGGGTGCATACCCACACCCACCAGGATCCCTGCCTCCTCATGTCCATGCCCTTGTGAAATCCTCTTTCTTTGAGTAGGGGTTGGAGCAGTGATTTGCTTATAATCAATAGAATATACACGTGTAGGTGTGTAGTAGGCGCTGTCATCTAGGTTGGTGTAAGTACACTCTGTGATGTTCACACAATGATGAAATTGCTGAACAATGCATTTCTCAGAATGTATCCCCACCAAAAAGAGACACATGACTGTAGGCAGGAGGAAATGCATAAGTTAAATGCAAACACTAAGCCATTTTATGTCAAGGACTTGAACATCTGTGGTTTTTGTTATCTACAGGGGCCAGTCCTCTGTGGATACTGAGGTACAACTGTAAGGTTTCACCTTTTAGTTTTAGATCTCTAATCCATTGGGAATTTATTTTTGTGTTTTGTGTGAGATATATATCTAATGTTACCTTTTTCCAAATTACTATTTCATCCTCCAGTCTCTTCTTTCTCTGTTCCATTTTCCATACACTGCCCAATCTGTCTTACTAAAACAGTTTCCTCCATTCTTCTCTTACTCGGTGACCACAAATGGCTTCTTGTCATTTGTTGCATCAAATCCAAACAAAGCTTCATGCCAAAAATTAAAGTTCTCCATGATATGCACCATTTAATGTATTCAATTCCTTCTCCATAATCCTAAAATGCACCTGTTCCACAGCCTTTCATCTAGCCTTCAAAATGTCCCTGAACGTTGGGATTTTGATAGTGCTGTTCAATTTTTTCTTCCTGTCTACTTATAAGAGTGCTACAACTCCTTAAATCAATATATTTGAAGAAATAATTACTGTAATTTTATAAATGTGGTAAGAACTGAACACCAACAGATCCAAGAAGCTCAACAAACTCCAGGCACAGGAAACATTTTTTTTTTAAATAAAGGACATTTTATAATCAAATTACTTAAAACCAATTGTGAAGAGAAAATCTTAAAAAGAACTAGAAGTGGGTAAAGACCCACATTACAAACTGGAAATCAAAAATAAGAATAATCAAAGGCTTCTTATTGAAAATAAAGAAAGAAAACAGGGCAATATCATTTTTAAAGCAGTGATATTAAAAAAACAAAAACAACTATCAGGTTTGGGAGAAAGACTGAGATAGTCTATGAAAAACTTTTAGATGCTAAGAACGAAGCATAAGATATTTAAACAGATGTATAAAACAATGTGACAAAATCCAACACTCATTCATGATTTAAAAAAAAAAAAAACAACACAAAACTCCTAGCAAACTAAGAATGGAAGAAAACCTCCTCAATCTGATCAAGGGAATCTAGAAAAAACATTTACATTATACTGAGTGGTAAAAGACTGCATGCTTCCCCCTAAGATCAGGAACAGTCAAGGATGTCCACTCTCATCACTTCTATTCAACATTGTACTGAAGGTCCCAACGTGTGCAAAAAGGCAAGAAAAAACATACAAAAGGCATACAGATTGGGAAATCAGTGTAACTGTCTTTATTGACAGATGGCATGATAATCTATGAAGAAAATTCTAAGTAGTTTACAAAAAAGCTACCAGAATTAGCAAGTAGGTTTAGCAAGGTTTCTGTATATGAAGTCAATATGCAAAAACAATTGTATTTCATATACATGCCAGAAACAAAAATTGCAAATTATTTTTTTAAAGATAGGGTCTTGCTCTCTTGCCCACGCTGGAGTGCAGTGGCATGAGCATGGTTTACTACAGCCTCGAATTCCTGGGCTCAAGTGATCCTCCCACCTCAGCCTCCCAAGTAGCTAGGACTACAGGCATGCACCACCGCACCTGGCTAATTTTTTTTTGTAGACACAGGGTCTCACTGTGTTGCAGAGGCTGGTCTCAAACTCCTGGCCATCCGCCTGCCTCAGGCTCCCAAAATCTTGGGATTTTGAAATGAAATTTTATTTTAAAAAGTATAATTTCCTATAATATCTAAAAGAATGAAGGATGATTTTAACCAAATATGTGCAAGATTTGTACACTGCAAACTACTTTCATGGCTGAAACTTTCATGGCTGAAAGAAATTAAAGAGGACCTAAATACATAGCCACTAATACCATGTTTATGAATCAGAAGATCCTATATTGTTAAGAAGTAAATTCTCCCCAAATTTAGTTCTAGATTCCACACAACCCCAATCACAATACCAGCAAATGTAGAAATTGACAAGCTCATCCTGTGGAAATGCAAAGCACCTAGAATAGCATAAACAACTTTGAAAAAGAACAAAGTTGAGAATGTGTTTTGAAGACTTATTACAATTCTACAGTAGTTAAGACAGTGTGGTATTAGCAAAAGGATAGACTGTGAACTCAATAGAATAAAATAGAAAGTACAGAAATAGACCCACAAATGTATGCTCAATTAATTTTTAGCAGAGTTTTCAGGGTAATTCAATAGGGAAATGATAATCTTTTTAACAGCTGTTGCTGGAGCAATTGGACAGCCATATGCAAGACCTTGACTCTTTTCACATATCATGAACAAAAAATAACTCAAAATTTATTATGGACTGAAATGTAGGAACTCAAATTTATGTAAATGTAAACATAAAATTAGTGATTTTATTGTATATAAGCTATAACTCAATAACTTGTTTAAATATTTTCATTTTTCTACAACACATATTTTGTTTCTTTTGTTTATATTGAGTGCTAAAAGAATGAGTTAAAATTCTCTTCTCATAGAAAGCTAGTATTTTACAAAGACCCGGTTCAAATCATAATCTCATCTAGCATTTGTCCTAGGAAAGTCTTATAGATTAAAAATCTGTTTCCTAAGAAACACAGAATTGCATATAATGTTTCAGTTTTTCAGGAGGGTTCCTATATGCATCCACTATATCCACTAAAAGCTTCATATATCACTGAACTTGGCAACAGCTATATAAGAATTATAATTCCAAACAATTCTTTATATAGTTACCTCAAGAGATTTGTTTATGAAACACTTCAACAGCAAATATCTCAAGGTAAAATTGAACAACACAAAAATAAGAAACTGATAGAAGAACTCTGCTTTAGTAAAGCCAAACTGCCCCCTCGGTAAATATTTATTAAGCACCAAGCTCACATATATGTCATAGAAACCGATGATGATGTAAGCTTTGGCCCTCCCCAAAAACCAGCAACCAAGCCATTCCTGCGAAAACTGGTATTTATTACTGAACCATGGGCTGCTGTTCTGTTAACAATATCTGAATGTGATCCTGCCTGATATGGTTGTTGATATGTTGCATGACTTCCTAAGTAACTGGTTGTTAATCACGTCAAATGGAAAAATAACACTGCCAGGTGTGAGGTGAATAAAAACTGTAACTATTATTGTCATACTCTTGGAAGAGAAGCCTTCTCACTTTCTGATCTTCCTTAAGAAGAAAAGAAAATAATAGATACAAGTCTGGAATTCTCCGACCACTTTCATGGTGTTCTTCAAAGTGTGGCTATGACATTTGGAAATCTCTCATTGTTTTAGTTTATTTTTATTTTTATTTTTTAAATTTATTTTTATGTGTTTATTTTTTTAGACAGGGTCTCGCTATGTTGCCCGGGCTGGAGTGCAGTGGCGCAATCTTGGCTCACTGCAACCTCCACCTCATGGATTCAAGCAATTCTCGTGTGTCAGCCTCCCAAGTAGCTGAGATCACAGGTGCACCACCAGGCCCAGCTAATTTGTGTGTGTGTGTGTGTGTGTGTGTGTGTGTGTGTGTGTGTGTGTGTGTGTGTGTGTGTGTTTTTAGGTAGAGATGGAGTTTCACCATTTGGACAGGCTGGCCTTGAACTCCTGGCCTCAGCCTCCCAAAGTGCTGGGACTACAGGCATGAGCCACCGCACCTGGCCCCCAGTTTATTCCTCTTAACTGTTCTCCACTGTACATGTTCACCTTATAAGTGTTTGTCACTGATTGCTCTACTGCGTAGGTTCTTTCTCTCAGCACATCCACCTTTCATATACTGTGTTGTTAGGCACACAGCAGTAACGACGTGTCCCCCTGCCAGTCCGATCTTCCTAAGTCATATCATATTAGATGACATATATATTTTATATCTATAATATAATAATGAATAATATGTATGTTAAATATGGCTAAGTGAACATCATGGATAGACTTGGAGATGTACAGAATAGAGGGAAGTATCTCCAGCCTCAGGAGGCTTGTGGAAAGCAAAGGAAGTTCAGATTCTAGACAGCTAGCTGTGCTCCATTTTATATATATATATATATACACACATATACACACACACACACACACACACATATACATATAAAAACTTCAGGCCACTGTTGGCACCAGCCAGTGAAATCATTTCTCTCTCCAGTACCTCAGCCCCTGTCTCGGCTGCCTTCCTCAATCCCTTTCAGATCCCTTGGTCCTTGGTAGAGCCCGGGGGGCTCCTAACATAATGCCTTAGAGCAATTATCCTTGCATGCATCTGCCTTGGAGGTGGCTCTGTGATTTAATAGAGAATCTCAGTCTTTCTCTGGCTCTGTGCTTGAAAAAGTCTAGTTATTTGACCTCATCAATTTGATTGAAATGAGCTACTCTAGATCCCATGAAAATATACGACCATTTCAACATTTTCACAGAGTTTAGTGTTTTATTTTCCCCATTCATTTGTTAACTCTGTATGCCTTAAATACCCATTTTGAAATCCATAGTATTGTACTGAAGGATCCAGCTAATTTTCAGCATATAATTATTGTATGACTTCATAAGTAACTGGTTGTTAATCGTCTTAAATGGAAAAATAACACTGCTGGCTGTGAGGGGTGATTTTTCTTTTCCGCTTCTTTTCCTTGGGTTTACCCAGTTGAAGCCTGTGTATGCTAGCCACATAATAAATGCTCATTAGATAGTGATCTGATATTAACCGTATGTGACCCTAGTACCTTGAGTGACTTACAATTTTAATGACTTTTAATGAATATCTCCTACTATGTAACACCTGAATGATTTTAAAATTTTAATTCATTTCTCTTTAGCTTTTCAATCCCTTTATTCTTAAAGTATTTTAAGGAAATATTTTTGCAAGTGAAACTCCTTGTTTCCCAGACTGCACCTCTTTCCTGCATTCTGAAGTCTGTTTCCACCTGCTGGCTAGACATTGCTGTCTGGATGTTCCTCAAGTTTCTCAGGCTCAGCACATGGAAATACTCAACATCATCCTGATCAAATGCTCCTCTTCGTAAGTCTGTTATTCAGTGGCTCAATCCAGAGACCTGAGAATCACCGGAGACTTCTCTCTCTCCCCCTTCCTCCCATGACTCATCATCCCATCAATTCTTCCTCCAAAATACATCTCACATCTGTTTCCTCTCCTCATTCCCCCTGCCACGCTGTTGGTTCGTGCCTTCTTAGATGAATGCAATACATCTTACAGGTCTTCCTGCCTTCAGGGTCTGTCCTCTCCAGCACACCCTCTCCATGGGTCACGCCAACCTATTCTCCCCTCCTTGATTCGAGCTTTGCAACTACTCTCCCTTTCCCACCACGTGAAGTCTACATTTCTTCCCATGGCTTAAAAGGTACTTCACATGCTCCACTTCTACTTGCACGCCATGCCCTCCCACAGACCCCTTCACTCCAGCCTTCTACATATGCCACACCCCCTCATATTTCATCTTAAATGTAAACTCCAAATTTCATGAATGAACCCATCAATAAATGAAATAAAAATATGCATCCTGACTGTCCCAGGATTGCCCAAAGAGGAGCAGAGTTAACTTGGATATTCAGAGATTCATCTGTGTATTGAATAGTTGGGGCTTTGCTTCTGCTCACTAATTCTTTCATCCAAAATGAACTGTTTAGGGCATCCTGGGGAAGATGTTTTTATCCTGCTAACTCTTGGGAATAGGAGGAGGAAGTGGCTGGCAACTGAAGGCTGGAACACTTGCTACTGGTAATCGCAGCTTTTAACGTTGCACCTCTTTAGATACTTGAAGAATTCTCTGTTTTGGTTCCATTTTGTACACTTTTGAAAAATAATCTAAAGAAATGAGCTGTGCTCATAGGGCTTCATAGCTCCCAAGAATTAAAAAAAAAAATTCACTCAATCAACTTAATTCCCTTTTCTTTATCTTCCCTCCCTCGTTCTCTTTCTGTTCCACTCTCTTTTCTAAGCTGTTTCACTTTGCAATACCTTGCTGGTAAAGAGTTGCAAAATAATGCAATCTTGACTTGTTTTCTCCTAAGTATTTGATTTAAAACTCCTGTATCTAAAGAAATACACTTGGGGTCATTAATAAAGAAAATCTTTTTATCTGAAAAAAAAATTCCCAAGAGTTAGTGGGATGAAAACTTTTCTGCATGCTTCAGGCAGCTGTCAGAACGAAGGAAATGAGGTAATCGAGAAACGGAGCACAGATCAATGTTTACACTCACGCAAAAGGCGAGATAGGAGAAGAGAGAGAGAGGAATGGTCATTGTGGGTGTTTGAGCTCAGATGAGGGCCCCTGTGGGCTCAACCAGGTCTGTGTTTTATAATCCTATCAAATGTAGAGCTGGCATAATGAATTCAAAATGAATTTAGATAAAAATGATTTGTGACTTTTCACTTTAAATCAAAGCTCATTACCCAGCAATATATATGGCTGGCACTCTATAAATAAAAATACATTTATTCAGGGTAAACTTAATACACAGACTTAGAAATTTAAACAGCCCCCAATAATGTTCTAATTTATTTTATGTTCCCTGAAGTTCTATAATGAAGGCACTAAAAGTTCATGATACATATGCCTTAGAAAATAGCACCTGTTGACTAAATGCATATTGAGGTTCAGTCACATTACACAGAATTTCAGAAAGACAAAGGAATTTAGTTAATGTTCAGGAATCGTTTTGTGAATAATAAAAGGAATGCCAGCTCTGGAAGTAATCTTTGAATAATTCACTATAAGAAACTTGGGAACAGTATATAATGTAGAACACATTCCAAAAGAAGAAAAGCTCTGCAAAGAAAAAATAAATTTGTGTATTCATTTATTCAGTATACACAGCACATGCCTCTAGGCCAATCACATCAGTTTTAGCCTTGTAAAACTAAGCATTAAACTGATGATTTCCAGATTTATCTGTCTGAGTTAATTTTTATTGTGGCAAACACAGCAGCAACAATAAAGTCAAAGTTTCAGTGGCTTACACAATAAACATGTATGCCTTGCCTATAGGTCTGTGGCTGTTGCGTGGCTCTTCTGGGCCTGGCTGAACTTGGGTCCAAGCACGCCCCATGTGACTCTCATTCTGGCTAAGGAATGGGGGAGTACCAATGACCATGCCATACCACAAAAGCACACATAAAACCTTTGCTGAGCTCACGCCTGTAATCCCAGCACTTTGGGAGGCTGAGGCGGGTGGATCACGAGGTCAGGAGATCGAGACCATCCTGGCTAACATGGTGAAACCCTATATCTACTAAAAAAAAAAAAAAAATACAAAAAAAAATTAGCCAGGCGTGGTGGCAGGCGCCTGTAGTCCCAGCTACTCGGGAGGCGGAGGCAGGAGAATGGCATGAACCCGGGAGGCAGAGCTTGCAGTGAGCGGAGATCGCGCCACTGCACTCCAGCCTGGGCGACAGAGCGAGACTCCCTCTCAAAAAACAAACAAACCTCTGCTGGCAGGTGGCATATGTCACATCTAGTCACATTCAGTTGGTGAAAACAAGTCTCATGGCCAAGGCAAAAGTCAATGGAGTAGAAAAATATACTACCTACTGAGAGGCCCTGCCAAGGCACAAGGCAAAATGTGGGGGCACATACTCTTATTACGGGGAGTGGAATAATTGGGAACAATAATCTAATATACCATAATATCTCTAATATGCTTTTTGAGTATCCACCCAGTTTTTGGTCTGGCCCGCAATCTTGGGTCACTGCAACCTCCGCCTCCTGAGTTCAAGTGAGTCTCCTGCCTCAGCCTCCCGAGTAGCTGGGATTACAGATACCCGAGGATGCTCTCAGTTTCACACAGAAGCAAGAATCTGTTTTACTTCCTTCTACCCTTTAGACTTACTTTGGCGTGTGTGCCTTGATACCACCGGGAGAATAGCTGACACTATTTCCTAATCTCTCAATCCATCAATCAAGATGGACAGAGCTGAGGTTTCACCTAATGACCTTCACAACTCAGATTGTTCCCTTCCCTGAAATGCTATCAAACTTTTGGTCTGCATTTTTCATTTTGGTTCTTACCTAACTTCTTAGTATTCATATATCTTGTGCATGACTTTATTTTACACTCCTGTTAAAAGATCGTTTTGTTGGGTGCACAATCTTTAGTTGTCAGTAATTTTTTCTCAGAACTGTGAGCATTACTACACTTCTTCTGGCTTCCATTGCTGTTGTTGGCAAGTCTACTAACATTCTAATTTTCCCTTTGTAGGTGGTCTGTCTTTTCCCTCTGGTTTCTTTTATATTATACAATTTCAAAACTGAATGTCTAAATATGGATTCATTTTATTTGCCCTGCCTAGTAGATGTTGTCCTTGCTATATCTATAAATTCTTGTATTTTATCAGTTCTAGAAAATTCTCAATAATTATCTCCTGAGATATTATCTCCTCTTCTTTCTCACTAGTTTCTCCTATGGGGACTATAATTAGCTGTATGTTGAAATTTTTCCTGCTTTCCTCCTAGTCTCTTCTTTCATTTTTTTTTTCATTCCCTGTTTATCTATGCTGCCTTCTGGGAAGTTTCTTCACTCCCTTACTTCCATTTACAACTTATTTTCTCAACTATGTTTTGACAGCTCTTTACCCTATCCACTGAGTTTTAAAATTTTAGGAACATATTTTTCATTTCTGAAAATTCTCTTTGTTGCTTTTTGATAGTTTCTTATTCCTTAATTATTCTTGTGATTGCAGTCTTTAAATATTTTACATTCCATAACTGATCATTTCGATATTTGAAGTACATGGGGTTCTAAATTTATTGCTTTGTTTCTGTCAACTTTTACCCATATGTCCTCGGTTGATCTTTGATAATGAGCTAATATTTAGTTGATTTTAACCTGGATAAAATCTAGGGGTTTCAATTAAGAATATTTTTCTTATACAGTGTGCATTTCTTTTGCAATGGTGCTACAGGACACCGCCTTTCATGTCTTTAGCCTGATCCTTCGTGGAAGCTTTGGCTTAGCTCTCAGATTTGGACACTGACTCAAGGCCTAAAAGTTGTAGTGCTGATATCTGCATTTTTTGCAAACGAATCTTGCCTTTTACATTTGTTCACTCTGCTCCATTGCCATTTCAGCATTTGGTTCTTATTTTTGTCATGTATTTTCCCTTTAGACTCGATTCCCCTCATTTTGAAGACTGCAGAAATGCAACAAAATTTTTTTATGCAGGAGCTGTTACAGTATTTTCAAGTAAGAAGTCTTTTCAGTGTATCTAATCTACCATACTGCCAGTAGTGGATGTCTCAGGGTTATTTTTTACTCTGGGTTCGTGGCTATGCTCCTAATAATTGAGCTTGCCAAGAGTTGAAATTCCCAGACAAATGGAGCATGACTTAAATTATTTAAAATTTAGAACATCAAAGTTAGAACACTTAAGCCCAGGCATGGCGGCTTATGTTTATAATCCCAACACTTTGGGAGGCTGAGGTGGGAGGACTGCTTGAGCCCAGGAGTTCAAGACCAGACTGGGCAACATAGGGAGACCCCACGTCTACAAAAAATGAAAATAAAAAATTAGTGGATGTGGTCACATACACCTGTGATCTCAGCTACTCAGGAGGCTGAGGTAGAAGGATTGTTTGGGCCTGGGAGGTTGAGGCTGCAGTGAGCAACGATAGCACCACTGCACAAGACCCTGTCTAAAAAAAGAAAAAAAAAGAAACCTTCATTTAGACTTTCTTGATCAAAATGGACCCTGTGCCAGAACTAGTTTGCTCAACTGATGGACACACTGTGTTGACTATGCTGATGAGATCATGTGATTGTTAGGTTTGCTGTGCCCACAGGGTGCAAATAAATCTTACTGAATAATGACAATGCTATAAACTCACACATAAAGGCTAATATATAGCTATAATCACAAATACTTAGCTAGTATGGCTGAATTCCTCAGATTTTACTATAACTTGATTTATGATAAGGAGGCTATTCAAGTGAGCATTGACATTATTGGCCTGCTATCATGAGCTTGGGATTCTGATGTTTATTATTCTATAATTTATCTTTTTGAGGACAGATATTATCTATTCATATAATTTGTTCTTTGAATATCACTATGTCTTGTTTTCCCCAAAACAGAAAGTGATACTAACTGCTAATGGATCAGGTTTTGTGAATAAGAGGCTATATAAAGTGAAAAGGCTATAGAAGTGAGAAATGTTTACAAGGCTATACTCTCATTAAGTAGAGTAAGTGTTTAGTAAATATCTTAATTGAAAACATTAATTTGGCAAGGTAATGAATTATAGCCTATATAAAAAACAATCACACAGTTATGAAAATGTGTTAAAATTAGGGTTTCTGACCATTTTTAAGTAAATTATGTTCTTGATTTAAGAATTTTATATTTAACAATGGTTTCCAAGATGTACACAAAAATTACAGTAGAAGCTAAGAAAATGTCTGTGCCCTCCCCCCATCACATAGAACTAGGTAATTAGTACTTTCAGTAAATAAATTCCCTTCAATTAGCCAGAATTATATTGAATTGTGCTATATAGTAAATAATATATTCACATGAGGTTTTATAGTATTACTGCTAAAAGTATGGGTCCTACCAACAGGTGACTGGAATGAAGGGATGAGCTGATTCAGGCAAGGATCAATAAAAAACACTTGCGCAGATTCGAAGTTACTATCGAGTGAGAATCAGTTTGCACAAGTCTTTCATCTCAGCTCTGCATGAAGCACTCCTTGGAACCTCCTTACCAACTGTGGCTTTAAGAATAGACTACATTCATTCACTCTTATTTAAACACATACATTATATCCCTGTGTACATGTCAATCATTTCAGTTTCGGTGCAAAAGGCTGGATATTCACACCAGATAAGTCAAAGTTAAAACATATTAAATGAAATGGTATTTCAAAGCTTGCATGCTCTACCTTTAAAAACCAGTGAGCCAAAGATGTTCCTATTATTTATAATTATTGATTTCTGAAAGTTTGTGTTAATACATTTCAAAGATTAACATTGAAAAGCCTAACAGAAAGGAATAACGATTCAACTTTTTGGCAATGTAAATCTATTGCTAGGGCTCGATATCATGAATAAATCTTAACTAATTTCTTTGACATCTTGACATTTCTTATTTCTCCAAAAATTACATTTTCATAGAAAATATATTTATACTTCAAATAGACTTATGATGGTATTTAATTGCACTTAAAAACTCATGCTCAAAATTTCAGTACCAGAAACTAGCATCCATCATCTCGACAGCAAAACACAAAACGTAAGAAAAACTAATCATTCCTTTAAGTGAAATAAGGCAATTTTTACCTAAAAAGACCTTGAGGTTAGTGAGGGAAAAAAAGATGCTTGAAATGTAAGAAAAGATCCTGAAGTATTTCTTTTCATCTTTATTCTCTCTGTTGCTTTTTCTTTTGATTTGAAAGATCAGATGAGACCACATATAAATATGTCTGGGAGGTGTCTTAGAGAACTTAACTCACTTCTTAAAAAGAGAAAAGAACTAAATACATTATGTGATAAATAAAGTATTTTTTATTGTACATTCTGTTTGAATCCTTGTTCTCTCAAAGGCTAGAATGAAAGAAAGAACAAGGAAAACCCCGTGTTTTATGATTTGTGACGATAATAGTCACCACAAGGTAGTTTTTTTCAGTGTTGTTAGGACACAGTTAACGACAACATATAAGAGAATCTGCATCGTTCAGTCACAAAATCTTCTCTTCAAATCAGAACTACAAACTGTATTCTAGATAGATATTTCCCTGTTAGTAAAATATAAACTCAGACATGGAAATTCTACATCTTTTTGGAGAAGTCTTAATGATTACACTAGGATCAACAGAATCCTACAACCAAAAGTCAATTTTTATACTTTTAACTTGTACTAACTATGCTGTTGAGAAAGCTGCTTTCAGGATGTAAGAACTAAATTATAATTAGTGTTTTCTAATAGGTGTGCAATACAGAGCTGGAAGCAAGAATAAAATTATTCACTTCAAGAAAAAGGAATATGATTATGCGGGAAGTATGTGAAGTGAAAATATTGTATGAATGTTTTACAGTAATTATTTAACACAATGCCATATATTTAAATTATCTTTTCATATGTCATTTGAAAACATTTAGGTACATTTGAATAGAAGTGGGTGTTCTTTGTGTATCTGTCAATAAGTAGTTTTTTACATTTGTTTATTGCATGAAAATATAATTGTAAAGGGTTTCATAGCCTATTCAGTGTAAGCCTATATCCTTCATATTTGAGAACTTCGATGTTTGGATTTAAACAGAGCAAATTGTACATGCTTTGGAGGAAAAAAATTTTTAAGTGATTAAAAAATATTTCTTATCAGATAATACCAAAGTCCTATTATACCTTCTTTTACACACCATAATGAATTAGTGATCAAGAACACAACTGTAGATTTAAACTAAAAGAAACAAAAAAGAAAGAACAAAAAAGACAGGCTGCATAGTGACAAGAATCCATCTCCCTTCATGCCAGTGAGGTTCTAGCTGTGAGCATGCTCAGAACATGGGAGGCACTGAACTTACTACATCAGAACTCCTGCTGAGGTATAAGAGGATACGTCTAATAACTCAATTGCTGTAAACCTATGATTGTTTTTCTGGTTTTTAAACATCTCTTCAGCCTCAGATTGATTACAATGTTCTTTCTACTTCATTTCATCGTTCTGATCAATGTCAAAGGTAAGGTTGCTACTTTCTCGTTTTAAATGAGTGCAATTCCCAAAAAATACATTTCTATGTAGTTCTATGGCAGTTGTAATAAATATATTGGGGTGTTTAAAAAAAAAACAGACATCAAATTTGCCTGGTATTTGTCATTATCTTTCATTGCTTGTAGTCCCACACAGCCTAGTAATTTTTAGATGCAACAAATTTTTCATGGAAACAAGCCTTTGTATGTTATTAAAGCTGTAGATAAAATATGTCAAAAAACAATGTTGACTATATCAATTAAAACATAGAAAACATTTTTGGCATTTGTTCTGAAAAGTGTGACAAATTAATAAACTAAAATTGTGTTTTGTGGAATTTCAACCTGTTGAAATATGCCCATAAAATTCAAGTAATTATTAGTAACTATCTTGCGTGAACATAATTAAACTGGGAACTCCAAAGCCACAGGCAGATCTAAAAAACAGTATCTGTCTCTAAGAGTAAACCTCTCTAAAATAAAGTTATTAAAAGTCTATACAAGTGCATTTACTTAGATAATTTTCTTTTGTTTTTAATTTGTGGAAATTTTTATTTCAGTCAAACTCTTAAGTTTCAAGTCAGTACCATTTTCATTGTAAAGCTCACCAAAAAATAAAACCTAAATCTTCACTTGTTTTTAAATAAAAAGATACGTTGTCAGCCTATACATTCATAAACAACCTATTAACCACACCCAAGATTTGCTGGGGTTTATTATTATTCAAAAATGTTTCTATTTTAATTTGTATTTTTTCTTAAAGAATTTTGATAAACCTCTGAGAATAAAGGTTAAAATTTGAAATTATTTTTATTTTCTGAGAAATTCGTTTTAGGTTTTTTAAATATTCAGTTTTATTAGGTGAATTCCAAGTGAATATTTTAAATCTTGAAATAAAATGCAATACTTATGAGGAATTATTTTAAAACTTCTAACAAACAAAAGATTTTTAAAAGGCTTAAAATATCTAAATTTTATTTTGAATTTAAAATAATACTAAAACTTTACTACAAATATTTAAAATCTATATCTCCATGCACCTAGCATGACTTTTATTTTATATTTTAATATCTCTTACATGAAAAGCTAAGGATTAACTAAGAAGAAACAATATATGAACTCACCTTGCATGCAGTACAGTTGCAACAAGCAGTCTATTTCTATATTTAAGGTCCTACTTCAGAAGTTCATGTTCTATCCACATTTGAATATTCAATTTTATACAATTTTAAGAATATACAGCTACAAAGCAGGTTCTTAAGACATGTCATAGAGCTCATCTGTGCCCTTAAAAAGTTCTTTAATGTACGGGACTATAACCACAGTTTAACCAATTTTACTATACTTTTGCTTTTATACATAATGCATTTAATTGATTTTGCTTAAACCGTTTATGAGATGAAAAACATCTATTACTAAAATAACATTTTGTGATTTACCATAATGTAAAGTCACCCTTTAAACTAAAAAAAAGTTCAATTAATAATTTTTGTTTGATTTTATTTCTAAGTAAAAGCCATATTTCAAACTCCTAGTACCAACCTAACAAATATTTATTGATTATAATCCTGGAAATTTTTATTTTCTAATTTTATATTACTTTTGACTACTAATTTAAACCTTTATGTTTAAAATGATTTCTTTTCAAAGCAAGACACATTAATCAATGCTTTGACATTTTATTCCTACTTATAAAAATAATAGAATTTGCTCTATAATTAGTAAAACTCTTTTCTTTTTCACAACAAAATTGTGGACAATTAAAACGGTAAGGCTTTTCATAGTAACCAAAGAAAGCTCATTTAGAGTTGCCTAAGAGTAAAGGTTGTCTTTTTAATTTAAATAATATTTGTGATAGACTCTTAGGCCAGATCTAAACAAAACATAAAATTAGAAATTATGTGATCGTCTTTTCTTCTCTGACCATCATCACTCTGGAGTGCCTAAGGAATGAGTGATTGCCTTAAGCTACAGGCACTAACAGACAACTATGCATAATGTATCTTATTATTATTACGTGTGTTTTATCATTAATTTATTCACTGTGTATCTCTGTTAACCAGCTTCAAACTACTTTTTAAAAAACATTTCTTAATGGACAAATTAGGAACCATATTACATATCAAAAACATGGGCTTATGTAGGAAATTAAAAGCATGAAGTATTGAGACTGCTACTTGGTAACTACCAATTGTGTTTTGTGGAATTTCAACCTGTTGAAATATGTCCATAAAATTCATGTAATTGTTAGTAACTATCTTGCGTTAACGTAATTAGACTGGGAACTCCAAAGCCACAGGCAGATCTAAAAACAGTATCTGTCTCTAAGAGTAAACATCTCTAAAATAAAGTTATTAAACATAACTTTAAACTTTTAAAAAACATTTCTTAATGGACAAATTAGGAACCATATTACAAATCAAAAACATGGGCTTATGTAAGAAAGTAAAAGCATGAAGCATTGAGGCTGCTACTTGGCAACTACCAATTGCTACTTAAATAATTTGCTTAACCTCCAAAATAGGTTAACCAAAACCGGGCCCGAACAGTATTTTGAGGGGAGCAGTGTTTGACTGCCCCCTAGTGGCCAGACTCAAGGCATGCCTGGCATGGTCCTTTCTTACGGATGTCAGTTTCACTTGGCCACTCTGACTTGAGAAAAGGTTTTCCATCTGAATTTTAATTTCACAACTTTATATTCATGCTGTGGATAGTTGTGAAAATCAATTATGTTTCAGGCCAGTCATCCCGAAGACTGACCTGCTTGCGGGCTGAATGAAGCCCACTGTGAGGGAGGAGGAAAAAGATTGGGAACATGGGAGTTAAAACCTTTAGAGATGTGTTATCTCTGAAGACGCCAGCTAAATACATCTCACAACAGATGCTTACTCGTGTGTTCATCTTACTGTGAATAAATATGACCAGATGTAATCAAAGAGTTTTAAGGCCTCTCACTTGAAGTGACAAAATTGCCTGCCATGTGAATTTTAGAGGCAAAATTGGGATGCTGCTTTCTAATAGGTTGGTATCGAAAAATGGCACATTTTTATTCTGGAATATAGTAAACCAAATAAAATTCAATTAGCAAAGAATGATTTTGTATAAATAGTTATGCAACAAAAAATGCAACTAATTTTTAGCAGTACATATCTATTTAAGAGCCCAGAATGGCTTGGTTTATTTATTTGGTAAACATATAACAACATTCTTTGGGTAAAATGAGTGTGCTTGTTTCACATGTGAAGTAGTAGTGGCATTAGAGGCCTAATTATCTAAAAACAAAAAATAAACCTCTCATATGCTTTACTCACCCGTACTTCCAGGTTTTTGCATGTATTTTAAAAAATTAAGTTTGCAGTGAAGGTCAATGTTGTTATCAGAAAAGTGCTCCGAAGCGAAAATAAAACAGCTGATTCAACAGTCATGTGATAAACAGACTTTTGAGTGTTTTAAGATGTAAAAAGAATTGAGATTGAGGCCATACGCAGTGGCTCACACCTGTAATCCTAGCACTTTGGGAGGCAAGCAGATCACTGAAGTCAGGAATTCAAGACCAGCCTGGAAAACATGGTGAAATCCCATCTCTATTAAAAATACAAAAATCAGGCAGGCATGGTGGTGCACACCTGTGGTCCCAGCTACTCGGGAGGCTGAGGCAAGAAGATTGCTTGAACCTGAGAGGCGGAGGTTGCAGTGAGCCGAGACTGCGCCACTGTACTCCAGCCTGGGCGACAGAGCGAGACTCTGTCTCAAAATTAAAAAAAAAAAAATTAAAGAATTGCGATTGAAAATTTAACTTTATTACAAAGTAAAAAGCCTTTACAACATGTTCAATGTGATTGATAAAGTTCTAGTCCTCCTTTCCCATCCTCCCCCTTCCCACTGTTCTGACTCGGGCCCCCTTGCTCCTGTTCAAGCCTCTCGCCTCTCCTTCCCATCTTTATTTATTCTCCCCTCCTCCCTGCCTCTGCAGGCATCTGTCTCAGATGCTCTCCCGGCCTGTCTTTTCTCCATTTTCATGTCTCGCCCTCCTACCCCCATCCCTATCTTCTTGCTGTCCTCACCTCTGAAATCTCCCTTCTGCTCACCTTGGGCCTGCTCTTCAGCTCTCTTGCTCTCTGAGTTCCCATATCCTCCAACTCTGCCTTTGTCCTGGCTACATCCCATTCTCGGTAACTCTCACACCTGCTCCATCCTGATTGGTCACATCTGGCTTTTCATTTCCACCTTGGAATACATCTATCCCTAGATTCGCCCCCTTAAGTATTCCTGTCTCTAATCACCTCCTGTCTTTGCCGAGCTCCCTCCCCAGGGGCTTCCTGGATCTTCTTTGTCTCCCTTTTTTGGCCTTTGCCTTCTTTCTATTATTTGTCTCTATCCCACAGTCTCCTGGCCCGACCAGTGGTCACCATGTCTGTTGCTTGCTAGAATACATGCCCAAATACCACCAAATGAATATTGTATCTCTGTATTACTTCAATACTGGTGTGCTCTCTTTTTCTAGGTCCAATGATTTGTCTACAATTCTAAAATCCAGAAAGCTCAGAAAACTGAGTTGATCACCTTTGCCTACAAAATCTGGTCAGAATTGGCCAGGAGCTATTTAGATTCTTTATGCACTTATTGTAAAATTTCATACACTGTGCTATAGAAAAATGTTCATGTGTTTGCTTAGGGAACTTTGCCCCAGGTCAGTAGGAAACTATATAGTTCATAGCATGTGCATTAACTTTCTAAAATTCTAAAAAATGTTATAAATTCTGCAACATATCTCTCCAAAGGGTTTCTGCTATGATGGTACAGATCTCCATTAGCCATGCCCCTCTACAGATCACCAACTGTTCTGTGCCATATTATTCTCGAGTGGCATAATGGCTATTTTATTTGCCCAAGGAAATTCAGTGTTAATAGAATGTGTCTGATGAAGGAAAGATAATTTTAACTAATTCTCCTTTTCTCTGATTCCAGTTTATTTTCTATTCAATTGCTAGGTTTGTTTTTGTTTTTTTTTTCAGTGACTATATTTTTTATTTGGATCATTCCAACTGCGTTTAAAGCTGTCTGTTTGGGGTTTTATAAACTTTCATTCTTATTTCATGATATATTCCTTCCATTAGTTCTTTGAGAATTTTAATCACGCAGAGTTTAAAATAGTCTTTAAAGCTCTATCAGCTGGGCGTGGTGACTCACACCTGTAATACCAGCACTTTGGGAGGCTGAGGTGGGCAGATCGCCTGAGGTCAGAAGTTTGAGACAAGCCTGGCCAACATGGTGAAACCCTGTCTCTACTAAAAATACAAAAAATTAGCCAGACGTGGTGGTGCGTGCCTGTAGTCCCAGCTACTTGGGAGGCTAAGGCAGAAGAATCGCTTGAACCCAGGAGGTGGAAGTTGCAGTGAGCCAAGATTGTGCCACCATACTCCAGCCTGGGTGACAGAGTCAGACTCCATCTAAAAAAAAAAAAAGCTCTATCATCTCTTTCCCAGGTATGAATTCCCCCTTTTTGCGGAGCCCTGGACATTTTCATAAAGTTGGAAGAATGTTTCTCCTGCACACAGCTCCTCAAAGTAGTCTCAGAAGTACTTCCACATAGCCCAGGGAGTGTTCAGGTCTGAACTGTCGCATCTCAGAGGTTTTGCCTGTGGGTGAACCAGTTCCAAATCTCATGCCCATTTGCAGTGGTATCACCACTTCTTTCCTTGCTGGCCATGAGCAAGCATTATTTAAATCACAATCTTGGGCGATCAGAGTTATTCCATACCCCATGCTTTGTCAGGGGCTGAGTCCCAATGCTTGGCTTCATGCAGATCCCAGCCTCTGCCAGTTGGGCTGCACTAAGCCCCTTTCTCAAACTGGCATTGAACCCAGTTGCGATTGTTTCTGCAGTCCCGGCTCCCTGCAGAACAAGTGGTTTTACGTCCTCTCGCAACAGTGGCCTTTTCTGAATTCATGTTCTATGGAGAGCTTTCTCTCCTACAACCCAAATGTTTTCATGAAAAAGCATAGTATCAGTTTTTTCTGTGTCTGTGGAAGAGTATGATGTGAGAGCATATTCAGGGTTTTCTCACAATGGATGACCTTGATCCAGAAGTTCAGCAAAGAAGGTAGACTTTGTCCTTCAGACTGTCCGTTTTCAAAGATTGGATATGGGTGAACATACAGACACCAGAGATCTGGAGTCGTGAAGTAAAGTGCTACACAAACGTTAAGAGATTAGGAGACGGGAGGCAGCAGAGCAACAAGGATGCTGGATTTGGGGTCAGCAAACCCATGTTCAAGTCATAGCCTTGACCTTGACTGGCGTTTGGCCTTCGGCATACCAAATAACTTCTCCGCTTCATCCACAATACTTACATAATTATCGAGTTTCCAAGAACCACTTGTCATGATGTCAGAGACATAGATTCCAGAACTCCAGCCCCTGATGATTCAATAGGTCTATGGTGGGTCATGGGCTCTGCACATTTAGGAAGCAGCCCAGGTGATTCTGATAAACCTGTTCAATGGATCATACACCTGGAAAAACTGGCCAAAATATACATGGGCTTTTTTTTCTTTGAGATGCTAATTTTTGTTATATTCTTTGTATGTATCAGGATTGCTAATTGGATTCACCTGGATTGTTTGACACATTAATTCTACTTGAAACGGTGTTTTAAATTTGGGGGCAATGAGGACAAATTAAGTATTTGGTAAGGGAATAGCTGAATCTACATTGTCTACTTATCAATATAAAGTTTCTTAACAAATAGTATAGTTCAAAAACTGTAATTAATATGCTAGTTTACCTATAGAGCAGACTTGATGTTAATTACCACTCCCACCTTTAAGAGAAATTAATAAACTCATAAGACAAATGGCTAAGGAAGAATCTCTTCTGATTTGGGGCCAGATTCTACTTCTTATTCATCACCTGGCTTTCTTTATCCAATTTTTTATTCGATTATAGCTCAGCCAGTAGACATTGAATAGGTCATTGCCTCTTTCTCTCTTTTTCTGTTATTCACACCTTGCCTGGGACATTCTGTTTCAACCCCACAGGCTAAAAAATAATATATCTATTGCTGTAGATATTTCTACTCATAATTTCCTTTCATGTAAACCCATGGTATATAAGAAATGTAGAAGACACTGATTCTCTTTCATTCTGCCTTAAGAGCCACTGTAAAAGTATTCCCTTAAAAGCCTCAAAATTCAATCTGAGGGTGAGATGATAGTTATGTAAACTTTCTTATACATAGGAAAAGGATAATAATCTACACTGAGTGTTACAGGAAAACTCTGTTCCCTTATTTGAAGCCATTTCCTTTTTGGCTGTTTCCTGTTTCCCACTTTAAAATGCCACTCTTACTGTAATAACTAAAGTTAAAATTAACCACTTGGAAAAATAAATTGCCCTCCCTAAAAGCACAGGGTTGTGTACATGCTGTTATTTTTGTTCATTTTACCTGTGAATTGTAAGTTTTGAAAAGAATAAAGCATGAGAAAATTACCTGTGCTGTGACCCGATTCTCAAAATTATATGGGCCACCTTACCCCATCCTACATAGATTCCAGCTGAAAAATTAAGAGAGGCCCTTTGCCACCGCTCCTCTTCCCTAGAAAATGGCTTAAAAAAAACAGAAGATGTTGCCAAGCAAGTTTTTCACTTAAAAAAACTGAACCATTGGTGTAAGATAAATGAAAAAAAGAAAATGAGCATAATGCTTCTATTACATGCACTCAACCCACACTGACATCATCATCAGCAGATGTATGCCCAAGTTTGGCCTAAGCTTCTGACATGGATTATCACTGAAGCACTGATGTGCTCTCCACTCCTACATATGGAGCTTTAGGTCTTTGTGGCTCACTTACAGAAACGGCATTGCTATTCCGGAAAATGTTAATTAAGTTCAGACAACAATTTTTGAGGCATCTGCTATATACTAAGAACTGAAAACTTTTCTAGCCATTGAGAGAATCAAAATTAATAAATTCCATTACTTTTAATGGCAAAAACCACAATTTATTTTGCACCAGCTTAATAGTATAATAATAATGACATGCTATAAATATTACATAGAGGTATGTGCAAGATGGTTTGGGTAGAAAAAAGGGAAAGTTTGTACTGAGGAGTGGTTTTGAAAAGTCTCAGTAAAGTTTTTGCAAAAATGACTTCTGAGATGATCATCAAAGAAATAGGAAATACAGAGAACAGAACATGCTACAATCTTAGTATCTTAATTATCTTAAAAGTCAGAGCTGCAAAGAATGTTTTCCTAACTGAATACAAGATAATTGTAAAAAGTGAAGGAGAACTGTCCACTGGCCCTGCTTGATCTGAAATCACTTTGGATGTTGTAGTTTGCTCATTTTCAAGACTATATGGTATGTCATTGAGAAATATTCCACAAATGTTTATCCGTTTTATTTTTCAAAGACACTTGGATTATTTCTGGCTTGGGGCTATTGTGAATAATTCTGCTGTGAACATTCTTGTATGAATCTCTTGGTGCACATGTGCATGAATTTCTATGGGCATTTACCTAGAAGTAAATCTACTGACTCGTAGGGTTTGCACAATTTCAAACTTAGTAGATAATGATAAACTGTTTTCCAAAGCAGCTGTTCCAATTAACACTCCACCAGTGTATGAGGATTTGCATGATTTTACATCCTCACCAAATAGTGTATCATTGGGTTTTTTATTTTTAAATTACACCCATACTAGTAATCTTAGTGATATTTTATCATGGTTTTAATTTGCATTTCTCTGATTATGAATTAGATTTAATACCTTTTCAGATGTTTTTCGTCATTCAGATATCCTCTTTCGTTCGGTACCTATTCAAGTCTCTTGCCCATTTTTCTATTTACCGTTCATTTTTCTTTATTGATTAGTAGGACACCTATACGTTTGTTAATTACAGACCCTTTGCAAATATCCTCTACTCTGCAGCTTGTCTTTGCACTCTCTTAATGATGACTTTTTTTAAAAGACAGGCCAGGCACTGTGTAAAAATCTCGCCTGTAATCCCAGCACTTTGGGAGGCCGAGGCGGGCAGATCACGAGGTCAGGAGATCGAGACCTACCTGGCCAACATGGTGAAACCCCATCTCTATTAAAATACAAAAAAGAAAAAGAAAAATTAGCTGGGCGTGGTGTTGTGCACCTGTAGTCCCAGCTACTCAGGAGGCTAAGGCAGGAGAATCTCTTGAACCCAGGAAGCAGCAGTTGCAGTGGGCCAAGATCGTGCCACTGCACTCCAGTCTGGTGACACAGCAAGATTCCATCTCAAAAAAAATAAATACAAGGACGTTCTTAATTTGTATATTGTCTAATTTAGGTATCTTTTCCTTTATGATTAGTACTTTTATTTGGCTTTTCTTCTTTGTATTCTCCTTAATACATCTATCTCACAGTCATAAAGATTTTTTCTTATGTTATCTTCTAGAAACTGTATTGTTTCTCCTTTCATATTTCAACCTATTATCTATCTAGAATTGAGCATCACCTCGCCTCACTCCTCTGTGGTACAAATGATTACATATGTGTCTGTCTTCTTCCAAACTTTCTATTCTGTTCCATTGGTCTATTTTTCAATCTTTCCACCAACATCACACTGCCTGAACTATTGTACCATTATAATATGTCTTGCCATACAGATAATGAGTCCTCTCTCCTTGTTCTCCTTCTTCAGTGGTAGCCTGGCTCTTCGTGTTCTTTTGCATTTCCACATGCCTTTGAGAATCAACTTATCCATTCCTACACACATACTCCTGGGATTTTTATTGAGATTTCTTTGAATCTATAGATTGATTTAGGGAAAGAATGAACATCTTTAAAATATTGTCCTCCACTTATTTATGTTTGTAATGTCTTTCACTAATAGTATATACTTTACATAAATGTCTTGCCCATTTTTTGTTAGACTTATTCCTAAATACATGACCCTGTTCATGCTGTAGTAAAAGGTGTGATTTTTAAAATGTTTCATTGTCTAATTGTGGCTGAAATATAAAAATACAATTGACTTTATAGAAACTTTGCAAAATTCACCAATGCTAATAATTTATTATTTTAATATTCACAGTCATATTATTTATGAATAATCACAGTTTTATGTCTTCTCTTCCAATATGTATGCCATTAATTTACTCTCCTTGTTTAACTCCATTAGCTAAGCCCTCCAGTACAACAATGAATAGATATAGTAATAGTGGACATCATCAGTCTCAAAGGGAAACCCTTCAAAACCTCACTCATATGCTGTGGGGTTTTATAGATAACTACACTTAATTAAATCAAGTAAGTTACCTTCTATTTTTAGTTTGCATAGTTATTTTAAAGTCAGGATCTGGCAGTTCCATCTCTGGAGCCTCTCATAAACGGAGTTAAAAACAAGTGACAAACTGCAAGAAAATATTTGTGAGTCACAGAACAGAGGACTAACCTCCCTAAAGAATTCTGGTTGCATTGCCCATTTCCGTTTTCTCACACATGGTTCAAAACACTGGTCCTGACTATTGCGTCAGGAATGAAAGTTTCACCGTCTCATCAGCATGAATTAGATGAAAGACAATCTTTTCAAAGGAATACATTTTTCATAAAGCCAAATGTATTCCTTTGAAAAGATTGTCTTTTCTTCTGTAGGTATAGTCTCTCTAATTTTTAACACTAAAATACTACTTTTCTAATAAATCAATGTTAAAATATATGGTAACTCAGAGTTTTAAAATCATCCTTATTTAACAAACTAAAACATTAGTGACTTTTGACAGGTTTCTCTAAATTCTTTAATTGAATTTATTTGGTCTAAGAAATGCAAAAATCTAGAAACCTCTGATCTAACGCATGTCAGAGATAGTCAGTGTATTGACAAAGAAAATGGAGCTGATGAATTAAGGAGATAAAGAGGAAGAAAAGGAATTTTTAGAAAATATGGAGGGAAAAAAGTTTTTAACCTGGGGACAAAGGTTGGATGTGTCAAATGCAGAAAACCAAGCAAGATGAGGACTATGAAAGAGCCATTGGATTTAGTGTCAAAATGGATGACAGTGATTCTGGTGAGAAGAATGTCAGCGGAGCAGCAAGGTCAAGATGGAAGCTATGGATTTAAGAATGAAAGTGTGGTAAAGAAGTGGAGACATTGACTTACTTGTATGGTTCTTCTGAGAAATTTAATTGTGAAGGGGAGGAGAGTATATCTCAGTTTTACAGGCAGGCAGATATAACAGGATTTAGGTTGGTTGACTCGTTTGTTTTGAAGATGGGAGCTGTGCAATAGAGAGACAAAGATATTGAAAATAGCTGGGTGCAGTGGCTCATGCCTGTAATCCCAGCACTTTGGGAGGCTGAGGTGGGTGGATCATCTGAGGTCAGGAGTTCAAGACCAGCCTGATTGACATGGTGAAACCCCATCTGTACTAAAAATACAAAAAAATTAGCTGAGTGTGTTGGCGCATGCCTGTAATTCCGGCTACTTGGGAGGCTGAGGCAGGAGAATCACTTGAACCCTGGAGGCGGAGGTTGCAGTGAGCCGAGATCATGCCATTGCACTCCAGCCTCGGCAACAAGAGTGAAAATCCATTTCAAGAAATACATATATATTATATATATATACACAATATAGGAAAGAAAGGAAACAATGAATGCAGAGTCTGAGAAAGCAAGGTCGAGGTGAGCACAGAACATAGATGGAAGGCTTTACTATAGGAAAGACAAGAGATCTTCATTCTTTGTGCATCACAAAAGAAGAATCCAGGGACCTGGTCTAGTCCTGTGCAGTTTCCACACACTCAGCACGAGCAGTCTATGTGGATGGTACCCACGCTTATGTGAGGTGGGTCCTGCCCAAACATACACTGCAGCCTGGGATGCAGGTACATTCGTAAGTTGATGGGAATAGAATCTGGGATAATTCCCACTCAGAGGAAGAACAGCCAGTGAAAGTTCCATGGGACATAGCAGTCAATGAATCAGAGAAGAATTAAAAGAGAGGTGAAGGGACCAAGGTACCACCTTCTCTCCACATTTCTCAAACCAAGTTCCCATCGGGCTTCCCCTTGCCTGTCTCCTTCACAATCCCCCTTTCCATGGTCTTCTCCCCTTCACCCACCACACTGCCCATTCTCTCCATTCACTCGCCTCAGGCAGGCTTTAGGAAGAAGGTAGTCTCTCAACTCATGCAGAACGAGATGAATTTTACATACTGAAAGGTAAGATTTTAACCTAAAAGAATGCATCTCTAAAGGTGGAGTTTTGGCAGTTTACCAGTCAGCAGAAATAATACTTTTGGAAGAGAAGTCTTCCTTCTTCCCTTAAATCCCTTATAACCCACCAACAGCCACAGCATTCTGTTTGTGACCCACATAAAGACACCCAGGCAAGGAGGATGTGGGGCTGACATCCATCCCTGGTAAGGATGAGGTTGGCAGTTTGAAATTCTCTTTTTTTCCAATGTAAATGAAAATGTATTGAGCCTACACTCTGTTCCACAAAGTTAGGCAGCATTTCCCCAAATCTGTCTTTCAAACATTAGGCAGTCATCTGAAGAAGGAGGGGGGTAATATTTTCTGCCCCCTCCCCCCCAAAAAATCTGTGGATAGGGTCCTGAGGGACTTTTACCAGCATGAAGTGTTTGCTTTGTCCCAGAAGAACACGACAGAAAATAGAGGTTGGGAGAAATTCCATTAGGGCAGGAATCTCTGAAGTGGAAAGGAGGTGGGGTAAATATGTGTGAATGAAACTGGATCAAACTTCTGAATATAACGATTGATGTGGCCAAGAAACACCATCCAGGCGGGGAGTACCAAACAGTTGCCTGAAAGGGTAAGATTGCCAAGTTTGGAAAACAACAACAACAACAACCACCAAGAGGCCAATTTCTCTTCGCCTACCTTAGCATTAAAGCCTTTTAAGAAAGACTTTCCTAGTTTTCTCCAAACAAACAACAAATCATCTATCCAACAAAGGTGGACTTTTAGTAAAATTGACTCTTCGCAGAAGTAGGGGCAGGCTCTGGCCAGGTGCACTCCGCTGATGGAGCTACTTCTCCTTGGCTTCTCAGTGGAGCCGCCCGGGACAGTGCTGCTGCCCCCCTCAGAGATGCCAGCCCCTGAGTTCTTGGTAGTGATGGACGCTGTCTGCTTTGCTGACTGACAACAAACTGCGGCACATAGTAGGCACTTAGTTAACATTTCTGGATGCTAAATGAATGTTCCCTCTGGTGCTGCAGTTAGTTGGCTCTTTGGAACAGATGGCAAGGCTTGCCGGCAATTTCTATAGCCCCTCTGAGGCACCATTGCCATCCTTGGTGACCAGGTCGTCTGACTTTTGTTAAACACCACTAAGCGTGATGCACTCCTCCTTGGCCTATACCCCCCTGGAGCCATCGCCCCTGGTGTTAGAGCCAGAACATCTGGCTGAGAGGATACAGGCTTTCTTCAGCTTTATGTAGGACTAGCATTGGCAGAGAAATAGAGAAAGCAAAAAGGGACTTGTATATCTCCATCAATTCTTAAACTGAGGACCTGAAAGATGATTCTCACCTGTTGTTTCCCAATAATCCAGGGAAAGTGTTGATGGGGAGCAAAAAATAGCCTTGAGCAGCAATCCAGTTGGCTTTAAAAGGCCATCTAAACGTCATTTTAAAATCTCTTGGCACAGACACGTCCAGAATATTGACCAGAAGACAGAAGAAGGGTGACTACTGAGCAATTCTCTGTCGTATGTTCGAGCCTCCTCTCAGCTGTGTGTTTGGCAGAGGTCCCATGGAAACCACTGCAGAAGCCATCAGCACTGCTACCATGCGGGCATCCTCCATTTTTATAATCCCCAAGCTTCAGTAAAAACTGTCTCTTTCCACTTCCACAGAGAGCAGGAAGAATAGACCACAGAATACACTTTCTACAGAGAGCTAGTGATTCTTTTTTCACTATGTACCAAGTACAGCAGGGGTTCTTAATTTTTATTTAATTTGTATAATGACAGAGTGGAATGATAAATGAAGTGCATGGAAGACTAAAAAATAATTTCTCATCAGAATAACAGCCTAAATCTGCTGCTTTGGGAAGCTTAAATTTTGAAAAGTGCTCTTCCTTCAATTCCTTTTTTTTTTATTTCTAAATGGCTCATTAATTCACATGTTCACTTAAAAAGTTACTGAGCACCAAGTAAGACATTAAGTTAGACAATAGAGATGGAAGCCACAGAGAGAAAAGGGTGGGGAATACATTGTATTCATTTATTCTCCTTATACATAAAATTTGTGCTTTGAAATGTCTTCAGGAAGATGCCACTCTGGGGTGGAAAATGGGGAATGACAAGAAATGCAGTCGGCAGGTTCTATTCGTACATGTTCAGTCTCTTCCTCCCCTTCTTTGTCCACACTTGTTAGATGCAACTCAATCTTTTTTCTAGGGAAAAGGAAACCATCTTGATGCCTTTTATTTGTGACAATTGATTGCTTGTTTGCCTCTGCCGCCTAGACGTTCTGCATATGTGAGATGGGCATTTAGTTAGGTCCAGCCCTCAAAGAACTCACAGTCAGCTGGGCGCAGTGGCTCACACCTGCAATCTCAGCACTTTGGGAGGCCGAAGCGGGTGGATCATTTGAGGTCAGGAGTTTGAGACCAGCCTGACCATTATGGTGAAACCCCATCTCTACTAAATATACAAAAAATAGCCGGGCGTGGTGGCGTGTGTCTGTAGTCCCAGCTACTGGGGAGGATGAGACAGGAGAATTGCTTAAACCCGGGAGGGGGAGGTTTCAGTGAGCCGAGATTGTGCCACTGCACTCCAGCCTGGGTGACAGGGCAAGATTCCATCTCAAGAAGAAAAAAAAAAGCAACTCATAGTTATTTTCATAATAAACCCTGGAAGGAAACATCACATGCCACCTTCAAAAGATCCTATTCACATTGCCTCACCTCTCTATTTCAAAATTCTCTTTAATCGAATGCTTAATCGCTTCTTCTAAACATTAAGAAAATATTGTTAGGAGATTGTAAGGACATTTTCCTTGGTTATTTATCATTTACAGTCCTCCTTCAGCTTTCAAAAGAGATTTGAAATAAAATAAAAATCATACATGTGATATGGCTTTTAAGATGGAATAACATAAAGAAGTAGGGGAAGCTTTTATTTTAGTCCCTATTATTTCTTTCAGAGAAGTCACATAAAAAATCATGAAATGCTGAGGCACAGCAAGCTTCCATTTTACATAGAGCTTCCTTCTTAACATTCTATTTTCTTACATTGTATGGAAATTGCCTGTGTGCCGACATCAACCCAGGGTTACCATGGGCCAGGCACTCTCACCACTTCATAAGCATCAGCTTGTCTAGTCCCCAAAACATACCCACAAGGGAGATGCTCTCATTAATTCTACTATAAATGTGAGGAAACTAAGATTTAAAGAGGTTAAGTAGCTTACCTGAGGTCACACAGCTAGTGAGTGGCAGAGAGAATTCTAATCCAGGTCTGAGTGTCTCTGAGGTGCATTATCACTAACGAATGTGTTTAAATAGTGGGTCACATCCCATTAGGGGATCATGAAATCAACTTAGAGGCATGTGATCCCTTCTCAACTGAATAAGATAGAATAGCAATGATCAAAGCTCATCCCACATAACTTTAAAAGAGTGATATTTCGGGAAATTTTGTTTTCATTATGTGGATGTGGGTGTGGGTGTGGGCATGAGTGTGCGTGGGTGTGTGCTAGTGTGTGTGGGTGTGAGAGTGAGTGTGGGGGTGTAGGTGTGTGTTGGGAGCGTGGGTACGGCTGGGTGCATGCTGGATTGTGATATAAAATATATTTCTAACTGCAAATTACTGCCTTAAAAAATTTCTAAGCCACCACACAAAGATATATTGACTCTCTCGTTCATGTTCCAAACACAGGAGGACTACTCATTTTTATAAATCTGACTCCTATAGAAATCTTTACAAGCAAGAAATTAAGGGATTTTAAAATCTATGACACAGTATGCCTCTCCCTGCGTGAACAGGTTTAACAAGCCAACCCCAGTGCCATGCAGTGGAGAAGTCTTCCTAAAATAGTCACAGACTTGACTGGTCTTATGCCTAGCTGCCGGTAGTAAATCTTTCATCCACTACTGCAGCAATAGCAGAGAAAATGATTTTTGCTTTTGTAAGATCAAAATTCCAATGAGCAGAAAAGCATCCAAAAGCCACGCTCTGAGTCTTCCTCCTCAGTCAGAAAAGACCCAGAGGTTGTGGCCACACCAGCCTCCGAAGTGTGCACCAGCACACCCGGCTGACCCCAGAGAGGGCCAGAGGCTCTGCTTTTCCGTGCTTGCGGGATCTCCAGGGTCATCAGGACTAAATGACTCAAGCTGAAATGATCTACTCATCCTAAAAGCTTAATGTGCATTTGTAATTCAGACATAGCTTTGTTGCCTAAACTCCAACCCCTGCCCTTTAACAAATGACATCATTTGTTAATGAGAGCAGCAGGTTCTACCTCCTTTAGGAGAGTCTCCTGAGGGGCTTCTCTACAAGGCAGCATTTGCTTGAAGGGCTCAGGCCTCACAAGAGCATTTTCCCAAGAACCAAAGTAGACGTGCCTTCGTGTTCTCAGTCGTTTCCTCATCTTTATTTGGGGATATTAACGCCAAACATACACAGTTGCCATTAACATCAAATCAAGTAACTAGGAAATGCCCAGCACAAAGTAGATGATGTTCCTACTGAAGTTTGTTCCTTATCCTTCTGCTATGTTAAAAATATCATCTCCCACACCCGCCCAAGGGAATTCTGGGTCATGATGCTAGCCTTCAGCCAAAGTGCGTGGTTAGGAGCACTTTGCCCACATCCCTCATTCCCTTCAATGAGTCATGATGACCTATAGACATTCCTGTGTCTACACTCTCCTTAAATCAATTTCTGTGAAGTTCCAATTTTTTTTTTTTTTTTTTGAGACTGAGTCAAGCTCTGTCGTCCAGGCTGGAGTGCAGTGGTGCCATCTTGGCTCGCTGCAACCTCTGCCCCCCAAGTTCAAGCAACTCTTCTGCCTCAGCCTCCTGAGTAGCTAGGACTGCAGCACGTGCCACCATGCCTGACTAATTTTTGTATTTTTAGTAGAGATAGGGTTTCACCATGTTGGCCAGGCTGGTCTCAAACTGCTGGCCTCAAGTAATTTCCCCACCTCGGCCTCAAAGTGCTGGGATTACAGGCGTGAGCTACTGCACCTGGACAGGACTCTTTTTAAAAAAAACATGACTTCTGTAATTTTATTAGCCAACTTAAAACATGTCTCTTTATTTTCTGAAAAGTATCCTCTCAAAATTGAAAGAATATCTCTTACATTTAAATTGCTAGAATTGTTTTGGTCATCCTATCCATAGATATAATACTTTTGTAAATGTCGATTATATTTATTTTCTTTAATTTCTTATTCAACTCAGCTGTTATTCAACTATCATTGGTCTTCTCTTATGTACCCTGCACCAGAAGATTGTTTCTAACTAGTCCTGATTTATGCTCCTTGAAATGCAGATTCCTGAATTGATTGATAGTCTCATAGTGCAATGGCTAAGGGTGGGCCTATGGGGTCAGAGGGAGGATTCAAAGCCACCCTGTGTCACTTCCCAGACAAACCACTGCACACAAGATATTTAACTTCCCTAATCCCAAAACATGAAGGATAATATCGCCCATACATAGGCTGGCTGAAAGATTAACAATGATAACCACTGTGTGAAGTGTCTGGCAAACAGTAGACCCAGTAGACACGATAGATGAGTGTTCAATGTTCAATTCTAGTTCCCCTCTTTCTAATGTGTTCCAGGATTTCTCTCTAACTCATACTTAAACTCTCCTTTTGCAGGTATATTTTTATCATGTCACCTCAAGTCCTTCTTGTAAAAGATTAATAAGTAAATACATCTACCCATTTGACCTTATTAGCTCATGGTTTTACCTTTCTGTTTCCAAGGGTGGATGACTCCTTGATTTCATACAAATCTAGGACAATACATCTGGTTTTGTTTATGATTACCTTGTGGAAGTGAATTCAAAATGAACCTGGATTCTGTTCTTGATATAGCTGATGTTGGGTGTGATTATGGCTGTTTAAAATGTTATCATTGGCCAGGCGAGGTGGCTCACACCTGTAATCCCGGCACTTTGGGAGGCCAAGGTGGGCAGATCACATGGTCAGGAGTTTGAGACCAGCCTGGCCAACATGGTGAAACCCCGTCTCTACTAAAAATACAAAAATTAGCCGGGTGTGGTGGTTCACGTCTGTAATCTTGGCTACTCGGGAGGCTGAGGCAGGAGAATCGTTTGAATTTGGGAGGCAGAGGTCACAGTGAGCTGAGATCGTGCACTCCAGCCTGGCAACAGAGCAAGACTCCGTCTAAAAATAAAAAATAAAAAATAAAGTTGTCATTGAGAATATTATTCAAAGAAACTGTGCACTAAGAATAATACCAGATGAACTCAACTCATATAGCTCTTGTGAAAATTAAATGGGACAACACGGAGAGAGCTTGGCCATGGTAACACTTTGTTTTTGCCCCTTCTTTCATGTAGATTTTGCACTGACTCAAGGTAGCATGATCACTCCTTCATGCCAAAAAGGATATTTTCCCTGTGGGAATCTTACCAAGTGCTTACCCCGAGCTTTTCACTGTGATGGCAAGGATGACTGTGGGAACGGGGCGGACGAAGAGAACTGTGGTGAGTGCTCCCCTCGGCTCCCCATGTGTGCCTCACTTTATGAACACCCCAAAACTGTGGGTCGGTTGGATAATGATTGTGATAAACTAGGAAAGCTGATTTGGTGTTCTGTAGGGATTTCCTTTGAAACACAAATAATGACTCCCCAATGTATTTGTGATAACGACCTGAATTTTTGTAGGTACAGGTTACTTAAGTCAGAAATACAGTATCATAAAATGTTATATTTTATAAAAATAAAATTATATTTGAAAATCTACTTCAATACTCATATTTTAATTATAAGCAGTTTTCTATGAATACCTCCTTATGGCTGGTAATTTGGTTCAGCTTCAAGAATATTCGTAAAGTGGCTGGGAGTGGCGGCTCATGCCTATAACCCCAGCACTTTGGAAGGCCGAGGCAGGTGGCTCACCTGAGGTCAGGAGTTCGAGATCAGCCTGGCCAACATGGTGAAACCCCGTCTCTACTGAAAATACAAAAAAATTAAAAAATTAGCTGGCCGTGGTGACAGGTGCCTGTAATCCCAGCTACTCGGGAGGCTGAGGCAGGAGAATTGCCTGAACCCGGGAGGCAAGGTTGCGGTGAGCCCAGATGGCACCACTGCACTCCAGCCTGGGTAACAAGAGCAAAACTCCATCTCAAAAAAAAAAAAATGCATAAAGTGTGAATGGGCCTAGCTAAAGAATTAATTGATAGAACAGACCTATACTGAGTGCCTGCTATGTGCCAGGAGCTCTCCAAATCACTGGGACACAGTGAGCTCAAGGGAGACAAGTGTCTTGACCTTGTGGAGTTCACATGGGTAATGTGAACTAAGATGATGATAAACCTGTATGTAAAAAAATCAATAATCTGAGTGATAAATAAGGAAATGAAACAGGATAATGAGATAGAAAGTAACTTGGAGGGAGGGATACTTCAAGGATGTAACCAGAGAAAATCTTTTTAAGATGATGACATTTGGATTGAGAAAGAAAGAAAGAAAGAAAGAAAGAAAGAAAGAAAGAAAGAAAGAAAGAAAGAAAGAAAGAAAGAAAGATACTGTGAAATATTCTGGAGGGGCAGAATTCCAGGCAAAGGCAACATCAAGTGCAAAGGCCCAAGGCTGACTGAAACAGGATGATGTGTTTGATGGTGTGTGGCTCAAGCAGAGTGAACAGGGGTATACACATGGAATGAAGGGGTAACCAGAGACCAGATCCCAGAGCATCTTACAGGCCAATTTCACCTCTGTTTATTGAAACCTAAAAAATATTTTTCTCTGGAGGAAACTGATGCCAAGAGAGGCTGACATGTCTAGTTAATCCAAAAGAATCCTGTGTGTTTTCTCCCACAGAGAGCTACCTCTCTTCAGCACTGCCCAACCATCCATCAAAGTGGGGCAGCAAAGCCCACAGCATGCATCTCTAGAATCTCCTGTCCTGCCCCTGGGTACTCAGGCGTGCCTCCCTCTGAAGGACATAGCCTCTATCCACACTTCCCGTGGATCACTTCTACTCATTCTTTAGGGCCTGGTTTAAGTGTCTCCTCCTCCAGGAGGGCTTCCCTGGCCCCCCTGAAGCTGTATCACCGGTCTAGGATGGCTGCAATTTCTCTGTTATCACAGCACCCTGGGTGTATCTGTATGCTGCACAAAGTAGAATGCCTTATCTTTTCAGTGTTGTTGTTGTTTGTTTGTTTGTTTGTTTGTTTGTTTTAGAGATGGAGTCTTGCTCTTGTTGCCCAGGATGGAGTTCAATGGCGTGATCTCAGCTCACTGCAACCTCTGCCTCCTGGGTTCAAGTGATTCTCCTGCCTCAGCCTCATGAGTAGCTGGGATTACAGGCGCCCTCCACCATGCCCAGCTAATTTTTTTGTATTTTTAATAGAGACGGGGTTTCAACATGTTGGCCGGGCTGGTCTGGAACTCCTGACCTTAGGTGATCCGCCCGCCTCGGCCTCCCAAAGTGCTGGGATTACAGGCATGAGCCACTGCGCTTGGCCCTTATCATTGTATTTATCTTCCTAGACAGGAACTCCTTGAGAAGAGGCCTGAGTCTTATCACCAGAGCTTAGAGCAGTAGAGTACACAGCAGGTACTCAGTCAGTGCTCAGTTTTGGGGGCAACTGTCTGGATGCCAATGGGCAAGTTACTCAAATTCTCATCCTTTCCTCTTTGCTGCATGGGAATCAGAAGCCATGAATGTTTACCCCATGAGGATTTCTGAACCCAAATTAAATAATGCAAGTGAGGGAGCATCATAGTAGCATCATTGAGAGTATTAATAAGAAATAGAAATAAAGATTCCAAGGATCAAAGCAGACTGTGGGCAATTATTTTAATTGATTTAGGTATTTGTGTGAACTTCAGTATCTTACATTATAATGCATATTTTATTATTTTATAACATATAGTGAAATAACAATACTTCACAATTAGGCCTCCTTTTTTAAAAATATGATTTACCAAAAGGAAGAGGAAAATTTGGCAAATAAATTACATTTACATATGACAAATTGACATTAATATATGACAAATTGAGGAAATGTTATTTTACTCAAAAACCTTTATTTATTTATTTATTTGAGACAGGGTCTCCCTCTGTCACCTAGGCTGGAGTGTGGTGCCATGATCATGGTTCACTGCAGCTGTGACCTCCTGGGCTCAAGCTATCCTCCCACCTCAGTCTCCCAAGTAGCTAGGACTACAGGTGCGCACCACCACACCCAGTTAATTTTTTCTGTTTTGTAAAGAGAGGGTCTCCCTATGTTTCCCAAGCTGGTCTTGAACTCCTACATGCAAGTGATCCTCCCACCTCAGCCTCCCAAAGTGCTGAGGTTACAGACGAGTGCCGCTGCACCCAGAAAAAAGCCTTTGAGAAACTTTGCTTTTGCTTTATTAAAAAAAAGTCAGATGACATAAATGTTATCAGAACTCAATATATCTATCAAGTATGTTTCTACATATACAGCAGTATGCACGTGACAAAAACAAAATTCAGATATTTTCTTCAGAGGTCCTCAAAATTAAAGTCAAACATGGACAATGTCTGTATTAGAAATAGATGATATTTTCCAAGACATTTATATTTATGTAAAATAATTATATACTTGCATTGCAAATTTTATGATACATACATTTGGAGTATTTTTCATGTAAAAAAGGGACACCTTGCAGATGTTTGCCTAACTTTTTCTCTCTTACTATGTATTTAAAATATCAATAATTCTATTACTTAAACATATTTTAGTTTAAAATCATTACCAAATTGTTAAATTTTGTCAGATGGTATTTAGTTTCTAGAATAAGTGACACATCTCAATCACTATTTCACAGGTGACACTAGTGGATGGGCGACCATATTTGGCACAGTGCATGGAAATGCTAACAGCGTGGCCTTAACACAGGAGTGCTGTAAGTGGTTTTGATTCAAAGACAGTATCAGCTTTGTGAAAAACATGATTTGTGATGCACAGATTTATATGGGTAATGTGACAAATTCCCTTCAGAATTTCCGTTTTAGTTCAATGTATTTCACTGGCTAACAGGTCTGCTGTCTGCCTGTGATTGGAAAGATAGAAAAAGAAAACGACCATCTCCATTTATGCTATTTTCATGCATTACTCTCTGATTGCAAGAATATATAAGTATTGAATAATTGTGACAAATAGTAAAGTTCTTATTACTTTTAACTATTTTCTTCAAGAAAGATGTTAGGCACTGAGAGGACAACGATGACTAAGACTGAGTTCTAACCCACAAACATCTCACATGTAGCAGGAAAGACAGCTCCTTACAAAAGCAGTGATGATATAATATTATTGCTAAAAGGGAGGAATAATGTTTGCACCAGGGAATGGGGAAGCCCATTGGAAGAAATGATGGCTGTGCTGAGGATGGGGAAAGATTCCCAGAGAGGATAACATTTGAGATGGACTTTGAAGTCCATGGATGAAGGAAAGGATATGAGGTGACAGGATGAGCAGAGGAGCAAGATCAACAAAACACTGGGGTCAGAAGATGCGCAGCAGGCTGCAGGATGCCTCTTCACAACCATTCTGAGTGCATGAGGTGGAGGGGCAGGAGCCGAGCCTAGAAGGCTGGTGCTAGCCCATGAAGGGTTTTGGTGTACACCTTGAAGTGTGGCCTCTATCCCATAGATAGAATTTTTGGGGTGTGTGTGTATATGTAGAGACATAGATATATAATTAGGAAGATGAATGTACAATTACATACATTAGTATGTATATGTAAATGTATATATATAACATATATATCAAATACTACACTGATAGTATTTTATGTACTCTATAATACCAGTTTATAATTACCACTTATATATTTTATTATACACAAGAATATTCTGTATGAAAATTAGAAAGTAAAAAAGGATAAGATTAAAAATAAATATAACCAAAAGTTCTACTATTCTACCTGAGCCACAATGAGTTGTCTTGCCCACATCCCATTTTAAAGGTTACTGCTGTATAGAATGGGAAATCATCATAGTTTTGGGCCTTATGTTTGTTTGATTTGTTCTATATTTCTTTCATTCTTAATGAGGAGGAAGAGCATGTGATCAGAAATGTATGTGAGGAAGATTATTTCATTAGAATTGCAGAGAATGGATTAGAGCAGCGAGTCTCAGCCATGGCAACAGTGCCTGCAAAGAACGTTTGACAGTGTCTGGAGACTTTTTTTTTTTTTTTTTTTTGAGACAGCATCTCACTCTGTTGCCCAGGATGGAGTGCAGTGATACAATCACAGCTCACTGCAGCCTCAAACCTCCCAGGCTCAACTGATCCTTCCAACTCAGCCTCCTGAGTAGCTGGGACCACAGACATGCACCACCATGCCTGGCTAATTTTCATATTCTTTGTAGAGATGGGGTCTTACCATGTTGCCCAGGCTGGTCTCAAACTGCTGGGCTCAAGCAGTCCACCCATCTCAGCCCCCCAAAGTGTTGGGATTACGGGTGTGAGCCACGCATGCCCAGCCTGGAGACACTTTTGGTCATCCTGATGGAGGAGGGTGGGTTGCTGCTGGCATCTAGTGGGTAGAGGCCAGGGCTACTGCTGAACATCCTACAATGCAAAGGACAGCCTCCCATGACAAAGAACGATTGATCCAAAATGTCAATCATGTTCAGATAGAGGAGAAAGAATGATGATAAAAGAGTTACTGGTTATTATGTTTATTCCAATCCCCAGAAAATGCCATTGAGAAGATTGAGGTAGAGAGAGATGCAAAAGGAGTTTCAGAAAAAGAATCCACAAAATCATGGGGACATGATTGGTTTGCAGGTGATGGAGGGTGAACAGTTAATGCTCACATTTCTGGTGTTGACAGCACACCCAGCTTGACCATATGAAATTATTCTATTGGTAAATAAGTTTCCAACCACAGGTTTTCAATTTAATCATATAACCACTATTTCAATGGTGGTTATGTCAATAAACATTGACGTAAGCATATGAAAGTTATCTTTAGGAAGTTGAGCTAATTAACATATATGTATAGACAACATAAAATATTTTCCAAAATGTATACACTAAAAGCATCTTTTACATTAAGTACTCAGTAGAAGTTTGTTGGCTTTACTAATAAAATTCAGTAAAATTTATTTTTAAAATAACATTTGGATAAAAGTGATCTAAAAGAAGAAGGGCACCTGAAAAGAACTTATAATTACATTAAAATAAATAACAAAATAAATTCAAAAATAACTCTCACATTCTTAGCTCTATCAGTACAAATATTCATAGGCTCAGAGGAGAAATCAGACTCCAAAAATACTTGCTCTTTCTCTCAAAGCCTCGCTCTCTCTCCTCTGCCCTCGTCTGTCTCTCTCTCTTTCACACACACACACACACACACACACACACACACACACACACACACAGTGACTGTCCTATGGACCAGCTTGGCCTGGCTTCTCCTTAGATTTCTCACTCCTTTACATGTCATTATCCTAGTAACTACGTAAGTCCCTTCAGAGTACATCCTGAGTCCTTCTTCTTTCTTCTGAATGCTTCAGATAGATAGATCTTTGGTTATTTCAGCTTTGCAGCTTTTTACCTTCAACTTTCAACCTCATAGTAATAAAAAACAAAGAACCAAAATGAAGGAATATCTGGCTGGATGGATTTTAGTAAGGTGCCAGGGTGGTTATGGTAGAACCTGCATCTCAATCTTCTCATGGCTCTAAGGGAAGTTTGAAGGAAGAAAAAAAATGAATCTGATTTTAAACAATAAGGATTTATTGAGCAACTATTTTATGCTATTCAAATGAATTGACTCAGTCATATCCATTAAGAATTACTCAATCATACAAATGTTTTTCATTGAAGTGAACTTAATCTTGCTTCACTAGATGAGTTTATGCTAGTTAACATTTTGTGCGTTTTTTCCAATCACTTGGTAAATGCCTCTGAAATGACTACTAGAAGCTAGAACTGAGATTAACACATTAGTCTGCATTTAAGTAGGAGAGAATTCTTATTTAATTTTATTAGGGGCTGAATGAGTTCATTTAACAGATGTAAATTTTATACATTCGATGAAAAGAAAACAATATCAGTTATTAAAGGCAAAGTCATAATTAATGTATTTGTTTACTAGTGAAATCTTACTCTTTTTGTCCCATTAGTTCTAAAACAGTATCCACAATGCTGTGACTGCAAAGAAACTGAATTGGAATGTGTAAATGGTGACTTAAAGTCTGTGCCGATGATTTCTAACAATGTGACATTACTGTGAGTAAAACTTAATTATTGGTGATATCTGTCCCTATAGTCACATGAAAACCAAGAAAAAACCCAATAGTGTTGCTTGTGCATTAGCAAAATAATAGAAACCCTGTTTAAAACTACCAGTCATCAGAGAATTCTCCATGCTTCCTATTCAGGGGGAAAAAATGGTTTACACACTGTATGTTAGATTAGCCTGTCATCAGTTAGCTCACAAATGTCTGTGGGCCTGGAGTTCTTATTTTCAATTGCTTTCTGATTTATGTATGATTACTACTGTCCTTGTGTTGAAATGCTTTTTTTTTTTGTTTTAAAAGGAAGCACACTCACTTATTCTACGTTTTTTTTAACGTTGGTAATCTATCCAAGACTGCAAAGATATAAAAGATCCATGAAGCTAGTAGCTATGTTATATCATGCAAAATTTTCTGTACTTTGCATAAAGTTCTTGAAAGCCTCAGGAATTTGCAGTCATGTCATCATTTGGGCATGCATGAGTGGGTTGGGATCTTTGGCTGGTTTTTGGTTTGGTTTGGTTTGTTAATGCACCCACAGAGTAAAAACAAAGAAGTTAAATCAACATGGACTTCCCAGTCTACTATACTAACTGGCTACATTTGTCAAATACTCACAAGCTACTTTATTTTGCTTTATAAACTTTTCATTCTCCCATGAAAAATTTTTAGTTATTGTCATGTTCAAATATGGATTAGTATAATGAACGTCATCAAATATTCTTTTCCCAAGCATGTGGCTTCTAGGGAAGAGTGGGTTGGCCATAACAATCCATAATGAAGTTTGCTTTACATGTTATTTTAGGTCTCTTAAGAAAAACAAAATCCACAGTCTTCCAGATAAAGTTTTCATCAAATACACAAAACTTAAAAAGATGTAAGTAGCCGTTAATAGCATATTTATTTAAAAAAAATCCTCGTGGTGGTGTAAGATGTTTTTGATCTAAAAATAAAATATTGTTTGTTATCTTTATCATTACATTTATGTTTCTAAATGTAATTAAGATTAGAAAATAAAACATTTGAAAGTATGTTATCTTTCCATTTCATAATTTGAAGGAGCTGAACCCATTTTATTTAAACTTTTTCAGAGAATTAACTTGGAGTCGAGGTAAAACATCTCAATAGGAAAATACACAGTTCCATTATTTTCCTCAAGATATTGGGAAAATGACATTGCAGATTCAGAGGCACTTTTTCACTTGAAAAAAAAAGAGTGACAGCATAAACAAGAACAATCAGATCATTTCAGATACATAATGATAGGGTACAGATATCCCCCAGGGTGTTAGGAGTGAAAACACAGGAGTTATGCAACCAGTGATATTAACATATCTGAGGAAAGAAAATGCCAATAAATAGGATATGATCAGCAGAGAAGGTATTCTGTGACAAAGAAGGGCCAATATGCTTCCAGAATCATCCAAGAAAGAAAACCGGGAACTGGGAAATATAATCCCTAGAGATGATCTCTCTTGGAGGGTCAGGATGCACCATCAATCCCCACCACAATTTTCATGAACAATCCCTTTGCTTTGATTCTCTACTCACCAAGAAACCTTAGGATGATGAATTTAATTTCCCAACTTCTTCATTTTAAAGTATTTGAAAAGTTGCATGGCATAGAGAATAAGAGCATTCCTATAAGTGGGATGGGATGCTTTCTATTCACATTAATAAATGGAGAATATTCAGGTTCGTGTATCAGTCATTTGTAAGTTGGATCAATATCTGTCAATCCCTCTGGGCCAGTTGCTCTGTGGCACTGGAGGGGCTACACCTGCTGAGATGATCATTAGACTAGATAACAAAATTAGCAAGAGAATGCTGTACACGCTGCAAGCCCCCTTGGTGGTACCATCATCTTATTGTTTTATCCTTCAATATCCAGCATAGAGGAGAAAAGTTTCTAGAAATGTGAAATTTATGAAAATCCAGGAATAAAAATTATCTGAATCTTTGCTGATACTGGGCACACACATTTGGTTTGAAATACCATCAAGGATTTTGTGTTCCTGAATTTAGGTATAAATTTCCTCATACAAGAAAAGAAGTAGCTAATGGAAGTCCATGACGTAGAACCTTGTGTGAACATCAATACTCAATCATACCTGGGCTTGATTGTGGCCTCTGTAAACCCCGGCTGCTCTCAGACCTGTTGCTTCATCCTAAAGTATGTGGGTATGTGGTCATGTCATTGCCACACTGGAGTAGCTATGCATTGGCTCTGCATGTCCAGATTCCTCTAGAGAGGAAATTCTAACCACATTCTTCCTAGTCTTCCAAGAAATCCCTAAAATCACAACATGTTCATTAGATGAATCAATATTGTCTTTGTACTGCCTGAATAATACATGTGGGAGGAAAAATAAAATAGCACTAGCAGAAAGGAAGGGAAGAGATTTTCGTTTCAGAATTCTTGTTTCACAGCAATTGAAATTCTATTTTCTAGAGTCATAGAAGTTTTAAGAATTTCTAATTAAATCTTCTCATTACACACGAAGTGACTAAAGTCTGCAATGGTTAAATGACTCACCTAAGATCTACAACTAGTAAGTGGAAGACCCAGAATTAGAGCCAATGTCTTCTGATGTCCAAGGTAGTGCTTACTTTACCATAACAGGAAACCTTAAGAGGGAAAGAAATAGTTCTAGCAATCAACTGAATTTCTACCAGCACAGACTGTCCCACCCCATGTAGAATTCCCTTGTATATGTTTTGCCCCCTAATCTGGGGCAAGCTGACTTCTGGGGAGGGGGCGGAGTCACTAGAGGCTCAAGCAGGAGGGTTAAAATTAGACTTCTCAGGCCACGTCCTTCCTTGGTCTATTAACTCATAACTGTGTTCTATGCCAATATCTCCCTCTGTGGTCCCAGGCCCTGCTAGCCCACTGAAGAGAAGAATATAGAAGCAATTTAATAATTCAGGTCCACAATTTTCCTAGTGAAAAAAGATAGAGACTAACCTTTATTGCCAAGATTAGCTAGCAATTTCTCTAAGTAAATGTCTAATTCTACTTTGTCAGAGAAAACAGGCACCACATCATAACCTGAATATCACCTGACAGGGCTTCTCCCCATGCAAGCTGCTATTTGATGATTTGCAGGCAATTTAATTTTCCCAGAGACTAATAGAAAAGAGGTTATGAGACTCTCATCAATAAACATTCACCAAGTGTCTATTATATGTAAGATAAAGCACAGGGGGATAAAACACAATTGCTTACAGTCATCTACCACTTTTTAAAGTTTACAAAGAATTCCAATATTTGGAATTTTCACTTTGGCTTTGATCTCCAAAGTCTGTGAGGTGGGGCAGACACCGTTACAGCAGTTTCAGGAATGAGGAAAGCTACTTGGGGAGAGAGGTTGTTTGCCCAAAGTCAGTCAGCTGACAAGTAATAGAGATTGGCCTCAAACCCAAACCTTCTGACCATGCTCCTTTGGAAGCCCACCCACATAGTCCAGGCTCAGAATATGTTATTATCAATGAAACCACCCAGTAAGTAAACTTTGATTTGAAAATAACTCAAGTTCTTTATACTCAAATATCCTAGAGCAGCTCATAAGCTCAACAATGCTTCCTTAAATCTCCTTTCCTCACCATCCCCTTTACCCACATTCCTCAACTCCTCCTGCTCTTTTCCAAACTCCCAGAAAAATAGCCCCCTGCACCAGTCCTACTTCTTGTCCCTCCTGTCCATCTACTCTTACCTTTTTCTTCCCAATCCTCATTCAATGACCCAAATAACAAATGTGGCAAATACCAAACCATCCCCAGGAAGGGATGTCAGTTGGAGGAAGAAACCAGATGGGCCTCAGCCAGAACTCTTGGTATGGAATCTGGTAGCAGGAGAGCAGTAGCTAGCAAGACCCACATATTCATTCACTCCTGTGATGAATATTTATTGATACCTACAAGGTGCCAGGCACCAAGGATACAGCATGAACAACACAGATGAAAAGATGAAATTAAGCTTGTGGAGCTTAATTTCCAATCAAGAAAGATAGTCAATAAACAAAGTTTAAAATATATAATTTGTTAGGTGGTGGTGAGGGCTAAAAATAAACCAGAAAGAGGATTAGAAGGTGCTGGGGAAATGGAATTTCAAACAATTCACTAATAATTTTGTCCACATTACCACTGCTCAAGGCGCCTCTAAAGCTTCCCATCATTCCTAAATTTACCCCCAAGAGACTGCTCAGAACACATCTAATTGGTCTTCTACATACGTCTACAGGTATTTAAGACTAGCTATCATCACCCTCCACCACACCACTAATCTCTTCCCTAAGTATCCTCATTTCCTTAAATTCCTCCCCAAAGGACATAGTTTCAAATCTGTTCTTCATTCTAGTCACAATAATCTGCATATGTTTACCTACATTTGTCTTGATGGGTGACATCTAGAATAAATATACTATTATCACCGTAACATGACCGAGGCAAATAGGGAAGAACTCGCATCCCTTTCCTTCTGCACTCTATGTGCCCTATGATTATATTGCTCTTTTGATGACTTCTTGATACTCTTGACTCCTAGTGATCTATAATTTCTAATTCCATGCCACATGTGTTGCTGCTAAGTGATGTGTGTGCTACATCTTGTACTCATGCACTTAGCATTTGAGAGTTAGTCATGGGTCCTTAAATACATCCCTAGTCAGTTTCATCCTGTTAGAGTCAGCTTTTCTTACCGGAGTGTGAAGGTCTTTTTGTATTTTCCATCATAGTCACTACTCCTCTCATAATTATGTCATCTGCAAATAAGATCAACTACCTTCACCCAGGTCATGGAGTAAAATATTGAAGAGAACAGCACTAAATTGTCTTTCTATATTCCTTCATCATCATCCTTCAGATAAGAATATGTGTCATTCTTTCTTTTGTCCATAAAAAATTATAAAACTGCTTGATCAATGCCCAGTAGACATGTAACAATGTTTATCACATAGTTTTGCACAGTCTTTCAAAGAAGAATATGAAGTTGGTCTGCCATGTGGTTTCTTGTGAGCTCTCCTGGTCACTCTCTCTTTGAGGCATAGACAAAGCAGCATCATATTCACCTGTTCTATGATCTTCCCAAGACCAGCATTGAGCTCATCCAACTACAGCTTGTGAAACCAACTTCTTCCCTTTTTGAGAACTTAAGACTACATTTGCCATCTTTTACTTTCCAGCTGCTCATCCTTTCTCTGGATTCCTCAGCAACTGATCATAATTTGATGTTCTCATTTTTTGGCATTTCTCAATTTCTGGGAGAAAATTTCCAAACCAGAGGGCTTTAATTAATTTTGATTAACACCTTCTACCATCTTGGGCTTTCACTGACCTGCCATATAGCCTTTCCATTTGCTTCAATCCTAAGACCATCTTCTTTGATCCAGAACACAAGAACAAAGTAGGAGTTGAGAAATAAGCAGTTGTTCCTTTTATATTATCTCACAACATTATAAAACAGGTTCCAGGAGGCAAACTGAGACTTTCCTTGACACTTTCTTGCTTCTCCAACTAGATACACATTTTTATTGCCACAGTATTCTCTACTGTTTGAGTTTTACACATGACTCGGGTCAACTACAATTCTATTTTCATGAAGCCCTCACTTTCCTTCTCGAAGGAACAACTCTCTGACCACCATACCCTCCTCATGGGCTGGACAGTCCTCCTGGTTCTCTCTTAGTCTATTGAGGCCTGTGTCGTAGCATACCTAGTAAGAAACCCATAAGGACTAATGAGTATTTGCTGAATGAACGATGGGTAGCACTAACATGTAGAACTAAAGAGAAGGTGGGGAGCATCTTCACCAGGGAGAAGAAAGAAACATAAGCAGAAATACTCAAAGGATGTTGAGAAGAGAGTGAACATGCAGTTTGCCTAAAGGAAAGGCATCCCCACAGGAGATGATGGAGCGTATGCCGGAGAGGTCACTGAATCTTGATTGTATGCCAGCTAAGGCATCTGAATTTTATTCTGTTTGAGCAGAGAACAGACATGCACAAATATGTGTTTTAGACTGTATTGAGCTAATAAAGTTAATCTGCATATTTAAGTTGTATTGGGATATATCCTATGCCAGGGGTTCCCAGACCCCAAATCACAGAGCGGTACCAGTCTGTGGCATGTTAGGAACTGGGCTGCACAGCAGGAGGTGAGTGGTGAGCGAGCAAGCAAAGCTGAGCTCTGCCTCCTCCTGTCGGATCAGCAGTGGCATTAGATTCTCACCGTAGTGTGAACACTATTGTGAACTGCACATGCAAGGGATCTGGGTTGTGCACTCTTTAAGAGAATCTAAGGATAAATGTAATGCACTTGAATCATCCTGAAACCATCCCCCCTCTCCATCCATAGAAAAATTGGCCAGGCACAGTGGCTCAAGCCTGTAATCCCAGCACTTTCAGAGGCTGAGGCAGGTGGATCTGTTGAGGTCAGAAGTTTGAGACCAGCCTGGCCAACATCGTGAATGTCTCTACTAAAAATACAACAAAAACATTAGCTGGGCATGGTGGCGTGCATCTGTAGTCCCAGCTACTCAAGAGGGTGAGGCAGGAGAATCGCTTGACCCCAAAAAGTCCAGATTGCAGTGAGCCAAGAACTCACCACAGCACTCCAGCCTGGGCAATGGAGCGTAACTCTGTCTTAAAAAAAAAAAAGAAAGAAAGAAAGAAAAAAGAAAAATTGTCTTCTACGAAACCGTGGGGACTGTTGTCCTGCGAGATCACCAAATTTAATGTCAAGAGGGTCTCCAGTCTGGAATGCTCTAAATATTCACAGTGGAGTTGAGATCATTTAGGCATCCAAAAAAAAACAAAAAACAAATTCCTAAATCAAAATTAAATCTTAATTGCCAGATGAATGTGTTGCTTAACTGATCTGAATGTTTTTACCATTGATCAGTTTATTCATTTTAATAATCTTTTAAAATGTCAGGCCTTTCTAAATTGGGGGTGGATGCAGTTTCAAATGACCTTTCAGGGAAATAAAATACAATTTATGGAATTGACTATAATACTTTATCACTGCTACCATGGAAACAAACAGCAGTTCTCCTCCTTATTGTAACAAAAACCTTTTATAAATTAGGAATTCCTTCTTAATCTGGGTTCTTGTTAAATACAATCACTGGAAACAAAACGAAACTCAAGGTGTCTGCCTGGCTCTTGAATACAAAATGGCACATTCAAAAATTGCCTATAAACATGCATGTCATTAAAGCATTTATTTGCTTTAGTTTCGGGTACATAAATTCCTGGCATTTCTGCTTGAAAAGTCCTGACAGCTGAAACTGCAGGAATTCATGAACCTGTAAGTTATCCTTAGAAAAGGCATTCGGTGTAAAGTATATTAAATGGGCTTATATCTCAGCTCTGAATAAAAAGAGGGCGCCACTTGCCAAGTTGTCATGTTTCCAAATATCCCCACACATTCTTTAAGCTACTATTCTGCAAAGAAGACAGCAGAGACTAGAGGATGGAGTTCAAGTTCAGCAGCCTAAGTCTGAGACATGGAACGTAGGAGGGACTACAGTTCTCTATGGGGTGGCAACCAGCTAACTAAATAGAAGACTAGAAGCTCTTCATTATTTAAGAGTTTGAGTTTTAACTGATGTCAGTGAAGGGAGATAGGTTGTACACATCAGATGAGTTGTGTGGATCACTGGTTTTACTCTTTCTTTCCCTTGACTTATAAGACAAAAGCGTAAGGTCAAATTCACAATTTGCAACTGCATTCATCTCTTCAAGATGTGACAACATGTAGGTAAAATATACATTCCATTTTTGAATTTCTCATCTTGAATAAAATGTAAATAGCATTAGTTAAGCAGTGAATTGTATATTTAAGAGAAACTTCAATATACCTACAATACAGTATTTTGCTCTTTTTCTATTTTCATTTGCTACTGTAACATAATTCATCATATTAACTTCATTGCATCAGTCTCAAGGCTCTGAAAGTGCTAAAACAGATATTGATCTGTGTGAGTTCATCCTATTCACAGCAGAACCTTCAACCAAAAGCAGAATGTATGCTGCTCTGTGAAGCATCTCCCCATAGATATGGTACCGGGAATGGGGGTTAAGATGGCACAAGGTCACACTGGGTTTCAAGTTTACTTTGCAGGATTGAAATTGATGCTTTGCATATCACCACAGATGTGATGTTCTGTAGTGCCAACACTTGGCACATGGAGGAACATAGGGAAAATGACCGTATTTGTAAAGTACTTGGGGTAAAAGATTGTGTTTGCTGATAACTGGAAGCCTGTCCTGGCTTTTTTTTTTTCCTTTCTAATAATCTTTATTTACTTTCACTTTCTTTTTTTAATTGAAGTTAAATAAGTGTACTTTACCATCTTTACCATTTTTAAGTGTACAGTTTAGTGGTAGTAAATATTCATTTGTACCCCTTCATCTCCCCGCTTCCTGACCTCTGATAACCCCTCCAATCTTGGCTTTACCTGGCTCTCTTCAGGTCTGAAAGAGTCACCATCCTGGCACTCTTATAAGACAATCGTGACTCAGAGGCAAAGGCTGGGGAGCTCTGCTAGGAAATAATCATGGTATAACAAAATTCACAGTATAGCCAGACGTCAAATGAGCATGTGATCTACAAATAGTTTTGCAGTAGAATATCATAACAATGAAACAGCGCTGTGTAATAGTTTAGGAAGCAATTCAAACCAAAATAAGAGAAATGGAAGCCATTCAAAAGACTATGTAACAATTTGTTACTATTAGTATAGTTATTTCCTGCCCCTGAGAGCCTTCAGAGAATAGGAATTCAGAGCTAACTTCCCATTGTACAATGAAGACAGCAAATGGAAATTATTTACTTAGATACTCCTGACAGCGCAATTACGGAATCAATACTGTACTATTAAGTTGCTTCAGAGGTTAAGTCAGTCCTGATCCTATGACTTGAAATTGGCATACTTGCCCTGGTTCAACTGCTGATGTCCTTTGATATCCTGAGTACCTAACTTGCCTTGTCCTTCTCACTTTGCATCATGAAATAGAAAAGAATTAAAGCTTGCCCTCTCCTTTATTTCATGGGAATAGAATAAGGATAAATGAGGAGTTAAAGGTGCATCTCTGTGCACAAAGAGGAAGAAAGTTCAGCAGTGCGAGGCTGGCTAGTCTCACATGGCCAGAAACTCCTGCCAGTCAGAACAGGACGGTCACCATAGTGCCAGTTTGCAGAAACAAGACTAGATCCTTCCGCAGACACATCACACTGGAGTTCAGCGTATGAATCAGAGATGCCTCAATCTCATTGCATGAGTACTATGAGGAAAGCACTGGCTAGTTGGTAGCCATTTCTCACTGACAACATCTCCCCAACATGAGAATAGGACTTCGTACTTCAATTTCACAATTGTCTTCAGGTAAAGAAAGTGGAGAATATGTTCAACAACCTAATATAGTCCATAAACCATAATCACCTGACTCTCTTATCTTATTCCTACCAGATTTCTTCAGCATAATTGCATTAGACACATATCCAGGAAAGCATTTTTTGGATTATGTAATCTGCAAATATTGTGAGTAACCTCTTTCTCATATTGTAGGTATAATTTTAAGCAAAGACTAAAAGGATAGAATGGTACTTTTTCAAGGCTCGACTTGATTGTAGGGAAGTGGGAGGAATAGGTTATCACAAAGTACTTAGATTAGTTATTACACTGAAAGAATTATTAAACGATTCCTACCTTTACCAGAAGACATACAAAGGTTCTCCTTAACCTTGTCTTCTCTAGCTTGGGTCACTTCCACAATATTTTAGCATTTTATTTCTTTTCTAACTCTTGCTAACTTGCTATGCATTTTCTTAAAATGCTAGTCTACTAAGGATGTCACCAAAAAGGACAAAAGCAAAAATTGCCCCACATACTTAGTTATTATACCCTTACAATCTAACATGATGTAATATCCCAAAACATTTTAGGACCACTTTCTCTGCCCTGGCCCTGGTGTTGCACACACTGGGCTTGTGGTTATCTGTACCTTCTGGATACCCCTTGAATTTGCCCCCTCTGCTCATTCAGCCGAATACTTTCAGACGCAGATGTCCATATCCATAATCATCATCAGTGGCTCATATTCTAATTATATGTGACTAAAATAGGGTATTGAGTTTGCCTAATTAACTCACCCATGCTATTTGTAGATATCTCAACCACAACTGCATCACAACCCTCAGACCTGGAATATTCAAAGACTTACATCAGCTAACTTGGCTGTAAGTACTCTAATTCTTCTTTCTCCCATAGAGGATCATAGTCTTGATGATATATAACAGTGCTAATGTAGTTTCCACTATTTGACATATCTTATTTTTATACTTGCTTTTCTGATTATCATATAATCTGCAGAACTTTATCCAGGCAATTCAATGTCATGTCAAGTAGTGGTTATGTGCCTGTGCATTTTAGGATGCTAAGAACCATCTGTGGCCTCTACCCACTAGATGCCTGTAGTATACCCCTTCTCCCAAGAGTTGTGACAACTAAAAATGTTTCCAGACATTGCTGAATGTCCCTTGGGAGGAAAAATTGACCTCTGCTGAAAACCACTGTACTGAAAAGTAAGCAAGTTAAGAACTTGTTCTGCTTTCCAGAGCATTCAGAGAGAAGTCTGAAAACATGATAGCTTGTAGTATTTCACCACTTTCCAGACTGAGCCACCAGCTCCGTTCCAAGAAACCTCACGTCAGATGTCTGTGCTTTCACCAGGAAAATACACAAGGGGCGGTTAGCAGGCTTTCTGTATTGTTTGCCCATTTTCTGCAGGTTGGCCTGGTCTAGTGGAAAAAGCCAGGGCCTCAACTTCATCCAAGCCCTTCTGTGTGCCTGGCCCTTAGCCCCATGCTTAGCCTTCCAGGCAACTTTTTCTTTCTTTCCTTTCTTTCTTCTTCTTTCTTTCTTTCTTTCCTTCCTTCTTTCTTTCTTTTCTTTTCTTTCTTTCTTTCTTTCTTTCTTTCTTTCTTTCTTTCTCTTTCTCTCTCTCTCTCTTTCTTCCTTCCTTTCTCTTTCTCTCTTTCTTTCTTTTTTCTTTCTTTCTTGTTTGCTTGCTTGCCTTCCTTTTTTCCTTCCCTCTTTCCTTCTTTTTTTTTTTTTTTTTTTTGAGACAGGGTGTCACTCTGTCACACAGGCTGGAGTGCACTGGTACAATCTCAACTCACTGCAGCCTCAATCTCTGGGACTCAAGCAATCCTCCCACCTCAGCCTCCTGAGTAGTTGGGACTACACGTGTGAGCCACTACACCCAGCGAATTTTTTGTATTTTTAGTAGAAATGGGGTGGGTCTCACCATGTTGCCCAGGATGGTCTCCAACTCCTGAGCTCAAGCGATCTGCCTGCCTAATACTCTCAGTGTTAAGATTACAGGCAAGAGCCACCACGCCCAGCCCAGGCAACTTTCTTAATTTTCCTAGACCTCTTTATTTTCATCTGTAAATTATAATTCCTTTCCAAGAAGGATGTTATGAGGATTATATCACATAACAGTTAAACAGTTCCACATGCAAAGCTCCTGGCATATAGTAGGTGCTCAATGTGGCTTCCTTCTCCCACTCCTGCCCTCACCGGCCACTGCAAGTAAGAGGAAACACAACCTGGCTTCACAGGCAACAAGAGGAATAGAGGCCTATTTCCCCTTACTCTAATTTCTTCTATAAAATATAGTTTAAAACAGTGGTTTGAATATGCAAATAGTTTCACTCTTTCACCCAGAAAGCTCCTTATGAATAGCGTGACATCCATCCATTGATTTAAACACACCTTATTTAATACATCAGTTTAACACCATGTGACCAAAGAACCCTCTGTGATTTCCTAAAAATTATACTTTAATTCATCCTTCAGCTCAGCCAATTAGTAGGTTAAGGCATTTATGGAGCCCAAATGCATTCAATACGTGGAGTTTGTGCCAGACCCAGGTACCCAGAGGTGACAGATACAACCTGGGTCTTTAAGTCCAGCAGGAGGTGGAGGCAGCAGGGAGAAAGCAAAACAATCAGGATCCAACTTGATAAGTGGGATGGAAGCTGTAGGAATTTGGAGGAAAGAGTTGCTCCAACCACAGACGGAAGGAAAAGCTCTCAGGGAAGGGACAGGTGAGCCAAGTATGGAAGCACACAAAGGAGTAGGCCAGGTGTTGAGGGGAGGCAGGTTTTATTTCACAAATGTCTCTAATATTGGAAATGTTTCTTGATACATTTTGTCAGAATTCTAGATGACAATCCAATAACCAGAATTTCACAGCGCTTGTTTACGGGATTAAATTCCTTGTTTTTCCTGTAAGTATTCATCAACCTTTCAATACATCTATCGATACATTGCAATGACATCTAGCACTAGCTTACAAAAAGAACTTTTAAAAAAATCAAGCCCACAAAAATTTTTATTAGTCAAAACTTCTCCTGTGTTTCCAGCCACAGTTACTGTTAATATAATACTTCCTGGCCATGGCTCAAAGGGAAGAGCTGACCAGATCATAATGAATATTTTAAGCCTACTAGTTGATTTTTCTATCCCTTTTAATTTCCTTTAGTACTAAGGCATGTTTTTATTTGCAGTGGTTGACCAAAGATAGTATTAATTTTTATATCCTATGTTTATATTTTCTTAGAATCTCCCAGGAGTTCATCTCCAACTCCATTTTTAATGGAAGAAAATGTGCCTTTGCCCAGCAAGACTCACTGAAACTTTCAAAATCTTTGTCCTACCAAGAGAGCTGTCTCACAATAATATTTTCACTGTTTATTAATACACTAGAATGATTTATCAGCAGGGGATTATTATATTCCTTTACAACTGATCATATAACATCATTATTTTTCCATTTGTCAAAAGGAACCACAATATCATAAATTAATCCTGCAGCTTAACATGCTCAAGAGTTGTTTTCTTTCCCCAAATTCCCCCTACTGTCACTTCTCCAATTTAATGCAGTTTCCAATGTGGCCCTTTAATATTATAAATGATTAATGATGCCCTTAAGAAGAAACTTTGGATGTATGGCACTGGAAATGATTACAACGTGAAGTTTACAAGGAAAATTACCATGAACTTCAAAATTATTACCCAATATATACTTTTGTTTCATCTCATAAAATTAAACTGTGTAACATCTATTCCTAGGATATGTATCATACTTATGCATTCATAGTTTCTTTGACAACATCTGCTCCCTAATCTTTGCCATACACATGTTTTAAAGACCATTTTGAAATAGCTATATATGTTATCATCATAAGATATTAATTTTAGCACGCAAGTTTTGAAATTTTAAAATAATAAAAAGACTGTCCTAAAAGTGTCATATCATTTTATTTCTAATTAACATTTTCTTTGTGTAAAGGTCTATGGTTAATAACTACTTAGAAGCTCTTCCCAAGCAGATGTGTGCCCAAATGCCTCAACTCAACTGGGTGTGAGTATTTATTTAGGAATTAATTTGTTATTTGCCCTGATTAAGGAAACTAGCCATAAAGTTAATTCAAGGTTACCTAGAAAGTCCATCTATAATTTCTTTCCAAAATCAAAATCTGATCATATTACCTTCCCAGTTTCAAAATTATTTGAGGGTTCCCAAAGGGTGAGGGTAAAGTTTGACCTTCCCTTTGAGCATCCAAGACCCTCATTTTCCATTCCTTACCCCATCTAGATGCTATCCCTGACCCTCGTATGCATGTATCAAACTACTACTCCTACAGTCAATTCCCTAAGCATATTGTTCCTTGGACTTAAAAAATCTTGCTCCCTTATTCTTTTGGATAACTTAAACATTTCCTTTGAAAGACAACTTAAACCTCACCTCCAGGAGGTCATTCCTGACACACCAACCAGTTTCAGCAGCCACCTATGTACTCCCACACATTACATCATCTACAAAACTCCACCACACTGCCCTGTCTCAGGGTACTATCTCATCCCTATCTCAGGGTACTATCACCATATAGTCATTGGGCTTGTCTTTTTTTTTTTTTTTTTGAGATGGAGTCTCACTCTGTTACCTTGGCTGGAGTGCAGTGGTGCGATCTCGGCTCACTGCAAGCTCTGTCTCCTGGGTTCAAGTGATTCTCCTGCCTCAGCCTCCCGAGTATCTGGGATTACAGGCATGCACCACCAGGCCTGGCTAATTTTTATATTTTTAGTACAGATGGGGTTTCACCATGTTGGCCAGGCTGGTCTTCAACCCCTGACCTCAGGTGATCCACCCTCCTCAGTGCTTATGTCTTCTATACTGTTCCATAAATTCTGGGAAGGCAGAAACCTATAGTATGATTTCCTACCCCAGCATTAGGACAATGACCAGTACATAATAGGTGCTCAATAAGCCTTTGTTAGGATGGATGTACTAAACCATTTCCACTCCTTGTTAGCTTTTAACCAATACCTGTTTAAAACATTCATTTAATTTACGTCGTACCTTCACCACCATTACCCACCATTCCCTGCCACATACACCTTCACGGTCTTCTGCAACAACCAGGATTGTCATGTCTATTGCTTTCCTGTTCCATGAAAATGCTGATGGTAGCGCTGCTGGAACTCTTCTCTGTCAAATCATGGAACTCAAGACCCATAAGATGATAAAGTTTTAGTACTTCAGCTTTTGATCCCCTCTAAACTAACCTCAAAATCTCTTGTTACAACACTATTAGGTGGTGTTGTGTTTATTTTCTGATGTTTATTTTTATGTATTTATTTAAATATATGCTGTCAAAAGGCTTCTAAAACAGTAGAGGTCTCACGTAAGTGTGCCACTATTAAAAACGGAAATAATGACCTGAACACCATGAGAATAAGAATAGGTGAAAAGAAAATACTTAGAAACTAAACAAGTGCATATACACAATGGGAAACACACAGGAAAGAGTAAAGGTAGCAGAAAAATATCAGGAGCTCAGCCTGCTCTCCCTCCCCAAAAGGGGCATCAGTCAGCAGGAGGTGAGGAACCAGCCTCAGAGCTCAGGGTTCCGGAGACACTTATTTTCACAATGGGCTCACACAAACACGTGGGAAAAAATAGACACACAATAAAAACGCACAGGTAGCAAGACAGCCTGATTGCAATTGAGAGCCTTTCAACACAGAGGGTAGGAAGCTGAAAGGCCAGACAGGAAGAAAGGCCAGACAGGAGAAAACCTGTCCTGGGGAGGCTTCTCCTCTTCCGTTACTTGCTGTCAAGTTGGACAATTGCTCCCACAACACCAAAGTGTCCTTCTTCGGAGAACATGAAAAACATTTTTTCCATTCCATTTCACAATATTTGGATTTTTAGGAGAGTATGGTGTTTGTTATTTTTAATCACAGTATATTGTGTGAAAAATGTACATCTCAAGTTCCTACACAAATCTCCAAGATAGTTTTAAAATAGGATTTTCTTAAAATGACAAAGGGATTGGTGATTTTAGTGTGACTATGAGAAAAGTTCAGAAGAAGAAAAATAGCTATTGCCATATTTGGGGAACACTGTAAGAAGCTGACTATGAAAAGGAATCAGGAGACTTGGCAGAAAAATGGGCTGTTTCTTAGTCCCCCGCATTGCTCAAAGAGGGAATGTCAGAGTGTTCCGGAAGGCGCTGTCCACGTATGTGGGATGCCACTGACCTGCAGAATTACCTGGCAAAATGAAATCTCCCCAGCAGTGCTTCTCAGACATCAGCGTGCATCGTAAACAATGGGCGAACTTGCTGAGACACAGATGGCTGGACTTCAGTACTAGAGTTTCTGATTCAGTCGGTCTTGGGCAAGAATCTGCATTTCTAGCAAGTTCCAGGCAGCGCTGAGGTTGCATCCCTGCCATTCTGAGCAGCATTGCCCTTGGCATTAGCGTCCTTGAGGCATCATAGAAAGAGCCTGCACTTTGGCATCACACAGATCGGGATTCACATCCTGTCTCTGGTGTTCAGTATGTGCAGGATAACTTTGGCCTGAGATTCTCCTTCAGCAAAACAGAGACAAGAACATCTACCTGATGTTGGAGGGAATGTGAGGATATAATGATCAATGACGCCACAGACATGGTAGTTAAGTGTCTAGGCTTTAGATTCTGACAGATCTGAGCTGGGTCAGTTCTACCACTTACTAGCTGTGTGGTCAGAAGGAAAGTGAATCACCAAAAGCCTTGGATTTCTCTTATGTTAAATGGGGGATAATAGCAGCAATTTGGCAGGAGTGCTGTGTGATGCGTGTAGAACAGCACCTGGCACCATAAAAGCCCAATCAATGGTAGTTTATGATGGGTTGGGCAATATTATAATTAATAGCATAGCATTCAGCACAGAAAGACGCTCGCTAAAAGTTAGGCTGCCCTTTCCTCAATTTTATTAACATTAGTTGGAAGGGGGAAAGAAGCATAATATTAGTTATACTAACCTTGCAATAATTAGGAGGAAAGATAGTAACAACTGGAATGAAGTAAAAATAAACTTGATAACCATTTTAAAAAGTATCTCTAAGCATATGATTTGTACAAAAAATATTAAAAATATCTTTCCTCCATGACTTCCAGGGATTTGGAAGGCAATAGAATAAAGTATCTCACAAATTCTACGTTTCTGTCGTGCGATTCGCTCACAGTGCTGTAAGTATACAATGGACTTCACTAAATGAGGGGAAACCCTATATATTTGGAAGTTAAAAAGAAAACATTGACAAAAAATTTTAAAGTAGTGTTTTGTTTACAGCCTTGGTCTGACACTGCAGTGCTAGAAAATGCACACACTGATTTATTGATTTGGATGTTGGGACTGAGCCTCAAGTTAAGGTGCCCACCCTTTAGGGACATCATGTGCCATCTTTATTTCCGTGCACCTTCTCAGCTGAACTGGGACCTGAAAGTTCCAGTTTCCTAACCCCATGGTCACCAAGGAAGGGAAATAATGTATGTGAAAGGGGTTAGCTGTACAATGATTAGCTTTACAATGATTAGCCAATGACTCTTACCATTTGATGTCTTTCTCCCTAAAGAAAAAAAAAATCATAATTTCATCTAAAAGGAAAAACATCTAATGCATTCTGATTGGCCAAAGATTCTGCCTCATGATTCTGATCGCTGTTTATATTTTTTATGGGGGCGGGAAGGCAGATGGTTTGGTCAATCAGTGCATTCATGCTGGAAAGCTTCAAAACATCAGTGTTTTGGTTTTGTTTTAATGATAGTTTTCCACATTTAGTAAGCACTTAGTGATGTTTGTTGATTGGATGGATGATTGGAAAAAAGAATGGAAAAGGAAAATTAAAAGAGACATTTTCTAAAATAATTAGATCCAAACAAAATGCAGCTTTCTAGACCGCACTCAGGACCTCAAATTGCTCATGACAGCACTTCCTGAAGAGAACATGGGGATGTCCACGGTGAAAAAGTCCTGCCTTAGTTTCCACTCCAAAAGATGCCTCCCTTGAAGACTTCAAAGGAGGCTTATAAAATTCTGCCTGGATCAGTGGCCTCTCCCAATGAGAACTGATTACTACAGCAGACGCAAACCCACATGCTGATTCTCGCCATGTCTTACAGGTTTCTGCCTAGAAATCAAATTGGTTTTGTTCCAGAGAAGACATTTTCTTCATTAAAAAATTTAGGAGAACTGTAAGTAGCATCGTCTACTAGGAAAATATGATTGCTTCTTCCGAGATTATAAATTTAAATGACTAGTGAGACTGCTTTGCCACTAGTAGCAATCAAAATCCTGTAGACTATTGGATATTAAAAATCAATTAAGAAAACCAACATTATCCTGAAGTCCAAAGCACATTCAAATCAGACAGTGGGCTAAATATGGATTTAACCTACCCTAGTTTCTCTACTTGTTTTCTTTGGGTGATTTCTTATTTATGTGTGTTTGGGAGTAAATGAGTTTTCCATGGCTTCTTAAACACAGGGATCATTTCTTTCTACTGACTGGAGTATAGTTAATTCCCAATAAATGTTTGATAATGAATAACTGACTAACTGAAATAATATTAATTCCTTATAACTGAACAAAGGAACAAATATGCTTACTAGTCCTTGAGAAATTATGACTTATATAGCAGGTGAAGCAAATCCCAATGCTGAGAATGAGGGTTAGGCTCACGGAAAAAATATTCAGAGAGCTCATGTGAATTTTTTCTGTTCAAATATTTGTTTTATGGATCTAAGCCTTTTAAAATCATTTCTCTCGCTATTAATTCATTGCTCCCCACATAATTGTGTATCAGTGGAAGTTAAAACTAAGTCTGTTACATTACACATAGCAGTGATTAGGATAGAAAACTCATCTTTCTGATTGAGGCCTTAAAATGGAAATTAATTTCTGAATTAATCTCTCCCCATTCTTTACACCTTATTTTGAAATCCAGAAAGGATTGGAGAAAATAATAAGAGTAATCTAAAAAATAACTCATGAATAGTTAAGGTAATTCAATCTAATTAATGAGCATCATAAATCAAATCCACACATATTTATGAAGTGCCTGGTATGTGCAAGGTACTGCATTAGAACTGAAAGTATGATCATTTTATAGGCAAAAACTTAAAGGCAGCTCATTCAGAAAAGACTTCCTCCCAGGGCATTCCTGCCCAGGCTGTGGAGGATGACTGTGGACTTGGGTTGCATGGTGGGGTGGAGGAATAACCCAGGACAAACAGAGGGGTTTTTTGTTTGTTTGTTTGTTTTGTTTTGTTTTGTTTTGAGATGGATTTTTTTGCTCTTGTCACCCAGGCTGGAGTGCAATGGCATGATCTCCACTCACTGCAACCTCTGCCTCCTGGGTTCAAGTGATCCTCCTGCCTCAGCCTCCTGAGTAGTTGGGATTCCAGGTACCTGCCACCATGCCTGGCTAATTTTTTTTTTTTTTTGTATTTTTAGTAGAGACAGGGTTTCACCATGTTGGCCAGGCTGGTCTTGAACTCCTGGCCTCAAGTGATCCACCCGCCTCAGCCTCCCAAAATGCTGGGATTACAAGTGTGAGCCACCACGCCCAACCCAGAGGGGTATTTTATATATAAACTTAAGGAAACAGTGGTACAGAGTCCATATTTTTAAAATTTTCCTAACCCTCTTCGCATCCTACATATAGGCAGAGGCACACCAAAAATAAGAGCCCACTTAAGAGATGCCAGCTTGCTATTAAGATCTATAGTGATCCATTGCAATTCACTTAGCCTCAGAAAGCTAAAAGAAATTCAGAAGCTGGTAGGCTTAACTAGAACAAGGCATTCATATGTCTTGAGTTTACAAATGTTAAGTAGTTTTACTGTGCCTTCATGGCAACAAACCCATCCAGGGAGGAATAAGCACAAGTACTTGAGACCCCCAAAGTCCTTTCCTCCAAAAGAGTGTGCTTTATTTTTCTGGGTAACCCTTTGAAAGGCATTTTCTAGGTGTATGAAATCATCATCATATTGCTTTATTGTCAGGCTCTCTCTGGCCTGTGTGCACCTGTGGTCTCCCTTCTGGGCTGAGATCTAGGTGTGCTCCTCTCATCTGGAGGACCAGATGAGACATCTCACTTGGCAGGACTTCAGACTTTGGTGTCATGACAGCACCTCAAAAGCAACCCATTTGAAACAGAACTAACAAGAGACCCCAACCTGATGGCCAGCTTCTTCACCTGGACTTGCCATCTCAGTGCCTCCTTCCTGGTAGCCAGGCTTGAAGACCATTCCGTTTCCCTCCAACTTTCTCTTAATACATGTTCAGCCAGACCCTGAGCCCTGCTGCTGTCCCCCTTAACCCTCATTTGCTCTCACCTGGTCCATGTAGAAGCTCCTGCCTGGTCTTCCTCCCCCAACTCCCAGGCCTTGTTGCCTGTCTTTCATGCTTCTGACAGAATAATCATTCCATAACCCGGAGTAAATGATGCCATTGCCCTATTTAATGTTCTTACTTCTTGTTGCCTGGTGTTTAGCAAAGTCCTTGACACAGTTCTCAAACATTAATGGGCCGAAGAATCACATGGGATATTGGCTTAAATGCATGTTACCAGGCTCCCTCCCAGAAAGTCTGATGTGATAGTTCCAAGGTGGGTCCCGGGGATGTGCTCTTTTTATAAGCATCCTTGGGGACTTGGATGCTTGGACTCTACTATGAAAACTACTGCCTTGAAGTGCACGCATGGCTTTCCCATTTTGTCTCCACGCACTCTCCATGACGTCCTCTACCTCTCCCTACATCTTGCATCCTCCACCCATGTTGGATCACTTCCTGACTCCTGAAAGTGTCACTGAATTCCAAGCATCTGTGGTTCAGATCATTTTTTACACCCACCTGAGAAGCTGTTCTTCTTTTACCCCACCTAAAATCATCAAGCTTTCTTCAAACACTTCCTAATGTCCCAGGCCAAGACTGATGACTCTTTCCTCTATGTTTTCTCTGCACTTCTATAATAGCACCTGTTTGATTGTTTCCTTGTTTGTATCTAGTTGCTACTCTAAATGTAAGCTTCTTTACAAAAAGAGCTAAGTCATAGTTATTTGTAACTCCCACATAACCATCAGCAGTTCCAGAGTATCAAAAGAGATCATTTTTGTTTGACTCTTAGTTAGGCAACTGTATATCTGTTTTAACATCTTCTCTGGCTCAGAAATATACTCTGGACTCTTAAAGATTCATTTCTTCTGATTTTAACAGGTCTCTTTTCCACATTTTATAGAGTCACTTTCTTAGGATTCTGTCTGGATTGGACAGTCCTATTATATTTAATTCTAAACTTGCAATTTCTTCTGCAAAAATAGTCTTGTAGAAGAACATATTAAAAGCGTGTGAACTTATTCAAGATTATCTGGGCAGATACTGAGTGGACAATATTGTCTTGGTTGGAATGCAAAACAAATCAAAGATGCAAGACTTGACCTCGAAAAGTGTAGTTGGATAAACAAGAGACCACGTATATGAAGCAAGTGGCAATCACAGAAGCATGAAGAGTAGAAGTGTACAAAGAGTATCTAGAGCAAGGGAAATTAACCAAATTAGATATGAAAGCCAGGTTGGGAATGTGTTTGAGAGAGGGTAAGAGGAAATTCCAGATAGGAACTGGACGAGCAAAGTGTTACATGTAAGTGTTGGAAACCGTATCCATTTGGCTGACTCATACGGCCCTGTTGTGTAACAAGTTATCAGGTTGGTTAAATTGGATTCATATTTTCTGTTACATCAAATGGGATGATGATAATTGTGAGGAGTAATAAGTCTGTCATTTACTTCCAAAGTAATTGCTTTGGGTTTTCATTGTCGTCAACAGGGATCTGTCTAGCAATACGATAACGGAACTATCACCTCACCTTTTTAAAGACTTGAAGCTTCTACAAAAGCTGTAAGTTCTACTTCTCACCATAATCAGATTTAAAGGGCAATATTTTGAGCTTTCAAAATAATAATACCTTCAAACTTCTTTTCCTCTCTCATCTAATGGTAAAAAAAAAAGGAACCTGTCATCCAATCCTCTTATGTATCTTCACAAGAACCAGTTTGAAAGTCTTAAACAACTTCAGTCTCTGTAAGTGAAATATTACAATTATATTGATTATAATTTTAGTGGATGTACTTAGAGACACATTTATTTTTAAATGGGTATTTTGCACACAGGAGCATGCATTTCAGACAACTGTCTGAATCACAGATCCCATCAAGTACATACTGAATGACAAATAAGCCTCATTATTTACCATTCGACATGTATGAAGTCCATTTCTGTACTTGAAGAAGGTTTCAGGAATGTCCTTCTTGAAAACTGGGTTCATGTGGCAAAATCTCATCCTACAGTTTTCACAAAGAATTAAATTTGCAATAGTTTTGTTTCTAAAAGTTTGGTTAAAACAAATTATGTAAGACTTGCCTGCTTTTCCCCTTTGCCCTTTCCTACAAGGATCTACTTGATATTAGTGTACAGTGCATTGTTTTACTTTTAAATAAGTTTTTAAAAAACTGTCCCACAAATATGCACATTCAGAAAATTAATGTACAGTATTTTTACATTTCAACCATATTAAGTTTCAGTGGTATCAAGAACTCTGCCACTTTTCCTTTGAACTTCATGATTTCTTTCCAATGGATGGCAATTGCTGGCTAAAGGTTGTTTGTTTTCACACAGACAGCAGACTACGCTGCCTGACTGCAGCCTAAAGCATTTCCTCCTTTAATTCCAAAGACCAATTCTTAGTATCATCTTTTATTCTTGCTAGTTTTCTATCAGAAATTAATGCAAGATTTAGGTTTCTCTCTTACCAGATATTAGTGAGCATCCACTGATGAAAAAGATCTGGTCCCTATTCTTAAGAAGCCATAATATTAAACATATATGTTTATTTTTTAAAATATAAGGACAGACCTGAGGATGTGGACAGCATGATTCTTCTCTTTGCTTACCGCATACTGCATTTCTGAAAGCCAAAATACCAAGTCACTACATAATGCCTTCCTGAAAGTCAAAGTAGTAATTATTTATTACATACTTTTCTTTATTCATTTCTACTTTTTTTCTTTAGTGTTTTTCTTTCTTTCTTTCTTTCTTTCTTTTGAGACAGAGTCTCGCCCTGTCGCCCAGGCTAGAGTGCAATGGCACAAGCTTGGCTCACTGCAACCTCCGCCTCCCGGCTTCAAGCAATTCTCCTGCCTCAGCCTCCCAAGTAGCTGGGATTACAGGCGAACGCCGCCATGCCAGGCTACTTTTTTTGTATTTTAGTAGAGACAGGGTTTCATTGTGTTGCCCAGGCTGGTCTCAAACTCCTGAGCTCAGGCAATTCACCTGCCTTGGCCTCCCAAAGTGCTAGGATTATAGGCGTGAGCCACCGTGCCTGCCCAGTCTTTCTTTTTTTCCTGTGATTCATTTACCCATTTATTTCACAAACATATCTTAGCCACCAACTTACACAAAGCATTGTTTTAGCACTTGGGATACAGTGGCCCCTGCTCTTCAGGATGCTATAGGTTAGTAATCAAATAATCACAGAATCCACATAAAGCTAAAACTGTGTAAGTCAAGGACAGAGCCAGAGAGAAAAAAAAAAAAAGGAAAATTAAACTTTTAGAAAGGGCTTAGAGTCTCCTGCTAGAGGGGCCATGCAATTACTCAGTAGTATAACAGCTTTCCCAGATTTCATTTTTGACTTCCAAAAAGCAAGAACTCCTTGGGCAAAGGAAAACTCAGAACCATGTTGAGAAATCTTTATTCGGATTAGTCAAAAAGAAACCAAGTGAGAATCAGACATATTTCAAAATAAACATTAAAAGCAAAAGGCCTCTGTCTTTTTAGATTATCTCTCTCCATCTGCTTCCTAAGAACATGGCAGCTCTTAATTCATACCATCCTAAAGAGATCTTCAAAGTGTCCACATTTGTAGAAGCAAGCATTGAGGTCAACTAAGAGAACAGGAGTGATCCTTGGATCCCTTTGAGGACATTTTATGGGGCCTGAAGGATTTAAAGGAATTTAATTAAATTTAACTTAAATTTAATTAAAGGAATTCTAAGACATACCACTGGTGTCTTAGAAGACTCCTGAATTGGAGTTCCTCTTGCTACCTTCATGGTTTTCCATCCTAAAGACACATAGGCCAGGAAGAAATGATCATATTTAAATCCAGATTCTCACAAAACTCACTTCAGTGATGCTCTCCGGTTGGAAAGATCATCTCCTGAATTAAACCCTCTAATTCCTATGGCATTACTTATATTAATAAAATCAAACTACAGAGCCAATTTCATAATACACAAATCACCACTGCCATTCTTAAATCAAAGAAATGAATGAATATGTTCTATTAGAATGTAATTCTGCATGTGAAATGACACAATCAGCGCCAAACTGCAGGAGGCATAAATAGAAACAGCCATTTTCTAAGATAGTGTACTGTAAAACTTTCATTCTAATCTGCATTGGTAACATAAGATCTTGAAGCATTATATTTCGGATATGATGAAGAATGCAATTATTAAAACGTTTCATCTCAACACCATTAAACCTATCGTGTGTATTTTCCAGAGACCTGGAAAGGATAGAGATTCCAAATATAAACACACGAATGTTTCAACCCATGAAGAATCTTTCTCACATGTACGTATGTATAAAAAATGGAGGAGGAAGCATGGTAAAATGCTTCAAATTATCTCCTGTAAACTGTCTAATGTATCACTGCAATGTGTTTCTATGCAACAAAAGTCATTTTATTGAGAACTTTTTAATTTTGTCACCTTTGGTCCCTGTTCAAATAGAGTTCAATATTATGATGTGCCGACATGAATGACCCTTCTCTCTGGAAACACGCTGTTTATCCAATTGAGGCCCAATAAGAGATCAGGGTACCAGAATGCCACATATTACACAAGATGAAGTCACTGGCTAAATGGTACTCAGGCGACCTGGAAACATTAATTCACCTCTCATGAATGAGCAGTCGGCTGCTCTAAGATTTGAGCCCTTAGGAAGAAAGGTGCTATATAAATTCCAGGTGTTGTTACTGTTACTAAGTGCACTACAAAATGGAGGTAATTAATCTTTATAGTAGTTTTTGATAAGTCACTTTAGTATATTTGGCTAAAGTGCACTGTGTAAGTTGTGTTAATATATGTGTTCATAATTATTTCTTTATCAACTGTGTAATCTATGTGTTCATGACTTCAAAAATTAACCATTGTTATCTACAAAAATAGGGAGAATTCAATGTAAGATTACAAGTTGGGTACAGCAAGTGGATGAAATGGTGGCTGTGAAGGTGCTCTTTTGGGAGAACATTTTGTTTATGTCTGTGCAGTAGGTGTGATTACTAAAAGACAAGTGTTTGATGCATTTCCACATGGTTTTGTTCATTTTCTTCTGTGGCACTATTAGATAAATGTTTAATGAGGGTATCATTTCCTTGTTGTAGGCAGGATATGGGGTCTTCTTAGTATAGAGAAATTCAAACTATTTAGAACTTGATGGAGAAACTGCTGTGTTAAATATAGACCTCAGGCCAAGGTCAAGAACAGGTCAACAATTAAGAGAAAACACATTAGCTTAGTTACTTCCCTACTAAGTAACCTACTTACTCTTCTTTCATATTCCTTGTCCTTTATTTATTGAAACATCCCCACCTTGTCACCCCAATCCCTTTCACCTGACAACGAGTAGTGTGGTCACAGCGCAAGGGGGCCCTGAACCACTGAGAGATGCTAGACGGTTCTATCTGAAGATAGCAGACATAATGGAATCCTAAAAGGACCAAGAAGTCAAGCCATGTGTGTGCCAGGGACTCCAGGGAAGGAGAAGAAAAGAGTTCATTATAGTTCAGGTTCCTTTAATTGGATGCCAGATATTAGGAAGCTGAACTGTAAGCTACTTGAAGGCAAGAATTGCCTCCTGTTTCTCTTCCTGACACACCCAGTGCTAAATTATTCATCATCCACTTGCTGATCCAAGAAGTATTTGTTGAGTACCTACACGTGCCAGGCACTGCGTTAGACACCAGGGACATAAAGATGAACAAAAGAGAGGATGTCTGTGCCTGAGAGCTTCCATTTAGCTTTGGGAACCAGAGAGTAAAGGAGCAAGTGAGTAAATAGTGAATAAGTGCTACAAATTTAAATAAAGCAAGGTAAGGGATAGAAGGAGGATTGAGGATTACCACTGAGGTGGGGTGGATGGAAGTTGGAGTGAAGTGACATTTGAGCAGACCTGAGCGGAGGGAGAAAGCAGCCCTGGCAGTATCCAGGGGAAGAATCTTCCAGGCAGGGGCATAAGAAAAAGCAAAGCTCTGAGTAGGGCATGAGCATGGCTTGTCTGAGGGTGTGTGTCTGGGTGGAGTAAGCATTGCAGGGCAAGAGGCGAGGTGGTGCAGGCAGCCAGGGGTCTGATACCAGGCAGCCTTGGTCTAGAAACTGAATTGAGAAATAACAAAAAATGAATTAAACTGACAGCAAAGAGCAGAAAAGTGAACTGAAAGAAGTAGCAAACGAATAAAAATAGAGCAAGTTTTATGAGAGAAAATTCTAAACACACAGGTTTGAGGGATGGCAATGGCCAGATGACCTCACCCATTCCAGCACTTCCAGATGCCTTGTGCCCACTGACCACAAACAAACTTATTTTCCCATAGAAACTAACTCCTTCCAGACCCTGGTAAGAAATCTGTGTTTAAGGCAGCTGCTTCTCTTCCCAGATCCAGTGAGAATGCATTTTCCTAGTGTCAGAGGTCCTCCCTTCCTGCCAGTGTCAGGGAAGAGGAGGCTAGTTAAAGTCAGTAGACCTCGGTGTTTAAAACTCAGGACAAGACAGAAATGTTCTAGGTGAGCGACAATAGGCTTTTCCCATCCCAAGCCCAAGCCCCTGAAAGTCTGCTGGAGATCACTTTGACAAGGATAATCCACTTTTCATAATACCTTACAGAATAATCAATAAACCAATGTGACCAGGGAACATACAGCCCCTGAGATTTCAAATTTTCATGTCCTCCCAAACTCTCCTCATCCAAGTTACTGAATTCCTATGTTCTTTAGGTTCCTCATCTTTAAAAGGATACTGCCTAGTGTTTCATGAAGAACTCTTTAATTATATAAACACTACTAAACAAAAATAAACAAACCTAGTGAAGTTGTATACCTAGCATGGAGTTGCAGCCCCGATAGGACTGCAACTGTAGGTTCTGTATCATTGCTGCAAAGTGACACTTTTTTTCCCTTTGACTTTAGTTATTTCAAAAACTTTCGATACTGCTCCTATGCTCCCCATGTCCGAATATGTATGCCCTTGACGGACGGCATTTCTTCATTTGAGGACCTCTTGGCTAACAATATCCTCAGAATATTTGTCTGGGTTATAGCTTTCATTACCTGCTTTGGAAATCTTTTTGTCATTGGCATGAGATCTTTCATTAAAGCTGAAAATACAACTCACGCTATGTCCATCAAAATCCTTTGTTGTAAGTATGTTTCCAGTATAAGTAGATTAAGGATATCTTCTGTGAGTTGTGCACTAGACATATATATGTATTTATTGGCTTTCAACAAATGGCATTTAATGTGAATTATACATCCTGGGCACATTTTTTTTTCTAAATATAAAAGTTCTGGCTCTTTGTGGCTTTGTTTTAGGTTGTATGACCTTACAGTGGCCTGCTCTCAGGAGTATGTCTTGGGAATGGGCTAATAGGCAACCAATGAGTCAAGTGACAGATTATAAAGTTTTGTGGGTGATAAAACTAATCTGAACTTCAATTACAATGATACCTATGCTCATTAGGCCTGGAAAATGATTCCCTTTATTAACTATGAAGATACTATATGTTAACTGTTTAACAACTAGTCCTTCCTCCTTCCAGAAAATTCCCATTCCGATTTTTTTAAACTACAAAATAAAAACATAGTGTAGTACTTTAGAAATATTACAGATTTTTAAGTCCACTCGCTTCTTGGTACTCAGATGTTTACATTAGTTCATTTGATATAAGATGAAAGGAACTAGATCTAATTAGAAAATTAAAATGCTGGAAATAGACTTAATCAGAAAACTAAAACAGGGACATTGGAAACTGATGACATACACTGTTTCAATTCTTCCACAGGTGCTGATTGCCTGATGGGTGTTTACTTGTTCTTTGTTGGCATTTTCGATATAAAATACCGAGGGCAGTATCAGAAGTATGCCTTGCTGTGGATGGAGAGCGTGCAGTGCCGCCTCATGGGGTTCCTGGCCATGCTGTCCACCGAAGTCTCTGTTCTGCTACTGACCTACTTGACTTTGGAGAAGTTCCTGGTCATTGTCTTCCCCTTCAGTAACATTCGACCTGGAAAACGGCAGACCTCAGTCATCCTCATTTGCATCTGGATGGCGGGATTTTTAATAGCTGTAATTCCATTTTGGAATAAGGATTATTTTGGAAACTTTTATGGGAAAAATGGAGTATGTTTCCCACTTTATTATGACCAAACAGAAGATATTGGAAGCAAAGGGTATTCTCTTGGAATTTTCCTAGGTAAATTATATTTTTTCATTTCCTGGAAAAACATAATTTTGCTAGAAATACGTTAAATTTCAGCAAAGGTGGATTTGTTTGTTTCAGAAAGTGAGATAACATAGTCAAGACTGTGTCCTTTTTCACACAAAAAAGTTTTTACTATTGTGTTTATTGAAGTTTTATTAAACTTTTTATTAGACAATATTTAGTGTGGAAAATAAAGACATACTACCAGGATCTCTGGATGATATTTTTATTATCCATAAGATCCTTTGATTTCATGTTTATATGAAATGACTATGAGCTGAAGGAATTCCAGTTTAGTGCCTCATCCTGTAAACCTACCAAGTTATTTAAACTCTTTTTTTTTTTTTTACAATCTAGTTATGAGTTAAGTAAATAATAATAAAACTCAGGAAACTGACAAGTAAGAGATATCTGAATGGAAATACCAGGAAGGTTTATTGCCTTTGTTAAATGCAGCTGTTAAGTCAGCAATGTAAGGGTGCTTAATAAAGCTCTTTCCTTTCCAGTTTTCTCAATTCCTTCTAATATTGTAAAAGAAGACTCTGTGTTCTTTAGAAATGAATGACAAATTTAGCCCTTTAAAGTTAAAAACACTTTTTTTCTATTTTCTAATATGTATCCCTCCTGCTTAGAATTAAGGCCTTTCCTATATCCTCTCTTTGGGGCGATCTTCTTTTGACTCTCTCTTCTAATCTTTTCTTCCCATCCAAGGAGCCAACAAGCTCTTCTGTCCTTTCTTTTTCTTCAAAATTTGCTTCTGCTTCTGCTCCTTCCAGTCTCTACCCACTGCTGTTGCCTTAGTTGGAAACCTTACTCCCTCAACCCTGAATTATTACCTTATCCCTTACTGGTCTCGTAACCTCTGGGACCTTCCCCTTCCTCTCATTTATCTATTCACTACCATTGTTATATTCTCTGACTATCAAAAGGACTGTGTACACCTCCACTCAGAGACCTTCAGTGGCTCCCTAGTACTATCAAGGTCAAGTTTAAATTAGTCACTTAAAACTCATCATGACATGACCCTAACCATCATGCCCAGTTCTTCTCCATTACTCCTTCTCTTCCTCCTCTGAAAAACAGAACATTTAGTTTGCACCACTTTAGTAATACCCCTCACACACTACCCTATTTGGTAGTTATTTGGTCATAGATATGTCATTCCCAGGATCCAGAGTATTACAGGCTGTTCTTTGTATTTCCTTATCATTCATTCCCTCATTACTCCTAACATAGGTGCACTTAATAGAGACTCTCCCTGAAACACACACCACACACACACACACACACACACACACACACACACACACACCATGACATGCATTGTTCAAATAGGCATTTATTCAGCACTCACTATAGGCTGTGCACTATATACTATATTAGGTACGGGAGAAACAACAGATCCAGCCTCAAAGGCCTTACAGACCACAGAGGAGGAGGCAGACAAGTCAACATGTCCTCACATCACACACAGGCTGATAAATGCCATCAAGGAAGAGTACAGAATGTTCTAGGAGCCCCAGATCTGAGTAACAGGGAAGGCTTCCCAAAAGAAATGAATTCAAACTGAGGCCCAAAGGATGAGGAGGTATTAGCCAAGCGAAGGCAGAGGAGGGTGGGGTGGGGTCTGTGTTCCAGGAAGACATAGTGGATTCCCAGGCTCAAAGCCAGGGAACAGGGTAAGATGAAGGACTGAAGAAACTCATTTGGTGGAGCATACCATGCAGGCATGGAGCTCGGCCCAAAGGAGTTAAGTATCTGGGATATATTCCAGATAGACAAAGAGATCGTCACACACACACACAAACACACACTCACAAAATCATCATCATCATCAATTTGCATATGAGAGGAAGAGTCCCAGAGCTCTAAAGTACAATTTTTTTTCTGTTTGAAGAATATAAGAATACATAATTTTTAATTAATTTTTTATTTGAAAATAGTTTTCATTTTAGGAAAGGTGCAAAGATAATACAATTTTCCACATATGCCCCACCTGGTTTCCCCTATTGTTAACATCTTTCTTATATTACTATCGTGCATTTAGAGCATACACTTTTTTTTTTTTTTGAGACAGAGTCTTGCCCTGTCTCCCAGGCTGGAGTGCAGTAGCGCCATCTCGGCTCCCTGCAACCTCCGCCTCCCAGGTTCAAGTGATTATTTCGCCTCAGACTCCCAAGTAGCTGGGATTACAGGTGCCCACCACCATGCCCCGCTAATTTTTATATTTTTAGTAGAGTCCAGGTTTCACCACGTTGGCCAGGCTGGTCTCAAACTCCTGACCTCAAGCGATCCGCCCACCTCGGTTTCCCAAAGTGCTGGGATTACAGGTGTGAGTGACCACACCCAGCCTAGAACATACACTTTTGATCCTTTCTGTAAGTCTGCTATCAGAATTTGGGGCAGGGGAGCATTTTCTAACAGAGTGATTATCTTTTACGCTTAACTAAATTTTTTGGAAAGAGGCCTAAGACAACTAGTTTTATAAAATTTTACCGTATGGCTTTATACTATGATTTCATTGAATACGAAATGATTTGGATAAAAATAACAGATCACCTTGAATTTAAAGTATTTTTACCCTAGACTTCACCAATCTTACATACAGTCTAGGTTCAGATTCATATTTTTTAACAACTTTGAAAATATATGCAAGTCTTATTTTCACTGTGAGAAATGAGATGATCACTCAGGATTTTAGCGACAGCAAGAATAAAGCAAAGAGTGACTAAGAAGTCAGCATGAAAGGTAATAGTGATGTTAGGTGGGAATCTTGTGAATATATTTGGGCCCAAAAGAATAATTCACATAGTTGAATTTTTAACTTTTTTCTTTTTTTTAATAAAATTAGTCTAAAGGTTCTGAACCACAGTAGTTTAATTTACTGTAAGAAACATGAAGAAAAATAAACAAAAATACATTTTTGTTCTATGTGTTATTCTTTTTTTTTTTTTTTTTTTTTTTTTTTTTGAGACGGAGTCTTGCTCTGTCGCCCAGGCTGGAGTGCAGTGGCGCAATCTCGGCTCACTGCAAGCTCCGCTTCCCGGGTTCACGCCATTCTCCTGCCTCAGCCTCCCGAGTAGCTGGGACTACAGGCGCCCGCCACCGCGCCCGGCTAATTTTTTGTATTTTTAGTAGAGACGGGGTTTCACCTTGTTAGCCAGGATGGTCTCGATCTCCTGACCTCATGATCCACCCGCCTCGGCCTCCCAACTATGTGTTATTCTTAAGACCAAAAACATTAGGAATAATGTTTCTCAGACAATTATATTCATGATAAATTCCAAGGTTATTTTATTCATTTATTAAAATTATTTTTATTTATTTTTATTCTTTTATTATTCATGTTTATAGGATAAGAAAATGGGGTTGTTTTTATTTTTTGAGATGTGCATATGATTACAGTAATCCCTTAAGGTTTGAATCTGCAGAGAGCTGAAAACAAAAATAGCTTCTTTTCATGCTTTAAAAGAGCTAGAGTTTACTTCATGATATGCCTAGATCTGAATTTTAGAAGTCTATAATTCCTCATAAGGGTTTATGTATTTGAAATCTCTTTTTCATCTGGTGAACCCAATTTCTTTGTTTTTATTCCCTTGAACCTGGGTTTTACCTAACACCACTGGGCTTATATAAAAGAATGCTTCCTGGAAGTGCCCGTGGAAGAGGCACTGTATTTAACATCTAAGTACAGGTTAAGCATTTGTAATTTGAAAATCCAAAATTTGAAATGCTCTAAAATATGGAACTTTTTGAGCATCAACATGATGCCACAAGTGGAAAATTCCACACCTGAAGCTTTTGCTGTCTGATGGTTCAATGTATGCAAACTTTGTTTCATGCCCAAAATTATTTAAAATATTGTACAAAATTACTTTCAGACTATGTGTATAAGGTGTATATGAAACATAAATAAATTTTGTGTTTAGACTTGGGAACCATTTCCAAGATATATCATTATGAATGTGTAAATATTCCGAAATCCGAAATCCAAAACATTTCTGGTTTCAAACATTTTGGGTAAGGGATACTCAACCTGTACCACAGTAATTTTACTGTTGACTTTTACGCCTGAGATGTTAAAAGTGTGCTTTTCCCAACAGGTGTGAACTTGCTGGCTTTTCTCATCATTGTGTTTTCCTATATTACTATGTTCTGTTCCATTCAAAAAACCGCCTTGCAGACCACAGAAGTAAGGAATTGTTTTGGAAGAGAGGTGGCTGTTGCAAATCGTTTCTTTTTTATAGTGTTCTCTGATGCCATCTGCTGGATTCCTGTATTTGTAGTTAAAATCCTTTCCCTCTTCCGGGTGGAAATACCAGGTCAGTCTCTTCTATCATTCCCAAGTATAATACATCGTGCCTTCTTACGTCCTTCTTTTGACAAGGCCAGAGTCTAGGACACATAATAAATTATTCATAAAAACCAATACAAAGTTATTTCCCTCCATGTTTTATAATCAGTATTATAAAATAGAAACTGAGTAGTGGTGCAATCCAACCAGGAATAATAAAAAGCAGGAGCTACAGAGAAACTAAGTCTGAGTATCTTGCTTCTATCTGAGCAAGACATTGGTTCTTCACTAGGAGTATGCATAAAACAATCAAAATATACATGCCCAGGTTCCACCCGGGACTGTTTTGTCTCTAGAGGCTAAAACCTATAGATGGATGTTATGTAAAAATTCCCCTGTGATTCTGATGCACACTCATCTGGCTAGAACCACCATTCTATTCCATGGTCCTAGCCATAAAATGTCATGCTGGGCTCTGCGGAGCACGAGATATTTCCTGAAAGAGTCTCCTCCAAAAGGCCAAATTCCCTGAACACACCTCTACTTCAACCAGAGAAAATCACCTTTCCTTAGCAGAATTTCATCTGAAGCCCCTTCTGGAATCTAGAGATCACAGCTATTTAGGGGCCACCACCCAGGGCTTTAACCTAACTCTCAGTAAAATAGTTTGGAATCATCGTCAACCTACTGTTCCAGCCGATAGCAGATCTACTTGGGAGTTGATCCAAGACAGTAATTGTGTCTTATACATCTTGACTCCTCAGTGTCAAGCAGGATGCCTGATACTTTGATAGCCCTTATGAAAGAGTGATGAATGCACAGACGATAAACAGCTGTAACAACCTATGTCCCTCCTGTGCACTCAGTTGTGAGGCTATGTCAAATATCTTGCTGCAAAATACCACACAACATTCACAACATCCTCTTAAGCTATCAGTTCTGTCTCCACATGGCACAGATGCTCCTCAGGCCGTGTAGGATACGAAAGTGAAAATTAGGAAGGAGATCAGGTCAGGGCTGAATACTTGGAAGCCTTTGCTGGGTGGTGAAAGAAGAAGCCATAAGAGGGTTTTGTGGGAGGTCATGTGGGGAGACCCAGTTGCACGTGAAGAACAGAGATAATTAAATGTTAATAGTCACAGTTGTTCACTTGATGAACAGCCTCCAATCTATTACTGCTACCTGGACATCTCAATTTTACACCCTAACCTTTCAAATTCAGCAGGACAAAAGTGTCCGTTGGCCTCCATTGCTCATGGAACAAAGTCCAAGTGCTGGGATGAGCATTATAATATTTCTTACCTCCCACCCTCGTACACTGTGATCCAGGCCCACTGGAATGATTGGGCTTTGTTTTCTATGCTTTTCTGAGAAGACACCAGCCTTTCCTGAAGCTGTCCCCCCAACCTGGATTATACTTTCACCTTCTAAGATTTTAGCGTACTAAACACCACTTCCCATCCTCCAAGGCTCAACCCAAATACTCCCTCTTCTATGGTGCAGTGCCATTTTCGATCTCTTCTCACCCCACTTTCATGCAATCCAGTTGCTTAAACATCCATGATGGTTTGTTTACACCAGGTTTATTGGCCTCATGTGAACTGCCTCATAGCGACACTATTTCTTAGTGTGTCCATTGTGTCCTTCAGATGATAAGCTTGGGGAGGCGTGTATGTCTTATTCTTCTGTGCATTTTCCACAGTGTTTTTCACATAGTGCTTTTGAGTAAATGATTAGTCAACTAAAGAAGGTGAGCTGGTCCAAGAGTGATGGAATAGGGGATCAGTCTCATCAACCCCCTCCCCACTACTGTCTCCACACTTTCTTCAAAAAAAAAAAAAATGGAGTCTCGCTCTGTTGCCCAGGCTGGAGTGCAGTGGTGTGATCCCAACTGACTGCAACCTCTGCCTCCCTGGTTCAAGCGATTCTCATGCCTCAGCCTCCCGAGTAGCTGGGATTACAGAAGTGCACCACCACACCTCGTTAATTTTTGTATTTTTAGTAGAGACAGGGTTTCACCATGTTGGCCAGGCTGGTCTCGAACTCCTGACCCCAAGTGATCTGCCCCCTGCTTTGGCCTCCTAAAGTGCTGGGATTACAAGCGTGAACCACCAAGCCTGACCCCGTCTCCACACCTTTTGATGTGCTTTCCCACTTGTAGGGGGACGCAGCCTAGTGTGGTGGAAGAAGGACCCAGCAACAAGTAAGGCGGAGGTCCTGGGTTCCTCTCCTGCCCCTGCCACTGACTTGTTGAGTGATCTCAGGGAGACCATCTCACCTCACCTCAATGAGACTACCTCTAGATGGTCCCTCAAATTCCTGCCTGTTTTAATCTTCTTTGAGGCTTTTTCTGTCTGTATGAGGCCACTAGGACTGCTATAACAAAGGACGTCCAGTTCTGGAGGCTGGAAGTCCAAGATCAAAGTGTCAGCAGGTTTGATTTCTCCTGAGCCCTTCTCATTGCCTCACAGGAGGCGTCCGCTCTGCTGTGTCCTCACATGGCAGCAGAACTCATCATCCTCAGCGAGTCTACGACACCTCAGATCATGATAAGCTTAGTAAATACCCCCATGAAGGGAACTAGAAGAGTAGAACATTGTCTTGTGGAAACATTATTGAGCCACACACCAGTCTTTCTTTACATGTATAGTTCAATAGTCTGAGGTTTGTCTTGAACACCTCAGTGGAACCAGGAAAAATGTCATGATCACAGTTGACAAAGCTTCTTCTCGCTTGCCCAGCTTCCCATGGCGTTGTAAGAAATGCTGCCTTCACTGACCTAAACCAACCCTGTCCCCACCCTCCAAGAAGTCTGGCATTTACTGGTTATGGCATGCCACTGACAGTACCTGGGGTCACCCAAAAGATAGGCCAGAGTTAGCCTATCTCAGAACTCAGCTGCTGCTAATCTTATAAGAAGTCTCATCCCAGCACTTTGGGAGGCCGAGGTGGGCAGATCACGAGATCAGGAGATCAAGACCATCCTGGCTAACACGGTGAAACCCCGTCTCTACTGAAAATATATAAAAAATTAGCCGGGCATGGTGGCAGGTGCCTGTAGTCCCAGCTACTCAGGAGGCTGAGGCAGGAGAATGGCATGAACATAAGAGGTAGAGCTTGCAGTGAGCCGAGATCGTGCCACTGCACTCCAGCCTGGGCGACAGAGTGAGACTCCATTTCAAAAACAAAACAAAACAAAAACAAAAAGAAGTCTCATTCAGAGTAGAACTTAAGTCTATGGCCATACCACCCTGAACATGCCTGATTTCATTCAGAGTGGAACTTACGTGGCCTATTTGCCTTTGCCTAATTGAAAGCAGGCACTATCAGGCATTGTTTTTCTGTGAGATTGGGGTGGGATTCGTGATCACAATTCCCTTTGTGGGCACAACAGAAAAAGGCCACTTATTTTGTTTTTCTTCAATCACTAACTGTTCAGATTGTCTAATTTTTTTAAATTAGGGACAAATAATATAAAACTTAATTTAAGACAGGCTAAAACATAATTTTTTTCTTTCATATTCCTTTCAGTTAAAAAATAAGGACAAGGAAGAGAAGATAGGATAGGAAGAGAGGAAGGTAAATATAGAAAAGGAGAGGAAAGAGATCAAAGGAAAAGAAGAAGGAAGGTCAGATAAGCAGTCAGAGAAGAAATGGAAAAGGAAGAAGACATAGAGAGGAAGAACAGAAAGATACAAGAAATAAGGCAGGGTCAAGAGAAGAACAAAATAACAGTGGCTGAAGGATAAAAAAAATTATGAGATTGCGAAGGAGGAGAGCAGAGGATGATGAGAGAAAGCATCATGGGTCTTACTAGCCACCTCTTCACCTGAATGGGGAGTTCCTTGAAATTGTGAAGATGTGAGAGGAAGTAGCGTCCTGTGGTAAGGTTTGAGGATCTCAAGTCTTAGTACCAAAAAAGCACATCAGCAGAGCTGACTCTGGCCCAGCCCGCTGGATTCAGTGAGCAAGTTATCACCAGCCCCCTTTAACAGAGAGAGCAGATGAAGTTGAGGAAGCATAAGTGATTCGCTCACACTCAACCTAGCTAAGTGTCCGGCCACAGGATCAGGCCACGTGTAAAGGGAAAGATGCATTTTGTGCTAACCAAGCAAATGAAATGATGCTCTCAGGAAGGACACTATCATTCCAAATTTCACCTCACAAAGAACTTCTTGTGACCTCTTTCCCTGAATATTCTATTAGCATTTGTAGGGCTGCACACAAGAGAATTTCATCAAGTTTAGGGAATGCATTCCTCTTTGCTCTTCAAAGCTTTTAATAGGATAACAGGATAACCAGAACACCAGGGCAGGGCAATAAGCTTTGAGAACTGGATGGAGTTAAGACCAAGGTCAGATCTGGCTTGGTCCAGGGGACCAGAAGTTTTGTGAACCTCACTCTATTGACTAAAGATTATTTCTTTATTTTTTTATTTTCCTATAAAGGAAGGTGATAAAATAGGAAAAAATGCATTATATAGCAATTTATAGTTTACAAAATGTTTTCACATATTTCCTGTTAATATCACAATGACCTTCACATTATTTACTGAAACTCAGAAAAGTTAAATCGTTAAGACCTTGAATTCATAGCTTCTGTGCTCTTCCAACAAAGATTTTCCTTCAGGTGAGAGAAAACTTAAAATGTACTATGTCTCCCTCTCATAAATAGCATTGACTGCAAAGTGTTATTTGTATTTTATGTCTATTTAAAACTTCAACTTTTTTTTCACACTTTGCTTCCTTTTCCAGACACAATGACTTCCTGGATAGTGATTTTTTTCCTTCCAGTTAACAGTGCTTTGAATCCAATCCTCTATACTCTCACAACCAACTTTTTTAAGGACAAGTTGAAACAGCTGCTGCACAAACATCAGAGGAAATCAATTTTCAAAATTAAAAAAAAAAGTTTATCTACATCCATTGTGTGGATAGAGGACTCCTCTTCCCTGAAACTTGGGGTTTTGAACAAAATAACACTTGGAGACAGTATAATGAAACCAGTTTCCTAGCAATCATTTTGGATCACTGGACTTTCAGTGGACTACCTAAAACAGGGGACAGCTTTTGGAAGATGACATCTGCAATGCTTTTCATCTTTACCAACGGCAAGCCTTTCTGCACAGAGAGCACAGCAGAATGGCTCCTGTCACTGCATTCCAATGGCAGCTGTACTATCTACCAACCATGCTGAGGACAGCACCAAAGGTTCCTCTCCTCACCCCACATGCCTGAAAAGCACATGTGAATTCGTGTATAGTGGGCTGAGGTGCAGCTGATCTCTAGCTAATCAACACAACCCACCAACAAATGACCACAGGTTGGCACTGTGTGGTCTTTCACATCGGGTTGCACTGTCCATGAAATAGAAACACTCACAACATCTGATTCCAGTGTGGCCATAATAACAGAAATCTAACAACTCTTTCCTTGCCTTTTCAATATCAAATAAAACCATCAGCATCCTGCTGGATTGATAGCAAAGGATTTCCAAAATATTCATCTACCCGAAGTCCTCCTCTGTGAAGGCCGGTGGAGTAGCCACTTTGAAAACAGAACTTCCAACCAGGTTACCATGTCTAACCTATGACCAGAGAGTCACACTGATGAAGCCTCATACCATTTGCCTTTTGGATTTTATTTAATATCAGAAGAGATGAATTCTTAAGATATTTTTCTGAAGGTTGCCCAGGGCACAAACAAATTGGACACTTTCACTGCTAAAAAGTACACTTTAATATTCTTAAAGTATAATTTCTTTAGAGCAGTATCCCTATTGCTGGCAAGTTCTGCTTTCATAAAATATGCAGATAAGAAGTGTTAAATGGGATTCAAGAATTATGGTTTTATTTGGGACTGTTTGCATACTCACAATGGTTTTGTTCTCATTGTTTTTAACAAAAAAGCAATGAAGTTTGGGGTGGTTTTTTGAAAACGAAACTGAAAAAAATTATATGTGAAAATGAGAACTGGGTAAATAAAATTATATTTTGCACTTGTCCATATATTAATTTAAGCTTAACAAAGACCATGGATGGGGTTTGTTGACTGTTAAGCATGTTTCTCCTGATAAAGAATACAGCCAGGAAACACAGCATTTCAGTTCACAAGACACATCCTATATTTTTCTCTCTTCCCCTTTTGCCACAGCATGAGGCAGTTACTTAATTTCTTCACTGTTCACTTCATTCTGAGTTCCTTTAATGAGATAAAATGTAAGCAGCTGACTAAGACCACCACAATACCTCCTATTACATATTAAATGGACACCCTTTATCCAGTAGCATCCAGAAGAGAAAGAAATTCAGAGTTTATGGGTCTCAGCCATTCTGGTAATTTACTTGTTATTACTCACTATTGACTAAAATCATAACGTGAGTTCATTCATTTTGATCAAGTAAGATATTTCTCATGTATAATAAAAGATTTTCATTAGGATTCTAGAAATAATGTTCCCACTCATTGACTATGCTACCCTTTCCTTTATGGCTTTAAATTTTTCTCCATCTTGTTTCTTCAGTATGATGAATTGCTTCCTAACTTGTTTTCCAGGTTTGCTGACATTTTATCAGATGTCTTTGCCAGTCCTTGATCATCTTACGATTTATTTCCTAATACATTTTCTAACACCAGGAGCATAAATAAGGGGTAGACCCTGAGCCTAGGGTATTGTAATTTTAGCACCAATGTGTGTCTCCCGTTCTTGAAAAGCATCATCCGTGGTCCATGAACCAAGTCTTTGGGAACCATGTAAGAGCCCGCACTTTACTGTAGTGCAGTGAGTGGGCATGAGAAGAGGCACGCAACCAGATGCTTTGGGGAAGGTGGCAGCTGTATGGAAAAATGGGAGCTCTACATAGGTCAGCAACATGCCAACAAATAGCATGAACTTCATATCTGATAGCTTGGTAATTTATAGTCTTATTCTGTACTGCTCTGCAAATAGAAAACCATTAGAAATTTGTATTATTTTAGTAAATAATAGTCTTTAATGTGGATTGAGTGAGAACTTTTGTGCTAGGCCAAGCCTGTTTTCTAAACATGGTATTTCTGTGTGGTTATGAAAATATCACCTGTGTCCATGAACCATTTTCCATGACAATCTAAGCATCAATTAAATGTCACTGCAGAATTTCAGAGGCCACAGACGGTGCCATCTCTGAGTGGGAGAGGGTGTGGGCAAATCATCTGCTCCACATCCTAACTATGCATCTGTATATGACTGATGTCTTGAAGAGGATAAGAAAAAAATACCCCCAAAAATCAATATGGAGCTTCAGACGAGTGTACAGAAAAAGGGTATGTGTTTTATTTGTGTTAGACATTGATAAGATAGTTTACATAACTTTGCTTCATCCTAGAGGCTTTTGTTCATAGCTTTCATAGCTTTTTTTAATTCAGTAGGCTATTTCAGAAATTGCAATCGACATAAACTATTCTATCAAAAGAGTTCATGTCCATTGCAATTGCTGAAATGCCTCTTGATGGTCAGGAGCTTCAGGATAAATTATATTTATTTGAGCTTTATGTACAGGTAGCACTATCACCTTTCCCCAACCCTACCCTACACCCCAGCTCCACAGCTCCATTCAGCAGGTCTCCATGGCATCATGAAGCCACAAAAGCAGGCCCATCACCCCAAGGTTTATCTCTTAAGGATGACTCTGCTGCCAGATTGAATTCATATTTGGTGATTTGCTACAGATTTGCTCATGCTACATTTTCAAGACTTTATCTCACCCAAGGTAAAGACTTACCTTACCATCCTCAAGTTAGTAAGCAATACAGAGCTCCCGAGAGTGCACATGATAGAAAGGAGAAACCATAGAGTGTCACCAATCATATCTAACCTATTATTTTATAAATGGCCCAAGGGGAGCTGACAGAAATATATCTTCCAAAATTAACCAGAAATACTTTAAGGCACATTCCTTTTTCATTGTTTTCAATGTAGCATAAATGGGCACTTACAAAGTTGCCTTAGACAACTTCACTCAAGAAACAAAATATTAATTAAAGATAAGAATTTGTATTTCCTTATTCCCTTACCCTGTTGAATAAAGAAAGGGAGAGCCATTACAAAGATCTGCTTATATATTTGCCTGTTTATATGTCAGGTTTTTGTTTTTGTTTTTGTTTTTGAGACGGAGTCTCACCCTGTCGCCCAGGCTGGAGTGCAGTGCCACAATCTCGGCTCACTACAAGCTCCACCTCCTGGGTTCACGCCATTCTCCTGCTTCAGCCTCCTGAGTAGCTGGGACTACAGGTGCCCACCACCACGCTTGGCTAATTTTTTGTATTTTTAGTAGAGATGGGGTTTCACCGTGTTAGCTAGGATGGTCTCAATCTCCTGACCTCGTGATCCGCCCGCCTCGGCCTCCCAAAGTGCTGGGATTATAAGCGTGAGCCACCGCACCCGGCCTATATATCAGTTTTCTGACATTCTGTTTATGCAGGATGTAAGATGCATATTTAGTAATGATCATTTTCATTTTTGAGCCAGGAAAATTAAATGAAATTAGACTATTCTCTTTTTAAAGGGCTTTTCAGTAGGAGACTTCGAAGTCCTTGAGAAATACTTCCTAAAGCCCTATAAACTAATAGAACCTATTACTCAACGTATTTCATTAGAATTGTCTTCAGGATATTTCCCCACATCCCGCATACGGAAGAAGTAAATTAAAAATGAAGAAATTGGGAAGAATAAGGCCAAGTTACAAAACTGCACATCCAGAAATGTGAACCTTCTGCTGTCTGAAGCCCATGGTGACATTTCTTACCTCTAAGTTCTAAGCAAACTCATAACTATTTTGAGTTATAAGCTCATAAGTGGCTTCAATATAAGAAAAAATTATTTCTAGACCACCTGAGAATCAATAATGCTTTTACTGGTTTCACAAATTTCTGAATTCGTGATGCTAGGGTGTTTGATTCAGCAATTATTTTTAATGGAAACCATACCCTTTGCTGCTATAGGCAACACACATTTAAGGTAAGGAAATAAAGGTCAAAAGGCAGGGGGCTGGAGCTGTAGTTTTAGTTCAACCATCAACTGCTTACATGACCTCAGACAAATATCTTTACATCTCTTCCCTTATCTGTAATAGAGTTTCCTTAAGATCAAATCACATAAACAGATGACTGGTCCCCTGTCTGTCAAAATCCGTTTTGTGGATAAAACCACATGCTGAAGGTCCAAGTGGTAAGCATTTAAAAATTTACATCAAGTGCAAAGATCATTCCATTCTCAATTCCCCTGGGATATTACACATTGTTCATGAAGAGTCAATGCAAAGGGCACCAATGTTCAGAAAACCAGTCCTTTGAGGGGAGGCTTACGGGACCCCATTCTGCTGTGAAAAGAAAGCTGAAGCAAACCTCAGACAATGAAGCTTTTCTAAACCATGGCAGCTAACCAAAGAACAACAGTAAGCACCAGGTAAAAATTAGGTAACCTATTGCTAGCAAAATTTAGGAATGCAGAGATCAGGAAGATTAACATGCAATCGTTTTACCACAGATCACAGACTAGTCTCTTCACATAAGTGTAGGTCTACTACTGCCTACATTATTCTCTAAACCAGACGTAAATGCACGGGAATGTCTAGCATGTATGAGTGGGTATATTCCTGGGAAAAGTGTTGTAGGATAAAGAGATAACTATTTAATTTCCCCATAGAACCAGGATAGAACATGTGGTTCTTAACCAAGGTTGATGCCTATCTCAAGTCTTGCACCATCAGCAACACACCCTTTCCTGTGTATCATCAACTTCTCTTCCTCTCTACTGGCTCTTTCCCCTCAGCTCTCAATGCTCACATTTCTCACACCTAAAAAGACATTCCTACCACCCGACACCTTCTTATAGCTTCTGTCTTGTTCTCAAATGCTCTTTACAGCTAAACATTTTGAAATAATGATAAGCTCTTTGTCATCAACATCTTACCTCACTTTGACTTCTCAACCAACTGAATGTGGCTTCCACACTCACCACACCACCACACCACATTAAAGATTAATGTCTGCCCTGCTGGGTTTCAGACTTGTGTGGGAGCCTGTTGTCCTCATTAAGGTTGCCAGGACGACAATCCAGTGAGCATTTGCCTTTCCTCAGCTACTTTGCCTCCCTGGAGAATTAGTTACTGATGTCCATTTTCTCAATCTCTAAACTCCTCTCTTGGAATGAAGGATACCATTCATTTCTGTTCTGAACCACTTCCCTGGCTCTTCTTTCTCACATCTTTATGAACTTCCCTTTCTCCTCTTGGCCCTTAAACTTATGTAGAAATTTCTGGAGATTTACTCTTGGCTCCCTGATCTTTGCCCTCCATACAGATCTCCCTGACTTCAACCTGTCTACAGCTGTCATAGATAAGTTCATTTGTAAAAATCTCTATTAAAAACATAAATACAATTAGAGTGAACTTATTTTGACTTTTCTTACTAAATCTTGACACTCGCTTTTTAATCTGATCCAAAAATTATACAATAAGTTTTGTTGAGGCAGGTGTGCGGTGGCTCATGCCTGTAATCCCAACACTTTGGAAGGCCAAGGTGGGTGGATTGCATGAGCCCAGGAGTTCAAGACCACCCTAGGCAACATGGTGAAACCCTATCTCTACAAAAAAATACAAAAAATTAGACAGCATGGTGCCCACCCCCTATAGTCCCAGCTACCCAGGAGGCTGAGGTGGAAGGATCACCTGAGCCTAGGAGGTCGAGGCTGCAGTGAGCCATGATGGTACCACTGTACTGCAGCCTGGGTGACAAAGTGAAACCCTGCCCCAAAAATATTTATGGCTGGGAGCGGTGGTTCATGTCTGTAATCCCAGCACTTTGGGAGGCCGAGGCAGTTGGATCATCTGAGGTCAGGAGCTTGAGACCAGCCTGGTCAACATCGTGAAACCCAATCTCTACTAAAAATACAAAAATTAGCCAGGCCTGGTGGCAGGCGCCTGTTAATCCCAGCTACTCGGGAGGCTGAGGCAAGAGAATCACTTGAACCTGGGAGGCGGAGGTTGCAGTGAGCCGAGATTGTGCCATTGTGCTCCAGCCTAGGCAACAAGAGTGAAACTTCATCTCAAAAAAAAAAAAAATTATATATGTTTATATACTAATGTAGTTGTTGAAATTCTATCCTCCCTGATGAAAATAGGCTATTCTCATAAATGCATCTAAAAGCAATAGATTTTTATATATTTAACAAATGGGTTCAAGACCCACCTAAATTTGGGAGGGGGGATTTTTATTAAACAGGATAGAAAATTCCAAAAGGTTAAAATAAATAAGTGGCCCAGGCTGGAGAGGGGAGATGAGAACCCTGGTGGGTCCATATATACATTTCCTAACTTCTTATTTTTTCTTTATTTTTTCCTGGACCAAATCATAAGGCACAAACATGTCAACTAAGAGCATGAAATCTAGAAGGTGATCTTAAGGAAAAGTTTCACAGACCCTACTGAAGAAGCACTGAGTAGTGGAGTAAAAAATCTCAATTCACATGATGGTTGTTTGAGGCAGTGGTATTAATTGATGCATCTTCCTTGTTTTTATGTCACAGGCAATAACCTTAGAGTGCTGTATTATTCCATTGCTTTGAAACAGAAAATCTTTTGGTTGTCATTGTCCGATCTTCTGCATTTCATGCTCTCCCTTAGATATTCTTGGTTCCTCACCTCCTTTGAATTTCTTATTTCTACCCAGCCCTGCTCTTTGTAAGCCAATAAGAAAAGGGTTGGACATAATACATAATTCAAAAGTAATAAGATTTTCAAGAAAGTGAATCCCTCCAAAATGCAATCATCTAAAATTCTGTTGTCATCCACTCATTCATTTATTCATTCAACAAATGAGCCTTGTGAAACCACCTGGAGCCAGACATGCTATCTAACAAGATCATCTCCAAGGGCAGGTAAAGTCACACCTCAAGAAAACAACTGCTATGGTTTGAATATGGTTTGTTTGGCCCCACCAAGTCTCATGTTGATATGTGATCCCTAATGTTGAAGATGGGATCTGGCAGGAGGTCTTTGGATTACGGGGCAGATCCCTCATGCATGGATTATTGCCATTCTCTCAAGTGGGTAAGTTCCTGCTCTATTAGTTCCCACAAGAGCTGCTTATTTTAAAAGTGTCTGGCACCTCCACTTGCCTTTACTCTTGCAATGTGATTTTTGCATAGGTTAGCTCCCCTTCATCTTCCACAATGACTGGAAGCAGACTGAGTTCCTCACCAGAAGCAGATGCTGCTGCCATGCTTCTTGTACAGCCTGTAGAATGGTAAGCCAAATAAACCACTTTTCTTTATAAATTTCCCAGCATCAGGTATTCCTTTATAGCAACATAAGTGGGCTAAAACAGAAAACTGGTACTGAAGAGTGGAGTGTTGCTATAAAGATACATGAAAATGTGGAAGCCATTTTGGAACTAGGTAATAGGCAGAGGTTGGAAGAGTTTACAAAGCTCAGAAGAAGAAAAAAGACAAGGGAAAGTTTGGAACTTCTTAGAGACTGGTTAAATGGTAGTGACCAAAATGCTGATAGAAATATAGACAGAAAAGGCAATATTGAGGAAGTCTCAGATGGAAATGAGAAACTTATTGGGCTCTAGAGCAAAAGTCACCCTTGTTACACCTAGCAAGGAACTTGCTGCATTGTGTTTGTCCCCTTGGGCTTGGTGGAAGGCCAAACTTAAGAGTGATGTCTTAGAGTATCTGGCAGAAGAAATTTCTAAGCAGCAAAGCATTCAAGGTGTGGCATGGATGCTTTTAACAGCTTACAATCAGACACAAGAGTAAAGGAATGAACTAAAGTTGGAACTTATCATTAAAAAGAAAGCAGAGCATAAAAATTTGTAAAGTTCACAGTCTGGCTGCATGTTCAAAAAGGAAAGAATATTTTCAGGTGAGGAATCCAAAGATGCTTCAGAGCAACCACTTGCTAGAACAATCGGTGTGGATAAAATAGAGCCAGGGGCTTATAGTAAAGACAATGGGAAAAAGGCCCAAAAATTATTTCAGAAACATTTGAGGCCACCCCTCCCATCACAGTTCCAGAGGCCTAGGAGGACAGAATGGTTTTGGGGAAATGGCCTGAGGTGCTGCTGACCTCTGAAGTATATTCCCTGAATCTCTGCCACAACTCAAAAGGCCCCAGATGCTACTTGGTCTGCCACTCTAGCTGGAAGCCTTGGCATCTTCCACGTGCTGTTAAGTCTGAAGGTGTGCAGAATGTAAGAGTTGGGGAGGCTTGGCACCTTCCACCTAGATTTCAGAGGATGTATCTAAAAGTATGGATGCTCAGGCAGAAGCCTACTGCAGGTGTGGAGCCCCCACAGAGCGACTCAACCAAGGCAATGCAGAGCATAAATGTGGAGTTGGAGCCCTGCAGAGAGCACTTTACCAAGGCACTGCCTAATGGTGCCATGAAAGCAGGGCCACAGCACTCCAGACCCCAGAATTATGGAGTCACCAGCATGATGCAATCTCAGCCTAAAAAAGCAACAAGCATTAAACTCCAACCTGTGAAAGCAGCCACATGGGCTCTGCCCAGCAAAGCCTTGGGGATGCGGCTGCCCAAGGCCTTGGGAACCCACCCCTCACACCACTGTGCCTAAGATGTGGGACATGAAGACAAAGGATATGATTTTGGAGATTTCGAGATTATTGTCTGCCCTGCTGGGTTTCAGACTTGTGTGGAAGCCTGTTACCCTTTTCTTTTGGCCAGTTTCTCCCTCTTGGAATGGGATTGTTTTCCTATACCACCATTGTTTTCCTGCCTGTATCACCATCGTACCTTGGGAGTAAAATCCTTGTTTAGATATTACTGGCTTATGGCTGAAAGGAAGTTGCCTTGAGTCTCAGGTGAGACTTTGGACTTTTGAGTTGATGCTGGAATAAATTAAGACTTTCCAGGATTATTAGGATGGGATGATTGCATTTCGCAATATGAGAAAGACATGAGATTTGGCGGCCAAGGGTGGAATGCTATGGTTTGTATATGTTTTGTTTGGCTCTGTTAAGTCTAATATTAAAATTTGATCCTCAGTGTTGGAGGTGGGGCCTGATGGGAGGAGTTTGAGTAACGGGGGTGGATTTCTCATGAATGGCTTAGTGCCATTCTTGAGGAAGTGAATTCTTACTCTATTTGTTCTCACAGAAGCCTTTTGTTAAAAGATTCTGGCACCTCCCTCCCCTTCTTGCCTCCATTATTGCCATGTGATTTCTGTACAGGCCAGCTCCCCTTTGCCTTCCACTAGGAGTGAAAACAGACTGAAGCCCTCACCAGAATCAGATGCTGGTGCCATGCTTCTTGTGCAGCCTGCAGAAATGTGAGCCAAATAAATCTCTTTTCTTCATACATTACCCAGCATCAGGTATTCCTTTACAGCAACACAAACAGACTAAGTCAACGACCATAGCAAGATAACTGTAGAACTTCTGTAGATTTGACTTCAAAGATTAAGTCCTGCATGTTTATCAGTCTTATCAATTTTATTCATAGCACATTCTTTCTTATTGCAATATCTTTTTTCTCTACTCTTCTTCCTACTCTCTCTTTCAAATACTTTGCTGACATTTCTGACCCTTTTTCTTTTGCTCTCTCACCACATACTATGCACACACATGAACACACATATGTACCTCTTTATCCCTCTAAGTCTGCTTTCTTGCCTCCTGGTCTCTGTCCTACCTCTATATTTCTATTGTTCTCTCTCTTTCCCTGTGTAGGCAGTGTTTGTGCCTCTCTCTGTGTAGGCAGTGTCAAGACAAGATGGAGGCCAAAAGTAAGATGGACACTTATATTGAGTGCATAAGAAAACAAACTGATTGATAACATTCATTTTTATGCTTTCAGCTTGCTATAAGTGCCCTAACTTGGTAACATGGGTCTAACTGGCTGACAACCCTCATATAGCAACATAATAATAGTATCAATACATCACACCTGAACAGTACTTTATATATTGCCATATGCTTTCAAATAGCATTTAATTTGCTGGAAGTCAAGCATTATTTATTCACAAGTGCCTGCTTTCACAGACACAAACATACACAGAACCATGTCACACATTGGAATTAATTTATTTGGCAACCTCACCTTCTCAGAACATAGCTGACTTAAAAAAAAAACCACTATTTTTAAAGGACTTTAAGGAACTAAAGACAAACAGTTGTCGCAGATTCATAAATTAAAGTTTAGAAGCAAGATGTGTATAGAAAAAAAGCACAGAGCATCTCATTTGAATTATTCATCCATTCACAAATATTTATCGAGTGCCCACTATGCGAGGAAATATTCTAGGTGATAAAAAAATATAACAGTAAAAACATAAACCTGTCTAAATGGAGCTTTCATTCTTGGGGAGTAGGTGAGACAAACAATAATAAAGGAAAATGAGCAAAATTTATAATACAGTAGAGGATGAGAAGTTCTAAATGAAAAAATAAATCAGGGAAGTGAGAGAATTATTACTAGAGGAGGAGAAACAGCAATGAATGTATTCAGTAAGAGGTGACTTTTGAGTAACATAGCCTGATGCTACCATTTCTTCTCAGTTTATTCATCTTTAAAATATAAAAAATAATAACCACTTCACAAAATTACCCTAAGTAAACAAATATACTCTAGCACATAGCCTGAAACTAATTAATTATTCAACAAGTGATAGATATGTCTTTATCTCATAAATTTCAATCATCACAAAGATCCTCATCTACTCAGAACCCATTTTTCTATAATTCACATGTAATTTTAGCAAGATTATTTTCCTATTTTATTTATTTATTTTTCATTGTTTTGAGATGGAGTCTCACTCACTCTGTCACCCAGGCTGGTGTGCAGTGGCATGATCTTAGCTCGTTGCAAACTCCACCTCCCAGGTTCAAGTGATTCTCATGCCTTAGCCTCCTAAGTATCTAGGATTACAGCGCCTGCCACTACACCCGGCTAATTTTTGAATTTTTTGTAGAGATGACGTTTTGCCACGCTGGCCAGGCTTGTCTCAAACTCCTAGCCTCAAGTGATCCACCCATCTCGGCCTCCCAAAGTGCTGGGACTACAGGCGTGAGCCACTGTACCTGGCCTATTTTCTTATTTCTAAGCTCAGATATTTTAAGAAAGTATGTATGCATATACATGAATATGTGTGTATATATGTGTGTGTGTGTGACATTCATTTGGATTTGTACTACAAATTTAGACTTTCTGTGGTCTATAAACTCCCAAGCCAAGAAATTTACCTAAAAATTTATCTTAGGATATGATACCTCTGTTGTAATTGGAAGAACTAAACATAATCTTCTCCAAAACACATATCCCCAACTCAGTCCTCCCAGAATGTTATATCCTTATATTAGTCCAGAATGTTATATCCTTATATTAGCCTTTATAGACTTTCACAGGTAACGTCTCACAGAGGATGAATTCTTAATCCCAAATTAGTAAATCATGAGGAAATAATCTACCATGAGTGAGATTCAACAAACACATAAAAATGATAATGAGAATCAAAACCAAAACCAAACCAAAACAAAAAACTTCAGGTAATAGAAATATCTGATAAAATCTACAAAATACATTCTTTAAGAATATTTAAGAATTACAAAAGAAATTGAAACCATAAAATGAACACAACTCTGTGAATAATGCCTTAAAAAAAGATTATCTGGGAGTGACATTAACAACATAGCACAGAATAGGAGTTTTCAGCACTTACCTTTCAAAGAAACATCAGTTTGAACTACCATCCATGCATGAAGATACCTTCACAAGAGCTAAGGAACCCAGGTGAAAGATTATGGCACCTGGGTGGAACACAGAAATAAGAAAAGACACATTGAAGAGGGAAGGAAAGACTGTTTCATATTACCCATATCATTCACCCATGACCCAAGCCTGTGCAGCATGCACAGAGGGAGATACCCTCTGTGTGGGGGAAGGAGAGTGAAGTGAGTACCCAACTTTGCCACAGACCAGAGGACTAGACCAGCCCCAAAGAACCTTACAGCCAGCCCAGCTCCTGCAGCTCCAAGCCCACTCCAACACCAGGCCAGCTGCACAGCACCCCCAGTCCCCCAAGCACCCAGACTCCATACAAGCCTACCTCAGCTCCAGAACGCCTTCCACATATGGAGGCTCCAGGACTGCCCCAGAACCAGGCCCATGTCTTATGGACCAAGGTATCAGGCCCAAGTCCCCACTGATCAGTCACCAAGGCAGCCTACCCAAGGACTCCAGCAGTAAACCTGCTCATAGGCCTCGCCAGCTGTTCCAGCCTGAATCCCTGGACAGGCTGATTTGTAAACGGCTTTCCATGCTGAAGTCAGTTGCAAAGACTGCAAGAGACGCCCACTTCCTCAAATGCACAGACACCAACATAAATCCACAATGATCACAAATAATCAGGGGAACTTGACACCAAGAAAGGAACAAAATAAAGCACTAAGTAACTGACCCTAAAGAATTCGCGATCTAGAAACTATGTGACAAATATTTCAAAATAATCATCTTAAAGAAGTTCAGTCAGTGATACAAGAACACAGACAACTAAATGAAATCAGGAAAACAATATATGAACAAAATGAGAAGTTCACCAAAGAGATAGAGATAGAAGCGATAAAAAGTCAAACATAAATTCTGGGGCTGAAGAATACAATGACTGAACTAAAAAAATTCCATAGAGAGCTTCAGTGGCAGAACTTGATCAAATAGAAGAAAGAGTCAGTGAACTCGAAAACAGATTGTGGGAAATTATTCAGTTAGAGGAAAAAATGTTTAAAAAAAGAATGAAAAACGCTTATGCGACTTATGAGACAGCATCAACTGAACCAATGTATGCATTATAGGAGTATGAGAAAGAACAGAGAAAGCAAAATAAACAGAAAGCATTTTTACAGAAATAATGTCAGAACACTTCCCAAATCTGGACACGTAAATGAACATTCAGATCCTTGAAGCCTGAAGAACCCCAAATAATTAAACATAAAGAGATTTTCACCAAAACATATTATAATCACATTCTTAAAAGTAAAACATGAAGTGAGAATTTTGAAAGCAGCTAGAGAAAAGCTATTCATCACATACATGCATACTTCCATAAGACTATCAGTTGATTTCTCACAAAACCTTTGCAGACCAGGAGAGGGTGGGTTGATATAATAAAAGTACTAAAAGACAGAAACTGCCAACCAAGAATACTATACTCAGCAAAGCTGCCTAGAAATGAAGGACAGATAAAGATTCCCAGACAAACAAAAGCTGAGGAAGTTCATCATCACAAGACCTGCCTTACAAGAAATGCTAAAAGGAGTCCTTCTGGTTGAAACAAAAGAATACTAACTAAAACATGAAAACATATGAAAGTATAAAATGCACTGTAAAAGTAAGAATATAGTCAAATTCAGAATAATATTGTAATAGTGGTGTTTAAAGGACTTTTATCTTCCGTATAAGAATTAAAAGATGAAAGTATTAAAAATAACCATAGCTACAATAAAGGATTAATGAATATATGCAGTATAAAGTATATAAATTATGACATCATTAAAATAACATGTGAGGAGATGAGAAGTGAAAGTGTAATGCTTTTGCATGCAGTTGAAATGAAGTTGTTCCCAGCTTAAAATAGACTACTATAACTATAAAATGTTTTATGGGAGCCCCATGGTAATCCCACACCAAACAAAACCAAACAAAAACTATAGCAGATATACAAAAGATAAAGAGAAAAGAATCAAAGCATAACACTCCAAAAATAAAGTCATATCACAAATGTAGATAGCAAGAATGGAAGAAAGGAATTACAAAACAATCAGAAAACAATGAATAAAATGTCAATAGAAAGTCTTTACCTACCAATAATTACTTTAAATGTAAATAGATTGAATTCTTCAATCAAAAGACATAGAACCGCTGAATGGATTCTTTTAATCCAACTATATGCTACCTACAAGAGACCCATTTTATCTTTAAGAACAAACATAGGCTGAAAGGGAAGGAATGAAAAAGTATATTCCATGAAAATAGTAAACAACAGAGAGCAGGAGTGGCTACACTTACGTGAGCCAAAACAGATTTTAACTCAAATACTGTCACAGCAGATAAAGGGGACATTATATAATAGTAAAGAGGTCAATTCATCGAGAGGCTATAACAATTATAAATATATATGCACCCAAAGTCAGAGCACCTAAACATACAAAGCAAATATTAACAGAGCTGAGGGAAAAACAAACAGTAATATAATAATAGCAGAGACTTCAATACTTCATTTTCAACAATGGATAGATCAGACAGAAAATAAAAAAGAAACAGCAGACTTGAAGGAAACTATGCGAGGTACTGTATATATTAATTAGCTTGACTGTGGTAATCATTTCACAATAAATATGCACAAAGCATTATGTTATAAACCTGAAAGATATTTATTTTTTTATTTGTCAATCATAGCTCAATAAAGCTGGGAAAAAAAGAACTTCTTGAATAAAAAACATATTTATTAAAAGTAATGATTCAATGGATACTTTACAAAGCAGATTATATACAGCTGAAGAGAACATTATTAAAGTAGACATGAGGAAACCATACAGAATAGAGACAGAAAGATAAAGTAACAAACTTTCTTTCTAAAGAAAGCAAAGTTTCCTGACATGATAAAAGTGTTATTTTTTAGGACAATGTAATTAATGGGAAGTGTTACAACCATTTCTTCACAAGTCACGAATAAGTCAAGAAGGCCTGCTATTCAAAGTTGTGCTGCATGTCTCAGGCCATACAAAAAGCAACAGAAAAAAATACATAAAGATTTAAAAATAAGTAAAAGAAAGAAATAAGACTCTCAGTATTCATTGACTATGCAATTGATTCAATAGAAAAATTTAAGAAAGTCTATAAGCTATTAGTATTAAAAAGAAAGTTCAGTATGTTTGCTAGGCATAAAATCAATAAGTAAAATCAAATCAAACTTTTAGAAAATGTGATTAATAAAAGAACTATTTATAATAGCAACAAATCATAAGATATCCAGGAAGAAATTACAAATTGCAATGATATTCAAGACCTTATGATAGAAATTGAAACTTTAGCCAAGGGTGCTGGCTCATACCTATAATCCCAACACTTTGGGAGGGTGAGATGAGAGTATTTCTTGAGTTTAGGAATTTGAGACCAGCCTGGGAAAAATGGTGAGACCCCAAATCTACAAAAAAAAAAAAAAATGGAAATGTGTTGAAAATAATAAAAGATGTAATTCCAATCAAAATCCCAACTGGAAACTGTATAGAATTTTCAAAAGCTGACTCTCACTTATATGGAAGAACAAGAAGTCAAGAATGGCAGATATAATTGTGAAAAAATATCAAGGGGAAATCATTTCATTAGGCATTGAGACCTACTATGCAGAATGGTTGCAGTGGCTCACGCCTGTAATCCCAGCATTTTGGGAGGCTGAGGCAGGGGATCACCTGAGGTCAGGAGTTCAAGACCAGTCTGGCCAACGTGGTAAAAATACAAAAATTAGCCGGTCTCTACAAAAACACAAAAATTAGCCAGGTGTGGTGGTGGGTGCCTGTAATCCCAGCTACTCAGGAGGCTGAGTCAGGAGAATCACTTGAACCCAGGAGGCGTAGGTTGCTGTGAGCAGAGATCGTGACACTGCACTCCAGCCTGGGAGACAGAGCAAGACTCCGTCTCAAAAAAACAAAACAAAACAAAAAAACCTACTATGCAAATGCTAAAACTATGTGGTAATGATGAAAGAACTGATGAATAATCCATTGGGTCAGAATAGCATACCTAAAAACAGATCTACATAGAGGATCTTGGTATATAACAGAAAGCCTAAAAATCAGTAGAAAAGGTAATGGCTGAGTAGGTACTACAAAATCTACCATTTGCAGATTGAGTCTAATTTTTTAAACTCAATATCTTCAGAAAAATAGAACAGAATACAGACTCTCCATAAAATCACAGTCACAATGTTTAGAATACAATCTCAAATTATTCTACATGCAAAGAACAAGAAAAGTGTGACTCATTCTCAAGAGAAAATACAAATCAAAAGAACTCAGCCTTAAGGTGACTCAGATGTTGGAATTAGCAGACAATAATTTTAAAGAAGCTATTATAACTATGCTTGACATAAAAGAAAATATGTTGGTAATGAATGAAAAGATAGGGAACCCTATCAGAGAAATAGAAACTATAGGAAAAGAACCAAGTGGACATTGTAGAGCTAAAAAATACAATGTATTCCTTTCCTGTGGTTGCTGTAACAATTATCACAAACTGGTTAGCTTAAAACAATAGAATGTATTATCTCATAGTTTTGGAGGCCAGAAGTCTGAAATCAAAGTGTCAGCAAGGCCACACTTCCTCTGGAGATCTAGAAGAGAGTCCTTTCATTGTGTTTTCTAGCTTTTGATGACTGTTGGCATTTCTTGTCTACGGCTCCATCACTACAATCTTTGCCACTGTGCTCACAATGCCTTCTCCTCTTCTGTCTGGCAAATCGCCATTGTGTGTCTCTTACAAAATTGCTTATCATTGAATTAAAAGCCCACCCAGATTATCCAGGGTGATCTCTTCATCTCAAGATCTTTAACTTAGTTACATCTGAAATGACTGGGTTTTTTTTCCAAAATAAGGTAACATTCAAATGTTCTAGAGATTTATGTAGATACCTTCTGGAAGACTACTTTTCACCCTTATAACATACAATCTCCGAAATAAGAAAGAAAAAAGAATGTGCTGGATGAAACTGTAGTAGCATGGAGAGTCAGCAAACTCGAAGAAAGAGCAATAGAAATTATTCAATATGAAGAAAAGGTAGAAAAAAAGAATGAAAAGAGCCTCAGGAGCCTATAGGTCAATATCAAAAGAGCTAACACATGTGTAACTGGAGTGTTAGAAGCAGAGGGAGAGAAGATGAAGGGAAAAAGCCCTCTGTAGAAACAATGGTCAAAATTTTCCCAAAGTCTGTGAAAGACATACATTGACAGATTCAAGAAGCTTTGCAAACCCCAGCAGAATTAATAAACCTAGGCAAGATTTCTGCATTTCATATGAAATTCTGCAATATTAATTCTAAGTAGATTATGTGAGAATTGACTGAGAACGTATATGAGGAAACTTTCCAGGTTGATGGTAACATTCTAATCTTGATAAAGGTTTGAACTACAGAAGGGCATGCCTTTACCGAAACTCAGCAAACATACGCTTAAGATTTTTACATTTTATTGCTTGTACATTTTACCTGAAAATTTAAAAATGTAAATAATATTGAACTATAGTTAACATATGCATGCTATAATATTTAAGAGAAAGTATATCATGCATGCATTTTAATTTTAAATGCATGAAAAACAGGGAAAATTGGTAAATGGATAGAAGGATGAACTGATGAATAGATATTTGATAAAGCAAGTATAGCAAATGTTAATGACAGAATCCAGGTGGTGTAGATACAAGAGTTCACCAGAAAATTACTTTAACTTTGCTGTATGTTTGATATTTTTCACATTAGGATATTGGAGGAAAAATCAATGGGAAAATGAAGGGCTGCTTTATATGTAGTTCTGAGTCAATGGATTATCCATATAGAAAAAAAAGATTAAATAAAATTCTGATTTTGTGGGATACATTAAAATAATTCCAGATGGTTTTAAAAAACTAAATGTGGCCAGGCACAGTGGCTCACACCTGTAATCCCAACACTTTGGGAGGCTGAGGCAGGTGGATCACGAGGTCAGGAGTTCAAGACCAGCCTGGCCAACATGGTGAAACCCCTTCTCTACTAAAGATACAAAAAATTAGCCAGGCATGGTGGCACACACCTGTAATCCCAGCTACTCAGGAGGCTGAGGCAGGAGAATCGCTTGAACCCAGAAGGTGGAGGTTGCAGTGAGGCGAGATAGTGCCATTCCACTCCAGCCTGGGCAACAGGGCAGGACTCTGTCTCAAAAAAAAAAAAAAAAAAAAAAAAAAAATATATATATATATATATATATATATAGAATGCCACACTGTAATAGCACAAAAGTGGTGAGGTGGTGCACGCATGCAGTCCCAGCTACTCAGGAGACGGAGGCAGGAGAATGCTTGAACTGGGAGGCAGAGATTGCAATAAGCCAAGATCATGCCACTGCACTCCAGCCTGGCAACAGAGCAAGACTCTGTCTCAAAAAAAAAAGTGGAAATAACTGTCCTGTAGTAGGAATATGGATTAATAAACTATGGTTTGTTCAATCAATTATCATAGAACAGTTAAAATGATTTTATGTATCAAATTAGATAAATGTCAAGACATAATATTGATTAAAAATAAAGTTACAAAGGATTGTGTACAAATATATCATCTATTTAAAAATTTAAAATACACAAAATGATATATCCTGTATATATCCAATACATGGTAATGATATACAGTCATGCATCACTTAAAGCCTGGAATACATTCAGAGAAATGTGTTGTTAGGCAATTTCATCAGTGTGCAAATATCACAGAGTCTATTTCCACAAACTTCAATGGGATAGGCGACTACATATCTAGGATATATGGCACAATCTATTGCTCCTAGGCTACAAACCTGTACAGAATATTACTGTACTGCATATTGTAGGCAATTGTAATGCAATGGTATTTGTGTAGCTAAACATATCTAAACATAGAAAAGATACAGCTAAAACATGGCATTATAATCCTATGGAACCACTGTGAAATACTGGTCTGTCATTGACAAAATCTTTGTTATGTGGTGCATGACTATACTCCTATTTCAAGAAAGGACTTACCTCTGGTAGAGGAGAAAAAAAATATTTTTAAAATCTTGTGTCTTTAACAATTGTTCTTTTAAAAAAGAGACCTTGTGTAAATAGGACATAATGTAAATATGTCCTTTTTTCAAAAAGACCTTGTGTAAATATGACATATGTAAATATGATTTATCGGTTTAATTTTGTCAGTACATACATTGTTATTGATTATATTAATTCATAATATTTTATGTGATCATGTCATCTTTTAAAATTAAAATGTAGATGACTCAAGCCCTCACCTTACATATAGCATATAACGTACGAAGTCTTTTCAGTATTTCTTTGGAATTTCAGGGGATTTACAATTGGCTAAATGAGTTCCTGTTCTGCGAGCATCTTTCTTTCTCTCTTGATCCCTGGCTCTGGGCTTCTGCCAGCCTTAACTGCCTCAGTCTTCTTTCAATATGTTCCTTCCACCAACACATCAGCATAGCAGAGGGAGTCTTAGAGGAGGGGTGCATTGTTCCTCAAACCCCATTATCATTAAGAACACAGAGCTACCATTTATGGTAGATTTGTACTGATAGTTGAGGCTAATGAAGGATTACAGTTTAATACTTAAATAAAATATTCTAAAAGTTCGTTCAGCCATTTCCACCTCTATTTTAGGCCTACATTGTTTCCATCTTCCTGGGCTTTTCTCTTAGGCACAGGTGCACACCCACACACAAACATACACACATTCTACTTACTCTGACTGCCAGTCTCCTACCTCCAAATCCTGTTAGTCCTTCTGCAGAATAGTTTTGTTCTTCACCCTTGCCTCAAACTAAGTTTTAGGTCTACCTTGCATATCCAAAATATGAATTCTTTGCTAAACAAAGGGCCTTCTATTCAAGGTCATTATTGTTTAACTGCACGAAACAAAAGGAAAAGCTTTAAAATTACAGGCTTTCCTTTAGCATGATCACATTTTTTTAAAAGACAGCTTATCCCTACAAGTCTTTCTGAAAATAGAGGGAAAACAGTATGAAAATTCACTCTACCTCTCTCCAGAATACATCTGCAAGAGTGGTGAGTCTCTTCCAGTCTCCTCATCCGCAATTTACCCAACCTTGCTTCATAAACACATATATACACATGTTAAAAGCTCTGAAATCTTGGTCCATTTAGCAAAGGGCAAACAATTCCATATATTTTAGTTGATACTGAAGAAATATGTGTATTATTATCCGTATTAAAATGAATGTCCATAATGATGATGCTTTAAATGTTTATGGCATTCTACAGTTTACAAGGAACTTTTACATAAAACAACCTGAAAAGAAATATGTAGGGTCCCACAAATAATTTTTAGTAAAACTGAAGCTAGAGTCCAATTCTCTTGACTTCCAACACAGTGCCTTTTCAACCCATCATGTTGTCTCCAGCCCCACAGTGCCAAGAAAAGGTTAGATTCACGTCAGAGTACTATCGAACGGATAAAGCAAAAGGAAAAGTAGAAGGTGTTAGAAAAATAGATCATTTAAAAGTTTAAGGCTGGTAGATGAGTGTCTAGGACAGTCCCTAACACATAGTAGACACTCAATAATTATTTGTTGTATTAATACATAAAATGTCACTTCTGAGCTGTTTAAAATCACAATCTAGTTACCCAGAATGATTCAAGGGTTTTAAATGGCTGTGATCGTGCTACACGGGATAGAGAAAGATGCCTTTATGTGCATAGATGTATCCATAAATTTCCCATAGCCATCATTCTCTTCCTTGCCATCTAATTGTACACAAAACCACATTAGAAAGTGTAAATTATAAACAGTTAATAAAACATATCCAACAATATAAAAACCCTGCCTAGAGAAAGACACTGAGATTCAGATAAGATTGTTTTACAAATTTGTGATGTACCATATAGAGGACTTTTGGGTAATCTGCAGTGAAACTAGACTTTCATAAAAGAAAGAGTATGTCTGATATCCTTCTTCCTGGTGCTATAAACAGGGTTAATAGGAAGTGAAGTCAAACCCTTGACTGTGACTGACATGAGGGAGTAAAATCTGCTCCGAGAATGGGACACATCAGAGGGCAGAATTCTGGTCTAGGCTTAGAAAGGACTTCCAGGTGGCTGAGCAAACGGCAGTCTTTTATTTGGCAGAATTTGCTTCAGGGACTAAGAGAAGAGAGGAGATTCGAAGAAAAAGAGTGAAGATTATGTTCTAAATCACTGATAAAAAGTATTATAATTAAAGCACATTGGAAATTTATAACACTAACCAAAGTATCAGCAATCTCTATCTAGCAAAAATACCAGAGTGTCATTAAATTACCAGCAAAGAACACACAGCAGAAGAGAGAGGTCTGCATTTTCACCAAACCACAGCAATCCTGGAGAGGGCTCTATAGCCAGTTAAGACATTCTAGGTCACAGGATGAGATGGGAGGTCAGTACAAGATACAGGTCATAAAAACCTTGCTGTTTAAACAGTTGCAGTAAAGAAGCCGGGCAAAACCCATCAAAAACAAGACGGTGACAAGAGGGACCTCTGGTCATCCTCACTGCTACACTCCCATCAGCACCATGACAGTTTACAGATGCCATGCCAATGTCAGGAAGTTACCCCTATATGGTCTAAAAAGGGAAGGCATGAATAATCCATCTCTTGTTTAGCATATCATCAAGAAATAAACATAAAAATGGGCAACCAGCAGTCCTCAGCGCTGCTCTGTCTATGGACTAGCCATTCTTTTATTCATTTACTTTCTGAATAAACTTTACTCTATGGACTAGCCCTGAATTCTTTCTTGCAGGAGATCCAAGAATGTTCCCTTGAGGTCTGGATTGGGACCCCTTTCCTGTAACACCTGCTCTGGAGAAGTTTGGGGTGAAAGAGACAGGCTCACTAAAGGGAGCAAAACACAGTGCAAAGAGCATAATAAAAGGATCAAGAGTCAGAAGGTATAGGCCATTTTTAGAAATCTTGATTAGCACTTCCCAAATATTTAGGAAGATGGAGGCAGGGACTGGAGTGATACTGCCACCAGTTAGGAAATGCCTGGAACTACCCGAAAGGGGAATAAACAAAAAAGGATCCTCCCCTAAAGGCTTTCAGAAAGAGCATAGCTCTGCCAACAACATAATTTTGGATTTCTAGCCTCCACAACTTTGAGAGAATAAATTTCTCACCCTGGTTTGTGGAGTAGAGGCAAAATAAAGATACTGGGTCAAAGAAGACCAAGTTAGAATGAGGAAACTGGGTGGCCTTGCTATTCAAAATGTGGCCAGAGGACTAAGAGCATCAAATTGATACAAATGCAGGATCTTGGGCCCAACCCCCAGACCCATCAAAGCAGAGCCTGCATTTTCACAAGATCCCCAGCTGATGTACAGGCCCATTAGGACTGAGAAGTACTGCTCTAGGGACACAGATGATGGAATCAGGCCTTATGCTCTTGGTATGCCTTATGCTTATGTTGAGCATAATGCCTTCTATTCTGACTCTTCTTTAACACCTGTTCAGAAAGAGGCTTAGCCTCTTTTCTTTTGGAATGTAGATAAGCAATGCTGAGACTACAATGGTGAGATCTGCAGAATGTAAACTAGTTTTCTGTTTTTACATAGCCATTATCAGCAAGCATTCTCAGAAGCTTCTAACTGACCTTAAAATGACTACAGACTCTTTCTTTTTTTTTTTTTGGAAGCTAAGCAGAATGAGTCACAACCTTACCTCCTCTTTGTTCTTTGTGGTGGCTACAGAGATGTGCCACCCACCGCATGGCCCTTCAATGAAGTACTAGTCCCAGCTGCCCTCCTAAAGGGGCAGCTGGCTTTCAGTGATGAAGTGGGCCCAGCCATTTTGGCCCAGTGCAGTCCAGTGCATGGCAGCTCTGATGGGTCATCTCCACTCCAGATCTCTCCATGGCGTTGGCCTAGGCTGCTGCTCCTGTATTCCAGCTCACTTCTCCCTCTGCCTGCTCAGCTCCTGCCCTCTCCCTTCCACAAGTGTTGATCCCAAGGGCACTCCACAATACTCCCTGAACACTAAATTCTGTCTCTGAGTCTGCTTTCTGAAGATTCCTATGACGTACCATAAAGAAAATGTAAGTTTGCCAGGGCTTTGGGCAGAAGTGGAATATAAATCTTACACTGGGCATTGAAAGATCTAGTTCAAGTCTCAGATCAGCCACAGAGAGGCAGTGTGGTCTTGAACAAGCATCTTATTGTTTATGAACCTCAAATATCTGTAAGACAAGAACAATTCCTCCCCATCTATCTCACAGAGCTGTTGTCATGAGGACTTCAGATGAGATAATATGTGTCTGGGGAAAGCACTCTATAGAGTGCAAGACATTAGATATTTTATTATTAGTCAGTAGATTCTAGAGTTTGTTTTGTATTTTGTTGTTGTTGTTGTTTCTTTGCCTGTTTCTTAAATCCATTCTTCTCAGCATTAAACCATTCAGATCACTCTAGCAAAATACTTCTCTGGGTTAGTCTCATATTTGGCTGAGAATGTGAGTCCTAAAGGTTCATAAGGAGTTGTCAAAAATCAAAAAGACCTATTTATCTTTGTCTTCCTCTTTTTCTGGAAGAGAAATAGTCTCAGACTAGTGTAATAATTCACTTACTAGTAAATTTCTATGAGAGAAAAATTAAGAGATATAATAAGAGCCTCTACACCTACAGCAACCTTCAGAGACCTTTGAGCTCCTCATTTAAATTTACTTTAAAAAACACATTCTTGGCCAGGTGCGGTGGCTCACGCCTGTAATCCCAGCACTTTGGGAGGCCGAGGCAGGCAGATCATGAGGTCAGGAGATTGAAACCATCCTGGCTAACACGGTGAAACCCCATCTCTACTAAAAATACAAAAAATTAGCCAGGCGTGGTGGCAGGCACCTGTAGTCCCAGCTACTCGGGAGGCTGAGGCAGGAGAATGGCGTGAACCTGGGAGGCGGAGCTTGCAGTGAACCGACATTGTGCCACTGCACTCCAGCCTGGGCGACAGAGCGAGGCTCCATCTGAAAAAAATAAAAATAAAATAAAAACACATTCTTTTCTGCCTGATTTTCTGAGGGCAAAAAAAAAAAAGAATTAAAAAATACATTATTAATCAAAAATCACAATTAAATTTCAGTTGCCCTTCAACAATTCTTTGGGTCCAGAAACAAGCAGCTCTTCTCTTTCCCTCTCTGTTCATCTCTGTTCTCTTTTTCCCTTAGGATCTTGCAATTTTTTTAAGGTTTTCTCCCCTTGAAGTTCTTGGCCTCCAAAATTCCTTATCCTGAAGCCATCCTCACAGGATTAACAAAAATTCTGGAAAGACCTATAATTAACCACTGATCAAGCTGCACTTTGGCCCACTTCCTTGTAATTGAAAGTCAGGTAGCACTAGATACTGATCATTTGCATTCCTATTTTTCTGATGGATAGGATTTCTGACGTTAGAATCTGTTTAAAAATTAATTTGTATGCCCATTGTTCTTATAGATAGGATCTCTGACGTTAGAATCATAAGGCTTTCGTTTAGGAGTTGCTTAAGAGGTTTTTTTCCAAATCCCCAATTCCAGTGACCCTCCACATAGGAACTGAATCTACATGATAATGCAGTTTCTTCATCTCCCTGTGCCATGACATCACCGTGCACTCCTCAATGAATCAATGATCTCCAAATTTCAGCCCACCCCAAAACCCTTAAAAACCCTTGCCCTAAACTCCTCATGGAGATATGGATTTGAGGTTTTAAGTGACCCTAACTAAGATTAAACCTCTTTCTCCGCTGCAACTTGGTGTCTTGGAGTACTGACTTGCCATGAACATCAGGCAATGGACCTATTATGGTTGAAATTCTACCTTGGTCCTGCTTGATCCAGTATCATTATTTTGCCTTCACCCCCCAACCCAGGATGTATACTTCTTTCCCACCCATACTGCACCCCTATAGTTGATGGATTTTCCCGCTATTAGTATTTAAAGGCTAATTTAGCTAATTCAGAGGTCAACTGGTATTACAGAAAGAAGCTGGGTGGAGACAGGCTGCTTTCAGATAATATATAACATGTGCATGTTAATAATAACCTTCTAAAGGCAAATAGTCTGTGGGAACCATTTCTCCATCAGTGTAATGGTGGAGATTTTGGACTTGACAATTGAGGGGGCCCAGACTCCAGCTGGTTGTGGGAGCAGAGATAACTGCTAGAAAGGCCACTTTCACCCTGAGGAGGTCCCTCCCCAGCCCTAATCATTTGAAATGGACGTCTTCACCTGCTAGTTTCCTTCCTGCCAAGTTCTGGGAATGTTGATGCTATCTTACCAAAAGCTTTTCAGGTCTCCTTAATTCTCATTGGTCTAGTCGTATACTTGGCTTTAGAACAAAGAGGATTTCAGTGTCTGTCAATGATGATCTCCTGTGATCTAGCAGTTCTGAAAGATGAACTTGCCAAAATGAGAAAATTAAAAGAGAAGTGCCCTATGTGGGAGAAAAATTATGCATTAAAGTGCTAAGTATCACCCAAGAGATAAGTAGTAAGTATAAGTACTCAAAGACACTTACAGTATCTTAACTTTCACATTGAAAAAAAAAATTGTGCAGCTTTTAAACTCCCTCAGTTTTGTATTTTCCGAGGTAGAAGCTGTGTGAAAAGAGTGATATTGCCTGTGGTGTTTGGAAGCTGACTGGCAGTGACATTAGGCAGCAGTCTCCTGTGAGAAGCACAGCTCGCATTCAGACAGGGTGAAGAATGGCAGAGAAAGGCTCCAGGAAGTGAGGCGGGACATACGGAGACGCTATAAAGGTTAAGTGGGAAAGCACCACTGAGAAGTTCAAATACTACTACAAGCAACACAGGCTTACCAGCTCATTTACTGGGTGTGTTGGCATGTGCACACTGAGAGCTCCCAGGGCTCCTGCAGCATAAAAATCAATATAGGCAAGAATCCCCTTCCTCCTTCTCTTTTTGTTCTTATAAATTGGAAAATATAAGGCCCATATCATTCTGATGTTCCCCAAAAGTCCTAACTATCCAAAATGATTAAAAGCAAAAAGTCATTCACTCCATTCAGCGAAATGAATAGAGAAGAAAATGAAAGGATGGGGATTGGGGAGACATATTTAACCAATTTTCATATATTCCAGAATGATCTTTATGCCTGCCCCTCATGTAGATGTAATATGTGAACACGGCTGAAAGAGATATTTTTATCTCCTATTAGCATATGCATGGACCTCTGCTTCACATGATTAATGTACATGTATATGTCTGAAATCAGTCAAATGAGTTATAATGAAACTTCATTCCTAAAGGGCTTGTTCATTGAGTTATTAATGTATAAAGAAAAGAACGTTAAAATGCAAGCCTTAGGAAAATAAAAACAATAGCTTCAGTTTTTGCAAGATAGGCATGCTATTCGCTTTTGCTCAGTATCGGTTTCTCAAAATTAATAATCATCAATTGCAAGAAAGAAATAATTCAAGTTTTTTAAAAGTCTTGACTAATGACGCAATTTTTACAAAGCAGAGAATAAGTTGTATGGTTTTTAATAATCTTTTAGACTTAGCATCTGAGTATTTTTTCAATTAAGAAACAACATTTTTAAGGAAAATTCAACTGTGTAAGTAGCTCCTAATGACTACTATAAAATTAAACCAGATTAATGATTTGGTCTCTCTTTTCTAATAAATGACTTAGAAAAGTTTAATTTCCTAGAATGTCACGTAAGACTATTTCCATGTATTTTTCTATTAATCAAACATTGAAAATCCAAATGTATGAGTGCGTAGATAGCTGATGTTAAATTGGTTTTAAAATGAAGTACATTATTTCTCTGGTCCAAAAGCTATTACTGAATTCTACAGAGATGTCTGTGATTGTGTTTGTAAGCATAACTATCATGGTTTCTGAAATATGATTTAAAAATCAATATCTAAAAGAATTTTAAATGCATACTTGGACATTATTCATCCTAGAGATATGCATATCTCATTTTCTAGAAAAATCAAAGGCATACTCTTTCAAAATCAAAATTATATTTTCAATTCTGTCTGCATTATTTGATTGCATAGGAATAATACTTAGATTTAACCAATTTAGAGGAAGAACTATATGATGAAAGAATATTAAACTTGAGTAGCTTAGCCTTCATCTTCTATAGCTAGAACTCGATGTCTTAGCAATATAAGTCTACCAGAAATACTGACTAACAAAGAAATTATTATAGTAAAAATGAACTCCAAGTTTCTTTTATCTTAATGTTTCTGAAGAAATACAGGAAAAAGAACTATTATGAATGAGTTCAATATTGTTGTTCCCTAATTATATAATACTTAGCTCATTTTGCTAAGGTATGTTTGCAGAAACAGAATGATGACTTAATATTGTACAGATTAAATCTATGAAGAACAATTGCTAAATAATAAAGCAAAAAATAAATATAAAAATTTTTTGTTGACTGGGCGCGGTGGCTCACGCCTGTAATCCCAGCATTTTGGGGGGCTGAGGCGGACGGATCACAAGGTCAGGAATTCGAGACCAGCCTGGCCAAGACGGCGAAACTCCACCTCTACTAAAAATACAAAAATTAGCTGGGTGCGGTGGCGGGCGCCTGTAATCCCAGCTACTCGGGAGGCTGAGGCAGGAGAATTGCTTGAACCAGGGAGGTGGAGGTTGCAGTGAGCCGAGATCACGCCACTGCACTCCAGCCTGGGTGACAGCAAGACTCCGTCTAGAAAAAAAAATTTTTGTTGTTGTTTTAAAGTCCCTAGGAATTTTAGAATACATCCTAAATGAACAGCTATAAATATATTTTGCTTTAGATAAGGTTTTTCACGTTTATTTTTAGGAAAATTATTTTTTGAAAAAATAATTTATTCTGTAATTATACATTACTTTAAGATTTTGAATTCATGCTCTGATATATAAGTAGATTATGATTAAATGAATTGACACATTAATCTGGTCCATGACATATCAGGCTATGGTTGATTCACCACTCATTACAGTTTCATCTTTAGTCTACAGTCAAATCTAAACCCAGCTTTCTTCTGAGGGAAGAAGTATTGAGAATTTTATTTTTATTTATTTATAATACTTAAATGTTTATCATTTCCAAATTTCATTGAAATGATAAATTTTGTTGATTCTCTGGCACTTCAGAACTTATAATTTAATATTTTAGGCATATTCTTGAAAATTATTTATAATTTGTTGTGCTTTAGTTTAGTATTTATTTTATTTTATTTTTATTTATTTTTTTGAGATGCAGTCTTGCTCTGTCACCCAGGTGGCACAGGCTGGAGTACAGAGGCTCCATCTCAACTCACTGCAAACTCCGCCCTCCAGGTTCAAGCAATTCTCATGTCTCAGCCTCCCGAGTAGCTGGAATTACAGGCACGCACCACCACATCCCCCTGACTTTTGTATTTCTAGTAGAGACAGGGTTTCGCCATGTTGGCCACACTGGTTTCAAACTCCTGACCTCAAGTGATCTGCCTGCCTTGGCCTCACAAAGTGCTAGGATTATAGGCGTGAGCCAACATGCCTGGCCTGTTTTGTTTTTAGAAACAAGGCTCCACTTTGTGGCTCAGGTTGAAGTGTAGTGGTGCAATCATAGTTCACTGCAGCCTCAAACACCTGGGCTCAAGCAATCTTTCCTCCTGCACCTCCCAAGTAGCTGGGACTACAGGTGTGTGCCACCATGCCTGGCTAATTTTTTTTTTTTTTTTTGGTAGAGACGGGGTCTCACTATGTTGCCAAGGCTTGTCTCAAACTCCTGGCCCAAGGCTCTGGGATTACAGGTGCTAGCCACTGTGCCTGACCTATTGTGGTTTTAGTAGGCATTTTTTCATGATCTCAAATCAGAAGCTTTAACTATAAAATACTTAGAGCCTCTTACTATAGAACTTGGTAGGTGTTGATTAGAAAAGGCAATTACAGAAATACATCATTTAGAAATACATAGTCCACAGAAAAAAAAATGAAATACATAAATATATCACAAGGAATGTACAAGGTCTCATATCTGTGTGCAAACCTGAAGCATAGGGAGCTACTTCCTTAGAGTAACTTTCCAAGCACTGTCAAGCCACTGCCAGACCACCATTGGTCCACTGGGTAGCAAAGGAGGGGCTGTGTGCAAGAGAGAAGCCAAGGACAATTCAGCCCAATGATGCTAAGAAGACCTGGACACACTTAACTACAAACTTTCAACCACTAAATCCCAACCAAGACGGGAATGCTCCCTCTTCTTGGCTGTCTATACCCCTCAAGCTGCATTTTATCCATCTGCCTTCAAAATGACTATTGAGGCCAGGCGCGGTGGTTCACGCCTGTAATCCCAGCACTTTGGGAGGCCGAGGTGGGCAAATCACCTGATGTCAGGAGTTTGAGACCAGCCTGGCCAACGTGGCAAAACCCCGTATCTAACTAAAAATACAAAAATTAGCCGGGCGTGGTGGTGGGCACCTGTAATCCCAGCTACTCAGGAGACTGAGGCTGGAGAATGGCTTGAACTGAGGAGGCAGAGGTTGCAGTGAGCTGAGACTGTGCCACTGCACTCCAGCCTGGGCGACAAGAGCAAAATTCCAACTCAAAAAAATAAAAATAAAAATAATGCTGTTGGCCAGCCACGGTGGCTCACACCTGTAATCCCAGCATTTTGGGAGGCCGAGGCGGGTGGATCACAAGGTCAGGAGATCAAGACCATCCTGGCTAACACGGTGAAACCACATCTCTACTAAAAAATACAAAAAATTAGCCAGGCGTGGTGGTGAGCGCCTGTAGTCCCAGCTACTCAGGAGGCTGAGGCAGGAGAATGGCATGAACCTGGGAGGCAGAGCTTGCAGTGAACCGAGATTGTGCCACTGCACTCCAGTCTGGGCGACAGAGTGAGACTCCATCTCTAAATAAATAAATAAATAAATAAATAAATAAATAAATAAATAAGGCTGTTGAGTTAACCTGATTTCAGATCAATAAATTGTTAAGATAGAAACATGCTGTTAGCGGTTTTTACACTGTGCGCTCATATAGGGACAATGCTGCACTGATTTTCGCCTCCACAGGCCTTTCCCTTCTGGCCAATTCCCTCATGAGCCCTCTAGGCTGCCTAGCCAACAAGTATACATGTAATTTTTCTCAGCAGAGCTCCAGAGTTTGGTCTATCTATTTTTAATGTTCCTGAGGATTAATTTATTACAGCTCTTGAAATTCAATGAGTCCCAGCTCTGAATCATGTTGAAGGCCGTGGGTGCAGAACACAAAGCTTCAGGAACCTACCTAGAGCTGGAAATGCTGCAGTTGCGTTTTAGGATATAGCATATACATGGTTCTTTCGGCAGTCACATGTCTTTTAATCTAATGAAAGCAGAAAAGTGCTAGCTGGAAATAACTGAATCTGCAAAGCTAGCTAAGATGATTCAAATCTGAAACACTTCACCCTGACCCCAAGCCTGTCCTGAGACAGCTTTGCATTTTATTGAATTAATCATTAATGTTGCAGCACCTCTAGTTTTATTCCATCATTAGAATGACATCATTTGGAAGAAGTAAAGAAGTTGCTATAGATTTAGTGGACCAAGACAATCAATTGAAGTTTCTTAAAGGTGAAAAGATGGCAGAAATTCTTGTCCTTGGCTTGCCTGCAAGATTTCCATTTGCCCACATACATACTATATATTATTTTCAGTACCCCCCACGCCCATCACTTCTCATATTCTCTACAGCTGGTTCTGTATTTTCATGGCAAATAAACTCACAGTTGTTCCACAAACTCGAATTTCCAGGAAAATCATATAAAACAGTAATAGAAAAAGAAGGAAAAATTTATATCTTTTCAAATCATTCTTCTTACTTTGTATCTTCTAAAAAAGAGAAACATTTATTCATTCATTTATCCTCATATTGAAAGGGGGAGTAAGATGTGCTCCCTTTTGCGAGGAGCTCATAATTTATGAAAGTGGTTTTTAAAATGTGGGTTAGTAATCTCTTTTGGATTTCAATGAGAACCAAAACTCTTACTAGGAAAATGAACAAACCCATATAAAACTTCGAATATAAATGTTTAGGGAGTTGATAACCACCTGTGGCCCATCTATACAGCCCATGTTATGAACTGAATGTTTATGTCCCCCTAAAATTCATATGTTGAAGTTCTCATCCCCAGTGCGATAGTATTTGGAGATGAGGCTTTTGGGAGGCAATTTGGGTTAGAGCAGATAATGAGGGTAGGCCCCTCATGGTGAAATTAGTGGCCTCATAAGAAGAGAAGAAAGTGATAGTCCTGTTAGAAGCATGTAGCACTGTCCACAGCTTCACTGGGAGAGGACAAATGAAAGATCTACCCATGGAGCTTACTTAGACTCTGATTTATGTGCTGCTTTTTTGACTGACTTTAATCTGGACCCCTTCCAGAATATCACTATGCTATAATACACCATAACTGTGAGTATAACAGACTTCACTGAGTTCTGTGAGTCCTTCCAGTGAATTTCTCAAACCCGGAGATTGCCTTGGGGACCCCTAGACTTGAAATTGGTATCAGCAAGGAGGGTGGTCTTGCAAACCCCTGAACAGTGTGGTTGGTGTCAGAAATGAAGGTGGTCTTGGGGACTGCCTAACTCTGCACTTATTAAACATGCTTAAACTTAAGACTTTATAATGCCATCAAAGAAACTAGTCACCTTTGGAGGATATTAGGAAAACAATTTTCTTAAAAGACTGGCAAATAAAAATGCAAGCATTTGTTTTACCTTAATTACATTAACTGTACATTTATTTGCCTTAATTATATTAACTGTATACTTATGATAATCAAATTATAGATTAGAGGAGGTGTACCTTCTTAAAAGTAATACAAGTAAAACAATAAACCAACAATGACCAAAATGTAATATTACTATTTTGAAACCCTTAATAAATTAATAGATTTAGGCCCTACATATCAACAGTGCTTGAAACCACAAAAAGAGAAATGACCAGATAATATATTTTTCCTGCTGAAAGAACACTAGCACCTCCTTGCCAAAGGAACCAAACCTGAGTCTGATCAAGTACCTGAATCCAGTTATGAATTTGCAGGCAATAATGAGGACAGAGATAACTGTTAAACTGAACAATGAGTATTATGCAGTCAACAACTGTGGGAAACTCTATTGGTCAAAAAGTGCCAGTTTAGCAATAGAAAAATTGTAAAGAAAGTAAAGGAATAGAAAAAGAATCTGTAGGCCAGGTGTGGTGGCTCACACCTGTAATCCCAGCACTTTGGGAGGCCGAAGCGGGCAGATCGTGAGGTCAGGAAATCGAGACCATCCTGGCTAACATGGTGAAACCCCGTCTCTACTAAAAATAGAAGAAATTAGCTGGGCATGGTGGCACGTGCCTATAGTCCCAGCTACTCAAGAGACTGAGGCAGAAGAATTGCCTGAACCCGGGAGGCAGAGGTTGCAGTGAGTCGAGATTGTGCCACTGCACTCCAGCCTGGACAACAGAGCGAGACTCTGTCTCAAAAAAGAAAAAAAAAAAAAAGAAAAGGAATCTGTAGACTAAAAAAGATGTATCAAATTATAAAATGGGGAAGATTCAATGATAATATCTAAGGATGAACATTTATTTAGGTGATAGAACTATAAATAAGTGTGAGGAAGTAATTATTAGAAGTCAGGCTAGTGGTTACTTAAGGCAGATATGAGGGAGCTGTGATTGCAACAGTGGGGGCTGGAAATGTTCCATTTCTTGATTAGTTGGCTGAGTGGTAGCTACAAGAATACTCTCTTATGTGATTTATTAAGCTACACATTTGTTTTGCATGTTTTTCTTTACCTTGTGAATTTGACTTTTGGTTTCTTTACTTTTGTTTTTTGAGACAGGGTCTCACTCTGGTTATTGGCTGGTCACAATCATAGCTCATTGCAGCCTCAAACTTCTGGGTTCAAGCAATCCTCCCACCTCAGCCTCCTGAGTAGCTGGGACTACAAGCACACACCACCACGCCCAGCTAATTTTAAAAAATATTTGTGGAGACGTAGCATCACTATGTAGACCAGGCTGATGATCTTGAACTCCTGGCCTCAAGCAATGCTCTCACCTTGATCTTGAAGCACTAAAATTACAGGCCTGAGCCAACACTGCCAAGCCTGAGGTTGATTTTTTTTTTTTTTATTATACTTCAAGTTTTAGGGTACATGTGCACATTGTGCAGGTTAGTTACATATGTATACATGTGCCGTGCTGGTGCGCTGCACCCACTAACTCGTCATCTAGCATTAGGTATATCTCCCAATGCTATCCCTCCCCCCTCCCCCCACCCCACCACAGTCCCCAGAGTGTGATATTCCCCTTCCTGTGTCCATGTGATCTCATTGTTCAATTCCCACCTATGAGTGAGAATATGCAGTGTTTGGTTTTTTGTTCTTGCGATAGTTTACTGAGAATGATGGTTTCCAATTTCATCCATGTCCCTACAAAGGACATGAACTCATCATTTTTTATGGCTGCATAGTACTCCATGGTGTATATGTGCCACATTTTCTTAATCCAGTCTATCATTGTTGGACATTTGGGTTGGTTCCAAGTCTTTGCTATTGTGAATAATGCCGCAATAAACATACGTGTGCATGTGTCTTTATAGCAGGATTTTTTAACTCAAGGGCAAGGCTTGCACTTACCCCCACTAAATTATATTCATCTCATGTCCCTGGATTCTTAAGATGCCTTTGGATTCTCATGCTACCCAACGTGATTGTTATTCTTCTTGGCTTAATGCTATCCACAAATTCAGGGGCAAAGTATCTTCAGCAAAACAACGAATTTAAAAAAGAAGTTGACAACCTAAATTCTAGATCTTGATTTGGGTGGTGCTTGCACAGGTGTATATATTCATCAAAACTCACCAAACTCTACACTTAAAATAGGTCCATGCCTCCCTCATGTTTGCTTGTTTAATTTGCTTTCCTTTCCTGACAGCAGGAGTCATTCATTGTGACTCATCCACAATCATGCAAACAACCAGCTGAAGATGAGGGAACAACTTGTTGGAAGGAACCCAAGGCTCTGCATGACCATTTGGGGTACAGCTACTTACTGACTGGGAATGTTTACCTACAGCTTTTAGGTGAGAGAAAAACAAACTTCTTTCATTTTTAAGCCACAATATTGTCAGGGGTATTTGGAACAGCAGCATAGTCTATTACTCTAATAACTCAATTGCCTTCAGAAGCCAAGCAAGGAACAGAAATATACAAAGAGGCCAGGTGCGGTGGCTCATGCCTGTAATCCCAGCACTTTAAGAGGCTGAGGCAGGCAGATCACTTGAGGTCAGGAGTTCGAGACCAGCCTGGCCAATGTAATGAAACCCCCATCTCTACTAATACAAAATTAGCTAGGCGTGGTGGCACTAGCCTGTAATCCCAGCTACTTGGGAGGCTGAGGCAGGAGAATCACTTGAACCCAGGAGGCAGAGGTTGCAGTGAGCCGAGATCATGCCACCACACTCCAGCCTGGGCAACAGAGCAAGACTGTCTCAAAAAAAAAAAGAAAGAAAGAAAGAAAGAAATATATAAAGAGGGCCGGGCGTGGTGGCTCACGCCTGTAATCCCAAATCCCAGCACTTTGGGAGGCCAAGCCAGGTGGATCACTTGAGGTCAGGAGTTCAAGAGCAGACTGGCCAACATGGTGAAACCTGGTCTCTATGGAGAATCACTTGAACCTGGGTGGCAGAGGTTGCAGTGAGTCGAGATCATGCCACTGCACTCCAACATGGGCAGCAGAGTGAGACTTTGTCTCAAAATAAATAAATAAATAAACTAACAAAGAGGCAGGAGTAAGACACTGAGAACTGTGGTTAGTACATACTGTCCTAAAAGCACTCAAAAAACTGTAATTTTTTTAAGCATTCTGTACTGAAAACAAAATGCAGGGTCAAATTCTATCTGATGGCTATAGTTTGCAAACCTAGGTTAATCAGGACAACTGGAGTAAGATTATTCTTCCAGCTACAAATTCATGTAATTTTCTTGCACACATTTCTTCTCTTTGTATAGAAGTACATCATAAGAGACCTAAGCAAATGACTTACTAAAGTACACGTTTTCTTGATTAGGATATAACCTAAGCTGCTATCACATGGAGACTTAAAAATGCAGTGGCTCAGATAAAATGCAGGCCTATTTCTCTTTAACATACAGCATCTGGGGGGAGATAGGTGTTTTTTCTTCATGTGGCCATCCAGGGACTCAGGGACCCTCTAAGCTGTTGCTCCACCATCCCCTGGGTATTGTTCTGACTGCTTGGTTGACGTTCCCTCACCACTTTTGGACTGCAGAACAAGGAAGGAGAAAGTGGAGGGGAGCAATCCAGGGACCAGACTGATGGCTCCTTATTACACCCCATTAGCCAGAACCTAGTCATGTGGCCACACCCAGCCACAGTGGAGTGCAGAAAGTGGAGTCTCTATATAAGCCATCATGCTCCCAATTAAAACTCAGTGGGTGCTTTTAATAAAAAGATGGGGAGAATGTTTATTGGGGAACAATTAGCCGTCTCTGCCACATATTCACTAGTCTAATAAGTTTCTGGACGATCTGACGTTATATTCTTCAACAATCTCTGCTGGATTCTTGGTCTTCACTTTTTATTAGGAGCAAACTTTGAATAACCCATTCTAGACCCTCACTCAGAATCATTGTCAGGTTCATCAGTCTTACTTTGCAGAAATGAACGCTTTTTGCTTTAGAAAACTGGGGTTCACTTTTATTTTTTCCCATCTCCCTAGAGCACTCACCCCTCAGGATTCTTCAGAGATCAATACCTTGGTGACTTCAGTCTCAACCACTCCTGGTGCCATGGAATATCATTCTTACAGGTCACGCGACAGAAAAATAAAAAAGTAAAGGAAAGAAATGAAACTATTTCAACTAGTCTAGTGAATAGGCAAAAACAAAAAGTGTTAGGAAATTAAAAAGGGTAATTAAAAAAAATTTTTTTTTTGAGATGGAGTTTTGCTCTTGTTGCCCAAGCTGGAGTGCAATGGCATGATCTGAGCTCACTGCAACCTCCACCTCCCTGGTTCAAATGATTCTTCTGCCTCAGCCTCCCAAGTAGTTGGGATTACAGGCACCTGCCACCACACCCAGCTAATTTTTGTATTTTTAGTAGAGACGGGGTTTCACCATATTGGCCAGGCTGGTCTCGAACTCCTGAGCTCAGGTGATCCACCTACTTGGGCCTCCCAAAGTGCTGAGATTACGGGCGTGAGCTACCGCACCTGGCCAAAATTCATTTTTGAGAGTTTAGCTACATCAAGAAAAGGCTTCAAGTCATTTATTAAACAATGGATCATGATTTTTATGTCAATCTTCTTTACACACATGCATCCATAGGGTTTTGTTTTATTTTATTTTACCATCACTCAAGCTAACTAGAATTGTGAACATCAACTTCTCTGAATAATCACTATGAAATCTTCCAAAAGAAAGGAAAGGGCTATAATCCTAGCCTAAATTTTTGGCTGTCCTCCCAATTAAGTGTCAAAACAATCAATCACTGCCTTCGGGATAACTATTCTTTATTTTACTGAAGAGCCTTTTTAGTGGTTGATTCTGAATAATTATATATCATGCTTGACTTTCCTTGCATATAATATGAATTTTTTTTCTTATTCTCTATGGTAACTGCTAAAATATTTCAAGCTTATTTCTTTTCTCTCTTAAGTACATATCTAGTTTTCTGGGGCAGGAGGAATCTGGAAATATACAAAGGCAGAGTTAGTACAGGAAGTTTAGGTTAAAAGAAACATACACAGTCATCCTTCAGTACATGCAGGGGATTGATTCCAGGACTCCCATGTATACCTGTGCATACTCTGTGGAAGGTAGATAGGGAAAGTCAGCCCTCAGTATATGTGGGCTTAGCATCCCATGAATTCTGTATTTTTCAACATGTTTGGTTGAAAAAAATCTGTGCATATGTGGACACCTGCAGTTCAAACCCACCTTGTTCAAGGGTCAACTATATTTCAAGCTTCATCTCTCAAAATCCTCTCCACATTTCAACCACATTGAGTCCATTTGCTTTTTCCTGAAACATATATACATTGTTACACCCTGTGACTTTCATGGTGCCCTTTATTCAACAGGGAATGTCTGTCTTCCCCTTTCATTCTCAGACTATTGATCCTCATTCATCCTTTATTGTCAGCTCCAAATCCACCTCCAGCACGACGTTTTCCCTACTCATCCACAACATAATCAAGTGTTTCTGTTTCAGCTAGCAAATAGCTGCCCACTAACTTTTCAAAGAGAGTGTATGCAAGTGAATTTTTTTTATTTTTAAAAAACTTCATGGTTTTTACATTTATACAACACCCAAAATTATTCTTTTTCATCAGGCTACCACTTCTGTGGTCGCTATCTGCTGGAATGGTTCCTTTCCTGAAATTTAGCCATAAGGTAAATCGATTGTCCTAAAACAGCAAGAAACCCCATGCTAGCTGATTGAAAATACCAGGATCTAGCAGACAGCTCAGCAGGAAAGCATTTTGGTTCCTCTCCAGTCCTATCCTTGATTGGCTTTGCACCCATAGAAACAGGTCCCATAAGCATCCTAAGGGACATTAGATCACTGTCTCTGTGACTCTGCCTAGCCACCTGGGAAAGGAGAAAGCCTTCTAGAGAAGTCTGCAAAGCCATGGCTAGGGGGTAGAGTTGATGGATGACAACCAGCTAAGCTGACCTAGCAACACACTTTCTACTTCTCCAGGACGGTTTTCCCATGCTATCATATATGACCCAATTAGGTCTGTGCTTTTGCTCAAATTATTTGCTTCTGAATGTATTTAGAAAAGTATAATGTTCATTTGCTTTTGCTTCTATCAGTAAAGAATACTTACTCATTTAGAGCTCTATTTGGTTGGTGCTGATCATATTTGATAACATTCACAGAATAACTTGTTTATATTCATTTTCTCATTTCTTCCAACCCATAATAACTCCTTGGGGAGGGACAACATCTGCTCCTTTGAGATGAATAGCTTCAGCCTTCTGGATGGTTTCTCCAGGCTTCAGACTCCAGGGAGATCAGCACTCCCCAGTTCTTTTGAATTCCCCAGATTTCTGCACAGAAGTTTATGGAAAACAGAATTGTAATGCTGAGGTGTTAGCTATCAGAAACCTGTGAAAGAGAAAAAAAATGAGCCTAAGAGAAGATATTGAAAAAGAAAAAGAAACAAGGAAGATTTACAAAAGATTTCAAAGACCTTTAAAATCAATAGTAAATTACCTCCTCAGGGATTAAAAATTCTATAATGAATATTAAATTTCTTCTGCTTCCAAGTATTTAGTGTCTTTACTGTTAAAATATTAATATTTTGCTTTCCTAGAATGAGATTAACTTTTAAATTCCAGGCATTTAGATTTAGAATTCAATACACAGCTTATTAAAGTGTGGGAAGTGTTAATATAATTCTCTAATGTTCTTATAACTATGTCCCAAAGCCCTAGAGCACATATGCTATATGGGCCAATTAATATCCAAATTTCATAATGTATGTCATCACCATAGGCAATTAGAATTTAAAAAAAAATGATTCCCTTTCTGATGCTAACATGACATTGGACATTTAACAAACATTCATTGAGGGCCTACTGAGAGTGGAAAGAGGGTAGGGAGAGGGGTAAGGATAGGGATGAGAATGCAAGTAAGGGGAGGGGAAGCAAGGAAATGACCAAAACACGGTACAGGTTGAGTACCCCTTATCTGAAATGCTTGGGACAAAACGTGTTTAGGATTTTGGATTTCTTCAGATTTCAGAATATTTGCGTATACATGAGATATCTTGGGGATGGGACCCAAATATAAACACAAAATTTGTTTATGTTTCATATTAGACCTATACACACAGCCTGAAAGTAATTTTGTACAATTTTTTTTTTTTTTTGAGATTGACTCTTGCTCTGTCGCCCAGGCTGGAGTGCAGTGGCACAGTCTCGACTCACTGCAATCTCCACCTCCTGGGTTCAAGCGACTCTCGTGCCTCAGCCTCCTGAGTAGCTGAGACTACAGGTGCGTGCCACCATATCCGGCTAATTTTTGTAATTTTAGTAGAGGCGAGGTTTCACCATGTTGGCCAGGCTGGTCTCGAACTCCTGGCCTCAAGTGATCCACCCGCCTCAGCCTCCCAAAGTGCCGGGATTACTGGCATGAACCACTGCATCCAGCCAATTTTGTACAATATTTTTAGGAATTGTGTGCATAAAACAAAGTTTGTGTACATTGAACCATCAGAAAGTAAAGCTGTCACTATCTCAGCCACCATGGACAGTCTGTGGTTGTTTGGGATCACCATCATTCCTGACTTTTAATTTATATGCTACTGATAAGCAATCATTTTCTTACACTTATTCACACATAAGTACTTAACAGAAAAAAAAAGATTTACCATTATTACAGTTAGAAAAAATGTGTTCAGTGTAACTAAGCAGCACAGGAGCATCATCAGAATACCTGTATCAGCTGTTAAACCAGCAGCAACAGACCTGGTGTGGTGGCTTGTGCCTGTAATCCCAGCACTTTGGGAGGCCGAGGCAGGTGGACCACTTGAGATCAGGAGTTTGAGACTCGCCTGGCCAACTTGGTGAAACCCCATCTCTACTAAAAATACAAACATTAGCTGGGCATGGTGGCATGCTCCTGTAATCCCAGCTATTCAGAAGGCTGAGGCAGGAGAATAGCTTGAACCTGGAAGGCAGAGGTTGGCTGCAGTGAGTCAAGATTGTGCCACTGCACTCCAGCCTGGTGACAGAGCAAGACGCTGTCTCAAACAAAAAAGAAAAGAAAAAAAAAAAGCAACAACAGATGAACAGTAGGCTTTCAGTCTCCACGTATGGTGCTGTATTTTGATTTAAAGGTTACCAAACATTATATTTTACTTTTTTAAATGAGAAGAAACATCAGAAGTAGTTGAGGCACAAGGAAGTAGGTCTTCTAGGGATAAGGAGATATTTGGCTGGGTGGCTTTTTTTTTTTTTTTTTTTGAGACGGAGTCTTTCTCTGTCGCCTAGGCTAGAGTACAGCGGCGCGATCTCGGCTCACTGCAACTTCCACCTCCTGGGTTCAAGCAATTCTCCTGCCTCAGCCTCCAGAGTAGCTGGGATTACAGGTGCCCGCCACCATGCCCAGCTAATTTTTGCATTTTCAGTAGAGATGTGGTTTCACCTTGTTGGCCAGGATGGTATTGATCTCTTGACCTCGTGATCTGCCCACCTTGCCCTCCCAAAGTACTAGGATTACAGGCTTGAGCCACTGCGCCTGGCCTCTGCTAGGTGGCTTTTTAAAATGTTTCCTCTGGAGTCATCTGCCTCATTAGCATTGGTTTTTGTCCAGAAGTCTCTCTTTGATTTTATAACTGGCATGATTTCTTGCTTTGTTATGAGTGCACCCTGCTCTAGTCCTTCAACAAATAAGCCCATCACACATTTTCACCATGTCATCTAGAGGCGTGAGCCACCGTGCCTGGCCCTGTGTCTTTAGTCACTGTGTTCCAAGCCTTGGAAACAGCATATACAGCATCCTTCATGCCAAACTCCTTTTAAAAACCTTCTACTCTCATGCCTCTGTTCAGTGCTGCTAGTATGCTTTCCAAGAAAGTGTTCTTATAATTACTCTTCATTTGATATTTGGTTACATAGCTGAATTAATGAAGTCACATTTTTGGGGAAAGTATATGTCATAAATGATATTTTTTATGAGAATTTCAGCAGGAGAATGAGCAGGACAGTGGTCAAGGAATAACAATATCTTGCAGTAGTCATTGAGTCCAGCTTTTCTGCAGTGAGCACTAGCCAACCACTGGTACAAAATGTTTGTGATACTAGTCAGAAAAGACGTCCCTGGCGATCCATGCCTTTTTGTTAGCATAATAATGGACTAGTAAGAAATTCATTTCTTGAAAACAGCCAAGGATGCAGGCTTTTGCCTATCACAGCAAGTTTACCCTTATGCGTGCTGGCTGCATTAGCACATCCCTGCAGTTATTCCGTCCTTGGCATCCTTAATTCCTGTAGGGGCTGTCTCATTAGCTGCAGTCACTGTCTTTCTGGGGCAATAATACTAAAGCAGTGATGTTTCATCAGCATTACAGACTTGTTCTGACGTCAGATTTTAATCAGCCATGACCTTGGCAAACTCATCAATGAATTTCTCTGCTGGGGAGAATTGCTTGAACCTGGGAGGCAGAGGTTTCACTGAGCCGAGATCTCGCCATTGCACTCCAGCCTGGGTGACAAGAGCTAGACTCCGTCTCAAAAAAAAAAAAAAAAAAATTTTATCTGCTGCCTCATGATCAGCAGATGCTTTATTACAACTAAAATCTTTAACAATTTAATGCTGTGTTTTTTCTTAAATTTCTTCAGACCGTTGAATATCACAGTTCCCTTCAGTTTTCAGTTCATCATGAATAGTTCTTTTCTTGTTTCATGATCAGTATACCATTAAGTGGCATGTGTTCACTGCGAAGCTGACACATCCACTCTTTCAATACATGATCAAAATCTGCATTTTTAGCTTTATGCAATGTTTTCCCATGTTTCATTAACTTCTATTCATCACTTGCAGCATAGAACCTCAACAGTGTATCCTTCTGATTCTTCAGGTCATATATGATGGTCATTCCTACCCCATTCTCTTCTGTAAGATGTTTCACACACCCTGTCCAGTTTCTCCAACAACTAATATTTCTGTGCTATAGATTAACATAAATGCTTCCTCTATTTCTTATCATTGTTACCCATGGGGTATCTCCAGGCCCTTTTGACATTTTAAATAATATTTTTATACCATGGAGCAGAAAATAAGCAAACAAACAAACAAAAAAACACAGTGAGCAATGCACTTGACCCAATGTGGGGCATCGTGGGGAACCTGCCATTGGAGAGTCCAGCCTGCACATGTGCCATTTTATTATCCTATGTGGGTGTGCCTGCATAGGGAAATCTGCATGTGCATGAAAAAAAATATCACAGCTGATGCAGGGGTCTTCTTTCCCTTGGGGACACTAAGTAAACTGTGTGTTGTATACCTGTGTCTTGACTGTGACCCATCACATAGGGTCAGGAATGGAATCTTCACTTATGCCATCAGGTCAGTGCTCAAAAACATTCAGATTTTGGAGCATCTCAGATTTTGGATTTTTTGATTAGGAATGCTCACCTGTACCTGTGTTCAAAAGGTGTTTATAATCCCATGAGGGATGGAAGGATGAATGGATGTAAAGGAAGGTGCCCTCAGTATGCTGACATTTGTATACTGACAATAGAAGTAGGTAGCCTCCTGTTTTTACATTGTAGAGTCACTTTTTATGAAACCTGGAATCCAGGGCTTTGTTGAACAGACTCAATTGAAGAGCTAAGACTTGTAGCTAAGTTTTTTTCCCTAGGGCTTGTAATGTTTCTAGCTCCCAATCAAAACACAGAAAGACTCCAAGTGAAAAAACAGGTTTCACTTGCTACTGCTTAGAGAGCTTTTTTAGCTCAAGAGTTCTTTGCACTTATAAGGAAGCTTTACAACTCAAAAGGTTGACAATATTGAGAATATAGGATCCAAGGTCAGTAGATGGAGTTTCATCCAACCTCCGTCTCTTAGAAGACATACAGCCTTGAGCACAACCCCTTCACCTCTCTGAGCTTCAAAGGAGGCAATGCACAAAAACCGTTTATACATACCACAAAGGTAGAAACAAAAGTCAGTTGGTGTTACCATTGTTTGCTTATATGATGATGACTGAGACCATTAACCAAAATCACACACTACACCAGGGATAGAAATGACCCAGAAGGAATAGAAAATTTACTTCCTAATTAGCCTGTGCCTCTTTAACTGAGCTCTAGTCCACAGTTCTACTCTGTCCTGTAACTGTCCAGCTTCACTTCCTGTCACACCTCTCACACTCAGCCACTTTGGCCACTGCTGAAACATTACACATCCTTCAGCCCCTTTATGATTGTCTTAGCACCTTAAACCTGCACTTCGTTTACCTCCCTAGAGTGACACCTTATTATATTATAAACTGTCCCCTCAATAGACTGGGAACTCCTTGATGACAGAGATCATGCATTATTTATCTTTGTACCCATGTCAGAGTAATTTGATAAACATGGATGTGGATTGTTGAATGAATGGATGGATGCTAGTACATAAGTCAGAATTTCTGCCCACAAAGAAAGAATTGTGACATACTCCAAATATGTGTTTATGTGGATTTCCCCACAGCACCATCACTCTGGATACTTTTTTTTTTGAAACAGTGTCTCTCTCTGTCACCCAGGCTGCAGTGCAGTGGCACCATCATAGCTCACTGCAGCCTCAGCCACCCGGGCTCAAGTGTTAATACAGTTATATTTTATTTTATTGTCACGATGGAGTCTTGCTCTGTCACCCAGGCTGGAGTGCAGTGGCACAATCTCGGCTCACTGCAACCATCGCCTTCTGGGTTCAAGCAATTCTCCTGCCTCAGCCACACGACTAGCTGGAATTACAGGCACGCACCACCATGCCCGGCTAATTTTTGTATTTTTAGTAGAGACGGGGTTTCAGCATGTTGGCCAGGCTGGTCTCGAACTCCTGACCTCGTGATCCACTTGCCTCTGCCTCCCAAAGTGCTGGGATTACAGGCGTGAGCCCCGTGCCCGGCCAATACATTTTTAAACATCAGAATTATTGAGATACTGTTCACATTCCATAAAGTTCAGCCCTTTAAAATGTACAATTCAGTGGTTTTTAGAATATTCAGAGCTGTGCATCCATTCCCACTATCAAATTGCAGAACATTCTCATCACCCTAAGAGAGTCCCATCCATTAGCAATCACTCCCCAGCCCTCCCACCCCAACAACCACTAATCTACTTTCTATCTCTATATTTTTAATTGATTGTTTGCTATACAGTATACATAGCATTACATATGAGAATGCAACTCTTCTCTGGACAGAAAAGAAATAAACGCTGAGGCAGCTTTGATTTAGCATTGAAATACAGAATCAATCTGTAACCAGCTCTATGACCTTGGACAAGTTGTTTAACTGGATTTAGTTTCTTCATAAGATAAAGAAGTCTAGAGGTGTGTAAGGACACCTTCAGGTTAAAAAACAAGCAAAAACAAAAAAGCCTTGGTGACAATTCCAGTGCTTCACCCTAGACAGCCTTTCCTGGGCTTCCGTGAGAAACGAATTTATACAAATAAGATTTCACACCACAGCTGCCGCGGCCACTGCCCTCCCCGCGCAGAGCTCTAGAGATGTTTTCTCTTTTTCTTTTCTTTCTGGCCGTCTATTTATCTCTGGGCTGGCAAGGAGAGGGAGAACTGCAGCGCCCAGGAGCGGAGGCCGAGCGCGCCGGTGCCCGCAGGAAGCCTCGCCCAGCGCGGACCGCACCCTCCCGCGACGCCCCTGGAGAAGCCGCCAGTCTCTGGGCCGCCAGCAGCGCGCGCCCCCGGCGTGGGAGGAGCGCGGCGAGCAGGGGCGGGGCCAGTGACTCCCGCAGCCAATCGGGGTGGCGGCGCGTCCTTGGAGGGTCCGCAGCTCGCCCGGCGCGCACGGGGCGGGGCTCCGCTTGACCGTGGCGGTCGCCGGGCAGCAGAGCCCGGGCGCAGCGAGCGCAGCGCAGCGCAGGGAGCGCAGGCGGTGGCGGCACCAGGTTCCCGGGGCTCCAGCGCTCGGCGCAGCGAAGTAGCCTCCGGCGGTGGCAACTACGGCGGCGGCGCCGGGGCGATGCTGTGGGTCTCGTTGGGCGCCGGTGTCCTGGCCTCTTCCTCAGGTACCCAGCCCCGCTTGCCCCTCGCCCCGGGGAACCGCAGCGCCCGGGAGGTAGCTTTGTGAGGCTGTGGGCTCGCTGCCGGGGAGTGGGTGGGTGGGGCCGGGCGGGGCTGTGCGGTCTGGGCCGCCTTCCCTCGGAGGAAGAGGGTGGGGACCGAGGGAAGCGGGCGGGGGTGGGAGCGCTGTCTCCGGGCCGCCGCTGATGGCATCCCAGGGCTCCGTCCTCCTCCTGCCTCCATGTGGGTTGAAAGAGGTTTTGTTCCAGGAGAAAGTTTGATGCCTAGACTTGAGGAGCCAAATTCGGGGGTCCCTGAGGTCCGCGCCTTTAAAGAGGCAGCCCGCCCTGCCGTGTGAGCCCGTGCCCTGCGTGTGGGCACGTGGGAACCCGTACCTGAGCAGCATTCCTGACACGGGACCTTCCTTGAGAAAATTCCCCTGTGGAAGAATCCCCCTTGGGGAGGGGGCTTTGTGGAGATGGCACCCAGAGCCCGCCCAGTGTGGGTTTTGCTTGAAAACAGTGCAGCAGGTAGTCAATGCCCCCTTGTTATCTTCCCGTAGAATGGACTCGACCAAGATCTATGATCTAAGAGCTTCAAAAATTAAATCTACCTTGCCATCTAATTAAACATCCCCAAACACTAGTGTGTTCAAGGTGCCAATAATTACTCTGTCGATTCTTTAATATTTTCTTATTGCCCATACTTTCAGTTGGCTTTTGCAGTTTTGGAAAGGGTGCTGTGGAGCATACCAAAGTGGGTAGAAGTTATGGCTCACCTCTCAGGGTGATAGCCCAGTGCAAAAAAATACAGAACACATGCCTGTCCACTCGAAGATAGGAGAAGGTTTCAGCCTTCAAAGCAAGATAGATTAGGTGGGGGTTATTTGCTTTACAAAACTTCCTCCAGTGCAGAGAAGTGATGCTTAGAGTTAAAACTGAGTTTTACACAAGTTTGTAGGAACACATCTATCATAAAGCGGCTCAGGGTAGAGGTAGTGACAGGTAGAGGTAGATATCGCATAGTCTTGCCATTAAGCAAATCTAAAAAAATGCATGTTAAATTCTGCATCATTCTCACTGATCACACGTGGATGCTCACATTTACATTTTTCCTTTCTTATCAAGATGTATTCCTACCATAAGACAACTTCATAATTCCCTCAAAACGCCTTAGCCAAGGCCATTTTGTGGTCCATATAATTTACCCCATGCTAAAAAACGTATCTGTAAAAACATTTACATTTAAGGGAATTTCCCTAGTGGTGACACAGTAGTGTCCATACATTGAGCACATTTTATTCACCAGACACATTACTAGGTGTGGACGTATATTAATACTTTAATTCTTGCAATCACTCTAAGGAGGTATTATTATTAGTTTCCCTGTTTTTGAATTTAAAGAGTTCAGGTAATTTTGCCAAGATTATTGGGCAAGTAAGTGATAGAGGCAGGATTTGAACCTGGATCTGTTTGACTCCCTGCCCATGCTCTATACTGTCTCCCAGTTCTTCTTGAGAGTTGCCCTTATTGTAATGCAGTGGCAACATATGCTATCTCTACTGGCCTGGTGCATCAGACCCCTTTACAGAGTGTTTTCTCCCACTGGGAACCCCCACTGTGTACATGTATACTGAAAGGCAACACTGGCGGTCTCCAGACTCTCCCCATCCCATCCCCAGCCTATAAATCAGATGGAAATATCCAAACATGTAAACCCACCTCATTCTTTCAGATAAGTCGGCCCCAGAAGACAGGTAACCAAGTGTTTCCCGTACTGGCACTTAAAGAGCAGTCTCTATCTTCTCAACCATCCAAGTCTATTTTAGCTCTGCATATGGAAGTACACTCCATCAGTTGGCAACAACACATCCCCTGCAGCGTTCACACTGGCACACTCGTTCTCTTGTACCAACTGTCAGAGAATTTCTGACCCGGGCCAGGCTACCTAAAAGGAAAGACTGAAATGAAGTCGCTGGGGAAAATAGTATTAGTTCCAGGGAATCCCTGAATTCTCCATGCAGGGCCCTAGGAACAGAAAGCAGGCCTTCTGCATAGTGGGAAATACCACGTATAAGGTGCAGTCTATTTTCAACACTATTGAAATACGTGTTCACCATATAAAACTACACCTGTTGTCTTGGTGATGGATGTAGCCACACGCCTATTCCTAATTTGATACTCACTTCTATGTTAAAGTAGTTGTTGCTTGGCTGAATGGTATCAAAAACTGATGTCACAATTGTGACAGTTTTGAAGCTGTGCCTAAAAAATTATTATAATCTACATCCATTGTTTTATAATTTCTCTTCCCTAGAGTTGTGTGTGTGTGTACGTGTGTGTGTTCTCTTCCTTGGTATGATTTTTAACTGTCTCTGCTTCTAAAATAATTTGCAGTAGTAAGCTTTAAAAAAAGTTCATTTTTGAGCTGTGACCATATGCTGCCTGGAAACGTATCCTTATAGTTGGCATTTTACTCATGTTACTCTCGTGCTAAGAATCTCAAAGTCCCATATGCATGCTTTGAGATTTCAAATGGACCCTCCTGTCTAAGTATTTCACTCCATTCTTGGTAGCAGTAGTAAGGTTTGAGTTTCGAATACAGATCCAGCACCTCACTTCTAATATCTCTAAACTGCCAAAAATCAAAGTAGCACCAACTAAAGTTGGGAAAGAACATGAGGCTTTCTTATCACACTCTTACGTCAGAATAGAAGGTGTTCCCAAAACATTGTTAGAAATAAGAGTGAATAGACTTTTTTAAGTGGCTAGTGATCTGCAAAACTATGCCAAATTATTGAAATTGTAGTTTTTCTAAAGTTGTGCATTTGCAATATCTTATTAACTTAAAACTGTCCAGAATCAACAAACTTCCACTCTGTATGCTGTTCTCTTTCTAAAACTTCTTATTAACTAGCAATCCATCTTTATTTCTATATTTCATCAAATTAAAAATGCCATCAGTTGTAAGACATAGCATTATTTTTTCTGCTGTACACAAAGAGAAAATATTGCCAATTTTATTATGACACTCCACTTTAAGGATATTCTTCCATGATAAGGCATGAATAGGTCACACTAGTCTCGTTGCTTTCAAGTTTCCGTCATCTCTTCCTTGGGTTTCGGTACATTTTCCTGTCAGTGTTATTGGTAGCATTGCTTGGGGTGTGACGGTTCACTTGCATGAATCTCAGTAACAAACTGTAACATAGCTTCTTTAACTTTTGTGTTTCTTTATTCAGTCTGGTAAAGCATTTGGATCTTGCTTTGTAAAATGATATGGAAATGCCAAACAAAGACAAATGTTTCCTCTAGTAATAGAACGTTTATGTCACACTGCTGTTTTGGTGCCTTCATGCATACACAGTAATGTCTCCTTGCAGTGCCAAATGATAGTGTAATCTTTTTGAAAACCATTTCAGTGGCAATTAAACAGAACACGTGCAGTGCCAACAATGCCCATAACTCAGTAGAAGTGAAAACAAAATGAATAGCTGTGACCAAGTTTATGCACGTGCAGGGACATGACAGTTGTGCTGTGAGTACTGCCAAGTTGTCAGTTATTTTAATATACCATAAATGTTAAGACATATCTTGATTTCAGGGATGTTAAAATGTGAAAAAGTAATCTTATCAATGAAATATGGTAATCTGTGTTCACTTAGTTTCATGATCCCTAACCTGATTACATTTTTTATGTATTCATTCATCCATACAGTCATTCATGGTGTTAGACTTCAAGCTGCAGGAGGGCAAGGACTTTTTCTATCTTTTGTTCTCTACTATATACCAATTGCTTAGGACAGTCTGTTTTACATAGTAAACCTGCTCAATAAAATAGTTAGTAGAATTAGTGAGTAAATATCCTCCATGGAAGCCGTGGAGACACATTGAGAAGCTCGCTACCCTCCTGTTGGTTAGAATACATATTCTTAAAATTATGACACTGACAGGAATGCCAAACCTGAAAAAGGCGAAGCAGTCCTTGATTTAATTTACAGGGTCCTATTCCAAATATGCCATTACAAAGCTAGTTTAGGATAGAAGAAATTCCATTATATCTTTTATTCATCTTGATCACTGAAGGATTACGTAACAACTTACATCTTGGTTCTGTTGTATGGTCTAAAATCAATTTCTTGAACTCTATACTTAGTCCAATTTTACATACTTGTCCTATTGTACATTTAACATCTACCAGAATTAACAGAGAAGTGTCTGTAGGCCTTTCTGAAGCAGAAACTCAGTGCTTGTGACCTTGCTTGGAAATACATCCCCAAGAATATATATATCTACTTAGGTACATTGCCCTAGAGTCCATTTTTTAACCCCCAAAATGGCCGTCTTTACATTTTGACATGTTATGAAGGAAAAGAGAAAGAAACCTTGCTGGGCAACACAGATCTCCATCTGCCAGTGCCTCTGCTTCCTCACTGCTGCCGCCTGCTCAGGCAGAGCGCACTTTTAGACCAAGGACAGGATGCTAGATGAAGATGCCAGCAGAAGGAATGGCACAGAAACTAGCTTAGCACCCTCTCTGAAGCAGTCCCAGGATCTAAAGCCAATTAGCATAGCCCAAATAACCCCACACTCAGTGTAAGAGCTAGACCTGCAAAGACGCACCCAGCTTCCAATCCAGTGAAATGTGGGACCTCTGAACACGTATCTTACGAACTGAGGTCGCTAGTGGGTTCCAGCCTGCTAGCTTAGGGGAAGATGATGTGGGCAGAGTGTCATTACTGCCTGTCCCCAAGTACGGTGAAGCAGTGTGGCATGGTGGTGGGTGCTGTGAAGCGACATGGTAGATAGCTAGAGCTTGCTCTTTCATATAGTAGAAAATAATGGTTAATTAAATCTTTTTGGTTATTCAGTAAAGGAGCTTACAAGTGCTTTTATTAAGTATTGTTAACGTGGGCCAGACAAGGTAATGTAATGTAAACGACAAAAAGTTTAAAACTTGTTTACTGAGCGTAGAGGGTGGGATGAAAGAAAACCCAAATAATCTTAGCTGCCAATTCTATAATTATGTGGGGTGTTTTAATAGTACCCAGGATTTGTTTTAACCAGGTATGGTAAAACATGCAGACACAGAAATGACTGTCATAAAGGAAGTTTATTATACTCAAGAGTCCCCTAGAAACCGGAGGTACAGCATGGCATGCCATGCAGGGGGCACACAGGGAAGCAGCAGGATCAGGCAGGAGGCAGGGGGAACAAGAAGAAATGTGGGCAAGAGCCTTACGGTGGTTTCCATGGGAAGGAATGAGCAAAGCAGGGTAAGCAGGTTCAGAATTGGTTAGTTTGCATCATTTTAGCAGGCTCTGCGGTACAGGGCTGTCTCTAGTTGTCTGCTACGTGGCCCTGGGGTGATTAGGGAAGGAGAATAGTGCTCCAGAGTATGAGTCTGATAAGGGAGCTGGTGGGGTGTGGGCTCTTTGTTGGTTTGCATATGGAGAGGCGCTTGCAGGTGAGTCCCTTACGTCTGCAGGCATTGGCTAACCCTGGGAGGGGCAGTCCGTCCAGGCCAGCAAGGTCCCAAGAGGTCAAAACATCAGAATATAGAGAATAAAATTCATGGTGGATGTATGGGGATTTTTGGAAAATGGTCAACTAATGAATTAAGCCTATGTACACATGGGGTATTCAGCCAAATGTGCAGTAGTGCCTAGTTCGGGCTCTGACACATGGTATTCAGTAAACATTAATTAAATCTGAGTTGTGGTGCCAGATGGTCCAACCATGCTAACACTCAGTTCTTGAGATATTGTAGTCAGGTGTGCAGTGTTTATCTTGAGAAAAAGAAAAAAGTGAGAAACCTACACTACATAAAGGATCCCCAGATGAAGGATGAACCCCACTCAGGACAAAAAAGGCAAAACACTTGACTCTTTTAAAACATTAGGGAACTCTGGCCGGGCACGGTGGCTCACACCTGTAATCCCAGCACTTTGGGAGGCTGAGGCGGGTAGATCACGAGGTCAGGAGATCAAGACCATCCTCGTTAACACGGTGAAACCCCGTCTCTACTAAAAATACAAAAAAATTAGCAGGACGTGGTGGTGGGCGCCTGTAGTCCCAGCCACTCGGGAGGCTGAGGCAGGAGAATGGCATAAACCCGGGAGGCAGAGCTTGCAGTGAGCCAAGATTGCGCCACTGCACTCCAGCCTGGGCGACAGAGCCAGACTCCATCTCAAAAAAAAAAAAAGAAAAAAACTTACTGGGGAGGCTGAGGCAGGAGAATGGTGTGAACCCTGCAGGTGGAGCTTGCAGTGAGCCTACCGCACCGCTGCACTCCAGTCTGGACGACAGAGTGAGACTCCATCTCAAAAAAAAAAAAAAAAAAAAAACAAAAACACACACACACACACACACACACACACACACAACAAAACATTAGTGAACTCTTAAGCAAATACATTTTTAGCTATAAGGTCTTAAAATGTACAAGATGATTATATGTCTAGGGTAATTCCTTATCCACTGTGGATTTGGAATACCAACAAAAATAAGTAAACATGAAGGCCACATGCATCTTTTTAAAAGGGTGTTTCTCAGAGTAAATATTGGAGTTGCAAAGTGAATTGTGTGTTGCAAATTTTGTGCTCAGGAGTAGGCTTCTAAATGGAAGTTACTCAAAATAGCATGAAACATACTTTTCTTCTTGACTACATGTCAGTATTAATCAAATGATCAGATGATACATACACACATACGAAGTAATGATACTGGAGAGAATTACATGAAGGTAATTAACAAAATATGTGTTAGTGGCAAGCTTAGTCACAGAACATTTAAAATGTACCTGTATTAACTCTGATGGACATGGGTTTAGACTCAAGCACTACTTATCACGATGAATGGCAGGAGTGCATGAAGGTGGGAGTGTTAGGGCTCACTGCTAAGTAAATTGAATGACCTATTGCTATGGTCAGCCTCATGACTTTTCTTTATGTGGTTGGTTAATGATTATAGCAACTTTAAAGTCCTGTGACTTAGAATCTTGACCATGCACGTTAAGAAATATTAATGGAAGCATAAGCAAGAGGTCAATCTAATAATCTAAGAAGAGTAATTCCTTCACGGCAGAAACTCTGAGATTGCCCTCTCCTTACAGCTGCTTTCACCTTGTAACTTTTCGCACATCTCCTTTGCATTGTGTAGGAGCTTATCCACGTTGATGGAAATTGTATTAATGTATTGCTGGAGCACAGCTGCTCTCCCATTGTGTTTCCAAACTGACATCATAACTCTTTAATTAAAGTGGCAGTGTTAGCCTCAAATGGCTGGCAAAACATTTCTGCCTGGCTAATGGTGTTGAACTGGGTTTGAGGTTGGTCAGGACAATCATTGGCTTTATCCATCCCAGTGAAGCATGTCTCTTAAGACAAATTTTTCAATCCAGGCTTTCATGTCTTTTAACCTCCAATTCCATACACAAATAAGGCCCGTATACATGTGGAGTATTTAGTCAAATGAGATCTATGCAGAAATACTCTCAGGCCCTTGCTTTCCTGGAGCCTTTCGTTTATGTTGATACTTATAAGTGAAAGCGCATAATGGTGAGGCTGGTGGGTAGAGGGGGCAGGTGAAGAGCCTTGCTGGAGCCGTTCTAAGTTTGTGCATTCTATCTTAGCTTTAACCTTCATGCATTTGAATTGCACTCATTTGGGGATAGGGGTGGGAAGAGGCATTCCCTCCTTATCTTTTTAGCCCTAGAGCCTAGCATTGTGCCTGCAAGTGGTAGGAGCTTAATGTATATTGGTTGAATTTTAAAATGTTAGTTGATTGGTTGACACAGAAATTCCCAGCCTTCTTTGGCTTAAGGATTCCTATAAATTATGAATAAAAGTCCTTACAAAATACTCTATAATCTGATAGTTAAATGATCTAGAAGGAAGAATCAAGAATATAAAAACTGCTTTTTTAATGAATAGAAGCCATGAAGTTAAACTGGCCTTAACAAATTAAAATATCAATTACAAGTGACTGTTACTAAAATTCTATGATATTGGACTGAAAACTAGACAGATTAAAATAAATAGAAATTCCATATTTAGATTATTTAGTGAACTTAATTTAAAACATACAAATGAACAATAGAGCTTTGAAGAAAAGATCAATTATTTAATGAAGTTTGCAAGACCAATAGAATAGCAGTTCTAAGAAGTAAAAACAGTAAGAAAGAGAATAATATACTTTTTGTCATAACCAAATAGTCCAATAAATTTCAGATAGGCCTTAGTGTTAAATGTTGGTGTGAGGGGGCAGGGAGGTGGGGAAAGAAAGGAAACAAAGTAATGTATTTATCCCAGATGTGAAAGCAGTTAATATTTTTTTCTGAATATTTATGACATCTTACAAAAGACAGATGCATTGGAATGAAGAAAACTGAAAAGCATGTAAATAATGAAATGTAGTAAAATAATTCTAAAAGGGAAAGTGACAAAAATGATAAAAACATGGCTGATGAGAACTGTGGAAGATACGTAAGGAATTGAGATGAATATGGGATATATGGCATGAGTTCTCAGAATCTGGTTCATGGTGGTTGAGGGAGGTGAGCAGACATTTGGGACCTGGAAATACAAATGGAAGATCCAGAGCACAAAACATACACATTTATTGCCACCTCTTTAAGATGTATCTTGTGCTTTGACAAAAATCAGATGTGATTTGAAAAGTTGAAATTCTGTGTCCACTGACTCTTTTTTTTTCATTTGTTGAACTAGTAAAACAAAAATAACAATAACAATCCTTGAACCACTACTAAAGAAGGTAAATTGTAGGGACTTTATTTAGAACCCACTGAGACAGAATTAAATATCAGGATTTTCTTATTTTACATTGATGCCTTTCCAGACAGTAGAAATAAATTCAACAGAAGTCTTTAGTCTGGTCACTCAGAGACAATGGTAGCACATTAGACAGTGTCTCTACCTTAGTTGTATCTCTTGAAAACACACTTATCCAAAACATTATTAAGGTTTTGAAATTCAGTCTCAATCCCTAAGAAATGTTCACTTCAGCATTGTTTTTCTTACTTCTGTGAGAGCTGGAGGTTAAAACTCTGTGAATAGTGCATGGAAATGAAGAATGACTTTTCTGTCTATCAAAAGTATGAAAATAGGGGCTGGGTATGGTGGCTCATGCCTGTAATCCTAGCACTTTGGGAGGCTGAGGTGGGTGGATCAGCTGAGGTCAGGAGTTCGAGACCAGCCTGGCCAACATGGTGAAACCTCGTCTCTACTAAAAAAAATACAAAAATTACGCAGGCATGGAGGTGTGTGCCTGTAGTCCCAGCTACGTGGGAGGCTGAGGCAGGAGAGTCAGTTGAACCCAGGAGGCGGAGGTTGCAGTGAGCCAAGATCGCGCCATTGCACTCCAGCCTTGGTGACAGAGCGAGACTCCGTCAGGGAAAAAAAAAAAAAAAGTATCAAAATAGGGGCTAAGAAGTCCCTGGAGTCATAGCTATATTATATTGCATATGATTTTAGAATGGAAAGATCTTCAGCTCCCGCTCATCTGGACTTGCTTTCCCTCATCCACAGAATGAGGAGAGAATCAATGACTGTTGAAGACTGTATGGTTGGGATCACCCCTGGGGGCTTTACCTTCTCTCGTTATATCATTTCATCCCCACAGTAGTCCCCCACGTGGTACACCCCATTATTGTCTTTATTTCACAGATTAGCAAACTGAAGAACAGAGAGGTGAGGTATTTTTCCCAAAGTCACCCTAATAGTCAGTGAAGAAGCTAGGAGAACCCAGAGTGTCTTCAGAATTATGTATTTAAGCACTTGATATGTGCTTACAAACTCATTTTTGAGTTAAACTCTTCCATTCAGTGAAAAAGAAGTTAATGATGAGCTGTTATGAAAGCAAGCTTCTATGTTGTTTTCATAACTGGATGTTTCTATGTGCTTATGTAGGTGTACATTATATGCCCATGGCATGTGCTTCACATCCCTCTACCTTTGCTTCCTTGTCCGTAAAATAGGTCTATTCATTTCTACTGGACAGGTTTGTTCTGAATTTGCAAGATAATCTGTGTAAGGCATCTAGTGCATTAAAGTTACAGTTGTTATTGTTGCTTTGGGAAATTAATGTAACAATCTAGTGAAAGTCACAGGCATTTTTATCTCTAGATTTAGCCCAGCCATGTCCATTACTATGATACCAACCCCACCCTAGCCGCTCAACATCACACATTCACAGGAGCTTCCTTACTGACCCTCACAAGTCCAGTCTACAACCCTGTCTTCTCCATGAGGACCTGTGTTTTGTTCCTTACATGAAGTGGCTAGACGAATGGGAAGCAGAAGTGGAAAAGGAAGCACTTCCAAAGGAAAGAGGCAGAGCACAGAGTGGCCTTATTCTCTGAAGAAAGTTGCACCCACTCAGCAGAACAGCAGAATTAAATCCGCCAAAAGTAGAATACAAGGAAAGTTTCCAGTCAACACTCTGGTGCCAAGATTGGGGAACTATCATCTTTATTTGCTGTCCTTTGAGTCTTGGATGTATTATCTTATCAAATAAGAAGAAAACCATAGGCAACCTCTAGTTTACTATTCATGCACTGACAAAATAGAGTGTATGTAATTACAGGCTCCATAAGATCTTAAGTAGTTAGCAGATCTTAAACATTCTTGCAAATATACTGTAGGCAGTGAAGCCTACATTGTGTCCTCCTGATCTTTCCTTAAGAGATCCTGGGGCAGCCACTAAGAGCTTTAGAAGTCCAAATTGCTCTTTTATTCTCAGAGGTCCAGCACTACAGGTGTGTGACACCTGATTAACACATTTTAAAATATACTAAATGCATTTTTTTGTATGAATACCTTTTTAAAATATATTTTTACTATTCAAGCAATGTGTTCAGTGTATAAAAATGTAAAGATTTAGGTAAGCAAATAGAAGAAAATGGAAACGATCCACAATCCTACCTCCTAAATATAATCACTATTTGCGTTTTATTTCTTCCCAGGTGTCTTTTTTCACCTGTAACATTGTTTACAAAAACTGAATTATTTAATATACAGTTTTATAAGCTGCTTTCTTCACATAGGACAACTTATCCCAACTATCTTTCCATAATAGTAAATCATTATACTGATTTTTACATAGATTAAAGGCATCAGACCTTGGTTCTTGTGTTTTGGGATACTGGAAGACCCCCTACTCAGTCCCTAGGCTAAGGACTTTTTCTGTCTCTACATAAGGCATACTCCTTGCCTCATGGAGTTGTCAAATTGCTGAAGCTTGGGTCTACCTGCTAAGAGGGAGCTCTATATCTGGACTCTTACATCTGCCCGGTAGTCTTGTCATCATGAGCCTCCCACTATTTTCATGATCTAAAAGGGGTCTCCGAGTTATCCTGGTGGTTCTGACATGGAAGTGCAAATGACCTTTTTTTTTGCCTTGCATCTTCTGAGAGATGAATGTCAGGAGACACACAACCCTGCTAACTGGCCTCTTAAAACCAAGCCCATCTGCCAATAAAAACTGCCATTCAAAATGCTGATACCCTCTTCATCCTGTAATTGCCATTTCTACAGCTGGCTCTCAATTGTTGCTTCTCTTGGGAGCCAACATGCCAAACCTAATTTCACAGATAATAACCAAACTTCATGATAGTTCAAATCTCCTCCCCATCAATCTTTTAACTGGATCTGCTCACAAATGAACTGGTTCAGGTTTTTTCCTTCTTTTATTTCCCCGATCAGGCCCTGATTCAGAGCCTAATGAACAATGAGGTAGCCAAAATTTGGTTGCCAGAGGGACAGGCAGACCAGTGTGTCTTGAGTATGTCAGTCTGAAACCACCATACTGAACTGTGTGTGATGAGTATGAAGCAAGGTGTTGTATACCAATGGAATCAGACACTATTCCTTCTTGGTTCTTTATTCAAATATTTTACCCAAAACACATATTTTGCTACCAAGGTTCTCCAAAAGCCCATCAAAGCTCTTCAAACATGTTTCAACTAATTGATGTTCTTTTTCTTTTTATACTACCTTGACCTGTTCTTTCCTCAGTCTGCTTCCATCTTATCCCCAACTTCCTGCAAAAAAAGAAAACAAAAAAAGCAAAAAATATATACATATGTGTAATGTGTGTATTATGTATAATTATATATTACAATGTGTGTATAGTATATGTATACACATTTAAAAACCAAAGTTGTCATTCTCTAGCCTCAAATGTTTTCATTCTCTTACCTTCCCCACTGTGGAGCACTGAGCCTTGAGCCCATTAGTCGCCACCTATATCTGTGGCAGTCAAGCCTCCTTTCCACCCCGGCCAGCGAGGAGCTGCTGCTTCACCTCTTTAGCCCTCTCTCTACCAGTTTCTTCCTCCCCCAACATAAAGTCTCAGTTGCCAGATCCAATCTTCTTTCAGTGCTTCAATTTCTGTTCTCCCCCTTTCTTTACTTTTGTACTATGTCTTTTTTATTTCCCTGATATTTTTGTCCTCTCGGTGAGACCATAGGATGTATCTGAAAGAACAAACCTTAAGATCATGGTATTTTCTGTGACCATCACACTGTTAAAGTTTTCTAAAATAGCACTGTTTTTCCTTAAAGGAAGTCATTCTGTGCTTTTCAAGGCCCTCATGGAGCTAATTGGGTTGTAACTATAAGAAAGGGTTACTGCCCTCTGGTTACATCACAGATGCATCATAGAAGGGCCATTTTGATTTAGGCATTGCAAAGCACTCATTTCTGACCACGTTCTCTCTGTCTTTGCTTTATAAGTGGTTTATTCCTCAGAGGTAGCGGTGATTCAGGCCCCGGAGGACCGCTCCAGCCTATTTGAATAAACTATCAATAACATTAAAAGCCTTCGCAGACACTGATGTTTGCCAGCACTTACAGGCTAGTGCAAATTGGATGAGTGCCTTGTTGGTGTTTTCAGTTCCTCCTCAGTGTTTGTTAAACAGTTGAAGTATTTGTCAGAAATGTCAATTGGACACAAATGCATTATAATATGCACTTTTAATTTTTTTTTTTTTTACTAAAACTGTGGAACTTGATTTCTTGTTGGATTATGTCCTTAGCACTGGAAAGGAACACTGGAAGTGTTGAAAAGAAATTATATGTGAATTACCCTCGTTTAGTAGAAGACAGTCGAAGCTGGCACAGCCTCCTGAGCTTTCAGCCAGGATTGAGTGCCGAAGACTGTTGATTAGCAGGCAGAAAGAGCAGGAGCCCAGAATCTGTGCCCTCCTCCTGTCTTCCACCCAACAAAGTGTCCCAGGCCCACTGACCCAGCAAGGGAGCGACGCCAGCTGGACCCTGGACTAGAAAACAAGAAACACAATTCAAAGCCAACAAGAGCCTGGGGAAAATGACCACAGTACCATTGATTTTATCTGGGTCCTGGTTTAGATTCAGGACATCAGTGATTTCTCCCTTGAAATCTTTGTAAAAAATATGCCTATTTTTTTTACATGTGTGTGTGCTTTTTTCTTTTCGTTTCTCTACTTTCCCTTCCTCCCTCCCATCCTCCTTTTCTTTCTTCTGAAGACAGTCCGTATCTTTCATCAGATTCTCAAAGGAATCCATGAGTAACAAGTGTTTAAGAACCACAATTCTAGATTTTCTCCTCTTTAGCCTCTTTGCTGACTATGACTCAAGTTGCTCCTGGAAAGATGGAAATTTCAGGCGATGTCCCCAACTCCAAAGTTTAGATACCATGGGAAATAAAACATTTTAAACCCAAACTTTTTCATGTCCGTAGCACCCAGTGAATCTTAGAAACCATAAAATTAGAGGGAGGCTGCTATGGTGAGGCCAAACAGCACGGACAGTGATTCTGCCCACTCCCAGCATGGTCTGAAGGCTGTAGGATGACACCAAATTGCCTAACAAATGGTTGAACTGGGCTGCCATCTAACTTTTGTGAACAGATCTTTATTATTTTGTCTCCAGTGGGCATATATGCCCACAACTTTGGCTATAATTCTGAACAGCCATAGGTCCAAATACACCTTCTTTGTTCTGAAATTCTAAAATACACCCAACAAACACAGTCATTCAAAAAATATATGTTCTTTCAGATCGTAAGTGCAGTGAGAATTGATGACATTTATTTTGTTTTTCACTCAGAATATAAGTTCCTCAAGAGCATTGATATTGGTCTGTGGAAAGAATGGATGCTTGAAGGACATAGAGTATCTCCTTTGTAAAAATGACTGGTCTGAAATAATGTAAATCAAAAGGAAATCAAGTGGTAATTAAGTCCGGTTCCATATGCAGTTAGGTTTTGAGAGCTTAAGGACTGTCCTTTATCACATCACATGCTGTCCATGATGAATTGACCCAATAGACATACAGGGAAAAGAAATATATAAAATTTTTACTTTTGAAAGTTTTGTATTAGTCTTAATACAGTATTAGAGTGAAAGCTCAACCTAATTTTGGAAGGCAGAGTGTAAGTGAGTTTATTTTACACCATCTGTTTTGTTGGCTAAATTTCCTTCTGCCAAGCTTTGGACCTATCAGTTCTGCTGATGAGTTTTATCTGTGAACTTGAGTAAAGTTTCTGAATTTTTGTAGATGGATTTACTTATTTTTAAAACTTCGCAAGGTGGTCTCTATTTTACTTGAACACACGTTAAATAAGAGGGTATGCTTCACTGAAAGGAATGTCTTCATTGAGGATTAACCAACCAATGCCAAAGAAAGTGATGAATGACGGATGTTAATTTAATTATCCTGCAGATGATCCTGAACCATTACTGCTTAAGTGCCAAACAGATTCTTCTGTTTACAAATAGAGCACTTTCTTTGGCATTAGCAATAGCTTAGTGCATTGTTTGTAGGGTTTATGCTTCCTTTTCTTAAGAAAAAAAAAAGACATAACCACGTCTTTTTTAGTCTGCCATGTACCACTTCACAAGTACAACAAAGCCTCATTTATCCACTGTTGTAGGGGAACGAATATGTTCCCAATAGGTTAGTTTTTCAGATTGCTTAAGCTCTCACTTTGTTGGTAATCTTTCTAAAATGAAGACACACTCCTCTGTCTTCTGAAGCAGAGAGGGCTGCCAGGAACTTTCTCTTTTCTGGATGGTTTGGGCCATCTGTGTGAACATGGTGATGTGCCCTCCAGGGCTGTAAACCTATGTATGTGGAACCATTTGTCCATTAACCTAAGTTACCCCAGATGCGTATGCTTGCTTTCTTATTCTCTCCAATTTTTGTGAAACTTTTAACTCCACAAATTGTCACAGTTACTTTTCATACCTGCCACAATATCGTTTAATATACAGCTATTTCCTGTAGTTACTTGGGTGGCTCCACACCTCTCTTATGCTATAAAGAGCACTTTAAGAATGCTACACTTTTATTAATAATAAAGGAGTTAATATTGACATTTAATTTAGGACAATGACACTTACTGGTTTTAATTCCTTTTAAAATGGGCTTAGGCTAAAAAATAGCTTCTGGTCCATTACAATGAAATTGGTAAATTTCTAAAATATACCTTACAATTTTTAGGTTTGAACCCTTTAGCAACTATGTGTGCAAAGTCCATTATACAACTCTACTTGAAGTCAGTCTATTAATTGTACTTTGTTAAAAATCTCAGCTTGATGTATATTGTATATTGTAAATAACATGAGCGACAAAATAATGCAATTAACAAGAGCCTAAAGGGAAATAAAATGGGAGTTTTGAAGAGCTCACATCACTCCAAATGTAAATATAACTTTTCAGTCACTAGAGAGAGATTTAGGTACATTTAGAGTTATACGTCTCCCAGATATAAGGACCTGGCTATGTACTAAAGACTTAAAGACGTGATGTGTGTGTGTGTGTGTGTGTGTGTGTGTGTGTGTGTGTGTGTGTCCACAGAAATAATCTTTCTTGGTACATGCTTAGCAATCTGAAAAAAATTTTTTCATGGAACGGAGACAATATCTCCATTTTTTATTCCATCTTTTACAATATTTATTTGGGCATTGCAAGCAGATCCATTTTTGCCTGTGACAAACACCTATAGTTTTCTTGTTCAAAACTTCTATATAGCTGTGGTGACAGTGGCTATAAATAGCTTATTAGGAGCCATTTGATTAGGTGAACACGTGTTTCGGTTTTGTAGAAAAGTCTGGTTACTACAGCAGCTTCCTCTTTTGTCCTAGAGCAGCATTTAATTTTTTTTCTTTTTTCAGTGCCAGACTAGAATTATTAGTAGCCTTTTTGGCATTTTTTTTTTCCTCTATGAATGCCAGTCATCTGGAGCTATGGCAGTTGTTCAACAAAACTGATTCTTCTGCAGGTTTAAACCAGGTGATTTAGGGCCTCAAGCCATTCTAGACCGAAATCTTTATTTGCTTTTCTCTACTAGCCAAGTTCACAAGATAATTAGAAATCATCCCATTCCTTTTTGGGTTTGCTCACAGAGCATTATTTTTGTTTTCCTATTTAACTATCATTCCATTTGATTATATATTATCCAATAGTTTATAAGTTCATTTTCCCTGGTGTTTATCAGAATAACACTTCTACACACCTCCCTCACTTCATGAGGAAGAATCCCTGGGGATGACTGTGTAAAAATCTCTGCCCGAGAAACGCAAATCAAAACCACAATGAGAAACTATCTCCCACCAGTTAGAATGGCGATCATTAAAAACTCAGGAAACAACAGGTGCTGGAGAGGATATGGAGAAATAGGAACACTTTTACACTGTTGGTGGGAGTGTAAACTAGTTCAACCATTGTGGAAGACAGTGTGGCAATTCCTCAAGGATCTAGAACTAGAAATACTATTTTACCCAGCGATCCCATTACTGGGTATATACCCAAAGGATTATAAATCATGCTACTATAAAGACACATGCACATGTATGTTTATTGCGGCACTATTCACAATAGCAAAGACTTGGAACCAACCCAGATGTCCATAAATGGTAGACTGGATTAAGAAAATGTGGCACATATACACCATGGAATACTATGCAGCCATAAAAAAGGATGAGTTAATGTTCTTTGTAGGGACATGGATGAAGCTGGAAACCATCATTCTGAGCAAACTGTCACAAGGACGGAAAACCAAACACCGCATGTTCTCACTCATAGGTGGGAATTGAACAGTGAGAACACATGGACACAGGGCAGGGAACATCACACAGTGGGGCCTGTTGTGGGGGGTGGGGGGCTTGGGGAGGGATAGCATTAGGAGAAATAAAAAAAATATATATCTGCCCAATTAGACCTGACTTTAATAGTGGGTGAGGATAGGCAGACCCTCCACATGGTGGCCACCAGTATGAGCACTTGGTTTGAGGCTGACGTGGAAGGCAGTTGAGCAGTATGGGTGTGGTGCTGTAGACAAACCCAGGCTTGTTTCTGATTGCCCATCCTTCTCTTAAATGTATGGCCCCTACATTGATGAGGTCAGGTGCACAGCAGTAAAGAAGGAATAAATCACACTGCTGAGCAGTAGAACCAGGGTCGGACAAGTCCAGACCTTTGCTTCTATGCTTGATCACTAATCTCAATCCCAGCACTTGACCCGGACCTGACACATAGTAGGTGCTTTGTTTTCTCATCTATAAAATGGAGATTATAATGCCTACTTCAAGGTTTGTTGAAAGGGGAAAATAAGAGAGTAGGTAAACTGCCCAGAGCTGTGCCTAACACATAGTAGGCCCTTGTTATAAAAATAACTAATTTAGTTATCTCTTATCTGAGGTAATTTGGTTACTCATCCTGGGATAGTGATGGAAAAAGGAGAATGGAGGCCTTGGCTTTATTTTTTGTGGTTGTTGTTATTTTGTTTGTTTGAAATAGAGTCTCACTCTGTCGCCCAGGCTGGAGTGCAGTGGCACGATCTCGGCTCACTACAACCTCCGCCTCCTGGGTTCAAGCGATTCTTCTGCCTCAGCTTTCCTAGTAGCTAGGACTACAGGCACATGCCACCACGCCCTGCTAATTTTTGTATTTTTAGTAGAAATGGGGTTTCACCATATTGGCCAGGCTGGTCTCGAACTCCTGACCTCGTGATCCGCCCACCTCGGCCTCCCAAAGTGCTGGGATTACAGGCCTGAGGCTTTATTATCTTTAAATTGTCTCTGAACTCTCTCATGAATGCTTTGAAGTGCCTTGGGTCTGAGTGTTTTAAAACAATTGTCATTCAGAAAAAGTTGAAAGCAAAAACATAGATCCCAAGGATACAGCAGTTCAATCCGCTACAGTTTGTTCTGGAGTAAAAACTCTTCTTACATATCACTCCATATGCAGAGACGTTCATTTAAACGTCTGAATGAAAATGTCTCTAACACATTGGAGAAGCCAGCTTCCCTGGTGAACTCATTGCCAAGCCACAGCTTCCTTTGGAAGGGCAGGCCTCTTCTTTTTGGGGGCTGAGTAGAAAACCATGAGGCTCTGGGTTTGAAAGTGAGTGCCACTTAGCTGATCCAGGTGGAGCTTGGGGAATTTAGATAAGCCGTTCAGATGAAGTGAAAAATCAATAGGTCAGCAAGAGCTATACCCAGAGCAAGAGTGACGTGAATGCTCTGCCATCATTATTGTTAGCCAGGGAAAAGCAGTTAGAGAGCACCACTCTGTCTGCTCTACTGATGGGTATGATAATTTCATCATGTGTGGTTTTAGATTATACTGTCTTAATGAGATCTGCAGCGAGGGGGAATTGAACCGCAGAGAATGATTTTGTGTGTGTGTGTGTGTGTGTGTGTGTGTGTGTGTGTAAGTAGCATCCTAATGATTCTGAAAATTACACAAGGAAGATGCTGTAATCGGCTAGACTGTGGCTGGCTTATCAACACTGGGCCATGTATTGTGTTTCTGCATTTCTAATTTGATTACCTGGAAGCTTGCATCATTAAACTAAAAGGCATCCACATTTTATGTCTTGATAGGACAAAAAAAAAAAAGAAAGATTAATGATACTTTAGGAAATGATCGACTCGACTTTACCCAGGAAATGATCTCTTCTCACTAATGTTTCTTTCCAGACTCAACAGCCTTGCCTATGATTCTATAATTAGAAATATAATATTCAAATCCAGGTACTAGAAAAAATGTGGGGCTTATTTTCTCTACCTCTATATTTGCTATATTTGTTTGGCTTATTGTCTTCTTTCTTGCTCAATGAAGAAAATGTATTTAAGCGTGAGTATCAGAAAAATAAAATTAAATGATTTATAGAGTTTTCTCATTTGGGGAATATTCTACTTTTATACTAGTTAATTGTGTTTTGGGACATAAGACACAGGAAAGGTTTTCCTGTAGTGCTTATGTAGTAACTTTTTAGCCCACAGAAATGTGTTATATTTTCTACCAATATGACCAGTAAATACTTCTACCCAGAATATCTGAAGGGAAGATACTCAGTGTGATTTCCTGTGCATGATAGTGTGTCTCAAAATGAGAATTACAAAACCTGATAGTGCTGTAAAGCTGTAAAGGTTTTATGTTTAGGCCAACATGCTGTCCTAAGGCATTTACAAATTAACTGCTGCAAAAAATACTGTTTACTAAAAATATTTTACTAAAAATATTTTTTAAATCCCATAGCCTGATAGTCTCTTACTAATAATCTTTATTAATATTCTCTTGAACTTGATATTACAGTATTGCAAACAGTGCTTTGTAAGACTTTCTAATGGATCAAAGACAACTTTTATTAGTTGTTTGATGTGTAATTCTAGAAGACTGTAAGTTTCCTTAGACCTCAAGGCCCTATTCTTCGAACATGCTTCCATCCAAGAGTCCAATTACTTCTCTACTAGCATATACTATGTAGGCCCAGAAATCAGCTGGTCAGGGTCTAGGAGTCGGGTATATACTCTTGCCTAAGGGGAGGCATAATAAAGGGTAGTAGGAAATGACACAAGAAAAATTCAAGACAGAATACCAGCCCTTGATAGGCTGTTGAAGACGGAGGGTGAACGTGGAAAAAACAATGGGCAAAGAACACTATATAAAATTAAGTACTCAATTGCACAAGGTTCAAAGTTGTTTTCTTGTTCTTAGGAATGGAATCAAGCAGGGCTGATTTTGTTAGACATAAAGAAAATTAAGCTCTACAGCTCTCTTGGGTAGCATAGAATTTCCCTGGTGGGTTACATACATATTGATAAGACTCCAAGACCAGAGTTTGGTACCTCTTAATATTGATTCATGGTTTTAATGGCTGAAGTGTGTGATGCTAGGGTAGACATCACTGAACCACCCTAAATTGTGTACTGTGGTGGTTTGCAAAACGCTATTTGGTGTCAGCTGAAAAACTGCACTTCATCTTAGATGAAGCCAAGTCGCCAGTATATAAATGGGTGGCCTCTTTACAAAAAAAACTATATGATAAAAAGGTTGGTCTATAATCCTCCTGGGAGTGGTGTAGGGAGGAGAGAGAGAGAGAGAGAGAAAGAGAGAGAGAGAGAGAGAGAGAGAGAGAGAGAGAGAGAGAGAGAGAGAAACTAATCATTTGCATGCCATGCTTCCCCCTCCAAGAAAAATTTCTTGCTTATTGCAGCTTTTCTTAACTCTAAAATGAAGAACATGAATGTACCTGTAGTAGCTAATTTAATTGAAGCAGACATCCATATCCATATGATTTGGGGGGAAGATATGATTATGGAAGGATAAAATATACATCAGTGCATGCTCAAGAGTGCTTTACCTCTGCCTCCTAGTTTAGGAATCTAGAAAATGTTCATCTTAACCCCTCTCTGAGAGATCTCTCAAGTGACCAGTGGGCTGCACTGTCAGAGCCTGCCAGGAGAAACCAGTGCGGACTAATCACAGTATGTTAACCTTCTGGACCATTTGCTATAAAATGCTGCTGGTCACTTTAGCATCTGCAGGAGGCTTCCAGACTTCACCTGCTGTTCATGAATTCTTTGCTGAAGCACACCAGGAAATGATGCTAGGAATCTGTTTCTTGCTTGGCTTCACCTTTTTTCCTTGTCCAAAGTACTTCTCAGTGGGGACAATAACCTAACATACTGAGTTCAGTGTAAACAGGAAATCTGGCAGCAAAAACTGGACCAGGGACTAACTTTGCAAAGCCAAGTTTTAATGAGTAATTTGCAAAGTAATTAATCAAGAGGTCATTGTCCCTAGAAAATGGAGTAAGTGTACCCCACACTGATGTGGTACCTCTTTTGGCTGCCTGAGGCCACAGCTGATCTTCCTTATAACTAGTGGTGACCCACTAGTAAGAGAGTAACCCAGCATTTCCAGGATCAAAGACAGAAAATGTGGAGTCTACCTCTTCAGTCTTGAAAAACTACAGATCATGAACCATTAATAACTCATCAGTGGTTCAGAAAATCAATTTAATGAGTCCAGGCCAACTTTGTTTTTTATTTTTTTGAGACCCAGTCTCGCTCTGTCACCCAGGCTGGAGTGCAGTGGCACCATTTCGGCTCACTGCAACCTCTGTCTCTCAGGTTCACATGATTCTCATGGCTCAGCCTCCCAAGTAGCTGGGATTACATGCATCCACCACCATGCCTGGCTAATTTTTGTATTTTTAATAGAGATGAGTTTTCACCATCTTGGCCAGGCTGGTCTAAAATTCCTGATCTCAAATGATCTCGGCCTCGGCCTCCCAAAGTGCTAGGATAACAGATGTGAGCTACTGCGCCCAGCCCCCAACGATTTTTTAAAAAAATAGATAGAATATAGTAAAAATATTAAAGTGCATTGTGTGTTGTGAGGTTAAATATTTTGCAAAAAATAAATATACACAAATAAATATATATACCCATGTATGTACTGAATTATAATATAATATATATTTCTTACCATGAATCTTCTGAAACTTCTTTAAGTTTGAAAGCATTACTTTATTGATGAATATTCTTTTTGAAATATGGAAAGATAATATATTTCCAAATACATTTTAGATATAGTGATACAAGAGATTGTGTATTTCTTTATGCTTAGGAGACATAGTGACCCTAGGGGAACAATGCATTGATTTAAAGTTGCTGTACTCGGATAAAATGAATGTGATTATATAGTCTTCCAAAAAATATGACATTAAGCATAAACTGTTTGAAATTTTACGCTAGGTTCAAGTATCCTGAAATATTTCAAAGCTATATTTATTGCTATATTTTCATAGATAATGTTAAGGTATATGCAAATCCATGATGAGAATGCAAATAATTTAAATATGTAAACATTTAAAATCATATTTCAAAATTTAGAGTCCTTACACTAAAAAGAAAAAATGAAATCTATAAAAAGGCAGAAACAAAATAAATCTACAGGTTCTTCCAAGCAGTAGAGAAATACTTGGGCTGTTTCAAGGCTGCCAGCAATATTTATTTCCATAGATTGTCATAGAAATTCTAAAAGTCCTGTTACTTTTAGTAATTGTATAGTTTTCTTTACCTTCCATAGTGGAACATTTATTTCCTTTTTTGGGGTGGTGGGAACATTTTACTTTAAAGACATTATTTTTACTTAAAATATATGAAACAGAGAGGAAACATAGGAACACACACTTTGGAGCCAAACTGCTTAGGTTATATGAGCTAGAGCTAGTTACTTAGCCTGTCTGTGCCTCAGTTTCCTCATTCATAAAATGAGAGACAGAGCAGTATCTGTGTTAATGAGGATTAAATGAGTTAATATTTATGAAGTCTGGCCCACAGGAAGTACTGCTAAGTGTTTGCTATTATTAGGGCACCTACACAGCCTTTATTCATTAAACAAACATTCCCTGAGAGCCCACAAGATCAGACACTGGACTAGGGATAATAAGGCAACCTCCAGTATCTCACAAGTACAGTGGGCAAGTCAGATTTCTAGACAAATGAATAGAAGACAGTGATGTAGAAAAGCTGAATGCCAATTTGGTGATATGGAGGAAGGTATGCCGAGATGGGCAGTGGAGGTGAAAACTAGCTTGTCTTAAATACATGCCATTTGATCAGTTGAAATAAGGTCCAGATGTTGACATTTATTTTGGATTTTTCCCTCAGCCAAGCAGCCTAATTCCTGGCCCTTTCCTTCCTTTCCCTAGTCTCACTTTTCTTTAAGAGCCCAGTCTTAATGGAGCCGTTGAAGGGCTGGATCGCGACAGAGGTGTAGCTGATAACACAGAACTCTAGTTGACAGATGTGCGTCTCTCAGTGCTGATCCATATGCCAACTGTATGCCTACAATTGACTGGCCTACTTATTGGAGATAGAAAGGAGTTACTGCTTTAGTTTACAAACTTCCTTTCCACCCCTTCCCAGGGCAACTGCTACACTTATTGGAGCCATGCTGCAAATATTCTCTAGTTGTATTGGATATGTGGCACAAATCCTCTAAAGTGTATTTCACTCACGAAAATGTAAGCCCTGGACCATTCTGATTTCCCAGCAGTTTGTCACACTGTGTATTTATGAACAAAGTTAACATTACCAAATGGAAGTTGTGCATTGAGGCCCCGGGTTAGGAGTAAAGGAGCTTTTCCAGGAAAGTAATAGACGTCTCATTGTTAATCAGTTGGTATCTCAGTCCACTTGTGCTGTTGTAAAGAAATACCTGATGCTGGGAAATTTATAAAGAAAAGAGGTTTATTTGACTTATAATTCCACAGGCTATACAAGAAGCATGGCTCCAGCATCTGCTTCTGGGGAGGAGCTCAGGCTGCTTCCACTCATGGTGGAAGGGGAGCCAACATGTAGAGATCACAAAGTGAGAGAGGAGGCAAGAGGGAGAGGGAGGTGCCAGGCTCTTTTTAAACAACCAGCTCTTGTGTGAACTGCCAGAGCAAGAACTCATAACCACGAGGATGGCACCAAGCCATTCATGAGGGATCCACCCCATGACCCAAAAACCTCCTTTTAGGCCCCACCTCCAACACTGGAGATCAGATTTCAGCATGAAGTTCGAAAGGTCAAATATCCAAACTAGCACTTGGTAAGCCCCAACTATGGGAATCCAAATATGAATCAGATACTCAAGGATCTCTTAGTTGGATAGAGGAAATGTGTATGGTTGCAAATGTTAGGAGCACAATAATGGAATCATAAACATATTTCAGTGGTGGCTTAAAGGAGGGAGTGGTCAATTATGCTTGGGGTGGGGAGATACTATTAGAGATCCCCTACTAGATAATTGCCACAACAAGCAGCAGCACGTATTAACTAAGGACCTACTGCATGTGGAACATGGCACCCAGGGCTGTATTACACACCAAGGTGGGACAGTGGAAGGTAGACCAGCAAGCCCACATAGCCACATCTAGCCCAGTCCTGCATCATAAGGTCCCATCTGAGCTGAGGTCATGTTCCAGCCATCAGCACACCTATATTCATGTCATGTCTACTTTTGTAGGGATGGCTTAGAAGTTATTTGCCTCACTACTGAGATTGAGAGTGTGTTTATCTTATCTAAAATGTGCAGGAGATGCTGAAGCAAGCAAGTGAACGGCAAACTTCTACTGAAATGATCAACATCACCAGCAAAGCAGAAACTTGATCCAAATATAACCATAGAATGTTAACAATGGGAAGGAATAGGGAGAGAAGCTTTGGGAAGGAGTATGGCTTTGAGTCAAATGAGAGATGATTAATGAGTGAGGAATAAAAGCAAAGCATTGAAACTAACACATACTGAGAAAGATAATGTAATGCAAAAAGGGAAGCATTATGATAAAAAATTCAAGTGATTGAACGAAATGGAAACTGATTTACAAGGTGGTAGGGATACAGCTGGAAGCTCAGCAGTTCCATCTGGGAATAAAAAGTAGGAAGTTAACCTGTTCCAAGTGACCCTCCTCAGCCCAGTAATGATATTGTCAAAGGGGAAGGGGAGTGAGTAAATAAAATAAAGGGGTTAACTCCATGCAGAAGAGAAATTTCCAGGTTGGGATCAAGAAACCAAGATGATTAAATCAACCCAGAATACTTTGTGTGAAATATGATCAAAGCGATAAGAAGATTATCTTCTCAAATTATATCCCTAGTAGGAGTCCCCAGATGGGGTGGCAGGGATATATGTGGATTTTAGAAAATGGCTGCTTTAAACAGTTCAGGAAGGTGGCCTGAAACAAAAAATGGATAATGAGGACAACAACAAAATCCTAACCTATAGATCCCTCCACATATACAAGACTTAAGAATAAAGGAATCAATTGCCTCTCTCCAAGCCATACCAGTTGTCTGGGTATGCCCAATCACCTTTTTCACAAGTCAGGAAAAGGTACCAGATCTAAAATTAAAATGACAGACAGACAGATAGATTGACACAGATATAGACAGACAGATTCAAAGAAGAGGGCCTTGTTGATGCAAAGCTGGAATAGAAGGCAGAAATGTCACAATTGAGATACAAATAGGGTGGCTCCCAGAACATAAACAGGCCTTGGCGATAGAGGAAATGCTGGACAGACACCCAGGAGCCCTGAATTCTAAGCTCGCTGCTGCTCCTGCCTAGCTTTATGGTCTTGGTGAGGGAGTTGCCTGATGTGTTTCTGTGTTTTCGTGCTTGTAAAACAAGAGAGTTGCAATAAATGAATTCGAAGATCCTTACCACATTTAAAGATTTCTGTAACGATATAAAGAATAGAGGAATATGAAGTGAACCCAGTTCTCATGACAAGTTCAAAGCGAATTCACCACTTGGGGAAGTAAGTATCAAGTTTCCATCATTTAGACATTAATTTATTTCTCTTCTGTTTTTAGATTGCCAACCCACTCCTGATCTAAGTTCACAAAAAACCTGTTTCATGTCTTTCTCAAAACCTTCCAGGAATGCCATATTATCTGTAATTTAAATTTCAACAAGAATAGGCACATTTGGATTATTAAAGGCCATACTGTCCATATTTGTGCATATTCTTCCTGTTTTGCTCCTGCTGGAGATACTTTTTGGGGTATTGGAACCCTCTGTTCACTCTCCTCTGTGAGTGTTATTTCTTTGGAATATACATGCCAGGGGATTTAAACATTGTGCAGTAGAATATTACTTGATAACATCAGTTGTATTTATAAATCATCATATGTAAAACATGAGACACAAATTGCCTTGTTTCTACTGCAGGGTCAGGTGTTCTTTCTCCTGTTCAAGGTAATTAGACAGTGACTTGTATAATAAACCCAAGGGTGGAAAAGACATTTCAGCCTGCCAGTTACACATAGAATTGCACTGACTTTGTATCCGTAGGGTATTTAATGCCACCCTAAGGGATCAGAAAAGCAGGACCCCTCTCTTTTGTATAGGTTCCAGAAGAGTGGAAAGTTATTTAAGAATATTGTAGAACCTTGCATGAAAATATGTCTTCAATAGAATTGAGGCTCTGTGGCCAGAGAGGCAAATCAATGAGAGTGGGGTTAGAGGAAGACAAGAATCAGAAAGGCAAGAGTCAGACGACAAGACTGAGCAGACTGGGGGAAAGTCCTGGTAAATTGCAGACAACAATCTTGGTCAAGTTACATTTGAATTGCTGATGAGCTGCCTCAGAGAAGATGCTGCAGAGATAGTAGAGAGGCAAGATTCCACAGGATGAAGAGATCTGGGGTGGACAGTAGAACCAGGGACCTAGGAACATAAGGTGGATGATAGAATTTGTGTACAGGTAATCGATTAAAAAAAGGCAATTAGTGTTTGACAATTAGACAAACAGTGGAATTTATTTTACTTTTTGAAATTCACACAAGCAAGAGGAAGTAAAGTCCTTAAGGCTATGTCTACACTAAACTCACAAGGGAAGTCAGAGGGTCCAGAACATCTTTTAGTGTTCCCTGCAATCCTGCAACCTGGAGTTCCCCAAGAAATTTTTGAAACGGATGCTCCGTCTGCATTCCAGGTAGGATGTTTTGTGTTGGGTTCTGTTTGCTTTGCATTTTGATTCCCGTATAGAATAATCTACTAGAGTGGATTCTGGAACTCCATTCGATCTTTAGACCAGTGGGTTCCTTGAGGATCTGAAATATGAGCCTCCTAGTGAGTTTAAGTTTATAAATGGCCTGCCTTGAATATGCACTTGGAAAGATTAGTGGGAAGTCCTGCTACAGGCATAGCCATTGATAAAATTCCAGGAGAGAGACTCAATGATGAGGAAAGTCTCAGCTAAAAAAATCCACCCAGAGTTTGATGAGGATAAAGGTATAATAGAGGCAATTAGCATTGTTCACAAGAAGCCAAATTCTGACTTTAATTAAGAAACATAAAGGTAAATTAAAGAAAAAAATTTTATTTAAAAATTCAGTAAAGTACTAGAGAAGAAAATGCTGATTATCACAGAATATATCACAGGTTTCTGTTAAAGGGGAGGAAAAGAAGTTAGTGTTATCAGGAAGAGCCGTTGGTTCAAAAGAGGCTTTTATGAAAATTAGTTTGAGAAAGTGACATTCTTAATTGATGATATGAAAGGTTTAAAATATTTCCTGCACTTTTTTGTCTTTGTGTTTAATTAGTATGCTCTGACATATGTCAGGGCATTAATAATTTTGCAACATTAGTTAATCTGCCCAAGTTGAATATTATAAATGTATGTGCATATGTGTGTGTGCATTACTTAATAGAACAAGAATGTGAGTCTGTAACGTCTAGCTCAGTTTTGAGATCCCTAGACTGGGTTGCCTCTCATTAATAGAATTAATGGAATTTAAGATATATTAAATAGTAACCAATTTATGATATTCTAATCCTTACTCCACAAATATATTGTTGTATGAGTTTTAAACATTTCTGCTTTAGTACCATACTTGAAAATTCAGGGTGTTGGCAGAACGAAAGCCCACTTGAAATATTAACTCCAAAATAGACTCATTTTTTCCTTGCCAGTATAGGCAAATCTACAGGGACCTTTTGTTGCCAGTCAAATGGAAAAATCCTATTTTAGGAATCAACCCTATTTTTAAATAGTTTTCAGTCATTACTTAATGAAAGGCATAGCTCTTGATCTGCTTTTCAAAGGATTAAACAAAAATCTGGGCTTCAAGTGAAATGTCAACAAATGCCACATATACCCTACATTGAAAAGTTTAAGTTGTGTGGCTAATTAATACTAGAGCATCAGAGATAAATTTGCATGACACTAGCCATTTATTATTTTAAGCTTTTTTGGTAAATGTTTTCTTAAACACATTTTAACAGTTGTTTGATATAAGGTATAATAAAGGCATCCAAATTCATAGTTTGATAATTTGCATTGAGTTCTTTTCTCTATGCTAAATAAAGTATGGATATTGCTAAGACAGTTTTCAAAGTATAATGTGTTCAATCGTGATCATGATCGATGGCTGAATGTATTTCCAAATATACTCATAATTTTAGCTTAAATGTAGTTGAGTTGAGTGCAGATTGAATAACAAATGGAATTGAGATACAGTGGAAACTTGAAGCTAAGTCAGATAAAGACCACTAGCATTACCCTTGGGTGTGGACCAGAGTGGAAAAGGAATCTGGGATTCTGATGTTGCAGTAGCTAACCCTGAAACTCGATGCAATGGTTGACTTATGAAGAGACCTAATTGTGTGTATGCACAGTATTTTGAAAGGATCAAATACACACACACACACAGAGACTAGATCATAAGTAGTTTGATAGCTAGATAAATAATCCATTCAAAAAATACATATATAGAGAAAGCATGGTGTGTGTGTGTGTGTGTGTGTGTGTGTGTGTGTGTTCTATGGATGGATGGGTGTATACACATATATGTATGTACACTTATATTTAAAGCTATATCTCAGTTGTCTGGAAGTGATTCTCAAATTGTCTCCCTGCTTTTCCTGTGCATTCCTGTACAACATGGAAGTTGTAAATGATTGTAAAGTTGTCAGTAATGCCCCTAGGCTCATGTTAGCTTACAGATGAGAGCTAATTCTGGGTAGATAATATCTGAGCTTATTTATTAAAACACATTTTTGCTTTTCTTTTTTAAGAGTTACTTAAAAAATAAATAAAGGCAATGGAAAGCTTTTCCAGTGATTTTTTTTTCATGTGAAATTAAGTTTTAGCCTTAGACCATGTGAGGTGGGGTAGATATCATAGAAACCCAGGACCAAGCTGCTATCCCGAGGGTAACATTTCTAACTTTATTAGCATTTCTAACATTTCTGACTTTGAGATGTAATTTCCATAGGAGCCTGTGGTTCAAATTTGAGGTGTTCAGAACTAAATGTGGAATTTTCAGATCATGGAAGTGAGATTTATTTTGATGAGGAAAAACCCTGTACCTATGTGGAAACATAAGCTTTGAGACATCAGTATTCATGTGCATCAGGGTTTATCTTTTATATTATCAGATCTGTTTCTGAATCTGCCCCTGCTCACCAAAAAAGTCTAGATTTGCTTCCAAATTAAAGATACGGTATATAGTACCTAGTGGTAAGAGAGTGAAGATACATAGTCTAGATGCAGTGGGTTATTTCTAAACATTGCCTTCAAACATGACTGCAAATACATTAGAAGAAAAATTATTAAGTGATTGGGATAAATATAATTAGCCTTTGGGTTGTTGCTATTATAATCAATGCAGAAATCTCATTAATTTATGCACAGTTTGGAGTTGATGATTATGTGAGATCTCAGCATAATCTCCAATTTCTATATTTATAATAAAAGAAGAAATAAATAGCATGGACAAGATAGATTTCCTTACATGAGCAACATAATGAGTGCCCGTAAGTGCTAGGCATGATGTATGTTATATAACCTAATGTTCATAAGTTGCCTCTGGGGTAGATGATATTATCTGTATTTTACCAATAAGAAAATCTGAGGCTTATGGTTTAAGGGACTAATCAAGGTCATGTATCTAAGGAAGTGGATTGAGGATGTGAACTTGGGTCCTGTGCTTTTCTGAGTACCAACCCTCGTAAGTTCCTTAGGCGTTTTTATTCCTTTGTTCAACCCATTTCCTGAGTGACACTATGGTAAACATTATTTTTGCAAGCAATATGCTTACTACTGTATTTACCAGTCACTCTTATCTGAGCACTAGAGCAGTTCTCTCAAGAACTTCAAGGTGCTACTGCTTTCTTAGACTGGCAGAGACTGTATATACATTTGAAATATTCATATCCTAGTAATGTATACTCTTTCCGACTCCTGCATGTCTCTTACTAGTTTCATTATTGCTGTTTTACTGCACTTAATTGTGTGTGTTCATGGAACATCTTGGAGTCAGTATTCACTATAGAAAAGGATTAATAAAGTCAAGACTTAATAGTAGCTACTTCCTGATAATGTTGTCTGCAAAGGCTCCTTCTGAATCTCAATCCTGAAAATGCTCTCAGATATTGAGCTGATGCTGGCACAAATGAAAATCAGATAGAACTTTTAGGTAGTAATTTTTAGAATCTTTACTGAGTGTCAGGTAGGAGGAAGCAGCTGGGAATATGCATTATTTTTAAAACTAAGAGCAAAGGTTTTCTTGTGTTCTTGTTGCCAGCTTCATGTTTCAGAAAATAGTTGACTCTCCTGATGTGTAAGTTCATAAAGGCATGCCATGCTTCCTTCTCAGCTCTGAATTTAGTGAGCTTTTAGGTTTTGAGAGGTGTCTAAAATATTTCTTTCTCCTATTTAGTGAGACATAAACATTTTTATTGAAATGCACAGGAAAACCCAACATAGTTCCTGCCATGCTGCCATGTGCAAGGCAATCTTGCCTGTTTCATCACTGCTGTTATGTTTTTTTTTTTTTTTGAGATGGAGTTTTGTTTTTGTTGCCCAGGCTGGAGTGCAATGGCATGATCTCAGCTCACTGCAACCTCCGCCTCCCATGTTCAAGTGATTCTCCTGCCTCAGCCTCCCAAGTAGCTACGATTACAGGCGTGCACCACCACGCCCAGCTAATTTTGTATTTTTAGTAGAGACAGGGTTTCACAATGTTGGTCAGGCTGGTCTCAAACTCCTAACCTCAAGTGATCCACCTGCCTCGGCCTCCCAAAGTGCTAGGATGACAGGCATGAACCACTGTGCCTGGCCAATTGTGATTTATTTAAAGCCTTTCTTCAGTCTATGAGATACACTGAGTTCTAAGTGCCCCTGTGAAATGTCAGTGAATGGAAGTGGGCAGGCAATTAAAGAAAGAAGCTATGTTGGCATAACTAGACTTTAGCATATGTATTTCAGGGAAAAAAAAAAGGTAGCTCAAGTGATGGAAGAGTGGAAATATTTTAAAAGATGTCTAGGGATTTGTTAGCAATGTATATCCTACCACATCATTTTTATTATACAATTTTCTCTTGGAAGAATCATGGGGTTTTACAGTAACAAAGACTTCCCCAGGCCTATAATAAGCTGATGGGTTGCTTTTTCTCTTTCACTACTGCATGAAATTTCTGCTAACAGAGCTAGGCCTCATTAACCTTGTGCCATCATTTCATCTGTCCTGTTACCCGTTTCATAAAGGATGTCCTTTTGTGTCCCATGATCAAGATGGAAACACCTCTAATGAGAGCTTCACAGTTAGTGGAATGAGCCCCTGGTATGCACACTGGAAATCTACTTGCTTGAAAGTCAGATTTACATAGAGTGATCCTTCTTTAGCAATAATGTATGGCCCTAGAACTTGTGGCATCAGGCTATTTGAATCATAATAAAAATATTTTTTATAAAAACAGGTGAAATTGGAAGAAACTTGGAGGTGTTGGGGTGGGTAGAATAAGAGAAAGAACAGGTGGCCAGAAGAGAGAGAGGAGGGAGAATAAAAGGAGACAAAGAAAGACAAACTTCTGTCATGTCCCAGTGAAGTTAGAAGCCACCCCAGGAATTTCTCAGATAGTTACATTGATAAGCAAGAGTGAGAAGTCCATACAATTGCCAGATGGATTATGTCAGTAAATATGCAAATTGGAAAATGCAGTTTCAACACAGTTTTGCTTCAGAGTTGTGTTTTCCTTTTCAGTCATACTTGAATTGAACACCTAATTTCCTCAACCTTATGTGTTGAGTGAATGTCATCTGGAAGCGTATGTTTCAGCTTACACATCTATGACTTCTATACATCTAAAATTAAAATCTCATTTAATTTTAATGCATCTCATTTGCTAAGAAAATAGTAGTAATTTAGGCGGTTGTCTTTGTCACACACACCAAAAGACCAATTAGAATGGTTCCCTTGTTTTTCTTGGCTTAGAGTCGTTTGTCTCATACCTGCTGGAAATTAATTTTAACAGTCAGTCACTTATTTAATTAAGTTAGAAGACTTTTAAAAGGTAATGTATCCAATAAAATCGTAGACTAATGGCCACTATGAAATGCTCATTATGCTAGCAGCCTTTAAGCCTTTAGCAAAAAGAATTGTGAAGAGGGTTTATATGAATGGATTAGGTTTCATTTTAAAGTGCATTAAGTGACATAAACAAATGTGAAAAACTTAAGTAACTTACAAGTACCTTAGATTACTAATTAAATGAAAAAAGGAGTTAAATATTGGAGTGGTAGTAAAGTTTCAGAGCAGTGTTTTCAGGTATGTTATATTAGTATATCCACCAGAGAGGAATAAATGTGTTTTAAGATAATATAAGGCCTATGATGTCAGATGTTTTCATGTGAGCTACAATTTATTTAAATGATCAATATCTCCCTTGGGCTTGTTTTCTTGCTTAATAAATGAAATATGTGGTTATGCATTATAAGAAGAAATTAATAAGACATAATTCAAATGATAATTTCTTATGGGGAGAAAGTTCTAGATAGTCTATGTTAGAAGAAGCCCTAAAGTGGCATTACATAATAAAACTATAATGTAAGCCATATATATAATTTTAAATTTTCCACTAGACACATTAAAACAAGTAAAAAGAAACAGGTAAATTTATTTAATACATTTTCTTTAGTGCAATATATGTCAAACATTATGTTAACTTATAATTCATATAACAAATTATTAATGGAATTAAAACCTTTTTTTTGGCCAGGCACAGTGGCTTACACTTGTAATCCTAGCACATTGAGAGGCTGAGGCAGGAGTTCAAGAGCAGCCTGGCCAACATGGTGAAACCCCATCTCTGCTAAAAAAAAAAAAAAATACAAAAATTAGCCAGACGTGGTGGTGCACACCTCTAATCCCAGCCACTTGGGAGGCTGAGGCACGATAATTGCTTGAACCCCGGAAGCAAAGGTTGCAGTTAGCCAAAATCCCACCACTGTATTCCAGCCTGGGTGACAGAATGATACCTCGTCTCAAAAAAAAAAAAAAAAAAAAAAAAATCTAAGTCTTTGAAATCCAGGGTGCGTTTTACATGTACAGCACATTTCAATTCAGCTGTGTTTCATGTGCTCAGTAGCACATGTACTGGCAATTACCATGCTGGACTTCAAAGCTCTGAAGCAAAGACTCACAGGGCCAAGCAGGCAAGAAAACGACTGAAACAGGTCACCTGGGACCTGTAGCAAACTGCCACTTTCTACATGCACAGGGCTGCTCTCAGCCCAGCCAGTTCCTGCCTTAGCCCTAGTGCTGCCAGATTTTCTGAAGCCAGAAATCCGGAGTCCTATTCTTGATATTTAAGTGTTGGCAACTAATGTAAACATCATACCATGCTGGCCTTCGGGTTGCCAGTTTGTGGCCTCTGTTCCCAGGATTTCACATTTTAAGCCATATAAGGGTTTCTGACTCGTCTAACAAGCTGTATTGGGTTCGGTGAAGGATAATAAAGGATCCCCTTTTTCACAAATACAGTGTGTTTGAACATATTTTTGAATTTGTGGAATGGGTTCCACATTAGAATCAACTCAGTGGTTGCCCTTACCACCTTCCTGTGCCCGTAGAACGCAGAGCTGGAAAGCTCTAGGATAAAGTACTTCATTGCTCTAGCTTACTTCACCTCTCCCCCGTTGTTAACATTCATCCCACCAAAGCTGTTGTTGAAAGTCCCTAATGCGGTCTTCTTGAAGGCAGGCAGAATCTGTCTTATTCCACACTGTATCTCCAGCACTTGAATGGATGAGTAGGTGATACATAAAACCCAAAGAAGCAGTTTGGCAAGGATATGGAGAATTTGGAACCCTTGTGTACTGCTGGTGGGAATGTAAAATGGTACAAGCTACTATGGAAATACAGTTGGCAGTTCCTTAAAAAATTAAAGCTAGAACTACCATATGATCCAGCAATTCTACTTCGGGGTATGTACCCAAAAGAAGTGAAAGCAAGAGATAGTTGTACACCCATATTTATAGCAGCATTAGTCATAGTAACCAAAAGGTGGAAGCAACCCAAGTCTCCACTAACAGATGAATGGATAAACAAGTGTGGACTGTACATAAAATGGAATATTATTTAGCCTTAAAGGAAGGAAATTCTGACGTATGCTACAACATGGATGAATCTTAAAAACATTATACTAAGTGAAAAAAATCCACTGGCAAAAGGGAAACTGCTGTATAATTCTTCTTTTATTAGATACCTCCACTAGTCAAAGTCATAAAGACAGAAAGTAGAATGGTGGTTATCAGGGGCTGGGAGGAGAAGGAACAGGGAATTATTTTTTAATGAGTACAGAGTTTCAGTTTTGCAAGATGAAAAGAATTCTGTGGATGAGTAGTGGTGATGGTTTCATAACAATGTGAAAGTGTTTAATGCCACTGACTTGTATGCTTAAAAATCGTTAAAGTGGCAATTTTATGTTATGTGTATTTTACCACAATTAAAAATAAATGATGTTTTTTAAAAACCCAAAAAGGTTAAATGATATATCCAAGGTCACAGTATTGTAGTCTGGAGCTTTTAAAACTATCCCAGGCTATTCATAGTATGTTTTGAGGTAGCATAATAATAAAGGAAGGACTTAACGCTTGGAACCCGTAGACCCTTATCTTGACAAGTCACGTGATATCTTAGCCCCTCAGTTCCCCTACACATCCAGTCCTGTCTTCTGGAACCAACTGACCAGTAAGGTTAACATGATAAAATTAAATATGTATGGGAAAAATATATATCCTAGATTAATCTGGGCCAAACTCATTATATGCTGGGGAATTAATGTGTTATTGAGATTTTTTTTAAAAACATTCCAGTAATGTAGCAAATGTGTAAGAGCCTTGTTGAACCCCAGCAATATGATTCCCCAGTTCAGTTAAAATGATCAACTGAATATAAAAGTTTGCCTCAGCCACTGAGCAAATTTGTTTCACTTTTCTGTTATCTATATGATGATGATTATTTTATTTCATCGTCTTCCATGTGTGCTGAAATGCCCTAGAAGTCCAATTCTTCTTGTCTTCCTCTCAGAGTAAAGTGAGGTGGGAAGAGAATCCCAAGTGCAATAGGGTATCTAGTCTCAAGAGGCAGCACCACCCCCTGAAGCACAGCATCTTCAGTGACCTTTCCTGGCTTAGTAACTATGTGAATGTCTGTTATTCAGAGTTACCAGATTTCAACAACCAGAGAAAAAGGCACAAGCATTTCCTATTTCCATTCTCTAGAGATTTGCTTTGTTAGGAAAGCAAGACTCTTAGTTTCTGTCACATGGTGTATTAAGTTTTATTGTTGAAGAGGACGTTATCTTGAGACCAAGAATGCAAACAAGATTCTATATTAGTTCTAAATTGTAGATGGCCCAGTTTATCCAGTCTCATGTTTTAAAAATGAACACAGCTCAATGGCTTGCAAGTTGCTACTTACAGATAGTTTCTTCCCATTGTTTGAGAGCCTTATGTCACATTATTAACTAAAATAAATTCAAGATAGATTAAAAGAGTTACATGCAGAAGAGAAAACCATAAAAATAAAAAAGAAAATATAGGTGAGAAGCAAATCTTAGCTTGAGGAAAGCATAAAGTCATAAAAGCAATGAAAAAAATTGCAAAAGGAAAATAGATACATTTAACTGCATTGATAAATGAAACTGCATACAAAATTTCTACATGTTAAAAATATGATAACATGTAAACACAAATTAGTCAAATATTCGCAACAAATGTGATAGACAAAGGCTAACATATGATACGGCTTGGCTGTGTCCCCACCCAAAATCTCATCTTGAATTATAATAATCCCCACGTGTCAAGGGTGGGACCCAGTGGAGATAATTAAATCATGGGGGTAGTTTCCCCCACACTGTTCTCATGATAGTGAGTGAGTCCCCATGAGATCTGATGGTTTTATAAGGGATTTCCCCCTTCACTCAGCTCATTCTCTCTTGTCTGCCACGATGTAAGACGAGACATTGCTCCTCATTCGCCTTCCACCATGACTGTGAGGCCTCCCCAACCATGTGGAACTGTGAGTCAATTAAACCTCTTTCCCGTCCGGGCGCAGTGCCTCACACCTATAATCCCAGCACTTTGTGAGGCCCAGGCGGGCAGATCACGAGGTCAGGAGTTCGAGACCAGCCTGACCAACATGAAACCCCATCTCTACTAAATGATACAAAAAATTAGCCAGGCGTGGTGGTGGGTGCCTGTAATCCCAGATACTTGGGAGGCTGAGGCAGGAGAATCGCTTGAACCCGGGAGGTAGAGGTTGCAGTGAGCCAAGATCACGCCACTGCACTCCAGTCTGGGCAACAGGGCAAGACTCCATCAAAAAAAACAAAAAAAAAAAAAACCTCTTTCCTGTATAAATTACCTAGTCTTGGGTATGTCTTTATTAGCAGCGTGAGAACACACTAATACAATATATAAATACATCTTTCAAATCAATTTAAAAACCTTACTATCTTAATAAAATAATGGCAAGAGACATGATTAGAGGTATGATTTTTCTTCACAAAGAAAAAATGTAAGTGGCTAACAAATGTGAAATGGGTCATTTTTAGTAATTAAAGAAATGCAAACTAATGTAAGATGAATAGGATCAAGACAGTTTCTACTATTAAACTGGGTTTTTTGGTTGTTTTTATAAGGTAACCCTCAATTCTGGCCAAATTACAGGGAGTATAAGGTGATACAGCCTTTCTGGAAAGTTATTTAGTAACAGGTGCTAATAACTTCAAATATGTAAAAGTAATGTGTAAAAGTATCAGTAATTGCATTTATAGGAACCTGTCCTTAGAAAATAATTAGAAATGCCAGTACAGATTTGTATACCACAGTGTTCACTGCAAAATTATTTGTAGTAGTGAAAAATTGAAGATCACCCAAATGAACAACTATAAGGAGTTATTTATATAAATTATGGTTCACCAATACTGACATTATTGCTGACATTAAAAATTAGGAGTTTGAAGAATATTAAAATGGAAATATTTATTAAAATGTGTTCAATGTAAATTTGGCACCTTGTATAATGTGTCATTGTATAAATTTGTAACAATGGTATAGCAGTGTTAAATATATGTGTATGCACTGAGAAAAGATTAAATGAAAATCAGCAATGTGTTAGAAACAGTTTTCTCTGGATGGCCAGATTACAAGTAATTTTAATTTTCTTTATACTTTTCTGCCTGTTCCAAATTTTCCAGAATAGAAGTATGTTATTTTTATAAATGGAAAGAAAGTTTTTAAAGAACTGCGTTGCTAACAAAACAGATTTATTATGAAGAACACTCTTCAACTTTCTCCATAAACTTTCTCCTGACACTGTCATTCACTTCATAGTTAATGACTCCATTTTTCCTCCATATCTATCAAATTACCAACTTCTACTGTCTCTCTCTTCAATGTCTCCTAGACCTGGCCCTTTCTTTCCCCTCCTGCAGTCAGCCCAGTAGTTTGGCTTAGCTCCTCATTACTCTTGGCCTGTTTGGAAGACTTCTCTGACTCTCCATTGCTCTCAGTTTTGAATCCTGAACCCAGCCTGGGATGCATGATTCTCAGTAACATGCTTCTCACCTAGCTTTTCACATTAGTCCTCAGACTCCCTTACACACATCAGCCAGACCCTCACACCCCTGTGCTTTCACTTCCCTGTGATGTTCCTGCTACTAGCAGTGCACTTCATTCATTCATTCATTCATTCATTCAACAGACATTTACTGAGCAAATTTCAGAGCACTAGGCACTCTGGGGTACAAAGATGAATTAAACAAAAGTCTCTGCCTCCAAGAGGCTCCAAGTCATGTTGAGGAGACAGACAAATAAACATTTGTGTGAAAAGTGTGAGTTATGTTATTAATGTGTTATCCACTGGTGAAACTGTGATTCGAACCCATGTCTGTCAGCCTCTAAAGCCATGTTGCTTCAGGGTAAGGAAAGAAAAGCAACTGCACTGGTCCGATATGGCTGGCACCTGGGTATCTGTTGAGGAGCAATGGGAGATGAGTCTGCAGAATGGTTGTGTGTGCCATGCTGAGGTATTAAAACTGAATCCTCTTGACAACTAGGATAGCAATAATTAATCGTTAATACTCCACACCATGCTCTGCTCTAAGGGCTTTTGCACATGCTGGCTCAGCTAATCCTCACAATGACTTTATGAGGTAAAACAACTTCATCTTTTCATAGATCAAGAAACCAAGGCACAGAAAGATTAAGTGATTGGCACAGTGTTGCATAGTAATATCTTGTTTTATGTGTTTAATTGTCTTGTCTCTGCAAATAGATTGTAAAACATGAAAGGTTAGAGGCCATCATGGGCACTTTTGTATCCCTAGCAGGACTCTATTCATGACCTAAATACACATAATGCACACCCAGTAAATATGAATTGAATTGAATTAAAAGCCTTCAAGGTCTTCATGAAATACTCTTAATTGCTCTGATTATTATCCAGACCTATATTTTGGGGAGGGGAGGGGGAAGGTAGAGAAATGAAGAGACATCTTAATTTGACATCACATGTCCTTCAGAAACAAATGACATATCTGTGTTAACTGAACTCACAAGGTAACTTCCAAACTCACAGAATCACAGTCTCTTCAGGTTGATAGCCATCATAGCAGTCGCCTTGTTGAAACTCCCACTCGTTTGAAACTGTAACTTGACTGGAAGGCTCTAAGAACATGATTCTGGAATGTGAGGGACTCTAGCTTTTTAAACTCACTTGTTCTAAGCCTGTAACTTTTTGGGGGGAAAGAGTGAGCCCTGCCGGTCAGATTCCAACATAATAGGGTCACAGTGTGTAGGTTTAAAGGGGATGCTATGCAAATGAGCATTTATTTCCTGTTTGAGCCCAGAGATAAAACAGGAAGCGTAAAGTGCATATTAAATTTTGCATTATGGGAATCGGCCGATTGAGCTGCACCGCCATAATAGGAATCTCACTAAAGACTTGCATGCCCGTGTGCACAAAGAGTGGAATATGTTAAGCCTTTTCTCTTCACCCCTCACCCCCTCTCCCTTGCTCACACATGCTCACACATGCGGGAGGAGCAAGCTGCCATGAGGTCATGTAAGGACACACAGCACTTCTCATTCCAACCAGATCATTGCATTTGCTTTAACAGGGCAAGAGGGTGGAGAGGACAGATGAGAGAACAGCGACATCACATACCCTCTCATCCCATGGCTTTGTAGTAGCTTTGTCTGTCACAGCCCTGCCCTCATCTCACAAACCAAAATCATCCATGGCCTCTGGGGCTAGGCTTGACAAATGCCTCCTCTGTAATAACAGTAATCGCAGCTAACGCTAATTGAGCATGCCTATCAGGTGCATGGGTCTGTGTCCTTTCAGGAGGTGGATACTTGTAACCCTTGAGTGATTCATTGTTCCAGGCTGCACTTACCAATTGCAGAAACTAAGGTTCAGAGAAGTTTAGTGAATTGCCTGAGGTCACAGAGCCAATAGATGGAGGAGCCCAGACTCAGGTCCAAGCTTCTTGCTCCAAAGCCCAGGCTTTTAGCTTTCGCACTACATTTTCTTGGTTACAAAACCTCTGCCCTCAAAATTCTCCCTGCCTCCATCTCCAGCCAGAAATCATTTGCTCTTGTTCCAAATTCTCACAGTGCTTTATCTATGTTTCTTTTATGGGGCTTACTGGTTTTAACATCTTATTGTTGTCATTTATATAAAGTATTCACTTTTCCTGTTCGAGTGTGGGGCGGGGGATAGAGATAGAGTCAATTTCTTATTCTTTGGTGTATTTTCCACAGCACCATATGTAATGGTCCTTCAGACAAGGAAAAGCCAGGATGTTTCTGATCAGATCTGCCCTGTCTGAGCACCTGTACCTCAATAGGAATTTGGGAATGCATAAAACTACCTGTAGAATTTAACTCAGATTTCCTAAAGAAAAGTAAAGACCTAGCTGAGACAGACCGAATCATGTTTCCCCTAATAATAGGCAAATCACATATCATGGTCCACCTTACACTGACTGTCTCTTCCTTCAAGTCCCCATCCCTTACTGTCCTAGTGTTCTTTAGTGTCCCAGTCTGCTCAGAACTCTTTTTGTTTATGGTTCACATTTGCTGATCCTTTTCTGCAGGTCTCATTCGTTTTGTGGCAGAGTTGAAGCTTCCTTGCATCCTTTATGGCAGGCTTCTGAGATGCTTCCCTCTCACATTGCTTCAGATTCAGACTTTAAAGAATCTAGTCGTCATTAGCTTGCTTTGAAGTTCTTGTATTGTATCAATTTATACACCACATGGATTTTAAAACATTCCGTGAGATGCCTGCTGCAGCTGTTTATTGCACCAAGAATACCCCCACCTCTCTCTCTCTCTCCTCCCTTTCTGTTTCTATTCTGTCTGTGACTCCCTCTTCCCTCTCTGTAAGGCTGCTTCTCTCTAATCTTGTTTCTTGGGCTCTGACAAATGAGAATGGATTTAAGTTCATATCCTGATCTAGTTTTTGGCAGAAGAGAGCTGTTTTGAGGATGAACTCAACTCTATAATTCCTCCCACATTCCACCCATAAACATTTTTCTGGATGTGTTGCTCAAGGTTTTTCTGTTTTTCTCTTTAATCATTTCATAATCACTCAGTCTAAGCTGTATGGTGACAGTATTTTGTTCATAATTAATCATATATATTTGCTAATAAATGAATCAGTGGGGAAAACAGGAAGGAAAGAAACTAGAGACTCCAGGTTCACTGGGACAAGCAGTGTACCCCTACTCTTCAAAGTACAACCCTAAACAGGCCATCCAGTCATAATACCACCACTTGGGACCCATTCCTGATGAATTCAGTAAATCACAAAGGTGCTCATCTTTGTCTTGAAGTCAGTCTTGATGTTTGTGCTATTAATGGAGCACAATCTGCAGCTGGCCCAGATGTTGCTGACACCAGCCCTGCCTGCCTCTGTCAGCATAGCAAAGATTCTAGCAAATCTGTAATGTTGTCCATGCACCTTGGTGCAGAGAGTCACATACTGCTCCCTAAAAGGAAAATGATATGGTTCCTTCTGTGTTGTATTTGCTGGAAAAGGCTGGAGACCAAGAAGTTCCGAAAGCCAGGCTGCCTTGGCCCCTTGAGTGATAACATTCTTGCTCCTGCGACCATGTCCTAAGGGAATTAAATGCCCTGACCGTCCCATGGAGATGAGGTTCTGGAAGAACCCCTCAACCCTGCTGGTCCTGGTGTTCCATTACTGCCAGGGCTGAAGACAGAGGTCCAGTCTTGCCACTTGTTGAAACTCAACAAGACTACAGAGAAGTGGCACAATACGGCCACTTCAACTGCCAATGCCGCTTCACTGGCACTAGCACTGGACCAGGTCCTGCTGGTTCCCCCAGGCTGCAGTGGTTCCTCAAGGGCAAGAGCTCTGTCACAAGGGCACCAGTTGCCTGGCTATCTCATTTCACCTACACTGTCTGAGAGCATCATCCTGCTGCCCACCAGCATCTGCCTTGGAGCAGATTCTAGAATAAAGCACTTCATGGACCTAGACTAATACACCCTTGAAAGTCTAGCCGTTGGTATAGAGGCAGTTCCCTTGGTCCCATCTCCTCCTGCCTTCAGGGGGATTCTTCCCTTAGGCACCTCCGTCCTTTCTTCCATCTAGCCTCTGCCAAGGTATGTTAATAACTTTGAGAGGGAAGGGACTGGGATTCAGATCACTTTATTTCAAAAAGATCTCTCTGCTTCCAAGTAATCTAGTGGGTGCGACTAGAGGCATGGGAGAAAGACTCCACTCAACTCTTCCTAGGCCTGTGGAGCTCCAAATGTTGGCACATATAAGGGAGGGAGTAAAGCCCCTCCGGTCATCTGCAGGGCTGAGCTCAGATCATGGGTCGACCCAGATGCATGGTCATGTAAGCCATCGTCTGTTTGCCTGTAAGTGAAGGGGGAAATCCTTGTCATTGAGTTCCACAAGTTTCTTCCAAGTACATTAACTTTTTATTTCTATTCATCTCTTTTAGGAAATTATTATTGATATAAATTGATTATAAGTAAATATTTGCAGGAAAAAAATATGCATATATTTTGAGGCAGAGTCTTGCTCTGTCACCTAGGCTGGAGTGAAATGGCATGATCTCAGCTCACTGCAACCTCCACTTCCCGGGTTCAAGCGATTCTCCTGTCTCAGCCTCCTGAGTAGCTGGGACCACAGGTGTACACCACCACACCCAGCTAATTTTTGTATTTTTCGTAGGGACAGGGTTTCATCATGTTGACCAGGCTGGTCTTGAACTCCTGACCTGGAGTGATCTGCTCACCTTAGCCTCCCAAAGTCCTGGAATTACAGGCATGAGCCACCGTGCCCAGCCAGAAAAATATTTTTAAAATTTCCACATACAGTTGGCCTTGTGTATCCTTGGGTTCTTCATCCGTGGATTCAACCAACTGTGGATTGAAAAAAAAATATATATATATATATATATACGTATATATATGTATATATACATATATATACGTATATATATATGTATATATACGTATATATACGTATATATATATGTATATATATATATATATTTTTTTTTTTTTTTTTTTGAGACGGAGTTTTGCTCTGTTCCCCAGGCTGGAGTGTAGTGGTGCGATCTTGGCTCACTGCAAGCTCTGCCTCCCGGGTTCATGCCATTCTCCTGCCTCAGCCTCCTGAGTAGCTGGGACTACAGGCGCCCACCACCACGCCCAGCTAATTTTTTGCATTTTTTAATAGAGACGGGGTTTCACCATGTTAGCCAGGATAGTCTCAATCTCCTGACCTCATGATCCACCCACCTCAGCCTCCCAAAGTGCTGGGATTACAGGCATGAGCCACCATGCCCAGCCGAATGTCTATTTTTTTAATGGATTTTTTAATGTGTTTGTAGTAAACATGTTGAGACTTTTCTTTCTTGTCATTATTCCCTAAACAATACAGTATCACAACTATTTACATAGCATTTACATTGTATTAAATATACATAATCTAGAGATGAATTAAAGTGTACAGGAGGAAGTGCGTAGGTTATATGCAGATACTACACTATTTTATATCAGAGACTGGAGCATCTGTGGATTTTGGTATCTGCAGGGGTCCTGGAACCAATCCCTTTTGAATCCCAAGGGATGACTATATATAAATTTTTGATGTATAAAATCTTCTTTTCCAAAGAATGAACAATGTCATAATCTAACACTTAGCCTCTAGAGTTAATATAATAAATAGAAACTTTAAGTGCTGCAAGCACTGATTTCCACATGGTAGACTGTGACCCACTGGTGGGGTATAATCATCATTTTTAATGACATAGAAAGAGAATGTAGTGGAACAAGACTGGACACAGTGGCTCACACCTGTAATCCCAGCACTTTGGGAGGCCGAGGCGGGCAGATCACTTGAGGTCAGTCAGGAGTTCGAGACCAGCTTGGCCAACATGGTGAAATCCCATCTCTTCTAAAAATATAAAAATCAGCTGGGCATGGTGGTGGGCACCTGTAATCCCAGCTAATTGGGAGGCTGAGGCACAAGAATTGCTTGAACCTGGGAGGCAGTGGTTGCAGTGAGCCGAGATCATGCCACTGCACTCCAGCCTGGGCCATAGAGTGAGACTCAGTCTCAAAATAGAAAGATGAGTGCTTTACACCTAGTATGGCTAAGTGTTATTTCATGAAACTTTTCAGTTGTCTGTTTATATAAGTCTGTATTTATGTAAATCCATCCATGCACATACACAGGTCACCCATTTGCATGTATCCCGTAGGTCCTGGGGCCCTGTGTAGAAAGCAGGTCTCATCGTGGATCACAGTCAAGCAAACGTTGAAAGCTGCAGCTCAGGAGGCTCCTCACGCCCCTGCTATGCCATCTTTGTCACTACTTCCTTCAGCCACTTTGGATTCTGCTTCCCTTTCTCTAACTTCCAGATGCATCTTTCTTCCCTTAAAGCCAGTCATGCATTCCAGACTGGTAGTGCCATCTTTGAGCCCTTTGTTTTTTTCATTCTTGCAAGATGACTGAGGGGAAGAACAGAAATAGCGATACACGGACATTAGATAAATGGCATTTTATCATTCCCACTTGAATATCATATTAAAAATAATTCCTGTTGCTATTTCAAGATGTTGCTCAATTTAACGTGGTATTTCTGCTGTTCAAAGTGCATGCCTGTAGCAGTGCATAATGCATGCTAGTGCTTTGGTACATCGCCCTGCCTGAGTGAGTTTTGCAGATAGTCAGTCGTCTGCCTACATATTCCTTGAGAACAGTCAACCTGGAGAGGCCTAAAAATGCTTAGGAATGTTGAAGAATGGCCTTTTTTTTTTTTTTTTTTTTTTTTACTACTGAACTCCTTGTTCGGAGGTGCCAGTGAACAGACCATAAAATGTTTGTAAAATGAGGAAACAGTTAAATTTTCTACTAAGCACCAGGCACTCAAGCATGTGACTCCACTTATGGCTGCTGATAGCATGCACAAATGAAAGGCTATGAGGCCTTCTCCTAGATGCCAAGCCTCCTGTCAGTGCCTAGCGCATTTGGAGAACATTGCTATCAGATACAGTAATTCATTTCCTTAAGACGGAACCCAGAGTTGAAAGGAGGTTAAATGAAAAGGAATGCAGCAGTGCCAGGTTTCCAGCCCTTTCCTATGTGCTTAAATATTAATAGACACTTGGCATATAAGCTTGTGTAGCTTTGTAATCCCTCAGGATAGTGGCAGGGCTTTGGGTTGGATATGCATTCTTAATTCCCCATTGGCTTGTCTTTGGTTACTCAGCATGTTTCTATGTCCTGAGACAATACTGTGACAAATGAGTGTAGTCTAACAGGCAGAAGCAGGTGAAGATGAATTTCTTATGAACTACATTTCTTATTAAGTCTTCTGATCTACATAAAATATAAAAGGAAGATAATACCTTTCTAAGACACCTTCCATACCTTTGCTCGTGGAATTGAACAGAACTCTATTTAGCTGGGAAGTGAAGGAGATAGAGGCTTTGTGTTTTGAATGCATCAAAAGTATTGTTTGTCTGAAAGTAAAGATTGATACAAAAACATCCCCAAAGCAAATTAATGAAAGGGGATTATTTCCCAGGGGAAGGTGAGGCAGAAGGCTTGGATTCTGTGCTCTGTATCAGCCAGGTGACCTTAGCCTGGCCGCTAGCTCTATGAGGCACAATTTCCGCATCTATAAAGTGTCGTACAAAGCAGCTATGAGTATACCGTGAGATGCACACATGGAAAGGCTCTGGACCCTGAGCACCATGTCACTGTCTTATTGTCTCATTAACAAAGTTATATAACCCATATAATTTAACATGGAAGGCCATTCTGCTCTTTCACTCTCTAACACATGGGTCTCTATGATTAATAGCACAGAAGAGGCCGGGCACAGTGGCTCACATCTGTAATCCCAGCACTTTGGGAGGCCAAGGCAGGTGGATCACGAGGTCAGGAGATCGAGACCATCCTGGCTAACAGGGTGAAACCCCGTCTGTACTAAAAATACAAAAAATTAGCCGGGCGTGGTGGCGGGCGCCTGTAGTCCCAGCTACTCGGGAGGCTGAGGCTGGAGAATGGCATGAGCCCGGGAGGTGGAGCTGGCAGTGAGCCAAGATTGCACCACTGCCCTCCAGCCTGGGCGACAGAGCAAAATTCTGTCTCGAAAAAAAAAACAAAAAACAAAAACTAGCACAGAAGACTGTAAAATTGCATGTTGTGCTGTCAGGCCTCTCACTTGCTCATTTGAGACTTCATAGTGCCTACTGCACAGGAACAGCCTGTAAATTAGCTTTTCTAATCTTAGGCACATATCAATTATTCACCAGCCCAGCTCCTCTTGTACTTTATCTTATAGAATTCACTGGCAATGTTGCACCATGTTTCTAAATCTTAATCTGAAACTGATACATTAATACTAGGTTTCAGTGGCCTTAGATAATTCTGCATGTCAGCCGATTCTGAAAATAATTTTTTTCTTTTTCCCTTACTTATGTGAAACTCTATATGAAGGTTAAGAAACAAACTGGTGGCTGTTATTTTCTACTTTTCAGTATCATTATGAGATCATACATCTGACATATCAGCCATTTAGCTTTTGAGAGAGAACATAGAAGCAAGAATTTCTGCTTAAATTTATTTTAAACACCATGTTGTTTGCAGTGTTTAATAAAATAGTATAAAAGTGTTCACTGTTCTTTTCAAATACGTGTAATTCAAAATTACACATATTATAATTATTTTCATTGCATAAGGAGAAAATTATATACAATATCAATATCTGTTGTTTCCATATGTAAAGCATAATTAATTATGTTGTCTATGCCTGTCAGAAAACATAATATGAACATAAGAAATTCATCCTATTTACGTGTATTTTTTAATTAAAAATTTTTTTAAATCATGGATACAAGCAAAAGAACCACTTAATGTCATTAATGGGCCCTCCTGGCAGGATAGATAATTGTCCTCACAACACCTGAGATAAACGATTTGCTGGTTCCTGGAGAGATCTAGATAGCTCAGAAAAGGAACAGAGACTGCAATTACAATATTAGTAGTATTAATGAGCATGTGTGTGTTATCCTTGGAGTGGTTGAGTGCCCCATGGTTCATGCTCAGCCTTCAGTATCTGCTGAATGACTTCTACTCTGTAGTCATGAAAATTAGATAGTGGATGATTTCTCATGAGAAAGATAACATTCTTACAGAGATCTCAGAACAGTGCCATTTGACATGCTCTGTGTTTATCAGTGTGTCCAAAGATGGGCTCATGAGTGCTGCCCATCAGTGATATTGCTTCTGATTAGCCTAGGTGGGGGAGAGAGTAAGTGAACTATAGTAAGGGGCTTTCATAGCCTGTGTAACCAGGTGTTAGAGTTAGTAACATTTAAAAAAAAACTAATTAAGGTTTAAGTATATCAAGGATCCAATGGAGAGGCCAGGCACAGTGGTTCACGCCTGTAATCTCAGCACTTTGGGAGGCTGAGGTGGGCAGATCACAAGGTCAGGAGTTCGAGACCAGTCTGGCCAACATGGTGAAACCCCGTCTCTACTAAAAATACACAAATTACCAGATGTGGTGGCACATGCCTGTAGTCCTAGCTACTCAGGAGGCTAAGGCAGGAGAATCGCTTGAACCCAGGAGGTGGAGGTTGCAGTGAGCTGAGATTGCACCACTTCACTCCAGCCTGGGCAATAGAGCGAGACTCCATCAAAAAAAAAAAAAAGATCCAGTGAAGGAAGTCAGCAGTATCATAAACAGTGTCATACTTGAACAACATGCAACATGGAACTTTTTGCCCACTTCTGGACATCTTCAGAATGGCAAATATATTCTAAAGGTGCATCTTCAGTTTCTTGTTAGGACATCACTGAGCATTTTTCACTCTGCCTTTGGTGAGATTATGTTGTATTAAATAAAATATTCTGAAACATTCTAATTTTCATGAATAACTGGATGTTATTTTTGACAATATTTATCCAAATCTTTCTGCTTCTTCTGAAGAAGATTTTCATGGTAAGAAATATTAGTTTGTTCAGTAAATTTTATACAGCATCTTTTTAAGCTAAGCACTGTGTTAGGGCTGGGGATACTGGTCACAGGGTCTAGAAAAGTGCTTGTTACATAGAAGATTATTGATATTTAGTGAATAATTGCATAAAAGATGGATCCTTGAGAAACTTGACAAATTCATAATCTAATAGCTGACTCAGGAGATAGGAGAAAAAGACATTTGAATTAAAAAAATCACAATGAAGCAGAAGTAAGGGCTAATAGATATCAAAAAGTACAGTAAGAGAGAGTAGCAAATGAAAATACCTCCAAAAGATATTAAAGTCAAGTGATAGATTTTATTGGCATTTACATTTACAAAAGTTTGCTTCAAGGGGTACTCAAAGTTATAGCAAATTATATTTGCAGGGAAAAAAAATAAAATGAGGTACATTCAGTATGATTTTTTTCCCAGAAACAACACTAGAATAGGAATTTGCATTTCTATGCAAAGTCTTAATTCCCAGTAGTTTTTCAAATAATGAACAAAAGCACCATGTTAAATCAGCCATTTAGCCACCATAAATTATAAACCTTTTTGTTGTGCAGATTAAGCTTCCTGCCATATCAAATTACATTTAATATGACGTGGTATTACCCTCAGTTCTCACCTTTATCATCCTTGCTATATTTTACAACAACTACTCAAAAGGTCAAATAATTCATGGAGTGGTAGAATTGAGATTAAGTTGTGATAGGCATCTTTGAGAGAGTTTTTGTAAATACTTGGGTTCCTTGATGGCTTATTTGAGGAACTCACATAGAATATATTTTATTCTTTGCTTTCTTTCTCATTTTGAATTGTTCTGAAGCAGGTATACAGATTAGAAACCTAGTATTGATCTTTCAATATTGGAAGACAAATCCTTCTATGGGCAACATCTCATCTATAATTTCACTTTGAATTCTAATAAAATTCAGTATAATTATATAAATCAGACCAGTATAAAGGACTGGTATAATTGCATATTTAAATTTTACTATTTGTGCCTTATTTGCCACAGCATTGCTCCCTACTGTTAAGTTCTTTGGTTCCAAGTGCCTAGTATGATTAATTTAAACAGGCCTGGGTTTGAGATGGGATCCATGTGTACCAGCTGTGTGAATTTGCACAATTTACCTAACCTCTTTTCAGAAGGAACCCCAATATTCCTACCTGTAAAATGAAAATAACAAGGTTTGTATGGGGACTGAAGGAACCAAGTGATCCTCATGATATTCATAGTACAGTGTCTTGCACATGTCGTGCGCTTAGTAAGTGTCAGTGATAATAGAGCAAGCTGCTGAAGTTGCAGTGTGCAGCCTGCACAGCTCACTGTGGCTGCCGTGATTAGCTACTGCATTTTTCTTTGGGAAAAAGTGATCTGAGATCCAAGCACTTGGTTTATCTAAGGCTTTTAGATTGTGACTTTAAGTTGGAGTTATAAATTATTGGAAACTTGGGAAAACAAATTAGAGATGTGCAGGGGTGGGAGAGATCTCTCTGAACTGGATCAATCAGAGAAACATCCTTAAAGATTTGATATTTGAAGAATGGGCAGGAGAAAGGGTATCCAAGTTAGGGAAAATGTTTTGTACTTACTCGAGTCAAGGTTTAAATGGAATTCAGTGCTGAGCTTGAAGAAAAGGTGTCTTTGTGTAATTTTGACTGGAAGAAAATCAGAAGGTAACTTATGATTTACATTTACATTCCAACTTCTTAAAATTACATTTTAAGAATGGATTACAATCTTGTTAGGAAGGTTCTTCCCTATCCCCAGCCCCTATGACCCTGAGTTCTAAAAGACTCACTATTCAGCAGGCACACATCTGAAATGACACTGTCCACCAAGTGAGGCCCATAAACCCTAGTCCTTGTCTGTGTTCCCGTGGAGGGGCTGAGGAGGCTCCACTCTGTGACTCTGACAGTTCTGGTGAAAAGAATGTCCCTGGCAGAGGAGGCAGCAAGGCTGTCTGATGGCTCACTGAATAGCCCTGGGAGTAAGAGCTGTTTCCCACCATGAAAACAGGGACTCCACCCTCAAAAGAAAGCAGCCTTCACAGCTGCTTAACTAAGTAGCCTCATGGGACTCCTGGGAGCTAAAAACCACAGCCGAGCTTTCTCCCCACAGGGCATGGCTCTAAGACAAGAAAAAGAGATAATTTTAGACCACAAACTTTGACCTTGTGAATAAAAGGAGAATAATGTAAATAAAGAAAAATAAGGTGGAAGTAACTCATAACAAGCAGAAAAATGGTAAGATATAAACCACTGGATCCTGAGATCAGGCATAGTTTTTAAAAAAATTGATAGTTTTTTTATTGATACATAATAGAGGTACATATTTTGGGAGTACATGTGACAGTTTGATACAGTCGTATAATATATAAAGATAAGGGTAATTGGGGTATCCATCACCTTAAATACTTGTCTTTTCTTTATGTCAGGGACAGTGGAATTATTCTCTGCTAGCTATCTTGAAATGTACAGTAGATTAATGTTAACTATAGTCACCCTATAGTGAGCTATTGAACACTGGGTTTTATCTCTTCTATCTAACTGTATGTTTGTACCCATTCAGACATAATTTTTTAAAAGTTCCCTAAATACTAATATTGACTATTGGAGACTTTAAACCTTAACCTAGATGTCATTACTTTTTTTTGGCTGGAGTGCAGTGGCGCAGTCTCAGCTCACTGCAACCTCCGCCTCCCAGGTTTAAGCAGTTCTCATGCCTCAGCCTCCTGAGTAGCTGGGATTACAGGTGTGTGCCACCACGCCCTGCTAGTTTTTGTATTTCTAGTAGAGATGGAGATGGGGTTTCACCATGATGGCCAGGCTGGTCTCGAACTCCCAGGCTGGCCTCAAGTGATCTGCCCGCCTCGGCCTCCTAAAGTACTGGGATTACAGGTGTGAGTCACTGCACCCAGCCTCATTACTTTTATTTTATTTGTAATGCTACATGGATTAGTAGCTGCTTAACATTATCTGTTATTTTGACATCTATTATTTCTTTACATTTTACTTTCAACAGACAGTACGTAATGCCCTGCATACTTCTACCACGAGCATATTTATTCCTTATGGCTGCTGTAATAAATTGCCACAAATTTAGTTGCTTAAAGCAATGTAAATTTCTACTACAGTTCTGGAGGTTGGAAGTCAACTGGGTCAGCATGGCTGTGTTCCTTCTAAACTGTAGGGGAATCCTTGTCTTGCCTTTTCCAGCTCCTAGAGGCCAACTGCATTGCCTGGCTCCTGGCCGCATAGACTCTGTCCTCTGTTTCCACGATCACATCTCCTCTGACTCTGACCCTCCTGCCTCCCTCTTACAAGGCCCCTTGGGCTTGCATTTAGGGCTCACATAGATAATCCAGAATAAAATTCCTATCTCAGGGTCCTTAACATCATCTGCAAAGTCCTTTTTGCTGTTAAGGTAACATAGACACAGATTCCAGAGATTAGGATTTGGACCTCTTAGGGGGGCTACTATTTAGCCTGCTACACTGAGGAGTGTGTGAGACCAACAACCTAGACGGAAATTGGACGGTGGAGAAAACGGTGAAGTGTTTTCTCCGTCGGAGAAAGTGGATGGAAGGTTATGCATGGTCAGTTTGTCCTTGTACAGAATTCTGTAGTCTAATCCATTTTATATGTAACAAATGAAAATGTTTTCAAGTATGATGATCAAAAGGAGTGAGTGTCTCCCTTAACATCCTATAAATATTTTAATACGTGGTCCAGTCCATCTTCCTCACTCACTCTGCAGTGTTTGATCCATTACCCAAGGTAACTGAGGGCCCACCACCTACTGGGTGCTCCATGAACCCCAGGCAAACCACAGGCAAGTCAGCTCATTTCCTCTGGGTATACAGGGTGTCTTTGTCTTATATTTAGCTTATAAATTGGTTGTCAGCTCCATTGCAGAGCAGTAACATGAACTTGTGGTTTAGCACATCACATCCTTTAAAGGACAATAACGTTTTTCTGGCTTCCCCACGTGGCTCTTGATAACAAGATGGTGTGGAGAGCAGCAGGAAGAATGTCCAGGGTAGAGAGCTGCCCTGGAGTTGGGGCCGAGATAGCAGATGGCACCCTTTCTGTGACAAGGCTATTCTAGAGTTGCTGGGTGACCGACACATCCTGACAGTGCCCAAAGGGGCTGCTTGTGGAGAGGAGGTTGAAATTCAAAATCCAAAGCAGAGTCTCTGCACTGAGGCAGATGGAAGAACTCACTGTAGAAGCTTCACGCTGGAGTGTGCAGCCAAGGGCTTAGAGGTCGAGGCACCTGCGAAACGTGGAAGCCGGAAGGTTGGGAATGGCTTCATTATGCTCAGACAGATCCCATCCACAGCTCCTTGATGCTGCTGGGAACTCACATTCTCCTCACACTGGAAGTGCTTGTGCCAGGGCAGGGACCCTAAGACCTACCTCTCTCCATCCCATCCTACTTCTGCCAGCCACATGGATGGTGGAGAGAGCCCAGCTGCCCATGTTCCTCTCTCAGTGGACTGTGAGAAAACCACTCACAAATTGTGTGCTCTCCAATGAATAAGGGGCATTTGTTGATGCCTAATTAAAATTAATATTTATTGAATATCTACTAATATTCCAGACACTATTAGCTCTTTACATGACTTATGCCACTTAATTCTCAGAACTATACATGGAAAGTGCTCCTAGTGTTTTTTTATTTTTTAATTACAAAAAGTGGGCCCAGGGTGATGAAATAACTTGCCCAAGGCCACACAGCTAGTGAGTGGTATAGTTGCCATTAAACCCAGACAGCCTGACATGGAAGCCCACACTTTGCCTGCCCCTGCATCCTGCCAAGAAAAGATGCTGACTCTTTGGTATAGATATTTAAGAAAATTATAATGATAATCCAAACACTCACGAGGGCTTTTCATATAATTCGTTTAATCCTAAGGAAACCCCTGAGGAAGGTTTGCTTATTATCAATAGAGGGATTAAAGCATGGGAGGGCTTAAGTAACTTGCCCAAAGTTCACATTGATAGTAAGTAGCAGAACTGTGATTTGAAGCCAGGCAGCCTGCCTGTGTGTTCTTAGAAAATGTGTTGTCGTTGAGATATAGCAATAACACCAAAGTTATAGGCTAAATGATGGAATTTATTAAGATTGTGGAAGGCACTGTAATTGATGCAATACAGACATGAATCTGAGAAAGACACAGTCTCTTTCATTTCCTCAGTGTGTGCAGCCCCAGATAGATGCATACCTGCAGCCAATTATAAGCTCAAATGAACTCTGGAACTCAGAAAACACCATGACAAGAGAGAAAGGGCCTTCTGGTGCTCTAGAAGCATTCCTTCTAAGGAGGATGATGTCACCCACATTGCAGCCTCTTCCCTTCAAATTTCATTGGTTACCTCTGCATATAATAGGTACCTTCCTCTTTAGGATGCTTTCTTCTACCACTCTCTCTTTTTTTTTTTTTTCCTTTTTTTTTCGAGATGGAGTCTCACTCTGTCATCCAGGCTGGAGTACAATGGCATGATCTTGGCTCACTGCAACCTCCGCCTTCCAGGTTCAAGCCATTCTCCTGCCTCAGCCTCCTGAGTAGCTGGGATCACAGGCGTGTGCCACCACGCCCAGCTAATCTTTATATTTTTAGTAGAGACAGGGTTTCACTATGTTGGCCAGGCTGGTCTCGAACAGCTGACCTCAGTTGATCTGCCCACCTCAGCCTCCCAAAGTGCTGGGATTACAGGTGTGATCCTCCGACCCCGGCCTTCTTCTACCACTCTCTGCAGCAAATAAAAGTCTGAGGAAACGCAGACTGTGATGTGGGTGCCGGCTTAAACTGTGAATAAGGCAAGTTAGTTGGCACCAAGGAGGGAAGTGGCCCAGGCACATTGACCCATGAGTGACAATGCAGGGAGGAAGGTAGGACTATGACAAGGCTGACTGGAGGGAATGGAACAGAGAGGCAGTGATATGAAGAGTGTGAAATAAATCTGTGATGGATAACAGCAGCAAGTTCCTTAGAGGCCTTTAACAAAGGGAGTAAGAAATTATTAATGACAGAGGTGAGAAAATGCATATACCAAAGATTCTCTACAGCCCTGTCTTCAGGGTTTACATTTTTGTTTAGAAGAGTATCATTCTTAACTCTTTCTTTAATACAGTTATGGTGAGATTTGGTTGTATTTTTAATTTATGATGACCAGACATGATTTGTGCATGAGAAAGGTATTCCCCACACAAATACATGACAGGAGATATATTCTTTCCCTACTGCTGCTGTAACAAAGAACCACAAACTTAGTGGCTTAAAAGAACACAAATGTATTTCTTACAGTTCTTTAGATCAGAAGTTTAACACAGATTTCACTCAGCTGGGATCAAAGACGCATTCCTTTCTGGAGACTCTCGGGGAGAATCCTTTTTCTTGACTCTTCCAACTTGCGGAGGCTGCCCACTTTCCTTGGCTCTCGGCCCCTTCATCCATCTTCAAAGCCAGGCTAAGTCCTTCTGCTGGCATCTCTCTGGTTCTTTCTTCATAATCACATCTTTTGATATCGGGATTCTGCCAGTCTTTTGGATGATGCCATTCTCTTCCAAAATTGTGTCCCTAGGCTGTGTGTGTTTCAGCTAGGGAGTTAGGAGTGAGGAGGCAGTGATAATGACAATGAGGCAGAGTTGGCAGGCATGTGGCCAGGCATCAGAAGCACAGGCAGGTGGGAGCAGTTCAGAAAAGAGGCACCAAGAGGATGCAGCACCAAGAAGGATGTCCTGATGAGTCTGAACTTTTCATTAGTAAAAGATGTACTTGTCAAATAAATGAAGTTTAAATGCTTCTACACACAAATACATGGTTTTTATTATTCAGAGAAAATAATTCATGATAAAAAGAGTAAATAAGCTGAACAGATAGATATTTACTAACCTAGGCATTGCTGATACATTAGCATTGCAAAGACTTTTTAGAAAAATCTGGATTCTGTTTGACTTATAGAAATTATATTTTCTATAAGTATATTTATAAGTATGTATTCTTTAAGTATATTTATACTTCCCACCTCTGTATTACACTCCACATTACAACTCTGGGAGAATATAAAAATTGATCTGTATCGAATAGAAACATGACTGGCAGCAAAATAGCTTTCCATTAAAAAATAGAGCAAAGTGGACCAAAAGAAGAGGTAAGCAGATTTTATTACACTTATTTTTGTCCACTTCCTCAGTTTTTCCTGATTTATTTGAAAGTTCTAATCCCATGGCACAGAACTTATATTCATGGTTAAATAAATATATTCATTAGGCTCAAGTCCATTTAAGGAAAATAATGCTAATCTTGGTTCAAGTGACATTTTAAAATCTTAACATTCTGTATTGGTTTAGTAATTTTAGAGTGTTGTTGTTTTCAGACTTTGCACACAAATCCAATTGCCAGCTCTTCTTCACTTTTCTCACTTCCTATATACCATTAAAGCTTGAATGGGTGCCTTTCCTTCCAGGACAGTATTCTCATCCGTTTGCTATTCTTTTTTAATTCCATTCTTGCCTTTCTGCCTTAGCCATATGTTAGTCTCATACTTCTCTATTGAATAACTCTTTTTGGCTCAATGGATATGAGAAACCAAGCAAAACTTCACATTTGAAGTAAATTATTGGCCTAGTTTATACACTAAGTCTCTCTTAAAATTCCATAACTGTTTCTTATTCAGGCACATTAATGAAATTCTAAATGTCAGCGAGCAGTACCAAAGGCCTGTAGTTACATGCTTTTCAAAATAAAGTATTGCCATTGCCTGCAGTTTTGCACATTCTGGTAAAAGGCATTAACAGTTTCTTTGTTTCTGCCTCAATTATCAATTGGTATCATGCTCAAAAATTGCTGAAAGATTACTAGGTTTTGGTTAGTAGTTAAAGAAGGTGAGTCTGCTCAGAATCACAAGAACATAGTATAGACTGTCTGAGTTGTGCATGTTACATGCAAGGATTAACTCATGTGCCAGTCTCTGGTGACTGGAGCACTGTGCTGAAAATTCTGGGTCTGTGATCAGTTAGTAATGTCTGCATGGGTGCGGTAATTGGGAGTGGAAATATATATGCCACATATTTTCTATCTTTGTTAAATCTAGGTGAAGTCAACATAACAGCCTTTAAAAAAAAAAAAAGGAGCATGACTTAGTGGAAGGGAAGAATTTAGGCTCTCAAATCAGATAGTTCTGGGTCCAAATTCCAACCACACCTTTATCTACTTGTATGACACTGGGAAAGTTAGTTAACTCTTCTACAACTTATGAAATGTGTATAATAAAACTGGTATTACATTGTTGTTAGAACAATTAATCAGAACTATACATGTAAAGAAGAACGTGGGCCCACATAGAGCCTTCATAAATGATCATTGTAGTGGTTATTTCCTATTTTATCTTCCCACACTGTTACTCACCTTTCTTCCAAGACAGTCTTCAGGTCATGTGGCTCTAGAGGGAGGAAGGTATACTCTAGCCTAAGCCAAGCACATTATACTCCTCCCAAGCCACAGCCATTGATTGAGAGTGGAGCTTCTGACCCAAATCAGACCAAACCCAGGCCTTCTCTGGAGAATTTCTGAACTGAGGCTGGTGAAACAGAAGCATTTTCTCCCTGTTGGCATGTGGTCCCAGAGCCATGCCTTCTCCTCCATGTGACAAGGCCTGTCTACATTGTCAAGAAGGAAGTGAGAATGCCACATCCGAAAGTCTAGTTCCAGTGACTGGGGCCCCTGGAGACCTGGACTCTCCTCCCAAGGTCTGGGAGTTTGGTCGTCTTTTCCTTTATTCATTAAAGCACCATCCCTCACCCCATCCCATATACCCGTTGTCGGCTGTGGATTTCTGATGGCCTTTAACTTTAAATGAGATCCAGACTCAAAACACGTCTGACTAATATGGTAGTTATTATTATGTCTGTTTTTTAAGAAGTTTGATTTCTGTAGATTTATCGCCTAATTACTGTATTGCTCCTCTCTTGACATTTTTCCTGTCTTCCTGGAACAAGGAAGCCTCAAAACCCACAGTGGTTTTCGAAAGCTTTTCTTATAAACATGTCATATTAAGTAACTGAGCTATAAATATTTACTTATGATTACATATTGGGAGATTTATTGCTTGGAGTGGCCTAAGTAGATAAAAATTTATTTCTTAAAATAGGCATGATTGAGTGGTCTCTTAGAAAAATTTTATACCATAGAGTGTTAAACAAAGCCACAGTCATTATTTTGAACCTGTTCAAACAACTTAGCTCTCCACAAAGAAAGCTCTGCTCCACCTGACAAACTATGCCCAGCATGTGCTGGTGCTGGGGGTCCCTGTGTCCCCAGGATTGCCTCAGCCAAATGCATCAGCCTGGTGGAAACCAGAAGCAGAATGCAGGGCACTCTCAGCCCATGGCGTCTCATCCCCATCACCGCACCCCTCCCACTCCAGTGTCTGGCCATGGCTGGTCTTCCAAAAATGTCTGATTGATCAGAACCACAAATATCAAGAGAACGGCACATTAAACATTAAACTAATGCATCTTTCCCCTGAATCTCACCCCAACAATTGTCTCTCCCTCACCAACAACCTCTTCAGGTTTTTTTTCTGTCTAAGAGCACTTTCTTTCCTATACTCAGAAATGCTGTTCTCAGCTCTCTTAAGAAGAAGCTTCACTTTGCCTTGCTTTTCATTCTGAGATTTTTTGATAATCTGGGTAGAAAAATCAGATCCACTGTTTTCAGTTTATTACTCACAAAAAATTGACCCTTGCCCTTGAGAAATTACCTATATTATTTTAGAAATCCACACAGGTGAACTAGTTGAAAAAAGTTACCAATTCACACTCTTATAATTAGGAAAACTGAAAAGGAGGCAGCCACATAAGTGTCCTTTTTCTTGTATGTTTTCCTCATTGCGGCGCTCAGCATGAGTAGACCAAACATTTGCTTGTTAATTTGCACTTTAACTAAATGCCTACTTGATCCTGACAGCCTTTTACACCAATTCAGCTTCTCCTTGATTTTCAGTCATTTCACCTTGGTTGGTTATTATTATTTATAATAAATACATTAAACGAATAATTTTATTCTTTATAAAGTCTTCATGAACCAAATTTGAATTGTGTTTTTATAATTACCTCTATGCCCCCAGATATACATTAAATACTTAGTTGATATTTGATAACTGAATAGGGAATTACAGAGAAACTAATGTCTTTCAGAATCTGTTAGTCTAATGGGAAACACTGGGCAAACTCAGTTATTTTATAATTTCCCAAAGAACACACAAATTAATTTAATGAGCTTTCACTTTAAAGCTGAACTAGAGTGCATTACTCAGTGTGACTGAAATTTTTGTGCCCCCCCCAAAACACACAGAGAAATCTAATGTATGGTATGAGCACTGTAGACAAACAGAATATCTTGGGCAGTAATGTGATCTGGTTCATATAATTTCAAATTTCGTGACCTATAAGAGTCTTTAGTCTGAGTGTTTCATTTAACAGAGGAGGAAACTGAAGTACAAAGGGAAATGACCTCCCACAATCACACACTTAACCAGTAGAGAGCTTTGGATCCTCAAAACCCACATTACCACCTTGTCAAACAACTAGGATGAAATACAATAAACCGAGCATAAAACTTTTTGCACAGTTTATCTTCTTGATGCTACAGAGCTGTGCCATGGTGCTAAAAAACAGTAGAGTCAGAGTCAGAGAGTCTGGCTTTGAATTCCAGCACTGTTCATAATCATGGGCCTCAGGCACACCGTCCAGCTTCCCTGAGCCTCAGTGTTCACATCTGTGGAATGAGCGTGATGGCCACCTCCCAAAGCGGATTTCAGTGTTCACTGAAACCATATGTATTAAAATATTTTGTAAATTGTAAAGCTTCATGTAAATGTGAGGTTTCATTATTTTTTTTTTGTTGGAATCTTCAATTGCCTCAAGGCCTAAGAATATCAGTTACATGGAATTCCTGGTAGCATTACACAATGTCAGCTGAGGGCCAGGTGTGGTGACTGTAGTTCCAGCTGCTCGGGAGGCTGAGGCCAGAGGATGGCTTGAGCCCAGGAGTTCAAGGTTACAGTGAGCTATGATTGTACCACTGCACTTTAGCATGGGCAGCAGAGCTAGACCCTGACTCAAAAAAAAGAAAAGAAAAGAAAAGAAAATGCCAGCTGAGGAAATGCAGGATACACCTGATTTTACTCTACACTTACTTAATAATGAGATTTTAAAATACTGTGTAAGTAAAGGGTGCTTTTAGAGTAAGCTTTCAAAACAAGTGTGTGTGTGTTTTTAAGGCTTTTCATCCAGAGCAATAAAGAAAAACATTAGAAAGTCTTCTGATTCATTTCTTAGCCAGGTGTCAAGTTTTTTATTATTTGCTCTGAGATGAGCTCTATTAACTAACTTATTTCTCTGTCAAAAACTGAATTCTCATCTCTGTTCTCCTCCTGCTCAAATTTGGCAGCTCTGCATGACTGTCAGTCACGGCGGTTGGGAATGTTGCTCCCCTCCCTCAGCACTGAAAACGGTGAATAGATGTATTATTGCTGCTTGCAAAGTACTAGAATGTAGCTGTCGTGGGAAAATTTAAATGGTCGCAATAGCAATAACAATAACAACGCAGCCTGCCTGTCTTTCTTCTCGTGTTCCGGGGCAGAAAGGGAGCTACCACCAGCTACGCAACTCAGTGGCTACACAAAATGCAAATTTCCCTGGCTTCGAACGTGGAGATTGTCCAATATCTAAAGAAAATTGTCTACATAAAAGAAATAATAAGAATTTTGGGGTGAAACAGTGCCTTTTCCAACGTTAAGTTTCAATTGCAAATCTTCACAAAGTTAATCCTGTTTTCCTGCAGCAACGGGGGAGTAATTTATCATTCAAATCATTGAAACCCAGAGACAATCACCAAACTTTATTTTAGCCAATGGTTTCATGTTTCTTATCAGGAGCAAGTGTTTTCTACAAAGGGTAACAATTAATTGATTTGAATATTTTTGTGCATTGATTGCCCTTGATTTTGAATAATGTGAGAAAAAGTAGGAAAGAAAGCGCAAGGCAAAGAATATTATTCATAAAGCCAAGTTTGAATGTCTGTATCACAACATGTGCTCATAAGGTTAGAAATATTTAAGTGCATGTTTAGGTGGCTTGGTTATAGAAATAAAAAAGACATGAGCTGTAAATAGTGAAAAGATATTTTAGAACTTACGAAAGGGAGATTATGTATGTAAAGTATGTACCGTGGGTATTCATGGTGTTGGACTGAATTTCAGTTGCCCGGCTTCTACGCAGACACCTTCCTCCTTTTAATCTAGTGATATTGTCCATCTCCCTGGTCACCCTTCTCTTCATACCTTACTAAGGCATCTCTGGTAGTAACTAACTCCATTGACCTCCCTACTTTCCCCAGTTGTTCTCTGGGTACCATACACCTGATTTCTTTATACTCCACTGGCTTTTTCTTTCCTATCTTCTCTGATAGCTTCTCCTCCCTTGCCCAACCACTAAATACTGAAAGCCCCAAGACACTGGGTCCCAATACCCCTCCTCTTCATTATATTTGAGGTCATCTCCTCCAATTCCATGTGCTAGTAATACCCAAATCTATATATCTGGCCCTGGCCTCTCCCCAAAATATTCAACTCAAGTCCTAAATGCTTCTGTTTGGACATCTTGGAGACACTGCAGGTTTAACCTGGCCAAAATAAAAGTTGATTCTCTATCACATACCTGTTCCTCCCCCAGGTTTCCCATTTCTGTAGGTAGCACCAACATCCAACATCCAGACAAAAAAACTAAGGCTTATTCTTGATTATTTTCTTATTTTCACACTCTGCATTCAGTCTGTCCTATCAAACCTGTCTCCCAAACAGATCCCAATCTATCTAATCCTTTCCATTTCCATTATCAACACTCCAGTCCTAATCACTGTTTGCTCTCGCCCTTGCCTATTGTAAGAGCCTCCCAGGTTTGTCTCCCTCCTCCTATTCTTGTCTCCCTTCAGTCACTTCTTCACACAGCAATGATCTTTTAAAATAATAATAATAATGTGTCACACTCTCCTCCCCGTTTATAATACCCCTATGGCCTCCTATCTCATTTGCAATGAAATCCAGACTCTGCCTGGTTTATGAAGCCCCTACATCATCTGGACCCTGTCTAGTTCTCCAATATCATTTTGCATCGCTCTTCCCTTTTTACACCCCAACCAAACAGTTTACTTTTTATTTTTGTAACACACCAAGCATGTTCCTACCATAGAGCCTTTGCATGTGTTGTTTCTGGGCTGGATGCTCTTAAACCTAATATGTGCGTGGCTAGATTCTTCTTAACATTCATGTCTCAGCCTCATTCTGTCCTCATAGACGTCTCCCTGACACCCAGCCTATTAGGTTGGTGCAAAAGTAATTGCAGGTTTGCCATTATTTTTGCACCAGCCTAATAAAACAGTGACTCTCTGTCATGTTACTATGCCTTAATTCTCTGTGATGTATTTGTTGTACTATTCGACATTTTCTTATGCATCTATTAATTTTTCCTTTTTAGTTTGTGTGTGCGTGCTCACACATAATCATATTATCAGCTTATGAGAGCAGGGGTCCTGTGGTCTTATTCACCACAATAACCTCAGTGCTTGGAACACTGCACGTAGTAGGTGCTCAAAAAACACATTTTGAACAAATGAATAAACCAATTTAAGCAGCAGGAAAATCTGTTAAATGGGAAATAAGCGACATTTTCTCTTTTATTTTATGGTGAGGTCTTGGCTGATTTAGCCAAATTTCTAAGGACTAACCGAGAAAATAAAACTGAAACACATCATTTGGCCGATTCGTTTCAGTGAAACTCCTTTCTTCTGAATTTGTGATCAAGCCCGCCATAAAGAAGAGACATGATGGCACTGTAAATCTGATAAATTTCTGATGAGATACATGGCAGTTTAATGCAACTTGGTGACATGACCCTTATGCTCTTACCACTGCTGGGTCCTCATTCATGCGATGAGACTGTAGCCCAAACTCTAAGTAGGTTCTGACAAAGATGGAAAGCTTGGAGTACTAAGAACTGCTCCAGTGATACTCCAGTTCTTTTCCCATTCTTTCCTCCTTTTTACTGATGCAAGATAAAATGGGAAGTACAGCAGGACAAGGAGTGCGATTCGTGCTCAGAGTAGCTGTATTATGGGTTCTCACCTGGCTGAAACTCCTATTTGCATGGGATTATCTGACTCTCAGCTAAGATACACTGTTTCCCTAAGGCAATTTCGGAGGCCAAGCCCAAAATTGACACATTTAGAGATTCAGGAGCAAATAACTTTGTATTTATTTGTCAGTGAAGCACTATTTATGGCATTTCAATCACGTGGCAATCTTAAGACTGTAATTATAGAGGTCTAAGAAGAATATAGAACATTTCTTCTGACTTATCCTTTTGAGATTTAGAATTGAAAATAGTTTGATCTCTTTTTTCAGCCCCTCAGAGATAACTTACATGACCTTTAGCCAATTCCCCATTCTTCCTTTCTCATTTCACAATTGCAAATGCTACTGGGTAGTTTTCCTCTGTTTTGAGCCCCACCCTTCCTGTTGCTAAGCAGATGAACTGGATTACATAAATTGTCAATTTCTCAGCTGTGACAATGAAAAAGACAGGACAACAGTAGCCAGAAATGAGGACAGCTGCTTCTAGCACTTGGGATTTGGGGTTAGATGATGAAGAGAGAATCAAAAGGAAATAGGTGAAGTTAGCATAAGTAAAAAGTTAGACACAATTCTATTACTTTAATACAAACTCTGTTAACATTTGGGTATATTTCTTTCAGAGATTGGTACTCATATTAGAGTGGAGTTATTTGGGTTTTTGTTTTTCCTTTATGCCTACTTATAATTTACATGCTCTTATCCTTTGTTTTATAATATTTACAAGTTGCAGTTATTATTTTAATATTTCAGGTTAAGTTGACTTTTCAATATGGAGTCAGTTTTAAGTGTGTGCGTTTTAAAGGGGCATATTTGCATTTCTGACCCACAAAGACTAACATCACTTGTGACAATTAATTTTCACTCATCTAAATTTTGCAATGTTTTTAAACCAAAACAGGTTTAATAATGATAGGTATCCACTAAACATCCAGCTTTTATCACATCACCTGTAGCTTCCCATGGAAATTTTCTACGAAGCAAACATTGGCTAGTATTACAGATATTTCCTTTTCAAGCCCTCATGTTTAATCAACTCCGCTTACCTGTGTGGCTTTAATAAGCGTAATGCCAACTCCAGCTCCCCAGAGTGAGGTAAACAGTATGTATGGGCATAATTAGCAAATCATTTGGTTGTAAGATGTTGTATGATTCACATATTTGGTTTTCTTTAATGAGGCATTCCTCTCCAGACACATTAGTCGTTTCCCAAAATGCTCCTTTGCAAATAGCTATAGAAACAGCAAATGATGAACTAAAAAAGGTGTGCTGCACGTGGGACACCAGAGGGCGCTAGAGTAATGTTATAATGTGCCTCTGCTTTTCTCTTAGCTTTGCTATTAAAAAATTAAAGCTTTTAAAATAATACACTACCTTGTCTTGAAGACATTTATTTGAAGTTATACGATATAGCTTTATGATTTGAGTCAAACATTTATTATTATTTATCATTACAGTCAGCATCTTCTCAAAAGCAGGTCTTTTATTCCCATGCTGAATTTTAGAAAAGAAATTCTAACAATAGTCCTCCTCTTAGACTTTTTTTTTTTAAGGAAAACACATTATTATTCTTAGATTGTGACTTTGTCCTCTCCCAAGAGACAGTCACGTGTGTTAAAATGTTTAGTAGTTCTAGTCTGCTAGAAATGAATAATAGAGGAAGTGAATTATTTCTAAACTTTTAGAACCACAGAATTTGGGCATTTGATCAGTATTTGTCTACTGTTGAATTTAAAATAAAACATATGAATGTATCAGGATAAAGTGGCAGTGCTGCAAAAATTTGAAGTGCTGAAAAAAGTTAGAAAATTAAATTGGCATTTATTAATAATAAGCAACCATTTTAGTGTAGCTAGAAGGTTTATTTTCTAGTGTTAAGCTGTCTTAAAAATCAGAGGTATTTTTGTTCAACATAATTTACTGAAAAGTGTGTATAGAATGCTTAATATGTATGTGCCTAAAATTGCTCTTAGTGACCAAATATTCACATGCTGGGTGTGGTGGCTCATGCCTGTAATCCCAGCACTTCAGGAGGTAAGAGGGTTCCTTGAGGCCAGGAATTCAAGAGCAGCCTAAGCAACATAACAGGACCCTGTCTCCACAAAAATTTTAAAAGCAGCCAGGTGTGGTGGTGTGTGCCTGTAGTCCTAGCTACTTGGGAGGCTAAGGCAGGAGGATTGCCTGAGTTCATGTGTTCAAGGCTATAGTGAGCAGTGATCGTGCCGCTAGACTCCAGCCTGGGTGACAGAGCGAGACCCTGTCTCAAAACAAAAAATCAAACCCCAAAACCACAAAAAATTCACAAGACAACTTACGTAATCTAAGATATAAATCACACATACCAGACATGAAATTTGCAAATGTGTATCAGATAAAATACTATGTGTTTAAAGGATGGGGATGCTATGTGACTGAAGGGTTAGGGGAGACTGGCGAAATGGAAGGAACTAGCTGAGCTTGAAGGATGGGGTAGGATCTAATTCAGCAGAAAACAAATTATAGCAGAATAACCATGGCCAGAAAGGGAGAGATGACACAAATGCATGTGCAGCAATATATCAAGCATCTGCTTTTCATCTTTCCACAGGGAGGTCCCATCTCGCATTGTAAAGGGCATTGTTTTTATGTTATTTCTTTGTCTTTCATGTTGTGGTGTGTATTGGTTTGGGTTTTCTGGTTGTTTTCTTTGTGTTCTTTTACCAGAAAACAAAAACAAAAACAGCCTTTCAGAGGGGAAATCATTCCTCATCCCCAATATGACCAGTATTTGTTCCAGCCTTTCCCAGCTCTGGTCCAGCCAGATGAGAGTGCTGCTGTAATGTCCAGTGCTATGGCTGGGCGGCCTCAGGGAGAGCGAGGGTTCAAGTCCTCAGCCTTCTCACAGCGCTGCATCCAGGTGGATGCCACAGATCTTTCGATGCTGTGCCCTGTACACTGGGAAATTGTCTGTTTCCCTCTAGGGACTGAGGTTCTCAAGGTAGAATCATGGCCTGATTCCACTTTGTAGTCCTAATGCTCAATGCACATTGGGAAGTCAGTAAATATTTCTTTTTTAATGTAATTATCTATTTATTAGTCCAAGATCAGTGTAAATGTATTGTAGAAAATTATAAAATACATATAAGAAAAATACTTTTTGAAAAACATTGTAATCCTACAACAGTTTATTGGTATTACCTTAGTGCCTATCCTTCCAAACACTTTCTGTCCACCTCTATGTTTATCTGTTTTGCTATGTATCTACCTATCTAGGTATTTTTAAACTGAGATTAGACTATACACACTTTTATAGCCAGTGTTTTCTCATTTAATAATCTCCACATTTCCATGTTAGTAAGTATTGATCTTAAATGATCATTCCTATCAACAAACTTGCTGCATAAAAATCCCCCTGGGGAATGCTTGCCAAAATGCAGATTCCTAGGGCCCAGGCTGGATCTGCAGATTCAGAATCTCCAGGGTTATGGCTCTGGAATTTGTATTTTCACAAGCATCTGAATGCTCATATTCCAGTCACTGATCTACACCATCATTTTGGGGAGCCAGAATAGATTTCCACTGTCTAGACAGATATATTGCATTTAACCAATCCCTAGTTCAGTTTTTTCATTATCATGAGGCAGGTCATAAAGATCATTAAGTGATGAGCATCATAAGTTAAGATGGTAGACATTCTAAATCTCTATAAATGTCAACACAGATTTATTTATGGTTAATATAGGAAGTTAAAAATCTATGCCCAGTCTTGACAGATGGAGCTTTTTGGTTATAAGGTGGTTATCCCAAAACCACAAAGCAAAATCATAAAATGAACAGAACTGCAGGGGTGTGTCTTTCTTCCTTCCCTCCTTCCTTCCTCCCTTTCTTTTTTTTTTTCTTTTTCTTTTCAGTTGTGGGCCATGGGAACATAAATCCAGGTGTGGGTAGCCAGATGACTCAAGTCCCCAGATTTGGTGCTCTCTCCTCTGTTTATGTGGACACAGTGACTAGTTTTGCCTCTCTCAATCCTTTTGACCTCTGCTGACAGATTCTTTCTTAATACTGCTGATTTGGTTGTAATGAAACAACCTTGCCCAGCCCACATTATTTCATCTCAATATGCGTTAGCATGACTGCTACAGTTCTCCAAGTTCTGGGCTGCCTCAGGGAAAAAGTCTGCCCATAATTTTTTCATATCTATTTTTTTCCTTTCAATTACATTTTGTAGCTCCCCCAGTTTCATGATGTAATGTTAGTGGAATTAAACTTGATCAGCTTAAAATTAAGTAATTAATTACATGAAGCTTCAATAATAGTTACAAATTGCTCCCTGCCTATCTGGGTGACACCCGGTGACAGTGAATTTCACAGTGCTATGAGGGACAGATGGTGAAGCTCCATTTGGCCTGTCATTTAAAGTATTTAGGTAATTAGGTTAAAAAATGTTTTCAAAGAACTCAGATGGGCCACATGTGTCCAACAGGCTATATATAAATGCCTGGACACCACTTAAGACATAATATTGCTGGATTCTGTTTGGACACAATAGTGCTTAAACATCCATTTATTACTGTCTGTTGAGATCTTGCTTAGTAAGTGCCAGATACTGTGCTAGGCACCAGAGATTCTGTGGTGAATAAGAGAGACATAGTCCCTGTCTTCATGGAATTTACAGTCTAAGGGATCAAAGACAAAAAAAAACAAAAACAAAAAAAAACAGGCAATTCCTCTAAGTACAGTAAGAGAATACATAGGAAAAGCAATTAACCCAGACTCCTAGTGTTAGGAAAGGCTTCTCCTGTGAGTAATGTCCAAAAAGAAATCTAAAGGACAAATAGAAACAGGCCAAGAGAGGGCAGAAGATGTCTAAGGCAGAAGGACCAGCATCTAGAAAAGTCCATGAGCCACCACCATGCCACATTCAAGGTACTGTAAGAAGCTGGCTGAGACTCAGCATGGAGCTGGCTCTGAGCTGAAGCTGGGTGGGCACGCCAGGCCAGGACACCAGGTTCTTGGAAGCCCTGGCAAGGAGTTTGGACTTTATTATAAGGACAAAGCGGCTCCACTGAAAGTTTTTTAAGGAGAAGAGTGTTATATTTATGTTTTTAAAAGATCACTTTTGTCAAAGTAGGAGGAGTGGGTTGAAAAGTTGCAAGATGAGAGGAAAGGAGATCAGACAAACTGTCCTGCAGTCATCCAGCTGAGAGATGCTACTGACCCGTTAGAGAAAGGATTCCTTAATTTTTTTACATTCATCAAGTATAACTATTTAGCTTATTATATTACACAGCTCATAACATTGCACTTGGCTCATACTATTTCTGCCAGAAGCCAGGCGCTTTTCTATGCAGTCTCTGTGTTTTTGGAGCTTACATTTGAGTGAAGAGAGATAGAAAGTAAACACATTTTTAAAATTAATACAATAGCATTTTTCACAACAGCCAATAGGTGGAAACAACCCAAGTGTCCATAACAAGGTAAACAAAATATGGTATACATACAATAGAATGGAATATTATTCAGCCTTAAAAGGAAGGAAGTTCCAGCACATGCTACAACATGGATGAACTCTGAGGACATGATGGTGATGATGTTTGCACAATATGAATGTACTTAATGCCACTTAATAGTACATTTAGTAATGATTAAAATGGTAAATTTTGTTATCTTTATTTCCCACAATTAAAAAAATGTCATCCTTCCCCACAGCCAAACATTCTATGAAGCTGTGGGGCAAAGAAATGCAAAAAGAGTGGCCCAAAACTGTGTTTCAGGTAGATTTTTTTTTCACTAGGAAAAAAAATTAACATGTATTGTGGTAATTTATATGAAGAAATAAACCAGAGGATGCAGTGGAGAGCAATTTGGAGGGGCAGGTGCGGGCTGGGCACTTTCTTTAGGTGGAGTGGTAAGAGAAGCCCTCTCTGAAAAAGTGGCATTTAAGCTGAAACCTGAAAGGAAGGCAACGATGTACAGATCTGGTAAAGGAATATTTTGGGCAGAGAGAACAGCAGGGACCCAGGCCCTAAAGTTGTGATGAGCTTGGCAGAGAAAAAGGCTAAAGGGTAGTGAAGAAGAAGCTAATGGTAGGAAATGAAGTGAGAGAAGAAGGCGGCAAAGAGGTTCTAAAGGCCTAATAGGTCACAGAAAGCAGGTGGGTTTTATTCTCATTGCAGTGGGAGGCACTGGAAGTTTTTAAGCATACCAGTGATAAGATCAGATTTTTTAAACAAAAAGATCACCCTGCTGTGAGGCGATAGGCAGAGGTGGAGGTGGGAGGCCTTGGAGGCTGTCAGAGTGAGAGATGAAGGGGAGATACAGAAAGGATAATGCATTTGAGAGCTACTTAGCGGGCAGATTCCGCAGGACTCAGTGTTGATTGACTGTTGAAAGTAAAATACATGATTCCCCTGTGTCTAGCCTGGGCTTCTGGATGAACACTGGTGCCACCCTGGTGGTCTAGTTGGTAGAATCCTGTGTTCACACTGTTGAGGCCTGGTTCAGTTTCTTATGAGAAAAGCAGTATTTGGAAGGAAATGTGTAGTAACAGGTTAGAGCATTGGACTCCGGGTCAGAGAAGCCTGGGTATGAGTGAGCACCACTTCCTAACTTTGGGAAGGATATTTCATCTCTTTTATTTTCTAGTCTCTGAAGTGAGGCTAATAATACGAACTCTGGGTGTAATGGGCTCCCTAAAAATGATTGATGCCCTTTCCCCCTGTGAGCCTCCCTCACCAGCTTCACCAAAGGAAAACCATGAGCTCAAAAGCAAGCAATACAAAATCTTGCCCGAAGGATCCGTCAGGCAGATCTCTGAAGGCACCCCAATGCATGCACTTTCCTAAAGAAGCTGAAAAAGAAGAAAGTACTGACTTGCTCCTTGCCGCTAAGCCCTAGGGAAGCTGTGCATCTAAACTGCCAGACACAATCAACCGCAAGCATCTAAAGCCTTCTGGCAACAACAACAACAAAAGTTTTAAGTAATGGGGGAAAATAGAGATCTCATTCACAATAACAAAAGCTAAATGGTATCTAGGAATAAATCGAAAAGATATTCAAGTCCTTATTGAGAAAATTATAAAATATTACTGAAGAACATAAACTAAGATGCAAATAAAAAGAGAGATACACCACTCTCAGAAAGATTCAATAGCGATGTCAGTTTTTACCAAATTGATTTTAAAACTCAATAAAATTCCAATCAAACTCCAAGTAGGTTTTGTGTGGGTGTGTGAGAGTGTGGAATTTTACAAGCTGATCCTAAAATTTGTACGGAAAGCATGAAAAAGAAATACTTAAAACGTGTGTGGAGACCTATCTGGAGAAGCTTACTCTATATCAAAATGTATTTTAAAGCCATAATAATTGAGTCAGAGTAGTGTTGGTGCAGAGATAGAAACATAGACCAAACAAAATAGAAAGCACAGAATGTATTCATGCATATACAGAAACCTGATACATGCTACTTGGTACTGACATTGCAGGTCAAGTAGGGGAAATGATTGATAATCAGTAATGGTGCTGGGATATTTGGTTTTCTATATGAAAAAATATGTGTGTGTGTGTGTGTGTGTGTGTATTTTTTAACCTCATACCACATACAAAAATACATTCCACAGGGCTTAAAAAGCTAAATGGTGTTGATAAAAAAGCCGAACTCTGTAAAATATTTAAAGAGGTTTATTCTGAGCTAATATGAGTGACCATGGCCCAGGGAACAGTTTCAGGAGGTCCTGAGAAATTGAGACCAAAGTGTTCAGGTTAGTTTGGTTTTGTACATTTTAGGGATACTGAAGTTACAGGCAAAGACATAAATCAATACACGTAAGGTGTATGTTGGTTCGGTCCAGAAAGTTGGGGTGGGTACAGGTCACAGGTGAATTCAAAGATTTTCTGATTGGCTATTGGTTGAAAATGTTAAGGATTGAGGTAAAGGCATAAAGTCAGTAGAAAGAAATGCTGGAGTTAAGATAAGAGGGGTTGTGGAAGCCAGGGTTCTTGCTGTGTAGATGAAGACTCGAGGTAGCAGGCTTCAGGGAGAATAGATGGTAAATGTCTTTTTTTCAGACTTTAACAGGTGTCAGACTTTTGGTTAATCTCTCCTAGATCCATGAAAGGCATAGCTACATTAATGGAAATTCTCTACAGATGCAAAATTTCCCCCAAAAAGGATGACTTTGCAGGACCATTTTAAAATATAGCAAAGACATATGTTTTGTGGTAAAATATTTTTATTTCCTTGAGGGTCTGCTATCTGTCCTGTGATGCTATACTAGAGTCAGGTTGGAATTTGGTATCTTATTGCCAAAGAGTCTATTTCGTCAGTCTTATAATCTCTATTTTAATGTTAGTGCTGGTCAGTTGTGCCTACACTCCAAAAGAAGGAGGGTATAAGAAGGCATGTCCTGGCCCCCTTCCCATCAGGGCTAGGAATTCAGTTGTTTAGGTTTCCCTTTCCCCAGAGGGGGTGTGTTAAGTCAGGGGGCTTTGGATTTTATTTTTGGTTTGCAGTGGGAACAACAAAAGCATAAGAAAAATATCTTCAAAATCTCATGGGAGGATTTATCAGGATACAGACAGCACAATCACAATTGACAAGTCTGACTACATAAAATTAAGAGTGTCTGTTCAAAATGAAATGTTAAGCAACATAATGGGAGAAGATATTTGCATTGTGTATAATTTATAAATAATTAGGATCTAGAATATATTTTAAATCTATAAGATATAGAAACAGCCTAATACAAAATTAGGCAAAGAACATGAATGTAAAATACACAGGAAAAAATTTAATTGGGTATGAAAAGAAGCATAGCCTCCTCAGTTATGAAGATGTAAGGTGTAGGCCTCACAGATACTTGTGCAATTGCGTGAAAACTCTGTGACATTAGTGGGAGGTCCAAGACTCACGATATTTAGGAGTTCATAGGGTAACAGTGTGATTTGGGGCTAGATGCCAAGTCAGTGCCTAATTATTTCAACTTTGCCAAAGCCTAGAAGGCCAACAATCAGAATAATATGAAATTCAAGTCTCAAGACAAATTATACAGGGTTTTCAAGAAAGCAGAATTTGGATGAAGACTTGGTCAGATAGGGGTGGGGCGCAAGGCTACAGGCATGAACAACCCAGGAGCATCACAGTTGGTGGACAAGAAGAGTCACAGGGAGCTGGGTTGTGGGCTGAAATCCATGCCACATCAATCCTAATGTCTGTTGGTGTTGGGCAAGTGAAGGCTGGATCCCAAGGCGAGCTGTGCCCTGTGGGGAAGGCAGTGACTGTAAAATGATTTGGTACAAACCTCTGGACACCTGGACACCTCTATGCCTGCTGCAGACCTTTCTCAGTTCTAAAGACTCAGCAGTGTCCCTTGAGCAAGACTAACCCCTCCAAGTGGGAATTGAGATCCTTACCCACTTAGTGTGGGAATTTTCAGGCAACGCCATTTGCTTATTCAACACATAATGATCGAGCACCTCGCATGTACCAGACACTGTTCTAGGTGCTTGGGATACATCAATTAACAAAATAGACAAAGTTCCCTGCTCTCCTAGAGCTTACATCCTAGTGGGAAGGTGGACATTATAAATAATCAGAATAAATAAGTACACTTATTTATCCCAGGCCCCACCCCAGACTTAAAACAAAGAATTTGCATTTAACAAGTTCTTCTACTGATTTTTATGTACATAAAAGTTTGAGAAGCACCATAAGTGTAGGAATCATTAGCTTTCTACCAAATCAATGCCTAACCTGTTCTTAGTTACAGACAGTTCTGCCATCTCACAGAGGTGGTGGTAGAAAGGGTACTGGTAAGCAGATATTGTAGGCAACATTTACCATGTCATTCTGAATTTAGGACTACTTTCTTTCTATAAATATGCCTATTTCTTATACTGAGCAACTAGTAGCTATAATTAAGGCAACTTTAATGGCAGCCAGTGGTTTCGTACACAACTATTTTGGAGCAATTTATTTTAGTTCTGGTATATCTGGTTATACAAAAAAAAATGAATTCTTTGCTAAATAAAGACATACTATTTTCCTCATCACTAACATGAAGAGGTAGACAGACAGTGAGAACAGAAGGTGAGCAGTTGGAATGGCCTAAAGTCCTGTCTGACCTCCACACTTTAGCTTCCAACATTGCCACTTCCAGGACGTTCTGTTCATGTTTCTCTGCCAATATAACTCCTATCCATTCTTTGACATCCAGATCCTGGTTAGTGTTTTCCATTAATATTTTCCTGCCCATCTCAAAATGAAGTAATCATTTTTTACTTGCAACCCAGAAAGCACCTACTATCTCTGATTCATCTTAAAACTGATGCTAGCCCTTCCACACTTTGAACTGTCATTCACATCTTGTGAAGTGTCACTGAAATCTTGGTTCATTATTTATATGCTCACACTTTTATATTGTATCTTCCAGTATAGACGTTAGATTCCTAAGGACAGGAACTATGTCTTAGTAGCTTAATGCACTTTCCTCAACACATCACCTTGTACAAAATAGTCATTCGATAAATACTTGCTGATTTTAGTATGTGTTTGTTCCACAGGTGAACATTTTTCTTTTGAAAGGCCAAGAATCTAGCCTGTAAATTGTAAAATGTGGGGCTGACATCACACAGGCATTTCCATTTGCTATTGGAGTAGAGCTTTAATATTTTAAGGTTGGAGTTGAATCATACTAAGATTGGAATGACATTTCTCAGGTTGCTGAGTAGAAAGAAGTCTTCGAATATATGCTGGTTTGTTCCTAGTGTGTGAGATGATAGGAGCTGAATTACAGTTTGAAAAATAAGGTAAGTGGTCTATACCATTAGAAAACAAGAAGAAAAGAAATTTAGACTTTAAAGTGAATGCCATTTATTTTCAGTAGGATGTCCTTTGTATAATGTCAGCACCAAATATTTGAAAGAAGGCTGTAACCTAAGTCTAAACAACGTTGTTGCAAAAGCAGAGAAAATGTGAAAAGTATACAGAGATTTTTTTTCCTATACCATAGTGGAAAAGCAATTCTGTACTGAAAATAACACAGTTTCAAAAGAAGTGGTACAGATCAGTACCCTAAAATGCTTTAGCAATTTATGCCTAACTATGCAGTTTACCCCAGAAGAGGAGACTAGCAGGTACTAAGAAATAACTGAGAGAGAAGCTAGAGTTAAGATAAAAGGTTACATTCCTTACGCATTCTTTTTTCTCCAAAAGATGCACATTCTTACTGTATTCTTTTTCCTCTTTCCAAATACCTCCCCTTTATATTGATGGAAGGAAAAAAATGAGCTATCATATTCTTCAGTTTATTTTTAATAGCTTAACACATAATTCTGTGCTACATTTGGCCAACTGGAATATTGCTATACACTGTTCTGCCAAACTTCTCAGTGGGATGAGCTGCAGTTGTCTACAGAATTGAAATTTTGGAAGATGGAAAAAGCAAAAAAGAGTTCTAAACACTCAAAGCTTATTTTGGAAAACTTACAAGCTCCTTCTCTTCCATGACTTTTTTAGGGTTTTCGCATTAACTGTAAAGTTTCATAATCTAAAAATGTATCTCCTGCACATCTAACCCAGAGTAGACAGCCACTAGTGTTTTTAAGAACTTGAATTGTAGGAGGCAAGCACCCACATTCAGATTTTTAGAAATCTGGTTGCCTTTCCTTCCCAAATTCAGGCATATCACAAGACAGAGAATCGACTTGGGGAAAATCATGGCAAGTGTCCAAAAAGCATCCTGTCACAACCAAACCAATCTTTGTGGTCATATGTTTCCTCCTCAGGATGAATTTGTTCTTCCTTTCGTTTCTCTATTTGGTTCTTCAAACTGTAGTTATATTTACTGCCATATAAATACTGGGCAAAAGGTGAAAAAAATGACTCTTGGTACCTTTTGTGAGGGCTGTTTACTGTGAACTTCACATGAGTAGAAAGGTAATGACCATATTAAAGATGGTTTAATATGGTTAGCATAAACCCTTATCTATGTAAACTGAAGTTTTAAAAAATCTAAGTTACTGATTATTTGACTTAGGCAGCATGAGCTGTCTTCGAACTATCAGATTCATGCCTTACATATTATTTGATGGAGTTTTGCAAAAACTGAACTAAATTTAGGGAAGATTGTCGTTAAACCACAAGACATTTAAGTCACTTGTGATATGACAGAAGGTTTAAAAAAAATATAAACTTACTGACAGAGGTTCCACAGTCTGCTTAGAAGAGACAGCAGACTTATTAAAAGAAGGAAGAATGAATTTAGAATACTTTCAGGGTTAATTTCTTTCTATTTCAAATTATTTTTAATATTAATATTTTCATTGTACTCCCATCCCCTTGGAATTTAAAGAATCAAACAGTCTTACTTTCTTAACAATGTGGGCTGATGTCAACTGGGCACTTTGAGTCACAGCCATTTGAGTGAAAGAACATCTTTCCTCTGAACATAAATAAGGTAGTAAAATAGGGTGAAGAAAATAAGACTAGAAAACATCATTAGAAAGACCAAACAGCAAGAGGAGGTGTCGCTCCACTACCGTTATTAAATGTAGGAGCCAAAGAAGGGAATTTTATTTCAATCAGCTGACATGTTTTTGGTTTAGGCTCTGGCATTATTACAGTCCAGCTCAAATTAATGTCTTCCTTCAGTAAACTGAGTACTTTTTAGACTGAGCACTATGCTGTCCCACAGTAGACAAGATAGGCACAGTTCGCACCCTCAGGCAGTTTACAGTTCAGTGGAATGTTCTTTTGGATGCCCTCTAGTTCAGAGAGGACGGTACCCCAATGCCCAGTGAGTCCACATAGTGTTTTACTTTTTAAGGTGTGTTTTTTGTTTTTAGTTTTTGTTTTTGTTTTTGAGACAGGGTCTCACTCCCATCACCCAGGCTGGAGTACTGTGGCATGATCACGGTCACTACAGCCTCAACTTCCAGGGCTCAAGTGATCCTTCCACCTCAGCCTCCCAAGTAGCTGGGACCACAGGCACATCACCACACCCAGCTAATCTTTTTGTACTTTTTGTAGAAGCGGGTGTCTCTCCTTGTTGCCCAGGCTGGTTTCGAACTCCTGAGCTCCAGTGATCCACCCACCTCAGCCTCCCAAAGTGCTAGAATTACAGGCGTGAGCCACTGTGCCCAACCTTTTTTGGGTTTTTAAAAATCATTTCCTTGAAAAAATCTCTCTTGAATTCCATGCGTATATTACCTTTAAGTTTCCCCTAATTTATTTGTTGCTCTTTCTCTTTCCTTTTTTTTTTTTTTAATTTTTTATTTTTATTTTTTGAGACAGAGTCTTGCTCTGTCGCCCAGGCTGGAGTGCAGTGGTGTGGTCTCTGATCACTGCAACCTTCGCTTCGGGTTCAAGTGATTCTCCTGCCTCAGCCTCCCGAATAGCTGGGATTACAGGTACCCACCACTACCCCCCGCTAATTTTTGTATTTTTAGTAGAGACTGGGTTTCACCATATTGGTCAGGCTGGTCTCGAACTCCTGACCTCAAGTGATCAGCCCACCTCAGCCTCCCAAAGTGCTGGGGTTACAGGCGTGAACCACCGTGCCTGGCCTTCTTTTAATTTAAATGTTGCTGTTTACTGGGTTTACCCTAACTTTGTTTCCTATGCTAAATGCCCTGTTTTGGGGCAATCCTATTTTCTTTGGTTTCAGCTATCATCTATATACCATACGCTGATGATTCCTGCATAATTTCCAGTGCTCTTTCTCTCCTGAACTCTAAACTCTTAAGTAGTTCCTGAATATTTCCACATCCTGCCTCTCAGGCATCTCAAAGTCAACATAGTTTAAACTGAACTTATCTGTATTTTCCAAACTTTTTCCTCTGTCTTACTTAATAGCATCATTCGTCCCTCAAGCCAGAAATCCTAGAAATCCTGGGATCATCTTTGACCTCTTCCATTGTCATAGCATGGCTTCTCCCCCAAGGACCCTCCAGGCCTGTCATTTAGTTTTGTATCCTAATTATAAAGTCTCTCACTCTCTCTTTTTTTTTTCATCTGTTTAGTTCTCTACATCTATATTGTCTTTGTCCCAATCTCAGGTCATCTTAAACTACACATTGCCTTGTAACTGGTCTCCTTGCATCCAGCCTCTCTCTAATGCCTCCCTGCTGCTCTGTGCTGTGATGGAAGAACACAGGTGTGGAATGGAGAAGGCCTGAAGTAGAGGCTCACAACAGCATTGTTTTAAGAATGCAAATACGTAGCACAAAGCCTGACCCATAAGTAGTTTCTCTGAATACCACCACTTATTTACCCATGTTTCCATTAAAATTATCTTTCTAAAATAGTGATAATGATTTCATTCTATTTTTTTAAATTCTCCAATACCATTTGTTTTATACACTTAATACATATTGCATGTGTGTGCACACACATTCACTTCTTTTTACTAAAAAATGGGATTGTGTAAAATATAATATTTTATAAGCTATTTTTCATTTAAAAGATACTTATTGAGCCCTTACTTTGAGCTGGGATCCCTGAGAGATCTACATAGCCACTGCTGTCTGCCCTGCCTCCCATCCCCCTTGGATAATCTCTGCTGTCAGTCTGTGAACGCTGCTCCTTCATGTCTCAAGCACACACCAAAGAACATCTCCATGTTTTTGCCTCACTTTTCCTGATACCTCACAAGCTCATTTTGCTCAAACACAATCACATCCCAGAAGCAACTCTCAACAAGTGGAGTTGGGAGCTGGTATATGAAGTGGGTAAATGAAATGTCCCAGCCCCCAATCCTGCATTAGGACAGTTCGCAGGCTTGTTTACACAGTTCCTCATGAAGACCGCAGCAGGAGTGAGCTCCAGCACCCACAGACTAAACTGCTCAGTCACCTTTTATTGGTTTTTCCCCTATCCCTGTCTCATCCCCTACTCCCTCACTCCCATATCTTTGGATCACCTCCCAATTAAACCACCTGCACCCAGGTTCTTCTCAAGCCCTGCTTTGGAAGACCCCAAACTGGGACATCATCAAATAGTTAGAGGCATAATTATTTTAAGTTGTGGTGAGTGAGAAAAGCTGTAAGTACGAGATACTATGAGAGAATATAATCAGGCAAAGGCTTTGGAAAAGAAGACCTAACAGATGACTATGGGTTGGCCAAGAGAAAGGGGAAGGGAGTTCATGAACATCTTAAGATGTTAATAAATATGAATCTATATCTTTAGTAATCCAATCAGTGAAAAATCTCTTTCTTACATTCCTTTGATCATTATTAAGGCTGAACATTTTTCATATGTTTACAGGTTATTATTAATTCATCTCTTGAATGATGATAAATTAGTTGTTCATCACCTTAGCTTATTTTTCTGTTGGTGTTTGTTTATTAATTAAATCTCTATGTATTGAGCATCTACAATTTTCCAGGAACAATACTAGCAACTATGTTGTTAGCCTTTATAATTTAAGAATATGAACCCGCTGTCCGTCATATATATTGTGAATATGTTTCTTATTTTGTCGTTTGTCTTTTAACATTGTTGATGGTGTTTTTATTGCCAGACTTTTTTTTTATGTACATGGTCAAATCTACCAATCCTTTTCTTTATGGTTCCTGTCTTTGTAGCCATACTTTGAAAATCTTTCTCTACCCCCAAGATTGACTTTTCTCATGAACTTGAGATTTTAGCTTTATCTATTCTGAATTCTTAGTAATATCCGTTTCTGCACTTTCTATTCTATTCTTTAACCTTTTTGATTATTTATGTTGCCATATTGTCTTAATTATTATGCTATTAAAACATATTTTCATGCCTAGGAGTATAGGCCACTCTTATTTTATAAATACGTATGTGTATATGTATATATTTTACATATATGTGTAGTTGTTGTAACTTTGGTATTTGATATAATTATAAACTTACAGACAACTTGCAAGAATGTTACAAGGAACTTCCCTATATCCTTTTCGCAGATTCACCAATTATTTACCTTTTACCCTATTGCTTTATCATTCACGCTGTCTCTTTCTCATCCTCCTTCCCTTTCTGTTTCTGTGTCTCACACAGACATATGCATGCTCACACACAGTCTCCACACTTTTTTTTTAGCTATTTGAGTCAGTTGCAGATACAGCTGCAGTACAGATGCTCTAAATATTAATACTTCAATGTGTATTTCCTAAGTTCAAGGATATTCTGTTTCTGCAATACATTTTCCAAATTAGAAAAAAGTTTAGAAAATTTAACATCTGATCACAGTCCATATTCAAAATTGTGTCAGTTGTCCCAATAACGTACTGTATAGGTATTTATACCACCACCACATTCCTTTCAACCCCCCAAGTCCAGGATCCCATCCAAGATCACACATTTCATTTAGTCGTATTGTCTCATTAGTCTCCTTTATTATGGAACAGGAGGTCCTCATTATCCGTCTTTCTTGACCTTGACATTTTGAAAGACTACAGGCCAGTTATAGAATGTTCCTCATTTTGGGTTTGTCTGATGTTTTCTTGTGATTAAATTCAACTTTGGCATTTTTGGCAGGAATATCATAATAACAATGCTGTGTCCTTATTAGATCATGTCAAACAGAATGTTGGTTTGTGCCAGTACTGGTGATGTTAACTTTGATCCTTTGATTAAATTAATGCCATTTAGATGTCTCTAATTGTTTTAGAATTATTTTGTCAAGCTCCCAGAAAAGTTCTATTGGTATTTTTATTGGAAATCCACCTGATTTATATATTAACTTGCAGAGAATAGATGTTTTCTCTATTTTTTAAGTCTGCTTTTCTGTCTCTCAGCAACATCTTTTAGTACTTTTGTTTTTATAGGTTCCACAGATTTCTTGTTCTGTGTTAGGTTTTTAATATTTCTCATTTTTTTAATAGTCGAAACAGAATTTCTTTTTCCTTTTTTTTTTTTTTTTTTGCTGATAGGTAGGAAAGCAGTTGATCTTTATTTGTATACCTACCTTATCTGTCTTTGTTAGGTTTTATAGGTTTTTATGATTCTTTTATATTTTCTAGGTAAATAATCTTATTACCTACAAATAATAATGTGTGTCCCCTGGGTTTGAATTCTCTTTACACTGGATTTACTAATATTTTATTTAGGATTTCTGCATCTGTGCTTCTAAGTAATGTCAGACTGTAGGTTTATGCTTTGCTTGTTTTTGGCACTGTGTTTATCTGCTTTTTGTACAAGGATATGTGAATTTTATTAAGTGAGTTGGGAATTTTCCATCTTTTTCTATCCTCCAAAATAACTTGAGTAATATAGAAGTATTTGTTTCTTAACATTGCTTGTAAAATAATTTGACACTAGTGGCTTTGGGGAAATTGTGTTATATTTTTAAATCATTGATACAATTTTGTTCATAATTATTTGTATATTGGGACATCAAAAATTTTTTTAGTTATTTGGTAATAACATTCTATAAGATTATCTATTCTTAAAAATTTATCAAATTTGCTAACATAGAATATATATGTGTGTGTGTATGTATGTATGTGTATATATATATATATATATGTATTGTTCTTCATTTACATCTATGGCTACATCTCCTTTTTTAATTCCCAAAGTAGTGTATTTGTACTTTCTCTCAGGTTTAATCTTTACCTTTGGCAGGAGTTTTAATCTTTACTTTTTTTTTTTTTAGACGGAGTCTGCTCTGTCTCCCAGGTTGGAGTGCAGTGGCACAATCTCCGCTCACTGCAACCTCTGCTTCCTGGGTTCAAGCAATTCTCCTGCGTCAGCCTCCCGAGTAGCTGGGACTACAGGCGCCTGCCACCACGCCCAGCTAATTTTTTTGTATTTTTAGTAGAGACGGGGTTTCACCATGTTGGTCAGGCTGGTCTCAAACTCCTGACCTCAAATGATCTGCCTGCCTCGGCCTTCCAAAGTGCTGGGTTACAGGCGTGAGGCACCGCGCTCGGCCAGAAGTTTTTATCTTTTGTTGTTATTTTAAAGATCCAACTCTTGGATTCATCAGTTCTACAGTTTTTTTAATTTACCAATCTCTGGTTTTATATCTCTTTTAAATAGTTTCTTCCCCATTTTCTTTGGACTTAACGTTATTTCCGTGTCATCTTAAATCATATATTTAATTCGCTTATTTTAATTTGTTCTAATTTAATAACAGAAATCTTAGCTTCAAAATTTTGCGTTGTGTCCCATAGAATCACAAAGGTTTGAGGACTGGAGGGAATTGTCAAAATCATATAACGCAAACCTCTTGTTTTCCACATTCAAAATGCAAACAGGTTAAAAGGCTTGTTTCACAGCTAACTAGTTGCAGAACCAAAGTAAAGACCAGACAATTTTCCTGGCCCTCCTTTTTCACTACACCGCTCCTGCTGGCTTCTTAACCAAAAAAAACACAAGAATGAAGTAAAAGGAGACCATTTCTAGTGGGAATGCCGTTATAGTCTGGGAAACTCCTGGAGTGGCTAGGACATAAAGTAACCAGCTAAGTGCTTTTAGAGCAGATTATTATTTTTTTATATTTCTCTGGAACAGAGGTTACTTTGTGTTGACACAAGGTGAATAAATAAGCCTTCTATTGATTCAGGTAGGGTTCAGGGCATCTGTCTTAAAGGGGCAGCACCTTACTTCAGCTGCCCAGCTCTAAGCCAGAGTTCCCAGGGAGAGGACCTCATTTTTCCCACTCGTGCTTCCAGTGAGAACCACGCCCCTCCAACCCACATGCCATTGTTCCATCATGACCTGATTGCATTTTCACCCCAGAGCCACTTAGGGGAAGGATTGCCACCTCCTTGAATTAGAGTTCTCGGAGCAAGGCCAATAAGCTGAGCAGTGGGAGCAGGGAGAGGAGAAGAATAAATGGAGTGAGTGCAGCACAGCCTGCCTGCAAGAGCGTGACCTGCGTTTCTCCTTTCTTGCCCTGGCTTGAATTAGTGAAAAGGTGAAGTGGGCGGGCAGTGAACAAAGGAGTAATGTAGACATGGATTCAAAAATGAGGTTTTTCTTCCTTTCTACTTATTAAGGGTTGTGATGGTTAAATAAAAAGTTTAATTTAACACCACTTATTGGTGATCTGCTACATCAAGAAGGTATGAAAAGATGGATGTGAATGTGTACACATGTACATACAAATGTATGCATACGTGCATGTGCACACACACACACATAGACACACAGTGCAAGAGCCCGAAACCCAAGGGAACCTTGTGGTGAAACATCTTTCTGTACAATGAGGAATGTTTGATAATGGGAATAATTTTACCCCTTTTTTAAGTGTCTGTTTTGTCTGGGCTGTCTACATTTTGTATAGAATAATGCTCAAGATATGTTTTTACTTCTATTTTTATGCATTGCATGAAAATAAGTGTTTACTCTTATCACCTGGAGTTACCAGTAAAATTCCATGCAGCTCACAAAAATTCAGAGTGAACCAATGATTATTAAGGGCCAGCTCTGTGTGAAGCCCTGTGCCCAGGGACTTTCACAAGAATTATTTTGTTTACTCCTCCCTAACCGCTTCCTGTATAGTTGATGTTATCACTCTTTTTTTTTTTTTTTTTTTTTTTTTTTTTTTTTTTTTTGAGTTGGAGTCTCGCTCTTTCGCCCAGGACAGAGTGCAGTGGCGCGATCTCGGCTCACTGCAAGCTCTGCCTCCCGGCTTCATGCCATTCTCCCGCCTCAGCCTCCTGAGCAGCTGGGACTACAGGCACCCGCCACCACACCCGGCTAATTTTTTTTGTACTTTTAGTAGAGACGGGGTTTCACTGTGTTAGCCAGGATGGTCTCGATCTCCTGACCTCGTGATCCGCCTGCCTCGGCCTCCCAAAGTGCTGGGATTACAGGCATGAGCCACCGCGCATGGCCAATGTTATCACTCTTACTTTAAAGATGAAAACAAAGAAGCTCAGAGAGGTTAAGTAACTTACCCTAGATTACACAGCTAATAAATGTCAGAATCTGGAATTAAACCCAGATCTTCTGATTTCAAGGTATATATTCTTTCCTCTGCCTGATAGACAAAAGCAATTTAATACTAGACGGTAAATGTTTTAAGGTTTAAGATAATGCCTTGTTTACTTTCATGCAGTGTGATGCCAGCTGTTTCCCAGAAGATTAAAATACGCTTTGCAGCTTATTATCTCTTATTAATTTTCATTTTTATCACAGTATTACATAGACATTCTTTGAGAGGCCAAATAACAACTCTATAAGACCTTTAAAAAGTAGCCATTCCTTGACTCACCATACATAGTGAATTTTTTGTTCCAGGGCTATTCTGTGTAGTTTGATTTACTATTAGAAAGTAAAAGGGTAGGGAATAAGAAATTGCTTTTACTTAACAAGTATTAAGTCCCAAGGCAATTTGAGCTGCACTTTCTGCAGGATATCTTATTTAATCTTAAAAACAACTCTGAGGCATCTGACTAACCTATTGTGGGATTCCAGCAATAGGGACTCCCTGGGCTGTTTCTTCCTCACAGGGCTGACTCCCATGTAAAAATGCAGCTGCTTTTCAGTTCTTCCTTCTAGTCATACCATAAATTGATTTGTTACTGATTAGACAAAAATGATGCTAAAACACATCGGCACCCAGCAATTTATCTTACAAAGTCTGGGTATATTCATTTCTACTCTTTTCCTCCTGAAAACTGATGTACATTTTATAGCTTTATTTTAATTTTCTATAGCTTTTAAATTTTGTAGCGTTTTAGAAGCTATATAAGTAGTACATAATCTTAAGTAAATGTTCTTAATTTGGCTTCTAAAGTATTGCATTTTATCCTGCCTGCAGAATGGCACATAAATAACCCTTTGAACTTGAGAGCAGACAGTACAGTCAGCTGCATTTACGAAATTCAGTACAAACAAGGAATCACTTGTTGGCACAAATTATGTTCACTAATTTTTTACTTATATTCATTTCTCTATTTAAACTATTCATGAAACACATGGTAGAAATTTCATCTCTCTTCCTTTCCATCCCCCACCCATTTCTTAGTCAAGGTATTCTCTGTCTGTTCTTTATGGTAGCCAGACAATTAATTTGGCCAGATAGCATTATTGTCCTTTGTTCATTCAATTATAAATTCCTAGAGCTCAGAAACTCTGCCCAGTTTTTTATTCCTACCTCCCAACCTTGGAGTTATATTTCTGATACATGAAAGAGCCCAGTAGCAACTGCCCAGCCTTAGTGGATATCCTGCTTGTACTTCCATGTGCCCTGGTTGTGTGTTAGGGGCAAGCGCTCATAGAAGGGAAATGGGGTTCACAGGGAGGCACAATTCACTGTGGCACACAGTAGAGCCTTGGCTCCCACAATTCCACCTGCCTGCTTGCCCTCTTCCTCTTGCTGTAATTAAAGCCTGTCCCTTCCTCAATCCTGCCTTTTGCCTTGGAATGGGCCTGTTGTCATTGTCCAAATCTATTTTTATCATCTAGACTCTAGAAATGTCAGTTGAATGAAATGGTACTGGAATCTGCTTCCCTTTCTTCCCCTTTTTTGTATAATTAACAAGAAGAACAATTACTTCTTCATTATTTTGTTTTTGCACTCTCTCATTTTGAAAGATAACCAAAGCAGTTGTTGAGAGTCACAAGCCATTTGTGCATCATGAAAATCAGCCTTACAAGGTTAGGGTCAAGTATTCCAGCCTTATCTTTCCATATCAGCCTTTTACCTGAATATTTCATTTGGTCCTGAACTCTTACTATTTTTCTTTCTCTAAACTTCCTTTCTTCTGCTGATATCAACTAGTTAGGTATTTGTGTTTGGTTAAGTGCATGAAAATATAACTTCTAAAGTCCCAGATTGTTTTTAGAGCTTGCGAGGGGTCAGAAGACACAATTCTCCTTGTATCCAGCTTACTCTTAGCCCTGGGTGCCTTCTGCAAGAATGCACATGCACCTGGCAAGGCATAGGCAGCCCCAGCAACTCAGGAGGATGTGGCTCCAGTTCCACAGTCTAACAGACATTTACTGAGCATTTATTGTATGCCAGGCACTACATATACAAAGATGAAGAAGAAAAGAGTTACATCCCAGCAAGGGAGACTGACATGGAAGCAGATAATTAAAAAATAGTGGCAGATAGTTGTATAGAGTGAGGTAGGAGCACAGAATGGCAACGGACTCAGCTGCAGAGAGCCAAAATGGTTTCTTAATGGAGCTTGAGAAATTGGGAGGGGATTATGCAGTGCAGAAAGTGAGGGAAGGGAATTAAGGAGTGAGCAGAGTGTTAGCAAAGGATTCCAGGAGGAGGTGGCAACGTGAACTCAGGCACAGACTGAGAAACAACTGGGGGTGGGCAGTGTTTGGGTATTAACTGCATGCAATTGAGTTGCTGAACAGAGATGACTGTAAAAAGGTAAACTGGCAGTCACAGAGGAAATGCTTAGTCATACCAAGATATGGAAATAGAGCTAACATTGCATTTGTACCTGTAGCCCATAGGGAGCCTTAGAAACAATTTAAACTGGAGCATGAACTCACCACTTGCCTTTTAGATGGAGCCATTTGGCACCAAATTTAGGATATATTTGGGAGGGAGAGCACTAGAGGCAGAGAGGAAGCTGTTGCAGAATCCTGGCAAGGTTATTGGAGACCTGCATTAGGACAAGGGTGGTAGGAATAGAGGAAGTCCTGAATTCTAGGAGGTAAAATTGGCAGCACCTAGTTAGCAGTAATTGCGTATAGTGGTGATGAGAGGGAGAAATTTAGAAGGATTTCCCAAGTTAGAAACTTGTTTGGCCACGAAAATGCAGGACAGGGAGCAGTTTAGAGATCATGATGATTTCAATCCTGGTTATGTTGAGTTTTGGATGATCCTGAGTATCCAGATGGAAATGTCAGGGAGTTGGATGTAGGAGCCCAAATTTGAGGCAGTAAAGTAGATTTGAGAATTATATATATATTTGAGGAACTCACAGCCAGTACTTGTGAATGGAGACCCAGAGGTTGATTAAATTTATCCATCAATTAACAATACCTGTTTAAAAATCCAAAGCTGCTTAGACATGGATATAGATATAGATATACACACACGTGTATGTATGTGTGTTTATGTGTGTGTGTGTGTGTACTGTTCCCTCCTCCACTAGGGATCAGTATAATAAGTATTTTGTGAAACATTGCATCAGAAGGGGCGTTTGCAAGGAATGTAGACAAAACATAAACCAAAAATCACACACCTCCTCCGAAAAACGAGTGGTTCATGTAGAAAATTACAGCTTTGGATTCATGTCAAGGAAGAGTGTTTGACAGCTACAGGATATGAAAAAAAAAAGATTCAGATGACTGACTTGTTTGGTCTGAGGAAAGAAAGAATGTTCACAAGAAGTCAGCGCCCCTTGTATCTTCTGGTATCTAATGAAGTCACTTTAATATACCCCTGCCCCACAACTCTAACAGCGTTGTTAGTGTGTTTGCCCAGCTGTTTTCTTCCCCCTAGGAAGTACGAAACTGTACAGTATATTGCTTCTTTTTAGAGCTGGGCATTCACTAAAGTCTTTTTGATATTTTAAAGTAGAAGTTAAATTGTAGAGATTTTCCAATTTATGTATTTATTTTGAGACAGGGTCTCACTCTGTTGCCCAGGCTGGAGTACAGTGGCGCGATCATAGCTCACTGAAGCCTCGACCAGTGGTGCTCAACGGATCCTCCTACCTCAGCCTCCTGGGCAGCTGGAACCACAGGCATGCACTGCGATGCCTGGCTGATTTTTTATTTGTAGAAACGGGGTCTTACCATCTTGTCCAGGCTGGTCTCAAACTCCTGGACTCAAGCTATTCTATTCTCCCATCTTGGCCTCCGAAAGTGTTGGGATTACAGGCATGAGCCACCACTCCCAGCATATTGTAGATATTTTCTAGAGAAAAGAAGCTTCATATGTATATCTGTATAGTGTGATGTGTGTGTATGTGTGTGTATGTGTGTTACCCTCCAAATAATACATGGAACTCCCTTATTAAGTGATTTAAATAATTTTGTTATGATTCCTATCCTGGAATGGCAGAAGAAGAAACATTTGTCACAGTTGGTAAATATTATATTTTTGTTTCAAGTATGAATTACATGGAGAATTCCATGCTAGTTTTTCCAAAGTTCTTAAATTTAACAGAACTTTTAAGTGTCGTGTTACCATAAACTTCTTAAGAACTATATCTTGACTTAGAAAAGGGAGTTTAGATAAACCACAGTTAAATACCTGGCCTTTCCAATAACTACTAGGTAGAAAATAAAGGTCGGATGAAAGCAAAGACATGGAAGCTTAAGCTGAGGTATTCTTTTGAGAATTTTAGAGGAATTATTGTGGAAAATGGAAAGCCACAAAAATAGTTTTATCAAATTGCTAGTCAAACCTCATCTTCATAAAGACCAAAATAAAACCATAAGCAATCATGGAAAAAACTGACCTCCCTAATAGGATAGCATTTCATCAAGGTGGTGTGATAGTTGATCCTTTGTGGAGAAACTTGTTCAACAACCCGAAAAATACAGGTTTGTGTAGAACACAGTAATTACTGATTTAGTGAGAACATTGTTAACTTTTGGTTGTTTTCTGTCTAGTTTGAGGACAACCTGTAGAAAAATGTAAACTATATTTTGACTTCATTTGCCCTCTTCCAACAGTTGGCATATGCCAGAAGAGTGAAAATTTATTTCTTTATTTGCCTGTATAAATTGCAATTATAAAGACAATTCATTTAGCTTATATCAGACTCCTGAGTCTCATATAAGTTATTTGAGATTAGCCCACCTTCTTTAGCATATAAAAGTGGTCCATATGCGTTGGTTACGTAGCATGAAGACCTATTCTATGTGCAGGGAAAGGGGGCCCACGGAGCGTGATGTGCAGGAATTTAAGGCGCATCATAAAGCTTGTTCTAGTTTCTCCTCTCATGGCCTACCACAAGGCTCACATGGCCATTAGGGAAACAGTTTTGTGTTAAAGTAGAACTTCCCAAAGTGTGTTCTGCAGAACATGAAGGCTAAAGAATACTAATAGTTATTATGTAGACAAAAGGGGAAAGAAAGTTCTATATTCAACTAAGTTTGGAAAATGATGGTTGAACAAACAAAGGTAAACAGGGTTGCTTCTTTGCTGCAAAATTCAAGAGCCTTCGACATGCTTCCTCGCATGGTCAGTCTCCAAGACAGGACAGTTGTTTGCAGAATTTTATAGATGTTTCTCACCTGGGTACACCTCTGAGACTTGGATGTTCACAAATCTGCTATTTGAAGATGATGGGTTGGCTGAGAGTGGTGGCTCATGCCTGTAATCCCAGCACTTTGGGAGGCCAAGGCGGGCAGATCAACCGAGGCAAGGAGTTTGAGACCAGCCTGGCCAACGTGGTGAAACCCCATCTTACTAAAAATACAAAAATTAACCGGGTGTGGCGGTTTGCACCTGTAATCCCAGCTACTCGGGAGGCTGAGGCAGGAGAATCGCTTGAACTCAGGAGGGAGGTTGCAGTGAGTTGAGATCATGCCACTGCACTCCAGCCTGGATGACAGAGTGAGACTCCATCTCGGGGTGGTGTTGGGGGGTGCGGGTAATTGGTTTAAGGCACTGCAGAAGTTTTGTGAAAGTCTGACTATGTGGCCTCAGGAAGTGGGTTAAGTCAGAGGCTTCAACTAGTATGTAATTTTGGTTTCTTTGGCCTACATAGTGTTTTTAAAAACCTAAAGCCAACATTTACAAATCAAGATATTTCAACATAAAAATCCAGGTTACAAGTTTCTCTTAAAAATTAGAGGTTGAGACAAATCGGGGGCTTCAGTCCTCCAGAGCCACAGTCCACTGGGTGTTGGAAAGCCACTGCCCCTTTAGAGGAGAGATGTTCACCCCAGTTTTCAGAGTGTTTACCACCGTTTATGTTCTTACACTACAACATCACTCATTTATCTCACTTGGGCAGCCCCTCCCATCCCCATGATGCCATTCACATGGATGAATTCATTCCTTTGGCTGAGAACAGGCACTGAGGTTAAATCTGGGTGGCAGGCGATGGCAAGACAAAGCCTATGGTCTGGAAGCAAATATGACAAAATATAGACAGTGGTTGTCTTGATTGGTGAGGTTATAAAATGTTTTCTGACTCCTTTTATTTACTTTTTTGTGCTTTCCAAATATTCTGCAACAACCATGTGTTTCTTATGTAACTAAAAGAGAGAATTTAAAAAAAACAGCTAAAAAGCTTCTGAAATATAGATTTTTTAAAAGATGTGGTTGCTATGAAAGTATCTGCCTCCCTTTGAATCCTAACTACTAATAGTATTAATACAATGAGTAAGATAAGTATATATTTGGGCAAAAAAACCCAAAAATATATCTGCTTTAAAAGCTTTCTTAAGATCCTGTTTTTCAGCTGTTCATCATAATACTACAAATATTTAGTTTTATGAGGGTAGAAAAGTGTTGATTGGGCATCTGTGAAGTTTGGTTTTTGATATTTGGGCCTTTGCTAGCTTCTAGAATATGATATAAAATAAATAAAATAAGATAAAAATATTTTTATCTAGAGAGTGATAAAAAATAAATAGATGGATGGGTAGATTCATCTGAGATGATAGGAGAGCCTGGGAGAATTGAAGTGGAATATCAAGGCCCACCTTACTGTTGAAGGCAGTTCCCAGCGTTGACCACGTGTTTTTGTGGCTGGCTAGTACTCCCCAGCAAGCAAATAGGCCAGACTCTGAAATCTTGTATACTACGTAGGCACATTTGGAATCCTGAATTGGAATTTAATTCCTGGGCAGAGGTAAGAAAATGGTGACTCCTTTTTCACTCTCGAAGGTAGAAAGACCTTCTGCTTTTTGGAAGGACACCTTTTGAAATCCCTCATTTGATTTTGAAATCCCTCATTTGATTTTGTTTTCCCTGTATCAAAGAAAATGGCCTAGAAATCAGGATGGGGACACATGAGATGCTTTGTGGATAAGGAACCAGGGAAATGGAAGGCAGAAGCAAAAAGGAAGCGCCTGGAATTAGTTGGAAAACAAGGAATAAACGGGGAAATGTATATTTTATAGATGTTGGTGTGAATGGAGGAATAGGTGTTGTGGAAATTATTTACCTGATGTAGTTTCTCGGCCTCTCAATGTGTTTCCTCCACTGTCTAATGGAGATAATGTTAGTACCACACTCACGAGGGTGAATGAAATGCTGCATGAGAAATGCCTAGCATAGGACCTGGCCAGAGGAAATGCACAATAATTTATTCAGATTCAGAGAGAATCTTTTTATTTTTTGCTATTTTTAATACTGATTTTCAGTTTTATTGAGTAATGGTAAAAGAATGCCTTACATAGTGTGGCAACATAAAACAAATTGGTATTTTGAGATTTGTTTCATGGCCTAATACATAGCCCTTTTTTTGTTGTTGTTCTAAATAAGTTTGAAAAGACAGTATTTTTGGGTGTAGTGTTCTTTGTCCATAACATCAAGCTTTTTAATTGTCATATTTAAATCTGTATTATTACTGTTTTTTTGTTTGCTTAATACCAGTTTCTGAGAAACTATCTTACTCCTGTATACGTGAGGTTATGAAAAACGCCAACCCCAAAGCCAAGTTGGCATTTAAATGGCCATGAGTTATAACATTTTTCCTCTGACTATACCTGAAATTGCACAGAATAGAGCTAGCTTGATGTAGGAGATGACAAGGACATTTTAAGTATTTTTCGTTAAATGTGTGGGCATCACCTCAACAATCAGTGCAACATGAGATTCAACTGCAAAGCTACTGAAGGTATTCTTGCTGCACTTCCTTCTGGAGGGTTCGGATAGAAGAGCCTGAAGAACGTCAGCGGCATCAGAAAGCATGGGAAGAATCTCCAGGTTTTTCGTTTTGTCCAGCCCTTCGGTGTGTGGTAAGCCGGCACCTAAACCAACTAAGATAACCAATATTTATCCTGATCTTGAAGTTCTTTGGGCTAAAATATTTCACAATTTTTGTTGGTAGCTTGTGAGGAAACTCTTTCTGTCAAGAAATGCTTCCCCCTCCAGCCTCCATTTTGCCTCTTCACTCATTTACTCTTTCCTTCTTTCTCTAATGTTTGTTGAGCACCTTCTCTGGGCAACTCACTGTAACAATGAATGTGTTACCTAGAAATGTCAAAGGAGACATTCTTTCTGACATTCTTGGAGTCTTACAGTGTATAAATTAAAACTTAAACATAATTCAGGGTAAGAAAGTCCTTGTCAGAGTGAGAAAGACTCACATAACTCTTGGGCATATGTATATTTTCCACTCACTGTTCATGCAGGTGATAGAATCAGAAGAACTATTTTCACTTTTATTTATTAATTTTATTAGCTGGAGCCAGGCATAGCAGCTCATGCTTGTAATTCCAGCACTTTGGGAGGCCAAGGTGGGAAGATGGCTTGAGACCAGGAGTTGAAGACCAGCCTGGGCAACCATAGTGCCACCCCATCTCTACAAAAAAATAAAAATAAATTAGACAGGCATGGTGGCATATGCCTAGGGTGCCACCTACTCAGGAGGCTGAGACAGGAGGATTGCTTGAGCCCAGGAATTCGAGGCTGCAAGGAGCCATGATCATGCCACTGCACACCAGCCTGGGTGACAGAGTGAGACCCTGTCTCAAAGAAAAAAAAATTATATTAGCTGGAATCCATTTCCAAATCTTTGGTCAAATGCACTGAGAGAAGGTGTAGCACTGCCTTTTAAAAAAAGTTTTATTTACATATAATTGACATATAATAAACTGCACATATTTATACAATTTGATAAGTTGTTTTGTTTTTGTTTTTTGTTTTTTGAGACATGAATCCAACACCACCCCTTCAACATTTCATCCAGTGTCTTGGTAATCCCCCACTCCCGTCCCTCCACCACTATCGCCAGGCAACCACTGATCTGTTTTCTGTCATTGAAGATTAGCTTACATTTTTTAGAATTTCGTATCGGTGGAATCATACAGTATGCAGCTTTTTGGTCTGCTTTCTTTCACTCAGCCTAATTATTTTGAGACTCATCCATGCTGTAGCTTTCCTTTTATTGCTAAATAGTATTCTATTGTATAGATATACCAGTTTATTCCTTCAATTGTTGATGGACATTCTGTTTCCAGTATTTGGCTATTATAAAAGTAAAACTGTTATGAACATAATATACACGTCTTTGCCTTCATTTCTCTTGAGTAGGTACTAAGAGTAGAATGGATGGATTATATGGTAGGTGTATGTTTAGATTTTTCAGAAATTTCTAAACTTTTTTCTGAAATGATTTTACCATTGCATATGTGAATTCCAGTTGCTCCACATTTGGTTTGGTCAGTCTTTTTTAATTTTAGCCATCCTAATAGGTAGGTGTGGTATGTCATCATGGTTTTAATCTGCATTTCTTTAATGACTAATGATGCCAAACACATTTTCATGTACTTATTTGCCTTCTTCATTTTTATGAAGTATCTGCTCATGTATTTTGCCCATCTTTTAGTTGCATTGTTTGTTCTTACTGTTGAGCATGGAGATTTCCTCACATATTCTGGATATAAGCTCTTTACTAAATAAATGCCTTGCAAATATTTTCTCCCAGTCTGTGTCTTATCTTTAGATTCTCTTCACAGTGTCTTTCAAAAAGCAGAAGATTTTAATTTTGATAAAGTCCAGTTTATTAATTGCCTTCCATGAATCAGAGGTTTTCTCTTACATTTTCTTCTAGAAAATGTATAGTTTTAGAGTTTACATTTAGGCCAGTGGTCCATCTTGAGTTAGTGTTTGCATGTGGTATGAGGTATAGATCAAAGTTAATTTTTTTTTTGCATGTGGATGTCCAAGTATTCTATCACAACTTATCAAAAAGACTATTTTTTCTCTACTTAATTGCCTTTGCACTTTTGTCAAAAATAAGTTGTCTGTTTATTTATGGGTCCATTTCTGGACTTGCTGTTCTATTCCACTGACCTTTTTGTCTATCCTTATGCCAGTACCACACTGTCTTTAGTGTAGCTTTATGTCAAGTCTTGAAATCAGTAGGTTTTTTGTTGTTGTTTTTGTTTTTTTAAGATGGAGTCTCCTTCTGTTGTCCAGGCTGGAGTGCATGATCTCGGGTCGCTGTAACCTCCACCTCCTGGGTTCAAGCAATTCTTCCTTCCTCAGCCTCCCGAGTAGCTGGGATTACAGGCATGGGCCACTTTGCCCAGCTAATTTTTGTATTTTTAGTAGAAACGAGGTTTCGCCATGTTGGCAAGGCTGGTCTTGAACTCCTGACCTCAGGTGATCTGCCTGCCTTGGCCTTCCAAAGTGCTGGGATTACAGGCGTGAGCCACCACGCCCACAGAAATCAGTAGTATTAATTCTCCAACTTTTTTCTTTTTCAGTGTCATTTTGGCTATTCTTGATCCCTTGCATTTCCATTTGAATTTTTGTATCAGTTTGTAACTTTCTACCAAAAAAAATTTTTGCTAAGATTTTGACTGGTATTACATTGAATCCACAGATCAGTTTTGTTATAGCTTAACAATACTGAGTCTTCTGACCCATGAACATAATATATCTCTCCATTTACTTAAATTTTCTGTAATTCCTTTTAGTAATATTATTTTAGTTTTCAATAGACATATCTGTCACATCTGTTGTCAGATTTATTCCTAAATATTTAATATTTTTATGGCATTAAAACATTTTAATTTTGTTTCTCATTGCTAGTATAGAAACACAATTGATTTTTGTGCATTTATCTTATATCCTGCAGCCTTGCTGAGCTCACTTATTAGTTCTTATAACTTTTCTATAGGTTCCATCAATTTTCTACATAGATGATTATTTTATCTGCAAATACAGTTTTGTATCCAATTGGATGCTCTTTATTCTTTTTCTTGACTGATAACACCATATAGAGCCTTCAGTACAATGTTAATAGAAGTAGCAAGAGTAGATGTCTTGCCTTGTTCCTGATCTTAAAAGGAAAGCAAGCATTCAGTCTTTCATCAAGTATTATATCATCTGCAGGCTTTTTGTAAATGTCTTTTATTAGGTTGAGGAAGTTTCCTTGTTCTTACTCTGTTGAGTGTCTTTAGAGAGGGAAATGGGCTAACCAGAGGTAGTTAGTTAAGACATAAAGGGCCAAGTGCCATGTCAAAGGTAGAATGCTTAAGGAACTAAGCCTCCAAGTAGCCAGACCTGTTGGGAGTCTGAAGCAATAACTCAAGAATGAGATAATGAATACTGCCACTGGTCAGTGTCAGCAGGGGTGAGGAAGAAGACACAGATCAAAAGATGTTTAAGGGGTAAAAATGACATGATTTGGACAGAATAATTCCAAGGTTTCTGGCTGGGGTCACTGGGTAAATGTGGTGCCATTTTGGTAAAATAAAAAATACAGAAATTCAGGAGCTGCACATTTGGAGGAACCAGTTTTATACATGCTGAGTTTCCACCAGGAAATAGTATGCAATTAAATATAGATATCTAGGACACTATGGAGAAGTAGGGGGGGAGCTTGGACTTAGACATCATCAGCTCACAGATGCAAGTTGAAACCGTAGGTGAGAATGCCTAAAGATGGTGGAGCCACTGATGCAGCAGCCGGCTCAGTTACAGTGGGCACGTGACAGCCTGGTTCTGGCAACCGCATTTCTGAAGTTAAACACTGTCCTAGTATTTGGACACACAAAAAATAAAATTTTTCAGTTCTTTTATGAATGCAAATTTTAGTTCAATCCCTTAAACAGAAGAATAAGACATAAACTAACAGTACTTCCTCTCATAGACCATGTGGGTGTGTCAGGGGTAGTGTAGAGAGGGAGATTTCTTTATTTTGTACCCTCTCACCAAAGAGAGCCACACAAGCCTAGAAAAAAAAAATGCGCCCTTACACCTTACCTTAATTTGAGAAAAGGCCAGGCATTTACTGGCATTTTGCTGGGACTTGCACATTTGAGCAAGGAAGAATGCAAGTGTAAATGAAGTTAGATTTCAAGCCAGTAAAAACTGGTTCTGAAGCTTTTTAAAAAAGATAAAGTCTGCGTGACTTTAAAAACTGTGTTAAGAGTCTGCTTCAGCAAATCCCTCTATCACAGTTTCTGGAATAAATAAAGATGGTTTAGGAGAAGGATTACTTACTGGAGCTAGAAAATTTTAAATTTTGTTAGGAATTACCAACTTGTTTTAAAAGGTTACAGCCAAATTTTTAATGCAGACTTTTTCAAAGTCTGTATTATTATCTGGAAGATGTCTGATATATGATGGTGTTAAAATATATATTATAACACCACTGATTGTTTTTCCTTCAGCTCTCTATTTTCTCAGATTGTCCAATCTTGTTTTTCCAGCATCCATACTTCTGCATGAGGTAAGGTCCTGTGTTGGCACAGGATTGCTCTATTTGCCATTCTGTGGACATTCGGTGCTAATGTCACACCTTAGTGCCTTTGCCCAGGGTCCACTCATCTGCCTTGTGAACTTATTACTTCTCCTCTGAGAACCCTTTCCCATCCCCTCTCTCCATCAGGAAGAGAAGACTGAAACACTTTTTCGTGTCACCTCTGCACAGAGCAGTCATTCTGTATTGCAATAATTTGTTTATTGTTGTTCTGCTCCTTTTTTAGATGAAAAGATTCTGAAGAATAGAGATCTTGAACATAGCATGGTGCCAGACACATAACAGGTATTCAATAAATGGGCCTGCCAAAGAGAGGGAGGGAGGAAAACAGACTTTTTAAGGAGCCCCTGAAGAATCTGAGCAGAAGGGACCTGAGACATAGGAAGACAAATGAGAAATAATAGTGTCATGGAAGCCAAGGGAGCAGAGAATTGTAACGGGAAGACTTATCATTAGTGTTCATTCCTATTGAGAGCCAATGAGATACTGAACATCCACATTGTATTTTTAGGATCTAAGAAAAGATTTCCTCAGCCATAATCATACCACAGGTAATACTGCAAACATTGTTACCCATATTGAGCAAAGATGTGTTGGCAACAAGACCTTTTGGAGGGAGAAGTCAGTTGACCTGTTTGACTTGGTGATATCCATCATCCTGATATTCTATACTGTTATTTTTTCCTAGTGGCAAACCCACTGATTAGTAGGTCATCTCAGTTGAAAACTGAATAGAGTTCAAAAATAAGAAATGTTTGCAGGATATGCAGTATAGCTGGGTCAGATTGAGATTTGGAATTAATTTGGTAAATCCATACCGGCCTAAAATCTTCTTGGCGGACCATTTCTATGAAGGTGACAATGAGAAAAATGGTGACGGTTGTAAAATTGTATTGTTCTCAATATAATTGCAGCTATCTCACAACAAGCAAAATAATTCAGTTCTATTTAAAAGCTGCCAATAGGGCTGGACACAGTGGCTCATGCCTGTAATATCAGCCTTTTAGGAGGCCAAGGCAGGAAGATCACTTGAGGTCAGGAGTTCAAGACCAGCCTAGGCAACCCCCATCTCTACAGAAAAAAAGCTACCAAAATCCACAAGGAAAGCATGGCTACAAAGTGAGTAAATGTCTTTCTACAGACTGTTTGAACAATCTGAGGGAAAGAAGATTAAAGTCTAACCAAGAAGAATAAAATTTCCATGATATTATAACACCATTTAATATAAAATACACAGCATCTTGAAGGATAATAAAATAATTCAAAAGAGATTAGTATATTGGATTCATAGGAGAATAGAGATCTTTAAAAACATAATGGTCAGCCAGGCATGGTGGCTCATGCCTGTAATACCAGCACTTTGAGAGGTTGAGGCAGGAGGATCACTTGAGGCCAGGAGTTCAAGGCCAGCCTGGACAACATGGTGAAACTCCATCTCTACAAAAAAATACAAAAAGTAGCTGGGCATGGTGGTGCACACCTGTAGTCCCAGCTACTCAGGTGGCTGAGGTGGGGGGTTTGCTCGAGCCTGGGAGGTGGAGGCTGCAGTGAGCCATGATTGCTGCCACTGCACTCCTGTCTGGGTGACAGATAGAGACCTTGTCTCAAAAATGATGATAATGATAATAATGGTCATTAAAACAGAAAATGTCCATTTATGTATTTAAAATTATTTATTTATACTATCAGTTTTGAAATTCCTCTTAGCCCAAAGCCTGTCTCATCGTTCTTCTGACCACCTGAAAAAAAAATTCCACTTTGGCTGTTGCTATACAGAAGGAGAGATGGACTTAACATTGTAATCTATAAATATTCTCATGTAGACAAACCAAGCTAAATGTTCTGTGGTTGATTGTCATTCATGTGGCAGCCAATTTAACTATTTTGAAAGAATGATTTACTTTACTTTTTCATGTTCACAGATTTAATACTACTTTTGAATAAATAAAAATTGTTCCTTGTTTACATTGCTCTAATACTTGAACAATAGAAAATTGAAGTTGTTCTCACTTTTCTCCATTAAAGAAGTGTATTAAATGAGCTAGATCCCCATCTGTTTCTATTCTCTATGAGGGGAAAATGAGTTGGGCAGGAGAGAGATGAAGTTGGACACATCGGGAACTTCTCTTGCCTCTCTTAGGTCATTTACTTTTTAGAGGTTTAGAGGACTTGATGTACTTCTGAAATAGGGTAGAGGATTTTTTTTCCTAATCATAATTTAAATGTCAGGAATACATAATGTTTTTATCTAAAATGCATTTTAGTGTGAAATGCGTCAACATGGATACTAGTAGGAATGCAATTACTTTCTAATATACTCTGGCAAAAATTTGAATTTTCTTGCTTTTTCTCTTTCATTCTGTGAACCTCAAAGACCTCCTGACAACTGTTACATAGGGCAAACCTAGTTAAGTGAGCCAGATCACTCCTTCACAGAGTTGATGCAGTGAGAATCTGCTTGAAACCAATAATTGTTTTTAGGAAAGTAGAGAAAGACTTTTAATTCCTTTTAGATATTACACACATTTAACAATTGTTATGGTGGTATAGTTTAAGGCATGAACTTGAACTTTGGAGTCAGATAAAACCCGTGTTCAAATCTTCTCTCCTCTAATTCCTATGTGTTTTACTCTGTCTCAGCATCTTCATCTATAAACAGGGTGATTAGGAGGAATCAATGAGGTAATGCATGCCAAAGGCTTAGCACAGAATCTGGCCAGTTTTAAGCACGCAGTAAATGATGGCTATTATTATAATGCATTCCAGGTGCATATGTACTTCATTCTGTGTTTTCAGCGGGACTCTTAAAGACAAAGGCACACTATGCAGACATACCTGGTGTACACTCTGTGTGATAATAACACCTTTCCTTAGAGACTTCTATTTAATCTCATACATGCTCTTATGTTGGCCCCATGGTAACAGTGTGATTGAGAAAGACACACTCACCAAATAGTTTGAGCTTCTGCTTTCCTGATTGATGAATTTCTCCCAGTTAGCACCCAATCTTTTGTGCCTAGGATTCTATCTTGCTTTATATTTGAAAATTAAACACTGTTCTTGAAGTTTGGGTTGTAGGAATGTATGTTTTTTCCTCCTATTATATCATTATCTCAAACTTTAAAAAATGCTTTTACTTTATATTTCCTTACTAGAAAAAATGTATTATCATTAGGGTGAGGGAGATTCAGGCAGTCTCATGGGCTTTTAGAAATGGTTTCATACAAGTCACTCATTGTTTTGAAGTTCATGGTACATTTCAGCTTGACAAAGTTATTCTAGGTCCTGGGAGGGAAGTGGTGCAGATGATTCTCAGAACTGGTGAAATAACTTAATAATCTAATACATAAATATGATTGCTGGATTATAATTATAGTTATGATTGCTAGATTATAATGGTAACTCTCAATTGGGCATACTTGTAAGGAAAAATGCTTTTCTCTCCAGAAAATCTGTTGTGGTTTGGAGACCTGTTGCTGAAAGGGCATAAAGAGAACAAAACTTGTATTAGTGTGGAAGTATATTCTCAAGTTGGTAAACAGAACCAGCTCCTAAATATCAACAAATATTAAAACGTATTTAGCATCTAGGAAACCAAAATAAACAGTGATTTCTGAAATGACCCCTAAATCCCTTATAATGTTATGTATCTATTGATTCCAGGCACTGGGAAGGGAAAAGGCAAATCTCATCTCACATTGCAACCAGACAGAACACAAAAGGGGTGTTGTGTGTATGTGACAGAGAGAGATTGCTGATGGACATGGGCATAGCATGGCCATAGAAGCTATCTGCCAGCTGGAGCACAGCATGGCTGGGGAAGATGAATTATAGAGTGATGATTTCTGCACAGTCAGTTAAGGAAGAAAGTGCAGAACATTTCCACATACATAGAGCAAGAGGGAAGGGAGCAAAGGACATAAAAATGCAAAATCCAGGAGAGAGAGAGAGAGAGAAAGAAGCTGGATGATAGGACAAGCAGGAATCTTGAGTGAAGAAATGCTGGTTTTTCTTAGACCACCAAACCCATTGACCATTTTAGTTTAAAGCTAGGCAGAATCCCCGCAAGGATAATAACGTTGACTTTTTATTTGTGAGTGGAGGCCTGTCATTACTTCTATGGCTAAGGCTTGTTTTCTAGACCTCTGACTCCACTGCCAGGCAGTAGGAACTTCTGGAGAAGCTATCTGCCAGCTGGAGCACAGGATGGAAGGGGTGGGTGGCAAGCAACAGCGGGTTCCCAGCACTGCTGCCTGACACACGCCCACAACCAGTTCCTTCCTGGTCATCACCAGTCATCTCTCATCTCCCTCTTCCAGCCAACTTCCAGTTGGCGGCCAGCCAAATAAGACACTGACTAAAGAAGGATGTTCGTTCTGTGTTATGTGTATAGCTTGAAACTTAAAGGTATGAGGGAATGTAAAAATGCTTCCCCAAAACTGTTTAAAATCCGTAAGAGTTTGGGAAATTATACAAAAAATTAGACTTGTAATTTACGTAGGCATCTATTCTTGAATAGTGAACTGTGTTTGCTTTATGGTGTTGCACCCATGAAGCTGAAATTTCATGCAGCAACCATTACACCACTTTTGTTACCATCCACTCTGAGTCACATCTGTTCAAATTCCCCAGTCTTCTGCCAACTGATGGTTTTTTTTTTTTATCTCTCCTCCCCTGTGCTATTAACTGTAGAAAGGAGGGGCTACTTAGTAATTCTACACCTGTTAAAGTCCACGCCTATCAACTTGTTAAGCTTCCCAAACAAGTGCAGGGTAAAGCATGAGAACATCAGAGTCTGGGGCGGCGGCGGTGGCTGCAACGGTGGCTGTGACGGTGGCTGCCGCTGGGTTTGGCTTTCTGGATTTTTGTTCAGAGTCGCTAATGTATCCCCCACAATGGCAGTTGATGACAGCAATTTATATTCCAGAACGAAGAACAAACTAAATTCATCTCAAAATGATTATAAATCATCAAGAAGGAGTAGCCTGCCACCTGAACTACTCATAGGAAATGACATTAGAGGAAGACTTCAAAGAAACATTAAGAACTTGGATCCCATTCACCTGAGGCACCCGAAGAAGAGACCATCCATATTTCCAGGTAGGAATTGTTTACATTTATACCATCCAATTGAAACAAAACCAAACACACACACACACACACAGATTATATTTCCCTTGTTACAATCAGATGTTCATTTAAAATTAACTTGGGTTACATTCGAAGACTTTAAGTAAATAAACATGTCTGAATATAAAAGAATAATTGTTTGATCTGAAAGCACACTATCTTCTTCGTTTTATTTTCTTTATTGATTGTAACATCTTTAAGGACCTGTAAATAGGCAGCTATTTTATTATTTGTTGGCATCAGCAGGAATGTGGAACTACTTTGCTTGCAATCCTGAAGAATTCCATTGATGTATTTCATTCTCTGGCATTTTTTTTTTTTGCAATATTATTGGATTGTTGAGTGAAGTTGATGTTTGTGTGCACCAAAAATTAACACCATTAAACACTCCAATGCATGCTTCAAATTCCTGTCTTGCATCAGAGCCTAAAACCATTTGTAGTAAAAAGCTCAACTGAACAGTGTGGATGGTGAAATATATTAGAGCACAGGAGACATGGATTTCAGTCTTGATAAAGGGACTCTGATGTCTGCCCCAGATGTTTATGTGTGCATATTATAGATACGTAGATTGTCAGAGATACCTGTGACTGCGAACCTTAATTGAGCTAAGTGATCACTGGAGAGTATAAATTATATGAATTATATAGCCAATTTGGTTTCAATACTATTTGCTTTGGGATTTCCAGGAAAAACTGAAAGTGGCCTTTTTGTTATGGCTGATCGATTTATTGGAGCCTTCTTTATGGGGGACAGATGAGACTAAATTATTTTTTGGTTTTCTGTATTCATAGAGTTAACCCAACACTTAGGGCTAACTCTATGAATGTAGGAAGCCAAAAAATAATTTAGTCGAGTTTTACTTCATAAAAATTATATGGACTACCCAAAACAGCTGACTCTTTATACTGCTTTTGGAAAGCGAGAAGATAAAGATGATTTAGAGATGTGGGACTCAAAATTACATTTCTTAAGGAAGCTATTTTAATAAATTTCTTCAGTTCAGTGATATTGCCCTAGTGTCACACTCTTCTGCAGAAAAGAAGCAAAACTCAGCCTGGAGTGGGCCAGAAGGTGTCAGTGTGTGAGTGTGTTAGGGGGAAGGAGAGGGGGATGGTATGAAAAGTGCTGGAAAGAGGAGCATTTGGGTGCCTGAAGTATTTCACAGAGCACAGTCACTTTCTGCCTGTTCGCTTGGATCTCCTAAGGGTACCAAGGAGCTCAGGCCTGCTGTGTTTCCTAAAACTACATGGTATGATGTACTTTCTGATGAATTGGTTCACTAGCCCTTCTTCCAGAACCTTCTTGCAGAGCAGTTCTTCACCTTTTGCTTTTTCTTCTCTTAACATTATTCTTTGGTTAATTATGTCTGGATTCAGGTACCTTATAATTCATCCTGCACTTCTCTGCCACCACCGACATAGCCCCACCCCCATACTTCATGGCCTTCTTCTTTCCAAACAACTGGATCCAGGGGAATGCCTCACTCCTGCAGCCAGCATTCCTGCTTTGCCCTCTCGTTCTATAAGGTCATCTGGCCCTGGCTGGTAGCTACAGCCACAAACTTATGAGAAGGCCTCTTGGCTTGAATCTTACATAAGTTGTCCTTTCTAAGATCTTGAGTTGACATAATTAATTTGACAAGGTGGAGTTGTGAAAAGAGCACTCAACTTCAGGGAGGTGAGTTCCAGTCTAGACTATGTCCTTAACTACCTGTGTATGTTCTCCAAGCTACCTCACTGACCCCTGTGACCCCTCAACTATACCACCTGTTTCTGCTCTTTCTGTGCCCAGTACTCTCCTTAGGGGCAGCAGCAGAAGAGGGGCGTTTCCCACCCCTCTCCCAACCTCTCCACTAGGGTCTCCAGTGGACAAGTTACAGAGTCACCTGCCCAAACTTCGTGCAATACTTACTGGCTACTTGATTTCTAAATCCCCGCTATGTAAACCACGACTCCACCCTCAGTCAGGCAGGTTTCACTAACTGACTGATTTTTACAGTGGATGATTTAGAAACTCCACTGGGCCATCAGTTTTCCCACAGTGCCTGCGTACCACCTGAAAACAGAAATGCACACAGATTGTGATAACCATTCCCATTCTAGCTACGCAGTGGCACGTAAAGAATAGGCATAATAGATGTGGAACCCAATGGTCAGAGAAATTAAGGCACATCTCAAAATTAATAAACATCAAAACTAAGATTCAGACCTTGGTCTTTTGACTCCAACACTGAAGCTGTTTCTACTCTGTTCCACTTTACTCCATTGTCAACTGTTATCATTTGTCTGATGAGATTCAAGACTTGAAGACATGTCAGTGTTCCAATCAGCTTTCACTCTGACCCTTATATACATACAGACAACTTTATCCTCTGCCTGAAGTCTTGTATTTTCAATCCTGCACCAAATTATTGATTGATTCACTGATCACTTCATTCACAAAATAATCATTTTGTTCTTACATTGTGTTAAGGATAAAACTTCAAGGATCTAACTGCATATTACCCTTTTTTTTTTTTTACCCATTGCTCCTTTAGGGCCATCTCACACTGCAGATAGTTACCTAAAATGCACATCCACTTGTTTCATTCTCTTGCGTAAAATTCCTCAAGGTTACCACTGCTGTTAGGATGAAGTCCAAACTCTTTAATATGAAGTACAAGAGATGCAAATTCTGGCCACTGCTTCCATCCCCAGCCTCTTTTCCAGCCCTCCTTCCCCTTGTGTTTCAACAAATTCAGCCACTTTCAGATCCTCATGGTCCTTCACATTTGCAATTCTAGTGTAAGTACTGTATACTCTACCTGCACAGTTTCACCCAACCAGTTTCTACCTTGGCTTTGGGGGTCAACTTGACATCCCCTCTTCCAGGAAGTTTTCTTGATGCCAGTGTTTGGGTTGGGTCCTTTCTGCATCCTTCTCATAACACCTGGACTTTTCCCTATCATAGCACTTATCACACTATATTGTCATTGTCTGTTTACTTCTCCGTATCTCCCACTTGCCAGTGACCCAGGAATGATATCAGTCTTGTTAACCATTGTATACCTAGTACCTATCACAATGCCAGGCACACAGTGTGCATTCAATAAATATTTATTCAATTGACTCAAATCACACTGAATGGAATTAACTCCTGGTATACCTTGTGTGCTCTGGCTTCTCCCAGACTCTGTCTGTGGCATTCTCCCTCACCTCCCAACATACAGACACACATACCACACACACACCCTGCATTTCTGTTATGCCTTTTCTTCCATTCTTCCGCTGGTTAAAGGCCAAATCCTAGGCTTCTATCTTCTTCCTCTGACCTCCTTTAGTTTTCCTTGATGCCACCTCCTTGACCTCAGGGATGCATTATAGTAACTTTATGTTTGTATGAAAACTCTCTGAAAAGCAGAGACTATCTCAGTTGCTTCCTTGCGTGGCTCATTTGTCTAGGAGGGGGGAAATTGCGCAAAGTAGGTATCCCATCAACATCTAGTGGTTAATTAACTGATTTGCTATGAAGCTGTGTCAACTCTGTGGAGCCTATCTGATTCTGGCTCCAAGAAAGAATTAGTTGGTAGATAGAGATTGCCAAAGGGAAAGGTCTTTATACTGATTTTTATAACAATCTGAACTCCTAGCTGGGGGAAAATGCAGGTATGGCTTATCTTAGTGTGTCATTCATTCATTATTAGGATTCTACTATATGCCGGGAACCATTCTAGGCCTTGGAAAGAAAGCAGAAAACCAGACAGTTTCTGGTTTAGGCTGATGGGAAAGAATTTTCCCAGCAGAGTACCTTGCGTATTGCACACCTCAATAAATATCTCCAGAGTAAAGGAATGAATGACCCTCGTGGTCACAGCAACGAATCTTAAAAGAAGAAACCAATATATTTTAAAGTCATATTTATATAAAAACATTAAACTAACATTTTGTTTTCTGTTAAAAAAGCCTCAACAATAGAATGTTAGTGTGAGTTATTTGGCTGAGGGTCCTAAGAGACCAGGCCTTAAGAGTCTAGGCCTCTGTAGCAAACAGGCAGCCTGTTTTCTAGTTCCTTCTGAAAGAACTCCAGCAGCTGAGTTCATAGCAGTGGGCCTAGCTTGGTTTAAGGAAGCAAAAGGGAGAGAGAGAAGTGGTCCTGACACACATCATGCCCACAGGCATATCAGATTAAAATGAACATCTCACCCTGCACCTGGAAAAAAGGGGGGCTCAGGCACCATGTGTGATGGGTTGTTCATTCAGCACTCTTAAACCAACAAGTTGGGATGTTTAATCAGCTAGTTCTTATACTATCATGCTGATTTTACAATTATCTGTTGTGAAAAGCAAGGAACCATCTGCTTGGAGGAAACAGGCAGCTCCAGGTACTTCCTTGTTGCTTAGTCAGAGGACAAGTGTGATGAGGACTGTTCACGACCAAGAGGAAAAGAGAGCCCTGGCCAGGACTCACATAGCAGGAACACCAGCATGTAGGCTAACATTGCTTCTCGTTTTTAAGTCAAAGTTCTATTCCAAACACAAGTTTTTTTTTTCTCAAATCCACAATCTAAAAAACTTACTTAAAATTATTTTATTTTTATAATTAAATGGATTTTGAGCATTTCTAAAGTTAGACTGCTGTATTTGTTTTCTTTCTGCATGTAGGTTTTTATTGGAAACATAAGGTAGTCATAGGAACAATGGTGGCTAGATGCTTTCTGACCTTCCTGCGGGTAAACAGCCTCTGTCAAGGAACTGTAGAGATGGGGGTCTGGTCTGGGTTCCCTCCTCAGAGCCTCCTCATCACAGCACAGTGAAGGCACTCTGTGATTAGGCGTGTCTCCTTAAGTGTTATGTTCTCTGTTAGAATTCTGTCATTCTGGAAGCCTGCAGACAGGTGTGTTTGATGACGTTTCAGTGGGGCCTTCAGGAGACATGCAGAACTTATGGTCAGGGCATCCATAAACATGTGCTATGAAGAGAGTGCCTCCTGAGATTGTATTCAGTGGCCTTAGGTTGCAAATGGGCTCAGTGGTTACAGTTTGTGAGGACAGGAACAGTGTCTTCCTACACCGTGGTATTCCCCACAACACTTACCACAGGGTTAGGTGCTTAAGAGCTGGTGAAGTCATCAGGCAAGGTGGAAGACAGACGATGTGCAAGAAGTGTGTCACAGCCACTCAGCTGGCCACACCCCTGCCCATCTGGTCACGCAGCTTCCTTAAATAGCTGCTTCTCAGGCAGGCCTTGCTCAAGGCCAGAGTCAAGGGAGCCTCAGAGACAAGAGTTTGAACACTTCCTCTCATGAGAGGACTTCAGCCCAGGGATTTCACAAAGTCAGTATCTGCTTCACAATTGGTTTCATGTTCTGATCCCCCATCTTACTAAACATGTAATCTGGGACAAGCCACTGGCTCTCTCAGAACCTGTTTCTTCATCTGTGAAATGGGAATGCAAACACCAGTTTCACCAGCTGTCTTAAACCCAAATGAGATAATGCATAACTACAAAATGATACACAAATGAGGTTGACTGTACTATTCTTATTCCTTGATGGCATTAAAGGTTTTTTTTTTCATAATTAGTACTTTTTCTTTGAATGTGTGAGTGGTAGATGCAATTGGAACCCTTTTGCAACTCTTCTTGGTTGGAAAGTTATCTAAAGTTGCTAATCAGACCCTCTGCTAATGTAAATTCTATATACTGAGACACTGCTAAACACCCATTAATTTTAACTTTCTCATTAAAAAGGATGACATAGAAACCCTTCTTTGTAGTCAATATAGATGTATTTTCTCAAAGTGAATCATTAAACTTAAGGGCTTTGTCATGTGAGGCCTCTGAAAATTGTACAATATTAGAAACATCAATGTCTGTGTTTAATAAACTTACTGGTAGCTTTACTGTGTTGAATGTCTCCACCTAATTTTGTTTGTTTAAAACCTTGCTTTTGGAAATTTAGCCCTTCAACTTTTCTTTAACAAAATCTTGGAATGAACTTCTGATTTAAAAAAAAAAAAAAAAGCTTATATATAATGTTGTACATGAGCTCACCACTTGAAAGTAATTTACTTAAATAATGAGATTAAATTTTAAAACCTTTGAGTGTCAACACATTTTTATTTAAAATTTGATATATATGGCCTTTCCTGTTTAAAAATACTGATTAACAAAAACTGAGATAGCCTGTTTACTTTTTATTTATTTACAATAAATAAATACAATAAATAAAATTTATTTATTTATTGGACAAGTTTACTGAGGATGGAGTTTTTGGTTTTGTTTTGCTTCGTTTTCTAAAAAAGGACGGAAACACACCCTTTCCTTAGGCGTCCTGCGTCCCCCGATTCCTGCTCCCTGGTTGCCGCGTCCTTGGCTGGCGTCAGAAAAATGGCTACAAACTTTCTAGTAGGTGAGAAGATCTGGTTCCACAAGTTCAAATATGGCGATGCAGAAAGGAGATTCTACGAACAGATGAACGGGCCTGTGGCCGGCGCCTCCCTCCAGGAGGCCAGCATGATCCTCCATGATATTGCCAGAGCCAGAGAGAACATCCCGAAATCCCTGGCCGGAAGCTTAGGCCCAGGGGCGTCTAGCGGCCCCAGCGGAGACCACAGCGAGCTCGTCGTCCGGATCGCCAGTCTGGAAGTGGACAACCAGAGAGACCTGGCTGAACGTGCTGGAGAAGAGCTTGCCCGGCCACTGGGCCACAGCCCCGCAGACCCAGCACATGTCTCCCATGCGCCAAGTGGAGCCCCCGGCCAAGAAGCTAGCCACACCAGCAGAGGATGACGAGGACGATGACATTGACCTGTTTGGCAGCGACAATGAGGCAACACAGCTGCGGCATTACCAATGAGGAGCGGCTGCAGCAGTACGCGGAGAAGAAGGCCAAGAAGCCCGCGCTGGTGGCCAAGTCCTCCATCCTGCTGGACTTCAAGCCTTGGGACGATGAGACGGACACGGCCCACCTGGAGGCCTGTGTGCGCTTCATCCAGCCGGACGGGCTGGTGCGGGGGGCCTCCAAGCTGGTGCCCGTGGGCTACGGTATCTGGAAGCTGCAGATTCAGCGTGTGGTGGAGGACAAGGTGGGGACAGACTTGCTGGAGGAGGAGATCACCAAGTTTGAAGAGTGTATGCAGAGTGTCGACATCGCAGCTTTCAACAAGATCTGGCCTGAGTGTGTGTGTGTGCCCGCGTGCATGAGGCCCTGACACAATTAAAAACTGAGACCGGCAAAAAAAAAAAAAAAAAAAAGGGACGAAAACAAACTTAATGAAGCTATTAGTGGTAACCTGGTTACTTTTAAGGAAAACTAGAATGCTAATACTATATTATTTATGTGCATGATTTATTAGCAAGGGGGAAACTGTTTTTACCTTTATGTAGGGACTGATAGTGAGCCCAGTATGAGCAGAAAATGTTAGATTTATAGCTCAACTTTAGATTTTTCTCCTTGTCATGAAAAAAGAATCAAAAAACAGGGTTCTGAATTCAAGACTTGCCTTATAAGTATATTGAGAAATGACTTGAAGAGATGTGGCCTAAAAGCAGTTCCTTTTCAATTGTTGCTCTATAGCTAATGTGTAGTTACAGATTTGAGAGCTTCCACATAATTTTCTCTCACATTCCTAAATAATGCTCTAATTATATATTCATATCTGGACTATGAAAATATTTTTATATCTGTGTAATTTAATATTTACTCAGTATACTCCAGTAATACTTTTTAAGCACTTGTAGTTGTCTGTCTAAGTAATGCTTTTAAAAGTGTTTGAGAGGATAGTGGCCATCCAGTTACTCAGTTACAAAAGAAATGGCCATACCCAACGTTCTTTGTTTCAAATAATTTGGGGGAAAGTAGCTACCTAAGGAATCTTTGCTTAAGTATTTAATTGTTATACCTCCATCTTTTTTTATAATCTGGAAGAATATAGATTTGGGAATAGAGGTTTAAAAAATGGGATGAAATGGATAGTTTTTGGTGACATGAACGTAAAAACTCTCATTACAAGATGGTCAGAGCTGGGCTCAGTGGCTCACGCCTGTAATCCCAGCTCTTTGGGAGGCTGAGGAGGGCAGATCACCTGAGGTCAGGAGTTCGAGACCAGCCTGACCAACATGAAGAAATCCCATCTCTACTAAAAATACAAAATTAGCCGTGCTTGGTGGCACATGCCTGTAATCCCAGCTACTCGGGAGACAGGCAGGAGAATCCCTTGAACCCGGGAGGCGGAGGTTGCAGTGAGCTGAGATCACGCCATTGCACTCTAGCCTGAGCAACAAGAGCGAAACTCTGTCTCAAAAAACAAAAACAAACAAACTGGGCATGGTGATGCAGACCTGTAATCCCAGCTACTTGGGAGGCTGAGGCAGGAGAATCGCTTAAACTCAGGAGATGGAGGTTTCAGTGAGCCGAGATGGCCCCACTGCACTCCAGCCTGGGTGACAGAGCAAGACTCCATCTCAAAAAAAAAAAAAAAAAAAAAAATGGTCAAAGTATTTTTCAGTCATTATTTTAATGTTTAGAATTTCCATCCTAAGTGGTGTTCATTCTTTTGAGTTAAACAACTGATTGTCAATGTACCCTTGAACATCCTGGGAGTTCAAAGCACATAGATGGAGGAACAACAAAGAAGATGTGTATTTTTGTCACTAGATTAGATTTATTGGTGTGTTCTCTCAGCTATCAAATAACTTCTCTCCCACCTTGACACTTAAGACAGACTAAAGTCATCTTAATGAATAATTAATACTGAATAAAGCTTTAGAGTAACTGATTTTTATAAGCAAGAAAGAGGCAATTTCAAGATACACTATTTTTAGGTTTTAAGTATCAAAATAGATGCCGAAGGAAAATTAAAGGTATACCTAAGAAAGACTACATCTATTCAACAAAAATCTAAACTATGTTGTTGCATGTGTATTGGGTGCAAAACACGGTACAAGGACTCAACAATTGTTAAGACACTGATACACAGTAATCTGCTTTCCTATCTAATTTTTTGCTAGGAGAGCAGAATGCTTTAATTTGGGTTTTCCTGCTTCATTGACATCAGTATTTAAGCTTCCCTATTGCACCAGCTAATGGCAATACTGACACTATGTCATCTGGTAGAGAATCCCTAATTGGCAACGATGTATTTTCCTCCAGGAAAGTACCAGGGGCCTTAGGTGTCCTCCACATCAGGGTTTCTTAGTTGGGGGTTTGTATGCTTTTTGTAATTTATGTCTGTTCTCCACACTCTAAAAAACAGCTAAGTGGCAAACGGTCATAAGTCAAATATCCCTCCTCAAGTCCCAACTCAGGAACAGTTTCTGGTTTTTTGAGAGTACATTGGAGCCCCTGCATAACAAAAGGAATATTAACTTACCAATTTAGGGCTGTTGTTTTCAAACGATTGTGCAAATCTGAATTTCTGGAGGAGGTTTTCCAAAATCCACAGGCACTGGCCAAGAGATGTGATTTACCAAGTCTACACTGGGCCAGGCATCTAACTGCAGTGTGAACATTTTCCCAGGTTCATCTGATGTTGTCCCATCCCCTGGTCAAGAACTACTGACTTAAAGAAAGTGGAAAAGATCTTCAAAGATCAAAGTTTATTTGTAAACTATTCTAAGTTTCACGTGTAAGAAGCAGGAGGCAGCTATGCCTGGCAGACCTCTGTTGCTTCCCCTTGCAATCCAGTCCCCTTCCACGTACCCACCCAACCACTACCACCCTCGAAGTTTAGTGTATTCTCTGGCAAGAGAGGAACCTGTAATTTGAGTTTCATCATATGCAAAGTGCCTCTGTGTCCCCACTCATAACTGTAAAAACCAGAACTGCAGAGTGCAGAGGTCCAAACACACCCATATTACGGTCTTTGTTCTAAATCCTGCTCACACCATAGGGTAAAATATTAGGACTCGCTCTGTGCCTCTCAACCATCTTTTTTTTTTCCTTTTATTTTTAGTTGACATATAATAATTGTACATATTTATGGGATAGAGAGTAATATTTCCATACATATATACAATGAGTACTGATCAAATCAGGGTAGTTAGCATATCCATCACCTCAAACATTTATCATTTCTCTGTGTTGCAAACATTTAGAATTCTCTCTTCTAGCTTTTTTTTTTTTTTTTTTTTTTGAGATGGAGTTTCATTCTTATCACTCAGGCTGGAGTGCAATGACGCGATCTGGGCTTACTGCAACCTCCGCCTTCTGGGTTCAAGTGATTCTCCTGCCTCTGCCTCCCAAGTAGCTGGGATTACAGGTGCACGCCACCACACCCAGGTAATTTTTGTATTTTTGGTAGAGATGGGGTTTCACCATATTGGTCAGGCTGGTCTCGAACTCCTGACCTCAGGTGATCCACCCGCCTTGGCCTCCCAAAGTGCTGGGATTACAGGCCTGAGCCACCACACCCAGCTTTGGCTTTATGAGAATGTACAATAAGTTATAATTAACCACATTCACCCTACAGTGCTACAGAACACCAGAACTCATTTCTCCTATCTAGCTGTAATTTTATATCTGTAGACCAACCTGTCCCCATCCTTCCCTCCCCCTTGCCCTTCCCAACCTCTGATACCCCCAATCCTACTTTCTGCTTTCATTAGCTCAAATTTTGGGGGGGCTCCCACAGGTGAGTGAGAACATGCAACAATGAATTTTTTAAAATGGTAACAGTGCCTGTTAGAGGCAGCTGATTAGAGTAAGTTGGATGAATGAGAAACATTTCAAGGTTTTTAAAAATAAAAGCTCTCAACAATACAGATGATATTATAAAATATAGAAATGTTTAATGAAGAAGAGTTAATGAATATCATCGGTGATACTGAGTGCTGCACAGAAACTTCATTACTCAGAATTAGGGTAAACTATAGCTACATATTTTCTTTTGTTACTGAATCACATCCATATGAAACAAATAGCAATCTGGAAACTTCTCAAAAGAAATATTCTCGAAATGTGATTATTTATAATAAGGATGCCATGAATCACTATATAGTTATTTAAACAAAAGGCAAGGCAGTTTTGGAAAACTATAAACATTGCAAAGTTATGGCCTTGTATTTTTTCTTATTTTCTGCTAAATTAGAAAGAAATTTGCTGTTTCAAATATACTCAAGCTGTTCAGTTCTTCAACAAAAAGTAGGTGACTGAAAACTGTATGTTTAACTATGCTTAAGTTAATATTTATAGTAATGATAGAAGCCATTTTATTGGCAATATATCACTTCCTGATTTCCACACCAGGCATTCCCACATGCACAAACAGGTGTGTGGGAGGAAGGGAAATGGGCAAGAATGATTTCCTTCAAGAGGCTACTGAGAATGAAAACTCAAAATCTGCACAAATAGGGGTGGTGGAAGGAGAGAAAGAAAACTCCATGCCAGAAATAACATGCTTAGCAGAGAGAGAGAGAGAAGAAGAAGAAGAAGGAGGAGGAGGAGGAGGAGAAGAGGGGGGAAGGGGGAAGGGGAAGGGGAAGGGAGAGAGAGAGAAGGAAGGAAGGAGAAAGAAAAGAAAGAGAAAGAAAAGAAAAGAAGGAAGAAGAGGAAGGAGGAGAAAAAAACAGCAGAAATAAAGTAATGTGGCACCTATATCCACAGACATATCTTCCAGCAGGTAAAGTGTAAAGTAGTTTTTATTTTGAAAAGTTGATTGATACACACAGGGCTAGATAACTGATAAACTGCAGATAAGAAACTGGGTTTGGTGCTTGCCTGTGGGAAATGAGGATGTTCCTTAAATGTCACCTAGATGGTTAAAAGGAAGGGAAGTATGAGTGAGTCACTGCCGATTTGATGAGTAAGGGTTCCTTCTTTAAAAGGTTCTTTGGGATGGGCACGGTGGCTCACACATGTAATCCCAGCACTTTGGGAGGCCAAGGTAGGCTGATCACCTGAGGTCAGGAGTTCAAGACCAGCCTGGCAAACATGGCAAAACCTTGTCCCTACTAAAAATACAAAAATTAGCTGGGCATGGAGGCAGGCACCTGTAATCCCCAGCCACTTGAGAGGCAGAGGCAGGAGAATTGCTTGAACTCGCGAGGCAGAGGTTGCAGTGAGCCAAGACTGTGCCACTGCACTCCAGCCTGGGTGACAGAGCAAGACTTCATTTCAAAAAATAAATGAATAAAGTAAAATAAAATAAAATGTTCTTTGAAAGTTCCCAAACATTGAAAATAATGATGAATTAACAGAAGATTGAATGAAATGAGATAGTAAGAATCGAAGGTTTCTGTTTCATTCTCCCCACAAAACAACAACAGACTCTTTTATCTCTAACCAACTGCTGCCTTTGGAGGTTTTATAGGGATGTTGGCTGGGGTAGAAGTGGAGAACGAGACAGGGAGAGAGAGATTGAGGCTTTTAAGAGTTGCTGGCTACTCCTTCTGTTGCACTTCTCCTTGAAAGGCCTCCCTAGGGCAGTCTACCTGTTATTGCTCTAAAATTAAGTTAGGATCTAGCTCTGTTGTAGTTGGGCAGCAGAGGTAGACATTATGCCAATATATGCCATTTTGATGTTCAGATAGAAGTCCAGCATTGTGAGTTACTTTCATTATGTGTGAAAATACGGTGTGTAGAAGTAGGTAAAAATTTGCTCAAAAATTCACTACATTCTTTCAGGAGCTATAGCAAAGCAGCAATTTATGATTTTGTTTCTTTTAAATGTGGAAGTTTGGGATTCACAAATGCTATGAAATAGATAAATACATAAAAGTTGTACACAAAATGCACATTAACCAGCTGACTAGAATTTTGCCCCAACCCCGAACTGGAATGTTTATGAACCCCTAATCTCTTGTACTCTGCAATTCTAACCTCAGTGTGCCACATTGCTGCATGTTACTCATTGCTGAATGGAGTGGCACATAACATCTATTTAAATGCTGCATAATAGAACTATGGTATCGTTTAGGACTTTATATAAAAGTTATAACATTTGAAATGCCATGAATTTCATCCCAGTGGCAACATTTCTGTAGTCAGCTTTTAAGGAATATGATTAGATGAGATGTATACTCCACTTTTAAAATATTTTAATTATCAGAATTATAGAATTACATGTTTTTTTTTTAAGTCACATAGATTCTTCAAGCTTGGATCTTACCAAGCCTGGACATCAATGAGCTATTTCAGTTTGTTGTTGTTGTTGTTTTAATCAATGATAGGGCATCTTGGAAAGCCTATGGCATTTCCTCAAAAGTTTCCTTCTTATTTTCCCTCCTAATTATTAATCTTACATAAGATGTGCCAAGATTGATTCTTGGGGATTTACTATTTTTTGTTTATAGATCAAGCTTCAAAAAGTGCATGGTGGTTATGCTGTTGAAGAACTTAGACAAGAAAATAACTCACTTGGCAGTGAGCACAGTGGAGAATCAAAGAATCAATGAATTGTGGATCTGAAAGAAATAGAGAACATCAAATTCAGTGCACTCATTTTACAGATGAAAAACTGTAGACCTACAAAGACAGTTGACATGGAGGGTCTTCTGATTCCCGTAATGTTCTATAGCATCATCCTTCATGAGATCATCACAGAAACCTAGTTTAAGAACCTCTGGGTCATTTTTGTATGCATGAAAAGTGAGAAGAAAATGATACCCACACCTTCCTGTGGGTCCAGAGGCCAGCAATCCATGCATCAACCTGTGTTTATTAAATACCCACATGCCCTCTGCTGTGCACCAGATATTGGTGGGCAGGGCTGGTGTGTGAATTAAAAAATACACGTCAGTCAGACTTGGTGAGACACTTACTCACAGGTGAGCCTTAGCCTAGTGCACAGCATCAAGACCTCAACTGGTTTTATTTTGCAGTCCATCCTTAAGAGAGAAAAAGTCTTTCTTTGATGAAAATAGCCATTAGGTGCAAAAGAGGAGATTTTAGTTCAAGGTATTATAGCTCTAGCTGAAGGAAACACACAGGAAATGTGATTCTCCTCAGAGATGTGATCCAGGAGAAAACCAGGATCCTAAACATTCCTTTTTGAGGAATATGTCTCAGGAAATATTCCTTTTGAAAGGTAAGGGTCTACCAAATGGTCACCATCCTCACAGACAGATTTGTTACAACTCCCATTTCACAATGAGGAAACTGAGGCGTATGGAAAACAATCTGTTAAAAGTTAAGAGAACAAATTTGAAACTGGGTGAAAAATTGCAACTTCTTAGCTTTAAGTTCTCCTTTACCAAATATTCTCTGAAGTTTATTCCATTCTCATGTTAAAAAAAATTGTAACCAAAAGCAGCATTACTACTATGTATCTTAGTAGTTGAACAATAAAGTGCATCATTTTTCCCACACAGATAATAACCAAATTCTTATTTAAAAATCAATTAAGAAACCTCTAATTAAAGGGGCAGTGAATGGAAACAGTAGACTTGGCCTAAATATGCTTGTGGAGCAGCTGGGGGCCTGCATCTGTCATGGGTAAAATACTTTACTCATTTGTGGGAAGTGGGTCCCCTTTTGTAGGTTGTCAGGGCTCAATTTAGTCCCTGAAAAAGATGTCACCCTATTATTTTATGTGGTCCTCAGCTTAAAAAGGTGTCTAACTGTAAGTACTACACCTCTAAAGAGAGATGTTAGAAATAATCACTGCCTTGGAAAAAAGATTCTAATAAAGCAAATTTTAAAAACAAATACAAAGCCAAATTTCTCCTAAGCACAAGAGTTTGAATATGTAGAAGGTCATTTTATTTGTTTTTTGTTTGTTTTGTTGAGTAGTAGAAGGAAAAGATCATATGACTTCATATAACCCACATGGCATCTGGGAGCACTTTGCTCTTAAAATTTAAGTAGATTGGTCAAGCTTCCATTCCATACATAGTCTCAGGCTCAATCCAAAGATTTTTATAACTTTTCAGGGACATGGGTCCTTGTGCTTAAGTTTCTGCTCCTGTGAATGTTTTGTTTGTTTGTTTTTCCTTTTTTGGTCGTTTATGATTTTTTTTCCCGGATATTGTCTCTATTCTGTACTGTGTGTGGGTTCAGAAATGAAGTTCACCTTCTTGCCTTGATTTCTGCAAATAAAAACTCAACCCAATCATAAAAGCCTCTGTATGTGTAGTGGATTCTACTGGATGTCTGGAGAGACAAAAAGAATTCCAGAAGTAGATATTCATTCAGCACAAACAACTTTGATTTAACAGCAGAGGGCCCTATTCTTGAAAAGCCCTCTCAACCACCCTCCCCTTCAAGATTTCTTAAAGCGTGTTCTACCAGTATTCAACCTCTGGCCATCAAGATGGCTCTTTTTTCCTTCTCTTCCATCTTTCCTTTCAAATTTCTTTTTACCGTAATGTCCCCAGAATTTTATTTTCTTCTTCCTCGATCATATAGAGCATATCTGCTCTTTCCAGCCTTACTCCCAAGCCCTTCTTCAGACCTATCATTGCACATCTGAAACCAATCAAGGTACCCCTCATAAACCAAAGGACCACCTGAGACTGCTCCCTTTCAGCCCATGGTTATCATAAGGGTCCATGAGAACCATCTGCAAATCTTGTTAAAATTTCAGATGCTGGTTTATCAGGTTTGGGGTTGGCTGAGGAATATGTATTTTTAATAGTCATGATTTGATTCTGTTAGAGGGATCTTCAGCTTATTCTTTGAGAAACTCTGTAGTCTAACAAGACTCATCCTCTGCAGAAGGCAGTTGGAGTCCAGAGAGCATTTTTTTTCTCTTTTGCATATACGGTAAACCTTAGTCCAAACAGAGCCCTGGAAAATATGCATGGTGATTGGAGTTAAACATCCCTGCATCATCCTGTTGCTCAGACTATCTTGCTTACCAAAGACCATGCTCTTTTTAGAAGCTCTATCAATTAAAACTTTGGTACACTCATCAGGAAGGGATAAGACTCATATTTCTCCTGTCTTAAGAGGATTTCTCTTGCTATGAAAATGGTTGTATTCACTTGAACAGGCACAGTGACTGGTTTAGTTAAGGGACATAGAAGATAAAACTTGTTTGGGGACAACCCAGGGAACTTAAAGGATCAGTGAGCAAGACTATCTTGTTAGCAGAGTTCCACATTATTTTATATTTTTATTAATTAATAGTTTGTGATAAGTTCATATGTTAATTTGAGTAACAGCATTACTCAATGAGGGTAGCTTTTTTGCAACTCATTTTACATTATAGCTTTGTCCTTTTTGAAAAATAATTTAATTACAAAAAATCAGAAAACTGATTGGAGGGTGATTATCAAGTGTATAAATTATCCATACTATGAATTGATAAATTTCCTTATATAAATGCATTTTAAATTATTCATTTTATAAAAATGAGATGTATGCTTTTCAGGAAGATATCAACTCTTGTGTGAATAAATAAATATCTGTATTATTCCTAAGAAGTTTACTGTCTTTTGGCACGCTTCTGTCATTTTTCTGTCTTAATTATTAGCTCTTTGAATAGAAGAGCTAAGTTTTCTATTTTTTTCCTTTCCTTGACACATGTATCCAGTGATTTCTGCCCACAGTGGGTGCTCAGGAAATGCTGATGCCCTTCATCCCCATAACTATGTTATATTCTCCTCCTTCCATTAATAGTGTGTGAATCTAACTAATAATTTACCCACCTAGTGTGCCCTGGATTCTTCCTTCTAAAGTGGGATAAAAATAATAGCTGATCCCAGGAATGTCTACCATCCTAAAGACTCCTGGAGTCTAGAACTGCATTCCTGAAGTAGTTCTCTCATCCACTGGTAGATTTTCTGTAACAATCTGCCTTTTTTTTTTTTTTTTCTTGATAGTGTCTCTCTCATGTTTAAGCTTTTTTCGGAATCAAGCCCACATTCTTCAGCACGGCATTGAAGACTCAGGAGCCCTCCCAGTCTGGCCCCATGCACAGATGGAAGGCTTTCTTTCCTGGTCCTTATCCTTCTCTGCACAATACTCCAGTCACACCACACCATGGACTGCTCTCTGACCCTCATGGCATTCCAGTGGCGTTATGCTCTCATACAGCCTTCCTCATTTGCCCACCTTGCTTGTCTCTGACTCATATTCTATTCCAAGGCTAAGCTCAAATGTCATCATATCTCTCAAACTGTCCCTCACACTCCCACCCCCACATGATTTAGTTGTATTCTGCCTTTTGTTCCACAGGTCTTTGTACATCATGGTATTATGGTGTTTAAGTCTGTACATATGTATTTGTATTGCCATCCCCAACCCAGGCTCCAAGCCTTCTGAAGGTAGAAAACTGTATCACATAAATGAAGAATGAATGAATGAATGAATGAGTAAATATTTAGCCTATCTGTCTGAACTGCCTGCTCTGTCTTAGCCATTGGAAACATGCTTAGAACTAAATCATTTTCTAAGAAACAATAGTCTTCCTTAGTATTAATTTTATATTATTTTTCTCTCTTCTCTCCAAGCCCTTATCACTTGGATTCTTGCTATTTTACTTTTGCTTTAAGATATCCCTGTTGTCTTATTAACTACTTTGAGTCCTACACAGATTTATGTAAGTGAGAAATATACAATATCCTATGTACCTCACCTGAGCTAAATAAAATCATTTTCCATCAAAGGAAGCATCACTGTTTTCACTTCTCTTTTCCTTACTATATTTTGGATAAAGATGATGTAGGCTTTTCATGCGCCAATCAAGTTGCATAATGTTTTTGAGTCAGTATTATTTACCAATTTATCTTGCTTCTGCATATATTGTTGGCTATGATTATATGACAGTTTCTCTTGTCTAACACACATTTACAAAATCAAAATTTTCTAATTCTCTTTAGTTTTGCTGGTGTCATTATGTATGCCATAGTTGCAAAATTGTGTTTTGTGCAACAATATAGAAGAATAAAATACAAAGGATGAAAAGAGACTCAACAAGGAGAGATAATCTTAAACTTGTCATAAAATAAAAGTGAATTTCCTAAAATTATTAATATGGTGACAAGTATATACAAATTTTGCATTAAATAATTGGGTGTAAATTCTTAACCCTAAGAAAGCTTATTGAACGATGGCTTTTTGATGTATGGAATGGATTGTTTACCAAATGAAGCAACATAACAGATATCTCTGGAATAACCAGCTTTACAGCTGACAGCAAACTCCTTAGGCCAAAGACTTTACATGTTTGGCACATTGTACTTATTGTACATCAGTGCTGTTTAAATATTTAATAGCAGTTGCTCCCATACCTATTCCTGGCTGGTCTAGCCTTCCTGACTTGTCATGTTCGTAATCAAATATGTATTTCTACATTAATCATTTGGGGTGTGGTGCCACTTTTAATCCCAGGTGGGATGATGCCATCTTCTGAAGGCTTGGTTGTGCTCTGGGTGACTAGAATAAAGATAATTAGCTATGAATATCAAACATTACTTTTTCTTTTTCTTATTTAAAAATATGTTCCTTTTTAGAGATAGATTCTTTGCGGAGTGAGTGTATTTTTTTCTAAAGATGAAGTAGTCACTGTTTTTGAAAATACTCTAGGACCTGGGCTTCATCATCCAGGCTTTATAACTAATGACGTGACCTGACCTCTCTGGTCAGTTTGGTTATCTGTAAAGAAATCCTCCTGGGCTAATTGCAAATGTTTCCAGCCCCAGAGTTTTAGTGTTATTGCCTATTTCCAGTTGTAATATTTGTGCTTATTTACTTAGAAGAAATAAATTAGTTTACTTTTAATTTTTACTGGGGAATGTAAAAAAAAAGTGCTCCTACTTAAATGTTTAATCTGTTTTGTGATTTATTTCTTTAAGGGGAATTTACCCAATATTCATTATATAGAAAAAGAGTCATGGCAACATATGAGAACTCCAAAGCATATACATATAGAATAACCTAGCTATTTAATTATGTAAATTTTAAAAGAAAAACAAAATGTAGTGATAGAAAAGAACAAAATCTCTTGGATCTGGAGAACAAAAGACTACTAATTGTGTGAACTGTGACCCTTGGGTTCTTTATCAATTAAACAGGAATCTTTCTGTTTACCAGAGAACAAGAAATGAGATAAAGACATGAAGATCCATTGTGACTGTGGACACTACGATAGGGGAAAAGTTTCTTTTTAAAAAAATTTTAATTGTTGTGGGTACATAGTATATGTTTATATTTATGGGGTATATGAGATGTTTTGATATGGGCATACAATGTGTAATAATCACATCAGGGTAAATGAGGTATCTTTCACCTCAAACATTTATCCTTTGTGTTATAAACAATCCAGTTATACTCTTTTAGTTATTTTTAAACACACAATTGAATTACTATTGACTGTAGTCACACTGTCATGCTATCAAATACTAGATATTTTTGTGTAAAGATAGTGCTAACAGACTGATGCTTTGTTTTCTGGCAAGGGGAGTGCCTTCATCTTCATCCACTCACACTTTCTCTCCTGACCTCTCTTCTGACTTTTGCCACAATTTCCTTATGTCTGGCCACATTTGGAGTTACCATTTTTGCTCATGCAAAACAATATTTGTTGTTGTTACAACAACACTAATCAGCCCACAGAAGGATTTAATCGTTATTTGTTTTCATTAATAGCTTCTTCCAGACACCCAGGTGTATCTGCCAAAAGTGAAGTAGTAAAGGCCCCATGAAAATGCTATACAAACCCTTTTAATTTTACTGACTTTGACTTCCTTTCTTATCGGGGAATTCCCAGTCTCCGAAGTTTTGTTTATGCATGCTGCAGTTTCCAAGGGTGACTGCAGTGAACTGGAAAAGTTCTATTTGAAGCCACTTTCACTTGTATGAGGTTAAACAGTCATTCAGAGAAGTGAAGCCCAGTTAGGTTTTTCTGCAGGAGCACCTGAAGGTTCTGCTTACACTAAATCTTTGGAGTTAGGTAGCCTTCAACACCTAACAGCAACTACTGTGCTTCCCATTACAATTATTTATGCCTATGTTACTTTCACATTTAAATTATTAGTATTATATATCAATGTGTAGATACAATAGGGATAATACCCAGAAACATATAAGCCATGTGCACAATTTTTCTTTTTCTTTTTTTTAGAGACAGGGTCTCGCTCTGTCACCTAGGCTAGGGTACAGTGGCACAATTGTAGCTTACTGCAGCCACAAGCTCCTGGGCTCAAGTGATCCACCCACCTCAGCCTCCTGAGTAGCTGGGACTACAGCTGTGCACTACCACGCTGGTTTTTTTTTTTTTTTTTCTGTAGAGATGGGGTCTCACTATGTTGCCTGGGCTGGTCTTGACTCCTGGCTTCAGGTGATCCTCCCACCTTGGTTCCACAAAGTGCTAGAATTATAGGCATAAACCACTATGCCCAGCCCATGGATGCTATTTTTAAATGTGATGTTTTATTTATCTCTCTAAATATCTTTAAAAATGAATACTTCTTCCAAGGAGTCCCTGAATACTAATTTTGACCTTTCCATCATCGACTAAGATCATCTTTCCTTATCTAATCTTCATTTTTGTGTTAGTAATACTTGTAATTTTTATTGTCCTGATCTTTGCTCCACATTTTTCTCCTCATGACTGTAATTCATAGAATCATGCAATAAATCATTTATTCATTCTGCAAACACTTTTTGAGTACCTATTACCTGCCAAGCACTGGTCTAGATCTGGCTCATAAGTATTGAAGTCTCCTGCTATTGTTATAGAGCTAACTGTTTTTTCCTTCAGTTCCATCAGTGTTTGCTTCATATTTTTTGGAGCTCTGTTATTTGGTACATATATGTTTATATTTTTGGGGGGGGTGTGGTGTGGATTGATCCTTTTATATTTTGGGATGTCCTTTTTTGTCTCTTATAACACTTTTTGATTTAAAGTCTTTTTTTGTCTAGTACTAATATAGCCACCACTGCTCTCTTTTTGAAGCTATTTGCAGAGAGTAGCTATTCTCATTCTTTCACATTCAACCTGTGTGTCCCTCCTAGATCTAAGATGAGTCTCAGCATATAGTTGGATTCAGTTTTTTATAAATCCATTAAGCTAATCTATGTCTCTTAATTAGGGAGTTTAATTTATTTAAAATTAAAGCAATTGCTGATAAAGACTTGCTATTGCCATTTTGTTATTTGTGTTTTGTAAACCTTATAGCTATTTGTCCCTCATTCCCTTTTGCCTTTCTTCTTTTGTGTTTACTTGATTTTTTTTGTAGTGACATGTTTTGATTGCCTTCTCATTTTCTTATTGTATATTCTATTTTCCTAGTGGTCACCACGGGGATTACAGTTGTTATTTCATCAAATAAGCTCTCTGTCTTTTTCTCTATCTGTTCTCCTTCTGGAACTCTCATAATGCCTATATTAGTCCACTTGATGGTGTCCCATAAATTCCTCTGTTTCTGTTTATTTTTCTTCACTCCTTTTTCTTTTCTTAATCAGATAATAATTTCAAATAAGCTATCATCAGGTTTACTCATTCTTCTGCATGTTCAAACCTGCCGTTGAACCCCTCTAGCAATAATTTTTCCTTTTTTTTTTTTTTTTTTTGAGACGGAGTCTTTCCCTGTCACCCAGGCTAGAGTGCAATGGCGCGATCTTGGCTCACTGCAACCTCCACCTCCCAGGTTCAAGTGATTCTTCTGCCTCAGCCTCCCAAGTAGCTGGGATTACAGGCATGCACCACCACGCCCAGCTAATTTTTTTTTTGTATCTTTAGTAGAGATGGGATTTCACCATGTTGGCCACACTGGTCTCAAACTCATGACCTTGTGATCCACCCGCCTCAGCCTCCCAAAGTGCTGGGATTACAGGCATGAGCCACTGCACCCAGCCTCTACCAAGTTTTTCATCTCAGTTATTGTGTTTTTCAACTCTACAATTTTTGTTTGGTCCTTTTAAAAACTTTGTTGACGGTCTCATTTTGTTCATGCATCGTTTTCTTGATTTTATTTAGTTGCTTGTCTGTGCTCTTCTTTAGCTCATTGAGCATATTTAAGACAGTTGTTTTAAAGTTTTTGTTAAATCCAAGGCCTGTGTTTCCTTTAGAGTCAGTTTCTTGAGATTTAGTTTGTTCCATTGAGTGGACCATGTTTCCCTCTTTTTTGTATGCCTTGTGACCTTTTGTTGAAAATTAGGCATTTGAAAGAACAGCCTCCTCTCCCAGTCTTTGCAGACTGGCTCTATGCAAGGGAAGACCTCCAATAATCAGCTTCTCATGATATCTCAAGGTCCTTTCAGATTTTTTCTGGAAATGTCTCTTCCAAGGGCCGGCACATGTGCTTTCCCCTCCAGTTTCCCTCTATACACAGATGCTTTAAATGCTGTAATTTCTCTAAGAGTCTCACTCTGCTTCTTCTCAGGGCCTTAGATGTTATATTGTATTCCTCTGCCCATAATATTTTGCCCACAGGTGCAATCTCCTTGCAGCTCAAAACCCAGTACTCCTGCCACTACTTTCAGCAGCCTTCAATTGATATTTAAGTTATGCTACTACTCCCTTCAGTGCTCCTAGTCAGGTCAAACAGAAACCAGTCCCTTGGACAGCTGCCAGACAAGCCATAAGATTGCAAGCAAGTTCCACTCTTTTTCTTCTTCCCTGAGAGAGGAAGTGGGACTGGGTGGTATACCGTGCTATGTTGGGGAGTAAGGTGACAAAACGTCCTGTTGTCAAAACAATGGGACTCAAAAGTTTGGTGTTCTTTTGTTTTTTTAGGTACTCACTTGGTTGCTGCAGCTTCTTAACTGGTTTCTAGAGTTCCTACAAGGCTACGTTGGTCCCTGGGTTTCTCTTTATATAGTGTTTCTATAGGGAAATGAGGGCCTATAGCTTCTAGTCTGCTATCTTGCTGATATTACCCTTGCTCATAAGTAACTCATAAATCAGGGATAAAGAAAGATATATAATGAGAATGACATAAACAGTTTTGTGTTTAGAATAAAATAACTCTTAAGACTAAATACTCTTGTACAAAAAGAATAATAAACTTCAGAACCAAAGAAACCATTAGAAACTCCTCACATATTAGATTAGGCGAGAAATGGTAAAGGCTTAAACTAAGACAGTAGTACATACTCAATAAATACTCAGAAGGTGCAATTCAAAGATTCAGTAGTCTATTGGAAGCATTGGCCAGGGATGTGAAGATGGAAGAGATATGGAATAAAGAAATAGACGAATAGGTTCCATTAACTCTGTGATTTTAGATAAGTTACTTAGCCTTTGTGAACTTCAGTTTCATCATCTATAAAATAGGATGGTTGTGAAGGCTAAAAGGATAACACATTTAAGTGCCTAGTAGATAGTAGGTAACTAATAAATGCTAATTTCTTTTTTTAAATATATCTACCTCTGACCAACGTATCTAGATTATGCAGTTTATTGGATGATCATGCTACTCACTGAAATGAAGAATAGGGAAAGCACAAAACAATCTTTTAAATCTTTGGGTTTTTTTTTTAACTCCTGTGCTTCAGTAATAATACACATTAGACAGGTTCTATATAAGGAGCTGTTTGCATTTTTGTTTATCTCTCTCAAACCAACTGTCCCAAGCATCTTAAAATTATTATCTGATTCCCAGAACATTCCCCTTAAATTGGGCAGTGTGCAAGGTCACTTTTTGCACTCTGGTTGGCTCCAGGCTATTCAATAAATTTGGAGTAAAGTGATAAAAATAATTTCAGTCTCCTAGCTCTCAAGCCAATGTTTTGTTATCAACTCTGAGACCTTTTAAGAATTCTGTGAGAATCTTCTCCAAATGGCTCTAATTTGACAGATTTACAGCCATGTAAATATATATGTGCATTCATGATGACAGTTTAAATGTTGTAAGTAGAGTTTATGAAAGGAAAATTGAAAAAGGAATTTCAAATAGCCCCCTTTTCCCCATTAAGGCACTGACCGTTTTATAAAATCATGCTTGCATAGGCTAAGATTCACACTGCTATCAATACTAGGGAATGTAAGTTTTCGTGCAACTGCTGTTTCATATGGACTGTATATCTAACTTAACAAATCATAATGTAGGTTTTAAAGAATGAAACGAGCAATTTTAAAACCTATTCTAGTAACATTATTTTTAGAATAATCAGGATAATTTAACTCTTAATAAATAATGCAAGAGTTATGATCTATGCATCAAATTTTAAAAGATCGTAATTATGTATGCAGATATTCCATTCTGATAGGATAAAAATCTATTGGTTTATAAAATGTGAAAGCTCAGAATTTGGGATAATTCAGGCCTCCAGCCAGGGAGTGATGTGAGCAGTTAGTACAAGCATACCCTGGGCTCTTTCCTCTATGTCACACCCCACCCTCCCACACCACCAAGAAATGGAATTTTCCACAGTGGTGTATTTGATTTGTTATATGTTTTGAATTATTTTCAAGAAGAACAGAAGCTATAAAAATTTCAAGTAGAATCATCTAGTTTTTTTCTCCTCATCCTTTTGCTGTGATACATATCCTGAGTCTTATTTCTTATCTTGTGAACTAGCCAAATATGTCAGCAAAATGTCACCTCCTATAGAGAAAGTAACAAAGACATATTTTTTGGTACAATAAAAATGACAAAATACAAATGGAATTCTTATTATAATTCATTCTTACTCACATGGAGATATTTTTGTTCGGCAAAGTCCTGATAGCTAGAAGACACAGCTGTTCACTGGGTGATGCTTCAATCTATTTTAACATGTGATATTGTATTATTCAGAGATTTGACTCGAGAACAGCATAGGACTGCATTTCTAAGAGATGACACATGGACATGCACAGACACAGATAATAATTTTGCCTTGTAAAGCCTCATCTCATAAAAGGCCTGGCTCAGATGATAAGATTGCTCATGAAGTCCTGATGTAATTGACACAGGTGCCATCTAGGTGATCGCTGACTTCCCAGACTCATGGGCTTCACCACCTTCGGGTGCCTTTCCCCACTCGGTGCAGTCCTTCCTCCTTCCCTGTTCCACCAATGCCTTCCTTGTCCTAATTAACTCCAAGACTCTTTCCGAACATGGCTTAGGTGTGAGCCCTTCTGGGAAGATGCCTTGGGATCCAAGCTGAGTTAAGTCTCCTTCAAAGTACTCCCTAGCATCCTCTGCCAACCTTGGTTCTAAGGTTCATTCTCATCTTCGTTCTAGTCATTTGCCTGTGTCCCTCATTAGACCGTGAGGTCCTTGAGGATAAGTACCACCTAATTTGCCTTGTTATTAAGAACACCTAGAATATTGTCTGGCACCTAGGCAGGACTCAGTGAGCATGTGTTAAATGAATACATGGACAGATGAATGAATGATTGCATCCTGATCTGTAAATGGCATACTGCCATGTGTATACACGAGTAACAGCTAACTCTCACCAACTTCTTTCCGTGTGCCAGGCACGGTGGTTGGCTTCTTAGTAATATTCACTCATCTAATCCTTCAAATAAACCTTTGAGATAGATATCTTTATTTTCTTTGTTCTGTGGATAAGAAAATGGAGGCAAAGAGAGTTAAAATGACCAAGACAGCACTATGCAGGCAGATTTCAACCTTTGATTTGTTGGGCCCTTTACAGTCAGGCTACACTTGAAGTTATATGGCTGCTTATTATAAAAATGTGTTGAAATCACGAAGGCTGAAGGAATAGCTACAAATCTGTCTTTTACTATACTCTTAGTGCTAGTGGAGAAAAAAACTACATAATTCTTAATACAACTCTGTGAATATTTTGGTTCATTTTCTTCAATTATTTTTTTCACATTTAAAGTATATTCTTATTTCCTGTATATGTATATATAATATTTATATTAACGCTATATTATATTCATACTTGCATTACTGCATTGTCTCCATAACCATAATAGTTAATGGTGTGATAATATTCCATGTCAGTTGATATCTGTAGCCAAGTACCTGCTATTGGACATTTGTTTCTCTCTAACAATGTTATGATGAAAATATTTGTGTGTATGGGGAATTTTTGTGACTTTTCCTTCACTTTTCATAAAGGAATTTCAGAATGAAAGCCACGCTAATTATTGAACCATAAAAGAATCCAGAGCCCAGACATTCAACACTATTTCTGTAATTTCTAGAGGTGCTGTATGAAGAAGTAAAGATTGATTGTGATGAGTCCTTGAGTTGACCTTCATTAGCTGGGTAATCTGCCTTGGGGAAATGCCCCAGATCCAACAACCCAGAGTACAGTCTGAGGAAGAACCCATAGTTTATTTCACATTATAATACAGAAAAAATCTGGAGAAAACTAGTGTCCATCATAGTCACAAATGAAAGTCAGATATCGTCAAAAAGGGACCATGATATCATGAAAGGTTTGTGTGGAAGAGAGCGAGGAGCCCCAGTGTGAAAACCTTGCCTACATTGTTTTGGTGGTTCTGGAGGACTTTACGCTGGAAATCTCAGGAATTAAAACGTCAGCTAGTGTCACTGATGTCTGCTTTCTGGCATAGGTGGCTCCAGAGCCATTTTACACTGAGGCTTTCTGAAACATTTCAGAGAGCAGACTGCTGCCTGGATGAGGGTAGAGATCATTTCTATTTTTGTTTTCATGTTCAACACTGTGTGTCAAGCACTTAGCACAGTACTTGGCACATGGTAGGTGCTGACTAAATATTTGTTAAATGAAGGCATAAGTATAGTAGAGAGCACACACTTTAGAATCAGAAATATTTGAGCTTGTATCTATCATTTGCATACTGTCTGGCCTTAGACAAGTGACTTAACCTCTCATAGCTTCAGTTTCTCATGTGAAATGAGGACAGAGTGATTTACCTTGCCTGGTGCTTTATACATAATTGCTCAGGTGTAAGGTGATCAGTAAGAAGTACTCACATGGGAGAAAATCCAGAGATCACCTATGGCCAAACAGTGCCTTGAGTAAGAGATATAAAATAGGTAAGAAGATGGGGGAGAGAAGTACACAGGAAGCATAACCTTACCCAAAAGCAAAAGAGCAGCAGGAAAAATAGGAATAAGGTGTGGCAGGAACTCATTAAAAATACAGTAGAAAGGGAAAGAACCAGTATTTCTGATTGCTTTCTGGAATTCCTTACAGACCTGATGAGTTATTTCCCACTTGTTGACACCTTAGTTCCTTCTTTGGGTAGTCTCATTTTTTTCATACTGGTTTCTTTTGTACCCCTAGGTAGATTATCATTATAGAACACATAAATAGACACAGATTTTGTGACATGGGGATTTTGAAGTATTGTCTTTTAGTAGATCCTGCCATTTTTTAAAACATGTGAAATTTATTTTGAAACTCTCACTTGGCTTCCAAAGGACTGCCTAGAAATCTTTTTAGAAGACTAACTTGGAATAAAATAGAAATTACAGTTTGATAGGAATCCTAGAATCCTAATTTGTCCCTTGCCTTAGAGCTAGTGTACTCCAGTTAGGCTCTGTGTGTTCGTGTGTGTCTGTGCAGGTGCATGCACATGCGTGTATGTGACTCAGTAAAATGCTGTTACATACTGCATATGCTGGATGAGAACTCTTGAAAAGCCAAGACTAAAAAACAACAATAACAACAACACTCCCAGCTCACTGTATGCTGATCTGCTGAAGACACCTCCTTACTCTATTGTCATTTCATATTCAAGGATTTCCCTCAATGCTGAGCTTCCTGTAGAGCATTTCTTTTTGATCTTCCACTCTTCCATTATTTGAACTGCACCTTCGATTTTATAAAGCCTGAATGTTGATTAGAAAAAACCTGTTGGCCGGGCACGGTGGTTCACGCCTGTAATCCCAGCACTTTGGGAGGCCAAGGTGGACAGATCACAAAGTCAGGAAATCGAGACCATCCTGGCCAACATGCTGAAACCTCATCTTTACAAAAATACAAAAAATTAGCCGGGCTTGGTGGCCTGTGCCTGTACTCCCAGCTACTCGGGAGGCTGAGGCAGGGGAATCGCCTGAACACGGGAGGTGGAGGTTGCAGTGAGCTGAGATTGTGCCACTGCACTCCAGCCTGGTGACAGAGCGAGACTCCATCTCAAAAAGAAAAAAAAAATTTAAAAACCTGTCAATTCCCTCATAGACCTCCAAGATCTTTATCACTGGGTCGGGGTACCAACTTCCTTGATTCTCCCAAGAATGGCTATGTCTTTCCCTTTAATGTATAAAATAAATTTCTCTTATTTGTGATTTTTTTTTAGCTTCAGTTTTTTTCTTTAAATTAAAAAAAATTATAAAGCACTCCAAAAATAAAAAATATTACAATAGATAGCTGTACACCAGCCCTCAAAATGAAAAATGCTAATATTTAAGAAAGTAAACCTCACCTCACATATACAGCTAAATTTCTATCCCCATCCTTTCCCCATTACTCCTCCCAAGAAATAACCATTGTCTCCTGACATTGGTATACTTTATTCCTATGAAGTGTATTTTATACAAGAGGGCTCTAAAAAGTACATGGAAAATGTGTATTATGAAAAAAACTATGCATGGATTTCAGATTTTGACACACTAAGAAGGATAAGGCATCAGTTTGAAAAGAGCCCCTGTCAGACCAACATGAATTCTGCTAAAATGAAGCAAGAACAAATATCAAATATATACTGAAGCTTGAGTGGAAGAAAGGTTAAATCATTGATGCTTTATGAAAAGTTTATGAGGATAATGCCTCCAAACAAATCAACAGTTTACAAATGGGTAATGTGTTTTAAGAAGAGACAAGACAAAGTCAAAGATAAAGCCTACAACAGCAGACCATCCACATCAATTTGTGAAGAAAAACAATTAATCATATTCATGCCCTAATTGGATAGGACCAATGATTAACAGCACAAACAATAGCCAACACCATAGACATTTCAATTGATTCCTCTTACACAGCTTACACAATTCTGACTGAAAGATTAAAGTTGAGCAAACTTTCCACTTGATGGTGCCAAAACCATTGCACCCTGATCTGCTGCAGACAAGAGTAGAGCTTTCAATGGAAATTTTAAACAAGTGGCATCGAGATCTTCAAGCATTTCTTCAAAGAATTTTAAGAGGATGAATTTTATCAGTTGATTCTAAACACAAAACACAAAGCAGTGGCTACCGGCCAGGCGCGGTGGCTCACGCCTGTAATCCCAGCACTTTGGGAGGCTGAGGCGGGTTCATCATTTGAGGTCAGGAGTTTCAGACCAGCCTGGCCAACATGGTGAAACGCTGTCTCTACTAAAAATACAAAAATTAGCTGGGCCTGTTGGCTCACGCCAGTAATCCCAGCTACTCGGGAGACCAAGGCACGAAAATCACTTGAATTCGGGAGGCGGAGGTTGCAGTGAGCCGAGATCGTGCCACTGTACTCCAGCTTGGCCAACAGAGTGAGACTCTGTCTCAAAAAAAAAAAAAAAAAGAAAGAAAAGAAACAATGGCCACCAAAAGGTGGAAGTGGTCCAGTGAAAGCAAAAGCAGACCAGTCAACAGCAGAGGTCATGGCAACAGTTTTTTGGGATGTTCAGGCCATTTTGCTTGTTGACTTTCTGGAGGGCCAAAGAACAATAATACCTGTCAATTATGAAAGTGTTTGGAGAACATTAGCCAAAACTTTAGCAGAAAAGTGCCTGGGAAAGCTTCACTAGAGAGCCCTTTCCTACCATGGCGATGCTCCTGCTCATTCCACTCATCAAACAAGGGCAATTTTTTGAGTTTTTATAGAAAATCATTAGGCATTTACCTTACAGTCCAGATTTGGCTCCTTCTGATTTTTTGCTTGTTTCTTTCTTTCCTAATCTTAAAAAAATCTGTAAAGACCACCCATTTTTCTTCAGTTACTAATGTAAAGAAGACTGCATTAACATGGTCAAATTCCCCGGACCCTCAGTTCTTTAGGGATTGACTAAATGGCTGAAATCATCACTTGCAAAAGTATCTTGACCTTGATAGAGCTTATATTGAGAAATAAAGTTTGCATTTTTAAAATTTTCATCTTTTAATCCCATTTTTCCATGAACTTTTTCATGTCCCTTCATATTTTTACCACATATATATTTATTTAATTTTTATTTTTATTTTTATTTTATTTTATATATATATATATTATATATATATATATATATATATATATATATATATATATATATATATATATATATTTTTTTTTTTTTTTTAGACAGAGCCTCGCCTCTGTTGCCCAGGCTGGAGTGCAGTGGCGCCATCTCAGCTCACTGCAAACTCCACCTCCCGGATTCATGCCATTCTTCTGCTTCAGCCTTCCAAGTAGCTGGGACTATAGGCGCCCACCACCACACCCAGCCAATTTTTTTGTATTTTTAGTAGAGATAGAGTTTCACCGTGTTAGCCAGGATGGTCTCGATCTCCTGACCTCGTGATCCGCCCACCTTGGCCTCCCAAAGTGCTGTGATTACAGGCGTGAGCCACCATGCCTGGCCACCACATACATATTTATTGACAAAAATATATCTTGCCATGAGCCCAAGGCCTTATTTCCTGTCTCCAGTCAGCCTGGAACTGAAGCTCCCAGGTTCCCAAGACTAGCCACTGTTGCCAGCCTCTCCTTCCAGGGCCACCATGGTGTCACCTCATGTGCTCACTGGTATTCAATTATTGGGTCGTTTCTGGAACCCTGTAATTTCTCCTTTTCTAAAAACTTAGCTATGCATGTTAAAAATGGTGTCCCATATTTCAGCCCATGTATCTGGGTGATTTTAACAGGAAGATTTTCATGTTACGTATTCCACAACACTGCAGAAACCAGAGGTTCTAACTTCATTTTCATAAACCAAACGTTTGCCTATAATAATCCTTTTATACTTTGGGGTTTTTTCAATTAATTTTTAAATTGACAAATAAAACTTCTTTCATATTTTTATGGAGTATAACAGTACGTTTATATAAAAAAATATATATACACACACACACATACACATCGTGAAATGACTGAGTCAAGCTAATTAACATATCCACTACCTCATGTATTTTAAAGTCTGGTTTTAACGTTTTGGTAAGACTGTGCCTTCTGTCAGTGTGCATCAGGGCCTCTATCTAGAATAATGAGTCCCCCCAGGCCTCAGTTTCCTCAGTTGTCTTCTAACTGTAAGATTCAATGATTGTGATGAACTGTAGTAACATGAGACAAGTGTTTAGTACTTGACAGAAGTTTTTACAATAGCATTAACTAAATGTTAGCATAATACCGCATAAAATTTTTAGCAATTTTATTATAAAAACACCTTTCAGCCATGCGCAGTGGCTCACGTCTGTAATCCCAGCACTTTGGGAGGCCGAGGCAGGCATGTCACCTGAGGACAGGAGTTTGAGACCGGCCTGGCCAACATATTGAAACTCCATCTCTACTAAAAATACAAAAATTAGCCAGGTGTGGTGGCATGCTCCTGTTGTCCCAGCTACTTGGGAGGCTGAGGCAGGAGAATTGCTTGAACTTGGGAGGCGGAGGTTGCAGTGAGCCCAGATCACACCACTGCACCCCAGCCTGGGTGGCAGAGTGAGACTCTGTCTCAAACAAACAAATAAACAAACAAAAGCAAACAACAAAAAAAAGCCTTTCATTTCCTTCTTTGAAAAAAAAAAAATAGTTCTCCAAAGTGACGGTAGATATTTTCTTTAAAAGACCTGTATGATCATGGAGTAAAACTATTTGCTTAATAAGTGAACATGAAAGTTTTAGCAAATTACCTCAAAAGTTTGCATTTTTTTTTTCTTAGTAGTGGGCATTTTGTGTTTCTTTCTTGACAATGCTTCTTTTGCCCTTATCCACTCCTTAATCAAGATTAGTTCTAAGTTTTTAATTATAAGTAATTTACTTTGTAGGTCAAGATAGTTGAATCCTGACTGATTACCGGAAGAGTGAAACTAGAAATCCCATTTAAGTTTCACCCAAAACATTCTATTCTCACAGAGTCATTTTGTCTTTTGGAAACTCTGGGTTGGAACTCCATCCCCTGGACCATGTTCCACCTGTGTTTTCCAATGTCCCTCATGCTTTCCTGCAGTCCACATACTTGTTTTAAGGCCAGTAAACTTGAAGTATTCAGTGGCTTTTAGCCAAAACGAGGAATACAATTGAGTAATTTCAAATTCTTCCTGATTAAATATGTTGTTATGAGATTTGGGGAGATAACACATTCCTTGAGCTCCACCACCTGTAGCCGCACACAGATACACAGTCACAAGGTTGTCCTAGCAGCTTCCCGCTGGGAGTTGCATGATGTGGGATTTACCCATACAGAGCTCCAGAATCACCAGCAGAGCCTCTGCTGGCTCCCAGTTCCTAGCCCAGAGGTTTGCACTTAGTTTCAAACCATGACTGAGACACCTATTTTATTCTAAAAGTAGTGCTGAACAGTTCTATTTCTCCCTTAGAAAATACTTTGAAATACATTTTATATTGCTTTGGGGATAAACGTAGGCTTAGGAAAACTGAGTGTGATGGAAAACAAAGGGTCTGTTAAAAGGACTGTTTGGTGAGATAATTCTGGCAGGTAATTCTGGAAAATTTAAGGAAACCTTGATGTATAAGTGTATCCTGAGATTCTTGGGAAAGGTGAGCCTCTAAGGTCCTCGTCAAGCAGGAGTTGTAATCGGGGTTCTCTTTTGGAGGATGGGTAAAGAATTGAAGGGGCATCCAAACCAAGCAACAGGAAATCTGGATTCTAATCATGGTTCTGCCTCAAAATGTCATTATGACGTAGGGCAAATCGCAGACCCTGTGGTCCAGTTTTCCTCATCTGGAGGTTTGTGGAGGTGAGATGAGATGACACCGTAAGTCCTTGTCCATCTCTAAAGAGCATGTACTCATCAAATTCCTCTCCAAATACAACCAATTTTAAGTTTGTTTCCTTTAGTACTGGCCCAAATGTTATGGAAGCCTGGTACATATCGGTGCCTCCTTGTTTTTTATAGACAGACTGCTTTCACCTTATGGACTTAGGCTAGGGATTGAGTAACCTGCTCCTTATTCCCTGAAAGCCATTCGATTTCCTCTAGATTCCTTTCTTCAGGTCTTTGCAGTAGTTCAATGCCGACATTAACTTTTTAACATCTCTGTTCTAGTTTAACTATCAAGGCATCTATTGCTCTTGTTTCGTCCTTACCACCATGCACCATACCATTGACCTGCTTCTAGGTCCATTTATTTATTCATGTATTCATTCAACAATCGTTAAGCACCTCCAATGTTCCAAGCCCTACATGAGGCGGGGCTCTTTTCCACTTTGGGGTTGCAAAGTGGACAAGAACACAGTTCCTAGGAATATATACGTCTGAGCACTGCTCTGGTGGAGATCAGCAAGGTGACATGGAACTATACAGGAGGCAGTTATTTGCTCTATTATGTTTCTGAAACAGAAGATCTCAAACCTTCAGACCTTTAAATCCACTGTTATCCAATAAACCACAAGCCCATTATAACTCTTGATTTATTTCTATATTATTGAATTGGATTCTGCCTCGTATTCCAGTTAGTCACTGCAATATGGTTGCTTACTTTTCTGTTCTCCGTCTAGTTTCTTCAGAAATGGTATTTATATTTATTTCTCTTTGCTCAAATGGATATCATAAGGAAAATGTGAGGAAGTCAGCTATGTTTGGAAATCATTCCACACAAAAAATTGCTGTCTAAGACATTGTACTTAATAGTCAGTTTCTAACAAAAATTACAGATAAAAATATAATATCTAGCCAATCATATTTTGAGTTAGTTTACTCATATATATATTTCTGTTCTTAAAAGCCTACACTAAGGACATTTAAATGCTTAATTGATGAAGATAATTCTGAAGATGTGACATTTGTTTAGAGTGTAGCTAGACATGAAGAGGAAAAGCAGGAAAAGAAATTTAGATGGAGGTATGATGAAGGATGGCAATTAAATGCCATGTTTTTCTGAAAAGAGGACAGCTTTTTTATCTCAATAATTTAACTGTAAAACTAGGGGAGCACTTAAATTTGAACAAACCAACATCTACTGGTGAAAGGAGTAATTGAAAGCTAACATTCCTATTGATAGTTAAACGCTGCATAGAATGAAGTAGATCCAAACAGCTTAGTCAAAGTAAAAGTAAGAAAGAATTTTAAGGTAGAGTACACAGTGCATGTAATGGAAATTTGAAGTATATAAACTGAAGGCAATAACAGAATCATGCATTAGAAGGAATAATGCTGTGGAAGCCATGCATTTGAAGGAAACTGGGTGGTGGCCTCAGCTCTTCTTTCTTCCATCCCAAGAAAGCCCGCTGTGATGCCCCAATACTTCTGGTGAATTGTTAAATGCTTCTTTGACCACTTCTGGAAATTTTTGAAGACAAAGAGATCCCTTCTTTGCAAACAGTTTATTCTATAAGTGAGCAACTGTGATTGTTGGAATTTTTTTCTCATACCGCAATCAAATTAACCTACCCATACCATCTACCAAGTTATTTGCTCTGAAGGCACATGAAGTTGAGTATTCTTCATGATAACAGCGCTTTGCATATTGGTTCTTCTAGATTTCTCAACGAGATATTTCTCAGTTTTAAAATCATTCTTTCTAGGAGCTTGTTTTTATACTTTTCAGTATCTTGGGCCTCAATTTTTCAAGGTCCCTCTTAAAATATGGCACTGATCACTCCAGATGTGGTTGGTCTGAGCACTGCCAAAATGACTGGTGAACTCTTTATTATCTTCATCCAGCTCAAGGTTATATTTCCTTTGGAGGGTTAGTTCTTCCATATTAATGTTTATAAAGAGAGTTTAGTACTTTATTATCAACCTTTCTTAGCTTTGAATGTATCCGTTCTGTTTATTTCTTTCTATTTAATTCACAAATGCTAATTGAGCACCATGCTATTTTAGGCACAGTGCTGGGCCCTGGGGACAAATGATGAATAAGACTCTGGCAGGAGAATTTTATGATGTTCTAGTGGGAGTGACAGACACATAAAAATAATTATAATGTGATGTGTGATATATATATAAACTTTAGTGCTATTAGAACATAGGATGTGGAGCAAACTGCCTGGGGAAACTGGTAATGGTTAATCATTCACTCAATCATTTGATAAATATTTGCCAAGAACTGTCTGTGTGTAAGGTACATAATAGACACTCATTTATGTGATTATGAATCCCTCTAAGTAAGAAGTCTATATTTTTCTAGATTATGGGAGTTTAATAAAAGGTTTTTATAAAATTCCTTACTACATTTTCTTTTTGTCTTTTAATCTGGTAATTCTACCAGGATATGAAAGGAGGTTGATATAAAGAATAACTATTGGTTGCTAATGATTGTTGATTTCCTTTCAAAGTTCTTAAAAACTACTTGTTTTATAATTTGCCCTGGAATGTGAACAAAGAATAAAATTCATGTTATAGTTTTACAGTTTGTACGATATGCCTTTTACCTTTCTTTGGAATTTACCACTGCTTCCCTTTGTTATAATTCCTCCAAGACTAATAGCAGCATTTTCGTGATCACATTTGTAGTTTTTTTAGGGTGCTCATTTGTGATTTTGTGGGGGTCATGAGGACTTGAACTCAGAGTCCCAGGGTATTCCTTTACTGTCTCTTATTTATACTAGGCTTTTATTCCCTCTAACTCATGTTTGTTGTAATTTAAAAATAAGATTCAGTGATGGAGAAGAAAGACACAAAATATTGTGAGGAATTTAGTACTCCGACCTCAGTTCTGAATCCTTCCCTCCTCCATTCAGTAGATATTTATAAGTGCAAGCTTTGTTCCAGATGCTGGGCTTTGCACAGACCTTAATATTCCTTCGCTCTGCCCTCCTTGGATCCCCACTGCTACTGACCTGGTTCAGGCCCTCATCATTTCTCACCTGATCTTTTGCAACAGCCACTTAACTCATCTACCTGCCTCCAGCCTTGTCCCTCTTGCTCCATCATTTGCCAGGCAGAGTTCTCTGATGCGAAAATCTTACTCCCCTTCTTAAAACTTTCATCTGTCTACCACCTACAGGATAAAGCCCCAAATCCCCCACTGCTGGTCCAGAGCTGCTTAAGTTCCCTTCATCCTCCATGCTGTGTCTCCTGTCAGTGTCTGTAAAAGCTTCCATATATTGCATACTTGTTACATGCCAAATACTGAGTGACAGATACAACACATGTTGCTCTATCTGCAATGCCTTCCTTGTCCCAGTCCCTTCACCTAGCTCCTAGTTATTCTTCCAGACTAAGCTCATGTGTCACCCTTCCAGGAAGTGTTAATTAATACCAGCAACCGCCCACCCGCATCCCTTCCCTATATAGTTTGAGATGGGAATCCCTTCCTGCTCCCATGACAGCTACCTCTGTCACTGTCTTTACCACATTATTTATGTGTCTTTCATCCCCAGACTAGCATTGTCCATTAGGAACATAATGTGAACCACACATATAATTTTAAATTTTCTAATAGCCACAATAAAATGGGAAATATTAATTTTAATATATTTAACCCAATATGTCCAGTATGCTATTATTTTAACGTGTTGTCAATATAAAAATGATTAATGAGATGGTTTACATTCTTTGTTTATACTTAGTCTTTGAAATCTGATGTGTGTTTTACACAGTACATCTCACATGCTCGATAGCCACGTAGGACGTAGTGGCTACCATACTGGATAGTACAGGTCTAGACTATGACTCATTGAGGACACAAACCACATCTTGTGTCCCTGGCACAAAGCCCAGTGCCTGGCATTTAGCAGATACTCCATTAATGTGGAAGTAGAAGAGTAGAATGGAGCAATCTGCATCCTGTATAAAAAGTAAGAACAGTCTTTATTAAGGTACTTTTCTCTTTTGCATTTCCTTATGATCAATCTCTCCCTATTCTGCAAGGGGCGCTTTTGTTTCTAGACAGTTAGGTATATTGCAACAGAAATACAAAGTATAAAAAGGAATTCGTATTTAGTTTTCTGATATCCAAAGCTAGCCTTTGTTTTTAAGAAAGAAAAGAAGTTTTTCTGGATTTTTAAAGTTCCCATAGATATATCAAAAATTTAGACCTTATAGATTAGCAGGTATACTAACATTTATTTGTACTATTCAATATGTACAAGAAAGTCCTTTCACCTGTCCCCAGTGAAAATAAAATTTTGTGGTAGTATACATAACTATGTGTATAATATATAGTTATTATATATATAATATATATAGTGATATGGTTTGGCTCTGTGTCCCCACCCAAATCTCATCTTGAATTGTACTCCCATAATTCCCACGTGTTGTGGGAGGGACCCAATAGGAGATAATTTGAATCATGGGGGTGGTTTCCCCCATACTGTTCTCATTGTAGTGAATAAGTCTCACGAGATCTGTTGGTTTTATCAGGGGTTTCTGCTTTTGCATCTTTCTCATTCTCTCTTGCCACCACCACGTAGGAAGTGCCTTTCGCTCCCACCATAATTCTGAGGCCTCCCCAGCCATGTGGAAATGTAAGTCCAATTACACCTCTTTTTCTTCCCAGTCTCGGGTATGTCTTTATCAGCAGCATGAAAACGAACTAATACAGTAAATTGGTACCAATAAAGTAGGGCGTTGCTGAAAATATACCCAAAAATGTGCAAGCAATTTTGGAACTGGGTATCAGGCAGAGGTTGCAACAGTTTGGAGGGCTCAGAAGAAGACAGGAAAATGTGGGAAAGTTTGCAACCTCCTAAAAACTTGTTGAATGGCTTTGACAAAAATGCTGATAGTGATATGAACAATAAGGTCCAGGCTGAGTTGGTCTCAGATGGAAATGAGAAACTTGTTGTGAATTGGAGCAAAGGTGACTCCTGTTACATTTTAGCCAAAAGACTAGTGGCATTTTGCCCCTGCCCTAGAGATTTGTGGAACTTTGAACTTGAGAGAGATTATTTAGGGTACTGGCAGAAGAAATTTCTAAGCAGCAAAGCATTTAAGAGTTGACTTGGATGCTGTTAAAAGCATTCTATTTTAAAAGGGAAACAGAGCACAAAATTTCAGAAAATTTGCAGCCTGATGATGCAGTAGAAAAGAAAAACCCAGCCGGTGCGGTGGCTCACGCCTGTAATCCCAACACTTTCAGAGGCCGAGGTGGGTGGATCAGCTGAGGCCAGGAGTTCGAGACAAGCCTGGGCAATATGGCAAAACCCCATCTCTATGAAAAATACAAAAATTAGCCTGGCGTGCTGGCGGGTGCCTATAGTCCCAGCTACTCGGGAGGCTGAGGCAGGAGAATCGCTTGAACCCAGGAGGTGGGAGGTTGCAGTGAGCCCAGAGTGTGCCACTGCAGTGCAGCCTGGGCAACAGAGCCAAACTCTGTCTCAAAAAAAGAAAAGAAAAGAAATACCTATTTTTTGGGGAGAAATTCAAGCTGGCTGCAGGAATTTGCATGAGTAACAAGGAGCCATGTTAATCCCCAAGCCAACGGGGAAAATGTCCGCAGGGCATGCCAGAGGTCTTCACAGCAGCCCCTCCAATCACAGACCTGGAAGCCTAGGAGGAAAAAATGGTTTTGTGGGCTGGGCCCAGGGTCCCCATGCTGTGTGCAGCCTAGGGACTTTGTGCCTTGTGTCCCAGCAGCTCCTGCCATTGCTAAAAGGTGCCAAGGTACAGCTCGGCCCATGGTTTCAGAGGGTGCAAGCCCCAAACCTTGGCAGCTTCCATGTGGTGTTGAACCTCCGGGTGCACAGAAGTCAAGAATTGAGGTTTGGGAACCTCCACCTAGATTTCAGAAGATGTATGGAAACATCTGGATGCCCAGGCAAAAGTTTGCTGCTGGAGTGGGGCCCTCCTGGGGAACCTGTGCTAGGACAGTGCAGAAGGGAAATGTGGGGTTGGAGCCCCCACACAGAGTCCCGACTGTGGCACTGCCTAGTGGAGCTATGAGAACAGGGCCAGACCCCAGCATGGTAGATCCACTGATAGCTTGCCCTGTGCACCTGGAAAAGCCACAGACACTCAGTGCCAGCCCATGAAAGCAGCCAAGAGGGGGGCTATACCCCGGAAAGCCACAGGGGCAGAGCTGCCCAAGACTATGAGAACCTACCTCTTGCATCAGCATGACCTGGATGTGAGACATGGAGTCAAAGGAGATCATTTTGGAGCTTTAGATTTTGACTGCCCCACTGGATTTCAGATTTGCATGGGCCCTGTAACCCCTTTGTTTTGGCCAATTTCTCCTGCTTGGAACAGCTGTATTTACCCAATGCCTGTACCCCCATTGTATCTAGAAAGTAAATAGTTTGCTTTTGATTTTACAGGCTCATAGGTGGAAGGGACTTGCCTTGTCTCAGATGAGACTTTGGACTGTGGACTTTTGGGTTAATGCTGAAATGAGTTAAGACTTTGGGGGACTGTTGGGAAGGCATGATTGGTTTTGAAATGTGAGGACATGAGATTTGGAGGGGCCAGGGGCAAAATGATATGGTTTGGCTCTGTGTCCCCACCCAAATCTCATCTTTAATTGTACTCCCATAATTCCCAAGTGTTGTGGGAGGGACCTGGTCGGAGATAATTTGAATCATGGGGGCGGTTTCCCCCATACTGTTCTCATGGTAGTGAGTAAGTCTCACGAGATCTGATGGTTTTATCAGGGGTTTCCACTTTTGCATCTTCCTCATTTTCTCTTGCTGCTGCCATGTAAGAAGTGCCTTTTGCCTCCTGCCATGGTTCTGAGGCCTCCCCAGCCACGTGGAAATGTAAGTCCAATTAAACCTCTTTTTCTTCCCAGTCTCAGGTATGTCTTTATCAGCAGTGTGAAAATGGACTAATAAGTATAAGATAGATATATATATAACTATATATGCAGTTATATATAATATAGCATATAATAAATGAAACTGTTCAAAAGAAATACACTATTCAAGGTGGTCAAATGACTTAAATGAAACTGAGACCTTATCACCTGATCATGTAGTGCTTAGATAAAAGATGTTGTGTTATGAAGAACAAAAACATCCTTAAAAAATTAAAAGTGTTAGAGTACATTAATTATATTCTGGGTTTTTACCCAAGTACACGAGATTCTTTAACATGCGGATTCTTTCTCCACCTTCAACCTCATTCAGAATGTTCTAACACTGAAAAAAATGTTGTCAAAGGATAAACATACAAGAATGCTATGGAGGAAGAATAGGATTCAGAGGTTCCTGAGAGAAGGCAAAGGGCTGGTTTGTTGCTCTTTTACCTACTAGAAAAGATAATTAAGGCCAGGTGGGATGCATACAGTAAAAGAGGGCACCTGAACAAACAAGCATTGAATTTGGAGAATGCCTACGAGTCTGTGCTGGGCTACGTTCCCAAGACAGACTCAGAAGTTACCTGCCCTGCCAGGTACCTCCTAATCTACCCTCTCCAAAGGGAAGATTTTCTTCATGGCTGTAGGAAGCGCCTCTTGAAAGCTCCAAATCTTATTTTTTTTCTACATGATGAATTGGCACAGTACTAAGTTTGACTCATTATATTAAACAAGAAATTTTTGATGGTGGAATGGATCCAGAGTTCCTTGAAACTGTCCAAATGGTCCCGCATAAAGGAAACACTTCACAGTCGTTTCAGTGTACCTACAACTAAAAAATTGGTGTCAGTCTCTAGATTCAAGCTGATGGTTCCTGTGGGAGAATGCAAATTCAAGGTGAATTAGAAGATGTAATGTGAGATGCCATCTGTGAAATAAGAAATGGAACACTTTATTTAAATTCTTGGTTTCTTGTAGCCTTCTAATCAGAAATGTAAAAGAAAGGCTTGGCATAGCATTCTGGAATAATACTGTGACTCCTTTTGCCTTTCCATGTGATCTTATTCTTTTTGTGTTTATGGAACGTAGATAAGATGCTGAGTGCTGCATTCTGCATTTTTTGCCTCAGGCATTTAACAGAATGCCAGCTTTCCATGTGCATGGACCTGCACTCACTCAGTACCTACTACTTGGCAAGCCGAAGTCACCCACTGTGTACCCTTTCCCCTAATGAAGCTTCCATTATCCCACTTTAACACCTGTATTCTCAATTTACTGTCCCTATCAAAAGCTCTCAAGAAATGACCTGAAACCTTTACATAAATCTAGTAAAGCAAATTATCTCGTTGAAGGCTTTGGCTAGTGAATTAACAGTTGAGACTTCTGTGCTGTATGTGCCTGTGTTTGTTTCTAACATGATGAAAAGACTTCATGTCTGTCCTTTTCATGGGATGAGGATGGATTAACTCGGGAGGAAAGATTGTGACTTATTGATGGAACAATGGGCTATTCAAACACTCAAAAAAGAGTGGTTTCTTTTATGGAGGGGAGGAGGGTCCTAAAGGCTTGGCACTCTTCCTGATGAGCTGTCAAAAAGGAATAGAATGAAGGTGATGGTTTGGGTAGAGGGTGAGGTGAAAAGAAATGGAAAGTGGTGAACCTTACTCCGTTGATCCCCATGGGCTTAGGGAACAGAGATGCAGGTTCTGGATTCCAAGTGTTGTTGGATCCAGCTGTGAGGCAGGACCTCAAGGGGAACAGGGCTTAGGCTCTCTGAATGGCAGGCACTGTAGCTTCAACCTTGGGAGGCTGAGCAAAGGGAATACATCTGAGGCCAGCTTCAGGTAAAGGAGGTGGCATTAATGTGAGGAACTTCACTTCAAAATGTCCCACCATTCTAGGCAGAAAGAGGAACAAGTAAGATTGACTTTCACAGTGAGGAACAATATCAGACAGCAAAGTGATTAACAGCAGCAATGTGGGGCCACCATGAGGCCAGAGGACTTAGTTGGAAGTGTTTAATATAAAATGATTAATTTTATGTACGTGAATTTCTTCTCACTGGAGGAAACAAAACAGAACAAAACAAAAATCTTAGCAGTGAGGGCTCAACCCTGTTCAGGAGCTAGAAGCCTGGCAAACATCTGGTTGGAACTGTCAAAGAAAACCACTGGTCCTCAAATTACCCAAGGGAAGGGGAGGGAACACCAGAGACCAAGAACTAACAGTGGGAGCAAAAGCTAGTTCTGACTCAGGTTTAATTGGAAAAAATAAAGTGTAATGTTTACTTGACCCTCAAGTATTGTTCCAATGCGTATTCATAGTCCCATAAACAACACAGATGGCCCTCTGCTTCCCACAAATACAAAGCCTACAGAAATACAAAGTTTCAGTGGCATTCCAGCCCCTCTACATGAAGCTCCCTGCCATCTTCCAGCCACCTGGTGTCATTGCAATTTCCTTATCTGCTCCCTAGAAACAGTAGAAAGATGCTAGTCTGGAATTTCTTAAAATTTTTTTTGTTTTTTTTGTTTTCTCTGAGACAGAGTCTCGCTCTTGTGGCCCAGGCTGGAGTGCAGTGGCATGATCTTGGCTTACTGCAACCTCCGCCTCCCAGGTCCAAGCAATTCTCCTGCCTCAGCCTCGTGAGCAGCTGAAACCACAGGTGCACGCCACCCTGCCCAGCTACTTTTTGTATTTTTAGTAGAGGCGGGGTTTCACCATGTTAGCCAGGCCTGTCTCAAACTCCTGACCTCAGGTGATCCGCCTACCCAGCCTCCCAAAGTGCTGGAATTACAGGCGTGAGCCACTGCACCCAGCCTAAAATTTTTTATTGATATGTAATAGTTGTGCATATTTGGGGGGTACATGTGATATTTTGATATATGTATATAGTGTGTAATGATCAAGTTAGGGTATTTGGGCTACCCATCACCTCAAACATTTTTCTTTGTGTTGGGAACATTATAAATCTTCTAGCTATTTTGAAACATAAAATTATTGTTAACTATAATTTTCCTGCTATACTATCAAATACTAGAAGTTATTCCTTCTTTCTAACTGTATTTTTATACCCCTTAACCAACTTGTCAGTTCTTCCTACCCTATCCCATCCCAGCCTCTGGTAATCATCATTCTACTCTACCTCCAACAGATCCATTTTTTTAGCTCCCACGTATGAGTGAAAACATGAGATATTTGTCCTTCTGTGCTTGATTTATTTCACTTAACACAATGACCTCTGGTTTTATCCAGCCAGGTTGCTGCAAATAACAGGATTTCATTCTTTTTATGGCTGAATGATATTCCATTGTGTATATATACATTGTCTGTATCCATTAATCTGTTGATGGATATCTATTGATTCCATATCTCAGCTGTCGTGAATAGTGAAACAATAAACATGGGAACACACATTTCAAAATACTGATTTCCTTTTTGTATATCCAGCAGTGGGATTGCTGGATCATGTGACAGTTCTGCTTTTTAGCTTTTTGAGGAGCCTCCCTACTGTTTTCCAATTTTTAATGGGTCCCCTGTGTGGAGAAGAAGAGCTTTTGAACAACAGACCTATTGTATAACTCTCTCGACCTCTCATTTCTCCCCTACCCAGGGGATATTATGTCTTTCTGCACCACATAAATATTTTATATCTCAGTAAGAAAAAACTTATTTTGCATGTTATCAAACAGTTATCACTTTGTCATTTCTTGGCCTGATATATTCATTCATTTCCCAACAAATATTCAACAAATACATCAGGCACTGTGCTTAGTTCTAGGAATACAAAGATGAGGTTGTGGACCCAAAAAAGTTCTCCAGCTTGGAAAGAAACCAGTTTCTTGGAGAACCAGTTCCCCAAGATGGAACGCTTACCTTCAGTTGTGAAAGATATTTGACATTATGGTTTTTTGTTGTTGTTTTTGTTGTTTGAGATGGAGTCTTGCACTGTCACCCGGGCTGGAGTGCAGTGGCACAATCTCGGCTCACTGCAACCTCTGCCTCCCAGGTTCAAATGATTCTTCTGCCTCAGCCTCCCAAGTAGCTGGGATTACAGGCACCCACCACCACATTCAGCTAATTTTTTGTATTTTTAGTAGAGACAGAGTTTCACTATGTTGGCCAGGCTGGTCTCAAACTCCTGACCTCATGGCTGCCTGCTTTGGCCTCCCAAAGTGCTGGGATTACAGGCGTGAGCTACCATGCCCGGCCGACATTATGGTTTCTTATTTACATCTGTTTGGAAGGTGCTATAGACTGACTGTGTCCCCCCAAAATTCATATGTTGAAACTTAATCTTCAATGTGAAGGTATTAGGAGGTAGGGTCTTTGCGAGGTGATTAAATCATGAGGGTGGAGCCCTCATGATTGGATTTAGTGCCCTTATAAAAGAGGCCCCAGAGAGATCCCTCACTCATCCTGCCATTTGAGGATACAGCAACAAGATCGCTGTCTATGAATCAGAGAGCAGCCTTCAGCAGACTGAATCTGCCACTGCTGTGGTGTTGGACTTCCCAGCCTCCAGAACTGGAGAAATAAATTTCGGTTGCTTATAAGATACCTGATATGTGGTATTTTGTTATAGTAGCCTGAATGGACTAAAATAGAACAGGTAAGAATATAAGTGATGGTGGGGTGCAGCACCTCACGCCTGTAATCCCAGCACTTTGGGAGGCCAAGGCAGGCGGATCACAAGGTCAGGAGATCGAGACCATCCTGGCTAACAAGGTGAAACCCCGTCTGTACTAAAAATACAAAACATTAGCTGGGAATGGTGGTGGGCACCTGTAGTCCCAGCTACTTGGGAGGCTGAGGCAGAAGAATGGCCTGAACCTAGGAGGCGGAGCTTGCAGTGAGCCGAGATCACACGCCACTGCACTCCAGCCTGGGCGACAGGGCAAGACTCTGTCTCAAAAAAAAAAAAAAAAAAAAAGAGAATATAAGTGACTTCAGGATGTTTTGAAGACCTATTCAAAACTCATCAATACAATATTGTTTACTTCAACTATTGAATAATTCAAAGTAATTTATAATCAGCCATTATGGTGCCATATGCCTTTTTCACAGACACAGTGGCTAAAAGACTATACAGTCTGAAGTGGGATCATTCAAATTCTTTTTTCCAGTTCATTGCATCTCTAACTGTGAAGCATACAGTGACCAAAACAGAATGTCATGGGAGAGGGGATTCAGCCAAAACAGGAGAACAAGCAGCATATGGGTCAAAACTTCAGAAAGCCTACATATAGGCATGTGAACATATTTTGTCCTCTTACAACATAGGTACCAAAGAAGGGAAGAAAATACATAGGACTGGATTCAGAACAATATGAGAAAAACAAAGGCCAGAACTTCCATTTCTCAAAGAGATAAAGCCTGGATGAGCAAAGGTGACTGTGTTTGCTAACAGACAACGACATCACCTAGGGAAATGCTGAATACTTCTCAAATTAATCTCTGGTTGCATATAAATATTCTTCTGTTGACGAGTGGATTAATAGAAATTTATTTTGAAAAATAGAAGCATAATGGTATATCTTAATTTAAATTCTATTATTTCTGTGATGTAATTTCAATTCACTTCCTGCAGTTTTGCTCTTTTCTTTAGTGATGTTTAACATACTTGTCATGAGAGGGTAATACTTTCTTTTAGGTTCAGTACTTGGACAATGGTAATTAGAGGATGTGGAAACTTACCTGACACAGTAAAGTGCATTCTGGAATGTAAATTTCCCTTTCTCCATGGCATTCTGTTTTCAACTTAACTATTGCTTATGTATGCTGATTTTACCAGACCCTAGAGTTAATGGGGAAGAATGTTGTAATCTCAGACTTAGCTTGGACAAAAAAAAATTTTTCATCTACTGTATTGGTTGGCCAAAGGTTTTTACCTTGAATTTTCTGCATTTAGGTTATCTTTTGTGTACTTATAGTTCCTCCATTATTTTTAGAATATTTGGAATATCGTTGGTTACAATAAATAGGTCTACCAGTATGCTGGAACATGCGAGAGTTACAGACGATAATAGTAAGAATGTTGTTTTCTAATTGTGTAGCACACTAGACATTCATATGCATTGTCTTATTTATCAAACTAAGCATATGAGTCAGATAGTACTACTATTTCCAATTTGCAAATAAAAAAACCTGAGACTCTCAGAGGTTATGTAATTTACTATGAAACATGTTTATAAGTGGCAGAGTTGGGTTCATACCAATACTGGATTTTGACTTCAAATCCAGCATTGATTACATTTTTTTCCTCAAAAGTTACTACTTTTTGTATTTCCCTGAGGCAGTCTAGCGTTTTTGCAATCTAGAGAACTGGATTTGAATCTTAGTTCCTCCAGCTACTAGACACATGGCTTGAAAAAGGTGTTTGAGCTCTCAAAGCCTCACTGTTCTGAAGCCATAATGTCCACATGATGGTGGACTAAACTTTACCTTTTAAGATGTTGTGAAGTCCAAATCAAAGTTATATTCAAGCATGCAGTTACCACTCAATAAATTATAGTTATTTTTCTTATTATTCTCAGAACAATTCTTAAGGAGACATGTTTTTTAATTGTGGTAAAATATACATAATTTTTCACCCAGGCTGGAGTACAATGGCGTTTTCTCGACTCACTGTAACCTCGACCTCCTGGAGTTAATCCATCCTCCCTCTTTAGCCTCCCAAATAGCTGGAACTACAGACATGCACCACCATGCCCAGCTATTTTTTTGTATTTTTTTTAGACATGGTGTTTCACCATGTTACTTAGGCTGGTCTGGAACTCCTAGACTCAAATGATCCACCTGCTTCAGCCTCCTAAAGTGCTGGGATTACAGGCATGAGCCACCGTGCCTGGCCTCATCTTGACCTTTTTTTTTTTTTTTTGAGACCAGGTCTCTCTCTGTTGCCTAGGCTTTAGTGCAGTGGCACAATCTCGGCTCACCGCAGCCTTCACCTTCCAGGTTCAAGCAATTCTTCCACCTCAGCCCCCCGAGTAGCTGGGATTATAGGCGCACCACCATGCCTGGCTAATTTTTGTATTTTCAGTAGAGACAAGGTTACACCATGTTGGCCAGGCTGGTCCCGAACTCCTGACCTCAAATGATCCGTCCACCTCGACCTCCCAAAGTGCTGGGATTACAGGTGTGAGCCACCATGCCAGACCAACCATTTTTAAGTGTACAGTTCAGTAGTGTTAAGTATATTCACATTGTTTTGCAAACAATCTCCACAACTCTTTATCTTGCAAAACTGAAACTTTTTACCCATTTAAGCCCCCCATTGCCTCCTGCCTCCTAGTCCATGGCAACCATGGTTTCTGTTTTCTGTGTCTACAAATTTACCTATTCTGGATACCACATATAAGTGGAATCATACCAGATTTGTCTTTTTGTGACTGGCCCATTCATTTAGCATAATGTCCTCAAGGTTTATTCTTTATTCATGTTGTAGCATGTGTCAGAATTTCCTTCCCTTTTAAGGATAATACCACATCTTGTTTATTCAGGAACATTTGGGTTTTTTCTACCTATTGGCTATTTTGAATAATGTTTCTATGAACATGGGTGTCTAAATATCTCTCCAAGACCTGACTTAATTCTTTGGGGGTACATACCCAGAAGTGGAATTACTGAATCATCTAAGTCATTCTGTTTTTAATATTTACTGCCATGTTGTTTTCCATAGTGGCTGCACCATTTTACATTCCCACCAACAATGCATAAGAGTCCACATTTCTCTACATCCTCTTTTTTCTATGTGTTTGTTTGTTTGTTTGTTTTTAATGTACCCATCCTAACAGATGTGATTAAGGAGATACTTTAAGAATTGACATATGTAATTTCCACTCTTTTAACCCTCAAGCCTAAGATGGTCTATCTGACCTAATTCTTCAACCTCTTTTCGTGTGTGTGTGTGTGTGTGTTTTGAAACAGAGCCTCACTCTGTCAACCCAGGCTGGAGTGCAGTAGCGCCATCTCATCTCACTACAGCCTCCACCTCCCAGGTTCAAGCAGTTCTCCCACTTCAGCCTCCCGAGTAGCTGGGATTACAGGAGCGTGCCACCACATCCACCTAATTTTTGCATTTTTAGTAGAGACGGGGTTTTGGCATGTTGGCCAGGCTGGTCTCAAACGACTGACTTCAGGTGATCTGCCTGCCTCGGCCTCCCAAAGTGCTGGGATTTCAGGCATGAGCCACCGTGCCCAGCCACTTTTCTTGTTATTCCCACTACTAGTACTCTAGCAAAAAATATCCTGTAACCATGGTGAGCCTTCAAGGCATGGTATTTCTGTTTGGTCCTTCTCAGAACACCTAGCAGCAAATTTTGTATCCATTTACACACTGAGGGTCAATCTTTCTCTTTTTCCATTTCTTTCACAGAATAAATATTTTCTGTTCATAGTTCAATTTAATTGACAGGCATAGTTAGGGGAATTTTCAAGTAATAATGTGTCTGGGGTTGGTTCCTTCTGGTGGGTTCTTGGTCTTGCTGACTTCAAGAATGAAACCACGGACCTTCGCGGTCCGTGTTACATCTCTGAAAGGTGGCACAGATGCAAAGAGGGAGCAGCAGCAAGATTTATTGTGAAGAATGAAAGAACAAAAATTCCACAGCTTGGAAGGGGACCCGAGCCGGTTGCTGGTTGGGGTGGCCAGCTTTTATTCCCTTATTTGTCCCTGCCCATGTCCTGCTGATTGGTCCATTTTACAGAGTGCTGATTGGTCCATTTTACAGAGCACTGATTGGTCCATTTTACAAACCTCTAGCTAGCCACAGACCGCTGATTGGTGCATTTTACAATCCTAGCTACAGAGTGCTGATTGGTGCATTTTACAAACCTCTAGCTAGCCACAGAGTGCTGATTGGTGCATTTAACAGAGCACTGATTGTTGCGTTTTACAAACCTCTAGCTAGCCACAGAGCACTGATTGGTGCGTTTTACAATCCTAGCTACAGAGTGCTGATTGGCGCATTTTACAATCCTCTTGTGAGACAGAAAAGTTCTCCAAGTCCCTGCCCAACCCAGAAGTCCAGCTGGCTTCACCTCTCAATAAGTCAAATGTCAATTTTAGTTTTCCGGAACGATAATTAAGAATTTCTCACCCTATCTTCTGTGTCTGTTAATCTCATTCTTATTTTTCTTCTCTCTGTGGTGCATTTTGGACAATTTCTTCAGATAGGCTTTCAGTTCGCCAATTCATTCTTTCAGCTGTGTTGCATTTGTTATTAAATTTGTCCACTTAATTTCTAGTTTCAATTGTTAAATTTTATTTCTAGAAGTTTGTTTCTTTCCTAACATATTTGGATATTTTATAACATTTCTGGTTCCTTGCACATATTTTCGAACTTGTTTTTAATTTCTTTTTTTTGCTTTTTGAGACGGAGTCTCACTCTGTCGCCCAGGCTGGAATGCAGTGGTGTGATCTGGGTTCACTGCAACCTCTACCTCCCGGGTTCAAGCAATTCTCCTGCCTCAGCCTCCTAAGTAGCTGCGATTACAGGCATGCGCCACCACTCCCAACTAATTTTTGTATTTTTAGTAGAGATGGGGTTTCACCATATTGGCCAGGTTGGTCTCAAGCTCCTGACCCCAGGTGATCTGCTCGCCTTGGCCTCCCAAAAGTGCTGGGATTGCAGGCGTGAGCCACCGCACCTGGCCGTTTTTAATTCCTTTAAACATAGTAAGTACAGTTATTTTAGAGTCTGTATGTAGTAATTCCATTATCCAGAATCCTTGAGGGTTCTATTTCTGCAGTCTATTGTTTCTGCTAATTGTTCCTTATGGTGCCTTGTTTCCATGTGTGTTTAACTAGTTAGTTTTTTAGTGTGAACTACATATATATATCTCTTTTTTGGGGGGGTAGGGGAACTTTATGTGTGTGAATTATTTAAGCCTAGGACAAAGATGTATTACTCCAGAGCCATTTTGCATTTGTTTGTACTAGCAGGACTGCCTAAAGGCACTACCAGTCAAGAACCACTCAAAATCAAATTTGGGACCTGAGATACTTTGGACTACCTAAGTAGCGTGAATTTGAGCTCCAAACTAACATGAGGACTGGCTTATGAGTCCAAATTATCAGCAATGATTCTTTCTCTCTCTGCTCATCAACTAGATTTGAAACTCTTTTTTTTTTAATCTGCTGTAAGTGTGGGGGTGGGTGTCATTTTCTACTTACACCGAGGGTGTAGCCCTTTGCAGTCTTAACTTTATGCTAGAGAGGAAATTTTATTAGATGACTCTCCACCTGGAGGCAATCTCTAGGTTTTTTACCTGCACACTGTGTGGTCTTGACAATCAAAGCTAAAGTTCCTGCAGTTGAGCAAATGCCCCCAGAGAGAAAGTCAGCTGCAGTGCTCCACTTCACTCTGAGTTCTTTCATTCAGGTATTAGGCCTAAGAACTATTTACTCTCTTAAAATTCATCAGTGCATTTAAGATACTTTAAATATTTTATCCAGAATGCTAAATTGTTTCCAATGGGAGGGTCAGTTTATATACCTATTCTCCATATTACCAGAAGCAAAGTCCCTCCCCATATTTTTACCAATTCCATCTTTTGTTTCCAATTTGGTGAAGTTTGGTAGAATTGGCAATGAGTAGGGGAAAAATTTGATCCAATAAAAATCAGGAAAATATGGTTAAGCAAACAACTAAGTTATTCCTTTTAAAACATATACTTCCTGTGCACCTGAGCTAGCTCTATAATCGCTGTACAATAACAGGGTGACCTCACTGCCCTCGCTCAGAGGGTAGCTTCAGGCTGATTTCATACATATTCACACTGTGCAAGCCACTGTCACTCTATAAAGTGTTTAGGACCCTGGACCTCTGGCTTGGCAGTGTCCAAAACTGCTAAATGTTGGATTGAGGGATGCTCACACTGGAAGAGCAGATGGAAAGTGGATAGGGATGGGAGACCTGGTGACTGTGGGGCGGTAAGTAGAATCTTTGAGACAGACTGAAACATTATCCCAGAAAAGAAGTTCCAGAGGCAAAGGGCCAGCAGGTGTCCTCACTAGAAAAGAGCAAGAAAGATAAATCTTGCTGAATTAATCTTCCCTACTGTTCCTGGCTGTTCTTGACAGATCTTTTCACCTGGACCCTCCTGCCCTCAACCATGACTTCCCCCTACCTAGACTCAGCTTTATCCGCTCTGATCCTTCTCTGCTTTCCTTCCATGGTCAGCTATTGTTTATCAAGCAGAAAAGTCTCTTTATAAGTAGGCCTGCAGATCTTCCTCTGTGGAGCAGTTTTCAGAGCCTTTGGAGTGAGACAGACATGAGGCAATAGTTCCAGGATTTAAAAAAAAAGAAGGCTGGGTGTGATGGCTCACGCCTGTAATCCCAGCACTTTGGGAGGCCAAGGTGGGCGGATCATGAGGTCAGGAGGTCGAGACCACCCTAACCAACTTGGTGAAACTCCGTCTGTACTAAAAATAAAAAAATTAGGCGGGCATGGTGGCGCGCACCTGTAATCGCAGCTACTCAGGAGGCTGAGGCAGGAGAATCACTTGAACCCAGGAGACAGAGGTTGCAGTGAGCCGAGATCGTGCCACTGCACTTCAGCCTGGGAGACAGAGTGAGACTCCATCTCAAAAAAAAAAAAAAAAAAAAAAGAAAAAGAAAAAAATCCTGGAGCAGTTAAATGTTTAGAAAAGTATAAGGATGGACAAAGAATTTATTCACTTTTTAGTTTTCTAAGTAAGAACATTAAAAAAAAAAACAACCTTACTGCATATCAACTTCTAATGTTGTATCAGTTTGCTACGTAAGGGACCACCCCTAAAGCAGCACCACCTCCTGTGGGCCCTTCTGTCTGGGCCTGCTCACCTGGAGCCTGACAGTTCAGATACTCTCACTCACACATTTGGACCCTCAGTTTGGGCAGCCAGGTTGGCTGGGGCCTCTCTTCAGAGGGTCTCTGATCTCAAGAGGCCAACCAGGGCTTGTTCACATAATGGTCAAGGGTTCCCAGTGGCAAGAGAGAAAATTTCAGGGCACAAGCCCTTTTCAAGTCCTTACCTCACCTTTGCTAATGTTGCATTGTCAAAGCAAGTAACACAGGCTAGCCTAGATTCAATAGGTAAATAAATAGATTCCTCCTCTTGACAAAAGGAGCTACTACGTCACATTGCAAAGGGACACACAAACAGGAACAAATTTGTGACCATTTGTGCTGCAGCCTACTACAACCATAATTGTCATTTCATAGAAAAAGATCATCTTACCATGGAAAGTTAGAAAAAAAGTTCTTCAAATGTAAAATATTTAGCTTTACATATATATATTTATATATAAATATAATATTTATATAAACTCACAGCATTTTCCTTATTTTATTTTATTTTTCTTAATACCCTGGACTGGTGAAAACTTTATTCTTAGCAGCACTGTTCCAGAGAATGGTGTTTGGAACTATGTTAAGAAATGGAATCTGGCAGCATTGCCTAGGATTAGAGAAAAGGGTGGGGAGACTGAAGGAGGGAAGCCAGATAAGAATGCAGATAAAGATAATGAGAGCAGGAAGTAGGTGAGTGGCCACTGGAATAACCAGAAAGGAGGGAAATGTGATAACTAGCTCAGAGTAGCCCTTTAGTACCAGGATAGGATGGGGTGTGTGCCTGTGTGTGTGTGCGTGCGCGTATGCGCGTGTGTTTGAAAGGATGGAGTCCTGATTCTGGGGCTTTCGTTTTCTATTATTGGTGACAAATCACCACTAATTTAGCCACTTAAAACAACATCCACTTGTTATCTCAGTTTTCTTTGGATCAGGAACCCAGGCATGGGTTAAAACTTGATCCTCTGCTCAAGGTCCCACAAGGCCAAAATGAAGGTTTTGATCCAGATGGGCTTTTACCTGGAGGCTACGGGGAAGAATCCATTTCCAGACTCTTTCAGGGTGTTGGAGGAATCCATATCCTTACAGTTGTGGGACTGAGGTCCCTCTTTCTTTGTTGGCTGTCAGCTTGTCTTAGTGTGCTCAAGTGCCATAACAAAATACCACAGGCTGGTTTAAACAACAGGCATTTATTTTTTCACAGTTCTGGAGACTGGAAGTCTATGATCAAGGTGCCTGCATGGTCACATTATCATGAGGATGCTCTTCTGGCTTATAGATGCCTTCTGGCTGTGTCCTCACATTGGAGGGGTTGGGGGAGCAAGAGAGCTGTCTGGTATCTCTTCTAAGGGAACTAATCCCACCAAACCAGTATCCCAAACTCATGACCTCATCCTACCCTAATTGCCTCCCAAAGGCTCCATCTGACAATATCATCACATTGGAGGTTAGGGTTTCAACATATAAATTAGGAGAGGAGGGACACAAATATTCAGTCATAGGACAGCTCCTGGGGCTGCCTGCCTTTCTTCCATGTGGCCCCTCCACCTTTAAGCCAGCAGTGACCCTAATGCTTCAGGTCCCTCTGTTTCCTTCTTCTGCCACCAACCAGAGAAAGCTCTCTACCTTTAAGGGCTTATGTGATTAGATGACACCCACCTGGACACTCTCCGTATTTTAAGATCATTTCTGCTGTCTAAAATGATCCTGGGATGATATTTCATCATATTCCAGGGATTAGAGCAGGACATGTTTGGGGAGCAGCTTTATAATTTCTGCCTACTGCATCATTTCTTATCAAGAGAAAGTCCCTCTCCCTCTCCCTCTCCCCCTCCCCCTCCCCCTCCTCCTCCCCCTCCCCCTCTCCCGTCTCCCTCTCCCTCTCCAGTCTCCCTCTCCCCAGTCTCCCTCTGATGCCGAGCCGAAGCTGGACTGTACTGCTGCCATCTCGGCTCACTGCAACCTCCCTGCCTGATTCTCCTGCCTCAGCCTGCTGAGTGCCTGCGATTACAGGCGCGTGCCGCCACGCCTGACTGGTTTTCGTATTTTTTTGGTGGAGATGGGGTTTCGCTGTGTTGGCCGGGCTGGTCTCCAGCTCCTAACCACAAGTGATCCGCCAGCCTCGGCCTCCCGAGGTGCTGGGATTGCAGACGGAGTCTGGTTCACTCAGTGCTCAATGGTGCCCAGGCTGGAGTGCAGTGGCGTGATCTCGGCTCGCTACAACCTCCACCTCCCAGCCGCCTGCCTCGGCCTCCCAAAGTGCCGAGATTGCAGCCTCTGCCCAGCCGCCACCCCGTCTGGGAAGTGAGGAGCATCTCTGCACGGCCGCCATCCCATCTAGGAAGTGAGGAGCGCCTCTTCCCGGCCGCCATCACATCTAGGAAGTGAGGAGCGTCTCTGCCCGGCCGCCCATCATCGTCTGAGATGTGGGGAGCGCCTCTGCCCCGCCGCCCCGTCTGGGATGTGAGGAGCGCCTCTGCCCGGCCTCGACCCCATCTGGGAGGTGAAGAGCGTCTCTGCCCGGCCGCCCCGTCTGAGAAGTGAGGAGACCCTCTGCCTGGCAACCGCCCCGTCTGAGAAGTGAGGAGCCCCTCCGCCCGGCAGCCACCCCGTTCGGGAGGGAGGTGGGGGGGTCAGCCCCCCGCCCGGCCAGCCGCCCCATCCGGGAGGCGAGGGGCGCCTCTGCCCGGCCGCCCCTACTGGGAAGTGAGGAGCCTCTCCGCCCGGCAGCCACCCCGTCTGGGAAGTGAGGAGCGTCTCCGCCCAGCAGCCACCCCGTCCGGGAGGGAGGTGGGGGGGTCAGCCCCCCGCCCGGCCAGCCGCCCGGTCCGGGAGGGAGGTGGGGGGGTCAGCCCCCCGCCCGGCCAGCCGCCCGGTCCGGGAGGGAGGTGGGGGGGTCAGCCTCCCGCCCGGCCAGCCGCCCCGTCCGGGAGGTGAGGGGCGCCTCTGCCCGGCCACCCCTTCTGGGAAGTGAGGAGCCCCTCTGCCCGGCCACCACCCCGTCTGGGAGGTGTACCCAACAGCTCATTGAGAACGGGCCAGGATGGCAATGGCGGTTTTGTGGAATAGAAAGGGGGGAAAGGTGGGGAAAAGATTGAGAAATCGGATGGTTGCCCTGTCTGTGTAGAAAGAAGTAGACATGGGAAACTTTTCGTTTTGTTCTGTACTAAGAAAAATTCTTCTGCCTTGGGATCCTGTTGATCTGTGGCCTTACCCCCAACCCTGTGCTCTCTGAAACATGTGCTGTGTCCACTCAGGGTTAAACGGATTAAGGGCGGTGCAAGATGTGCTTTGTTAAACAGATGCTTGAAGGCAGCATGCTCGTTAAGAGTCATCACCACTCCCTAATCTCAAGTACCCAGGGACACAAACACTGCGGAAGGCCGCAGGGTCCTCTGCCTAGGAAAACCAGAGACCTTTGTTCACTTGTTAATCTGCTGACCTTCCCTCCACTATTGTCCTATGACCCTGCCAAATCCCCCTCTGCGAGAAACACCCAAGAATGATCAATAAAAAAAAAAAAAAAAGAAGAGACAGGGTCTCAAAAAAAAAAAAGAGAGAAAGTGAAAGAATCAAGGAGATTTTTTCATAATATGTTATTACACAATATTACACAATAATGTTATTGTGTAATAACTGTCACCTCTTAGGATTATTGTTAGATGCCTAGAATATCATGTATAAGAAAATGCATTGCAAATATAAAGCCCTTTAGGGATCATATCTCTTATAGACAGAGTGAAGGGCTGGAATGAGCACAGATTCATAGAACTGGAGTTTGAAATTCACCTCCACCACTGGTCAGTGACCTCAAACATCCTCTCCTTTGGGGAGTTTTATTAATTGCTACCACTAGGTGTCACCTACCCAGCTGGAGAGAAAATAAAGCTCCCTGAGGCTGGGAGCTGCTTGGGACTTGAGACCTGTGCATTGTACAACCCCTGGGAGATTTGCAAGCCTGGAGCAATCTGGAGGAATTCAACTCTTCCAAAAGAGTGAGCAACCGATTAGCTTTGGAAGGGGCTTATCATCAGTGTAGGCAGGTGGTGGTGACAGGGGCCTGTGATGGTTTTGTCACCTCCCATGGCCTGGTTGTTCTGGCTGGGAAGTGAAGTGCTTGCTTGCCCTGCCAGCCTCAGCAGTGTATTTTGGTGCCCTCGAGAACTGGGGTGGATGGCATGAGCCAAAGAGAAAACCAAAATGCTGACATTGACATCACAGCCACTTTTAGGGTCCAAGGGGTAGTGGTGGAATTCTTTGTTGCCAAGGATTCTGTGAGGCTTGGCTCTCAGGACCTGGACCATGGCTAGTGTTCCTCACTGGGGCAAACACATGAACTCTAGATACAGTCATGAACTTGGCATGAGGGGGAAGAGCCACTGCAGGAGGTTTGAGTGCAGAACTACCGCTGGTGCTACTAGAATATAAATGACTTGCAAAAGACAACCCTTGCCATAGAGAGCTCTCCTGCAGGATGTAGGACACAGACTTAAAAGAGACAACTCTAAATTTATGCTTATTATCTGTGGTGGTGAAGTGAGCTCCAATGTGAGGGAATACATGTTCATGTGTGCTTTTTTTTTTTTCTTTTTTGAGACAGAGTCTTACTCTGTCGCCCAGGCTGGAGTGCAATGGTGCAATCTCGGCTCACTGCAACCTCCGCCTCCCAGGTTCAAGTGATTCTCATGCCTCAGCCTCCTAAGTAGCTGGGATTACAGGCGCCCACCACCACACCTGGCTCATTTTTGTATTTTTAGTAGAGATGGGGTTTCACCATGTTGGTCAGGCTGGTCTTGAACTCCTGACCTCAAGTGATCTGCCCACCTCGATTTCCCAAAGTGCTGGGATTACAGGTGTGAGCCACTGGGCCCGGCCACATGTGTACTTTTTTAGCACTAGACTCTAATTACCTAAATTCTGTAGAAGTAACTGCCAATAGCCTTATAACCAATGCCACTGAAGAAAATATGGACTACACAAGTTTAAAAGTTTATTTTTATTTAAACTTTTTTAAACTTTAAAAGTTTATTTTTTAACTCATATAATCTCTATACAGAAATCACCAAAGTTTCAACAACGTAATGTTAGATGGGATGTTTCAGATTTTTTTTAAGAACACACAAAAAATGCAAAAGGTAAATTATAAGTGAAATGATTTTTTTTAACCACGGTTTATGAGAAAGTTGGTCTTGAGAGTTATTCTCAGAAGCTGGGATCTCAAAAAGGGCATTAGAATATGAAGAAATAGCAGAAAATTTTTTTTGTTTGTTTAAATCTGCCCAAGTATCTAATGCATTCACTAAATCAATGTGTCAAGGGCTGAGGAAGATGTCCGTTGCAGGCATGCCTCAGTGATGCAAGAGAAGCCAGGATCTGTGACTACCCCTCAGACCCCAGGCCTTTCTCTCTGCTGGCTTGCTCTATGGTAGAGACTTGTTCCTTGAGCAAACACTGATTTCCCTTTGCCAGTAACTCTCGGCCTGTGTCCAGAACGTAAATGCATAAAGTAGTGTAAAACCCCATCATCTGTGCATGCACCTGTCCCTTCTTAATCTAATTTATAATCAGACCATTTCCCCAGAAATCCTTGTTTCTGCTCAGCCATGACAGGCCTGAGTCATTTTATTTTTTATATTAGAAATAAATTTGGTAATGAAAGAGCTTTCTGGTACTTGCAAAGGTATAACAGTAATCTTTGGCATTTTTGAGTTTTTACTGTGTGCTTTATAACCACGACATTGACCCACTGACATAGATATTATTGCTATACCCCACTTTATAGAAAGGTGAGCCCCTGGAAAGCAGTATGGCAATCCTCAAAGAGCTAAAAGCAGAACTACCATTCAACCCAACAATCCCATGACTGGGTATATACCCAGAGGAATATAAATCATTCTGCCATAAGGACACATGCACACGCATGTTCACTGCAGCACTATTCACATAGCAAAGACATGGAATCAACCTAAATGCCCATCAATGACAGATGGGATAAAGAGAATGATAAAGATGAAAAGACAAGAAAATGATGAAGATAAAAGAAAATGCATAGTATTTCATATACTCCATGGAATACTGTGCAGCCATAAAAAAACTGAGATCATGTCTTTCATGGGAACATGGATGGAGCTGGAGGCTCTTATTCTCAGCAAACTAACGCAGGAACAGAAAACCAAATACTGTATTTTCTTACTTATAAGCAGGAGCTAATGATGAGAATTTATGAACACAAAGAAGGAAACTACAGACACTGGTGTCTACTTGACGGCAGAGGGTGGGAGGAGGGAGAGGAGCAGAAAATATAACTACTGGGTACTGGGCTTAATTCCTGGGTGATGAAATAATCCGTACAACAAACCCTCGTGACATGAGTTTACCTGTATAACAAACCTCCACGTGTACCCCCGAACCTAAAATAAAAGTAAAAAAAAGAGAAAGTTGAGGCTCAGAGGGTGCAGTAACCTTCCCAGTCACATGGCAAGGCTGTAGCCTAGCAGGATTCCCACCTGGGGTCCAGGCTCCAGGCCCTGTACTCTGGTGCCTCTCACTACTATACCTCTCAGGAAGCGTGTGCTCACCTGAGTTTGTGCCTGGAGCCCCCATGTGCCTTTGACGGTATGATGGGAGCATGTCACAGGCTAGCACTCTGAAAGGGTAGTCATTGGCCCTTCACTTGTACGAGATGAACCTTCACCTTGATATCTGCCTTCTCCTGCCCATTTCGGTGGCAGAACTGGTTTTTCAAAGCCTCAGTTTCTTAATTGGTGGAATGGGTCCAATTTTTTCGCTGCTTAGAACTCCAGTGGGGTATTATGAATCTTAAATGAGACAATATATAGTCATGTGCTTGTTAAACTATAATGCAATACCTCATACCAGATGTTATTGTCAGTGTAATTATACCTTATAATTCCACTTTAATAAAAAATGAGACCTAAATTATATTTTTCCTTGAAATTACATTGTCCTGTTCTGAAAAAGAATTACTTTTCTTTCCTTGCCATGGTTGGGGCTTTCAAAAAAAGAATTACTTTTAGATTCTTTTAAAAATATCTAGATTCTATTTTGCTTCCTGACAGATATTTTCCCAGTTTTGTGTTTCCTGTGGAGGAGGGGGAAAGTACACCGTTAAAAACAATCCTAGAGAGCTTTCTTGCTTGGCACTAAGATAGAATTTAGTTGGGAATCTCTACTAGGGCTGCGCTGACATCCTTATTCAGCCTAGTATATGGGAACGTTTTGAGATAAATTCTTGATCATGTAAAAGAGATTATTTTAAGAGCAGAAGTCAGGAGGAAACATGCTTCCTGGCTTTTATGATTACCTTATCTGGGCATAATAATAAGCTCTCCCTTGTAGGCCACTTTTTCTTCCAGAATGTTCAAGAATGTAGGTTACATGGTTCAGTTATAATAACACTTTAAGAACACAGTAAATCAAATTGCATTGCCTAAAAGTCCGTGAGTGTCATGGCAGGTCCAGGACAGAGTGGCCTAGTTGCATAGATTGAGGTTGCTGAGTGGCTCCACTCAGCAGCAGCAAGAAGAATCCAGTGTCACTTCAGGCCAGGATGCTCCCACTCCTGAAGCAACCCAAACCTATGCAGTAAAGAGATAAAAAATGACAACCAAAGGATGGATCACCTCTCTAACTCAGTCACATCTTTTTTTCCCCGAGGAAGGAATCAAAATTGTATTAGTCTCTTAAGAAACAGACATGTTATATTCTACAAATAGGGTTAATATTGTGTACAAAATAATATTTGTGAACAAAAGTCTTTTAGCTGGTGATACACCAAAAGAACCATTTTTGTGGGTTAGTGTTTTCCTTCCCAATAAAATAATTTTTTGAGCTGTAGTTTTTGTTCAGATTATTAATTTGTCAGATTTTATAGCCTAGCCAGTGTGTTTTTATTTAGTCTTACTAAAGTGCCATGAGTTTCAATGTGGCTCAATTCTTGCTTAAACTTCCCTATGCTAACATCATATATTGATCCTGAAGTCCAAGGTGATGTACCTCAAAATAACAAATGTGCAGAGCCTTTATTTAAAACAAACAGTTTCCCTTTCAAATGCTTGGGATTTTTATGTATTCTTATTGTAAAATTGTTTTAAAATAGAATTGTGGAAGCACCCAAAATGAATCAACATTATAGTTATTTACTGAGTATATATTAATATGATTTTAATTTTGATATTGATATGATGAATCAATTCAGTTATCCCCTTAGCGCCTTTCTGCCTCAGTTAATCTGTTTCTTAAATGTTACTGCCTTGTTCTTGCAATCTGCCTGGTGGCCCATCAGAGTTGTCCCCTGAGAATTAAATGAAATGGGAATACCTTCTCTATTAAATTCAGGGTTTTAGTGTCAGATTACTTTTAGTTTGCAAGAAACTACATATAATATTTGCATATTCAGTTCTATATTTGCCTTCAAGAGTTGTGTTGCAAACTCTTGAAGGCAAATATATATTTTAAGCCTGTTTGGGTTCCTATTGTTTAATAAATATGTCTTCATAGTATAAATTGTCATGTCTTCTTATTCCCTGACTCCTCTCCTGATTGAATTTTTTCATCCCTCTCAAGCTGACTATAACAGCTTCTTTAGGAACTTTGTCTTTAGATTTCTTTGAAGAGCCTAGAGCTAAATATTTTCAGCCTATTAGACCTACTTCCTTTTTTTGTAACATTTAGGCATGCCTCATTTACTGTCTTGAAGTGGAATTCAAAGATAATACAACTCACCTATACATATAACTTTTAAAAATATATATGTATTTAAATCCCTATCTTTAGGATACAAGAGAAAGGTAAGAACAGTAATCCACAGTAAACTACTCTGAATTTCAACCCATCAGTACTCTGACACGATTACATGGGAGGCATGCTGAGATAGTAGGATGTGTGTACCTCTCACACAGCCACCATGGATGCACCGCCTCCTCAGCCCCAGGTGGACTGTCACAGGTATGGGCCAGGTGTGGGCCAGGTGATGCCCTATATAATTTCCCCTGTATAATTTCCCAGGTGTTATAATTTCCCAAATTGATGGTCAGTTGCTGTTAAAGCTTCAAACACAACCAAGTACAGTTTTTCCTCAACTTACATGCTAATGCATGCCTTGAAAATATTAAAGACATTAAACTTGGGCAAAAATATTTTCTTTATATGTAAAACAGATAGCTTCCAGACTTAGATCATTGTAAGTTTTTTATCTCCAAGGATGACAAGGAGGAGTATTTGAAAGTCAGGTGAGATGTGGGACAATTTTTCATTGTGCAGGAGAGCGCCACACTTTGCAGGGCATCAAGCAGTTTCTGCCTTCTGCTCATGGAATGTCAGTAGCACCCTCCCCCATCACTAGGATGACAAAACCACCCCACAAATTTTGAAAAAGCCTACACAGTGAGAAACACTATTATAGAACATTGAGGCTGCTTTGTAATGAGTGTGATTTTGCTTTATTAAAGAGTATAATTATTGTAGAAATCTATGTTATAGCCACCTTCATATTGAATGATCATCATTTGTCTTGCTACTAGATCATAAGCCTATCAAGGGCCAAGGTGTATCTTACTGTGTCAAGGGGATCTAACAGAGTGTCAGGCAATATATTGGTGATTGGTCTGTTGAATAAATAAAAGCTCGTGAACAATCTCCTCTATTTTCAAAGGAACTGATATTTTAATTAGTAATACATACCACTGTTATCAGACTTCATTGTTAAAATATTACTGTTAAGCTATTAAATGCTGGATTGTACAAACCTAGAACATAGCTAGTGATCTATGCCTAGTTGGAGCAGGTTATCTTTCTTTGTGTGTTGAAATTTTTATTGATATCATTTAAAAATAACATGTAACAAAAGAGATGCTAGCAGCATTTACAGACTGTGTGTTTTTTTCTCCTTTAAAGAAAATTATGCTTTTCCATTGTTACAAAACTATTGGGAGCTTCTTGGTACAATAGGGCAGAGAGAAACAATAAAGACAGTCTCCATCCCCTGGGGTGTTGTCATCCATTTGGAGTGATGGACTAACATCTAGAACCATTAAAGCTAATGACTAAGTGCCATGTGGAATAGTGATGTTGATAGATACAGTAAGAGTCCAAGGAAGGGATTATAATGAGTAATCAGGATAGTCAGAAAGCTCATGGAATGATAGGACTTGAGCTCATCTTAAGTGATGGGTGGAATTTGAACTGGTGAAGAGGACCACATCCTCAGCAAAGGGAGAAAAATGTAACAAAGGTTTAGAGGTGGCAGTTAACATGATAGGTGTGGAAGACAGGCAGCAGAGCAGTGGCCAGGGATGATGGTGGGTTGGAGGAGGAAGAGTATGGCTATTGGGGAAAAATGTAAGGAAAGTTGGTTGGCAGAGTGAGGGCCAGACTCAAAGATTATTTTGTTTTGGCCAAAATTAACTTTAAAAGATCTGATGTTAATCTTATGTTATACCTTTTTAAAAAACTATTCTCTTCAGAGGTTTGTTTTTTATTTTACTTATTTGTGTCAGTAAAAATAAAATGTTCACGGCCAGATTTTGGATTGAATGCTTAGTAGTCATGCAAGTATCAAAAAGCAAGATTTAGATAAGAGAAAATGTTATCTTTTTTTACTGTATCATTTTACTATTATATTTTATGATTTTTTATTGCCTTCATTCAGTTAACTAAAGTTAGAATAGATGAGAATATGGAGTTAAAGGAAGGCCACATGGAGAGCTAAGCTTGAATTGGAATCAGGAGTCACTTATAGCTGTGCCACCTAGGGCAATAACTTTACTACAATTCACTTCAGTCTTCCCATCTTTAAAATGGAGGTAATACCTTACCCATAAACACACTACAGGTCTGTGGATTAAGTGTCATAACAGCCTATTGTGTGGCACAAAGAAGGCACTTAATGGATGTTAGGTCCCTTATTGGATTAAAATAAGATATTTAACTTCTTTAAGAGTAGGTACAATTTGTGTTGAGTCATAGAACCATTAAAGCTCATAAAAATTACATCATATCAGGCAAGTATGTATTATGAGTGACCTTGGATTCTCTAAATTCAGTTTCTTCATCTATAAAATAGAGATAAAATACTCGTAAAATTATGAGGATTAAGTGAGATAATGCATGAAAGGTACTCAGCACAGTGACTGCTGATACCTAGCAATCATGCAATAAACACTATCATTAGTATAAGGATGTTATAATTATGATGCCTACATGCTACACATTTATACTGTCTCTATCTTTACTACAGTCCTAAGTGGTATGTATTATTAATGTTCTTATGTTTATATGAGCAAGAACTGAAGTATAGGGAACTTAAGTGACATGCTCAGAGTTTCCAGCCGGTTCATCAGTGAGATTGGACTTGACCATAGATCCTCTGAATCCGAATCAGGTGTGGTTTCGCCATGCTAGTGTTGCTTCAATCCTTTGCAATGTGCAGGATAACCCCTTCCTTCAAATCCCCCTCTAAAAATGATTTATGGCTGGGTGCAGTGACTCATGCCTGTAATTCCAGCATTTTGGGAGGCTGAGGCGGGACGATCACTCAAGGCCAGAAGTTTGAGACCAGCCTGGTCAACATAGCGAGACATGGTTGCCACAAAAAATTTTTGAAAAAAAATTAGCCAGGCATGGTGGCACATGCCTGTAGTCCCAGCTAGTTGGGAGACTGAGATGGGAGGATTGCTTGAGCCCAGGAGGTTGAGACTGCAGTGAGCTATGATCATGCCTCTGCACTCCAGCCTGGGTGAAAGAGCGAGACTCTGTCTCAAAAATAAATAAATAAATAAATAAATAAAAATAAAAATGATATATATAACAGTTCAGAAATCACTGGACAGAATAATGAACGTTGCTTGAGACCCAGAGCCTCAAGTAACATTTTGTGTAGTACCAGCCCTGCCTAGAGCTGACTGCCCAATGACGAAGGTAAAGATGAAACAGATAACCCTGTTCCTAGCAACTCCACTTTGTTTGCAATGCATTTTTCCCAATGCCTTCATGCTCACAGTGCAGGCTGTGGAAGTTGGGTGGGAAATTTGACGATTAGGATTTATTCAACACAGTTTGCCTTTTACTATTGATCACTTCTTTCCGGAATTATAAACATGTTTGATTTATTATAATCTATTTCATAGCCAAGTTTCCAAATCTAGTTGTCAACCAATGTTAATAGTTTCTTTGGTTCTATTTAGAGTGACAATAAATATTTTGGAGGCACAACTAATATGAACAAAGGTACTGCAAATGTAGACATATGTTGGGTTGCAGAAGTTGCCATAATAGACCCATATGTAGTATCGCTCTTGGCACATGGCAGAATTTTAGCAAGTTGAAAATAAAGTTTGCAGGAGCAGGCAAATGTTAAACATCTGCCAAAGTGAATTATGAAACAGAAATTGTATTTACCAAAAACGTTTGTGCTCTTTAATTACCTGAACATTGTAATCCTCAGTATTTCAGAGCTATGTGAAAAACCTAAAATCTTAACATTAACATTGGAACTCATCTTCTTCATTGGAGTGGAAGTTGGAGGGTGTCCTGTCTTTCTTACTCTTTCGTATTCAAGGACAGGCCTATTTTTTTTTTAAACTGCTGTGAGGTCGTCTGGTGATTTTTTTTTTTTTTTTAACTGAATTGCTGTGACAAAGTATACAGCTCATCTGCTGGCTCAGGGTCTCTGCCAAAAGAACCTTTGGAATAACAACAGCAGAATTCATGAGATTCCTGTGAGTTTCATTCTGTTCTTTGAATGCTGGCTTATTGAAAGATATATGGGCAGCCACAGGCACAGCTAGAATTAGGCACAGCCAGAATTCACCATCTGCCACTGCTCTCGGGAGTATAGGAAGATGATGATAATTTTTAAGATTATTAATTATTCATCTTAGACATTTATTAAGACTCCACAGTCTTCAGCTCTTGGAGCTCATGCTGTAAATTAAACAGACCTAAGAAATAGAAATGGAACCAGAAGAAACATCTATCTCCTTTAAAAAAATAAATAAATAAACTGAAATGGGTTGGCTTTAAGAAAACAATATATGTAGTCAATTTTACTTAAAATTTATTTTTTCTCAGGTGTTAGAAGGTACAATGGATGGATAACACATTAAGCTTGGGAAAATGCAAAATATAAGTGTATGGCCCTGATAACTTTGATAGAATCTTTAGATGAGAACAAATTTAGACCTTTTCTCTGAGGTCTGTGAACATGTTCTATGAACATGTAGACCTTTTCTGTGAGGAATACCTATATTTGATTCATAAGTAAAAGTAAAACCAGATTAAGAAAATTTCAACATTGAAAAAGGACCTTGAAGTAGCCTAACCATGTGCCCTGTGCATGCAGCTTCTCAATAACATCCTCATGGCAGATGTGTTCAGCTTCTGCTTAAATACCTCCCATGACAGGAAAATCATTACTTCCAGAGGAAATTGATCCACTCAACATATTTACCGAACACCTGTTTACTGTGTCTGATCTGGTAGAGCTTACACCTACCCAGAAGAGTCAGACAGTAAACAATACATTCAATAAATAAGTAAATTATATATCAAGTTCATTCCATTTTCAGATGTGTTATTTTGTTAGAAAGCTTTTCCTTATATTTCCTTACACATAATGATTGTTTAGGTGTTTGAAGAAAGTATTTGTTGCCCTCTCGAGTCACCTGGTTTTCAATGTACGCTCCTGGTTGGTGAAACAGTTGTTCCTATGTATTAGTTTGCTAGGGCCACCATAACAAGGTACCGCAGGCTGTTTGGCTAAACAACACACATTTGTTTTCTCACATTTCTGAAGGCTAGAAGTCCCAGATCAAGGTGCTGGCAGGGTTGGTTCTTTCTGAGGCCTCTCTCCTTGCCTTATAGATTGCCGTCTTCTCCCTGTGTCCTCCCATGCTCTTTGTATGTGTGTGATAATCTTCTTTCCTTTGTTTGTTTGTTTGTTTGTTTGAGACTGAGTCTTGCGCTGTCACCCAGGCTGGAGTGGAGTGGTGCAATCTTGGCTCACTACAGCCTCCTCCTCCTAGGTTCAAGCCATTCTCCTGCCTCAGCCTCCCAAATAGCTGGGATTACAGGGACCCATGAGTTTCACCATGTTGGCCAGGCTGGTCTCGAACTCCTGACCTCAGTTGATCCACCTGCTTCAGCCTCCCAAAGTGCTGGGATTTACAGGAGTGAGCCACCACACCTGGCCGCTAATCATCTTAAAAGGACACTAGTCATATTGGATTGGGTCCACCCTAATGACCTTGTTTTATCTTAGTTGTTACTTTAAAAGCCCTGTCTCCAAATACAGTCACATTCTGAGTACAGAGGGTTAGGACTTCAACATATGGATTTGGGGGGCACAAGTCAGCCCCTAACACATAACCCTTGTCTTTTGGAACCCACAGAAGTGGGAGGATAATTCCATGAATATAACCAGGCAAGATGGTCCCATCCCATGTTCTAGACATCTAGTTTACCTTTGATAGTCCCAGCATGGTTGACTGATGTTGAGCTTGCAGTCTATGAGAAATCCCAAGTCTCTACACAGCTTGTTTTTTTAGGCTTGTCTTCTCCTATCCTTTGCATAATTTATTCTTTTATCTAGTCACACTGGGGATACAGCAGGGAACCAAGTAGACATTGTCCCTGTCTCTTGGAACTTAACATACATTAGTGAAGGCTGTCAGTGAACAAATGAGCAAACAAATATATAATTACAAATTGTAAGATGTACTATAAAGTGAATGAACAGATAAATAGTAGAAGAGACATCCTACTCTTGATAGTTTTTTTTTTTTGGTGGGGTATGCATTTTGGCATTTACCCTGAAATAAAACATTATTTTTAATATATCTGGCCTATTATTCCACCCTACCCCAACCATTTATAGAAGAGATCCTGGCTGTTATTTGTTATTTTTAGTGCCCTCATCCTTCACTTTATTCCTAAATGTGATAAATATGACACCTCTGGCTTTATCCCAGTCATCAATAAAAATACCTAACGGGACAGAACAGTACCATTGTTGTCCTAGAGCTAACAGTAATATCCATTAGCTACACATAGATAAAGATCTAGCCAGCATATATAAAGTGAGACTCTTATTGGAAATATTAACAAGATTAATGCTGCCCACTGCTAAGTTTTCTATTTCACCAGCTGAGTCTTAAATGTTCCTCTGGCTGTACCACATTGATCACAAAAGGCCTTTCAAGTTGTCTGCCTGATGATTTTTAAAAGGTCAAATTCATTTAAAGTATTTCACTCATAATGTGGGGAAATAGAAGTTGTTCTCAATCTAACCAGAAAGAACGTCACTTACAAACCAGAATGCCTACGTTTTGCAGGGCCGAGGATCCAAGGTGATGTTCATCAGCTCCTTTCACATGGATCTAACCTGCCCATGTAGGCCCACTCCAATCACCTGGAAAGTGTGAGTCCAAGGCCAGAACCTACCCAGGCCAGTTCTGTGATGCCCTCTTTCTCCTTACCTTGGGCATCCTTGGCTTTAATGGCCAATTCTGTACTTGCTGCCCTGGCTCTACTGGTCTCCCACATAGACAGTTCCCACGTTTGTGTTTGGCCATCGAACGCAGTGTTTGGGTAAGAGGCACTCCAGATCTCTCAGCTGCCAGTCCACTGAGCTGATTCTCTTTTTAGTTGGAGTAGGGAGAGTTTAATCAAATTTAGAGAACTGGGGATTGGAATCATCCAGCAGGCACATCACCCTTGGTCATCACAGGGTTACCCATCCAGAGCAGTGGAGAAAATGAAATGTTTTCAGAGGCAGTCAAACTTGACCTTTAATTTAGCATGGACCATAGCTTGTCAAGGTTCATCAGCAGAGCGGTACTGTTGTAAGCATTTGCTAATGTAGACATTATTTGACGTTAATTTACTTGCTAATTTGACACATTTTTGTATAACACAGAATAAGTTAAATCGCAACAAAATTTATTTATTTATTTATTTATTTATTTATTTATTGAATATTCCTTAAACACCTATCACATGCTAGGCATTGTTCTGGGTGCTAAAATTACAGCTGTGAATAAAATAGACACAGCTCCTTCCCTCGCAGATCTTATATTCTGGTGGGGGAGGGCGGGAGACTAAGACCATGTAAATATGTATTATTCAGAGAGTGAAATATGCTTTGAATAAAATATAGAAACAGAAGAAAGTCACAGTGACAGGGGAAGGAAATTTCGCCTTATATTGGGTGGTCAGGGAACATCTTATTGATAGGCAGAGCCTGAAGAAAGAGAAAGAGCAAACCATATGGATACCTGGAGAGAGGAAGTTTGGGCAGAAGGAAGAGCAAATGCAAAGGCCCTGGGCTGGGTCTTCTCAAGGAAAAGCAAGGAGGCCGCTGTGGCTGGTGTGGGGCTGGCGCTTATTCTACACTGCTGCCTTTCAGAAAGTGTAACAAAGAACCAGATGGCTCTTTGCTAGACTTGCCCTATTTTGTTGTGGTTGTTAACTAAAAATACATGGGAAAAGGGTGTTTTTTATACTGCTAAGGTTGCATTCTTGATTGGCTAAGGAGTTAACCCCAGGATGTGTGTGTGTGTGTGTGTGTGTGTGTGTGTGTGTGTGTGTGTGTGTGAATGATATATATACATACCTATACACACACACGTTTGTTTAATGAAATGGGAGAGAAGTTGAGACATACCTTTTTGTGCTTCAATGTGAGCCTGTGAGAGTTAGTAGTTTAGCTGATACAAAACCCCTTTGTAATCTATTATGCAGCCTGTTATTAGCAATCAGTCCTACAAGTGCTATTATTTTCATCCTCCAAGTAAAGCATAGGAGTTGGGTAAGGGTCAGAGTAGTTTGAAATTTGGATAAGAACTCAAATTCTTTACTGACTTCCCTCACACCTACATCTAACTTCTGCAGGAGCTATCCCATTAGTTGTGAATGATTTAATAAGCAAAACCTGGGGTGAGTTTACCTCCTGAGGCCAGTTCAGTTTTTAGACATAGTTGGCTTGCCCTGAGCTCTTCTTGGCCTATTTCTGGGCATTATGCATCCTGAGAAATATCGGGATTTTTTTTCTGTTACAAAGCGAACACTTCTCATGCTTCCAAGTGTTTACATGTATCAGGCCCTAAGTGGTGGCCCTATCAGGAGCAGAGTGTGCAGGCGATGTTGTGCAGGGTGGGCATGGCTCAGCCTGTGCTGTCTGTGTGGTTCCAATGGTTCCAATATCCCAGCGGGGCTGTGCCTGTCCACCAGCCTGCTGGTTACCACAGCAGATAACATAGTAGACTCAGGGTTTAAGAAGAACCACCACCCAGAGCAAATGAATAAAACTGTAACTGCTTCATGGCTAGACTCTCTGAAGAAATGCCTCTGATATAACCTCAGTTGGTCCTCAGAAGAAAGTTTGCAAAAACAAGAACAATGTCTGAACTCATTCCTTGACCATAACCATCAAATTTAAATGCCACAGTTTCTCCATGTGGGAAATTCAAAGACATTGTGGACCTTTGCATGATGTGAAGGTGTGTTAATGAGATAGCTAGCTCCTTTTTGGAAAAGAAAACCTCAGAGTAAGACATAAAGTCTTTCTTGGCTGCAGCTGTTCTTTCATGAATGATCAGCTAGGTAAGCATGTTCCAGTAAAATTAAGCCTCACCATTGACAAGTGTTTGGAGGGCATTGTAAGATTCATGGATACATCCTGCGTCTGCCTTGTTGTTTTCTACGGGTTGAACATACGGCATTTAAGGAAATTTTGTGGTTAGTAACAGAAGATTTCAAAATTAATCTCTAGAATTTATATCTCTTAGATTAGATATTTTAATAAAAACACAATATTCCATACTGTCATGTGATTGCTAGCCTTTGGTTTGTATGAAAGAATTGTTTCACTCTTTCTGTAGATTTCTACAAAAAATCACTTGGCAGATACATACCAAAAGAATATTGTATTTTATATATTTAATATATTGAAAGGGATGCTGTCATACCCAATGCTTCTGAGCTCACCCACAAAAATAAACCTCATGTTTATACTTAACTTTATTTATTCAGCTAGCATGTTTTATAATCTGTTATGTACCAGGCACTATGCTAGAGGCTGGTAATTCAGAAATGAGAGACTCAGCCTTCCACTTCCATCAAGGGGCTTACAGTTTAGTGGGGAGACAGAGAAGTAAACTACAAACACAAGATCAGGTAACAAGTACTACTGTGGCCCAAAGCAAGGGTATTTCACTTTGCCTGGGGAAGTCAGTCAGAGCTTCTCAGAAGAATGGGTAAGGGTTAGAGCTGGAATTAAGAGGAAGGAAAAGCAGAATGTATAGTGCAGGACCTAACAGTAGTTCACAGCCTGGTGTTTTGGCAGACTTGCAGACAGTTCCCTATAGCTGAAGCACAGGGTTGCATGAAGTTAGAGAGGTGGAAAGGGGTCTTGTATGGCAACCAAGGGTTGGGCTTTATCTCAAAAGGGATTGAGAAATGTTGTAACAATCTGGCAGGAGTCATGAGGACTGAGCCAATAGGAAGGCTATTGCATTGATCCAAGTGAAGTATTACAAATACCTTAAGTAATAGAATGATGGTAGGAAAGAGGATGAGAAAACAGATACAAGCAATTTTTAAGAGGTAGATTCAACAGGGCTTGCTGAGTCTTTGAATCTGGGAGATGAGAAGGAAGAAAAGTCTTGAATTTCTAACTTGAGTGACTTAGAAAATGATGATGTCATTCAGGCAATAAAGGAGAAAGTAAGAACTGGGGAAGGAAAGTGGTTAGCTCAGATGAAGCCATGTTGAATTTCAGGTACCTGAGGAGTATCCGGATTGAGGTGGACAGTAAGATGTGAAGAGGTAACATATGGATGTGAACTTCCATGGAGAGGTCTGAGGTGTAAAAGTAATTTGGGAAACGTCAGACAATAGGTGAAGCTGTGGGTTCAGATGATTCATCCTAGGCAATATTTATATATAAGAAGGAAAGGGGCTGAATATGGAGTTCTGAGTTATTCTTGCCATTGCAGGAAGGGATAGAGAAGGAGCCCCTAATGCAAAGAGACCAAATAGTCACAGAGGTAGGAGGACAGAGGAGACATATGTCACAGTAGCCAAGTAAAGTGAACGTCTCAAAAAAGAAGACTTGACCAGTAATGCCAAATGCTGTCAAGAGGCCAAGTAGGGTGAGGACTGGAAAGTTCCATAGGGCTTAGGCATTGGTAGTTATGACACACTCATTCCCAATGTGCTGGAATGGCAGTAAGTTGGAATGAAGGGGATTAGGAGGGAGAGACAGAGAAGTTTCTAAGAAACTTGGCTGTGCGAAGTAAAAGCGAAATAACTAAACATGAGGAAAGAGCTGTCTGCTGCTGGTTGCCGCTGAATCTGTCAAGCTGATTTCTCCCAACCTGAGTGAACAAGAGCAGCAAGGAATGCCCTGCCCCGCATAACATGTGCTGTGTTTATTGTGTCCCCCTTGTGTCCTAGAACATAGGAGTAAGATGGTGACCAAAATAAACATAGAATGTACCTAGTGAAATTGATAGTCCAAACAGGGAGAAAGCATATTGAAAACTAGCTGCACAATAAATGCATAATTTGTGATAAAGTATTTGTGTCAATAAGAAATGTCAACTGTGGCTCCAGATTTAGACCACGGAGTTAAGGGAAAGCTTCTCTGAGGAAGCAATACTTAGATGGATGAAGGGCAAATAGAATTTAGCCAAGGGAAGAGAGGAGGGCCTCTAGGCAGGTGGAACAGCAATGCTGAGCCCTGAGGTGCAGGAGTCCTGGGTAGCAGGGAAGGTGCAAGATGAGACTGAAGAGTTAGGCAGGAACCAACAATGCCACACCTGGAAAACCAGGAAAGTGTAAGGTCACGGAAGCAAGAAAAAGAGAGTTGCAAGAAGAAGGGTGTGGAGCTATATCAAACGCTACGGAGATGCCGTTTCAGTTAAGGGCTGAGAAGAGCCCACTGGCTAAGTGGAAGCTGTTGGTCACCTTAGTGGAAGTGTGGCCAAGGAGTCAGCCTGAAGTGGGCTGAAGGGGGAAGAGGAGTGGAAAGAGGAACTGAAGGCTGCGTATAAAGGCAGCTGTGTTGAGACATTAAGCGATGATTGGGAAGTCAGGAAGGTAGGCTAGGAATTTGTATTAGTCTATTCTCTCATTGCTGTAAAGAAATATCTGAGACTGGGTAATTTATAGAGAAAAGAAGTTTGACTCATGGTTCTGTGGGCTATACAGGAAGCATAGTGGCTTCTGCTTTTGGGGACCTCTCAGGAAGCTTCCAATCATGCCAGAAGGAAAAGGGGAGCAGGCACCTTAACATGGCAGGAGCAAGAGAGAGTGAGGGGGTAGGTGTTGCACACTTTTAAACCACCAGATCTCATGAGAACTCACCATCATGAGGACAGTACCAAGAGAGATGATGCTAAGCCTTTCATGAGATATCTACCCCATGATCCAATCACCTCCCACCAGGCTCCACCTTCAACAACGGGGATTACAATTCAACGTGAGATTTGCTGGGGACACAAATCCAAACCATATCAGAATTGGAAGGAAATGTGGGATAAGATAAGGGTTTTTGTTTTGTTTCTGTTTGCTTGTAAGACAAGAGGTATTGGCTATGTTTTCATAAAGGCAAGAAAGATTTTATAGAAAGGGAAAGGTTAAGATGCCAGAGACCCATAGGAGTGACAATCTTGGGCAGGAGGCAGAAACAGGGTCAGGAGAGGGGACAAAGGTGGCTTTGTGGATTTGATGGCAGAAAAATGGGACTTCCTATCCGGTGCCATGTAGGAGGCAGGGTCGTCCCTGAGAACGAGATGGGAGGAGGGAAGCAGGAAGGCTGTGGAGTGCACAGGGCAGAAATGACTGTTGCAGTGAGGGATGCTTGCTGGGCCCAGGAAGGCCTGGTGGGGAGGTCTGCTTCCCTGACCTGCCTGTGGGGTTTTCCACTCACCACCTCCCCGTTGACCCTGCCAGTGTTCTTAGAAGGGTGTAAGAATGTTGTTTTGATTTTGTTCCCGTGTTTTTCCAAAGTCAAATTGTACCACGTTATAGAATTTCCTACAAATCCTGAATATTCTGACGTGGGAGCAAGTGCTTTCTGCTCTGGTAATTTTACGCTATTTGATTTCAAATTAGTTTCGTGATTTGTTTCCTCCCATGTTTACCCTTTGAGTTGCTTATTCCCTTTGGCTTCATCATTTGAAAAACTCATGATTTGGTGTCCGTCTTTTCTGGTTTTTTTTTTTTGCAACCACGTCTCACAGTTTAGAGCCTTCCATTTCATTTTATGGAACATGTTGTAAAGTTGGAATCTTTCATGCAAGCCCACTTGCAAAAATATCCAAATATTTTTGCCTTATGTATTTCTTGGTATTCTCTCTTTCTCTCTCTCTCTGTATTTCTTGGTATTCTCTCTCTCTCTCTCTCTGTGTGTGTGTGTGTGTGTGTGTGTGTGTGTGTGTGTGTCTGTGTCTGTCTGTCTGTCTCTGTCACTTTCAGGTAGCATTCGTGGCAATAACGAGAATGTCTGCTGGACCCTTTACCTCTCTCTTCCCTCCCCTCTATATACCTGGTGCTCACCAGGTCCCTGCTGCTGTTTTGTCGCTTGACTTTGTATCATATTGAGTTTCTGTCCTGGGTTCTCTGCTTGTACTCTGTCTTCTCCTTTTCATAATCACTCCAGGTCCCTGCCACTTTTTTTCTGGACACCCAGAGTCTTTTTCTTTCTTCCAGTGACAGTCAGAAGTTGGGGGAGCCCCCTTGGATGCATATTGTTGGAGGTTCCTAAGTTCATACCAAGTATCTTTAGAAATCAGGAAGGATGAGGAACAGAACTAACATTTTATGAGCATCTACTGGTATTGGATGCATTTCTTATGCTACCTTATATTAACCTTTACCATAACCTTGTGGTAGGGAGTATTGTTTTGATTTCATAGACAGATAAGTCAATCCCAGAAAGATTCCATAACTTGAGAAATATATCAGGGCCAGGACTAAAACTGTCCTTGTTTCCTGCCTGAAGCTCAGGGTGACTGACGGTTATCATTGTCAATGTCTAGACACGAAATATTCATCCCAGTTAGGCATGGGCCTAGGTGTTACCTCAGATCTTGAACTCACGCTGTGATATGAAAGTGGTCTCCTAGCAGTCAGGCATCTTGAGTCCTGGAGTCCAGACAGAAGGTGCCTCTACCACTAGGTGGGGATGTAGCAGCACCACAAATGAGTACACTACAAATGGAAAGACCCTCTAGAACAAAGGCGTTCAAACTTAAAAAATAAGAATAATTTATTGCAGTGAAACAACATATAATTAACCATTTTAAGGTGACTCTTCTGTGACATTTTGTACATTCGTGGTGTTACACAACCACCACTTCTATCTAGTTCCAGCACATTTCCATCACTCCAAAGTAAAAACCCCTTCACCATTAAGCAGATTCTCCCAGTTCTTCACTCCCCGTAGCCCCTGGCAACAGCTGATCTGCATTCTGTCTCTATGGATTTACCTATTCTGGATATTTCTTATAAATAGAATCATACCATATGTGACCTTTTTGTATCCAGCCTTCTTCAATTAGCATAACATTTTGGGGGTTCATCCATGTTGTAGCATGTTCCCAAACTTCATTCCTTTTTACGGATTAATAATATTCCATTACATATATATGCCACCTTTCGTTTATTCATTGATCCATTGATAGACATTGAAGACTTTGAGCTATTACGCATAGTGCTGCTATGAACATGCATGTACATATACTTGTTTGATAACTTGTTTTCATTTCTTTGGGGCATGTGTACACAGTGAAATTACAGGGTCGTATGCTAATTCTATGTTTAACTCTTTGAGGAACCATCAGATTCTTTCCATAGTAGTTAAACCGTTTTGCATTCTCACTAGCAGAGTATGAAGATTTCAAACTTTTTAAAACCATGACTCGCAATATAAAGTACATTTTACATTGCAACCCAGTATTTAACCGTGTGTATGTATACATACAAATATAACAGAGGTTTCATGAAACAGTACTCAACCTGACTGTGAATGATGCCCTCTAATGTATTCCCTCCTATTCTATGTCATTAGGAAAGTGTCTTGGTTTGACCCACCAAATTAACTCCACAACTCAAAGTTAATTTGCTATCAGTTGAAGTCACAGATATTTTCATCATCACTACAGTTGCTTTAGGCATATTGAAATATTATTTATGATCATTCTTTTATTTAAAATTTCTTATAATTATTACGCCTCTGGATAATGTTATTTAAAGCACCATTTGAAGAAGCAGGTATATACGATACCACAATTTTGTGTTTTTTTAAATAGTTGAATAACTATGTTTCAAAATAATTGCTTTCTTTGTCACCCTGTGTCTTCCACATTTTATTCATGTAAACACATTATTCTGAGAAGGAACTCATGGGCTTCGCCAGACTGCCAAAAGGGCTCATGGCACAAAAATACTTAGGAACATGCTAGACTACACTGTCCAATAAGGGAGCCATTAGCCACTTGTAGCTATTGTGTACAATATTGTGTACAATGGCTGCAAGATGGATGTGGCTAGTCCAAATGCAGATGTGCTGTCAAATACCCACTGGATTCCAACTATTTGGTACAAAAAATATTAAATGTCTCACTAATATTTTTTATATTCATTAATTATTGAAATGATTTTTGGCATATTGGGTTAAACAAAACAGATTATTAAAATTAATTTCACCTGCTTGTTGGTTATTTTAATGTAGCTACTTAAAAATTGAACACTGCGTGTGTGGTTCGCATTGCATTTCTGTTGGACATCACTGGCTTAGCACCAGATCGGAGTTCCAATCTTGTTGTTATCACAGGACCAGTAGTAATCACTGTTACTGTTACTGTCATTACTCTGCTGCGGGACCTACCCTGATAAATTTCAGTTTCCTCCTCTGGAAGTGTAGATATAAAGCCAAAGGAGAGCATATTGCTGTGCTTATTCTGTATTCAGCCTTTTTCCTAATACATTTCTCACTATTGGAATTGTCTAGTCATCTCATCTTTCATCCAGAAGTCTGGTGAAGGCCCATGTCCATGTCCCTTCCCTTATGCTTCTGCTACCCCTTGTTGTAATGAACACAAAATATAAATTATATATGGGAAAATCATATACCAAGGTAAGGATATAAGAATTCATAGACAAATAAATATTTAAAAATAATTTTAAAGGATAAGAAAAAGGGGAAACTCCCTTGAGGAGCAAAGAAGGTGGAAAATAAGGCTTGTGGTAGGGTGGAGTAGTAATTTGACCACAGTTGCCACCCATCCTGTATTTATCCAAAGGCCAGAGTGGCATTTGGATAAGACTCAGGCAAACCACCAGCACATTCCTGGAGTTGATGAATGGCCACTTAAACAGCAGGACACCCCTGGCATGTCCCTAAACCCAAAACTAAAAGTCCAGCAGGCTATTACAATGAGGGAAGGTGCCAGCATGTGTCTTTAAGGGCGATGGGCTGAGCAGGGACCACTCACCCTCTTATTTGTCTGATTCTTACACTGATGGGAGCCCTGAGAATCTAACATTAGCATCCTGGGAATACAAAGCCCTTTCATCTACATAATCTCCTTTAAGATCATGAAACAACCTTATGTAAAGGGCAGAATCATGTGTACCTTATAAATGAGAAAGAAATAGGTCAAACACATAAGTGGATCACTGAGGCCATTACTGGGTGGAGCAGGGTTTATCTGACCATGAGCTTGAGTTTCTCCACAGCTAACACTGAGGGTCAGAATCATGACCCTCCACTTCTGTTTCCTTGGGCTTCTCAGAGTGATCTCACCCCTGTGGACGGTCTGCAAAGATCATTACTCTTGACCTCACTTCTGCCTCCTAAGCTGAGCCGTGCAGTTGGAGTCGCTCTTCCCACTAGCCTGCTAAGCTGCTGCCTTCCATCATTCAGACAGTTTCTGACAGCCCCACCCTCCTACACAAAGCCCTGCCTGTCTGGTCAAAGGAGGGTGGTGATTTCCCACCCTTTCTAAAAACACGCCTTGTAAGACTTTCTCTGTCCTCTAAAATATACTTGCTCCTTCAGAGTCACATTTTCTACTACTGTACGGTTAAACATCGTCTGTGGGAGGAAAGGTGATGTATGGGTTTTTCTGCTCCACTGTTGTCGGGCTTAGACCACCATCTTCTAAAAGGCAGAAACCTGGGGTCTGTACCAGACAGCTCCATGAACAGATGGTCATTTTGAAGTCTTTGAAGGTGAAATCTGTGATGCTCAGTGAGGTATACACTTCTTTTTAAAGTGGTAGTTCCAAATGAAGTGATGCTGTAACATATCCTTAATTCCTTAGACCACTGTCCTTAATCTCAGTTGTAATAACCTGGCGTGTGACTATTGTTTATTCCTGGTTTACAAGAATTGTCTAGTTATATAGTTTCTATTGCTTTTCCTCTAAGCTGAACAAAGCACTTTGATACTACTTCATTAATTTCACAGTAGACAGCTTGATCGTTTTTATATTGATTTATCGCTTTCTAATCCCCAATTATTTTTTGGTCCTATGTCAGCTTCTCCTGCCAGTAGACAGTGTGTGTTTTCATGGATACTCTTGACATGAGCTTTATTAGAACATAACCAAGAAGGTGAATCTGTTGCCAAAAAATTAAATAATGTTTGCCAAAGAGTTACACAGAATAATTTATTACCCAGTGTTCTGCTTTTCCTATGCAATGGTTCCTCCCAGTGGTATAGAAAACCAAAGATTGGCTTGCCCTAAGAGATGAGGCAGTTTGGGGATGGGAAATAGTGTTCTTCTTTTAGTAGATAAATAACATGTCCAAGGTTATAGGATCGGGATCAAAATAAAAAGCAGAATCATGAGTTTCCTGATTCCCAGCCCTTCAACCTTTGCTAATAGGTAACTATAAACATGGTCATACCTAGAAAGAAAAAATTTTAGCACCTAGAAGGAAAAAAACGTAAAATTTAAGTAGCATGCGCTAAAAAACTATCCAAAATTTCTAGTTTTCCTCAATTTCATTGATTTGAAAATTATAGGTTTTAATAATTATGTACATTAAATGGTATCTTAAGGAAAAGTTGATCTTTCCCTTATTACTTAAACCCTACTATTTATTTTTGTGTATCAGATTGGTAACATTGGTGGGAATATTCACTCTAGCCATAAAAGGTATTTAATTTTTATCACCAAATAATAGGAGTATCACCCAATAACTTTAATACAACTATGAGAATGCTCTATTTTTTTGTTTTGCTAGATTATCATTCATACAGGGAAGAACCAGCATTTTCTTAGTTCTCCTGTAGATGGCGAATCTAAAGGGTGATGACGACTGATATAAATATAATTGTTTTTTATACTGTTAAGCATTATGTATCTGCATTTTTGGTAAATAATAATATGCAAAGTTAATGCCTTTTTTTTTTTTTTTGGAGATGGAGTCTCGCTGTGTCACCCAGGCTGGAGTGCAGTGGCAGGATCTCGGCCTACCACAACCTCCACCTCCCGGGTTCAAGCAATTTTCACGCCTCAGCCTTCCGAGTAGCTGGGATTACAGGTGCCCGCCACCACACCCAGCTAAATTTTGTATTTTTAGTAGAGATGGGGTTTCACCATGTTGGTCAGGCTGGTCTTGAACTCCTGACCTCAGGTGATCCACCCACCTCGGCCTCCCAAAGTGCTGGGATTACAGGCGTGAGCCACCGTGCCCAGCCGCAAATGCCATTTTTTGCTTCTTCAGAAGGGACTTAATATTTTATAATTATGTATTAATAGTTGGCTCCTATTGTGGCCATTTATATTTGACCTGTTTGTATCTGAACGTAAATAATTTCTCAGGTTGCTGGTGATATTCAAAAATAGGATAATAAAGTTATCATTAGTGTTGTATGCTTTCATGCTAAGGGGCATGAGGTAAATGCTGTCATGTTTTCTCTTTGCATACATGTCTTTAAATACATTAAATACTAAGTGTGCTATGACCTTATTCTGCAGAAATTGAAGTCGAATCTTTATGTGTACAAAATATGTATGAACCACAACATCTCCTGGTTTTGACTACAGGTTAATGATATCCAAATATGCAGACACTACTTTGAGAGGTTGATGAGAAGACTAAATTAGGTAAATTTTGAGATGATACTAACCTAACCGGAACCTCTAATCAAATGGAAGTTTACCCTGGGCACCAAATGTTATATGACTTAATATTACTAAAATGTTAAGTAATAGTGTTTGTATGTGCATGTGTTTAGACTTTCTTTACCTTTCCGAAACTTCCAGCCTTGTGGGCAGGTCTACCTTACCTTGGTAGCCAGCAGAGGGGGTTGGGGGTAGGGATCTCTCTATGATGACAGGTTCTCTCTCTCCTCTTTCCTTCTCTTCTCTTTTTCTAACCTGACTATGGAGTTAAGGAGGCATTTTGTGCTGCATATTCTGGGTTCATTTCTCACTACAGATTTGCTACATAACAGTTGTCATCTGCCTAGGCACTCATGTAATCCTCATAACAGATTTGTGTGACAAGGCACTAGTTTACAGACGAGGAAAATGAGGCCATGAGATGCTCAACAACTTTGCCAACAATACAGCTTTTATATGATGGAGCATGGTCTGGTCTACAATGTCACTCCCCTTCTAATTAATATCCTTTGAATATTTGTTCTTTTTTTTTTTTTTTTTTTTTTGAGACAGAGTTATGCTCTTGTCGTCCAGGCTGAAGTGCAATGGCACCATCTCAACAACCTCTGCCTCCCAGGCTCAAGCGATTCTCCTGCCTCAGCCTCCTAGCTGAGATTACTGGCACCCACCACCACGCCCAGCTAATTTTTGTATCTTTAGTAGAAACAGGGTTTCACCATGTTGGCCAGGCTAGTCTCGAACTCCTGACCTCAGGTGATCCACTCACCTCAGCCTCCAAAAGTGTTGGGATTACAGGTGTGAGCCACCGCACCCAGCCTGAATATTTGTTCTTGAAGTCACCATTCAGTTGTCTGGAGCAGGGTTGAGGGAGAGGCGCAATTTTCCTTTCACTAGCATGCAGGCCCGGGTTAACTGGTGCCCTAGTTCTAATTCATCCTAATGATGTCTCAGTGCCACTTTTAGAGAAGTGCCCAGCAGGTGCCCAGTAGGTGTGCCCCTTTGTTCAGCTTTGTCTATGCATGCCCTCTGATATACAGCCCAGCCCCAAGCCTCAATATTAGGCCTGAATAAATACCATTCTTTTACCCCACTCTAGACCTGTCAAAACACCTTGGATGACAATGGACACATGGAGGGGGCATTCCATGTGCAGAGCAGAAAGCAGGGTAAATTCCAGGCTTTTTTTCCTCCACTCCCTGCTGCCACTTCTCGGAGTCTTTTATTGTCTTCTGCTTAAACCCTTCAGGGGCTTCCCATTGTGCTAGAATTCCTCCTGATTCCTTTGTCTTGGCTCTGGGTTCCTTATAAAACCCCTTCGCAGGGGAGCTGAGTAGGAAAGAAAAAATGAGTTCTGCTGCTATGTTTCAATGATAACAATTTTAGAAGACATGATTTTTCTTGTTTATGTTTGAATCTGGACAACAACAAGCTTTGCTATAATGAAGTTGTGTTGCATTCAAAAAATTTAAATGTATTTCAATTCATTGAAAAAAATTATTTGCAGTGGATAGTAATGGAGTAAATGTTTTTCAAAACTTGCTGAATCTATTTTTGTGAAGATTTATATATGTGGGTTGGATTTTTTAAGGTAATGATTATTGTGTTTGATGCTTACCACATGGACATTGTGTGGCATCATTTCATATTTTTTCTCTAATATTTCTTAGGATGGGATAGATCCGTCCAAATCATGCATCAAAAATAGGTCAAAAGAGAAGTTTGTTATTTATCTCAACACTTTGTCCTTTAGGTTATCTCTAAAAAGCCTCTTATTCTACTGTTTAAAGAAAAACAAAACCCTTTTTCCATACTCATCACCATTGATTGTAACTGCTGTCTTTCTATCTCAATTCAGGGGATGCTTAATTTGATTTGGAGCTGTTCTTAAGATACAATGTATAATAGTGGGAATATAATATAGTTCATGCTTTTTTGGAAGTTGAGACTGCTGATCAAAAATTGATAAAGCAATTATTTTCTTGCATTTAGTGATTTTCCTTTGTTTCTTCAGGATGCTAGTGAAACATTTCTGCCTAACACATTCTGTTCATGAATGTACATGTCACTCTGTGACAGTAATTACACATGTGTACCCACGTGTATCCGTCTACAAGAAAAGGGGGTGGATTCCAATCGTAACCCAATCAACTCAATCAGATGCTTTAAAATCATTAGGTAATGGCTCTTGATGTTGGCATGCATCCAGACTGTTTGCAAGGCTTTGTTTCCACATTTTTTTTGAATGCCACACAATTTAGCCTCAAAAAAATTTTCAAAATGCTTTTAAAAAAAGAGTAAACTAAGTATGAATTAAAACAAAAAATTGCATTTCTTATACATTTTTTTCCCACAGGCAGCAGATAACAGTCAGACATGACAAGCTTGCTCATTCACTTATTCACTCAACATATGTTTATTGCATGAGGACTTACTGTGTGCTACAGAGATGTAAGGAACACAAAGCTGAGTAAGACACAGGTCTTCTGGAGGGAGAGACGGGACAGATGGTTATAATTGGGATCAAGACAGGAGGAGAGTAAATGCCATGGATTATGAGATATAGTCTCTGTATCCTTTACCACCCTCATCCCACTCTGCTACATGGCTTGCTAGGACATAGGTACATAGGTGACCAATAGGTCACTCCTTCTGACCACCTCCTTCCCATTGACCACCCAGAGCTACCACCAGCCCATGTGGTATCTTGATAAAAAAAAAAAAATAGGCACCCCTTCCTCTGGATTGAGTCCTGGGCTGATGCAGACCCATGCCAGGGTAGAAGCAGCCCACTGCCACCTCTGTACCTGCCAAATTGGAGAGTGGAGTTCAGACTAGATTTCCATCCTCAGTCACCCCATCTCCACTCTAGGTCAGACATCCTTGTAGAGACCACTGCCTGTATAATGAATCAAATTAATGTAAAAAATAAAGGCATTCTTCTCTTGGTTTCTTGGAATTGGTTACAGTCCCCAGGGAATACATCACCCAGGACAAAGCCAGGCAGGAAGACAGTGAATAGGCTGGGAGAGTCAGTGGGACCTGAAGCGCCTCTGCTGTGTTAGGGAGTACCTTAGCATCTTTCCTGAACTTTTATTTATTTATTTATTTTTATTTTTTGAGATGGAGTCTTGCTCTGTTGCCCAGGCTGGAGTGCAGTGACAGAATCTAGGCTCACTGCAACCTCCGCCTCCTGGGTTCAAGTGATTCTCCTGCCTCAGCCTCCCAAGTAGCTGGGATTACAGGCGGGTGCCACCACGCCCAGCCAATTTTTGTATTTTTAGTAGAGATGGCGTTTCGCCATGTTGGCCAGGCTGGTCCTGAACTCCTGACCTCAAGTGATCCACCCGCCTTGGCCTTCTAAAATGCTGGGATTACAGCCATGAGCCACTGTGCCCAGCCTCTTCCTGAGCTTTCTCTAAAGAACTTGGTAACCATGATTCTCACCTTGCTTGTGATTTTTAAAAAAATAAATAAATAACAAAGTTATGACAAGTGACTCAGGGTCTAAAATAGACCTAAATTTTACTAGCTATATGAGTTTGACCTTATTTTATGCCTCCTTAAGCCTCAATTTTCTCATCTGTAAAATGGGACTAATAATAGTACTTACTTCATAGGTTTGAGGTGAGTATTAAATATAAAAATATATATTTTTTTAACTACAATATTTATATTCAACAAATGTAGATGGTGTCATTTAGTGTCATCACTTGTGTCAGGCCACTTTCCGACTTTTTCCCCACTCTTTGATACCATTTTCTAAGGCCTTCCACTTTTCCTGTTATCTTTCACTCAGTCCCCAACATCTATGCCTAATTCCATGCTTGACAATTCATTGTATGTTCTCCTAATATTTTTAAGGAAGGATCCCTCATTTTTACAGGTATGAAAGCTGAGATAGCTTTAGGTCCTCTTAAATCATAACTGAAGTCACTAGCAAGCCAGGAACACATTCAGATTTTACTGTTGCATTTTAAAGTACCTCTGTCCAGGTGCCTCTTCTGACTAATTTTTTTATGCCCCCCCAGAGAGAGAGAAGACAAAAGGATAAATGTTTCAACTCAGCTTGCAGCGGGTGTCATTCTATTTGATTTGCAGGCCTTTCAACAAAACAAAAGCCCTTTTCTGTTCTTTTACAATATATGTCCTCTTTAAAGGTACTCGAATGAAGAAAAAGCATACACTGGACAAGATTTCAGGTTCTAAGAGACAGAAACTGGGCTCTTAGATGCTGATTCACTCTTCACAGTGAAAGCTAGATGGCATTGAAAACATTATTTTCTAAGTAGCATTTACATTTTTATGACCGTTTCCCTTGAAATATATATGAGTGGCATTCTCAGCAAGTTAGTATGTTTATAGTAGTTAAATACTGAAAACTTATGTATTTAAGTATTGAAAACTTTAAAAAGCCAGTTAAAAATTTTTTAAAATAAAGTCAACAGAGAGAATCTCTATATATTTGAGTAACAATATACAATAGCATGTTTGCTTATTGCAACTGATTTTAAATGTCTCCAACTTGCTCTCCCCAAATAGTTACCACTGGTGTTCAAAAGTAATATATCTTTTAAACCACATAAAGAGTAAAGAAAAAAAAGTATTTAGCTTTTTAAAAAAAAGTTCTATTCTAGAGTCACTAAGGATTCATAATAAGAATGAATGGGCCAGGCGCAGTGGCTCATGTCTGTACTTTGGGAGACCAAGGCAGGTGGATCACCTGAGGTCAGGAGTTCAAGATCACCCCAGCCAACACTGTGAAACCCTATTTCTACTAAAAATACAAAAATTAGCCGGGCATGGTGGCGCATGCCTGTCACCCCAGCTACTCAGAAGGCTGAGGCAGGAGAATCGCTTGAACCCGGGAGGCAGAGGTTGCAGTGAGCCAAGATTGCACCACTGCATTCCAGCCCAGGCGACAGAGTGAGATTGTCTCAAAAAAAAAAAAAAAAAAAAAATCAATGTAGCTAAAATTTAATGAAGTGTTAACTATGGGCAAGATACTATGCTGAGCCCCTTTCATACATAGTGTTATTTATTGTTTCCAACAACTATAGGAAGAAGGTACAACCCCATTTTACAGATGAGGAAACGAAGGCTTAGCAAAGTTAATAGCTTACTTTGGGGCTCAAAGCTAGTAAGGGCTGGTGCCAGGAGCGAACATGGGGCCCTGCCTTGAGAGCCCATGCCATCGTTAATCGCAGGGCACTGTGCAGCCTACCTGTTCATTCACTGCCATCTGAGTCTTGGCAAGCATCAGATGGGCGTAGGTATGAAATTTATTTTCAGATATAATAATTGTTTCAAGGTAAAACCTTTGGGTCTTATTTTACCTAGAATCCATACATTCAAAGTACAAGTGATAAAATCAGTTCAGCAACTCTAGTATGCACATGAATTAAAAAGAAGTCAATCTGGTGAGAGATTTCATCAGAATAAAGTGTATAAGTGGAGTTGGAAATCTGAGTGATTGAGTGCTTGCCATTTGGGTAAGTGTAATGAGTTTGAAAAACTAATTGTATTGATGAAGTATCTTAGGGCCTTTCAGAACATAGTTCTAGAAGTTTTATTTAGTGTTGAATTTTAAAAATTCTTTGTCCTAACAATAAAAGTACATTGTAGTCTTTCCCTTCCATTTTTAAAATGAACTGTTAATCTAGGAAGTCCTGTTTGTGTGTTGATTTGGGGAGTTAGCCCAACATTTGCTATGTTAAATACTTATTAACATGGTTTATTACTTTTTTCTGTTTTTTAGACAACATTAATCATGAATGTACTGGGACTTGGGAAGGATCCTGTGGTTTATGAGATAGTTGGCCAAATCCCACCTCTTCCAACATAACCTGTCATTATTAAAATATAATACTCTTATTTAATCCCCTGGTCAAGCTAAATGATAATGTGAAACAAAGCTAACCAAAATCAGGACACCTGATATCAAGAATTCATGAAATCAAGAGCCATTGTAGAGCAAGGAATCTAATGCTTTTGCTTCTTATCCTTTTCATACAAATAAAATAAGCTTCACTGGGCTTAGTGAGTCTTAGAAATGAGAGGTTTGAGAATAAGATCCATTGTGGAGTGTGTGACATTACAAAAACAAGCCAACTAAGCAGTGTGTACTGTCCCCTTAGAGTGCACACGTTCGGGCTCCGATGCCCCTTGAAAAGACTGCATTTCTGGGAGGGAAAAGTAAAAATGCAGATACCACCATGCGTGTGGAAGGCAGGGAAGAAAAAGCCCAGACAAGCGTCCTCTTGTTGAGTCTCTTTACTGCAACGAGGCTGACGGATGGGGTTTTTCAAAACGTCGCTGCAACCAGATGCAAGGCTGCAGCTTTGCTTACCGCAGCGTGCTGCAGTTGTGTTTATTTCAGGGACAGACACAAGGGGAAGCAGCAGCCAGAGCACACCCGGGCCGCTCACGGGAAGCCTTGCTGAAGAGAGAGGATCCGCAGAAGCTGGGAAATTCCTCCCGCAGCCTAGGCGGAGACTGAGCCGCGGCTCAGGTTGAGACAGTGGGCAGGGGCAGGGGGCGGCGCTCCCGGCCCATCCCTTAGCCCCGCGGCGGCCGTGTGGGCCGGAGGCTGCCTGCACCGCGTCAGGGAGGCCGGCCTAGAAACCCTCCCTCCCAGAAGAAAGCCGATCCCAGTTCAGGTGGGGTCTTCCTCGGTTGCGTACCTGGCTGGAGCCGAGCTGGTGGGCGGCCGGCAGCCGGCGTTTCTGGTGATGACAGCCCCGAAATGAAAGCAGCGCGGCCGCCGCCTCCGAGGGCTGCAGGGAGATCAGCGTCCAGCAAATAAGAAGCAAGTCCTGGACCCGGAGGAGGAGGAGCGGCCGAGCATCTCTCTCTGCTCCGCCGTGTCCTTTAGATGAGCACTCCCGGCCGGAGCCGGAGGTGGATCCGCAGAGCTGCCTCTGGGCGCCTGACCCCGCGCTGACATCACAACCTGTGACAGGCGCATCACGCCCGGTACCTGCTCCCGGCCGCTGCCCGTCCTCCCAGCCTCTTTGTATGCCGCAGACATGGCCAGCCAGCAGGATTCGGGCTTCTTTGAGATCAGTATCAAATATTTACTGAAATCCTGGAGTAATAGTGAGTAATAGAAAATAACCTTTTTGTTTGTTTGTTTGCTGGATGTTGCATAAGGCTGGAGACAGAAAATCTCAACTGGACACATATGTTTGTGAGCCGCGGAAGTTTTTCTTTTTTTCTTTTCTTTTCTTTTCTCTTTCTTTCTTTCTTTCTTTCTTTTTCTTTCTTTCTTTCTTTCTTTTTTTGCTCCCATCTGCTGTGAAAATCAAAATGTCAGAGACTGAACTAGCTTTCCTTAAGTGCAAAGGCTGCAATGGAATTACAGTAGATTGTGTTTGATTAAATTTTCAAGTGAGGCAGCCCTTCAGACTCTGGGGGAGCTCAGGATCAGGCATTCCTGGCTGCATTTCCTGCCTTGATGTTTATTTGATTTGTTCAGGCTTTCTCTAAATATTTTGTGAAGTGTGATTTAATCAAAGGGGTGTGGCAGGGTTTCAGAGTACTTTGTAATTGTTTTTTTAGGGTATTGTCTGAAGAAAGAAAAGTATTTAATAGTCCAAAACCTAGGACATCCTTTTTGTATATAGAGGCATCTGCAGATTTATTTCATCTCTCCCTCTTCCATGTGGATGATGTTCTGAATGCCATTTAATATTTGAATTTTTAAAAATCCTGATGTTTGCTATAGTCCAAATATTGTGCTTTTTTGAAACATAAACAAGTGAGGTTCTGACCCTAATTATTTATTAGGATAGCAGAATATGATGGCTCCTGAAGTTCCATTTCTGACCTACATAAGGATTTTAGCAATACGCTATTTCAAAAAGACAACCTCTAAGCTGCCGTGGATCTGGAATCAAATTAAAATGAGGCCTTCAGGTGATCAATGATGCCTTGTATTTTCCGAACTGTTTAAAAAGAAAGTCTTCTCTATTTCACTAACAGCCTTTGTACTTGCTTTGGATAAAAGATCAGCAGGTATTACTGATGCTTTATTGTTTTAAATAAAAAAATTTTTTCCCCGTGAAAATTTTAATATTGTATTATGTGCATACTGATTAACCTACCTGTGCTCAAAGAGCTAGTGATTAATTGTCTCCTACACAAATGACCTGTGGCCAAGATTGTTCTTATATAAACAAAACCTGGGCAGGAGAACCTGTGCTGCAATTGCTTTGAGGAAAAGAGCTAAAGTACCTTCAGCCTTAAGGTATTCAGGGATGTGCATCTCTAAATGATATCCATAGAAACCATTTTTTCCAGGTCATTTTGCACCACTGTATACACTATGGGGCTTGTCTGAAGCTGTTTTTCTACAAGTGGGAAGCCATTTGGGAGTAATACTGTTGCCCAAACAGCATTCTTTACTTGTCATAGCTATAAATCATTTAACTTGGACTCATTATTTTTATAATACTTTACACTCAAGGATGAATCTTCCTTTGTCTATCTGCTCTTTGATTAATGAAAAGAATTTGACATACAGTGTTCTTTATGGAGCAGTTTTCCAATAACTGAAAAAACTCACTTTTGAGTTGACATCAGTACGTGGTTTTTAAACATATTTGATTATTCCAAGACCAGACTGTTTTCTTCCATCAATTTTTGTCATTGCATCATTAAATAGAAAATTATGTTGTGACAATACTGAGGCCAATGGGATTTCTTTTAAAAATTTCTCTCCCCTTGTCTATTTTCAAATCACTCTAGATAAAGTATATATTCTCTCCACCCTTCCTAAACTCCTCTCCCCACATACATACTTCAGGAAATGATTCAAAATGACTGTTCATTTCTACTTTGAGAATATCTGTGATACAATTTTGAATTCTTCCAATTCATTCAGCAAATATTTATTGAATACCTACTATGTGCCAGGCTGTGGGGCTACACAAGGTGAATAAGACACAGTCCCTGCCCACTATATTAATTTTTTTATTTCAGAGTAGTGAAGTTGGTGGCTTTCCAGCATTCTTTTGAGGGGGAGAATGTTTTTCAGTCCTTTCTTGAAAGAGGAAGAGGAAATATACTTTGTTTATCTTCTTTAAGCTTGTTACAACACTAACCTGCTTACAATCTAGCATAGTTCTCATTGCTAAGTTTTACATATTTTGAGCAGCAAAGAGAGAAAGGAATTTGTCTGTGTAGAAGGCAAAGTAGAAACAGAAGCCCTAAGGCTCAACATACTCAGTGTAACCTTGGCTGAGAGGATGCACCATGAGGCAAGCGGCTAATTGCACCTGCATGCACCTGCACGCGCATGCCTGGCCTCACAAGTTTGAGAGGTGAGGATGTCTGCCCACATACCTGAATGGAGACTCAGCCTCTTAATTATATGGTGGTGCTTATTTACAAAAGTGCAGTAATTAAAAAGCAATAAAACAAACTCTATAACTATGACTGGCTGTTTTGCAAGGTGTTAGAAGAAAGGTAATTCCATAAGCGTTTCCAGGTAAAGCTTTCCATATTTTTTTAAATGGCACATTGTGGGGAAAATGTAATTATATATATATTAGTCCCCTCCAAAGAATTCACAGGCCAATAAATAGATCAGTCGCTGGCTAGTGAGATGTACTAGCTTTCATTCGATGTTCATTTTGGTGTTCTCCTCTTTATCGGCACGTCTACTCTGTCATGCTGCCCTTTGATTTGAATGGAGGTGGGAATTAAAATGGCCTTGATGTCTGGAAATAAAATGTCCTATGTAGACCTGAATATGGAGGCTTTCCTGTCCCCTTGGATGTCTGTCCTGTTGCTCTTCCCTGCTCTTATCCAGCCTTTCCCCAGCTGTCTAGTGGTTCTCACGGCTGCGGCCCCTTGTTAATCATGGCCACAGCCTCCACATGCCCTTCTCAGTTTAACCTGGAATGCTCCAGTGGTGTCCTCACAGTCAAAGGCTGCTCCCCAGCTCCCTTTTGCCTCTGAGTGTCAGTGGTAGCCACTCAGGACCCTCTTTGAGCTCCTCGTTCATCCTCTCTCATGTTTTTCTGCTCCAGCCAACCAAGCTTAATCTACTCACTCTCCTCTGTATTTAACTAACATGCTCCCAAATTCATGCCTGTACACCCATCAGTCTCCTAATAAGGCCTCGCTTACCTAGAATGTAAAAATGGCAGGGCCAAATGGGCTTCAGATCTCTTGCTCCTGCACTTGCATGGCTTCGGACAGTTAAGTAATCACTCTCAGTTTCCTCATCTGTAAAATGTACGCAAAAATAATGGGTACCTCATAGGAGTAAATGAGGTATTAAGATGTAAAGCACTTAGCACAATACCTAGCACATTGTAAATGCCCAATAAGCATTAAAATAATATTCATGTATTCTAATGCCCTCCTCCCTTCTAAATCCACTTCAAATCGGATGTAGACCATGTCTTCCCTTAGCCTTGGCATCCAAAGTGGGTTATTTTATGAGTAATCAACACTTGCTACACTCTAGAGAAGAGAACTACATAAATAAATGTCAAAATTAGTTGGTTATTTTGGGCTGGTTTTTTTTCTCCCAGATTTACATTTTTAACTTTACCCCTTGACTACTTTAACTTTCTACCTCACTTACTATTAAAATATCCCACTTACCCTAAGTGCATACTTTCTAGCAGCTTGGGAGTTGGTCTGGGAATTTTCTTAGTGGCAGAAAGTCACTTTGGCCTCTTAGGTTTGCTAGAGAACAAGTTTAAAGTGGATAGTTCAAGCTATTTTCCAGGAGAGAAGGGCTTGCTGTATACCATTTCACAGAGCTGGTGTGTGAGCCCCCACACTAATCTGAAAGCTCTAAAGGGCGTCCTTGTGTCTCTGTCCACCCCAGGATGCCTGATGAACACACAGGGCCCAATGAATGAAGGTACATTCAGAATCTGTTCAACACCTTGCTCTTTCCAGGGCAGTGTGAATCCTTCCTATAACATATGGCAAATCTTGCTACACCATCGAGGGAAACTTTTGAATGCCCATTAACTCTTTCGCATATTTAGAATTTCATTGACAAATGAACTGCTCTGGGGAACTGAACAATCTCTTTGCAGTAGGAAGGTGTTGGTGTGCATTGTGAAATGTCTAATGTTGCTGTAGAAAAATCTTGCATCACTTAGGAGCATCAGATTCAGCATTTTTCAGGTATGTTGTAGTGAGTTAAGTTGTAGTGATAAGCCCAGGATCTGTTCAACCTAGAAATACTGGTTAGTATGAGGTCAGCTCTGGGGCCAAAGAGAAAAGTCATGTGCAAGTGAGGTTAGAAAACATCTCAGATTCTCTGCAGAGCAGTGTTTATTGATGCCTGTTTATGTTGCAAGTGTACCTGAAGGACACTATGAGAAAAGCTTAAGAAAATCTCAAAATTAATTTCAGTTTTAACCTCTGTATAGACTTGGTTGAAAGAAGTGGAAAACTAAGAAGGTTAACTGAGTTGCCTAAATCCAGCAAAGGGGTACAGATCAAGTGCAAGCATATTTAATTGGGTTCTTTAAATAGAGGAAGTACCCAGCACTGCTCCAGGCAATTAGAAGGAGACTTACTCCAGTGTCCCATCCACACCCTCTCTAAGGCCACGGGGTCACTTCTGCTAACGTAGTTTACAGCTCTAAGGAAAAATAAAACCCCAAATCAACATCCATGTTCTCAAAATAGAAAGGATCTATCCCTGGGCTTATGATTAAGACAAATCAGAGGGTTTTTTTTTTCCCATTCAAATGCATGAACAGTTCTTGAATAACAATAACTGCCACTCTGTATAAAATACTATGCTCCATGATTTATATAGAGGGCAACCACAAAATTGTTTTTCCCAACTGTGACACTTTGGAGAGTGAAAGTTAATAATTATGCTGAGACACTGGGTGCAAACCGGGACTGCCCTCAGCAAAGGACGCCATATGACCACTCTGTTTATTATCTTCACTCTTTCCAATAACCCTGTGAGTTTAAGTGTCATGCACATTTTCGATGAAAAAAAAAAAAAATCAGGACTTGAGATAGAGATTTGCTCAAAGCCAGGATGGTAGTAAGCTCCATAAACCCCTCCCCCAGTCCAGGTGATAATTGCATTGTTTGTTTTAATCACTCAAAGGACCAAAGGATAAAGAACACTGTGAGGAACTTAGTGCTTTATAGGTACTTTCATTTTTAGTTTTGTTGGCTGATGTCCCTGCCAGTTCTTAGCCTTCTTCACCCTCTCTCCTTCCCTCCCTGCTCTTTGTCTCTCTGTTTCTCTCTCTCTCTGTTTTACACACACACACACACACACACACACACACAAACACACACACACGTGCTGGAGAGCACCATCCCCTCAGCATAGGCCTATTTGAAAGACCTTAAGTGTTCACAAGTCTTTTCCGTCTATTGCAAACAATACATAGACAGTTCTGTGCCCTATGATCATTTGATTAAATGTATATAGACATTCACAAAATAGGATTATAGTAATAAGGCACATTTCTTCTGTTAGGAGTATTTTATGTGTATTTTCCCTAGTTTCAAAAGTAAATAAAAAAGCATGAATGATGTTTACTTTAGAATGGTAGTTTGCTTGCCTTGCTGAGCGTTCTCTGATATATTGTTTTTCTGTTTAGGAAACAGTAGCAAATTCACTAATTGTCTTTAGCAGTGAGATCAGGGAGAATATTTCCAGGGATAATGGAAATCTATCTATAATTCAGGTATCTCATTTACTTGATAGCTCTGGCCTGCTCCATCATAAAATCATGTACAGGACTGGCAGCACCAAGATAAATTTTGACTTACTTGCCTGCTCTTGAATGCTGCTTGATGAAGTCCCAACAAGAATTGAAAGAGAAAAGCAAACAGCAGTAGGCAAGAAGAGATGACCCGGATAATTTTACAATCTGAGAACAGCTGAGACATTTGAGAAAGTTGCCAATATTTAGAGGTTTCAACTGATATAACATGCAAAGATTCTCCTATCCTACCCTAAACAGACAGCTGTTTCAAAACATTTTAATACCCATGACTCAGTAGTTTACTTTTGGGTACAGTTTAAGGAGTCAAATAGGTTACATATATCCTAATCGTCTTATTAGTAACTTCCATATTTCTGAGTCTTATGTGATATTAACACTGAACTGGTGTCAGATGTGAGTTTGGGCTAATGAGAAATGACATTTTACTATGTTAGGGGCTGTTCTGTAGACTAATAGACAAAGATATAAGCTTTTTATGCAGGTTCTGTTACTGGTACTAAACCTTACATTTATTTAGTGCTTTGTAGTTTGCTCAGCACCTTCAAACACATTACCTCATTTGACGAGTGAGATGCACTGAGTATTAATTAGCTAGTTTCTTCTTAAATGCTCCTGGTTTAGAATAAGACTTAATTCTTCCTAAGTTCAGTTTGTGTGGCATGAGATACCCACATGGCATCATGTAGGTATATTTTGAGAAGTTTCAGATCAGATTTAAATGAACAAATAATAATCTTCGTCCATGGTATTTACCTTCATGTAGAACTTTTAAAAAATGCAATATAGCTTGGTATTTATCACTTAAGAAATACAGAGGTAAGTCTGTCCAAAAACATATGTATTACGATTTTCCGAATTTATTTGTACCCTAGAATTTCTCTTAGTCCTCTTTTTTAAACATTTAAACATTTATAATTTTTCTTAGTGCGGTGCCTTCTGGAAACCATCCACCATTTGCACACTACCCCAGTGCAGAAGATTTAGCAAGTAACCAGTTCCTGGAAACGCGAATGGCATTTGTGGAACAAGATAAGACACAACTTAACCTCATTTTCTTTCATACTAATGTCTTTCATTTGATAGATGCCATTCATCATATTCCTTTTAACATTGCTCCATCACTGAACTGCCAGCTATGTGAATAAGAGAATGCTTTCTCTTTCTTTGAGCTGAAAAGGTTGCATCTTCTAGGCTTGGAGAAACAATGGGAATGGGCTTTTCCATAAGACCATCTTTACTTACCTTTCAGTGCTGGATTATACTGCAAATCTTACTACCTAAGCATTAATTTTTCTTGGTTATTGCTCCAACATGCAACAGTGTCAGAGAAGCAAGGCAAGCACTATTTAATACCTGTTTACTGAGCATCAACTAAGCACAACACACACTTTGTTTTGGGAGCTTCATAAATGCATCCCACCTGGATCCTTCATCCAGGCTCTCAGAGCTTCCTTTCCTTCCTTGTTCGATTCAGAATTCAGTTACATTAATGCAGAAGTTTCCAGGACTTCAGGGATCCTAGGGAGAGGTATCCAATGATGTTTCAGAGACAGAGTAGGCCCTAGAAAATTTTATTGTGGGAGAATGTGTTTGATAGATTCTGTTGACTTTAACTTTATGGATTTGTACTTTCACTACATCAGAGAACCATCAGAAGTACAGGCAATGGTCTGTAAGAACAATTTCAAATATTTCTTCTAGCAGATGGCTGAAGGAGAAGAGGAAATGTAAGCTATTTACCCTGGAACACTTGACCAGATTTCAGAATATGGGGCAGCAAGCATTTCAGACAGGCATTCCTTACATTAGAAAAATGTGAAGAGGAGTTGCCATGTTTATCAGAATTTTGCAATGGGACAAATTTAAAGCCAGTTGTCTTTCATCCTGAGTGGTTCTCTCACTCTTCAAAATACTTGGGTGATTACAGAGAAGGGCTATGTCTGTCTGTCTCTCTCTCTCTTTCTTTCTCTCTCTGTCTCTCTCCCACCTCCCCCCCCATACGTGTGTGAGAGAGAAAATAAATTATATATTTCCGTAAGTTAAATTTAATGATCAGATATCTCACCTATATTCTTACACTTTTCTATTTTTCACAGAATATACAAGCACAGGCATTTAAATGTTAGTCACCCAAAACTCCAGATGCTAAGCAGTGAAAGTTTATATTCTGCCAGCATATCAGACTCTGTAATGAGTCTGATTTGGTTTAATTCCTTTCTACTGTTTAGTCATTTGATGAGCTGCAGATGGAAATTTAAGCCAAAGCCATAACATTTCAGCTAATACTTTTTATGCTGCTGTAAGAATTTGTTGTCATGTCAATTTAAGAGAGTTGAAATCTTTTTTGAGAAGGCATTCAAATCTGCATTAAGTGCTTTTATCAACTCTAATTTGATATACAACTCTGACTGCTTCTGCTGTTCTTAATCAATTGCAAAGTGCAAAGTAATTTAGCAGTGGAAGACAGCTTTGCAATTCCAGGATTTCTCAGCTAATGCCATAAGCACAACATTATGGAAATATACAATTAAATTTACATTAAAAATTTTTCCTATGCTTAAGAAACACGAGGCCAACTTCTTTGAGTTTAGCCTTAAATAGGTAAATATGTATTTTGGCAGCCATGAAAAGAATAGGGTATTAGATTAACTAGGGCAATACTTTGGTAAAATTCCATTGGAATGTTATGTTTATGCAGGAGAGATTTGGCCAATCAATAAGATGGTTTATTTTGTAAGTCAAATCAATAAAATGTTTGAACTGTATAAATACAAGATTGGGTTTTTCTTCTCTGTTTTTCTGTTATTTTTCTGTGTGTGACCTTGGCTTTCTCATTCTCTCATTTTCTTATACGAAAGGAACAAACCTGACACTTGTCTGTCACTGATTAATGTGAAGGGTTTTGAATACTTCCACTGAAAAATGAGGTTTCGGTAAACATCATGATATTCATCAGTTATTTCTCCTGCACCATTAAAGCCAGACTGAAGGAGACTGAGTTGTACATTATTGAACTTGACTGATAACTGGTGGCTGGATCTCAAGCCTAACTTTCTAAGGTTGGTCAGCTTCTTGGACTGGCTTGCTTTTCAGTATTCTGAATAAGAAGAAGTTGTCACACTACACAGCCTATCAGGTTCTTTCTGTTGTTACTTTTTGCAGTTAAATCACTGTATATCTAACTCAGTAAATCTGAACAGGATTGTCTCCAATATGAAGTGCCAGTATTCTTGGTCTGGACACAGGCATGTTTTTTTTTCTATAAAGTGAGATATGGTGTTTATGGAAATTGCTGGCATTCTGAAGGTTTTTAAATATATGATGATACAGCTAAAGGATACTCTCCTACATTTCAGTAGATATCATGTTTCAGTTAACCCATGATGAAATACGAAAGGTCATAAGAATGCAAGAGGCTGTTAGAAAATCTGTCTGAAACATCTTTGGTTCACCTTTACTTAATGCCTACAGCTTAGGTAGAAAGCTCTGTGACAGCATTAAAGAATTTTAAAACGAAAAAGTTGCTCTAGGTGAACAGATTGCCTATGAACATAGCAGACTGTAACCAGTGAGTTTACAACTCGTGTTTACAAGTAAGAGCACCAATTAAAAGACAAATTGAAGTTTTTCTTTTTAAAAAAGTCTGCTTTTCAACTTTTAGTTTATGAACACTACATGTTTAACAAATCTCCCCTAAAAATGAGGGCTTGCAATTGAATGACAACATGGACTTAGCTATAGTATCACTTGTTCTAACACCCCTAAAATTAATCTTCTGCTTTTTTTTTTTTTTTTTTTTTTTTTTTTGAGACAGAGTCTAGCTTTGTTGCCCAGGCTGAAGTGCAGTGGTGCAATCTGGGCTCACAGAAACCTCTGCGTCCTGGGTTCAAGCAATTCTTCTGCCTTAGCCTCCCGAGTAGCTGGGATTACAGGTGCCCGCCACCATGCCCTGCTAATTTTTGTATTTTTAGTGGAGACGGGGTTTCACCATGTTGGCCAGGCTGGTCTTAAACTTCTGACCTCAAGGGATTACAGGCATGAGCCACTGTGCCCAGCCAGTCATCTACTTTCTTAATGAGAAATTCAGCTTCCTTAGGGAGTTTTGAGGGTCACACACTGAGTGTTTTGTTTCACTTTCCTCATGATTTGGTGGTGGCCCTGAGGCCTGTTGTCAGCTTCTCTTCCAGGTTGAGGGTGCAAGACAACCTGTCTCGCTTCTGTTTTACTTGATTGAATACAGCTGCGAGAGAATAGGAAAATCAGAGATGTTTTTGTGTCTTGCCTGCTGATTTTATGTTTCATTTATAAGAAACCGCCAGTGCTTATCATTACAGGAAAGCTAATCCTAGTTCATGCCAATTGAGAGATCAATTTTTGAAGGTGTTTGAAAACCTGGCCCATTTTCATCTGGCAGAGTAAACTACTTTGTTCTCAACTAACAATTTAAAATGTTTGAACTTTAAGAAAGATCAAAATTATAAGTGAGAATGAAGATTCTAGCACATTTTAAATATCAAAAAATCCATTTTATCTTAGCTTCTTTTCCTTTATTTTGTTATCTGTTTTGTTAACCATGTCAATCCTTAGCACCACTTTCTAGAGGGGAAGAGGAGTGGACATTTAAATTATATTGTCTACCATTAGTCAACCACTTTATGAAAAGAAGAAAGGAAGAAGGGAGGAAGGGAGGGAAGGAGGGAAGAAAGGAAAAGAATCAGAGGGAGAAGAGAGAAAAAAATACAAACTGGAAATGATTACTGTAGGATTTTGAAATCAGTGACTTTCATTTCTAAATCCCTTGTTACTAATCAGAATTCAGTAACATGCTACTCACAGGTTCAGTGTTATGGTTATTACATAGAACATATTTTTTCCATTTAGTAATTTGAAATGGGTGCCATTTTAGTATACTTTTGCTATAAATGATAGAATAACCTCATAAGGGCTGAAAGAGTAAAGACTGTTAATTAGCTTGCCCAACCCACAGCCTGGAGATGGGACTGTTAATTAGCTTGCCCAACCCACAGCCTGGAGATGGGAGGTTCCAGGTGGGCTTAGAAGCTCAAAGACCTAGACCATCCAATCTCTGGACTGGTCACACTACATGATCACAGGATGGCCACCTCAGTTCCAAATATCTTTGCTTCACTTAAGTCAGGAAGGAAGGAGGCCCAGGTTAGGGCTTTCTTGTAACAAGAAGATTATTTTGATAAAGGTCTCAGCAAACTTCCTCTTGCTTCTCTCTGATAGGAACTGGGTCATATGCCTACCCTTAGACCAGTCACTGGCAAAGTTGAATGGAATAGCCAAATTGACTTAGATGAATCATGGTTCAGGCCCTGGCACTGGGCTGGGTACACCTTTTGTGAGACAAGGGACTTATACCTGCCACCTGAACAAAACAGAGATTCTTGTACCAAGGAAGAATGATAGGCAACTAATAGTGCCATTAAGTAAAAACTACAATGGTATGTATTAGTCTGTTTTCACACTGCTGATAAAGACAAACCCTAGACTGGGCAATTTACAAAAGAAAGAGGTTTATTGGACTTACGTTTCCATGTAGCTGGGGAGGCCTCACAATCATGGAGGAAGGTGAAAGGCACACCTCACATGGCAGCGGCAAGAGAGAGAATGAGAGCCAAGTGAAATGGGTTATCAAACCATCGGATCTTGTGAAATGTATTCACTACCACGAGAACAGTATGGGAGAAATTGCCCCCATGATTCACTTATCTCCCACCAGGTCCCTCCCACAACATGTGGGAATTATGGGAGTACAATTCAAGATGAGATTTGGGTGGGGACACAGCCAAACCATATCACGGTAGATGACTATTATTAGAAACTCAACATCTGTTGTTGTATAGCATTGCATTAAGGGCAATAATAATAGCTGATCTTTATAAGCACTTATGAAGTGTCAAGAGCCGCATGAAGTGCTGTATATGTATCATTTCCTCTGGTCTTTACCATGACACTGTTTTACACATGTGGAAAGATGAAGGAACCATTTGTAAGTGATGGAGCTAGGATTCCAACCTAGACTCTAGGATAAACACTATATTATGTGGCCTCTCATCGTCATTGGCAAGATAAAGATATTGGCTACCAGCAGGTGAAATTGATGAACCTCTAGTGGGAGTAGAGTTATATTGATATGTACTTCCTAGCAAGTTACCACAGAGATATTTGTCAAAAAGCAGCGGCAAAGTCTTGAAAGTAGCCCCCACCAAAAAATTCTGTATTGCTTTGCCTTCAGTTTCAAAAAAGGAACACTTCCTCATGTTTTCTTCATTATACTCACTCAAAAAGAAATGGAGTCTTTCTATTGCTTTAAAAAAGAAAGCAAATTATAAGAAATAATATTTTTAGATCAATCACTTGAGCCCCTTAAGATTATACCCAGGCCAGGCACAGTGGCTCACACCTGTAATCCTAGTTCTTCAGGAGCCTGAAATGGGAGAAGTGCTTGAGGCCAGGAGTTTGAGACCAGCCTGGTCAACACAGTGAAACCCCATCTCTTTTGTTTTTAAATAAATTTTAATTTTAAAATAAGACCAAAAAAAGAAAAAAAAGGAATATGTAGGTCTATTGAATTATGCTGTTAGGTTAAAATTAACAAGTTCAATATTTATTTGTTTAATGCTATCCAACAATAGTAGATGAAATGCCCTTAATATTTCCCTTAGATACCAAAAGAAAAAAATGTTTTTCTGTTTTCAGATATTTCCATTTCATGTGGAAATAACAGTATTTTCCAGTAAGGTTTATATTTTAATCTTATTGTTCAGATTTAGCTATTAATTTGAAAGGGCTTTATCACTGACTCACTTTCCCTATTTACAGCCTCCCTAAGCTAGGTATCGCAATGGTTAAATAAGAATAGCTAGCATTCATGAAGGACTGCCATGTTTCAGCCACAGTGCTAAGCACTCTCTCATTTAAACTTCCTTACATCCTATTGAGGCAAATACCATTTTGTAGAATAAAAACCAAATGCTAATAAAGAAATAAGAGACATTCACAATCAGTAAGTGATGGTGCCCAGATTCCAATCTGCTTCTGTCTCTAGAGCCTCTCTTCTTGTTGGCAGCCCAGTTAGAGCCACTCCCGCCCCACTTTTCCTCTGCTCATTTCCCACCAAAACATCTGAAAGAGCCAGATGCTTGCTTGCTTGGCCTTCAGTGCAAGCTTCTGACTGCTATCCCAGTTGCTGGGGGAACTTCTGGAAAGGATTTTCTTCCTGGAAATAAGAGAAATGCATCTTTTGCCACCCTGATAGACTTGCTGCTTCCAGCCTTTGGACATAGTTTGTGTAGGTGGCTGAAAAACAAAATCAGAACAATCATCTGAGATGATTTTAAGCTGAACTTGAGCCAAGTTCCTGCCCTTAAAAGAAGAGTGTCAAGTGAAAAAGATCTATATAAATCAATAATTGCAGTAAAATATGACCAGTAATCAATCCCATGCAATGTTAATTGTGTATATGTGGGTAAGAGTGACTGTTATTTGTACATTATTATACCCGCTGGCCCCTAAGGCCAATTTTCACTATTTTTTCCCCATATTGCTGATATATATCTCCAAAATAGGATATTTTCTTATCAACTTGCTGAACCTGTGACTTCATCTCTCTCCTCCAGGACCCCTATAGGGCTTAGTTCTTCATCAGTAATGCTGAATTTCGCTATTAGTCAGTCCTAGGCAAGAAACTAGACTTTTTTTCAACCCTTCATTGTTGTTCATCCAAATTGCTGCTAAAACTTGTCTTGTTTTCTTCCTCGAATGACATCTCCCACATCTGGATCTTCGTCACCATCACCTCTGCCAAGGCCTGGTTCCAGGTCTGCATCACCTCCCATCTGGAGCACTCACAATTCCTTCTCACTGGCTATCTGCTGCTACTGCCTTTCCAGGACAGTCTTTCCTAGAAGTCCTTCCCATAGCTTTGAACGTTGATCTCCACCTTTTTACTCTTGTAATTGTGCATCAGCCTCCATAGACAGGGATTGCATGACAAATGCTTTTGGTGTCAATGGTTGCAAGCACACTGAATAATTAAAATTTCATCGTGAACTGGGAGTGATCATCTAAATTAATTTCATTGGCGATGTATATGCAAGCCATTTGTTTTGGTAGATTCAAGAGTTCTGTGGGATGCAGAAATGGACTGAATCTTTGACCTGTAGCCTATAATCTAAATACCAGTGATATCATTGGAGTATTAGTCACAGTCATTGGCCAGAGATGAGGTAGGAGTATTACTGTGGTACTACAAACACAATTTAAGTTAAAAGGAATAACATCTGCTACTCTATATTTTTATGCTGGCGAGATTCAAACAGGCTAGATTTGACAAGGCATAATGTAGAAATTGAGGAAAGGCTTGCTGAAAGTTAAGACCAAAAGCTAAGTATAATGCTCTGGTTAATATATTAAATGAGCTCAGGCAGAGGATACAACTACTTATGAAGTGTACACACTCCAGTGATGGAAGACCCACTCAACAATTCTCAAGTGTCCCTCGTACACAAAACAACAGCCATCAAACTGGCCCAATGAGCTCTTTAAATATCATATTGTTCTGCCAAACAAGGCCCTTGTTTTAGGGAGTGACTAAGAGACTGTCACTTCTTGGGCCAGGAGAATGAAAATGCTCTTCAGGCTCTGGGAAAAGGATAGAGATAAATTGTGGATACTGTTCCTAGGACATCCCTCTCCATTTCAGTCTATGTCTGACTGGCCTGTGTTTTATACTGCAAGATGACAACTCAGCTGATTTATTCAGCTCTGTGTTTTCCTGAAGTTCTTGCTATTGACCCACGCAAGAGACAGAAGGTTAGAATCTATCTTCTTTGTGGACAGTGCTAAGTTAATGCCAAAAGATCTACCCTAGCCTGATGCTGCTGGGGCTGGCAAAGTTATGTGAGCTCAGAAGTTGAGACCAAGCCTCCATCTCCTCTACTTTAAGTGGAAAGTTAACACAGTCTGGAAGAGTCAGCCAGGAGTATCAGCCCGTTTGTGTTAACTTGCTTTTATTTTTTCTTGCTGAAAACAGAAGTGAATTACACTCTTCACTGAATCCTGCTGCAGAGGAAAATGATGCAACACTGGTCACATGACACAAAGATAAAAGGCCCTTTATGCAAACCTAGTTCTTTATTGTGTTTCCATGTAAGGAGAGGTTCAATACCCACACTACAAAGCAACACAGAATTGTTGCTCTTAATCTTGGATCTTTCTCTACACGGAGAAGCCATGATGTTTTACTTTGTTTTTGTCTCTTTTTAAATTTTTCTGCCTTTTTGACCACGAGATTCATTAATTTTTATGTAATACAAAATATAGAAAGAAATTATGTAGGCTCATTTGATTTACTTTTGACTAAACAAGAGTTTTTTCTGTGCAATTTGGGACTGTTACGATCATGTGCTTTGTCTCAGCCATATACTTGCTATGTGACCTTGAGCAAGTTACTTAAATTCTGATTCCTAAAAAAGAGACTCTACCTGATGTGTATGAGCTGTATATGGGTATATATGTATATATAGAGAGAGAGAGAGCTACATAATCATGTATATCTCTTTAAATAAATATGTTTATCTATATATACCTACTCCTAGAGCCATAACAATTAAAGGAGTTGACATTTATGAAGTGTTTAGCATATTCACTATTGTACTTGCTCAAATAAATGGTAGCCATTGTTATTAGTAATTTGCCTAATTAATGCTTGTCTAAATCCCTCTGTAAGTTAATGGTTTTGTCATGTTGGCTCATTGCCAAGACAGTATGACCAGGAACCAAAGAGTCTTGGAGCTTTTTTGTGACATCTTCTTGACTTGAGGATCTGAACTTTACCACTCCCTAGAGAGGATATTTTGGTAGCAAAGTACATTTCTGGAACTTCAGAAAATTAACCATCTAAAGATATCCAAGATAGAATGTGTTCCTTCTAAATTCAGAGCTATGTATGATGGCTGAAAATATAACAAGGCATTAGCGTATGCTACAGTTGCAGCGTTTTCTTTTTCCTTTTTGTTTTTCTTTTTTTCTTTTCTTTTCTTTTTTTTTGGGGGGGGTGCAGAGTTTCACTCTTGTTGCCCAGGCTGGAGTGCAACAGCATGATCTCGCCTCACTGCAACCTCCACCTCCTGGGTTCAAGTGATTCTCCTGCCTCAGCCTCCCAAGTAGCTGGGATTATAGGCACGCACCACCACTCCTGGCTAGTTTTTTTGTATTTTTAGTAGAAACAGGATTTCACCATGTTAGCCAGGCTGGTCTCGAGCTCCTGACCTCAGGTGATCTGCCTGCTTCGGCCTCCGAAAGTACTGGGATTACAGGTGTGAGGCACCACACCCGGCCCAGTTACAGCATTTTCTGTGAGCATTTATGTGAATTAAACCTGAAGCGTGAGCTTTTTGGATTTGGACCAAACTCTTATCCTGTGTGTATGAGTTTCACTCTAACTGACCCACTTCCACTTCCCCTTCCCCTACCCTTTCTACATACTTCCATTGTAGCAACAGTGGCATTCTGTAACTGCTTTACCTGTCTGGGTCCCTCTGTGGCTAAGAATCAACCGTCTTTTCATTTTTCTACCCTCTAGCACATCTTAGGGCACATTGGCTCTGTGAATAATCTGTTAAATATTGAATGAGTGAATAAAATCTCTTGAGTGGGTGTGGGAGGTCTGTGCCTAAACTTTGCTAGCATGTCGCCCCTCAGTGGATGAGCACCCAGCAAGCAGTAACAGTGTTTTGTCTTTTGGGATCTTTCTATCTTTTATTCCAAGCAGGAACTCAGCATCTAATCTTAGCTCTGAAGTCTCTTTCCTCTGTAACCCTCACCTGTTGTTTTGTTTGAGTGAGTTCAACAAGCTAAATTGTACCATTGTGTTCACAGAACTCTGGGCAGATATGTCCATGAAAAGAAAAGTGTAGAGTGAAATGATGTTTTATTTGTATAATGATCAGCCAACTTGAGGAAACATTTCAGAGAGAAATTGTTTGTTTATTTTTAAATCATTCAGCACTGTCAAGGATTGCTATCTGTAAAAATACTAACTTTTTCCTACATTTACCTAAATGTCATTAATGTTACAAGGATTTAACTTACTTTTATACCTTCTAGGCACTTTTGCCAAATTGGAAGGAAACCATGCTCAATGAAGTCTGCTGAGCTAATTTAATTCTTTACTCACAAGGTCTTTTTCCACGTGGGGAATGCTGCTGTTTTATATTTATTTGGAGACACTGATGGCCTTACTAGAAAAAAAAAATCTGAATATAAAGATTTTATCTTCTTGATTAAGGTGCATGTACTCAAATAGCTGCCCCAATTGGACATGCCTGAATAAGCTTCAGGAAGTGCCTGAGAGTCAATAAACAGTCCTCCCTTTCCCTTCTTACCAATTATTAAATGCTTACATGTGTAGGGTACTGTGGTACATAGAGTACACAGTGATTCAGCAGGCCCAGCTCCTGCCTTCTCTGGGCTTCACAATCAAAGACAGCCTACTTTGATGAAAGGGAAGGTGTAAGGAAGTTGCAAGAGAACAGAAATAGGTGCTCTGCCCATGCCAGGCATTGTGCTGGGACCTGGGGACACTGACCTAAATAATCATTTAGAGAAGGAAGTGATTCATCATTTTAAGAGGGAGGGAAGAGGCTGAGGGATAGTTCCATGGAGACTGTGACATTTGAACATGAAGACTGTTACAGAGAAGAGGGGGAAAGGCAGAGGGAAGAACCTGAGCAATTGCAGGGAGTTGGGGAGGTGCCTGAGGGAATGACAACTGGATCCCAAGTTCCCTGAAGGAGTGACAGATTGTGTATACAAAGGCAAGTTGGGTCAGATGACAGGGAGCATGGAAGGATCTGCCGAAAGGTCTGGTCTTATTCTGAAAACAGTGGGCAACCCCATAGGTTTTTTTGTTTGTTTGTTTTTTGGGACGGAGTCTTGCTCTGTCGGCTGGAGTGCAGTGGCACGATCTCAGCTCACTGCAAGCTCCGCCTCCCGGGTTCACGCCATTCTCCTGCCTCAGCCTCCCAAGTAGCTGGGACTACAGGCGCTCGCCACCACACCCAACCCCATAGGTTTTTAAGCAGGGAACAGCATGATCACATCCCAGCAAATTCAGGGACTCTGCACTGAGAATGGAGGTAGGGACAATCACTGCGAGAATGACCCAGGAAAGAGACAACAAGGACTCAAAATAAAGTAGTAGCAGAGGAGTTAGATAGAAGGGAACAGATTCAAGCCAGTTGTCTGGGGTAGAATTGTCAGAGTTTGGTATCTTCCCTGGGTCCAGCCTGTGTTTCATTTTAATGTATGATAAAAAACATGCATGATTATGTAGCTCAAGCAAGCTGCTTTAAAAAAAATAGGCAGAAGCAATTATTTGATGAACAGTGTTTTAAAATTATACTCAGCTAGACAATATGCTCTTTAAATAGAATATTTGCGTTGAGGTTAAAAGGTGATGGCGGGGTTCTCTCTTGACGATACTCAATTGATTTAATATTCCAAATTAACACAGTGGTGTTGTATAGCTGCTATGTAAAGCCCCTATACATTCATTTTATAGTTATTCCCAGGTCATAGATTGGCGGAGATTTTCTTTGGTTTTGTTTTTCAAGGAAACACACATTTTAGATGGCCACATGACCTTAAACCATTTAAATGTCAAACAAATACCTAATGGATACTGCATAGCTTGTTGGATTACTTCGGTATAGTTTTAGAGTATCAATTCATCTAAGTTGTCTAAGCACTTTTTACATATGACAATCTCTCGGAAAAATATAGTGTAATTTTCATAGAAAACAAAGGCATCATGAAAGCTCCCAAAGATAACACCTCTTAAGAAACAAGTTCAAGATGATCTCTGTCAGGTGCTTTTATTATATTCAGAATTATATATGGCTTGGTCCTGCAGTGACACACAGGCATTAGCAGTTGTTTCACCTTTCTTTCTATCCTTCAGGGATAGCAGTGTGCTTTCCTGGGCCATGTATAGTTGCATAATAAACCCTTCTAGGAGAAAATGTCTCCTAATCTTAGGGGAATTTTTGAAAGCATATTTTGCTGTTCTTATGCCACTTCAAACTCCATCCCATTAGGCTAGTTGAATCAGATTCTCCCAGTGCCTCCTCCCCACCCTTATGTGAGGAAGTTTTAGCAGTCATGTTAACATTATGGGCTGACAGGGCATGACACTGACTACTTCAGAATGCCACAGAGTACTCTGGTGACAATTATTACATGATGGCATCACATCAGTCATCACATAAGAAAGTAAGACAGAGGTGCACCTAACTCTTCATAATGAAACAACAGGTTGTAAACCTTACACCTGTACTATCTTGTGCACTCTCAGTTCTCTGAATAAATATTGCAAAATAAAGAGACCTAAAATTAAGTTTTAATTATATCCACCACATACGCATTTTAGGAAGACCCTTACAACATAACATGTCAACAGACTCTGAAAAGCAACAATGAGGATTATTCAGGGAAACAAATCTATACCAATATGGTTGAGAATAGAGGTAATAACTTAATCTGAGTGGTTATACAGCCATAAAACTCCATTCATGTAGATACATACTTAATTATTTCCGTTTCCTTCTGATTTGGGAGCTCAAAATTATTTTATCCCAGGATGTAGTTGGGTGAGGAAAATGACCGTTTCCCTTTTATTTGGTTAAGGGAGGTTTTGTGGTATAAGTGGGACTTTTACAAGGTCTTTGAAGGAGAGGATGGGTTGGCAGGATTGAGGGAAAAGACATGTCAAGCAAAAAGTGTGTAGTTGGGAGAGGAAGAAGCAGAGGAAGGGAGTGGTGAGATGACTGGCAAGAGCAGATGGAAGGGAATTAAAGAGCTACCTACCGGAATGAAAAAGAAGCCCAACAAAAAACCCTACAGACATTTGCCAGTTTAGCTTTCTGCTTAAATATTGAGCTTGTTTTCCCCAGCACCCGAATTACTCCTGAGTTTTCAGATGGATGCTAACTCTGTGAGACGAGTATACTCTATTTACAAGATGAAATGATTCTGCTATAGGAGTACTCTATGTCAAAATAGTGGTTTTGTTAATGCAAGTTTGTATCAGGAAATCACAATTTTTCAATTCAATTTTACCAGCTTTTCTTCTCACATGGATGTGGTTTTAAAAAATTAAAGATTTCAACAAATCAACCAATATTCATTGAGGACCCACTGTGTACAAAACACTGCAGCAGAAGCGATGATAATTTGCGAAGTATGAGGTGCTTTCTACAAAGAAGTAGGCAAGGTGGAAATCCCTGTGATATTCAGAAAGAATGAAGATGTCAGTATAGGAGCTAGCACAAGACAATGTGTGATCAATCATAACATGGATGATATGGTTAGAGCTAGAGGAAGATTAAGATGTTTAAAAATTTTTTCCCTAGTCAGTTTTATATTTTTGGTTTTGTAATAGATTTGGGTGCCATATAGAAGTATTTAATATCAGAAATCTCTTTTATGATCTTTTGCTGCTCAACTTCTAGGAGGCAATCTGGTATAGCAGGAAGAGTACAAACTCCAGAGATGGAAAAGCTATATTCTAGTCCTTTTTCCTGGCATTTATTGAGTGTGCTGTCTTTGACAAATTACTTCAGTGTTCTCTTCTATAGAGTGGACATAAAGGTGACCACCTCCCAGTCTCACCTGGCCTGATACTTTTTGAAGTGATCAATAAATGTTATTGAAACAATAAACCAGTATTTCTAATAACTTATTTGTGAATATATATGACTACATGCATTTACTAATCCATAAAGACACAACACTAGCTTTTTCTGAATAGTTTTCCATGTTTATCTGCAAAATTATTCCCTGTGTGTCTAAGTTTTATAAAAAGCGTTAATTGGTCTAAAGCAGTGTGCCCAACGCAATACCAGGCATGCATGTAATTCTAAGTTTTGTAATAGCGACATTAAAAAGAGCTTAAAAGCATTGAAATTTTCATAATTTATTTTATCTAATTCAATATATCTAAAATGTTATTTCAACATGTAATCAGCATAACTATTAATAAAATATTTTACCTTCTTTTTTTGAGGAATTCAGAACTCAGTGTGTGTTTTACACCATCAACATATTTAAATTTGAATACCAAATTTATCCAAAACACTTGATCTGTATTTGTATTTAATAAAATTTACAGTTGAAAAAGTACTTTCATATATGCAGATTTGTCCAAACATACTTAAAACATTTCCAATAACTGAACAAAGTGTCAGTTTTTAAGTTTGAATTTAAATTAATTACAATAAAAATAAAAATTAAGTTTCTGGCTGGGCACGATGGCTAATGCCTGTAATCCCAGTGCTTTGGGAGGCCGAGGCAGGCAGATCACCTGAGGTCAGGAGTTCAAGACCAGCCTGGCCAACATGGTGAAACCCCGTCTCTACTAAACGTACAAAAATTAGCCAGTGTGGTGGTGTGGGCGTGGAGTCCTATCTACTCGGGAGGCTGAGGCAGGAGAATCGCTTGAACCCGGGAGGCGGAGGTCGCAATGAGCTGAGATCGCACCACTGCACTCCAGCCTGGAAAACAGAGCGAGACTCCATCTCAAAAAAAAAAAAATTAAGTTCCTTAGTAACACTGACCACATTTCAAGGGCTAAGCAGCCATATGTGGCTAATAGCTACTGTATTAGAACACAAAGGTAGAATTATTTCAAATAGTATTCTCAGAAAGTCCCAGTCTTAGACAGAAGAGTTATTTTATAATATAAAATAATGACATTCTTAGACTGGATTTTATTTTGGGAGTTGTCTCTTACCGACTATGCTTAGTAATGACTTCTGACACTCCTCAGCTTATCATTTGGCCTGCTAGATTTATGACATATCCTTTGAATGAAGCTCTCTAGATTACTTGGCCTAAAGAATGTATAGATACTATTAAAATGCTGCAGGACAATTGCTGTTTCTTTATGTATACACCTGACTTCATCGTCTTTGCAGACGAACTGTCTCGGTCCCAGACTGTGTTAGTTTTCCAAGGTCCCACGGCTTGTTAATGGCAACATCAGCCTATGAACATGGACTTACAGGTCCATAATGCCACAGAGTCCATACTTGGCCTCATTTAAGTGCACATGCGTCCCTGATGCACTTTGGACACTTAAGAGTCTTCCCTGAAGGAGGATCCTTTCTTGGGCTGTATTTTTTAATCCTCAAAAATATAATCAACTCAAAATACAAGGTGAAATATGGAAAAACACATGAGCTAGACTAGGTTGTCTCCTTCTTGGGTAGAACAGGTTGTGGGGATGAGGATATTAGGCAAAGAGGCCTTAGTAGTAAAAGGTTGTGTGGCTCTGTGCCTTCTCTATGCTCCTTCACTGCACAAGGAGAATCGCTTGAACCCAGGATGCGGAGGTTGCAATGAGCTGAGATCACACCGCTGCATTCCAGCCTGGGCAACAGAGCAAGACTCTCTCTCAAAAAAAATTAAAAATAAAACAATAAAAGATGCTTTGTTAAATGAAAATAGTTGTTTACTTTCATTCTAACCGTGCCTCTAGTGAACAAGTCACTCAGAACTGAACTCCCATTGTCAGGTTAATTTTTATAAGTTTTTAGATGTTTTGAACGAAAATATGAAAACCCTGCAGAAGTGTTTATCCTTTACTGTTAACAGGATGTCATCTTGAACACACCCTTTTTTTTTTGTTGTTCTGTATGACTATTCAGGAAATGTTCACAGGGACTGTGAAGGAATTCTGGGAGGTATACTAACTAAATGGCACCACTTGCTTTGTTGTTATTAATTGTATAAATGCTTTTTAGAATTTATGCATTTATCAAGTGATCATTTTTTTACATCTTGTCTTTTGATTTTCTGCATTCAATTTGCTAGGAGTTTAAAAACTAGACCAAAAAAAAATAAAACTTGCTTGGGTTGTGAATAAGAGTTGGGCTTGAAGTGAGACCTTGCATTAGTCTATGTATATCAAGTACGTAGATTTCTGACACCTATTTGGGGCAGAGAAATGTGTTAGTTTCCTCAGAGAAACCCCTGAGGCTGTTTAAAGGTAAGAAACAGGCTGGGCGCAGTGACTCACACCTGTAATCCCAGCACTTTGGGAGGCCGAGGCAGGCGGATCACAAGGTCAGGAGATCAAGACCATCCTGGCAAACACGGTGAGACCCCGTCTCTACTAAAAATACAAAAGAAATTAGCCGGGCATGGTGGTGGACACCTGTAATCCCAGCTACTCGGGAGGCTGAGGCAGGAGAATGGCATGAACCCGAGTGGCGGAGCTTGCAGTGAGCTGAGATTGCGCCACTGCACTCCAGCCTGGGCGACGGAGCGAGACTCCGTCTCAAAAATACATAAATAAATAAATAAAGAAAATAAAAGATAAGAAACCAATGAAGCACAGCAAAAGCAAACCCCAAGTTCTTTTGGTTAACTTCCTGATTCTTCATTATGTTTTGAGTTATAGATACAAGGTTACCAGCTAGAGAGCTCTGTTTTACTATTTATTTCTTTATTTTATTATTTACTTCTTTATTTAGAGACAGGGTCTTGTGTCGCCCAGGCTGGAGTGCAGTGGTGTGATCATAGATCACTGAAGCCTCCTTCCTGGGTTTAAGCCATCCTCCCACCTCAGTCTCCTGAGTACCTGGGCCCACAGGTGCATACTACCATGCCCAGCTAATGTTTGTGTTTTTTGTAGAGACAGGGTTTTGCCATGTTGCCCAGGCTGGCCTCAAACTCCTGGGCTCAAGAGTCTCCCACCTCGACCTCCCAAAGTGGTGGGATTGCAGGAATGAGCCACCATGCCTGGCCTAAGATGGAAACTATTTTAAACCCTCCTATGGATTCCTCTACGTGGGAGGATGGTTTACTAAATACTCTGTTCTCTTTTATTATTAAATATTCCCAAGGGCCATCAGTAGCTTCCAAACCTGGGTACACATTGGAATCACTTATGGAACCTTTAAAAAGACAAATTCTAGCCTTGCCAGGGATTCAAATTCTGTAGGTCTTCATGAGGCCATTGAGTCTGTACATTTTATAAAGCTCTCTCCATCTTTGGGTAAACTTTGGGATTTTGTCAGACCCCTCTCCAAAAAATAATTGAGTTCAACTCAAGAAACAGAACCTGTGCAATAATCCTTCAAAACAGTATAATTAAAAGACTGAGGGCAACAGAAAGATCAAATGAGGAATTACACATATAGAACTGGGGGTACCTATAAGCTGAGTAATGGAAATCAGGAAAACTTTTTGGAAAAAGAACATTTAGTGTACTTCTAATACATTTAAGTTAGTATACCTTCCAGAATATTTCTCATTAACATAGAATCCCTTCTGATTTTTCTTTCCAAGGTTGGGTTTAAGAATACACCTGGTAGGCTGGGCACAGTGGCTCACACCTGTAATCCCAGCACTTTGGGAGGCCGAGGTGGGCAGATCACGAGGTCAGGAGATTGAGACCAGCCTGGCCAATATGGTGAAACTCTGTCTCTACTAAAAATACAAAAATTAGCTGGGTGTGGTGGCATGCGCCTGTAGTCCCAACTACTTGGGAGGCTGAGGCAGGAGAATCACTGGAACCCGGGAGGCGGAGGTTGCAGTGAGCTGAGGTCGCATCACTGCACTCCAGCCTGGTGACAGAGCGAGACTCCATCTAAAAAAAAAAAAAAAAAAGGAATATACCTGGCAATTTATCAGAGAATGGGTGATCTTTGGAGGTTTAAAGTGAGCCTCTGTATAGGTTCACACAGTCTGTGCCCAATAAGTATCATACACCTGGTTAGTAGAATGCTGCTTCACCAGTAGCTTGCTGTCAGAGGTACCCTGTGCCAAAACAAACCAGTATTTTCCTAGTGGCCCTCCTAATACACATTTTCAGGTTGCATTTGTTTGCTGGATATGTCTTTAGGTAATGACATGCTTGGCAAATGCTACCTACAACTGTAAGCCTATTTAATAGCCAGTACTTCCCAACACAATGACACATTATCTTTTATGGGTTCCCTGCCCTTATTATGGTTTCCACAGGGAAGAGGCCAGGCTGCAGGTGATGTTTGCTTATGTTGTGCTCCATTTGGTTCCTCCCTTAAACACAGCCTCAGAGGCTCCTTGTCTCTGAAAGTTTTGTTAATACAAGTGAATGAATATATTCTGTACTATGTTATATCACTGAAAAATAGTGAAAATACATAATCCTTTTGGCACTGGCATCTATTGTTAATTGCCATATTTCTGTGAAAATATTTTAACTCTTATATTTACTGAATTGCTAGGAAGACTAACATGTATGTATCTCATACAAATAAAATGTGACCATTTTATTACTGAAATATTTCACTGATAAACTGAGGTTCTAAAACCTCAGTTTAGAGAAATGTTGGGTTTATAAGACCAATTATGAAAAAAATAAGAATCATCACCAGCAAGTGTATCCTCTCACTTCACAGTTTTGAATGAAATAGGCAGGGTTACAATATGATCATTTTAAATGGTGACTTTTCCTGTAAGTTGGAAAAAAATTCTTGAGTTGATGTGCAAAAGTTATTTCTTGCTTCCCATAGTAAAATAGAGCGGGGAGACTATACAATAAAGTAGGTGGATAGAGTCCAGTAGGTTACATTTATTTTTACTTTTTTTTATTTTTTATTTTTTTTTTAAGACAGACTCTCACTCTGTCACCCAGGCTAGAGTGCAGTGGCAGGATCTCAGCTCACTGCAACCTTCTGTCTCCCGGTTTCAAGTGATTCTCCTGCCTCAGCCTCCTCAGTAGCTGGGATTACAGGCACGTGCCACCACACCTAGCTAAATTTTGTATTTTTAGTAGAGACAGGGTTTCACCATATTAGCCAGGCTGGTCTCAAACTCCTGACCTCAGGTGATCCACCCACCTCGGCCTTCCAAAGGGCTGGGATTATAGGCATGAGCCACCACACCTGGCCTAGTAGGCTACATTTAGTGAGAGTAGTTGTATGATCTAACCTTTATGCTAATAAGTAGCTATTGGCCGGTAGCCTAAGAACAGTCCTCCCAGAAGCAACAAGGTAAACTAAACACACTCAGGAACTTCCTTCCTTGCAGATTCTAAGCCCGTGAAGGTAGATGCATTGGGTTCACCTTTCGTTTGCACTTAAAAATATTCGCAGTCAGCCGGGCATGGTGGCTCACACCTGTAATGCTAGCACTTTGGGAGGCTGAGGCAGGCAGATCACGAGGTCAGGAGATGGAGACCATCCTGACTAACACGGTGAAACCCTGTCTCTACTAAAAAATACAAAAAATTAGCCGAGTGTGGTGGCGGGCACCTGTAGTCCCAGCTACTCGGGAGACTGAGGCAGGAGAATGGCGTGAACCCGGGAGGCGGAGCTTGCAGTGAGCCAAGATCGCGCCACTATACTCCAGCCTGGGCAACAGAGCGAGACTCCGTCTCAAAAAAAAATAAATAAATAAAATTTACCGTCTTGCCATCAGGCCACACAGAAGCAGAAAGGAAACTTTTATGAATATTAGATTAACTGTTAAAGAAAAAGGAAGCATCAACTTTAAAGTCATTCATTCAATTAATATTTGAGGGTTGTTATGAAACTATCAATTAAGTCAACAATCCAGTTTATTTTATTTATTAAATTTAGTTTACATTAATATAGTTTAAAATATATGACTTTTTTTGGAATCATCGGGGAGCCAACAACCTATAAGTAAACTTCCCCTAATCATGAAGGTTAGCCCTGGAAATAGCAAATCATTTTAATAATTTTGAATACAGTTTTTTTCTAAAAAGTATTTTACTGTCTCTGTATCTGTTGCATAAAATGCTATCATAATTTAACCACATCTAAATGAATTCAGATCATCAGTAAATATTAATTATTAGAGATTTTATAATATATGGATACCTTCAGGGCTTTTGAAATGTGAAAGGCATTCTCTTTCTATACTAAAATATCTGTAGCCTGCTTTGCTTTCTAAGTTTTATGTCTGCTTTGTGTTTTTGTTCTCTGATTTTTCTATTAATATCAGCCATCAGCTGACAGCTGTCACTTACACTGTCAGTATGCCTGACCTTAGGATCCTTCACCTGTCCATGATTTTTTGCTTTTAATTTAACATACATTTGACGGAGGAACAAGATTATGTCTAATATAGGAGAACATGGGCTTCAAGTGGGGATAGTCAGGTGAGGTGGAGGGCACCAAAGGTGACTGCACTCTGGAATTCAGCTATATTTTGGATATGCAGGATATCTGGGTAAAAAAAAATATGTATACATTATTTGAGGCATCTCTTAAATGTATACAAAGACAAATACTCTAAGGCTGCCATTGTTTAGAAGTCTCAATCATATTAAGGAAAACACTAGAATAAAAATTAATAAATGTAGTGACACTGGAGTCTGATAAACCTGTATTTGAATGACCCTGAGCAACCTTATTTTTGTTCTTTTTCATTGACTCTAAAATGTAGATGGTAATGCTTACCTTATAAGGTTACTGTGAGGACTTAGTGAAATAATACATGGAAAGTGCCTAACCTAGGATCAGAATCAAGGTCAGTCCTCCTTCCCTCAAATGTTAGCTTCCTTTTCTACCTTTTTTTCTCTTCACTTCCCTTAGTATCTATAAAAAGTAGGAAAGAAGAGGATACTTTTTTTTTTCATATTCCTACAAGGCTGTTTTAAGTAATGTTCTTTTAGTTGAATGACAGTCACATCATTTGAGAGGTTAGTCTAATAATAGCACTGGAGACTTGAGGATGACAAAGTGCGAATTTTCAGTTGGGTCTGGACTCCAATTTATTTATTTATTTGTTTATAATCAACATGGATTTATTTGCACCTGACCACTTTTGACAGAATTAAAAGGAGAAATTGTAGACTTCTACAATTACATTCACAGATTTGTGCACTACTGTCTCAGAAACTTAGGAAGCAAAAAAAAAAAAAAAAAAATTTATAGAGAATGTAGTATTACACTAATGAGATAGTGAAGCAGAATTCCATTTTCTTTTTCTTTCATCTTTTTTTTGTTATAGATTTAGGGGTGCACGTGCCGTTGTGTTACATGGTGATATTGTGTAGTAATGGTGTGGGCTTCCAGTGTACCCATCCCCCAAATAGTGTACCTTGTACCCAGTAGGTGGTATTTCATCCCCTCACACCCCTCCCACCTTTTGGAATCTCCCATGTCTATTATTCCCCTCTGCATTGGATTCCTAGTTATATACAGAATGAGAAGGACTTTACCCTCTTCTGTCTGTACACAGATAACTCCATAGGCACACTACTGTCTTTTAATGGTTTTGACTTCCTTTAGTAAAATGTAAACCAAATACCACATATTCACCTCTGTCAACTCTACAGAGGCATTCTAAACCCTGAATGTGTAAAATGCAGGAGTAGCATGGGGCATCTTTGCTGGTGTTTAGCTCAGCAGAATCACTTTAAGTGTTCATTTTGGTAAACTGGACATTTTCTTTCTTCCTGTGAATTGTTTCAGTTCATCAGTCAATTCTCCTTCCATGCTGTTTTGTAATTACAACCTATATTGCTAAAGAAAACCTTCAATTTACCCTGAGTAAATCAAGAATAGAAAATTACTTGGGTTTCGGTCTCTTCACAGCTGAAATAAATTTTCACTGACCCTCATAGAATTCTTCTCTCAGAAATAATGCCCATAGAAAGATCAATTCGTTACACTTTTGTTTTTAAGTAACTTTGCATTTTCCTTCTCAACCTCATTAACCTAAACCTGTTTTCTTTTGAAGGCAGAACACTTAACATTCTCCAATATTGGCTCCATCTTGGTTTTATAAATGAAGTTTTTAACAAGTCAGTTTAGGCTGTGTCTTTTAAAATCATGTAACTATAGATTTGAATCCAATCACTTTTCTTTGCAAGTTATGTCAACAGATGTTCAGTGTTTCATTTTCCTTAAGGGTGTATGGTTTCTCGCTGACTCTTGGCTTCAAATACAGATTCTCTGCTGTTGGTTTTGTCTGTAAGCATGTAAGCTGTTGAAAGCTGTTTGTATTCATGGCCAAGAGCCCCTAGTTCCCAGAGCAACAGTTTATCACTCACCCTGTGTTATCTTTGCTCCTACCTTTCTTGAATCACAGGAACACAACCCCAGCCCGTTAGATCCAGGGGGCAGCGTGTGTATTTGCTATGCATGGACTGTTTATGGCAAACTGTGTGGGTCGGGCTCATGTTCCTGGAGTGCTTTGAGCAGCTTTACTAATCTGTCAGTATAGTATGTTCTTGTGGATAAATATAGACATACGGGCACTCTGTGAGTTGTAGGTCACTGTCTTACTGTGCAGCTAAAAATTGTCCCATTGGTATGAACAGTCTGCCCTGGACGGAAGGCCTGTTTTAGTTTGTCTTCTACTGTAGGTCTTTAGCACCTGACTAAAAATACACCTGGGGCCAAAAATATAAGGGCCCTGCATTGTGGCTGAGACACTTATGGTGGCAGTGAGCAACAGGACCATGGAGCCCATCATTATGTGTTTTGGCTTTGGAACATGGTCTGTGTAGCTGTTCCAGACTGTTAGTTTGGGTTTCTTTTCAGGCTCATGGAGATTACAACTGCTTGTTGGAGACGATCCTGTGTGATCAGCTTCATAAAAGGGCTTGGTAGGTATGAAAGGCTGTTAATATGTGTGGAGTGGCTAACTGGTTGTTAAATGCTGAGTATGGGAGGACTCTTCTAAAGGTTTCAGCGGATGGGGGTGGAGGTAGCAGTTGCATCTGCCTGCAGGGATTTACTTATAATGCCATTGTTCAGAGACAGGAGTAATGCTTGAGGTGTTACATTTGAGATTGTTATATTTTGGAGGCAAGATGTCCTTTTTGTATACGAGCCTGTGGAACAGGCAGCCAGGATACAATGGAATTTTTCTGTGCACTTAACTTTCACTAAAAGATTTGGTATGACACTGCAGTAAAATTGCTGCTCTGTAAAAACAGCTAGTATATATTTGAAAAATAATTAATAGCATCATATTTAATATTATAGTAGAAGTAGGATTTATGCATGATTTCTTCTAAATATTAATGTTAATGCCCTTACTTGTTTTGTTTTAAACATTGCAGTAGGCCTAAAAGCAGTTTTTTTCTTCATTTTTGGCTTAGCCTTGTTCAACATGTAAAAGATAAAATATTTTTCCTTTTTGTTTATAAATTTAAAAACAGGACACCGTATGTTAACTGACATTAAATGGGTCCAAATTGCATGCCACTGCTTTTCCTTTATCAGACAATAACACAGTTACATTAGTTCTAACATAACATTTTAAGCAATATTGTACAACATTTCCAAAAAACTAGTGAGAGGAAACATCCATGACACAGAGTTAATTACATGCATTTTGGATATCGGCTCTTTAATTTTTTTTAGTGAAGGTAGGAGAAGTTAACTTGTGAGTGGTAAAGGCACAACATATTGCTCTAATCAAGGAGAAAGATTTTGTTTACTAAAGATTTGGGAGATTGAGTTGCTTGCTAATTATTCCACTGCACTATCTCTAATGAAATTACTAGAAGTTTACATATGATAGCCTTCTGTTTCTAGGAAAAAAAAATCCTGTTAGTCATTATTTTACCCCTTACTTTTGTGGTTTATAAAGCGTGCATTAAGGAACTTTTTTTTTCCTCCCAAGGAATTTTTTTTAGTGTATAACAAGCATACAAGATAAATGATTAAATTTATGGTTTCAGGTATTTGGAAAAGGTTGCATCATTATAGGACTCATATGAAATGCTAAATATTTCTATTGTATGGCATCCCTTGAGGATGTTACTGACCGTTAGTGTATTTTGGCTGAACAGACCACTCCCACAGTCTCATGAACATGTTGACTCCTTTTTCACTCATTGCCTTTCTTGCTCATAATAAAGTTTATAGTGAAGTTAACTTTATAGTACAGTTAGTAAAGTTTTAGGTATTAAACTTTACTATAAAGGCATCAGAAACAACTAATCTGCTTCTGTGAATTGGTAGATTTATTACCATCTTAGATTATAAATTTCTGGTGAGCATGTATTAAGTGAATTTTATGTCTTTGTACATTTCCATAACTAAGAATTTAATAAAACCTAAAATATTTTTTAAATGAGCTGGTATCTAAATGAATAAGCCCATATGAGCCAAGAATTTAATAAATATTTACATGTTGATAAAATCAAACACCAGCAAGACTGAAAAAGATTTCACTTATTCACTTAACTCATCATTGAATAAATGTTTATTGAGCTTCTGTTGTAAACACTGTACTAGAAGCCCTTTGCTTGCTATATATAGATCTTGGAACTGTATATAGTTACCATATGTATTTTATAATGGCATATATATACCATCACATATATTTTATAATGCATATATAATGCATATGCATATATATGCATATGTATATTAGTATATACATATGTATGTGTATATATTTTATAATAGAATGCATACTATAATGTATATTGTACTTGTGTATAGGTATATAATTTTATAGTATAATGCATATTATATTAACAAAGACACCTGTAAGATTAGACTGTCCTTCAAGTCACCCTCTGCATCATGTAATCCCCAAGGGGACCCTGGCGGGGAACAGCTATAACTTTAATTTGCGATGTTTATTTGTCAAAAGATGGCAGTTGCTGGCACTGTCTTTGGCAGACCCCCCACCACGTCCAGTTTGCATAGTCTTCAGTGTCCCTTTATGTTGGGTCCCTGTGTAATGCATTTGCCAATTCAGCTGCAGAAAACATCACCATGGTGTTCTTCTCTTGCCCTTGGTGTTTGACTTAAATATGATTCTAATAAAATAGCTCAAGAAGCTGGTTTGTCGTTTCTGGCAGGGCTCAGTCTAATGCCCAGATAACAGTATGGGAAATACTACTAGCTCCTTAGCCTCCAGAGCCTTTTGACCATGACCCACAGTAAGAACCACACTTTGCATTGTGACCCAGAACTCACACACATACATATCTGTAGACACAGACAGAGTCTGAAAACAACAGCTTTGTGAAACAGTGCTTCCCTCCTCACTGTGCAGGATGCCACCAATCTGCTATTTTTCTCTTCTCCTGTTTTCTGTTCTATTTCATCAAAATCAGGCTGGTCGGCACCCACTAAATTATTTTCATGATCCAGTAACGGGCCAGAATCTGCACTTTAACGAACTCTGCTTTAAAGATTCCAACAGCTAGGCATTCACAACATACCCTTAGTCACGTTCTCAGCAGAAATGACATACTGTCATCCTTGACATACTGTTCTACTCCTGAGCATAATTGGCGCTTTATTTGTCAGAGTATTGCTTTGTTGCAGAAAGAGCTCTTCTGGTAGTTCTGATGCGAGTCTTGGGTTGAATGTAAGGTTTCTAAGCTGGAGACAATGCATGACCTTGTACATATTAACACTTCCTTACTCCTTAAAGCAGTTAAGTATTTGTTGAGTACTTGATATTAAGCCTAGTACTGTGCTAGAAGGTGATGCTACAGGACGAATAAAGCAAATTCCTTGCCCTTGTTGCAGTTAAGTGTAGTGGGGGAGACAGATAGGAAATGCGTATATAATATGTCATAGTATGTCAAGAGGCAGCCAGAACCCTGGATGACAGTAAAGATGATACAAACTGTTAGCAGAGGGGAGTACCAAGGAGTGGCTGGCCAGAACAGACTCTCATAATCCTAGAAGGAAGTGAGCATGTGAGCCATCACCACATTCCCCCCACCATTCATAAATTCCTACAACCCCTCTGCCCCAGTTCTCTTCCACTTTGAAGGTTTCCCTGACTGTCTCTATCAACAGTTATTTCTAGTTCTCAGCTTAAGTGTCACTATCCCAAAGTCCTGCCCCAACCCCCACAATCACAGATATGTCCCCCCTGCATCTCTCCTGCAGCAGCCATTGTAGCACTTCTCACTTTGCAATTATAGTCCTGTGTGTTTTTATTCTATCATGCCTCTCTCCCTGCACACTGTCAGCTGTGTGAAGCTACGAGCCATGCCTATTTTGTTCCCCCAGCAGATAGCCCAATACCCCAAGTACACTGGGCCTTCAGTAAATAGTCAATATGTGAATAAATGAACAAATTAGTGAATGAATACTCTCCTAAATTCGTGTGCTCATCCATTGGCTGTTCAACCTGGCTGTTCAACCTTTGGCTGTTCAACCTAGTGGCATACTGTGACTGAATAGATTAAACTTTAAAAATCTTCCAAGCTGTCTTTTTGAATCTATCTTCATATTCTCCACAGAACTTTGCAGAATGCCTTATACTAAGGTCTTAATGAAAATTCTTTATTTAATGATTTGATTAATTGATCACACTCATAGTCTTTTGAAGCGAAAATAGTTCTGAAAGGGCCGTAATCATGTCATATGATAAAAGATGCCTATGTAAATGACACCTCCACTCATCCTTGCTGTGTGTTATGCCTGTAAATACTCAGGCCAACATTCAGTTATGCAGACAGTTCAGTTACTCAAACCTATGTGATTGAACCTGAATTACAGATGGTGTTCAATTCTTTAATATAGTAATTTATTTTTCAAATTGAGGTTCTAAGATGGCATTCCTTTATTATTGCCATTGTAAAATATAGGAAACTTTTTATAAATGAGTCTTATCTTTTAAAAAATATTTATTATGAAGTGTTAAACCCAAAAGGAGAAAAAATTAGGATAATATGTAACATATTGCCATCACTCAAATTCTACAGTTATCAAGATTTAGTCATGTTTGGTTTATTTGTACCTTTATTCTTTCACTCTAATTAAAAAAAAATTTTTTTTTGAGACAGAGTTTTACTCCATTGCCCAGGCTGGAGTGCAGTGGCACAATCTCAGCTCACTGAGACCTCCACCTCCCGGGTTCAAGCAGTTCTCATGCCTCAGCCTCCTGAGTAGCTGGGATTACAGGTGCCCACCACCACGCCTGACTGATTTTTTGTATTTTAGTAGAGATGCGGTTTCACCGTGTTCCCTAGGCTGGTCTTGAACTCCTGAGCTCAAGCAATCCTCCTGTCTTGGCCTCTCAAAGTGCTAGGATTACAAGCATGAGCCACAGCGCCCGACCAAAAAAATTTTTTTAGAGAGAGTCTCACCCTGTTGCCCAGGCTGGAGTGCAGTGGCGCAATCATAGCTCACTGCAGTCTTGAATTCCTGGGCTCAAGCGATCCTCCCGTCTCAGCCTCCCAGTAGCTAAGACTGCAGATGTGTGCTACCATGCTCAGCTAACCTTTAAATTTTTTTTTGGTAGAGATGGGGTCTCACTGTGTTGCCCAGGCTGTTTACAAACTCTTGGCCTCAAGTGATCGTCCTGTCTAGGCCTCCCAAAATGCTGGGGTTAGAGGCATAAGATAATGTGCCCAGCCCTTGTTTCTCTTTGTTAAAGTATTATGAATCAAATATAGACATCATTTCATTGAACCCCATATAATCAGTATGCATTCTAGGAAATATAGATATTTTCTCATCTACCCACAATACTATTATCACATCTAATAAAATTGACCGTAATTCTTTGCTATCACCTAATATCCAGTCCATACTCAAGTTTTTTATAATCCTAAAAGGTCTTTTAACAATTGGTTTGCTTAAATCGGGGTTCAAACAAGGTCCACGTATTACATTTGGTTGTTTTATCTCTTCCCTTGACCTGTAGAAACTGGTACAGTTTTCCTATAGAACGAACCTACTTCTGGATTAGCTATTTTGCTTCCTTATGGTGGTAACATTAACTTGTTCTGTATCTGCATTGTCTCTTGTGAATGCACATTAGCTCTAATGTTTTGAAAGCATGATGAATGTGGTCACAGGGCAATATATGGTTCCCCCTGGTCATAGGTTATACTCCAAAGTCATTTCTGTTCCATTACTATGATAGAATAGAACTGTGTCACTCCCAGGTATACATCCCTAACAGTTTTCAGTGTGTAGGTACAAGAACTCTGACCAATATATTGCCACAGGTTGGGGATTTTGAGAAAGCTTCTAGAGTCAGTGTTCTAAAGCCACTTCTTCAGCACCTTAATCATCATAACAAGTGCAGGTCTGTTTGTGTAAGATGTAGGATCTTTTTTTCTGTTTTAACAGGCACCAGACAGGTTCCTGCCTTCATTAGTCTTCTCATGGTAGGTGCAGTCATCTTTTAGTTTGTGTTGTCCTTCCAAGCAGCCGCTTTTTCTCCCAATTTACACAGCAACATGAGATCAGCATTCTTTCCAGAAACCCACTGGCTCCCAGTGGCCCTCAAAATAAAGTTCACATTCATTGGTTTGCCATTTAAGACCTTAGTTCTAATGCTAATAAGTATTTTAAAACCTACATTTTTACAGGACTTAAGAGTTTATTAAGTTTTTCATATATGCTCTTCTTTATTTCATCTAGCAAATACTGTATTATAGAATTGGTTGGGTTCAGGTCCACAAATATTAAGTGAGCACAGTTATTTACTTAATTGTGCCATGCACGGTGCTAAGTGCTGGTGATAAAGACAAGAGATAGTCTTGTTTTTGAGGACTCTGCAGTTCCTTGGTGAAGACAAATTTGAACAGATATACTAAGACCAAGGATGTGTGGTAGGAGGGTGACAGGAGGAGGGGGTAAGAAGAGACACTTGGCAGATGCCTCTCTGTACCTGCCATGCCATTCCATTTGCCCGAGTTGCCCCTTTCTCTTCCCTACGTATCAGAATCCTACCTATCCTTTAAGACCTGGGTCAAATGCCACCTATTCCCCAGTGTCCACCTACTGCGTGGCCCAGAACAGAGACTAGGCCTAATGCGGGGTTAGGTTAGACACAAGTCAGACTTTCAGTTCGTTTTTTTTTCTTAATGTTAACAAAAGTCTTGAGTTTACAGGTAGGAATAAAGACAGGCTTCCCCACTGTCTGCCTGCAGTTTAGGGAGTTTCCAGGCTTAAAATTTAATGAAACCAGAGAAGTGAAGATACAACTGGAAAGGTCAGGATTATTTGTCAAGCTTTACTCTGTAGAGAGGATAGATGATAGAATCTCCCTAATTCATATAATTTAAGGGAAGGCAAGTGTTAATTGTTAAGTGTTTGAACTGCAGAGATTTTGAACAAATGATGTTTTCATACATTTTCAGGGCATACTTTTATATTTCATAGAATAGTAGAGGTTGAAAGGACAATCTAACCTAGCCTCTTTAAGAATAACAGGTAAGGACGCTGAAGCCCAGTTGGTCCAAGTTCCTTCCCCAAGGTCACCTGAGAGCCACATTAGAGCTTAGACCTTGGACTCTGAGTTCAGTGTTCTTTCCACTATATTTTACCTACAAAATGTTAATTTTGTTGGAGTTAATGAAGCATATCAGTTTTTCTATAGGCAGATAAGATTAGAAACAATTTTATTAACTGATTAAATTGCCCTCCTTTTCCTTCCTATTTATTTCCATCAGTGGTGTCAGTGTGTGGTCCCAGGGCAGCAGCACCAGCATCACCTGGGGACTGGTTAGAAATGCAGACTCTCCAGTCTCACCCCAGACTCTGACACTGAATTGGGGTAAGAGGTGTCCAACCTTTCAGGTGACTGTGATGTGCTAAAGACTGAGCACCAGTAATTCAAATTGTAAGTCAGCAGATGTTTTTTTGAAGTTAAGATTTAAAAATTCAAGGTCTTGTCCAAATAATCTACACATTTTGAATTTGTAGAGTTCACATTAATGATATTTTGCGGCATAAAATGAGCAAGCAGAAGAAGAAATTAGAAAAGAGAAGAAAATGAAAAAAGGGAGAAGAGCCAGCAAAGGACACCTGAATGAGAGCAGTTGGTCACTTCTCTTAGGGAGAAAAAGGAAGTTGAAATTCAGGATTATCCTGCCTCTAGCAGGTTATTCGATCTCCTTTTGGTGAGAAAGGACCTTGAAATGTCAATGTAACCTCATCTTCCTTTGCGCACGGATCTTGGCAGACATTCTTTCAGGCTCTGATGACAGTACCTACTTTGAAAATCAGGGGAACGTCCATGTAATCGCATCTTAGCAGATGACAGACATTTATAAAGGAAATCACTGAAGTGTTACTGTCATATCTCTCAGATAAAATACTGGAAGGCAGAGGAAGACAGAAAAGAAAACAGGGCAGACACTTGTTGCTAACTTTCTCTTTATTGAACTGCTTCACTCTCTCCAAGGTATTCAGTCTGGGGAGACCAGAGACAAAAATGGTTTTGAGAGAACATAGACTGAAGTAAGCAAAGAACTGTGCCTTCAAGTAGACTTGCTCTTTGTTAGGATAACAGGCAGTTAAAATTTATATCATCAATGTATCTAGGAAAGAATAGTCTTTAGGTCTTTCTAAGGTATGTGTGTCATTAATCAGATCTCATATATTTTTATGGATCCTCCATGTTCAATTCTTTTTTTTTTTTTTTTTTTTTTGAGACTGAGTCTCGCTCTGTCGCCCAGGCTGGAGCGCAGTGGCCTGTTCTCGGCTCACTGCAAGCTCCGCCTGCCGGGTTCACGCCCATTCTCCTGCCTCAGCCTCCCAAGTAGCTGGGACTAGAAGCACCCGCCACCACACCGGGCTAATTTTTGTATTTTTAGTAGAGACGGGGTTTCACTGTGTTAGCCAGGATGGTCTCGATCTCCTGACCTCGTGATCCACCCGTCTCGACCTCCCAAAGTGCTGGGATTACAGGCATGAGCCACCACGCCTGGCCCATATGTTCAATTCTTTTTCGTACTCCTAGCCTTTCCCAAAGTCCCTCTAACGGCTAAAAAGTGCATTTTCATTCACGAGGGCAGAGAACACAGAGGGAGAGACCTTCATGGCCTAAGGATATATTAGTCTTTCCGGAAAGTATACAACTATTCTAATCATAGGAAACCCCATTCTCCAAATTACAACGTTTATGTTGTATTTTGTCATACCCTGAAGTCCCAAAACTAGCTTACACCAGAGCAAAACCTATGGGTAAGGGGACAGTCTTCAACATAGGCAGCTGATTTGTTTTAAAAGACAGTCTGGGAATGGTGTGATACCACTATACCAGCGAATGAGGAATGGATACAGAAACTGTGGTATATACATACAATGGAATATTATTCAGCCTTAACAAGGAAGGAAATCCTGCCATATGCAACAACACAGATGAACTTTGAAGACATTATGCTAAGTGAAGTAAACCAGTCACACAAGGACAAATATTGCATGATTCCACTAATTTTTTTTATTATACTTTAAGTTCTAGGGTACATGTGCACAACGTGCAGGTTTGTTACATAGGTATACATGCGCCATGTTGGTTTGCTGCACCCATCAACTCATCATTTACATTAGGTATTTCTCCTAATGCTATCCCTCCCCCAGACCCCCACCCCCCAAGAGGCCCCGGTGTGTGATGTTCCCTGCCCTGTGTCCGTGTGTTCTCATTGTTCAGTTCCCACCTATGAGTGAGAACATGCAGTGTTTGGTTTTCTGTCCTTGTGATAGTTTGCTTAGAATGATGGTTTCCACCGTCATCCATGTCCCTGCAAAGGACATGAACTCATCCTTTTTTGTGGCTGCATAGTATTCCATGGTGTATATGTGCCACATTTTCTTAATCCAGTCTATCATTGATGGACATTTGGGTTGGTTCCAAGTCTTTGCTATTGTGAATAGTGCTGCAGTAAACATACATGTGCATGTGTCCTTATAGTAGCATGATTTATAATCCTTTGGGTCTATACCCAGTCATGGTATTGCTGGGTCAAATGGTATTTCTAGTTCTAGATCCTTGAGGAATCGCCACACAGTCTTTCTTCCAAATGGTTGAACTAATTTACACTCCCACCAACAATGTAAAAGCGTTCCTATTTCTCCACATCCTCTCCAGCATCTGTTGTTTCCTGACTTTTTAATGATTGCCATTCTAACTGGCATGAGATGGTATCTCATTATGGTTTTGATTTGCATTTCTCTGATAACCAGTGATGATGAGCATTTTTTCACGTCTGTTGGCCACATAAATGTCTTCTTTTGAGACGTGTCTGTTCATATCCTTTGCCCATTTTTTGATGGGTTTTTTTTTTTTTTCTTGTAAGTTTGTTTAAGTTCTTTGTAGATTCTGGATATTAGCCCTTTGTCAGATGGGTAGATTGCAAAAATTTTGTCCTATTCTGTAGGTTGCCTGTTTACTCTGATAGTTTCTTTTGCTGTGCAGAAACTCTTTAGTTTAATTAGATCCCATTTGTCTATTTTGGCTTTTGTTGCCATTACTTTTGGTGTTTTAGTCATGAAGTCTTTGCCCATGCCTATGTCCTGAATGGTATTGCCTAGGTTTTCTTCTAGGGTTTTTATGGTTTTAGGTCTAACATTTAAGTCTTTAATCCGTCTGGAATTAATTTTTGTGTAAGGTGTAAGGAAGGGATCCAGTTTCAGCTTTCTACATATGGCTAGCCAGTTTTCCCAGCACCATTTATTAAATAGGGAATCCTTTCCCCATTTCTTGTTTTTGTCAGGTTTGTCAAAGATCAGATGGTTGTAGATGTGTGTTGTTATTTCTGAGGCCTCTGTTCTGTTCCATTTGTCTATATATCTATTTTGGTACCAGTACCATGCTGTTTTGGTTACTGTAGCCTTGTAATATAGTTTGAAGTTAGGTAACATGATGCCTCCAGCTTTGTTCTTTTTGCTTAGGATTGTCTCGGCTATGCAGACTCTTTTTTGGTTTCATATGAACTTTAAAGTAGTTTTTTCCAATTCTGTGAGGAAACTCATTGGTAGCTTGATGGGGATGGCATTGAATCTATAAATTACCTTGTGCAGTATGGCCATTTTCATGGATATTGATTCTTCCTATCCATGTGCATTGAATGTTCTTCCATTTGTTTGTGTCCTCTTTTATTTCATTGAGCAGTGATTTGTAGTTCTCCTTGAAGAGGTCCTTCACATCCCTTGTAAGTTGGATTCCTAGGTATTTTATTCTCTTTGTAGCAATTGTGACTGGGAGTTCACTCATGATTTGGCTCTCTGTTTGTATGTTATTGGTATATAGGAATGCTTGTGATTTTTGCACACTGATTTTGTATCCTGAGACTTTGCTGAAGTTGCTTATCATCTTAAGGAGATTTTGGGCTGAGATGATGGGGTTTTCTAAATATACAAGCATGATTCCACGTATATGCAGTATCTAAAATGGGTAGATTCATGGAATCCAAACGTAGAATGGTGGTTGCCTGGGGCAGGGGGACAGGGAAATTGGGAGTTGCTAATCAGTGGATATAAAGTTTTAGTTAAGCAAAATGAATAAGCTCTAGTGATCTGCTATACAATTGTATGTATAGCCTAACAATAATATATTATACACTTAAAAATTTGGTAAGAGAGTAGATCTTCTGTTAACAAAATAAAATAAAAATTATTTTTTAAAAACACAAAAATATATTTAAAAAATAAAAGACAGGGCGATATGGGAAGCTCAAAAGATAACGTCATCACATTCATGGGTCAGATCCTGAGTTGACCACTCTGTAACCTGGGACAAGCCCCTTAACCTCTCTGAATCTGCATGGTCTTATCTGTAAAAGGGAGATTAGCCTTCTAGGATTATTTTAAGAATTAAAGATACTAATTCGTCTGGAGATATCATGTAGATTCTGAAACTTGAAGGAACACAATGTGAGAACTGTAGGAGAATTAAAGTGTAAGTGAAAGGAGGAATGTATATAATCCATAAAAATGGGAGGAATATTTCACATTATCAGAATTTTATGGAAATTAATCAGAAATTAATTAAGCTTGCCTTTGGTTATACTTTTCTTCCAATGCAAAAATTGTTTTTCGGTATTTTTTTTTACATGATATTCTTTTCTTGGCCCACTTTAAAATAAGTAATTATTTAAGAATCATCTATCACTTCGTTAAGCAATCTTTTTGTGTTGCTGAAACTATTGATTTTTTTTGTCCCAACATTTTTGATTTCTTAATATTCTTCAGAAGAAAATAATTCTTTCTGTCTTGTTTGGTTGTTTCTTTTTCTTTTTATCCCAATTTACTTTACATGACTTTCAGGGTTTCTGGCCATTTGAGTATTTGCAGTACCTTTTTACATGCCATTTCTTAAGTTCCCTCATACTTGCTTTAATGGACAATTTGTTATTGCTCTATACACAGAGTGACATGTTCGCAAAGAAGCTGCATCACCCTTTATGTTTTATGAAATGTTCCTGTACTGCTGGTAAACAAATTAAGTCTTAGGAGAAAAGGCATTTGAGAGGGAAAGTGTGATTCTAAAGAAAGATCCCAGCTCTTGTTTACTAACAGGGTTTGCCTTCAGAACCTGAAAAATGAATGAAGTATTGAGAACTGGCAGAAAGAATAATTTATGTACAACCATGAACAAAGAAATCTCATAATTTACTCCTTTGTTGAACGATAAGATTACATTGATCTCTATAAAGTTAAGTTGTTTAATCAGATCACCTTTCTATGATGAGTTCTACTTTGAATATTTGGTTACCACATATAATCCCAGGAGCACTTAAAAGAAAAAGGAAGCCATTTTTTATTTCAAATACTCTGGGTAAAATTCCAGTAATGGGAGCAGCAGTAAAAGCAATGAGTGTTGAAAAATTAGCTCTGTGCTTGTCTGTCTTTGCAAGTTGGTGAAAAAGCAGGCCAAACATCTCTGCTTCCTGAGGAATGGAGTACTTTGTACAGGAAGATGGGAAAGCAGTGTGATCATTGGGCATTTTAGTTCATGCCCTTCACAGGCTGGTTAAAATTCTCATCTCCACCGGAATTGGCACACAGATATGGGGCAGGCCAAATGCATGGATCAGGAAAACAGATTCTGCCCGAGCCATGTGTGCCTGGATTTTCTTAGACACCAAGAATACACACAGTGTTCATTCCTTCCTGCGGCAGCCCCAGACTGTAGCACCTGAATGCCTGTAGGCAGATAGAGAAGAGCAGGTCCCTCTAGCCACTTACTCTGTTTAATTTTTCCTTGTTCTTTTAGAATTTATTGTAGTCTGACAGTGTGGTATTTGTGTGTATGTGGGCGGGTGTGTGTGTGTGTGTGTGTGTGTATGCACATGAAATGCTGGTTATGTTACCCCACCTCAGTACAACATAAGCTCCATTAGAGTAGGAACTATCACTTTGTTCACCAGTATCTTCCCAGTGCCTGGAACAGTGCCTGAAGCCTAGTCACTCATTAAATAAGTATTGGTTGAAATGAATGAGTAAGTCAGTGAACAATAGCTTCTAATGAAAGATGGTATTACTTCTCTGAAAATCTGATTGAGAAAACCAGTTGCTTTCCTGTAACATCTACGCCACCATTAGCCTCTAGGGCTCTTATATGAGGACGCTCATTTCATTTCAGTGTTATAATAAAAATGTAGCTGAACTATGAGCTGTGGAGGTGTTTATATTGGTGCTACAGTTAGGAGGGTAGTCTGTCCTGGAAATGTTGGTAACTTAGGGAAATTGTACTGAAGATTTAAACCAGCTAAGAGCAACCAGCCTAAAAATTAAGCTATAAGTCAGTGAAGTTGGGGGAAAAATAGTCAGTCATGTTCAAAAAGATCATCAGTCTGAATAGATATGCAGTCCGAAATAGATTTAATAAACGGAAAATGAATGGGCCCTAAAAGTATAAAATAGACTTCTCATAATTTAAGGAATGGGCCCTGCTTAATATAAAAGATAGAGACCCAGTGAACACGGGAAAACACTTCCTGAAGTCATCCAACAAAATCAATTAGGAACAGAATTTGGAATAAAAATAACAAAAGAACATTAACAAAACTCATTTAAGACAAAAGAAGGCAATGGAGAAAAAAATTAGAACGTGTTAAAACCAAGATTAAAATGTAAATGAGAAAATATAAAGAGAAGACAAATTTCAAACGGATTCAATAATTAGAAACCTAATTAATATATAAAAGTAATGCTCTTCTCCTCCACTCCACACCAGCCCCCACCACAGGAGCACTGGTTTGAATGACTTTTTAGAGACATTGAGCTGTTATATGACGATAGAAAGGACGAAGGAAAGGAGAATAAAGGCAGATGGAGTTGGAGCTAAAAAATTCATCACATGGATGCCACTGAACCATACACTTGAAAAAGACTAAGATGGTAAATTTTGTCTACTTTACCACAATTAAAAATAAATAAAAACAGATTTTAAAAAAGTCATTATATGCAAAAAATTTTAATGGGGGTTTTTAATACAACAAATTAAGCAACAGGAACAATTGTTTCTTCAACAAGTATTTGGATGGGGAAGATGTGATAAAGATTCTGTCAGGATCCTTTCATTGGGAGAGATCCCTATTTCCAGAGACCTGGCATGAAGAGAAGGCTGACCCTTGGGGCAGCTGGATGGCACTGGCAGGCAGGGCCCAGACCAAGCCAGGTGGAGGAGACCATACTGACCTGGACCCTGAAAGGTAGGAGGATTTGCTTGCAGGACTGGGTAAAAAGCAAGGAAAGCACCCCAGGTAGAGAGAAGTTGATTCAGTCATTGCATTTGCAAACCTGGAAAATGGTGCCTCAGTGTGGCTAGTACTGAATCCATGTTTTATTTTGTTTTTTCAATCAAAAATAAATTTCAGTTAAAAATCAGACCTATGAAGGAATAGATTTAATTCTTGAGAGCTAAATTCTTAGAGGCAGCAAATTTTTCCCTTTTATACACCAAAAGTTTTTTTAGTTTTATCTTTTTGAAATGGAAACCTTTGGAAATTTATATTAGTCTTTTTCCCACCTTTTTTACCTTTCTGTGAGACTTAAGGTCATCATAATGAACATAAATTGTGACAGCAGTCAAAGCCCTCAAGCCTGTGAGACTGTCATATTCAGCCAACTGCATTTTTAAGTTCTGGCAGCTTTCTAAATTATGCAATTTTGTTTCTTCTTTTGCTACTAGCATTTCTACCCATAGAAGTTACACCCCTCCCTTGTAATTTTCTGTTTCCAGACTACTGTGAATTTAGAAACTAGACAAATTATCTTATGTATAGATTAAGGGCAAGCAAATGCTGTGAGAGGGTCTGATGATTTTCTTTCTAATGATAATGCTCTAATATTTACACTAGTGTGGACTTTGTGACTCAAATTTGACTACCGGGGAACATGAGTTTCCTGGTCTGCACTATATTGTCACCAAATAACTCAAGTATTGAAAGGTGCCATGTCCTAATGTTTACTTTTGAAATTATCCTGAGGCTAGGATTTGCCATGAATTAATTAGGGTAGGATGAAGAGGGTTACTGAAACTTGGAAGTGGACCTAGTTCAAGTACACTTACCCCATTAACTTTCATGCATCTCCAGATGCCTACGCTGATCTGTGTTTGAAACTCAGAATGATGAGTGACACCCCACCTTGAATCATTTTCTGCTGTGGTACAGGGCTCTGCTGGGCTAGGATAGTTCCAGCTCAGTAAGGCTGTTCATATAGTTTTATCTTTTTCAATATCACATTTGTATTCACAAAGATGTCTGGCTTTGAAGTTCAGGTGAATAATATTTTTTATGATAGCAGTGAATTGGCTCTTCAGCTGTTTAAATGGAGGATTTGTCTGAGAGGTTTTCTGGTATCTGAATTTCATCTCTCTAGTTCAAAATGCAGCCTTGTAGGAGGACTGTCAGAGGTCACTCTCATGAAAATGTTTTCACTGTAGTTAAGACTTTTAGGCCCCAGAGTCATGCAATTATGGATCTTGTCTTGCAATAACTGTATATATTATATCAACCCAATTATTGCTGTCATCTAGAAATGGATCAAATCCTGTGGAAACCCAAAGATAATAAAAAGTCATACTCCAAATAGACATTTTAGGTTTATATCCCAGTCTCTGGTTCTGTGGCATGATGCCTTTGATACCTGAGGAAGATATCTTGAGACATTATGTCCTTCTCTAAGCTGGTGTTGGGGAGGTGTCCTACTTCCACAAGGTGCCTGCACTGGGGAAGTAGGAGGTGAAGCAGAGGAGTGGCCAGGACCTCATTTTCATCACTTGATTTTCAATATGCCCCTTTGGAATAAATAGTGCCTTTTAGTGAACTGCTTGCGGTACCATTTAATTAATGACTCTTCTATCACAACTACTGCATCCTTTCTTAAAAGACTCTGACATATTGCATCTCCTTATGTAGTTCCTATTCCCAGGAATCCCTTTAAGACCTGCAGAAATAAAGTCAGGGGACATTTTCAGTTAGTTATTTAAGGAGATTTATTGAGTATTATCTGTGCAAAGAACTTTGTATGACATCTGGGAGTCTACAGTCTTATTAGGGAACTTTTAGGAGATATAGCTAGAAGAGTATATGGTTTAATTACAGGGCCGACCCTAGACAAAAACCTTGTCTCCAATCAATAATTACTTTACTTAGCAGCAGTCTATTGAGCCTTTCATAGGTAATGTAGGATATACACGACAAAGCAAAACACCAAACAGTTTGGGTTAAATGTTCAACTCTTGTAAAGCAAACTGATCAGTGAGGACTGGCCTAGTGGAGGTAGGTGTTACGGAGATGAGACTAGAAGTGGCTCTGAAAGAAGAGGAGGAAGAGATGGGCAGAAAAGAATGGAAAGGAGCTGCAGAAAAGAAAGAAGGAAGAATAAGTGAAGCCAGTGTGCTCACAGGCCAATGAGGGCATCAGCAGGACTTGGGTGAGGGTGTGGAGGCAAACTACTAAAGGCCCTCAAAACCAAGCCAGGGTGCTGAGGCTGGATGATGGTAATTGAGAGCTATTGAAAGTTTTGAGCAGAAAAGTGTTATGATTAAAGCCATGCAAAAGAAAGATTAGTCTGATATGGAAAACAGATGAAATAATGTCCGCAAAGAAGTTATTAAAATAATCTAGCCATAGGTCTCCAAGGGCTTGGATAGGATGCGGCCAGGGGGAATGGAAAGGAAACGAGATAATATGCAAGACACTTTATTATATTTTTGGAATTGCGAGGCCATAGTCTTACAGTTTAGTGGTAGCTGAGATCTGGAAAGACCGTTCAGATATAAGGGGCTCCTCAACTGTTATGTCAGGTTAAATGAATTACAAAGGAAGGGTAGGAAATGTGAGGGAGAGTCGTCTGTGTAACAATGGGGACATGTTTGTAATTTAATAAAATAAACAAAACGTTATATTGCTTCCTCAGAACTTGGCTTGAGACAGAAAGAAGGCAAGAGAAGCCTTACATTTATTTGTAGTTATGAAAAGAGTATCCAACTTTCATGGAGAAAGAACTTTGTTTTGCCTTTAATATTGATGACACCACCATTCTCTTGATGTCGCATCCAGTGTCCAAACTGCAAACCCACTTTTTACTTGACTCTTTCCCTTAATCTCCATATCCAGTTACCCAAAGCTAAATACTTATGTTTAACTATACGCTTCCTGTTCTCAGCATTCCCAATGCCTCTATCCCAAGCCCACTTGCTCTTACGTTTCTTTCATTGGATATTAATAACTGACCATCTTACAAGGGCTTGTGTGGGAGGGGTGGTAGAATTTAACATATCAAAGTACTGTAAAAAGTAGAGACTTGAAACTGCATTTATGAATTCAAAAAAAGTTTAGCAACTATCTAATTAAAACAGTGTCTGACTCTGTTGCATTCTGAACAGAGGCCACTCATCAGGAGCTTTAATAGCTGACTCTGTTGAAGATATAGTACTAGTGGGGAATCAACATATTTTATAAAGGAAGCACAGAGGTGTCTCAACTTGAGCCAAAGGGTGGTGAAAGTGAAAAGTTAAACCCAAACCTTGGACGGCAAACAGAGCACTGCCTGAGCCTCGTATCTTTCAAGAGGTGTGTCCCTTTCTGGAGCAAGAGCCAGCTTGGCTTCTAAAAATTGATTCTTGGAGACTTCTGGAAGGAATGACCCCAGAGTCCTTTCCATTATTAGAATGAAGCACAGAACACAGAGAGCTCTTGACCATGAGGAAAACCTGGACAAGAAATCACTTTTTTTCCCATATATGTTTTCTACCCATTTTCTAAATGGGACTGCTGTTTCCGTAGAACCAAAAAAATAAGCCAAAAACATCTTAAGTATTGTAAGATTGATCAGCTATATTATGAGCTTCCAATATAATTTACCTAAAGCAATGTAGTGACTAGAATCTTGAGATGATCAAATGTGGTATAACACAAACATAGTATAATGAAAATAATAAAATTCTGACACCATTTCCAAAGAATAAGGCCAGGTTATAATATTAAGTGTGACTTTCTTGATATGATTCATATCCTGATATTTATGGTTTAACACAGTCCATCTGAATATTTATGACATTATTATCAGCCAGTAAGAATGCCCATTCTGTTTTTCAGCTTCTCCCGTTGGCAACGGTTACATCAAGCCTCCGGTTCCACCTGCTTCTGGCACGCACAGGGAGAAAGGGCCGCCAACCATGCTACCCATCAATGTGGACCCAGACAGTAAACCAGGAGAATATGTCCTCAAAAGTTTATTTGTCAACTTCACCACTCAGGCTGAACGCAAGATTCGTATCATTATGGCAGAGCCCCTGGTGAGTACATGCCGTGGAAACTGCCTCTTTGAAAATTCATCTGTATGCTGAATATACTAGATTTAAACACTATAACAAAAGATGGATTGCTTTTCCTCTGGTTTGTAAAGGTTCTTTAATATCATAGGTAATGTTTTAAAGATAATAGTTAGGTTCCCTGATCTAAGAGAAACAATTTGAGTGTTGAGGATTTTAAAACGATCTTCAGCAAATACTATTCAGTAGCATGCTTCACTGCTGCATTTTGGACTAATAAGCTTAATTTAACAAGAAGAAGTATCAAAGAAGTGTCAATCACAGAAAAATTGTGTTCAGAGTCTCTGTGATATATATATATCTCATATATATATATGGCAAAATCTTTTGTCCAGTTTTTAAAGTAGATGACAAGAAAAATCATTTTGTTCAGGTGGCTGTGTGGACTTCGAGTTTGAGAAGTTAAGGCCTTGGTACCATATTGTCAGAGAAAGTGTTTTGATGAGTCGTTCAGAAATACCACTTCCATTTCTAAAACTTGGAAGGCTATAAATTCTTGACTGACTTACCTTTAGTTCCCTCATTAGACACATGATGCCCTTGGATGTGAGTGTCTTCAGTTGCAGATGCTTCTGCTAGAAAATAAGGCAGGCATGAGTCTGCCTTACATTGATTGCTCTAATAGGACTCTAAAGAGCACTGAATCTCTCCAAAGGACAGTCAGGAAGGAAGGAAGCGCAATTGGTAGATTCAGATTACTTGTTTTCTAACCTTGGCAGGGCCACACACCATAAAAGAAAAGGAAAGGAATTCAGAGTGACGCAGCTGTTTCTGTGAAGGGCGACTTTGTACCTCCTGTGAGGTTACTGGGGCAATAAGAAGATAATCAGAGGTTTGCTTTGCAGAATAATAACTTAAAATAATTAAATACAATATTCTTAAGCCTGTAATACACATCTCTGAAAATATGTAATAGATGATGCACATCATCAGTTAAAAATGACCCTTACAAGAATTACAACATAAGGTTTGGGAATCAGAATTCAAGAATGTTTGTTAAGTGTGTTTACCTGAAAGTTACAAACTTTGCACATTAAAATTTTTATTGTATCAGTGGATGTTATATTTATCCATTCTGTTCATAAAGTTCTCTTCATTTATTGAATTTCCATAATTATGGGAAATGTTTCTTGCTTTTACAGTTTAAATCATCTAAACTCATCCTTACTACAGGACCTTTATTTCCATTCACTCATGTTTTTATGTTTCTGCTCCTCTTACTACTAATAATAGCTGATATCTGTGGTGTACTTACTATGTACTAGGCATTGTGCACAACTTATTACCTCCTTTAATCTTCACAATGACCTTAGGTAGATAGCATTTATTTCCTGCTTACAGATGGGGAAAGTTGGCACAGAGAAAGTTAAGTAAATACTCAAGGTCACACAGTGTTGATTTAAACTCAAACTAGGTGGCTTCAGAACCCACATCTGAACCCCTCTATACTTTATTGTCAGTCTTTGCACGGTCCTCTTCATGTAGAGGCACTGTTGCAGATACTGTTGCTAACTTCTTAAACCAACACAGGACTCTCCTGTAACTTGAGTCAGCCACCTCAAGTATCCAAAGTCCCATTGCCCAGAACAGGGCTGACCCTTGGAGCCTCCAACCCCTTGAGAGACACTGAGGCAACCCAGACTCCTCCCCTGGTGGAGGGAGGGAAGCTACCTCCATTTCAGAGGATGTGGGTCAGTTTAAAGAGAGAGTGGTGAGGCACAATAAAGATTCATTTCACCCTGTAGCCCTAGAAAAGTGCAAAAATGACAGGTCTAGTCTCTTTGAAATTGTGTATCCTAATGCATTTTCCTGAGGAGCTGTGAAGTTGTACAAAAGTTCAAAGAGATGCTTACACAGCTAGGTCCTGACACCTTTTCAACCATCCATGTTTCCAAAATAATAGTTTACTGTTTTTTAAGAATTTGTGAAGTAAAATAGTTTGGATTTAACATTTTCCCTCTTAACTCAGGTTGGAATTTGTTTGCGTGGAGTTTGTTTTTTCTTCTTGGAATAAGGATTAGATCTGAAAAATGTACATGTGCCATAGCATTCTTTTAATAGAAGTAGACATTTTTGTTCCTCTCTATGAAACAACTAAAATGTCCCCAAACAAGAAAAAAATTTTTAAGTGTAAGTTCTTGTCATAAGGAAATCTTCCTTATGTGCTTAGAGTGAGGGATTCTTCTGGGTGTTGATGGCCAACAAGACACACTTGATGTTTTTAGCTGAAGAGATGAATCTAATCAGTTTTTAGTATTATTGTTTTTTATAAAAAGAGACTTTTTTGCTCTATCACCCAGACCTCAGTGCAATGGCGCAATTTTGGCTCACCACAACCTCGGCTTCCCGGGTTCAATTAATTCTTGTGCCTCAGCTTCCTTAGTAGCTAGGACTATAAGCGTGCACCACCACACCCAGCTAATTTTTATATTTTTAGTAGAGACGGAGTTTCACCATGTTGGCCAGCCTGGTCTCGAACTCATGACCTCAGGTGATCCTCCCGTCTTGGCCTCCCAAAGTGCTGGGATTACAGGCGTGAGCCACTACCTCTGGCCTTTTTATTCCCCTTTGATTTTTTGGCAGAAATGTAAGCTTCTGTGTCATATTCTTTTCTTGTCTGCTGAAAAATGCTTAGTAATTTTCTGTCCTTATTTTTGCCTACTTGTAGGCCAGCAAATGTGAATGGATTCAGAGGCTTGTCAGCTGATTCTAGAAGTGTGAATGGGCATTTGGCATTTTGTCCTGTAGCTGCAACAAGAGGTGTTATTTTTGATGTATGTAGAGTACACTTAAGGTGAATTCTATTAAATGTCCTCTACTATTTCTCTTGTTGAGTTAGCTTCTTTTACAAAGACATTGAATGCTTTAAAACCCTGAATTTATGCGGGTTTGTATCAAATCACAAAATTGTATTCTATTATTCTTAACTAAATACGACTTGTATGGGGATGGCAAAGGTAATTTTCAAAAACTTGGAAGTATAGATTTACTATTTGGGGGACTACTCAGGAATCTGTATTTTTCAGTTTTATTTTTAAAAGACTAACTCGGAATTTCACACCCATTAGCTTGTGTGGAGCAGATTATGTACAACTTTAAATTAAAGCTTAAGGTTTTATTTATGACTTTGCAATATCCAGATAGCCAACTTTAAAAAAAAAAAAAAAAACAGGAAATAAAAATGTTCCACAAAACAAATTTTAGATTTGTTTCTTTGTAAATATCTTTCTCTTGTTCTGCAGAATGGCTCTTTGTACCCAAAAGATGCTCAGGTCATATTCATGAATATTTATGGATAAGTCAATAATTTTATTCTATTTTTATTGCTTCATGGAGACATTTAATAGCATTTGTTCTTGTCCAGTCTTATCATTATTTCACCTTTCCCAAGCAAAGTGTTCTAAACAAGCTAATGGGGTCATCTGTGTCTCTTTTATATTTTTATTTCAAAAGATAAAAACTGCAGAAAATAAATAATGGATACAATTCCTTCTTGCATCCTCCTCCTTCCCTCTGAACTCAGTTTTCTTCTTCCCAAAGTGAATCTTTTTCAGTTCTTTAAGTAAGAATCAGTGGGTGGTAAATTACTCAGTCTTGTTCATCTGAATGTCTTTATTTCTCCCTCATTTATCAGTGATGGTTCAGCTGGGAATAGAATTCTAAGTTGAAATTCATTCTCCCTCTGACATTTGAATCTTTATTTCACTGTGTTGCCTTATCATTGCTGTTGAAAAGTCTGTAGTGAATTTGTTATTTCTTTGTGGGTTCTTTACTTTTTTCCCTGTTTACTTTTATAGTTTTTTTCTTTGTCTTTGGTATTCTGAAGTTTCACTACACTGTGTTTGGATGTGCATTTATTTTTATTTTCTTGTTGGAGACTCTTGTGCTTCTTAAATTGAGGATTTATATCTTTTCATCAATTCTGGAAAACTCTTAACTATTAATTATATGAATGTCATCATTTTTCCATTTTCCCTCTTCTCTTTTTCTGGTACTTCTATTTGATGTAAATTGGACTTTCTTATGCTACATTGCATATCTTTTTACCCATCTTTTATTATTCCACCTCTTTGTCTCTTCTGCATTCTGAGTAGTTTTTTCAGATCTGTCTTCCAATTCATTAATGTTCTCTTAGGCTATATAACCTGTTTTACCTACCTATTGAGAATTTTAATTTTGATGACTATATTTTTTATTCCTGGAAGTGCTATTTAGTTCTCTTTGAAAGTCTACTTAGGCTTCTTATTTTCATTGTATTTTGTTTCTTTTTTAAGATTACAACTTTGCTTTTATGTCTTCAATCACCTTGAATGTGTCTTTATTGTTCTGTTATAACACTACTTCTTGTGTCTGCTAACTCTTCTGTTTGTTGTGCCTGCTAATTCTTGCCCATGATGGATTTCTTTTTATGTACTTTGAAATTTTTTGTTGTGAATTCTTTCATTGAGCCTCTTTTTCTGTGAGTTTTCCTTGCATCCACGGTTGTGGGAGTGTTTCTCCAGCACGGTTTTGCTTTTGCCCCTTCTGTTGCCCAGAGTTATTGCTGTCCGGGGCCAAATATCTGGTTACTTTCTGCACCTAGAAGGTGACACAACTGTATATCTCAAACTTGTAAGACTTTGGCCTGTGGTTTCAAATTCTTGGATGTGAATTTTTTTTTCTTGTTATTTTACATAGAACTCAACCAGAGACCACTGGGAACATCGTTTCATCTTCTTTTAATGGTGCATAGATTTTTCTCTAGTCCATTGTTTAGGACCAGACTTTATGTAAGGCATCTTATTTTCTATGTCCCACCTCTCAGGGCCCACATCACTGTTTCCTATCCCCCAGTTGACAATAAAGAAAGCCTCTAGGATAATGAAACAAACAGTCCTCTCCCTGGATAGCTACTATGCTACCTCACTCCCTCCTGTTTTTCCTTTCCCTTTTCCTTTCTTGTGAACTCATTTCTATACCTTTTTTAAAAACAAAAATGTTATATTTCATTCAATATTTCCAAGCACTTACTCCGTGTGAGCTTTTGGGTTATCTGAGCCCATCGTCCTGCCTGTGTCCTCTGCAGAATTCTCAGTTTGCTTTCCATGCAGATAGAGCCAGAGTTGGCCTTTGCTCCCTGAAGCTCATGGTGAGGTGGGGTGTCCTCAAGGTGAATAAAAGGAAGAATAAGGGGCCTGTCACCAATTTTTCCTCCTCTGATCTCATCTGTGAATCTTCTCTAAATACAACCCTGTCCATTACATTTCTTGCACAAAACTTTCATTTCATTCTTTTTCACTCCTTGATTTGGCCCAAACTGATCTTACTCCCACCACATACCTTTATGAACCCAGGTTTCTTGTCTGCCACCATGCGTTTATGCATGCTGACCCCTCTTCCTGGAATGCCACTCAGCTTCTCATTCTGCCTACCCTTTAAGGCCCAATCCAAAATCTCATCATCTGAAAAGCTTGGCTTGATTTCTTCCCTGCTATCTCCACACAATCATGCTTATGATAAAACAACTTATACGTATCTGCAATTCTTTACTTTATCTAAGCTACTGTATCATTCTGTCTTGCAAACTATTCTGTCCTCATTGAATTACAGTAATTAGTATAGACTAAACTAGTAAATACCAGAATATATTACAGGTTTTAAGGGTAAACATTTTATGATACTTTCAGTTGTGCATGTGCATACCAGACCATAGTGTATTTTTTATGGTGGTGGGGTAGGGGCAGAGATTTTCTCTTAAGTTGAAGAAGCAATGTGTTAGCCTATAAGTTCCTTGGAGGCAATATCTGTGTGGGATGCATCTTGACACATACACACATGCAAACACACACACACACACACACACACATATCCCATGTCCCCATGTTTAGGACAGTGTTTGCGTATCATGGACAGTACATGCTTTTTGAATGAATGAATGAAACATTAATATAATAGCTTGAAAAGAATGTCTTTATTGGAACCTGTGTGTTTCCAGAGGTCATCTTGCCAACTCTAAACTAATAAACTAATAATAATAGATTATGTTCTGTTCTTTGCACAGATGAATGCCCTAAAATGTGCTGAGTACAAGAGGCATTGATTCTCAGCCTCCTACTTTCAGGCATCTAAGGATACCTCTTTATTCATTGATATGGTCACCTTCTCCTCACACTGACTCCAGCAACGGGTGACTCTTAGTGATCAGACACAGTATCAGAATATATGCTCTCATTCTCTATGAGTCTGTCTATATAGCATCTATTACTGTAGTCACAGGCAATTACCTTCTCAGTAAGCTCTTTCCAAAAACAAGACTCTCCAGTTTTTCTGAATTCAAGTGCTGCTATCAATTTTGACTTTGTAGATCAAATGGACAAAAGAGATAAAGTTAAAGACAAAACAGCTTTTCATTCTGACTGATCCGGATTTGACTCCTGCTTCCACCTCTTTAGTGTTGTGTGACCTTGGACCAGCCAGTCAACCTCCTTTTTTTCTCATTTGCAAAATGGAAGTAACAGTACCCAGCTCACAGGGTGGTTGAGAGGATTAGAGGGAGTGTGTGGAGCCCCTGATACACTCCTGAGCATGTAGGAGATGCTCATTTGTCCTCATCACCACCCTCCTCATTATCCTCATTGGAGGGCTGAGATGAATTTCTGGTATATTTCCTCAGAAGTCAGCCTGGTGCTTCCTCTCTTTGTGTTCACGCAAACATAATGGAGGCTTGAGCAGGGGACTTGACTGTCTCCTGTTGCCATTTATCAATACTGTCAGGTGCCTGTCCTGAGCTCTGCCATGGCATTGACAGAGACACAACCACAGCTCCTTTCAGCAGACCTGGTCTTAGCCCTCCAGGTGCTCATGCTTTGGGAGATGACAGAGGCAAACAAAGTACTTAAGAGAAGACAACACCCCCAACGATCTCACTGTATTTCCAGCAAAATACTTGAGTCCTACCCAGGTGTGAATTGTGAAGACCTAGGCGGTAAAACCAGAGATTTGAGGTAAGTCCGCCTCTGAGGGTTTTCAAAGGCTTTCAAAGAGGAAATTTCATTGGTTCTTGAGAGTAGGGGTCTCAGAAAAAAATAAGAACCGCATAATGGCCAGGCAGCCCAAAATATGAAAGGCTGGATTACTCAGCTAAGTAAACCAAGTTTAGAAAATTTCAAGAATTTTCAATCACACTTCTTAGGCTTTTGTCCACGCCCCTCCCTATAACTTGACCAATACACAAGAAAATTGGTTTTTTATTATAGCCCTGCCACTAACCTGTGCTTCTGGCAAAGTCACCTACGTGTGATCTGTCATTGTTTTCTCGTCTATGAAAGGATAGCAGCCAGGCCATTTTCACTCTAGTGTATAAAACAAATGAAATAAAAGCAGCATTCACTCTCAAACCCCTGGGTTTAAACTCTTAAATTCCCTGGGTTTAAATCCCTGGGTTTAAACTCACTTATTAGTGAGTCTGTCCAGGTTTAATCTCCCATTGTCCCTTCCAGGAGCTGCAGTGGAAGCTAAATTGGGGATTGGGCCAGGAATTCCATCTGGATCTAGTCTATCAGCATAAAATGTCATCGGGAAGAAGAAAAAGAAATTCTAACTTGCCTGACAAAGAATTACTCAGAAAGAAAGTAATTTACTGTGTTTTGATTTTGAAACCTGGAAAAACGAAAAGTTTTTTTTAAGTCTACTTGACTTAAAAAAAAAATCTAACTTTAATCTTGTCCTTCAGCAGAGACTAAGAATGAGAGCTGTGCTTATCTTCATCCAACACCCTGGAATTCAAAAACACTTTTTATGACGAAAGATGAGTGAAAATGGGGATTTTCATTATTGAGGTTGCTTGAGCCTTAGTAGCCTTGTTCACAAAATAGTTAACGGACAAGATGCAGGCAGGATATTTTAGACATTGCCCCTGTGCTGAGTTAGGAGCACAGGTGTGGGCTGACAGAGTGATAATTCATAAAGGTGCTAACTGTGTCATGCTGGAATGGAGGCTTAAAAATAATAGAACATGATCTAGCTGGTTTGCTAACATGAAAGAAGTAAACTCAAAGTAACACAAACTATTTTCTTGGGGTACACAGTCTGAAGAATCCAGGATGCCAAACTCTATTGCATCACACATCATGAATCTGTAATGAAATATGTCATGCTTAAGAACAAACCTGTAGGAACATCAGTCATGGCCAGCCGGCACAAACACTGAAAGGCCAGGCAATTAGCTAATGACAGCATTACTGCTTGCTAGTGTTGTTCCAGGTTCAGGCAGTAACGTTGTTGACATACCTTTGTTCCTTGGCCCAGAGTCTGAGGCTTCCAACTCCTCCTGTGTGTTGATGTTACAAAGCTGGCATCAGGACAACTCTCCTGTTACCCCTAAAGTTAAGTAGGACGCTGTGCTGTAATAAGGACACTGGTGGCCCACCACCAACAGATGGTATATGATGAATGGTTCTAGTCATTTTGATGAACGGGACTGTGGGTCTAAGTAAGCAAGTCCTTTGGCAAGTGACATACATACTCATCCCAGCTTCCTCTTGTGATTTTAGACCATATCTGATGAGAAGTAAGAGACTGAATTTAGGATACACCCTATTTTTAGGTGTAAAAGAGGTTTTTTCACCTCTGGGCCATCTAGAGATTGAACATTCATCCATAGTCTTGTATTTCATTCATTCACATGAGTGATGTGTGTGCAGACTTCTAGATATCAGAAAATATCAGATCCTTTCATCCGGAACCCTTTTTAGTATTTTAGTAATTTGTGAATTGGAAATTCTGCTGTGCTAAAGGACAGAATGACTACCTCTAATTAAGTTTGGATCTTTATATGGCAGATCTTCATAAAACTGATTGTAATTTACTAATCATCTTCATAGGCTTATCACCATTTACTAACCTCAGCCATATGATATTTCATAATATTTTATCATGCCCATTTGCAAGTTGGTTGTTTTTCTGCACTGCTCTACATGCCAATCTTCCTATACTAAGCAAAGGTTACATGTCTGTTGACTAAGGATGTGTAAATAGCAGAAATGCCAGCCTTAATGTCTTTCTGCACTGTGGATTCCAGTCAGCTTCCCAGAAGGATAATCAGCTAGTCTTGTTGGTCAAACTCCTCTTTAAATAGAGGCTGCTGTTGCTTCAACAGACCAAATAAGGGAAATATAGAGTAAAAGTAATTTCATGTAGCTCCCTGTTGAGTGTAGTGATAGAATCAAAGCAATGCTGTCCTGAAAAGAGACTAAAACATTGCTGGTCAGATAGGGAATATTTATATCACACTTGACAACATACTGGCTAGTTTTCAAATTATAAATAAATAACTTTTAAAATAGCTGTTTCTTAGCAAAACAGCTTAGCCTGGAACGTCCCTTAAATAATCTATAAAGACATTCACCAAAAACTTGAAAATTCACCCTAACCCAGAAACATAGCATTGTTAGTAGCTAAAAAGATTCAATTTAACTGCTGAATGAGGTGATCTTTCAGATGAGCTCATAAGTTTGTTTTCTTTATCATGAGTATGCTTGGAGACATGTAGATGAAACACATTTCTTCTGTGGCTCCTAAATGGAACTTTTTCAGATGTGAAATGAAATTTAATACACCACCATAGTTTGATTGAACCTTATAGCAAATAAATGATGTGAAAATATCACCAGGTAATAAAAAATATCAGAGGGCTTTTTACTTCAATTTAATAGTATCCAATTCAATTCATTCATGGATAAGGCCATAATTTTTATTTTTATTTCTGGTGACTTTATGAAGAGATTATCGAAGTTTCCTTTTTTTGAGAATACAAAACCAGACAAAGGTAATTCCTCATTTCGGTCTAGTTTTTCTGATGATATGTTCTTTGTACTATTTACAAAGACATCCTTTTTAATACAAACAAAAGATCATCTGGAAGTATATGTTTTAGAGTGACAGAAAATACCAATAAAAATACGTTCAATAATAATGGCATAATACCAAGTAACAATGGCTCATTCCTTAAGGTCACTGTGATGTAATATTGCTGTGTTTCCACACAACATTTTGCATTTTGACATTCCTGAAAATCATCAGTACAGTTTTCAGCAATAGCAAGTTTTACTATAGCATTGTAGCAATTTTAACCGGCACAAATTTTGATTTCTACGGTCATGCTAACAATAAGACTTGTTTTATTAGGTATTTTTACTGTTGCTTACATACATATCTAGTATATTCTGACTTTTAAAATTTCTTAAAACACAATATTCTATTTGATAATATTTCCTGATGCTTTTGGGAATTTCTACTCAATTCCTAAGTTGTAATCACATAGGTTGAAGGCAGGGGGGTTGGAATATTCCTGTAGGCTTTCCCAAGATGATTCAGCCATGAAGAATGTGAACATTCAAGGAAAAGACTATGCAGGCCACAGAGAAGGAATGTCTGGTGGGCACAGTGGCTCACACCTGTAATCCCAGCACCTTGGGAGGCTGAGGTGGGAAAATTGTTTGAGTCCAGGAGTTTGAGACCAGCCTGTGCAACGTGGTGAGACCCCCCATCTCTATCTACAAAAAATAAAAACAAAAAAATTAGCCAGGCGTGGTGGCACATGCCTGTGCTTCCAGAGGCTGAGGTGGGAGGACCATTTGAATGAGGCTGCAGTAAGCCGTGTTAACACCACTGCTCTCCACTCCAGCCTAAGTGACAGAGTGAGACCTTGTCTCCAAAAAAAGAAAAAAAGAAGAAGGAATGTCTAAGAAGTAGGAGGAGAACAGATGGGAGGTGGAGGGCAATTCAAGTGGAAAGAAGGGAGTGAACATTGCAGCTAAAAGATCCAGCATGAAAAATGGCCACCAGATTTGCCATTTGGAAAGTTACTGGGGTCCCTAGGGAGACTAATTTTAGTGGTGAAAGAAAGGCCAGATTGCAAGTAGTTGAAGACATTTTGAATAGGAGAGGAAAGAAAGACAGGAAGTGTAGACCACCCATTGGAGAACTGAATATGAGAAGAGGGTTAGAAAGGAAACCACAGCCGGGCGCTGTGGCTCATGCCTGTAATCCCAGCACTTTGGGAGGCCGAGGCGGGTGGATCACGAGGTCAGGAGCTCAAGACCATCCTGGCTAACACGGTGGAACCCCGTCTCTACTAAAAATATTAAAAATTAGCCAGGCGTGGTGGTGGGCGCCTGTAGTCCCAGCTACTCGGGAGGCTGAGGCGGGAGAATGGCGTGAACCCGGAAGTCGGAGGTTGCAGTGAGCCGAGGTGGCACCACTGCACTCTAGCAGCCTGGGCGACAGAGCTGGACTCCATCTCAAAAAAAAAAAAAAAAAAAAAAGGAAACCACAGCCAGAGGTGGATGTGTGGTCAAGGAAGGCACTACGATGAAAAGGTTTAAGCATGTTGATAGCTGAGAGAAAGACCGAAGAGAAGGGAAGGGTGGAAGACAGGGGTCACTGAGGAGCTGGCTGATGGAGCCATGTCCTGAAGGAGATAGGAAAAGATCCATCCACACACACTGTAGTAGACACTGAAAGTCTACTGAGTGAACATAACATGCACAGTTAGAGGGGTATATTGGGACAAATAAAATTGAAAAGACCAACAAAATAGAAAGTTACCCAGAAACAAACAAATGAAGGTTGTATCTTACATTTCTTAGTAGCTGCTGTAGTTCTTTTTTTTTTCTTTTTTAAAGAATGCCTATGAGAGCTGCTCTTTTGTTCAATTAAAATGAAGATTAACTTTGTAGCTGAATTTAAGTGAAGTTTCTCTTCCACTGTTCAAATAATGGATTTGTACTTAGGGTTGTTAAATGTGGCAGAGAAATAGGCTCCACTGAAATGAGCAAAACCACTGCAAATAGGACAGATTATCTCAAGAGATTTTGCTTAAAAAAAAAGTGCCAACATATTCTTCCAGATTTACATCTGCCTTCAGTTTTCATAGCATAGGGTACTGGGCAGCATCTTACCTGATAGTACCTTGGATTTATTTGTGCTGTGTCTTCTGTATCATTCTCTTTTGTTTCTTTTTCCCCAGTATTTTAGGTGAAAGGCAGCATTTATTATTTCGCTTAAGAAAATTCATTTTAATAACTAAATGGAATAAAAGGGGAGAAGTTTTGTCAGGGTTTTGACTATTTCTCATTAGTTATTAGAAACCTACTCAGGATGTCATAGGGTGATGTCCATTTTTACAAACTGAGGCAGGTTATCAAGGGGGCTAAGTCTTCCACCAGAAGTCCAGTGATCCATGCAGTCAGTCAATTGACATGACCAGAGTACATCTTCAAGATTAATCACACCAGTGGGGTGCCGATTACCCCTCATGATGGGGAAGTCATTTGGGGAGTAATGGTCAGTATTCAGAACTGTGAGTCTTCAGGCTCACTCTTTAGATGTTTTTCCAAACTTGAGTCAAAGTTGGCACAAATGAGATCTGATGAGAAAAAGATGTCAGACATGAAAACATTTGGGACCCCGTTATTCTTTGGTTCATACGAAGTAGAGTGCCTGCGGCTGGGTGTAGATAGTTCTGAACAAAACGCTTTGGTGCATTTTCACAGTTGGGTCCACAGCTCTCTACTGTGAAGGGTGCCACCACATGGGGTGAGGAAGCTCACCACTAGGCATCTTCCCGTGTTCTGGTGAAGAAGAGAGATCCTAATGGTGGTAGTTCCATTCTGAAATTCTTTATTAACCACTAAGACCAGACATTTATATTATAAAATTTCACTGCTGCTGATATCAAAACCCTCAACTGATTATGTGTATCCTCATTTTTTCTAAAAGATAGCTGAAGCTTAGAGAAGTTAAGAAAGGGCCATAAGTTGAGAGGACCTAGGATTCAAACTCAGGTCTCTCAGATTTCAAAGCCCACACCCTTAACTGCTACATCCACTGTTGTAATAATTAAAAGACTTTAAAATAGCATCTTAAGCAAGGTTAGTGATATATTTAACTAATTGAATAATCTCATATTAACTCCAATAGCATTGCTGGGTTAAACACATTCATTGAAATCTCTCTAAATGCCCAGATGTCACCACAACGCAGTATATCCATGTAACAAAACTGCACTTCTACCCCTTAAATGTAAACACATTTTTAAAAAAGAAATATCTCTGAGGGCAGTAATACTTTGGATCTTTCTAGATTAGTGAAATCTTACCTGTGTGGAGCACACTTGAAATTTTGGAAGGCCACTAAAAAGTTAGAAGTAGAAAGTTATTTGTATTAAATGACCCCTTGTATAATACCTCAAATAAAACACGTCTTGATATATCAGACTCCCTCTAGACTTCTAAGTGACTGTGGCCTGTCTGTCTGGCCATCTTTCTTTCCTCCTAAAGATTACAGAGATGTATGATATGAAAAGATTGTGAAGTGAAGATGTAATTCGTGTACACCAAAATTGTTTGAAAATTAAGGTAGAGGGCGATGGCTTTCCTCGGCCCTTCTTAGTTAGATGTGGACACAAGGAGTGTTTAAAGTCTGTATTTTTTTAAGCTGAGAGTAGGGAAGATTGGAACTCCTCAGGGTGTGAGAAGCACAAACAGCTGTATTCCTATGGAAATACTGAAACTCCTGCAGAATTCTTCAGCGCAGGAGAAAATTCCCCTTGCGTGGGTTGGGACAGCAGTAGTCTCTGATTCAGAGGGAGAAAACTCAAAGAGAAACCCAGAGTGCGAACTGAGGACTACATCTTACTTCTCACGCAGCAGGTGAGGTATCTCTGAGATTTGGCCACCCAAATCCAGTCTGCAAATGGGGAGAAATGAACAGTGGTCCGTTTTATAGCTCCACCAGGAAAAGATCAAAAAAATTGGAGAATTGCTATTAGAATAAGTTTTGAGAGTATCTTATGTCATCTTTAAAAACGAGACATTGTAAGATTTTAACAGTGATGATAAGTGATGCATCACGACCTCCTGTTTTTAGTTTTTGTTTGTTTGTTTTTTCTAAAGAATTTAAAACGTAAACATATGCAAACAGAATAGCACAATGAACCTAATGGTCATCTTCAACAATTATCAACTCATAGCCAATTCGTTACACACTCCCTGAACCTTCCCCTGATATTACTTGAAGTGAATACTAGAAACAAAATCATCTCATCTCTAAGCATTTCCATATGTATCTCTAAAAAAATTCTTCTCTAAACAAAACTGCAATACTATTACTACATCTAAAAAACTTACAACAATCCCTTAACATCATCAAATCTCCCATGTGTTCAAACTGCCAATTGTATCATGAATGTCATATTTTCTTTTAACAAAATATTTGAGTCAGGATCCAAATAAGGTCCACACATTGCAGTAGACTTTTAAAGAAATCAACAGACTCCCCCTCCATTTCTCTTTTTTTTACCCTCTCAAAACTTATTTATTGAGGAAACGTCTTTCTTTCCCGCTCTTTCCTTCAGTCTGGATGTGGCTGATTACATCTTTTTGGCGTAACGTAATATATTCCTCTAACCCCTGTATTTCCTAAAAATTGGAAATTAGATAGAAAGGCCTGGTTAGATTCAGGTTTGAGCTTGTTGTTTGTTTAGTCAAGACTATTTCATACTGCTTTCTTCCATCAGAAGGGACGTAATGTCTGGGTTTCACTTTTTTTGTGCTGTGAGCAGCCACTGATGTTCAGCGCCAAGTCTCAGTATTTTGGGTTTTCCCAGGGCCCCAGGTCCTCATTTGTTCACTGTCACTCAGTGAGCTGGGGCATCTGGTCAGACCTAAGGTCTTCAGCTTTAGCCAGCTAAGAACTTTCAGGGACCCATCACCCCAAAGTTATGCTTTTTCAGAATGATTTTGTGAAAATAAACATATTCAATTCAATTCATGAAACTTCAGTACATAAATAAAATTGTACCAAAATATAGAACAAAGACAAATTTTTAAAGTATACGAAGTCTTTCTATTCTTACTTGAAGTATACTGTTCTTACTTGATGAATGGCATCATTATTTTGAGCTTCCTTTGCCATAATCAGTTTCCACTTGTTGGTTAAATACCCATTGTGTATTCTGTGCTAATTTTGCTTTACTACTTATTTAATGCTCTTTAAAAACCAGGATATCTGAATGTGTAGATCTTGGATTTCATGCAACTGGTGTGCTGCAGTAGAACTGCAAGCAGAAGCATACCTTTACAGTTCTCTTTTCTTTTCTTTATTTTTTATTTTTATTTTTTGTGGGTACATAGTAGGTGTATATATTTATAGGGTACATGAGATGTTTTGATATAGGCATGCAATGCATAATAATCACATCATGGAGAATGGGTGTCCATCCTCTGAAGCATTATCCTTTGTGTTACAGACAGTTCAGTTACGCTCTTTTAGTTACTTTAAAGTGCACAATTAAATTATTATTCGCTATCATCACCCTGTTGTGTTATCAAATACTAGGTCTTATTCATTCTTTCTAACTTTTTTTTTTACCCATTAACTATCCCCACCTCCCCACTAACCCCCCACTATCCTTCCCAGCCTCTAATAAACATCCTTCTACTCTGTGTCTATGAGTTCAATTGTTTTAATCTTTAGATCCCACAAATAAGTGAGAACATGCAATGTTTATCTTTCTGTGCTTGGCTTACTTCACTTAATGACCTCCAGTTCCATCCATGTTGTTGCAAATGACAGGATCTCATTTCTTTTTTATGGCTGAATAGTACTTCATCGTGTATATGTGTCACATTTTCTTTATCCATTCATCTCTTGATGGACACTTAGGTTGCTTCTAAATCTTGGCTATTGTGCACAGAGCTGCAACAAATGTGGGAGTGCAGATATCTTTTCCAAATACTGATTTCCTCTCAGTATTTGGAAAAGATTGCTGGATCATATGGTAGCTCTATTTCTAGTTTTTTGAGAAACCTCCGAACTGTTCTCCATAGTGGTTGTACTAATTTACATTCCCACCAACCAGTGTATGAAGGTTCCCTTTTCTCCATATGCTTGCCAGCATTTGTTGTTGCCTGTCTTTTGGATATAAGCCATTTTAACTGGGGTGTGATGGTTTCTCACTGTAGTTTTGACTTGCATTTCTCTGATGATCAGTGATGTTGAGCACCTTTCATATTCATGTTTGCCATTTGTATTCTTTTAAGAAATGTCTAGTCAAGTCTTTTGCCCATTTTTTGATCGGATGATTAGATTTTTTCCCATAGGGTTGTTTGAACTCCGTGTATATTTTGGTTCTTAATCCATGTCAGATGCATAGTTTGCAAATATTTTCTCCTGTTCTGTGGATTGTCTCTTCACTTTGTTGATTGTTTCCTTTGCTGTATGGAAGCTTTTTTTTTTTTTTTTTTTTTTTTTTTTGAGACGGAGTCTCACTCTGTCACCCAGGCTGGAGTGCAGTGGCGCAGTCTTGGCTCACTGCAACCTCTGCCTCCTGGGTTCCAGCAATTCACTGCCTCAGCCTCCCAAGTGGCTGGGATTACAGGCGTGCGCCCCCAGCCCAGCTAATTTTGTATTTTTGGTAGAGACGGGATTTCACCATGTTGGTCAGCCTGGTCTCGAACTCCTGACCTCGTGATCCACCCACCTTGGTCTCCCAAAGTGCTGAGATTATAGGCGTGAGCCACCCTGCCTGGCCACTGTGTGGAAGCTTTTTAACTTGATGTGATCCCATTTGTTAATTTTTGCTTGGGTTGCCTGTGCTTGTGGGGTACTACTCAAGAAAATTTGCCCAGACCAATGTCCTGGAGATTTTCCCCAATGTTTTCTTGTACTAATTTCATATTTTGAGGTCTTAGATTTACAGGTCTCTTTTCTGAAGCAGGCCTGAGACTTACGGATCTTTCCCTTGTATTCAGATGGCTCTCTTCTGAGCTGGAGCAAGTTTGCCTCTAACCTTTCCTCTCTTTTTATCTCTCTATCCTTCCTCCCCTCTTTTCTTTCTTCCTCCATCCTTCCTTTCTTCCCTTTTATTCCCTCTTTCCTTCCTTCCATCTTTCTTCCTTCCTTTTTTCCTCCCTTCCCTCCTTCCTGTCTTTATTTCTTCACTCATCCTTTCTTTCTTCCCTCTTTCTTATATTCTTTCCCTTTCTCCCTTTCTTCCTTTCATCTTTTGTTCTCTTTATTTTTTAGCTACTATGGTATTCTGTCCCCTAGGTGTACTCTCAAGTCTCATCTCACTGATAAAATCTATGTTGATGCAAAGATAATCTTGGTAATGTTAAAATGTGAACCTGATTCTCTGTTCGCAAAGCTATCTTTCCAAATGCATACAGTTATAGTCAGCCATTTAACACACCCTGATAACTTCCAACTGTGTACTAGGGGTATGGAGGAGACAGACAAGTTACAACATGGTGGGAATGCTAACAAGAATAGGTGCAAATAATGTACTGTGTGACAACTAACAGGTGACTCTGCTAGGGAAAACTGCGGGGGGGGGCTTCATCTGGGAAATGACATTTAAGCTGAGTCTTCAAAGAATATGATTAAGACAGTATATTTGTGTGCAGGTGCAGTGGCACGCCTGTAATCCTAGCAGTTTGGGAGGCCCAGGTGGGCGGATCACCTGCGGTCAGGGGTTTGAGACCAGCCAGGCCAACATGGTAAAACCCCATCTCTACTAAAAATACAAAAATTAGCCAGGCATGGTGGCACGTGCCTGTAATCCCACCTACTCCAGAGCCTGAGGCTGAGGCTGAGGCAGGAGAATCTCTTGAATGCAGGAGGCAGAGGCGGCAGTGAGCTGAGATCATGCCACTGCCATTCAGCCTGGGTGACAGAGCAAGACTCTGTCTCAAAAAAAAAAAAAAAAAAAAAAAGATAGTATATTTGTGTAAAAATAGTTAAGGAAAACTTAGCAACTTAGCATGTTATTTTATTGCAGCATTGACCCCAAGTTCTTAGCTAATGGACTTGACTTTTATGTATAGCAACAACTTATATATATATATCAACTTTGCTTATTGGAGAAAGTGAGCCTGACAATATGTTGTTTCCTTCATATGTATGCAAAAATGTGTAAGTGTAAAATACCATGTTTATCAGCTTCCCATCTAATTTGTAGTGGGACAAAAATAACTTTTAGGTAGGTATGGGGAGCTTTGGGATGTGGGTGGACACAGTCACCTTTCTTTCCCCGCTGTGGCAGGATCTTCTTTTAGGTAGTAGTGAAAGAGGATTGCCTTCTGTGCTCCCACTATGTGAACTCCTGAGTTGTTGTAGGGGTCTACAGACCCACAGGTGTGCTGAGTTATCATTTGTCTGAGTTTTAAGGTCTCCCATATAGATGTATTCCCATGTTTCTAGTATGTATAAAAGAAGTATTTTTGCTACTCTAGTACAGAACCTTTTTTTCCTTTTTTTTTTTTTTTTTGAGATGGAGTCTTGCTCTGTGGCCCCAGGCTGAGTGCAGTGGCATGATCTTGGCTCACTGCAACCTCCACCTCCTGGTTCAAGCGATTCTCCCACCTCAGCCTCCCTAGTAGCTGGGATTACAGGTGCCCGCCACCACACTCAGCTAATTTTTGTGTTTTTAGTAGAGACAGGGTTTCACCATGTTGGCCAGGCTGGTCTCGAATTCCCAACATCAGGTGATCTGCCCACCTCGGCCTCCCAAAGTCCTGGGATTATAGCCATAAGCCACCGTGCCCGGCCCAGAACCATTTAAAAGTATCATTGGAGCTGTAGTATTAGCTCTCTGTCATTATGTATAGTTTTAAACAATAGATTCTAAAATAAAATTACTATCTTATATGTTTGGAGTGTGTGTGTGTGTTGGTTAAGAAGTTTTTGAACATTTCTGGAACTAAAAGGAATCTTCATAAAATAGATAATGATAATGTTTGAACAACATTTGAATGTACTTAGTGCCACTGATTTCTACACTTTAAAGTGCTAAATCTTCTGCTATGTATATTTTACCACAATAAAGAGTATTTTTAAAAAAATTTAAAACTTAAAACAAGACATATACACAGAAAATAAAGGGATTTTCATATTTGAAAAAACTGGACACCACTGTCCTAGAACTTCTATTAATCTGGCAAATGCGTAGCCAGCACCAAGCGAAATGCACATGGTGGTCTCACCTACAAGCCTGAGGTTTCATCAAGAGCCTTACAAATTCCAACTACTCTGTCTCCATTGCAAAATATACAGGTTCAAAATGTGTATTCATCTAAAATACAGAGAATACTGTGTTTTTATGGGTAAACAAACATTTTCTGTTCAAAGTATACTATTTAGATATAATGAATAAATACTATATGTATTCATCAATCAACAGTGTCTGAAGGTTCACAGCATGTCACATGCTACATATCAGGTGGAATGCTGCATGTCAGGCGAGCCATGCTCTGTCCTGTGACTTTAAGTGTTGAAAGAAACAGAGGTCGCTTCATTTCTGGGGCCTGCCACCTAGCAGGGATGGTGCTCGGTGCCTCACTCATGAATGTGTAATTGCACAAGATGATGACTGTGATGTGACTTTACTCTATGGTAAGGTCAGTGAAAGGACAAATACATGAGGCTTTGCAGGCATGTACAGGGAGAGACACCAGGTGTTAGGGGATGGCTCAGAGAAGGGCTTCCCTGAAGAAGTGATAGTTCAGCTGAGGTTTGAATAATGAACAAGTAGAGACAACACTCATAAGAGGAAATTAACCACATTTCCCCTCTCAGACTCGACTCTTCTCCCCAGTAGTGTGTATCGTGTGTTCTTCAGTGTTCCACCCCGGCATGTAGCATTTGACGCATTGTGAACCCTCAGTCACTGTTGAGTGATGAATAAACATATAGTATCTATTCATTATATCTAGATAGTATACTCTGAACAGAAAATGTTACCCATAAGAACACAGTATTCTTTGTATTTTACATGAATACACATTTTGAACCTGTATATTTTGCAATGGAGACAGAGTAGTTGATTTGTAAGGCTCTTGGTGAAACCTCAGACTTGCAGGATAAGACCACCATGTGCGTTTCTTCAAGAACAAAGACAGTTGGGGCAGGGGTGGGGCTTGTATATGCCTTAGGTAAGATCATCTTTGTGAGTGGAGGAGAGGATTGGAGAAATGATTAGACCCACAGTGAGAGGGTCTATGTGAGCAGGTACATATAAATGGAGTCTTGCTAGGGAACCTGCATTGGCCAAAGTAAAACTTAATATTTTTTGATATATAACTTTTGCATTGTTTCTAATCCTCAACCAAATTTTGGATCAGAATGAACTTCCATAACAAAGACATATATATATGTGTATATATGTATATATATACAGGTTCAAAATGTGTATTCATCTAAAATACAGAGATATATATATATACACACACACATACATACACACACACTAACACATACACACACACAAATAAGGGTAAGTAACATAAAATGCTCTGCTGGAGGCTTAAAAAGCAATACCGCGTGAGTTGAGTCATTTTGGAAAGGGTGAATTAGCAATATATATTATTCTATAATTAAAAATTCAAGTTGTCCGAGTTTTAAAAAGCTCTCTGAAAGAGCACAAAGAAATACGATTTTGAAAACGTATAATACAGTCAGCATAAAAGCTCTATTTCCTTTGTGTGAATGAACATTTCCCATGTAATTAATTTACTTACAATAGATACTTCAAATCCTTCTACCAGATATGTAAAAATTTCTTTCTGAAATGCATTGAAAACAGAAAACTATTCATGATGAATATTTTCCTCAGAAATTTCAGTTTGGAAAACTGAGGTCTTGCTTTGAGTTACATTTTCTGGAGTTCTCAAAATGTCAATAATGTCTGAATTAAACTCTTTGAATTGAAAAAAAAATGCTCTGCTGGAAGATCAGTTAAGGCTTCCTAATGTAAACAAAGATGTAATAATTAAGGTGAATTGTTTCTGTAGTAGACTCTTGTTACTACTGATATTATTTTTGCAGAGAACTAGATGTGGTGCAAGAAAAATCACATGCCCCAAATTCACCAGTTACACCTAGTAAATGTATGATTGGTAGGTTCTCCCTCAGTACCAGTCTAATAAATAAACCTTACTTTGCTTCTAAATCTAGGGACTTGGAATAGTGAATTGCTTTCAACTTTTTATTTTATTTTATTTATTTTTATTTTTTAAGATGGAGTCTTGCTCTGTCACCAGGCTGGAGTGCCGTGGAGCAATCTTGGGTTCAAGTAATTCTCCTGCCTCAGCCTCCCGAGTAGCTGGGATTACGGGCACACACCACCTTGCCCAGCTAATTTTTGTATTTTTAGTAGAGACAGGATTTCACTGTGTTGACCAGGATGGTCTCCATCTCTTGACCTCGTGTTCTGCCCGCCTCGGCCTCCCAAAGTGCTGGGATTACAGACGTGAGCCAATGCACCTGGCCGTGACTTTTTATTATCTGTCAAATCCCAAGATAAATATTAAATTTTTCAAATAAATTTTACGGTTTTTATTATGTTGTTGCCATTGAAGACATAGGACCACTTATAGCATCAGATTCTTTTTATAAAATTGGCAAATAAGTTTATTTATGGTGTTACAACATGATGTTTTGATATATGTATAATGAGTAAATCAAGCTAATTAACATTTCTATCACATTACGTAAATTTTTTTTGTGATGAGAACATTTAAAAATCTACTTTCTCAGCAGTTTTCAAGTATACAATGTATCTTAGTCCATTCAGGCTGCTATAACAAATTACTATAAAATAAATGGCTTATCAACAATAGACATCTACTGCTCAGAGTTTTGGATACCCAGAAGTCCAAGATCAAAGCACGGGGATATTTGGTTGCTGGTGAGTTCCCCCTTTCTTTATAGATGGTGCCTTCCCGCTGCATCTTCACATGGCAGAAGGGGAGAACAAGCTCCTTAGGACCTCTTACTGATCCCACTCAGGAGGGTTCTGCCCTCGTGATTTAATCTCCTCCCAAAGGCCCCACCTCTTAACACCATCACCTTGAAGGTTTCAGCGTATGAATTTTTGGGGGATACATTGAGGCCATAGCACAATACATTATTAACTGCAGTCACCATGCTATACAGTAGCTCTCCAGAACTTATTCTTCCTATCTAAATGAAACTCTGTACTCTTTGATCAACATCTTCCATTTCCTCTCATTCCTCTCTCGCCAGCCCCTGGTAACTACCATTCTAGTCTCTGCTTCCATGAATTTGACTTTTGTTGATTTCAGGTTTATGTGAGATTGTGCAGTATTTGTCTTTCTGTGCCTGGCTTATACACTCAGCATAATAATAATACTCCAGGTTCGTCCATGTTGTCAAAAATAACAGGATTTCCTTCTTTTTTAAGGCTAAATCGTCTTCCATTGTATATATATGTAGCACATTTTCTTTATCCATTCATCCACTGATGGATACTTAGACTGACTCTATATTTTGGTTATTGTGAATAATGCTGCAGTTAACATGAGCATGCAGATATCTTTCAAGATACTGATTTCATTTTCTTTGGATACATACCCAGAAGCTGAATTGCTGGATCATATGGTAGTTCTATTTTTAATTTTTTGAAAATCCTCCATACTTTTTTCCACAGTGGCTCCACTAATTTACATTCCCACTAACAATATACAAGAGTTCTCTTTTCTCTACATGTTTGCCAACATTTATTATCTTTTGTCTTTTTGATAAAAGTCCTTATGACAGGTATGAGGTGATATCTCATTGTAGTTTTGAGTTTCCCTAAGTATCAGATTCTTAATGTTTTGGTCAAAGAGACATGTATTAAGATGAATAGCAAGAGTCGTGGCAGTAATGATCAAACATAACTACTATGGTTACAATACCTAAGGGAGAATACCTCACTCATTTAAAAATTGGTGCCTCCTGATTCCATAATGAGAGAAATGAGTGAGAAAAAATGGAACAATAATGGCATTTCTTTTATACTATTTAAGAGACTCTAATAATTATTCTTGCATATATTCTTTTTCTTTCTAGGAAAAGCCATTGACAAAATCTCTGCAACGTGGAGAAGACCCCCAATTTGATCAGGTATGTGATATATATGTTATATACTAGTTTTCCTTTATTTCAGCATTCACGCAAGGCAAGGTCTGCATGCTCACTATTGTTGTATGGATGAACATCCTCAAAAAGTATATGGGTATGTGGTCTTAAGAACTGTACCCTGCAGTTTTCATGGTTGTGGTTTATAGCTGTTCAGTAAATGTCTATTGGTTAGAATCAAAAAGAACTGGAAAGTATTGGGATAATATGAGTAGGTCTTCAATTGATTATTTCCTAAATCTTTACATATCAGAATTAAAGAAACCAAGAAAAGAGAGTTTAAAGGAAATTCCATTCGTTTAAAAACTTGAGATTCTTCTAAATGAATGATACTATGTGATGATCAGATCTCTGCACTAGAGCTTATTCTTGTTTTCATGCAACATTTTTTTGAAGGCCTACTATTTGCTTGACGCTGTGCTAGGTACTGGTGATACAAAATCTAAGATAACTTTTAGGTCTTCAAGAATTCAGAGTCTTGTGAGAAAGATACTACCTCAAAATAAGTATAAAACAGTATAGGATCTTAGATTCTAATAGAGAAAATAATACATGAACAAAATGATTTAAGACAGAATAAATACAAGGTAAGTCCTTTGAAAATAGGTTAGGACTAGTAAAGAACATTCAACTCTAAACAGTAGGTAATAAACATATGAAATCAGGATCTGATAGATTCTGGTTCAGTAACCAGGAAGGCCCTAGGCATGTTTAAAAATGATGGATAACAGGACATCCAAGGAGGCTGGAGGTATGTTTGTGAAGTTTCCTAAACTTTTGCAGTTAATGACAAAAAGGACATTATGTTCTTCAAAAACCTCAGTTGGTGCCAACGTCAGACACAAAATACTGCTAGATATTCCCTGGCTTGTGGTAGTACGGTGTTTTTATGGTCTAATGAAAACCACACAGGGTGTACACTTTCTGTCGGGCTTTGAAACTGCCTTTAATATGAAATCCAGAGGAAGTCTCCCTGGCTGTACAAATTTAGACTTGTATGATCCAGAAACACCATGACTGTACAGACAAAATCCTTTGTTTTCTATTTTATGAGCTGTTCTGTGAAGGAGACCTCACAGGTTTATGCTCACAGCCAGCCCTGCAACGGTGGCGTGGCTCTGGGCTAGCTCTGTTGCCAGCCAAGCTAGCCATTTTCCAGAAGGCTGGTGAAATGGAAGATGGGCCTCATCTCTTTGTGCCATGGCACTATCTTCTTTTGTCACATTGTCCATTGTTGTTGTCACCTGGCAGGTGCTGAGGTGGTCAGAGACCCTTGGTGAATACGGTATATGATGTTTGGGGTTACCATTTTGGAAATGTGGCAAGTTGTGGCTTTTTAAGAATAAATATCATTCTCAGCAAACTATCACAAGGACAAAAAACCAAACACCGCATGTTCTCACTCATAGGTAGGAATTGAACAATGAGAACACATGGACACAGGAAGGGGAACATCACACACCAGGGCCTGTCGTCGGGTGGAGGGAAGCGGGAGGGATAGCATTAGGAGATATACCTAATGTTAAATGACGAGTTAATGGGTGCAGCACACCAACATGGCACATGTGTATGTATATATGTAACAAACCTGCACGTTGTGCACATGTACCCTAAAACTTAAAGTATAATAAGAAAAAAAAAGAATAAATAGTGCTGGGCGCAGTGGCTCACATCTGTAATTCCAGCACTTTGAGAGGCCGAGGCAGGTGGATCTCCTGAGCCCAAGAGTTCGAGACCAGACTGGGAAACATGGCGAAACCTTGCTGCTATCAAAAATACAAAAGAATTAGCCAGGCATAGTGGCACATGTCTGTGGTCCCAGCTATTCAGGATGCTGAGGTGGGAGGATCACTTGAGGAGGTGGAGGTTGCAATTGAGCCGAGTTCACGCCACTGCACTCAAACCTGGGTAACAGTGAGACCGCATCTCGAAAAAAAAAAATGTACATACTTATCACCTGTCTTTTATTAGCTTTCCACTCTATTTTATATTCTTTGTCTCTTTATCTTATTAAATTATCACTGTCCTTTCTTCAAAAACATTTTTCTCCAGCTTAATGTACCTCTCTTTATCCTCTGAGAAAATCGTTCTAAATTTTAACTTTGCAGATAATAGTAATCCCAAATAACTAGGCTTAAACACAATTTCTTATTTGTTACTCAGCTTTCTATTTCTGAATCTCAGTATTGTGGAAAAGACATGACCTTTGGAATTAGACAAACCTGGGTTTAAATCCCACCTTTGTCACTTAATTAGCTATATCACTTTTAACTTTGCGTCTCCAAGTGTTGTCCATGGATCTGTGTCATCAGCATCACCTGGGAGCTTGCTAGAAATGCAGACTGTTAGCCTGGCCCCAGAACTGCTGCATCCGCCACCTAACAAAACTCCCAGGTGACTCACATGCACATTAACGCTTGAGAAGCCCTGCCCTGTAACATATCTCTATGTATTAAAGACACTTTAAGTGTGAACCAATAGTAAGATGGTCACTAAGAACTTTCAAATAGGTCACATAGGATTGTCCTCTGATCATTACATCATAAACTCACAAATGAACTGTGAGAGAGGACAAGCCACAAAATGTAGTCCAGTTTTAAAGTGATAGCAAGACTTTCAGGCCTGATATGGTTTGGCTGTGTCCCCACCCAAATCTCTCCTCGAATTGTAGCTCCCATAATTCCCACATGTCATGGGAGGGACCCAGTGAGAGGTAATCAAATCATGGGGGGCCAGTCTTCCCCATGCTATTCTCATGATAGTGAATAAATCTCATGAGATTTGATGGTTTTATAAAGAAGAGTTCCCCTGCATATGCTCTCTCTTGCCTGCTGCCATTGTAAGACGTGACTTTGCTCCTCATTCACCCCTGTGCCATGATTGTGCAGCCTCCCAGCCATGCAGAACCGTGAGCCAATTAAACTTCTTTCCTTTATAAATTACCCAGTTTCTGGTATGTCTTTATTAGCAGCGTGAGAACAGACTAATATAAAGCCATAGAGAAACTTGACTAAGGTTGGTCCACCTGTAGATTCAGTGGGGAAAAAGTTGGCAAAGCATAATAGCTTTTGAAGGTGCTTACTGTGGTTCAAATGTGTACCCTCCAAAATTCAGCTGCTGTTAATGTGATAGTATCAAGAGGTAGGGCCTTTAAGTGGTAATTTTCCCATGAGGGCCCCTCCCTTGTGAATGGGGTTAGGTGCTCTTATAAAAGGTCTTGACAGAGGGAGCTCCTCTCTTTTGGTCCTTTCTCCATGTGAGGACACAGTGTTCAAGGAGCCATCTTGGAAGTAGAGACCGAACCTTCACCAGACAGTGAACCTGCTGGTGACTTGATCTTGGACTTCCCAGCCTCCAGAACTGTGATGAGTACATTTTTGTTCTTTATCAATTACCAATCTCAGCAGCACTAAAACAGTGCTCATCTGCTGTTTCAACCAACAAACTATAAGAATTTCAGTTCCATTGGTAAGGCCATGAATATAGCAAGGTCTCTTAGTCCTTTGGCATTAAACATTCAAATTATATAGTTTTATTCCAAACAGTAGGATTTTAATCTGGGTTGCCACAGAAGTCTGTCTATGGGAAAAGAATATGCTGGAGATGCCACCTTGAGTGGTTCAGACTCCATTGCTATAATTGTAGGAGTAGTTGTAATAGTAGAGATAGCATTTATTTAGTACTTATATGTGATAGGTACTATGCTAAGTGCATCCTTTGAACAACATACAGTTGGTTCCTGTTTAAATGATATTTGTATCAAGTTCTTTCTTCTAAATGTCACTGGCATGAACAACAGGGTATATAGAGCTAGGTATCTACTGTTTCACTGACTAATCCTGAATGGCCCTTTTTACTCCTCTACCTAACCAGCCCATGATTCATTTTCTTCTTGCTAGAAATAGAAGCAAAAAAAAATTCATGTAATACTTTATAGTTTACCCAGCCCCTTCTCATATTATCTCACCTGACATCACTCAGTCCTTCCAGCAACTCCAAGAAGGTATTATCTCTATATTAAATATAATATAATAATATTAAATATAATATTAAATTATACTAACATTAAATATAATATATTAATATTAAGTTAAATTATATTAACATTAAATATACTATTGTATTAATATTAATACACTATTATGTTAATATTAAATATATCTATAGGATATATAACATTATATTTACTATGATATTATATTTAATATAGAGATGATAATAATGGTGAGTCTCAGAAGTTTCCCAATATTATATGACTAAAACCTGAAGGAGCCAAGACTGTAATTTATTGTTTCTGACAATACAGCCTGTGCTTTTTACTCCATAATCTTTGTTTCTAAAAACTAGGTTGATGAGAGTTCAGAGGGAAGTTTTCAGCAGGTAAAGGATCTAAAATCTTTTATCAGTTATGATTAGCTTTGGCTACAAATGGCAAATAAAGTAAAATCTTCTTGAGCAAGATTATTTTTTCTTTCTTATGTATGGCTTACATTCTCAAAGTCCAGTATGGCTGCTAGAGCTTGGCCATTGCATCTGTATTCCAGGCAGCCAGAAGGAGAAATGGAAAAAGAATTATAGAAAAACAAAAAACAAAACTTTCCAACATAGCATATACCATTTCTACTTATATCCAATTAGCCAGATGTCAATCACATGGCCACATCTAGCTATAAGAAAGGTGGAGAAATTTTACTTTGGGTGACTATGTGTCCGTCTAAAAATGGGGTATTTTATACCTAAGGAAGAAGAAAAGAAAAAGAAGAAAACCTGTTATTGGGTAACAGCTAGATGTATCCACTAGATATTTAGCCAAAATGCCCAAAGTAGAACTATTTACAGTTCTGTACCTCTTTCTTTCCCACTGTGGGTTTCTCCTCAAATTTGCCAGTTTTCCAGTTTGAACTTAAATATACATATATATTTAGAAGCTAAAACTTCATGTTTTCTTTTATATTTTATATTTTTACACTCATAATTTTATTGGTTTAGTATTTCTAAATTTAACCTAATTACACTCCAACTCTGTAAGAATAAACCTGGAAGGGCCTGGCGTAATGGCTCACGCCTATAATCCCAACACTTTGGGAGGCCGAGGCGGGTGGATCACCCGAGCTCAAGAGTTGGAGACCAGCCTGGCCAACATGGCAAAACCCCATCTCTACTAAAAATACAAAAATTAGCCAGACGTGGTGGCACGTGCCTGTAATCCCAGCTACTTGGGAGGCTGAGGCAGGAGAATCGCTTGAACCTGGGAGGCAGAGGTTGCAGTGAGCTGAGATTGCACCACTGCACTCCAGAGTGGGACTCTGTCTCAAAAATAAAAAATAAAAATAAAGAAGAAACCTGGAAAAAAGATTTTATAAATGACAAGATGTCTAAACAGGATTTTTAAAGCTCAGTGTTAGTAGGAGAAATATACTAGTGAATGCTTTACACATTGGAGAACTAGGAATTTGTGCCCTCATTTCCAGAATTTCACTTTTCACAAACTTCAGGAATATGAGTTTTTTTCCATTGTTATACAGCACCTACCTCCTGGCAACCATGTGCCAAGCATTATGCCAACTCATGGAAACAAACAGGAAGGAAGCATAGTGCCTGCCCTAGAGGCCCCACCACTGGAGTCTCGTTGGAGAGAAAAATAGAACTACAATCAGATAAATGATAACCGCAGACTAGTAAGTAAGCTAAAGCGGGTGTGAGCCTCAGGAGAGCAAACTTCGCCCTGCCCTGAGGAGCCAGGGAGGCCTTCATGGAGCAGGCAGCAGAGGTTCAGAGCAGTATGGGCTATCCCTTCTGGTCCATGCTAGTGATAAAGTCATACCAGTAACAAGAATCAATAAAGGCAGAAGAGAATTCCAACAGCATTTGAAGATGTATATACTATCACTATTTATTTTAAATTACTATAGTAACTGTCAGGGCTTAGCGAGTAAAAGGAACTAAAAATCGTTCTGGTAATAAAGTAATTTAGCAAACACTTACTGTGCATGTGTATATGTATATACATACACACAAAGTTTTATATGAGACAAAGAGATGTAAGAATGTGGTCCCCAGGCATGTGTTTCACATTCCAGGAGCTCCAGATCTGGAAGAGGGTCAGGCAGTGCACAACCAGCCTTGACATAGGCCTGCATGTGTAAGAAGTGCCACATGAATGGTGTGGACAGTAAATATGCTGAGACTTCAGGGACAGAAGACACATGCCTCAGGACCAGTTGCCTAGCTAGAAAATGCCTTCTAGATGAGAACAAGATTTATCAGGTGCCTAAAGCAGTAGAATCGATAGGATTTGCTGAGTGTTGATGATGAGGAAGATAGGAAATTTCAGAAGAAAGGAACATTTTATGCAAAGGTCCTGAACAGAAAAATGACACTATCAGTTATCTTTGAGGAACCTAGAAATTGATCAATTTAGTTGATGCAGAAGGCATGTATTGTTAAAGGATAATCTTCAAAAACAGGCAAAAATATGACTCACATAGAGATATAAAATGAACCTGTATTAAACATTTTATTTAACTTGTTATTAGTGCAGGATGTTACAACCAGTTAAATTCCAAAAAACAGACACATTTATAAATCATCATTGAAATGAATGCAATCAGAGGCAAAACTGGCTTCTTTCATGTGGGGGAGGGAAGTCCACTGAACCTTCACTGGACAGTTTTTCATGTCTATAGACAAGAATTATTTTGCATTGCTATCAGGTATCTACCATTTATACAATTTTAAAATAGCTCAAAGGCATTGACAGGTATAGAGCCCCCATAGACTCAGAATCAGATAACCCCTTGAGAGGTATGCTTTAGTTTTCCATTGTAAACAAACATTTCCTACAGTCTGGCAGAAGTTAAAAAAGAGATCAGGCGGCAGAGGTAGAAAGGGATCAGATTGTGGAAGATCTTAATGCCAGTGGGATGGGGCTGTATGCATACCAGTATCAAGTTGTCAACTTGATGTTAGCCTTAAGGAGACAATGGTCATGAAGGCAGTAATGAAGAGACCTAAGGCATTTGGGGAACATGGCATTGATAAAGATTCTAAGCTAAAGGGGCCTAAACTAAAATGGAGGCAGTGAGACTATAAGAAAGGACGATTATAAGCAAAATTATATAAAAAGGATAAACATTGGTTGAGAAAAGGAGAAACAAAGGATAACTGTAGTTTTAAGCATGATTTGGAGCGATTTCCATTCAATTAAACAAACAATGAGTGCCTGACACATACTAGGATCTGTGCAAGGTGCTGAAGTCACAAAAATGAATAAGACAGAGCCCTGTCCTCCAGGAATTCTCAATCCCAGAAGGAAGACAGTTATCTACACAAATAAAGTGGCAATGTAAACGCTATAATAGAGGTTGTATCAAGTGCTCTAGGAACTCAGATAAAGGAGGAGTTAATGATGCTAGGAAGGTACACAAGTGTGTGCTACAAGAAGCAACCAAGGAGCAGTGACATTTAAAATAAGCCTTTTATCCAGATGAACAAATTGGGCCAGGGTATGCCAGGCAGCAGGGGTCTCACAGACAAAGGAGAAGTTGAAGGTGAAAAGAGCAGAGTGCTGGGAATGAGGGTAGAAAGGTGGACTGAGCCCATTGCAGTGGGTAGTAGGAGCCGTGCTGAGGGGTCTAGATTATTTTCTATGGGCTATGAGCTCTTCAAGCAGAGGAAACTATACTTGGGGGCAGAAGACAAGAGAAGGCTGTAAATCCGTTATGCATACTGAGTTTTCAGGGAAGGTGAAATATCTCAAGAAAAATAACGGGTTCAGTTTATTATGTGGTCACTCAACAAACACTGATAGAGACTAGAGCACATAAGTAAAGAACGTCATAAAGAGTTTAGTATCAGGAGGTGGGATCTACAAAAGAATGGCTAGAAAAAGGGTAGTTTGGAAAGTGGGAGAAGTCTAGAGATAGTGCTCTCTAGGGCAGGGATGGCCCATCACAGCAGCTGATGCAGGGACATCACGGAAGATGCAGACCAGGAAGAACTGGAGGTTAGCAGCTAGGAGCTCACTGGAAGTGGCTTTGAGGAAGGCTTTTGCTGCAATGGCTATTCATGGATGTGTAGAGTGCATTTTCATAGTCGATGGACTAATGTTAAATACTTTGAAGCTTACTTTCACAAGCTAAGTTATAGTGGCTGATTATGATTGGTAGCACCTAAATAACAAAGCAGCGTGCTAGAACATAATCATGGAACCAGTGATGAGTTCCTTATCTGGCATCTGTGGAGAGCATCTATGAATGAAAGGCATGTGAGCTCACCATTTTACCTTCAAGTGGTTTTCTTCGTTGTACAGACATCTTTTTACAATAAAAGTCCACAGCATTTTATTTCAGATTCTCCAAAGAAACAATAGCCAACAACAAAGAACTACTCATCCAACCGTGATGAGCGTGGGCCTGGGTGGGTGATGATCAAATTAGCCCATTTTTAAAAGTGAAAAAGCAACACTCCAAAATAACTCTTACTTGAGGGAGTTTGTGACCCTTACCTGTTGGAGATTGTATTAATGACAGCCACTAGATACAGTTACTCTCAGAAATGAAAATTCTAGCTGATGAATGAAGTCAGAAACGAATATTCTTTCACATACCTTCCAGCTACATGCAAATGCTTGCTTGTTGATTTGCTCTGCCCTTGGCTTTTAGACCTTTGCTTATGTAGTATTTAATGATGATATAAACATACAATGTGTTAAATAATACCAAAAATTGTATGCTGTACAATGTTTTTCTGTTTGAAGTATTATTTCAACTTTTAAAACAGTCTCATACAGTAAGTGGAAGTTATTTTCTCTTTGCATAATAAAGTCTGATTACTCTGCAAAGGAGCATGTGTCAGAGCAATCAGAATTCAGATCCTTATTGTCACAGATGAATTGTCCTACTATGCTTTGGCATTTCATGAGGAACAGCATAGAAGATAAGAGAAAGTACAGGAAGCTAATTAAGACAGGGCAACATCATAGGATTCTGGGGAAGAAATCCTTTCCAGGAGAACCTGGTGAATACTGTCATTTGCTCAGGAGACTTCAAGGGAAATTATTGCAAAAAAGGCCATTGGTTGGCCATTGAATTGTCCCTGCTGATTTTTCAAATAAAGGTGCCAATAATGTGGCAAGGACAGAAATCAGATTTCAGGGATCAAGAAGAGAGTTGGGGGCAGATGCAGTGGTTCACTCCTATAATCCCAGCACTTTAGGAGGCTGAGGCAGGTGGCTCATTTGAGGTCAGAAGTTTGAGACCAGCCTGACCAACATGGTGAAACCCCATCTCTACTAAAAATACCAAAAAAAAAAAATTAGCTGGGCGTGGTGGTGTGTGCCTGTAGTCCCACCTACTCGGGAGGCTGAGACAGGAGAATCACTTGAACCTGGGAGGCAGAGGTTGCGGTGAGCCGAGATTGTGCTGCTGCACTCCAGTCTGGGCAACAGAGTGAGACTCCATCTCAAAAAAAGAAGAAGGAGAAAGAGAAGAAGAGAGTTGGCAGTGAAGCAGGAAGAGGAAGCATCAGCATTGCATGGGTGATTGAGAATCTGTCAGGAAGAAGGACAGATAATTGAGAATTAGATGAGAAAGGGGAGAGCAGGATCATATGAGGGCTACATGTGTTTTACAGAACGCTCTTATACCAAATGAAGTACAGGAGCTTCACACTGTGCCTTCTTGCAGAGGGTTGTGTCCATTTGTCACAACCCACTTATATTTGGACTCAACACTTTTCTCAGAGTGGTTGAGGATCCTGAGTTAATTGGTTTTATTCAATTGATTGATTCTGATTCCAGAATAGTCATGAGTTACTATCCTCAGTGTCCTTTCTCATTGGCTTTGAAGTGAGCTGTTGCCTGCAGCAAACTCAGGGAGCCAGATGTTTGCTACCTTTCTCTCAAGGGTCTAATGCAGGACAGACATTGCTCAGTGACCTCTAATGCAAGCATTTGCAAGGCGCCAGGCAAAAGGCTTTGTATTTACATCTGCTGGAGTCAGAAAAGAATGGGAACACAAACTAAGTTGCAAGGGTTCTAATGAAGACCCTGGGAGTTTGTGCTTGGACACGGGATAGGTGGGGCTTTTCAGGTTCCCACAATATACTTAGAAAGTGACATTTCTTCAGCTCTGGTGAATAAAATCCTGACAGCAAATTCTGTTACTTATTCTGTTATTAACTTAGCCTGTGATCTCATCACAGTCATTTTTTGTCTTTTTTTTTTAATGCTCCTCTTTCTATATTTGGAAATGAAAGAAGGAAACACATTTTGGAAGGTTTATTATGTGCCCCACGTTTTATAGCATCTCATTTGTCCTCTTAAAATCCCAATGAGGTAAGTATTTAGTCCCATTTTACAGCTGAGAACACAAAGCATCAGAGAAATGGTGGCATGCCAAGCTTATACAGCTATAAGAGGCAGAGTTGTAACTTGAACCCAAGACCATTTGATCATCCCATACACTAGAGAAACTATGAAAACATGGCACGTGAGTGGTCAGTCTCACATGTTGGGTTCTGAGAACATTAAGCTGTAACTATTTGCAATTGAATGTGACTTATATTCTTAACTAGTGTCATATCCGTGAATTGCAGATCATTTGCCCAAACATTCTAAGTAACTTCAGTTAAGGTTTTCTTCCAGATGTTATGTCTTACATACTTTTGTGTACTTGTGTACTTATGTACCGTTTACTTTATTTCTTAATATGTTAAAATACTATCTGTAAACAGGAAACACATGGTTAAACATATTCACACCTCTATAACTGAGCTAAAATCACTTTCTACCATCTTGGTAGTAGTAATTTTCCGGAAAAGGAAGCAGATGAAGAATGTAAGCAATTAAGAGTGAAAACAATTTAACTGGCATTGGATTTATATTAGTGTTAGTCAGCATTGCTTTAATTATTCTCTAGTGGAACACTGTTCTATGAAATGAACTAAGATGTTAAAATCAAAGAATCTTTTCCTAACTTGAATGAAAAAAAATATTTAATGTATAGATTTTTATGATATTGTTTTTCTATGAAACTATTCTTAAATCTTTGTCGTTACTCATCAAATACTATAATCTAGCAATAGTATGATATGTGATCAAGTATAAATAAATTGCATTTGAAATTAAGATATCAGCATTTTATGGTATTACACAGTGAGTATCGTGGCCCTCAGAGTTGCTTGACCACTTGAATTTGTTAGAGAAATTAAACCATCAGTGCAGTTACTTTAAAGTTATTCATTAAATGTTCCATTTATGAGAAGCCAGTCTTATTACTATAAAATATGGAATGACTCCACTGAGTAATTATTCAAACACTTATATGTAAAGTTTCCTTCTTTGCGTTTAACAAGTATAATGAAATGCTTATGAAAAATCAATGTCTTAGCTGCAGCATAACAGTCTCTTTTGGCCTATTTATACATAAACTGCCAAAGTAAACATTAAAACATTTACAAAGTACATTTAGTTTTCTTCTGTATCCCCCCAAAAAAGAAAACACAAGTATGAAATAGTCCTGTGATTCTGTGCACTTCATCTCTTCATGCTGCCCAGTACCTAGCTCACTAGCTCATCTGTGGTGGAAGAATATGATCATTTAAATGCAACAAGAACATCTTTGTAAATGGGCCTGCCCTCTTTCATCAGGAGCACAGAGCTAGAATTCATCTTACCATTGGCTCTGCTTCCCGTAAATGAAGGAGTTGAGTAACCAAGAAGCCAGCTAGACCTTCCTCCCTTCCTGAGCTTTGAGGGCCAGGTCTTTGCAAATTCCACCCTTCCTTCCTGAAAGCCTGGGCTCAGAAGGGCAGTAACAGAAAGATGGAAAAACACACACATCCACCCCATGCTGACCTTTCATCCCTTCTAAGATGGTTTCAGTGTTTTGCCATGGAAAGTATGCCCAGTAGATCTAACACCAAGAATGGATTCAGGGTGACTTTTTAATGGGGGAGAAAAAAATATTTTAAGAAATTATTATAGATGAAGTCTGATGAACACTGTGGAAGTTCTCTATGGAGAATGGGGGTTCCACATACATGAGGTAGCGGAACATTGCATGCATTGCCCAGAGATGTTTAGGAGTCAAACGTAAGTTTCCATCTCTTTTATGGGTCTGTAGTGAGTATTGGAACTTATAAATATCCCACACAAGTATTTTTTGAATAAACTTTTTATTTTGAAATAGTTTTGGATTTGCAGAAAAGTTGCAAAGATAATTCAGGCAGTTGCCAGTTTCCCCTGCTGCTATAGCATCTTACACTGCCATGGTACTTTTGTCACAACTAAGAAACCAGCATAGGTACATTATTGTTTTATGTGTTGGGCTTTTTTAGTGGTTTACTATAAAGGAGATTGCAAAGGATATAGATGAAGAGATGTGTAGGGCAAGCTGTTGGGGAGGGGGTGCAGTTTCCATGCACATTATTGTTAACTAAACTCTACTGTGCTTTATTTGTATTTCCTTTCTTTTTCTCTGATATCTTTTTTCCGTTCCAAGATACCATTCAGCATACCACATGAACGTTTAGTCATCATGTCTCCTTAGATTCGGCAGATTTACACAAGTATTTTTAAATTATTGAAATATAACTGTAATGCTTTGAAATTTCGTTACCTATGTAATAATTAAGATAGTCATCCTATAGTCAGAAACTCTGAATTCTGATCCCTTTTTCTTCAATGGGAGGAATGTCCTTCATTTCTCAATTCAAAACATTTTAGATGTTGGTGACTTCGGAAAGTAAATATCCTTTCTCATGTTGGGATAACTTTAGAAAGAATTAGTGAATTACTACCTTGCCACATCATGATTAGCTTTCTTCTGAAAAGTTACTGCTGTTACATTCATGACCACAGCAGGAAAAATATGTCTTGGCTGTGGATTTCACTAGAGTCAAGGGAAGGGTGACTCTTTAAATAATTAGATTGCTCTTCAGTTTTAAAAAGTTTATGCTGACTAGGTTAACAGGGCAGGCTGAATGCAATAGCCTATTTATTTTTACCTTATATTAACTCATAACTAAAGATAATGTACAATTTTGTATGTGTACATATAACCATCATTATGGGAGAGACAGCATGAAGTAGGCTATGAAGTGGTAGAATGTGAGAAAGAAAGCAATAAATATTTTGTTCAATCTTAAGGTTTCTTTTAAAGGTGACAGTGGAAAATCCTATTGACACAAAGCACTTTAGCTCCCTTTGCTCTCATTTCCTGCTTTATAAAAGGAAGTGAAGCCCGGCCTGCTTAACTGCAGAAATATTGTGAGTTAACTAAGGATTTCCATTTCTTCTGCCATCTCTGCTTCTCAGGCCGAGATCACAGAATGCCTGGAATCACTGCCATCACCTCATGCAGTTCAAGCATGTGTGTGAATTTGCCTCCACATCACCCCACTGTTTGGGGGATTCAGCCTCCCCATACACAATTTGTATGGGCTTATGTCCCTATTCAAAAATCTTTAGAGTCTTCTCATTTTCTAGAGAAGAAAAATTTTCAGCATTATGTTCCTTCACTCTGGCAAAATAAAGTCTTCATACCAGTCAGATATTTCTTCTTTCATTTCACTCAAAACCTTCGTCACATCAATTGTGATAATCATCAACAGTTACTTTATACCTTCATTACTAAAGGCTTTTTCTACCTTGAGTCTTTGCTTTTTTTTTTCTTGGGTCTCATCTCAAATTTCTACCCTTTCTAAAATAGTCCCAGGTAAACTCTCATCTTCATTTCTCTTAAATTCCCAGCCTCCTTCTCCCTCTAGTGATCTGACCTAAGAACCCCTGGTTTTCACATGCACTCTATATGTTAGTATGTTTCCTTCTGGTCCTGTTTTCTGCATATGTATACTTACATAGTATCTCTAACAAATTGGAATCATACCAATTAAATGATTCTTCATTTTTTTCATTTACCATATCATGAACATTTTCATGTCATATTTTTATATTTATATTAAAATATGATTTTAATGGTTTCAAAAATAGTCCACACCAAATTCCACATCTTATTAAGCATTTACATGTAGTTGGACATTTATGTTGTTTCCATCCTTTTGCTATAATAAATAATGCTGTCCTGCACCTTCTTACTTATCTTTAATTATGGACTTGAGATAAATTCTAAGAGTGGCCTTCTTGGGAATGATTTTTATTAGGTTCTTGATATGTATTTCCAGAGATGTTATGCCTGTTTTTTTCTATCAGCGGTATATGAATATATCCACTTTATCACTGCTCATCAACTCTGGGCGTTATAATTTGCTTATACAGTTTGTTGATTAGCTAGTTAAAACCCATTTCATTGTAGTTTTACATATTCTGGAGACAAGGCCTTAGTCAGACATGTGTTTCGCAAATATTTTCTCCCACTCTGTGGTTTGTCCCTTATCACGATCTTAACTGAATTCTTCTAAAAGCAGAAGTTTTTGGTTTTGAAGAGTTTCATTATATGAAATTTTATCATAGACTTTGCTTATGGGGCCGTACCTAAGAAATCCTTGCCTAATACAAAGTCACAAAGGTTTTATCCTATGTTTTCTTGGAGTTTTATATTTTTAGGTTTTATACTTAAATTTATGAGGCATTTTGTGGAAACTTTTGCATAGAGTAATGAGATATGGATTGAAGTGTTTTTTTATAGTAATCAGTTAAAAAATCAGGACTCTTTCCAGATAAGGAAATTAGAATAACAATTCTACCAAAGGCACATTTGTTCTTTAAAGAAAAAGGGAGAAGTTTGCCTTTAATGTAACAGGGGGTAAATTATTGCTGCCCATTTATATTTTGAGTCTAATTTGGGGCATACTTCAAATTAATGAATGAATAATTATTGTCCAAAACCATACATTATTATTACCACTTAGGTTATTTGGTGATGGGGGCAGATTTGTTTATATCATGTAAATTATTAATGTAACTGTATTCATATATTTATACAACAAACATTTTTAGGACGGAAGAAGCATTCATCTACTTTAGGCAGATGAACGTGGGAACATAATATCTTTGCAGTTCCATGAATAACCTGTATGCAATTAACATCTGATTTCTAGAATGAAAGGGAGTCAAAGTAATTAACTTTCTTGAACTACAAAATTATTCTTATATGGGGAACATTTGTCACCATTAAGAGACAGGCTCTTGGGAATGTACTAATAAAGATTATGAAAGAAAGGACTGTGATACGGAAGAAAATATTTTAGTGAGTAGTGCTTGGGGTTACTTGTGAAATAAAAAGTTTCTCAGTAATTGGCAGTGCTACCAGTGTTCTAATCACCTGCATTTTCCTCCATAGGTCATCAGCTCAATGAGCTCCCTTTCTGAGTACTGCCTGCCTTCCATTCTACGTACATTATTTGACTGGTATAAAAGGCAAAATGGCATTGAGGATGAATCACATGAATACAGACCAAGAACAAGCAATAAATCAAAAAGGTACATTTCTTTTGTGTAAGGATCATGGTTTTATTTTGTTTTGTTTTCAGGAAACATAAATCAAAATTAGAGTTACAAGGCAATTGGGTCTTCCTGACTCTTCACAAGGATGCCTAGCAGGTGCTGCAGGGGCCCTGTGTCTGTAGCAGGTAACCCATTTGGAGCACCGAGTCACTGCCAGCCGTCACGGGTTGAAAATTCATACACAGCTTTATTTCAACTTTGGTGGAGACAGGTGTGAAGGGCCACAGGTCACTTTCTTGCCAGCTTCTTTCCTCTGCCCTCTCCCACTGAGTCTACACCCAAAGCAGAATGCTGACTTCAGGCCTTGCGTGACATGCCAAGATATTTTAGTCCTCGTTCCAGTAACCTTGAGTGCTCAGTGTACTGTAGTGGGAAGGACGCTGGACTGGACGTTAGTGGTAGTCCTGGCGCTGCCACTATTTAGCCATGTGACTTTGGGCAGCTCCCCGCCTCTCTGTACCTCAGCCTCCTTGTGAGCAAAACAAGGAAGTTAGGTGACACCATCTCCAACTCCTCCTTCCAGCTGAGTATTTTGTTTATTTATTCTCTGTTCCCTTCTTCCTGTGGGTTTGAAAAATGGAACTTGCTGCTCCAGGAGCATATCAGCATCTGTAAAACTTAAGATTCTCATTAATGTGTGTCCTCCCCAAATTTTAGGTAAGCACATATAATTTCATATGTTTAGTCAACCTATAGCAAGGCAGTGAATATAAGAAAGATTAATACACTTACCTTTTTTAAAAAAAATAAAAGATTATTTTAAAAAGTAGTTAGATTTCTCCACATGAATGGATTATTCCAATTAAAAAAATACTTTTAAAGTCTGTAAACTGAAATTAATCAACCAGAAAATCAGACATTAACTACTTTTTGTGAATGATTTATTTCTCTCATTTTTCTTGAAAGTCCTAATACTGTTTCAAAAGACTTCTTTTGAAATAGAAGAATTGTAACATTACCATGTTACACTTCAACAAAATTTGTAATCTGCTTTTATAATGTGCTTGAATTTATGCAAGATTTAATCATATAATTTTGTTTGGGAGAGAGATTAATAACTTTTTCGTATTGAATTTTTTTTAGTGAAGAAGGAAATTTTTAGAATTTTTAGATATAACTCAGATGCCATAAAATTCACCCTTTTAAAGTATATAATTCAATGTTTTTAGTATATTTACAGGGTTGTACAACCATTACCACTCTAATTTCAGAACATTTTTATCACCCCCAAATCCTGTACCCATTAGCAGCCTCTCCTCATGAATATTTTTTTAATTTATCAGGTTTTAAAAATAGAATTTAAATTGTTTATCTGAAAAATGGTTCAGACCATGTGATTAAGAAATTAAAAGGATCATTTTATTATTTTTTCCATATTACATGTTGTCTTATGAACAGATATTAAACCTTCCCAGGGGCAGGGAGTGGGACAGTTTTTAGTGAGTTGAATTGAGTTTTAGTTTTGTTCCTCTGTTTTGTCAGAATTTAGTTGCTGAAATTAGATTTTTCATGAATTGATTTCTTTATGGATTAAAAATTATAGTTTTTAAAATTGTGTTACTGATTATTTTCAGGAGATCAGAGTAAGTACTGAGATCAGATAAAGAATCAGGACAGTAAAATTTGACTTAGTAGCATTTTAGTTAATGCTTGAATTTTTAAAATAAGAGAGAAAATGTGCTTAGAAAACAGCCAAATGAATGAAGCTCTCTAGGGTATGGTGTAGCTAAATGTGAGTTTCTGCTACTAGGAAAAAAAGGTTGGGGGGACTTTAAGGAGGAGCATAAACTACTGAAAATAGATGTCAGGGATGCACATTGGGTTGTGATTTCTGAGATTAGTACAGTATCAGCATTTGGACTGCCAAATAAATCTGTCAAATGTCTCTGGCTCCTGGCAGTTAGACTGCAAACCAGCAATAAAGTTGAATTCATTATTAGAAATGTATATGTCTTACTTTGATTTGAAAACATAATTTGGCTTATTAAATAAAATAGAATCAAAGGTCTACATTTTTTTTTCTGCCAAGAACTGCTACTTTCTCAGGTTCCTCTGGCCACTTGTAAAGACCCTTAGCATCCAGCACAAAAATACTCTCTCTACTGCTGCTGGCCATCTCTGGGAGTTCTCCTTCCTTTTGGTCTTTCCAACTTCCTGTCTCCTTATTCTATAATATAATGGATATAAAGCCTGATTTCTGAGTGCCCTCCTTTTTAATGCAGCTGCATAGATTTTCCTTTCCCCCAGCTCGCAGTGCCGCTTACTAGTTCCAGTGGGTCTTGAAGGACTTTAGATAGATGGTTTTGTTCACAGCTCTTTCTCCTGGCAGGGCTGTTCATAAATGATCCTGAAAGAATGAGTTCCTACTCTGTTGATACATTTACTCCTTGAAAGATAAACATGCAAGTTCCTTCTTAACGCGTTCTGTCATCCACCAGCCTTAATTTGACTTGCTCAAAGTTACAGAGCACTCCAGAAGGTCTTCTTTATATCTTAAATATCACATTATTTTCTTCTTATTCCCTTTTGACTAAAGAGAAAAACATTCCAGATTTAAAATAGTCTTGATTTATTTTGAAAAGATCTTCCTGGCAAGTCTAAATCCTGTCATCCCTCCTCATTGGTTTTATTTAATATATACTATTGAGCATTTATGTGTTTGGGAAATTATGCTAAATACTTTACATGTTTTATCTTCTCAAACTATTATGTAAGTACTATTATTCACATTTTGTAGATGGAGAAATTGCCGATAAATAGAAGAGGCATAATTTTATGCCAGACTGTTCCACACCAGAGTCAGTGCTCTAGGCCACTTCTTGTGCCAAGGAGCCCAGCAGTAATTTCATCTGTCTTTGTTCAATTCCAAATGAGCCCTCAATCAGTGTGTTAGTCAAGCAGAAAATGGGGTAGAGGGACTGCCTTCCTGTTCTTCTGACAGTGCTGATTCTGCTTCTAACTTTTTTAAACATTTATTTATTTTTCCGTACGTTATTGGGGTACAGGTGGTATTTGATTACATGAGTAGGTTCTTTAGTGGTTATTTGTGAGATTTTGGTGCACCCATCACCCAAGCAGTACACATTGTACCATATTTGTAGTCTTTTATCCCTCGCCCCACTCCCACTCTTCCCCCCAAGTCCCCGAAGTCCATTGTATCATTCTTTTTTGTTTGTTTGTTTGAGACGGAGTCTCACTCTGTCACCAAGGCTGGAGTGCAATGGCATGATCTCAGCTCACTGCAACCTCCACCTCCCAGGTTCAAGTGATTCTCCTGCCTCAGCCTCCCAAGTAGCTGGAACTACAGGCATGCACCACTGTGCCTGGCTAATTTTTGTATTTTTAGTAGAGACGGGGTTTCACTATGTTGGCCAAGCTGGTCTTGAACTCGTGACCTCATGATCCGCCCACCTTGGCCTCCCAAAGTGCTGGGATTACAGGCGTGAGCCACCATGCCCAGCCCACATTGTATCATTCTGATGCCTTTGCATACTCACAGCTTAGCTCCCACATATCAATAGAATGTTTGGTTTTCCATTCCTGAGTTACTTAACTTAGAATAATAGTCTCCAATCTCATCCAGGTCACTGCAAATGCTGTTAATTCATTCCTTTTTATGGCTGCATAGTATTCGATCATATATATATACCACAGTTTCTTTATCCACTCATTGATTGATGGGCGTTTAGGTTGGTTTACGATTTTGCTATCATGATTTGTGCCACTATAAACATGCATGTGCAAGTATCTTTTTCGAATAATGACTTCTTTTCCTCTGGGTAGATACCCAGTAGTGGGATTGCTGGATCAAATGGTAATTCTACTTTTAGTTCTTTATGGAATCTCCACACTGTTTTCCATAGCAGCTATACTAGTTTATATTCCCACCAGCATTGCAGAAGTGTTCCCTGTTCACTGCATCCACGCCAACATCTACGGGTTTTTTTGTTTTTTGTTTTTTGTTTTTATGGCCGTTCTTGCAGGAGTAAGTTGGTATCACATGTGGTTTTGATTTGCATTTCCCTGATCATTAGTCATGTTGAGATATTTTTTCATATGTTTGTTGGCCATTTGTATGTCTTCTTCTGAGAATTGTCTACTCATGACCTTAGCCCACTTTTTGGTGGGGTGGTTTTTTTCTTACTGATTTGTTGGCATTCATTTTAGATTCTAGATATTAGTCCTTTGTCAGATGTATAGATTGTGAAGATTTTCTCCCACTCTGTGGGTTGTCTGTTTACTCTGCTGACTGTTCCTTTTGCCGTGCAAAAGCTCTTTAGTTTAATTAGGTCCCAGCTATTTATCTTTGTTTTTATTGCATTTGCTTTTGGGTTTTGGGTCATGAAATCCTTGCCTAAGTCAGTGTCTAGAAGGGTTTTTCCAATGTTATCTTCTAGAATTTTTATAGTTTCAGGTCTTAGGTTTAAGTCCTTAATCCATCTTGAGTTGATTTTTGTATAAGGTGAGAGATGAAGATCTAGTTTCATTCTCCTACATGTGGCTAGCCAATTATCCCAGCACCATTTGTTGAAAAGGGTGCCCTCTCCCTACTTTATGTTTTTGTATGTTTTGTCGAAGATCAGTTAGCTGTAAACACCACATAAACAGAATTAAAAACAAAAATCACATGTTCATCCCAATAGATGCAGAAAAAGCATTAGACAGGCCGGGCGCAGTGGCTCACACCTGTAATCCCAGCACTTTGGGAGGCCGAGGTGGGTGGATCACAAGGTCAGAAGATCGAGACCATCCTGGCTAACACAGTGAAACCCTGTCTCTACTAAAAATACAAAAAATTAGCTGGGCATGGTGGTAGGCGCCTATAGTCCCAGCTACTCGGGAGGCTGAGGCGGGATAATGGTGTGAACCCGGGAGGCGGAGCTTGCAGTGAGCAAGATGGCACCACTGCACTCCAGCCTGGACGACAGAGTGAGACTCCGCCTCAGAAAAAAAAAAAGAAAAAAAAAAGCATTAGACAAAATCCGGCATCTCTTTATGATTAAAACTCTCAGCAAAATCGGCATACAAGGGACATAACTTAATGTAATAAAAGCCATCTACGACAAACCCACAGCCAACATAATACTGAATGGGGAAAAGTTGAAAGCATTCCCTCTGAGAACTGGAACAAGACAAGGATACCTACTGTCAGCACTCTTCTTTAACATAGTACTAGAAGGCCTAGCCAAAGCAATCAGACAAGAGAAAGAAATAAAGGGCATCCATATAAGTAAAGAAGAAGTCAAACTGTCACTGTTTGCTGACAATATGATCATTTCCCTTGAAAACCCTAAGGACTCCTCCAGAAAGCTCCTAGGACTGATAAAAGAATTCAGCAAAGTTTCCAGATACAAGATTAATGTACACAAATCAGTAGCTCTTCTATATACTAACAACGACTAAGCGGAGAATCAAATCAATAACTCAACCCCTTTTACAATAGCTGCAAAAAATAAAATAAAATACTTAGGAATATACCTAACCAAGGAGTCGAAAGACCTCTACAAGGAAAACTACAAAACACTGCTGAAAGAAATCACAGACAACACAAACAAATGGAAACATATCCCATGCTCAAGGATAGGTAGAATCAATATTGTGAAAATGACCACACTGCCAAAAGCAATCTACTAATTCAATGCAATCCCCATCAAAATACCACCGTCATTCTTCACAGAATTAGGAAAAGCAATTCTAAAATTCATATGGAACCAAAAAAGAGCCCACATAGCCAAAGCATGACTAAGCAAAAAGAACAAATCTGGAGGCATCACACTACCTGATTTCAAATTATACTATAAGGCCATAGTCACCACAACCACGTGCTTCTAACTTTTAAATGAGCACAAATGACTGCTTTGCTTCTCCTACCTCTTCTTCCTTCTGCCTTTTACTCTTCTCTCTCACCACCCCTTCACTTCTTCATTCCTCCTTTCACTAAGTCTCAAGTGGCAAAAAATGTAAGAGAAAAGGGACAGGGAAAGAAAAGAAAAGTGGTAATGCCGATCCTCTTCACCCCTGCAGTCCTGCTCAAATTGGTGATCATATTATTTCCTTCTTGTTTCCTTACATTGTTTAGCTCCTTTCACGAGATCTTTCAATGTCCACCTCTGGTATGGTAGCCTGTCTCAAGTTGTTATCACATTTTACAGGTGGTAGAATTGCAGAGTTGAAAGCTACCTTAGAAAAGACCACAAGGTGAGGTGATAGACGCACAAATAACTACTCAAGTTAACATCATTGAAAATTTTAAATTTGAAGTCAAATATTCCGACTTCAAATCCAATGTTTGTCCACTGCAGCACACAGAGAATTAGCATGTTTTGTTGTTGTTGTTGTTGTTGTTGTTTTGAGATGGAGTCTCGCTCTGCCTCCCAGGCTGGAGTGCAGTGGCATGATCTCAGCTTACTGCAACCTCCGTCCGCCTCCCGGGTTCAGACGATTCTCCTGCTTCAGCCTCTCAAGTAGCTGGGATTACAGGCATGGGCTACCATGCCACCTGGCTAATTTTTGTATTTTTAGCAGGGACGGGGTTTCACCATGTGGGCCAAGCTGTTCTCAAACTCCTGACCTCAGGTAATCTGCCCGCCTCGGCCTCCCAAAGTGCTGGGATTACAGGCATGAGCCACTCCGCCCGGCCAACGTTAGCATGTATCTACCAGTGCAATTATATAATTTTAAAAATGGGTTTTGCAGTCTATTAGGGAGGAGTCCTAGATTTTTTATGAATTGTATTACTCTGAGAATACCTTCAGTGTGCTTTAATGTAAATATTTTAAATTTTACAGCGATGAACAACAGCGAGATTATTTAATGGAAAGACGGGACCTCGCCATTGATTTTATTTTTTCTTTAGTATTAATAGAAGTTTTGAAACAGGTAGGTGATTAATTTATTGTTACTTTTAGATAATATTTATTGATCTAAAAACTACTTAGGTTGTAAAAGTCTAAGTTTTTAAAATTATTTCTGAATTCCAAATACTGGGTTATATGACTTATGTTTATTGATTGCTATTGATTGTCATATATAGTTATTGGAAGTACTGTACCGATTTGTTCTTTAATATTCCCTTCTGAGTTAAGAACCACCTTTTTTTTTCAGATTCCACTTCATCCTGTAATAGACAGTTTAATACATGATGTTATTAACTTGGCTTTCAAGCACTTTAAATACAAAGAAGGGTAAGATGATTTCTCACCTTAGAATGTTGAAGTTGGTGTTTAAAACTAAATCAGTGGTTTGCTTTTTTCCGATGACCAGGGATCCCTAACTTGTCTAATTATACCCTACTTAGGTACCTTGGTCCCAACACTGGCAATATGCATATTGTGGCAGACCTGTATGCAGAAGTCATTGGAGTGTTGGCACAAGCCAAGTAAGTGAATGCCAGAACCCTTTACCATGAGAACGTGCGTGCTTTCACTGTCCTTCCAGCCCTAATTTAGGGAAGTTGGGGTTGAGCTTACAAGGAACTAGGTAGGGCTCTTTGCCATGTGTGCCCCATCTCTGAAACTGAATAGAAAGCTCTTCCAAGACAGGTATCAATTATCTTTTTTACTTGGCACTTGGGCCAGATCCTACCTAGAGTCCATGGGTTTCATACTGTTGCATCAAAGAAATGGGGTGACCAGATTACATTTCTCTCTGCCTAAATATTCCAAGGAAGTTTATCACTTTTGAAAGTTCTGTTTTCTCTAGCCCATGAGTGGGTGGTTACAATATATCATCTATCAGTGGGAAAATTCCATTCTAGAATGTCCCCTTTACTATAGACCTTACTTAATTCAGCTGAGCTAAAAATGTCCCAGACTCTGTCATGGAAACAAGTCAGGGGGGAAATTCTCATTGCTAAATTTATCTGGCCCCATAGCACTACTTAGCAGGCAAGAACAAAATTGCGTTAGACTATTAGCAACAATATACCTCTTCCAAAAGTGATGTCACACCCTACTTACCCAGCTTCATTTTGTCCAACCCTGAGGCAAATCAGGCAAGATCCCGAATGCCTAAGTTAGGCAAAATGAACCAGAGACATAATGTGAATTCATGCCAGGAGGTCAGCTTAAAGCAACAGTGATGCTCCAATCCTTGTGAAATGCAATCCTTCCTCAGAAAGAGATTTTTATCTTCAAGGGATTGAATTTCGTAACGTAGTAGCATGGAAATTACACAATTTATCAAAAAAACAAAAATTTTAAAAAGCACTTAGCAATCTTACCTGGCCAAAACATAGACCAGAATGCAGGAAATAGAACCCCTTAACTCCTTGGCATAATTTATTTAATCTAATCCAGTTTATCTACTCATCCTGACTATATTTTTTTTAATATATAACACATCAGTGTTCGAAGGAGGAACGGGAACTTCCAGAGGATGATAAACTGATGCCATTGAGAAATAAAGCTCAACCGCTGGTGGCAACAGAAAGGAAAGAAACTGGCCAAAGCATACATAAGAATTAAACAATAGAGTGATCTGGGCCATTTTGCATGAGGCTATATTGTAGTTTTATAGCCTATTAAAATAATTGTGGTTCATGAATCATTAAGAAAAAAGTGTAATGCATTTTGGAGATATTTCCATTGCAATTGAGTAATGAAAGCATTAGCATTTTAAATGGACAAGCTGTAGTTATCCAGCAAATCGTGTATCTACCTCATTTCTAGAAAAGATTGGGAAAAATGAGGTATTAACATGTATACTTGCTGATTTGTCAAACCCTGAAAATCTCAACATAAACTTTCAGCTGTCATTTGGAAACTTCAGTATCCAAAAATGACTTTGTGTTTTCCTTAGTTTTTGTGAATTATGCATAACAATAATATTGGTTACTGTCAAATGACCTTCCTTAGCTCTGTGATTCTGAGTTGGTTGTGAATAAGTTGAGAAACACTGTCATAACTGAGCAATATTCTAAGCTTGTAGGAATTTCCATTTTAGGTAAGATTTATGGTCCACCAAGTCAGTGTTTGCTTGCCAATGGTGGCTTTTTTTATTTTCGTGATGTCAGTATTTGTCCCTATTCTGCGGTAGTAGGGTGTAAGAAATGCCTCCATTTGGACAGTGCTCCAGTACTTTCCAGTCTCTAGTGAACCGTTTGGCCAGTCTGCTCTTGCAGTAAACACAGACTCCAATAGCCCTTGATGTGTTCTCAACTAGTCTATATGTAGTTAACCTTGATGGATAGATGGTATAAACTTAAACTAGTATCATACCATGAATTATGACATTACTTCTTTCTCATAAGTACACCAGGACCATTACTTTATTGTTACCTTAGAAAAGTACTGTTTCCTTCATTCCCAGGGTGGGAGAAAGAATGTTTGCTTATCTGGTATAGTGTGATTATCTTTTTTAAAAAAGTTGAGTAATGTAATAATTCTAATTTTAGATTATATGTCTCATTCCCAATGATAATGCTTATTAAATATTTTCCTGATTATGACTTTAGCTATTAGTACTTACTTTGGAATTTGAGTTTTAGCAGAATCACTATTTTTAGTCTTACTAGTGATGATGCTGTTTAGTTCTTGTCATTTAGGGAAAAGAATTTTGATAATAAGTGTTATTCACCCATAATATTGACTTTTTGAAAGTCAGTTAAAACAAATTTAACTACTTTGGCCAAAATCTGGTAGATTCATTTAAATAGTAATAATACTTCATTTAAGAATCATAGATTTTTAAACTACTTTCTCTTTATGCGATATTATCTTTATATGTTCATTTACTCATTTTTGTAATATGTACTATACATTTTAAAGCAGAAGTTTATATTCATGTGAATTTTATAGTATACCAAAGACTAAGTAATCATTGAGTTACAGTATTTACTAAATAAAATACTAAACAGGAAATACTAAAGGAAAGGTCATTGAAATTTTTTTTTCTTAAAGTCACTTTAAGAGAAAATAGATTTTAAATGCAAATAGATTTTTTGATGGCTTTTGTGCTAAGTAACATGTTTATATCATTTGGGACTTTTAAAAATAAAAGTCTGAGTGCGGTGGCTCACACCTGTAATTCCATCACTTTGGGAGGCCAAGGTGGGCGGATCACAAGGCCAGGAGATCGAGACCATCCTGGCTAACACGTTGAAACCCCGTCTCTACTAAAAATACAAAAAATATTAGCTGGGAGTGGTGGCACGCACCTGTAATCCCAGCTACTCAGGAGACTGAGGCAGGAGAATCGCTTGAACCCGGGAGGCGGAGGTTGTAGTGAGCCGAGATCGTGCCACTACACTCCAGCCTGGGTGACAGAGCAAGAATCCATCTCAAAAAAAAAAGTAAAAGATAGACGTATTTATTTTTAAATGAGAAATAAATAAACTTTTAGCCACTAACTCATGAGAATATTGAAATAGTGAATTATGCAAATAACTTCCCTTTTTCTCTCTCTCCTTATTTTAGTCATGGATTCAAACTGGAAAACAAACTTTCCTTAGTATCGTGTCATCTTTAAAACTATATAACTCTAACTATAATATTTTTCTCTCTAAACTCATACATTTAAAAATTAAAACCATAGTTATTTTGGTATCTGGAAATAATTTGAAAAGAAATACAATTTTTTAAAATTCAGTTTGGGGTTATTGCATTTTTATAATCTTGATTTAAAGTATCACTTCCATTGCTTGACAGTCATGGTCATTTCTGCTTCCTACCTTTTATCCATCTCTACCGAATGTCCTCTGCTCACCTGTACCCCAGCTCAAATCTCCTCTGAAATCCTCTCTAATTAATTACGCAGATGAGAATAGCCCCTTCATTCTCTGATGCCCTGAAGCCACTATTTAATAGTGAATAGTGATTGACTATTCACCAAATAGTCAGTGTGAAATATAAGAAAGTGATGGAACCTGGTGCATCTGAACTCCCTGAAGATCAGAAAGGTCTGGACAGTGTCCAGCAGGTGCTAACACATAGTAGGCCCCCGGTAAATTATTACTATTGTGATTCACATGGCTCATGGTCAGTGCTACCTTGTTTTATCTTCCTAATTAAACTATAAACTATTCTAGAGAGGGCAGAGACTACATGTTACCATTACCACTGTCTAAGACAGCTGCGGTGTAATGGAAATTCCTGGAATTTATATCAGAAGCTCTGGGTTTGAGTCTCTTCTTTGCCACTGTGGTCTTCCAATCTGTTTCTTTATTTGTTAATTGGAAATGCATTCACTGCCTAATTCACTGGATTGTTAAGGATCAAAATGTGAAATGGTATAATCGCTTAAAATGTAAAACCACTTACAGATATTTCTTGTTATTGTTATTCTGAGTCTACACCAGTGTTTCTCAAATTTTTTCACATCAGAAACACCTGTAGAGCTTATTAAACACAAATTATTATTCATCCCTGGAATTACGGATTCAGTAGGTGTATTATTCTGCTTAAGCTGCCATAACAAAGTACTGCAGACTAATTGGTTTAAACAACAGAAATTTATTTCCCACAGTTCTGGAGTTGAAGTCCAAGCTCAAGGTGTTAGCAGGGTTGATTCCTTCTGAGGCCTCTCTCCTTGGCTTGTATGTGGCCATTTTCTCCCTGTGTCTTCATATGGTCTTCTCTGTGTGTGTGTCTCTACTCATCTCCCAGTCATGTTGGAGTCCTTATAAGAAGGGGAGACGAGTACAGAGACACACACAGAGATATAACTTCATTTTAACTTAATAACTTAGCTGGAGAGGTTACATGGTGTCCATTTTATGATAATAACTTTGTTTTAAGTTAATTACCTTTTTATAAGCTGTATGCCCAAATACAGTCACATTTCGATCTCAGAAGGGTCAGGCTTCAACATATGAATTTGAGGGGCACACAATTCAGCCCTAACAGTAGGTCTGCGGTAGGACCAGAGAATGTGCTGATACCAAATAGATTTTTGTAAATTTAATAAAGTTTCTATTTTAATTTTTGCTAATTTCCTAATCTGAAAAATTAATATACCATTTTGTAGTTAATCTCCATGAAATTTTACTTATAAAGTAAACACAGCTAATATTTTCTACCATATTCTAATAGTATTATTTAAATGTCAGAAGGGGCCAGTTTGGGGTGCTGTCTTGAAATTGGGTATTCTGTAGAAGTCCACCAAATGCCACCGAAGATTAGGAAAATACCCTGAAATATTCTTAGCGATGCTAATAACCCATTAGGGAATATCTCATTCATAAGTTGTCTAAATCTTCTTGAAGCTATTTATATTTTCTGCTCTATTGCCTTTTAAAAATCTTTTTTATTAAGAAATACATGTAGCAAACATAGAGGAAAATCCATAAGGCAGTTAAACAAAGTATTATAAAATGGACACCATGTTACCTCCCCACCTAAGCCAAGAACTAGAAAATTGCCAGCACTTGAGAATCCCCTCACGCCCCACTTGCCAACCACCAGCCCCTGTACTGCCTTTGGTTAAACAATGTCTCTATGTTTACTGCCTACTTTATTTGTCCTGAAATTTCTGCTTTAAGGTCTCAAGAATTGTTCCAAACTTCCGGGACTCTATTAGTTCACCTTTCATTTCTATAATCACAATTACCTCCCCCAGCCTTTTTTTTTTTTTTTTTTTCCGGTGAGACAGAGTCTTACTCTATCACCCAGGCTAGAGTGCTGTGGCGTGATCTTGGCTAACTGCAAGCTCTGCCTCCCAGGTTCAAGCGATTTTCCAGCCTCAGCCTCACGCACACCACCACGCCCGGCTAATTTTTGTGTTTTTGGTAGAGACCGGGTTTCACCATGTTGGTCAGGCTGGTCTCGAACTCCTGACCTCAGGTAATCCACCCACTTCGGCCTCCCAAAGTGCTGGGATTACAGGCTTGAGCCACAGCACCCAGCAACAATTACCATTTTTAATCAAGGCTTGCTTCTAATTTTTCATGGAACCTCAGGCTAATAGTCTCAGAAAACAAAATACAATAAATCTTAGACTGTTTTCTTTGGAAAGTGTTTGTGTGTGTGTGTGTGTGTGTGTGTGTGTGTGTGTGTATTTTTTGGTGAATAGACAAACCAGCTGTGTCAGACTTAGTGGTATGGACAATTTCTATGTGTACATTTCTCTACTCTTAGGTACTTGAAGATCTGCTTCTGCTTTCTCTTAGCTTTAAGATCTGTTCTTTTTACAAACATGGATGATAATATTGTTGTAATTAGTATTATTTTACTTTCGAATACAAATACTTTGAGGACAGGGACTGGACTGTGTCTTTTTGTTTGTTTTGCACTTATCAGATAAAACTGTAAAATTCCATGAATATAATAGACAGCCCATTCATCTTTACCTTTTAGATATAATTTAAATTTTCCCATTACTAGATTTTTTTTTTTTTTTGAGACAGAGTTTCGCTGTTGTTGCCCAGGCTGGAGTGCAATGGCATGATCTCGGCTCATTGCAACCTCTGCCTCCCGGGTTCAAGTGATTCTCCTGTCTCAGCCTCTCAAGTAGCTGGGATTACAGGTGCGTGCCACCACACCTGGCTAATTTTTGTATTTTTTGTAGAGATGGGGCTTCATCATATTGGTCAGGCTGGTCTCGAACTCCTGACCTCAGGTGATCTGCCCGCATCGGCCTCCCAAAGTGCTGGGATTACAGGCGAGCGCCACTGCGCCCGGCCTCCCATTACTAGATTTTTTAACCCAAAAATATATTTTTCAATAATCATTATCCTACAACTATAAAGGAAATGATAACAGAAAACTTTAGAATTACAAGAATACTTGGCATTATTTGGAATACAAATCCTTATATCATTTGCTGTCCCTGTCAGAAATCACTAACCTAGTATGTTATTGCTCATAGACTCACTATTTGATACTTCAGGCTCTGGGGTCTGCAACTGTGTTGAAAATGGCCAAGCCTGAGGAAATGGGGTTTTTTGTGATGCTCAATTTAAGAGCTAGACCATTTTGAGAAGGTCTAAATAAACCGGGATCTGCCCCCTCGCCTGATGAAGATGTTGAGCATCTTACAGTATAAGAAGGGTAAAGGAGAAGAAAATTGGATCCTTTGCCAAATCCCAAACACCAAATCCTTACAAAATCATGGCTGTTGTACTTGAACTGATTTAAAGGATTCCATTGCTCTGCTCAATCACTCCCAGATGCTGGAGGCCCCCATTACAGGGACTTTCCTACCCAATATTTGATAAACCACTTATGTTATCTTCTTAGATTCCCTGCTGTAAAGAAGAAATTTATGGCGGAGCTAAAAGAATTACGGCACAAAGAGCAGAACCCATATGTGGTTCAAAGCATTATCAGCTTAATAATGGGCATGAAATTCTTTCGAATTAAGATGTATCCAGTGGAGGATTTTGAGGCCTCTCTTCAGTTTATGCAGGTAATGTCTTAGGCAGGAGAGCTAAGGTGCTCTCAACTTGAGCACTTCCCTTCCTCAAAATGATGAACCTGGAACATGAAAAGCCAATTACTTGTCAATACGGAGAAACATTCTACTGTCTAAATAATTCATGAAGTCCTTTGTAACCAAATAGTACAGTTGCGGGCACATAATTTCATTTCTCAACTTTCATATATCTTTGGAGGAGAGTATACAGTGGGATTGCTTGTTTGCTGACTTTTTTCTCTTTCACCCACTGGTACATATTGTTCTATGAATAAAATATAACTGATTTTTACTTTTTAAAATTGATAGCATTGGGTTGGCTACATTGACATTCACAGGCATGAGGACTTGAAATAATAAAGAAATCTGTTTTATTCTTACTATAAAAAGGAATCTTAATTTTTAAAAACTCAGCTAAACAATACAGGTTTGATATTTATTGCCCAGTGCCCATCATGGTACATAACAAAAGAATTGCTGCTAAGGAGAATTTAACAGAATACTCAGCTCTTAGAGTTTACAAAACTTTGGTATTTGAAGGAATTTTTAAAATGCTGCTGTGAATTAAATTTGGTGATGACCTTACTAGAGGGTTTAGATGTATGGATTATGAATATAGGCTGTACCATTTTACACCCACAAGGATGGCTATAGTCAAAAATATAACAATTCTGGGTGAAGATGTGGAAAAATTAGAACCTTACACACTGCTGGTATGAGTGCAAAATGGCACAGCCACTTTGGCACAGCCTGTGCCACAAATGGTACAGCTTGGCCCTGGCAGTTCCTCAAATAGCAAAACCTAGAATTACCGTATGATCCAGCAATTCCACTCCTAGGTATATGCACAAGAGAAATGAAAATATATGTCCACACAAAAACTTGAACACAAATGTTCATAGCAGCATTATTCATAGTTGCCAAAAAGTGGAAACAACCCAAATGTCTATAAAATGATGAATGGATAGATAAAATGTGATATATCCCTATAATGGAATATTATTTGGCCATAAAAAGTAGTGAAGCTGATACATGCCACAACATGGGTGAACTTTGAAAATGTTACACTAAGTGAATGAAACCATACACAAAAGGCCATGTATTATATTATTCTGTTTATATGGAATGTCCAGAATAGGCAAATCCATAGAGACAGAAAGTAGACTAACAGTTATCTAGGGCTGGGGATGGGGAGTGGATAGGGAGGTTGCAGATGGCTGCTGAGGGGTAGAGTTTCCTTTGGGTGTCATTAAAAGGTTCTAAATTTGACAGTAGTGACAGATGCACAACTGTGATTATACTAAAAGTCAATGAATTGTATATGTTAAATGGGTGAATTGCATACTACATAAATTATGTCACAATAAAACTATTATATATTGGGGGGACTATGTATCAAACTTCTCGGGTTTGAATTCAAGCTCTGGCATTTACCAGCTCTGTGACCTGACCAGTCACACTTAACCCCTCCCATCCTCACTTCCCTTATCTGCAAGGTGATGATAATGACACTAACCTTAGAGAGTGGTTCTGAGGATTCTTAGCACATGACAAACACTCAGTAACTGTTAAATATTTTATTATTTATCCCACTCTCATATTAATAATTCCTTTATCTATATACATGAATTAAGACTTGAGAGAGTATTACATACTTATGCAAAATAATGTAGCAAAAGAATGACTATTCTGGGAACTATAGAGCTCATCTGTATAGGAAAGCTGTTTCAGTGACTTCCCGTACTGGTGTTGCCTATCTTGAGCTGAGGTCTTAATATGATATTGATAGAATGAGGACTTTAGGGATTGTTTTTGGCAATCTTCCCAATGGCAACAGAAAATAAAGGGAAATAGCCAGTGTAGATATTAACATGTTATTATATTTAGCCTTGGACTCTTTCTTTTCTTTCTTTCTTTCTTTCTTTTTTTTTTTTTTTTTTTTTTGAATTTGAGACAGGGGTCTCACTCTGTCACCCAGGCTGGAGTGCAGTGGCATGATCTTGATTCACTGCAACCTCTGCCTCCCAGGCACAAGTGATCCTCCCACCTCAGCCTCCCAAGTAGCTGGGACTACGGGTGCCGCCATCATGCCCAACTAATTTTTGTATTTTTTTGTAGAGACAGGGTTTGGCCATGTCACCCAGGCTGGTCTGGAATTCTGGGCTCAAACGATCTGCCTGCCTTGGCCTCCCAAAGTGTCAGGATTACAGGCATGAGCCATGGCATCTGGCTGCCCTGGACTCTTGAATGAAAACAATACCTGATATAGACCACAATAAGTTACTACCAATAAGGCCAGGAAGGAGAGAGAGGTGGGCAGAATTCTGCCAACTTTCCTTTTAAAAAAGTTGACATTTTGTTTAAAAAAAAAATGTTGGCAGGCCAACTTTCCTACAGAATGAGTCATTGAGCAACCAAGAACACCCTTACATATGACAACAGTCCACTGGCAGTAGTGTCCTTTCTTAAGGAACCCTTCTAAAGGTTTCCTTGTTGAGGTGGGAGAGGGAAACGTTCCTGACTTGCTTATGAAACTAGGTGAATAATAAACACACCTAAAATGTCAGAGCGAACAAGTAAACAGCTCTGTGCCTGAGGCTGTCAGGCATAGGGCCTAAAATAAGTTCGATGTCTTCTGCCTCTCTTCCCATGTTTACCTTCCCTGGGGATCTGTGTTTGTGGGCTAACTAGGAGCCCAGGGCCTAACACACACACTAAGTAATAAATAGAAATGTATTGGAAGTGAATGACTGAATGAATCAACCAGTGACTCAGTGGATACACGTGTGCTTGCTGGTTAGAGATGCTTTGTCCTTTTAGAATAGTGAATTGAAATATAAGAGTGAAAAAACCAGCCTTGCAGAATGTCATTGAGGCCATTGCAAACATACAAATTTCAATACAAATGTTTGAATCCAGTGATTTTTAATAGACTATGGAATATGCTCTGTTGATACATGATTGAATTAAGAGCTACTTACTGAAACTTGTTTAAATACATTCTATGTGTACATTTCAACCTACTCTCCCTCCCTATACTCTTTTTCTGCTTCCCAGGAATGTGCACATTACTTCCTCGAGGTCAAAGACAAAGATATCAAGCATGCCTTGGCTGGGCTTTTTGTTGAAATACTTGTTCCAGTTGCTGCTGTGAGTTTCATTTCTAAAAACTCCTTCAAATTGTATCACAAAATCAACAATTTTATTAATATAATATTCACATGCATCTCTATTTCAGGCTGTTAAAAATGAAGTAAATGTTCCCTGCCTTAGAAATTTTGTGGAAAGCCTGTATGACACCACGCTGGAACTTTCTTCTCGAAAGAAGCATTCCTTGGTTAGTAACTATGAGAAAATCGAAAACACAAACAAAACTGCACAGACTAAAATTCCTAGACAGGAATCTGTTTGAGGATCCTAAGGACTCCACAGATAGGAAAAGTACCTAAAGCTCCCTCAAAAAGAGGCAGCATTTGAAACTGAAGCTGGCTTTTTGTATTGACCATGATTGAATGATATTCATGTAGGGGGATTAGACCGCATCACCTCAGATGACCCTCTGGTCCTAAGGAGTCTGTTATTTACTTTCAAGATTGGCTTAACTTGATTTTTATTTTAATTTCTGAGAACTTTTTTCCAATCTGAAGGCTAAAGTTTATAATAACAGTTTCTCTTCTCAATCCCCAGGAGCCTGCCCTGGCAAATTTCTATCTGGATGCTAGGATCAAAATGGAAACAGGCAGGAAAAGGAGTTGGGAAATAGACAGTTGCCCATAGGAAGGATTATCTGAAGGCTGGGAAAATAATTCTTGGGAAGGTTTCGGTACTGAAGAGCAGTATAGAAAATCTTTTAGGTTACCACCACCTTTTACCCGCTATGGTGAATAAAGCTTTGGTTTATGAATCGGCGAGTGATGTAACAGCTGTAATGTGAAAGTCAGGAGGAAGCAAGTTGTTTAGGGATCTGGTTACTGGCATGGTTTATGCTAGTCTCCAAAGGATGAGCATCCCTACCATGATTTGAGCAGGTACTTAGGGTTGCTTTGCTGGTAGTGGTGACAAATTTGCTCATTCGTCTACATTCTGTGGTCATTGTGACTAACTGCATGCATATTTTTTAGATTACTGACTAGCATTAGAGCTGCACTCAATGGTAGCAGTAGTTCCAAGTCCCTTTAAAACTAAGTTAATTTAAAAAAAAACGACTAATGAACTGTTAAGCATTGTGGGCAGTTGTTTCTTGTTAATTCAAGTTAACAGATGAGCCAGTTACATTTTTATTTCATGGCCCTTGATTAAGAGGGAATCATAAAGGTCTATTACATCTGGCTTAGCAAAATGGTGATGGGTTCTGCATGTATGATTTTTTTCGGTGGCTGTTCATTACCTTTGCTGTCTTCTCAAGTTGCTGCGGGAAGCTGGCCCAGTTAGGCAGGAAAAGCACAGTAGCACCTCTGTTTATTTGGTCATAAGCAAATTCCTCCTGTGGTTAAATTTGTCTTGGTAGAGTTTACCAATGCAATAACACTTCTTTTAGGAATCTTCCTTAATTACCAGAAGGTTGCATGCAAAAGAAAATATAGACAACTACCTCTAAGATAGGGACAAATTATTAGATGTCTATGAGCAAAAAAGCCAATAACATTTTCAAAATCTGTGTGCCTTCCTGCTTTTTTTTCTGGAGATTAAGAGAGTGATCTAAGATGGTAAGTTTGTTTTTAAATTTTATAAGTAAAGTCTAAATCATTGAATCAGATTTCTGCATTATTATACATGAAACTTCTTTCATTTTATTACACGCTATCCATAATTCTTGGTTATTCCATCCCCAGCATTATCAGAAAGCGTTTGTGAAATGCGCGCCAGTGCCCTGCATCCACTGGGCACTGTTGTGCTACACAGTGTCCTGTTTCTTGCCCACAGGGCCCCCGAGGGAGATGGCAAGGTAGTGGGTACAGAGAATGTATGTTACCTGGTTTGTTGAAATATAAATGATCCTGTGACCTCCTCTCCTTTCTCCTCAGGCCTTGTACCCCCTGGTGACCTGTTTGCTCTGTGTCAGTCAGAAGCAGCTGTTCCTGAACAGGTGGCACATTTTCCTCAACAACTGCTTGTCCAACCTTAAAGTTAGTATTTGTCAGCTCAAAAACGATCTCTTTAAAAAATTTACAGTAGTTTTTAGGCTGGCTGATGTGCTTCTGGAAGTGACTCCTGATGTTTGCCAGGGGAATTGTCCTATACTGGTGGAATAATGAAAAAATATTAATAAGAGTTCTTATTAAATATAGTCAATTTTAGAAAGTGACTAGGAATAAGATAAATCACTTCAGATTTGGGAAAAATAAATCTGTTCTAACAAGGATCACTTTAAAAGTAGAATTAAATGTTCTTTTATATGCATCCATTGTCACATTTTATCTAAATGATTTAAAAATAGAATAAGGGCCACATTCAGCTAATAGAAGCATGTGAATTGATCTCAGAAGCTCACTTATACCTTCCCATCCTTTCTCTATCCCCTCCAGTCTAGAAGAATGTCTCTGGGGCAAAATCTGAGCAAAATTCTAAATATTTTGCTCAGATAGCTCCAGTCTGTGGAAGGACTGACCTAGCAACAGAGAGCACTTCTTTCTTGTCACTGTCATTTGTGATTCTTGAAGGTATCCTGTTCAAGCCACATGGCAGTCAGTCCTAAGCATTCACTGTTTCCAGCAATACACCTGCTACACAGGTGCTGGGTCTTTAAAATGGACTTTATAACTTAAAAGTGGTGAACATGTTTTAAGTTTTAGTAACCTATTGATAAAAGACAGTGAAATGAAAACTATCCCTAACATAAGTGCAAATAGGATGTATTTTTGACAGTTGTTCTTGGTTGTGTCCAAAGATGTGATTAAATTTCTTTTACCAGTTTGATATTAGCTGCTTTTGAATTTTAAGAATATAGTTAGTTACAAAATTTTGTATGTGCTTATACACGTTACCTTTTTTTTTCTATGATGCTTTAATTTGGTGAAGTAGTTAAGATTAATTATATTATTTTGGCATTTACCATAATTACACAATAATCTGCATTAGAGCTGTTTTAAGCACCAACTAGGAGCTGGCTCTAAAAGCTGATTGTGAAATCCAAGATTAGAATCATTCATTTTCTTCAAATTGGCAGTGAAATATAATAGCAGTGGATAGAAAATTAAGCTTTTAAGTACTCTGAAAAAATGAAATGCTTTTCAGGGTTATCAAGTGTTACATAAAGGCCACTTTCAGGTTTGTTTTTTTTGTTTTGTTTTGTTTTTTTGTTTTTTTTTTGAGGATCTGCCATATAGCTCTAACATGTAGCCTAGTGTCATTTGTTAACTGGTCCACTTTCAAGTTATCCAGCTGTTAGTTCATTAAATTTTTTTTCTATTACATTTTACACAGATAGGAAATAGTCACTTTATTGAAAACAGAGAGGGGAATTATTGAGAGTGCTTATAGTGCAGTTTTCTGTATATTCTATGTTTAATGTGTATGGGTTTTTGCTTGGAATTAAAATAATATTTTTCATGACAATCTATTGCTGTGGCCACAGAGACCCCAATTTTTTGTCTGAACTTGTTTTTGAAACATAGCAGATCATCTTACTTTGGAACTTAATTACTTCAAAGTTAGAATATTGCTTACAGCTCTAGTCAAACCCCACCAGAAAGATTTAATATGAGGGTTATATACAACCCCAGAGAGGAGCAGGCCTGGGCACTGACAGTATATCCCTGTGCAAACTTTTCAAGCACTAAGATTTCTAAGAGGCAGTAAGGCCAGAAAGAGGATGTAGAGTGAATGCTATAGAGACTGAACCACATTCCAGAATTCAGTTCAGCAGGGACTTATGTAGTGTCCACTATGTGAGGTGTTAGGGAAGGTGCTGAAAGTGGGAAGGAGTGGGGAAGGCAATTCTATAAAAACTAGATTATTCTAGAGTCCCTGTGCTTGACAAGCTTAGAATTTCATTGGAGGATATGTAATGAAGTTTCAAAATGCGTGATGCAGACAGTGAAGGATGTAAAAGGTAGGAGCAGGGAGATACCTCTGAGAGTTATAAAGGTCACATACCCCACGAATCACGAAAGAAATAATTAGGCAAAGTAAGGCAGAAAGGCAATGATGTCTTATTTTATGGGTAATAATCTATTTGAATTCACTACGTCAAGGCTAAAAGATATAAAAATATCCTTGATAAGATAAAAATGAAATAAAATTGTATTGCATATATTTAGAACTAAACCTAGTAGGGATTTGAATGGACCGTTTAAAAAATGTTATTAATATTCAGAAAACCTTCCAAACCTCTTGAGTCCTTAGTAAGGAAGAAATACCTGAGAAAAAACTAACACAGCTTCAAAGATATACTTTGTCTTGAATTGCTGCAGTATTTTATGGGATTTAGAGCCAATTCTACCATTTCATAAGTGACCACCAAACCAACCCTTCCCCGACGCACCTTTCTGCACCCTTCCCTGCCTTCCTTACCCCTCCCCAGCCACAGATGCTTCAGGATAGTGAACTTCGCACCTGAATCCCACATGCTGACCTTTGGTAGCCACCTTTGATGTATTCTGTAGAGGTGAGCCATCAAGGGGCAGTGTGGCAGAGCAGAGCAGAAGTGTGCGTGAGCGTGAAAACCTGCCCACTTTCAATGTAAACAAGCTCTCAGGGTCAACACTCACTTAATGTCAGTGCCCTGGTTTATTCCCAGCATTAGTCAGTCAGAAGCAGGTTGCTTTGGGAGCACAGACTTGAAATCTTTAATTTTTCTACTTAATTAACTTAAGCATCTATTAGTAATATTCCATTATAAATTGATGAGAAATGTATAGCACCTTTTCACTGAGACATTCACATCTTTCAGGAACTCTTGGTCCGTGGTGACCAATACTTTTTTCTTCTATGTATTTTATGTCAGAATCTGAACATATTGTGCTATAAAAAAATGCATTCCCTTCACATCTGCCATACAACACCTAATTCTGACAAAAGGAAATATGCTTTGTGAACTTGATTTAATAGTACTTTTAAAATGTTGAGTCACCATTTGCAGATGAGAAAAAAATTAAAAATTTAAAAATTAAATGAAATGATGTTCATAATACTATGTGCTAGTTTCTTATCCTTCAAAATAAAATGAATTGGGAGAATTTAAAAATTTCTTATATTTTATAAAAATGAATATAATATACCAGTGAGGCCCAGATTATTAAAAAAAAAACAAAAACAGAAAAGAAACCTCAAAGGTTAAGAAACACATGAATTATTTGATTAATAATAATAATAGCTCTCATTCACTGGAGATACATTATGAGCAGGTGAGTGGTAGAGGCTTCCTATACATTGTTGTGGGTATCATGGCAATGCCACGGGCTACACTGAGTTTCCTTATGCTTTCATGAATGTTGTTTATGCATTTCCAAATATTTGCTCAGATAGCAATACTGCATCTGAAGGTTAGACATGATTCAGTTTAGTTTCAAAGTTGGAGAAACCAAAGTACAGAATGAGAAAGAATACTCCTTTTTTCTCAGGGAGTACTTATGCTAGGACTTAAATCCATTCCGTCAGTTGCCAACAATTCTTTATAAGTAGTCTACCAGGCACAGTTCTAGGTACTGGGAATAAGTGATGAGTAAGACAGTAGCACTCCCTGGTCTCTTAGACCTTGTAATTTAGTGGAGGAGACAGACCAACAAGCAAATAAATAAATACATGAGAAGAAAAAAAAACAGATAATGATAACTACTCTAAAGAAAACCTAATAGATATTAGGATTGAGAATGACGCATTCAGGGAAGGCAGGCAAGGGAGGTACAAGCAGGGTATTTGATTTCCAGAAAAATCTCAAAACAAGTGTGGTTGCCATAAATATATTTGATGAAGCTTGTGTATAGCACTTCAATATTTGTATGTAATAATTGCAATGAAGTTTGAATGCTTTTTTCAACTTTTCACATAATAGTAAGTTTATTAATGTTATCTTTATCTTGTAAATGGAGACATTGAGTAATATATTAAGGATTCCACAATCATTGCCTGAATTAATTAAAATATATGGCATTTATTTTAAAATGACTACTTTTCTCTTTTAAATACCAAATTTAAATGGTATAGTATAGCTATTTTAATTATTAATTTTCAAGATGTAGTTATTCCGCTTTACTATTAATCTCATTTCTATAATCTTGAGAAAATCTGTTTCAGATCTACAAAAATAAAGGCACATTTCAAAGATTCCAATAATGCACATAAACTGGACGTAAAAATTAATAATAAGATGACAAGCACGTTATTTTCCATGAATGCCTTATTTATCCAACCATTCAATAGAAAAATAATTGCCATAAAAATGTTGTTATGATAATTTTAGAGATTATCCTAAACTGTAGCAATAGGTTATTTGGATAATATACAGTCATCAAACCCGGTGAATCATAATCAAAGTAAGTTGATTCAAGTATCAAAAAGAAATGTCAAAAAGATGTAAAGTATTGCTGTGATATGCAAAATATAACAAAGAAATAGATTTACTTAGATGGCTTTCTCTTTGAAATGGAAGAGAAAACTGGAAGGTATTTTAAGTATAACAAAATTAGTAGATGACTAAAATTATCTGTCTCACTAGGTCTTTACCTTAACATACATAAGAATTCCTACAGAAGCCTGTTATAAATGCAACTTCTTGAAGCCCACTTTCTGAGGTTCTGGTTCAGAATATCTAAGGTGCAACCCAGGAATCTGCATATTTATAAGCAGCACAGGTGACTTGGTGCAAATAGTCAGCTGACGGACCTTGAGTAACATTGGTCTATACCACTGATTGCATCACCAGCCAAGTTATCAGTGAATTCACTTGTCCCCACTTGTTCCCATTAACTCTGAATTGTTTTAACTAAATTAATTAAAAGCAAAATTTAAAGGAGGTAGGCATGTTATTAGATAGGCTGACACATTCCATGAAGTCAGTGACTGGCAGTGAGGTGAGATGCAGAGGGTCCAGGGAAGATCTACTCTGAAGCCCACTAGTTTCTTGAACAATTGTATCAATGAACCTCAGAGCCATAATAAATGCATACTATTAATTAATTATTGGTTAATTAATTAAGGGAGATGCAGATTCCAACAGAAGAATGGTTTTTTTTGATCTTGAAGCAAGTATCTTTGACACAGAAATCAGTGGTTTGAGACATATGCTGAAATGTCTGCATCCTGAAAATATACATCAAGCACCTATTCTGTTAGCTGCTAAGGAAATACAAAGACAGAAGAAGAAGAAGTGCTGTCTTCAAGTAGAGTAGGCACCAATAGCATATGTGTGCAGCCTCCACATACTATTAAAGTGAAGTGGAAAATTTAATGCTTTAAAGCCACTGAGGCCAGATTGCCTAGGTTCAGATTCTAGCACTGTCATTTATTAGCTGTGTGACCTTGGGTAAGTTATTTGACCTCTCTGTGCCTAGAATCTACTCCATACATTGCTGTGAAAATTAAAATGAGTTAATATAAGTGCAGCATTGATTAAAATAAAATACCTGCCCTGGCAAGCACCATGTAATACATACATTCCAATTTCTGAGAAAACAATACTTATTAGAGCCTAAGTCAATTCCTATCCCAGCTGTCGTTTACTAACCTGGTTTACTGTCGTTTACTTTGAGCAATTTATTGGGCCTTCCCTCATTTATAAAATCCTTCAATTGACATCTTGTTATGTGAAAGCACATCTGAAATACCAAAATTCCATACAAGTGCAAGATATTTATTACTGTCATTATAATATGAAAATTAGCTTCACCTACATGGCAAAGTTTGTCTTTCATATAGGTCCTGTACAAATGAATCTAGTTTATGCATCAAGTTGTTCAGCTACTACTCAGATTGTTTTTGATTTTGAATACTTTCTGGTTTTGTTTTTAATATATAACCTGCTGTATGGTAGTCACTGAGGACACAAAAATGAACAAATCAGAATGCCTGGAACTCACTGTCTGGTAGGAAACATTCAAGTAAAGGATGTCTGTTTCCTAGAAAACAGAGAGCAGGGGTGCTTGGTAGCCTCTCCAGAGGATTGGGACAGGAGTAGAGGGGCAGGGGAATGTAGTAAGAGGAGATGTAACCTAATTGAAGTTATCCAAGTAGACAAGGATAGGAAGGCATTCCAGGCATGCAGGGAATTGCAAAAGGGATGTTGCAGTGCAAGGTTCACCTACCACAAGGCAGAGGCAGGAAGTGGTACAAGGGAGCCAGGTCACAAAAGGCCCCTCATGTGCTATATTATGAAATTTGGACATTGTCCAGTAGGTGATTAGAAGCCTCTTAAGGACTTTAAATGCAGGAAAGTAAAAAAACATGTTTGTATTTTCAAGAATATCATTTGTGCAAGAATGGAAGAGAGGCCAGAAAATCCATTTAGGAGGCAGTTGCAATGATCTGATATCATCTTGAAATGCTAAAAACCAATTAACAGTACATAATCCACAGACAAAACAAACTAAAACCTAAGTTTGCTACTTTGCTTTTCAGTGCATATGGAAGCAAAAATAATCTCAAAAATGTTCTTAAGAGTGAAAGAATATTAGTCACAATAAGATGCTAGAAAAATGGTAGACAGGAGGGACAGGACAAATATTTTAAAGAAGTTGAAGTTGAAACAGAAGACACTAATGTCAATCAGTTAAACTAGAGATCTCGGTTATGGTCTACAGTGAAATTGAGATGATACTTGCCTTCCTCATCATGATACACAATGAGAGATTATGAATATGAAAGAATTTCAAATGATATGCTATGCAAATATAAACTGTTATATATATCTTAAAAAAGGAAATTCACAAAGGAAAAGATGTTTCTACTAGAAGAGAAGCTCCTTAAAGGCAGGGGCTACATTTCCCTTGTTTGCTGCTTGATGGCAGGTGTCTTCTACATAATAATACTACAGGCAGGTACAGTGTTAAGTACCCTATGTGCATTAACTCACTTAACTCTCATACATTCCTGTGATGGAGGTAGGATTATCATCTGCATTTCACAGACAGGGAAAATCAGACCCAGAAAGATTAAAATGCTTTCTCTAGGTGGCCACACAGCTAATAAATTATAAGGCAAGGATGGATTCAAACCCAGGCAGTCTGTGTGTGGAGTCTGCTTTTAACCACCATGTAAGTACACCATAGGCATTTGCTGATTTGGACCAATTGGAAGACGAGTAGTCAGAATTTCTGAAATTTTTAAATGAGCGAGTATTTTAAATGCAGCTTTACTAGTTTCAAGTCCCCTTTAAGTAACTAAAACATTTGACAAATTTTACCTGTTATATTAACAGGCAAAAAAAAACCAAAACAAACAAAAAAAAAAACTTCTACATAAATGTGTGCTTCTAAAAAGCCAGGTTTTTTTTTCTCCATGAAGCTAAACAAATAGCTATAAAGTTCATCTAGAATAAACACGCAAGAACATCTTGGAAACCGCTAAAAATTAAAAAAAGAAGCAATGGACTATATGAAGTAGGCCATACTAGATATTAACACATTATAAAACCTGAATAATTAAAATGATGTTGTATTAGTACTTGAATAGACAGACTAGTAGAACAAAAGGAAATGTAGAACAGACCTAAATGTACATGGAAATTTAGACTTTTAGAATAATGACCACACATCTTTATTCAGTAACAGTTTAAAGATAAACTTTATCCCAGATCATTTCTAAACAATTACGAATTCTATAAAAATCAGTACCTAAATTATCTACACTAAGAAGAAAAGAGAATCATATGACTAAATAAATGGAGACAGACAAGTAACATAAAGGCAAAAGACCTATCAGAAAGTTAAGACACTGAAAGACTGGTTAGCAAACATTCATTGACCCCGTGCAGAACAGCAGAAATTTTAATAGATCTTAGGGGTAAATAATGTCCCCTTTTTTCAGAGAACCTATCATTTATGTGGGAACTGATGTTTAAACAAGATCTCCCCATAGGTAAGGAGTGGAAGGGCTATGCTAGATGTATGTGTGAGAGTCAGGGGACACTCAGGAGGAAATAATTAGTTTTAACGGGCTGGAATTGAAGGCATCAGGGAGGAACAGAGAAGGCTTCACAAAGGAGAGGACATCCAAGCCCACTATAAAAAATGAACAGGGTTCACTTGGGAGAAAAGAAAGATTCAGGAATGGGGGTGGAAGGACACTTCTATCATGGAAATAGAATGAACGTGGCCTAGCTAGGGTTTACAAAGCTTGCGGGAGAGTAACAGGATGGGAGGCAGAAGAGATAGGTTAGAGCCAGCTACTGACTAGTCTTGTATGCCAGGCCAAGAAATGTTAGCTTGATCCCACAGGCACCAGAGAAACTACCGATTCTGTGATTTCTATATAGAAAGGATTATAATCGGTGTAAGATAGACATCGGGGCAGGGATTGACTTAGGGAGACTGTTAGGAGGGTACTACAGCAGTCCAGATGACAGTGTTGGGAGCCTGAGCTATAGCAAAGGAAATGAGAATGGATAAGATGTCAAATTCAAGAGAAATTTTGTGGACAAAATCTATAAAATTGTTTGAAAGGATGGAGTGAGAGTCAGAAGTAAGGAATGGAGGAATGAAGTGTCCACAGATGATGAAACCCACACTCCCCTCTCTGACTGATTTGTTTTTTTTTTTTTTTTTTTTTTTTTTTTTGAGACGGAGTCTCGCTCTGTCGCCCAGGCCGGACTGCGGACTGCAGTGGTGCAATCTCGGCTCACTGCAAGCTCCGCTTCCCGGGTTCACGCCATTCTCCTGCCTCAGCCTCCCGAGTAGCTGGGACTACAGGCGCCCGCCACCGCGCCCGGCTAATTTTTTGTATTTTTAGTAGAGACGGGGTTTCACCTTGTTAGCCAGGATGGTCTCGATCTCCTGACCTCATGATCCACCCGCCTCGGCCTCCCAAAGTGCTGGGATTACAGGCGTGAGCCACCGCGCCCGGCCTCTGACTGATTTGTTAATGCCTGGGTGCCCACAGCTGGTCTCCCTGCCTCTGCTCCATTCCCCATGCTGCAGACATTGGACTTCCTCTGTGGTCTCTCTGATCTCATTGGCTGCCTGTCACCATCATGAGAAGCCTATTCTCCTCATGAAAGGTGCCTCATGTAGCCCCTGCTTTCCTCTCAAGCCTCACCACCTACTGCTCCTTCACCTGGCCTTGCACTGGCCCTTCACCAGCATACAAAGGATTCCCAGGCTCCAAAACAGGAGCCCTCTGCTCCTCCATTTCTCTCAGATTCCATGTGCTCTTGCCTCTGCCTACAAACCTCTCCCTCCCACCATTTTTTTTTTTTTTTACACCTTTCGAAGTATCTAGGGCCACAAACTGTGGCAGGCTCAGCATAGTAGCTCAAATGTGTGTGCATTATGAATGAGTACAACAAAAATGGATTTAAGGTTCATCTGAGTTTTTTTGTTGTTGTTGTTTGTTTTTGTTTTTGTTTCTGTTTTTTTTGAGACAGAGTCTCGCTCTGTCGCCCAGGCTGGAGCGCAGTGGCGCCATCTCAGCTCACTGCAACCTCTGCTTGCTGGGTTCAAGCAGTTCTCTGCCTCAGCCTCCCAAGTAGCTGGGATTACAGGCACCCGCCACCAGGCCCAGCTAATTTTTGTATTTTTAGTAGAGACGGGATTTCACCATCTTGGCCAGGCTGGTATTGAACTCCTGACCTCGTAATCCACCTGCCTCTGCCTCCCAAAGTGCTGGGATTACAGGCATGAGTCATCTGAGTTTTTATCTGCACCTGGAATCCTTTCCTGACCCCATTCCTTGAGTTTGCCATATGTTGCCCTTCTTCCTATCCTCTTGCTTCTGTCCCTACCAGTTTTTCATACTGTTGTAGAGTTGACTCCCATCCCCCATAGATTGTGAACATCTTAAGGGAAAGGATTATCTTTTATCTCTGCATCTCAGGTTCTAGCACAGTACCTAGTACACATTAGTCTCAATAAATATTGGAGGGTAATCAGATGGGATGGGGATGGGGCAGAGGTGTTGGAGAATCAAAACAGTAAGGATTTAAAAGGACATAATCAACAATAAAAAGAACAGACTGATTCTCATATTGGTGCTAAAGAATTTGGGTTCCCTAGGGTTGGAGGGAGAAGATAACCTCTTGAGTACTCATCTTGGCAAAGGAGAAAATGACATGGCTTCCCCCAGAATTAATCTGTCCCACCGTTTATATGCCTCCTCATGGATGATTTATCCTATGAGCATTGAGAGGCCAATACTCTGTAAGTCCCAGGTGATGCAATGTGTCTCATAAGTACCCAGCCATCCACCTGGAGCTTGCCTTTTCCAGGCCTGCAGATAAGAGCCATCTCTAGAACCTCAGACCTCACTATTTACATCTGCAGTCTTACATCTTGGTTTCTGTTATAGAACAAAGATCCCAAGATGGCTCGAGTTGCACTGGAATCTCTCTACAGATTACTTTGGGTTTACATGATTCGAATTAAATGTGAAAGCAACACAGCTACTCAGAGGTAAGATTTGGCTTGTGTCAATGGTAACCATATCACTCAGCCACTGCAGAGGGTGTTTCTTTTATTACTACCTATGCTAACTCAACTAGAAGCTATTCAAAGCTGACAGTTTCTAAAAGATCTAAGTCCTAAGGAACATTTTCAGGCTTTCCATAGTCATTGGCTCAACACCCATTACAAAAGCTCCAGCCTCTACCAGGATCAACAAGTTCCACTTCCAGAGTTGCATTTGCCACTTTAACAAAAAAGCAGCTGTAATTTTCCAACTGCTCTTAGTTTTCCAGAAAAACTTTTCATAGAGTAATTATGCTAATGGAAAGAGGTGAGGTGGTTTGTTTTCTTTTTCTGAATTCTCTCTGATTCTTAGATAAGATGAAATATCTGCCATTTTCCCTTAAAGAACTGGAGCTCAGCCAATCTTGCTTGTTTTCTCTTTTCCCCCTTATCTTTCAGCCGACTTATAACCATCATCACAACACTTTTCCCCAAAGGGTCCCGCGGTGTGGTACCAAGGGACATGCCTCTGAACATCTTTGTGAAAATCATCCAGTTCATTGCCCAGGTAATGGAGAAGATTCCGGTGGTGGGAATCTTCTGATGGTTTTTCAGCAGCCAGCCTCCTTCTTATGAAGTACTAAAAGACGGAAAGTCTAAATTAGCATCTTACGTGTTTAGACTTCTGTGAAAGATTTAAAGTGTTTTCACACACAGCCTATTCTTTTGCTTCAAAACAAATTGTGAGTTGAGTATGTCAAGTGTTTTCAGCATCTGATAAATGAAGAAACAGAGACAGAGTTTAAGTGGCTCATCTGAGTCACAAAGTCTGTGAATTAGTACGATTGTCTTGACTCTTCACCTCTGTTTTTTTCCTGTTTCTCTGCTCTGGATTCTACAAGTAAAGAGGAAGCAAAGGGTCTGGCGTTCAGAGAAAACCAAAAGAGAACAATTTAGCAAAATTTGAGGAATAAATAATAATGTTCTTTCAACCTATGAAAAAGAATTTAATAGGAATATTAGCATTTATCAAGCACTCTTTTGCCAAGAACTGTTCTAAGTGCTTTGTGTATATTAATGACTTAAAAACAGGTCCAGTAATATTAAACATAGTTTTTAATATGTAATTTACTATTTGAGCCCAGGAGTTTTACTTTTCAAAACACTTTGTGAGTAAATGGGTTTACCCCAACTTTGACCTCCTTGTGCAGAGGAACAGGAAAAGACTATTATTCCAGTCCAGCCTCTGCCATGAGCCATCTCTATAACCTTAAACAAGTCAGAGAACATCTTTTTTCTGTGTCTTTATCTGTAAAATGGGGATAAAAATGCTTGCTTCAGAATATTGTGTGCTTAAAAGGAAATAATGGGCATGAAAGTACTGTTGAAGTACAGTTGATACTGATATAAAGTGTAAGGTTCAGTTGCTACTTCACAGATGATTTGACAGTGATAGCTCTCTTTGAGTTTGGTGCAATGAAATAGTTCTGTAATATTTGTACTTAGGGAAAGGACATTACCTGCTCTGCAGGTGAAAGAATTAATGTAATTTTTCTGCATGTAGTTATCATGTGACTGAGAATGTGCTTTGTTTATTCTGGAATATGTTGTATAAAATGAACCTGTTTTATTTATATATATAAATAAATATGTACATATACACACATATATACACACAGATACCTGATATATTTATATATAAAAATTATATATATTAATTATTTATATATACCTGATATATATATTTCTGTTATATATTCCTGATATATTTTTACATATATTAATTATACATATTAACTATTGTTATATATATACCTGGCATATTATACCTGTTATACTATATATATATATACACCCCTGATATATTAAGTAACCTTAATATATCTTATGTGTTGATTACATGTCTCACATGCAGAATTACTTGTTATACTATGAGCCAAAGGATTTTTAATGTTAGAGAATAGAAAAAAATGATCATTTTGCAGTGATCTCTTTAAAAATACATTTTAAAGAGGTACAGTACAAGTAGGAAGAGTTCACATTCTTTATAAGCCCAGATACCCCAAGTGTTTGGTTATTTGATTTGTGGGGGGGGGTCTTTTGTCATTAGTCATACTGTGGTTTAGAGGCCAATTACATATTTTGTATAATGAAGGCCTCCTTGCACACCACACAAAACAGAAGCAGCCCTACCCTCGGTTCAGATGGGCATGGTCTTCCTCCAGGTTCTCTGCAAGCCACAAAACTGAGCAGTGCCCCTCCTCTTTTAGCCACCACCTGTTCGCTTGGTGCATATTGATGAAAATAGCCATTTTCTGTTGAGTTTATATTTTAACACTTTCATTTTGTGTTCTTGTTTTTACTACAGGAACGTTTAGATTTTGCAATGAAAGAAATCATTTTCGATTTTCTTTGTGTGGGAAAACCAGCAAAAGCATTCAGTCTCAACCCAGAGGTATGAATGATCCTTTTATGTACTTCTAACAGAGCATGTCTTCCGGAGCCATACCTTTGCTTTGCGGCTTTGGAGAATGGGATGAGGGATGTCTTCTCACAAAGTCTTCTATTTGTTTCTGTCAATGTCCAAATTCAGATGATGGTGGAATTTCAGAAGTAAAATTTTGGATGAATAGACTTAGAATGAAACGGTTAGTTGAAAGGTTGATGTGCTACCATATTCTGTTCTTGTAAAACAAAGTAATTCTTGCCCAAAAAGATAATTCATCACTAAAAGTTAGGTTGTTTTATTTTAGAAAAGTCAGTGCTTTTACTTGTAACTGTTCAACAAATTTAGCATCGGGAAGTGATGAAATAGAGAAGAACAAATATGTGTAATAATAAAAATAGTAAAACAATGAAATTAAATAAATAATGTATGCACATCTGTTTCTGTGACAGCATCCCAACTCCAGGGCAGGCAGATTGTGGAGATGAGTATACAGTGGGCATCATACACAACATGGAGCAGTGGAGGCTGTGCACATGAACAGCACATATAATTTTAAACTTTTAAAAACACTGTCAGCCAACAGAAGTATGCCTGGCACACTGCCTCTTTTTCTATGAGGTTGTAGAAAGAACACTGGACCAGAAGTCAGCAGAGCCAAATTTGCCACTTGCCACAGGCTCTGCTGCTTTTCCTAGCTGTGTGACATTTACCTCTATGAACTGCAGCTTTTTCACCAGTAAAAAGGACAAAATGCCTTTCTACCTCAACTCGCAGAAGAATTGTGATATTAGGAAGAGTACATTACAAACTCTTAAGATAAAAAAAGGGAAGGAAGAAAGAGAGAGAGAGGAGACTGCACACCATAAAAATCAAATACATAGAGAGTTCCTGTCATCTCTATATTATCACCTGGCTCCTTCATTCTGTCAGTGAGGAAGGGGGCCTGGAGGCTGGAGACTGGCAGCTTGTTAGTAGCAGAGGGGACCCAGGTCCCTGTTAGTCCCATGCTCCTTCCCACCACACCCCATATTCTCTTCTTGATACTAAGGTTGCCACGTATCTGGGAACAGCACAAAAAGTCCAAAAATGGGAGTTTCTGTCTGGTGTCCAGTGACCTCACAGGCTTCTGGAATGGCTGCAGCCAGGGTCTCTGGGCCAATGGGAGGGGGCAGGGCCAGTGCCAAACCAGAGGCTTTGGGCTGGAAGGAGGCCCAGAGCTGTACAGTGAAGAGCCTTCTCTTGCTGGGAAGGTTCTCAAGACATTATTCATTTCTTAGCAGTCATGGCTTTACTGTCTTTAGCAGTCATTTCTCAGAATTACTGGATTACTTGTCTAAAAAGGACATGTTAAAAGCTACTACCATCATTATCACTGTCTATAAAATGTATTCTTGGTTCTTTTCTCAAACTCCTCATTCAGTCAGTGCGTAATTAGTTAACCTCTCTGTGTAGAGCAGTTGGAACTGTGATTTAAAAAAAATATATACCAATAGGAGTAAATATTTGGTTATCTTCTTCCATTTCTCGTGATCTTGTAGATTTATGGAATAATTCATTTATCAGTAGTTGGTAATTATAAGCCCAAAGGCATACCCATAACCCCACTCAAAAGCAGACGGGAGGACAGCATAGTCTGCGAAGCAGATGTCATACACTTGATGAAACATGCTGTAGGGCATTGTTTCTCGGGAAACAAGTTCAGATTGGGTCTTAAATAATATTTTGGAAGTAGCTTGTGGAACAAGGCCTGGAGATCTAAAGGATTATCTTACTGTAAACTTTATGCTGCACCACCACTCAACTCTTCAAAATTTCCAGGTAATTGTCTTGTTTTAGTGCACACCTGAATGACCTTCTATATCCATCCTCATCGTCGTGAAGACTTGCTGGTCTGTGAGAAGAGTTTCTTGGTCATCAATTTCTCTGTTTTTCCTTGACCTAAAATAACCTGAAGTCGGAGGTCTTATGTAGTGCTAGCGGCAAGAAGAAGAAATAAAAGCGTATAGATTGGAAAGGAAGAAATAAAATTGTCTTAATTCACAGAGAACATGATTATTTATGTATGAAGAACCTAAAGAAAACCTACTGGGACTAATAAATGATTTTAAGAAGTCTGTAGGATACAAGAGAAATAAAATCAGTATATTCTAGTTATGAACAATTAGAAATTGAACAATTTACAGTAACACTGAAAAACAAAATACTTAGCACTAAAGCTGACAAAATATGTGCAATATTTTAATACTGAAAATTACTAAATCCTGAGAGAAATCAAAGAAGACCCAAATAGTGAAGAGAAATAACTGTAGATTGAATGACTCGCTGTTAACAACAAGAGGTCAGTTGTCCCCAAATTGATCTATGTAGATTAAACTGTAATCTCAATAATAATAAACCCAATTAAAATCTCTGTACCTTTTCTGTAGAAATCAACAAGCTGATTCCAAAATTTATATGGAAAATCAAAGGAACTAGAATAACCAACATAATTTTGTAAAAGAAGAATAAAATTAGAAGAGTAGCATGGCCTGATTTCAGGACTTACTATAAAGTTGTATAGTGATCAAGGCAGTGTAGTATTGGCAGAAGGATGAATATAAAAACCAGTTGAACAGAATAGAGAATCTAGAAATCTAGAAATAGACTAACACATATAGGGTCAATTGATTTTCAACAATGATTCTAAGTTAATTCAATGGATAGAAGATAATGTTTCCAATAAATGGTGCTGAACAATTGGATATCCACCTGCAAAATACTGAACCTCAGCCTATAATTTGCACTATAAACAAAAATTAACTCAAAATGGATCATAAACCTAAAGGTAAAATCTGATACTATAAATCTTCCAGAAGAAAAGAAGATTTTCATGACCTTCAGGTGGGAAAAAATTTCTAGGACATAAAAGTCATAAACTATACAAGAAAAAAGTTGATAAATTGAACATCATCAAAATTAAAAATGTCTGTACTTCAAAAAACAGTTAAAGTGGAGAGCCACAGACTGGGAGAAAATATTTACAAAACTCATATCTGACAAATGACTTCCATCTGAATATATAGAGAATTCCCACATTTCAATAATAAGAAAATAACCCAATTTTTTAAATGGGCAGAAGGATCAGCATCTTCACCAAAGAAGAGACACAAATGGCTAATAATCTCATGAAAAGACATTCAACCTCATTAGTCATTAAGGAAATTCAATTTAAAACCGAAACGAGATGTACTGGGGAAGATAAAGAGCAACTAGAACCTCATACTATTCTAGTGAGATTACAAAAAGGTACAACCACTTTAGAAAAATTTGGCAATTTCTTTTAAGATTAAACGTATACTTAACCATATGACTCAGCAATTCCATCCCAAGATATTTTTCCTAGAGAAATCAAAACACATGCTCACAAACGTTTGTGCAAACATTTATAGCAGCCTCATTCAAAGTCACTAAAAATAAAAAAGCAACTCATGTCCAAACCCCGGTGAATGACTAAACAAATTGTGAATCATCAATACAATGGGTACTATTTAGCAATAAAAATGCACAAACTGCTGATACTTGCAATAACATCTCAAAAGCATTGTGCTCAGTGAAAAAAGCAAGATATAAAGTCTATGTACTATTTGATTCAATTTATATCACATACTTGAAAAGGTGGAATGTGGAAATTAAACAATGTCTGTCAGGTGCTAGGGTTAGGAGAGAAGACTAACCGCAAAAACGCACAGGGGACTTTCTGGACATGGTGGAAATATTTTGGATCTTGATTCTGTTGATGGTTACCTGACTATGTATGTTTCTCTAAACTCAAACAACTGTACAACTAAAAGGAGAGACATTTAGTACATGTAATTTATATCTCAATAAACCTGATTTTTAAAAAAATAGAGTGGGGATTCTGGCTTACAAGAGATATTTGCCAGCAGCAGCTTTTCAGACATTTTCTTTCATTCTCACAATAGCCCTATATGATTGATAGGTATTACTGTCCTCATTTTACAGAAAGGAAGCAGATACCTGGACATGGAAAAGTTAAGTAATTTTCCAAGGCCAGACAAATAAAAGGGAGAGTTGTGATGAACTATATGAAACTTAAAAAAACATAAATTATTTTTGAAGTTAACTTCAAAATGTGTGTACCAAACTATCCCATCTTATTTCTGCCCTTAGTGTTGTCCCGGGAAAAGGAAAACTTAGAGAACTGACAAGGATGATTGCTAAATTGGATAATCCACTGGCAAATAATTGAGGCTTGACCACATATGTCATCCCACAGTTATTATATTAGTACTACATCTGCTGAATTGACCATTTTATTTTCTTATCCACAACATTGCTGTGTCTTGAGAGACACACACAAGCCTAGAAACATCTCATAAAAGAACTATCAAAAGAGGGAACTAATGGGCTTCGATACACGGATTATTTTTTAAAGTAATATTCTTTCATTCTAGAAAATGGAGAAAGCATATAATTTAAGGCCAAAAAATCATAAAGTACACATTGAATTGCTTATAAATGAGCCAGAGAAATATTTAGCAAATCCTGGTTGAATTATGATAACTCCTTAAAGCTTGAATAAATAATTTTAAAATAAATAGAAGTCTATGTTACTTTATGTTATAAAATGTAATCGTGTTCTACTAAATAGGTGATTCAGGCAAACCAGATTTAGATGCAAAGCTTCCCACTATACCTCAGTTTCCTCACCTGAAAAAATGAGAATACTTTACCCTGTAAAGTGGGAATACCTTCCTTATATGACTGTGTTAAGGATGAAAGTTAATGAGCAGTGCTGGATATATTTTAGGGACTCAATACATTGTAACTAAATTATTTTCATCAGTCCTAGTAATCGTCATTATTTTCTTCCATAGGTAGTAGTATACTTGGGGAACTTACTACTTCATGAGTTTTAAAAATATTGGTGTAAATGTTTCACACATGGCTGCTTAATGGAGTACAGATGTTTAGGTAACTTCTGACCTTTGAAGACGAGCACTAGGGAGAGCTGCTGTCTTACTAAGCCATCTTTCAGGGCCAAAGTTGTGCCATACCTGAGCCTAAGGAAGATCAATCTGGCCCACAATCACATTTCTTCTTACACACCCATGTGTTTTCATCAGTAACAGGTTCTGTGGCATTGAATTTTTAAAATTTCTTCTCAAACTTGCTGGCCTTTGTAAATCAGAAGTCAGGACGTGCAGTTGAGAGCGGGTGATGTTCATTTTATGGTTCCCATTTGGAACCCTGGGTGTTTCCATTCAATCTTTGTGAGCTAACACATGTGGTGCCTCCCTTCTTCCAGGAGACGTATGAGCCCTTGTTTACCTCAGTTTACCTTAGTTGCATCCAGAGGATGAGGCATATCTTTTAGAGATACACTCAGCATTCCCCTCAACAGAATATAGTACATGACCATCTCAAACATGCCCTCCACAGTCGGTGAAATCTCCCCTGTTGTTTTCTTATAATGCAACAAGAAAAAACAGTGACAGAAACTTAATTTTCATAAGATTGCTCTACACTCTTGTGGCTTTTAAATTATTTTCTCATACTCATCTACATGCAATTCAGTCTTAACTATCTGAAAGACTTATGGATGTATTCCACTACAATAATTGGGCCTTTCCTTTTGTCATGACAATATTGTCTCTTACAGAGAATGAACATTGGTTTACGGGCATTCTTGGTCATAGCTGATAGCTTGCAGCAGAAAGATGGGGAACCTCCCATGCCGGTTACAGGAGCCGTTCTTCCTTCAGGAAACACGTTAAGAGTAAAGAAAACATATTTGAGTAAAACACTAACTGAAGAGGAAGCCAAAATGATAGGTGAGTTTCAGAAGTGCATAAGAACTAAGCCTTATTAAGCCCTTAAAATGACCAGTAGATATTTATCTTTAGTGAGATGCAGTTTTTAAAAATCTTTATAGAAGTAGATGATAAGACATTCCAACATTAATTGTTTTGATTGATTCATGCTGTGTTTTGTTTTACTGCTCTTTAAACTTTTTAGAACTTCCTGGTAAATATTTTGGCATTTAAATGTTAGACTTTTATCTATGGTCTTTTTAAAGCCTCTAATAATGATTACTACGTTTTTCAGTAAGTCTCCAAGACATCTGTGTGCTTTGCTAAATAATCCTGTTCATCAATTCATTCATTCATCTCCTTCTTTTTTCTTTAGTTAAATTTAAACATGTTAAATTTAGTTTAACATGTTTTAAACATGCCAAATCTCACAACACACATCAGGTTATATTGTGGATTTAGACTACATGAGATGATTTTCTAATTTAACTATCTTATCTAAAGAGATGTTTTTGGCATTTGTTCATTTCTTACCAAGTATCCAAATGTAGACACCTACTACAAACTTTATTAAGATAGTTACTGGATTCTACAGACCTGAGAGAAACACACAAGGAAATTTTTTGCTTTGAAATATTTCTCTTTAGTTATGCAATGTTTAAATGACTTTTAAAAGATGTAATAGGTTGGGCGCAGTGGCTCACGCCTGTAATCCCAGCATTTTGGGAGGCCGAAACTCCACCTGAGGTTGGGAGTTCGAGACCAACCTGACCAACATGGAGAAACCCTGTCTCTACTAAAAATACAAAATTAGCTGGGCATGGTGGTGTATGCCTGTAATCCCAGCAACTTGGGAGGCTAAGGCAGGAAAATCACTTGAACCCAGGAGACGGAGGTTGCAGTCAGCCAAGATCGCACCATTCCACTCCAGCCTGGGCAACAACAGTGAAGCTCCATCTCAAAAAAAAAAAAAAAAAAAACAGATGTAATGCATGAGAAATAATCATGAATAATTATTTCACTAAGGTACAAATTTTAAATACAAAGGTATTTACTTTTCATTTGTATAATTCGTATACACATTCGTCTTCCAGTGTGGGACATCAACACTGTAGTTAATGAGAACAATAAAAATAATATAGCTAAAATATGTTTTTCTTCATTTTTAAATTTATAATATGAAGTTATTTTATTTTACTAAAAAAATTCACATATATATTTCAGAGGGCCATATGGAGTTATTAAAGTCCTAACCCCCAATGAGAATTATTCTTTATTTACATAATCACTAATGATGGTGAATTTTCTTATGCTAACTAGAAACTTTAAAATTCAAATTGCTTTAATTTGAATTTTGTATTTTCTTATTATTTTAACTCTTCTGGAAAATACTTCCAATTGAGTATTAGAATTCCTATACATTGAATTAAAATGATTATCTGGTGAACACTTACTAAGTGCAAGGCACTATGCTAAAAGCTGTGCAGATGAGATTGAATCAGACAGCCCTTTTGCTCAAGGAAGTCATTGACTCATAAGGTCTTCAGTAAAAAATATTATAGAGGATGAATAAATCAGGATATCCTTTGATAGATTCAGTTGAAGGTATAACTATAATGCATGTTTTTCAGGCATGTCCTTATATTACTCTCAAGTACGAAAAGCTGTAGACAACATTTTAAGGCACCTTGATAAAGAAGTAGGAAGGTGTATGATGCTGACTAATGTACAGATGTTAAACAAAGAACCGGAAGACATGATCACGTGAGTACAGTAAAGACTAAGTTATCAGTGAAAGATTAACCAGAAAACACAAGTAGAGAGTATTCTCATTTATTCTGTATTTTGTTTTCATCTTCTTAGGGTTCTAAAAAGTAGTAAAGATAGTTAAAAAAAAACCTTCACAGTATTTGATTAACTATAAAAATAAGGTCATATCTGTGATTGATCTATTTTATTTATATCTCAAGTATCACTAGGTCAGTAAGTTAGAAAATGAGGACCATGACCCACTAGTCCATGTTTTTCAGAAATGGCATTTTGTTCCCAGGCACCATCACAACTCATGTGACATAGTGACATCCCAAATTTACAGACATTCCATCTTTATACATCTCGTGACAGTTCCTACTTCATAGTTTCTGTGTGATTGTATCACAGACTGCATCACAGAAAGCATTTTAAGAAAGCATGCGTAGCTTCAAATGTATTCAAATCAAGTATTCTTATTCAAAATCTGAAGATCTAGATTGACAATTAGAACTTGCATTTGCTGTTTTTGTTTAACTATGGCAGGAACTAGGATTAAGTTATAATTCTATATTTTAAGAAAGTTTGGACTGTGTTGTTGGGCTATGAATTAAATTACATTTGATAGCTGTGGCATAATTTCCAAAAATATAATTAGGTAAATTTCTTCTGTCATCCATCATTTTCAACTGCAAATATAAGAATTAATCTGAAGATTGTTACCTATATAGAGAGATTCATATTGTGGTGTGCATTTTTTTTTGTGATAGTAACATGTGCTCGTGATTAAAGCAAAGGCAAAAATGCAGAATTATTTAAAATATGTATTTGGTAGAATCTAAAGTTAAAATAAAAGCCTCCTCAGAGCCTCACATGAAATCTGCAGCCGTTTCTTGGATCAATGTGATTCCTTCCAGACCTTTCCTTATGTCAATACAAATGTATGTGTATACATACCTCCTTTTCCCCACAAAAGTGGGATAATACAATGCATATTATCCTGCAGCTCACCAATTACTCGATTTAAATAGTATGAGATGATGTTGCTTTAGACTTTTCAACCGAAATAATAGCAGAATTTATATTGACCAAGATTAATAACGTTAAAAATATTATCTACAGTTCTAGTTCTTACCTCACAAATTGCCAGATTATCAATAAACTTTCAACCTCATTTTTCCATACTTCTTGCATATATTAAAGCCATTTTCAATTTATAATGTAGAAGATATAAAAAATGCATTACGCCAGGCATGGTGGCTCACACCTGTAATCCCAGCACTTTGGGAGGCCAAGGCGGTCAGACCACTTGAGGTCAAGAGTTCAAGACCAGCCTGGCCAACATGGCGAAACCCCATCTTTACTAATAATACAAAAATTAGCCGGGCATGGTGGCGTGCACCTGTAATCCCAGCTACTCGGGAGGCTGAGGCAGGAGAATTGCTTGAACCCGGGAGGCAGAGATTGCAGTGAGCCAAGATTGCACCACTGCATTCCAGCCTGGGCGACAGTGAAACTGTTCCAAAAACAAACAAAAAGAAATGCATATAGCTGTTTCCTCAAAAAAAAAAAAAAAAAAAAAAAAAGAGCTTTAAAGGACAACCATATTCGTAATCAATAGGCATCATAAGATAGGTTCAGGACAAAAACATTATATTCAAAATCATAAAAAGGTACATGTTTAAATGTAAACATTTTATTTATGTTTTAATCAATGTTCAAACTTTTTCTAAGGTTCTTCTTTACTTTTTCCTATTCAAACATCTTAAGACCTCCAGATAGGGCTAGAAATATTTTTCGTGCTAGAATTCAAGGCAGATTCCTAAATAACTCATTGCATCATTTCTTAAAAAAAAAAAATAAGGAAGAAGAGAAATGTTAGGGAATCATATAAGCATTTAGGAGAAGAGGGTGGAGGCCCACACAACACTAATGGAACAGTCATTGGAGTTGATATTTGAAGCTGGGCCACCACTTTCCCAGGCCCTACGCAGGGTAAGAACTTGAACATTGAACATTCTGTGTTGCTCAGTCTTTATTCCATATCCCTTTTGTGGTTCATGCTAGTACAAAAAAAGAAAGAAAGGAAGAAAGAAAATAACAAGTAAAGAATAATAAATAATAATTTTAACATCTGTTAATATATTTTCTTAATTATATAATTTTGGGGATTTATATGCTTCCCATAAAAGGCCAGACAGCAAAGACTGCAGTAGTAAGAGGAAATCATGCAGCAATTAGTTTCTAATCTAGGCTTGTTTTATCATCTTGGAAGTCTGGCAGAGTTCGCCCTTACACTTCAGGCCAGGCAAGGTCATCCATTTTCCGACAGATATAAAAATAATCCCAGCTGTTAAAAACATCTGGTGAGCAAACTAGTAGAACTGTTTAAACTACTCACTGTGTTACAAATGAACAATTAGAAGAGATCTCTAGGCTCTAACACTGTACAGCTATTGAGGATATCTGAAAACATTTCTTTCCTTGGCTGATTGGAAAGCCCTGTGCAACTGCTTCCTCTTCTCCAGGGTCCTCAACAGCTCGTGCAAAAGCTCTATGGATGACAAAAGTCATAAGATTATTAAGAAAATAATCTTATGACTGCCCACAAAAGCAGATTATTTTGGAAGACAACATATTATGTGTTTTATTTTTCATATAAACAATTTTTTATTAATTCTTAACAAACTTGTAAAAGCACAATAAAAGGTAATGTCACAGAGCAAAATTGCTGCTTGATTATGATCTTTAGATTACACAGAGGATTGATTCTGCTAGTTGCATTTCTATTCTGACTACAGTTACTGTTCCAAAAAGGAATTATTTTTATGCTATTTTGCATTTTCATTATTGTGCTTGTGTCCTTGGATCACATTAATTTGGTACTGATTCTATATTTATGCTCAGAAGACTAAGTCATCAGACTTTAGATATGCTGTTATATATTATCACTTGGGTCATTTGAAAGATTTTGGTGGGTAGTTTATTCCATAAAGGTTACAGATAAAATAAGTGGTTAAAAATCTAACAGTTACCTATTAAAACAACTAAAAATTGAAATAACACAAAATATATATTTCTCCTTCACATTTTCCAACAGAATGCAGAAGGCATTAATTATCATTAAACATTCATATTCTCAAGAAATTAATTAAAAATAGAGAAGGAAATCTCCATAGAGGTGAGGCCCATCGGTATCACTTTAAAAGTCAGAAATGGGTGCACAACTATATACATTTCAGAATTTTACTTATTTTGAAAGATTTATTTTGGAAGCACTTAAATTTTTAAAAACAGGACAAAGAGCTCTAGGGGAGAAGCATAACTCATCAGGGAGAGAAGCTGCTAGATATCACAATTACAAAAGGCACCATTCCATATATATATACTCCATTTTTAAATGCTGAATGAAATACATTTCTTCATGTGGATGTACTTAGCCATTTCTGTGATTCTGGTATTTTAAATGCAACTGGACTAGACCCAACTAAAGGGCAAATTCAAGGCAAAATACTATTGATATCAGCATTTTTCTTTTCAGATATATACCTCTGTCTTACATTTAAATTACTTAAAGTTTTATTAGAACTGGTCAAGCTACAAAGGGCATAAACATTTGAGAGTAATATGGAGCTAACACCAGGCTGTGACTCAGAAGGCATGGATTCTAGTCTTTGTTCATGCACTTAATTCATTTTGTTTTTATTTTCACAGCTTTTTGACCTATTTTAAAATTTTGTCTTCTAATTCTAGGGGTGAGAGAAAGCCAAAAATAGATCTTTTCAGGACCTGTGTTGCTGCTATTCCTCGACTGCTTCCTGATGGGATGTCAAAACTTGAACTTATTGACTTACTGGCTAGGTAGGTGAGAATATTATTTGGCCAAAATTAATTTCGATCCTTTGTTGTGACTCCTGAAAAAAAAATAGAATGGTAGTTTACAATTAACAAATATTTACCAAATGAGGTACTGGGTATGGGCAGGAAAAAACAAATTTTTAAAAATTATTTTTCCCATATTCAAGGGGTTTAAAATCCAACTTAGAAGCAAATACGTAAGCACGTAAGGTCGCTAACAACCCAAAGCCTGTGTTGTGCAAACTAATGGCACAAAAATATACAATACATGATTCGTGGGTAAGAGATTACTATGGACTGGGGAAGGCAACAAATAACTCCTGAGAGAAGGTGGAACTTGAACTTCCTCTCGAAGGGAAGGTAGAGTTCAGAAAGGTAAAGGCAGAGACATGAGCAAAGGCACAGAGGTAGAACCAGGAAATGAGATGGGTCTGGCCAAAAAAGAGTTCATTCGGAGTCTGATACCCAATCTGAGGCCCACAGACCCCCATGGGGACAAGAATGCAGGTCGTGGATATCCTTAACTAGTTTTAGTATAGTGCTTCAGAAAGCTGCCCCAAATCATATTTATCACCTTCCCAATGCACAATCCAATGAGAACCTAAAATTTATTTTCTTTGAGTGAAATTATCTTATTATAATTTAGTAAGCTTAGTTATCTCATGTTGATCTGGAGCTCCAGTTGACAGTTATGCATGTCTTTAATTTAAAAATCAAAAGTGACATAACCTAACTGCAATTTGGAAAGCAAAATTATTAGACACGTGGGATGTGTGGAATGAGGAAGAACAAAAGTCATTGGTTTGGAGGGAAAAAAGAGAAAATAGTTTACAAACCCAATGATGAAAGGAAATTGAAATAAGACTGAAGAGGTAGATTTTCAGCTAATCTTAAGTACTTGTTGAGGCATTTGGACTGATGAAATTTTAAGCTGGCGAATAAGATGACAAAAAATGTCAATTTAGGCTCTATAATCTGATTATGGTATAATTTTTAAAAAGCCTGGAGAAGGATAACAAATAGTCATGCTGACTGAATGAATGATGCATTACACATAGCCTGGTTTACTCACATCCTCTCACCTTCTGAGAGCACCTTTCCCATCAATATTCAAATAAATAACCCAAACTTCCACCCCACATGGCTGCACATAATCTGGTGGCCTCCTGAGGCTCTGAGTGTCCCTGTGGAGCCCCGCACCTCCTGGTTATTGTGGTCATGGTCCTCTCTTACGTGGGCAGCCAGCTTGGGTCCCTCTGTTGATTACCTCTTGCTATCTAGTAATAGCTTTTAGAAACTACTGCCCTTTCCCATTCTTTAATTTGCATTTGGACACAGCCACTCCCTTCCTCCTTCCTGACACCACTAGCACAAGAACAGTGCTGAATGTGAAGGTTTCCTGAAGGTCTGTTACCTTCAAAACCATGATTTCAAGCCGTTGTGCTCTCTAACCACAGCCTTCCACCTTCTGGCTGCCAATGTCACCCAGCCCTGTAGTCTCTTTCTGCTGTCATCAGCAGCCTTCCAGCCGTGGATCCTTCTTCCTTCCAGTCCACACTTAGGGTGTAACTTTTGAGACCTAGCAACCACAATATGAGTGAAGAGTACATTCCCTGGAAGCAGGAAAGCAGAGAGAAATGGGAAAAAATAATCCTGGATCAAAAAGGGCTTTCCAGTTCAGGGCAAGGGGAAGACCTGTGGAGGAACAAAGAGTGGGTTTCCAAAGAATAATGAACACGATGATTTAGGGGCTGGGGGAAGCTGAGGGAAAGAGAGACTAAGACTGTAAGGGTCATCCATGCTAATATTGAGTCACCCGGGATGAGGGCAGAGACTGAGAATAAAGAAAAGCTGTGAGACAAGGGCTAGAGCTACTGAAAACATAAAGGAGAGCCTGTCAGTTTGCTGTGGACAGCATTGGAGAGGGTGGCATGACCAGGAGACGTGTATTTCCCCAGAGCACAGGTGGCTGAGCGAAAAGCCCCTCTCCAAGGCCTCATGACTGTCTGGACAAAGACGGCCACCATCTAACAGACATGGAGGAAGCAGGACACGAGAATGGGAAGAAAACAATCCTCTAAAAGCCTGAACTTCATTTCCTTCATTCCTTTGCCATTTTACTACCTGCATGATCCGGACAAATTATTTAACCCTCAAGCCTATCCTTTTCCCATGGTAAAATTTTGGTGAAATTGGAATGAGACTGCCTACCTCAGGACTGTTGCGAGGGCTAGATGACAAGACATGTGGTTAGAGAGAGGAGGCGTCTGCAGGGAAAAAGTTTTCAGTTAAATTGAAGTAGAAGGAAAGTTCACTTTATTCAATAGAAGTCTAATTGGTGATTATATACACTGAGGCCTTTGAAGTACCAAGTTTTTTGAATGGCATGCAGTGTTCTCTTTCTGGTAAAGTCTCTAATGCTATTTTGCTATAAGTCTGAGTGGGAGGCTCCTACCTCTGGAATCACCTTGACAGCCCAATCCAGTGACGCCCAAACCCCCAGACCATGGTGCCAGGCGTGTTGGGAGGGAATTCTGTCAGATGTGGTTGGAATGCTAGTGCTATTTATAGTGCGTCCTGTTTATTATAAGTTACATTCTTACCAAGCCCAAAGCAATGGATGCTGTTTTTTGTTTTTTCTTTTTTCTTTTTTTTCTGAGGGAACAGAACAAATAAATATTCCTGAGAGTCTAAGTCTTAGGGAGAAATCAAGGAAATGACTGGACTTATATGGGAAACCCATGAAGGGACCTTTTTAATAAGCTTCAAAAGAAGCCAGAGGCTGTTCTCCTCAGGGGGAAGGATAACTAGAGTAAGCGACCTGCACATAGAGTCCTATTAACCTGTGAGAAAATGACCCTCTTCAGATCTCCTTGAGAGGGTCAGAGGACAAAAGTGAAGTAATTCAATAGCAATAAATGTGGGTTTCAAGTGCCACACAAGAAGTCTTCAGTTACTTTATACCCCCACAGTCCAGTTGCCTTCGGATTCAATTGACCTGAGATAATATATGGTCTAGTCAGAGAGGAGTGAGACCTGTTATTTCTGACACTTCACAGTCTCATCCGTGGTACACTTTTTATTTAAAACCTTGTTTTTTTTCATAATTGGTAAAATAAGGGCAGTGTTCATGCAGGTTGTCCATCCCTCCCAGCTCAGTTCCCTGTAAGGAGTTTCAACTGTGTGTCCCACACAGCTGCTCCCAGGCCCTTCCTGCACTTTGAGTAATGGCTGAATACCACAGACACTTACACCTCAGACACATATTAGTATGTTGCACATGACAACAGTGTATACAACGAAGCTGGAAAACTGCCTTCTTCAAGCTACTAGATTTTTGACTTTACATGTATTGCTCAGCCAGCTCATAATATGGCCAAGTGTGAGAACCTTTCCATGTGGCTCCATGGAAGCTTCACAGGCCCTCCTGACATTGTGGTGAGATCCATGGGGGTGCTTCCTTCCCATTCTCTGCAGAGCCTGGCCTGCTCAGCTGTCTGGATCCCTGAGGATTCTCCAGATAGAAAGGGCAGCTGTCTCCCCTTGGCAGCCGCCATCTTTTTCTCTCGTTCTCCTCTCCTAGATAGTTCCTGCTCTGTCATTTGACCACAAGAGGGAGCTTTCACTAGGAGTCCACAGGCTCCTTTCCTTGTCACTTCCTGCAGTGCTTTGCATGCACCAAGGGCTTGCTGTTGAGTATTCACCCTCCTCTTTCAAAGCTCTCAGCAAATGTTAGTTTATTATTTTTAGATATCTTCACATTCAAAGAACATACACCGTGCTATACAATGCATTTCATATACATTATGTTAGGTAAGCTGGGCACATGTTCATTCTTATTTTTAGATAAGGACATTGAATTTCAGAAGGGTAAATCTGATTGCCCAAATTTATAGAATTTTCCAAATGTCATTGGTTTTATGCAAAATAATAAACACGTTTTATGTGGTGTTTCCTTATTATTTGTAGAAACTTCTAAGATAATGCATACACAGATTCCACAGTCTTCTAGGGTATCTAAAAATCATTAAACATTTATTCTGCTTTCCCTTTTCCACATATGCCTGTGTTGTGGAAAGTGGTTAGTTGTTTGGAGTAGCTGAAAGAGAACTTGTCTCAATTGTATATATTGCCTCAATAATTCACTTAGTCATATTTCTGTATTTTAATTGAGATATAGTTCGAACCACTGTAGATAGATGGGGGTTCATTCTTTAATAGCCTCCAAGGAGAAATTTCCACCCCTTCTGGTGAACTACCCTGGTGGTGAACAGTCCACCTCTCTCAAGCTCCTTCTTTTGGAAATCCTTGTCTGCTGGGCTTCACTTTCAGTGTTTCTTCCTCCACGGCCCTTGTTGACATTGTGGGGCACTTCTTTCTAATAAGCTTTTGCTTATCTTGCCTAGTTCAAAGGAGGATGTTTCTCCTAATTTATCTTTTCTTCTGGATATGGTTTGTGAATTTGAAATCACCCCTTTTCTTTCATGTATCTCTGTACAAGAACATTATTAAAAGCTACTAAGCTGATTCCATCAGAATCTGAAGCTTACCTTACACAAGTGTTTTCCATTAAAAGTCATATTTCTGATCTGACCAACAAAGAAGGCAGCTTTGTCCAAGTTCTATTTCCTCATTTTATGACATGTCCTGACTTGTTCAGTAGCACCCTTGTCTGAGCAGCACGTGCCCTTGTGATCACACCACTCACTTGTTCTCCATCACCGCAGACAGGGCCCAGGACCATTGGCAGTGGCACACGTGGCCTGTGCAGAATACAGCTATGCATTCGCTTTCTGACGTGAGCAGTGAGAATCATGCCAGGCCTGCTTAGTGCTCCTGATCCCAGCTGCCTGGGAGGGGCAGCTGCAACTGGTATTGGCAACACTGGTTTCTTTTATTTTAGGCTTCTGAGAGCCAAATCAGCTTTTCAGAAATTTAGCCTTAGTTCCCCAAGCTAGCCAGACATCTTCTCAAGTTGCTTTCTCTTAAAGTCTTTCTGTTCCCTCTTAATTGTTGCCACCAAACTCTCTCAAAGGACAGTTTTTAAAATTATAACTGCGTCTGTTTAATTTGCAGCTGAGACCTGTTCTTTCTTTCCTGGTCTAGTTTCTCTATGAAGATGGCCCAGCTGGGGGAACTGCTGTCCCCCACCCTCATCCTTGCTAGAGAAGGAGATCTAATAGGATTTGTAAATCTGTAGGCCAGCTCTACGCTACTTTCCTGAGTAGTCAGAATGGCTGGACATCTTTCTCATTTAACTCCAAGGCTTCCTTTCCCTTTTAGATAGCTATTTTTTTCCCGCTTTATAATGTAAAATCCCATGTGTTTCACAAGATCTTGATTATCTGGTCAAAATCTAACAAAAGTAAAAATGAGGAAGAACTGAGTGGAAGAGATGGCAACTGTATCTGACAGGCAGCCCTCTGCTTATATGCTTCGAGGGACAGACACAGGGAGGGAGCTTTGTCCTCTTCACAGCTTCTTCCCCTTACCCCTCACCTACTACCCACAGACTCGTCTTGATAGGTGATTTCCATTCAGTCTCAGTTCTGTGGCAGCTGGGCCTTTTTCTTCTACAAACATTCCACTTTTATAACCAGCTGAGCCTTCTATCCCAGAAGCCCTTTCCCCTCCCTGGTCTTCTTCCTCCAGGAATATTTTTGAGCCTTTCAGTGGTAGAGCATGTAAACACTGTCATTTTAAGAGACATGGCCACCAAGAATAGCAAGGACTACACTGCCCTGGGGCTCCAAGAGTCCTGAAAATGATCCTGCATTGTGGGTTTGAAGTTAAAACAGATTCTAGATTGCAAATTGTGCGTGAGAGCAAAGTTAGATGACGAGTAGAATCAATCTCATTTGGAAAGCTGAAAGTATTGGCCCTTACTTAAAGGCTTCATGAAAATAGACCATGACATGGCTTTCGTCCTTGGTGCTTGTCTGGTTTCATGATTATATTGGTTTGCTAGGGCTGCTGTAACAAAGTGTCACAAAATGAGTGGCCTAAACACCAAAAATTTATTCTCTCACACTTCTGGAGGCTAGAGGTCCAAGATCAAGGTGTCAGCAGGGTTGTGTCCTGCTCAAGACTATGAGAGAGAATCTGCTCCAAGCCTCTCACATGGCTTCTGGTAGTTTGCTGGCACTCTGGCATCCCTTGGCTTGTAGAAGCATCACCCTGATGTCTGCCTTTATCTTCATATGGCATTATCCACGTGTGTTGTCTGTCTACAAAAGTGCCCTTCTTATAAGGACACCAGTCATATTGGATTAGGGGCCCACAACCTCTCCTTAATTTAGCTAATTACATCTGCAATGACCTCATTTCCAAATAAGGTCACATTCTGAGGTACTGGGAGTTAGGACTTAAACATATGAATTTTGTGGGAGACACAAAATTATGAACACTGTCATTACTATCAGTTAACATTTATGTAGTGTCTGCAATTCCTGGTTACTAAACTATTACCTGTCCTAAAAACGGTGGCTTGTTATCTGTGGAAGCTTATTTTCTAAGACCTTCAGGTCCATAGACAGGTATAAATATAGTAAATTAGAATAATAAACATAAGATGGGGAAATGACTTCAAGTGCTTTTCATAAACTAGTGTTTTCAAACCATGGACTGCAGAGATGACTCAGCTGCTTGGCGAGTGAAGGAGTGTTTTCTCCCCAGATGGGTGGGCTTCAGGCCTTTTACCCCAGCTTTAACCAGAGTGGCTCAGGCTTTATGTATCTATATATTGCAGTTTGTATTAGAGTTCTCCAGAGAGAAACAGAAACAATAAGATGTATATAGAGAGAAAGAGATTTATTGTAAGGAATTGGCTCATGTAGTTATGGAGACTGGCAGGTCCAAAACCTTCATGGGGGGCCAGCAAGCTGGAGATGCAGGAGAGCCAGTGCTGCCATTCTTGTCTGAAGGCCGGCATGCTAGAGATTCAGAAGAGCCAAGTTTCCAGTTTGAATCCAAACACAGTCTGCTGTAGAACCAGGAAGAACCAGTGTTGCAGATGAAGTCTAAAGGCTGTTGAATTCTCTCTTGCTCAGGGGAGTCCAATCTTTTGTTCTAGTCAGTCCTGCAGCTGGTCAAATGAGGCCCACCCACATGAGGGAGGGAAAACTGCTTTCCTCAAAGTCCACTGATTTAAATGTTAATCTCATCCACAAACATCCAGAATAATGTCAGTCAAATATCTGGGCACTGAGGCCCAGCCAAGTTGACACATAAAATTCACCACCACAGAGCTCTATATAAACTTTTGTTGGAAAAAAAGATAGATATGCTGCTGAATGAAATATAAAGAAAGTTTGAAAACTTCTGTTTTAGACAATTCTAGATTGGAAGCCCAGGTTAAAGCCTTCTCATTCTTCTTTCAGCAACTACTGAAGAACTGTAGATTTAATTGTATAAGACGTCCCTGAAAAATTAGCTTAGATCTTCCTTCTCAGTGTCTGTGTAGAACTTTACATGCTTTTGAGACAGTAAATATATTCCCTGGCTCAGTGTAAATCTGTGAACTAAAGAGCTTTTTACCTGATTTATATTGTCAAACTGGACCAATTGGTGTACTTTATGCTTTATAAAATAAGACAAGAGTTTGCTTATCTTATCAAACTTTTGAAATACTATCTGAGAGTGATAACTGGGGTGACTTGTGTCAGGCTTGTTTTGTGAGAAGTATTTTGGATTAAAGATTAGAAGTCCTAAATTGAATTCCTGGCTCTTCCCTTTGTTAACTTTGAGCAAATTCCTTAACCACTCTGGGCGACAATGTTGTCTTGTATTTGTTGGTGATAATATCTGTCCTGGGTATGGGAGCCCCCATTGACTCTGCCATGTTCCGCCACTGAACACCTCCAGGCTACTGAGTTCTAAATATCTTTGGCCTCTGTCTGCCCTTGCCCCACCACACTTCTATGCTTTGGGTCAGGCCCTCACCACTTGTTGCTTAAGTCATTGCAGTGACCTCTTAGATGGTCTGTGCCTTGTTTCTTCTCCAAGACATTCTCCCTATTCCTGCCTGACTCTCTTTTCTCAAGCGTGAATCTAATCATGTTTCTTTCCCTATAACTTTCAGGATACAATTCATTTTCTTCTAATAATAGCTAACGTTACTGAGTGCTTACTCTGTGCTCTGTGAAGTGCTAAATATTGCACATGGATCATTCAGTGACCCTCACGACAGGTTTATGGAATGCAGTTACAGTTAGTATCCCCATTTTACCAATCTGAGGCTTAGAGATTAAGTGACTAGCCTGAAGTCACGTAGCTAATAAGTGACAGAGGCAAGACCCTGATCCAGGCATTCTGACTCCAGAGTACACACTCTGAATCCCTTCCCTGCTGTGTTGTCTCCCTGAGTGGCCCAAAGACCCTTCAGTTGAGCTGCCTCTGCTTCCTCTCCAGCACTGTCTCACACCTCACTCTTGCAGGCACCTCACCCAATAGACACAGCCACACCGAACTCCATATCCTAAGTGCTGTACATAGGGCATGTGATGACTGAATCTTAGGAGGGTCTCTCTTAAAAGCCTTTGCTTATTAAATAAATGAATGAATATGTAAAGCAGTATGTTAGCAGTAATCCATCCTACCAATGTCAAGATTTAATATTATTGTGTTGTTCTAGATTAAACCACAGATACACTAGAATTCTGTTAACTTACTCAAAATGTCTCAACCTTGGCACTATTGACATTTTGGGCCAGAAAATTCTTTGTCACAGGGACCTGTCCTGTAGGGTGTCTTAGGATTCTGGGGTGTTGAGCAGCATCCCTAGCTTCTACCCACTAGAGAAATGCCTGTACCACACCCCAAGGTGCACAGCCAGAAATGTGTCCAGACATTGCCAGATATCCCAAGGAGCAAAACCGATTTAGGACCACAGGCCTGACTCTGATTGTTCATTTATACTGAGCTTCTGGATGAGTCCTTTAGCTTCTCCAGTACTCAGGTTCCTCATCCTTAAGAATAGGATTCGATACTAATTTATTATTCTGTAGCCAGTGATGTATTAAAAAGTGTTCATATACAGTACAGCTAAATGCAGTGTGGTATCTTGGATTGCATTCTGAAACAGAAAAAGGACATCATTGGAAAACCGGTGAAATCTGAGTAAAGTAGTTAATAGCTTCATCTCAATATTAAGTTCTTAGTTTTGATCAGTGTACCGTAGTTATATAAGATGTTAACATTAGGGGAGGCCCGAAGAACGCTATATCGGAAAACTCTGTATTATCTTTGCAGCACTTCAGTAATTCTAAAATTAGAAGTTTGTTTTGTTTTGTTTTGTTTTGTTTTTCTGAGATGGAGTTTAACTCTGTTGCCCAGGCTAGAGTGCAGTGGCACGATCTTGGCTCACTGCAACCTCAGCCTCCCAGGTTCATGCCATTCTCCTACCTCAGCCTCCCAAGTACCTGGGACTACAGGCATGTGCCACCACACCTGGCTAATTTTTGTATTTTTAGTAGAGACGGGGTTTCACCGTGTTAGCCAAGCTGTCCTCGAACTCCTGAACTCGGGCAATCCACCTGCCTCAGCCTCCCAAAGTGCTGGGATTACAGGCGTGAGCCACCATGCCTGGCCAAATTAGAAGTTTTTTAAAGGTATTTATGTAAGTCATTTACTAAGCAAAAAATAAGGGAGACCCATTTTCAGACTCAAGTAGAAGAGATATACATTAATATCTATTAATCCTTGTTAGCTCTAGAAGACCAGTTAATAAAGTAAATGATTTTATTTTCCTTTATTCGTTTCACAGGCTCTCTATTCATATGGATGATGAATTGCGACATATTGCACAAAATTCTCTTCAGGGTTTACTTGTTGACTTCTCAGATTGGAGGGAAGATGTACTATTTGGCTTTACCAACTTCCTGCTCCGGGAAGTAAATGATATGCATCACACACTCCTTGATTCGTCCCTGAAGTTGCTGCTGCAGCTGCTCACCCAGTGGAAACTAGTCATCCAGACACAAGGAAAAGTCTATGAACAAGCCAACAAAATCAGAAATTCAGAGGTGATTTTCACACCTTACCCATGAATTTATATTCTTTTTTTTTTTTTTTTTTTTTTTTTTTGAGACAGTCTTACTCTGTTGCCCAGGCTGGAGTGCAGTGGCGCGATCTTGACTCACTGCAACCTCCACCTCCTGGTTCAAGTGATTTTCATGCCTCAGCCTCCCGAGTAGCTGGGATTACAGGTGCACAACATCACACCTGGCTAATTTTTGTAGTTTTAGCAGAGATTGGGGTTTTGCCGTCTTGGCCAGGCTGGTCTCGAACTCCCAACCTCAAGTGATCCTCCCGTCTCAGCCTCCCAGAGTAGTGGGATTACAGGTGTGAGCCACCATGCCCGGCTGAATTTATATTCTTTTATTCATATATGTGAATGAGTGGCAGTCTAGAACCTTTAGAATTCTTACTTCCAGCCACCTAAGAACTTCCTCCCTGGTGGTGGGCCTTAGTTCTTCCACTGGCATAAATTGTGACCAAGAAACTCAGAGCATGATATTCCACATCAGGTTAGACTTGTGAACATTCACAAGGCTATTTAGGGAATAGAAATTGGTTTTTTCAGAGAAGTATGATTGCAAATCTATTTGTAAGAACAAATGACTACAGGCCAGGGACTTAGAGCTGGATGTGGGTGTGGATGTGGATGTAGGTGTGGATGTAGATGCAGATGTAGATGTGGATGTGGATATGGGTGTGGATGTGGATGTAGATAGGATGTGGATGTGGATATACATGTGGATGTGATATGGATGTGGATATAGATAAGGATGTAGATGTGGATATGGATGTGGATGTAGGTGTGGGTGTGGATGTAGATAGGATATGGATGTGGATATAAATGGATGTGATGGATGTGGATGTAGATGTGGATATAGATGTGGATGTGGATATTGATGTGGACGTGGATGTGGGTGTGGGTGTGGATGTAGATATGGATTTGGATGTAAATGTGGATGTGATAGGGATGTGGATAGGGTTGTGGATGTAGATGTGGATATTGATGTGGATGTAGATGTGGATATGGATGTGAATATTGATGTGGATGTGGGTTTAGGTGCAGGTGTGGATGTAGATATGGATGTACATATTGATATGGATATGGATGTGGATATAGGTATATAAAAGTCAGCTGTCCACTAGTTATTTTTAGCCAGAAACATATGGGCTGCTTTGTTCAATATCCACGGAGAGGACAGTGCAGTCTTGTGGTTTCTTTATCCTTTCATGTCTCAGTCCTAAATGGTTAAGGTAGTGATAACATTTTGCAGAGCGCATTGAGGAGGAGTGTTGTCAGAGGAGAACCAGGGTGGTGGGAACTTGGCATTGGCAATGAGCAGATGGAGAAAGGGGTCTGGCTGGAGAAGAGTGTAACTGAGAGTCTAAAGACTGTGGAGGCTCATGGCAGTATAGTAGCATCTGGGGAACAGCTGGGATTCCTTAGAGGCTAACCCCAGAGATGACATTCAGCTCCTTCTCCCTTCCCTGTGTTGTAGACATGCCAACACGATAGGTAGAAAAGCAAGGGTTATATATGCTTGTAAGGGGAAAACAAAAATGAAGGTGGAAACTTCCCTGTTGACTGGCTTGCTTTTACTTTAGATTCACTTGGTTGGGGATTGGGAACTTTCAGAATCCATCACAGAGCTGTGCAAAACCTAGATTAGAATCTAACAAACAAGTAAGCAAGGAGAAATAGAAAGTAAATGTTTGAAAATTCGATTCAATAGTATCCAAAAGTCTATGGAGAATTTAAATAACAACTTTGGCCACTTTGATTGTATATACAGTGTAATACCAAGTGGTATACATGAAAGGAGTTGTGTTTTTATCAACATTAATAGCCTTTGAAGAGTTATTTTTCATCAGAAGTAACAGATGGTTGATGGTATTCCGCAGCAGCAATTGATCTGAAAGACAGAAGGGGATCTAGGATATTTCATGAATAATAATAAATTCATAGACATGTCTGGTTCTAAACCATGGTCATTTATTTTAATATTTACAAGGTCAAATGTGCAAAAAATATGTAAAACATGAGTGTATTCTTCTTCCTTTGTTATTTCGCTGAATACAGAATGTTGTTCTTATTGCATAACAGCTCATCGCAAATGGCTCCAGTCACAGAATTCAGTCGGAACGAGGTCCCCACTGCAGTGTACTCCACGCTGTAGAAGGTTTTGCTCTGGTTTTACTCTGCAGTTTCCAGGTGGCCACACGCAAACTGTCCGTTTTAATACTCAAGGAAATTCGAGCGTTGTTTATTGCCCTGGGGCAGCCTGAGGTATGGATTAGTCTTCTGAATTTTTCCATTTCTTACTTTCAACTCTTCTGAAATTTAGATTAAAAACTACAAATGATGCATTACTATTTCAGGTACTTTTATGTTACATGTAGTGTTTCATTCATTGTTAGGTTTTAAACTATTGTAATAACATTCTTGATCTACTAGATGTAAGTCATATTTTCTAAAAGCAATAGAAAAGACAAATCCCAGTTCTCCAGGGACATTACTTTGCTAAGAAGTGAAGAATTTTAAGATTAATTTAGGCTATGAATCATTTCCTTCACAGTGTTCAGCACATATCTAATTAAGAAGATATTATTACTTTATATTAGAGAATAAACTTGAAAAATCATATATCTCATTTGAAATGATCAAGGTACCAAAGAGTTTGGCAAATTGAAAGATGTTTAATCTTGATGATGGTAGAAAATGGCATCACAAAAAACACGTCCTCTTGAAATGGGAGAAGGAAGCCAGTTATTAAGCATGATCAATGCCTGCTAACACCCCACATTTGGCTAAATGCCATACACCTTGTTCAGAGAAAACACTTATTGCTATCTTGCAAGCTGGCATGGGTGGCCAAACCAAATGCATAATTTGATGAAAGAGGGACCAGCTTTTCATGTCATATATTTCTTTAGAAAATTACCACTTTCTGTTTTCTTCTTTTAAAAATAACTACTTTGGTTTTGTAACACTTGACATAGTCACTGTCTTTATAAAATATTTTCAACTTCACAGTCTTTTCTGTTCATATTTCTTCAGATAGCTTTCTGATGTATTTCAGGGCCACATCTCTGGCATCTGGTAAATGAATCTCTAAGACATATTATATTTTAGCAAACCTTCATCAAGTTTGTAATTATGAAAGTAATGATAATAATAATTACCATGTATGTGTCAGGTAGTGTGCTAAGTGCTTTATAAATAATATCTCATTTGACCCTCATAATAACCTAAGGATTGGTTTGGTTATTATCCCATTGTACAGATACTGAGACTGAGGCTTAGAGAGGTTAACTGCCTCCTGCAAAATCAACAGCTAGAATGTAACAGAGCCAAAATTCAACAACAGATATATACACATGCCTCTAACGCCCCACTTCTTAAGTGCTAATCCACTAGACTGCATCAAAGATGTTCCTCATATGTTGCTTTCTTTGACCAGCCATAATTTTTTTTAAACCACTGTCATTCACACAGAAATAGAGACATCCCAAGGCTTTTCTATAAGGCTTTTGAGTAAATAATTTTATATTTTCCAATTTCTCCATAAGGGATGGTGAATGAATATATAATATATAAATAAATGAATATTCATTTATACATTCATTACATATATTTTGTTCATAATATATAAATGAATGGATGAATTAATTTATAAATTTATGATATATAAATGAATCCATTCATTTATGTATTATTCACATAGAATTTTCACTAAGATACTCTCTCGTGCCCTTTCCAATTTGCATCTTGTATCAAATAGTTACATACTATGTAGATACTACAAAGAGTGTGTGGTCAGTCTAGTTTCTTTGGGACTAAAATTCAGTCACAGTAAACAATTTATCAGTTATTTTAACAGATCAATGACTTAAAATAAGTAGCATTTTAGTTAGCAGTCTAACAAAGCATATTCTTGCAGAATTTCTACTCCTCGAAATTAATAACATGAACACTGTAGTGAATAATGTATGGCACTGGTAGATTCTCATGTACATGTATGAGTCTGAAATTCAGGTATATGTCTTTTCAGTACAATGTGAAATTGGAGCTCTAATTATCTTCCACTAAAACTTGAAAGATGAAGCTCAGAAACACAGGAGTTTTACTCACTGCCTTCCACCCTCTGGGCACTCACTTTTCTGTGAGAAAACCCTTATCACTATCTCACAAGCTGTTCTGCTTCATGTATCAGACGAAGGCGGTGGGGTGGGTGGGGAGGATTCATTTTCCCATAGAGAGTAATCGCCTCCCCTTTGTACAGGATGACGACAGGCCGATGATTGATGTCATGGATCAGCTAAGTTCTTCCATTCTAGAAAGTTTTATTCATGTAGCAGTTTCGGATTCAGTAAGTACACATTTGATTCCAATTAATGGCTCTTAAAAGCTCTGGACCTATCTAAAATAGTCAGTGAAAAATTATGTGGAATAATTTGGGTGTTTATGTCAGATTAATAAACTGACCCAAAGGTACTTATGAAGATAAGACTAGTTTTTCAGATGTTAATTTAAGAGACATTCAGATAAATTTCACACAAAATCTGGATCTTAGGAATATAGATAATATTTTTAAACAACAGTTTTAAGAATTGCTCAGGATTCTTAAGGAAAATTACTTTGCCTTTTTCATTGTACTTATCACTTAATACTATATGTAACACTTAATATTGTACTTAATATGTAACTTCTATTTATGTGGTACTTTATAGTTTACAGAGTGCTTTCACATTTATTATTCGATTTGATTCTCACAGTTACTGAAACTCAAAAATGTTAAGGGGTAAGTCCACAGTCACACAAAAGGAGAGTTTTAAAGCCCAGGGTCAAGTCTGGGCTCTCGAACTCTCCTCCCCAGGTTTGGACTCTGAACCTAGGAGAGCTTTATCTGCTACACAAATACATTCTTCCTTTTTAAAAGCACATTGGCAACTTTCAATTTCCTGAACAAGTGTAGAAGGGAAATTTAAACTGATTTTAGTTATCTGACTTTTAAAAAATAAAAGTATAATAACAGGACCTGGATTAATTTGGGCTAAATAGCTGAAGGGAGGCAGGGCAGAGCTGAGACTCCTTGCAGAATCCATGTTACTGATGTTGCTGATGCCTGATGTGCAGATACTTGTCAGATAATTATAAATGTATACAAAACCTGAAGACATTTCAGAGCTCTTCATGGCCTTTTCTAACTTGATTGAAAACAGATTCCTATTTTTAGTGGCCCTGTTCTTGCTTATGATCATAATAATAATACACTAAAACTATAAGCCAGGTACTGCAGACCTTAACAGTAATAGTGAAATAGTCCTACTTCTTTTAGAATTTCAAATTGTTCTGACATGGAATGGAATACTAAGCTTTGTTTAATGTACGTATCCTACTTGCCTACAGATAACACTTTATATTTTGTTCATGTGCTTTTGTTCTGTGTGTACCAAAATCAAAATCTTAACCTGGGTAACCAGCTCAGCAATACTGCAGTTAGGAAGATATACAGAAACGGGGAGAGAGTAATGGGAGAAGCAGTGACTGCTTTGTGCCAGGTGTTTTTACAGCTGTTACTTCATGTAATTCACTGAAAGATTTGGTGAGATCAGCATTATAATTCCCAAGTCATAAATTCAATACACAGAGATTCTGGGATGTTCAGTACTTTTCTCAGGTCACAGGCTTTGGGCAGAGCCTATGTTGCCATCTCATCTCTCAGGCTCTGTAGCTCCAGCTCTGCCCCTTACAGCCTATTGACCATTGAGGCCACAATTATAACACTCTTACCCATGGGAACTCATAAACCCAACAGTTAATTCATCATTTTACATGCCTAACAAACATAAAGGCAGTGTCCTCTCTTGGCACAATAGCTAGATTATTTGAAAATTGATGTCCCCTGAACTTTGGTATCTAGACTTAAAAGAGAACAAAATGGAATATAAGAACTTACTAATATAGATATTTATCTTTCAAGAGATTTCAAGAGATTTTTATTTTTGCTTGCTATCATAGGGCAAGAATATGTGGGTATCTTGGCCAGGTGTGGTGGTTCACGACTATAATCCCAGCACTTTGGGAGGCCAAAGAAGGCAGATCATTTAGAGTTCAGGAATTCGAGACCAGCCTGACCAACATGGTGAAACCCTGTTTCTTCTAAAAAATAATACAAAAATTAGCGAGGTGTGGTGGCGATTGCCTGTAATCCCAGCTACTGGGGAGGCTGAGGTACAAGAATCGCTTGAACCTGGGAGGCGGAGGTGGCAGTGAGCCAAGATCACACCACTGCACTCCAGTCTGTGTGACAGAGCAAGACTCTGTCTCGATAAATAAATAAATAAATAAATAAATAAGAATACGTAGATATCTTATCTCAAAAACTGTCAGTAGAATGTCCTTCATAAAAGGGATTGTGCTTAGCCATCTCTCTAAATCAAAGGGAAGATATTTCAGTGTAAGGAAAGATAGAGAAGATCATAGCTTTAAGAACGTGTTAATTACAATGATAAAAACACATTTGTGAATCTCAGAGATGAATAACTTTTCAGAATTTTAAAATACTGAATCCATGTTTCAGTTTAAATTTACTGTCATATATTCATTCAACAAATAATTAGTGAACAGTTTCTGTGTATTGATGCACAGTGCTCTGTGGCAATAAACCTGTCAAAATGTGACCCAGGTTCTTAAATTTTGCACTTAAGCTGCTTATCATCTAGCATAGGAAGACTGATGACCACACACCAAGGTCAAATGTGGTAGGTGCAGGATTGGTGTTTCAGATTCAAAGCCAGCCCAGTGCACTCAGCAAAAGCACTGTGCAAGAATGAGTAGTCAGGCTGAGCCTTGATGAGGATGGATAACTTCAGTTCGGGTTTAACTTACAACCTACCTCTTATACCTACAGGCAACATTACCACTCACCCACAATGTGGATCTGCAGTGGTTGGTGGAATGGAACGCAGTCCTGGTCAATAGCCATTATGATGTGAAAAGCCCTTCCCATGTCTGGATATTTGCACAGTCTGTCAAAGACCCCTGGGTCCTCTGCCTCTTCAGCTTCCTCCGGCAGGAGAACTTACCCAAGCACTGCCCCACAGCCCTCAGCTATGCCTGGCCTTATGCCTTCACTCGGCTCCAGTCGGTGATGCCTCTGGTGGACCCAAAGTAAGGGATTCTTGTGTTTTCCTCTGCCCTCTTGTTTTTCCATTTGCCCTCTTAAATTTTCATTTTGTGTAAGAGATTGGGATGTTATCATCCCAATTTCTGAACTTCCTACTAGAGAATTCTTAACATTGAGTAAAAACATTAAAAAAATTTTGTCTAAAGCTAGTGGTTTTTTGCCTTAATAATCAGTATGATTGTCTAAGTCTATAATTTCAGACTTTTAATGGTAAAAGATACTTTAAAGTTCTTCTGTTTGACTTTTCATCCAATGCAGATACTCTTTGAATAACATTCTTAATCGACAGTTGTTCAACTCTATTTGAGTACTTCCTATGATCTTTATTTAATAAGTGATATTTAAAATCCAGAACTTAGTTTCACTCTTGTTTTCGACTCCATATTTCTAGTAGCCCAATTAATGCCAAGAAAACCAGCACTGCCGGCAGCGGAGACAACTATGTTACTTTGTGGAGAAATTACCTAATTCTTTGTTTTGGAGTTGCAAAACCCAGTATTATGAGCCCAGGACACTTAAGAGCTTCCACTCCAGAAATAATGGCGACCACACCTGATGGTACAGTGAGCTACGATAACAAGGTGACATGACATGCTTCAGAAGAATTATTCTGTAAGGTTTTTTTTTAGCTTGTTTGTCTAGAGTTCACAGTGCAAATTGCACTGTGCCTGCCATCTGGAGTATTATGGGATCAGATTTTCATCCTACACATTTCTAAATTCCATTGAGTGTTTATATGAATAATTTATTACTCCTCCCTGACAAGCAGGGAACCAAAGATAAAGAAAAGTTGAGAAACCTGCTTAAGACCATAGAGTGACTTGTATTTATTCGTGCCCTGAGGTTTGGTTTGTGTCCTACAACACCACACTACATTTCTTTCACTCCTCACTGAGTATTCACCTTTAAATCATGCCTTGATTAAATAAATTATCTTGTTAAAGATAGCTTTATAGACTTAAATGGTTTTAAAAAGAAGACCGTTATAAAAAAAATTTCTTTAGAATTTGTGTTCCAGGTGAGAATTGCATTCATTTTGCTGTATTAAATTTGTGTGTGTGTGTGTGTGTGTGTGTGTGTGTGTGTGTGTTTCCTGAAATGATGGCAGTGCCTTGGGATATGGTTCAGTACTTTGAAACTGTTATAATGGGATCATCCTTTGATTAAAGGAACCATCAGTTACCATGTTACCTCTTTTTCACTTGTATTCAACTTATTTCAGGCCATAGGCACCCCATCGGTGGGAGTTCTGTTAAAGCAGTTGGTGCCTTTGATGAGACTAGAGAGCATTGAGATCACAGAGTCCTTAGTTTTAGGATTTGGAAGAACAAATTCCCTTGTTTTCAGGTACAGTAGTCTTAATGAGTTGTTCTAAATTCATACATGCTGCTGCTATTGTAGTTCCTTTATTAACTCAGATTTGAGTCTGTGTGTTGGCGTGTGCCCAGAGAGTTTATAGGCTTTGTGTGACTTCCCACTACATCGTCTTGGTTGATGTGCATGTAACAAGCATTCCTTGCAACTGCCTCTCCTGTCACTTTTAGTCATTGCAACTTTGATTTTACCTCTCAGATTTTATTTCACTGGCAAGCTTTGTTTTAGACAACTAAAAATGAAGATAGTTCAGTATCAATCCCAGTTGGCCAGACTGTTCAGAGGTTATCACATCAAAATAATAACAGTCTGCTCATCAGCCATTTACCCAACAGATTCTCAAAGGTTAAGCATTGATAAAACCCTTTCCAATGTGTTCAGTTCCATTGGTTGATCTTTCTATTTTTTTTTCTTTTTTTTTTTCTTGAGACGGAGTCTCGCTCTGTCACGCAGGCTGGAGTGCAGTGGCGCAATCTCAGCTCACTGCAACCTCTGCCTCCTGGATTCAAGCGATTCTCCTGCCTCAGCCTCCTGAGTAGCTGGGGCTACAGACCCGCGCCACCACATCCAGCTAATGTTTGTATTTATAGTAGAGACGGGGTTTCACCATGTTGACAAGGCTGTTCTCGAACTTCTGACCTCAAGTGATCCACCCGCCTCAGCCCCCCAAAGTGCTGGGATTACAGGCGTGAGCCACCATGCCCGGCTTCATTGATCTTTCTATAGGGCACTTTCTTTGCCTTAATGTAACCATATACCTGCTTTCTGGATTCCTTATTTATTCACATTTGCAATCAAATAATCATTCCATCTGAAGTACTGTCAAAGCCTTTGAAAGAAACATTGTAAAATGTTAGTTTGGTTTGCCTCTGATGACTTTAGATAAGCAACAAAACCCTATAAAGACAAATAAAATCGCAAACAAAATTTTCCATGTAGATAGAAATGAGAAACCTCCAAGCATTTATGAGAAACCCTACTTGAAAAATAAAGATTAATAAGATGTTTTAGAGGCTATTGAAAAAGATCTAAGTTACTTATGGTTAGAGTCAGATTTTATTCTTTTGTTTGTTTATTTTTTTGAGATGGAGTCTCGCTCTGTCACCCAAGCTGGAGTTCAGTGGCGTGATCTTGGCTCACTGCAACCTCCGCCTTCCAGGTTCAAGCAATTCTCCTGCCTCAGCCTCCTGAGTAGCTGGGATTACAGGCACGCACCACCACTCCTGGCTAATATTTTGTATTTTTAGTAGAGACAGGGTTTCACCATATTGGCCAGGATGGTCTCGAACTCCTGACCTCGTGATCTGCCCACCCCGGCCTCCCAAAGTGCTAGGATTACAGGCGTGAGCCACCACGCCCAGCCCAGATTTTATTCTTAAAAGAAGTAATTGTGGGTTCTGACTGCGTAGGTTACCAGTTAACCAGAGTTTTACTAGTTATTGGTTAATTAATTAAGACAAAATATCATATAGAAATACAAGGAGATGGACGGGTGCAGTGGCTCATGCTTGTAATCCCAGCACTTTGGGAGGCTGAGGTGGGTGGATCACCTGAGGTCAGGAGTTTAAGACCAGCCTGGGCAACATGGTGAAATCCCGTCTCTATTAAAGTACAAAAATTAGCCAGGCGTGATGGTGTGCACCTGTAGTCCCAGCTACTCGGGAGGCTGAGGCAGGAGAATAGCTTGAACCCGGGAGGCAGAGGTTGCAGTGCACTCCAGCCTGGGCAACTGAGTGATACTCCGTCACCAAAAAAAAAAAAAAAAAAAAAGGAAAGAAATACAAGGAGATAACAATAACAATCCCTGAAATTACCCAACATTCTTACCTGAAGAATCTAAGATTGTTTTGCATATATAGACCTCTAAATACTTCTGGAGGCAGGTAAGATTATGCAACCAACTAGCCTCATGAGTCTAGAAAACTTAATGTCTCTGGGCCTCAGTTTTCTCAACTGTAAAATTGGCATAATAAATAAAAATATATAAGTGTATCTGTCTAATTTTTTAAATGTTAGTATAGAGAATCCATCTCATAAATTTATTGAGAAGGCATATTAAATGTAAATATTCACAATGTAAATATTTGTTAAATGGTAGCTGTAAAGTGGAGGAAATTATCGATGTTATTCCCATTTCTTCGATGAAGAAATTCTAATGTCTGCATTGGAGAAATCAGGAATAGAACCCAGGCTTTCTGTCTCTCGATATGGAATGTCATAGAGTTTATCTTCCTGTCTTTGGATTTTCCTGGCTAGTGATGTTTAATAGAACAAAATATCCTACCAGAAAGTACAAGGTTTTCAAACTTGGGCATACTACAGACAAAATACCTACATACTAGTCTGACAACAAGCTACATCTTATCTTTTTGTCTGTTTTTTGACCTAGCAATTCAGAAGTTATTTCTTGAAGAAGAGAACTAATTAGATTAGAAAGTGTAATGTTGAGAACTGGAGATAATCAGAACAAAGATATATACTGTGATCAAGACTTACATTTTTACTACATAAAAGAAAAGGTTTTGATGGGAATCTCACAATTTTAGTACTTGCCATACAGAATTTTTTATTTATTATATAGTGGAAATAAAGGAATTTAGTTCTGAAATCCAAAAAAGGCTTTGTTTTAAAGTCAACTGTAAGTCAGTTTGCGGAGCACAGATCCCAAATGCAGCACTGTGGTAATTGCACCCATCTCTTTTCCACTAATTAGACTGAAAATTTCTTGTGTACAGGGGCTCAATTTTATTTATCTTGAGCTCCATAGCTTGCAGTAAAGTGCTTGAATTTAGCAAATACTTGGAAAATATTGTTTGTTTAATTGTTCACATAGGGTTTTGTTTTTTTGTTTGTTTGTTTGTTTTTTGCCATAGAGATCTCCAGAACATTAAATCAAAATCAAGTCAACAAATAGATTTTAAGCCAGAATTATATGCATAGCACTGGAATTAAGACCAGTAATACAAAGTATAGGCCAATACCTGTTTCCAGCTTAGCACGTGATTGGGAAATGGAGAGATCAGGGAGATTGTGATGTCAGAAGCAAAGTGTAAAAAGCAAGTGATTTGGGATTAAATGGATATAGAGTATTTAGTGACAAGTTTGGTGTCAAAAACAATGAATTTCAAATTTGACCTTTTTCCTCCACAGAGAATTGGTAGAAGAACTTCATCCATTAATGAAAGAAGCTCTGGAAAGAAGACCAGAGGTAAGAATTTGAATTTAAAAAATTAAGGCTTGGTTTTTTGGACAATCATCTGAATTTAAATCAAACCTAGTGATTTCCCCTAAAGAATACAAACCCCTAACACCTTTTAACAAATGAATCTTTATATTTTAACTTTTGTTGTTTTTATTATTTTTCAGTTTTCATTATTTAGTATAAAATGGTTCTATAGATTTTATGTCCTAAACATACAAATGCAAAACAACTTAAAATACTCATGTTTGTCAACTATTACATTCTTTTGCAGGAGGTTTGAGTTAAAATTGAATTTTGGGTTTTTGTGTGTTTGCTTGTTTTTTCACAAGGAGTTGAATGGCCAAGAATGTAATTTGTTTCATCTGGCATACGAGGCATTTTCCCTAGCATCACCTTCCCTGAAGTGAATTCTGAAAAGGATGAACTTATAATGTACCAGGATAAAAATAATAATAAGACTAGAAAAGGGCCAGGCGCGATGGCGCACGCCTGTAATCCCAGCATTTTGGGAGGCCAAAGCGGGCAGATCAAGAAGTCAAGAGATCGAGACCATCCTGGCCAATATGGTGAAACCCCATCTCTACTAAAAACACAAAAATTAGCTGGGCGTGGTGGCACGCGCCTGTAGTCCCAGCTACTCTGGAGGCTGAGGCTGGAGAATCACTTGAACCTGGGAGGTGGAGGTTGCAGTGAGCCGAGATCACGCCACTGCACTCCAGCCTGGGTGACAGAGCAAGACTCTGTCTCCAAAAAAAAAAAAAAAAAAAAAACCTAGAAAAGGAGGCTTCTCATATAGTAGCAATGATACAAGAAATAGCAGAAATTAGGTCAGGTGCAGTAGCTCATGCCTGTAATCCCAGCACTTTGGGAGGCCAATGTAGAAGGATTACTTGAGGCTAAGAGTTTGAGACCAGGCTGGGCACATAGCAAGACCTAGGTCTACAAAAATGTTTTAAATTAGCCGGGTGTGGTGGTGCATGCCTGTAGTCCCAGCTACTAGAGTAGCCAGGTGTGGTGGTGCACGCCTGTAGTCCCAGCTACTCGAGAGGCTGAGGCAGAAGAATCACTTGAGCCCAGGAGTTCGAGGTTATAGTAAGCCAAGATCACACCACTGCACTCCAGCCTGGGTGACATGGTGAAATCCTATCTCAAAAATAAATAAATAAAATGTAAAAATAAAGAAATAACAGAAATTCAGCAGTGTGAATAAGAACAAACAGTGTTACTTCCATGACCAGAACTGGGATTATTTCATGTCCCCTGCCCCTTTCACTGGTTTGAGATGCTTCTGCCTTTCAGCAGACACTGGGAGCATCTGGGAAATGAGGCTTGTTGGTTCTCAACATTGCCACCTAATATTTACTGACCCACTTATGATGTTTTTTTTTCTTACAGCCTGTAGATAGCAAGCATTTCCTCTGAGGATTAGGAAGAAAGAAAAATGTATGCTGACTTTTATGCTTAGAAAATTGAAAATGACTAGATTATGCCTTTTGTTAATACCATTTTCTAAAACAAAGTTAATATTGTTTTGCCTGTGTCTGTAAGTGATACTACCTCTTTCTACACAGAACAAGAAACGCCGAGAACGGCGAGACTTGTTAAGGCTACAACTACTTCGAATTTTTGAACTTTTGGCTGATGCTGGTGTAATAAGTGACAGGTAGGATCAGAATTCTACCGAGTTGCTCTCTTCTCACCAGACTGATCTTTTTGTTTTCTTTCTGTCTCTCTCTTTTGTCTTTTCTTTGTTTTTAAATATAATACCCTTAACTTAGAAAAATCCAAAAACTCGCTTTTTCTTTTTTCATATTTTCTTTACACTGCATATAGGTTAGGAACAACTTTAGTGTGTGAGTTGTGACAGTGAATCTTAGTTTTCATGAAGCCTGTATTACTTTGACATAAAGACTGATCATCTAAAAGTTTCATTTTCCTTTATTCCAGCACAAATGGAGCCCTAGAGCGGGATACTTTAGCCCTGGGAGCTTTGTTCTTAGAATATGTGGACTTGACCCGCATGCTCCTAGAAGCTGAAAATGACAAAGAAGTTGAAATTCTTAAAGATATCCGGGCACATTTTAGTGCAATGGTGGCCAACTTGATTCAGTGTGTTCCAGGTACGGTGATCCGTTACAAGAAATTACCATTCATGCTTGGAAGCCCATTCGTGTTCTTTATTACGGTGCTTTCGTCTTTAACCCTACTGGCCTTTATGCAGGTCTGGGATGGTGAAGTTTATTTACTTCGAGATACTAGGACATATATATGAGAACAGATTGTCATTACTCAGCACAGAGTTGGAAGGGGAATGATAAGTATTAAATTTGGCTTTGTGTGTGTCATTTCTATTCTTTGTTTTGGTTTCCATCTGAAAATGAACTGATGTGATTTCCATAGGAAGGAAGTAATTCAGAAGGAACATTCACACAGGCTTCATTTTTTTCACATTGTCTCTGTACTAATCTGTGAACAGGTAATTTCAGCAATATTTCTTCTCTCTGACTCTACCCTACCAACACATTAAATGTAATTCTATAAAGCTTAATATATTTTACATTTGATTAAATATTACATTATGGAGAAAATTATCTTTCACAGAGCAAATGGGTATGAAACATCTTCATTCTAATAGAACATAGAAAATAAAATATCTGGTTAGTTTGCTATAAAAAATTATTCTAATTAAATTTTTTGATATTATTACAAAAAGCCCCTTATCAACTAATATTTCCGCTTTTCGCTATTTTGATGTTAATAACCTTCTTTACCAATCCTTCTCATCTTCAGCGACCCTAAATTAAGATTTCAGTTTACCTCTTCAGTTAAAGCGAAGTACCTATGTGAGTTTGAAATAGACAGTCTATGCTATTTCCGAGTTCTCTTAAAGATGGGCAGCAGTCAAAAAACATTTAATATGTAAGCAGCAGCTGAGTGGGAAGTGTTGCAGTTTTCCCAGGTATTGATTAGAAAAAAATCTCTGCAGGTCCTATTTTTGATCTTTCTTTCCCACTCTGAGTCAAGGTGCTGCTGGCTGCAACGTGAGGACAGGAAGAGTGCACACTTAGAAAAGAAAATGTGGCTTGACTTTTTAAGTGCATGTTTCATTGCCTAAAGAAAACTGTAGTTAAAAAATGAAGTGGTTCCTTTCCTCAAAATGTAAGAAATATATATAATAGCGATATACAGTATGTCCAGTCTTATAACCTCTAAGTGTGTTTTTCTCCCTAGTTCACCACCGAAGATTTCTCTTCCCCCAGCAAAGTCTGAGGCACCACCTTTTCATCTTATTCAGCCAGTGGGCAGGACCCTTCAGCATTATGTTCACTCCTCTGGATCGTTACAGTGACAGAAATCATCAGATTACAAGATATCAGTATTGTGCATTAAAAGTAGGTGATATTGTACTCACGAATGACTGAGTCAGATGGATGGTCTCTCTCGTTAAACTAATAACCATGCCTTAAAAATAAGCTTAAAATAAATAATACAATATCATAGAATAAAATCTAAGCGCACATACAAAAAAATCACATGGACACACACGTACATAGCTTTTCTAAGCTCCCATTTTCTTCTCATATTTCTCCTGTATGGGAACCATATATTTTTGCTCATTTACCCATTATATAGCTGTCTTGTCAATTAACTTTCAACCTAAAAAAGAAAAAAATAGACATCACCTCAGGTTCAAAATCTACCCAGAGCGACATTCCCTTTTTAATCTCCTTCTATCCTAGAAGACTGCCAGAAATAAATTTCCCCCCAACTAGGACTATTCAAAATCTTCAGAAGCATGACTCCTTTACAGCCTAATTTCCTTCAGAAAACTAACTGTATATCAGCTCTGTCATACAGAACATAAGTTGCTGACTCTCAGATTACCTTTGCCTCGGTGGAACTAATTTAAACTATGGCCCTGATAGTCAGTTGGACCTGCCAATTGCAAAGTTATTCAAGATCTCCTCTTCTCCTACTTTCCCTTGATTTATCCCTCCACCCACCCCTTTAGAGGAACTAAAGTTTTTATTTTTCATTTTATTTACCTTTGATTAAGGATTATAATTATTTACTTTCATACTTTTCATATATTTTATACTGTCTCAGTTCAATACGTTAGTCCAATATTTGTCGTAAAAGCAAAATTCGAAAAGCTATATTTATCTTATAAGCAGAATTCACTTGAAACATTGAAGGAAAGCTTATTTTAAATATTGCAAAATAGTTTTTTGGTTTTGAATACTTACTCTGATCATAAAGAGTTGTTATAATTATAAAATTAAATGTCCACAAAGGTAAACTTATGGGTTTTTAATTCTTATGAAAAGAGCCAAATTTGGAATCTGGTATTTTTTATTAAAGCTACTAAAGAATGCTTTAAAAATCATGGGGAAATAAGTGTCTTTAGAGGGCCCTTATCATTTATAATTCTGACAATTATGGTTTATAAAGTCAGTTGGATACCATTAGATCATTCCAAGTTTCATTTCCATGTCTTGTTGTGTTTTTATCATCAGGCAATGTCAGCAGTACTGTGCTGTGGCCCTGTCTTTGACAATGTGGGCCTTTCCCCAGATGGCTACCTATATAAATGGCTTGACAACATTCTGGCTTGTCAAGATTTACGAGTAAGTATAGGCAAAAATACATTGTTTTTGAATGTCTTCTGTGTTCTGCCTCAGTTGAGTTACTGAGATGTGTAAGCATTGTTCACAATACCTCTTCACACATCAGCCACACAAGTATAGATTTATGTGTTGTTTGCTTTACGCTATGATACATCAAGATAAAAAAGATAGTAACATTTATCAAAACTGACCATAAGCTGGGTCATAAAGCAAATCTCAACAAAGGTCACATTAGTGAAATGATAGAGACTATGTTCTCTAATCAGAGTAGCATTAAGTTGGTATTCAATTCAATAACAAAAAGATAATTTTAAAAAATACTTCCTGATAACCAGTGAGTTGAAGAATAAATTACTATGGAAACTGGAAAATATTTTTAACTGAAGAATAATGAAAGTACTATATCCTAAACTTGTGGGCTGTAAGTAAAGCCTTTCTTAGAATGAAATGCATAGCCTTAAACACATATACAAGAGGACTTCAAAAAGTTTTGTGGGAGAATAGAATTAAAAGATAAAAATTTTAAAAATATAAACTTTATTTCTTAATAATCTCCATCAAGGTTAAGACATTTTTCGAAGTCTTTGCTTACTCCATGCCTAAAGAATCCATCCCAGACCTAAGTCCTGGAAACTTAACCATGTCAATGCCACGTTCTCTACATTATTACCTGAAGAAAATTCGTGACTTTTAGAGATTTTTTTAAGATGAGGAAACCAAAAGAAGTCAGAAGGAGCCAAATCAGAACTGTAAGATGGATGCCTAATGATTCCCCATCAAAACTCTTGCAAAATTGCCCTCATTTGATGAGAAGAATTAGCAGGAGCATTGTCATGGTGAAAAAGGACTTTCTGGTAAAGTTCTCCCAGGTATTTTTCTGCTAATGCTTTGGCTAACTTTCTCAAAACACTCTTATAATAGCAGATGTCATTGCTCTTTAGCCTTCTGGAAAGTCAACAAGCGAAATTCCTTGAGAACCCCAAAAATCTATTGCCATGACCTTTGCTCTTGAATAGTCCACTTTTGCTTTGACTGGACCACTTCCATCTCTTGGTAGCCATTGTTTTTATTGTGCTTTGTTTTTAGGATAGCACTGGTAAAGCCATGTTATATCTCCTGTTACAATTCTTTGAAGATCTATAGAATCTTAATTCCATTTGTTGAAAATTTTCATTGAAAACTCTACTTGTCTACTGCTGATGAGTTTTGGTGCCCGTCACATGGAACATTTGCTAAAGTTTAATTTTTCAGTCAGAATTGTATAAGCTGAACAGATTGAGATGTCTGTAGTGTTGGTTATTGTGTCTGCTGTTAATCGTCAGTCCTCTTTAATTAGGGCACAAACTAAGTGAATTTTTTCCTCACAAATTGGTATGGATGGTCTACCACTGTGGGCTTCATCTTCAACATCATCTTAAAACAGGTTTTCTATTTGTAAACTGCTAATTTCTTTGGAAGAATTGCCCCATACATTTTTTTAAAGCAGCAATGATTTCACTATTCTTCCACCCAAGCTTCACTATAAATTTGATATTTGTACTTGCTTCAATTTCAGCAGGATTCATGTTACTCTGATAGCGGCTCTTTTCAAACTGATGTCTTCTCCTTCTTAGTGCCTCAAACTAAATTCTGTTCAGACATGTTATAACAAGTTAGCACAAGTTTATTTTGGTGCAAAAAATTTTTAATCCATGCATAATTTTTTCATAATATACATTTTCCATGAGCTTTCTGAAGACTCTCATATTAAAGAGAGAAAAGGTGGATAATCAATGACCTAAACATCCATCACAAGAAGTTAGAAAAAGAATAGACTATCAAACTCAAAAACAGTACCATGAAGGAAATAATAGAAATAAGAGTAGAAATTAATGAAAGAGAAACAAATTAATGGTAGTGATCACTAAACCAAAAGTTGAATTTGTTACAATACTAAAAAAAATCATAAATCCATGGCAAGTTCAATCAAGAAAGAGAGAGTGACTTTCTTTAAAGTGTTAAAAAAAAGAAGACTATAAAACCAGATGGCTTTGCTGATGAATTCCACTGAACATTTAAAGAAAAAATTGCATGGATTCAATGCAAATTCTTGAAGAGAAAACAGATGAAGAGGAAATACATCCCAGTACATTTTGTGAAACCAGAATAACCTTGATAATAAAACAAGAAAAGGTTGTAGCAAGAAAGAAAATTAAAAGGCAGTCTCATTCATGAGATTGTCTCTAATACATAGATACAAAACTTTAAATAAAATATTAGAAAATTGAATTTAATGATATAGAAAAAAGATGATTTACCATGGTCAAATTGGGTTTATTGAAGAACTGTAAGGTTGGTTAATATTCAAATGTCTGTCAGTTCATTCACATATTAACTATATTCACAGAATCTCAAAAACATGATCTCAGATGTACGAAAAGCATTTGTTAAAGTTCTACATTTATTCATGAGAAAAACTCCTGGCAAAACTACAAATAGAAAAGAACATCCTTAGTTTGACAAAAGGCACCTTGAAAAAAAAAACACCCTATGAGCACCATATTTAATATAAAATATGTAAACATCATATTTAATAGTTAATTTGAAAGTGTTCTCTCTGAGATTAAAATGGCCAAGGAAGCTTACTGTCACCACCTCTATCAACATCATACTGGAGATCCTAGCCAATGCAGTAGGAAAGAAGGGATTATAAAGAATAATAAAACATAAATAAAACTCATTGCTCACAGGTGACACAATTGTGTGTGTAGGAAATTCCAACAAGTCTTTAGATAAAGTGTTGGAATTAATCAGTGAATTTAGCCTGGTTGCCATATGAAAGGTCAAAATTAAAAATCAATTATATTTCAGTACAGCAACGATGGGGAGCTGGAAAAATAAATTTTTAATTATGCCACTTATAATGGCATTTTAAAATTAGGAATTAACATTGGAATTAACATTAAACACTCAGGAATAAACCTAACAAAAATGTGCAAGGCCTCATACATAGAAATATATAAGGCATTAGTGAGAAAAATTAAACATCTAATAAATGGAAGAATATACCATGCTATTGAATAGGAAGATTCACTATTGTAAAGAAGTCAGTTCTCCTCCAGAATGATTTATGGAGACAATGCAATTCCAGTCAAAATCCGGGCAGGATATTTGTGACAACTGAAAGTTCCTTTCAAGACCAGAAATAGCTAAGATAACTTTGAACACTATAATCAAAGTGAGAGGATTGACTTCAGCAGAAACCAATACTTACTATAAACGTATGGTCATTAAAACACTGAACTACTGACCAAGAATAAGTATATATACCAATGGAGTAGAATAGGGAGGCCAGAAAATTACCCATGTATTATGTATATGCATACATGGTTTATTTCAAAGATGGCACTGCAGAGCTATGAGAAAAATGGTTTTTTTCCAATAAGTAATTTGGGGTCAATTGGATAGCCTTACTAAAGGAAAGAAAGAAAAAGAAATTTGATCCTTTCCTCACACTTTACAAAAATTCATTGCAGATGGATTGTAGATCTAAATGTAACAGCTAAAATAATAGTCTCTAGAAAAGAATCCAGAAGAATATCTTCATCCCTGGGGTTACAGTAAGATTTCTTGAGCAGAATGCAAAAATTACTAACCCTGAGGAAGAGCTGTTAACTTTTATTCACCAAAAGACACCATTAAGAGTGTGAACAGGCTAGCCATAAAGTGAGAGATGTCTATAACACACAGTCAGCAGAGGGTTCTTATCTAGAATATATAAAGGACCCCTACAAATAAATAAGATAAATACAGACTGAATAGAAAAATGAGCAAGAAACTTAAGCAGTTCACCGAAGAGGTTATCTAACTGACCAGTAAACATAAGAAAACATTCTCAAGCTCATTAATAATCATGTATCTTAGTCCATTCAGGCAGCTATAACAAAATATCATAGACTAGTGGCTTATCAACAACAGAAATTTATTTCTCACAGTTTTGGAGGCCAAGAATTCCAAGGTTAAGGTGCTGGCAGATTTATGTCTGGTGAGGGCCTTTTTCCTGGTTCACAGGCAGCAGTCTTTTTGCTGTGTCCTCACTTGACATAAGAGACAAGGGAACTCTCTGGGGTCTTTCTTATGAGAGCACTAATCTCATTCACAGGGCTCCCCACCTCATGACCTAATCACCTCCTAAAGGCCCCACCTCCAAATACCACCACCTTGGGGGTTAAGATTTAAATATGAATTGGAGGTTGCGGGGATACAAACATTCAGTCTATAGCATGAGGGAAATGCAAATAAAAGCCACAGGAGACAAAATTATATACCATATAATTCCATTTATATAGACCTCAAAAACTGCCCATACTAACAAGTAGTGCTAGAAGTCAAGATAGTGGTTTCTCCTGGGTAGGAAAGACAGGCTGGTGTTTAAGAGAGTGCCCAGGGGAGGGTTCAGTGGTGCTGGTAATATTCTGGTTTTTGACCTGGTGGTGATCATAGGAGGGTGTTAAAATGACTCATGATATACATAGGAACTGTATACTATTTCTGTGTATTTTATACCTCAATATAAGTTTCTAAAGTACAATAAAAGCTTGATTCTTCTCTCAAGTCTAACTTTTTAATGACTTTTTTTGTTTTGTTTGTTTGTTTATTTGTTTTGTTTTGTTTTGTTTTTGAGACGGAGTCTCGCTCTGTCCCCCCGGCTGGAGTGCAGTGGCTGGAGTGCAGTGGCGCGATCTCGGCTCACTGCAACCTCCACCTCCCGGGTTCATGCCATTCTCCCGCCTCAGCCTCCTGAGTAGCTGGGACTACAGGCGCCCGCCACCACGCCTGGCTAATTTTTTGTATTTTTAGTAGAGACATGTTATTTTAAGTCATTTGCAATAATATCGTCAGCTTTTATCTGCTGCTAATTACTTAAAGCGAGTTGGGGGAAACTAGGTTGAAGATGTTTGACCATCCAGTTAGAATATCACTCCCACCTAGGCCCAAACCCTGTAAGTAAAAAAACATGAAGAAGCCAGAATCTTGCCTTTTCCACCTGGTTTCAACTGACAAGAAGAGTGAACAACTTTAAGAAGAGGCACCAGAATGTTACTTTTTTTTTTTTTTTTTTTTTTGAGACAGAGCCTCACTCCATTGCCCCAGCTGGAGTGCAGTAGCGCCATCTCAGCTCACTGCAACCTCTGCCTCCCGGGTTCAAGTGATTCTCGTGCCTCAGCCTCCCCAGTAGCTGGGATTACAGGCGCACACCACCATGTCCAGCTAATTTTGTATTTTTAATGGAAATAGGGTTTCACCACATTGGCCAGGCTGGTCTCAAACTCCTGACCTCAAGTGATGCGCCTGCCTGGGCCTCTCAAAGTGCTGGGATTACAGGTGTGAGCCACCACTCTGGGCCAGAATGTTACTTTCTGAGAAGAAAGTAACATATGTAACCTCTAGGCACCAGGCTTCTCCTGGACAAATGTGCATATTCACTGACCATCTAGTATTTGAGAGTAGCTTCAGGCATCATCGATTCAGCATCCTATTAATTCTATCTAGTATGATTTTTTAATTAAAAAACTTTGATTAAAAAGAGTCTACTGAGACTGTATTTCTTTTTGAAAGATAGGCCACTAAGCTTCACAAAGTATATTTAGTAACCAATCCTCATAATCATATTTCCTCTGATTTTTTCCTTAAGAGACTTTGTAGTAGGAATAGACATTGATACACAAGTATACTTCACATCTGCCACTATAATTATCACTATTCCTACTGGCATCAAAATGTTTAGGTGAGTGGCCACTCTGCATGCACGGTGGTAACATCAAATGATCCCCCACAATACTCTGAGCTAATACATAGAGGATACCCTTTTGTATATTGGATTTTTTAAACCAAATACGTGTATTTTTCAGAAATATTTTAAATGCAAAAAAAATTGCCAATAAAGTCTTCGTCCTTTTTTTTTTTTGAGACCTAGTCTCACTCTGTCACCCAGCCTGGAGTGCAATGGCACGATCTCAGCTCACTGCAACCTCTGCCTCCCAGGTTTAAGTGATTCTCCTACCTCAGCCTCCTGAGTAGCTGGGACTACAGGCACCCACCACCACGCCCAGCTAATTTTTTCTATTTTTTAGTAGAGACAGGGTTTCACCATGTTGGCCAGGCTGGTCTCGAACTCCTGACCTCAGGTAATCCACCCACCTCAGCCTCCCAAAGTGCTGGGATTCCAGGCGTGAGCCACCACGCCCAGCCACTCCTTTCCAGAGGTAAAAATTGAGAATAGATGGACCCTATGTAACAGACTTACATGATCAAATTTAATGTATACATTTCAGTTTTCAGTTACGACATTATACTCTTGAAGAATATATGACATAAAAACCAAAATGAAAGCTCGGTCTTCCCTTTCATTTTACTCAGTTTATATTGACTAAGCTTTATCTGTATCTTTCTCTAGAACATTCTTTCATCAAATGGGAATAATATTGATTTGCTCCATGTATTCAGGTTCATCAACTTGGCTGCGAAGTTGTTGTCTTGCTACTGGAACTTAATCCTGACCAAATAAATCTTTTTAACTGGGCAATTGACCGATGCTACACAGGTTCCTACCAACTTGCATCTGGCTGCTTCAAAGCCATAGCAACTGTGTGTGGAAGCAGGTACGAATTTTTATAAGCAGTGATGAGTGGCAAGTATGTTTAGGGTTACTTTTTGTGATATGAATGACGGAGAGCTGTTTTGCAACTATATGAGCAAAGTAAGTTCTATGAGAATATAAAATGTTCTGTATGTCCCCAGCAGGTAAACTACTCCCTGTAAGGTTGCAGTTCCATTGGTTTTTCTCATTTTATCAGGAAATGATTTGTTGTTATAGTACCTTTCTTTTTAATTGCCTGGAAATTCACAGTCAGGTATTACAGCAGGATTTGAAAATGACAAAGAAGATACATTATAGGAATTAAAGGAATGTCTAGAAATGTTTATAACGAGGGTGAACTATAGCCCATCAGCCATCTTTACAGAAGACCAAACCCAGGAAGTGGCCTAAAATTTTTAAACTCACTTTACCCAAAACTTCAGAAAGGAAAAAAAGAAAAGAAAATGTGATACCAAAGGTTCTATAGATTACACTTTTAAAACCATTGCCTTTGTTATATAAATTAGTTATTCAGTGTAGCCATTCAGCATGATTTATGTGCTGAAATAAGTTCATAGCTACCAAGAAAGGGTTAATAAAGATTCTCCAAGTTGCATAAGCTATTCCCAAGAAAGCTTATGTATCAGAAAAATTGAGGGAAACCAGCTCGTTTATTTTTGAAAATATTCATATAGAGTGTCAATTTTCCTTTTTAATTAAATGTTGCACTTTAAATAGCTATCTTGAGCTACCAGATCAAGAGAATAAAAGTGAATTAGTTTTAAATTCCAATCTCTTAGAGGTCTAAGTTAGTAAAAGCGGTATTTTGGAAGACGTCTACTTTCAATAAACCTAAAATGAACATGCTATTTAGAGAGACAAGTTTCTCCTTAAAATTTTTATCTTTCTTTTATAAAGATAGTAGATAACATTTCATATCTAAAGGTTTCAGCAGTAGAGTTTTTATTATAGATTTTAATATGCATAAAAGTTAGAGCAAATGAATATAACCTAAACTGCCTGATTTTCCATCAAGTTTTATTTCCTGTTATAAGCATTACTAAAAAATATACTTTAGGACATTACCAAAGGAACATTGTTACAAAAATCTCTTTGTCCAGAGTGCTTTTTTTTAAATTTTCAGATATTTCAACATTCTAAAAATAAAGTTTTGTTCACATGACCCTTTGATTTTAAAAAATATATTTAGAATCTATGGCTTGGGCTTCTTTCTTTGACAAAAATAAGTTTCACCTCTTCGCTGCCCTTCTCCCAGTGAACTTGGCTTGAGCTATCCTAATCAAATTTATTGCATTGCATGGACATCTCACAAAACATTACACTGCATTTCTCTGAATAAATCTAGGTATTTTTCCTTAGGGAGCACAAATAAGTGCTTAATAAATTTAACAACATAGTCTCAATTTCAATAATATCTCTAGTCACAAAAATATTAGGTCATAAAACCTGCTATGTTCCAAGTATTTTTTTAAGGCATCATTGTACACTATCTTGGTTTCTTAGACAAATATTGCATATCTGTTTGCATTCATGACACTCATCTATTCTGAAGGAAGGGCAGAGGGCAGGAGAATACAATAGCTTGAACCCAACTGTCCAGATAGTGACCAGCATTTCTGCCATTTCTCAACACAGGGCATGTTCAGAATTTAAAATTTCAGCTGTTGCCTAAATTTGCTCTTTCCACATAAATTCTCAGCCTGTGTAGTCTAGACAGGCCTCCAGAGAGGCTTGAGCAGTCATTGTGCTTGAGTTTGCAGTACTTTTTTACAAAACCAATTGTGATATTTTCAGCTCTTGCTTGATTTGTCTTCTGTAAGTTTGCTTCTAAAAAGCAACTGAAGACCTTATGAAATATGTTTCTGAAAAGTCATATGCAAACTGAATTTTATTTTAAGTTTCTCAAACAAGTTATCTACACAGTAACTCCTACAAGTCATTTTCTAAAGCAAAGAATTCTTGTAAGATAAATAATGATCTCCTCCTTTTCAAATAGGAATGATTATATCCTGGATTTATTTGTAGAGGAATATGACAGTTTATAAGTACATTTATTTATTAAGAAACCACTCATAATTGACTTTAAAATACCTAAAGGATTAAATTTTTTTAAATGTTCTTGTTGATTTAAATTTTCTACTTTAGCTTTAGAAAAGAGGATTTGCCATTTTTGCATAATTAATGTATCAGTGTTCATTAGCTGTGGCAATGGGGAAAATGGTTCTCTACATCCTTCTTTTTGGTTACTTTTCCAGCAGTAAAGGACTGTGTGTGAGTGTGAGAGTGTGTGTGTGTGTGTGCATGTGTTGTGAACTTACTGTTCTCTAGTCAAAACTCTACAGCTATGCCATGCTATGACTCTGGTGATATTAGGAGATAGAAAGTCAGAACAGAACTTGAATAGGACCAAAGGAAATGAGGATAAAGATAGAAAGTGATGGTAGAACTGGCAGTATTAATTTTGCAAAATTTTTCATAAAACATGTTAATATATTTGATTAAATGCTATTAGATACAGCTCACTACTATAATTTAGTACAAAAAATTGCTTACTTGTTAGGCAGCTTTAGTTCAAATAACTATTTGGCTTCTGTGTGTGTCCTAATTAATTTTCCCCCACTCCAAATGAGATTAGAATAAGATAGATAAGGAAATTGAGAAAGAAACTAAATGACTTTCCAAGGTTATAAATCAAGGTAAATTGTGTATTAAGAATATAGGCCATTTCCAATCACTAGCTTAACGCACCAGAATTCTCCTCACATTTTAATTAAATACTTAAGAATTTCATTATTTTTACTTTTACCTTCCAACACACTTTTAAAACGTGTTTAATAGATATTTTAGAATTGTATGTAAGAACAAAGTGCAAAGTGTTGATTTTTAAATAATTTTGTTGGATTTATTTTCGGTGGTGGTTTTTGTTGGCATTGTTTGTATGTTTGTTTTTCTTTAAGTTAACATTCTGTAAATCTTCCTAATTTAAGTCAGGCCTAGCAAACTTGAATTCTTAAAAGTGAATGCCTATTTCTTCAGGGAATATTATCCATCTATCAACAAGGAAGACAGGCAAAGCTTATGATTCATAAATCCCAATCACACTCCCTAACTGATGATAAATAGCCCTATTTGGTTATGTGAGCCATCCATCTGGAGTATTTCAGGAGAGCAGAGTTGGGAATCTGGGCTCCAGAAACATACCATCTTGGGTTCAAATCCTCACTCCACCTCTAATCAAGCAGCTGTGTGTTCTTGAACAAGTTACTGCAGTTGCCTACCCACTAGTAAAATAGGGCTGATGATAGGGTTAGAGTAATGATTAAACAAAAACAACCTCTTGGCCTAAGGCCTAACAAATGGTAAATACCCCATAAATAATGTTATTCAATAGTTGTTGGAGGAGAACAGCTGTGAAGTAATCCCCTCAATTAACCAGTAAAATCTTTCTCTTCAGAATACCTCAGAGCCATCTTGAGCTTTGTCACATAGTACTAGGTAAGCCAGAGTAGCGGACATTTCCCAAATTCTTCAACATCTCCTCTCTTCTAGATAGTTTTATTTCTTGTTTACTTTTTGAGTCTCAACTACCTCCCATATTTATTTTATCATTTGATTTTTATTTGGTATGATCACAGCTGTCTTTATCTTTTACCCTTGCTCTGCCTATGCTGAATAATTAAATATTGAAAGGTATAAGATTCCATTTCTCAGCCTGTTTTCAACATCTAAGTACAGATACTTTATTTGTACTCTTTTGCTTATTTGAAATCTCTCTCATTGTTTCCTCCTCTGGGTTTCTTTCATTTTCTGGATCTGTTATTCCTTTCAGTGTTGTTGCTTATGAATTTAATAGCTCATTCTTCAACAACAAAATAAATGCTCTGATTACAAGGTCAAGTGCATGGCCCTGCCTAGTAAGAGGGAGGCTTTGTCTGCCCCTTTCCTGCCTTTAAATCTCCAGCGATCCAGCAATATATTTGGCTCATATATATGTATATTTGTATATATATAAATGTATTAATGTTAGATTCCAGTGTCAGAAGACAGAGACATAGGTAAAGCATCTCTGCTACTATAACACTCAGAAGGGAGTTTCCTTTCTACTTTTATAGGCAGAAAGGTCTGTTCCAAGATACAGCAATTTGTAACAATTCCAAACTTCACTGGCTATGAAATGCACTATCGTGGGCTGTCTAGGAGACTGAGAGCATTGTAGGTAAGAGCTTGAATTCTTTGAAGTCAGACTTATCTAGAAGTCTGGGCTCCACCACTTCTACATGACCTGAAGCAAGTACTTTTCTCTAGGCTTTGCATGCTTGTTGTGAAGATTAAATAACAAATCTAAGTAAAGGTCTTGGCACAGTACCTGGCACAAAGTAAGCACATAATAACATCAGTGTCACCCATCATTCAACATCATTCTTGCACTCATCATCATCACCACCATCATCTGGCGGTAGTTCCCCAGTTTTTCATCAGACCCACCAAACTTAGACTGTGTTTATTTAAAAATACAAGTTACAGAAAAATAAACATTTTGGAGTAAAAATTAATAAACCTATTTTGGATGGCAATATATCAGTATGTACCAAAATTTTAAGTGTGCCCTTTGACCCTGCATGACCTCTCTATGAATTTTTTCTAAAGAAAGGCCAGCACATTTGGTGTTTGTGGCACTATAATAATGAAAAAGTGAAAACAGTCTAAATATCTATCAATGCGTGTCAAAAGTTGGATTTCCCAGGAAATAGACTGAGATGGATATTTGAACGCAGGACATTTATTAGGGTGGGCCCTTGGGGTCAACATCTATGGAGAAATGAAGGAATTAGGACTGGGAAGAGAAAAGAAACCTCAGTCATTCCCACTGGGGCTGCTGCTGGGGAACAGATATGACCTTGACCTAGGCAAACCTCTGGCTGAAGGCAGTTCCCAGAGAAGGCTTCAGATCAAGGATTCAGCTGGAGGATTGAGTGCCTCCATCCTGAAAGAAGGATCTAGGTGGCACACCACAGTACGCATTACAAGAGTAGTTGTTTATGATATGTTCCTAGAATGGAATATGTGGCAGCTATTAGGAAGACTGAAGTGAGCCTTATAGTTCAGTGAAAAAGCAGATCATCAAGCAGTACAGACAGGTGGTGTAATCACATTTATGTTTAAAACCCTGTGCATTGAAGGAGTATTTTGATGCAAATGTCTGTATATAGACTTGGAAGACAGCTGAAATATCAAAATGTTGACAGTAATTGCCTCTTGGATAAGATTAACAATTGGGAGAATGAAAGGACATGAGATACTTCTACATTTTATTCTATTCACCTACCTGCAAGCAACACCAACTTGCAGCCCTGTGAGTGAACCATCTTCAGGGCGGACCCTGTAGCCCTATGTGTTGCTTGAATCTTTTAGAAGAAAAATATATTCATGTCATAAAAATTAATATTTGAGTAATGTTAAAAGTAGAAAAACTTTTTCATGTGTATAATTTCTCACTGAACTTAATGTAAAATGGGATGTATTCATAGTAGGACATGCCTTTCTAGAAAGGTGATTGTCTCATTCTGTTTTCTGTTGCCTATAACAGAATGCCTGGAACTGGATAATTTATAGAGAAAGCAATTTATTCCTTGCAGTTATAGAGACTAAGTCCACAGTCAAGGGGCCTCATCTGGTGAGGGCCTTCTTGCTGATGGGGACTCTCTACAGAGTCCTGAGATGGCTCAGGGCTTCACATGGCAGGAGAGTTGAACATGCTAGCTTCTCTTCCTCCTCTTATAAAGCTACTGGCCCCACTCCTATGATATGTATCAATCCATTAATCCATGAATAGATTAATCCATTCATGAGGGCAGTCTCATGACCCAGTCACTACTTAAAGGCCCCCGTTCTCAATACTGCCACAATGGGGATTAAATTTCAGCATGAGTTCTGGTGGGGCAAACATTCAAACCAAAGCAGTGATTGTTCTAAAACAGAACTTCTTAGATAATGTAATTATGTAGAATCAAAAAAAAGATTCCCAAGGAAAAACAACTAATATGTTTTTTCACCTTCAAACTATCTTTTTCTTCCTGAAGTTTGTTTGAAAATAAATAGCAGTAACTCACCTTCTACATATAAACCGTTTAATAGTTCAACTCAACCAGGTGCAGTTGTTCACACCTGTAATCCCAACACTTTGGAAGGCCCAGTTGGGAGGATCACCTGAGCCCAGGAGGTGAAGACAGCAGTGAGCCATGATCATGCCACTGCACTCCAGCCTGGGCAACAGTGAGACCTTGTCTCAAAAATAAAAAAGAGAGAGAAGAAAAAGTTCAACTCACCAGGAGTTTTCTACTTACGACTTCTTTTCCACTATAATCTAAGAAAATACATATGGTGAAAAGATAACATCTTTAAATAGAATTACATAGCAAGAAAAAAATGGATTTAATCTCTCTATTCTATATGGTTATACTGCCAATTGCCACATAATCTATTCTGTGTTCCTCTCCCCCCATCCCACACATGCTGTCAGTTACCAAATCCTGATGATTTTATCTCCTTAGTGTTCCTCAGATCTCTCCCTTCCTTCTGTCTCTACTGTTTCTGCCCTAATTCCAGCCCTCATCAGTTCCCATTTGCATTCTTGTAATAGCTTCCACTCTTGGCCCCATACAATCCATTCTCCACACAGCAGCCAGAGTGATTCTTCAAAAGTGAATGCCGTGGCCCCCCTCCCCAGGGCAAATCCTGTAGTGCTTCTCTGAAACTTTAGGGTGAAGTCCATAGGCTGGTCATCTTCTGAACCCACCTACTGGCCTAGCCTCGCTTCCTTCTGTTCCTCTACTTATTTTATTCAGTCTACTACACAAAGATTCTTCCCTTTTACAATAGATATCTTGCTGTTTCATTCTTGTAATCTTTCAAAATGCTGTCCTCTCTATCTGGAACACTCCTGTACTACCCCTTCCGTGACCTGGCTAATGTCACCTGGTGCTTCAAGACCCATTTTACTTGTTTCCTCTTCAGAAAAGACTTCTCTACCCCCCATCTAATGTAGGTGTCCCTCATCAGGATTCTCGTAGCATGCTGTGGATGTTCCAACAACACTCATCAGAACTAGACTGTACAGGTTGTCTCCATGACTAAACTGTAAGCCCTCCTTAAGGACTGGGACCAGCCTTGCTATCTTTGTATCATTGGTACTTTGTATGTTGTTCCTGATAGTTGTTTGGCACTTAATAAATTTAGAAGAATCAAATGAAAATATTGATTTGGTGAGCTATTGAGAAATTTAGTACATGTATCCTTTTCTGTCTTTTTCACTTGTTGGTTTGCATTAAAGTCATTAAAGTCCGTTTGCATCAGATAGACTTTTGTGTTCTTTTATCCTGGTGTCCCAGTATTTATGCATCAGATAGACTTTTGTGTTCTTTTATCCTGGTGTCCCAGTATTTAATTTTAAACCAAAATAAAGTCATTTTCCTTTATCTACTGATAAATAGCAAAAGAAGGAAGCAAAAAATGGCCAGACGGGGGTAAGAATGTCACTAATAAGTGACCGAGGTCAGCATGCCAGCTAGAATTTTAAGAGGTAACAATCTAGCCACTCTGTCTTATAAACCATGCTTTTTTTGTTTTGTTCTGTTGTGTTTTTAGGAACTATCCCTTCGACATAGTGACATTGTTAAACCTTGTTCTATTCAAGGCCTCTGACACCAACAGAGAGATTTATGAAATCTCCATGCAGCTCATGCAGGCACGTATCATTTACTGGCATAGAAAATATCCATCCTTGAGTACAGAAAATAGAAATGGTAGTTGATTACCTAATAGCTGTTTATTGATAGGCCTTTGTTTATTTCTGCATATCATTTGTGGCTATGAAGAGTGAGAAAGTAACTATATAATCTTTTGTAAACATACTAATTAAACTGATGTTTTACCTTTAATTCTATTTTTAAATGGGAATTAATTAATTTTGTTACTTCTAACCTTTGTTAAATACAAATGCTCATGAGATATCCAGCTAATGCTTTTCATACTACTTTTTTACTTTCCTACATCTTTATAGATCCTTGAAGCAAAGCTTTTTGTATACTCAAAGAAAGTCGCTGAGCAAAGACCGGGAAGTATTCTCTATGGAACACACGGCCCGCTGCCACCCCTCTACAGCGTGTCACTTGCCCTCTTGTCATGTGAGCTGGCCAGGATGTACCCTGAGCTCACACTCCCCCTCTTCTCAGGTACCAGGCAATAGTCAATAATGACATATGTGATCATTTCTAATAATGACGTATGTGATCATTTCTAATAATGACATGTGATCATTTCTTTGCTCTAAGTAATTTTTCTTTTTAAATTCTAGTTTAATTTTAGAGTTATGACCAGGCACGATGCCACGCATTCCTGTAATCCCAGCACTTTGGGAGGCCAAGGCAGGCAGATCACTTGAATCAGGAGTTTGAGACCAGCCTGGCCAACATGGTGAAACCCTGTCACTACTAAAAATACAAAAATTAGCCAGGTCTGGTGGTGTGTGCCTGTAATCCCAGCTACTTAGGAGGCTAGGCAGGAGAATCGCTTGAACCCAGGAGGCAGAGTTTGCAGTGAGCCGAGATTGCGCCACCGTACCCCAACCTGGGCAACAGAGTGAGACAGTCTCAAAAAAAAAAAAAAATCTTAGAGTGATAATTAGTGATGCTAAGTTTGTAGGTCAGAATTACTGTGGGCTAGATCCAGTTACATATGAAAGTAAATTCTATAATTGTTAAATGAAAAAAATTTCTTTATCTAAAGCAGTGTAGGCATAAACATACATATGACAAATGCAAGGTGCTTAGATTAATAATACTAACTTCTGCATACATTATATATATAAATTTCCCAAAGAAACTAATATCCCACAAAAGCTAAATATGAACAGTGTAATTTATAACACATATAATTGCTGCAAGTTGTTTGGTGGTTGTGATAGTGGTGGTGTTTTGTAGCTTGTATTTTGCTACATATGTAAGTTGTTGAAAGTTTGAATTTTTGCATATTCTTTACAATCTTCATAAATAGTTTTTGTGAATTTGGCTTTGCATAGTGGATGGACTGCCACATGGAGGATAAACTGCAGTTAGGTAATGCAGAATTGCTAAAGAATTGCATTTGTCAGGCCGGGCGTGGTGGCTCACACCCGTAATCCCAACACTGGAGACCGAGGAGGGCTAATCACCTGAGGTCAGGAGTTTGAGACCAGCCTGGCTAACATGGTGAAACCCCATCTCTACAAAAAAGACAAAAATTAGCTGGGCATGGTGGCCCACGCCTCTAGTCCCAGCTACTCAGGAGGCTGAGGTAGGAGAATCACTTGAACCCGGGAGGCAGCGATTGCAGTGAGCCGAGATCATGCCATTCCACTCCAGCCTAGGCAACAGAGTGAGACTCTGTCTCAAAAAAAAAATGCATTTGTCACCTAACTTCTTGCCTAAGCTTACGTAGCACTTTGCCAAGAGACAGACTTTGGCCTCTTGAATTCATCCTGTTTTTCCATCTCTATCACCACCTCACCACTGCTTTGTCCAGATCTTCCTCAGTCCTTCCCTGCCTCTGCATTACCTAACTACAGTTTATCTTCCATGTGGCAGTCCATCCACTATGCAAAGCCAAATATGTCCAGCACTTCTTAACTCAAACTTCTCTGCCCAGTTGTCCTAAAAATAGCTGATAACAGCCTACATTTAGTGAGTGGATAGTAGGTACCAGCCTCCATGCTAGGTACTTTATGTGCATTGCATTTATCACTTAATATTTATAAACCCTGGTATAGTACAGTGGTTAGAACAGAGGCTTTGGAGTCAGGCAACCTTTCACTAGTTGTTTGACTGTGGGCAAGTCACAGAACCTCTAAATTACATTCCTTATCTGTAATAGTAATGACTACCCCATAGGATGTGAAGATTAAAGTGATCTAATGAAAACCAAGCAGCTGGCCCAGTCCTGGCATGGAATTATCACAACTACCACCACCACCATCATCATTGTTTTACAGATGAGATGAGAAACTAAGGTTTAGAGATGTTAAATAATTTGCTCGAGACCATATAGCTAGGAAGCAACCAAGTCAGAATTAAATCTAGATCTGTCTTCCTCCAAAGCCATTGCTATAAAATTAGAACTCAGCCAAGGGGCAGGGGAAAAAAAGCTCCTTTTCTAAACTTGCTTTCTACCTTTTCATTCAAGAATCCTCTACTCCAGTCCTACTGAATCTTTGACCAACATTCCAGGTCCTCTTGTAAATCTTTGCTTCTGTACATGCTGTTGAATGGCCCTCACCCCTTCTTCCTAACTTCAACTTTCCAGAAGATCTAACTTAACATCCACCTCAACTGTGCAGACCTCTCCATATACCTGAGGCAGAGTTAGTCACTTCTTTGTGTAATACCAGAAACAGTGGAGAGACCCAATAAAAGCCTTTTTAGTAAATTAATTCTCTTCTTGCAAAACTAAAATTTATTTTTATGCACTTCACCCAAGATTTGTTTGCTGCCTACATGCTAGGCACTGTGCTTGGGTTTCAGAAATACAGAGGGAAATAAAAGTCTCTCCCATCAAACGTTCATAGTCTAGCAGAAAAGATAGATATGCAATCAAGCCAAGCACAGTGGCTTATGCCTGTATCCCAGCACCCTGGGAGGCTGAGGCAGGTGGACCACTTGAGGCCAGGAGTTCGAGACCAGCCTGGCCAACATGGCGAAACCCTGTCTCTACTAAAAATACAAAAATTAGCTGGGCATGGTGGCACATGCCTGTAGTCCCAGCTACTCAGGAGGCTGAGGCACAAAAATTACTTGAACCCAAGAAGCAGAGGTTGCAGTTAGCCGAGATTGTGCTACTGCACTCCAGCCTGAGCGACAGAGCGAGACTCTGTCTCAAAAAAAAAAAAAAAAAAAAAGGTGTGCGATCAAATGATTTTGATACAGTATAGCAAATGCAATTTTTTAAAAAAGAAAAATGCTCAATGTATTAGACAGTAGCTGAAGGACTAATCAATTATTGGGCCAGGAATATCAGAAAAGAATTCCCAGAGAGAAGTTGATGTCTAAGCTGTAGTTTGAAAGGAGTAGAAATTTGCATAGCAGACAAGTAGTTGATAGACATTACAGAGCAAGAGACCATTGCATATGCATCAGCTTAGAGTTATAAACTAGCATGATGTAATTGGGGGATTATATAGAGGTCAGTTTAGGTAACATAACGTGCAGGAACAGGAAAAGCTAGAGATGGTCGTGGGCAGATGCAGAGGCCAAAATCATTATCTTGGAAGGCCTTGTGTACACTACAAGGTTTGTAGGCCAGCAATCTTCCATATGTGCTTTTTGAATCCCCCTTCAGAGCTCTGTAAACAGAGAGAGCATCCAAGCAAGCTGCTGGGGTTTTGAAAGCCACTGATGAGTTGCAAACGAGAAGAGGGAGTATCAAGATTAGAATGCATTTTTAAAAGCCTGGTTGCAGTGTGGAGGGTGGATTAGTGAACATCCAGTCTGGAGAGAGGAGGATAGTTAAGAAACAATGGCAATAGTCCAAGGAGGAAATAATAAATGATAAGGGCCTGAACAAAGACAGCCCAATGAGACTGGAGGGGAGAAACCAGAGCGAAAAGCTGCCAAGCAGAGGCACAGAAGAGAATGCCTACTGTGATATCAGGGAGGTCAGTGATGATAACCCTCCTAGAAACCCAATACAGGGAGAGGGGAAGGTTTGGTGCAAGGCAGAGATCAGGAGCCCAGCCCAGGATGTTGAGTGTATGCCTCTGCTGGACTTCCTCCTGTATGGATGAGCCTGAACTGAGGGAGGTCAGTGCTAGCAACTCACAGAAGGATGGAAGGGATTAGAGCCACGGGCATGGATGAGATCAGGAATGGAGAGAGCACAGAGTGGAAGAAAGGGCCTGGACACCCCCACTTTTGCAGACTGGTCCGAGGAAGAGCAGAAGGGTGAGAAGGAATGGAGGGAGAACACTCAGGAGAAGGGTTTCATGGAAACATAAAGGAAAAAGAGATTTAGAAGGAGAGAGTGAGCAGTGCACAGCCTCCGATGCAGTAGAGAGATCCCAGAAGAGAAGACCTGAACATGACTCTCTTGAGTTTCGAGATTCATTGGTAACTGTCAGTAGTTTCTGCAGGGAGGTAGTGGCAGAAGCCAGATCACAGTGGCCTGGCTGAGAAAGAATGTAGAAAGAGAGGCTGGCCCTCCAGTGGGGTGCAGAGTCAGAGGAGGAGTTTTAAGGATGAGCGATATTGGAGCATGTTTATTAGCTGAGAGGGAGATGCTAGTAAAGTGGGAGTGGTTCACAGTTCAGGAGAGAAGAGAGAAACAGTCCAGCAAGTTTAACCAGATCAGAGGCTCCTATGAGTTGCAAGCAGGTTCAACCTACATTTCCTTGAAGAATTACCTTTTGGCTGTTTTAGCTTAGGGGAAATTACTTTTTAAAAATAACACAGAAAAATTAGGAGGTTATAATAGATTCCAAACACTTGTTTTTAATATAAACCCTGTGGTGAAATTTTTATTGCCTGTAATTTCAAGTGACCTAATTATTGTAAACGGCCAGACAAATTGTTCAGGTCCACTGAACAAGAGCATCCCACTGATGTGGTCTCACATTTTATTTAAAATATTTCTGGAGCAGTGAATAGAGGGCTATTTGCATGTCTATGGCATTTTTCTTTTCTTGTTCCCTTTTAAAAAGGGAACTACCCTTGACTGTCCAGGAGCTACCTGGGTGCTTGGGATACCTCAGGCATACATCCCTACCCTCTTGGTGCTATTATCTGTCAGACAAAATGCAATTAACATAATAAACAAGCAAATTATGTAATGCATAAGTCTTTGCTCCGAAAAGTCCATAGATTTTTATACCATTGTCAAAAGATAGGTCTTTTGAATAACTGCTCTCTCTTTTATTTGTTTTTGGGATTTTTTCCCCCATCTTAAAGTCCAGATCCTTCTAGTGGAGTTTAAATAGTTCTCCCACCATAAAACTATTCTGAGTCTTTGCACCCAGAAGTCATTTTCCACCACCGAACCCCCAAAGCACTCTGTTTGTGCCTTTCTGATTTCATTTGTCACTGTTTCCCTTGCCCCAGAGTGATTTGTCAACATAATTTGTCTGAGTCTCTTTCTTAGGGGCAGGAACTGCATCATTTGTCAGTCTTTGCTGTCTTTGTCATGTCTAGCACAGTGGCTTGCACCTAGAAAATGCCCCGTACCTTGGGACAAATGAATGTTCTGACTTTATAAGGATTTGAGTATGTGACATAACAGTCACATACATCAGTCACATCCATAAATGTAGAAATCAAGTAAATTTTGAAATTTTGACCTATATGAAACATAATAGCTTAGCACTGTCTGATTATTGTGATATAACATTATGGTCTCCAAAATAAAAAATTATAATTTTAATTTTAGGAAAAGGGCCAAATTGATTAAAGCTGCTGTTTCAGAAGATCCCGTGGATTATCTTGGTATAATTCCTGGCATCTGTGTTCTATTATTTAGCAGCCATGAGCCCTCTAAGCGAGATTGCATTGCCACACTGGATCATAACACCTGTATGAGACCAAGCTTTCTAATTTCCCTGAGGATAAAATACCTTCTTCTCTAGATATGAGAGATAGGAGATTACATCGGAGCCTACTGCATATACATAATGCTGTGCTTCTCTATCTTAGAAAGTTTATTTGGATTATAAAATTAAATGCTGCTGGCAGTGAAACAATGCCAAAATGCTCTGAGAGAAAGTAATGGTGAAATAACTGGACCAGACCTAGGGCTTCACTGTTTGGACTCACGTGTCTCACAGGGGACACACAGCCCTTGGCAGGCACCTTCCACATGCTTAGCAGTTTTCAAGACGACTCTGCAAAGTGGGTTTATTCTTCCTAGAGATCCGCATGTCACTTTTTAACAGCCAATGTTTCATGGAAGACACTTTGTAAGACACTGGGTCAGTGGAAAGGTAATCATTGGTGTTAGCCTGATCCTAACCACAATTTATAAAAGCCTGATGGATGATAGGCACTGTGCTGAGCACATTGCATTCATTATGATTATATCTTTTAGTCATTACAGTAGCCTGATGTGGGGCCCTATCAGTCCCATTTTACCGACAAGGGAACTGAGGAGCAGAGATGTTAAGTAACTAGCCCAGAGTCACATGCCACTAGTATGTGGTGGATCTGGAATCTGAACACATGCCCTTCTAACTCCAAGTCCCTTATTTTGTCCACCCTCTGATATACATCTTCCGCTAGCAGTGGATTTGAACTCACTCCACTTTTACCAAGCCTGTGCTTGCCCCACAGTGCTATACACTTTCCTGCACAGCGCACCAGATGTGGAGCAACAAGCTTGCAGACAAGCCTTGGTTTTATCATTCTGTGGCCTTGGGGAGCTCCTGTATGTGAAAATGTTTTGTAAACGTAGGACACTGTTCAGTCTGCAAGTTGGCATTTGAATTTCCATTTATTTTGGTGGAATAAGGTATGGATGACTCTCTGTCACTGCAATTCTCTTTAGAGGTAAGCCAGCGATTCCCCACAACACACCCCAACGGGCGCCAGATCATGCTTACCTACCTGCTGCCCTGGCTGCACAACATCGAGCTGGTGGACAGCAGGCTCCTCCTCCCGGGGTCGAGCCCCAGCAGCCCAGAGGACGAAGTCAAGGACCGGGAAGGTGACGTGACTGCTTCTCACGGGCTGAGAGGAAATGGCTGGGGCTCTCCAGAAGCCACGTCACTGGTCCTGAACAACCTCATGTACATGACGGCCAAGGTAAACTCAGAGGAATTGTGCTTCAAATAGCATGGCTCCATCATCAGAAAAAAACCCTGGGTTAGTCAAACCCCGGGGAAAATGGGATTCCTTTAAAAATCACATGACTGGGGATAAATAGTGGTGATGGTTGCACAGAAATATGAATGGACTTAATGCCACAGGCTGTACACTTACAAATAGTGGTGATGGTAAACTTTATGTTATGCGTATTTTACAGCAATTTTAAGAATGATAATAAAAATAAAAATAAGCCTAATATTTAAAAAACTCACATGAATAGGTATTATGCATGATTGATTTGTGCATTATTAACTACTGTTTACTGAAAGATGGCATCTTTCTGATAAATGGTCATGTTTACCCCTTCTTATGATTTTGAGACGGTCATGACCCTCAAAACTACTTTCAGTCAAACCTTTTGCGTCCTTACAGTTTTCACACATCTCTTGGGCCGGTTTTTATTTTGTTATAGTATGGAGATGAAGTTCCTGGGCCAGAAATGGAAAATGCTTGGAATGCTTTAGCCAACAATGAGAAATGGAGCAACAACCTGAGGATCACCTTGCAGTTCCTGATTAGCCTCTGTGGGGTCAGCAGCGACACAGTTCTCCTACCCTATGTAAGTGTCTCTCAGCCCTTCAAGAGTGATTATTCCTGCAGGGACTCCCATGTGCAATTTGCAAGTCAGAATGTGCTCTTTGCTCCAGCTAAAATAGAAATGTCCAGTTAGTCACATGAATCTCCTGTGAGCTCATCCAGATATTACATAAAAGTTCCCTTCTGCCCCCTAGACACAGGCTATGTGTGCTAGTGATGCCTCTGTCATCTCCTTACTCTGAGCCTTGGGACGCAGAAACCTATTGATATAGCAGGTGGATATTTTTCTAGCAGTTACTGAAAGCTGCCTTCTATAAACATTGGACCTACTATGTAAGAGACACTAAGTAAAGTGTTGTATTATTACTAATAAGAATGTTTCATGTTTACATCTTGATGCTCTTGAAACAGAATAAGAAAGCAGAGTATGCAGGTTTTTCTCTTCAAATTCAAGTGGTAGAAGAGAGAAGTAAGCATGGAGAAATCCTTCTGAAATGTCTGATATTTACAGTTGGTATTTAAAAGTGATAGGATCAACAGAATGACAGCATTTTTAAAACCCAAACTCAATTGGCATTTCTGTGCTGGTTGTTTTTGTGACAGGTTTATGTCTTCCTGCTGCCTTGAGTCCACATAAGCCTCACTGCAGCTTGCAGGGCTCAGGTTGGACTATGAGGCCTGCAATAATGTGGAGCTTTAATCCAGAGTTATTTTTAAAATTTAAAACCATAAAAACAGCTAAAACTCATTTGTTTCTTGGGGAGAAGAGAATAGCAGGGGACTGGATTCCTTTTTAAACAAAAATAACTAGCAGTTTTTCCCCAGGGTTTGTATAAATAAAATTATTTCTGAAGATGAGAACTTTGATGGCAAGTTTTCAGTTTAGATAGAATTCACGTACCTCAAAAGTAACTTTTAAAAACTTAGCCATTAGAAAAGGTAAGGGCTTTAAGAACACACTGTTATCAGACGTGCCGATGAAGAGAGGTGAATTTTAATCCAAGTCCTTGGTCCATCCTAGGATAGCACAAAGATTAGCTATCACGGTGACAGCTCCTGCATGATGACAACTTATCTAAATGAGAGGTTTACTGGCCTAGTGTTCCTGTGGACTAGGCTCTGTGAAACATCCCTTGTTTTCTTTTTTCCTTCTCAGATTAAAAAAGTGGCAATATACTTGTGCCGTAACAACACCATTCAAACCATGGAAGAGCTTCTCTTTGAGCTGCAGCAGACAGAGCCCGTGAACCCCATCGTCCAGCATTGTGACAACCCGCCCTTCTACCGCTTCACGGCCAGTAGCAAGGCTTCCGCAGCAGCCTCAGGTAAGAAGAGCAACCGGGCAGACACCTGGTCACAGATCCCTGGGGTTTCCTTCATGTAGATTCCTGAAAGGATATGAGAATGTGTTTGTTACTTTTTTCTTATTCCTGTGTGTGCATTCAGTTAAGAGATGGCTTAAGAATAACTGAGACATGGGCTGGGCGTGGTGACTCACGCCTGTAATCCCAGCACTTTGGGAGGCTGAGGCTGAAGTCAGGAGTTCAAGACCAGCCTGGCCAACGTGACAAAACCCCGTCTCTACTAAAAATACAAAAACTTAGCCGGATGTGGTGGCACGCGCCAGTACTCCCAGCTCCTCAGGAGGCTGCAGGAGGAGAATCACTTGAACCCACGAGGCAGAGGTGGCAGTGAGCCAAGATTGCACCACTATACTCCAGCTTGGGCGACAGAGCAAGACTGTATCTCAAAAAAAAGAGAATAACTGAGTTTCTTAGGGATCATAGGGTTAATGAAATGATCTTGTAAAGATGACTGAGAATCTGTGGCTCAAGCATCCTCCATCACAGAACTTTGTATTTCAGCCGATCCCAGCCAGGACATTGCAGTCACTCAGGAATCTCATTTCTGGATCCCCCTTCTTGTATCTGGACCCTCCCTTGGCTATATTCCTTCAGCGTTGATTAAAATTCCCCCCAAAAGTATTATCACTTTTGGTTAATTGGTGTCTCAGCAACCTTTCATGAAATATATGCCATCCTCCTCAAATTCCTTGAAGTCTGCCTCCCTTCTGCTGACCTCATGCAGTAACTGCCTTCCAATTCCTCTCCTCCCTGAGTCTACTGTCTCCTCTGTTCGCCCTACACCCTGCCACCAGAGCAGTGTTCTTACAGGGAAGCAGTAGCACAGCAATCAGAAGTGCTAGGTGCTTGGCCTTACTTCACTAGCATTAGTTTAGTAACTCCTGGACCCAGAAATACTAAAGCAGCCAACAGCAGGGCCAGCCACTATAAATAAGCTCATTGCCTAAGTGGCCAGGAAGAAGAGGTTTCAAGAATGTAGGCTTGCTTTACGAGAGTTAAGGAATTTGGTTTGACCATAACAGATGTCTACGATTCTCTCATTTCAGTGGTGTGGGCTTGGAAGATTGTTTAGAATGTCTGAGATTGTGCAGAAGATGTAAAAAATCTTCCAAACATAAGAATTTACAGGAAATCTTTCCCTGGAATTACTTGAGACTTGAGCTTGACCCCTCAGCTTGCATCTTTTTATAAGTGTTTTTCTTCCATTCCCATCTACAGGAACCACCTCTAGCAGCAATACAGTGGTTGCTGGCCAGGAAAATTTCCCAGATGCTGAGGAGAACAAGATATTGAAAGAATCTGATGAAAGGTTGGTACACAAATTTGACTTAATATCCAGTGTAATGTTCTGCAATAATCTATACATAGACATCAATACAGGTTTGTGGAGTTTCATAAATTTTACACGTACATAAAAATCCTTCTTTGTTTTTAGAAACTCAGACTTACTTTCCAACTCTACTCAGTATATCCCTAAAGATAACAGTTATTTCTGTGCAAAGTCAGAGAAGAGAAAGATTAAGAAGGGTGTTGTTCTGGTGGTGGTGGAATTTCGCATACCTCAGGGCTTAGTAAAAACCATGAGTTGTTCTGCTAATGGACACAGACCATCTGGAATTAGAATTGCCATGTGAAATTTTCGAATCTGATAGTTGAATAATTTCTTAGGGATAGAGTAGTCATCTTGAGATGAGTTCTATGAAACATGATTATTATTATTTTACTTTTGCTTTGTGCTGTCTTGGTTAACCAAAACACTATCTTTTCCTGCTAAAAAAGTCTCCGTTCCCTCCACATTAGCTCTTTAATAATAATATTTCCCCTATATCTCAGCCTTCTTATTGCCTTGCCTATGAACTACTCATCAGTAGTCAAATCAGAGTCACTCTTTCCTGCAGTTGATTGTGAAGAGCAGGGAGACAAACCAGGAGAGAAAAACAAAACTCAATTTAAAAAAAATGAAAATTAGGATGATCCTCACGGTGCTTCAGCTGAGCATTTTATAGTGAAAGGTAATGAGGGAGCCCTTTTACTTAAGAAATTAGTAAAAAGGATGAGATGCTCATGAATTCATATTAAAGGTAATTTAGGGGATCCAGTGGTGAAAATAACTCACTTAGCCCAAAATGCCCCAGTAAGCCCACAGTGCTTCCTGAGCATCCTGAGGATTTCATCATGTGTATTGGGGCACAGTAGGGGCTGGCGTGGAGATGACCTGGCACAGGGCTGCCTGCCCTTGGGGCTCTGAAGGCTCCTTCCCTAATTCAGGCACCAGCCAGATTCCTCACTGCATCACTGGGCAGCTGTGTTACCTTCAGGCAGATGCTCATCCATACGGGCTTCCCTTCAGACTAAAAGCCCAAACCCAGCAGATCACGAATTATAGACCTTGTCCTTTGAAGTTCTCTAATAAAGCCTTTTATTTCTTTCTCAGGAATGAATAAAGGTTTTTATATTCCACATATTAGTGAAGGTACAAGATTATTAATTAGCATGTTACTTTTTAAAATCTATATTTGCTATTAATATTACCTTCTTTGGAAAACTACCTCATGATAAAAGTCACAGTATTTCTCTAAAGATATTTTTACTTTCTCACTAGACTATAACATTCTTGATCATTTATTGTTTTGTCTGAGTTTCCTGTCTGAATTTTATTTGAGGTAGAAAGATGATAGATCTCCATGTATTACCATCTCATTACAAAGGCCTGTTTAGGGCCAGAGTTCTGAGTGTCCTGCCTAGAGGTTTTAGTGGTGCCTTTGAACTTAAGAAGCCAGTAATCTCTCTAATATCAAGATCACAGAACATCTTCAAGAGAGATTTTCTTGTTTAGCTCTTACTCCTGCTCTGTCACCATATCTCTGCTGGTCATTGGAAAGCCTGATGCAATTATCTACCCATATATATCACACATATTCATACATGTCAGATTCTTTTATACTGATATTTATCTACCTATAACATTGATTGATCATATTCACATATATGTGCAAACATATGTCTATGAATATGCTCTCCCAATGGACACCACTATTCCGTTGATCCCATATAGCACCTACACTATTTGTCTACTGTATTCTTTTTTTTCTATGAAAGTAGGCTGTGCCCTCAGCCTAAAATCCTTTTTTCTCCTCAGTCTACTTATCACCCTTCCTTCCTTGTAATCCCTGTCATGTTGATATATGGGTGCTTACAGACACACTTAACCACCAGATTTTAATTCCTAGAGAACACAGAGAGACTGCGTATCTCTTACACCAAGCTTGTCCAACCTGCGGCCCACAGGCCACATGCGGCCCAGGACAGCTTTGAATGTGGCCCAACACAAATTCATAAATTTTCTTAAAAGATTATGAGATTTTGAGTGTGTGTGATTTTATTTATTTTTTTTAGCTCATCAGCTATTGTGTTAGTGTAGACAGTTCTTCTTCCAGTGTGGCCCAGGGAAGCCAAAAGATTGGACACCCGCGTCTTACACATATTTCTATCCTCAGTGATTAGTCTACTGTGCTGTGCATAGTAGGCATTTTAAAGTGTTTATTTGGTAAGTGAATGGAAATAGGAGAAATGTCATATCCCCAGAGGTGGATAAGCTGTCCAACCACCACCAGTCCGCTTTCCCTTACCCTTTCAGTAACCCATCTTGGAGGACAGCAATTTACTCCTTTCTTTACAGTCCTTATAGGCAAAGAGCCTACAGAGACAGTGTTGTTCAGAAACACCACCCCAGGCTGCTGTGTTAACACACCTCAGGAGTGAGGCATCTCTTCCACCATATCCATTGTGAGGGAAGCACCATATCCATGGGCTGAGGGAAGCACCATGGAGTTGGACAAAATGACCGCCTTGGCACCATGTTCTTTACAACTAGATTAATGGTTCTTTGATGTGACTCAGTAATATTTAATAATGCCGTTCCTACTGACAAAAGCACAAACAAACCTTATAGCTTAAGTGAAAGAACATTAAAACAAGAGTAAAAGAATATGTGCCAAGCTAATGGGAGGGTAAGACAGTTGGTGTCTTAATTCCTGACTAAGGAAAACTACAACTTAACATTAACCTAACCTTGAGGCCCCAGTAGCCAAAGTAAGAAAAGAAAAATAAAGCAAATTTTATAACATTCAATTTTTTTAAAAAAAAGCTATTCAAGTTAACAGTAATCTATGAAACATTTCAAAATAGCTAGAAGAAAATAATTTGAATGTTCCTAGCATAAAGAAAAAATAAATATTTAAGATGATGGATATCCCAATTACCCTGATTTGATATTTACACATTAAATGCCTGTATCAAATGATCACATCTACCCTGAAAAATGTACATCTATTGTGTATTAATAAAAATTTTTAAAAACTATCAGAAAATGTAACAGAAAGTACACCTAAGTCTAAGATTTTTCATATAGTTTATTTTACTAGGCATCAAAATCAACATATATTTATTAAAAGAGTAGTTTATAGCAATTTTTAAAGTATGCAGAAAAAATCTTCATAAGTTTTTGTTTTTGTTTTTCAGACAGGGTCTCATTCTGTCACCTAGGCTGAAGTGCACAAAATCACAGCTTACTGCGGGCTCAGCCTCCCAGGCTCAAGCAGTCCTCCTGCCTCAGCCTCCCAGGTGACTAGGAATACAGACATGTGTCACCACACCTAGCTCATTTTTTTATTTCTTGTAGAGACGGAGTTTCACTATGTTGCCCAGGCTGGTCTCAAACTCCTGGGCTCAACTGATCCTCCCACCTCAGCCTCCCAAAGTGCTGGGATTACAGGTATGAGTGACTGCATCCAGCCATAAGTATTTTCAATATATCAATCTTAATAAAAGATTTTTATAAATTTATATGCCCACAAAGGGATTTTTCATAGAAAGCTAAAGTAGTAAACCTCACCTGTATAAATTTTGAACGGTCTATGTTGAAACAGAGATAATTTCTATCTAAATTGATAGTGTTGATATACACAAATATATATTAACTATCAGTTATCTAAGTATTATTAATTTGAGCTAAATCAACAAGGTAAAACTGAGGGGAACATTTCATCCTTCTAATTTTTCTCTTATCAGAGCTATTTTCATGAGGTATTTCTTAAGGTATGTACCTTTGATGTTAAAAGACATCAAAGATTCTACTTAATCCTTGAAATTCTTTGAGGGACCAGACCCAAAATAAGCTTCTTCAACCCAGAAAAGCAAAGGAAAATAACAGATTTTACAGTTGGGAGTCAGTTTTTTACTTTTTCCTTGCCAGACATACACTTTGCTACACTGTGGCTTCAGTCTTCTCCAGAACAAGGAGAACAGTCTGGAAGGGACTTGCTCCTCCCCTTTATTCCAGCCTCATAAACTCCACCCAGCACCCCTTTAAATCCAACTCAAAAGGGAAAAGAGATGAGTTGTCATCCATCCTGTAGTTCTTCCGGGTGCAGGCCCTCCAGGGCACAATTTAAAACCCGACATAGAGCACAGTTCATGGTAGCTGGAAGTGCTGTGGCGCTCTCCACCCGACGGAAACCTGCAGATGTGCCATTTTTTCATCACCCTGCTTTTGTTCCTTTCTGAATGATGTCTGGGCCTAGCAGATGCTGTTTATCACTTTGCATTTATCAGCATAAATATGATTAAAGAACTTCTTCAGAAGGTAATAAGTTTGTCCTTTTTCCAGTTTATTTTCATAAATACCAGTCTGATTTAGTTGGCCGATTTGTATGAAACTAAGCCAATGTCTTAGATATTCTGTTCTTATAGATTCACAAATGCCCAAAAGATATAACAGTGAAGAAGGTTTGAGGTATGAAGTTACTGGGGAAAAGATAGCTGTCAGGATGGGGGAAATGTTGTTGCAAATATCTAAAAAGTGAATGAAACCAAGCTCATTACAGTACATTTCTGTAATTCAGCAAATCCAAATCACTGATGCAGTGCCCTAAGGTTGTACACCTGGGACAAGATGGGCATCTTAATGGTACATCCAGGAGTTTTTGCTGAAACGTTACTCTTTCTCCACACATTAGTAAGGACAGCAATAGCCCTGCACCTTCCAGTGTCCCCAAAAGAAATAGAGTATTGATCTGTTATGAGTTAAGTCAGAATACCCGGTGAGTAATGTAGAGGGACACACCTATTTTGGCTTGAGTTTTCCAGGTATTTCTAGATAGCCTTAGTTCTTTGTTTTGGCTACATATATATTAAGTTGATAAAACCTGCTGTGTATCATTTTATATAAAATAAATATAGACATACCATTTTGCCCACACTGCCCCTGAACCACACCCTTGCCCTACCTTGTAGTCCTCTGTTTGAGAAATATGCTATTGATTTCTTTCTAGAAATCCTAGATAGAAGCATAATAACTAATACCTTATAGTCCGACAGTGTCTTGCAGTTTTGGAAACACTCTCAAACATCCTTTCTTTTGTTCCCCCAAATAACCCTAATTAAATAAAAGACAGAGTATTATTATGATGCCCTTTTTGCAATTGTGGAAATAAGTTCCCCAGGGAGGTAGAGGCCTTGGCCATGGTTACAGAGCCAGTGAGAGAGAGCTCAGCCTTAAAGCTCCACGCAGGGAGTTGGCATGGCACTGAAGGCCTCCTGCACTGCCACCTCCCTGCGGTCAACACTAGACAAGGTGTATAACTTCGCCTCCCCTCAGTTTCCTCATTGTAGAATAAATAATGCTTATCTCAAAGATGAGTGAGCAAGATTAAATAAGATGATGTCTATGAATTAACTATACTTCAACATTTTTATTTTCTTTGTTGTTGTTGTTTTGTTTTTGTTTTTGTTTTGTTTGTTTTTGGTGGGGGTTACTTCTTAACAAGCCACAAGAGAGGCCAGACCAGAGAGTCTTTCTGGTGACATTACTCCCCAACTAGGACCTTTCCCTGAACACTCTCAAACTATTTTAAGAGAAACTTTAATTCTGGGTAAAGTCCAAGATTTATTATAAAGCTATTTTTGTGTATTTCCCATTCTATGTACTTTGAGTTGTTTAATCATTCAGGAAATATTTATTGACCACCTACTGTGTGTCAGGCTATGTAAATAAGGGAATCATGTTATTCAGTATCATGCCCATTTTCTTTCCAAAGCAAATGTTACCATTTTCTAGTTCAGTTGAAATATTAGGCTTAAAATTTTTATCTTTTCAAGGTTTGGACTTGTGCTTATGAGCAAGAGTGACCACTGACCCTCTCAAGGAAACAAGAAATGTTTGGGGTACAATTTTTACAGCATTCCTTTAAGAAAAGCACCATTGGCAACTAGCAGCTGAAAAACCAACTGCTAAATCATAGTGTCAGTTTATGAGTAAGAGCGTAGGCTGGGCACAGTTGCTCACGCCTGTAATCTCAGCACTCTGGGAGGCCGAAGCGGGCGGATCACGAGGTCAGGAGATCGAGACCAGCCTGGCTAACATGGTGAAACCCTGTCTCTACTAAAAATACAAAAATTAGCTGGGTGTGGTGGTGCACACCTGTAATCCCAGCTACTTGGGAGGCCAAGGCAGGAGAATTGCTTGAACCTGGAAGGCGGAGATTGCAGTGAGCCAAGATCGCACCACGGTAGTGCAGCCTGGTGACAGAGTGAGACTCCAACTCAAAAAAAAAAAAAAAAAAAGCGCATATGCACACATGTTAATATTTCATTCTGGTTGTTCTTGTATTTGAAGGTTTAGTAATGTCATCAGAGCCCACACTCGCCTCGAGTCAAGATACAGCAATAGCTCTGGAGGATCCTACGATGAAGATAAAAGTAAGTACCAACAGGCTGTGGGCTTTCAGACGGAACGCAAGTGGTCAGAGGATGGAAAATGAGTGTTCTGATTGTTCTTGGTCTGATTACTAAAAGGGCCTATAGATATTAAGTAACCATTTAATCCACCTATGCAGATGAGCATAGAGTCAGCATCCTCAAAAGTTAAAAAAAAAAGAAAAAACCATGGACAAATCAAAATTATAAAAATTCAAACTACCATCCACTCCTGTGTTTCTATATATATACATATATATATACTTTTTTTTTTTTTTGAGACGGAGTCTCGCTTTGTCGCCCAGGCTGGAGTGCAGTGGCACCATCTCAGCTCACTGCAAGCTCCGCCTTCTGGGTTCAAGTCATGTTCCTGCCTCAGCCTCGTGAGTAGCTGGGACTACAGGCACCCACCACCACGCCCAGCTAATTTTTTGTATTTTTTAGTAGAGACGGGATTTCACCGTGTTAACCAGGATGGTCTCGATCTCCTGACCTCATGATCCGCCCGCCTCGGCCTCCCAAAGTGCTGGGATTACAGGCGTGAGCCACCGCGCCCGGCCGTGTTTTTATATTCTTGACATTTTTTCTTGGTGATGCAGCTGGGGAAAATACACTAAGTCATAGTCCCATTAGAAAACACATGTTGTTGGCTGGGCGCGGTGGCTCACGCCTGTAATCCCAGCACTTTGGGAGGCCGAGGCGGGTGGATCACGAGGTCAGGAGATTGAGACCATCCTGGCTAACACGGTGAAACCCCATCTCTACTAAAAAATACAAAAAATTAGCCGGGCATGGTGGCGGGCGCCTGTAGTCCCAGCTACTCGGGAGGCTGAGGCAGGAGAATGGCGTGAACCCAGGAGGCAGAGCTTGCAGTGAGCCGAGATCGCGCCACTGCACTGTAGCCTGGGCGAAAACAAATGTTGGCGGTTCAACATTTCCACCTATCTTGCGAGTGGGTTTAACCTTGAAGCTTTGAAATGCTGCTCACTCAGGATAGGATCTGTTCCTATGTTGAATTTCTCAATGGCATAGTCTCCATAGCCTATTGAAAGCCTTGCTAACCTGGGAGTTAGCTTTGTGACAGGAATTTCTTCTGGTAGTTGGGAAAACCAAAAAGGTCAGTGCATTTACTGATTTTGTTTAAGCCCTGGACAGCTTCTGTAGATATTGAGCAGATACAGAGTATTAATTGGTCACAAGTTACAGAAATTCTGAAACCAAAGAACGCTCCCAGTGACATTTCAGATTTGCTAAGGGAATCAGTATCTTGTGGGATTTATTCTTTTTTGTCAGAAATTGTAAATATACTGACATTTCATGAGTTAAGTTCATTTCGTAAGTTGGTGCTTTGAATTGTTGTTTTGAATTGTTTTGTTTTTACAGAAATGTGCAATGTCAGGTAAGAACTAGGTAGTTCCAATAAGGCCACATTTCAGCTACCCTTGTTCTACTTCTGAATGCACAGACAGGCAGTTCTCTACCATTAAAATACTAATGGAAGGCGTGTCTAGAATCCATATGTAATTATCATGCTCTAATGTAGGTTAAGTTTCAGCTATGTCCCTATAAAACCTTCACTAGAGCTGTCAATAGGAAGTAAAATAAAGCTGTTTGTGTTTTCCTTCCTTTGTGTGTCCCCTCAGGGGATTGTACCATCCAAACACTGAATAGTCAAATCTCAGTACCATAGGCCGTTACTTCTAGAAGGCACCAGATTTTAGAGATGAGGAAAGTAGTACTTGAGAAATGGAGAGTTGGTTCAAGAAAAGTCTGGTTACTGTGGCAATATCTGGTAACCCAAAGTTTGAGGACAGAAAAATTTAAGTTTAGGCCACCTTAATTCCTCTCAGCACATTTTGGCTGATTGGATATATATCTGAAAACATCACTGAAACAAAGAATAACATATCCCTTCCTAACAGAAATCTCACAATTTACTTTTTAATTCTTCAATATTCTCCCTTTTTGTTTCCCTTTCAAGTTTTATTGAAGAGTAGCTAGTTACCTAGCAGTACATTTGGCAACTGACTTATCCTGGATGATTATCTGAGAAGTTAATTTGTTGCAAGTAAGTTACTTGTAGGTAATTTGCTGAGAGTTAGAACTGAGATGAGTTACTAGTGCATCTGCTTTAAATTTTTTCCAGGCTAAAATTGTTGTGGCCAAGCTTCATGGCATAGAATTATAGGGTTCTGGCTGCTCACTTGTCAGTGTATTAGAAAAAGCCAGTAGTCACTCTTCCTGAGGGAAGTCCTGACCTTTTCCACTGAAACCCTCTTAGCCACATCCCATGAAAAGTGGGATGTTCTTGGTTCTGGTTTTCTGATGCCTGTCCTCCTTCAGAGCCTCAGTTGTCACAACAGGAAGACACCCCTCCACCAGCTCTGTAAATGTTAAGGCCAGCATTCTACACTGGACCAGCAGCATCAAACCAATGACTTCACACTACCTTGCAGAAGTGAAGGAAAGAAAAATTATGTTATTATAAAATTGCCTAAAGACGACATAGTATGTTCTTCCTCTTAATACATAAACTGATCCCAAGAATAAACCAGCTGGTCTGCAGCCAAATACCTGGGTTAAATCCTGTGCCCACCTGTATTGCTCTTCTTAAATGCTGCTGGCCTGCTTTGGGAGCATGATAAGAAATAAACATGGAAAGTGTTGCTGTACTTATTTTATTTTATTTTTATTATTGTTTTTGAGACAGGGTCTCACCCATAGCCCAGGCTATAGTGCAATGTCACGATCTTGGCTCACTGCAGCCTCTACCTCTGGGGTGCAAGCAATTCTGCTGCGTCAGCCACCCTAGTAGCTAGGACTACAGGTGTGTGCCACCACACCTAGCTAATTTTTGTATTTTTAGTAGAGACAGGGTTTCACCATGCTGGCCACACTGGTCTTGAACTCCTGCCTTCAAGTGATCCACCCGCCTGGGCCTTCCAAAATGCTGGGATTACAGGCATGAGCCACTGCGCCTGGCCTGTACTTACTTTAAAGATAATATTGTGACGTTCATTCATTCAACAAATATTTATTGATGCTTTACCATGTGCCAGGCACCATTGTAGGTAGTAGGGAGAAAACAATGAACAGAACAGAAGAAGTCCCCACTCTCCTGGAGCTTACATTAGAGTTGGGGAGGGAGGTGGTGCTGGTGAATTGGTGATCCATGGGTGGAGGGGGAGGGACTAAAGCAGAGCGAGCAGGGTAGAAAGTGATTGGGGTTGGGGGTCAATTTACATAGAGTAGTCAAGGAAAGCTGCTGTAATAAGGTGATATTAGGGCAGAGACTTGAATGAAGCAAAGAAGTGAGCCATGCAACTGTCTGCAGATGAGCATCCTAGCCATAGGGAGCAGCAGATACAAGGGCCCTGAGGCTGTATGGGGCCCAGCCTGATCACAGAACAGCAAGGAAGCTAGGAGTGGGGTGAGCAAGGGTGCGCTGGTAGGAGATAAGCCAGGAGAGGAACATGGAGGGGGAAGACCTTGTAAGGCCTTAAAGGCCACGGGTGTGGATTTGTGGAGAGCCGCTGGAGGGTGTTGAGCAGAGAAAGAGACACTACTGAACTTGTTTTACAAGAATTGGTCTGTCTGCTCTGTGGAACACAGACCTCAAGTGATCTACCCGCCATGGCCTCCCAAAGTGCTGGGATTACAGAGGTGAGCTACCGCGACCAGCCAAAACTGTGCTTTATTGAGATGAGGAAGACTGCAGGACAAGGATGGAAGCAGTGAGACAGTTAAGGAGGCCATTGCAGTGGCCCATGCAAGAGAGGATGGTGGCTTAGTCTAGAAGTAGTGGTGAAGATGGAGAACAGTGCTCAGATTCTGGAGATGTTTTGAGGGCAGAGCTCTCTGAATATGTGGATGACAAGTTACTGAACCTCACTTTCTTCTCTACAAAATGGGGATAAAATAGATACCTATCATTGGGCCATTAATATGTGAAATGCATAGGCCAGTGCCTGGCATCAAGTAAGCCCTCTGTGCTAGTTCCTAATGTTATGATTTTTATTATTGTTGTTATCGTCATCATCACTGTGATTATTATTTGGGTATGGGATATGAGGGGAAAGTCGGGGATGACTTTAAGTCTCTTGTCCTGAGCAAACTGGAAATATGAAATTGTGCTTTTTTTTTGAGACAGAGTCTTGCTCTGTCAGCCAGGCTGGAGTGCAGTGGCATGATCTCGGCTCACTGCAACCTCCACATCCTGGGTTCAAACGATTATCCTGCCTCAGCCTCCTGTGTAGCTGGGATTATTACAGGCGTGTACCACCACCCCTAGCTAATTTTTTGTATTTTTAGTAGAGATGGGGTTTCACCATATTGGCCAGGCTGGTCTCGAACTCCTGACCTCAAGTGATCTACCCGCCTTGGCCTTCCAAAGTGCTAGGATTACAGGGGTGAGCTACCGCGACCAGGCCAAACTGTGCTTTATTGAGATGAGGAAGACTGGAGGAAAAGCAAATTTTCATAGAGATGGGAATTCAACACGATTTAATGTTTTTCTTTTCGTATATCTGTATTCTGCTTTGCTTTATAATGAATAATTATAAATTAGTTACCAAGTAATAACTATGCAAGTAGTTACCCAAACAAGTAATTCTCACCCATTTGATCATGTAATTCATACTCACCAAATGAAATCATTAGAAAGTTATTTCTGGCCAGGCACTCACACCTGTAATCCCAAAACTTTGGGAGGCCAAGGTGGGAGGATCACTTGAGTCCAGGAGTTCGAGACCAGCATGAACAACATGTTGAGACCCCATCTATTTAAAATAATAATAATAATTTTTTAATTAGCCAGCTGTGGTGGCACATGCCTATAGTCCTAGCTACTTGGGAGGCTAAGACAGGAGGATCTCTTGAGCCCCAGAATTTGAAGCTGCAGTGACTTGTTTTTGTTTTTCAAACAGAGTCTCACTCTGTCGCCCAGACTGGAGTGCAGTGGCATGATCTCGGTCCACTGCAGCCTCCACCTCCCAGATTCAAGCGATTCTCCTGCCTCATCCTCCCAAGTAGCTGGGATTACAGGCACGTGCCATCATGCCTGGCTATTTTGTGTGTGTGTGTATTTTTAGTAGAGGTGGGGTTTTGCCATGTTGGCCAGGCTGGTTTTGAACTCCTGACCTCAGGTGATCCACCCACCTCAGCCTCCCAAAGTGCTGGGATTACAGGCATGAGCCACTGTAACCAGCCCTGCAGTGAGTTTTGATCAATCCAATGCACTCCAGCCTGGGTGCCAGCGAGACCCTGTCCCTAAAAAAAATTTAAAAATGAAAAATAAAGTTATTTTTACAAGCATACATTTTTAAAATTTATTCTGAAAACATCAAGTAGAGAAAACAAGTCTCCTCTCCCTGAAAATAAAGCACAGTTGTCTTTCTCACCCTCCAGATGATCCAATTTCTCCCTACACGGGCTGGTTGCTGACTATTACAGAGACCAAGCAGCCGCAGCCCTTACCGATGCCTTGTACTGGAGGATGCTGGGCCCCCCTGGTTGACTATCTCCCGGAGACCATCACTCCCCGGGGGCCACTCCACAGGTGAGCAGCATGTGTGGGGAGAAGGAAATCTTAGCTTTGACTGGACTTTTCTACCTATGACAAGAGAAAAACCTAGTCCAGGTCCCACCACATTAAATTATCTTATCAATCAGTGGGATCCTGCCTGATTTGACTGTCAGCTTCCAGCATATTAGCAGAGTTTGGTCAAATGTTAATCAACATTCAAAGCTGCCTGTGACCTTTGAATTTCTCCTTGATGTAATCTGGATATGGGCATGCATTCTGTGATGCTTTTTAGACTGTAAGCAACTTGATGAGAGGGACCTTGTCTTTGATTTCTCTTCATCCCTTAGCTCTTATTGCCTAGTGGCTAGTAGACTCTCCTTTATGTGATTAGCTCAACCAATGTTTCTTATTGTTGTGGAGCTCTATGCTGTGTTACAAGTTAAACTCTATTTCCCCCGAATAAGAGCCTTATATAATGTTTTAAAAACACTTAAGAGTTATATTGTACTGTAACTTAATGATCTACTAGTATTTCCATCCCCTTCAGAAGTTGCATTAATTTCATTATTTCATTGATTAGGTGCAATATTGCTGTAATTTTTATGACTGAAATGGTGGTGGATCACAGTGTACGAGAAGACTGGGCGCTTCATCTACCATTATTACTTCATGCTGTCTTCTTAGGTAAGACTGGATCTAAAAGGCATTCTAGCCAATCGGGTTAAAAATATACAGAAGTAATCCGTAGAGATTTCCTTTCACATTGACATCCTGTTTGACTCATTTCGGGAATATTCTATCTCCACCATTTTTCATTGCCCTTTTGTGACATCTGCTCTGAAATGTCAGCTACTTGGTCACTGTTTGAAATTGCTCTATTTCTACCATGTAAATACAGTGGTTTCTCACTAGTGCCACATCTACAAATATATCCAAAATAAGTTGGGCCTTTTTGAGAGTCTTCGGCTGAAATGGTAAATTTTAAGCTATGAGGCATAGTCAGCGTATAAAAAGAAAGGATATAGGACGGAGTGGGCCAAGCCCTGAGCTTTGTAGAGCAAAAATGGGAAGGGGAACCAGCCAGGGAAACTCAGAAATTCAGTAAGAAAGAGACTAATAAAATTAGAATCTTTCAGTAACAGGGATATCCAAGGAGGAGAACATCTCAAGAAGAAGGAATGCTAACCACATCAAATGCTACAGAGAGGTCAAGAAAAGTTCATCTATCAGCATTTTATGAGAACATTTTACTTAAGAAATAAAGCATTTTATTTTTCCTAAGCCCAACTCCTGTATGTTGGTAACCCAAACAATAACAAAGAAAACTAAACATTCTTTTAACATGTTCCTCCTGAGTATCCTGGAATCTTTACTATCCCTGGAATCTAAACGAGCTTAACGTTTGTTTATACTTAGATTCTACTGTTTTGTTCCAGGTTTAGACCACTACCGGCCTGAAGTCTTTGAACACAGCAAAAAACTGCTTCTTCACCTCTTGATTGCCCTCTCTTGCAACAGCAATTTCCATTCCATTGCTTCCGTGCTCCTGCAGACCCGAGAGATGGGTGAAGCTAAGACTCTAACCGTGCAGCCAGCCTACCAACCTGAATATCTCTATACAGGTAACAGAGAAGGACTGGTAGAGAGCCTAGGACAGTTACAAATGCAGAGATAACTAACTGCGGGTGCCAGTGGAGCCCAAGTTAACTTCTCTCATGCTATGACCTCCAACTTTCCACGTGGTAAATCAACAGTACAATAAATACACACCATTTCACTTGATGTGAACTTGCCTCTCAAAAGCTTTCTTTATTATTGAATATTTGAAATATATTTTTCCTGGTTATATATATGATTGCTGCCCCATTGAATATGTTCCTCCTGATGCATTGGAAATGTAAGTGCCCATTGGCCAGGAGCAGCAGTCTAGAACACCGAAGGATGAGAACACACAAAATAGTGACCCTTGCTACTGCCTGAGAGCAGGTCACAGCCAAGGTGCCGGATGTATCACTTGTGTGCCTTCTAGTGCCCATGAAGGAATTTTCACTTTTGAATGATTGACCTTTTCCTTGAAGACACCATTAGTGGGAGCCTGTTAAAAGCCATTGCTGTTTTGAAACCAAAAAAAATTCTTAGAAATAGGAACAGATGGCATTAACTGAGACAAAGAAATTACTCTGCCATGTCACGCCATTCATGAAAACGGGTAATAGTGGTTTTCATTTAGAACCAGAACGTTTAAAATATCTTAAAATGATGATGAAGATTACCAACTAACAGAGTTCAGGGACTAATTTTTTTTTTACCTATTCATTTTACACATTGCATTGGCGCCAGCTGTGGTGCGACATTTCACATGTCACTGTGTGCTTTCTGCATTACTGTGAAAAGGGTGCACCTTTTATTTATCACTTGTACCCACCACTGTATTGGCTTCTAACAGATGTTAACATAGTTGTTTGGAAAACAAATATGAAATCATCATTATCTCTAAGACCTAAGGCCTACTGACCTCAATTTAAGCACTTCACTTTGAACCAAGCTACACTTAATTGAAAATAACCTATCAATAGCCTCTTAGAAACACAAAACTCCCTTTGCTGTAGATGTTTAAACTGAAGAGTTCTAGCTGCTCTAAGTCCTGAGGATAAGAATGTACTTTCTTAAATGTTAGGCAGAGAAAACTGTAATATCTGATAAGTTGGGTATCTCTGTGTAATCAGTTTTGCATTTATTATACCACTGATATGGTATAAATGATTTAAAGTGAAGATTTACCAAAAACGCATACAATATTCATAGGCAAGACAAACAGTAGATAGCTAAAGTGACTGGCTCTACAGGACACAGGGAATAGGTGTACAAAGATTATGGGAAATGTTCTTTTTTTATAAATATTTATTAAGCACCTAGTTTCAACTATAGTTGCTTTAAATACACACTAAAAATGTGTGTGACAGAAATTATTGTCTTGACTTTATTATAATAGAACACTGAGATACAGAGAATTCCATAAATTCCCTGAGGCTACACTATAAGTGGCAGAAATGTTATTCAAACCCAGGACTCCTCACTTCTAATTCAGTATATCTATCAGACACACACCAGCACTACATACTTTTTATGATTATTAAATAGGGGAAAAGGGATAGTTGCATATATACATTTTCAAACCCACAGCCTACCCAGAGGTATAGAATGTCAACCAAGTATATAATGAAGAAACAGTATTTGCTTATGCCATATTTCTTTGAATACCATAAAACATATTCTATTAAAATATATCAATATACACATAATACTAAAGCTTCTGGGCACATTTACTCAAAAATATTATGTAAAAGTAACCAGCCATTAAGTGACTGGTATCCTCAAACAGGGTATCATTTCACATGGTTTTTTTTTTTTTTTTTTGAGACAGAGTCTCACTCTGTCTCCCAGGCTGGAGCGCAGCGGCGCGATCTCAGCTCACTGCAAACTCCACCCACCGGGTTCACGCCATTCTCCTGCCTCAGCCTCCCGAGTAGCTGGGACTACAGGTGCCGACCACCACGCTCGGCTAATTTTTGTATTTTTGGTAGAGACAGGGTTTCACCATGCTAGCCAGGATGGTCTCGATCTCCTGACCTTGTGATCCACCCGCCTCAGCCTCCCAAAGTGCTGGGATTACAGGCGTGAGCCACCGCGCCCAGCCCGTTTCACATGTTTAAGAAGACTAATACCCAGGAATAATTTATTAAGAGCACAGTTAGTAGATGAACTGTTACAGTTGAACTGGTTGTTTGCCTGGTCCATGCATGCATACAAACACGCATACATACCTTCCTTTTATAGAAAGTATCAACTAAAATAGCAGAGTAGAAAGCAGCAGATCACCTCCTATTCCCAAATACACACTCATTTACACAGCAGTGCAACTGATTTCCTAAACAAAGAAAAACTGTCAGTCTCATTTAATCATAGCCACAGCCGAAAGCAACCATTTTCTCCCCAGAATTTAAATAACTCCACACTTCCCTGCCCTCCTCTGTGGACCTCATTAAGCATGCTGACAAGCACACTGCCTAGTACATCCCTCCTTGACCTTCTTCTCCCACCAGGTGGCTTTGACTTCCTGAGAGAGGACCAGTCATCCCCGGTGCCTGACTCAGGGCTTAGTTCAAGCTCCACCTCCTCTAGCATCAGTCTGGGAGGCAGCAGTGGAAACCTCCCACAGATGACCCAGGAGGTAGAAGATGTGGACACAGCTGCTGAAACAGATGAGAAGGCAAACAAGCTCATTGAGTTTCTCACGACCAGGTAATAAGGGGTTAGGAGTCCGCTGCTGTTTGCAGGTTGGTCTTTCGGAAAATTGCCAACGCTTTAAACCACACAGATGGAAAAGTGATCCTGGGGTTCTAACAAAGTCCTGTTTCTCTTCTCAATTGCAACTGCTGGAGTCTGTGTGAACAGACACTGAGATACAGAGAATTACAATTTGTGAAAGGCAGACATCAATAGCAGTTTCTAGGATCCCACTGATGTGACAGTTGATGGGCAAGGGGATTTTGTGGATAATGATGATGCAGCAGATGGAGGCAGGAGATGGTAGTGCCCCACAGTGAGCATGCCTTTAGCCATCTATCAGAGCTGCCAGGGGTTAGTAGTTCTGAGACTTGGCAGAGAACTTCACTCTGGAAATCAAGGATATTAGCCATGATCAACCCAGAAGCAGCTGCCAAGGGGACCATTGTCTGTTCATCTGGTCCAAAGAGTCATTTGTAAAAGGCAGTCAGAAACCAGAAACAATAGGAAGCATAATAGGAAAGGAATCAAACTAATAAATCAAAACCAAGAAAAACTGCAAGTGGTACTGGTTAGGTCTTCTGGTTCTTCTTATTAACCATTTAGCTTGTAAGGCTTCAGGATTTCTAACACCCTGCGGTCTGGTAGTTGTGTAAAACATGCTTACTTGTGACTGGGTGGCATGCTCCCCTTTCTCAGTGAGTTAAGTCCTGGAAATCTACTCTGTGTATGTGTTATCTAATATCTCATGTGATCTTGCTTTCTTCAGCTAATGCATCAATTAATGCAAACAATAAAAAAAGAGTATTTTCTTTCCACAATTCATGATTCAGGTTATTTTGTGCAGCTCTCAACTTAATGTGGGATTTAATGTGCAGGAAGCTTAGGACAGGAGCTGATGGTGCCTACATACAGTATGCCTGCACATACAGGGTACTTCAGAGACCCGCATGATTTGTGGAAAGGAAAAGTATTGTCACCACTCACCATCTGTCAGTACCACGTGTTTGGAATAACTCTCCTCTGAAGTTCTCCCACCTGGCTCCATTCCATTCTTACTGTTGAAAACCAAGTAGATGACAGAGGCTGTGTATTCAGTTTGATTGTACGGTATTTGCAGCTTGATGTGATCCTGATAAAAGCCTTATCTCTGCAAATGCTAAAATGTGAAAATTGAGTCCATGTCTAAATCTTTATTTCACTTAACATTTGATATCATTTTACTTAACAAACAAACATGTAGCACTTATGATATGCCAAGCACTGTTCTGGTGAATTGGGAGGTTTTAATTTTGTAAATGAATTTAATTTAAAACATTTTAAAATGACTCTATAAATTAGATGTGTTTTGACTATGCTGATAAGGTTTATAAGACTGAAATGTACTTCCAAAATAATTCATAAAATTGTTTAAAATATTTTTTTAACTCACATTTTAAGTTCAAGGGTGCATGTGCAGGGTATGCAGGTTTGTTACATAGGTAAACGTGTGTCAAGGGGGTTTGTTGTACAGGCTATTTCACCAGCCAGATGTTAAGCCCAGTATCCATTAGTTGTTTTTCCTGATCCTCTCTCTCTTCTACCCTCCGCCCTCCAGTAGGCCCCAGTGTGTGTTATTCTCCCCAATGTGTCCATGTGTTCTCACAATTCAGCTCCCACTTATAAGTGAGAACATGCGGTATTTGGTTGTCTGTTCCTGCGTTAGTTTGCTAAGGTGATAGCCTCCAGCTCCATCCATGTCACTGCAAAGGATATAATCTTGTACCTTTTTATGGTGGCACACTATTCCATGGTGTATATATAGTTTGCTAAGGTGATAGCCTCTAGCTCCATCCATGTCCCTCCAAAGGATATAATCTTGTACATTTTTATGGTGGCACAGTATTCCGTGGTGTATATTTCTTTATCCAGTCTGTCACTGATGGGCATTTGGGCTGATTCCGTGTCTTTGCTATTGGGAATAGTGTTACAGTGAACATATGCATGCATGTGTCTTTATAATAGAACAATGTATATTCCTTTGGGTATATACTCGGTAATGGAATTGCTGGGTCGAATGGTATTTCTGTCTCTGGATCTTTGAGGAATCGCCACACTGTCTTCCACAATGGTTGAACTAATTTATACTCACACCAACAGTGTAAAAGCCTTCCTTTTTCTCCACAACCTTGCCAGCGTCTATTATTTTTTGACTTTTTAATAATCACCATTCTGACTGGTGTGAGATGGTATCTCACTGTGGTTTTGATTTGCATTTCTCTAATAGTCAGTGATGTTGAGCTTTTTTTATATAATTGTTGGCTGCATGTATGTCTTCTTTTGAGAAGTGTCTGTTCATGTCCTTTGCCCACTTTTTAATGGGTTTTTTTTCTTGTAAATTTGTTTAAGTTCCTTATAGATGCTGGGATTAGATCTTTGTCAGATGCATAGATTGCAAAAAATTTAAATATGTTATATGTTTGGAGTCAGGACTGTATGTGTAGTTTTAAAAATGCAAAATGACAGTTATATTTTTGACATTTTGTGTGTTTTGTTTAAGGGCATTTGGTCCACTTTGGTGCCATGAAGACATCACACCTAAAAATCAAAATTCAAAGAGTGCTGAACAGCTCACTAATTTTCTACGTCACGTTGTATCTGTATTTAAAGATTCCAAATCAGGTACTTCATCTTATTTGCACAGATCCCTCTTTCAGCATTGTTCTGTAATGGACACTGTCTCTATATGATGATTACAGCGCCTTAAAACGGTCCTGCACTCCACATCCATAGCACGAGCATATTCACAGGGGAGTTCTGAAGCTTGTTCAGATGCTGCCTAACTGCATGGTATTTAATGCCGTGTATATTTGCATTATGCTATATCAAATAATTTTCCCAACATACTTGTTCTACTTCTTTCATTTACCTTACTAGAATTAAACTGTGCCTATAACATTTTCTTTAAAGAAGGCTATGAGGAATAAATCTCATTGACTCTCATCAGTCTCAACAATGAAAAATAGTCTGGTTAAATGGCTGGTTGAATGGTCAAACAATTTTTTTTTAATTGTGATAAAATGTTTTTGGCTTTAAAAGTTTTTGCTAACAATTCCTGTGCAGATGACTATTCAATATTCTAAATACAGTGTGACTCCTTTAGCATTATGATACTTAAGTGTTTGCCTTCTGCTGAATTCCTTCAGGTCCAAGTTGGCCTGGGCTGATTTGTGTGTGAAACTTAAATCCGGTTTCTCAACATGTTGTAAAACCATCTCTACCTTTTTTTCCTCACACCAGGCTGGCAATATTAAATCCAGCTCCCTGGCTTTTCCAGCTGCTCTGGTAATTAGCACATTTCCCAGTTTGAAACATTTTGGATTAGCCACATATCTTTTCATTATCAGAGGACACTTACTAAAAAACAAAAGATACTGACAGACCGAAATGGGAGAGTCATTTCTAGGAATAGACTTCCGTTTCTAGTTTTGAGTTTCCCCTTTGGAATTTGTTTAAAATATGAGGACCTCAAAAGCCAATTAATAATTGAACACAGACTGAAGGAAGCAGTTTACTATTTGTATGTAAACCATTAATTAATCTAAAATCTTGGATTGAATGAAAATAATAAACATGAGAAAATGTATAAATGCCTTATGCTGAATTCTTGGAGGGTACTTCAGGCTGCATAAAGTCTAAGTCTTTTTGCACCTTGACCAATTTTTACTGATTCTGATTTCCTTGTACATCCCTGCTTTTGGCCTGTTTTCTCTATACATACACAATGTATTCCTGGAAACACGTGTTAGTCAGGGCGGCATAGCTGCTGTAACAAACAGCCCCCAGAGCTCAGAGGCTTAACACAACAGAAGGTTATTCCTGGGTCCTGTAACAGTTCAGTGCAGGTGTTTGGCAGGTGGCCTTCCGCTAGGTGCTTCAGGACCCTCCAGCCTGAGGCTGTGCCACCCCCTAGGCTGAGGCCTCTGCTGGGCCCTCTGCATCCAGCCAGCAGGTGGAAGAAGAGAGAGTGAGAAGAGGATTCCTCAGGATGAGTTGACACCCCAGGCTTAAATGGGGTATCCAGTGGGTTTTTTTCCACATCCCATGGGCCAGAACTCGGGCACCTGGGCACACCTAACTGCAAGGAAGACTGGGAAGTATAGATTCACTGTGTGGCTGGAAAGAAAAAGAAACCTTTTCCTTTTCTCAAAGGACACTGTTGTGATGGTGGAGTCTGAGGTCCTACTAGTACAGTTCTAGCCTTCAGGTTCATTGTGATTTAAATGAGCATTTGCTCATTTGAATCACATTTATCATTTGCCAGGGTACCTAATCTCCACACATAAAATCACAAAATCATTTGCCAGGGTACCTAACTTCCACATATAAAAAAAAATAGGTTAAGTAAACAAACCTTTATTTTGATAAACAAAATAAAGACATAAAAAGCTTTTTTGAAGCATCATTCATAAGATACGAGCAGCCTACATGGGTTTAATCCTACGTTTACTACCCTGAATGTGTCTGAAGTCAATTTTCCAGGACCCTCTGTTTTCTCTGCAGGAACATTTTCTTGTATAATCTATTTGTCCCTAGGGTCAAGTAGCCAAGCTGCAACTAAGAGCAATGACATTGAATTATCCCTTCTGGCCCACTTTCATGTAGCAGCCAAATGTGCTGCAGAGCCTCTGTGTCATAGAGACAGCCTAAGTCTCTGTTTTCATTCAGTCCTCCTACCCTTGTAGTCTGCTTTTCTCCCTACAGAGAGGCACAGCAAGTATATAATTTAATGACCTAGAATTCAGTCATGAGCTTTATCTTACATTTTCATTCCCATCTGATCAAATGGTTTTCTGATTACTGAGATTACCTTTGTACAATTGGAAAAACAAATATTCAGGCAAAAGTTTAAATTATGGCTGCCTTCTTCACAGTATCTACACTTCAATATCTGCATATCAATAAAGCAAAGACTTTGGCACAGGCCTTAGTTGTGTTTTGAGTTGAATAGATCCACTAACAGCTTTCCTCTCTTCTGAAATTTCCTCTACTCTAACAAACTTACAAAAAAAGGAGAGTATTCTATGTAAAAAAAGTAGTACAGAAGAATAATATGTGAAAATAGCAGAGTAATAAATAAGAATACATTTGTGAACCTATGTTATGTTTCAGACACTATACTAGGCACTTTGTAAGTTGTTTAATTTTCACAACAACTGTACGAGACAAGTTAAAGATAAGGAAACAGGCTCATGGAGAACAAATTCCTTTCCCAGAGTTAGAAAGCCTCTGATTCAATACCAGGACCATCTTGTTCCAAAGCCTTTTTCTACTACACTATACCTCCCTAAGATTTATTCAGAATTTGTTTTTATTTTAAAATGAGGTGGGTGCAGTGGCACACTCCTGTAATCCCAGCAACTCAGTAGGCTGAGGCAGGAGGATTTCTTGGGCCCAGGAGTTCATGACCAGCCTGGGCAACAAAGAAAGACCCTGTTTCCAAAAAAAAAAAAAAAAAAAAAGCTTGATGTGGTGGCTCATGCTTGTAATCTGAGCACTTTAGGAAGGCAGAGCAGGCAGATCACTTGAGCCCAGGAGTTCAAGACCAGCCTTGGCAACATAGTGAGACCCCATCTCTACAAAAAACACAAAAAAGTATCCAGGCATGGTGGCACATGCCTGTAGTCCCAGCTACTTGGGAGACTGAGGTGGGAGGATCACTTGAGCCCAGGAGGTAGAGGCTGCAGTGAGCCGTGATCATGCCACTGCACTCCAGCCTGGGCAGCAGAGTGAGACCCTGTCTCAAAAAGAGAAAAAAAAAATGGTTGACTTGTAAATAAGTACCACTACAAGGTAGCCCTGTGCCGTTAGCCTGTTTTAAACTTAGAGGTAACTTTGATGCCCCAGAGCATGTAGAGTAGAGACTGACCTATTCTGTGGCTCTTGTTACCCTAGGCTTCCATCTGGAGCACCAGTTGAGTGAAGTTGCATTGCAGACAGCCCTCGCAAGCTCTTCAAGGCACTATGCTGGTCGGTCCTTCCAGATATTCCGGGCCCTCAAGCAACCTCTGTCAGCACATGCCTTATCTGACCTTCTCTCAAGATTGGTGGAGGTGATAGGAGAACATGGAGATGAGATTCAGGTATGGAAGGGAAGACCACTGAGCTCGTGAAGGATGAGCTCTCTCATCTCAATGAGGTGTAAACTATTTTTGAGCCTTTCTTCTGTCAACAATTATTCCAGCCATCTGGACATGTACAATATATTTTTTCAATTTTAGAGGTTGACTTTTATATTTACAAAAATTATTCCAAGGAGCCTTGTTCTAGAAATTCAGTGGATATTATCTCTTTTATATAAGCCAACAACTGGAAATCCTCTGGTGGCTTCTTCTTTGTTGTTTTTGTGGTTGGTTTTATTTGGCAGGCGGCCAGGGGATTATTTTGTATAGTTTGGGGTTTCTGGCTGCCAACCTAGGATGCAGTTATACAGTCTCCCTACCCAGAGCAGGGACCTCCACTGTATCTGTCCAAAGCACTACCTCTCTCTCTATGGTTAGTCTCCAGTAGACTGAGAAGAGCTGAAGAAGGAATGGAGAGTGACTGCCACAAGGAGGCCCTCAAGATAGAGCCCAGAGATTGGGAAGCTGAACAGGTTGAGAGCTGCTGGCATTACAAGCTCTCTGGCTCCGGCCAAGTCCTTCTTTCCCTTCAGAAATGTTCCTGGCTGGGCAGTGGCTCAAGCCTATAATCCTAGCACTTTGAGAGGCCATGGCGGGCAGATCACTTGAGGCCAGGAGTTCAAGATCAGGCTGGCCAACACGGTGAAACCCCTTCTCCACTAAAAATACGAAAATTAGCTAGGCGTGGTAGCACACGCCTATAATCCGAGCTACTCAGGAGGCTGAGGCAGGAGAATCACTTGAACCCAGGAGGCAGAGGTTGCAGTAACCCAAATCGTGCCATTGTACTCAAGCCTGGGCAACGGAAGTGAGACTCCATCTCAGAAAAAAAGAAATGTTCCTGCATCTGAGGAAGCCTGCACACCTACAGACACTACCTGCTTCCTTCTTTCAGCCATCAGAGGTGCTGTTTAAAACACCACGGAGGCAGCTCTTCCTGTACCTCTCCTCTTGATCTGTGGCTTTCAGACATTGCCACTCTGTATTTCAAATGCCCACCCTCCCCTCAGCAGAGGGTCATGCTTACCCCTCGCTGTTGAATTTCAAATGAAAGTGATCTGTTGAGGCTCTTAGACATAGGAAAATAAATTTGTATGATTATCTGCTAACTCCTAAGCCATCTGAATTTCCTAAGTGGCCCTTAAAGCTTATTTTAGACTTCATAAATTAAAGCAGCAATAACATTATTGGAATACAGTTTACATTAATTAAATTTATCTTAGGAAATTAACAATGGTTACAAGCAATACAAAATGCTATCTTTGCATGTTTGGCAGGGTTATGTAATGGAAGCGCTCCTAACCTTGGAGGCGGCTGTGGATAACTTGTCTGACTGCTTGAAGAACAGTGACCTCCTAACTGTATTGTCCCGGTGAGAATCAGCTTAATGATACTTTGACATCAAGTATACTGCACAGGAGTATTTGGGAGATGCTGGACTTTAGGAAAAGTACAAAGAAAAAATCTAGTTTTTGAAGTATATTTATGACCTGAAAAAGTATGTGTAATACTTTCTTAAGTTAAAAAAGAAGTCATAATACACACAAACACACACACACACACACACACATTATATAAGTATTTTAAAACATCAGGAAGATAGATACTAAGTGTTATCTCTGAATGATAAAATATTAATAATTTTTCATTTCTTTTTTTGTCTGAGTATTTTTCCAAATTTTATGTAATAATTATCCTATTTATTACATTGGTAAAGAGAAGCAAAAGCTAAATATTATTTTTAAATGAATATATACAAAGCTTCTGAACTGTTGCCATAAAAACAGTTGGAATAAATGTTGACTTCATTCAAAGAAATTCCTACCTCAGTATCTTTTTTTTTGCTCCTGCCAATGTTTAATAATTCATTTCAAATTATTCACGACTCTATATTCTGTTTGTGTTATTGAGCTCATCTTGCTTGAAATTGAGTCGGTAATGTTATCTTGTATCCGATTGGGCCTTGTTTTATTTTTAAGTTGAGCATTTTTTATGGATAATTTTGGTATGATTACAAACATCACACATATTTATCTATATTAACATAAAGATTTATCTAAATCAGTAAAAATATAGCAAGAATGTTGACAAAGAGTTTTACCTTTTCAGCATAGACTTAGAAATAATTTTTCTTAAATTTTGGTAAGTACCAAAAATTTCCTTTGACATGAACATTTACCAGCTTCTTTCTGGATAGCATAATTCCCATTTCTGTTCTCCTTATCAGTCAGTTAACAGAATATTGAAGCTTATACCTATCAGGTACATTTTATTTCATAATTACTCCTACCCAAATTCAAGCAAAACATAAATGAAATATCAGTAAACTTTAAGGCCAATTATTGATTCCTCTACATTTTCAAGAAGTAGCAGTCAGTATTGGGCTTTTTGTTTTGTTGATGAGGGTTTCTCTTGTTTTGTTTTTTATAGCTTTAAAGATAAGGAAAAATAAATGAATAGAAAGTGGCATTTCTAAAGAATGATTTCCCTCCTGCAGTGTTTCTCAGTGGACTTGAAAGGACTGGCTTTTGGTGACACATGTTGGCATCCTATTAAACTTATTTATTTTTATACCCAGCTCTTCCTCACCAGATTTAAGCTCCAGCAGTAAACTAACAGCAAGCAGAAAGAGCACAGGACAACTAAACATGAACCCGGGAACCACCAGCGGCAACACCGCAACTGCCGAACGGAGCCGGCATCAACGAAGCTTCTCTGTGCCCAAGAAGTTTGGTGTCATCGACCGATCCTCTGACCCACCTCGAAGTGCCACACTGGACAGAATTCAGGCTTGTACCCAACAAGGCCTCTCCTCAAAAACCAGAAGCTCATCCTCCTTGAAGGACAGTCTCACGGACCCATCCCACATAAACCATCCCACCAACCTGCTGGCCACCATATTCTGGGTCACAGTGGCCTTGATGGAGTCTGATTTTGAGTTTGAATACTTAATGGCCTTAAGGCTGTTGAGCAGACTACTGGCACATATGCCACTCGATAAGGCTGAGAACCGAGAAAAGCTTGAGAAACTCCAGGCACAGCTGAAGTGGGCCGACTTCTCCGGGCTGCAGCAGCTGCTGCTGAAAGGATTCACATCCCTCACCACCACAGACCTGACCCTGCAGCTCTTCAGTCTGCTGACACCAGTGTCCAAAATATCCATGGTGGATGCATCCCACGCTATTGGTAAAGCCAGCCTCGTTCACCCTGTCTCAATTCTGATGGTGACTGTGTTCATCATTTGGTACAATAAGATAATATGAACTTACTGCTTTTAACAATTCTGCTTAAAAATGGTTCCTTGGGAGTAGTTTATTTTTTCTCATAAAATTCTATATAATGTAAATCTCAATGATCTGTATTATAGAAAATATTTTTAAGGCAGTAGCATAAAAGGGGCCAAAATTATTTTTAAGATATTAGCGATTTCTTTTTAGCTTTCCAGATCAAACTGCAGGTGCTGTTAGTTTATTCCATTGCTCTCGTACAGAAAAAAAAAATTTTTTTTTCTTAACTCCTAAATCTTTTATTTTTTTCTTTGCTTTTCTGCTTTTTGTTCTTCTTGGAAATTCTGTTGGTTTCCTCTTGTTTTGAATTAACCCAAATCAACAAACCAGATTTTTCATTTATGTCTTTTTGTTTTGTTTTGTTTTGTTTTGTTTTTGTTTTTTGAGACAGAGTCTTGCTCTGTCGCCAGGCTGGAGTTCAGTGGCGTGATCTCGGCTCACTGCAACCTCTCCTCCCAGGTTCAAGCAATTCTCCTGCCTCAGCCTCCGGAGTAGCTGGGATTACAGGTGTACGCCACCACGCCCAGCTAAGTTTTGTATTTTTAGTAGAGACGGGGTTTCACCATGTCGGCCAGGATGGTCTCGATATCTTGACCTTGTGATCCACCCGCCTCAGACTCTCAAAGTCCTTGGATTACAGGTGTGAGCCACCATGCCCAGCCAACAAACCAGATTTTTAATGCCATGGCATGTGACCCAGAATTCATTTCATGAAGCTATCGCTTAACAGAGAGGGACTAAGCCATTCCTTATTTTAAAGAGTCTTTTCAATTACATGACTAAGACTTAAATTGGTTGGCCTATGTCCTCTCACACCAGTTTTTCTTAAAATATGTTTTTTTGATAAAAATTTCAAACTAGTACTCAGTTTGGCTCAGTTCAATCTGCGCCAAAAACATCTGGGCCAGCCATCCTTATTCACAATAGTCCAGTGCAAGATAATCACTGCATCTTAAAATCGCAGATCTACTTTACTGTCTTCTTTGTAACTGGTGCAATTGTGGTTGTGCATTTTTCATAGATTTTGTGTTAGATCATGTTTAAGCTGATTCAAAAAACTGCTTTTGCATCACCTCAGTATAAAAATCTGTAACATGCCTTCCCACTGTTAACAGCTAAAATATACCATATTCAGCTATCTCCATTGTATCTTCTCTAATCCAGGGTTTCCACTGAATGTCTTGTGTCTCCTGCCTCAGCTGATTCAGCATTTTGAAAATCCCAATCAGTTCTGTAAGGATATAGCCGAAAGGATTGCTCAGGTATGAGTTACAGTTCCACACTCAGGCAGATCCATAGAGGCCTTCAGGACGCCCTAGTGTCAGGCAAATTACAAGGCCCAGAGATGGCAGTGATTTTCTCAAAAACTGGAAATAATAACTAATATCACAGTAATGGAAATATAGGGGTGGCTGATGCAAATTGTCTTGCTTGCTTTCATTCTTGAGAATGCAGGTGGGAAGAATTTGTGAAAATTATATTAGCCAAGCTAAGTATTTCCTGTAATTACCAAAAAGTGTATCAATCTACTTTCCAGATGGCCAGAGCTTATAGTAAAATTGCTAACATTTCTTCCTATTCATTGGGCTATTTTATTCCTAATTGATTTTTTTATTTTAAAAGGTTTGTTTAGAAGAGAAGAACCCCAAACTTTCAAATCTTGCACATGTCATGACTCTTTATAAAACGCACAGCTACACGAGGGACTGTGCCACGTGGGTCAATGTGGTCTGTCGATACCTTCATGAAGCATATGCTGACATTACCTTGAATATGGTTACCTACCTGGCAGAGGTAAGCTTTTTTTTTTTGTTTTTTGAGACAGGGTCTCATTATGTTGCCCAGGCTGATCTCAACTCTTGGGCTCAAGCAGTCCTCCTGCCTTCGCCTCCCAGAGTGCTAGGATTACAGGCGTGGGCCACCATTCCCTGCCAGAGGTAAGCTTTGAAATGAAGGATAAAATCTATTATAGCTTCCAAGGGTAAATTATTTGCATAAAATTGATAATACACTCAGTATACTCTTAACTTCCATATAGTGTGTGCCTATTAAATATTATAATACATGCTAATGGAATCATTTTAAAATCTCACAACAGCACAGTGATGTAGATAATATCATACAGATCTGAGGCTCAGCCAGGTTAAATAATTTTTCACAAGTTTAAAGCAGCAGAGTCAGCCTTTAAACCTAGATATAGCTGCCTCCAAAGCTTAAACTCCTTCTGTTTATTATGGTAACACCTGTCAGTACACGGCACAGATCAGAAATTTTTATCCTAATTACGCTGGGTGTTCAAATCTTATTTAAGGAGTTACCTTGTGGCTTGATATGTTTAATGGTTGTTTGATCTAATTATCAAAGCATACATTCTGAAATAAACTTTATTCTCGCCTTTTATGTTTGTTTTTAAAACTGGAATGGTACTTTGTCATCATACCAACGTGTTTCTAGTATATTCATTACAAACCCTACACTGACCTCTGTGTACGTTGGTGCTAGAAATACATAGAATATTGTTGGGCAAGAGATGAAATGTATTCCGTTTAGCATCTTCAGTCTCCAACAAGTTTATTACACAAGGTCATGAAATCTATAAGGCAAATGACTGGTAATCGCTACGTTGTTTTAGCATTTTCAGTGTTGCTTTTTCCTTTGTGATACGCATTCATAGCTATCACTAGCACCTTTCAGAAGAGATGAGGACAATCTATCCTAGTTTTTCTTTTATTTATATCATCAATCCAGATGCCAGATAGGTTAAAAATCAGCCATTTTCTCAAAGGCTCCACAAGCCTGAAAGCATCTACCTAGCAGAGGAGAGATGCCCCATCCATCAACATTTATAGTTGATCGTGCAGGATTTTGACTTGCAATACAGATCAGTAATGTGTGACCTGTGTTCAGACTGTCAGCAGCCCAGGATTCACTTGCTATTTCCACATCCACATCTCTGACATTTTAAGGAACCTCTCATAAGTACCACCTTGCTGGTTTTAATAGTCATCTGGTCATACCTGTCCCTGCAAGAGTTAACTAAGCAAGCACACACACACCTCAGCACAGAAGTAGTACTGAGAGAACTGATTTGTTCTGCTTGCAAAGGCAGACCTTGCCTCCTTTAAAATAAGGTGAAGTGTAGATAGCAAGGAGGTAACATTTGTCTGGCTCAGTAACCATAAGAAGTTTCAAAAATGCAAATTGTACGTAGCATATATATACAAGGGAGTATTATTCAGGAAGAAATTCTGATGTGTGCTTCCACGTGGGTGAACCTTGAAGACATTATGCTAAGTGAAATAGGCCAGAGGACAAAAGGACAAATATGACAAGATTCTGCTTATATGAGGTACAGAGATTAAGCACATTTATAGAGAAAATGTAGAATAGTAGTTACCAGGAACTCAGGGCAGTTCGTAGTGGAGAATTATTATTTTGTGGGTACAGAATTTCAGTTTGGGATGATGAACAAGTTCTGGAGGTAGATAGTGGTGATAGTTGCATAATAATGTGAATGTACTTGAGAAAACAGGTGGAAAGAATTTGTGAAGATTTTATTAGCCAAGCTAAGTACTTCTGTAACAACCAAAAAGTGTATCAGTGTACTCTGGCAGTCTGGAAAGTAGATTGATACACTTTTTAAAAAAATGGTTAAAAAGGTAAATTTTATGTTATGTGTTTTTTACTACCCATAAAAAAATTGGTTATCTAATTTGTTCTGTTCAGCCCTTATCACAAAATTGTCACCAAAAAATTTATTATGAACTTAACCAAGGTCCCACTGTATATAATATATATTAACTTCTGTTTCAATTACACATTCTTTCAGGTCTTGGCTATGCACATACATATAATTTTGTGTCACTGTGGTATTCCCTGGAACCTTCTTTGCTCACTTATTATTAACTGTGTGTGTATATTTCTATGTGTTGGGGTAGCGCACAGAGTGCTGTTTTAAATAACTCTGGAAGTCTATCAGGTTAAGGTAACACAGTTTGCTTAACCATCTCCCTTTTGTTGCTAATGTTCATAATTTTTTCCATTACAAATGGTCTTGTTATGTAGATCTTTATCAAATGATATTTGAAATTTGATCAAGTAATAATAGATTTTATCAAAATCCTTTTATCACATAATATCAAATGACTCTACATTTCCTGAAGTCGAATTATTCAGTCCTGTGGCATGGATTGTGGGTATGTTATTTAGTTCTTCAACATATTCGAGAAGTTGGTCTTCATAAAGATCCCCCCATTTGTAATACTATAAACAGTGTATAAATATTCTTGTTTTCCTGTATCCCCACTAAATTTTGTCATTCCATTTATTTTTTAATTTAACACTTTTTATTAATAATTTTGAACTATTTTATGTATTTTCTTTCTAGTAAAGATATTCATTTTTCCACATTATAGATTTACATAATTATTTACTCATGTTTTTTGTTTTGTTTTGTTTTGTTTTGAGACAGAGTCTTGCTCTTGTCACCTAGGCTGGAGTGCAGCAACATGACGTTGGCTCACTGCAACTTCCACTTCCTGGGTTCACACAGTTCTCCTGCCTCACCCTCCCGAGTAGCTGGGATTACAGGCACCCACCACTACGCCCAGCTAATTTTTGTATTTTTAGTAGAGACTGGGTTTCACTATGTTGGTCAGGCTGGTCTTGTACTCCTGACCTCAGGTGATCCACCCACCTCAGCCTCCCAAAGTGCTGGGATTACAGGCATGAGCCACCGCGCCCTGCTCTTTCCTCATGTTTTAACCACTCCGTAAATATTGTGTAATTTCAACATTTAGTTGGATCATCTCTATCAACTTTTTATCTTAAACAGTAAACTTTTATCATGATGTCTGTCACATATATGTTTTCCTTATTTTGCTTTCCTTTTGGTCAATATCATTGATTTTTTATGATTATAAAAGCAGTATATATTCATAACAAAATTTGGAAGTTGCAGGAAAGTTTTTAAAAAGAAAAGAAAAATTACCCAGAATTGTAGAGAAACAATACTAACATTTTAAAATTTATTTCCAATGTTATTTCTATGTAACACACACATTCATGTCAATATTGGCATCATCTATTAAAAAGACAATTGTGTATCCTTCATTTCCCACTTAATATTATCTGATATCCTCCACTGCCTTTAAAAATGTCATTCTATTAACTGCATGACGTTTCATTATACAGTTTGCTGTTAACTTATATATCCATTTCCCTAGCGTTCAATACTTGAATTGCTTACAAAGCTTTCTTGTTTTGTGTATGTTTTTTGCCATTATAAATAATGCTATGGTGAAATCTTATACATAAATCTTAATGTCTATCTCTGGTTTGAGAAACATTCCTAAAAGTATAATTACTGTGTCAAAAGATTATGGACCTCTTCATTGCTCTTGATCTTATTTGCCAAACTATCCAATTTACATTTCCACTGATATGTAAGAATACTCATTTCTTTATCTCCCCATCAATACTGAGTATTATCAATTTCTAATCTTTGCCAGTTTGATAACTGACAGATTTTATCTTTTGTTTGAATTTGTAATTTTTGATAATTGGTGTCTGATGCTTTCCTTTTAGGTGTTTTTAAATATTTCCTCATGTGAATTTTATACTTACATATTTACACCTCCACACATGATATAGTCTATTTTGATAATATCTTCAGTTCTTCATAGTTAGGATTTTATTTCCCCTCCTAAGGAAATGTGCAATCAAGCCAGGCATGGTAGCTCTTGCCTATAATCCCAGATACTTTCGAGCTGAGGCAGGAGGATCTCTTGAGGCCAGGAGTTCGAGACTAGGCTGGGCAACATAGCAAGACCCCATCTCCTAAAAAAATAAAAAATAAAAAGGAAATGTGCAATCCTAAATGTGTTGGAAAACACGGGTCCTTCCATACGGAGATCTGGTGTGTGACTGACTCCAGCCGCACTTTGCCCCCACAGCTGCTGGAGAAGGGCCTCCCTAGTGTGCAGCAGCCCCTGCTCCAGGTGATCTACAGTCTTCTCAGCTACATGGACCTTTCTGTCGTTCCTGTCAAACAGTTCAATGTGGAAGTTCTGAAGACAATTGAAAAATATGTGCAAGTGAGTACTTGGATAACTTCACTAAGCAACCAGTCGTTCTAAAAAGATGGAGGCTTTTCCTGTAGCTTGGCTACAAAACCATCTGGGTGCCAGGCCACTCATTCATTCCTTGACATCCATGGCACAGCCAGGGCAGTTAAGAGTGGGAGTTGGCCACACCCTGAGTAGTATTCTGAAGAGAATGAGAGCACAAGACCCCGGCACACTCCGGTGCCTTTAAAAGGCACATTTCCGCCTCTTGGGGCCACAGGCTGAGTATTGAAAGCACACGCCTGACTTGGAGGGCAGAGGCAGAGTCTTGGTTTTTTTATCCCGTTTCAGAGAAGGAGAGGGGACAAGGAACTGTAGGAACTTTCACATGTGCCGGGTTCTAGGCCCGGTGTTTCAACATGTGAAGGATTATTCAAAGGCTAAAACTGTCACTTTAGAGTTGAAGAGTGGTTAAGAAACTTGCAGAAATATACTTGAAAATACTGCAACAAACAAACAAAAAACATTTGTTTGAGGGGATAAATAAAACAAGATGACAAAATGTGAATAGTTGATGAATAGTACAAAGGGATTCATTAGACTAGTCTCTCGGTTTCTGTGTATATTTTAATATTTCCATAATAAACAGTCTTTATGTATATTTTTAAAACCAAGAGACTGGCTCCAAGATTTCAGTTAGTAAAGGCTGGAGCTGGTATTTGGATCCAAAGCCAGTGTCTTTGTTTTATTGTACCAGGCAGCCTCCCTGGCAGGATACTTGGACATCTCCAAACAGCTACAGATTGATTTTTTTTTTCAAAACTGAGTCTCGCTCTGTCCAGGCTGGAGTGCAGTGGCACAATCTCGGCTCACTGCAACCTCCACCTCCCGGGTTCAAGCGATCCTTCTGCCTCAACCTCCCAAGTAGCTGGGACTACAGGCGTGTGCCACCACGCCCGGCTAATTTTTGTATTTTTAGTAGAGACAGGGTTTCACCATATTGGCCAGGCTGGTCTCGAACTCCTGACCTCGTGATCCACCGCCTCGGCCTCCCAAAGTGCTGGGATTACAGGCATGAGCCACCACGTCCAGCCCAGATTGATTCTTAAAGCCGTACTCTGAGAAGACCAGAAACACAATTTATTTTAATGAAAATAAAAATAAATATCAAGGCCAGGTGCAGTGGCTTATCCTGTAATCCCAGCACTTTGGGAGGCTGAGGCAAGAGGATCGCTTGAGGCCAGGAGTTCAAGACCAGCCTGGGCAACAAAGTGACACCCCATCTCTACAAAAATAAAAAAAATTTTAAAAATCAGCAAGGTGTGGTGGTGCACACCTATAGTCCCAGCTACTTAGGAGGCTGGGGAGAGAGTTTCCCTTGAGCCCAGGAGGTTGAGGTTACAGTGAACTGTGATCACACCACTGCACTCCAACCCGGCCAACAGTGATAAATAGGAAGATAGGAATATAGATAGATGGAAAGATAGCTCAAACACACCAGGACGAGTTTCTAGAGCCTGGAAGTTAATCTAAAACACATGACCACAGACTAAAGCAGGGAGGCTCCAGGCCATGGGAGTAGTGCAGGGCCACGATGGGGTTAAGTAGAGAGCGCCTAGCTCAAGAGCATAGACATCCTTTTCTCTATATTGTATTTGTCTATTTCTTCTCTGGAATGTACTTTGTAACTTGTAGGATTCAAGGGCAAATGCTAGGTTCTCTCTGGAAGCTCATTGATGAAGATATACCGTATAAATTTTAGACATTCCTTTCCATCTTTACTTCACCAAATTACTTACAGAAATTATTTGATGCTGAAAGTGACTTCCAAGCATTTTTCAAGTGGCGTTGCTGCATCATACTTACACCACATAGGGTAGGCAGTCAGTTAACAGTTTCTCACTTCACTCACAGGAGACAGGTGGTCAGTTGACACCTTTCTACGAATGTGTGCCCCATTTTGTTGTTTAATGAGGCTGTCCATTTTGTCTTAGGCCTGCGGGCGACGTCTGATACTTTTTATCTTAACTCAAATAGTAGCTTATTTCACATTTAAACCATGGCTTCCCTTGCGCAGAATTTAATAGATGTTTTATTTCATGTGCTTTGACTGCAAAGTCCAGGCAAAAAATAATAATAACAACTTTCATCAAATTTGTTTATCTGTGTTTCTAATATTTTTATGGGAGCGGCACACAGTCTGATTGGAGGTTGTCAGAGAAACGAAGATGGTAAAACTGAGTCTTAAATGAAGAGTAGGAATTTGACATGCCAATAAGGAGGGGAAATGTATTCAAGGATGAGGGCATAGCATGAGTAAAGGCACAGAGGCTGAGAGGGCTTGCCAAGTTTGGGGAACTCCAGCAGCAGCCTGGGGGAGATGACCCTTGCAGGCCATGCTCAAAGAGTGTGGACTCCACCCTGTCCACCAGAGGGAGTCTGTGAAGGAGTTTAGTCAGGGAAGTGGCTTGGTCTGAAGAGTTCTAGGAAGATCACTCTAGCTGGATCTGATGCACTTAAGGGCTGCAAGCCAAGACACCAGTAAGGGGCCATTGAGATAGTCCAGGCAAGGCCCAAGAGGGTGCCGCTGAGCCAGTGCCAGCAGGAATGCCGTGGAGGGAACAGATTACCAGGAGGGAGGGAAAGAAAGGGTTAAGAAGGGCTTCCAGATTCCTGAGTTAAGTAATGAGGAAGACAAGAAGTGAGAAGAAAAGAGGGCTGAAGACAGAGATCAAGGTACCCAGGAAGCAAATGGAGCAGGAGGAGCCAGAGAACTAGAAGGAGGACCAAGAAGACTGGAAACCGGAGGGTGGGGAGAACTTTAAGAAAGAGTGAACTGAACAGTCAGTGTCATAAAATGCATTGGGAGCTTTTTTTTTTCCCTCAAATTAAGGAGGTGCCTCATTACCATAATGGTACCTCATTAATAAGAATTTAATTTAGCTGAAATGGACAAAATTGGTCTTTTTTGTTTGTCTCCTAAACATAGCTCCTTTTATATATACATTGTCTTTTTATGTCATTTGCCTTTTACTTCTCATGGAACCTGCTGCGCTGTTTTAAGTCAGTGAATTCTGACTGGTCACTAGCTTCTCACTGGTCATTCTGACATACATTAGCTTTAAAAAAATTAAATTATTTTTAACCCTTGAATGTTTTATTTCCTGCAGAGTGTTCACTGGAGAGAAGCTCTGAATATCTTGAAGCTGGTAGTTTCTCGGTCAGCCAGCCTTGTTTTACCTTCATACCAGCACAGTGACCTCTCAAAAATAGAAATACATCGAGTGTGGACTAGTGCTTCCAAGGAATTACCTGGGAAAACCCTGGACTTCCACTTCGATATTTCGGAGGTACTTAGCTATGTTAACTATTTCTGTGAACTTTAGCATGAATTTGTAGTAGCAAAGATCAAAAGTAGTTGCCTGGAAAAAAGAAGACTTATTTGACAGTTATTTCAAATGAAGATTTCTAAGGGCTAAATTAGGTTTTGCTTTTTAAAGAACCCATTGAGTGTCATATTCACTGGGACTCTCAGTTGGCAGCTTTTAAAAATAGAAACTAGCCTCAGTTATGTAAAAAATGATTTTAAAAAGAGGTATTTAAAAATGGAACGATCATAAGCATTTTAAACCATGACCTTCACTCATTCTTTATCTGACAATGGTCATGTCTTTATATCCACAATGTTTCTCCCTGAATGACAGCCAGTTCAGCAGATGACCGAAATTTACAGGAATATAGACTCCACTTTTATAGTTGCTTCCCCAGTCCACACTATTTTTTAAACAAGTAAAACTAAATTCTTGCCTTGAAGCGGGCAGGGGAGAGAGAGGGAGGAGCAAAAGACTAGGGACCCAAGCTAAGGAGTCAGGAAGAAAAGAAAGGACAGGAAGTAGTCATGTTTACCTGATAGTCCATGAACAAATATTTGGGAGGCTTATATTGAAGTCTAAGGTATAAAATAACTTTGCTTTCACATCTCTTACCCCATGACTCATGAACCCCCAAAGCAGAAACTGTACTCTGTTCCTGTTTATAACCAGGGCTCAGTACAACATCTGGTGCATTAGTAGATCACTAGTAAATATTTCCAAAACTCTGCTGAATGAATAAATTCACTAAGAAATAAACCTGGTGTCAAATACTGCATGTTCTCACTCATAAGTAGGAGTTGAACAAAGAGAATACATGGACACAGGGAGGGGAACATCACACACCGAGGCCTATCACGGGGTGGGGAACAAGGGGAGGGATAGCATTAGGAGAAATACCTAATGTAGATGACAGGTTGATGGGTGCAGCAGACCACCATGGCACATGTCTACCTGTGTAAGAAACCTGCACATTCTGCACATGTACCCCAGAACTTAAAGTATATTAAAAAAAAAAGAAATAAACCTGGTGTGCTTATATGGAACTTACTTGCACTATTATGTAGGTCATATCCAAGTTGGGTTTTTTATACAATGGTCCTCACTGACCTTTCATCATTTCAGTATTCAGGATGAGATACTATTTGCTACCATTGTGACACCTGCATCTATATTTAATATGTAAATAATATTAAGGTTTCAATTTAATCTTGGTCCATTTTCACATTTTTTTTAACCTGGCTAGGGGGAAAAGCTATTTTTTCTCTGCAATTTGAGTTTGTTGTGTTCTAAAGAGGTACAAAAAAACATGCAGCTGGTTAGCAGCATGCTCCAGAGACCCAGAACTGCCCCAGAATGATGGGTCTCAGGAGCCAGGTGTAAAATTGACAGTTTCTGCCACTGCCGAGGTCAAGCCCATGAGCTGGTGTCTGCAGAGGAGGCCTGCTCGGAGCTTGAGTTTGCGAATTGCTGCCTATGCAGCCACCACACTCTGGAGCTCTCAGGAAGTGAAATTTCTCAAGTGCTGCCCAAGTACCTGGCCCTGACCTCAGTCATTTGAATAATTGAAAAGATATAAATAAGTTAAATACATTTTTAAATAATTGAGAGTATATAAAGATTAATGATTAAAAGTTGGGAGAGGGAAAGGAATTTTGGTCTCTTGTTCTAACTATATGAAATTTTTTTCAAGTTTAAACAATCAAAAACTGACTATTTGGTTTCCTGCATGTTTTGCTTCCCTTTGTCAGTGGTTTCTAAAGCATATTAAAGAACAAGCAGTTGCATTTTTCTGCCGCTAAAGAGGGGAGGAAATGTTGAAGATGAAAAACGACTCATAATGTGTACTTGCATGTTGAGAAAATGAGCCCACTTGTAACACTGAACTTCTCTAATCTGATTTTTAATCAAATAAGCAGCTCTTGGTTGCTTCTGGGGAGAAGGGTTTCATATATCACAAAACCATTGAGACAGAATAATGTGCGTTTGTCTTCTTCTCAAGACTCCAATCATCGGGAGGCGGTATGATGAGCTGCAGAATTCTTCTGGGCGTGATGGGAAGCCCAGGGCCATGGCCGTCACCCGGAGCACATCTTCCACTTCCTCAGGCTCCAACTCCAACGTCCTTGTTCCAGTGAGCTGGAAAAGGCCCCAGTATTCTCAGGTATGCAATCCTAGACCCACAGTCCTGGGAGGGAGTTTAGGGACCTGTTGAGTCCATGTGGCTGGGTCATAAGGGATTCCCTCTCACCATCCCAAGGTTGCCCATATAGGTCTCAGCACTTCCAGGGATGGGGTCTTGTGGCATTCCAAGGAACCCATTTGCTCTTTGAACAGTTCATCACCTTGAGTTGAAGTCTGACTCTTTGCTGCTTCTATCCATTGGTTCCAGTTCTCTCAAGGCTTAGAAAATAAAATCTGGTCTCTCTTTCACATGGCAGCCCTTCAGAAATTCTGCCCCTCTGCCACTCTCCTAATGAGGCCAAACAACACATCCTTAGTTCTCCCAACCAATTCTATAGCACTTGGACTCCCAAAGGGTTGATAGGGCTGCACACCCAAAGACCACCCTGTCTGCTGCCCACGGAACAGGCACCTCAACCATGGTGTCCATGCACGGGCTGAGCCATGCAGATGGCAAGGGGCGGGGGTACTGCTGCCAGATTCTCTGTAGTTCTGTCATCACAGCATAGCAGAGATGCCATTGGGCTTCCTGTCAAGTAAAACTTCTGCATTATTCAGGGGTCTTCTGTTGACTTGTTACAGAAACCCACTGAAAAATTACCTTCTGTGGTAAAGAAACTTATTAACTTACTCATCTTGGCTTCAAGCACAGTTGGCTCCTAGTTCACAGATGTCAGAAACTGGATTCTTAGGCTGTCTCCTCACTGTCCCCACCTTCCCTTCCCAACATCTTGGCCCTTGTTTTCCCCTCCAGTGACTTCATTCTCAGGCAGGGTTTTTCTATGGGAGGCCCAGATGACCTCTGGCAGCTCCAGGTTTACATGGTCTTTGGCTCTGATGACTTCAGAGCGACAGAGGCCTTTCCTCTTTTGACATCCTTAGCAATTCTGAAAGATCTTGCAGGACATGCGAGGGAGGCATAGCCTCACTTAGTGGGAATGGAGCCTTTCCGAGATAAAAAGAGGGACAGTGTTACCAGAAGAAGGTGAAGTGGGTGCTGGGAAGGACAAAGTGGGTGCCCAGGAGGACTCACCTTCTCTCTCAAAGGTTAGGGGAATGGAACATGTAGCATAGTGCCGGCTGCAACAGAGCAGGTTCTCAGTGAGTGTTCAGCTGAAAACTTCATTGGAAGAGAGAAGAAAATACAGCCCAATGTGTTCCTCTACATTGATTCCTTCCCAGAATTGTAAAATGACCACTAAGACTTAGGAAAATCGTTTAGCGAGTCTTCTGCCATTCCTTAACCTCAAAGTCCTCCTGTCTCTGACCTTGAGCAGACACCATATTGAGTGTCTGTCCCCTCTATAATTTGGAAAGAAGGATGCAGTGAATTGAGTTCCGTTAAGAAGAAAAATCTAAGAGTGGCATTGGCCTCCTAGCAGTTTCCACATAACAAACCGTAAATCAGATTAAAGGGGGGAGAATCATTTTAAAGAGATTAGGAAGATTGCTTTAAAAATTCTCAACTCACCAATCATTCTGAGACCTGGGTTATCTGCCACTGGAAAAATGTAATGGTTTATAGAAGAATCCCTATGGTCAAGGGGCTGGAAAATAGGTTTATGAAGGAAAGGAACTGAATCTGTTTAACTTTAGGAAGAAGAAACTAAGAAAGATTTAATATGGCTTAAAACGAATGAATTTTTTCATTCTACAGAAAGTATTCTTCTATTTGAGAAAAAGAGACTCATGCTGTAACTTAATAAAGTGTAAGGAAAGCCTTGCTAATACTGAAAGTTTAACATATAAGAAAAGATTATCAAAGGAAGTGATAGATCTCCTTAAAGAACCTAGGGATTTATTTTCACATACACACATATATACACCCCTTGGGATAACTTAGATCACCACTGTCCAGCAGAAACATAATGTGAGCTTCATTTTACATTGTCTAATAGTTACCCTTAAAAAAAAAGGAAAAACAGGCAAAATTAATTTTAATAATACATGTTACCTAACCTACTATATTTAAAATATTATTTCAACATGTTTTCAATATTTAACAATTTTTAATTGCTATTTGTGTTCTTTTTTCATACTTTTGTGTATTTTACATTTCATTCTGTCTATACGTTAAGTGCTATTGCCCTGTATGGCTAGTGGCTAGAAAATTAGAGCAGATTTGCTCACAGGAACCCATAATGAAACCTGCCTTGTGTTTCTTTTCCAGAAGAGAACAAAAGAGAAGTTGGTACATGTCCTTTCTCTGTGTGGCCAAGAAGTAGGATTGAGCAAAAATCCATCAGTAAGTTCTGTCATGTGTCATAGTTATTTTGGTGTCATATCTCCTTTTTCATTGGTCTGTTTTTGCCTTTGGTCATATAATTTAGAGGATTCAACTGTGAATGACAAGTATGATAGCCACCGTCTTGAGCAAACCCCTGGACTATTTCTCCCCACACCATGATTTTTAATCACACTGAGTTCAGAAACAATGAAAGATCTTGCTGGCTGTTTGCTCGTTTGTCTGTGAATACTGTTTCTTTTCATTTTTTTAATTTATTGGATTTTTTTTTTATAAATATGCCCAGAATGTCTTACAACGTAAATGATAATCTCCACTGACCACCATGTATGACATATATGCTCATATCTCTTGGATATAATTTTACTCTCTGTACACACGCTTCTTACTCTCATGTCCTTATCTTACCCACATACAATAAAGATGAAAATAATGTTTCTTTGCATATAAACTTCCACTGATGTTACAATAAAAAACTAAGAATAAAACAAAAATCATACCATCAAGCTTTTGAATGAATGGACGATTGAATAATTATAAGTAAACTTTGGAAGCTTTTATAAAATTTAGAAAAAATTGAATTAGGTATGGGAGTATAACAAAAACAATAGAAGTGTCTGCTAGTTTCACCAGGTATTTTTGTTTCACCTGTATCACAGAATATTTATTATTTATGAAAAAGAAATAACAAACTAATTTCTCAACTGAAGTAAGAATTAGCAAACACATTTCTCGGTGGAGCTATTTTTAAATTTCAAAATGGATCTACTAACACATAGTTCATGAGCAGGTGAAATATTAGAGGCTCATAAATACTTGCTAAAGTACAAAGTGATATTTCTTATCGTCTGGGAAAGCACCCCAGCCAGCCATCAGCTAAGCTGGGCCTCCATTTAAGTCACTTTTTTGGTGTTATTGATCAGTGGGTTTTCTGCGGCTCCTGTGACAATATTTAGGACAGAGGGGACAGTGGCAGAGGCAGATAGAGACTCCTAGCCCACAGTGAAGAGACACAAGTATGTTTTTCCTCTGCATTGCAGCACTGCCAACAAGGCCTACTTCTTATCGTCATTGTGGTTGGCACTTTCTCCTTCAGACTCATCCTGTCTGCCCTGTGCTAAGGCCTTTTCAGCTAAAATATTTACCTGGAGTACATTACAAATAAGAGAAGCAGCACTAACTAGGAAAGACAGCCTTCAGCTGAGGAAATCAGAAATCTCATGTCTCGTCTCTCACTGACTAGTTGACTAGCCCTCAGGGCTCTTTATCTCATGTACCCATTTGCAATCCCTATGTAAAACTGTGTGTCAGGTGCTATAATGAGAGGCTATCATATGCATCATATACTATTCTTAAACACTAGAGGAAAAAAGTACACTTGAAATCCATTCATTCTTTCTACTTTTGAGAGATGTTTATCGTATTTAAATTCTTATAAATGATTTTGCCTACTTTTCAAGGACAACTAAGACATTATAATGGTTATACAAAGAATACTATTAATTTTCTTTAATATCTATCTATGTTCAGTAGAGGCTGGATAGCAAAACATTTACTCTCATTTACAGTTTATTATATACCAAGTTCTACCAAAATGGGTCAGTGAAAAGAACCTAAACATAGAAGTTAATCTTAAAACATTAACATACTAAAGATTTTAATAGTAAAAAAATGTTTTATTTTGTTTAAACCTACAGGAGAGGAATTTAAGTATAAGTTATGGGCCTGGTTACTCACCTACTCTTCTATGGACAAGTATTGTAATTTTTGGCTTCTGTTTTTTTATTTCTTATCAATTGCTTGTTTATCTCTAAAAGAGTTAAATCCTTTGTTCCCACATTCATTCTACAATAATATATCTTGGTATCAGTCCTTAAAATATTATTTATGTGTATTTGATATATGTGTGTAAACATGTATAATTTCTAACTCTAATCAGTTCAGAAACAGTGGAACATTTTCCTGGCTGCTCCAGTTTACACACACACACACATACACACACACACACAGGTAGTATACAGTCTTCATCCATTAAAAAGCAGCGACGTGATTCTTGAACATTTTCCTGGTGCATGAACTTGCGTCTTTGCCACGAGTTTAATCTGAAGGCACCTGTCCAACATAAATAATAAAAGAACATTCTAAAAATACCCACTGAAGGAATTAGGTGTGTACTGGAAATACGGTGCTATGAAGAGCCAATTACAATTTTTCGTAGCACAAACAACCAAAGGGAGAACGGTTTCTCAGGAGAGGACTCTTGATTCGCAGGTGATTTTTTCATCGTGTGGGGATCTGGATCTGCTTGAGCACCAGACAAGCTTGGTATCTTCTGAGGACGGTGCCCGAGAGCAGGAGAACATGGATGACACAAACAGCGAGCAGCAGTTTAGAGTCTTCAGAGACTTCGACTTCCTAGATGTGGAGCTGGAGGATGGAGAGGTACGGTGTATTCTCTGTAAAAATAATCCCCGCACCCTTTTCCTTGACTAATGAAACTATTCTTTTTACCTGCTAAATAATGAGTTTTTGTAACAAGATCTTTAATTGGAAAGTTGTAAACTTTATTTTGAATCAACTTATTCAAAGTACAGCAGCTAAACTTTGGCAAAAGTTACCACACCCTTCCTGTCTGAGCCCACGGCAAAAGCTGCCAAGTTATTTCTAAACGGCAAAGACCTGAGTTTTAATGACCACACAAAGACTGTATGTGTGTGTGTAGTCCCAAGCTGGACTTAAAAAAAAAATCACAAAAAACATTTCAGTTCTTAGCCTGTTCACTGGTACCTGGGTAAAATATGCTAAGCATTTAATCATTTCTAATGTGAAGTTTCTCTAATTCAATTCCTTCAAAGCTTGCCTGCTACAACATGAGACCAGAGCCTGAGGGATCAAACATTTTTGTGCTTGATGAAATCGTTAGAACTGGAAACAAAATGCAATGCACACAAGAGAGCTCTTTGCTCTGCTTAGCTCGGTGGCTGGTGTTCTAGACACTGGAGCAGCCAAATTCAAGTCTCAGTGGGCAAATGCAGATTCATTTATTTTGGATGATAATCATGGTAATAAGATACTTTCAGCTATGAATCATGTTTGCAAAAACAGGTATTGAGAGGAGGAGCATCACCTGTCAGTCACCTTCATTTCAGTAGCTTAGAGGCATGTTCCACCTGAGAGGCCGTCTTTTGCCTCATGGGATCAAAACTCAGTTCACTTAAGTGAGACTGGATGATGCAAAGGTGCCTCGTTCGGAACCGGGCTCATGGTGTTGTCAAGCTCATGTTTAACTGCACCAGATTTCCCAAACGACTCTCTGCTAGTCCTACAATTGAAGAGGCAGGCCTAGATCCCAAGTTTAGGATTTCCTGCAGTAGGTAGGCACCTCCTTACTTAACTACAGGCTTGTGGGAAATGATGCTTCAAGTAGCTGCTTACCTTCCCTAAAAGGATTTTATTATTGACCAACCCGCCTATGTCTAATTGAAGCCAAAGAGCCCTTTGCTTTTGTCCTTCCTGGCCCACTGATGACCCTGGATGTCTGCCCCAGCAGGAGAGAATCATGTCCTCGGAATAAAGAAGGTGTTCTTCACCAATTCTTTCCCTGGAAAACAAGTTGAGCAGATCCGGTCCGTAAGCAGTATAAAGGCACTGCTATCATGTATCCTTAAAATAACTGCCAGCTTAATTTTCACCTTGAATTGCTTAAGAACCAATAAAAAGTATTGCAGGTTTCTGTGATCCATAATAAATGATAGAGAAAGCATTCACTGAATGCAGTGAAGATTGTTTTAAGTCTAAAGCAAAATACAACTGTTTTGAATACTTTCAAAAATGTCTCTGAGACAGAGCTCAGAGTTCAGCTAGTGTCAAAAGACCAGCTCCCTGATCTGACAACTGACCTAATGTTTGCTCTTCAGTTAAAATTCAAGCTTGGACACCTGTTTCCCTCTGGAAGTTATACAAGGGAGGGAAAAAACGGATGAAGCAAGAGAGGCATCATTTCCTGTCTCGGCCAGAGAAAAATGTTATGTGAAACGACCTAGCAGGAATGATGTAAAGCGAAGTAATCCGACACAATTTCAGAACAGCTCACAAATTTAGTTTCTATCAAAATAAAGGAAGGAAAAATCTGGGATGCCCGTTACTTAAAAATAAATATTATACTAATGTTTTTCAGGGACAAGAAATAAGGAATACTACACCTTTTTTTCTGGTCTTCTCTTTATTGTCCTAGCCAGCAATAACTAAAAAATCACAGTGATTATTTTATCTTTCATTGTTAAGATTTTATAAGAAACTGGCTGGGCACAGTGGCTCACACCTGTAATCCCAGCACTCTTGGAGGCTGAGGCATCCTAGAGGATCACTTGTGTCCAGGGGTTTAAGACCAGCCTGGGCAACAGAGCAAGACCCTGTCTCTACAAAATTTAAAATTAGCCAGGTGTGATAGCACATGCCTGTGGTCCCAGCTACTCGGGAGGCTGAGGTGGGAATATCGCTTAAGCCCAGGAGGTCAAGGCTGCAGTGAGCCGTGATTGCACCACTGCACTCAGACTGGATGACAGAGTGAGACCCTGTGTCCAAAAAAAAAAAAAAATTTAGAAGAAGAAACTCACGGGGCTGAGAGTGTACATTTTATCCAAATAAAATAAGGCATTTGAGAATGTTTTGCTACTTCCCAATAAAATCACAATAAGGGATTCTAGCATTCTTGGAGTAGAAGAGTGAAGATGCCTGAACTTCAGAGTCCAACAGCTCCAGGTTTGAATTTCATCTCTGCCACTGACCTTAGCTATATGACCTTAAGCATGGATGCAATTCCTCTTGCTTTCCACTTCTTTGTCTATTAAGTGGGTATAAGAATACAGGTTGAGCATTCCTCATCTGAAAATTCAAAATCTGAAATGCTCCAAAATCCTAAACTTTTTGAACACTAACATGACATCACAACTGAAAGATTCCACATCTGACCTCATGTTACAGGTCATAGTCAAAATGCAGTCAAAACTTTGTTTCATGCACAAAATTATTTTAAAATTGTATAAAATTATCTTCAGGCTGTGTATTTAAGGTGTATGTGAAACATAAACAAATTTCATGTTTAGACTTAGGTCCCATCCCCAAGATATCTCATTATGTATATGCAAATATTTCAAAAATTTTTAAAAATCTGAAATCCAAAACACTTCTGGTCCCAAGCATTTTGAATAAGGCATACTCAACCTCTACCTGCCTGTAGAGCTGACATGAGGATTAAATAAAATAACCAATGTATAGTGTCTAGCAAAGTGTCAGGCATATAGTTGGCATTGTAAATGTGAGTCTCCTTGTACTGTCATTGGTGAATAATTTTAGTATATCTTCATCTGATAAAGTTAGGCATACTTGGCGTTTAGATCAAAGCACAGTTGTCAAAAAAAGAAAGACAAGTCATTTTGTCATATCTATTCCTTTTCATTGGTCTCAGAATTTACTGAGTGATATCTGCAAGAGTTTGCCCTTGAACTTTTTAGAATCTTTAAAAGGTGTTGTGTCTTTGCTATTAATTGCATATGAACAGTAAGCATCATGATCACAAACACTTTTAGCTTTGTGAACAGGCTCAGGTGATGCCACCTTTATTTCCAGTTGATGACCCTCATTCATGTTTCCATAACATTTAACAGTTTTCTCACGAATACATATTTAGGCATTCCAAAAAAGTGTTGAGGAGACCAAAGTTGTCACAGAGGTAGAAAGCTATTTCAGAAATTGTAATAATGATTTGTTATCCCAGCTCTATCATCCACAGCCAAAGGATTTGGAATTTCTGATGTTTAATGTTGATTTTTCTCTTTGGAGTTAGTGTATATTTACCTTTTCTTTTAAGGTGCACCTACTGAAGTGTATATTGTTAGCACTGTTGGTTAATGTTGTGTTAACACTAAGAGAAATGTTCTTGAGTATCTTTAATATAATCATTGTAAATAGACCTTTTGTTTGTTTTTCTGCTCATTCAATCTGCTACCCAGGAACTTCAGGTAAGATGATGCTGTTTTTAATTCAAATATGCTAGTAGATGTTTTGCATCTTTGCAGATTTATAACAACATAATTGCTTTTTTCCTCCCTTCCAGAATATATATGCTTATTTGCGTGCATATTTCCATTTAGGTGTGTGATATAAGAGGTATTTTTCTTGGCTGCTCTAGTATGGAAATGTTTTCTAAAATGTAAATACATTTTTAAAACCTTTATATGCCTAGTTCTGAAAGTTGCATGATTATATCTCAGAGAAGTGGAGTTTTCAAATCTGATCTATGGCAATCCTATCATTTCTCATCAAGTGGTTGCACAACTGGATGGGTTTTATTGTTAAATTCTTGTATTAAAACTGAAATCACCGGGTACCATGGCTCCCACCTGTAATCCCAGCATTTTGGGAGGCTGAGGTGCCAGATCACTTGAGGCCAGGAGTTCAAGACCAGCCTAGCCAACATGGCGAAACCCTGTCTCTACTAAAAATATAAAAATTAGCCATGCCTGGAGGTGCACGCCTGTAATCCCAGCTACCTGGGAGGCTGAGGCAGGAGAATCCCTTGAACCCAAGAGGCAGAGGTTGCAGTGAGCCAAGATCATGCCACTGCACTCCAGCCTGGGTAACAGAGCAAGACTCTGTCTCAAAAAAAAAAAAAAGTGAAATTAACAATTTGCATCTAACTATATACCATACATACTTTCAGTTGAATCTTTTTTTCCCCCAGGAATTAAAGGCTATCTCTATCTTTGTGTAGTGACTAGATAACTTTTCATCCAAACCAGGGCCCTTTTAAAAGTAAAAGGGGGTACTAATAATATTTATACCCAAACCACAGGCATTAAAACCGGGATCATCCTGGGCAAAGTGACCTATGATCAGTCTCTATCTACGTATATCAGACTTACTCTAAGTAGAACATTTGGGGGAGTATATTTTGACCACAATGCACCCAAATTTCTTCAACAATAATTCTTGTTTGACAGAGTTCCAATATGAAAAAAAGTGTCAAAAAATAGTATTTCTAACATTTATAGAATGTTTAATCATTAATACTTTCCCATCTCAGTGTAAACCCTCAGTGGTTTTTAAGTTTGAACTGACATATACAGAGTGTTCATCTGGACTAGCCATCCTCTGCATTTTCTCACATGTAGGAAACTGCTTTGACTTTTCACTTTGTATGTAACATAAAATACAAATCTGACATTTGGGGGAGAGGAAGGATGGAGGGTGGGTCTCCCACTAGGGCCATGCTGAGAAAGCCTGGTTGAGTTTTAATCACCATGGACTTTACCTGGGTCCAGACTGCAATGTTGTTCCATCATCTCAACCTCTCAGCCACCACCAGGGGAACCATTTCAACACCCTTGCTTCTAATGGAGATATTACACCTTCCAGCAAGACAGCCAAACCTTATTCCTCCAAGAACAGCTTTCCCTGCCTCCCTATTTTCACACCTGATTGATTCAGGTCTTCACCAGAGCTGCCGCCAAATCAGCACTAGCAGTGACCTGTGCCTGGTATAGCCTTCTCCCACCTGGATGTCTGTATTCCTCTGCAAGCTCATGGTTCTGTCTCAAGTGCAGCGTGGGAGACCTCCAGAATCGCTGCCTAAGATAGTTCATCCAACCCTTCCAGTCATTTGGCACAAGAGAGTCAGTTTTTTGAATTTGTGTTTGTATATTTGTCCCTATAATTTTCACATTCTTCTCTTTTTACTCTGCATAGTTAGTATTCTGATTTTTCTGTATTTTCTTCCTTTCTTTACACATTGGATTTTCCTTTTCTTCCCAGAACTTTTGCCTCTTTCATATATTGTTTTATTTTCTCACTGCTGTGGCTATTTTTAAAATCCCAGTACAACAGTTAGCCATTTTCTACCAAAAAAAAAGAAAAAAACATATGGTGGTAATTTATCATAGCAGATACTGGATGTTAGAAACAATATTCTGAGTCTGCATTCTTTTTTATAATCAAACACCCCTAAGAGCAATCATAAATATCATATGTGAGGATGAATAATGATGATTTCTATATCTTATCCAGATTGTGCTTAGGATTTGTGCCTGTTGCCTTCTACCATGAATAGCCCAAGCAGACTTTGAAAAAGCTATGCCTCTGTTATATGACAGATCTGTGAGAATGGCAAGCTTGTTTCACTAGGAGACAGACACGACCCTCTGCTTTAAAACAGAGGGAAATTAATAAATGATAATGCTCATAAGTTTAACAGTAACTCACATCTCTCATATTATGTTGTTCACTGAGCTCTCATCAGAAAAAGTTGTTTTATTTTATTCCAATGAACCATCAGGCAGTGTTTCAAATTACCAGTAAATGAAAAGATTCTGTACTAGATTTTGTCAGATCATTTGTTTAGGTTAAAATTTGCATATCAGTCAGCTGAGTAATATTTTTCTTCCTTTATTCCTAACAGAAAGAAAAATAAAACCCAAATCCATTTCTAGAAAAAAAAAGTTATGTTAGTCAAATACACTTATTTATTAACTGATGGTTTGTAGAGAAAGTCTGAATGCAACTAAAAGCTTTCTTTAACACTTACATGGCCACTTAAGCTAGTTCTCGGTAATTCAAAATATACAAATCAACAATAATATTTGGGGCCGGGTGCAGTGGCTCACGCCTGTAATCTCAGCACTTTGGGAGGCCGAGGCGGGTGGATCACTTGAGGTCAAGAGTTCAAGACCAGCCTGGCAACATGGCAAAATCCTGTCTCTACTAAAAATACAAAAAATTAGCCTGACATGGAACCCAGAAGGTGGAGGTTGCCGCAAGCTGAGATCGCGCCACTGCACCACTCCAGCCTGGGCAACAGCAAGACTCTGTCTCAAAAGAAAAAAACAAAAAAACAGTAATAGGCTGGATGTGGTGGCTCACGCCTGTAATCCCAGCACTTTGGGAGGCCGAGGCAGGTGGATCATGAGGTCAGGTGATCAAGGCCAGTCTGGCCAACATAGTGAAATTAACAATTTTCTACACCGGGACAATTATTTAAAGATGAGCCTAAAGCAAAAGTTAAGGTGTTGCTGCTCTGGCCTCTGCATAGTGCATGATCCATCAGACTTTGCCCAGCTGCTCTGATAGTCTTTAACTCTGCATTGTATCTGTGAAAATTGCTGTGGCAGAAATAGGCTGGAATGTTTACCTAATGCTCTTCCACTAAATACCCAAAGGATTCTGGAATGTGCTACAAGCAGCATAGCTCCTACTTTTTTCTCCTTCTGAAAACAGTACTAAACAGGGGCCGACCTCAGGGTGGTGGGAGTGGGTGACACCTCTTTTGAAGTTTTCATACTAATGGTCTCTTTGTTACAGATTTTTGAAAACACAGATCATTGGTAGTGTTTACCAAAATCAACTTTTTAAAAAATGTAATTATTACCCACCATGCCAAAGAAAAGTATGTAATCATTTCTGCCTATGACTTCACATGAGTTTACATGAAAATAGTGTGCTTTTACTACTTTTCACATTGGGTAAACAAAAGTTTTGATACCAAAGTCGATGAGGGCCTAAGAGTTAATAATGACAATATTTGTTCCCAAGCTATGACTAATTGAATGTGTGAACATGTGAGTGCAAGAGGATTTTGGCATAAAAAACCGGCTGATGGTGTGATTTCAGGGTGAGAGTATGGACAATTTCAACTGGGGAGTGCGCAGACGTTCTCTGGACAGCCTGGATAAGTGTGATATGCAGATTCTGGAGGAGCGCCAACTGTCAGGAAGCACTCCTAGCCTGAATAAAATGCACCATGAGGACTCCGATGAATCATCCGAGGAGGAGGACCTCACAGCCAGCCAGATCCTGGAGCACTCAGACCTAGTAAGTAGCGGCTCTCCCACTCTAAGAATTGGGAGGCTTATTTTTTGTAACTAATGCAGGAGGACAGTTTCCAGTTGCAGCTAAGGAAACTTTCCACAGCTGCTGAACTAAAATCGGAACTGTCAGGTGGTGTCATACGGGTTCTAGCTGGCAGAGTCTTCTCTGTAGGTTGCAGATGGAAACAAAGACTGGGGTCCATGTGATTCACCCTGAAAGCCACCAGATCTGTTAAGGCCTAGATTTTTCCCAAATACCTTTTATGATTCTGGAATCTTTTTAAAAATTCCCCAGATCTCTAAAGTGTGGAGATATGACAGACATTTTGATGTGATTTTCTGAAAATACCTGGATTACTAGCTGCTATGTTTAAGGCCCAATAATGGTGAAATGTGGAAGTTAAAAAATTAAGACGTATTAACCAACAACTAGAGAATAAATGGAGCTTTTAAAGAATGGGAACTTCATACTATGTTTAATTTCCTTTGCTTTTTAAACAGATCATGACTCTCTCCCCCTCTGAAGAGACGAATCCCATGGAGCTGCTCACCACAGCCTGTGACTCGACCCCTGCAGAACCTCATTCCTTTAACACCAGAATGTCCAGCTTTGATGCTTCCTTGCCTGATATGAATAATCTGCAGATTTCTGAGGGTTCAAAGGTGAAGAGATTTTAACAATGATGATTTGTACTTCCCTTAAAACCCTTAAAAAAAAACACTTCCAATTTTCTGAGAATTCTTAAGGGGTCTCAAGTAGAAAGACTATCTTTATCTTTTTCTTTCTCTCTTTTTTAAAATAATAGAAGTTTGTGCACCTGAGCCTATGTTTTGAAGTTGTTTTACCCCCACAAACTTGAGCAGCCATCTTCTTGGCTGAAAGACTTGATTTGAGGTCTTTTTAAAATGAGACATTTTGCATGAACACTGCTGGTGGATGGCAAAACCAGTGGTGTATGTCTGAGATGGCTGTGACTGGGAAACTGCTGATCTTTGTCATGAATTTTATAAAACAATATGCTAAGTGAGGTGTGGGTGTATGCACATATTTGGGGAATTTTTTCCTTTGTAGGAAACAATTATACAATTTGTACATTGATTCAGTGCTTGCCTTTTGGCATACTATCAGAATTTTTAATGTCAATCACAGTCTTATGCCAGATTCGCACAAAACTCTTCTTGCCAGAGTCTGTGAGGAGAAAAGTAACTAATGGATGTAATTTTCTTAATTAGAAAAAATCTAACAGTGTATATTTCATTTAAAGTTTATTTTATTAAAATGTCCTGAAAACCATCCACTTGCATGCTATGCCCACATCTATGCCCATCAGTATAGAATTGTATTTCCTTATAGTAGAAATACCAAAATAATCTATTACCATTAAGATAGAGTCAAGCACTGTCTATCATGAGTTTGGTTATGGTTGTGCAAGTTCAAAAGAAAAAATAAAATCGAAAAAATTTCATAAAAGTATATTCCTTCTGACATTTCTAATGGAAAAATATAATATTGGCTATTCTATATTCTCTGATAGCATAGTAAAAATAGATCAGAAATCTAGGAAAATCTATGTGCTTTAAACCAAGGGCAATCACCAAATTACAATTACCTAAAAATATTGAAGCTTAAATAGTAATTATTTCTAAGATTGCCTCATTGCAAAGGTACTACAATCAGGATTCTTGGAATTAGCAGAGTTCTTTTTTAGCCAAAAGAAAAAAACAAAAAACAAAAAGCCCAGAAAGAAAAGTTGTCTAAGTTAAAATTCTAAGATTATGAAATTAAATTTCATAGAAAAAAATCACAAAATATATGTGCATTTGATATTTCTCAATGTCAATATGGTCATTTTCTCCATTTTTCTATTTTGAATGCTAAAAACATATAGATTTCTCATAGAAAGTGCTACCTAAGGCCAGGCGCTTTGGCTCACACCTGTAATCCCAGCACTTCGGGAGGCCGAGGCGGGTGGATCACGAGGTCAGGAGTTCAAGACCAGCCTGGCCAAGATGGTGAAACCCTGTCTCTACTAAAAACACAAAAAAATTAACCGGTCATGGTGGCGGTGCCCGTAATCCCAGCTACTCAGGAGGCTGAGGCAGAGAATTGCTTGAACCCGGGAAGCAGAGGTTGCAGGTAGCTGAGATCGCACCACTGCACTCCAGCCTGGGCGACAGAGCGAGACTCCATCTCGAAAAAAAAAAGTAATACCTACGTAATAGATCTCATCCTACCAAGGAAAAGTCGAGTCCCATTTCTGAAGAGCTATCCCTGTTTTTCACTTAAGTTGCATTTCTGCAGTGTTTGATAAAGCTATGATATTAGAGAAAATAAAATGTATTTTAATAAGGACTCATCCCTTCTCTAATGGATTAAGTGTATGTACACTAATAACCTAGACCAGGCACCAGTGGCCAGCCTCATTGGCAGCACTGTAGTTTTAAAAAGCAAATATGGATAAACCTCTCAAACTCAGTATTTACCAGCAATTCCTCCAAAGACATGAGATATCTTATTTCCCTAATATATTTTTACCATTCCTGGTAATTTTCCCTATTAATTCTAGAGTCAAAGTATAATATATATATTTTATATATATATTTACACACTGAGTGGACAGATGTTAACTTGAGATAAAGCTCTAATTCATATACACTTCTATTTTGCCTTGCTTTTGTTTTTGTTTTAAGAAAATGACTCACTGTAACATGTACATCTTTCTTCCTCTCCCTTCTGATCTGTAATCCAGTTGCCTTCCTTCCTCTCCTAAAGAACAATCAGTCCTCCTTTTCCCCCTGGCCCAGGCCCAAACCCAGCCTCTTTTTCCATTTTACTTGCTGTGTCTCTTTCCTGCCTCTCACTGATCCTGGTTCTGCCTGCCCTAGAGCCCTTTCATTGTCCTGCTCATTCCACATTTTGTAGTCAGGTAAGAGCAGATACTCATATCTGTTATCTGTGGAGGGTATTCTCAAGGGTAAAGCATACATGCAAATGGATCTTAGAGGATCCCCTATATGGAAAGACCGAGCAACCCAGCAGGCTCAGGGAAGGACTCTGGATCACTCGTGCATACCACAGGTATCCTGGGCATCTACTGCGCCAGGCCCTGATGATTCTACATTCCCTTGGTAAAGGGGTTCTATGTTAGAGAATTAACTCTGGATAGGCTTGCTTTAGAAGGCTGGGTTTGGACAATGGAAGGAGTTCTGAATCCAAAAGAAGTGTTTCTTGTCCCAGCTCCAATTCTAAGTATGGACCTGATATTAGACAAGTCCCTTTCCCACGTGGAGCATTGTTTCCTTATCTGCAAAATGTGGAGGTTGGATTGGAGGTCTTGATGGTCTTTTCCAAGTTTAGCGTTCATACCCTATAAGCATGGGCCAAGTACGAAAATCTACTGAGAGCCCCTTTGGGGACCATTATGGAAGAGATTGAAAAGAAGATAAAGAATGAACAGTACTTCAGAGAATTCCTGAGTCCAGCCTAGAAACGGACTATACTGTAGCTAGAAAACAAATGTCCCCATTTCTATCACCATCAGCATTTCAGTCTCTCTTATTTGTTCCTTAGTTGAACAGGTTGTCCTGTATGTTTTCTTACACATTGGGGGATTCTTTTGTCTTTTTATTCTTCCAGGCTGAAGCTGTTCGTGAGGAGGAGGACACCACCGTGCATGAGGATGATCTTTCTAGTTCCATCAATGAACTCCCAGCAGCTTTTGAATGCAGCGACAGCTTTAGCCTGGACATGACTGAGGGGGAAGAAAAAGGCAATCGGGCACTGGACCAGTTTACCCTGGCGAGGTAATGGAGCCCTTGGCTGATGTGAGTGGTGTGAATGTGCATGGTACATTATATGGCATTCACACTCAAGTTAAGTGTCACAGTTGCACTGCTGGGACATCCTAATAAAGGACTCCAAAGTGACATATATCATGGCAGGCTCTCAGCTGAGTTAGAGTCATCCAATCCCATTATAGGGCCTCGTGTGGAACAAAGAAAGAACACTTACATATGAATTCATAAGGCCAGAAAGCAACGTAAAAAGCAAAGGAAGAGCCTGGAAACATGGTCCAGACCTTGTAAGCTTTGAAGATAAGCAACACTTGGCAAGCCTTGGAAATAAGTTCTTTCCATTTGGAGTTAAAACCCTGGAACAAGAGGCTCTTTATATAGGAAATACCTACTCTTTAAGTGGGTGTCTTTTGGCCTGGTGGCTGATATTTCTGAGACTAGTGAGATATAGAAACAGAAAAAAAAAATGTGAAGAGAAATAGATAAACACCAGAGGTTAGATTAATCCAGCATCTAGAATAAATCACAAATAATAATGCTACAGATCTACTTCAGGAAAAGAAAGTTGAGATCCTAAAATTACTCTTCTGAAAGTTGAAAATAAGAACTAAGTAAAAGCTTCTGATATGCTAGACAAAGGCCTTCTGTTACAGTGAGCAATGTCTGTCCATCAAAGGAAAAGGTTAAGGTAACACCTAGAGAAGAATTTGACCTTTCATTTTTATTCATTATCTCTTCTTTCTTCCTGCCTCTCTGTCTCACTTTCCCTGCGTATCTCTGGTTTCCTTGTCTCCCTCCACCTTTGTCTTCCAGGCATTTGTGCATATGCATTTATTAATACTCTCCCTCCAGAAAGGAAAAATTAGAAGATTCAAAATTTATATAATTTTTCATAATGAAAAATGAAGAATGAAACTGCCAAAGCATAGGACTGTGGTTTACTTTGGGGCATAGCCTCTGTGAAAGTGAGAGGCATTGCTGAAGGCTAAAAGAAGTACCAAGTCTATAGAAAGGGAATCTGAAATGGAGGAATCCCAGAAATTCTAGAGGTGCAAATTCTCTTTCCTCGAATCGTGAAAGAATCCGTGACCTCTTGCCAGGTGCGGTGGCACACACCTGTAATCCTGCCACTTTGGGAGGCCGAACTGGGTGGATCACTTGAGGCCAGGAATTCAAGACCAGCCTGGCCAACATGGTGAAATACTGTCTCTACTAAAAATGCAAATATTTGCTGGGCATGGTAGCACACGCCTGTAGTCCCAGTTACTCTGGTGACTGAGGCACGAGAATTGCTTGAACCCACGAGGCAGAGGTTGCAGTGAGCCGAGATCATGCCACTGCACTCCAGCCTGGGCGACAGAGCGAGACTCAAAACAAACAAACAGACCAAAAAGAATCACAGTGACTGCTGAATGAAAGCCAAGTCCCCAAAGCAACTTCAAAAGGAAGAGTGGGTAGAATAGCTACCTCATTTTGCTGACTCTCAGGGTGAGAATTTATAAAACCCAGTATAGGATGAGAAGGACATCACTTCTTGACATAGTCGTTTTCATTTTTTCCAGCTTTGGAGAAGGTGACAGGGGAGTCTCTCCCCCTCCCTCGCCCTTCTTCTCAGCCATCCTTGCCGCCTTTCAGCCCGCAGCCTGTGACGATGCCGAGGAGGCCTGGCGCAGCCACATCAACCAGCTTATGTGTGACTCAGATGGCTCCTGTGCTGTGTATACATTTCATGTGTTCTCCTCCTTGTTTAAGGTATGTGTGCTCACTGAAAGTGCAGAGGACTTAGTTTCTAAGGGGAGCCGGGTAACTTTGAATTTAAGGAGAGGTTGTTCTTCTGTTCTGGGGTTATACTACTGTATTTTCTCCTCCAGACACCCCTAAATTTCCTCTGACTTTGAAATTTCTTCTATTTACCCTTAATCTTGTCATCCTTCTAAACATGGTATTGATGATTTAGGCTGCCATGAAGTACCTTTCATTCCTGCATCTCTTGGTGTTACTGACATCACCAGTCCTCAGCAGCCATGACATCAGGACCATTAAGGGAATCTTCTGCCAGGCCTATCCTCCATCCCACCCCCCTTTACCTCTCTTTTGTTTTTATTATTTTTATCTTTCCTTTCCTTGTCTTTTCTCATTTCCCACTCTATGAATTCCTTAGCATGCCAGCCATAGCTGTGAACACTTGTTTACTCCCTTGAGTTGCTTTTGAACAGATGAAAAGTCATTCTTGCTGTTGTAGCAGGTTGCTGTGCACTGCAGATTTCGTTTTATGAAATGGGAACATGCCGCCTACTTGGTAGCCCTTAAGAATCAGGCCAGTCTAACTACTGCCTCTCCCGTGTGAACCACAGCCCCACTGTCCATAGTGTCTTTGTGCAAACTGTAATGAATGTCCCTGCCTCCAGAGGAGTGCAGTACCACACCTAGCCAGCAGAGTGCAGGTGGGATTCCAACCCCACTTCCAATCCCTCAGCCAGACACCCTAGCATCTTGCACACAGCTCTCTGTGGCAGTCTCATGTGTGGGCACGCTTAAATCTCGCTTGTTACCTCATAACATACTTACAATGACTGCTTCCCATTAACTCCTCTATGCATCTTTCTGTAAACTTTTGTCCTCCAAATTTCATCAAATAATTGGCAGGGGGAGGAGGTGGCAAAAGAGAGAAACATGCCTTGCTGTGAAGAAACATCAGAGCTCTTTGAAGGCCATTGCAGTTAACTAGACCTATGTCTGAGCTTGAAGCAGATATTGACCGTGAAAATGGCAGTGCTGGGAATAATGAGGCCTGGAAGCTACGAAGATGAGGTTGTAGGGGAAGATTTGTTGATGTGGAACTATGGTTACCATATTATAGTTAAAGAGAAAGCTAGTTTAAAAAAAAAAAAAAAAAAAATATATATATATATATATATATATATATATATATCTAGATTAGTATTCCTTTTTTTAAAATGCCTAGAAAATAATGAAAATTATACACCAGAATATCATTGTATCTTTTCACGGTAATGATATTTGGGGTGTTTTTTATTTCCTTCTTTTTACTTTTTTTCAATTTCCTATTTTTTGGGGGGGTGGGGAGACAGAATCTTGTTCTGTCGCCCATGCTGGAGTGCAGTAGCATGATCTCAGCTCACTCTGCCTCCCAGGTTCAAGCGATTCTCCTGCCTCAGCCTCCCGAGTAGCTGGGATTACAGGCATGAGCCACCATGCCTGGCCAATTTCCTGTTTTTCTATAATAAAAAATGCTTTTCTTTCAGCATTTTCTTAAGCATATTTTTAATAACTCATTAGACAGAACTCCCACGGATAATGCAAAGGAAAAAAATGGAAAGGAACTATCTAGTTCCAACTTTGAATAGACTTGAATTTTGAATGAATGACCAGACAGAACAGTTAGAATCTAGTTAAACTTGTGTAGCTGTTGAGTTCTGTTGAGTAGCTCATGGAAGACGGACAATAATTTAGTTGGACTGAGGGAAGGAGCCCTCTAATCACCTTCAGGAAGAGCCATGGCCGACGGGAAAGGCAGGAAAATAAGGAATGATATATCAAAAGTGCAAAACTAAAATTATGTCCCTCTTAAATGGGTTGTTAAGAAGTCTTGGGGAGTAGGAGACTCCATAGGTAAATCTGCCTTAAAATATCATTTCAGCATTTCAGTAGCCAGTGTCACTTGACCTCAGTTCAGCTCTGAGGTCAATGGCATTGCAGCAGGTTGCTGTACATTGCAATTTCTTTTTATGGTATGGGAAGGTGCCTCCTGCTTAGTAACCCTTAAGAATCAGGCCAATCAGCCAGGCACAGTGGCTCACACCTGTAATCCCAACACTTTGGGAGGCCGAGGTGGGAGGACCACCTGAGGTCAGAAATTCGAGACCAGCCTGGCCAACATGGTGAAACCCCATCTCTACTAAGAATACAAAATTAGCCAGGCGTGATGGGGCACATACCTGTAATCCCAGCTACTCGGGAGGCTGAGGCAGGAGAATCACTTGAACCTGGGAGGCAGAGGTTGCAGTGAGCTGAGATCGCACCACTGCATTCCAGCCTGGGCAACAAAGTGAGACTCCATCTCCATTTTAAAAAAAAAAAAAGATAACTTATTAATCTGTTATTCTAGTGAGCAGAAGGTTAGGCAAAACTGAAATAATCTAAGTTAAATAATTTCAAATTCAGGATGACATATGTTTAGTTAACATAAAAGTGAACTCTGCTTTTGAGCCTGGAGGCCCTTCTTATAATCCATTTTTGGAGAATTATATACCAGTAGTGCAGATAGCTACTTGGACTAGCTCACTTGGAGTCTTACTTGTAGTGCTCTTTCAACTTCTTCAATTTACTCTAACTGAAAACCTAGTAGAAACTTGAATGGGTAAATTAATGTCATGTCTGAGATTAACTTGGGGCTGGAGGAGATGTTAGGCTTAAGACAGAAAACAATTGGCTGCTAAAAGATAAGAATTCTAGAAATACTTTAAACATTAAACCAGATTGAAATTTTAAGGCAAACTACCAGAAAGCTACTATTTGAGGTAAATTTAATGTTAAGGATTGAGAGGCAAAGCAACTTATTAGTTATATTTTTCTAAAAGCTTTTTTTTTTTTTTTGAGATGGAGTTTCACTCTTGTTGCCCAGGCTAGAGTGTAATGGCACGATCTCAGCTCACTGCAACTTCCACCTCCCAGGTTCAAGCGATTCTCCTGCCGCAGCCTCCCGAGTAGCTGGGATTATAGGCATGCACCACTACGCCCAGCTAATTTTGTATTTTTAGTAAAGACAAGGTTTCACCATGTTGGTCAGGCTGGTCTCAAACTCCTGACCTCAGGTGATCCACCTGCCTTGGCTTCCCAAAGTGCTGGGATTACAGGCATGCGCCACGGCGCCCGACCTCTAAAAGCTATTTTTAAAGAATGATTAATAATATATATTTAAGTTTGGCTGTTATGGTCATTTTTATTAGAGTTATTGGATTATTCATGCTTAATTTGACAGTCCTGCACAATACTTTCTCTCTGCCTAGAACGGTCATCTCCCCTTGTCCCTGGGCTACACTCCCAGTTACATTCAAAGCCCTGATTGGGTGTCACTTCAGTTAGTAAAGCCTTCTGTTACTTCTTTCTCCCTTCCCCTGGCATCTCGGGATTTTGTACTTGCATCCGTTACACTTGTGACTCTATATGATAATAACTTGTTTTGGTGTCTGTCTCCCGTGAAGAGGGCAGGTAAACAGTGCCTTGCTCACCTTGATTTCTGACAGTTTGCAACATACACTAGGTGCTCAGTAAATGTAGGAAGAATAAATGGAAACCTTAAACACACAGCTTCTAACTTCATGTCAGTAGACCAGCGGGTTCATTACCAAGACCGACAGGTCAGCCATGGCCCACAGCTGCGGCCACCATTCAGCCTGACTTCCTCTCCCACCTACCCAGATATGCAGGTAGCATGAGGAAGGCAGAAGGGAGGCTCTTTCTCCACCCTCTACCTGCCTGGCACCTGGCAACCCACCAGTTGAGATGCTGGTGAGACATAAAGAGAAAAGAGTTGTATGGGATGGTGATTTCCAGGTGGAAAAGGAGTACAGTGAAGTCAGACTAGCCTTTGAACCTACCTGTGTTCAAATCCCAGTTCTGGCCACTTACTAGCCTGCTAGGCCTGCAGACAGTCCTTAAGTTCTCCAAGCCTCAGTGTCCTCCATCATACAATGGAAGTGAAAACAGTGTCTATGAGTTTTATCTTTCAAAGACTACTTATGAGAGCTCACATGGAGAAACACCTCAAGCCATGCATCTAGCAAGCCGTCAGCACAGGCTGGCTGCTCCCATTTGGCTGCTCTTCCCTATGGTCATTGGCATGTTCTTTGTGGCCCTGGCCCCGCCACAGAGACTGGATCCTCTGGTGACAGTCCAGAAGTGACTGACTGCCCACCACAGAGAGTTCTGCAGCCCTGCCTGCACACCATGAGCCACCTCCACTGGGGACTCTCTAGCAACTTCTGAGAGAATACTCAGATTGCAGGAGAGAGACCTAAAGAGAACAAAGTGGCTATAGGAGTGAAAGGCCTCAGATATCCCATCCAATGTCCTCGCAGAAGATGACCCCTTCCCCTGAGAGGGGCTGATGTGCCATTTGTTGTCTGGTAACAGTTAACTCTCTAGGATCTTTCGCCACTCCAGCAGCAAGGCAGTGGGTTCAGGTTTCACAGCATCCACTGTCCAGAGAGCAAAGTGGTTGTGGAAAGAGGGAGAAGAAAGTACTAAAAATTAAAATGCAAATGAGCTGGAAGGTGGGGCCAGGCATGGGCCCTGGGGGGACTCATTTGGATTTGAATTTCTTTTTCATCAATATATTAAATCAATCACCCTATGGAGCTTATCTGCAATAATAATAATAATATAATAATTTTTTAAAATGCATACCTCCTATTTTGCTTTTTAATGTTACATTTATACTTGAGAACTTTCTCAACCCTGATCAGATGCTATATGAAAGTAATACTTGAAGCAAAATAGGCATTACTAAAATATGCTGGAAATGAAATACATTTCAGACCTGCTTTCTGCCTGTTATGAATCATTTGTCATTTCCTCACAATGTGTGTTTACTGTTTCCCAACATTTCCCTGTAAGTGTGAATACAATGTTTCCGTGTTAGGTTGGATTTTGGAAGAGGTAGGGAGGAGGTAACTGTGAAAATAATTTGGTTTTAAAAACAAGGGAATGGTTTCTGTCGGTACAGTATGGACATTTTTCCAAGTGTCTCAGTCATTGTGTTTTCTTCTTGTTACTCATATGTGAGAATGTCATCATCATGTGTCACATAATGTCACCAAATTATATAATGTGTGATGGAATTCACAAGAAAACAAAACTGAATTTACATCCCCTAAATGTCACTGGGTATGGTGGCACACGCCTGTGATACCAGCTACGTGAGAGGCTGAGGTGGGCAGATTGCTTGAGCCCAGGACTTTAATGCTACAGTGAGCCATGTTTGTGCCACTGTGCTCCAGCCTGAGTGACAGAGCAAGACCCCATCTCAAAAACAAAACAAAACAAAAAACATTGTGCACTAGAAGTTCAGGGGGGTAAAAGTGTTTTTTTGTTTGTTTGTTTTGGTTTTTGTTGGTTTTTTTTGAGACGGAGTCTTTCTCTGTTGCTCAGCCTGGAGTGCAGTAGCGCGATCTTGGCTCACTGCAACCTCCACCTCCCGGGTTCAAGCAATTCTCCTGCCTCAGCCTCCCAAGTAGCTGGGATTACAGGTACACACCACCGTGCCCAGCTAATTTTTTGGTATTTTTTTTTTTTTAGCAGAGACGGGGTTTCACCATGTTGGCCAGGCAGGTTTTGAACTCCTGACTTTGTGATCCTCCTGCCTCGGCCTCCCAAAAAAGTGTTCTTGTTTTGGCACTGACGCAGGCACAGTGAATCAGATTCTTCTTAATTGTGTTTTTTGTTTTTTGTTTTTCCCCTCAGGTAGTGTAGGAGGAGCAGTAACCTTAGGAAGCAATCGAGATTATGGAAAGATTGTAAACTTTGGAGTCAGACCCGTCCTTACTCATTCACTTACTAGTTGCATGACCTTAAGCGAGTCATTTAACTGTTCTTTTTTTTTTTTTTTTTTTGAGACGGAGTCTCGCTGTCGCCCAGGCTGGAGTGCAGTGGCGCAATCTCGGCTCACTGCAGGCTCCGCCCCCTGGGGTTCACGCCATTCTCCTGCCTCAGCCTCCCGAGTAGCTGGGACTACAGGCGCCCACCACCTCGCCCGGCTAATTTTTTGTATTTTTAGTAGAGACGGGGTTTCACCGTGTTAGCCAGGATGGTCTCGATCTCCTGACCTCGTGATCCACCCGCCTCGGCCTCCCAAAGTGCTGGGATTACAGGCGTGAGCCACCGCGCCCGGCCTAACTGTTCTTAACCTCAGATTGTTCATCCGGTGATGAGGATTAATGAGTGATGTACATTAAGCTCTAAGACAGAATTAGGCTCAGTTGAGACACCTGACCAGACGTGCCCTCAGAGCAAGAGAGGTCCCATTCAGCATTTACTACTTTACTCTTCAGAGGCTCAAATGCACAGTTTCCGTGCTGTCTCAAGGAGCTCTGATCTTGGGAAGCAGAAAAGAGTTACGCCTTTTGACCTTTTTCATCTTGTCCACATTGAAGTAATCTCTTTTCACCAGTCTGACAAACACGCAAGGAAAACTCAGACTCTGACTGGCACTAACCACAGCAAAAACAAAAACAGTGTTGGTCAAAAAGATTATACAGGCTGAGCATCCCAAATCCAAAAATCCAAAATGCTCTAAAATCTGAAACTTTTTGAGTGCCAATGTGACACTCAAAGGAAATGCTTAAGTGGTTATGTATCTGCAAGTATTTCATGTCTGAAAAAATCCAAAACCCGAAACCCTTCTGGTCCCAAGCATTTCAGATAAGGGATACTCAACCTGCACAAGCATCCACGCATTGGGAAATGGTATTTCAGGAAGAAATGTCCACACTGAATGATTACTTAGTTGATTTAACATAAACATTCATTCTGCTCCCCTCCCCCATTACCCTAAGGACCCATTCTCATGCGATATTTTTATAAAGATTTAAAAGTAGGGTTTTTTCCATTAATAATCGTGTATGATATTCTTGAAAATTGCTGAGAGTAGATTTTAAGTATTCTCACCACCAAAAAAAATGTGAGGCAATGCATGTTAATTAGCCCAATTTAGCCATTTCACAGCATACACATATTTTAAAACAACATGTTGTACACAGTAAACATATACAATTTTTATGTCAAGTAAAAAAATCAGGGCCAGACGCAGTGGCTCACACCTGTAATCCCAGCACTTTGGGAGGCCGAGGCGGGCGGATCACAAGGTCAGATCGAGACCATCCTGGCTAACACAGTGAAACCCCGTCTCTACTAAAAATACAAAAAATTAGCCAGGCGTGGTGGCAGGCACCTGTAGTCCCAGCTACTCGGGAGGCTGAGGCAGGAGAATGGCGTGAACCTGGGAGGGGGAGCTTGCAGTGAGCCGAGATCGCGCCACTGCACTCCAGCCTGGGCGACAGAGCGAGATTCTGTCTCAAAAAAAAAAAAAAAAAAAAAAAAAATCAGTTAATGTAATTGGAATATAAAAAAAGAAGCTACCCCTCCCCCAAAATATGTTTTATCATATATAAGTTTAACTTGACCTTTACAAATGGTCACTATTTTGCCTTGCAGAATATTCAGAAAAGGTTCTGCTTCCTAACCTGTGATGCAGCCAGTTACCTTGGAGATAACCTCCGGGGAATCGGATCCAAATTTGTCAGCTCTTCCCAGATGCTCACCTCCTGCTCTGAATGTCCTACACTTTTTGTGGATGCCGAGACTGTGAGTATCCCAGTCCTGCTCTGACAGTGAAGGGCCTACGCAACCTACAGTGCAGAACTTCAGGGTAGCATGTTTGCGCTGTGGTTTGTTTTAAAGATACCTTCTGGCCGGGTGCGGTGGCTCAAGCCTGTAATCCCAGCACTTTGGGAGGCCGAGGTGGGCGGATCACAAGGTCAGGAGATCGAGACCATCCTGGCTAACACGGTGAAACCCCGTATCTATTAAAAATACAAAAAAAAAAAAAAAATTAGCCGGGTGTAGTGGCAGGCGCCTGTAATCCCAGCTACTCGGGAGGCTGAGGCAGGAGAATGGCATGACCCCGGGGGGCAGAGCTTGCAGTGAGCCGAGATCACACCACTGCACTCCAGCCTGGGCGACAGAGCGAGACTCTGTCTCAAAAAATAAAAAAATAAAGATACCTTCAGTGTTGTGAGCAGCACTGTATTGTGATATGACTCTCAAAGGTCTGCAATATAAATACTGCATATGGCCAGTCCAGGCCAAGGCAGGGCTATTTCATAGAATAAGGAGAAAAATCCACCACCTCTGCTCCGTCTGCATCGTTGGCACTGATCTCTGATGACTCTGACTTTGACAGCTGTGCATATATGGTCAGATAACCTCCTGGAGCTGACCTAGCCGGTGCCCATGATGCCAGGTTGCCCAGTCGGATGGGTCTTCAGAGGCAACATGTCAATCAGTTTCCCCACCCCCAAGTCTCTAACAGAGAGTTATTGCCCTCTGGATTTGCCCAGCTCAAACTGCAAATGATGAGTTTAAGGGATAATCAAAACAGTCTCTGGCTGACGGTAATTCATGGCTTTACACATGGAACTCTAACCATGCGAGACTGACGAGCTCCTGGAGGGTGGGAGTTGTGTGATACCTTTTTTTTTTTTTAGCCCCCATGATATGACAGAATCATCACATGCTCAGTAATTACTGAGGTTTAGAACCAGTGAGGATGTGCTTTGATTTTAAAAGTCTCTGAAGAGTCAAGTCCTTCCAAGAATCTGTTTGGTGGCTGTCTTATAGCAAAGAATACAATATGAAAAGTCATTCTGTCTTAAATGACTTAAGGTATAGATTAAATACAAAATAAGTTTGAAAGTCTTTTTGGAGGTTTGTCTTCACACTGCTTGGAGTATTATTGGGTGATGACAGTAGAAGTCGTGTATAAAATGGAAAACATATCTTAGTGTGGGCCTTTATGAAATACTTGGTATGTCTTATCTGCCTATACTAATATGGGAAAGAATGGACGTTTTCATAGGAGGTGTGCATTATCAAGCTCGGATTCAATTGTAATTGCAGCTGATAGTTGAGCAAAATTCCAAATTTCACAGCTTATTAAAATGGATGACACTTGTACCCCTTAACAGCACTTCTAAATATACTTCTGTTTTCTGTGTAGCCATGCCTTTGTGTTGGTATCTCTCTAGTTTTAATACCAATTATTTTCCTGTCTTTAGCTCCTTTCATGTGGACTTCTGGACAAGCTCAAGTTCAGTGTGTTAGAACTGCAAGAATATTTGGATACCTACAACAACAGGAAAGAGGCCACACTCTCTGTAAGCTTTTGTGTTTCTATGCATATGCAGTCAGTTAAAACCAAATGAACCCAACCACTCTGAGTTCTTGGGCGGGGTTGTGATTAACTTAAGACTTTCAGACTTCATCTTTTCCTTTGTTAAGGATTACAATTCCAATTTAATGGTGGTAGAACTGTATACAATATTAATTATATTACAAATGGTATCTACAAAAGAGAAATTTTTCAGCATTCACTTTTAGCCCTACCAAGAAATTGGAAAAAAAAATGGGTATGTACTTGATATGTTACTTACCAAAGTTACAACTTTTCTCAGATATTTGAAATTGGTGATTATTTCCTTCCAGTGTTAGCCTCACCCAAAACTAGTTGTGGCAGATCTCCTCCCTGTTCTCTTAGCCACTCTTGGAGGCTGCGTCTGCCAGTCCCCAGGGCTTCTCTTGGCCTCAGCTCTTGCTCTTTACTTTTTTCTTTCTTCATAGATCTAGATCACAAAATGTTAGAGACAGAGTGATCTAGAAACCATCCAAGCAAGCCACCTGTTTTCTGACAGATGCACAGGTGGAGGCCCAGAGAAGTCAGTGGTTCAATAATAAGAATAATTAATTGTATGTAGTATGTATTAAGCCCTTCCTATAGTATGCCAGGTACTATAGAAAAAGCAAGGGTTTTGAAGTCAGATTGACTTCAGTTTAAATCACAGCTCAGTTATTTAACGGTTAGTGACCTTGAATAAGTGACTTGCCGTCTCTCATCTCAGATGCAGCATCTGTAAGCCCTTGGTAATAATAACTAATTTGCAGGATTGTTGTGAAGATATAACAATTATAATAGTCATGGCAGCTATCATTTCCTGAGTCCTTTTTATGTGTCCAACAATCTGCTAAGAGTTAAATCTCTTAAATTATATCGTTTAATGCTCACAACTACCCTGAGAGTTGCTATTGTTACCCTCATTAGCTAGCTAGGAACTGGAAGAGTGGGATTGAAACCCAGAGCTGTGGGATTCAAAGGCCCACGCTCTTAACCACATCATGATATTGCCTTGAAAACAGAAATAATATCTGTAAACTGACCAGCACAATGCCACATAGAAAGAAAATGTTCATTGTAAAGTTATGGTTTGGGGTTTGTTTATTGCTATTGCTGTTATTGATGTTATCTTGACCTGCCCAAGGGCAAGAGTTCAAACTCTCCACCGTAACAATTAGCTTTGTCTTCTGTTTCTGTGGCCTTTTACCTGCCACTCTTTTCAGCTTCTCAGTCATCACCCAGTAAAAGTAATCTTTTTATTCTGGTTGGTGAACTAATCTAGCCTTTAATGTCAAGTGTGAACTTCAGTTCCTCAGTGCTCATTGTTTTCTGCTGAAAGGTTCCCTTTCACACCTGTGTTAGTTACTACCCCAGATGCTTAAGACTAGCAGGATCTCTCAGTAGCTGAGCTATTACCATAATAGCCTTTCTTATAGTGAAGGAGATCTGCCCCATAGCAGATGCAGCCACCGCAGCATGACAGAAGTAGGTGTGTCCAAGTCAGGTCATGTTGACCAGAATCACCCAGCCTGTGAGGAAGTATTGGTCCTGTCTTCTAACCCCAATTGTATGGAAGATTTCTAGCCATATATATTCATTTACACATAAATTAGAAACAGTGTGGTGAAACCATTCCCTAGGGCAACACAGTATAATATTGAAATTGTGTTTTTAGATGACCATTACTGAACCCATATAAACAGATACTTTTAATTTCCAACAGTTCATCTTTAACCCCCAAATACGACCCTTTTCAAAAAGTCATTACAGCACAATTTCATTTTACTATTATTAGAACTTTAATGAATTTTTTCCTAATGGAATTATACCAAAAATGTTCTCAGAACATTGCTGAATTTACCTATGTCTTTCCCTCTCTTTCTGACAGTGGCTTGCAAATTGTAAGGCAACATTTGCAGGGGGATCAAGAGATGGAGTAATTACCTGTCAACCAGGGGACTCCGAAGAAAAGGTAATAAAAGCCTGTTAGAATGGGTCTCTTGTGTGCTCTAACATTGTGTATTAGTTTTGGTCTACCCAAGAAGCCTGGAACTTGAGAAAAGAAGAGGCGGAATGAGTCACCCCAAACATTTACATGAAACCAACAGAGTAAGACAGAATGCCTTCCAGCATGACTGTGTGTTGATGGGATTTGTGGGGAGGTTTCTTCGTTTTGGAAAAGTAGAGGTATAAAATAACCTTTTTTGCTGGATACTGTCTAACTATACTAATAATTTCCTAATAAATTTATTCTTAATTCAGATTATAAGGCCAAATTTCATTAATTCTTCACTGAACCACTTAGTTTCTTTAATGAAGGAAGTTTCTCTCAACCTTTCAGCAGTCACTCTAAAACAGATTTTCTCATTTAGAATTGCTACACACCTCAGTCCAGTGTGCCGTACTATAAAGGAAATTAAAGGACAGAGTAAGAATGGATGAAAATCATTCATTCTGCAGTTACATATTGAGTGCCTCCTGTATGGCCCCATGGAGGACACACTCATGAGCAACAGACAAGGCCTCTGCTCTTGTGGAGCTTCTGATCTTGTCAGCGAGACAGACATTAATGAAACAGTCATACAGCTATTAACTGCAACAAGGACCATCAAGGACAGGAAAGAACAGAAAGCTGAGAGATCACAGAGCAAGGCTGCCTGATCCGATGGGGAGGGCGGCTCTGGGAAGGGTTCTCCATGGAAGTAGCATCTTGGCAGAGATCTAAAATATGAGATGAAGAGGAGTGGGCCTGTAGTCTGCGTAAGGGCCCGGAGGCAGGGGAACCAGGCCTTTCCAAGAACCAAGGAGAGCCCATGTGGCTGAAAGCACCGAAAGCCCTGTGGAGAAAAGGTTGAGAAGAGTCTGGAGAAGTTGGCAGAAGAAGCCCATGCAGGGCTTTGGTGTTTAACAGCAATAATAAGCAACTGAAAAGGATTAACAGTGGGGATGATTAGATCAAGGCTCTCCCACTCTGTCTACTGTGGAAACAGCTCAAAGTGGCAAGAGTGGTTCAGGGAACTTAGGAGGCTGCTGCCCCATCTAGGGAGAGAAGGTTTTACCTCGGAATTATGTCATTACTACTGGAAAAGTGTTTTACATGGCACACCCTCTGGAGGATCTGAAAACATCTTCCTGTGTTAGAAACAGTACTTTATTACGTAAAAAGAATCCAGTAAAGTCTGGTTTCTGGTCAGAGGTTTGGAGTGAACATTTTCAACCAAACACCAGTGGTTCCATTCCAATTTGGTATTTGTTATTGAGCAAGTTTGCAGTCCTGAGAGTAACATTGTCCATGCCAGCATTGATTGAGTCCCTTGGTAAGCCCCTTGATAAGTTTTAGTGAAGAGATCAGACATTGAAAAGCAAACTATAAAGCTGAGAAATTTCTAAAGAGGGCATTGAAGTAGAGGTTGCATTTCCACATTGCTGCCCTTCTTGAAGACGCACATTTATATCTCACTTTATGGTTTACAGAGCACTTTCACACCCCTTAAGTCATTTGCTCTCTCTGGATGGGAAGCAGGGCCATAGCAGTTGCCCGTTCTATAGCTGAAGACACCACAGCTTGACTTATCCAAGGCTCCATGGTTGAGAAGTGACAGGCAGAGATGCAGCTTGGACACAAAGTCTGTCAACATAGGCAAATAATAACTAGTTTGCATATATTTTTAAAATAAGTGTTTAATGACTTACATAATGTCTCCCATAAGCAAACAGAATTGAATATACAGTTCAAAAATCACAATAAACTCCAGCATTTCCCTCAATCCCTATATATGCATCTGTGATGTCCTGTCTCAGATGATTTGTGACTTAGATTTTCACTGAATAACCTGTGCCGTTAGCATATCCCAGAAGTAATATATTTTTAAAAAATGAAGTATTACCTAGGTTTCAGATTTTATGGCCACCCAGTAGTACTCATGGCTTGTCTTTCCAGCCCAGTCCTCCCTTCACTATAATCTGCTGTTAAGACAAATGCAGTCCAGAGAACAGTTATATCAGGTTAGGATTTACATTGAGCACAAATCGAATCCAGCTCATAGTATAGTTTGTATAGTAGTATGTAAAAAACAACTTGTTATCTGAAAACTTGTCCTCAATCATCAAATTCTGTTATATTCTCTGTAACAGAACTTCAGACAGGAAAGCACATTAATACATTGCAGACTTTTATGAACAAGAGTTGAAACCAAATCTATTATTTATTTGTTTGTTTCTTTATAGCTTCCGGGTTAACCCTAAGGATAACCAGAAATTCCAGTTAACTTATCCTATTTCCCAAACATTCCAACTTTAAAATACGTATTTCTGTTGTGCTTGTGGTTTATTTCTATTAAGTTGTTTTACTTGGTATTAGTTGCTCCCTCCTTTCTTCCTGGTTCTTCTTTACCTTCCTCAAACAAATGTTTATCTTATTTTTGCTTATTGTTTTTACTCATTTCCTATTCGTGCACCTCTTTCTTTGCTTCTATTTTGTAGTACTTATTCCTCTCCCTCTCTTTTCTTATGTTTTTACTAAACCCAAGGACTCAAAAAATAGAGTTCACCTATTTATTCATTTGTTTAGATGTGACAACTCTGTTAGCATTACTATAAAGGCTTGAGAGTACAAAAGTAGAAAGAAGAAACTAATGTTTTCAAGTACTGTACACACGTAATCTCATTTGATCCTTTACAACAGTCCTTTGAAATAAGGGTTTTTCCATTTTGCAACTAAGAAAACTGAAGCTGAGAGGCAAAGTCTAAAGGCCATATTCTTTCCATTTGTCCACACTTTCTCTAGCTTAATTTTGGAAGCAAAACATACACATGGGAAAACACTCAAGAATAATTCCCAGCATATGTCTAAATGTCTAATATGGCTTTAGGAATCTGCATGAATAAGGAGGGAAGATGCATAAAACACCCAAGAGGGATGAGAGTGGGATTTACTAGGAACGGAATGATGGAAGGGCAAATTCTGAGTCTGGTGTTTCCAATGTTTTTGCAAAAACCAACCAAGCTTTGGCCCCATTGTCAGTATTAGCTCAGTGTTTCAGAATATTTCCAAATGGCTCATGGACACACTGGTAACCAGAGAACTCAAGCAGTGACCAGATGTCCTGAGGAAGATGCTTCCAGGCCTACATGTGTAACAATTCTGGAGTCTGTGGTTGATCTGGAAGGCAAATTATATGCCACCTAACAAAAGAAGTTGGCAATCCTAGTAAGTCAGGCAAGGCGGGGAGATTTGTTTAAGTCGTCTGGATACTTGGTTACAGTTATTCTCTGTTTTAATTGGTTAGTAGATCCTGGAAATAGTCTGGCCACTGTGCATGCAGCTCAAACCTCACACTTTCTAATGCCACCAGCCTTGAGGCATGGCTAGGCACCATGCAGAGTACACAAATCAGGCAGCCTCGGTTCCCATCATAGGTTAACACTCGACAAGGCCGGAAATGGGCTGTGAGAGAAAACTGAGTCCTTACACACAAAAGGTAGGCCTTGAGGAGGAATGATGGTGTCATTCCACTTAAATATTAAGATCTTATATCTAGAGATGTGGAGATATAATTTTGCTGACTAGAGCTACCATTTGGCCTCCAACCCAAAACAAAACCCAACAAATGTCTGGCCTCAGAGCACTGCTTAGCTTACCTCTAAGTGATTCTCTCCAACACTCCTGTGTAATCAGGTTCTCTGTCTTCTGGAATGATTTGATGTTGCCAGTTACTCTGAGCACACCCTTGCCTGGGGACAGGTAGAATGGGGATAAGTGAACTTATAACTTGCAGAATCTATGTCAGGATATAAATAGCAATATGAATATACCAATAATTATTACTCATATCTGTTCTATTTCAAAGAAGTGTGCACTTCATGAAAGGATTAGTGCTTACCCGACTAAACCTAGCAAAGTAAATTCTTGAATAAAGATATCAGTCTGTCAGAGATGGTGACAGTGTACAGACAGGCATATGAAAGCTTCTCAACCCCCAAGCCCTACCCAGTCTGGTCCGGTCTTTGCCAGTAGAAAATTCCTAATCATTCTTAACAGGTGATTTAAGTGAGGATTGCTATAGAATTGTTTGTGAAAGACAATATATATCTTTGTTGGGTGCTGAATATTTATTTTTCTAGTTTTTCTTCTATTCTTAACATAAAGTTGTAGACCTAAGTATAACAAAGAAAGTTTATGCACTGGTGGCTTGTGAACTATAACCAATTCACAGACATGTTGTGTTAAGCTTGCACAATATTAACTGACCCTGCATTTAAAAATTTAAAACTTTCACACATACGGCCGAGCGTGGTGGCTCACGCCTGTAATCCCAGCACTTTGGGAGCGTGAGGCAGGTGGATCACGAGGTCAGGAGTTTGAGACCTTCCTGGACAACATGGTGAAATACCATCTCTACTAAAAATACAAAAATGAGCCGGGCACAGTGGTGGGTGCCTGTAATCCCAGCTGCTCAGAAGGCTGAGGCAGGAGAATCTCTTGAACCTGGGAGGCAGAAGTTGCAGTGAGCTGAGATCGCACCATTGCACTCCAGCCTGGGTGACAGAGCAAGACTCCATCTCAAAAAAAAAAAACAAAACAACAACAACGAAAAAAACTTTCACACATACACACACACTCAAAACAGAATTCCTGGTGTCTCTGAATAAGAAGATCTAGCAACACTGGGCCTGCCTTCCTCAGTGACAATAATGAGCAAGCACTAAGTGTAGACTGCCCTATATGGACTCTCCACCATCCCTGCTGCCCAGTGAGTTCCTAACACTGAATGCAAGAGCCAGGCACCAGTCATCATGATGTTTGGCCTATTGCTTTTCTTATAACAGAAAAATATTTCTCTGTACCTAAGTCCTCAAAATGAAGAATAAAGCTAGATAGAAGGGGCTTGAGTTTCCAAAAAGAAAACGGGAAAGAGTATTATTCTTTGCATATGCAAGAAGCGTCTCTGCATATGCAAGCACCTGTCTGCTGAACTCACTTTCTGAGGGATATGTTGGAGGAAAATTCTCAGCGCATGTTCAAAACAAACCATGTTTCTAAGCAATTTATTTCCAATATTTGGGAAGTATATTTTGGGGCTCTTTTTTAAAGACAGCCATTATAAGTCAATGATTTGGGCTTCTTGGTGATAGTAATACCAGTTCTCTGTGCAGCATACACTAAATAGGACATAAATCAAGGCATGTGATTTGCTTGTGTCATAAGAACACTTTACTCATTTGCGGACACTGCTTTAGTAGTGTTTTCTCAGCCTGCACACATCAAAAGGAGAAAAATCTCTTCATGACTTAAAATCAGCATTTCCAACTAATGATTTTGGTTTCCACCAACCTCTCCATCTCTTGTGGAATTCATTCTGGAGTGACCACTAGTCGAAGGTTTAAGTGAACATAAATGGAGGTCAGGGAACAAAGTCTGCAGACCTCTCGACTCTGGGTTCTGCAGGCAGTGGCTTTAGTCCCCTTATAGCTAATTAACATAATTTATCATCCAGTTCTGCAGAGGTGGCCCCAGAAAAGCTGGAGATGTTTCCATATGATGTATTGTTGATTTTAGTTAATGCATTCATAATTCAACAGATATTTCTGAGCACTACTTGAACATTTGACTCTTTGAACTCAAGTACAATAATTTATATTTAGCCCTACTACATTTCATCTTCTTATATTCAAATCATCATTCTGTTAGGGTCTTTTTGGACACTAACCTTCTCAGTTATATATTTTCTATCTACATAATCTATGAATGAGAAGCCTACAACCTCTGTTCTTATACAAATTGAACAAGTTAAGTGTTAAACAAGACAAGACTTTTCTCCAATTAAGTTATAATCTATTAAACATCATCCTTCAGATATAGTCAATCAGTCTTTCCTCTGTAAGCCATATTCTTTCTCATATTGGCTAAAGAAATGTCTGTTGAAGATAGCTTACAGATTTCTTGAAAAAAGTGAATGTCTCAGGATGTGTAATCTGTATCATAGGTGTATTTATCTTTCAAAGCTTTGAGGGATATTTATGACCAAGGTCCAAAAAACTACTTAACAAAGATAATGCCATAGCCATCAATGTGCCAGGCCCAAGCATTATTAGCAACAAGTGGGTACATACTATTCCCAACTTTTAGGAGATTTCATCATTAGGCTAGGTTATTTAAATTTTATCTCATTAATTTAAACCCAGGACTTTTGGAGATTAAATGTGATGAAAATAATAGCTACTATAGTACACTGTGGTTCATCTTCTCTCATATCAAAAGTTTCTTAGATTTTTACTGACTGGTTATGTCATAAGCATAGAATCCACCTGAGAACAGAAGAAAGAACCCAGATATGGCTATGCTACTGTCGATCAGCAGGAGTTCAATTATTCTGGGCTTTTAAAAGCTATGCATTCCTCAATTGTTTATGATAAATTCTTAACATCTTGGCTTCTTGATCTTTTGTTTCCTCATTTTGAGAAAACATACCTCTAAATCCAATTTTATAAATCAAGCCATATCAGGAGAGCAGGAAGGGGGCTTGAAGAAAATCCTCGTGACTAAATAAAACAAGGACATTCCCACATGTTCAAAAGAACCTAAAGCTGCCAAAACACAGATAAGTTTATAAAGACTTCTCAAGGGATTATTTTTAGAATGTGGATACAGAAAAACATTAGAACGGGACGGTGGGACAAGGGGAATTTTAATAATTTCCATAAAATGGCCCCCCAGAAAGGCTTTTTTCACTCTTTTTGGAACTCTAAATGCAAACTAGGTCCCAGCCTGTGGCCTACAAAAAGATTCTGAGATAATAAATATCAAGGAAGCCTGAACTAGCCTACCTAAAAAGGAACGTTTAGGAAGAATCCTGAGAACTGGCATTCATCACAGTTGGCCATCTCCCAAGAAAAACACTGTTTTGTGCCCTGAGAGCTGAGTGGGAGGAATTCATTGACAATGAAATTCCTTAGCACCAAGCTGGAGTCGAAAAGTTTCCTCTGCCTTTATTGAACAGAAAAGATTTTACTTGAACTGATTTGATGACCTCCTTGGATTATAACCTCGTTTTGGAAAGCAATAAAAAGCCGTTTTCTTCACACAAGACCTTGTAATTTACTCAGCACTTGCTTCATTTCACACTTCTGAAAAGTAAATCCCATAGTAGCAAATGTTTACTTCCTAAACTGCATACTAAACGTTTCAGTCATATTTGATGTTGTCCAAAAAGTCTTCGCACTGGAAATTCTGCGGCTATATAGACTTAAGACTCTCCCTGTGTGACTATTTTATATGACATTGTATTTCAGAACAGAAAGTTTGGTTTTAGAAACCTTTAGATGTAAAGTTTTCTTGAGAATAGTAAACACCTGAAGCTGTGTAGTCTCCACATCAGAGGCTTACAGGTGTTTGTCTTCCAAACTTTGAAAGAAATTTATGGCCAGGGTCCCAAAAACTACTTAGTAAACATAATATAATATGCATCAATGTGCCAACCCCACATGATAAGCAAGTGATAAGTATGGGAAGAATAGACCCTTGGAGGATAGGGTAGGGCTTGTTGGTGGCAGTCCTTTAATTACATTTGTCGATACTAATTAATAAGTTGATAGTTTCATTTGTTCTTATTTACTGTACCTTATTTTCAAGTACAATACACTAAACCGATGATAACTCAGATACTTTTTGAAAGAGCTTTAAAATAAGGGGGTTTTATTGGATTAGAAACTGTTAGGTCCTTAAATATTTTGAAAATTCAGAACCAGATATGTTGATGCATAATTAGGAATGGTCAATTTGATTTAAAAAAAAATACATTCTGTCAAGTTTTACTTATCTCTTTCTGCATACCCAAACTTTCCATAAACCAATTCTATGATATGGTGACATCAAAAAATGGTAGCTGCTGGCTGGGCGCGGTGGCTCAGGCATGTAATCCCAGCACTTTGGGAGTCCGAGGCAGGCGGATCACAAGGTCAGGAGATCAAGACCATCCTGGCTAACAAGGTGAAACCCTGTCTCTACTAAATACAAAAGCATTAGCTGGGCATGGTGGCGGGTGCCTATAGTCCCAGCTACATTGGGAGGCTGAGGCAAGAGAATGGTGTGAACCCGGGAGGTGGAGCTTGCAGTGAGCCAAGATCGCGCCACTGCACTCCAGCCTGGGGAGACAGAGCAAGACTCTGTCTCAAAAAAAAAAAAAAAAAAAAAAAAAAAAAAAAAAAAAGATGGTAGCTGCTGTTGAACATGGCCCAGTTACAAATCTCATTATTTTAGACTAACTATTAGTTGTAGATTACTTTTAGAAATTGTCTATTGAGTCCAGGCAAGGTGGCTCATTCCTGTAATCCCAGAACTTTGGGAGGCCAAGGCGGGCAGATCAAGAGGTCAGGAGTTCGAGACCAGCCTGACCAACATGGTGAAACCCCATCTCTACTAAAAAAAAAAAAATCAAAAATTAGCCAGGCGTGGTGGCACGCGCTTGTAATCCCAGCTACTCAGGAGGCTGAGGCAGGAGAATCGCTTGAACCCAGGAGGCGGAGGTTGCAATGAGCCAAAATCGTGCCACTGTACTCCAGCCTGGGCGACAGAGTGAGACTCCATCTCAAAAAAAAAAAAAAGAAAGAAATTGTCTATTGGAGAAAAAATTGTTATAAAAAGTAAAATGCAAGAAAATTACCTGTCATATCTCACACTTGTTTGAGGGCATACAATGTTTAGTCCTTTGAAATTAAAAATTATAGCAGTCCTATAAAATATTCTCAATGTGCAAGGCAATCCAACTAAAGAAAATACCATGTAGATTGTTCATTATATTCAATGTTAATTGGAAGGTCATAGTTTAGCAGACATGAAACTGAACATATTAAAGACTCTGCCTTAATACAAAGCAATAGTCTAATTTGTTTGGGGCTATAATTCTTCAAATAACTAAGCTGGCTTCCTCTCAGTTTTACTGTGTTCACATATTATGCACACTTATACGCTAAAATCTTCAAGCAATAAAAGCTTTGATTTTTGGTCTCTAAAACTGACTGACAAAATCTAAACTGATTAATCAGAGAACCTAAAAACGTAAACATTATGTTTTTTCAGTGATATGTTTCCCATTAGAGCTTGTTTTTAACTGGAACGCTATGCATGTTGAATGGGTACGACATTTGCAACATTTATCAAGTTTGGGTGAGCAATGCTAATACTGCTGGTGGTTCTGCTCTTGGAAAAGGGCCGTGCTTTCTGTTGCATGCAGACACTGACCCTGTACTTTCTTTCCTTTCCTTTGTTTCCTGTGCCATGCTTGCTGTGTAGCAAATGGAATCTCTTGCAGTAAGTTAACTTTCTTTCATACTCTTTGTCCATTTAGGCATGGACCCATAACAAAGCCTATTTTTACCGTTACTGTTACATCTCTTAGCATGTTCTCCCTTTCTCATTTTAATTTATTTTATTTGGTAGATTAAGACATGGCAGTTTATTAGTAGCATTCTGGGCTGCTTTCGCCCCAAAGTAGAAACTTACATTGCTATGAATTATCATATTATCAGTGGAATATTTTGTGTAATAATTACCATGATTTGGCACTTAGGAAAGGCAGAGTTTTCATAGCTAGGTTTCACCCAAATTGTGAAGGTAATATTGTTTTTAAACAATACTTTTTTATTTATTTGCAAGTCTCTGGCAGTTATCTTTTATACCAGAGTTTTAAAGGTTTCTCTAAAGAGAAGCTTAAAAACCACAAAATACAATGTTTTACTAAAACAACCAAACATCCAGTTTGAGTTAATTAGTCAGTGTAGCTGCTTCTTTAATCTTAGGCCTGTTACCAGTATTGAGAGATCAAAGAATCTAGGCAGAATTGGTTTTCCCCTAAAGAGCAGGGAAGAGCTGGGAAGAGAAAGGAAACCATTCAGCATAGTCTTAGCGTGAATTTTAGTAACTTTTAAGATTTAGGATCAAAAGTCTGTTAATAATACCAATAGAATATTCTTCCTAAAACCTAAATTCTTGTGATTTCTCTCCTTAAACAGATGGGAGGAAACAGTTTTAAGTCACCTTAGAAGCTCTCGATTCTGAGCTGCATTCTTTGTAGTCCTTGGTAAAAGAAAGGCCGTATTTATCCTACCCCATTTGAAAACTGAACAGTGAAACATTTAGTTTAAACCACATATTTAATCCACTTTCACTGGTGACTGCTGGCCATGAAATTCTATTGAGCAAAGGCTGTTCCTTTCCTTTCACAGAATCCCATCCACTCACTACCTGGGAGCAAACTCATTCTTGGAATAAAATAGGCAAAGTGTAGAGGGTACAGCTCAAAGACTAGTCTTGTCACTGGCATTGGAATTGTTATTTTTCCCTCATACTATACATAAGCTGTGTAATGAACAAATTATAGGGTACAGAGGCACAAATGTGACCCTGAAACATTTTAAATTCGAGAGGTATTTATGTGGCTCAAGGGCCATCGTGTATGATTACTTTTTGATGTCCTTTCCACAGAAATTTTCAAATGTGTTAATAATTTCTTTTTTTCTAAGCATTTTTGGTCCCTTTTTATCTCTCTTTAATTCAACAAGTATTTACTGAGCACAGAGTAGACGGATCATCAGTAAGCCTGACTGTTAGGTTTACACAAGCCCAGGCGTCTACAGAATTTATAAGTTTAACACCTAGAACTACTTAATGTTTTGCCTTTCAAATATACTTTTAATAAAAGGAAATTTTTCTTTTTAAAAATAATTTATAGCTTATAAAAATGAAGACAACCACTCAGCTATAATTGGTAGGTATTTAACTGGCAAATATAATGGAAATTTGGTTGTTCACTCAGTCCCTTTATAGGTGCTACTCTCTAATTAGTCATCCATTACACAAACTATAATGGAAATTATACCGTGGATTTCTCACTGGTATTTATTTAATGACTGTATTTCATTTTTCTGTTTTATTTGGAATAACAGCTGGTTATGTTTTCTTAATTTAAAAAAAAAGTTTGTCTCCATTGAGATTTCACTAGTTATATGTGAATGATCTTTAACAATAACTGTTTCTTCCCATGCAATTTCTCTCTTTAGCAATTGGAACTGTGTCAGAGATTATATAAGCTACACTTCCAGCTGCTATTGCTTTTTCAGTCCTACTGTAAGCTCATCGGCCAGGTGCACGAAGTTAGCTCCATGCCAGAGGTGAGTCCACACGCTTCCCAACCCCACGTCCCACCACAAAAACCATTTCTTTTGTTCTTCCTCACTCCACCCCTTTTATAACTGCCCAAGTGATTTTATTCCCGCATAATTATTTTGCTCAAACACAATTCTGAAATAAACATGTCTTGTATGTATTTCTATTCTCATTTTTAAAAGCAAAGTCAGGAGTAGGTATGGAAAGTGAGGTGCCTCAAAATTTAAGAACGCGTGTAGGAAGGAACCTTCTGTGGGTTACGGCCTAGGTGCCTTGCTTGCATCTCCCTGATCCTGGCCCTGGGTCTGGGCATCCTTATTTGAAAACTTTCCATGTGTGTGGGTTTTCTTCTTTACATTAGTTTTTCATACTTGCCTTTGCCTTGAGGTAAGAAGGAAATGTCTGTATGATGTGTTTGGTTCTCTTCAGTTTCCCTGCCCTGCTTAGCACCAGGATATTTTAATATTTTAAAATATTTAAAATAAAATAACTTAAACATATTACTGCTGAGTGAGCCAAAATTTTTCTACAAATGAAGAAATACTACTGTAATGTAGTCAGTGGAATAATGGTGCTGTATAGTGGATACTATAGAAGCAAAGAGGACTAACGGCTCATTTGCCTAGGGGTAAGAAAGGTTGAAACTGAAGAGCTTGCTGGAGGAAACCACACCTGAATGGACTCTCAGAGGGTGAGTTGGAGTGAGGGAGGAGCATTCCAATAAGAACAAAGAGCATGGCCATAAGCCTGATGGGAAGAAAGAGAAAGGAACTACAAGCTACTTAGTATTGCTAGAATAGAAGGTGCACCAAAAAAGAGCTATGAGATAAGGCAGAAGAGAGAGGGGTAAAGGCGAGATCATAAGACATGCCGCACCTAGGAGTATTTCAGGTAGATCTCTCTGGCAGCTATGCGGAGGGTGGGTCTGATGACAGCTAGAACAGAGACATGGAGACCAGTGATGAGGCTGCTGAAATAGTTCAAACAGAAGGAGAGAGTTTGAACTGGGACAGAAGCGCTAGGTATGGAGAGGAGGAAGGAAATGTGAGACACGGGACAAAAAAATCAATGAAACTAATGGGGGGATGAAGGAGAAAGAAGAGTTGAGGAGAGGATGAGACTCAGGTTCCATCTTATAGAAACCAGGTGACCAGTAGCACCAAAGCTGAAACAGGGATATAAAAAGAAGGACTGAGGCGATGCTGTGTCCAGACAGTCAAGCCTTCTGCCGGCTAGTCAATGGCTGCATACTGGACCAAGACCTGGCTTAAACGGCGACTGACCTCTTGCAGGTGGTTAGACGTGAGGTCAGGGGAGAGATCTGAACAAAAGGACAGATGTGATTGTGAACAAGCAGAAGTCGATTAAACCATGCCAGTGACAGCAGAGAAGTGAGGATGAAGCCTGGGAAACCTCACCGTCTAAGAGCAGAAGAGGAAGAGCCACAAGAGACAAACTACAACCATTTTACCATTTTTTTATTACTCAGTTTGAAAAAAGGAAAAAACTATACGACTTTATACTTTCAAATGCTTATTTCAAGAAAGTAGGCCTTCACAACCAGTTTTCCTCTATTCAATTATAAGTTGTCAGATAATAGGAATCAACTCTTTTCTTTTTTATTTGCCACATGGTCAAGATAAACTTTACTTTTTCTTTTTCTTTTTTTTTTTTTTCTTTTTTCGAGATAGAACTTTGCTCTTGTTGCCCAGGCTGGAGTGCAATGGCACAATCTCAGCTTACCGCAACCTCCGCCTCCCAGGTTCAAGCGATTCTCCTGCCTCAGTCTCCTGAGTAGCTAGGATTACAGGCATGTACCACCACACCTGGCTAATTTTGTATTTTTAGTAGAGATGGGGTTTTGCCATGTTGGTCAGGCTGGTCTCAAACTCCTGAGTTCAGGTGATCCACCTGCCTCGGCCCCCACAAAGTGAACTGTGAGCCACCGTGCCCCGCCAGGATTCACCATTCTTGATGCCATTAAGAACATTCATGATTCGTGAAAGGAAGTCAAAATATCAACATTAGCAGGAGTTTAGAAGAAGGTGATTCCAATGGACGACTTTGAGAGGCTCAAGACTTAAGTAGGGGAAGTAACTGCAGATGTGGTAAAAATAGCAAGAGAACTAGAATTAGAAGTAGAACCTGAAGATGTGACTGAATTGCTGCAGTCTTATGATAAAACCTGAATGGATGAGGAGTTGCTTCTTATGCATGAACAAATAAAGTTTTTTTGTTGTTGTTGTTTGTTTATTTGTTTTTGAGATGTAGTTGCACTCTGTTGCCCAGGCTGGAGTGCAATGGCACGATCTCGGCTCACTGCAACTGCCACCTCCCAGGTTCAAACGATTCTCCTGCCTCAGCCTCCCGAATAGCTGGGATTACAGGCCCGCACCACCATGCCCAGCTAATTTTTGTATTTTTAGTGGAGACGATGTTTCACCTTGTTAGTCAGGCTGGTCTCGAACTCCTGACCTCAAGTGATCCACCCCCGTTGGCCTCCCAAAGTGCTGGGATTACAGGCATGAACCACCACACCCGGCCCAAACAAAGTTTCTTTAGGTGAAATTTACTCCTGGTGAAGATGCTGAGAACATTGTCAAAATGACAACAAAAGTTTTACAATATTACATAAACTTAGTTTATAGAGCAGTGACAGAGTTTAAGGTGATTGACTGCAGTTTTGAAAGAAGTTCCAAGGTGTATAAAATGCTGTCACATGCTACAGAGAAATATTTCATGAAAGGAAGAGTCAATCAATAAAGCAAACTTTGGCAGGGTGCGGTGGCTCACGCCTGTAATCCCAGCACTTTGGGAGGCCAAGGTGGGCAGATCACAAGGTCAGGAGATTGAGATCATCTTGGCCAACATGGTGAAACCCTGCCTCTACTAAAATACAAAAAACTAGCCAGGCATGGTAGCCCGTGCCCGTAATCCCAGCTACTTGAGAGGCTGAGGTAAGGGAATCACTTGAACCCGGGAGGAGGAGGTTGCAGTGAGCTGAGATCATGTCACTGCACTCCAGCCTGGTGACAGAGCAAGACTCCATCTCAATAAATAAATAAATAAATAAATAAATAAATAAATAAAGCAAACTTCATTATTGTCTTATTTAAAGAAATTGCCCCAATCACCCCAACCTTCAGCCACCACCATCCTGATCAGTCAGCAGCCATTAACATTAAGGCAAGATCCTCTACCAGCAAAAAGATAATTACTCACTGAAGGCACAGATGATTGTTAGCATTTTTTAGCACTGAAGTGTTTGTTAATTAAGGTATGTATATTTTTAGACTTAGTGTATTTAGACTACAATATTGTGTAAACATAATTTTTATAGGCATGGGGAAATCAAAAAATTGACATGACTCACTTTATTGCAGATGTCTAGAACTGAATATTTCCAAGGTATACCTGGTGTGTGTATTCATATGGGTAGGTACACACACAGTGTTTAAATACTACATAAGTTTTAAATAATGTATATATACACACATAATGTTTAAAACTTATCTAGGTTTAAAATAAGGAGAAATTTGCTTTCAAATTTAAAACTACAAACAAAATTAAGATACTCTAATATCTTGTTTTAAAAGATTATTTCACTAAATTTTAAACCTACTTCTGTAGTAGGTAGTTGCATTTAACAGGCATGTGTGCCAAGAAAAAATAATCCTTCAAGGCTTCAGTTTTTTATTGTTTGTACCGTGAGTGAGTTGGGAATGAAGAGGAAAAGCAAAGCTGTTGAATAAATAACTTTCCAAAGTAAACAGGCATCATCAACTTGCATTACAAAGAGGAAAAAAAACCTTTAATTTTATGCCAATTTTTTTAATGCTCTTGAGATCAAATTGCAAAACAACCATCTTCCGTAGTATATTTTGAGACACTTAGAAGTGACACAGGTTTTCTTAATCTTTACTTTTTAACACTCTGGATCCTTTGGTTCCAGTAACTTCGAGGGAAAATATCTTTTACTGCTGTAGCATTAATACAAACATTAGTTTAAGATTATTCTATCTCCTCAAAATTGTGTCTTCAGCTTTTTCCCATGGTGTGGAACCAAGAGTGAGAAAAACTTATTATTAGGACAGCGTCCATGGTCACAATTACATTAATTGAGCACTTAGGTGCTGGACTGTACTAAGCATTTTGTATATATTATTTCCACTTAATCTTTAAAATAAACCTTTAGGATGGCTATTATCTTCAGTCTCACAGATGAGAAAACCGAGGCACATAAAAGTCAGTTAACTTGTCCATCTTCCTACAGTACACTGCAGAGCCGGCATTTGAACCCAGATCTACTCACTCTTGAGCCTGATCTCTTGTACTCTTTCCTTCTGTATTTATTCCCTATTTAAGTCTAACTTAAATAGAACACATTTTAAATGAAGTCTTAACCTTTTCTATAAGGAGAGCATCTCAGCAGTTGACACATACTCAATGCATCCAACTCCACAATCCCCTACACATACCATGGAGTACAATGTCATCTATCCTATCTGAATTTACCAAGGTATTAAGCTTATGCTTAACCACACCCATAAGATCCTTTTTTTTTCCTTTTGGGATGTAAAATTCCCCCAGCACCTAAATATAGTTTAAAAAACATTTTTTTTTAAATAGCTGCTGAATATGTCCAGGGAACTGAGTGACCTAAAGAAACACCTGAAGGAAGCCAGTGCAGTCATTGCAGCTGACCCTCTCTATTCAGACGGCGCGTGGTCCGAGCCCACCTTCACGTCCACTGAAGCAGCCATCCAGTCCATGCTGGAGTGCCTGAAGAACAACGAACTCGGCAAAGCTTTGCGGCAGATCAGGGAGTGCAGGTGACTCTGCTATTTCTTTTAGAGGTGGTTGCAGGAAATGCACACCTGGTTGTTACTCTGTCATGGTTGGAGTCTAGCCCACTACGGAAGGCTAGATATTTTACAGATCTCTTCTCAGATCTTTACTGCTGCCAAACCAGAAACACTCAGCTTTCAGAACACTACATATTGAAAGTGTTGGTGTTGGTTCTGGCCATTTGTCGTCCCTAAAATGACAAAATGCTGAAGCACTTCAAAATATACCTTTATATAATTTTTAACTAACATTTGAATATATTCTTTTTGGTTTTGCCCCTACATTCTGATATTGTATTCACATTCATTGAAACCAGAAGGCTATAGCAAATAAGGTAAATGTTTTAGGAGTGTCAGATTCCATTCTGATATTTTTATACTTTTGATATTTTACCAAAATAATATTCTAAAATTGATTATGGTGATGTTTGCACAACTCTGAAGATACTAAAACCCACTGAATTGTTTACCTTAGATGAGTGAATTACCTGATACAGGAATTCCATCTCAATAAAGCCTTTTTAAAAAGTAATACTCTTATATTAATGAAGACTCATAAGCTCCCAACTTTGTGACTAATAGTGCCTCTAATCTGTGCTGTTCTTTTTGACTGCAGAAGTCTGTGGCCCAATGACATCTTTGGAAGCAGTTCTGATGATGAGGTCCAGACACTACTGAATATTTATTTCCGTCACCAAACTCTGGGACAGACGGGTACTTATGCCCTGGTGGGGTCTAACCAGAGCCTGACCGAGATCTGCACCAAGCTGATGGAGCTGAACATGGAGATCCGGGACATGATCCGCAGGGCCCAGAGTTACCGAGTCCTCACTACTTTTCTTCCAGACTCCAGTGTTTCTGGCACTAGTCTCTGACAGGAGCCTCCTGTCCCCACTGGGTTCCAAACTGGCAGTGCTGCCATGCTGGGGCAACGTCATTCAGTGTCTTCTCGGCCTTCAAAAGGCTTGGACAGACTGTTCTCCCTCTTGTTACCTGTAGGGCTTTTTCTAAAGAGGATGGCAGAACTTCCAACGTGTAGCAATACTATAAGAACCAAGGTAGCTTAGAACGTCCTGGACAGACTCCACTCATCATGCTGTGTGGCACAAATGTGTTACATTTGACCGAGCATATGCAACTCGCTACTGAAGAAGTGACTTCCGTTGCATACCAAAGCCGACTACACTGAACAGTACCTTCCTTTCTAGAAACAATTTTAGATTGGCAAAAGTGCAATGTTTTCTTCACTCAAAAAATTTTATATTCTCAAACATGTATATTCTTTCCCTGTCTTGTTCCATTTTCTTTTCTTTTTTCTTTTTTCTTTTTCCTTTCTTTCGTGGGCTGAGAAAGGGGCAGGCAAAATGAAGCTGGCCACTGAAAACTGTAAGATGGTCAAAAGCTGACAGCCTGTGTATGTGAAAAGGGAATTGTAAATGGACTGCAATGTAATGTACACTGTAATTTGAATACAATTACTGTATCTAAAAGGAGCTGCTATGAAGTACCTTTCTTATGTTGCTAGGCTACTGTTTCTGAAAGCCCTGGATCTCTTTGCACCAAAAATGGTCCAGATAGACTCTTTTTAAGGATCTTGGCTGCTTTTTACTAGAAGGTTGCTTTTATGAGCATATTTATACTGCTGAAGGATGAGTGTTAATTTTAATTAACTTTGCCGTTTTGTAGAGAAAACTATTCACAAGATAAATTCCAAGTCTTTTCACCTGTCAGGCATGCATATTTTAATATCTGTTTGGATAGTCAGAAGTAGAATCATAAAGGTAAAATATGAGTTGTTACTTTGTTTCTTCGATGTCATATTTTATGTGTAATATATATGTAAAGGGCCATTCTTAAGTTCTCTCCTTAAACTTAATGCTGTCAAGTGTTAGATGTGTGCATGTGAACTTGTTGCACTGCAGAAACATATTCAGAGTTTATCTATGTAACTTATTCACTCTGTAAATACATTTAAAGTTTTTGTGATGTAAGCTTAATTGATATTCTGTTCAGAACTTTCTTTAGACTAAAAAAAAAAAAAAAGACAAAATACACGTTGACCATGGACTTTATTTCTGGTTAATGAAAATGTTTGTCCTGGGCACACATGAAGTTTTGCATGTGGGTTGCCAAAGTAATAACCCCAAGGGGCACCCCTCGCATGTATGATCTGAATGGCACCCGTGGGGGTCATGCCATGCATGGCCCTGTGAAGCTGGAGGTAAGTATTATCTCTTTGGAAGTTGGCATCAAAACTGTGAGCTTCAACCAATTCTCTGTAATCAACCAAAGAGAAAAATCAGAAAAAAGTGAGAGCTCTAATTCTCCATAACCTATAATTAGGTTGTCATCCTTCAAATTTGGAAGTTAATTCTATAGTGAGCAGGAAAAAGTAGTAGAGTTGTAATTCTGTCACCAACACCTATCCCCCAGGAACACAGGGAGAAACATGTAACAATCTCATTTATGCCGTCTTTCTACTCATATTTTACATGGACCAACAAATATAGCTTGCTTTACTAGCATATGGCTACTGAATCATTGGCAGTAATATTCTAGGAGTATTCTATAGAAGAGAGCCTAACCTAGGATTTTTTTTAAATCCTAGTAGTTGCTACAGATGCAACTACTAGATTTTAATAATTTTCTGGACTGCTGAAAACATATTTTTCTGATGATTTATTTTTTTCAACTTGCCTGAAAGATGATTTGCTATGATTTGTAGAAACAACTGAATCATGATCTCTCTGAAAAATATCATAAAATAAAGGTTTCTGTGGCTAACCACAGTAGACAACTTTCAGAGAGTTTTGTTGGGAGCCACAGTAGAAAGAACAGATTCGTCATGAACTGAGTTTTCTACCATGGCTTCTTACCCAGCAGAGAACCACCGTGATGGTTTACTCTTAAAAAGGGAAGGAAAAAAAAAAAGGATTTCAACAGTACATTACAATCCAAGATATTAACATAGGAAGCAGTGGTCTGTGTTTTTCTCAATTTTATTTTTAAAAGGAGATGTATTAATGTGAAAGGTTTCTTCTACTTTTCCTCTATCTCTTCACCTCCTCTACTTTAAGTGGAGATGGGAAAAATTGTGTAGGATGCAGCCCCACGCCAGCAGAGCCCAGCAATAACTTTAGATCTACCAGTCAAATCTTGTCGGCTATTGCTCTGTGCCTCTGTTACAGAAGCATTAATGTTAATTGCCTTCCCCAGGGATACAAAGAAGTAGAAGTACCAAAGGAAAGGGTAGATATTTAACAGATGCCTCAGTGATAAGAAAGATGCCTCCTTGTGTCTCACTGTTTTCTAGCACTGAAACATGATACACTTTGTATCCACCTGCAGAATAAAGCAATCCAGACAGGCGCTCTGTAACTTAGACATCACTTGATTAAAATTATAGTCTCCAAATATAGTGTTTTAGAAAAGGCACTGCACATTTTTAGAGGCACGTGAATGTCATTCCCACCTCTAACCCATCTAACATCGGTGAGATGTTAAGAAAATGTGCCGATGTTACTGTGAAATAAAGATGCCTGTAATTAATTGTAGGCATCACACACATGCGTGAACATCCAGAGTTAGGTCTCAAGGCTCTTCTGGTTCTAAGTCCTAACAAACAATGATCTTTTCAGTGAACTGTAGAATTCTGGAAAGAATAAGCGTACCTCCAGGCTGCTTACATCAATAGCTTACACGTGCTTCCTGATGCCTGCCTTAACAACAAAAAATTCGTGTCCATAGGTGAGTATTAGGGTATGTTCATTGTATCTCAATGAAACTAGTTTTTAAAGTTTTCAATGCATTTGTTTGAGATCAATTAATATTTGGATACCTATCATGACCCAGGATATTTCTTTGTTCAGCAAATATTTATTGCATGCCCACTCTGGGCTAGGCACTGTTTTAGAGGACACCGCAGCTATCAAGGCAGATGTGGTCCCTGTTCCCATGAGGCTCCTACATTTGAGTGGAGGAAGATGTACTTGTCTACGTTGGGTGATGATTAGTGCCATGAAGAACAAAACGGATACAGTGAGTAATGTGGACAGGGCTATCTTAGCTATCACTCTAATAAGGTGATATCTGAGGAGAGATCTGAATGAAGTGAGGATACAATGGATATCCAAGGAAAAGAGCATTCCAGCAAAGGAAAAAACACATGCAGAGACCCTGAAGGAGAAGCAGGGTCACTTTGTCAAAGGGACAGCAAGGAAGCCAATGACCGGGTGAAATGAGTGAAGAGAGCGTTCAGAGAGGACAGCCAAAAGCTCTGTGGGCCACGGCAGGACTTTGTCCCTTGCTGAGCAAGATGGGAAGCCACTGAATGTTTGCGGGCAGGGTAGTGACATGCTGTGACTTATGTTTAAAAGGATTACTCCTTCATAGCGATGAAGAAAAGCTCTATAACAAAAGTTCCGTTGTGGTGGTTATACAGCATTGTGAATGTACTTAATGCCAATGAATTGTGTACTTTAAAATGGTAAATTTTATGTTATATATGTTTTACCACAATAAAAATAATTTTTTTAAAGGATCATTCTGGCTGCTATGTGCAGAATAGACTGCAGATGGGCAGAGGTAGAAGCAGGAAGACTAGAGAGATGGCTGTGGCAACAGTGCAGTCACCAGGCGATGCTGGCTTGGGCTAGGGTACTAGCAAGGGATATGATTAGTTGTGGGCATATTCTGGAAATAGTTCAGAGCTAGAGCTGACAGGGCTTACCAATGACACGTGGAATGGGAGAGAGTTTAGCCCAAACAGCTGGAGGAATGGAGTTTCCACTAACTGAGATGCGGGAATGCATGTTTGGGAGATAGAAACCAAGATTTATTCTTCAGACATGTTAACTTTGAGATGTCTGATATCCAAGACAAGATGGTGAGTAAACAGGTGGATGTGTGAGTCTGTTGTTGAGGAGCAAAGTCTGGGCTAAAGACACACATATGGCATTTAAAGCCCCTGAGAAAAAAGTAGGATACTCCCCTGTCTTGTCCAGCCGGGACTGGGATCTCTCATAAAAATTAGAGTGTAGGTAATGGGCTCAAAATTTCAGATGCACATTAAATCATGTCAGGGACTTAAAACCCCAACGCTCAGCCTTCGTCTTAATTGATGTAATTGGTCTGAAGCTGTGCTCAAACTCCAGTGCTGTTTAAGTTTCCCCAGATGATTCTAATCCACTGCCAAGATTGGAACATTGCTTTCTCCTTTCTAGACCTAAGAGTCACCCCAGGGTATTTGTCAAAAATGCAGAATCCCTCAGGTTGACCCCTCTGGAGACCAGTTTGGTAAATCCAGCGCAGGATCCCTCAAATCAGCATTGTAACAGCCACTCCACTTTGAAAGACACTGAACTAGGAGAAACTTCCTATATAGCGAAGTGCTCTTTCTTCTAAAGCACACCCCCAGTTGTTTTTCCACGTAGGCTGTTGGTGTAGTAATTCTACCCAAATCTGTCATTGATCTTTTTGTAACTTTGTTTCCTATTTGAGGTCACAGTGAGTGAGTGACTAGAATTTACTGCATCCACTTACAGATCAGTTTCCTGGCAGATGCCTCCTTCTCTGTCACCATCTTCTGTAATCCAGATCCTTCTTTTAACAGCAAACTTGAATAGATATTGTATTCAATTTTCAGATTCCAAGAACTTGGGCCACCTGGTGCGAACTTCCAGGAGCTCCTCGGCCAGGAGAACAAAGAGATTCCTCCCGGTCCCCTTTACTATGTCCAACCCTTCTCTCCTCATCTCTATTTCGAAAAGCCCAGAGACTTTGAAATTCTTGCCACCTGGCTGTACTAGCCACTTCCTTCCCCAACTCCATCACTGTCATCCACAGCAGTGGCTGTGACCCTCAGCTGCATTAGAAGCACTGGGGAAGCTTTTTAAAAATTCTGAGGCTTGGGCCCCCCTCCGGATCCCGTAAATCCTTTCTAACGCTCCTCTGATGATTTTGAATTGCAACCGCGCTTGGGAACTGGTGACCTAAAGCCCTCCTGCTTCCTGCCCCTTATTCATCGGAGAGACTAGAGCTTCTTGCTCACCCCAGCTTCCGATGTCGTTTCCAGGACTTCAGGAGTCTTGTGTATAACCTGTATGAAATCTTTTCCCTCTCATCCTGTTAACATTCTTACCTCCAGGCATTTTCACTCTTTTCTACCTTAGCCACCCAATTTCCTGGCTATACCAAAACCTGATCCATAGCAGTAAGTGAACCAGCTCCAGAATCCCACCTTCAGGCCCCCTACTCAGGAATTTTCCCAGTTCCCCTTTACTCCAGCCCCCACCCCTCTGACAATTCTCCCATCATGAATATCAGTCTGTGGCCCTCACAGGTCTTTACTCTTCTTTGGAGCATGTTTAAATTCCATGGGTCATTATAATCCCTCTCTTGCTGACATTCACAAGGGATGCCCTACCCCTGTCTTACTCAGCTGGTTAAACCCCAAGCCTGGCTGAACCTAAAACTGACTCTTCCCACACCTGCACCAGAAGTGTGACATTAGTAGGATGAAGATATTACTAGAATGCAAGTCACACATGTAGTGTCGCACTAACAATGACACTGGTAATGTTACATTTCTAGTCATATCTTCACTACTAGAAGTGTCTTCATTACTAGAAGTGTGACATTACTAGTATGCAACTACAACCAAGAAAATCTCAAATCTCAACACTATGAGACAATCTTGTAATACACTTATGCCTTCCTGATCATTTCAATTTCCTAATGCCTGAGAGAGTTATTTCTCATATTTTCCTCCCTCCTCAGCATCCTACCTGTCTCAGCTGATGGCTTTGCTTCATAATTCATTGAGTAAACAAATGAGTCTCACCTTCCCCACCAAAAATATAAAGTTATCTTTAACTAGCCCTATATTCTAGGTGCTTCATCCTTTATAATCAAAGGGATATCACTGCTCCCCTCAGGGGCCAATTGCTCCACTGGCGCTCTGGACCCCATCTCTGCTGCCTATTCAAGGGCTTTGCTCCCGCAGACATTCCCCTCTCTGCTCTGCCATCAGCTTCTCTAAACGATTCCCTTTAATATGCCAACATACTCTGCGCCTCCACTTTCCCCAAATGCCATTCTAGCTATCACCAGTTTCTCTGCTTTCTTACAGCAAAACATCTAAGAAGTACTACTTCTGTTCACTGTTTGGACTTTAACGCTGCTTCCGTCCACACCACTCCAAGGAAACTTCTCTCTTCAACCTCCCCCATCACCTCCATGCTGCCAAATCCAATGGACCTGTCGTCACCTTTCTCGACCTCCCGGCAGGATTTGACTCAGTCGACTTTCCTACCTTCTGGAAATACTGTTTAATCTTCATTTTCATCTCGTCATCCTCTTCCTATCCCTCTTAACTTCATCTTTCATCTAACCACTAAGTTCCTGCTGCTCCAAGTATAGTCTGGGGAACCAGCAGCATTGATGGCATCTGGGAGCTTCCTAGATTTGCAGTCTCAGACCCCAGACCTACTGAATCAGAATCTTCATTTAACAAGCTCACCCAATGACTCCTGGGATGTTAAGGTTTTAGAATCATTACTCTAAGTGTTGGTACACCCCAGAGCCCTGTGTTGTACTCCCTTTTTTTTCCTGCTTCTATGAAACTATATTTTTTAATTTTTAAAATTTTTTTATTTCCATAGGTTATTGGGGAACAGGTGTTATTTGGTTATGTGAGTCAGTTAATTAGTGGTGATTTGTGAGATTTTGGTGCAGGTGATTCCATCCAGGCCCATGGCTTTAAAAACTACTTGTTATCTCCAAATCTATCCCTAGCCCTGACTTATCTCCTAAATTCCAGACACATATACCCAATAGGCTACATGACATCTACCATTTGGATGTCTCCAACACTTCAAACTTATGTTGAAAACAGAAGCCCATCCCCACATCACTAAATAGCTCCACTAAAATAAGAGGTAAATGTATTGAGCCCTCAAAGTGACAGGCACTAATTATTCTAAGTGATGAACATGCCTCAACTCCTTTAGTTCGTCTCTTGATGGTGTGAGGACTATCACTATCCCCATTTTACAGATAGGTAAACTGAGAGGTAGAGAGTAACTTGCCCAAAATTATCTCTTAAGTAAGTACAGCACCCACGATTTGCAATTAGGTAACCTGACTCCAGAACATGCTTCCTACCTGGTATAGCTCTCAATTCCATTCACCCTACAGCTCAAAGCACAATATTGAGTCATTGTTTATTTCCTCCATCTTCCACTGCCAGCCCTGCACATTTTCAAACATTATCTTAAACCCATGGATTTCTCTTCGTCTCCCTGGCCATCACCCTTGTCCAAGCCATCAATTTGCTCATGTGTTCATTAACCTCACAACTGGTCTCCCGCTAAAGGGAGCTTTTTGAAGTGAGAATGTGTCTGCACTGTTGAAAGCCCCTCATGGGCTGTCATTTGCTTAAACATGGCCTTGAGAATCCTTTGTGATCAGAGCCCTGTCTTCTGCAGCCTCATGTCCCACATCAGCCCCAGGGGGCTCCTATTCCTCAGCCCCTCAATGCCTTTATTCCTGCTGTTCCCTTGGATCAAAACCATCTTCTCCCTGCTCCCTTCATCCTGCGAGTCTCAATCTCATGTCACCTCTTCCCAGCCAACGTGTCTAAAAGGTTACTCTATCATAGCACCCTATTTCCTTCATGGCATTTATCACAATCTGAACTTGAGAAGTATAAATGTAATTGTGAAAGCATGGAGCAAGTCCTACTCTACCTGGTTTAAATCCTGGCACTCTGCTCTGGCCTCTGTGTGCCTCTATCTCCTCATCTATGAGAAGGTATAATAGCTCCTACTTCATATGGGTGCTGTAGTGAGTAATAGCAATGCATGGCACATGCTAAAGGCTGCTTCTGCATTTGCTATAGTTGTGTATACTTGGAGGAAGGACCTTGCCCCTTCATCATCTCTATATATAATGCTTAGAACCAGTGCTTAGAACGTCCGACTTATAAAAATTTGTCAAAAGAATGGCTATTTTTCTTCATTGTTCCCCTTCATATAAGTGACAGTATCTACCATTTCCCAATGCCATATATTGATGTTTTTACCCTAGGATCACCAATTAATGTGGCTTCATGGTCTAGTTCACATGCATTTATTTTATTCTATTCACATTGTACAATTGTTACACAATCTACAAAAAGTACAAAAGCCTAGCCATTTTCCGATGCCAGGTCAGAGCCAAGTTGCAAAAAAGGAAGACAGCACAGTAAGTTACAAGAAGAGCTCAGGGGTCCATTACAAGTCACACTGTACAAGTCACATCACATATTTAAAGCTGTAAATATTGCCACAGGAGAATCTCTTGTCTTTGCAGCGACCACACAGTTCCTGTCGATGAGGCCTCCTTAGATCAATGTGTCTCTTCTTTTGAGGACAGGAACAATGAGACTTTGAGCAGGTCTTTAGGAAACAAAGAAGAGTTTGGACGCTAAATGATCAGTTTAGTGTTTCAAATGTAACCCTCAAATCACAGTACTTCTCCCTATTACCCTATCCCTGAAACCTTCATCCTCTGAGTCCTACGAGAAGGCCAAGACCAAGTTGTACAAAATTACTTGTATCACATTAAATGTCAGATATTTTTTCAAGATGAATGATCACAGAAGATATTCAAGAGAATACTGCAGAGCCAATCAAGACAACATAATGTAAAAGGAATTTAAGAGTTTTGTAGAATTTCTTCCCTATGTAGATTTTTACATTTGTAGCTGAACCAGTCAAGGCAACATAATGTAAGAGAAAAAAATAAGTCAAGAGTTTTATAGCGTTTCTTCACTCTGCAGATGTTTAGATTTGTAGGCAGGTCAGGGTGAGTGGCAGTGGGTAGGAATAAAATGAACATTTAAAAAAGACTAGAGCAGATGTTCTCAACCAGGGGTGATTTTACTCCCCCATCTCCAACCCCAGTGGACATCTGGCAATGTCTGAATATATTTTGGGTTGTTAAAACTGGGAGAGAAGGGTATTCTGGAGGAAACTAAATGTTTCTTTTCTTCTTCTTTTCGATGTGCCCAATCTTTACTAGGATCTAAAATAGTTTCTTTCAACCATTATCTCATTTCTGTCTTCCAATAATTAAAACTAATATCCTATGGAAACTGGTACAGTACCCTGGTTCCATCCCCCCAACCCTGCCATTCTATTTTCTACATGTCCCATAGCCACATGGAATAAGTCAAGATTTACCTTTTTTTTTTTTTTTTTGAAATGGAGTCTCGCTCTGTCGCCCAGTCTGGAGTGCAGTGGTGAGATCTTGGCTCACTGCAACCTCCGTCTCCTGGGTTCAAGCAATTGTCTCTGCCTCAGCTTCCTGAGTAGCTGGAATTACAGGCAATCGCCACTATGCCCAGCTAATTTTTGTATTTTTTAGTAGAGATGGGGTTTCACCATGTTGGCCACACTGGTCTTGAACTCCTGACCTGAGGTGATCCGTCCGCCTTGGCCTCCCAAAGCGCTGGGATTACAAGAGTGAGCCACCATGCCTGGCCAAGATGTACCTTTCTATATTGTGAAAATAGACATTTTTATTCTGCTAAATGCAGTCTTAAACATTATTTAATAAACTGTTCTGTTGAAGAATATGCCTCCTTATGAGAAAATTCCTTTTTTTTTTTCTTTTTTTGAGACAGAGTCTCGCTCTTTTGCCCAGGCTGGACTGCAGTGGCGCTATCTTGGCTCACTGCAAGCTCCGCCTCCCGGGTTCACGCCATTCTCCTGCCTCAGCCTCCTGAGTAGCTGGGACTACAGGCGCCTGCCACTGCACCCGGCTAATTTTTTGTATTTTTAGTAGAGATGGGGTTTCACCATGTTAGCCAGGGTGGTATCGATCTCCTGACCTCGTGATCCACCCGCCTCGGCCTCCCAAAGTGCTGGGATTACAGGCGTGAGCCACTGCACCCAGCCCTTGTAAGAAAATTCTAACAAGTAATACTCACATGGTGTTTACTATGTGCCTAGCACTCTCTTAAGCACTTTATATACATGAATTCATTTAATTCTCACAACACCCTTACAAAGAAAGGCTCAATAAAATAAGGATTTACCCTAAAGGTTGATTTTTGCTTCTGGAAATGATGGATTAGGTAATTCTAACCAAGCCTCCTGGATGACTAGAAAAGCTGAGCTAAAAATAACTGTTTGGATCACTGAGAAATTATCAGAGCATTAGAGATGAAAACCCAGAAATAGGTGTGAGCTTGATGTCTGGGACTGTTTACTCTCACTATAGTTTTTCACATGTGATAGCTAGCACTCAATCAAAAATAACCAGGTACTGTATGTGAGGAAACAGAACAACATACTTGAAAGCCAAGAGGACAGCAATAGACTCACAGGGTATTGAGTTAATGGAGTTCTCTGACACAGATTTTAAAATCACTAAGTGCTAATATGTTCAAGGAAATAAAACTAATATTTCCAGCAAAAAATTGAAGTTTTCTTCTAAAGCAATAAAAATTCTAGAACAGAAAAATACAACAAATAAAATCAATAGTTCAATGGATGTTTTAATCACAGATTAAAAAGAGCTGAGATGAGAAATACAAATGGAAGATGGTTTAGTAGATAATATTCAGCCTAAAGCAAGAAGAGCTAAAAGCATGGAAAATATAGATAAGCACATAAGAGACAGAAAGAAATATGGTGCAAAGGTCTAGTATGAGTAATTGGAAGAAAGAAGGAATAGGAGCAGAAGTAACATTTGAAAAGATAACAGTTGATAATTTCCCAAAAGTAATGAAAATCTTTAAGCTGCAGTTTCAAGAAACACTATGAAGCTCAAGCAGGATAATTACAAAGAAACTACAACTAGGCACATCATTGTAAAACTGCTGAAAAACCAAGGCAGAGAGAAGTAAGCAGATTTACGAAGGGGAAAGAGAAGAGATTACTTCAAAAGAGATGCAATAAGAGCTATATTGTTTCATAGAAACAATGAAATTCAGATCCTTAAAGGGCAGAAAGAAGTATTTCCAACCTAGAAATTCTATATATACCCAGCGAAAATATCTCTTAAAAAGATATCCAAGGCTGGGCGTGACGGCTCACGCCTATAATCCCAATACTTTGGGAGGCCAAGGCAGGTGGATAACCTGAGGTCAGGAGTTCGAGACAAGCCTGGCCAACATGGAGAAACCCTGTCTATACTAAAAATACAAAAATTAGCCGGGCGTGGTGGCATGTGCCTGTAATCCCAGCTACTAGGGAGGCTGAGGCAGGAGAATCACTTGAATCCAGGAGGTGGAGATTGCAGTGAGCCAAGATCATGCCACTGCACTCCAGCCTGGGCAATGGAGCAAGACTCTATCTCAAAAAAAAAAAAAAAAAAAAAAAGATATCTGGACAAAATAGAATTTGTCACCTCCAGACCAATACTATGGAAAATATTAAAGTTCAAGTCAAAGGAAAGTGGCCCTAGAAACAAGAAGATACAAAGAATAACAGAAAGAATGTATAGCTAAAACTAAATGAATACTGACTATACACAATAATCTTATAAAATTTTAAATATAGGTAAAATAAGTATACAATAATAGCATATAAGTTAGGATGTAGTTAGAGTGTTCTCAAGTCATTGCATTGTCTGTGAAAGGCAAGATTAGGCTGAGCGCAGTGGCTTACGCCTGTAATCCCAGCACTTTGGGAGGCCGAAGCACATGGATCATGTCAGGAGTTTGAGACCAGCCTGGCCAACATAGTGAAACCCTGTCTGTACTAAAAATACAAAAATTAGCCAGGCATGGTAGCAGGCGCCTGTAGTCCTAGCTACTTGGGAGGCTGGGGCAAGAGAATCACTTGAACCCAGGAGGCAGAGCTTGTAGTGAACCAAGATTGCACCACTGTACTCCAGCCTGGGTGACACAGCAAGAGTCTGTCTCAAAAAAAAAAAAAAAAAAAAAAAAAAAAGGCAAGATTAACAATTTAGACTTTGACAAGTCAGACAGTCATGTTATTTCTATGGTAACCATCAAAAGGACATTAAAAAATGATAGAAAGGAATATTGAATATTAAAAAAAATTCAAGCGAACACAAGAGAAAAGAAAAAGGGGTGGAGAAAAAAGAAAATACATTTAAACCCAGTTTAATAAGTAGTTATATTGAACATCATCATCAAAGAATGTCAGACTAGAAAATTAGAGGATGAATCACTTATAAGCTAGTTTTCGAAATGTCAATTAATTTATTAATTAATTATTTTTGAGATGGAGTCTTGCTCTGTTGCCCAGGCTGGAGTGCAGTGGTGCCATCTCAGCTCACTGCAACCTCCTCCTCCTGGGTTCAAGCAATTCTCCTGCCTCAGCCTCCCGAGTAGCTGGGACTACAGGCACCTGCCACCATGTCTGCCTAATTTTTGTATTTTTAATAGAGACGGGGTTTCACTATATTGGCCAGGCTGGTCTCGAACTCCTGACCTTGTGATCCACCCACCTTGGCCTCCCAAAGTGCTGGGATTACAGGCATGATCCACCATGCCTGGCCTATTTATTTCTACTAATTATAGAAAAAGAAGAAATGTTTTTAACTAAGGACTTAGGTTAAAAAACATATCAATTACAAAAAGCAAGTTAAGGATCTCACCTAGTTCTGTGAATTTCTAAACATTGGAGACACCATAGAATCCAGTCAGAGCTCTAATACTATCCATCTAACCTTGGGAAAGTTATTTTGAACTTAGCTTTCAGATCTATAAAATAGGAATAACATCTCCCACAAAGATTAGATGACAGGAGGTAATGCATGTAAAGCACTATCTCAAAATTTGGCATGTAGTAAAAAATTAACAGCAGTCACCTTTTACATTACTACATTCTAACTATGCCCAGGGTGTCAGAGGAAAAACAAACACACCCCATAAGGCAACTTGAAATAGTGAATCTTCCCCTCTTTCCCTTCAAAAAAGATGCAAACTAGAATTTATGCTTTCATTGTTCTAAAATGTAACATCTCAAACATACAGAACACTCACATACCAATATCCAACTCTATCAAATCCTAACATTTTGTCACAGAGGCTTCATTTTAGTAATGAAACATAGACACAATGGAAGTGTTCCATATGCTCACCTGACATTGGATTGCTTCTACTCGATAAGGGTTAAAACTCTTTTGGCATTTACAACAGAGTTGTTTGAAATAAACCTAAAGAGAAATATGTTTTTTTTTAATACAAGCTTTTATACACACCCACACCCTGCAAAGGCTCCCAGTTCTTAAGTAATCCATTGCATCTTGCTTTTACCAACTTCTACCCTTGCCTTGCCTTTTATCTTGCTTTTACCAACCTCTACCCTTGGGGTTTCAAGGTGTACTAGTTCTTATTAATCACTTTTTCTTTGAATCTAATTTTCCTTACCCATAAAATTGGAATACATTTTTTTTTTTTTTTGAGATGGAGTTTTGCTCTTGTAATCCAGTCTGGAGTGCAATGGTGGGAAATCGGCTCACTGCAACCCCCGCCTCCTGGGTTCAAGCGATTCTCCTGCCTCAGCCTCCTGAGTTGCTGGGATTACAGGTGCCCGCCACCACACCCGGCTAATTTTTTGTATTTTTAGTAGAGACTGGGTTTTGCCATGTTGACCAGGCTGGTCTCAAACTCCTGGCCTTAAATGATCTACCCACCTCGGCCTCCCAAAGTGCTGGGATTACAAGCCTGAGCCACCGCATCCAGCCAGAATAATACGATTAATACTTACTTTTTCCATAGTTCTGAGAACTCCCTAATAATGTACACCAAGTACCACAGTAGATACTCAATGGGAAGTGGCTGCCATACTTTTTGTCCTTATCTTTTAGCTCTTACATGTTTCATTTTTCAGTATTTCCCGGCTTACACTTTAAATTACTTGTGGTTACCCATCAATACCACCTGCTTTCTAGGCTTTGTGCAATTTCCTGTGCACATTTTCTCTCTGCCTTGCTTGGTGAACTCTTCCTCCTATTTATTGTTTCAAATCCTGCTTGGACATCAAGCTGTCTTCCCTCAGACAGAGCTAATACCCTCCTTCCTGTGCTATCTCTGCACTGCTTCCATATGAAGAAGGATGCTACTGCACGTATTGCCAAATTACATTTTGTTTCCATCACTCGTATCAAAATAAATTCCTTGAGAACAAGTCCTGTGTTTTGTTCTTTGTATCCTAGTGCCTTGGAATGTTTGAATTAAACTCATTTTTCTTCTGGCAAGAGAAGGAAGTAAATTCAACTTCAACTTTAAAAATCTATTCACTCTCTAGGTCTCTAGTAAATGGCTAGTGTGAGAAATCAAGTTTTCATCCGGAACTCAATGCCTTTTTGCCCTCTCTCTCCACAGTCCTTTGGCCAGTAAGGCAATTTCTAAACATGCGACAGCACAGGGCGTTCACACTCAAATGCTTATGGAGGTTAATAACATCGGGCCACGTAGACTGTTGCAAAACGAGGTGCACAGGGCAAGGAAAAGAAGAGGAAGCCTTAGGGGCAGCCTGCTGTTCTCATTCTCAAACGAGGGTCTCTAATGACCAGAGCCTACAGGATTCACGAAAATGCAGAAATGCAGAATTTAATGTGAAGCCTTTTCCAGTCCTAATATGTTGGCAATTAAATTAGGAAGGGGGCAAAAGAAACTTTAGGCGTAGCCTAAGTCTCTTACAGGCAAATCTTTACAGTAAGTTTTTTCACTTATTGCCCCACCTTGTGGACAAACAGTGGAAATTTCCTAGCGCTAAGGCCCAGACCTGTTCCAAGCATACCAACTAAAAAACGGTTAGAAAAACTTCCAATGTAGACAAGAACAAAAGTTCATCTAAGTAACCTGACATCTTGTCATATATAACGCCAGAGTATGGTTCGGAAACCCAGGTGGACAGTCCGATTCAGTTCCATTCATTCACTGAGCACTTCCTGTACACCTGGCACGGGGGATGCCACCAAGATCAAGACAGGACTATGACAGCCATGCTCCCTCAGGAATCAGATTCTTCCCCGCTTACCATCCGTGCCCACCCCATCCTCCTCTCACCTCCTACTCTTTTTATTTACCTTGTTCGTTCCAGAAATGCACCACACGTAAGCACTCTCCCACCTGGTCTTACAATCTTTACAGTGGAAATAGCCATATTTTGGTTCCAAAAACTGAAAATAAAGAAGAAAAGTACTTTACCATCATGCAAGGGGAAAAAAGCCAGATCCTTCTTTATGACTTTGTATAAGGAAAAAAAAATGACTTCTTTAACCTCACTTGTATCTATTCTCAAGACTACGGCATTGATTCAGTTTCTCATCTCTCTTAAAGATTACTCTGGGATTCTTCTTGCTGCTGTCGTTTGTACTTTTCCAATCCATTTTCCACAATGCTACCGGCACAATCTTCCCAAAACGAAAGTCTGATTTCATGTATTACAGACTCGAAGCCCTTCTTCGTCTCCAAATTCTCCAATAGCAGTGGTTGCCAGACTGTTGGTTTTCACAGGCTTAGTTTGGGTTGGCACCTATTTTACCCAAAACTTACCAAACATACAGGCCACGTGATATACATATTTTCAGAGCTCCCTCTCCTTCACCAAGTACATGGAAGAAGAGAGAGAAGATTTTGCTCTTATTGCCCCCATAGATGGAAAAGGAGGGAGGGGATGAGGCTGGTCGAGGACTAAGAAGAGGGAAGAGAGGATCTACCTGGAAGTTGGGCCTCCGGAGCGGCTCGGAGGCGGCGTCTCCAGGCACCTGCTTGCTCTTCGTCTCCTGAGGGCACGGGGCGTCTTTCTCCCCCGATTCCTCCAGCTGCCCGGGCTCCTCCTGCCTGTCAGCTCCTGACCTCCGTGATGGTGGCTGCGGCTGGCTGGCCTCCGCAGGGCCCGGGAGCGCCTTGCTCTCCGCTTCGTCCCCATCTCTCCGCAGGCGGATCAAGCCCCTGCGGCCGGTGGCGGGCGAAGTGACCCCACAGGCTGGCAGGGGCTCCTGGGGGTCTCTGCCGTCCCAGGGGGAGCAGCTGCTGAGGGTGCGAGGCCCCAGAGAGCACTGCACAGCCTTGTCCACCCGCGGGCTCACCTGCACGCCCACCTCCTTGGTGTTGGGCTTGCACAGCCGCGGGCTCAGGCTGGGGTTCATCTGGGAGAGAATGGCCTTAAGCTGCGCCCTCTTGTAAGGGTCAATGCAGTAGTCAGGGGCGTTCGCGGGCACCAGCAGCCCTGGCCTGGCCAGAAAAGTGGGAGGACCCATATTTTGCCTCCAGTCGGGCTGTTTGTGCCCTGAGAGTCCAGGCTGGCCCAAAGGCACTGTGCTCCCATAACCCTGGTACAAGCCATAGGGAACACGGACAAAGCGCTCCATCCGCTCTCAGGTGCTCAGGCGCAGTCTAATATCCTAGCCAGTTTGTTTGGGTCCTTATTTTGCCTTCCTCCTTCATCCGCCCCTTCTTTCTCTTCATCAGGTTGGTTCAGATTCATTCCTGGCTTCTCCATTTATTTCAGATTCTAATGGGAGCTGCTGCTTATTACCCTGATTGAGGGAGAGAAGCTCTATCTACAGATGTCTAATTGCCACCTGATTCCTACCTAATTGCTTTTCCCTACCTCTTCACTGTTCGGGAATCTTTTTTTCAAAGCTGTTTTTCATTTCCAGCTTATTCACACATATGCTTTAATTAGTGATTAATTCATATATTCCTGTAGTGACCATTCTAAAGATCCTTTGTAAGGTAATGTGGTAATGTTAGATAATGTTTTAAGGTACAGCCATTATGGACAACAGTATGAAGGTTCCTTAAAAAAGTTAATAGAAGTACCAGATAATCCAGTAATCCCACCACTGCGTATTTACCCAAAGGAAATGAAATCAATATCCTGAAGAGATACCTTCACTTCCTTGTTCGTTGTAGCATTATGCACAATAGCCAAGTTATGGAAACAATCTAAGTGTCTGTTAACAGAAAAATGGATAGAGAAATTGTGGCATGTATTTATACAATGGAATATTATTCAGCCTTAAAACAGGAGATCCTGGCCAGGCGCGGTGGCTCACACCTGTAATCCCAGCAGTTTGGGAGGCCGAGGCAGGCAGATGACCTAAGGTCAGGAGTTCGAGACCAACCTGGCCAACATGATGAAACCCTGCCTCTAATAAAAATACAAAAATCAGCCGGGTATGGTGGCACGCTCCTGTAATCCCAGCTACTCGGGAGGCTGAGGCTGGAGAATCACCTGAACCCGGGAGGCAAAGGTTGCAGTGAGCTGAGATCACACTACTGCACTCCAGTCTGGGCAACAGAGAGAGAAAGACTCCGTCTCAAACAAACAAACAAACAAAAAACAGGAGATCCTGCCATTTGCAACAACATGGGTGAAACTGGGGAACATTATGCTAAGTGAAATAAGCCAGATAGAAAAATACTGCATAAACTCACTGATATGTGGAATCTGAAAAAGTCAAATACATAGAAGCAGAAAGTAGAATGGTGGTTACCAGGGACAGGAAGTTGGGGGGAATGGAGAGAGACTGGTCAGAGCCTAAAATGTTACAGTTAGGTAGAATGAATGAGTCTAGAGATCTAATTTACAGCATAACGACTACAGTTAACAATACTGTATTTTATACTGAAAAGTTTCAAAGAGAAATTTCAGGTGCTCTCACCGCACACAAAAGAAAGGTAATTATGTGAACAGATGGATATGTTAATTGCTTGACTATAGTAATCATCTCACTGTGTACATATACATGTTGTGCACATTAAATATATACAACTTTTAGGAAATAATGGTTTTTTGGGTTTTTGTTTGTTTGCTTGTTTGAAATGGAGTTTCCTTGCTCTGTCTCCCAGGCAGGAGTGCAGTGGCATGATTTCGGCTCACTGCAACTTCCGCCTCTGGGGTTCAAGTGATTCTCCCACCTCAGCCTCCCAAGTAGCTGGGATTACAGGCACATGCCACCACACCCAGTTAATTTTTGTATTTTTAGTAGAGACAGGGTTTTGCCATGTTGGCCAGGCTGGTCTCGAACTCCTGACCTCAGGTGATCTGCCCACCTTGGCCTCCCAAAGTGCTGTGATTACAGGCGTGAGCCACCATGCCCAGCTGGAAATAATGTTTTTAAGAAAAATTAAAGCATATTGTAAATTGAATACAAATAGTAAATTGAGCAGCTGCACTAGAAGAGAATAGGTGAGAAAGTCTATTATGGTGGAGCTAATAAGTTGCAAGTCCCTGGTACAAAGAGAACAAGAAACATAAAGGTATGGGGGGCTGTATAAAATGACAGAAAATGTTATTTCTGAGACTTGTGTGACATGCCACGGGTTCTCATTAGTCCACTCCTAGTGAGACACCCCTCCCCCACAAAAAGGGGACAAAGCATATTGTTCTGATTTATAGGGTAAATAAATCACAGGTTAGTTAAGTGTATGAAGTCAAATGGACTAGAATTCAAACCTGGGCCTTACTACCAGGCACATTACTTAACTACTTGATTCAGTATCCTCATCTGACAATACTGACCAATTTACAGGATTACTGTAAGATTAAACATGGTATTGCTTGAAAACCCAAAGCAGAATGCCTAACTCATAAAATGTTTGGTAAGTGGCAGCTGTTATTAGTAAGGATCACAGACGTATTTCTTTGCGAATTAGACTTAGAGCAAAAGCTTTAGAATCTATCTGCATTAGTAAGGCCTCCTTCTACAACTAAGGATTACTGATTATCAAACTAAAATGGTCCCTAAGGAACCAAGCGGAGCCCACCCTTTTCCTAATCCAAGGTTGCTTCTGTTTACTGCTCAAGCACCTTCTGGAAGCAGCAAGGCCCCCATGGGAGCAACTCTCACTGAATCCATTTGAAGGTTTTGTAGGTCTTACAACAAACCCTATTCAGCCTTGTATTAGGCATGTTACAGAACCAACGAATTCGGAGATGAAGTCAGGTCTTCCAGTTCAGCCTGCGAGGAAGACAGGTGATCCGAATCCTAAGAATGCAAAAGATGGGCCGGGTGTGGTGGCTCATGCCTGTAATCCCAGCGCTTTGGGAGGCCGAGGCAGGCAGATCACCTGAGGTCGGGAGGTTGAGACCAGACTGACCAACAACGGAGAAACCCCGTCTCTACTTAAAAATGCAAAGTTAGCCGTGCGTGGTGGCCCATGCCTGTATTCCCAGCTACTCGGGAGGCTGAGGCAGGAGAACCACTTGATCCCTGGAGGCGGAAGTTGCGGTGAGCGGAGATTGCGCCATTGCACACCAGCCCGGGCCACAAGAGCGAAACTCCGTCTCAAAAAAAAAAGCAAAAGATACTACCAAGCCCTGCGGAGCAAGGTACCTCACACTTCATGAGCGAGTTAAGATGGGTTTCACAATTTTTCAAGCAAGGAAACGGGCTCGGAGGTCTTGAACACCTGCTACCCAATAGCAGAACAGCTACTGGAACTAAAATCCTCTGATTTCAAATAACAGCCCCGCCCACTACCACTAAGTGAAGTCATCCACAACCACACACCGACCACTCTAAGCTTTTGTAAGATCGGCTCGCTTTGGGGAACAGGTCTTGAGAGAACATCCCTTTTAAGGTCAGAACAAAGGTATTTCATAGGTCCCAGGTCGTGTCCCGAGGGCGCCCACCCAAACATGAGCTGGAGCAAAAAGAAAGGGATGGGGGACTTGGAGTAGGCATAGGGGCGGCCCCTCCAAGCAGGGTGGCCTGGGACTCTTAAGGGTCAGCGAGAAGAGAACACACACTCCAGCTCCCGCTTTATTCGGTCAGATACTGACGGTTGGGATGCCTGACAAGGAATTTCCTTTCGCCACACTGAGAAATACCCGCAGCGGCCCACCCAGGCCTGACTTCCGGGTGGTGCGTGTGCTGCGTGTCGCGTCACGGCGTCACGTGGCCAGCGCGGGCTTGTGGCGCGAGCTTCTGAAACTAGGCGGCAGAGGCGGAGCCGCTGTGGCACTGCTGCGCCTCTGCTGCGCCTCGGGTGTCTTTTGCGGCGGTGGGTCGCCGCCGGGAGAAGCGTGAGGGGACAGATTTGTGACCGGCGCGGTTTTTGTCAGCTTACTCCGGCCAAAAAAGAACTGCACCTCTGGAGCGGGTTAGTGGTGGTGGTAGTGGGTTGGGACGAGCGCGTCTTCCGCAGTCCCAGTCCAGCGTGGCGGGGGAGCGCCTCACGCCCCGGGTCGCTGCCGCGGCTTCTTGCCCTTTTGTCTCTGCCAACCCCCACCCATGCCTGAGAGAAAGGTCCTTGCCCGAAGGCAGATTTTCGCCAAGCAAATTCGAGCCCCGCCCCTTCCCTGGGTCTCCATTTCCCGCCTCCGGCCCGGCCTTTGGGCTCCGCCTTCAGCTCAAGACTTAACTTCCCTCCCAGCTGTCCCAGATGACGCCATCTGAAATTTCTTGGAAACACGATCACTTTAACGGAATATTGCTGTTTTGGGGAAGTGTTTTACAGCTGCTGGGCACGCTGTATTTGCCTTACTTAAGCCCCTGGTAATTGCTGTATTCCGAAGACATGCTGATGGGAATTACCAGGCGGCGTTGGTCTCTAACTGGAGCCCTCTGTCCCCACTAGCCACGCGTCACTGGTTAGCGTGATTGAAACTAAATCGTATGAAAATCCTCTTCTCTAGTCGCACTAGCCACGTTTCGAGTGCTTAATGTGGCTAGTGGCACCGGTTTGGACAGCACAGCTGTAAAATGTTCCCATCCTCACAGTAAGCTGTTACCGTTCCAGGAGATGGGACTGAATTAGAATTCAAACAAATTTTCCAGCGCTTCTGAGTTTTACCTCAGTCACATAATAAGGAATGCATCCCTGTGTAAGTGCATTTTGGTCTTCTGTTTTGCAGACTTATTTACCAAGCATTGGAGGAATATCGTAGGTAAAAATGCCTATTGGATCCAAAGAGAGGCCAACATTTTTTGAAATTTTTAAGACACGCTGCAACAAAGCAGGTATTGACAAATTTTATATAACTTTATAAATTACACCGAGAAAGTGTTTTCTAAAAAATGCTTGCTAAAAACCCAGTACGTCACAGTGTTGCTTAGAACCATAAACTGTTCCTTATGTGTGTATAAATCCAGTTAACAACATAATCATCGTTTGCAGGTTAACCACATGATAAATATAGAACGTCTAGTGGATAAAGAGGAAACTGGCCCCTTGACTAGCAGTAGGAACAATTACTAACAAATCAGAAGCATTAATGTTACTTTATGGCAGAAGTTGTCCAACTTTTTGGTTTCAGTACTCCTTATACTCTTAAAAATGATCTAGGACCCCCGGAGTGCTTTTGTTTATGTAGCTTACCATATTAGAAATTTAAAACTAAGAATTTAAGGCTGGGCGTGGTGGCTCACGCCTGTAATCCCAGCACTTTGGGAGGCCGAGGTGGGCGGATCACTTGAGGCCAGAAGTTTGAGACCAGCCTGGCCAACATGGTGAAACCCTATCTCTACTAAAAATACAAAAAATGTGCTGCGTGTGGTGGTGCGTGCCTGTAATCCCAGCTACACGGGAGGTGGAGGCAGGAGAATCGCTTGAACCCTGGAGGCAGAGGTTGCAGTGAGCCAAGATCATGCCACTGCACTCTAGCCTGGGCCACATAGCATGACTCTGTCTCAAAACAAACAAACAAACAAAAAACTAAGAATTTAAAGTTAATTTACTTAAAAATAATGAAAGCTAACCCATTGCATATTATCACAACATTCTTAGGAAAAATAACTTTTTGAAAACAAGTGAGTGGAATAGTTTTTACATTTTTGCAGTTCTCTTTAATGTCTGGCTAAATAGAGATAGCTGGATTCACTTATCTGTGTCTAATCTGTTATTTTGGTAGAAGTATGTGAAAAAAAATTAACCTCACGTTGAAAAAAGGAATATTTTAATAGTTTTCAGTTACTTTTTGGTATTTTTCCTTGTACTTTGCATAGATTTTTCAAAGATCTAATAGATATACCATAGGTCTTTCCCATGTCGCAACATCATGCAGTGATTATTTGGAAGATAGTGGTGTTCTGAATTATACAAAGTTTCCAAATATTGATAAATTGCATTAAACTATTTTAAAAATCTCATTCATTAATACCACCATGGATGTCAGAAAAGTCTTTTAAGATTGGGTAGAAATGAGCCACTGGAAATTCTAATTTTCATTTGAAAGTTCACATTTTGTCATTGACAACAAACTGTTTTCCTTGCAGCAACAAGATCACTTCATTGATTTGTGAGAAAATGTCTACCAAATTATTTAAGTTGAAATAACTTTGTCAGCTGTTCTTTCAAGTAAAAATGACTTTTCATTGAAAAAATTGCTTGTTCAGATCACAGCTCAACATGAGTGCTTTTCTAGGCAGTATTGTACTTCAGTATGCAGAAGTGCTTTATGTATGCTTCCTATTTTGTCAGAGATTATTAAAAGAAGTGCTAAAGCATTGAGCTTCGAAATTAATTTTTACTGCTTCATTAGGACATTCTTACATTAAACTGGCATTATTATTACTATTATTTTTAACAAGGACACTCAGTGGTAAGGAATATAATGGCTACTAGTATTAGTTTGGTGCCACTGCCATAACTCATGCAAATGTGCCAGCAGTTTTACCCAGCATCATCTTTGCACTGTTGATACAAATGTCAACATCATGAAAAAGGGAAATGATTCCATAGCGTTATTATGAAAGTAGTTTTGAACTGTAATGGTAGAGGATGAATAGCTCACAATACAAATTTGTCATTTCCCTTTAAGAGAGAATTCCCATTTTATGTGAGAGTCCACATGTTCCTCATACCCATAGTTTGCCACATCTTGAGTACTCTTCAGAATTATTTGAATTTTTTGAATTTTATCTGTGGAATGTATTTTTTTTTTTTTCTTTTTTGAGACACAGTCTTGCTCTGTTGCCCAGGCTGGAATGCAGTGGCGTGATCTCGGCTCACTGCAACCACCGCCTCCTGGGTTCAAGTGATTCTCCTGTGGCAGCCTCCGGAGTAGCTGGGACTACAGGCGTGTGCCACCATGCTTGGCTAATTTTTTGTGTTTTTAGTAAAGATGGGGTTTCAACGTGTTAGCAAGGTTGGTCTCGATCTGACCTCGTGATCTGCTCGCCTCAGCCTCCCAAAGTGTTGGGATTACAGGCGTGAGCCCCCGCACCTGGCCGAATTTTATCGTGGAATGTATTCTTAATGTGAATAGTTTTTGATTCCGAACCATGAATAATAAGAAAATAAATAAAATTTAAATGAAAATAAAAGCTAATATATACAGCTTTTAATAATATAGTTAAATGCCATCTTGTAACTTTTGTGAACTCTTGTTACACCTTTCTATAGATTCGCAAGAGAATGGATTAATGATCTTGTTTAATTAATATGCCTTAACAAAAGTAATCCATAGTCAAGATCTTAAGCATTTTTTTCCTTATGATCTTTAACTGTTCTGGGTCACAAATTTGTCTGTCACTGGTTAAAACTAAGGTGGGATTTTTTTTTTAAATAGATTTAGGACCAATAAGTCTTAATTGGTTTGAAGAACTTTCTTCAGAAGCTCCACCCTATAATTCTGAACCTGCAGAAGAATCTGAACATAAAAACAACAATTACGAACCAAACCTATTTAAAACTCCACAAAGGAAACCATCTTATAATCAGCTGGCTTCAACTCCAATAATATTCAAAGAGCAAGGGCTGACTCTGCCGCTGTACCAATCTCCTGTAAAAGAATTAGATAAATTCAAATTAGACTTAGGTAAGTAATGCAATATGGTAGACTGGGGAGAACTACAAACTAGGAATTTAGGCAAACCTGTGTTAAAATCTTAGCTCATTCATTAATTGTGTCATGCTGGGCAAATCAGTCTCTCTGGCCTCTTTTTCCTCACTCGAAAAATGGAGACGATGAAAATAATGTCTCATAGGTTTGGATTAAATTAAATAATGTAGGTACTTAGTAAATGTTCTCTTTCATCCCTCCTTTGATAAATTTGCCAACTGAGATTTGCTGAATTACGTCTTTCTTATGCCAAAAAAACCTAGGACTTGTTTTGATGTTAATTAAACTAAACTATATTTCTGCAAGCTATCACAGAGGACAGAGATTATTTTACCGATATACTATAAGTATCATGATTTGGAAGGAGTTTCCCTGGCGTAGGTGCCGCATGTTTCTAAGCAATTATGTAATAAGATTATATATTCAGTCATTCAAATAATTATTACCTACTTGACATAAGTAATGAACTTTCCCTTTTCTTCAGAGTGTTAATCTCTAGTAAGGGGAATAAAGAGTACACAGATAAAGTATAGTGTAAGGTTGAATGTAGTATGTGCTAAGAGAAAAATATAAAAAAGTATAATGAGAGTTGAGAAGAAAGAGCAAATAGTATTGGGCAAAGTTAGGCAATTATTCCTTTGAGCTAAACCTTGAAGGATAGGTGAGAGATTAAGAAATTTGAAGATGTGGTAGAGTGATAATGTTCTAGGCAGAGGGAACAACATGAGGAAGAATATGTAGTGTGTTCAGGAAATAGCAAGTAATTCAGGTTGGCTTTGGTTGTTTTGTGTCTGAAAGGGACCAATAGACAAGGCAAAAAGGCAGACTAAAGGCAGGCATTGAATGCCAAGCTAAAGAAATTGAATTTGTTTGGTTGGTTGGTGAGCAGAGAAATCACATGCAAATTTCATCATGCTACTTATTGTGTCAAACCTTAGATCACCTCCCTTTGTCCTTATAGCAAAATCTAAACTTGATATGGCTTTCAAGTTCCTTTGTGATCAGGCCCCTGATTTACACTCTTGGCTCAGCTTGCCATATTCATCCTCTCACCTATCTTCATTTGCCATTCATTCCTACTGAATTTCTTTTCGTTACCAAAACCACAATGCTCTCTGGCTCTTTATTAAACATATTGTTACCTCTACCCACAACCTACTTTTTCCCTACTTTTTGTCTAGCTAATTTGCGTGCTCGTCTTTCAGATCTTGGCTTATTTCTGCTTCTGAGAAATACTTCCTGTCTGCCCTCGTTGAGCTTCTAGTGAAGGAGACATACATAAGCAATTATAGTGTGATACATGCTTTGAAAGAAATTCATGGCTATAGGGAGTGCATATACAAAGGGAATATAGGTAATGGGCAAATATTTACATGTATGTTATTGGATACCAAATGGTATACATAGGATTCAGTAAATATTTGTAGAGTGAGTATTAGTATTATTTGCTTTAGAAAGCCTAATGATCAAACAGCAGTCTTTGGAGATAACGTTTTTCAAAATGTCATGTCTGTGCCATTAGAATCTTCTAGACTGCTCATTGAAAGGACAGATTCCAGGCCCCACTCTGAATCTCTTAATTTATAATTTTTGGAAATGATGCCCATGAGTCTACATTTTAAACTACCTGAATGATCCCTATAGAAAGAGAAAACTGGAGGTAGGAAGATCAGTTAGGGGATGTGTAATGGTCTAGGTGATAGAGACAAGTGCCTGAATTACAGTAATAACAGTGAAAGTAAATATGGAACATAAAACTATAGGACCTTGCAGTAGTCTAGATATGGAGGATTCAAAAAAAGGAACAAATGACAGGGCAAAGCATATGCAGAACACAGTAGTAACAGTCATAGAAATGGATAAGGGAGTCATCCATTCTGCAAATACTTAGTGCTTACTTGTGTCTGGCAACCTGCTCGGCATTAAGGATACAAATATGAATAAGATGTCCTTTGACCTCTAAGTACTCAGTCTCGTAAGCACGTCTTGTAAGCACATCTTGGTTGCTTCCATAAAAATAAATACACTAGTGTGATATGTTATAAGAGCATGTACCAAGTGCATGAAAAGTGAGCAGCCATCTCTGGTTGGTCAGAAAAAGCTCCATAAAGCAGTTTTTGCTGAATCTTGAAAGATATACCTAAGGTCAAATGGTTAATTCTTTAATCATAACCTGCTAGAATTGATCTATAACCAAGGAAGGATAGTAAGGAATTAATAAGGCCACTCTCAACTCACTGCAAAGGAGTTAACTTTTTGAAGGCTGTAATACATAAATCTGCTGACTAGTCTCTTGAGACCTTTTGCTTTTACGTTTACTTTAGATTCAGTATTGAAAAGTAAGAGTAATGGACTTAAGCTGTGTTTTTCAACCTGTTTTGTTCAGTTCTAACATGTAATATTTTTTAAAAAATTATTCCTAAAGTTCTATGAGGAATTGTGCTGTTTCTGCCTCTCAGCAGTCCTTCCTTTTGCATTAAATCATAGGCATTTCTGTTACCATTCTTCAGCTTATTAATGAGATCCTCAGGTTATTTGGGAAATGTTTATTTGGTAATTAACTCTTTTTCACCTAGTTCATTTTTTTAACTTTTTTTTTTAAATAGCCGAGTTTCTTTTCATTGCTGAACTAAAATGGATGTGTTATTATTAGCTGAACTCCTTAGTTTACTTTAGAGTTCACCCTTTGTATGGTTCTATGGATTTTGACAAATTGTATAATGTCGTATATCTGCCATTATGGCATTATACAGAATAATTTTGCTGCCCTAAAAATCTCCCGAGTTCCACCTGCTCACCCATCCCTCCTCCTGAGCCCCTGGCAGCCACTGATCTTTTTACTGTCTGTATAGTTTTGCCTTTTCCAGAATGTCATGTAGTTGGAATCATACAGAATATAGCATTTTCAGACTGGCTTCTTTCACTTAGCAATATGCCGAGACCAGCTCGATTGTAGAGACCCTAACCCAGCGGCACTAGAGGAATTAAAGGCACACAGAAATATAGCGGTGTGGAGTGGGAAATCAGGGGTCTCACAGCCTTTTGACAGCAAGCCAGTGATAAGCATTGTTTCTATAGATTATAGATTAACTGAAAGTATTCCTTAGGGGAAATAAAGGGCTGGGCCGAAGTAAAGGGATGGGTCTGGCTAGTTATCTGCAGCAGGAGAATGTCCTTAAGGCACAGGTCGCTCATGATAGTTTGTGGTTTAAGAACGCCTTTAAGCGGTTTTCTGCCCCGGGTGGGCCAGGTGTTCCTTGCCCTCATTCCGGTAAACCCACAAGCTTCCAGCGTGGGTGTCATGGCCATCACGAACATGTCACAGTGCTGCAGAGATTTTGTTTATGGCCAGTTTTGGGGCCAGTTCCCAACAGCAATATGTGTTTAAGGTTCTTCCATGTCTTTTAATGATTTCATGCTGAATAATATTCCATCGTATTGATGTACCACAGCTTGTTTATCCATTCATCTATTGAAGGACATCTTGATTGCTTCCAAATTTTGGCAATTATGAATAAAGCTGGTATAAATATTCACATACAGGTTTGTGTGTGAATATATTTTCAACTCATTTTGGTTCACACCAAAGAGCACGATTGTGGGATCATATAGTAAGAGTATGTTTAGTTTTATGAGAAACTACAAGCTTTCTTCCAAAGTAGCTGTTGCATTTTGTATTCCCACCAGCAGTGAATGAGAGTTCTTGTTGCTCACATCCTCACCAGCATTTGGTGTGTCAGTGTTTTGAATTCTAGCCATTCTAACAAGTGTGTAGTGGTACCTCATTGTTTGTTTTATTTAATTTTTTTTTTTTTTTTTTGGAGATGAAATCTCGCTTTGTCGCCCAGGCTGGAGTGCAGTGGCGTGATCTTGGCTCACTGCAAGCTCCGCCTCCCAGGTTCACGCCATTCTCCTGCCTTAGCCTCCTGAGTAGCTGGGACTACAGGCACCCGCCACCACACCTGGCTGATTTTTTTGTATTTTTAGTAGAGACGGGGTTTCACTGTGTTAGCCAGGATGGTCTTGATCTCCTGACCTCGTGATCCGCTCGCCTCGGCCTCCCAAAGTGCTGGGATTACAGGCGTGAGCCATCATGCCCGGCCTGTTTTATTTTTTAAAGTCAATTTTCTTTCAAGAATTAGCTACTTTTTAGTATCTTTAATTAAAAATCTCATTAGAGAAGGAGGTTGGATATTTTGTTGAAGTGGGGTTTTTAAGTTACACATCCATTTGCTTTATTAGTGATTATGTCTAGTCCATGTTAACTTGAAAAATGAGACTATAATGAGACATTTTATTTAGGCTGCTACAAACAGTTTTAAATTTGGTCTTCACTTTATTTTAGTAACATTGATAGAGCTTATTTTTCCCAAAAGCTAAGTTAGAGATTATAGGACCAACCGAAGCAACTATTTTCTAAGAGTAATAATAAGTGACTCAGGTGCCAAATTTGTAGTTACCATCAACTATTGGAACCATATGAGTACTTAATGCCCTGGAGAGTCAAATATAATCTACTCTAATACAGAAAATAGAAATATTGAAAAACTGTAAATTGGATTTCATATTGTTAAAGCCACCTATAGCTTTAGAAACTCTGAACATTATTTTCTTAGAAAATGGATGTGTTCAATAAGAATAGAAATTATGTATTACTGTCTGCAACTCACTTTGTCTAATTATATCCAATTTATTCATCCAGTCAATATTTCAGGAGTGACTAATATACCAGACATTTTTGTAGTTGCTAGGGATACAGTGACAAATAAGACAAAATCTCTACCTCAGATTGCTCACAGCCTAGTAGGGGGAAAAAGAACAGTGTATGATCAAACTCTTCAGGGAACACATAGGGGGGCAAACACTTAATCTTACCTTAGGGATCACTACAGTTTTCTGGAGGAGGTAGTTTCTAAATGGAAGCCTGAAAGAGTTGTTCCAGGTCAAGAAAAGCAAAGAAGGGGAAACAGCTTGTACAAAGTCCTAGAGGTTAAAGAAAACATTCTTTCAGGATATGCAAATGGTTGGGTATGGGTAAAAAGTAGACTGTAAAAGAATGGCATCATAAAAATTAAGTAAATTGTCACATAAATATATATATTTCTTATGTACCCACAAAAATTAAAAATGAAGAAATTAAGTAAATTGTGAAAGGCCTTCATACTATGGAGTTTGACTTGATCTTGAAAAGTAAGATCTTGAAAGGTTTTTAGCACAAGTGATATTGTCAGATCTGGTACATTGGTAGGTTTTCAGTAAATGTCTTCCCTTACTCCTTTTTTCTCTTTCCTTCTGCTTTTGTTTAAAGCGACAAGATGTTGCTCTTTTCCCAGGCTGGAATACAGTGGCATGATCATAGCTCAAGCTCCTGGGCTCAAGTGATCCTCCCGCCTCAGCCTCTCAAGTAGCTAGGACTACAGGCATATCACCACACCAGCGTTTTCTTTGTAGAGGCAGAGTCTCACTCTGTTGCTCAGGCAGGTGTTGAACTCCTGCCTCAAGCAATCCTCCCACCTCAGCCTCCCAGAGCCCTCAAATTATAAGCCACTGTGCTCGGGGCATCCTTTTTGGGGGGTAATCAGCAAACTGAAAAACCTCTTCTTACAACTCCCTATACATTCTCATTCCCAGTATAGAGGAGACTTTTTGTTTTTAAACACTTCCAAAGAATGCAAATTTATAATCCAGAGTATATACATTCTCACTGAATTATTGTACTGTTTCAGGAAGGAATGTTCCCAATAGTAGACATAAAAGTCTTCGCACAGTGAAAACTAAAATGGATCAAGCAGATGATGTTTCCTGTCCACTTCTAAATTCTTGTCTTAGTGAAAGGTATGATGAAGCTATTATATTAAAATATTTAAATGAAACATTTTCCTACATATATTTGTTCTATAAAGATGAATCTGATTTTTATGCTAATATTTTGGCTAAGAGCCTGGTAGAAGATCTTACATTTTTAAATAATCTTTTAGGTTGAGTCCTTTAATAGAATAGTTTTTACATTAGAAACATGTAAGTTGTTGTTCTTGTGATGTTGAATTGGCTGGTTTTCTGTATATTCTGTGATTTTTTAAGTAACAAAAATAACAGTGGTGAAAAGCAGTAAGTCAGTCCTTGAATTATCAATTTAAAATAAATTGTGTACTTTTCATCTTTGGAGAGAATATGATTTACTTTACAAATTTTTTTTTTGTTTTTTTTTTTTTTGAGATGGAGTCTCTGTCACCCAGGCTGTAGTGCAGTGGTGCGATCTCAGCTCACTGCAAGCTCCGCCTCCCGGGTTCACGCCATTCTCCTGCCTCAGCCTCCCAAGTAGCTGGGACTACAGGCGCCCGCCACCATGCCCGGCTAATTTTTTGTATTTTTAGTAGAGACGGGGTTTCACCGTGTTAGCTAGGATGGTCTCGATTTCCTGACCTCGTGATCCGCCCGCCTCAGCCTCCCAGACTGCTGGGATTACAGGCGTGAACCACTGTGCCCGGCCTACTTTACAAAATTTTTGAGTTTAAAATACACGGTTTCCAGCAGCTGAAATTTGTGAGTACATATGTGTTGGCATTTTAAACATCACTTGATGATTATTTAATGCTTCATGAGAGATTTACTTTTTAAAATGTAATATAAAATATCTAAAAGTAGTATTCCAACAATTTATATGAATGAGAATCTTCTTTTAAAAATAAGATAAACTAGTTTTTGCCAGTTTTTTAAAATAACCTAAGGGATTTGCTTTGTTTTATTTTAGTCCTGTTGTTCTACAATGTACACATGTAACACCACAAAGAGATAAGTCAGGTATGATTAAAAACAATGCTTTTTATTCTTAGAATACTAGAAATGTTAATAAAAATAAAACTTAACAATTTTCCCCTTTTTTTACCCCCAGTGGTATGTGGGAGTTTGTTTCATACACCAAAGTTTGTGAAGGTAAATATTCTACCTGGTTTATTTTTATGACTTAGTAATTGAGAATTTGACAATAGCGTTATACCTTTGCCCTGAGATTTACAAATCTGTACCTAGCATTCTGCCTCATACAGGCAATTCAGTAAACGTTAAGTGAAATAAAGAGTGAATGAAAAAATAATATCCTTAATGATCAGGGCATTTCTATAAAAAATAAACTATTTTCTTTCCTCCCAGGGTCGTCAGACACCAAAACATATTTCTGAAAGTCTAGGAGCTGAGGTGGATCCTGATATGTCTTGGTCAAGTTCTTTAGCTACACCACCCACCCTTAGTTCTACTGTGCTCATAGGTAATAATAGCAAATGTGTATTTACAAGAAAGAGCAGATGAGGTTGATAATTGTCATCTCTAATACTTCTGTTAAAAGGAAATATGAAAAGAAAATATTAGATAATGTCTTTGATAAGTGTGTTAGTAACTGACAATAATTTTATTCTATTAAGTGTAGATTGGAATAAATACAAATACATTTAGTGGTAGTCCAGTGGTGTCAAGCATTATGTTTTAGTACGATGTGATTAACGTAGAATAGCTTACAAATATTCCTTTACTGGCCTATATAAGCGTTTAAGAGGCAGTATTTGGTGTGACTGAATTCTTTTTACAAATGATTGTGGTAATTGGGGCATTAAAGCAGCATTAAATAAGCTTTTGTTTTCTCTACTTAAATGTGTTCTAAGGTCTGTATTGCCAGTAGTACTGAATTGAGGTCTTAAATTCCACAAGTGTAATTACACAACTATGTGATAAACTGCAATATTTATCCATTCATTAAACTGTAAACTCTTTGCAGTCTCACCACAGTTTCTCTTACTAGGATCTAGAAATATTTCCTATTGTAGGCTGGTTGCAGTGGCTCACGCCTGTAATCCCAACACTTTGGGAGGCTGAGAAGGGTGGATCACGTGAGGCCAGGAGTTTGAGAGCAGCCTGTACAACGTGGTGAAACCCTGTCTCTACTAAAAATAAAAAAATTGGCCAGGTGTGGTAACACACACCTGTAATCCCAGCTACCTGGGGGCTGAGGCATGGGAATTGCTTGAACCTGGGAGGCAGAGGGTGCAGTGAGCCGAGATTGTGCCACTGCACTCCAGCCTGGGTGACAGGGAGGCTGAGGTGGGAGGATCACGAGGTCAGGAGATCGAGACCATCCTGGCTAACGTGGTGAAACCCTGTCTCTATTAAAATAGAAAAAATTAGCTGGGCGTGGTGGCAGACACCTGTAGTCCCAGCTACTCAGGAGGCTGAGGCAGGAGAATGGCATGAACCCGGGAGGCGGATCTTGTAGTGATCTGAGATCATCACGCCACTGCACTCCAGCCTGGGCAACAGAGCAAGACTCTGTCTCAAAAAAAAAAAAAAATCCTGTTATAAAACTACTTAAAAATCTCTGAGTAGCTGAGATTTGGCTAATCATGACTTAGTATTTGAAAAGTTGTGACTATTTTTTTTTTTTTTAATTGAGACAAGGTTCTTCTCTGTTGCCCAGGCTGGAGTGCAGTGGCACCGTCGCAGTTCACTGCAGCCTCAACCTCCCAGGCTCAATTAATCTTTCTTCCTCTTAGCCTTCCAAGTATCTGGGACTACAGGTACCATGCCACCAGTATACTACCAGTCCTGGCTAATTTTTTTTGTATTTTTTGTAGAGATGGGTCCCGCCATGTTGCCCACACTTGTCTCAAATTCCTGAGCTCAAGCAGCCACCACACCCACCTGTGACCATTCTTTTTTATTTTTATGAGATAATAAACATACAAGTTTAAAGAAATGTCTGTACATAAATGTGATTATAGTACAAACAAGTATTTGGAAGTTCATCTAAACAAATGCATCACAGTTTATAGGCAAAACATGAAAGATTGGATAATAATGGGAAAAAAAGTAAATATTCACCAACATTCTTTCTCTTTTTTCTTTTTCGTTTTTTTTTTTTTTGAGGCGGAGTCTTGCCCTTTTGCCCAGGCTGGAGTACAGTGGCACCATCTCGGCTCACAGCAACCTCTGCCTTCTGGGTTCAGGCGATTCTCCTGCCTTAGACTCCCGAGTAGCTGGGATTACAGGCACCCACCACCACGCCTGACTAATTTTTGTATTTTTAGTGGAGAGGAGGTTTCACTGGGTTGGCCAGGGTGGTCTTGAACTCCTGACCTCAAGTGATTCGTTTGTCTCAGCCACATTTTTTTTGTCTAAGAAGATACTGGGCCAGATCATTGTTTCTCAAATTGCAGATTATGACCTGTTCATAGTTGTGAAACTTATTTTGTGAGTCGTATATGCTCTTTTTAAATGAAATGAAAATTCTGAGTACATCACATGTAGTTAGGGTTTAGAAAATAAAAAATACAATATATCTAGTTAAATTTGGACTTCAGGTAAACAGCGAATAATTTTGAGATATACTTAACACTAAAAAATTATTCATTGTTTATCTGAAATTCAAATTTAATGAGGTGTCCTGTATTTTATCCAGAAGTCCTACACACAGTAAAGTTTGTTTTGTAAAACTTTTTTACTTAACCTTTGTGTGCCCATGTGTGTGTGCAGTCATAAAGTGTGTGTGTGTGTGTGTATTTAAAAAACTAGGTTGTACTCAAAGCCTGAGCTTAATTTATTCCCAAACCAGTATTACATTTTGTTTATTCTAGCAAAATAGCATTCTGTTTTGATTCCTCTTTAGCTGGGAGTAAGTTAACCCTATTCTGTTGCTTAGATGAAATAATATGGATAAAATCATTTTGAAAATATGTATTTAATATATAGTATGCCTTTAGGCTGTAGTGTTGTCTAAATGAATGCTAAAGTCTCCAAGCTTTAGCTTTTAAGTCATAACCTCACAGCATCATCTGACTTTCCAACTCATTGTGGACAGTATTACCATAAAGTAATGATCACCAAGCCATATCTTACCACCTTGTGAGTAGTACTAAGGAAGTAAGTATAGTTTATTCACTGTGTTGATTGACCTTTCTAATTACTATACTTAAGTACTTGAATCAATTCATTTTGTTTCAAATGTGTCATGTAATCAAATAGTAGATGTGCTTTTTGATGTCTGACAAAAAATAAGTTTTTGCATTCTAGTGATAATATACAATACACATAAATTTTTATCTTACAGTCAGAAATGAAGAAGCATCTGAAACTGTATTTCCTCATGATACTACTGCTGTAAGTAAATATGACATTGATTAGACTGTTGAAATTGCTAACAATTTTGGAATGCCTTGTTAAATTATTTATCTTACATTTTTAATTTCCTAATCTGTAATTTATCTAAGCCTTTGAGAAAGTCTCTAAACCTGGTCCTATATGTGATTTTAACTTCCTGTGAAACTCTGCTGTCTCTCTGTTAAAGTTGCATATATACAATATATACCGTAGTCCCCTATTCATGGGGTATACATTCCAATATCCCCCAGTGAATGCTTGAAACCTTAGATAGTACCGAACCCTATATATATATATTAAAAATGTGTAGTATTTATATATATATACCTATAATCTTTTTTTCTATAAGCACATACCCTGTGATAAAGTTTAATTCATAAATTAGGCACAGTAAGAGATTAACAAGAACTAATAATAAAATAGGACAATTATAACAAAATACCGTAATAAAAGTTATGTGAATGTTGTCTCTCTGTCTCAAAATATCTTATTGTTCTGTACTCATGTGGCAGCAGCTTCATCAGCAGATGTGGCCTCTCCAGTAATTTTTATATTTTTCAGTCCAAACCTATTCTTGAATCTGTGTAACCAACCATCCCTTACTTGCAGTAAATGGCTTGGTGTCATTCATTTCAGGGGATCCCTTACTGAAGTTTTCGTTTAGGCTCTATGCTTTCTGGCGTAATATGTAGCTGTCAATCAAAACAACCTGTTCATGTTTTCTACCCACAAATGTAATACCTTTTCTACTTCTATGGTGCACTGTGTGGCCACAACATTTGCAGTTTGAGGTGTGACAGCAAAACCAGCTCATATGTCTTTCTCCTTCACAATCTCACAGATAGATTTGTTCTTACCATAGATGTCGCAGTACAATTTTTTTCCTTTCCTTAAGTCGAGAACTTTCACTGTTTCAATTAAAGGAAGCACTTTATGGCTTCTTTTTGGCATATTTGAATTGCCAGCATCATTATACTTGTGCTTTGGGGCCATTGTTAAGTAAAATAAGGGTGACTTGAACACAAGCACTGTGGTACCACAATAGCCGATCTGATAACCAAGACAACTACTAAGTGACTAATAGGTGGGTACCATATACAGCCTGGATACGCTGGACAAAGGGATGATTCATGTCCCAAGTGGGATGGAGCAAGATGGTGCAAGTTTTTTTTTCTCCATTTCCATTTTCCTTTCCTAAGATTTCCACATCCTAGTGGTGCAAGATTTCATCACACTACTCAGGATGACACACAATTTAAAACTTACTAATTGCTTACTTCTGGAATTTTCCATTAAAAATTTTTGGACCTAGGTTGATTGCAGATAACTGAAATCACCAAAAGTGAAACCATGGATAAGGGGGGACTACTACTATATGTGCATTGAGAGTTTTTATACTAGTGATTTTAAACTATAATTTTTGCAGAATGTGAAAAGCTATTTTTCCAATCATGATGAAAGTCTGAAGAAAAATGATAGATTTATCGCTTCTGTGACAGACAGTGAAAACACAAATCAAAGAGAAGCTGCAAGTCATGGTAAGTCCTCTGTTTAGTTGAACTACAGGTTTTTTTGTTGTTGTTGTTTTGATTTTTTTTTTTTGAGGTGGAGTCTTGCTCTGTCACCCGTGATCTCGGTTTACCGCAACCTCTGCCTCCCGTGCTCAAGCGATCCTGCCTCAGCTTGCCAAGTAGCTGAGATTACAAGCATGCACCACCATGCCCAACTATTGTATTTTTAGTAGAGATGGCATTTCACCATGTTGGCCAGGCTGGTCTCAAATGGTCGTGAGCCACCATGCCCAGCCTGAACTACTCTTTTTAATTGGCACCATTGAAGGATTGCTCCTCTTTTCTTAAAGAGAAAATATATTACCTTTCCTTTCTTGACTACTGAAGTAGTATTTTATCTCAAAGTATTGAGAGTAGAAACTAACTTGGTGTGCCTGTGATCCCAGCTACTCAGGAGGCTGAGGTGGGAGGATCGCTTAAGCCCAGGCGGTCAAGGTTGCAGTGAGCTGTGTGTGTGCCACTGCACTCCCACCTGGGCAACAGAGTGAGACCGTGTCTCAATGGAAAAAAAGAGAAACTAATTTGATTTCGATGACAGTATTTAAATACTGTGTAAGACAGTACTATTTAATATGTGGTTGTGACACAAAAACAAAGCCTATTGAAAATTTTCAGAGACAATAAGATATATAATTAACAAAATCTGAGCTTTTTTTTTTTCTAATTAGAAAGTAAATGTGGTTTAGATATACCATAGTTTACCTAATCAGGTCATGGAATATTGCATTTTTCTTAGTATGTGTGTATGTCTGTATAACTGTGTAGGATTTGATATCTGTTTTTGTCTGTGTGGTATCATGTACGTATGTATATGCATATGTAAAATCAGATTTACCCTTGTTATAGGGCCACAGAATTGATTTGGAACATCTGTTTTGATAGGTCTTAGAATATTTAATTGTATATATAGTAAGATTAGGTGAGTTTTAATTGTGTAGAACTGCTAAAGAAAGGTTTTTAGGGATTGTTGTATGAATAAAAGGCTTTAGGTTCATTGGAATCAGGGGAATCAGGCTTTACTAGAAGAACAGGAGAAGGGGTGACTGACCGAAAAATAAAATGCCAAGTACTCAGAATAACCCTTTAAATACTGATATGTAATATTTAGCACATTCTACATAAACTGTTTCTATGAGAAAGGTTGTGAGAATAATATAAATTATATGGCTTATAAAATATTAATGTGCTTCTGTTTTATACTTTAACAGGATTTGGAAAAACATCAGGGAATTCATTTAAAGTAAATAGCTGCAAAGACCACATTGGAAAGTCAATGCCAAATGTCCTAGAAGATGAAGTATATGAAACAGTTGTAGATACCTCTGAAGAAGATAGTTTTTCATTATGTTTTTCTAAATGTAGAACAAAAAATCTACAAAAAGTAAGAACTAGCAAGACTAGGAAAAAAATTTTCCATGAAGCAAACGCTGATGAATGTGAAAAATCTAAAAACCAAGTGAAAGAAAAATACTCATTTGTATCTGAAGTGGAACCAAATGATACTGATCCATTAGATTCAAATGTAGCAAATCAGAAGCCCTTTGAGAGTGGAAGTGACAAAATCTCCAAGGAAGTTGTACCGTCTTTGGCCTGTGAATGGTCTCAACTAACCCTTTCAGGTCTAAATGGAGCCCAGATGGAGAAAATACCCCTATTGCATATTTCTTCATGTGACCAAAATATTTCAGAAAAAGACCTATTAGACACAGAGAACAAAAGAAAGAAAGATTTTCTTACTTCAGAGAATTCTTTGCCACGTATTTCTAGCCTACCAAAATCAGAGAAGCCATTAAATGAGGAAACAGTGGTAAATAAGAGAGATGAAGAGCAGCATCTTGAATCTCATACAGACTGCATTCTTGCAGTAAAGCAGGCAATATCTGGAACTTCTCCAGTGGCTTCTTCATTTCAGGGTATCAAAAAGTCTATATTCAGAATAAGAGAATCACCTAAAGAGACTTTCAATGCAAGTTTTTCAGGTCATATGACTGATCCAAACTTTAAAAAAGAAACTGAAGCCTCTGAAAGTGGACTGGAAATACATACTGTTTGCTCACAGAAGGAGGACTCCTTATGTCCAAATTTAATTGATAATGGAAGCTGGCCAGCCACCACCACACAGAATTCTGTAGCTTTGAAGAATGCAGGTTTAATATCCACTTTGAAAAAGAAAACAAATAAGTTTATTTATGCTATACATGATGAAACATCTTATAAAGGAAAAAAAATACCGAAAGACCAAAAATCAGAACTAATTAACTGTTCAGCCCAGTTTGAAGCAAATGCTTTTGAAGCACCACTTACATTTGCAAATGCTGATTCAGGTACCTCTGTCTTTTTTTTTTTGTAAATAGTACATATAGTTTTATAGATGACGATTCCTTCTGTGTTTTTTTCTGCTTTTTAAAATCTTCATATCTTATATTTAATCTTAGGCATCATCTGTATACATGATTGTTTAGGTCTTTAATTACCAGTGTTTAGAATCAGGTCACTCAAACATGGTAGATAAGTTTGCATAGTTTGTGTATATCCATCACTCTTGAGACAGTTTTATTTTAAGTTCCGGGGTACATGTGCAGGATGTGCAGGTTTGTTACATAAGTAAACGTATGCCATGTTGGTTTGCTGCACCTGTCAACCCTTCACCTGAGTATTAAGCCCAGCATGCATTAGCTATTTTTCCTGGTGCTCTCCTTCCCCCCACACACCCCCACCTCCTGACAGACCCTAGTGTGTGTTGTTCCCCTCCCTGTGTCCGTGTGTTCTCATTGTTCAGCTCCCACTTATGAGTGAGAACATGTGATGTTTAGTTTTCTGTTCCTGCATTAGTTTGCTTAGGATAATGGCTTCCAGCTCCATCTGTGTCCCTGCAAAGGACGTGATCTTGTTCCTTTTTATGGCTACATGGTATTCCATGGTGTATAGTTCCACATTTTATTTATCCAGTCTATCATTGATGGGCATTTGGGTTGATTCCATGTCTGTGCTATTGTGAATAGTGCTGCAGTGAATGTACAGGTGGATGTATCTTTATAATACAATGATTTATCTTCCTTTGGGTATATACCCCGTAATGGGATTGCTGAGTCAGATGGTATTTTTGGTTCTAGGTCTTTGAGGAATTGCCACACTGTCTTCCACAACGGTTGAACTAATTTACATTCCAGCCAACAACTTGAGACAGTTTTTGACTCATAAACATTCAGAGCTTGGCTAGCTAATTCCTGCTTTAATTTAAAAAGTGTTTATTATATGCAAATTGGACAACTCATATAAATATGTGGTGCTACTTACTATGTATTTTCTCTAAAGCATGTTAAAAAAATAGGCTAGATATAGTGGCTCATGCCTGTAATCTTAGCACTTTGGGAGGCTAAGGCAGGAGGATCACTTATGGTCAGGAGTTTAAGAACACCCTGGGCAACATAGCGAGACCCCATCTCTACAAAAAATTTAAAATACCCAGGCATGGTGGCATGCTTCTGATGTTGTAGCTACTCAGGATGCTCAGACAGGAGGATCACTTGAGCCCAAGTGACTGAGGCTGCAGTGAACCAAAATTGTACCAGTGCACTCCAGCCTGGGCCACAAAATGAGACCTTGTCCCTGAAAAAAAAAAAAGAAAAAAAAAATTTAAATAGAGGAAATACTAGCTAAGTTTAATGTAGGCCAGTTCTAAAATAATGATTTATTGCTGCTGTTGTTACATAATTTTCTTAAATATTTTAAAGATTGCATACTGTTACTGCTCTATTTCTGCATCTCCGTGGTGTAACTCTGTCCTCTTTGTTGTTGCAACAGTTCACTTAGCAACTAAACTGTATGTTTACAAAGTGATTTTATCTCCCTATGAGAAGACTTTAGTGAATAGCTCAGTGAATAGTAGAGTTGGTGAGACCACAGTACAGAACTGTTTGAAGTTTGGGTTAAATTTTTAGAGGAAAATGTTTGATACTATGCATATCATAGTTAAAGCCAATGAAAAAGCTAATATAGGCCAGGCGCAGTGGCTCACGCCTATAATCCCAGCACTTTGGGAGGCCAAGGCAGGCAGATCACTTAAGGTCAAGAGTTCAAGACCAGCCTGGCCAACATGGTAAAACCCCATCTCTATGAAAAAAAACAAAAATTATCCAGATGTGGTGGCATGTGCCTGTAATCCCAGCTACTCGGGACGCTAAGGCAGGAGAATCACTTGAACCTGGGAGATGGAGGTTGCAATGAGCTGAGATCACGCCACTGCACTCCAGCCTGGGTGACAGAACGAGACTCCATCTCAAAAAAAAAAAAAAAAAAAGCTAATACATGTGATCACTGATGAAATGCAATTAAGAACTGGTTAGTAGAAAATTCAGAGGGTCAAGAAATTTAACAGAGCAGTTGAACTCATTTGCCTTTATCGTTGAGATTAGATCATCTTTCAGGCTGTTAGTATATGGACCCTGTTTTTAAAAATTGTGGTTTTGTTTTTTTCAATGTGAAAGAATTAAGAAAATTGTTACTTTTCTAATTCCTTTTCTGTGCCTTGCTTTTCTGTTCACACCAGTATTAACAGCAATGAAATTTTTTCAATTTTATTTTCCAATAAAAATTACTTTGAGTTTTTTTTATGGTAGCTAGCTACTTCCTTGACCTAGATACTAATTTTGATTGAGTTGGTAACTATTATTAAAAAAACAACTTAGGTCTAATTTATCTTGAGCTAAAAAATGTAATAACTGAAAAATAGAGCATATTTAGGATTCTTTCTGCTTTAAATTTGACATTCAGTTATTTTCATGTAATTTGTGTTTTGAGCACTACCTTTTAATTAATTTATTTATTTTTATTTTTTAGAGACTGTCTCATTCTGTTACCTAGTCTGGAGTGCACTAGTGTGATCTCAGCTCACCGTAGCCTCACCCTCCTGGGCTCAAGCAGTCCTTGCACCTCACCCTCCTGAGTAACTGGCACCACAGGCATACACCACCACACCCAGCTAATTTTTATTTTTCATAGAGTCATGGTCTCACTATGTTGCCCAGGCTAGTCTCGAACTCCTGGGCTCAAGCAGTCTTCCTGCCTCAGCCTCCCAAAAGTGCTGAGATTACAGGCATGAGCCACTGTGCCCAAACACTACCTTTTTAACTTAGTGAAAAATATTTAGTGAATGTGATTGATGGTACTTTAATTTTGTCACTTTGTGTTTTTATGTTTAGGTTTATTGCATTCTTCTGTGAAAAGAAGCTGTTCACAGAATGATTCTGAAGAACCAACTTTGTCCTTAACTAGCTCTTTTGGGACAATTCTGAGGAAATGTTCTAGAAATGAAACATGTTCTAATAATACAGTAATCTCTCAGGATCTTGATTATAAAGAAGCAAAATGTAATAAGGAAAAACTACAGTTATTTATTACCCCAGAAGCTGATTCTCTGTCATGCCTGCAGGAAGGACAGTGTGAAAATGATCCAAAAAGCAAAAAAGTTTCAGATATAAAAGAAGAGGTCTTGGCTGCAGCATGTCACCCAGTACAACATTCAAAAGTGGAATACAGTGATACTGACTTTCAATCCCAGAAAAGTCTTTTATATGATCATGAAAATGCCAGCACTCTTATTTTAACTCCTACTTCCAAGGATGTTCTGTCAAACCTAGTCATGATTTCTAGAGGCAAAGAATCATACAAAATGTCAGACAAGCTCAAAGGTAACAATTATGAATCTGATGTTGAATTAACCAAAAATATTCCCATGGAAAAGAATCAAGATGTATGTGCTTTAAATGAAAATTATAAAAACGTTGAGCTGTTGCCACCTGAAAAATACATGAGAGTAGCATCACCTTCAAGAAAGGTACAATTCAACCAAAACACAAATCTAAGAGTAATCCAAAAAAATCAAGAAGAAACTACTTCAATTTCAAAAATAACTGTCAATCCAGACTCTGAAGAACTTTTCTCAGACAATGAGAATAATTTTGTCTTCCAAGTAGCTAATGAAAGGAATAATCTTGCTTTAGGAAATACTAAGGAACTTCATGAAACAGACTTGACTTGTGTAAACGAACCCATTTTCAAGAACTCTACCATGGTTTTATATGGAGACACAGGTGATAAACAAGCAACCCAAGTGTCAATTAAAAAAGATTTGGTTTATGTTCTTGCAGAGGAGAACAAAAATAGTGTAAAGCAGCATATAAAAATGACTCTAGGTCAAGATTTAAAATCGGACATCTCCTTGAATATAGATAAAATACCAGAAAAAAATAATGATTACATGAACAAATGGGCAGGACTCTTAGGTCCAATTTCAAATCACAGTTTTGGAGGTAGCTTCAGAACAGCTTCAAATAAGGAAATCAAGCTCTCTGAACATAACATTAAGAAGAGCAAAATGTTCTTCAAAGATATTGAAGAACAATATCCTACTAGTTTAGCTTGTGTTGAAATTGTAAATACCTTGGCATTAGATAATCAAAAGAAACTGAGCAAGCCTCAGTCAATTAATACTGTATCTGCACATTTACAGAGTAGTGTAGTTGTTTCTGATTGTAAAAATAGTCATATAACCCCTCAGATGTTATTTTCCAAGCAGGATTTTAATTCAAACCATAATTTAACACCTAGCCAAAAGGCAGAAATTACAGAACTTTCTACTATATTAGAAGAATCAGGAAGTCAGTTTGAATTTACTCAGTTTAGAAAACCAAGCTACATATTGCAGAAGAGTACATTTGAAGTGCCTGAAAACCAGATGACTATCTTAAAGACCACTTCTGAGGAATGCAGAGATGCTGATCTTCATGTCATAATGAATGCCCCATCGATTGGTCAGGTAGACAGCAGCAAGCAATTTGAAGGTACAGTTGAAATTAAACGGAAGTTTGCTGGCCTGTTGAAAAATGACTGTAACAAAAGTGCTTCTGGTTATTTAACAGATGAAAATGAAGTGGGGTTTAGGGGCTTTTATTCTGCTCATGGCACAAAACTGAATGTTTCTACTGAAGCTCTGCAAAAAGCTGTGAAACTGTTTAGTGATATTGAGAATATTAGTGAGGAAACTTCTGCAGAGGTACATCCAATAAGTTTATCTTCAAGTAAATGTCATGATTCTGTTGTTTCAATGTTTAAGATAGAAAATCATAATGATAAAACTGTAAGTGAAAAAAATAATAAATGCCAACTGATATTACAAAATAATATTGAAATGACTACTGGCACTTTTGTTGAAGAAATTACTGAAAATTACAAGAGAAATACTGAAAATGAAGATAACAAATATACTGCTGCCAGTAGAAATTCTCATAACTTAGAATTTGATGGCAGTGATTCAAGTAAAAATGATACTGTTTGTATTCATAAAGATGAAACGGACTTGCTATTTACTGATCAGCACAACATATGTCTTAAATTATCTGGCCAGTTTATGAAGGAGGGAAACACTCAGATTAAAGAAGATTTGTCAGATTTAACTTTTTTGGAAGTTGCGAAAGCTCAAGAAGCATGTCATGGTAATACTTCAAATAAAGAACAGTTAACTGCTACTAAAACGGAGCAAAATATAAAAGATTTTGAGACTTCTGATACATTTTTTCAGACTGCAAGTGGGAAAAATATTAGTGTCGCCAAAGAGTCATTTAATAAAATTGTAAATTTCTTTGATCAGAAACCAGAAGAATTGCATAACTTTTCCTTAAATTCTGAATTACATTCTGACATAAGAAAGAACAAAATGGACATTCTAAGTTATGAGGAAACAGACATAGTTAAACACAAAATACTGAAAGAAAGTGTCCCAGTTGGTACTGGAAATCAACTAGTGACCTTCCAGGGACAACCCGAACGTGATGAAAAGATCAAAGAACCTACTCTATTGGGTTTTCATACAGCTAGCGGGAAAAAAGTTAAAATTGCAAAGGAATCTTTGGACAAAGTGAAAAACCTTTTTGATGAAAAAGAGCAAGGTACTAGTGAAATCACCAGTTTTAGCCATCAATGGGCAAAGACCCTAAAGTACAGAGAGGCCTGTAAAGACCTTGAATTAGCATGTGAGACCATTGAGATCACAGCTGCCCCAAAGTGTAAAGAAATGCAGAATTCTCTCAATAATGATAAAAACCTTGTTTCTATTGAGACTGTGGTGCCACCTAAGCTCTTAAGTGATAATTTATGTAGACAAACTGAAAATCTCAAAACATCAAAAAGTATCTTTTTGAAAGTTAAAGTACATGAAAATGTAGAAAAAGAAACAGCAAAAAGTCCTGCAACTTGTTACACAAATCAGTCCCCTTATTCAGTCATTGAAAATTCAGCCTTAGCTTTTTACACAAGTTGTAGTAGAAAAACTTCTGTGAGTCAGACTTCATTACTTGAAGCAAAAAAATGGCTTAGAGAAGGAATATTTGATGGTCAACCAGAAAGAATAAATACTGCAGATTATGTAGGAAATTATTTGTATGAAAATAATTCAAACAGTACTATAGCTGAAAATGACAAAAATCATCTCTCCGAAAAACAAGATACTTATTTAAGTAACAGTAGCATGTCTAACAGCTATTCCTACCATTCTGATGAGGTATATAATGATTCAGGATATCTCTCAAAAAATAAACTTGATTCTGGTATTGAGCCAGTATTGAAGAATGTTGAAGATCAAAAAAACACTAGTTTTTCCAAAGTAATATCCAATGTAAAAGATGCAAATGCATACCCACAAACTGTAAATGAAGATATTTGCGTTGAGGAACTTGTGACTAGCTCTTCACCCTGCAAAAATAAAAATGCAGCCATTAAATTGTCCATATCTAATAGTAATAATTTTGAGGTAGGGCCACCTGCATTTAGGATAGCCAGTGGTAAAATCGTTTGTGTTTCACATGAAACAATTAAAAAAGTGAAAGACATATTTACAGACAGTTTCAGTAAAGTAATTAAGGAAAACAACGAGAATAAATCAAAAATTTGCCAAACGAAAATTATGGCAGGTTGTTACGAGGCATTGGATGATTCAGAGGATATTCTTCATAACTCTCTAGATAATGATGAATGTAGCACGCATTCACATAAGGTTTTTGCTGACATTCAGAGTGAAGAAATTTTACAACATAACCAAAATATGTCTGGATTGGAGAAAGTTTCTAAAATATCACCTTGTGATGTTAGTTTGGAAACTTCAGATATATGTAAATGTAGTATAGGGAAGCTTCATAAGTCAGTCTCATCTGCAAATACTTGTGGGATTTTTAGCACAGCAAGTGGAAAATCTGTCCAGGTATCAGATGCTTCATTACAAAACGCAAGACAAGTGTTTTCTGAAATAGAAGATAGTACCAAGCAAGTCTTTTCCAAAGTATTGTTTAAAAGTAACGAACATTCAGACCAGCTCACAAGAGAAGAAAATACTGCTATACGTACTCCAGAACATTTAATATCCCAAAAAGGCTTTTCATATAATGTGGTAAATTCATCTGCTTTCTCTGGATTTAGTACAGCAAGTGGAAAGCAAGTTTCCATTTTAGAAAGTTCCTTACACAAAGTTAAGGGAGTGTTAGAGGAATTTGATTTAATCAGAACTGAGCATAGTCTTCACTATTCACCTACGTCTAGACAAAATGTATCAAAAATACTTCCTCGTGTTGATAAGAGAAACCCAGAGCACTGTGTAAACTCAGAAATGGAAAAAACCTGCAGTAAAGAATTTAAATTATCAAATAACTTAAATGTTGAAGGTGGTTCTTCAGAAAATAATCACTCTATTAAAGTTTCTCCATATCTCTCTCAATTTCAACAAGACAAACAACAGTTGGTATTAGGAACCAAAGTGTCACTTGTTGAGAACATTCATGTTTTGGGAAAAGAACAGGCTTCACCTAAAAACGTAAAAATGGAAATTGGTAAAACTGAAACTTTTTCTGATGTTCCTGTGAAAACAAATATAGAAGTTTGTTCTACTTACTCCAAAGATTCAGAAAACTACTTTGAAACAGAAGCAGTAGAAATTGCTAAAGCTTTTATGGAAGATGATGAACTGACAGATTCTAAACTGCCAAGTCATGCCACACATTCTCTTTTTACATGTCCCGAAAATGAGGAAATGGTTTTGTCAAATTCAAGAATTGGAAAAAGAAGAGGAGAGCCCCTTATCTTAGTGGGTAAGTGTTCATTTTTACCTTTCGTGTTGCCAATCACTATTTTTAAAGTGTTTATTCAGTAGACTTGGTATGCTAACAATTAAGAGTGTTATAAACTATGTCTTTTCAGCCATTTTTGTGTAGTCAGTTTGGGGGAGTATGGTTTGATATACAGATACACAGATTCAGTATTCGTATACAGATTTGATATCTTGGTATACAGATTCGATATCTCTGAATCTGTATACCAAGAAATCATGTTTTAAGGGTCTCAATATATTTTCAAAAAGATTATTAGTATAATAATTGAGAAATTACTGTTAAAAAGTTTTGAGTTTCTCTAGAAAATTTGAAACTCTTAACAAAACCTGCATAATACTAACTTAACTGTTTTCATATACATAGCAAGTTCAGACTCTGACTTATATGAACTTTAAAAGTTGGTTTCCGGGAGGCCGAGGCGGGCGGATCACGAGGTCAGGAGATCGAGACCATCCCGGCTAAAACGGTGAAACCCCGTCTCTACTAAAAAAATACAAAAAATTAGCCGGGCGTAGTGGCGGGCGCCTGTAGTCCCAGCTACTTGGGAGGCTGAGGCAGGAGAATGGCGTGAACCTGGGAGGCGGAGCTTGCAGTGAGCCGAGATCCCGCCACTGCACTCCAGCCTGGGCGACAGAGCGAGACTCCGTCTCAAAAAAAAAAAAAAAGTTGGTTTCCGATTATACCATTTACTGGGTAATATATACTACTTAGTTACACTACTTACATAGCTTCAGTTTCCTTATCTATAAAATGCAAATAACACCTCCCATGAGGGCTGGGCGTGGCGCTCATGCCTGTAATCCCAGCACTTTGGGAGGCCGAGGTGGGTGGATCACCTGAGGTCAGGAGTTTGAGACCAGCCTGACCAACATGGTGAAACCCCATCTTTACTAAAAATACAAAAAATTAGCCAAGCGTGGTGGCGCGCACCTATAATCCCAACTACTCCAGAAGCTGAGGCAGGAGAATCACCTGAACCTGGGAGGTGGAGGGTGCAGTGAGCTGACATCACACCACTGCTCTCCAGCCTGGGCAACAGAGCGAGACTGTCTCAAAAAAAAAAAAAAAAAAGTGTATTTAAAGCACTTAGCAGTGAACTTGACATATAGTAGGCAGAGAGCATTCAGTAAGTGTTGGCTTGCTCCCTTTTTTTCATTTAGGAAGTGATCTAAAAACAGTATTGTTAGTAAATGGTATCTTGATCTTAATGTTATGTGGACTATTTTAACTTCCCTTTTAAATGTATATATATCTAACAACTTAGTTCAACTACAGTCATGTGTCATTTGACAGGGATATATGTTCTGAGAAATAGATTGTTAGATTTCATCATTGTGGGAACATCATAGAGTATACTTACACAAACCTAGGTGGTATAGCCTACTATATACCTAGGCTGTATGGTATAGCTTATTGCTCCTAGGCTGCAAACCTATACAGCATGTTACTGTCCTGAATACTCTAGGCAGTTTTAACACAGTGGCAAGCATTTGTGTATGTGAACATAGAAAAGGTACAGTAAAAATACGGTATTAAAATCTTATGGGGCTGGGCTCAGTGGCTCATGCCTGTAATCCCAGCACTTTGGGAGGCTGAGGCAGGCGGATCACCTGAGGTCAGGAGTTTGAGACCAGCCTGGCCAACATGGTAAAACCTTGTCTCTACTAAAAATATAAAAATTAGCTGGGCATGGTGGTGGCACACGCCTGTAATCCCAGCTACTAGGGAAGTTGAAGCAGGAGAATCACTTGAACCCTGGAGGCAGAGATTTCAGTGAGCCAAGATCGCACCACTGCACTCCTGCCTGGGCGACAGAGCAAGACTCCATCTGAAAAAAAAAAAAAATCTTATGGGACCACTATTAAAGTCTTATAGGATGACCATTGCATATGTGGTCTATTGTTGACCAAAATGTCATTATGTGGCAAATGACTGCATTAGGTTAACCTTATACATACCTATATTAGGTATGTATTTGGTTTTGTTTTTTTGTGTGTGTTTTTTTCTATTAGTGTATCTGACTGGTAATAATCTTAAATAATTGAATCTGTTTGTTAGTTGCAATTAAAGCAAATGCCAAAACTCCAACATTTCAGTGGATAATCTTAAATAACTAGTTCCTTTTTAAAAAACCTATAAACTCATAAAAATATTTTAGTTATTAGAACTCTTCCTGTCTAGACCCCATGTATTACAGAGAGACACCGAAGTTAGTCTCCTCATTCAAAAAGTGCCTTTTGCCCCTAAGTCATTCTGGTGGATACAGATTTACTTAATCAAGTGTTGTCCAGGTCACATTCAATATAGGATTTACTTTATGGACAAAGTAGTACGTTTATAGTACTTAAACTATTTGCTGTCCTTTAGTGTGAAATTCTGAGGTATATATGCTTAAAGATATTTGTAATTCTTTTGTGGAAAATAATGGCTTTATTTATAGCAACCCATTCTGTTCTTGTGCATACTGAAGTATATTGACTTTCCACCTAGGGAAAAAAAAAACAATAACTCAGACTTGTAAATGCTTTCAACGGTGTTACTACTTAATTTCCCTCATTTCTGTAACATATAAGTGTATAACTTAGTCAGCTTCTGGTTACTGGAACAGTACAGGTCACTGTTAAACAATTAAACCACTTTTATAATAATCTAACACCTCCTAAAGCCTTGCATGGACATTTTTACTTATTAAATTATACAAATTTATTCCCTGTAATAAAGCATCAAAAAGCAAAGTACCTGTTATATATTATCTCAGCATGACATGGAAATGCCTACCTTGAATTATGGTTTAATCTTACCCTCTTAGCCTCTGTAGAATTTTTAAATAAGAATTGTTTCTATTACTAGTACTTTAATGTAATTTGATAATTGTAAAAAGCCTCTTAACTCTAATTCAAGGACCTACATAATAAATTACTCCTTCAGTTAATGGCTGCCCCCGTGCTGAAAAAAAAAAAAAAAAAGAGAGAAAAAGTTTATTTGAAGAAATTTTGTTAGGCCTTATTGCCAGTAAACCTAGAGTTATATTTAGTGTCAGTTTTTCAAAAAGTAGCTTATCTGTGGTATCTGGTAGCATCTGTTTATCCTATTTAGGATTTATCCTGTTTAGACCCTGTTAAATAGTGGTGTTTTAAAGTGGTCAAAACAGAACAAAAATGTAATTGACATTGAAGACTGACTTTACTCTTTCAAACATTAGGTCACTATTTGTTGTAAGTATTTTTGTTTAACATTTAAAGAGTCAATACTTTAGCTTTAAAAAAATGGTCTATAGACTTTTGAGAAATAAAACTGATATTATTTGCCTTAAAAACATATATGAAATATTTCTTTTTAGGAGAACCCTCAATCAAAAGAAACTTATTAAATGAATTTGACAGGATAATAGAAAATCAAGAAAAATCCTTAAAGGCTTCAAAAAGCACTCCAGATGGTAAAATTAGCTTTTTATTTATATCTGTTCTCCCTCTATAGGTATGGTATATAATATTCTGACCTCAGGTGATCCACCTGCCTCTCAAAGTGCTGGGATTACAGACATGAGCCACTGTGCCTAATCAAGGACCTCTTTATACTCTTAAAAATTACTGAGGACCTAAAAGAGCATTTGTTTATGTGGAATATATCTATTGATATTTACCATATTAGAAATGTAAATTGATTAATGTTAAAATTAGTAATATTATGCGTTGGTCATTTGGAAGATATGAGTTCACTGAGTTATGCGGATCTTCCGAAAGTTGACAGTTTTATTATGCAGTATTAAACAATCACTTTCATTGATGCCATTACCGATCAGAAAAGTTTAAGTAGTAGAAAGCTGTCAAGCTTACAGAGCCAGATACAAGCTTCCCAAAAATTCTGATTTTCATCTAAAAGCTTGAATTTTTCCCCGGCAATAAGTATTGTCACTTATTTTTCTTGTAGGTGACAAGCTTATTTTCATTCATTTTTGAAAAGATGTCTGCCGAATACCCAAGTCTGAATAACTATAGTTTGTTGGTTATTCTTTCAAGTAAAAGGTATTTCATGAAAAAATAGCTAGTATAGCTCACAACTCAATCATTTAAGTGTGTTTTCTTGAGAAACGCACTGAAGTATGCAAGCATAATATACCAACAGTACAAATATCAACAGTGAAAAGGACATACATAACATTTTACTAATAAGACAGTTTTGACAGCTTGGATTCCCTAAAATGGTTGTAGATACCTAACAGGATTCCACTGATCATTTCTTGAGAATCATTGTCCTATAATATATACATAATAATCTAAATTTACAATATCAGTATTAACTACTGACAATAAAACTACTAAGGAAAATGTAAGAATTGTTTGCAGTTTTTGTCCTTAGAGTATATAGGTTGAGTATCCCTATCTGAAATGCTTGGGACCAGGACTATTTCAGATTTCAGATTTTTTCAGATTTTGAAATGCTTGCATATACAATACATAATGAGATATCTGGGGATAGGACTCAAGTCTAAACACGAAATTTATTTAAGTTTCATAAACACCTTATACATATAACTTAAATGTAATTTTATACAATATTTTAAATAATTTTTGCATAAGACAATTTAAATTGTGATCCATCACATGAGGTCAGATGTGGAATTTTCTACTGGCCTCATGTTGGCACTCAAAAAGTTTCAGGTTTGTGACCATTTTGGATTTTCAGATTAGGGATACTCAACCCATATATTATTAAGAATGTTTAGTCAAAATACTGTGTTCAAATGTCACTCAAAATAATTCTTCCGGATGTGGTTACCAATTTGATAATTAGGTTACATTCCTTTTTTTCCATTTGTTTTCAATTTTAGGATTTGTCTTTTCTTATTTAATTTTACATTTGAATAAATAAAACATTACATAGTTCATTCATCAGAACTACAAAAAGGTATACTTAGAGTTTTTATTCACCCACCTCTTGCTTACTATAGGTAATCTTTTTTAGTGTTTTTTTTTCAGGATTCTGTTTAATAAAAATAAGCAAATACATGTATATACTCATTACCCTTTCTTACTCAAAAGATACAGTATATACACCATTTTGCACCTTGTTTATTGGTTGTTGTTTACTTAAGAATTATTTGGAGATGACTCCTTAATGAGTATATAGAGATCGTCCTCATTCTTTTTTGTGGTTACATAGTAGTTGATCATCTGGCTGTGTCAGTGTTTCCTAGTTTATTTAACCAATTTCCAACTAGTGGACTTATTGAAGATTTAATTAGGTTCCAGTTACATACTGAGAATGAACAATATCTAAAGCTTAGCTTTTAAACCTTCATAAGACTAAATTTTAAATTTGGTATTTGCATCAGAAATTAGCTAACACCTTTGAGTTATGATGGTTAACATCAACTGACTAAATTTATGCTGATTTCTGTTGTATGCTTGTACTGTGAGTTATTTGGTGCATAGTCATTATCAATTTGTGAATCAATTTATTTTCATAGTTAACATTTATTGAGCATCTGTTACATTCACTGAAAATTGTAAAGCCTATAATTGTCTCAAATTTTTTGTGTATTTACAGTAACATGGATATTCTCTTAGATTTTAACTAATATGTAATATAAAATAATTGTTTCCTAGGCACAATAAAAGATCGAAGATTGTTTATGCATCATGTTTCTTTAGAGCCGATTACCTGTGTACCCTTTCGGTAAGACATGTTTAAATTTTTCTAAATTCTAATACAGTATGAGAAAAGTCTCGTTTTTATAAATGAACATTTCTAAAAATAATGACACTAACGTTAAGAAGTTAACACTTCCCGTTTTATAAAATTTATAAAATACTTTGGTAGTATTTTATAGTGCTGTTCATATCATTATTTTATTTTTTAATTTTATGACAGCTTTGTAAAGTAGACAGATTTTATTCTAATTTTATGGATGAAGTACTAAGGTTGAGAGGAATTAAGGAAATTGCTCCGAATCAGTTAACAAAAAGATTGCAGATATTAAAAATATCCTTTTATCTCTCCTCTCTAAACCTTTAAAAAAGTACTAAGATAGTTTTTTTAATGTATAATTCCCAAGGACAATGATGAGAAGAAACAACAAAAGTTTGGAAGCCAAAAACATAAAGGATTTAGTAAGCATGAGAAAGCTAAAACCTGACACTAGAGCAAACAGAGATGCTTTCCCCTAAAAAACCTGAAAAAGATTCAAATTGGCAGCAACAGGTACTTCTGAAGGTGAAGTAGAAAATAGGAAGATTAGTTGAAATTCTTTTTAAGAAACATCTATATTTCCTCCCCCACTGCAAATAGGCGGTTATCCTTCTTCTGCCAGGAAATCAGAAGGTTGTTCTTGAAAAAGATGAATTGAGAGGATTCTGAATTGAAGGTGGGCTGGAGGGAGGGGACACCAGGCACAATTGAGGGAAAGATACTAAAATGAAAGATCAGATACAAATCTGTATGTCAAGCAGTGAGACCTAGCTCCTTCCCACACTTGGTTCCCAAATGCAGGCCCTCTAGGCATGAGACTGGAAGATTTTTTTTTCCTAGGGAATATGCCTGACCCAATAGAAAAGACCAAAAAATACTGACAGTTGAGGATACTCAGATGAAACAGTATAGCCAGTCACCAGACCAGGAAGTTAACTGTTGACATGCACAGAGCTTCCAGGAAGCTACTTAGTGCTTCACTTTTAAATAAGAAAAGATAGTCAAAGATAACTAGTCATTGGAAGAAAGCTACTATGAAACATAGTCACCAAAGTACAAAATCCATAGCAGAAAGGAACCTAGAGGAAATCGACTATGAAAACTTCATAAAAACCTACTAATATTCTCAGGTAAGAAAAGAAAAAATGGCCGTAAAATAAGAACAAGTTGCTATAAAAAGCTCTTAGAAATTAAAAATATGATAGCACAAATAAATTAACTCAGTAGAAATAATGGAAGAATCATGAAAGTTCCCAGAATACAGAATAAAATGAAAAAAGGTATGAAAAGTCAATTCTGTGGATCTATCATCTGAAAATACAGAGTTTGAGAAGGAAGGCACAGAAGAGAAATGAAGAAAGAAATTTTAAAATAAATACATAATTTTAAAAGTTCTACTAGTACTGAAGGACATGAGTTTCCTTAATTAAAAGGGCCCACTGAGTGAGCACACAAGTAAAAATGACCCACAGTAAGGCACATCCTTGTGAATTTTTAGAATAATAGAGGCAGACAGGAACCTTAAATTCATTAGAGGACCAAGAAGTTAGGTTTCAAATTGTTTCAAGCCATAATAGTATGAATTCTCTTATTATCAACAATGGAATCTAGAAGACTGTAGATCTTATATAATACAGAGAAGTGCCTTCAAAATACTGAGAGAAAATGATTTCCAACCTAGAATCTGAATTAAGTGTGAGGGTAGACATTTTTCAGATGTGAAGTACTAAAAGATCTCTTGTGCGCTTTTCTCAGGAAACTAACCAAAACAAATGCATACACCAAGAAGGAGGAAGGTATAGGACTTAAGAAATAAGAATTCAACATAGAAGAGAGGCAAAGGGAGCTTTCAGGATGATATTGAAGGGAGATCCCAGAGTAGCTGTGTTGCTAAGTCTAGAAAGGCAGCTAGACTACTTTGGAACTGAAGAAGATAAGAGACTTTGGAAGAGTTTGCCTTCAAGATAAAAATAAAGCAGTACCTGCATGTTTTAATGTATTAGGAAACTTCTTAGTAAAGATGGTGAATTGAGGCCAGGCACAGTGGCTTACACCTGTAATCCAGCACATTGGGAGGCTGAGGTGGGTAGATCACTTGAGGCCAGGAGTTCGAGACTAGCCTGGCCAACATGGTAAAATCCCATCTCTACTGAAAATACAAAAATTAGCCAGGCGTGGTGGCACACGCCTGTAATCCCAGCTACTCCAGAGGCTGAGGCACAAGAACCGCTTGAACCTTTGAGGTGGAGGTTGTGGTAAAATTGCACCACTGCACTTCAGCCTGGGTGACAGAGTGAGACTCTGTCTCAAAAAAAAAAAAAAAAAAAAAAAGATGGTGAATTGAACATACTCATATCCTTTCTTTGCCTTCCAAACTTTTACCAAAACATCATTGAAGAAACTTACACACACACAAAAAAAAAACAAGGAAAATAGGAAATAACAAAGTAACTAAATTTCTCAAAGCATGCAGAAGGAAACTGAATGAAAGCTGGTGGTGGGGACAGCAGAGAACCAACGATTTTACACTCAGGTCTCAAAAGACTAGGAATTGGTGGCTTCATTTCTTATCTTTAGAATTGGGTGGTGCAGAAGGAGGGAGCCAAAATGGAATAAGTTGAAATTATGTTTAAGAAGCAATACTCGCCGGGTACGGTGGCTCACATGGAGGCTGAGGCGGGTGAATCACCTGAGGTCAGGAATTCGAGACCAGCCTGGCTAACATGGTGAAACCCCATCTCTGTTAAAAATGCAAAAATTAGCTCGGCATGGTAGCATGCCCCTGTAATCCAGCTACTCAGGAGGCTGAGGTGGGAGAACTGCTTGAACCCAGGAGGTGGAGGCTGCAGTGAGCCAAGATTGCGCCACTGCACTCCAGCCTGGACGACAGAGCAAGACCCCACATCAAAAAAAAAAAAAAAAAAGCAGCAGCAGCAATACTCATGAAGCTGGGCAACTGTCTCCTGCCCGCTCTATGAAAAGAACCAGAGGCTTATTCTCCAGAGAGGATACAGTAGAAGGTGAACACACTAGGCACAGTTGAAGGCAGAAGCAACTACTTGAAAGCAAGAAGAAGTTAATATATGCATATTGAATGTTGGGATCTCCCCTCACCAAGCCCTTTTCCACCACTCAGCTTCCAGAACATAGACAGCTAAGTTTTCACTAGTGGAAGTTTCCATTTAATCAAGCTACTGTGTAGCTTGCAGTCAACAAGTTCTATCTTTGTACCAAGTGCTTCAAAACAGCCTTTTGGTCCCTCACTCTTAACTATAAACAGACATCCAAAGATTATGAGACATCAGAAAAAGCAAAAATAAAATAACCAAAAAACACATTAATGAAAACAACTTAGAAGAAACATTATTCAAGGAGAAGAAAAAATGTTTTTTTAAAAACTATAATTTGTGAACAGAATGAAAAGAGGTTTATATATATAGCTAAGAGTTTAGATGTGAATAAACAGTAAGTACATAGAAAATAAGCAGATTTTAAAAATTAACTCAAGAGAAAGCAAAAGTTGTAAAGGAAGTACACTATTTATATACTACCCATTAATGGCCGGGTGTGGTGGTTCACGCCTGTAATCCCAGCACTTTGGGAGGCCGAGGCGGGTGGATCACAAGGTCAGGAGATCGAGACCATCCTGGCTAACATGGTGAAACCCCATCTCTACTAAAAATAACAAAACAAAATTAGCCAGACGTAGTGGTGGGCGCCTGTAGTCCCAGCTACTTGGGAGGCTGAGGCAGGAGAATGGCATCAACCCAGGAGGCGGAGCTTTCAGTGAGCCGAGATTGCACCACTGCACTCCAGCCTGGGCGAGAGAGCGAGACTCCGTCTCAAAAAAAAAACAACAAAATAAAAAAATAAAATAAAATATACTGCCTATTAATACTACATATACTTTATACTGACTTAGCCGTAATGTAAATGTTGAACATTGATAGTGAGAGGTGAAGCTGGCTGGGCTTCTGGGTCGTGTGGGGACTTGGAGAACTTTTCTGTCCGGCTAAAGGATTGTAAACACACCAATCAGCGCTCTGTGTCTAGCTAAAGGTTTGTAAACGCACCGGTCAGCACTCTGTGTCTAGCTAAAGGTTTGTAAATGCACCAATCAGCACTCTGTAAAATAGACCAATCAGCAGGACGTGGGCGGGGCCAAATAAGGGAATAAAAGCTGGCCACCTGAGCCAGCCCCAGCAGCCGCTCGGCTCCACTTCCATGCCATGGAATCTTTGTTTTTTCACTCTTTGCAATGAATCTTGCTGCTGCTCACTCTTTAGTGAGCACTACCTTTATGAGCTGTAACACTCACCACGAAGGTCTGCGGCTTCACTCCTGAAGTCAGCAAGACCACGAACCCACCAGGAAGAAGAAACAACCCTGTACGTGCCATCTTTGAGAGCTGTAACACTCACTGGGAAGGTCTGCGGCTTCACTCCTGAAGTCAGCAAGACCACAAACCCACCAGAAAGAAGAAACTCTGGACACATCTGAACATCAGGAAGAACAAACTCGGGACACACTATCTTTAAGAACTGTAACACCATGAGGGTCCACAGCTTCATTCTTGAAGTCAGCAAGACCAAGAACCCACCAGAAGGAACCAATTCCGGACACAGTAGAATTAAATACGTAATTTAGGAAGATGAAAGGCAAGAGTGTGTGTGTAGTAAGGTAGAAGCTGTGTTGACAGAGCTGAATTTTCATTTTCTGTAGGGGTACTTCAAGAGAAAAAGTCAAGAAGAAACATGTCACTTAGACATATAAATATGATAAAATCATCTAAAACTGTTTAAAGTAGTTGCAAAATCTTTTCTAGCTGATAAATTTTTAAGCCTAAAAATATCATTGAAATTATTTTAATGTTACATTTTATTTTATTTTATTTATTTATTTATTTATTTTGATACAGAGTCTCACTCTGTCGCCCAGGCTGGAGTACAGTGGCACGATCTTGGCTCACTGCAACCTCTGCCTCCTAGGTTCAAGCGACTCTCCTGCTTCAGCCTCCCAAGTAGCCGGGATTACAGGCGCGTGCCACCATGCCCGGCTAATTTTTTGTATTTTTACTAGAGAAGGGGTTTCACCGTGTTAGCCAGGATGGTCTGGATCTCCTGACCTCGTGATCCGCCCACCTTGGCCTCCCAAGGTGCTGGGATTACAGACGTGAGCCACTGTACCAGGCCTAATGTTACCTTTTCAAAAACACCTGATTGTGGAATTGTTGAAGTCACTGAGTTGTATTTCTGGAATGTGTTTTTTAGCAGGCTGCACATACACATATGTAGAAAGCCAGGTGATTTTTTTTTCATTTCTTTTTTTTTTATCAAAAACAGTTGTATTAAATAAGAAAGGAAATACGTATTTACCCGTGTATTACCTTAATTTATGTGTAAAATGGGAGAATAGTTTAATGTATTTAACAAACAAACATTTGTTAAAGTACCTGCTCAAACTACCTAATATATACTATAGTGAAAGATATAAGGATAAATAAGTCTAACTCAGATTGCTAGCCTGGGAACCAGACATGAAAACAAGAATTATAATGTAATATAAATTCTAGAATAGATGTAAAAAGTGATCTAAGAACATAGAAAAATTATCAGCTAATCACATGACTGCTCAATGGGAAAAGTACTTCAGACAGAATGTAAAGAATGCTTGGTTAAAGATGGCATTCCAAATCTTGGAATTTGGTTGGGGGACAGAGGGAAACAAAAAGAAATGGGGAGGTTAGGACCAAATAGGAAGCTTCCTGTATGTCATTTCTGATAAGTTGAAACCTAGGTAGGTGATAGGCTGTCTTTGGAAGTTTCTAACAAGAGGAACAAAATAAGATTGGTGTTTTAGAAGTATACCAAAGCAAAACTGTTGCAAGGAGATTAGTAAATACAGGTCTTAACCTAGCAGAGGAGGTAGAGGGTAGAGAATGATTGAGATAGAAATTCAGTAGATTTGGCCAGATAGTGATAAGTTGAGACTGGCAAATTATTTCCACTTAGATTTAAATAGATATCTTGAGCATAACCTACAAGGCAAACTCCTTATACTAAAAATATTCTGAATATTTAAAAAGAAAGGATTAAAAGATCAATCAATAGAAGTTTGGGGACAGAAGGTTTATTCATTCTTGTGCATTAGATCTCATCTAGATCACCTGTTTGAAGAAATCATTCCAGCAATTATCTTGTCTCTCTCCTGCATGGATTTTTTTCCTAATAGATTGTTCTCATCACCCTAAGCAGTTGTTGTACATCTCTCATCTTAAAAAGAACAGCCTTTCTTAAGTAATCTCAACAGTCCATTTTCTTCTCTTAAAGCCCAACTCATTAGAATTGTCCCTCCTCTTTTCACTTATCTCTTTGAGTACTCTCCTGAACCCAGTCTAGTCAGTCCTTTCAGTAGAACTGGTCCCCCTGCTTACCTCCCTACTCCTCAATACACAGTGAATTCTCAACAAAGAAGCCGGGGGATCCTTTTAAACATAAGACAGATTATGTCATTTCTTTACTCAGAACTATTCCGTGGTGTGCCATCTCAGAGTAGAGACTAAAAGCCCTTGTCATGGTGTACAGATTCTTCATGATCTGGCTGCTTTGCTATTTTTCCAGTCTGACCTTCTAATGTTCCCCTTGCTCTCCTTGCTCCAGGCACACTTGTGTCTAGGCCAATCGACATATTTGTTTGTCTGTTTCCTTCCACTGAAATATACATGCAAAAACAAAATTTTGTTACCGTGTTCCCCAGCAAAACAATGTCTGGCACCTGGTAGGAATTCATTAAATAGTTGATGGATGGGCGAACGGATAACTAAAGGAACAACTTCAAGTTCCAGGTATCCAGGGTTTGGTAAAAGGAAATCTGGGGTTTTCAACAAGATATCAAGTATTAGGAAGACCACGTATGCTGAGAAAGATGATCACTTTTGGACATGTTGAGTTTGAAATGAGTGTGAAACATCAAGGTACAGATGTCTGATGCTATATGTAGTGTAAAATGTAGGAACAACCCTAGGAGAAAAATCGGGCATGAGGATAAAGGATATTTTCATTGTTAGGTGATAATTTAAGCAATGGAAATGACTCACATTAGCAAGGGAAAGTGTCTAAGGAAGACATCCAGTTTTGGAGACTTTTTTTGAGGAATCAGGAAGAGGTAAAACCAGTAAAAGATGAAAGAGGTACAGTGATGGTGAGAATTTTAAAAGAAGGAAAATGTAAACTGTCATAGCTATTAGGAAAGTTGAGTAGAATGAGTTTGCGTGCATCCCACATGCATCTGGGAGGTCATTAACAACTTTATTGAGAACAGTTTCTGTAGAGTAGTGGGAGAAATGAGAGTTTATTGAGTAGAGATTGAGGAAGTGAAAATAGCTACATTACCTATTGAAGAAGGTTGACTGTGGAGTGTAACAGTGAGTATTAGCTTGAGGCAGAGATAAAGGTGAGTGAGAAAATAAGAGTTTCAAAGGTAGGCAAGATTTTTGGGCTAAATAAAAAGGGCACTTTAAAAAAGGTATAAATAGGTAGAAGAGAGAAAAGGGAGCGAGGTGGGATAATTGAAAGAGGGGATCTCCTGTGGAGACTGAGGTATTAGGCGGAGTAGAGAGTTCAGGTGAAGATGTGAAGGTGAGAGAAGAGGATGGGTAGACATTTCCCTGGTGAAGGAGGTAAGGAGTACTATGATGGAATTAGAGGGGACACACTGAGAGGGTCCACACTTGACAGACTCTCTTCTATTATGTGTTATGTGAGGTAGATTGTAAAGTCAAAGGCTAGCCTTGAAAAATGTGATATTGTTTTGGAATGGCAACCATGGTGAATACAAAACAGTTACCAGAATAGTATCACCATGTAGCAAATGAGGGTCTGCAACAAAGGCATATTCCTAAATATTTATATGTGTACTAGTCAATAAACTTATATATTTTCTCCCCATTGCAGCACAACTAAGGAACGTCAAGAGATACAGAATCCAAATTTTACCGCACCTGGTCAAGAATTTCTGTCTAAATCTCATTTGTATGAACATCTGACTTTGGAAAAATCTTCAAGCAATTTAGCAGTTTCAGGACATCCATTTTATCAAGTTTCTGCTACAAGAAATGAAAAAATGAGACACTTGATTACTACAGGCAGACCAACCAAAGTCTTTGTTCCACCTTTTAAAACTAAATCACATTTTCACAGAGTTGAACAGTGTGTTAGGAATATTAACTTGGAGGAAAACAGACAAAAGCAAAACATTGATGGACATGGCTCTGATGATAGTAAAAATAAGATTAATGACAATGAGATTCATCAGTTTAACAAAAACAACTCCAATCAAGCAGTAGCTGTAACTTTCACAAAGTGTGAAGAAGAACCTTTAGGTATTGTATGACAATTTGTGTGATGAATTTTTGCCTTTCAGTTAGATATTTCCGTTGTTAAATAATGTCCTGATGGTTTTCCCCCTTTGGTGGTGGTAATTTTAAAGCCCTTTTTAATGTTTTAGATTTTCTAAATCCAAAGATTAGGTTTAAATTATTCTAATGTTTCTTTCAAAGATAACTTCTTGTGGACTTGTTAAAAAAAATTAGACACACAATCTAGGACTGCTGTTACTGGAATATATTTTCTATCATGCTACTAATTTTCTTTTTAAAATGTGATAAAAATAGGGCCGGGCGTGGTGGCTCATGCCTGTAATCCCAGAACTTTGGGAGACTAAGGCGGGCGGATCACCTGAGGTCAGGAGTTCAAGACCAGCCTGGCCAACATAGTGAAACCCTGTCTCTACTAAAAATACAAAATAAATAAATAAATAAATAAATAGCTGAGCGTGGTGGCAGGCACCTGTAATCCCAGCTGCTTGGGAGGCTGAGGCAGGAGAATCGTTTGAACCCGGGAGGCAGAGGTTGCAGTGAGCCGAGATCGCGCCATTGCACTCCAGCCTGGGCAACAAGAGTGAAAAACTCTGTCTCAAAAAGAGATAAAAATAGTAAAGATATTCATATTTATACAGCTTTACAAGTTGAAACATCCTTTCATTTATGAAGAATTAAAAGGGGTACCCTTTTTAGAGAAAAGGAGAGCATGTAAACTTCGAGGAAATTGATATGTATAATTTTATAAAACAGGGCTTGCGCTTTTTTTTTTTTGAGACAGAGTTTCGCTCTTGTTGCCCAGGCTGGAGTGCAATGGTGCAACCTCGGCTCACCGCAACCTCCTCCTCCCGAGTTCAAGTGATTCTCCTGCCTCAGCCTGCTGAATAGCTGGGATTACAGGCATGTGCCACCACACCTGGCTACTTTTGTGTTTTTTTTACTTTTATATATTTTTTTTTTGTTTAGTAGAGACAGGGTTTCTCCATTTTGGTCAGGCTGGTCTTGAACTCCCGACCTCAGATGATCTGCCCGCCTCAGCCTCCCAAAGTGCTGGGATTACAGGCGTGAGCCACTGTGCCTGGCCAGGGGTTGTGCTTTTTAAATTTCAATTTTATTTTTGCTAAGTATTTATTCTTTGATAGATTTAATTACAAGTCTTCAGAATGCCAGAGATATACAGGATATGCGAATTAAGAAGAAACAAAGGCAACGCGTCTTTCCACAGCCAGGCAGTCTGTATCTTGCAAAAACATCCACTCTGCCTCGAATCTCTCTGAAAGCAGCAGTAGGAGGCCAAGTTCCCTCTGCGTGTTCTCATAAACAGGTATGTGTTTGTCTACAATACTGATGGCTTTTATGACAGAGTGTAATTTTATTTCATTAACTAGTATCTACAAATGGCTTTGTTTAAAGAATGAACACATTAGTGCAGGAATGGATGAATGAAATCATCATATTTTCTAATTAGCCTGCAGTGGCAGCCTCTGGCCCCTTGCTAGGCCTGCCTCATCCTGCTAAAGTGATCTGTGCTTCCAAATTACTACTTCTTTTCCCCCTTCAAATCTTTCTTATTTTGTCATTGTAAATGCTCTCAGCTAGGTGTTAAAGTAGTCTTACTGATATTCAAATGTGAATAACTGATAGCCCTGAACCTTCTATGAGCTATTTATATTTTCCAAAGAGGATTCTCCTTAAGCCAATATTATCTAGGTAGAATTTTAGGCAATGGAGAGGTGAAAATAATATTGATGACATTAATAGCTAACTTTGAGCATTTTCTAGGTGTAAGATGCTCTTCTAAGCACTTCACATGCATTAGGTATATCTTGCTTAATCCTCACAGTCACCTTGAAAGAAAGGCACTGTTACTTTGTTTCCATTTTGCAAATGAGAGAACTGAAGCATAGAGAGGGTTAAGTAACTGCCCCAAAGTCACTTAACTAGTAAGTGGAAGTGCTATGATTCCAAAGCAAAGAGTCTGACTCCAGAGTCAAACTCTGAACAAACAAAAAGACACTTTGGGTTAGATATCCTGGGGTGAAAGCAAGCACTTTGAAAGTAAGCCAAGCCTGTGTACAGATCTGACCACCTGAGGTCACATTCCCTAAAATACTTAAACTTCTCCCTTTTGTTTCCCATCTAAGTTTTTGAACTTAAGAGATTTTGTAAAACATCACATTTTTTTATCCTCACAGTACCTTCCTATGGCAGATTTAGCAGGAGGCGTATAAACGGGGTGGAAAAGGTACAGCAGACTGTGGAATGTATGGATCATTTATATTACATTAAAATTTTTAGTTTCTAGTAAATAACTTAAATGTTTTTGTAGTGAAGATTCTAGTAGTTAATGAAAATTTTTGGTAAATTCAGTTTTGGTTTGTTATAATTGTTTTTATTGTGTGATACATGTTTACTTTAAATTGTTTTTCTTTTTTGTGTGTGTTTATTTTGTGTAGCTGTATACGTATGGCGTTTCTAAACATTGCATAAAAATTAACAGCAAAAATGCAGAGTCTTTTCAGTTTCACACTGAAGATTATTTTGGTAAGGAAAGTTTATGGACTGGAAAAGGAATACAGTTGGCTGATGGTGGATGGCTCATACCCTCCAATGATGGAAAGGCTGGAAAAGAAGAATTTTATAGGTACTCTATGCAAAAAGATTGTGTGTTAACTTTTATGTATTCCCTCATCCCTCTTTCTTCTCTTAACTGTCTCTCGAACTAAAAAGTTGGCTAGAAATCAAATTTTTATGCATTTAATTGTTTTAAGTGCATTATGGTTAAGCATTCTGTAGAAGTCTTTTGAAAAGTGCTGTTTGTCCTGGGGTTTAATGAACTGGATTTTCTTGATTTGGGACATTTTTCTTAGGCATTTATAAATATAGCCCAATTTATAAAGTTAAATTTGGCCGGGTACAGTGGCTCATGCCTGTAATCCCAGCACTTTGGGAGGCCGAGGCGGGTAGATCACCTGAGGTCAGGAGTTCGAGACCAGCCTGGCCAACGTGGCGAAACCCCATCTCTACTAAAAGTACAAGAACTATCTGGGCGTGGTGGCAGGCACCTGTAATCCCGGCTACTCTGGAGGCTGAGGCAGGAGAATCGCTTGAACCTGGGAGGCAGAGGTTGCAGTGAGCCAAGATTGAGCCACTGCACTCCAGGCTGGGCGATAAGAGTGAGACTCCATCTCAAAAAAAAAAAAAAGAAAAAAGTTAAATTTGAGGGCCAGACATGGTGGCTCATGCCTGTAATCCCAGCACTTTGGGAGGCTGAGGTGGGCAGATCTCTTGAGCACAGGAGTTTGAGACCAGCCTGGGCAACATGGTGAAAACCCATCTCTACAAACAAATTAAAAAATTAGCCCAGCCAGGCGCGGTGGCTCACGCCTGTAGTCCCAACACTTCGGAAGGCCAAGATGGGCCAATTACCTGAGGGTCAGGAGTTCGAGACCAGCCTGGCCAACATGGTGAAACCCCAGCTCTACTAAAAATACAAAAATTAGCCAGGTATGGTGATGCATGCCCGTAATCCCAGCTACTCGGGAGGCTGAGGCAGGAGAATCATTTGAGCCCAGTAGGTGGAGGTTGCAGTGAGCCAAGATCACGCCACTGCACTCCAGCCTGGGCAACAGAGCAAGACCCTATTTCAAAAAAGGCCAGGTGCGGTGGCTCACACCTATAATCCCAGCACTTTGGGAGGTTGAGGTGGGCAGATCACCTGAGGTCAGGAATTTGAAACCAGCCTGGCCAACATGGCAAAACCCCATCTCTACTAAAAATACAAAAATTAGCTGGACGTGGTGGCACGCGCCTGCAATCCCACTTACTTGGGAGGCCGAGGCAGGAAAATCGTTTGAACCCGGGAGGCGGAGGTTGCAGTGAGCCAAAATTGCACCACTGCACTGCAGCCTGGGCAACAGTGAGACTCCATCTCAAGAAAAAAAAAAAAAAAAAAAAAGAAAGTTAAATTTGAAATGGCCTTATGGTAGATTCCTCCCCCGACACACACTTACTTCATGTTTTCTTTCATTATATATTTTAATGGATACAAAATATAAATAAACACTAAAAGTTAAACAGAAATATTTGAATATCAATAATGCCAAATAACTAGAAAATCTCAGAGCTCTAAAACAGCAACAATTTAGAAACTATATAACCTCTTTTTATTGTAGTTTTTACAGAAACATAATTTAAAGCTTTTTGTTATCAGAGATATATTACATTATGCCAGTGGCAAAAGATGGGATTTATTTCCTCAGCATCCTTATCTTTAAATTTCTGTACATCTTTCCAAAATTTATAGCTTTGGAAAAGTGATAAAACTTTTTTTCCTGAATTTTGTTTTAACTTTTAAAAACAGAAATATTGTTTACATCTTGCGTATCTTATATAACAAACATCTGCTTATAGATTCCAGTAAGAAAAGTTGGTTAAACGGTTGTATTATTTTCTCGTACTAAATAGACTGCATAAGGTAGAAGTTAAGAATGATTGCCCTGTAGTCTAAGTGGAAATGTGGAGGCTTTCGTTAGTTTTTTCTGATAATTCAGCAAATCTCTATTGAGCACTTGCTATGTGCCAGGTACTATTCTGGGTACTAGGGATAATAAAGGAAAACAAAAAAGTCCCTGCCCTGATGAGTCATACATTCTATGTGGAAGGCATAGAAAATATTGAAATATAAGTGAATTGTGTAGTATGTTAGAAGAAGATACATACTATAAAGATAGATAAAGTTGGAAAGGTGGCAGAGAAAGTTGGGCAAGGAGATGCGATTTTTAATCTAATAAGTAGTTAGGAAGGCTTCACTGAGTCAGCTACATTTGATAAATGACCTAAAGTAAAAGGAGGGAGCATAGGACTATCCTAGCAAAAGACCCCCAGCCTCTAAGAGGGGAGCATGCTTGAAGTATTTGAGGAACAGGAAGTTAGTGCAACTGGAGTAGAGTGGGCAGGAGAAGAGTAGTAGTAGATGAGATACAAAAGGAAGACCTCATAGACCTTCGTAAGACCCTTACCTTTTACTCTGCACGATTTTTACTGAATAAACCACTGGAAGGCTTAAAGGGTAACATGATCTGACTTTTTTTTGAGACAGTCTCACTCTATTGCTCAGGCTGGAGTGCAGTGGTGCAATCTCGGCTCACTGCAGCCTCCACCTCCCAGGTTCAAGCGATTCTCCTGCCTCAGCCTCCCGTGTAGCTGGGACTACAGGCGCGCACCACCGTGCCCGGCTGATTTTTGTGTTTTTAGTAGAGACAGGGTTTCACCATGTTGGCCAGGTTGGTCTCAAACTCCTGACCTCAGGATCCACCCTCCTCGGCCTCCCAAAGTGCTGGAATTACAGGTGTGAGCCACTGTGTCCAGCCTGATCTGACTTATTTTTGAAAAAATAATTCTGGCTGTTTGTTGAGGAGAGGGGCAAAGATGGACACACAGAGACCACTTAAGCTATTGCAGAAATACATGTGAGAGGTGGTTGGTTGGACCAGGGAAGTGGCAGTGGAATTGGTGGAAAGCAGTTGGACTCTGGGGTATTTTGAAAGTGGCACTATTAGGAGTTGCTCAAGGATTAGATATAAAACGTGAGAGAGGAGGAGAATAAGAATGGCTGTGAAGATTTTGGCCTTAGCAGCTGGAAGGATAGAGTTGTATGTAACTACTAGAATTGAGAAGACCAAAGATGGAGGGAAATGGAGAGTTTGGTTTTGGACATTTGAAGCTTGAGATGTAATAGTAGACAGCCAAGTGGAGATGTTAGGTAGGCAGTTGGATATGGAAGTCTATACACAGGTAAAGTATAGGCCAAATAAATCAATTCACAAGTCATCGGCATATAGATGGACTTGAAGGCCATGAAAAAGAGACTGAGAAAGAGCAGCCAGAAAGTTAGGAATAAATGCAGAATGGGGTGTTGCATTCCAAATGAAGATGGAATTTTAGGGAATAGAAAATGACCAGCTGTGGAAGCTGCTTCTAATAGGTAAAGTAAGATGAGGACTGAGATTGGCCGCTGGATTTAGCACTGCAGAAGACATTACTAATGTTATTAAAAATAGCTCAATAGATTGGTGGAGTGATATCCTGATTAGAATGCAATTAAAGAGCAGTTGAAGAGGAGGAATTGGAGACACAGAATACAGTCGATTCTTTTGGGAGTTGCCAAAAAGAAGCAGAGAGAGGGACATTGCTTGGAGAGGAAGTAGGATCAAAGAGTCTTAGTTTTGGCTTGTTTTAAGGTAGAAAAAAACCGTTTCTTATGCTGATTCACATTGTTCAGTAGAGAGGGAAAAAATTGATGATGCAGGAGAGAGAGGAGGCATTTCCTGATCGTTGGCCTTGTAGGCAGCAAGGGGTAGGAGCTAGTGCACAAATGGTAGAAGAGGGCAAAGTGTAAGGATGCAGATGCTTGGAAGAGGGCAAAGTGTAGGGATACAGATGCTGTGAGTGGATAGATATGAGGGTGGGAGCTTATGGAAGTTCTCTTTTGATTACTTCTGTTGTCTTAGTGCTAAGAGTATGAATGAGAAAGGAGGAGTTAGAGATTTGAGAACAGAGGGGACAGGATCAAAGAGAGCACCAAGACTAAGAAAGGCAGTTCTCAGGCGTGATTTCTAAAAAAATCTCTTTCATAAGAAAAATAATCTAAAATATAATTATTTAAAATCAAGGATCTCATTTTTCAGGAACAAATATGAGTTGAAATCATTCTGTTGACTGTTAAGTGGAATTTTTTGTTTTGTTTTTATATTTTGAGATAGGGTCTCACTCTTGTCCAGGCTGGAGTGCAGTGGCACTATCATGGCTCACTGCAGCCTCAACCTCCTGGGCTCAAGCAATCCTCCCACCACAGCCTCCTAAGTAGCTGGGACCACAGATGTGAGCTACCACTCTTGGCTGATTTTTTTTATTATTTTTTGTAGAGATGTGGGGGTCTCACTATGTTGCCTAGGCTGGTCTCAAACTTCTGGCCTCAAGCAATCCTCCTGCCTCAGCTTCCCAAAATGCTGGGAGTATAGGCATGAGCCACCATGCTCAGCAATGAAGTTTTTATCAGTATGATACTTTGATACATGTCAAATAATTTTCTGAAATTATATTGTAGATCATATGAACTCATAAAAACTTAATGATCTTGAACAATGTAGTTTTTGTACAGAGAATAGTTGTAGTTGTTGAATTCAGTATCATCCTATGTGGTTTTTATGATAATATTCTACTTTTATTTGTTCAGGGCTCTGTGTGACACTCCAGGTGTGGATCCAAAGCTTATTTCTAGAATTTGGGTTTATAATCACTATAGATGGATCATATGGAAACTGGCAGCTATGGAATGTGCCTTTCCTAAGGAATTTGCTAATAGATGCCTAAGCCCAGAAAGGGTGCTTCTTCAACTAAAATACAGGCAAGTTTAAAGCATTACATTACGTAATCATATACGGCAGTATGGTTAAGGTTTCTGTGTAGTCTGTGACTTCCATGTCAAAATGTTGCACAAGCCAGTTGTCAGTGACAGTTGCCATCCCACACTGCTGTTCTCCTGTCATCCCTAGCCCCCATTTAAGAGAGATCACACATTCATGCATTGCTTGCTTCCCTCTTTCCCCACCCCCTCCTTAACCTCTTGATGTATGAGAAGAATATGAGTTACTAATTTGATCCACTATTTGGGGATTGCTAATAAAGCATTTTTGCATTTTATTTTTTGCTTTTTAAAAATAATTGATATTTTAACAATATGAAACAATATATTCCTAGCTACAAAATTTTTAATTCTCAGTATTTCTTAGATAAATTCAGTTTTTATTCTCAGTTATTCAGTGACTTGTTTAAACAGTGGAATTCTAGAGTCACACTTCCTAAAATATGCATTTTTGTTTTCACTTTTAGATATGATACGGAAATTGATAGAAGCAGAAGATCGGCTATAAAAAAGATAATGGAAAGGGATGACACAGCTGCAAAAACACTTGTTCTCTGTGTTTCTGACATAATTTCATTGAGCGCAAATATATCTGAAACTTCTAGCAATAAAACTAGTAGTGCAGATACCCAAAAAGTGGCCATTATTGAACTTACAGATGGGTGGTATGCTGTTAAGGCCCAGTTAGATCCTCCCCTCTTAGCTGTCTTAAAGAATGGCAGACTGACAGTTGGTCAGAAGATTATTCTTCATGGAGCAGAACTGGTGGGCTCTCCTGATGCCTGTACACCTCTTGAAGCCCCAGAATCTCTTATGTTAAAGGTAAATTAATTTGCACTCTTGGTAAAAATCAGTCATTGATTCAGTTAAATTCTAGAAGTTTTACATTTAAATTTTAAATGCTTACTAAGGATGCTCAATTTCTTAGATGTACTGATAATTTTAGTATAAAAAGCATATTCTTCAGACAGTTAAAGTTTTTGTGCAGTTTTTGGGAGGTCCAGAGATCTTTCTTGAGCTTAAATAATGCATTTCCAATTAAAAAGCAAAATAAATTTGCACCATTTGATTTTGGTATCTGTAGCTTGCTGCCCTCTTGTTCTCATAGCTTTGCTTTGATCAGATCCCTATTCCACTCTGGATTAGAGAATTACATTTTAGTACTTTTCAAATATGTAATAGATACACTTTTTATCTCTATGTAGATTTTAAACTACATAACAGGACTCTTTGTCATATTGAATGGTCTGCAGTATTGCTATCTGAAATTACCGATAATATTGTACATTCAGATTCACTTAAGAGGTAACCTTGCAGAGAATTTACTTCTGTGGTATTCTGGATCACTCTAAAGAGAATGTTTTATAAATTAAACATTTTTAAGGTAAAGATATATTTTGTTTGGCATTAGTTCCATGTTGGATTGATTGCTTTTTACTGAAAGCATTCCATCAAGCTGAAACAGTCTTTTGTTTTATGTTGCTTAGAACATCAAGCTTGCAGTGGCTTTCATTTTCTTGTTTTTGTTTTTTTTTAAATCAAATCAATGCATGTGCATAATTTGGAAACTCAAGTAATATAAGACATATAACCAAAAAAAAGCAGTTGCTAGCACAACCCTCCCCATCCTCATTCATGGTCCCAAGAGGCAATCGTTTCCAGTCTGTTTGACTATTTTTTAGCTTGTACTGCTGTCTTCTTTCTCTCTTCAGTTTAGACAGCAACCGTTAACTTCCTGCTATGGAAAATGAGGATTTCATTGTCTTACTCCAACACTGCTACATATTTCTCTACCCTCTTCCCCATCTTCCCTCTACTAATACAGCATGATTTTTAGTGAAATCTGTATTCAGTGTATACATTATAATGACTGAAAAATATTTTTTGCAATTTAATACCTAATCGACTGTGATCACATTTCCTTTCTTTACAGCTTACTGCTTTCCATGAAGTTATTAACTGTCCTTTTCATTTCTCTTAATTTTCTGTGTCCTTACACAGGAGCTATAAAAATCCTGCCCAATATGTTAAAATTTCTCCATTGGTTCCATTTCTGTTTCTTGGAGAACCCCTGGACCTCTTCATATGCTTACTCCATTCTGAAGTGCTCATTTTCTATGTGTGCCATACAGCTCTCATTCTGTAAATTATTCTTACCTCTTTTCTGTGTTAGAAACCCCATTTCCTGGTTTCCATGTCATCTTTCTAGAGTTTTTCCCCCAATTTTAAGGGCCCACAACTCTCAGAGGCTTGTTGGGAAAAGGAGCATGCAAGCTTTTTGATATCTTAGGGTAAGGTTGGCTGGATATAGAATTCTAGGTTGAAATAATTTCTTCAGAATTTTTAAGACATTTCATTTATCTTCTTTAGCATAGCTCCTGCTAATTGCAGTGCATTCTTTTTTTTTTTTTTTTTTTTTTTTTTTTGAGACAACGTCTCACTGTGTTACATAGGCTGGAGTGTTTCATTTTGTACAGATGAGGTCTCCCTGTGTTGCCTAGGCTGGTCTTGAACTTCTGGGCTCAAACGGTCCTCACGCTTTAGCCTCCGAGAGTGCTGGGATTACAGACATGAACCACTGTACCTGGCCTGCGGTGCTGTTTTTATCTTCAGTCATTCATTATGTGCTCTGGTTTTAAGAAGTTAAGATTGTTTTGTCTTTATTTTTATTTATTTATTTATTTTTGAGACAAAGTCTCGCTCTTGTTGCCCAGGCTGGAGTGCAATGGCGTGACCTCTGCTCACTGCAACCTCCGCCTCTCGGGTTCAAGTGATTCTCCTGTCTCAGCCTCCCGAGTAGCTGGGATTACAGGTACCTGCCACCACACCCAGCCAAATTTTGTATTTTTAGTAGAGACAGGGTTTCACCATATTGGCCAGGCTGGTCTCATCCTGACCTCAGGTGATCCACCTGCCTCAGCCTCCCAAAGTGTTGGGATTACGGGCATGAGCCACCACGCCCAGCCTGTTTTGTTGTTATTTAAATTTCACAGTAATGTACTTTGGTGTCTTTTTTTTTTTTTTTTTTTTTAACTTTTTTTTTTCCTTTAATTCTTGGCCCAGATGCTTACTGGCACTTACTCTAGAAACACATAGTCCTTCATTGAGTTCTGGAAAATTTTCTTTAAGTGGTTCTTTTATAATTTCCCTCCATTTTTTTCTCTAGTTTTTTCTGGAACTCCTGATGTTTGGACACTAGGCCTCCTATATTGTTCCTATAATTTTCTTGTCTTTTCTCCTACTTTCTATTTGATTGTCTTTTTTTATTCTAACTTCTGGGATGGTTTTTAATTTTTTTCTTCTAATTCTTTATTAATATGCCATGTTTTATAGATTTGTCTTTAAATATTTTTACATAATTTTGTAACAAAATACAAAAAAAGCAATTCCTAAAAATTTAGAAAGTCAAATGAAAGCAAAGAACTTAAGTGTGTTTTCAATTAGAGCATAATCATACCAAGAAAGTATTTCAAGTAACTTAAAAAATGTTTTATGTCCCTAGTGGTATATACCCCAAGAACAACAATAGCAACAACAACTATAAAATGAAACAAAATCTTAAGCTATTGTTAGTAATCATATTGCTGGTGGTAGTGTTGGTATTCCTATTCTGAAGTTATAGTGGATGTGAAGTATGTTGTATGTGTATACTCTTTTACGTATATTTGTTGTATGTGAGTAATTATATGATTATAGAGAACAGGGATCTTTTTATCAGAGAAAGGTGCAGATGTGAGATTGAAGTAAAAGAAAACTTGTGGTTCTGCATTTGTATTGGAAATATCATTATGAACTCGAGATCTATATTATCTTTAAAAAATACATGCTGGCTGGGCACAGTGGCTCACACCTATAATCCCAGCACTTTGAGAGGCCAAGGTGAATGGATCACTTGAGGTCAGGAGTTCAAGACCAGCCTGGCCAACATGGTGAAACCCCGTCTCTACTAAAAATATAAAACTTAGCCAGGCATGATGGCATGCTCCTGTAGTCCCAGCTACTGTGGAGGCTGAGGTGGGAGAATCACTTGAACCTGGGACGTAGAGGTTGCAGTGAGCCAAGGTCGCACCACTGCACTCCAGCCTGGGCGACAAAGTGAGACCCTGTCTCAAAGAAAAAAAAAAATATGCTTATTGGTTTCATCTATCAAAAAGAACAAAAAAAAAAAAAAAAGGAATAATCCAGTAGTAGTGAGTAACCCTAGCTCTCAGACTGTTTTCTAAGTACTGTTTTCTCTTAAAAGGATGCAAGGTGTCTTGAAGAAATGGCTGATTCCAGATTCAGAGGAGGAAATATATGAATCTGGAAAGTCTTGACATACCAGAAAAAAACTAAGCATCAAACACTACTAGTGTCATGTCAAAAGGACTTAGGAGTGTAATAGAATAGATTCTTACTGATCACAGATAAAATAATTTGAGCATCAGAAAGGATAATAACAGGCTGGGCACACTGGCCCACACCTGTAATCCCAAGATTTTGGGAGGCCGAGGCAGGCAGATCACTTGGGGTCAGGAGTTTGAGACCAGCCTGGCCAACATGGTGAAACCCCTTCTCTACTAAAAAATACAAAAATTAGGTAGGCCTGGGGGCGGGTGTCTGTAATCCCAGCTATTTGGGAGGCTGAGGCAGGGAGAATTGCTTGAACCCAGGAAGCGGAGGTTGCAGTGAGCCGAGATTGTGCCACTGCATTCTAGCCTGGGTGACAGAGCGAGACTCCATCTCAAAGAAAAAAAAAAGGATAATAACAGCAAAAAATTGAAATTCATAACAAATGATAACTTCTATTCTCATTGTTTTAAAAACTAAAGCCCAGGCACAGTGTCTCACGCGTGTAATTGCAGTACTTTGGGAGGCTGAGGTGGGCATACTCAGGAGTATGAGACCAGCCTGGGCAACATGACAAAACCCCATCTCTACAAAAAATACAAAAATTAACCAGGTGTGGTGGCATGTGCCTATAGTCCCAGCTACTTGAGAGGCCGTGGTGGGAGGATGACCTGAGCCCAGGAGGCAGAGGTTGCAGCGAGTTGAGATCGTGCTACTGCACTTCAGCCTGGGTGACAGAGCCAGAGCCAGACCCAGCCTCAGAAAAACAACAAAAACTAGGTAAAAGGAGAAAAAAATCAAGCATTTATCTTTCTTCTCTTATATGATCTATATTTTGGGACCCTCAAGTAGATGAGGGGAAGTTTCTGTTTATAAAAATGTTTCAACAAATAAGGAATAATAGAATTAAAATATAACCATTTCGCAACCCTCAAATTAGGGTTGTCTTTTCTTCTAATTCTTTTTTTTTTTTTTTTTTTTTTTTTTTTTTTTTTTTGAGATGGAGTCTCGCACTGTCGCCCAGGCTGGAGTGCAGTGGCACGATCTTGGCTCACTGCAACCTCTGCCTCCTGGATTCAAGCGATTCTCCTGCCTCAGCCTCCTAAGTAGCTGGGATTATAGGCACCCACCACCACACCTGGCTAATTTTTTTGTATTTTTAGTAGAGACAGGGCTTCACTATGTTGGCTACGCTGGTGTTGAACTCCTGACCTCGTGATCTGCCCGCCTTGGCCTCCCAAAGTGCTGGGATTACAGGCTTGAGCCTGTAAATCCAGAAAAGGATTACAGCCCTTTTCTTCTAGTTCTTAAAGTGAATTTGTGTCTACCAACATAATTTTCAAGAGACCTTTATTATTCCCTAAATGTTTTTCTTTTTTTTGTGACATTCAGTTCTTGTTTCATAGATACAGTATCTTCTCATCTTTCTAAAGCTAATGATTAATGTTTTATTTTCATTTTCGTTTTTTCTGCTCCCTGCATTTTTTTTTTTTAATGAAAACCTTTGTCTATTTGAGTCTCTCTGGTTAGAGACTTTCCTCAATGGTGATCATTCACTGATCCAGAAGTTGTATGTGAGGTGAGGCTTGTCAGCTCATAGGGTAGTAATGTAGTGATTTAGTTTTTAACTAGGAGACCCTCAAATATCAGTGACTGTTCTGAGAGCTGAGCAGAGTAAGGAAATTAATAGGGAGACTCATTGTCAGTGTAAGAATTTTATTTCAGTTTGTTGTTTGTTGTTTGTTTTTTGTTTTTTTGTTTTTTTTTTGGTTTTTTTTGTTTTTTTTTTAGATGGAGTCTTGCTCTGTTGCCCAGGCTAGAGTGCAGTGGTGCGATCTCGGCTCACTGCAACCTCCACCTCCCAGGTTCGAGGAATTCTCCTGCCTCAGCCTCCCGAGTAGCTGGGACTACAGGCGCCTGCCACCACCCCTGGCTAATTTTTTATTTTTAGTAGAGACGGGGTTTCACCATCTTGGCCAGGCTGGTCTCCAACTCCTGACCTTGTGATCCACCCGCCTCGGCCTCCCAAAGTGTTGGGATTACAGGCGTGAGCCACAGCGCCCGGCCCAGTTTTGTTTTCAATAATAGCATCTCACCCCCACCCTGGCTGCGTCTGCTCAGTATTCCAGAGTCCACGATATGTATGGTTCAGCCCTCCAGAAAATAAAGTCTCCTGCATTTTTTTTTTTAATGCTGCAGCAAGAATAGGGTCCTGGGTTCTTTTTTAGTATGAGGGAGAGACAGCCACCTGGCTACTTGGGATAGGAAAGAAAATCTGGTGTTTCAACTACGTTTGTACAAAATGTCAACCATTTCTTCCTATTTTCAGCCCCACCATATGCTCCTGCCTTCACAGGTACCTGTTGCCTCCAATTTCTGAGTGTTTTCCTTTAATTATTTTGTTTCATGTTAACTCCTTACAACAAGTTTGGTGGCTGAATAACCTTGGGCAAGTTGTGTAGTTTCTCATATACTTTAGTTTTATCGTTGTCTGTAAAATGGAGATGAGTCTTCAGATTATTGTGAAGATAATTTGTTTGTTTGTTTTTTGGAGACGGAGGCACGCTCTGTCCCCCAGGCTGGAGTGCAGTGGCACAATCTCGGCTCACTGCACCCTCTGCCTCCCAGGTTCAAGCAGTTCTCCTGCCTCAGCCTCCCGAGTAGCTGGGATTACAGGCGCCCACCACCTCACCTGGCTACTTTTTTGGTTTTTAGTAGAGACGGGGTTTCACCATGTTGGCCCGGGTGGTCTCGAACTCCTGACCTCAGGTGATACGCCTGCCTCGGCCTCCCAAAGTGTTGGGATTACAGGCATGAGCCACCTTGCCTGGCCAAAGATTAATTGTTAATATACATAAAGCGCTTAACACCATGCCAGGTACCTTAGTAAGTGTTCGATGAATATTTGCTTTTTGTATTAGCCATAATCATTCTCAGGCTGCTTTGTCATTTACTTGTTCCACAAATTCTTAGCTTCCAAAATTTTGGTGATACCTCATTTCCTATTCTCTCTAGTTGCCTTTGTCCATGTAGATTTTTTGAGGAAGCTTGGGTAAATAAGTGTATTTTAAACTATTATGTTTAAATCGAAGTTCCTTTTATCTGTTTTCTAATAGAAACATTTAAATAGCATTAAGAACTTGTAGCAGTATAAACAATATGTTTGAGAAGTACTATATTGTGAAAATATTTTCACTTTTATACAGTTTTTTACTTATTTACTGTCTTACTAATCTTCCTAAGACTTTTTAAAGTGAATATTTTTAAGGCAGTTCTAGAAGAATGAAAACTCTTATGATATCTGTAATAGAATTGAATACATATTTAACTACTAAATCAATATATTTATTAATTTGTCCAGATTTCTGCTAACAGTACTCGGCCTGCTCGCTGGTATACCAAACTTGGATTCTTTCCTGACCCTAGACCTTTTCCTCTGCCCTTATCATCGCTTTTCAGTGATGGAGGAAATGTTGGTTGTGTTGATGTAATTATTCAAAGAGCATACCCTATACAGGTATGATGTATTCTTGAAACTTACCATATATTTCTTTCTTTTGATACAATTAATTTGTTTGTTTGTTTGAGATGGAGTTTCGGTCTCTTGCCCAGGCTGGAGTGCAATGGCGTGATCTTGGTTCACTGCAGCCTCCACCTCCCGGGTTCAAGTGATTCTCCTGCCTCAGCCTCTCAAGTAGCTGAGCCACCACACCTGGCTAATTTTGTATTTTTGGTAGAGAAGGGGTTTCATCATGTTGGTCAGGCTGATCTCGAACTCCTGACCTCAGGTGATCCACTAATCTCAGCCTCCCAAAGTTCTGGGATTACAGATGTGAGCCACTGTGCCTGGCCTGATACAATTAACTTGAATGTTATATATGTGACTTTTTTGGTGTGTGTAACACATTATTACAGTGGATGGAGAAGACATCATCTGGATTATACATATTTCGCAATGAAAGAGAGGAAGAAAAGGAAGCAGCAAAATATGTGGAGGCCCAACAAAAGAGACTAGAAGCCTTATTCACTAAAATTCAGGAGGAATTTGAAGAACATGAAGGTAAAATTAGTTATATGGTACACATTGTTATTTCTAATATGAGAACAAAGTCTTAGAGACTTTGAATTTAACATTTTTAATGAGTAAATTGTTTTTATTTTGAGTAGTAAATTGACTTTATTTTTTAGTATCTAGGGTATTCTTTTTTGGTGTTAGACAAAGAATAGCAACAAGGGACAGAAATATCAGGTCTAAGCCATTTGTAATATTTTTCCTGAATTCTTACCTATATGATGTGGCTTTTGCATTTTTGTCATGGTAGTTATTAGCTTTCATGTGTTATTATGCCTGGAACTAGGACCTATTGTGGTGTCAATTTTAATATTAAAAATCATGGTGTTTTGATGTTTATATGACATAAATTTTATTTTTTCGTATCTCCCTTTTGTTGTTGCTGAAGATTTTATGTTTTTCTGCATTTCCTCATGATTTATATAGATGTAACATGTTCTATAGGACATGTAATTTACATGTCCTATAGAACTATAAGTTACATGTCCTATAGAACTTACAGTTCTATAGTTATCTGCAGAAATATTGCTCCTTATGCTTTATTTGCTTAAAATTATCACTAGATCATACTATTTTCATAAATAAATGAATATGAAATCATTCACAGGCATACCTCAGAGATACTGTGGATTTGATTCTAGACCACCGCAATAAAGCAAATATTACAGTAGAGCAAATCACACGAATATTTTGGTTTCCCAGAGCATACAAAAGTAATGTTTACACTATAGCATAATCTCTTAAATGTGTAGTAGCATTGTATCTAAAAAAAACAATGCACATACCTTAATACACTTTATTGCTAAAAAATGCCAATGATCATCTGAGCCTTCAGTGAGTTGTAATATTTTTGCTGGTGGAGGATCTTTCCTCAATGTTGATGCCTGCTGAGTGATCAGAGTGGTAGTTGGTGAAGGTTGGGGCAGTTGTGGCAATTTCTTAAAATAAGACAATGGCATTTGCAACATTGATTGGCTTTTCCTTTCATGAAAGATTTCTCTGTAGCATGCAATGCTGTTTGATAGCATTTTATCCATGGTAGAACTGCTTTCATAATTGGAGTCAATTCTATCAAACTCTGCTTTATCAGAATATTATGTAATATTCTAAATCCTTTGTTGTCATTTCAACAATATTCACAGCACCTTCGCCAGGACTAGATTCCCTCTCAAGAAACTACTTTCTTTGCTTATCCATAAGAAGCAGCTCTGTATTAATCTGTTCCCACACTGCTATAAAGAATACCTGAGACTGGGTAATTTCTAAAGGAAAGAAGCTTAATTGACTTACAGTTCCACATGGCTGAGGAGGCCTCAGGAAACTTACAATCATGGCGGAAGGCAAAGGCAAAGCAAGTACCCTTTTCATAAGGTGGCAGAAGAGAGAGTGCAGGGGAAACTGCCACTTGTAAGCCATCAGATCTCATAAGAACTCCCTCACTAGCACAAGAATAGCATGGGGGAAACCACCCCCATGATCCAATCACCTCCCACCAGGTCTCTCCCTCAACACATGGGGATTACAATTTGAGATGAGATTTGGGTAGGGACACAGAGCCAAACCATATCATTCTGCCCTGGACCCTCCCAAATCTCGTGTCCTTTTCACATTTCAAAACCAATCATGCCTTCCTAACAGTCTCCGAAAGTCTTAACTAATTCCAGCATTAACTCAAAAGTTCAAGTCCAAAGTCTTCATCTGAGACAAGACAAATCTCTTCCACCTATGAGCCTGTAAAATCAAAAGCAAATTCTTTACTTCCAAGATACAATGGGGGTACAGGCATTGGGTAAATGTTCCCATCTCAAGTGGGAGAAATTGGCCAAAACAAAGGGGCCACAGTCCCCATGCAAGTCCGAAACCTAGCCAGGCAATCAATGAATCTTTTTTTTTTTTTTGAGACAGGGTCTTGCTCTGTTGTCCAGGCTAGAGTGCAGTGGAGAGATACTGGCTCACTGCAACCTCCGCCTCCTGTTTCAAGCAATTCTCATGCCTCAGCCTCCCAAGTAGCTGGGATTACAGGTGTGCACCACCATGCCCAGCTAATTTTTGTATTTTTAGTAGAGATGGGGTTTCACCATGTTGGCCAGGCTAGTCTTAAAACTCCTAGCCTCGCTGGGTGGGGTGTCTCATTCCTGTAATCCCAGCACTTTGGGAGGCTGAAGTGGGCAGATCACAAGGTCAGGAGTTGAAGACCAGCCTGGCCAACATGGTGAAACCCTGTTTCTATGAAAAATTCAAAAATTAGCTGGGCGTGGTGGCACGCGTCTGTAATCCCAGCTATTCCAGAGGCTGAGGCAGGAGAATTGCTTGAATCCAGGAGGCAGAGATTGCAGTAAGCCAAAATCACACCACTGCACTCTAGCCTGGGCAACAAAGCAAGACTCTGTCTCAAAAAAATAAATAAAAAAAAATAATAAAAATAACTCCTAGCCTCAAGTGAGCCACTGCACCCAGGCCAGTCATTAAAGCTCTAAAATCTCCTTTGACTCCATGTCTCACATCCAGGGCATGCTGATATAAGGGGTGGGCTCCCACGGCCTTGGGCAGCTCTGCCCTTTGGCTCTTCAGTCTACAGCCCCTGCAGCTGCTTTCATGGGCTGCCATTGAGTGACAGCTGCACAGTGCAGGCTGTCAGTGGGGGATGATGGCCCTCTTCTCACAGCTCCACTAGGCAGTTCCCCACTGAGGACTGTGGGAGGTGGCTCCAACCCCGTATTTCCCTCACAGTTTCCCTCCCGGTTTCCCTCCTGTACTGCACTAACAGAGGTTCTCTATGAGGGCTCTGCCCCCACAGCAGACTTGTGTGTGGACATCCTGGCACTTCCATACATCCTCTGAAATCTAGGCAGAGGCTCCCACAGCTGAACTCTTGTCTTCTACATACCCACAGGCCCAGCATCACATGGAGGCCACCAAGGCTTAGGGCTTGCACCCTCTCAAGCAATGGCCTGATCTGTACCTTGGCCCTTTTTATCAATGGCTGGAGCTGGAGCAAGTGGGACACAGGTTGCCATGTCCCATGGCTGCACAGAGCAGTGGGGCCTTGGGCCCAGCCCACAAAACCATTTTTCCCTCCTAGGCCTCAAGGCCTGTGATAGAAGGGTCTACTGTGGAGATCTCTGACATGCCTTGGAGACACTGTCTCCATTGCCTTGGCTATTAACGTTTGTTTCCTTGTTACTTATGCAAACTTCTGCAGCTGGCTTGAATTCTTTCCCGGGAAATGGATTTTTCTTTTCTACTTCATGGTTAGGCTGCAGATTTTCCAAACTTGCATGCTCTGCTTCCCTTTTAAATATAGGTTCCAATTTCAAACCATCTCTTTGTGAACATGTATGACTGTGTTTCTAGAAAAAGCCACATCACACCTTGAACACTCTGCTGCTTAGAAATTTCTTCCACAGGATACCCTAAATCATCTCTCTGAAGTTCAACATTCCACGGATCTCTAGCGCAGGGGCAAAATGCCACTAGTCTCTTTGCTCTAAAGCATAGCAAGAGTGACCTTTGCTCCAGTTCCCAATAAGATCCTCATCTCCATCTGAGACCACCTCAGGCTGGACTTCACTGGCCACATCACTGTCAGAATTTTGGTCAAAACCATTCAACAAGTCTCTAGGGAGTTCCAGACTTTCCCACATCTTCCTGTCTTCTTCTGAGCCCTCCAAACTCTTCCAATCTCTGCCTGTTGTCTAGTTCCAAAGTCACTTCCACATTTTCAGGTTATCGGTATAGCAGTCCCCCACTCCTGGTAACAATTATCTGTATTAGTTCATCCTCATACTGCTATAAAAAATACCTGAGACTGGGTAATTTGTAAAGGAAAAAGGTTTAATTGATTCACAGTTCCACATGGCTGGGGAGGCCTCAGGAAACTTACAATCATAGTGGAAGATGAAGGAGAAGCAAGTACCTTCTTCACAAGGTGGCAGGAAAGAGAGTACAGGGAGAACTCTCACTTTTAAGCCATCAGATCTTGTGAGAACTCCCTCACTATCATGGAACAGCATGGGAGAAACTGCCCCCGTGATCCAGTTACCTCCCACCAGGTCCGTCCCTCGACACGTGAGGATTACCGTTCAAGATGAGATTTGGGTGAGGACACAGAGCCAAATCGTATGAAGCTCCTTATCATTTAAGTTTTATTGTGACATTGCAGTAATTCAGTCACATCTTCAGGCTTTACTTCTAATTCTAGTTCTCTTGCTATTTTCACCATATATGCAGTTACTTCCTCCACTGAAGTCTTGAACCCCCCAAAGTCATCCATGAGGGTTGGAATCAACTTCTGGTAAACTTGTTAATGTTGATATTTTGACTTCCCATGAAACACTAGTGTTCTTAATGGTATTTAGAATGGTGAATCCTTTCTGGAAGGTTTTCAATTCACTTTACCCATATCTATCAGAGAAATCACTATGGCAGCTATTCTTTATAAGACATGTTTCTTTTTTTTTTTTTTGAGATGGAGTTTCGCACTTGTTGCCCAGGCTGGAGTGCAATGGCGTGATCTTGGCTCACAGCAACCTCTGCCTCCCAGGTTCAAGCAATTCTCCTGCCTCAGCCTCCGGAGTAGCTAGGATTACAGGCATGTGCCACCACGCCCGGCTAATTTTGTATTTTTAGTAGAGACGGGGTTTCACCATGTTGGTCAGGCTGGTCACGAACTCCGGACCTCAGGTGATCCACCCGCCTCGGCCTCCCAAAGTGCTGGGATTACAGGTGTAAGCCACCGTACCCGGCAAGACATGTTTCTTAAATAATAAGACTTGAAAGTTGAAATGACTCCATGATCCATGGGCCACAAAATGGATATTGTGTTAGGAGTCATGAAAATAACATTAATCACTCTATACATCTCTGTCAGAGCTCTGTGACAGAGACATGAAGTGAGCACATACTGTTGCGAAAATGGCGCCAGTAGGCTTGCTCAACATAGTTTCCACAAACCTTCAATTTGTGTTTTTAAAAAAATGCAGTATCTATGAAACTCAGTGAAGTGAAATACATTAAAACAAATATACCTATGTTAACTCACATATTACTGTAATTAAACTCTGTATGACTTTTTTTTTTTTTAAACATGAGTACACTGGTTTCAAAATTTCCTGGAAAACTTATAGCAGGCCAGGTGTCATGGGTCACATCTGTAATCCCAACAGTTTGGGAGTCCAAGGTGGTGGATCACTTGAGGTCAGGAGTTTGAGACCAGCCTGGCCAATATGGTGAAACTCCGTCTCTACCAAAAATGCAAAAATTAACCGGGCATGTTGGATGTGCCTCTAATCCCAGCTACTCGGGAGGCTGAGGCAGGAGAACCACTTGAACCCAGGAGACAGAGGTTGCAATGAGCCGAGATCACACCACTGCACTCCCAGATTGGGTGACAGAGTGAGACCCTGTCTCAAAAAAAAAAAAAAGAAAAAACTTTTAGCAGTTATATAGTTTCTTATCTTTAAATCTCCCTTCTTTGGGTGTTTTATGCTTGGTTCTTTAGTTTTAGTTGCTTTTGAATTTACAGTTTAGTGAATTAATAATCCTTTTGTTTTCTTAGAAAACACAACAAAACCATATTTACCATCACGTGCACTAACAAGACAGCAAGTTCGTGCTTTGCAAGATGGTGCAGAGCTTTATGAAGCAGTGAAGAATGCAGCAGACCCAGCTTACCTTGAGGTGAGAGAGTAAGAGGACATATAATGAGGCTTGATGATTATTCAAGGTGAGAAGCTGTTTTAGACTCTCTGGCCATCACAGGAAGGAGTATGTTGAAATGCTGCATTTCTCAAAAGGGATGTGTACATTTCTGGGATTTTCAGTGATGTGCCAGACGAGTGTGGTGGTATGTTTTCAACTATATACCGAGTAGAGGATGGGAGGGTTCTAGAATTTTATATATTAATTAAATTTGGTTTAAAATGCAGGCAAAACTTGTTTTATTTTTGTCCCTCCTGTACTCTGAAGCAAAAAAACTTTTTTATTTTTAAGATAAAACAAATATCTTCAAAGTAATGGCTTAGTTTCCATGTTCTTAGCTGTTTCTCAAGTCCTTCCTGGAGTGTACTTGATAATCCTCTACCCTAAGGGTACTTGGGTAGAAATGTTTCCGAAGCACTAAACTGTTAGAAGTAGCATAGGCTTTAGAATCGTGGCACTCTCATTTTATTAGCAAAGTAAATGACAATAAAATAGCTGGCCAGGCGCGGTGGCTCACGCCTATAATCCCAGCACTTTGGGAGACCGAGGCAGAAGGATCACCTGAGGTCGGGAGTTCGTGACCAGCCTGGCCAACGTGGTGAAACCCCGTCCCTATTAAAAATACAAAATTAGCCAGGCGTGGTGCACATGCCTGTAATCCCAGCTGTTCGGGAGGCTCAGGCAGGAGAATCGCTTGAATCCAGGAGGCAGAGGTTGCAGTGAGCCAAGGTCATGCCATTGCACTCCAGCCTAGGCAACAAGAGCAAAACTCCGTCTCAAAAAAAAAAAAAAAAAGCTATTAAATGGGCGTAAAATGTTGTTTTAGGATCAAATAAATAATCTATATAAAAGTTCCATATAAATGTTAGTTACTATTATTAGAACATAATTTTATATATTAAACTACCTCCTAAATTTTTAGACAGGTAGATAGCTAAAAAAAAATTCAAATTCTAAGATTAGTTTGTTAGGGAGGAAGGAGCAAATATTTTACCAAAACTACTTGTTTTTAATTGATTAATTTCATTCACTTGATGACTTAGTAAATCTTGTGAATATAGCCTTAAATTTCTTAAATAGTGGGACTACAAAATAAACAATATTTCATCAGTAATGTAAGCAGTGCTATACTGAGTAGAATTCCCTCCTGTTCCGAAATGTTACAATTTGGGTTCTCCCTGTGAGAAGTGAGTCCGGTTTTAAAACCTGTGAGTATACTTGCTGCAGGTCTGAAAATGAAGGCTTTATGATTCTTTCTTGAAAAATTATTTGCCTCTATCTTTTATAATATTATTTGTTGAAGCTTGTGCATTCTATGAATCATCATGAAGATAGCTTTAATTTCATCCACAAAATTTAACAATATTTTTTTGTCTGGACATAAGGGGGCAGAATAAGAGTTGGAGTAGGGCCTTGCCCAGCCACTCTGTAACTGGACAAGTGATGTATTTATTTCTTAGGACCTCATTTCCACCTTCTATCAAGGGAAAACCTAAGAGTAGGTTATCTTTAGGGTTCTAAGTGCCTATGAGTCTATGAGATTTGACTTTATTAAAGTTATCTTTGTAATTCTTTGAGGAGAACGTAGGCATCCATTTTTAAAACAGTCCTGTTAGAATTTGTTTTCAGTAACAATGTTGAATGATGGCCTTTTGAAATCAGGTTTTACAACAAAATTGTTTAAACACTGCCTGCATATTTAGAATCTCTATACCTATATTAAGATACAGAGATTGGATAGTCTCCCTTTTCAGTATAGATAATCTCCCTTCCCGGTAGAGATTAGGATATTAAGATGTATAATATCCTAAAGTGTAGCAGCAGTCTGGTATGTTACATGTCTAAATTCCATTTCCTATTTTATTTGTTTATTGATTTATCTGTTTATTTTTGTTACACTGGGTAAGATTCCCAAGAGGTACAAGTAGAAATTTGCTAAAGTGAGTAGGACAGAAGTGTAGAGGCAAACATAAAAGTATGTTTAGTACATATCTGTTTTAAATTGTATCTACTATTTCAAAGTTAATGGAATTATACTCCTGGGGCTAAGAATGAGGGTTCTAGGGCCAACCTCTACTACCTATGTGGCTTGTGCAAATTAGTTGTCCCCTTTGTGCCTCAGTTTTACCTACAACACAGAAACAATGATATTACCTACCCCATGGACTGTTGTGAAGATTAAATGAATTAGTACATTTACTACACATAGATCTATTTCTCAAAATAATGAGCATTCAGATATTAGCCATCTGTAATGTAGTTGGTGATGATTATGATTATTAGAGTACATTTATAATTGGAGGATCATTTTTGCCGTAGGGAAATAGAATTATTAATAGTTTGAGGCACCTGAGAATATTATGTGAGAAACTGATTACATTAACCACACCCTTAAGATGAGCTCTAATTTTGTTGTATTTGTCCTGTTTAAAGCCATCTAGTTACAATAGATGGAACTTTTTTGTTCTGATTGCTTTTTATTCCAATATCTTAAATGGTCACAGGGTTATTTCAGTGAAGAGCAGTTAAGAGCCTTGAATAATCACAGGCAAATGTTGAATGATAAGAAACAAGCTCAGATCCAGTTGGAAATTAGGAAGGCCATGGAATCTGCTGAACAAAAGGAACAAGGTTTATCAAGGGATGTCACAACCGTGTGGAAGTTGCGTATTGTAAGCTATTCAAAAAAAGAAAAAGATTCAGGTAAGTATGTAAATGCTTTGTTTTTATCAGTTTTATTAACTTAAAAAATGACCTTACTAACAAAATGATTATAAATCCAGATAAAGTATAAAGTTAGTTTATATCAGAGAAGCAAAATCCACTACTAATGCCCACAAAGAGATAATATAAAAGAGGATCTGTATTTATTTTGAAACAAACATTTAAATGATAATCACTTCTTCCATTGCATCTTTCTCATCTTTCTCCAAACAGTTATACTGAGTATTTGGCGTCCATCATCAGATTTATATTCTCTGTTAACAGAAGGAAAGAGATACAGAATTTATCATCTTGCAACTTCAAAATCTAAAAGTAAATCTGAAAGAGCTAACATACAGTTAGCAGCGACAAAAAAAACTCAGTATCAACAACTACCGGTACAAACCTTTCATTGTAATTTTTCAGTTTTGATAAGTGCTTGTTAGTTTATGGAATCTCCATATGTTGAATTTTTGTTTTGTTTTCTGTAGGTTTCAGATGAAATTTTATTTCAGATTTACCAGCCACGGGAGCCCCTTCACTTCAGCAAATTTTTAGATCCAGACTTTCAGCCATCTTGTTCTGAGGTGGACCTAATAGGATTTGTCGTTTCTGTTGTGAAAAAAACAGGTAATGCACAATATAGTTAATTTTTTTTATTGATTCTTTTAAAAAACATTGTCTTTTAAAATCTCTTATGATTAGTTGGAGCTACCAGTTGGCAAATTTGCTAGCTAACTAGTGATCTGAAAGTAAGCCTCTTTGAACCTCTGATTTTTCATGAAAAGCAATTCTCTCAATTCTATATTATTTCAAGGGTAACAAGTTACATCCTAGTCTGTGTACTTAATTTTATAGAAATTGTCCTTAATTTTATTTTCTGCAATTTATGTTTTCTTACTATTTCTGGTGTATGTGTTTATCCCATTGTGATGTTATATTGGTGTCCTCAATTTATTTCCTTAGCCATACACTCTACTTTTCATTGTACAGGGCTATTTATTATCTCAGAGTCAAGCTTTTTTTTTTTTTTTTTTTTCCCCGAGATGGAGTCTCACTCTGTTGCCCAGGCTGGAGTGCAGTGGCGCTATCTCAGCCCACTGCAAGTTCTGCCTCCCAGGTTCACACCATTCTCCTGCCTCAGCCTCCCGAGTAGCTGGGACTACATATACCCGCCACCGAGCCTGGCCAATTTTTTGTATTTTTAGTAGAGTCGGGGTTTCACCGTGTTAACCAGGATAGTCTAAATCTCCTGACCTCGTGATCTACCAGCCTCGGCCTCCCAAAGTGCTGGGATTACAGGCGTGAGCCACCGTGCCTGGCCAGAGTCAAGCTTTTATTTTATTGAATATATGGTCTTACTAAGTTCAATAGCATGAATCTGTTGTGAAGAATTCAAGAATTTTCTTCTATTTGTTGAGTTTTGTTTTCTTAGGAGTTTTGCTCTTTCTCTTTTGCTGTGTTTTCTCCTTATTTTTTAAATGTGTTTGTGTTTGGTGAGTTATGTTTTAGTGCTTCGTAGGTTTTTCTTTGACTATATTATATTAGTAAGCCACATTGTTCCCATGCCATTTTATTTCATCTTGGTCATATTTGGATGACTCTTTTCACACATTTTATTGTTATTATAGAAGGTGGATAACTTTTGTTCATTTAATTCATCAATATTTATTTAATGACTGTTATGTGCTAGACAGTGTTTTAAGTGCTGGGTACATAGCGATTAACAAAACAGATAAGAATCCCTACCCTCATAGAGCTTACATTATGAGGTTGGGGGAGGGAGATTACAAACAAAGAAATAAGTAATATACATGTGTATAGTTTTTTTAGTGCTCAGAAAAAAAATTAAGTGGGTAAGGGGGTAATGTCAGAGAAGAGAGAGGGATGTAATTTTAGATTGAGAGGTGAGGAGAGAGACCTCCCTGGAAAGCTGACATTTGAGTGAAGCTTGAAGGAATTGAGGGAGTGAGGTGAGGCATGTGGCCATCTGGGGAAAGCTTTCCAGGCAATTACAAAGGCCGCAGTACAGCAGGATCATGCCTAGTGTGCCGTGAAGCATTGGCAGAGACCAGAGAGTGAGAAGTAACATCCAGGGACAGAGGCAGTGAAGAGCCAGGTCGTGTGGGGGTCCTTGTGTGGACTGTAACTTCCTGTGATGACAGGAAGTCACAGGAAAATTCCAGGTAGAGGGACACTGTCTGACAGGTTTTCACAGAATCATTCAGGCCACTGTGTTGAGAATAGGCTGTAGGGGGCACAAGAGTACAAACAAGCCATTTGGAGGCTCTTTCAAGCACTTAGGCAAAAGATGATGAACCAAACAAAAGCAATGGAAGTGGTGAGAAGCAGTCAGATTCTTGTTGTATTTTGAAGGTAGGGGGACGGTGCAGGATGGTCTGAACATTGGGAAAAATGGAATTGCCACTTAGAAGGAAAGACTGCAAGAAAAGCAAGTATGTGGGGAAGTTCAGGAGCTCAGTTTTAGACAGTTAAGTTTTAGATGCTTATTAGGCATCTAAGTAGAAATGTCTACTTGATGGTTACATAGGAATCTGTTCAGAGGAATGGCTGGATATGAATTTGGGAGTCTTTACTACAAATTTTTTTGTATTTTTAGTAGAGACGGGGTTTCACCGTGTTAGCCAGAATGGTCTCGATCTCCTGACCTCGTGATCCACCCACCTTGGCCTCCCAAAGTGCTGGGATTACAGGCATGAGCCACTGCACCCGGCCAGTCATACAGGGGACATTTAAAGCCGTGAGACTGGATGAGGTCACTGTGGGCATGGGAGTAGATAGAGACGGGAAGAGATCCAAGACCTGATTGAAGCCTTTTATACTTAGAAGCAGGGAAATATAAATGTAAATATAGGAATCAGTAAAAGAAACAGAGGAATGGCCAGAGAGGTTGGAGGAATACTGGAGTGAGGTATGCTGAAAGCCAAGAGAAAAAAAGAATTGTCGAGTAGTGAGAGTGATTAAGTCTGCCAAATGCTATTTCATAGAATTGATAATGAAGTGAGGACCAAGAATTGATCATTGGCTTTAACACCGTGGAGGAGCACTTTCAGTGGACTGAAGTGGGGCAAAGGAAATGGAGGGAAAGGAGGAATGATAGTGAATATAGGCATTTCAAGGATTTTTGCTTTAAGAGAAGAAGAGAAATGAATCAGTAGCCAGAAGGGGAATCAGGATCAAGAGAACATTTGCTTTTTCAGTTGAAAGTGCTAATAGCATACTGATGAGATACTGTATGCTGATGAGAAAGATCCAATAAAGAAGGTAAAATGCAAGATGGAAGCAAAACAGGAACAGCTGTGGGGCACTGTTCTCAGATACTGTGTGGTATGGTATCTAGAGGCTCTGTTGAAATTGGCCTTAGCTAGCAGGAGAGACTGTTCATCTGTAATCACAGGAAAAAAGTAAAGTACGTAGGTATAGATACCAATGGAAGAGTTGATATACAAGAGGAAACTTGTGGCAGACCTCTTTTGATTGCTCTATTTCCTCGCTGAAACAGGGCACAAAATCATCAGCTGAGAGTCAGAATGAAGAAAAGGGGGCCAGGCGCGGTGGCTAACGCCTGTAATCCAGCACTTTGGGAGGCCAAGGTGGGTGGATCACGAGGTCAGGAGATGGAGACAATCCTGGATAACACGGTGAAACCCCGTCTCTACTAAAAATACAAAAAATTAGCCGGGTGTGGTGGCGGGCGCCTGCAGTCTCAGCTACTCGGGAGGCAGAGGCAGGAGAATGGCGTGAACCTGGGAGGTGGAGCTTGCAGTGAGCTGAGATCACACCACTGCACTCCAGACTGGGAGATTCCGTCTCAAAAAAGAAAAAGAGAAAGAAAAGGGTGTTGAAGGTTTGAGAGAAGAGGAAAGGCATGAAATCATTATCTAAGAAAGTGGTAGAGTAAATGGACTAAGTAAACACATCATGACTGCCAGGGCCCACTGGAGGTTTAATGTTCATGAATATATTGTTGTTGTGTGATATTTTTTCAACCGTGTTCAGCTCTGATGGTGTGGGCATGAAGTAGTTGGAAAGTAGAATTTAACCAGGTCTGTAGTTTAGCTGGGTAAGTAATGCAAAGCAAGAAGGGCAAAGAATTTGGGGGTATATGCAAAAGGAGGATTTAAATAATTGACCTTGGACACAATGCAGAGCAAAGAAGAGACATTAGAAGACGTGGATCAATGAACAGGAGATAAGAAAAGCTGATTGTAGGTCACGGTGGGTTTGAGTTAGGGTTTTAGAGGGAGTGAACTGGGCAGATCAAAGGTAGGTGGTTGAAGAAGGAGGTACTTCAAATTGAGATTCTGGGGGAAATGGAGTTATTGGAAATAAAAGTCTTGGGTATGTCCATTGCAGTGAGTTACCAGTGGAAAATAGAGGACATGATCATTTAGGAAGAAAACAAGGAACTTGGGAGCAACAGAGTATTGGAAGGATTGCCTGTGAGGATACTGAAATTTCCAGGAAACATGACCATCGTGATGACAGAATGACAGTGAGTTATGAGTTAAAATCTTCAAGGAATGAAAGGCAATGAGTGAGCCAGGGTCAATGGATGCCTGTAGCAAGGAACAGTAATGAATGACAGTCTGATAACACGAGGTTCAAAACTGAGTGTTTTTAGAGTGGGAGGAGCAGCAATGAAGCATGAGGAAGACATCTGCCTCATCTCAGCCTCCAGTAGCACAAGGTCTGCAGGGGCAACTGTACAGGCAGACAAGAACCAGGTTTGTTGCAACAAGATGGCAATGAGAGCACCTGCAGGAAAGGGTGACGGTAGTGGAGATCTTACTGAGTTCCAGAGGCCCCATTGAAAGGATTCGAGGAGATGAAGAGGTAGGAGGAGATGGTGCCCAGAAAGGCCACATCCAAAGCCTGGAAGCGGAATCCAGGGAATTTGGCATGACTGAGAGCCTGTGCTGCCTTTTTTAAATGTTTTAATTTTTGTGTGTTTATAGCAGGTGTATATATTTATGGGGGAGCCTGTGCTTGTTATGGGGACTGACACAGATCAGCTCTTGGCCCCAAGGCAAGGTGTGTGGGAGAAGAAAAAGTGAGGAGGCCTAGATGTCAGAGGAGTCCGGCTAAACCACTGCAGAACTGCTGCCTAATTCACAGCAACCATGAGTAAAAATGCTGATGATCATCAGGTCAAGGATAGTCTGGAGCAGTTAAGATGTTACTTTACATGGGAGGTATCAATTAAAGATGATGAAATGCCTGATTTGGAAAACAGAGTCTTGGACCAGATTGGGTTTCTAGACTAAATACAGTGTGGGAATACACAATACACAACCTACTAGCCTATGTGAAACACCCGAAAGGCCAGAATGAGGAAGTGCTGGAGAACTTGAAAGAAGCTGAAGACTTAATCCAGAAAGAAGATGCCAATCAGATTTGAGAAGCCTGGTAACCTGGGGCAACTTTGCCTGGGTGTATTACCACATGGGCAGACTGGCAGAAACCCAGACTTACCTGGACAAGGTAGAGAACATTTGCAAGAAGTTTTCAAGTCCTTTCTGTCACAGAATGGAATGTCCAGAGATGGACTGTGAGGAAGAACGGGCCTTGCTGGAATGTGGAGGGAAGAATTATGAACAGGCCAAGGCCTGCTTTGAAAAGGATCTGGCAGTGGCTGCTGAAAACCCTGAACTCAACACTGGGTATGAAATCACCGCCTGTCGCCTGGATGGCTTTAAATTAGCAACGGGGGATCACAAGTCATTTTCTTTGCCTACCCTAAGGCAGGCTGTCAGGCTAAATGTAGATGATAGATATAGTAAGGTTCTTCTTGCCCTGAAGCTTTGGGATGAAGGACAGGAAGCTGAAGGAGAAAAGTACTTTGAAGGAGCTCTGGCCAATACGTCCATGCAGACCTTTGTCTTTGGATATGTCTTTGGATATGTCTTCTCTTCTTACTGAAGAGAAGACTTTGTGGATGAAGCTCTTGAGCTCTTAAAAACCTCCTTGCAGGCAACTCCCACTTCTGCCTTCCTGCATCACCATATAGGGCTTTGTGACAGGACACAAAAGATCCAAATGAAGGAAGCTACCAACAAGCAGCCTAGAGGGCAGAACAGAGAAAAGGTAGACAAAATGATAAGATCACCTGTATTTCATCTTCAATCTGCTGTGGAACAAAAGCCCACATTTGAGGTTGCCTATATAGAACTGGCAGGAAAGTATATAGAAGCAGGCAATCACAGAAAAGCTGAAGACACTTTTCAAAAAGTGTTGTGCATGAAACCAGTGGTAGAAGAAATAATGCAAGACATATATTTGCACTATGGTAGATTTCAGGAATTTCAAAAGAAATCTGATGTCAGTGCAATTATCCGTTATTTAAAAGCAATAAAAATAGAAAAAGGCATAATTTTCAAGGGATAAAAGTGTCAATTCTTTGGAGAAACTGGTTTTAAGGAAACTTCAGAGAAATGCGTTAGACCTGGAAAGCTTAAGCCTCCTTAGGTTTCTGTACAAATTGAAAGGAAACATGAATGAAGCTCTAGAGTACTGTGAGTGGGCCCTGAGACTGGCTGCTGAGTTTTAGAACTCTGTGGGACAGGGTCCTTAGGCACTCAAATATTGACCACTTTCATATTTCATTTGATTTTCTGTTAACGTGCTAATCAAGGCTGAGGTGAGTGGATCACCTGAGGTCAGGAGTTCAAAACCAGTCTGGCCAAAGTTGCGAAACCGCTTCTCTACTAAAAATACAAAAATTAGCCAGGGGTGGTGGCACACACCTGTAATCCCAGCTACTCAGGAGGCTGAGGCAGGAGAATTGCTTGAACCTGGGAAGCGGAGGTTGCAGTGAAATGAGATCGCACCACTGCACTCCAGCCTGGGCCACAGAACGAGACTGCATCTCAAAATAAAGAAAAAATGATAATCATCTTTTCTGCTTGCTGTTTTCAGAAACATATTATGTAATTCACTGTAATGATGTAATTATTGAACAGTTACTCAAATCTGATAAAATATTAGTTGCATTCAATAATTAATGAATCAATGTGTGTGTGCATGTAAGAAAAACCATTTGTATGAAGCAGAAAAAAAATGTTAGGTAGATTTGTAGGAAACAAAATACTGGACTTACACTAAAATAAAGTGAGAAGGTCGGTGCCATGACCCAGTGTAATTCTTGACTCTCTATTTATCCAAGATTAATTTCTCCCCCCCTTAGTTACAGTGTGAGGGCTGGATATTTGAGTTTCTATTCATGATACAGTATGTATCCCTGGAAGATGTCTCTGGTTCTAGATCATTTTTCCCAGTTCAGTGAGTAACGCCGTGTATTTATTTGCTATAACAAAGAACCATAGACTGGGGGCTTAAACAACAGAAATTTGTTTTCTCACAGTTCTGGAGGCTGGAAATCCAAGATCAAAGTGTTGGCAGGGTTAATTCCTTCTGAGGCTGTGAGAATCTGTTCATTGCCTCTCTCTTTGCTTCTGGTGATTTGCTGGCATTTTTTGGCATTCTTTGGCTTGTAGATGTCTCACCTCCACCTTTGCTTCATTGTAAGGTGGTGGTCTCCCAATGTACATGTCTGTGTCTAAATTTCCCCATATATTAGGACACCAGTCATTATATTAGAGCCTGCCCATATGTGTGGGTGGAGGATTACCCAGGTGCCGAGGCAAGAGACTGAAGGCACAAACTATTTCAGTATAATAAAGAAAATAGTTAGATTAAGGATAGTCATAATACAAATTAGATATAGAGATGATCATGGACAATTAGCAATCATTATAAACCTTAATCATTAGCTTTTAGTATTATTCTTTGCTGCATTACTAATATAACCTAGGAATAACTGGCGGGTATAGGGTGAGGTGCTGAAGGGACATTGTGAGAAGTGACCTAGAAGGCAAGAGGTGAGCCTTCTGTCACGCCCGCATAAGGGCCACTTGAGGGCTCCTTGGTCAAGCGGTAACGGCAGTGTCTGGGAAGACACCCGTTACTTAGCAGACCGCAAAAGGGAGTCTCATTTCCTTGGAGGAGTCAGGGAACACTCTGCTCCACCAGCTTCTTGTGGAAGCCTGGATATTACGCAGGCCTGCCCGCAGTCATCCGGAGGCCTAAATCCCCTCCCTGTGGTGCTGTGCTTCAGTGGTCACACTCCTTGTCCACTTTTATGCTTCTCCCGTACTCTTGGTTCCTCTTTGAAGTTCGTAGTAGATAGCGGTAGAAGGAATAGTGAAAGTCTTGAAGTCTTTGATCTTTCTTATAAGTGCAGAGAAGAAAACGCTGACGTATGCTGCCTTCCCTCTCTGTTTCGGCTACCTAAAAGGAAAGGGCCCCCTATCCTGTAATCACGTGAATTGCTTCACCTTTTCAATCACTTAGAAGATTCACCCTCCTTACCATGCCCCCTTGTCTTGTATGCAATAAATATCAGCAAGCCCAGCCGTTCGGGCCGCTACCGGTCTCCCGCGTCTTGATGGTAGTGGTCCCCTGGGTCCAGCTGTTTTCTCTTTATCTCTTTGTCTTGTGTCTTTATTTCTTACAATCTCTTGTCTCCGCACACGAGAACACCCGCTAAGCCGCATAGGGCTGGACCCTACACATATGACCTCATCTTTTTTTTTTTTTTTGAGTTAGGGTCTCACTCTGTTGCCCAGGCTGGAGTGCAGTGGTGTGATCTCAGCTCACTGCAGCCTCTGCCTCCCCAGCTCAAGCAATTATTGTGCCTTAGCCTCCCGAGTAGCTGGGACGACAGGCACGTGCCACCACACACGGCTAATTTTTTGTATTTTAATAGAGCTGGGGTTTCACCATGTTGCCCAGGGTGGTCTTGAACTCCTGAGCTCAGGCATTCTGCTTGCCTCAGCATCACAAAGTGCTGGGATTATAGGCTTGAGCCACTATGCCCAGCGTGTCTTAGGATTTTTCAACTTTATAATGGTCTGAAAACAAAACATGAGTACCTTACAACTATTCTTTTTCACTTCCAGTACAGTATGCAATAAATTACATGAGATATTCAACACTTTTTTTTTTAAAAACAGGCCTTGCGTTAGATGATTTTGCTCAACTGTAGGCTAATATAAGTGTTCTGAACACATTTAAGATAGGCTAGGCTAACCTCTATGCTCAGTAGGTTAAATGTATTAAATGCATTTTCTTTTTTTTTTTTTGAGATTGAAAGTCACATTTATTGCCACGTGAAGGAAAGCCAATTAAGTCAAATTGATTAATGTTTGCAGAGTATATCTGTTTCGATCCTTTTGTTTTTAATCTACCTTTGTCGAATTTAAAGTGAGTTTCCTATAAGGAACAAATAGTCGGGTTATAAATTTTTATCCACTCTTTCAATCTCTGTCCATTGATTGGATATTTACATCACTTACAATGAAGGTAATTATTGATATGCCAGCATTCAACTTTGTCATTTTATTATTTGTTTTCTATTTGTTTCTCCTGCTTTTCATTCCTCCATTTCTCTTTTCTTGCCTTCCTGAAGGTTACTTAAATATATTTTAGGATTCCATCTTGATTTATTTTTAGTGTTTTCAGGCATTTTTGTATTATTTTTGTAGTTGTTTCTCTAGGTGTTACAACATACATGTATGACTTACAGCAGTCTACTAGTATCAATATTCTACCACTCTAAGTGAAGTGTGAGAATTTTGCTTTCATTTTGATTTTGGAGGGAAAGGGATTGGATAGTGACCATATACAGACCTTTTTCTTCCCTACTTTTAAATACTATTTTCTTGGATATCATAGTATTATTATTTTTGTTTTAGTCATCAAACATAATTTATAAACTGCATGAGGAAATGATAGCTTATCGTATATGTCCATTTCTCAAACTCTTTCCATTGTTTCTTCCTCCATCCTATTGTCCTCAGTCCTGATGCTCTGAGAGTCTTCCTTTAATCTTCTCTTTTCTGTTTAAACAATTTCTTTTAGGCAATTTTTGAGTTAGAGAAAATTCTTTTAGTTTTCTCTCATCTCAGAATATTTTATTTCTCCTTTATTCCTTGAGAATTGTTTCAGGATATAGAATTTGTAGTTGATAATTCTTTCTTTCAGTACTTGAAAAATATTGTGCCACTTCCCTCTGGCCTCTGGTTTTAGATGAGAAATCTGTCATCATTCCAATTGATGTGTCCCTATTTAAATGCATTTTCAACTAACAACGGGTTTATTGTGACATAACCCCATCATAAGTTGTCCTCGACTGTGTTTCCAGATAAGGCTGCATTCACAGGTACTGGGAATTAGTCACAATGTATCCTGTAACATCCTGGAACCTTTCCTTATGTCAGTCAGTCCTGGTCACCTGTTTGGTCCCTGGCAGTTTTTTCTCATTTCTGTTCAGAAGAAGAAAAAGGTAAAGATTCTTCAGATTTAGGAATAACAGAATTCTCAAAAATGTCATTTTACCAGTTTAGTTGGGGAAGGAGATTAGACTCTGAGCCTTCCTGTGCTTAGTTCTATCCATAATCTTCTGTTTCTTAATCACCAGATTTTAAATTTTATATCATGATATTCCACGTTTGTAGATTTTGGGTGAATGTTTCCTTTTTAAAATTTAATTTGTTTTTAAGTGTTAAAGTTCTATTAGAAAGTTTCAAGGAGCCACCTTAAACCAGAAGTCTTTAACACCCAGATCTAGTCATGATGCCTCCCAGCTTAAAATCTTCAGTGGTCCCCTGTCCCTTAGAAAATGAAACCCAGACTCTTTTGTATACCCCCAAAACCATTCAACTTCCTGCCTTAAACCACCACCATACACACGTCAGCTAAACTCTAATTTTAGGCTGGGCGCAGTAGCTAATGCTTGTAATCCCAGGACTTTGGGAGGCTGAGGCGGCTCGCAAGGCTAGGAGTTTGGGACAAGTCTGGGCAACAGTGAGATTCTGTCTCTATAAACATAAAAACTAAATTTAAAAAAAAAACTACTTTAAAACATAATAATAAAACAAACTGTACAAGTTCATATTCCTGATGCATGATAACATTTAATGCTTCCTACCTTTAAAAATCTTCTTTGTTTTGCATAGATGCTCTTTTGTTCTCCCCCTCTTGATGAATTTGTCCTATTCATTATTCAGCTCAAGTATTACCTCCCTAGTCAGATGCTTACAGTCTGGGTTAGATCCTCCTTCCTCCAGCTTTTGAAGCATTTTGTTGGTTTGGCTGTTTCAGCACTTGTCACATGGTCCATGATCCTACCTGTACACTTCTGAATAAGCCACCTACTAGCCTCAGTAATACAATGATCTCTTCAAGGACAGGGACTCTGTTTGGATTTCTACTTCCACTTCTGACATAATGGGTTGAAGCAGGGGTCAGTTGTTGAAAACTCCAGGTATGCAGCATCTCATACGGTCCTCATAGTCACACTGTTCATTTGCTATTATCATCCCACTTTACAGATGGGGAAACTGGAGCTCAGAGAGGTTAAGTAGCCTGCTCAGGGTCACAATGCTATAAATTGATTTGAACTTATACTTTCAGGCCCTAAAGCTCTTAGGTTCTTTCTTATACTTCATGCTGACAAAACAAAAGCAAACTCAACATTTGAGAGTTGGGCTTAAAACAGGGACATCTGTATTTTTAATCTAATGCTTTGTTACTGTATTACAGAAACACTGTGATATATAATGAGTTAATTAAACGAGAACCTTTCTTAGGTTGGGAAAGATTTGTTTTGGGGAAAGCCTGTTTCCCTGGGAAACAGACTTACAGATTTCATGTAGGAGATTAGAAAATGCCCTTAGGAACAGCACTTGTGAGGAAGCAAATGCAGCAGGATTGGGCAGAAGAAGAAGAAAGGTTCAGTTAGTCCCACAGGGACTTCTGGAGCTGGGTGGCCCTTCAGAGTCTTGCTAGCCTGAGGCAAGAGCCAGTCCTTGCATACTGGCTCCTCCAGGGAGGGGCATAGCCTTAAGCAAGACAATGCCTTTCGACAGAGGGCAAGTCCAGGAGGGAACTCAGAGGTGAGTTGTCAATAGCTAGCTCTCCCCAGAAGCTGGAGGATCACATGCCTTGGTCCTGAAGGGGATCTGCACCCGCACCATGGCATCCACTCCAGGTGGAATCGGTGACAGTGGTTTTATAAATTGCTAAGTCCTTTATTGTTTCAGTGACATTTTCTAAAAGGAATTAAAAGCTTTGAAGAATTCTATGCAAGTTCAGAGTAGGCCAGACCACAAAGCTGCAAAATAAGTTTCTTCTTTTCCTTTTGTCTTGTGAAGATTTACCTAGTGTAGGATTCTAAAAGTGTTACACTAAAAATTCTTCCAGTTGTTATCAGTTGTATGATAATTAAAGAAATAAGGCTTCCATTTCTTTTGATGGAATTTGATCCAGACATGGAAACCTCCACTTACGTAAAAGTGCAATGAGGAAACTACACTGTTTACTTTTTATTTTTCTGTATTCTAAATGTTTTTCAATAAACATGTATTTTATATTTGGGGAAAACAAGATATATTTAAAAAGGACATTTGGGAGAAGGACAGTACTATCATCAAGTTTTGAATATAATTAGAGGCAAGTTCCAAAATTAGAAAATGGAACATGCTTGAGAAACTTATAATTTCTTTAAAAGCAGTGTTTAAAATTAAGATCCATTAAATAAATTTGAAATGAAAAGAAAGAAAAGATGAACCATCATTTGCAATAGAATAAACAAATCCTTATCTGAGAATGACATTTCCATTCCCTGTTATTTACAACGGATACATAATTCTCAGAGTAACAAAAACAATAAAGTATAAAGAGTAGAATTAAATGCTTAGTGCCTCTTCCAACTCCAGCTTTCCTAGCCTCAGTTCTATCCTGGTTTATCCCAGGATAGAATGGATAGCACCTACCCATCTTTCACTTTAGAATTTTATAACTCTTGGCTAGGCACAGTGGCTCATGCCTGTAATCCCAGCACTTTGGGAGGCCAAAGCAGGCAGATCACTTGAGGCCAGGAGTTCAAGACCAGCCTGGCCAACATGGCTTGAACCCGGGAGGCGGGGGCTGCGGTGACCCAAGATTGCACCACTGCACCCTAGCCTAGGCCACAGAGTGAGACTGCGTCTCAAAAAAAAAAAAAAAAAATTATAACTCTTTATTTTGAACTAATTTCAGACCTTTAAACAAGTTGCAAAAATCGTGGAATTTCCAAATATTCCTCACCTAGCTTCCCCTAATGTTAACATCTTGCATAACCGTAGTACAATTAGAATCAGAAAGTTAATAGTGGTATAATTATTACCCATACTGTAGATGTATTTGAAAAATTGTTTGAGTTTAAGGTATTTTACCCTGTTTCCCCTTTTTTGTTCTGGGATCCCAAATTGCATTTAGTCATTTTTCCCCTGTATTTTCTACCAGTCTTTAATACTTCCTGTCTTCTTTTTCATGATCATTATGCTTTTGAATAGACTGATAATGATCATTATGTTTTTGAATAGACTGATCAATTATTTTGTAGCATTCCCCTCAATTTGAGTTCGTCTGATGTTTTCTCATGACTAGGATGAAGTTATGCATTTCTGGCAAGACTACCACTGAAGTGATGATGTGTCTTTCTCAGTACATCATATCAAGGGGTTAATGATACTGATCTTAATCACTTGATTAAGGTGATAATCTGCTGGGTTTCTCCTCTGTACAATAACTTCCTTTTTCTTTGTAGTTAATAAATATCTTGAGGGAGATTCTTTGAGACTGAATCCTATTTCACATCAAACTAGCATTCATCAGTTGATTTTGTTTGCAACAATGATTACTGTGGTATTTGCCTAATTATGATTTTTCTCCCTTTCTTTCCTTCTACATTAATTGGAATTCTATAAGGAAAAGCTGTGCCCTTTCCACCAATGTATTTATTTGGTTATTTATATCAGTATGGACTCAAGAACATTTATTTTATTCTGCAGGTTAAAATTTGGTACCTTCATTATTTTATTGTTTAACTTTTTTTTTTTAGCTTTGACCATTAGGAGCTTTCTCATATGGACTCGTGTGTTCTTTCAACCAGCTTTCTTCACTTTTTGAACACTTCCTTATTTTTTGACATCACAAGATGTTCCAAGTTCATCTTATATGTTCCCTGCCCTAGTCTTGGAATCAGCCATTTCTCTTGGCTTCTTTTTTTTAGTAGAAAATGGTGTTTAGATCCAAGATCTGGTTGCTAGATAGGCTCATTACTTTACTGTGGAGGCATCAGTACTGCCAGGCCCTCTCAGCAGACAGAGGTGGGAAATGTTTGTCTTCCATTTTGGATTCCCTCATGTCTAGTTGGATTTGTTTGTTGGTTGGTTTATTGGGTATGTGAAGTATCACTGTGGTTCTAGGGAGTCAGACCTGTACAAAAAGATATACTTCATGTCACTTCCTCCTTATCCTTGCAGTCCCAATCCTAATCCTCCTTTTTCCCCCACTCACACCCTGTTCCTTTAGTTTCTGAGTTTATCCTTCCTGATTTCTTTTGCTCAAATGAACAGATACATGTGTATTTTCTTATATTCCCTTCTTCCTTATAAGAAGGGGAACATACTCTAGCCTTTCTTTTATGCTTTTCTTTTTTAACTCAACACTGTCCTGGAGATCAGTTCATAGAAATCGTCCTCACTCTTTTTTTACAGCTACGTGGTACACCATTGTTTGGATGTACCACAGTTTATCCAACTCTATCCTGTATATGAGCTAATAAAAGTTGCTTCCAATATTTTATAATTATAATGTTTCAGTGAGTAACCTTGTTCATAGGTGTTTTCATGAACTTTATGTTCATGTGTATTTTACTATTATTAGAGGTCTATCTTCAGAGAGGAGTACAAGAAATGGGATTACTGGGTGCAAAGGTAAATGGATATGTGTCTTTGCTAGGTATTGCCAAATTTATCTCCAGAAATCTTGCACAAATCTGTACTCCTGTTAGCAATGTGTGCGTATACCTGCTTCCACATGACCTCAGTAAAAGAATGTGTTGTCATATTGGTATTGAAATTTTAGCACTGTAAGCAACAGGTCATTTTGGAAAACCTGAGCTTTCGCCAAATTCAGCTATTTTGATTTGCTTTTATTATTAGCATATACCAAAATAAATAGGCATATTAGAGTTTCCTTTCTTGCATCTTAAAATTCATCTAACACATCTATAATAACATTCTTTTCTTTTTTTTCCATTCTAGGACTTGCCCCTTTCGTCTATTTGTCAGACGAATGTTACAATTTACTGGCAATAAAGTTTTGGATAGACCTTAATGAGGACATTATTAAGCCTCATATGTTAATTGCTGCAAGCAACCTCCAGTGGCGACCAGAATCCAAATCAGGCCTTCTTACTTTATTTGCTGGAGATTTTTCTGTGTTTTCTGCTAGTCCAAAAGAGGGCCACTTTCAAGAGACATTCAACAAAATGAAAAATACTGTTGAGGTAAGGTTACTTTTCAGCATCACCACACATTTTGGTATTTTTCTATTTTGACAGTCCAGTATCAAGGAAATAGCTTTTATACAAATTGGATAGTTGAGGTAGTATGTGAGGTAAAGTTTAATCATATATTAATTGCCCATGAACCTCAGGAGATGGGGGAATGGGGAAATGACAGCAACTAGAAAGAGAAGAATGACTTGAAGGGAAATGAGTTAGGAGAAATTGTGAGAAGGATGTTCAGAAATGCAGACTTTGTAAGCAAACTGGAAATTGGTTACAAGAATAATATGAGTTATCTGTGGTTTGCAGCAGTCAGCAGTGTGATTAGTTAATAATATAGAGACTACAGGTTTACATTTAAACTCCATATCTAGTGTTTTATACAGATTATATTTCTTTGACTTGATTTAATCCCAGATAAGAGACACTGATATTATTTTCCCTAGATCATGTATGCATTTTCTGCTTAAATCTATATATACATTATATAATATTAGCTGGTGTTTATTGAGTGTTTACTATGTGTCAGACCTTGTTCTAAGCTTCTCATTTAATTCTCCCACAACCTTATGAGGTAGGGAACTGTTTTTCTATTTTATCAGTGAGAAACAGGTTAAATGGCTTGCCTTAGGTCAAATGCCAAGTTAGTAAAACTAGGATTCATACTTAGGCCATCGAATGCAGAACCCAGACTAGGAACTGCTATGCAATGCTGCTTCCCAGTAAAATTTGAGATTTCATGAGTTGGTAACTAGTGAAGAATACACAAAAAATAAGCCTCTTAATTCTGTAGTTTAATATTTGAAATGTGTGTTATTCAGAATTTATATAAAAATATATTTTAAAAGCATTAGAGTAGCTGTATAAAGAAAGCTGTGTTGACATTTTACCTAGAGACTCTATGCATAATGAATAACACTCTGCTATATCTAGTTTCTAAATTAGGGGTGGGAGTTGTATTCATTATTTAGTTCCCATACAGCATATCTACTGTTTACACCCCACATTTTCTTTTTTTCTTTCTTTCTTTTTTTTTTTTTTTTTTTTTTTTTTTTAGAGACAGAGTCTTGCTTTGTCACCCCCAGGCTGGAGTACAATAGCACAATCTCGGATCACTGCAGTGTCTGCCTCCTGGGCTCAAGCGATTCTCGTGCCTTAGCCTCCCAAGTAGCTGGGACTACAGGTGCGTGCCACCACGCCCAGCTAATTTTTGTATTTTTAGTAGAGACATGGTTTCACCATGTTGGGCAGTCTGGTCTCGAACTCTTGGCCTCAAGTGATCTGCCCACCTTGGCCTCCCCAAGTACTGGGTTTACAGGCATGAGCCACCGAGCCCGCATTTTCTCTGAGACGTCTTCAAAGGCAGTTTACTAATCCTGCTGAAGAGACAACTGTCATTTACACAGCATTTTAAAGTTTTACAAAATACTGTCATGAATTAGGTTAAACCATATGAAATTGCTGATATTTGACCAGTTGTGATTTCTCAAGCAACAGTTTCATGTAGTTTAACCTATAAATCATTTCAATTAATTCTTGGAACAGACGTGAGGTAGGTGAGGCAATTCTTTCTTTTCTCTAACCAAAGAAGTACCTTTATAGATGTGAGATGATTCCCAGCTATTAAGTAGTAAATAGAGCTAGGACTTGAGCCCCAATCTTCCAGCTTCAATCCAGATCATATGACAGCTTGCTGATTAAACTAGATGACAGAGAAGATCTCTTTCCTTCAGATACACATACTTTTTCTCTGTTCCCCTCTCCCTATCAGCTAGATTCCCCTAAATCACTGATACTGGTTTTGTAATTTTGCATCGGCATGTTTGACAATTGGTATCACATTTAGGGTTTTTCATTCTTTTTTGGTCCAAACTTTTCATTTCTGCTTTTAAAGGAAATACTTTTGGAAACATAAATATGTGGGTTTGCAATTTATAAAGCAGCTTTTCCACTTATTTTCTTAGAATATTGACATACTTTGCAATGAAGCAGAAAACAAGCTTATGCATATACTGCATGCAAATGATCCCAAGTGGTCCACCCCAACTAAAGACTGTACTTCAGGGCCGTACACTGCTCAAATCATTCCTGGTACAGGAAACAAGCTTCTGGTAAGTTAATGTAAACTCAAGGAATATTATAAGAAGTATATATGGAGGCCATCGTATATTCTGTTGTATACCTAGTAAACATGGTAAAATGTAATTAAACTTAATTAGAAAATGTGGTTGTTATGTGGCTCCTGTAAGTATAGTTATTTAGAAATTTTATTTATTGAAGCAAGATATGAAACTCTGGGTGCACACTTTCCAAACAGGTGCTTTCATTTACATGTGATTGAAAAGTGTTTTTTGTCATTTATTTCACTGTTCCATACAATTAGGGTTGTTTCTAAGCTGTTTGTAAGCTGTTTCTAAGCTATTTAAGTGGTTAAATCACAGTAGATGCAAATCAAGCTAAAGTCTTTAACATTGGCTAATGGCTGATTCTTAAATAGCTAATACTTGCTAAGGGTATCTATATTAACTCATTTAATCCTCATAACAACCCTATGAGATAAAACCTAAGTCCTCACTTAACATTGTCAATAGGTTTTTGGAAACTGATTTTAAGGGAAGTGATGTATAACAAAACCATTTTTTTTTCTCATCACTGTTCTAACAAAATGATGTTGAAGATTTAAATGACATTGCTCAAAGACCTGCTATACATTGTTTGACTTAAAGTCACAGTTTCCGAGAACCTATCAATTATGTTAAGTGAGGACTTGACTCTATTATCCTGATTTTGTAGATGAGGAGACTGTGGCATAGAGAGAGGTTAAGCAATTGCCTAATAAGGTCACAAAGCTAGAAAAGTAGGTATTAGAACCCAGATAGTGTGTGTTCTCAAGATGGCTTTAAAATATTTATCTTTGTTTAATCTGTTAATAATAAAAAACAAAAGATTAAAGCATAAGTGACGTCCCCTACCTCCTTTTTTATCTTTTACTGTGATTATTCTTCATCTTCCTTCCTTTTCATGTCATTTTATATGTTCTTATGTAAAATTACTTTCATCTAGAATAGGAATAATGTGAACTGAAATCACCTAACCTATTAGGAGTTAGGGGAGGGAGACTGTGTGTAATATTTGCGTGCTTAAATATTTTCAATGAAAAGTTACTTTGATTTAGTTTTTTATGTTACTACATAATTATGATAGGCTACGTTTTCATTTTTTTATCAGATGTCTTCTCCTAATTGTGAGATATATTATCAAAGTCCTTTATCACTTTGTATGGCCAAAAGGAAGTCTGTTTCCACACCTGTCTCAGCCCAGATGACTTCAAAGTCTTGTAAAGGGGAGAAAGAGATTGATGACCAAAAGAACTGCAAAAAGAGAAGAGCCTTGGATTTCTTGAGTAGACTGCCTTTACCTCCACCTGTTAGTCCCATTTGTACATTTGTTTCTCCGGCTGCACAGAAGGCATTTCAGCCACCAAGGAGTTGTGGCACCAAATACGAAACACCCATAAAGAAAAAAGAACTGAATTCTCCTCAGATGACTCCATTTAAAAAATTCAATGAAATTTCTCTTTTGGAAAGTAATTCAATAGCTGACGAAGAACTTGCATTGATAAATACCCAAGCTCTTTTGTCTGGTTCAACAGGAGAAAAACAATTTATATCTGTCAGTGAATCCACTAGGACTGCTCCCACCAGTTCAGAAGATTATCTCAGACTGAAACGACGTTGTACTACATCTCTGATCAAAGAACAGGAGAGTTCCCAGGCCAGTACGGAAGAATGTGAGAAAAATAAGCAGGACACAATTACAACTAAAAAATATATCTAAGCATTTGCAAAGGCGACAATAAATTATTGACGCTTAACCTTTCCAGTTTATAAGACTGGAATATAATTTCAAACCACACATTAGTACTTATGTTGCACAATGAGAAAAGAAATTAGTTTCAAATTTACCTCAGCGTTTGTGTATCGGGCAAAAATCGTTTTGCCCGATTCCGTATTGGTATACTTTTGCTTCAGTTGCATATCTTAAAACTAAATGTAATTTATTAACTAATCAAGAAAAACATCTTTGGCTGAGCTCGGTGGCTCATGCCTGTAATCCCAACACTTTGAGAAGCTGAGGTGGGAGGAGTGCTTGAGGCCAGGAGTTCAAGACCAGCCTGGGCAACATAGGGAGACCCCCATCTTTACAAAGAAAAAAAAAAGGGGAAAAGAAAATCTTTTAAATCTTTGGATTTGATCACTACAAGTATTATTTTACAAGTGAAATAAACATACCATTTTCTTTTAGATTGTGTCATTAAATGGAATGAGGTCTCTTAGTACAGTTATTTTGATGCAGATAATTCCTTTTAGTTTAGCTACTATTTTAGGGGATTTTTTTTAGAGGTAACTCACTATGAAATAGTTCTCCTTAATGCAAATATGTTGGTTCTGCTATAGTTCCATCCTGTTCAAAAGTCAGGATGAATATGAAGAGTGGTGTTTCCTTTTGAGCAATTCTTCATCCTTAAGTCAGCATGATTATAAGAAAAATAGAACCCTCAGTGTAACTCTAATTCCTTTTTACTATTCCAGTGTGATCTCTGAAATTAAATTACTTCAACTAAAAATTCAAATACTTTAAATCAGAAGATTTCATAGTTAATTTATTTTTTTTTTCAACAAAATGGTCATCCAAACTCAAACTTGAGAAAATATCTTGCTTTCAAATTGGCACTGATTCTGCCTGCTTTATTTTTAGCGCTATCACAGGACCCAGAGCCTATGCCCTTTTAAACTTACCACAAAAGCAGAAGATTAATTCAATTTAAGATGATACTCTCATTTGTTACGTCCTTTTTTTTTTTTTTTGGAGATGGAGTCTTGCTTTGTCGCCCATGCTGGAGTGCAGTGGCATGATCCTGGCTCACTGCAGCCTCCACTTCCCGGGTTCACGTAATTCTCCCACCTCAAGCCTCCCTAGTAGCTGGGATTACAGGGACGCACCACCATGCCCAGCTAATTTTTGCATTTTTAGTAGAGACTGGGTTTTACCATGTTGGCCAAGCTGGTCTCAAACTCCTGATGTCAGGTGATCCATCTGCCTCAGCCTCCCAAAGTGCTGGGATTATAGGCGTGAGCCACTGTGCCCGGCCAATATTTGTTACTTTCTTAGGTTTAATAGAGAAAAGGGATAAAACATTTCTAACTGGGAGTTAATTGCATGGAGAAGGTCTTAAATCAGATGTTTTAATGCCTTAAATGTCTGTATAATATCATGTTTTCAAATCTAATTATAAATACGTTTAAAGCCAAGAATAAATCTTTTAAAAAATTGACTTGTTTCCTTCCATAACTCTGAGCCATGATTTTTCTGTTCTGTAAAAAGCATTAACAAAATTGTCTATTTTGCTACTCCCTGTAACTTAAGTATTCTGCAAGTCTTATTAATGAGACTTGTTTTGTTTCTAAAACAGTTTGGTTTTCACATCCTAATTTTGCAGTGATCCACTCTAGAACAAGGAATAAAACTTGGGTTTCAAACAGGAGAACAGAAAAAATTACAAGAATTTAACCTTTTCTTTTTTGAATCCTTGGTACAACTGCTATTGTCTGTTCTCATGTAGAACACCCATTATGTTGATAGATATGTAATGCGCACACTTTTTTATAAATTATAAATAACATCCAAGCTACATGAAACAAAATATGAAGCTTGAGTATATGTGCATATTATCCCCTCAAAAGTGACAATTTAATGACTACAAAGTCAACATACTGCATCATAAGGGATAATGGTAAAAATTTGTGTTATTTATTCAGCAATCATTTAATGAGACCCTATTGCCCATAAAGAGCATTTGCCAGTTCTATGAATGATGCAAACAGCGAACACAATACAAGTCAATATTGGGTGTTCAAAGAGTTACACAAATCAGAAGCCATGGGAGTTGAAAAACAGATCACTTCTACAGGGGATAAAGTTGATGGCATTTAATCAATTTTTATGGTTTACAAACCAAATATTTCAGGGGTCAGCTAGGGAAAGAAGAGACATTAAATAGGCCAGGAAACTATTCTTTAGAGCTCTAGAAAAGTTATGTAACCCAGAGCCACTTCTCCATAGTGGTCACTCACTTAACCCAAGTGAGCCAAAAACCCTAAAGCAGGGAGCCAGCCAAGTCAGGAGGGCTTGAATCTGGTCCTTTGAACCGCTCATGTGAAATCAAAGGATGGTAATTTCCACTTTGAGCTCTCTGACATTTCTCCCCTCTACCAGCCCAGACGAGTCAAGCCATCCATATTGAGCTGGTTATGCCACCACCCTATCAACCAAGATACCCAGGACTACCTGGGCCTGGAAAATGGGAGCATTATTAAGTAGATCATTAGGAGATTATTTTATGTTGTGCTTGGAGATACAGAAGTTAGCAAAGCTGATAACACCTTAGATTCATTGGGATTTACTATTGTCAGCCAAACTTACTCAAAGGAGATACCAGTTTTTAAAATGTTAGTGAAGAAAACATTACACATGGTGTTGGTAGTCATGGAGATGTCGAGCAGGTTTCAGTAGTGTCAGATAACGTTAAAACAGTCTCATGTACACAGATCAAATATATAAGCAACTAAATTATAAGGCTGCTTTTGTCATTACCTTTACGATTCCTATTTATTAAAAAAAAGACTGGTAAATAAGCCTGTGATACAGAAAAACTGGTATATTGTTGAGTTTCTTGGCATTTAGGTAATTAAATTTTTTTATTGTTGAACCAAAAAAAGATCCAATGACAAATCCATATAAATGTGATACCATTTACAATTTTTAATAACCATAAAAGCACCATTATATAAGACACTTAAAATAATTTTTCACAGAACATTAGAAAGAAGCTGTTGGCCAACAAGAAATAGAGCATACGTCCTCTGTGGTCTTGTCTATCATGATCTCACATTAAATCTGATTCCAACCTGTTGGAAATTAATTTGGATTCATAAATTCAGCATCAGTATAAGAAGACATTCCAGAGTTGTGAGGACTTGATTGTCTTAATGCCACATAAAACATCAACTGCTCATTTTGTAATGAGCATGGCTTTTATATATCCCTGTATGACCTATATCCTGGGGTGCCTAATTTCTTGCACTCCCAAACATTTGAGCTGCCGACTAATTACACATGTTAATAGGCATAATTTTAGAAGTCGTTTATTCCTTTTAAAAGTTAGTGTTTTATGAAGGCAGGCTTATTTTATTTACACTATTAGCACAACAGCCAAAAGTTATTCAGGTTTAATCCTGCTGAATAAAGTAGTAAAAACACAAGGCGTGACTTTAAATAATGACACTGATTTCCCTCAGTAGCTCCTGTAGCTATTAAGGATTTGACAGCATTTTTAACAATGATACATCATTAAAATAAAGAAATAACTTCCCAAAGTGTCTACTTTGAAGGACAATGTTCCCTTAGATGTATGCTTTCTGGCATATTAACATTAAAGGAAAATCAGTATCATAAGAGTCGCACATCTCACATTTTTAGATACATAGATTATCAAAGTAGCAATGGCACTTTGATAAGTAGCAATGCCCCCCCACCACTTCTCTCCACCTTCCCAACTTTACCGATGGAGATGAATTTCCTGAAAAAATAAATAGATCACTTCAGAGCAAATGGTACTGAAGCTTATATATAATATAAACACTTTATTTCATCTATGAACCTATGTAAATATATTCTTGGGTGTGTTCTCAAGTTTTGGTTTCAAATTCTTACCCTAGAGAAAGAGACTGTTTACTCAAATCTGCAGAATTCCCAGCATCAGACCATGCATATAGAAGCACTTTAACAAATTTTGGTGAAGAAAGTGAATATAATGACTTTGCTCAGAAACTTTTGAGTTCAGCTATTTACACTGGAATTGGAGCTCTGACTAAAATGCAACAAAAAATAACAAAAACTGAAGTAGAAACTGACTTAGGAAAATTCTGCCTGGCTGTAAGATAGGCCTCTAATATCCATGGTGACAACCGCCCCTTCTGTGATAGGAGCTCTCATTTGTAAATCCACCGTGGGCCCTCCGGTTTGGAAACTCTGTGTAGGAATTCCAGTATCTGGCATTGTTGGAAGGCAATGCATTATTCCTGTCCTGGTTTCTGTTCATTCTGCTTGGCTTTTCTGCATGAAGCACACTGTGAAAAGTAACATCGTGTTCATACCGTTCTTTCATTCGGTGGATTTTTTCTCTTGAGACACCATGAATGTTTCTTCTACATGGAAAAAAAATGCATTTAGTTAAGGCAGGATACCACAATGAGTTACTTATATTTTACAAGTCCTCTAGTATTGCAGATATTGCAGTCCCTGTTCTCAGGACCTAGCTCTGGCAAAAGCATAACAAACATCTTGTTCAGCAGTTCTCTTTCAGCCTCCACTCATGTTTTTCATGCTGCCCTGCACACCCCCAAACCACCCTGAGGCTAGCAAGGAGCTAAAGCTTCAGAAATGCTTTGTTTCTGGTCCTCTCAATTACGTGCTTCAAGACATAAAAGAACACCATGAGATTTTTAAAAAATCATACATTTGCCTGTTAATGTCATGCATATATCTATCTACTTATGTTAATCAGTCCCTGAGATATATTTCTAGGAGATACTTATTAAAACAATCTTAAATTCTAGTGGGCAGAAGAATCAACTGGGGATATAGTTAGAAATATAATTACCAGAGATTCCAACTACTGAATGGGGTCCATGAACTCGGATTTTAATAGCCACCTGAGGCAATTCTGATGGAGTAGTCCACAGATCCACTTTGAAGACACTATCTGCCTATTACCATAAGAGGAACCAGCCTTACTCCTAAGAAGTAAATTCTTACCTCACTGGCTATTTTAAGTCAATGACATTATCAAATAATACAGACAGAGAATATCTGAACCCATGCATTCAATCAACAAGTTAGTATTATTTGAACATTTATTGCTTTATAAATTAGAAGCAGCATCTAGATCATAAATGAATCGCAGACTGCTCAACCTCTAAAGATCTTTAGCCTAAATGCAAAAACACCATTGACATGTGCAGTCCCATGCAGATAAAGTGCTTTTAAATGTTCCTTGATGAAGAAGCATTTTAGCAGAATGTTAAATGCATCCTTTTAAAGGACCAAGTCCAAGCCAAGATTTAGCATTTAGCATTATATTAGAAAACTGACCCAAAACTAAAGTCTTCACATTAATAATTCCAAAGTTATCAATTTCCAAGAATTACCATTTCTGGCCTGAAAACTACCATGTCCATTTCCAGCCTGAAAAGATTCTTTTGTTCGGTCTGAAATACCTGAAAATAGCAGGATACATAATGAGGAACTAGAAAAACAAAGAAGTACCTTGCTAACTCTTGAACGTTGAATTTCCAGCGAGTGTCAGGTTCTCGGAATATAACTTCATAGTTATTTTCAAGTGCCTGATTTTTCAAAAGTACATAAAACATTGAAGACATAGTATGTATGTTTGGGAATGTTTATGCTGCCATTTAACATTTACTACAAATCTTTTCAGAATTCCTTTTGTTTTACCAGTAATCCAATGCCTTAATTTATCACAATAAATGCAGTTGTTTCATTCCCATACTTAGCCACTCTCATAATTCTCCATGATAAATTTTGCTCAATTTTATCTAGTATGTAGGAAATTTGTAAAGGTTCTTTGTTTTGGACATCTTTAAAAATAGATGACTGAGCTAGTTTAAAACGTCCTGAACACCGGTATGAATGAACTCAGTGACGTCTCAAAGTCACTTATGGGATTTTTGTAGATTTACTTGTCAGATGCCTTGTCCTATTCCTCATGCCTTCCTTTAGAAAGTGGGAGTACCATAGGAACATAACTGGTGAAATAAAAGTGATAGTCACATACTTCACATCATCTTCCTTCCAAAAGTAGCTCTCCCCATTATGCAATACAATTTGGGTCAATGCTCTGGGCCCCATTTCCTTGAGTTTAGAAAACTATTATAATTTCCTTATAAACATCCAAATATTCTTTGCATTCATAAATTGACTACTACTTTATCTCAAACTGAATTTTCTATTATCACTATAATTTATTGTGTTTATAAAACATAGAGTGGAAAGAGCTAAGCAAAAAGGTTTCCTTTTCATTCTTGAGATGGGCGCTTCTCAACTGGGAAGGATTTAAATAACACAACCGGAAACCTCTCATTTCTAAGTCGAATTAATAGCTGAGGATGGCTGAAAAAGATTATACATATCCAGAAGATAAAAAGTAAAATGAGGCCGGGCGCGGTGGCTCACACCTGTAATCCCAGCACTTTGGGAGGCCGAGGCGGGTGAATCACTTCAGCTCAGGAGTTTGAGACCAGGCTGGCCACCACGGCAAATCCCCGTCTCTACTAAAAATACAAATACTAGCCAGGCGTGGTGGTACACGCCTGTAATCCCAGCTGCTGGGGTGGCTGACACACGAGAATTGCTTGAATCTAGGAAGCAGAGGCTGCAGTGAGCTGAGATCGTGCCACTGCACTCCAGCCTGGGAGACAGAGCGAGACTCTCTCTCTAAACAAAACAAAAAGTAAAATGACTTCCCTTAGGCTGCTTGTCAGTTAGTCCTTAAGTCTTGGTTTTAAGTGATGGCCTTCATTCAATTGACTCTTCACGTGCCTGTTCATTTCTCGCCCAAGTAGACTAGACATGAACTGAAGTAACCACAAGTTTGGGGCTCATTCTTCCTTACATTCACCAAAGCCCCACAATCTGGGCATAAGTGGAACTGATGAAGATCATTAGAGAAAAGCACACCTGTAAGTATGCCAGTTAGCCCCAGATGTAAAAAGAAGCCTAAAATCGTGAGCCCAGTCTGGACCTATTCACTTCACAATTAACCAGGTAGGGATTCTGCATGATGCGAGGAGGATACTCCACTATCTGCTTCCTGCCCCCTTTTTTTTTTTTTTTTTTTTTTTTTTTTGAGACAGAGTCTCGCTCTTTCACCCAGGCTGGAGTGCAGTGGCACGATCTCAGCTCACTGCAAGCTCCACCTCCCGGGTTCACGCCATTCTCCTGCCTCAGACTCCCCAGTAGCTGGGACTACAGGCGCCTGCCACCACGCCCGGCTAATTTTTGTATTTTTTTTTTTTTAGTAGAGACGGGGTTTCACCGTGTTAGTCAGGATGGTCTCAATCTCCTGACCTCGTGATCCACCCGCCTCAGCCTCCCAAAGTGCTGGGATTACAGGCATGAGCCACCGCACCCGGCCTTCCTGCCCCATTTTTATGGTTCTGGATCCTTCCTCCTTTCTAGACCCAATAGGGAATGAAAACATTATCACAAGAGATGGAATATGTATGAAAAAAGACCAAATAGACTTCACAATTAAAGGATAATGTGCACACTGTTACAGGCATCGTACTGTTCTTTGCTATTCTGACAATGAGAGCTGAGTTGTTTTTATTTATATTTGCATTCTACCATCTCAATAAGGTTACAGTGTTAATCCTAAATCTGTTTTTATTTTTTATTTAATTTTCTTTTTTTGAGATGGAATTTCACTCTTGTCACCCAGGCTGGAGAGCAGTGGTGTGATCTCAGGTCACTGCAACCTCCGCCTCCCAGGTTCAAGCTATTCTCCTGCCTCAGCCTCCCAAGTAGCTAGGATTACAGGCGCCCGCCACCATGCCCCGGCTATTTTTGTATTTTTAGTAGAGATGGGTTTTCACCATGGTGGCCAGGCTGGTCTCGAACTCCTGGACTCAAGTGATCCGCCCACCTCGGCCCCCCAAATTGCTGGGATTACAGGCGTGAGCCACCACACCTGGCCCTAAATCTGTCTTTAGACTAAAATATTCTGTTGCCCTGGAACTCCCAGGGAGCAACAGCACACAGTGTGGAAATTCCCGGCTCACCAGAGGCAGAACCGTCCTGTTGTGACCTGTAGCTCCACTACGAGCGCCATCTAATTCAGTATTAGTATTGATCTGAACATTTCGGTGGGTGCTTCTCTGTATGCCTTGCCGTAGGAAAGTAATTAAGACAGAAAAGTTATCAAGGATTCACACCAAAGACCATTTGCCAAGGACTATTTTTAAATTGTATCCTCAAGTGAGATTAGCATCTCAGCAAACTTCAGCCATTGAACAGCAGAGAAACACTAAAATAAAACCTCGTTACCTTCTCCCTGGGAGAACCACTGTTAGCAAATATGAAATCATGGAACATCAGAAAAAGAGGAAAGAACAGATGCTTCAACTTTCTCACAAAATGTCCATAACTGAAAATTCAGAATGATACTTCTTCCTACCATGACTGCATAGGGCTTCATTTCCCAGGCGTGGAGGTTGGTATTATCAATAATAATGGGGGATATGCCATTCCTCATTGCTTTTCTTGCTGCAACACAATGTTACATAACAGTGAACAACATGCAACAATCAGAGGGAAGGTGAGCGTAATCTCTATTCGTCATTTTTATTACAGGATGCCCTCATCTCCTCATCACACAACTTCAGAGCCCACTATCAATCAATAATTTTCTTTCTCTGGAATCTAAGGAGGTTATGCTCTGGTGTTCTGTTTTGGGGGAAAAATTGGCAGAACTTTCGGTTAAACTCCTTCCATAAAATTTATTCATTCTGCAGCAGCTACAATCTATGTGCACATCAGGGTTTCCCAGGAGTTTGGGAAGGAATTTGTCACCTCTTTTTTGGTTCCATTCATGAGCTTCCTCCAGGAAGTCAGGATTGAACTCATAGGCACCATCTTCCCTGAAGAAAAAATCATCCGTGCTGAAAATCAGGGCCCTGGGAAAGTCATGCTGCAATTGTCTGGAAAGTGGAGAAATGAGAGAGAGAGATGTTTTAAATATATGTATAGTCTCAGTAGAAATAATCTCCTTCCATCTCTAACATTTAGCAGTTTATAATTCTGAGACCACCAGGTTTGGAGTTGTTAAAATGCAGTTTCAAAAGAGAGATGTTTATTATGTCTAGAAGGCATCACTCCTTAGCAGGAGATGGGAGAGGGCTGAGAGGCAGCAGTGTGTGTTGCCAGTCCTTGAAACTAAGAGGCACAGTCACTGCCGCTGCCTTCTGTAGCGGCAAGAACTGACTCAAGAAGAAACTGAAGCTAAGTCGCAGGCCTGGTGACTGTCTTTCTTCCTGGGCACCAATCCCGGTGCCCATTCCTCTCCGAGGCACCAGTGCCCCTGCCCAAGACCTGCCCATGGGTGCCAGACCCCCATGCTGCAGCCCTTCCCTCGGCCCCCTAAACTCTGAGCTGGCCCATTTCCTTGGAGCTCTGTTCTCTGTAAGGACCCATCTGAGAAACTAATTCTAGTGAGAAATGTGGGGAAGTGATGCACGTGCTCTACTTTATCAGGTAACATATTTATGTTTTAATGATGACCCGAGCCAAATGGGAGAAAAGCACAACAGGAGAAGGAAAGCGACAGAGCCACTGTCCCCTACCTTCCTACCCTCCACCACTCTAAGTAGGAAATATCACAGCAAAAAGAAACACCACCATGGAGCTCCCCTTTAAAGCAAAACCAAAACAAAATGAATACGCTTATTCAGTTCTGCACAAAAGAACTTCAAAGAGAAGATGTTTCCACTTGAATCCTTGCTCGTACTATCTTTTGGCAGAAGGTGGATGTCATGCTCCGCAAGAACTGGAGACGTGTCTGAGCTTCCTTTCCGCATCTGTAAAAACTGAGGACAAACAAACCCAGCCAACAAACAGAAAATATGGTCACATGGCCATGCTCAGAATAAGAAGATATTTAAAAATCGGAGGAAAAAAGGTTGGAGAATGACAAGGGCAGGAAATGCAAAGAGAAAGCAAAGCTATTCAATGTCTTTTTTGCTGTTGGTCTTCTCCATGGAGCAGAAAGATCTTTAATCCAGGAAGAACAGAACAAACATGAGGCCTTGGGGCCACAGATGAGTAAGCACTTCAGGTGCCCCCACAGGCTTGGGAGCTTTTGTTTTCTCAACTGTAAAACACAGATAATTATCCCTACCTATTAAACAGAGCTTCTAATCAGACTGAAATGAGGCCAGTATGAAAAAACATTTTGTACCCAGTAAGGCACTTTACAAAAGTAAAATGGTGTTATAATAACAATGAGGCCAAATTGACCAACCCAGACTGTTTCTACGCCACAGTAATAAACACATCGGAGCGCGCATGTCAAGTAGTCCTTGAGATACTGCGGTGAATTAAGAGGGAGATGAAAGACAAAACTAAAGTAAAATGCTTCCATTTTCAAAAACGAGTGAATATACATTCCAGAAATGGTAACTAAATATCTGTCAAAATTCTTCAGAAGCTTGATAGCATTTAAAAAGAAGGCAGCATAGATCACTGAAATTCCAAACCAAATGCATTTTCTTTTTTAATGAACTAAACAGTGGCAAACCAGGAAATTCAGTGGACATACTATGTTTGTTTAAACAGGAATCTGACAGTCTCCCTTGGTAGCTTTGCGGGGAAATGCGGGCCAGTAGATAATACACTTTAATACCGAAAGAATATTAGTTAATTATCCAACCCATTAAACATTTATTGAGCACTTAACATGTGCCAAATGCCAGGTGAAGCGTTAAGGTACAGAAAGAAAGTAGCTGCTTTCAAGGAATTCATGGCCCAGCCAAAGGAGTCAGACCTGGCACAGCCAGCGCAGCGCACAGAGGAAAAAGCTGGCCCAGCAAAGCGCTGAGAGAAAGGGTCAGGAGCCGGGGAAAGTGATGCAAAGGAGTGATGCAAGTTTGACTTGGTCCCTGAGGGATGAGAAAACTGCTGCCTCTTGGGGGAGGGGCTGAGCACACGGGCAGGAAAGAGAGGAGGAAGCGAGTGCTGGAGGGCTTGTAGGGGAGAAGGGGCTGCAGGGAAAAGCAGAAAGACTCTAAGGGTTAAAAGACGCAAATCATCTTTGAAACACTGTTTTCAAATCTGACTGCCACACAATTTAAAGAGAAATTTGGCCAGCTTGAACGTGTCCAGAGAAGAGTGATCAAATACATACAAGGTCCAGAAACCATGTCAGAGGAGCAAAGATCATCGGAGACATGCGGAGTGTTTCAGGCAGAATAGAAAATAAAAGGGATAAGGTGGATAGTTCTCAGACGCTGGGAAGTCTATTGTGTGGGCGCGGGAATGAACTTCTTTTGTGTTGGCAATTTGGGCTGGGCTCAGGTGGGCCGATCTGCGGGCCTTGCCCGGGGTCCCTGCGGCAGCTGCGTCACCTGACTACGTGGGGCTGGGCGGAGTGCCCTAAGCAGGGTCCTTCACACGTCTGGTGGTGCTGGCTCTCACTCCGCAGGGCCTGTCATCCTTCTGAAAGAGCCTCACCCAGGTCTCTTCACAGACCGCGGTATTTAAAGAGAACAAGACAAGAAGCTGCTCACCAGCGCTCCAGCACATTCTTTTGGTCAAAGCGAGTCACTTTGCTGGCCCACATTGAAGGGCGAGGAAAGTAGACTTCTTGATGGAAGGAAGAGCAAAGAAAATGTGGCCACTTTAAATCTAGTACAGATAAAGCCAGTGACACGAAGGAAGGGATAAGTATAAAGAAGACTTGATGAACCAGTGCTCATAGTTTCCGTATGAATGTCTGTTATTCGACTTCTTTAAAGATACGCACATCGAAAGTCCAAACCTTAACCTCTGATGCAAACAATTATACAGACAGGACAAAAATCTAAGGGTAGCACTGATGCATTTTCAGGTATGTATATTTTATATTTGTGAACACTGTACAGTTTTAAAGTTATTTTCATCAATATTATTTAAATAATGAAAGTTGTGTTCAGAGATTAAATAATAGTGTATAATGTATTTCCCTTATCCTCTGTACACTAAGTTAAGCAACCATGGTAACTGAATCCAAGATTTTTTTTTTCTTTCAGGTCCCGATTTGATATCCCTTCTAAATCTGGTTTCATTTGTTCTCCTATTAAGTCTGCTACTTACAAGTTTTGTTTTGGTTTTTGAACATTTTCAGACTTGAATTTTTCTTTTCATATACATACCCTTATCTGCTCTTGTTTTCCTCTTTGTGGTTTATATTATTGATTGGAAGTTAATACTTTATAATATTTCCTTTAAAAAGACTTTAAGGCATGAGTATCCAATTCACTGTTTGTTTTGTTTTATTTGAATCCTATTTCCTTCTAGAAAACAAAAACAGCACATAACACTACTGCCCTTTTAATCACAAAATTTTACCTTAGAGTAAAAGCTAAATGGCTCAGGATCACTATGGGGCAAGAACACCATCCATCATTTCCTGAGACACATCTGACTGTGGCCTCCATACTCTTCCTAACAAACAGGCAGACAAAACTAAGGGTGTTTTTCACCTTTAAGGCCAAGGATTTTTTTTTTTTTTTTTTTGGCCTGTATGATCTTCCTGAATGACTTCAAAACTTGTTTTATCTCCACCTAAATGTTAAATTAGCACTAGCAGCCATAGTAGCATGTTGAATAGGCAGGACAATAAAAACTCTACTAGCTAAATAAAGAACTGATTAAATAGACAATCTTGAGATTCTCAAACTTAAGTGGAAGCAATAAATACCATTCCATCAGCTTCAGAAGTGATGAGGGTTAAGCCCCAGTTCTATCTTTATGGTGGTCAGGAGCCTCATGCATTAGGGAAATTGAGAGAATGAAAATAAAAGGGAAAAAATAGAAAGATAATTAATTCCATATAACCTTCACCTCCCACAACCCCCGCTCAAATTCATTTAAAATCACTATTATAAGAGAAACTCAGGGGCTAATCTTGATTTCACAACTTATTCTTTTGTGTAATTCTTTATTTAATAATAGAGAACCATAGAGATATATTTAGATATCTCTTCAGCCAGTCAGTCACTCACTGAGAAAGTCAGACATTGCATGTAATTTTAACTTGACGCCCAGTTTTTTACTAGGGAAATTTTCAAGCATGCAAAAGTAGATGGAATAATATACTCGATCCTCATATACACATGACCAGTTATCAACATATGGCCAGTCTTCTCTCATGTCCTTCCTATTTCATTGCATCAGTCACTCCATCAGTGTTTAGTCTCCCTGCTTGTCTCATCAGTGTTTTCCTCCAGTTGGTGTGCGTGCAACAGGGACCAAACAAGATCCCCACATTGTATTTGGTTGCCATGTCCCTTAAGTCTCATTTATCCTATAGTTTGCCCTCTCCTTTTTATTTCCACCTGAACTTCTCCCGCCACAACCTTTTAATTAGAAAATACACAAACCTATGGAAATGAGTTGAAAAACAGTATATTGAACGCTGCTTACCCTTCATCTATGGTCACCAGATGTTCACATTTTGCCTTAGTTTATGTCTCTCCTATATATATTTTTGGAGAACAATATGAAAGTAAATTGCAGGCCGGGCGCGGTGGCTCACATTTGTAATCCCAGCACTTTGGGAGGCCAAGACGGGCGGATCACTTGAGGTCAGGAGTTTGAGACCAGCCTGGCCAACACGGCAAAATCCCGTCTCTACTAAAAATAACAAACATTAGCCAGACTGGTGGTGCACACCTTTAATCCCAGCTACTCAGGAGGCTGAGGCATGAGAATCACTTGAACCCAGGAGGCAGAAATTGCAGTGAGCCAAGACCGTGCCACTACACTCCAGCTCCAGCCTAGGTGACAGAGCGAAACTCTGTCTCAACTGTCTCAAAAAAAAAAAAAAAAAAGATAAACTCCATACATCGCGATACTTTATTCCTAAATTCTTTATCAAGTATCTCTTAAGAATAAGAACAATTCCCTGCATAACCACAATACCATTATTGCATCTAAAAAATTAAGGCAGAGTGCCCTAAGCAAGGTCCTTCACACATCTGGTGGGGCTGGCTCTCACTCCGCAGGGCCTGTCATCCTGAAAGAGCCTGAAAGAGTGATTAATTCATAAGAGCTAATGTTAGGTTTTTATTTTATTTTATTTTTATGCATTTATGTACTTATGTGTTTATTTAGAGATGGAGTCCCACTCTGTCGCCCAGGCTGGAGTGCAGTGGCACGATCTCGGCTCACTGCAACCTCCACCTCCCGGGTTCAATCAATTCTCTTGCCTCAGCCTCCCAAGAAGCTGGGATTATAGGCGCCCACCACCATGCCCAGCTAATTTTTTTGTATTTTTAGTAGAGATGGGGTTTTGCCACGTTGGTCAGGCTGGTCTCCAATTCCTGACCTCAGGTGATCCACCTGCCTCGGCCTCCCAAAATGCTGGGATTACAGGCATGAGCCACCTCTCCTGGCCTAATGTTAGGTTTTTAAATTTAAATTTTTAAAAATTCCCCAATGGTCTCAAGAATATTTTTCATAAGCTTCAAGTACTGCACTTGGTTATTATGTCTGGTTAACGTCTTTGAATCTAGAACTGTCCTCATGCTGTTTTGGTTTCTCTAGTTGGTATGAGAATGTTCTGCATTCTGGGTTTGTGTGGTTGTTTCCTAGTGATTAAACCCAGATTAAATGTTTTTTAAAAGCAAAGTACAGAGGTGATGTTTGTGTACTTCTGATTGCACATAATGACAGTCTGTCCCACCATGCTAAATTCAATGCTAAGTTCGATCACTTGGCTAAAGGGTGGTGTTAGCCAGACCTCTCCACTGGAAAGGTATCTTGCTTCCTTTGTAATATTAACTAATATGGGGGACAAAACTGTGAGCCCATGTACCGATCCAATTCTCCAACATTTCCCTCAGCAATCTTTACATCTATTTCTCTGATCACAAAACAAAAAAAGTGCAAAAAAGGAGTGAGGTTCCTATATTCCCCCATCTACAAATAATTATTAACATTTTGGTCTTCTTTCCAGGACTGGAAATATATATATAATTTCTTTTCATTTTATCTCTTGTTACATGAAGAGGAACATCATGTAGAGTACACCAAGTTTGCACCAAGCTTTTTTTTTTTTTTTTTTTTTTTGAGACAGAGTCTCACTCTGTCACCCAGGCTGGAGTGCAGTGGCGCGATCTCAGCTCACTCCAGCCTCCAGCTCCTGGGTTCAAGCGATTCTCCTGCCTCAGCCTCCTGAGTAGTTGGGATTACAGGCATGTGCCACCATGCCCAGCTAATTTTTGTATTTTTAGTAGCAACGAGGTTTCACCATGTTGGCCAGGCTGGTCTTGAACTCCAGACCTCAGGTGATCCACCCGCCTAGGCCTCTCAAAGTGCTGGGATTACAGGCGTGAGCCACTGTGCCCGGCCTAACCAAGCATTTTTTCATAGCAAATTATTTCCCACCTTATAAAATATTCTTCTATGACATGATTTTTAATGATATGGCATACTTATTCCTATGGATGTGCCATAACATAATGCTTAACTAATAATTTAATGCTTAACCAATGGTCTATGGTTAGGCATTTAGTTTGTCCCTACTTCTTTAATTATCAGCAATATTAGTTTGTGTGTGTGTGCTGATCATTTAGAGATATTCTTTGGTGAACTGCACTTTCACGTCCTTTGGTGAATAAAGCCTCCTTATTAGGAGGTTTATCTTTCTTATTGAATGTCAATTTTTTATTATGTACAGCAATTGCTTTTTAATTTTGTTTGTAATAATCTCTAAAAGTCTAAATTTTAGCGGGGTGCAGTGGCTTTCTTTTCTTCTTGTTTGTGATTCCTCTCATGGTTGGCTAAGATTGGTTGTTCCAATAAATTCTATTATTTTTTTAAAAGAGTACTAAGCAGTGAACAAAGAGCTTGGCATATATTCTGTCCCTTTAACCTTTATAACAATTTTATGAAGTAAATCATTTACTTTTACTTGGTTTACAAATAAAGAAACTAGGGCTTCAAGAGCTTAAAAACTGGCTTGGGTTTCTACCGTTTGCATGTGGGGCTGCCAGAACCTTACCTCAGGTCTATTCACTCAGGGCACATGGGTATTACAGACTCTGTGAGCTCTTGCAGATCTGAGAAAGCCTTTCTGTTGTCTTCGTATGAAAGACAACAGGCTAGATGAGAATTACTGAACTACAATCTTTTCCCCACAGGCATTAATATTTTAAATTTAGGTTTCAGTTCAAAGTGGGTTCACATGCATTGAACAGAAACCCCAGTTAGTGGATTTCTAACAGTGGTGGCTTCAATAAAATTAAAATGTCTATATCTTGTGTGTAAAAAGACAGAGGTAGAATCCAGAGCTGGTGTCACAACTCCATGATCAACATGGACCCAGGAGTCTAGCATCTTTTTTAGCAAGAGGCTTCCATTCTTCAGAGGGCCTCCTAGTGGCCACTGCAGGGCCAGGCTGCACCTCCATGTTCCACACAGCCAAAGAGGCAAGGGGGCCCTGAAAACTAGTTTTATAGTTGGGCACACTGCCACACCCAACAAAGTGTGCTTGCTAAAGAAGAAAGGGTAGTTAACTAACAGCTTTTGCAACAGTCTTTCCAGGATATATCTAGATATTTAATTTATTTTTTTAATCACTTCTGAGCCTTCAAGTCAAATATGTTCTATGATATCTTTATTTGTTGCTTTGGTTGTATTTACTCTGGTTATTTTTGGCTATATTTATTTTCACATTTGTCTTCTACATTATTGTTTGATTTTCTGCATTGTGACTCTGCTTATCTCTAATATACTTTAAAATTCTAACACTTACTTTAGATTCTTTTATATATCATTTAACTCCTTTTTAATTTTCTGCTTCTTAACCAACTTCCTTCGTATTTTAGACTCCTAATCAGGAGTTTTTCTTTAATCTTTTATATCATAGAGAGGAATTTTTTAGAAAAAATGTAAATATAGAGAAAGACAAAAGAAATAATAACACACCTGCATACACACCACCTAAAGCTCATAATCATGAACATTTTCTCATACTTGTTTTGTTGGCTTAAAATTCAACCAACCCCCACTTTAACTCTGGCACTCCCAGAAACCTTTACCGTGCTTCTCTCTCCCCTTTTCAACAGCACTTATCACCGCCTAAATTAACATACGGTTTCCTTAGAGGTTATATCCATTTCCCTACCTCTGGCACATAAGGTCCACAAGGGCAGGATCTTTGTTTTGTTCACTGATGATTCCCAAGTACCTAGAACACTGTGTGGAACACATAAACACTCAATAAATACTTGTTGAATTAAAAAATGAAGGAGCATTACATTTTTTAGATCTATTTATGTTGATATATAGACTTAGTCCATTTTCTTTAACTGCTACATAGTACTCCATTATCAGCAAAATAATAAATATAGCCAATGTTTATTAAGTGCTTATTGTGTGCTAACCACTATTCTAGAGGCTTTACATTTTTTACGTAATGCTCAAATAGACCTGGGAGATAAGCACTGCTATGAATCCCCAATCCCCATGTTACAGACAAAGAAATTAGGGCCAACGAGTGGTACAACTGGATTAAAACCTAGGCTTCTGGCCCCAGAGCCGCACACTAAACTGCTGTGCTTGAGCGCTATAAAATAACCACATTTATTTATGTATTTTCTCTAGTGATACTTATTTGCAATTTTCCATATCATGAACAAATTTCAGTGAACTTCCTTATGCCTACCTCTTGTGTGTATGTGGACATTTCCTGGGGATATATACCTCCGGTGGCATACCTGTGAAATCCTTTGCTTATTTTTTGAGAGAACAGAGCAGAGCAGATGCTAAAATTGCCTTTTTTCCTTGAGAATTTTTTTTCTCTGATAGAATACATGTTCCATGAAGGCAGGGATTTTTGTCTCCTTTGTCCACTGCTCCATTCTGAGCATCTAGAAGAATGCCAGGCACATGGGAGATGCTCAGTAAATATCTGTGAATGTATTAATGGCTCCTGAATACGACGCTCTTTTAGCCTAATTATGCGAACTCTTTTTTTTTTGTTCCCCGCCCCACCCCCCTCCAGACGGAGTCTTGCTCTGTCGCCCAGGCTGAAGTGCAATGGCATGATCTCGGCTCACTGCAATCTCTGTCTCCTGGGTTCAAGCAATTCTCCTGCCTCAGCCTCCCGAGTAGCTGGGATTACAGGCGCGTGCCACCACCCCTGGCTAATTTTTGTATTTTTAGTAGAGACGAGGTTTCCCCATCTCGGCCAGGCTGGTCTCGAACTCCTGACCTCATGATCCACCCGCCTTGGCCTCCCAAAGTACTGGGATTACAGGCTTGAGCCACCAGGCCCAGCTGGCAAACTTTTTTATAGAGTCCCAAGCTGTGTGAGAATTTCTATTTACTCATTTTTGTACAATGAGAATTTTACCCAAACCTTAGATTCAGTTCGTCCTCAATATGGTTTGGCTGTGTCCCCACTCAAATCTCATCTTTAATTGTAGTTCCCATAATCCCCATGTGTCATGGGAGGGACCTAGTGGGAGGTAATTGAATCATGGCAATGGTTACCCTCATGCTGTTCTCATGATAGTGGGTTCTCACAAGATCTGATGGTTTTATAAGGGGCTTTTTCCCCTTTTGCTCAGCACTTCTCCTTGCTGTCACCATGTGAGGATGTGTTTGCTTCCCCTTCCACCATGATTATAAGTTTCCTGAGGCCTCCCCAGCCATGCTGAACTGTGAGTCAATTAAACCTCTTTCCTTTATAAATTACCCAGTTTCGGGTATGTCTTTATTAGCAGTGTGAGAACGGCAAATTGGTACCACAGAGAATGGGGCACTGCTGTAAAGATACCCAAAGATGTGAAAGCAACTTTGGAACTGGGTAACAGGCAGAGACTGGAACTAATGGAAGGGCTCAGAAGACAGGAATATGTGGGTAAGTTTGGAACTTCCTAGAGATTTGTTGAATGGCTTTGACCAAAATGCTGCTATGGACGATGAAGTCCAGGCTGAGGTGGTCTCAGAGATGAGGAACTTACTGGGAACTGGAGTAAAGGTCACTCTTGCTATGCAAAGAGACTGGTGGCATTTTGCCCCGCCCTAGAGATCCACATGTGGAACTTTGAACTTGAAAGAAACAATTTAGGGTATCTGGTTGAAGAAATTTCTAAGCAGCAAAGCATTCAAGAGGAAGCAGAGCACAAAAGTTTGGAAAATTTGCAGCCTGATGATGTGATAGAAAAGAAAGCCCCATTTTCAGGTGAGAAATTCAAGCCAGCTGCAGAAATTTGCCTAAGTAACGAGGAGCCAAATGTTAATCACCAAGACAATGGGGAAAATGTCTCCAGGGCATGGCAGAGGACTTCATGGCAGCCTCTCCCATCACAGGCCTGGAGACCTAGGAGGGAAAAATGGTTTCATGAGATGGGTCCTGGGCCCCCCTGCTGTGTGCAGCCTTGAAACTTTGTGCCCTGCTTCCCAGCAGCTCTGGCTGGCCATGGCTAAAAGGGGTCAATGTACAGCTCAGACCATTGCTTCAGGGGGTACAAGCCCCAAGCCTTGGCAGCTGCCACATGGTGTTGGGCCTGTGGGTGCACAGAAGTCAATAACTGAGGTTTGGGAACCTCCACTTAGATTTCAGAAGATGTATGGAAATGCCTGGATTTCCAGGCAGAGGTGTGCTGCAGGGGTGGTGCCCTCATGGAGAATCTCTGCTAGTGCAGTGCAGATGGGAAATGTGGGGTCAAAGCCCCCACACAGAGGCTCCACTGGGGCACTGCCTAGTGGAGCTGTAAGAAGAGGGCCACTGCCCACCAGACCCCAGAATGGTAGATCCACTGACAGCTTGCAGCTTGTGCCTGGAAAAGCCGCAGACACTCAATGCCAGCTTGTGAAAGCAGCCAGGAGTGGAGCTGTACCTTGCAAAGCCACAGGGGTGGAGCTGCCCAAGGCCATGGGAGCCCACCTCTTGCATCAGCATGACCTGGATATGAGACATGGAGTCAAAGGAGATCATTTTGGAGCTTTAAGATTTGGCTACCCTGCTGGATTTTGGGCTTGCATGGGGCCTATAGCCTTTTTGTTTTGGCCAATTTCTTCCATTTGGAATAGGTGTATTTACCCAATGCCTGTACCCCCATTGTATCTAGGAAGTAACCAACTTGCTTTTGATTTTACAGGTTCATAAGCAGAAGGGACTTGCCTTGTCTCAGATGAGACTTTGGACTTGGACTTTTGAGTTAATGCTGGAATGAGTTAAGACTTTGGGGGACTGTTAGGAAGACATGATTGTGTTTTGAAATGTGAGGACATGAGATTTTGGAGGAGCCAGGGGCAGTCCCCACCCAAATCTCATCTTGAATTATAGTTCCCATAATCCCCACGTCATGGGAATTACCTCCGATGGGAGGTAACTGAATCATGGGAGCAGTTACCCTCATGCTGTTCTCATGATAGTGAGTTCTCACAAGATCTGGCTTTTTTTTTTTTTTTTTTTTTTTTGAGACAGAGTCTTGCTCGATCACCCAGGCTGGAGTGCAGTGGCACAATCTAAGCTCACTGCAACCTACATCTCTCGGGTTCAAGTGATTCTCCTGCCTCAGCCTCTTGACTAGCCAGGATTACGGGTGCTTGCCACCATGCTTGGCTAATTTTTTTTTTTTTTTTTTTTTTTTTTTTTTTTTTTGTATTTTACAGACGGGGTTTCACTATGTTGGCTAGGCTGGTCTTGAACTCCTGACTTCAGGTGATCTGCCTGCCTTGGCCTCCCAAAGTGCTGGGATTACAGGCATAAGCCACTGCGCCCGGCTGATCTGATGGTTTCATAAGGCTTTTCCCCCTTTTGCTCAGCACTTCTCCTTCCTGCCGCCATGTGAAGAAGGACATGTTTGCTTCCCCTTCCACCACGATTGTAAGTTGTTTCCTGAGGCCTCCCCGGCCATGCTGAACTGTGAGTCAATTAAACCTCTTTCCTTTATAAATTATCCAGTTTTGGGTATGTCTTTATTAGTAGAATGAGAACAGACTAATACAACCCTTAAAGGAGACTGACGGAGAGGATTCTTCCTGGATCCCAGCACTTCCTCTGAATGCTACTGACATTCTTCTTGAGGACTTTAAACTGGGAGATAGAAAACAGATTCCATGGCTCAGCAGCCTGAGAGCAGGGAGGGAGCCAAGCTATAGATGACATGGGCAGCCTCCCCTGAGGCCAGGTGTGGCCGAACCTGGGCAGTGCTGCCACCCACCCCACCAGGGCCAAGTCCTGTCCTTGGAGAGCCAAGCCTCAATCACTGCTAGCCTCAAGTGTCCCCAAGCCACAGTGGCTAGGGGGACTCAGGGAACAGTTCCCAGTCTGCCCTACTTCTCTTACCTTTACCCCTCATACCTCCAAAGTAGACCATGTTCATGAGGTCCAAAGCCAGGCTCCCAGAGAGCCCTCATTCTCGTTTGTCAGTGTGGTCCCACAGACTCTATTGAGCAGAAATTCCTTTAAGTATCTTGCATGTGAACTTTTGTAGGCTCTCACAGCTGTGCAGGTTTCACCTGTGTTTGTGTTCTGTTGGTTCAGTCATGAGCAGAATTGGGGAAGGAATCAGGCACACCTACCTCAGTACTAATTTTTTTTGGCTGTTTTTTCCCAAAATGTCATAGATCAGTTACAGATAACAGAAGAGTAACTGTACAGGAAAACTGTCACTTTGGGCTGTCTGTGCTGCTTAAATGGGAAGGCGGCTGCATCTTTGATCCCAATTTTTAAATTTCTTCTTACTGTAACTATGAGGTAAAGGAGCCGGCACATCAAACATTTTCACCTGCAACAAATAGGAATCATTTTCTTATGCACCGAATTGAGAACTTTGGAATGAGTGGCTCTGTTTTTTCCTTTTCTTCCCCCTTGTCTGTCCTCCATATCCCATTCATTCTTTTTTATTTATTTTATTTTTTTTAGACCGAGTTTTGCTCTTGTTGCCCAGGCTGGAGTGCAATGGCGTAATCTCGGCTCACTGCAACTTCCACCTCCCAGGTTCAAGTGATTCTCCTGCCTCAGCCTCCCAAGTAGCTGGGATTACAGGCACCTGCCACCATGCCCAGCTAATTTTTTGCATTTTTAGTAGAGACGGGGTTTCACCATGTTGGCCAGGATGGTCTCGAACTCCTGACCTCAGGTGATTCCACCCGCCTCAGCCTCCCAAAGTGCTGGGATTACAGGCATGAGCCACCATGCCCAGCCTCATTCTTTTACATTTCTCTTTATGTGAATAATCTGCCCTTTGGTTTCGTTCTTTACTCAAGAGCCATGCTGACATCCAAGCTTCCACATCTTAGGAGGCATCTCACATTGCGTTTCATGAACTAATGCATTCATCAAATGTTGAATAAAGGCCTGTGATGTGCCTGGCCTTCTTTTAGGAGCTGGACAGAATAAAGTTCCTGATCTCATGGAATTTACATCATATCTCATGAAGCTTACGTTCTAGTAAAAGAAATAGATAATAAATAAATATACGTCAGTGGTACCAATGCCAAGAAGAAAAGAAAGCCAAGGTACAAGGCAACAAATGGTAGCATGAAAGTCCCTTTCAGGCCCTCTTTCTTCTTCAGCATATCCTTAAAATCTGTGGGGAAAGAGTGCTGGACAATCCTGGCTATACAATCATACTTCAGCAGGACTCCCCAATAATTGTGAAAGGGATGTAGGTATGTTTGTCCATGAACTTCCCTAGTAATATAAGATCACTTGGTGTATTATGAAATCCCCTGAGTCTCTCAAATGTGTGACTCTCCAATCCTAAAATCCTCATCTATAAAATAAAAATGACTACATCCCAGGGTTATTGTGAAGATTCAATAAGCCAGTGTCCAAAAAGGGCCGGGCAGACAGTCAGCAGTAACCATGTGCTGGCTTTTCTTTCCCCATTTCTCCCTTCCCCTTTCCCAGACTCTTACCTTGATAAAAACAGCCTTCTCCCCAAGCCATACATATGATCTGCCTTATGAAGGAACAGTTGGAAGGCAGACTAATTTTTCTTTATTATAAAATTTCCTTAATCCCAGAGAGCCTCAGTATCTTCAGATAACTTGGCGTGACTAAAAAAAAATTCTTATTGGGTTCATCCAGAGACTGAGTGGCCATAGGCGGGTGCTATTATGTAGGGGAAGGTTCATGAAACTGCCATGAAGGAACTAAGGCATTGACTTATAAATATCCTAACATGTGAGCAGATGAGAAAGAGACTTTAGACCTGCTTGGGAGTTGGAAGTTGACTACCACATCTCTCTCCAACACATCATAACCAGGATAAATATGGAAACGTATTTAAAAATCTAAATCTCATTTCCTCCCATTGCCCTCAATGGTACGTTAATAAAGAAAATAAATTCCCTGGTGAGTAATATTTTTTATATTATGAGAAACATTAATATTGACAACAAAAAATGTAGCTTCCTTACCCTGACAATTGAAATCCAGGTTAACTTAGCCCGCTTATAAGGCTCTTGTTTTTTCATTATACGACAGATCAAAACCAAACTCATTACCCTTTCACGAGATCACCCCCTTTCCGGCCTCTTCTTTTGGGGTACACAAAAAAAGCTGTTAGAAATAGGAGAACACATCCCTTTGACCCTGATCAAGATGTTTAGCTTCTCAGTGTCTTGGGCTCAGACCAGATGAACTCCAGGGGAGTTCCTATACATCTCCTGAACTTTTCCTTTGAAAGTATTCTTCCCCTATTCTTCCTTCCTTCATCCATTTCTACTTCCTCTCGGGTCATAATCCACACCTGCAATATCGGATTGCCCCAGTTCAGCAGGGTCTTCTTCCATTGTTCCAACAGCTCCAGGAATGTGTTTGTGGTGAATCTCCTGTATAGCTGGGCAATCTTTCCTGATACAGCCTCTCCAATGAGCAAGAACAAGCACATACCACGCTGTATATTTGCACTCTTTGTTAAACAGATACAGCTTTTAAGTCCTCATTCATCCCAGCCTCCAGAGAGAGGGTAAGGACAAGGACTCTCGGTAGTGAGGAGAGGAGATTTAGGACCCACCTTAGGAAAATTGTGAAAAATACAAAAAGCTAGTAGTCATTTTCCAAGTAGACCTAGATGACTAAAGATTTGATATATCACCTGTCTGACCCTCCACTTTTATATTCACAGAGTTGGAATGCTGCAAACATTCTATTGTGAGCTTGCTTTTATTAATGAGAGCCCTGGCCTCATAAAGAAACACACCACAGTCCAGGCCTGCTGGCTAGGAGCACTGTGGAGCAGAGTATTCTTTGGGGTCCAACTACTCACTACTTAGCCAACTTAACTGGCCCCCTGTTCTCACTGTTTCTCACATTCCACTGCTTATCTGGTTGTAAAGTATACTTTTCTCCCCATCTCCGCCTTACCATTGCATCACATTAGAAAAGCATCCTTTCACTTCTGTGCAAGGCTCTATAATGAAAAGAAATAATGAAAAGGTACTTCTCATGATGGAAAATTCCATGTTATCCAGAGATATGAATAAGGAGAAAAGACAGCTGTCAGCGGGCATCCTTTGAGCCTAACTGAATCCATGTTACAAACCATTTGTGATGGTGCCAAAAGGAACCAGAACATTGCAAAGGATGCAACATGTACTACAGGGTGGTTCCCCTGACTTTGCTTTGATTGAAATGTAAAGATTCAAAAAAATTCTGGGGAACTGAAATAAGATTGACAACTTTTAATTTTTCAAATAAGACCATGAAAAAACAAAGAAAGGCTACCCTCTATTATGGCAATTTCATTTAAAAAGGATGTTTTAGTGGTATGCCCATACAAGGTAATATTTTATTGAGATACAAAAATAGTAAAGTTCTGACACATGCTACAACATGGATGAACCTTGAAAACATTAAGCTACATGAAATTTAGCCAGACACAAAAGGACAAATACCATATGATCCACTTACATGAAGCATGTAAAGGAGGCAAATGCATAGAGACAGGAAGTAGCTGAGAGGTTACCCGGGGTCGGGGGAGTGGGGAATAGGCAGTTATTGCTTAATGGGCACAGAGTGTGTTTGGAGTGATAAGAAATTTTTGAAATAGATAGTGGTAATGGTTGTACAACATTGTGAGTGTAGTTCCACATAATACAATGCCAGTGGATTGTATATAAAAATGGTTTAAATGGTCAAAACCGGAAGGCATTTTAACACACACAGTGGAAAGCACAGAGGTTCACCCATGGATGCTTTCATTGAGGTAGCGGAAAGGACAGGTGCAGTTCCAGGTGAGTTTGTCAGCTGAGCTGTGAAAGAGAGAGTTCTGGCTCATCTGCTGAGAATGAAAGGGTCTTGGCATTAGAATCTTATTTCTTCTGACAACAGCTCTCTACTCCTTTGTTCAGCCTTTAATGTTCTCCATGATCTGGTCCTGGGCTTACTTCACCAATACACTTACTACAATGAAGCCTTCACTTCAATCAAGCCCGGGAGCACACCCAGCTCTCTGCCACCTCCATCTCCTTAGTCGGGCTGTTGTTCCTTTTCCTTCGTTCAGCCACCTCCTTCCCATCTTCAAGGCCAGCTCAAGAACCGTCTCCATGTGGAGAAGATCCTTTCTCCCTAATTAGCCTTCATCCTCCTCACTGCCTCCCCAGCCTTCACCACCAACAGCATTTGAGATGCCACTCCCCACTGGCCCTTACCCACAGCAGTGGGCTGATTATGTCTTTCCATTGGTTAATCCCAGGCAGGCGCCTTCTCATATGCTTATTTGGCATATGCTTCCCTAAACAAGTGCTAAAGGTCTTATAAGTACTCAGTGGACACCCACCTCGGCCTCCCAAAGTGCTGGGATTACAGGCATGAGCCACCGCTCCACCCTCCAATTATTTCTTAGGATGAATTCCTGGAAGTAGAGCTTATAGGTCAGTGGTAAGAACCTATCTGTAATATGCTTTTTAAATGAAACACGGGTGATAAAGCAGATTTAGGGCACATGCTAATTTGTCAGTACTTTGATGTGCTCAAAAAATTTAATCAGTTAAAACTCCAACTTTTAAAAAATAAATTCAAAGAATTTAAATAGATGTTTTTCCACATTCCATCCACTTCAAACTATGAAAACATGTAAAAAGCACAGAAATCTAACATTGATTTGGGAGACAAGACATATCTTAATTTCAAAAACATTTTTATTAGTTCTTTAATCAAATGAGAAAAAAGGTTAAGCAGAAAAAGATGAACCCACATTTGTAAAAAGCGATTTCCTCCAAATTTTGAAGAAAAAAATTTTTATTCTAAGAAATACATATTCGTTATAGAAAATTTGGAAAATACAGAGAATAGAGAAAATGTGAATTTCCCAGAATCCAACAACACACAGATAACCTTACAGTTTTACTATTTTCTATATACATGTGTATTTTTAAACAATTTGCTCTTTTCTTCTTCCCCACCCTACCTCCCAAAAAAGTGGGGAAGGCAGCTCCTGGTGGGCCACACCTGAGCCTGCCTCTCCACCATTCCATCCTCACCACCGGCCTCCCTTCCGCTGAGCTGTGGCCCATTTCCTCGCTTACGTCCCAGACTTTTCTATAAACACACAATCCACCCCATGGCATGCCAAGGCTGCTCTGCTCCCAGAACTGCCAATGCCCAGCGAAACGGGAGGACTCAAAGTCAACTGCCAAGCTACCTTCTTCACTCCAGAGCCAGGATCCAGGGAACACTGAAGATTTATCTCAGCTGACCAACAACGGAGCAGTAACTAACACCTCTTAAAATGTATATAGCACTTTAAGTTTAAAAAGTCCTCCCACACACATTTAATGTTCACAAAACCCTCAGAGGCAAACAGAACAGATATCCCCATTTAACAGAAAAGGAAACCGAGGCACAGAGGGGTTGGGTGAAAAGCAAAACTAGTGAATGGTAGAGCTTGGATGTGGAGCCATAAATTGACTCCAAGGTCAGAGCTCTTTAACATAGCCATTATTAGCAAACTATTTTTAATCTGACCACTGGAAATTAAGAGTCAGAAGGATCTTTAATAAATCCTATAATCTAGTAGCCTTTTAGTAGTCACATGTAAGGAACATAAGGCCCGGAAAAACTAGATGACTGACCAAAGTCGCCAGCTAGTAAGTGACGAAGTAGGTCTGAAGGCACAATCTTCAGACTCCCAGGCCAGTGCTCACTCCAGTCGTCCCTAGAGAGAGAGAGATGGTCTGTAATAGGTGTTCTCTCATCCGGTGTCTTCTGCTTAGCCAAATGTCAATCAGGAATTAAAATCCTAAAAGTGCAGAATGTTAGAGCCAGAAAGGACCCTAAGGACCACTCAGGCAACGCCCTGGCTTCACAGATGAGGAATGTGAATCCAAGCCCCTGATGTTCCATTCTGTGTATCTTGCACCCATCATGTTACTTCGCTTCCCAACAGAGTCAGAAATTAAATCTGGCCAAAGACGTTTACTTCCTTCTTTGACACTCAGTGTCTCTTTGACACTCAGTATGAGGCAGGCCACAGATCAGCAAAGCGAAAGTGAAATTAAACAGGATTTGACATTCAGAAGATACTTGGTTGGTAACAGATTTACCCACCATGACTGTATCACAAAATAACCAACTGCTGAGTTCCAAGGAGGCTCCCCGACTCTGCCTCTGTCCTCCACCTCCCCTCCCCAGCGAGCCAGAGAGGGTCTATTGAAATGTGTCCCTGGTTTAGGAAAGGGTGCCCACGGTCCTCCAGAAGTCACATGTCCCTGCAATTTGTGAAAATGTAGCAATATTCTGGCCAAAAGCTTCTACTCCGCGAGTCAACCAGGAGCACCTCCCCAGGCTGTCCCTCCTCCTAAGGTCACTATCTCGGCACCATCGAAATCCGCACGTGACTGTCCATCACCTTGATTCTTCGGCAGTTCCTTGGTACCATGGCTAGCCTTATCTCTCCAGTGAGACGGGAAGCCCTTTGAGGGAAAGGGACCACTTCCTCTACTGAACAGCTACTACGTGCCAGACAATGTGCTTGGCAGGGTAAGACATGGCTCCTACCTTCAAGAAACTTACAGAAGGATAAGAAAAACCATGTGCAAAAAAGTAAGCACAGTCACGTAGGTATAAACAGGAAGCCAAGGAGCCCAGAAGAGGGGCATATACTGGCGGGGTGGGATAGCTGCCCGGTCTTAAAAGGCAAAAGAAGGCGGGAGGGCAAGCCAGGCAGGAAGGCCAGCGTCAAGGAGAGAAGCGGCTTGGTTTACAGGAGATAAAAACAGTTCGAAGTTGCTGGAACATCAAGCGCAAGGCAGGGAGCGGTGGGAGTTCAGGCTGGAGCGGTGGGGCCTAGCAAGGTGGCCACAGGCACAAGCCCGCGTAATTCCCAGAGGTTGGGTACCGGAGGGCCGCTTACGCAATTCGCAAGTGAACGAATTTGGGCGCCCATGGCGAGGCTCTGTCAGTGACGGTCGGTGGTGGCGCCGCCAGCCAGCCCCCCGCCCCCGTGCACCTGTGCGCCTTCGCAGCTGCCAAAGCAAACGCAGGCTCCCCGACTTCGCCAGATTTTCAAAGCGGGCTGCCAGCCCCGGGCCACTGCCACGGCCGCCCCGGGCCCCCACCCCCGGACCCCTCGTTTATGCGCTCGGATTACAGCGCCTGTTGACGCACTGTAGCGGCCGCCTGCGCGCCAGCGGGGCCCGGCGGTTTTCTCTGCAGTCGCCACCGGGTTTTCCCGAAGAAGAGTCCCTCCCGACCTGGGGCTGGGGAGGCTGGGGGCGGTGAAGGCTGCTTCGGCCCGGCTGGCCCCAGGCGGGGCACGGCGGCGGGGAAGGGGCCGGGGCCGCTGGGGCTTGCGCGAGGCGCAGTACGGGAATCCGTCCCCCCCGGGACAGCGCGGCGGGAAACAAACAGGACGAGCTCCCTCCTCTCCGTGCCCGCGCCCTCAGGCGCCAGGGGTGGCAACGGCCTCAGGGGTCGAGGGAGGCGGCTCGGGCTCCCCGCGCTGCCAGGCTCAGGCTTGGGCTGGGGCTGGGGCCGGGGCCGCGGCAGGCACCCGCGGCGGGGGCGCAAGCGGCGCCCGGGAGCGGCTTGGGGCAGGGGTGCGCTCGGCCGGGGCGTTTGGTGGCCCCGGGCCCGTGCACCGGCGCCCAGACCGCTGTCATTACCTGGCCAGTGTAGTTTTCCCGGAGCCCGGGAGGCCTCGCAGGAGGTAGAGGTGTTTCCTAAAGCTGTGGCGGCGAGGAGGTGTCCCCCGCGGGGGCGGCCGGGGCGGCCGCTGCCGCTGCTGCTGCTGCTGGGGCTGGAGGCTCAGCCTCCCAAAAGATTGAAGGAAACTGTCCTCCATGGGCAGGAGGGCTGGCTGCGAGAGCCCCGGGTTCCCTTTACTGAAGTCACGGTCTTGGCCAAAGCTGTTGTTTTTGTGACTCTCCGGCCATGTGATGGATAGAGGGGCGGGCGCTGGGAGCCCAGCCCCTCCTTTCCACCCGCCGGAACCGTGCTGCGTGGGAGGGGGCGTCCCTACCTGGAAAGCTGGGGACGCTGGGAGACTCACAGCCCGGAAAACAAGGGTGACGCACCCACTCCCACCTCGACCCCCGCTCCGCCTCCTGGTGCCCTTTGCCCTGAGCAGTGGAGGGGAGGGGCCCCGTCTAGTAGGTCTCTGGGACACTTCCCCGGCCTGGAAGCCAGGCCTCCTGCCACAGCCCTCCCCAACCCCAGCCCCGACCTGCCTAGACCCTGAAAGTGAAATCATTTTAGCTGATGATTAATGAGCTGCCCGGCATTGTAAATGGCAACAGTAAAGGCCATTGTCTCCCCCGATTTGTGAGCACCAACATCTGGCTGGCGTCCCAAGGGCTACCACCACTCTCCCAGGGCTTGTATCTTTTCTTATTTCATCTTTCTTTAGCAGCCTGCCAAAAATATTATTAGAAAGCTTTGTTGCCGCTACATAACTTTAAATCTCTCCTTCCTCAGAAAAAGCACCCATAAAACTCAGATTGATTTATGAACAGTAGCATAAGGGCTACCGCCCAGGTACCTGCCCTGTTGCCGCCTGAGAAGTGGGGGCTTCTTGGAGAACTCTTTCAGATCCCCGGGGAAAGTGGCAGAGTCTACCGAAACCATTTATAGAGAAGTATCCAGACTGAAGTTCTCAGTTCCAGGAACTAGGGAGTACCCATTGGTTGATCACCACAGTGACTCTCCAACAGTTCACCCTCAAGAGCGTGACAGAGTGATCCTGTTTTCTGAACCAAAATTCACCATGCCTGCCTGAAAGAAACAACATTCAAAACTGACACCATCCTGGGAAATGCAGAATATATGGTGGCTTTGGCTATAATAATTATTGTAAAGTAATAAATTCTATTTCTGGCAGCTAAGGTACTAAAATTGTGAAAAGCAACTATGAAAAAAGTGATTTCCTTCTAAAACAAAATCCAGAGATTTCACAGTTAGCTTTTAGGAAGGGACTATCCAAGTGGGGAGGGGCTCTGTGCTGAGAACTTCCCCTTCCCCTTGGGATTTCCCTCTAGGGATGGGATAGGGCGGAGTGGGAGATGAGCTGCTCTCCCTTGAAAATCCATTCCCAGCGTGGAGGAAGAATACTTTCCTCATTCTTCTCAGCACTGCTAAGAAACAATGGAATTTCAAAGACCTCTAAATATTAGGAGGGAACCCATAAGGAACAGAAAATATACATAAATCGTAAAAATAGTGACACAATCTCTGTATCCTATCATAATTTGCCCAGCTTCACATGCTACCTTTTTCATTTTAACCTGCACTGGCTAATATGGGGGCCACTGGTCACATGTGGCTAGTGAGCACTTGGAATGTGGCTACTGCAAACACGCTGTGCCCGGGCCCGGTGCAGTGGCTCACGCCTGTAGTCCCAGCACTTTGGGAGGCCAAGGCAGGAGGATCACTTGAGGCTAGGAGTTTGAGACCAGCCTGGGCAACATAGTGAGACCCTGTATCTACCAAAAATTCAAAAATTAGCCAGGTTGTGGTGGTGTGTGCCTGTAGTCCTAGCTCCTTGGGGGGCTGAAGTGGGAGGATCACTTGAGCCAGCAAGTTCAAGACTGCAGTGAGCTATGATGGTACCACTGTACTCGAGCCTGGACAACAGAGCAAGACCCTGTCTCCTAAAAAACATAAAGTAAAATTTTAAAAATACACAGTGAATTTTGAAGATTCAGTATGAAAAAAGATATTAAAAATTTTTTTATATTGGTTATATGTTGAAATGGTGTGCTGGGTATATTGGGTTAATATATTATTAGAATTAATTTCATTTATTTTTATCTTCCATTGTGGCTCCTAGAGAGTTTAAGTTACATACGTAGCTGGCATTATATTCCTACTGGACAGGGCTGCATAAGCATCCGTCCACTTCCATTTCCCTCTGTTAAGAGGTCCCAGGCAGCAGCTGCAGGAAGACAACGCAGCTTTGTGGGTAGGGGTTTCAGCACAGGGCTTGTGGCAAGTAGAGCTATCTAACAGATGCCAGGAAACGTGAGTGTGTTCCTTAGGAGAGGTGGCTGAGCTCAGAGCTTTGGAAATCCTTTCCCCTACAAGGAGATAGAGAAGAGAGAAGACAGCTGAGGAAGGGGTCCTGAGGACACCAGCATTTAAGGACTGTGCCCTCAAGTGGATCTAGCAAAGGAGAGGACGATTGAATGACCAACAATTAAACAGAACACTGAAAGATGCAGGGAAGCCCAGGGAGGGAGTTTCAAGGAGGATCACATGGTCAGCAGCACCTGGAGACGATCTTACACACTGTCCTTTCACTTTTCTTTAGTTGACATTTAACTAGTCAACAAGTTCTATTTTTCCCAATGTATTCCTCAAAACCACAGTTTAAAGTAAACTGTTTGGGTATCTGTTTCCTCTCACTAGAGGAAGTGAGAGGGCATGGATAGTGTCTTATTTATCTTTGTCAGCCCAGGCTGTAACACAATATCAGCCTGATATTCAGAAGGTGCTTGATAATTGTATATGAACCTAAACTATTTTCTTAAAAGATAATCCTGAGTTTGGGATTTACTAAAAATGAAGACTGAACAGGCCGGGTGCGGTGGCTCACGCCTGTAATCCCAGCACTTCGGGAGGCCGAGGCAGGCAGATCACCTGAGGTCGGGAGTTCGAGACCAGCCTGACCAACATGGAGAAACCCTGTCTCTACTAAAAATACAAAGTTAGCCAGGCGTGGTGGCATATGCCTGTAATCCCAGCTACTCAGAAGGCTGAGGCAGGAGAATTGCTTGAACTCGGGAGGCAGAGGTTGTGGTGAACCGAGATCGCGCTATTGCACTACAGCCTGGGTAACAAGAGCGAAACTCCATCTCAAAAATAAACAAACAAATAAATAAATAAATAAAAATAAGGCTGAACAAGATAGTGATAATGTAAGGGAGTAACATAAACAGCCAGCACGATCTCACTTTGCTGCACTAGAAACCATTACTGTCATGGACATAAAGAAAATAATCTTATAAACACCATTTTTGGCGAATGAAGAAACATTGAAATTTTTCTCTAACTATCACTGTTTAACAAGATGTGGAAAAGTAAGAAGGTGTGAAGGAAGAGCTTTTGGAAACTGGAGAGCAAAAGGCCAAGTGTTAATTGATTCGGCCAAAAAAAAAAAAAATCCTCTGATTTATAGACAGCCAAGAAACAACACAAATTACCCAGCATAAACCCTAAATCTCAGAAACTGGAAGATTTGGAGGTGGGGCTCTACACCAGAAGGGCAGTTGCAAGTCTGTTTAACAAACAAATGTCCATACCCTAAGCAGCTGCCTGCCCGTCCTCAGGCCTAGAGGTTTGCTCCTTCGAGAAGATTAGACAGAAGATCTGGGAGAAGTAGGGTAAGATAAGACCCGGGGCTCTCTTTCTGCAAATGGGGATTAAGTTGATGTCTACATGTTGAATAGTGCGTAGTCACTCCTTAATTTATATTTTGTAAATATGAATTTTCATATTTTAAGCTTATTAAGTACAACTAAACTAAAACAGAATAAAAAATAATATTAGTAACTTCTAGTATAGTACAAGTCCCACAATCCCTAACCAAAATTGTAGAGGTCAGATATACTTCAGAATTCAGAAAGTGTTTGTTGTTTAAAGGTAATAGTACTGTATATTATCCTATATTCCCAGTGGGGTGTGGCGCAGACCTCTGTAGTTAAACACATTAATATGTTTGCAATGAAATATATGAATATACTTTATACATTCCAAGTGGGATAAATAAGGAGTAAAATTAATTGCCTACCTTTTGGGGTCAGGTATTTTTTTTTTCTTGGCTCACTGCAATCTCTGCCTCCCATGCTCAAGCGATCATCCCCGCCTCAGCTTCCTGAGTAGCTGGGACTACAGGCGCGTGCCACCACACCTGGCTAATTTTTGTATTTTTTGTAAAGATGGGGTTTCACCATGCTGCCCAGACTGGTCTCAAACTCCTGGGCTCAAGTGATCCTCCTGCCTCAGCCTCCCAAAGCGCTGGGATTACAGGCATGAGCCACGGTGCCCAGCTTGTATTTGGGTCAGGTTTGGCTGCAAACTTAGTTTTAATGTCAAACTTATTTAAAAAACAGAAACAGTGGTTGCCAGGGGCTGAGGGGAAGGGGGAAGGGGGAAGGAGGAAGGGGGAAGGGGGAAAGGGGAATGGGTCATTGTTTAATGGGTATAGAATTGCAGTTTTGCAAGATGAAAAGAGTTCCAGAGATGGATGCTAGTGATGGTAGCATGAATGTATTTATAACACACTTAAAAGTGGTTAAGATGGTAAATTTTATATTGGTGTATTTTACCACAATGAATACATTTGGAAAAATAACTATTGATTTTCAGAGCTTTTTGGATTTCAGAATTCTAGAAATGGGATCTCAGACCAATACTTGGATATAGGGGCTAACCTTTTAATCCTAATGCAGTTTTAAAAATAAGGTACTCAAGTTTTCTGTGCCTTACTTTCTTCTATCAAACAAAGTATGGCATACATCTTCAAATTAGACAATAAAATGTTCAAATTGTTACCTCCTCTGTTGAGTTTTTTTATTATTCAGATAACTTATCAAGAATGGTTGAACAGATTATCCAAACTAATTTTGGTATCCAACGGGTACGTCTCTGGAAAGAATCCCTTGGGTTGGCACTGAGCACTCTGACTTTTCTCCGTGATCATGATCTTCAGCAGTACCATGAAGACAGCAGAACTCAACTACAAGCAAACACAAGCCCAGACAAGACCAGAAAACATGTGACATGAACAGTTTGTTTTCAGGTTCCCAGCCTTTACTTCCTGAGTTATGCCACTCCCCTGGCATCCAGGACTTCACAGCTGTCCCCACAGTCTACACTGCTTAGTCCTGCCTCATTCAAGAGCCTGTTCCCTGACATTTCCCAACTCCTTGTCCTTCAGCTGAAACTTGTTCTAGATCCCATTCCCTGAGGATCCAGCTATGTACATTACAAAAAATTAAAAATAAATGCACTAATTCATGCAAATGTGTTAACATGTTTACTGGGCCAATATGTTCCTCTCCTAAAGAACACAATTTCTATTTTGCCAGAGAGCATTTCAAAGGCAATGTTTTGGCTGGGCACAATGGCTCACGCCTGTAATCCCAGCATTTTGGGAGGCCGAGGTGGGCAGATCACCTGAGGTCAGGAGTTCAAGACCAGCCTGGCCAACATGGCAAAACCCCGTCTCTAAAATAATAAAAATACAAAAATTAGCTGGGTGTTGTGGCGGGCTGTAATCCCAGCTATTCAGGAGGCTGAGGTAGGAGAATCGCTTGAACCTGGGAGGTGGAGGTTGCAGTGAGCCACTGTACTCCAGCCTGGGCGACAGAGCAAGATTCCATCTCAAAATAATAATAATAATAAAAAAGGCTGGGCACGGTGGCTCATGCCTGTAATCCCAGCGCTTTGGGAGGCCAAGGCAGGTGAATCACGAGGTTAGGAGTTTCAGACCAGCCTAGCCAACATGGTGAAACCCCGTCTCTACTAAAAATACAAAAAAAAAAATTAGCTGGGCATGGTGGCGGGCGCCTGTAATTCCAGCTACTTGGGAGGCTGAGGTGGAGAATCGCTTGAACCCAGGAAGGCAGAGACTGCAGTGAGCTGAGATTGCACCACTGCACTCCAGCCTGGGCAACAAGAGCAAGACCGTGTCTCAAAAAAAAAAAAAAAAAAAGAAAAGAAAAGAAAAAAAGAAAGGCAATGCTTTAATCCAAGGCAGTATTTAGGGGAAGGGAATTCACTCTTATTATGAATCTATTATTTTTCAGGCACTAGGCTCCATACTTTGCACAGTTTTTTGTGTTTTGTTTTGTTTGTAGAGATGGAGTCTTGCTCTGTCATCCAGGCTGGAGTGCAGTGGTGCGATCTCAGCTCACTGCAACCTCCGCCTCCCGGGTTCAAACAATTCTCCTGCCTCAGCCTCCCAAGTAGCTTGGATTACAGGTGTGTGCCACCACATTCAGCTAATTTTCTTTTTTTCTTTTTTTTTTTTTTGTATTTTAGTAGAGACAGGGTTTCACCGTGTTGCCCAGGCTGGTCTCGAACTCCTGAGCTCGGGCAATCTGCCAGCCTCAGCCTCCCAAAGTGCTAGGATTACAGGCATGAGCCACCGTGCCCGGCCAGTTTTTTCATTTAATAACTTTGCAAAGTTATTTCATTTAATCCTCATTTAAAAGATAAAAATTTTACAAATTAAGAAACTGAGACTCTGAGAAGGGTCCTCTGTTTAGGGTCACACACAGCTAGTCAGGAGGAGCCTTAAGATGGGGACCCATCCTCTTCCTAGCACCCTGCCCCACTGCCGTAAAGGAGTGCCATGACATTAAACACCCTGGCAACCAGCAGGGAGAATATTTGTAAATGGGCACCGACTTGTGGCTCCCAGAGCCAACCAGATTCTCCTGCTATTTCCCTGTTTCTAAATTTCTGTTTACCCCTTGAGACAGACTGGTCAGTACTTAATGCCAAACATAAAACAGGATGCCCTTTCTCAATAAAATAGTAAAAAAATCTGCACATAGCTATAGCACTCATAAAATTCCCTAAAAAGAAAAAAATAATAATTAAGGGCAGAATGCTCTGTGAGAAGACCCGACAGTTTAGGATACATGTGGGAGATCATCATGAAAATCAAAATTGTGGTTGCAAAATGTCCTTGACACAAATCTACCAATTTTAGCAGACAGAAAAGACTCCTGAAATTGGCCACAGGAAAATATATCCATGCTTGCTGCATGCTGCTTGTACTGGTGTCTCCTCATGTTGGGGCCATCTAGGGGAACTTCACTCACTATAATCTAACTTCAGTCAGAGGTAGGCTAGAGGCTCACTCAGCCAAGTCCTTGCCCAACATGCTATGGTGTTAAATCAAATCCCTACAACATAAATTCCATGAGGGCAGGGGTGTTTTTACTGCTATATCTTCAGTGTCTGACATGAGCACCTCAATAAACATTTGCTGAATAATTTTTTTTTGAGGTGGGGTCTCGCTCTGTCACCCAGGCTGGAGTGCAGTGGGGCGATCTCAGCTCACCACAACCTCTGCCTCCCAGGTTCAAGCATTTCTCTTGCCTCAGCCTCCCAAGTAGCTGGGATTACAGGCACCTGCCACCACACCTGGCTAATTTTTGTATTTTTAGTAGAAACGGGGTTTTGCCATGTTGGCTAGGCTGGTCTCGAACTCCTGACTTCAGGTGAACTGCCTGCCTCGGCCTCCCAAAGTGCTGGGAGTATAGGCGTGAGCCACCACACCTGGCCACATTTGCTGAATAATTGAATGAATGTCTTCACTTCCTTCCTCTGGAATTCCTCATTGTCTCTCATCTCCTCCTGTACCATATTTATCCCACATTTTTCTAGTGGCCCCTGCAAATCTCTAAACTCTTCTCCCAAATCTTCAGTTCTTCCTCTTCTTTCAGGGGAAGCAGGATTAAAACAAACAAAAAACATTTTTACAGGGTATACATGTCTTTCTAGTTGAGAAATGGAAACTAGAATATTCTTAGAAATAAGTTAAAATGAAAAAACGTATGGTAAATGCATAGTGCATTCAATTCTTATCAAATGCAGACATATATGCACTGAAATCGTAGCAGCTGTGTTTATTTCATAATTTAGGCATTTGAAAAAAAATGCAATGTGTTTATTTTAATGTCAGCTTGATAAGTTTAAAATATAACATGAGTTTGTCTATATGTTTTACCTCTTTTCCTAGAGAATCTAATATTTAAGTAGAACCTACACCCCTAATTCCCAGCCCTCATCACATACCAACCCAAGGGGGGAAATGTCTCATAAATTGTGTGTTGATAGAATGTTATAAAATATGTTCTAACCAATAAAGTGGGAAAATAAATTTGGGAGCAACAATCTAAGCTTTGCTGTATTTCAAAAAAGATCTACACTTAAAGGAAATAAAAACATCACATGTATAATAGCACACAAGGTTGCTATGGTAACAAACTTCATTTTTTATATTTTACTCTCCAGTCGTGCTATAATACATATGAGCTATTACAAACAAATAATGTCAAGATTAACTATTTTATGATCAAACAGAGGTCTCTAGAATAAGTCATACTTACAGTTCAAGGAATTTTCATTTTTCAACCAATCTTCTTCTGTCTTTTCTAGAAATTATAATTAAAATACATAAAATATTAATATTTGGCATTGGAGTTAAGTTTGCACTGTCATTTTACTCATGTAGGGACACTCCTAAAATGACAAAAGAAATATAACAGTGGCTCACGCCTGTAATCCCAGCACTTTGGGAGGCCGAGGTGGGTGGATCACCTGAGGTCAGGAGTTTGAGAACAGCGTGGCCAACATGGCAAAACCCTGTCTCTACTAAAAATACAAAAATTAGCTGGGTATGGTGGTGCATGCCTGTAGTCCCAGCTACTTGGGAGGCTGAGGCAGGAGAATCACCTGAACCTGGGAGTCAGAAGTTGTAGCGAGCTGAGATCACGCCACTGCACTCCAGCCTGGCTGAGAGAGTGTGACTGTCAAAAAAAAAAAAAAAAAAAAAAAAAGAAAGGAAGAAAGAAAGAAAGAAAGAAAACACCTATAAATATCTAATATCTATCTATTTATTTATTTATTTATTTATTTATTTATTTAGAGACAGAGTTTTGCTCTGTCGCCCAGGATGGAGTGCAGTGGCACAATGTTGGCTCACTGCAACCTTTGCCTCCTGGGCTCAAGTGATTCTCCTGCCTCAGCCTCCCAAGTAGCTGTGATTACAGGCAAGTGCCACCACACACGGCTAATTTTTTTGTGTTTTTAGTAGAGACAGGGTTTCACTATGTTGGCCAGGCTGGTCTCGAACTCCTGACCTCAAGTGATCCACCCAACTTGGCCTCCCAAAATGCTGGGATTATAGGCATGAGCCACCACGCCTGGCCACAAATGTCAATTTAAACATTTAAAATATTGCTCTGTGTGTGTGTATGTGTGTTTTAAGTGGCAATAATGTCTCCATGGGGAATAAGGAGAAACAAGAAGATGAGGAAAAATGTATTTGGTTTTATTAAATGGACAGACGAAATGAGTCTACTTTGCCCATAGAGGTGTTTATGAGAACAGTTAAGAAATACCTACTGTCCTGAACTATTAGTTCTAGAATGATTCACTAAATTTTGATTTTACTATTCACTTCAAAATGTACCCATTAGCATTGCCTCTGGACACATTTAAATAATAACCAACTAATGTGAACAGAACCCCAGCCACCCCCACTAGGTTAGGTGAAGTACTGGCTTTTCCAGATTTTCTATCATCCTTCTAACCTTCCAAGCCAGTCCTCCTCCAGCTACCTGGAAAATGAACAGCCCTCAGAATAGTTACGTCTGTCACTGTGGACCACAGATCACAACAATAGGAAGGTGCTTCCAAGTCAAGTAACTACACATCTAATTTGTAGCTGTTACTCTATCATAATGGGTAAGACTGAGGGCCGGACAGGAGAAAAGATGTAATGAAGAATAAAGGACTCACCTACAGTGGGCACCTTAGTCATCCCCAGTGAGTCCTTATACCTGTATATTCCTCCACAAAGTTAGGGAATTAAATGTAACCTTCTCTTTGGACTAATTGAAAGAAAACATGCCTATATTATCCACTCATCCCCATCCATATATATCCTTTTTCTAATTTAAGGTATGTAGCACTTCTCTCAAGTTTGATAAATTTTATTTTTTATTCCATAATTTAAAAAATTTTATTGACATAATAATTGTACATATTTATGAGCACAATGTATTTTGATACGTGTGTACATTGTGTAATGATCAAATCATGGTAATCAGCATACATATGACTTCAAACATTTATTATTTCTTTGTAGTCAGAACATTTAAAATCCTCTCCTCTAGCTATTTTGAAATATATAATGCATTATTGTTAACTATAGTTAACTATAATCACCCTGCTGTGCAATGAACACCATAGCTTGTACAATGGAATAATATTCAGCCATAAAAAAGAATGAAATCCTGTCATTTGCAACAACGTGGATGAACCTGGAAGAAATTATGTTAATTGAAATAAGCCAGACACAGAAAAATATATACTGCATGATTTCACTCATATATGAAATCTAAAAAGTTAATCTCATAGAAGTAGAGAATAGAACAGTGGTTTCTATTTGAAAGCCATAAAAATATACCTCCACTGGCCAGGTGTGGTGGCACATGCCTGTAATCCCAGCTACTAGGGAGGCTGAGGCAGGAGAATTACTTGAACCCAGGAGGTGGAGGTTGTGGTGAGCCAAGATCACGCCATTGCACTCCAGCCTGGGCAACAAGAATGAAACTCCGTCTCAAACAACAACAACAACAAAAATACATACACACACACACACACACATATATACCTCCACTGACATCTTCCATTGCAAGTAGATCATCTTTAGTGTCTTCCAGTCAAGGGGAACCACATAGTCATCAGGCAACAAGGATTCTGTGAAAGAAAGAAAGACCTAATCTCATCTCTAATGTCACACAGATTTTTGCCCTAACTGTGAAGACATGCAAACCTGATCTCTAATTCACCATACCATTAAAAGTCTGGTTTTAAAGATATTTCGGTGATGTCTAAAGCTGGAGTTTGTCTCAGATCTCAATTAGTAAACACTATCCAGACTCCAATACTAGGATTCATTTGAGTTCTTGCCTTATTTGCAAGGCCACTGACCATGAGCTTGGCTCGTCCAATCTAGCCAAACAAATCGCTTCGTAGCCTCTACTTATGGTTTTCTCTTTATCTCTTTCAAGTACATGCCATTTCCAAATATGAAATTCTTTCCCTCTGCTTTTCTTTCAAGCTACATTCTTTTTCCCTTGTACAAACACGGCTTATAATGCACTTCCACATGTAAGGCATTCCAGAGAAAACTATAACCTCAAATTCTCTTCTACAATCCTTTTAGCACTATTAATGTCACTCATAAAATATTCATAAGCTTATCATTTATATTTTCTATATGCACTAATTTTATTTTATGTTAGTCTTGTCTCCCAATTTAGAAGGTAAGCTAGTTGATGAATGAGGTCTATTTCCTTTAAAAAGCTTTCTGAAGTTTAATTAACGGATGCTTGATCATTGTTGATTATGATGACATCATGCACTCAAGGTAAGCGAGGCATAGAATCTTTTCACAATAGTGTCTTGATGCATTCTGGTGCCCCTCTAAGGCAGTGATTGCTAATCTTTTTGCATCATAGACCCCTCTGAGGAGCCGATTAAATCTATGGACTTCTCCCCAAAAAAATGGCACAAAATAACCCCCAAAATTTTACATACAATTTCAGAATATGGACCTTGGACTACGATCTCAGAACTAAAATGTCTTCAGTTATCACTTAAAGCTCCCGAAAGCAAAAGCATTTACTTTGAAAAAAATTGGTATGTTTCTTTGGTGTTAGTAGGCGGGTAGAAAAATTACAACAAATAGGCTGGGCGTGGTGGCTCATGCCTGTAATCCCAGCACTTTGGGAGGCCGAGGTGGGTGGATCATGAGGTCAGGAGTTGGAGACCAGCTCGGCCAGGATGGTGAAACCCCATCTCTATTAAGAATCCAAAAAAAAAAAAAAAAAAAATTAGCCGGGCGCAGTGGCGGGCACCTGTAATCCCACCTACTTGGGAAGCTGAGGCAGGAGAATTGCTTGAACCCGGGAGGCAGAGGTTGCAGTGAGCCAAGATCTCACCACTGCACTCTAGCCTGGGTGGCAGAGCGAGACTCCGTCTCAAAAAAAAAAAAAAAGAAAAGGAAAAAGAAAAATTACAGCAAATAGTCAAGATGTAATTATTCACAAAGTTTACAAATATGATAAATATGATGCCAGAGCCCCAAAAGCAGGTTGATAATTATGACTCCTTGGCCCTAGGACTTAGTCAATCTTTGGTCTCACCTGTGGGACCAAATTTATCTGGAACATCAGAAGCTTAGGAGCCAAGTTAAAAAACTCAGGATGACAAGCTTTGAGACGAAATGGGTCCCCAAGGAACGCTGAGAGGTATAGAACAACAGAAGATACAGGAGAACTGCAAAAATTGGAGCTTTGGCCTCTTGAGTCTTACAGCTTCTGTCCCCAAGGAACAGCACTAGAAAATATCAGCTATTGAGTTACAGATAAGGAAAAGCTGGGATAAATATCATAAAGACATTATCTTATATATGCTTATGATTTAAGACAAAATTTTTTTTTTGAAAGAGTCTTACTCTATCACCCAGGCTGGAGTGCAGTGGCGCGATCTCAGTTCACTGCAACCTCCGCCTCCCAGGTTCAAGCAATTATCCTGCCTCAGCCTCCTAACTAGGTTTACAGGCATGTGCCACAATTCCTGGCTAATTTTTGTATTTTTAGTAGAGACAGGGTTTCACCATGTTGGCCAGGCTGGTCTCGAACTCCTCACCTCAGGTGATCCACCTGCCTCAGCCTCCCAAAGTGCTGGGATTACAGGCATGAGCCACTGTGGCCGGCCCAAAAAGAAATTTAGTTGGAATATTAAAAAATCATATTTTTGCTCGTTTTATTCACATGTAGATTTTTTCATTTCCAAAAATAACAATCTTTTTTTTTTTTTTTTGACAGGGAGTCTCGCTCAGTCACCCAGGCTGGGAGTGCAGTGGTGTGATCTCGGCTCACTGCGACCTCTGCCTCCCAGGCAGGTTCAAGTGGTTCTCCTGCCTCAGCCTCCTAAGTAGCTAGGATTACAGGCACACGCCACCACGCCCGGCTAATTTTTGTATTTTTAGTAGAGGCATGTTTTCGTCATGTTAGCCAGGCTGGTCTCAAACTCCTGACCTCAAGCAATCATCCCACCTCAGCATCCCAAAGTGCTAGGATTACAGGTGTGAGCCACCACATCCAGCCCCAAAATAACAACCTTAAGAGCCTGAAGGAAGCTTTTAAGTCAACTAGTCAGGCTTCCACCTCATCCCTTCAGTATCCTTTTCAGACTGCCTTTAAAAAGTAAATTCAATTATTTCAGATATCTTTCCTTCATGTAATCTTTGCAATCTGCCATTTACTAATGTTGTATTTGGGAGCTATAATAGTGAATGAGAAAGGAAAGAGCCACGTGTCAAACAAAATAAAGGTAGAAAGTAGAGTTTCTTTTCTGGTGGCCTGGTGGTTCAGGCCTGTAATCCCAGCACTTTGGGAGGCTGAGGCGGGTAGATCACCTGAGGTCAGGAGTTGGAGACCAACCTGGCCAACATGGTGAAACCCTGTCTCTACTAATAATACAAAAATTAGCTGGGTATGGTGGCGGATGCCTGTAATCCCAGCTACTCAGGAGGCTGAGGCAGGAGAATTGCTTGAACCCGGGAAGTGGAGGTTGCAGTGAGCCGAGATCACACCATTGCACTCCAGCCTGGGCGACAAGAGCGAAACTCCCTCTCAAAAACATAAATAAATAAATAAATAAATAAATAAATAAATAAATAAATAAATATAAAAAAAGAAAGTAGAAAGGTTTGGCCGGGCGCGGTGGCTCACGCCTGTAATCCCAGCACTTTGGGAGGCCGAGGCGGGCGGATCACGAGGTCAGGAGATCAAGACCATCCTGGCTAACATGGTGAAACCTCGTCTCTACTAAAAATACAAAATAAATAAATAAATAAATAAATAAATAAATAAATAAATAGCCGGGCGTGGTGGCGGGCGCCTGTAGTCCCAGTTACTTGGGAGGCTGAGGCAGGAGAATGGCGTGAACCCGGGAGGCGGAGCTTGCAGTGAGCCGAGATCACGCCACTGCGCTACAGCCTGGGAGACAGAGCGATAAATAAAGCAGCCTATCTCTACTGATTACATAATCCCTTTTTGCCTGCTTCATCCTCCATTCTTCCCAGTATCTATTGAAATTGAGAGCCCAAGTATTCTAAGTTCTCAAAGACATTGAAAGAGACATGAAGACTACCGACAGCAAAGGGTGGGGACTTTGAAGATCAAGCACCGTTTGCTATGGATCCTCACTCACTGCTGAAAAGCATCACGAGATTAATAAACTGCATGAGATCACTAACCACCAGGTAGAAACACCTCCAGAATTACTTACATATGTTAAACTGGATCTTTTACTTTTAGCAAAAGAAAACAACTTACCCATTGGAACGCCTGGAGATCCAAAAAGCTTTACTAATTGAAAGGCAAACCCTTGTGATAATGGTAGCTCAAGGGAACGGTAGTCAGTGCTTGTTAAGTCTTGGCTGTCCTCAGCTGGTAATTCCTTAGGTTCTTCCCATCTTTTCAGCTTTCTATCAAACCTTTCATTTAAAAAGTGAAAATCAGAAGTGACTCCCAAAGAGCACGAAGTATCAGGATGACTATGTAAAATTTCTGGAGAAATAAACCCTGCATCATTTAGTTTATTACCTACTCTTGTCTGAGATTCGAAAGTCAAAAACAGTTTCTTGTTTGTAAAAGATGGCTTCCAAATACTAGATAAATTATGTAGCACAAAAGAAGGAATATAATTTTTGTATAAAGATGCAGAGCACCTTAGTCTGTTAAATGACAGGCAATGAGAATAACGCTGTCCATCAATATTTAAAGGGGTAGCTTTGATAATATCAAGGTAAAACCACAATGGATGATGATCAAAGGTCATAAGTTTTTGTTTATTCTCCTCTTCACTGTTCCTTTCTGAAATTCTATCTTTTTCTTCTCCCAAAGTAATTTTTAGTCCATGGTTTTTTGTTAACAGGTCACATTTCTCCCTTTCTTTTACACCGATACGACTCTGTCCTAATAAGTCAAAATTTGGTACCAAATTGAAAATCCTTTTCTTCCTCCTTTTCTTATTTTTTGTTGATTCTAAGGCATTCTTTGGTATATCCGGTTGAGGTAAGCAGCTTCTGAAGAGGTTTGTTTCTATGAATGAATCCATAGTTTCAGGTGGAGGTGAAAAATCTTCATTTCCTATCAGTAGTTTGTCTGTCAATATTTCTGGATTGTTTCCTGGTTCTGATGCTGCCACCGAAGTGAAGATCATTTGAATCCATTGCCCCCTGCTGTCAGGACCAGCCAACTTACATGCTCTATCTTTCTTTGGTCTCTGTTCACATATAAACTTATGAGGTCCTGCAGGCCAGCTACCAAAATAGGGCTGTCTGTCAGAGCCCAGCTGTAAATCTTCATCAGATAAATTGGTTGTGAAAAAAGCCCAGTGATTGATTTTAGTTGTATACACTTGTTCCTCTCTTAAAACTTTATCTGACATTCTGATTCCATGTTGATGGCACAGAATGGGTTCATGTGAGAGATTTTTATCTACTATTTCTCTCTTCTTCATAAATAAGCATGAAGTTTCCGCAGAAAGGTCCTGGGTGTCTAATGCTATGGTATGCCTATTTCTAATATGCTTTTCTACCTTCATGCCAGAGCAGTCATCAGTTGTTACACAGGAAAGGTTTTGAGTCAGTATTGGACAAGTAACGGAGATTTCATTTGGCCTCAGTAACAAACTTACAAACAAGTTATCACCTTCCTTAGAGAGGTAATTCTTTGGTGTGTTGTCTAATTCAACTATAGACATAACGTTTTGGAAACTGTCTTTAGGATCTTTATTTTTCCATCTTTTTTCTTTATATCCAGTCACAAAATCTCCGACTTCATTTTGTAGACCATCAATGAAGGGATATTCTGATTCTCTTCTGGTCTTTTCAATGTCTTCCTCTTCACTCTGAGATGGGTCCTGATCTCCCGGTGTAAGATCACTTAAGAATTCTAATGAGTTTTCCTCCATGATTCTATTCTGACTGTTCTGCTTTTTGTTTCTTTTTCTGTTCCTCTTCTGTTTGGTTTTGCTGAGCCTATGCCCAGTTTTCTTCAAAACTCTTTCTCTGAAATATTAAAGAATTAAGAAAATGTATGACTTAATTACATGTATAACATAAGCAAACTATAACATCATACTCTTCATGTGCAGGTTTAAAAACCTTTAGTACAAGAGACTCTCAAGTGTGCACGTACTTTTTCTTTGTTTGTTTGTTTGTTTTGAGATGGAGTCTCGCTTCATTGCCTAGGCTGGAGTGCAGTGGTGTGATCTTGGTTCACTGCAACCTCTGCCTCCCGGGTTCAAGCAATTCTCCTGCCTCATCCTCGCAAGTAGCTGGTATTATGGGTGCCCACCACCACGCTTGTCTAATTTTTTTGTATTTTTAGTAGAGACGGGGTTTCACCATGTTGGCCAGGCTAGTCCTGAACTCCTGATCTCAGGTGATCCGCCTGCCTCAGCCTCCCAAAGTGCTGGGATTACAGGCATGAGCCACTGCGCTGGCCATACTTTGTACTATATTTAAAATCACTTTTAAAAAGAGATATTTTAATCCTATACATTAAAAATGAGTACACTTTGAGAAAGTTAAAGCTAATATGCATATAATCATTTCATAAATAACTTTATAAAAACCTAATATTTTCCTTAAAGAAAATACTTCATATATAAGCATGTATTAACAAGAATATGTTCTGAGAAATGTGTCATTAGGCAATTTCATCACTGTGTTAACATCATAGAGTGTACTTACACAAATCTACATGATGTAGTCTACACCACACCTAGGCTATATAATATAGCCTATTGCTCCTAGGCTGAAAAATTGTACAGCATGTTACTACACTGCATACTGTAGGCAATTATAAAACATTAGTAAGTATTTGTGTATATAAACATATCTAGAGGCCAGGCATGGTGGCTCACGCCTGTAATCCCACGACTTTGGGAAGCTGAGGTAGGTGGATCACCTGAGGTCAGGAGTTCGAGACCAACCTGGCCAACGTGGCGAAACCCTGTCTCTACTAAAAATACAAAAAAATTAGCTGGGCGTGGTGGTTCACTCCTATAATCCTAGCTACTCTGGAGCCAGAGACAGGACAATCACTTGAACCCGGGAGGCACAGGATGCAGTGAGCCAAGATTGTGCCATTGCACTCCAGCCTGGCCCACAGGGCAAGACTCCAACTGAATAAATAAATAAATAAATAAATAAATAAAAACATATCTGAACTTAGAAAAGGTACATAAACATATGGTATTATAATCTCATGGGACCACTGTCATATATATGTTCTGTTGTTGACTGAAATTTTGTTATGTGGTGCATGACTATATACATAAAACCTACCAGTAAATATCTTGGACCTCCTAACATCTTAGATTTTGAAAATTAAGAAGTGGCTGTTTCAGAATGGGACAAATTTAGTGACTTTAATAGCTAGATTTCCTCTAGACATGAAGAATGGTTGATAATGAGCTGTTGAGTCCGGTATTTGAGTGGCATGCTGCTAATTGCCCAGATTGTAGTGGTTCTAACCAGAGACTACACTACTACTCTGTGGGGTACTTGGAAATGTGTAAAGGCATTTTTGGTGGTCAGAATGACTGGTAATGTGTTACCACACATTACCAATATCAGGCATTTGGGCCTGAGGCCAGGGAAGCTAACCATCCTGCAATGCCCAGTGAAAAATTATCCCACCCAAAAGAACAATGGTGTTTCATCCAGCACACTGAAAGTTCATAGCTCCCTTTAACGGAAGACAATATTTGATCCTAAGAGAGAAAGGAGGATTTAGGAAATTTTCTAATTTAGAATATAAAGATCTAGTTATCCTGTCTTTCACCCTGGATAATCAGAGTCAGGGTCAAGGTGACAATGAAGACTTAGTAAAATGTAGTAGAGGAAGGACAATTGACACCGCTGAGGGAAAAATCCAGGACAGAGGAATAGAAAAGCAAGCAAACAAACCTGGAAGAAGAAAGAGATGATGCGGAAAAGAGAATAGTCAGTTGATTGGCTGGGCATTGGACAAATGAGATTAAACCTACCCCCAGCCACTAGCCTGGTTTATTCCATATGCTGGGCAATTTTCAATAGGTAGGACACATGAAAATCTTGTTCTTTGTCACTAATTGCTGCTGCCCTTGTTTACACATTTCTAGATATTGGTTTAGAAAATACTCTAAGGAACACTAATGTACCTAGAAACAGTTGTGATGGGGCCTCTATAAAAAGGATATTGAGTAAAGAGTGCTATCTGTGGTTGTAACTCTCCTTCATGGCCAGTTCTACCTGATTCCAGTGAAAGTCCTAGTTGCAGTCCAAGGTGCAATGTCAGTTATGAAATTCATCCTGCAGACTAGTATGTCATTCTGAAAACAAACTCCCCTGTCTTTACTCAAATGTGAACCATCCTGTTGCAGGGCAAGGAGAAAAAGAACAAATAGAGTTTGTTGTTGCGTTATTCATTCGATTAAATGGTAAAATACTAATGACGTAAGAGACTCACTGCAGCACTGGTGATTCTGTGGAGTTTAATGCACTTAATGTATAGTCACTGTCCCTCAGAACAGCTCTCTACTGTACAAAGAAAGAGAGCCCTAATCTAGGGAAATGCAGTTACTGAAACACACTTCATCACCAAAATGTTTATAATTCCATATACCAGCAGAAAGACTAAGGTCTACAATTGCACTTGGAAAATTGGCTTTTAAAAAAAGATGTTACACTTATTATGTATTGGGACTGTTTAATTGCTTTACATGTACCAATTCACCTAATCTTCAAAACTGTATCAAGTAAGGGCAAAGGCTAGTTTTAACCCCATCTTACAAAGACAACTGATATACAGAGAAGTTGAAGAATGTGCTCAGGGTCACATGGCTAGTGGCAGGTTCAGACCTAGTTTGATTCGCTCTGAAGTCCACACTCCTTAACCATTATGCAACACTGCCTCTCGATTTAAAGAGAAAATTGTACAAAACATTTCCTTCTCTCTTTTTCTTCCTCCTCTCATTTTCAAACCCTCACATGTGCATAAACAGAAGATACTCAGCTGGCAAGGGTTGAGTCCTTTTCATGAGAGCAGTTCTTGGGCCCTGACTCCTGTTATCACTAACTTAATAGTATCTTGACACTTTTCTTCTGTTGCCTCTCCTTTCTCTGGATCAAATCAAAAAAGAAACAACAAGAGGAAGTGAGAGGAGATACTGTGGAGCAGGATCTCTCTCCCTAATCTGCCCTCATGTCAAGACTCCATATGAGCAATGGGAAAGCCAGACTAGATGGCCCACAGCTGAGATCAACAGATGGGCACAAGTGACTCCTCCTGGAGTTAATTCACTCATGGGGTGGAGGCAGTGAGAAGGGATCACATTCTGGATACTGTTTTGAAGGAAAAATAAGCAAGATTTGAAAATAAATCAGATATAGGGTATGAGGAAAAAGATAAGAATCAAGTATGAGTACAAGGATATTGGCCTAATTAGAGGGATGAAGTGGCTACTTACTGCAACATAAAAGTCTGCAAGATATGGGTTTGGAGAGAGGGTTGGTAAATCAGTTCCCTCAAAGTCCAGCTCAGAATAGGCTAATCTGTCATTAAAAAAGAGTTCAGAAAGTGGAAAAAAAAGAGGGCTTCTCTAATACTCCCCAAGAGTTGCTTTGTTTTCTAAGCAGATTACAATCAGCTGCTTCAGAAAAGGATAATAAGGACCCTGCTAATGTCTTTTTTTCGTTGTTTTTTTTTCTCCTAAGTCTGCTTTCTAGGGAAGGACCTGCTAATGCTAACAACCCACTATGCCTGCAGAGAAGTAAACACTGGACCATGAAAGAATAAAGTGGCTTAAAAAGTAAACTATCAGAGTTTGGGAGATCAGGCAATTTATTAAGGCAGTTTGCTAAGAGTTAATCAAAGGAATCTCTAAGGATTAGAATTCCAACTGAAAATACAACACAATGCCAAGAGGTATGAAAATCTGACTCCACAGTGAAGTGCCAGAGACATGTACCAGTTCTGCACCACTGGAGCTCTATATAGCTACCCTCCTCATTTCAGAAACAGTGGACATGGCCTTCTGGAAAGGAAACACAAACCAATAACAGTGACTTGTGAAGCCCCTGGGAAATAAGAGACTTGGTAGTGATGGTGGTGGTGATAACTTCTGCTTGAATGTGGCTAATCAGTAGATGCATTTTCTTTAGAAACATCTATCTAGAAAGTGTGAGAATCTCATCAAAGCTGTGTCAAGGATCATTAAATGTGATCTCACTGGTGCTGATTCATTTAGGAATGAATGGTACCATTAGAAGAAAAAAAATCACTAAATAAAAGTTAGTCATGGAGAGGAAATCACAAGAGTTAGAGGCACAGGATGTAGCTTTTAAAAGAAAGAAGAAAATAAGAAATGAACAAATGGTAACACATCTATGATGAGTAAGATTTTGCTTTCTAGATGATGGCTTAGAATCCAAGCTCCTAGGGAGCAATGGAGTGTACCTCTCAGGAATTAGAAAGTGTTTGTTCAGATACAAGCTAATCTGACCAAGTGAACTGTGACCTGATGACAAAGGTGAGAGAGCATCCAGATAAAGCTGAAGAAAGCAGGAAGGGAGGGTGGAAAGCATGGTAAGTGATAACCCTCATGAAAAAATATAATTAAGGGGGGGCCAGAAAAAAACATTTCCCAATGCAGAATCCTATATACTAATTTATGATAACGGGCAATAAATGAAGTAAATCTGAGATTAAAACACATGCAGATGATAAAAGGTCTCATGGCTTTCTGGAATGACCAGTTGAAATAACTGAGGCCCAGGTCCTGGTCCTGGCTCAGTAATAGCGAAGTCCAGGCCTTAGCTAGCAGTGGGATCCCTCAGTTAGCAGTGGGATCTTGGGCAAATCATGTCTTTCCAAAATGAGGAAAATACCCCTCCTTGCAAAGTTGTTGTAAGGACCACTAATACAGATGCTCTTAAATAACCTCTACTCAACTGATAGAGCAGATCAATTGATTCTCTCCATTGCCTCTGTACAATGACTGATATTAATGACTCACACTAAATGCTCCCAGCTAGATGGCTGCTCTCCAGTGTAACTGCACCCTTTTGCTGTCACTGTTTAGAACTGTATATTTATAAGGAGTCAGATGGGTTTATTCGCAAGTCTGTTTATGCCAATAATAGTTTTTACTATAATTATGTAGTTTGTCTCACTAAACATGAAGTGCTAAACAGCTGTTAAATAGGCAGCATAACTATAAAATTTGGTTGAAAATAATAAAGACCTATGATTATGCACTCATATTGCTTTGAATATTTCTTTGGGTTCTACTTCCAATTTATATCAACAGAAACTAGAAATTCTTGACTACACATTACAGATGTGGTTTATGCATGAAAAAAGTTAAACTGCACTGAACAAAATTATACATAAAAATTGCTGAATAAATACATATAAAAACATGTATTTTAAGTTCAAATAAAATGTTTAAAGTATGTATCATTTCATAATAATTCTTTAAACAATTTTTTTCAATGAACTAACCAGCTTTCTGTCCCAATCATGTTAGAGACGAGGGCTTTAATTATAAATAAAGCACCTAGCACAATGCTTGACACATAGTGGGTACTTCATAAATGGCAGCTCTTATTTTTATTATGTATTAACAACAACAAAAGCAATCTTATAAATTTCACTGAGACTCCCACGATGCAATTCAAGAGTAGAATGTGGCAATGTGATACTTATGATTTACTTAAAACAAACAGTTGAGTTAGAAGAACTGGAAAATTCTCCAAAAATGTAATTTACTTAATGTAATTGCAAATGATTGGAAGTGGAAAAAAATTTTTTTAAACTAAGTGGCCATATATAGACAAAGTGATAAATTCACCATCTTTCTCAGAGATTAAAACACCTTTCTCAGTAATTGATAGAACAATGAGACAAAGACACAGAAGTTTAACTAGCATAATAATGATTGAGTGCACTAATATGGAACACCACATCCAACAATTGGTGAAAACACATTCTTTTCATGCTCACATATAATATCTATAGAAATTAACTAGGCCATAAAGCTAGACCTCCACAGATTTCAAAGAATTACTAATGTACGGACCATAATATAGTTAACTTTGAAATTAGTAACAATAAATTTTTTGGAAAAAATTGTAAACATGGAAAAATGAATAGGTAGAAAAATTATAATGGAAATACTTAGAACTGAATAACAGTAAAAAAATTATATATAAAAAGTGATTTTTTTTTTTTTTGAGATGGAGTCTCACTCTGTCACCCAGGCTGGAGTGCAGTGGCGCGATCTTGGCTCACTGCAAGCTCCGCCTCCCAGGTTCAGGCCATTCTCCTGCCTCAGCCTCCCAAGTAGCTGGGACTACAGGCGCCTGCAACCATGCCCGGTTAATTTTTTGTATTTTTAGTAGAGACGGGGTTTCACTGTGTTAACCAGGACGGTCTCGATCTCATGACCTTGTGATCTGCCCGCCTCGGCCTCCCAAAGTGCTGGGATTAGAGGCGTGAGCCACTGCGCCCGGCTTTTTTTGTTTTTGTTTTTTTTTTATAAGACAGAATCTTGCTCTGTTACCCAGGCTGGAGTGCAGTGATGTGATCACAGCTCACTGCAGCCTCTACCTCCAGGGTTCAAGTGATTCTCCTGTCTCAGACTCCAGAGTAGCTGGGACTACAGCAGCGCCACCATGCCTGGCTCTTTTTCTTTCCTTCCTTTCCTTCCCTTCTTTCCCTTGTTTCCCTTCCTTCCCTCCCTCCCTCCCACCCCATCCCCTTCTCTCTCTCTCTCTCTCTCTCTCTCTCTTTCTGACGTGTTCTCCATGCTGTCCAGGCTGGTCTCGAACTCCTGGATTCAAATGATCTGCCTGCCTCAGCCTCCCAAAGTGCTGGGAATACAGGTGTGAGCCACCGCACCTGGCCTAAAATGTGATACTTAAAGGGATATTTGCATAAACATTCACATTAAAAAGGAAAGACACAAAATTAATGAGTCAACCACACAACTGGAGAAGTTACAGAAAAAAAGAGCAGAATAAACTTCGAAAAAGTAGAAGACGCTAGCCATGGTGGCTCATGCCTGTAATCCTAGCAATTTGGAAAGCTGATGTGGTAGGATTGCTTGAGGCCAGAAGTTTTAAGACCAGCCTGGGCAACATAGCAAGATTCTGTCCGTATTTAAAAAAAGAAAAAAATATATATACACACATATATTCTTTTAAGTAGAAGAAAGAGCATAATAAAAAACACAACCCCCAGGTGAGATTAAGGAAGAAAAAAAAGGAAATGAGTATTAGAAATAGAAAAGAAGGCACAATTACAGATCCAGAGAAATTTTAAAAGATAAAAGATTAATTATATGAATAACTTTATAACAACAAATTTGAAAATTTAAATGAAATGTAATTTATACATTTATTTATAAATTTAGCTAGAAAATATAAGTTATTTAATTAATTTATTTTTGGAGACAGGGTCTCACTCTGTTGCCCAGGCTGGAGTGCAGTGGTGTAATCACCACTTACTGCAACCTTGAGCTCCCAAGCTCAAGCGATCCCCCTCACCTCAGCTTCCCATGTAGCTGGGACCACAGGTATGTGCCACCATGCCCAGCTGCCCAGCTATTTTTTTTTTTTTTTTAAGAAACAGGGTCTCACTATGTTCCCCAGGCTGGTCTTGAACTCCTGGGCTCAAGCAATCCTCCTGCTGGGATTACAGGCCCAGCACACACAGCCAAAAACACAAGTTATTAAAACTGACTAAAAAGAAACAGAAAGCCTGGGTAGTCCTAGAATGGTAAAACAATAAAGGTTAAGTTTTTCTCCCCCCAGCAAGGGAATTCCAAGTTCAGGTGACTTTTCAGAAAAGTTCTACCGAATATTCAAGGAATTGTTCACTGCAATCATATGCATAATTTTCCGGAGAAAAGAAAAAGAAAGAATACCTCCAGCTTTTTTTCTTTTTCTTTTTCTTTTTTTTTTTTTTTGGGATGGAGTTTCACTCTCCTTGCCCAGGCTGGAGTGCAATGGTGCAATCTTGGCTCATCACAAACTCCGCCTCCCAGGTTCAAGTGATTCTCCTGCCTCAGCCTCCCGAGTAGCTGGGATTACAGGCCTGTGCCACCACACCTGGCTAATTTTGTGTTTTCAGTAGAGACGGGGTTTCTCTATGTTGGTCAGGCTGGTCTTGAACTCCCGACCTCAGGTGATCCGCCTGCCTCGGCCTCCCAAAGTGCTGGGAATACAGGCGTGAGCCACTGCGCCCAGCCAGCACCTCCAGCTTTTTTTCAAAATGCTAACATAGATTGATAGAGCCAGGAAGTTACACAAAAATGAGAACTTTCAGGCTAGTCTCAGTTAAATACAAAAACCCTAAATAAAATATCACAAACTACCTTCAGTAATGTGTAAAATAGACAAAACATTATGATTTAACTGGTTTATCTCAAGATTGCAAGACTCAATTATACTAGACTATCCATTAATATAATTAACCACATCAGCAGGTTAAAGGATAAAACACATCTAAAAGCTTTTTCATAGTGGTAGAAATTGTTTTATTTATTTTTTATCTATGTACTTAAAACACTCAAATCCATTACTATTTAAAAATAACACACACAACTCTTAGTAAACCAGGAATAGATGAGAACTTCCTTAATTAACAATGAGTACTATGATCCTATCATAAACATAATTTCTAATATGAGAAATATTAAAAACGTTTCTTTAAATCAGAAACAAGACAAGAATGCCTATTATCACCAGTTCCATTCAACATTGTATAGTCCCTCTGTATTCATGAAAGATATATCAGACAAAATAGAAAAGGAAAATAATGAAAAGATACAAGGACTGTAAAGGAAGAAAAAAATTGTTATTCTTGGTTGGGCACAGTGGCTCACATCTGTAATCCCAGCACTTTGGGAGGCTGAGGCAGGTGGATCACCTACGGTTGGGAATTCGAGACCAGCCTGGCCAACAAGGAGAAACCCTGTCTCTACTAAAATACAAGAAATTAGCCGAGCATGGTGGTGGGCGCCTGTAGTCCCAGCTACTTGGGAGGCTGAGGCAGAAGTGCTTGAGCCAAAGAGGCGGAGGTTGCAGTAAGCCCAGATCTCGCCACTGCACTCCAGCCTGGGTGACAGAGGGAGACTTTGTCTTCAAAAAAAGAAAAGTCAACTAATGAGTGATGTCAGCAAAAATGGTTGAGTAACAAACTCCAAAAGCTCATCCCTTCACAACAGAAGTGACTAAACAGGAAAGAACTGTCAGAATCAACTTTATCAGAACTGTGAAGACAGATCAAGGGTTTACAGCAACCGGGCAAAATGTTTAATCAAGAGAAAAAAAAAAAGCTGAGTCTCAGTAAGAAATCTTTGTTAGTTTTTTAAGTTTTTTTGAGACAGGGTATGGCTATGTTTCCTAGGCTGGAGTGCAGTGGCTATTCACAGAATTGAGCATAGCACGCTATGGCCTCAAACTCCTGGCCTCAAGTTATCTTCCTGCCTCAGCCTCTGAAGTAGCTGGGACTATAGACATATGTCACTGTGCCTAGCTCTTTGTAGTGTTTTTTACTTACTCTGGCCCCATCTACTGCTCTCCAGATTAATACTGGCCCTGAAGACAACAACCTACTTTCTCAGTACAGATTTTTAGTACCAAGGGTGGCAGAAAGGACCTTCTTCTCAAAGAACTGTGGTTGTTTTGACCTTGCTGGTGACTCTGAGCTCAAAGGGCTTGTGCCTATTTTAACTAACTCAAAACTTTCCTAGGACAAACACAACTACCCAGTGTAGGGGGCATTTGTGGAATATATTTAAAGGCAAATGAATTAGCCACTGTCAGTTGGGGTAAGGCATAACTACCACTTGGGGTAAACAACAGATAATCCAAAAAGCTTAAGAAGAAAAGATGAGAAGTGAGGCATTTTAGGGAATAAGGGCTTTGAAAAGCTCCCACATATTCCTGGGAATCTAGAAGGCCATGTACTTAACCAAGTCAGGCTGTATGCTCAGAAAAGACCTAAAAAAGCTGTTGCTTCTGGCTGACACCCAGACTCTATACAAGCAGGAAATGAAGACAAGGGCAGAATTATAAACAGCCTTAGTGTAGAAGGTATCCCAACACATACACAAAGATGGAGCATTTTTGTTGATGATGATGATGTTGTTGTTCCAGATGTTTAAGGAAACGTCTGTTGAATCACTAGCTGACTACTAAACTAATGGAACAAAGACTTCAGTAGAATATAGATTTTACAAAATTAGTGCAGAAAAGTCACTAAACAAACAACAGTTACAACAAGGAGCAGAAACAAACCTTGGGGGGGAGGGGGTGAAATATGATTACAGATTTCCCATATTATATTATTTAAAATTTCTAATTTTCACAAAACCTATGAGACATACAAAGAAGTAACTGTGGCCTATACACAGGAAAAAAAGAAATTAATAGGAACAATCATTGACAAAGCCTAGACATTGGACTTATTAGACAAAGACTTTATGTTAACTATTTTAAATATGCTAAAAGAAACAATGGATAAAGAACTAAAAACAAATAAGAACAATGTCTCACCAAATAATTAATATCAATAAATAGATGGAAGTTAGAAGGAGGGGCTTCAAGACAGCTGGCTAGAGGCATCCAGCACTCACCTCCTCCATAAAGAAGACTCAAAATAACAAGTAGATAATCACACTCTGAATAGAGCATTTAAGAGAGAACACTGGAATTCAACAGAGAAATTATAGGAAACACCTAAGGCACAGAAGGAGCAGGAGGCAAGGCTACCAGCTCAGCTGGAATCAGGTGGGAGCCCAGAGAAGCTTCCCAGTACAGAGAAAGGGTCAATGACCACAGACTCTTGCAACCTGGGCCAGGAGAAAACCCCTCGACCCTTGTAAGCCCTGAGACTACTGCAGGGAGCTGCCTGGAGATGACCTGATAGCACTGCTCCAGAGAGGGAGCTCACACCAGGTCCCACTGTCCTACAACTCCTAAGCAAAAGCAGCATGACACTATTTTGAGAGCCTAGTCCATGCCATACTGCATGCTGCTATCACTAGAAATATCCCCCCACATCTATCCAGAGGGCTGTAGCAGCACAATGCTGGTTAAACCCAGGGGAGTAGCAGGGAACTCAGCACTCTAGCACATATAGTGTGCGGCACCCTGGGGCATGCGCAGTGTACCACACTGGGGAGGCTGCCCCCAGGACAAAGGGAACTAAAGTGTGTGCTTTCTAGAACCTGAGACTGCCTACCTGGGGCAGCCACCACAGACAGCAACCCCATTCTCCCAGCAGCAGGGCTCATGTGCACAAGCCCTGAGATCAGACTCTGCCGCTGCCCATTGCAGCTGCCACTGCTGCTGCAGGGGCCAAAGCACGTACTACAGGCAGTAATCCCGCCCTCTTCAGCAGCAAGGTCACAGCACACTTGCACATGCCGAGGACAGGTCCCTCAGCTGTCCCAAACCCCCGCACTCTCAACACTTTTGCAACCACCTAAGCATTCCACCAGGGGCCTGGGGCTCACCCTGCCCTGCCCACTACAGCTGGTGCCTCAGCATACTACTGGCACTACAAAAGACAGGCTTGCTCAGCCTAACACTGCCTCCCCACCAGTGCCCAAGCCCACTACCCTGGGGCCTGAGGATTGCCCCACCCTATCCACCACTGGCGGGATCTCCGCACTCCTCTTCAGAGTCTGAGGACAGGCTTACCCTGTCTGCCACTACCAACACAGCCAGCACCCACTCAAATGTCCCACCTGGAGGTCTGGGGACTGGCCCACCCAGCTTGTCACAGCCAATGCTAACACAAACATATACTACTTCAGAGCCTGATGGTTGTCCCACCACCACGACTGCCATCACCCAAACAAGCACATTGCCCAGGAGACCAAGAACCTATCCCCCTACCTGGTTCACTGCTGCTACTCCTGGCACCTGAGCAAGTGCCTAGAAGCTGAAGAATCATCATATTGGGACCCACTAACACTGGTGCTCATATATGCCACCCAGAGGCCCAAGGATAGGCACACTCAGCCTGTCAGTGCCACCACTTGGGCCTGAGGACTGAGGACTTGCATCCCCTTCCACAGTAAACCTCATCACAACTTCCACTAACAAACTCAGCCTAATCCACTGAGAAAACCACAAACACCACAGATGCTGTTTACAGTTGAAGAAATCATATGGAAACTGCATGACTTCATGCACCCAGAATAAAAGCTAAAGTGTCCTACCCAACCAACACCATAGATACATCCTTAGGAAGAAGTCTTCCCCTATAAAAGCATAGCCAAAAATTTGGATGTGACTGTTATACCAGATGTGCAGATATCAACATAAGGAAAAAATAAACATGAAAACACAAGGAAATATGACAACTCGAAAGGAACATAATAATTCTTCAGCAATAGATTCCAGTGGAAAATAATTTTATGGAATTCCAGAAAAAGAACTCAAAATAATGATAATCAAAGTAGCTCAGTGAGATACAAGAGAACGCAGATAAATAATACAAGGAAATCAGAAAAACAATTCAAGATATGAATGAGAAATTCACCAGAGATAGATATCATAAAAAAGAACCAAACAGAAATCCTGGAACTGAAGAATTCAATGACTGAAACAAGAAATACATTTGAGAACTTCCATAATAAACTAGAGCTATCAGAAGGAAGAATCTCAGAACTTAAAGACAAGTCTTTTTAAATAACCCAGTCAGACAAAGTTAAAAAATAAATATATATGCTGGGTGTGGTGGCTCATGCCCACAATCCCAGCACCTTGGGAGGCTGAGGTGAGTGGATCACTTGAGCTCAGGAGTTCAAGACCAGCCTGGCCAAAGCATGGCGAAACCCTATCTCTACTAAAAATACAAAAACTTAGCCCAACATGGTGGCTCATGCCTGTAGTCCCAGCTACTTGGGAGGCTGAGGCACAGGAATTGCTTGAGCCTGGGTGGTGGAGGTTACAGTGAGCTGAGATCACGCCACTGCACTCCAGCCTGGGCAACAGAGCGAGACTCCATCTCAAAAACAACAACAACAACAAATCAAACCAATAACTAACTAAATAAATAAATACATAAATACATAAAAAGAATGAACAAAACCTACTTGGCATATGGGACATCATGAAATTACTAAATACACAAATTTGGAGAGTTCTAGAAGGTAAAGAGAAGAGTAAAGACACAGAAAACCTACTTAATGAAATAGTAGCTGAAAATTTCTCATGTCTAGCAAGAGATTTAGACATCTAGATACAGGAAGCTCAGGGAAACCCAAATAGATGTAACTCAAAAAGCTCTCCATGGCACATTATAGCCAAACTGTCAAAAGTCAAAGAGACAATTCTGAAAATGGCAAGAAAAAAACATCTAGTTACATATAAGGGAACTCCTATCAGATTAACAGTGGATTTATCAGCAGAAACCTTATATAGGTCAGGAGAAAATGGATGATATATTCAAAGTGCTGAAAGAAAAACAAAATTATCAACCAAGAATACTATACCCAGGAAAGTTATCCTTCAAAAATTAAGGATAAAGTCTTTCTCAGAAAAGCAAAAACTGAGGCAATTCATCACGACTAGACTGGCACTACAAGAAACGTTAAAAGAAGTCCTATACATGGAAGTGAAAGGACAGTATCTACCATCATGAAAACACATGAAAGTATAAAACTCACTGGTAGAGCAAACACAAAAATGAAAAAGAGAAGGGATTCAAATGTTACTACTATTGAAAACCACCAAACCATAAAGATAAACAATAAAAGAGAAACAAAAGAACAAAGTATATACAAAGCAACCAGAAAACAATGAACAAAATGACAGGAATAAGTCCTTACATATCAATAATTACCTCAAATGTAAATGGATTAAAGTTTCCACTTAAAAGATACAGACTGGCTGTATTGATTTGTTTTTTGTTTTGTTTTGTTTTGTTTTTTGTTTTGTTTTGTTTTGTTTTTGAGACAGAGACTTTGCTCTGTTGCCCAGGCTAGAGTGCAGTGGCATGATCTCGGCTCACTGTCAGCTCCGTCTCCCAGGTTCATGCCATTCTCCTGCCTCAGTCTCCCGAGTAGCTGGGACTACAGGCACCCGCCACCACACCCAGCTACTTTTTTGTATTTTTTAGTAGAGACGGGGTTTCACCGTGTTAGCCAGGATGGTCTCAATCTCCTGACCTCATGATCCGCCCATCTCGGCCTCCCAAAGTGCTGGGATTACAGGCGTGAGCCACTGTGCCCGGCCAAATTGATTTTTTAAATTACCCAATTACATGCTGCCTACAAGAAACTCATTTCTCCTGTAGAAACACATACAGACTGAAAGTAAAGGATGGAAATAGACATTCCATGCAAATGGAAACCCAAAGCAAGTGGGAGTAGCTATACTTAGATAAAACAGACTTTAAGTCTGAGACAGAGAAGGTCATTATATAATGACAAATGGACTGATTTAGCAATAGGATATAATAATACTAAATATGTATGCACCCAACATCAAAGCACCCAGATATATAAAGCTAATATTATTAGATCTAAAGGGAGAGATAGACTCTAGAACAATAATATTATAGTTGGGGACTTCAACATTCAACTCTCAGCCTTATAGATCACCTACACAGAAAATTAACAAAAAACATAAGATTTAAACTGCACTTTAGACCAAATGGACCTAACAGATATCTACAGAACATTTTATCCAATAGCTGTAGAATACACATTCTTCTCATCAGCACACGTAACATTCTCCAGGATAGACCACATGTTGGGCCACAAAATAAGTCTCAACAAATTTTTTAAAAACTGTAATCATATCAAGTATCTTCTCAGACAACAATGGAATAAAATTAGAAGTCAATAACAAGAGGAACTTTAGAGACTGTACAAACACATGGAAATTAAACTATATGCTCCTCAACAACCTTTGGGTCAACAAAATTAAGATGCCAATCAAAAAATTTCTTGAAACAAATGAAAATGGAAATACAAACTACAAAAACCTGTGGGATACAGCAAAAACAGTGCTAAGAGGGAATTTTATAGCAATAAATGCCTACATTAAGAAACTAGAAAGATTTCAAATAACCAATCTAATGATGCACCTCAAGGAACTAGAAAAGCAAAAACAGCCAACCCCAAATTAATAGAAGAAAAGAAATATTAAAAATCAGAGAAGTAAAAAAACAGAGATCAAAAAAAGACAAAACAACAGATTAATGAAACAAAAAGTGTTTTTTTTGAGATGATAAACAAAATTAAACACTAGCTAAACTAACCAAGGAAAAAGAATATCCAAATAAACAAAATCAGAAATGAAAAACGAGACATAACAATGATACCACCAGAAATACAAAAGATCATCATAGACTGTTATGAAAAACTATATGCTAACAAAGTAGAAATTCCATAAGAAATGGATAAATTCTGGGACATATATACATCCTACAATATTGAATCAAAAAGACATAAAAAACCTGAACAGACCAATAATGAGTTATGAGATTGGATCAGTAATAAAAACTCTCCCAACAAATAAAAGCCCAGGACTGGATAACTTTACTGCTAAATTCTACCAAACTTATAACGAACATCCTATGCTCATTGATCAGAACATACTACCCAAAGCAATTCTCCTAAAACTATTCCAAAAAAAATGAAGAGGAGGGAATTGTCCTTACCTCTTTCTATAAGGCCAGGATTACCCTGATACCAAAATCAGACAAGGACACAGCAAAAAAAGAAAACTATAGGTCAGTATCCCTGATGGACACAGATGCAAAAATCCTCAGCAGAATATGAACAAATGGAATCTAACAGTACATCAAAAGGATAATACACTATAAGCAAGTAGGATTTATCTCAGGGATGCAAACACGGTTCAACATACACAAATCAATAAACATGACACATCACATCGACAGAATGAAGGACAAAACCATATGATCATCTCAACAGATGCAGAAAAAGTATTTGACAAAATCCAACATCCCTTCATGATAAAAACTCTCAAAAAACTGGGCACAGAAGGAACATACTTCAACATAAAAAAGACCAATATGACAAACTCTTAAGTAACATCATACTGAATGGGGAAAAGCTGAAAGCCTTTCCTCTAAGAACTGAAACAAGACAAGGATGCTCACCTTCATCACTCCTATTCAATACAGTACTGAGAGTCCTAGCCAGAGCAATCAGTCAAGAGAAAGAAATAAAAAGCATCCAAATTGAAAAAGAGGAGGTCAAATTGTCTTTGTTTGCACAGGGCATGATCTTGTATTTAGAAAAACCTAAAGACTCTACCACAAAATTCTTAATTTGATAAACAAATTCAGTAAAGTTGCAAGACATAAAATCAACATATAAAAATCAGTGGTATTGCTATATACAACAGTGGAATATCTGAAGTAGAAATGAAAAAGGCAATTCCATTTATAATACCTACACACACAAAAATGGAAGATAACACATACACACAAAATGGAAAGGCATACCATGCTCATGGATTATAAAACTTAATACTATTAAAATGAACATACTACCCAAAGCAACCTACAGATTCAATGTAATCCCTATCAAAATACCAATGACATTTTTCAAAGAAATAGAAAAAAATCAATTCTAAAATTTGCATGGAACCAAAAAGAGAGTGTGAATAGCCAAAGCAATCCTGAGCAAAATAACAACAACAAACAAATGAACAAAAAATAAAAATAAAAAACAAAGCTTGTAGCATCACACTACCTGACTTATAAGGCTATAGTAACCAAAACAGCATGATATTGGTATAAAAATAGACATATCAACCAATAGAACAGAATAGAGATCCCAGAAATAAATCCATGTATTTACAGCCAAATGATTTTTGACAATGGCACCAAGAACATACATTAGGGAATGGACACCTTCTTTGAAAAATGGTGCTGGGAAAACTGAATATCCATATGCAGAAGAATGAAACTAGACCCCTATAGAAAAGTCAAATCTCACCATATACAAAAATCAATTCAAAATGGATTAAAGGCCTAAGCATAAGATCGAAAACTATAAAACTACCAGAAGAAAACACCACAGGATATTGGTCTAAGCAAAGAATTTATGGCTAAGACCTCAAAAGCAGAGGCAACAAAATAAAATAGTAGATAAATGGGACTTAATTAAATTTAAAAGCTTCTGCACAGCAATGGAAACAATCAACAGGATGAAGAGACAACCTGATGAATGGAAGAAAATATTTGCAAACTAATCTTATGACAAGGGACTAATATACAGAATATACAAAGAACTCAAACAACAGCAACCCAAACGCAAAACAAAGAAAAAACAACAATCTCATTAAAAAGTGGGCAAAGGATCTAAATAGACATTTCTCAAAAGAAGATATACAAATGGCCAACAGGTCTATGAAAAAATGGTTGATATCACTAACCATCAGGGAAATGAATATCAAAACCACAATGAGATATCATTCTACCCCAGTTAGAATGGCTATTATTATTATTTAGAGACAGGGTCTCACTCTGTTGCCCAGGCTGGAGTGGCAGTGGTGTGATTATAGTTCACTGCAGCCTTGAACTCCTGGGCTCAAGTGATCCTCCTATCTCAGCCTCCTGAGAAGCTAGGACTACAGGTGTGCACCGTCATGCCTGGCTAATTTTTGTTGTTGTTGTAGAGGCAGAGTCTCACTATGTTGCCAGGTTGGTCTTGAACTCCTGGGCTCAAGCAATCCTCCCACCTTGGCCTCCCAATGTGCTGCCATTGTATGTGTGAGCCACTACACCTGGCCACAGAATGACTGTTATTAAAAAGACAAAAAAATAAAGTAACAGATGCTGGGGAGGATATGGAGAAAAAGGAACTCTCATACACTGTTGTTGGGAATGTAATTTAGCACAGCCATTATTGAAAACCGTATAAATATTTCTCACAGAACTAAAAACAGGACTGCCATATGATCTAGCAATTCCACCTTGGGATATTTATCCAAAGGAAAGGAAATCATTATATCAAAGGGATACATGCACCCCCATGTTTATTGCAGCACTATTCACAACAGCAAAAACATGGAATCAACCTAAGTGTACATAAATGGATGGGTGGATACAGAAAATGTGGTATATATACACAATGAAATACTACTTGGACATAGAAAAAATAATGAAATCCTGTCATTTCCAGTAAGATGAATGGAACTGGAGGTCATGTTAAGTGAAATAATCAGGCACAGAAAGACAAGTATCACATGTTCTCATTCATACATGGAAACTAAAAGAGCTGATCTCATGGAGGTTGAAAGTGAATGATAGTTACCAGAGGCTGAGGAGGGTCTGTGTGTGGGTGAGTGGGTGGGGCGTGGAATGGATGAAGAGAGGTTGGTTAATGAGCACAAACATACTGTTATAGATAGGAGGAATAAGTTTCAATGTTTCATAGCAGTGTAGGGTGACTATATAGTTAAAAACAACGTATTTATATTTCCGAATAGCTAGAAGACAGGTCTTGAAACATTCCCAACACATATAAATAAATACTTAAGGTGATGGATACCCTAAATACCCTGACTGATTATTAGACATTCTATGCATGTAACAAAATACTACAAATACCCCCATTAAAATGTACAAATATTGGCCAGTGCAGTGGCTTACACCTGTAATCCCAGCACTTTGGGAGGTCAAGGAGGGCGGATCAAAAGGTCAGGAGATCAAGACCATCCTGGCCAACATGGTGAAACCCTGTCTTTACTAAAAAAAAAAAAAAAAAAAAAAAAAAAAAAAATTAGCCAGGCACAGCAGCGCATGCCTGTAATCCCAGCTACACGGGAGGCTGAGGCAGGAGAATTGCTTGAACCCAGGAGGCGGAGGCTGCAGTGAGCTGAGATTGCACCACTGCACTCCAACCTGTGTGACAGAGCAAGACTCTGTCTCAAAAATAAATAAATAAAATATACAAATATTACACATTAATAAAAAATTTCAAAAACAAACAAAAAGAGATGGAAGTACAAAAGAGACCCAAATGGAAATTCTAGAGTTGGAGAGTGTAACAACTGAAATAAAAAATCCAGTAGAAGGGGTTCTACAGCAGGCTTGAGCAGGCAGAAGAACAGTGAATTTGAAGACAGGGCAACTGATATTATGCAGTCTAAGTGTCACAAACAAAAAGGAATGAAGAAAAGTGGAGAAGAGCTGAAGAGACTATGGGACACCATCAAGTACACCAACCTAAGCATAATGGGAGTCTTAGAAGATTAGAAAGGGCACATAGGCCAGGTGGGGTGGATCACGGCTATAATCCCAGCACTTTGGGAGGCTAAGGCAGGCAGATCACCTGAGGTCAGGAGTTCAAGACCAGCCTGGCCAACATGGTGAAACCCCATCTCTACTAAAAATACAAAAATTAGCCAGGCATGGTGGCAGGCGCCTGTAATCCCAGCTACTTGGGAGGCTGAGGCAGGAGAATCGCTTGAACCTGGGAGGCAGAGGTTGCGGTGAGCAGAGATCCCTCCATTGCACTCCAGCCTGGGCAACAGAGCAAGACTTGGTCTCAAAAAAAAAAAAAAAAAAGGGGGCACTTATAAGAGATCAGTGTTAGGATTAAGAGCTGAATTCTCACCATAAACTACCAAGGTCAGAAGGCAGTGGGTTGACATTTCAATGTGCTGAGAGAAAAATACTGTGAACCATGAACTGTATATCCAGTAAAACTATCCTTCAGAAATGAAGGAAAAATTAAGATATTCCCAGACAAACAAAAACCAAGAGAGTTCACTACTAGTAGAATGGCCCTACCTGCCCATGACCAAAAAAAAAAAAAAAAAAAAGGTAAAGGGAATTCTTCAGGCTGAAATAAAAGGACACTGCATAGTAACTCAAATCCATGGGAAGAAATAAAAAATAACAACAACAACAAAAAAGACTAACAGCAAAGGAAACTACATAGGTAAATATAAAAGTCAATATATGCTTTGTAAGTCTTTTTTCCACATGATTTAAAAGACAACTACATAAAACAATATTTATAAATCCATACTGATGGACCACAATGCATAAAGATGTAATCTGTGACAACAACAACAATAGAATGGAGGGAACAGAGATATATGAGAAAAGTTGTTGTATGTAATTGAAACTAAGTTGGTAAATTCTAACTGGATTGTTACAAATGAAGATGTTAATTATAATCCCTGCTGCAGGTTCTCTTGCCAGCTCATTTCCTAGGTTCTACCAATAGAAATTATTGGTAGGACACTGGAGGTGAGAGGGGGAAAATATGTTTGTGTTTTTTTCTGGCTTCTGATGGCAATTCCAACAGAGTTGTTGCAACAGACAAGTGAAGGCTCCTGAGTTGCTGTTGAGAAAGCTCACGTCCAACAGGAGAAGCCTCAACAGCACAATAATCATGGGTTCTGGGTAACCTCATTTTCTATTTCACTCTTCTAGCACTAGGAATAACTGCAGCTTCTTGCATATATCAAGGTTTTGGAAACTTATCCACTTTTTGCTTCTCCAACCATTCCAATGACTTTCTAACCAATTCCTTATATTAAATCCCCCTATTTGAAATATCTAGAGTGTATTCTCTCTTCCTTACTAGATATAGACTACTGACTGACAAAAGTACATCAAGAAATCCTACAAATCAATAACAGATAAAATAACTAAATAGCAAAATAAGTAAAAGTCATAAAAAGGCATACAAATGGTCCAAAATACATGAAATAAAAACCAACCTCATTAGTAATAAAACTAATACAAATTAAAACCACAATAAGATAAAATTTCATGTCTGCCAGATTAACAAAATTGTTAAATCATCCAATACCAAGTGTTAACAAGAATCTAAATTCTTGTTTGTTTTTTTTTTCTTTAGACAGAGTTTTGTTTTTTCACCGAGGATGGAGTGCAGGGGCTCAATCTCGGCTCACTGCAACCTCTGCCTTCTGGTTTCCAGTGATTCTCTTGCCTCAGCCTCCAGAGTAGCTGGGATTACAGGTGCCTGCCACCACGCCCAGCTAATTTTTGTATTTTTAGTAGAGACGGGGTTTCACCATGTTGGCCAAGCTGGTCTCAAACTCCTGACCTTGTGATCCACTGGCCTCAGCCTCCCAAAGTGCTGGGATTACAGGTGTGAGGCACTGTGCCCAGCCCGAATCTAGAAAAAATTCTTCTTCACAGTTGGTGGGGGTATAAAAAAGCACAATCACTGTGGAAAACATTATGATTATTATGTAAAATAACCAAACAGGTTACCACCCTAAAACTCAGCAATCCTACTCTTAGGTAACCCCAATATGATTTATAAATCCATATTGATGGACCCACAATGAGAACATAGCAACTTTAAAACTTTTTTGACTGTTACTCAAAATAAGAAATTTATTTTATAGCCTTTCTCAATACACACAGTCATACACACAGCCACAAAAAGAGTTTCACAAAACAATATTTTCCCATAATATACTGTATATGTAATGCACACTGTAAAAGCATATGTAAAACTATAATGCATATATAAAATGGAAAATGCATATTTATTTTAGTTTTGTTTCTTTTTGAGACAAAGTCTCCCTCTGCCACCCAGGCTGGAGTACAATGGCATGATCTCGGCTTACTACAACCTCTGTCTCCTGACTTCAAGCGATTCTCCTGCCTCAGCCTCCTGAGTAGCTGGGATTATAGGTGCGTACCACCACTCCTGGCTAATTGTTGTATTTTTAGTGGAGACAGGGTTTCACCATGTTGGTCAGGCTGGTCTCGAACTCCTGACCTCATGATCCACCCGCCTCGGCCTCCCAAAGTGTTGGGATTATAGGCGTGAGCCACCACGCCTGGCCTAGTTTTGTTTATTAACTGCTAGGTATGTGAGACTGTTATATTTTTCAATATGCTGGTTGCAATCTACCGAATTGATTTTATGGCCCTCTAATTGGTCACATCCTACAATTTAAAAACTACTACCCTAAAGAAATTCCAGCACATGGCTACAGGGCATTCTTCAGAGTAGCAAAAATCTGAAAACAACCCATCTATCCATCAATAGATCGAATAAGCAAATTATACTATGTTCATAAAATGGAATATGATATTGTAGTGAAAATAAATGAACTACTAATATCTGCATTAATATGGCTAAAAAACAATATTGAGCAAAAGAAGCTAGTCACAGAGGCCAGGCGTGGTGGCTCACCCCTATAATCCCAGGACTTTGGGAGGCCGAGGCAGGCAGATCACTTGAGGTCAGGAATTCAAGATCAGCCTAGCTAATATGGTGAAAACTCATCTCTACTAAAAATACAAAAATTAGTTGGGCATAGTAACAGGCATCTGTAATCTCAGCTACTCCAGAGGCTGAGGCACAAGAATCCCTTGAACCCAGGAGGTGTAGGTTGCAGTGAGCCGAGATCAGAGACTCCATCTCAAAAAAAAGAAAAAAAGAAAAAAAAGAACCTAGTAACAGAATACCCACACCATGATTGAGTTTATAGTAAGTTCAAAACTGGCAAGCCTAAACCCTATATTGTTTGGGTTTATGCTATAAAGAAAAGGAAGGGATCAACAAATACAAAACTCAAGATAGTGACTTCCTTTAGGAAAAAAGGAAGGGCCTGTGACTAGCAAGGGTCTTCTTAGTTATATATAATCTTCTATTTTTTAACCTGGGTAGTGGTAACATAGATATCCATTTTATTATTAGTCTTTAACCAAATAGCTGCACCTTACATGTTCTTTTATATGACACGTTGTAATAAATATATTTTTAAGTAGAAAAGGGAGTCTTCCCTAAGAACTCACATAGATTCACACTAAGACCTGAAAGTTACTTCATTTCCTTCTTTGATAAAGTCCTGAATATTGGCAGATAAGAGATTTTAGTAAGGCATTTTAAATAATCTCTATCAATATCCTTGTAGATAAAATAACACAAACTTGATGTAGTAAAATTAGATAAATTATTAGGTTGATATAAAATGGCCATTCTCATAGATCAAAAATAGTTAAGAATTAACAATTTCATATGATTTAACCTATTAAAAATATATCTGCTAGAGATAACGTGAAGATGAAGAAATACTAGCTGATTTGAAAGACACTGGAAGTAGAATTTATAGTCTTGGAAATTGGTTGTTATTATGAGAGAGGGGCATTTTTTTTTTTTTTGAGACAGAGTCTCCCTCTGTTACCCAGGCTGGAGTGCTGTGGCACAATCTAAGCTCACTGCAACCTCCGTCTCCTGGGTTCAAGTGATTCTCCTGCCTCAGCTTCCTGAATAAGTGGGACTACAGGCGAGCACCACCATGCCCAGCTAATTTTTGTATTTTTAGTAGAGATGTATTTAGTAGAGTATTTTTAGGGTTTCGCTATGTTGGCCAAGCTGGTCTCAAACTCCTGACCTCAAGTGATCTGCCTGCCTCGGCCTCCCAAAGTGCTGGGATTACAGGCGTGAGCCATCGTGCCTGGCCAACAGAGGGCACTATTCTAGAGACAAAAGAATCAAGATCCAGACAACCACTAGGTTAGTTATAACATTAATATAGGTAACAATGAAAAAAAAATTGTTTGAGGGCTATAGTAAATTGAAAAATAACGTAGGCCAGGCATGGTGGCTCACGCTTGTAATCCGAGCACTTTGGGAGGCCAAGGCTGGTGGAATCACCTGAGGTCAGGAGTTTGAGACCAGCCTGACCAACATAGCGAAACCCCATCTCTAATAAAAATACAAAAATTATCTGGGCATGGTGGCGGGTGCCTGTAATCCCAGCTACTCAGAAGGCTGAGGTGGGAGAATCACTTGAACCCGGGAGGCAGAGGTAGCAGTGAGGCGAGATTGCACCACTGCTCTGTTGCATAGGCAACAGAGCAAGACTCTGTCTCAAAAAAATAGAAAAAGGAAAATAATGCATTTGCTTTTAGATATGCTCAGTTTCAGGAGGCCCTTAAACTCACAAGTGGAAATGTCAAACAGGCAATGAGAGATATGCATTCATATCCCAGGTAGGAAGTAGGGGCTAAAGAAAAAGTTACAGGAGACAGCAAAGAAGTGGGATTGAAGTCACATTTGAGATGGCCTCAGGGTTAAGGAAGAAAGAAGATGAGAGAATGGAATAGAACATTGGAAACAACATTGAAGAGGTCATTAGTGCAAAAAGAGACAAAAAAAAAAAAAGAAACTAAAATAAGGGTAGGATATGAAAAGAGGAATATTTTATAAGTTGAAGGAAGAGGTAATTTCAAGAAAAAAGCAGTGAAAATTTATTTTAACAAATATTTGAGTGCTACTGTGTCCCAGACATTGTAAGATAAGGCAGCCAAAGAGTTGATACTCTCTTTCCTTTGTTCTGTCAATATTTTCATTGGTAAAGCGAAGAACAAAAGTAAAGAGGTACTTTATCAGATTTTCAAATGAGAGAAAGGAGTAGCAGCTGATATGACAGAATCAGGATCCAAATGTATTCCAATATACTGGAAGTGATGGGCACATGTAAGGTACATGGATGTGCTTTGGTCAAGGAATAGGCCAAGTTGGACATCTGGGACAGAGTGACTCGGTGAGTTTAGGGTGCAGGTGCATACTCTGCTTGTTACATAACCTGTTTGTGTAAGCTCATACTGGGCTCGGAGCCACTATTCTTTGAGAAAGGTATAACTGCCCTGCTGATGCCCTGCACACCCAGAGAAAAGAGAGAGAGCCAGAGTTGTTCGTCTTATAGATAGACAGGGGAGAGCCAGCTTGGCTTGTGCCCAGAGAGAGAAAAAGTTAAGCTGCTAACCCTGTAAGGGAGAGCCAACCTTGTAGCCCAGGGAATGCAGCTGTGTGTGGGAGTGGCAGGAGCTGCAGAGCTGGAGCAGATAGCTGAGATAAAGGTAGACAGTGTAAGAGAGCTGCTGTGAGAGAGCTGCTGATGAGGAGCTAGTGTGAGTGAGCTGCTGATGAAAGAGCTGCTGAATAAAACCATATTCAACTGCTACGGTCCCCCGAGTGTTCTTTTCAGCCATTCGTGACCCATTCACCCCTTCCTTTTGGACCTCAGCATGGGCTGGAACCTGACCCTGAACCTGACATTTGGTGTAGTCCTCGGCAGAATGAGATGAATGGGTCTTCAGCCCACAAGACTCCCAGGTCGGCAATGTGGCTGCATCATGGGCTGTGGTAACTGGTGGCAGCTGTGCTGCATGGATGGGCTCCAGTGGAGACATGGGTGGCAGTGGACAGGTCCCCTGTGAGTGTGGAGATGGAACTGAAGCACCTAGAAGTGCACAGCACCGAGAAAGTACATACTTTTGTCAGCAGAGTCAGATGGGTGTTTATGACTGAGCACAGTCATGAGCAGGACATGCATGCCCAGTCCCTGTGGGATGCAGCGCAGGGAGGAGGAAGAACCTTGGTTGCAGGCTCACCCAGTGGTCTGCCAGAAAATAGAGCATAAGCAGCTGTTGGGCCCCAAAGGTAGGCCTAGGGACCCCCACCCCCACTGAGTTGTGGGAGTTAGGCAACTAATGTCGGCAGCGTCTGGGGGGTCCCCTCCCTGCCTGATATTCCGTCTCTGAGACGAAGGAGCTGACACATTTCCTGCTCTGCCTCCAAGATGGAGAAGCTGGCTTTTTAAAGTGTGGACTGATGCTGGTCCAGAAAAGTACCAGAGACTGTCAGACGATGAAAGTCAAGTATAGACTTGGTGCAACTCAATTGGGAGAAGGATGTTACTGTACAGCCCAGTCCTGCCTAAGTGTTCCAGTTCAGGGAGTACCTGCTGCAGTCAAGTGGAAGTGTAAAGACTTTTCTGTTTGATAAGGGAACTGGCTGAGGTGCCTTGCTCAGAGGGACACTGGACCACCGCAGCCACATGTGGACTTGGCAATCCACTGGTCCCTGAACACGTATAAGTTTCTGGGTGGGGCTGCATCAATTAATGGCTATGAAAGCCAGTCAGTGAAAGTGAGACCTGTATCTTTGCACCTTGCCATCAGCCGCTTGGCTCTCTGCTTATGCATTGTGTATCTCTCCCCAGTGCCTGAATGCATTCTGGGGGTGGATGTTTTGCACAGCTTGGCAGCTGTGCTGTCTGTCACAGACTTGATGGACCGCTTGACAATGGAACTGGGACTTCTTTTCCAGACAGCCAGGAACAGTTTGCCTTCATGGGAGGGCGACAATGGACTTTCACAGTGTTGCGGTGGTGTCATAGTCTTATTAATGATGTTATGCTAACCTCTGATTCTTTTACAGGTTTAAAAGCGGGAATGCCCCTCTTGCCTGGGATTGGGATAATGAAACTGAGGCAGCCTTTTCCAATAGCCAAGCAGGCTATTCGGTAGACATAAGCCCTATGGGTAGTTGACCAGGGGTGCTCATTTAAGCTGGATGTGCATGTGACCACAGATAGCTTTGGCTAGGGCCTATATCAATGCATGAGGCACTTGGGAGTGACAGTATGCTTTTAGTCCCAACTATGGAAGGGAGCTGAGCTCTCATACTCTGATAGGGAAGCAGTTAGCAGCTATATATGCTTCCCTTCAGGCTAATGAGAGCATGGCAGGACAGATGACTTACCCAATAGCGGGATGGGTGCATTAATAGGTAACAAGCCCCCAGAATGGGATGGCGTAGATATCCACTTTAGCAAAGTGTAGCACCTCCTTAGAACAGCGGAGTATGCTGAGTACAAGTACCTTAGCTGCAGTGTTACAAGAGGTCTTGGCACCTGTAGTCCTCATGCAAGATAAGGCCATGGGGCCTGAAGCACCCCTAGACCCTAAGCCTTCACTGTTAGGAAGAACATCCTCCCATTCTTAATAGGGCAGGGAACACAGATAGGTCTAGCTGGGGTGCTACTGCTGCCTGGATTGCTGTCACAGTCTAGCCTAGTACTGACACCATATGGTTTGAAACCAGGTGCAGGCAAAGTAGCCAATGGGCTGAACTCAGTGCAATGTGAATGATGATCAACAAGGAGGTGACACCTACAGTAATCTGTACTAATAGCTAGGCAGTTTATCAAAGCTTATGTATGTAACGGGCCTGTGTGTCCAGAAGCTTATGTATGTGTTGGACCTGGGGCCTATGTGCCAAACCTGTGTATCAGGCCTGCATGCCCAAAGCTTATGTGTCAGGCTTGTGTATGAAGCCTATGTGTGTTTATTGGGCCTCTGTGCCCAAAACCTATCTCTCTTGGCCTAGAGGGTGAAATGTAAGGTATATGGATGTGCTCTGGTCAAGGAATAGGCCAAGGTGGACCTCTGGGCCAGAATGACTCAGTGAGTTTAGGGTGCAGGCGCATACTCCACTTGTTATATAACCTGTTTGTGTAAGCTCATACTGGGCTCGGAGCCAGTATTGTTTGAGAAAGGTATAACTGCCCTGCTGTCACCGTGCACAGGGCTTGTGCGGGCGCACCCGAAGAAAGACAGAGAGAGAGCCAGAGTTGTCCATCTTGTAGGCGGACAAGGGGGAGCCAAGGCTCGGCTCGTCTTGCACCCAGAGAAAGAGTTAAGCTGCTAACCCTGTAAGGGAAAGCCTGCCTTGTAGGCCAGGGAATGCAGCTGTGTGTGGGAGTGGCAGGAGCTGCAGAGCTGGAGCTGACAGCCAAGATAAAAGCAGTGTGAGAGAGCTGCTGCGAGAGAGCTGCTGATGAGAGAGCTAGTGTGAGTGAGCTGCTAATGAAAGAGCTGCTGAATAAAGCCATACTCACTGCCTACAGCCCCTTGAGTGTTCTTTCAGCTATTTGTCGCCCATCCACCCACTCCCTTCAGACCTCAGCATAGGCTGGAAACTGACACTGGGTGTGACAGCACAACCTCACAAAACGATATCTAAGAAGAATAAAAATACATCACCCATGAACTATTCTTGCCCAAAACATTTAACCTGAATTTAATCAAGCCTCTCTCTAGGCCTAACTTCCACTTTACAAGAAATGCAAAGGCTAGAAGATGTTAAATGACACCATGAGGAAAACAATCAGATAAATCCAGAAAAATAGGATGGTCTATAAGACAACTGTCCTGAACTCTTAACAAAGACAACATCGTAAAGAGCGGATTAATAAAAAAAGGTGGAGGACTGTTCACATCACAAGTGACCAAGAGGAGGTCATATGGGAACTCTCTGTACTCTGCTCAAGTTTTTTATAAACCTAAAACTGTCCTAAAAATATAGTCTAAAAAAATAGAGAAATGCTGAGTCAGTCACTGAGAGAGAGAAACGTCAATACTAAGAAGATTCCACTTTCTGGTTCTTACTTATTTGGTACTGCAGAATCAGTGGCTGAAAGTGCAACACTTCCTTTTTGCTGTGCTGGTTATTTTTCTTCATATATAATGCCACTGGTAAGCATGAAGAACAGTTTCTTTTTTTTCCCCTCACACTCAAGGGAAGTCTAAACAGCTGACCAAGGAAGGCACGTTCATCACCTGCTGGCACTGATCAAAGCAAAGGTATCCAAAACACCTGAAAAGCTCCTCCCTAGAGTAACAGATATGCCACCTGGCCTAGAGCTCGGCCTCAAATATGGCCTATTCAAAGTTTTGTATTCTGAAGATGAAGAAATCAAGCTCCAGAAAGGTCACACCCGTGAGATGAAGCTAGCTGAGCCTAGGTGAGGAACCCATCTCCTGACTCCTAGTCTGCCACTCTTAGCCAGCACTTTCAATGAGAGTGAAAATAGCCTGGCAGACATCCCTCCTGCTAGAACTGCCTTTTAGACAGTAAAGCAATTCCCAAATATGTAGAGCACTATCAAATACAATAGCCATTATTAATATGTACCTACTAAGCACTTGAAATGTGGCTAGTCTGAATTGGGATGTGTTGTAAGTCTAAACTGGATTTCAAAGGGTATGATTTTTAAAAAGTAAAATAACTTATTAATAATTTTTAAAATATTGGTCAGACGCGGTGGCTCACGCCTGTAATCCCAGCACTTTGGGAGGCTGAGGTGGGCAGATCACCTGAGGTCAGGAGTTCGAGACCAGCCTGGCCAACATAGTGAAACCCCATCTCTACTAAAAATACAAAAAATTAGCTGGGCAAGGTAGTGGGCACCTGTAATCCTAGCTACTCAGAAGGCTGAGGCAGGAGAATCACTTGAACCCAAGAGGCAGAGATTGCAGTGAGCCAAGATCGCACCACTGCACTCCAGCCTGGGCAACAGAAGGAGACTCCGTCTCAAAAAAAAAAAAAAATTAAATATTTATTATATGTTGAAATAATATTTTGATAGGTTAAATCAAATACATTATCAAATTTATTTTTAAAAACAACCAAAGATAACAAGCAACTAAACACAAGGTGTGAACATTGACTGGATCCTAGTTTGGGGAGAAAAAAAATAAAGCTATAAAAAACAGTGTATTCATTTTCTATTGCTGCTGTAATAAGTGACTGTGTAACAAGTCACCACAAATTTGGTGGCTTAAAATCATACAAGTTTATTATCTTATAATTCTATAGGTCAGAAGTCCAAAATAGGTCTTACTGGATTAAAATCGAGGTTTCAGCAGGGATAGGTTCCTTTCTGAAAGGTATATGAGAGAATCCATTTCCTTGTCCTTTCCAGTCTCTTTTCCAGAGGCCACTGACATTCCTTGGCTTGTATTCTTCCATTTTCAAATCCAGCAACACTGTCTCTCTCTGTGCCTTTCTCCCATAGTCACGTTTCCCTCTAACTCTGTTTTTCTGCCTCTATCATCCACTTTTAAGGACCCTTGTGATAACACTGGGCCCACCAGATAATCCAGTATAATCTCACTATTTTAAGGTCAGTTGATGAGCAACCTTAATTCCCCTTTGCCATGTAAGATAAGATAGTCAGAGGTTCAGAGGATTAAGACATGGCTACCTTTGGGTACAGGGGAAGCATTATTCTGCTTACTACAAATAGTTTTGTGACAATGGCAGAAATTTGAATTATTATAGAATTTTTGTTAATTTGCTTGCATATAATAAGGGTATCATGGTTATGAAAGAAAATGCCTTTATTCTTTAGGAATGCCTTCACTTAGGAGTGAAAGGTCTTATCTAAAACTTATTTTCAAATAGTTCTGCAAGTAAATAAATGTGTAAACTTATATAGATATTCATATATACATATATCTATAAAGCAAATATGGCAAAATGTTAATGATTTTGAATGTAGGTAGAAGGCATATACAGTTTATTATTACCATTATATTATATATATTAACTTCTCTTTACATATCAGATTTTCCTTAATAAAAAGTTGGAAAAATTCAAACAAATCCACAAAATGTCACGGTCAATTATACAAATACATATGATAGAAATGTACTTAGCGGCCTATCACAGTGGCTCACGCCTGTAATCCCAGCACTTTGGGAGGCCGAGGTGGGCGAATCACCTGAGGTCAGGAGTTTGAGATCAGTCTGGCCGACACGGTGAAACCCTGTCTCTACTAAAAAAAAAAAAAAAAATTAGCCGGGCATGGTGGCATGTGCTTGTAATCTCAGGTACTCGGAAGGCTGAGGCAGGAGAATCACTTGAGCCTGGGGGGACAGAGGTTGCAGTGAGCCAAGATCGTGCCACTGCACTCCGGCCTGGGCAACAGAGTGAGACTCCACCCCAGCCACCGCACTAAAATAAAAATGTGATTTAGCCATAGACCATGTGATAAAAGAGCTAGTGGTGTTATATTTACTTTGATTTAAAAAAGTCACATGGCTAACAAAAAGTTAAATAAACTTAAGTAGCATTTAAAGGATTATCTGAAAGAGTATCTTCTTCCTGTGGGCCGCTGACAATGGAGTACTGTACATGATCCATGCATCCATATGTGCATAAAAAATGTCTAAAGACTGAATACCTGTCACATATACCTGTGTTAATATTATACATAACTATATAGATGAGGTTATGATTAATTAAAAAGTGTCACTTAGCATTCTATTATATATTTTTCATCACTGGACACTAAAATTATACTGTCACCATGCAGAAACTGTTAAAATTTGTCATTTCAAAGCATTCTCATATTCAAAAGTGCTGAGAATCAGCACTATAGATAAATGCCCTCAGTCTGTTCTTGCCCAGGTCAGAGCAAATGTAGATTAAAAAGAAATTATTTATCTGCACACTCACTTAAGAAATGATTTATGGTGGCTTACTGAAACAGCTCCGTTGTCTGGGCTATATACCCTGATTTCTGGTCAAGGTTGAGAAAGAATTCAGGACATGGGCACACACGAGGAGTGGGTTTAGCAGCAGAAAGTTAAATAGAAAAAGAAGAGAGAGAGAAAGCTTCCTCATGCAGAGAAAGCAGGTCATCCAAGAGAGGGTCTCCAAACAGAAAAAGGATTGGCTAGCACGAATGTGCCAAGTTTTATAGTCCAGTTTGAGGAGGCGGTGTCTGATTTACATAGGGCTCATAGATTGGTTTAATCAGGTATGACGTCTACATAATGCACAGGGAAGGCTGGTTACCCCACCCTAATCTTATTATGCAAATGGACATTCCAGTTGATCAGTGCCACGTTGTCTGCTTCTTTCTGTACACGTGGCTGACAAACAGAAGGGAAGATGGAGCCTCCATCTTGAACATGATTGGCACGACTGCCAGTATCTATGTCTGCAGCTCTTCGTTAGAAAGGAAAATAATTTGGGGCTGCTTTTCATTAAAAAGGAAAGCCTTACCGAGGATTCCCATATCCCTACTATCTGCCTAAGTACTTTCTTACCTCCTATATCATTATGAAAGCACATATACTACAATGAAAATAAGTTGAAGACAGATAAGAAAAATACGGCAAAGGGAGAAGAAAAATACGGCAAAGGGAGAAGGGCAGGAAAGACAGAACAAGAATCTCTCACACAAAAGGCATGATATATCTTGTTAGAGGTGAAATATTTCATGCAATTCTGTCTATCTGGATACCTTAAAATGGTATTGAGGAGAATTACATTTCCAGGAATGTAGTAAGTAGGTAACAGGATCAAACAACTAAATCCTGGATTAAGCATTTTTTCAAAATATTTTCTAAATGCACTGATGAGCTTCTGAAAAATTACAGAATTCCCAGGATTCCTGAAGGCAGGAACCCAGAAGGGTCAGCTGACCTCAGCCGCCTTTGAAAACATTTGATGAACCAGATGAACTGGATCTTCAGGGTTTTTGTAAACTTAGGGCTTTTTGTGGGCACAAGTTAACAGGGTAAGGGAGCAGGCCAATAACAATTCCCTCTCTAATAAAGCTGAGACCTCAAATGGCTTCTTTGCTTTTGTCTAAAAGTGAACAGAAACTTATCTCTACCCTCCAACCAAAACTGCAAGGAAAAATAAATTACGTGGAATTCTGATGCTGAGTGGATTAGGGTAGGGAACATCACATCTAAGGATCTGGAACTACAACCCATTCCTCACATGCTGCTCTCTGTCTAGTCTAGAAAACTGCAGACCAGTAATTTAGAATGATCTCAGGCTGGTACTGCTGCCAGGCACCTGGCAGAAGTAAATATAATCCTTGCTGGAGAAATCTATTTTTATCCAAGGGCTCAAAAATACTGATACAAATAAAATTCCAAGAAAAATGAGTAGCTCATAGCAAAAAATAACAGAATACATTGGAAACATATAACCATGAACAAGGAACAGCAAAAACAGACCTGAAGTACTGTGGATATACAGCATGTAAAATAACCACATTCACTATTTATAAAGATACTTCTAAACTGACTGTAGGGAATAAGAAACTCTAAATAATAACTAAATAAAGTTGAAAAAGTACCCCTGGCAGTGTGGTGCAAGGTGGGTGTGGCAGGACCATGGGGCTCGAGTGCAGCCCCGGCGGGAACACAGACCATTTTAGTTTTGATTGCTGTTACTACTACTGATAACTGAGCCAAAGTAGTGATGCTACTTGAAGGAAATTTCTGCAACCCGCAGTCAACTATCATACGATTGTGAGCCATGCCTTTAGTGAAGAGGAACACCAAGCCCCAGCACTTGTGCCAGGGAGCTCTGCCTGAGGGGATTACCAGTGAACTTGAATGTGTAACCAATAGTACTCTTGCCACTATCATACACCAGCTGAGCAGTCTGAGATCTACTCATTTCTCCTTGGGCAGTCAGAAGGTGGAGGAGAGGATGCCCTGGCTATGAACTATGCAAGGCTTACAAGGGCTAAAAGGCTGCACCATTTACATCAATGACCCCCTTAAGAACCATTTGCTGCAAAAACTTCATCAGCACGGCCAAGTACAGCATGTGGTCATTTCTCCCTGAGTTTTTGTATCTGCAATTTACCAAACCTGCCAATGCTTTCTTGTTCATTAATGTATTGCAGCAAATTCCAGATGTGTCTCCAACAGGAAAATATACAACTCTCTTGCCTCTGATTTCAGGGACCAAAGAGGTTATAGAAGATTGTAAATGACATATGGCAGACAAAATAGTTAATACAAAGAACTGAGAGTTCCTTCCTACAGACATAGTCCTGATGTCTTCCAGTGAACCTCAGTTGATTGTTATATAGCAACGCCTAATCTGGATGGAGAGACAGATCTAAAGCTACAGCAGGCTTTGCCAGAAACAGGTTGAATGCAATCAGAAAACCGTTTGTTCAGCCTATCTGGAAAAATAGACCTAATCGTCATTTCTTAGCTTAGATGGAACCTTGAGCCTAAGTGGTAAAAGCTCTGTTCCAATTGGGCCTGACCAGGTCTTGTTAAGAGGTATACAGCTGAGAAATACTCAGCGGATTATTGGCATAGTTGTTTGCACTGGATTTGAAACAAAATTCATGCAGAATTCCGTCAAATCACCTCTCAAGAGATCAAAGGTTGAGAAAGTGATCAATGTGTCAGTCTCCCTTTTGTTCTTGCTGCTCTTGGTCATGTCCTTGATTCCAGCTCCCAAGTCATTGTCTGACATACTGGTGTTCATCATCTTGTACCAGAACCTCATCCCCATTAGTCTGCTGGTTGCTGTGGGAAAATTGTGAAATATATTCAGGCCCAGCTTATACACTGGAATGAAGATATGCATTATAAAGTAAATAACGTCTACGCCATGGCCAGAACATTCAATCTCAACGAAGAACTTGGGCAGGTAAAACATCTATTTTCTAATAAAACAGGAATATTATGACATTTAAGAAGCGTACCACTGCAGGTGTAATTTACGGTCAGACACCTTCTTCCATCCTAGAGTCCTGTGAATTTAATGACCCCAAATTATTGGAGAACTTTGAGAATGGTCATCCCACAAAAAACTATATAACGCAATTTCTTACCCTGTTATCTGTGTGCCACACTGTTATTCCTGAGAGATGGAAATAATATAATCTACCAGGCTTCCTCCCCAGCCAAAGCAGCTTTAGTGAAAGGAGCAAAAGAATATGGCTTGTTCTTTATACAAGAACACCATACTCTGTCACCACAGAAGCTACGGGAGAAAAATGCTTTTGAAATTCTTAATGTCCTGGAGTTCTCTAGTAATAGAAAAAGAATGTCTCTAATTGTCTGAACCCTTATGGGACGGCTCTGGCTCTACTGCAAAGGGGCTGATAGAGTGATTTATGAGAGACTTTCAGAAGATTCTCTATTTGTTCAGGAGACATTAACCCATCTGGAATATTTTGCCACAGAAGGTCTGAGAATTCTCTGTGTTGTGTATAGAGATTTAACTGAGAATGAATATAATGGGTGATTTCGGAAGTACAAAAAAGCGAGTACAACTGTACAAGACAGAATTCAAAGGGTAGAAAAATGGTATGATATTATTGGCCAGGCACAGTGGCTTACACCTGTAATCTCAGCACTTTGGGAAGCCGAAGTGGATGGATCACCTGAGGTCAGGAGTTTGAGACCAGCCTGGCCAACATGGTGAAACGCTATCTCTACTAACAATACAAAAAAGAAATTAGTTGGGAATGATGGCGGGTGCCTATAATCCCAGCTACTCAGGAGGCTGAGGCAGGAGAATCACTTGAACTCAGGAGGCAGAGGTTGCAGTGAGCCAAGATCATGCCACTGCACTTCAGCCTGGACAACAAGAGCAAAACTTTGTCTCAAAAAAAAAATAAAAAAGAACGTTATGATATTATTGAAAAGGTAACATAGGCCATATGTACTCTACATGCCAAGATAAATATGTGAAGGAAATCTAGTTATCAATGTTTTCATATCTTGAAGTAATTATTTATTATTTATTTATTTTTTGAGATGCAGTCTGACTCTGTCGCCCAGGCTGGAGTGCAGTGGCATGATCTCGGCTCACTGCAAAGCTCCACCTCCTGGGTTCATGCCATTCTCCCACCTCAGCCTCCTGAGTAGCTGGGACTACAGGCGCCCGCCACCACACCCAGCTAATCTTGTTTTTTTTTGTTTTTGTATTTTTAGTAGAGATGGGGTTTCACTGTGTTAGCCAGGATGGTCTCGATCTCCTGACCTCGTGATCCGCCTGCCTTGACCTCCCAAAGTGCTGGGATTATAGGTGTGAGCCACTGCGCCCCGCCAGTAATTATTAAAACAATGAAATTTTGTTTTTTCTTCAGAAGCAAAAAAAAAAAGGATCCCCAAAATGTATAAATATGAAAAAATATTAATTACTGAAAAAAACCTTGTCAACAAACAAGGTCGTGAGTTAAGGACAGCTAATGGAAGAATTAGTAAATGGAAAAAGACATCTGCAGAAAATATCCAGAAAGCAGCAATAAGAAATAAAATGATAAAAAAATGAAGATTAAGAGACAGAAGGGAGAATGAGAAGATCAACAGACATATAACTGGAGCCTCAGGAGAAGGGAAGTGCAGGGAGAGACGGAGAGAGAGACAGAGACACAGAGTGAGAGAGAGAGAGAGGAGAAAATAAGACAGAGTCAATGTTTGAAGAGATTTATCACTGATAAATTTCCAAAACTGATGAAATACACCATCCCACAGATTAAAAAAAAATGTAGCAAATCCAAAATAGGATAAAGACACAAAAAATCCTCACCTAGACACATTATAATGAAACTTCAAAACATTAAAGTCAAAGGGAAGGCCTTAAAATCAGCCAGAAAATGACAGGCTATCTTCACAGGAACAACAATTAGACTTCTAGCTGACTTCTTATCAGAAACAACTGAGGAAGAAGACAGTGGAATAATTTCAGTGTAATGAGAGAAAAGAACTGTCAACCTACTATTCTATATCTATTGACAATATTGTTCATGGAGGAGAGCAAAATAAATATATTTATTTTCAAAGAAACAAAAACAGAGATTTGACCTGGAGAACCTCATTTAATGCAATTGTAAAGAGTGAAATCCAGGCAGAAGGAAAGTAATATCAGATAAAGAGTCCAGATTAAAAGTTCACTTGACAGGGAATTTTAGTGAGAACTCAAGCACTTACTAGTTAGTTGGACGGCATCATATTTAAAGTCTCTTCAACAATAAAGAGACTTTTTTCTACATAATTTTAATCTTAGAAAATCAGACGCTAGATCCATTATATCATTACTTGGAGTTTCCATCTCACCTGAGTTGCTGTCTTACTAGGAAACATTTGATATTTCTTCAGTCACACCTGAAAATGGAAATAACATTTAGATTGTGCTTCACAACTTTTAAAGTGCTTTCATAAACATCATCTTGTTCAAATCCACAACTGTGCTACTACTATTTTCATTTTATAGACTGAAGAACTCATAGAGTGTGATTTCTCCAAGACTGTATAGTTAATAGAACTCAGAAAGGTTTTCTGAACCTAAAGATTGGAATTTTTAGGCCAGGCACGGTGACTCACACCTATAATCCCAGCACTTTGGGAGGCTGAGGAAGGCAGATCACTTGAGGTCAGGAGTTCAAGACCAGCCTGGCCAACATGGTGAAACTCCTTCTCTACTAAAAATACAAAAATTAGCCAGAAATGGTGGTGCATGCCTTTAACCCCAGCTACTCGGGAGGCTGAGGCCGGAGAATCACCTGAACCGAGGAGGCAAAGGTTGCAGCGAGCCGAGATCACACCACTGCGCTCCAGCCTCAGCAACAGAGTGAGACTCTGTCTCAAAAAAAAAAAAAAAAAAAAAAAAAAAAAAGGATTGCACTTTTTAGATTGTGTTCTGCCTTTAAAAGTCCCCTAAATATCTTTAGGATTAAAACACATCTATTAATCAAAATTTTAAATGAAATCCACATATATAAACAAGTGAAAGTGGAGGGAAGTGTTGTGGTTGAAGAGAGTGCATAGTCAAAGCTCCACGTACACAGCCTCCCACTATCTGCCAGCAATGGCTCCTAAACTCTTCTGTGGACTAGTCTGAAGCTCAATGATTGACACTATCATCCTATTTTCACCTTATAAAGTAGTCTCAGACTCATTCACATTACTTAGTCTCTAACTCAAATCACTTTCTCTCCACCCCAAGCTGATTACCAGTATTCACTTACAGATACTCAAGACTTCAGAGGATCTTTGAACTCCCCCAAATTGAGTAGTATACGTATGTACATGTATGTAATTTTAATGGAAGAGGGACTATTACAAGGACTGTTTATAGGCAAGAGGAACTATTTCATTGGGTTTTGAAAGTAGTCCATGATTCAAAAAAGGGGTAAGCCTCTGGTTCTGGCTTATAAGATTATGGCTTTAATTCACACCTCAAATCTTATTTTCAGGGCCAGTTTTCCTGATTTTTGTTTAGCTTTCCTTCTTGACTATTATTCAAACTCTTATTCTGTAAATACCTGACTCAGTCTAGTCCAGTTTCTGGAACTTTGTATCTGAATGCAGATGGTGACCCTGTCATATTCTAGCCTTGGGAACTAGACGCAAATATTGCCTACACTGTCTTTGTTTTATGTAATGAATTTTACAGTATTCTACAGTTCAAAATTTAAGTATATATTCATGTAAATATATATAATTTAAACCTTCAGAACTCTGTTGCCTATATCTTCCAGGGTGTATGGTACATGGGGGCTTTCAACTATGTAGCTGGCCTACGAATAAATGAACACCATTGGCTTATGCTTATCTTTTTTGTATGTCTTAAATATTGCATGTAAAATGTCAATAAAAGACATACAAAACTTAAGCAATACCCTGCAGGATGCTAGCCAATGCCTGATTCATAATGGGTGATCAATACTTATCTGTTAAATAAATTTTTATTCATACTAGGTTTAGTTGTTTTATCAGGTTGTCATTACACTTAAGATGACACGATATATTTATTTTAGCTGACTGTATACAATGAATTGTTATAGTGGGGTTTACATACCTAGCGTGATTATAATTAAACTGATTACTTGTAATTAGACTTGTTTGAGACAGAGTCTCACTTTGTCGCCCAAGCTGGAGTACAGTAGTGCCATCTCGGCTCACCTCAATCTCTGCCTCCTGGGTTCAAGTGATCCTCCCACTTCAGCCTCCTAAGGAGCTGGGACTAAATGACCAGCTAATTTTTTTTTTTTTTTGTATTTTTGTATTTTTAGTAGAGACAGAGTTTCACCATGTTGGCCAGGCTGGTCTCAAACTTCTAACCTCAAGTGATCCTCCCACCTCAGCCTCCCAAAGTGCTGGGATTATAGGCATGAGCCACTGTGCCTGGCCTTAGACTCTTTACAGTCATATTTCATATAGTTTTCCTATCAGTAGGTGAAAGAGAAAAGACTGCTTCTACTCTGAATCCCAGAGAATAACAGGAAAGATTACAAAACTAAGACACCATTTGGTAAAAGTTTTCATGTTATTTCATCTGTTAAGAATGTTTAGGTGTTTTGTTTTGGCTACAAAATTTAAATTTCTCTTACACTAATTTCATATGACAATATTACCTTTTGCATTGGTATTTGATTCTATCTACTACTAGTTTGTTTGTATTTCAAACTAAGACATACTTATTCAGACTTTTTAAATTCTAGTGTGCTCTAAATTCAATTACTTTTCAATGTCTATGAATTTTCATCCAATTATTTCACTAATGTGGTAAACTTAAACATTGATGTCTGAAGCAGTAGCCATTATATTTGGTCCATTAGTTTACTTACAGCCCAGCACTAATGTTTATTAGTCAAACGAAATCTTAACTTGGGAAACCCTCTTCTTACACTTAGCCAGAGGCTATAATTCACAACTAGTATTTTCACAAATGGGTTCAACTGAAGCAAGTACTGTGGGAAAATGTAGATGGGCAAAGCAAATCTATCAGGGCAACTGGAAAACTAAGTCAAGTTCATATGCTACAGATAAGGGCAGAGAAGGGCCATTTCACTTTCAAAAAAGAAAAAAACGCAGGTGGCCTTTGATGAACAGAATATTTCTCTTCAACCTATTTTAACCTCTATATTCTTATCTAAAATTTCCTCATTAAAGCTATTAAGGTAAGCTTCAGAATATTTCCTGCTATAACTACTTAGTAAAACTAGTTAGTGTATAAAAATACAATTGATTTTTGTAGGTTGTACATCACTAAATTTCAGCACATCTTGGCATCCAGACTAACACACGGTGAAAGACAGGAACATGGCAGATGATCTTTATTTATACTTACTGTATGGGGGTAGAGCAGGAATGGATAATAGCATTGCATGATTACTTTTTACTTTTAAAAAACTAATTTCTAAAATAATAATTTAGTAATTTTATGCTACAGTTTTTTGTTTTGTTTTTTTGCTAACATCCCTCACCATTACATAATACATTTACAAGACGGGAATGATACTACCAGGCTCACTTTCAGCAGTTGTGTATGTCTTAGTCTAAGAAAACCAATACAAAATTAGCCAGGTGTAGTGGTGCACGCCTGTTAATTCCAGCTACTCGGGAGGCTAAGGCAGGAGAATCGCTTGAACCCTGGAGGCAGAGGTTGCAGTGAGTCAAGATCACGCCATTGCACTGCAGCCTGGGCAACAAGAGCGAAACTCCATCTAAAAAAGAAAAAAAAAAAAAAAGAAAAGAAAAACCAGTCGGGGCCAGGCCCAGTGGTTTACAACTTACATAATCCAAGCACTTCAGGAGGCCAAGGCAGAAGGAGTGCTTCTGCCAAGAGTTTGAGTCCAAGAGTTTGAGACCAGCCTGGGCATTATGGCAAAACCCCATCTCTACAAAAAATACAAATATTAGCCAAGTGTGGTGGCGCACGTCTGTAGTCCTAGTTAACTAGAGGGTGAACTGAGGTGGGAGGATTGCTTCAGCCTAGGAGGTCAAGGCTGCAGCGAGCCGAGATCATGCCACTGCACTGCAGGCTGGGTGACAGAGAAAGACCCTGACTCAAAAAATAAATACATAAAAAATAAATTAAAAATAAGAAAAACAGTATCATGTGCTATTAGTTGCATTTAACTGCAAACATAAACTTGAAAAAATATAGCTAAAGGTTTTTCATCTTTAATAAAGTCATTTGCTTCTTAAAAATGGATCTAGGGTAGGTTTTTTTTTCTTTTTTTGAGACACAGTTCCACTCTCATTGCCCAGACTGGAGTGCAATGACGTGATCTCGGCTCACTGCAACCTCCGCCTCCCGGGTTCAAAGGATCCTCCTGCCTCAGCCTCCCAAGTAGCTGGGATTACTGGCACAGCGCCACCACGCCCAGCTAATTTTTGTATTTTTGGTAGAGATGGGGTTTCACCATGTTGGCCAGGCTGTTCTCGAACTCCTGACCTCAAGTGATCCGCAAGCCTCAGTCTCCCAAAGTGCTGGGAAAACAGGTGTGAGCCACCATGCCCGGCTGTAATTCTTTTTAAAAAATAGCTAGAAAATACAATCTTGCCTTCATCTTAAGTATATGAAATACTGTTAGAATATGTTGAATTATTTCTACTTAGATAACCTCATAACTAAATTATTGCCACAAAATGAATAGCCTTTAGCCATAAAATTAAAAGCATAAGAACACATTTATAAAGAATACTTAGAATGCAGAAAATTTTCAACTTACAAAATAGTTGTTTTCTACAGAGCTGTGCAAACTGACATCTTGGTACACTGCTACAAAATAATTTTATTATAGTCACAGGCTAACCTCAAAAAATTTCACTAGAAATATGTCATTTGTTTTCTTTCCTTCCTTTATTCTCACCTTCCTTGTTATTTTGTTTGTTACTGAAAATGGTATAACATGATTATTATTCTTGTCAAATAAGATTAAAGTCATTTACTTTTTACCCACACAAAAAGGAAATCAGAAGAGTTCCTGAAGTAAATGAAGAACAGTTGGAAAAGGAGGTAAACTAGATTTTAAAAGATGTTCAGAACTTCACACACACAAAAAAGCCCAGGCCCAGATGGCTTCATTGGTGAACGCTATCAAACATTTAAAGAAGAATATCAATTCTTAAGAAACTCTTCTAAAAATAGAAGAGGAAGGAATACTTCCCAATTTAGCCTATGAGGCCAGTATCACTTTGATATAAAAACCAAAAACATCACACAAAAACAGAAATATACAAACTAATATTTCCTATGAATATGGATGCAAAACCTCAAAAAAATAGCTGACTAAATCTAGCTATATAAAAAAATGATTACACTCTGTGACCAAATGTGATGTTATCTCAGGAAAGCAAGGTTAGTTTAACATCCAAAATTCAATTAATGTAATAAACCATATCAGTAGAACAAAGGATAAAAACCACATCATCATCTCAAAAGATGCAGAAAAAACATGGGCAAAATCTAACATTCTGTCATGACAGAAATCCTTAACAAACTAGAAACAGGAAGAAAACTAAGAGCTGGGCATGGTGGCTGACACCTGTAATCCCAGCACTTTGGGAGGCCAAGGTGGGAGGATCAGTTGAACCTAGGAGTTCAAGACCAATCTGGGCAATATAGTGAGACCTTGTCTCTACAAAAATATTAAAAAGTTAGCTGAGTGTGGTGATGTGGGCCTGTAGTCTGAGCCACTCAGGAGGCTGAGGTGGAAGTGTTGCTTGAGCCTGGGAGGCAGAGGTTGCGGTGAACCAAGATTATGCCACTGCACTCCAGCCTGGCGAACAGAGATGTCATCTCAAACAAACAAACACCTAAATCAAAATAAACTAGGAACAGAAATGAAGCTCCCCAATCTGATATAAAACATGTACGAAAACTCCACATTCATCATACTTAATGGTGAAAGGCTAAATATTTCACTCTGAAGATCAGAAAAAAGACTACAAGAATGTACACTCTCACCATTTCTATTCAACATTACACCACAGGCGATTAGGCAAGAAAAAAAATTCTAAAATACAAATTGGAAAGAAAGAAGTAAAACATGTCTATTTGCAGATAATAGGATCTCATACATAGAAAATTCATAGGGATGTAATTAAAAACTATTAAAAATAATAAACTGGGCCGGGTGTGGTGGCTCACGCCTGTAATCCCAGCACTTTAGGAGGGTGAGGCGGGTGGATCACCTGAGGTCGGGAGTTCAAGACCAGCCTGGCCAACATGGTGAAACCCCATCTCTACTAAAAATACAAAAATTAGCTGGGTGTGGAGGCTTGCACCTGTGGTCCCAGCTGCTCAGGAGGTTGAGGAAAGATAATCGCTTGAACCCGGGAGGCAAAAGTTGCAGTGAGCCAAAATTGCGCCACTGCACTCCAACCTGGGCAACAGAGCAAGACTTCATCTCAAAATAATAATAATAATAATAACATAATAATAAAAATAAACTGGCTAAGTGTGGTGGCTCCCACCTGTAATCCCAGCACTTTGGGAGGCAGAGGCAGGCAGATCATGAGGTCAGCAGATCGAGACCATCCTGGATAACATGGTGAAACCATGTCTCCACTAAAAATACAAAAAATTAGCCAGGCGTGGTGGCATGCACCTGTAGACCCAGCTACTCAGAAGGCTGAGGCAGGAGAATCATTTGAACTCGGAAGACGGAGGTTGCAGTGAGCCGAGATCACGCCACTGCACTCCAGCCTGGGCTACAGAGCGAGACTCCATCTCAAAAACAAGTAAATAAATAAAAAGAAAGCAAGCAAGAAATTAAAGAAGCCAGGCACAGTGGCCCGCACCCGTAATCCCAGCTACTCAGCAGGCTGAGGAAGAAGGATCACATGAGGCCAGGATTTCCAGACCTGCCTAGGTAACATGGTGAGACCCCATCACTAAAACAATTTTAAAAATCAGCCAGAGACTACAGCCAGTTTGGTGATATATGCCTGTAGTCCCAGCTACTCTGGATGCTGAGGCAAGAGGATTGCTTGAGCCCAGAAGTTTAAGACCAGCCTGGGCAACATGGTGAAATCCCATCTCTACCAAAAAAGTACAAAAATTATCTGGGCATGGTGGCATGTACCTGTGGTCTCAGCTATTTGGGAGGCAGAGGTAGAAGGATCACCTGAGCCCAGGGAGGTTGAGGCTGCAATGAGCCGTGACCGCACCACTGCACTCCAGTCAGAGTGAGACCCTGTCTTAAAAAAAAAAAAAAAAGGAAAAAGAAAAGAAAAAAAAGTAGAAGATAAAATATTCAGGCCAGGCATTGTGGCATGCGCCTGTAATCCCAGCTACTCGGGAGGCTGAGGCAGGACAATCACTTGAACCCGGGAGGAAGAGGTTGCAGTGAGCCAAGATCGCGCCACTGCACTCCAGCCTGGGCAACAGAACGCGACTCCATCTCAAAAAAGAGGAAAAAAGAAAGAGGTTATTGTAGGATTAGGTGAGATTTTATATATAACGAATATCTTCCCCATAGCAGGCATATAGGAAATATGAATCATTTCTTATTTTTATTTCACTATGTTGTGAGCATTTTTACAAGCTCTTTATTTTTCTGAATAATTATGCTTACTATATTAACTAAAATTTATTTGATTTTTTTTTTTGACGGAGTTTTCGCTCTTGTTGCCCAGGCTGGAGGGCAACAGTGCAATATTGGCTCATTGAAACCTCCACCTCCCAGGTTCAAGTGGTTCTCCTGCCTCAGCCTCCCAAGTAGCTGGGATTACAGGTATGTGCCACCACGCCGGACTAATAAGAGGTGTACTATCATCATCCCCATTTAACAGATAAAGAAATAGAGGCCTAGTTTGCATAATTAATAAACACATGGAACTAGGCTTAAACCCAAGTTTCTCTGATTGCAAATTTTATGTTCTGTACCATTATACTATACAGCTACGTTAGGTTGGATTCAGAAAATGTGGTATATATACAACACGGAATACTAGGCAGCCATAAAAAGAATGAGATTATGTCCTTTGAAGTAACATGGATGGAGCTGGAGGCCATAATCCTAAACAAATTAGTGCAGGAAGAGAAAACCAAATACTGCATGTTCTCACTTATAAATGGGAGCTAAACACTGGGCACACATAGATATAAATATGGAAACAAGAGACACTGTGGACTACTAGAGGGTAGAGGGATGAGGATGCATAGTGAATACAATGCTTACGACCTAGGTGATGGAATCCATACTCCTAACCTCAGCATCACACAATATTCCCATGTACTCAATCTGCACATGTACTCCCTGTAACTAAAATACAAGTTGAAATGAAAATAAAATAAAATTATACATTTAAATTATAAATTATCATCCCACAATTTTAATAAAGGTATGTATATGTGTTTGTATATTTATATATTTAAACATATGTGCATATACATGTTTAGAAAGACAGGAATATGCACAATGTTAATGGTGGTAAATTTTAGGGGTTGGTTTCTTTGTGATTATCTGTGTGGTGAATGTGCTACTTTTGTAATAGAAAAAATAAATAAATGCACTCCAAATATTTTCTTCAGTAAAGAAATTAGGCAAAAAAAGAAAATATACAAATCAATGTGTTTAAAGTTTTCTCAATATTTAAGCTCCACTTTAGAATAATAAATCCACCTATATATTGAGTATAAACTTTGATTAACAAACATAAACTCATGGTGGCACACACCTGCAATCTCAGCTACTCAGGAGATGGACGCAGGAGAATCTCTTGAACCTGGGAGGTGGAGGTTGCAGTGAGCTGAGATTGCACCACTGCACTCCAGCCCGGGTGACAGAGCAAGACTCTGTCTCAGAACAAACAAACAAACAAACATATTCTGTAACAGAAATACCCTGTGTGCAAATTCAGTCCTAGCTAACAAGGCTTAACAATAATTATTAACTCCCAGATTCTAAAAAAGTTTATTTGGTGACTTTCTTATTTGATGACTTCACTACATTCTCATCAGCTACGAATTAGAATAATTCCAATTTGAACTATAGTGTGATGTGTTGAATTTTTCCGTTTCTGTCATGTACGCTGTTTTTACTTTGACATAATAGTGCTTTAAAGTTAACTATTGCCAGTAATAACAATAACAACTGCTAAGTCCTAAGTTACCATCTACCTTATCCTTAAATAAACTAACTTCATTATATTTATCCTTAGCCAAATTGTTAAAAAATGTATGGAGATCAAGCAGCATATATTTTAAGAATACAGATTATAAAAACATCATTTTCCTGAAACTTAAATTCCTCAAAGGAACTAGTTAATTTTCAAATCTTCTAACACCTTCTCATTACTTCAGTGTGATTGCTTCAAATATGGAAAAGAGTTTTTATTTCCCCTTGACAAGATCACACTGCTGTACGCATATAAACTACGATTAAGAAGGTAAATCGGTTCAATATTCTAACATTAACTCCAATTCTATCAAAAGGTTCATCCTGTAATATTACAAATCTAGTTTAATCACCAAGATTTGGTCAATTCCCCTCCTGAAAAAAAAAAAAAAAACTTGCAGTTCATTTCCAATGCTAAGAAATAACACAATACATTGGCAACATTGCTTCACAGATACCTACTGCTCACTAAGAAAAATGTACAGCTAAATATAATTTTATGTTATCATATAATAAACACTAAAAAAGATCAGGCTTAGATTTTATGCTGTGCAATAATTCTCTTAATAATTGTTTAAGCCAAAATTAGGACAACTAAGGTGCTCAAATGTCACCTTCTCAGGTAAAGCCCATATTGACCCCTACCTTGTTTAACACTGCAACCAGTTCCCCTCCATCCCCCTCCCCTACACACATAATCTTACCCTGGGCAAAGCACTCTTTCTCCTCCTCCTCCTACTTTTTCTCCTTAATACTTATCACCTTCTAACATCCATATAATTTACTCGTCATCTTCGGCTTGTGAAGTTTTGTCTGCCTACTATTACATAGGACAGTGCCTGTGACATAGTAGGTGCCGTTGAATGAATAATTTTACCCACTAGGTGGGCAGTGGAAGCTACTGTTTTGTTTTTTTGTTTGTTTGTTTGTTTTGGAGATGGAGTTTCGCTCTCGTCACCCAGGCTGGAGTGCAGTGGCGCGATCTCGGCTCACTGCAACCTCCGTCTCCCAGGTTCAAGCAATTCTCCTGCCTCAGCCTCCCCAGTAGCTGGGATTACAGGCACCTGTCACCATGCCCGGCTAATTTTTGTATTTTTAGTAGAGACTAGGTCTCACTATGTTGACCAGGCTTGTCTTCAACTCCTGACCTTAGGTGATCCACCCGCCCCAGCCTCCCAAAGTGCTGGCATTACAGGCGTGAGCCACTGCGCCTGGCCGAAGCTATTGTTTTTATCTGAGTATTTGGTGACTTACACAAGCAGTCCCCAACCTTTTTGGGGGTGGTTTCGGAGATGAAACTGTTCCACCTCAGATGATCAGGCATTAGTTAGATTCCCATAAGGAGTGCAGCAACCTAGATCTCTCACATGCACAGTTCACAATAGAGTTTGTGCTCCTATGAGAATCTAATGCCACCGCTGATCTGACAGGAGGCAGAGCTCAGGTAGTAATGCTCACTTGCCCACCGCTCACCTCCTGCTGTGCAGCCCAGTTCCCAACAGGTCAGGTCCAAGTTCCAGGGGTTAGGGATCCCTGACTTACACAAATGGGTGGAAATACAATGTTTAGTTTTGTAATTAGAGTAAATCCTCATTTTTCACCCAGATTAAAGCAAAAAAAAAAAAAATACTTTTTTCAGGAGCCTTGAGACCTACTAATGCCTCCAAGGTTTAAGACAGACTTATACAGTGGCTCTCAACCTGAAAAGAAAAAACCGAAATAGAACCCAGAGAAAATCCATAGTTCTGAGATTCTGAAGGGAAAAGGGGCAGGGTGGTAATTTTTTGCTATTTGGAGGAGGTCTCAAATGACTCTTCCTGCATGGTTATTGCAATGTTTTTCATCATGCTTACCATGCATATTTTACATATATTATAAAACTATTACATGCTCATGATGAATTACAAAGGTTCACAGATCTCAGCATTACCATTATTACTTTGACTTATCCTGCTCCTGTTATACTAAGTAGATGAAATACAAAAAGGGAAAATAATTTATGTGGATGTAGAAAAATTCTAGTAATTTGAAATTATAAATAATGCCTTTTGATGGGCTGGTCACACCAAAAGAACTCTAGGCTACAAAGTAGTTATGTCAATAATCAACAGTTTTTATAATAATAAAAACTGAAAAAACTATATAAACTATATATATACTATATATAAACTATACTATATATAAACTATATATAAATTATATATACTATATGTATAAACTATATATGTATATTATATATATATATATATTTTTTTTTTTTTTGAGACGGAGTCTAACTATGTCGCCCAGGCTGGAGTGCAGTGGCGCAATCTCGGCTCACTGCAACCTCCACCTCCCGGGTTCAAGCGATTCCCCTGCCTCAGCCTCCCAAGTAGCTGGGACTATAGGCACGTGCCACCACGCCCAGGTAATTTTTTGTATGTTAGTACAGACGGGATTTCACCAAGTTGGCCAGGATGGTCTCGATCTCCTGACTTCCTGATCTGCCCGCTTCGGCGTCCCAAAGTGCTGGGATTACAGGCATGAGCCACCGCACCCGGCCGAAAAAAGTATATTTATTCACCAGAAGCTCTTCCTAATTGAACTGGTGAGTTATTATGGAATTTGCATACATAGAAAAAAGATTTCCTTTGTAAGAAAAGTCTTTTCATATATTCCCCACAAAGGCCTAACTCTGACAACTTGAAAAGCAACAAATGACTTTCTGAAAACTATCAGAAAAGAAAAATGTTATATTACGTAACTTGTTTAATTTTGCTTCTTGTCCTAAGCCTGAAATGAGATAGATGACATCTGTGCATAATTTCATATGTGCATCACTCTTATGAACTTAGGATTTAGCACTTTTAAAAGATATTATTTTCTACACATCCCAAAACACCAAAATTTTTTTTTTTTTTTTTTTTTTTTTTTGACACAGAGTCTCGCTTTGTCGGCGAGGCTGGAGTGCGGTGGCGCGATCTCTGCTCACTGCAAGACCCGCCTCCCGGATTCACGCCATTCCCCTGCCTCAGCCTCCCGAGTAGCTGGGACTACAGGCACCCCAGACAAATTTTTTAAAAATCATTTTTCCTATGTAGCAAATATCTTTAGGCCTAGCATCTGTTTTCTTATCAGAAGTTAATATATTTAAGATGAAAATTCATTTGTATGTTATGCTTGAAAAGGATATTAATACCCTTTCATATGGCAAACTTACTTTTTAAGTAAATTCCATTAGTAACAGGCGCACTATTAAGACAGCCCGATTTACTACTTTTTGAGTTCTCAACATGTTGGACACAGGTAAAACAGTCACAGTTGTTGTTTTAAAACTAATTTAGCAACCACATTTCTAAACCTTTTCAAACATGAGCGTAAGAAATAAGTATCATGCTCTCAAAAAATAAAAAATTTCCAAAAGTGCATGGTATCAAAAGTACAAATTAAAAATTTTGTATATTTAAAATTGAGGATTAACTTTAAAGCTCATCATTTATACAGAGACATAGAAAACAACAAAATGTGTGAATGTTTTGTAGCTTTTCTGTTTTTTTTTTTTTTTTTTTTGAGACAGAGTCTCACTCACTCTGTCGCCCAGGATGCAGTGCTGTGGTACGATCTCAGCTCACTGTAGCCTCTGCCTCCTGGGTTGAAGTGATTCTCCTGCCTCACCCTCCCGAGTAGCTGGGATTACAGGTGCCTGCCACCACACCCAGCTAATTTTTTTGTATTTTTAGTAGAGACGGCGTTTCACCATGTTGGCCAGGCTGCTCTCGAACTCCTGACCTCAGGTGATCCACCCGCCTCAGCCTCCCAAAGTGCTGGGATTACAGGTTTGAGCCACCGTGCCCAGTCTCTTTCTTTTTTCCTTTTTTAAGAGATAGCTCACACCCATTTTCTGGCTGTCCTTCAGTTCTGACTTCTTTGATTCAGTTCTCATGCCTCTATCTATTTGTGTATCATTATGTTGCACATGTCCAAGAATTAAGTGTTGACTCTCAGCGGTATAAAAATAAAAACAACAACAACAACAAAACCTATTTACAGTACATTCATGGTTTAAACTGGTACACAAACAGTTTTTCTTAGGCTTAATCATTTGCCAACATCACCATACCCATTCAACAAAAATTATGTAACTTCTCGTTTCTTTATGCCTATCTGAAGAACTCAGACTGCTGGGTACTGTGAGTTGGATGAGTCCCCCCGCCCCTCAAGACCAAAATTACAGCAAAGTCTCTGTCAAGGTTTCATATTAAAATGTTGAAAGTGGATACAAAATCAAGAGACTAAAACAGTGTATTTTCAATCATGTTTCACACTATTTTTAATGTATAAGAAGGAAATAAACCTTCATATAACTGCCTGAGGCATATAACTGCCTGAAATTTTCTGGGTAGCCAGTGTGGCAACTGACAAGGATTCAGACTTATTGATGAACTATTAAAAACTGCAAGCTAATGTTACTCACTATAATACTTAGATTTTTGGGACAGCAAAGAAATGACTAAAAGACAGGTGTCCTGGATGCTAGTCCTAGTCCTTCTATTGACTGACTGTAAGCGGTAAGTTATTTTATCTCTTTGGATTTCGCTTTCCTCATCTATAAAATGTGAGATTTGGCCAGGAGTGGTGGCTCACGCCTTTAATCCCAGCACTTTGGGAGGCTGAGGTGGGCGGATCACTTGAGACCAGGAGTTTGAGAACAGCCTGCTAACATGGTGAAACACCATGTCTACTAAAAATAAAAAAAAATAAAAAAAATTATCTGGGAGTGGTGGTGTACGCCTGTAATCCCAGCTACTCAGGTGGCTGAGGCATGAGAATCTCTTGAACCTGGGAGGCGGAGGTTGCAGTGAGCCAAGATTGCGTCACTCCACTCTAACCTGGGCAACAGAGTGAGACTCGGTCTAAAAAATTAAAAAATAAAAATAAAATGTGAGATTTGAAGGAGATATCCTGTAAATCCCTTTTAGCCCTAATACACCATTTTTTTAGCATGTTAATACCATCAAATAGAAACCAATAAGTTGTTTACTATTTTTGACAGAATCCAGAATATCCATAAATAGCACCTCATTCACAGGAGAAAACAAAAAAGTACTATCTTTAGGCTGGGCGCGGTGGCTCAAGCCTGTAATCCTAGCACTTTGGGAGGCCGAGGCGTGCAGATCACGAGGTCAGGAGATCGAGACCATCCTGGCTAACACGGTGAAACCCCGTCTCTACTAAAAACACACAAAAAAATTAGCCGGGCATGGTGGTGGGCGCCTGTAATCCCAGCTACTCGGGAAGCTGAGGCAGGAGAATGGCGTGAACCCGGGAGGCGGAGCTTGCAGTGAGCCAAGATCGCGCCACTGCACTCCAGCCTGGGTGACAGAGTAACCCAGGTTCTCTAAAGTCGTTGGCTTGAACATTTCTTCTGCATTTTTCCATAACTTTCCCAAGCAGAATATCCTGCCCTAGCTGTGTTCTCCAAGACCTATGTTCTATCAATAATCTGGCTGGCCAAAACCTCAACAAAGTCCCTTTGCTCCCACCTCCTCTGCACAAGTCTTCAGACTTCTCCCTAAAACTGGCAGACATAGAAACACATCTGTTGTTAATTCAACATGTACAAGTGAGAGGTCACACTCTATTCCCTGTACCCAGGAAAGATAGAGGGTGTAAATTCTAGCTTCCAATTAGCTCCAGCGAATACAATCTCTCTGGGACTCTACCTATCCCAGAAAAAAAATCAGAATAAACTGCACAGCTTTCTTATGCACAAACTGCTATGGATACTCAAGAATCCATGAGTCTCAGACTTCAAAGGGCTAACATTCAGCCAGTATACTCTTACGGCCTCAAAGTTTGTTAAAATACTGAAATTCTTCTTACCATTTGGCAAATAGTGTCCTGAGCCACTGCCTAATCCTGTAGCCCAGCATATTCTCAAGGATCCTTAGTAACCCATCAACAGGTTAAGGACTGGCACCCTAAAGGGCCCATAGGTTCCTTCTCTAGCACAGTAACCAGCCTCTATTCTGTTTAGTACCCACGCAGTCAATCCCTACCCCCAGCCCCCAAAGTTGTACCTTCTGGACAATGCCTTTGGATTCTTCTAGATACTCCCAAGGACTAGGCTGTGCATTTCTTACCTTTCCCACCCAGACGTGGGGCAACTCAAATGGGTCTGGAAAGTAACAGATATAGCACTAGCCAGTCCAGATTACTGAATCCAGTTCCTGTTCTTTCATGTCTCCTCTGCCAGAGCTGGCCTGGTACCCAGCAGGAGACACCAGTGGCAGTGGCACCTCATCAGGCAAATGCCCGCTGCCTCTTTTTTTTTTTAAATGGAGTCTCGCTCTGCTTCCCAGGCTTGAGTGCAGTGGCGTGATCCCAGCTCATTGCAACCTCCGCCTCCTGGGTTCAAGCAATTCTCCTGCCTCAGTCTCCTGAGTAGCTGGGATTACAGGTGTCTGCTACCATGCCCAGGTAATTTTTGTATTTTCAGTAGAGATGGGGTTTCCTCATATTGGTAGGGCTGGTCTTAACTCCTGACTTCAAGTGATCCGCCTGCCTCAGCCTCCCAAAGTGCTGGGATTACAGGCATGAACCACCCCACCCCGCCGGTGCCTTTTGACTCCGAGGCTGTGACTACTCACCACTGATTCCCCAGAGTTGCCTTCATGTGGTTGGTTACCTGTGGGAACTGCAGCCTGCCCAGAATTTTGAATGAGGCAGCCAGGAAGGGCAATGTGCTAGCTGGCAGACTGGGCCACCACACCAACTATTACATAATTTAAATATTACTTCTGAAAAAAGGCATATGCAACCAAGCTACCTATTTTTTATTTTTTTTTTTTTACCCCTTCTGACATATCTGATGACTTAGCCCTGCTGAAAACAAATCAAAGATACTTGTTGACTGTGCCAAGAATTGGGTCAGCTGGCTGATATGCCATCAAATTTTAACTGCTTTTTTTCCTATTTTTGTTTAATGTATTTAAGACCACCGCCTTACAATTTCCAGAGAGAAAATACAAAACAAGAAACAGACTTGGTTTCAAATACATAACAAGTGTGCTGGAGTTTAAAGCATTACTAATAACATTGTTATAATAAGAATGACAGCTTACTCCAGGGTACTTCAGCATTCCTGAGGAATAAACATGATTTCTCTTTTCCTCCCACTGCGATGTTGTCAGGTGGTCACTGCTCCTGTCCTTTGACATGTTTTCCATGTAGAAGACATGGAACCTGGAAATCATGCTGACTGCTGGAATAAGCCATTCCTAATGCCATGCCAGAACCAAAGGCTAATGGCCACATTCTTTTTTTAAAGAAGGTAAGTGAGAAAACAATCCCTAATCCAAAACCGGTACTTATCTACCACATCCAGCAGGCACTGGTCCCACTTCCTGCTGAGCCCCACCTCTGACATGTTCCCCACCCACAGCTCCAGCTTTCCTCTCACTCTAACTGCATTTAAGAGACATCTTGTAATGATTCTACATGCAAGAGTTCAAAATAAGAACTCCTGAATCTTTCAGCTACTCTAACAATATGGGTTCTGACCTGATAGCATCTTATCACTATTCTTGCCCAAGACTTGACAGGCCAGCCCATATTACAGTAGGTAGGGTTAGGTGGAAGTGGTGTGAGATGTTCATAAAAATTAAAGTGAACTCCTGCTTCTCAAAGAAAACAAGGTCTCTTTTGGTCAAGAAAAAGAGGGGTTTCATTAAATGACACTCTTGGTAACCTGCCATCCCTTTCAAATGGATGTATTCACTTTCAGAGTGAGGTTCAGATTTTCCACAATACAGAGAGGGAAAACATGAGTTGAGGAGAACCTCATTTTCCCCTAATAAATGCTAGTGCTTTTTAATGGGGGAAAACAAACAAAAACCCCAAAGAACTCTGGCTCTTAAAGGACCAGGGTACTCTCATGTACTAACTGCATAGAAGGGATAAACCAGTCTACTCATCTTTCTTTACATCAGAGAGGCCTCCTTGCTCCCAAGATTTTAGTTTTTAAAAACTTTATTCTAACTGATAACCTGGACAGCTGAAATGATCCAGCTGATTCTCTGTCACATGATCTGGAAATCCAGGCAACAACAGAGTTCACATCACCCTGAGACATGCTCCATTCCAAATCCTTTGTAACCCTCTGGCCATCACTGAAACTAAGACAAATAAACTGGATCAACCAAGAGATGGCCAAACATAAGCTACACCTGACCAAAGTCACAGCCACCCTGCAGTGCCTCCCAAAGAGCAGAGTGCTGGAGGAAAAATGGAGGAGACTACACTATCAGAACAGCAGATATGCCTCTCAGTAGAATGAGCCCCATACAAATATTATGGCTTTGCCACACCACTGCCCTGACAGGCTGCCTGAGGCTGCATAAGTTATTCAACAAACATGACAAAATGTTCGGTGGCCTCCCAGTTGATACAATGTCCACAGATGTTTCCTTCTCTCACTACTCTAGTATGCTGCACACCAAACAGTGCTACTCAAATGTCATTCATACTGATGCCAGTCCATGAAGTTTGCTACTGATCCACAAGTACAGAAATTGAGAATAAGTAAAAAAAAAAATTTTATAGAAATTAGACACAGTAATTTTTTTTCCTTTTTCTTTGAGAGAGTCTCCCTCTGTCACCTGGGCTGGAGTGCAGTGGCATGATCTCAGCTCATTTCAACCTCCACCTCCTGGGTTTAAGCGACTCTCCCATCTCAGCCTCCTGAGTAGCTAGAATATAGGCATATGCCACCATACTTGGCTAATTTTTATATTTTTTGGTAGAGATGGGGTTTCACTATGTTGGCCAAGCTAGTCTCAAACTCCTGGTCCCTGTAATTCCTCCCAAAGTGTTGGGATTACAGGCATGAGCCACTGCATGCAGCTGACACATAATTATGTCTGTTGAATTTAACAAAACATTTGGTTTGTATTTTAAAATTTTTTGTAATTCACTTCATTCATTCACTCATTCATTTAAGACAGAATCTCGTTCTGTTGCCCAGGCTGGAGTGCAGTGGTGTGATCTTGGCTCACTGCAATCTCCGTGTCCTGGGTTCAAATGATTCTCGTGCCTCAGCCGAATAGCTGGGATTACAGGTGTGCATCACATGCCCAGCTAATTTCTGTATTTTTAGTAGAGATGGGGTTTTGCCATGTTGGCCAGGCTGGTCTCGAACTCCTGACCTCAAGTGATCCACCTGCCTTGGCCTCCCAAAGTGCTGGGATTACAGGTGTGGGCCACCACACCCGGACCTAGTAATCACTTCTTTATTATACATTACTAAAGTATCAGACTATGATGGACTGGAATTTTTTTAAAAATTTATCTTTTGGCTGGGCATGGTGGCTCACCCCTATAATCTCAGCACTTTGGGAGGCTAAGGCAGGTGGATCACTTGAGCTCAGGAGTTCAAGATCAGCCTGGGCAACATGGTGAAACCCCAACTCTACAAAAAAATTGGCTGGGCAGGGTGGCACACACCTGCAGTCCCAGCTACTCAGGAGGCTGAGAATCGTTTGAACCTGGGAGATGGAGGTTGCACTGAGCAGAGATTGTGCCATTGCACTCCAGACTGGGTGACAGAGCAAGACTCTGTCTAAAAAAAAAAAAAAAAAAAAAAAATTAAAATTTAAAAAAGAAATATTGTTGCATGAATAAATACATTACCGTTTCTTGCCTCTAAGCCTTTGATTATTCAGCTGCCACTGCCTACAGGCCTTCTCCCATATTCCTTCCTTCTTGCTAAGTCTGACTTAAACTAGGCTTAGGCACCAACTCCTATAGGAAGCCTTCCTTGAACCTGGCCCTCTACTTTTCACTCACTGACTACCACTCAATTAACTGAACGGTGAAAAGTAACCCACAGCTACGCATTCATGCAGACAACAGAATTTTACTACTTCTTCTCACTACTGGTTCATATTTCTGCAACCAGAAAATATCATTTCATCCCTAGTAACTATGGCTTCCATCTGTTACTTCCTTACTACACTAAGCACTTCTTTACATTAACTGCATAGGTTGTCCCAAGGGTCAAGATACATCTTAAAAACTTAAGGGAAAAAAAAAGCATTCCTATATACATTGGTAAAGTCAATGCAGCAAGGAAGCCTCATTTGTTTTCTATACAATGTTCTCATGATCGCCAAAAGCTAGAAGTCTTCTTCTGGGCCTATTCAAAGTCAATCTCATGAACTCTCATTTCCAATTTACATCTATCATATTCTTCACACTGTTCTTGCATGGACTCCAATCTCTGCTCTATACCTTGGCTAAGCACACACAACCTGGGCATAAAGAGTCAGAGTAAACTATGGAAATTTACCCAAGCTTACTTCTTCCTGTCCCACCCTCTATCTGACCAAGGACAATCCAGATAAAGCCTTTGTTCAGGGCTGGGAAGGCAGGCAGGAAGCTTATAGTCCAATTCTGTACCTTTAAATCAGTCCATCTCTCACCAAGAAACCATACAGCTAACAGCCACTAAAACAAGCCTCACATATCCCAACACCATTCATGGCAATGCTCTAGAATCATTCTTCTACACACCTAACCTTACTCAGTTCCATTTTAGTTCTTGGCTACTGACTCTACCAGTTTACCATGCCCTTGTCTAATATTTGCTGACTGAACTTTTTTCCCAAGCATAACCTTTGGTGTTTTCTGAGACTTTTAGTTGGGTTCTACTGTGGCTCTTTTCACTGCTTGCTGCCTTGGGTATGATGCCCACCTGAGCTTCAGCCCTGGAGATCTACCATAGGCTCGGTGCCTTAGCGGTCTACCTTGCTCCCAAAAGAATTCATATGACCAAACACATTTCTTGGAAGTTCCACATCAGTGTCATAACATAGCAACTTATCCACATCTTGCTTGAACAATTATTTAACTATTGATGAGCTGCTTTTCATTTCCTTTCTCTACTGAATGCTACCTATCCTGTCTACAAATAAAATTATTTCTCTATAAGTAAATTGTTTCTAAATAACTTCTACTTCAGTTTAAAAGTAGAAAATAAAAAGTAAGCCAGGAAGAACAACATAACTAAAAATTCAGAATATGTCACCAGGTGCAGTGGCTCTTGCCCATAATCCCAGCACTTAGGGAGGATCACTTGAAGCCAGGAGTTCAAGACTAGCCTGTAGAGATCCTGTCTCTACAAAAAAAAAAAAAAAAAAAAAAATAGCCAGGCATGGTGGCACATGCCTGTAGTCCTAACCACTCAAGAGGTTGTAATAGGAGGACTGCTTGAACTTAGGAGTCCAAGGCTGCAGTGAGCTATGATCATGCCACTGAACTCCAGCCTGGGTGACAGACGGAAACCGTGTCTCAAAAAAAAAAAAAGTACTATTATTCTTAAAAATAAAAAATGTAACAGTATCTTAAAATATTATAAATGTCGTCTTGTGCCTTCCAACATGTGCCCTCTTCCCTTCTGTCTACTGAGTCTTATGACAACTCTGTCACTTTAGTCTTTTCTTTTTTTTTTTTTTTTTGAGATGGAGTCTCACTCCCTCTGTTGCCCAGGCTAGAGTTCAATGGCATGATCTTGGCTCACTGCAACCTCCAACTCCTGGGTGCTAGCGGTTCTTCTGCCTCAGCCTCCCCAGTAGCTGGGATTACAGGCATGCATCACGACGCCCAGCTAATTTTGTATTTTTAGTAAAGACGAGGTTTCGCCATTTTACCCAGGCTGGTCTTGAACTCCCGACCTCAAGTGATCTGCCCACCTCGGTCTCCTAAAGCGCTGGGCTTACAGGTGTGAGCCACTGCACCTGGCCCACTTTTCTAACTATTGTGAAAACAGAAAACTGACATCCCCTCAAAATGATGCTCCCATTCTGAATGAGTCATTTCACAGGAGCCCAGGATGCAGTTAACTAATGGTTTCACATAACTACAGATAGGCTGATATCACACTGTCACATGAACATTACACATAATGTTACGTATGAGAAACAAGGGGAAAATGTCTCCATGAAAACCGAGAGAGAGGAGAAAAAGACTTGCCACATTAAGCTTGACATTAAAACAAAATAAAAACCTTTTTTTTTTCTTTTAAAGAAATAGGTTTGTGTGGGCTGCCCAATACACTGCTGTGTGAAATTAATCATACCAAATTTGCCAGTAAAAAAATGAAAATATCGGCCGGGTGCGGTGGCTCACGCCTGTAATCCCAGCACTTTGGGAGGCCGAGGCAGGCGGATCATGAGGTCAGGAGATCGAGACCATCCTGGCTAACATGGTGAAACCCCGTCTCTACTAAAAATACAAAAACATTAGCCGGGAGTGGTGGTGGGCACCCGTAGTCTCAGCTACTCGGGAGGCTGAGGCAGAAGAATGGCATGAAACCCGGAGGCGGAGCTTGCATTGAGCCGAGATCGCGCCACTGCACTCCAGCTTGGGAGACACAGCGAGACTCCATCTCTGTGAGAGATAGGGAGACTCTGTCTCAAAAAAAAAAAAGGAAATATCAACATAATTAGATCATACCAACAGTCTATGCAACATAGGTGAGAAAACCTTGCCAGTATTCATGATAAAAAGGGATATGTATCATAACAAATTGTTTTGAGCAATTCCAGACTAATCCATCTATGCCAATGAGGAATATATCTTTGATAAATTCGATAATGAAAAAAATCAAACTTTATCCTTCTAGACCTACTACAGCATTTTTTTTTTTTTTTTTTTTGAGACAGAATCTTGCTCTGTCGCCCAGGCTGGAATACAGTGGCACGATCTCGGCTCACTGCAACCTCTGCCCTCCTGGGTTCAAGGAATTCTCCTACCTTAGCCTTCAAGTAGCTGGGATTACAGGCATGCACCACCACATCCAGCTAATTTTTTATTTTTTTATTTGTATTTTTGGTAGAGACGGGGTTTCACGATGTTGGCCAGGCTGGTCTCGAACACCTGGCCTCATGTGATCCACCCTCCTCAACCTCCCAAAGTGCTGGGATTACAGGTGTGAGCCCAGCCTATTACAGCATTGCTAACTACTATAAAACTGGGTTGTTTCCATCTCTGCTCATCTTCACTGTATTATCAAAAGAGGTAAAATCATCAAAAGGCAAACAAAAATCACAGAATTCCACGGCTTTATAAAATAAGACTAAAATAAGAACTATTTCAGCTGAAACTCTAAAATATTCATCTTGCTTAATCCATCTAATAACTCTACATTGTAGATTAAAAAGGCATAATCATTTAATTATGAGGAAAAGTTTCAGAAAATTAAGTGACTTGATCAAGTGCAGTCAAAACTGCAACTTAACTTCGAATTCTGCAATTTCAAACTCTGTGTTGTACTAAATTAGCGGTTTCTGTCTCCCTCTGCTCTTTACAACAATCCCTGATACTTCTAAGGGGCAGTCTGAAAGCACAGAACTCCATTGCTCCGTGAACACCAGTATCAAGCAACTCACTATATACTTCTCGATGAAACACATTCTATTTTCAGAAAGCTTTGAATACTAGAAGTCATTAAAAGCATTTATATTTGGACAGACATGGTGGCTCACACCTGTAATCCAAACACTTTGGGAGGCCGAGGTGGACAGATCACCTGAGGTCATAAGTTCGATACCAGCCTAGCCAACATGGAGAAACCCCATCTCTACTAAAAATGCAAAAATTAGTCGGGCGTGGTGGTAGGCACCTGTAATCCCAGCGACTCGGGAGGCTGAGGCAGGAGAATCGCTTGAACCCAGGAGGTGGAGGCTGCAGTGAGCTGAGATCATGCCACTGCAGTACAGCCTAGGTGACAGAGCAAGACTCTGTAGCAAAAAAAAAAAAAAAAAAAAAAAAATTATATTGCACTAATTACTGCCTCAAAACACGGAACACAGTATGATTTAATTAAATTTAAAGTATAATACTATAAATCTCAGTGTTGCTTCTTAAAGCTGCCAGCAGAAATAATTTCTGGGGGTATTCATTCTTCAAACACAAATCAAGCTTTTTTTAGGTGCTTAATACTGAGCTAGACCCTAAGGATATAAAAACACAGTCCCTGCATTCAGAAGTGTTAATCCCACAAAGCAAGACTAGTATTAATCCATATTCTACAGAAGAGCCATTGGGTTCCCACCATCTTCCCTTCATAAAGCTATATATTCAAGAGTAGGAGGCTTACTTTATTTACTTTTATATTTCCACCACTAGCATGTAAAAGTGGTGCAATAAATGTTCAATGCAAGTCTAGGTAACAATTCCTTAAAATTTAAAAAGCTAAATTTTTAGGCAGTGTAAAGGACAAACAAGTTATTTCCATCATTAATTCACACAATCAACTTTTTCACTTCAAATAGTCAAATTACATTAATAGATCGTAAGCTACAAAACCAAGGTAAAGCTTCCTTAGAACTTAGTCATGGCCACGTACAGTGGCTCATACCTGTAATTCCAGCACTTCGGGGGACCGAGGCAGGAGGATCACTTGAGCCCAGGAGTTTGAGACCAGCTTGGGAAACACAGTGAGATCCCAGCTCTAAAAAAATTTTAAAATTAGCTGGGAGGATTGCTTGAGCCCAGGAGTTCAAGGTTACAGTGAACTATGATTGCGCCACTGCACTCTAGCCTGGCAGCCTGGGTGAAAGAAAAAGACTCTCTTAAAAAATAAATAAATAAAAAAGAGTCTTGTCTAAGAATTCTGAACCTGGGGTCCCCTGATGTATGTAAAACTCCAAAAATTTTTCGAAACAACATATAACAGATGAATTAGGACCTAAAACTTAAAAGAACCACTGATTAAGGCAAATGCCCTAACTTTACACACAAAGGAACTGCAGAAAAGAAGGAAATGTCTCCAAAGTGCTTCTCAACTAACCAGTGTTAAGAGCTGCGTATTTATTTGCTAGGGTTCCCACAACAAAGTACCAAAGACTAGGTGGCTTAAACAATAGAAATTTATTTTCCCACACTTCTGAAGGCTAGATGTCCAAGATTAAGATGTCCACAGGGTTTATCTCTTCTCAGGCCTCCCTCCTCAGTTTGTAGATGGCCTTCTTTCTCCAGTGTCATCACATGATCTTCCCTTTGTGTTTGTCCTAACCTCTTACAAAGACACCATTCATATTGGATTAGGGCTCATATGTATAACGTCATTTTATCTTAATTACCTTTTTAAAGGCCCCATCTCCAAATATGGTCACATTCTAGGTACTAGGAGTTAGGACTTTAACTTATATACATTTGGAGAGCATACAATTCAACCTCTAAAATTCTGCCATCTGGCCCCTCAAAATTCATGTCCTTCTCAGACACAAAACACATCCACTCCATCCCAACAGCCCCAAAGTCTTGACCCATTTCAGTATCAACTCTAAGCCCCAAATCTCATCTAAATATCATTTAGATCAGGTACAGGCATACTCAAGGTTTCACCCTGAGGCAAAATTCTTCTCCAGCATGAACCTGTGAAACTAGACAAGTTATTTGCTTCCAAAATACACCACTGGTGAGACAGGCATAGGATAAACATTCCTATTCCAAAAAAATCAGAAAGAAGGGGTGATGGATCCTAAGCAGGTCTGAAACGTATAAAGGCAAATCCCATTAGATTTTAAGGCTCAAGAATAATCTTCTTCAGCTTCATTCTCCATCTTCCCACCTAACAGGGGTGGCAGCCCTGTCTTCTGAGCCCACCAGTGTGGTAGCCCACCTCCCTCAGCCCTAAGAAGTAGCCTACCTTGACTCCTCAGGCCTGAGCCCTCTGGTCCTGTGGTAGCAATAGTAGCCCCTTTGCCTTCTCAATCATCTTCAGGGTCATTCTTCCCTCTTCTTGAAGAACACATGTTCACAGCCAGATAGCTCTACTGACCCATTTTATAGAATCTCAAGAAATCCAACAGACTTCCTTCATTTTTATCCCTCTGTTCCCTTCGGTACCAGCCAGCAGCATTTCCATAGGTATAACCCCATCTCTATCCTGGCTTCTGCTAGTTGCTGCCAAGATGGCTGATTGGATCCACAAGTCACATATCCCTAATTGCTTTAGGAAATGGTTGTCTTGCAACAACTTTGATGTTCCCTCCAGAACATGCTAAATTTTTGCAATATGGATAGACTGAGAATTTTCCGAATCTTCAGGCTCTGGTTGCTTTTGGCTTAATAATTCCTTCTTAAATTTCTCTCTCTCCTCTTGCATCTTACTTTAAGCAGCAAGAAGAAACCAGGCCATATCTTTAATGCATTGCTTAGAAATCTCAGCTAAACATTCAAGTTCATCACTTTGTAAGTTCATCCACTTTCCACAAAACACAATTTGGCTATTTGCCACATTATAATAAGCATTGCCTTTCCCTCAGTTTCCAACAATATATTCCTCATTTGTTTGAGTTCCTACCAGAAACACCTTTAACATTCATATTTCTACCAATATTTATTCAAGGTGACATATGTATACCTCTAAGATGACAGAAGCTTTCTCAACAGCTCTCCTATTTTCTAAGCTTCACCAGAATCACCTTCAACATCCATATGTCTACCAACAATCTCTTCAAGGCAGTCTATGCTTTTTCTAACAAATACTTCTTCTGGCCTCTACCCATTATCTAGTTCTAAAGCCAATTCCACATTTTTAGGTATTAATTACACCAGCACCCCACTTTCCCAATACCAAAATCCATATAAGTTTACTAGGGCTTCCATAGCAAAGTATCACAGATTGGGTAGTTTAAAGAACAGAAATTTATTTTCTCACACTTCTAGAAGTCCAAGATCAAGGTGTCAGCAGTGTTGGTTTCTTCTAAAGCCTGTAGATCTCTTTGGCTTGTAGATGGCCATCTTCCTCCAGTGTCTTCACATGGTCTTACCTTTCTGTGTGTCTGTGTCCTAATCTCTTCTTAATGGAAACCACTCATATGGAATTGGAGTCCACCCATATGACTTCATTTTATCTTCATTACCTTTTTAAAGGCCCCATCTCCAAATACAGTTACATTCTAGGTTCTACAGTTAGAATTTCAATCTTCAGTGTATCAGTTGGGTGTCTGTGTGTGGGAGTGGGGGGTGGGGATGGATAATTCATCCCATAACAAACCCAAACTACTCATATTCACTTATTGTATGAATATTGAATACTAATCTTTCCCAGCCACCATGCTAGCTGATGACCAAGCAACAGTGAGCAAAACAGGTGTAATACCTGACTCATTAGCTTAAAAATAAGGGAAATAATAATATACAAATGAATAAAGCATATGAGAGCACATAAGATGTATTTGGGACCTCATCAAGCTTGCTATGTCCAAGAAAACTTTGAAGAGCTCAAATCTGAAGGACAAGAACGGAAGGGGTATGTGTACATAGAATTTTTTAGCAAGAGGGAACAGCATACCACATTCAAGGAATTGAGAGGTGGTTATCAGGGCTGGAATACAGAAAGTGAGAAAAATAATTTAAAAAACATGAAGTTGCATAGGAAAAACAGTAACATCATCCAGGATCTTAAATATCACATTATGATTTCTGGTCTTTATTCTAAGAGCAATGGGAAGCAACTGAAAGGCATTAAGCATGATCACATTTTCCCTTTAAAAAGATCACTCTGACAGAGAGAGGGCACAAGGAGCTTCTAAGGTGCTAGTAATATCGTATTTCCTGACCTGGGTATTAATTATATAGATACACTCACTGTGTGAAAATCCATCAAATGATGGTAGTTTAAAATGTAGGAACAGATTCAAGAGATATTCAGGTGGCAAAGTCCATAGAATCCATTTGATGGATTGAATATGAGGGGGAAAGAAGGCATTGAAGAAGACTCTCAACTTTCTAGCTTACAGAGATAGATAAAAGGTAAATCCATTCACTGTGGCAGGAAATCCTGGAGTCCCAGATTTAAAGAGATCACAGGTTCAATTGGAGGAGCTTTTAAGCTTAGAAGTGGAAATGTCAGGTAGACAGTTAAATATACAGACTGGAGTTCAGAGGAGAAGGTTATGAAGAAAATACATTTGGGGGTCAATATTGTTAATAGAACCATTAGGTACAAAAATCAATCAGCCGACTACTTAATGAGCTCCTACAGTACTACAGGCACTGTTTAGATTTTGTGGACACAGCTGTGAACAAAATAAACATGTCCTCATTTATCCTATATTCTATTTCAGGAATACTGCCAACGAATCAGTAGTAACATCAACTACTAGTACTACAGTGAAAGTGACATCTCAGGTGAGACCTAAACATTAAGAAAATGCTAGGCATAGGAAGAGTAGACGAGAAGAGCATTCCAAGCAGAAATAACAGTTAGAGCTTTTAGCAAGGACAAGCTTATCATATCTGAAGAACAGTTCAAAGAGGCCAGTATAGATGGACTGTAGTAAATGCAGACTGGTATAAGACAGGGTCAGAGAAGCAGCCAAGGACTAGATTATGTAGTGTCTAAGCAGTGAGTGATTTTACGTATTTTAAAAAGAATTTATAGACTACTCTAGCTGCTCTGTGGATAAAATTGTAAGGTGGCAAAAATAAAAGTGGGGAGACTACTATGTCCACATGAGAAATGATGAGACCACATAGGGAAAGCTAAGAGTAAGAACAGAAGATTGTCTAGAACTGAAATTTGAAGAATTCTAAAATTCAAGGACCAAGAGGAGAAGGCAGCAAAGGAGACAGAAATAACCACAGAGATCTGAACAAAAACCATGATGTCAAGGAAGCCAAGTAAAGTATTTTAAGGAAAAACTGATCAAAAGTTAAATGCTTGCTGAGTAGTCAAATAAGAAGAGCAGTGAATAATGCCCGTAAATACAGAGGAATATTCTGGAGACCTTAATCAATTTAGAGGAATGATAGGGACAGAAACTAAAATGGAGTTGGTTCAATATTATCAGAAGTGAGGGAGAAAAAGAAAATGAATGTAGACTACTCTTCAGAAAGAAGTTTGGCTATAAATGAGCTGTGTCAAGAAAGAGGGACTTTTAAATCGGAAGACTTGATCATGTTTAACTGTTGATGGGTCAGACTCAGCAAAGAAGGCGAGGTTGAAGTTAGAGAGAAGGAATAATTGACAATGTATAAAATTTCCTGAGAAGGAAAGAGATGCAATTCAGAGCACAGGTGAAGGCATTCAATAAACAAACGAGAGAGGATGGACACAAATGGAGGTGGAACTCAGACTGCCTAACTCTTGTAATAATGTGTTCTTCCCAGTAAAATCATGCTAAGAATATTTTGAAAAGTGTCCAAAACAGGTCAACAAAATTAACTGAAAGAAAGTTACTGAATTACTGAGGTTGAAAAGCCAAATAATGACCCAATATATATTATTTTCAGATAAATAACGAAAAATCATGTAAAGATATCCATCAGTACCAGCTATTCTTGATTGCTGAATACAGATAAATATGTGAAAAAAGATGCAAGCATTTGTGTGTTTTCTTTTTTTAAGTTACACGTAGGATCACAGTTCTTTGGGAAAAGGGTTCTAAAAAGTGATTATGAACTTTTTGTTGAACCATTTTAAGACTGGGACAAATACCTGGAGTATTCTTCTCAGACAGTCTAGAAATTCTTCTGTAAAGTGTTAAAGCGAAAAACCTTAAAAGAAATAGATAATCAAAAGCCTCAACTTTGCTCTACTAATCTGTATTCTAGGATTTAATTTCTTGATCATAAACCACAAATCTAAAGACTACTGGTGAGGTTAAAATGGAAGAAAAGGCTCTGATATGGCACTGGATACACCAAGTTAAATGGGTGATCCTTCTTCTCTGGTGGTCTGGAAATCCTTTCCCCAGCAAGTATCAAATACAACTGATTCATGCTCCATCTCCACGTTTCCTATACAGGTTGAGCACCCATAATCCAAGAAGCTCCAAAATCCTGAACTTTTTGAGCATTGATTGACATGATGCTCAAAGAAAATGTTCACCGGAGCACTTTGGATTTCCAGGTTAGATATGCTCAATCAGTAGGTATTCTGCAAATATTCCAAAATCCAAAAGAAAATCTGAACTCCAAAACACTTCTGGTCTCAAGCATTTCAGATAGGGGTACTCAACTTTTATTACAAACTGCCCTGTAACGTTGCTCTTCTTTGATTACTGCTTCCTTCGTATCAAAAGTTTGTTGACTGTTTTAGGGAGAAGACTGTGCCTAATATCGAATAAAACAGTTACTGATTCTTAGTAAAGAATAAAGCTCCTAGGACACAGTAGTGATCCAAAGATAACAAGATCCCTGGTTTTAATTTTCAAAATGTCTAGCCCATTACTCTTATCACATTTCCTATAAATACTTCAATTTACTTATATTCTAGATAAATGTCTTAACTGCATCTCTGCCAAGGGTTACATTGAACTATATTCCTATAATCTCAATACCCTTATGTACTGCTTACCAGTTTCCTGAATTGAAAACTATCTTAATCTATTCATAAAACCAATGACATTTCTTTTCTAAACAAAAATTCCAACTTTTCTATTCTAAACAAAAACTCCAACTCTAACATTTAGAACAATGAAGAAAAAACACAAACTACTCTTAAGGAATTAAGAGAAACCAAACAAGACCCAGTTCTTCAATTTTTTTAAGTTGACTAAAACAAAATAAAGCAAATACCCAACAGTAAGAATTCTGTACTTCAAGATTTTCCTTGTAAAATTTAAGTTATTTACAAAGCAAACTTAAGTAACTGTCTCTTTTACTGTTCTTTCAGAAAATTAATTTAAAATTCCATAAAAGAATAAAAAGTTCCTATTATAGAGAAAAAGCTCCTTTAATTCTTCAAATATTCGGAAAATTTATGTAATTTCCATGATGTCTACTACTAACATACTTACGTAACAAGTGGACATAAAAGAAAAGTAAGTAAAACCACTTACAAGTAGTATTGACTTATTTTAGGAAATACTGCCTGAAAATTAATTAGGGTTAAAAAAATCCAACTTAACATAATTTAGCAATCCATTTATTGAACACTATACATTTCAAATGCTAATTAAAATAATAAAATATTAAAATTAATTTAAAGCCTTACAGTACAACAGTATATGTAAATAATTCAATGGAAAAAAATGTTCCTAAAATATGATTATCAAGTCTATTGATGTTTAATTTACAGAAAACATTTAAACATTAAATAGTATAAACTCTATCAATTTTTTTTTTTTTTTTTTTTGAGATGGAGTCTCACTCTGTTGCTCAGGCTGGAGTGCATGGCACCATCTTGGCTCACTGCAACCTCTGCCACCCAGGTTCAAGCGATTCTCCTACCTCAGCCTCCTGAGTAGCTAGGATTACAGGCACATGCCACCACGCCCAGCTAATTTTTGTATCTTTAGTAAAGACAGGGTTTCACCACGTTGGCCAGGCTGGTCTCCAACGCCTCACCTCAGGTGATCTACCCACCCGGCCTCCGAAAATGCTGGGATTACAGGCGTGAGCCACTGCACCTGGCCCAACTCTTTTCAATTTTGACTTTTAAAAACAGAATTATAAATGGCCTCTTGAAGATTTCTTCATTTAACTTTCCTGATAAATCAACATACCTTATAACCTTAAAAAATAAAGATACCATAAAGATGGAATCAACTCTTCACTGGAATTTCTTTTTAACCTTGGAAAAACACCAAATTAAAAAAAAAAAAGATAACTATGTGGTTAAAAAAAAATAATACAGGGTTACAGTAGATACATGTCTAACATAGATTTGAATCACAGTTTTATCTCTTACTAGAGAAATCATGTTAGGTAAGTCGTTTAACCTAAATTTTTGTTTCCTCTTTCTAAAGCCATTGTAGAATTGTGAAAATTAATGACTGTAACAATCACATTTAGATGGGGGCCTAGCACTGATGGGCATTAAATAAGCAGCAGTTATTTAAATGGATACTATTAAGACTTTTTGCTACAAAATTCCTACTGTTTGTTGCAGCGGCATTGCACCATATAAGGAACCACTTGTAAAAATTTAACTCAAAATAGTTATCAGCTTTCCTTCAAAATCATTCAGTTAAGGGCAACCAGCAACCATGACATAATAGTGAATTATGTAACAGTGAATTTCAACCTACTGCTTATCAATTAGCATCCATCATCATATAATTAAGTTAATGTAAATATTTTTTCTCAAATCCATACATTCAAGTTCTATGCCATGTTATGGATTCCCCACCAATGATTAACATAATAGATTTTTATAAATCTTTCCAGCCATTTTCGTATCTAAATTCTACCTAACCCACAGGGTCAGGAAACTAAATGCAGAGCTGTGGTGTATAAGTTTAACTTGATTAAGTAAGGCTGAGAAGGAACAATGAGTTCAGTAGAATACAGGAGGGAAAAAGATATTATCTCCCGCTTTGCCAGACACTTACCATCCCATCATCTTCATTAAGAATGTTATGAGGTTACAGGAGGATAGCTGAGCAAAAAATGAATAGAGTGAAAGAAAACACGTACACAAGAAAAGACTATGAAAGAAAAAGAAATATGATTTCTAAGATTAAGAAAAACGGAAGAAAAAAAAAGGAAAACAAAGAACCCACAATCCCTTCCTGAGTAAATTTTCTTTCATTTTGTTACACTAAAAAACTGAAGAGTTCAGAATTACTCTTCAGAATTTCTTTCAGAATGAAGAGATATTCTGAAAGCTGTATAATTATTATAATTACCAACTGAAAATTAACACCAAGAATAAAACTTTAACTTTACATGTACCATCTGAAAACAGTTAAAACTGGAAAATAAGAAAATAATCCAAATAATAAAGTATATTTCAATGGACTCTACTAAAACACAATTTCAACCATGAAAAACCACATTATTCTTTTTCCCTTAGTTACTAGCAAAACTGAGAGGCAAACCCAATAGCTCCTCTCAAAGTATTTCAATCTTCCCATTAATTTACAAAAAGTAGTTCAATTACAAAAAAAAAGGAAATGGAAATATTAAAAACCAAACCAAGACTTCAATGTGAAGTCTTCAGTTACTCACCAATTGCTAATGCAATTGTGTCTAGTTTTGAGATTAGGGATCAGACTGTGCCTGTGTCCATCCTACAGAAAAATCATCTATTTTTTTCCACACTGAAATTTAAGAGAACTTACTGAAGTTAACATATTCCATTCTGGGAAGTGAATTATAATGTGTAATTATTACAATTACCACAACTGGAATGTAACAGGGTTATTTTTCAGAGAACAGAATTTGTCAGAAGGAGAAGGAAGAAAAAGAGATTATGAATGATTAAATAAATTTCTATTGGATATACAAAAAGTCAAAACTTTTCAATACATACAGCTTAGCTTCTAGAATAACTATTTACTGTTGAGACTCTCTTTCCAAAGTTATTTGTGCTACTCCTTCTTCTTGTTCTTGTGCATAGAGTGATAATACATTAAGAATTTCTGGCCAGGCGCAGTGGCTCATGCCAGTAATCCCAGCACTTTGGGAGGCCGAGGCGGGTGGATCACGAGGTCAGGAGATCAACACCATCCTGGCTAACAAGGTGAAACCCCGTCTCTATTAAAAACACAAAAAAATTACCCGGGCATGGTGGCGGGCGCCTGTAGTCCCAGCTACTCAGGAGGCTGAGGCAGGAGAATGGCGTGAACCCGGGAGGCAGAGCTTGCAGTGAGCCAAGATCGCGCCACTGGACTCCAGCCTGGGCAACAGAGCGAGACTCCGTCTCAAAAAAAAAAAAAAGAATTTCTGTAGGAGATCTTCCAAATTACTGCTTACATACATGTATATTCTATTACAAAAATTACACCACTCAATGTAGTCTAAATTATTGAGAGTAAATTGTAGCCATTCTTTTACATGTTTTCTGAACTTAGTTGCCAATAATCATAATCATTAGCTTTTCAAGGTTTGCTCTGAAACTTACAAACCATGCAAAAGTGAAAACTTAGGCTTAACATATTTGGCAATTTAAATCAACTAAATTGAATCAATCTAAATACTGCTTTGCAAAGTAAAAAAGGAATCAAAATGACACATAAGACAATCACTAATCCCTATATTTTTAGGGTCTATTTCAAGAAATTTACTACTACTTCTTACCAGCCTAAGGACTGTGTAAGAAGGAAATACAGTATACATACAGGGAAGCCAACTGTTTTAATGATACCTTTTAAAAATAAAGATTTGTATGCCAGTCTTATCACCAAACATTCATTAATCCCTTAATACAATCTCTCCTCAGAAAATTCACGAAGACACAGCTGGTAACTTTAATAGGAAAATTTTTAATTTATAAATTGTAGCTCCTAAAACTTAACTCTAAAAAATCACTAACTTAACTCCTGCTGCTGCCACCAAATTATTTATTCTGAATGTTCTGAATTATTTATTCTGAATCATAAGCTAAGATTTTGTTATAAAACACTGTTCAATGTGGATTGCAAATGTTAAGAAAAAAAAAGCAACAACAATACAACTTTAGCCCTTATTAGTTATTGTATTCATGTCAGAATACATTAAACTTCAATAAAGACTAGCAAGCCTATCTGGCCAAGGCACTAGAACACACAACTACATTTCTTCTACATTTTCCAAAGAGACCACAACCAATTTTCTTTATAAATAGTTAGAAAACCAGTCTCAGAAAATCAGACATTTTTGCAATAAAAAAATTCAAGTATAGCCAATACAAACATTTCATATCCTCTTAAATCATACTTTCAAAACTTATCTATACGTAAAACTGGAAAATTCCAGAATCTGTATTAATTAGACAAGAGATAAGCAAAGTTCAAATACTTAAATCACCCACTCCAACAATTAAAAAAATTCAGTCTTTTGTAAATAATCTTACTTTTAAAACAGACAAAAATATAAAAAAGCTAACATTATCTTTTACAAAGATAAATACTGAAAATAAAGATTACCTGGTTAAAAAGCAGTATCAAAAGTTCAAATTAATTACCACACAAGAATTTTCACTAAAATTATGAAACATAAAAAATCATAAATTCATTTACCACAAAAAAGTAACTTCTGCACTAAACCTATGGAACAAACAAAAAAATAAATACAATTTAATCTTACTGAACCAAACTAGAAGTTGTATTCTACTTAACTAAGATGTACTCCATCTTAGGTAAATATGATTAATATCCACTTTAATTATTTGTGATGGAGATGGTTAGAATAGGGCATAGCAGCAGGGGTCTATTCCACTAACATTATACCTGGCTGGGTGCCTGTAATCCCAGCTACCAGGTAGGCTGAGGCAGGAGGATCACTTGAGACCAGTTCAAGTCCAGTCTATACAACAGAAAGAGACCTCATCTCTTAACCCCAACCCCCAAAAAAGACTGTCTGAATAGAATTTTGATGAAAAATTGTAAATTTCACATTTTTATAGATTTTTAAACACCAAGCAATGACTTTAAACAGTGATTTTAGTATTTCCACTGCATATTCATTCCTCCATTCTGTTTTTAATTAAAATTAGCCACAATGTTTAGGAAAACAACTGTTTTTCCACTTTAAAAAAACCAACTAGGCCTGGTGTGGTGGCTCATGCCTGTAATCCCACCCAGCACTTTGGGAGGCCAAGGCAGGCGGATCACCTGGGGTCAGGAGTTCGAGACCTGCCTGGCCAACATGGTGAAACACTGTCTCTACTAAAAATACAAAAATTATCCAGGTATGGTGGCGAGTGCCTCTAATCCCAGCTACTCGGGAGGCTGAGGCAGGAGAATCGCTTGAACCTGGGAGGTGGAGGTTGCAGTGAGCTGACATCATGCCACTGTACTCCAGCTTGGGTGATCCAGAGAAAGACTCTGTCTCAAAAAAAAAAAAAAAAATCACTAAAGCTGGTGCAGTGGCTCATGCCTGTAATCTCAGCACTTTGGGAGGATCACTTGAGGCCAGGAGTACAAGACCAGTTTGGGAAACAAGGCAAGACCCCATCTCTACAAAAAAATTTTTTTAATGCAAAATAAGCCAGGTGTGGCAGTGCATGCTTGAAGTCCCAGCTACTTGGGATGCTGAGAAAGGAGGACCTCTTGAGCCTAGGAGTTCAAGGTTTCAGCAAGCTATGATCACGCCACCACACTCCATCCAGCCCACGTAGCAGGACAAGACCTTGTTTGTTTAATTCTGAGTAAGAATGTTAGCTTTCCAGCCTCAGTAAGATTTATTTATTTATTTGGACTCTGTGATGCAACAGTAGTTGGCTAACATTATAATGTAAAAAATTAATTGGTAATGACGAATGATCTCTAACTGATTATTATTTAGTAGTCAGAACTAGGAGATGAAGACAAGTCTATAATAAAATCTGGAAATTAAAATAAACTTAATATGAACATATTTCCTCATAATCTGTTTCTCCCAAAGGTAATACTCTACTTTCCAAAAATAAATGTAAAAGTTATTTTAAAAAAACTAATTTTTTTTTTTGAGAAGGAGTCTCACTCTGTCTCACAGGCTGGAGTGCAAGTGGCGCAATCTCTGCTTACTGCAAACTCTGCCTCCCAGGTTCAAGCGATTCTCCCCCCTCAGCCTCCCAAGTAGCTGGGATTACAGGCACACACCACCACACCCAGCTGATTTTTGTATTTTAAGTAGAGATGTGGTTTCACTGTGTCAGACAGGCTGGTCTCAAACTCCTGACCTCAGGTGATCTGCCCACCTCGGCCTCCCAAAGTGCTGGGATTACAGGTGTTAGCCACCGTGCCCGGCCAAAAAGCTAAATTTATAGTACTATTACTCCTAAGTTTATGAAGACAGACAGAAAGAAAGGGACATATAGTCTACCTAAGAGTTGTTTCACCTGTCCCAAAATGAAATCCTTTTGTACAATTTTCAAACTGCGCTAATCTACAGAATAAAATACTTAGAAACACAAGTCCAAACACCAACAAGTATTACTCTGAAATAAAAGAATATATGAAAACATAGATGAAGATGTGTATATGTATACAATATACATTTACACACAAAACATGAATTAGCATATTCTTACATCGTAGTTAAGATGAACAAATATATACAAACACACGTATTAAACAAGATAAAGGTAATATTCATTCAAATGTTAACAGCACTGAATAGTACAAATAAAATCATATTCTTATTTCACTAAAGGCAATGTAACAAAGACCTTGTTGATAGCAGTGAATCTAGTTTTTGGCCTGACAACTTAAAAAGTAATATAAAGATGTGAGAGAATATCTAAAGTTGAAAGGAATAGCAAAAGGTTTTAAAACAAAGAAATACTATGGGATTCAAGATGTGCTGGTTTAGGAGAAAGCTTAAAGGCCACAAAATATTATGTAAAACATATAAAGAATCATAATGCTTAATTTTTAAGACAGCATTGTAATTAGCTGGGTTTTTTTTCCCCTAAAAAGAGTAAATCAAAAAAGTAAATCAAAACTGTTGAAGAAATATTCTTCAGAAGACATTGGTAACAATGGTATTAAGAGAAGTAGTAGTGTTTTTTTCCTCATGTTGCAAAGAGAAATGCTTAATTATCTAGGTTAGTCTAGGTAAAGCTTGGTTTGAAGGCAGGGGATGAATGACAAGACCTCTGAAATGAATTCCATCTCAGTTTTTAATTTTATATGAAGAAACACATCTAAAAACTATCCAGTGAGAGAAATATAATTTGCTCTACAGAAAAATTAGTACTAGAAGATATTCTATAGTACAAATCCTCTTATGACCATGTTAAGCAACTGTCCAAAATATTTTTATACTAGAATTATATCACATTAAATTGAACAGAGAGAAGTAAAACATTATTAGAATCACTTTATCCCTTCAAGAACTGGCAAGCATGTGGGGTTAGGGAGATGGGTTGAGAAGGAGGATGATAACTATGTATGCATTACAAGATGAATATGCATATTATGAAGAAAACTCCCCAGGTGACTGATATACCTACTATCTAACATTTGCTGGGGAATTTTGTTTGAACTAAGTGATGTGCTGATTATAGCTAAGAAATAATTTTGTCACACAGATCAATCAGCTGAAATATAATTTTACCTGTCTAATGAATAGAGAAAACTAAGGTACCCTATACCAAGTCAGTATTTCTTGCATATTTAAGGTAGTGAAGGAAAAACCGTAAAGTTTTATGAAAAGTTAGATTTAGATATGAACTATTAAAAAACTGTTCAATAGTGTCTATAAAATAGATAAATTAGTTTAAAATTCGATTGTAGAAAAACATCCTAGCTCCTACCCACCACTCTATTACTCAGGTGCTTCCATAACAGCCAAGAGTATTACAACAAGAGAATATAAAAACATTTAAAATACAATTTCATATATTTTTATTTACACTTTAACAACTTGCTGGGAATTTAAACAACTTGCTGGGAACATCCTTTGTGAGGCACTGTAGCCTTTTTTTATTTGAAACTACTTAAACTCCAAGACAGGCTCACTAACTCTTTTTCAAGTGCAACAACAAATGTGTTAGCTGAAAATAGCTAATTTAATGATTATTTGTGACACAGACACGATTATGTGAGCCAAGAGAGCCTCCCCACCTCTGTCTCCCCTGTGGAGGAGGAGGTCTTTGTGTGCTTTTGTGTGATGGTTCCACTGAATTCATTACAATAGAAATGGACATTTGATATTCATAACGATCCAACATCTGAGCAATCTTCTTTCGAGACACACCATGTTTATTCCTCCTAACAAAAAAGAAAAGGATTGTAAATCTTTGTTGCAGAATGTACAGGCTTAGAGATTAACTGTTTTAGAGAAAAAGCACACAAATTCTAAATAATATTTTGTAAATAAACAATATATATTTCATCTGTCCACATTTTATGTAAAAAGACTTATTAAAAACTCAAATGTTTTTATCAATATTTTAAAAAGGTATAAAGATTCCATATATCACAGAAAAATGTTAATTACATCCTTTTCACATAGAACTACCTATTCACTGAGCCTGCTGACTATATCCCCTTGTTAATAACAAAATTAAAGATTATGAAATACTGTTTTAAGAATTACAGAAAGATTGAGTGGACTTCTAGGACTTGCAAAAATTGAAGTAAAATATCACTTTTTAGAAGTTATTTATGACAGTTGCTATCACATTTTAAAATGGGCAACACCAAATTATTATTACAGACACAATTTGAACATCTCTTACAAACATAATGTTGAGTGAAATAAATTAGACACAATGTATATAAACTGTAGGATTCCATATATATATGTATTATACATAATATAAAGCTTTGATAAAAGGCAAAACTAAACTATGGTATTTTTTTAACCTTGCCCCTGCCCCCAAACTATGATATTAAGGCCAAAGATATTATGGCAAAACTTTAAAAAAAGAGATTATGATTACCCAGGCAAAACAATGGCTACCTTTAGAGAATAAAAGGTAACTGTGACTGGGAAGAGGAATGCAAAGAGCTTCTGAGATGCTGGCAATGCTCCCATGACATGGGTGATAGCTAAACGTGTGTTGATCTTGTAAGAACTTTGTTAAGTTATATATTTATATTTATGTACTTTTCTGTATGTGAGGTTATATGACACTAAAAAGTGGTTTAAAATTTATTCTGGACCCTCAAAGAACTCCTGACAACTTATTTTACCCTCATAGTTTTCTGTAACTTGACCTGGACATGACAAAACATACAGGAAACATATTTTTACATTTATCATTCTAGATGTACAAATGCCAATTTATTTATCTTGGAAAAAGGCCAGAAATGTTTACTTTTCAATGCTGATGTTTACATTCAAGATAAGAAAAGAAAGCAAAAAAGATAGAAGAAAAAATGCGATGAAGTTGAAAATTGGCAAGATATGACTAAATCTGGCTGGGTGCAGTGCTGAGGCCAGCGGAATGCTTGGGCCCAGGAGTTCAAGAGCCCAGTGTAGGCAATATGGCAAAACCGTCTCTACCAAAAAAAAAAAAAAAAAATTAGCTGGGCATGGTGGTGGTGCACACTTGTAGTCCCAGTTACTCCCAAGGTGGGTAGATCGCTTGAGTCCAGGAGGAAGAGGTTGCAGTGAGCCAAGATCGTCACTGCAAGCCGGGTGCAGTGGCTCACACCTGTAATCCCAGCACTTTTGGGAGGCCAAGGTGGGTGGATTGCTTGAGGTCAGGAGCTCAAGACCAGCCTAACCAACATGGTGAAACTCCGTCTCTACTAAAAATACAAAAAATAGCCAGGCGTAGTGGCAGGTGCCTGTATGCCCAGCTACTCAGGAGGCTGAAGCAGGGGAATCGCTTGAACCTGGGAGGCAGAAGTAAGCTGAGATCGCCCCACTGAACTCCAGCCTGGGAAACAAAATGAGACTCTGTCTGAAAAAAATAAAAATAAAAAAAGATCACTACTGCACTCCAGCCTGGGTGACAGCAGTAGACCCTGTCTCAAAAAATGTTTTTTAATTTAAAAAAAAAGACTAAATCCACAAGATGCCAATATTTATGATTCAATCAATCCTTTTCAAAAATCAAGCTACACCAGGTATCAGTTAAACTGGCTTTGTTATATAAAGGTAAATTTATATTAAGAAAATAATAAATTTTAACAATTCCTCAAAAATGTAATGAAGCCATAACTGCATAGCATTTTATCATTCATTTATTCAGCATTACTCAAATATTTTTAATTTTTAAGCTTCTGTCTCTTCCACCTCAGGTATGATACACACACACAGCTAGGCAGGCAAAAAATATCAGATACTAATACTAATCTGTTTGTCTATCTATACATGACCACACAGCATACAAATCAGAAAAAGAAAGTAGCCAAAGGAATGAAAGGCAAGAGGGAAGTAAATTAGTTGGACCCCATACACAGAGTAACAGCTTGAAGCAAACTGAGGTAGAAGGGGAAAAACTGGTTTAAAAAAAGAGGAGTGAAGGTTGCACAACTCTGTGAATATACAGAAAAACACTGAATTGTATGCAATTAAATAGGTGAATTGTAAGGGTACGTGAATTTTATCGCAATAAAGTTGTTACCTAAAAACGGGTGGGAAGGTGGGGACGAGGAAGACGATAAAAGTTAAAAAAAAAAAAAAAGGCCAGGCGTGGTGGCTCATGCCTTTAATCCCAGCACTCTGGGAGGCCGAGCAAGGTGGGCAGATCACGAGGTCAGGAAATCAAGACCATCCTGGCTAACACGGTGAAACCCCGTCTCTACTAAAAATACAAAAAAATTAGCCGGGAGTGGTGGCCAGCACCTATAGTCCCACCCATTGGAGAGGCTGAGGCAGGAGAATGGCATGAACCTGGGAGGCGGAGCTTGCAGTGAGCTGAGATTGCACCACTGCACTCCAGCCTGGGCAACAGAGCGAGACTCCATCTCAAAAAAAAAAAAGTAAAGGAAAAAAAAAAGGAATAACAGTCAGGAAACACAGTGATATGAAGGGAAAAGGTAAAGATAGGTACAAATGGAAGAGTTAGGACTGAAAATAGAAGTTCACAATCTCTCACCACAATTACTGAAATCTGGTTAAGCTGCGAAAACTCAGTTCTCCCTGACTCATTTGGCAGCAAACTCTACCCATATCTGTACTCATTTGGCAGAACAACTTACTCAGAATTGACTTTACATTATGCAGATTCTTTGTTATTTACTTGAATTGACTAGTCATGATTTGCTGCAGAAATATTAAGATGTTTGATTATAACATGCTCCCCCAAACTCTGAAAAGGGAGTTAAGATTAGATGTATATGCACTATATTACCTTTCAAAAATTGCTAAAACCTAAATTCCAAAACACATTGATTCCAAGGATCTTGGTATAATACTACGGTCCTGTAGTTGAAAAGATAGAAAAGTGGGAGCAACATGAAAGCACAAAGTAAAAAGTTGATGGGACCTAAAATGAGAAGGAGATGAAGGCAGAAGGACAATGCAGAGAAGTGGCCTAGCCAAAAACCAGAGAAAAAAGGTCCTCACATTTTACCCTCAGTTTCCTGAACCTACATTTGTATTCAATAAACTGTGAAAGGATGTCAGAATTCACAAAAGAAAGAAGAAAAGTTAAGGATTCAATAAAAATTCGAGTGTCTTACTTTTCTAATTCTTCAGGATCAAATTTCCACCAAGTTTCAGGTTCATGAAACTCTACTCTGTATCCTTTTCCTATGGCCTACACAAAGGAAAGGAAGAAAACAAAAACCCAGAGAAGTACTTCTTAAAGTAAAAAGAAGGCAGACAGTTAAATTTCATTTCGACAATACTATACACTTGCTCGACCAAGAAAAATGACGCTTTATAAAATAATATGGTTTATAACAGTTAAGACTATTTAACCGGATAAATTTTGATTACTATTCTCAAGGAATAGTAATTCCTTAAGATTACTATCCTTAAGGAAAGTCAAAACAATATGAGGCTGGGCGTGGTGGCTCATGCCTGTAATCCCAGCACTTTGGGAGGCTGAGCACGGCAGATGGGCTGAGCTCAGGAGTTCGAGACCAGCCTGGCCAACATGGTGAAACCCTGTCTCTACTAAAAATACAAAAATTAGCTGGGCATGGGGGCAGGCACCTATAATCTCAGCTACTCAGGTGGCTGAGGCAGGAGAATCGCTTCAACTGGGGAGGCGGAGCTTGCAGTGAGCCAAGATGGTGCCACTGCACTCCAGCCTGGGTGACAGAGCGAGACTCCGTCTCAAAAAAACAAACAAAAATTAACAAGATGAACATGTTCCTTAAAAAACATCATTCACAATTTTTTTAAAAACTAAGCAAACCAACAAACCTCTTTAGAAAACAAAGGACAAATGTTTTAATAATCAAGATCCAACCAGCCAAAATTTTAGAATGTGAAAAAATTGACAAGAATAAAAAATAAAAACTTTCTCATGTTTCATATTTACCACTTCCACATATGGCTTCATTTCCCAAGCTTGTATATTAGTGTTATCTATTATAACTGGAGATCTTCCCTGATCGATAGCTTGTTTTGCTGAAATAAAATATAAATTTAAAAATAAAAAAACAAATTAGGTTAAAACACACAAAAGTTAAACATTTATTATTAAGAAATGTACTACGTCTCTGTACTTAAAACCAAAACTGTGCAATCTCTTCAGTCAGTATCATGAAAAAAAGAACTCCACTAGATTGAAAGGGAATTAAAGGACACAACCATATGCCAGGTGCATTCTCCAGACTGGATGCTGGCTTTGACAAACTGGCTCTGAAAGGCATTTTGCTGAACTTACAGCTAATAAAGGCTTCAAGTCTAGGACTAACTTTCACTTATGGGAAATATAAGAGATGAACAATTTACATCTGAATATAGACTAAGTAAGAGAAGAGGTGAAAAATTATTTTGACACGGAAGGATGGAGGTTATTAAATGAAAATGGCAAGTTACAAGACAATAGTTAAATATGATCCTATTTAAGTCAAAAGATAGAGCTGGGGAAGACTTATGGAGATATTAAAATTGGTCGCCTGTAGGTGGTAAGAATATTTTCATTTAATATTTTATCTGTATTTTCTCTTTTTTGGGAAAGTTACCGCAGATGATTATCTGTATTTTCTAATTTTCTACAATGTACAAATAATGCTTTTGAAGTAAGGCTTATGTTTTTGAAAAGTTATGGATTTAAGTCATTACTTACCAGCAAAACTTTATATGCCAAGTAGCTAAAAATCATAGTTCAACTGACTTTGTGGATATTTCTTAGAACTATGGTCCTCAAATTGTGAGTTGCTGTAGAATGGAACTTTTCTGAACTATTATCTCCCATCCAAATGCCATCTTTTGCACTATGAGATAAGAATCACTGTCACAAGGCTGGGTGTGGTAGCTCACACCTATAATCCCAGCACTTTGGGAGGCCAAAGCAGGTGGATCACCAGAGGTCAGGAATTCAAGACCACCCTGGCCAAAATGGCAAAACCTCATCTCTATTAAAAATAAAAAAATTAGCCAGGTGTGGTGGTATGCGCCTGTAGTCCCAGCTACTTGGGAGGCTGAGGCACGAGAATCACTTGAACCTTATGAAGTGGAGGTTGCTGTGAGCCAAGATGACGCCGCAGCACTACAGCCTGAGCAAAGAGTGAGACTCTGTCTCAAAAAAAAAAAAAAGGCCAGGCATGGTGGTTCACACCTGTAATCCTAGTCCTTAGGGAGGCCAAGGCAGGTGGATCACAAGGTCAGCAGTTCAAGACCACCATGGCCAAGATGGTGAAAAGCCATCTCTACTCAAAATACAAAAATTAGCTAGGCATGGTGGCAGGCGCCTGTAATCCCAGCTACTTGGGAGGCTGAGCAAGAGAACTGCTTAAACCTGGGAGGCGGAGGTTGCAGTGAGCCAAGATCGCACCACTGCACTCCAGCCTGGGTGACAGAGCAAGACTCCGTCTCAAAAAAAAAAAAAAAAAAATTAAAAGGCTGACGCAAAACCAAACATCATATGTTCTCACTCATAAGTGGGAGCTAAGCTATGAGGATCCAAAGGCATAAGAATGACTCAACTCTGGAGACTCAGGGGGAAAGGGTGGGAAGGGAGTGAGGGATAAAAGACTACAAATAGGATGCAGTGTATACTGCTTGGGTGATGGGTGCACCAAAATCTTACAAATAACCACTAAAGAACCTACTCATGTAACCAAACACCTCTTGTTCCCCATTACACTATGGGGAAAAGAAGCCTGAAGCAAAATGCAAAGATGTGGAAATTTTCTCAGGAGTTAGAATTCAAACCACTAAGTTCAACAGAATGAAAACATTTATACAGATGTCTAGGACAGACAGAATGCTAAAGGTCAGTTAGAATAATCACTATGGGGAAATACATATTTGGGAGATGTCTCTAAATACCAAAAGAAATTTAGAATTTGGGTCATAAATAGGTGCCATCATCTATTAGTGCTAGCTTGGTGCTAGCACCAAGACACTATCATCTCCCACTGCTCCGTCTCTAATCATAGTGATCAAATCTTCCATTCAAAAGCTTATTAAAATTATTCTCCTAATGTCTGATAGGCTCACACATCCAAGGAGTTGTGTTCCAGAAAAGAAGTTTTATTGATCAAATAAATTTCTGATTTTACGAATGGGGAGATTATCTTCTTTCCATTATCATCCAATACCATAGTCTAGTACATTCCATGCAAAAAGAGCTCCTAAGTAAAAACATGTTTGAATACCCAAATAATGGGAATAGTTTTCTTAAACAAATGAACTATCATACTGTTAGAAAGAGAAGAACTACACTTTGGAGATGTTTTCGATTTTAAGTGTTCTAAAATTAATTTAGATTATTTCAATAATAAACATGAAGCAGACAGATTTTCATAGAATGGTGCCTAGCATTTAAATATATTCAAGTTCATATTTATTATTCTGGTTTAATAATAAGATACCATTATTCCATTTAGGAAGTATAATTAACATAATTCAAATGACATAAACATTTTAATGAAATATTCTGTACTAGTTTGTTTGTTTGTTTGTTTGTTGAGACAGAATCTTGCCCTGTCACCCAGACTGGAGTGCAGTAGCATGATCTCAGCTCACTGCAGCCTTGACCTCCCTGCCTCAAGCAATCCTCCTATCTCAGCCTCCCAAGTAGCTTAGACTACAGGTGTGCACCACCACACCTGGCTAATTTTTCTACTTTTTGTAGAGATGGGGTTTCATCATGTTGCCCAGGCTGGTCTCTAACTCCTGGGCTCAAGTGATCTGCCCGCCTCGGCCTCCCAAAGTGCTGGGATTATAGGCATGAGCCACTGCACCCAGCTATGCCAGTACTGCAAAGAGAAAAAAAATGTCCCACGCAAATAAACTTACTAGTTCACCAAAGGTATACTGGCTCTGCCCTGTCTATTCATTCAACTTATCAACTAATCTTGCTCCCCTTACCTTTAGGCCAGTAACTCCAAACATTTGCAGAATTGCAATACCATCATTATTTGATTTGAGCAAAAATGTTCTATGGCATTAAAAAAATAAAAAAATTAATATTTTTTTAGACTGCTATGCCACCCTCTAATATATTTGGAGAAATTCTAGAGCGTTATAAAATAAATACTAGGAAACAGTCTTATGATCAAACTTATCTGATGTTTAAACATTCTTGTGAAACTATAAATTGTAACAGCGTGAAAACTTTTAACTCGAAACCATCCTCAGCCAGGCACTGTGGCTCATTCAAAATTCTACAAAGTTTTTTTAAAAAATAGCTGGGTGTGCTGGTACACGTATGTAGTCCCAGCTACCTGCCTGTAGTCCTAGTTACTCAGGAGGCTGAGGCAGGAGGATCCCTTGAGTCCAGGAATTCGAGGCTGCACTGAGCTATGATTGTGTCACTACGCTCTAGCCTGGGCAACAAAGCAAGACCCCATCTCTAAAACACACACAAACATCCTCACTGAAATTCCTTACTGTATTTGACAATTAAAAAGAAAAGCATTACTATTTTTCTTGTATATATTATACTTTAGGGCAACCCTAGTTGGCAGCTTTGAGAGAAGTTCTTCATTACAGAAGAATTCCATTAAACATGGAAGGAATAACTAAACTAAAAATCATCACTTTGCAATTCTGAATGAAATAACTGACTCAGGAAACAATTTATTATTGGATAAAACCATCAGATATAAGGTTAATAGGGAACTTGACAGCAGACAGAGGGAAGAGGTTGTCCCTGTGCAGCTACTGATTAAGCTCACCATTACTAAGAACAGGACAACCAAATATCTGCTTGCCAAAAAAAAAAAAAAAAAAATGTTGAACCTAATCAAGCCTCTAATCTAGAGCTAATTTCCATTCACAGAAAACAAAGAAGAGGAGCAAGTTAAACGGTTAACACCAAGAAGCAAATAGACAACTACAGCATGTGGAACTTTCTACAGGACAAACAACATAGTTTCTGCAACAAGTTAATGGTATGAGAGTTAAAAGAAGGAACATGCTATGGATTAACTTAATTAAATAAAACAAAATGCATTTTGAGGACTTCGTTTGGATCCCAATTCAAACAAAATAACTGTGAAGAGATTTTTTCGAACAACAGAGGAGATTCAATTACACACTGGGTTACATGATCTGAAGGAACTGGCATTTTTTTAAATGTGTGATAACGGCACTGAAGTGAAAGATGTGATTAGTAAAAAAGTTATTTTGAAATGTATAAAGTATGATGTCTAGAATTTGCTTTAAAAAGAGAAAGGGGTACAAACAAAAAGATAAAAGCCCATATACCAAAATCTCAATACCTGATAATTCTGGGTGATGGGTCTATGAGGTTCATTACAGTCTCTTTAATCTGTTTAAAATTTTTCATAATAAAAGCTATTTGTTTAATCATCAATCCATTCTTTTAAAATAACATAGCATATGTATTTACTTATAGTTCAGATCAACAGTTTTCAATTCTGACTATACATCAGAATCGTCTGGAGAAATTTCAAAACAAAAAGTATCAATGTTTAGGCCCCACCCCAGATCAATGAAACCAAAATATCTAAGGCTGAGGCCAGGCACACTTTTTGTCTGTTTTTTTTTTTTTTTTTTTTTTTTTTTTGCTTTTTTTTAAAGTCCCCAAGAAATTCAAAAGTGTAGCCCAGGTTAAGAACCCCTATTAATGATAAACAGAAATTGACCCATGTCCGCTAAAAAATGTATTAAGTAGGTTTCTTGTAGAGCAATATCAATGAGAAAAACTTTTAATATTCACAACCAGTATATTAAGCCTTGGAAAACATTAGCATTATTCTCGGGGAAATAACTTTGGGACTACATAACAATGGTACAGATTCAAAGTTCTCTGAATTTACTCATCAAGTATAAAATAAAGCCTCTTAAAATATCCCATGCTGCTATTATTTTACCAGCTTATACTGATAAACTATTTACAGTTTACAAAGCGTTTTATCTAAATTCTCTGCTTTTCACAAAAACCCTGATCAGGTAGGGCAAGTATAATTATCACCACCTCTAACAGATGGAGAAATTAGGTCTCAAAGCTATTTAAACGGCTTGCCTACAGTCATTCAGCTGGTAAAAACCTAAGCTGAAAATAAAATCTAGGTCTTTTGACTCCTAGCCAAATATTCTATCCTGGGACACTTAGCCCAAAACAAACCTCTGTTCTGGTTCCAGTCATGGGCATCACCAAGTTGATTAACATTATACCTGTACCCATCTTGATGGTGAAAATAGTCATCAGTGCTGAACACAATGCCATCACGATTCTGACCAAGCAGAATTCTGTTAATAAAAGAAATCATAAAGGTGCCATTTACAAAATCTATAACCATCAGAAATAAACTATCAGAAATAAATATAACCAAGTGAAATAAATCACACAGGAAAGGTTATTAAATGGATTTCTGATACTTACCTGAAAGTATATCACGAACAGACCAGCACAAGAGCTGAATAATCTTACAAAGATTTCAGATTTCAAATCACTTTACACTTAAATCTACACAATTACAGATGCTAACAGAAACTCTTTTTTTTTTTTTTTTTAGATGGTCTCTGTCGCCCAGGCTGGAGTGCAGTGGCACGATCTTGGCTCACTGCAACCTCCGCCTCCCGGGTTCAAGTGATTCTCCTGCCTCAGCCTCCTGAGTAGCTGGGATTACAAGCATGTGCCACCATGCCTGGCTAATTTTTGCATTTTTAGTACAGACAGGGTTTCACCATGTTGGTCAGGCTGGTGTTGAACTCCTGACCTCTTGATCCACCTGCCTCGGCCTCCCAAAGTGCTGGGATTACAGGCATGAGCCACCGTGCCTGGCCATAACAAAAACTTTTTGAAGCAGCATTTGTATTGCAACTTTTTAAAACATTATTTACCCAATCTCAAAATTATATCAACTATTATCCATGTTTTCACTTTAGTATATTTTTATTTGCCTCAATCTAGTGCAACAGGTAACCTAAAAAGCAAGTAAGCCTAAGCAAGCAATTCATTTAGAAAAAACCATATGTGACTCTAGACAGCTTTAATAAACTCATTTCCATGAAGCATATATGATCCTCTAGTGAAAGTCGGAAATAGTTGGAGGCTTAAGGTTATGGAACAATCTGTGATCCTCCAAAGTATAATCAAACTTTAAATTTTTAAGAACTTAAGTCGTTAAATGAAATTATTAAACACTAAATAAAAAACTCTCAGTTCAGGTCAATGATAATCAAGCTTTGTTTTGAAAACGATACTGCCTTAAATTGACAAGTACAGCAAGATTAACAAGTACTCAGAACTCTCATTACCAATGACTCATGAAAGAAATTGGGAGTGTGCTATGATAGGGAAAATGCAGCAAGATAATGATTTGGATCCAAGAACAACAACGAGAGTATTTTGTTGTTTCTCTCCTCTCCTTGAACCATTAGGCATTTGGATATCACTGTATAATTTTGAGGGGATTGGTGGGATGGAAGGTGGTATATTAATAGAAGGAATTGAGAGTAAAAGAATATTGGCCTGGAATGATTCAAGCTTACTTACCTCTCACTAAAAAAATAGTAGGAAGGGTTTAAACTATTAAGATGACAAGTGTCATCTCTCCATCCCTCAGCTTATAATGGTATCATATACAGTTCTCTCCCTCAATATCCATGGGAGATTGGTTCCAGGACCACACTTGCTGCTCAAGCCCTTGATATAAAAATGGCTGTTTGCATATAAACTATGCACATCCTCCCATACACTTTAACTCATCTCTGGATTATTTATAATACCTAATACTCTACAATGTGAATATTATGTAAATAGTTGTTATACTGTATTGTTTAGGAAATAACAAGGAAAAAAGTCTGTACATTTCAATACAGATGCAATATTTTTTCTCAAATACTTTCAGTCCAAAGTTCGTTGAATTCACTGATGTGGAATCAACAAATATGGAGGGCCAGTGGTGTATTTTATAAAATCACTTGTATCAAAAGAAAACAATTTAAGTATGTATAGGTTGGTGTGAACGTAATTGCAGTTTTTGCCATTAAAATGCCAATTAAAAACTGTGATTACTTTTGCACAAACCTCTATTTCCACTTACAGAATTACAGTTCAAATCACTTCAGACAAACCAAATGTAAATTAATGGGTTGGGTTGTGTGTTTGCTTTTTGGGAGACTGGAGTTGGATTTCTTTTTCAAGCAGCCATGATTTATCCAAAACATGTCTATCTGACATATTTGGCATCTTACTGCTTATACAGATAACCTAGAATATGAAAATGCCATGATATTAGCATTCTAAAGCAAAACTCAATCACCCAAAAAGAGATTTTGATTGTAACTGATCATGTGACATCTAATTATGTTCAACAGTACCAGAAATCCAGATAACACCTTGTCTAGATACTTTATGCTTCCTTTTTTGTTTTTTTTTTTGTTTCGTTTTGTTTTGTTTTTTCCATTCTATTACTTTATTAGCAGGTCATTTCTTTTCTTTTCTTTTTTTTTTTTAGACAAGAGTCCGACTCTATTGCCCAGGCTGGAGTGCAGTGGTGTGATCTCGGCTCACTGCAACCTCCACCTCCCAAGTTCAAGTGGTTCTCCTGCCTCAGCCTCCTGAGTAGCTGTGACTACAGGCACGTGCCATCACGCCCGGCTAATTTTTGTATTTTTATTAGAGATGGGGTTTCACCATGTTGGCCAGGCTAGTCTTGAACTCCTGACCTCAGGTGATCCTCCCACCTCAGCCTCCTAAAGTGCTGGGATTACAGGCGTGAGCCACCGTGCCCGGCACAGGTGATTTTTAAGATGTTAATAATATCATTCTACATGACAATCATATTTTTTGTATCTAAAAAACGGTTTAAATTTTCTCAAAATAAAAGGTGGGGGAGCAATACACCAATTTATATCATTAAAACAAGTCAACAATACATATGAACAAATCTCTATAAAGAACATTTTCTTAAATATATAAATCATAACTATAGTAAATAAGTTTAACTTGAAAAGACTTTTCCTCCCAGGCAGCATAGACTGTTTATGCATATTTTTCAAATTCCGTGAATTACTTCAAACCATGAAGCTTTATTTTATGGACTTAAAAAAACACCTATATGAATCTAGGAATATCTGAATGTCTTATCAAGCCTCTAAAGCAAAAATAAATTATTTAAGAACATCAGTATTTTCAAAATTCTTAGACTGTCAGAACTCTCAAGTCAGGTACTAAAATGGATTCTCAGAATGTCAAAATTTAGAAATGTGAGTAAGTCAAATATCTAATTTAAAAAAATCAAATCTGGGCTCATTGGCCACTTGATTTCTATTTTTTCAAAACAATAGCTATCTTTTTGAGAGCCTATTTTATGTCAAACATTTTACATAAATCTATGACCTCATTTAATCCTCATAAAAGCCTGCCAATTTGATAATAAACTAATCCAGGAGAAGAAATAATTTTGGCAAGTTAGATGGTAGTGGGAGAACTAAGATAAAGCACCTCCTTGACCCCAAAACCAAAGGCCTCCAATGATCCCTGCCTCCTGGTACTCACAACCTTGCATCCTCTTATCCTGCAGTATGCTTGGATTTAGTCCCTAGCTTCTAAGGAACAGAATATGATACAGGTGATGGGATGTCACTTCGGAGATTACTAAAAAAAAAAAAAAAAAAGTAGCTTCTGTCTTAGACTTGAGCTTGCATGCTTTCTCTTTCACTTTGAAAGAAATCAGCTGTCTTGTGAATGGACAGAGGCCAAGTAGCAAAGAAATGAGAGAAGCCTCCAGTCTCTAGCCAGCAAGGAACTGAAGTCTTCAATCCAACATAGCTCACAAGGAACTCAGTCCTGTCAACAATCTTGAGAGAGCTCTTAGAACCAGATCCTTCCCAAATCAAGCCTTCAGACCAGAAACAGTCCTAGCCAACATCTTGATCACAGCATTCTTAGAGACACTGAACCAAAGGCACCCAGGTAACTATAACCAGAGTCCAGACCTACAGAAACTACGAGGCAATATATGTTTGTTGCTTTAAACAACTAAGTTTTAGGGTAACCTGTTATACAGCCTTGAGTAATCAATGTACTCTATACTTATAATTTCTCACGTAAGAAACAAGTAAACCAAGAGAATCTGTTCCCAAAACAAGGCCTACAAGAGAGTCCATTTTCATGGTTTGGTTTTTAAATTTCTAAGAACTGAGCATTACTTTAATACTTTCATGTGCATTTACAAGTGATTTTCAAGAAAAATACAAAATCTAAGTAAAACTGACACATCATGAACACTTTTCCTCCTTATCTACTGAGTGCCTTTATATACTTCCTATCCTGAGACTACTTTACTGGGGTAATTCAATCTCTAAACACTCCCTGAATTAAGAATCAAGGGACCTATATGAAGAAAGACAAGTCTTTCCTCTGGAGTTAAGGAGACCTACCTCCTTCAAAAGAAGGGAGAAAAAAAAGTCTCCTCCCATCTCTCTCTAAACTACGGTAAGTATATTCATTTCTGTAACTTCTATAACACCACAAACGTAAAACAACAGGAATTTATCTTACAGTTCTGAAGGTCAGTAGTCCAAAATCAGTTTCACTGAGCTAAAAACAAAGTGTGTGCAGACGTGTGTTCCTTCTGGAGGCTCTACAGAATATGTTTCCTTGCCTTTTCCAGCTTCTAAAGGTTAGCTGCACACCTGGGCTTATGGGATGTTCCATCATCTTCAAAACCAGCAGTGCAGCATCTTCTCTCTTGACCTTTGCTTTTGGTCTTAACCCTTCTCTGACTAATTCCTCCTGCCTCCCTCTTATTAAGAACCTTTGTGATCACACTGGGCCAATCCAGTTATCCAGGACAGCCTCCCCATTGCAAGATCCTTAATCAAATTTGCAAAATCCAATTTACCATCTAACGCAACATATGCACAGGTTTTAGGGATTAAAACATGAGTATCTTTGGAGGGGTACATTATTCAGCCTACCATTGCAAATATCCACAATAATCTGTAAAACAGATGATAACAACAAAAAACTAATTTCTTAAATTCCCTCACTTTTCATTTATTAGGGGGTAAGAAAGATCCCACTGTTTTACTCATTCTCTCAAATTACTTTTAAAAACCTCTATTTTCTTCCAGTTTCCTTGCTGGTTTTGTTTTTACTCTTAGTCCTTTATCCATCTAGAAGTTATTTTTGTGAATGATTTAAGATAGGGGCTTTAAATATTTTTCCAGACTGACAATCAAATATCCTATTACCATGTATTGAATATTTTGCCCTACTAATATAAAATGTCATTTCATCAAATATTAAATTCTTTTATATGTAGGTTATGTTTCTGGATTCTCTTTTCTTTTTTCTTTTTTTTTTTTTTTTTTAAGACAGAGTCTTGCACTGTTGCCCAGGCTGGAGTGCAGTGGTGTGATCTCGGCTCACTGCAACCTCTGCCTCCCGGGTTCAAGCGATTCTCCTGCCTCAGCCTCCCAAGTAGCTGGGACTACAGGCACATGCCACCACGCCCAGCTCATTTTTGTATTTTTAGTAGAGATGGGGTTTCACAATGTTGGCCAGGATGGTCTCGATCTCTTGACCTCATGATCCACCTGCCTCAGCCTCCCAAAGTGCTGGGATCACAGGGGTGAGCCACCGGCACCCGGCCTTTTTTTAAAAAAAAAAAAATAGAGACAGGGTCTATGTTGCCCAAACTGATCTCACACTTCTGGCCTCAAGTGATGCTCCCCACCTCAGCCTCCCAAAGTGCTGGGATTACAGGTGTAAGCCACCACACCTAGCCTGTTTCTGGGTTCTCTAATTTTATCTATTTGTTCTTTTGCTAATAATTGCAAAATTTTAACTATAGTAGTTTCTAAATTTTAATAGCTGGTGGGATAAGTCTCGTTTTTTTAAACTGTCCTTGTTATAGTTACATACCAAACAAACTTTATAGGCTTCTCAAATTCATACAAAAATTCCTTTGGGATTTTGGTTAAAGTTTCACTGAATTTATAAATCAATTAGGGGGAAAAGTGACATCTTTATCGGGCTATCCTACCCATAAACACCCTATGGGCCAAAACTATGGCCAAGGCTATTATGGCCTACTGTCTCTCTCTCTCAGAATATCATCCGACATCTTGAATACTTACAATGTTAGAGACATGCTGATTGAGATGTGGGCAAAGACCAAATTAAGTAAGAAGGGGACTTGAACACTACCTCCAAAGAATATGAATTCTATCCAACTGCCTACACTCATTACCACATACCAAACATAAGCATTACTAATTTTTTTTTTTTTTTTTTTTTTTTGAGACAGGGTCTCAATCTGTCACCCAGGCTAGAAAGCAATGGCACGATCATGGCTCACTGTAGCCTCGGCAGCTCAGCCTCCCAAGTAGCTGGGATACCCAGGTTATCTAGGCTGGTCTTGAATTCCTGGGCTCAAACAATCTGCCTGCCTTGGCCTCCCAAAGTGCTGGGTTTTCAGGTGTGAGCCATCATGCCCAGCCAGTCTTTTAATTTGGTCCTCCAATCAGCTCAACTCTGATCTACCAATTTTCACTCTATTATTTTGTCAAAGCTTGTTTTGAATGTGAACTCCTATATGAAGCCATTCCTCACCAAAGAATATATGACTTTATATCTAATTCCAAATAACCAACACCAGTTCACTCAAAACGTGTTGACCTAAAGAGGTACAGACCAGGATCCTTGAAGTCAGGAGTCACGTATAAGACTACACAACCATTAAGCATTACAGTGAAGGCAAGGGAAAAACATACTATAATTTTATTGCTAGTTTGAGCTCTTACTAGTTTTTGTAACTTCCAAATCACTTAACCTCAACTTCCTTTAGCCTCTGCTCCTTCTATAAAATGAAAAAACAACCCATTGCACAAGATTTTTATATATGAAAATACTCTGTAAATTGTGAATCATAATACGAATGGTACTTGTTGGTACTACATACAACTTTCATTCTTATATATCTATTTTTCAAATAAATATACATATTATATCTAATCACCTCTACCATCTCCCACTACAATGTCTCCTTTAAATTCTATCGAATTTCCACTACTTTATTCACCTTTAATTTCAACATACTCCAATATGTTGTCTCAAATCTAACTTTTCTTCCTTAGGTTTCTTCTATACCCACTCTTAGTCAAGTGGTCCTAACTAGCAGACTCTTTTATCCAGTTTCCAAATTTCAGTTATTTATTGTCTCTGATGGTATATCCCAAATCTAGAAGACAGCCCATGTTTGTGAGACCTCACTCCTAACTTCTATTATTATAGAGGTGAAATTTCATCTTCTCTACAAAATCCTCACTAAAGTAAAAGGAATCAAAATACAAAGACCAAAATTTAATTCTGGAATGAATTAATTCATTCACAAAGATCACAGTTTATAATCTAGCTTGAAATATCACAAATTAAATCTTTCTCTAGTGTCTTTTCTCTGAAAAAGATGTTTATTTAGGTTTAGATTGTCTTGTTAGTAATATAAAACATTTGCAAAATGGTTTCTTGGACCTCTCCATCCTCACCCAAAGATATCAACAAATTTTCTTTTTCTCCTTGTCCGGCACAAATCTTGAATCATCTTATATAAACTCAAGATAATTTGTACTGCTTTCTTTACACTATTTTTTCACAACTGCATAAACATATTCAAGTGCATCAATAGTTTAAAAATGTAAACAAAAAAAGGAATTTGAAATATCTTGTAATACAATAAACCACCAACAGTTCTAACACCAATTCAGATATTACTCACTTCAAACTCCTGAATTTTAAGAAATCAAAAAAGGGTTCCTTCTGCCAATCAATGGTATGAACATGGCACAGTGCTCAACACATTCAAAATTCCTTTCCTTGGGTCATCTCATTTGATTCCCAATTCCAGAAAAAGTAAGTATCATTTATTCCATTAACAGAGAGCAAAACTTGCCCAAGGTGAAAAAGGGAAATAACTGAGTCAATACCCAAATTTTCTCTTTTTCTCACCTCCAACTGAACTTGAAAAACTCAAATTTTCTAACACTGAGTCCAACTTTCCTTGAACAGCTGACTCAAAAGGGTAGGCCAGGACAGTTCTCAAGTAGCATTTGCTTTCATCACTGCCATAATTATACGTAGTGTTATCTATTTTTAAAGCCCTTAGCAGAATCTAAATATAAACATATGCCAATTCTCCTTTCTTCTATCAGAAAAGATTTTTAAATAGTTACACTGTCAGATGCTATTCTCAAGTGTAGCAAATTAAAGATTTTCTTCTACTAGAAACATAAAAGCACTTGTCAGTGATTACAAGTATCATTATAGTTCTAACATTTTTATTTCATTTTTTAGAGACAGGGTCTCACTATGTTGCCCAGGCTGGTCTCAAACTCCTGAGCTCAAGTGACTGGTCCACCCTGGCCTCCCAAAGTGTTGGGATTACATGCATGAGTCACTGCAGCCGGCGACAAATATCATTTATAATTTTTAAATAATGAATTACCAAGTATTCAGTTGGTATCCTTTACTTACCGAGACAATGTTGTTTTCCCAGAACCAGGCAGACCTCTTAAAAGAATAAGTAACTTCTGCAATTTATTTAACTTTTCCTCTTGAAACTGCTGGTTCACAAACCTGTCTGTTCCATTATGCTTGTCCATACAATGATCTTTCCAGCATCTTTCTCTGACTTCACAGAAACCATTACTCACATATCGATCTTGCATACTGCAGCCATTTCCAGAGGGATGAACACTACTCCTATTCTCACTACAGTCAGTATATTCATTGTTCTGATCAAAAGTCATGCAATTCCAGTTAACATGACAATTATTTACATAATATCCATTTTGTATCTGAGAGTCATCTTGGGCTTGGAAAATATTTGATGGTGGATTTGGTGGACCACTGAATCTCTGAATGTTTAAATGATAGTTCAAACTGGGAAGAGGGGGACCATAGGGCACTATAAAAGGATATACTGACTGCCATTCAGGCCTGAAAGAAGTAAATGAAGTGTCACAAAATGTAGGTATTACTTGTCCATTACAGGGATATTTGTCTGGCTCATTCCCCAAGTTCTGCTGATAATCACAATGTGATGGCATAGCTTTATTACTAAGATCTTTCTTTTCTTCATCAGGTTTTAAGAGACCATTATTATGACCCTCATAAAATGGAACAAATTGTTCCTGAGAAGGTTCAGATTCTTTACAACTGTTCTCAAAACCATCTTTTTCCTTTTCAAGCTCTTCAATTTCTTTGTAAAACTGGAATAATTCATTGTCAATCTCTGATTTTTCAGAGTTAAATTTCTGTTTCTCTTTTTGTCCTCCTCTGTCATTTATACCATTTAGAACATGTGCCTCATTCCTCCCTTCATTACGTTTCTTTTTCTCAGGGGGTTTGTAAATGGGTCCTATAAATGCTTTACTTGTGCTATATATCTCATCGTCTGCGGATACTAATGGAGGACGTGCTTCCTGTAAAACCTGTGAATCAATGGATTCAATAACATCTGGTCTATTACCAGGCATCTCATCATGCAAAGGTCTATGCAAATCTGTAGTTTTGATTTTGTTCTCCTGCAAATAACTATGTCCTCTGACATCAATGATGGTCACAGGGACCCAATCATTTCCAGTTTTCTCTTGGATTCTGTGAAAATCAGCATTACTATGATTGTGAAAAACATACGACTCTGTGGTTGACTTCAATTTTTTACAGCGTGGCTCACTCGTTACTTCTTCTCTAGGTCCCAAGAATTTACCTTCAATTTCACCATAAGACATCTGAGAAATAAATAAATCATACAATTACTAGCTAATATATTAAAAATCTAAATAAAATTTTCTTCAAAAACAAGAAATTAGACAAAGACATTTAAATTTGTGATATATTTAATGGTAACAATTTCCCAAAATACCAGTCACTTTCATAACCACTTATTATTTAAGTACAGTCACAACATGGTGGTTTATGGGAGGGATCTCGTTGAATATCCTTTTTGAAAAATATATATATATGTATATATACATATATATCTCTCTCAACTTTAAACGATCCATTTCTGAATTTAGAAGACCTAAAAGATTTAAGTATGTCTGTAAAGTTGAATCAGTAATATATATTTTTATGATATAGATACACAATTGTGTATTTAAAAGGAGAGTGAAACCGCCAACACCAAATTAACACATACTCAAAATGGCTGTGATACACTGCATCCTAAGCTTTCCTTACTTAAAACCACTGTGTTTTTGAGAGTAAATAGCTCCAATTCTCTCCCAAACCTCAGACAACCAATCTCCTTAGCATCCAAATGTTAGATTAACTGAAGTGCCAGTCTTTGGAGACCCTTAACTGTGAGTAGTTAGCATAAAAGAGGTTCCTAAATGGGTATAGTGTGTTCATTTAAAAGGGGGGAAGAGATAACTTAAGTTGTAATGATGATAACGGAAATTTGTATAATAAAGAAATCTGGCAACTCCCAAAGTTCAAAGCGTTCATCTTTTCCGAATAATCTATCACGAAGATAAAATTTGCTTCCCTTTAGGCCTGGCAGAGTGGTTCAAGCCTGTAATCCCAGCACTTGGGAGGCTGAGGCGGGCGGATTGCTGCTTAGGAGTTCGAGACCAGCCTGGCAACATGGCCTAACTCCGTCTCTTAACAAAAATACAATAAATTAGCCGGGCATGGGGGCGCGCACTTGTGGTCCCAGCTACTCGGGAGGCTGCGGTGGGAGGATCGCTTGAACCCGGGGGGGGCGGAGGTTGTGGTGAGCCGAGATGGCGCCACTGCACTCCGCCTGGGCGACAGAGGGAGACCCCGTCTTGGGGGGGGGGGGCGGTTACTTCCCCTGAAATGCCTTAGGGACCTCAAAGTACAGCCCAGAGGCCTATTCCACCCAATTCTTCGTTGTGCCACTCTCTGGTGTTCCTAACACGAGAGAAAGAGAAATGGACAAAAAGGCGAACTACAGAATGATGCAAGCAGGCCACAGAGCTGGAGGAAGACAACTGCGGAGAACGCCAAAAGGCCTCCTCTCGGTTTCTCCTTTCCTCATTCGAAATGTGTCAGAAAAGTCCCGAAGAAAAGCAACCGGGTTGCGTTAATAAACCGCGTGATCTATACACTATCCGAGCCCCATGCCTCCAGACTTCCAGAGTGAGCGACCCGGGCAAAAGTGCGTCACCCAGCTTTTTTGTCCCAGTGCAGACACGCTCAGGTCCTGTCCAGGAATTCTGGAGGTCTCTGAGGCGCAAAAGTTCACACAGAGCTTACGTCTACGTTTACAGCTAATCTAAACAGTCCAGTCAAGAAGTGAAAGCGAAAAACACCACCACCGCCCCACCCTCACCTAAAACGGGGTGTCTACTCACCTTACTCTACCCCTACGCATTGACCTTTACCTCCCAATAAAACCTTCTTTTAGGAAGACACGAACCTCTGTGAAGGTGAAAGAAAAGCGGAGACAGCACTAAAGCCGAGGTCTGGAGGGACTAAAAGCCCACCTCTCAGAATCGCGGTAACAAACCTCACCTCCGTACGCAAGATGGCGGTCACCTCTCGGTTACCCAGGCCAAAACTAGGCGTTTGCGCCAGGCATTGTGGGAATTGAAGTCCGACGTTCACACCGGCTCCGTAAACCTCACGGCACGGAGACTAGGTCTCCCAGAATCCATGGCGTGACAAACGCAGTAATTTGGCAACAAAAGTAGACCGGAATTAGTTCCTAGATCTGGAGCAGGGAAGTTATCTAAAAACACCAACTTTCGTTAAAAGAAAGCAGCGACCTCCTCTGGCGTTCACCCCCGAAGGAAAAAGGAATTTGAGAAACTGGCGCCCCCCAATAGATGTATAATCGGCTCTCAGTGCATGCTTCTTAGAGCTTTCTAGAAGACAACCAGCTGACTTTTCCAACGGAACTCCACAGTTGGTACCACAAATTTGCATTCCGGTCGTTTCTACGAAAGACCACCTGACGTAATTTTAGGCTCATGCTTTTCTGTGGAAGGACAGAATTACTGGGGCGCAGGTCCCCAATAACAGATAAAAATACTTATGAACAAAATCGTTTAGTGTCAGGTCGCTGTTTTGTTTTGTTTTTGGAAATACAGACCAATCACTGAGCTTTCCCATTAAAAGAGTCAATACGTGCAAAGCAAGTAGAACAGCGAGCTCCTGGTAAGAATAAGCGCTATGTAAGTGTTTGTTGCATTAAAAATAAATACAAACCAAACAACTGGCAGTCCTCAACTGAGGGCTCCTTTTCTCTTCCCACCACCTCTCCAACCCCTCCTCCCTCCATTGGTTCCCCATCCCCCATAATTTCAGGTCCTTGCAAGGAAAACTTACCATCTCTTCATATTTAAATAATTCTTTCTATGGATATGTACCCTTTTCCATCCCCAACGTGATAACAATTTCATTTGTTGTTAAAGTTACAGTCTGGAATATATACATTTGATTATTTAACTAACAGCCTTGTGATCAAGAGTGTTCACCAAAGCAACCCATCTTCTCAGAAAGAAATCTATCTCAAATACAGATTTCTACTACGACCTTTGTCTCCTCATAATTAAACTCATGCATCCTACTTTGAAACAACCACATTTACGTGAGGTTGTGGCGTTCTCAGTGTGTTACATCCGCAGGCACACTATACTAATTATAAGATAATATTAATCTTTGTCACCCCATCAAGGTATTGTCCTGTTTCTCCATGGCATATTTTCCCCCTTAAAACTAATAAGCAGCCGGGCGCGATGGCTCACACCTGTAATCTCAGCACTTTGGGAGGCTGAGGTGGGCGGATCACCTGAGGGCAGGAGTTTGAGACTAGCCTGGCAAACATGATGAAACCCCATCTCTACTAAAAATACAAAAATTAGCCGAGCATGGTGGCGGGCACCTGTAATCCCAGCTACTTGGGAGGCTGAGGCACGAGAATCGCTTGAACTCGGGAGGCGGAGGTTGCAGTGAGTCGAGATCAGGCCATTGCACTCCAGCCTGGGTGACAAGAGCCAGACTCCATCTCAAAAAAAACCAAAAACCAAAAAACAACAACAACAAAAAACTAATAAGCAATCTGTGAGGTTAAACTTTGAGACGAAGCAAATATCCTGCACCTAATCAAACTTTACCTTATGGTTCAGATTCCATAAATGTCGGGATTTTTTTTCCCCACCTCCTTCAAGCCTTCCACATTTGTCAATCCAGATGCTGCTATAGAGCAGAACCCTACTTATTTATTTATTCACTATCAGTATGAATTTATGGATTCCTTTTCTTCAGGGGGTTATACTCCATTGCTCTCCTTACTTATTTACTATTAATAGACTATTTTTAGGATGGTTTTAAATGCACATAAAAATCGAGCAAATGGTAGAGTTCCCATGTACCCACCCCCCCACACACACAGTTTCCCTTATTACTAACCTCTTACATTGTTACAACTAATGACCTAACATTGATACTTTAACATTAATTTGTTATAACTTATTATAACATATAATATGTAACATTAAGTTACATATCAGTTATATATTAGTTATATAACTTATTCATTATTCAACTTTCCTTCATTTTTACCTAAATGCCCTCTCTGTTCAAGGGTTCTATCCAGGATACCACCTTACATTTAGTTATCATGTTTCCTTAGGCTCCTTTTGGCTGCGACAATTTCTTAAATTTATTTTTTAATATCTTAAGCTTATTTTTGATGACGTTGACTTTTTTTTTTTTTTTTTTTAGACAGAATCTCGCTCTGTTGCCCAGGCTGGAGTGCAGTGGCACCTTCTCGGCTGACTGCAACCTCTGCTTCCCAGGTTCAAGAGATTCTCCTGCCTTAGCCTCCCGAGTAGCTGGGACTACAGGCGCCCACCAACATGCCTGGCTAATTTTTGTATTTTTAGTAGAGACGGGGTTTCACCATATTGGTCAGGCTGGTCTTAAACTCCTGCGCTCAAGCGATCCACCCGCCCTTACCTCCCGAAGTGTGGGATTACAGGTGTGGGCCACAGCGCCTGGCCATCCTTGACAATTTTGAGGAAAACTGATCAGGTATCTTGTAGCATGCTCTTATATTGGGATTTGTCTGATGTTTTTCGCAGCCTCCAGAACTGTGAGAAATAAGTTTGTTATTTGTTATTATTTTTATTTATTTATTGAGACAAGATCTTGCTCTGTCACCCAGGCTATAATGTAGTGGCACAAGCACGGCTCACTGCAGCCTCAACCTCCTGGTCTCAGGTGATCTTCCCACCTCAGCCTCCTGAGTAGCTAGGACCATCGGCATGCATCACCATGCCCTGCTAATCTTTGTGTGTTTTGTAGGGATGGGGTTTCACCATGTTGCCCAGGCTAAATTTTTCTTCCTTGTAAATTACCCAGTCTCTGCTATTTCTTTTATTTTCTCTTCTTTTCTTTTCTTTCTTTCTTTTTTTTTTTTTTTTTTGCCACTTCTGCTAGGGTGTCTGTTTGTTTGTTTTGAGGCAGGATCTCACTCTGTCACCCAGGCTGGAGTACAGTGGTGCCATTACAGCTCACTGCAGTCTCAACCTCACGGGCTCAAACGACCTTTCCCACTCAGCCTCCCAAGTAGTAGCTGGGACTACAGGTAAGTACCACCATGCCCAGACAATTTTTGTATTTTTCGTAAAGACAGGGTCTCACTATGTTGCCCAGGCTGGTCTTGAATTCCTGGCCTCAAGTAATATTCCTGCCTTGGCTTCTCAAAGTGCTGGGATTACAGGCATGAGTTGCCAAGCCCAGCAGAATGTGCTACTTTTTGTAGGAGCACAAAGATACTAAGATAGGGTGTTCTGCTCCTTCTCCTTTAGGGTGGAATATTGTAGGGGAGGGAAAAATAATTTGCTTCTACCCTTTGGTTCTCAGCTGAAACTCTGTAACTAAAGAAAAGTATACAGATTTATTTAACATACGTTTTAGACGACATAGAAACCTTCATAAGTTTATGAAGACCTGAAAAAATAGTTAAACCTGAGTGTTTTATACAAGGTTTGATGAAGAGAGGAGTCATAGAAAAATGTGATAGGACGAAGGAGGTATGAGCTAAGTGTAGTAAACTGGGGGAAATTAGCCAGGCTTGTTTACATTCCTGTTGGTGTCCCTGTATTTTCAAAAGTAAGGTTGTTCCTTTTCTCCACAAAGAGGAAGGGCATCTCTCACATGAGAGTCTTATGACTTGCCTCAGGAGAAGGTCAAAGAGCCCTTCTTGCACCTGCCATTTCTCAGATACTTCAGCTTAAAATATTTGATATGTCAAAATTGTGCCATAACTTAAGAAACAAATTAACTGAAGTTGCAAGGTACAAAGTTAACATACAAAAATCAGTAGCATTTGTATACGCTAACAATGAAATATTTGAAGAAAAATAAAATCTCATTCACAATAGCTACAATGACCTAAAATGGGGTGTCTACTCACCTTACTCTACCCCTATGCATTGATCTTTACAATACAATACTTAGGAATAAATTTAACAAAGGAGGTGAAAGATTTGTACACTGAAAACTATAAAATATTGATGAAAGAAATTGAAGATGACACAAATAAATTCTTACGGATTAGAAGAATTAGTATTGTTAAAATGAACATACTACCCAAAGAAATCTGCAGATTCAATGCAATCTCTATCAAAATTGCAATGATATTTTTTCACAGAAATAGAAAAAAACAATACAGAAACTCATGAAATCACAAAAAAAAGCCTGAGAGCCAAAGCAATCCTGAGCAACAAGAACAAAGAACAAAGTTTTGCATCATACTACCTGACTTCAAAATATATTACATGGCTATAATAACCCAAGCAATATGGTATTGGTATAAAAATAGACAAATTGGCCTGCACGGTGGCTCATGCGTGTAATCCCAGCACTTTGGGAGGCCAAGGTGGGAGGATCACTTGAGGTCAGGAGTTCAAGACCAGGCTGGACAACATGGCAAAACCTCGTCTCTACTAAAAATACAAAAATTAGCCAGGCATTGTGGTGTATACCTGTAGTCCCAGCTACTCAAGAGGCTGAGGCAGGAGAATCACTTGAACCTGGGAGGCGGAAGTTGTGGTGAGCTGAGATCCTGCCACTGTACTCCAGCCTGGGTGACAGAAGGAGACTCTGGCAAAAAACAAACAAACAAACAAACAAACAAAAACACACATTGACCAATGGAACAGAATAGAAGACCCAGAAATAAATCTATGTATTCATAGCCAAACAGAATGACAGAGCCTTATTCTGTGGCCCAGGCTGGAGTGCAGTGGCATGATCTTGGCTCACTGCAACCTCTGGCTCCTGGGGTCAAGCGATTTTCCTCCTCAGCCTCTCAAGTAGCTGGGATAACAGGTGTGCGCCACCACACCTGGCTAATTTTTGTATTTTTAGTAGAGACAGGGTTTCTCCATGCTGACCAGACTGATCTCAAATCTTGACCTCGTGATCCACTTGCCTTGGCCTCCCAAAGTTCTGGGATTACAGGCGTGAGCCACCATGGCCAGCCATGATTTTTTTTTTTTTCTTTTTTTTTTTTGAGACAGAGTCTTGCTCTGTCACCCAGGCTGGAGTGCAGTGGTGTGATCTCAGCTCACTGCAACCTCCACCTCACAGGTTCAAGTGATTCTCCTGCCTCAGCCTCCCAAGTCACTGGGACTACAGGCACATGCCCCCATGCCCGGCTAATATTTGTATTTTTAGTAGAGACAAGGTTCCGCCATGTTGGCCAGGATGGTCTCAAACTCCTGGCTTCAAGTGATCCACCCGCCATGGCCTCCCCAAAGTGCCGGGATTACAGGCAAAAGCCACTGCGCCTGGCCAGCCAAATGGTTTTTGACAAAGGTACCAAGAGCATACATTGAGCTCAAGCCATCTTCCTCTTTGATAAATGATTCTGGGAAAACCAAATATCCATATGCAGAAGAATGAAACTACACCCCTATGTCTCGCTATATACAAAAGCCAACTCAAAGTGGATTGAAAACCTACACATAAGACCTTAAACTATAAAACTGCTAGAAGAGAGCGTAGGGAAAACACCACAGGACATTGGCCTAAGCAAAGATTTTATGGCTAAACCCTCAAAACACAGGGGACAAACTAAAAAAAGGCAAGTGGGACTTAATTGAACTAATATCCAGAATATACAAGGAACACAAACAGCAGCAAAAACAAACAAATAAAACAAAAAAGATTTATCAATCCCATTTAAAAAAATGGGTAAAGGATCTAGTTAGACGTTTCTTTTTCTTTTTTTTTCTGACAGTCTTGCTCTATCACCCAGGCTGCAGTTCAGTGGCATGATCTTGGCTCACTGCAACCTCTGCCTCCTGGATTCAAGTGATCCTCCTGCCTCAGCTTCCTGAGTAGCTGAGATTACAGGCACGTGCCACCATGACCAGCTAATTTTTGTATCTTTAGTAGAGACAGGGTTTCGCCATGTTGGCCAGGATGGTCTCAATTTCTTGACCTCGTGATCTGCCCGCCTTGGCCTCCCAAAGTGCTGGGATTACAGGTGTGAGCCACCGAGCCCCACCAGACATTTCTTAAAAGAAGACATACAAATAGCCAACACTTAATAGGGAAAAAGACAGTCTCTTCAATAAATGGTGTTGGGAGGCCTGATGTGATGGCTCACATCTGTAATCCCAGCACTTTAAGAGGCTGAGGTGGCACCAGGCACGGTGGCTTATGCCTGTAATCCCAGCACTTTGGGAGGCCAAGGTGGGCAGATCACCTGAGGTCAGGAGTTCAAGACCAGCCTGGCCAACATAGTGAAACCCCATCTCTACTAAGAATACAAAAATTAGCTGGGCATGGTGGCAGGCACCTGTAACCCCAGCTACTGAGGAGGTGAAGGCAGGAGAATCACTTGAACTTGGGAGGCAGAGGCTGCAGTGAGCCCGGATCAAGCCACTGTACTCCAGCCAGGGCAACAAAGCGATCCTCCATCTAATAAATAAATAAATAAATAAATAAATATATAAATAAATAACTAAAGCCAGGATGCCCCCTGAGGTTTGGTCTATCTTTGCATGTGCCCACTTCCTCCTTTGACTTTCTCTGCTGTATTTTGATGCAGTACAAAAGTTCTCACCAGAAGTTGTGCAGATGCTTCTTGTACAGACTGCAGAAATGTGAGCTAAATTAACTTCCTTTCTCTATGAATTAACCAGCCTCAGCCTCAGATATTCCCTTATAGCAACACAAAATGGACTAAGTCCATGGTGTCATTAAGTAGGAAAAGAAAAGCTAGCAAGAGAAATGGGCCATGTAGTGAGTAAAGGGGGATAAGTATTGATGAATTCAGTTTTGTACATGGTACATATTATTTGCCTGGAAGATCACCAAATGGTAGTGTTGGGGATTTGTCTGGATTTAAGAGAGGGGTTGGAGATGGAGGTGTTGGGAGTTTTTAGTGTGGAAGAACTAGTTGAAGCCTTAGGCTTAGCCAGACTGATTCAAGGAGAATATGAAGATTACCTAAGAAAACTAGAAGACTGAGATAAAAATTCTCAAGATCATCGATATTGAACAAGCAGGAAAGAAGAGGAACCTGCAAAAAAGAACAGAGAGGTGGGAGGTGAAAGTATCAAAAAGAAGGTGATGACCAAGAGCGTTAAATGCCCCAGGGAGAGGGGGACAACTAGGAATCCAAGGAACTGGAGGTGAGGAGCTCACAGCAGGCATTAGTGAGGGCAGTTTCCACGGCATGGTGGGAGTTGGAAGCCTCATTAAAGTAAGGTTTAACTGTGAGTAAGAAGTGGGTTTTTTTATAGCATGGTTATGAGATTGTTATGACGTCTGTAATATAACAGATACATAATTTTTTATATAGACAATATCGTATATAAATGTGTGTTAAAGGCACATGGTAGATGCAGCTAGCATTCTAATCAGTCATTTATATGGGGAGCAGGAGAGAGTCAGCTAGCTTTATATCAAAAAGACTGTGTTCCAGAGGGACTACAACCACCCCTTTAGCTATTTATACCTCCATCAACACTACTTTGCTCATTAATGTCATAAATGACTTTTCAAAACTAATGGCTTGTAAATATCATGAAGGACATAAGAAATGGATTCTCACTGGTGAAATTAAAGGTATTCAAGTTAAAATATTTTGGAGACACTCCCTCCCTTTACTGAACAAATGATAAGAACAGAATGAAGACTGTAGCCCACACCTGTTGAGATGACATTCAACTATAAGTCAGTAGGAATTCTGGTTGTCTGATGTCAACCATGAAAACTATAACATCTGCCTAAAAAGAACCTTTCATGCAACATAGTAGTCAGAGTACTAAAAGGACAAAGAACGGTCATCAGGCTTACTACTAAGTAGGCTCTATAAGCTATTCCATGCCTGCTTGCTAAACAAAAATGTTTGATATATCTGTAAGTGAGACAGAAACTTGCTCTCAAAGTTGCCGGGAGAAGGTTTTTTTACTTGATTCTAACAACTGAAGGCAACTGTTGTCTATCAAAAAATAATCATAAGAATTGGGTTAATAAATTTGCGTGGTCAGCTCACAATAAAAATAACGAAGAGAGATGGGGCTTTGGCAGAAGATTTTAGGGCTATCTGTCTGTGCTCTTGGCTGCTTTGCTTTATCTGAGGTGTCATGGCCTTACCATCCTAAAAGGCATAACCTGTTCACATTTGATAGATGATTGATTTTATCATTGCTTAGATGACAGACAACCAAAACTTTATAATTTATTCCCCCAAGGATGAGATCCCAAGAGTTAAAAAGTGATAGCAACAGCTGAATTACACTTTTACAGCTGGTTAAAATGATAAATATGATGTTATGTTTATTTCACCACAATAAAAAAATGATAGATCAAAGACCTAAGTATCAGACCTAAAATTACAAAAATCTTAGAAAATTTGGGTGAAAAGCTTCATAATGTTGGTTTTGCCAATGATTTCATAGATATGACACTAAAAGCACAGTCAACAAAAGAAAAAAACAGGGGCTGGTCACAGTGGCTCACACCTGTAATCCCAGCACTTTGGGAGGCCAAGGTGGGTGGATCACCTGAGTTCAGGAGCTCAAGACCAGCCTGGGTAACATGGTGAAACTCCATCTCTACTAAAAATACAAAAATTAGCCAGGCATGGTGGTGGGCGCCTATAGTCCCAGCTACTTGAGAGGCTGACGCACAAGAATCGCTTGAAACTGGGAGGCAGAGTTTGCAGTGAGCTGAGATCGTGCCACTGCACTCCTGTCTGGGCAACAGAATGAGACCCTGTTTTGCGCTCCTGATTGGGTGACAGAGTGAGACCCGTCTCAAAAAGAAAAAGAAAAAGAAAAAGAAAAAAAATAGGTAACTTAGGCTACATCAAAATTTAAAACTTCTGTGTATTGAAGGACAATCAACGGAGTGAAAGGGCAACCCATGGAAATTTGGGAAGAAATATTTGCAAATCATATATCTGGTAAAGGGTTAATATTTAGAATGTATAAAGAACTGCTACAACTCAGCAATAGCAACAGAACAACAACACAAACAATTTGATTAAGACATGGACAACTCTGGGCGTGGTGGTTCACACCTGTAATCCCAGCACTTTCAGAGGGAAGGCAGGAGGATCTCTTGAGCCCAGGAGTCTGAGACCAGCCTGGGCAACATAGTGAAACTTAGACACTTTGTCTCTACAAAAAAAGTAAAATAAAATTAGCAGGGTGTGGTGGTGCGTGCCTGTAGTCCCAGCTACTTGGGAGGCTGAGGTGGGATGTAGGAGGATTTGCTTGAGCCTGGGTGGTAGAGGCTGCAGTGAGCTGAGCTCATGCCACTGGATTCCAGCCTGGATGACAGGAAAAAAAAAAAAAAAAAAAAAAAAAAAAAAAAAAAAAAAATATATATATATATATATATATATATAATTTTGTATAGTTTCTTTGGAGAAATATCTCCAAATGCACAAGGTCTTGACTATGTCGTCATACTTGCCCATGGTCTTTGTATGTCTTTATATGGGCAAGGTCTTGAGTAGACATTTCTCCAAATAAGGTATACAAATGGCCAATAAGAACATGGAAAGATGCTCAGCAGACATCACAACTATAATGAGATATCACCTCACACCCATTAGGATGGCTGCTATCAAAATAAAATTTTTAAAAAACCCAGAAAATAACAAGTGTTGGTGAGGATGTAGAGAAATTGGAACCCTTGTGTATTATTGGTGGGAATGTGAAATGGTGCAGTTACTGTGGGAAATAGCATGGTGCATCATCAAAAAAATGAAACATAGAGTTACTATGTGATCCAATTCCGCTTCTGGGTATATACCCAAAAGAGTAGAAAACAGGGTCTCACAGAGATATCTGAACACCCACATTTATAGCAGTATTATTCTCAATAGACAAAAGGTAGAAATAACCCTAGGACACATTGGCAGATGAATGTGTAAACCTAACGTGCTATTAACATGCAATGGAATATTACTCAGCCTTAAAAAGGAAGGAGGCCAGACGCTGTGGCTCATGCTGAAATCTTAGCACTTTGGGAGGTTGTGGCACAAGGATCACTTGAGCCCAGGAGTTGGAGACCAGGCTGGGGAATGGAGTGAGACCTTATATCAAAAATTAAATTAAAAGGAAGGAAATCTTATCACATGCCACAATATGGATGAACCTTGAAGGCATTGTAGTAAAATAAGCCAGTCACAAAAAGACAAATGCTGCCTAAAATAGCCTAACTTATAGAAACAGAAAGTAGAATGGTAGTTGCCAGGGACTGCGGGAAGGAGGAAATGGGAAGTTGTTACCTAATACGTACAGAATTTCAACTTCACAAGATAAAAATTCTGGAGATTGGTTGCACAACAATGTGAAATGTATTTAACACTACTGAACTGTATACTTAAAAATGATCAAGATGTTAACATTTTTATGTGTATTTTACCCAATTTTTTTTACAAAGTCATAGTGATAGGGAGATCCAGTAATAGAAAAATAGATATTTTCAAGTACTTGAATAGAAAGAAAATTCTTTGAAGGAAACTAAATGAAAAAAAAAAAGGATTACATTTAACAATTTTTTTTAGCTGAAAACATTGGGGAAAAAATTGCTGCAGAGATTATTAGAGAATATTTTCTTCTCTTAACGTGTCTTTTCTGTTAACTTTCCTGGATAAGGGGATAAGGAGGCTGCCCAGTCCAGGAAATCTTGGGGTTCTACTGTCTTTAAGGCAGTGATGTTGGTGTCTCTTCTGATATTTTACTTCACAGGATGGTTGACAGAGTGTAGCCGCCTCCAACTCCTAGCAGTAAAGAAGATAAACACTGTTCAAGGAGGCTTTGCCTTGAGGCATGTGTTATAAGTTACTCTTAAGAATTGAATTTCACACTTTTCCTTAAATGTCATGAGAATGAGAATCTTAAAAGCAGGAAAAATTATCAATCATCAGTAAACATGAAAAGTATTTTCATTTGATCAAAAGACAAGCTTATGACGGTTTTCTTCCAGCCCATTCTTGGACACCACAAATTGGGCTGGCTTCCTGAACGTGCACCCCATTTTCAGCTCAGAGAACCGTGCTCCAAAGGGTAAATACACAAGTGTCTTTGTTTTATGGATTTTCCTGTTAACAATTATAGGGGAAACAAAATGTACCAAGAGGACAATTCCAGAGGTTTCACATTTCGACAGTGTCACAGCAATGTCCCTTCTCCTGTGCAGTTACAGTGCCCCCACAGCAATGGCCACAGGATTATCTCAGCCCTGTCAGTTTCCGCTGGAAGGCCCAGGTTGTCAGGTGTGCAGGCCTCATTTGTCCTTGACTTCTGCCCAACACAAGTATCAGAAGAGGGAATTTCTACAAAGAAGTTGGTCATCAAATCATGGTGAAATGTACTTCCCAGCACCAAAGGACTGGAATGGCAAATGTATGGTGTAATCTCATTTTGTGAAAGGAAGGAGGAAAAGGAAAAGAAGAAGCAAAGAAGAAACATCATATATGTGTATACATATTTGTAGAAACTTGAACAGTGATGTGGAAGTAGACATTCCATGACATAAACAGAGCTTGCCTCGAGAGGAGTTTAGTGCAGTGAGGACTGGCAGGGAGATGATTAACTTTTTCTTTATGTATCTCTGTATTTTTGACTTGTTACAAGAATATATTAAATGCATTTTTACAAGTTCAATTCTATTCTATAGCATTGTTTTATAGTGATTGGATGAAAATTATTATACTATTTTTAACATGAACACATGCAAATCCTCCTAAAGTTATATTTATTCACTTATTCTCTGCAAGACATACTTCTACTTTAAGTTTAGAATCAGTATCATTTATGGCTAAAAGTGTGGATTCCAAAGGCGGATTGCCTGGATTCAAATTCAGGCTCTTCCTCCTACTGGGTATATGACCTTCAGCAAAGTACAAAACCCTTCTGAGCCTTGGTTTTTTAGCTTGTATAATGGAAATGATAATAGTTCTACTTCACAGGACTGCTCAGGAGATTTAATGAATCAAATATGTAGTGCATTTACAATAGTGTCTGGCAAACTATATGTTAGTTATTTTAAAGTTTTCTGTGTGGAGAACCCATCATTTATGAATGTAGATTATAGAAGCTGAGGTTTTTGCAATATTTTTTATTGCCACAGGGCTAAAAATCTCCATAGTAATATACTTGTGCAAAATGCACATAAAATGCTATGTACTATGAATTTTAAGTAACAATTATACTAAAATCTTGAATATTTACTGGGATGTTTAAATTATAATAAAATAAGATTTTTGGATTATAGTGCATATAGTGCATGTATAATAAATATGGAGAAAGGAAGACAGCAGGTACACCTTTACATGAAAATCAAAGCTGTCACAAGGGCTGGGTGTGATGGCTCGTCTGTCATCCCAACACTTTGGGAGGGCAAAGTGGGGGGACCCTTTGAGCCCAGGAGTTCAAGACCAGCCTGGGCAATAGAGTGAGACCCTGTCTCTACAAAAAATTTAAAAACTCGCCAGGCATAGTGGCATGGACCTGTATTCCCAGCTACTTGGGAGGCTTGTTGGGAGATCACTTGAGACCAAGAGGGACTCTGCAGTGAGCTGTGATTGCACCAGCGCACTCCAGCCTGGGCAATAGAGCAAGACACTACTTCAAAAATAAAACAGGCCAGGCATGGTGGCTCATGCCTGTAATCCCAGCACTTTGGGAGGCCAAAGCGGTCAGATCACTTGAGGTCAGGAGTTCAAGACCAGCCTGGCCAATATGGTGAAACCCCATCTCTACTGAAAATACAAAAAAATTAGCTGGGTTTGGTGGCAGGCGCTTGTAATCCCAGCTACTCGGGAGGCAGAGGCAGGAGAATCTCTTGAACCTGGGAGGCGGAGGTTGCAGTGAGCCAAGATCGCACCATTGTGCTCCACTCCAGCCTGGGCATTGCAGTGAGACTCTATCTCAAAAAAAAAAAAATTAAACAAAACAAAAATCTGTCACAAGAAAACACCAATGGGTGCTTAAGGATTATAAATGTGTCCAGAACTTTTCTGGCTACTATGGGATGAGCTGTAGGGGATCCTGGTGGGTACAGAGATGTGGATGTGCTGAGGAGGTCATAGTGGGTAGGTTTGGTGCTACCTTCTAGAACACTTCACCACATTCTTCTCCACAGCTATAAGGGTGGAAACAGACATTTAACACAACCAGGCAAAAGATATTGCTCATAGACTTTTCTTTCCTCCATGAAGTAAACAGGCCTTTCCCCCCCGACTTTTTTCCCGATTTTTGTGGGTTTTTTGTTTTAATTTTTAATTAATTATTTATTTTTTTGTTTGTTTGTTGGTCTTTCCCTTTTAGATAATGTCCTTGGGAACATGGCTTTTCTCTCTCTCTCTCTCTCTCTTTTCTTCTTCTTTTTTTTTTTTTTTTTTTTGAGACAGAATCTTGCTCTGTCGCTCAGGCTGGAGTGCAGTGGTGTGATCTCGGCTCACAGCAACCTCCGGCTCCCAGGTTTATGTGATTCTCCTGTCTCAGCCTCCTGAGTAGCTGGGACTACAGGCGCCCACCACCATGTCTGGCTAATTTTTTTTTTTTTTTAGTAGAGATGGGGTTTCACCATGTTAAACAGTCTGGTCTCGACCTCCTGACCTCAAGTGATCCACCCACCTCTGCCTCCCAAAGTGTTGGGATTACAGGCGTGAGCCACTGCGCCCAGCCACTTTTCTCTTCTTCACCCTCACCTCTTCACCATGACCTTTCCTTCATCATCCCCATGCTTGATCTTTCTACAGCGTTTATCACTCCAAACAACAGGGTCAACCACCACTGCCTCCTCTCTCTGACTCTCCCTTCTAAGTCACTTCACTGCACTTATCTTCATATTTCTTACTCCGTGCAGTGGATCTCTAGATTCCCTCATCTTTGAACAGAGGTGCTATGGACTGAATATGTCCCCTCCCAAACTTATAAGTTGGAACTTAATCATCAATATGATCATATTAAGAAGTGGGGCATTTAGGGAGCGATTAAGTCATGAGGGCAGAGTCCTCATGAATGGTATTAGCTCCCTTATAAAAGACGTGCAAGGGAGCTGTTTACCTCTTCCACCATGTGAGGACACAGCTAAATGGCACCATACATGAACCAGGAAACAGGCTCTTGATAGATGCTGAATCTGCTGGTACCTTGATCTTGAACTTCCCAGCCTCTGGAACCATGGGAAGTAAATTTCTATTATTTATAAACACCCAGTGTAAAGTATTTTGTCATAGCAGCCCAAACAGACTAAGACAAGAGGCACACGCAAGCTTAATCTTTTAAAAATTTTTATTTATTTAATATTTAAATATATATACACACATTCATGTCATTTAAAACTCAAAGATACCAAAGGATATTCTGTGAAAAGTCCCTTTTTACCCCAGCCTCTCCTGAAAGCAACTGTGCTCCTTCCAGAGACATTTTATATATGTATATGCATATGCCTACATATTGTACGTCTGTATATATACACATTCAAATGTACAATATGCATGTGCTGTTTTCCTCTTTTTTTCACATAGTAGCATCAGTACATCCTGTTAAGCATCTTGCTTTTCTTAAATAACAATGTAACTCTAAGATCATCCTATATACATGCAGAAAGAACTTCCTCATTCTTTTTTACTACTGCACAGTATTCCATTGTGTGAATGTATCATAATTGTTTTTAGTAAGTCCTCTATTGATGATGGTTTAAGTTGTTTCTAATCTTTTGTTCTTACAAATAAGTCAAAATATAGTTCTGAGGTTCCTGTTTTTCTCATTCCATATCTCCCTTCCCACTTTCCCCACCAACCAAACATCTCATTCAATTATGGCTTTACTCATCACCAGGCACTAGACAACTGACAACCAATTTATCTCCTGCTCTGTTCTCTTTTATAAGCTCAAGTCTCACATTCCCAACTGCCTATAGAGGAAGAATCCACTCCCTAAGACTAAGCATATCCAAAGTAAAAAAAAAAATCCTCCCCTCCCACTCTGTCCTGCTTGTGCTAATTTTATCTGGGGTGCATAGCACTTATTCACAATTCCCCTCACTTATTCATACTCACTCATGCTGCTGCTGTTGCCATGTTTTCAATGTCCCCATATACAGTCCACAACCACCTACCATCCCAGAAACAAGAAACTAGAGTTGTATGGTTATGCATGGAGATAACCAAGAGCTCATCAGATTGCATGCATGAGCACCCATCTTGAAATGCCATTTGAGCACCTCACGCCCATCTCATCATTGAGAACCTTCAAAAAGTGTTCTTGCATGTTTCATACAGATTCACTCATCTTTCATTTCCTTCAGTTTTAGAGACCTAGCCAAGCTAAGGGAATAAATCAAAATCAACTGATAACAAGGGTGAGGTTTCTCAAACTGAAACATCCTGTTAATGTGGAGTAAGACCACCTCCATAGGTGGTCTTCAGGTATAAGGCCATGAGTCTTCAGGTACAAGGCCTAACACCTGTGGCATGTAGTGATGCAGCATTTTTCTCTTCCTTATAGTCCTCTGAAATAGAAAGTTTGTTCAAGAGACAATGGACATGTTCACTGCAGTAGAATGTTACAACAAAGTAAATGAGAACAATAACCCTAGGACAGGGAGGCTACTGCTCACTGCTCAAGCATCTGCAGCATACTCCTGAGGGGACACATTAAGTCAGCAGAGAGACATTTCCCAAAATAAACAGGAAGGGAAATATAGATGGAGGAGTCATAGTGTGGAGGCTAAAGTGACTCCATCTTGGAAGCTAATCCACCATGTTGACTTCTGATTAACCCTGGTCCCTGGAATGCCTCTCAAATTTCCATTTTATCTATTGTTCTTTGTGTAAGAACATATGCCTACCATAAATCCTGCCTTTTGATCAAATTATACGCCTGCCTTTCTTCATGGTGTATAATCCCTGGTTCTGGGGGATAATGGTGTGGAGATCTACCTGTTTCACAGCTTCTTAAGACCATGCTTCTGTCCCTAAGTTCCCAAATGAAATCACCTTATAACAAGTGGGATTTGTCTGCCTCCTTCTTTGGTTTACTGGCTCCTTCTATGTTTGGAGGTCAATTTGCATATACAGCCTTTTCATAAAACACACATGAAAGCAGAAAGACCCAGTGCTGGACACCTAGAGCTAGAAACCTTAGCTCTAGGTTTTTAAACTCTAGAGCTTATATATCTTAAATATGGTTGTCATTGTGGAAAACAATGTGGCAATTCCTCAAAGGCCTAAAAACAGAAATACTGTTTGACCTAGCAATTCTATTACTGGGTATATACCTGAAGGAATACAAGTTGTTCTATTATAAAGACACATACATGTGTATGTTTATTGCAGCACTATTTGCAATAGCAAAGATATGGAATCAACCTAAATGCCCATCAATGATAAAGAAAATGTGGTACATATACACCATGGAATACTAATGCAGCCATAAAAAAGAATGAGATCATGTCCTTTGCAGGGACCATGATGAAGCTAGAGCCATTATCCTTAGCAAACTATTGCAGGAACAGAAAACCAAATATGCATGTTCTCACTTATAAGTGGGAGCTAAATAACGAGAACACAGGGACACATAGAGAGGAACAACACACACTGGGGCCTACCGGAGGGTAGAGAGTGGGAGGAGAGAGAGGATCAGGAAAAACAACTAATGGGTACTAGGCTTAATACCTGGGTGATGAAATAATCTGTGCAACAAACCCACAAGACACAAGTTTTCCTATGGAACAAATCTGCACCTGCACCCCTGAACTTAAAGTTAAAATAAATAAATAAATAAATAAATGTATTATCTTATATATACACAAACACACATATGGTTGCCTAACTTTACATCTTCCACAACTCAATATAAACATATTACATGAAGAATTTAGTTTCTGGAGAATCCTGTACAGGGATCTCTAGCTCAGGTGAATGTAAAATCTAGCATCTGGCTTCCAGTTTGAAATGGAAAACAGGGATGATGCTGTATTAGACCATTCTCACACTGCTGTAAAGAACTGCCCAAGACTGAGTAATTTAGAAACAAAAGAGGTTTAATTGACTCACAGTTCAGCATGGCTGGGGAGACCTCAGGAAACTTATAATCATGGTGAAAGGTGGAGGGGAAGCAAGTCACCTTCTTCACAAGGTGGTAGGAGAGAGAAATGCCGAGCGAAGGGGAAAGAGCCCCTTACAAAACTATTAGAACTTGAGAGAACTCACTCACTATCAGGAGAACAGCACAGGACACAAAGCCTAACCAATATCAGGTGCCATGGATGGACCAGACACTTTGAGGAATTTTTTGGAAGGTATGAAGCTGATAAGATGGACCAAACTTCACTTCATAGAGTTAATAAAACTGTATAATAAACTGCATGTATTTTAAAGTCTATGATTTATTTTATTTTATTTATTTTAGAGACAAGGTCTCACTCTGTCACCCAGGCTGGAGTGCGGTGGTGCAATAATAGCTCACTGAACCCTTAAACTCCTGGGCTCAAGTGATCTTCCCACCTTCGACTCCTGAGTAGCTGCAACTACAGGCGCACACCACCACACCTGATTATTATTATTATTATTAGTTTGTAGGGGGTGGTTTGAGATGGAGTCTTGCTTTGTTGCCCAGATTGGAGTGCAGTGGCGCCATCTTGGCTCACTGCAACCTCTGCCTCCCAGGTTCAAGAGATTCTCCTGCCTCAGCATCCCCAATAGCTGGGGACTACAGGCACATGCCACCACGCCTGGCTAATTTTTGTAGTTTTTGGTGGAGACAAGGTTTCATCATGTTGCCCAGGCTGGTCTCAAACTCCTGGCCTCAAGTGGTCCACTTGCCTCGGCCTCCCAGAGTCCTGGGATTACAGGCGTGAACCATTGCACCTGGCCTTTTTTTTTTTTTTTTTTTTTTTTAGAAACCAGGTCTCGCTATCTTGCTATGTTGCCAGGCTGATCTCAAACTCCTGGGCTTAAGGGATCATCCCTCCTTGGCCTCCCAAACTGTTGGAATTACAGGTGTGCGCTACCACAACTGGCTTGATTTCCTTGTGTCACTATATATTAGTTAACATTTTCTAGGCCAGGCATGGTGGCTCACGCCTTTAATCCCAACAGCTTGGGAGGCCAAGGCTGGCAGACCAGCCTGGCCAACATGGTGAAACCCTGTCTCTATTAAAAATACAAAACTTAGCCAGGCATGGTGGTGAGCGCCTGTAATCCCAGTTACTCGAAAGGCTGAAGCAGGAGAATCACTTGAACCTGGGAGGTGGACGTGGCAGTGAGCCGAGATCACACTACTGTACTCCAGCCTGGGCGACAGAGCAAGACTCCATCTCAAAACAAAAACAAAAACAAACAAATAAAAATTTCTAGAATCTAAGAGGAATGAAATCACAATGTATGTACTCTTTTCGGCAGACTTTCATTCCACAAAATTATTTTGTCAATGCCTTTGAAAAGAGGGAGAAAGAAAAATTTTAAAATAAGTATTATTTTGAGATTCATCTATGTTTTGTACGTATCAATAGTCCTTTTTATTGGTGAATAGTCTTCCATTGTATGGCATGCCAATTTACTTACATATCCATCTATTGATAGATACTTTGGATGCTTATAATTTGAGGCTATTACAAATAAAGTCATTATAATCTTTTTTATTTCTATACAAATATTTGTTTGTATATGTTAATATGTTTTCATTTATTCTTGGCATATACCTAAGAGTGAAATGGCTGGGTCATATGGTGTTGTATATTTAAAATATTCAGAAACTATCAAACTCTTACCATATTATTATATACCCTTCTACCAGCAATATATGAGAATTCCAGAGGCTCCACATCCTTGCCAGCACTTGCTGTTTTCAAGTTTAGATGTTTTAACAGATGTGTAGCAGTATAACTCATTGTGACTTTAATTTTCACTTTTCTCATGACCAATGACGACAAGTATCTTTTCATGTATTTATTTGCCATTCATATAACTTCTTTGGTGAAGTGTCCATTAAAATTTTTTGCCCATTCGAAAAACATTGGTTATTCTTTTATTATTGGGTTCAGAGAGTTCTTTATATATTCTGGATACACATTCTAGATCAAATATGTGATTTACAAATATTTTATGCCAGGCTGTAGCTTGCCTTTTCATTCTGTTAACAGTGTCAAGAAATTCAAAGAACAGAATTTCTTGTAGGGGGAAAGGGGAGATAAAGAGAGGTTGATTAATGGGTACAAACACACAGAAAAAATATGACCTAGTGTTCGATAGATCAGTAGAGTGACTATAGTTTACAATAATCTATTGCACATTTCAAAATAGCTAAAACGAAATAAGTCAAAAATTTCCTCCCAGCATAGACTAAGAAAAGAAAAGAAGAAATAACTCAAATATTTCTAACACAAAGAAAAGACAGAGCTGGGCACAGTGTGCACACCTGTAGTCCCCAGCTACTTGGGAAGCTGAAGTGGGAAGATCATTTGAGCCCAAGGGTTTGAGTCCAGCCTGGGCAGCATAGTAAGACCCTGCCTCTAATAAATAAATGGCAAATATTTAAAGTGATAGGTGTCTTAAATATACTGATTTGACCTTTACACTTTATGTGAATGTATTAAATTATCATGAGTACCCTGAAAATGTGCACATCTATTATGTATCCATTTTTAAAAAACCAATCTCTTAATTTTGATGAAATCTAACTTATCAATTGTTTTATTTTAGAATCATGTTTTTGCTGTTGAATCTATAAAAGTTTTGCCTATACCAAAATAAAATAAAAATTTCTCCTATATTTTCTTTCAGAAGTTTTGTATTTGGAGGGCTTATATTTTGTCTATAATCTATTTTGAGCTTTTTTGGTATATGTTGCAAATTATGGATTTTACTTTTTTTGCATATGGATATCCAACTGTTTCAGTACCACTTGTTGAAAAGATTATTTATTTTCCATTAAATTGTCCTTGAAACCATCAAAACCAATTGACCATATATGCATGGGCCTTTTTATGGAATCTCTATCTGTTTTATTGATTTATCCATCGTATGCAATTTCTCATTTTCTTGACTACTGTAGCTCTATAATAAACTCTGGAAGTCAAGTAATATGAATCCTTTTATATCATTCTTTTCCAAGTCATGTAGGCTATTCTAGGTCCTTTGCATTTCCATAAGAATTTTAAAATCAATTTGTCAATTTCTATAAAACAGATCCACTGGGATTTGGGTTCAGACTGCATTAAATCTGTAAATCAATTTGGGGAGAAGTAACATCTTAAAAATATCAAGTCTTTTCATCTATTAACATGGTATATATCTTTGAGTTTTAAGGCCTTTTAAATCTCTCTTAACAATGTTCTATAGTCTTCAGGCACTCAGACTTTACATATTGTTTATCCAATTTATTCCTAATTAGTTTATATTTTCGTGTAATTTTAAATGGTTTGGTTTTTAATTTCAATTCTTTTTTTTTTTTGAGATGGAGTCTTGCTCTGTCACCAGGCTGGAGTACAGTGGCGTGATCTCAGCTCACTGCAACCTCCACCTCCTGGGTTCAAGTGATTCCCCTGCCTCAGCCTCCCAAGTAGCTGGGATTACAACCACGTGCCACCACACCCAACTAATTGTTTGTATTTTAGTAGAGACGGGGTTTCACCATATTGGCCAAAATGGTCTCGATCTCCTGACCTCGTGATCTGCATGCCTCGGCCTCCCAAAGTGCTGGGATTACAGGTGTGAGCCACTGCACCCTGCCTAAATTTCAATTTCTAATTTAATGTTGCTACTATATAGAAATACACTTGAGGCTGGGCACAGTGGCTCACCCCTGTAATCCCAGCACTTTGGGAGGCTGAAGTGGGAGGATCATTTGAGGTCAGGAGTTCAAGACCAGCCTGGCCAACGTTGTGAAACTCTGTCTCTACTAAAAATACAAAAAAATTAGCTCAGCATGGTGGTATGCACCTGTAATCCCAGCTATTCAGGAGGCTGAGGCAGGAGAATTGCTTGAACTCAGGAAAGGGAACTTGCAGTGATCTGAGATCACACCACTGCCCTCCAGCCTGGGGCACACATCGAGATTCCGTCTTAGAAAAAAAAATGATTTTTATATGTTTCTATTTTATCTTGCAACCCTGCTAAGCTTACTTATTAGTGCTATTAGCTCCATTTTGTAGATTCCATAGGATTTTGCTCATAGATAATCATGTTCTCTATGAATAAAGATAGTTTTAATTTTTTCTTTACAGCTAGAGACCTTTTAATTTCTTTCTCTTGCTTTATTGCGCTAACCAGAACCTCTAATGGACTTCTTGCTAGAGTTTTATCAATTGCATTGAACTCTTTTACTGAACTAGCTATTATTACGTTGATTTTTAATTTTCTTCTGTTTTGTTTTCATTAATATTCACTCTGATCTTTATTATTTCCATTCTTCTGTATAAGTTTTATTTGCCCTCTTTTTTTTTCTAGTTTTTTTAAGGTGGAGGCTGGGGTCTTTGATTTGAGACTTTGTTTCTTTTCTATTCTTTTGTTTTCTGGTTTTTTTTTTTTTTTTTTTTTTCAGGAAACATGTTCACAGATGTAATGCTTAAAAGATGCACTGCCGGCCGGGCATGGTGGCTCACACCTGTAATCCCAGCACTTTAAGAGGCTGAGGAAGGCGGATCATGAGGTCAGAAGATCAAGACCATCCTGGCTAACATGGTGAAACCCTATCTTTAGTAAAAATACAAAAAAATCAGCTGGGCATGGTGGCGGGCACCTGTAGTCCCAGCTACTTGGGAGGCTGAGGCAGGAGAATGGCGTGAACCCAGGAGGCGGAGCTTGCATTGAGCCAAGATGCAATCACGCCACTGCACTCCAGCCTGGACTCTGTCAAAAAAAAAAAAAATGCACTGCCGAATGCCAAATCCCCAAAAAAAAATGTTTACGTGGTGTAACCTCTCCATGCTCAATTCTTGTCTCTCTTCCCACCCTGGTGCTTCAACTTCACACTCACCTTCCTTCATTTAATGGAATTGGCCTCACTTCTGTCACTCTGGGGCCTTTGTACATACTGTCCTAGGTGCAAAACATATTGCTGATAAAACAGGTTGTGGTAAAGAAGCTGGCCAAAACCCAGCAAAACCAAGATAGTGATGAAAGTGACTTCTGGTCATCCTCACTACTCATTATATGCTAATTATGATACATTAGCATGCTAAAAGACACTCCCACCAGCACCATGACAGTTTACGAATGCCATGGCAACATCTGGAAGTTACCCTATATGGTCTAAAAGGGGAGGAACCCTCAGTTCCTGGGATTGCCTACCTCTTTCCTAGAAAAATCATGAATAATCCACCCCTTGTTTAACATATAGTCAAGAAATAACTATAAGTATACTCAGTCAAGCAGCCCATGCCACTGCTCTGTCTATGGAGGAGCCATTCTTTATTCCTTTACTTTCCTAATAAACTTGCTTTCACTTTACTCTATAGACTCACCCTGAATTCTTTCTTGTGTGAGATCCAAGAACCCTCTCTTGGGGTCTGGATCAGGACCCCTTTCTGGTAACACCTGGACATGGCCCAATTTTTGTTGTGACTTCTGAACCCAGTTCAGATAAAAAAAAATTTTCAGCTCAAACTTGGATAGCTCAAAACACAAATTCATGGAGCTTCAGAATCTGAGAACTTACCCAGGTGTTTCTAGAGGGAGGACAGAATGAGTCTGGCAGGTACCTTGTTTGGTCACTCAGTTCTCCTGAGGGTTGAGAGAAGCTCTACTTTGAATCCCACTTCCGACACCAACTGTTAAAAGAAGAATCCTAGGCAAATTTAATTTGTCAAAGTTTAATTGAGCAAAGATTGATTCATTAATCAGGTAGCCTCCAGAATCACAGCAGATTTAAAGAGACTCCAGTGCTACTGCATAGTCAAAGAAGATTTGTGGACAGGAAAAGAAGTGATATACAGATAATGGAAGAGAGGTACAGAAGTAGCCAGACTGGTTACAGCTTTGCCTTTGCCTTATGTGAACCCAGTTTGAACAGTTGGCCACCTTTGATTGGCCAAAACTCAGTGGTTGGAAGAAGAATATGTTACAGTCTGTTTATACATCCAGTTAGGTTACAGTCTGCTATGTAGGGAGAAACCTTTCAAATATGTATAGAGGCAGCGTTAGGCTAAATTTAACTTAACAAGCCCCAAGTGTGGCACCCTTCTGACCAGGCCCTGTGCAACTGCTTTGGTTGCATGCTGTTATGAGCAGAATGTTTTTGTTCCCCCCAAACTAATATGTTGAAATCCTAATCCTTGAGGTGATGGTAGTAAGAGGTGGGGTCTTTGGGAGGTAATTAGGTCATAATGGTGGAGCCCTCATGAATGGAATTAGTGCCCTTATAAGAAGAAATATGAGAGAGGTGATTTCTGTCTCCGCCCTGTGAGGATACAGTGAGAAGACCACCATCTGCCAACCAGGAAGTGGGTCCTCACCAGACAAAGGTCTGCAGGCACCCTGATCTTGGACTTCCAGCTTCTAGCACTGTGAGAAATGTTTGCTGTTTAGTCCACCAAGTCTGTGGTATGTTTGTCATGGCAGCCCGAACTGAGACACAACCGTGAAGCTGGGCTTGAATCTGATTCACTAGACAACGAATAGTCAATTGAAAAAATTGATCTGCAACTCCTGTGCCAATAACTACAGAGGTATTTTTCCTTAGAAACAATCTAAATTCCCAGCCAGGCCCAGTGGCTAACACCTGTAATCCCAACACTTTGGGAGGCCAAGATGGGCAAATCACTTGAGGTAAGGAGTTCAAGACCAGCCTGGCCAACATGGTGAAACCCCGTCTCTACTAAAAACACAAAAATCAGCCAGGCATGGTGGCAGGCGCCTGTAATCTCAGCTACTCAGGAGGCTGAAGCAGAAGAATTGCTTGAACCCAGGAAGCAGAGATTTCAGTGAGCCAAGATCGTGCCACTGCACTCTAGCCTGGGTGACAGAATGAGACTCTGTCTCAACAAACAAAAAAAAAAAGAAAAAAAGAAACAATCTAAATTTCCAACAGTAGGTAAACGCTTTAAGTTTACTATTATATGTGTTATGGATAATTATTTGACTATTAACAATGACTATCAACATTTTAATCCCATGAAAAATAAATGCTTATGCTACATTGGTGTTTGAAGGAAGTAGGATTTTTAAAAATTGTATTTGGATTCCATGATCTAAGCTATGTATGTAGAAGAAAAATTCATAGAAAAGCCCTAAAAAGAAAGTTACCAAATAATTAAGTTTTCTTTGAGTGGTAAGCTTAGGTATGACACTTTTTAACATGTCTCTAGGGGATTTTGTCTTTTTGGGGTGGGAATTGGATAATTTCTAGTATCCAATCCAATGCCAGCTTTCTTGTCAGTATACCCATCTTCCTGGTGGAGAATCCCCATTTTCCTGGTAGAGAATACCCATTGTAGGTAGTGTTGGTGGGAGCAGTGCCACAACAAAAGCTGAAGGGATCAGATTCACCATTTTCCTCTCCCTGGTACAGCCAGTGTTATGAGCACATGACCTATGATTTGGATAATTAAGTATTTTCCTAGCATTTTGAATCTTGATCTAACGTCCCAAGGCTGTAAGTATGGTCAAAGATATTTACTGCAAGGAATCTTCATTGCACTGCTGATGGGTTTTTCTGATGATGTAGTTTCTGTTGCTATGGTTCTTGTAGCCAGCCATTCCCACACAACACTGGCATCAGTTCACTCTCACCCTGGGTCCCCAGCAGATCCTGGGTTCTATGTCCTCTAATATCCTTCCTGTAAACTCCCTTCTGCTTAATCTACTCAGATTTGGTGTTCATTGCTAACTCAAGTAGTATAACTTATTTATTCTTTCTGTATTTCCACATTTTCTCTGATGAAAGCATGTCACTTTGATTAAATATATATATATATAATATATATATATATATATTTTTTTTTTTAATTGAGACAGAGTTTCACTCTGTTGCCCAGTCTGGAGTGCAGTGGCACCATCTTGGCTCAGTGCAACCTCTGCCTCATGGGTTCAAGTGATTCTCCTGCCTCAGCCTCCCTAATAGCTGAGATTACAGGCGCCTGCCACCATGCTGGCTAATTTTTGTATTATTAGTGGAGACAGGGTTTCACCATGATGGCCAGACTGGTCTCGAACTCCTGACCTCAAGTGATCCACCCCCCTTGGCCTCCCAAAATGTTGGGATTACAGGCGTGAGCCACTGTGCTCGACAAAATAGAAGTTTTTAAATAGGAAAAACACTGCTAAATAATCCCCATATCACTTTTTGCTCAGCAGTTTTAGACAATGATTTAGTTAAAAAATAAAATCAGCTTCACATATCTAGTTTATAAAAAATAAATGTCATCTTTATGTAACGAAACATTATTTTTAAACATAGATTTTAGAGAATAGTAAGCACAAATCCTTATAATGGAAAAATCAATAAATCACATCACTGATGGAAAATTAATGAAGCCATTAAAGTCACACATGAGTTTTTATTAAAGTCATATACTTACATTTTTAAAGCAAATATATTGAGTAGTTCTTCTGAAAAATTGCTTGCAAAATGTAATTTCAAATGACCTTGACACTAAACAGCCAAAAAATATGCTATTTCTCCAATTCCTGATTAGAAGCATAAATGGCTTCATGCACAGAATCAATAAAAATTTGTGGGAATTAATTGCATTCCACAAAATAAAATTATAAAATGTTTTATGGCATAAGTCAATTTTCTAATCCCCCCGCCCAGTTTCCTGTTCAAGGTACAAAAGTTACCAGAAGCAGACTTTCTTTATTAATAAGATAAAAATTTGTGTGGCTTTGTTATCAAGATAGTTTTGTTTTAAAAAGAGCTCCCTTAGGGTTCGCTGAAAATAATTGCATATATATATTAAATATATTAAATATATATATTAAATATATATATAAAATATATTATATATATTTAAATATATATATAAAATATATATATTTAAATATATATATAAAATATATATAATATATAATATAATAATATAATATAAAAATAATAATTATATATATAATATATCATATATTATATAAATATATATATAATATATACTATATATTATATAAATATATATTATATACTATATATTATATACTATATATTATATATAATATATAGTATATATTATATATAATATATATAAAATATTTATATATAAATATATATATATTATACATATATATATTTTTTTGAGATGGAGTCTCATTCTGTTGCCCAGGCTGGAGTGCAGTGGCGTGATCTTGGCTCACTGCAACCTCCGCCTCCCAGGTTCAAGCAATTCTCCTGCCTCAGCCTCTGGAGTAGCTGGGATCATAGGCACATGCCACCTGACTCAGCTAATTTTTGTATTTTTAGTAGAGATGGGGTTTGGCCAGGCTGGTCTCAAACTCCTAACCTCAGGTGATCTGCCCACCTTGGCCTCCCAAAGTGCTAGGATTACAGGCATGAGCCACTGTGCCCAGCCTTCTTCTTCCACGTATTTTTAGCATAGTTTTATTTGTGTGAACTATGGTACTCCATGTCCATTGTAAAGTCTTGATTTTCCTGTGAAGAGGGACTGAAAGATGAGTGGGGGAAATGATGCCTATTACCAGAAAGCGTACTTGTGAGGACATCTAATCCTGGACTGACCAATGCCTGGACTAAGTTGAGAAACCGACTTCTGCCTTAGGGGCCCCAATCCATCTCTGACGTTGTCACCTTTTTTGCTGTCACCACTGGTTAGGATTCCCCCTCACTTCTGTCTTACTTCTCTGCTTAGGATTTTCTCACACTGTCACTTTCAGAAACAAGTACACTAAGCACAATAAGGAAATAAAAGTATCATTTTATTATTTACAAAATTCCTCCTGGTGTCATCTTGGGAACAATGCAATGCAAGTCATGCAGGCAGACAAATGAACTGGGGCTTTGCTTATGACCCATTCTAAGTTGACTGTAGTTTTTTTTTTTTCCCAAATGCCAGTTTCTAGCATAAACAATGTGATATCAGTGTGTGTGTTTGTTTAAATCTACACTCTAAGACTGGTTTGTGTCCTAATTAGGAATATGTGTTTCAGCAATAGTTAGCTAACATTTAATGAAAGGCCACATTCCTGTCTCAAAAAACAAAAAAACAAAAAAACAAAAAAAGGCCAAATTCCAAAGGTGACTACAACATCCACTTTAGCTCTGATCAACACAGAGTTTTGTAATTAGCATTTGGGATGCTAGAAATAGGTTTTGTTGATGAAATTAGTGGTGTTCAAGATGTAAGTGTAGATATATATAGAAAGTTGTGTCAATAAGCAGAAATACAGAAACAATCCTCACCTTTGCATTAAAAGGGTCATCTTTGGAGTGGTATGAAGCTTTATTCTGATAAAGTTTGTATTCCACCCCTATATTAGTCCATTCTCACATTGCTATACAGAACTACCTTAGACTGGGTAATTTAATTCCATTCCATGAAATAAAATTATAAAAAGTTTTAAGGCATAAGTTAATTTTCTCACTCAACCCCCCATAAAGAAAAAAGGTTTAACTGACTCACAGTTCTGCAGACTGTATAGGAAGCATGGCTGGGAGGCCTCAGGAAATTTACAATCCTGGCAGAAGGAGAAGGGGAAGCAGGCATGTCTTACATGGCTGAAGAAGGAGGAAAAGGGCGAAGGGGGAGGTGCTACACACGTTTAAACAACCAGATCTCATGAGAACTCACTCACTATCAGAAGAAAATAAGGGGAAATCCAACCCCATGATCCAGTCACCTCCCACTAAGCTTCTCCTTCAACATTGGGGATGACAACTCAACATGAGATTTGGGCAGGGACACAAACCCAAACCATATCAGCCACTAATTTGGAGAATTCCTATTGCCTGTCATCTATAAAGTAACTGAATTCATCTCTGTTGTGTTGGTTACAATGAACTTTTCGTGCAAGTCGTGATGAGCACATTTGAAGGACAAAGTTGGGCCTTCATTGAGCTTACAAAACAAGTTTGTAATTTTTGTTTCTCTGTTTCATGCCAGTTTGCTAACAAATGTCTGCATATGTAGCAGAATTTAGTCTGAGATTTGCTCTCTTTATAAATCCGTTAGCAAAGTTGTGGCTAAGATCCTTACATCCCTCCTATACCCCTAAATATATATGGCTACTTATGGCAAAAAAGAACTCAGTAATTGCAAATGGCCAAATTGAGTTGAGTTCATTATTTTATTTTATTTTTTTAAACAGAGTCTTGCTCTGTCGCCCAGGCCGGGGTGCAGTGGCGCAACTGACTGCAACCTCTGCCTCCTGGGTTCAAGCAATTCTCCTGCCTCAGCCTCCTGAGTAGCTGGGATTACAGGCGCCCACCACCGCACCCAGCTAATTTTTATATTTTCGGTAGAGATGGGGTTTCACTATGTTGGTCAGGCTGGTCTTGAACTCCTGACCTCATGATCCACCTGTCTCGGCCTCTGAAAGTGCTGGGATTACAGGCGTGAGCCACCGTACCCAGACTTGCTTGGGTCCATTCTTAACACCTATCTATCAGAATGGAACAAGGGCTAGAAGAAACGACATGAACTTTAACCATGGGCCTTGCTTCAAAGGTACAACCAAGTCATCAATAAGAGCAAATGATTACCAGAAAGTGATGACAACCCAGGAGAAAACGATCTTATCAATTTTGAGTGTGTAACCACTAGGGGTACAATGGCTAAAGATAAGAACTATATATATGATATAAAGAAAAGATGGTTTCAAAGTATTGGTAAACTTTTATTTATTTATTTATTTTGAGGTGGAGTTTCTCTCTTGTTGCCCAGGCTGGAGTATAATGGCTCAATCTCAGCTCACTGCAACCTCCACCTCTCGTGTTCAAGAGATTCCCTTGCCTCCGCCTCCTGTGTAGCTGGAATTACAGGCATGCGCCACCACGCCTGGCTAACTTTGTATGTTTAGTAGAGATGGGGTTTCTCCATGTTGGTCTAGCTGGTCTCGAACTCCTGACCTCAGGTGATCCATCCGCCTCAGCCTCCCAACGTGCTGGGATTACAGGAGTGAGCCACGACACCTGGCCCAGTATTGGGAAACTTTAAAAAGTGTAATTTTAATTTTGCAAACATAAATCATTCCAAGGAGGAAGAAAGCAGGAGGTCCCTAAAGAAGCCATATGTAGTTCAGGTGCGGTGGCTCACTCCTGTAATCTCAGCACTTTGGGAGGCTGAGGTGGGCGGATCACAAGGTCAGGAGATCCAGACCATCCTGGCCAACATACTGAAACCCCATCTCTACTAAAAATACAAAAATTAGCTGGGTGTGGTGGCGCTCACCGGCAATCCCAGCTACTCAGGAGGCTGAGGCAGGAGAATCGCTTGAACCCAGGAGGCGGAGGTTGCAGCAAGTCGAGACTGTGCCACTGCACTCCAACCTGGCGACAGAGCAAGACTCCAACTCAAAAAAAAAAAAAAAAAGAAAAAAAAAGGAAAAGAAAAAGAAAAGAAACCATATGTATTTTTTTTTTATAGACCAAAGGTATGATTTTTTTTTTTAAGAAACTATGTGGGCTGGGCACGGTGGCTCATGCCTGTAGCCCCAGCAGTTTGGGAGGCCAAGGTGGGAGAATCACTTGGGCCCAGGAGTTCAAGACCAGCCTGCACAACGTGGTGAAATCCCACCTCTAAAAAAATTTACAAAACTTAGCCAAGCATAGTGGTGTGCACCTGTAGACACAGCTACTTAGGAGGCTGAGGCAAGAGAATAGCTTGAGCCCGGGAGGGTAGAGACTGCAGTGGGCCATGATTCCACTGCTGCACTGTAGCATGGGTGATGGAGAAAGACCTCATCTTTTTTTTTTCCACGACAAGAGTCTTGCTCTGTCGCCCAGAGCTGGAGTGCAATGGCACGATCTCGGCTCACTGCAACCTCCGCCTCCTGGGTTCAAGCAATTCTCCTGCCTCAGCCTCCCGAGTAGCTGAGATTGCAGGTGCGTGCCATCACTCCCAGCTAATTTTTTTTATTTTTAGTACAGATAGGGTTTCACCATGTTGGCCAGGATGGTCTTGATCTCTTGACCTTGTGATCCATTCGCCTCGGCCTCCCAAAGTGCTGGGATCACAGGTATGAGCCACTGCTCTGGGCCTACATATGGTTTCTTTAGGGACCTCCTGCTTTCTTCCCTCCTTGGAATGATTCATGTTTGCAAAATTAAAATTACTTTTTAAAGTTTACCAATATTTTGAAGCTATCTTTTCTTTATATCATATATACAGTTCTTACCTTTAGCCATTCTATCCTTAGTGGTTACACACTCGAAATTGATAGGATCATTTTCTATAGGCTAATTTTTTTATTTTTATTAGAGATGGGGTTTCACCATGTTGATCAGGCTGCTCTCAAACTCCTGACCTCAGGTGATCCACACCCACTGGCCTCCCAAAGTTCTGGGATTGCAGGCGTGAGCCACCGTGCCCAGCCTGGATTTCCTTCTTTGGAAAGGCTGAATACTGTTGCACTGTGTACATATACCATGTTTTCTTTAGTCATTCATCTGCTAATGGACACTTAAGTTGGCTTCATGTCTTGGCTATTGTGAATGATGCTGCAATGAACATGAGAGTGCAGATATCTCTTTGACATACTGATTTCACATCCTTCAGGTGTATACTCAGAAGTGGAATTGCTGGTTTATAAGTTAGCTTTATTTTTAACTTTTTGAGAAAACTCCATACTGTTTTCCATAATGGCTGTACTAATTTATATTCCTACCAACAGCATACAAGGGTTTTGTTTACTCCACATCCTTGCTGCTTGTATCTTTTGTCTTTTTGATGATAGCCATTACAACAGGTGTTAGGTGATATCTCATCGCTGTTTTGATTTGCATTTTCCTGATCATTAGTGATGCTGAGCATTGTTTCATACACCCGTTGGCCATTTGTATGTCATCCTCTAAGAAAATCTATTTTTATGAAATATCTTTGCCCATTTTTTAGTTAGATTGTTTTCTTATAATGGTGTTGTTTGAGTTATTTATATATTTCAGAAATAACCCCTTATCAGATATACGGTTTGCAAATATTTTCTCTCATTCTGTAGGCTGTTTCTTCACCCAGTTATTTCCATTTATGTGCAAAAGCTTTTTAGTTTGATGTAATCTCATTTGTCTACTTTTGCTCTTGTTGTCTGTGTTTTCGAGTCATATCCAAGAAAATAATTGCACAGACTAATTTTGTGTTAGCCTGTTCTTGCGTTGTTATAAAGAAATACCTGAGGCTGGGTAATTTATAAAGAAAAGATGTTTATTTTGGCTCATGGTTCTGCAGGCTGTACCGGAAGCATGGTGCTGGCATCTGCTTCTGGTGAGGGCCTCAGGGAGCTTACAATCATGGTGAAGGTGAAGGGGAGAAGCATATCACATGGTGAGAAAGGGAGCAGGAGAGAGAGGGGATGGTGCCACGCTCTTCTAAACAACCGGTTCTCCCATGAACTCAGAGCAATAACTCACACATCAGCAAGGATATGGTGCTAAGCCATTCATGAGGGATCCACCCCCATATTCCAGGCCCCACTGCAGCATTGGGGATTACATTTCATATGAGATTTGGAGGGGACAAACATCCAAACTATATCGAATGTCGAAGAGCTTGTCTTGTATGTTTTGCTTTCCTGCCTGCCTTTCTTTCCTTCCTTCCTTCCTTCCTTCCTTCCTTCCTTCCTTCCTTCCTTCCTTCCTTCCTTCCTTCTTTCTTTTCTTTCTTTCTTCTTTTTTTATCTTGCTCTGTTGCCCAGACTGGAGTGCAGTGGCAAATCTCAACTCACTGCCACCTCTACCTCCCAGGTTCAAGTGAACTTCCTGCCTCAGCTTCCCGATTAGCTGGGATTACAGGTGCACACTACCATGTCTGGCTAAGCGTATGTTTTCTTCCAGTAGTTTTACCATTTCAGGTCTTATGTTTAAGTTCTTAATCCATTTTGAGTTGATTTTTTAATATCATGTGAGATGAAGGTCTAATTTCATCCTGTATTTGGATATCCAGTTTTCCCAACACCACTGATTAATTGATTCATTGACTGATTGATTGAGAGAGGTCTCACTGTCATCAGGCTGGAGTGCAGTGTTGCAATCTCAGCTAACTCTAGCTTCCAACCTCCTGGGCTGAAGCGATCCTCCCACCTCAGCCTCCAAAGTAGCTGGGACTATAGGCACATACCACCACACCCAGCTAATTTTGTTTTATTTATTTATTTGAGACAGGGTCTGGTTCTGTCAGCCAGGCTGGAGTGCAGTGATATGATGTCGGCTCATTGCAGCCTTCACCTCCTGGACTCAAGCCATCCTCCCACCTCAGCCTTTCAAGTAGCTGGGACTACAAGAGCATGCCACCACATCTGGCTAACTTTTTTTTTTTTTTTTTTGAGACAGTTTTGCCCTTGTTGCTCAGGCTAGAGTGCAATGGTGTGATTTTGGCTCAGTGCAACCTCCACTTCCCAGGTTCAAGCGATTCTCCTGCCTTGGCCTCCCAACATGTTGGGATTATAGACATGAAACAACGTGCCCGACCCGTATTGGCTTTATAATAACCTACTTTCTGGGAACTAATCCATTCCCCAGAGAACCAATCTAGTCTTGTGAGAGCTAGAACTCACTCACTACCACTAGAAAGGCACCAAGCAATTCATAAAGGATCCACCCCATAATCCAAATACCTCCCACTAGGCCTCTTCACCTATCTCTGTCACACTGGGGATCAAATTTCAACATGAGATTTGGTGGGGGATAAACAAACCATATCCAAACAATAGCAATCACCACCTATCTAATTCCCCAATCCCCAAACTTAACATCTAGACTTTTGCTCACTCCTTACATCTAATCTATCACTTCTAATTCTGTTCTTTCTTCTCTGCTATTACAGTGCACGGTCCCCCAGTTTCCCTCACTTCTTTTTCTGTCCTGACTGAGAAATATAAAGTGACCTGGACAGCTGCATGTTTTCCCCTATAGGCTTGAACCCAAGCTGGGGCCTTGAACATTTGCAGGCACTGAGAAAGGTATCTAAGTTCTTGCCCAAAACACTGAAAGAAACTAGCTCTAGCCCTGAGCTACATTCCTTAAACTCTCACATAAACTCCATAGCCCAACGCCCTAGTTGCAGACATATCTTGGGAGAACATCCCTTATCTCCCTGTCCCAACAAGGACAGCTTGCAACCCCTTCTGTTTCTAAGTTCCCCTAATAAATGCTTTGGATCGATCACCTTGGCATCTAGTGCTTTTTGCTTTTTTTTTTTTTTTTTTTTTTTTGAGACAGAGTTCGCTCATGTTGCTCAGGCTGGAGTGTAATGGCGTGATCTTGGCTCACTGCAACCTCCACCTCCTGGGTTCAAGAGATTCTCCTGCCTCAGCCTCCTGAGTAGTTGGGATTACAGGCATGCCCCACCACGCCTGGCTAATTTTGTAATTTTAGTAGAGACGGGGGTTTCTCCACGTTGGTCAGGCTGGTCTCAAACTCCCAACTTCAGGTGATTCACCCGCCTGGGCCTCCCAAAGTGCTGAGATTACACGTGTGAGCCACTGCGCCCGGCTGCTTCTTGCTTTAGAATTCCAACCAGACCCATCTCAGGATGGTTTTGGGCACTCACCTGTGGGTATTCCCCTGCTATGGTTTCTGGGGTGACTCCAGCTATGGGTTCAGTCAGGATGAAACATGGACACAGGCCCTCATCATTTCTGTTCTGGATTATTAGAATAGCTTCCTAAATCGATGATCTGCTGCCATTCTTTTATTTTGTTGCCCATTCTCCACAAGATGACTCAAGTTATTTTCTTAAAATCTGACCATAAATGTATTTAATATATATTTATCTAGTGCTTACTATGTTCCTGGCACTGCACAAAGTATAGTATATATAATGTTGTAAAATAGACACAGAGTCTGCTCTCAGAGAACTGCAATCTAGAGAGTGGCTTAGGAAAATACATAGGCAATAAAAATGGAGTGTGACATGCTGTGATGGTTACTTTTAGGTGTCAACTTTGCTGGGCCACAATACCCAGATATTTGGTCAAACATTATTCTGGATGTTGCTATGAGAGTGTTTTTGGATGAGATTAACATTCAAATCTGTGGATTTTGAGTAAAGCAGATTGCCCACCATAATGTAAGTGAGCCTCATGAAATCAAGACCTGAATAGAACAAAAGATGGACCACCCCCAAATCCCATGCCTCACTCCCAGCAAGAAAAATTCTGCCAGTGGGTGGCCTCCAAAGGGCTGCAACAACACAAGCCCTTCCCTGGATGTCCCTCCTGTTCACCTACCCTGCAGATTTTGGACTTACCCTCTTTTATTATCAGGTAAGCCAATTCCTTAAAATAAATTTCTTTCATCCCTTGATGTCCACGGGGAATTGGTTTCAGGACCCCTGCAGATATCAAAATCCAAGGGTGCTCAGTCGCTTATATAAAATCTTACGGTATTTGCATATAACCTACACACATAATTCATATACTTTAAATCATATCTAGATTACTTATAATACCTAATACAATGTAAGTGTTGTGTAAATAGTTCTACTGTATTTTAAAAATTTGTATTGTTGTTATTGTATTTTTTCTTTTTCCGAATATTTTTGATATGCATTTGGTTGAGGGGTGACTGTATATACGTCCTATTGATTCTGTCTCTCTGGAAAAACCTGACTAATACAAATGCCCTATGTTGGAGAAAGTTTAGGGTGTCATCAGAGTATGTACCAATGGCACCTGACCCAGACTTGTGGGGTCAGAGAAGGCAACACCTCAAACCATGTTCATGAATAGATTTCATCTCACGTACCACTGGAATTACTCGGTAGTGGCTGTCTAGTGATCTGGTCTTTCAAAGGACTTGAAGCCACATCAGGGATTGGGGGAAAGAATGTCATGTGAAAAGAAGGAAAATTAAATTTGAGGTTGTGCTGGTTAGCAAATGCCTGATCATTAGCAGTTCTTGTAATGTTTCTAAGTGAGACTACTTTATCCCCAGGGCACTTGGATGCCATTAAAGCCAGGAAATCACTTGGTCAGGTTTTCATTTAGGAATTTACTCAATGTAGAGAAATGAGAGAGTTCTGTAGTAGAATGTTAAAAATATTTTATAAATGAGGAATGTGAGGTTAAAAAGGTTAAGTAAATCTTCTAAGATTATATCCCTACTAAGTCTGGAGTCCCATTTCTAACCTAGCTCTGTCCAGCCTATGGTTGTTCTTCCTATCATCTTCTAGTACACAAATGCCATCACAGTTGTCCTTAATATGCCATAGTCATTCATGTCCTTTCATTCCTGCAATGTGTTAGCCGCCACACCTGGCCAGTCTTAGTTTATTGTTATTGTTATTTTCCCTAGAGACAGAGTCTTGCAATCATAATTCACTGCAGCCTGAAACTCCTGGGCTCAAGGGATCCTCCTGCCTCTGCCTCCTGAGTAGCTGAGACTACAGGTGCATGTCACCATGTCTGACTAATTAAAAAAATTTTTTGTAGAGACGAGGTCTTGCTATTATGCCCAGGCTGGTTCCAAAATCCTGACCTTAAGAGATCCTCCTGCCTCGGCCTCCCAAAGTGCTGGGATTACAGGCATGAGCCACTGCATCTGACCTTTGATTTATTTTTAAGAGGTTTCTTATAGAAGATAAAATTACTCACTTATAAAACTTAATATTAATTTCCATTTATTAAGTGACTATAATGTGTCAAGAATTGTATGTGGAACTTTACATATAATATTTCAATTATCACAAAATCTTTGAAAAGTGGTTAATATTATCATTTAGATTGTACAGATGATTAAACTGAGTAGTTGAAAGTTTCATAGTGTAGCATTTGCAATAAATTCATATTATATCAAAATCCACTCTCTTTACACAACCCTACAGTGTCTTTGTGTGTAGATGTGCTGTTTGTATTCTCATATGTTGGGTAGGTCTGTTCTCTTTGAGGTGCTGACTCATATTTGTAATTACACTTCTTTCTAATTTATTTCTGGTTGTCCCTAGATATTAGAATTAGATTTATTTCACTAAGCATTATTATTATTATTTTTTTGAGATGGAGTTTCGCTCTGTCATCAGACTGGAGTGCAGTGGTGCGATTTCAGCTCACCACAACCTCAGCCACCCAGGTTCCAGCTATTCACCTGCCTCAGCCTCCCAAGTAGCTGGGATTACAGGTGTGCACCACCATGCCAAACTAATTTTTGTATTTTTAGTAGAGATGGGGTTTCACCACATTGGCCAGGATGGTCTCGATCTCCTGACCTCGTGATCTGCCTGCCTCGGCCTCCCAAAGTGCTGGGATTACAGGCGTGCACTACCGCATCCAGTCTCACTCAGTATTCTTTAATGAAAGAATCGTATGATAATTTTTAATCTTTACATTTTACTTTATAATATTGTACTATGCAAAAGCTCAAACTAATTGGTTTTTAAATTAAAATTATTGGTGATGGCATTATCTCAAATTATGTTTCTATAAAATTGCATTAATACTGGTTGTGTGTGAACCTGACAAAAACAAGAAATGGGGAAAGGATTCCCTATTTAATAAATGGTGCTGGGAAAACTGGCTAGCCATATGTAGAAAGCTGAAATTGGATCCCTTCCTTACACCTTATACAAAAATTAATTCAAGATGGATTAAAGACTTAAATGTTAGACCTAAAACCATAAAAACCCTAAAAGAAAACCTAGGTAATACCATTCAGGACATAGGCATGGGCAAGGACTTCATGACTAAAACACCAAAAGCAATGGCAACAAAAGCCAAAATTGACAAATGGGATCTAATTAAACTAAAGAGCTTCTGCACAGCAAAAGAAACTACCATCAGAGTGAACAGGCAACCTACAGAATGGGAGAAAGTTTTTACAATCTACCCATCTGGCGAAGGGCTAATATCCAGAATCAACAAAGAACTTAAACAAATTTACAAAAAAAAATCAAACAACCCCATCAACAAGTGGGCAAAAGATATGAACAGACACTTCTCAAAAGAAGACATTTATGCAGCCAATAGACGCAGGAAAAAATGCTCATCATCACTGGTCATCAGAGAAATGCAAATCAAAACCACAATGAGATACCATGTCACACCCGTTAGAATGGCGATCTTTAAAAAGTCAGGAAACAACAGGTGCTAGAGAGGATGTGGAGAAATAGGAACACTTTTACACTGTTGGTGGGACTGTAAACTAGTTCAACCATTGTAGAAGTCAGTGTGGCGATTCCTCAAGGATCTAGAACTAGAAATACCATTTGACCCAGCCATCCCATTACTGGGTATATACCCAAAGGATTATAAATCATGCTGCTATAAAGACACATGCACACGTATGTTTCTTGTGGCACTATTCACAATAGCAAAGACTTGGAACCAACCCAAATGTCCATCAAAGATAGACTGGATTAAGAAAACGTGGCACATATACACCATGGAATACTATGCAGCCATAAAAAATGATGAGTTCATGTCCTTTGTAGGGACATGGATGAAGCTGGAAACCATCATTCTGAGCAAACTATCTCAAGGCCAGAAAACCAAACACCGCATGTTCTTACTCATAGGTGGGAATTGAACAATGAGAACACATGGACACAGGAAGGGGAACATCACACACCGGGGCCTGTTGTGGGGTGGGGGGAGGGGAGAGGGATAGCATTAGGAGATATACCTAATGTACATGACGAGTTAACAGGTGCAGCACACCAACATGGCACATGTATACATATGTAACAAACCTGCATGCTGTGCACATGTACCCTAGAACTTAAAGTATAATAATAATAAAAAAAACAAAAGCAAAAAAAAAAAAAGTACTGATTGTGTGTGGTTGTTGATTTACACTGCCCGTATGGTAAAACTTGGTATAAATTTTCTGGAGAACACTTTGGGAAGATGTGCCAAAACTTTAAAATCTGTATACTTTAAAAAAAAAACCTAGTTACTCCAGACTATTTCAAACATATATAAAAGTAGACAGAATACTATAATAAACCCTCCTGTGTCTATCACTGATATGTTCTGGCTGTGTTCCCACCCAAATCTCATCTTGAATTGTAGTTCTCATAATCCCCACGTGTCATTGGAGGGACCCGGTGGGAGGTCATTGAATCATGGGGGTAGTTACCCCTATGTTGCTGTTCTCATGCTAGTGAGTGAGTTCTCATGAGATCTGATGGTTTTATAAGGGGCTTTCCCTACTTTTGCTCGGCACTTCTTGCTGCCACCATGTGAAGAAAGATGTGTTTGCTTCTCTTTCTACCATGATTGTAAGTTTCCTGAGACCGCCACAGTTATGCTGAGCAGTGAGTCAATTAAACCTCTTTCCTTTACAAATTACCCTGTCTTAGGTATGCCTTTATTAGCAGTGTGAAAATGGACTAATACAGTAAATTTGTACCGGGAGTGGGGCGCTGCTGTAAAGGTACCCAAAAATGTGGAAGTGACTTTGGAACTGGGTAACAGGCAGAGGTTGGAACAGTTTACAGGGCTCAGAAGAAGCCAGGAAAATGTGGGAAAGTTGGAACTTCCTAGAGATTTGGAGGGCTTGGAAGACAGGGAAGATGTGGGAAACTTTGGAACTTCCTAGAGACTTGTTAAAGGGCTTTGACCAAAATGCTGATAGTGATATAAAGTCCAGGTTGAGGTGGTCTCAGATGGAGATAAGGAATTTGTTGGGACCTGGAACAAAGGTGACTCTTGTTATGCTTTAGCAAAGAGACTGTTGGCATTTTGCCCCTGCCCTAGAAAGCTGTGGAACTTTGAACTTGGGAGAGATGATTTAGGGTATCTGGTGGAAGGAATTTCTAAGTGGCAAAGCATTCAAAAGGAAGCAGAGCATAAAAGTTTGGAAAATTTGCAGTCTGACAATGCAATATAAAAGAAAAACCCATTTTCTGGGGAGAAATTCAAGTCTGTTGCATAAATTTGCATAAGTAATAAGGAGCCAAATGTTAATCACTAAGATATTGGGGAAAATGTCTCCAGGGCATGTCAGAGAACTTCAGAGCAGCCCCTCCCATCACAGGCCTGGAGGCCAATGAGGGAAAAATGGTTTCCTGGGCTGGGTCCAGGGCCCCACTGCTCTGTGCAGCCTGTGTCCCAGTTGCTGCAGCTCGAGCCATGGCTAAAAGAGGCCCAGGTACAGCTCAGGCCATTGCTTCAGGAGGTGCAAGCCCCGAGCCTTGTCAGCTTCCACATGGTGTTGGGCCTGCAGGTATGCAGAAGACCAGAATTGAGGTTTGGGAACCTCTGCCTAGATTTCAGAGGATGTATGGAAGCACCTGGGTATCCAGGCAGAAGTCTGTTGCAGGGGTGGGGCCCTCATGGAGAACCTCTGCTAGGGTAGTGTGGAAGGGAAATGTGGGGTTGGAGCCCCCACACAGAGTCCCCACTGGAGAACTGCCTAGTAGAGCTGTGAGAAGAGGGCTACCATCCTCCAGACCCCAGAATGGTAGATCCACTGACAGCTTGCACCTTGTGCCTGGAAAAGCCACAGACACTCACCACCAGCCTGTGAAAGCAGCCTGGAGGGGGGCTGTACCTTGAAAATTCACAGGGGCAGAGCTGCCCAAGGCCGTGGGAGTGCACTTCTTGCATCACTGTGACCTTGATGTGAGACATGGAGTCAAAGGAGATCATTTTAAAACTTTAAAATTTAACGACTCCCTATTGAATTTTGGACTTGCATTGGGCCTATAGCCTCTTTGTTTTGGCCAGTTTCTTCCATTTGGAGCAAGCATATTTACCCAATGCCTGTACCCCCATTGTATCTAGAAAGTAACTAACTTGCTTTTGATTTTACAGGCTCATAGGCAGAAGGGACTTCCCTTGTCTCAGACAAGTCTTTGGACTTGGACTTTTGGGTTAATGCCAGAATGAGTAAAGACTTTGGTGGACTGTTGGGAAGGCATGATTGTGTTTTGAAATGTGAGGACGAGATTTAGGAAGGGCCAGGGATGGAATGATATGGTTTGGCTATGTCCCCACCCAAATCTCATCTTGAATTGTAGTTCCCATAATCCCCATGTATTGTGGGAGGGACCTGGTGAGTGATAATTCAATCATGGGGGCAGTTACCCTTTTGCTGCTGTTCTTTTGCTAGTGAGTGAGTTCTCATGAGATTTGATGTTTTCATAAGGGGCTTTTCCCCCTTTTGTTTGGCACTTCTCCTTGCTGCCACCATGTGAAGAAGGATGTGTTTATTTCCCCTTCCATAATGATTGTAAGTTTCCTGAGGCCTCCTTAACCATACCGAACTGTAAGTCAATTAAAACTCTTTCCTTTGTAAGTTAACCAGTCTCAGGTATGTCTTTATTAGCAGCATGAGAATGAACTACTACAATCACCCAGCTTCAACAATTATCAACTCATGGTAAATCTTGTTTCATATATACCCTTTTTTTATATATACCTTTTCATATATACCTTTTTTCCCTTTCTATATTATGTTGAAGTAAATCCTAGATATTATATCACTTCATTTCTTTTTTTCTAAAAAAATTATATATGCCATGTTTATCATTTGCATTTATATTTTCAAATTTATACTGAATTATAATGTTCATATAGAAAATGTGGTGCTCTCTAAACTTTCACAAACTGAGCACACTGAGTAACTAATAGCTAGATCAAGAAACAGAAGACTTTGTATTCAGTAAATTTTTCAACATACCTATTGTACTACTATTGCAAAAAACAAACAATAATTCTTTAATATCATTAAATAACCAGTGTTCAAATTTCCAAATGTCTTATAAATGTCACAATTTATTTTTTAACAGTTTATTTTTTTGACTCAGGGTCCAAATAGGTACACACATTGCAACTGACTGATTGGTTAATCTCTTTTAATATTTAGGTTTCTCCTCCATCCCTCATTTATTTCTTCCTTGGAATTTATTTGTGTGAAAAACCAAAACATGTTCCTATGTATTTCTTGTAAATTGATACTTGTATCTAGAGGCTCTTTCATATTCAGGTTAGATTTTTATGGCAAGATGACTACATAGGTGCTGGTGTATTCCTCTGTCAGTGAACATCTAATGCTTTATTCTCTCTCTTTGTGATGCCAGCAGGTACTTACGTTCAATGTCTGGATCAGTTATTTTCATTAGGGTTTTAAAAATAATAATATTCTACTTTTTACATTCCTTCTTCATTTGTTAGCTGGACTACTTCTGTTCACAGATTACTATTTGATTTTCCACTGGTACAGTCTGTACAGAGCAGGCAGGATAAATGATTGATTCTTTCCTTTATTTGTCAGTTTTAAAAATAATGAAATGGTTCATTAGCAACCTCCAACAGTGATTGTTTTTCTTTTTATTTTATTTATTTATTTATTTATTGAGACGAAGTCTCGCTCTGTCTCCAGGCTGGAGTGCAGTGGCGTGATCTCGGCTCACTGCATCCTCCACCTCCCGGGTTCAAGTAATTCTCCTACCTCAGCTTCCTGAGTAGCTGGGACTACAGGCATGTGCCATCATGCCCAGCTAATTTTTGTATTTTTTTAGTAGAGACGGGGTTTCACCATGTTGGCCAGGATGGTCTGGATCTCCTGACCTCATGATCCACCCGCCTTGGCCTCCCAAAGTGCTGGGATTACAGGCATGAGCCACCGTGCCTGGCCGAATGTTTTTAGTTTTAAGCTATATTATGAGTCATGGATTTAAATATATTTTGTGTGTTATAATTCATTATTGAACTACTCAACAATAGGGGTTCATTAAATAAGTCATAGCATAACTACACAATAAAATAGTATTACATAGCCACTAAAATAATAATATCAATGTGTATTTATTCACCAGAAAGTTATTTATGATATTTTATTTAAAACTTATTTTTAAAATATTAAATGCATGCTCATAGTATCAAAGGTATTACAGTGACAGATTTCTTTCTCACCTTTGTTCCCAAGTCACCTAGATTCCCATCTAGAAGTCCTCTACCTTTGTGTAAACTTGTATATTCTTCCAGAGATTTCTAGAGCTGATAGTTCACCTGGTATTTATTATTGTGGCTGTATTGGATGTTAAAAATAATGAAACACTTCTATAAGGTTGCTATACAGTTGGTTCCCTGAACCTACCCCTTCCTCCTTGGGCACCCAAACCCTTCCCTGCTGCCCCCAAGACCTTGCCCATCATCCATTAATTGAAGAGTTAATGCTTCACACAGCAGGCAGCATATGTGGTCCTATTCAAGCTACAGCCAGTATCTGTTGTCATTGGTCCTTGCCTGTCCTGTACAGTTGCAAGTATTTTAATATTATCCTTGGAGATTTCTATGCCTTTAGGAGCAAATTTTATATTATAAAACATTATGTTTTGTAAAACAAATCTAAATCTAAATATATGAATATAATATGTTCTGGACTGATACATATCAAAGCATTATAAGTAAATTTTTCTGGTGGCATAATTATGAGTGATCTTTTTTTCTTTTTAATCTTAACTGCAGTTCCAGATTTCTCTATAATGGGCAGATTATTTACACAGCAAAAAATTAAAGTGTATCTCTAAACCAGTTTTATTTCATAAAAAAGAATGGAGATGTCAACATTTTTCAATAGCTCCATCTGCTGGCTGCTGAATAAAGCTAATTTTAAATATCAAGTTTTAACTAAATGAGACAGCCAGAAGAAATAGAATTCCTGTGTTAGAGCAAAGTATGCTTCCTACGTATCCATGAAGAGTAAGTATTAGGAGTCAATTTACTTGGAATAAGAGGTGATACAAACTTGGTTCCATATAGAGTGAGCTACTACCCTATGCTCAAAAACAGGCTGCTTGCCTAGAACAGAAACGTGAAACTGAAAAATTGTTTTGGAGTTTTTGGCCATCTTACACTGGAATGCTGATTTTTAAATTAAAAAAAAATTTTTTTTGAGACAGAATCTTGTTCTGTTGCCCAGGCTGGAGTGCCATGGTACGATCACTGCTTACTGGAACCTCTCCTCATCTCAAGTGATCCTCTCTCCTCAGCCTCCCGAGTAGCTGGAACTACAGGTGCATGCCACCATGCCCAGCTAACTATTTATTTTTTATAGAGGGAGGTCTTGCTATGTTGCCCAGGCTTGTCTCAAACTCCTGGGCTCAAGCTATCTGTCCACCTCAGCCTCCCAAAGTGCTGGGATTGCAGGAATGAGTCACCATGCCCGGCCTGTAGATTTTTCAAATAGCGCAAAAGTAAATAACATTGATTAGTGATTGCATGTGAATATATGTGAAACATATTATATTGAAGGAATTTATACGCCTTTGCACAAATATTCAAAGCAGCAGTCTAAATTCTCCTTTGTCATTCTCCTTACTTTTCAAGTGAAATTGCTCTTGGTTCTATATCTCTTTATTATTTCCAGAAGTTGAACTGATGATAAATGCTTTCTTAAACCCAAATCTCTCTTTGGATGATAATGCAAGCTACGATATTTTGTGTAAAAATTTCTGACATCTATCTTTGGAACTCTTTAAAAAAGTTAGATGTATCAAACATATTCCAATATAGTTTCTGAAGATCTAGTTTACAGAAATTTCCCAGATGATTTTGGTATTCTTCCACTCCACTCGAGTTAAGAACAGCTGCCCTGGGACTGTAGATGAATGTGGCATCCTTTCAGGAATATTTGCATTGTAAAGAGGATCACAGGATGGGCACAGTGCCTCATGCAGGGGATTAATTGTGGAGGGAGAAATTTGAGGCACCAGGGGCTGAGTCTTGGATGAGGGTGAAGGAAAAGAGCCCGTATACCATCTTTCAGCAGTAGTGATGTCATGAATGAAGGATCAACTTCAGGGGCTTGGAGTTTATCAAAATGCCTCACCAGTTTGCCTAATGCCTAAAATATCACAAAGCTAATTTCTGTTGGGCTTAGTTTCTCCTAATGGATATGAATGGGTTAGTGTTTTTTTTTTTTTTTTTTTTGAGATGGAGTCTCGCTCGGTTGTCTAGGCTGGAGTGCAGTGGTGCGATCTCCGCTCACTGCAACCTCCCCCTACCGGGTTCAAGCAATTCTCTGCCTCAGGCTCCCAAGTAGCTGGGATTACAGGCACCTGCCACCACACCTGGCTAATTTTTGTATTTTTAGTAGAGACGGGGTTTCGCCATCTTGGCCAGGCTGGTCCTGAACTCCTGACCTCGTGATCCACCTGCCTTGGCCTCCCAAAGTGCTGGATTACAGGCGTGAGCCACCGAGCCCTGCCTAACTTTTTCAAGTAACACAACCACATTCCAACATGTTTTCTGAGAATCCAATGCCTTAACCCAATAAATTAGTCTAGTGGGAATTTCAGCACTGTTGCAGGCTAACAGGGATCATATTTTTGTCTTGACTAGCCTTTGGGACATACCTTGAATTATGCTGAACCGGTAATGTTTGTCTAGGTAGGGCCCAGTCTTATCATTTACTAATTAGCTGCCCAGTGTGCTCTACTATGTATAATATGATAAACATTTCACCATATTTTGGAAACCATGCTGTAGTGCAGCAAGGCTGTACTCAAAATGCAGTAGGGGCCATAGGGGTATATTTAGGACTGTCCAGGTTAATTGTGTGCATTCCTGATGTCTTTCAACTTGCTAACCTCTTTAACCTCAAATTTGGACTCTATTAAAAAAAGCCCAGGTAACTCAAATATGAGTGATGTGGCAGACTGAATAATGGTCCCCTTACAATATCCATGTCGTAATCCCCAAACCTTTGAATATGTTATGTTACATGGCAAAGGGGAATAAAGGTCACTAATCAATGGACCTTAAATTAGAGATTATCCAAGTGGGCCCAATATAATCACAAGAGTATTAAAAGTGGATGAGGGAGTCAGAGGAAGAGCTGCGGTGACAAAAGCAGGTCAGAGAGACGCCATGGAGCTGGCTTTGCGGATGGAGGAAGGAGGATATGAACCAAGGGATCTGGGCAGCCTCTGGAAGAAGGAAATAGTAAGAAAAGGGATTCTCCTTTGGAGCCTCCAGAAAGACACACAGCCCTGACAACACCTTGATTTTAGCCCAGCGAGATACCTGTCAAACTTCTGCACTCCAGTAAGACAATAAGTTTGTGCTCTTTTAAGCCACCAACTTTGTGATGATTTGTTATAGTGACAAAGTAAAATTAGTAGAGGTGGGAACTACATTTGTGGTTATTCATAATCAAAGACAATTCTCCTAACCATTTCTGTATAAAACCAGCATTTGGACATAATTCCCACATAATTTCTCTTTCTTGGTGTAGAAAGCATTCACAACTGAGTTTTGAATGGTTCACACTCTTAAACTGTCTTAAACAATGTTGTGTTATGTTGCTCCTAATGAATTGCAACTTGGCTATTTTTAAAAATCCCAAACACAGAAGATTATTTTTGTTCAAATATCAACTTTAGATTTTAGTTTTCCCAAACAATATTGTTTTAAATGAAGGTTTATATTACTGATTTCTGTAAAGCCACTTGCAGTCATATAAAAGTATGCCCTTTTGTTAGAAACTATGCCTCATTAAAGCTTTAGGGTTTTTCCTCTGTCTGTCCTAATGGTAATTGCCCCATTGACCCTTACAATGTAGCTATTTTGAAGGCTATCTCCTTTCTGCCCACTCTTTTCTTGGGCTTAATCCTGTGGTGTTAGCAGCCTAACGTGGGCAATATGTATTCCGGGCCTCATTGAAATTCAAGGCATCATTTTATAAGAGAGAGGGTTAATGGTGAAACTGGCAAAACTGCTCACAAAGTTGACGTGACACCTTCAGCCCTTTCAGGACTCACTGCCATATACAAGATGTAGAGTGACATTCTTAAACAATTCATACATCCAACAAAATATTTACTGAGGCTTCCAGGTGTCAAATAATGGGGATAAGAGCACTGAATAATTTATACAAAAACTCTTAGCCGGGCATGGTGGCTCACGCCTGTAATCCTAGCACTTTGGGAGGCTGAGGCAGGCAGATCACGAGGTCAGGAGATCGAGACCATCCTGGCCAACATGGTGAAACTCTGTCTCTACTAAGAATTACAAAAAATTAGCTGAGAGTGGTGGTGTGTGCCTGTAGTCCCAGCTGCTTGGGAGGCTGAGGCAGGGGAATTGCGTGAACTCAAGAGGGAGGTTGCAGCGAGCCAAGATCGCGCCACTGCACTCCAGCTTGGCGACAGATCAAGACTCCATCTCAAAAAAAAAAAAAAAAAAAAGAAAGAAAAAAGAAAAAAAAATTCTTGCTTTCATCCTGGCTTTCTTCTGAAACTTTCTGGCTTCCTGGCTTTGGAGGTTTGGGAATTGAAGAAAATAAAGTAAAAAACATAATAAAAACAACCAAAGAGGAAAGGTTTTTCTAGATCTAGACATCCTACTCTCCCATACAAGATTTATGTTGATGGAACAACGATGTAAAATAAGAAAATTCCTGAGATAATTTTAAAAAGAGGGCAGAAAAAACTCATAGTAGACTTCATCGAGGAATGTATAAAATGGGTAGAACCTGGAGTATTCAGTGGCAAAATCTTGGACACAGGAATACAGTAACACAACATATTGGTCTAGCAAGCACTGGAGGAGACTGAGGCGGAATTGTCCAGCGAATCCCACAAAAATGGAAATGAAGAGGTCTCAGTATCTCTAGGTGCCCGGGTCCGATGGAATACCGATGTACATACCTTTTCTAACACAGTAGCATTAGTTTATATATCAGCATTACCTCTCTTTTGTTTCAGTTGATAAGTATCCTACTGTAATCCATTCATTCACACTTTGCTTGTTCATTGTTGAAACAAATTCTCCCTGGAACAAAATTCTAGTAACCAAATACATCATATCAGGGGAAACTTCCTTACAGCAGGGATGGTATTAAAGTAAAAAGAGGAGGAAGTCCCTTCTTCAGCTCTGGCAGGGACCCGGCTGGGGAGGAAACCTTCCCGCAAGGTAGGTGATCTGCTGTGGTGACCAGGCTAAACCCACTCTACAGCTGCAGGAGGGACTGGCATCCCTTAGAGGTGAAGAGGGGAGGAGACCCACCTCCTGGAATGTGTCCCTGTGGTCTCCAGATGATTTCTTCCTCTAATAAGGACAATTCTGCCAAAGGAATGGAATGCTTCGTCACAGGCTCAATTACTCTGTCTCCGCCAGCCTACCACCTATAAACAATTCCTCAAATTAGGAAAGCGGGGAGATTTAATAAAGACATAACACGTAAAGTGTAGGAAAACTATTTGTATGGCATTCCGAGACGACTAGGTCAGAGTTAACAAGTAAGGAGCAAAGTAGTTAATAATACCAATTCTGTTTACCCATCACAACACCTGTGCTGAATGTCAGGGTTTAAAAAAATCTCCCAACCTTTATCTAAAAAGATAGGGCTACGTAACAATCGGTGTGGTTTTTGTCGGTAGAGGTCTAGGAAGCCGCAAGAGTAGTGGACGCCTTGACAGCTGCCCTTCTCGCGGGCCCCGCGGCGGCGTGCCCGTGTGGTTGCGTGCGCGCGGACGGGGCGGGGCTGAGGAGGGACGTGCGCGCGCGCGGACGGGGCGGGGTGGAGCTCGGAGGGCGGACGCGCTCGGGGCCGTCTGGTCGGCAGGGGGCGCTGCGCACCCATGCCGCGCTCTGCCTGCCCCCGGGTGCTGTCCGCGGCGGTTCGATTGGAGCAGCCGCCGAAGAGCGCTTGGCGCCATTTTGAAGCGGAGAGGAGGAGGAACGGCAGGGCTGGCTGCGGAAGGGGAGGGGGGGGGAGAAGGCGATTGGATGCGGCGGCGGCGGCGGATCCCGGAGAGCCCCGGAGTGAGCGGAGTAGCGAGTCGGCAACCCGGAGGTAGGAAACAATTCAGTTAACGGAAAGAAAATGTCTCTCTTCTCTGGCTGCGGCGCTCCATTTTTCAGCGGCCGCCACTGCCGCTGTGTGCGTGTGTGTGGCAGGGCTGAAGCGCCGCCCGCCTGGGTGCCAGGCGCGACTCGCCTCCCGGCATCGGGGGCTGCAGCGGGTGGCTGCCTGGCGGTGGCCCGGGGCGGGGGTCGCGGGGCGCGGGCCGGCTGCGCGGTGGGGGTGGGGAGGGCCCCGCGGCCGGCGCGCGCCTCCACGCCGCGGGTTCTGCCGCAGCCTCTGGAAAATTAAACTTGCCGCTCTGATCCCGGCCGGGGCGGCGGCGGCGGCGGGCGGTGACCTTGCGCGCGGGCGGGGGTCTCGGGGCCGCCCGGCCGCCCGCGCCCTCCCGCCGCCGCCGTCGCCGCCGCCGCGCCCCTCCCCCCGCGCCCCGGCCGGCCGGCGGCTGTTTCCCGGGCGGCAGGCGGGCGGCGCGGTGCTCCTGTTGAATCCTCCCGCGGGCGGGCTTCTCCCCCTTCCGGGCGAGGGGCGGGCGGGGACCGCGGGTCGGGGCCGCGGGCGCTCTCGCCCCCGCCGCCGGGTCCCCGCGCGCCGCCTGGCCTCCGCTTCGGGCCAGGGGACGGGCTGAGCGTGACATTTTTGCACTGTCCCTCGCCGCTCGCCGGAGGGAAATCGCGCTCACCGCGCCACCCCGAGTGGTCCCCGAGCAGCCAGTTGAGGAAGAGCCCAGCACTGGCGTGGAGGGACTCCTCCCAGGCCACAACTGGGTTCTAGCTTTCCTTTCAGAAGGAACGGCGGGGAAAATGGTGTGCAATTGTGACTCGTTATTGTTTTTACACTGTTATTTTAATGTTACTTTAAAAGTTTTCGGTCCGGAGAAAAACCTTGTTTGTTGTTGTTGCTGCTACTGCTGTTGGTTTTTGGTAGAGACGTGAAAGCTAACTCTTAAGTAGCTCGACAGTTATTTTGGACGAATGACTGAAACCAGAAACGCCGCCCCTCGCCTTCGGAGCTGCAGGCTGCTGCGTTCCTTGCCGCGGACGGGGCGAGCTCCGGGAAGGGTTGGTAGAGCAGCTACCCACCCACTCCACGCGCGTCTTCAACAGCCTCTCTCCCCCAGCGAGGGTTAACCCTTTTTTATGTCGAAGAAAGTGCTTCTCGTACTTTTAATAAGAGGTGATGGATGGGCAGTGGTGCCCAGACTGATCCTACCCTGTTGATGAAATAGTTTCGAAAACTTTGGGTATAGCCTTAATTTAGAGGGTTGGTCTGCGGTGTGGAGAGAGTTGGGTAATCCTATACTATCTTCCTAATGAACTTCAAAAACTCAAGTTGTGTTTACATACAGGAGGCGAGCTGTAAATAAATCGTAATTACCCAATGCTTGAACGGCAGTATAGTCATTGTTCTCAGTTAACACATCCCGAGTTCCCAGACAGAACGTTTTTTATATTAACTCATGTAGTGGTCAGGTAAAGTAATTAAAAGCCACAAATATGGACTTGAAAGACAGCTCTTCATGCAGTACACATGTCTGAGATGTTCGCATCTTTAGGGACAATAAAATGAGTATTCAATGGTGTATGCAGGTCAGTTCGTGCAACAATTAATCTTGTATCTCATGGTGATAGCAGAAAACCTAATTAAAATTTGTAGTGCTGAATATGTAGGTGAAAATTACATGGGAACTTTTATGTGAAGATAGATTTAGTCTCAGAAACTTAACTGTAAAAACACATCTTAAGAACATTATTCCTTATAAATAAAATTTGTACTTAATATACATTTACAAATATGTCTAACAAGATGCACTTTAGACTTTATAAAAATTACCAAAATAGTGACTTTTTCCTCCTTTTTCTGATGGTTTTAAAAATTGTTCTCTTCTCAGCTGGCGTTTACTTAAAGGTATATTTTAAATGGGAAGGTAGTGTTTGTCTTGGCCTTTTTTCTTTTTTTCTTTTCTCCTTGTTTCGGTTAAGGCTGATTTTCCCTATATTAACTTTTCTTTTACAGCAGCTTTTGTTACTCTTGTAGGCTTTGTTCTCTCGTGTTATGTCTCTCCCCTCTCCCCATATTAGAGAGAGATGTGGTGATGATAGTGATTGTTGTTAGGAGATGTTTGTATTAAGCTTATTTGTAATAAGATTCTACCGAGTTGGCTGTTGGATGAAAGTTGTTTAAATTGTTCTGCAGCTTTGTTTAACGAAGTAACATTTTGAGCAGTAGGCTTTATCAATAATTTGTTAGGCCTAAGATAAAGTGATACTCTGTATTAGGCAGGGCTTGCCCTGGAGAGGGGTGCAATGGTAGAAAATACCCAAAACTTTGTGGGGAAGGAATATTTCGGGAAGCTGTATTCTTTCTGCTTTACCTCTTGGGAAATTTAGAGACTGCCTTAGAACTAACAGGAGTGCTCAGTATGATTTGGCATACGGACTCTTGAATGACATGGACTGTATATAACGTATATTGGAAAAGAATACATTTGTGTTTCCTCTGTTAGTGTTAAAGAGCAACAAGAAAACTTAAGGATGATCTCCAACTCACTTATACATGAGAAATTAGGTTCAGATTTTAATTTCATTGATTTATCTGAGGTCACAGTCATATTCATGTGGTGGAACTGGGGCAGCCCTTAAGATATCCTGGAAGCTTAGAAGTTTCCCCATTGTCTTTTTTTGTTCTATTCAGGATTTAGCAATATTTATTAATAAAAATTCAGGGTAGTACATTACCCTCCATCCCCTTCTCACCTTTTTATTCATTTAACCAAGAATAAAGTTTTGTGGTTAGCCGTCTGTTTCAGCGTCTGGTTTTTAATAATTTCTGTTTAGGATTCAGTCCATTTAGGTTGTCTCAGAAGATAGCCTCTTGTAGGTCTCTGTCTCCGGGAGCCGTCTTTCTTTATGTAACATTACTTGACATGGCATTTATTTATTCTTTGTGAAACTTCTAAGAGTAATTTGGGAAAGTTAGTATTGACCTTTGTTTTGTTACAAGATATAGTGCGTGCATGAGTATGCGTGTATTTTTTCATTTTTAAACTCAGTTTGCTACACAAGTCATCTGTCACTTCTAGTTACAATAGGCGTTTTACTTGGTTTTCGTATTCCTGTTCGGGAATGTTAAAGATTCCAAAAATACTTAGTTTAAAAACAAGCCCAGTAGTTTCTCTGAGAGTGTATTTACTTTTTAAGAAGCTGCCAAATGGTTCGCAATTCTGACTCCTTGGAGAGTAGAGGTAAGAAGCCCTTTCCTCACACTGTTCTGTTACAACCACTTGATTCTAACCATTTCCCCCATTACTTGAAAAAGGTTTTAGAATCCTTTCTCATTAATTAGTTCAGAATTAAGAATAAATTTGCTGTGTTGAGACTGTAATTGTTTTAGCTGGCATGAGTGATCGTGCACAGTGAAAAAATCATGATAATAAAACTTAGATGAATAAAATTTATTTGTTCAAATCTTAAAGCCTTTGAGGTTTAAAAAGTATAATCATTGTGTTCTAATAATTAGACATTAATAATAAGTAGTAATTAAAAATACTTGGTTTAGCTATGTAAAACATAAAAGCTAACAGGCTTGGGGGAAAGACTGATTAAAGTAAGAAACTATTTTGAGGCATCTTTTTAAGGACTAAAAGTATTCCACTAGCCTGCCATTCTCTTTTTTGACGGATAATTACCTGATTCAATTAAAATGAACAGGTACAAAACTTCCATATACATACAGTACCAGGGATGATGCACTAAACAGGACTGAAGACACCCTGTCCTATAGAAGTGCAGAGTAGTGGTTGGCCATCCACAGCAAGGTGATGAGAGCTGAGACAGACCAGAGAGTAGGATCTCTGCTGTTACTTAGTTCCGAAGGAGCAGGCCCTCCTTCCTTTTCAGTGGCAGTTGAGGTTGCTCTTTTTATGTGGGAGAGTGAAATTAGCCAAGATTAGATCCCATAAGGAGAAGGAGGGGCTCTTATAACCAAGACCATTGTCTTTCTCTAGAAGAGGATGGTTAGGGACCTGAAAAGAAATGAGATTTTGTGTTTCCTTAGGTAAGATAGGATTCTTTCTCCTCAGAGGTGATTTTAGGGAAGTAATTGAAGATATTTTAAAGGAAAGCTCCATATCTCCAAAATATTATTTAGTAGCTGAAGTTCTACCAGGTAGTTTCAGTTAGCTTTCAGATATGGGATGCTTTGGGTTGGGTGTGGGGGTGAGAGTTGCAGGGGCAAGTTGCAGGGGCAAGATGCTGGGCAAATTGCAGGGGTGAGAGTTGCAGGCCTTAAGTACTCTATTAGGGGAATAGAGTACCTAAAGAATTGTGTATTTTAAGTTAAAAGTTATACAGGTATATGGTAAAAAAAAAAAAAATTTAATGATAGAGTAAAAAATGTTACTTTTTTCCTCCCCCCACAGGTAATCCACTGTTAACAGTTTCTTAAAAGTTTACTTTAAAAAAAATTGTACAAAGAGTATTGTTATACTGTTGTACTGTAATTTACTATTTTATTTATTTATTTTATTATTATTATTATTTTTTGAGATGGAGTCTCGCTCCGTTGCCCAGACTGGAGTGCAGTGGGGCAATCTTGGCTCACCACAACCTCCACCTCCTGGGTTCAAGTGATTCTCCTTCCTCAGCCTCCTGAGTAACTGGGACTACAGGCGTGTGCCACCATGCCCAGATAATTTTTGTATTTTTAGTAGAGACTGTGTTGGCCAGGCTGGTCTCAAACTCCTGACCTCGTGATCCGCCCGCCTCGGCCTCCCAAAGTGCTGAGATTACAGGCATGAGCCACCACGTCCGGCCTACTGTTTTATTTTTTAACTGTGATTTACTTTTTTCCTTAGTTAAGTCACAAGCTCTTTTCATACTGGCACATACAGATCAACATAATTAAGAAATAATAAGAATATTTTATTATAACATAATTTATTTTTTCTGACTCCTGTTGAGTAGTACTACGTTGTAATAGTTTACATTGACCAGCAGCGTATGAGAATGCCTGTGACATGTATTTACCAACATTGGACTTTAAAAAACTATATTGCCAATTTGATATATGAAATTTGTCTTGTTTTGGGTTTGTATTTCTTTGTGAGTGAAGGTAAACATTTGTTTATATGCTTATTAGGGGGAGGCCATTTGCAACATATTCTTTAATCAAGTGGTTTAATGCTAGTTTAATTTACTTGCTGCCCCCACCACCTACCTTCACCCTTACCTAAGAGCTAAGATGGTCTGAGAGAAGTGGGACTTTAAGAAGAGGAAAAATATTTTGGGGCTCATGGCACCTTGACGGGGAGCAATGCTCTGAATGGAGAGGCTACAGCACCTGGCTTTGAACAACTCTGGGTCAGTATGAGAGTATTGAAAGCCCTTGACTTGGTGTAAACATAAGGTAGAAGAGAAGCTGAAGCGACACACAGGAAGGGAGATTTGAGAGTCAGGGCAAATAAATTTTGTATAGAGTCAACCCCACCTTGTACCATCTGCTTATCCTGTCTCATCACTTCTCCCTCCCACCTTCAACTATCATTTCATTTTTATTCATACTGTCATTTGGTTTTCTCCTCTTTTCCTGTCAGGCATGGCAGCCTGGACCTGGGTATTTCAAATGCCCCAGAGATGAGGTGTGCTTAGTTTTTGGTTTTCTTTTTTTTTGAGACGGAGTTTCGCACTTGTTGCACAGGCTGGAATGCAGTGGTGTGATCTCGGCTCACTGCAGCCTCGGCCTTGGCAGGTTCAGGCGATTCTCCTGCCTCAGCCTTCTGAGTAGCTGGGACTACAGGTGCACGCCACCACGTCTGGCTAATTTTTTGCATTTTTAGTAGAGACAGGGTTTCACCATGCTGGCCAGGCTGGTCTCGAACTCCTGGCCTCAGGTGATCTGCCCGCCTTGGCCTCTCAAAGTGCTGGAATTACAGGCGTGAGCCACTGCGCCCTGGCCTAAGTAGAAGCTCTTGAGCACTTTTTCCCCCTCTGTCTCTTTGGTACTATTCCTTTCAGCTTTCGACTCTCCTAGCCTTCTGGGGTAACATAAATAGGTCAAGTCTTTATAGCTGTAGTTGGAATTCGGAAGGTCACTGGCATTTAAGACTTGAACATAGGAGCATATATCACAATATATGCTCCTATGATATATCAGGATGTGATGCTTGATAAGTGGGGTCCCTTTCTAAGGAATGCAGAAGAGCATGGTGGTTAATTTAAGCATATAGACTTAAGAGTCAAGACAGCTTGGGTTTTTATCTCCTCTAGCTAAACAAGCAATTACCTAATCTTACTAAATCTCAACTTCTTAATCTGAACAGTGGGACTAACAGCAGAAACCTCATTTTTAAAAGCAGCTTTATTGAGATACAACTCACATACCATAATCCATTGAAAATACACAATTCATTATTTTTTAGGATACTCATAGGTTTGTGCAGCCATCATCACAGTCTGATTTTGGAACATTTTTGTCTTCTGTGAAAAACGCCAAACCAAATGTAAATGAGTAGAGCCATTACGGAGAATATTATGGGGGCTCCTCAAGAGGTGAGAAGGGATAGAGAGAGGTTGGCTAAAGGCTACAAAATTTAGCTAGATAGGAAGAATAAGTTCTAGTGTTGTACTGGGTGACTACAGCTGACCCTTGAACAGCGAAGGGGTTAGGGGCACCAACCCCTGTGCAGTTGAAACTCCACATATAACTTTTATTTCTCTGAACTTTGGTAGTAATAGCCTACTGTTGATTGAAAGCCTTACTGATAACATAAACAGTCAGTTAACACATGGAGTGCAGTGGCACGATCTCGGCTCACTGCAACCTCTGCCTCATGGGTTCAAGCGACTCTCATGTCTCAGCCTCTGGAGTAGCTGGGATTACAGGCACCTGCCACCACGCCCGGCTAATTTTTGTATTTTTGGTGGAGACGGGGTTTCGCCATGTTGGCCAGACTGGTCTTCAACTACTGACCTCAGGTGATCCGCCCGCCTTGGCCTCCCAAAGTGCTGGGATTACAGGTGTGAGCCACTACGCCTGGCCTCCATTCTGTATTCTTAAAGCAAGCTAGAGAGAAGACAATGTTATTAAGAAAATTATAAGGAAGGAAAATATATTTGCTATTCATTAAGTGGAAGTGGATCATCGTAAAGGTCGTCAGCCTTCTTGTCTTCCTGTTGAATAGGTTGAGGAGAAGGAGGAAAAGGAAGGATTAGTCTTGTTGTCTCGAGGGTGGCAAGGTGGAAGAGAGAGAGGAGGTGGAAGAGGAGGCAGGAGAGGGAGGCGCACTGTAACTTTTACTGAAAAAAATCCATGTATAAATGAACCTGCACAGTTCAAACCTGTGTTGTTGTTACATATTTTCAACTAGCTAGAAGAGAGGCTTTTGAATGTTCCCAACACAAATAAATGATAAATGTTTGAAGTGATGGATATGTTAATTACCCCGATTTGATCATTACACATTGTATATGTTGAAGTATCACCATGTAACCCACAAACATGTACAATTATATGCTGGTTAAAAAGCATAAAAATAAAACCCCCGAACCTACTAGCTGTCACTTCCCATCACCCCTTATTTCTTTAGTGTTTGGGATAAGCCAGGTCAAATGCTTAGGTTGGTGCCAAAATGTAAGTACACAGTAAAAAAGCAGTTATAACTTTTTGCAGGGAGACTGTGTGGCAAAGTCCATTTACATAGTTTTAGAGAATGCAAAAATGGGATAATTACTGAATGGATGTTTGCATACTTCCATACTGTGCAAGGATGTGGTGCACAGTGCTGGCTAGAGATACAAAGATGAAAGATACTCAATCAAGAGATGTATATTCAAGTGGGAGGAAAGAGGCTGGTATAAAAATACTTATAAAACAAGCCAGAGTATAGTTAGTGCCTTCAGGAAGGGCTCAATACAATATTTGGAATTGGAAACTTGACAAATGGAGATTAGTCATGTTACTCTGAGAGTACAGGAACTATGAAAAAATTCTTGAAGGAGCAACCATTTTGACCAAGTCTTAGATGATGGAAAGATGGGATTTCTGGCTTTAATGAAGAGTAAAGAATGCAATGCTTTTTGAAGTCTTAAACTATTTGTTTTTGTTTTTGTACCCTCATGCTGCTGCCAGATGATTGCCTCTGGAAGCTATTCCTACACCTTTTTTTGATGTTTCTAATCTGTTATGAACCTGGGGGACTAAATTAGTAAATAATCTTTTAGTGAGAGCCTGATGTCTGTATGAAAAGGATACCAATATATGGTCTTACGCTGTCGTTTTGATATAGTTGCTTTTTTAGTTTATTCTGTGGGTCTTGGTTTCATCCCTGTTAATTGGTCTTACAGAATAAGTAATTCCTAGATAAATTAGCCTCATATACGTGTCTTCTTCTCCAAGGCTTCTAGTAACAACTATGTCCCCTGACCATTCTCCTGAATTTCCCATCTTCTTTTTCTAGTGCACTGTTGGACACAACACCTCCAGTACAATATATCCCAAACTGATCTACCTTCTCTTACTCTTTAACATCTTTCCAACTTGTACCTTGATTAATAACAGATTTCTTTCTTAAAAAAAAAAATGTTGTAGGGGATGACATGACTAGGTTTATCATCATGCTAGAAACCTGGGAGTCATCTTGACTTCTCCATCTCCCCTAACTCTCACATTACATAAGTTACCAAATCCTGTTGATTCTGATATAGTATTTTTAAAGGTTATTATTATTTTAAATTATATGCACATATATACTCCAAAAGTAAGACGGCAAAAAGGAAAAAGATACACAATAAAAAACCTCTCATTCCTTCCCCATTTGCCTCATTCCTAGACTCCCACAAAAGTTTATATATGTTAATGTTATGTTATATCCTTCTGGGGGTTTCAAAACACAACTATGTAGAAGGAACCACATACTTAAACAAATAGTAACACATAGCATGGGATTTCCACAATAGAGGTATACACAGAGTCTGTGAGAAGGAGAAAGAACCACCATGCATTCCCTAAAAGAAGAGTTAGGTATTGGAAAAACCTTCCTATTGGGTCCTGAATAGAAGATGAAAAGGAGAACTTTGGACACGTGAATAAACCAAACTGAGCTGTTAATAAGCAGAGAACTATCAATTAGACACAGAGACAAAGGGTCTAACAATAGGATGCTAGAACATTTCATTGTTTGGGGGGTTCAAAGGACCTATAAGGAAATAAAAGAAAATGCTGGCAGCCACACACAGTGGCTTACATCTGTAATTCCAGCACTTTAGGAGGCCGAGGTGGGCTTCTTGAGGCCATGGACTTGCAGTTACTTTGGGATCTAGCAAAGATTTCAGCGCATTGTAGATGATGAATATTTATTGAATATGTGTAATAATGTATATATACTAAACATATATGTGACAACCCAAGACAAGGAAAATTAATACAATATTAAGCTCACAGATTTATTTAGAAATATAAAATTTTATTTTTATTGAGGTGTAATTAAAATACAGTAAAATGTGCAGATCTTAGCTGTTCACTTTGATGAGGTGTGATGATTATACACATGTAACCAATAACCACAAGAAGATGTAGAGCATTTTTATTACCCCACAACGTTTCCTTGTTGCTCTCTCCATTCAATTTCTTTTGCCTCCAAACACTCTTTGATTTTTAAATGTAGATTAGTTTTGTTCTATCTTCATACAGTGTGTGCTCTTGTGTATCTGGCTTCTTTTGCTTAACATATTTTGAGATTCATCCATGGGGTTGGATGTATCAGTTTTTATTGCTAAGTAATATTTCATTGGGGGAATATTTCACAGTTTATCTTCTGTTGATGGACATTTGGGTAGAATCCAGTTTTTGACTATTATGAATAAGGCCTATACAGATCTTTTTGCAAGTGTGTGTTTTCATTTCTCTTGAGTAAATACCTAGGAATGGAATTGCTGGTTTGTAGGCATATGTGTGTTTAACTTTACAGGAAACTAGTTTTTCAAAGTGGTTTTCCTTTTTATATTCCCACCTGAATATATGAATGTTCTAGTTGTTTTACATCCTCACCAACACTTGGTTAGTCAATCTTTTTAATTTTAGCTATTCTAGTGGGTGTGGAAGGGTATCTCATTGTGGTTTTATTTTGGATTTCCTTGATATCTAGTGATGTTGAGCACCTTTTTGCATGGTTGTTGACAGTATATTTTCTTTCGTAGGATGCCTCTTCAAGCTTTCTGCCCATTAAAAAATGGATTATCTTTTTACTATTGATATGCAGGAATTCTTAATGTACTCACGATACAAATTCTATGTCAGATCAGAGTATTAAGAGTATTTTCTCCTGTTTTGTAGCTTGCCTTATCTTTTTTTTAACAGTATTTTGATGAGTGGAAGTTTTAAAATTTGATGAAGTCCAGTCAATCAACTTTTTGTTTTATGGATTGTGCTTTGAGTTCTTTTTATTTTTTATTTTTTTGAGACAGCGTCTCACTCTCCCAGGCTAGAGTTTAGTGGCGCCATCATAGCTCACTGCAGCCTGGAACTTTTGGGCTCAAGCCACCCTCCTATCTCAGCCTCCTGAGTAGCTGGGTCTACAGATACGTGCCACCATGGCTGGCTCATTTTTTTTTTTTTTTGTATTTTTTGTAGAGATGGGGTTCGCCATGTTGCCCAGGCTGGTGTTGAACTCCTAGGCTCAAGTGATCTTCCTGCCTCAGCCTCCCAAAGTGCTGGGATTACAGGCATGAGCCAGTGTGCCTGGCCCTTTAATTTCTTTTTCACATGTTATTGCAGCATCTGGGATCTTCAATACAACATTGAAGAGAAATGGTGAGAGTGGCTGGGTGCAGTGGTATGGTCCTGTAGTCCCAACTACTTGGGAAGCAAGAGGATTGCTTGAGCCCAGGAGTTCGAGTCCAGCCTGGGTAACACAGAGAGATCCTGTCTCTTTAAAAAAAAGAAAGAGGCCGGGCGCAGTGGCCCATGCCTGTAATCCGAGCACTTTGGGAGGCTGAGGCCGAGGGGGGGGCGGCAGGGGGTGCGGGGGTTGCAAGGTCAAGAGATAGAGACCATCCTGGCTAACATGGTGAAACCCTGTCTCTACTAAAAAATACAAAAATTAGTTGGGCATGGTGGTGTGCATCTGTAGTACCAGCTACTCAGGAGGCTGAGGCAGGAGAATTGCTTGAACCTGGGAGGCAGAGGTTGCAGTGAGCAGAGGTCGTGCCACTGCACTCCAGCCTGGCGACAGCGAGACTCTGTCTCAAAAAAAAAAAAAAGAAAATTAATTTCAGTGTTAACATAAAATATGTTTTAAAATGATGAATTTTTTTTTAAATGAGAGTGAACATCCTGGTCTTGTTGTGATCTTAAGGGGGAAGGCATTTAGTCTTTCCCCAGTAAGTAGTATGTCAGCAGTGGATATTCTGTAGATTAAAAAAAAGAAAATCAGACGAGACGTTTCCTTCCAGTTTACTGGGATTTTAATTAAATCAAATTAATTAATTTACTTTTTGAGATGGAGTCTCACTCTGTCACCTAGGCTGGGGTGCAGTGGTGTGATCTTGGCGCACTGCAACCTCCACCTCCCGGGTTCAAGCAATTCTGCCTCAGCCTCTCAAGTATCTGGGACTACAGGCACCCGCCACCACGCCCAGCAAATTTTTTTGTATTTTTAGTAGAGATGGGGTTTCACTATGTTGGCCAGGCTGGTCTCGAACTCCTGACCTTGTGATCCACCTGCCTTGGCCTCCCAAAGTGCTGGGATTACAGGCGTGAGCCACCGCGCCTGGCCAGGATTTTTATTTTTAAATTATGAATGGGTGCTGAATTTTGTCAGATACCCTCTCTCCTTTTTGGTATTTATTGAGATTATTGTAGTTTTTAAATATTCCATTTTATTAACTTATTTAGAGACAGGGTCTCACTGTATTGCTCAGGCTGAAGTGCAGTGGTGTACCCAGTTCACTGTAACCTCAAATTCCTGGGCTCAAGCAGTCCTCCTGCCTTAGCCTCCTGGGTAGCTAGGACTACAGGCACATGCCACCAAGAATTTCCTTTAATGTTGCATAATGCATAGGTCTAGTAATAGCATCAGTTTTCATTACTTTAAATATATCTATATTTTACTGTCATTTTTCAAGGATATTTTTGCTGGATATAGAATTCTCAGTTGATGGTTTTTTTTCTCTCTTTTTTTTTTTTTTTTTTGAGACAGAGTCTTGCCCTGTCACCTAGGCAGGAGTGCAGTGGCACTATCTCGGCTTACTGCAGGCTCCGCCTCCTGGGTTCACGCCATTCTCCTGCCTCAGCCTTCCAAGTAGCTGGGACTATAGGCGCCTGCCACGGCGCCCAGCTAATTTTTTGTATTTTTAGTAGAGACGGGGTTTCACTGTGTTAGCCAGGATGGTCTCGATCTCCTGACCTCGTGATCCGTCTGCCTCGGCTTCCCAAAGTGCTGGGATTACAGGCGTGAGCCACCACGCCCAGCCTCAGTTTTTTTCCTTTAATCAATTTAAAGATGTCATTTTATTCTTCTCTGGTCTCCATTGTTTCTTTAACTTTCAACAATTTGATGTTGAAAGTTATTGTCATATAAATATAACATTCATATTGAGTAGGATAAAGTTATATTGAATTTGTGAATTGTTTTTGTATTCTGTTTGGAGTTTGCTGAGCTTATTTTTATTTTTATTTTTTTTGCGAGATTGCATCTTGTTTTGTCACCCAGGCTGGAGTGCAGTGGCGTGATCTCAGCTCACTGCAACCTCTGCCTCCTGGATTCAAGCAATTCTCCTGCCTCAGCCTCCCGAGTAAGCTGAGATTACAGGTGCACGCCACCATGCCCAGCTAATTTTTCGTATTTTTAGTAGAGATGGGGTTTCACCAGGTTGGTCAGGCTGGTCTTGAACTCCTGACCTTGTGATCTGCCCGCCTTGGGCTCCCAAAGTGCTGGGATTACAGGCGTGGGATTACCACACCTGGCCTATTTGATTTGTAAGTTGATACTTTTTCCCAAAATTTGGTACATTTTAGACCTTACTTAAAAAATACCGGCCGGGCGCGGTGACTCATGCCTGTAATCCCAGCACTTTGGGAGGCCAAGGCGGATGGATCATGAGGTCAGGAGATCTGGACCATCCTGGCTAACATGGTGAAACCCCGTCTACTAAAAATACAAAAAGAAATTAGCCAGGCGTGGTGGCGGGTGCCTGTAGTTCCAGCTACTTGGGAAGCTGAGGCAGGAGAATGGTGTGAAACTGGGAGGCGGAGCTTGCAGTGAGCCGAGATCGTGCCAGTGTGCTCCAGCCTGGGTGACAGAATGAGACTCTGTCTCAAAAAAAACAAAAACAAAACCTTTTCTGCCCCATTCCTCTGTTTTTCCTCTTGAGATTCTGCTTACACATTATTCTGTTTAAAATTGGTCCATGAGTATGTATTAATTTTTTTCTCTGTTTTTCAGAGACTCTTTTAAATGTTGTATCTAATGTGCAGTGAAGCCTGTTTTCAGTGAATGCACCCTTCAGTTACAGTATTTTGTTTAAAAAATTCCATTTATCTGCCAAGATTCCCCATTGTGACCATATTTTTCTTTTAAGTCTTTGAATGTATTCATAATAGCTGTTTTGAAGTCCTTGTTTATTCCTTTGTCTGTATTAATGGACTTTTGACTCTTTTTTCCCCCTTGATAGTAGGTCACATTTTCCTGCTTCATTTCATAAATACAAAATTTTTGTTGTAGAGTGGATATGATACATCATATCTCTAAACTCTTTTTATCTTCCCTTGATGAATGTTAAAATTAGTGGCTGATTATATTGAATTTTTGGAACCTTGGTCTTCTGTTTTAAGATGGGTCTATAGAAAGTCTGAGGCGTTGGCCAGGCGTGGTGGCTCATGCTTGTAATCCCAGCACTTTGGATGGCCAAAGTGGGTGGATCACTTGAGGTGTCAAGAGTTTGAGACCAGCCTGGCCAACATGGCAAAACCCTGTCTCTACAAAAATACAAAGATGAGCCGGTGTGATGGCAGGCGCCTGTAATCCCAGCTGCTTGGGTGGCTGAGGCAGGAGAATCACTTGAACCTGGGAAGCAGAGGTTGCAGTGAGCCGAGATCGTGCCACTGCACTCCAGCCTGGGCAACAGAGTGAGACTTCGTCTTCAAAACAAAACAAAAAAATTTGAGGTGTTTACCAAGCCCTTCTCACTTGTCCAAACTTAAAGCTCATGTGTTCTCCGCAGTGGACAGCAGCTAAAATTGCTGCTGAGTTCTTTGAGCTTTTTAGTTGTTGTTTTCTTCTGGGATCCTTGGAATCTTCCCTGAGCATATGAAGTTCGGGGATCAGCAAATAATTTGAAGGAGTTTATATTTTTATATTTTTGAGGCTTCCCTACCGTAGCTCTCTCCTTTGAATTTTCCCTTTGATTTTCTAGCCACTTTGTAGCCTTGAATAAAACAGCTTTCTGCTTGAGCTCTATCTGCCCTATGCTGCTGCAAACTGGGAGTGTCCTCAGGAGTAATGCTGTACAAATTTGAATCTCCTCCACTATACTTCCCCTTCTTTCATGATCAGATCTCCAGTTTCTACTTGCTCTTGATTGCTTTCCTCTGTTTTCAAGTCATTCTTTAAAAGTATTTTTTTTCCCAGGGTTTATAATTGCTATTTGTGGAAAGATTATTTCAGTGAGTTTGCTGAATTCTATTCCACCATGTCCAGAACTGTTCACACTCATTTTCATTCATTTTAAACTGGGCGTTAAACACAGTTGCTAACTTAATACACACCTTGTTTTAGAATAAGATAGAAACTCAGTATTGTTTCAGTCACATACACTTGATAAGAATAGGTTATTTGATGGAAAGCTAAGAGCTAATGAATGTTTATGAAGGCTGGTGAAAGGGATAGCCATATTTCTACTGTTGTCTCTTTTCCTCTTTATTGGCAGCAACCTGATAGACAGCAGTGGGACACATGGTACCAGGTGATACTGGAAGAAAATATCATTTTTCAGCTGTCTTTGACCTTTACCCCTCTTGATATTTCTACTCTGAGGAAAAAATACTAAAATGTAATTGTTGGTCTCAACTGCTTCTGTCTAAAAATAGATAGGGCTGTTGGACATTTATCTTTAAATGGTTAGGTAGGACCAGCTCAAGTCCAAAAGACCCTTTAGGATCATTTTACAAATATTTGTTTGTGGCTCTGACTTTAGCTAAGCAGATTAAAGAAAAGGTATATTCAAGAGGGAACTACATTGAATTGGTTTTAGAGATGGCACATACATCTTTTAATAAGTTGGTTATTTTGTATTGCCAGCACAAGTATAAGGGACAGTGCAGTTTAAATGCATTTATTAAAGTTGATTTTTCTTTTGAATTTGAACATTGTCCGTTTTGTTTTAATGTAAATGTAACTGTAAGAAGTTAGGTTTTAATATTTGATCTTGCTCCTTTAGGAAGTGAATGCATTCAAAACAATGTTTTTCAGTTAAATTCTTTTTTTTTTAAATCCTTGTCTTTTTTTTAAAATTATACTTTAAGTGCTAGGGTACATGTGCACAGCGTGCAGGTTTGTTACATATGTATACATATACCATGTTGGTGTGCTGCACCTGTTAACTCGTCATTTACATTAGGTATATCTCCTAATGCTATCCCTCTCCCCTCCCTTCCCCTCACCCCACTACAGGCCCTGGTGTATGATGTTCCCCACCCTGTGTCCAAGTGTTCTCATTGTTCAATTCCCACCTATGAGTGAGAACATGTGGTGTTTGGTTTTCTGGCCTTGCAATAGTTTGCTCAGAATGATGGTTTCCAGCTTCATCCATGTCCCTACAAAGGACATGAACTCATCCTTTTTTATAGCTACATAGTATTCCATGGTGTATATGTGCCACATTTTCTTAATCCAGTCTATCTTTGATGGACATTTGGGTTGGTTCTAAGTGTTTGTATTGTGAATAGTGCCGCAATAAACATACATGTGCATGTGTCTTTATAGCAGCATGACTTATAATCGTTTGGGTATATACCCAGTAATGGGATGGCTGGGTCAAATGGTATTTCTAGTTCTAGATCCTTGAGGAATCGCCACACTGTCTTCCACAATGGTTGAACTAGTTTACAGTCCCACCGACAATGCAAAAGTGTTCCTATTTCTCCACATCCTCTCTAGCACCTGTTGTTTCCTGACTTTTTAAAGATCGCCATTCTAACGGGTGTGACATGGTATTTCATTGTGGTTTTGATTTGCATTTCTCTGATGGCCAGTGATGAGCATTTTTTCCTGTGTCTGTTGACTGCATAAATGTCTTCTTTTGAGAAGTGTCTGTTCATATCCTTTGCCTACTTTTTGATGGGGTTGTTTGATTTTTTCTTGTAAATTTGTTTAAGTTCTTTGTAGATTCTGGATATTAGCCCTTTGTCAGATGGGTAGATTGTAAAAACTTTCTCCCATTCTGTAGGTTGCCTGTTCACTCTGATGGTAGTTTCTTTTGCTGTGCAGAAGCTCTTTAGTTTAATTAGATCCCATTTGTCAATTTTGGCATTTGTTGCCATTGCTTTTGGTGTTTTAGTCATGAAGTCCTTGCCCATGCCTATGTCCTGAATGGTATTACCTAGGTTTTCTTCTAGAGTTTTTATGGTTTTAGGTCTAACATTTAAGTCTTTAATCCGTCTGGAATTAATTTTTGTGTAAGGTGTAAGGAAGGGATCCAGTTTCAGCTTTCTACATATGGGCTAGTCAGTTTTCCCAGTACCATTTATTAAATAGGGATTCCTTTCCCCATTTCTTGTTTTTGTCAGGTTTGTCAAAGATCAGATGGTTGTAGATGTGTGGTATTATTTCTGAAGGTTCTTTTCTGTTCCATTGGTCTATATCTCTGTTTTGGTACCAGTACCATGCTGGTTTGGTTACTGTAGCCTTGTAGTATAGTTTGAAGTCAGGTAGTGTGATGCCTCCAGCTTTGTTCTTTTGGCGTAGGATTGTCTTGGCAATGTGGGCTGTTTTGTGGTTCCATATGAATTTTGAAGTAGTTTTTCCCAATTCTGTGAAGAAAGTCATTGGTAGCTTGATGGGGATGGCATTCAATCTATAAATTACCTTGGGCGGTATGGCCATTTTCACAGTATTGATTCTTTCTATCCATGAGCATGGAATGTTTGTGTCCTCTTTTATTTCGTTGAGCAGTGGTTTGTAGTTCTCTTTGAAGAGGTCCTTCTCATCCCTTGTAAGTTGGATACTTAGGTATTTTATTCTCTTTGAAGCAATTGTGAATGGGAGTTCACTCATGATTTGGTTCTCTTTTTGTCTGTATAGGAATGCTTGTGATTTTTGCACATTGATTTTGTATCCTGAGACTTTGCTGAAGTTGCTTATCAGCTTAAGGAGATTTCGGGCTGAGACGATGGGGTTTTCTAAATATACAGTCATGTCATCTGCAAGCAGGGACAATTTGACTTCCTCTTTTCCTAATTGAATACACTTTATTTCTTTCTCTTGCCTGATTGCCCTGGCCAGAACTTCCAACATTATGTTGAATAGGAGTGGTGAGAGAGGGCATCCCTGTCTTGTGCCAGTTTTCGAAGAGAATGCTTCCAGTTTTTGCCCATTCAGTATGATATTGGCTGTGGGTTTGTCATAAATAGCTCTTCTTATTGTGAGATACGTCCCATCAATACCTAGTTTATTGAGAGTTTTTAGCATGAAGGGCTGTTGAATTTTGTCAGAGGCCTTTCTGCATCTTTTGAGATAATCATGTGGTTTTTGTCTCTGGTTCTGTTTGTATGCTGGATTACGTTTATTGATTTGCGTATATTGAACCAGCCTTGCATCCCAGGGATGAAGCCAACTTGATCATGGTGGATAAGCTTTTTGATGTGCTGCTGGATTTGGTTGGCCAGTATTTTAGAGGATTTTTGCATCGATGTTCATCAGGGATATTGGTCTAAAATTCTCTTTTTTTGTTGTGTCTCTGCCAGGCTTTGGTGTCAGGATGATGTTGGCCTCATAAAATGAGTTAGGGAGGATTCCCTCTTTTTCTGTTGATTGGAATAGTTTCAGAAGGAATGGTACCAGCTCCTCTTTGTACCTCTGGTAGAATTTGGCTGTGAATCCATCTGGTCCTGGACTTTTTTTGGTTGGTAGGCTATTAATTATTGCCTCAATTTCAGAGCCTGTTATTGGTCTATTCAGGGATTCAACTTCTTCCTGGTTTAGTCTTGGGAGGGTGTATGTGTCCAGGAATTTATCCATTTCTTCTAGATTTTCTAGTTTATTTGCATAGAGGTGTTTATAGTATTCTCTGATGGTAGTTTGTATTTCTGTGGGATTGGTGGTGATATCCCATTCATCATTTTTTATTGCATCTATTTGATTCTTCTCTCTTTTCTTCTTTGTTAGTCTTGCTAGCAGTCTATGAATTTTGTTGATCTTTTCAAAAAAACCAGCTCCTGGATTCATTGATATTTTGAAGGGTTTTTTGTGTCTCTATCTCCTTCAGTTCTGCTCTAATCTTAGTTATTTCTTGCCTTCTGCTAGCTTTTGAATATGTTTGCTTCTCTAGTTCTTTTAATTGTGATGTTAGGGTGTCAATTTTACATCTTTCCTGCTTTCTCTTTTATAGCATTTAGTGCTATAAATTTCCCGCTACACCCTGCTTTAAATGTGTCCCAGAGATTCTGGTATGTTGTGTCTTTGTTCTCATTGGTTTCAGAGAATATCTTTATTTCTGCCTTCATTTCGTTAAATGTACCCAGTAGTCATTCAGGAGCTGGTTGTTCAGTTTCCATGTAGTTGAGTGGTTTTGAGTGAGTTTCTTAATCCTGAGTTCCAGCTTGATTGCACTGTGCTCTGAGAGACAGTTTGTTATAATTTCTATTCTTTTACATTTGCTGAGGAGTGCTTTACTTCCAACTATGTGGTCAATTTTGGAATAAGTGCGATGTGGTGCTGAGAAGAATATATATTCTGTTGATTTGGGGTGGAGAGTTCTGTAGATGTCTGTTAGGTCTGCTTGGTGCAGAGGTTAGTTCAAGTCCTGGATATCCTTGTTAACTTTCTGTCTTGATCTGTCTAATATCGATAGTGGGGTGTTAAAGTCTCCCGTTATTATTGTGTGGGAGTCTAAGTCTCTTTGTAGGTGTCTAAGGACTTGCTTTATGAATCTGGGTGCTCCTGTATTGGGTGCATAAATATTTAGAATAGTTAGCTCTTCTTGTTGAATCGATCCCTTTACCATTATTTAATGGTCTTCTTTGTCTCTTTTGATCTTTGTTGGTTTAAAGTCTGTTATCAGAGACTAGGATTGCAACCCCTGCTTTTTTTTTTTTCCCATTTGCTTGGTAGATCTTCCTCCATCCCTTTATTTTGAGCCTGTGTGTGTCTCTGCGTGTGAGATGGGTCTCCTGAATACAGCATACTGATGGGTCTTGACTCTTTATCCAATTTGCCAGTCTGTGTCTTTTAATTGGAGCATTTAGCCCATTTACATTTGAGGTTAATATTGTTATGTGTGAATTTGATCCTGTCATTATGATGTTAGCTGGTTATTTTGCTCATTAGTTGATGCAGTTTCTTCCTAGCATTGATGGTCTTTACAATTGGCATGTTTTTGCAGTGGCTGGTACTGGTTGTTCCTTTCCAGATTTAGTGCTTCCTTCAGGAGCTCTTGTACGGCAGGCCTGGTGGTGACAAAATCTCTGAGCATTTGCTTGTCTGTAAGGGATTTTATTTCTCCTTCACTTATGAAGCTTAGTTTGGCTGGATATGAAATTCTGGGTTGAAAATTCTTTTCTTTAAGAATGTTGAATATTGGCCCCCACTCTCTTCTGGCTTGTAGAGTTTCTGCCGAGAGGTCTGCTGTTAGTCTGATGGGCTTCCCTTTGTGGGTAACCAGACCTTTCTCTCTGGCTGCCCTTAACATTTTTTCCTTTGTTTCAACTTTGGTGAATCTGACAATTGTGTGTGTTGGAGTTGCCCTTCTCGAGGAGTATCTTTGTGGTGTTCTCTGTATTTCCTGAATTTGAATGTTGGCCTGCCTCGCTAGGTTGGGGAAGTTCTCCTGGATAATATCCTGAAGAGTGTTTTCCAACTTGGTTCCATGCTGCCTGTCACTTTCAGGTACACGAATCAGATGTAGATTTGGTCTTTTCACATAGTCCCATATTTCTTGGCTTTGTTCGTTTCTTTTTACTGTTTTTCCTCTAAACTTCTCTTCTTGCTTCATTTCATTCATTTGATCTTCAATCACTCATACCCTTTCTTCCACTTGATCAGATCGGCTACTGAAGCTTGTGCATTCATCACGTAGTTCTCGTGCCATGGTTTTCAGTCCATCAGGTCATTTAAGGTCTTCTCTACACTGTTCATTCTAGTTAGCCATTCGTCTAATCTTTTTTCAAGGTTTTTAGCTTCTTTGCGATGGGTTTGAACATCCGGAGAAGTTTGTTATTACCGATCATCTAAAGCCTTCTTCTCTCAACTTGTCACAGTCATTCTCCGTCCAGCTTTGTTCCATTGCTGGCGAAGAGCTGTGTTCCTTTGGAGGAGAAGAGGTGCTCTGAGTTTTAGAATTTTTCAGCTTTTCTGCTCTGGTTTCTCCCCATCTTTGTGGTTTTATCTACCTTTGGTCTTTGATGATGGTGACGTACAGATGGGTTTTGGTGTGGATGTCCTTTCTGTTTGTTAGTTTTCCTTCTAACAGTCAGGACCCTCAGCTGCAGGTCTGTTGGAGTTTGCTGGAGGTCCACTCTAGACCCTGTTTGCCTGGGTATCACCAGTGGAGGCTGCAGAACAGCAAATATTGCAGAACGGCAAATGTTGCTGCCTGATCCTTCCTCTGGAAGCTTTGTCTCAGAGGGGCACCTGGCTGTATGAGGTGTCAGTCGGCCCCTACTGGGAGGTGTCTCCAGTTAGGCTACTCGGGGGTCAGGGACCCACTTGAGGAGGCAGCCTGTCCATTCTCAGAACTCAAACTCTGTGCTGGGAGAACCACTACTCTCTTCAAAGCTGTCAGACAGGGACATTTAAGTCTGCAGAAGTTTCTGCTGCCTTTTGTTCAGCTATGCCCTGCCCCCAGAGTTGGAGTCTACAGAGGCAGGCCTCCTTTAGCTGGGGTGGGGTGGGCTCCACCCAGTTCGAGCTTCCCGGCCAACTTGTTTACCTACTCAAGCCTCAGCAATGGCGAATGCCCCTCCCCCAGCCTCACTGCTGCCTTGCAGTTCGATCTCAGACTGCTGTGCTAGCAGTGAGTGAGGCTCCGTGGGTGTGGGACCCGCTGAGCCAGGTGCGGGATATAATCTCCTGGTGTGCCGTTTGCTAAGACCTTTGGAAAAGCACAGTAGCAGGGTGGGAGCGTCCTGATTTTCCAGGTACTGTCTGTCATGGCTTCCCTTGGCTAGGAGAGGGAATTCCCCAACGCCTTGCGCTTCCCGGGTGAGGTGATGCCCTGCCCTGCTCCATGGGCTGCACCCACTGTCCGACAAGCCCCAGTGAGATGAACCCGGTACCTCAGTTGGAAATGCAGAAATCACCCGTGTTCTGCGTCGCTCATGCTGGGAGCTCTAGACTGGAGCTGTTCCTATTTGGCCATCTTGAAGAGGGATCTTCAGTTAAATTCTTAAGTATTTTTGCTGATGGAAGGAAAGCCAGTGCATGATTACCACAAAAGGGCTGAATATGTTCACCTGCCTCTTCTCTACCTGATATAACCCCAACTGACTTTTAAAAAGTTGCAAAAATTTAGTTGGGGTTATATGAGGTAGAGAGGAGACAGGTGGACATATTCACCGCTTTCTATAGTAGTCTAACCCTAAATTACACTTCCATCTCTGTCAGCTAGGGTTTGATTAAAGAAGCAAAATTATTGTGTTTAAGAGATTTATTACAGTGATTGATATATATATTTTTAACGAATTGTAGGAAGCGTTTGTATGCTTCTGAGTCTGGTGCTAGACTTGAAGTTGTTAGGGCTGGCAGTTGGGAAGGGACGATAGACATGAAGTGGGGGAGATCATGGTTAAGCTGGAACCTACAGAGATTTGGAAGTCATGGAAGTGAGCTGACCCATAAGCTCAAACTTGAACCTGCATTGTTGTCTCACTGCTTCTGAACCTGCAACTTTGATGATGTGGGCAGTAGATATGGCACACTTTACCATGGAACTGCACACAAACTGGTCCCAGGATTATTTGGAGAAGTTGGAGAACGAGATTTGATAGGCACTGGAGGAGCTGTGAGCCCAGTTGCTACCCTGTGCCACCGAAGGTGAACCAAAAGATCTATGACAACATGTGAGAAAGTGGCAATGCTTATCTTATGTTGACCTAGTGAACACAAATGTGGCTACTGCTTCACTTTTGTCTTCTAAATTTCATGGAAATTTCTTTTGAGGCGAACCCTAACTCACACCCATTCATGGAAAAGAATTTAGAGAAGGGTAGTTGCTACCTAGCTAGGTTGATACAATACAAAGCCATCACAGTTCACCCTCTTGTCATACACACCTCTTTTAATCATATTTAATTTGCAAATAAAGGTGGTTGGAAAATTGTACTTTTGCTGTGCATAATGCAACTATCCTTAGTTCAAATAACACATAAATCCTCTCCTTAAGAGAGGCTCCAAATCCCTTTATCCGTTGTTGGATTAATTTTTCTTTTACCTAAGTCACATTTTGTATTTAATTTAGATACTGAAATATGAGGCTAGCTACTATTAGATTGTTGTAGAAAAGGTGAGAAAAGAATAAATTGGTTAATTATATACAGAGATTTTTTTTTTTACATTAAGAGGAAAATACTTATTAGAGTTCTTACTTCTGCATCAAGTTATGTGCTTGTAGTTGTTATCTGTAATTACCTTCTTCCACTGCCATTCCATGTTCCCTCTGTCTTTGGCTAACAACTCAGTTAGTTGTGGTTTCTTGCCTGGTGGGGTGAACCAAGCTTGCTTGCTTGCTTTCATTCATTTATTCTGTAATTCTGGACCATTAGCAGTCTTGCCTGGATTGTTTCCACTGACTTTAACCATAGTCCATGGAAATAGTAAGTGGTGTCCCAGAGGAACTCCTACATTCCAGACATACTTTTTCTTAGCCCCCTTGTGTAGTAGCAACCCAGTTTCCCCTTGATAGTGAGATCAGTCACTCTAGTCAGTTCTGTAATCTTCATCTTTTGTTGGTCATGAAGAGTCCAAAGTGGCTGGGTGGCAGTCTCAGCTTACAGTAATGGAACCATTGCTGCATCCGTTGGTGGAAACATTCCTTCCTTGGGAACTGAGATCTCTAGCAGAGGCTAAAATTGTGGGGATGGGAAGAAAAAAAGAAAAAAAAAAAACAAAAAAATGAGAACACCTTTTTATGCTAATGGCAATAAAATTTAATAGAGGAAAAAAGTTGATGGAGGCAGGAAAGAGATGATAGAATTGCTGGAGCAATGTCCTGCAGTAGGAAAAGATTAACTAGTGTAAGAGTTGGCTTATTTAAGAGCACTGAGAATTTCTTGTAACATGAAGAGATGGTAGAGTATATGGGCATAGATGCATATAAGCTGGCAGATGATGTGGTGTGTCTTATGTATCAGTGGATTAGATCATCAGTTGAGAATGACAGTGAGTTAATACAAATCAATGTAGGTACGTATAGGTAATACTTGGGAAGTTAAGGGAGCCCAATACAAAAATGTTGAAGACGTATAAATAAGAAAGTGCATAATAAGTTAAGGGACAGGTTGCTGTTAGCGATTGAGTTCTAATTCTAATGATATTCTCTGAAAGACAATTTTGAGGATTAGATAAAATACCCTATGTAAAGTGCTTAAGGTGTAATGTCTTGATGTATTCCAGTAAGTACTCAATAAATGTTAAGTATGATTGTTAGTAACACTAACAGTTACTCTGATATTTTGCATTCCTAACCAAATGTTCATAATAATCCTGTAATACTGTGATCTTTTCCTTCTTACACTTGAGGAGATGGATAGAGTTGCTTAAAAGTTACCAATGTGCCAATGTTAGTAGTAGATCCAACATTTGAACCAAATTTTTTTTTTTTTTTGCTTTAAAAATCTAATTTTTTCCTTTGAGAGATATATAGTGGTTAAAAATGTGGACTCTGGAACTTCACTGTGTTTGAGTCCTGGCTCTCCCCTTACTAGTTGTTCATCCTTGAGTGAATGATTTAACCTCTTTATGCCTCACTCTCTAGGAAAGAGATTACTTACCTCAGAGTTCTTGGTGAGGATGAAATGAATTAATACGTATTAAGTGGTTAGAATTTTGAGCACTGGGTAGGTACTCAGTGTTATTCCTCTCCTCTTAGTATTATACCATGCTGCCTTTAGTTCAAACCTTTTAAAACCTTTCTTATTGAAAAGTTTAAGTGAGGCTGAAATTATCACTTTCCTTTTTAGAGCCATCTTTTTTTTTTTCATAAAGTAGTGTTAATCTTTATGGTTTAAGTTCCCAAATATAATAATTATGAATTTTACTTATGTGAATTGATCACAAATAGGGGCATTTCAGTTTGGAGAAAAACTATCCCACAGGATTTTGTCTTTTTTGTTTTTCAACCTCCTTTCTAAGCGTTTTCTGCATAGTCATTCATTTCCATGGCTTCCCTTATATGTTACTCCCAAATCAGCATCTGATGTTTTACCTCATTTCTCATTTTCATTCACTGATTTGTTTTCTTCTTTCTTCAATTAGTCACTAAATTTACTTCTTTTATTATCCCAAACCCTTCTCTTCTCTATGCCTGTTGCTTTTGGTTTAGTTAAGGTCCTTATTATTATTTTTTCATTCATTAGTGTAGTAGCCTCCTAACTGGTCTCCCAATTCCAGTCTTGTCTTTTTCTACTCCATCCTTCAGTAATTGTTAAAACAGTTTCTGTGAAAGACATTTGATCATTTTATTACTTTGGTTAAAACTTTTTTTTTTTTTTTTTTTTTGGAGACCAGGTCTTGTTCTGTTGCCCAGACTGGAGTCCAGTGGCATGATCTTGGCTCACTGCAGCCTCTGCCTCCTGGGCTCTAGTGATCTTCCTGCCTCAGCCTCCTGAGTAGCTGGGACTACAGGTGCGTGCCACCACTCCCTGCTAAGTTTTTGTATTTTTTGTAGATACGGGGTTTTACCTTGTTGCCCAGGCTGGTCTTGAACTCCTGGGCTCAAGTGATCCTTCCATCTCAGCCTCCCAAAGTGCTGGGATTACAAGCATGAGCCACGGTGCCTGGTTCTCACTGCCCCCGCCCCCCTTTTTGTTAACTTCCCATTGTCTGCAAGAAAAAATAAGTTTGATCATTCAGGGTTCCTGATACATCTGTCTCTGCTTCCCTCTCCAGCAGAATCTTTACTTTTCAACAGAATTTCTGAGTTCTGGCTATATGAAACTATTGAATACTCTCATATTCAGTACTTTTAATTTCATATGAAATCTGCCTGGGTTTGTTCTGTTGGCAGACTTTCAGACTGTGCATCTTTTTTTTTTTTCCTTCACGTAGGCCATCCCTCAGGAGACTGTGCATCTTTTTAAAGATTTAACTGGTGTAATTTCTCAGGGAGTTTTCCTTACCTCAGGGCACATGTATTCAGACACCTGGAATCTTTACCTGTATTGGTATATGCCTTTATTATAGCATTTATCACCCAAGCCCAGCTAATTTTTTTGTATTTTTAGTAGAGACGGGATTTCACCATGTTGGTCAGGCTGGTCTCGAACCCCTGACCTCAGGTGATCCACTCACCTCGGCCTCCCAAAGTGCTGGGATTACAGACGTGAGCCACCATGCCCGGCCCACATTGTTTTTTTAAGAACAATTTTATTTAGGTATAATTTACATATCGTATAGTTAACTAATTTAAAAGCTGAACAGCTCGGTGGTTTAGTATATTGACAGAGTTGTACATCCATCACCACAATCAATTTTAGAATGTTTTCATTACCCTCAAAAGAAACCCTGCACCTCTTAGCCAATGCCGTCTGCTATGGTTTGAATGGTTCCCCAAAGTTCATGTGTTGGGAACTTGATCCTCATTCAGCAGTGTTGGGAGGTGGGACCTAATTTGAGATGATTAGATCCTGAGGGTTGAGTGAATGGATTAATGCTGCTATTGCGGAAATGGGTTAGTTATCACAGGAGTGGATTCATTATAAAAGGGGAGGCCCTTTTCTCTTTCTTTTGCCCATGTGATGCCTTCCACCATATTATGTGGCAGTAAGAAGACCCTCATTAGACGCTGGCCCCTCAATCTTGGACTTTCCAGTCTCCATAATTGTCAGCCAAATAAATTTTCATTCATTATGAATTACCCAGACTGTGGTATTCTGTTACAACAGGACAAAATCGACACCCCTCAACCTTAGGCATCCACTGACTGACTTTTTGTCTGTAGTTTTGCCTATTCTGAACATTGCGTATTAATGAAATCATATTGTGTTTTGTAACTAGTGGCATTCATTCAGCGCAGTTTTCCAAAGTTCACTGATGTTTTAGCATGTATCAGTACTTCATTTTTTCTTATTACCAAATATTTCATTTTATGGCTGTATTACATTTTGCTTATCAGTTTGATGAGCATTTGGGTTATTTCCATTTTTCAGCTATTATAAATAATGCTGTTTGAAGATTTGTGTACAAGTTTATGTTTGGACATATATGTTCTTTCTCTTGGGTATAAACATAGGAGTAGAATTGCTGGATCACATGGTAGTTCCATGTTTATCCATTTGAGGAAAAGCCAGACTGTTTTCCAGAGCTACTGCATCATCTTACATTCCCTCCAGCAGTGCATGAGCGTTTCAGTTTTTCCATGTTTTTGCCCATACTTCTTATTGTCTGTCATTTTGATTATAGTCATTGCAGTGGGTGTAAACTGGTATCACGTTGTGGTTTTAATTTGCATTTCCTGATGATTAATGATGCTGAGCATCTTTTTATTTGTATATTGGCTATTTGTATATCTTCTCTGGAAAACTGTCTATTCATATCCTTTGCCCATTTTTAAATTGGGTCATCTTTTTACTATTCAGTTGTAATAAAGCTTTATATATTCTAGATACAAGTGCCTTATCATATATATGATGTGTATGAATGTTCTCCCATTCTGTGAATTGTCTTTTTACTTTGTTGATGGTAGCTTCTGAAGCACAAAAGTTGTAAGTTTTAATCATGTCTGTTTAACCTGTTTTTGCTATGTTATTTATGCTTTTGGTGTCATATCTAAGAAAATGCTGTCTAATCTAGGGTTGTAAGGATTTAAATCTCTGTTTTTGCCTCTAAGAATTTTATAGTTTTAGCTCTTATATTTAGGTCTTTGGTCTGTTTTGAGTTAATTTTTGTATATGGTATGAAGTAGGCATGCACATTCATTCTTTTGCGTGTTGATAACCTGTTCTGTCACCGTTTGTTGAAAAGACTGTTCTTTTCCCATTAAATTGGCTTGGCATCCTTGGAAAATCAATTGATTGTAAATATGAGAGTTTATTTCTAGGCTGTCTGTTCTGTTCCATTGGTGTATATCTCATTGTGCCAGTGCTGTACTGTCTTAGTTAATGTAGCTTTGGGGTAAGTTATGAAATTGGGAATTGTGAGCCCTCCAACTTTCAATTTTTTCTCAAGTTTCATTTGCCTATTTTGGGTTCCTTGAATTTCCATGTGAATTTTAGGATGAGCTTATCCGTTTCAGCAAGAAAATCAGCGGGGATTCACATTATTCACATTGGAATTTTTTTTTTTTTTTTTTGAGACGGAGTCTCACTCTGTCACCCAGGCTGGAGTGCAGTGGTGTGATCTCAGCTCACTGCAACCTCCGCCTCCCGGGTTCAGGCGATTCTCATGCCTTGGCCTCTAGAGTAGCTGGGATTATAGGCACCTGCAACCATGCCTGGCTAATTTTTGTATTTTTAGTAGAGAAGGGGTTTCACCATGTTGACCAGGCTGGCCTTGAACTCCTGACCTCAAGTGAGCTGCCCGCCTTGGCCTCCCAAAGTGCTGGGATTACAGGCATGAGCCACTGGGCCTGGTCCACATTGGATTTTCAATAGTTTACTCATCTGTCTCAAATATTTATCTAATAATTAATTTCTTATGATGTATGAACCAGGCAAAGTAGATATTACTTATTGCCAGGTTTATTTTACAAACGTAAAAACGTTCAAAATGGTTGAGTGAGCTGTCTAAGGTGACAGTGGCTCAAGTCAAAACATTTTGGCTGTTGACTCCAAATGTCAGGTTCTTTCCACTGTACCTACTCATGTGACTGATTTTCTTGTATCTTCCTCTTAATCCTGTTGGAAGTCTTGTGAATATTTCTCTGAGACTATTATTATTTAAAGTTCTCCAGTAGAGATTGATTGAGCTTAGTTGAGTTTGTCCCTTTTGTAACTTTTTCTTGATGTGTGTACAAAGTAAACACAAGTTTATAAGTGGACAGGTTTGTGAATTTTTACATGCTTATGTAACCAGCATTCAGATCAAGAGACAACATCACCGACACCACAGAACCACCTCCGTTGTGCCCCCTATCAATTATTATTACCCCAAGGGTAGCCACTATCCTGATTTTGTGATAGCATGTTTTGTCTATTTTATAACTTGATATAAATTGACTCATATCTATATATAGTTTGTTGTATCTGACTTATTTTGTTCAACATCATGTTTATGAGGTTTGTCTATCTTGTTGCATGTAGTAGAGTAAGCAGGGATACTCCTGGTACTTTTGTTATGAAATTCTTATACATTATTTTCAGTTACTCATCAGATAGTTTTTCATCAATTGCAAAATTATATTATCCAAAGCTGAATTGAGATTTGTGGGAATCAGAATTTTGATAGAGTGATTAGGAAGATCCCTGGTATACAAAAGTGAAATGTATACCTATCATAATTTATTATATAAAGCATGTGTATTGAATCATCAAGAATAGATGGCTCCTACTGGGATCGATTGTACTTTATTATATTTTGCCTTTTCTATAATTTTTAGTTGTGTCGTTTTTATAATGAGTGAAGAGAAAGTCTGTACCCTTTAGAGACACTTATTGAACTTCTAGTCATCATGGTGTAATGAAGAGTGTGTGAATTTTGGAATTACATCTGGAATTAAATTCCAGCTGTATCAAATACAAGTATTTTCACCATGTGAGCTCTGGACATGTTGCTTCTCTTAATAAGCATGGATATAAAATATCTCATGGTTGCTGGAAATATAAATCATAGAAAGTACATATAAGTAACTTATATAGTCCCTGGCAATAGGTGCTCTGTGAATTTTAGTTTTAATCTTTATTATGTGATTAGTGCAATAATTCATCAATCCAGAGTAGACTTTTGTTTTCAGAATATTGAAATTTTTTTATAGTGTCTAAATTCTTGCCTAAAGTCAAAGACTTCCTTGATACTATGAAACATAGCTATATGTTGGGTTTTGGAAATACATCAAGATGCTAAGCTAGAAGTGATATTTTTCCTCCTCTCTCTCTCTCTTTTTTTTTTTGAGATGGAATTTTGCTCTTGGTGCCCAGGCTGGAGTGCAATGGCGCGATCTTGGCTCACTGCAAACTCTGCCTCCTGGGTTCAAGCGATTCTCCTGCCCCAGCCTCCCTAGTAGCTGGGATTACAGGCACCCGCCACCACACCCAGCTAATTTTTTGTATTTTTAGTAGAGACAGGGTTTCACTATGTTGGCCAGGCTGGTCTCGAACTCCTGACCTCAGGTGATCCACCCGCCTTGGCCTCCCAAAATGCTGGGATTACAGGAGTGAGCCACTGCGCCTGGCCCCTCCCGTCTCTTTAAAATTTTTTTATACTTTAAAAACACGAATGGGATCATACTATGGATACTATTTTGCCTTTTCAATTTAGTGATGCATTTTGGATTTTGAGCCAGCACATAAAATGCTTCACCATTTTATGATGTTACCAAGAAATATATAACTTTTCTATTGAAGGACATGTAGGTATTTTCAGTATTTTGCTATTATGCCTATGTCTGCATATAAATACAAGAAAATGTAGCCCGAGTTGCCATTGTCTGATTTCTAATCCAAGGGAATTGGACAGAAATTGGGCCAAGAACATTGTTGGAACCATGCTGAAGCCTTCTCTACCTTGGGATTATTTATTTACCTGAGACAATATAGCCTTTTAAAAAAAAATTTGTTTAAGGTAGTTGAACTGCAAAATTTTGTTCCTTAACAATTCAAGAATCCTAACATATTGCGAACACTCTCATTTTTCAGTTGTCCTAGTGGAAATGCCCTAGTGTTTGTAAGTTTACTGTTTATTTCTGAAAAGTAGTATTTATCATAGTAAAGAATTTTCCTTCTTTTCCTGATTTTCTCTAAGGGATTAAAGTCAGGAATAATGAACAGTTTAATTTAGATGATCCTGTGCATTTTCTTCTTTTACCTATTAATGTAATTCATCTATTAATAGTTTCTCTGACGTTGACAGTCTTTGCGTAGAGAACTCATATGCAAAAGAGAGCTCTCCCAGTAGTGAGACAGTGAAATCATGTCCATATTATGTGTCTCATCCAAAATTCTGAGCTACGGTCAGACCACCTCTGAATAAATAACCTCTGGCTAGAAGAATTGCCGTATCCCAATCAGCTTAAATCTGTTTTATCCTAAGCCATTTATTTAATATAATCTAGGGTGATGAAATTATCCTGTCTTGGCCACCAGTTAGCACCTACTTACAGAGTTGCTTGTTAGTACTTCCCTAAATTTTATTGTAGTTACATTATCAGAGAGAGAGGTGTAATGATTGTGGGAGAGGCAGCCACATACATATCTACAACACAGACATACTGTTTTGGATATCTTGGGAACAGAACAATACGACATAAATAAGATATGTAAATATTGGAAAGGAAGAGACCACTGTGGCAAATGCTGTTTTTATTCAGTAGCTATTCTCCCACTTGTTTCTTGCACATATAACTCAAGATTTTTTACAGGTATTCAGGGCCCGTTTGATTCAGAGGAGGCTGGTCCCTGTGAACCCTAAGGGTTAAAGAAGAGTAGTTTAAACCAGCTGTGCCATTTCTGTTTCCCTTGCTGTTATCTGGCTTAATAATGGCATTACCTGTTTCAGTTTTTGCTAATTCAGTGGGTGTAAAATCCTCAATGTGGTCCTAATTTGTATTCCTCTTATTACAAATGAGAGGGGTACAACATGTCAAGTGTTTATTGGATATTTCTTCTTTTGCAGTGTGCTGCTAATCTTACTGTTGGGTTGTGTTTTTCATCATTATGTATGTTCTTTATATATTCTGATTACTAACTTAGTCCCATGGTGCTGCTATAACAAAATACCTAAGGCCAGGTAATTTTTTATAAAGAGCAGAAATTTATTTCTCACAGTTCTGGAGGCTGGGAAGTCCAAGATGAAGGCACTAGCAGGTTGTGTAGTCTGGTAAGGGCTGCATCCTCCAGAGGTGAATGATGCTGTGTTCTCATATGGTGGAAGGAAGGCGGAAGGGCCAGATAGCCAAACGCTGGCTGCCAGGAGCTGCTTTTTTAAGGGCCTAATCCTGTTCATAAGGGAGGAGCCCTCGTGGCCTAAGCACTCAGGCCCCAGCCTCTCAATACTACTATAACATTGGTTGTTAAGTTTCAACACAAGAATTTTGGAGGGGACACATTCTACTAACTTGAATTCACTAACTTTAAAAAAAAATCAGTTTTGTGAGTTACAGATACAATGGTCCTACCCGAGGTTTTGCTTTCAGTGATTTCAGTTACCAGTGGTCAACCATGGTCTGAAAATACTAAATGGAAAATTGTTATAATTAAACAATTGCTGTTTTAAGGTGCCCACTGTTCTGAGTGGTATGATGAAATCACTTGCTATTCTGCTCCATCCTGTCCAGGATGTGAATTATTCCTTTGTCCAGTTACCCGTCCAGTGTAATACTACTGGCCCATTACTGTGTAGAAAAAAAAAATGTGTATATAGGGTTCAGTAGTATATGTTTTGGGCATCCACTGGTGGTCCTGGAGAAGGTCACATACCTTCTCCCTAGTTTCTCCTTTGTTGAAGTTAATAATTTTACTTTTTTTGGTGTCTTGTGAAAAACAGATAGTCTTAATGTAGTAAGATCTTTTATGGTTTATATGGGCATTCATGTATTTATTTATATTTACTTTTGTTTAAGAAGTCATCTCTTCAAACTTGGGTAATTAAAATAGTTTCCTGCTTTAAAGCTTTGTCTTTCATCTCAGTCCACTGGGGTTGCTTTTTTTCTTTTTTCCCCACCAGTAGTGGAACAGGGATTGATACTTACTTTTTGCCATATGGATAGTTGTCACAACCTCATTTTTTAGAGTCCATCTTTTCTGCAGTGATGTGCAGAACGAACTCTCATAGTCAAGTTTCCATATACATGTGAGTCTGTTTCTGGACTCAATTCTGTTTTGCAGCCTAATTGTCTATCTTCACCGTCATACCACACTTCCTTAATTATTACAGCTTTATACAAGTCTCACTGTCTGGCAGGGCAAATACCCCTACCCTGTATTTCAGAAGTTGTTTGGCTGTTTGCATGTCTAAATGATTTAAAAATTTGGTGGTAAGGTCTTTGAGGTACCCTGTTGGGGGGAGAGTTGACATCTTTATGATATTGAGCATCTTTATGATATAGACATAGTAGAGTTACATGTCACTTAACAACAGGGGTACATTCTGAGAGATGCTTTGTTAGGCAATTTCTTCACTATGTGAACATGGCAGGGTGTACATAGGCTATACGGTGTAGCCTGTTGCTCCTAGGCCACAAATCTGTACAGCATGTTACTGTTCTGAATATCATAGGCAATTGTAACACAATGGTATTTGCATATCTAAACATACAAAAGGTACAGTAAAAATATGATGGATAAAAAATGTAGAGCACTTACCATGAATAGAACTTGCAGGACTAGAAATTTCTCTGGGTGATGCAGTGAGTGAGTGGTGAGCGAATGTGAAGGCCTAGAACATTACTGTACACTACCATAGATTTTATAAACACTGTACAATTAGGCTATGTTAAATTTATTTCAAAAAATAAAGTATGATATCATGATGGTTTATGATGTCACAAGATGATAGGAATTTTCCAGCTCTATTATAATCTTATGAGACCACCGTTATATATGGTTTGTTGTTGACTGAAACATTACGTGGCCCCCAAAATGTAATAATTTTCTCCACATAGGTCTGAGACATCTTTGGTTAAACATTTTATTTTATTTGAGATGAAGTTTTGCTCTTGTCCTCTAGGCTGGAGTGCAGTGGTGTGGTCTTGGCTCACTATAACCTTTGCCTCCTGGGTTCAAGTGATTCTCCTGCTTCAGCCTCCCTCGTAGCTGGGATTACAGGGGCCCGCAACCACGCCCAGCTAATTTTTATATTTTTAGTAGAGACAGGGTTTCACTATGTTGGCCAGGCTGGTTTCTAACTTCTGACCTCAGGTGATCCACCCGCCTCGGCCTCCCAAAGTGCTAGGATTACAGTCATGAGCCAATGCACCCGGCCCTGGTTAGATTTTTAAAATGTATCTTATAATAAACTTTTTTGTTTAAAATTACATTTTCAGCTGCTTTGGCTGGTATGTGGAAATGAAACAGATTTTTTTGGTCCACCTTGCTAAGTTTTAATGTTCACAATACTAATGTTTTGAGTTTCTGTATAGACAGTACTATCACCTGCAAATAATGAGACTGTGGTTTCTTTCCAATCCTTATGTTGTTGATTTCTTTTTCTTTTCTTAGTATGCTGGCCAGGGTCCTTTGGTAACTGTTAAAAAGTGGTAGTGATAGCACGGTGGCTCACGCCTGTAATCCCAGCACTTTGGGAGGCCGAGGCGGGCGGATCACGAGGTCAGGAGATCGAGACCATCCTGTAAATGGTGAAACCCCATCTCTACTAAAAATACAAAAGATTAGCTGGGTGTGGTGGCAGGTGCCTGTAGTCCCAGCAGCTACTTGGCAGGCTGAGGCGGGAGAATGGCGTGAACCCAGGAGGCAGAGCTTACAGTGAGCCGAGATTGTGCCACTGCACTCCAGCCTGGGCGACAGAGCGAGACTCCGTCTCAAAAAAAAAAAAAAAAAAAGTGGTAGTGATAACGGGATTCTGATTGTTTCTAGCTTTAGAGGAAATGCTTGATGTGTTTCAACATGAAGAATGGTGGTGTTAGTTTTGGGTAGATAACCTTTGTCAGGTAAAGCTTTTCTTTTTATTGTTATTTTTAACAAATGGGTACTGATTTCTACATTTGTTGACATAGTTTTCTTCTTTCTATCTGGTGATGTGGTGAATAATAAATTTTTCTGATAATAAACCAACCTTGCATTATTAGAGTAAACCAAGCTTGGTTGGGATATAGCTACACTGGCCAACATAGTAACCACTAGCCACATTTCAAGTGCTAATTGTGGTTATGGCTATAATGGAAAAACAGAAATTACAGAACATTTCCATTATTGTGGAAAATTCTGTTAGTGCTGTGGTAGAGTTGTCTTTTTAAATACATTGCTGAAGTTATCTGGCTAATCTGTGTATGTATGTTTATGAGTTTTCATGTCAAACTTATACTTGTTTCATTGAAAGAGATGGAATGGCTGGGTGCGGTGGCTCACGCCTGTAATCCCAGCACTCTGGGAGGCCAAGGCAGACAGATCACTTGAGCTCAGGAGTTTGAGAGCAGCCTGGGCAATATGGCAAAATTTTGTCCCTACAAAAAATAAAAAAATTGGCTGGGCGTGGTGGTGTGTTCCTGTAGCAATCTCAGCTACTCTGGAGGCTGAGGTGGGATGATTGCTTGAGCCTGGGAGGCAGAGGTTGCAGTGAGCCAGTATTTTGCCACTGCGCTCCAGCCTGGGTGACAGAGCAAGACCCTGTCTCAAAAAAAAGAGGAGAAGGTGGAAAGTATTCTCTTTGTTTCTGTGTTCTGGAATCGTTTGTGTAAGATGGAGACAGTTCTTCCAAAATTTGGAACAGCTCATCAAGCCTGATGTTTCTTTTTGGGAAGATTTTAACTTAGTTTCTTTAATGATTACTGCTCTATTCAGGTTTTACATTTCTTCTTGAATAATTTTTTGTTAATTACATTTTTTTTTCTAGGAAATAACATCTAAAATAGCACATTTATTGGCATAAAGCAGGACTCAGCAAACTATGGCCTGTCACAGGCTGCCTGCCTCTTTTTCTAAATAAAATCTTGCTGGAATATAGCCACACCTAATCATATTGTCTGGTTGCTTTAGTGCTATAAATGCAGAGATGAGTAGTTATGACAGAAGGTATGAGCCCCAAGCCAAAAACATTTACTGTCTGGTCTTTTAAGAAAAAGTTTGCCAGTCTCTGGTTTGAACTATTCTTTATCTATCATTCTTTCAATATTTCTTTTAATCTCTGTATTTAACATCTCATTTTTTTTCCCTAATGTTAATCTCTTTTTTTCTATTCTTGATCAGCGTCACCAGAGACCTGCTAATTTTGGGCTATTTAGATGCATTCTCTTATTTAATTAACTAATTTCCACTCTTTTTTATCTTCTTTCTCTGTTCTTTGATTTCATTCTCATTTTATTCTTCATTTCTTTTCCTGGCTTAAGTTTGATGCTTAGCTTATTTGTATTAAACTTTCTTCTTTTCAGTATAAACATTTAAGGCTATAAATTTCCCTTTCTATACCACTTTTCCTAATTCCTACAAGTTTTATATGTATTATTTTCTTTACTATTCAATTATAATTATTTGAGTGTTTTTACATTTCCTAACATATGGAAATGACTTTCTTTTTTTTTACTGACTTGATTACATTTTAGTCAGGAATATGTGGTGGGTGAGATTTGGATTATTTTTAATTTGTTGAGACATGGGTTAAGTACCAGATTGTCATTAGTTTTTGTAAATGTTATATGTGTGCTTGAAAAGACTGTGTAAGGGTACAAAGCTCTATAAATGACCAACAAAACGTACTTGTTAATTACCTTGTTTAAGTCTTCTTATGTCTTTACTAGTTTTTCTAGTATATAATCTATCAGTAGTGGAAAAGATGTGTTAAAACTTGTACTGTGCCGGTGGACATGTTGGTTTGTCCCTCCGGGTCTATCAGTTTTTATTATTTTCATATTGTTTAATAGCTGATATAAATTAATTTTTTTCTGATAATTTGAATCTTTTAATCATTTTGTGATGGCTTCTGTATGTGTTAAAATTCTTTGTTTTTAAAAATTTGTTTGGTCTGATGAGAATGTAGGTGCCTGTTACAACCCATTGAGGTTCTTGCCTGCTGCACAGAAAAAACCAATATGCTGAGGCAACAGGTATTGCAGCAGAGAAAGAGTTTAGTCGCAGGGCAGCTGAGTCAGGGGAATGGGAGATAGTTCTTAAATCTGCCTTGCCAAGAATTTGGAGACTAGGGTTTTTAAGGGTGGTTTGGCAGGCAGGCAGGGGTCTAGGGAACGAGTTCTGCTGATTGGTTTGGTTGGAAATGAAATCACAGGGATGTCAACTGTTTTCGTGTGCTGAATCAGTTCCTGGGTGAGGGTTACAGGACCAGTTTAGTCATTTTCTTGGTATGGGTCACCAGCCCTGTGTGGCATCAGTTGGTAGAACAGAATTCAAAGTCTGAAAAATATCTCAAACACTAGTTTTAGGTTTCATAGTAGTGATGTTATCTATAAGAGCAATTGGAGAAGTTACACATCTTGTGACCACTGGCTACATGATTCCTGATCAGCAAGTAATTATAAAAAAGGGGGCTAGGGGACAATGACTGGTTACTGTTTATCCTTATATCTTAGTAGAATTGAGGCCCCTACCATAATTCTAAGCTTGTGGCCTTGTGTTCGTTATACAAAGTCGGTTTTAGTCCCTCAACAAGGAGGGGTGGATTAGTCTTGGGAAGGGACTATTATCCTCCTTGCTTTAAACTATAAACATAGTAACATCGTTAGTCTGACCTATGTATAGGAATAAGCAAAGGCAATTAGCTTGTGAGGTTAGAAGCAAGATGGAGTCAGTTATGTTAGATTTCTCTCACTGTTATAATTTCGCAAGGCAGGTTTCATACCCACCTTTCTGATTGTTATAAATTTCATTTTCTTTTTGCCCTATTTTTCCCTTTTCTTTGCTTGCATTTTTTTTTTTAGTTTTAAAAAAAGTTTAGTTACTTTCATTTTTCCACAATCCATTTCTTTTTTCTTTCTGTTAGGGAAATTACAGTTTATAATCTATTCCTTTTTTTTGCTTTGTTGTTGTTGAGACAGAGTCTGGCTCTCTCGCCAGGCTGGAGTGCAGTGGCGTGATCTTGGCTCACTGCAACCTCCACCTCCTGGGTTCAAGTGATTTTCCTGCCTTAGCCTCCTGAGTAGCTGGGAAGACAGGCGTGTGCCACCACGCCCAGCTAATTTTTGTATTTTTAGTAGAGATGGGGTTTCACCATGTTGGCCAAGCTATTCCTTTTTTTTAAAAAAAAAAATTGTTACACTTGAAATTTTGCCTTGTATACTTAATTCCTTAGCTCTTTGCAAAATTGACACAAAGGCCCTTTTACCAATCTGGTCAACACTCCCCTTCCAACTTCCATGTTGATGTTGCCTAGCATTTTATTCTCCCTTTTATCCCCCAAATTATACATGCTATTATGTATTTATATTTTGCTTTCATGTTTAGAGTTTCTTTTTCTTTATTTTCTTTTACTAAGATATCAGAGTTGTCTTTTTGTCCTCTAGCATCTCCTAATTTCATTTAAAATTTTTCATCTGTTTGTCTCTTGGCCCTGCATTTTGGGTAGTTTCTTCAGTTACTGGTTTTTGTAAAACTAGTCGTGTTTAATCTGCTTGACCTGTCCATTGAGGTTTTGAAATCAACAGTTACTTTTCATTAAAGTATTTATTACTGTTCAGTCTCTTGTTATTTTCAGCAGCCTCTTGTTGCTTGCTGATTTTGTGATTTCATTTTTAAAAGTTTAAACATTCATATTTTGTATTTTGGCAATGAGGTTATAATATCTGAATTCATTGGGGCGTGAATCACTCTTGGTGTTTGGTTTTCTTATGTGTTTGTTGGTCCTTGGGAAGGACTCATGTTTTGTTGAGCTTGGTATGTGGAAAATTTGGGTGCCTAAACTGAGGAATTTTTTAACTCCACAGAAGATTTCAGTTTGCTTCTACTGAGAAATTGCTTCTACTGAGAAATAGGATTTGTCATCTACCTGGGAACTTTCTAGAGTCCAAGCTCAATTGGCAAAAGGGCAAATGCTAATATGCACATTTGCCCTTTTGCATCTCCAAGTGCATACTACTTACTGTTCAGGTTTCAATTTACCCTTTTTTTGTGCAGATAAGAGACAGATGGTGAGTGTGGAAATGAAGGTTGGGTGTCGGTAGGTTCTGGTAGATTTTCCTTACTTTTTTGAGCTCAGCAATGTGATAACAGTTTTCTGCTGGATTTATTGGGCCTTTCAGGATATACAGTATTAATATATATATTACTGGAAAAAGATGTTCAGTTTTTAAGCTTTTCCTTTTCATTCATTCGCTCATTCATTTATTCATTCATTTTGAGACAAGATCTCACTCTGTAGCCCAGGCTGGAGTACAGTGACGTGATCACAGCTCACTGCAGCCTTGACCATCTGGGCTCAAGCGATCCTCCCACCTGAGCCTTCTGAGTAGCTGGGACTAAAGGGTGTGAGGTGGCAAGATCATAACTCTCTGCAGCCTTGAACTCCTGGGCTCAAATGATCCTCCTGTCTCAGCGTCCTGAGTAGTTGGGACTACAGGTATGCTCCACCATGCCTGGCTAACCTATTTTAGTTTTACATATACAAATCTCTGCACATTTCATTGTGACAGCACTAAAAATTAAAAAAAAAATTCTTTTGTGTTTTTCTGTATTAATGTTTAATTTTACATAACCTGTTGTGATTCTCAGTTTGTGCACCTCTTTTGGACTATTTGAGTCTCCTGATGTACTTGATTTATCCTGATGGGGTTTTGTGTATAAGTGGAATTTCATTTTATTTTAATTAATTTCAGGTATTTTGAGAAGTCATTGAAATAATTTCTTAGGCTAGAGTTTGTAAATCAGGTTTTAATTAAAGTAGAAAACCTCAGAATGAAGTACACACAAGAAGCATATTGTTTAATGAGACATTTTTTTTTCCTGAGCATATTTATATACTGGGTTGTGTTGCAATAAAAAAAAAAAAGTTTGAAATGCATTGTCCTAGGTTTTAGTCTGTGAAGCAGCTGAGACCAGTATTCTTTTTTTTTTTTTTTTTGAGACAGGGTCTCGCTTTGTTGCCCAGGCTGGATTGCAGTGGGGAAGATCTTGGCTCACTGTAGCCTTTGCCTCCTGGATTCAAGCGATTCTTGTGCCTCAGCCTCCAGAGTAGCTGGGATCACAGGCACGCACTACCAACGCCTGGCTAATTTTTGTGTTTTTAGTAGGTATGGGGTTTTGCCATGTTGGCCAGTCTGGTCTTGAACTCCTGACCCCGAGTGATCTATCTGCCTCGGCCTCCCAAAGTGCTGGGATTACAGGCGTGGTCCACTGCACCCAGCCCCAGACCAGTATTCAAGTGAGATGCTTTGTAAAGCTGAGCTGCTCTAATTGAAGGTCTGGGGCACCATAATCCCTTCCCTACTGAGTTGTTGAAGTGCTAGAGGCCCCTGTGAATGCAGTTACAGGTATGGAGGGAGATAAGCCAGACCGTGGTCCTATGTTCCTCCTCAACTACAAACAGAACTTTGCTTTTTCTGTATTTTGTAACTAGAATTTAGGGGAGATTTGGCTTGAAAAGAGGGCTCATCTGCTAAAGTGTATTGGAAAACCATTGTTAGATAATCAAGGTTTTAAGGCTGAATTCGACCTTGTCTTTAAATAAACCATTAAATAGGCAACATTTGGGAATTTTTTCTTCTTTAATTATTGTAGTCAGTCTTTAGTTTTGCCTCCTGCTTTTCTAGAACAAAATGTGATCATGAGCCTCCTGTCACCATCCTACTCATTTTTGACATGTTTTCAGTCTTGCTGTTTTTTTTTTATTTTCTTTGCCTTGTCTGCAGTGAAGAAAGAGTAAAGATGTTGTACAATTGTGCAACTTACATCTATTGGAATCTCTTATAAATGTACAGTGAGACATTCCCAAATGTTCTGTTCATGGTGTCCTTAGTGTCTCATCATTTTTTCATGGAGCCAAAATAGAATACATAACAGTTCTGTTTTAGTTAGATACAAGTAGCCTAATAAGTATTTATGGTTCAAGAATTATATGTTCAATCAAATAAAAACATTCCCTTTTTATGCTTAAATAGTGACATATGCTTACTGATCTGATGTGTGTGCCTGTTGGGCATATGCAAAGTTCTTAAGTCTTGGAATCAGATTGAACACTGCCACCTTTGTTTCCTGTTTTCCACTGATTTCTATCTAGCACTTTTTTTTATCACATCAGCTGTCCCAAAACCTAGCTTCTCAAAGATAATATTACCTTCAAAAAGAAGGTAGAACAATGATCTCATGTTCAAGTGGAACTACCTTGAGCTGATAAGCTTACCTGGTGTCTGACAGATCTTGAGAATAGCTGTATTTTCCTTGAGAACTTAAAATATCCCTCAGTGCCTGTGAATTTGCTGTGATATCTAGGGGACTCTGAGATGTCTTGTTTTACAGTTTGATAACTGCAGGTGCAGTGCTTTACAGTCTGTACAGTAATTAAGCAGATGGATGCTATCTACATTTTATGGAAGAGAAAATGGAGTCAACTTTGTAGAATTAGCTATAGATATTTGTACAAAGCTGCTCTGTTGAGTTATTTGCATCTCACAAGACAGTATATACTTTATAATTTATTTCTGAATGGTACTTTAAAAATATGTAGTTCATTTCCTGGGTTTTTTTTACTCTTTTTTAGGAAGAAAGTTTTTAAATTTTTTTATGTTTGCAAGGGGGTTGAAAAGAAATATCTTTTTTCTAGCAGAACCATTTTCTTTATTGCAGTTCTTTCCATTGTGATTTGTTTTCCTGGGAAAATGAAGGAAAAAAGAGAAAAATTAATTTGCAAATTAGTAATTGCATTAATGAATCTGTAAAGAACAGATTATATAATATTGTTGGAGTGATAAGTATTAAGGATTGCCAAAAACTGCAAGTACATGATATAGTAAGATAATAGAATTGAGAGTTTTAGATCTGGAAGGTGGGATGAGGATAGAGATGAGAGTTGGGTCATCTAATTGATTTCTTGCATACCGTTTGAGATCTTACACTGGGAGGTGGAGGAGAAAGTAAGAAGGGAGAGAAAGAGAAGTTAGTGGGGAGAAGGAGGAGGAAAGAGGGTGATACTGTATGATTGTATTCTTGTTAAAAGCAGAAGCACTTTTGACATTTCAGAATATTTACTCTCTTGGCTCCTGCCAGAGTATATAATCTAGAATAGATCTGTTGCCCAATCTTTATTTAAAGTTCAGTTTTAAGGGAAAAAAATGTTAATAGAGAACAGCCTTGAAGGATAGGCAATCCATAATACCTATAGATTATTAGTTTTCTTTCTTTAAGGATTGCTTTTAAAAAATACTTTATTACAAATACTTTGAAATAACATATCTACAAGAGATGTATCCTTTCTTCCATCCCAAGCTCAAATCATTTCTATATTCCATTTTTACGTATTTGCAATAATAATACAAATAATTTTGGGCTAGGTGTGGTGACTCACGCCTGTAATCTTAGCACTTTGGGAGGCTATGGTGGGTGGATCACTTGAGGTCAGGAGTTCGAGACCACCCTGGCCAAGGTGAAACCCCGTCTCTACAAAAAATACAAGCCGGATGTGGTGGCAGGTGCCTGTAATCCCAGCTACTTGGGAGACTGAGGAAGGAGAATTGCTTGAACCTGGGAGGTGGAGGTTGGAGTGAGCCGAGATCGTGCCACTGCACTCCAGTCTGGGCGACACAGAGAGACTCCCATCTCAGGGAAAAAAAAAAAAAAATTATGCTCTATACTTCCCATTAATTTAATTATGTAGATTTTTTTTTGGTGTTTTTTATTGCCCAATAGGTACTTTTTTGGTGTATGTTATATTTGGTGTTTATTTTACCAAATATACTATTAAACCCACACGTGTGCACACACATACACACTTGAGTATAATGCCTTTCCCACTCGTTAGTACATTAATATTATTGGCTAACACTGTTATATTTTTTTCTTTGTAATGACTGCATAATATTCCATGGTAAAGATTTACCACACTTCATGTAGCTGTTGTTCCCTTTTCGATGTCAGATTTTTTTTTCCACTTGTTTTAAACAGTGCTAAGATAAATATTCTAGTACATTTATATTGACATTTTTATTCCTGTGAGAATTGGAAGAGAAGTATTGCTGGGTTGAAGGGAATGTGTCATTAAAATTTAATAGGTATTAACACAAATCTTTTCAGAAAGGCTGTAATAATTCACATTTCCAGTAACATCTGACAGATCACCGGTTTTCAAATTTTTCTCTGTGAACTTTCTTGACAAGAGAAGTTGGGGGTATTGGAATACCCATCACTCAATTCAGCCAGAGCAGCTCTCTTTTAACCTATTTGATATATTGCACATTGTTATAATGTTTTGGTTAGAAGAGTTTGTTTCATGATTAAAATAAGTTTGAAGAATCATTGCTCCGAGTTGTTCGATTTTTTTTTTTTAACCTTTTCTTTTTTTTCTAGGTCAAACCAGACATTGAGATCACTGGCTTTTTGGATACCTTGTGTTGGCTGCATTTCTTGTATATTTGGATACCGAGTGTTGGCTACATTGGATACCTTGTGTTGGCTACAATTCTTGTAGAATGTTTTCTACTGAATCATACTTTAAGTACTTTGAATTGTACTTTGGCTTGCATTGAGGGATAAAAAGGGGTGGTTAAAACTCACTTCTGTGTTTATCCTTGTTGGAGTTATCCATTACATTACTCACTGACCCATTAGGTTTCAGCGAGGATGCAGATGTCACATAAAGCTTCACTTCTCCTCAATAGCTCTTAGACAATGTTTATCTTATGGTTGATATTTCTTATTCATCTTATGCCCTTTGATTTATTGGTTTTGTACCTTGCTTACAGGGCTTTTATAGTTTATTTTTGAAATAAACCAAGAAGTTGAGTGTGCCTCTGTGGCCATTTCCAGCCATATAACCATGTAAGCAGGTATGATGTAGTTCTAATTCTGCCATTTGGGAACTTTCTGATCTTGGGCAAAATCAGCGAATTTCTCTTGTCCCAGTTTTCTTCATTTGTTAAAAAATATGGATGATAATAAAATCAGAGTTGATGATTTTCCAAAAACATCTTTCAGCAAATTCAGTGACTAGTTTATAGGCTTTTAATGGGTTACTTAATGAAAGCCAAAAAGAAAAGAAAGAAGATACCCAATTGCATTCAACTAACTGAAAGTGAATGTAGGGGCCAAGACAAGTATAGCTCAAATTTGGAGTTTCCAGGTATTGTTCTTCACATCCTTGAGATATTAGAAGCAGTGTTCCTTAACTTTCTTTTTTGACGATAGATGTTAGAGAATACACCACAAGCTCTGCTCCATCTCCCCAGAAGAATGTACATTATCACATGCATGCAAACTCTGTATACTCTTTTAGATGACTATAGATGGTTCATAGACCTCCTGAAGACCATTTATGGGTTTCCTATGTGGAATCTGAGTGTAAGAACAGACCTAGAGCAGTAGTTCTCAGTGTGGGGTGATTTTGCCCTGCAGGGGACACTTGGCAATGTCTGGAGACATTTTTGGTTGTCACAACTGGGGATGGTGATGGTGTGCATGCCCTCCTCATATCTAGTGAGTAGAGCCCAGGGATGCTGCTGAACATTGTACAATGCACAGGTGCACCCTGACCTCCACTTGCAATAAAGAATTTTTGGCAAAAAACGTGAGAGTGCTGAGGTTGAGAAGCCCTGATGTAGAGGAAGTGATGAATGGGATTTCTTTAAAAAATCCTTCAGAAATATAATTGTTCTCTGGTCTTTTTTGATAGTAGTTGGGTAGTAGATAGTGCAAGGTTAAAATCTCTGAGCCTCACTCTGTCTTGAGTATTCTTCCCTCAGGTATTTGCATGGTTTATCATCATTCTTTTTCAGGTTTCCACTCAAATGTCACCTTGTCATAGAGTCCTTTCCAGTCTTTGCAAGCTAAAACAGTTCTCTTCCTTACTTTTTTTTTTTTTTTCAGACGGAGTCTCACTTCTGTCCAGGCTGGAGTGCAGTGGCGCCATCTCGGCTTACTGTAACCTCCGCCTCCTGGATTCAAGTCATTCTCCTGCCTCAGCCTCCCGAGTAGCTGAGATTACAGGCATGCACCACCATGGCCGGATAATTTTTGTATTTTTTCTTTTTTTGGTGGAGACAGGGTTTCACCATGTTGGCCAGGCTGGTCTCGAACTCCTGTCTCAAGTGATCCACCTGCCTTGGCCTTCCAAAGTGTTGGGATTACAGGCATGAGCCACCACACCTGGCCATCTCTATTGATTCTTTTTTTCTTTCTTTTTTTTTTTTTTTGAGATGGGGTCTCACTCTGTTGCTTGGGCTGGGGTGCAGTGGTGGGATCGTGGCTCACTGTAGCCTCGACATCCCTAGGCTTAGGTGATCCTCTCACCTCAGCCTCCCAGTTAGTTGGGACTAATTTTTTTGTATTTTTTGTAGTGGTGGCGTTTCACCATGTTGCCCAGGCTGGTCTCAAACTCCTGGGCTCAAGCAGTCCACCTGCCTTGACCTCCCAAAGTGTTAGGATTACAGGCGTGAGCCGTGGCGCTCGGCCCCTATTTTTCTTAACATTTCACATTATCTAACACATACATTGACATTTGTTGTCTGTTTTCCTTCAACTTTAATATAAGCTATGCCACGAGAACAATAATCTTTGGCTTTCTCCTACAGTTATATTCCCCAGTCAACAGTACCTGGGATATAATAGGTGCTCAATAAATATTTGTTGTTGAAAGAATGAATGATCTGAGTCTGTATTGTGGCAAGTTTGATTGTATTGTTTTGGCAGAGCCCAATGTTTTAGAGATCAAAGGTGCAGTAAAGTTGACAGTTTTTTGTGAAAATTAGGAGTTCTTACCTAAGTTGTCAGTTGGATATAGTATAGGCCAGGAATATGTATCTGAAGGCAAAGCCAGGATTTAAGGGAAAAAAAAGTTCTTTGGCTTCTTTACAACATGAATTGAGCACCTGAAGTTGTGTTCTAAACTGTTTTCTAAACTTGTCTGACCATAGGAATTGTCTGAGACATTCCTTAAAAACGGCAGAATCTGAAGCTTCTCCCCACACCTCCTGAATCAAAATTTCTAGAGGAGGAACCAGGATATTCTTATTAAAAACAAAGAGGGAAAGAATATCTTCAACAGATGACACTGGGACAACTGGATTTCCACATGCAAAAGAATTAAGTTGGACCTCTCCTTCACATAGTAGATAAAAATGAGCTCAAAATGATCAATGATGTAAATGTAAGATTTAAGCCTGTATACTTTTAGAAGAAAATATGGGAGTAGAATTTTATGAACCTGAATTTATTAGCACAAACAATAAAAAATATATATTGGACTTTATAAAAATTAAAAACTTTTCTGCATCAAAGGACATAAGAAAATGAAAACACAACCTACAGAAGAAAATATTTGCAAGTCATATCTTTAACAAGGATTTAATGTCCAGAATATATAAAGAACTACAGGTCAATGACAAAAAGACAACCTAATTTAAAAGTGAGCAATGATCTTGAATAGACATTTTTCCAAAGATACACAAATAGACCTGTAAGCACATAAGATACTCAACACCATTAATCATTAGGAAAATGAAAATCAAAAACATAATGAGGTTACACTGCATACCTACTAGGATGGCTATAAAAAAACAAAACCAGAAAATAACTGTTGAAGAGGATGTGGAAAAATTGGAGCCCTCATTTGCTGATGTAGCTAGCTGCTGCTGTGAGAAACAGTTTGGTGGTTCTTCAAAAAGCTAATCATAAAGTTACCATAAACTTAGCAATTCCACTGCTAGCTGTGTGCTGAAAAGATTTGTACAGGGACTGAAATGGGTATTTGTACAGCAGTGTTTATTGCAGCACTGTTCACAGTAGCCAAGAATGGAAACCAAGTGTCCACTAGCAGAAGAATGGATAAACAAAATGTGGTATATACATATAATATTCAGTCATACAAATAATTGAAGCTCTGGGCCAGGCGTGGTGGCTCACATCTGCAATCCCAGCACTTTGGGAGGCTGAGGCAGGCGGATCTTGAGGTCAGGAGATCGAGACCATCCTGCCCAACATGGTGAAACCCCGTCTCTACTAAAATACAAAAATTAGCCAGGCGTGGTGGCGCGCGCCTGTGGTCCCAGCTACTCAAAAGAATTTAAGCTCTGATAAGTGCTGTAACAGGATGAACCTGAAAATACACTCAGTGAAATTTGACAGAAAAGGACAAATACTGTGATTCTACTTACATGAGGCACTTAAGGATAGGCAAATTTATAGAGACAGACAGTAGAAGTTACCAGGGGCTGGGGAAAACAGGGCATGGGATGTTATTGCTTAATGGTTACAAGTTTCTTTCTGTTTTGGGTGATGAAAAAGTTTTGGAAATGGTAGTGGTTGCACAATATTGTAAATATAATTAATAATGTCACTTAATTGTACATTTATAAATGGTAGATTCTATGTTACATATATTTTACATAAAAAAAGTATTAGATCTAAAACTATTGAATTGTACACTCTAAAAGATGAATTATTTGATATGTGAATTCTGTCTTAATAAAACTATTTAAGAAAACAAAAACAAAACCAGCTATCCGTGTTTGGACAACACTGTCACAAAACAAAGTTGTTGATTTTAGCCAGGAAGCATATAAGGTAGATGTAATCAGTGAGACTAGATTCAGATTAGATTTAGTAATATTAATCCGTATGCAGTCCCTCAAAACTAATGTCTTTCAGGAATATATCAAGTGTTTATGTACTATAATGATTTTGTTAAGTTTTCCCCATTATAGGGAAATTTATTGAGAAACTTATCAAATTAAACTTTTTGGTGGACTTGACATCCTAATTTTTCTTATAACCCCTCCCCCAGTTTACTCATTATTAATATTTTATTTACAAGGTACATAACTTTGTAAGCAGATTTGTTGAATATTTGTTTATCTTTATGGATACTGTGTTACTTTTAATGAGGTAGAATTAATAGTTGTACTCTCATTTGTCCTGTATACAGTATGGTACATTGGGTCCTTACATATCAATATGGGTGGTACTTTTATGCCCATTTTATTGTCATCTTAAAGAGCTACATTGTAATGTTATGCAATGCCTCCTGGATTTTACTTCTGTCTCAATCTCTTTTCTCCTACTAAACTATACTTCTCTCCTGTTTTCTGTTATATCCTCTCTTCAAATACTCTTATGTTATCTTCCAGTTGTTCAGAGCTTCCTGTTACTGCTTCAGTGAGCCTCTTGCAGTCCCTCATAGATTCCTGCAGTCTTCCTGTGTTCTAGCTGGTATGTCTTTGTCTTTGGAAATTCTCTAAAATACAAATCTCATTTCTCTTTAAATTTCTTAGAAAAGAAAGAAAAAAAATGACAACTGCCTTATGTGATAATGACCAGACTCCTTATCAGAGACTTAAAGCCTTAGATTAACTGGTCCCAATTTCTTTTATAACACCTTCACCAATATGTGCACATGTATATGTACATGCACAGAATCTAGTTGATTCACTTTTGTTTCAGTACTTTTTTCCTTTTTATTCCAATTAGTATCATTTTGTTTATCCATTCACCAGTTAATAGACATTTGGATTGTTTGTTGTTTTTGGGCATTATGAATAATACTGCCATGAATATTCTGGTAAAAGTCTTTGTGTGGATATAGGTTTTCTCTTGGATGGACACCTAGAAGGGGAATTGCTAGGTCATATTGTAAGTTTACATTTAACTTTTTTTTTTTTTTTTTGAGAACAGTGTCTTACTCTGTCACCCAGGCTAGAGTGCAGTGGTGCGATCTCAGCTTACTGCAACCTCCACCTCCAGGGTTCAAGCGATTCTCCTGCCTCAGCCTCCCGAGTAGCGGGGATTACAGCGCCTGCCACTGCGCCTGGCTAGTTTTTGTATTTTTAGTAGAGATGGAGTTTCACTATCTTGGTCAGACTGGTCTCTAACTCCTGACCTTGTGATCCACCCGCCTCGGCCTCCCAGAGTGCTGGGATTACAGGCATGAGCCACCGTGCCCAGCCAACATTTAACCTTTTAAGATACTGTGAAACGTTTTTCAAAAATGGCTGCAGCATTTTACATTCCCATAAAATATGAGGGTTCCAGTTTCTTCACAACCTCAGCAATATTTCTTACTGCCTCTTTTTTTTTTTTTTTTTTTTTAAAGAGGCCGGGCCTTACTCTTGTCACCTAGGCTGGAGTGCAGTAACTTGATGATAGCCTTGAACTCCTGGGCTCAAGCCATCCTCCTGCCTCAGCCTCCTGAGAAGCTAGGACTACAGGCATGCACCACCATGTCCAGCCAATTACGTTTTTTTTTTTTTTTTTTTTTTTTTTTTTTTTTTTTTTTTTTTTTGTGGAGATGGGGGGGTCTCACTGTATTGCCCAGGCTGGTCTAGAATTCCTGCCCTCAAGTGACCCTCCTGCCTTGGCCTCCCAAAGTGCTGGGATTACAGGTGTGAGCCACTATGCCTGGCCTGTCTTTTTTTTTTTTTTTTTTTTAAAGACGGAGTCTTGCTCTGGTGCCAGGCTGGAGTGCAGTGGCATGATCTTGGCTCACTACAACCTCCGCCTCCCGGGTTCAAGTGATTCTCCTGCCTCAGCCTCCGAGGTAGCTGGGATTACAGGTGCGTACCACCACGCCCAGCTAATTTTTGTATTTTTAGTAGAGATGGGGTTTCACCATGTTGGCCAGGATGGTCTTGATCTCTTGACCTCATGATCTGGCCGCCTCAACCTCCCAAAGTGCTGGGATTACAGGCGTGAGCCACTGTGCCTGGCCTGGCCTTTTTGATTAGTGCCATTGTAGTCGCCTAATTAAGCTAAAATATCTTTGTGCCTTGAGTTTCTGGTTGGGCTAACGTTTTTGTTTCTGTTCAGTTTGCTCCGATTTTTTAGTATTCTGATTTTTTTTTTTTTTTTTTTTGAGGCAGAGTCTTGCTCTGTCGCCCAGGCTGGAAGTGCAGTGGTGCTATCTCGGCTCACTGCAAGCTCCACCTCCTCGGTTCACGCCATTCTCCTGCCTCAGCCTCCCGAGTAGCTGGGACTACAAGTGCCCGCCACCACGCCTGGCTAATTTTTTTGTATTTTTAGTAGAGACGGGGTTTCACCGTGTTAGCCATGATGGTCTCGATCTCCTGACCTTGTGATCTGCCTCCCTCGGCCTCCCAAAGTGCTGGGATTACAGGCGTGAGCCACCGCTCCCGGCCTAGTATTCTGATTCTTAATTTCCAATTCAGCATTCCCTAAAGAGCCTGAAGTAAAAACGAGAAAACTTGACCTCTTGTCATTGCTCTGCCACTTACTACAGGGTGACTGTATGCGAGTTCGTCAGCTTTCTGAACTTCATTTTCTTCATCTGTAACATAGGGATGATTCCTACTTTTATAGAATTTTGAAGGAAAATGTGTGCATGAAAGAGCTTTGAAAACCATGATCTGTTTTTAAAAAATTAAAGCTGTCATGCTTACGTATATGAAGTATCAGAAATGCTTACAGAGATAGTAGGCAGAATTAGCACTATATTGTAGTGTTAAGGCATTTGTTACTAAACTTGGCATGTAAATTTCCTCATGGAGCTTTTTTCATATGGAAGTGTTTGGGTCTGATTATTAGAGGATTCAGCAGTGCACCAGAGATGGAAAACCATTAGGTTAAGGGCATAGGCTTTGGAATCAGATATGGCTCAATTTAAGTTCAGTTGTTGATAACTTTAGCATAGTTATTTAACCTCTTTGAACCTCAGTTTCCTTGTTTATAAATGGGCATAATTATATAGTTCATCTTAGTAAGAACATTTATTCAGCTTTTGCTTTTTAACCTGCATTGTGTTATGCATTAGGTATGTAGCAGTGAACAAATTAGGATCCCTAAACTTTTCTCATATAGTTTACAGTTCAGAAGGGGAAACACATTAGAGAATTTGTATTTACATTTATGATAAATTCTTTGAAGCAAAAGTGCAGGGGTGGTGTGAGAGCATGCAGTCAAGATTTTATTTAGACTGAGTAGATTTGGGACAGCTTCCCTGATTGACAGGTGAGACTTGAAAGAGCAGTGTTAGCCAGGCATGAGGGCTAGAGAAGAGAAAAAGTTTATTGAAGCAGAAGGAATAGCACACCCTGAGACAGAAGGATCTTGGTTTAGTGTCTTCAAGGAATAGAGATGTGACTGGAGTGTAATGAGCAAATGGTCAGATTAGTATATTTGGAACTTATTCGAAGGGCAGTGAGAACCTATTTAAGAATTCTAAGTAAGGCAGTGATATGAAGAGATTAGCTTATTAAGATCATTCTGGTTGCTCTCTGAAGAATGAGTTGGATGTGGTGTAGATTTATGTTGTGGTGAAGTAATGGCTAATGATTTCATTTACATTTTGAAGTAATGTAAATGATTTCATTTACATTTTGCAAGGTAGCATTTATAGGATTTGATTGTTGATTGTAAATATTGAAAGGGAATTGCCAAGCTTCATTCCCAGAAAACTGTGAGGAAGAAATGGGTACATGAAGGCAACACACACTGAAGAGGGAGAGGAATGAAGAATGAGGATTTTTTTGGAGGGAGAAAAAAATTGGGAGACATTTTGTTTAGTTTTGAGTATCTTGAGTTCGCGGTATCTTTGAGAATACCCAAGTGGAAATGTTAAGTAGACAATTGTATGTGCGGACTGGAGTTGAAAAGAGAGATCTTTATGGAGTATGTATTAAAAGAAAGCTTAGGGCAAAAGCCTTGGGAGAAGAACATAAACAGTAAAAAGAGAATTGAACTCTGATGAGTTAACTGATATTTGGAGGTTGAGTAGAAGAGAAATCAAAGGAGACAGGAATGACCAGTAAGGTAGGAAAAAATCAGGAAAAGGCAATGTGTTACTAGAAGAAACAAAAGGAAAATAATGTTTCAAGGAGGAGGCTGCGGTCAACTGTGTATCATACTGCTGAGATGAATAAAATAAGGATTAGAAAAGTGTTCACTTGATTTGGCAACATAGAGGTCAACTGATGACTTTTAGTTAGCTTTTACTGCATAACAAATCACCCGAAGACTGACTTACTGAAAACAACTGTTCCCAATTGTGTATATTGGCAATTTGGGTTTGGCTTATCTGGGTGGTTCTACTGATCTGGACCAGGCTTAGCTGATTTTAGCTGGGGTTGCTTATGCATCTACAGATATGCCTCTGTGGTCACCTGGTGATTTGGTTAGGGCTGGCTTGTTCATGATGACCATGGCTGGGACAATGTGCCTCTGTGCATATACATTCTAATTTTCCACTGGGATAGCTTGGACTTGCCGACATCTCCATAGCAGAATTCCAAGAGCAGTAGGTAAGCTAACCCAGAGCACAAACACTTACTAAACTTCTCAATGTCCCATTGCCTAAAAGAGTCATAACGCCATCTCAGATTCTAGGTCTGAAAAAACACTTTTATTTCTTGATGGGAGGAGCAGCAAAGTCACATTGTAAGGGTGTAGATACAAGGAATGGAAAAATTTGTTGTCATTTTTTGCAATCTGCTAGTGACTGTGGCAAAAGCATTTTGCTGATGAGGTGGAGTGTGCGGGTGGGGAACTCTTTGGAAGCCAGGTTGGATTAATATGAATAGTGAATGGGAATTGAAAGTAGATAGTATAGATTACTCTTTGAGAAGCTTGTCTGTGAAGGTAATTTGGGAGAGAGGACAATACCTGAGGCAGGGGAGGTATTTGTAGTCTAAACAGGTATGTTGTATTTTCTTTCCCTTCCTGCCTGAATGCCTTCCATCCATCCAATAACAGAATATATTTGAATGCTGAGAGAGTATCTAGTAGACACAGAGGATGCTGATACGGGGGAAAGAGGAGATAACTAATCAAGTAAAAGTCTTTGAGTAGAGGATGGGATTTTGTGTGCTTATGAAGGGGTTAGTGTTTTGATGTGAGGAGGGCTATTTCCTTTCTGGTATTAGGGAAGAGGGAGGGAAGGAAGGAATGGGGAAGGAGGGAAGGGAGGGAATGGGTGCAAATGTACATAGGCATGTAAATTGGGTAATAAGAGGCTGAGGGTTTCCGTTTGATGGCGCTTCTGTTTTCTCAATGAAGCAACAGCAGTCTACATGGGGGCGTGGGGCGGGGGCGGCGTTGTACAAGAATGTGTGTTGGAGATTTGACGTGAATAGAAAAATTCGTAATTTTATCCACCCCCCCACCCCCCACAATGGGATATCGAGTTGACTACTGAGCAGAGAAATACTAATCACTCAATAAATGAGAGATATTATCACTATTAATATACAAGAATTACTTTAAAGAGATTTAACAGAACACTTTCTGTGCGGTTAGAAACTGATGCAGGTCGAGATATTCCAGGGCCTGGGGCTCCTTTTCTGTTTGAGCCAGTTAAACTTTAGTATCTTCCATAACATTGATGGTCCTTAAAAAATGATGTAGGCAAGTGACCATGTTTGCCCTTTTACAAATAAACATTAACAAAAATATGTATTCAAAGAAAGGGTCCAGTTTCTAAAAGAACTTCCTAAAGTATTCACCGTCACTGTTTTACCAGAACAAATAAGGAATAACATAAATACACTGATTTTGAATTAATAAAGATTAATTCAAACTGCATGGTAGATTAGTCAAAAAATTGTATGTTGAAAAAGGCAGATTTTTGTTTAAACAGTTGGAAAATATGTAAACAGGGCTTTCAAGTTGTATGCTTAGGGGAGAATAGCATAATTTACTTAGCGTTTTTTCTCGTAGGAAAAACTCCCATTAGATTTTTGGTTGTCCCTCAACAAGAATAAGCTAAACTTCTTACACTGTTTAATTATTGTGTACTGAAGAGTTGTCTTTATGGAGGGCACCATCTGCTGGTTGCAAGAGGTAGCAGTTGTGGCGAAGACTGCCTTCTGTAGTTATATCAGACTCTTTACAAAATCTTATGTTTTCCTTTGAATTCCACCTCAAACCTGGAGTGAAATCCCAGAAGGAAAAACAGCTTTAAATTAACATGGCCCAGTATGGATTCTAGTAGTGGTTTGATTTGATTTCTGTGACTGTGAATTTTTAAGAAAAATCAACATGAAACTGGCAGATGCCGGTCTTTATTTGTTGATTTGGATGCCTAAATCAACTAAAAAATAGGATTGCTTATTGTTATGATTGCTCTTGCTCTTTAGTCAGTACTTTGTTTTCCTTTTCTATTCAGTGAAAATATCTTACATATTTTTTACTACAGTCTCTTGTTTAGTTACATCTATGAACATTTATTTATGTCTGATAATATTAAAGAATGACCATTTCATTGATTTTTCTTGTACTCAGTGTGATTAAAAGATTCTCATATATTTAATTAATGATCATTTTATTTGAACTTTAAAAAAAAACTTTAGTATTAGAATATTTTCTTTTCTTTTTTCTTTTTGAGATGAAATCTCGCTGTCTCACCCATGCTGGAGTGCAACGGCACGATCTCAGCTCACTGCAACCTCCACCTCCCAGGTTCAAGTGATTCTCTGGCCTCAGCCTCCTGAGTAGTTGAGACTACAGGCATGCGCCACCATGCCCAGCTAATATTTGTATATTTAGTAGAGACGGGGTTTCGCCATGTTGTCCTGGCTGGTCTCAAACTCCTGACCTCAGGTGATCTGCCCACTTTGGGCTCCCAAAGTGCTGAGATTACAGGCGTGAGCCACTGTGCATGGCCTAGTATTAGAATATTTTCTTATGCTTACTGTTCATGCTGAACATAAAAATGTAAATATAATAATATGCATATGATAATTTTTGAACTGAATTGTTTTCTGAAAATGCTTGTTTCAAATAACCCTTTGAAAGAAGGGAAATTCTAGGTTATAGTTTTACTATTAATTGGTGGTAAATTTAAAGTTTATATTTTTTAAATGGAGAAACTCATAAATCAGCACATTGTTGGCCAGGTGTGGTGGCTCACGCCTGTAATCCCAGCACTTTGGGAGGCCGAGGCAGGCAGATCATGAGGTCAGGAGATCGAGACCATCCTGGGTAACACAGTGAAACCCCATCTCTACTAAAAAAAATACAAAAAATTAGCCAGGCGTGGTGGCGAGCTCCTGTAGTCCCAGCTACTCGGGAGGCTGAGGCAGGAGAATGGCGTGAACCCGGGAGGCGGAGCTTGCAGTGAGCCGAGATCACGCCACTGTACTCCAGCCTGGGTGACAGAGTGAGACTCCGTCTCAAAAAAAAAAAAAAAAAAATCACATTTTTCTGTAATATACTATAGTTTATAAAATAGAGTCTGATATAGGCCAGTTTTATATGACTATTTTCTAAGTGCAGTTATTTTTCATTTTTTGTTTGCTCTACCTTAATAGTGAATGGTTGAGATTCCCCAAAGATGAAAGGAACTATTATATGTCAAATCATTTATTTGACATTCTGTTTAAGGAGCAGCTCTGTATCAATACCTGTTTTTCATTGACTTAATGATACCCTCTTCTTCTGTGTTGCTCCTTTTCTGCTTCCTCTTTTTTCTTTTCACCTTTTTCTTATCTCGTAATTTGGTATTCATTCCCATCATTTTCTGGACACTTTTTTCTCAAATATCCTGTCAAGTTCAAGGGAGTATTTGCTGAAGTCATTTTGTATGTTTTCACTGAGGGTGATCATCACTATATGTCACCCCTCCATTTTCAAACATTTTTGCCTAGGTTTTTGTAATATCACTATATATCGTCCCTTCATCTTCAAACATTTTTTCCGTAGATTTTTGTAACAATTACTCTCATTTTTCTAAAGCCATTTTCTTGACTTTCTTCTGTTTTCCTTCTTTATCTCCCCTGTGGGCTCCCACCACCCCAATCACTATAGGTATTTCATTAAGGTTTAGTGTTGGTATCTCAGCTCACCCTACTCATTTTCTTTACTCATCTTGTAAACCCATAAAGCATGAACAATAAATTGTTCTAAAAATATTTTCTCATTTTACACTTTTTTTCTAGAACTTTAGATGTATAATCTACAGTTGCCTTCTAGAGCAAACTTTATTTTTCCCAAGACTTAATCTCTCTCTCTGGGTTTTCCCCCATCTCCATTACAACGAGGGCAGAGCTCTTTCTTGTACATTTGCTCATCATTGTATTCCTAGTACTTAGTGTATTGCACCAAGCAAATTCTCAATAAATATTTAAATAAATGGCCTTCTAGGAACAAAGGTTTCGAATCTTATAATCATGTTCTGCTTCTCTGGTATAATCATTCGTAAGTCGTTGAATCAGTTTTCTTGTTTTGTAGTCATTGCCTACAGTCAGTTCCTCATTACTTCTTTCTTGGAATTTTGCAGTAGTTTTCTAACTTGTTTTAATTTCTCCTGTGTCTAGCTCTACTTTTTGCTGTAACCATAATTTCTTCGAATAGTTCTGGTCGTTCATTCATTCATTATTTCCTGAGTGCCTACTACTGATAGTAGCTATTTGCGATAGATGCTAGCAGATAGATGCTAGCATAAATGTTATATGCTACTTTTCTTAAGGAGCTTACAGTCTAGTGGGAGAGACAAAGATAGAAATAAGTACAATAGATACAATGTGATAATTGCTAATTGTAGTAGGTTCAAAGTGTGACTAGCTGTAGGGGAGGAGCCTAGCTCTGCCTGGTTGAGGTCAGAAAAAGTTAAAATGAGACTTTAAGGTCTATAGAGTTTGCTTAGTAGACAAGGGCCAGTATGTTTTACTCATAGGAAAAACAACCTGTGTATATTCACAGAGGTGTTTCAAACCTCTCCTTACAATGCTGTTCATAAGACTGAAGTGCAAATTGAGTAACCTCCCTCTTTGTTGTCTCTTTATTTTTTCCGTCTTAGCTCCCTTTACTTCCTTCCACCTTTTCCTTCAGTCATACTTCTGGTCCAGTAACTGAAATTTGCTCTCTGAGATTTATTCAGAATGTTTTTTTCTGTCTTTTTATTCTGTGTATTATTACCACTTTACCCCTGTCCACTTACAAAAGTGGTTTTTCTTTCAGTCTTATTTTTTCCAAGCTTGTTGTTTATTTCTGTTAGGATAATTTCAGAATCAACTGTGATTCACTTATTTAGGGGAATGTCTGTTTCTCTTCATGGATTTTGAGACCCATTTTACGTGTTTTGCTCTGTAGTTTCTGCTGTTGTGTTCTGCATATGAGGTGCTTGATAAATTTTTGGTTACATGGATGAGTATATTTTACAAGGTCACTCTGTCTACATTGTATAGCTGTGGTCTGTGGCCATATTCATGTATTTGTTTTTATGAATCATGAACAGCTTTTGTCTCTGAAATAAGGCAGAGAGACTTTCTTCCACTCCAGACTCAGTGGAAGAGAAGCTTATCACATTTATCAATCCATTTATCAATCTTTCCCTGGAGTGCTTTGTCCTAGGCATTGGCTGAGTATCTTCTTTGGTTGAAGGAATGTAACTATGAACTTGGTTCTTGCTAGTGTTTTTCCTAACCTGAAGTCATGCAGCTATTCTCTTTTATCATATTCTAAAAGCTTTTAACACTTTGCCTTTATATTTAAGTTGTTACTGTACCTCGAATTCATTTTGTATATGGTGTGAAATATAGGTACAGTGTCCTTTTTAAAAAACTTAGATATGAAAGTGTCTTCAGAACTTTTTATTGTATTCTCTCTGCTCTTTCCTGTTATCGCTACCACTTTTTTTCATATACAGTTGCGTACCACACAACTTTTCTGTCAGTGATGGACTGCATATATGATGGTGGTTCCATAAGCTTATAATACTGTATTTGTACTGTATCTTTTCTATGTTTAGATACATTTAGATACACAGATACTTACCATTGTGTTACGGTTGTGTACAGTATTCAGTACAGTAACATACTGTACAGGTTTGTAGCCTAGAAGCAATAGGCTATACCATATAGCCTAGGTATGTAGTAGTCTGTTCCATTTAGGTTTGTGTAAGTACACTGTATGATGTTTGCACAACAATAAAATTCCCCAACAACGTATTTATTAGAATGTATCCCATCATTAAGTGATGTATGACTATGCACAGGAGGAACACAGATTTTTGGATGTTAATCTTGTATCCTGGAACGTCGATGAACTAGTAGTTTATTTTTTGTAGATTCCTTTGGCATCTTCTGTGTAGATAATCATGTTGTCTGGATGTAGGGACAGTTTCTTTTCCAATATGTATGCTTTTTATTTTCTGTTTCTTTGTGTGCTGCCTAGGGCTTCTAGCATTATATTGAATAAAAGTGCTGGGAGTAGACATCATTTCTTTGTTTCTGATCTTAAAGGGGAAGCATTTAGTCTTTTACCATTAAGTATTTGTGTTACCTGTTGTTACCTGTTGGTGACTTATGCTTGTTATGGATGTCCCTGACTTATGGTGGTTCAACTTAGGACAATTTTTTGACTTTATGATGGTGTGAAGGCAATACACATTTGGTATGTTTCTTGACATATGATAGAAATGCACTTTTGGCTTAACTATATTTTAAATTTACAATGGGTTTATTGGGACGTAACCTTATTGTAAGTTGAGGAACATCTCTATATTGATGTTTTTTACTTTTCATCCTTGCTAAACTCAGTCTTAATAATTCACATGTTTTATCTGTAAATCCTTTTGAAGTTTTTATGTATGTAAACATATCATCTGTGAATAACGACTGGTTCATTTTAAATCCTTATACCCTTTATTTCTTTTTCTTTCCCTCCTTTGTTGATTAGCATCTTTATTGCAGTGTCAAATTAAAAAAAAAGTGATGATAGTAGGTATGTTCCTGTAGTTCCTGAACACAAAGCTTTTAATGGATTGTCAGTAAACATTATTTATGCTGTAGGGTGTTTATAGCATCCTACTTATCTCAGATAAAGGAAACTTTCACCCAATTCTTAGTTTACTAAACTTGTTTCTTGTTTCGTTTTTGTTTTACAGTCATGAGTTGTTGAATTTACCAAATTTTTCTTAATTTATTGAGATTTGAAAAAATCTGTTTAGTATATAATTTAAATATGATTTTCTTTTTAAGCCTGTTGATGTGATGAATTTAACCTTGCCTTCCCGGGATAAACACTTATGAATATATTGCTGCATTTGGTTTCCTAATATTTTGTTTAGGAGTTTTGCATTTATGATTAAGATTTGTCTGTGATTTATTTTCTCTGATTGTTCTTTTCTTTTTTCTTTTCCTTTTTCAGATACAGACTCTCACTGTGTTGCCTAGGCTGGAGTGCAGTGGCACAATCATAGCTCACTGCATCCTTGAACTCCTGGCCTCAAGTGATCTTGTCACCTCAACTTGGCTAATTTTTTATTCATTTTAATTTTTTTGTAGGGGCAAGATCTCGCTTTGTTGCCCTGGCTGGTCTTGAACTCCTGGCTTTAAGCAGTCTTACTGCCTCAGCCTTCCAAAGTGCTGGGATCACAGACAGGAGCCATTGTGCCTGGCCTCTGATAGTTCTCATTGGGTTTTGTTGTCAGAGTTATGCTAATTAGTTGCTTAAAACTAGTTGGGAAGGATTCCCTTGTTTTTCATTTCTTGGAACTATTTGTATGACATGGGAAATATTTCTTCCTTTATTTGACAGGACTCACTAGTAAAGCCATCTAGACTTGGATATTTTTCCTTGTGGAAAGATCTGTTAATGATTGATTTTGTTTCTTAATCATTTTTTTCTTTCTTGAGTTAGTTTTGGTAATAAGATGTAGTTTCTCAGCTTTATCTACATTTTCAAATGTTATATTATCAAATTTATAAGATTGACCTGTGATTTTTGACTTTGTTGATCCTACGCTTGTTTTCTTTTGATTCATTGATTATTAAGAAGTGCTTTAAAAAATGTAAATGTCTGGAGCTTTTCTTGTTATCTGTTTTGTTAAGCTTTTTGTTGAAGTATAACATACATTCAGGAAAGTGTAAAACTTATGTCTTTAGCTCTATATGACTTCACACAAAGTGAAAATACTTGTGTAACTAGCATCTTAGAAGTATCTTTTCACCCCTTTTTCCGTTAACATTTGTCTCCCAAAACATCACTGTCCTGACTTTTACTGTCATAGATTAGGTTTCTCTGTTTTCGAGCTTATAAATGTAATCATACTCTTATGTAGTGTTTTGTGTCTGGCTTCTTTCACTTTGATGTGTGTGTGTGGGTGTGTGGGTGTGTGGTGTGTGGTGTGTGGTGTGTGTTGAGACAAGGTCCACTCTGTCATTCAGGCTTGAGTGCAGTGGTGTGATCATGGCTTGCTGTGGCTTTGACTTCCTGGGCTTAAGCAGGACTTCCACCTCAGCTTCCCGGGTAGCTGGGACCACAGGTGCACACCACTATGCTTGGCTAATTTATTTTTATTTTTTGTAGAGATGAGGTCTCACTGTATTGCCCAGGCTGGTCTTGAACTCCTGGGCTCAAGTGATCCACCTGCCTTAGCCTTCCCAGATGCTGGGATTACAGATGTGAACCATCATGCCCATCCAGATGTTTGTAATGTTAATCCATATTATTGTGTGAGGCAATGATTTATTCTCTCATGGCTGTGTTTTTTTTTTTTTTTTTTTTTTTGCCCCCATTGTATGACTATACTACAAATTGCTATTCATTCTAGTGTTGATGGTCATTTGTGTTTTCTGTTTTGGCAACTGAATGGTATTGCTGTGAACATTTTTTTATATGTCTTACGGTGGACAAACTATACGTTTCTATTGAGTAAATACCACAGAGTGAATCTGGGGCCTATTTATCTTTTTTTTTTTTAACTTGATATTTAGCTTAACGGGTTTTAGTGTTTGCATGACATAATTTTCCATCCTTTTACTTTCAGCATGTATCCACTTTTTTCATTGTCTTTTAAGGTGTTTATGTTGAAATTTAAAAATCTTTTCTTTTAACCTGATTGTGTATATTACATACACATATAGTACTTAGTATGTGCTAAGCAATGTTGTAGGTACTTTATATATAAATACTTACACCTCTTAGTTTTCATTTGGCTAATTTGCCCTTATTTTACTCTGCACTTAAAAATTATACTCCTTGGTTGTAAACTTCTAGATTTGCAGTTATATTCTTTCTCTGCTTTGAAGATAACATTTTGCTGTCTTCTGGCTTATGTTGTTGCTGTTGAGAAGTCACCTGTTAGTTTAAATGCTATTCCTTTCAAGGTACTGTGTGTGCTCTAAATTTTGTTTGTTTTCTGGAATTATTATTATTTTAAATTTAACCCTGTTTGGCTTACTGAATTTGTAGGTTGGTATTTTATGATATTCTCTGTAGGTATTTGGCCTCTGCTTCAATCTAGTCCTTCTGGTACTCTCATGAATCCCATGAGTGAATCTCTCATTCTTCTCTCTCTATAACTTCCATGAATTGTAGGCTACATTTAGGCCTTTCTATCCTTATGTATTTCAGGTGTATGTTTCACTGTGTTGCACTCCGGATAATTTCTTATGACCTTTCTTTCACTTCATTCTTTCTTTTTTGAGACAGGTGGAATGCAGTGGCGCAATCTCAGCTCACTGCAACCTCTACCTCCTGGGTTCAAGCAGCTCCCCTACTGCAGCCTCCCGAGTATCTGGGACTACAGGGGTGTGCCACCACACCTGGCTGATTTTTGTATTTTTTGTAGAGATGGGATTTTGGTATGTTGCCCAGGCTGTTCTTAAACTTTGGAGCTCAAAGTTTAAGCTCAAAAGGCCTGCCTTGGCCTCCCAAATGTGCTGGGATTACAGGCGTGAGCAATCCCACCTGGCCTTTAATGGTTTTTCGTATCTGCGAATACATTGACCTGTTGAATTTTCAATTTCAGTAATTGTATTTTTTCATTTTTAGAAGTTCTATTTAAAAAAAATCTTCTAGTTTAGTCTTTATAATTTTTTTTGTTTCCTGTAGATATTTTTGGAATTGTCTTTTATTTCTTTAAGATTATAGTAGTTTTACAGTCTTTGATAGACACAAAAATTGTGTCTGTTTTTGTTGTGTGGTATTTCTGCTGGTTCTCCCTCATAGTTGCTTGGTTATTTTTGACTTGATACTTGCTCATTGTTCTAGAAACATCATAGTGGGGATTCTTTGATACTTAGGATGAAGGCACCCTTCTCTAGGCAGGACTTGGATTTACTTATGTTAGGTGCTTGGGGCTGTTATTAACCAGGGGTCTGTGAGTTCATGTTTTGAGATTCTCTGGGCCACTTAGGTCATGTCAGCCCCAGCAAGTGTGCAGGCCCATGGCCAAAACTAATTACCTGTTCCTTCCCTGTATTCATGTTGCCTTTCTCTGTTTAGCACCAAGGCAGCCTTCTCAGCGGTTCCCTCTAGGGGGTGGGGCTGGGGAAAAGAGGTGTTCATTTCTAGTTTACCCTCTCCTTTGCAGGTATATCTTCTTTGGGTAGGGTGGTGGCCTACATTAATGTCAGGAGAGTTTCCTATTTGACTGTCTGCCTTGATATGTTCAGATTTACTTCTGTTCCCCTTGCCCTATAAGACCATCAAAACTGAATCCCACATTTGTCAGAAATGAAAAATGCTTTCAGAGTATAAGTAGCTATAATGTCCCAGTGTTCCCACTTACTTCCCTGGATTCCTATTTTCTCTTAGGTTTTAGTTTGAGTACTTTGTGGTGCTTTTAAAAAGTATTTATTTTTTATTTTTCTCTAGCTTACTATTATTATTATTATTTTTAGTTGGAGGGTTAGGACAAATAACAAAGCTTGCCACTGAGGAAATGAAAGTAAAAATAAGTTTTGTTTTTCTAAAAATAATTTGGGGAAATGTTCAATAGAGTGATTTTCATTAAATGGTAAAGTAAATTACTATAAATTAGGAGGTAGTTACAAATTTTGGTTGGTGGGGAAGGTTACCATTTATGTTTGTTAAGAATGTTTATATCTATTTTTTGGTTTGCATCTAATAGTTTTCTTGTTTCAGGGGTAGAAATATTTCTGTCATGGCTCATTCAAAGACTAGGACCAATGATGGAAAAATTACATATCCGCCTGGGGTCAAGGAAATATCAGATAAAATATCTAAAGAGGAGATGGTGAGACGATTAAAGGTGAGTAAAATTCTATTCTTTTTTACATCTGTGTAGGGCAGAGGTCCCCTGTGGAAATCACATGGGGCTATAATGTATCTTGTTGGGGTAACTTAAAAAAGCAAAGCAAAGCAGCAAATGGCATAGAAAAGATCTAAGGGAGTAGAGTATATAAGGTACAGTGGGGATTATTTGGCTATGATTAAAGGGACAGCAATTAGGTGAAGCTTAGATTTTCTAGGATCTCCTATACTTGGGTATAAAGAACAAGTCTACAATACTCATATTCCTTATTGTCTATACAAAGTTGTCTCCTTTCTTCTATATAGTTTCTAAAGACAACCACTTTAAGGGAGTTTTAGGTCTTTATACTGAGTAATTAGGCTGTGTACTACTTTCTTGTAAGTTATTTTCAAAGTAGGTCAAAGGGCTTCACTTTAAGCTTCTTCCTCTGCTTCTGACATGTAGTAATGAATCAAGATTGCTGGTGAACTTCTATGGATGAGGCTAGGGCCTCTTCATATGTGTTTGAATAATATTTTCACCTTTTCCTTTAGGGTGGTGGTGATCTCTGTAATTGTTAAAATGGATAAAGAAGCATAGTGTTCAAGGAGAATGTTAAGCTGGTCTATTAGTTAGTTTAGATGGTCTTTATTTTTGAGCATTTCCGATCGAGGTTGTATCTACCTAGATATTTATGTTGCTTGATATATTATTATTTATCTGGATGTCAGGGCTGAAAAATGTTCCCAAATTAATCATTGAAGATCCAGGGGCTTAAAAACAAATACTCTTCTTTATTGCTACATGGTGTATAGAATTTTTATAAAGAGAAAAAGATGCTAATACTATCATAAATTTCACATAAAGTCTTAATATTGTACATGTATGTGTTTATACTTAAAGTATCAGAATGTCAGATATCAGATGTTTATTCAAAGGAAAATCATCTTTGAGCAGATTAAATTTACTAATAGGTGGATATTTTATCTAGTTGGGAACTGGTGTGTATTTTATTAAGAATAGTCAAGCTATGAATCCCTTCTATATATGACATGTTTCATTTTCTATGTATTTACCTTCTCTTGACCTATTGCATTTTTAGAGAAACTAATACATTTATTACCTTATATTTGTTTATACTAAGTGAGCATTCCTGTTGTTTGTTGAGAAACTAATCTTGAACTCAGAGCCTACACTTAAAACTGATCAGCATTAGTGTCTTTTAGAGATGTTATTTTCTCAGATTTCTTTCCTAATTTGGAGGACTCATGAGTTATTAATGAGTTTTATAACAGCATTTGAGTTGTAGACAGTAGTGAGGAATTCCCATTTTCTGGACCTTGAACAAACTTTGTGGTTATTGTTGGTGGAATGATTGCCTCAGTACTCATATTTAATGTTTGTAATATGCTTTCATTATTTTGTAGACATTTATGTCTAGCAGTAATCCAGTTATACTTTTTTCTCATTTATTTTCCTAATTTATAGTTCCATTTTTAGCATCCTCCTTCTTAGAAAAATATGAAAAAATTATGTAGGATGATATGTACAAATACCCATGTAAGTTTTATACATTATAACAATTTGTTAACGTGTAAGGTGATACTGTTTATAAAATTTTTTTTCCTGTAACATTTTATTCAAAATATGCTTAATCTCTTATCTTTTGTTAAGAGAGCTACAGAAATAAATAGTTACATGCATGCAGTTCTTTTTTACCCTTTGTGGTTTTTCCTAAACATATAGGCAATCAAAGCATAAATCTTAAAAGTAATAAAATAAAAAAGCTAAAAGACCCAGACATCATACCCTTAATCTAAATGTAGTGCCAGGTTGCAAGGATTAGTCTACTGTTGGTTCTGGTATCTGGCATAATAGAACTGAGAGGCTGCTCTGTGAGGAGCAGTGTTTTCCACAGCTGCTCTGAGAATTCAGTAGAAATCGAGCCATTTGTTACTCAGAAGTCTAGCTGGATGGCAAGTGGAAATCGTTGCAGCATAAAGGACCAAGACATTTAACATTGATACTTTGTGGCCAGCCCCACTTGTTGCCTAGTATTTGCAGCACCACCTAGTGGATGCTGGATGGTCACCTTTCCATTGGAGTTGTATTTAAATGTCAGTTCCTGTCAAGTTAGGCAATTTTGTTTCATTTAAAGTAGGAATAGTGCAGACTGAGATCATCATTGTAATTACTAATATTGAAATCAGAGAAAGCTCTTCTGAGAATTCATGGTATACCATTCTATTTTCTATTCACCTTTTATAGAAATATTTTTGAAAAAAGAACCATTTCTTTTAGCTTCCTTTGTCTTAACTCACATGTGCAACTGAATTAATGAATTATCCACATCATATTCTCTTTTACTGCCACACAAGAAATATTTTGTTGGATGCCGTGGTAGATACTTCATAGTAGCTTTTCAGTGTTGAGGGATGCATCTTTGACATCCTTTCTTAAATAAAACCATGTGACTGGAGTGGTTTAATGACTTAAATGGAAAATTAAATTGTCATCTTAGGGTTTTCTTTAGGCATATACTTTTTCTTCTCATGAAAGGATTAGAAATATTATTTTTAAAAAAGATGGTATTCTTAAGGACATACTCCTTTTAGTCCAGTTGTACAAGTGAGACCAGAAGTTTCCACAAATATTCTATTGGAATTCTTCCAATAATGACTACTACATAAGGGCAATTTAATCTTTAAAAATCTGGTTAGCAGATATTTTGGGTAAATGAAAAAATATTTTAGTAAGTCTTTTAAATAGAAGTTTACTTTGTAGTTTTAGGAGAATTGTGTTCTCTCAAATAGAGACTTTCTGCAGAAAAATGAAAGTATATTCATTTGAAGTTAACCTTAGCAATTAACATGACCTTTATTTCACATGACTGTAGTTTTACATGGAGCATTTCATTATTTGATTTTTTATTTTTGTATAGATGGTTGTGAAAACTTTTATGGATATGGACCAGGACTCTGAAGAAGAAAAGGAGCTTTATTTAAACCTAGCTTTACATCTTGCTTCAGATTTTTTTCTCAAGCATCCTGATAAAGATGTTCGCTTACTGGTAGCCTGCTGCCTTGCTGATATTTTCAGGATTTATGCTCCTGAAGCTCCTTACACATCCCCTGATAAACTAAAGGCAAGTACTGATTTAAATAACTCCAAGATTGACCGATACTTTGATTTATCTTTCTAACTAAAATGGGAGTTAAGGTATTTAGATGATTTCCTTGGATTCTTTGACATTAGCTACAGTAATCTTTTGCTAAACTTAATGTTTTTTTTTTTTTTTAGAACTTATTTTTGAAAAACTTTCTGGTCTTGAGGTTAAGAAGTAGATTAATACAGTGTGTATTTTTTTTATATCATGTCATCATTAGCTCTGTTTCTTTCATTATAATTTTGGGGGCAATTCCTTTTCACTTTTGAAAATCCATATTGAAGACCATGGCCATTATTTAAAACATAATACCTAGTATAAACATGAGTTTATAATATATAATCCTCATTTATTTAATGGAAGGTGTGATATAAATTGTTATATTTGTGTTATAAATTGTGTTATACATTGTTATGAAGAAAATACAGGCCAGGCGCAGTGGCTCAGGCCTGTAATCCCAGCACTGTGGGAGGCCGAGGCAGGATGATTACTTGAGTTCATGAGTTTGAGGACAGCTTGGGCAACATAGCAAGGCGTTGTCTCTACTTTAAAAAAAAAAAAAAAAAAAAAAAGGAAATTAGCCTTGTGTGGTACTGTGCACCTGTAATCCCATAACTACTTGGGAAGCTGAGGTGGGAGGAGTGCTTGAACCCCCGGGGGGCGGAGGTTGCAGTGAGCCAAAATGGCACCACTGCATTCCAGCCTGGGCTGAGTGAGACCATCTCTATTAAAAAAAAAAAAAAAGATTCAGTGAACAAAATTTTAATGGAAAGGTACAAAAGACATGTGGTACTTGGTTACAGTAATTGTAAGTAAAACTATATAAATGCAAAATCTTTAAAAGATGAGAAGGGGAATAGCACGAGTAATCTTTTTAGGAAAATGCTGGTAGAAAGCATGAAGTAATTAGAGTTGTGCAAAAGATACTGAATGTTTATAAGGCAGATCAGGTAGGAATTAAAAACAGCAACAATAAAAGATAATTGTGGAGTCTGGGTGCGGTGGCTCACACCTGTGCACTTTGGGAGGCTGAGGTGGGCCGATCACCTGAGGTCAGGAGTTCGAAACCAGCCTGGCCAACATGGTGAAACTTCATCTCTACTCAAAATACAAAAATTAGCCGGCTGTGTTGGCACATGACTGTAACCCCAGCTACTGTGGAGGCTGAGACAGGAGAATCACTTGAACCTGGGAGGTGGGGGATGGAGTGAGATTGCGCCGCTGCACTCCAGCCTGGCCAACACAGCGAGAGTCTCAGAAAACAAAACAAAAAAAAGATAATTGTGGAAACTATGGGTTAGAGAATGAGTCCATAGAAAGATTATTAATCCACAGTGTGAAAAAATGGCAGGCAATTTATATTTATTTCACTTAATAAGTCTTGCTGTTACTTATGTGTCAGGAACTGGATTTACAGTGGTGAAAAAAACCCAGGCATGGTTCTTGGACTCATGGAGTTCTTGATAACTGAAGTGAGGAATGTGCTTATTTGATCAAGTCTACCACAATTCAAGTAGAGGATGTGCAACCTGTTTTGGGCATGCTTGTTTTAAATTTTGATTGGTGAAAGAATCTTAGGATGAGGGAGGTAGAGGGCAATATTTGTCATTTAAAGGTGGTATTGAATTGTAAGATTTGAGAATGGTCGGAGACTTAAAGTAGATAACATGAGCTGGTCCATGTAGTTGTATACCCAGGTACTAGCTTGATTTCTAAATGTGAATTTCTCATTTGGAGATACTTAATTGGTTTAAGGAATGATTCCATTTGTTTGATAGTGGCTGTGGCTCTCCCGTACTAGATGTCTTGTTGGCATTCTCATGACGAGGAAGTCTAACTTAAGACTGCTACTGTACAATTTATTTATCTCTCTTGGGGATCTTTCAGTTTGCATAATCAAGGACCTATTTCAGGGCTTTGGGGGTAACGAGAAATTCTCCCTAAAGAATAGCTACATATCTGTTCTGTTTCTAACAGGACAATTTATGAGAAGACTGTAAAAGAGCTGAAATTAGGGTCTTTGTGCATTATTCCCTAGCTGAAAAATGTTAAGTATTTGGTTTTTCTGATGAATTTTTGAGTCTTATTCTAAATGCCTCTTTTTTCTTTTTGGGGGATAGTACTTAAAATTACTGACTTTGAGGGTGCTTTCTAAATATTTAAGAGATTTCACTTCGTCTTGATTAGCGGCAAATTCGTATATCTGTATGTCTATATATTTTGTCTACAGTAGTGTTGTATACAGATTAGAAAATTGTGATATTTGAGCCTTACCTTTCCACTTTCAGTTAGTTATTGTCATCAGCAAACCCCTTTTATACAGTTGGCTTCATGTTTAGGCAGTAATTGGTGAGGTTATAAGTGACTGTTGTCTTTCCATCGCTACATAGGGTCAATATGGCGTGTGTACTCTTTCAGCAATCCAGGAAGGGTTCATTCATAGAGAACATATTTTCCACAGTACTACTATCAAAGTAACTTTTTTTGTTTTAAGTAACCTTTTTTTTTAAAAAATTGTGTTTTAGGTGCAGGGGTACATTTGCAGGTTTGTTATGTAGGTAAATTACATGTCATGAGGGTTTGGTGTACAGATTATTTTGTCACCCAGGTAAAAGCATGGTTCCCAATAGGTAGTTTTCCGATCCTCACCCTCCTCCCACCCTCCACCGTCAAGAAGATGCTGGTGTCTGTTCTCTTCTTTGTGTTCATATGTACTCAATGTTTAGCTCCTGGTGATAAGTGAGAACATGTGGTATTTGGTTTTCTCTTCCTGCATTTGTTTGCTTAGGATAATGGCTTCCAGTGGCATCCATGTTGCTGCACAGGACATAATCTCATTTTTTATGGCTGTGTAATAGTCCATGGTGTATATGAAATATTTTCTTTATCCATTTTACTGTTGAATGGCATTTAGGTTGATTCCATGTCTTTGCTATTGTGAATAGTGCTGCTACGAACATATGCATACATGCGTCTTTATGGTAGAATGATTTATATTCCTTTGGTTATATACCCAATAATGGGATTGCTGGGTCAAATGGTAGTCCTGTTTTCAGTTCTTTGAGAAATTGCCAAACTGTTTTCCACAATGGCTGAACTAATTTATATTCCCACCAGTGATGTATCAGCACTTCCTTTTCTCTGCAACCTTGCCAGCATCTGTCATTTTTTTTTTGACTTTTTAACAATAGCCATTCTGACTGGTACGAGATGATATCTTGTTGTGGTTTTGATTTGCATTTCTCTAATCAGTGATGTTGAGCATTTTTTCATATGCATGTTGGCCATACGTACATCTTCTTTTGAAAAGTATCTCTTCATGTTCTTTGCCATATATATATATATATTTTTTTTTTTTTTTTTTTTTTTAGATGGAGTTTCACACCGTTGCTCAGGCTGGAGTGCAGTGGTGCGATCTTGGCTCACTGCAACCTCCGTTTCTCAGGTTCATGTGATTCTCCTCCCTCAGCCTCCCCAGTAGCTGGGATTACAGGTGCCCGTCACCACGCCCAGCTAATTTTTGTATTAGTAGAGTGGTTTTACCACGTTGACTGGGCTGGTCTTGAACTCCTGACCTTGTGATCTGCCCGCCTTGGCCTCCCAAAGTACTGGGATTACAGGCATGAGCCACTGCACCCGGCCTGCCCTCTTTTTAATGGGATTGTTTTTTGCTTGTTAATTAAGTTCCTTATACCTTCTTGATATTAGACCTTTGTTCAATATATGGTTTGCAAATATTTTCTCCCATTCTGTAGGTTGTCTCTTAACTCTATTTTGCTGTGCAGAAGCTTTTTAGTTTAATTAGGTCTCATTTGTCAATTTTTGTTTTTGTTGCAGTTGGTTTTGACATCTTCATCATGAAATCTTTGCCAGGTCCTATGTCCAGAATGGTATTTCCTAGGTCATCTTCCAGGGATTTTATAGTTTTAGGTTTTACATTTAAGTCTTTAATCCATCATGAGTTGATTTTTGTATGTGGTTTGAGGAAAGGGTCCAGTTTCAGTCTTCTGCATATGACTAGCTAGTTATCCCAGCACCATTTATTGAATAGGGAGTCCTTTCCTCATTGCTTGTTTTTGTGCTTTTGTTGAAAATCAGATGGTTGTAGGTGTGTAGCATTATTTCTGGACTTTCTGTTATGTTCCATTGTTGTATGTGTCTGTTTTTGTACCAGTACCATGCTGTTTTGGTTACTGTAGCCTTGTAGTATACTTTAAAGTTGGGTAATGTGATGTCTCCAGCTTCTTTTTTTTTTTTTTTTTTTGCTTAGGATTGCCTTGGCTGTTTGGGGTCCCTTTTGATTCCATAGACATTTTAAGGTAGTTTTTTCTAATTTTGTGAAGAATGTTCTTGGTAGTTTGATAGGAATAGCATTTAATTCAGTAAATTGCTTTGGACAGCATGGCCTTTTTAGTAACATTGATTCTTCCTATCCATGAACATGGAATGATTTTCCATTTGTTGTGTCATCTGTGGTTTCTTTGAGCAATGTTTTGTAATTCTTGTTGTGGAGGTCTTTTACCACCTTGGGTAGCTGTATTCCTAGGTATTTTATTCTTTTTGTGGCTTTTTTTTTTTTTTTTTAAAAGACAAAGTCTGGCTCTGTCACCCAGGCTGGAGTGCAGTAGCACAATCTTGGCTCACTACAGTCTTTGCCTCCTGGGTACAAGCAATTCTCCTGTCTCAGCCTCCTGAGTAGCTGGGACTGCAAGCACATGCCACCATGCCTGGCTAATTTTCGTATTTTTAGTAGAGATGGGGTTTTGCCATGTTGGCCAGGCTGGTCTTGAACTCCTGGGCTCAAGCCATCCACCCGCCTTGGCTTTCCAAAGTGCTGGGATTACAGGCTGAGCCACTGTGCCTGGCTGGTATTCTGTTCTTGATTTGGCTGTCAACTTCAACATATGTGGTCATCATTATGTGGTGAATCACATTTTAAAAATTTGCTGAAGATTGTTTTATGGCTTATTATGTGGTCAGTTTTAGAGTATGTGCCATGTGCAGATGAGAAGAATGTATATTCTGTTGTTTTGAATGGAGAGTTCTGTAGATGTCTGTTAGGCCCATTTGGTCAAATGCTGAGTTTAGGTCTGAATATCTTTGTTAGTTGTCTGCCCCAATAATCTAATTCTGTCAGTGGAGTGTTAAAGCCTCCCACTATTATTGTGTCATTATCTATGTCTCTTCATAAGTCTCTAAGAACTTGCTTTATGAATCTGTGTGTTCCTTTGTTGGATGCATATATTTTTAGGATAGTTAGGTTTTCTTGTTGAATTGAACCCTTTATCAGTATGTAATGCTCTTCTTTGTCATTGTTGGTTTAAAGCCTGTTTTGTCTGAAATTAGAATAGCAACCCCTGCTTTCTTCTGTTTTCTGTTTGCTTGGTAGATTTTTCTCCATCCCTTTACTTTGACCCTATCAGTGTCGTTGCATATGAAACGAGTCTCTTGTAGACAGCATACAGTTGGGCCTTGCTTCTTTAACCAACTGACCACACTGCACCTTTTAATTGAGGCATTTAATGTGTTTACATTCACGGTTAATATTGGTATGTGCTGGTTTGGTCCTGTCATCATGTTGTTAGCTGGTTATTATGCAGACTTGATTGTGTGGTTGCTTTATACAAATGTAGATACAAATGCAGATATAGTAATAAGTCAAAAATATGAGATGGGAATAGATTTAGAAAGATGGGGAAAAGCAGGTAATTACAATGATTGGTAGGAAGCTTGACAAGTTGACTTCTAAGAGTCTAAGCTTCTCTGTGGTATCTATTGTATTGTCATTTGGCAATTAAAAAAAATTGTTTCCTAAACTGCTCTTGCTATTTAATTACCATATATTTTACTGTTCCAGGAAACCTGATCAGCTCTCAGTCATTGCAACATTTTTTATTCTAAAAATAGCATAAATTTTAGCTATCTCACTTTTCAGGTTTATTTGTTTAACTTTTGCTATAAGATGAAGTTTTTTGACTTTAAGATTATGGCAAATGATTTACTGTTTTCCTATGAAGGATAGTAAGATATTTAATGTTGTTCATATAAAGGTGTACTTTTAAAAAATTTTAGCCAAATAAAATTTTTTTCTGGTTCTTTATAGTTTATTATGATATGTACACATGAGTGCTGAATAAACTCTTGGAGTTTCATGGTTATTTTCATTTAGCGTTCATAATCTAAATGGCACTTTGTCTTTTTTTATTTAAGGATATATTTATGTTTATAACAAGACAGTTGAAGGGGCTAGAGGATACAAAGAGCCCACAATTCAATAGGTATTTTTATTTACTTGAGGTAAGCAATATCTTGTATCTTGAGATGACATTTTAAACTGATTTTTTTGTTTGTATATTTTTAATAATCAAAATGCTTAACTTTCACTTTTTTACACCTTATTTTTAGAACATTGCTTGGGTCAAGTCATATAACATATGCTTTGAGTTAGAAGATAGCAATGAAATTTTCACCCAGCTATACAGAACCTTATTTTCAGTTATAAAGTAAGTTTATTTTATTAAGTATGTAACATTAAAAAAAGGTAACAAATTTTGAACTTGTAGGTGAATCTGCATAAACTGTTACAATGAATATTAGAAGGCTGAGAGATGTAACTTTTAACACACTTTATTTTTATACATGTTTCAAAAATGAATAGAGCTTAATTTTGTATTATATGTAATTATTGGTTAGAGGAGTGGCATAAGGCCAGTGTAAAATTTTTTTGGATTGCATTATTTGTCTATAAAACATACATACTGACTTCTTAATGCATATGGCTATTTGAGCTTTTTGTGTATGCTTTAAAATTATTTACTGGAATTAACTTCAGAGCAATTCAATTTTCTGAATTTAAGGCAGAACTGAAGTTGCTTTTGATGTAATTACTTTTGATTGTGAGACTGGTTAAAAATTAGGGAAAAATCTAAGAAATGTAGTGTAAAAATATAATTTGTATACTTTTGTATGATGTGGGAGAGAGGGAAGCTTTAAATGAATATACATAGAATTTTATTTAATATTTTAGTATTATTTTTGTAAAGCATAATGCTTGTCAGTGTCATCTTAAGAGTAAATCCTGTATATCTCAGTTGTAATTGAAACAAAATCTGTTTTGAATTGCAGCAATGGCCACAATCAGAAAGTCCATATGCACATGGTAGACCTTATGAGCTCTATTATTTGTGAAGGTGATACAGTGTCTCAGGAGCTTTTGGATACGGTTTTAGTAAATCTGGTACCTGCTCATAAGGTGAGTAGCAATGTATACTGTAATGTGTCTAATGCCCGTTAATATTAAGGCTTAAAATTTGTGCTTAGGTTCTAAATATGGTTTATCCTGCTTTAATCTTTTAGAGAATCTGTTGGTTTAGTTATATTAATACATATTTATTGTGATTAATGTGTAATAAAAAGATACACTTAATAACTAATAAGAAATTGTAGATTTCATGTAATAACATATTTGTTATAATTCAGTTGCATATGGAGTGTATTTCAGGGAGTGAGTTAGTAGTAGCTACTTAGATGCTGTTACATAACTTACTTGTCAGAAGATGGAACCAAGTAGGGCCATAACTAAAAGATAGTGATAATGTAGATAGAGAGGACTGGTGAAATTTAAAGGGAAGTCTCTACTAAATGGGAGAGGAGTGATATGTTGGTGACAGTGTTTCTTGCCTGCGTGATTAATTAAGATGTTATGTTTGTATGTTTTTGTGTGTGTTTGTGTTTTGATTTTAGAAAATGACTGAATCTTCAGTTAGAAATACGGTTCTGTTATTTAGAAGGGGTTTGGGTTAAGGAGAGGAGGACAGGAATCACCAGTGTAGTTATCTGTGCAAATATAAGACCTCTCTGGCAAGATATAATCTCAGTGTAGAGACTGACATGAATAATGGTTCAGTGAAAATGATCTCATAATTCAAAAATTCCAAACTCTTAAAGAAAACAGTCTCTGAATCCTGAAACTTAGCAGACACTACAAATAGCAAGATTAGAGTTCAGAAATTCAGATAATATATTTATTAAATAAAATCTACAGGTCCTGGTGTGCTGTGGGTTCCTAGTCAGCTGCCATCTTGCTCCTCTTCCCACCCCTCACTCCTTCCTGCTGCACCTTCTGAATGCAGCCCACCATGTCCTGACTCTACCCAGCCCAGCCTCACTTCTGCCTCTGGTGACCACAGGAGAGAAGGGGGAAGCTGGCAAGTAGACCTGCAGAGGCTCTTCCCATCGTCTCCTTCACCTTGGTGCCCACATCTAGTTATAATCCCCATTAATCCATTTTATTAAATGAGCTGTAAAAATCAGCCTGGGGCCCAGCTAGTGACTTCTGCTGGGCAAATGAACACCTGGCCTGATGCCACAAGCTCTACTGCCTGTGTGCTCAGGTGAGAAGGCAGAGGTCATGAATCCAGCCACAGAATGCCCTAGGGAGGAGGACTGAATTCCCAGGGGAGACCTGCTAAGCCTTTCAAATGGGCTGTGCCTGACTGGACTCTCAGCCTAGCTCTCTGGAACCCTCAACCACTTGTCAACTGTGCCAAGACAAACCCTCCTAGACACAAATCGAGTATCTAGCTTGGCTTTCTGCACTGAGCAGCTGACTACCAGAGGCATCTGAGGCCTCCATCCGTTGATTGTCGTGGAGAAGACTTTGTTGGGGAAAATAAACCCACCCTTCCTGATTAAACATTTTCTCCTTGGCCTTGTTGTAGGGAGAGGACCTGTAGGTACTTCCAGAAACTAGAATCATAGGATCTTCCAAACTTCCTGTCTCTAAGTACAGGAGCTGGAATCTTTCCACCAAGTACTTATAGATTCAATCTTTTGCTTAGTCCATTTAGCTTAGGGTGGAAATTTCTCAAGGCAATTACTGTTTTGCAGCCCTTTGCATAACTTGCATAGCTCCTTGTAGTTTAGTGAATGACACTGAATAAAACATTCTGACAAAATTTTTAAAAAAAATTATAAATACTCTTGAAAGGAGTAATGATAAGAGGTAAAAAATGTAATAACTAGACATATTAAAGGAGAAAATTAGGAGAAAAACTCATTAGCAATGAAAAATGGCTGGGTGCAGTAGCTCATACCTGTAATCCCAGCACTTTGGGAAACCAAGGTGGGTGGATCACCTGAGGCCAGGAGTTCAAGACCAGCCTGGCCAACATGGTGAAACCCTGTCTTTACTAAAATTACAAAAATTAGCCAGGCGTGGCAGCATGCGCTTATAATCCCAGCTACTCAGGAGGCTGAGGCAGGAGAATTGCTTGAACCTGAGAGGTGGAGGTTACAGTGAGCTGAGATTGTGCGACTGCACACTCAAGCCTGGGTGACAGAGTGAGACTCTGTCTCAAAAAAAAAAAAAAAAAAAAAAAAACAGAAAAAGAAAAAGAAAAATGACCACCAAAATATAAACCTTGATTGAATTATATGTAAAACATATTTAGAGAACTGGGATAGATGTGAGGAAATTATACAGGCACAGTGAGATGAAACATGAAAGGTAAGGTCTGACATATTTAATAGTGATTTCAGAATAACAAATGGAGAATTGAGAAGAGATGATATTCAAGTAGAAGTTAGCTTGAAATATTCCAGAATTGGTTAAAGCCGTTAATTTATGGATTAGTGAGAAAAAGTACCATGACTAGAGTAAAAAAAAAATAAAAAGAGGAAATCCTTGTCCAGGCCCATCCTGAAATTGTGGAATACTGAAAGAGAAATCATATATAAAGCACCCAGAATGTAAAGGCATGGCCCTTACCAAGGAATGAATGCTAAACTGATTACTGACTTCTCATTTGCAGTGTTAGAGAATAAATGAATCTTATGTAAAATAGAGTGGTTTAATGGAATTAGTAAGTGATATGATCCTGGGATGATCAGGAGTATTTGGAGCTATTAAGTTTGAACTTTAAATGAACCATTTATGTTAAAATTTTAAGGATTATAATAAAAGGAAGAGTTACAGTAAATGTAAATGACCTGTATTTACCATGTAAGACAGGTTCTCAGATTGGATTGAACATAATCTGGGTGATTATTTTTACTAAGAAATACAAATAAAACACACTCACAAAAGGTCGAATATAAAAGGATGGGAAAAGTACTTGCCAGGCAAATATAAACCAAAAGAAAACCAAGATAGCTTATATTAGACATAGTAGTCTTTAATGGATAAAGAAGAGTTTTATATAATGAGAAAAGATTCAGTACCCAGGAAGATATCTAAACTTGTGTGCACACAGGCTCAAAATATATAAAGCACAAATTGAAAGAATTACGGACAGAAAGAAGCAAATTCACTATTCGTGTTCCATTTTAACATGTGTTTTAGTGACTATAAATCAGGTAAACTGAGTTTATAAAAATATTGAGGATTTGAAACAAAACTACTAATTTAATAACAAGCATAATTAACAGAAAGAAGCAAATTCACTATTTGTGTTCCATTTTAACATGTATTTTAGTGATTATAAATCAGGTAAACTGAGTTTATAAAAATATTGAGGATTTGAAACACAAAACCACTAATAGCAAGCATGTAATCTGACAAAACATTAAGTCATAATGGCAGTTAAAATATTTAGAAATGATAATTAAGTGATACATATTAAAACTTGCAGGATACACTTTTAAGTGTAACTCCATGGCTAAATGTACATTTCAAGGAGTAATAAAAACATGAGAATAAACAAATTATACAAGGAAGAAAGTAGTGAATAAATGAAATTAGTGAAATAGAAAACACAGTGACATTCCATCAAAACCCTAAGTTAGTAATTTGAAAAATGTTTTAAATAAGCAAATGCTTGGAAAGCTAGATCACAAAAAAGGAAATGGTGTCTATGTACAGTTTTAGAATGAAATGAGAAACAATGGACATGAAAAAGATCAAAAGACAATTCCATGAGGAATATTTTATGCTAACATATTTGAAATTAGAATAAATTCCTAGAAAATATAACCTGGCAAATTTGTCTTGAGAGAAAATCAAGACAAATAGCCTATAACCAATACATTTAGTTGGTTTTAAAAACTCTGCCTATAAAACAAAACTCTTCTTTTCAAACAACAATAGCAACGATAATAGCAGCAAAAATAATTACAGCAGCAGAACTCAAACCAACAACAAAAGAACCTGTAAACCCGTTACCAGGGATTTCTGTTGATTATTTAAGTGGCAAATATTCCTAACTTTCAGCACACTTCCAGATTATAGAAAGGACTACTCCATAACTCATTTTATGAGCAGAGAATAATCTTCCTAGGGAAACCAGGTGCAAACCAAGCAAGAAAAAAAAAAAAAGGCTAATTGATTCCCAATATAAAATAGTAATTTCCAGAATGATTTAAAATACTATTGATAATCACCAAATTGGCTTTATTTTAGGAATACAAGGATGGATTAACATTATGTTAGTGATAGACTAAGATACTTGTTTAATAGATCAAAGAGAAAGACAAATTTTAATAGATATAGAAAAAGATGGATACAATTCATTGTAATTTATAACTTAGCAAATTTGAAATAGAACTTAAATTGATAAGGAGATATGTATGATACAGTATTTAATGGTGAAATGTTGAAGCATTCTCTTTGATGTGAGGAACATTGTAAAAATACTGCTTCTGTTCAGGCAAAAAGGCAAACATGCTTTAAAAAAAATTTGTATTTATTTATATATTTTGAAATTTCAGTAGCTTTTGGGGTACAGGTGGTTTTTGGTTACATGGATGAATTGTATAGTGGTGAAGTCTGAGCTTTTAGTGCCCCTGTCACCTGAGAAGTGTACATTGTACCCAATGTGTACACAATGTGTTTTTTGTCTCTTGTTCCCTCTCTGCCTTCTGATTCCCTGTAGTCCATTATATCACTCTGTGTGCCTTTGTGTACCTATAGTTTTGTTTCCACTTATAAATGAGAACACACAGTATTTGGTTTCCCATTCCTGAGTTACTTCACTTAGAATAATGGCCTCCAGCTCCATCCAAGTTGCTGCAAAAGACATTATTTCATTCTTTTTATCGCTGAGTAGTATTCCATGGTGTATATATACCATGTTTTCTTTATCCACTCATCAGTCAGTGGACAGTTAGATTGGTTCCATATCTTAAGCATGCTATTTTTAATCCTCATTATAGTAGGTGTGTTATATTAGTGGAATAAGACAAGACATACAATATAAGAGGATTGGAAGAAACTGAACTGAAATATGATTGTGCAGAAAACACAAAATGGTGTACAGACAAATTTATAGAAAATATAAGAACATTCTAGAAGGTTGTGAGACATAAGGTACAAAAACCTTCTAGCATAATTTCAAAAAATTTTCATTTGTAGCTTTAACAAAGATGTGAGGTACTTAGAAATTTAACCGTAATGTGTATCACCTTTATGTTGAAAATTGTTATAATTGACTGAAAAGCATAATAGAAGACTTACATATGTTGAGAGATTTACTGTTTATGGAAGGGGAGACTTAGTATCATAATGATGTCAATCTTCTGCATACTGATCAATAATTCAATCAAAAATAGAAACCGAGGCCAGGCTCACTAGCTCTCTCTCATTATCCCAGCACTTTGGGAAGCCGAGGCAGGGGAATCACTTGAGCTCAGGAGTTTGAGACCAGCCTGAACAACATGGCAAAACCCTGTCTCTAGAAAAATTAGCTGGGCAAGTGACGCATGTCTGTAGTCCCAGTGACTTGGGAGGCTGAGGTGGGAGGATCGCTTGCAGGGAGGTCAAGGCTGCAGTGAGCTGTGATCACACCACGGCACTCCAGCCTGGGTGACCAAGTGAGACTCTGTCTCAAAAAGGGAAAAAGAAAAAAAAAAGAAAGTGATAGCATGTGCACTTGTGTGTAATTTGACAAGATGAATCTAAAACTGATGTGAAAGAGCAAATGACCAATAATAGCCAAACAGTTTTGAAGAAGAATAAGAAAACAGGGACCTAATCTTGACATTATTTTCATGTGTCCCTTTGGCTATAATCAGTCAGTGATAGACAAAGGGACATATGGAAATAATGGAGAATTTCTGAATGAAGGCATCCTTATGTAGAAGCTGAGAGAGAGTGGGTATTACAAGTTATCAAAGGGGGAATAAGAAATTATTTAATGAATGGTTTTAGGACAGTTTAGCACTTATATGGAAAATAATAAAAATTAGCTACTTAGACCATACATAAGAATAAATTACAGGTGCAATAAAGGTCTAAATGTGAAAAGTAAGTTTTTAAAATTTTGTTTGAAAATAAACGTCTTTGGGGGCTGGGCACAGTGGCTCAAGTCTGTAATCCCAGCACTTTGGGAGGCCGAGGCGGGCAGATCACGAGGTCAGGAGATCAAGACCATCCTGGCTAACACAGTGAAACCCTGTCTCTACTAAATACAAAAAATTAGCTGGGCGTGGTGGCGGGCGCCTGTAGTCCCAGCTACTTTGGAGGCTGAGGCAGGAGAATGGTGTGAACCCGGGAGGCAGAGCTTGCAGTGAGTTGAGATTGTTCCACTGCACTCCATCCTGGGCGACAGAGCGAGACTCCGACTCAAAAAAAAAAAAAAAAAAAAAAAAAAGAAAATAAACATCTTTACAACCTCAAGATAGGAATGAATTTCTTAAGAAAGCTATAGAGAGCAAAGCCGTATGAGAACAGACTGATAAATTTGATTACATTAAAAATAAAAGCTATTTGTGGTAACCAATATATGGAATTGAACTGTGTCTATCAATGGATGAGTGTATAAAGAAATTGTGGTATATGTATACAATGGAATATTATTCCAGCCATAAAAAAATGAAATTCTGTCATTTGCGGCAGCATGGATGGAACTGGAGGTTATTTTGTAAAGTGATATAAAATGAGAACAGGAAGACAAATATGTTTTCACTCGTGGGGGCTAAAGAAAGGTCTCATGGAAGTAGAGAATAGAATGGTGGTTATCAGAGACTGGGAAAGGAACTGGGGAGGGGAGGAATGAAGTGAAATTAAGGAGTACAAAAATACAGTTAGATAGAAGGCATAGTTCTTTCTAGTATTTGTTTGTTTGTTTGTTTTTTGAGATGGAGTCTCACTCTGTCACCCAGGCTGGAGTGCAGTGGTGCAATCTCAGCTCACTGCAACCTCTGCCTCCCAGGTTCAAGCAATTCTTCTGCCTCAGCCTCCCAAGTAGCTGGGAGTATAGGCATCCGCCACCACGCCCGGCTGATTTTATTTTTATTGGAGACGGGGTTTTGCCATGTTGACCAGGCTTGGTCTCGCACTCCTGGCCTCAGGTGATCCACCTGCCTCTGCCTCCCAAATTGCTGGGATTACAAGTGTGAGCCACAGTGCCCATCCTCTTTCTAGTATTTGATAGTACAGTAGGGAAATTATAGTTAACAATAATTTATATTTCAAAATAGCTAAAAGAGAAGATTTGTAATGTTCCCAGGACAAAGAAAACATAAATATTTGAGGTGATGGATATGTCAGGTACCTTGATTCGACTATCATTCAGTGTATACATGTATCAAAATAGCACATGTATCCCCAGAATAAGCATAGTTGTTACATATCCATAAAAAAAAAAATGAAAAAAAGTCTCCATACTTTGACACCATAAATATTGTGAAAAGACAAGTATAGACTAAGGTGTGTTATACATGTACAGACAGTTCCTGACTTAATGGTTTGACTTACTTTATAATGGTTTATTGGGGTATTAAATGCATTTTGACTTACTGTGGGTTTATTGAGATGTAACTTCATCATAAGTCAAGAAACATCTATAATTGATGAAAGTTTAGTCCATAGAATCTATGGAGAAAATATAAAAATAAATAAAAGCAAGACTAAACAGCCTAACTGAAAAATGGCAAAGATAAAATGTACAGAAAATTACTTCTCATTTACACAAGGAGACTTGTACAAGACATATAATTTAATGTCAATGAATAGGACAATCAGTAAAGAATCTAGTATATCTAAACAGCAGTTAGTATGAATGAAATAATAAAATACAAGCATTAAGGCAGGTAAATCTAAAAATATGCTGAGTAAAGAGTGTGAGTTTAAGGATATATACAGTGTTCCTGTTCTCTGGAATATGTTTAAACTGGGGTAGTGACTCCATTTTTTATCTTTACTTCCTTGTATCATTATCAAAGTCTCTTAGAAACATAGCTTCTTATGATGTTTTTTCTTGTTATCTTCCGCCCGTACTTTACTATTTGTTGTATTTCCTGTTGTATCCTTTGACTTACCTGTGCTCTGAAATGTGTTTGAGTAATCTGCTTTTTTACAGCTGCCCAAAACTCCTTTGTCCCTCCCCGCCTATGGGATGCCCATCGCTGCCCACACTAGAACATAGTTCATTCTCTTAGGATATTTTGTGTTTTTTGGACCTGAAGTGGAACAGCTTGTATTTGTACTTAACTGAATTGATTTTGGGACTAGATCTAGAGTGACTCTATCTAATAAGCATTTATTGACCATTTCTGTGTGGTTTACATTATGTTATGAACAAAATAGGAAGAGAATATAATTATCCTTACGTGGATGGAATCTTAGATCCAGTAGGCCAGTTAGTCCTAAAAAAAGAAAAGTGGTTTTGCCTTCTCTCTTTTATTCCAATTGAGTCTTAGTTTTTTCATTCATTTACTCAAGTAGCATTTTGAATACAGGTAATATTTTGCTTTTCATAGTTAGAGATATATAATATAGATATTGTTTATGTTTTTCAGAATTTAAACAAGCAAGCATATGATTTGGCAAAGGCTTTACTGAAGAGGACAGCTCAAGCTATTGAGCCATATATTACCAATGTAAGTCTTACTTGTAATTGGTTGTCAGAAGGATTAAACTGAAAATTTAAAGACTTGCTAGAAGCAAAATTTCATCAGATAGTATATAGTTTTAAAAACAACAAATTTGTGTTGTTTTAACCCTTAAGTAATATATTTTCTTTCTCCTTCTTAAAATTATTCTTGCTTTATATTTTTTGGAAGGCTTGCTCTCATCCTATTTGTTCTTTTATCTTCTTTCAAATTGCCTGAGAACTTAAACAGTTTTATTTTGGTTAGCAAGATATTCTGTTTGTTTCTACTGATAGAAATAGAGTTAAATGTAATTAGATAAAACATATGGAACTTTTCATTATTCAGAGACGTTGCTTACAGGTTTTTGGAGCTTAAATTGATTTGTACAAGAAGAAGATATGAACTAATATTAAGACCTAGAAATTGAAGGCAAGTATGAATGGCAGTAGTGATTTAGTAAAAGTTGCTTATCTATTGCTATTCCTGGGGTAGATTCCATATAAATCTATCTTTTCTGGAAAAAAGGAACAATTGTAATAAAATGAGACCTTTCAGTATCACCCCAAATCTACTTACTTATGGTTGACTATCTTGTATTTATTTTTAGAAGAAATATTTTTTAGCTGCTAGGTTCACTGACAGAAGTTTATGGTAAGTTTTATTTTCTCTCCACAGTTCTTTTGAGTTCTACAGATTTAGGTGGCAGTATTCATATTATATTCTGTGTGAATGGTGCCTCCTGGAATACAAATGTAGAGTACAGTGTTAATGGTGGCCCTTGGAATTGTGTAACAGTTCAGTCCCTCCACCTGCTTTTCAGTTTCACTCACCTCCAGACAAGTAAAGGATATAAATTTGCATTCCTGAGTAAAGTAAGAAAGAAAGCCTTTAATAATTACTTATGCATTCTCCTAAAATTTGAGGGAGAGTTTTTCTTGTAGTATACACAAATTTAAAGTCAGTGTATGAAATATATCATGAAAAGATGTACTTTGAAAACTAACTACTTCATAAAACAGTAACTTAATAAATTCCAGCTTTTGTTTCTGGCTTATAGCCTTAGAGAATCCCAAGCATACGATGATTTGGAAAAATTAATTTAATTTGTAAGAAATTGTTTTGAAGGGTAAACTTTCAGAAGCTGTGGAATCAAATCTGTAATCTATCTTAATTGCTCCAAGATTTTCAGGGAACTTCCAATACTGGTTTCTGCAGTTTTGTAAGTTACGGGTACTGGCTGAAATAAATTGGTTGGATTGAGTTTTTTCATCATTGGCTTAGTGGCACTTGAAGTGTGTAGACCTAGACTTAAAACATTCTGTAATTATCCTTTTCCCTTGCTTCAAGTACTTCTAAATGACTATTTCCATGGGCCATTAGAGCACACTAGGTGAGCTCCTCCTGGTGGCCATTTATTTAAACTCATATTGCCAAGCCAGTTTTTTTTTTTCTTTTTTTTTGGAGGGGAGGGGGGACACATCTTATTTTGATTTCTTTTTCTGGCATAAAAATAAGAAAAGAACGCTATACTGTATTGATATCTCTACTGTTATTGGGGAAAATCAATATTTGATTGGGGCAATTAAAGGAAAAAACCCACAATAAATGATGATACTTGTTAGAGTTAGATGATTAGGTTCGTTATACTGTTCTCTCAAATTTTGTATGTTTGAAAATGTTTATAATGGAAGTTAAATAAAGAAAAAAAGGCTGAGGAAATATTTTTAACAATCCCAGAATACATCAAGGTAAAAACATTTCTTTATCACTTATACCTTGTGTTAATTTCCTGTTGTTCTTGCTTGCAGAAATAGAATCCTTCCCCCATGAACTCCCCAAACTTTCATATTATGTCTTTATCAAAAGCTGGGGAGCAGGGGCCAGAGTGTTCTGAGTACACATTGAATTATATACTTTGTCTCAGTACGTTGTCCACTATTTTCTTATTTCTCCCTGTTTTCTTGTTCCTTGCCTTATTTGAAGGTTAGCTAGAAAATAAGAATTGCTTTTTCCCTCCCTTTAGTTCCTTTTTGTCTACTTATGTTTCCATTTCAGACCTTTATAATTACATGTAAAATCACTTTCTAGTGGACTTAATCGTCTTGTAGTAGGGTAAAATTAGTTCAGTCTTAGAAATCATTCTTAGCCCTTTTGGACTTACAGTTAAAACAGCTATTATTTACTCATCCTCCTAGTTGAGAATTAACAATTAAAAATAGGAGTAAGATACTGAGATAATAACCCCACTTCTCTCTTCTGTTTTTCTTTTTCATTCACACATACAGACACATTCTTTTTTTTTTTTATTCGATAGTATTTCTTACATATCAAGACTTAAGAAATCACTGTGGTGGTATAGGTTATTTATGTATTAAAATTTGTTGTTGTTGTTGTTTGAGACAGAGTCTTGCTCTGTCACCCAGGCTGGAGTTCAGTGGTGTGATCTTGTTACACTGCAACCTCTGCCTCTGAGGCTCAAGTGATCCTCTCACTTCAGCCTCCTGAGTAGCTGGGACTACAGGAATGAAACACCATGTCTGGTGAATTTTTCCTTTTTTAAAAAACTTTTTGTAGAGACAGGGTTTCACCATGTTGCCCAGGCTGTTCTTGAATTGCTGAGCTCAAGCAGTCCGCCTGCCTTGGCCTCTCAAAGTGCTAAGATTATAGGCGTGAACCACCATGCCCAGCCTAGGTTATTTTTTTTTAAATAGAATTTGTTGTAACACAACAATCCAGGAAGCTAAACAGTACATATATATTTGTTTAAAAGGTAAGATGGAATATCAAGAACAAAAAGTACATGGTGATAATTCTAAAAATTTCCTACACGCATCACTTCTTAATGATGTTATTTTTCACCAGTTCTTTTTTTATCACAAATTTTAGGATATGGCAAAAAATTATTTTGTTGGACTGAAAAAAGTACATCCAATCCTTGTTGGAATAGGTAAAATTTGGTTAAATTGCTTAATTCCACTGAGCCTCTGTTTTTGCACCTGCAATGCTTGGGTGGTGGTGGAGAATGTGTTATTTAATGTGAAATATTTTGTAATTAAAATTAGCCATGTAAATGTAAGGTAGAATTTATTACTGACTGGTGACATCTTTCATTAGGAGACATTTGCTGTACAAAAAAATTAATTTGTAGTATGTAATTAGCTACGCTTTTGTAAATGAAAGAATTTTTGGAAGGAAATATTTTAATCAAATCTAAATCTACCTCCACTAAATTTTCACCTCTTAGGAAGGACTTGGATTGTTTTACCCATATTTGTATCATACTGTCTTTTGCATATTTTTTATTCATTTACCAAACATATATTCTATGCCTCCTCTGTGTCAGGCACTGTGCTAGGTAGGCTTTTACACATTGGAGAAGACCAACTTGGTCATTGCCTTTTTGGAGATTATAAAAGTGTTCAATACATGTGTTTTTTTATGGAATTTGTGAGAAATTAAACCAGGGAATGATTTTTTTCCCTTAATTTTTCAAATAAGTTTTTCCCAGACTGTTAGAAGAAGATGATGATGGTTTGACCACTTGGGTGGTGAGATTGGGAAGGATTATTGTTCTTTATTAAGGAATATACTATTTATTAAGTAAATAGTACTTGTTTTACTATTTTTTAAGCAGGAGAAAATTTGTGAATGGAAGCAAAAAAGCCACTTTATTTTCAGCCTGAATAAGAAATTAACCTTTGATGTCATGAAATTCTCTTCCCATAAAATTGATAAATAGGAAGGACAAACAAGTTCTTTTTAAAACCAAAAAAGAAAGAATAGCAAAATAGAATTTGTTCTTCTTTCTTCATGGCTAGGTAGTCTGGTCTGATTCATAGACCTAAAAAAGTCACATAAAAACAACCCAAGAAGTAAAAGTAAGCAGAAAAGACATAGAAATATGAAATCCTCCACTCTGTACTTTCAGTATAGAAAGCTAAAGCCTAATTAAGCCAGTTGTGTGTTAACTGTCACAGAAGAGATTAGGGCAGCTTGTGTGGTATAAAGAATCCTTGACTCCTTCTCCGCTGAGACTCAGGAAACCATTGAGGATACATGGCAGGGTATGCTTTTGGTTAATTTTTTATGTTTTTGGAAGATTTTATATAGAAAGAAACTTGACAGTTATGCCATGCATCTTTGCCAATTTCAGTAGTAATATGATAAATGATCTGAGTGTGGAAACTAGTTAGAGCTAGCTATATGGTAGGGAAAAATTGTTTAAATTTGGATTTTCCTTGTGTTTGTGTGTGCTTTTAATTGGATTTTAATTAGTGTTGTAAACCGTGTAGATATGTACACATCAGAATGTAAAAGAAGACAAAGGATTAGGAAGAGGTAGTTTTTCATCAAAAATAAAAAATTACATATTTCAAACATAGAATTGCCTTCTATGAAAATGTAAGAAGGCTGTATCTATGGGATGATGTTTTCTTCCATATGTACTAAGGTGAACAAGCTATTATCCCTCACCCTTGGGAGATTAAGACATTGTATTAGGGTCTTCTAGAGAAACAGCCAATATTGAGTGAGTGTATGTATATACAGACACACATATACATATATGTGTGTATATTCACACATAGTGTATGTATACACACACACAGAGACACATGTATATGTATGAGAGGGAATTTATTAGGGGAATTGACTTATGAGATTACAGAGTCTGAGAAGTCCGAGAGTAGGCTGTCTGCAAGCTGGAGAACCAGGGAAGCCAATGGTGTTACTCTCAGAGGCAGAAGGCAAGGCTTGAGAACCTAGCAGGGGACTGGGCTATTGGTGCAATTTCTGGAGTCCAAAGGCAGGAAAACCTGGAGTTCTGCTGTCCAAGGATAGGAGATGAATGTCCCAGCCCAGAGGAGAGTGAATTCACTTTCCTTTGCCTTTTTGTTCTATTGGGCCTTCCAGCCTATTTGGATGATGCCTGCCCATACTGAGGGCAGATCTTTCCACTCAGTCTACAAGCCAATCTCCTCTGCAAACATCATTGCAGACACACCCAAGACACGTTGCTTTACCAGCTATCTAGGTATCCCTTAATGCAGTCAAGTTGACACATAAAATTAACCATCCAGAAATATGCACAAATAATATAGGATAGAATATAATCAGTATTATAATGGGGAGCAGAGTATATTTGAAAAGTAGAATGTTTATTGAAATGTTTCAGTCTGTTTTATTGTATACAAGATGGATTCCATGTTTTATCTTTCATGTAGCCTATATTGGTTTCCCATATAATGTTAGAAAATATTTTGATATGCCTAGTTTGACTTTGTATAAAATAATGATGAATTTGGTCAAATAAGATTTTAAAACATTCAACTTGTCTCTGGTTTTTCTACTAATGATAGGCTTTCTTTCTCCTCAAAAGTTTTTTAATCAGGTTCTGATGCTTGGGAAAACATCTATCAGCGATTTGTCAGAGCATGTCTTTGACTTAATTTTGGAGCTCTACAATATTGATAGTCATTTGCTGCTCTCTGTTTTACCCCAGCTTGAATTTAAATTAAAGGTAACTTGTAAAAATAATATGATTCTACCAACCAAGTTATTAGCAAAGAGCATTATTTATAGCTTTTTAATTTTTACAGTAGTTTTAACTGAATGTAAGAGATGAGGGGGAAGTATTACTATTATTTCTTCACGTATTTGTGCCGTGTCTGTTTGTGAATCTTTAGTGCCTGGCAGGTGCCTAGCAGATAGTAACTGTTTAATAAATGATTAGCAAGATGGTATTTTCCTCCAGACATTTTCCAGATAAATTCTAGGATTTGACTAACTTTTGAAGTCTTAGCTGTACATCAAGCTTATGTTTTCAAGGCACAGTTTATAGTAGTTCCTTTGACCACTGAGGCCATAAAAATAGTTTAGAGTTTTTTATCCACATAGTGTGAAATGCTTTCCCTTTATGCATATTATCTCATGTTGCCTATGTTGAAAGTTTGTTTGCTTTTTATATAGTTGTGTGAATTTTTTATTTTTTTGAGACAGGATTTTTTTTTGTTTTGTTGCCCAGGCTGGAGTGCAGTGGTGTGATCTTGGCTCACTGCAACCTGTGCCTCTCGGGATCAAGCTACTCTTCCACCTCAGCCTCCCAAGTAGCTGGGACTACAGGCTGTGCCACCACCCCTGCTAATTTTTGTATTTTTTGGTAGAGACAGGGTTTCACCATGTTGGCCAGGCTGATTTCAAACTCCTGACCTCAAGTAATCCACCTGCCTCGGCCTCCCAATGTTGACATTACAGGCATAAACCACCACCCCTGACCGAGTGAAATTTTTTGGTAGCATGTTCCTAACTGTTTTGACATTAAATTATGCTGTAAAATTGAGCAGAATTGGACAATATAGTTTTCTTTTTCAAATCATTACAATAAAATTAAGTAAAGCTGGTTATAATTATTAATCTTTGTGGACCCAGAAAAGTTCTTAAATGATGTTTGTGTCTAAAATTTTTGATTTTCTTTCAAAAACAAAACAGTCCACATTGGTAATGTGAACACCCCAAGTAGCCAGTAAATAAGTATTCTTCTTATATTCTGGAGTAGTTTTTGGTATATTTCTCAAATGAGCCATTCAATTAACTGGCCTTCCTGTCCCCTTTTTAATGTGGTTAGTGATTTGGGTGAGGCAGCAGGTAGCCACACCTCTAATTATTTGTTGGTTTATATGATTTTCTGAAGTAAAAATATTGAGTAAATGCTATGCATGTTCCTACACACTATGAGAAATATAAAAATAAGGAAATTATCATCCCTGCTTTCAGCAAACTTAACATCTAGTATGAGAGGAAGAGGAAAAAAAATCCAGATCTAATATGAGGCCAGATATTATAAGTGTCATAAGAGATACAAACAGCGTACAATTGAAGCAAAGGAAACAGCATGCAGAAGCATATAGAGGTAGGAAGGTTCCGGGTGAATTTGTGGAACACAAAGAATTATAATTGGAAGATAGCATAAAGTAAGTTTAAATCACTCCTGGCTGCATATTAGAATCTTTGCTTGTTAAGCCTTAAAGAAATAGCTGTCCAGGCACTGAACCAGACTAGCTGATTCCGAGTTTTGGGGAATAGAGGTTTTTTTTTTTTTGTTCTTCTTATTTTAATTTTTTTTTTTTAAGTTTTGAGATGATTCTAATGTACAGCCAGGCTTGAGATATAATTACTTAGACGAATAAAGAAAGAAATAATAGAGATGAGTTAGGTCATATTGTCGGGGCTCTTGGCATGGCAGGTTGTGGCATTGGTTTAAAATTTAAAAACAATTTGTGTAGTGACATTTCCATAGCACCTTGAATATCAGTGCCTTTTGATATACCCAATTCCCACACTTTATGTTCAAGTCTAGTATTGTGACTGGCTCATTCACTTATCCATTGAGTCATTTGTTGGAAGTGCCAAAATCAATAGTAAAATTGAGTTCACATCCTTAGGGTGCCCCCAATATAATATATAAAACAAATTTGAGTTTTCACAGGTTTAAGGCCTCTTTTTACTGTTGAGCTCCTTTTAGAAATCTGGTCTGTGTAGATGAAGTGTCTTACTGGGAGACTGTAGCACATACTAATAGAGCTAAAAAGTTTATTCACACAGAGTTTTCTGTTTTCTGTAGGCCTGGCCTCTGTCAGTGTCTGTTCTGAAAAACCACACATAGTTTTTCAAGGGTCCTGGGTAGGTTTTATAAGAGTTCATTTTTTATTTTAACTCTGAATAGAAATAAACTTTAATTGTAGGAGGGGCCTCTAACATTGGAACAAACTTTAAAGATGTATTTTCATGAAAGGTACTTCTTTAATGGAATTTGAGATAATTAGAGCATTTATGATGACATTTAATTTTGTGAAAAGTATAGTGAGCATTTTTATGTAATTTTTCATTTAGAGTTCATGAAAGATTTTCTGTGGAATTGGAGCATCAGGGAAATTATGGCAAAGAATGGGCAGCCTTATTCTGAATATCTACTGCATGGTTTTAAAGCTGTGATTGTGTTTTATTTTAGAGCAATGATAATGAGGAGCGCCTACAAGTTGTTAAACTACTGGCAAAAATGTTTGGGGCAAAGGATTCAGAATTGGCTTCTCAAAACAAGCCACTTTGGCAGTGCTACTTGGGCAGGTATATGATTTTGGTTTCCCATTTAAAAGTAATACATTATTCTACTGACCGTTTTTTTAAGAAACATTATCCACATTTAAACTGTGTTCTCTGGAATCATAAAAATGAAGGATTTTTTATGTTGAAAGTTTTGAAAGTTGTTAATGACTGGCTATATTTATATTTACTCTTTTTAGTCTTTATCCTCAGTAATTTTTAAAAGATAATACATTTTAAAGCTATCTCTTATGGTATTATGACCATGAAGTTAATATTATTACTTTAAGGCAGTGATTAATTCCAACTGAAAATACGTCTTTGGGAGATATAGCCTCTCTACAAATTAATTACAATTAATTAGGTTGTTTGGAGATATTGACAGGATAAGAGTATTCACAGAGTGAATAAAGAAATGACTATTTATATTTCTCTTCCTAACTTCCTTCTGTATTACTCAGTTAAAGGAAATGATGGCCTGGATTCCTTGCATGGTTTGAATGATGCATAAAATCCCTGAAATGGTTGCAGAATTTTGAGTGTGTTTGTGTATGTCACTTTTCTGTGAGAGGTATTCATCCCTGACCTTGAAATATTAAAAGCCCGACAAGTGCCTTGGCCGAAACCCGCTCTGACTCAGAAAAAAAGAGAATTTTTCCCCTCAAATTATTCTCATAACAAATAATGCAGTTAAGTCATAAACAAACAAGATCTGGCCGGGCGCGGTGGCTCATGCCTGTAATCCTAGCACTTTGGGAGGCCGAGGCAGGTGGATCACAAGGTCAGGAGATCGAGACCATCCTGGCTAACACGGTGAAACCCAGTCTCTATTAAAAATACAAAAAATTAGCCAGGCGTGGTGGCAGGCACCTGTAGTCCCAGCTACATGGGAGGCTGAGGCAGGAGGATGGCCTGAACCCGGGAGGTGGAGCTTGCAGTGAGCTGAGATGGCACCACTGCATTCCAGCCTGGGCGACAGAGCGAGACTCTTGTCTCCAAAAAAAAAAAAAAAAAAAAAAAAGATTTAAAGGCCCTGATTTTATATTCTTTGTGTTGAAATATTTGCAATGGTATGACCACTTTCTTTACATTTTAATGAAAACTGTCAGTGATTACTGTAAATTTAATATTTTGGTCTCATTTTTCTGATTTGTTAAAAGAGGATATAAGTTGTGATAAGTGTTTGTTAAGCTTCAGATCTCCAGTCTGATTTCTTGATTCTTATTTAGCTCAATAATTACGTTCAGTCAGTCAAGTTAAGCCAACTTTTTTCTTTTAAATACAATGGAAAGTTTTTAGACAGTAGGAAAGAATATCAGTTTAAATTATGCAACTTAATTTAAAGTTTAATATTTTAAAACAAAAATACTTTTACTGTATATATATTTATTATATCTTTAAATTAAGACTTGGATTAGCTGGGATGTATTTTATTGGTTTTTAGCTGGAGAAATCCTAATGTAAATGTATATGTCACCTTTCTATTATGTTGTAATTTTTCCTTTTAATATTAATAACATAAAACTTACACAGTATTAAATAATACCAACTTTAAGGAGTTAGTCTTTTAAAAGACGTCTTAGTATATTTATTTTTAATTGTTGTAAGGTGCATGTTTACCTGAGAAATGATAACGTATATAGGATTGAGTACCTGAATTCAAAACACTCAGGAAGCTGTATGGGACCAGAGGCTAGATTTTATAACTTTTGGGAGGGGAGGTATACTTCATAGAGCATATGCTTTTTTTTTTCTAATTTTTATGAGTAATTTGGTGCTGGTTTTGAAGACTTTTTCCCACTCCTTTATAATGCTAACTTTAGTTTCTTAGGTGTTGAATGATGTAAGATTTGGGAGCCTTTAGATTTCATAGAATTAAGACATATGAAAATATTGAATGGAAAAATCTTGGATTCACTTTAATGTTCTTGATACTTAATTTTTTTAAATTACTATTTTACATTCTGTGATAAAGTAATGTATACAGACGGAACATCAGTGGTTGAGAGACAGCTAAACATCATGTGCTTCCTGATGGAAGAACACAGTGCCATCTATGGTATTTTGGTAGTCTGGCAAAAAAAAAAAATTGACCCAAATATAATCAAGTTTTTAGATCTAACTACCAGTTTACAGGATTTAGAAGAGAGAGGAGCCTGTTAATTCACATCAGAATGATACAATTAGCGAAATCTAAATTATGGAATAAAACCATACACATATACAGCAGTTGCTCTAGCAAATTACAGGAAAAAGAGTTGGAGGGAAAACAAAAGATTTGAGGCTTAAGTGACATATCAACCAAAGAATTTTAACTTTTTAGGGATACATACATATTTACAGATGTAATGTAAAAAGTGGCCTTGCCGTTAGTGGCAGTGTAATAATGGTGATGATTAATTGGATAGTAGTAATTTGGGTACACTTTTAGATTCATGTAATATACTGTAGGGTTTAGTGTGAGATCTGCCATACATTAGTGAATGCCCTATATTTAAAAGGGAATACTTTAGGGAAAGTTTTCTTTCAAACATAGTTTGAGATTTATGATGTTTCTATGAACTATATATGCACACTTGCATAAATAGATGTATTTGAGAGTATAACGTTGATAGGAACTTTTTTATCATTCTTATATTTGAGCCAAATGTATATGGTTTATTCAGGTTCCTTAAAATCACATAGTTCTCACAGGAGATTGCTCTAGTTTGTATAGAGTTTCCAGAGCATTCAGACATACATGTATATCAGAAACTTTGTAAAATGGTTTGGTTCTACTTTGCATTTTCCTTCATAAACTGTTTTTTCTTTAATTAGATAAATGTAAATTGGGTACAGATTTAACACATGTCTGTTTCTCTTATTTTGAAGCTCACTCTGTGCTTTTATATTTTATCAGGTTTAATGATATCCATGTACCAATCCGCCTGGAATGTGTGAAATTTGCTAGCCATTGTCTCATGAACCATCCTGATTTAGCAAAAGACTTAACAGGTACTATATATATGTAACAGCAAATATTCTTACGTGCTCTTCAGTGGAAAAAAATAAGTTTCATAGGGGGAAAAAAAACCCCTTTTTTCGGGGGTGGTAGGTGAAGTCTTGTTTTAGTTTAAGGTCATGGAAGTTGTTCTCTGAAGCTAGATTTTTTTTTTTTTTTTTAAAATAGAGACAAGGTCTCGCTATGTTGCCCAAGCTTGCTTAGAACTCCTGAACTCAAGCTGTCCTTCTGCCTTGGTTAAATTAGTTTACCATGACTCACCTAAGTTCTTAAAATATTGAAGAACATTAGTCTTATAATCTAGTCAAAGTCAAGACCTGTTCAAATCCAAATGTCTAAAATAAGTTTAGAATTGTCCTTAAACTAAGAAACTAGTAATTGTTCCTGGAGACAGACATTTTCATAGATGCTTCCAACCTATGTAGGAACTATGCTGTAGAAATTCTAGCTTCAGGCCGAGCACAGGCCAAGGTGGGCAGATCACCTGAGGTCAGGAGATCAAGACCATGCTGACCAATATGAAACCCCGTCTCGACTAAAAATACAAAAATTAGCTGGGTGTGATGGCATGCGCCTATAATCCCAGCTACTCAGGAGGCTGAGGCAGGAGAATTGCTTGAACCTGGGAGGCAGAGGTTGCAGTGAGCTGAGATTGTGCCATTGCACTCCAGCCTGGTCAACAAGAGCGAAACTCTTTATCTCAAAAAAAAAAAAAAAATAAATAAATAAATGAATAAAACAGCAGATATTTTACCAGTTTCATCCTTTTTGGGAGACATCCCACTTGGAGCTTTCTGATTTCCTACTCAAATTTGCAGTGCTTAGACAGCTTGCTCTGAGCTTCTGCTCTACAGCATTGACCTTAGGGCCATCCATTCTTCCTCCCATCTTTGCTCTCCCCTTCCATCCTCCTCCCTTCTTTTTCCCTCCTTTCCTCTTCGTCTGTGAGTGTGTGTGTGTGTGTGTGTGTGTGTGTGTGTCTGTTTCTACACCTCCCCTTTCTCCTTCCCTTTTTCTCTGGATGTTCCTTTTTCTTTAGCATCCTTTTCTTGTGTTGCTAATACAGTATTTTCTCTGAGAGTGTCAATGGTAGGTAGTTTTTTGGGGAATTTTTCTTTTTCTTCCAAAATGTCTGTATCTGCTATTTGTTTTTTTCACCTTATATTTGCTTTTGTCTTTTTTTCCATGTTAAAGGCTTTCCTCAAATGATTGGCAATCCGAGGCCGTCTGCTCATGATTAAGAGTGGGGGGGCTAAATCAAAAGCTGTTTGGAAAGCCCTGAGTATATGCTTTCCTCAAATGATTGGCAATCTGTGGCTGTCTGCTCATGATTAAGAGTGGGGGGCTGAATAAAAAGCTGTAAACTATTTGGAACACTCTGAGTACATGGTTGGGTCTGTCAACTCTGAACTTCACTTTTGGGTGATCAGAGTGAGTTGTTTGTTGGGGAGCCCTTAGTTTAGATACTTCCTCTTCATCCTGTCAAATTTCTAATAGAAGAGTATCTTATCTAGAAGTTAAAGGTGAGTTACTAATGTGTTTGGGAAAAGAATGATGGGTTTCTGCATTCACATTTCAGATTAGTTGTCACATAATCCCCTTTTGGGTATGGTATCCATGCCCTCAACCGTTTGGGGTCCCCCAGTTTAGAGCTACTGTTTTATATTTTTATTATAGTATTTATCTCCAGACTTCTTTTGGTGTGGAATAGGGGCAATCTCCTTGATGGATTTCTCAAACAGCCTTCACCCAGTCCTTCCTTCTCTTCCTTGTTTTAAGATCCAGAAGTTCTTGTTGCTAGTTCCTATGCCTTTTGAAGAGTGTAGTGTATATTGAGTTGGTTGCTTAGTTGTGATTTTTAAATTGTTTTTTAAGAGACAGGGTCTTACTCTGTTGCCCAGGCTGATTTTGAATTTTTTTTATTGAAATATTTAAATCATGTTTTTCAGTTATTAAGTAAAACCAGACCCCTGCTTTTTTGCTGTTGATAATGTGTAGCAGTGTGCACCAATTTGATTTGTACATGGCTAAATAGAATTTCTCTTTCACTGAATTTGCTGTCATGTTAGGTTACATAGGCCGCAAAGGATTTATACTGACTGAGTAGGAGAGAGGCAGTGCTGGAAATATCCTGCCAACGTATACGTTTCCTTCTTAGGCTCATATTGGCTTCCCATCTCCTGTTTCCCAGTAGCCTTAGAGTCAGTCATTTCTTGCTTTTTAACTTCTACTCACTGTTGTTACAGATGAGGGCTTGCGGTATCTCATTCTATAGAAGATTCTTTCTTTCTCCCCTAGCTGAAATATGATGGCAGGTTTCAGAGGTTTTCACTGCTAGATAAAGTGATAAAAGTATAAGAGTAATAAAGCAATCCTTGCTTTTGTTTGAAAGAGTGAGGCTTGAGGCTGGGCACGGTGGCTCATGCCTGTAATCCCTGCACTTTGGGAGGCCGAGGCGGGCAGATTGCTTGAGGTCAGGAGTTTGAGACCAGCCCAGCCAACATGGTGAAACCCCACCTCTACTAAAAAATACAAAAATTAGCCGGGTGTGGTGGTGCACACCTGTAATCGCAGCTACCCGGGAGGCTGAGACAGGAGAATTGCTTGAACCTGGGAGGCAGAGGTTGCAGTAAGCCGAGAGATCGCGCCACTGCACCCCAGCCTGGGCGATAGAGCAAGACTCAGTCTCAAAAAAAAAAAGTGAGGCTTTGATTTTTTTTTTTAGTAGTTTCAATCACATCTTCAATTATTTTCTTTTAAACCCCATATACCCTGTTCCATTTTACGTTTCTCCAGCTTCATTCCTGACTAGCAGGATCATTTCACTTTATCCGTGTGAACCTTATACTGTAGTGCTTCTCAACCTTATCAGACCCAGTACCTCCCTTTTTAAGCAAATAATTTGTAATTCTCCCTTTGAGATCCTTAAATAAAATGAATAGATAAAACAATCCACTTAAAAAGTTAAAAAATTAATTGCCCTATTTGTAATATACAGGAGAAACAAAAGGGAAGTCATTTATAATAAAGTAGTATATATTGTAATATTTAAATGTTTGGATATGACATACAGAGATAACATGCCTCCACAAGTTTCTCACTTAATTATTCTCTGCCACAGGGGTATATGGAAAGCTCTGTGAATCCTAATTGATAAGGTATTTGGATGACTACCTGAACAGCTAACTCAGATTTATCCATATTTTAGAGAAAATATCAGAGTCTGTTCTACAGTTTCCTTTTTTTTAACTTAAAAAAAGTGTAATTAGCTTAAAATATACAGATCCTGAGTGTTCAGTTTGATGTTTGAAGAGAGTGAATTTCCATGATGCCAAAAAGTCCCCCTGTATCCCCTTCCAGTTAGTTCTCTCACCATTTTCTGGTTTCTATTTCTGTAGGTTAGTTTTGCCTGTTTCTGAATTTCATATATGTTGAATCATACAATGTGTACTATTCTTTTTGAGGGTGGGGAATGGAGAGAGATCTGGCTGCTTTCACATAACATGTTTTTGAAATTTATCCTGTTTTGTTAATTTATTCTTTATTATTATTCCGTTGTATGAATATACCATAATTTGTTTACCCACTTCTTTTGATGGTTATCTGGGTTGTTTCTGATTTGGGGCTATTAATAGTGATTACTGTGAATAGTCTTATACAAGTATTTCTGTGGGCTTATGTTCTTATTTCTTTTTGAAAACAGTAATTAAATTGCTGGTCATAGTGTAGATACATGTTTATAAGAGACAGTGAAAACAGTCTCCATATTAGTTATACTGTTTTACATTTGTACCAGCAATGAATGAGAGTTCCAGTCATTTAGCGTCCTTGACAACATTTTGTGTTTTCAGTCTTTTTGTTTTTAACCATTCTTATAGGTTCTTCAACTATTTTAAATGTTTTCAGTGTTCTTCCTGGAAATAAGCTTGTGTATTGTTTTCTTTCCCATTTGGGTTTCATCCTTTTCCTTTGTCCTGTGACATTTACTTGTTGTCCATCTGCCAAAATTTTGTTGACACATCTCTTGCCTGTGATCTCTTGTTGTGATCTCTTCTCTTGTTATTTGTCCCTTTTAAAAAACTTTCTTTTTTTTTTTGAGGCAGTCTCGCCCTGTCACCCAGACTGGAGTACAGTGGCACGATCTCAGCTCACAGCAACCTCCACCTCCTGGGTTCAAGCGATTCTCCTGCCTCAGCCTCGCGAGTAGCTGGGACTACAGCTGTGTGCCACCACACTTGGCTAATTTTTTTGTATTTTTAGTAGAGACGAGGTTTCACCGTGTTGGCCAGGCTGGTCTCCTGGCCTCAAGTGATCCACCTACCTCATCCTCCCAAAGTGCTGGGATTACAGGTGTGAGCTACCACGCCTGGCCTTTAAAATTTTTTTTTTTTTTTTTTTTTTGAGATGGAGCTCTGCCCTTGTTGCCCAGGCTGAAGTGCAATGATGCGATCTCCGCTCACCGCAGCCTCTCCCTACTGGGTTCAAGTGATTCTCCTGTCTCAGCCTCCCAAGTAGCTGGGATCACAGGCATGTGCCACCACCCCTGGATAATTTTGTATTTTTAATAGAGAAGGGGCTTATCCGTGTTGGTCAGGCTGGTCTTGAACTCCTGACCTCAAGTGATCTGCCCGCCTCGGCCTCCCAAAGTGCTGGGATTACAGGCATGAGCCACCACACCTGGCCAGGTTAGTGAATTCTTAATCAAGTTATCAATCTACCAAATGGAGAGGAGGCTGTTATTACTCAATTGGATGTCAAGGCTCTTTTTTGACTGAAGAACTAATCTTCTTTCTTCCTTCCCTTTCTTTCTGGGCTCTTAATTTTCTTGAAACTTCTATGTAGGTATTGTTTTGCTAGGGCTTATTTTCAAGGGTATCATGCAGTGTTTTAAAAATATTTTAGTTATTAAAATTTCCACTGTAATAAAATGTTATCTTTCAGAGTATCTTAAAGTGAGGTCACATGACCCTGAGGAAGCTATTAGACATGATGTTATTGTGTCAATAGTTACAGCTGCTAAAAAGGATATTCTTCTGGTCAATGATCACTTACTTAATTTTGTGAGAGAGAGAACATTAGACAAACGAGTAAGTATGAATAAATAATTATTACTAAGTTTTCATTTTTAATACTTGAAGTTTAACAATATTTGAAAATATATTTAAATATACATATTTAAATATAATTAGCCTTTTTTAGGGGTATGGAGGCATTTTAATATTTAAAATTACCTTTATGAGGTTTACTTTCTGTTACATTAAATTGTATCAGTTTTTCTTCATTAAAGATATTTGTTCTAATCCTGAAGATAAGACAGCTCTTAATGGTAGTCAATGTTTATCCTGTATACCAGTGTTAATGATAAGGGACTTTTGTAAAGGCCTGAGATACAACTTCTCTTATGTTGTTGACTCTTCTTTTTCTTTCTTCTTTCAGGGCTGTTGTTATATGGGTATGAATTGGTAGTTGTCTAGCTGGTTGTATTATAATCAACATGGAATAGAAAATGAAAGATGTTTTCAACTTAGCAAAGCTAAACCCGATAGAGCACCATGCTTCTAGCCTATTTTCTGTGTCCTCAAGCCAGCTTTTTTGAATGAGTACCCACTAGCTCCACTCATTAATCAGTGAACTTGAGAGGACTGTATCTTGTTATGTTTGTGTTTCATACTGCATGGAATATATTAGGCACTCAGGAAATACTTTAATGAATGTTCATTCTGTTCCCCTCCTGATTGCCATAATGGCATCTAAGCCTCATTTAGGCATAAGAGTAATTTTGGTGAAGGATGAGACTTTTTGACTTATTTAAGTGCTAATTATCAAAGAAAGTGGGAGGCCTGCCTATTGGTTGTTGGAATATCTTTGACTAGGTAAATTCTTTAAAACTTTGTAGGCCAGGTGCAGTAGCTCACATCTGTAATCCCAGCACTTTGGGAGGCTGAGACGGGTAGATCATGAGGTCAGGAGATCAAGACCATTCTGGCTAACATGGCGAAATCCCGTCTCTACTAAAAATACAAAAATTTAGCTGGCTGTGGTGGCGGGCGCCTGTAGTCCCAGCTACTCGGGAGGCTGAGGCAGGAGAATGGCATGAACCTGGGAGGCAGAGCTTCCAGTGAGCTGAGATTGTGCCACTGCACTGCAGCCTGGGTGACAAGAGTGAGACTCCGTCTCAAAAAAAACATTGTAACGGGTTGATCATGCCATCTCCCTTGTTTAATACTCTCGTTGATAATGCTGGTTGTGCGTGGAGGATAAATGGGCAAGAAGCACATGGTTTTCCCTTCAAATCTATAGGTATCCAGAACAATTTATTTTAACCGATAAATTTAGACTAATCTTTATTGAATATTTCGTTGTGGTATTAATTAGTGAAAAGGGCCAAAAGGCATGAAGAGGGAAAGGATATTTGCATTGTTCATAGGATAGTAGCCTTCTAAATACCTTTTTTCTCAGCTAGACTTAGAATTTGAGCTGTTTTTGTGTATTGTTGGGATCATAATGTATATTTTTGATCATCATGTTATATTGTATGGTTGCTTGGTTCATTCATATAAAAATTGAGCACTGAAAAATAATTGACTATATACATGTTCTTGGTAATATTAGAATATGATGTATCTTTAAATTCTCTTTGAAGAAGAGGGAATTAAGAGTTAGATACAACATGGGGAGTTAGAGATACAAACTTTTTATAAACAAATTGAAGTCTTACTTATTTTTTGAGACAAAGTCTCCCTTTGTCACCCAGGCTGGAGTGCAGTGGTGCCATCACGGCTCATTGCATCCTTGACCTGGGTTCCAACAGTCCTCCCACCTCAGCCTCCTGAGTAGGTGGTACTACAGGCACATCCCACTATGCCTGGCCAATTTTTTTTTTATTAGAGACAGGGTCTCACTATGTTGCCTAGGCTGGTCTCGAATTCCTGGTCTCAAGCCATCCTCCCACCTCGGCCTCCCAAAGTGTTAGGATTACAAGCATGAGCCACCATGACTGGCCTGAAATCTTATAAGACCTGTAGAAGTCTTTTATTTCAATATGTAGTTGGTGGATGAATGAGATAAGAACTATTCTTAATATACTGTAATTAAGTGAAAGAAAAACCAAGGAATAATTTGTTGCTATGAATGACAGACCATAGCAAAAGAAAAAGGACCACGAAGGAAAAAATTAATAATCTCTGCAGATTCATGATGTTTTCAACATTACCAGCTTCCTTTTGATTACAGTGCTGTGTTTATGTAAAATTAAAGAATGAACTTATTCTAAGATAATTAATGCCAGATGCACTGTAACAAATATACACTTATTTTAAAAAAAGTTGAATACATTTCCCTTATACTTCAACTCAGTCCCAGATGTACAGAATGGACCACTGATAAGTATTTTTACATTCAGCATTTGATAAAGCCAATATCATATATGCCTTTAATACATCTTAATTACTATTATTTGTAATAGTGTAAGTATGCTCAATATAGACCACAATTAGAAAAAAATTATGAGGGATGGGGGTTTATCCATTTAATTCTGTCTTTGTCTTTTAATGTTTGGTTTCTTGAGCTGGCTGCAGTGGCTCACGCCTGTAATCCCAGCACTTTAGGAGGCTGAGGTGGGAAGATTGCTTGAGGCCAGGAGTTCGAGACCAGCCTGGGCAACATAGACCCTGTTTCTACAAAAAACAAAAATAAAAAATTAGCTAGGTGTGGCATTGTATGCCTGTAGTCCCAGCTACTCTGGAGGCTGAGGTAGGAGGATTGCTTGAGCCCAGTTGTTCATGACTTTGGTGAGCTGTGATTGCACCACTTCACTCCAACTTGGGCAACAGAGATCCTGTCTCTAAAAATGCATGAACAAAAATTTTGGTAGCTTGTTTTTCTCACCAATTTTAAGTCACAGTATGTAGAGTATGATTAGCTTTTGTTTTCAGGCATAGATGATAGGTTTAAGACATTAAAGCATTAAAGTTCTTTACACATGTTGATTTTTCTCCCATACTTTACATGGTAGAAATATTTATGTGATAGTTGTGTTTTTTTTTAATAAATGTAGTAATTATAAATTGATATTTAGTATCTGAGACTTAAAAAAATGTATAAAGGGAAGGAAAACACAAAACTAGGAAACTAGACTTTCCTTAATTTATATAATGGAAGCCTTTTTACATTATAAATAAAACTTTTTGTTTTTAAGTGGAGAGTACGCAAAGAAGCCATGATGGGACTTGCCCAAATTTATAAGAAATATGCTTTACAGTCAGCAGCTGGAAAAGATGCTGCAAAACAGATAGCATGGATCAAAGACAAATTGCTACATATATATTATCAAAATAGTATTGATGATCGGTAAGTTAAGGACACTATAAATATTTGGTGACTTTGAATGTTATATAACTTGATTTATTGTTTTATGCAAACTATTTTCTTTATGACCTTACACTCCTTCCTCAGTTTTTAGTGCAAGGTAATGGTAGTGAGTGACTGGGCTCATTCCCACCCAAGCCATAAATGAAGCAGTAATGTACATATAACTTTAGGGATGGGTACAGGTTTTACGTTCCATTTTCATATACTGTATTTGAACAGTCATATCTAAAAATAGGTATGTGTAATAGTTATAATTTTAGTTCATAGGTAATTGTGTTACAAGGATCTTCATTAATTTTTTTCAAAGAAAACTTTAAAAAGCTGTTGAATTTTACACATTTAAAAACAATTTCTACTGAAGGCTAAAAAACAGTTTATAAATTTATATAAAAAACACATTATCTGAATATAATCTTAATATTTTTTCCATTCCAGGCTAAGATTAGATCTTGTATGGACTGCAGTCATTTATTAGTTAATAGAGCTCTAAATCCTGCTTATAGTCTGAAATGATTTGATAGGTTATTAGTGGAGACCAAATGATTTTGCCTGTAGCAGATCAGAATGAGAAAATTAAGAAGCAGGTCACACTAAAATTTTAAGAGGCATAGATACTAAAAACTGGATTATCTATGAAACTTTATAGTTGTTTTTATAAAATTGAAGTTGTACTTCTTGAGGGTATGGCATCAGTGCACAAAGAATTACATTATGATTTTGTAGGACTTTTTTTTAGTACTTTTAGCCAGGTCTGTTTTCATGATGATGCCTATGAAAATGCAAAAGAATCTTAAGAGTTTCTTTAGTTTTGACTTAGAAATTTAGAACTTGGCATTTGAAAGGACCTGGCATATTTTAAAACTCTGTATTATACAGATAAAGAAAAAATCCCTGGTACATAATGTGCCCAACATCCTGAAGATGGTAGTTGTCTTAGCTGGGTGTAGGGCTGTTTTCAGTACATCCAGCTAAATCCTGTTTTGGTCCCCTTCTATCTACAGATAGAAGGTTTTGATTTGGAAATCTCATTTCCACTTAGAGCGGCAGGAACTTCTTTAATATATGTTCTTTACATAGTTTTAGAATTTTATATACAACTTTAGAACATTAGAAAAAAATCAATACAATGCCTTCTCTGCTTTTTTGTAGACTACTTGTTGAACGGATCTTTGCTCAATACATGGTTCCTCACAATTTAGAAACTACAGAACGGATGAAATGCTTATATTACTTGTATGCCACACTGGATTTAAATGCTGTGAAGTATGTTTCAAATATCAAATTCTGTTCTTTTCATCCTTTGCAATATATTGGATTTTATGGAAAAGAAACTACAAACACCTGTATTTTAAAATGTAATCTATGTAGTGTAAACATTGTTTAAAGGGTTATGTCGTAGTACTTGGCTATTTTTTCAGAAAGTACCACTTTAAACATGAGACTAAGCCATTACAAGCAATTGAAAAATAGAGCTGATTGACATGAAATCTTTTAGGATTTGAGTTTTCTATTCATATTGTTGGTGTCTCAAGAAACGTTGATGTACCTATTCTTTTTTATTTGTTTTCCTTAAGGCATTAGAAACATTCATATTATGAAAATACTACCTTTTTATTCTCACTTGGTGTACTGATGTGCATTACGGTGGAGAGCAGTAGGCTGCAGATTTTGTGCTGCATAGCCTGAGCAGCACCGTGTTATAGTTTGACATAAGAGTAAGCACAAATATATTTTTATTACCGCATGTCATTCAGAAAGTACTTTTGGGTGTTTAGGTAAGGTGGCATTGGTGTGTTAGACATGGAAAAGACATTGCTAGTCTAATTGAATCATACTAAGGGTTAGGAAATTGAAGTCTTAGAGATTTGCTTTAGGTTTTAGGAAATGTAGACCCTTAGTATTCCAGCAAATGTAGTTTACAAATATTAAGGGTTAAATGTTGAGAAATTTGAGAGATCTAAGGGGCTGTATGTAATTTTCATTTGTACCACTGTTTAATGAGACTTTTAACTTCATTTCTTCCATGGAAATAATTATATTTTCTGTTTATGTTTTATACAGAAATAGTGAGGACAAGGTTGTAGAGGGGAGAAATACACATTTTTTTTTCCTACCTGCTGTATTTCAGGCACTGGAATTTGTATTATGTATAACTGCTTTTGTGCTACAGTGGAAAAGTAGGTTGCAGAGAGATCTGATTGCCCACAAAGCTTAAAATATTTACTGTCCGGCCTTTTACAGAAAAAGCTTGGCAACCCTGGTTTAAGTGACATTTTTCCTGTTTTACATATGATGAAATAAATCACACAAATGTTAAGTTCCACAGAATCACACAAGGAATAAGAGGGAGCCAGGATTCGCACTCAATCCTGCTTGGTTCCAAAGCTTGTTCTTTTTCCACTACACGTAGTAAAATACATTACTCTCATATTTACTTTTATTACTTGTAAACTTTTCTCTGGAATTGAAATACATCCTAAAATTGTTGGTTTGTCATAGCCTAATTGGTGGCTCTTTTTCTCATGGCAAAATTAATTGATGGCCTCTTAAATTGGATGAAATATGGTATTTATATCATATTTGAAACTACCTATTGGAAATCATAGTAAATCTAGACTTCTCTACTCAGCCCAACTGTCATTCAAGAGTAAAAATGAAATGTCACTTTTAAGCAAAAATGAAGAATTTGCCAGTCCTACTTGAAAAAATTACTAAAGAATAACCTTATTTTGGTAAGAAAGGAAATTAAATCTATAAAGAAGTAATAAGATTCAAGAATTTGAAACACTTCTATAAATATAAATAATAAAGGACTGTAAAAACAGTAATAATACAGTTTTATTTGCAAGGGGTGGGAGTGTGGATTAAAAAGTAGGTAGCATGTAGGCCAATATTTAGCCAGTACCATACACCACTGCAGTACTATGTGAGATTTCCTGAGTGTCCCTGGAATCCTCCTTCCTATGGTCCTACCATGCCTGGGCAGGGCTGGAATGTCTCCAGGACCTTCTTGCACTGCCCATGATTCTGACTGGTTGATGCCTGATGCCTTTGTGAAAAATTTTGACTGCAGGTGGGTCCTATCAGATAACAGCATGTAAGGTAATAGGTAAGTAATGAGTATGAAGGTGTTCCAAGGTTCTTTTGTCATGTTAGTGAGGGCAGACATCTTGACTAACTATGTTATAAGTGGGCATTTAACAGTCACCTCTGAAAGCAGTTAAAATGTATAGCTTCCAAACACAGAGGAACAAAAAATAATTAATGAAAACTTTAATACCAGAAACAAAATAGAAAACAAGAAAAATAACAATAAATACACAAAGTATAGTTGTTATAAAACTAAACATGTCAGATATCACTTATCACTTAAATGATAAGTATATTTGATTGAATTCAAAAGTGAAACAGTGCCATTCACAAGAGATATATTGAAAAATAATGCCATTGAAAAGTTAAAAGTAAATTCCAATCTGGACCAGTACTCAAAAGGAAAGGCTTTGATTCTACAAAAATGGTTGGTGAATGAATGGATATTTATTTGTTTTAAGATAAAATATTTAGGGTACATATATATCATTTTTTAGATGATTTTCATTTTAACCAGCTTTTTATAATTAGCTGACCAACTATTATACTTACCAGTATTTTAGTACTTTATATTTATCTGTGGTTGTTTTCTCCAAAATCCATTACCTTTTTAATTATGTAATAATAAAGAAATCACGTATATATGTTATGAAGCATAGTAATAAAGTAAAAATACCTATGAATCTATTACCCAACTTGTAAACTTTTCTCCCATTCATCTTCTCCCAGAGGTAACCTCTACCCTTGTTTCTTGTTTCCTTTAAAAATTTTTTTTAACATATACATGTATATGTATGTGTATATATGTGTATCCCTCAGTAATATATTTTTGCTTGTTTTTGAACTTTATGAAAGAAACAATTGTGTATACAGTGTTGTGTGTCTTTTTTTCTATTCTATTTCCAAGATTCAGTCATAATATTATACATAGCTGTACCTCATTCATTTCACTGTGCTATAGAATTGCACTATTTCATTAATCCATGATCTTATTCCATTATTTTGATATGAGAAATTTGAGTCAATGCAGAAAATGGATGTCTGCATTACTTCCTTTTTTATTTTTTTACTATTTCAAATAATGCTGCTGTAAATACTTTTCAATTTAATATACACATGCAAGAGTTTCTCTGAGGTATGAATATGAGTTATTCTCAAATTTAGCTACTTATTGAAATCACCCTGGGAGGTTTAAACAATTGACAACTAAGTCCCTCCTTCAGAGATAGTTACTTCATTTGTCCGGAGTGTAGTCTGGGCAGTCTGATTTTTAGAAAAGCCTTTCAGGAGATTTTAATGGGCAACCAAGGTTCATAATCACTAGTATATAGCTAGGAGTGGAGTTTCTATGTGCCTTTTCATCATTGTAAACTAGTGTCAAATTGTTTTCCAACATGATTATACTAGTTTATACTCCTACCAGTGGTTTATGGATTTCTACGTCCTCCTGTGTATTATCAGACATTTAAATTTTTCCTAATCTTATGAGTATCAAATTTTCTTATCTTTAATTTTCCTGAATGCAGGTAATATTGATCTTTTATAGTTTTATGGTCCATTAATGTTCTGATTTCACCACACTCCCCACTACTACGTATTGCAACACCTGTTCCTCTTTATGCATTTAAATTACATTCTAGTCCTGAAGTCATTTGAATATATGACTTTGACTTAATTTGAAAGGGACTTAAAAATAGCTGCTTGTCAGGCATGTTCCTGGTAAGAACTTGTTTGGTTAGAATTCCTCTTATTTGTTGAAAGAGCCATATATTTTATTCTCTGACTACTTTTCTTTGGGGAAGACAAAGTATTTCTTAGATTTCAGACTTTTTATGTGAATCAGTTTTTGAATAAGCTCCTAAGTAAACTAAATATCTTGATTATTGAAAAAGAGAACAGTGTGTACTTCCACCTCTCACAAGTTCCCCAGAACTCCTATTAGCGACAGTAGTAGAAGATGGTATCGGGGTCTTTGTTGTGATCTTCTCTTTTATTAAACAAGTTTGCGTCCAAAAAGCCTTTTTTTTTTTTTTTTTTTTTTTTTTTGAGATAGAGTCCGATGGGTGACTTGTCAGTTGGGAGCTAAAGGTTAGAGGACAGGTCCTCTTCAACATTTGGACAGGCCACTGACTAAAACCTGATGGTAGCTGTCTTTTTCTTTGAGTTGCTGCAAACTTGTGGTTTGGTAACAAGGAGATTTGTGGGAACTAATTGTCTATTTAAAATGTCAGGTAACAAATATAAGAATATCCAGGCTGTAACTGGAGTTCTTACATTTGCTTAGCAACAGAACTGCAATTCAGACTAATATTAAATAGAGATTTTTCCTATTGTAATACTGCTTTTCCTAGTATAACTTTTTTCCCTTTTTTAGAGAATTATTTATAAAGGCAATAAACAGGCACAGATTGCCTTGCTGGTTAATACAATTTTATTAAAATACTTGAAAGGATAGTTCCTATAAACATGTTATAATACAAGTTCTTAGAGATGGTCACTTTTTTATTTTATTTAAGCTATAGCCATAACAGGTTTATAATGGGCTTTAAAATAGCTTGACATTTCATCTTTAATGAGTAATTTCCCTTTTATTTTAAGTGAAAGTAAGCTTCAAAATCTAGGCCTTTCAGAAGTTAGAATGATTGAGCATATAGGAAAGAGAGAATACATTGACTTTGGAGTTCAGAAGTAATTTTACAAATGACTACCCCGTTTCTTTGAAAATTATTTTAATCTTACAACTCTTGTTAGATTTTTAGTCCTCTGGAGTATGAACATTTTGCTTTCAATGTTTATATTCTTGAACTGTGCTTATGAAAATTTATACAACTTAGTAACTTTAAATTAGTAAAGTATAGCTATTTAAAATATAACTTCTAAGATGAAAATGTCCTAATAATGTTGCTTTTGCCAGTACCATTTTGACGTGACTACTATAAAGGAATTCAGGTGTCCCAAATTTGAACTGGTTTATCTCCTTTAAAAAATCCAAAGGCATTTTTCAAACATATTGTTAAAGGGCAGAATTAAAATATTAAACGATGTTCTTTGTCTATTAAAAGAAAAAGAGTTTCTTATATGCCTCTGTGTTACTGCTTTTTGGCAGTGCTTCATATGTATGGTAATAGAGGTTAATAGAAGTGTAGAATAATTGAAAACAAACTGATGAAAAGTTTTCCTTGTTTTTGGAGATTTCCTTAAAAATTTTTAATTGTGTGGCTCTAATCTGTAACCAAGTGTTTCATTAATTATTCTCTATATGTTAATATTATTTATATATTATAATATATTAAACGACATTATAATACAATATTGTTGCTTATATATCGAGTACCTGTATGATTTTTTTAGATTTAAATTTCTGCCTGAGAACAATACAACTATTAAGAGAACATCAGAGTTTTTGACATATAAAAATATTCACTTATAAATAATTCCAGACTGTTTACAATTTAAATAAGATTTGTCTTAAGAAAAAGTATCCCCATTCTCTCATAACTAATTCTTCTTTTTATGTTTTTGATTCCATTTCATCCTTCCTGCTACAACACCTTACGCTGTCAGTTATTCCTTTATTTCTCAAATTTATAATTTCTCCAGTTAATTCCTACCCTAATTCGACCACTGATTATTTCTTTTGATCTTGCTGTGTTATATTTGATTCCATTCTTTCCCTCTACACATTATCAGTTGCTTAGTCCTGTGAATTTCATCTCATCTCTGTCATCTCCTTTTATAATTTGAACCTTAAATTATATAGTAGTAATATTCTAGAAAGATTTTTATTCTGTTTTGTTATTTAAATGTGTATGTTTGTGTTTTTCAGAGCATTGAATGAAATGTGGAAATGTCAAAATCTGCTCCGACATCAAGTAAAGGATTTGCTTGACTTGATTAAGCAACCCAAAGTAAGTAAGAATTTTTTCCTTCAATGTTTTTTAAAACACATGTATTTTAATTACTATTTACCATTGCTGCTATGTGTTAAACAATTCTTTCTGTTTGCAAAAGTTCTGATTGTAGAAGTTAGGATTCCTTGTTTAGAAAACTCTGAATTTTTAAGAAACTTATTAGATAGAAAGTGATAAATGTTTATATCTGCAAAAGGTAATACCCAACATTACAGAGAGTGTGGGTCTGTGTACTCAAAGTTTTTTGGTAGCTTTAAAATAAAGGTGTAACAATAACTCAGCATTATTGAAAGCATAGAAAATCGAAAGAAATTGCACTTTATGTTGCCACTCTAAGATGTTCCCTACTTTTTTGTATATGCTTGTGGTTTTAGAAAGTTTCAATAATTATGTAATTAAAGTTAGGTATCTTGATGTTTTTACTTAATATTTATGAAGATTTTAATGTACTACCTAGTATTTATAATGTAATGATGGTATTCATCCATTGGATGTATCATATTTTATCTTTTATCAATCATTTAGAATGATTCTAGGGTTTTTTTTTTTTCATTGAAATGCTGTATGTAGACATGTAAAAGGCATAATTCATCTAAAAAGCAGTGCGCCTGGTCATTTTAAATTGCCTTCAGGGAAAACAAGAGTATTCTTTTTTCTTTTTCAGTTTAGAGTGCTTTTTCTCAATCTCCCTTCCACACATACACTTCATAGGACAGAGGTCAATGGAGCAGTGTTGTTTTCATCTAAGGGGTGAAAACTTTCACCTTTTCCCTAGGCATAAATTCACCAATTGCTCTACAAATCAAAAAACTCACACCATTTGAGTGGTTTATAGTGACCCTCTCACTATTTTTTTAAACCTTCAGATCACTAGTAATAAGACATTTTGTACCACCTTTTTTGCCTAATTGAAGCTCACATTTGAGTAGTATTTTTGTTTTATAGGTTAACAATGACCTCTTTGTGTTTTATTGAACATAACCTTTTTTCTGTGATTATTGAGTTTATCGAACCTGTTAAAATATGTTTTCCTTGAAAATAAATGACTTAAAACTGAGTGATTTTGCTGTCCTTTTTCTTAAACCCTGTTAAATTAGTATGTTTAGCCAATAAGCATGTTTCAGTTAGTGTCATAATGTAAGTTAGTGTGTTTTCATTAATAATCTCTGGATAAAGTGCCTCTCTTTGCTACTTGGAGCTCTGTATATTTACCTCCTTCTGGCCAGAGATGTAAGAGTGTTTATTAAAATTTTAAGATGTTCTTACTTACATGTATATAAAATTATTTGTGTTTAGGCATTATGGAAATCATAATAACATCCAGGTAGTATGTTAAGTGTATAAATCATATGTTGAACAGCATGATGTGTGAGATTGTAATCAAATATAACTTTGTTTTTGATTCTCACTGTTCCTCTAAAATTTATGTATTTAGTTGGAGCTTCTTCATTTTGCCTGTTGTTAAAAATTGGGAGGGTCTTAGACTTTCCTGCTGAGTCATACATGAAATCACTAGATACAGTCTCAATTCAGCTAGAATGTTTTAGTTCTTTTCTACAGTGTGGAATTTTCTTTTTGCTTGTCTTAAAATAATTACCCAGTTATCCACAGTAAAGATGGAGTTCTCATTCATGTGTGATGGTTTTGAAAAAGTAACAGAATGGAGGAGGATAGCCCAGCACCGCTTTGTTCCCCCCAAATAAAACAGCAACAATAGAAATCTTACATGTTTCTAGACAGCTGTTAGATGCTTTAAATTCCAAATAGTTGGGAATTAATTCTTGAACTTTATTACGCTTTAACTCTCAGTTCCTCTTAGCAAGCTCATTCTCAATAGGGATGGTCTTTTTGTGTATTTATTTGATTTATTGCTTTCAGTTCAATGTTTATTTAGCTCAGTACTTTAAATACACTTGCTCAATGACTTTTTTTGTTTCTGGTTTTTAAAATAACACTACTCTGATGCAGTGAATAATTAGCACTCTAAGAAACGTCTTTTATACATGACTTTACATGCAGTAGTACATGAATGTATTACATATGGTATAATGTAATGAATTAATTCACTGAAATAACACTTCCCTGATGCAACCCGTAACTAACACTCTTAGAAACGTCTTTTTTACGTGTCAGTCACATCTTAATTGTCTTTCTCCAGTGTCTTCCCCATAAGCTTCATGACCATGCCTTATAATTCTCAGGTCTAAACATTGTAGGAGTTTTCCCTGTTCTTTCAGCTCTAAAAAAAAAAAACAAAACCCCAAAATACGTACCTGTTACAAAATGTAGTGCAGCTGTCTGATTTCTGTTTGGAGGCTAACACAACAGGGTGAGGGAAGACATGATTAAAGTAGAGAAGGAGTTTACTTCTACCTCCTGTCCAGTTTATCTAGAGTTTAATAAAAATAGATGAAGAAGGTGACAGTAGTGGTAAGAGCATGGGTCTGCAGCATTTAGTGGGTTATGCTTGTCTAATTTTTTGCAGAGTATGATGAAGTTTTCTTGTTAGGGAATTTTAATTTTGCATTTTTTTGTGTGATTTACAGACAGATGCCAGTGTCAAGGCCATATTTTCAAAAGTGATGGTTATTACAAGTAAGTTATTTTAAAATCTGTATAAAAATGTAATTTTTATTGGAACATTTTTTATAATTTTAAGTGTTTCATGCAGTTTTGTTATAGGCTATGATAATATAGGAATTTTAAATTTTCTTTAGTGTCTTACATGAGCTAGAGCTGGAGAAAGGATTTAGTACATAAATTTATTTTTAAGAGTTTATTGAAATCATCATGTAAACTTATAAAAACTGAATCTGTGTTTGGTTTTGCTTGCTCTAATGTGACTGACTGAAGCTAATTCACTCCAAGCCAAAATATAAAGGATATACCTAATAACTACATACGTAACAGCTTCTTTGAAAAAATATTAATTTGCTTTTTTGCTTTAGGTGATGTTAAGTAAAATGGTATTTCATTTAACAGTAAATGCAAAAGGATTATGTGGAACATCTCCTTTGTTCAGTGGAAAAGTAGGGAAAAGTTGCTGTTTTTGCAGGTCATTTGCTTTTCCTCCCACCTCAGAGGTCACTGTGTATAGCAAATGGATAGAGGGATAATCAGAAACACCTGGAGGAATACTTCTGCTGAACTTCCACTTGGTGATAATGAAGAGATCTTAAGATGGATCTGAGATGCTAAATATTCCAAGATGTGTATGAAAGTAATGTTAAGACACTGAAGATAACAGTAAACCTAACTCACTGGTTTTTGGATTAAGTAATGGGAATATTAGAATGAGTAGAACTTTAAGACCAAAATGTTCTTCTGTCCTGGGAAAACTACTTTCCAGTCCCCTGGGTAACTTGCTAAAGCAAGTTGTTTTGTGCTAGTCCTTTTACAAAAAAATTAATTTGATGTTTAGAGGTGAGATCTTGCTCTTTTGCCCAGGGCTGGAGTGCAGTGGCACAATCATAACTCAAAGCTATCTTGACCTCCTGGGCTCAAGCCATCCTCCTACCTCAGCCTCCTGAGTAGTTGGGATTCCATGCATGTATTAACACACCCAGCTAATTTAAAAAATATATTTTTTAAGAGACTAGGTCTTCCTATGTTGCCCAGGCTAGTGCTGAACTGCTGGCCTCAAGTGCTGGGATTACAGGTGTGAGCCACGGTGCCTGGCCTATCACCTTTTTATAGTTTGGCTATGGATACTGTCTCCTAAAAGAGATCATTCCCTAAGTTCTTTTTTTTTTTTCCCTATCAGTTTTCTTCCAGTGAGTTCAATATTTCCCAGATTCTGTTTTCAAGGAATGCTGGTATCCTGCAGTTGTTAATAATATTGTGAGAAAAAGGGGTTTCATTGTCATATATGTTTATAGAATGCTAAATTGAAAGAGTTTTCTTTATCCCTTCTTTTCCCTACCCCCTTTTGCTTTTTTTTTCTGAAATAATAGGCCTTATTGTAGCCTTTATTATGATGCCCATCCATTATGAAGGGGCTGTAAAATAACACTTTCCAAAATTATTTGAAAAAATACCTTTTCCTGAACACTGTTAAACTCCACTGAACTACTAGTGGTCTTTGGAACACAGATTGCGAAGTGCTGCACTAGCAGTTTTCCAGCTTGCCCTCAGGTGCTTATTATGTAAACTTATAAAAACATTCCATTTATCTTCTATAAGTGATCATGTTTATCTGTTGTACTATAATGTGGTTCTCTTTCCTTGCAGATTTTTTTCTATTACAGAAACAGGAAAAGGTCATACAGAAGTATTTAGGAGGATTAATATATTTTTAGATTCTTAACTATATTAAGTCATTTAAATATCTCACCAAGACATAAAATGGGATTTCAGAATTATATGTGAACTTGAAGACTACATTTACTATGTTCATATTTTGGGGTTCACTCGAATTTCTACTACTATTTCGATAGTCCACAGAGTTCTCTCTTTTTTTTTTTTTTGAGACAGTCTCACTCTGTCGCCTAGGCTGGAGTGCAGTGGCGAGATCTCAGCTCACTGCAACCTCCGCCTCCCGGGTTCAAGCAGTTCTCTGCCTCAGCCTCCCGAGTAGCTGGGATTACAGTCACCTGCCACCACGCCAGGCTAATTTTTGTATTCTTTTAGTAGAGACAGGGTTTCACCATCTTGGCCAGGGTGGTCTTGAACTCCTGACCTCGTGATCCTCCTGCCTCGGCCTCACAAAGTGCCAAAGTTCCATTTTACAATTTCTGTTATTGGAGATGCTATATTCTAGTCTGGCTCTCTGCAACAGTTAAGAAGCCAGGCAAAAAAGATACCACAGTCAACGTTTTATTAGCTTTCATAAGTATTTTGATACATAGACACATTAGCAGAATAGTATAAAAATCATTTTTGATTCTGCAAAGACTCATTCTTTCCCATGCAGTAATGACTTACCCAGCAGTAACACCTGGATAGGTTGCTCAGTATATATCACTGCTAGATACATGCATGTATATGTAAACTCTCTGGGTTGGTTTAATGATAAACAGGGAAATACAGGAAAATAGTTCTTAAAGGTAAAACTTAGTGATTAATCTCTTAAATTATAAGAGAGCAATGTATGCAACAAGCTCAAGGGGACAGTAATAAAATTGGCATTATTCAGGTTGACATTTGATGCCTTTAAATATTACAAGGGATTACTTAGAAGTAGCCATTTTAGACTTTCCTTGCATATATGTCCCTTCACAATGCTCCTGTTTTATATTTCTAGAAAATATATTTTTATGTGTGAAAATTGACTGTTGAAGGTTTTTCACAATTTATTTTGTTAAACTAAACTGAATTTGTACGTAAGGATTTTAAGGCAATAAAAGGAATGAAAAATATTGACCTATTATTATTTTAAGAATTAAAAAAAATTGATTTTAATTGAACTTTAATTTATTTTAAGGAAATTTACCTGATCCTGGTAAGGCTCAGGATTTCATGAAGAAATTCACACAGGTGTTAGAAGATGATGAGAAAATAAGAAAGCAGTTAGAAGTACTTGTTAGTCCAACATGCTCCTGCAAGCAGGCTGAAGGTTGTGTGGTAAGGAGAGAAAAGAGCTGATGTTTGAAAAAGCCCCCAAATCTTCTTTATTGTTTCTCTCTTTTATAAAAGTAATTTATATTCATTATATTAAATTTGAAAAATGTCACATAAAAATGCAGATAAACTATAATTTCTCTATAGAGACAATTGTTAATATTGTGGTGTATGTCCTTCTAAAATGAGATATTATACATACAGTTTTGTACATTTTACTTTTTCATTAATTAGTCTTTTATAGTATTTAATAGCTCCATAGCATACCACTGAATACATGTACTATAATTTGTTGAGTAGTCCACTAAGTTACACATTTAGATTTTTTCCTACTTTTTGATTACTATTAAGAAGAATATAATTAATATTTTTACACAGTCTTGATTCTTTCTTTAGGATAAATTCTAAGAAGTACAATTGCATGGGCTAACAGCTCATTTTTAAAGCCTTTAATATGCTTTGGCAAATTGTTCTCCAGAACTGAATTAATTTTATGCTAATCACCAGTAATGAGAGTGACCATTTTCTCACACACAACAATATTGGTCAGTATCATTGCTGGAAACAAAACCCAAGTAAAAACAAAGAAAAACACAATTATTTTGATAGTATTTATATTTGTTAGTCACTAGTCATCTGACCATTTTTTTCTCCTTGGGATTATTGGCCATTCATATTTCTTTTGTAAGTTGTGTTTATAATATTTGCCTAGTTTTATAGAATGGTATTTATCTTACTGATTTGTGAGTTTGTCATATGGCATTTGCTAAGTTGCAGATAATTTTCTGTCAGTTTTAGTTTACCCTTTCTTTTTGTTTATTATGTTCTTTACATACCATAGTTTCTATCTTTAGGTAAGTCAGTATTTTCCTCATGGTGTTTGGCTTTGCTGTCTTGCTTATGAAATCCTATTCTGTTATAAGTCAATGAAAATATTTATTGTTGTCAGTGATTCTTAATCTGTTACCTATGTACCTTCTGAAATGCTTTTTAGAGAAAGATGATTCTTGACTTCACCCCAGATCAACTAAATGAGAATCTTCAGAGTTAAATACAGGAATCTATAGTTTTAACAAGCTCTTCTGATAATTTTACTTCCTCAAGTTTGTGCATCCAGTGACTCTTGGTTTTATTCATTTGTATTTTTATTCTTTTGGAATATTTTTGATGTAATATATGAGACAGGGACCTTACTTTGTTTTTATTCCAAATGTCTATCCAGTAATTTCAATACAGTGTATTGACTAGTCTACCTTTTCCCTGATTACTTGAAATATTACCTTTTTCATATGCTAAATCCTTAATTCAGTCTTTTTTTCTGGGCTTGTTCAATTCTTACAGTTTGTTTATTCCAGCGTCAGTACTACATGGTTTTAATTATTGTTGGTTCTTAATATTTTAACATAATGATTTGTTTAAATGTACTTTTGTAATACTGAAATAATCTGTATTACAGCGTGAAATAACTAAGAAGTTGGGCAACCCCAAACAGCCTACAAATCCTTTCCTGGAAATGATCAAGTTTCTCTTGGAGAGGATAGCACCTGTGCACATAGATACCGAATCTATCAGGTATTTGTATATAAAATACTAAGTTCTCATTGCTGTTCATTAATGTGTACATTCAGGAATCAGTCATTGTTGAGTGCCTGCTATATCTAGCTACACATCTGTGTGTATTGTGTACTCCTCTGTATATACTCCTCTGCATATACCTGTATTTGTATATGCACACACACACACACAGACACACACATATATATATATATACACTCATCTGTACCTGTATATTTGTTGTTATTCTTGTTATTTATCTTAATTTTAAGGATTGGTTCAAATTGTGTGAGAAATTGTCAATCTAAGCCTAATTTTATCTGTTAACGGTATACCAGACACTCTTTGTTTTTGTTAACTTGTATAGTTTAGGTAATATAAATAAATTTTATTTATACCCTTGGGAAACTAGGTGAATCTGTTGCAAAGGAACAAATGATACATTTTCACAGATAATTTGAGAACTGAAAATGTTGTTTTTTAAAACAACTCTCATTTAAAGTTTCAGCTTTGATACTACCTGTGAGAAGTTGGAAACATTTCTTTTTATCTCTGCATTCCCTTTTGTGAAATGTGGGAAGAGGTGTTTTTTTATTTTTAAACTTTCCCTAAAATGTTTTCCTCTGACTGAAAAAATAAAGTACTTATACAATATATATAGCGCATACTGACTTACTAGTTAGTCATCAGTAGTGTTCTTTGAGGGGTATATATTATAATCTAAAATAAATAATACTAATGATTTTTTCATCTTATGCTCAAACCCTGTTGGAGATGTTTTGTTGGGGAAGGCATTGGGCGTAGCTTTTGGTCATTGACCCCTTGCAAATAGAGAGACCCTACTTTGGTTACCTGTCAGTCACTTTGGACTCCTCTTGTATCGGTTTTCATTTGAAGAGGTAGTTCTGAGGTTTAAAAAGCAAGACAAGAAGTAGAAGCCTCTATATTTGTAAGAGGAAGACTCTGAATCAGACAAATTTATTAAGTAAGTAATCTCATGCCTTCTCTATTCAAGGCAGTACTCTTTAGGTACTGGCAAAGCATAGTGTGCTGTTATACCTTCTGTCAGTAGTGGAATAAAGATTTCAAATCAGGAGATTATATTGTAGTTCAGTAAGATTATTGCAAATAGAGTTCACAGTATTGAAAGAGGATATCTCTAAGGGATAATATTTCACCTAAGAGGGGAGAATGGGTAAGATTCTGTTTTTATAGAAGTGCCATTCTTGCCATTGAGGTTAACATAAATTAAGCTAATTTGATAGTAAAGAAAAGGGATATTTAGAAAATGATTGCCATCTATTTATAGTGTAATGTGGCATCATATAAAACTGTTATGAGATGATCCTTAAAAAGCCAGATGGGGAGCAGATTGTGAAAGCCTTTAACATTGAGCTTCCTTTTACTTTATCTGTTGAGAACTATGGATGATTGAGATGATGGCTAGGAGGAGGGAAGTAGAAGAGATAGATTGCCAAGGTGTTTTAATTGTCTATGGCTAGTAGTGGAATGGAAAGGAGACAACGTACTTGAAGGAAATTTTAAAACAACAACCTAAAAAATTGCCAGCTTACTGGGTATGGGGAATAAAGGCAAGGAAGAACCAGAAATATTAGGATTCAAGTCCAAATGATGTGGAGAATAGTAGTACCTTGAAAAGAATGAAAGGAACTGTTTTTGAAGGAGGTGAGAGAGGTTGTGCTTCCTACTTGTACATGACAAACAATTAAAAAAAAATCAAGGCCTATCAAGTTTAATGTGAAACTATGAGAATGGATTAATCTGCTCAGATTGTATAGAAAGAAGTAAAAAGATCATAGACAGAACTTTGGAAATTTTTTTTACAGTAGAGAAATTGTAGAAATGTAAGAAGACTAGGTTATTGTAATGTTTTGAGTTAAGATGGAGGAGGTTTTCAGAAGTAAAGTATATTGTGGACAAAGAGACTGAAAACCAGGAATAGATCTTGGCTTTAGGAATCAGAAGGTCATAGTGATCTAGAAGGTATGTCAAAACATAAACAATAAGAACAAGTAGCAGTTAGTGCTTTATAATGTGCCTGGTGTTACTCTAAGAATTTATGTTTTAACTAACTTCTTTCTCCAAGGATAGGAACTATTATTATTCCCATTTTACAGATAAAGAGCAGTAAATTGCACATAGGGTGAGTAACCTTCTCACTGCTGGAGTGTGGAAAACAGCATTTAAACCTAGGAAGTCTGTCTCTAGAGCCCACTTGGTTAACCACTACACTGTACAGAAAAATTCTACTTTTAGTCCCCTATAGTAGTCAGTGAATGTCCATTTCATCTGACTCTTCCCAACAGTGACTGTTAATCTTTTCAATATTTGTCATTTTATAGGTGAATGAAGAGATGTACCCTTTAAAAAAAATTTTTGTGTTTCAAATAGAAAAGTTGAGCAATTATTAATAAGGTTGAACTTTTTTTTTCATTTATGTCTTGGCTAATTTTATCCCTTTGGAGAATGCTTTTTATTTTTCCATAGGGACTCAGTGAAATTGTCTTTTTCTTATTGATTATAAGAATGCTTTATAAAACAAGGCTGTTCACCCAGTTGAATCACCTTTTAAATCTCTTTGCAATTAATAAATATTACATTGTATAATTAAATGTCAGTCATTTCCTTTGTGGTTTATTTCAGCCTTTGGTATCATATTAATAGCTCTGCTTTTTTACATTTACATCTGTAATTAGTCTGGAATTTAGTGTAAGGTGGACATAGAGACTTAGTCTTTTTTTTTTTTTGAGTAAGTCTCACTCTGTTGCCCAGGCTAGAGTGCAGTGGCTTGATCTCAGCTCACTGCAGCCTCCACCTGCTGTGATCAAGCAATTCTCCTGCCTCAGCCTTACAAGTAACTGGGATTACAGGCATGTGCCAGCACATCCAGCTAATTTTTGTATTTTTAGTAGAAATGGGGTTTCACCGTGTTGCCCAGGCTTGTCTTGAACTCCTGGCCTCAAGTGATCTGCCCGCCTTGGCCTCCCAAAGTGCTGGGATTACAGGCATGAGCCACTGTGCCCCGGCCTTGACCCAGTCCTTTTTACACTTGATCCTAGCCAAAAGGCTGAGAAGAGATGACCCAGTCTTTTTCAAAGGCACATGGTAGATAGTTGTATGAACTCCATTTACAGAAAAATTGATTCTCATTTGATTTGAGGTGTTCCTTTATTATAGCGTAAATTCTTACATGGTTTGGATCCTTGCTGGATTCCCTTTGGTTCTTTAGTCTTCTGAGGTTGTGATACATTAGAGGAAGTTCTTTCATCCCTCCTTCCGTAAAATTTATTGGCTGTTCCTAAGCACTAATTAATTCTTCCATATGAGACTTAGTATGTACCTGTGGAATCTTGTCCCATACCAAATGACATAGAGATTCTGTACATTACAACTTTTTAGTTATGTTTTTATATTTTGACTTGTTATTGTGAATAGATTTCCCCTCTCTGTTTTTTTAGGTAGTTTTTGCTGATACAGAAAAGTGCTATTGATTTTTGAGTGTTTTGTTTTACTCCACTGAATTCTTAGTATTTTAAAATAGTTTTTCAGTTGATTTTCTTTGATCTTTCAGGTAGGTGCTTTCCCATAGATTTTCGTATACCTGGCTGTTAGTAGTTCAGTTGTCCTTCCTCAGAAATCCCTTTCCTAATTACCCTGGCTATGGAACTTTTCTTCTTGTTGTGGCCTTTTTTTGTAGTCCATCTTGTTCTCTGATGATCTTTTTAATGTGTTTGTTAACTTATTTTTTACTTGCTTCACTTCACTGAGAGCTTCATACTCTCAGTCGTGGAAGAAAATGAGTTTACTTTTGGAAATGTGATAGTTTTCATTCCTGCGTATATCTAGGTTAAAAAATCTTGGGGCTACTGAAAATATGGAAAGGATTCAGATTGAAGATTTGTATTTGGAATAGTTGGAGATAAGAGAATAAGCTGATTAGGGAAAATGAGCAGAAAAAGAGAAAACACCCTCAGAAATACCAACTGTTAAAGAGATGATCAATTTAAGGGGACCCTATAATGGGGACAGATATATTTAACTCCTAACTTGACCTTAAATTTGAATATATAATATTTTCGTAGAAGCATATTTACTAAACATTTTAAGGAACATTGAATAATTGAATTTTCTTGTATTTTGGTATGTTTTCTGTCTCTGGTGGTGTTTTTTATAAAAAGGACAAATACATACCCATCAGTATAAATGATTATTTTAGATAATTGTCAATGCATTACAAATGTTTATTTATATTTTTAGAGATAGGGTCTCACTCTGCCACCCAGGCTGGAGTGCAGTGGTGCATCATAGCTCACTGTAACCTTAAGCTACTGTGCTTAAGTGATCCTCCCAAATAGCTGGGACAACAGGCACACACTACCATGCCAGGCTAATTTTTTAAATTTTATGTAGAGACAGGGTCTCGTTATGTTGCTCAGGCTGGTCTTGAACTCCTGGCCTCAAGTGACCCTCCTTTTTCAGCCTCCTAAGTGGCTGTGTTTACAGGAGTGAGCCACTGTGCCTGGGTACAGATGTTTATTTTAAAATAACAAGCTTGGCCGGGCGTGGTGGCTCACATCTGTAATCCCAGCACTTTGAGAGGCAAAGGCGGGCAGATCACTTCAGGTCAGGAGTTTGAGACCAGCCTGACCAACATGGTGAAACCCCGTCTCTACTAAAAATACAAAAATTAGCTGGGTTTGTTGGCGCGCACCTGTAATCCCAGCTACTTGGGAGGCTGAGGCAGGAGAATTGTTTGAACCCAGGAGGCGGAGGTTGCAGTGAACCGAGATCACGCCACTGCACTCCAGCCTGGGTGACAAAGTGAAACTTCGTCTCAAAAATAAATAAATAAATAAATAAATAAATAAATAAATAAATAAATAAAATAACATAAGCTTGTTTTTATTAGAAGAAAGCTTGAAAACATCATGTTTCCTTTTGATCTATTGTAGTTCCTTTTCTGATGTTCTAATGAGGTTTTATTGTATGTCTGTTACCTAGGATTCTTACACCTTTTAGGAGGAGGCCTAGGTATATTTCTGACTTTGACAGCTGTGCGTGACACACAGTAATATTTGGTAAATGGTTTGGAAGTGCTTAATGTTTCCTTTATCATTTTTTATTTCTGTGTATATTGTTCTACTTACTGGACTAGTGATCAGTTTTAGATAATTAAAAATAATTTGTCATTTATGTGTTTGGGCTCAGACCTGCCATGGAAAAGATGATAAAGATATTGATAGCATTAATAAAGAGCAAATTGAATAACATTTTGACCTCATTTGAATGGGCAAGGGAAAAGAATTGTTTTTGAAAAGAAGCATCTGAAAATACTATAGTTGTTTTGCAGTAGTGTTAAAAACCAGCTATATCAAATTTGTATTTGGTTCGGATATGTATATATGTATGTGCACATATATGTAACACAGGATTATTTTTCTTAGACATTGCTAGTAACATTTGAAAAAATGACTTTTTTGGTCATATTTTAGTGCTCTTATTAAACAAGTGAACAAATCAATAGATGGAACAGCAGATGATGAAGATGAGGGTGTTCCAACTGATCAAGCCATCAGAGCAGGTCTTGAACTGCTTAAGGTAAGTATCTATTTAAAATTAAGTGCCTAATTAGATATCTGTTTAACATATACAGTTTATATTATTTGTTCTTGATGTTTTCTTCTTAAGTTTGTATAATCCAAAGTAAAATTTTCTCAGTTGTTTTAGATGATTTAGAAGTTGTATATTTATTCTTACATGTAATCTGATTATTTTGGGGTTTAAATGCTGTAATCTAGCCTAGTACTAATTATATTAAAATAGTGGAGTATAATTCAGGGTGTCATTAGTGAGCAAAGAAGGTACAACTCTGCTGTAGAATGAGCCAAATTCTTTCTAAAACTCTTATTTTTTTTTGTTTCATAAAATATTCTGTCTTTTACTGATTGTAAAAATATTAATTCATTATTGACAACTTTAGAATATATAAAATTATAAAAAACATAGGTTGATCATACATAAACATTAGTTTCTTTTGTTTCCTTTTAATCTTCAACAAATGCATAGTTGGGATCATTGAGATCAAACTGAATATACAATTTTGTATCCTTAACTATTTTCCCTTATTAAAGTATAAGCATTTTTCTCGGTGTTTTTCAAGAGTTTTTTTTTTTAAGAGTGTCTAAAGCAGATCTGGTTTTTGGCTGTCATCTAGTAGCTGTCTGCCTTTGACCACATTACTTGCCTCATTTCCTCATATGAAATCGAGATAATAATAAAGTACTTGTCTTGCAAAGGACGTTAAAGCTTGTACATGAATTTCTTAGCACCATGCCTAGCTCATAGTAAAAATAATAATAAACATTTTTGAAATGGTGATTAGCCCATATTTGGGGCATCATACTATCCTACCGAGGTAGGAGGCAGGACTGGACTCCAGAGGCGGAGCTCAGATACAGGACCAAATTGAGGACTAGCTAAAACAAGGGCGAGATAGAAGCAGCTTTCCAGAAGACATGCCCACCAATGTGCCTTGTCAGTTTACCATTGCTATGGCAATACCCCGGAGTTACTGTCCCTTTCCTTGGCAATGACCTGATGACCCAAAAGCTACTCCCCGTTCCCTAGGAATTTCTGCATAAACTGCCCCCTTAGTCTGTATATAATTAAAAGTAGGTATAAATATTACTGTAAAACTGCCCTGAGCTACAACTCTCTGCACCCTACCTATGGGGTAGTACTGTTCTGCAGAAGCAGTCATAGAGGTGTATGTAACACCTCCGGAGCAGTAAGACTGCTGCTTCAGTAAAGCTATTTTCTTCTGCCCTATCACTGGCTTGCCCTTGAATTCTTTCCTTGGCAAAGCCAAGAATCCTTGCGGGCTAATCCTCACTTTGGGACTCTCCTTTCTCTGTATCACTAGTATTTTCCTATTGTTGAATATTTTGATTTTTCTACTTTTATTCTTACAAACAACACTAAGGTGAATGTTTCTATGTAAGATCTCTTGGTAATATCTTATTTTTTAGAAAACTGGGAGAGCATTACTGAGTTAAAGAGAGTGACCACTTTCAAAATTCTTGGAGCAATATATATTTAAATTGCTGTACAGGGAAATTTTACCGATATATAATCCCATCAGTAGTATGTGAAGGTACCCGTCTTTTTAACCTTCAAAATATGGAATATAATACATTTTTAAAAGATTTGCGAATCTGATAAGCAAAAATAATGTTTTAATTTGCATATTTAATACTAGTGAGGTCCATATGTTAATCATTTGTGTTTTCCCTATGGTCATTTTTATCCTTTGCTCATACATCTACTGACATCTCTATCTTTTGTTTTTTTTTAAACTGATTTAAATAAGCTTTTTATTTCCTTTGCTTTTTCCTGGGACATATTTGATATATGTACAAACATGTATTCTCTTATATGTAAATTATGAAGTGTAGTAACCAAGTGAATACAAGTGAAAAGTAAATAGAGTGTCAAATTAAATTGAATATTAAAAATACTGTTCAAGTTCCCTGAGTAGTCTTTTTTCTTGCCTGCTTACATCCCCTTACCAGGTATCATTGTCCTGAATTTTGGATTTATTATTCTTTCAATATTCTTTATAGTTTTATCATCTATGTATGTATCTCTAAATAACATGTTGCTTATTTTGATTATTTTAGAAACTTATAAATGTGGCATTATACTTAGTATATTTTTCTGCTGTGTGCTGTTTTTTTTACATTCCACATTTGATTCCTTTTGTTTATTTTATGCTTTAAAAAACCCTATCTTATACAGAGGGTTTTTGTTGTTTTTATTTTTTAAAATCTTAAACACAACCCATCTGAAATTTATTTTGAAAGTGTGTTGTGGGGGCAAGGGGTCTAATTTGATTTTCTCCCAATAGCTATTCAGTTTTCCCAGGACTATTTATTTTCTGTTGACTTCTTTGTAATCTCTTACAATTTATATAATCTAATTTTTTATATATTCTAGAGTCTACTTAACTGCCTTACATTTTCTGTTTCATGATTATTCTAATGTTCGTACCATTGTGATTTGGACATTGGAACTTTATAGACTTTTTTACTGTCTGGTCAGTCTAGTTTATTCTCCTCTTCTTCAGTCTCTGCTAATGATGTTTATTGAGAAGATGAGAGATGTTTTGTTAAATTCTCTCTTCATGTCCCCTTTTCTCCTCTCATTCCCCACCAAAAAACCTGAACAATAATCAAAATCTAAATTATTTTGATTAAAATTATATTAACATGTAATTTAATTTTGGAAGAAATTACTTCATTATATCATACAATCTTCCTACAGAGGAACATTTCTGTTACATAGTTGAGTATGTTTTAAATTTTATTTATAGTGCTCTCAGATTTTGGTCAACATAATTTTTTTTAATAGACTTTGATTTATAGTATTTCTAATATGTAATATTTTGGATTTGTATTATAAAGATGAAAAAGTTTTACAAATCATTTTTATGATTCATTTTATAGGTACTCTCATTTACACATCCCATCTCATTTCATTCTGCTGAAACATTTGAATCATTACTGGCTTGTCTGAAAATGGATGATGAAAAAGTAGCAGAAGCTGCACTACAAATTTTCAAAAACACAGGAAGCAAAATTGAAGAGGATTTTCCACACATCAGATCGTGAGTTGAGTTTATTTTCAAAAATATTCTGGACATCAGAAACATAATTATTTCTTGATTTATGCAATAATTGGGAATCTTTCAAGTTTTGAGGAAAAACTGTCTAGGTTATCTTAAGTCTGTAATGTTCAGTTTAGATTCTCCTTTCCTGGGAGAAAGCTTTGATTGGTATTTTAGAAGATGCATGAGTGTGGGGGATAAACATGGCATGTCTTTCTGATGCATCAGTTAGATAGTCCCTGGTATATTATGGCATAGAATAAACAATTCATATGAATTTAAGGTATGATGGGAAGTTTCAAAGGAATTTCATCAGGACTATCCATAATATTCTTTAGTTTCCTCTGTGATTTAGGGCTGAAACAAAAAAAAGTCGGAAGCAGTGCTTTAATTGACACAGGGAAGTCGAGAAGCATGGAATACTTACCTTAACAGCAGTGCAATTTTGTCTGTGTTCCAGTATTTCCCATAATTGCAAATTGAGCTGTTATCCTGGGATAATCATAGTTCAAGATTTTATAATCAGAAGAATAAATCTTCATTTCTTACATGGCACTGCTTACTTCTCTATGTATATCTCTTCTTCTAGTTCTTGGAGAGAAGATGGAATAGGTGGTTCTGATACTGGCGTAGTCATAGGTGGTTGCTTTCACCTCTACCTCATCACTTCTGGCTTACCCATTAGTCTGGTTAGTTGTGATTGGGGTACCATGCTTTTATATGGAGAAGAATTGCCTATGGGTCTTTTCCTTAGAAAGAGACTGGGAGTAAAGCTAGCTCGCAATTAGAGTTTCAGGTATAATTTCTGTTATTCCTTTCTGTTCATGTGTACTTTATTCTAGAAACTGCTGATAAATAGAACAAAGGCATTATTATTATTTTCTTTTTTTCTTTTTTTTTTTGAGATGGAGCCTCACTCTGTTGCCCATGCTGGAGTGTAGTGTGGTGTGATCTCAGCTCACTGCAACCTTCACCTCCCAGGTTCAAGCGATTCTCCTGCCTCAGCTTCCTGAGTAGCTGGGATTACAGGCACACGCCCCCATGCCCGGCTAATTTTTTGTAGAGACAGGGTTTTGCCATGTTGGCCAGGTTGGTCTTGAACTCCTGACCTCAGGTGATATCACCTGCCCGCCTCAGCCTCCCAAAGTGCTGGGATTACAGACATGAGCCAGCGTGCCTGGCCGGCAATTATTTAAATGGTAATAGAAACCTACTAAAATTTTATAACAGTCTCTCTGGCAAGAGTAAGAAACCTTATTATTTGGAACTGACTTGAAGTCTTACTCTGTCACCCAGGTTAGAGTGCTGTGGCGCAATCTTGGCTCATTGCAGCTTCTGCCTCCCAGGTTCAAGCAATTCTCCTGCCTCAGCCTCCTGAGTAGCTGGAATTACAGGCCTGCACCACCACACCTGGCTAATTTTTGTATTTTTAATAGAGACAGGGCTTCACCATGTTGACCAGGCTGGGCTCCAACTCCTGGCCTCAAGTGATCTGCCCGCTTCCGCCTCCCAAAGTGCTGGGATTACAGGCATGAACCACCGCGCCTGGCCTTGACTTCTAATTTTTAAGTAATCCCAGAGCATAAGCTTCCCTTTGGATGGTGCTATGGCTCTCCTAGTCAGATCAGAGATGAGAGTTTGGTTGTATGTATGTGTATGTGTATGTGTGTATTTGTCGCACACACATATGTAGTACGTATACATACCCACTCATTATGTATAAACTGTATATAACAGTATACCATTTGCTGAATGCCCACTTACTATACTGTCTCATTTAAACATTGTAACAATTCAGTGAAGTGCGGTTATTATCCTAGTTTTCCAAATGAGGAATCTAATGTTCAAGTGGTAAATGGACCCAGGTCATACAGCTAGCAAGTGACAGAGCCAGGATTTGAATTTAGGCCTGTTTGGCTCCAGTGCCTATGGTGCGATATCCATTACAGCAGTTTCTTTTCTAATTAGAGCATTGACAAAGTTCAAATTTGGCTTATTCCCTGGAGGTTTTATTATTTTCATTCTAGATTGTTTTTCCCTAGTAACTTTTATATTTTAAAGAAACATGGTTTGATATATTTGTAGAACCACAAGAACAGGGTCAAAAGGTGGACATTTTAAAATGTACATGGAGCATTTTAAAATGTATTGCTTTAATATGGAACTGAAGTATTTAAAATATTTGATTTATATACTGAATATATTTCAGATACTTCTCATGAGGAGAATTAACTCAGCTGATACTGAATTCCTGCAGTGTGCACACACTGTTGTTGATGAAATAACTCATAATAATTTCTTCCAGGAGATAAACTATGTATGTAGATTTAATTTTTTAAATTATTAAATTGGGTGAGTTGATTTTGAGGAAAAATAATATAGTTAAGAGAATGTTGATTAAACTGTCTTCCCTTGAATTCATCAAAATAATTAAAAAGAACCTAAAGAAAAATGTATTTAAGTAAAGCTACCACCAACTGGACAGAATTGGCACCAGATGTGCCCTTAAGACTCTATTGAAAGTGAGAGCACTGACAAGGGATATGTATTGGCAGTGTACTGTAAGTGTCCTATTATTTGCTAATTTAGAGGGAGGATATTGCTATATGGACACACTTTAAGAGAAAGAAAGAAAACCTGATTTTAGCTGTACTAGGACTAAAGGAGAGGCTTTGTGGTCATAGTATTTTTCTTTAGGTCAACCTGTTTACCAGGAAGAGCAAAGTTTAGTGATGAGGTAAGACTAAGGAAAATCATGAAGGAAATATCTTTTTACCAACTTTACGGGAACAGAAGAAAATTATACGCTTAACCCATTAAACAAAAAATGAAGATGAGTTATGGGGTTCCATAACGATGAGTTATATGAGTTCCATTGTGTCTCAGCTTGTCTCTCAGGAGTCTGACTCCCCTAAAAGTAGTTAGATGTGCCAAAACTGAGGATCCTGTCATAACATGTGATGTACCCATAGCTCAAGTGACTGGTTCTTATCCTTGTAAGAGTTTTAACAAATTTGGAGATAAATTACACAGAGAAAAAGGACTTACTACCTTTAGTCCTAACTCTCATTCCTATGCTACTTAGCCAGGTGATGAAGCAACTGTAGCCTGAGTTGGGAGCTTTGATGTTAATTTTTTAAAGAAGTGTTCAGTCATCCGGGAGATGCTAACTATACTTTTGTTTAAATAGCAAAGCCAGAGAGAATTTTTCTTATTCAAAGATGAATTAACAGAATACAGATAAGCAAGTTAACAAACACAAAACCTATGTAAATATCTTAGCATTCCAAAGTAACTGATAAGCAATACTTAAATAACTGTCTTAGTTATTTAAGCTGCCAAGGAAGGTAAACAGCAAATGACATGAGAGAAAAAAGATAACAAAAATGAAGTAATACATGAAAAAGAGCTAAGGATATTGACTATAGAATATAATTTAATATAAGTAGCAAGGAGCAGAATAAACAATGTGGAAGATGGAATCAGTAAGCTAGAGATTTGGCTTGAGGAAATCTGCATAGAATATAGAGAAATTGGAGAGAAAAAATGGAGTTAAAGGGAATGAATTGCAGATAGTGAAAAACCATAATTGACATCTTTGGAGAAGACAGTAGAATAATGGGAAATGGAAAATATTCAAGAAAATAATAATAAATTTGTTCTGAATGATTTAAAATATGAATCTGGAGGTGAAGACTCATTTTTGGAAAATATACTGGTGCAGTTTGCTAAATTTTCAGGGATTGCAAAAGTGATTTCACAAATATCAAGAAAAACTAGTTATATCGGGGAACCTGCCCCGATAATCATGTAGGTTCTTTTCTATTTTTCCTAAGCGGCGGCCGGCTTGAGAAATAAAGGGACAGAGTACAAAAGAGAGAAATTTTAAAGCTGGGCATCCAGGGGAGACATCACAAATTGGTAGGATCCGTGATGCCCCACAAGCCACAAAAACCAGCAAGTTTTTATTAGAGATTTTCAAAAGGGGAGGGAGTGTGTGAATAGGTGTGGGTGACAGACATCAAGTACTTAACAGGGTAATAGAATATCACAAGGCAAGTGGAGGCAGGATGAGATCACAGGACCACAGGACAGAGGCAAAATTAAAATTGCTAATGAAGTTTCGGGCACCATTGTCACTGATAACATCTAATCAGGAGACAGCGTTTTGAGATCAACCGGTCTGACCAAAATTTATTAGGCGGGAATTTCCTCTTCCTAATAAGCCTCACAGGACCACAGGACTGAGGCGAAATTAAAATTGCTAATGAAGTTTTGGGCACCATTGTCATTGATAACATCTTATCAGGAGACAGGGTTTTGAGATCAACCGGTCTGACCAAAATTTATTAGGCAGGAATTTCCTCTTCCTAATAAGCCTAGGAGCGCTATGGGAGACTGGAGTCTGTTTTAGCTCTGCAGCCTCAACCATAAGAGACAGGCGCACCTGGGGGGGCTGTTTATAAGCCTATACCTCCAGGTGCGTATTCTCTTTCTCAGGGATGTTCCATGCTGAGAAAAAGAATTCAGCGATATTTCTCCCATTTGCTTTTGAAAGAAGAGAAATACGGCTCTGTTATGCCTGGCTCACCGGCGGTCAGAGTTTAAGGTTATCTCTCTTATTCCCTGAACGATTGTTGTTATCCTGCTCTTTTTTCAAGGTGCCCACATTTCATATTGCTCAAACACACATGCTATATAATTTGTGTAGTTAACACAATTATCACATGGTCCTGAGGCGATATACATCCTCCTCAGCTGACAGGATTAAGAGATTAAAGTAAAGACAGGCATAGGAAATCACAAGAGTATTGATTGGGGAAGTGATAAGTGTCCATGAAATCTTTACAAATTTTATGTTTAGAGATTGCAGTAAAGACAGGCATAAGAAATTACAAGAGTATTAATTTGGGGAACTAATAAATGTCCATGAAACCTTTACAATCCATGTTCTTCTGCCATGGCTTCAGCTGGTCCCTCTGTTTGGGGTCCCTGACTTCCTGCAACATAGTTAGGTCAGCGCAGTGGAAAATAATGAAGCTGGCTGACTTCTTTTCAAACCACACACAATTTCTGAAGTTAATGATTCAACAGCTGGAGAGTTCTGATGGAAAAAACAGTATAACTAAAGAATTTCCTAGGCAGCCCTAGCTACTTTTAAGTAGGGGCAAATGAAGGATATTCTTAAGTATACAGGACTCAGTAAATGTACCACCCCTTTTTTATCATGAGGTTACCCTGTCTACATAGTTTTATGCTTTTCCGTCTGGAACTCAGTTTTGCTTATGCCCTCTAAATCTAGATTTTGTTTCCTTTTTGTTTGTATATCTCTGATTTGTCTTTGCCTATCATTTTAGTTTAATTATTTAACTTTTAGATATGGCTATGTAAATGTATTTGAAAACCTGGATTTTTAAGAATGATGTAAATAAGTTCAAGATGAGGAAAGACAAAAACCTAACAGACTCTAGTTATAAAAAAATTGAAACATTATTCGCTAATAAAACCACCAGTGTAGCTCTCCCTCTCCCTCTCCCTATCCCTCTCCCTCTCCCCACGGTCTCCCTCTCCCTCTCTTTCCACGGTCTCCCTCTGATGCTGAGCCAAAGCTGGACTGTACTGCTGCCATCTCGGCTCACTGCAACCTCCCTGCCTGATTCTCCTGCCTCAGCCTGCCGAGTGCCTGCGATTGCAGGTGCGCGCCGCCACGCCTGACTGGTTTTCGTATTTTTTTGGTGGAGACGGGGTTTTGCTGTGTTGGCCGGGCTGGTCTCCAGCTCCTAACCGCGAGTGATCCGCCAGCCTCGGCCTCCCGAGGTGCCGGGATTGCAGACAGAGTCTGGTTCACTCAGTGCTCAATGGTGCCCAGGCTGGAATGCAGTGGCGTGATCTTGGCTCGCTACAACCTCCACCTCCCAGCCGCCTGCCTTGGCCTCCCAAAGTGCCGAGAGTTGCAGCCTCTGCCCGGCCACCACCCCGTCTGGGAAGTGAGGAGCGTCTCTGCCTGGCCGCCCATCGTCTGGGACGTGAGGAGCCCCTCTGCCTGGCTGCCCAGTCTGGATAGTGAGGAGCGTCTCTGCCCGGCGTGCCATCCCATCTAGGAAGTGAGGAGCGCCTCTTCCCGGCCGCCATCCCATCTAGGAAGTGAGGAGTGTCTCTGCCTGGCCTCCCATCCTCTGAGATGTGGGGAGCGCCTCTGCCCTGCCGCCCCATCTGGGATGTGAGGAGCGCCCCTGCCCGGCTGCGACCCCGTCTGGGAGGTGAGGAGTGTCTCTGCCCAGCCACCCCGTTTGAGAAGTGAGGAGACCCTCTGCCTGGCAACCGCCCCATCTGAGAAGTGAGGAGCCCCTCCGCCCGGCAGCCGCCCCGTCTGAGAAGTGAGGAGCGCCTCCGCCCAGCAGCCACCCCGTCTGGGAAGTGAGGAGTGTCTCCACCCGGCAGCCACCCCATCTGGGAGGGAGGTGGGGGTCAGCCCCCGCCAGGCCAGCCGCCCCATCCGGGAGGGAGGTGGGGGGGTCAGCCCCCCGCCCGGCCAGCCGCCCCGTTTGGGAGGGAGGTGGGGGGGGTCAGCCCCCCGCCCGGCCAGCTGCCCCGTTTGGGAGGTGAGGGGCGCTTTTGCCCAGCCGCCCCTACTGGGAAGTGAGGGGCCCCTCTGCCCGGCCAGCCGCCCCGTCCGGGAGGGAGGTGGGGGGGTCAGCCCCCTGCCCGGCCAGCCGCCCTGTCTGGGAGGGAGGTTGGGGGGTCAGCCCCCCGCCCGGCCAGCCGCCCCGTCCGGGAGGTGAGGGGTGCCTTTGCCTGGCCGCCCCTACTGGGAAGTGAGGAGCCCTTTTGCCCGGCCAGCCACCCCGTCCGGGAGGGAGGTGGGGGGGTCAGTCCCCCGCCCGGCCAGCTGCCCCGTCCGGGAGGGAGGTGGGGGGGTCAGCCCCCCGCCCGGCCAGCCGCCTCGTCCGGGAGGGAGGTGGGGGGGTCAGCCCCCCGCCCGGCCAGCCGCCCCGTCCGGGAGGTGAGGGGCGCCTCTGCCCGGCCGCCCCTACTGGGAAGTGAGGAGCCCCTCTGCCAGGCCACCACCCCATCTGGGAGGTGTACCCAACAGCTCATTGAGAACGGGCCATGATGACAATGGCGGTTTTGTGGAATAGAAAGGGGGGAAAGGTGGGGAAAAGATTGAGAAATCGGATGGTTGCCGTGTCTGTGTAGAAAGAAGTAGACATGGGAGACTTTTCATTTTGTTCTGTACTAAGAAAAATTCTTCTGCCTTGGGATCCTGTTGATCTGTGACCTTACCCCCAACCCTGTGCTCTCTGAAACATGTGCTGTGTCCACTCAGGGTTACATGGATTAAGGGCGGTGCAAGATGTGCTTTGTTAAACAGATGCTTGAAGGCAGCATGCTCGTTAAGAGTCATCACCACTCCCTAATCTCAAGTACCCAGGGACACAAACACTGCGGAAGGCCGCAGGGTCCTCTGCCTAGGAAAACCAGAGACCTTTGTTCACTTGTTTATCTGCTGACCTTCCCTCCACTATTGTCCTATGACCCTGCCAAATCCCCCTCTGCGAGAAACACCCAAGAATGATCAATAAAAAAAAAAAAAAATAAATAAATCAATAAATTAAAAAAAAAAAAAAAGCACCAATGTAAGTTGTGTCTTGAGGGAGATATTTCAAATCTATAAGAAACCAGGAATTCTAATTCTTTTAATTGTTCAGAGTATAGAAAAGAAAGCACTCATTTTCTTTACAGCCAGGATAACTAACATGAATACTAAAACCTAGTAAAAGATATCCTCCCCACCCACCCCCCCAAAAAAAAACGCTAAGACAAATCTTACTAATATGTGATTTTTGTATAAGCAAGATAGTAGCAAAAAGAGAATTTAAATAATAAAGCGAGAATATATTATGGCCAAACATGGTTAATTTTAGGAGTATACAGAGAGCGTTGGTACAATATTAGTAAGCCTACTATTTATGTTTACAATTTATTATATAAGTAGGGAAAAGGGTATACAATAGATCATTTTTGATAGATGCTGAAAGGGCTTCTGAATTTTTTTTTTTTTGAGACGGAGTCTCGCTCTGTCGCCCAGGCTGGAGGGCAGTGGCATGATCTCGGCTCACTGCAAGCTCCGCCTCCCGGGTTCACACCATTCTCCTGCCTCAGCCTCCCGAGTAGCTGGGACTACAGGCGCCCGCCACCATGCCCGGCTAATTTTTTGTATTTTTAATAGAGACGGGGTTTCGCTGTGTTAGCCAGGATGCTCTCGATCTCCTGACCTTGTGATCCGCCTGCCTCGGCCTCCCAAGGTACTGGGATTAGAGGTGTGAGCCACCACGCCTGGCCAAAAAAATCAGTCTGTTTCTAATTAAATCTAATAAGATAGGAATCCGTACCTTCATAACATAATTAATATCTCTCAAACCAATAGGCAGCATCATGTAAAACACCAGTAGCATTCCCAATAAAAGCAGGAACAAGGTGAGATACCACACTATCTCTGCTATTGTTTAACATTGTTTTGGAAGCATTAGCTAGTGTAATTATGTAAGAATATAAAATAAGAAATACAAGTGTGGGAAAGGAAGAAGCTTTCATTTTTCTTGGAAAATCCAGGAGAATCAACCGAAAAACTACTCAAAATGGGGTAGCCAAAATGAGTATGTAAAAATCCAAAGTTTTCTGTATATAACCAACAATCATTTACATTATTATGGGAGTAAACATCAGAAGACCTAGAAGTAAAGTATACAAGAAATTTGCAATGCTGTAATAATGGTGGATGGGGGGATATAATACTTAACAAATACATTGGTCAGGAAAAGGTACGTTACCTAGTAAATAATTAGCAAGCAGTTTTGAAAGGAAAATAGACTGCTTACTTTGATTTTACATATATTCCAGAAGAATCAAAGACAAATTATTGCATTAAGTGTATAACATGGATTTGGTTTAAGTATATAACATGAATTAAAATACTAGTAACCAGTATATTTTTATAACTTCCTTGTTTGTAGAGGAAGGGACACTTATACCAAGTCATGAATGAAATATTGATGGGTTGGATTATTGTTATTATTACTATTATTATTTTGTTGAGATAGGGTCTTGCTCTGTTACCTAGACTGGAGTGCAGTGGCTCAATCATGGCCCACTGCAGCCTCAACTTCCTGGGCTCAATCAGTCCCCCCACCTCAGCCTCCCAAGTTGTTGTGTCTACAGGCATATGCCACCATGCTTGTCTAAATTTTGTATTTTTTGTAGAGACAGGGTTTTGCCATGTTGCCCACGCTGGTCTTGATCTCCTGGGCTCAGGTGATCTGCCTAGCTTGGCCTCCCAAAGTGTTGGGATTACAGGCATGAGCCACCATGCCTGGCCTGGATTGTATTATTTTTAAAAAATTCATTTGTTGCAAAAAAATCTATGTGTTACCCCCCACTCCCTGCCCCACCATGTATGGTATGGTTCTAGGTGTACAGTACAGTTCTAGGTGTCGAGGACATTGTAATAAAGAGGACAGGCTAAGTCTCTCTGCCCTTTTATTTTAGTGGGGGTGAGGAACCACTATTTAGATAAAAGCCAAAATCATGAAATAAGTTGGAAACACAAATGATATGCTGGAAAACTATTTTCAGTATATATTAGTTAGAAAAGGTTAATACCTGCAATGTATAAAGACCCCCCCCCCTTTTTTTTTTGTTTGAGACAGGGTTTCACTCTGTCTCCCAGGCTGTAGTGTAGTGGCTTGATCTCTTGGCTCACTGCAACCTCTGCCTCCCAGGTTCTAGCAGTTTTTGTGTCTCAGCCACCCAAATAGCTGGGATTACAGGCGTGTGCCACCACCCCTGGCAATTTTTTTTTGTTTGTGTTTTTAGTAGAGACTGGATTTTGCCATGTGGGCGGGGCTGGTCTCTGTCTCCTGGCCTTAAGTAATCTGTCCGCCTTGGCCTCCCAAAGTGTTGGAATTACAGGTGTGAGCCACTGTGCCTGGCTGCAATGTATTAAAGATTCTTAATGAAGGAATAACAAATATAAATCTCATAGTAGAATACTAGCAAAGAGAATGAACAGGAAATTTATAAGCAGGAAGTCCTGTCAGCCTTCCAAATCATGAAAAGATGCTTATGTAATCAAGGAAATACAAATATAAGCAATTATGTGATGCAACCAGTATTAGTTAGCATTCCAACAATGCTGTCTTGGTGGGAGTATAAAATGATGCTATGCTTCTAGGTTGGTAACGTGGTAATATATGCAAACTTAAAATGTGTATAGTTTTTGGCTCTGCACTTTCAGGAACTTATCCCAGAGATAATTAGAAAAGATGTGCACATAATCTGTCATATAGTTCAGGGTTCAGTCAGAGAAACAAACTATACTAGGTATAAAGTCATGTACTGCATAATGGTGCGTTGGTTAACGATAGACCAGATGTATATGGTAGTCTCTTAAGATTATGATGGAGCTGCACTGCACAGGGGTACAACTTTTATCTTTATTTTTTATTTTTATTTATTTATTTATTTTATTATTTTTTTTTAAAATTTTTTTAGTATTTATTGATCATTCTTGGGTGTTTCTTGGAGAGGGGGATTTGGCAGGGTCATAGGACAATAGTGGAGAGAAGGTCAGCAGATAAACATGTGAACAAAGGTCTCTGGTTTTCCTAGGCAGAGGACCCTGCGGCCTTCCGCAGTGTTTGTGTCCCTGGGTACTTGAGATTAGGGAGTGGTGATGACTCTTAATGAGCATGCTGCCTTCAAGCATCTGTTTAACAAAGCACATCTTGCACCGCCCTTAATCCATTTAACCCTGAGTTGACACAGCACATGTTTCAGAGAGCACGGGGTTGGGGGTAAGGTTATAGATTAACAGCATCCCAAGGCAGAAGAATTTTTCTTAGTACAGAACAAAATGGAGTCTCCTATGTCTACTTCTTTCTACACAGACACAGTAACAATCTGATCTCTCTTTCTTTTCCCCACATTTCCCTCTTTTCTATTCGACAAAACCACCATTGTCATCATGGCCCGTTCTCAATGAGCTGTTGGGTACACCTCCCAGACGGCGTGGTGGCTGGGCAGAGGGGCTCCTCACTTCCCAGACGTGGCAGCCGGGCAGAGGCGACCCCCACCTCCCAGACGGGGTGGCTGCCGGGCGGGGGCGCCCCCCACCTCCCAGACGGGGTGGCTGCCGGGCGGGGGAACCCCCCACCTCCCAGACGGGGCGGCTGCCGGGCGAGGGCTCCCCCCACCTCCCAGACGGGGTGGCTGCCGGGCGGGGGTGCCCCTCACTTCCCAGACGGAGCGGCTGCCGGGCGGAGGGGCTCCTCACTTCTCAGATGGGGCGGCCGGGCAGAGGTGCTCCTCAGTTTCCAGACGGGGTCGTGGCCGGGCAGAGGCGCTCCTCACTTCCCAGACGGGGTGGCGGCCGGGCAGAGGTGCTCCTCACCTCCCAGATGGGGTGGCGGCCGGGTAGAGACGCTCCTCACCTCCCAGACGGGGCAGCCGGGCAGAGGTGCTCCTCACATCCCAGACGGGGCGGCCGGGCAGAGGCGCTCCCCACGTCCCAGATAGTGGGCGGCCAGGCAGAGACGCTCCTCAATTCTTAGACAGGATGACGGCCGGGAAGAGGCGCTCCTCACTTCCCAGACTGGGTGGCCTGGCAGAGGGGCTCCTCACATCCCAGACAATGGGCAGCCAGGCAGAGACACTCCTCACTTCCTAGACGGGATGACGGCTGGGAAGAGGCGCTCCTCACTTCCCAGACTGGGTGGCCGGGCAGAGGGGCTCCTCACATCCCAGACAATGGGCAGCCAGGCAGAGATGCTCCTCACCTCCCAGACGGGGTGGCGGCCGGGCAGAGGCTGCAATCTCAGCACTTTGGGAGGCCAAGGCAGGCGGCTGGGAGGTGGAGGTTGTAGCGAGCCGAGATCACGCCACTGCACTCCAGCCTGGGCAACATTGAGCACTGAGTGAGCAAGACTCCGTCTGCAATCCCGGCACCTTGGGAGGCCGAGGCGGGCAGATCACTTGAGGTCAGGAGCTGGAGACCAGCCCAGCCAACACGGCGAAACCCCGTCTCCACCAAAAAATACAAAAACCAGTCAGGCGTGGCGGCGCACGCCTGCAATCCCAGGCACTGGGCAGGCTGAGGCAGGAGAATCAGGCAGGGAGGTTGCAGTGAGCCGAGATCGCGGCAGTACAGTCCAGCCTCGGCAACAGAGGGAGACCGTGGAAAGCGGGAGATGGAGACGATGGAGAGGGAGAGAGAGCAACTTTTATCTTTTACACCATATTTTTTCAGTACCTTTTCTATGTTTAGATATACAGATATTTACCACTGTGTTATAATTGCATATAGCATTCAGTACAGTAACATGTAGTACAAGTTTGTAGTCTAGGAGCAATAGGTCATACCATATAGGTATGAGTAGGCTATACCATCTAGGTTTATGTAAGTTTACTCTATGATGTTCTCACAACAATGAAATCATCCAGTGATGCATTTCTCAGAATGTATCCCTATTGTTAAGTGATGTATGACTGTATTTTAAACAAATTAATACAGATGTTTAAAGGACAAAAGAGAAAAATGTTGCATTGGTAATTCAGGGATACAAATTGGTGGAAGCAGCTACTACCTCTAGAGCTGGTGGGATAATTGGGAAGAAGTAATGTTAAGAGGTGGAGGAGCCCTGTCAGTATCACCCAACAGACTGCCAAAGTATGGCATGGCCTGGCTGTTGCTGGGGAGCAGTGAAACTACTGCTCAGAACGCCTTAAGAAGCTCTAGTGTCTTGCAGTGGAAGAAATTAATAGGAAACCAGCTCTTTGCAGATTTACAGCTTCAGGATCTCTGAGCAGATTATGAAAGGATAGGTTTAAAGCTCAGAGAGAGTATGTAAACAGCCAGCACAGGGATATTCATGGTATTGTTGTTAAGGTGTTTTTAAAAATTTTTAAATCTAAAATGCTTATCAGTATGAGATTAGTTTTGGTATAGCCATACACTATACATACACTGAGAGCTATGTGACTGTTAAAAAGAATAGTGCTTAGCAATATTTGACAAATGAGGTTCTACACACATTGTTGGTTGAAAAAAATGTTTCCAAATACTGTGTATTTTATATCCTTACTTATTAATGTCTGTATAATAATATGTCTAGAGAAATTTTAGGAGTGTTCACCAAAATGTTGACAGTATTGTTTCAGGGTAGTGAGATGCTGAGTTTTTTCTTTAGGGTTTCATGTATTTTTCAGTTTGAATGTATTTTTCATTTTCTATATTGGTATGATTGTTATCAAGGAAAAAACTTGAACTTGAAGGTAGAAAGTCAATTTAATGAGGGAATAAGAAATTCTTTTTAATAGGAAAAGCAGTCAGCATAGGTGGTTATTTATTTTCATTGACTTAGTACTGCAGAATTCTTAAAATTTTTTCTTTATGTTCATTGTTTCAGTTTGTTTTCTTTTAAAATAACTGAGTATGTAAAATATTGGATGAGCTAAAGGTTTCACATAACTATCTTTAAAAATCTCAGCTAAAGTTGCTGCTAGTGTGAACAATAATTTTTCTCTTGATTATTGGGGAAAGATTATAGGTGTTTGTGTTATCAAATCTGATTTATGAGAAGATAGGTCTTATCTATGAAGTTTAGTTACTGAAGTAACCACAGAATAATAATCTTTTATTTCACAAAGAAACCACAGACCATAGACTAAAAGATTAGTGTTTTAGTTATACTAATTTTTTTCCACGTTATATTATTGAAATTTTCAAACATATACAGAAGTAGGGAGAATACAAATCCCCAGGTATTCACCAACCAGCTTTAACAATGAATAAACTTACAGCCAGCTTTATTTTTTCTGTGCCTCCACACACTCCCTTGCTCCTCTTATATTTGAAGGCAAATCCCAGATACTGTCGTTTCATCTGTATATCTTTATCCCAAACACAGTTAACACTAATAACTTAATGTCCAATTGGTTTTCTCAAAAAATGTGTTTTTGTTGTTGTTGTTTGTGTCAGGGTCTTGGTCTGTTGCCCAGACTGGAGTGCAGTAGTCAGATCGTAGCTCACTGCGGCCTTGAACTTCTGGGCTCAAGTGACCATCCCACCTCAGCCTCTCAGTAGTTGGAACCACAGACACCACATCCAGCTAATTTTTTTTTTTTAAACTTTTTGTAGAGATGGAGTCTCTCATTATGTTGCCCAGACTGGTCTCAAATTCCTGGGCTCAAGCCACCCTTCCTCCTCAAAAATTGTTTGTTTGATTCAGGATGCAAGTAAGATTTATACATTGTGATTGGTTGCTGTGTCTTTTAAGTATCTTGTTTCTTGTGGGCTTTCTCTCTAGCTCTCACTCTGCTTGCAGCAGGAATCAGGTTGTTTCTCTTGAAGAGTTTCCCATAGACTGATTTTTGCTAATTTTATCCCTTAGACATAATTTGATAGGTTCTTCTTTGTTGTTGTTTGTTTTGATTTTTTTAACAGGGTCTTGCTCTGTTGCCCAGGCTAGAGTGCAGTGGTGCGATCACAGCTCACTGCAGCCTCGACCTCCTGGTTCAAGCAATCCTCCCACCTAGCCTCCTAAGTAGCTGGGACTACAGGCGCATGTCACCATGCCTGGCTAATTTTTATGTTGTTTTGTAGAGACAGAGTTTCACCTTGTTGCCCAGTCGGTCTCGAACTCTTGGGCTCCAGCAATCTGTCCACCTCAGCCTCCCACAGTTCTGGGATTACAGGTGTGAGCCACTGTGCCTGGCCATATTTCTTTATTTTCTCTAAAATGATGGCTGAATCCAGAGACCTCATTGGATTCTGGTTCAACTTTTTTATTTTTACAGGACTATTTTATAAGATTTGTATGCTTTCCTGTCAGGAGGCTCATAATAGCTGGCCATCTCTCTATTTATGATGTTTGCAGCTGTTGATATTAGTAGTCAGTCTTGATATTCTTATTGTCATTCTTCTTCATTTCCTAGCTGAATACTTTTGTAAAAAGCAAATTCTTATCGATTCTTTGGTTTCCCAGTGTTATATTTGTTTAGGAAAGGCAGAATAAATGCTTGATTTTTTGAATGTTATTTAGTAGTATTCAAAATAAAGAGGACTAGTGTCCTCCAAAGGTGACCAGTTGAGTGTCGTTTTTAAAAAAATCATAACGGGTTTACGCATATTTGTGTTTCAGTCAGTTATGGTGATCACATGCATTGATGCCCAGATTATCCCGTGTATAATCTTGGAAGCCTCTTCAAGTTAGTCCCTGAGTCCTTTGAAACAATCCCAATAATCTCTGTAATTTCTTTGCTATCTTGTATGACAGGATATTCCAGGACTATCTTGCACTTGTTCTGCCCCAGACCTGGAATTGGCCAATTCTCCGAGGGGCTCTGGTTCCTTTTAATGGGAATGGTATTAAGAAATTACAACATGAGTCCTGTGGGTACTAATTGCTAATGTATAAGTCATGACTCTATGATAATTCAGTAGACATAGCTTTTTTGAAAGATGAAATTCATGTTTGTTTATACGGATACTTACAGTTCAAATTCAGGATTACATGGTTTTTACTGAACTTCAATTTTACATTTATATCTCTTTTTTCCCTCATGGCACAGGATAACAACACTATAATATTACATAATAACTCAATTGCTTTATCTCATAATACATCCATAGCAGTCTCATGATAGCAGTAGCACCACCAATATGATTCCTAAAAGTAGTCTTTTACTTTTTTAGCTAGTTCTTTTTTTTATTTAGCATGTATCATATTAGAGATCTGCAGTCAAATTCCCATTTTAAAGTTATTTGGAATAATAATTCTTTGGGTGGTTATGCTAGCACATGGATACATACCCTTGTTCATTTGTTTCATTCTTTTTGAGAGGTCGCTCTTTTAAAATTTAATTTTGTTTTTTAATTATATGAAATGTTAAATGGCTTTAAACATATCTAAAGGAAGCAAGATAAATTTCAGGAAGTCCAATCCTCAATCCTCTAACCTATTCCTTTCTTCCCTGTAGATAAACTTAAAAAAAAAAAAAAAAGCCCCCTTCCGTGCACATACCTGTCTGCATATGTATGCACATTTGATAAAATGAATAAGATAAACTATATACACTTTTCTTCACCTTTTTTCTCTCTAATGGCATGCACTGGCAATTATCTCATATAAATATAGAGAGATCCCCATTTATTGTGTGGCTGTATCATAATTTATTTAACCAGTTCATTATTTATGGACATTGGGTTGTTTTCAGTATTACAGTCTTTCAGTGAATAGCTTTGTATTTGCGCCTTTTGTGTTTTTTGACAGTTATCTTTGGGAGCAGTTCTTAGAAATAGAAGAGTAAATGCATGTACAATTTTGCTAGGTATTACTGTGTTCCTATCCATAATGGTTACACCACTTTGCATTCTCACTAGCAGTATGTAAGAGTGTCTGCTTCCCCACAGCCTTGCCAGTAGACGATGTTGTTATGAAATATGTCTCTTCCTAACTCTGGTCATCTTCCTTGTTCTGCAGGCTTTTGTGTCTGAGAATAGTGTAGCCATTTGTGCTTTTCTTTGGTCCTAGTGTTTGTAAGGCATATATTTTTCCTTTCCATTTTTAGTCTTCCTGGGACTTCATATTTAAAGTGAGTTTCTTGGCTGGCCATGGTGGCTCACACTTGTAAATCTCCGTGCTTTGAGAATATGAGGCGGGAGGATCACTTGAGCCCAGGAGTTTCAGGCTCCAGTGAGCTATGATTGTACCACTGCATTCCAGCCTGGGCAATAGAGCAACACCCTTAAAGAAAAAGTTTATTTATTTATTTATTTTTAAATAAATGTCCTAGTTGTCTTTCTGTTGTTGTTTTTTGTTTCCTTGTTTGCTTTTATATTGGTTGTTTTGAATCCAATTTGACAAACTGTTTCAATGGGAGTGCTTAGAGCATTTACACTTACTGTAATTATTGATATGGTGGGGTTTAAAGCTACCATCTTGATAGTTTTCCTCTTCTATTCTTTATGTCTGCTTTCCTTGAGATTAATCAAGTATTATGATTTTATCTTTACTATTGGTTTATCTACATCCAATAAAATTATACTAATGTGTAAAAGCTTTACAGCACTATACTTCCATGCCCATTTCCTCCAGTCTTTTAAGTTTTGTTGTCTTATGTTTTGTTTTTATATGTTATAAGCTCCATAATATGTTCTTGATATTTTTACTCTAGTGTATCTCGAATTAATAATGACAAATTTCTTTTACACACATAATAACCATTTCTGTCACTTTTCATTTGTTGGATGTCTATCCATATTTTCATCTGGTATCATTTTTCTTCTGGAAGAACTCTTTTTAATATTTCTTGATGTATAGTTCTCTTTATAGTGAATTTTATAGTGAATTTTTTGGTCTGAAAAAGTCTTTATTTTTCCCTCATTTTTAAAAGATAATTTTGCTTGGAATATAATTTTAGGTTTACAGTGATTTTCATTTAATGTTTAAAAGATGTCACTCCATTATCTTCCGGATTGCAGATTCTGATGAAAAGTGTTCTATCAATCCTTGTTCCTCTGTTTTTGCACTGCTTTTAAGATTTTTCTGTTTTTCACTAATTTTTATCCAAATGAATAATAATATGCCTTGAAATGGTTTATCTTTTTTCTGCTTGAGGTTTATTGAGATTCTTGGATCTCTAAGGTTATTTTAATCAGATTTGGAAAAAAATTGGCCATTATTATTTTGAATACTTTTTTTTTTAATCTATTCTCTCCATCTGCCTTGTTGTTTTCTGGGGCTCCAATTACAAGTATTTTTGACTACTTGATACTGTCTTATAGATCACAGCTGCTGTCTTACTATTTTTTTCTTGCCCTTTTTTCTCTCTCATTTTATTTTGATAGTTTCTATTGCTGTGTCTTCAAGTTCACTGATACTTTTCTCTTGCAGTGTATAATCTGCTTTTAATTCCATCAGTTTATTTTCCATTTCTATTGTATTTCTTATATTTAGTAATTCTATTTGTGTTCTTTTTTTATATTTTTATATCTTTTTTTATATTTTATATTTTTCATTTCTAGCACTGCATTCCTGATTTATTCTAACTTCTTGAGTCTATGTAGCATAGTGTTTTTTGTAACAGCTCTTTTAATGTCTACCCTAATTCTATCACTTATGTCATTTTTGGGTCTGTTTCTATTGAGTAATTTTTGTCCAGGTTGTATATTATAAGGGCTTTCTACTATGTCTAGTAGGAATGAGTAATTAACCGCCCTGTTTGTGTTGAGGGAATTTTTTGTCTTACTGCTTTCCATGGTCCTTTTCCTGGTCTCAGGTAGTTTTTCCTCCTAACACGATTGAGGATCATTATCCAGCCAAAGACTCAGGGATAGCCTCTGCAGATTAGCAGAGCTCATGCTGCCTTTCCCTTTGTAACTCCTTCCTTTCTGGTATTGTGCTCTAGAAATCAGAGCTTCCTTGGCCTCCCTGAACTCTCATCTTTATCTCCCTCAACCCAGGCTCTATTTGGGTCATTTGTACTACAGCCTAGAAACTATTTAATACTTCCATGCGATAAGCTGGGCAGTAAAGCTCTTCTAGTTTGTTTCTCATTTATCAGGGATCACATTTCTCTGCTACCTGTTCCCTAGTGTCTGAAACCTTTAGCATATTTATCTCTTCTGGGCATTTAAGGCAGGAGAGTAAATAGTCTTAGTTACACCATTGTAATCTGAAGCAGAAGTCCTCTTGTTATAGTTTTTTAAAAAAATGTGTGAAGGTAAACAGTTTTTCATGCATTTTAGGGTAATTTATATGTCTTCTTTTTTAAAAAAATTAAACGTTGAGTTCTGAGATACATGTGCAGAACGTGGAGGTTTGTTACATAGGTATACATGTGCCATGATGGTTTACTGCACCCATCAACCTGTCATCTAGGTTTTAAGCCCTACATGCATTAGGTATTTGTCCTAATGCTCTCCCTCCCCTTGCCCCCCACCCCACAACAGGCCCTGGTGTGTGATGTTCCCCTCCCTGTGTCCATGTGTTCTCATTGTTCAACTTCCACTTATGAGTGAGAACATGTGTTGTTTGGTTTTCTATTCCTGTGTTAGTTTGCTGAGAATGATGGTTTCCAGCTTCATCCATGTCCCTGCAAAGGACATGAACTCATTCTTTTTTATGGTTGCATAGTATTCCATGGTGTATATGTGCCACATTTTCTTTATCCAGTCTATCAGTGATGGGCATTTGGATTGGTTCCAAGTCTTTGCTATTGTGAATAGTGCTGCAGTAAACATATGTGTGCATATGTCTTTATAGTAGAATGATTTATAATCCTTTGGGTATATACCTAGTAATGGGATTGCTGGGTCAAGTGGTATTTCTAGTTCCAGATCCTTGAGGAATCGCGACACTGTCTTCCACAATGGTTGAATTAATTTATGCTCCCACCAACAGTGTAAAAACGTTCCTATTTCTCCACATCCTCTCCAGCATCTGTTGTTTCCTGACTTTTTAATGATCGCAATTCTAACTGATGTGAGATGGTATCTCATTGTGGTTTTGATTTGCATTTCTCTAATGACCAGTGATGATGGGCTTTTTTTCATATGTTTGTTGGCCATATAAATGTCTTCTTTTGAGAAGTGTCTGTTCATCTTCACCCAGTTTTTGATGGAGTTGTTTTTTTCTTGTAAATTCGTTTAAGTTTCTTGTAGATTCTGGATATTAGCCCTTTGTCAGATGAATAGAGTGCAGAAACTTTCTCCTGTTCTGTAGGCTACTTACTGTTCACTCTGATGATAAGTTTCTTTTGCTCTGCAGAAGCTCTTTAGTTTAATTAGATCCCATTTGTCAATTTTGGCTTTTGTTGCCATTGCTTTTGGTGTTTTAGTCATGAAGTCTTTGCCCATGCCTATGTCCTGAATGGTTTTACCTAGGTTTTCTTCTAAGGTTTTTTATGGTTTTAGGTTTTCCATTTAAGTCTTTAATCCATCTTGAGTTAATTTTTGTATAAGGTGTAAGGAAGGGGTCAAGTTTCAGTTTTCTGCATATGGCTGGCCAGTTTTCCCAGCAACCTTTATTAAATACGGAATCCTTTCCCCATTGCTTGTTTTTGTCAGGTTTGTCAAAGATCAGATGGTTGTAGATGTGTAATGTTATTTCTGTGGCCTCTGTTCTGTTCCATTGGTCTATTTATCTGTTTTGGTGCCAGTACCATGCTTTTTTGGTTACTGTAGCCTTGTAGTATAGTTTGAAGTCAGGTAGCATGATATCTCCAGCTTTGTTCTTTTTGCTTAGGATTGTCTTGGCTATATGGGCTCTTTTTTGGTTCCATATGAAATTTAAAGTAGTTTTTTCTAGTTTTGTGAAGAAAGTCAGTGGTGGCTTGATGGGAATAGCATTGAATCTATAAATTATTTTGGGCAGTATGGCCATTTTCACGACATTGGTTCTTCCTATCCATGAGCATGGAATGTTTTTCCATTTGTTTGTATCCTCTCTTTTTTCATTAAGCAGTGGTTTGTAGTTCTTCTTGAAGAGGTCCTTCCCATCCCTTGTAAGTTGTATTCCTAGGTATTTTATTTTCTTTGTAGCAATTGTGAATGGGAGCTCACTCATGATTTGGCTCTCTGTTTGTCTTTTATTGGTGTATAGGAATGCTTGTGATTTTTGCACATTGATTTTGTATCCTGAGACTTTGTTGAAATTGTTTCTCAGCTTAAGGAGTCTTTTGGCTGAGACGACAGGGTTTTCTGAATATACAATCGTGTTATCTGCAAACAGTGACTATTTGACTTCCTCTCTTCCTACTTGAATACTCTTTGTTTCTTTCTCTTGCCTGATTGCCCTGGCCAGAACTTCCAATACTATGTTGAATAGGAGTGGTGAGAGAGGGCATCCTTGTCTTGTGCCGGTTTTCAAAGGGAATGCTTCCAGCTTTTGCCCATTCAGTATAATATTAAAGAATGTTTTACCTTTTTCTGTCTTGCCTGTTTTTCTGTGTTTTTGTTGGTCTCTTCATTCTCCATTTTTAGGCCTTTACATGTTAGGAATATATTTCTTTTAATGATACTTCACCTTTGGTATCTTTTGTGAGACTCTACTCTTAGTGTGATAAGCACTGGGTTGGTATCAGGCAATGAGGAAGATATGGAAGTTTCTTTTGCTTTGAGATGTTTGTATAATAGTTTAAGAGCTCCTTTATTCGGTATTCGTTTTAAATGTTTGAGTTATGAAATAATACGATGCATGAATGTTCTTCCAGGTGGCTATATGACTTACTCAGTACCTCCCTCAGAACTCTGCTCACATGTTTCTTTATCAGGGAGATCTTCTGTTTAAAATTGTAATTCTCTTATACCTCCCTCCCTGTTTCCTATTTCTATCCTCCATCTTTAAAAATTTTTTTCTCTGTAGCAGTTCTCACAGTTTAACATAACATTTATTTTGTTAATTTATCTTGTCCCTAAAATGCTAGTAGCATCAAGTTAAATATTGGAGCCTTTTAATAGTCCCTGGCATGTAATATTGCTTAATAAGCATTGTTTAATCAGATTTTCCTTTTTGTGGTTTGCTCTGGCACAAAATGAAAGGTGAATTGGAAGAGGCAGAGACTTGAGAAAGAAGAGACAGTGTCAGTTTCATACATGTGTAAGGTGGCAGAAGTTTAGCTGGAATGATAGCAGTAAGAATAAAAAGAGAGAGGCCTGTTGGGAGCGGCGTTAACAGGAGAGTGTGAGTCACCAGCCTGTTAGTGTTTGCTATTGGTGAATAAAAAGTAAAAAACACCACATTTGTATTTGGATTACATTTTTAATATAAATATTTATAAAGCAAAATCATAGGCCTTTGGAAGTGAGTTTGAGTAAATCTTGGTGACTTTTTCTGACCTTGTAAATCATTACTTAAAAATACAAATATTAAAGTATCTAGCAGAAGTCTTGTTGATTTTTCTGGTTTATTGTTTTTCTTTGATTTTTTTTTAATAGAGCCTTGCTTCCTGTTTTACATCACAAATCTAAAAAAGGACCCCCCCGTCAAGCCAAATATGCCATTCATTGTATCCATGCGATATTTTCTAGTAAAGAGACCCAGTTTGCACAGATATTTGAGGTAATGAGAAAAAAATTTTCTTGTTTATTTCATATGTCATAGTTACAAAACAAATATTGATGATTTTATGGAATGTTCACATTTGGTGATGCATCATTTTGTAATATATTTTCAGAATTTGAATCAGTAAAATCAACATTGATAAGTGTTAAAATATGAAAATATCTGAGTATTCAAATGTTTAATGATAACAGATTCAGAAATCAAGCATTGTTTATTTTTGTACATTGGTTTATATATTTGTATTTGGAGACTATTTTTTGTTAACAGGTAATTACATATAAAATCATAGTTACAGATAGTAGGTAACAGATGATTATTCTTTCATTTGTAGGATCAAAAAATTTGAATTCTGTTTGAGAAACTATTGAAGTGTAAGGTTTTGTAAATCAGTACTAATTGTTAATATAAAGTAAGTTTATAGTTTTATGACTGACCTAATTTTGTGTCAGATATAAAGTGTCTTTTCAATATATATTTTATATTATTTTATCCACATTCTAAATAACTTTTACCCAGGCATTGCAATTTTATTGCTGCCTATTGTAATTAGAACCTAACACTAACACTGTTAGTGCAAATAAAAGCTAAGCAGAAAATTCATAAAATCCTACTTTGTAATTTTAGTTCAAGAGCCTTGAGTAGAGTCAAAACAATTTAGAAATTATTCTGATGCTCCTTGACATAAGTACTTGGACTTAATATCTTTGTTTTAGAAAGTTGGTACTTTTGTCATATTTTCATGTATTATGTTAAAGACCTGAAGGAGAAAGAAAAGTAGTATATCCTCCAAACACCATCTTTCCTGTAGATAGCAGATAATTTAATTTTTGTGTATTTGGGGATGGCGGTATTTTCTGTAGTCTGTGTTTGTATATGAGAATGGCTTCAATAAATTGATGTTAATTTATAGGAAAGTTTTCTTTTTGGTTGCTCTCCTTTTCCTCTCAATAGTGATGAGAGAAACACTGATATAAGTTGAATTTCAGAGTAGTTCTTTCATTTTGATATTGTATCTGCTGTTTTATCTTTACAAGAACCTCTGTAGTCCTCCTCCTATGTAGCATTTGGTTGGCTGGCTTCCTGAGAAAAGGTTTCTTAGAAATATCTGGCATTTTTGAGGTTCCACTAATCTAGGGCCTGGCCATTAATTTTGCTTTTTAGAAATGATTTTGTTATGGAAAATTACCAAACTTATAATCTAATTGAAAAAACTACACTATGATATTTTTGTTTATAATATGAACAATAGGCTGGCAAGATGTGCAATGGAAGTACTGAGGGAAGTCTTCAAGAATAGCAAGAAGTAAACTCATTTAAATGTATTTTTGACTAAATGAAGCCTCACATTGCCCTAATTTGTTGGGAAAGAACAGTTTTGTATTGGCCTTTCAAGCCTACAATTCTTGGTGTTCAGTGTGGGAGAATAGAGCACCAGTTTTTCATTAAAATGTGGCATTAAAATGTCTAATAGAAAATAAATTCACTTGTTTCAACATCAGAAGGATGCAAAAAAGAATATACGGTGAAAAGTTCCCCCACCCATGTATCCCCAGCCACTTAGTTTCCTTTCCCAGAGGCAGAGCCATTGTTAGTAGTTTCTAAACGTACTTTTCCAGAGATATTTTATTCATATACAAGTAAGGGCATGTAAATATGCACGTGCACACATGCATGCACATACACACGCATATTTTGTTTCCCTCTCTCTCCTTATGCCAATGGCATATTTTAGTCACCCTTCTGATTTCAAAAATTAAAACACACACACACACACACACACACACACAAACATATATTTTGTTTTCTTTTTTTTTTTCTGAGATAGAGTCTTGCTCTGTCATCCAGGCTGGAGTGTAGTGGCGTGATCTCTGCTCACTGCAACCTCCACCTTTCTTGTTCAAGTGATTTTCCTGGCTTAGCCTCCTGAGTAGCTGGGACTACAGGCGTATGCCCCACGCCTGGCTAATTTTTGTATTTTTAGCGGAGACGGGATTCCACCATGTTGGCCTGGCTGGTCTCGAACTCCTGACCTCAGGTGATCTGCCTGCCTTGGCCTCCCAAAGTGCTGGGATTACAGATGTAATCTGTAATTGTTAATGCCCGGCCTTAACAATATATTTCTGATATCATTTTATATGAGTATTTGAAGAGCTTGTTCATTCTTTTATCATGGTAAAATGCATATTAATGGTTGGGTTTCCTATCAGAATAACAAAAAATCATTTTATTTGTTATGGTATTTAATATTTGGTGCTATAATGAAGATCCCCAAATTCAAGTGACTAGATGTAGTAAAAGCTTATTTCTTGCTTCTGAAAAGTCTAGTGGGTGTTTGAATGACCCTCTAATCAGTGGCTTAGGGACACAGACTCATTCTGATTAGTGACTTCTCTTTAAATCCCACTGGATCCTTGGCATCAAGCCAGCCAGTGAGTAGAGCCTGTGGAGAAGACATATTGCTCATACCTACCTCAGTGCATATGTGGCATACTTCATTTTACTCCCACTCTCTTGACCAGAACTCATTCATATATCCTCACTTAACTGCACAGGAAGCTGCAAGTAGAGTCATCCTTATGCCCAGGAAATTGAAGTGGATATTGGTGAGCCCTAGCAGTCTCTAACACATTCATGTATATGGTCATAAACTATATGCTATGAAGTCTGTGTCGAAATGTTTCTTTACCCTACCTCTAAACTGAATTGGGCAAAACTGAAAATGTTTGAACCTGATGCCTTCTGGACATAGATAACCTATAGAAGTCTAAATGTAATCTTGAGTTACTACTTATACTATGTATATTTATTGAAATTTTTGTAGTTTTTATAATTTGAATTACAAAATAAATTACAAAATAAATTTTGTAATTTGAAAATGAAATATGTAAACAGTTTATTTGTATATGTGTAGAGTTGAAATATATTTTCCTCCCCTCATTTTCAGCCTCTGCATAAGAGCCTAGATCCAAGCAACCTGGAACATCTCATAACACCATTGGTTACTATTGGTCATATTGCTCTCCTTGCACCTGATCAATTTGCTGCTCCTTTGAAATCTTTGGTAGCTACTTTCATTGTGAAAGATCTTCTCATGAATGATCGGGTAATTTATATTTTTTAGATTCATGTTCTTTGTAATGTTAACTTTTGCAATTTTATCCAACAAGGAAAGAAGTGAAATGATATCAATAATACTTCCATTTGACTGCCTTGATTTTAGGTTTTCCTGTTTAAAAAAAATAAGCCTTGTCTCCATTATAAGCAAAACCATCTTGAAACATCTTTTTAGTTGAGAATAGGCATATGACCTCAAATACATTCCTTGATAAATATAAAATATAACCTGATGCTATCTATTTCAGATTTACAGGGGTTTAATTTTTGACAGGACATCTATTTTTAAAAATATGCAGATTGGTAAACCAGCTCATAGTATGGTTGTCATGATTATAGTTTTACCTTTTTCTATATAAACTTGTTCTTTTCCCTACATTGGGAGAGAACGAAAAAACATTGGGAGAGGAAATAATGATTTTGTTAGTCTCCAGTTATTTTGTATCTGCTGTGACAGCACTGTACTAGGTTCTCTGGAGAATTAAAAGAAACATGAGATAAAGTTTTTCCTCCAAAAAGTAAACATAATATAAGTAGTGATATCTGGGTTAATCTGCCACCTGATTTTTTGTTTTCAGTTTGTCCTGTCAGTTGTGTATTTTTCTCTTTTCTTATTTTTGATTAAATATTTTTATTTCATTTTACCAGTCTGTTTTACATTTTGCTATTATTTTAGTAGTTTTCCTAGAAATTACAACATGGACTTTGGACTTATTAAAGGCCAGTGTCAGTTGGTCTGCTTTGAACTTTCAGTATAGCACAAGGAACTTCAAAATACTTTAATTCCTTTTATTCCTTGGTGCTTTTTTGTGCTCTTGTTCACCCAGTTCTATTACTGCTGTTATTTTATGCAGTTAATGTTTATTTAGATTTGCCAACATATTTTCTCCTTTTGTTTTTCATTCCTTTCTATGTAATGATTTTCTTTCTATCTAAAGAACTACTTTAGTACTTTTTTTTTAGTTTGGATTTCCACTAATGAATTTTCTCAGTTTTTGTTTGTCTGGAAAGATCTTTATTTTACCTTAATTTTTTAAAGGATGCTTTCTTTGGGTTAAGAATTCTAGACTGGTGTATTTTCCCCCATCAGTGATTTGAATATATTATTCTATTTTCCATTTTCTTTTTTCTTGAAGTTTATTGACAGTCTTGTTCCTCTGAAGGTCTTCTGTCTGTTTGCTGTGAATGTTTTTGTCTTTTCTGTTTTCCATTGGTTTCCAGTTTTACTATGATGTGTCTGGGTATGCTTTCCTTTATAGTTATTGTACTTGGGGCTTAGAGCTCTTCTTGTATATATAGCTTAAAGTTTTTTACAAACTTTAAATAATTTTTAGGCATTATCTTTACATATACGATTTCTGTTTCATATTCTCTTTCCTTTCTTACTGCAGTTCTATTAACACACTTTAAACGTACATTGTTTTTTTGCTGTGACCTAGCTGTGTGACACACTTTTGTGTACTTTTCTGCCAGCCTCCTCATGCTTCAGTTTTTGTTTTTTTTCTGACCTATCTTTGAGTTCACTCGCTTCAGTTTTGTCTAGTCGTACCTAAAGCTCATGCTTTGAATTCTTAATTTCACATATATACACATACTTCAATTCTGTAATTCTATAGTTTTTAAACATAGCTCTTTGTTTTGCTGCAGAATTTGCTTGTCATTAAATCCTTGAAAAATCTTAATTATGTGAAGTTTGTATCTGTTAGGCTTATCATCTTGATCTCTTGTAACTTTTGTCTATTCTCAAAATTTTGGTCAAATCTTACCTTGTACATATATTGCTTTTGATTGAGTGATAGACTTTTTGTATGAAAAGTTGTTGAGATAATGTGAGGCTTCAGATGTGGTTATATTCTTCCCAGAGTTTTACTTTTGTTTCTATCAGGCAGTTAAGCTATCGTCAGATCACTTCCATCCAATGAAAATGGAAGTTTGGCTTCAGTTTTGGACAAGCTTATTATTTTTTTCTGGTCACCTTATGTCTAGAGTATATTTGTCTGGGATCCACCCAGAAGTCCAGGTTGTTTAACAAGGCCTTTACTTAATGGGCTCAGGATTCTTAATCTTGTTCTTCTAGCTCTGTGACAGGAAAGCTTTGCTCAACTTCTTATCCCCCTTTCACTTTCAGAATCATTAATCGTCTGTGTGAAAAAACTAATCTCAGTGCCAGACTCAAATCTTTGCTTTCCCTCCTTATTTGAAACTTTGCCCTGCAAATTCTCACTGCTTTGGTAGCTGTCTGTTGCCTTCAAACTGATTTTTAAAAAATATTTTGTTTAGCCTTTCCGTTTGTTTCAGTATGAAAATTGGTTCAAAACAACCTAGTCACATCTTGTCAGAAACAGAACTGCTCACCATTTTTAATCCATTAATTTGTCTTGTTTTATTATATATTTGATATGTACAAAGGAATATATGTAACATTTGTATAACATGTTTCATAATACAATGAACACCTATGAACTCTTAGTTCCTTAGAGTTCTTAGAGTTTTATTACTCTTCAATCCTTTCTACTTCCTCCTTGTCCCTAATATCTACTCTCTTGAATCTTGGGTTAATCTGTAACAGCAACAAAATTTACCACATACTTGTTTAGTTTTGCTTGTTCTTGAGGTTTCTAAGCATTATATCATACCCTGTATAGTCTTGGAGGATTTGCTTTTATCACTCCACATTTGTTTCTAAGAATAATCTTCGTTACTAAATCTAACTGTGGTTCATTCATTTGTTACTCTATAATTTCACTGTGGAAAATATCTCGTAATTTATTTATTCTTCTAGTAGATTGTGGAATATTTCCATTTCTTTACTCTTTCGGACAGTGCTGCTATGAATGTTTCTATTGAAGCCCCCTGCTACATATGAGCAAGAATTTCTCTAGGTTTTATTCCTACGAGTGAAGTTGATGAATCACGGTATATAGACATATTTAACTTTTCACTTTTTTTAAGTCATTTTTTATAATGTTTGTTAAAACTTATTTTTCTATTAAGAAATCTGACAATAATGTTATTATACACTGTTGGGAGAAAATATCTAATAGATACAGTATCTCATTATAGCTCATTATAGTCCCAATGTGCATTTCTGTGGTTACTAATTAAGTTTGTGTGTCTAGTCACCATTCATGTTGCCTACTTTCTGAAATTCCCTTTTGATGTATTTTACCTTTTATTCCCCTTGGTGTTTTTTTCCCATAGGCAATCTGTACCTATATTAATCTTTTATCTGGTACATGTTATAGTATCATCATGAAGTGTGTAAAACCTCATTTATGTGTGTCTTTTCACTCCTTTATTGTGTCCTTTGATCCTTTGAACAAAAGTTATTCCTTTTTTTTTCTTTTTGAGATGGAGTCTCACTCTGTCACCCACACTGGAGTGCAGTGGCGCCATCTCGGCTCCCTGCAACCTCCACTTCCCACATTCAAGCCATTCTCCTGTCTCAGCCTCCCGAGTAGCTGGGACTACAGGCGCCCACCACCATGTCCACCTAGTTTTTGTATTTTTAGTAGAGATGGGGTTTCACCATGTTGGCCAGGCTGGTCTCCAACTCCTGAACTCACGTGATCCACCCAGTTCAGCCTCCCAAAGTGCTGGGATTACAGGCATGAGCCACCACGCGCCTGGCCTGAACAAAAGTTATTACTTTTAATGTAGCTGTATTTATCATTATTCTTTGGTAGTTAATACTTTTTACATCTTATTTAAGAAATCTTTTCCTACTCTAATGTCATGAAAATAGCCTCCCATATGTTCTTCTAAAACTTTGAAGGTTTTCTTTTTTTACACACACAAAAATCAATCCATCTGGAATTGATTTACTTTTTTTTTTTGTATGCTGTGATATAAGGATTTCATTTTTGCTGCATGTTAGGGTTACCAAATTTCCCAGCACTGTTTATTAAATATCTTACCATCTCCTGGTAATCTGCAGTGCTACCACTCATGTCTCCTATAGAGCCTCTGTTCTTTTCCACTGATGCGTTTGCCCATCCACAAGATGTCTTTCCTTAATGTTTTATAGTTTTCTCTAAAAAGAAAAATTTTAAATTTCTCTCACACAACTTATGTTAGGCACTAAATAAAGTTTTTAAGATTATGTTTTATGTTTATGATTGATAAGGTGAATTATTTGGTAATTCTGATTTTATATCCATCTTTCTTGCTAAATTCTAATTTTGTCAATTATAAAGAATGCCAGCTTTGATTATTTTCTAATGCTTGCATATTTTATTTCTGTATATTTACTTCCATTTTAGGTATTTATCCTTTTTCATCCTAACTTACCAGTTTTTGAAAGAGATATATTCACATATTCTGCTGTGATGAAGTATTCAATCTTCTGATTTTAATCATGTTGGTTCTGGTTTATTTTGATGTTATTCTGCTAGTTGTGTAAATGTTCATGAATTTTATATTTTATTTGGTGTTGTAAGATAAAATATATCAGTATCCCATTTAAGTCCATATCCTCTTCAGTGCTTTTCATCTTGACTGGTATATTTTTCCATCCCATAATTTTCAGATTTCTTATGTTGTTTGTTTTTATTGTATCTTTTGTGGCTTTATTATTTATAAATCTACCTGATAGTCTCTGTTGTTTCTGGTAGTATCTGATAGTTTCTTATTTATGTAAGGTTTTTGTTTTCATTTTTCTTTGTATTTGTAATAGTTTATACTAATTTAGTTTTTTCTTGTGAATTAAATAGTGTTATCTTTGAGTAATTCTTTCAACATGGATTGTAATTTGGAAGCTTTCTGTCTTGAATTCTAGTGTTCATTCTTCAGTACTGTTTTTTGGATATTAGAATTCTGTGTTTCAAGTCACTTGAAAATTCAGAGCATTGTTTTTTTGGCATCTGGTCTTGCAGCTGAGAAATCTGAAGTTAATCTTTTATTCCTTTTTGGTAGTTTCTTTATGGAAGCTTTTGGGATCTTGACATCCTTAGTTAGAAATTTCATCACAAGGTGCCTAATGTGATTCCTTTTTCATTATTTTTACTTCATACTTTGAAGGCACTTCTCAATGGAAGAAATGAGTTATAAACTGTGTGTGAATCTGTAGCTCTTTGTGTTTGAGGGAGTTTGCCTTTTTAGATGTTGGGGGCTACCTGTTTTGTTACCAGAGGGTTACCTGAGGTGATATTCAATTCCTGTTCTTTGACCTGAGGGTAAAAAATGGGATCTCAAGTGTTCCAAGATTGGTTCAGCTCTTTTGCCATCTTATTTTAATTTCCTGGTTACTACTGTAAACACCTACCTGCTAGTACTTGCACATGATCACCTCAGGATTAGTTTGGAGTTGTGCTGAAAACAAAAACAAAACCCCTCCAGCTCAAGATTTTTTTTTTTTATACCTTTCTTCTTGTTTAAGAGCTACACCTTTTGGCTCCATGTTTTTTTAAAATCCTAGTTCTTGCATTAAATAATTGAATCTCAAAAGGGGCTAAATAAGGGAGTGATGTGTAAGAAGTTAGAGTTAGTCCCACCACAGACCTAGAAAGAACCAGTCGTGATGGATCTATAAGTGCTGTACATAGGCGCTAGTGAAGGTATGCCTTTCAACCTTTTTTTTTTTTTAAAGTAAATAGGGTTAGATGAAGTACTTTAGTCATATATAACAAATGTCACTGCAGAAGGTACAGATTTCATTCATTTTCTAAGTGCTAATTGAAAAGAATTCATATTTACATTTTAAAGTCCCTGGTTTTTTTTTTTTTCTCGTTTATTTTTAGCTTCCAGGGAAAAAGACAACTAAACTTTGGGTTCCAGATGAAGAAGTATCTCCTGAGACAATGGTCAAAGTGAGTAATGTGCATAGATCTATTGATTTTAATATAATCACCACATTGTAATATTTGAGGTATTAAAATTTCTATTTCTATTGGAAAGATATTAAAGTCACTCAAGTATTTACATTTATTGTATGATGTCTTATGTGCTGTGAGACTATAGGGTAATAATGAGAAAGCTGGGATTTTGTGGACAGCTGCACATAATCTAATTTGAGGAGAAAAAAAGGTTTGAAAGCTGTTTCCCTGATGGCAAAAGGCAGTGCTAGTTTTTATGGACTTTCCTCTGTTCTGTAAAGATGATAGTTCAGATTTTAAGCCTATTCATCTTTTCCATGGGATTTAATAAAACTTTTTATTTTTAAAAAATTCAGCCTATAATTTATTGAATTAGGAGTTTTATAAGATTGCTCATCATTGGTATAGACTCTTGATTTATTAAAACCATCTATGGCCTGTAGTGTAGACCTCATGTCAATCCACTACCAAGATATGAAGGCCAAAAATACATACATTAAATATTGTTATTTTCTAGCTGTAATTTCTTATAAACCCTTTCAGTCTGTGTGTGTGTGTGTGTGTGTGTGTGTGTGTGTGTGTGTGTGTATTTGTTTATAGTTCGTATTACGAACTACCTTTTCACATTGTTCTAGCTGGAGGTTATGATACTAGTTTTGCAGACTTGTACAATAGCCCCACCTTTACATCAATGAATGATGCTTGATACTTTGAGTCTCAGTATAAACCTGTTTTTCTCGGCATTGGTCTCAAGCTGCAGTTTTTGTATACTTGAAAGCAGCACTGGACTAGAAGGTAGGCCACTTACCAACTTACCAGTTGGTAGGCATACTTACCAACTGGCCAGGAAAGAGATCTTCCGTCTTTGCCGTGAGCCAGACACTATCGAAGACCCTCTTAGCATCTGAGCCTTAGCTCTGTAAAAAGCTGAGCTAATATGTGAAAGATAATTTGTACATCATTTTAAAAAGAGGTAATATGTACTTCTTCAAAAGAATTCTTGGAAACATTAAAGGAAGTAATGGGTGTAAAAATACTTTAAATACTTCATAATCATAAAATGTAGAACAAATATGAGTGGTATCATTTTTTAGGCAGAAAAGATTAAATGTAATTTGTAGTTGGGAACTTAACTTTTCTGATTAGAGAGGTTAAGCATGATTTTACTGTATGTTCTACAGGATCAAATATATGTTGGGGAAACATTTTAAAACAGCAAAGAACAAACTAGTCTTTAGTCAAATCATTCTTTTGCCATTTTCTTGGATGTTTGAAACATCTTTAAAACATTCGAGATTATCTTCATATATACAGAAAAGAATTTTTTCTTTTCTTAAAAAGCATCCATTAAATACATTTTATTTTTAAAAAAAGTTGATACAGAAATTCTTTCAAAATGTACCAGTGTTTTATTTGTCGACTTGTCTCTTAAATAGATTCAGGCTATTAAAATGATGGTTCGATGGCTACTTGGAATGAAAAATAATCACAGTAAATCAGGAACTTCTACCTTAAGATTGCTAACAACAATATTGCATAGTGATGGAGACTTGACAGAACAGGGGAAAATTAGGTATGCAATTACTATTTCACAGTTCTTTGGATTGCATAATATTTCAGCTCTTGGTGTAACTGTTCAATGGTGCTGTTTCTTTTTCTTTTTTTTTTAAATTAGAATTGCTTTGTACATGTGCATATATTTTTACTGGAATATGCTTTTGTACAGTGGTTATTTTACAGTGGCGGTCACATGTCTGGTGCAGGGTACTGTTATACATTGTAAATATTTTAAACAATAGATTCTTACATTTTAGAATATCTCGTATGAAAGTGTGAGTGTACCAGTCAATAACTGATGTTTTACATTCTTGTTAAATATGTAAGGGGAAAGAACAGATTGGGTGAAAGGCAACTTATTGAATCTATTTCCAGAAGTATAAATAAATGCATACTTTAAAGATGTACCTGAAGTAAATTATTGAAAATGAGCACACTTTTTTGGTTTTTGTTATTTTATTTTCTTTGAAAGATGTAGTAAGTACAGTGTAGTGATTGAAAACTACTGGACTCTGGAGCCTGGATTTCAAATTCTGGTTCCACCACTTACTAGTCAGGTGAACTTCAGTAAGTTGCTTTAACTTCTTGGTCCCTCAGTTTCCTTACCCACGGAAGTAGGAGGTAATAATTATGTGTACCTGGCTCATCTAGCTGTTATGATATAACTAAATAAGTTAGTATACCTAAAGCATTTAAAACACTACTTAGCACATAATAATTAGAAGCATTGATGATAATGGTGGTTATTATGTCAGTGTTAGTTAAAATTTAACGTTTGTCCTCTGTGTAAACCAAGTGCCATTTGGTGCCCCTCCTTGGTAATACAAAATAGGAGAATAGCTCTGTGCTCCTTAATATATCTAAAGACTTTAATAAGAAAACATACAAAGATGACTGCCAGCTGCCTTCTGCCTTTCCATCTTGTATGTTTTGCTTATACTGTATTCTCCTTGTATGTTTTGCTTATACTGTATTCTTTGCATAGAATGTTAACAGAAGCACATCCTTCTCAAACAAAACATATAAAAAAAAACTTGGTAAGCTATTCATTCTGTATCTGTTTACTTTCTTTTATTCTAATTAATCTATTCTGTTTTCATGTCTCTGTTCCCCTAATTTATATATGCCAATGTTTAGGAGTTACAAATAATAAGTATGTTTTCATTTAAAATTTTTACTGAATTTGAAATAATTTTGTATTGATCAGCTCAGCCTGGTAAAGAAATTTTCCTCAGTGTTAATACATTTGGCCTTATAAATCAATTTATTAATTATATTATTTTATATTTCTTATTTGGCCAATTATATTCAGCTATATAAACTTTCATCAGAGAGGCAAAGTTCTTTGGTGGTTTACAACATTCAGGCAGATTGAAGACACACTACACAGGTTCAAACTGAGGTTCTACCATTTATCAGCTGCTTTTATTTATCAGCAAGTTATTTAACTTCTACGTGTCTTAGATTCTTCATCTGTAAAATGAGGATAACAATAGTATCTCCTTATAGAGTTTATGTAAGGATTATATGTATTAAAATTTCGAATGTAATTGGAATAATACCCAGTATATAATGTCACTTATGCTGTGTTTTGTGGAACCCATATGACATTCAGGAATATTTAGGGGCAGCCTAGAGTTGGAATAAGAATTTTTTCTGGTAGAGACATAACAGGTGGAGTCTTGGGAGTTGGTAGGTGGGGGTCTCTGTCCTTTCCTTAAGTGGGAAGCTTGCATTCCTATTTAAGCAAAAGTGATTTTTTGTGTTTACACCTTAAACTTTTATGTAAGATTTGGTTTCAAGAAAAGTTTCCTCTGCTTAATAAAGCTAAAAACAACAAAACAAAAAAAGTTTACGAGGTTAAATAGAAACCTCTGGTCCAGATGGGAAATTTTAAGGATAGATAACACAGGAAGCATCTGTTATCCATATCTGTGAGGAAAACATCCAACAGGTGGTTTATACTTTTTGCACTAAGAACTATGATTTACTGATTAATAGCTACTTGGAATATTGTTGTTGATGGGATGAGACACACCTTTGAGACGAAGTCCTACAACTTTAGAAACTTACTAATGTTGGCTAGCATCCAGTCAATATTTTTACATGGCCAACTAGATTATTAAGTCTTGGAAAACTAAGACTGTCTTTTATTTTAAATACCCCGCAGTGCTATATGTACACAATAGACATAGATTTGTTGCATGGATGTTGAATAACAATCTTTTACTATAGAGCTACAAAGGGGTTCTATTTAAGGAGTTACAACTTCTCCCTCCTTATATTTGTTCAAGATCCCCTTTATTTTAGCTAATATATCACTATATTAGGAAGGATTGTTTAGATGTATTTACTAGTCTGGAATTCTATGAATTGTGCTTCATTTTAGCAGTTGTCTTTCCTTGAACTTAAAAAGAGCCTCTTGGTAATATTTGAAAAGTTGAATTCTAGCTAAGGAATAGTAATGTTTTCCTCACCACACCTGCTTTCATTCTTCTTCTGTGCTTAGCACAGTAGTTGTGTTTGATTTATTAGCAAGCTAGAACATATTTGGTGCCTCATCTATATATAAACATTTCTCCAACAAAATCCATAGTAGAATATGTAAAACCTAACAACTAAACATACAGACAGATTTCTTCTACGCTTGACTAAGACTTGTTTTATTTAGAATGAGGGAATTAAATGACTTGAGTGACACTAGCATTGACTTATGTTTAAAAGAAGAATTTTGTAGTATTAGACAACATCTTCCAAAGTTAAATGAGCATAATATGGTGTTCAGTATTGCTAAATTATTTTCTGTATTAGCCTGCTCAGACTGCTGTAATAAAATACCAGGCTTATAAACAACAGAAATTTATATCTCACAGTTCTGGAGGCTGGGAAATCCAAGATCAGGGTGCCAGCATGGTTGGGTTCTGGTGAGGGCCCTCTCCAGGGTTGCAGACTGCTGACTTCTTGCTGTGTCCTCAAATGGCAGAAGCGGTAAACAAGCCCTCTCAGGCCACTTTTTAAAGACACTAATCCCATTCATGAGGGTTTCCCACAATGACCTAATCACCTCCCCAAAGGCTCCACCTCCTAATACTATCTCCTAGGTACTTGCATTTCAACATAGGAATTTTGGGGGACACAAACATTCAGATCACAGCATTTTTTTTTAAACTTTTTTGTGCCAGAATTTTTAATAAAATTAGATGTACAGAAGATTTTGTACAAATATTTTAAATGCTAATCTATATTCATTCTACTCATTTTTCAGTAAACCAGATATGTCACGTCTGAGACTTGCTGCTGGGAGTGCTATTGTGAAGCTGGCACAAGAACCCTGTTACCATGAAATCATCACATTAGAACAATATCAGCTATGTGCATTAGCTATCAACGTAAGGAAATGGCTGTGTACAACTACTTTTTGAAGGTCTTTGACTTTTAGGAAGGAAAAACATCCACTGTGATACATAGATTAAAATCTTGAATGTGTATGGTTTGTTTGTTTCTGAAAAATTTATGCATGAGAAACATTTCAGAGTTCTGAAACTGTCATTTGAGTTTTGGGTTGCTAACATAGTACAGTTGATCTTCTTCTTTGTAATAGTTTTGTTCTATAATGTTATCACAGGCATTCAGTTAGCAGATACTGAACAGTTGCTCTTAGGAGAACTCACAGAATAGATTCCTTCAAGCCCCTGGCCACAACATTTTCATCATCCAGTTAATATACAGCCTTGTTTTATGTATGTTTCTGTTTAAAGACTATTTATTATATATAGTTGTCTCAACTGAACTCACAGCCAACAGCACTGTAACTCATACCTGAACAAAGCTTATCTAGCACACACATTTTCTCTGTAAGGAATATCAGAGCCTTCTTGTGCTTTGGAACGCCAGACAGCAGTTCATCGCTATGCTTGTGCTTTGAAACACCAGACAGTACTTCATCATGAAATAACAAAAACATCAACCACAAAACTGTGAAAAATGTGGCACTGAATAGACCTCAAAAAGGACACTGTTTACGTATGAAAGCTGAAACAAGAAGGCACAGTGTTGCCTTCTTTGACATTAGCTGGGAATGTGCACATCTGGCTACTTACATTTTTTGCTGCTTTGTGTATTTACTTTGCAAATGACCCAAAAATTGCTTCAAGTATTAATTTTGGTGTTACAAATAAATTTTAACGAGTATGCAAATTCCTAAATATAGAATCCACAAATAAGGAAGACTGACTGTATGTGTTCAGTTCCTGAAAGGAAAACAACAGTATCGAAATTTATACTTTTATAAAGACATGACATAGAACTAATTTCAGGTTAGAAGCATTCCTTATTACTCAGTGAGTTAAGTTTTCAGATTATAAGCAGTGAAACTTTCAGATTCCTATTACAGTTTTATGGATTTCTTGTTAGAGTAACTTTATATTTGGGCTGTACCGCTTTAGAAGTCTTTAGCATCATTGAGAAAAGTAAAAGGGACTTTCACATTAGTAAATAAAATACTTTCAGTATGAGTTTTTCATTAATAATTTCGTTATTTTACACTTAGTTTTTCTCTTCTTTTCCAAGTAGTCTTAAGAATTTACTTCAGTGATCATTGCAATTCTTCCTCCCCACCCTTTATTCTAGTACATATTTTTAAATTGCCACTTATGTATAACTCTCTAGACACAAACAGTCATCTATTTTTAAATTGTAATCATTTTTGTCAAATGATTTGTCAAGACTGGTACTTCAGTCTTTTAAAAACAGCTATTTCGGCCGGGCGTGGTGGCTCATGCCAGAGAATTGCTTGAACTCAGGAGGCAGAGGTTGCAGTGAGCCGAGGTCGTGCCATTGCACTCCAGCCTGGGCAACAGAGCGAGACTCCATCTCAAAAAAAAAAAAAAAAAAATTTGGGGGGAGCCCATAACTTCCTTGGTATAGTTTCCCCACTTAATTTTTGGAGATAATCTTAAAAGAAACTGAAAATTGTTTAAAAAGCATCTATCACGTTTCTTAGAAGAAACCAACATATGTAATTATTTTATTAAATTGGGAAGACCTGCAGTCTGTTTGTCAGGTTCTTGGTATGGCATTTCTTAGAGCATTTGCTGCTATCATTATTGAAGTGGAAATATTTAAAAAACACAAAGTATGCAAATACAAGAAATGGACTTTATTTGAAACAGTATATAAGAAGTATGTGCCAGCCATTAGGTAAATGTCCACTCTAAGTAAAAAGCATCCACAGTTACTGACTTCTAAGGACTTCCTTTTCTAGCAAATATTTGTTATACATTGCCACCTCAAGCACCAAATTCCCAAGGTGAAAGTTCAAATGGCCTAAACTTTAAGATTGCTTTGGAATTATCTTGACTATGGAACATGTGTCAGTGGTTAAAAATCAGTTACTAGCATCTTCTCACAACTTAGAAACATATCAAATTACCCTATTTTAAGCAAAGCTTTTCTGTAATCTGTTCTTCCTTTAAATCATATGCTCATCTCCTCTTTTTAAACCTCCAAACCTCAAGAAAGAATAATCTATCTTTGTCTCTCTTACTCTCTTATCCTGTCTTCTCTGTTCATATTTTGTCATTTGCCTTTGTTGTTTTCCAGAAATGTCCTGTTGAAGTCCTCAAGTCCAGTGATACTGGGCTTCATTATATTTGACACAACTCATTGCTTCTTTATTCTTAAAACTGTCTTATTTGGTTTCTGTCTCTTGATTGTTGCTTTACTTATCTGATTACATTTTCTGGCTCTTCCTCTTTTTTTTTTTTTTTAAATGTATGTCTTCTGTGAGGATCTGTCTAGGATCAACTTCTTCACTTACACAGTCTTCTTTGGCCATGTCATCATCTATGTAAGTGACTATTACATCAGCAACGTTAAGGTTTTTCAAGACTCGGGTCCTACTTCAAGTGCTAAACAGAAATTTTATACTTTTATGTTCTGTGAATATAATACTGAGAGTTATAATATTTCCCAGATCTATTCTTTCTTGACATGTAGAGCCTATGTAAGTGTTAAATATAGTAGTTCACAGATCTATTCTTTCTTGACATGAAGAGCCTATATAAGTGTTAAATAAATCTGAATGGCATTTCTTATACCTAAAAGCATGGTTTATATTTGACTCTTGGCTTGTCCTTGCACCTTGTTGCAAAGTACAGATAATTCTGTCCTTTGATATCCATTATATAATTTTTATTCTTACTTTCTTGACCATTCTTATTGCTGTAATCATCATTAGCTCTCACCAAGACTGTTGGGAATCTTTTTTATTGTTGGTAAATTTCCCTAATTACAGTTATGATCATGTCATTCCTCTGTTAAAATATTTAGGGGGTTGATGCTTGTAAAAACAACTGCACGTATTTTACAACCTGGTGTTTGAGCCCCTCTAATATTTTAACCCAAATGTACGCTTAAAAATCTTGTTGAGCACACTCTCCTTTACTTAACCTCATTTCATGTAGCTGAACAGCTTTTTTTCTTTTTTGTGCCTTGTACTTTGCTGCCTTTAATTTTCTCTTTACTCTCCCATTTCCACACATCCAACCTAACCCTTTCTGCAAGTCAGTGCTCAGACACAACCTTCTTTACAAAACTTGCTCTGAGTCTTTTATTTTATCTGCAGTCCTCTGATACGTACAGGACTATGCTTTGCGCTTTAGTACATGTACTTTATTTCTTGAGGCTCTTTAAATGCAGTATTGTATCTGGGAGGCTGCTGTTATGTATTTGAACAGAAAGTACATTTGGAGAAATTTAATAAAACAATATGAATTTTAACATAATTTAATAATTACTTAGATATTTTAGAACTTGGAATTCAGTTCATGAAAGATTTACTCTGTACTTCTGTGTGCTGTACATTGTTCTAAGTTCTGGAAATACAAAGATGAGTAAGTCATGGTTATAGCCCAAAGAAGCTAACAATCTCTTAGGAGAACAGAAAATAGAGATGTATCAATAATACAATGAGATACACAAACTAATTACATGGTATTAATGGTAGTTTTGAGATACTTTGTACTAGAAAAGGCTACTAAAAGTGAATTTACTTAAGCTGCAGACTAAAATTAATTTTATAGTCAGTAGTGAATAAAAGCTTTGATTGGAACTTTATCTGGGGGGGCGGGGACATTTGTAGTATTAGACACCATCTGTTTTTTTCTTATGTTTAACCAATTATATCCAGTGTTTGCTTTTTTGAGGGTACATTTTTTTCAGATAAAATTGTATTACTCTATTCTTTACTTCACATTTAACTTTTGTAATACCAGTCAAAAGGATAATCATCTTTGCAGAAAAATATTTGAAGACTTCCTCAGTTCCCAGTAGCGCTTTTTATACTTATTTATTCACATGATTCTCTTGAAGTACCTATGTGTGTGTCATCATTCCTGTTAATTTTCTCTTCTTCAGTTGTTATTTATGTTAGTGGAGTTGCCTATGATTTCACAGTTCTCTAACATCACTTTGATGACTTTTTGAAAACCTGCTACTTGTGTGATGCTTCAAGGATTGACATTGCAATTAATTTGTCTTGTATTGTTGCATCCTGAATGATTAGTCAGAGAGGGACAAAAACCTGGACTTGATTGGGATTTTAATGAATGGCCTGTTCATTTGTGAATACGCTTGTGATATGTGGATTTTTACTTACCCAGTTTGTAATTGGGTATTTTCATAGTAAATCTATAACGGAGACTCCTCTCCTCTGTGGGACTGATACTGAGGGCGGGGTGAGTTAATGTTAACTTTGTTTCGTGGAGTATGAGGGTAGATAACTTTCTGTGAAAACTAGACTGCTTCTTCCCCTTCCCTCCCTACAGCTAATTCCCCCCTCCTCCCCCCAAAATGGAGTCTTGCTCTGTCACCCAGGCTGGAGTGCAGTGGTGTGATCTCGGCTCACTGTAACCTCTGCCTCCCGGGTTTAAGCGATTCTCCTGCCTCAGCCTCCCAAGTAGCTGGGATTACAGGTGCCTGCCACCACACCTGGCTAATTATTGTATTTTCAGTAGAAACAGGGCTTCACCATGTTGGCCAGGCTGGTCTCGAACTCCTGACCTCAGGTGATCCACTTGCCTTGGCCTCCCAAAGTGTTGGAATTTCAGGCGTGAGCCACTGCGCCCGGCCTCCCTCTGTGTGTGTGTGTGTGTGTGTGTGTGTGTGTGTGTGTGTGTTTTAAACTTTAGGTTCAGGGGTACATGTACAGGTTTGTTATCTAGGTAAATTGTTTGTCACAGAAGTTAGGTGTACAGATTATTTCATCACACAGGTGATAAGCATAGTACCCAAAAGGTAGTTTTTCCATCTTCACCCTCCTACCCTCCACCCTCAAGAAGGCTTTGGTGTCTGTTCTTCTCTTCTTTGTGTTCATGTGTACTCAATGTTTAGCTCCCACTTTCAAGTGAGAACAGCAGTATTTGGTTTTCTGTTCCTTTATTCACTAAAGGTAATGGCCTCCAGCTCCATCCATATTGCTGCAAAAAGCACATGTAGTATTCCATGGTGTATCTGTATCACATTTTCTTTATCCAGTGTACTGTTGATGGACATTTAGATTGATTCTGTGTCTTTGCTGTTGTGAATAGTGCTGCAGTGAACATATACATACATACATGTGCCTTCATGGTAGACATGATTTATAATCCTTTGGGTATATACCCAGTAATGGGATTGCTATGTCAAATGGTAGTCCTGTTTTCAGTTCTTTGAGAAATCACCAACCTGCTTTCCGCAATGGCTAAACTAATTTACATTCTCACCAGCATTGTATTAGTGCTCCCCTTTCTCCACAGTCTCACCAGCATCTATTATTTTTTGGCTTTCTAATAATGGCCGTTCTGACTGGTATGAGATGGTATCTCGTGGTTTTGATTTGCATTTCACTAATGATTAACGATGTTGAACATTTTTTCATATGCTTGTTGTCTGTGTGTATATCTTCTTTTGAAAAGTGTCTATGTCCTTTGCCCACTTTTTAATGGAGTTGTTTGGTTTTTGTTTGTTAATTTATTTAAGTTTCTTAGAGATTCTGGATATTAGACTTTTGTTGGATGCATAGTTTGCAAAAATTTTCTCCCATTCTGTAGTTTGTCTGTTTACTCTGTTGATGGTTTGTTTCTTTTGCTGTGCAGAAGCTCTTTAGTTTAGACTACTTCTGTAAAACTAGATGTTTGGTATTTTGATAAACTGAAATTTAAATGAAATGAAAGAAGATTTTAAAATAAGGATTTAAAGATAAGGATGAGATGTTATGACCAAGATTTTTGGGGAAGATAAACTAAATGATCATTCTAGATGAAGAAATTGTTACAATAGTAAGAAACACACCATACCTTATTTAATTGGTGGAGTGTAAGGTGTAATCATGAAGGTCTTTGTAGGTCATATAGAAAAGTTTGAACTTTTCCCTGTGCAGTAGTCTCCCCTATCTTTGGTTTTGCTTTTCCACAGTAAGATATTTTAAGAACAAGGGAGACCACATTCACATAACATTTATTATATAGTATATTGTTATACTTGTTCTATCTTATTAGTTACTGTTAATTTCTTGCTGTGCCTAATTTATAAATTAAACTTTATCATAGGTATCTATATATAGAAAAACGCGTAATATATATAGGATTTGGTACTATCCTCAGTTTCAGGCATCCACTGTGGGTCTTGGAATGTATCCTCTACCTCCACTGATAAGGGGGAGCTAGTGTCGTTCAGAAAAACTTCTGATCATCTATGTGCCAGGTTTTTTGTTAGGCTTAGAGAGATAAAAACATAATTCTTTTCTTCAAGGAACAAGTACTGGTGGGTAAGACAGACATTTAAACCAATCATTTTAATACTTTATACTAAATGCTATGCTGGAGATAAGTACAGAATGCTAAGAGCACAGAGGTGGGTGCTGGATACAGATTACACACTGCGTTCTGTCTGATATATAAGCTATCTTTAAGGATAAGTAGGAGTTAGCTAGGAGACTAGGGGTGGGTAGTTTAGGAGAGGGGAGTAGTATGAGTTAAGCAGGCACACGGGTAATAATCAGCCTGGTTTAAGTATAGAAGTCAAAATAATTTGGTGTTTCTGAAATGGATTAGTAATCCTTACCTTCAGAGTTGTGCTTTTTATTTCTTTATTAAGAGACAGGGTCTTGCTATGTCTGCCTTAGCCTCCCGAGTAGTTGGGACTACAGGTGTGTACCACCATGCCCAGCTAGAGTTGTACATTTTAATATGAATAGTTTTTTTCAGTGACAGAACTAAAATGTATAAATTGGGCAGTTTTATCTTGCCCAGTAAATGAAAAAGATATATATGAGATGGTGTTTAAGCCTTAATTTTTGTATCTTATTTAAGTTAGGGCAGATTTATATTTACTAGTTTTTTTCTGTTTTAAAAGTATGTTTGTTTTCTAACACATCTAACTGGTACTTATTAGGGCCCAGATGAATATTGCAGCTTCAAAATGAACTTTAGTCACAACATCTCACTCTTGTGAGCAGTGAAGCAATTATTGTAGATAAACTTGCTACTGTTTACTCTTTACTTAAAATAGCAAATTTTATATCTGAAGTTGTTACTCTTTGCTGCCATTTGAATAATATCTGGAATAATTGTGTCTTTACAGGATGAATGCTATCAAGTAAGACAAGTGTTTGCCCAGAAACTTCACAAAGGCCTTTCCCGTTTACGGCTTCCACTTGAGTATATGGCAATCTGTGCCCTTTGTGCAAAAGATCCTGTAAAGGAGAGAAGAGCTCATGCTAGGCAATGTTTGGTGAAAAATATAAATGTAAGGCGGGAGTATCTGAAGCAGCATGCAGCTGTTAGTGGTAAGCATATAAGAAAATGGAAAGGATACTTTTTCAGCCTGCTAGTTTCAGTTTTATAGAATATAGCATGATATATGATATTACTGTTATTTATTATTTGTGATTAACAATTTTTATTACCATTTTTCAATAACTGCTTTTCATTTAATATGAAGGTCATTTAAAAAATGCATGGTACTTAAATATCAACCTATATCTGTTTATGTAAAGGACTAAATGGCCAAGGAAAATAAACAATGACATTGGAGGTACTTTTAACAGAATAGTAAAATTTGTACATTTATATAGATTGAGCATTATCTTATTTTAATTGGAAAAAAGTACAAGACTTTGATCTTTGTTGTTTGTTCTCACCTGTAGCTGACATTAATATCAGGTGTTTGCGTGCCTACTTTTCATCTGCTCACTTTACCCCATTGAGGTTAGTTGGTGTGCCTCTTGACTTCCATGATTTAACAAACAGCATTAAAATCCATCCAGTTATCTCACTCAGAAATCAGAGGCATTATTCATACCTTTTTTCCCTCCTCTCATCCGTCACCAAATTCTGTTAATTCTTTCTCCAAATGTCTTGAACATTTATCTTCTACTCTCCTACCTTGCTATATTTTCACTTGGATTGTTGTATACATTGCCTCCCTGTTGTAATTGTTCCTGTGCCTCTGACCCACTGCCTGCTGTATCACATTGCTATCAAAATTATCCTTCTAAAACAGATTAGATCACATCAGTCCCTTACTTGAAATTTCTGTTGATTCTCTGTTGCTTGTGGGATAAAGTTGAAACACCTTATAGCCCTTTATAGTTTGCTCTCAGCCTGAGTTTCAAGCTTTCTTTCTGCTCCCTATTATGAAATCTGTGTTTCATTTACTTTCGATTACTTGAAATTTGTGTAACAGTCTTTTTTCTCTGTTGTCAACTCTATCTGGAAATTGCCTCCTGTTTCCAGACAAACAAACAATGAACAAAACCAAGGAACATGGTTGACACCTTTTGAATGCTTTAAAATACAGTTTTGGGGTTACCACATCACTGTGACCCTCTTTCTTTTTTTTTCCTTCCTTACGCTGGAAAATGTGAGGGGTCTGCAGTCACATCCCACTTCTGCCGTTTACCTGTCGTATTTTGGCAGATTACTTAATCATTTGTGCCCTAGTTTCCTTATTTGCAAAATTGATATAATTATACTGATTGCTTGTGGTTGTTGTGAGAATTTAAAAAATTACATACAGTGCCTGGCATAATGTATGGCCCAAAGAAGTGCTCAGTATGTGTTAGCCATTCTTATTTTGGTGCACCTTTCACATTGAAGTGTAGCTTCTGTCTCTGATTATGCTTTAGTGTGAGCTCTTTACCTAGTCTTACTCATCTTTATATTTTTAGATTCTAATATAGGCCTGGAACATAGTAAACAGTCAATAAATATTTGATAGAATTTAATTTTAATTTCACCAGATTTTGAACTGTGTTACCTTTTTCTTTCCACGTCGGCCTTGAAATGAATGATGTTACACACAAACTGTTCTCTGTAGATTTAGCAATAGAAATAAAGAAAATTTGATGCTTTATTGACACATATACATGAGGTTAAAACATCCAATTTATATTTTTATTTGGCAAATAGGAAATATAAATGGAAATTGTCCAGAATATGAGTCCCAGTCTATGTGTACCCCTTATTAAACCAATTAGGATTACCATTCTGACCTCTTTAACAGAATATGTTTATCTCAGCCAACATACAAAAATAATTGCATTTAAACTAAATAGCTGTTTCTTTATTTAAAATGCCCTAGAAACTCTTAAGTCTGTTCCTTTATTCTGTTTTTCTGTTACAATTAGTATCAACCTCTTGTTGTTCCATATTGACTCTGAAAAATACTAGATGTTACTTATTTTGCTCAGCAGCTTACAAGAGAGTGTTAAACATAGGGTCATTTCTAATAGGAAAAATAGATGTTTTTTCTCTCACTCTTGAATATAGTTTGTTTGGGTCACTTTTTCCTTACGTATTTTAAAACTGAAATATTTGTTTTTGTAGCCTCAGCCCATGGTGTATTTAGTAGGCCATTTCAATATTGAACATGGTAGATGAATGAATAGACTGTTTATCATGTACCTCAACACAGGGTATTTCAATATATTTTTCTTCAAGTCATTGTGGTGAACTGTTGGGATGCAGAAAATATAGTACGAAAGAAAGAGTATGTAAGATTTGGTTTTCTAACCTGGATATTTTTGTTTTGTTTTGTTTTTTGCTTTTTCTTTTGTTTTTTTTTGTTTGTTTGTTTGTTTTCTTTTTCAGAAAAATTATTGTCTCTTCTACCAGAGTATGTTGTTCCATATACAATTCACCTTTTGGCACATGACCCAGATTATGTCAAAGTACAGGATATTGAACAACTTAAAGATGTTAAAGAGTAAGACTTTTTCCATCCCATTTTCATATTTTCTGAAAGTTATTTTTTCTCCTTAATGCTGATAATTGGATCTCAATTATAATTAGTTTATTGATGTATTTCATTTCTTAGGTGTTTAAGGTTCTTTATTTGCTCTCTTGTCTTTCTTTTTTCATACCATCTCTTTATATTACATTTTTAATGTAGTTTCCCAAAACTTAATCATAATTATTATAGTTATGTTTCTGTACCAGTCTGGTGTTCCTTTTCTATTGAAGTAATTCATTAAAATTTCCATTCCATTTCTTATCTTTTCCTTCTTCCTTCTGAAACTGTGTAGATTTTCATGTGAGGTCAATTAATCATCTTGCTTTTACTCATGTAGTAAGCACATTTTTCTTTGCAATAACTATCTTCCTCTGTAGAAGGAGAATGGTCTAATTTTAACAATGGGCCAAATTCGTAACTGGGGAACTACTCCTACTTATTACTTAATTGGTGATTCTCTAACTAGAGTTTAAAATATTTGTAATTCTTTCAAAGATTATTGCTTAAAGACTGAAAACACTGTACATGCCTGGGTGGGGAATAGGAATATAGTGATATTTAGAGAAATCTTTAAGACCAGCATAATTCTTTAAATAAGCTCGAGACCCTGGTCCTTGTTCAGTTACAATAAAAGATTACCATTGGGATTTTTAATCAACTAATTTATGATGCCTTTAGTTTCCTATTATATTAAAATGTTTCTTAATGTCTTAATTTTTAGAAGTATTTTATAGTTAAATAATTTGAGAAGCCTCAGGAGAATAAAATCAAATTAATGATGAATTCTCATGGCAAAGGAAAAAATGCCCTTTTTTTCCCACTGCAGTTTCCTTTTTTAAAAAATAAGAAATTAGTTCGGCCAGGCCTGGTGGCTCATGCCTGTAATCTCAGCACTTTGGGAGGCTGAGGCGGGTGGCTCACCTGAGGTCAGGAGTTCCAGAACAGCCTGGGCAACATGGCAAAACCCCGTCTCTACTAAAAGTACAACAAAATTAGCCAGATGTGGTGGTGCGTGCTTGTAGTCCCAGCTACTTGGGAGGCTGAGGCAGGAGAATTGCTTGAACCTGGGTGGTGGAGGTTGGCAGTGAGCCAAGATCACACCACTGCACTCCATCCTGGGCAAACAGAGTGAGACTCTGTCTCTATTAAAAAAAAAAAAAAATTAGTTCTATCAAAATTAGTTTTGTGTTAGAGTGATTAAAACTGTTGAAAACTTCTAGCCACTTCTTTCTGAGAACATTGGGTTTTTAAAAATAAATAAAACATCCTTTGGAATTTACTAGACACTTACGGTTATATTTCTAAGTAGCCCCAGTGTAGCCATGCATAATCTCCATTCTATCAGGGAGCCACTTCAGAAGAACTTATCCTATACCTAAGTTCCTAAAGGTTATTTCTTTTCTGTTCTAGAATAATACCTTGCTTCACATTTCTCTCCTCCTTCTCCCATTACTTTTCTCCTCTATGTATCAACTATAACTTTGTTCCTTTCTGTCTCTATAATACATAGGCAAAACACTTTCATTTTGTATTGAATAGAGTTTTACGTAATTAAGTTTAAAACTGAGCTACTGAAGCTTTCTTTTAATTTTTCCCTTTTTAAGCAAAGACAATGCTTATAATTGTCAATCTTGACTTTTTCTCTCTATTATTGAATATTCTTAACTGTTCATATTTAATAAGGCAGTTATATTCTCTTGAAGAGTTCCCATCAGGACTGTAGTCAGTCTTGAGTATCTGAGGCCTCACTTGATCCGTGGCCCCACTATTCCTTTGACAGTCTTTAACTCCCTGTCATAGCTGAGGGTTAAGATAACTTCATCCTTTCTACCATTTATGTTTCCCCTTTAACCCGCCTCCTTGGAAATCTGGTGAGATTTTAAGAAGGGATCTTATAAGCTCATATCTGCATTGTTGACCTGTTTTTATATGTTTGTATGACATATTCTTTTTCCCTGCTGGTTTGTAACTGTTTCTTTTTTTTTTTTCTTCCTGGAGTTATATTATCTAGGTTTGTTATATTTATATTTAGAATTATTGTATCTATATTTAACAAAGGATGATTTTCTTCTATATTTCTTTTTTCCTTTTTTTTTTTTTTAGATGTCTTTGGTTTGTTCTGGAAATATTAATGGCTAAAAATGAAAATAACAGTCACGCTTTTATCAGAAAGATGGTAGAAAATATTAAACAAACAAAAGATGCCCAAGGACCAGATGATGCAAAAATGAATGAAGTATGTAATTCTTTGTAAATAATTATGGTTCCATATTGATTTAAAAATTTAGGTGTAAAGTATGAAACTTCTGTAGTATTTATAGATAGCATCAAATAATTTTTTCTATTAGTAATTAGAATTACGTAGAATTAGCAGTAATTTTATTACAAGTAAATGAGCAAAACCAGTAGTGTAAGCTAAGATGCTTACACAGACTGTTGCTTTCATTAGTTTGCTATTCAGACTGGATTCATGTTCTGAAATTATTCCTAGTTTACAGAGTCTAGATTGCCAGCTTAAGTATCTGTGTTTTTAAAAATATACTATTGCAGAAACTGTACACTGTGTGTGATGTTGCCATGAATATCATCATGTCAAAGAGTACTACATACAGTTTGGAATCTCCTAAAGACCCGGTACTACCAGCTCGTTTCTTCACTCAACCTGACAAGGTAGTTACTTTACAATTTGTTTGTGTAAGTTGAAATAAAATGTATTCTCAGCACTGGATTGTAGGAAGATCAGGAAGGATCATGGAAAAATTGCTGTGAGTCTTAAGAATGTGATTTAAGATCAGAACCAGAATATGAGTCAAACTGGAGGACACACATAAGGTTCAGATATTAGGATGATCTGGTGTTTATGTTCAGTTTTAAGACAGTCTTAGAGCGCAGGTAGAAATGTGATCAAAGCATGTGAATCTGTGAATTAATGGCCATTGTTCAAAATGGGAAGGAGAGTGCTGATAGAGATACAGTCTGAAGTTAAAAGCCCTTTATTGGGATTTATAATTGGTATGAGGAAACAAGCAGAGAACAGACACTAGAACATGCCTAAGACCCTGGGAATACTACAAGAGTGTTACCAAACCATGCTCCAAAAACTCGAGTGTGATATAAGATGTAAAAAGTGTTTCCCACAGTCCCTCTTACTCCTTTATAATTTATTTATTTAATTCCTCGTAATTTAGCTGAACATATTGAGTAACAGAGTCTGGAAATAACCACTATCCTCTTTTTGCTTTTAAAGCAAAATGCCAGTTAAGACCTTACCAGTGTATAGAGATTTGGAACAGGCCTGTAGGATTGCTCAGTAGCTAAAAGGGCTGTCACGTTGGTGTGAGCAGAGTAATAGGAATATGTACATGTGGTCTTTCCCCTGAAGGGTGTTATTAAAGAAGCATGTGTTTTCTGATGCACTCTTAGAGCTCTAACATGTTAGAGCTCAAATATGTTTTGTTAATATTAGAGTTGGCATGAGGTTGGTTTAACCTTATTACAGTAGTTAAAATCAGTGACTGAAATTTTGTGTTTCATATGATAATTTAGTTTAAATAAAAAAACTGCTGTTTGCTTTGTTGGCTTTTGAACCACCTGTAGATAGTGTTTTAATATTCACTGACTACTTCTTTTTCTCTTGGTTGTAGAATTTCAGTAACACCAAAAATTATCTGCCTCCTGAAATGAAATCATTTTTCACTCCTGGAAAAGTATGTTTTGAGAATCATTTTAATTTTTATGTGGTAGCTTATTTTAGAGTGATTATTGGCAAAATTGTGTTATTTTGTATTTCTTCAAAAATTTATATTTTCAAGCTGGAAAATATAAGAATTAACGATCTTACATTTACTAGTAAGAAATAATTATATTTACTAGATATACACAAGCTGAAATACACAAATTACTTTTTAGCTTGTAATAAAGTCCTAGGAGACCTGATTCTTAGACTTCTTAGGTTAATATCAAGATAAAAAAAATCTTAAAAGGCTTTTTTTTTTGAGACGGAGTCTCTGTTGCCCAGGCTGGAGTGCAGTGGCGCATCTCGGCTCACTGCAAGCTCCGCCTCCTGGGTTCAAGTCATTCTCCTGCCTCAGCCTCCTGAGTAGCTGGGACTACAGGTGCCTGCCACCACGCCTGGCTAATTTTTTGTATTTTTAGTAGAGACGGGGTTTCACTGTGTTAGCCAGGATGGTCTCGATCTCCTGACCTCGTGATACACCCGCCTTGGCCTCCCAAAGTGCTGGGATTACAGGCGTGAGCCACTGCACCCGGCCAAAAAAGCATATTCTTATGTCTTTCCATGGCAAGAGTCTAATTATCTATTTTCATTGTTGATTATTCATTTCATTTGTTCTCACTTTTTATGTAAGCCGTTTTCTCCAGATAACTAAGAAATTCAACTGTTATGCTGTCTGTATAGTTTTTAATTTGTTCAAGTGATATTTAGTTTATACTTATTACTTTGCTTAAGGATAGACACATTTTTCATGATTTGTAAGTAAATACTTTGAGAGAGATGTTATTTATGGTTCTTTACACGTAACTTTCTTTTGGCTTTAACCAAATAAAAAGAGATGTGCATTTCTCATTTCAGCCTAAAACAACCAATGTTCTAGGAGCTGTTAACAAGCCACTTTCATCAGCAGGCAAGCAATCTCAGACCAAATCATCACGAATGGAAACTGTAAGCAATGCAAGCAGCAGCTCAAATCCAAGCTCTCCTGGAAGAATAAAGGGGAGGTAAGTGCAAAAGAAATGCCACAATTTACATTTAAGGATTCCAGCAAGGCTATGAGATCTGAAATAATATAATCCAAAATGTTTCATGTCAGTAAATGGAAAGTAATGTATTACTTAATTTTTCCATTTAACATTGGTAGTCACAAGTTCATACTTATTTGCTTGCTCATTTTGGATGGGTGCTCTGTCTTAGTCTTTCATTCTTTAGCTTGTTGGGGGTAATCTGTGTTAGTACACATAAACTAGTTTCCAACCTCAGTGTGTAGCAATTGTAAAACTGTTGTATTATGGTGTATGATACAATGGAATACATAGTCATTAAACATGATGAGGTCTGAGTTAGTATGGAAGAGTTTCCACAATACATTATTGAGTGAAAAAGGCAAAGTATATAAAGCAGCATTATGGAATCTTTAAGTTTTGAAAACAGATTAATGTTCACATTTGTTTTTATATGCATAGAAAGTTTTTTTGAAGAATATGCAAAATCTTAACAGTATTTATGTTAACCTAGTATAGAAAGGGAGGTTATTTTATACTTTTTGGTATCATTTGAATTTATTTGTATAGTACCACGTACATATATAAACTTCGTTTTTTTAAAAGTGTGTTTTTGCTTTTTTGTTTTTTTTAAATTCAACTTTTATTTTAGATACAGAGGGTACATGTGCAGGTTTGTTACATGGGTATATTGCATCCAGATAGTGAGTATAGTACCCAATAGGTCGTTTTACAGCCCACATCCTCCTTTCTCCAGCTCCCCCAGTAGTCCGCATTGTCTGTTGTTTCCATGTGTATACCCATGTGTGTTTGATGTTCCCTCCCATTTATAAGTGAGAACATGCAGTATTTGGTTTGCTGTTCCTGTGTTAATTTGCTCAGGACTGTGGCCTTCTTGCTGTGAAGTACATGATTTCATCCTTTTTTATGGCTGCGTAGTATTCCATGGTATATATGAACTTCATTTTTTTAATCCAGTCCATTATTGATGGGTACCTAGGTTGATTCCATATCTTTGATATTGTGAATAGTGCTGCATTAAACAGATGAGTGCATGTGACTTTTTGGTGTAATGATCTATTTGCATTTGGGTATATAACCAGTAGTGGGATTGCTGGATCAAATGGTAGTTCTGTTTTAGGTTCTTTGAGAAATCTCCAAACTGTTTTCCATAGTGGCTGAACTAATTCACATTCCCACCAACAACATATAAGCGTTCTGTTTTCTCTGCAGCCTCACCAGCATCTGTTGTTTTTTGACTTTTTAGTAATAGCCATTCTGACTGATGTGAGACGGTATCTCGTTGTAGTTTTGATTTGCATTTCTCTGATGATTAGCGATGATGAGCATTTTTTAATGGTTGGCCATTTGTCTTCTTTTGAGGAGTGTCTGTTCATGTCCTTTGCTCATTAAAGAAGAGTTTTTAAAATGATTCTTTGAGAAAAACAAAAGGAAAATTAATTCATCCTTTCACTGGTTTTAGCATAAGTGCTTAGGGCACGATTTGTTAGCACAGAGCATTGTATAGGGCTAAACTGCCACTATTTATTGATTTTTGCCAAGTTATTATTAAAAGACTGTACTGTCTTTTTCATTGTTGATAACCAATCAGTAAAGAAGGTAGGTGACATTCTATGAAATCTTACCAAATTTCTTATAATGAATAAATTGTTGAATGATATATAGTATGATAGAAATAAAAGAAATTGCATTTATAGCTTTTGTTTGTTCTAGATTCCTGTATTAATGCATGTTAGTGGCTAATACCAAAGTGACCCTTTAGTTATATCAGTTGGACATTTTCTATCAAATGGTCTCATATTTAACATGACCAGAAACATTTCCATCAACTCATTTTCTAAATTACTGGTTTTTCTCCTTGAATTCCTTATTATAATCAAAGATGATCTAATTCACCCAGGCAGAAAGCCTCGAAATTGTGTTTGACTCTTCCCCCCTCTATATTTTTTCAGTTGCTAAGTTTTGCTAACTTTTTTTCTGTGCAATGTTTTGTACTTCTCTTTTTACTGTCATCATTTAGTTCATTTTCTTTCTTTAATTATTGTCGTATTTGACTAGTTTACTTCCTTATTCCTCTCAATTGTGTATATTGTATCACTGCTAGATAATCCTTTAAAAATACTACTGTCGTGATGTTATTTCATTGCTCAGAGATCTTAATTGGCTTCCCTTGTTTGCTTTCAAGACAAGTATAATTTCACCCTCTCCTTATCATCCATTTGTTATTCAACACAAAAGTATCCTAATTTATACTTTTTCAATATAGTTTTCTTTAAACTTTCTTTCAATGTTTGACCAATCTGTTTTGTTATTTTTTTCTTCCAAATTCCGTCTGTTTAGTGGGACTGTTTGCAGGGGAATGAAGTAGGTATATTTGAGAAACCTGTTTGGTTGGAGAGTAGGAATGAGGGAAAAATTATGAGAGGAAGTTGAGAGGTAGTCTGATTATGTTTGGACTTCGTAAACCATGGTAAGGAGTTTGGATTTGATTTTAAGTGCAACTGAAAGATTTGCCAGGGAGTCTAGCAATCTCATTTGTGGTTTTTAAAAAAAATTGCCCTGATGATTTGTGCAGAATGTACTATAGAGGAGCTAGAATTGAGGTAGAAAAAGCAATTAGGAGTCAGCGAATCATAATCTATGGCAGGGATGAAGAGGGAAGAAGATGGTAAATAGTCAAATTTCAGATTTTTTTTTTAAGAGTAGTGAAATGCAGTAGTGAGAAGGGAGGAGTGAGTTAAAACAAGGAGTTTGATGTCTAACTAACCATGAGCAATCAGTTGAGAATAACTCACTGCCTTTCGACCACCCTCAGATTTATTTTGATGTTAGATAGATCAGATGATCTTTCTAATGGATTAGATGTGAACAGTTAGGGAAAGGGACGATTTAAGGGTGTATCCTGGGCTTTTTACCTGAATAACTGGAGAGATGGTGGTACCGTTTACTGAGATACAGAAGCCTTGAGGAAGAACAGGCTCTGTTTGTATGTATGTGTTTTGGGGAAGTGGAAATAAGAAGAGTGTTCAAATAACTGTTTTGGCTACATTAAAGATCAGGTGCCTATTAGAATTTCAAGTGAAGTGTTGAGTAGACAATTGGATATGTGAGTTTAGAACTCAGCGTAGCTGGACCAGAGATTGAGATTTAGAGTTCAACAACATATAAATAGTTTTAAAAACTAGATAAAGGTGAGACCACCCAGGACAGAGGCCTGGACCTTTATATGAATGCCAACTCTATGCCTGGCACTGATTTAAGTGCTTGGCATACATTGGTAAGTAAAATTGATTGACACAAGATTCATGCTTATATTCTAACGGGAAGGCAGTCAGTACGTAATAAATGTAATAATTATAGTGTGTTAGAGGGTGTTAAATGCTACAGAGAGAAGAAAAAATAGAATAGGGTAAGGAACCAGGGCAGGTTGCAGTGTAGACCAAGCTAAACTGCCAACGAGAAAAGTTTTAATTGGTTCTATGATCTGACCCCAAAATAGAATTTAGGTTTTAAAAAGACTTAGAAAAATATTAGATTTAAATTTTTGATTTTTAAAATTTTCTCACTATATTAAATTAAATGAGCTTCATTGCTTGTTGAGTTGGTACCAAATATGGTAGAATGAAACTGATTCATTTTTGAAAAGAACGAAATTTTTTCCATAAATCTGTAAAGCTACACTAGGAACAGAAAAAGCTTGTAAGGTTATTTGATTGTAATAACAATTACAAATGTCTGTATTAAAAGGCTTGATAGTTCTGAAATGGATCACAGTGAAAATGAAGATTACACAATGTCTTCACCTTTGCCGGGGAAAAAAAGTGACAAGAGAGACGACTCTGATCTTGTAAGGGTGAGATATTTGCATTGATTTTATAATAATATTAATGATAATTTTACTTAGTAATGTTTACACTGAAACCAGTTAACATGACTATCAAATTTACATTTTATTTTATTTTATTTTAGTGGTTTTAACCACAAACCTGAGTTTATAATTATCCTCTATGTAATTTAAGTATATAGAATCTGTGCTTCTTATCAATGTGATAAGTAATCTCAATTGTTCAGATTTTTGGTATTAGACTTGCCAGTTGCATACTCAACTGCTTGGTTTTTGTATTGTTTTCCTCATTTGCTTGTGGTTTTGTTGTTGTTGTTGTTTTTGTTAACATAGGATATTTAGACTTAGCCTTAGAGAAGGGGAATGGAATGAGGACCCTTAAAACTTCTTTCATTTAATTTATTTCTTGAGCCTTTTACTAAATAAGCTGCTGTTAAAGGTAGAAAATGCTATAGTTCTCGTCAAGTCCTTGTTCAGTTTTTAAATCTTAATAGAAATGATAAAATGATAACTTGTATGATAGACAGTTTGTGTTGTTTTAAGACAAATTTGTTAAGTTTTAGCATAGACACAAAATACAGTTATGTCTTCTAACACAACTCAATGGACTTAACTGGGTTTGTTTTGACTTTACAGTTCAGCTTCAGATCATTTCCTTAATAACTAATTAGGCTATCAGAATCAATTTTCTTATCTGTATGTAAATTATGGATACTTAGCTGGTAAGCTTTATCAGAGTAAGTGACTTAGCCAAAATGAATTGCTGCTGCTGTTTCATTGTTACGACTTTTGATTATGGTTATCATAATAATAAAAGTTAAAATGTTCGAATCTACGTGATTAAGAGAGGTGAGAGGTTAACCAAGAAATAATTACTTTTACTTTCTCTAAAATATTACTGCCCATCTTCCACGAGTCCAGCATTACACATGCCAAGAAGTTTATTTTCATGTTTCTCCAATAACTTATTTTGGCAGAGTGTTTATTTCCATTTAGAAAGAATTATTCTTTTTTGTTTTGTTTTGTTTTGTTTTTTGAGACACAGTCTCACTTTGTCGCCCAGGCTGGAGTGCAGTGGCACGATCTGGGCTCACTGCAACCTCCGCTTCCCGGGTTCAGGTGATTCTCTTGCATCACCCTCCTGGGTAACTGGGACCACAGGCATGTGCCAGCATGCGTAGCCAATTTTTGTATTTTTTAAAGGCGGGGTTTCACCATGTTGGCCAGGCTGGTCTCAAACGCCTGATGTCAGGTGATCTGCCTGCCTTGGCCTCCCAAAGTGCTGGGATTACAGGCTTGAGCCATACTGCCCGCTGTGAAAGAATTATTCTAAAATTTTATTGAATTCTAACTATGTATACTGTAAGTTACGATGTTTATTGGCTGTTTAAAATTTTCACATGAGCAAAATTAAGAATTGATCACTTAGCTTGGAAACAATCTTGTTATCTGGATTTACAGAAGAAAATCCTTGAATTGGAAAAGGTATTATGTCTTCTTAGTTCTCACTTACTGCAGAAATTCCTTTATTATTAATGAGAGCTGGTCACCACGTTGAAAATGCTTTAAGCAGAGAGCTCATGATGTATTTCATTTGTTGGAAAAGTCAACTAGGTCACTCATACCCACACCTATAGTGTACTACACTTATACCTTGGTGTTCCCATCCCCCAAAAGTTGGGAAACATGGTTTTTATTAATTCTTAATATTCTGTTATCCTATAAATTTTGCATCTGCTTTTACCTTTTGGGATAGTACAGAACAAAGTCTACTCTATTTTTCATAGAACTGTTTTGAATTTTTGAGCTCTTGAGACCTATTAGTATGATTGTAATGGAGGCCTTTTGCTATTTGTTGTGGCATGGATAATGTGTAACGTTAGGTCCAGTTTTAGAGGTGCTAGAAGAATCTTATTAATAAGCTAGTTTTGACTGAAGTGCCCTCAGAGAGATGAGTATTATGAGACACAAGTTGAATTTAAAGACCAGTAGATTATAATGAAAGAGCACGGTCTCATTTGCTTGTTACCAGCTTCTCATTGAAATTTCACAGCAAAGGAATTATTTTCCATATACGTTTGTATTTAAATATTTAGCTTTATAAATAAAATATTTTCCTGTCTTTTGCTTCTAACCTCGGTTTTATACTCCCTCTGTTCTTAAAACAGTGCAATGCAAAATGAAAAAGAAATAAGTAGTGGTGCTTTAGGAAACTAGATTAGTATTCTCAAGAAAGTAGACATTGGGTTTTCTTTTTACCACCAACCTTTTCCAGAGCTTAAAGGAAATCATCTACCTTTTTAGATCTTTGGACATCAAAAAGAATTATAGTAATTAAAATAAGAAGTGACATTTTAAATTTAGTTCTAATTTAACATTTCTTTTACCTTCTTATCTTTGAGTAAAAACAGTTAATTTTTAATTTGTGCACAAAACTCTAAATAAATAAAACAAACTAAATCCAGTCATGTATAGATCTTCCCCTCTCCTTAGAATGTAAGGATAGCTTAATGTTACCAAATCTTTTACTATGATAGTATATTAAATAAACCAAAGGGAAAACCAAAAACAAAATAATTTCAGATCATGCCAAGAGGACATAAATAAAACTTAAGATCCGTTCTTGACAAATAGGAACTTTTAGTAAACTAGTACCAGAAGGATACATCTTTAATGTGCTAAAAGTTTTGTCTATTTTAAATCAGTAGTCAATGCCATTCTTCCTAAAGGCAAAATACTTGAAGCATTCTTTTTAAAAATCAGGAACAAAACAAGCAACCTGCTGTCACCACTGTTTTTAAAAATTGCTCTAGAATGTTTGACCAATTGTTATTTTTGTAATCTTAGAAAAATAAAAGAAGCAATTGAAAATCTATCCCTACCTATGTATATATTTATGTTTGTAACTAACATTACTCTGATAATTTTGGTTTGTATCAGATGTACATTTAGGGGAAAAGGGATTATTTTCTTCATCACAAGAACCAGTGCAACAACAAACATAGATTGACTGATTGACAGATTCATAGATTTAAATATAACCTTTAAAAGAAATAGGGAGTACCTATATGTAGAAAATCTCAAAACTGAGATAGGGAGGACCTATATGTAGAAAATCTCAAAACTGGAAGACTTGAAGAGAGAGAAGACAGGCCATGTTCTTGTATAGGAGAAAGGAATAAAAAAGGATGAAAGTTTTTTTCAACTGAATATATAATTGCAAAATTCCAGCATGGTTTTGTTTCAAGTCTATGTGGAGGAATAAATAAATATAAAAGGAGGAGAAATAAAGGTAGGTTCAGCCCTACCAGATACATAATTATACTTAGTAAAATATTGTGCTTCTGTTATGATAGCCCAGAAATATTATTCTTGTTCAAAACATATAAAATAAAGGAAGCACTACAAATCATTGATTCTGAAATGGTTGGATGTGTCTTTGGGAGTGGAAAATCCAGTTTAGAATCTCATCTCACATTCTGTTCTAAAACAATACACAATAATGTCTTAGTCAGCTCAAGCTGCCATTATAAAATACCAAATACCACAGACTGGGTAGCTTAAACAACAGAACTATATTTTCTTACAGTTCTGGAGGCTGGAAGTACAAGATCAAGGTGCCAGCAGATTTGGTTCCTGATGAGGGCTGTCTTCCTGGGTTACAGATGCCACCTTCTCCTGTGTCCTCACATGAGAGGTGTGGGGTGGGAGGAAGAAGAAAGGCACCCAAGCTCACTGATGTTTCCTCTTATAAGGACACTAATCTCATCATGAGGGTGCCACCTCATGACCTCATCTCAACGAAATACCTCCCAAAGGCCCCATCTCCAAATACTGTCACATTGGGATTAGAGCTTGAACATACAATTTTTTTCTTTGGTGGTGGGGGCCACAATTCAGTCCAAAGCAAGTAAGAAATAACACTTAAAGGACAGGTGCAATGACACCTGTAATCCCAGCACTTTGGGAGGCCGAGGCAGGCGGATCACCTGAGTTTAGGAGTTTGAAACCAGCCTGGCCAACACGGCAAAACCCCATCTCTGCTAAAAATACAAAAATTAGCCACGCATGGTGGCACATGCCTCTAGTCCCAGCTACTCGGGAGGCTGAGGCAAGAGAATCGCTTGAACCCGGGAGGCAGAGGTTGCAGTGAGCCAAGATTGACCCACTGCACTCCAGCCTGGGTGACAGAGCGAGACTCTGTCTCAAAAAAAAAAAAAAGAAAAAAAAAAAAAGCTGGGTGCAGTGGCTCATGCCTGTAATCCCAGCACTTTGGGAGGCCGAGGCGGGCGGATCACAAGGTCAGGAGATTGAGACCATCCTGGCTAACACGGTGAAACCCCGTCTCTACTAAAAAAATACAAAAAAAAAAAAAAAAAAAAAAATTAGCCAGGCGTGGTTGCAGACACCTGTAGTCCCAGCTACTCGGGAGAAGGCTGAGACAGGAGAATGGCGTGAACCTGGGAGGCGGAGCTTGCAGTGAGCAGAGATGGTGCCACTGCACTCCAGCCTGGGTGACAGAGTGAGACTCCATCTCAAAAATAATAAAAGATAATATTAATAATAAAGAAATAACACTTAAAAATAAGCATAGAGGCATACACAAAAGCATAGAGGAATATAGAGAAAACCCACTAACACCGCAGTAGTCAAAGTTGACAAAGGACACAATACGAAGGATGTAATTAGGCAGTTCACATACAGGAAGCTCAATTTAAAGTTAGAAAAAGTTACAGATAATTCGATAGTTTTTGTTGTTTTCAGTGATTTTTGAAAATATAAATTGCGCAGACTTTTGGAAATTAACTTTGTATTATAAGTGTTCATACATACAATTTATTCTTGGGTCTTTGGAGAATTTCTTCAGCCTTCACGCTGGTTCACATATAGATTCTCTGAATATAGACTAGGATTTTATTTTAAATGTGAAAGCCACTGGTTTTTTGTTGTTTCTGTTGTTAATCAGTTAGTTATACCTAGAAAGAAGCAGTATTTCTAATTCAGAAGTGTTTCCAAAATTTATAATAAATGATGAATATGTTTACCTTTTGTATCTTGCAACCTCCATTTGTAAAATAATAGTTCTTTTATGATGTTGTAAGCATGTCATATAGTTAATATTTTATGTCTTACGCACTATGTGGTAAAATTAGAATTACTTAAATTGACTATCCAAACAGATACTTTAGTATAGTTGTCATTTAGGACCAAGCACTGAATTTATAATGCTCTTTTTAATGAGATAGCTCTTCACTAAAATTTATAATTTAGTAAGATACTGATCTTGAGAGGTTTCCTTTTAAGACACTCTAGCTGAAAAGTAAGAGTGCAAATGTACCCTTTTATCCCAGATAAGTTTTTAAAATTAAAAACTATAATAAAAGCAAATAAATACAGTTCTGGTGTATTTAAGAGCTGTATATTTTAGGTACATATCTAGGACAACATTAGATAACAGATTTTTTTGTTTCATTCCTCAAAATATGTATACTCACAATTTCATAACCATAAATTGTGATTTTTTTTTTCCCCTAGTCTGAATTGGAGAAGCCTAGAGGCAGGAAAAAAACGCCCGTCACAGAACAGGAGGAGAAATTAGGTATGGATGACTTGACTAAGTTGGTACAGGAACAGAAACCTAAAGGCAGTCAGCGAAGTCGGAAAAGAGGCCATACGGCTTCAGAATCTGATGAACAGCAGTGGCCTGAGGAAAAGAGGCTCAAAGAAGATATATTAGAAAATGAAGATGAACAGAATAGTCCGCCAAAAAAGGGTAAAAGAGGCCGACCACCAAAACCTCTTGGTGGAGGTACACCAAAAGAAGAGCCAACAATGAAAACTTCTAAAAAAGGAAGCAAAAAAAAATCTGGACCTCCAGCACCAGAGGAGGAGGAAGAAGAAGAAAGACAAAGTGGAAATACGGAACAGAAGTCCAAAAGCAAACAGCACCGAGTGTCAAGGAGAGCACAGCAGAGGTAAGCATGTGTAACTCTAAACTGCATCTGTTTCGTTACTATATTATAAATCATAATTTGATGCTATCCACATTTGGGTCTTCCCCAAAGCAGAGCAGAATCTCCTGAATCTAGTGCAATTGAATCCACACAGTCCACACCACAGAAAGGACGAGGAAGACCATCAAAAACGCCATCACCATCACAACCAAAAAAAAATGTGTAAGTTGTAAATATTACATTTCAAACCAATTTCAAATTATTTTGCAAAAGTTCCTAAATTTGTAAACATACATATTGCTGTATTTAAATTCCATATATTTAGCCCCATTACACTAGGTAAGATAAAATTTTTATAAACTTACCTTAGTGATTGATATCTCAATAAACTATCTTGTACATTTTTACAGGTGCAGGCAAATCTTCATAAATGAATACCAAATAGTATATTATTTCCTATACAGACTTTATGATATCTAAAGAAATCATAAGGTATTTTTAAATAATCACCACACATTGACCAGGTTGCCTTGTCATTCCACACTACAATTTTTTTTTTAAATGTTTCTCATTAGCACCTTTTCCTTTAAAAAAAGGAAAATAGGTCTTATGCTTCTGCTTTTATTCTTTGAACTTGTAGTAGGAAAGTAACAGGTACCATTTTTTAAAAATTATATCCATAGAAATTAACACATGTTGGTCTCAAGTGTTTGATATCTTGATTTTGTTTGTTTTCTAACCCAGTTCATTTATCTACATCAACATGTATATAGTTTTAGATGTTCACACAAACACATTTATAAGAGAGGTACAGTAAGAATCTGTACCTCAAATTTTAGTGTCACCAGAGTATCACTGCTGTAATTTGCAGATCTGACAGTGTTTTTTCTCCTTAGTTATGTGAGTGGAAATAGAGTAGCATGTCTTCTATTAGTCAGAAATTTAACACTTTTTCTGAGAGTAATCCCACCCATACATAATTACATCATGGCTCGACTTTTCAGAGTTGCCAATGTACTGTCATTAAATACTCAATTATCTTAGAGATTTTCCTATTCCTGTGTATTCCACAGGAAGAGGAAAAGTTGCCTGGGTGTCTAGCCAGTACTTCATGCCATCTTCCATGTAATTTTTCTATCAGGTTAAAAGTAAAGGTAAGTACATTTTTGTGGCAGCTTTATAAATGTGTTTGGATTCAACCAAATCACTATTTCTAAACAAAGGATTCTTAAGGAATCCTTTATTTAATAAAATACACATGAATGATGTAACAAGGAAATAACAAACCTCATAATTTTAGTTTGTTTATATTTGGACATCATAAAATTCAGGGTTTAAATGATTATTGTGCTCTCCTAAAATTACACAAGTCCTATGAATGTTCTAAACCAAACAAGTATTTCTTAAAAAAAAAAAAAAATTGATATGGAAGAAGATTCTGTAGTCTGTCTTGGAAGCCTATCTTCCTTTCACTGGGAAGCTCTTTCTAGAGCTAGTATACTAACATATGTTAGGATTTGTTTCTTTTTCTTGTTCTGACCTCAGTGAAATTGAAAAAGATTGTCATTATGTTTCATGTTATTTCTATAGTTTCATTAATCTCGAAAAACCAAACCAAGTAAAAAAATTGTTTGGTTCGAGCGTGAGTTAAAAAAATACATATTTTGGATTGCTTATAGAAGTGATGTTATGTTTCTAATTTTAAAAAATAAAGATTTATCAAGAGGGATCCATTTGATTAGATGGTTCTATTACATATTTTTTGATGCCTCCTGTGTTTCAGAGAGTACTAGGTGCTAGGGACACAAAACAGACGTGGTACTTGTTTTCATGGGCTCGTGGTTCTTGTTTTCCACCATCTAATGGAGTGAGGAAGTTTTTTCTTTAAAAGTAACAATGAGTTGATATCTTGAGAATAGTAGGGGCTAGACAGGCAGAGAACAGGTGGCATGAACACTATATTTGAAGTTTCTGAAGTGAAAAATAACTTGGCAAAATCAGAAAGCTAAAGGAAGGCAAGGGTTTGTTGGATTGTAGTTGTGGGGAGTTGGGGAGCAGAAAGAGATGAGAGTGGACAGGTAGGCAAGGACCATCTACTGTTCCTTGTATACTTTGTTAAGGAGGTTTACAAAATTATTCTCAGCTCAGTAGGGAGCAGTAACATCATCTGTTCTTGTACTTTTAAAAGATAACTTTGTAAAGAGAAGAGGCAAGAGATGGGAATGGTTTGAATTAGGTGGTAGCAATGGAGATGTGGAGAGAAGTGAATGGATTTGAGATCTCCATAAGAATCTATAAGGCCAGACAAAGACAGGTACACTATATTCAAAGCAGAATTCCTTTCTGCTTTGAGCAGCTCAGTAGACATAGATGCCTTTTACTGTGTTAGGAAAGATGAAAGGAAGAGCAGACTTTAGGTTATGGTATGTTCTCAGTCACATTTTTTTGTTGTTACTTGGTAGATAATATGTAACATTCTATGATTAAATGCTGGTTTAGGATTCAGAATATTAAAGAAATGTTCTTGTCTCATAAAGTAACTGAGGGTAAAGATGATATGACGATGAAATACGTGAAACATTTCTTCTAACGAGGTAATCTACTGAAAGATTGGAACGTTCATTGTGTTTTACATGTGTTTTACTCTAGCCGTGTAGGACGCTCCAAACAAGCAGCTACTAAGGAAAATGATTCAAGTGAAGAAGTAGATGTGTTTCAGGGTAGCTCTCCTGTCGATGATATTCCACAGGAAGAAACAGAGGAGGAGGAAGTTTCTACAGTAAATGTATGTGTTCAAAGTTTCTGTGAGTGGTGTGGGATATAAAAAGAGTTAGTAAATGTTTGGTTAGATCATTTAGTACTTGTTTAGTATTTATATGTTTTACTTCATTAGTTCATAGCATCATTTTATCTACCAGGTTGGATAATGGAGAACATCTTTTATGGAAACCCGAAACTAAGCAAATAGGTGTAGCTTAATGAGAATGTAAATGTCAAGTCTGAACTGAATGTACAGCATTCTAATATTGACACTTTAAGCATGTAAGTTGTACCTTGATTTTAGGGCACTGATACCCATTAAGTATACTGTTGTTTATATTTTACAACTCTCCGTTTGGTATTTCTATTTGGGTTTCATAATAGAAATTAGAAGTTAGTTACACAGAATAAAATCAGCCTTTGGAATTGAAGTTTGAGCTGAATGAGAATTCATAAAATTGGTAATACATACTTATTTTGCAAAAGTAGGTATGTGTTACTTCCTGACTTTTTTGTTTTTGAGACAGAGTCTCACTCTGTCACCCAGGCTGGAGTATAGTGGCGCACGATCTGGGCTCAGTGCAACCTCTGCCTCCCAGATTCAAGCAATTCTCCTGCCTCAGCTTCCCAAGTAGCTGAGATTACAGGCCAATGCCACTGTGCCCGACTAGTTTTTGTATTTTTAGTGCAGACAGGGTTTTACCATGTTGGTCAGGCTGGTCTCGAACTCTTGACCTCAAGTGATCTGCCTGCTTTGGCCTCCAAAGTGGTGGGATTACAGGCATCAGCCACTGCACCCGGCCCTTCTTGACTTTTAAAGTAATAAATAAATAACTTTACCAGTTAATACAACTCAGATATTTCTCTTAGGAAAAAACATAATACATTTAAGTAGAAGCTCTTCTCCTATCTTTGTTTGAGAAACCCAAGCTCTATAATCAAGTCTCAGAATTGGTCTCTGCTGTTCTGTCCTGTTTAATGGAATCAGAACTCCTATCTGTACCAGGATTCATATTTGTGAATAAGCGAGTTAAGTACACAGGAAAATATGCATAATTGTGACCTCAAATTAGTTTGGCTTGTTTCTTAAAGGGTTTTGGGGAGGACATCAAAGTAAGTCTGAAGAGTCAGTAACGATTGATGTCTTCATCAGAGAAAAACTACATGTAAATTAAAACCCTCTTTTATATTCCTATTGTTAATATTGACATTTTTTGAACTAAAGTTTTATGCTTTCATTAGTGCTTGTCAGCAAATGATAATATGTTTGAATTTTAGGTTATTTTACTGTATTGATAATTGTTAAGATCCAAACTCAGTAACTGCTTTCCCAGAAAGATAATGTAAGTTCATAAATGTGAAATGTTTTCATTTACCACAGGAAACATAAGTAGAAAGATGATTAATCTGTTTGAGTTATTTTTCTTGCTGTAGACATTGACTTCTGTTCATTTCTCTTTAAAATTATTAGATAGAAAAGTAAAATAATTTTTTTCTTTCACTGTTCTGGGGAAGTCTGTGAGCCTGTAAGGGATCAAATGTTATAGAGGTCTAAATATGTGATGCCAGGGCAGAAAGTAAGGATAAAAAGTTTCAGGGAAAGGAAAGCAAAGAAAATCAGGAACAAATGAGAATAAAGATTAGTTAAAAATGATTACTGCATATCTTATGCACATATACCCATTTTAATTAAGCATCTGGTGACTTTCCTTTTAAGGTACGGCGGCGAAGTGCTAAAAGGGAACGGCGATGAACAAATGTAATTAATAACTTTCTCTGTGAAAGCTTTGGAAAAATCTTTTTTTTTTTTTTTGGTCAAGCTTGAGGCTGAATAAAGCCTTTGATGCACAAAATGGGACTGCTGAAGAGTGGACAGTTGGACCTTACTTTGGTGACCCCATACATTTGTGGTCACATGCTTTAGCCATACACATGGTAACATTGACTATGGAGTCTTGTGAAAGTGTAATGTGCGATGGCTATGTAGACATAAAGAAGAAACTTGTAAATATCTTTTTTCTTTTTTTTAATGTTTCTGATTTCTGAAGTGCTTGTATAGCTTTTATCTGCGGCTTTAAACTGACAGTACCCGACTGTTTATTGGATCTATTGATTTGAAAAGAATTTGTTAGGATAGATCTTAAGCAGTAATCTGTCAGTGTTTGTATTTGTATTCTCTGCAATTTTACTGTGAAAAAAAATTTGTTTTCAACAATTGGTGTCATTTTCTTGATGTCACTATTTGTTGGAGAGTTAAATGGTCTCTTCCCTTTGTGTATCTTACCTAGTGTTTACTCCTGGGCACCCTTAATCTTCAGAGGTGCTAAATTGTCTGCCATTACACCAGAAGGATGCCTCTGATAGGAGGACAACCATGCAAATTGTGAAATAGTCCTGAAGTTCTTGGATTACTTTACACCTCAGTATTGATTTGTCCCAGAATTTTCTGGCCTTTCATGGCAATGAAAATTTTAAGAAGAAAGATTTAAAGTATTTTAATTTTAAAGAGTGTGTTATAAAATAATGTACTGAATTCTTTATCCCATTTTATCATCCTTTCAGTTTTTATTAATCTACTGTATCAATAAAATTCTGTAATTTGAATGAGTTTTTAATAGTCTAGAATGTTATTGTGTATAGATATTTCCTCTTGAACGTTATGTTCAGAAAATGCAAATTACACTATAATATAAAACCTGATATATACACATTAGAAATATTCCAGTTCTCCGTAACAGTGTAAAGTTAATCAGAAAGAAAAAATTTTATTGATGCAGTGTGTCTTTATAAAGCTGTTCTTGAAAGCCAAGTGTTTTGTATTTTATAGTGAGTTGCATGTTTTTGAAAAAAAGTGCTGAAAATGGGATGTGCTGTTTTCTGTAAATTCATATTTAGCCATAGTATATGATAGATTGCCCCATAACATAGTTTTTCATCAAGAGTTTATTATTGTACTTTATTTTGGAGCCAAAAAATTGATTCTGGGGGGTGGGGGCAGCGTAGAAGTGGTATATCCAAGTATATCAGCTACTGTAGTTGTCACAGTCTTGTGAACTTTGAATGAAATTCCACTTTGTCCAGATTGGGAGAAGTGGAAATTTATTTGGATTTAGAGCAGGTCTTTTTTTTTCTTCATTGTAATCTGCAAAATGTAGAAATAAATTACTTAAGGCAGTATCCTTTATACAGTTGTATAAACTGTATTTTGAACCAAAACATATAGGTTACTACTTAATGCTTACCTAATTTCATTTTAGTATTTTAGGTGCTGTTATGTTTTTTCATGGTTAACACCAGAGGGGAAAAAATCATATTCTAACTTATTAAATTTATCACATTGAATAGTGGAACATTTTCATATGATACACCATTATGTTTAAGATATATTTCCAAGATTGGTTATAATAGATGGGGCATATAATAAAGAAGCTACTATTTTGGAAAATGACATTTTACTATTTGCCAATGTATATTGCAATTGATGTGATTATTTTTCTTTTAAAGATTTGTTTGTGTTTATGAAACAGCCATTTATTTTTTAAAAAGTGTTTTGAATTGTGTCTTAATCTCTCCATATTCAACTATTCTTCATTTACAACAATAGTGACACCAGTAATTATGAGAGGCTGTCATATATCAAAGCAGCTCAGGTGGGATCAACATACATTGGTTTTGAAATGTTTCCTTAGCTCGGTTCTCCCAAACACATAATTTCTGTTTCAGCAGTACAAAGGCATGTTTTAAAATCTATAACATAAAGAATAAGGAATAGCTTTGTATTTTTGTCATTGATTAAATTGCACCAGAAATGTTTATGGAAATATTAAGAACATTTTATAAAACATACGAAAAAGTGATTGTGAAGGATTTTTATTTGCATGATTATAGTTAAGCAAATTTCATTTCACATTTTTGTAATGCTGTACAGCAGTTCACAAAAAAATGTTCATTGTAGATTTTGTTATGTTCAATGCCAATGAGTCTGTAATTTTACGACCTGTCTGTTCTTTTTTTGGGTGGATTACGATGTAAATTTTTCTTTTCTTTCTTTCTTTTTTTTTTTTTTTGTGTAGAAAAATAGGTGCAATAATGATCAAAGTTTTGATGTCTTGAGTCTCCATCTTAGGGGATTATCTTACGTTTAAGCTTAACATTTCATGTAGTAAGATTTGGAGAGCCACATACTTTACAGTAAAATTAAGTGTGTATAAAACATTAATTGCTAACAATTGTTAGCAAACTATTTCAGTGATAATGTTCATTTTGAAAATATGTACTGTATAACATTAAGAAAATATTTAACTCCCTGTAACAAGTTCCATTATGAAAATCTTATTCCTCAGTGAGGTTATCTTGCTGCACTCTGTAGCAAATTTGTTTAATCTACATTATAATAAAATTTCTTGCTGCAGTGCAACAGGAGGCTTTTTCAGTGATCTTCACTGTATATGTAAATTACAAATGTGGCTGTAAAACTTATTCCAGGTATTAAAGGTTAAATTGCTTTCTATATCTTCTTATAACTTGTAAGTCTGATTTTTAAGATTTCCTTTTGTCCACTTGTAAGAATGTCAGGAATTTAAGAATTTGTTTAAATTAGGCATATCTCTGCCATCACATAGTATTATGTCACCATAATGAACAATTGCTATTTAAATAGATAACCAATTTTCAGACACATTTTTGGATTTCTGTGAAGTTGAATAAACATAAAAGCTAATACAGTTGTATTATTTTGTGTATGTAAATCAACATATATATTTAAATACTAAATGGAGAAAGGCACATTTGATGATTTTTAATTTTGGAGCCTTTGTTTCATGAAGTGGAAACACGTCTCAGTAACTTTTTCCAAACCTTTTGTTTAAACTTCTCATGCAAAATGTTGGCGGACAGAGAATTCTAAGTATTATTTAAGTTGAATAATTGCGTAACTGAACAAAATAAATGTATAATATAAACTTTAAAAATAAGCACTAAATAAATAAGTTGCCAGTAGCAGTTTTATTAATTCGTTCAGCAAACATTTATTGAGTGCCTTCTATGTGCCAGGCACTCAAAAATTTTACTCAGTTTTGCAGAGGATAAAGTGTGATCAAGATAGTGTAAGTCCCTGCTTTTGTGGTACTTTCATTATGTTAGAGGTGGGTGAATAAGAAAAAAAAAATTAATATATGATGTCAGATTGTGAAAAATGCAGTGAAAAAAAGGAAAAGCAGGATAGAAAGTACTAATGATAGGTGGAGAAGTTATTTTATATACTTTGAAACATACAGTTTAGGATTGTTATATCTTCATGATGAAGTGATATGGTTTATAATTTAAAATGTCACTTGGTATCTTTATGAATATTTTTAATCTACTTTGCTTGATATTAATGTAGCCATATCAGTTTTGTTTCAGCTATTGTTTGCATGATAAAACTTTTCCTTTTATTTTCAACATACTTACGTTCTCATGGTTAAAATGTGTATCATGTAAACATTTTATACTTGGATTTTGTTCTTTCATCTGAGAATCTTTGTTCTTTAATAGTGTTTAAGCTCTAGTGTAGTTACTTATATAGTTGATTTTAAATCTACCATTTTGCTATTTATTTTCTTTTATGCCAGTCTCTCCTTTATTTTCTCCTTTCCTGCCTATTTCTGGCTCATTTAAAGTGCTTTTTATTATTCTATCTCTTCCATTAGCTTTTTAGTTAAACCTGATTGTGTTATTCTTTTAGAATTACAGTATTTATGTTTGGCTTATTATAGTCTGTGATTAATGCTTTTGCCACCATCCGAACAATGCAAAAAGTTTAAAACAATTCAGCTGTATCTGCCTCTCTAGCCTTTGTGCTAAAGTTGTTGTCTATTTTCAGTATAAAAATGCTACAGTATCCTTGTTGAATAGTCATGTTCTCATATTTACCCATAGATTTTCCATTTTTGCTCTGTTCTTTTTTTAAGAATCATTATGTGCTATCATCTTAGTTCATTTTTCTTCTTTTTTTTTAAAATTTCTTGTTTTCAGCACTTTGACTGTGGTATGCCTAGGTATGATTTTCATTTTATTTAATTTGCTTGGAGTTTACTGACTGGTTGATGTCTTTCATCAGTTTTGAAACATTTTTGGCTGTTATCTCTTCACATATTCTACACTATTTTCTCTTTCTGACATTCCAATTATAAATCTATTAGATTGCTTGTATCCCATCTGCCTTTAAGTGTATTTTCTGTTCTTTCCACTTTTTCTCTGTGTGCTTCATTTTGGATATTTCTGTTGATCCATCTTCAGATTTCTTTTGCTGTCTGTTCTTCCCGTTAACTTTTCAATTAGTTATTAACTTCAAATACTGTATTTTTCAGGCCAGTGTGGTGGCTCACACCTGTCATCTCAGCACTTTGGGAGGCTGAGATGGGCGGACCACTTGAGGTCAGGAGTTCAAGACAAGCCTGGCCAATATGGTGAAACCCTGTCTCTACTAAAAATAAAAAAATTAGCCGGGCGCCTGTAATCCCAGATACTCTGGAGGCTGAGGTGGGAGAATCGCTTGAACCTGGGAGGCAGAGGTTGCAGTGAGCTGAAATCATCACACCACTGCACTCCAGCCTGGGGAACAGAGTGAGACTCTGTCTTTAAAACAAACAAACGAAAGACTGTATTTTTCAGTTCTAGAATGTCCAGTTAATAATATTTTATAGATTTCAGTTCTCTGTTGAAAGTCTCTTTTTACTCATCTTTTCCCCTTTTCTCTTAATTATATAGTCCAAATCTTTACCAATTAACTACAACTTCTCAATCATTTGTCGATCTGATTCTTTTAACTCTTTTTTCTATTGAACATCCATCAAACTTTTCCTGGTCACATTTTTTCCTTCCTTGTGTGGATCTTGTAACTTTTTTCTTATTTGAGGACATTGAATTAAAAGTACTAAAGGATTGAAGTTGATGTGATTTTTCTCCCAAGAGCAGATTTGCCCTTTTTTCTTTTAGGCATTCTAGAGATTGATGACTTCAAGAGTTGAGCCTGGGTTGCAACTTTAGTTAGACTCAATCTGGTTGTTTCAAATGTCTTAATGGTAAGACATGCATTATATGACAGACTAGCACAGCAAGCCTGCAGGAGATTTCATTCAGGCTATTCCGCCCAGCTCCCCAGCAGGAATGCTATTTGACACAGAGTAGTCAAAGGCGGCGTCTTTGAGAAGGTAACATCTGAGCATGGACTTCAATTAAGTGAGGCATCAAGCCTTATGAATATCTGGGAGAAGAGTATTCCAGGCAGAGGGAAGAATAAGTATGAAAGTCCTTAAGCAAGAATGAACTTTGTGCATCAAGGATTTCAAGAAGGCTGATGTTTCTGGAGTTGAATTGAGCAAAAGCTGAAGGAAGGGGTAGGATAGAAAGGAGATAAGAAAGAGCCAGATCACACCTATGATGTCTCTTGGTAATTTTGTTCAAAAGTTGATGGGAATCCATTGTAGGCTTTGAGTAGGAGAGTGGTAAGGTTTGTTTTAATTTTTAAAAATACTACTCTGGCTATTGATGAGAATGGCTAATAGAGTGTAAGAATAGAAGCCCCCCAGTTTAGTTAAATTATATTAGTAGTCTAGACAATTTGTTCATTTCACAATAAGAGTGATAGAAATTGTGATAAGTACTTGGATTCATGATGTATTTTGAAGTTACAGTTAGTAGCCCTTTGCTGATGGATATGGAAGCGTGAGGGAGATGAATCAAAGATGACTCCTAAACTTTGAGCCAGAGAAACTGAGTGAGTGGTGTCATTTACTGATATGAAGGAAGCTGGGTGGGACATATTCTTCAGGATAAAATATTTGGTGTCAGGGTTCATCAGTTTCAGCATGTGATTTATTAATATTTACATAGTCTTTGGGTGCTTTGGATATTTGGGTTCCAGTCCTTTATGTGAATTTCTGTTTGAAGGTGGAAACAGCTTCTAAAAAAAAAATGTAGGCATTTTACATCATCTGGCATTTCTAAAATCTGAAAGCATGTAACTATTAAGAAATTTATTATAATACCTCCAATTTAGCATTTCTGAAACTAAATGAATAACCTTTCCTTCCCAAATCTGATCATCTTCGTATGTCTGAAAATGGAATTAGTATCCACCTAGTAATGCAAATCTAGAAATTTGCTTTGACTCCTGTTCCTTACACCTGTATCCAGTCTGTCATCAAATCCTGTTGAGTTTACCTCCTGATTATCCCTTGAGTTTTTCTACTTTTTTCCACCGGTCTCCCTTAAGTTCTCATCATTTCTTTGCCTCTTTGTTGGTCTCACATTTACTCTTGCCCCACCTCAAATTCATTTTCATAATGTAGCCAGATTGTGAAGTACCATGATTTTATCTACCCCCCAGCAGCAGCAGCAGCAACAGTAGCAAATAATATAAACCTTATATCTCTTCAATAATTTACCATCGCTTTTAGGATAATGTGCCCCACGAAGCTCTGCATCATGGGTCACTCTTGTTTAGCTAATTCTTCCTTCATATTTTGTATTTTATTTCATTGATTTCTTTTTCTAATTTTTATCTTTTGCCTGTACCAATATCTAATTCACTATATTGATAAGTTTTTATATTTGGTCCAAAAATTCTCAAAGTCTTAATTTTAAAAATGTCTTGGTCATTCCTTGGCTCTTCTTGTTATTTTCGCTTATTCAGTATTGAGTCTTCCCACTGAGATAGATTTTTTTAAGGCCTTCCTTTCAATAAAGTTTTTATTTTCTTCATAAGAATAGGCTTTGCACCTTTTAAAATGTTTTATGGGTTTTATTATTATTGCTTACATTGCTATTTCCATTATTTTCTAATTGGTATAGCTGCTATGCTTTTCTTTCTTTCTTTTCTTTTTTTTTTTTTTCTTTTGAGACAGTCTTGCTCTGTGCAGTAGAGCAATCTCAGCTCACTGCAACCTCTGCCTCCTAGGCTCAAGCAATTCTTGTGCCTCAGCCTCCCGAGTAAGTGGGACTACAGGTGTGTGCCACCACACCTGGCCAATTTTTTATACTTTTAGTAGAGATGGGGTTTCACCATTTAGCCAGGCTGGTCTCGAACTCATGGCCTCAAGTTGATCCACCCACCTTGGCCTCCCAAAGTGCTGTTATTACAGATGTGAACCACTGAGCCCAGCTGCTATTTTGTTTTCAGCTGCTTTGTTGAACTCTAATAGTTTTTCAGTTAATTCTCTTAGATTTGTCAGATGGATAATACGATCTGCAAATTGTTTTGTCAGTATTATTTTATATTGTTCTGAAACGTATACAAAATGTCTTTCTGGTCTAATTAGCATTGGTTGGCTCCTCCAGAGCATAGTTAAATAGAAAGCATTCTGCCTTTTCTAATTTAAGAAAGTATCTAGTTCTAATCAGGGTTATTGAAAAATAAAATCTGGAATATATGTTGAATTCCATGTTTGTATGGAAGTTTATGTTTTTAAAAATATATGATAATTTAATGAATTATATTAATAAACTTCATATATAGAACCATCCTTGCTTTGATAGGACTAACTCAGCTTGGTCATGCTACTAGATTCAGTTTGCTAACATTTTACTTAGTATTCTCATGTCTGAGATTGCTTTATAATTTATCATACTAGCATTATTCCAGTATTGATGTAAGGAGTTTTGCTAGCCTTCTAGAATGAGTTGGAGAGTTGTTTGTATTTTTCTATGAACGTTTATGTAGTGTAGGAGTTATTTGCTTCCTGAAATTATAATAGAATTTTTAAAAGTTTTATTTGGTGCTTTCTAAAATTTTAAGTAAAAAAGTGTTTCAGACATGCAGGAAATAATACAGCAGACATTGATTATCTCATTAATAGATATTCATGATCTCATTTCCCAAATTTAAAAGATACCAACGTTGCTGTGTTTCAGTTAGCATTAAGTTCTCCCCCTCAACACACACACACAGATGCACACCTACCCACTTCCTGTGAGTAAGGAATAAGATCTCAGAAACGTTTAGCAAGCTGCGTTTCTTGGGTTTGAAGAATGTTGTATAATTGTGTGTGTCACAGGCACTGTGGAGTGACTGATTTGTCTCTGTCCCTTGGTGGAGAAGATAAGCTCACTTTTAACATATAAAAAAGCTGTGCACAAGCTGCATTCCCTTTTTTGTCTTATCCTAATAATGTGTATCATTCTCATGCATGTGTTCATCTTCATTTTACTTATGTGTATTTAAAATACATAGGACTATTTCGTGTTTTTAAAATTTTTTGGAAAAAAGACATCATAGTTATCATTTTGAAACCTATTTTTCACCCAACACCGTGTCTTTGAAATATAGCCATATTGACATTTGTTGATCTCCATTTCTTCACAATATAACATCTTTTAAAATTGGGATGCTTCCTAAATCAGTGGTGTCTTAAAATTGGCAGCATTTTCTTAATGACAGAATAATGCTGTACCTTATAATCGATGTTATCTTAGATTTGATTACATCCAGTAGTTAATTCCTCTTAATTGCTGTAAAGCATTCTGTTGTTTGAATATACAACAGTTAATCCATTTCTCTATCATAGTTAATCATTTTTCTTATTGGTAGATAATCAGGTTGTTTGCACTTTCACTTTTATAAGCAGTTCGAAAGTAAGCATTCTTCCTGTCTCATAAACAATTATTCTGAATGAAAATGTTGAATTTAGTAAATATGGATATTCTGCTTTCTAGGTATTGCCAAATTGCATTCCTAAGTAGTTATATTACTTTATACTTCCGCCAGCAATGTATAAGAGCTCCTGTTTGCTTTTCATTTTTAGATTTGTATCAGTTTGAAACTGTATTTATGTTGTGAGCTAAGGATCTTATTTTCTCCTTTTCAAATGGATAGCCATTCGCCTCAGTATCATTAGTTATTGAATAGTTTATTCTCTACTTGACTTACAGTGCTCTATCCGCCATATACTAAATGCAGGCAGTTACAGATTAAGATCTGTTTCTAGGCTTCCTTTTCTATTGCATTAGCTTATGTATGTAGTATATTTACTGTAGTTTTATAGTAAGGCATCTCCTTATTAATACTCTTCAAAATTGTCCTGACTATTGTCTTTTTATAACTACAAGAATTTTTAAATCATGTTGCCTGATTCTGGGGAAAAATCTTTAGGATTTTTATTAGAACTACTTCGAATTTAAAAATATATATTTGGAGAAAATGGCCATCTTTATGATGTTGAATCTTCCCATTTATGAATATGGCTGGTTAGTTGGTCAGTCTCTTTGTAATCGATCTTGCTTCTTTTTCTATCAATAAAGTTTTACAATTTTCTTCATAACAGTCTTGCACATTGTAACTTTCTTTAAAAGTACCTTTCTAATTGTTTGTTGTTGGTGGATAAGAACACTAGTTTAGTCTCCATTTCATCTTATTAAAAACTGTGTGACTCCTTTGGTGCTTAGTAGATTTTTTTAGGAGCTGAAACTTTTATTGTCTTTTTAGCTGCTCCATGGTTGGTTAAGCCAGATTGTTCCTTCTACCTGGCTCAATTTTGGTAATCTTTTCCTTGGAAATCATGCATTTCTAGGTTTGAAAATTTGTTAGGAAAAGTTTTAACATAGGCTGTTTTATTTTGTAAATCTCTGCAGCATCTCTCTCTATTTTTTTTTCTTGAGTCTAAGTTTTTTGTCAACATTTTTTCCTTTATCATTGGAATCATTAAAAATTTCCAAGAAGCAGCTTTTGGTTTTATTTATTGAGTATTTATTTCTATAATTTTTGCAGTGATCCTCATTTCTTTTTTCAACTTCACTTGCACTTAGTAGTTCTTTTAGTCTCTTGGGTTGAATGCTTAGTTCACGTATATCTTGGTCTTTCTTGTTTTCTAATATATGCATTCCTCTTATAAGTACTTCTTGATTATATCACATAGGTCTTGTTTGGTGGTGTTCCACTTTTTGCTCATTTCCAAATAGTTTGTCGTTTTAGTTTTGATTATTAAGCCTAGTGTTTTTTTTTTTCCTCCCAAAAGAGGAAAAAAATGTGGGGATAGGCTTGAAGGGAGGGGCGTATTTTTTATTTTATTATCCTTTTGTTATTCTTACGTAGCTAAATTTATGGGCCAAGAATGTCACTTGTATAATTTCGGTTGTCTGTATTACTGAGAGATTTTTCTGTGTCTTTATGTATGCTGAAAAGAAGGTTTATTCACAGTTTGTGTGTATCTGTATTTTAGATTGAGCTTGTTAATTTAGGTTATTTAAATTTTTATATCTTGTTTTGTCTGTCAAACTTTCTGGTTTAGGGTAGATGGTTTTGTTAATGTCTCCCATAAAGATTATGAATATTTCTCCTTGTATTTGTATCAGTTTTTACTTTATGTATTTCAAAGTTTTGATGTGAGGAGTCCTATGACTGATATGTATTCTTGATGCATTGTATCATGTCAGCAGTATTAAATACCTGTTTTTTTCTCCTTAATGCTTTTTGATTGAATTCTATGGTCTTAATCTTGCTATGCTTTTTATTAGTATATGATACTCCTTTTTATCAACTTCCCTGTGTCATTTTGTGTTCCATCTGATTCAAAAACAGCATTTAGCTATTTTTATTACTTATTTTTTCCTCCATTTTCTCTATTCTTCTTCAGGAAGTCTTAGAGTTTTTGAGATTTTAGAGCCAGCTGTCTTCCACATCTCAGCTTTACCCTGGCAACACTTTTCTCCAGCATGTGCTTTGGGCTATAATTCTTTCTCAAGATATACTTTTTTCCCCAGAATTTGTCAAGATTTGTACGTTTCTTTTTCTCATCATTGCGGATTTATCTAGTATGTTTCTGTGTTTTTATATTATCTCCCATCATTTTATGAGGGAGGGTAGTTGCCAGTAATCATTGTTCTGTCTTGATCCTGTGGTGTCCCTCCCTGATTCCAGCACTTAGGTTTTATTCTTAACCTGTTTGGTTTGGGGCACAAGAGTTTCATAAACCTGTATTCAATCCATCATCTTTGAGCCTTCCTGAGCTGCTTCTTAAAAGGCTGTTATCTTACAGCGTGTCATTATTTTACTACTGTTCATCTCATAAGTTGGAGTCACTTCAGTTCCTCAGGGCTTCTGCTAGCCACCCCAGATGGAGAGCAGCTCATTTTTTGGACCTATTATTGGAGAGTGTCAGTGACTATATCCCGTCCTTTTTTGTAGGTCCTATTCATGACTTCTGTATATCCCTTCCTTTTTACTGGCCTCTGTGACACTATTCTAATAGGGTTTTCTTCCTACCTTTCTCTATCCCCCTTATTTTCACTGGTGGTTTTTCTTCACTCATTACTTAATTGGCATTGCAACTTAATGTAAGAGTCATTGGCTTTTTGTCCTCTTTTTAAAGGTAAAAAATAATTGTACTGACTTTTATACAATAGTAATTGTACTTTTATTATCCCTTGAGAAAATATGTATGTATATAGATAACAGACATATTACTTTGGTAGAGCCATATCATTAATATACACTGATTTTAAAAACACTTGCTTTGAAAGATCTCACTTTACTATCTTCTTTAATCATCACAACAACATATAGTATGATTGGATAAGTATGAGGCAGATAAAATGAAGTAAATCTTGCAAGGAAGCAATAATATTTTATAAATTTACCTGTTCTGAAGGGTACTTTTTTTTTTTTGAAATGGACTCTTGCTGTATCACTGCTGGAGTGCAGTGGCATGATCTCTGCTCACTGCAGCCTCCATCTTTCGTGTTCAAGCGATTCTCGTGCCTCAGCCTCCCGAATAGCTGGGACTACAGGCGTGTACCACCATGCCCGGCTAATTTTTGTATATTTAGTAGAGATGGGGTTTCACTATGTTGGCCAGCTGGTCTCGAACTCCTGACCAGTTGTCAGGAGTTGTCAGGAGCTGATGAGGTGTCAAGTGATCTGCACACCTCGGCCTCCCAAAGTGCTGGGATTACAGGCGTGAGCCCCTGTGCCCGGCCTCAAGGGTACTTCTGACCATACCTAAACTTAGGCAGTAACTTTAGATTTGCCATGCTCTATAAGTTTTTACTCCTCCCCATGTACATTTGAATGATATTACATTTATAGGGAAAATAGTCGCCACTTTATTTTGGTGTAGATGTGTTTATTACTTGTGTTAACTCCAGATGTAAAGCCAAGTGTAAAATAGCTGATGGAGCCTTCATTCTGCTGGCTCTGTAAATGTAATAGATGTGTGATCACAGGCAAGTCATTTATCTGTCTGCAGTATGGTTTCCTCATCTATCAAATAGGCAAAAAATAGCTCTTAAAAACGAGTGTCATCAATCAAATAAAATATGGTGTGTGTGAAAAATCTTTGTAAAGCATAAAGAACCCATGACAGGCTTCACTGTCAGCCATGCCTACCTCATATAACAAATAACAGTTAAAATTGTTAGCCTTTAGTTATCAAAGCATATGTCACGAATTCAGTTCATGGGGATCCTTGCCCACTTATGGATAAGAGGGTAATAGTTGGTATTTAAAGAAAACATTAACTGCAGAGATATGATACAGATATGTAGCTATAGATATATCTCACTGAAATTTATATGAGTCAGAGGTGGAGAATATCCAAGCCATGTTACCATCTTCCAGTATCCACTTCTTATGGGCTCTCAAATATCGGACCTTTGCCCATTGCCTAAACTGCAGTTCATCTTGCCAACTGGTTTTGTTTTGATTCCTATTTATTATGTCTTAGGCTGTAATCTCATCCAGACCTGATTCTGAGACCAAGCTCTGTGTCTTCTTGCCTTACTTGCTGCTTTTGACCTCTTAAACTAGAGCTTATCATTTTAAATGGCCCAACTTGATTACACTGTAGATAAGACTAAATACTGTGACTCTGAGAAAAAATAAACTTTATTTGTGCGACAAATTATTTGCAGCTTCAGCTCTGATGAGTAATTCCCAGTCTGTGTCCCTTACTGACTTCTGGACTTTAATTATGATCTCTGGTGACTGATTATTTGTTTTACTTATTTTTATTTTTTAGAGACAGTGTCTTGTTCTGTCACCGAGACTTGAGTACAGTGATATGATCATACCTCACTGCAACCTTGAACGCCTAGGTTCAAGCGATCTTCCTGCCTCACCCTCCCGAGTAACTAGAACTTCAGGTGCATACCACCATGCCCAACTAATTTTTAAAAATATTTTTCATAGACACAGGGTCTCCCTGTGTTTCCCAGGCAGGTCTCAAACTCCTGACTTTGAGCCATCCTCCTGCCTCGGTCTCCCAAAATGCTGGGATTACAGACATGAGCCACTGTGCCTGGACTAATTACTGATTATTTGTATTTCCTGTGACTTCATCATCCTTTTCTGTTCCCACTACAGCCCTTCTACCCACCATCATCATTGTGATACATCATTTTTTCAATTACCTGGGATATAGACTATCAAGGAGTCCTGATTATTTCACTTTTTAAACCAGAAGACATTTTACTTTCCATGCTATTGCAACTGTTGAAAACAGGAGGATTTAAATAACTAGGAAACTTCAGTTAAGGGGGAGTGGGGAGAAAGCCTAAGTTTATACCACAAAGTAGGAAGAATATCCACCAAATATTTTTGGACTAAAACCAAAATAAATTGGGATAGACTTCTGAAGCTCGAGAATGAATTCTCTGAAAGCGTCACCACCCTGAAAAACACACTCGAAGATCCTCTGGTAGGTGTGACAAAGATGATTAAAGGGCTTCCACTGGGCCCAAGACACATTTTGGACACCCCTGCAGTAACTCAGTTCATTCATCTTAAGTGACAAGGGTGTGGAATTGATGAGAAATCTCATTGAAACACTGCACTTTCTGCATTCTAGCCTTCAAATCCTGAAGTGAGAAATCACCAAGGAAAATACAGCTGCACAATCCACTTGCAGGTGGAGACTGAATTCAGCTGAGAGAAACAACAGATGGGTCTCTAGAGAACCCATGACAGGCTTCACTGTCAGCCATGCCTACCTCATACTCTACAGAGGCAAGGCAAAAACTAAGGATGGGATCTGCCCCCTACTCCTCAGTGAGATTGTATCATGAAACTCAAGTTGAAGCTACCAGCTGTTTCAGGTGGCCAATCTCTTACAATGTCATGGATTTTGTAAACAGAGGGCCTAGATAGACCTGCCATCCTCAGAAGGCGACTAGTGGCAAAAAGGAATCAGCAGGGGAACTATGAATAGTTACCACAACCCAACATCTCTGCCCTCCTACAAAAGAAAAAAACAGCTATCAAAAGAATATCCCAGGAAAGACTTCAGACATTCTCCATACTCGCAAATAAATTAGAGAACTTGAATTCTGAAAAAGAGCTCAAAGAACTAATGATGAGATAAAGATGAAAACTGATTGTGCAGAAAGTCACATATCAAAGTATATAAGGGATTAAAATAAGGTAGATCTAATAGAGATGTTAAATATTGTAATTTTGAAACAATACACCTTGTCAAGAAACTGAGTCGTATGGAAATTGGCTATCAAGCCAAAAGAATCTCAAATTACAAAATTAAAAATGAATTAAAATGAAATATCTAATTACCTGGAATTTTAAAAAATATTCTCAGATCAAGGGAAAAAATGACAAATATTTAGAAAGTAGCTCTAATAAAAATACGTATTAAAGGCAGTATATAGCTATACTATATATATGGCTGAGACTGTGGCTTTGCAGCCATACTCTGGGTTTCATCCTCAGTTTTGCTGCTTACCAGTTGTGTAACCTTGAGCAAGTTGTATAACCTCTCAGAGTCTCAGTTCTGAAGGATTAAGTAAATTTAAAGAAGTACATGGCACAGAGTAAGTGCTCAAAAAATATTAGCCATTGCTAGTATTTTCCAAGATGGCCAGTGTGGCTAGAATGGAGTAAAGATGGAAGAGCTTTATATGAAGTCAGGGGCGTGGAAGCACAGATGTAGGACCTTGTGGACTATTACAAGGACTGTAAGCAAAAGCCATAGGGCTTTTGAGTGAGATGGGAAGCCACCTGAGGTTTTGAAGAGAGGAGTCATATACTCTGACTTCCATTTTAAAACGATCCTCTGGCTAGTGTGAGGGGGGAGGGCTGAGGCAGACAAGGAAGCGGTTGTGCTAATCTGGGTTATCTGTGACTGGAATGGCCTTGATGGATGGGATGGTAGTAATGGATGTAGTGAAAAGTGGTTGGGTTCTGGATATATACTAAAGGTACAGCCAACAGAATTTGCTGATATATTGGGTATGAACTGTGAGAGAAAGCACCTGGCCCAAGCACTGGAGAGAGGAGTTGCCATTAACTGAGGGATACCTGTTATTACCAGAAAACAAATCTAAACCGTAATAGGAGAATAAATAGTCTTCCCTAAATACGGTTGGACTCTGAATTCTCCAAGAAGTTATGAGCTGTACTTAACTCATAGCTGACCTCTGTGGGAATCAGCCTGCGCCTAGATCTCAGTGGGACTGGAGCCTAAGCTGGCTCCTGGGGATCTCTGTTCACCTTGTTCATGGGACGATAGCCCCCAGCCTACAGGAACCTTCAGATGATTGGACAGTGGACAGTCACGCATATCTGGCAGATGGTGCAGGAAGAAACCGCAAGGTGACACTTCTCCACTAGTAGGAGTATGGGATGAGAACTCCCTCTTGTGAGATCACCATTCAAGTTGGAGAATACTGAACCTTGATTCTGGGGATCAGCTGGCTTCAAGCTTTCAGAGGGGCTAGGAGCTGTCCTTGGTGAATATGGAGAGGAACAAACTGAGTAAAGGCAAATGTCAGAGGAAAGAATTTGTCAAATGAAATTATGTTCATTGTGTAATCTCACCTTATTACTACCTCATTCAAACTGATATATTTGATGTGATTGGATTTGTTTGGGCATATTGGTGGAGAAACTAGATTCCCTGTACTTATTGACACAAGGCAGAATTGGAGCCACAGAGACACTGACGTTAGTGTTTTTGGTATTTAGTGACTTGTGAAATCACAGGTGACTTCTGATAGTGCAGACTTAGGGCACTATTGGGGTGGGGGAAAAGAAGGCAGAAGCCAGACTGCAGTGGGGTGAGCAAATGTGAGTTCAGGAAGTGGAGATAGTGGAGGCTGATTTGGAGAAGTCTGGATGAGGAGGAACAAGGAGATGCCTTTTTTTTTTTTTTTTAAGGATAAACTATACTTGAACATTTTTTCCCATTAAACATACATGTATTGGGGTACCTGCCCACAGCCTTTTTAATCTGCTGTGGCACATTGCCTCTACTGAGTTGCATGATCTTGTCTTCCCTCTGATCCTACCTCACAGAGAAGAGTAGCCCGTTCACAATGACCTATGTATTGTGTGACCTGTTTGTATTTTCTTGTAGGAATTTGAATTAAAAGACACAGACAAGTTTCCAGTGAGTCATGGAGAGTAAATAAAAAATCCACGGGCTACTCTGGGCCATATGTGAGAGGAATTTAAGGGAAAGCCTGCTGCAGGACAAAGGTGGGTGAGCAGATGTGTGGAAAGAAGAAGAGAAGTCCCTAGAGATTACGTGAGAAAGAGGTGGCCTCGATCTGAATCCACCCCTGCACCTTCTGAGCACTGTGGCCTTGCAGTAACCACCTCCCCACTTCCTGTTATTCAAACTGGTTTGAAGGGATTTCACTTTCTCCCAGATGAAAGGACCCTGACTGGAGCAGTCTTGCTCGGACCTCTTCATCTTCAGCCCCTGTTTGTTCAGATGTGTTGTACAGATAAATACCAGAGTGTGTGAAGATGCTGTCTTACCAGGTTATTCTTTTCTCTTTTTAGAGACAAGGTCTTGCTCTGTCACCCAGGCTGGAGTGCAGAGGCGCGATCACAGCTCAGTGCAGCCTTGCACTCCCGGGCTCAAGCAATCCTCCCACCTCCATCTCCCAAGTAGCTGGGACTACAGGTGTGTGCCACCACACCTGGCTAATTTTTCAGTACTTTTTGTAGAGACTAGGTCTCACTATGTTGCCCAGGCTGTTCTCGAACTCCTGGACTCAAGCAGTCCTGCCTCAGCTTCCCAAAGTGTTGGGATTACAGGTGTGAGCCACCCTCCCTGACCTCCACCAAGCTATTGTTCTCCCGCTCACAGCTGTCTACTACACAATGAAGTATAAAATCAACAAGCCTTTCACAGCCTGCCAGAATATGGCTTCATCCTACTTTCCAAACTTTTTCATGGTATTTTCTGTTAACTTTACTTCTGCCAGACTGACTGTACCTGTCGTTCAACACACTGTATATCTACACCCTTAGTCCTGGCTTACATCATTCTGCTTGTCAGTGATCTAGACCCTTTGTATTCAAAGTGTGGGTCAAGCAGCAGGATGGGCATCACCTGGGAGCTTGTTAAGAATGCAGAATCTCACAGCCCACCCCAGACCTCCTGAGAATCTGCTTTTCAGTAAGATCCCTGGATAATTGAAATTCACCTTAAAACTTGAGAAGCATTGGTCTCTGCTGCCTGTGCAAATATCCCTTCTGCTTTAAGTCCTAGCCTAGGGGTTGTTTGTCCCATTATATTTTTTTCTGACCATATAGTGATAGTGGTTCGCTTCAACCGGAATTCCTATAGCACCATGAGAAACGAATAGTAATAGTTTAATTGAGTACTTGCTGTGAACTGATCACTAGAGTAAGCATTTTATATGTGTCGCTTAATTACTCTTTACAACAATCCTATGAGGTATGTTTATCACCATTTTACGGATAAAGGAACCAAGACTTGGAGAGTAACTTGCCATGTTCACACGGCTTGGGTCAGAGCCAGAATTTGGATTTAGATCTTTCTGATTCTTGAGCCCACAAAGCATACATATCTTTATAGTAACAAGACTGAGAAAACCAGTCACACTAGAGCATATGACTCTAAATGAATACCTCAGAGTATTAACTGTAATGACTTGTCATTATCATCTTGCTAACTTACAGCTATGAAATTATCTGTAGAGGAAATTAACAATCCATTAAAGAAACTCTGATTACTTTATGGCCAACCCATGCATAGCCTATGCCACTTCTTAGTTTTAGTGTTTTCACCATTTTGAGGTGGAGCATCATACAACTTGTCACCTATGCTTCTATAAAACAGAGACTTTTAAACATTTAAAGAATACTATATAAAACTGCCACAGTGCTTTGTACATAGTAAACATGTAACAAATATGTACTGAATTCGTTTGATTCTCACAATTAATTGTGTCATAATCATCCCTGATTCAATCTCTAATAACATATCCAAAACTGAATTCCTGGGCTTTCCACCCGTGCCCACCTCCAAACCCGGTCCAACCTCAGCTTTCCCCATCTCCATCTGTAGCAATTTCATTATTTTAGTTATTCATGCGCAAGCCATGAAGTCGATTCCATTTCCCTCACACATCCTTTCTAATCTGTCAGGAAATCCTGTTGACTCTTCTTGCAAAATATATCCAGGATCTAACCACCTCCACTGCTACTTCCATCCAAGCCACTATTATATCTTACCTGGTTTATCAGTTTGCTAGGGCCACCATAAAAACTACTACAAACTGGATATCTTAACAGAAATTTATTAGCTCACAATTCTGGAGGCCGGAAATTCTGGAGACCAAAATTAAGGTGCTGGTAGCGTTGGTTCCTTCTGAGGGCAGGATTTATTCCAGGTTTCTCTCTGGCTTGTAGATAGCTATCTCCTCCATGCGTCTGTTTATATCATCTTATGTGTGTATCTGTGTTCAAATTTCCCCGTTTTATAAGGACACCAGTCATATTGGATTAAGGCCCACCCTAATGACCTCGTCTTAAAACCTCTGTAAAGACTAACTCCAAATAAGTCACATTCTGAGGTAGTGGGGGTTAAAACTTCAATATATGAATTTGAGTGGGTAGGGGCACATTCAACCCATAACATCAGGATTGTTGCAGAAGCTTCTTACCTGGTTTGTCTACTTCTTCTCTTGTCTCCCAGAGCCCTTTCTCCACACAGCAGCCAGAGTTACCCTTTTAAAATGGAATTCAGGTCCTATGTCTCTTTTGCTTAAAATTCCCCAATGCATCAACATTGGAATGAAAGCCAAGGTCCTTACAGTGGTCTCACAGGCCGTATGACCTGGTCGCCGTCACATCTCTGACTTTATCGCCTCCTACTCTCCCCTCACAGGCTGTGCTTCAGCCCCCAGGCTTCCTTGCTGCCCCTCTAACGTACAAGGCAAGTTTCCTTCCTTGTCATAGTGCTTGTATGTAGTATTTCCTCTTCCTGGAATGTTATTCACCCAGGTGTAGGTGAGTCTTGTTCTCATCTCCATCAAGTCTACTCAGATGTTTCTGACTCAACACGGCCTTCCTGACTTTCTGATTTAAAATGTCATCCCCTACCCCAGCACTCCTTACTACTGTATTATGCTTTACTTTTCTGCATGGCACTCACCCGCTTCTGGTACACACTATAATAGATGTTCACATTTTGCTTATTGTCTGCCCCTCCATTAGAATATGGCTTAGTGGGGTTTGCTCTCTGTTGCAATCCCAGGGTCCAGCACACGGTCTACTAGAAGACAGTCAATACATATTCAATACAAATAAAAGAATCCTATTTTAGAAATGTTGAAACTGGAGAACACAGCAGTTAGGAATTTTTCCAGGTTACACAATAAGTTAGTGACAGAGCTTGAAGTAGAACCTTGGAGGCCTCTTGGCCTCATAACCAGACTATAAATATTTTCTTTGCTATAATGACATAAATATATATGCTAACTAAAGCTGAAAATACAGTTTTAATTTTCATTTTAAAGTTTGTCTCCTGCTTGCAAGCTGTTTCTTTTTTTCTTTGAAACAGTGTTTCGCTCTTGTTGCCCAGGCTGGAGTGCAGTGGTGCGATACCGGCTCACCACAACCTCTGCCTCCCGAGTTCAAGTGGTTCTCCTGCCTCAGCCTCCCGAGTAGCTGAGATTACAGGCATGTGCCACCATGCCTGGCTAATTTTTTGTATTTTTAAAATAGAAACGGGGTTTCTCCATGTTGGTCAGGCTGGTCTCAAACTCCTGACCTCAGGTGATCTGCCTGCCTTGGCCTCCCAAAGTGCTAGGATTACAGGTGTGAGTCACCGTGCTTGGCCTGTTTCTATCTTAATAGCCAATATTTAGATCATTGCATCATCATCTAATTAGTCTAACCCTAACCCACATTGCAAGTATCGTTAACAAGGCCCCCAAATACAAAGCATTTCTCTCTTGACTCAGTGGCTGCATCTGGACTGTTAAGTCACACCAGTAGTGTTTTATTTTTTATTAAGATAATTATAATTTGTATAAAGTAATATATAAACATGATTGAAAAAATAAAACATTATGGAAAGGCCTGTAACGAAGTGTCCCAAACTCTCAAGGATAGTATGTTCTTGAATCCTTACCCCCACCCCGACCCCACCCATGCTTTTCCCTGAACCTGGCTCTTGGAGCTTTCTGTCTTTCTGTTCCAGGACCGATGCACAGCTCTCATTCTGTGACCTTCCTTCTCTTGGGTAGATTCTACTGTTTGTTTCCTACATCTCACGTCTTCCTCTTAGATTATTTCCTTATTTTGCTGGAGGTCATCCTCAAGTACATTCTTAAGAAAGGGTTATGGGAAGTAAATTTTGTGAGTACTTGAATGTTTGAAAATAAATTTATTCTACATTCATGCTTGATTGTCATTTGCCTGAGAGCACAGACTCCACCTCTCTAAGTAGTAGTGCCAGTGGCAGTGGTGTGGCTCCCTGGAGGACTTAGTCGGCCACAGGTGAGTGACCGGAAATAGATGGGCTTGCCTCCTTCAGCTGCGTGTCCCTCCTTCCCTGCCTGGCCTCTGATTCCTCACTCCCTCTGTCCTGTGTGCTGTCCGTAGCCTTTGGAAATGTTGGCCTTTCTGACCCCTGACTCTTGGCTCCTGTCCCATCCCAGTGGCAGCCTTCTTCCCTGTGGCTTTCTTTCTTGAACTTCACTGCTACCCTCAGTTCATGCGTCACGGACACTTTAATACACTCGAAGATCGTAGGAAGGAAAAGTATTGCTTGCAATTACAATAATTGAATAAAAAGGAAAGTACGACAGAAGTAATTAATCCCTCTGCCCTGTAAAGTTGTCTACTGGCAGACAACTTTCCCCTACTCCTGCTCAAAACAAACAAACAAAAAAACAAAACACCTAAAGTTGGAGAATTCTAATACAAAGAGCAATGAACTTAAATGGAAATGGTTTGCATTTGAAGACATTTATTTAGTTGGCAGAAGGATTATTTCAAAAAAGGGGCTTCCTCCATAGATGTATGTGTTTAGAGATGAGTGAGTGAGTGGCAGGGCTGTTTAGAGCTCAAGGACGTGGAGCCACAGCCAGCAGAGGACAAAATGAAAGGCAGGCCACCCAAACATGGCTATGATTGTTCATGGCAAAGTGTGAATGGGTTTGAGAACTGGTTAGAGAAGATGTAAGTGATCTTCCATATAAGGGAAGATGTAAAGTAGCTGACTGTATGGAGAGGGAGAGAGGATATATTGGAAAAATGCTGTGCTGTGAGCCCCCCAGTCCCCACCCATAATGTACTGAGTGGCTTGTTCAGCATCCTGTTGCCTGGCCTACCTAGCAAGATCTGAGGGGTCAGGGGAGAGGAGTGGGGGTGGGGTGGGCATGAAGGTGGAGGGAAAGCAGCCGGTCTGGGCAGTGCCTGGGAAGTGCTACTCTCCCCTCTGCTGGCCTGGCTGGTCTACAGTCCTGGATCCTGGGCAGTGGATGTAGAATCTGGGTAAGAGGAAGGCCTGGGGTCACTGAAGAGATTTTTGTCCAAGAGGGTGGCCTTCTAGGGTGAGGACTGCTCAGAATTGTGGGGGATTCCAAAATTAAGAGGGAATTCTAGAGTGGCTGACTGAAGGAGAGCCACTCTGAAAGGGCATGGGGGGTAGATGGCTCAGCAGGGGAGAAAAGCCTAAGAGGAAAAGAATCTGCCAGAAGCATCTGCCCAGCTCAGAGAGCTTGCCCACCACCAAGACACAAGTAGGAGCTTTCTTTCCCCGATCTCTATTCCTTCCTTATTGCACCCTCTGGATTTGCCATGTAGCCTTCAGAAATGGCTTTCAGACATTGTGGATGTGGGTAGGAAGGGAGAAAAACAGCACATCTTCCCCCCAAAGCAGGCCAACCACCTGCCAGCCTTAGCTTGATAGAGGAGGGCAGAGGGAAGGGAGGTGAGTGAAGTATTCGTTAATATATTGGACCAAACATTTCAAGTTTGAACTGAAGATGGATGGCTTCAAGTAACCATAGAGTTTTGTGTATCTAGTAGCGGTGAGAAAGGGCATGGGCTTGCTCTCTTTCCGAGGTTAGGGCAATACCCACCCCCCCACCCCCCGCCCAATGTCTAGGTTATAACCAGAGTGGAAAACAGAAGAAGAAGAAACATGGATTTTGAGTGCACCTCAGTAATTATGCCACATCAATGTACTGGTAAGAAGAGCTTTGGCAAGATTCTTTTATGGCTACACCCAGAGCCTTGGGCTCCTCCAACCCCACTTCCCGTGTTTCTCAGGAAAGCCTCAATGAAGCTGGAGAGAAGCAGAGGGAGGGGCCAGCCCAGTGCTCTGCGTGGTGGTGGGTGGGGGCCAAGAGCGTCGAGGGCAGACTAATAGAGGCCGTGTGGGTTAGAAAGAAAATATTCGTTAGCACTTCTGGAAAATTCTATGATGCATACACTACACAACGCATTATTTTAGATTTCATTAAATGACCTATGTTCTAGTTAGAAGCCTGTAGAAAACAATAAAAATTTAGAACAACCTAAATATATAGAACAGGAAGTAGAACTGAGTAAATCAGAGTTTATTCATATGATGGAACAAGATGCAGTCATTAAAAATTATGTTTTCAAAGATATTTGATAATATGAAAAAGACACCTGATAGGAGATTGCCATTTCCGTATGACAAAATGGCTGAATATTAGCAATTTCTTATGATTTAATCCAGTAATAAAACTGTTACTACAATACAATACTCCAATTTTGAAGGGAAGAAACTACATAGAACTACATACAAATACAACTGAGTGTCTTCTGCATGTTAAGTTCGTTATTATTATCTCAAATCCTCAGAAGCCCTGTGGGATGGCTACTATTCTTATCTCCACTTTACAGATGAGGAAACTGAGTCTCATTGGGTTTTGAGTAGTAAATATGTTAGGCTTATTGCAAGTCCCAAGTTTAGTAGGGAGCAAGGAGAAAACGACATTTTTTTTTTCCCTTCCCTGTCACTTCAAACCCACTCCCTTCGTTCCCACCAGGGGATGTTACAGGTCCCATGGTTTTCCTGGGTGACCACAGACAGGCTTCTTCTCACCTTCATAGCCTGGTTCCCCCGGTGCCTCTAACTCCTGAACACCACTTGAGCTTCCTTCCCTTCCTTCTTCCCCTTCCTTCCCCCGCTTGACTTGTAGAGAGTGGAACATGGTGTCTGTCCTCTCCCTGCCAGCCTGAGCATGCGAACCCAAGCTTCAAGGTCTCTTAGGTGTCCTGGTAGGTGCTTTCCATCTTCCATATGGCTCATGGGACACAGAACGCTTGTTCTGCCGTGGACTTTTAGACAAAACTCTGAGACAACTGAAATAGTTGCACCTAACACTCTGTTAATTTTGCAAAGGGCCACACAGAAAATGGCAAGGCTAGATCTGAATGTAAGTCTCTCCGGCTCAGTAACCTCATCTGCCTCTCTACAGCAATTAATTTAAAAGAAAATGGTTTGAGGCCAGGCGGGGTGGCTCACGCCTATAATCCCAGCACTTTGGGAGGCCAAGGTGGGCGGATCACCTGAGGTCAGGAGTTCGAGACCAGTCTGACCAACATGGTGAAACCCCATCTCTACTAAAAATACAAAAATTAGCTGGGCATGGTGGTGCATGCCTGTAATCTCAGCTACTCAGGAGGCTGAGGCAGGAGAATTGCTTGAACCCGGGAGGCAGAGGTTGTGGTGAGCCGACATTGTGCCACTGCACTCCAGCCTGGGTAACAGAGTGAGACACTGTCTCAAAAAAAAAAAAAAAAAAAAAAAAGAAGTGGTTTATACTTGGCAGAAGGATTTCAAATAGGGAGCTTCCTTCACAGATGTATGTGTTTAAAGGTCAGTCAATGAGTAGTAGAGCTGTTTTGAGCTCAAGAACATGGAGCCACAGCTAGGAGAAGATTAAATGAAAAAAATTCCCAAAAAAGAAAAGAAAAAGGAAAATACCCCCCACCAAGATCTCAGTCACTTTCCAAATCAAGATCCCCCACACATCTTGCTCAGCTTCTCATCCTCAACTTAGATGGTGCCAGAGATCCCAATCAAGATCATATCTAGAAGGCAGAAATCTCCAGGAAGAACTCCACCAAGACGAATGCCTGTTCTACCCAGGCCTAGGAGAAATGGCTGTGCAGTGGGAGGATGAACGCATTCATCAGCATTCTTGTCCAGGAGTAGCTCATCATCCTCTCCTGTCATTTCTGGTCACCACCAAAGAAGTCTTGCAAAAGGACATCTAGTCTCTAGTTAAGGCAATTAACTAGTGAATTAACCATTGAATTGCACACTAAACGGGTGAATTGTATGGTATATGAATTATACATCAATAAAGCTGTATATATACTGTGTATGTATGTGTGTGTATGTATATATATATAGTGTGTGTGTATATATATACATACAATAGAAATTCTAAGGAACCAAGCAATAAATCTAAGAAAAATTGCCAAATAATGGAGAAAATAATATGGTACATTTAAAAACATTTAAAAGGTAAACTAGAAATATGCCATATTAATAGACAGGAAGAATCATATAACAAAAACATGTCAGTTGTCCCCAAATTCAAAACAATTTGAATACAAATCTCATTTGTATTTTCGGGAAACTTGATAAACAATTCTAAGATTTAGGTAGAAGAACAAAGAAAAATGGTTAGCCAAGACAATCTAGAAGTAGAAAAAGATGGGAATGGTTCCTCTATCAAGACTTGGGATGAAACTTAGCTAATTAAGACAATACGTTGTAGTGCAGGGATAGAAAGTTGACTAATGGAACAAATTAATGAGTCTAGAAATGGACCTGTCAATCTTTGGAAATTTGACTTACGGTGGAGAGGACGATGCAGATCAGTGGTGGAGAAGGAACTGCTCAGTGAGTGGTGCTGGGGCAATTGTCTCTCCACATAGAAAAATATGGAATTGTATCTCTGTTTCACACCATATATCAATATAAATCCCCAATGGATTAAGGGCTTAAGTGTGAAAATAAATATTTTAAAAGTTATGGCTGAGTGCGGTGGCACACGCCTGTAATCCCAGCACTTTGGGAGGCCGAGGTGGGTGGATCACGAGGTCAGGAGATCAAGACCATCCTGGCTAACATGGTGAAACCCCATCTCTACTAAAAATACAAAAAATTAGCCGGGCGTGGTGGCAGGTGCCTGTAGTCCCAGCTACTCGGGAGGCTGAGGCAGGAGAATGGCGTGAACCCGGGAGGCAGAGCTTGCAGTGAGCTGAAATCGTGCCACTGCACTCCAGCCTGGGCAACAGAGCAAGACTCCGTCTCAAAAACAAAACAAAACAAAAACTTTCAGTCTGGGCAACATTGTGAGACTCATCTCTACAAAAAAAATTAAACAATTAGCTAGCTGGCATATGCCTGTAGTCACAGCTACATGGGAGGCTGGGGTGGGAGGATTGCTTGAGCCCAGGAGGTCAGGGCTGCAGTGAGCTGTGATTGTGTCACTGCACTCCAGGTTGGGTGACAGAGCAAGATCCTGTCTCAAAAAAGAAAAGAAAATTTTTAGAAGAAAATGGAGGACAATATCTTTATTACCTTGGGATAGATAAGGATTTCTTAACTAAGACATAAAAGAAAATATTAAATTTGACTACATTGATGTTAAAAAATTTCTGTTTATTAAAGGACATCATAAAAAGAGGGAAGAATCAAGCCCCAATCTGGGATACAACTGCAACACATATAACTGATAAAAGATTAACATCCAGTGTTAGCAAAAACTCCTGTATAGCAAAGACTAGACAACCCAGTATAAGAATAGGCAAAACACTTGAACAGACATTTCACACAGAGGAAACACAGATGGTAAATAAACACGCTCAACCTCATCACTAATCAGGGAAATCTAGATCTCAACTAGAAATCATTTTATACCCAGCAGATTGGAAAAATTAAGAAGTTTGCCAATCTGAGCTTCAGAAATGATGGAAATGAAAGAAATTCACAAGCACTAGTGAGAATATAAATTGGTACATTGGAAAACAAATTGACATCATTTTGTAAAGCTGTACATTTGTATATCCTATGACAGAGCAGTTCGACTTCTAGTATATATTCTAGAGAAACTCTTGTACATGAGCATCATGAAACATAAAAGAATGTTTAATACAACCCTGTTCACGAAATAGTGAAAATGAGTGAGCATGGATGAATCTTAGTACCAGAATGCTGAGTGAGAAAAGCTAGTTTCAGAAGACTACATAGCTAAAGAGACATTTTTATGAAGTTCAACAAGCAAAATGAAACCCTATATTGTTTAGTGATACATACGTTATAAAACTATATATACATAGAAGTGTATATGTATATGACTCTGTATCTGTATATATAAAAAGGTAAGGAAATGATAAAACCTAACATTCAAGAAAGGTTATACCTGGTGGGATCACAAAGTTGGGATATAAAAGGAGTACATAGGTAGAAGCAATGGTAGTGCTTCTGTTCTGCTGCTTACATTTCATGGCTTAATAATGGACATTTCATTTATTATTATGCTGTGTGACACATTACATATATTCTTGTTTATGTATTAAATGCATTAAATAAGATACACATGAAAAATGCTTGCTTTAATTCTGGACTCAGATATAATTGTTCACATGAAGTGGCTTTGGTGGGTAGAATGGGGAGGGCAGCCTACAACAGCTCAGTACAATAGGGCCTGAGGCCCTTCCACCGGAAGAAGGAGCCAACTCCTCCACCCCCACATCAAGGCCTAGGATTCCAAAAGCAAAGAGGCATTTTGAGTAAGCCTTGCAGTTTTTCTCTCACTTGATCCACTCTTAGCCCACATCTGTGACCTGAAGAGAGAGAGGCGTGTAAGTAAACAGAAAAAGGTCTGTTATTAAAAACCTCACAAGTCTCTGGGGTAAAAGCTGCCCTGATTTGGAACACCTCTAACTGAATATTGTCTAAAAAGAAAAGGCAGCCATTTCTCCCTCTTTGCAGAGCTGCGAGTGCTCTGTGAGGTCTCCGAGGTAAAAGTGATGGCCCAGGATGCCCTAACAGGAGGGTGCAGGTCTGGGAAGTGGTCCTCATGCCTCTTCCCTGTGACAGTGCCCCTTGGACAATTTAGATGCCAACAGAACTCTGCTGGGTAGAGGCTCAGTGCCCAGGGAGTGTCATGTGAGACTAGATCCTGTGTACCCACAAGAGCAGGTAAGAGAATGTTAGCCAAAGCAATCTCGAGCAAGAAAAACAAAGCTAGTGGCATCACACTTCCTGATTTTAAAGCTACACTAATCGAAACAGTGTGATACTGGCATAAAAAACAGACATGTAGACCATTGGAACAGAATAGAGAGCCCTGAAATAAACCCACTTATATATGCCCAACTGATCTTTGACAAGGGTGCCGAGAACACACGATGGAGAAAGGACAGTCTCTTCAATAAACGGTGCTAGGAAAACCAGATATTCACATGCAGAAGAATGAAATCGGATCCTTATCTTGCAGCACATAAAAGTATCAACTCAAATGGATTAAAGAGTTAAACATAAGACCTGAAACTAAACTACTAGAAGAAAACGTACGGATAAACATTCTTGATATTGGCCTGGGCAGTGATTTTTTGGATGTGACACCAAAAGCATGGGCAACAATGGCAAAAATAAGCAAGTGGGACAACATCAAACTAAAAAGCTTCTGCACAGGAAAGAAAATAACCAACAAAACAGAGAGGCAACCTAGGGAATGGGAGAAAATATTTGCAAACCATAGATCTGATAAGGGGTTGATATTCAAAATATATAAGAAACTGAAAACAACTCAGTAGCAAAAACAAAAAACAACAACAAAAAACAAACAAAAAACAACCCAACTAAAAAAAAATGGGTAAAGAGCTGATTAGACATTTATCTAAAGAAGACATACAAATAGCCAACAGGTATACAAAAAGGTCCTCAACATCACTATTCATCAGGGAAATGCAAATCAAAACCACAATGAGACGGCACCTTCCACTTGTTAGAATGGCCGTTATCAAAAGGACAAACAATAACAGGTGTTGGTGAGGATGTGCAGCAAAGGGAATACACACTGTTGGTGGGAATGTAAGTTAGCACAGCCACTGTGGAAAACAATATAAAGGTTTCTCAAAAAATTAAAAACAGACCTACCATATAATCCAGCAATTCCACTTCTAGACATGTATTCAAAGGAGATGAAATCAGTATCTCAAAGTGATATCTGTACCCCCACTGCAGCACTATCCATAACCGCCAAGATATGGAAACAACCTAAGTGTCTGTTGATGGATGAATGGATAAAGAAAATGTGATATATACATATATATTATATATACATATATATACACACACATACAAACATATGCAATCAATACTCTATTGTGTGTATATATATATACACACATATATTATTCATAATATATAAGTATATACTTGTATATTATATATAATATATACACACACACACACACAATAGAGTATTAATCAGCCACAAAAGAGAAGGAAATCCTGCCATTTGCAACAACATGGATGAAGCTGGAGGACATTACGTTAAATGAAACAAGCCAGACCCAGAAAGAAGAATACTGTATGATCTCGCTTATATGTGGAATCTAGGAGGTCAAACTGAGAGAAGCAGAGAGTAGAATGATGGTTGCCAGGGGATGGATGAGAGAGGAGTAGGAAGACACTGGTCAAAGGGTACAAAGTTTCAGTTATGTGGGATAGATACCTTCTAAACAGCATGGTGACTATGGTTAATAATACTGTTATTATATATACTGAAATTTGCTAAGAGAGCAGAGATCAAGTGTTGTCACCACACACACACACGAGTAACTAGGTGAGGTGTGGATATGTTAGCTTGATTGTGGCAACCATTTCACAATATATATGTATATCAAAATATCACATTGTACACTTCAAATGTATACACTTTTTATTTGTCAAGTATACCTCAATAAAGCTGGAGAAAAAAATAATAATAAAGAGTAAGACCCTTGGAAATGCCTTGAGGTACTTGGTGACAGTCAATCTTCTGACCTCATCTATATCCACAACCCAGGTTATATTTCTGTTTGAGAGAATAAGGATGTATTTTTGTTTACTGGATTATAGTGCCAGCATTAGTCTTAACTCTGTCTCCTTCTCTGTCTCTCTCTCTCTCTCTTTCTCTCTCTCTCTCTGTATCTAGCTCTGCTTCCCTCTCTTCCCATCTCCCTCCATCCATCTAGTAGGAATATTGTGCTGGCCTTGGTTTCCATGCTCTCTCTCCCCTATGGCTCCCTCACTCTGCCTCGGCCTGAGCGAGCATGAATCACTTCTGCTGGGGTGTGCTCTGCTGTACTGCTTTTGTTCTCAGAGCTGTGATGTAAATACGACTACTTCAGTGTTTTAATTTTCCCTTTCTCTGGTATTGTGCTTCTTAACTCAACATATTCTAAACAAATCTCTTAAGAATCTTTACACAATTGTTAGTGTTTTATGTGTAAATGCCAAGGTTGACAAACTGCTCTGAGAAATTTAATTATAAACCGAGTAAGCTTATTTGAAAATTGAAAGTGGTATTTGATTTGCTCCTAAATATATTTACACATAAAGAGAACATAATGTGATGCCAGACCCCAAGAGAGACTGAGCACACATTAATTGATGCCGAAGGCAAAAGCTTAAGGGTATCATTCCATTCAAACTATGCAGATCCAATTTAATTCAATAATGCAAATATCTGCATAGCTAATGGTTGTCAAACCTTAACAATAGTCACTTATGTCAGACAATATAATCTAAATATGAAAGTTTTGAAGCATTTTTTAGAGATCGTTGCAATTTGTTGTCCTATAATGTAAGGATGTACTACTGTCTTCAACAGGCAACATGGCCTTTCAGAGTTCAGTTTTCTTAGGTCAGTTTGAAATGAGATTGTCAGATCAATACATTGAAACTCTGAAATGGCAATCTCACCATTCAAACAATTATAGCTGGCTGTTTAAAACTTGCATTTTGTAAGGTAAACTTTTTACCACGGGAAGTCTGGAGACATCCTTAGATTTTAGCAGAAAGCAACAGCTTGGTTAATTACATGAACTCTGTTGGGCTACTTATTAGAATACTATTAGGTTTGTATCAACATGATATAAACATCGATTGCTGTCTAATCTCTGTGGATCTAGAGAATTAATGTTCTGATTACAAATAATTTATGTGTGGTAAGAACAACCCTGCTGTTAATAGGAATAATTGCTGTGAATATTTTTTATAGTAAAACTGGTTTTGAACCTTCAAAGTCAGTTTTAAAGACCTCGACATTATGAGAGGATAGCAAAGAGAATACACTTTTCTTTCTAGTTAGAGCTTTTGTTAGGTTTAGCTGCCTTGTGTTTAATTATCAGGTTTTTATTCTTTGCTCTATTGCTGAACCAAAAAAAGAAAGAAAGGAAAGAAAGAAAGAAAAAGAAAGAAAGAAGAAAGAAAGGAAAGAAAGAAAGAAAAAGAAAGAAAGAGAAAGAAAGAAAGGAAAAAGATCTGGAACCAAACCAATTTCCAGTGGGTTAGAAGTAGAGTTGTTAGCATCTTTGAATATAAAATTCAAATTCAAATTCAAAATATCAAGAAGATGACTTGTTGGCAAAACAAGTTAAAATTATGTTTATTGGGAACAAGAGTATATTTGAGTGGAAAGCCTACGGCAGTGAAAAGAGCCATGGATTAAGAGTGAAAAGATGCCATCCTGGCTAACACAGTGAAACCCCATCTCGACTAAAAATACAAAAAAATTAGCCAGGCGTGGTGGCGGGCGCCTGTAGTCCCAGCTACTGGGGAGGCTGAGGCGGGAGAATGGCGTGAACCTGGGAGGCAGAGCTTGCAGTGAGCTGAGATCGTGCCACTGCACTCCAGCCTGGGTGACAGAGTGAGACTCCATCTCAACAACAACAAAAAAGAGTGAAAAGATGGAGGTTCTAGCACTGGCTTGAGATCCTGAAAAATTCCCCAGACCTTTTTTGGCCTCAGTTTCCTTATGTGTGAAATGGCTGATGAGACCTGGTAGTCTGTAATGTATCTTCCCAGTAAGAAAAAAATGATTTCCCTGAAACAAAACTGAGAAAGGATTCATTACATACAAATACAGAAGAATTGCTAGGGTTGTTAGTGGTAGATGAGATGACCATGTCATGTAAAAGAAGATTGTTCTTGTGCTGAGAGGCAGCCCTACGGCAACTCTCTTCATTAGATGCCCACTTGTGTCCCTCTGAATCACTCTCTGCTCTTCAACCCTGTGGATGAAAAATGATATGGGCGGATGTCTCCAACTGTTGCTGAATATGTCTACATTTCACCTTCTTGCCGTTGGGCACTCAGCGTGCAGTCAGCTCTCTTGAGGCGTGCAACTGTTATACCATGTGGGAACCTCAGGCTTTGGGCTGTATCACGCTGTCATGCATTACAGAAGTGCAGCTTCATGTCACCTATGACCTTGGCACAGGATGAACTGCTATATGTTTCCGAAGATGCCTCTCTGTAGCATGACTTTTCTCGTCAGAACTTTTCCTCTAACCATGACCCTTGGGATCATTCGTTAGTTCACCTTTCCTCTTCCCTGTTCCCTGGAGATGCTGGGAATCTTTTCTACCTGGATCCAGCGGCTGTCTTTTGGGCCACACTATTTTAATGCCATATATGTACCCTGAAACACTCTCTCCTTTTAAGTCTATATCTATATCCATATTTATCTTTTGTAAAATCTCCAAGAGCATGTATAAATGTCCAGGACACTTTTATTATTGGTGCTGTTTACCTGGCTTGCATGCTCTGAACACCAGAATCTTGGTGGTAGTAGAATAGTTACTGAGGTCTTTAGTAGAAAGTCTGGTTTGGCTGCAAGAAAAAGAAAACTCCCAACTCAATTGGCTTAAACAAAAAGAAGATGTATCACATATAACAAGAAGTCTGGCTCCAATGTTGACTGACTCATGAACTAAACACATCATTGAGAACCCGGGGTGGGTAAAGTAATAATCCAAGTTCAAACGTCTCAGCATCCTTGCTTGTCCTCATCATTGCAAAATGGCTGCAGCAGCTCAGTCATCACATGTTATTGTGATCATGTCAGCAGCAGAAGGGGGATTTTCCTGTGTGTGTGTGTGTGTGTGTGTGTTGTTGTTAAAAAAAAATACCCTTTTTGTACTGCCCTCCCCAACCACCAGATTTTTCTTAGTATTTCAATGACCAGAGTTGTATGCCCCATGCCCTCACCTGTTACTGGTAAGAGGAATAAAACTATCATGGCTCCTATTTAACTGCTATCTTGTTTTATTTCACAAGTTTATTCATATAGACATAATAAGAGGTGTTAACTAATAAATAAATACCTTTTTTTTGGTATGGCTAACAAAGCTAGAGCCACATGATATTGAAGCTTTAGAATGAACTTTTTTCTGGAGGCTTTGCACAGTTCCCAGAGGGGTAAATTTCTTATATGTGTGAGAATAATTTTTATCATTGTTATTAGCACTATTTTCTCTGAGATCCTCATATTTGTTAATATTTCTGGCCTGCTAGGAAATGAATTTACTGTCTGTGAGTCCTAATATCACAAGTCATCTAGTGGATGAGTTTCCTAGGGAGACTTTGTAGATGTCATTCCCACATGTAAAATATAGGCTTTGTTCTGTAATAGTGAGCTTATCACATCTAATTAAAAGGAACTTTTGGCATAGGCAATACCCAATTATATTCTGGTAAGAAAGGGAAATGATCATAAGTATTAATTCCCCCCAGTGGTGAATAAGCTATATCAATTTCTTTAGCTATTTTTTTTAAATTTATGAAATAGAAAATTTCATAGTGAAAAATAAATTAAAAAGGGCACTATCCACATTATTTAATCTTTGTTATTATTGTTTTGTTGACAAGGCCAATGAATGTATGTCATACTCTACAAAATTGTTATTTTAAAATTGTCTTGATGACATATTAGCTTACAATTTATATCTCATGGGAGAAGATCGCTCGTGGGATTTTTTTCTTTTGAATTTTGACAGTTCCTCTGGGACAAAATACTAGGTAAAGAGTGCTTTATTCTAGTGTGTGAGTAGATTATAATCTGTTAAACTGAGGGTGAAGGATAGATTAAGAATAACTTTTTTCTAATGTAGATTCAAATAAAATATTAATCATAATGAAAACAGTTCATTTAGTTCAATTAGTCCTAGGTAATTTTTGTTATGTTGAGCTTGGGCTTTTGATTTTTTAAGAACATTTAATACCATGAAGTTCAGTTTCTGAAAAATGTACAGTTCAGTGGATTTTAGTATATTCACAAAATGCTGCATTAATCACCAGTTTTACTGCAAAACATTTTTATCACCTCTAGAAGAAACCTCATACTCACTTTTCCCTTCCCTCAGCCCGTGGCAAGTACTAATTTACTTTCTGTCTCTATGGATTTGCCTATTCCGAATATAGCATATAAACGGAATCATAAATACATGTTTTTTTGTGCTTGGCTTCTCTCACTTAGCACAATACTTTTAAGATTCATCTGTATTGTATAGCCTGTATCAATACTTCCATTGTGTGGATGTACCACTGAATTAGTTTCCCATGGCTGCTATAACAAATTACCACAAAATTGGTTGCTTAAAACAGCACACATTTATTGCCGTACAGTTCTGGGGGTCAGAAGTCTGAAATCAATTTCTCTTGGCTGAGATCAAGGGTCAATAGGGCCATACTTGCTCTACAGGCTCGGGGAGAGTCCATTTCTTCACCTTTTTCAGCTCCCAGTGACTGCTGGCATTCCTTGGCTTATGGCTCCTTCCTCCATCCTCCAAGCCAGCATGTAGCATTTTGCTTCAGTTGTCACATTGCCTTCTGTTCTGTAGTCAAATCCTCCTCTACCTCCCTCATATGGGGACCCTTCAGATTACATTGGGTCCACCTGGATAATTCAGGATATGCTCCCTCTTTTAAGGTCCTCAAGGTAGCCAGGCATGGTGGGTCATGCCTGTAATCCCAGAACTTTGGGAGGCTGTGGCAGGAGGGTCGCTTGAGCTGAGGAATTCAAGACCATACTGGGAAACATCTCTATAAGGAAAAAAAAAAAAAAAAAAATAGCCAGGTGTGGTGGCATGCAACTGTAGTCCCAGCAACTTGGGAGGCCAAGGTGGAAGGACTGCTTGAGCCCCAGAGGTTGAGGCTGCAGTGAGCCAAGATGGCGCCACTACACTCCATGCTTGGGTGGCGGAATAAAACCTTGACTGGAAAAAAATTCTTAACGTGATCCCATCTGCAGAGTGCTTTTGCCATATAAGATAACAACCACAGGTTCCAGGGGTTAGGGCCACTGGAGGCCACTATTCAGTCTATCAGAACCACAGTTTGTTTATCCATCATTAATTAACGAGCATTTGGTTTGTCTACATTGTCGCTGTTATGAATAAGGCTGCTCTGAACATTCATTTACAGGCTTTATGTGGACAAGTGTCTTCAGTTCTCTTGGGTGTATACCTAAGAGTAGAAATGCTGTGTCACATGTCACAGCAATTTGAGGAATTGCCAAACTGTTTGTTTATTTATTTATTTATTTAGACGGAGTCTCGCTCTGTCGCCCAGGCTGGAGTGGCGCCATCTGGGCTCACTGCAAGCTCCGCCTCCCGGGTTCACGCCATTCTCCTGCCTCAGCCTCCTGAGTAGCTGGGACTACAGGCGCCCGCCACCATGCCTGGCTAATTTTTTGTATTTTTTAGTAGAGACGGGGTTTCACCATGTTGGCCAGGACGGTCTCGGTCTCTTGACCTCATGATCCACCCACCTCAGCCTCCCAAAGTGCTGGCTGCACCATTTTCCATTTCCACTATCCATGTATGAGGGTTTCAATTTTTCCACATCCTTACCAACATTTGTTATTGTCTGTCTTTTTGAGTATAGCTATTTCAGTGGATGTGAAGTGGTGTCTCGGTGTGGTTTTGATTTGCATTTCCCCGATGACTAACGACGTTGAGCATCTTTTCATTGGCTCATTGATCATTTATCTGTCTTTCAAGAAATATCTATTGAGGTCCTTTGCCTATTCTAAAACTAGGTTATTTTGTTGAGTTGTAAGAGTTCTTTCTATATTCTAGTTATAAGTCCCTTATTAGATATAGGATTTTCAAATATTTTCTACTGTCTTGTACATTGTCTTTTCAATTTCTTCATGTTGTCCTTTGAAGCACAAAAGTTGTTAGTTTTAATGAAGTTTACCTATCTTTTCTTTTGTGCTTTTGGCATCCTATCTAGTACCATGGCGACCTACCATGGTTCAGACCAATGGGAACCACCCCTTTTGACACTTATAGCTGTGTGGGTTATCTTAGAAAAGCAGGGCTAGACCAGGTGCGGTGGCTTACGCCTGTAATCCCAGCACTTTGGGAGGCTAAGGCAGGCGGATCATGAGGTCGAGAGATCAAGACCATCCTGCCCAACACGGTGAAACCTGTCTCTACTAAAAATACGAAAACTTAGCTGGATGTGGTGGTGTGCACCTGTAGTCCCAGCTACTCAGGAAGCTGAGGCAGGAGGATTGCTTGAACCCGGGAGGCGGAGGTTGCAGTAAGCCAAGATCGTGCCACTGCACTCCAACCTGGAGACAGTGAGGATCTGTCTCAAAAAAAAAAAAAAAGAAAAGAAAAGAAAAGAAAAGCACAGCTGGCCATCACCAGGGTCCCCTGCAGGTCCCCCAGGTCAGGCAGTTATTTATCACAGTACTTGGATGGGTTTTAACCACAGAACTCTATAAAGTCACAGAAAAATTACTTCAATGTGACAGAACCCAAACTAGGAAATAAGATCTCTTTGCGGTTTATGTTACACACACACACATACTCTCTCAACCATAATTAGACACAGCAAACCATAAATAAGATGCAGCGGGGTTCACATGTCACCTTCCATCTCTCTCATGAGAGAGCTGGAGGGCGCCTTCGTCAGTGTGGATCCTGTCCAGCCTGCTCCTCTGTGAGCTCCCTGACGTGGGAGCAGTGCTGTTCTGTGCTGATCTCGCCCAGCAAGTTGCTTCCTCCTTTTGAGACTTTGTTGTCATTTGTCTTGGCCTCCACTTACTCTCGATCTGTGTTCACTGAATCAACCACCCAGGGCTGTTGCTAGTGTCACATAACCTGGGAATGGCTTTACAAACAAAACAACACCCATTCCTGGGACCTGCTGCTCCTTTCTAGTCTCTGACCTGCAATCAGCTGCCTCTCTATTGCATCCCTGCTTTAGCCACAGGAAGGGTGCTTTGTATTCAGCATCTTTTTTCTTTAATTAAACAAAAACAAAACTTCTGAATTGGATCTTCTGTTGTAGGGAAATGCAATGTGTGTCATTCCTGGGGGACACTCCAGTGGGCATCTCTGCAGCTCCTGCAGCCGGCAGTGCTCACTCATTACTGCATGTCTACTGCGGCACAGGTGGGACAGGGACCCCACGGGGCCTGAGAATCACGTAGTAGGTCTTCAGCAAAGGCTGACTGAATGAGTACAGGTTACTGATGGAAACTGAGATCCTTAGAAATGGAGTAACTCTCTCTAGAGACAGAGGACGAACTAAGTGGCCTTTTCTAAGTGAGTACTCATCAACCTTTGGGGGAACAGATACCCAGTTTCATTATAATTCACTTTTCAATTTATTGGAAATACTGAATTTATTATTCAGTTTATTGATGAAATGGAAGTAACAGTCCCCTGCAGTGTGTGTATGTGTGTGTTTGCTGAAGGAGGTGGCCATGTATTTAATGGTAAATTTCAGTATCCAGAGCATTTCCTGCTTTTAGTTTTGATTTTCTTTTATGTTACTAGATACGTTCTTAACGTGATCTTAATGTAGTTAAGTTAGCTTATAACGGCTACGGGATAAAATAGGCTCCTAGACAGCACATTATAATGCCCCTTCTGAGAAAAGAATTACAGCAAAAGCTGGACCCAATTGTAATAACATTAAACTTATAAAAGCATGAAATTGCTTCATAGGGTGTACATGAATTAATATCTTCTTTGCACTGGTGGTTTTCCCATATAGTACATCACTCAGGCTCAGCAACACACAAGTATGCTTTTGTACCAGCGAAGATTGCATTGCAAAGCTGTATCATCTACTGGAAAAAAAAAGAATAAAAAAGGAAAAGAAATACCCAGAATAGTTTGGGCTGGTCCAGGAGTGAAGGACACTTTAAAGATTGCCTTTCTCCTGAACTCCTACCCTGCTCTCTGCCCTTTCTTGTGGACTGATGGCCTTTCATGAGTTGGCAGGACTTACCTATCTTGATCTTCTGGTCCCATGTAAAACGCACGTTCTTATATCCAGAGGATCAGAGCCAGCCTAGACAGCCCAACACCATGCAGACAACCGTGCCATGGACACTTCAACTCAACTGCAATGTCGATTTGTTTGCAAAGATGAGCCAGTACTGTAAATGTCAAGCAACATTGCTCTGTGCAGCAGAGTCAGCCATCTTTGAACTCACCAGAAAGTACCTATGAGACTTGCGGACTTTTGAGCATATTACATTGATCATGTTGAAAGGTAGAGGCAAAAAGAACCTGTTCCTGCCTGTGTAGCAGTTTTTATTCTTTTGATTTTGAATAAGAGTAACATTTTTTGGCCAGCACTTTGAAAATGGCCCTCTCTGAAGAACGGTTCTCTAGCATACTTATAAACGGGCGGTAACTTTTTTACTTTGGAATGACCTGCAAGGAGCTGCATCTTCCAGAACAGGTGAAAAGGCATAGGCTCTGGAATCAGAAAAAGCACGTTTAGCTGCAGGCTCTTAACACAGGGGGCCATATTCATCTCTGTATTGTTCCAGTTTTAGTTCATGTGCTGCCAAGGCAAGCACAGCCATAGCCTTTTAACATGTTTCCTGGCTTTACTAATAAATCCACAAAAATGGGAAAGATTTAAGACTTAATATTTTTAAAATGCAGATCTGATTCTGTCACTCTCACCCCTACCCTGATTTCCTCAGTGGCTTCCCACTGCACTTGGAATAAATTCACACTCTTTGCCATGGCCTAACGGCCCTGCACAACCTGGTACTTTCTACTCTCAGACCTCACTTTATTCCTCCTTTCCCTGGCCCCCAGCTCCAGTTATAGTCTCTCTTCCCTAGAACACCCCAGACTTGTTCTGCCTCTGGGCTATTGCACCTGTGATTCCCTTTGCTCGGAACTCTCTTTCCCTAGAGCTTCAGCTCTTCATATGCCTGCCTGTCACCCTTCAGATATCAGCTCAGCTGGGTGCAGTGGCTCACATTGGAATCCCAGTGTCCCCGTGCTTTGGGAGGCCAAGACAAGAGGATTGCTTGAGACCAGGAGTTTGAAACCAGCCTGGGCAACATAAGGAGCACCCCCTCACTACAAAGTTAGCTGGGTATGGTGGTGTGCACCTGTGGTCCCAGCTTTTCGGGAGGCTGAGATAGGAGGATCACTTGAGCCTGGGAGGTTGAGGCTGCAGTGAGCCACAGCACACCAGCCAGCGTGACACAGCGAGACTCTCAGAAAAACAAACAAACAAACAAACAAACCAAAAAACCAATCCCACTCCCTTAACAAAATTCAAATATCTAGCTCACATGAAAGTAGCACCTTTTAAGAGGTGATACTTTTTTTTTTCTTAAGTCAACTTTTATTTTAGATTCAGGGCGTACATGTGCAGGTTTGTTACTTGTGTATATTGCATGATGCTGGTGTTTGGGGTTCATAGTTGACCCTATCCTCCAAGTAGTGAGCATAGTCCCCAATAATTAGTTTTACAACTGTTGTCCTTCTTCTCCCTCCCCCTGTATTAGTTCCCAGTGTCTATAGTTGCCATCTTTATGTCTATGAGTACCCGATATTTAGCTCCCACTCATAAGTGAGAATATGTGGTATTTGGTTTTTTGCTCCTGCATTAATAATAGCCTCCAGCTGCATCCATGTTGCTGCAAAGGACATGAATTCCTTCTTTTTAATGGCTGCATAGTATTCCCTGCTGTATATGTACTTCATTTTCTTCATCCAGTCCACCGTTGATGGGCACCTAGGTTGATTCCATGTCTTTGCTATTGTGAATAGTGAAGCAATGAACATAATGAACGCATGTGTCTTTTTGGTAGAACGATTTATTTATTTTTGGATATATACCCAGTCATGGGCTTGCTCTAAGTTCCTTGAGAAATCTCCACACTGCTTTACACATTGGCTGAAGTAATTCATGTTTCCAGCAACAGTATATTAGCATCCTCTTTTCTCCATAGCCTTGCCAGCAGCTGTTATTTTTGGACTTTTTAGTAGTGCTTCAGACAACAGAATTGCTGTCATGGTGGGCTATAGACTGCATTCTAGACCCTGGAGCTACTGTAGCCCACGCCCCAGACCCTGGCTCCTCAGCTGCTGTACTAACACCCATTCCTGGCACACCATCTCCAACACTGCAGTGGAGGAGGGGGTGGCGCCTGCATCCCAGGCACCAGTGCCACTGCTGCCTCAAACCCAGGGGCCATGGTTCTTCCACAAGTACCTGAATTCCCAACCTTGGCCCTGTGGATACTTCACAGGTGCTGCACACCAGACAGTAGTGCCACTGCCACCATGAGCATGCCTGTGAGCTGGCTCTGGCTTCAAGAGGGATCTGTCACAACTTCACCTGTGGGAGAAGAGATCAGGAAGACCCCAGCATCCTTCACCACCCCATAAGCCCTTGCTGTCTTTGTAGACACCTGCAGCCTTGGCCACTGAGGACCCCTACCTCTCTACAGTTCTGTCAGCTGAGGTGAGCATTAGTGAAGATTATAGGGGAGGTTCTGGCCAAAGGGACCTCTTGGCACAATAAATGACAATAGTTAGTTCTTGCCTATCAATAATTACTTTAAATGTGAATGGATTAAATTCTCTAATCAATAGACATAGGATTTAAAAAATAAGATCCAATAATATGCTGTCTACAAGAGTTTCATCTTAGCTTTAAGGATACAAATAGGTTGAAAAAGATATTCCATGCAACTGGAAAGCAAGAGAGGGAAGAGGTAGTTATATCAGACAAAATAGACTTTTAGTCAAAAACTGTAAGAAGAGACAGAAATGTCAATATGTAATGATAAAGGGGTCAATTTATGAAGAAGACATAATAATTATAAATATATACACATCCAACACTGGAGCACCTAAATATATAAAGCGAATATTAAGAGATCTGAAGGGAGAAATGGAGAGCAATGAAATAATAGTAGATGACTTTAATACACCACTTTCAACAGTGGGTAGACCATCTAGGCAGAATACTAATAAGGACACATTGGACTTGAACTACACTTTAGACAAGGGGTGTCCAATCTTTTGGCTTTCCTAGGCCATATTGGAAAAAGAAGAATTGTCTTGGGCCACACATAAAATACACTAACAATAATGATAACTGATGAGCTAAAAAAAAATCACACAAAAAAATTTCATAATGTTTTAAGAAAGTTTGCGAATTTGTGTTGGGCCACATTCAAAGCCATCCTGGGCTACATGTGGCCTGCTGGTTGTGGGTTGGACAAGCTTGCTTTAGACCAAATGTACTAAGCAGATATATGCAGAACATGCCATTCAACAACAGCAGAATACCCATTCTTCTCAAGCTTGCATGGAATATTCCTAGGATAGATCATATGTTAGGCTACAAATGAATTTTTATCAAATATCTTTTCTGACCACAATGCTATGAAATTAAAAATCAACAACAGGAAGAAAATTTGAAAATTCACAAGTACATGGAAAGTAAAAACACTTCTAAATAACCAATGGGTCAAAGAAGAAATCAAAAGGGAAATTAAAAAAATTTTTGAAATAAATAAAAATGAAAATACAACACACCAAAACTTATGAAATGTAGCAAAAACAATTCTACAAAGGACGTTTATAGTGACAAATGCCTACATTATGAAAAAAGAAAAATCTCAAACAAATAATTTAACTTTACATTTCAAGAAACTAGAAATAGAAGAGAAAAAGAAGCCCAAAGTCAGCAGAAGGAAGGAAATAATAAAGATCTGAATAGAAATAAATGAAATAGAGGCTAGAAAAACAAACAGTAAAAAAAAGATCAATGAAACCAAGGGTGGGGCTTTTGAAAAGATGAAATTGACAAAACTTTAGCTAGACTAAGAAAAAAAGAGAAGACTCAAATAAATAAAATCAAAAATGAAAGAGGTGACATTACAGCTGGCACACAGAAATACAGAAGATTATAAGAGTTTACTCTGAGCAATTATATGCAACAAATTTGATAACCTAGAAGAAATGGATAGATTTCTTCAGGTACATTTCTATATGTACCCATGTAGGTATATATAACCTACTTAGAATTCTGAAGAAATAAAAAATCTGAACAGACCAATAACAAGTGATGAGATCAACTAGTAATAGAAAGTAATAAAAAGACTCTATCAAAAAACTATTAAACTAGTAAACAAATTCAGTAAAGTTGCAGGATACAAAATCAACATATAAAAATCAGTAGTGTTTCTGTACAGTAACAAGAACGTATCCAACAAGGAAATTAAGAAAACAATCCCATTCATAATAACATTAAAAAGAATAAAATACTTAGGAGTAAATTTAATGAAGGAGGCAAAACATCTGTACACTGAGAACTATAAAACATTGATGAAGGAAATTGAAGAAGACACAAATAAATGGAAAGACATCATGTTCATGGATTGAAATAATTAATATTGTTAAAATGGCCATACTACTGAAAGCCATCTACAGATTCAATGCAATTTCCATCAAAATTCCAATGACATTTTTCATAGGAATAGAAAAAAAAATTCTTAAATTGATATGGAACCACAAAAGACCCCAAATAACCAAAACACTTTTGACAAAAAGAACAAAACTAGATTTTAAATTATGTTATGAAGCTATAGTAATCAAAACAATATGCTACTACTACACCCCCCCCAAAAACCTCAGACGTATAGACCAGTAGAGTAGACAGCCCAGAAATAAACCCATAAATATGCAGTAAAGTAATTATCAATAAAGGCACAAAGAATACACAATGAGGAAAGGATAATCTCTTTCATAAATTTTGATGCTGGGAAAATGGAATATCCACATGCAAAAGAATGAAATCGAGCCGTTATCTTTTTTTTTTTTTTTTTTTTTTGAGACAGAGTCTCTCTCTGTCGCCAGGCTGGAGTGCAGTGGCACCTCCGCCTTGCGGGTTCAAGAAATTCTCCTGCCTCAGCCTCCCAAGTAGCTGGGACTACAGGTGTGCACCACCACGTCCAGCTAATTTTTGTATTTTTAGTAGAGATGGGATTTCACCATGTTGGCCAGGATGGTCTTGATCTTGTGACCTTGTGATCCGCCCACCTTGGCCTCCCAAAGTGCTGGGATTACAGGCGTGAGCCACTGTGCCCAGCCAAGCCTCTATCTTACAACACACACAAAAATCAACTCAAAATGGAGTAAGGAGTTGAAGGTAAGACCTAAAACTGTAAAACTCCTGGAAGAAAACATACGGGAAAAGTTCCTTGATAATAGTCTTGGCAATGAATTTTTTTGATTTGACACCAAAAGCACAGGCAACAAAAGCAAAACTAAACAGATAGAACCACATTAAACTAAAAAGTCACAAAGGGTACATAAAGCACAGCAAAGGAAACAATCAACAAAATGAAAAGCAGCCTATAGGATGGGAAAAATATTTGCAAACCATGTTTCCAACAAGGAATTAATGTCTTAAGGTACACGAGGACTCATACAACTCAGTAGTAACAAAAGCCAAATCACCCAATAAAAAATGTGCAAAGGACCTGAGTAGATATTTTTCCAAAGAAGACATATAAATAGGAAAGAGGTATATGTAAAGATGTCACTAATCATCAGTGAAATAGAAATCAAAACCACAATGATATGTCACTTCATACCTGTAGGATGGCTATTACAAAAACATTAAAAGTTAAGTGTCAGTGAGGATGTGGAGGAAAGGGATCCCTTATACATTTTTGGTAGGAACGTAAATTGGTGCAGCCATTATGAAAAACAGCGTGGAGATATCGCAGAAGCTTAAAAATAGAACTACCCTGTGATCCAACAATCCCACGTCTGAGTATATATCCAAAGGAAATGAAATTACTATCTTGAAGAAATATCTGCACCCTCATGTTCATCTCAGCATTATTCACAGAGGCCAAGATTTGGAAACAACATAAATATTAGTCAGTGGATGAATGGATAAAGAAAATGTAGTGTGTGTGTGTATACATATTTCATTTTATATATACATATACATTGTATATATAATGGAATATTATTCAGCCAACAGAAAGCTACCCTGACATTTGTGACAGCATGGATTGACATGAGGTTGTTATGCTAAGTGATATAAGCCAGACCCAGAAAGACAAATATTGCAGGATTTCACTTACATGTGGAATCTTAGGAAAAAAAAATTGAACTCATGGTAACAGAGAGTAGAATGGTGGTTACCAGGGCTGAGTGATTACAGGTGGGGTAGGGATTAAGGGTACAAACTTTCTGTCCTAAGATGAATAAGTTCTGGATACCTAAAGTACAGCACAATGACTACAGCTAATAATAGTGTATTGTACACTTGAAATTCTCTCAGGGAGTAGATCTTGTGTTACCAGGCACACGCAAAAAGGACACTATGTGAAGTGATGGATTTATTTTATTTTAGTTTATTTATTTTTTATTTTTTTTTGAGAGGGTGTTTCACTCTTGTTGCCCAGGCTGGAGTGCAATGGCATGATCTTGGCTCACTGCAACCTCCGCCTCCCATCAAGCAATTCTGCTGCCTCTGTCTTCTGAGTAGCTGGGATTACAGGCGCCAACCACCATGTCTGGCTAATTTTTGTGTTTTTAGTAGAGACGGGGTTTCACAATGTTGGTTAGGCTGGTCTTGAACTCCTGACCTCAGGTGATCCACCTGCCTCTTCTCCCAAAGTGCTGGGATTACAGGCGTGAGCCACCATACTCGGCCAGAAGTGATGGATTTGACTGGGGTAATCATCTTACCATGTATACATATATCAGAACATCACATTGTACACCTTAAATACACACAATTTTTGTTAATCATACCTCAATAAAGCTGGAAAAAAAGAATAAATTCAGTTCTATCATCTCTCTTCTTTTTAAAATTTTCACTGACTCTCCTGCCCTCATACACACATTTGCACAACTAGACACGTCCTAGCACATGTAGGTACCTTTCTTAAGACTCTCATTCAATCCTCACTCATCGATTTACTACGTTAGTCATTCATCCATTCACAAACCTATCTGCCTACTTCTTTCTTCTATGGGCTTCTTGAGGACAGAGTGAATGCATTTTATCTTTGTGTTCCAAGCACATAGTGGGGATGTAATACATCTTTCTTTAATGAATGAATGAATGTATGAATGTTTTCTCCAAAGAGCAGAAGTGAGCAGACAGTTGGCAAGTGAATTGGGAGAAGAGGAGAGAAAAATATTTTTAAAATATTAAAAAAATCTAATATGATTCTCTGTGGCATTACATGTGCTTCCTTATATAGTTACTGATTTGATCCTCACAAAAATCCTCCAAATGGGAGCAGATAATACTATTTGCCTTCAGAAATGAAGGGCCAGAGGCCTCGTGTGTTTGAGTCTGGACTGACAAAGTTAGCAGGTAGCGAATCTAAGACAAAAAGCCAGGTTTTTGGATTCCAAGTGCAGTGCCTTTTTGTTTTGTTTTGCATCCATCTAGGGTGAGTTTGTTTCTGATACAACACAATGAGATGCATGCTCTTTTTTTTTTTTTTTTTGAGACCGAATTTCACTCTTGTTGCCCAGGCTGGAGTGCAATGGCATGGTCTTGGCTCACTGCAACCTCCTCCGCCTTCCAGGTTTAAGAGATTCTCCTGCCTCAGCCTCCCAAGTAGCTGGGATTACAGGCACCTGCCACCACGCTGGCTAATTTTTGTATTTTTAGTAGAGACAGGGTTTTGCCACATTGGCCAGGCTGGTCTCGAACTCCTGACTTCAGGTCATCCACTCATCTTGGCCTCCCAAAGTGCTGGGATTAAGGGTGTGAGCCACTGTGCCCCGTGGAGATGCATGGTTTTTTGTGTGGCTGATACACATGTGAAGGCAAATCCATAGAGGACAGCTGACATTGCTTTAGGCAAGTGCAGCATCACTGGAATAAGAGTGTCACTGCAAAAGGGCTAGGGTGGGAAGACCCACTTAGGTGTACAAAGCCATGGGGTTTTTTTGCTTGTTTGTTTTTAATTGTTTTTAATTAAGAGTCTCAGCTGGGTGTGGTGGCTCACACCTGTAATCCCAGCACTTTGGGAGGCCAAGGTGGGCGGATCATGGGGTCAGGAATTCGAGACCAGCCTGGGAACATGGTGAAACCTCGTCTCTACTAAAAACACAAAAATTAGCTGGGCATCGTGGCGAGCGCCTGTAATCCCAGCTACCCAGGAGGCTGAGGCAGGAGAGGCAGGAGAATTGCTTGAACCCAGGAGGTGGAGGTTGCAGTGAGCCGAGATTGTGTCACTGCACTCAAGCCTGGGCAACAGAGCAAGACTCCATCTCAAAAAAAAAAAAAAAGTCTCAATTTCATTCCTCGACTAAAACAGGAGCTGAGAAACAAACGAAGCATGGGTCAGAACTGGGGGTAGCGTAGGGAAAAGAGTGGCCGGAGCAGGGCGTGGTGGGCCAAATGAAGCCGGCAGCCTTGAGGACTAGAGGAAGCTGGGTGGTACTTAAAGGGACAATGAACCTTTGGTGGCAGGAAAGTGGCCAGAGGCCAGAGTGCCTTGTGCCAAGGTGAAGGACAAAGTGAATGCCCCAAGGCAGGCACTGGGAGCCGGTGTGCCAATACCCGACATTCTCCAAATCCACAGCAGTGTCCTGATCTCGGGAAGCCTCTGCAGGGAGCCCTCAAAGCATGGCTGCGTGCATTTCCTATGGGCTCTTTTACTCTCTCTATACCTCAAGCTTTGTCTTTGAACAAGCTGAACGGTCTACACTGGATCCTGAGAGCAAAATGCCGTAAAGTTGCAACTTCATTCTTTTCTTCCTTCATCCTTCGGGCAGGGCGCTTTTGCTGTGTCTTTGTGTCCTCTCTGGGTGGTGGATGCAGGGGGATGAGGACCGGCTGAGGAGTCCCCCTGGAGCCCTTGAGGGAGCTTGGAACATAGACAAGTCCCCCTGGCTGTTCGAGGCCATTTCACCTTCGCCAGCGGTTCATCCCTGGGGCTTGGCAGCAGCCTTGCTCAGCGTTGGTTGCCTTTTCTGAGCACTGGCCACTGCTGTGGCTGGTAAAGGCATTTTGGAAGTCCTTATTACGCCCGCCAGCTTCACCTGTCCCTAAAATTTTGATCCCTAAAATTTTCCTCACTTCTTCAAACAACCCCCAAATGTTGCTGCTTTTCATAATCTCAGATTTTTCCTAACTCTTCCTCTCCTTCTTTCCTTTGCAGCACAAAATGCCCACGGGAACCACACCCCTGACATCCATCACCACCCTTTCAACAGTGGCCCTCAAACCTGTCTGGAAAATGATGACATCTGAATTATATCATTTATAAATCATTTATATAATACCAAAGTGCTGGGATTACAGGCGTGAGTGGGGGCAATTTTAAATTAAGAAAATTCTATCGATGAACATAGTCTCCCGTCCCCAAATGGGGATGGAGGGATGATGAAATCCTGGCAGTGGAGCCCCTTGTGCTGCTGTTGGGAGGTGGCAGTATTTTAAGGAAGAAGTAGAAAGCGGGTGAGAATAACATGGATTGAGCACCTGCCATTGACCAAGGCCGGGGCTTTAGAGTTTTCACCCAGGAGTCATTGCGGGTGGGCCCAGAGGACTGGAGAGAGTTAAAAATGGCCAGCGGGTCCCTAGGAAGCTCCAGGCCAGCATTTTTACACCCTGGAGGAGAGCTGAGAAGAAGCTGGAAAGGATAATATTGTAAGAGCTAACACTTATAGTGCTGATTATGTTACACCAAGCACTGTTTTAGGTGCTTACGTGTATTAATTTGTGGAATCCTTGCAACACTGTGTGAGTAGGTGTATTTGAATTATCTCCATTTTACGGACGATAAAACTGAGGCACAAAGAGTTAGCTAGTCACCCAAGGTTACTTAGTAAAGGTGGGATTTACACAAATTATGCTTTTTCACTGCTGCCTTACACCACCTTGCTGAGAACTTCTCCACACGCCACCAGTGTGCTGGCTCATGAAGTCGTGTGTGTGTGTGTATGAATGTATGAGTGTGTGAGTGTGTGCCTGTGTGTGAGCTTGGGGTGAGCAGGAAGCTCCAGTGGTGCTGAGACTGTTTTACTCACTGCTTTGTCCTCGGCACCTAGCACAGTGCTCAGGAAATGTTTGTGGAATCAATGCAGGAATAAATACACTTAGATTTTTCCAAGTACAGGCTCCTGTAGCTCCTTTGTTAGGAGCTATTTTGCGGCTGTCATTATGGCCCAATTTTCTTTTTTCATTTGGGTGAAAAATGATTTTGGCATTTAAACAGCATGACTTCATTATTGATTTTTTTAAAAAATCTGCCCCTACTATCAAATTCCCCTCTTGGCATTTTGTTACTCTGGATATATTTAGAAACATCTTTGTAGTGTTCTCCTTCGTTCTTTTGTATCTAGGATGCATTTTAACAAGGAGTATTCTATGTATGCAAAATTGTTGTATTTTTATTTTTGTTTATCTCCTGCAGTCCATAATAGAGGTTAAGAGTATGCCATTTTGATAACAAAGAACTTTCTTACTATCTTTTTGATTGACTGAATAGGCAAAGGAAACACCATAATTGTGTGAAATGGTCTGATTTAGAAACCAATTATAAGGAATGTAATTATCTACTAATGAAATATGCATGTAAGTCCTTGGTTTGCTGCTTCTAATGTCACTGTAGACAAATGCATAGCCAGGAGAAAACTTGCATAAAGTAAATTGAAAATCACCCATTTCCAGATTATTACTGAAAATCTCCTGACACCTAACATCTCAGAACCAAAAAGAATACCTGCTTTTCACCTGCAAGTGTCTCACTGTGTGTGTATGTATATGTGTGTGTATATGTAACATGCATGTGTATATGTGTATGTATTTGTGTATATATGTGATACGTATGTGTTTATATGTGCATATGCATGTAATATGTGTATGTGTGTACTTGTGTGTGTATGCATGTGCCTGTATGTGTGTGAGTGGGTAAGTGTGTGCGTGTATATGTGTGTGTGTATATGTGTGTGTGCGTGTGTGTGTCTATGTGTGTGCACGTGTATATGTGTGTGTGTATGTGTGTGTATGAGTGTATATGTGTGTGTTGGGGGGTGAGTGGGGTAGTGGGGGCTCAGACGGGGTGTTTTCTGGTCAAACCTTAAGGTCCACAACTACCCCTTTCTGTCTACTGATAATTCTTGATGATTAAATCCATAGGTTTCTCTGGGCTACAAAGCCAGAACTCTAAGGTCCTTTTTTTAAATTATAAGAACGAAAATAGAAGAAATTCCCTTTGGTTCTCTTAGGAAATGCATGATTGAGAAACAGCCCGTTGTCCTCTTCAGTTTTCATATGCCGTGCACAGTGAGACAGGGGAGCAGAGCCCTGGGAGCCGGCGCGCTCTCGAGACGTGGACTGTCGCCCCGGGGAGAAGACAGCAGACTGTGCTTCTGAGCTTTCGCCCTCTCCTTCCCCGGCAGAGGCGCTTGTGAAACGTTTGCTACAGTTGGGGCAGGATGGAGAAGGCAGGGTCAAGCTGCACAGCCCCAGGGCAGTGGTGCCATTCTCCATGGTGCTAACAGACTGTGAGTGGGATGCTGAAATTTTAGGGTCCCATTTCCCACAGACGTTTGCCTTGCTCATGGCTGTGGTATAAGAGCAAATTCTCCTTATCCTAAGCCAACCAAGCTTGCTTTATTAAAATATCTTTTATGCCTTCTTGTCCCCACTTCACTGCTCCAGTCTCTTCACTTCCTGAATTTTGTCAATTCTAAGACACGTTTGGGTACATTTGAGCAATTCGAAGTGGGGATGCCTCTTACAGTCAATGCTTGTCATAGTTTAATTGGCAGCCTTGGGACATAACATAATGGTATGCTTTATAATCTATGGTGCCCTAGGTTTGATGAAATATGACAACTCTATGGGCTTTGCAAAACTGTCTCCCTTTCGAGCCTTGTCATATGCTACTGCTTCATACAAACTCTGTCCCGAAGGATGTTTTGTGATGACTTGTGTCCCTGGAATGCACTTTCTTCCCGGGCGATCTTTGCTCTGGTTTTTCTCTGCCTCTGACGCTTTCTATTACAGCTTCGTCTCTGCCTATGGAAATCCGTCCTCTTCTTCAGGGCCCAGCTCAAAGGCTCATCACCACCTGGAGTCTCCCCTGATGATCTCATCCTGAAATCATCCCTTCCTGCCCTAAAATCTTACAGGGATTTGCTTGTGCTTCCTCATGGCATTTAGAGGCCTTTAAAAAACTAATGATCAAATTATTTATCTTTCTTAATAAATTCTTATCCTTATCTTTCTTGGTATTTGGAAGCAAATATTACATTTATATTCTCAAACAGTTGATTTTTCATGGACAATGTGGTAAGGAATGTTGGGCAAAACTCAACTCCAATTCAGATGGAATATCTGTGTCAATTTTATGCAAAACCTTTCTTTTTTTTTTTTTTAAAAAAAACCACTTTTTGAGTTATGATTGAGATATAAAAACCTGTACATATTTAATGTATACAATCTGATGAGTTTGGAGATGAGTACCATCAGCCTTCCAGATCTACAGTTTCTGCATCTGGGGATTTAACTAACTCGAATCAAAAATATTTGGAGAAAATATATACAAATAATACAAATAAAAAGCAATGCTGTATAGTAACTACATAGCATTTAGGTATTATAAGTAATCTAGAGATGATTTAAAGTGTATGGGAGGATGTGCTTAGGTTATATGCAAATATTATACCATTTTATATCAGGGACTTGAGCATCTACAGGTTTTGGTATCTCTGGGGGTCTTGGAACCAATCCCCCTCAGATATTGAGGGATGACTGAAATCGCCTTTGCAAAATTATAACTGAGGAAATTATGACAGTGCAAGAGATCAGACCTAACTGACTCCATCTTTCTTCTAACTTTTAAGCTGTCCTTGTTCATTCCTGGGCGTAGGCTGAACTAACTTTGGGAAGGAATTCAGTTTATGGATTCCTTAACTGTTTTTGTTCTGAAACAAAATTGATAATAGCCCTTTCTTGAAAAGACCTCTTTCCTGCCTGGGGACAAGTTTGCCTTTGCAGGACTAACAATTTAGCTACAATATTAGAAATTACAGTTTAGGAGTCGTGCAACCTCTGGTTCCGGGAGTCTGAATCTCCCCACCTTGCTCCTGGAGATAACATCATTATTGTAAAACCTAAGATCAGTGCTTGAGTATTTTGCAGACCCTGCACTTGATGGATTAGCTGACACCATGGAGACTGGTAATTTGGCTCAACTAGTTCTGCAACCCCACCTAGGAACAGAAGACAGTAAGAAAACCTCACTTCGACCCTGACCCGCCAAATTATTTTTAAAAACCCTACACCGGGCCTGGTGGCTCACACCTGTGATCTCAGCACTTTGGGAGGCCGAGGTGGGTGGATCATATGAGGTCAGGAGTTCGAGACCAGCCTGGCCAATATGGAGAAACCCCGTCTCTGCTAAAAACACAAAAGTTAGCCAGGTGTGGTGGCGCATGCCTGTAGTCCCAGCTACTCAGAAGGCTGAGACACAAGACTTGCTTGAACCTGGGAGATGGAGGTTGCAGTGAGCTGAGATTGTGCCACTGCCCTCCAGCCTGGGCGACAGAGGGAGACTTTGTCTCAAGAAAACAAAAAACAAAACAAAACAAAAAAAACTCTGGTCCCCAAATGCTCAGGGAGACTGATTTGAGTAATAATAAAACCCTGGTCTCCCACACAGCCGGCTCTGTGTGAATTACTGTTTCTTCACTGAAATTCCCCCGTCATGATAAATTAGCTCTGTCTAGGCAGCGGGCAAGGTGAACCCACTGGGTGGTTACAAATTTGGGGGCTTTCCCGGGATTGCCCTTGTGGTTACCTGACCATGGTTTGGTAGCCCCTCTCTGGCAATAGATCCAGAGGCCAGCCCAAGTGGCTGCCTAGTTCTCTTGAACTGGGGGCTGACTCTGCTACCATCTCCATCCATGGGGCACTGCCGACCCAACGTATATGGATTTAATTGCAGTGGAGAAATAGTCCTGGGGAAACATCCCATAACTGGCCCTATCACAGGGTGTGTCTGTCTGTAGCCCCATTGCAGGGTGTCTCTCTGTAGCCCCATGGGGGGGTGTCTGATTTGTTGAGTATTGTAGGCGCTGCCCACAGCCCCTTTCTTCTCCAGATGTTGGCCTCTCTGGAGGTGCTGTTGTCTCTTGGTAGCCTCTTGGGGTATCTGTCTGCAGCCCCATCATGAGCTGTCTATTTGTAGCCCCGTTATAGGTGTCCATAGCTGTAGCCCTGTTACAGGGTGTCTTATTGGACAGAGAATAGGGGACTTGTTTGGAGGAATACTCTTGGTTTGAAACTGGTTCTGGAATTTGTGTCTTGAAGGCCTTCTGTTCGTTTTACTCTGTGTGTGTGTGTGTGTGTGTGTGTGTGTGTGTGTTTATATGTGCGGAGGGGAACCCTGAAGGAATTGCTGATGAACGAACGTCCAGCAGGCCTAACTCAGGGTGACTGCTCTTCTATCTTGCCTAAAGATGCCCATTGAGTCTGTGGTGGGAGGTTATCTCTCCCCACTGTGAGTGGATTAAAGACAACAGGGACCAACAGGAGACGGTTTGAGCCTTGCCAGATATTGGGTGCTGAACGAGGTGACTAGTGTCTGGTTTGTTACGTGTATTTTGCCTCGGCTGGGATGAAAAATGTTAATTCGGTTCCCCGTGCAACCTGCTGGGCAGCATCTTGCAAAAATAAGAATCTTTTGCCTACGGTTCCGTAAAAGAGAAAAGAGTGATTTTCTTTTATAAAGTGGTTTGACCTCTATAGCTATGGCACAGGGAACTGGGTCATCAAAAGCCGCTTCGTTCTTCTGGAAGCTGCAGAGAAGGGGAACCTGGAAACCTAGTATGCAGGCAAAAAGGGTAAGAATTTCTTACCAGACAAATTTCTGGTATTTCTCTCTCTCTTTCTCTCTCTCTCTCAATCTCTTTCTCTGTCTCTCTATGTGTGTGTGTGTGCTTGAGTGCAAACAGTAAACAACACTGTTTGTCTCCTCTGCAAAGGCAGACTGGTCCCCAGGCAACAAGGGGGACTTTTTGGGAAAGGGTTATTATCAATTCTGTTTCAGAGTCAAACCATGAACTGAATTTCTTCCCAAAATTAGTTCAGCCTATGCCCAGGAATGAACAAGGGCAGCTTAAAGGTTCGAAGCAAGGTGGAGTCAGTTAGGTCTGGTCTCTTTCACTGTCATAATTTCCTTAGTTATAATTTTTGCAAAGGCAGTACACCATATATCTGTGAAACCATCACCACAACCAATGCCATAAGCCTCCTTCAAAAGTTGCCTCTTACTCTATTAATATTTTAATGTGAATCTTTCCATTTAAGGCTCAATTGGAGGATACAAAAATATAAGTAATTAAGAATATTTTACCCTAAACATCTTATTAATTTTTCTAAAAATTCCAGATATATTTTTTCAAATTAAAAAATTTCAGGGAAAGTACAGAAATAAACAGATTTTAGGCCAGGCGCAGTGGCTCATGGCTGTAATCCCAGCACTTTGGGAGGCCGAGATGGGCAGATCTCCTGAGGTCAGGAGTTCGAGACCAGCCTGGCCAACATGGTGAAACCCTGTCTCTACTAAAAATACAAAAATTAGCCAGGCGTGGTGGCGGGCACCTGTAATCCTAGCTACTGAAGAGGCTGGGGCAGGAGAATCACTTGAGCCCGGGAGGTGGAGGTTGCAGTGAGCCAAGATCACACCACTGCATTCCAGCCTGGGCGACAAGAGTGAAACTCCATTAAAAAAAAAAAAAAGGTTTGAATCTGAATTTTTGTCCTTCGTTCTCCAGTTCTAAGCCTTTCATTTTTGGCATTGATGGGGACAGGGAACTAGCCCTTATTCTGAGGGATTTGCCTTAAATGCCAGGATGAATGTTTGGGTTCAATTCTCCTTAGCTCTGAGAAGCCATGGAAAGTTTTGAAGTGAGGGAGGTGGTTGAGAGTGACACCAGTTGGGTGGGGACTGCATTTTCCCCTGTCATGGCCATGGGAAGATGAGCATGGCACCAAGTCAGCCCACAGTTAGCGCTTCGACTGTGTGTCAGGGAGAGGAGGAACGCACGTGTTTGTGAGGAATGCATACCTGGCACCGGGCTTTCCATACTGTATATAAAAATGAGTAAAACTTTGGACATGTCCTAGGTTAAAAGTGTCAAATGTTGAGTCTGAATAAACCGAAGGATGGGACCACAGTAAAAGTAGATAAATAAGATAGAGACATAATTTTAAGAGACCAAATGAGGAGTTCAATTAGGCTCCCCAAGGAAATCTGTACTGTCTTGTGAACCCCAAAATATCTGAGTCAGGTCTCAATCAATTTAGAAAGTTTATCCTCAGGAGGTCCTGACAACATGTGCCCAGGGTGGTCGGGGTACAGCTTGCTTTTGTACATTTTAGGGAGACATGAGACATCAGTCAATACGTGTGAGATGTACATTGGTTCGATCTGATCTGGAAGGGTGGGACAACTCGAAGTTGGCAGAGAAGAGTTATTATCAGTAGAAAGGAATGTCTGGGTTATGACAGGGGGTTGTGGAGACCAAGGTTTTATCATGCAGATGAAGCCTCTAGGTAGCAGGCTCCAGAGAAACTAGATCATAAATGTTTCCCATCAGACCTAAGGTCTGTGTTGATGTTAATGCTGGGGGGATCTAATGAGGCGTGTCCACCCCCGTCTTTCATCATGGCCTGAGCTAGATTTTCAGGTTAACTCTGGAATGCCCTTGGCCAAGAGGAGGGATCCATTCTGATAATTGGGCCTCTTAGAATTTTACTTTTGGTTTACAGTCTCGGCCTTAGATGAAAAACTTCTTTAAGCTATTATCAGCATGTCTGCCTCAGTGTGAGTGAGTTTCAGTTTTCACAGAGCAGGTTTTAGAACAGCAGGAGTGGGGAGCTCTCTGCATCGCTGGTGTAGGGAAAGGGTGGCTGGGGAGGAGGCTCCTTCCCCATGAGCCCAAGGCTGCCCTGGAGGAAGAGTCAGGGCCCAGGCCTGCTCCTGTTTTCCTCTGGGCAAGGGTTATGCCTGCTGGGTGACCTGCAGATTCCTGAGAAGCTGAGTTCCATCTCCAGCACCTCCCCTGCAGGACACACAGTGAGTCAGCCACTGTCAGCCTCTGCTGGGTCTGAATGCTGTGAATAAGGTGGCCTTTGCAGCCACATGCCTTGCACGCACCTTCATCAGCCCTCTTTCCACAAGTCTTACTTACACCTGTGATGCAGCACATAAAGAAAGCTGGGTGAGTCACCGAGTGTCATGGTGAGAAACGGACTTTTTGTCATTTCTCCTGGAGACACCAAGAGTTAATATTGCATGGGCGTTGAGGCAGCCGGTGTCATCCGGCAAATAAGTATTCCAGTGTGTTCTCACTCCCCCATCACTCAAGATTCTTCCCTGCAGGAAACTCGCAACCAAACAAAAGGGTTGTTTTCTTACTCCCTTAGGTGACAGCAATATTGAATCATTGCATCGATCTGTCTTCTTATGGCTGGCTTTGTGTCTTTTAAGTGAGAAAGGGATACACAGCCTAACTGCACATCTTAAGAGCTTTGCCTTGTTTTTCAGAGCACGGCATGGCAATGGTAACAAGCATATACTGTCCACAGAAGGCGTTGTGGTCTCCCCACGGAACGGTTTATTGGCAATGCAATTTTCTTAATTCAGCTCCAAAGCAATTAAACATATTGAGCATCTGTTATGGGTAGTCTCGGGGCAGGGAGGGGGAGTGCAATAATGAATAAGAAATCATCGTTCACTGAGAGTTTCATTCATTTCTTTATTCAACAAATCCCTGTTCTAGGCACTGGTGACACCACAGGGAATAAAATAGAAAAAGTTCCTGCCCACATGTTGTTTTATTATAGCAGGGGCAGGAAACACCATCATAGCAGGCAGTGATACGTCATAGGAAGCAGGATGGTCAGAAAGACTTCTCTGAAGAGGCGGCATTTGGGTAGAATTGAATACCTCAGTGAGTGAGTGTGGGTTACCTGGGGGAGGAAACCCCTAAGTGAGGGCAGAGGCCTTGAGGTGGGAGCCTGTCTATTATGTCTGAGGAACAATGAGGAGGCAGTGTCGCCAAGCTTAGGGAGCAAGGGGAGCTCTGCAGGCCATGAAGGTCAGAGAGCCAGGCCAGATGGTGCAAGGGTTAGGGGCCACTTACGGACCTGGATTTTATGTCATTTCAGTTTAATTTTTGCATTTGGGTTTTTTATTCTTTTTTTAGCATATGGGACTTTGAAAAGTAAAACTTTTTACTGAAACATAACCAACACAGAGACATACAAAATCCTCAATGCATAGACACAGCACTTGTGTCTGTGTTACACTTGTGTAACCAGTGCTCAGAGTGAGCAATCGAATTTCACCAGCGCCCCCACCCTAGTGGCCTGTCTCAGTCACCCTCCCCTCCCCACGGAGAGCCACTATCTGATTTCTAGAAAGATAGACTGAGTCTGAACTTTATGTAAGTGGAATCATACGGTATGTACTCTTTTATATCTGGTTTCATTCATTCAGTATTATGGTTGCGAGATTCTTTCATGTTATGGGTTATAACTGTTCATTCTTGTTGCTATTTTCCAGTGTATGAACATTCCACAGTTTATTTGTCTATCCACTAGGGTTGTTTCCAATTTTTGGCTAATACAAATACAGCTTCTAGGAGCATTCATGTATGTGTCTTTTGGTCTATATATATGCGTTTCTGTTGAGTATAATAAACCTAGAAGTGGAATTGCTGGTTCGTGGGCCATATATGTGTTCAACTTAGTAAATATTGCCAAATATTTCCATAGCGCTTGTATCAGTTCACTCCCACCAACATTAAATAAAAGTTCCCATTGCTCCATATTCTTGTCAGCACTTGGAATAATTTGTAATGTTTGTTTTAGCCATTTTGATGTATATGTAGTGGTATTGCATTGTGATCTTAATTTGCATTTCCCTGATAACTCATGAAGTTAAGCACCTTTTCATATGTTTGTAGGCCATAATTAGGAAATCTACTTTTGTGAAGTACCTGTTCAAATCTTTTGCCCAGGATTTTTTCTGTTAATTGACCGTCTTTTAAAAACAGGTTATAGGCATTCTTTGTGTATGCTGGACATAGGTCTTTGACTGGATATTTATACTGCAAGGAACTTCTCCCACTCTGTGGTTTGCATTTTCATCTCTTAACGATATCTTTTAGGGGAAAATTTCTTGATTTTAACATAGCTCATAGGTTTTGATGACAGGCCTCATAAGTAAGTTACAGGGTAATACTGGCCTCATAAGTGAGTTGGGAAGTATTCCCTCATCTTCTAGGTTTTTTTCTTTTTCTTTTCTTTTTTTTTTTTTTTTTTGAGATGGAGTCTTATTCTATTGCCTGGGCTGGAGTGCAGTGGCTCAATCTCGGTTCACTGCAACCTCCACCTCCCGGGTTCAAGCGACCCTCTCTCCACAGCCCCCTGAGTAGCTGAGACTACAGGTGTGCACCACCATGCTTGGCTAATTTTGTATTTTTTAGTAGAGACAGGGTTTAGCCACGTTGGCCAGGCTGGTCTCGCACTCCTGACATCAAGTGATCCACCTGCCTCGGCCTCTCAAAGTACTGGGATTACAGGCGTGAGCCACTGCACTCTTCTCTGTTTTTTAAGAGTTTGTTAAGAATTGGTTTGAGTTCTTCAAATGTTTGGTATAATTTCAATGGTGAGGCCATCTAGGCTTGAGCTTTTCTTTGTGTATAGTTTATGGATTACTAATTTAATCTATTCACTTCTTATAGATCTATTCAGATTTTGTATTTCTTTTCAAGTCAATTGCAGTAGTTTGTCTTTCTAGGAATTTGTCCATTAATCATCTAAGTTATCCAAGTTATTGGCATACAATTATTTGTAGTATTCCTTTATAATCCCTTTTATTTCTGTAAGACTAGCAGTAATGTCCCCTCTTTTATTTCTGTTTCTAGTAACTTGAGTCTTCTTTCTCTTTTTTTCTTGGTCAATATAGCTAAAGGTTTATCAATTTATTTGATGTTTTTGAAGAACCAGGTTTTGATTTCATTGATTTTGTCTGTTATTTTTCTATTATTTTCTTTCATTAATTTCTGCTCTGATCTTTATTATGTCCTTAGTTTTGCTTGATTTTGGTTTATTTCGCTTCTTTTTCTATGTCTTCAGGTAGACGTTTAGGTTAGGTTATTGATTTTAGATTTTTCTTCTTTCTTAATATAGGCATCTAGAGTTAAAAATTCCCTCAAATCACTGCCTTCACTCTATCCCACGAGTTTTGGCATGTTGTGTCTTCATTTTCATTTAGCTGAAAGTATTTTCTAATTTCTGTTTTGATTTCTTATTTGACCCTTTTTTTAATTGAGAAATGTATTCTCTTATTTTCACATATTTGTGAATTTCCTAAATTTCTTTCTGTTACTGATTTCTAATTTCATTTAATCATGGTCAGATTATATGCCTTATATTATTTTTATTCTTTTGAATTTATTAAGATTTGATTCATGGTCTAGCATATGGTGTATATGGGAGAATGTTCCATGTGCACTTGAGAAGAAAGTATATTCCATTGTTGTTGGGTGTAGTGTTCTATAGATGTCTGCTGGACCTAACTGATTTATAGTGTTGTCCAAATTTCTATCTCTTTTCTCATTTGTTGCCTAGTTGTTATATCTATTATTGAAAATGAGGTGTTGAACTCTCCCACTATTATTGTTGAATTGTCTATTTTTCCCTTCATTTCTGACAGTTTTTGCCTCATATATTTTGGTGCTGTGATATTAGGTACATATATGTTTATAATTGTTATATCTACCTGATGGATGAAACTTTTTATCGTTATAAAATATTCATGTCTGTTTTGTCTGATATTGGCATAGTCATTCTAGTTTTCTTGTGGTTTCCGTTTGTATGATATATCATTTTCCATCTTTTTACTTTCAATCTATTTGTATCTTTTAATCTAAAGTGTGTCTCAGGTACGTAGCTAACATATAGTAGGATTTTTAAAAATCCAATCTGACAGTCTCTGCCTTTTGATTATATTGTTTAATCCATTCACATTTAATGTTTCTAGTTGGATTTACATCTGCCATTGTACTTTTTTTCTATGTGTCTCATGTCTTTTATTCTTCAATTGCTTCTTTACTACTTTCTCTTGCATTATTTAAATATTGTCCAGTGATATATTTATGTTTCTTTAATTAGGTTTTCACTGTGTTTAAAAAATTTCTTTACATTGGTATCTCTAACACTTACCATATTCACCTTGATTTATCAGAATCAGCCTCTGATTTACACTAGCTAATTCTAGTGAGATATGGAAGCATTACTTCTGTTTAGCTTTATTCTCTTCCCCTTCTTTTGCATTATTATTATTATTATACGTGTTACATTTATTCACATTACAAGCCCAACAATATATTGCTATAAAGACTTTATCATTTGTAATCATTTTTATACAGCTTTGCTTCCACCCGCCTCCTTTTTTCTATCATTGACAAATATATTACACAGAAATACATTACATTATGGAAATTTAATATAGATATCACATTTCTGTATGTTATGGGTTCAATAATATGAGGAGTCTTCACAAAATTCATGGAAAATGAATATTATGAAAAACTATGCATAGGTTTCAAACTTTTTTTGTACCAAAATAAACTTGTATTAATGTTTTATTAATGTCTGAATAGGATGTAGTTTGAGTTGATGTTGAAGATGGAGACCATGGTGCAGACTATACACATCAATTTTTGGTGCCCTAATTTATGCACCAATTGAAGATAACTAACAATAATACTACAAATAATGCCAACACCACAGACATCTCAGTTGGTTCAGCTTACACAATTCTGAAGGAAGAATTAATGTTGAGCAAAGTTTCCCCTTGATGGGTGCCAAAACTGTTGTGCCCACACCAGCTGCAGGCAACAGAGCTTTCGATGGAAATTTTAAACAAGTGGTATCAAGATCCTGAAGCATTTCTTTGAAGAATTGTAATAGGAGATGGAACATGGCTTTGCCAGTACTATCCTGAAGACAAAGCACAATCAAAGCAATGGCTACCAAGCGTTGGAAGTGGCCTAGTTAAAGTAAAAGGAGACCAATCAGAGCAAAAGTCATGGCAACAGTTTTTTGAAATGCTCAAGGTATTTTGCTTGTTGACTTTCTGAAAGGCTAAAGAACAATAACACCTGCTTGTTATGAGAGTGTTTTGAGAAAGCTAGCCAAAGCTTTAGCAGAAAGGTGCCCACAAAGCTTCACCAGAGTCCTTCTCAACTACTATGAATGCTTTTGTTCATTCCTCTCATCAAACAAGGGAAGTTTGGGGAGAGAGTTTTGATGGGAAATCATTAGGCATCCACCTTACAGTTCTGATTTGGCTCCTTCTGATTTCTTTTTGTTTCCTAATCTTAAAAAAGTCTTTAAAGGGCACCCACTTTTCTTTAGTTATAGTGTAAAAAAGTGGCTCTCAAGTAGGGACATGTTTCACTAACCAGGGACTACAGTTCTTTAAGGATGGACTAAATGATTGGTGTCATCACTTACAAAGTTGTCTTGAGCTTGATGGAGCATATGTTGAAAGGTAAAGTTTATACTTTTTGTTTTTATCTTTTAATTTTATTTTCCCATTAACTTTCTGAAGGCCCTTTGTATATTATATACATATTATTATATACAATTGCTTTTAAAATCAGTGAAGAGAAGAAAGGAGAAAAAAATTGCAGTTAAACTGTCTTTTATAATGGCATAATTATTTTACTGTTGCTCTTTGTTATTTTCTTGCAGATTTGAATTACTGCCTTGGGTCACTTGCTTTCAGCCAGAATCTGTCCACTCTTTTTTAGTATCTTTCACTGGTTGATTCTCTTCTTCCCACCCAGAGTTCATGTTCCCTAGAATTTAGTCTTTGGCTTTTTTCACTGTCTTTAAGCAAAAATTTGTTTTCTCATGGCTTCAATTTCCATGTAGTTGACAAGGACCAAATTTATGTATTAATCTTCAGTCTTGATTTCTCTTTTGATCCCCATATCCATCAACTTACTATACAACTCCTCCTATATATCCCTCCCCGTGGGGTACCTAACACAAAATGTCAAACCAAATTCATTACCTTTCCTAATAAAATTTATGCCATGGGATTCCCCCATCCACCCCAGACTACGTATCTACACATATTCCTTTATTGCTTTTCTTCCTTGTCTTCCCTAGACCCAGTGCTCACTATGTTCTTCACAACATCTCTGTTCTTCCAAAGCTCCTGTCCCTCCTTTCATACTCACCTCTCCATCTTGATTCTCTTCCTCTGCTTTTATAGCCATTTGTAACCTCTTTTATAGCTTCTTTTGTAACCTTTTATGATGGTGGCTCTCAAATGGGCACATTTGGCAATGTCTGGAGATTTTGGTTGTCACAACTGGCAAGGAGGTAGGGGAAAGTGCTACTGGCATTTAGTGGTAGAGGTCAATGATGCTACTAAACATCCTACAGTGCACAGGGCAGCCCCCACAACAAATAATTATCCAACTCCAAATGTGAACAGTGGCAAGACTGAGAATTCCTGTTTTAATGCAAAAAGGAATAAGTTCAGATTTTGTAGCAGCTGAAGCAAATATAATTTGGGGGAGCCTCTTTAAGCAAAAAATATAAAATCACAAATAGAAAATTGGCTAGATTCTTTTTTTTTTTTTTTTTTTTTTTGAGATGGAGTCTCGCTCTGTGTCCCAGGCTGGAGTGCTGTGGTGCAATCTTGGCTCACTGCAACCACTGCCTCCCGGGTTCAAGCAATTCTCCTGCCTCAGCGTCCTGAGTAGCTGGGACTACAGGCAATGTGACATCACGCCCGGCTAATTTTTTTGTTTTTAGTTGAGATGGGGTTTCACCATATTGGCCATGCTGGTCTCAAACTCCTGACTTCAAGTGATCCACCCGCCTCGGCCTCCCAAAGTGCTGGGATTACAGGTATGAGTTTCAGCGCCTGGCTGAAAATTGGCTAGATTCTTTGTTTGGTCTGCTATAACAAATGACCACAAACTGTGTGGCTTATAAACAAAAAAAAATTATTTCTCATAGTTCTGGAGGCTGGGGAGTCCGAGATGGAGGTGCTGGCAGCTTTGGTGTCTGGTGGGGGTCTGCTTCCTGGTTCATAAATGGCTGTCTTTTCACTGTGTCCCCGCAGGTGAAAGGGACAAGAGAGCTCTCTGGGGCTTCTTTTATAAGGGTAATAATCCTATTTGTGAGGGCTCTGCCTTCATGATCTAACCATCTCCCAAAGGCCCCACCTCCAAGTACCATTACTTTGGGGATTGGATTTCACCATGTGAATGTGATGTGTGGGGGGTTGGGGTACAGACATTCACATATAGCAGCTAGGAATGCAAATATTTATCTAGCATAAGAAAAGAAATCACAAAAACTACTAGAGTTTTAGATATCCAGGTCTCATTCTTCAGAGATATTTTTAGGGACATTTTCAGAAATGCCTCCTGTTTGCAACCTGACTTCCACTCCCCACCTAGACCACCCCAGGAACCAGTCTGGTGCAAGTAAAGAGCCCAGTTGCTTAAGCTTCATTATCTTCAGGATAAATCTGCTTCTGACTGTATCATTTGTCATATTTGCATTGCAATTGTCTATAGCAGGAAGGGAAAGACTAGAAACCTAACACAATTTGCTTCCTCCTTCTAGAAGATGTTCATATGCATGAGTGCGTGTGTGTGTGTACATGAGTGTGAGTATGTATGTATGTGTTTATGTATGTGTGTGTATGTAAGTGCATGTGTAAATGAGTGTATGAAGATATGTGAGCGTGCATGCACATGTGTGTCATGAGTCAAAGCATAAATGAGATAAATCTCCACTGCATCTTTCTGCTCAGAGGTGCTATTAAGAGGGGGAGGGGCCTGAGAATCTGATCCCGTTAAAAGACTGTAATTTGCACTGTCAAAACCTGGAGTCTTCTACTAGATGGCGCTTGGTTAGCAGTCAACCCAATGAGCCTTCTAACTTATAAGGCAAGAGCTGGAGAGATACGCAGGCAGGGAAGGGACTTTTCATGACAAAGTGGGAGAGAATCAGGTTTTTCTGCCACAGAGAGAGGGGAAGCTGGGTGCTCTGCCGGAATGACCCCAGCAGAGTGGTTTCTAGAGTGAGATCCAGGATGCAGGCCAGAGCAGTTTGTAAAAGCCTCAAGGCCAGGTGAGCTATGGAGGAGGGAATTTGGAAGGCGCAGAAACTAAGAGCCAAAGATCAGTAGGCGGTGGGAGGGGGTTGGGCTCAGAAAAGCTATTTTTATTAAAATATTACAAAATGTAACTTCCCAATATTGGTGACATCGTGAACACCTAGGCAGCCTGATTTGTTCCTGTTACTGTCTCCCAACATGGGAAGTGAACTCCTCCGGAAAATGAAAAGGGCCTTCATTTGAGCACACCTAGAACATCTGACATCCAGCACAGCAGGGGGCTTGGTTGTTGAATTAAATCAATCAATGAGTGAGGGATGAATAAGGATGGGAGAGAATCAAGAGAGAATAGAGAGACCAGGCATGCTAGAGCGGGCCAAACAAGCCCGAGTAATCTAGGCTGAGATTAGACATGAAATCCACAAGATCAAATTCGGCTGGGCTGAGACGCGCAGCAGCCACATTTTCCTGAGCAGAGAGGTGAGAGCGCTGCAGGGTCCCATCCAGCTGGGCTGTGAGGTCGCAGAGGAGGATCTTTACTCTGGCTGGGGACTGTATTTCCAGGCTTTTTTTTTTTTTTTTTAAGGCAGCCGCTGACCACTTGCCTTGATTATAAGAAGTATTGCTTGAGTGACTTTGCTCTGCCTGGACAATACTCAGTGAAGCGATGATGTACGGCAGCCATTGAGAGCAGTTGCAAACCCATCCCTGGGCCAGCGAGATAATATTGCTGTGTTCTCCAGAAGGTCCTTCTCCGGAATTTGCTATCCTTCTTGTGGCTGTAGTTGAACAAACTTACATTTGACTTAAAGGGAGGTGTTTATCTAAGCTGTCTTCCTTTTAGGAAAAATAATGGACACAGTGACGTGTAAATCCACTGAGCACCTTGGACATCACAACCAGAGGGTCATGTGCCCCTGAGATTGAGTGGACTATACCTTGGGGGATGGGAAAGGTGGGGGCGGGGTGAAAGCCCGCAGTTACATTCAGACAGCACAGCCCTGGAAATGGATCTTAATTCATTTCACAAGCAATTCCAATGTGCTACAGCAGCTGAGCCCTGTCTGCATTTGCTTGTTTGTTTAGCAAAGGGAAATGTCCTTAGCCTAGCAGCCTGCACGAACTGTTTGCCTAGAGACAGTCACAATAATTGAGCCAACCTGGAAGGCAGGAAATAGGGCCTTAGAGGCCCTACTTCTACTTTTAGAAGTAGGTTTTGGTTTCTTTTTTTAAAGAGGTATTTAAAAAATGGCTATGCAATTTTCCATCCCCCCCAAATGAACCATATTTTTAAGACTGTCTCTGTTTTGTAGCTCTTATTTTCTGAGTGTCACATAGAAGGCACTCAAATAAATATTGCTTCAATACATTTGGTTTGTTTCCAGTTTTTGCCTTTTTTTTTTTTTGAGACAGAATCCCACCCTGTTCCCAAGGCTAGGGTGCAGTGGCGCCATCTTGGCTTACTGCAACCTCCGCCTCCTGGGTTCAAGCCATTCTCCTGCCTCGGCCTTCTGAGTAGCTGAGACTACAAGTGTGTGCTATCATGCCTGGCTAATTTTTGTATTTTAGTAGGGACGGCGTTTCTCCATGTTGGCCAGGCTGGTCTTGAACTCCTGGCCTCAAGTGATCCACCGCCTTGGCCTCTTTAAGTGCTGGGATTATAGGCATGGGCCATCAGGCCCTGCCCCAGTTTTTGTCTTTTTAAGCAATGACGCATTCAACCCATGGGTACCTGCAAGCTGTGCATGCATCTGATTACTTTCTTGGGATAAATTCATTTATTCCTACAAATAAATTAGAGCACCTTAGGGTGTGTATAAATTACTTGGTGGGGTGGGTCTTATTTCAATGCGGGATCTGATTCCATAGGTCTGGGATGGGGCCTGAAAGTCTGCTTTTTTAAGAATCTTCTGAGGTGTGCCAGTGCTGCTGGTCTGGGGACCACACTTTGAGATGCAAGGCCCTAGGTACCACCATAAGCAAGTGGAGCAGTGCCCAGCCAGGGTGGTGGCTCACCTCCTGGAGGCAGATTAGAGCAAACCAGGCCCCTGTAGATTCGGGGAAAGGAGAACATTAACCCTGTCTCCAGTATCAACTCCCAGACTCTCCGGTGTGAATTTCTGCCTCTGCTCTCATGAAATGTCAGAAAGGGTAAAGATATCTCAGTGGCGAATTTTGTGATCTATTTGGAATCAAATGGTTGCTTTGGGAGCCCAGAGGAATTATTAATGAGCCAATAAATGGGATACTGGCAACTTGCCAATTGCTAATAGTGTCCCTCCAAGCGGCAGATGGGGAGCAGGTCATAATAGTGGTCAGCTCAGAGGCTGGCTTTGCTAGGGATAGTCACACTGTGGTCCCCCCAACTTTGCTTAAGGCTTAGAGCAAGCTGCTCCCCGCCTTTCTCCTCTGTGGAAATGTGAGGAGTGCTTGCCTTATCCTGTCCTTGGTCAGCAGAAAACCCTTTCTTAGGGGAAATTTGACCCTTGATGGCTATTTTCCTTTGTCCAGTTTTCCGCCTTTATTTATTTATTTTTTAAATTATTATTATTATTATTATTATTAATTATTTTGAGACAGGGTCTTACTCTGCTGCCCAAGCTGGAGTGCAGTGGCATGACCTTGGCTCACTGCAACCTCCACCTCCTGGGTTCAAGTGATTCTCCTGTCTCAGCCTCCTGAGTAGCTGGGACTACAGGTGTGCACCACCACACCCAACTAATTTTTTGTGTATATTTTGGTAGAGATGGGGTTTCGCCATGTTGGCCAGGCTGGTCTTCAACTCCTGAATCCAGTGATCCAACCGCCTCGGCCTCCTAAAGTGCTGAGATTACAGGTGTGAGCCACTGCGCCCGACCAATTGTACTCCTTCTTATACTTCCAGAAACTGTTTTCTTCAAGGCAGTATCCAAGGGGGCTTGTCAGAGAGAGGCAGGAAGACCCTGTGGGTAGCACGCGGCATCCAAGAACATCCCTTCTGGCAGATTTCCAAATGAAATCTGAGATCTGGCTTTTGGCTGACCTTCAGGGATAGCCTTAAAAGTTGCTGCGGTTTTACCTGGTCTTATGAACGGTTTCATTTGGAGAGCTTTCCCCCTGAGGTGGAATGCAATCTAAAAACTAAATAAAGAAATGATTCATCAAAAGCATCTTTTGACCAACGAGGGGAACAAAATGACTGCTTCCATCCAGCCCTGTGTCTGCTAAGAGCTGAATGACTTGAGAATGTGGAAGACATGTCACTAAATGCTGCAGTTACTTTCAGGTGGTCTGCTACATCTGTGTTTCTGCTGGTTCGACCGCCTGAGAGGAAATTTTGCCCTCAGCAGGCAGTTCCAGGGAGTTGAGGCATGCAAGCCACCATCCAGGCCCCCTAGGAAGGTAGGAGAGGCCTGGAAAACTTGGGTGTGCTTTAGCTCGGCTACATGACCCAGCTGGGGAGACAAACTGGAGCCATGCCCACTGTTCTGGGACCCCAGCCAATGTGGCACATTCACAGGAGTGAAAACTAGAGACCAGCCTGACCCACACATCAGTCTCATTTCCCAGGGGAAGCCGTGTCTCCCACCATGAAGTTCGGTGATTCCTGTCTCTTCTGTGTAACACTCTCATGTCACTTCTGCTTTTCATCTTGAAAAAGTTATTTACCAATTCATCTTTACTCCCTAACTTCTAAGCTTCTTGGAGACTCTGTTAGGTCCCTCTCCACTCGGTAGCCTTTGCACATAATAGACTCTTGGGCTCTTTTGAGTGAATAACTAGTGGAGGATTAGATAGGTCCCAGTCAATCTAAGAGGGCTCCCTGGAGGAGATGACTTCCCTCCTAGGTTTTAAAGGAAGCGGTGGTCTCTTGGATTTGTTGAATTATCCCCTAGGTTCTCCTTTTCCCTATTTTATTTATTCTCTACCTCCCTATTCTTATTTTTAAATGTGACTGATCCTCCATGTCCATATATATATGTGTATCTATATACACACACACATACACATATACATTAGAGGTTGAGCATTCCTAATCTGAAAACCTGAAATCCAAATTTCAAAACTTTTTGAGTATCAACATGACACCACAAGTTAAAAATTCCACACATAAGGACTTAACATAACTTTGTTTCATGTTAACATAAACTTTGTTTCATGCACAAAATTATTAAAAAATTGTATAAAATTACTTTCAGTCTACACACAAAGGAATATATGAAACAAATGAATTTTGTGCTTAGACTTGGGTCCATCCCCAAGATATCTCATTATGTATATGCAAAGATTCCAAAATCTGAAAAAATCCGAAATCTGAAACATCTCTGGTCCTAAGCATTTCAGATAAGGGATACTCTTTGTGTGTGTGTATGTGTATGTGTGTGTGTGTGTGTGTTTGTATATATTATCAAAGGAAAGAGTATTGTGTGTGCGCGCGCGCACACACACACACACACACACACAATACTCTTTCCTTTGATAATATTAACCCTCATCTACATTTAGATGACTTCTCCCTTGCTCTCAAACTTCAATTTCACATTTCTAAATACCCTGTGGCTGGCAGCCTCTGAGATAGACCCTAATGATTCCTGCCTCCTGGTACTGATGACTTTGTAAGATTATATTCCCTTTGAGTAACTTGCTTCTAACAAATATGGCAATATGAGAGATGTCACTTCCATGATTAGGTTACAAAAGATTGTAATGTCCCTCTTGCTAGAAGACTGTCTGTGTGGCCTCCTTGGCTTGCATGCTTCCATGCAGCTGCTGTGTTGGAGAGGCCCACATGGCAAGGGACTGAGAGTGGCCTCTGGCCAGTAGCCAGCAAGGAACTGGGGTCTCCAGGCCAACAGCTCATGAAAAATGGAATTCTGACAACCATATGAGTGGGCTTGGAAGTGGACCCAACCCCAGCTGAGCCTTCAGATGAATACGCAGTGCCAGCTGATGCCTTGACCACAGCTGTGTGAAAGATCCTGGAACAAAAGCACCAGCTAATTCCTGACCCACATAAGTTGTTAGATAATAAATGGGTATTGTTTTAAGCCACGGATTTTTTGAAATAATTTGTTACACAGCAACAGATAACTAATACATACTGTCAATCTAAATAACAAACAGAGAGAAGCTCTCTAGAAGAAAAATATATTTATTCCGGAGTAGGACATTGCAATGGGAATAGAGGTGTATTAGCAAACTGTGTGTGTATCCAGGGAGGTAAAGGAGGGAAAGGTTTTTAAAGAAAAATGAGGAGGATTACATAATTGTTTTGAGATAATTATCCTTGGGTACAAGGATCAATAACAAGGGTGACGCCAGTTTGAGGTTGCACAGGCGGTTGCTGGGCAGATGTCCTCAAAGACGTATATTTTTGTGTGTGAGGTTGTGATGGTCTTTGTGCAAAGTTGTGGCTTTTGCAGTTTTTTGAGATAGTTTTTGTTATCAGGCGTTTAGGTATGAGAATCCTCTCATCATAGCCTTCCCTGGCTCTATTTGTCAGGGTTTTTTTGTTTTTGTTTTTGGTGCCACACACTTTTAAACAACCAGATCCATGAGAACTCACTATCATGAAGACAGCACCAAGTGAGGATGAAATTAAACCATGAGAAATCACCCTCCCCCCAAGTCCAATCACCTCTGACCAGGCCCCACCTCCAGCATTGGGGATTACAATTCAACATGAGATTTGGGTGGGGACACAGATCCAAACCATATCAATGGAGAAACAGTGTGGGAGGCTCTCTGAGGTCCATACAGTTCTTTCTGGGCTGCAGTACCCCACAAAGGAGGCTTCCCTGCCAACGTTTGTGTGGTCACAAGCACTCATTTGTTTATGGTGTATGTCTTATCAAAATGGCAAAAATACTCCTTTTTACTGCCATTTTGGAGGAAAAATCCCATTAAGAGCTGATCATTTGAAAGGGAAAAAAGTCTACATGCCAAGAAAAAAATTTTCTCTTCTAATAAAGACCTTTTCCTGTTAAAAAAAAAAAACCCAAATAACCCAAAAAACACTGGTGACTCCAGTTCAATTCTGACAACTTTCACAATATGCCATGACTTTTGTCGCTGGAATATCAAGACTGAACTCATCACCTTCACCCTAGTTTTCCCTGACCAGCTCCTTCTGCTAATCCCCCTGCCCCGGTTCTTGGCCTCTCAGTCCCTATCTACCCAGTCTGTAGGCTTGGAAGCCCTTCTCACTCCTGCTCCCTCATCTGTATTTCTACATCTTGGGTCCTGCTCATTCTCCTTGTGCTGGTCCTAGGAGTGTCTGCCACGAAGGCCTTTGCCAGGTGGAAAGCTCCTTCCTCTTTCCCAGGGTGGGCCTGCATCATCGGGCTCCTCTGCTTCCAGAGGCTTCCTCCTCCAAACAAGATGCCAAAGGAACCTTTCAGTATCACTTTCTCTAGGCAATTCTTTTTTTTCTTTTTTTTTCTTTTTGAGATGGAGTTTCGCTCTTGTCACCGAGGCTCGAGTGCGATGGCATGTCCTTGGCTCACTGCAACCTCCACCTCCAGATTCAAGCGATTCTCCTGCCTCAGCCTCCAGTGTAGCTGGGATTACAGGCACACGCCATCACACCTAGCTAATTTTTTTGTATTTTTAGTAGAGACTGGTTTCGCCATGTTGGTCAGGCTGGTCTTGAACTCCTGACCTCAGGTGATCCACCTGCTTCAGCCTCCCAAAGTATTGGGATTACAGGCATGAGCCACCATGCCCAGCCGGCAATTCTTTTTATTACAGCCCTTCAGTGGCTCCCTCTTTTCTTCTCCTCCATTGGTGGTCAACATTGGCCTGTCTCTAAAGTCCTCCCAGATCCACCCCCTTTCACAGTCCTGCCTTCCCCCCTGTCTCTTCTACCCTGTAGGGTGCTCTCCTCACCACTCACACATATGCCTCATTGATGCCAACATTTAGGTCTCTGCTCACCTTGGTGTGGTCGCTCATGCCTGTCATCAGCATTTTGGGAGGCTGTGGCAATAGGATTGCTTGAGGCCAGGAGTTCGAGACCAACCTGGGAAACACAGAAAGACCTCATCTCTACAAAAAAATTTAAAAAATAAAAAAATTAGCCAGGGGTGGTGGTGGGCACCTGTATTCCCAGATACTAAGGAGGCTGAGGCAGGAAAATCGCTTGAACTCAGAAGTTCAAAGCTGCAGTGAGCTATGATTTTGCCACTGCAATCCAGCTTGGATGATAGAGTGAGACCCTGTCTTTAAAAATAAAAAAAAAAGGTGTTCATGTTGAAATCTCACCTGAGGGGATACAAATCCTGTACTTTCCTGGAAGCCCAGCTCAAGCTGTATCACCTGTGCTCAGTGGCAGATCCCACCGGAGCACCTTCTGTGTGCAGGCTCTGTGCTGAGGGTCTGAAATTCAGCGATGAGCAAAACTGACTTATCCCTGCTTTCAAGGTGTTAATAGTCCAGCAGGAAGAGAGAGAAAGTAGCAAATACACAAAGCAAATCAACACTGCAAATTGTGTCAAAGTCTCCGGGGGAAAAGACTCAATAGAGGATCAGAAAAGGTACCTTGAGGAAGTAGGCAGTGAAAGCAACCCCTGAGGAGGATAGGAGTTAACTAGATGAAGAGATGGGAAAAGCACGCCAGGCAAAGGGAACAGCACATGCAAAGACTCTGAAGCATAAGTGAGTGAGTCTCTCACTTCTTGTCTCCATCTCCTCTGATTCCCCACAGACAATCAACTCTGTGCTGCAATATTTAGCAATTAGCCTCATGTCTTTCTCTCTCTGCCATTTCATGGATTAGCCTTGTCTTCCCAATTAAACTGGAAGCTGCGACCATATCTCATAATTATTTTTTCTTTAGGGCACTGAAGCACAATGAGAAGGACAGAGCAGATTATAATAAAAAGGCATCAGCTGCTCGGCCTGAGGCCCAATGGTGCATGTCCCCTGGAGCTCCCAGTGTGGGTCTTAATTCGGTGATGGGACTGAAGAGCCACTGCGTGTGGGCACCAGCCAGCTGCGGGCGGATGTCCAAATACACAGAACAGACCATTTCTACCTTCATGAGTGAGCTACCCCACTGGGGTGCAGGTGGGGGACCTTCAATTTTGGCCCACGTGATTCTGTGAGGACCTCCTGTGCAGCAGGCTTGTTCCCACTCACTGAACAGTGCATGTCAAGCAGATATGACCTTGCTGACAATCTGACTCTTTTTGTAATTCCATCGCGGAACTGTTGATTCACAGTTTCCTTGCAGCCTTTTGCTGAGTGTGACTCAAATAATCTGTGACATTGATTCAATGACAGGAGGCTCACAGCTCAGGGGGAAATGTGCTGTGGCATCAGAGTGGGCAGAAAATGTCCACCTCCTCCTGTTTGTGCAAACATTTCAGATCCAAATTCAAGGTGCTCTCACCTTTGGCTCTGCTTGATTTATGAACTAATTAGTCATATTTGCAGTGAACCAAGCAGCCCTATAGGAATGACCTGATTTATTTCCTCTTTCAAGAATTCGTTATCAGCAGCCTGAGCCAGAAATATCTATGGAGCACATACTGTAGACACACATCTGGGAGGGCTGAGATTTAAAAATGAAGGGGAAAGTGGGCAGGGGTGATTCTTTGGTCATTAAACTTAACTTCCCAGGCATGGACAGGCAGGTCTCTGGGGAACAGGAGACACGTTACCTTCTGATCCACGGCAGGCAGGGGTGACTTCAGATCTGCTGTATGCCATGCTTCTGGCTTTTCACAGGCAAACTAGAGCTCAGTGGGGTGCCCTGGGGGGAGACCGTGAGGCAGGAGCAGAAGCAGAAGCCTTTTAGAAGAGCCTAGCATATTGGAGACCAGGAGAAAGCAGGAGAATAACATTTTATAGCATTGTATTTCGTGCATATTTCATCATGCAAATAAGAGTGTGACAATTAGGTGAGGGCAATAGTGAAGGATAAGACCATATTCATGTTGTCAGCAGTGTTTAGAGAGAGGAACACCAGGACACTAACAAGAAATAGGTACTTAGGGCTTCACAACTCCAACTCCATAGGCAGATCAGGCTTTGATTGAGGACTGTACTCCTGGAATAAGTACAATCTTCCTTCATCTTCTTCTGCCTCTTCACTTCACTGAGCTGTTATTCCTGTTTTTTTTTTTTTGAGATGGAGTCTCACTCTGTTACCAGGCTGGAGTGCAGTGGTGCGATCCCAGTTCACTGCAAGCTCCGCCTTCCGGGTTCGAGCGATTCCCCTGCCTCAGCCTCCAGAGCGCAGATGGGAGTACAGGTGCGGATGGGACTACAGGCGCCTGCCACCATGCCCAGCTAATTTTTGTATTTTTAGTAGAGATGGGGTTTCACCATGTTGGTCATATGCTCTCTATCTCTTGACCTTGTGATCTGCCTGCCTTGGCCTCCCAAAGTGCTGGGATTACAGGTGTGAGCCACCAGGCCTGGCCACTGCTATTCTTAATTCTGGTGCTGCTCAGTGCTTGGACACCAGCGACGGGGTTTGTCAGGCAAGTTTCCTTGTGTAATGTGCGCATCATGTAATCATTGCTTAACTTTGACAAATGATTTGCTCTCCATAGTGCCTCTTATGTCTGCTTTTTCAAAAAAAAGCTTCTGGTAGCTCTTCCAGTTAAAAGACAATAGTCTCGTCAGTGAGGGGGGAGTGTGTGTGTGTGCGCACGCATGTGTGAAGAAGGGAGAGGGAGAAATTAATGCTGAGTTGATTCTTTAGAATGTTTTTGACTCGACTATCACCAGAACTAACAGTCTACTTCTCAAAAGGAGCCTAATTCTTTTTTTTTTTTTTTTTTTTTTGTGAGATAGAGTCTCCCTTTGTCACCCAGGCTGGAGTGCAGTGGTGCGATCTTGGCTCACTGCAACCTCTGCCTCCTAGGTTCAAGTGATTCTCGTGCCTCAGCCACCTGAGTAGCTGGGATTATAGGCACCCAGCACCACGCCGGCTAACTTTTTTGTATTTTTAAAAGAGACAGGGTTTCACCATGTTGGCCAGGCTGGTTTTAAACTCCTGACCTCAAGTGATCCACCCGCCTCGGCCTCCCAAAGTGCTAGGATTACAGGCGTGAGCTGCCACATCTGGCCCCTAATTCTTTACAAACCGAACATGAGCAGTTTCTCTCCCTTGGCAGCGCCTAACAATAGCAGAGGCTATTTATAAAAGACGAGTACCCTGGGCACCATTTGAGCCGCAGCGCCTCTAACTCTGAGACAACTTGGTGATAAAGGGTTAGCACGTCTAGGGAAATGGGTGTTCCAGTTTCTCTCCCCGTCTTTGACCATTTTTCCTAACAACCTGTTTTTAATTCACTGTGTTCTCTAAAACCTACCAAAAAGACTGCAGGATTCTGTAGCAGAATTCTAGAGTCCCTAACTACCAGTAAGTAAAGAAAAAGCAGCAGCTGGAAACACAGAGCACAGGGAAGAACAGTTTTCAGATGCAAGTGAGTCTGGCTGGGGTTAGAAACTCTGTTACAGCAGGGCTGAGTGGCCTATAGCCCGACTGCACATGGCTTACTCCACAGTTCAGGAAGAAATGACAGGAAGGTGAGAAAGCCATCTATGGTGTCATTCCTCAAATTGGCCCAGATATGCACTTTGTGTGTAGGTATGTGTAGCAGAAAAATGATGGCGATTTCTTCCTGGGCATTCCTCTAATTAATAAAGCAGATACAGGCTGGGTGCGGTGGCTCTAGCCTGTAATTCCAGCAGTTTGGGAGGCTGAGGCAGGTGGATCACTTGAGGTCAGGAGTTTGAGACCAGCCTGGCCAACGTGGTGAAACCCCATCTCTACCGAAAATATAAAAAATTACCTGGGTGTGGTGGTGGATGCCTGTAATCCCAGCTACTCGGGAGGCTGAGGCAGGAGAATTGCTTGAACCCAGGAGGTGGAGGTTGCAGTGAGCTGAGATCGTGCCACTGCACTACAGCCTGGGTGACAGAGTGAGACTCCATCTCAGAAAAAAAAAAAAAAAAGGCAGATACATCTAGGACTTTCAGCCCTAAATTGGTTCTTACACAAAACACTTGCTCCACTCAGCTGTGAAACCCTGCTCACCCCAGAGTTTGCTTTCTAGGAACCTTCCAGATCCCCTGGATTTGAATTTCAAAGAGCTTTCTGAAGGGCCTAGAAGTCTATCTGTGAGCCTAGAAGTATTTAAAACAGGATGGAACATGAAGATGATTCTCTTTCTCATCATCTGTGAAAACAATTTCTAAAATATCTCTGGTGGGTCAGGGTCATGGCCAAGGTGGGAAAAGCAATGAGTGCCTGAAACACAGGCTTAGACCATCCCATAGGAGCATGTGCTCATCAAACCCTTGATTCAGAGTCTTGGGAGGAAGGTGTGTGGATGTGGAAGAAGCCTGGGACCCAGGGAACAGTGTGGAAAGCGGGACCAGGAGAAGAGTGGGGAGAGGAGAGACAGTGACTCATGGGGACACCTCCACCGTTGTCTTCAGACCTTTTGCTACTAAGCACCTTGAGTGTCCTGGGCGATGTACTGGCTCCGTGGGGTCCAACGATGCCATGACTCAGCCCCTCCCACCTGCTTCTCAGGGTCTAGTGGAGGAGTCGGTGTGAGGACTGCAACTCTTTGAAGGCATGGAACACTGTATTGTAATAAAGGTTTCATAAGTGCTCTGGGAACCCGCAGGAAGGAGAGACTAATTATATCTCGGGCCAGAGGGAAAGCCTTCACGCAGGAGAAGGAAGCTGAGTTCTTGCAGGAGACTGTTACCTAAGCCTGGGTTCTCCTCTCGGATGAAAAGCTGGGGGAAGACCGGGAGGAACAGAATTCTTTTTGGAATACTCCAGGGACTTGAAATAAACTCAGGATACTATTGGCATATGGAGACTGTCACAAACTATAAATAGAGACCAGAAAATATATTCTGAATAGTTTCTGAATGTAGAGGAAATCTATAATCTTTGGCAGCACTGAGGCATGTTCCACTCAAGCTGGAGCACTTGGCAGGATCCATTGACCGATCACTTTCCTTCCACAGGGAAGCTGATAAGCTCCGGAGCCTGGGGGCTGACATGGTGCTCAGTACTCAGTGCTCGATGCTGAGTGTTCAGTGCTCGGGGCTCAGTGTTCAGCACTCCATAGTCATATGGAGGACAGAAGACACTCTGGGATGTTAATGGTTTAATGGAATTCACAGACTTCTCAATAGCTTAAGAATATTGGACAATTATAACTTCCACTCTTCTTGTAGAGAAATCCAAAGAATACAGTTCTTTGGGCTGTAAGGGCTTTCTGCATTTTTCAGAAAAAGCAATCCTGGAATGAAAGAAACAGATGAGGGTTCTGATCCTACCTCCTCTCTGGCCTCAGTTTCCTCATCTGTACCAAGAAGGGGTGGGACCAATGAGGCACAAATATTGCTTTCTGCGGTGACATTTTCTCAGTCTGAGCTCTATGCAGCCCAGCAGCTGTTTGCAATTACTTAGCCAGGCAGGGTATGTTCTCTCCCCGCCATACTTCTGCATCTGCCAAACTGAGTTCTTTTTTGGGGCAACATCTGCTTTTATTTCCCATGCGAAGTTGTCTCAGTTGACCACAAAAATAATTACATACTTATTCCGAAGTAATCATTTCATCCCAAACCTTTTCAACAGGATAGCAAATTTCCCTGGGAAAGGTGACATCTCAGGAACAGAGTTGCTCTGGGGTACCGTAAATCAGGGAGCTTACCAGTGAGTGTCCTTGACTTTGGTGTGGAGGGGGGTGGGGGAAAGGCAGAGATGACCCTGTCATTTGAGCCATGCTAGACCTGAAAATCAGCCCCTTTTCCTCCCCTCTCTTCTTTCCTTTAGTGCTGAGCCGTGGGAGTGGGGTGTGGGAGGTGACTCAGATGGAGAGCCAACTCTAATATAAAGTTTATGGTCGCGTAGGCAAAAGGAGCAAGAGATTTTATTACAGCCAAGAGTAACAAAATTAAATACATTCTATTTCCTTTTATATGTACCTAAAATTCATAAAATAAGAAAGTAGTAAAATGAATAAACAGTATGCTTGCAACAATATCATGTCTTTTTGAGCTCTTGTACGTAACATGACTAGGGAGGTAGGGTCCAGGGGTGGTTCAGGATGATATGAGATGCATAGTAATTTCAGGGAAGTGACTGAGGGTCTGTATAGCAGAAGACAGTACTGGAAAGATAGACTAGCTGTTAGATCTTGGATGACCTTGAATGACAGGCTGAGGCTTTGTAGTCATCCTTATGGTAATTCATCGGAGGGCTTTGAACACTCCGTTTAGTCAGATTTCATGTCTTTCTTATCTCAGACTGCCCACTGTGAGGGAGAGGGAGCACAATGTATCATCTATCCCGGGGGTGTAGTGTTCTGAGCTCTGTATACTACCTTCTTTTTCCCCATATGATGGTTTGGCATAAATGTTTTCCAGGGAACTGGAGCTTTCCTGTGTCTGGGGGTATTGTTAAACTTTTTAAAGGCAATCATTACGGAACTGATCTGTGTTTATTTATTTGGTTAACTAATGTATTTAACACCTACTGTGGGTCAGATACTATGTTAGCTTCAGGGATGTGACAAGTAAATTATGGTCCCATACCTCAAGTACCTTACAGCGGGGAGAGAACCACTAAGAGATCATTATATTATAATATAGTAAGTGAGATAGGAAAACCACCAGGATTTGTGGGATTATAGAGGTTCAAAGGAAAGGCTTCTTAGAGAGATGAAATATGCCCTGCAGGTTAAAGGATAGCTAAGAATTCAGTAAACAGGTCAAGAGGGGTACAAGTGCATTTCAGGCAGGGAGAGCAGTTTGGTGTGTACGGTTTTGTGTTATTAGAATGGAGTGCTTCAGAGAGAGGAAAGCAAAAGCCAGATTGTCACCCTTGGGAACTGAAAGGAACGGGAAGAAGTGGAGGCAGGGAGTGAACAGGCCTGTTTCAATAAACATGCTGGTTCTAGAAATATGCAGAGCTAGAAAATCTCAAATCCTTCTGCAAATACCCAGAAATTCTGGAAACAATATAGCAAATAGTCCTTTTTTTTTTTTGAATGACTAGCTAGCTTTTTGTGAAAGAGAATAAATCTCTTGCTTTTAGAAACAGAGAGAAAACTAAAAACCAGAATGGTAAGCTCTTGTTTATTACCTGGGTTAGGACAGAGGAGGGCAAAGAAGGCTGTCGGTCTCTGTAGCCCAGGAACTTGGATTTTAATGTTCATTTGGCAATAGGACTTGAGGCCATGAGCTGATGAAAAAGAGCTTCAAATGAGCCAAACCCTTCCTTTAATCCAGATGCTTAAATGGCTGTACCCTCAGCAAAAGGTTTGAGTAGGAAAATCTGTGCACTGGCACAGAAAGATAAAGGAAGCTAGTTTGTCTTTGAGTAGAGAAAAAGAGACCCTCCTTCCCCCAAATCCATAACCACAAGACCACGTTTCATCCGAGTTTTGGGTAGTAAATTTACACTACCCATATAATCCAAACCAAACTACCACTACCCAGCAGCCAAACCAAAATTTTTTTTTTTTCATAAAACCTGGTCCTAGATTGGGGATATAGCTAGGACTCTCTGCAGGAATGAATGCAAAAATGTCCTGGAGGGAACTTGTGCATGCAGGAAAGAGCTGCTGCATATAATTTTAAATATTGGGTTACTCTACTGCTCAAAATGCTTTCTTGACTCTGTGTGTGACTCACCAGCAAACAGTAGGACTCTTTCTCCACTTCAGTAACAGATTGTTCTGCATTGTCTTCCCAATGTTAACAGCAAACCAGTGCATTTGTATTTATTGTTTTATAGTTACGCAAAGTGCTATTACTCAGGTTCTTTTTACAGATTAATTTTGGAATTGCACAAATATTTACTAAACACTTTCCCAACAGTGCCTTGATTCCACATTCATTCCAGCTGCTTCTCTTTCTTAAAAGAGAAACTTGAAAGTTTCTTAAAAGCCAAACTTTTTCAAAGAATGACTTACACTCACATCTCCATTTTCTTACCTCTTATTCATGACTCAGCCCTCTTTAATCAACCTGAACAGCTCTCATCAAGATCACCACATCATTAAATCCAACGTAACTTCTTTATTTTCATCTTACTGGCTTTCAATAGCGTTCAACCCAGTTGACGCCCCCACTTCTTCTTCAACAACCTCTTCCCTGGGCTTCCATGAAATCATTCTCTCTCTTCTCATATGTGATCCATTATCCAGCCTGTTAACTTGCTTTCTTGGTAGTCTCTTAATTCTTTTACTACACTTCGAGCTACCTTACCTCTTGCATGGATTACTACAGTGGTTTCCTAATTGATTTCCCCTCTTTCCTCATTCACTCAAATTAGTTCTCCACCCTCCAGACAGAATAATATTTAAAAAATTAAAATCTGATCAGGTTACTCTAGTGCTCAAAAGTATGTAATGGTTCACGATTGCTCTTAATATAAAGATCAAATGTCCTAATATGGCTTAGGAGACCCCACGAGCTCTATAGCCTAGGACTCCAGCCTCATTTTTACATACCACTCTTTGCTTCTTGCATGGCAGCACATTGGTCTTTTTTCCCCAGTCTTTCAAATTCACCATTTTTCTCTTGCAAATGCATTAGCTTTTGCACATGCATCACTTCTTGACCATCTACTAGGTCAAGGCCTACTCATCTTTAATTTTTTTTTTTAAAGAGATGAAGTCGTGCTATGTCGCCCAGGCTGTTTTCAAACTCTTGGGCTTACATAATATCCTCTTCCCAGCCTCCTGAGTAGCTGGGACCGCAGGCACATGTCACCTACTCATCTTTCAGCTTTTACTTCAGAATTTACTTCCTAGAAGAGAACCAGCTAATCATACATGAATAATTGAATTAATTCTAAGGAATGATAGAATTAGTCAAAGACCATTCTGCAACTGCTGATATAGTAACTGATTCAAGCTATGGATCCTCAATGGATGCTGAAACCACTGGGGGAAAGGTTATTGAGAAACATATATATATATATATATATATATATATATATATATATATATATATGAAGAAACTATATATATACACACACACACACACACACACACACACACACACACACACAGAGGGGGAAAGGTTATTGAGAAACATATATATATATAGGGAGAAACTATATATATATATATACACACACACACACACACACACACACACACACACATATAGGGGGAAAGGTTATTGAGAAATATATGTATATATCTCCTGTTTGTAATTTTTCAAAATAAAAAGTTAGGGAAAAATAGGGAAGGCAAGAAGGGTTTATGTGGTATAGGATTATAGTTGGAGTCATAATTGTGAACTCATATATATATATATATATATATACACACACACACATATATACAATGCTATACATGGTCTCCAGGGATCTCCCCACAGACCATCTCATATTACCAGAGGAAGATATGTTGTTACATGGAGAGGCCTGGTGGATGCCACCTTGACCAAGTGATCTCATTTAGCCTTCCTAATGGAGACAGCCTGACATGGTGTACCTCCCAGTTCATCAATAAGAAGAACACAATTTCACCAGTGAAGTCCTCTTGCCAAAAATGTTTAACCTGAATTTAATAATAATGAAATATTAGATAAACACAGAATATGAGAATTTTTACAAGATAACTGGCTGAATTCTTCAAAAGAGTCAATGTTATGAAAAATAAAGTAACAACAACAAAAAAGACAGGAGACTAAAGACTCAAGTGATTAAAAGAGATTAAAATGATTTAACCCAATGCAAATGTGCACTCGCATTGGATTATAAAACAAACAAACAAAATCCAAGGAGATATAAAATATTTAGGACAATCAGGGAAATTTGAACATGAACTCTATATCCTCATATAAGTATATGAGTATATAAAATTCAGATATGAGTATAACAAATATAAAATATTTAGGAAAACTGGGGAGATTTGAATATGAACTTTACAGTAGATGATATTATAGAATGATTGCTAATTTTCTCAGGGATGTTAGTGGAATAGAGGTTATGTAGGAAAGTGCCTTTGTTCTTATTAAATACATGCTGAAGTGTTAAGGGTAAACCATCGTGATATCTACAACTTACTTTCAAATATTTCAGCCAAAAGAAAAAAAATTCTCTCTTTCAACAAACCAAACATAGCAAAATAATTGGTGAATCTAAGTGAATAGTATATCCTATATTCTTTCCTGCTCTTTGTACTATTTTTTCAACTTCTCTGTAGGCTTGTAATTTTTAAAATAAAAGTTAGGGAAAAATAGGGAAAGCTAGAAGGATTTAAGTGGTATAGGATTAGAGTTAGAGACACAATTATAAACTCATGTTTAGCTTAATATAGGTACAAATGGATACATCTAGAATAGTTATAGTTGTGTGTATAAACAAGGGTTATTATGTACACATGCATCCCCCCTTGCTCTGTCATCTGGGAAGACTTAGAAACCATGACACCCCAGTAGCGATGAGCATAGCTAGCCTCTGATCTTGGTTTCTTTCTTTCCTTTTTTTCCCTTTTCCAAATGTCATCTTTTAATTGAAATCTGAAACAACTTCAACTTTTTTTTTCTTTTGGTCATAAAATCTTTCGTGGAGTTTTAAGTTATTATTCATTTTCATATCTTTCTAAGTGACCTATGCATACTTTTATGTACAAAGCCGTCTATTTTAATTGACTATATTAAGACCTGAAACTTCCAGACTAGTATAGGAGGTTCATTTTCATAGTCTCACTGTTCTTTCCAGTTAAATAAGTAGCTTCTAAAAATATCAAAAAGATGTTTGTTCTTCTCATCAAGGGAAAAAAATAAGTAAAATAAATTTCATACTCAATTAGGCAATTGTGCTAAAGGAGGAGTAATATATGAGTAGCTGAATCCATAGTATGAACAGAAGGAACGATGCAATGAAGGACTGCAATCCAGGTCTTGGTTTCTACTAGCATTCTCCAGTAAAAGAACCAGGGCTCTTTGGAGGAACAGTTGATTCTGTGACTGGGGTAGAAAGTAAAGAAGAAAAAGAAATCTCACAATGGTGGGTGGGTGAGGGTGTCAAGGCACCACAGGAGCCGACTGAAAGAGTTCCCAATAACCAAAGCTGGGACGACTTGAGTAACAAAATCAATGTATAACCCAAAGCATAAAATAGATATCCACGAGTCCATAGTGAATAAATAATTATATAGTTAAATACCGAGGAGAGAGAATAGACATATCTCCTGTGCAGACAGCTTCCAAGTAATTGGTATAGCTACTTCACCCTCAAGAAGGTGGAGCGTAACTCCCCACTCTTTTAAGTTTTTAAGTGTGGGATTCCCAGAGTGACTTCCTTCCAAAAAGTACTGTTTGGAAAGGTGGGGAAAGAGTAACTTTACGGTGAAAAGGCTGATGGACACTACCTCCACCAGGTGATGAGGTCAGTGTCAACAGTCATGACTCATGTTGCCATTATGTAGCCTCGATATGATGTAGTGAAGCATGAACTTTAGCTAAATAATGATGTATCAATACATTTTATTTATTATAATAAATGTATATGTTAATGTTAGCAATAGAGATACCGGGTGTGGGGTGTACAGGAACCCTCTATTATGATCTTTGTAACTTTAAAAATAAATCTAAGACTATTCTACAATAAAAGTTATCTTAAAATATTAAAAAAAAGGCGGGGGCAGATAGGAAGATGCTTACTTCTCCAGGGAAGCCTTTCCTGACTCCTGAGGGAGTCAGATTCTCATTAGGTGCTCTTGTGGCACTGGACTTTTTTCCTTTATGAACCAGCAGGCACATTTGCATCCTTCTAGAACATAAGCTCTGAGGGCAGAGGCTTGGTTTTCTTCTCCACTGTGTCTTCAGTGACTGGAATCATGCCTAGCACAGGGTAGACTCTGGATAATATCTGTTGGGTAAATGTGTGAGAGCATGTGGGTTTTTGATTAATGACTCTCTAATCATCTATAAGTTTCATAAGGCCGGGGCTTGGCTTTGCTCACTCTCAGAGCCCGGCCAGAGTTGGAGCTCAGGAGTGCAAGATGTGTGAATAGGTGAACACCAGGTGTGTGCTGGGCATGTGGATATGATAAGCAAGACTCAGCCTGGTCTATGCTTGGCTTTGTAGGACAGAATTGGCCAAGCTGGAAAGCTGGGAAAGCCATTGTTCATAGGGGAGGAGATCTTCCTCTTGTGTGATGTCTACATAGGCTTACACACTCTCCCCAGCCAAGGAGTGAGGGAACTAGCTGTCTCTCCTCTGTGCTGGGGAAGTGGTCAGTGTAGACCACTCAGGCCCGTTAGACCTGCAGGAAATGACAATGAGTGAGAGGCCAGTTTGACGCCATGGTCAGGGCAGCCAAGACAAGAAGCAGTCATGGTCAGTGAGGAGTTACAGGCCACATGAGGGCAGGGCCCACATTTGTCTCCTTCATGGTTGTAACCTCAGGTCTAGCACAGCATCTGGTGTGGTAAATGCTTGTTATGGGCAGAATCATGTCTTCCCCTAAATTCACATGGAAGCCTCAACCCTCAGTACCTCAGAATGTGACTGTATTTGGAGATAGGGCCTTAAAGAGGTGATGAAGTTAAAATGAGGCTCTTGGTGGGGTCCCTGATCCAATCTGACTTGTTTCCTGATGAAGAGATTTGGACACACAGAGACACCAGAGGTGCACGCCCAGAGGAAAGACCAGGTGAGTGCACAGCCAGAGGAGGCCATCGCAAGCTAAGGAGCGAGGTCTCAGAAGAAAGCAATCCTGCTGCAGCTTGCTCTTGGACTTCCAGCCTCCAGAGCCGTGAGAAAATATATTCCTATTGTTGAAGCCGCCCAGTCTGTGGTATTTGCTCATGGCAGCCTGAGCTGAGGAAGGCAGTGCCGTGTAGACACCAAGGAAGTGACCCAGTGCTGAGGCTGTGGACCTGTGCTCCAGAGGTCTAGGGCAGCCTTCCTAAAGTATTTCTTCTTGCACTTTAAATGCCTGCAGACCACCCGGGGCTCTTGTTAGAAGTGGGATTTCTGGTTTCCAAGGTCTGGGATGGTACCTGAGCTGTTGGATGTCTGATGAAGTCCCAGGGGAAGCATCAGGTCTGTGGGCCACAATTTGAGCAGCAGGGTTTGGGGAGCACTAGCTTAGGAGTCCTAGAGTCCCGAGGTTTGTCTTTGAATTGGACCATCTTTGGTGACTTTAGAAGAATATGGTGGAACTTATTCAAATTCAATTCAGCAATTACTTTGAGCAGTTTTTCACATCAGACTCTGCCAGCCTGTGTGCCCCTCCGGAACACCGGGGGGAGGGGAGAGGTGGCAAGACAAGGGCCTGCCCACACCCCAGGCTGTCTTTCGTCGAGGAGAGCCAATTTTATTCCACTGCAGGTATAAAGGATGAGGTCTGCCCATCAGTCATGCAGAGCCGCTAGGGAGACAACTTTTTCATCAAAGCTTAAGAAAAACTAGATGAGTTTTTGAAAAGAGTGGGAGGCAACTGGGAGTTATTTGTTGATGTCGGCGACCTTGGTAATTTCAAATGAGATTCTCTTTCATTTTTGTGCCCTTGGGTCAGGCTCCTTCTGCCGAGGCATCATTCTCCTCCCATACCTTGCCTGCTAGGATGCTGGGCTGACCATCAGGGGTCAAAGTCAAGCGTGTCCCCCCCGGGGTCATTTTAATACACCTTTCTCTCCGCAGAAGCAATCAAGACTCCTTGAGGAACAATGGCATGAAGAGTTTCTAGTGCTCATGTGAATAAATAACCCAGTCTTCACGTGGCTCATTTTCCAAAGCTCCAGGAAAACAATTTGTGATGAAAATTAGGTCTGAGCCATTGCTGAGAATTACAAGATGGTGGCATTTTTATTATTATTCTTTAATAAATCTATAAATAACCTAAAAAAACCCAAGTGACTTGGTCATCCCAAGAGGGCAGAGTCTGGGCTCCCTTGGATTGCTCTAGTGAGCTGGGTCAGGCTGGAAGAGCAGAGCTTTGAAGGGTGCAGGCCAGGCCTGGGGAGAGGCCTGCAGCAGATCCTGCAGGAAGGGGGCCCTCTCTGTGGAACATTTTGGGTAGAAGCTAGGATTTCTGTAAGGAGTTATTTGTAGAGGGTGCTGGGCCCTTTGAGTTTTTGTTTTTCTTTCAATAGAAAGGACCCACAACCACAGTATCTGCTTTAGAGTAGAGCCAGTCTCTTGGCCCCTAGGAGGGTGCCCCTGGCACCGTGGGCCTGGGAGCAGAAATGCCCTCCACTGCCTCTGCTCTAAACACAGCCTGCAGCTTCTTCCCAGAGCACAGGGAGAGTCCCGAGATCCACCCCTTGCTTGTCACTGCCCCTTGGTGGGATTCTGTTCAGAGAAGTCCATTAGAACAAATTCAGGGTTCTGAGACCTGGCCTTCCCTCATTTAAAAAAGCCTGACAGCTTTCACCCTTTTTCCTGGCTCATAGTGACATGCCAATTTAGGTGTCAGGCAGGTGCAGTTTCATCCAGAGACTGGGTTCAGGATGTAAGGCTCTGCCCAAATTATACCTCAGCGACTCGTGGAAGGGGCAAATCAATCACCAGAAACACCAACTAAGGGCAACTAATTTAGCTGTATATTTAATGTACAATCTGGACATTGCCAAATAGACTCCATCACTGCTGCGGCTCCTCTGCCTTCTTGTCTTTGCTGTTATTATCACTATTATTATTATCACACCTCCTCTTCCTGGCTCATCAAATGAAAGCTGTCTCTCCTACCAGCCAAGGCTAGTTACTCCACCTGTGGTTCAGACCTCCCTGCCCTCATCCGTCATCTCCAGGAGCGTGATCCTCTCCTGTATCTTCAGCTCCTTCATCCTATGCAGGCTGCCTCGTCTCTTTGTCATCGTTAAACTGAGTTATTTCCCTGCTTTTTCTTGGTTGGAAAGAAAGAATATCCAATTGGGGAAAACAGGCAAGCAGGATTTATTCTCTGGCTAGAGAAGGAGGAGTGAGCACTTGCTCCCAAGACACCTCCTCCTCCCGGAGCTGTGAGGAGCTGGGGAATTTTAAGGAGTTAGATAGGGGGTGGGAGGTTTGTATGTGCAGGGAGGAACTTTAGACGCGCAGGCGCAGATCATGAGCATGATCCTTCCTAGGGGGCATGTTCAGGAAATGGCGGCCATATTCTTCTAGACGTGGGGATTTTAATATTATAATGACGTGTTAATGATCTGAAGGTCACAGGAGTCGCTGGTTCTGGGTCGCTCTGGTTTTGAGCAGGCCTTCTCTTCCTCTGATGATGGCAAAGGGTCCTGAAGCTCCCGGCCCACCTGGAGTCTTTGTAAATGAGCATAGCTAGAGATTGAGGGACTAAAATAGACTGTTTAAGAGACAATACGGAGCCTTCTCAGCTACCTACTGCTTCAGAAAATAATGAGCTTTTTCAGCTGTGCTACCTTCTCAACTATTTCTCCAGGACTGCTCTGGTAACATCTGGAAAAGCCTCCGTGCTGGTGACAATGTCAGGGACAGGAAGGCCGAGTTTCTGGTGCCTGGTGGTTAACAGTGACATTGATGGTGGTTTCCTCAGCAGGATAATTCTGCAGAATGGTTTGGGTATTGTTCTAGAAGCAGCCTTGAGTCTATTTCTCCAACTCACTTTCTAGCACATTCCATTATTTCAGTGAATGAACACTCACCTTTATCAGCAACTTCTGCCCCTTAGCATATAATCAGGCACACATCTTGACTGTCTTAAACATCTTTCCTCAGCCCTATATCTTCCTCCAACTAGCCTTCATTGCAGCCAACCATCTTAAAAGCTTCAGTTGTTGTTTCTGCTACCTCACCCTCTACTTGACTTACCTATCCCACAACAGTTGAGATCTTGCCCTCACCAATCTATGGAAATCACTCTCACTGACCACTTTGTCACTGAGTACTTTGTCATCAAATTCAGTGGGGGCTTCTGGGATTTCCCAGTTCTTGTCATACTGGACTATCATAGCATGGAATAGCATAGATTGCCTCATTCCTTCCAGCATTTCATCTTACTGTATCCATCAGAAGGCAGTGCAAGCTGTAGAAAGCTTCTTCTGTAGTTACTCTTCTTAGGAAATACCATCTAGCAGGTTTTCCTCTCCTCTGTGTAAGTGAAACCACCTCCTAAAAACCTCTTCACCTGAATGACCACCTCACCTTCTAGGTAGTTTTCTTTCCTCAAGTTGTCTGTCATAGATATACAGGGAATCATGTGCTTGCAAAGCCACTGGGAGAGCTGCAGGAGCAGAAGTAGGGATGCCACTGCCAGGATAGAGCTTCAAAGTTACCACTGCAGGTGCAATCAGAGCAAGAAAATTGCTGTGATCATCACTGCCACCTTCACAGACACCGAGGCTCACAAAGCCAGTGCCTAGACAGGAGAATCTGGCCTCTGCCACACTGGCATATATTAGAGCTTGCCTGTTGGCCAGCTCTAGGGCTGAAGGAAGGCCTTTGTCTCCCATCCACTTTCCTGGTATATCTTATCGGTAGAACCTAAGTTACATAGAATCTAGCTGCAAGGGAGTCTGAAAATACAGCTATTAGTCTTTTAGCCTCTGTAATACAGAATAACACAGCAGGGAGTGAGATGCCAAGGGCGAGCTGATTAGACCCAGGGTCACTTTGGTTCTGTGACTTCTTTCTCTTTCTTGGATCACCTCTTACCAATTAGATTATTCCTTCTCTGCCTCTTTTATGTACTCTTATTCCTCAGCTTATTTCTTAAACTCAGTGTTGTCCAGGAATCTCCTTACATACCACTTTCCATTTCACCCCACTTATTCTCCTGATTGAATTATCATGGTTATGCCTATAATCTCAGCGCTTTGTGCATATTGGTGACTCCCAATACACATCTCCAGCTCCTACACTATCGTGGGCTCCTGCCTTGCACTCCTGTCTACTGGGCATATTCACATGGTGATCACACAGAAACCTCAAACTCCACATGTTCAAAACCAAACTCACTAGCTTCTCCAAGCTTGTTTGCTTTTGTGTTTGCGCCCTTGGTTAGTGGCATCTGCCCAGTCATCCAAGTTAGAAGCCTGGTGTCAACCTTGTCTCCTCTCTTTTGCCCCCTACTTCCAAGTCAATTACCAGGACAGTTGGTTTGGCTTCTTTTGTACCTCTCATATCCTTCCTTCCTGTCTGATTCCATTATTACTGTTCTCATACAGCACGTTTTCCTCTATGCTGGATAAGTGAAACCACCTCCTAAAACCTTTTCACCTGAATGACCACCTCACCTTCTAGGTGGTTTTCGTGCCTCAAGTCTGTCACCCTCCCCTTCCATCCATCTTGCTCATTAACATCATTGTGGTCTTTCTAATGGGAAAGTCTAGATATGCATATTAATCTCCTATGGAAAACCTATTCCATTTCCCTACACTTGTGGAATTAAGTCTAAACTTCTTAACATGGTGTTATGGGTTAAATTTTGTCCCCAAAAGGTAAGCTCAAGACCTAATGCCCAATATCTGCAAATGAGACCTTATTTAGAAATAGAGTCTTTGCAGATATAATCAAATGAAAACGAGGTCATAGGGGATTAGGGTGGGCTTTAGTCCAACAATTGTTGTCCTGATAAGAAAAGGGAGGCTGGGCATGGTGGTTCATACCTGTAATACCAGCACTTTGAGAGGCTGAGGTGACAGGATCACTTGAGCTCAGGGGTTTGGGACCAGTCGGGCAATGTAGTGAGACCCAGTCTCTAAGAAAAATAAATCAGATGCATACACCTGTAGTTCCAGCTCTGTGGGAGGCTGAGGTGGGAGGATCACTTAAGCTCAGGAGTTTGAGGCTGCAGTGAGCTATGATCGCACCACTGCACTCCAGTCTGGGCAACAGAGCGAGCCACTGTCTCAGAGAAAACAAACAATAACAAAAAAGAGAAATTTGGACAGAGACAGGCACACAGGAAAGAAGGCAATGTGGAGACAAAGTGGGAGATTGGAGTGGTGTGTCTACCAGCCAAGGAAGGCCAAGAATTGCTGACAACCATCAGAAACTAAGAAGAGGCAAGGAAGAAATCACTCCTGCAGCCTTCCGATAAATCATGATCCTGCCAACACTTTGATCTTGAATTTCTAGCTCCCAGACTGTGAGACAACACATTTCTGTTATTTAAGCCACTCTCTGTTTATGGTACTTCATCACAGCAACCCTAGAAGATCAATACACATGGCTTCATTGTCTTCATCTACCTGCTTATCTCATCTCTTGCCTTTCTCTCAAGTAAATCAGTCAAAGGAAAGCTTCTCCCTGCTTCCAGCCTCTGGATCCTCTCCTTTGCCTCTGGGCTTTTGCTCTGGAAAGGGTCCCTACCTTGCATGCAGACTCCTGCTCTCACCTTTTGAGATGACGTCAATCCCATCCTCCGCAGGCTTCTGTCATTCACACAGATTAACCATTCTCTCCTTGTGAGCTCTTGGCAAGCACCGGCAGCATAATATGGATAATACTGGGTGATAATTATGTTTGTAGATTTGTTTCCCGCACTAGGCCAGGAGCTCTTTGAGGGCAGCAATAAGCAGATCTTTCCGTCTTTCATATTCGGGGTAGAACCCAGAAGTTAGTTGCTGACCATTTGATGAGTGATGGTCCTTTGATCCCAAGTCACTGGATCATATTTCTGAGAGGGTGCCTTCTAGAATTGGTGAAATGTGATACTAAGTGTAGAGGAAGGTGCTGCCAAAATGTGAAGTGGAGCAGTTAGCAATCCTTGTTCTCGAAGGGGACTGGTGGGTCCCTGAGCAAGTGCTTGCTGCTCTTCTGGCACTCCTGCATTCCAGAGCGTGCTGTGTCAGAGGCTCAGGACTGACCATGCGGGGCATTATTCAGAGTGTGGATATAGTATTTATATTTTATGGACTGTCATTGAGAAAGTGGATTTTCCACTCAGACTGCAATCTGGTATTTCTGGGCTGTAGGAGAGGAGAGTGAATGTCAGGTTGCTGGATGGTTCCTTTTAGTCTGCACAAGCACCAGTGTGTCAAGTTCAAGTTCATGTGCAGATCACTTGAGCTCCACTGGAAATTGGGTGTAAGTGAAGGGGTGAGTCTTGACATCTTGCCTTGCCCAAACAGGTTTCTATCAGAATAATTGGTAATGCCTTCCTGAGAATTCATTTTTCTCTTCTGTCTCCTCTCTGGTCAATTCTGCCTGCTGCTGTTATATTTCAATCATGTCACCCTCTGCCCCCAAATTGTGGAAAACTCCACATGTCACACAGGATAAAGTTCAAGCCTCCACATACTCTTCACGTCTCTCTTCTCTCTGGCCTCAGTCTGTTATTGGGCTTGCTGCTGGCTCCCCTCCCTTCTCTCCTATCCTTTGTGGAAGGCCTTCCACTTAAATGCAGCTGTTGAATTGCTGTTCATTCTTCAAGGTTGAATGAGATGGCACCTCTTCCCTGAAGCCTTTTTCGTTTCCCGATGGAAGCCATTGCTTCCACTTTAGGACTCAGAGAGTTTTGTTGATATAGTCCATCCTGCTCTACACTGGTTTCTTTTATGTGAATTTCTTCAAGTGTTACTGGAAATAGGAAGTAATTTCAGTACAACTGAGGAATTGTGATAGTTCCCTGTGACTTTTTTCAGTATGCTAATGTTTTCCAGAAATCAAGAGCATGCCTTCTCATAATTAGAGAGCAATATATGAAGACATTAAGGAAACAGCCAAAGATCTATAGAAGTGCCTTCCTTTAGTGCAAGTAGTGGCTAGTTTGGTATATTAGTCTGTTCTAATGCTGCCAATAAAGACATACCCAATGCTGGGTAATTTATAAAGGAAAGAGGTTTAATTGACTCACAGTTCAGCATGGCTGAGGAGGCCTCAGGAAACTTACAATCATGGTGGAAGGGGAAGCAAACACGTCTTTCTTCACATGGTGGCAGGAGAGAGAAAATCAGCGAAGGGGAAAGTCCCTTATAAAACCATTAAATCTTGTGAGGACTAACTCACTATCATGAGAACAGAATGGGGGAACTGCCCCCATGATTCAGTTATCTCCATCTAGTCACTCCCAGGATGTATGGGGATTATGGGAACTACAACTCAGGATGAGATTTGGGTGGAGACACAGCCAAACCTCATCATTTGGTGACCTCAGGCACCACTATTCTTTGTACCTTTAGGTGTTTAGTGAAGCTGTGTTGATGAAGAAGCTGCAAAGACATTTACCCATGTGTTAAGACAATGGGTTGTTAAAGAAAGCCACATTCCAGATCTGATGTTTAATTATAAAAAACAGATTTCTGTAAGAAACAAATGGCATCCAGAATCTACATCTTGAAGGAGATCATGGTATCCCTGGGTTGAACACTGCACAGGATTAATTGGCTAATTCTGGGTGCAAATGCTGGGAGGGTCTTAACTATGCTCCTAATTTTGTTAGAATTTTTACTCTTTTTGTAAGTGGTTTAGATGCAAAGTTATATACTTCTTGAATGGTTTTCACCTAACCCTTTTCCCCCAAGGTCTGTTATTTCTAGTGTGTACTTGTGTAGAACCCCAGGTTTTTCAGAAGCACACATATGGTGTAATAGAGGAGACTGCTGTAATGTACATCTGGCACATACATCTTTTTGTTGCTTGTCTACTGATGTCTCACTTTTTCAATCGTAAAGGCAGAAACCAGGCCTTATTTTTTAAAATATATTTTCCACATTGGTGAAGGGGATATTTTCATAGCTTTTGACAGTTGTAATGGTTAATACTGAGTGTCAACTTGATTGAATTGAAGGATACAAAGTATTGATCCTGGGTGTGTCTGGGTGGGTGTTGCCAAAAGAGATTAACATTTGAGTCAGTGGACTGGGAAGGCAGATACACCCTTATTCTGGTGGGCATAATCTAATCAGCCACCAGCGAATAGAAAGCATGAAGAAAAATGTGAAAAGGTGAGACTGGCCTACCCTCCCAGCCTACATCTTTCTCCCATGCTGGATGCTTCCTGCCCTCGAACATCAGACTCCAAGTTCTTCAGTTTTGATACTTGGACTGGCTCTCCTTCTCCTCAGCTTGCAGACAGCCTACTGTGGGACCTTGTGATCATGTAAGTTAATAATAAACTCCCCTATATATATATATATCTTATTAGTTCTGTCCCTGTAGAGAACCCTAATACAACAGGTGTCTAGGTGAAGACACATCGTGTTCTATTTGAAACTGATTGAGCTGATTCCTTGTCCAACTTGTTGTCCTCAACCCAGCAGCCATATTTTCAATGTAAGAATAAATGTTCAGGCAAGGGGATTCTTCCTGATAATTTTGCATAGGGGTTGTCTCAACCTTGAAGATGTATTAGGATCTCCTAGAGGGCTTTTAAAATGTTATTAGTATCGGGGCCACACCCCTAGATATTCTGATTTAATTTGTCTGGAGTAAGACCCATGATTGAGGGCTTTTAGAAAACTCCTTATATTAGTCTAACATGCAGTAGGATTGAAAACCACTGGTGTAGAACATATGTGCTATAGAAAGAATAATAGGCCAGGCATGGTTGCTCATGTCTGCAATCCCAACACTTTGGGAGGCAGAGGTAGACGAAGCGCTTGAGGCCAGAAGATGGAGACAAGCCTGTGCAACATAGGGAGACCACCATCTCTAAAAAAAAAACACAAAACAAAAAAACAAACACTCCAGCATGGTGGTTAATGCCTCTACTCCCAGCTACTTGGGAGGCTGAGGCAGGAGAATCCCTCGAGGAGCTCAGGAGTTTGAGGTTGCAGTATGCCATGATCATGCCACTGTACTCTAGGCTAGGTGACAGAGTGAGACCTTGTCTCTGGAAAAAAAAAAGATAGAATAATAAATTAATTCAGCCCTGACCAAGATGGTTTGGCTTTGGGATGCAAGCAGGGGTCCTATCACCACAAGGGGGTGATGGTTCTTTTGCTGCAGAGATCACAATTGAAGGCCCTCGTACCCTTCTCAAAGACTTTCAGCCTCTGGCTCTGCTGGACTTATGGTCGCAGCTTCACTAAGGCTAACAATCCAGCTGCCATCACTTTATTGACTCTTCTAGAATTCTCTCTCACTTGCCTTTGTACTTTCATACTCCTCCTCTGGGATTCCAGTTTTATTTCATTCATCTTTCTCCGTGTACTTTTAGGGTTCCCATCTGAATTCGCTTCCTGCTCACCATCTCTCAACTCTGGATCTTTTACATTCCAGCCATTACCCTCACTTTAACAGTTTAACTATCAGCCAAAAATGCTTTGGGAGTTCCCCATGGAAGCTCTCTGATATTTCTATTTGTCCCACAGGAAGCTGTTGCTGCTTTAAAATAACTTATTTATTTCTGACCCTTTAGAGTAAACTGTTTCTCTTTAAAAATAAGTTCTAATTACATAAGGGAAAATTCATGAAGACCTGAGCATGAAGAATAAAGATAGATCTTCACATTCCTCTAAAAGGAAGTATAAATACCACTATTTCATCAGGGCCCTACCAAGAAATTTGATATAGTGGTAAATCCAAGGCTTTGGCTATCAGAAAGATCTAGAGTTAAATTATGAGTCTACCATTTATTAGTTGTGTGATCTGGGGCAAGTTATTTGTGATTTATGAGAATCAATTTTCTCATCTGTAAAGTAAGTATGATAATATCTATTTCATCGGGCTGTAAATATTTAAAAATTAAATACGTGCAAAACAGGAGATTTGATTTTCTAGTCACACAGAATAATTTTTTTTTTTTATTATACTCTAAGTTTTAGGGTACATGTGCACATTGTGCAGGTTAGTTACATATGTATACATGTGCCATGCTGGTGCGCTGCACCCACTAATGTGTCATCTAGCATTAGGTATATCTCCCAATGCTATCCCTCCCCCCTCCCCCGACCCCACCACAGTCCCCAGAGTGTGATATTTCCCTTCCTGTGTCCATGTGATCTCATTGTTCAATTCCCACCTATGAGTGAGAATATGCGGTGTTTGGTTTTTTGTTCTTGCGATAGTTTACTGAGAATGATGGTTTCCAATTTCATCCATGTCCTTACAAAGGATATGAACTCATCATTTTTTATGGCTGCATAGTATTCCATGGTGTATATGTGCCACATTTTCTTAATCCAGTCTATCATTGTTGGACATTTGGGTTGGTTCCAAGTCTTTGCTATTGTGAATAGTGCCGCAATAAACATACGTGTGCATGTGTCTTTATAGCAGCATGATTTATACTCATTTGGGTATATACCCAGTAATGGGATGGCTGGGTCAAATGGTATTTCTAGTTCTAGATCCCTGAGGAATCGCCACACTGACTTCCACAATGGTTGAACTAGTTTACAGTCCCACCAACAGTGTAAAAGTGTTCCTATTTCTCCGCATCCTCTCCAGCACCTGTTGTTTCCTGACTTTTTAATGATTGCCATTCTAACTGGTGTGAGATGATATCTCATAGTGGTTTTGATTTGCATTTCTCTGATGGCCAGTGATGATGAGCATTTCTTCATGTGTTTTTTGGCTGCATAAATGTCTTCTTTTGAGAAGTGTCTGTTCATGTCCTTCGCCCACTTTTTGATGGGGTTGTTTGTTTTTTTCTTGTAAATTTGTTTGAGTTCATTGTAGATTCTGGATATTAGCCCTTTGTCAGATGAGTAGGTTGCGAAAATTTTCTCCCATGTTGTAGGTTGCCTGTTCACTCTGATGGTAGTTTCTTTTGCTGTGCAGAAGCTCTTTAGTTTAATTAGATCCCATTTGTCAATTTTGTCTTTTGTTGCCATTGCTTTTGGTGTTTTGGACATGAAGTCCTTGCCCACGCCTATGTCCTGAATGGTAATGCCTAGGTTTTCTTCTAGGGTTTTTATGGTTTTAGGTTTAACGTTTAAATCTTTAATCCATCTTGAATTGATTTTTGTATAACGTGTAAGGAAGGGATCCAGTTTCAGCTTTCTACATATGGCTAGCCAGTTTTCCCAGCACCATTTATTAAATAGGGAATCCTTTCCCAATTGCTTGTTTTTCTCAGGTTTGTCAAAGATCAGATAGTTGTAGATATGCGGCATTATTTCTGAGGGCTCTGTTCTGTTCCATTGATCTATATCTCTGTTTTGGTACCAGTACCATGCTGTTTTGGTTACTGTAGCCTTGTAGTATAGTTTGAAGTCAGGTAGTGTGATGCCTCCAGCTTTGTTCTTTTGGCTTAGGATTGACTTGGCAATGCGGGCTCTTTTTTGGTTCCATATGAACTTTAAAGTAGTTTTTTCCAATTCCACACAGAATAATTTGTATGAGACTTATCCTTCACCATAAACAATGATAAAACTAGACAGAATATACAAGGCAATTACCTCCAGTCACTGGACAAAGGTAAAGAAGGACTGTGATCCCTGAGAGTAGGGGAACACATGTAGTGAGCCCTACATTCTTCCTGGTTCTCTAACCGGGAATACTTTTCATACTATGCTTCAGGGAGGCAGAAGCCAAGCATAGTAGCAGTCTTTCTGAGCAGGGATGGCAGATACTGGAATTGGTTCTTAAAGCAGCTGAAATTGGTGACTAGGGTACCTAAAAAGGGAAGTGTGTAGGATGGAAACTTTGGAATTCTGTGTGGAATTCACCATAGGTCTGTGGCTAAGAGCTGGCATTTAACACACATAGCAAGACTCCACAAGTCAAACTGAGAGCTACTGTATGTCTGAGAGCTAGAGAGAGATACCAGATGTGCCACAGTGTTAGGAGGCATGGAAACTCTAGCTAAGCCAGAGTGGGGAGACCATACTGAGTGTCTCAGGCAATAAGTGGAGACTCAAGAGAGGCCACACATTGATTAAGAACCATGCCCTAGCATAAGATTATGTCTTAGGACTAAGGGCAAAACCAAACTAGACCTATCCTGTTATAGACTGAACGTTTGTGTCCCCTCTCCCACCCAAATTCATATGTTGAAATCCTACCCCCAGTGTGATCATATTAGAAAGTGGGGACTTTATGAGGTAATTAGCTCATAAAGATAGAGCCCACATGAATGGGAGTAGTGCCTTATAGAAAGAAACATGAGAAAGAGAATCTCTGTCTTGGCCATGTGAGCATACAACAAGGTGGCTGTCTGAAAACCAGGAAGAGTGCCCTTATCAGTCACTGGACCTGCTGGTGCCCCGGTTTTGGATATCGCATCCTCCAGAACTGTGAGAAATAAATGTTTGTTATTGAAGCCACTCAGTCTATGGTAATTTTTTATAGCAGCCTGAATTGCCTAAGGTACAACTTAACAGAATTAAACTAAAACTATCTTGTTGAACCTAACAAGATAAAAGAAGCCAACAGTTATTTAACTTCATACCAGAAAAAAATTCACCACCTTTTAACAGAAAATGACATAATACAGATTCCATATAACATTGCATTACAATGTCTAGTTTACAATAAAAATTACTGGACATGTGAATAAACAGGAAGATGTAACCCATAGTCAAGAAATGAAAAACAGTTCATTTAAACATATTGTTGAGATAACACAGATGTTGAAATGAACAGAGGAGGACTTTAAAGTAGCTATTATAGCTCTGTTCAAAGATTAAAGGAAAAGATGGTTGTAATAACTGCACAGATGGAGAATCTTTGTAGAGAAATGGAAACCAGAAGAAAGATCTGAATATAAATTATAGTATTATAAGAAAAATATCTGAAGTAAAAATTAACTGTGTGGGATCAATAGCTGACTAGAGACTGCAGAATAAAGTGTTGGTATATTTAAAGATGTATCCATAAAAATTATTTAATCTTAAGAACATAAAGAAAAGGGACTGAAAAGAAGACACAGAGTCTCAGTGAATCAGGAGATAATACTGAGTGATCTAACATGCATGTAATGGGGGCTCCAGGAGTATAAAAGAGAGAAAATAGGTAAGAAAAAATATTTGAGGAATATTTGAAGAATTAATGCCTGAAAAGTTCTAAAATTTAGTGAAAAACTCAACCTATAGATCCAAGAAGCTTAGTAGACCCCAATCAGGATTTTTTAAAAAAAGCCTACCAAATTTAAGTATGTTAAACTGAAATAAAAAAACCCGTTAGCATTGAATTTTATACCTAATGGCAATATTTTAAAAATATGATGTGAAATAAAAGCAGTTCACATAAAAGCTGAGAGAATTCATCACCAGGAGACCTGCATAAGAAATGTTACAGGAAGGTTTTCAGACTGAAGTAAAGTGCAACCAGAGAGGAATTTGGATTTATGGGAAGGAATGAAGAAAACCTAAAATGGAAATTACATATGTGAATATGAAGACTATTTGTTTCCCTTAATTTTTTAAAAAGACAATTCAGTGTTTAAAACAAAAAGGATATTGTATTGTCATTTATAAAATATGTAGAAGTAAAGAATATAACAATAATAGCACAAAGAAAGGGAGTATATGGGGACCGTCTTCCTAGTTGTAAGTTGTAAATTTTTACATTTCCATGTAAAGTGGTAAAATTTTAACTCTAAGTAAACTGAGCTAAATTAAGGATGAATATTATAATCTCTAGAGCAATCAAAAGGTATATCTAAAAAAAGAGGAATTAAAATGAAATACTAAAAATAGGCAGTTAACCTATGATAAAATAGGAAAGAAAGATCAGAGGAACAAAAACCACACAGCAAAAGAGGAAACAAATAGCAATATGATGGACTTAAAACCAACCCTATCAGTAATTATATTAAGTGTAAATAGCTAGTCATTTCAGTTAAGGAAAGATATTGTCAGACTATATGAAAAATAAGGTTCAAATATGTGCTATTTACAAAAGATGCACTTTAAATATAAAGACACAAAGATTGAATGTAAAGGGATGGAAAAAGATATACCATACAATAGTAAGCATAAAATTAAAATTAGAGTGGATTTGAAGGTAAGAAATATCATCAGAGATGAAGAGAGACATTGCATAATGATAAATATATATTCATTCAGAAATATGAGGAATGAAAGAGGCAATATTATCTCAGATCCTATAGACATTAAAGAATATTAAGGGAAATGTTATGAAACTCTTTATGCAAAAAACATGGTAACTTAAAAAGGACAAATTCCATGAGAAACACAATTTATCAGAAATGTAGAGGCTGGGCGTGGTGGCTCATGCCTGTAATCCCAGCATTTTGGGAGACCGAGGAGGGTGGATCACGAGGTCAGGAGTTCGAGACCAGCCTGGCCAACATGGTGAAACCCCATCTCTACTAAAATACAAAAATTAGCTGGGTGTGACGGTGGGTGCCTGTAATCTCAGCTACTCAGGAGGCTTACACAGGAGTATCACTTGAACCCGGGAGGCAGAGGTTGCATTGAGCCGATTGAGCCATTGCACTCTGGCCTGGGTGACAGAGCGAGACTGTCTCTTGAAAAAAAAAAAGGAAAAAAAAAAAGAAATTCTAAAGACATGCATGTTTCCTGTGAGAATAGTGAATTCCCACATCTCCCTGAATCTTCTGGGCCTGCAGAAGTAGCCCACTGAAGCCTGATAAAGGCTAGCACCTTCCTTGCTTAAACATAATGAAGAGACCTCTGCCTTGCAATACAATGTATACTTCTCTCAGGATCTATTTCCACCTCCTCTCCAGGCTGTCAGATGAATAATGGGTTCAAGCGTCAAGCCAATCTGGCTGCATAAGGATTGGTTCTGTTTAGGGAGGAAAGGCACTCACTGAAAGAGCCACGGGTCCTCCACATTTACTGGCAGGAGCTGAGAAAGTCTATGTGGCACTAGATTCTGAGGAATGGTTCGAGGGTGGCAGAACACACACTTCGGAAGGGAAAGTTTATTGATATGTTAGCATTCTCTAGGGATAAGGACTTAGCACCCTGACATGGTGCTAGTATGGCTTGTGGTGGAAGCTTGGAAAAAGTGATGGTCCAAACAAAATGAAGTAGAAATGTCAGAATTGCTGTGGCAGACAGTGAACTTCTTCCACTGTCTAAGACCAAAAGGTGTAGAGAAGTGGGCAGGATAGAGTTAACATGCTACACAAAGGTGAAAAACCCACCAGCCAATCCCAGGGGACACCATGTTTACCAAAGAGACAGGTAATGCAAGGGTGAGGGACACCACCCAGGCTGCTGGTAGGCAATTCTGTTAAATAACTGGGCTCCTTGATAGTAATGCGGATAAGACCCTGAATAACAGAGGCCAGATGGCACAACGTTTTTAATGAGCATCAAAGTTGAAAGCCGCCTCATGGGCATGTGATGCTGAGCTATAGAGATGAGTAATGGGACATGGTGTCCTATGGGCAAGAGAGATGGGCTGCCAACAAGGGTATTGTTCAACTGAAGCAAGTAAAAGAAATCAAGGATAGATTACCATGAGGCTGAAGGCAGCTGCCCCAATAAAACAGCGTAATCCCTTGCCCTATTTCCTCATTTGAACCAGTTTTCAGGCCTAGAGCCCATTGACTGAAGGAGAGGCTGGGTCCCCAGGAGGAACAACCCTGCCACACCACAGCAAGTATATATGATAAGTCTCCCACTCCTTCCTCCAGGGACCTATGGCCATTTACTTGGGTAATTGTACACCATGGAAAGGGATAACCAGCTGTTTCAAGGACTGTTGGACACAGGTTTTGAGTCATTGGTACCTGCAACTGAAGCATCATCGTGGCCACCCTATGAGAGTGGGGACCTATGGAGGCTGGCTAGTGAATGGAGACCTGGCTCAGATTTGTTTCATGGCTCTCTTATCGAACCCAAGCTCCCTCCTGGTGGTCACTTCTCTGGTTCCTGGACACATATTTGAATGTGTGTCCACATTCAAATATGGTAGTATGGTAGTATGTAAACTACCACATACTTGGTAGTTTCAATAATTCCCACATTAGAGCCCAAAACTATGCTATAAAAGCTAATATAGGCCAGGCGCAGTGGCTCACGCCTGTAATCCCAGCACTTTGGGAGGCTTAGGAGGGTGGATCACCTAAGGTCAGGGGTTCGAGACCAGCCTGGGCAACATGATAAAACCCGTCTCTATTAAAAATACAAAAATTAGCCGGGCGTGGTGGTGGGTGCCTGTAGTGCCAGCTACTCGGGAGGTTGATGCAGGAGAATTGCTTGAACCCGGGAGGCAGAGGTTGCAGGGAGCCGAGATTGCGCCATTGCACTCCAGACTGGGTGACAAGAGTGAAACTCCGTCTCAAAGAAAAAGCTAATATAGTGGGGAAGACCCAGTGGAAACCGCTGAATCTTCACTCTGTCCCCAAAGATAGTAAAACAAAAATCATATTGTATCTGGGGTTGAATGGTAGAGATAGTGCCACTCTTAAAGATCTAAGGTCAGGGCATCGTGGCTCACACCTGTAATCCCAGCACATTGGGAGACCGAGATGAGAGGATCACTTGAGGCCAGGAGTTTGAATCCAGCCTAGGCAACATAGTGAACTACAAAAAAAGTTAAAAAATTAGCTGGGCATGGTGACAGGTTACCTGTAGTACCAGCTACTCAGGAGACTAAGGCAAGAGGATCACTTGAGCCCAGGAGTTCAAGGCTGCAGCAAGCTATGATCACATCACTGTACTCCAGCCTGGGCAGCAGAGTGAGACCCTGTCTCTAAAACAAATACATAAAGAAATTAGTTAAAAAAATCTAAAGGATGTGCAAGTGATTACCCCCTCATGTGTACATGTTGCTCACTTGACTGTCTCCTACACTGGATCCCAGGAGTGGGCTCCCACCAATTCAACTAGGTTAAAGCCCTAATTACAGCTACTGGGCTAGATGTAGTATCATTACTATGGTAGATGAACATGGCCTCTGGCTCATGGAATATGGCCATTCATCTAGCAAATGTGTTGTCTTCTCTCCATTTCAGGAAAGAATACCAGAAGCAGTTTGCATTAATGTGTGACAAACAACAGTATGGATTTATAGTCTTTCTCTAGGTTTTATGCTAACTCATGCCCTCTGTCATAATATAGTCCCATGGGACCCAGACTATCTGGACATTCTAGAAAACATTATATTGGTCTAGTATGCTGAGGAATTACGTTAATTGAACTGATGAGCAAGAAGTGGCAAGTATGTAGGAGGCCTTGATAAGACACATGCACTCCAGAGGGTAAAAGATAAACCCAATAAGGTTTCAGAGGCCACCTGGGCAATGAAATGTTAGAGGTCCAGTGGTCTGAGGCATGCCGGGATATTCCTCCAAAATAAAGAATGGATTATTTCTTCTTGTACCTTCCACTAGTAGAAAGGAAGCACAATGCCTGATTGGCCTTTTGGGTGTGTGGAGAAAGCATAGTCCACACTTGGGCATAATGCTCAGACCCATTGATTGGAGGATGTGGAAAGCTTCCAGCTTTGAGTGGGGTCCGGAGGAGAAAGGGCTCTGGGGCCTGGACTTGGCAGACTTTGCCCAATTTTGATAGTAAATGGATAAGGACAGTGGCAAGAGGCCAAGTCCTGAGAAGCCATGGTGACTAGGACTCAGACCCCTTAGGAAGGAAGTTCTGGTTCACTCCACCAGGCAAGTCACTAGAACAGCAGACACACTAGTCTAGGGTGAGGGAAATGTAGAATGGGTGGTAGAGGAAGGAAATCATGAATATCACTTGGGGTCTGTGACAACCTGCAGCAGCTGGGACTGTAGTTTGTCCTGTTAACATTCAGAATCCTAAAGGAGCTATTCCCAGAGGGGGTAAACTTACTATACAAGTCAAGTGAATACAAGCAGTACAAGGGCTGCACTATAGTGGAGTCTGTGCTGGTCACCCAGATGCCCCCTCTGGGACGGAAGAGCTTATTTTCCTAGCTGCTAGGGTTGCTGGCTGCTGCTGGCTGCTGGCTGACGCCTGCCCTGGGTGAAGCCCACAGTTAATGACGGGTCAAGGTGATGTTTCGAAGGCCAGACAATGTGGCCTCAATTGGTGACATCTATGAAAGGCCCTCCGCGTTTCAGAGCTCCCTGTGGTGTCTGCTGGGGCCTCTCTTGCAATTGTTTTATGGTTCAACTTCTTTCCCTGCCCAGGTCTGCTATCTAATTCCCTGATAGGTGTTGTTTCCAAGATCATGCCCAAATATGCTTCCTATACATGAGGGTTTTTCTCAGCTATTTTCCCCCAGAGCAGACCCACAACACTAGGAAATCTAGTATGTCATAGCCCCATCCACCTCCCCCTGGCCATCAGATCTGAAGCATTTGAAAGTCTGCTGATAGACAGAGTCCAAGCCCATGTCACAACTCGTCCAGAGTCTACTGACCCACCTGTGGTCATTTCCCTGGTCCTTGGGCGTATAATGTAAATGGATATATTAGTAGACAGAAGCCTCAGATTGGTTATTTTACTTGTGGTTCTCTGACTCATAGGGAAGGCCAAGTGGAGGCCTCTGAGATGACCCCCACCCATTCCCACATCTCCAGCCAAGATAATAAGTCAAAAACAAAGTCTCATTTTGGTGGGATGGCAAAAATTAGTATCCACTGCTGCCCCAACCCCTGCCCCAGAGATTTGCAGGGATGGTTGTCTTGACCCTATCCCCATGCAAGTCATCTGCCTGACAACGGCTGCTGTGAATTTAATCGAGTGGTAGCTCCAAATTATAGTTGTGTATATATTGTATCTTTACTTGAACAAATTAGCCCAGCCTCTGTCACTTAATATGTAGCTATCAATCTGGCAAATGCGTGCTTTTCAATTTCTATCAAGAGGAAGGATCTGAAGCAGTTTAAATTTACTTGTAATGGACAGCAGGATACATTCCTTGCCATGTCTCAGACCCATGCTTTTGCTATTGTCTGAATATTTGTATCCAATATTTCAAGACTATGCTTTTGCTATTGTCTGAATATTTGTATCCAATACAAATCCATATATTGAAATCCTAACCCCCAAGGTGATGATATAAGGAGGTGGGGCCTTTGGGAGGTGATTATGTCATGAGGGCAGAGTCCTCATGATTGAAATGAGTACCCTTATGAAGGAGACCACAAAGAGCTAGCTAGCCCCTTCCACCAGGTGAGGATGCAATGAGAATGTGCTGTCTATGAGGAATGAACCCTAACCAGACACCAAATCTGCTGGTGTTTCGATCTTGGACATGTTAATTTAGATCTGGAGGAGCAGGCGGCAAATACTTTGGATGCCCTGTTAGGACACCCATACATCAGAAAATAGGAAATAAATCTAAAAAATCCAGGGGCCTCTCAGATTAGTGAAATTTTAGCAATCCAGTTGCCTGGGGCAAACTGATGCTCTATGATGTAGCTATGGTGTACCAGAATGTTTTATGGTGTCTTTGACAAACATCACTGGGAGGCTTGCAGGGCAGAATCCTAGAGTTCTAGAGCAAGACCTTGCCATCTGTACCACAGAACTATTCAGCACTTGAGAAGCAGTTCTTGGCATGCTACTGGGCCTTGGTATAGACTGAACAACTGACCTTGTGACAGCAAGTGGCTGGAGTCTTCCCTCATATCTTGGGTATTTTCAGACTTACCAAATCAGACAGGTGCAGCAGCAACCCATCATACCATGGAATTATTACATTTGGGACCTGGGCATCTCTGAAAAACACAAGTTATAAGAATAAATCGTCCATATCTATGTACACCTATCTCTTTTGCACCAGTGTCTGCACTATGGTCTTATTGGTGCTTCCCTAGGACCAGCTGATGAAGGAGGAAAAGTGTTGGACCTTGTTCATGGGTGGGTCAGCTCAATGAGTTGGTACAATTGGTATGTTGCTACATTACAGCTCTGCTCAGTGATCGCTCTGAAAGACAGTGGTAGGGGAAATTCTCCCAGTGGGCAGAGCTTAGAATAACATGCCTGGCAATCAATTTTATGTGGAGGGAGAAGTCTGAGGTAAAGAAACACTCAGATTAATAAGCAGCATTGAATGACTTAGCTGTTCAGCCAGAGGCTTAGGATAGGCAAGATTGGAAGCTCAGAAACAAGATGTCTAAATAAGAGATGTGTGATACATCTAGGGGAGTGTGAGGACCTTTGTGTTCTCATCAATGCCAATGAGAAGCATCGTCTGCACAGGAGGCACAGAACAACCAAGGGAGTACGACGATGCATTCAGCGGAAATCAGTGTGGACCCTTTCCTTGGTCACCCTAGTTATTGCATAATGAGGCTGTGGGCATGTTAGTAATGGAGGTGGAGACAGAGGCTATGCATGGGCCCAAGAACATGGGATTAATTGCAAGGCTGATCTAGCTTCTATCATTGCTGACCGTCCGAACTGTCAGCAGCCAAGACTGGCTGCTGATGGTTCTGACGGTCAACAATGATAGTAGCTAGATTCCTTGATATGGAATCACCTGCTAGGAGACCAACCAGCTATCTGGTTGCAGGTTGATTACATTAGGACTCTTCCATCCTGGAAGGCATGCTGAGTCATTCTACTGGGATGATTTCAAACTCTAGGTATGGGTTTCCTTTCCTGCCTTTAGTGTTTCAGCTAGAATGACTCTACAAAGGTTCTCAGTCTTTTTGATTTGTCATCATGGGATCCCACACCATACCACCTCAGACTAAATGACCCACTTTACAGTGAAGGAATGTGACAATGGACACATGACCTTGCCCTCCACTCGTGCTACTGTATTCCACATCATTCAGAAGTGGCTGGCCTGATAGAATGTTGGGATGGCTTCTTAAAGGTGCAGATTACTTGTCAACTTAGAGATGATACCCAGAAAGGATGGGACACCATTCTTCAAGATGGAGTAAATACTTTAAACCAATGACTAGTATACATTTTTCTCATAGGTAGAATACACAGGTCTGGGAACCCGATGGTTGAAGTAGGACCCTGTGACCTTGCCTTAAAAAAAAGCGGCACAAGTGGATCTGAGTGGTACAGGGGCTGGACTGTGACAGCCTCTCTTAGTGCCCTGCTCACCTATCTGGAATCCTAGCATTTCATTGCATTCTGGATGACTTTCAACTCCCAGTGTCTACTTCTCTGCGCTAGAGAACTTTTCCTACAAGTGCAGAAAGCTGCTCTGCCTGCTTGCCCAGCAAGCTGGAAATACTGGGGAATTAACAGCTCTCTGGGATCAGCCCTCAGCCCAAAGGCAGACAGAAGTGAATGTATAAATACCCCAGGTCCTTCATCAGTCAAGTAGGATAGCTTTGAGGCATGTAATTTGCAGTTTCTTAGAGTTTTCCTGTGGGATTACTCGGTAGCTGCCCATTGTTTCAGCTGGTTTAATATGCACACTTTATTTGCCACTTTTTCCTGTCTGTATCACTTTTCTACTTCTCTGCAATTTTTGCTTGTGACTTCCAAATAAACTACTTGTGCTCAAATCCTTGTCTCAGAGTCTGTGTCTGGGAGAATCCAGATGAGATAGTTTCCTACAATCTTTCTACCTTTATTCTCCATTTGCATGGGTTTCTTACTCATATGTCCCATTCTGTTTTATCATACGTCATCTTTTGAATTATGTTTCCTGGCAATAGACCCCTACAGTTCCTTTTCCTTCACTGAAGGCAATCTAGTCCCTGTTACCTTCAGGCTCCAGAACAAGTGGAAAAATATCACCCGGGGCTAACTGAAAAACAGAACTCAAATATCTAAGGCAGTTTAACAAAAGCCATATGCAATTAGTAGTAGAACTGGGAATAGATATGCCTTTTCAAAGACAACAGAGCTGGCATAAGTTTCACCAGGTTGGGAATACAAATGATAACCTTAGGCCATCATCTTGCCCACAAGTTCTTAACATCCCTCAAAGATGATACCAATTATTTCTGAGTGATTGATTCCAAGTTGGCATTCCAGAATTTGGGTTCTTTCTCTCCCTTTCTGGCTCCCGTTCTAGTCAACATCCACAGCGCTGGAATTGGCCAATATGTTCTTGGTGATAATGCCAATGACTTTGCCAAAGGGATTGTCTCTCAAGGCTCTGGCTCCTTTGGTTCATGACACAGTCCAGGAAGCTGTCGAGTGTCCCTGTCAGCCATCGTGATGATGTCCCTGGTGAGAATACCCATGTCCTCACCAGAAGCCTGTCTCTGAAGCTCTCAGAGCTGCCATTCCTGGGGTGCAGGAATAGTCCAACCAAAACCGCAGAGCGTGGCCCCTTCCAGACTTCTGAAGCTACATGGTTGGTGTTTGAGTTTTCATTTCATTTCTCAAGAGCATCTCCTTTAGCTTCTGAGCCTCATCCCCAATTCTCTGACAGCCACCGATTAAACAAAAGCATGCATATCAACCCAAGAACAAACAGCAATTTTCCTGCATAAAAATGACTCAAACCATTCTTAAAATATAAAATGAAGTAAAATTTCCCCAAAGGCAACTCAATGTATAGAGTAGAAAGTGTACTTTACATGCAGATAATATTTTTTTGTGAGCACAAAGAGCATTTCAGTCTCAAGAACCACAGCTGTGTCTCAAAAGCCTCTTCTCCAATTATGGTCCTGGCTTGATATTTACATACCCAAATGGCCCATTTGAGTGGTTTTCCAGAAACAGTGTCCTCCAATGTCTTCCTCTCTTTCCAACCCAAATTACTTAGAAATGGCAGTGCTTCGCTTCCAGCTTCCCCTCCACTCCACACAGATTTCCTTCATTTCTATAATTTTTTTCAGTGATTTTCGGGCCAAGTTTTAAGAGACCAGGAGTATGTTCAAGGGATCATCTCAGGTAAATGTCTTAAAAATGGACCATTTCCCCTGCAGTGAGGGAGGGAGGTGGAAAGTCCTGTAGCTTTCCTGGACAGACTAGACCATGGATGCTGACCAACCCAGAGCCATAGGCCTGGGCCCTTCTCCAGCATATTCAGGCAACTAAGAGTCAGCTTTTAAGCATAGCCTCATGTCAGAGACCCTGGGTCCAGGCTGATGACCAATGGTCTTTCTGACTCTAAGTGCAAGACTGTTTTCTGATGCCTCTTAGAAAAGACGCTGGGATTTTGAGGATGGCAGGGCCACTTCCATGAGTGTCCCCATGGGGACCAGCTCTGGGCAGCTCTTGCCAACCACCCCAGTAGGAAAGTGACCATTGCAAACTTTTTGCAGGTGAGACAGACCTGCTAATCATTACAAAATGGCTGAACCATGCGCGGACAGCCTGGAAAAAGCAGTCATTTTCAATACGAGTTTTAAAGCCTTCACCAAGTCCCTTGCCAACCCAGCTAATAGAAGGGAGGCTTGGGAAAGCTTACTCATCCTGCTTAGCCCAACTTTGTTCTGCCTCCTACTCAGTCATAAATTGCTGCACAGGCTGTGCTGGCTAAATTGACATTAAGAGTTATTAAAGGAATGAGTCTACAGTTTAGGAAATGTGCATTCATGATAGGCTTCTGCAGTCTTAGGAAGAGCCACGGCAGGGCAGGGGAAGCTGACAGTTGCAGAGGTGGGGCCTCACAGCTTGGAAAGTTGGAAGAAATCCTGGTGCTCTTGGAGGCCCAGTGCCCCCAGTTAAGGAGACACAGCCATAAAGGAACCCTATGGTGACTCATGCAGCCTTGTCTGTGATACTGACTGATGGTCTGTGGGTTTATGTCTGGTTTCCACACACAGGTTTGTGTATGCATGTCTTCCTCCAAAAATCATCATTTTAATTTTTTGGCAGCCTAGTGGTATTCATCTTGGAGTGTGAGTGGAGGTTCCTCCTGTCTGTATATTGGCAGCTCTAGCTTCCTGTCTACCATGGCCCATGGGCCTCCCTACACCAAGAAGCAACACTTGTTCCTCTGTGTTGCTTGGTTAACATGGAACACACCCAATCTGCTCTTGCACTTGCTTCTTTAACTCTTGTGGTGTCACCTACGCATTTGTGTATAACTTGTTTTCTCTACCAGATTGTGACCTCCTGGAGTACGGAAAATATCTGGTCTTCTCACTGTGCTATGGAGACAGCAGGTGTTCCACAAAAATAGTTTGCATGAGTAATTATGGAGCTGCTTCTGGGGCTGGCATCTGGAGGAAGACAATTACCTGTTACTTTAATTTTCTATACAGGGAGAGCAGATATACTTGTTAGAATTTATTGTAAAACAAGATGAAGCTTGTCTATGACTTAAGCAGCCAAGACGTGGTGCCCAGGTTTTGTTGAAAGGTTTACTTTGGCACTTTTCCAGATAACTGTGTTTGCCAGAGGAGTGACCACTGGATAGTAGTAGCGAAGGTTTAATGACATCTTTGCTGTATGCCAGAGAACTTTCTGTGGGCTGTATGTGCATTAACACATTTAATCTTCAAAACAGTTTGAGTTAAGTTCCCCATCACACCTATTTTACAGATGAAGAAACTGAGATAGGCTGGGCACGGTGGCTCACGCCTGTAATCCCAGCACTTTGGGAGGCTAAGGCGGGCAGATCATGAGGTCAGGAGTTCAAGACCATCCTGGCCAACATGGTGAAACCCTGTCTCTGCTAAAAATACAAAAATTAGCTGAGTGTGGTGGTGTGTGCCTGTAATTCCAGCTACTTGGGAGGCTGAGGCATGAGGATCGCTTGAACCCAGGAGGCAGAGGTTGCAGTGAGCTGAGATTGCGCCACTGAACTCCAGCCTGGTGACAGAGTGAGACTCCGTCTCAAAAAAAAAAAAAAAAAAAAAAAAAAAAAGAAACTGAGATATGTAGAGATTAAGTACCCCACCCAAAATCACATAACCAAAAAATTATGGAGCTGGGATTTAAGATCAGGCATTCTGACTTGAGAAACTGTACTCTTAACCGGGATGCTATAGGACCTCTCAAAAAACTTGAAACACACTGACCCACCCACCCATCCATCCACCTATCCATCAAATGTTTAAGCCCCTTTGAAATAAATAGCTTATATATAATGACTATATCTTTAAATCTTCTGCTCCACACCTCTTCTCAATGCCCTTCTTAGCTCTCAGACTTGGTAGAGGGCATCCACAGTGAATAAAACCTCTGGCTAGGATTTTGGAAGCAATAAAGAACACTGGAAATGATGACAGTAAGTTGGAGTCCACTAAGTTTATCCTGGAGAAGTGAAGAGAAGGACTTGCTGGAAATTATATGATTTGGGATACATATGAAAATTCTAGGAATGATTTTCTCTGGCAGCATTCATACTGGGTAATGTTTGGGAGGAGTCTTTCCATGTTTTCTTTATTATATTCCATATGTTGGTTTATATTTTTCTATTTCATTCTTCCAAAAGTTATAAAGGATATTTTTGTCCATTAGGTCTTTAATAGAGTATCTGCCTCTTCTACTATGATTTGAATAGTGTACCTTTGGTCTAACTGAACCATCAGGGGTTGCTTAAAATGGGAAAAGGGGAGATCTGGGTTTGGTACAGTACTAATCTCACTGGGACCGTTTCCTCACCCGTAAAGTAATGGAAATAAATGAGATGACCTCTAAGTCCTGTCTCAGTTCTGAGTCTGGTCCTGAGTATTTTTAGCCACATTTCTGGAAGGCTCACCTTCCTACACATTTTTCTTAATGTGCATATCAAAACTTTTCATTCTTGGCACTGGGTTTTTGGCATAACAACATCTTCAGCCCATCCTTCCTATCTTGGAAAATAACATTCAGGGAAAGGGGTGATTTAATTTTTCATTTTAGACAAGTTAAAGGTGCTTTCTTCTGGTCTTATAGGCCTTCTCTTTATTCCTTCCCCTAACTATTGAGTGGGCAGGATGTCCCAGTCAGCAAATAACCTTTAAATTCAGAGGACTAACCCACAGCTGCTTCCAGAGGCTGCTTGCAGGCATCACTTTGTAGATGAACAAGTCTTTTAATAGGGATAAAATGCTGGTGCTGCCTGCTGGTCTGTTGGCACATGTCCCGGAATTCTGCTAATGTTGCTTTCGTATTCAGGATTTGGATTTTTTGTCCTCATTACCTTAACACCTCTTTGCTATTAAAAAAAATTCAATGTCAGTCAAAGATGAAAACAACCAGTGTCAAGGCAGTAACAGCTTAGTGATTCCAGTAATAATAATATGTGCTAACATCTGCTGGATACTTACTATTTGTCAGGCACTGTTTTAAGTGCTTTGTATTCACCAGCTTGTTTGATTTTCTATGAGGTAGACATGATTATTCTTTTACAGTTCCTCAACAAAGGCACAGAGAAGTTAAGTAACTTGATTACAGTCACAGCTAGTGGTAGTTTTCTGAACTTTGGCTCTTAATACTGGAGATGAGGTGGGGGTATGCAAGAGCCTGCTGAAGAATAAAATGCATCTCAATAGACCTGAAAGACTGTATTTGGTGGGAGATTTGCCCAGCTGGATTCTAATAGCTTTAAATAAGCACTTACTGGGGAGAAATAGAAAATATTTCTAATCCTGGATGCTACAGAATGGTGGGCATATATAATATTTTCGCTGCAAAAATATTTATGCAGTATCTGCTATGTATCAGGAAGACTGCTAGGTGATTTAGAAGACTAAAAAGAGAGGAGTTACATGTGCTTCCAGAAAAAAAAAAAAGAAAAAAAAAGCCAAATGATTGGAAACAATATTTCTGGCCTCTGATGATTTTATGCAAATGCACAGAGTATGGAAAATAATAAAACCTTGCAGATTTAGAAACATCTAGACAATGGCCCAGCACAGTGGCTCACGCCTGTAATCCCAGCACTTTGGGAAACCAAGGAGGCGGATCATTTGTGGTCACGAGTTAAAGACCAGCCTGGCCAACATGGCAAAACCCCGTCTCTATTAAAAATACAAAAATTGCCAGGCGTGGTGGTGGGCACCTGTAATTCCAGCTGCTCAGGAGGCTGAGACATGAAAATTCCTTGAATCCGGGAGGTGGAGGTTGCAGTCGAGATTGCACTCCAGCCTGGGTGACAAAGTGAGACTCTGTCTCAAAAAAAATCCAAACCAACCAACAAACAAAAAAACACCCAGACAAATATCGTCTTTCCTATATGACCAAGATGGAATGGGCTAGGACTGACAAGTAGAATGGGTGGGCTCCAAAGAAACAGATCTGGTAGCAGGCAAGTGACGTTTGTCAGACCAAGAGACGTGACACATGGCAGAGAGAAGAAAGCTGGACATGTTGGTCAAGGACATTAGCTGTCAGGAAACCATCTTTCACAGAATACAGAATGGGAGCCCATGGCCAGAGACGTCAGAGGGAAGAGCTGTCGATGGAAGGAAGCCTTTAATAAATTAAATAAAGGCAATCAGACCCTAAGAACCCACAACAAAGAGATTGATGGGGCAGGTAAAACATCGTGGGATGGCCCAGGAAGTTCAGTTCATTTCCAACATCTTAGCTGGGTTTTATAAGGCCAAGTTGGGTGATAGAAGCTAATATGAATGCCCACCAGCTAAAACCCAGAATGACCTGAATGAAAATGGATAGCAAACAACACATTCTAACTGTAATTGTAACAAGAAGAAAATGAAGGAAAAGTGGTTTCCATTGCTTTCAGCAGGTGATAAAATAGAAACATTACAGTCTAACTAATTGGTAAAATCTTTGCTATTATTGAAAAAAATTAATTAAAAAATTTATAATTGACTCAATAATAACATATTTATGGGGTACAGTGTGATGTTTCAATGCATGTGTAGTTGTATACATCAAATCAGGGTAATTACCATATGCACACTTTAAACACTATCATTTCTTTGTAGTGATAGCATTCAAAATCTCTTCTAGCTGTCTTGAAAGAATCCTGGCTCTTTGATTAACTGAAGCAGCATTGACTAATGGATTGATTGAAAAATAGAGGGAGAGCTTAAAACATTCTTTGCCCTACCTTATTCAACATTTAAACTTTTAATTTCAAAGACAAAATATAAAATATGCATAAAAGTGGAAAGAATAGTATAATAAGGCCTAATATTACATTTTAATATTAATTATATTATATTAGTTGTTACATGAATATAATAATCATAAATGTAATCAATGATATCAATTGTTACATTATGCATAAAGTAATATTCATGCTCTATGCATATTAATAGTATAATAAGTTTCCATCTATCCAATACCCAGTTTCTAGACTTAGCATGATTGTGCTACACTTGCTTCATTTGTCCATCATGTGTTCTCTGCTGAGGTATTTTAGAGCAAATCTCAGAAAGCACGTTATATCATCACCGTATAATTCAGCAGAAATTCATGAAAACAGAACATTTTAAAAAATAACACAACGATTGCATCAAAAGTAACAATAATTCCTGGTACCTTCTGACATCTTGATTGCCTCAAAATGGCTTTTTAGTGTCGGTTATTTAAACTGGGATCTAAATAAGATCCTCTTATTATATTTGGTAATTGGATCTACTGTCTCTTTTACCCAAGAGCAGTTTCCCTGTTTCCCTGTTTCTCCTGCTGCATATGTTTTTTTTAATTCCAGTTACTTGTTGAAGAAACCAAGATAGTTTTCCCACAGAATGCCCATATTCTAGAATTGTTTGTTTGCTTTCTTGCGGTGTCATTTAAGTTGTCCATCACAATTCCTGGAAGTGCCAGGGAAGTTGATTTGATTCAGATTTTTTTTTTTAATTTTTAACAGCAAAACTTCATAGGTGGTACTTCACATTTCATATTACAGCACACAGGAGGCACATGACGTATGCCTGTTCCATCTTTAGTGTTGCTAGTGTTGATTAAGGGTGACAGTCAGTCTTTCCAGTATAAATTCCCCCATTGATAGGGTGACAATAGCAGTTTTCATGGATCTGTCCCAGTTTATGACTATTTTGCTGGTGTCCTGCTCAGTGTAATCATTTGTTCTAGATTTTTGATTTTTAAACAAACTATTATTATTAATAATTGCACTAACATCAACCAAGATGATTTCCACTTTGTATTTCCAGCTTCCACCATACTCTCATCTAGAAGTGTGGGATACACACCTGCAGTGAGCAGAATTCTTTAGCATGTGGTTAATGTGAAAGGCAACCAGCAATGACCCACTTCTAGATGGAATGTTCTCTTTCAAGGACCGTGCAGGGTGTTTGTTGATAAAACAAGGTGTGCTCAGATGCAACTAGCTGGAGATGGCTAACTCCATCCAATTTCAGATGGTGGTGGAAGATAGATTCAATGTTACTGCCCTCATCAGACACTTGGTTTACCACACAGTTGGACAGAGGCCTGTGCTATGGCCACTAGGCTGCTGGTCACTGTGGTCATTGAGAAATGTGGGATTATAAGATAGGTTTACACGAAATGTTTATAGAAGTAGAGGCTGTGCTATTCTGCCATGGAGAATAGGAAAAGTAGTCTGAATACTCTGGCATTATCATTTATTTTATGGTTAAACGACTACAACTATTTATTTATTTATTGAGATAGGGTCTTTCTCTGTCACCCAGGCTGGAATGCAGCAGTGCAATTACATCTCATTGCAACCTCTGCCTCCTAGGCTCAAGCAATCCTCCTGCCTCAGCCTCCTGAGTAGCTGGGACTACAGGCACACACCATCATGCCTGGCTAGTTTTTTGCAGAGACGGGATCTCCCTATCTTGCCCAGGCTCCCCCTATCTTGTCCAGCTGGTCTCTAGCTCTTGGACTTGAGCAATCTGCCTGCTTTGGCCTCCCAAAGTGCTAGGATTACAGGCATGAGCTACCGTGCCTGGCTTATTTATTTGTTTTTGGTAAACTCTTGGTAGCAAAAATCTACAAAAATGGTGGTCTATGTTTAACGAAAACTTTAATACATTTTTACTTTTTAAAAAAGTTGATGATGAATGTGTAACTTGCTGCCAATGTTTGTCAACATTTACCACCCATCGGGGGCCCATGATGATATTACTGACTGTTACTGGTGGAAGATCTTGACTAGGAGTTGTACAGGTTTTTGGTGTGTTGAGCAAAGAATTGGACAAAATGCACAAACCAAGCAATGGAAGGCAAAAGCATAGATTTAGTGAAGTGAAAGTACACTCCACAGAGCAGGAGCTGGCTGGAGCAAGAAGCTCAAGAGCCCTAGTTGCAAATTTTCTGGGATTTAAGTACCCTTTAGAGATTTCCTATTGGTTACTCCCTGTTTAAATGAAGACTTGGCCTGCCGCCAGTTGGAGGCTGAAGTGAAGGCTTGGCCCGTGACCAATCAGAGGCTGAAGTGGAGTTACACTCTATGCAAATGAAGACTTGGCCCATGACCAATTGGAGGCTGAAGTGAAGTTACCCCCTGTGCAAATAAAGGCTGGGCTGGTGACCAATCAAAAGCTGAAGTGCTGCCTGTCTCCAGACCCTATTCTGCCTCACTGACCACATAAAAAGCAGAAGACAAAAATCTCATGAAGAAGCTTCATCATCTGCTTCAAAAATTGGTAATTATTTCAAGAAGACTGTGCCTAAAGATGACAATTTAGCACCTGCAGTTGCAGAAGGTGCTTTTACACATACTTGGTTAATCATGATTTTTCATTTAGATCAAATAACTAGTCTTCTAAACTAATCTTCCTCATTTGAAATTCCAAATTTTCTCATTCATTTATAGAAAGTGAAATGATAGCTATTTATATTTTCATGACATTAGCAGAACTTTGTAAACAGGTAAATGAAGATGGATTCAGATCAATGTCCTTAGAGCCTTCAAATTGAAGTTAGTTAATTCCAATAATGTTTGTGTTTTTCATCTGCTTCATGGAATCAAAATAAAGCTTTTGGAAGTTCGCTCTTTGAAGGGAACATTATTGTAATAAAGTTATTGTAAATAAAGTTTGATATTGGAGATATTTATAGTTATAAAATTAGTTATATTTATGGTGATAATGACAAATACAAATTTTGATAGGACCAACTATTGTGGTCAAAGCAATGTTTTTACTAAAATAAGAGCCTATGAGGCATAAATCTGTGAATAATTGTTATACACATGATTATAATTTTATTCAAATAAGCTAAAACATTTTACTAACCAAAACAGAAGCTGTTGTTGTCAAAATTTACAAATATATACACTTTATCACAGTTGCAGTATTTGAGCTACAACATTTTCTTTTGTAACTTTTTTTTAAAAAGATGATGCTTTCTCTCTTCACTGCCAACTATGAGCTGGAGTTCAGTTATGCTTGAGCCTTTGAAGAATGACTTTGTAAACCAACCTTTGTGTTCTACAAGGGCATTGAATTTTCTATTTATGCTTCTGATAAATTTGGGTTATAGTTTGTTTAAAATCAGCTGGAAGTTTTTAATTATTGTACTCAAAGGATGACACACCAAAATCTTCAGCTTTTGAAGTTTTTGATGAATTGTAATTATTGAGAGAAAAGCTTGCCTGGGAAGGCATTAGAATTCACCTCTATAAAAGGCAAGAGAAAAACACAAGAAATTAAACAATGAGAATTCAAACTATATTTAAAATTTGATTTTGAGTTACTATAATTGCACCTTGGAATATATCGAATTGCAGGAAGAACTTTTTGATGAAGTTTTTACTTTAATTGTAAGTCTATATTCTGTATTGAAAGAAGGTCTTTGATTTGCAGTCCCTACCTTTGGTGAAACCTTAAAATAATCATAGAGACAATGTATTTAATGAGTTTTATCTTGTAGAAATAGTTGTTGAAAAATAGAGGCAAATAACAAGTCTTTAAAAAATACTAGGGCTGAAATATTTACGCATTTAAAAATGGACAATGTATTCCTCTTTTTTTTTTTCTTTTTTGAGATGGAGTATTGCTCTGTTGCCCATGCTGGAGTGCAGTGGTGCCATCTTGGCTCAGTGCAACCTTCAGCTCCCTGGTTCAAGCGATTCTAATGCCTCAGCCTCCCAAGTAGCTGGGATTACCGGCATATGCCTGGCTGACAAAACATTCTTTACATCTAAGAATAGGTGTCGGTGGAAGTGCTGAGGAGGGAGGCAAATTCATATTTTTAATGGATCTCTTCATGTGAAGACAAAATGTTATCCTTTCCCCAAGGCACTGACTGTTTTTCCCAGGGGATCGTGCCATACTGGGGACTCAGCGTTAGCCTCTGAGTTTGGGGCGTTGGGTACCCTGGAGTCGTGGTGGCCAGATCAGACGTGGTGAAGGAAGATCGTGCTGTTGAGCATGCACAGCCTCCATGGAGCAGGCCCTGGAGTGGCTGACTGACAGGCTTTGAATGGGCTCTCTTTTCCACCTGGCTACTAGGACACTCCTCTGTCAGGAGTGTCTTTGGCCGACATATACATGAGCCATAAACATCTTTGTGTTACACGCTCATTCTAAAAGAGCCAACTATGTGTCTCTATCCTAGACTTCCTTGTCACTAATTTTTCAATTCTTTCCAAGTCTGTGAGCAAGCAGCCAAGCCATTAGCTGTTGCCTATGAGTCATTACAGATTTGTATCTCAGGCCACTTCTCCTTCCGCATGAAGTAGAAGACTAGATGTACCACTTGAAGTTCTGCCCACCAGGATAATTTGCCTTCATCACTGCCTTTCAGGGCCATCTTTAAAAGTGTAGTGCTAAAGGCATCCACATCTGGCTCATGCCTGCACACCATGAGGATTCATTTGTAGACGAGGCCTGTGCTTTATCTTTTCCTGCTAACTGGACATAGGGGACTCGCCCTGAGGTCACAGGTATGGATAAGGGTGAGGTGGTGGAGCAGTGGCTGCTGGAGTCATGGCAGTGAGGGGCAGCTGTTGGTGCAGTTCGTGCATGCTTTCTGGACCTGCTTGGGCTTGGTCTCCTATATACCACTTCCAATTTGTAATGGAAAGTTGCTGTACATGTCTGACTTGGTGGTTTGGTGAATTTAACTTATGATGGACAGTTGGGTTGCACAGTCAAGTTGGTATACCCTGGTGAAGCATAAAGCCTCTACCAGGGCCCAGCAGCCAGACATCAGCTGCTTTTATGATGGAGAATAGTTGTCAGCAGAGGAGAGCATTTGGGGCTTGCCAGCTACCCCAGTGGAGCTCCACAGACACTTTCCATTGGGTCTGTTGGTAATAAGGTTTAAGTGGCAGGGCAGCTTGCACCAGAGCATCAACCTGCTGAAGAATCCTTTTTTGATTTCTGCTAAGCTCTAAACTGTCAGCCTTATGGTTTTCCTGGCAAATGAACTGTAATTGCATATACTCATACTTGCCATATATTGCCTCCCCAAACAAAAGAGGGCCACCAAGCATCATGCCTTCTTTGTGGTAGTTGGTGCAAAGTGCAGCAACTTGGCTTTTATTTTAGAGGGAAGTCCCGCCACACTGCACTCCTCTGGACCCCTAGAAACTTCAATATTACAGGCCCATGTGAAGTTCCACAGGGAATTATCTCCTGGCCTTTGGCATGCACATGTCTCCTTAGGCATCTAGGATCCTTAATATGATCTGATCATAAGACCAATTAGCATAATGTCGTCAATATAATGGACCAGTATGATGCTCTGTGAGATATCAAGTTCATCACAATCCCTCCAAGCTATGTAGATAAAGCTGACTTAGTCCTGAGGGTCAGGGGTCAGGTAATAGTAAATGTTGGCCCTGGCAATAAAGATGCTACAAATGAAACTGCAGCTTTGATTGTCATTATCATCATCGGATTTTATTTCTGATGATCTGTGGTCATTCTTCATAACCCAACTGACCTTTGTTTTAGGCAAAAGTGTGATAAATTAGGGATGTGATGGGAATCACCATCACTTTGTTTCTTGGGGCTTTGATGGTGGCACTAATCTCTCAATCCCTCCAAATATGTGTTTTGCCTTTGCTTTTCTACCTTGGCTGAGAGTGAGCACTGGGGAGAGGAGGATAGTTGCTGGGGTTTCCACTTGATTCTTCCTACCATAATTTAGCCTTCACTCAACAGGTTAGGAAATGAGTGTAGAGATTTTGCTAGTTACTCTGTTATACCTATTTCTGCTGTACAATACATCTGGATTTGGGGATGGAGCTACCACATAGGTCCACAGCCCCACTGGCCCTACAATTACATGGACTTGGGCCACAGCTGTTTCCAACACGGACTTTCATTAGGCCCTACTCTAACAGGTGCCCCACACTGGGATTTTGGATTTCTGTGTGGCCAGTGTGTACATAACCAGTGAAATCTACATAAGGTTTATGGATCATACCAATGTTAATTTCTTGCCTGCGCTATTGTGCTACAGTTGTGTAAGATTTCAGCATTGGGAGCAGGGGAATTGTGGGCAGAGCTTCCCTGTACGTTTCTCTGTAATCTTGTGAATCTACAATTATTCAAAAGAAAAGAAAATTTTAACAGGTGTAAAATTGTTTGTTTTGCTAGGCTATTGAAAGGATTAGAGTAAAATGCATTTGGTATTATAATGTCTAGCACAGAGTAGGTTTTTAATCCATTATATTCACACAAACACAGACACACACACACACACAACCCTGAATGCTTGACATTCCTAGCTTCCTACCAGCGAGGCATGAGCTTTGAGTTGTCTGCCTGTTGGCTGTATTACGCAGGCCTCACGCTGTATTCTTATTTTCCCTTTTGAACCAGGGCACCACTAGTAAAGCAGCTGTCCGAGATAATGCCTACATTGTTGGCCTATGACCCAAGGAGCTCCCTGGCTACTCTGGGGTGTGATGGTAGTCACAGACTCACTCCACAGTACCTGGGCTGAGTGAGATCCAGCGAGGCAGCCCCACCCATGGTGGTAGAGGGTGGTGGTAGAGGTGACAGTGGGAAGAGTCAGGTATAGACTGAGATGAGGATGCTGAGAAGGCCAGGGGGCGATTGGAAACTCCGCCCTGGCCGCACCTCACGGAACTGTGGCTCTGGCCACTCATGGGCAGTTCTGCTGCGAAAGACGGGACATTGCTCATCTTCCTACTGACGCTTGTTGAAGAGCTTGGGCACGATGTCTAAATACGTAATTAAAGTTAATCTTGTTGCCATTACCTTATTCATTACAGTGATTTTCTGGTGGCTTTTATGGATCATTGTAAAACTGGTTTTGAATGAAGTATGTCTCCTCACTTTTTCCGTCTTAATTTTTAAGAGTGCCTATATTCTTTGGTTGCTAAGTAACATGCCTATAATGTGTTATCACAGTGGTTCTATCTGAATAATTTCAGTAATCACTTAGGAGATTGCTTTAATAGTATATCATCTTAAATGGGAAGAAATGACTAATTCTAGGCTGTTTGGAGAAAACTGACTGAAGCATTTCCTCAAAGACAGGAGGTTTGTCAGCCAAGGAACTTAAAGACAGAGCACATAACCCCTAACTCAGGGCAGTTCTCCTTCAGAAGTTTCCCCCCTGCCTCCAGTGTCTCCAGAGACAACACACCTGCTCCAGGGACTTCAAAAGTTTTAAAGAACCAAAGGATCCAGAAGAGGAGATATTTAAAAAGGAATATTTGAGAATATTAAGGAACATTTTGTTGCCATGACTGGAAAAATTGCATTTATTACAACCCCGTAAATACAGATATGAGATGCGGAAGTAAGGCAGTGTTGGTCTTGTGAAAGCCGGGCAGAAACACGAGCAGAGTTAACTATGGAGCTATCATTATGGTTAACCCATGGGAGCCCCTAGATCTGAGACCAATCAGCGACACTGCAGATGCAGCTCTCCGAAGCTGAGTTTTTTTCTTCCTCCTAGATGAGCATCCTGGAAGAGGAAGCCAGGAGCTCAGAAATGTGTTCATCTGAGCTGGAGACCAACAGGACTAAGGCTGTGAATCTGAGCCCCAAACACAGGCAAAGTGTGTGTTGTTCTCATGTCCAGATCCTACCCCAATCCTGACCATTTCATGGAAGTCTACAGTCTGGGTCGGGTGTACAAATGGCACGAGACATATTCAGGTTTTTCTTATTCTGCAGAAATGTCTCCTTCAGCCTTCCCTTCTCTCACTTCTTGACTGGCTGTTTTCTCTACTTTAGCACCAAACTTTCACTGTCTCCACCGTCTCACCTCTCATTCACTTTTCAACCAGTTGTCATCTGGATCCCTACTCTCCTTCCCAACTAATGACTAAACTGCTCTTCCTAACGTCAATCTGATGTCCCTAACACCGGCTTCCCTGCCTACCTTCAACCCTCTACCTGACGGGCATCTCTGCTGCACCTGCTGTGGGGCACTGGCCTGCCCCTGCTTCCTCTCTCTTGGTCTTTCTGCAACTCCAACTCCTACTTCTCCTCCTATTTCTCTCCCTGTTTCATCTTGGTCCCCTTCGCTGCCTCCTCTTTGTCTTTCCACTCTGTGATTGTTGGTGTTTGGGAGGATTCATTCCTTAGCCCTTCCTCTCTCTGCCTCTGTCCTGGGCACTCTTCCCCCACAAACCCAGAGCCATCTTATTTGTGATACTTTGTGCCACGTGCTGTACAGAGATGAATAAAACATAACTCCCGACCTCACGGCACACACTAGATCTAGAGGGAAAGACAGGCAAGGAAATAAGGAAAAGTAATAAAATGTTAGTGGTTCCATGGTACAAGTTTGGATGATATGGTGGGGGCAAAAATTCATTCTACATGAAAAGGAAGAACAGTCAGAACAATGCCCCATTGGAGGACTTACCATGTTGCATAATAATTAGAAGTGAAGGGTTGTCAGGTCTAAGGTATGCATAATAATGCACACAGAAAATGAATAAACACACACGTGTGTGTGTGTGTGTGTGTGTGCATTTCTGGGCGGGGGATGGGGTGCATGAGGAGGGTTTGGGGTAGCTGAGGCAGAATGGAGGAGACATCTAAGCATCTTGGGTCAGTGCTATTTCCCAATTATATATAAATATTTCTTTATTTTAACATCCTGTACAGCCATACAGGAACATTGCTGCCTTACTCCTTGGACTGGGAATTCCATGAGGACAGACTACATCTTAATCATTTCTGTGACCCTAGCTCTTAGTATAGTACTCTGTTTATAGTGAGTGACTGATAAATGTTTTATGAACTAAATAGAGTGCAATTAATGGCTTAGATTCACCTTTATTCAGAAAAGCAACTCAACTCACAAGAGAACATTGGCAAATGAGTCATGTAGAATAGGTTTGGCTGTGATTACAAATAGCCCCAAATCTTAGTGGTTTATTACACAATGGCTTATTTCTCACGCATATGACTTGTCTGTCGCAAGACATCTGGGGGCTCTGCTACATATCTCCTCTCTCAGGGACCCAGGCTGATAAAATAACCACTATCTGAAACAGGTGGTCAACACTGCAGAGGGAAAAAAGAGAATGTGACAAATTGTGCACTAACTCTAAAAGCATATGCTGGAAAATGAAATGTCAATCTGCTTACATTTCATTGACCAAAGCAAGTCTTATTTGATGCCACATTTTCTTTTATGAAAGACAGTCTTCATAGGTGCAACATGATTGCTAGCTGTGGGCCCCATGCTCTGCTAGGATCTGTCAGGGAAACAGGGATAAGGGAGTGCCCCCGCTCTTTGGAGAGAGGATCACACTATAGTGAGGAAGATGGGTATGTAAACAGGTGTACTGTAATAGGTCTTGCTGGGGGAATGAGCTTTTAAAGGACTGAAAAAAGATTTCTCTTTTCCTTTCTTTCTTTCTTCTTCTTCCTCCTTCTCCTTCTTCTTCCTCTTTTTATTCTTCTTCTTCTTCTTCCTTCTCCTTCCTCCTCCTCCTCCTCTTCTCCTTCTCCTTCTCCCCCTTCTTCTTTTTTGAGTGAGGCTGAAGTGCAGTGGTGCAATCAGAGCTCATTGCAACCTCTGGCCTAACTCCTGGGCTCAAGCCATCTTCCCGCATCAGCCTCTTGAGTAGCTAGGATCACAGGCGCATGCCACCATGCCTAGCTAGTTTTTTAATATTTTATTATTTAGAGACAGGATCTTGCTCTGTTGCCCAGGCTGGCCTTGAACTCCTGGGCTCGAGTGATCTTCCCTCCTTAGCCTCCCCAAGTGCTAGTATTACAGATGTGAGCAGCCACACCCTGCCGAAGAGGGAGTTTCTTCCATAAACTCCACAGGGGTTCAATTTCATGTCAGCTTACCAGCCCCTCATATGGATAGCATACAGGCTTGAGGCCTGTGAACCTCTATATCCAATATATATTTTTGTACTTGTACTAAATAGTACAATGCTTATACTATCAAACATTGCTGGGACTATTTGTTATGTTTCAGTGTCTCCTCTCACCCTCCAGCTAGAGAACAAGGACACCAAGACAAACAGACACAATTCCATTAGGTAGCAATTGGTCTCTGTCACCTCAGTGCCTAGTAATGGTGGTGGAAGGTGGTACTTAATATGAGGATGTACTTGACACATAATGAATGAATGAGCAGATGAATGCATGAATAAATGAATGGCCATCCTTATATTAAGCACCATTCTTGTAGCTTCTCATTTTTGGTTCTTCCAGGAGTCTTCACCTAGCTCCTGTGTACACACCTCTCAGTTTGGACATAGATTTCATTGCCTGTTTTCCCACTTTTCCCCTGCCTTTGTTCTTAGTATGTGGCTCCTGACAAATAGTGTCACTGTGGCCCTTGTCATTGCAGCTTCTGTTTGTCTTCCAGGGTTTCTCCACCTCTCACACTCTCTTGCCCCCTCTGAATTGAGGCCTGATTCACACTGCAGTGTTCATTCTAAGGAGCAAGAAGCAGCTGGAAAATCAACACTGTGTTTTATGTTTGTTGTGTGTACTGAGTTGAATAGTATTCCCCCAAAATTCATGCCCAGCCAGGATCTCAGACTGTGACCTGATTTGGCGATTTGAAATAAAAATGTCAAAGAGACATCTGCACTCCCATGTTTTTTGAAGCACTTTTCACAATAGCCAAGATGTGAAAACAATCTAAGTGTCCATCAATGGATGAATGGATAAAGACAATATGGTGTATAGACATAATAGAATGATAGTCTTAAAGAAGAAGGAAATTCTATCACTTGTCACAACATAGATGGACTTGGAGGACCTTATGCTAAATGAAATAAGCCAGGTAGAGAACAACAAATAAGCCAGGTAGAGAACAAATGCTGCATGTTCTTACTTATATATGGAATCTAAAACGGTTGAGCTTATAGAAGCAGAGGGTAGAATGGTGGTTCCCAGAGGCTGCAGGTTTAGGAGAATGTGGATATGCTGGTCAAAGGCTACAAAGTTTCGGCTAGAGAGGAGGAATAAGTTTAATAGGTCTATTGCACAGCATTGTGGCTATAGTTAATAATAATGTATATTTCAAACTTGCTAAAAGTAAATTTCAAATGTTCTCACCACAAAAAATGAATATCTGAGGTGATGAATATGTTAACTAGCTTGACTTAATCATTCCACATTGCATACCAGTATTATAACATCATATATTATAACATCATATTGTACTCCATTAGTATATTATAAAATTATAATTTGTCAATTTACAAGGACTAAAAAAGAAATGTGATCTTATTTGGAAATGGGGTCTTTGCAGATCAGATGTAATTAGTTAAATTAAGACAAAGTCATACTATAGGAGGATAGACTGTAATTCAACGACTGGTGTCCTTATAGGAAGATAAAACAGGGACACAGACACACACACACATACGCACACACACACACACACACACACACCATTCCACCACCACCAGCAACCATCAGAAGCTAGGAAGGGGAATGGAAGCTGTCCTTAGAGCCATTAGAGAGAGCCTGGCCTCTCTAATGTGAGAAAGTACATTTCTGTGGTTTAAAGCCACTCAGTTTGTGGTGATTTGTTAAAGCAGCCCCAGGAGGCGAATCCATGTTGCTCTTGTCTGGTCTTGCACTGGTAAATGATGAAGCAGCTTCTTTTCCCCACCTGTCTTCCCAGTCCTGGCACCTGGGCAGGTGTCCCAGCCTCCAAGCTTTTGCAAACTGAGAGGGTGAGGCAAGCGGCTTTGCAGTAGTCTTCCCAAAGGTCCTCAGTCCAAACGCCCATTCCCTGCGAGCTCTGCTTCCTCATGATGGCCAAGTTGTCTTTGTTGTGCTCAAGTAAGATCAGATAAGAGCTAAAGGAGAGGCAAGAAAGAAATCTTCCTAGGTCTCTAGAGGTGGGGGCCAAGAAAGAAGGGTCAAATGGGAATTCTCTCTTCCAGCCTTACTCTCTGGGGCCAAGAAGGTGGTTAGTGAAATGGTCAAGGAAGTCATAATAAATGTCCTCGTCCTACAGCTTCTGTTGTTCTTATGGCTCAGCTATCCTTTCCTGTTCTCTACCACCCCCACCCCTCTCCCAGCTACCACAACTCCCCAAATGTAGAATTAGTTCACTCCTATACACTAATGCCAATAGCTCATAGGAGGATGAGTAGCAGCAGTAATGCCAATAGCTAATATTTATTATGAAGTACTTATTGTGTGTCATGCAGCCTATTTAGTGATTTACAAATAGTAACCCCTTTTATCCTCACAACACTCCTATGAGGTAGGTAATATTATTATCCGCACTTTATAGATGACGAAACCAAGACCCAGAGAGGTCACATAACTTGCCCAAGATCAGCTAGCAAGTGGCAGAGGAAGGATTTGAACCTGGCTAGTCAGACTACAAAGCCCCTGTAACCTAATGACTACTATTCATTCCAATTCAACAGACCTTCCACTGTGGCCATAAACATTTCTAAGATATGACTATTTTTAATCTACAAAATGGCAATTTCTTATAGTTCAAACCAACACATACCAAGCATCCTGAGCTAAATTCTGTACGTAACAAGCACAAGATGCCTGGGATCATGTAATTCATTTTCTTCTTTTTCTTAGCATAGCACCTTCAAACATTAGGTCTCATACAATGAGAATTGATTGTGGAGTAAGACAAACTTTGATTCAGATCTGGGCTCTGTTACTTACTGACCATGTGCTTTTATGTACAAGCTATTTCTCTTCTTTGAACTTCAGTTGAACTTCCTCTCCCTTATCTATAAAATGTGGGATATTAGTTCTTATATCCCAAGGTGGCTGTAAGGATAAAATGAAATAATGTATTCAAAAGTATCTAGAGCACGATAAATATTATTGATAGGAAAGGGAGACACACTGCACCCAACATCCAGTAACTTACAGTCAAGAGGAGGGAACAAAGTTATTTGTAAATAATTCTTACACGATGAACAGCTGGCCAACCAGAAGATGGCCCACCAGAAATTAAATTTGGGTTCTTCTCTCACTTGAGAGAAGTTGCCAGCTTCTTCTGTTGTGTGCATCAGTGGACAAATGCACAGAAACAGACCTCCCGGGAAGAAATGATGGAGATGCTACTGGAGGGTGAGCGGTCCCTTTATCCCAGAAGAAGTGTGTAAAATAAGACTTAGTTTCCTGAGTGGCTGAGGCAAAGCCACCTCAGCTCTAGGTATAACCTGTAGCCTAAGGAGTCCAGGGTTTCCTGGGAGGCAAAACAGTGATACTCCAATAAGAGACATTGGTAAACCGAGGGTAGCACTGCAATTCAATTGACATATATATCAAGAAAGGCAGGGTCAGCAGGCTAGAGAGGAACCAGGATGGCAGTCTGGTGGGCCCAAAACATTTCTATTTAAATTATGCTATAATACTATATAAACAAAAATTGCTACAAGTAAGATTTGCCCTCACAATTATTCTCAGAAAAGAGTCACTTATAAGAAAAGTTTCTTATATTTCAGGGCATATACTCAATTATATAATTGTGAACAACAACCTTTTCTCCTCTTTGTTGAAAAGAGCATTAGCCCGAAATAACCTCCTTTAATTCTAGTTTTAGGCACATATGAGTCATCTGATAGAATGAGAGCTGGAGAGAGATTAAATAAATTTTACCAATTGATCCTAGGAGGAATGGCTTCATAATAGCATGGCTTCAATATTGTTTCAAGTAAGCCCTTTAAAGATCACTTAGAGGCCTGGCACAGTGGCTTACGCCTGTAATTTCAGCACTTTGGGAGGCCGAGGCAGGCAGATCACTTGAGGTCAGGAGTTCGAGACCAGCCTGGCGAGCATGGCAAAACCCTATCTCTATCAAAAATACAAAAATTAGTTGGGCTTGGTGGCGCACACTTGTAGTCCCAGCTACTTGGGAGGCTGAGGCAGGAGAATTGCTTAAACCTGGGAGGTGGAGGCTGCAGTGAGCCCAGATCACACCACTGCCCTCCAGCCTGGGTGACAGAGCAGGACTCTGTCTCAAAAAAAAAAAAAAAATTACTTAGTAGAGTGATATAGGATGTGGTTCCACCGTGAAAATCAAGAACATTAAGATTATGCATTGTGTTACTCTATTATCAAGATTATGCATTGCGTTACTCTATTTTCATGGTTGCTGTAACAAATTACTTCAAACGCAATGGTTTAAACAACTCCGACTTATTAGTCCCCCAGTTCTGGAGCTTAGAAGTCCAAAAAGCATCTCACTGGACTAAAATCAAGGTGTCCAGAGGGCTGAGTTCCCTCTGGGGTTTCTATGGAAGAATCCCTTTTCTTGCCTTTTCCAGCTCCTAGAGGCTGTACGCTTGGCTCACGGCTGTCTCTTCCATCTTCAGAGTAGGTTGGGTCATTCTCGTATCACATTACTGTGACCTACCCTTCGGCAGTCTCTTCCACATTGAAGAACCCCTGTGATTACATTAGATGTACCTGGATGATCCAGGATAATCTCCATATTTTAGGGTCAGCTGATTAGCAACCTTATTCCATCTGCTACCTTAATTCCCCTATGCTGTGTAACCTAACATATTCACAGGTTCTGGGGATTAGCACGTAGACATCTTTGGAGGGCCATTATTTTTCCTACCGCGTGCACCTATAAGATTAAAAAAACAAAAATGAAAGGCTCTCTCCTAACATAATGTGAATGGCTACTTGAGGCCTGGGATAAATCCCCTCTGACAGTGCCATGTGTCAAGCAACACATATTACCAGGAAGTTAATCTACTCAGAAAATTCTTAGATGACTCAAAAGTCATTTGTTAGAAATTGACCCTGATGATCAAGAAATATAAAAGTTTGGATAAAGTTGTTGCATAAATGAGAGATGAGAAAAAGCAATATTTAAAAAACAGTATGAGTAGTTCATTAAATATGTTAAGCAGATATTTGACTATTTTTGCTACACCCCTAAGGGTTATGTATTTGAGTTAGCCAAAACACTTATTTTTTAGGTATTTTTATTTAAAAGCCGGATCCTGTGGTATTGGGGTCACCTTATATTTGAGCATATGATAAATATTTGTTTATTATAAAATTAATATAAGATCTAAATAAAAATTCAAATGGTCAGGGGGTAGATAGCAAAAAATAAAATTTTCTATTTGTCTCCTGATCCTATCCACCATTCCATCCTCTAGAAGTAACCACAGTTAACAGTTTCTTATGTGTCCTTCCAGAAATATTCTCTCCTTATAAGCCTAAGTAATCCGACTTTTGTTTATTTCTCTTAACACTCTTCTCCTGTCTCTGTGCTCCCGCCCCACTGCCTGGTTTTGTTCTGCATCATTCCTGAAGCCCCAGGGCCTTTGCACTTTCTGTTTCTCTTCCTGGATGGAATATTTTACCACCAAATCTTTGCATGCTCAGCTCCTCCTTGTCTTTCAGGTATCAGCTCAAAACCTCTTCTTCAGTGAGACTTTTCCTACGCCCATATACTCTCTATCAAATAATTCTGTTTGTATTAGTCAGCTCAGGCTGCCATAACAAAATACCACAGACTGAGTGGCTTACCCAACAGGAACTTATTTTTCTTACAGTTCTGGAGGCTGCAAAGTCCAAGATCAAGGTGCTGGCTAATTTGGATCCCTGGTGAAGGTTCTCATCCTGCTTGTAGATGACTGCCTTCTTGCTGTGTCCTTAAATGCCAGAGAAAGAGCAAGCTCTTTTGTATCTTTTCTTATAAGGGCACTAATCCCATCACAAGGGCCCTCATCTAACTCTGATCACCTCCCAAAGGCCCAATCTCCAAATATCATCACAGTGGGGTTAGGGCTTCAACATAGAAACTTGGGGGGACATAGTTCAGTCCATAGCACTGTTCCACTTCTCATAAACTTATTACTAGTTGAAATTAGCATCTATTTAATTGCTTGTTAATGGCACATATCCCACTATTAGAACATAAACCCCACCAGAGAAGACCTTGTCGGTCTTTCTCAATAGCCCCGGTCTTTGAGCCTCCATGAGCTGTCCCAGAATGGCACCAGCCCTTGAAACAAACTAGTGATTGATTTTACTGACCTATTTGCTAAAAAGACTATCTCACAATGTCTTGACTACTTATAGACTTTGCCATGCTTTCTCCACAACAGAGTAGAAGGAATTATACCAGGATTGATTAGGTGTGGAGAGTGCCCAATGCTGGACACATTCAAGCACCAGCAGTGCTCTTCAGAGCTACGTTGCTCAACTTTACAAAGTGAAGACATTTGCGTGGCTTATGCCTCAAGGCACTGCTCATCTGGCCAGTCATGTGAAAAATGAATGTTGAGGATCTTTCTCTGGCTGCAAGCCTGTATGTTGATGATGAAACAAAAGCTCAGAGAGGATGAATGACAAGCTTGAGGTCTCACCTCTAGGGACAGAAGGAATGGGGGTTGGAATCCAGGTCCCCTGGCTTCCACTGAAGAACATCCTCATGACAGCCCCACTGCCTCTTCTCATTTTAGTTGAATAGCCATCTAAAGCCAGCCTCTGCTCAGATGGAGCCTCCAGTAGTTTGGCATCAAAGGCCATCCTTTGCCATCAAAGGGAAATGAAACAGAAAAAAGTTCCAAATGTGTTCCCTGGTGTGGTGTGTCTGCTCATCGCCTGTGTGGCTTGGCAGAGGCAGCCTGTGTTTGGGGCTGAGAAGACCTTGTTCCCTTTACTAGTTGTGAACATGAGGTTATGGCAAGAAAAACTGAACCAAGAAAGGAGGAGAGGAGTGACTAAAGCTAGGATCATCAATCCAGCTGGTCTGTAGGGCTCATCAGAAATCCACCCTCACTCTGAAGGTCTTCCTCAATTTCCACCATTTCTGTTGAAAACACAGACACACTACTAATGTATTCATTAGAGAATACACTCTTTAAAATTGGCAAGTAAGCAAATGGCGAGCAGGCTGCATTCAGTATCAATTTGTTTTTCGGAGAGTAAAGCCTATAAAGCAGGCAAAAGACGACTTCCTCATGAGTGCTCATTTAAAATGCACACTGAGAAGGAATGAAGCGCAGATTTAATCCAAGGTTTGGGTCATGCGTCGGGGCTTTGGGACGGCAGCACTGCCAAAGTGCCTTCAGATAAACAGACGCTGTGTCTGAAAAGCCTCCTTGGCCATTTGCATTCAGGCACAGTCATGTAAGATTCCTGAGGCCTCTGGCAGGCTCCATGGTGGAAACACCAGCAGGATTGGCTCAGGCCCGAGTCTGGGAGGAGCCAGGCGTTGAGGTCACACTCCTCCTACTGTCCCTACACATGTGGGAAGGCAGAGCTCCACTGCTGGGTGAGAACACTGCTCCTGGTTGCAGGGGCCATGGAGCACCCCACTTAGTGCTGACAGCACCCTATATCCCACATCCACTCACTCTCCACCAAGAACTTCCAAGGCCACCCCACTGTGAACAGAGATATAAGAAAAAAATTGGTGATAGAGGTGGTGGAGGAGAGTAGAGAAGGAAGCAAAAGGAAAGCACAGTGAGTGCGGTTGGGGAGGGTGATTGGGAGTGAATGAAAAAAGGTGGAGCACACAGCGTTGATTGCTTAGTGAGCCAGATCACATCACTGGCCCCACATCATCACTTTTCTTTTTCTTTTGTTTGAGAGACAGGGTCTCACTGTGTCACCCAGGCTGGAGTGTAGTGATGATCATAGCTCACTGCAGCCTTCAATTCCTGGGCTCAGGTGATCCTCCCACTTCAGCCTCCTGAGCAGCATGGACTAGAAGTGCACACCACCACATCCAGATAATTTTTCTATTTTTTGTAGAGACAGGGTTTCACCATGTAGCTCAGGCTAGTCTCAAACTTTTGGGCTCAAGCAATCCTTCCACCTTGGCCTCCCAAAGTGCTGGAATTACAGGCATGAGTCACTATGCATGGCCACATCCTCACTTTTCCTTGGATCCACACTCTGTGCCAGGTGACTTTGCAGCTTCTCCCACTAGTAGGTTTCTCCAGCCCTGATTTCGGGTTTGGCCATACAACTAGCTTTGGCTGATAGAATGAGACGGCGGATGACAGTGTCCTGGTCATGAGTCTAGACCGTAGGCGGCCCTCTATGATCCTGCTTGCACTCCTGTGTCTGGGCTGTTACCATGATAAGAGCATTCCTCAGTAGCCTGCTGGTCCAGAAGTAGGAGGGACACATGGAGCAGAGCCTAGCTCTGTGTGGATGTCCTGGTGATCTATAGTTCTCTGAACAAATTCAGCTGAGAGCAGCAGAACCATTCGACTGAGCTCAGTGGTATCAGCTGACCTCTATGTCCCAGAGAAACACTCAGAGAAATGGGTGCTGTTTTAAACCACAGAGTTTTGGAGGAGGTTTGTTGCACGTTGTTAGTGTGAGAGTTGCAGATACTAGGATGAAATCACTTTTGTCAGACCCAGGCAAAATAGAGCTGGAAGGCCAGATGGAGAGGAGGCTCATGCTTATGTGTCTGGGATAAGAACTATTTCCAGTGACTTTCTAAAAACCTTTGGAGTCCTTCATGCATCTCCTGCTTTGATAAGGTTCATCACCAGACATTCTTTAGAACTGCGGTAATTCACATAACATGTTCTTGAAAGAACATTTGCTCGGTAATGACATCTCCACCAATGAATTGACAAGAACTCTGGCTTCAAACCTCTGGAACCAATGAACTCTGTTTCTAAGCATCTTGTGTAAATCTGTTTTTTTGCTAATAAAAGTCCCCTTACCCTTCCCTCACTGAATGCATTGGTGGCTTGCCATTTCTTGCATTCCAGATTATAGTCTTATCTCTATTCCTGAGTTAACCCAGCATATTTAGAGATAATTTTCTCTGGTGTCTTTTTTATGTAGTTAACTGATATACTTGCCTAACAGCCACACACCTTTCTTTCTTGTGACATAATCCTGTTTTTTTTTTAATGATGGCAATGTTACCATTTGCCAGATAATTTCTCTCTTAGGTTTTCTTTCAGCTTCGGATGACCACAGAATCTAGTTTTGGCCAAGGAGAAATAAAAGGAAATCTTATTTCTGGAAAAGATTTTCCTCCCTGATCCAAAAGCAAAGTCCTTTTCTGCCCATCCCTTTCTTTTCTGCCTGGGCACTGGCATGACTACATAATGCCTGGAACTGTGGAAGCCATCCAGTCACCATGAAATCACAGGTTCAGAGATGAAGGATTTGCACACTGCAGGTGCCCAGACAGAAGGATGAGAAAAGCCTGAGTTCTTGATCACATCGTTGAGCAGCAGACAAATCCTGGGGCCACCTACATCCAGCCTCTCAACTAGGAAACAAGAATTATCTTTATGGTTTTAACCACTGTCTGTTAGATTTTCTGTTGTGGCAGAAAAATGAATTCTTCAGTGGCAAGGGACATGATGAAGGTGGAGGAGAGAATGTGGGTGATAAGTCAGGATGTGAGTCATAGAGCAGTGAAATGAATGTTGTACTGAGAATTAGGAGACCTTTTCCTAATTAGTAGTGTAACCCTGAGTAATTCGCACAACTCTCTTGGCTGCAATGTCTTCTTCTGAGAGAAGAAGGCACGTACCTGGATGATCTCTAAGGTTTTTACAGTTCTAACATTGATTCTGAACTTACAACAAGGGCTCTGGGTGCCATAGCTGGGCAAATATTCACAGAGGATTTTGGGGAACTATTAATTACGTTCAAGGAAAAGATTGAGAATGGTGGTTTTATAGCAAATGCTTAGGTCTGGGCTTGCAGATAATGAGTTTCTTTTTCATTTTTGAGTTTGTGCCTCATGTAAGTGTTACCTGCTCTAGGGTACTTCCATGAGAGTGCTCATTAGATGCCTCATTTACAAAAAACGATTTGCATGCGAGGGGCAAATGCTTCCTCTTTAGCAGCAGGTGTTGTGGGAGGGAGAGAAACATGCTGGCTAATGCCTTGTCATCCAAATTCACAGAAATTTCTGGTATCCTGGGCAGGTTTAAACCATTCTAGGGAGAGAACGAAGGGAACACATCTGAATAAATTAGTCTATTTAGTTTTTGGTTCTGCAGAATAGAGCCTTGGCAGGATCCCAGAGATGCATCAGCAGGGGAAAAATCACGTTATTTTCTGTTCTAGCCAACAGCATTTTCCTGCCCGGACTGTGCAAAATGAACTTGCTTAGCTTTGCAGCCTTCTCCAGCTGCTGCTGTTTCTCTCTGGCCTTCTGGTCACATACGGCCCTGGCTCAGTTAGGTTTATTCAATGCTATCATTTTTCTCCCATACCATTTTTCTTTCATCTCTCTTTGTGCTTCACCACAATGATATTCATTAAGCTCTTTTTCTTCCCTTTCCTCCTAACTTCTATTCTCTCTTCTTTATCATCCCACCTCCCTTTCTCCATCATCTGCTACATTGTGAAAGCATTCTTTGACATTTGCACATCAATATTCCTAAAATCTACCAAGAATTCTGGGGAACACGATTGCTCTGAGGGGGTCACAATTGTCTGATGTAATCATACAAAAGTATTTTTTACCAGCTACTATTTGCTGTTCAAAGAGAAGTTCAAAGCTAGGATCCTGGCATGTTGGATAAAAGTGGAATTTGGAAGAAGGGCTAATCCTAGAGCAGAACCAGGGCAGGGCATTGGAGACCCCTTGAACATGTGAACTACATTTACTCGTAGACATGTTTTACATTTACCAAAGATGACTGCCAAATTCCAGGACACTGAGCTTAAGACTATAAAGGGAGACAAACCACCAAATGCACACCCTTGTCATAGATGGAGCTTTTTTTTTTTTTTTTTTGAGACAAAGTTTCACTCTTGTTGCCCAGGCTGGAGTGCAATGGCACGATCTTGGCTCGCTGCAACCTCCGCCTCCTGGGTTCAAGCAATTCTTCGTGCCTCAGCCTCCCAAGTAGCTGGGATTACAGGCATGCACCACCATGCCTGGCTATGTTTGTATTTTTACCGGAGACTGGGTTTCACCATGTTGGCCAGGCTGGTTTCGAACTCCTGACCTCAGGGGATACACCTACCTTGGCCTCCCAAAGTGTTGATTACAGGCACGAGCCACCGCGCCTGGCCCTGGATGGAGCTTTCATAGAGGAGGAGCAGATGGAGTTGTCAAGGCAAAAATGTCCACTTTCAGCCACGTTTGCCCTAGGAGATATCAAAATCAACATTGTGTCTCCTCCTAACCCATTCTAAGCAGCTGAAATGGACCCAAACACAAAACCCCTACAGGCCCAACCAAAGACTCTTGCTTGACCAATGAATGACTGGATTTGTTTGAGCCAACTGGGTTCAGGCCTTTGGGTTCACTGGGGCCACCTGCAATGCTGGTGTTCAAACCCTAATCTGTGAGCCCTCATTTTCTAGATTGAAAAATCCCTAACTTTCCCCCTCTCTGCTAACTATTCAGTGAATTTCTTTACTAGTGTGTGCTTCCTTGCCTGGAAAGTTAACAAACTTGGTTTTGTGGTTTTTATTTATTTTATACCTCTGGTGGCCTATGTTTTATTATTTTTCAGAATGCAGGCTGTCGGGGAGCCAACTATCACTTAACATCTGGCAGCAGCACAGAAAAAATTCTGAACATTAAGACCAACTGAAAGAAAGCCCCAAACCAAACCAAACCAAACACAACCAAAGCAAACAAAACAAAAAACATAAACCAGTAACAGCAGCACCAACAACATAATAACAGCAAATCTCACTCATCAGACCACCTTGCTGGGAAATGCTACCCAAAATAATTTCCTGACTCAGGTCATTTAAACTTGGAGTTGATTTCAACTGGACTAAGCCAATTTCAATAGTGGTCTAGATTTGAATACTGCTTCTAGATGTTTGTGTGACCTCCTTGTTTGGTTTAGCATTCAAAGTCTAGTAGACTGATAAAGAACCAAGGCCATAGGGCCGGGTGCTGTGGCTCCTGCCTGTAATCCCAGCACTTTGGGAGGTCGAAGCAAGTGGATCACCTGAGGTCAGGAGTTCGTGACCAGCCTGCCCAACATGGTGGAAACCTATCTCTACTAAAAATACAAAAAGTTAGCAGGGCATGGTGGCGGATGTCTATAATCCCAGCTACTTGGGAGGCTGAGGCAGAGAACCACTTGAACCCGGGAGGCAGAGGTTGCAATGAGCTGAGATCACGCCACTGTACTCCAGCCTGGGCGACAAGAGCAAAACTCCATTTCAAAAAACAAACAAACAAACAAGCAAACCCCAAAACAAAACAAAACAAAACAAAACAAAACAACGAACCAAGGCCATAAAGTTGACAAAAATCACTTGTCTGTTACTTTTGAATTATTCATCATGTGTGCAGCACAATCTGGTGAACTTAGGTGGAAGCTGTGCATGTTTGATTTTGTTCTATGAAACATGGATTTGCTCAGAAGAATCCTCCCAGAAGTTTAGTTCACTTTGGTTTGTGGTATTATTAAAGGAACCCAGGAGATTTTCAGTTCTAACTGGTGCTTCTGCAGCACAACTTTCAAATCCTGGGAATTCTGAATCCTGTACGTAGTTCCTCACTGAAAGAAACGTCCAGCACTTTCCCCATAAGTGTACTTTCCTCTTACATCAAGATGCTGTTATGATTTGCTTTCCCCCTCACGGCAAATTACTAATGTACTTCATATTTGAAAAGGGAGTTTGCTGAAAATGTAGCAGAATCTATTTGATGTACATCTTGCTGTAGCCTTAAAGTATTACAACCCAATCTTGTTTCTGCCTCTGGCTGTTCTGATCTTTAAAAGATTTTGGTTTTTAATACAAAGTACATGATGATTTGCATGTACTGAATAAGATTGTGATCCAATGTCTTTGATGGTGGCCTTCCCTTTTATTGCTATCTTCAAGTAAGGTTTATTCAGTGCCTACTGTTCAGGGCTTTATCCTGGGAATATACAAAACGATGTTTGAGTATCTTGCCTCTGCCTTCTAGGAGTTCAACTTAAGCCATCTTACTTCTTCCCTCCCTCAAACGTTTTTAACAGGCAGAAAAATGAACATAAGAGGAATTCTTCAATAATTTAAGAGACAGGCCAGAACAAAGGCTCCTCCAAAGAATGAATGTTTAATGGCATGTTTCCAGAATGTAGGCTGCAGGAGAATGTGCACCCGGGGTGGGAGTAGATCAAAGGAAGGAGGTTAAATTATGGTTTATTTCTCATCCTTTTGTAGAACTCTTTCTGCAAGACATAGTTTCTTGGAGGATGTACCAGTTATCAATTGCTGTATAACAAGCCACCCTAAAACTGAGTGGCTTAAAAAGCACAGTGATTTATTATCTCTAAGGATCCTTGGGCTGGAAATCTGGGTGGTTCTGTTACTTGTCTTGCCTGGGCTCACTTACTGGCTGTCGTCACCTGGGAGTTTGGGGCTGAGGGTCTAAGATGGTATCACTTACTGTCAGCAGATGGTGCTGACTGTGAGATGGGGTGTCTCTGTTCTTTTTCACACAGTCTCTTATCTTCCAATAGACCAGAATGGACTTCTTCACAGCATGGTGGTCTCAGGGTCCTAAGACCTAGCCTCTAGAACTTGCATGGTGCTACTTCTGCTACATTCTATTGGTCCAAGTGGGTTTCAAGGACCTTCCAGATTCAAGAGGTGGAGAAATAGACTCCATCTTTTAATGGAAGGATCAAAGGGACATAGACCCAGAAAGCCATGATTCACTGTCATTATTATAACAATCTGTCACAACAGAACAGGGGTCAGATGAATGGGGATGAGGGGAGGGCTAGAAGATGGGGGGACAATAATCTAAGAACTGAAGACAGAGACTTCCTTTAGAATCTTTGTTCCTGTCTGCAATTATAGGATTTTCATGTGTCAGCAAAGGATAGGTTGTCTCTAGTTATTTGTTTCTGGGGAAATAGGCTCAAAGGGATGTATTAGTGAAGGAAAAATAATCAATGCTAGCAATTTTATTAATGTTTGGCACTTGGGGAAAATATGTAAAATGGAAAAGCAGAACAAATAAGAATACCAAAGAGATGTGGGGAGGTTATGTACCCAGATGCAAGTACACTAAAACAGAAGATTTTATCAGGAAATTATATATACATTATATGCTATATGTATATATTTAGCATACACATGAAATTCTTTCTTCTATAAGATAAAGTCAACTTAGGGTTGAAGCTTTTAAAGGTGGTTTTCCTTTTTATAGCCCTGCAATTTAGGCAGGCCATCACAGGGCAAAAGACATGTGGGTCCTTTTATTCAAGTCTCTTAGAGTCACATTCATGAATTTCTTATACATAGTCAGGAAACATGTAACCCTTTATTAAAGGAATTTAACCTAAAATCCACTATAAACTCGTTTTTTTAAACGTGACTTTTAGAAAAAATTCTCGTAGCACATTGTATACCTTTCTCATCAATCTTAAACTTTTCCTTATTCATTTTCTCTGAATCTAAAATCAATAGTCTTTCCAAGCAGTTTCTGTCTTAGCAGCTACTATCATTTGTCTGTTGAAGCCACAAGAATACTTCAGTCTTCCTTCCGAGGTTAGTGGACTTCATTAAAGAAATAGCTTTAGTTTTCTTTCCAGCATGCCATGTCTCTATTTTCTTTATCATGCGGAAGTGAAAAAATGTCAAATAAAAGAGGAAAGAAGTCACAGAGATCATAGTTGTGTCTTTATCCACTGCTAGTTGACCCTTGAATTTATTTTTGCAGAACTTCCTCATCTTTTCCTCCTTTTAATTGATTTCTCTAACCAGAGCTAGTATGAGTCTGAATGAAACATAGGCAGCTTACATTTTCTCCATCCGTCATAATCGATAACCACTTCCTTATAAGCTGTCGTAACTTCAGGCTTCTATGGCAACTTTCTTGGTGGACCTACAAGAATTTTTAACAGTTTGAAAACCAATCTTAAAGGTTAGAAAGGGTGACTCACACCACTTTTATTGTATAAATGCCTTCTTTATTCCTTGAGCCAGGACAACTCAAGTAAATCAGGAAATAGGCAAGAAAACAAAAATCACTCATTTGGAGATGATTACTCTGAAATATATGTCTTAACTATGCCCCACACTGAGACATCTTTTTGAAAAGTGTTCTAGTTAGTTCTAAATGAACTTACCTAATTCTCTTTCCTCCACAGCCCTCAGATAACACAAGCAATGGCCCTTCTCACTCACCAACTCAAGCAACGGTGCATCTCCACCTGGTATTGTGGTGTGGCAGGTCTATGTGGCAAGGGTTTTGTCTCCGTACTCTGGGTGAAGGTGTTGAAGATGATCCTGAGGCCTCAGTTCTCTGGAGGGAGTCTTGCGGGTAGTTAACTTCTGCTGAATCTCAGTATAGCAGTGCAAGGTCAAAACCCAAAATGCGCTCAATCTTGAGTTGTTGAAGTTGGATGAAAAGTGAAGTCATTATTGGGCATGACATCTGGTGTTTCAGTCCCAAGGCCACAAGCAGAATGTTACAATCTCTGAAGCTTAATGATTTTGCATTTCATGTAGCAGCTTAAGTTTTTCACAGCCTGAACTCAATTAATTTTCACAGCCCACTGTGGAGGTGGAGAGGGAAGTGCCATATATTTTTGCAGTAGGTGTGATAACCTGTCATTGATCACTCATTTGATGAACACCAAAACTTTGCCTGCACTTCTGGGAGGACAAAGAAGCCTCCTAACTGTCTGGTCTGTGGATCAGGTGCCGCAGGTCCTCTGCTCTAGACTATCAATCTTTTCAGCTGGTCATTTGGAGGGCATTACAGGGCAAACCATGCGCAGTTGAGACCAATTGCCTGTGCCCATGGGCAGAACTGTCTGTTGATGGGCAGAAAGGACAGCTCTAGATAACAAGCATGTGAACAACACCCCCTGGTGTTGGTGAGGATGGATCAGCAGGCATAGACATAAACTGCTGTCAGGGCTGTAACAGGAGCAGGCTTTCCTACCAACAGTGCTCAGGCAATGGAGTATCAGTGTGGTGATATATCATTATTCTAATTGGCTGTTTGGGTTTCATTGTATGGGTATGCTATAATTTATTTAATCAACATTTAAGTTGTTTCCAATTTTTCACCATTACAAAAATGCTTAATGACCAGACTTGTATATCTTTCTCTGTCACCTTGACCCATTATGGCTTCGGGGGAAAAAAAATCCCACGAATGGAATTGTTGATTCAAACTTTAAAATACTAATACATAGGGTCAAGTGACCATCTAAAAAGTTGTGTGCTAAGATTATAAATCAATTACCTAAGTTTTATTTCAGTACTTTAATAAAAATGTATATTTTTATGTCTAGGTATTTGCTCCTTCTGAAGCTTAATTTGGGCATAGAGATTTGTTATTTCTATTTTTTCCAAATGATTAGTCAGTTTATCCAACCCATTTTGTTGATAGTCCACCTTGATCATATATCAAGTTCTCACACACACATGAGTCTGTTTCTGAATTATGGATTCTGTGCTATTGGGCTTTCTGTTATTATATAATGGTTTAATGTTTATACTTGTATGCTTATAATATCCAATAGGACAAATGCTCTCTCATTAATTTGCCTGGCTATTTATGCATGCTTATTCATTCAGAAGAAATTTGAAATAAATTTTTTTCCATAACAAAGAAAAAAGTCCCAAATGATTTTTGATTTGGATTTGCATTAAATTTAGTTTTATTTCAAAGAATTGTTATTTTTACAATATATAGTACATGTTAAAAAAGAGGATGTAGTTTTCCCTGCAGTCAAACATCTTATGTTTCTCAATAGAATTTTCTTATTTTCTTCACATGTCATGCACATGACTTATTAAACTGTATTCCTAGCAGTTATATATATATAAAACTATATATTATATTTATACATATGTGTTATAAATGTATTCCTAGGAGTTATGCATATATATAAAATACAGTTACACACATATAGCTCTATATAGATAATATTTACAGATAGATAACATATATAGTAATATATAGATAATATTTACAGATAGATAACATATATAGTAATATATGTTATATATTTATATATGTTATAGCTGTATTCCTGTATATATGTTATAACAACTGTACATATGTTATAACTATATTCCTAGGAGTTATATATAATATATAAACTATTATACATAAAATATATATGTAGCTCTATATATAGAAATATATATATATAAAACTATATGTAATATATATAACTCCTAGGAGTACAGTTATAACATATATATAATATTTATATGTATAAGTTATACATATATTACATATATTATCTATTTGGTAGAGATGGGGTTGCCCAGGCTGGTCTCAAATTCCTGAGCTCAAGCAGTTCTCCTACTTTGGCCTCCTAAAGTGTTGGGATTACAGGCATGAGGCACCATGCCTGGCCTGGAATTTTATATTTTTTGATTTTATAATTCAAGGGATTCCCCCACTCCCAGTTATAGGTCTCTAGCCTGCTCCACTGGAGTCGGCTAATCTGCTTGGCCCCTGGTTGTGCAGTCATCCGGGAGCTCCACTCAGGACTTTGAACTGACACCTGCAAGGGTCGGCGGAGTGAAGAGGCTGGGCCAGGCCCTCTGCCTTCTCCTCTTCCTCCTTCAGTCCTCATCCACCTCTGGTTCCAGTGTGTGGAGCAGGCTCTGTTGTCCTAGTAAATAAAGAAGAATCAACCAACTTCACAAAACCCCCCAGAAGTGACCAGCCATAAAAATATAAGCTTATTCCAAATACCTGGGACCCTGTACCTGGAGTCGTCTGCCACAGGGCAGGTCAGATGTCCCATGGCCGAGGGCTCAGGAGCTGTGGCTGGCGGCTGGTAGCAGCACTGGCTTCTTACCTTGGCCGTGGCCCTAAGTTCCCACATGTGGGAAGTCAGCCTAGTGTGCCATGTGGGAAGTGTCCAGGTTCTTCCTGGGGACACTCTTCTGCCTACATATGTAAAGAGACAGATTTCTGGGGTGAGAAAGGCAGCTCCAGCTTTTAGAGGAGCCAGGAAATCTCCCCAAGGCTCTGACCTGAAGAAAGAACACTCTCTAGAGAACAAGGGAGCTCAATCTTTTTTTAGTTCTGATTTCTATCTCCGTCATTAAAAATCAAGCTTTAAAAATAAGACCCTATCCATTATGTTTTAATAATCATCACTCGGGCTTAAAGTGACTAATAATAAAAGGTTTTTGTTTAAATATTAAACACTAATGGTTTTGTTCTGCTCTTGAGAACTGGAGGCAGACAGTTGAAAATGGGTTCACAGTGTGCCCTGGCCCTGGGGTCTGGGCTGATGACTAAGGTGACCCCTGGGAAATGGCACCTGTAATCGGAGGCTTGACTGTCTCCCACACTACCCTTACCTTGGCCCATGTCACAGTCCCAGGCTGCCTCCTCGCTCTGGCAGCAGTGTGGGGCTTCCCAAAAGGCTTTTGCCTTTTTGTTTTCCCAAATGACCAATGGATCTTTTAGAGAGGAATCTATTGTCAATTGCTTCCTTTTTTTTTTTTTTTTTTGATGCTACAAGACTACTTTGAAGCTCAGAAAGCCAAATCCTTGATCTTAATAATAGTAGCTATTATCTGGCACTGAGCTGAAGCTTTATATACATTATGCTATTTAAAGTTTACAAGAACCCTGAAGGATACACAATATTTTTCCTATTTTAAGTATGAGAATTCTGAGGCTTAGAAATTTTAAATAGCTTTCCAAGGACACCAGATTGTAAGCAGTAGAAGGAAGATTTGGAATCAGTTTTTATCTGATTCCAAATAACATGCTCTTTCCATTGCCCTAACTCACATAACTAGATAATAATTACATAATGGGTGTAGCCCTCTTGAGACATAATTTTACTTTTATTGGACAAACCTCTTTTTTTTTGAGTGAATGGTATTTCAGGGATGATTTCAGAGCATGAGCAACTGGGCATAGTGGCATAAACATAGTAGAAAATACACTGGGCTTCACCATGTGCCAGCCATTGTTCTGAGTATTTTGTAAAGATTAAATCATTGGATCCTCACAACCATGCCATGATGTAGTGTTTCAGCATGTTCAGGCGACTATACCAAAATACCATAGACAGGAGATGGCTTATAAACAACAGAAATGTATTACTCACAGCTCTGGAGGCTGGGAAGTCCAACCTCAAGGTGCTGGTGGATTTAGTGTCTGGTGAGGGCTTGCTTTCTGGTTCATAGATGGTGCCTTTACTGTGTCCTTGCATGGTAAAAGGGGAAACAAGTTCTCTGGAGTTTCTTTTATAAGGACATTAATCCTGGTTATGAGGGCTCTGTCCTCATGGACCTAATCATGTTCCATAGGTTCTGTCTCCTAATACCATCCCCTTGGAAGGTAGGATTGCAACAGAGGAAATTTTGGGGGACATAAACATTCAGACCATAGCATGCAGGTTCCGTTACTATCCCTCCATTCTACAGTTGAAGCACAGAGATGTTAAGCAAATTGTCTAATGTCTGATAACCAGCAAGTGGCTGAGCTGGGATTTGAACCCAGACAGGCTAGATGCAGAACCCTGTGCTCTTAACCATGTATATAGGGCCTCTCTAACCAAGACAAGGGAGGCTATAGGAGGAGGCTTCATGGTGGGGTGAGGACCAGTGGTTAAGAGTTCCATTTGAGCATATTGTATTTGAGGTGGACTATTATGTATCCAAATGGAGCTATCAAGAAGGCATTCAGGTCTCAGTTTGGAACACAGGTAGTACGTAAAGCCTGAGATAAGATGGAATCACCTCTAGAGAGTGTGTGCATGGAGAAGAGAAGAGACCCATGGCCCTTTCCATATCCTAAAGTTGGGCAGAAGAGGGAGGGTTGGCAAAGGACTCAAGTGGTTCTTCCCTTTCTCTCACACCCACATCCCAATCCTCAAGCAAGTCCTGTGGATTCCAACTTGACTCCCCCCACTCCTTATCACTTCCCAGACATCCACATGGCTCTCTCCTACAATCTGCAGAGTCCCCTCGCGTCTACTCTGATTCCTTTCTGGCTGCCACCATCCTTTCTAAGCTCTTACCACACTAGCCTTCTTGTTTGGAATATGCAGGCACAGATCTAAGTTATACCAAACTCAGCCAGGGACATCATCACTTATTTTCCTTAAAAACATTTTTTCCCCCATATGCCTAGAGTCTGCAAAACAAACTGTGATGAGAACATGGCATGCAAATCCAGCTCTTCTCTCTTCTACATGCATCATTAGCCCAGTCACTTTTGACAACGATGAGCAGTGGGACACATTTGGCTTGCTTCCTAGGGATTTCAGCGTAGAGTAAAATTCACTTTTATTGAATAGGTAGAAATCAAGGTCAACCTCTAAAATGGGTTTTCTTGGAAAAATGGAAAGTAGTAATTTACCCCATGAATCATATTTTTAAAAATTAAATTCTACTTCAATAATAAGAGGTGATAGAAGATGCTATTGTATTTCCTTTTTTGCTTTGTTAAAGAATCAGGATTGAGGCCAGCTGTGTGTGTAGGAGAAAGAGTCAGCAGAATCTCTTTTTATTTCTTCCCTAATCTAACTCTTTCTGAAGGGTCAGAAAACTAGTTGCTGTTCCTTTCTTGTTTCTTGATCTTTTCTCAGCCCTCTGCAATATTACTTTTTCCTCTCTGGCTTCTTATTGCCTGTCTTCATTCATTCTTACTCCTTGCCTACCACCCACCGCCAGGAGACTGTCCTGTGTCCCAAGAGCCTACTCTGGTTCCCGATGTGTAGTAGCCCTCCCCGCACAACATAGCCCAGTGGCCCAAGTTCTCACACACTGCTCTGCCTTTGCTTAGGTAGTTCTTATTGCGTGGCATGTATTTCCCTCATTTTTCTACTTAAAAAACTTACTGCCCATGACTGGCTCAACTGTCCCTTCCTCGGAGAATATTCATCAACCACTCTCTTCCTCCCCCAGGGAGAACTGAGTCTTCCTAAGGCTGTTCCCATAATACTATGAATAGATTGCAATGCAGGGGATCAGAATATGCCAACCTTGAAGATGCCACTTTGGCTTAAGAATAATTTTAAGCTGAAGGTGATTGAGAAGCAGCAAATGGAGGAAAAGCTTTCTATCCTCCCTTTTCCTAACTTAAGGCAGAATATGAATTTCCCTTGGTGAAGTTGTTCCCCTTTCCTTTTCCCATATCCAGAGTTGAGAAACGACAATTATCACTAGAGACAAAGAGGGCACCAGGTTGGGTCTGCACAAACAAACATTACCAAAATAACTCTTATCATCCATTAATTTTCCCCATATATTTACCTTTCCACAATTTACCACCCCTAGAAGTCCCAATCCCCTTTTGCTTGCTTTGTCATTTCTCCATAAATTTATTGCCTTTTGTTAAGATGGTATATAAGCTCCACATTCTAACATCCCATTGAGTTACTCATCACTGTTCTCCAATGAGTACATCTATTGCATATATAAATAAATTCTGTTTTTTCCTCATGTTAATCTTTTCTCATTTTGATTTGCGAGTCCCAGCCACTCAATAAAAGAGGATAGATGGGGAGCTTCTTTCCTCTCTTATAGCAGGTACTGAGCTTACTTCAAAGTCACTGTGACTTCATGTCTCTTTCTTTTATTAGACTATGTACTTTTGCATTTTTAGTATTTAACACAGTACTTGGTGCAGAGTAGGTGCCCAGCCCACGGTTGCTGAATAAATGAATGAATGATTCACAGTGAGGCAAAATTCATAATTTTGCTGGAAGTTTGTCATCCTGATTATAAAGAGTCACATGCATGTCAACTCCCCACCCAGTTACCACTCTGACTATCCTTCCAAGTCTACATAGTAGATAGCCCCAGAATTTTAAAACTGACAAAATTCCTGTTTCTGATTCTGTTTCTGACTCACTCTATCGCTTTAAATTATTCACTTCCTGTCTACAATGGTGTTTGTTGGCTTACAAAGCAAGGTGACCCTTGAGGGATGATAACAACTAAGGGCTTACAAATGATTTCAGAATACCATGAACTGTGTAAATGTGAATACTGTTATGAATCAATAAAGTGGGTGAGGGAATCGAAACTGCTCAGCTCTCTCTTGAATTGCTAACTGCTTTATCTGTCAAATTAAAAAAGTACTAAAACCAACCCAAGGGGAGAGTCTTGGTATTCACTCTTCCTGTGAGTAATTTTTTATTAAGAATAACAAATTAGACAAGAAGCCAGAATTCCAGACAAGGGGGTTGGGTGGGGGTGTGGGGGTGGGAGGTTATGGGGGTTGGGGTTGTCTCTCTTGCTCTAATTCCCACTTTTGGTGTGTTTATTTAAGTATGTGCTTGCAAAGAGAATGATGCATAAATTATTAGTACCCAAAGGCAGTTCCTCTAAAGGGAAGAGACTTTACAAATGTTGCAGCAACTTTTTTTCCGTGGGGTGCTGAGGGGTCCTGAAAGGATCAAGAGCCATTGCGGATGTTTCTCCCTTTATGCTGCGGGAAAAGGAGGGGAGGCCCTCATGTTTTCTCCTGTAGTCAAGCCAGGGTGAACATCTGGTGCTGCTGGACCCCTGGACTACCCACAATGGGTAGGTTATGATGGGAAATAATTAGCTGATTCAGTCCATGGCTGGAGGAGAGAAGCCATACTGAACGCGAGCTAGCCTGGCGTGAGAAGATGTGCCTTCCCAGCAGTCAGACCTCAGTTAATACCAGGACTAAACAAGGACAAGCAGTCTCTCAGGGAATGAGGGTCCCCTTTTAGAGGATGATTGGCTTTAGGACTAAAAGTGAAGACCCTGGTGTGCTGGCTTGTCTCACGTGCCTTGTAACCACGGCCTGCATGCCACCCAATATTATCAGATACAGACGGTAGGCTGTGTCCTGAACTCTGCCTCCCCACTTCCCTGCGAGGTGTTCAGGGGTCTTCTTTTGACTTAGGAGTGTCCTGAGGGCCCTGTGGGGAGGAGGAAGGGCCCACAGGGGTGGCAGGCACGGTGGTGCTCAGAGGCCTGGCGCTCATTTTGCAGACGTCGCTGGGAAAAGGAAGAACAATTCCAGCTGTGTGAAGACTGAGTGGCTGCAGGTTTTCCACTCTGGTCAAGTGCAGTTTTCAAGGAAGAGGTTTGCATCTCACCCTGGGGAGGACCAGCCTTACCCTCAGGCTGAGCCAAATGCCCATTTCCAATGCCAAAAAGATGACCAAAAAGCTGTGTTCTGACATTTTAAAAAAGCTCAAATATTCATATACAGCCACATGCATATATAAAATATGAAAACATAGTGTATAATTGTTCACAATAATTGTGGGTGTGTTAGTGTGTATTTTGTATGCGTATGTGTAATATGTGTTGTGTACATTCTCATATTCTGAAGATAATACATACAACCCCTTCTTGAATCACATTTTTTCCTGGAAAACTTGGGTAACACCCCCTTTGTTTCTAGTTTCAAAGACTCAAATAGGAGGAAAGAAATTCTTTTCAAGTTAAAGCAGCACACATGAAGTTAAAACTGGAAAAGGCCCATTGAGATTTTTATTCAATTTATACCTCATTTTAAAAACATGAGAAGTATCTTGGAAAGCACTTAGAATCGATTGAGTCGGGAGACCCTGAGTGGGCACTGACTTGTCTGTTTGGGACATGTTTACTGATGTATGAAGTGGATTGGGGGCTGGGGACAATCAGATCCTAATGGACTCCAGGAGGCTCCCTGACCCTTTTGTATCCATTCCAGGGTCCAATGCTGATATATTTGTAGATTTCATTTTTGTGACTAGATCCCGGAACATACTGTTGAGTTAAACCACTCCTGCCCTGGAAAGGTATTATACGCTTAGAGAAACAACAACCACAATAACAAACTGAAGCTTGATGAAGAACTACAGAAAGATTGAAATCAATCACTTTCAGAATGCTGAGGGACCTCTGCGACTGGAGGCCTGGCAACACTGCCAGTTTATTTACATTTTGTGTTCTATGGTCATGACCGCAGAAGGTTGGCCCTAAAATGGAATCTGTTCTCCTATTTTACGGGGCAACTCTTTGCTATGACAAAATAAGAATGGGCCTCTTAGCTTCTTGGATATTCCATCCAAGATTACAATGGTTTCCTTACTGATAAACCTTAGGCCTGAGCTCCTCAGGTAAGTATTTCACAGGACAAGTATGATTCTTGGCCATGCCTATTTATTCATAAACACATTACATTTTGAATAACCTTGTGAACAAATATGTTAGGAGTTGCATACAATTATGGTGGTTGTGGACTCTGCCTTAGAGTCGGTGGACAGTAATCAGCTACGGACTGGTCTGAGGGGCACAATAGAGGCCCCTGGAGATGGATATTTCTATAGAACTTGTTCATAAGTACTGATGGGTTAGCTGGATCATCTTCTGATAAGTCAGGTTAAAAAAAATTATTTTTTAAGAGACAGGATCTTTCTCTGTCACCCAGGCTGCAGTGCGGTGTTGCTATCACGGCTCACTGCAGCCTTGGCCTCCTGGGCTGAAGCGATCCTCCCACCTCAGCCTCTTGGGTAGCTAAAACTACAGGTGAATGCCACCACACTTGGCTAATTTTTAAAATTTTTTTGTAGAGATGGACCCTCACTATTTTGCCCAGGCTGGTCTTGAACTCCTGGCCTCAATCAATCCTCCAGCCTCAGCCTTCCAAAATGCTGGGATTACAGGTGTGAGCCACTGCACGCAGCCTCAGGTAACAAGTTTTAGTGAAGTAAGATGGATGTATTCTCATGTCTCTCTTTTACAGTTTATAATTTAATGATTTAAAAACACACATACACATGCACAGGTGTATCAGGGATGGCAAATAGGTGTCATCTTTCATGGAAATGCCAGTTGATTGGTGAATGCCACCCTGAGCTCTGTATTGAGAAGAATGATGAATCTGTGGGAAGGCCCTATGGGAAAAAATTGTAACAGTTGATTAGAGATATCCTGTAAGGGAATGGACATTCTTGGGGGTTGAGGGCGATTTTCTATACAAATACGAGGGCTTTTCTTGTAGGGGGATGCTGAAGTAGTGTGGAAGAATGAAATATCACATAGACGTGGGTTTCCAACCTGTCAGGTGCATTATTATTTGATTCCAGCTTGTTAAAATAACTGCAGCACTCATTTAATACATAGTAATAGCTTCCTTAAAAATATCAAAAGTTCAACTATAATTTGTGTAGTAAGTATAAAACAAACAACTCAACTGAAGACAGGAAATGGGAAAGAAAAATAGTGAGTTCATTTTAAGCTAGTTATATACACAAAAATTAACATTAAGTTAAATTCCTATGTTATCCCTAAACTTACATTCGCCATGTTTCCTCATTTCCCACTATTAACTCAAACATTGTTTCACAAACTTTGACCTCCATAAACACAGGAAGCATACATTTTAATAGGGTAAAGATGGGCTTTGTAGCAAAATAATTTTGTAAGAGGGCCCTTATCTCTTTGCATTTGATAGCAGGGAAGGAACCTCTGACTTATGAAGGAGGAAAGAGAAGAGTCAAATTTATGTGACTTGAGCCCTTTGCTTCAATCTGATTAGTTAGCAAATCGTTTTTTCAAATTGTTTAGTTCACTAAGCCATTAATTCAGCTTCCTTATCAGCACAGAGCAAGGCATTTTATAGAATAGCACTGGAATAAACAAAAGCACTTTAACTCCAAGTGATTTGCTTCATCGTTTCATTAAAGCTGACTCTGTTCAAATTGTGTCTGATTTCATATTTTCCTCTCTTAAAGAAGGGCTTATGTTATTTTATTGGCCCATAGGTTAAAAAAGAGAAACAAAAAAGGATGTTTTCAGACAGTGATTGCGTCGTTTAGATATTGCATTCAGCTACTAGTCACAGACACCCAGTGAGAGTCCCTTAAGCAAATTAGAAGCTTATTTTTTCTGCCATATTAGAAGGATGGATGATGACATGAGCCCAGTGGCGCTGTGCAGTGCCAAGGACCCAGGCTCCTTGAGACTTCTTGCTCTTCATCTTTGGTCGCTGGCTTTCATCCTCAAACTCACCTCATGGTGCAAGATGGAAGGAGCTTCAGCAGCCATCATGTCTCCATTCCAGGGAGGAAGCAGGAGGAAGAGGGGCTGGTCTTCTTTTAAAAAAACTTTCCAGAAGTCACACCCCACCACTGGCCATGTTCCAGACGACTCTCACTGGCCTTTTGTTGACCTCACCCACCTCTGTGGCCCTTGGCCACTCAGCCACCCCTGCATGGACTCTGATCCAGCCCGACAGCACCTTGCCTCCTGCCTGCATCCTGCGTATCTTGTTCCAAGGTTTCCCTATTGTTGCTGAGACCTGAGGAGCCACAGAGAGTCCACGTGACACCCATGCTAGCATGATCCAGAAAGGCAGATGAGTTGTTGCTTCACAGGTGGAGCTTTGGCTAAGGGGAGATGAGAGCAGTCAGTGTGAATGAGATAAGCTCTTCTCCCCTCCAGCCCCCACCTCCAGTAGTTCAGTTGCCTTTTGGGGCGGGGCCCCGTGAAATTAAGCAGTCAGTTGCACTGTCCAGCTTAGTAACATATCCTCATATAGGCTCTCTCTCCTCCCCTGCTTTACTTCCCCTGTCCCTCACCTCTGCTTTCCTGGGATTGCATTCTCCAACAAATTAGTAGCACATATAGTTTTATGTCAGGTTCTGTTTTCTTGGGAACCCAGGCTAAGGCAAGGCAGAGCTTGGTGACATGGCCATATTCCATTGCTAAGGGGCCAAACAATGTAGTATTTTAGTTGGTAATATTGACATCTCTAATAACATCAGATTTCTATTGCTAAGGAAGGATGGTAGAAGCCTCTGCTGTAGTGACACACGGCATACAGAAAAGTAAACTGAGTGATGGCAGACAGTAAGCAGGAGCAGGGCCACATCAAGGACTGTGTCTACAACTGGCTCAGTCTCAATTGCAGGCCAAGTCAACATTGAAAAATTCCATCACCTGCATTTTTGGTAAGCTGGAGATGCTGGTGCCTTTGGGAATGCAGCACAGGGACAAAATCAAAGCGAGACAAATTGCACCAGCTGAGATTGTTTTTTCCTCTTGAGTCTGGAAGAGTCCCACTATCTAGATGCAGCTTGCAGCTACAGTCCCCCAAGGCATGGTGTAATTCAAGCTAAGCTGCTTCTAGAGAAGACGGTCTTAGGAGATCTTGGCCGCCGTGCCAATAAAGTGACTCAAGAGGCTGCTCAGCTGCCCCCAGAGGTCTATTATTTTTATCAGGACTGTGGAAAGTGGGAGTTAGTAGGTGCCAGTGGAAGTGAAGTAAGGTGGGGAGCCTAGATGAAAATAGAAGTTCAAGATTTAAAAAGATTTAAGAAGACTTACTCTCATGGGGCAGGGCCATCAGCACCAAGAAAGCAGCTGGTTAAGATGCAAGTGAGTTGGGCATGGTGGCTCATGCTGTAATCCCAGCACTTGGAGGGGCCGAGGCAGGAGGATGACTTGAGTCCAGGAATTCAACACCAGCCAGGCCAGGATAGCAAGATCAAGTCTCTACAATAATAAAATTTTTTTTAAAATTAGCTGGGCATGATGGTACATGCCTGTAGTCCTGCCTACTTGGGAGGCTGAGGCAGGAAGATCACTTGAACCCAGGAGTTTGAGGCTGTAGTGAGCTATAATGGTACCACTGAACTCCAGCTTTGATGACAGAGTGAGATCCTGTCCCTAAAAGAAAAAAAAATTAAAAAGAAGAAACCAAAATAGTTGAAGTAGGAGAAAGAAAATGGGGTTACCCAGAGACCTTTAAGGACGGAAGGTGAGAACAAGTCCTAAGGAGTTTGATCTGTATGGACGTTTTTCTTGGTTGCGCGTACAGGGGCTGGCATCTTAGCTTGATTCTTTTGGGTTCAGCTTGTTTTTTCTTTCTAATTTTGGACATTACTTGCAAAATACAAAATCTCTGGAAAGCTTCAGACCTTAAACACATTATTGATCAGTGAATACCTAAATAGGGATTAGTTGATAAATCCTGACAGCCACAGGACCCTTGGTTGTGGGGTGTGGGGATGTGGGGCTGGCATGTGGAAGAGAGCACCTGGGGCCTGAAGCAGACAAAAGGACAGAGTTACCAGTAAAGGGCTGGTTGAAGTCCACAGCATTTGATTCTCTTCCGTAAGCAGCTCATCAAAGCTGCAGAATGTTAGAAATACCAGGAAGAGTACAAACAGTGCCAATCATATCACAAACCATTAGTCCAAAATCACAGTGCAACCCAGATTGTCTTAATAAATGAGCAAAGCCAGGACAAACTTCACAGCCTAATTTTATTAGGTGCTTCTCAAAGTGCAGAGAGAAAGGATGAAACCAGATAGGATGCTTTAGGCTGCAAGTAACAAAAAATCCAGACACAGTGCTCTTAAATAATATGGCCAGTTGCAGGGGTGGTTATTCAGAAGTTCAGCAGCATCTTCACAGGCCCAGCATTTTCTTTCTCTCCTTCTGTGTGGTTCTACCATCCTCAGCATGCCAGCTGGGATCTCCTCTTGGTCCCAAGGTGGCTGCCATGGACCCAGACATGGAGCAGAAATGCAAAAATGTTTTGTTCTCCAAGTATTTCTTCTCAAGTTCTCATTGCATTAGCAAGAAAACTTTTCCAGAATCCCTTCAGCCAACTTTCTTTCATGTCTCATTGGCCAGAACTGCCTCTGCCCAAGCCTCACCCTGGAAGGGAAAAGGAGCTACCACAATTGGCGTAAACTTATCTTGATACACCGCTTAGGGCTGGAGCTGGGGCCCATTTTCCCTAAAGCACTTAGCGACGTGTAGGAGGCTGGACACCTGGTGGAAATCTTAATCTTTCTGAGACTCAGTTCATCTGTAAGACTGAACTAATAGTTGTGTGTACTTCACAGACTGGTTGTGTTGAATAAATAAGATAATGGGTGCGAAGTGTGAACCACACAGCAAACGCTCAGTTAGTGGTTGCTATGATTACAGGAGTTTCAGCTGTAGAATGTGAATCGCTCCTGTCACAGAAAAAAGATCAAAGCAAGGGGAGAATCACAGTTGCAGTGCCTGTGGCACTTAGAGAAGGTGTTCTTTCTGTTTGATGCTGAAGCACTAGTCCTCACTCTTGTGTCTAAATGGTAGTCTTTCTATCTCCCCACAAGAATTCAGGGACGTTTCATGATGCTGGCATTACAATTGTCTTGTCAGCTTTTGCTGTGACAGATGAGACACAGGCTGCAGAATTTGGACATTGGAATGGAAGATTAAGCACATACATTCCCTGTGTACTGCTCAAGGAAAAACATATGTTCTCTGAGGTTTCCATCTCTGGGGTCTCAATAAGCTGCCTGGCAGATAAGGACTGCAGCTTCCTTACGTTCTGACTGCATTCAAGGCAGGGCCTCAGGCTATAGGCCTGAAGCTCCCCCAAGCTGTCCTGTTGCCACTCTGGCTTCCCCAAACCGGGGGACAGACAGTGAAATGGGCATATGCAGCAGACACACCAACCTGCATTTGAACACTGGCTCAGCCGCCTACCAGCTGTGTGACTGTGTGCAGGTCACTGAACATCTCTGCAGCTCAGTTTATTATATTTTATTTTTTCATCTGGAAAGTAGGTTTCATACCTATCTTGCAAAGCTGTGAGGTTACAGATAATGCATGTGAAGTAGCTATCATTTAACATACATTCAATAAGTGATAGCCACTGTGATTACTGATTGGGTTCATTTTTGTGCATATGTATGCATATATTTTATTTTTAACAGCTTTATTATATTTATTATGTTATATGAGGTATAATTTACATACAGTAAAATTTGTTCATTTTAAGTGTGTGGTCTAAGAAGCTTTGGCTAATGTGTATCCATGTAACCACCACCATAATCGACATATGGAACATTTCTATCACCCCAACATTGTAGGCAACCCTGACCTCCCTCTCTGGCCTCAGACAATCACTGATTTGCTTTCTGTCATAGGTTTTTTGCCTTTTATTGAGTTACATAAAAACAGACTCATATAGTATACAGCCTTTTGTGTCTGGCTTATTTCCCCTTGCATAATGTTTTTAAGATTTATTTAGTATCACATGTATATTCATAGTTTGCTCCTTTATATTACTGAATAGAATTTCATTTGCCAGTTGATAGACATTTGAACTCTTTTCAGCTTGGAGCTATAATTAATAGTGATGCTATAAAGATTCATGTACAGTGTGTGCACCTATGCTTTTATTTCTCTTGGGTAAATACCTTGAAATGGAATTTCTAGGTCATATGGGATGTTTAATTTTATAGGAAACTATCAACTGTCTGCCAAAGTGGCTGTAGCATTTTGCTCTTCCGCCAACAGCGCATGAAATTTACAGTTGCTTTAAATCCTCCCCAGTACTTGATATTGCCATTTATTTTAATTTTAGCTATTCTAATGTGTGGCTGGAGGTGTCTCATGGTTTAAATTTTCACATCTCTGATAGCTAGTGATGCTGAGCATCTCTTCATGTACTCGTTGGCCATTAGTATGACTTTTTTGTGAAGTCTCCATTCAATCTTTAGCTCAATTTTTAATTGAGTTGTTCATCTACTTATTGTCATGTTGCAGAATTCTTGAGATATTCTGAGTTCAAATCCTTTGCCGATATGTTTTACAAAAATTTCCTCCCATTTTGTGACTTGCATTTTCATTTTCTTAATGATACCATTTAATAAGCCCAAGTATTTTATTTTGGTGAAGTCCAGAGTATTCAATTTTTCTTCTATGGTTTGTATTTTTGTGTGCATGTTATATCTAAGTAATCATTGCCTACCTTAAGGTAACAAAGCTTGCCTGGGCTGGATGTGGTGGCTCATGCCTATAATTCCAGCACTTTGGGAGGCCGAGGTGGAAGGTTCACTTGGGGCCAGGAGTTCAAGATAAACCTGGACAACATAGCAAGCTTCTGTCTCTACAAAAAGTAAAAATATTAGCTGGTGTAGAGGCATGCACCTTTAGTCCTACTTTGGATTATGAGGCGGGAGGATTGCTTGACCCCAGGAGTTCGAGGTTACAGTGACATATTGCACTACTGCATTCCATCCTGGGCAGCAGGGTGAGTCCCTGACTCTAAAATAAACAAATTAAAAATTAACAACAACAATAAAACAAAAACAAAGATTATATCCTACTTTAGCTTTTACATTTAGGTTTATCATCCAGTTCAAATTAATTTTTATGCATGGTGTGAGGTAAGAGTCAAGGTTCATTTTTTACCCCATATGGATATCCAATTTTGTAGCATCACATATTAAAAAGACTATCCTTTCCCTATTGAGTTACCCTAGCATCTTTGTAAAGAAATTGATCATATAAGTGTGGATCTATTTCTGGACTCTATTTTTGTACCATTGATTCATATGTCTACATTTATGCCAATACCACATTGTCCTGATTAATGTAGCTTTATAGAAAGTTTGAGATCAGTAATTTCCTTTGTTCCTTTTCAAAATATTCTGGTTATTCTAGGTCTTTTGCACTCTCAAATACATTTTAGAATCAACTCGTGACTTTCTACAAATAAGTCTGCTGGGATTTTGATTAAGGTTGCATTGAATCTATAGGTCAATTTGAGGAGAAATGGCTTCTTAACAAGACTGAATTTTCTAGTCCACAGATATGGCGCATTTATCCATTTATTTACATCTTCTTTAATTTGTCTCAGTAATATTTCATAGTTATTAATGTAAAGATATTGCATATGTTTGATCCAATTCATTCCTAAGAATTTTTTTTGTTATTATAAATGAATCTTAAAAAATTTTTTTCTAGTTGTTTCTGGTATTTAGAAACGTAATTGATTTTTTTTTTCTTTGAGACAGAGTCTCCCTCTGTCGCCCAGGCTAGAGTGCAGTGGCATCATCTTGGCTCACTGTAGCCTTAACATCTCAAGCTCAAGCTATCCTCTCACCTCAGCCCTTCAAGTTGCTATAACTACAGGCGTGTGCTACCACACCTGGCTAATTTTTGTATTTTTTGTAGAGATGGGGTTTCACCATATTGCCCAGGCTGGTCTTGAACTCCTGAGCTCAAGGGGTCCACCCGCCTCCCAAAGTACTGGGATTACAGGTGTGAGCCACCGTGTCCAACCAGAAAGGTAATTGATTTTTGCATAGTCACCTGATTCCTGTGACCTTACTAAATTCGCTTATTAGTTCTGGTAGCATTTTTTATGTTCTTTGGGATTTTATATATACATATTAATAATAGGTTATTTAAAAATATAGACAGATTAATTTCTTCTTTTCCAAACTACATGCCTTTATTTCCCTTTCTTGCCAAATGCATTGACTAGGACTTTGAGTAACATGTGGCATAGAAGCAGGGGGAGCAAAAATTCTTGCCTGGTTACTGATCTTAAGTAGAAAACATGCAGTGTTTCACCATTAAGTATGATATCAGTTGCAGGATCTTCACAAATTCTATTTATCAAATTAGAGAACTTTCCCTCTCTTTCTAGTTTGATTAGAATTTTTTATCATGAATGACTGTTCAATTTTGTTAAATACAATTTTTTTGCGTCTATTGAGATCATCATAGCTTTTCCTACTTTACTGTATTAGTATGATAAATTATATTGATTTTCAGACATGAAATCAACCATTCCTGACATAAAACTTACCCAAATTTAATGTATCATTCTTTGCATATGTTGCAGAATTTGATTTGCTAATATATTTTAAGAATTTTTATATCTAAATTTATGAGTGATATTGTTTTCTTTTGATATTTTTGAATGCTTTTGGTATTGGAACACTGGGTTTATAAAATAAGTTGGGAAGTGTGGTAAGCTAAATAATAGCCCCAAAGATTTGTCGATGCCCCAAGTCCCCAGAGTCTCTAAACATTACCTTTATGGATAAAAAGTTTTGCAGATATGATTAAGTTAAAGTTCTTGATATAATATTATCTTGAATTATCAAGGTTGTCTGTAAACACAATCAGAAATGTCCTTGTAAATTGGAGGCAGAGGGAGATTTCACACAGACAGAAGAGGAGAAGGCACACAGAAGAGAAGGCAATGTGATCAAGTAGACATAGCTTGTGTTAATGAGGCCAGAAGCAGAGGGATGCCAGCAACCACCAGCAGCTGGAAGAGGCAAGAGAAGGCTTCTATCCCAGACCTGCTAGAGGGAATGTGACTCTGTCCACATCTTGATTTTGGCCCAGTGATGTTGATTTTGGACTTCAGGACTTCAGAACTGTGAAGGAATACATTTCCATTTTTTTAAGCCACCTAGTTTGTGGCATTTTATTACAGCAGCCTCAGAAAACTAATAGAAAAATATTCCCTTCTCCTGTATATTCTGAAAGGGTTTGTGTAAGATTGGCATTATTTCCTTTTAAAAATATTTCTTAGAATTCATTTGTGAGGCACTCTGGGCACACATTTTTTAATGCAAAAGCTTTAAAATGACAATTTCAAGTTTTAAAAATTAATATGGGGCCAGTCAGGTTTTCTATTTTGTCCTGAGTTAGTTTTGGTTATTTGTGTCTTCCAAAGACTTTGTCCATTTCATTGATATAGTTGTGTTTATTAGCATAAAGTAGTTCATGATAATTTGCCTGTTCTCTTTTTAATGCCTGTAGGATCTGTGGTAATGTCCTCTCCTTCATTCCTGATGCTAGTAATTTGTGTGTTTTCTCTTTGTTCTTAATCAATATAGCTAGATATGTATCACTTTTATTGATCTTTTTAAAGAGCTACTTTTAGTTTCATTAATTTTCTCTATCTTTTGTCTAATTTTTACTTATTTTTAACCCATTTGCTTTTACTTATTTTGAACTTAATTGGTTCCTTTTCTAGCTTCTTGAAGGAAAATCATAATTGATTTCAAGCCTTTTTCATTTCAAATATAAGCATTTGAAACTATAAATTTTCCTCTCAACATTGCTTTAGCTAACATAAATTTTAATTTCTAGCATTTTCATTTTCATTTAGTTAGAAATACTTCTGAGTTGTTTTGTCACTTCTTTCTCTGACCCATGGGTTATTTAAAAATGTAATACTTAATTTCCAAATATCTGGGAATTAAAAAATATTTCTGTTATTGCACTCTAATTTTATTCTGTTGTGGGTCAATAAACATGTGCCATATGAATTCATTTTTAAAGATTTTATTGTGATTTATTTTTTGGCCTGGTATATAGTCTATCTTGATGAAAGCTGCATGTGCACTTGACAATCCTACTGTTGTTAAGTAGAATGTCAATACATGTCAATTTGATCAAGTTGGTTAGCAATTTTATTCAAGTTTTCTATAGTTTTAGTGATTTTCTGTCTACTTGTTCTATCTATTACTGAAAGAGGACTGTGAGACTCTTGAACTCTTTTGTCTATTTCAGTTTCATCAGCTTTTGCTTTATATATTGTGGAGTTCTGTTATTAGGTGTATATAAAGTTATAATTGTTACATCTTAAAATTTTCCTGTCTCTGGAAAGCTTTCTTGTATTAAAGTCTATTTTGTATGATATTAATAGAGCCTCTCCATCTTTCTTATGCTTGCTGTTTACATGCTATGTCTTTTTCATTATTTTATTTACTTTCTTTTTCTTCTTTTATACTTTAAGTTCTGGGATACATGTGCAGAATGTGGAGGTTTGTTACATAGGTACACACTTGCCATGGTGGTTTGCTGCACTCATCAACCTGTCATCTCCATTAGGTATTTCTCCTAATGTTATCCCTCCCCTAGCCCCCCATGCCCCAACAGGCCTCGGTGTGTGATGTTCCCCTCCCTGTGTCCATGTGTTCTCATTGTTCAACTCCCAATTATGAATGAGAACATGTGGTGTTTGGTTTTCTGTTCCTGTGTTAGTTTGTTGAGAATGATAGTTTCCAGCTTCATCCATGTCCCTGCAAAGGACATAAACTCATCCTCTTTTTATGGCTGCATAGTATTCCATGGTATATATGTGCCACATTTTCTTTATCCAGTCTATCATTGATGGGCATTTGGGTTGGTTCCAAGTCTTTGCTATAGCGAACAGTGCTGCAATAAACATATGTGTGCATGTGTCTTTATAGTAGAATGACTTATAATTCTTTGGGTATATACCCAGTAATGGGATTGCTGGGTCAAATGGTATTTCTGGTTCTGGATCCTGGAGGAATTGCCACACTGTCTTCCACAATGGTTGAACTAATTTACCTCCCACCAATGGTATAAAAGCATTCCTATTTGTCCACATCCTCTCCAGCATCTGTTGTTTTCTGACTTTTTAATGATCACCATTCTAACTGGCGTGAAATGATATCTCACTGTGGTTTTGATTTGCATTTCTCTAATGACCAGTGATTATGAGCCTTTTTTCATATGTTTGTTGGCTGCATAAATGTCTTCTTTTGAGAAGTGTCTGTTCATATCCCTTGCCCACTTTTTGATGGGGTTGTTTTTTTCTTGTAAATTTGTTTAAGTTCCTTGTAGATTCTGGATATTAGCCCTTTGTCAGATGGATAGATTGCAAAATTTTTCTCCCATTCTGTAGGTTGCCTGTCACTCTGATGATAGTTTCTTTTGCTGTGCAGAAGCTCTTTAGTTTAATCAGATCCCATTTGTCAATTTTGGCTTTTGTTGCCATTGCTTTTGGTGTTTTAGTCATGAAGTCTTTGCCCATGCCTATGGCCTGAATGGTATTGCCTATGTTTTCTTCTAGGGCTTTTATGGTTTTAGGTCTTAGATTTAAGTCTTTAATCCATCTTGAGTTAATTTTTGTATAAGGTGTAAGGAAGTGATCCAGTTTCAGTTTTCTGCATATGGGTAGCCAGTTTTCCCAACATCATTTATTATACAGGGAATCCTTTCTCCATTGCTTGTTTTTGTCAGGTTTGTCAAATATCAAATGGTTGTAGATATGCAGCATTATTTCTGAGGGCTGTGTTCTGTTCATTGGTCTATGTATCTGTTTGGGTACCAGTACCATGCTGTTTTGGTTACTGTAGCTTTGTAGTATAGTTTAAAGTCAGATAGCATGATGCCTCCAGCTTTGTTCTTTTTGCTTAGGATTGTCTTGGCTATACAGGCTCTTTTTTGGTTCCATATGAAATTTAAAGTAGTTTTTTTTTCTAATTCTGTGAAGAAAGTCAATGGTAGCTTGATGGGGATAGCATTGACTCTATAAATTACTTTGGTTAGTATGGCCATTTTCACAATATGGATTTTTCCTATCCGTGAGTATGGAATGTCTTTCCAGTTGTTTGTGTCCTCTCTTATTTCCTTATATGTGAACTTACTGCTAAAAGCTGAGGTATTTGCCAAGAGAAAATTTGAGAAGGTAATTAGAACAAGGGGAGCCATATGATAGGTCATCATGCATGCAGACTTACAAAAGGCAGAGGAAGTTCAGAGAGGTGGTGGCTATTGGAGAATGAGAGAGGGGAATGTTGTCACTGAAAGTATGACAGATCCGAGGTTCAACTCATGAGCTGTAGCTCATAAAAGACATGTGGTTTTTGAAAGATAAAGAGAACTGGGGGGTAGGAGGCAAGATTTGGAAACTTAGTTGAGGCACTTTTTAACTAAAAAATCTACAAAAATTGTGCTAATATGAAAAAAGCATATTTTACTGCAACTTTGACTATTTTATACCTAAGGGTAAGCTGAGTTAGAGAAAATCTGACAGTGAAAATGTTTAGAGATATTTATAGAAATAAATAGAATGAAATGAAATAAATATCCAAAAAAGAATGACTGGAACTGGAATGTTGCCATGACTAAGAAACTATTAACCCCACTTTATAGATGAGGAAAGGACTTTATGTTTTTGCATAATCTGTAAGTTTAGGGTGAATCAACACATTCTTGTTGTGTGATAAAATATTTTTTTTTTCTCCCTGTAAAACACTAGCAAGTAAAATGTGCTCTACCCTGGGTTTGTTATGTTTGTTCCTAAGGAAAGTCTTAAGTATTGCACTCGTTCTGCTACTCAAAAAGCACCTTTAATCACTTGGCAGATGTGTCAGTGGCAAAGGAAAACGTGAAATCCCGAGCAGCTCATTAGATGAGCTGTAAGATAGAATTGGTTACATTTAATTTCAAAGTTCTCTCACATTTCTCTGTAAAGGGCTTATTGCAATATAGAATTATGAACTGGGAGGTTGTCTTATCTTGGGAAAATTTAATATTTCATCTTGTCCTTTAATGTGCTTGCCAAGGTATTTAAAGAGCTGAGTAAAAATTAGGATGACTGGTATTAGAATGATGAAAAATGCTTTAAGCACTTTAAACCACTGGGTGTAAATTCAGGAAGATAAGGTTAAGAAGCCCGCGTATGCTGCCACATGGTAATGTCAAGGTTGAAATGGACATGGTGACATTCCACAGTGCAATGAATGACAACCGAGTGCAATTAGCTGCCTCGTGTAGCCAGGTCTCCCAAGACTCATCAGTGGCACTGATGGGGGTCATATCAACACCGATAGATCAGCTTGTGCCCTCACCTACTGACAGCACCTCCTGCCTTGGAAAGTTCCCTCAAGGCAGGTTTCAGTGTTCCTGGGGTTTCATGTGTGTATTCCTGAGTGATCACTCCCCTAATAGCTTTGCCATGTCTCCCTTCTCTTCTATGTTGAAGCCTGAGGAAGAGGTGTGGGGAAGGGTGAAAATGTCCCCATCTAGTTCATCTTATGCTCTGTGAGCCATGGGGAATGCAGGCTGCTAGTGCTCTCAATGATAGAGGCTGCAAGGAAGCCTCTCTCTTATTCTCCTTGCAACCTTTCTGTTCCTGGGATGCAGTCCATGAAGATAGACATGGGATAGTCCACAGGACAAACACTGCCAGACTCAAAATAGTCGTTCTCCTCTGGTTCTGAGGTCTGATTACCTGGCCAAGTGGATGCTTCTGTTGCCTTGGTTCCTTAAGGGGGATTTTTTACAGTTAGGCTTTCTGTTCTGTGAAGGCAGGGGCCATACTTGTCTTGTTTAACTCTATATCACTGCAGGGTGGGCAAACAATAAATACTTGTTATCGCTCTGCCTGGGACTCTCAAGTCTTTTGGAAAACAGGTTCTCCTGGGGCTGGCCCCACAAGTTTGCTGGAATTGCCTACGTTCCATCTTGGGCTCAAGCTGGAACCCTCACTGAATTTAAAATGTCTCATAATATATCTTCTGGTAGTTACTTTATGCTTAATTGTTTTATTCCTAGAGAGCTTCGAAATTGTGATAACCTTTATTGCCCAGGTTGTTATCATTTCAACTTATGTTTTTCCTGACCTCCACCGGTTAGTTTTCTGTTTAAATGTAGACTAACATGAGCATGTCAACATTTTAATCATGACGAAATAATTGCCCCTTGCCTTGACACTAACAAATCATATGACCTTGGGCTAGGGTTGCTAGAGAAAACACTGACCATCATTCAGTGTGAATTTCTGGTAAGTAATGAATAATTTTTGGTATAATTATGTCCCATGCATTTTGGTGGTAGAGCGTAGTGCCAAACTTATGCTAAAAATTCTTTTTGGTCTGAAATTCAAATTCAGTGAGTTTTCCTGTTTTTCTTTTTCTTTTTTATTCTGGACAAATCATTTTTATTTTCTGTGTTTCTGCTTGTTCATCTACAAAATGAAGTATCAACCTTGTGTACCTTGTTAATCTAAAGCTCAAATGACATTAAGTACATTAATATTTGTTCATAAGAATTTTCAATAAAATGTGAGATATTGTTAGTCATACAATAATGTTTATTGGGTATCTGTACTTGTTCTTGCTGATGTTAGCCACATTTACTCTAGTGAATTAAAAACAAGTAGAAGACAGGTTTTGCTTTTAGGAGCTTTGTAGATAGCTAAGAAGATAAGCTCTATGGCCTTTCAGACACTACAGAAGATAAGCAAACACAGTGTAAGGTAGTAAGAACTGTAGTGTAATGCTAGATGAGACTGGACAGGCAACACTCCAGGAGGATGCTGAGGATTGAGTCTTGCATTGGACCTGAAGGACTTAGTGGATCCTGGACTCCTTGCTGGGAATCCTCAGCAATCCTGTGTGTGTCCCTCTGTAGAATGACAGAAACAGGGAACATTATGAAGTCCAGAAACAAAGCTGAAAAACAATGAAGAAATTTGCCTCTGGAGCATAACTTCAGATCCATGGTCCAAGTTCCAATGTGAGTTAATTTGTTACCATTTTTAATTTATTTTCAACTTGGAAAACAAGCTAACATAATGTTCTTTACAAATGAGAAAATCCTCCAGTCCCCCATATAATCCCTCTTTTTAGTACATATTTAAAATGGAAGATTATGCTGTTTTTTAATTCATTTATTAATTATTCATTTAAAAAATGGGTATTGAGCACCTGCTATGTACCAAGCAGGTGCTAGGTGTATAGGGTTTTTTTTTCATTATTATTTCAATACGTTTTTGGGGAACAGGTGGTGTCTGGTTACATGAATAAGTTCTTCAGTGGTGATTTCTGAGATTTTGGTGCACCCATCACCAAAGCAGAACCCAATGTGCAGTCTTTTATCTCTCACCCCCCTTCCACCTTTTCTTCCAAGTCCCCAGTCCATTTTATCACTCTTATGCCTTTACATCCTCATAGCTTAGCTCCCACTTACGAGTGAGAACATACGATGTTTGGTTTTCCATTCCTGAGTTACTTCACTTAGAATAATGGTCTCCAATTCCATCAAGGTTGCTGCAATGCCATTATTTCGTTCCTTTTTATGGCTGAGTAGTATTCCATAATATACATATACCACAGCTTATCCACTTGTTGATTGATGGGCATTTGGCTGGTTCCATATTTTTGCAATTGCAAATTGTGCTGCTATAAACATGCATGTTGATGTATCTTTTTCATATGATGACTTCAAATATAATCAACTATCAAATGATAGTTGTACTTTTAGTTATTTAGGGAATCTCTACACTGTTTTCCATAGTGGTTATACTAGTTTACATTCTCACCAGCAGTGTAAAAATGTTCTGTATAGGGTATTTAAAGATAAAAATGGGACAACTTCATTGAGGAGCTCACTTCACATGCTTCTATAAATGGATCTTGAGGTCTTGTGTAGAGATTCTAGTGGGACAGCTAAGCTTTGAGTGTGCCCTTGACCTGGGAACCCTCTTTCTTTCTCTGTGAGGAATTACTTTTCCCAGTGAACTTGATATTTGTGTAGGATCATATGATCTAACCAGCTGATCAACTCTGGTCTTTAAGAAAGTACAGTTCACTCCAGCCTGGGCAACAGACGGAGACCCCGTCTCTTAAAAAAAAAAAAAACGACTGATGTTATAGTCAGATAACCATCATTTTTGAAAAACAAAATGAAGTCTGATGCAGAAGACAGGCGTGTCATGAACATAGCTAATACAGTAGGATAAAGAGATTGTGCAGATGCGGTAGAAGCAGAGGATACGGTGCCTGTGAGGGATTTCAGAGTAGGTGGCCCTGGGCTTTAAAAGAGCAGGGAGCTCACTACGGTGTGAACGTGGGAAAACATTCCTGGCAGGATGAACATCTTGTGCCTTTGAATAGCATTTGTCGTATTCTGCCTCACGGCTTCCTGCCTTCTTTCCACAGTTCCACCACCAGATTGTGGGTGCTTCCAGGCCCAACAGTGCTGTGTCTTAATTGTTTTTATATCTTCATCATCTAGCATAGTGTCATTCAAGTTGCAGTTTTCACTCAATGGGATAAAATTGTGTTGATAACCTTTTTGAATAGAATTCATAGTGGCAAGGTGGCATATGCAGAGCATGCTCTACTTATTATTAACAGGCACTGTGAAGACAAAGACTTTGGTTCAGACATTGGCTGGCCGCTCACTGGATTGTACAGTCTTGAGCAAGATACCCTCCCTGAAACTTTTCCTTAGAAGAAAAATGAGAAAAATAATATCTACTTTGTATGTTGAAGACTGAATGAAATTGTGTGTAAAATGTGACTGGCATAATTGCTGGCATCTTATTCAATATTAATTCCCCATACTCACCCATAATATACTCATTAAGCTGACTTAGAATTTAGTTGTACATTTGTTGGAAGAAAAACTTAAGGACCTGAAATATAGCCCACTACAGAATAAAAATTCTGCTTGTGGGAAATATAACTATGTTTACAGCTTCTTACACATTGTTACGTACCCACATATTACAAATATATCATGTTTACACGATTCCCCTGTGGGGGATGCTTTGGTTGGCGGATGGTTATGCATGCATCCCAGATGTGTTCTGCTGAGGCTGCATCTGGAAATCAGGAGGATATTTGCAAGACATCATGAACATTTGAAATGTCAAATTTAACAAGTATTGAATATATATTTTGATGCAGAATCATTATAGATAAAGAATAGTAACCCATGAGAAGTGTTTAAGAAAATAATTTTGGGGAAAGAAAACTATTCCCTCCACAAACCTCTGTGAATCAAAAGAGCTGATCATTATTTGATTTAGGGACATGGGCAGGGATTAGAGCTGTCTCAGGGCACCTACATTCCTCAGCAGCAGAGTTTGAGTCTCTGCTTTGTTAGATGAAGCAGTTTCAGTGAAAACTGGTTTCTAAACATTTTCAACAGTTTGAAACTGGTGTGCTTCCAAATATAGACCCAATCTTGAGAAAGGTAGGCTATTTTGGGGAATGGTCAATTTCTGGAAGACTAACTGAAGACTTAGTTTAAGCATTTGGATAATATTAGAGGATGTAAAAGTCCCCATTCCCCTTGACCATCTACCCAATTCAGTATCACTTTTGAGACAGGGAGTCATTCTATATCCGGGTTCCCAATCTTCTATGTTCTCCAATTGCCTGTTCTCTACCAGGGATGAAGAGAGGAAGCTGAGATTCATGAGGACTGTGTTCGATGGACAGTGTTTTCTACTTTCTATCCTGGTTCAGCAGGATGCAAGAGTAAACCTCAGATTGGGTTGAAAGATGGAGGAATGTCTTTGTTGTCTCTCATGAGTGCAATGCCCAGGACAGAGGGTTTAAGTGGCTTGATCTGTGTGAGACAGTTAACATTCCTGGGAAACATCTTCTAAGTAAGGAGCTGGTGAGGGGTGGAGGTCCTATGAAATTGAAGACAGCCTTGGCCCTCTGAAGAATATCACAGCCTAACTCCCAACTTCTCCAGCTGCATCTCCTGGCACATCCTCTGTCTCCCAACACATCCAATATGCCAGCCACATTGAGCTGATAATGATGGTATCATGACCCCAGGAGGATTTCACAGAGCTGCAGAAGGGAAGTATGCTCCAAACACTATTTGTCCCTACACATGCTATTCATTTTGCTTGGAATACACTTCATCCCATTATTGGCTGGAAAGCTCCTATTCATCCTTCAAGAACTTCAGCAAATATCACCTCTTCTGTAAAATTTTCTTCAGCACCCCAAGGCAGTTAGTCAATTCTTGGGGCTCTTATGGCACATCTGCTATCTCAATTATAGCATGTTTTGCACTATTTTGCAAGTCACCTGCTTATGTGTCTGCTTCCCTGCTGCACACATTGTTTGCTGCCTATTAAAAACCTTTCCCTTTCCCCGCCCCTTCTTTCTTTCTTTTTTTTTCATATTGGACAGAGATTTTAGTAGATTCTTTGAACCAGTAAGCTTCTAGTAGTTGTTGAGGGGCTCTGTGTGCATGTTAGGGCAGGCCTTTATTGCTCAGCTAGGCAGTTTATACTTCTGTCTTAGATTTCAATTCCTGGATATGCAGAACCTCAGAGTCAAACAAAAGTGTGAAAGCTTAGGTCCTTCTCCGGTCTGAGAACACAGCCCTTGGCATACGCACAGCATTACACATGCACATGACCTTCCAGGAATCTATCAGAGTTTTTTTTAAGCCTGCTGTGGACATCTAATTCTCCAGTTTTTCCTGTTAATCTTTTTGCTTAGCCTGCTGGTTGCTCTCCTAAGATCCACTTGCCTCAAGCAGCCAAGATATTTAACAGTTTCCTCTAATTGTTTTAAACAATTTCCCAGGGAAAAGGCTATCCTGCACTAGGTGAGCTCTGAGTGACATCAAAAAAGACAGCCTTAGGAGTGATCTTCCTGGGAACCACCAGACAGATCAAACAATGATAGTTTTCTGGCAATGGTGGTTTGAAGGAGCTCCATCCAACCCCATTTTGCCACCTCCATTGGCTGACAGGCTGCTGCTTTTCAAGACTAATGCCTCTTCTTACTGATGGAATCTTGATGTTGTTCAGGTAACCAGCTTCAAGGAAGGCTGGGCCTTCATTTCAGCTCCTGGGGATGTATCTTGATGAGCCCAAGCCAATCATGGCAGTTCTGGTTTGCCTGCCAGTAACTGATTTCAGGATGAGAGTGTGAGGCACTTCTGGCTGACGATGAGTCACCTGGGAATCAGGGACAAGGCAGACTGTGATTGTGTAAGTCTAGGGTGGGCCTGAGTGTCTGGATGTCTCCCCAGGGGAGGCAGAACTAGATACTGCCAGTGTGAGGTCCACACTTTCAGGAAGCTAGATGATTTCTAGGTTAAGCCTCCTCCTTTAAAAAAAGAGATATAAGAGGCCAGGCATGGTGGCTGACGCCTGTAATCCTAGCACTTTGGGAGGCCGAGGTGGGCGGATCATGAGGTCAGGAAATCGAGACCAGCCTGGCTAACATGGTGAAACTACGTCTCTACTAAAAGTACAAAAAAATTAGCCTGGTGTGGTGGTGCATGCCTGTAATCCCAGCTAATTGGGAGGCTGAGGCAGAAGAATCACTTGAACCCAGTAGACGGAGGTTGCTGTGAGCCGAGATTATGCCATTGCACTCCAGCCCAGGAGACAGTGTGAGACTCCATCTCAAAAAAAAAAAAAAAAAAAAGGAGAGCTGCAAGAGAAGAACAGGTCCTTTAAATGTCTCTGATGTTGGCTCTGTGAAGTGTGTTATCTGGAGCTGCAGTGTCTTGTGGCCACTAAAGAAGTAGCCAACATGCTGGGATGGCAGAATGGAAGGATGCAGAGAGCCCTGGCCAAGAGCTGATGCTGTTAAATTGTTGAGTGCAGCAACCCTGGAACTGCCAATTTTCAGTACATTTTACCATGTGAGATGATTAATGTCCTTGTGGTTTCAATCATTTTGATGTGAGTCTTCTGTTGCTTGCAGCCAGAAGTATCTAAAGCGTCCTTTGTGGGATGTGGGCTCCTTAAACTCAGGCATCCTGTGTTGCTAATCTCGGAATTCCCAGCACCAAGTATAGAGAACCTGGCCCATGGTAGTCGTTCCATACATGTTTACTAAATGAATGAATGAATGAATGAAGGCCTCGTGGGGTCAAGGAGATTGTCATTAACAGCTTGGTCCACAGGCCCTGAATTAATAGAGCAAGGCCTGAGATTTACATATCTGGATTTGAGGACTGTTGAATGTTGAATCCCACTTCTGCAACACATTCCATCTGAGATTTGGGTGATATTGATTAGCCTAAGTCCTGTAAAATGTTTAATGTTGTTTGTATTCCATCTCCCAAAAAGCCCGACAACTCCTTCAGATGGGTTTAGGTTAGCGTTTTTCAAACTGTGGATTGTAACCCCTTGGTACCTTGTGAAATGAATTTAGTGGGTTGCAACCAGAATTTTAAATCAACAGAATAGACCAGGAAAGAAAGTATCAGAGTGCATCCTATGTATCAAGGATAAGGCATTGTTTTATGAAATGTTTATTTCCATTAGGTATGTGTATATATCTACTGGGTCATGATGTAAAGTATATTTCTTACTCTAGGTTATGGTCATAAGCGTTGGAAAAACGCCAGCCTGGACCAAAGGTCCAGTGTCCCTCCGAGGAATTATGCATGTGCCACAATCCCACAGGGGCTCATAGCCACTACTCCCATTCCTTCCCTCTCCAGTCTCCAAGCCCCATGCTGAGTGGCCCGGCCTAGGAACTGTTCCTTTTTGAACTTTGCTGACTCTCCGAGGAAACAGCATTTTGAGGCCGCTTCTTTTACTCTTCATTCAACTGTTTCCTGTATTCAGCACTGAGGCTTCTGAGAGGCTCTCTGTATCCCTGTGAGTGGATCGGCCTCTTGCTGGCTGGCTGGCTCCAGGCCAGACCACACAGATCACAACCAGGGACTGCTTGGCCCCTGGGCCCAGCTGTCTGTGCTCTGCCCCAGCAGAGACCTTGGCCAGAGCCAGCATTTGGGGATCAAGGGGCTTTAACTATTTAGTGGCCTCCAATTTTGAGCCACATCTTGCTTTGCCTGCTTCTGGTTTGGGGCTAGATCTTGCTTTGCTTGCTTCTAGTTTTAGGCTAGATCTTGCTTTGCCTGCCTCTGGTAGTCCTGAGGAAGAGACATATTTAAGGACAGGACTTTGGTCCTGAGTTTGAGACATCAGTCTGTAGACTGTGTGGAGACTCAACAGCCATGCTTACCCTTTAGGGAGAGGATGCAGAAACCCAGCCCCCATCTCTTTCCCTCCCTATATATCCTGAGTCCTACTTATAATCCCAGTCTCCCCTGGGTCTGCAAATCAGCAGATGTCGGAGGTGCTGGAGAGGGGCATTCTTACCTCTCCTTCTTCCTATACAGTTTCCGTCTGCATATAAACCATGTTTCAGCCAAAGCCAATCTTCTGCAATTTCCCACCTTTGGGCAATTTCCCACCTTTGGGCACTTTCTTAGGCTGTGCCCTTCATCTGAAATTGCTGCCCCTCATCCAGCTTCTACATGTGGAAATCCCATCCATTTGCCAAGGTAGAGCTCCCATGCCACCATGAGCTTTGAAAACTTCTCACATCTTCCTTGCTGGATTGAACTGTGCTTCCCTCTGGGTCCCCCAGGGTTTTGTTGGTGCTCATATCACATTCTGCCTCACACTGTGGTTATTCAGTTTCCTGTCTGAGCTCCTCTGTGTGATTCTGAGCTCCTTACAACTGTATTTTCTTCGTCTCTTCTTAGCAAACTGCTAGGAACATAGCAGGTACTATACATGTTGTAGGAGTGATGTGCTGTTATTTCGGGGTTAAATATGGTCAGTGACATATACGATCCATTAATTTTCAAAAAACGTGCTAAGACCATTCAATGAGGGAAAGGATGGTCTTTTCAGCAAATGGTGTTGGGGAAATGAATCTCCACATGCAAAAGAACAAAGCTGGACCCTTACATTACAACACGTACAAAAATTACCTCAAAATAAATCCAAGGTCCAAACATAAGAGCTGAAACTGTAGAAAATGTAGAAGGGAAAAAGTTTCATGACATTGGATTTGGTGATGATTTTTTGGATATGACACCAAAGACACAGGCAGAAAAAAAGAAAATAGATAAATTGGACTTCATCAAAATCAAAACCTTTGTACATCAAAGAACACTATCAAGAGAGTAAAACGACAACCCACAGAAGAGGAGAAAATATTTCCAAATCGTGTATCTGATAAGGAGTTAATATCTGGGATACATAAGGAACTCCTACAACTCAAACAAAAATACAAACAACCCAATTCAAAAATAGGTAAAGGACTTGAATAGATGTTTCTCCAAAGAAGATAAGCAAATGGCCAAGTAATCACATCTGTTCACAATCTGTTCAAAATCACTAATCAGGCTGGGCACGGTGGCTCAAGCCTATAATCCCAGCACTTTGGGAGGCCGAGGCGGGTGGATCACCTGAAGTCAGGCGTTCAAGACCAGCCTGGCCAACATGGTGAAGCCCTGTCTCTACTGAAAATACAAAAATTAGCTGTACATGGTGGCGGATGCCTGTAGTCCAAGCTACTTGGGAGGCTGAGGCTGGAGAATCGCTTAAACCCTGGAGGTGGAGGTTGCAGTGAGCTGAGATCATACCACTGCACTCCAGCCTGGATGAGAAGAGCAAAACTCCATCTCGAAAAAAAGAAAGTCACTAATCATCAGGGAAATTCAAATCAAAACCTCAATGAGATGCCACCTCATACCCATTAGGATGGCTGGTATATAAAAAACCCAGAAATAACAAGTATTGTTGGGAATATGGAGAAATTAGAACTCTTGTGCACTGTTGGTGATAATGTAAAATGGTACAGCTGCTATTTTTAACTTTTCAAGGAAGCTGTATACTGTTTTCCATAGAAAAATTAAAAATAAAATTCTCATATGATCCAGCAATTCCACTTTTGGGTATAAAAAGAATTGAACGCAGGATCTCAAGGAGTTATTTGTACACCTATATTCATAGCAGCATTATTCACAGGAGCCAAAAAAAAAGAAGCAACTCAAGTTTCCATCAATAGATGAATGGATAAACAAAATATGGTCTATACATGCAACAGAATATTATTCAGTCTTAAAAAGAATAAAATTCTGATGCATGATGAACCTTGAGGACATTGTGCTAAGTGAAATTAGCTAGACAAAAGAACAAATACTGTCTGATGCCACTGATATGACGTACTTAGAACAGGCAAATCCACAGGGACAGAAAGTGGAATAGAAGTCACCAGAGGCTAGGGGAGGGGAGGAGAATGGGCGGTTACTTAATGGGCACAGAGTTTCAGTTCCACATGATGAAAAAGCTCTGGAAATGGATACTAGTGATGGGTACACAACAATGTGAATGTGCTTACTGCCACTGAACTGCATTCTTAAAAAGGATTAAAATGGTAAATTTATGTTATGTATGTTTCACTAACATAAAACAAAGAAAAAAAAAAGCTCAGTGAATTGCTAGCCTAGATGAGTAGGGAGGATGGTATCTCTTCTCCCGAATGGAGAAGAGTGATCAAGGTATTCCCAAGTGCTCAGGACCCTGGGGGACCATGAGATGCCTAAAACCTGCCCCACTTCCATCTCTGCCCTCAAAGTCTCCAGCATCTCTACAGAGGTGCAGGAGGTTGCTAAGTCGCCTAGTTGTTCTCTAAACTTGTGGTTCTAGAGGGTCCTGGGGTTCCCAAACTTCTCAGGTATCACAGTCAGGGGAGAGACCAGTACTCCATAATGTCTGTTTTTGGCTCTGATAGCCGGTCAAAGGAGGAGTCTGGGACCTCTGTTAGTGAGAACATGAAATTGTGGTCTACTTGGGCCAACGTGAGGAGTTCAGGGGTACTATAGTATTGGAGGAGACAGTGCTTCAGGGCAAGAGCTTCCTATGGGGTGTCTGCTGCTCCCCGAGGCCTGTGCCCCAGGAAAAGTAGTCTGATGGGGACACCCTGAGAAATGGTGGAAGGGCCAGCTCTCCTGAGAGCAGCCCAGAGTCCATGATCTGTGAGCTGCTGGGCCTTCTTGAGCAAAGACCTGGCTCTGGATCCCAGACCTTGAACCAGGTAGAGGATCCCAAGTATTGAGAAAACAACTATCTTTCCCTTTGAAATAGGAATTTAGTTTAGCCTAAATGAAATGAGTTTCTGGTTGCTGTTCTTGTTTTTAGCCCATGGCTTCTTGTTGAACAGTGGTTTCCTTCATTGCCTTCACCTAGCTCTCTTATTCTTAACTTGGGCTCCCCTCTTCACCCATGTCCTGGGCACAGTGCAACTTCATACAGATTCCTTTATCTTTCAAAAGTCCTTCCAAGATCTCAAGACCCTCTTCAATGGGTTGTGGCCTAATGTGATGGCTGTCACACACCCATGGTGTCTGGCTGACCATATGGGAGAGTGTTAAAACCAGAGACTTTGGGAGGCCAAGGCAGGAGGTCAGGAGTTTGAGACCAGCCTGACCAACACAGTGAAACTCTGTCTCTACTAGAAATACAAAAATTAGCTGGGCTTGGTGGCGGGCATCTGTAGACCCAGCTACTCAGGAGGCTGAGGCAGGAGAATTGCTTGAACCCGGGAGGCAGACGTTGCAGTGAGCAGAGATCATGCCATTGCACTCCAGCCTGGGAGACAGAGTGTGACTCCATCTCAAAAACAACAACAACAACAAAAATAACAGAGATTTCTAGGCCCCATCACCTTTCATCCTGGGGTAGGACCCAGAGTGCTATATATATTTTTTAACAGCCCTATTGAGATAAAAGTCACATGGGATCTCTCTTTTTAATAGCATCTCTGGTGATTCTGATGAGAAGCCAGGTTTGGGGGCCACTGGCTTAAGGGGGAAGTCAACCAGACCAGGCATAGTTCCAGGGGATATGGAGGGAACAAGTTCAACAACAAAACAATCCCACTCTCATTAAGTCTCCATTCTATACAGGAATATGATAGTCTATTAGTAGATAAATAAGTTCATTTCAGATGCTGAAAGGTGCTATGGGTAAAACAGGGCCATGTGAAGTTGACTGACTAGGGAGGATGATTTAGCTGGAATCCAGGAAGATTCTCTGAGCAAGCAGAGTGTTGAATGGTGAGAAGAGACAGCTATGTGAGGGGACAGGAAGAGGGTTCCAGGCAGAGGGAGTATCCAATGCTAAGACCCTGGAGGAGAGTGAGGCTGGCAGGTTCGAGGACTGAAAGCAGGACAGGTGGCTGGAGCTTAGTGTGTGGGTGGGACCTGGAGGCAGGTGAATTACAGAGGAGGCAGCAGGCTGGTCATGCAGGCCCTCTAGGTCTAGGTTGGGGTAAGACAGTGTGAATGTTATGATAACTGTAATTATCATGTTAAGCAGAGAAATGACATGGTCTTATTTATAAAGATCATGTGGCTTCTATGGGAAGATAGACTAGGGGCATGTGGAGCCAGGGGCTGTTGCAGAAATCCAGTTGCAAGATAATGAAGATTGGGTTAGGATCATGCCCTTGGAGATGGGGAGAAATGGGATCCCATCAGATTTGGGATCTACTTTACAAATAGAGCTATGAGCCTAATAATGGATTGGATATTGAGCACGAGGAAAAGAGAGGAATCAAGGATGATGCCTAGGTTTTTGGACTGATCAGCTAGAGAGTGGAGCCATTTCTCAAGATAGATAAGGCTTGGGGTGGGGATAGATGGCAGATGTAGGGGAGAAAATGAATATGTTTTAGTCATATTCTTTTGAGATGCTCATTGGACCTCCTAAGACAATATGTTAAGTAGGCACTTGGGTGTAAAGTCTGGATCTGATGGAAGAGTTCAGGGCTAGAAACACACATTTAAGAGTCAACAGAGTGTATGATCACCTGAGGGAAGAATATGGATTGAGATGAAGACCAAGACCAGAAAGCTGGGGTCAGTGGGACATTTAGAGGTTTGGTGTAGGAGGGTGTGATAACGCAGGAGATGGAGAATGATATGTGGGAGGTGGGAGAGAAGCAGATGAATGTGCAGCCTAGAGAAGGCGGCATTCAAGAAAGAGACAGTGGTTGACCTTGCTGAATGCCACTGAGAGAGCAAGCAAGAATGGACAGTGAATTGAATGATGTCTTTAGCAAGATGTAGGCCTTACTGGTTTAGTAAGGCCTACATCTTACTTACTGATGTTGTTTTAGTGGTAAGGGCAAAAGCATAACAGGAATAGAATGAAAAGAGAGTCCTTGTCCTAGTTCTCAGAGGACAGCTTCTCTTCCCTACTCAAGAGCTTGACTCACAAAACTGAAACTGTGTACCCGTTAAACAACAATTCTCCATTCCCTCTTCCCCCAGCCTTTGGCAACCACCATCCTACTTTCTGCTTCTATGAATTTGACTACTCTAGATACCTCATATCAGGGGAATCATACAGTATTTATGTTTTCATGGATGGCTTATTTCACTTAGCATAGTATCCTCAAGGTTCATCCATGTTGTAGCATGTGTCAGATTTGCTTCCTTTATAAGGCTGAATATATGTGTTAGACTTTCAATGTATGTTTATGTTCTGTTTCCCTCTCCACCACCCCACAGTTTCAAACAGATAGTTGTACTTTTGTTATTTCTCCTTATCTCAGGGATTTTTGCAGGGCTAAAAAGAAGAACCAGTTGAAAATAATTGCTCCTGCATTTTAAAAAAAATCTAAGCCACTGAAGACATAACTCAAGATTGATGGAGGCAGGGCATAGTGGGGACAGAAAGGATAGATGACACCTCCAGGACAGGAGGGGACACATGAGAGGATGGAGGAGTGGCACGATCCTCAGAGGAAATGGCTCGTGGGTGCTCAAGGAGTATGGGCTCCACGATGCAGATTCTGTGCCTCACCTGTTGCATGAAAAAGCACAAGCTTCAAGGGATCACATGAGCTGAGATCAGAGAATACAGTAGCAGCTGCTATGGACTGGAGGTAAAGGACCCTTTCTCCGTTTCACAGTTATTTCTTAAGCCTCATGCATCTAGGGCTATCATGAGTGATACTGAATTTTCTTCCAAACCACCGGGATGAGGCCTCAATTCAGAATTAAGCTACTCTAAATAGAGTACTATGTCTTTTACACCTGAGTTTGTGGAGTAAAATTCATTCCCACTATGCTCTGCAGTTTCCTTCTAAAGCATTGTAATTAACTTCCATGCATCATAGCATAGAGGTTTATAGAACAGTAGGATAATGGATGTGAAAACACTTTGAAAGGTTATAAACACCAAATAAATGGAAGGGGAGAAATAGCCATGCCGCACTCAGAATGAAAATCACCGTCCCATTAACCCAGAAAGCTCCAATAAACCACAGACCTAGCTAAACTAGAGAAGGTCACTCTTTTTAATAGTGTATGATCAACAATATTAGCTTGAATATGTTAACATCTTTTGTCATCAGAAGTTCCAGGAGAGTAGGAACTAGTATGAGATGAGCCCAGCTAAACGTTAAATATTATTAGTAGATTGCCACTTTTTTTGTTACAATTTATGTTAAACAGAGAGGAAATGAGGAAAGAAAGGAGGAAGAAACATTTTCTTTTCTCTACCTCCTTCCTGAAATTCTACCTTGCATCCTAATAATGTAAATACTGCTGGAAAGGGTAGGCTAGGGTAAGAGTAAGCTATTATCAGTCATTCATATTTACACTTGGCTCTTTCATAGGAGCTGAGCAGATTTGCTGGAAAGTGTAGTAAACCTGTGAGCAGTTAGAGAAAGCTCCCTGCTAGGGAAAAGCACTTTCCCTCTCGCTCAAATTATTTAGGGTGATAAGAATAAACTTGAGTGACTTTGATATTTGGTCCAGAGCACTCCAATCAGTACCAGACCAATCCGCCTTTGACGCAGATGGTAATTTGATAATTTCTACAAGAAATGGTTCAGATTCCTGCCCTACACTCAACAGTTCAGGCTGCAATCTCAATGTAGTTTAATCTTTAGAGGACCATTTGTTTTTTGCCGCAAGGCATTCTTTAAGTAGGCAGCCTGGCTCACTTGAGCACAGGCAAACCTGCACGTCGCAGCACCCAATCCAAATGGAAAAAAAAGTCCAGGGAAAACATTAATCAGGTGTGAATCTTACAGATGAGAAAATTGTGAGGGGCAGCAGGATAGCAGAGGAAAAGCATCTGTCTAGTGTTTGTTGGATCACCAAGCCCAGGAGGATGGGTTGCCTAGCAACTCCCAGTCACTTCAGACTAGTGCTAGGCAACAAGATGCAATCTGTCAGCCACATCTGATCGGTGTTTTCTCCTGGTTTTTAGAAGACATGTAGGTATTTCAGCAGCATCTAATTATCTTGATTTCATTCACTTCACTGTCTGCATCGGGTATCTAGTCTCCCCCTATCCCTCCCTCCTTGTAATGTTCAAATGCTCTTCTCATACAGGAAGGAACCTAAACCTTGGAGGGAAATTTCATCCATTTCAGGGAAGAGGAATATGAAAATGTGTCATTTTTGTTACATTAGGCATTTCCCACTTTTCATTAAGCCAGCTCTCTATGATCATTTTCAGGGTTCCTTACAGACATACAAATCGTTAGAGACACAAAGAGAAATCAACTGACAAATGCCTAGGAAACCAGGACCTATATTTCATGATGATGGTGGCCATTCTACCGCCTTCTTGCTTCCCCATGGGAGGAGAGATGGGCACGTGGTAATACGGCTTCATCTGATTTCTGCAGTCCAGCAATCAATGGTGTTTATTGAGCCGATTGAGCACTTTCTGTGTATTCATTTTTTTTCTTTTTAAATTCTCACGGTAACCCTATTGCTAGTTCCATTTCACATTTGAGGAAAATGTCTCAGGAAGCCCAAGTCTCTAAGACACGCAGTTCCTTGATGGCTCTAGGTGTCCTTTGGTGTCTTTCCAAAGGTATATGTGACATGGTCTGTGCTCATGGTCTGTGCTAGTTGGGAAACTGGTAATGATTTTGAATTATTGGATTTTTTAAAAATTCAAGACAAAATGGAATTTAGAGGGATTCAGAATAGGGGAAGTCTATGGTTGTCATCTTGCAGGGAATGAGCCTGTAAAAAGGCTTAAAGAAATTGAGGAGAGGATTCCATGCTCCCCTGAATATCCTTCCAGTAAAGCCACTAAAAAGCAGTGGCATCTTTTGGGTCTTCAGGCCAGTCTTTAACTTTCAGAGGGCAGTGCAAAAAGTGGAAACAAAAGTGAACCTAGACCGTACTCTGCCCCTGGTTTTGGTTGAACTTTAGACTCATAGTTTTACAAGCCCCTATATGCATAGGTCTCCAGGCACCCCACCACTTCATATAGGTCCTGGCTGCCACGTAAACATCCACCTATTCAGAGACCGGATTGAAAATGAGATAAATATTAATCTTTCCTGGCATGGCAGTGCCTGATTTTCCAATTAGGAACTAGAAAACAAACGGAAAATCAAGTTGCCCAGAGAACAGAAAAGGGCGGGGGTTGGGGGAACGAATCAAGAGGATTGGTTCAAGGTCAAAGTGAATAAGGTGATAACTTACCAGCATGTGAGCTATCTTTTTATTTTTAGAATAGCTCTTTCTAAGGTTTATTGCTTTTGGAAAGAAGTTTTAGGATATTATTATATTTGTATGTTCTAATGCCTGGGTATCATCCCCTACACACACACACACACACACACACACTCACTCACACACATCATGGCTTTGTTAAGCTATTGAGTCTCAGATCACCTGTAAAAGGTATTAAGTAGGGCAATGATTCTTAAACTTTAATGAACATATAAATCATCATGCCAAAAAGCAGATCCTTAGGTGAGGTGAAGCTCAAGATTCTGTCTTCCTAACAGACTTCTGATCCAGAAATCATATTTTGAGTAACAAGGCTTTAGAGGCTTACTGATTAGAGTCAGAAATTGGGTTAGAGGATCCCACAGGTACTTCTGCTTTTTAAGATATTATTCGTGATTAGAGTGTTGTTTAAACTGAAACCATCAAAGGTAGCAAAAATTGGCAGACTCACTGAATCTCAGCATTGGAGACCACTCTGTTCTCTGGAAAACTCCCTGCTGATGTAACCTATTCTTTTTCCCCAGCAGCAGTGAGGTTTGAAGTGATGCTTGACACCACGGTACAGAACCTCTTGGAATCCTTGCCAAAATTCTTTGAAGTAACTGTTATTACTTTTATTTTCAAAGTGAAGAAATGGATAGGAATGGCCATAAAGTATGAGCATGAACTGAAGAGAGGTAAACAATGATTAATAGCAATGTCTGCTGGGCTGCTCCAGGGATCTTTATTGCATTTTATCTAACAGCCTCATTAATGGTCTAGAAGAGGTAGATGCTAACAGAACTTTAATTACATTCATGGTGGATATTAAATTGGAAGTGATTGTGAGTCTCAGGAAAGGCAGAAAGGCAACCTCAGAGTACATGATGAGTAGAAGATAAAATGAAATCCACCATTAATAGGTGAAGAGAAATGCCTTCTGCACATGGCTGGCATGGAAATAATAAGGGTTTCAGAGACTGGCTTACTGTGTGCCAGACATTGTCCTGGGTGCTTTGGAGATTAAGTCTTTTGTTCTTTCCAGTAACATGATGGGGTGGACGCTATTGTAATTCTAACTTTAGGTACCTAAGGAGATTGAGGCTGGGAGAGGTGAAGGGGCTGACAAGGTACCCTGGTAGCAAGTGGTCTAGAAATTTAACAAAATAAATCCTCCTGAGTCTTTTGGTCTTATAGTTATTTTCCTATAGAGTTACAAAAGAGTTGTAAAACTATGCTTTAGACTTGTTTCTGGTTATTTGGCTTAAGTGAAATATTTTTTGTGTATTAGCCTCAGGACAACCTATTTCAAGAAATCCTTTTTGAGAGAGATGTTTATAGCATCCATTTCATGACCGCCATGACTACTTGGGCATCCAGAAAGGGGCCCTGGCTGTCAGAAAGCGGCACACACTTTGGGGGTAGAGGCTTGATCTGTTGGTTTACTCTACGTCTCCAGTTTCTAGAAGAGTGCCCGGCATACGGTAGACATTCAAGAAAGAATTACTAAAAGTATGTCAATTAGTCCACGTTGATTTAGCATCAATAGCTTTAACTTGGTATTCAGAAAGAATTAGGTAGTGGGTTTAATGGCAGAGACAAAGGCTGTGGGTGTGCCTTTGTGACACATTTCTGCTCCATGGACTTAGAAGTTTGACCTTGGCCTTACTGCCATTTCTAATGTGTAGCCTGGGCAAGTAATTCATCAAGGTTTTCTTGCCCATAAGGAGGGATCATGGTTGTGCCTTTCCTTGCCTTCACAGATGGGGAGAATCATATAAGAAGAAGGCTGAGAAGGCATGCTGTCAACTGTAAGCCACAATACTAATGTTTGTTATTATCATACAATTAGGATCTTGCACTGTGTTTATCAAATTTGATATCCCTAGGCTAATATTTGGGAAACAATTAAGCTAGCTTAACCACTCAAATAAATTCACTGTACACTAAGCTAGTCCAAGAGAGTATGGCTCATCACTTTGGAGCAGATGGCAACAGACTATATTTTCTTTGCTGGGTGAACTTCAGAATCTTTGGAGACTGGGCCCAGGAATGTTGTTATGAAAAATGCCTCCATATGATTGTGATGTTCTGCCAGGTTTGAGAATAATGACAAGGTGAAGAGAAAACTTGCTTCCTAAGGAGAAAGGGGAGGGCTCTGAGAACAAATGGCTGGAAGGCAAGTAAGTGGTCAAAGGATGCCAAAGGGTGGAGAGTGCTGGACAACCTTGACTTTAGACAGGAAAGAGGTAATAGGAAACAGTTTCATAGTCAATGTCACAGGCTGTGCCTTGAGTGGGTAATGCAGGGGCTCCCATCACCCAGCTCAGGGTGGAGTGCTTAGTGTCTATACCAGGAGAGGAAGCAGAGTCAATATTTGCTAGTTCTGGTAATTGAGGATCATTTTGCAAACAGATGTTTCTAGCGTTGGCTTTCATGCCACTGACTGAGCTCCCTCCTTCACATAGAGTTGCATTAGTTTCCCCTTTCTTTGTACCTTCTGACCCATCCATTTCCCCATGCCCAGCAGTGGGTGTAAGTCACAGTCATTCATTGATTCAACAATTATTGGTTGAGTGCCCGCTCTTTGCCAGCCCCTATGAGAGGCCCTGAGAACTCTATTCCCAGGGAACAAAACAGACAAGTCCATGCCCTCTTAGAGACCACATTGAAATGGGGAGACAGACATGAATGAAATAAATAAATGCACATAAAAGTTTAAAAAACCCCAAAGCTCTGTGTGTACCATGAAGGAAATGTGTGGGGCTGATGAGAGCTTACAGTAGAAAGGTGTGCTGCAGTGAAGGTGTCCAGAACGGTGTTCCTGAAGGAGTGGCGTTTGTGCTGGTACTCAAGGGTGGTGGAAGCTGACTAGGTGAGGGGAGTGGAGGAAGGAGTAATTCACAGTGTTCAGGATTGAGGGATCTGTCACAGGAAGACAGGCGTGGCTAGGGGACAGAGATGGTGGCCTGGCAGGTGTCTGTGTTGGGCCTCTGTCTTAAGGGAAATGGGAGACCTGGAAGTTTCTAAGGAAGAGTGGCAGTGTGCATAGGAGGTATATGAGGAAGAGAAAGAGAGAGAGAGAGAAAGAGAGAAAGAGAGACAGAAAGAAAGAGAGAGAGAGACTGTACTAGTTTGCTCTGGCTGCCATAATAAAATACTGGGTGGCTTAAAAGTCAGGAGCCTGGAAGTCCAAGATCAAGGTGTTGGCAGTGTGGGCTCTCCTGAGGCCTCTCTCCTTGGCTGTCTTCTCTCTGCCTGGTGCTCTCTCGATGTAGTTCCTCTGTGCATGCAACCCCTGAGTGTCTCTTTCTCTTTTTATAAGACACCTATCAGATTGGATTAAGGCCCACCCTAATGCCCTTATTTAAACTTAACCACCTCTTTCAAGGCCTTATTTTCAAATGCACTCATACTCGGAGGTACTAGACTACAACATACACATTTTTTCTTTTTTGGTGGGGTGGGGTGGGGAGGGGGACACAGCTTGGCCCAGAACAGGGGTGTAGGCAGATTTATGGTTTTTTTTCTTTCTCAAAAATTTGTTATTTCCATAGGTTATTGGGGAACAGGTGGTGTTTGGTTACATGAGTAAGTTCTTTAGTGGTGATTTGTGAGATTTGGGTGCACCCATCATTACCCGAGCAGTACACACTGCACCCAGTTTGTAGTCTTTCATCCCTCACTCCCTTCCCACCCTTTCCCCCTGAGTCCCCAAAGTCTGGTTTCTCTGGCCTCAAGTGGAGAATGAATGGAAGCAAGCACCTAGCTGAAGCTCCCACCGTGGCCTGGGCTCAGTTCATGCCACGTGCTCTGGAATATGCTCTATCCAGGCAGTGCCTCAACCCTCCGTCCTGTCTCCTATAAAGACTATTCCCTTTACGTGCAGAACGTTCTAGTGCTGTGAAAATCTGAACACTGCTTTACAAGCTTACTTTATTTATTTATTTTCACTTTCAGTTGGAATTCATTTTTAATATTTAAATACAAAAAGTGAGCACTGGCTTTATTATTATTATTATTTACACACACAGTTCTAATAGACAAAATGTGCAGAGGAAATGAGCTCGCATTTCTGTCCTTCACAGCCCTCATCTTGTGGCTAAAGCTGCAGCCGGCCTCCCTCCTGTCCAACATACATAAGGACTCATAGTGGCTGCTTTATGTTACGATTGTAATGCATTTTGTGTGTTTCATAGTGTATACACGCTCTTTTCTCTCTCTCTTTTTAAAGCAGTTGTTAATGGTCAGGGGTACCACCCTTCCACTAGCATCAGTTGCTACCTCACAATCAGATAGTGAGGAAATCTTCCAGTTAGGAGCAATTGATTGATAGGAGTTGGGGGGTGAGGGAGGTGGTGGCCAGGGCTGGAATAACCACTGCATGGCTGCACTCTGGCATCAGAGTGACGACAGAAGTAAGTCAGGAGAGCGTGGAGAGTACAGTTGCGAGTTAAGCTCTCTTTGTGAGACAATGTGAGGAGAATTCTCTCCACCAGGTTTAGATAAATCCATGTACCAAAGTTAAAAAAAAAATCAAAATAATCAGGAATTCAAACACTATTGAATTTAAAATTCTCCCACCGAGACAGCTCAAATATAGCAGTCACCATCTAGATCTTTCCAGGAAGTGAAGGAGGGCCCCTGGCATTCTTCTGGACAGCCGTGTGGCGCCGGAGACGTATCTGCCGCTGCTGCTGCTGCTGCGGTTGCCCCATTTGCAACTTCTCTGTCTCAAAGATGACAACAAGAACCAGAATCATGAAGAAAGAGGTTCCAATCCACAAGGCTGCCCTGGAAAACCAGTACATTTTTTGAGCCACGAAGAGGGGAGAGATGGAAAGTGGCTCTGCCCTCGGACTGGCCCCTCTCCGGAACATCTCCTTCAGGCCCCACAGCCTCTCCGACAGGGTCTCATCTGGCTCCTTGTGGTCGCCCTCATCCAGTTCCTCCTCAGTCTTTTGGCAGCAATTTATCCACCGACAGGGGTTCCTCAGCGCTGGCGTGGGAGCCATGGCTGTGACGAGCTAGACTTTAAAATATTAGCAAATTGGCCGAGCACGGTGGCTCACGCCTGTAATCCCAGCACTTTGCGAGGCCGAGGCGGGCGGATCACCTGAGGTCAGGAGTTTGAGACCAGCCTCCCCAACATGGCGAAACCCCGTCTCTACTAAAAATACAAAAATTACCCAGGCGTGATGGCGGGCACCTGTAATCACAGCTACTTGGGAGGCTGAGGCGGGAGAATCTCTTGAACCCGGGAGGCGGAGGTTGCAGTGAGCCGAGATCACGCCACTGCACTCCAGCATGGGCGACAAGGGCAAAACTCCGTCTCAAAATTAAATAAATAAATAAATAATAAGCAAATTTGGTGCTAGAAAATTTTGCATTGGAACGGTACTTCCAAATTTGAGTTTTCAAGCAAACAACAAAAGAACCCAAAACAAACAAATAAAAAACCAATCACCTAAAGGCAACAGGAAACCATTTTCATAACTTAATTTTGAAAACACCCGATAAATAAAATAATTTTATTTTATTGCATTTTTCTTTTGCCGAAGCATTACTTAAAATAAGTGAACACATATTAGCTGTCCTTTAAAATGTGCTTCTCTGACTTGTCAGTATGTTTTAGAGAATGAAAAATGAGAGAAAGTTATATTACTTAGCTATTGAAAGTTAATTTTATATTTCCAGTCCTTGACAGTATAAGAAAAACGAGAACAACAAATCAGAGTAAATACAAATCATCTACCCATTCAAATAATCAGCACCATCAACAATTCATTGTAAGGAAATGCTTTTTTTTTTTTTTTTGGTGAGACGGAGTCTGGCTCTGTCGCCCAGGCTGGAGTGTCGTGATTTTGGCTCACTGCAGGCTCCGCCCCACGGGTTCAAGCCATTCTCCTGCCTCAGCCTCCCGAGTAGCTGGAACTACAGGCGCCCGCCGCCACGCCCGCCTAATTTTTTGTATTTTTAGTAGAGACGGGGTTTCACTGTGTTAGCCAGGATGGTCTCGATCTCCTGACCTCGTGATCCGCCCACCTCAGCCTCCCAAAGTGCTGGGATTACAGGCGTGAGCCACCGCGCCCGGCCAGGAAATGCTTTCTAAAACTTCAAAAGATGGCAATATTGAAGAACCTCATTCAGAAAATAAACCGTGGCCTACAATGGGAAGAATGAGGGGTATCAGAATCATTGTTAGTCATTCAATATGTATTTTGTACCTGCTATGCACAATAACGTTTCTCAAATATGGTTGCTGGACCAGCTTGCATTCAAATCACCTGGGAAATGTGTTCCACATGCACATTCTTGGGCCTGATTCTAGACCAAATCTAAATACCTGGGAAAGTGATCCGTAAATCAGCAGCTATAACCCATCTCAAATCACTGCAGGTGATTTTTAAATCCAGCTATGTTTGAGGACCACTGTCATGGACAAATGTGTTCTGTTACGTGAGGGGAAAAGGGGGAAATCACTTCCATGTGTCTGCCATGAAGGATTTATGATTGGCTTAGGAAGCTTACATGGAAATATGAAACCGTAAGGAAACACATCACAGCCTAGAATTGCTGACTTCAAGAGACCACCGTGGTGATTTAGCTTAATCCTTTCATTTTAAAAGTGAGCAACGCACACCAAGAAGGCTGACTCAGGTCACACACTTAGGGTGAGTGCTGGGGTTTGAATCCAGCCTCTAGTTCAGCATTTGGTCTCCTCTATGATGACACATAAACCACTACCCTTGCATTGCTTCAAATCCATCCAGATGCAGTTCATAGTTCTTACAAAGAGGACCAGACCAGCTTTCTACTGAAGAAGCTTAACTTTTGTTTTTAAGAGATCACATAATCTTCTCTCTTTTTCAAGTTTGAAATAAAACCATGCAAGAATTCTGCAAAGCATGTTCCTGGGAAAAGCTCATCAACTGTGGTGGTTGTTGACTAGAACATCAGCTAGGAAAAAAAAAAAAAAAAAGCTAAGGTCATCCAGGTTGGGCATGTGGCCTGTTGAGCTTCACTGGTTCCTGGAATTCTGAAGTAGTCTCCTGTAATTAATTTTTAACTTATCTAGGTCTGTTTGTTACAATAAAATTTTCTTCTTGCGGAGGAAAAAAATGAAGGGATAGGAGATTATTTCATCCTGAAAGGTTGAGGGAGTTTAATATCATTAAGAATGCAAAGTGTTTTATATAACTTAGAACCAGAGAAGAAACAAGTTCACTAGCTCATGAGGGATTTGGGCTCTAAAGAATGAAACACTTCCAGAAGCTGAGGGTTGTGACACATCAGGAACTGCTGCCAAGAGAAGAGCATTGCCATCTCCTCATGCAGGGGATTTTGGAAGACAAATGGACTATCAACTGTCTTGCAATTCTCTTGGGTTTTCTCATCCAGGACTATGGTTTTCACCATCCCCTACATTAGAAAGTCCTTCAGATCCTAATCCTCAGTCCTTACCACGATGATGATCCTACTCTTGCCTCCTGGGCTCTTGGCATAAGGAGCCCAAAGTGCCTGGGTGGCAGCTGTCAGTGGAAGTTCAGTGGGACTCTTGCTGTGTGCAGCAGCAGAAGTATCCCCCTTTGAGAGTCAGAACCTGTGACCCTACAGAGCTCAGAATTGCAGGGACTGGAGGCAAACTACCACGCGATGTTTTTAAATTTCCAGTTGCCTTGTAGATATCTTCACTTGGATATCCCCCATCATTTCAGCCTCAGCGGTCTAAAATCCGAAATCAAGCCCATCTTTTCTCCCAACCCGCTTTTCTCCTTTTAATTGGACCATCATGGTTAAAAGCATTGCTCATCCATGACACCACCAACACCGGAAGTTCCTGAATCATCTTTCACGATGTCCTCTCTGCTCACAACTTATTTGTTAACAACGCTTTTAAACTTATCATATGAATATCTTTCAAGGAAAGTGTCCAGTGGGTGTTAGTGTTAGTTAAAGTCTTCTGGAGTTAGTGTCACAGGCGCCTGAATGCTGCCTTTAGTTGTCTGGGCTAGGCTGAAGTGTGCAGAGCAGTGCAGGTGGCTCAGCTTGCAGCTGGCCCAGCTGGGGCTGGGGGTACCATTGCAGGTTGGGTTCCCCCTGGGAAGCAGATCCTGAGATGGAGATTTGTGTTCAAGAAAAGGATTAGGGAGCATTCTTAGAATGGATATCTGTGGGGAAAGGGAAGGAAGCAGGATCGGGAAGAGGGAGAATTGGGGCAGCAATGAAGTCACAACAAGATCTCAGCCCACCCCACAGGGAGCACTAAAGCTGGGATGGCCTTTCCGAGTTGTCCCCCAGGTAGATCTGTCATTGGATGCAGGCTTCCCTGGAAAGGGGTGTGATCTTGGGTGAGGCAACTCTCTTTAGCCAAAGTCATTCTTGAAGGTGGTGACAGCTAAGAGCTATTATCAGATAATCTTCCTAACAGCTGGGTGAATGAATCCTTCCATCCTCAGGCAGGGGCCCTTGTTAGGCAGCACAGTCTCCACGACAGCTCACATTTTCCCCCTTTTGAAGCCTTTTCCTTCATCTGGGTACTGGGAAGAGGTCCTTCAGCTCTCTTGTGCACCCCTTCTCCTGGGGAAAACTTAGAACAGGAATGTTGGTGGAGGGAACCACAGTCACCACTGCTGTAGTTGGACTTGAGGCTGCAACTGCCTCATCATCTCCCTCCTCTATTTCTCATTCTGGATTCCCCTCTGCTTGTGCTTACTTGGTGGAGAGACCCAGACCTTCATCCCTGAGCTATGCAAGCACTTGTTTGCATTCATTTCTAAGGCCATGGGTGTTGCACTTGTCCATGTACTGTACAATTGGCCAGGATTGGGGAGGTCCAATAGGTTCACCTGGGTACCAAACATATTTCTTCTTGCTCCTATTTGTAACAGCAACTTGACTTCCTCCTGATGATCAAGGTCTATTGTCTCTGTCAGAATGGAGATCTTCTTCTTGTCTGCTGGTCCCCTGGCATAAAGAGCCTGAGTGCCCAGTGGCAGCCATAGCTGAAAGTTCAGCGGGCTTCTCGCTGTATCCATCAGTAGTTGTGTCCCCCTTTGAGAGCCAGAAACTGTTAACCTATGGAGCTTAGAGGTACAGGGACCAGAGGCAAAACTTTTCTGCAAGATGATAAGTTGGGCCATTCCTTCTCCCACCTGTTGTTTCCTGGACCCATGTGCTATATGCTGCTCACAGGCTTAGCATGCAAACTGTGTGTTGCAGGGTGCACCCTGTCCATACAGGACATCACATCCTCATTGGCTCCTCATCTGTGCCTTTGGAAGACATTTCTGTCCATCTGTTAGGCCAGCAGCTTCAGGGCTGGATAGGATGTGAGATACCAGTGGGTCTCATGGTCATGGGGCTGCTGTCTCACCTCCTGTGCTGTAAAGTAAGGCTCTTGATGCTATGTGAGCACAATGGTACGTGGGATGTGAGAATGTGGATCAAACACTCTGGAGTCTTCAGGTAGTAGTGCTGGCTAGGGCCCTGCAAGCAAGAAAGGCAAACCCATACCAGAATGTCATCAGTTCTGCTGAAATGAATTGCCGCCACTTCCAACATAAAAGGGGCCCCATATGGCCATTTTGCTACCAAGGGGCTGTTTGGTTTCCTTGAGGGAAGTTGCCATATTGGAGGCTGGTGTTGATTTGTGTTGCGGGCAGGATTTCCTTCAGCATGGGCAGTGGCCAGATCAGCCTTGGTGAGAGGGAGGCCACGCTGCTGGGGCCGTGCCTGACCTCCATCCCTGCCCTTTGGCTACCTCATTCATGTGACTATTGGGTTAGCACAATAAAGAAATATTTAAAACTTTCTTCAGGTTAAATTTCAAATATGGTAAATATTTATAAATATAATTCACATGGTCAAAAACTCTTGAGTCCACAATCTTTTTTTAGAGTAAAAAGGGGTCCTGAGACTAAAATATTTGAGAAGCACCGTCCTAGGTCAGTCACTGTGCTTCTGATTGGTCAGAACTACTGGGTGTTGTGTCCATCCCTCCCTGTGGGCTGGGGATAGGGAAAGGGCAGGCTTCTTTGAAACTCTGTAGCCTATGAATGGGGGACAAGTGGCTCACAAAAGAAACCCCAGGAGCTTCTGTCAGCAAAGCAGGGATGCATACTACAACAAAAAGACAAAGAAACCAAAAAATCAAACAACAAGTGTCTACCACATTAAGGGGCTTAGTTTCATTGTTTCTTGAACCCTCAGGGCTTGGTATCATGTAGAATAAACACTGTTTGTTTAATTACTGAATGAATGAACGCATAAACAAAGGCTGGGAGATGACTCAGATAACTGCTTGAGGTCCTTCTAACCCCATATTCTGAAGGGCGTGTGTGTGTGTGTGTGTGTGTGTGTGTGTGTGTGTGTGTACATTAAATAGGTAGGTGATCATGACTACAGAGTTGGCATTTTTGAAGCCCCCACAGCCAAAGGGTCAGACCAGAGCCCAACCAGGAACCTAGAACAAGCTGGCCAGTGGAGGCAGCAGGAGTGGCCACAGTTCACACCCCCCAGCCCTGGGAGGACACTGGGAAACCACGTGGAGCTCTGAAGCGGAGACCCACAAGTTCAGAGGTAAGAGACAACTGATTATGCTATTTAGAAATGACATGGCAAGTTCACGGACAGTGAGCTACCAGTATGCATGCTTGGAAGCAGTTGTCATTTGGAAGTGACCCAGTATGCCGTCTGTGTATCTGAATATGAGAGATACCCATTTAAGGATGAATTTAGAGGGGCTCAGAAAAGAGTGCAACTAATAGAGCTCTACAGGTCTGGGTGGATGCCAAACAGCTATGGGGGACTGAGGGAGTGACAGAAGTACTTTTAACAAATAATTGTGGCCAGGTGCAGTAGCTCACACCTGTAATACCAGCATTTTGGGAGGCTGAGGTGGGAGGATCATCTGAGGTCGGGAGTTTGAGACCAGCCTGGCCAACATGCTGAAACCCCGTCTCTACTAAAAATACAAAAATTGGCCAGGCATGGTGGCACGTGCCTGTAGTCCTAGTTACTTCTAGGGAGGCTGAAGCAGGAGAATCGCTTGAACTTGAGAGGCAGAGGTTGCAGTGAGCCAAGATCGCACCACTGAACTCCAGCCTGGGCAACAGAGCGAGACACCCTCTCAAAAAACAAACAAACAAACAGATTTTGCACTGTGGGTGCCCAGGACAGAGATACTGCTGAAGAGAGAGCATTCTGCTGGGCCAGGAAGGTTGACATGGGATTGCTGCTCACATCCCAGACAGGGTGCTCCATGCTCCCTGGCTTGCGGGTGCTGCTGCTGAAACTCTGAGCAGGCCCAGCACAACATGTGCTCATATTTTCCTTCTTTCTGTGACAGAAGATCGCATTACTTCGGGGTTTCCAGATGTCTAAAATTGAAGTGTGTAAAATTGAGTATGGCTAGCAGCCCAATAAGATGTGAAATTCTATCAGGGATTTCCCTGCCTGATAGAGATGGACCAACTCCACTCAAGTGTCGGGATGACCCATGTTATAGCTGAATCCAGGAGAGTGCAGGAGGGGAGGTCTCCTGGGCTGCTCTGTGATGGAATGTGATGTCTGCATTCTGGATGGCTTCCCAATCTGGGGAAGAGCGGAGCTGGATAACTGGAATGTGCAGTGAGGTGAAGATGAGATTTCTCACCTTGATCTGTCCTCAGAGAACAAGCGTTTATCAGTTGAGATGATGAGGACATACATACAGATACATGGGCTCACAAAGTGAAAGCTATCCAGGAGACCAGCACCTCGGGGAGAGGGATAACTGCTTGGGAGACAAGGTCTTTAAATTGGAATTTAGATTAGAAATATTTCCTCTATATGCTGAAGTTATCTGCCCAGGGAAAGGAAGTCTTTCTTTAGAACGAGTGAACAGCTTTTTGCTTGGGGATGTACATCTGTTTATTTTAAAACGTAGTAAAAGTTCACAACCTATAGCGCAGATGTTTAGGGGTAAGGAAAGTGGATACCAATGGAACAGAATTACATGAACACAAGGCTGATGGCAGGAGTGGCACAGCAACAGCACATGGGAGGAGACAGAGACTTAGCAAAAAAATCAAATGCAGGCTGTCAGGTGTACACTCGTTAGCTGTGCCAGGATGGAACAGACATCTGGGTGTGGAGAGAGTAATGCGTTAAGAAATCGAAACAGGGCTGTGTGGGATGTGAAGAAATAAATGAGCAGCAATTGATGACAGAGACAATAGTTGATATGGCCAATGGCCTCCTCTGGACAGATGAGTCTTTTGTGACCTCACATTTGATTCCTCCTTGTGAATGCGTGTGAGAGTGCTCTGTGAACAGCTTTTTACAGTCACTGGGAAGCAAAAGAGTTGCCAGGTCCCCTGGAGTGTTGCTGGTTAGGGTCTTACTCTATTTGTGGGCATTTTCAGCCCAGAAACACTCATTCTGCCATTAAAATCTAGTTAAGGGAGTGCAGACACAGATAAGAAGATAACTGCAAATATAAGGCAGGATGTGGTAGATGCCAAATGAGAGGTCTAAGTGATGGATTTTGAGGGATTCCATGGTGGGAAGAGACCACTGTGGGCAACTCAGCTCAACACAGGAATCCAAAATAGGCTTCCAGTTGCAGAGGGAAACTGCACAAAAAGATACCTCAGAAGACAGATCTCATTGCAGATTAAAGCATGGATGAAGAGAGGAGAGACTAGAAATTGGGAGGTGCCTGCAAAATGCCTGACAGAAGACAGAGAGGGCCTGTTTTCTAGTGGTGACTGTGGGGTTGCAAACTAGGAAACAGATGGAAGAGTCCACAGAACTTGGTGGCTGATGGCATATGGAGATCAGGAAAGAAGGAGGAATCAAAGATGGCTGTAAGCCTAGGAGACAGAGAGGGAAATGTGTTTCTTGGCAGGAATAGATGCTGGCTTTGAAAATAAAGCAATGAACTTGAGATGTGGCAGGTTCAAGATGACAGGAGGTATTCCATGAGGAACATCTGGCAGGCATTTGGTGGTGGGTTCTGGTGACACTTCAGAGCTGAGTGGTTAACTTGGGAGTCGTCAAACACAGCAGCCATTGTAACTGGAAATTGAGAGCTGATGTGTTCCCTGAGGGAGTTAGTGTGTAGAGAGACATGCTTAGGAACTTTTGAGGGGTGTGCCTACAGCAAGTCTCAAAACAAGGAACAAAGACAAAGAAGGCACATGAAAAGAGCGAGGCAGAGAATTGGAGTAGCATGTTACAAAAAACCAAGGCAGGAGAGTTTCAAGCAGGAATGGGTGGGCAATGTAGTGAATTGCTACAAATAGATTCAAGAGAACGAGGACAAAATAGTTCTTAACTTTCTAGGTATAGCATTTACTCTATTGTTCATTTATGTTTTATTTTTGGAGCAGTTTTATGTTCACAGCAAAATTGAGAGGAAGGTGTAGAGATTTCTCATGTACCTGCACACCTGCCCCATACCTGCACAGCCTCCATGTTATCAACATCCCCCACCAGAGTGGTACATTCATCCCAACTGATGAACCTACATTGGCACATCATCACCCAAAGTCCATAGTTTACATTTGGATCCACTCTTGTTGTACATTTTACGTTTTTTTTTTTTTTGTTTTTTTTTTTTTTGAGACAGGGTCTTTGTTGCCTAGGCTGGAGTGCAGTGGTATGATCGTAGCTCACTGTAACCTCAAACTCCTGGGTTGAAGAGCTCTTCCTCTCTCAGCCTCCTCAGAGTAGGCAGGACTGCAGGCATGCACCACCATGCCTGGAAAATGTTTAAAAAATGAACAGGCAACCCACAAAATGGGAGAAAATTTTCTCAACCTTCTCATCTGACAAAGGGCTAATATCCCGAATCTACAATGAACTCAAACAAATTTACAAGAAAAAAACAAACAACCCCATCAAAAAGTGGGCAAATGACATGAACAGACACTTCTCAAAAGAAGACATTTATGCAGCCAAAAAACACAGGAAAAAATGCTCACCATCACTGGCCATCAGAGAAATGCAAATCATAACCACAATGAGATATCATCTCACACCAGTTAGAATGGCAATCATTAAAAAGTCAGGAAACAACAGGTGCTGGAGAGGATGTGGAGAAATAGGAACACTTTTACACTGTTGGTGGGAGTGTAAACTAGTTCAACCATTGTGGAAGTCAGTGTGGCGATTCCTCAGGGAGCTAGAACTAGAAATACCATTTGACCCAGCCATCCCATTACTGGGTATATACCCAAAGGACTATAAAACATGCTGCTATAAAGACACATGCGCACGTATGTTTATTGCGGCACTATTCACAATAGCAAAGACTTGGAACCAGCCTGAATGTCCAACAATGATAGACTGGATTAAGAAAATGTGGCACATATACACCATGGAATACTATGCAGCCATAAAAAATGATGAGTTCATGTCCTTTATAGGGACATGGATGAAATTGGAAATCATCATTCTCAGTAAACTATCACAAGAACAAAAAACCAAACACCGCATATTCTCACTCATAGGTGGGAATTGAACAATGAGAACACATGGACACAGGAAGGGGAACATCACACTCTGGGGACTGTTGTGGGGTCGGGGGAGGGGGGAGGGATAGCACTGGGAGATATACCTAAGGCTAGATGACGAGTTAGTGGGTGCAGCGCACCAGCATGTCACATGTATACATATGTAACTAACCTGCACATTGTGCACATGTACCCTAAAACTTAAAGTATATTAAAAAAAATGTTTTGTAGAGATAGGGTCTTACCGTGTTGCCCAGGCTGGCCTTGACCTCCTGGCATTAAGCAATCCTCCTGCTGAGGATAACAGGTGTGAGGCACTGTGCCCGGCCATTTTATGGTTTTTTGACAAATATATAATGACATATATTCACCATTATAGTATCATACACCGTAATTTCCCTGCCTTCTAGATCCTCTGTGCTTTACCTATTCATCCGCCACTCCCCGTTAATCCCTGGAAACTGACGATTTTTTTATTTTTATTTTTTTTACTGTATCCATAGTTTTGCCTTTCCCAGAATGTCATATAGTTGGAATATGTAGCCTTTTCAGACTGGCTTCTTTCATTTAGTAATATGTATTATATTTAAGATTTCTCCATGTCTTTTCTTGGCTTGATAGTTCATTTCTTTTTAGTACTGAATAATATCCCATTGTCTGGATGGATCACAGCTTATGTGTCCATTCACTGATTGAAAGACATGCTGGTTGCCTTCCAAGAAAATTATGAATAAAGCTGCTATAAATATCCACATAAAGGTTAAAATTTTCTTATTGTGGCAAAATGCACATAACATAAAATTTACCATTTTAACCATTTTTAAGTATACAGTTCAGTGGTATTAAGTATATTCTTGTTGTACAATGATCACTGCCATCAGTCTCCAGAACTGTTTTCATTTTGTAAAACTGAAACTCTGTATCTATTAAACAATAACTCCCCATTCCCTACTCCTTCCAGTCCCTGGAAACTACCATTCTTTCTGTCTCTGTGATTTTGACCACTCTACATACCTCATATAAAGAATCATATAGTATTTGTTGTTTTCTGACTGGCTTATTTCCCTTAGCATAATGTCCTCAAGGTTTTTCATGTTGTAGCATGTATCAAAATTTCCTGCCTTTTAAAAGCTGGATAATATTTCATTGTGTGTATCCACCACTTTTTGTTTATCTATTAATTTGTGGATAGACACTTGTATTACTTCCACATTTTAGCTATTGGGAATGTTGCTATGAACACGAGTGTGCACAAATATTTTTCCTCTTCCTCTTCCTCCTCTTCGTCCTCTTCCTCCTCCTCCTCCTTCTCTTCCCCTTCCCCTTCCCTTTCCCCTTCCCCTTCCCCTTCTCCTTCTCCTTCTTCTTCTTCTTCTTCTCCTAGCATGACTTATTCCTTGACAAGTGACTCTGCTTTCAATCCTTTGGGTGTATTTACCCACAAGTGAAATTGCTGGATCACATGGTATTCCATGAGCAGGTTTTTGTGCGGACATAAGTTTTGAACTCATTTGGAAAAACACCACTAAGCACAATTGCTTGATCATGTGTTGAGTATATTTTGCAGTAAGCAACTGCCCAACTGTGTTCTGAAGTGGCTGTACCATTTTGCAGTGCCACCAACAATGAATGAGAGTTGTTGTTGTCCCACGTCCTCACCAGCATTTGTTGTTGTCAGTGGTTTTGATTTTCACCATTTTAACAGTTGTGTAGTGTATCTTGTTGTTTTAATTTGCAATTCCCTAATGGCATAAGATGTTGAGCATCTTTTCATATGCTTATTTGCCATCTGTACAGCTTTAGTGAGGTGTCTGTTCAGATCTTTTGTCCATTTTTAAATTAGATTGTTTTCTTATTGTCAGAATTTTAAGAGTTCTTATATTTTGGATAATGGTTCTTTATCATATATGCCTTTTGCAAATATTTTCTCTTATTCTATCACTTGTCTTCTCATTCTTTTGACAGTGTCTTTCACAGGACAGAAGATTTTAATTTTAATGAAGTCCAGATCATTTATTATTTCTTTCATAGAACATAACTTTGGTGTTGTATCTGAAGAGTTACTGCCATATTCGAAGCCATCTAAATTTTCTCCTATGTTATCTTCAGAAGTTTTATAGTTTTAAATTTTACATTTATGTCTGTGATCCATTTTGAGTTAATCATTGTGAAGAGTGTAAGTAAGGTGTGTGTCTAGATTTATTTTTTGCATGTGGATGTCCAGTCATTCCAGTACCATTACTTGAAAAGACTATGTTTACTCCATTGCATGGCCTTTACTCCTTTGTCAAAGATCAGTTAACCCTCTTTGTGTAGGTATAATTCTGGGATCTCTATTCTTTTCAATTAATATATTTGTCTATTCTTTTGCCAACACCTCACTGTCTTGATTACTGTCTTGATTACTTTACAGAAAGTACTAAAGTCAGGTAGTGTCAGTCCTCTGAATTTGTTCTACTCTTTAATTTTTTTTTTTTTTTTTTTTTGGGGGGACGGAGTCTCACTCTGTCACCCAGGCTGGAGTGCAGTGGCGCGATCTCGGCTCACTGCAAGCTCCGCCTCCTGGGTTCACGCCATTCTCCTGCCTCAGCTTCCCGCGTAGCTGGGACTACAGGCGCCCGCCACCACGCCCGGCTAATTTTTTTGTATTTTTAGCAGAGACGGGTTTCACCGTGTTAGTCAGGATGGTCTCGATCTCCTGACCTCATGATCTGCCCGCCTCCGCCTCCCAAAGTGCTGGGATTACAGGCGTGAGCCACTGCGCCCGGCCTGTTCTACTCTTTTAATATTGTGTTGGCTATTCTGGGTCTTTTTCTTTTCCACATGAACTTTAGAATTAATTTGTCAATATCCATAAAATAACTTGCTGGGATATTGATTGGTATTACATTGAATCTATAGATCAAGTTGGGGAAAATACTGCCATCTTGACGATATGGTGCCTTCTTATGCATCAATATGGAATATTTCTCCATTTATTTAGTTGTTGTTTGATTTCTTTCATTAGCATTTTGTAAGTTTTCTCATATAGATCTTGAACATATTTAGATTTATACCTATTTTAGTATATATTTTATTTTGGTGGGTGCTAATGTAAATGGTATTGCACTTTAACTATCAAATTCTACTATTTTATTGTATTTTAATTTCAATTTCCACTTTGTAGGAAAGCAATTGACTTGTATAATAACCTTGTATCCTGCAACCTTGCTATAAGTGTTTATTATTTAAAATTATTTCAGATTTTCTACATAGATAATCATGTCATCTGTGAACAAAGATAGTTTTATTTCTTCCTTTACAAGCAGTATACCTTTTATTTGCTTAACATGGTGTTGAAAAGGAATGATAAGAAGAGACATTCTTGCCTTGCTTCTGATTTTAGCACTAGTTTCTCATAATTGAGTATGAGGTTGGCTGCAGGTTTTTTTGTAAATGCCCTTAATCAGGTTGAGAGAGTTCCCCCCTATTCCTAGTTTGCTTAGAGTTTTAATCATGAGTGGATATTGGATTTTTTCAAGTGCTTTTTCTTCATCTATTGATATAAAGCATGAAATATGTATGTATATGTATTTATTAATATAACAATATTGGCCATGTTGGCCAGGCTGGTCTCGAACTCCTGGCCTCAAGTGATCTGCCCACCTCAGCCTCCGAAAGTGCTAGGATTACAGGCATGAGCCACTGCGCCTGGCCCCTACAGTTAGGCAGAAACCCCTTCTAGGAAAACATTGCCTAACTGACACCCTTAACTTAGGGGTCCTGCCAGCAGCACCGATTGGGCAGGAGAATGCTCTTACAAACATTCTTTCCTGATAAGCAGCTATAGACCATAAGCTGGTTCCAGCCAGCTTACAGACTGCACACAAAGGGTCTCTGCATGCTGTAGTTCACCTTCTGACATAAATGAGCAGAATTCCTCCTCATTTTAATGTTAAAAGCCTGACCCAAAGTGAACATGAAATATATGATACATATATGTGAACTCACTGTGCATGCTTTACTTTCTCCATAAATATTCATAGGCATTTCCCAAACCTGATAAATATGCATGTAAGGCAGACCCTGGAAGGCTTAAATGCCACTGTTTTCTTCTCTTTGGAGACGTGTTTTTTATTTCCCTGGAAGCTACGTTTCCCCAATCTGCAGGTTGTTATTCAGAAAGTACATTTTTCTCCTTTTTCCTTCCTCCATTGATCTCATGGTCATTTGTTGACAGGTAGATGTAGTGGCTAGGCGTGTGAGCTCCTGTTCTCCTAGTTACAATGAGCCATTCCCTCTTTGTTCTTTTCTTGTGTTTTGTGATCTTGATTACACTACTTATGGTCTCTATTTCCCTATCTCCTTAGGTGGTGAGGTTTAGGAGCGCAAAGTTCTGTCTAATTGGCCTTCCCATCTCCTACAGGCTCAGCACATGCCTATTATAAATTGGATGCTCCACAAGCATTTGATGGAATTGAAATGAAATGAAATAATTATGCTAAAAAGAAATGGGTGTTCAATGTGTGAAGCAGGACTGAATAATGGTTAAGAACTTAGGCTTTCCAGTAAGACCAGTGCAGTCTCCAGAATTTCCACACTGGATGGGTTTAGGAGGGGCTGTCTATGTGGGAGGGAGAACAAAGGCATTTATCTTAAAGCTTCATTTGCATAGAAATCCTTTGTTTTGACTAAATCGAACAGCCTCCTGAAAGTAATTCTTAACACTACCTTTGCTACAGATGGTTAAGGATTAAAATAACTTCTCCAACTTAAGTTTCCACATATGCAAAATAGATAATAATACAGTAATAATTCTGACCCCAGTAGGGTGTTGAGAGGATCACTGGGATAGTGTGTGTTAAGTATTCTTTGGCCTGCCACACTAAGTATTCAATAAAAAACTATTGTTATTATTACTATGATATTTTAAGTTGGTTATATTCATAACATGTTAGAATGTTAGAAGGGAGCTCAGAAACAGCAAAAATACAGGCTTTGGAGTCCACGGACCTAAGTGGGAATCCTGTCTCCACCCTTTCCTAGCAGGGTGACCCTGGGTACACTGCTCATCCAATAAGACCTTGGTACGTGAGAACCACTTGGACTTGCTAAAATCATATTCCAGGGCCCCACCCTAGATATTCTGATTGAGTTGTTTTATGGTGAGGCCCAGAGAACTGCATTTTACAAGTTTTCCAGGTGATTTGGATTCATGAACTCTACGAACCATAGTTTGTGAAATGTTGACTTAGTCTAAGTCTCAGAGGTTTTTTGTTTTTTGTTTTCTCCCATAAAATGGAGCAGGAATACCTGCTTCATGGTTTTGGATGGAAAATATCTGGCCCCAAATCTGGCTTATTGCAGGGAATCTGGCTTACTGTGCTTAGAAGCTTTGGCTATCTTCCTTCTAGATATGGTCTCTTTAACTATTTCATCCAACCATGTGCAGCCAGTGTCACAGAAGAGACCAAACTCTGTGTTAGAAGCTGATGGAATTCAGGTAGCGAATCAAAGACCACCAAACATTAAAGAGTAAAAAGTGTCTGCGAAACACATCAGATGTATTTTGCAGAATATACCTCTGTAATAGAATGGGTTCCCCCTTCCCCTTGCAAATCAGCCATGTATGGAAATAAAAAAATTCCACTCTGATGAGCACATTTCCCTGCTTTCAAATGCCAGAAACCATGTGAACAGTGAGCAAGGAAGGCCCGCACCATCACCATCAGCAGACAACGGTTTCATAACGAATTCTACAAATTTGACTCCTTGCCTGCCTCTAATTCTTTAATGGAATACTAGGAGAAAATTAACAGAGTCTGATGACCTCAGAGGACTTTTGAGGGGAAAGCTAAGTCCATGCTGGACTGAGTCAGCTACATAGAAAATGAAACTTCAGTTTGCCCACAGCCTGCCGCTTTCAAGGTTCTTGTTTGCTACGCGTGTGCTCGATCCACCCATCCCTCTTAGCTGATGTTTGCTGCTGCTGTTGCTGCAGAATGGGAACTTTGAAGCCCTGCTTCCTATAATAAGCTAGATGAGCTCATTTGTTAATGTTTTTCCTTCCTGTTATACTTTTCAGTATGTTAGGCTGCTATTTAACATTGAATTGTCACAATCTGTGGCATTATATAATGATATAATTTCTTTGCTGTATAATTGGTAAAGAACTTTGTGATGATTCTGATGGGAGGGAGATAAAAACTATCAAGAAACATAAGGCTGTGAGTATATAAATGCAAAAATAGCCAATTCCATCAACTGTCCCCAGAATGAGTCGGGCAAAAAACATTAAGCTTCCTTTTTGGCTTTTTTTCTTCTGTGCAAGGAAAATATTTTAAACTGAGTTTTTTCCCTTTTCATCCATTGTTTGTGGACACAGGATATAGAGCAGCAGGGGAGAAGACAAAAAATCTGCTGAAAGCTGGTTCTGTTTAACAGATTAGGTTCAAATTTGTTTTTAAGAAGAACGGATTTGTGATGTTTTATTCAGGCACAGCAATGGCAATATAATCAGAGTTGAAATCTGCCTTAAAGAAAGAATTTTTGTAATTATAAACTCCCAAATAAAGATTTGAAACAGAATCTGATTTGCCTATCTATGGGTAGCTTTTCTTAGTTTTAATTTATCCAAACACTCACTCATTCATTCAACAAACACTGGCTGCTGCCCTCTGTGCGAGACACTGGGAAAAGAGAGGTAAAATAATTTGTGCCCTCCGAAAGGAGTGCTCCGATACTCCTCTTAGTAGCTCCCATGGAATCCCCAGTGTACCCTATCACAGCATGTTTTCTATTTGATTGAAACTACTTATTCAACAAACATTTGTTTAATACTTTTTTTTATTTCAGTAGCTTTAGGGGTACAAGTGGTTTTTAATTACATGGATGAACTGTATAGTAGTGAAAGTCTGAAAGTTTAGTGTACCCATCACAGGAGTAGTGTATATTGTACCCGATATGTAGCTTTTTATCCCTCCCTGCTCTGAGTCTCCAATGTCCACTATACTAACCTGTATGCCTTTGCATACCCAGAGCTTGGCTCCCACTTATAAGTGAGAACATACAGTGTTCCAACAATTATTTGTCAAGTATTTCCTCTGTGTGAAGCACAGGGCTACATGGTTCCCGCCTACCCCGTAGGGCTGTTGTGGGGATTAAGGAATAAGGATCAAACTACTTGACACCACACCTGGGCCTAGAAGGTATTTAACAGGTGTCTGATGAATGACTTCATGGCCAGTAGGAAACCGTTGCTAGGAAAAGATTGCTAGTGACCCTGTGATTGTGAACTTCAGTAGGATGAGGTGGTGGAGAAGGACAAAAGCTTCCAGCATCTTCTGGCGGCAGTAATTCTTCACCTTTCCTGCAGTCACACTTTTTGAACTTCTGGTCTACCTACTTCTGCTTAGGTTTCTCTTTTTGGCCTCAGCCACTTTGTGACTCCCCTCTTTCCTTCCTCCCTCCCTCCTTTCTCTTTCTTTCTATCATTTTCATTCTGCACACACTGTGATCATAAAACTTGGGCAATATTTTACTCCACCAAATGTGTTCAAGGTGATAGAAGATTTGGCTGCTCAGGAGGACCCATCAGGAGTCCCAAATCATTGGCCTGTATGAGTCAGGGCAGTGGGCCAGGCTCAGTCCCTACAGGTTGGGCCAACCTGAGGATGACAAGAATGGTGTCTTTATTATAACTTGAAGTTATAATAAAGGTACACACACATGCCTTGCTGTATATTTCTACACATAAATCTTATTCAAGGGAGGTTTTGATATTCCAAATTATGGAACAAAAAATGCTGATTCTTCTGATAGGAATTCCAGAATATGGAATGAGAGACTGGAATATGTGGAGTGAAAGAAATGAGGGGTTATTGATTCTTGGAAGAAAAATACAACTTGGAGAATTCAGTTGTCATTTCCCCAGCACTCATTAGGATATTTTAATTATATAGGATCATGAATGAAGGAAATGATATATCTTCTACAACTTTACGAAAATTGTAAAAAGGGAAAGGGCCTTGTTTATCACCTTTCAAAGAATTAATCCCTAAGCATATCTTTTCCCCTTGGCCTGAGGGCAGTGTCTCTCACAGGTCTGAGGACCATGTTGGCTTTTGCTCTCCATAAATCCTCACAGCCTCATGCAGTGCCCGGTGCCCAGAAAGTAACCAATATCCATTTTTGATGTAAAGTAATCAGGTGTGTAGAAGTTACTTTGAAATACTGCATTCTGTAGCTCAAATTCTCCAAACAGAATTCTTGACCAAATGATAACATAAAAAGTCAAAGAAAACATAGATAGCAAACCAGAACATGGCATTAAGGCATAACTTCCCAAATGGGATTTTAAACCATTAACATGAATGACAATAACATATTTTGGTTTTAGGTAATAATTGTTTGAGAAATTCAGAATTGACAGGGTGGCACTCCTAGGGGCTCAGTGCTGGCTGCTATTATGATGGTCTAGACCAAGCTCATCCAATCCATGCCCCGTGAGTTGCATGCAGCCCAGGATGGCTTCTAATGCGGCCCAACACAAATTCATAACTGTCTTAAAACATTATGAGTCTTTTTTTTTTTTTTTTGAGACAGAGTCTCATTCTGTCACCTAGGCTGGAGTGCAGTGGCATGGTCTCGGCTCACTGCAACCTCCGCCTACTGGGTTCAGGCGATTCTCTTGCCTCAGCCTCCCAAGTAGCTGGGATTACAGGCACACACCACCACGCCCAGCTAATTTTTGTATTTTTAGTAGAGATGGGGTTTTGCCCTGTTAGCCAGGCTAGTCTTGAACTCCTGACCTCAGGTGATCCACCTGCCTCGGCCTTCCAAAGTGCTGGGATTACAGGTATGAGTCACCACGCCCAGCCAGCATTATGAGATTTTCTTATGATTTTTTTTTAGCTCATCTGCTATCATTAGTGTTAGTGTATTTTATGTGGGGCCCAACAAAATTCTTCTTCCAGTGTGGCCCAGGGATGCCAAAAGATTGGACACGCCTGGTTTAGACATTCACTGTAATAAGTGGGTTCAGCCTTTTGACTGGGAAATTGGAAAAAATAATTCATAAGGGAGCTATGAGAAAAACAAAATAAAACAAAACAAACCCTGACTTCAGCTTACTGGGAACAATTTTCTAGTCTTAGCATCAGCAAATTAAATTATCATACTCAAGCCATTTGAGTAATCCCTGGATATATGGAATCCAAATAGGTGAACTCAGCAGCGTTGGTTTATGAATGAACTCGAATCACTATCTAGGTCTGATTAATTAGATGACAATCAATTTTAAATCAGATCAAATTATGCATGAGTGAAAAAGAAGTTGATTGAATAGCTCACCTAAAGGCATAGTCACATTCTAGGGACCAGAAATAAATTTAATTAAGCCTAAAAGAAATCAGGATATGAAAAAGTTTTGTTTTGATTTTTTTTTTTTTTGAGCCAGAGTCTTACTCTATTGCCCAGGATGGAGTGCAGTGGCACGATCTTGGCTCACTGCAACCTCCACCTCCCGGGTTCAAGCAATTCTTCTGCCTCAGCCTTCCGAGTAGCTGGGATTACAGTCACTGCCACCACGCCCAGCTAATTTTTCTATTTTTAGTAGAGATAGGGTTTCACCATGTTGGCCAGGCTGGTCTCGAACTCCTGACTTCAGGTGAAATGGAAAATAAAAATCTCAGTCAGTGATTTATTGGATTCCATCCATAAACTGTTGATAAAAGCTAACTTGCATTTTGTCTGACTTGGGTTTTCTTTTCCATCCACTACATAGCATTTTTCATAATATTATGCTATTAATAGAGGATTCTTAACCAGTAGTTTCTTGTGTTAAGGATCCTGCCTTCAGATAGCAGGAAAGTTTGTCTTAGGGAATTGATAAGGTGTATCTGTAAGCAGGCGGCTGAATTGGACACAACTGAAAGATGTGGTTCTCGAATTTGCTATGGCTAATTATGATAGTTTTTGGAATACAAGGACAATTATTTCTTGGCTTCTGGTGCTTGCATCGTTGTATAAACAGGCCACCTAGAGACCAACCAAATCTTTTCTTTGTATCTGTTGAAGCATGCATGCATGCACATGGCTATTGTCTCTGGTGCCAGTGGACCCAAACACAAGAATATTATTCCTGAATCTTGCCAAGATTTTTAATGCAACTACGGTGCTTACAAAATAAGACTATGTAAGGCAGCTGTGCTATCATGTTGTGTTAACTTTTAAAATTTTAGTGTCAATCTCTAGTGCTTTCCTTTGGGGCTAGTTACTGTTGAAATGTATAGTACTCATGGACAGAGGTAAATGTGTCCAGGGCATCTTTCTCTAGAGGGCACAACTCTGGACTGTCAAACTTGAGTCCAGAGTCTTGAGTGCGACAGTCATCAGGATTGACCTGTCCTCATCTCTTCCCCTAACCATGCTGGGAGAGTCTCTGCTTGAGATTTCACGGGGACAACAATAGAATTCATTGAGGATGATTAAAATCACCTTATGGATTAGAATGGATATAATCCAATTATTTTACAGATAACTCTAGTATGCCTATGTGAAACATAGTCCCTCAATGTGGGGCCCTAACGGAGACCAGTTTCAAAATTTTTAGATTTTTAACTTTTGGGGGGTAATAGAGCTAGCAGCTTCTCTGTACGGGCAGGAATGGGGGTTCCGTTGGAGCATATCTTTTTTTTTAATCCTGCTAAAATAGACATAAAATAAAAGTTAGCATTTAAACCATTTTTGAATGCACAATTTAGTGGCATTAAGTGCATTCATCATGTTGTGCCACCATCACCACCATCCATTTCCAGAACTTTTCATCATTCCAAACCAAAACTCTGTACTCATTAAATGCTAATGCTCCATTTCCTATCCTCTGCTCCCAGGCCCTGGTAACCACCATTCTATTTTCTGTCTCTATGAATTTGACTACTCTAGGTACTTCATGTAATAGAATTATATAATATTTACCCTTTTGCATCTCATTTATTTCACATAGCATAATGTCCTCAAGGTTCATCCATGTTGCAACATGTATCAAAATTCCCTTCTCTTTAAGGCAGGAATAATGATTGCATAGCGAGTATATGCCGAATTCTGTGTATCCATTAATCCACTGATGGACACTTGGGTTGCTTCTGCCTCTTGGCTGTTGTGAATATAATGCTGCTGGGAACGTGGGTGTACAAGTATCTCTTCGAGACCCTGCTTTCAATTCCTTTGTGTATATACCTAGAAGTGGAATGGCTGGATCATAGATAATTCTATGTTTAATTTTTTTTGAGGAAGTGCCACACTGTTTTCTACAGCGGCTGTGGCGTTTTATATTTGGAACATATCTTTTTTTATTTTTATTTTTTTGAGACAGAGCTTCGCTCTGTCACCCAGGCTGGAGTGCGATGGCACAATCTCAGCTCACTGCAACCTCCTTCTCCCAGGTTCAAGCGATTCTCCTGCCTCAGCCTCCCAAGCAGCTGGGATTGTAGGAGTGTGCCACCACACCCGGCTAATTTTTTGTATTTTTATAGAGACGGGGTTTCACCATGTTGACCAGGCTGGTCTCGAACTCCTGACCTCAAATGATCAGCCTGCCTCGGCCTCCCAAAGTGCTGGGATTATAGGCATGAGTGACTGCGCCCAGCCTGTAGTATATCTTTTGTGATGCAACCTCTTTTTTGTTATACAACTGTGAGGCAAGCAGGCCTTCTGCCCTGGGGAAAAGTCACTGGACATTTCACTGATCTCAGCAGTGTCGTTTTCTCTGGTTTTCAGTCCAGGGATGAATTGGCATGGGAAGTTCAGGCCTTGTCAACGTGAAGGGGTCTATATCTCAGTCCCTTTCAAGTTGGTAACACATCAGGGCATTGCTATTTGTGTTATCCATTAGTGTTTTCACAAACAGTTAGTTGCCCCACTGGAGAGAAGGGGGAACATCACGACACTGCCTGCCCTACCCCATGAAACCCCCTCTGTGGCCTTGGAGCCCCAGAGAGTAACTGTTAAATATTCCTGCCTCTCTTCCTATGGGTATAAAAGAGCTGGCATAATAAACATAAACATAATAAACATTTTCTTAATAGAAAATAGTATGCCAACATCAATTCCATTTCAGTGGAAGAAATGCTTTGCCACTCATAACAGCAATGCTTTGGCTATGGAAAATAATAGGACGCCTCACACTGTATTCGGAATCCTATAAAAACAAAGGAAGCCACTGTGGAAAAAAAACATTAGGGAAGAGATTTCTATTCATATGTAGATCTTCTTTTAAAATTGAGAACCATTTTCTCTCTCTTAAATGAAGTTTCCCATCACCCACCAACCCCTTGCACAGCCCCTAGAGTCCCATAATGTAGTTTTCTACATGAGTGATTAGTTTCTTTGTCTATGCAGATTTTGGGGAATTGTCATTTTCTGCCTAAGAAATAAAAGAAAATTTGACTCAGAAGATTAAAAACACATTCTTGCCTCTTTAATTACAAAGATTAAAAGCATTGGGCCTCATCCGGACAATAAACTTAGAGTATAAAATACATGTTTGTCCTGATGGTTAGTGAGCTTGAGAGAGCACATTTCACCTGCCCCAAACCTCACTGAATGGAGCCTTGCAGGGGCTGGGCACTGACACTCACACGTGCCACATGCCCTGTGTTGTCTACTGCGTGTGCAAGGACAATGACGCTTAACTCCAGAGCCAGGCACTCATAAACGTCAAGAGGCTCTTGGCTTGAGCTATTCAAGGGGTACAAATATAAAACAGTAAATCTATTTTTTTGGTGTTTTATGTTTGGGTTTCCTTGTACTCAGATGAACAAGAAAACACTTCTTTTACACAGGTCTTGGCAAATGAAATGATCAAGAAAGAAAATGTGTCCCCATGTGATCAAAAGCAGAGGAAACTGCTAGCTAAATTTAAGATGCTATGTAGCGTAACAACACTAAAAATAGTTCTTTATCAATCCAATTACCCTGGATCATTGAGGATCTCTGTATAGTTATTGAATTATCTAGGTTCTGGAGATGGTTAATTTTATGTGTCGACTTAGAAAGTACTTTTGAATGAGATTATTATTTAATTCAGTGAACTTTAGGTCCAGCAGATTGCCCCCTATAGAGGGGATGGGCCTCATTCATTCAGCTACAGTCCTGAATAGAACAATAAGACCTGCATCTCCCAGAGAGAGGGACTTCTCCAGCAGGCTGCCTTTGGACTTTATGTGCACCCCAGCTCTCCTGGGTCTCCAGTGCTGCTGCCCACACTACAGATGGTGGGCTTGTCAGCTTCCATAATTATGCGAGCCAATTCCTTATAATAAATTTCTCTCTCTGGCTTGCTGTATGTGTGTGTGTGTCTGTGTCTGTCTTTGTTTCTTTGTGTGTGTGTTTCTGTGAATGTGTGTGTTGTGTGTGCGCATATGTGTGTGTCTGTTTCTGTGTGTGTGTTGTGAGGTGTGTCTGTGTGTGTGTTGTGTGTGTACGTATGTGTTTGTGTGTCTGTGTGTGTGTATCTGTGTTTCTGTGAGTGTGTGTGTCTGTGTTTCTGCGTGTGTGTGTGTGTCTGTGTGAGTTTCTGTGTGTGTGTGGTGTATGTGTCCGTGTGTTGTGTGTGTTTCTGTGTGTTGTGTGTGTGCGTGTATGCGCGTGTGTGTTTCTGTGTGTGTGTTGTGTGTGTGTTGTGTGTGTGTATTGTGTCTGTGTGTGTCTGTGTGTGTGTGGTGTGTGTGTTGTGTGTGTTTCTGTGAGTGTGTGTTGTGTGTGCATGTATGTGTGTGTCTGTGTGTGTGTGTGCTGTGTGTGTATGCGTGTATATACACACACATATACAACCTATTGGTTCTGTTTCTCTGGAGACTTGTGACTAATAGAGCTCCTTTCCTAGATTTACATTTACTTTCTTCAGTGAATTCATACATTTTGTAAGGTGAACTCAGATTAGTGCTTTGCTTTCTTTTTTCTTTAGTGGGAAATTAAGACAATTTATTCTATATAGCTATTAAAAAATACATGTCATCTTCTATTTCAGTTGGGCTTCCAGCAAGAAAGGGAATTCTACTCAAAATAGTTTAACCCAAAAGTGACTACTTACAGAAATGTAGGCAGAATAAAGGGAATTAACCAGGCATAGTAAGATCCTCAAGGAACTAGCATCAACAGGAAGCTGTTACCACCTGGAGGTCTGAAGCAGCGAGGAGAAAAAACCATTTGATCAGCGCCCAGGAGGGCTGGAGTCCTGGAGGGACCACCCGGCAGGGGCTGTCACTGAAGAAGGAGGTAACCATAGTCAGAGTATAACTGAAACAAGGAGCAGTGGGAGAAACAGCCTTATCTTTTTCTCATCCCATGCTCTGACCTCCCATTGGCTGAACCCAACCTGATGTCATGGCCAAGAGTGGAAAGTTGCCGCACAGAGAGGCCAGCCTCCTGGGCACACAGTAGGCCAGAAGGACTGGATCTGTGTTTGAAAACAGAATAGCTGGCACTCATGGGAGAAGCCCCAGAGATTTTGCTAGGCACTAAGAATAGTCCCTCTTCACCTCCAGTGAACTTCCCCAGCTTTGAAGACTGTGTGAACACAGAGCCTGGATGACACTTGCTGCCCTGCCCACGTGGATTGACATGGCTTCCTCTCGCTCCACCTCCACCTCCAAGCAGCAGCAGACGAACAGCACCAGACTGACCAGGACCTCCTAGGCCATCACAGCCCTGTGACTACTGGACATCTTTTTATCTGTCATTTTATTTCAAGGTGGTGACACATATAGCCATGTGGAAAATGAACAAAAACCTCTCTGAAGTGATTTTGAAGGATGAAAAAATTGATAAAAATCAGTCAACTTTTCGTCAAGTTTTTAGGAAGAATGCATGTAAGTAAAAATTCCAGTCTTCTAGTCAAACAATGAAGCTCACTTTATTTGTCAAAAGAGTCTCCCACAGTTGCCATCTAGCGCTTTTAAAATGATTTGTATCAGGGTGTAGACCCACTAGGTCTACAACTAGATGACCTGGAAAGCCAATTTTACAAGAACAGAACAGATAAAAGGGGCAAGAAGAAGAAAAGATAGTGAAGCCACAGGGTGAGGGGAGTGATGGGCCTTGGCCCATATTTAAGGAGGCGCTCACTTTCAGGGTTGCGCAAGTGTAGAGTTGGCACTGAGAGTCAGTGCCTCCTTAAATTTTGCACCCTAGGTGTGGATACCTCCCCTGCTTCTCCCTGGTCCTGCCCCTGCTGATTTGTCCTCTTCTAAAGAAAGCACCACCCAGCACTGTGCACAGCGCATCCTTTCTCAATCCTGGAAGGTTGCCCTTTTAGAGAGGCTTCGATGTGATTTCACTCACTGATGTAAAATAAGCTCTTATAAACAAAGAAATGCATTTTCTAGAACAGCCATAGAAGATGAGATGGGATAGACAGGCATCCAGCCTGTTGGCAGAGCATGGGGGAAGAGCTAGAAAAGGCATTCAAAAGTTGAGTCTGATCCTGAGGCACCAAGCATTTAACTGCGAACAAAGCAAGCAGCCAGGGTGAGCAAATGCAAAGGAGCGAAATCCTGATTCTTTATAAAGAAGCCCTACTATTAGAAATGCTTCCATTCGTGCATTCCTTTGGGTGAAAGCATCTTATTTTTTCAAAAAGACACTCCTTAAGTTGCAGAAGGGTGGGTGGTACAGTTAAATTGTTAACTTTATCTGATGAGTTAGTTGTTGAGGTCATTTCTTGTAAAAGAGGAGGTGGGAACTGATGAAGCTACACTTCATAGTCTTCACAATATTTTTTCCCTAAGTCAAGCACTGAATTCCAGTGGCCCCAACTATGAGCTTGTGGATTGAGGGTGAGACTCGGTTGGCCTAGCTCATTGCTCAACATAGGATTCCATTTGTAGAGTAGAGACAGGCTGAAGAAACCATGAAGGAATATTTAGATTAAACAAGGCTGAATGTATCTATTCAGTCTCATGGTTATTCCCAGTCACACAGTACAAATAACATACTGTAAAGACGTTTGCAAATACACTTCTAAGACAGTTGCTAAATGTTAGTTTTCTGACTTCAGTTTGACTTTGATCCATTCTTACAGATTTTTAGGTAGTTGGTCTTGCACACGTGATGGTTAGATGGATTGCTCCTTCACTTACACAGAAATACGTGGTCCTCACAGTTTGGCAACAGATGGCTGAAGTTGACAAAACCACTAAGAAAACATAATCAATGTGTTAAAACAAAGTTCACTGCTAACGTTGAACCCTTTCTTTCATGTTTTGATTCATAAGGTAACAGTGCTCTAATCTGGAAAAAGAAAACACTGAAAATCATTTAAAAAGCACTAATGCCCCATTTAGTTGTTCAGAGCAGTTTCTTTTTTTTTTTGGATTAAAAGGAGGTAAGTCATGCTTACTTCTAAGGAAATGGTTACATGTGCAACCTTGAGGGAAAAAAATCGTCAATATGAATGGCATCGTACTGCATCACTGTGAACATAGAATTGTTTTAATAATATCTTGTGGTTAAAAATTTGTTAGACGAAATGGTATTAATGACATGTGGAAAAGAATTGAGAAGTAACTATTGTTTACATGAAAGCTATTTAGCTACTTATGCTAGCAAATCTCTCAACTTCCATATGACATTCTCCAAATGTAAAGGGAAAATTTACATTCGGATGTCTGCTGACATATATGTGTGTGTGTGTGTGTGTGTGTGTGTGTGTCTGTGTATATAAGGAAGCAGCATGGAGAAGAAAACAGTTCTGGGTAAATGAAATGATTAATAAAAAATTATATATATATATATCAGATACCACTCTCCTGCTGAATTACAATATCTCGAGAATTATAGAAATAGGAAATCTAGGTAGAAAATCTAGGTACAAAATAATTTCCTGACGTTGACATCACAACCGATTCATTTGCTTATTTACATTTAATTAATTAAAATAAGTCTTTGAAAAAAAATTTTTTAAAAAGCCCTTTGTTCTGTGCCCACATCCGTTTGAGCCTGCAATGGGATGGTCAGAAGGCCCCGGGTGAGATAACCGTGCTGCAGTTCACAGAAGCACACATGCATGTCTGTCATTGTCTCTGTTCGACACCTTCCCCGACTGCCCTATGATTGCAAGTGTTTCTGTCATGATAGAGAAGGTGCAGAGCAGGGCATGCTACGACCTCGGAGTCCTGACCGGGAGGTACGGGGCAGCACTAGCAACGCCTGCGGGAAGAGCTTCCTCTGGGTACCTCAGGCCTCCATGACTGGCTGTGTTTCCAGAAATTGAATTGTGACAGTATTTACCTGGGGATTCCAAGGGAGGAAAGGATCACATCACCTGTGAGCTTCCTTAACATGAAAGTGACTCTCACCATCCAGAGTAAGGAAATAGAAGGCCACCATAAAGTGACACAGAAGTGTGACAATGAAAGAGAGGAAAGCAATGAAAATAATTCCAGAGAAACTGAAATTCTTCCATACGGCATCCAGTCTTTCTAAAAGTTTAAAGATCCTGTAATTTCTGTGTCATCTATAAATAACCCCCAGGTCCTTAAAGATCATACACGAGTCAGTGTAGTGAACTGTGGTCCATGTTTCTCTTATTTTTTTCTTGTCTTCTAATAATATCATTAAGTAACTCTGAAACATCTTTACTGAGAAAGAGAGCACAGTGACCTTAATTTGAATCATTTAGGTATATCATAAGGCAGCTATGCTATTTAGGTCATTTGAGATAATTTCCTATGAGATATGAGAAACATACACTCAAATTACATACAGCAGTGATAACAATGACATGCATTGACTGCTTAATCTATGTCAGACAGTTCTATGTGCACCAATTATGTTAACTAGTTTAAAGAGAGGGAACAAGCATCACGGAAAATACAAGTTTTACTGTTGGCAAAGTTTATGTTTATCTTATTAGATTTAATAATTCCAGAGGCCGGGCACAGTGGCTTATGCCTGTAATCCCAGCACTTTGGGAGGCTGAGGCGGGCGGATCACGAGGTCAGGAGTTCGAGACCATCCTGGCTAACACGGGGAAACCCCTCTCTACTAAAAATACAAAACTTAGCCTGGCGTGGTGGTGGGCGCCTGTAGTCCCAGCTACTCAGGAGGCTGAGGCAGGAGAATGGCGTGAACTGGGGAGGCGGAGCTTGCAGTGAGCCGAGATCGCGCCACTGCACTCCAGCCTGGGAGACAGAGTGAGACCCTGTCTCAAAAAAAAAAAAAAAAAAATTCCGGATAAAATTATAAGATAAACTATTCGTAGTCCCATAGATCACAGGTGACACAAAGGGGTAAGATATTAGTAATGTCTAAACCTGACAAGAGATTAATATCTGGAATATACCAAGGAGCTTGCTGCTGCATATCAACAACAACAAGATACCCCACCAGAAAAATGGTCAATGTAAAGGAGAGACAGTTTACAGAAAACATTCTGTGTGAGTAAACATATGAAGAGATGTTCAAAAGCATTACTAATAAGAGAAATGCAATTCAATGATGAAATATCCCTTTGTACCCATTAATTTGGCCATAGTCAGAGAGCTGGCTGATGGCTCCTGTTGGAAAGGGTGTGAGGTTTGGCACCCTTTTACCTGCTGGTGGGAGAATAGACTGGGACAGACATCTGGGAGGTAGTGACACCACTCAGTCCAATTAAGTGGAGCCATTCCACCCTAGGGTGCTCCTTGGGATATTCTCACTATAGGCTCATAAGGGAACATGTGCAAGGGTGTTGGTTGCAGGCTGTCAGTGGCAACAGGTTGTGGATGCAATCCAATGTCCACCATCGGGATGGGTAGAAGGTGAGGGGGTGAGCAGCCATGGAAAACCATGCCATGGTTAGAAGCAATAGATTCAATTTCCATATAGCAACATGGATCGACCTTAAAATTACAGTGCTGCCTCAGAAACGGTAAGAAGCAGTTTGAGATACGTATCATATTTCCATTTATATGAATTAAAAATAAATCCACACAAAACGACAAATGCACATTTCAGAGGAATTCATGCCCAGAATTTTTGAAAGCGCACTAGAATGTTTGATGAGGGAAGTGGAAAGGGACTGGTTGCAAGGATCAAAAGGAATAAACAAGTAAGTAAAACAAAAGGGAAAAACACCTGTGGGGTCTCAACCCAATTCTATTTAATAAACACTTCTTAAGGCTCTACTCTTTCCAGACGTTTTATTTGAACATGTTCTTTCCGGTGGTATATGAGCCTAATTTGATTTATGAACACAAGATAATGAGACTTTATAACTTTAGATAGAAAATTGCATGTGCCACAAGAACAGAGAGAAAAACGAAAATTAATTGCTGGAGAAAAGTATTTTCTAAGTGCTTAGATGATAAGATAAAGTGATATGTAATAAATGAGATTCCATCTTTAATGTAACTTTTATCTCAAGTGATGCCAGAAACCATTAAAAACCAAGAAATATAATTAAAAATAAGCTGTAACATAAAATAATGTTATGGATTTGGAGAAGATTAAATGTTATTTAAATTGTTTGTACAGTTAACCTTCTATGGAAAATAGAACTTTAGAGGTATACTTAGATATTTCTGTTTATGAGTCCCTAGTTGCTATGAACTCCACGCGTTGTAATAAAACGGATTCTTAGGCCCTCCCCCGCCCAAATCACTCATTAAACAAATATTTATTAAACACCTACCATGTGCCAGATACTGGGCCTTAATGACGATTTTACACCATAGCTTCCAAATTCATATCTTTACCTGGGACTTCTTTGAATTCCAAACTCATAGCACAGTTATTACTGCTTGACTGTTTCAAAGGTATCACAAACCCAACACCTTCAAAACCAAACTCATGATTCATCCCCTAAAACTATTGTTCTTCTTTCCATTTTTTCCTCTGACAATGCCCCACCATCCATCCGCTTGGCACAAGCCAGACACTAAGTGGTCATCTTTGGCGTCTCTCCCTGCCACTTCTCTTAGCTAGTCGCTTCCCAAACTCTTGTTGGTTTTATTTTTTATATATTTCTCGAATTTATCACTTTCTCCCATCTTTAGCCACCATCCCACTTGGAGCTACTGTCATTATCTCTTCTTTCTTTCTTTTCTTTTCTTTTTTTCTTTGAGACAGTCTTGCTCTGTCACCCAGACAGGAGTGCAGTGGCATGATCTCAGCTCACTGCAACCTCCACTTCCCAGGCTCAAGCGATCCTCATGCCTCAGCCTCCCGAGTAGCTGGGATTACAGGTGTGTGCCACCATGGCTGGCTGATTCTTTTGTATCTTTAGTAGAGATGGAGTTTCACCATGATGGCCAGGCTGGTATTGAACTTCTTGAACTTCTGACCTCAAGCAATTCACCTGCCTCCCAAAGTGCTGGAATAACAGGTGTGAGCCACGGCGCCTGGCCATCTATTTCTTGACAGGACTCTCTGGTCTGCCCAGCTCTCCTCCTCATTCTCTACACTGAAGTCAACTCTGTTCATGCCATTCCTTGTTCCTCTTCCCCCCTTAAAAATCAATGTCTCTTAAGTTGAAGAAAAAGATCTTTAAGGTGGCCTGTGATGCATTCATGGTATGCTCCTCCCCATCTTCCTAGCCTCATCTCATTCCACCCTCTCTCTTACTCTTTTTGCCCTCCCCCACTGGCCTGTGAGTCTCTTGTATGTATCATGCTGCCTCCTGCCACAGGATCTTTGCACATGCTATTTTCCTAGCATCATCAGGATGCTCTCTTTCCCTCTCTTCTGTCTTTTTTTCTCTCTCTTTTTTTTGCATAGTTAATCCATTTGCTCATAAATATTTATTGAGGACCTACTACATGCCAGGCACTGATGTAGGTGCTGGAGATTCAGTGATGAAATAAACTCTCTTAATTCTTGAAGGTTTCACTTTGGTGAGTTGATCTTAGACTGGTGGATTAACTCTGATTCAGCTCAACTTTCTAGTTTTGGGGAAGTCCGATCCCCCAAACTAGATCAGACGTCCTTGTTCCAAGTTCTCAGACCCCATGTGCTCCTTCCTAGTACTTAGCACAGCTTGAACTTACTCATTTACTTGAGGGTTTATTTGAATGTCTGACTCATCCATTGGTCGGTAGGTTTCGCCAGGGCACAGGCACTTCTGGGTTTGCTCATCACAGTATCCTTGGGCCTGTCACAGTGCCAGGTGCGTAGAAGATGTTTGATATAGTAAATATTTACTGATTGAATGAAATGTAAATAGAAAAATGGCCACTGCCCTGAGGCTATCCAGGGAAGATGATGGATGGATACACAAATGGCACGTCAGAGGAATGATGCTCAGAAGTGCTGTGTACATGAAAGCTGGAACAACACCTAAAGTCCCTCGTTTCTTTCTTTGTTTTTTAAAACTGGAAGACAAGTACATTTATACACTGAGAATGAACAGCCAGTGGAGAGACAAAACAGATACAAGAGGGAAAGACAGTGCTGGGGACAGCTTCCCTGGAGAGAGGGCAAGGAAGAGGTCTAGAGCCCTGTGGAGGGACAGCTGTGTGGCTGGCAGTGGGCGAGGAGCTCTGCCTGGTGGCATTGACGCCTTTGCGGAGTCTTAGGCTAGATATTTACTGCCCAGTATGGTAGCTGCTCACCACAGGTGACTACTGAGCAGTTTAAATGTGGCCAGTATGCAGGAGATGCACTCTAGGTGCAAAATGCACATCATGTTTTAAAGACTTGTACAAAAAAGTGTAATATGTCTCATTAATAATTGTATGTATTAATTACTTGTTGAAGTGATGATGCAATCTATTTTCATTTTTCCAGGGAGTGAATTATGTTCTATCAAGTCACTGTGAACACTGAATTAGTGAATACTTACCCATCACTCCAAGAGGAAATACAAGGCTAGGTTCCTACAGCAAGCCTCTGTCACAACATTTTCATCAACTGATCAACATGTAACTTTGTTTTTCATGTTTCTGTTTAAAGACAACTTATTTAATCTATCTTGTTGATTTATTAACACTGAACTGACAGTCAACAGTACTATAACTCATGCCTGAATGAAGCTTCTCCAACACACGTATTTTCTCCATAAGGTACATCACAGCCTTCTTGTGCTTAGGAGCCTTCACAGCTTAGGAATCCCGGACAGTACTTCAGCAGTATGCTCGGAGACTAAAAAGGAGCACAAAAATGTAGAAAACATGGCACTACCTAGACCCTAAAAAGGACGCTTGCTTACAGCACGAGAGTTGAAACAAGAGGCAGCGCACCGCCTTGCTGGACCTCAGCTGGGAGCGTGCATGTTGGGCGACTCAAGCTTTTCACCACTCTGCATGTCGGCAAATGGACACAAAAATGCTGCAGGTATTGATTTTGGGGTTACAAACACATTTTTATGAGTAGATGAATTTGCAAATACAGAATCAGTGGACAATGAATATTGACTATACCTTGGGTGAAATAGAGCATATTATAAGAAGTAATTTCACCTGTTTCTTTTTACATTTTAAAAATTCAGCTGCTAGTAAATTTAAAGTTTTATACGTGGTTCACTTTCTATTCCTATTGGACTGCCGTGGTCTAGATTATTATTGAGAGAGAGAATCAGAAATGGGTCAGACAGTCTTAAAGGGAATGAGGAGGGTGGTACTGTCTTAGACCAGAACACGCCAAGTGCTTGCTCGGACCTGGCAACACTTCAATGCTTTTTGAAGCAACTTCCTCAAAAATGTCTAAGGCCACCCTTCTGGTGCCTGGGAGAGGCTGCAGTGCTCTTTGGGTGGGGCTTGTGAGCCCTGATTGGACTCTTGTGGGTCCCATGGTTCTCCCCTTTCGGGCGCTCTCCAAAACTCAACCCCATTCCCCACACAAGGGATTCGCCAGATGACCAAGGAGCTCGGAGCTCGCGCCCATGGGGCTATCCTGGGGTACTACAGGAGAGCAGCCTCTCAAGTGAATACCCTTTGCTGTCTGCCATGATCTTTTTTTCTTGGATCATGTGGGATTGGGCCACCGGAATGATGCTAATTTGAGGTGACTCACTCACATAAGACCCAGGATCATGACTCTTCACAAGTACTGATTGGACAAGAAACGAGTACAAATAAATAAATGCCTTTTCTCTACCCATTGTTCTAAGTCTTCACTGATAAATCACTATACCTCACATGAGCCCATGCATTTTATAATACATGAAAATCACATTGTTTATATAGACAAGGTCCCTGAAAAAAAAATTAGTTGTCTGCTAGGCAGCCTTGGGTGAAGACGTGGAACGGCCATGGTGGGGGATAGAGGTGACTGGTCAGATATGCACAAAAGGGCTGCAAGCAAGGTGGATGGGTTAGAGACAGAAACTGGGGGCTCTGGCTGGATGTACAGAACTTTAGAACATTAGAGAATTAGGGAAGTCAGGGAAAATGTGTTCTTATCCTACAAACTATCCTCTAAACTTCAAGTCAATTAATAACTGACTCCTAAGTCTAGCTCATTGCCCTGGGTCAAGGTCGTTCCAGCTTTGCTCCTAGAATCCTTCCGGGCACCTCTGGCATGAGAAGGGGCTGGGGTCTGTGCTCTGCCCATCCTTCAGGTGTATTTCAGTGGTTCAAGAATGAATAGAAAAGGCTCCTTTTGAGAAAAAGGAGTCTTCACCTCAAATCAAGTCTGAATCACCTAAAATTGCCCTAGGTCCTGTAACTAAAAATCGAGGAGGCTGAGGAGAGAAGGACTCCCAGGATGGCTGGAGCTGGAGGTAGCAGTGTAGTTGTGCTGAGCTCAGCAAGGTGCCTCTTCTGGGGCATGCTGGCCCAGATTAAGAATGAGCTATGAATTAGGTGACTATCTCAAGTGCTTCCTACATGGGAAAGCACTTTAGGTTTAAAGTGTTCTAGATTCTCACTCACATTAAATTCTTGGAGATTCCCTCTTAATGCTGCTACATGAATATTTTATAGATGTGAGATTACTGTGTGCAGGAGATGGTATTTATATCAGATTTGATGAGCAAAAAAGAAAATTAAAATATGAAATTATCTGTTTTCCTTAGATGGCTACTTTAAAATGCAGATCAATATGTTCTTGCAGTTTCTTAAAATTATTTCTTCTCTTGGACACATCTGTTCTTTCTTACCTCATTCCTTTTTTGTTTTGCAATATAACACAATTTAAGGAAATGCACTTGGAATCTAAGCTGCTAGAATTTTTGTACATACAGAGTAATCATCTTCATAGTTTTTATTCCTTTTTGGGTGTTTGTAGAAAAATACTTTCATTAAAATGAGTTTTAAATTTCTTTATATTTTTATTTCAGTTAGTGGCTTTCCATAAAAATTGCCCAAACAGTGAATGTGACAGAGTATATACTGTAAAAAATGTTTTATTTCTTATCAGGTTTAAAGTAAATATCTCTATTGTCTTATCAGGTATAATTATGTTCTTTCTTGTACTACACGAAATTCCTCTCTCTACTGCACATAATTTTATGTACATGCATCTTTGGAAACTGTCATTCTATACCTTTTAAAGCAAACTCACTTTTGAATTCAGCAAACTCACCTTGCTGAATTATTATTATTTAATATATACATCACAGCCTTGATTTCTTGGTGCCTATTTTCTAGGGAGACATAAAACAAATGTGACTCATACTCACCTTATTTGAACACATTATCTTTAATTTAAAAGTTATATTAAAATTAGTTTTGCCACTTTTTTCATGAACTATGATTATTCTAAAATTCGACTTGCCTCCTCTTGCCTTTGATGCTTCAGCCACTGCTGTTGACAGAGTGTTCCCACCAAAGGCAGTGAGAATAATTTGCTCATTAATGCACGCAACACTATCAGTTTTTCCACACTGATACTCTGTGTTCTCTTTGTAACACGGTCTGATGTCTTATTAAGTTTCTGGTCAACTTCCTCTATTCAGCAGATGTTTTCATTAGGCTGCCTGTGATGATTCCTATGGCTTTGCCTATGAGGTTTTGGTTAATTCCAAAGCTATTGGTACACATAAATGGCTTACATTTTTTTTTTTTACCCTGAAATAAATGACTTCGTGAATCTTGAATCTCGTCAGGCAACATGCCAATCAAGAGTCAGTTTCACTTTGTGTTCTCCACTCTTAATTTAAAACAATGATGCGGCCCTGGCAGATTCTGGTACTTCCTAGAACTTACCTGAGATATCCGGCAGCATTTTATGTGTATCAGCTTTGCAATGCAATGACCACCACCTTCACCCTGTGATTTTTTCATTCTGCTCTCTGACTTCTTTTGCAGCTGTTCACAATAGCAGCTGCTTGGCTATCTTGCAAACTTGTTGCAGATGTTTTTACTTCCTTTTTTTTCAGATGATAAAACGAATAATCTAGAAAATTTGGAAAATATCAAAAGAACAAAGAAAAAATTAAAATAACTTATAATCATACCACAAGGAGAAAAGTTCTGTGGTTTCAGGGGTGGAGCCCACTGAGGGCAGACATTGGCATCTCCCCTGCTGGGCATTACCAGTCCTTCACATGCCTTCACCAGCAGTGGGCAAGGTCTGGGAAGCAGGAGCAGGAGAACATGCTGGAAGCCGTGCAGTGACTACACCCAAGAGATGTGAGCACACGTGAAGGTCCCTTTTGGAAGGACTCTTAAAGGGGAGTTGCAGATTCTGCATCTGCAGGTCGGAAGCCAGAACAGAAACTATGGCATAGAAATACCAGTGTGACAGCATAACTGTAGACTGGTAACATCTGCAATGTTCCAGTTACATATTTCTTCATCTCTCACATGTTCTCTATTAAAATTTGGATATATTTTGTGTATACTACTTTGTAACCTTCTCTTTTTCAATTAATAGTAGTATTCTCCCATACTATTTAGTACCTTATTTTAAAAGGCTTAAGTTTATAAAGAAATTATCAGAAAAAGGGAGTCCATCCTGTCAGTAGCCTCTCTGGACATAAATGACTTTGCATCACCAAAATTTAGTATATAGGGAAGATAAAACAGGAAGAGGAGAGGATACCTGCGTACCTCTTTATTTGAAAGTAATTGACATTCATAATGAATGAACACACAGTGACTGAGTTCCCATTCCTTAGACAGTGGTGTAGGAAGAGCAAAACATTTAACAACAGATTTTGCCTTAAGAAACTACAAATCTAGTTTGGGATACAAGATTAGAACTTATAAAAAAATTAAATAATACGAGAGTTAAGTTGTACTAAATAGTAGCATAAAATATTTCCCAGGAAAGTGCATGCTAATGAGTACTCCAGGCAGGAGTGAGTCATGAAATAATCACTGCTGGAAAGAACCTTTGGAATCATGTTGCCCAAAATTTTCATTTGTACCCCTAGGTTGGCACACATGACATTTGGTTATTGTTTGCTGTCTCTTCCTCCACCCAGGACCCCCAGCACCCCCAGCCCCTTGAGGGTAAGGGCTTGGCCCGGGCATCGCCACAGATCAGGGAAAAACTCATTTTAAGCACTCAGTAAAGTTTGTGGAAGTCACTATTTATCAATTCAACTAATGTCATCAGGAAAGTCGTATGATACTTTGAAGGTGTTTTCAGCTTGGATAACTGTGGGGATAGAGGTCACAATAATGAACCTAGGGAAGCCAGAGGATAAACTGGTTTTGGAGTAAAATCATGACTGGCATCTGTATTAGTTCCCAGGGCCGCCATAACAAAGTACCACAAACTGGGTGGCTTAAACAACAAAAGTTTATGCTCTCACAGTTATAGATGCTGGAATTCTGAAATCAAGGTGTCAGCAGGGCCTGCTCCCTCTGAGGTTCCAGGTGGAATCCTTTGTTGCCTTTGCCTGGCATCTGATGGCTCTTGGCAATCATTGGTGGTCCTTGACTTGCAGCTGCATGGCTCCAATCTCTGCTTCCATCATCACATGGTCTTTTTCCCTGTGTGTCTGTCTCTTCTTCTCTCCTCATAAGGACAGCAGTCATATTGGATGAAGGGCCTAACTACTCCAGTATGACCTCATCTTAACAAATTACAACTGCAATGATCCTATTTCCAAATATGATCACATTCTGAGGTACTAAGGGTTAGGACTTCAACCTATCTTTTGGAGAACAAATTCCGATCCATTACTGTATTTTATCGTTCATCATCTTTAAATCTCCCCAAATAGAATATCCTGTTAAATTTCCCCTTCAGCCCTGTAAGGTTGCTATTACTATCTCCATTTTGCAGGTGAGGCTCAGAGAGGTTGAGAAACTTTCTAGGGTTACACAGATAGTTAGGTGATGGAGCCAGGAAGCAAAGCAGTCCACCAAGCCCACAAGATCCTCATAACACACACTGGTCTATTTATTCAGTAGCTACCATGTGTCAGGCACCCTACAAGGGGTAGGAAAGGAAACAGAAAAATTCCTGTCTTCATGGAATATACATTCACGTGGGGAAGCCCATCACTAAACAAGATAAGTTGATTTGTGGCATGTAGGTATTGATAAGTGCAACGGATAAAAATAAGGCAGGAAAGAGCAACAGAAAGTGTTGGAGTGAGAGGTTGCAATTTTAGGTTGGGAGTGCTGCTCCTACTCCCCCGAGAAGGTTAGGAACAGATTGCCTGATTGCCTGAGGGCAAGCGCAGAGCGGGAAGACCAGTGAGGAGGGACAGCACTGCAGTGACCAGGAGAGAGGGCATGGTGGCTTGGACCAGGGTATTGGCAGGGGAGGTGGTGATAAGTGCTTGGATTCTGGATATTTTTTGAATGTAGAGTCAAAAAGATTTCATGAGTGATTGCATATGTGGTCTGAGAAGTAAAAAGGCAGGGACGACTGGGAGACTTTTGGCCTGAGCTACTGGAAGGAAGGAGCTGCTACTGTCTGGGTTGGGGATAAAATGGGTTGTGAAGGAACTCTCAGGAGTTCAGCTGGGGACATGTTAAAATGGGGATGGGAGAGAGGAATCAAGCACATCCATCCATGTGGCCAGGCAGCATTCTGTTACTTCAGAGAGGCTCATACAGGTGAAACTATCAGCAGTGGAGAAGGCTGCCTAGCTGCCCTTGGGAGGCTAAATTGGGTTTTGAAGAAGAAGATGGGGTCGTCCTTTGCGTCACTGGTAGAGCTTACACTTTGGGCTTCACTTTATTTGTCTCCATGTAGCACCTTTCTCAGTTGCCAGACACATAACAGGTATTTCATAAATATTTGCTGAATGAATGATGGGTTTTACAGAAAGAGAACGAAAAGTTGTAACACAGGGAGACCCCATTTCCTCAAAAATAAGAACAAAAATAAAATGAAAAAATTAGCCTGGTGTGGTGGCATACACCTGTAGTTCCAGCTACCTGGGAGGCTGAGGCAGGGGAATGTCTTGAGCCCAGGAATTTGAGGTTATAGTGAACTAGGACTGGGCTGCTGCACTCCAGCTTGGGCAACTAAGCAAGACCCAGTCTCTAAAAAAAAAAAATAATAATAATAATTAGCCAGGTGTTGTGGCATGTGCCTGCGGTCCCAGCTACTCCACACCACTGCACTCCAGCCCAGGTGACAGCTTTGGCTGCATTTAGAACTGCTCACATAGTTGTGTTAACAGTCAGTAGCAAACTTTATAATTTTAAATCATCATACAGTTTTTCATGCTGGGCACACCTTACACTCATCCAATTTGGCAAATATTTATTAAGACTAATTAGTTTCTTTTTTCATATACATTATATTTCTGCTATGTTCGTTTAAGTATTTAAAGCCACTTTCAAAAACTTATTAATTTAATAATTAGATTCCAAGTGGGATCCATATCAGAGACTAGAAAATCTAGGCTAAAAAATCTGGCAAATAAGTGTGAGTCATCTGGATTTGACATAGTGGGGAAAATATAGGTATATGGAAATGTCATGTTGGAAAATGAGCATGTTGGGTAGTTTCTTTCAAAACAAAGTTGTCAAACACAGAGGTGGTAATTATATAGTAACAAACATCTGCAAAAAAGTTGAATCAAATATGAAAATTTTACAAATAATCAGTTTTAATATAAAGTAGGCAAAATTAATTAAAAGACTCTGAGGGCCGTGTGGAATCAACTTGTGAAACGGTGATGGCAAATCTAAGTGGAGATGTTTATAGAAAACTTTAATCGTCAAAACCCAGGCAATTAACTAAGTTTTTATACTTTTTTTGGTAAATTTTCGAGTGTGTTTAGTAATTATTAAGTGTATCTTAAAATAAATTACTTAGTTTTTTAAAAGTATGCACTCAATGCTTTAATCAATTCACTTTGTTCCCTCAATTCTGATTTGATTTCCTTATAACCAGGCAGAATGAATGATCAGCCTGTGTGGTCACTATGACCCTCAGCGAGGGCAGGTAGACATTCTGGCCTGTAATCCTCAACACGACCCTCTCTTACTTTCGTTTCCACAAGTTTCCTTTCCCCATCACTTTCTTCTGGAGGAAATTCTGCATCTAGACACTTTCCCTGGGTCATAAACTTATGTACTTTCGAGACTGGCTTCTCACAAGTGAAGCTTCTGGAACAAGGCCATCCCGTTCTTCTATTTCCCACTCGCTTTTCATTCCCTCTCTCTCTGTTGCAGTGCATGTTATATTAGTACAGGCTTGCTTGTGTTTTCTTCTTCTCTTTCTTTAGAGACAGGGTCTCGCTCTGTCGCCTGGGATGGAGGGTAGTGGCATGGAGTACCTGGGACCACAGGCAAATGCCATCACGCCTGGCCAATTATTATTATTATTATTATTTTAGAGACAGGGTCTTGCTTTGTTGCCCAGGCTGGAGTGCAGTGGCCCAGTTATAGCTCACTGTAATGTCAAATTCCTGGGCTCAAACAATTCTCCTGCCTCAGCCTCCTGGGTAGCTGAGACTACAGGTGCATGCCACCACACCAGGCTAATTTTTAAATTTTATTTTTCTTTTTATTTTTGTTAGAAATGGGGTCTCCCTTTGTTACCCAGGCTGGTCTCAAACTCCTGGCTTCATGAGATCTTCCCACCCTGGCCTCCCAAAATGTTGGGATTCCAGGTGTGAGGCACCATGCATGGCCTGCTTGTGTCTTCTGTCTTGTTGAGGACATATCTTGTCTCCTCAATCAGATGATAAGCTGTATGTGCTTCTGATTTGTGAACATCTTTTCTAGTCCTCACAGAACACACTGGAGCACTCTAAGGCGTTCCCTTACTGGACAATATGGGATGTTACCACCAACTTGGCCATCCCGGTGGCAAATGGAGAGAAAGGAGAAGCCCATCATTGGCCAAGTTTTCTCTGAGGGGGCTTTTGTAGCTAAAGTGAGAAGTCAGCTAATGGAAGTGGTCCCCCTTCCTCATGTTGTACAACATGACCCAGGAAGGGCTGCAGCTGACAAAAAGACCAAGAACAATAGGATCTAGTAGCTGCTGTGGCCCAAGCAGTGGAGAAAGTCTGCTCAGTGCAATGCCCTGCTCTTACTTCCTGCCAGTATTCAATTCTGGAGGAAATGCAATATTAAGTTCCTTGAGATATTCCTCATTTTTATCAAGGTTTTTGAAAAATGATTTTAAGAAGCCATTGGAATCATTTTTTTTTTTTTTTTTTTTAAGATTTTACACTCTTGAAAATCAACAGAACTTTTAAGGAAGGAATGGTTTAGCATGCCCTATCTTCCAGGATCCTCTCAGAGGGGGCCCAGCGGCCTATCGGTCTAAGTCTAACACCAACCCTTGGCCCCAGCATGAGCGCCGCTGGCACGTTCGGCCAGAGCTAGGTTGGACTAATGCTCAACAGTCCATTCATTGCCTTGCAACTCTTCTCCAATCACTGCCCTAACTTCATAAGAAAGCTGTGAATCCTTGGAGAGACAAAACCAAGACACAGAATGAAAGGCCATTGCTTTTCCCCCTACCCTGCACTTAACTGACTTTTTTAGTGGATGCATAATAGATGCACATAATTGCAGGGTATGTGTGATAATTTAATACATTCATATAATTCGTAAAGATCAAATTAGTGTACTTGGAATATCCATCACCTTAAATATTTGTTCTTTCTTTCTTTTCCCTTTCTTTCTTTCTTTCTTTCTTTCTTTCTTTCTTTCTTTCTTTCTTTCTTTCTTTCTTTCTCTCTCTCTTTCTTTCTTTCCTTCTTTCTTTCTTCTTTCTAACTTTCTTTCTTTCTTTTCCTTTCTTTTTTTTTTGACGGAGTTTTGCTTTTGTCGTCTAGCCTGGTGTGCAATGGCGCAATCTCGTCTCCCCAGGTTCAAGCAATTCTCCTGCCTCAGCCTCCTGAGTAGCTGGGATTACAGGCATGCACCACCATGCCTGACTGTTTTTTTTGTATTTTTTGGTAGAGATGGGGTTTCACCATGTTGACCAGGCTGGTCTTGAACATCTAACCTCAGGTGATCCACTCGCCTTGGCCTCCCAAAGTGCTGGGATTACAGGCATAAGCCACCACGCCTGGCCAAGTATTTGTCTGTTCTTTATGCTAGAACCATTTGAATTAGTTTCTTCTAGCTATTTTGAAATGTGCAATAGTTTATTGTAGACTATAGTCACCCTACTGATCTAACACTAGGTCTTATTTCTTCTGTGGAACCATGTACTTGTACCCATCAATCAACTTTCCATCTCCCCTCCTCTACCAAAAGGCCATTGTTTTACCAGCAGCTCACAATACTGTATTCTTAGCTTATTATGTGCTATCCTCTTAATTCCATTAGGACTTTCTTTGAACATGTAATTTTATACCACTCATTGACAACTATCCACATCTTGTATATACTTCCTCAAAAATTGTTGTCTCACAAGTAGTGATGGTTTACTTGCAGAAATATGGTGAGACATTTACACTGAGTAGTCATCAGGATATTTGGTTGTGTTGGCACAGGGATTTGTTCTGGTTCCTCAAGTCATTCATTCTATAAATATTTAGGTGCCTATTCTGTGCCAAGCACCACCGGCAAAGAAACAGGACTCATCACTGAGCATTTCAGTCTCTCTCATAAAACCTAGATTCTGTCAGGATGAGACAGATAACACACAGCGAAACAAATGAATGTACACTGAGTCCTCACTTAACATTGTTGATAGGTTCTTGGAAACCGCTACTTTAAGGGAAATGACGACATAAATCGAAACCAATTTTACCACAGGCTAATTGATATAAGCAAGAATTAAGTTTTTACAGCACATTTCTGATCACGAATTTCTAAATAAATGTCAAAACACTTCTATATTACACATTGAAATGAATGTGAGCCTTACATATATTTAAGAAAGATTAACAAATACAAATAGGATATTTACCCCACTTTAAGTGAATCAGTGAGTGATGGCAGTTGGCGTGGTGGTAGATTAAATCAAGGAATAAATGTTTGGAAACCGGTAATTATGAGGAGCACCTTGCGCCACCACACAGTTCAAAAGTAATCACAGATCTGGTGGGCTTACGGAGCACCTTTGTACTTCACCATTTATTCTTGTGCATTTGAATGATTGTTGGAGACTTTGCAAATTTTTATTTGACAATAAGTTTCAATTTATTCACTTACTTTCCACCCTGCTTATTCCATTTCAGAGTTGCCAGTGGCCAAAGCCTTTCCTGGCAACTCAGGGTGGAAGACAGGACCCAGCCCTGGACAGGATGCCATCCCATTTGTTGCAGGGCACACTCACTTACATGGACCATTTAGACACAGCTATTAATCTCATGTAATGTCTTTGAGATGTGGGAGGAACCTAGAGTACCCAAAGAAAAGGCATGCAGACATGGGAGAACATGCAAACTCCACACAGACAGTGGCCCTGGCTGGGAATCCATGTTTTTGTTTTTCTCATCAACATTATTACGAAACGACATTGAAAGAAATGATGTTATTTGAAGACCTGCTGTATACCAGCAGGTATAACACAAGATAAAGAAAACCAAGTCACTGTAAGTGGGTAGATAGTGACAAGGTGAGGGATGCCATTTGAGGTTTTGTGGCCAGGGAAGGACTCTTTTTGTGGTGACCCTTAAGACTTGAATGTAGTGAAGAAACAATCTGTGTAGATATTTACAGATGAGCATTTTTGGGCAGAGGGTTAGCGATTACCAATGAGCTGGGTCGAGGTCATGTCTGATTTGCTTAAGGAAGATTCTGGGGGTTCATATGGCATGAAAGAGGAATGACAGGAGATGATGTCTAAGAGGATGGCAAGGTCTCGATCTTATATGGCAGGTCACATGAAGGATTCAGAATTTCTCTATGATGGAAAGCCACTGGGGGATACTGAATAGGAAAATAATTAATTTGACATTTTGAAAGGATCATTCTGGCTGTTGCTTGAGGAATCAAGGAGCCAGAATGGAAGTAGAGAGATCAATGAGGTGGTTGCATAGTCTAGAACATAGCTAAGGGTGGCTGGGAGGAAGGTGATGCGGTGAGTGTGGTGAGCACCATCAGATTTGGGAATGCATTGTGAAAGTAGAGCCAACAGGGTTTGCTGATGGATTGGAGGATTAGGGATGCAAAGGGGAGAAAATCACTGATGATTTCGGGGTTTTTGGCCTCAAATATGTTTTTCATAAAGAAGGAGAGAGCAGTAAGCTATGTTAAATGCTACTGAGAGATTAAATTGAAGACTCAGAATTAACCATTGGATTTAGTACATACAGACTATTCATGATCTCCACAGTGGTAACTTTAGGGTGTTGACTAAAAGCATGATTGGGATGGTTTCAAGAGAGAATGAGGTTGTCTCTTTGGGAGATAGCCTGATTAGATAAAGGAGGAACTCATGGAGGAAAGTGAAGCCATTGGTAATCTTTCGGTTCTTAGTTTGAGTGATAGGGTCACATGCATTCATTGGATTAGTATGTGTTACATCTTACATATATAATTCACATACTGTTGACCCTTGAACAACATGTTGGTCTATTTACATGCAAATTTTCTTCTGCCTCTACCACCCCGAGACAGCAAGACCCAACCTCCTTTTCCTCCTCATCCTCAGCCTACTCAACGTGAAGATGACGAGGATGAAGAACTTTATGATGATCCACTTCTACCTCATGAATAGCCAATCTATTTTCTCTTCCTTATGGTTTTCTTAATAACATTTTCTTTTCTCTAGCTTACTTTACTGTAAAAATACAGTATTTAATACATATGACATGCCAAATACATGTTAATCTACCACTGTTTATGATATCAGTAAGGCTTCTGGTCAACAGCAGGCTATTAGTAATTCAATTTTTAAGGAGTTAAAAATTAAATATGGACTTTTGACTGCACAGGGAGTTGGTGCCCCTATTCCCTACATTGTTCAAGAGTCAATTGTATTCATTTCCACAAATCAAATATTGCATATAAAGGCATTTTAAATTTAATAGAGAAAAAGAACAGAAAGAGGAATTGGAGACAGAGAACATAGATCATTTTGTCAAGGAGATTCGCTGCTAAAAGAGTGGCAGCTGGGGGTGATATAGGGGATGTGGTGTCACTCCCACATAGCACTCCCAAGTTTGTATGTGTGTATACTGATGGAAATGATCTTCCAGCAGAGAGGGAAAGAATGATAATGGAACAGAGAGATCATTTCAAGAGGGGAGCTCTTGATTATAAAGAGGGAATGGGATGGAGAATCCAGCAACAAGAAGAGGGTTGACCCTAGATAGGGGCAGGGCAGTTTCCTAAGATGAAAGGCAGACTACAGAAACACTGCTGCATGAAGATGGATAGATTTATGGTGGGAGGTTGTGGAATTTATTTTCCAACACTTTTGTCTTCTCAATGAAGTATGCAGCCAGGTCAGCATCTGAGAGCAGGGGTGGGAGAGGAAGGATTGGAGTTTGAGAAAAGAGAAGGTGTAAATTAGAAAGTGGGAGAGAGGACACAAGAATCATGCAGTGTGGCTTGGGTTGTGCTGATGGCCCATCTGTGACTTGTGGTAATGAATTTAAGTGAGACCATCAGCATGGTGGTGTTGTCTCTAGTCCTATCCAGCTGTTCAGGGGTAGAAGAGGAGTAGGTAGAGTTGAATTTAACTAGGACTGGGGTTTTGCCAGGCTAGTATTTGGAAGAGAGAGGGGTAAGTTCACTGAGAATAAATGCAAGACAGCGATTATAATGGTAGATAAAGGAATCTAAGCTTTTTAAGGAGGGAATGGAGCCATGAGCAGGGTTGGGATGACGGACAGTCGCAAGGTAGTAGGGGTTACCAATCCTAGTGGGGTTGCAGAAGTGTTTCCAGGAAGTGCTAGAGGGAATACAATGGAAAAGTGGCAGCTGGCGATTAGATAGTGGAATGCTTGAAGCTGAGATTCTAGAAGCAATGCAGTTACTGATGATGACAAAGTCCAGGGTATGACACGGGAGTCTGGAAAAAGCAGGCAGGAGGCCAGGATCATTAGAGATGAATTGAGGGGCCAGAGTGTTGGAGACAGAGTTTGCATGAATATTGAGATCATCACACGAGTGACAGAAGTAGTGGGAGAGGTAAGGGCCATGCCAGGTGCTAAAGTCTTCAGTGACTGAGGAGGAGTTTATGTGGTTGTAAGAGGCAGGAGCAGCAGATGCTACCATTCTTTAAAATCCTGGGGGTTGCTGGGAAGATGGAGAAATCACTGCCTGGACGAGGCAATGAGAAACAAGGAGGACTCCCGCCCAACCTCTGTTTTCCAATTTTTTTGTTTTTTATTTTCAAGACAGAGTCTCACTCTCTCACCCAGGCTGAAGTGCAGTGGCACAGTCTCTGCTCACTGCAGCTTCTGCCTCCCTGGTTCAAGCAATTCTGCCTCAGCCTCCTGAGTAGCTGGGATTACAGGCATGTGCCACCATGCCTGGCTAATTTTTGTATTTTTAATAGAGATGGGGTTTTGCCATGTTAACCAGGCTGGTCTTGAACTCGTGGCCTCAAGTGATCTGCCCACCTTGGCCTCCCAAAGTGTAGGGATTACAGGTGTGAGCCAGTACGCCTGGCCCCGACCTCTGCTTTCCTTTAGTGTTCCTTGTGTATTTTCGTTTTCATTTCTCTCCTTGAGTGCCTACTTTCATATTTTGCTATTATGCTTTTAGATAGGTTTATTCTTTGAAACTCAACTTCTGCCCTTGGAGAAGTGACTAAATGAGTCATATATGAGTAAAAGTATTATCCTGATCCTAATTCTCCATTCATGACCTAGGAAGTGGCATTCGGCTGCTGGGGAAAACTTCTCAGTAGAGCTGGGAGTGAAGATGTCTGAGAAGTTGCTTCTCCCCTCACCCTTGGGACAGCAGATTGGGCCAGATGGAACAGGGGCCTCAATGCTAAGATAAAGAGCTTGCACTCTCACCTTTACGTAAGGAAGTTCCTTAAGGCCTTTTCAAGCAGGATCACAAACAAGGTTTCAGAGGGTTCACCAGAAGACTGGAGTGGGGCAAGAATGAAGGCAGGAAAGCCATGTGGGAGGCTCTGGCAATAGTTAGAGAGCTTGAACCTGAGAGTAGAGGTGTTCAAGGAAGGAAGGGACAAATATAAGAGGTGTTTCACGAAAAGAACCAACATGATCTGATCATTGCACATGGCAGGGAGGGGAGCAGAGGAATGAAAGATGACGCCATGGTGATAGGCTTGGAGATGGGAGAAAATTAGCACCACTGTAAGAAAGATGGAGATGAACAGGAAAGCTAAATTAGTAGGCAAATTTAATAATTTTTAAATATTTTAATAATTTTTAATATTTTTAATACTTTTAAATAATTTATTAAATATTTTAATTTTGAATAATTTTAATATTTTAAATATCAATATTAAAATATTCAATTTATTAATTTTAATATTTTTCATTTTTGAAAAAATATTCTTATTCATAAAAGCAACACACAGTCATTGTGTTCTTGCATTAGAAAATATAGGGAAATGAGACAAAAAATCATTAGAGGTAAAATCTTGGTATATATATTTCTAACTATATATGGCTGTGTGTGTGTGTGCTAAAGCATAAATTGGATAAGTTTTTTACCTAAAATTGCATGATCTGCTCTTTTTAAAAACACTTACTATGTTGTAAATCTTTGTCATTCATAGCCTACTACAATGCCATTTTGAACAACCACAGAGTACTTTATCGTGTTCATAATTTGTTATACTGACCCTCCCTTGTTGGAGACTTAGGTTGTTTTGGTTTTTTTTCTCCATTCAATTCTTTTGCAATTGCTAGTTTTGTAGCTAAATGTTCACATTATGATTTTTTCTCTTTTTTAAATTGAACTTTTGATTTTGAGATAATTATAGATACACACGCAGTTGTAAGAGATGAAAGAGAGATCTCTTGTTCCCTCTGTCCCGTTTCTCCTAATGGTAATATCTTGCACGATTACTGTACATCACAACCCAGATGCTGATATTGGAACAGTCAAGACACATAGCATTTCCACATGATTATTTCTTTAGGTTAATTAGAAATGAAACTGCGATTTAACATTTTAAGATTTTCAACCCATATTGCCCAGTTGCTCTTGAGATAGGCTGCACCAGGTGTCCTCCCAGGAATGTCCCTGGGGAGGCTGCTGACTCCCCTACACCCATCCTCTCCCTTTCCTCAGGTGATAGCACCTGCAAACGTAGCTGCCACCCCAATGAAAGGGGAGCTGGGCCCTGAGCTGGCCCTCACTTCTCCAGTTGCACATTAATTTCCCAGCCTCTCTCATAGCCTTGTGTGACCACATGACTTTGTGTTGGATTACCGGGTGCGTGGGAAGGGATGTGTGCTGCTTCTACATCCTTCTCTTAAGGAGATTACTCTGGCCATTCTCCTTCCCCTGGTTGCTGCCTGAGAAATGACCACAGGTGGAGGGGCCTTGGAAACATGCTGGGTGTGGCAGAACCACCACAAACCTTGGGTTGCCCTTCCATGAACCACTGTGTGAGTGAGAAATAAACATCGACATTATTTAGGTCCCTGGATTGCTGCTGTTATTAATATAAGCAGCATAAGAGTATCTTTTTCTCTAAACTTTAACTGACACTTTGCTGATTTAAGGTCTGCTGGGGACTAAATGTTTGTGTGTCCCTTCCCCACTCTGCCGCCACCTTCCAAATTCATGTGTTGAAACCCTAATCCCCAATATGATGTTATTTGGAGGTGGGGCATTTGGGAGGTAATGAGGTCTGAGGGTAGAACCTCATAATGGGATTGGTGCCCTAATCAGAGGATACAGGAAAGAGCCATTTCTCTCTCTCTCTCTCTCTCTCTCTCTGTCTGTCTGTCTCTCTCTGCATGTGAGGACACAGTGAGAAGGCAGCGATCTATAAGGACAAAAATGTTCTCTTTTATGTTTTTTGAATGGCAAAAAAGGTATCTTATTTACGTGTTTAATGGTTGCGGAAATACCTTGAACTTCTTAAGTGGGATGTTAACAAGCAGCTCTATGTTATACATTCTGGCTTAACCCTACGCTCCTAATTGAACTTGGGAGTCATCCTTTACTCCTCTTTCTCACCTCCACATCTAATCTATCAGAAACTCCTTTGGTTCTACTTTCCAGGTAGATCCAGAACTGGGCCTCTTCTCATCACTTCCATGGCTACTGCCCTGTTCCCCACCTCCACCTCCCATCTTTACAAACAGCACGCAAGGGAATCCTTTAGAAACGACCTGAGCTCTTGTAGTGAGCCGAGACTGCGCCACTGCACTCTAGCCTGGGCGACAGAGCGAGACTCTGTCTCAAAAAAAGAAAGGACCTGAGCTCAGGGTGCTCGTCTGCGCAGCCCTCCAGTGGCTTCCCATTGCACTCTTCTGGCCTCCACAGCCTCCTTGCCCATCCTCAAGGTGTCAGGCAACTCTGAATGGAGGCCCCGTGCATCTGCTGCCCCTCTGTCTGGTGTATACCTTAATGGTTCACTCTCTCACGTCCTTCAGGTCTCTGCTGAAATGCTCCCTTCTCAATGAAGCCCATGCTGGTCGCCCTTGTTAAAATTGCACCTGCTCCCCCTTAGCTCTCAATAGTCCTCTCTGTCCTGGCTCCATTTTCCCCTATAGCACATATCACCTCCAACATACTAAATATTAAATAATTGACTTAATATGCCCATTGTTTACTTTTGTCTCCTTTTCACTAGAATGTAAATGACATGAGGGGAGGAACTTTGTTTATTTTGTTCACTGCTCTATGCCAAATGCTCAGTACTGAGCAGATGTAATTAGTTTCCTCTAAGCACTATAACATTTACCAGGAACTTAGTGTCCAGAACAACACGAATCTATTATCTTACAGTTCAAGAGATCAGAAACCTGAAACTCAGCTTCACTGGGCTAAAATCCCTGGGCATGGCTGCGTTTCTTCTTGAAGCTCTCAGGAAAAGTTGGTCGTCTTGCCTTTTCCACCTTTTGAGTCTGCCCGCATTCCTTGGCTCATGGCTGCACATCACTGTGACCTCTGCTACCATGATCACATCTTTGTCTCTAGCTCTGACTCTCCTGCCCCTTTCTTTCTAAGGACCCCTGTGATTACACTGGACTCACTCAGATAATGCAGAACAATCACCCTTTCTCCAGATCCTTAATTCAATCACCTCTGCAAAGTCCCTTTCTACCTTTTGCCATATTCACAGATCCCAGAGGGTGGATATCTTTTGGGAGATAATAGGGCATTAATCTTCCCACTATAATAGATGATCAGTAAATATTTGTTGAATGAATGAATGAACAAACGCTTTGTTTCTACCCATTGGAATAGTAAATAAATTTCAGGCTTTGTCCTGCTTGCTGTAAATTTAATTCTAGTTCAGGCCAGACTGTCTTCACACTTGGCATTCTAGTGGTTAATGTCCCCAGAGGATCTGGGTTGTACAGCACCCTCCACCCCAATCTGATGACACAGCTCCAGGTCAGCTCTCCTACACTGTTCCTTGTAACCTCTCCCTCCATGGGGCTTCCATCAGCTTGCTGTACAGCATGAGCTAATGACAGCTCTCACAGCACTCCCTATTTCTGCTTTTCAGGCATCTCAAATTTCACAACACCTTGCAGCCCTTGCCATTATATTCCCCTTTTGGCACTGATCATTAAAATCCACTAACACCATCTCCAGGGGCAACCTTCCCCAAGGGTGCTGTGCAGGCCTCTAGATCCCTGCAGCCCTAGAGGGCAGGGCTGGGTGTCGCTTCAGGATTCCTAAGTTGGAGGAGGGGGAATTGGAAGAATGGGTTTTATAAGAAGGTGCAATTACAAGCTCGATCATATTGTAGTTGCTACAGCACCTAAGGGGAGATGACACACATTCATTAATGTATTCTTCCAATATACACTGAGCACTTTGCAGAGTGAAGGACTGACAAGTGCTTCTCTCAAACCACATGAAATGCCCCTCTGAGCTAGATGCTCGCTATGGCTCCTGGGGACAGAACTAAGACCCTCTAGTGGGTGGTACCATGAAGCAGATTCTATAAAAGGAATCATATTTGATCTGTTGTAACTGTCCAACAATGGTACAGACTCTTTACTAGGCAGTGGTTTCCCCATTATGGGAAATGTTTAGGCAGAGGGATAAGGGGTTTAGAGAAGACTCCTACATGGGTAGGAGTTCAGATCATACAATTCCTAAGCTTTTTTCTAGGTCTAAGATGCTGTTTTTTATTAAGTTGGGGTACCAGGCTGGATAGAGCCATATGGTTAGTATATTGGTCACTGTTAGACACAAATGAAAGAACCCATTCTGGCTGCCTTAGCAGAAAAGGGATTTGTTTATTAACAGATACTAGGTTTCTCATAGAACGGTTGGGATGCTTTTCAAAACACAATGGGGGCTGAGCTTCCAGGAACAGGAAGCCACTCCCTCTTGTTGCCGCCAAGTGCTGGATGCCATCGTTACCAAGAGGAACTGGATGTGCACTGGAAATGTTTACTGAAACCTGGCTTCTCTTTCCCCTTCCTTCCCTGGCTCTGTGACTTCCATCTACTCCTTAACTCTATTCTTTGTTTTTTGACATTGCCTTTGTAAGACTATGGGCTCCAGTTTGGAATTTCCCTACATATTACACTAAATACTTCCTCTGGGGGATAGAGTTGGAAAAGAAAAGTTAGTGAGACCAGTGATTGTTTTCATGCAGATAGCATCAATCTCTGTTGACATCTGCCTCCTCTGGGACTACAAAACTGAGTTAATCCCAATGTGATTATTTGGCCCACATTTTTCTTTCTATTTCTTTTTCTCCTTAGGGGTAAGGGATGAGGAGTTAGTATTTATAAAGTAAAAATTAAAGGAAGAGGAAGCAAATTCTCCCCTCTATTTCCGTGCCTCAGAGATAAGCTTTTGCTATATCTTCAACTAGGAGATTTTTCTGGGGAAAATCTAAACTTGTAACATTATTGATTGAATTTTCCCCTATTGATATACATTGGAGATTTCCCTGTTGTTTGTTATTACAAACTGTGATACAGTGGGCATTTGTGCACAAATATTCTTAGACATTTGCTGCAACAGTTGTAGGACAGTCCTTGAAGTAGAATTTCTGAAACATAATGCATGGGTATGTGTATTTTATCCAGATAATGATAAATTACTCTCCGCCAAAGTTGTCAGATTAACATTTTCACCACTATTATATAAAGGCACATTTTTCTGTACTCTAACACTAAATGTTAAAAAAATGTTCCATTTTTGGATAAAAAATGCTATCTCTCTCTTTAAAATTTTTTCTTTTGTTCTTTATCACTAGGGTAGTTCTTTTTTGCTTGTGTTTGTTGGACATTTTTGTTTTTTTCTTTGTGACTTGCCTGTTCATATCTTTTGATGAGTTTCACAGAGAGTGGATTGTGTTTCATCTTTTAATTACAGGAACTCTTTATAGGTTTTACATATTAGCCCTTCACAAATATTTCTTCCCTGTCTGTCACTCGTGTTTAATTCTATTAATAGTATCTTTAATTACAGTTAACTTTGTCAGCCTTTTCCTTTATGTTATCTGGTTTTGCTTCATGCTGGGAGAGGCTTTCTTTACTGTAAGATTATAAAAATATTCTACATTTTTCTAGTATTTAATGCATTTAAACATTTTTGTTACTTATTAGAAATATGTTGTTAGTATGATGTGAATTTGGAATTAAACTTTCTTTTTTTCTGAAGGAATGACCATTTTCCCCAGTCTTAAAAAAAATCAGTCTTTCCCCACATTTTAGCTTATGCTAAATTACCATATGTATCTCGAGTTGTTTTTGTACATCCTAATATATTTTACTGCTTTTTCACTATTCTTATTTCAGGAATAGATTGCTTTGATTATATCGGTGTACTCTCCTCCTTCATTCTTTCCTCTATTTTCTGAACTGCTTTTGCACAATTTTCATTTCTTTTATCACTAATGGTGCTGAATATTTTTCATATTTATACTTTGATTGTTCTTGTGTTAATTCTTTGATGGTGTGCTTTGCCAATGTAAATGTATTGACTTTGAGATGCAGCCTTGAAATTTCTCAGAGGAGACACCAGGCAGGCACTGAAGGTGTGGGATGAGGTCGTGCCTGGAAAGATTTAAATGTGTGAATCACTCTCACAGTTGACACCAGGAGTAGTTGAGTTCTCAGAAGAAGGATGTCAGGAGAGAAATGAATGAAGGGCCAAGGTTTAGGAGATGAGGATAGCAGACAAGAGGAAGAAGAAACTCCTCACCAAGCCAGAATCAACAAGATCCACAGGTTAGGAAGGAAATTATAAAGATCAAAACGCTGGGCCACATAGGAGGTTCTTGCTGAAAAAATAAGATCTTCAGCGTCTCTCTTTAGGGAGAGATGACAAAAATGGCACAGGCACAATATCAATACCATAGGGGTGAGGATTTGTAGACAGCTCTGCTGACACTTGGTCAGGGGTTCAGACCCTAACACCCAAGTTTTATTAGTCACATTTGCAGAGGGATGTGTTTTATGCTATTTTCTATGCTAGTGATACAGTCTGATTAATTAATTCACATATTATTCCAACCAGTGGCCCTGATGACTCAGGACACCAATTTCAAGCCTGCGGTCAGCAAGAATGGCAATCTGTGAGAATGAGCTCAACAAATGCTAATTGGGCCATCCAAATTCTGAACCGTTGACCTTAGTCCTTAATCAACAAAAGAGACTGACCGTATTCAAAGAAACAGCAAATTTGCCTTTGTATTATGTGAAAGAAAAGTATAGCTGTTTTGTTATCTAAGTTAGAAATAGGTCCTAAAACTGTGAGTTTTAAACACCAGCACATAGACAACTTGAAATATTGTTTAAAGTATTTGAAATAAATATGGTTTATATAGACAGTTACTTCAACAAGGCATGCTGTGCAGCTTCAATCCTGCTGTTCAGTGATGCTTCAATACCCTTTTGTTGACTATTCAGGAAATTCACTATAGGCTCTTTTGCTTTCTTCATACTCACTCAGCTTGCTTACTTTCAGCAGTTGACTTAATCTTTTATTATACAAGAAAATATAAATTATTAGTTTTAAGTTTCCTGTCATTTGCCTCAACCCCAGTCAGCCTCTCACCTCAAAATATATTTGCCTATACCTTTGTCTCTGCTGCTGAATCTGTCGGTAGCTCTTCCCACCTCTTTCTTTCTCCTCTTAGGAAGATATAATCCTTTTGCACTTTGAACTAAGACTTATTGACATGTACTTCTTTTAACTTACACCCAAGTTAAAAAGTCAAACAATGTTGAAAGGTTAATTCAAAAATAATCAATCCTTTGGTTTTAACCCTTTCAACTCTTTCAGCTATTTTTTCATTCATTTGACATTTCACCTTCACATTTTAAAATAGAATGCATGCAGCACGTTCTCTTGAATCATTCATGCAATTGCCCAATAGAGTTATAATCAGAAGTGTCTATTACATTTATATTAAGCATAAGTATGTAAATTTCATTCACAGCTGAGCCAAGTAGTGTACTGTAATAACATTTCCTTTATCACACAACTTATTCCCCCCCTGGAGAAGTGCTTAACTATTTTTTAAAAAAACACATTTTTGAGTCTGGTTCTGATGCTTGCATTGTCTCTTCACACTGAGTTCTTTCTTTCTTTCTTTCTTTTTTTTGCCTTTTAGCATGTTTTGTAATTTTTGGCTGAAGGTTAGACATGATGTATCAGATAAAATGAACTAGGTAGACAAGCCCAAAAGTGTGAGGCTTATGTTTATCTGGCTAGGAATTAGGTTGTGTTTGTTTATTATAGCTGTGGTATCAGAGGCTAAAATTGCCTTTACTGTCCTTGTTTTTGTCTCTCGTATTGTTTTTGGGCTTCCCTAGAGACTTCTTCTTAAATAGGATCTGAAGCTTTAGCTGTATTTCCCTGTTATTATACAGAAGCCCTACTGATGTGGTGGTTAGGTGGGGAGTGATAAGATGTGGGGAAATGGGAATCATTCTATAGTCCTATGATTGGATCACAGTCTTTTAGTGAGTCTGAATTTGGCATTTCTCTTTCACCATATTGGAGACTTGGGTATTTACTTTGCCCAACTCGTATTTTTAAGGCCTCCGTCTCCTCCTTTCTTGTCTTAGTATCTCAGATCTTGATTCTTTCTGGAGGAATGTCAGGTAAATCATCTTGCTTCTCATTCATATGTCCCTCAGCTAACTCACTTACCAGCAATTCATATTCATTTCCTTTCCATATGCTAACCCCTCTCAGTTTCATTGAAAATAGATGTGTCTGTCATTCTCCTCATTGTATTTGGGGAAATTTTTGAGAGACGAAGGGAATAGAAACATCTTGACTCCAGCAATTCAATGCCCTGTGTCCCTGATGAGCCTATTCCCAGGTTCTAGACAGAAGCCTTGTGTCAGGGCATGTTTAGTTAGTGTCCAAATCAACATCAGGCTATGGAGGCGGGATATTACTTAGGAAGACATGGAAGGTGATGGAGAGTGCAGGATCCAAGCTCTTGGCTTCCTGCTCCACTTGGAAGAGATGCAGCCACCCAGGAACAGTCAGATTTCCCAGGATGCAGAAGCAACAAAAATTGAATCTAGTGGCTCCACAGTCTACTTTAGCTCCAGGGAGCTCTGCAGAACTATATCTTCCTGAGAACCTATTTGCAATTGTCTTAATGTCTTTTTGGACCTCCTTTTTGTTGCCTTTTTAGTAGCTTTTTGTCCACCATCCCTGATGCACTGGCTTATGTTCCCTTCTGCACCATGACAGTATTCCAGCTGCATCCTCTTGTTTTTCTGGTCTTCTTACTGGTTCCAGGTTTAATATCTTGGGACACTAAAAGTCTACAATCAGCTACTTTAGATCACAGCTGGTGCTAGTTAGGCTATTTGCTTCATCTTCCCCTCGAAACTCCCCATTCTCATTTTCCTTAACCTTTCCTTCTCAGCACAAAAATATGTGCAGAGTTCCCCATCTTGAAAAAATTTTCTCTGAACTCTGCTAACTCGACAAGTGACATTCTTTCTCTCTCCTCCCACTGGCAAACTTCTCAGAGAAGTGTACATCTGTGGCCTTTGTTTTCTTGCCACCCACAGACTCTCATTAATGACTTACATTGTAATCTGGCTTTAGTCCCCATTACAACTAAAAATCTGTCTCCAAAGTCACCAAATGAACTAACTTCTAGGTCAATTGTCTTTTCTCAACAAGTTTCATCATCTCCCCTTTTAAAAATACTCATCTCCTAAGTTTGAAAAACACTTCATCCTGGGACTTCTGGAACTCCTCTGTGGGCTCACTTTGTTTGGACTCCTTTCTTCCTCTACCCCACCCATTCAACTCAATGGAGACATTCGCCAAGACTCAGCCCTTGGCTTTTAGTTGTTTCTTTTTTAATATCCTCATCTTATGTGCTAGCCTCGTATCAACGTTTCTGGTCCAAATCCCCAGGCTGTAACTGCCTCCTGGCTTCAATTCTATAGTTCCATCATATGATTAATATCTTTACTTATATCTTTGAGTGACACTTCAAATTCAATATATTTAACACTGAATTTATCTTTTGCTCAAATTAGTTATACTTCTGAATGTACTTAAATATATCTATAGTCTTATTTTTATTTTCAATTAAGCTCAAAACATTAAGATCATCTTTTAGTCTTTCATCTTCTCTTCTCTCTTATGTTCAATCAGTCTTTTTTTGAATCGCCTTACATCTTTCCCTTCCTTTTCTTTACAATTTTCACCATGCTAGGCATAAGCCTTTCTTAACTTATTAGCCAGGTTACTGTAGTTTCTTTCAAAGTGGTCTTTCAGGTTCTAGCATCTCCTCTTTTAATTAATCCTGCCTGTCACTGCCAATCAATAGATTGGTTAATTAATATTGCCTCTGTCTTAAAATAAGTTGAGGCATACTGCAATTTGCCATTGTAACTTCACTAGTTAAAAACCCTCAGTGGTTCCTGAGTTGAGTTGGGCGCTTACAGGTTTGGACTTCAAATCTTGGAATGTAAATCACTTCCACATTTCTCTTACTTGCAAATAAGAAGAATGAGGATACTAGTGGGTGGAAGTGGCTCCCTGATGCCTCCCTAGTCCTTCACAAAGGTGCGCCTGGTATTTGGTAGTTCTGGAAATCTCTGTGGAATGAAGAATTTGCTAGATCAGAGAAGCTCAGAACTCCAGTGTTAATCCTTCTTAACCCTTTTGGGCTTGTTAGAGGTGTACTGGGAGAACTGGGGAATGTTGGCATGTAAGCTATTCACAGTTACATAGTTTTGTGTTCTGTTTATTGTCGTAACATCAGTTCTTCCTGAGGTTTTTCAGTAGAGTAGGCTTGGGCCGTGGCCTACTGTAGTCCCATGTAGGATGTCAAATATGGTTTTGTTGTGACCACTTTCCTTTTCTGTGCTCAGGGCAGACATTACTAATCAATCACAGGCTCTTTTCCTAAGCCGGGTTGTAGCTTTAGAATCCTCAATATTCTGTTTTGGCCCTGAGGAAGGGCAATCCATCCCTTACCAATGGGTTCATTCATCCACTCCTTCATTCCACAAATACGTAGAGAGCACCTACAGTGGACGGGTACCATCTCCTAGGTACTGGAGATATCGCAAAGAAAAGGCCATATGTCCATTACTATGGAGTTCACATTCTTATGGGAAATAAAGGAAATAAGCAAGTAAATGAACAAGATAATTTGAGACAGCCATAGGCTCTATGAGACAACTAAAACAGGGTACTGTAGTTGAGAAGAACTGGGGTAACTACTTTGGACAGAGAGAGCAGAGAAGGTTAAGGATATACTTTTTGTCTGGGAGCTGACTGAGGAGAGGCAAGTGGTTTCATGAAGAGCATTCCAGAGATGGGGCAGGGCAAGTCAAAGACGCCAAAGCTGGGAATAAGTTTGGTTTGTTCCAAGGACAACTAAGAGGCCAGTGTGGCTGGAGCAGAGTAACGAGCAGGGAGATGGGTAGAAGAGGACGAAAAGCACAGCCGAGGAAACAATCAATAGATTGAAGAGACAGCCTACAGAATTGCAAACCATACATCTGATAAGGGTTTTAATATCCAAAATATATAAGCAACTCAAACAACTCTATAGCAAGAAAGCAAATAACCCAATTAAAGAATGGGCAAAGGATCTGAGTAGACATTTCTCAAAAGGAGACATACAAATGGTCAAATCTATGAAAAAATGCTCAACATCACTAATCATCAGGCAAATGCATATTAAAACCACAATGAGATATCACCTCACCCTAGTTACAATAGTTGTTATAAAAAAAGATGAAAGATACCAAGTGTTGACAAGATAGAGAAAAAAGAAAATCCTTGTATGCCATTGGTGGGAATGTAAATTAATATAGCCATTATGAAAAACAATATAGAGGTTCACCCAAAAATTTAAAAATAGAACCACCATGGCCAGGCATGGTGGCTCATGCCTGTAATCCCAGCACTTTCGGAGGCCAAGGCGGACAGATTGCTTGAGCCCAGGAGTTTGAGATCAGCCTTGGCAACATGGCAAAACCTCATCTCTACAAAAAATAGAAAAATTAGCCAGGCATGGTGGTATATGCCTGTAGTCCCAGCTACTTGGGGAGACTGAGGTGGGAGGATTGCTTGAGCCCGAGGGACTTGAGACTGCAGTGAGTTGAGATTGTGCCATTGCACTCCAGCCTGGGGGACAGAGTGAGACCAGGTTTTTTTAAAAAAAAAGAAAAAGAAAAAAGAATCACCATATGACTCAGCATTCCTAATTCCTATTACGGGTATATATCCAAAGGAAATGAAATCGGTATGCCGAAGGAATATGTGCATTGTGTTGTTTACTGTATTACCATTCACAATAGCCAAGATAATGATTCAATCTAAGTATCCATGAACAAACAAATGGATAAAGAAAATGTGGCATATATCCACTATGGAATACTAGTCAGCCTTACAAAAAAAAGGAAATTCTGTCATTTGTGATGACATGGATGAACCTGGAGGGCATTATGTTAAATGAAATAAGCCATGCACAGAAAGACAAATACTGTATGATCTCAGTTATATGTGGAGTCTGAAAAAGTTGAACTCACAGAAGCAGAGAGGAGAACGATGGTTGCCAAAAGATGAGATGTGGGAGTGGAGGGGTGGGGAGATATTGCTTGAAGGATGCAAAATTTCAATTAGATGGAGGAATAAGCCAAGAGATCTATAGTGCCACATGGTGACTATAGTTAATAACAATATATTGTATTTTTGAAAATCTCAGAGTAGATTTTAAGTATTCTTCTTTTTCTTTCTTTTCTTCTTTTCTTTTCTTTTTTCTTTTTTGAAACAGACTCTTGCTCTGTTGCCAAAGCTGGAGTACAGTGGTGTGATCTCAGCTCACTGCAACCTCCGCCTCCCGGGTTCAAGTGATTCTCCTGCCTCAGCCTCCTGAGTAGCTGGGATTACAGGTGCCTGCCACCATGTTGGTGAATTTTTGTATTTTTAGTAGAGACAGGAGTTTCACCATGTTGGCCAGGCTGGTCTCGAACTCCTGACCTTAGGTGGTCCACCTGCCTCGGCCTCTCAAAGTGCTGGGATTACAGGTGTGAGCCACCACGCCCGGCCAGATTTTAAGTCTTCTTACCACAAAAAAAATAAGTATGTGAGGTAATACATACGTTTATTAGCTCAATTTAGCCACTCTACAAATGTGTATATATTTTAAAATAACATGCTGTACATGAAAATATATATAATTTTTTGTCTGTTAAAAATTAATTAATTAATTAATTTTAAAAAGAGGAGGGCAGGGAATACTTGTGTATTTTGTTAACTGGACAAATGAAACTCTACTTTCATTTGCTCATTAAACAAATACTTGTTTTGTGCTCAGCATGATTCTAGGCACTGGGACTACTGCATTTTGGTCCATTACTTCCTTGCGCACAAAAACCCTTTCTTTTCACCACGAATACACTATGAACATGTTTTTTTCTTCAGTGTTGGCATCTCTTGATTCCTTCCCTCCAGGTCTTTGTGCGAGTTTTACTCTTTAAACCCCAGATATTGTCATATTTTTCTCTGTTAAACTTTTCCAAACAACTCAAAATAGGGTAATTTCTTCTTCTTCTGAATTTCTCTGACAATTATTCTATGGGTCATTTATTAACACAGCATAATCAAACAACTTATTTATTTTCATCTTTCTTGATCCTTTCTTCAGTTGGATGTTGTCTTTGAGGGCAGAGGTTGTCCTCTATGTTTTGAAGTCTCCACACAGCTCGTCGTTGCCTTGCCCGTAGTTGTAGCTCAGTGAAATAAAAATATGTCCGTAGAAGGTGATGTCTGTGACTGGTGAGCTGAGAGCTTGTGGGGTTGGTGTTGTATTTGGGTGCATGTGAATCAGTGCATCTCCTGCTCCATTGGTGTTAAAAGGCTCCCATCGTCCTGGGAACACAATAGGAAAGAGAACAGGTGGGAAGGCACTGGATGAAGGAATGTGGAGAATGGAGGAAAAGTTGATCAGATTGTTGACAACTTTCAGTGTTGAAATTGTCACCAAAATCAAAGTCAGTAAATAAATTTACAATGTCCTTTTCTTCAATGCATCAATAACTTCACCTTCCTGTTCAAAGCACAGCAAGTAATTAATCTCTTATTTGCATTTGAAACCCAAGTTTCAGATGTTTGAAGGTGGTTGTAAAAAATAAAAACCAAAATAAAGCCAAAATAAATAAGCAGCAGCACTAGGCCGGGCACAGTGTCTCACACCTGTAATCCCAGCATTTTAGGAGACCGAGGTGGGTGGATCACAGGAGATCAGGAGTTTGAGACCAGCCTGGTCAGCATGGTGAAACCCTGTCTCTACTAAAAATACAAAAATTAGCCAGGTGTGGTGGTGTGCCCTTATAATCCCAGCTACTGGGGGGCTGAGACAGGAGAATTGCTTGAACCTGGGAGGCAGAGGTTGCAGTGAGCAGAGACCATGCCACTGCACTCCAGCCTGGGCGACAGAGTGAGACTCCGTCTCACACTTGTGGAACCCAGAACTTAGTAACCATGAACAGAACCTTAATAAACAGAAAGTTCTGGAAATAAAGTTTAATCATCATGCAATCTTTATCACTGGGTTAAATGAACAATCATCTGGGAACATGTCTTGGAATGCTTAAAGCTTTGAGATGCATGTGCCTATGTGGCAGACAAATTTCAAATGTGAAACGTTTAGTTAACTTGGTCTTGCTTTTTAATCACTGCTTTAAAATTTAAAAAATGCTGCTGGTCAAGTAAAAATAGCAATAGATAAAATCTGCCCTGAGCAAACAGACCATACATCAATAAATGAATACTTAGCTTAAGCGATTTTCCATGAGACCCATGAAGCATTTCTAATTGAAACTTAACAAGCTACAACCCAACAGACACTCCAATCTTCACTTCTAGAAGGGAAATGTGATACTCCATGTAGACGTAGCTTTTTAAATTTAGCTGGAAGACAGCGTGACAGTGAAGTTGTGTGCTGTAATTTTTTAAAATTGCTGAAGTGTCATGGTTTGCTATTTCGTATTTATTGAAAAAATGTAAATGCTATATTTAACAGAATGGCAGTAACTCTGTTTCAATCTGAAGACTTAATCTTACTAATCATGGTAATATATGCTGGCTGGAGTTGGGAATATTTCATAAAATACTGGAATAAATTTGTGCTTATATTTCAGGGGAATTAATAAAAGCACCTTCATCTGCAACATTTAAAATGTTATTGCCTTTAAATTTGTATTAAATAATGCAGGGAAGATAGATCACTGGGGGAGAATGGATGCACCTCTGTGAGGATCTTGGTCATTCAACACACGTGTACGGGTGAGGAAACTAAGGCACGACTTACTGGGTAGGGAGGTAGGGATATTAGCAAGATCCTTCACTTGTCTGGGCTTTCTGTCTTTGAGTCACCTTTGCGCAGTTTTTCACTGGACTTCACAAGCCTCTGAGGCGGCAGGGCAGACAGGACATCCTTATTTTATAGAGGAGGAAACTTAGGCTTACAGAGGTTTCCTGCCCCAAATCACAAAGGTGGAGCCTAGACCTTCTCAGTCTCCACCAACTGTATTTCGGTTAGCCACAATCCTATCTACCCACATCCAAATGGACACTGTGGCTCTGCAACTTCTGTCAAAAGGGCTCTTTGGCAACAGGAAAAACGTCATGGCTCCATTGTATTGTAGAGGATGGGAATGGGTGTTCCGGCTAAATTCTCCCTCCCCTTTCCCTCCACAGCTCAGATGGCAAATGTGCGACCCAGGGACCTCCCGCTCCAGCAGACCTGTGCGCACAACTTTGCACAGATTACCTGCTAAGTCAGAGCCGAAAGGTAACACAGATGCCAAAGGATAATAAAGGTGAATGAGATTTACTCAAAATTGGAAACTTGGTGTTTGGTTTTTCAGGAGAACAATCAACGACTGTGATTTGAAGTTCACCAGGGTATTCTGAGAGATCTAATCAAAGATAGAGTGCTGGTTTGAAATTATTAAAAGGTAACAGTAAAAGGGAGAGCAAAACCCCAGTCCCAACGCAACCCATAAATCTACTTTGTCTTCCTCGAAAGAGGGGCGCGGGTGGGCGCGTCTCCCCGCGAGCATCTCACCTAAGGGGGAATCCCTTTCAGCGCACGGCGAAGTTCCCCCTCGGCTGTCCCACCTGGCAGTCCCTCTAGGATTTCGGCCAGTCCCTAATTGGCTCCAGCAATGTCCAGCCGGAGCTTCTTTGGGCCTCCGAGTGGGAGAAAAGTGAGAGCAGGTGCTTCCCCAGCGGCGCGCTCCGCTAGGGCCCGGCAGGATCCCGCCCCCAAGTCGGGGAAAGTTGGTCGGCGCCTTTTCTCCCCGACGAAGCCGCTCCAGGGCTGCTCTCAGAGGACGCGCGGCAGGCAAAGAGAATGAACCTGAGCGTCCACGAAACGTCCTGCACGGCTCCCGGGAGCTGGGAGAAACAGGTGCCTTTCTCCGACGTCCGCGGGCGACGCCTGCCGCACCTTGCCCGCTGCCGCGCCCCTCCCGGGCACCCCTCGCCCTCGGCGCCCCTGCCCCCGCCCCCAGTGCCAGGGCGGAGGCAGTCCCGGCTCGCAGGTAATTATTGCCAGCGGAGCCCGCCGGGGAGCGGGGGTGGGCGCGCCGGCGGTGGGCGGGCGGGCGCGGCGGGGCGCGGGCATAAAGGGGCGCGGCGCGGGGCCCCGGAGCCTGGCTCCCGCGCAGCATGCCCGCCAGCGCCCCGCCGCGCCGCCCGCGGCCGCCGCCGCCGTCGCTGTCGCTGCTGCTGGTGCTGCTGGGCCTGGGCGGCCGCCGCCTGCGTGCGGAGCCGGGCGACGGCGCGCAGACCTGGGCCCGTTTCTCGCGGCCTCCTGCCCCCGAGGCCGCGGGCCTCTTCCAGGGCACCTTCCCCGACGGCTTCCTCTGGGCCGTGGGCAGCGCCGCCTACCAGACCGAGGGCGGCTGGCAGCAGCACGGCAAGGGTGCGTCCATCTGGGATACGTTCACCCACCACCCCCTGGCACCCCCGGGAGACTCCCGGAACGCCAGTCTGCCGTTGGGCGCCCCGTCGCCGCTGCAGCCCGCCACCGGGGACGTAGCCAGCGACAGCTACAACAACGTCTTCCGCGACACGGAGGCGCTGCGCGAGCTCGGGGTCACTCACTACCGCTTCTCCATCTCGTGGGCGCGAGTGCTCCCCAATGGCAGCGCGGGCGTCCCCAACCGCGAGGGGCTGCGCTACTACCGGCGCCTGCTGGAGCGGCTGCGGGAGCTGGGCGTGCAGCCCGTGGTCACCCTGTACCACTGGGACCTGCCCCAGCGCCTGCAGGACGCCTACGGCGGCTGGGCCAACCGCGCCCTGGCCGACCACTTCAGGGATTACGCGGAGCTCTGCTTCCGCCACTTCGGCGGTCAGGTCAAGTACTGGATCACCATCGACAACCCCTACGTGGTGGCCTGGCACGGCTACGCCACCGGGCGCCTGGCCCCCGGCATCCGGGGCAGCCCGCGGCTCGGGTACCTGGTGGCGCACAACCTCCTCCTGGTGAGTGCGAGGGGCCAGGCGGAGGGCCACGCAGGGGAGACAGAGGGCCTCCACAGGGGCCAGGGGGAAGTGTGGGAACTGAGTCTCCCCCAGACGAGGCTTCACTTGGACACGTGTATGTGGTCACCGGGGGAAACTGAGCAGTTCTGACTTCCCTTGGAAGGCGTGGAATTAGGAGAGAAATCCCTTAGTGGGCACACGAGTGAGTGCCCCTTGGAGTCCATCTGTGGAAAGGAAGCGGTGATAGGTTTCCGCAGTGAGGAAAGAAACTCCTTTCTCTGGGTGTAGAGGAATTCCTAGAGGTGAGGGCGGGGAGGATTTGCTAGGAGTAACTGCAGGAAGAGAATGAGCAGGGTGGATGAAAGAAACACGTTTGTTCTTAAGCCGCACAGATAGCATTACTCTCTGGAGCTGTCACGAGTTCAGTGTTAATCCAATAAGATCTGTCTTGCTTGTGGCACAAGTTCACACTGTTGTGAAAGTGTCAAAACACAACTCCCGGAGAGTCAGATTTAAACTGTGTTTGGAGGTCCCTTCTGCGGCAGGGCAGGGAACTGCATCCACCAATCTTATTCACCGGGGTGTGAAGACCGCTTTATACAATCTCAAACAAAGCTAGTCATAGAAACACAGAAACAACTGCAGGGTGATATAGATTGTTCTACCACATCTATATTTCCACAGTGCTCTCTACAGTTGAAAGGGTTCCTCACTTATGACATTGTTAGCCTGATAAAATTAATTGTAACACCCTTGTGCAAAATATTTTATTAATTTTGACAGCAGGAAATATTGCTATGCCATGGTAAAGTTGTCTCAAGTATTTCTTCCTCCTTTTTTCTCCTTAGTGTTCAAATTTAGGCACCATTGTTTTGGGGATTCATTTATAATCATGTCAGTTGTTAGTACACTTTGTACAGAGTTTTGTATCACAATAAAATATTTTATGTACATGTATAAACATTTTAATAAAAGTGTTTAAATGTACAACTTTTGGTACCCAATTCTGATCACTTGTGGGCCTACTGGAAGACTTATTTTTAAATTTAGAATTCAGCCACATATTCTGAACAAAGTCAGTACTAAAACCATTTCTAAACACTTTTAATTAAAGCCATAGATAATATGGGCAGAGCAGTACTGGGTTATTGAGGTGACTTAGTGCTCTGAGCTGCTGGTAATGTTGTAATAATGGCTAAATTAGATTTTATGTCAGTTCCACAAAACCTGTTTGCTGCTACTGGCCATAAAAGAATGTTGGATTTGTTTGGAAACACATTGTGATTTTTGTGATTTCATACTTATGTATGTCTTTTCATAAGGATGTTTTAGAGCGGTGATTCTTATACTTTTTCAATCCTTTTATGGATCTGAAAAACTCTAAAGACCACCAGTGTATGGCTGGTGATAGAAAAACTATGGGAAGAATGGTCTCACTTTTTGAAGAAAACATAAGCAAGTTATCAGTTCATACTGGAAGCAAATAAATGGATCAGCTGGAGGATCTAATAGATCATGCCCATAAAATCTTTACTTTAGATTTAAATCCTACAAGTTCTATTTTTAGAGTCCCTAGGATAAACTTGCATATACAAAGTAGTCAATTGTTATTATAGTGACTTATAGGATCATTTTATTATAAGATAAAGACTTGCGTGCTCTCTGGTGCTCTGGTGTTTTAAATAATCAACATGTTTTAGATCTTTTTGCCCACTCATGGCCCTCTGATTAACTTCTCAGTTATATTTTTCAATGCTTACACAAAAAATTTGCCAAACACTAACCATCCTTCCTAGAAATGCAGTGGACTTTGTATTTAGGGAAATTAGTAACAGGTGAATGCTCCATTTGCTGATGTTGCAAACAAACTGTTAGTTGGTGTAAAGTATTAATTTTGCTTTCACATTTCTTTTGGTTTGGTGTTTAGTCATTCTTGTATCTTATTTAGAAGCGAGTTCCCATTGTCAAAGAAAGTATCTTGAATTAATTTTGTTGTATGAGATACTTTCATTCTGTTTTCAATGACCTTTCTCGGTGTGTATATAGGGGTTGGGGGAAGCGAGAATAGAAAAATTTGAGCTTACCTGAAAAAGATAAAACATTCTGCAGATTTTGATAAAAGGGCATTTTAGCTGGGGCTTAGATATTGCTGCTGTACAGATATAGGGGCCAGTTGTGTTCCGGGATCTGATGTTGGTGAAGGATAAAGACTGGCTAGCACCCTTCCCTCACTCCCTCTGTGTTTCCACTAACTTACAAATGGGCTAAGGAGATCCCCTGGGATGATGGGAAGCTTGACCCCTCCTAGAGAGTCAAGAATCATTGATGGCCTGGAGGACAGGAGGCAGAACAAACAAACAGCAGGACAAATAATGGAGGCCCTGCTCAGAATGGAGGTCTTGGTGTTCTTTGTGGGTTCCTCATACTGGAGTGAGCCTTGGCAAAAATGGTGTGTGTGTGTGTGTGTGTGTGTGAGAGAGAGAGAGAGAGAGAGAGAGGAGACAGAAGAGAAGGAGAAGAGGGGAGAGGGGAGGAGGGACAGAGAGAGAGAGGTCTCCTACAAAGAGCTTGGAGCTCAGGCTGCTTTGCTCATTTGAGTGTAATCCAGGAGGATGCACCTTTTCTCTCGGACTTGAAGACCAACTGCTCAGCCTTCACAGCTCTTGAAACAAAGTTCTTAATGTCCCCTGAAATCAGCACTAGGGACTGTAGTTGGGGAGTTCAGCCCCAGCAGTGCCTCTGAGTCTTTGTTCTGTATATGGGTTCTAAGAGGATTAGAATCAAGTTGGAAATACACGTGTTCCCATTTCCCACCTTCAACTCCCCTCACCGCCTGAGATTCTTGCAAACATTTGTGCAAGGAACCTGTGAAAAAGACTTCTTTCACGTAAGGAAGTAGGGCTAGGAGATATTAATCTGGGCATTGTTGAGCATTAGCATCAGTGTGCAGGTCTCAGCCCATCTGTCTGCAATGTTTGTTGAAGCCATCACTTCTTGTCCCTTGAATCCTTCCTCAACTTGGATTTCAGGCCCTGGCTCTCCCTTGCTTCTCCTCTCAGCTCCCTGGCGATTCCCTCTTAGTCTCCTTTGCTTGTTCCTCCTCACCTTGCCTGTAAATAGTGGAGGGCTCAGGGCTCTGTCTAGATTCACTCCAGGCCATTGCTTTGAATACTGCTGCATCCCGATGACTGGAGATTTTGAGTCTCCACCCAGGTTTCCCCGAGCATCAGACTGGCATAGACAACCGCCTTCTCCACGTGGATGTCTAATGGGCATGTCACATCGAACACATCCCAAACCAAACCCCTGCTTCCCCTTCTCTATTATGATGACTTTTTACTCTTCCAGTTGTTGGACCCCGAATCTTAACTACTCCCCTTTTTCATGTCTTGTTTCTAATCCATCAACAAATCCTGCAGCTCTACCTACCTCCAGGATGTGTCCAGAATCAAACCACTTCTCCCCTTATCTATGACTACGATGGAGGTGCAAGACACCATCCAACCTTGCCTGGGTAATGGGAACAGCCTCACTGCTGGGGTTCTTATTTCTGCCTTGCCCCCTGCAGTGTGCCATGATGGATGCTCTACAGGGTGACATTATGTGTGGACAAGACAGAGTCCTTGCTTTTTCAAATCCCACCTGTTCTTCTGGAGCCAGCTAACACGCTCCCTTGGGCCCCATGCCTGAATGCCATCTCTTCCTTCTATGGCATCCTGCACAGGACTTCGCTTTGCTCAGATGCCTCCTCCCGCGCTCTTCCCTTTATTTAACCATTTGTCTCCATTTTACCCCTTCGCTATCTGGGGTAATCCTGTTCCCTTCATCTGTATCTCTGAAAATGGCATCTTGCCCTCCCTTGGTGCTCAGAAGGTGGCTTCTGGTTTACCGAATAGCCTGATTTCACCTTTATAAACTCATGCTACTAGAATTTTCTCTCCTTGTCAGTCTTTCTAGCCACTTTCCAATGGAACAGAGACTACCAAATCCTAATCTGATAAGGAAAAATAGGTAAACATAACGTGGCAGACTCTGACATCTGCAGTGAAAATTTAAGGTTCATCATCAAATGTATGATTCCATTGTGAAAATGTCCAGTTAAAAGCTATCTGTAGTCACCATGCAGCATTATGAAGAAGTTTTCAGAATAAGGGCAGGTGGTAAAGTCTCCTGGCCAGCTTTAGGAGTATATATTGGAAGGGGCTTTGTTAGCTGATTGAATTTTTATTCCCCAAGTAATTAGTATGAGCGATTTGTCTACTGTATATATGCTCAAATTACATATACTATGCACTTTTGAGAAATACTTTACAAGTTTTTCTTTCATTAAAATGTATTTGGGGCCGGGCGCAGTGGCTCACACCTGTAATCCCAGCACTTTGGGAGGCTGAGGCGGGTGGATCACCTGAGATCAGGAGTTTGAGAACAGCCTGGCCAACATGGTGAAACCCCGTCTCTACTAAAAATATGGAAAATTCACCAGACGTGGTGGCAGGTGCCTGTAATCCCAGCTACTTGGGAGGCTGAGGCAGGAGAATCGTTTGAACATGGGAGGCAGAGGTTGTAGTGAGCTGAGATCGCACCATTGCACTCCATCCTGAGCAACAAGAGCGAAACTCCATCTCAAAAAAATGTATTTTGTACATAACTAGAATAATCAACTGGATTGAAAGTTAATATAAATTTTAGAATACTACTGAATTCAATAGTGCATTTAGTCAGAAATAGTTAAAATATCTCCCAAACAGCTTGAATCACTCCTTTTTGAACACATTGTTTTTTGAAGGTTACAGTCAAGTCCAAGAAAAAATTTTAAAATAGGAAAAGAATTAATCAAATCATTTCAAAATCATAGCAGTGTTTTAACAATGCCAATTATTTTGAGTTGAAGAAAAGAAGGAAAATGTAAACTATGCATTCAAGTAATGTCAATGCACCTTCTCAGGTGCAAAATGAATGAACAATTAACTGTGCCAGCTGAATATGTAGCAATCACGGCTTTTGCACATAGAAGCCTTCTGAATTATCTTATATTCTCAAAAATATCATTGCTCTAAACTAGAATTTTATTATAATTAATTTGTGCAAAAGTTGTCTTTCTTTCAATGAATGTTGTCTTTTTGAGGCATAAAGGAAATTTTAGGTGGAGGAGGAGAATAGAATACATGCTTACTGGGAGGACAAGTAATAATAGGTGAGTAAAAACACACAGCTTATTGAATTGTCTCAGATCCACATTTTCTCCAGAAATGCAAAGTTATACTTGAAATCTATATTTAAACAGATAAGCAGAATGTGACTTTTATATGCTCTATTTTGATGTATTCTGAGTATGAAGATAACCTGAAGGATGCCTTTTTCCCCTCTTTATCTTGGGGTAAACTCTTACTTACCCTTCAGAGACTTGACTCAAATATTTTCATTCTGCAATAACCACAGGTAGAATGGATCATTTACTCAGTTGTGGCTCTCTTAAGAGCACAGACTACCTATCATATTTATTTCAAAATTTGTAGTGCTTATCTCAGTGCTTGGCACAGAGGAAAGAAATACAATTTTTAATAAAGGCATAAGTGGAGAGGTAAAATACATATTTCTGGTTTCAACGTGTCCATATTCTTTCTTGTAAATGGAATATTGCGCTTGCAGTCTGCTCTCACACAATATCTGGGAAGGAGTTTTAAAGAGTGAGGAAGAACAGTAAAGATTTTCCTAGGCAGATACGTTATGTGACCTTTGTTGATTTCCAGAGCACATAATATCCCAATTTCATCCAGTGGACAGGAAAAGAGAGGAAGAGGGAAAAGGTGGCCTCTCAAGTGCCTGACCTGGAAGCTGCACCTATCACTGTCCCTTGGGCAGAACTCAGTCACATGGTCAAAAGGAGTCTGCAAATAATTGTCCCCTGAGGAGCCGGGTGCTCAGTGAATGATTCTATTAAGTTGAAATCAGATGGGAACAGATCATTTAGGATAACCAGCAGGCTCTACCACATTGCCTAACTCCCAGGCATATTGTGAGAATTAAAAGCACCTTATATATGTCAACGTGTTTTGAAAAAATACAAAAAGCTCTACAAAAGTGAGCTATAAATTTATCATTAATAATAATAGTAATAATAGCAAAATACTTGAGAAATGGTCCTCTTGAGCTGTTTAGAAGGAATCATACAAATGCATTAGACATGGTAGCCTCACTTAACTACTTAATTTGCCTCTTCTTTGAAATTATTTCAATAGCATTTGACCAAAAACTATCAAATCATTTTTGAAATAACGTATTTTTACATAAAACACATTATCAAATATCTTTCTGGATCCAGCTTGGTGGTAAAAAGATACATACTAAAGTTTATGACTGATATAACTTTATATATTGACTAAACCAAAGATAAATATTGATTGAACTTTTGTGGCCCCAGTTTCAATAGATTTTTTTATTAACATTTTTTGTTTGAAGTACAGATGTCACGTCATCCATGAACCGGTATCATTATAGCTTGATAAAATACTCAAACTGAAAGCAGTGATGTACATTAATTTTAAATATAATGGTTAAGCAAATGTTATTTCCATATCTATAAGTGCATTTTATTTGATAATTAGAATGTTAGAATCAGAAGGAATTTGGAAAATCCCAGGTTACACTTCTCTCCAGGACGAACTCCTTACAGTGGCTCTCCTGGGGTCAGCTAGCTTTTGCTTGACCCTTTGAAGCAGGAGGAACTCAGTTCCACTCAAGTTGCCCCCTTGATTTTCTCTTTCATATTGAACCTGCTGCTGCACAGGACTCCTCCGTGACTGTCTCTTTGCCTTCCTAAATCTCAAAGAATAAAGCAAGTCACTTTTTGACAAGACATCTTTCACATATTTGAAAAGACATCTTTCACATATTTGAAAAGACCAGTACGTTTTGTTCTTCCTAGAATTTTCTCCTTCATGCTAATGTCTGCTCCAAGAAGACATGGAGGTGACTGGACATTTAGTCAGGAACATTTCTTGAGAGCTTACCCTGTGGCAGGCAGGTGCAATGTTGAATTCTGAGAATATGAATGTAACCTTTGAACAGGTGGCTCTGTCTTCTGACGTTTCAGGATAAGGTGGAGGAGAGGAGAGGGGAAAGTCGACCTATCTCCCCAGCGGGGAGGGTTTAGGGTTGTCTGTGGGACCTGCCTCTGTCTCATCATCCATCACCATTGTCCTGCTGATGGGTGCAGAGGACTGAGGACGAGTGGTTGGAGTTCTCCCTGTGCCGGACCCTGTAGAGAGTCCAGAGCCCTGGCTCCCAAAGGAGGCATATTTGTAGGGCTCTTTTCGTGAGGGTCCAGAGGACGGCTGCAAAGCTGCAGGGGAGGATGGGGGCATGGGAGGCAAGCCCGTTGCCCTGTCAGAGCCTCTTGGGGATGCTGCTCTTCCCCGCCTGTCCTCTCTTCTCTTTGATTTCTCATCATGTGGTCCTCTTTCCTCTGCCTTTTCCTCTCTTCGGTGTCCCAAGTTCTTCCATAGAGACCTGTGTCCCCTTGTTCCCATCAGGCCTTTATGCCAGCCCTGCACAGGTGCGGGGACAGTGGTAGGGGCGTCTCACTCCCGACTCAACTACATTCTCCCAGAAATTGTCTGCAGTCAAACACAACTCAGCGTGGACATTGCTCACCAAAGGTATACTGCTTGGGCTGCACGAGAGATTCAGTTTTCTCCTATCTATCTGGCATGGGCTGTGAGGGGGCTCCTAACCTAGGGGGCCTTTTTACTCCTTCCTGGCCAGAGCTGCCATTTCCAAGTTTCTGCACTGTCAGAAAAGAGGGATAAGGTAAGATTCCTGCCCTCATGTCACAGATTAGTAGGGGAGAGGTAATTGTCAAATAATTACAGTAAAATGTATAAATGCCTTAAGAGAAATAAGTACTTGCTTAGGAACCTATTTCAAGAAAGGAGAGATAGGTTAGCGTTTTGGGGAGGTAGTACGGGAGCAGTCAGGGAAAGCAATACTTGTAAGATCAGAGGCTGGCAATCTTTTTCTGTAGAGGGCTAAGTTTTGGACTTTGCAGATCCTACAGTGTCTGTTGCAACTATTACACAGTTCTGTGGTTGCAGCATGAATGCAGCCATGGGCAATGTGTTAATGAATGGGCACAGCTGTGTTTCAATAAAACTTTATTTACAAAAATAGGTAGTGGGCCCTGCTGCTGGGCTTGGCTTGCTGGGCACACAAAGTGAGAAGGGCATTGTGCCTTTCTAGGAAACATCCCTTGCAAAGTCAGTACAGGTGAGACAGTGTGGCCATTCCCACCACAGCATGAGGTCTTTTGAATGGCTGAAGCGTCAGGTGGGAAAGGATGAGGAGCTGAAGAAGAAAGCCTGGGAATTTCCAAGGCCTCTCTTAACATTTGCTGTGCAGAACCAAGCAGTGCCCCAGGTGTTCAGAGTAGGCTTCAGCGATTACATTTCTTGTTAGACACTGAATTTTGTTCATGCCGCCCAAGATTGCATTAACAATTTTGGCTGTCACCTTACCGCGGACTCAAATTAGTTTGCAGTCAGCTAAAACCTCTCAGGTTTTTTCCCCCCAGCTTGTGAATTGCTGTGAAGCCAAACATCCCTGTCATCTCTTTGGTAGTTTATTTTCAAACTTTCAATCTTATTAAATTTCATCTCCAATGTGCAAAGATAAGAGGAAGTTTACCGCTGATGGTGGTTTATTCTTTAAAACTGGACATCAGCTAAATGTGTTAAGGTAATCCGTTAGAGGAATGTTGGTACGCTTATACAGTGGAATACTAATTGGTTATTAAAATGTTGATGTATGATTATTAAAAGGCAGCCCATGTTATGTCTCTTCTGTATGAATAAGTATGTAAAAAGTATGTAAAGATTACTGTATAGTTCATGGGTGGGACTGGGCTCTCTCTAGCCTCTGTCCTTCATTCTCCCTGCCAGTGCCTTTTCCCTTGCAGTGTCCCTTCCCTGGCTGCATACTCAAGACTGGATTTGCCCAGCCAAACCCCATTAACTCACAGAAGCAAGAGGAAAAAAATAAATTCTTATTAGTTCAATTCTCCAAATTGGGGGCGGTCTATTTCACAGCAATAGGTAACTGACGTAAAAGGAAAGGAAACAATGAAGTAATTCCAGAAAATTTCCTATAGCTGGAGGACATGCATTTTCATATTGAATGGGAAGAATGGGGTGGGGGGGTCATACCTCTGTGTTATTGCAGGGTCCTGGCTCCTAGGGACCTAGGCACCTCTTCAGTCAGTGAATTATAGCTTGGAAAATTGGCTAAGTCGGGGAACTGTACAAGGGGTCATCACTTTTTATGTAGCCATGCTCTATGAACCATCTTTATAACTCCCTGGCTTCTGGCAGTTAAGCACCACTCACTATCTGGCCTCTGTAATTTCAACTTCTGACCATCCCCGTGGGTGGCAACAAGCCCAGCTCTGTGACACCTCTGCTACCAGCAGCCCTGGCCTGGAGAGCGGTGCCCCCACTGAATGTCTCAGTGAGATTGGCACCCCCATGAGCATATTCCTGAGGGTGCAGTGAATGCTCTTTCTCCCTACTTGGGACTTCTGGGAAACACTGTCCTCTGGTGGGTTGTTTGACCTCACATAATATACTGGTTCTTGCATGCCAGCTTCTCTCTGCTTCTTGATTCTTTTATCAGCTGTTAGGGCAACAATGTCAGGCATTTCCGCCTGCTCAGCATTGGGCATCCCTTTTTACAGGCTTCTCAGAGCCACCCTAGCAGCAACTTTACCGCGTCTCCTGGGGTCCTTGCTGGATCGTGAAAACATACTTCCGGAGAAAGTGTTCCCTAGATAATGAATTATTTCTTGTCCTGTGTTAAGTTCCAGTTCCTTGGTCAAGGACCCCAGCGCTACTCCTCAGGATTTGCAGTGCATGCTCAATCTTGAAGCAATGTTGGGATATAGTATCTTTTCTTCTCTATCAGGCCCAGCTGTCTCCAGGTGGGTTATACTAGGATTTAATCCTCGTTAGTGCCGGGTCAGCTCCTGAGGGGTGCACCTGTTGCTTTTTAGGGACGAGGCCTCTTCAGCATAAAGAAGTGCTATCTCTTACTAGGGAAGAATGGGCCACCTCTGTAAGCTCCAAATATTCCCAGGTTTCCCCAACCGGGGCCTTGACCTTGGCATAACTGATCTGCCTTGGCTGAGCATTTAAACATCCCTAAATCTCTGCAAGTCTATCAGGTCCTAGGCCTGCTGCTAAGTTTCTCTACTCTTCCACTGTAGGAGAGAAGGCTGTGGCTCTTATATTGAGCCTTTAACTGTTTGTTATTGGCCCTCAGTTTCTCATTAGCTCTCTGTAGAGTCTCAATACAATATATCAGAAAGCATTCAATTCCATCTCCTTGTAGGCAGGGAATGCCTAAATCATTGCACCTACAATGACATTCTCCACCAGGATATTTCCCAGGTTACTGCTGTTGAAATATTTAGCAATTGAAGCACCATTTGTGCAAGGGGACTATCTGCCCCTACACAACACTCAGAATGGCATTCTCTTTGCTTTCCAGAAAGTGAATGAGCTGGTTCCCCAACCCCTCTTGTGTTAGTTTGAGTCCTGAAAGAAGTAAATGTCAAGATAGGATTAGATGTACAAGAAATTTATTGGGGAAAGAATTGTGAAGGATAAAGGGGAAGGAGCTAGGGGAGGCATTGAACCTTTGGATCATGATGTGTGTCCAACAACTATGAAGGAGAGTGGGCAGGGAGAAGGATGGGCTGGGAAGAGTTTCAGTTGGCACTGTGGGTCTCAGAACAACCCAGGCATAGGCTGATGGGGACGCCTTGAGCCAATGTTGCCCATTGGCGGAGTCCACATCTTGCTGAAATGGGCCTGCATTAGTTCCCCTGCCATGTTTAGTCATCTGGGAGTAGCCGATGAGAATCATGATCTTAGGATCAACTGCAATGGCAGATTCAAAGGGGTAGCAACTGATGGCCTCAGTCAACTGTGCTCCTTATAGCAGGAACACTGAGCAGTGCATTTCTTGGCCATCACAAAGACTAGTGAGGAGTGCCCTTCAGAGAAGGGAATGAAAATTATTTCCAGCCTAGAATTTGATACTTATCTAAACTGTCAATCATTCATGAGAGTCAAAGTCCCAAAAAATAAATCTTCCATAAACCCTTTCTCAGGAAGTTATTGGAGGGTAACCGCCACATAACATGAGGAAGACAAGGAGGAAGACATGGGATCTATGAAAGGGCAGGTCTAACCCAGGAAAAGGATGATGAACTGTAGACCCATGATGTCAGATGTGCAGCAGACTAAGATCAGCCAGTGCAGAATGGGGGAGATTCCAGAAGTGTGTCCCCCCAAAATATTGGAGGCTCATGTGACTTCCCTGGGGAAGTTTCTGCTGAGAGGCTATTGGAAATTGAGGGAAGAATTAGCCACAGTCCCAAAGAAAACAGAGCCAATCAAAAAGCAATGCAATTATGAACTTCAAAGAAAACAAAAATAAGAAGGAAAACAGTCTTACTTACTACATTACAAGGTCCAGCTGTGAATGATATTCATGTTGGCAGAATAATGTCAATACCAAATGTCGGTTAAACCCAAAACTATTGTATAACTAAATTGCCTGTGTAAGAGAGCTAAACCCTTATCTAGCATAATAGGAAGTCAGTGGATACTTCCTGAAGTGTGGATGTGTGGAGATGTAAATTCCAAAAGAAAACGTCTTAAGAGTCAAAAGTGGTTGCCTCTAGAGAGAACTGGGGGAATTGTAGGGCAATGTAGGACAGGGAACTGTGATTTTTCTTGTAAGTTGTTCTGACATTTTAAACCATGAACATATATTACTTGTATTTTTAATTTTAAAAAGACATAAATATTTTTTCTATCACTTTAAATATTAATTTTGCTAGTTATAGCACATATTTATAGCATTACACTCTGTAGAGCTCTTTTGGATTCAAGTTTTGGAGAATTTTCAAAGTTTTAGATTAATGCCTTTGTGAGTTTTCATCCCTTTGATGATAACAAGTTACAAAGAAATAGGGTTATGAATAAACCTTGTGGGATATTGTTAGTCACCTTCTCTCAAGTCGATCTGTCCCATGAATCAATGTTTCAAACATTGACCAGCATTTGATACTTAATAAGCAACGAGTAAGTTTTTGTTGAACCAATGAATACTCTTAAAATATATTTTTTCAAGTGGCAACAGTACTATCTTATTTGCACTCTACTTTTCTTTTTGACCCTAAGAATGTCACAAAAATGTTTAGCAACTGTCAAGATTATTACATACAGAGATGACTATTGTGTTCTCAGATATGCTGTATGTCTTAGTTCATTTTGTACAGCTATAAGAGTAGCTGAGACTAGGTTATTTATTTATTTATTTATTTATTTTTTGAGACGGAGTCTTGCTGTGTTGCCCAGGCTGGAGTGCAGTGGCACAATCTCGGCTCACTCCAAGCTCCGCCTCCCAGGTTCACGCCATTCTCCTGCCTCAGCCTCCCGAGTAGCTGGGACTACAGGCACCTGCCGCCATGCCTGGCTAATTTTTTGTATTTTTAGTAGAGACGGGGTTTCACCGTGTTAGTCGGGATGGTCTCGATCTCCTGACCTTGTGATCCACTCACCTCGGCCTCCCAAAGTGCTGGGATTACAGGCGTGAGCCACCGCGCCTGGCCCTATTTTTTTTTTTTTTAAAGGAATTTATTTCCTCACAGTTCTGTTGGCTGGGAAGTCCAAGGGCAAGTCTCTGGCATCTGGTGAGAGACTTCTTGCTGCTTTCTCCCATGGTGGAAGGTGAGAGGGCAAGAGAGAGACAAAAGGAGGCTGAACTCATCCTTTTACAAGGAACCCATGCCTGAGATATTGAACCCACTTCTATGATAACAGCATTAATTCATTGATGAGGACAGAGACCTCATTGCCTAATTGGCCTAAAGTGAGACCTCTTAAAGGTCTCGCTTAATACTATTACAATGGCAATTAAATTTCAACATGAGTTTTGGAGGGGCAAGCATTCAAATCATAGCACCATATAATACAATAAAAATTTTCTGAGCTAAGTTTGGTAAATTTATTCTAGGAATCCATGTTGTCTCCTAGTTATCTTCCCTTCCATAGTACTGATGCATTTTTGTTAACCATTACCTAATTTTGCTTGAGTCTATTATTTCTGAAATTCACATTATCTTCCCTTTTAAAGTTGAGAAAATTTTCATTCTTCAAGCGCCTTATTTTCTATAATCTCTCAAAGTAACTGATGGCTGTTGCATGATCATAAGTGCAAATTATTTTGCTAGACCACACTTGGAGATGATGAATTTGGAATGGCATGCAGACTCCCGACATCAGGAGTCTTGTCTCCTGCAATAATCAGGAACCCAGGCTTAAAAGGGAGCAGGTACAACAGAAGGGCAAGGGGTGACAATGCTGGTGAAAGACATTTGAGGAAAGCTATCAACATGAAACAGAATAAAATAAACAGAAAAGCAAACCAGGGAAAATAAATTATGCAGGAAATTAAACACATACACAAACTGAAACAGGAACCATCAGAACATATAAAAAATTCTTGAACATCAGTAACACAATAGTTGAAACAAAATATTTAGTAAAATATTTGAAAAGTAAGGTCAAAGCAATGCTGTAAAAGTAGTACAAGATGATAAAGAAATAGAACACATTTTTGAAAGGGAAAAAGATTTAAAGGATATTCATAAAGATCCAACATCAGACTAATAGAAGTTCTGGAAAGAGAGAATAAGGAAATACAGGTCAGGAAATTTGTAAAGAAATAATATAATAAAATGCCCCAGAACTGAAGAACATGAGCTTTTAACTTTAAAGAGCCGACTGAGTTCCTAGCTCAATGAATGTATAGACATGTAAGGGTATTGAAAGTTCACCTTCAGTGTCATGTTTCCTAAGAAGCTAATGGAAGATATGCACCAGCAAAATTGTAGTAAATACATAGGAAGAAATAGTATATAGAAAAAGTATGGTTTCAATCCATAAGAAATAAAGGAAACTCCCAGGACGAGAGCAGCTCTTGACAGCATCTAGTCCAAACTGGACTTGGAGGCTGGAAACTTCTAGCAGGGAAGGAAGAGCTCTGGGTGAAAAAGTAGACTCAACAGAATAGATACGATCATAGAAAACATGATAGAGAATCACTAACACATTGAAAAAATCACATATAGAATATTCTGCACGCTTAATAATGAGGTCATTATTTATTCAAGGGAAAATTAAAAGCTGTTTAGAAAAGGGAAATGTTATAGTGCCCTATTTGGCTCTAAAATGAACATTTATATAGGAATCTTCATGTAAATACTAACAATGATTTAAATAAGAACAGACATTTCGGAAAATAAGGGAAGAAAATGGGGCATGTAAAAGAGCTAACTCCTCATTATCCTAATGAATTATTAAATTTCACAATAGCATAGTATTTAGAAATATGATAGTTATTACGAGAAGAAAGAGCTAAAAGGTTGCCAGTGGGGAGCAGGAGTGAGGGTTAGAGACGGGATTGGGGGAGATGCTTACTGTTTTCATGATAAGCCTTTGGTACTATTTGATTTTAAACTATATAAATGCATTTATTAATTTAAAGTAATTTAAAAAACCCATACCACTGGATAATGCTTGATAATTTCTAGAGTCCTTTTTTTTTGTATTTTGGGGCAGGTAAATTCATTGAGAGACCCAGAGAGTTTAGCTGACTTTCCTGTGGGTACCAAGGGTCAGAGCTGGGGTCAAAACTCAGGTTTTCTGAACCCCTATTCCCAGTGTACATTCCATGACTCCAGGCTGCCTCCCGCATTGCACAGGTTACATCTAGGGGTGTGCTAGCAAATGCCTAGACCATCCTCGTCCACATCAGCATCTGAAATGGACAAGAATGTTAGTCATGACTTGCCACTAACGTCTTTAACCTTAATTGACATCTGAGAGTGTCATCATTACATCATTACAAAAACACTAACCCAGATACATCTGTTCCCATTACTATTTCTGCGTAATTCCCCCAGACTTAATTGCTTTAAATAACCATTTTATTTGGTTTACAAACTTATGGGTCAGGATTAGGGGAGGGCTCACCCACGCAGTTTTTCTCTGGTCCGCAGTCATCTGAAGCTTGAACGGGGTGGGGCATGCAAGACGGCTCACACATGTGATCCGCGGTTGAGCCTGGCTGTGGACCAGAGCATCTCTGTTGGCCTCGCTTACACAAGTGGTCTCAGATTAGTAGCCTCTGTACATGGAAACTAGCTTCCCTCCCGGCAAGCATCCCAAGAGAACTAGGAGGAAGTGGTATGGACTTCTTTTCTTCTTCTTCTTCTTCTTTTCACTTATTCTTGATATCATGTAGCTTCATTTCTATCAGAGCAGTCACATGCCCACAGATTCAAGGGGGAGGGTCCACAGATCCGCCAATGGGAGGAACAGCCAGGTTATATCGTAAAAGATCATGGGGCATGGGAGATACCCATCTATTTTCTGTAAAAAATACATTTTGCCACAGCATCACTGGCTTTCCAGCTCACAGTGATCTGCCTGGAATGCCTTTTTCCGTCTCTCCAGGATCTACATCTTTCAATATAAGGTTTAGAAACTACCTCCTACAGGAAGACTTCCTTGATTTCCCTCAGCAAGAAAGAATCTTTCCTTCCTCTGAATCGCCATTGCATTAAAAAAAAAATCCATCTTCTGGCGTTTTCACTTTCAGACTTATACTGTAATTATTCTATGTACCTATGTTTGACCCCTCACGATGCCCAGCATAATAATTTGTCTATTGAGTAAATATTTGCTTAATGAAATAATCATTACATGATAACTCAAATAGCAGTCCTGAAAAAGTGCATTTCAATTCAGATCTCTCTTTTTTCTTCCTTCACAATTCTCATTTCCGAAAAATGAAAGAAGCCAGAGGATCCTTTATGAGGAGTTACAGTATAACTTATGCGTGGCTGTTTCCTGTGTTTACTGCTACTCAGTGAGAAATACGGGAGATGGGAGAGTGAAAAACCATGTCATTTACAATTTGATTAAAAAGCTTTTTATCTTTTCCTTTCACGTTTAAGCCTTGCCGTTTTAAAAATTTCCCTTTCGTCACAGGGGATCAAGCAGCAGTTAACGCTGCAGTTCCCTGTTCTGGAAACACTCTCAAAGGTGTTTCAACACATTTTGTCTCAACTCTGACTCCTGCCCCGCTGCCCCACGCCATCCAGCCACACTGAAGGTCTTGCATTTGTGCCTTGGGGCATTATTTTTTTTTACTCTTCTCCCTGCCTGGAAGGTTCTTCCCAACCTGCCCTACCGCCATAGCCACAGAACCAACCCTTCACTTTCCTTAAGTCTATGGTCACAAGCTCCTTCTCAAAGGAGGCACACCTCTAACCACCCCCATTTGGTGACTTCCTGTCTCCTGGAGGCCCCCGGAACTAGTCTTCTCTACTTCCAGCAACCCACTTTACGAGCAGCGGAGAAGACTGACTACTTCTGGGGGCCTCGAGGAGACAGGAAGTCACCAAATTTACAGGTGCTGTGGATGAAACTGTGTGATAATGAATTTATTGGGCTTGTTTTTTTAGCTTCTGAATAGAAGAACCAATAAGATCATTTTTTTAAAAAAGATAAAAACAGACAAACACAAACCCTCTAGTATAAAAGCATTTTTTTTTAAAAAAGATGAACACACACCCTCAGATTGCCTTCTTTTGAAAAGGCAATCTGAGATTCCTTATGAAATCCCCAGACAGAAGCTGTTTCTTTGAATTTAATATGCTGTACACTGTAGAGCCAAGAGGCTTATAGAGTGTTAATTAACACCCCTTGTCAAACATTTGTAAATGAATCTGGCTAAAGCTCAAGGAAACCAGGTTTTTCTGTGTGATAAAATATAATCTTTGGAGATTATTTATGATCACAAAGGGAGACTGTACAGAAAATTTTCCTAGACTTGGAAATGAGGCAGGATTATTGGTGTCCATCTGGACTGAGGCCTCAGGCAGGCCTGCCTAGTTAATCCCATTCTCCTATCCTCATTCTCTGGGGGTGAAGAAGGCAGTGCACCTTTGTTCAATTTGCTGCTTACCATGGATTAGGGCATTTTAAATTCTGTAAGGGTAGTTTTTAACTTGTAGAAAACTGATAGCGATGGGAAGGATTCTTGCCTAATAGGGACACAAACGGATTTTGTTCTGTAGAGATGTAAATGAAAAGATGAAAATCACAACACATTTAATGAAAGGAAAATAAAGACTCTTGTGAGTGCCACCAAAAAAAAAAATAAATAAAATGTATCTCCTCTCCGTGGCACCCCAGGCCTTCCTTACCTCACTCTATTTCTTCATAGCACTTATTGCCTTAGAACATTCTTTATAATTTACATTTATTATGTTTGTTGTTGGTTGTCGCTCCTCCTGCTAAAATGGAATCTCCGTGAGGGCACGGGTTTTTCTTTGATTTGTTCCCTGTTGTGCCCCAAAGTGCTAGAATCATGCCAGGCACACAATAGATGCTCAATAAATACTTCTGGAATGAAAATCCCCCTCCACTTAGACCAGTGAGTTCCAAACTTTTTTGATCTTGACCCATAGTAAGAAAGGCATTTTCCATGTTGAATATACACCATTGAAACAAAATTTTCACAGAAAAAACTTACCATTATTACAGGCAGTGCACTGTGATATTTCCTAATCTCTTCTATTTTGATTTTCAAAATTGCTGAGGCTACTCATAGGTTGATTTCACAAGTGGAGTTTGTGTTATGAAAAACTTTGACTTAACACCATGTCGAAACTGCTACCACAAAAAGGCAAATGCGAAAGAAGGGGGAAAGAGCAGGCCGATGACTTTCCGCTATCCACCACTCCATAAAGCATATTTCATTTTCCTGTAATTGTATCCTGTTCAATGATGTAGAAATCCTCACACACTCACATGCCACTTTTTCTTTGGGTGAAAAGCGTTCTCTACTGCAAGATGAATTGAGTTATTTCAAAAGCAAAGAGCTATAAATGAGCCTGTTAAAGAAAGTCTCAAGGAGAGTCTGTTGGCATCTGCTGTTGATAACTTAAAGCAGGAGAATTAGATAAGGAGGCAGAAGTAGAATGTTTAGAAAATAAAAGTGACCATTATAGAGGAAAAACTGCTTGTCTCAGTTTTGTTGATATTGGAGAGTAGCTCTTTCATGAGGGTATTGTGGAATTATTGGCAATTATACTAATAGATGTTTACTGAAAAAATCCTATTTGACTGATGAACCATGGAATACTTTTGCTGACCTTGTGGAAAACATCACTTATCTGAGTTCCTTATCTTCTTGTCTCTTTTTTCTCATCTAGCCTATGCCTCCCTACCTGTTCCCTCATGGTTCTCATTTTGTTGCTATTAGAAAAACAGAGATACAAAAACCAGGAATTGGAACCCCTCTGTGTCTCCAGTAATAATTCTGTGATTAATGGGTTAGATGGATTCTGGTCACAAGCTGGATATTTTGTTAACAACCTAGCGTCAATGACTTGGAATGATTTTCACCGCAGCATGATTTAGTATTGAATAGAATGATTTAACTAATGTTAATTAGTTCTGTACAGATAAATTAATGAAGCAAGAAGCTCAATCTCTGATTTATTGATGTATTTACCCAGTGTAAGTTATGAAATCTTTTTTATTTCATTTGAAGGAAGTTTTTATTTAAATACAAATAAATAAGCCCTTTATTGTCACCTACTTTGGAAAAGTCCAGATAAAACAATCTTAAGTAACAAAACTCCAAAATTACAACATGATTTTCAAAAACTACCCTGACCTTTGTCTTGCCTGGTTGTTACAGTGTACTTTTAACTAAACGGATTCTTATAGAATCTCAAGTTTGGTTATATTTGTATTAAGGAACTCTATATTTGCATTTGACCAGCCCTAACTAAAACAAGCTTAAGGAAGAAAAGGGACTTTACGACAAGGACAAAGGATTGAAGAAGAACTCCAGGGACTTTAGATGTTAACAACTGTATTTGTCACTAAAGTAACCATTACTGTCAAGGTGGGTTCTCCTTCTCCCTCACTAAACACATGCACACACACCACACACACATACACATACCACATACATACCACACACATGCACACACACCACACACACACCACACCACACACACAGAAATACACACAGACATACACACATGCACTTATGCTTGGGTCAGTTTGGCTTTTATCATCCCAGAGAGTCTCTTCCCATGTCAGCAACTCCAGATTCACTTCCTCTCCTAATATAGGACAGTCACATGTCTCTATTCCAGCAAAACAATCTCAGGGAAGGTATCTCATTGGCCTGGCTTGGGTCATTCAACTTGAAGTACAAGAAGAGAAAACAGTATTCTTTTATTTTTATAGATTTCCTGTAAAATCAGTGGATAATGGTAAAAATTTCATGACAGCAGGTGTTTTACCTTATTTATGTTTACTATCTCTAGAACCCAGTATGATAGTTCATAATAAATGCTTACTAAAACAATTATCAAACTGTACACTTAAAAATTAAAAGAGTAAATTTTAAGTTGTGTATGTTTTACCACAGTAAAACAAAATAAAATAAACCTATTATTGATCTTATTGTCTATTTCTCAAAAGTAGCATACGTCATAATTTCATGTGATTTCTAAAGGAGATCTAATCTCAAACTTAGTTCTTAGAGTAAAATAAAAGGTTTTGGCAATCATATACAGCAGTAGACTTTACCTTGAAGATTTAACAAAGGTTTGAAAGCAAAATGCTATGATACTGAATATACTAATGTTTGAGGGCTTGTGAAAAGGTCTTAATATAGGAATCATATATCTTCTTTTAGATTGTGTCTTGGGGAACATTGGGGGTCAGTTTTTCTATCAGTGTTAGTATGTAGTAAGTAATGGCATACATCTAAGCTTGAGATTTTGCTCATTTCTGTATTCTTAGCACTTATATATCCAACATATAATAGGTGTTGGATAATATTTGTTGAATAAATGACTAAATAAATGTCTTGGCATGAGAATTATGCCATCTACAAAACCGTCACTTTTAAAAAAAACAACAAAGATTTTTGAACCTGTAGATCCAGCCAGAAAGCAAGAAATATCTTCACCTTTCCAGACTGACTTATTTTTTGGTCTAGCTGTGTACTATGCATGAGCTGTCAACTTTAATACTTTATTTTTTAATGCCTAGGTCTAGTGAGTTACAATGTGATGTAGACTGATTGAATTAAAGGCCCCAATGTTGTCCTCTCTTCATTGTATCCATGCCTTTTGTCATGTAACTTTGCAGTGTCCTCTACTCTAGGTGTCCATTCAGCTTATCCTTTGACTCTGGCCTTCTTCTCCTTTGACTCTGGCTTTATCCATGTGACTTACTTTAGCCAACAATCATAATGCTGGCAAACACTGAGAAAATGCTTATTAGTGTCTGCTTAGTCTCTTGCTTCTCTGCAATTGCCATGAGAAAATGCCCAAGCTAGTACACTGGAGGATGAGACATGTGGGGCAGAAGCAACCTGTCCCATTTGTCCCAGCCAACACCATCCTAGATTAACCAGATGAGACCAGAGCAGAAGACATGTTCAGTGGAGCCCAACCCAGCTCACGAATAATATTTCTTCATGAGCATGTGAGCAATGTGTAACTAATGCACCATGCTCTTTTTATTCTGCACTTCCAAACATCTCTCAGATTGCCCTGTTGTTTTGCTTTTCAGTAGTCATCACCTTTGTCCAGAACCTTAATTGTATCTGCATTTTGGCAGTATCCTGCCAATTTTCCACATCCAGCTGTTCACATTCTAATGCATTCTGCAATGGATGATTTTGAGCATATGACTGATCATCACTGTCTCAGAAATTTATGCTAATCTATTGTGACCTATTCTGTCAAATCCAAATAACTTTACATTCAAAACTTTTCATATTCTGGCCCCATACTGTCTATTGTAATCTTATTTTCTAAAAGCCACAAACTATTAATCCTGTAGCCTAATTAGGTTGATATCATCATTTTCACAACACGTTGGGTAAATTCTTATATCTGTTCCTTTAATCATAGTTTCCATGCTTAGACACTCCATTGCCCTCCCTAAGCACCAGCCAGAGTCCACTATGGGGGGATATTTTAAAGGCTCTTTTCCCCTAACCCATCTGCCCCAGAGGTGGCACAGGCTAGAAAAGATAGTCCAATTATTTGGCTTAATTATTTGGATCTTACAGTTTTTTTGGGAGAGTTCCAGATGATTTGATGAAATGCAACATGGTCAAAAACATTTTGGTGGAGAATAATTTAATCAACTAGACCATTTGGTGAAAAATAAATCCCAGTTACTAGACTTCCCAGTATTAATAATTTTGGTATGCCAGGAATTTTTAAAACATTTCTAACAAATTTTTTCAGAAATCAGAATGACTGAAAGGTATAACAATAGGAAATTAGGAAATCAATAAGTAATCATTGAAAAGTGAGTGATTGAATTAGTTGGAACAATCTATGCCATCCATCCTGTGGGGGAAAAAATGAAAACAGCTAAACAAGCAGAGCAGACATCATCAACTTAGAAAAACAATATAGTAAATAATTTGAACTAGAAAATTTTCCAAAATTGAAAATTCCAGTTTTAAAAAATTTGTGTTTTCTTATTCAAAAAGCAATACATATTTCGTTACATAAAAGTCAGAAAATCAGAGAAGCAGAAGAACATAATAAATGCCCACTGTCCTACTCAATAGAGACTATAACTGCTATCTCTGTACAAATCCTTTAAAATCCTGTCTTATGTGTATTTATTTTACATCTGTACATATGATTCCAAAATTAGGTAATACTGTACGTGGTCTATCTATAGCTAACTATAGTTTGTAATTTAATAAGCTATATTTGTCCATGGTGATCATTTATTGCTCATAAAATTAATAAATTATAATTTATTTATCAACACTGATCATTTGTTGCTAATAATTTATTTCATTTAATGTCTTATTCCTGGGTTATTTTAACTAATCCCTATTGTTAGCCCTTTAGGTTGTTTCAACTAATTTAAGAATTATAAATGGCCCATAGTAGTTACTTAATAAATATTTGAGTGAAAGGATAAATGAATGAATAATTCCACATTATTGGATGTTCAAGTTGTTTCCATTCAACTTTATTGTTGTGGGGGAGTATAATACAATCTTGGTGAAGAGCCACCAACTTAGGAAGAACTATGAAGAAGCATGTTATTTACTCCTGCTTGTGGGTGGGGTGCATTGGGAAAGGAATGCCTAAATGCACGTGGGGAGCCAAACAAGACTTCACAGGGGAGATGGGAATTGAGCCAAATTTGGAAGAAGTGAGAATTTTCAGTTGATAATTGGGGAAGATAGTACTAAGAGTAAGTGGGGTTCATTAGGAACTACTTCTTAGAAGAGGCAAGTCCAGAACAGAAGGCAGAAAGGGATATGGATATGAAGGAAAAGTAGAATGCAACTTCAGGGCTAGTAGGTTGGCATCCAACGTAGGTACAGCCCTGGATGAGGAGTAATGAGAAACTGACCTGGCTGTAGCAAAACAGCTAGGCTGGGAAGTGATGCTGTTTACATTTATATGCGATTCTACTGGTCTTCCTGTTACTTTGTAGAAGACTGTAAGGCTTGGTGCTCAGAGCTAGAAATGCAACTTATTTGATTTGCTAAGAAGTCCAAAGCAGGTAGGGGTGCCAAGCTGCTGCCTGTTCACACATATTCGTCTAACTGGGTGTCAGGGAAAGCAGATATGAGCCCCCTTGCATTGGTTAAATCCTGAGCAACTTTTAAGGAACTGCACACAGAGACTACTGGCTATTTTTTGTGGATAAAGTTGTAGATAGTTATTTTTGGGAAATTATTTATGTGTTCTATTAGGTGGTTGTTTTGTGGGAGGCTGTTTGAAATTCTGTCTTAAGGAACTGCAGCTTATAAACCATAGTGCTGATAGAAATAAGAGAAATAATTTGGTCTGCGAGCACAAACATCAGGCTAGTTGGCATGCTTATGTAAACACCACACAGTAGCAGTGACTTTTAAGGAAGTCCTCAGACAATGTAATCCCAATACTCTTCTTGAAGTTGAGGTAATAGGGTGCCAGAAAGAAAAAGAAAATAAATCTCTAGTGCCTTCTAAAATTTTTTCAATCCTTTGACCTTTTTGAAAACGGTCACCTTTAATTCAGAACTAAAGTAACATCTGGAGGGCCCTTTTCTTAGATAGGGAGAAGACATAAATGAGCTATTTGAATTATTTTCTGCTTATGGGCTGCATTTCATTTCTTCCACCATTGGTCTCAGTCCATTTAATTAAGATTATTTGTAGGATTAAATTAATCCTTTAAGAATTATTCCATTTCAATTTTTAAAAAATCTAATGAATGATAGATAACAAAAAGCGGTCCATTCAGTATTACCCCTGAAACATATTTGGGTGATTGGTGATACCATCCATGTCTCTCCAACTTCAGCTTCATATACTCAGCTGAGTACCAGGCATCTTCATTGAAAGCTAGACTTGTGACCTAAATAGAACTTGATCCCTTCCCTTCCCCAACTCCTTATTTTTTGTTTTCTTTGAGTTCCTTGATTCCTCTTCCCCTCCTCACATGCAACATGTAACATCCAATTCATCAGCAGGTTCTACAGATTCTGCCTTCAATAATAGCCTAAATCTAGCCACTTGTTACTATCTTTTTTGGTCCAAACCATCATGATCTTTTGCCTGGACCATTGCAATAGTTGTCTAACTGGTATCCTTGCTCCCATTTTGTCCTCCTAGATCCTATTTTCCACGTAGTAGCCACTGATTTTTGGAAACTTATCAATCATTACCCAGACACAATGAGTACATTTACATAGTTGTTTGATTCCATTTACATAAAGTCCCACAATCACTCTATGTACTGGGAATCACAACAGTGGTCTCCTATGTTGAGAATTGATTAAGAGTCACAAGGAAACAAGGAGTAATATTCCATTGTATTAACAGACCACACTGTTCATACATTCTCCTGTAAATGGACATTTATGTTGTTTTCAGTTTTTTTGCTATTGTGATTAAAGCTATTAGGTTGGTGCCAAAGTAATTGCAGTTTTTGCCATTACTTTTTAAATGGCAAAAACTGCAATTACTTTGGCACCAACCTAATACTGTAAGTATCTTTGAACTTACCAATCAAACATTACTACAACACTTGAATAAGAAACACTTCCATAGCATTTACAATTCTAAGTGCTTTCCATGTATTGACTTAGTTAATCCTCACAAGGATATAACCATGAGGTGCTATTACTATCCCTACTTTACAGATGAGGAAATAGAGGCACAGACTTCAGATAATTTGCCCAAGGTCCCACAGCTAATAAGGGGGCAGAATTAGGAAAGCCTGGCTGAGTCTATGCTCTCATCACTTGCTCAACTCTGCCTGGAATGCCCTTCCCGTACCCTCTACCGCCTCTGCCCAATCCTCCGGGTTCTCTGCTCCTTCCACACACCCCCATCTCAGGTCCCAGTCTTTTTTAGCATTCTTCACTTTTTCTGTTACAGATCCTCAGACAATGCTTCCTTGAAGAAGACTTGCCTGTCTAAACTGCCTTCCCATCCCAATCCCTGTTACCTTCTATCCTTTCTCTGCTTTGTTTTCATTTGTTATCTCTCTTCTTCCCAAGAATGTAAGCTCCATAAGAACAGGATCATATTTTGAATCCCCTAGAAAAGTGCCTAGTGTAATATTTGTTGAATGAATATGATCCCTGCAATTAAAAGCTAAATATATATATTTTTTTAACTAACAGATTACTGTAGTAGTTTCAAAGATGAATTTATGTTTCGGAGAAAATCAGTATTCTCTTGCCACATAAATTGTAGGTAATTATATTTCTATACCTGAATAGCTTTGCCAATGACTAAGATATTAATCTATTATATATTTATTAATCTATAGATCTTTAAAATTGATGCACATGTTTTATAAGCAATTTGATGAATTTTGATGACTACATACACCTGTATGTGTATGGATATCTGTAACAAATATCCAAGTAAAGATATAGAATATTCTCATTACCCCAGAAAGTTTCTTTGTGACTTCTAATCAATTCTCACCTCCGTAGGAAACCGCTGTTGTGATTCCCATCACCACAGACTGATTTTGGGACTTTATGTAAATGGAATCAAACAACTCTGTGAATGTACTCTGTGTCTGAGTTCTTTCAATCTACACAATCTTTTTGACATTAATCCATATTACTGCCTAGAAGAGTAGTTCACTCTTTGCATTAATGAATAGTATTCCATTGTATAAACAAACCACACTGTTTATACATTCTCCTGTGAATGGACATTTGTGTTGTTTTCAGTTTTCTGCTATTGCGATTTAAGCTACTATAAGCATTTTTTTTTAATTGTGATGGGGTTTCGCTCTTGTTCCCCAGGCTGGAGTGCAGTGGCAGCGATCTCAGCTCACTGCAGCTTCTGCCACGTGGGTCCAAGCGATTCTCCTGCCTCAGCCTCCCGAGTACCTGGGATTACAGGCATGTGCCACCACACCTGGCTAAGTTTCGTATTTTCAGTAGAGACGGGGTTTCACCATGTTGGTCAGGCTGGTCTCGAAGTCCTGACCTCAGGTGATCCACCCACCTCGGCCTCCCAAAGTGCTGGGATTACAGTCTTGAGCCACTGTGCCCGGCCAGCATCTTTGAACATATCAATTTGTAAGTTTTATCTTAATATTGTACAAGTCTTTTGGGGGGCTTATGTTGTCATTTCTCTTGGTAAATACCTAGGTATGAACTTGCTAGATTATAGAGAAAATCTATCTTTAATTTTATAAGAAACTGTCAAATAGTTTTCCAAAGTGGTGGTACTATTTATACTCCCACCATCAATGTATGAAATTTCCGTTGTTTTACGTCCTTGCCAGAATTTGTTGGTAGTCTTTTTTTTTTTTTGAGGCAGCATCTCACTGTGTTGCCCAGGCATACAATGGTGTGATCTCGGCTCACTGCAACCTCTGCCTCCCAGGTTCAAGGGATTTTCATGCCTCAGCATCCCAAGCAGCTGGGACTACAGAGGCGTGCCACCACACCCAGCTAATTTTTGTATTTTTAGTAGAGATGGGGTTTCACCATGTTGCCCAAGTTGGTCTCGAACTCCTGGCTTCAAGTGATTCGCCCGCCTCAGCCTCCCAAATTGCTGGGATTATAGGCGTGAGTCACTGTACCCAGCCTGTTGCCAGTATTTTTAGTTGTAGGCATCTTAGTGGGTGTGAGTGCTCGTTGGGGTTTTAATTTGCATTTTCCTGATAGTGTTGATGTTGAGGACATTTCTATGTGTTTACTGAGCATTGGTGAAGATTCTCTTGTGAAATATCTATTCAAATATTTTGCTCATGGTGGGAAGGGGAGTTATTTTTCTTTTACTACTGATAGGTAGGCTTACGTATTTATTTCGGATATAATTATTTTGTCAATTATATACTAATCATAAACAAAAACTGATAAATTGGACGACGTCAAAATTAAAACCTGCTCATCAAATGTTAGCGAAATGTAAAGGCAAATCACATACTGAGGGGAGATATTTTAATATATGTATATTTATATAGTGCTTTCTGTGTTCTAAGAAGTATTTTCCTACTCCAAGATAAAGAGACTATTCTCTTACATTTTGTTCTATAAGTTTTATAGTTTTAGCTTTTAGCTTTGGATCTATGATCTGTCTCAAATTTTTATGCAAGATTGGGGTTTAATTTTTTCATACACTTTTCCAGTTGTCAAGGATCATTTGTTGAAACGTCTTTCCTGTTGCCACATAATTGCTTTGATGCATTCGTTAGAAATCAGTTGGCTGTGGGTTTATTTTGGAATTTTCTGTTCTGCTCCTTTGATGTATTTGTCTATCCTTATGCCAATATCACCCTATATTAAATAATTATAGCTTTATAATAAGTCTTGAAATCAGGTAATGTGAATGTTTCAACTGTGTTTTTCCTTTTTCTAGTTATTTTAGCTGTTTTATGTTCTTATTGTATATATTTTAGAATCAACTTATTCATTTCTACAAAAAGTTTATTGGGATTCTGGATGAGATGGTGTTGATTCAGTAGGTCAATCTGGGGAAATCTGATAACAATATTGACTCTTCCAATCCATGAAAATGGTATCTCATTCTTTATTTACATATTCTTTAATTTCTGTTAGCAATGTGTTATAATTGTAGCAAACTTGCACATCTTTTGTTAAATTATTTTCTAAGTATTTTACGATTTTGGTACCACTGTAAGTGGCATTGTATTTAAAATTTATTTTCTGTTTGTTTTCTGTTCATATATAAATGCAATTGATTTTCTTTTTTTTTTTTTTTTTTTTTTTTTTTTGAGACAGAGGCTTACTTTGTCACCCAGGCTGGAGTGCAGTGGCGTGATCAGCACTCACTGCAGACTTGAACTCCTGGGCTGAAGGGAGCCTCTCACCTCAGCCTCCCAAGTAGCTGGGACTATGGGTGTGAGCCAGTGTTCCTGGCCAAATGCAGCTGATTTTTGTATTGACATTGTATTCTGCCAACTTGCTAAATTAACTTATTCGTTTTAATAGTTTTTCTGTTTTTTTAAAAATCTTAGGATTTCTACACAGACAATCATGTTTTTAATGAACAACAAAGTTTGTTTTTTTGTTTGTTTGTTTTTCCCTTTTCAATCAACATGCCTTTTATGTTTTTATTTGCCTTACTGCACTGGCTAGGACCTCCAGTACAATTTTAATAGCAATGGTGAGAGTGTTTAAATGTACTCCTGTGTATATTTTATTCTTTTGGAACTTATTATAAATGGAATTGTTTTCTTAATTTTCTTTTTGGACTGTTCATTGCTATTGTACAGAAATACAACTGACTATTGTGTGTTGATCTTGTACCTTGCAATTTTGCTGAAATCGTTTATTTTTTGCAATAGATTTTTGTGAATTCTTTAGGATTTTCCATATGTAGAATCATGTTATCTGTGAATAGGGATAGTTTTACTTCTTTTCTAACTTGGATAGTTTTTTCCTTCCTAATTGCTCTGGCAAGAACTTCTAGTACAATGTTAGAGAGCAATAGTGAAAGCAGGCATCTTCCTTTCAATCCTGATGTTAGGGGTGAAGCTCTCAGCCTTTCACTGTAATGTTGGCTGTGGATTTTCATAATTTTTTGTTTGTTTGTTTTTTTGTTTGAGACGGAGTTTCTCTTGTTGCCTGGGCTGGAGTGCAGTGGCGTGATCTCGGCTCATCACAACCTCTGCCTCCTGGGTTCAAGCGATTCTCCTGCCTCAGCCTCCAGAGTAGCTGGGATTACAGGTGCCTGCCACCACACCGACTAATTTTGTATTTTTAGTAGAGACGGGGTTTCTCGATGTTGGTCAGGCTGCTCTCGAACTCCTGACCTCAGATGATCCGCCCGCCTCGGCCTCCCAAAGTGCTGGGATTACAGGCATGAGCCACCACGCCCGGCCCATAAATGCTTTTCTTAATCATATTAAGGAAGTTCCTTTCTAGTCGTAGTTTTCTGAGTGTTTTTATTATGAAAGACTTTCAGATTTTTGTAAAATGCTTTTCCTGCGTTAATTGAGATAATCATATGGGTTTTCTCCCCCTTTACTCTATTGATGTAATGCATTACAACGATTTTTTTTAATGTTTACCCATCTTTGCATTCCTGGAATAAATACTAGTTGATTGTGCTGTATAATTCTTAAAATATGCTGCTGGATTTGTTTTGTTAGTATTTGGTTGCATTCTTTTGCATCTATATTCATAAGGGATATTGATCTGTAACTATTATTTTCTTGTGGTGGCTTTATCTGGCTTTGGTATCAAGATAATGCTGGCCACATTGGCTAAGTTAGAAAGTGTTCTTTCTTCTATTTTTTGAAGAGCTTGAAAAGAGTCGTGTTAATTCTTCTTTAAATATTTGGTACAATTCACTATTAAAGCCACTAGTCCTGGGCTTTTCTTAGTTTGAAAGTTTTTGATTACTAATTCAATCTCTTTTACACCTAGATTAGATTTTGTATTTTTTCCTTAGCCACTTTTGGTAATGTGTGTGCTTCCGGGAATTTGGCCAGGTCATCTCTGTTATCTAATTTGCTGGCATCCAAATGTTCATAATGTTCTCTTGTAATCCTTTTTATTATAGAAATGATATACAGAAAAGGTCAGTTACCACTTTCTTTTATGATTGCATTAATTTGCTTCTTTTCTCTTTTTTTCTCTAGTCAGTCTTGCTAAAGGTTGGTCTGTTTTGTTGATTTTTTTCAAAGAACCAACTTTTGATTTTGTTGATTCTATAATTTTTCTGCTCTGTATTTTGTGTATATCCATTCTAATTTTTATTAGTTCCTTTATTCTGTTAGCTGTGAGTTTAGTTGGCTCTTCTTTTTTATTTTCTTAAGGTGGAAGACTAAGTTATTGAGATATATCTTGTTTTTTTTTTTGATGTAGGTATTTAAAGCTATAAAATTTCCTCTGAGCATTGCTTTTGCTGCAATTTATAAGTATTGGTATGTTACATATTCAGTTAGTTTTTTATATACACATTTAAGCTTTTGCTAATCTACCTTGTGATTTCTTCATTGACTTATTGCTTGTTTGAGTGTGTCAACAATTTCCACGTATTTGTGAATATTCTAGTTTTCCTTTTGTTATTGATTTCTAGTTTCATTTCATTGTGGTAAGAAACAATACTTTTTATGATCTCAACAGTTTAAAATTTATTAAGACTTATTTTCTGGTCTAACATATGATCTATCCTGGAAAATGTATCATGTGCACTTGAGAAAAATGTATATTCTGATTTTTTTAGGTGGGTGGCATGTTCTATTAATATATATGTCTGTTAGCTCTAGGTGAATTATAGTGATGTTCAAAGCCTCCATTTTGTTATTAATATAACCATGCCAGATTTTTAATGCTGTCCATTTGCATAATATGTCTCTTTCCATTCTTTTTCTTTTACATGATCACTTTATATTTATAGTATATTTCTTGCACACAGAATGTAATTGAAACTTACTTTTCTAAAATCTACTTTCTTTTTTTTTTTTTTGAGATGGAGTCTTGCTCTGTTGCCCAGGCTGGAGTGCAGTGGCACAATCTTGGCTCACTGCAATCTCTGCTTCCCGGGTTCAAGCAATTCTCCTGTCTCAGCCTCCCGAGTAGCTGGGATTACAGGCACCTGTATTTTTAGTAGAGACGGGGTTTCACCATGTTGGTCAGGCTGGTCTTGAACTCCTGACCTCGTGATCCACCTGCCTTGGCCTCCCAAAGTGCTGGGATTACAGGCGTGAGCCACTGCACCCAGCCCCTAAAATCTGCTTTCATAGCATCTGTCTTGTACTTGGAACATTTAGTCCATGTGTATTTGAATATTTATTGATATGTTTGGGTTTATGTTTACAATCCTGCTATTTGTTTTCTTTTTGTTCCATGTGTTTTTTGTTTTTTATTTCTGCATCTTTTGGAAAAATCAGATTTTTTGGTAATTCATTTTTCTTATTTTATTGGCTTTTTAGAGAAACCTTTTAATATCTTTGTGAGTTTTAGGGATTACATTATTTATTCTTATTATTATTCCATTTAGAATTAATATTGTTAATCCCATTCAAAAATTTGTTTATTTCGCTTTTCAGTTCTAGAATTTTCATGTTTTCTTCAGTTGTTGTTTCTCTGTTGTTATTCTCCATTTGTTCATTATATCTATCTTTTCTTTGAAATCCTTAAAAATATTTATAATAGCTATTTTAAAGTCCTCTGCTAATCCCAATGTCTGGGACATCTTGGCTTCTGTTGATATTGAATACTTCTTTTTTTCCCCTTAATTAAGGGTTTCATTTTCCTGCTTTTTCACATATCTAGTAGATTTTTATTATGCTCTGTGTGCTATGAATGAGATATTATAGGAAGCCTGGTCAATATTGTCTCTTTTTAAAGGGTGTTGTATTTAGTTCTGCCAAGAAGTTAAATTACCAGATTTACTTGATGTGGCTTTAGTCTTTGTTAGAGCTGGTCTATTCCTGCTTTGTTCTTACTTCTCAGGTAATGACCTTCCTGAGTTTCAGCTGGATGCCTGAAGTGCTCAGCTGCATTTTTCTACTCTGGCTATTCTGAAATGCAATATTTTCCAGACCTACCCAACCTTTGGTATTCATCTCCCAGACCTGTGGCTGCTTCTCTTTGCTGAGCCTCACAAAATCTTGTCCTGTGCATGGACAGCCAAGGATCCTTGGGAAATCTCATGCAGACTTCTAGGTCCTTCCTTTGTGTAGATTTCTTCTCTCCAGTACGTTGACCTGCTTCAGAGTCCTCATCATTGCTTTCTTCCTTTTCAGCTCAGCAATACTGCTGTGTATTGTGTGGGCTTCATTTGCCTCAGCCATACCTAGAACACAACCCAAGGCAGAAAGCTGGAGTGGACCTGAGGCTCATCACCTGTTTCCTTCCACCCACCATTTAAAAGCAGCTTATTTGTGTGAAACTTTTTGTTGGGTTCTGTGGGGGATACGTATAGGCAAATGACAGGGAGCTTATAATTTAGCCAAAGAGAAAATGTCTATATGTTCTGTGGAATTCAGAGTATTTTCCTCGACTTCCAAAATTATTTTCCTCGACTTCCAAAATTTGGGGCTACTAGCTAGTTGGTAGGAAGGAATTCCAGATCCATTTTTCTTCTAGATTTTTTTCAGACTCCATGTTTCAAAATCTAGATGGAAGGTAAGAAGGAAGCAAGGAGGGCATCACATACGAGAGAGACTTATACCCCAAAGTGGATCATTAGCACATTATGAGATAATATGGTATTATTCTCAGAGGCCTGCCATATAAAATTCCTTCTAATTTATTTTTTAATGGTATGTGCCTGAAAGTTTTCTGTCTTTCATGATCTTGAAAGCAAAATAAGAACCAGAGTAGCTTATGAGAGAGTTTTCCTGCTTCAGCCCAGAAAAATGTTGCTTCTGTCCTAGACCCTTTGATCTGGTTCTTAGTGCCAGCCTTCATTCCTCTAGATCTGTTTATTGAATACTGGCTCTGTTGCAGAGACTTTGCTAGAATCTGAGAGATAAAAGACTCAATGCCTTCAAAACACCTACAATCCAGACACTTAAATAAATGCAATAATATATGGTTAAGGTCTTGGATAGAGGACCATCATAGAAACACATAGAACAGACATTTAGTCCATGCTAGGGAGAGGGAAGATGTCAAGGAATGCTTCCTGGAGGTGGCGACATCTAAGCTGAGTTTTAAAGTGGGTGTAAGAGTGAAGGAACTGGGAATAGGCAAAACATACCTTAGAGAGCTGCACCTCCAAAGCATGGAAGGCTAGATAATCTTAGAACTTCAAGTGGGGTTCAATGTGCCTGGGACTTGGATTTCAGGCAGAGACCATAGGGCAAGTTGGAGAACAGGTGGGCAGGGTGAGATGAAGCAGAGACTTTTAATAACCATCAAACAGGCCTGCCATCCAACTGCTATCAGCCATTTTCCCTTTTTGAATTTTATTTTTTTAATCTCTAGAGCAATACATGTTTATGGTAGGAAATGAAAAAAATATATAGATGGGTAAAATGAAGTGAATTATACCACCCACAATCCTGCTGTAAAACAGGTTTTAACAAGTTATAAATCCCTCCAGATCAAAGTGCTACTAAACTCTACTTGCTATTTTATAACCTTTTTCTGTTCAGAGTATTTTAGAAACGTTTTTACATGTTAATTGATATTCTTTTGCATTATCCTGAATAATGGTATTTCTTTAGTTATACTATCATGTATTAAAACATTCATACATGGTAAACATATTTGAATATTAGACATTTCAATTGTTTTCAATGTTTGGCTATTAAAAATAGTATTTAGATGAATGTTCTTGGCCATACAGTTAATAACTTCACTGAGTCCTTGTCAATAACTTTATTAAATCCCAATCTTAAGACAACAAGCCTATAAGATTAACATACCAGGAATAATTAGAAAGCATTGCAAGACTATATGTAACCATCTCCCTGTTAATCATCCTTATTTGTTGCAACATCCTAAATAGCGACCTTCCCACACTCTGCCTCATAATATTTAATCTGTCAAATGTACCATCCGCAAAGGGAGTGAACTGGCTCGTGAAGAGGTGGTGAAGCTGGTTCAACTCAGTTTAACAGACAATGAGGGCCTCCGTGTGCCAGGGAGGGAGTGAGGGAACTCCACAGGGAGCTCATTCTGGGGAGGGATGCCCCTCATTATCTGCAGTAAATGATATTAGAGAAGTATGTGTGAGACTCTTGGTGTCCAGAGGAGGGGCATGCAGCACAGTATGGGGGTCCATGGGGTTGCAGCGATTTCTTAGAGACGGTGCCATGCCTGGGATGACCACCAAGTTAGGATGCTGTAAAGAGTAATCAAATAAGTTTCAACAGGGTTTTGGCATGAGGTGAGCAGTTAATCCAAATGATATCTGAAATGCTTTCTAATGCTGCAAGTGTATTCCTCTGTAAAATAATCAACTACTTAAAAGACACTCTCACTTGCATTATGTCATTTAATCCTCACAGTGTCCCTACGGGACAATAGATGTCATTCCCACTTGTACAGAGCAGTAAGTGAGGCTCACACCGGTCATAGTTAGAGGAGTAGGGAATCTAAACCTAAGTCTCTTCTACTCCAAACCCCAAGTTTTATCAGTATGTCACATCGCTACTGTGGGCTGAATTCCTTAGCAGGGGTTGTTTCCTCCACCTGCAATATTCTTCCTTTTGGTTTGTTCATCCTCTAGAGAGAGAAGGGATACGCATTCATGGAGATCCTACTGTTGCAAACTCTGCATTAGGAGTTTTACATGAATTGTCTCATTTAGTCCTCACAACAGTCCTGTGAGGCACAGGAAAGTTAGATTTACCTGCCCAAATTAAGGAATGTGGCCAACTCAAGAGTGACGAAGGCCAGGTGCGGTGGCTCATGCCTGTAATCTCAGCACTTTGGGAGGCTGAGGTGGGAGGCTGAGGATCGCTTGAGCCCAGGAGTTTAAGACCAGCCAGGGCAACACAGCAAGATTTAATCTCTACTAGAAATAAAAAAGAAATTAGCCAGGTGCCTGTAGTCCCAGTTACTTGGGAGGTTGAAGTGGGACGATTGCTTGAGCCTGGGAGGTAGAGGCTGCAGTGAGCCATGATCCCATCACTTCACTCCAGTCAGGGTGACAGAGTGAGACCCAGTCTTAAAACAAAACAAAACAAAAAAGAGTGATGGAGCAGGAACTTTATCTGCCATCAGAGACCATATATGTCTTTCCTTATGGCCCAGGTCATTTATCATGTCCTTGCTAAACCTCCTCCTCTGAGCCTTGTTAAAGTCCTCAAGGTTAGAAGAGTGGTCTATAATTATAAAAAATTCCATTGTATGACTTCAGCTACCTGCAAAACTGACCGAGATTAATGCATTCTTTGTTTGCTTTCACTCTTTCATTCCCTGTTCAGCGCTTATTCTACAGAAAGGTGCCTGGTAGATTTAGGACATGACTGTTCATAGGCCTCAAATGCGGTCAAATTAGGAAAGTCCCCTGGTTTTTGGTCTCAAGAGGTTAATTGCTGAGTACTAGCCTGGACTGCTCAATGGATTTTATGTTTAACTGTTGTGTTTATTTGTTTGTTTGTTTTTGTTTTGTGAGACATATCTTTCTCTGTCACCTGGGCTGGAGGTCAGTGGTGTGAACATGGCTCACCGAAGCCTCCATCTCCTGGGCTCAAGTGATCCTCCTGCCTCAGCCTTCCTAGTAGCTGGGACTACAGGCACACAGCACCATGACTGGTTAAGTTTTGGATTTTTTGGTAGAAATGGGGTCTCACTCTTTGCGCAGGCTAGTTGTGAACTCCTGGTATCAAGGGATTCTCCCAATGTGCTGGGATTTCGGCCTCCCAAAGTGCTGGGACTGCAGGCATGAGCCATCATGCCCAGCCTCTGTTTAACTGTTAACATCATGAGGTTTCCTTTCAATGAGGAAGGGAGGCCTGGGGAGGTGTGATGGGGAAGATGGAGAAGGGTAGGAGACATCATAAAACTGACAGAAGTGTGGCACGATTAAGACCCTGGTTTCTTAGACCACATAAGCAAGTGCCACTATTCTTTTGATCAACATTTGATTCTCTATTTCCTTCTTAGCATATAGATAGCTGCTTCAGGTCGTGAAAAAATACATTTAGTGAAATGAAACATAGTAGATATGTTCACCAAGAAACTAAAAAGAAAAGTTAGCCACAAACTATCTTATTTCATTGAAATGTTTGGCTGAACCCATAAGAATGTTGATGAGGCCATTCTTGGATGCCTGTACTGAAATGAACCACGAGAGGAATATTTAGGATATGTTGAAGAGGCTGTTTGGCTTAATGAACAAAGGAGTTTCTGCAGGCCCAGGGAGTGGAATGAAAATTGGCATGATCATTTTGGAGAATATATGGAGTCAAACAGAGAATTTGAATGGAGTTTTCAAAGAGGATATGTTAGGGGAATAAAGGCTGATAAACAACACTTGTATTTGTAGGAAAATAGGGAGAGTAAATCAAGGAATTCAAAGAGAAAGAGAAACTCACTTCAAGTAGGGGAGAAAAAACCCCTATAATTTTCACTCTTCCTTGTAAATAAAAAGGAAACAAATGAAAATAAGATATTAGAAGTCAGTAAGAATTTATGGGAGTATAAAGTTGGTTTTATGGATGCAAAGCCCTTTTCACTGCTGTACGAAACTCCTGGCTGCATGCTAACAATGGACAACTGATTTCCTTGCAGCTGTATTTTGCTGTTTTTTGCTCTTGGCTTGGACCTAGCACCCTGGGTCTGTGGGAAACCAGAACTGTCCCAGAGTTCTGGAGGGTAGGCCAAGGTTAGATGCTGGAGTGGGTTCTTTAATTTATTGTACTGATTCTTCTTGGGAAGAAAGAAGATTGCTTGTTAGAATTTTAGCTACGAGAGATGACTATGAAACAGTAAATTAACTCCAACGACCTGAGTCATTTTGAAAACTCCCAGTCTCAGGATAAAAAATATAATCCTATTTAGAAATTCCTGGTGTGATCACAGATGTAGCATTGGTTCTTTTCATGAAACCCGTAAATTAAAAAGTACATAATCCAAAGTCAATTAAATAGTAAGCTATTATAACAAATTCTTTTATTTCATTAGCTTTTCAAAATGTGGATAACTACACACTCAACCCAAGGAATCTACATTTTTCCACTGACTGCTAAAGACCAATGGAAATAACTCTAGTCCCCGTAGCACCTCACTGTGGGGTGACCTACCTTTGAAATAATGTATTGGTTCTAGCTGATTTTTATATTGTTAGTCATTAAGTTAGGCTTGATGAGAAACAGATATAATCTGATTTGGGGATTCAAGTATTATATTGCATTTCTCCTCACAACTAGAGATAAATTTGCCATGGTTTTTCTCTTCATAGGCTCATGCCAAAGTCTGGCATCTCTACAATACTTCTTTCCGTCCCACTCAGGGAGGTCAGGTGTCCATTGCCCTAAGCTCTCACTGGATCAATCCTCGAAGAATGACCGACCACAGCATCAAAGAATGTCAAAAATCTCTGGACTTTGTACTAGGTTGGTTTGCCAAACCCGTATTTATTGATGGTGACTATCCCGAGAGCATGAAGAATAACCTTTCATCTATTCTGCCTGATTTTACTGAATCTGAGAAAAAGTTCATCAAAGGAACTGCTGACTTTTTTGCTCTTTGCTTTGGACCCACCTTGAGTTTTCAACTTTTGGACCCTCACATGAAGTTCCGCCAATTGGAATCTCCCAACCTGAGGCAACTGCTTTCCTGGATTGACCTTGAATTTAACCATCCTCAAATATTTATTGTGGAAAATGGCTGGTTTGTCTCAGGGACCACCAAGAGAGATGATGCCAAATATATGTATTACCTCAAAAAGTTCATCATGGAAACCTTAAAAGGTATGATTGTGGGTAAAGTTCTCATTTCCTGCCAAAATCTTCTGGAAAAAAATCTCTAAGATTATCTAACATAAATGATGTGAATTTATATTTTTAAATCCTAATGGAGACATTCATTTTGGCAATAGTAGAATGCATTCATTTAACACCTTTCTCATTTGGAGTCTTGAGGAACTTGAATTAATTTTTAAAAACCCATTTGTAAATGAGAAACTGGGTTATAATATTTGTAATTACTTAACTTTCAGTTATTAATCTAGATTTTTAGATTAAATTGAACATAAAACAAATCCCAGGATATCTAGCTCTCTGCACATGTTTTTCAGTTCTTGTTATTTTGGTTGAATAAAACACTTTAAAGAAAAAGGAATGTCCATGTTTTCTAGAGAAAATAGTATAAATAGATCATGCTTTTAAAGCCTTCATTTATTTATTTATTGCATCAGACACAAAGCTGGGTGTCTAGGATGGAAAGTGGTACAAGACATCTTTCCAGCCCTGTAGAATATCTATTATAAATAAGGAACTATTTTTTCAAGGTGCTCAGAAATCCAAAAAACATATTAGATAGGCCAATTTTGAGGGCATTTATTTGTAGAGTTATATAGGTTTGATTAGAGTCTTTCGTCAAGAAGAAAAATCATTGGCTTACCAAACGAGAAGCATTACACTTTATTTATTTAAGTAGGAAACGCTCAGCTGCTCTTGAACCATGATGCAAGTGCCCAGCGAAGGGTCATGTTGCTCTTGTCCCCTCTTCCCTTTGCAGCCATCAAGCTGGATGGGGTGGATGTCATCGGGTATACCGCATGGTCCCTCATGGATGGTTTCGAGTGGCACAGAGGTTACAGCATCAGGCGTGGACTCTTCTATGTTGACTTTCTAAGCCAGGACAAGATGTTGTTGCCAAAGTCTTCAGCCTTGTTCTACCAAAAGCTGATAGAGAAAAATGGCTTCCCTCCTTTACCTGAAAATCAGCCCCTAGAAGGGACATTTCCCTGTGACTTTGCTTGGGGAGTTGTTGACAACTACATTCAAGTAAGTCAGCTGACAAAACCAATCAGCAGTCTCACCAAGCCCTATCACTAGTAAGTAGTGCTTCCTTCCTAGGCTGATTGTCATGGCACATTGTCCGTTCTTTGAGCCAAAAACAATTCCTTATGAGTACACTAAGGGCACAATTTGGAATGCTGCACCCTTCTCTCCAAAACTCTTCCAATCTTCATCTTGTTTAAGTTAGATCCAAAGATAAATAAATTTAAAGCATATCAATATTTAAGATCCGATTAAGACAGTAAAAAGATAAAACACTCTCTTTTCATACTGTGGTTTTTGATCCTTTTTAAGGCAGTTGAGTTTTTTCATGAACAGGATCTAACACAGAACTCCAAAGCCTCTGAGTTTCAGTGGTGCTGCTGAGACTGAGGCAGGAACATTAGGCAGAGTCCTCCAGAGGCACAACTGTGGGCTCCACAAATGTGCAGAAATACCCTAAGAAAGTAAACCCTAGATCCAATGATTCACTGGTCAGAATGTCTTTTTTAGCAATAGTCATTGAAATGATACGAAATTTCTTCAGAATGATCAACCAATATTTATTGAGCATCTTCTCAGTAGTAAGCCCTTAACATTCTTTCAGACTTCCTAAATTTTGAAGGGGCTTGTTTTCCAGCATTTGACTGGATACTCTAGTAAGCACTTATTGGATGTCTAGTGTGTCCGAAGCCTTGTGTTAGTTGCTCGGGTCGCTTGGTTAAGGGGAGTGCAGGTAGAGGGTATACTGAGATGAGTAAGGGTAACCTTTGCTTTCAAAGGAGCAAAGGAGTCTACTGAGCGAAAACAATGTATGCACAAATGATGCAATGGAGTGAAGCGGGCATGGTGGTAAGTAACAAGGGCGGGGCTGGGGGATTGCTGCTGATAGAGTCCCAAGTGTGAAAATAGCCCTCAAGACAGAGACAGAGTTCAGTGTCCATAGACAAGCAGTTGGCTTTGACATGTTGGGTTATGGTAGCCAATTAATTGGTTCTGCAAATCACAGCTTGAAAGGAAACACTTGGAAGAATGTGAAATGGGTTGCTGTTTTCTTGTAAATATCCAATTGAAATCTTTTATTTATAAGGAAATAAATTAACACCATCCTTAGTACATTTTTTGCTGGTTGGGATTATTCTTCTTTTTCAGACCACCCAGTTCATTTTACAGGCAGTCTCAGACTTAAACCCTCGCCTTCCATTTAAAAGATGACTGGCTCACGCCTGTAATCCCAGCACTTTGGGAGGCCGAGGCGGGCGGATCATGAGGTCAGGAGATCAAGACCATCCTGAATAACACGGTGAAACCCCGTCTCTACTAAAAATACAAAAAAAAAAAAAAAAATTATCCGGGTGTGGTGGCGGGCACCTGTAGTCCCAGCTACTCTGGAGGCTGGGGCAGGAGAATGGCATGAACCCAGGAGGCGGAGCTTGCAGTGAGCCGAGATTGCGCCACTGCACTCCAGCCTGGGTGACAGAGCAAGAGTCCGTCTCTTAAAAAAAAAAATGACTGGATGTGTCATCTTTTATGCCAGGATATGTGAGCCCAGGAGAAAGGCTTCTGAGCTCCCTCCTGCTCGGTGTGCAATTTTCTGCCCTGCCCCGACTCTCTCCTTCTCTCCCAGCCTCCTGCTATTTGAAATCTCCTTATCCTAATTTCCCTCCTCAGAGTGGATTCCACTGTGGGGTTCAGAGAGGATCTGAGGTGGGAGAAGTGAGGCTGGTGAGGAAGAAGGGGAGGAGAAAGGGAAGAAGACCTCCGTAGCCTTCCTTCCTCCTCCTCTTTACTGGGGTTGGGGATAGATCGGATGGTCCCTGGTCCTTGTTCTATCTCTTGACCTTCTGCCTGCTCCCTGCTGAGCACGGATCTCTGATAGCAGCCTGAGTCTGGCAGGTTCAGTCCTTTGTATGCGGCACAATCTCCCAGCCAGCATTGCTGTGCAGATCATGGGAACGAATGCAGAACAAGAGTGGGGGTGTCGGAGGGAGCCCTACTTCTCCTGTTCTATTCCTCATCAGGGGGCTGTGCGCTGGCTTTGGGAATTGGTAAATAGTGAGAAAGTCTTAAGGGTACATCCTATTTCCTTGAGGGAGAAGAGAAAACGCTGGTCAGAAGCAATAAGTATAGCAGTGAATAGCAAGGGAGATGGGAGATAATTCCTTTTCCTACTACACTCTAGAAGCTATTGTTTTAGAATCTGACCTAAGGTCAGCCACTAATTGGCCCCAGAGGTCTCTCTCTCAGATCACACGGTCCTTTTTTCCTCATCAGCTTGGGGACCCCACCCCTCCTCCTGGCAGTCTCCTCCTGTGCAGAACCCAACAAACACAAAATTAAGTCACTCTCAAACCCACAGCAGATGAGAGCTTCTCTGGAAGCTCCCTGGTGGGGAAAGGCTGCAATTGCTATTTTCTTCTTCTGGTTTTCACCTCAGGCTTTGTGTTATATTGACAGTACCCTTCTCAAGCTAACTCCCTAACTGACCTGACGTAGTCAAAATAAGTTCTTTGTATGTCAGTTCTGAGGTGTGTGTGTTTTCACTTACAAACAGTACTCTACAGCTTTAAGACATTATATTAAAGTCCTGAGAAGTGATTTTTAAACCACTGAACTTCATCTTTTCCCTCCTGGCTAGTATTTCAGACTTTCAGTGTTTGAGGCATGCATTTCACCTGAACAACTTGAAAAATAATATCCTAAGAAGCACACAACCTGACTTTAGGCTCATTCACATGGATTGTCACTTTACTTGGACCCACTTTCTCGGCTGAGAGGTTTGTTTTCCCATAACCACGGATGCTCATAGTTAATATAAATATTGAACTCACTATGTAGTGAGGACATAGAGCCTCTTTAACATTGGTCCCTGTTAGGAGAAAGTTTCTCCCATAACATACTAAATACATGTTTTAATAGCCGTTCCTTCTGAAAGGTCCAACTTCACTATTTTATTTTTTTAGTAAAATCTTAGTTAACAAATTAATGGAGGTTAGGTGGAATTTTGCCCCAAAAGTCCTGTATTTTCTTTTTTTTTTTTTCTTTTTTTTTGACAGAGTCTTGCTCTGTCGCCCAGGCTGGAGTGCAGTGGCGTGATCTCGGCTCACTGCAAGCTCCGCCTCCTAAGGTCACGCCATTCTCCTGCCTCAGCCTCCTGAGTAGCTGGGGCTACAGGTGCCCGCCACCGCACCCGGCTAATTTTTTGTATTTTTAGTAGAGACCGGGTTTCACTGTGTTAGCCAGGATGGTCTCAATCTCCTGACCTCGGGATCCACCCACCTCGGCCTCCCAAAGTGCTGGGATTACAGGCGTGAGCCACCATGCCCGGCCTGTCCTGTATTTTCAAGAAACTTTTTTTTTCCTCCAGAAATGATACCCTAGTCTTTCATATTTGTTTTCAGATGGACTGAATAAAAGCTGTTGTTTTGGAACAATCACGGTTAAAAAAAAAAGTTATGAATTTAGTCAACTCAGAGCTCTATAAAAATAATCCAAAAAATTCCTTCAAACTCTGAACGCTTCAAAAGAGCGTGCAAATATTCTGTCCTTCAAAGCTAAGGAAACATGATTTGTGGGGTGCATCACAGTGGAAAAATACTCTGACAGCATTCCCACAGCATTAGGGGAAGTGCATGTGTGGGTGTTCTGCAAGGGACAATTCTCCAGAAAAGGCAATTTCCCTTTGACATGCTGTTTTTAATGACTTTTCTTTATAAACACACTTATCTCTCCAGAGAAATAGCAGTGCATTTGCAACAGGCCCGTAAAATGCAACAAAACCTCTGCTATGGTTTCTGACCCCTGCTTTTATACAGAGCATCAGACCAAGGAACCTGTTCTAACAGGATTATTTCAGAGGGGAACACAGGCTTAGGGTGCAGATCTTCCAGCTGGATTTTTCACTTTGCATTCCCTCCACAGCAGACACATGAAGGAATGATTTTGTGATTTTGATTTTATAATTTGCACACTTTTCCTAAATACTTTTTTTAAATTTTTATTTGGGAGGATTTTATAGCATATGATTGAGAACTATAATCATCATCATTGTTACAGAAGAATAATTTAGAAAAATTTTTTAACTACGTTAAAAATTCCACTATGGGTGGATGACAATATTGTTCTTTCCTTCCACATTCTCCCTCCTTAGACTTTCTTTTCTTTTTTTCTATTTTTTTTTTGAGATGAAGTCTCGCTCTGTCACTCAGGCTGGAGTGCAGTGCCATGATCCTGGCTCACTGCAACCTCTGCCTCCCGGGTTCAAGTGATTCTCCCGCCTCAGCTTCCTGAGTAGCTGGGATTACAGGTGTGCACCACCACACCTGGCTACTTTTTGTATTTTTAGTAGAGATGGGGTTTCACCATGTTGGTCAGGCTGGTCTCAAACTCCTGATCTCATGATCTGCCCGCCTTGGCCCCGCAAAGTGCCGGGATTACAGGCGTGAGCCACTGCGCCTGGCCTCTCTCTCGGACTTTCTACCATCAGTCAGATTGAATTTGTTAAATTCTGTCACTGACCCTAAACCCAACAAAAGGCAAGAGTTATGTTTATTTAGCACTTCCTCTACCTATAGCAAACCTCAATTTAGAGCGTAATTTTAAGCACAATTTAATTATAAATATCTTTTCATTTTCTTACTTAACTCACTCAGTTTTTTAAATCTTCTTTTTTGAGACAAGATCTTGCTCTGTCACTGAGGCCGATGTACAGTGATGTGATCATGACTTACTGCAGCCTTGACCTCCCAGGCTTAGGTGATCCTCATACCTCAGCCTCCCGAGCAACTAGGACTACAGGCCCGTGCCACCATGCCGGGCCAAGACGGGGTTTGGACGTGTTGCCCCAGCTGGTCTCCAACTCCTGGCCTCAAGTGACCCTCCCGCCTCGGCCTCTCAAAGTGCTGGGATTATAGGCATGAGCCACCGCACCTGGCCAACTCACTCACATTTTAAGTTTTTTCTTTTTTTCATCTAGTTTTTTTTCTTTTTAAATTTGAAAGCCTCATGACATTAATGATTTCTTACATTAAAAGAAAAACACCCAAAAATACTCTGCTTACATAACACCGACAAGTAGTGTGCAAGACTCATTAGCATTTGTCATCTGAAGTGACCAAATCCAGACTTTTGGGGGTCACATTAAAGAAACAGTTGAAGAGTTAGAACTATGGGTAAAGCGAGTGTGCATATCAGAAAGTGGAATATTGTCTTCCTCAGGAGCTGACAATTTATGAAAAATAGTTCACATTCTCAGCTAGAAAGGCTTCTATTTTTGCTCATATTCCTGGCTAGTTTTGCTGAAATAATTGCTTTGAATTACTTCCTCAGGACTGCCCAGGTGACGCTAATGTTTACTCTGCCCTTCACAGGTAGATACCACTCTGTCTCAGTTTACCGACCTGAATGTTTACCTGTGGGATGTCCACCACAGTAAAAGGCTTATTAAAGTGGATGGGGTTGTGACCAAGAAGAGGAAATCCTACTGTGTTGACTTTGCTGCCATCCAGCCCCAGATCGCTTTACTCCAGGAAATGCACGTTACACATTTTCGCTTCTCCCTGGACTGGGCCCTGATTCTCCCTCTGGGTAACCAGTCCCAGGTGAACCACACCATCCTGCAGTACTATCGCTGCATGGCCAGCGAGCTTGTCCGTGTCAACATCACCCCAGTGGTGGCCCTGTGGCAGCCTATGGCCCCGAACCAAGGACTGCCGCGCCTCCTGGCCAGGCAGGGCGCCTGGGAGAACCCCTACACTGCCCTGGCCTTTGCAGAGTATGCCCGACTGTGCTTTCAAGAGCTCGGCCATCACGTCAAGCTTTGGATAACGATGAATGAGCCGTATACAAGGAATATGACATACAGTGCTGGCCACAACCTTCTGAAGGCCCATGCCCTGGCTTGGCATGTGTACAATGAAAAGTTTAGGCATGCTCAGAATGGGAAAATATCCATAGCCTTGCAGGCTGATTGGATAGAACCTGCCTGCCCTTTCTCCCAAAAGGACAAAGAGGTGGCTGAGAGAGTTTTGGAATTTGACATTGGCTGGCTGGCTGAGCCCATTTTCGGCTCTGGAGATTATCCATGGGTGATGAGGGACTGGCTGAACCAAAGAAACAATTTTCTTCTTCCTTATTTCACTGAAGATGAAAAAAAGCTAATCCAGGGTACCTTTGACTTTTTGGCTTTAAGCCATTATACCACCATCCTTGTAGACTCAGAAAAAGAAGATCCAATAAAATACAATGATTACCTAGAAGTGCAAGAAATGACCGACATCACGTGGCTCAACTCCCCCAGTCAGGTGGCGGTAGTGCCCTGGGGGTTGCGCAAAGTGCTGAACTGGCTGAAGTTCAAGTACGGAGACCTCCCCATGTACATAATATCCAATGGAATCGATGACGGGCTGCATGCTGAGGACGACCAGCTGAGGGTGTATTATATGCAGAATTACATAAACGAAGCTCTCAAAGGTAAGGAGCCCTAGCTGCGGCTATCTCCTGAAGGTTATGTCACCAGAGGGCATGACACTTGATTAAATCTCCAACATCAACACACACTGCCACCCTTGGAATGGAGGGCTATCCATTTTGTGCCTCACTGAAACAGTCCAAGAGATATCTAGCATTTCCCCAAGGATAAAGGAGTGTAGCTAAAAGTAGAAGACCAGAAATCCCTAGCCCCTACTCTGGATCTATGCAAGCCTAGATTCTTGTCTTCCATCTTGGATGGCTCCACAGCAGTCTTAACTGTTTCATGTACATAAAGCAGTACATAAAGATTTAACCTTGCTGGGCATGGTGGCTCACACCTGTAATCCCAGCATTTTGGAAGGCCAAGGCAGGAGGATTGCTTGAGCCTAGAAGTTTGAGACCAGCCTGGGCAACATAGTGAGACCTTGTCTCTACTAAAAATCACAAAAATTAGCTGGGCACGGTGGCATATACGCCTGCAGATTCAGTTACTTGGGAGGAGAGGCGGGAGGATTGCTTGAGCTTGGGAGGTCCAGCTGCAGTGAATCATGATCACAGCACTGCAATCTGGCCTGGGTGACAGAGCAAGACACTATTTCAAAAAAAAAAAGACCAAGCATGGTGGCTCATGCCTGTAATCCCAGCACTTTGGGAGGCTGAGGCAGGTGGATCATCTGAGGTCAGAAGTTCAAGACCAGCCTGACCAACATGGTGAAACCCCGTCTCTACTGAAAATACGAAAATTATCCAGGTGTAGTGATGCACACCTGTAATCTCAGCTACTCGGGAGGCTGAGGCAGAAGAATCACTTGAACTGGGGACGTGGAGGCTGCAGTGAGCCAAGATTGCACCATTGCACTCCAGCCTGGGTGACAGAGCAAGACTCCATCTCAAAAAAAAAAAAAAAAAAAAAAGGATTTAACCCAAGTATATCATAGTAGATTGAATTATGTAAAACACCCATTTAACAACCAGGTCCAGGTTTGTTCTCTCTGTGTAGTAAATCAATCACTGTGACACAGGTTTTGCAAAAGAGAAAAGATTTATTTGTAAGGGGACCAAGCGAGGGGGTGGGAGAATAACTTCCAATCCTGCCTCTCTGAAGACAAGGCTTAGGAATATGTATGGGTTAGGGAATGGGTGGTCTAAGGCATGGTGAAGAGTGATTGGCAGGGGGGGAAAATGAAGTAACAGGTTAGACACATGCACAGAAAATGGTGGTGTTAGCATGATCTGAGGGCAGAGTTTTGGGCCCTCTGACGTCAAAAGACCACCTCTCAGGCACTTGTGCAGGCCCAGTGGAAGGGTCAGTGGTCTTAACTAGTTTGAACTGGACAGGAGCTGCCCCAAGTTCTTGGAAAAACAACTGAAGTGACCATTGCCATGGTAACCTATGAATGTCATCAGTAAAGTAGCCAGTGAAGGTTAAGTTTCAGCATACAATGGGACAACCTTCAGCTTCATGGAAAAAGGAAAAAAAAAAAACACATACACACACGAAAAGCAAGTGACCAAAAGCAAGCAGGACAGGCAGACCTGATCCAATTAACCCCTGGGTTTCAACCCTGCTAAATGCAGCTCAATATTTGTCTTGATAATTTGCCTATTTGGCTTTACATAAAATAAAGCCTTTTCTGATGAAATCTAATTGAGTCTGAAGTTGTATTAAATGGTATCGGAAACTTCCCAGCAGGAAGGCTACGTAAAAGTGGCCGGGCGTGGTGACTCACGCCTGTAATCCCAGCACTTTGGGAGGCTGAGGCAGGCAGATCACAAGGTCAAGAAATCGAGACCATCCTGGCCAACATGGCGAAATCCCATCTCTACTAAAAAAAAAAATACAAAAATTTGCCAGGTGTGGTGGTGCTCACCTGTAGTCCCAGCTACTCAGGAGGCTGAGGCAGGAGAATCTGTTGAACCTGGGAGGCGGAGGTTGCAGTGAGTCAAGATGGTGCCATTGCACTCCAGCCTGTGTGACAGAGCAAGACTCCGTCTCAAAAAAAAAAAAAAGTGATGTGTTGTGTGCAAAATACGTAATAACTACTCTCCTATCCTTTTGTTTTTCCAGCCCACATACTGGATGGTATCAATCTTTGCGGATACTTTGCTTATTCGTTTAACGACCGCACAGCTCCGAGGTTTGGCCTCTATCGTTATGCTGCAGATCAGTTTGAGCCCAAGGCATCCATGAAACATTACAGGAAAATTATTGACAGCAATGGTTTCCCGGGCCCAGAAACTCTGGAAAGATTTTGTCCAGAAGAATTCACCGTGTGTACTGAGTGCAGTTTTTTTCACACCCGAAAGTCTTTACTGGCTTTCATAGCTTTTCTATTTTTTGCTTCTATTATTTCTCTCTCCCTTATATTTTACTACTCGAAGAAAGGCAGAAGAAGTTACAAATAGTTCTGAACATTTTTCTATTCATTCATTTTGAAATAATTATGCAGACACATCAGCTGTTAACCATTTGCACCTCTAAGTGTTGTGAAACTGTAAATTTCATACATTTGACTTCTAGAAAACATTTTTGTGGCTTATGACAGAGGTTTTGAAATGGGCATAGGTGATCGTAAAATATTGAATAATGCGAATAGTGCCTGAATTTGTTCTCTTTTTGGGTGATTAAAAAACTGACAGGCACTATAATTTCTGTAACACACTAACAAAAGCATGAAAAATAGGAACCACACCAATGCAACATTTGTGCAGAAATTTGAATGACAAGATTAGGAATATTTTCTTCTGCACCCACTTCTAAATTTAATGTTTTTCTGGAAGTAGTAATTGCAAGAGTTCGAATAGAAAGTTATGTACCAAGTAACCATTTCTCAGCTGCCATAATAATGCCTAGTGGCTTCCCCTCTGTCAAATCTAGTTTCCTATGGAAAAGAAGATGGCAGATACAGGAGAGACGACAGAGGGTCCTAGGCTGGAATGTTCCTTTCGAAAGCAATGCTTCTATCAAATACTAGTATTAATTTATGTATCTGGTTAATGACATACTTGGAGAGCAAATTATGGAAATGTGTATTTTATATGATTTTTGAGGTCCTGTCTAAACCCTGTGTCCCTGAGGGATCTGTCTCACTGGCATCTTGTTGAGGGCCTTGCACATAGGAAACTTTTGATAAGTATCTGCGGAAAAACAAACATGAATCCTGTGATATTGGGCTCTTCAGGAAGCATAAAGCAATTGTGAAATACAGTATACCGCAGTGGCTCTAGGTGGAGGAAAGGAGGAAAAAGTGCTTATTATGTGCAACATTATGATTAATCTGATTATACACCATTTTTGAGCAGATCTTGGAATGAATGACATGACCTTTCCCTAGAGAATAAGGATGAAATAATCACTCATTCTATGAACAGTGACACTACTTTCTATTCTTTAGCTGTACTGTAATTTCTTTGAGTTGATAGTTTTACAAATTCTTAATAGGTTCAAAAGCAATCTGGTCTGAATAACACTGGATTTGTTTCTGTGATCTCTGAGGTCTATTTTATGTTTTTGCTGCTACTTCTGTGGAAGTAGCTTTGAACTAGTTTTACTTTGAACTTTCACGCTGAAACATGCTAGTGATATCTAGAAAGGGCTAATTAGGTCTCATCCTTTAATGCCCCTTAAATAAGTCTTGCTGATTTTCAGACAGGGAAGTCTCTCTATTACACTGGAGCTGTTTTATAGATAAGTCAATATTGTATCAGGCAAGATAAACCAATGTCATAACAGGCATTGCCAACCTCACTGACACAGGGTCATAGTGTATAATAATATACTGTACTATATAATATATCATCTTTAGAGGTATGATTTTTTCATGAAAGATAAGCTTTTGGTAATATTCATTTTAAAGTGGACTTATTAAAATTGGATGCTAGAGAATCAAGTTTATTTTATGTATATATTTTTCTGATTATAAGAGTAATATATGTTCATTGTAAAAATTTTTAAAACACAGAAACTATATGCAAAGAAAAAATAAAAATTATCTATAATCTCAGAACCCAGAAATAGCCACTATTAACATTTCCTACGTATTTTATTTTACATAGATCATATTGTATATAGTTAGTATCTTTATTAATTTTTATTATGAAACTTTCCTTTGTCATTATTAGTCTTCAAAAGCATGATTTTTAATAGTTGTTGAGTATTCCACCACAGGAATGTATCACAACTTAACCGTTCCCGTTTGTTAGACTAGTTTCTTATTAATGTTGATGAATGTTGTTTAAAAATAATTTTGTTGCTACATTTACTTTAATTTCCTTGACTGTAAAGAGAAGTAATTTTGCTCCTTGATAAAGTATTATATTAATAATAAATCTGCCTGCAACTTTTTGCCTTCTTTCATAATCATATGAGTGGTTGCTAGCTAATTTTTTTGTAATTAAAAAAACTTGAGTTGACTAAGCCACCTAAGATGTGATGGGAGCAGTGGAGAAATGGGTGTGACTGCAAGAGGCCTGACCCACGCGGCTGGAAGATGGTAGGGGTGGGAGGGCGACCCAGGCTAGGCCATGTGTGGAGCAGAGAGAATTTCAGAGATGAGACAGCGAAATACACAAGAGCTGAAAAGGACAAAACAGAAGCCAGAGCCGCGAAGAGAAGCGACCTCTGAGAACCATCCAGCTACCTTCTAATGCCCGCCTCATGCTGACTCTGAGTCGGTAAAACTTCGCAGGTAGCTTGGGGTGAACGAAAGGAGGGCACCTCTAGGATCAGCCCCGGGACACTAGGCGGCGGCGCTGGAGGCGGGGACTTCCTGGCCCTGGTGGGGCGAAGTGCACTCATTCCTCCACCGCGTCTCAGAGCACCGCGTTCTTTCCACTCTAGTCTTCTTCTCTGATGCTTTCCTCTCATGAATTCTGGTGTACATATAATACAGAAACCATCCTCCAGAATGCCTACACCTCTTCTTCCTTTGTGGGCCAATTCTACAGGGGCGCTAAGTGGCCGACTTGTGGTTCCCCAGTGTGTCTGGGCTGTTTCCTACACACTTGTATTCGCCCTGCATTCGCGGCGTATTCCTTTGATCCCAGGTGGACTTTTATCCGCCGTTCATTTTGCCCTGCTTTGGAAGGACGGTTTTCCAGTTTCATTAGTGACACGTCATTTTATCTTTGACTTCCACAGTCAATACTTAGAATCTGACTTGGTCCTGTTGGCTCATGCCTGTAATCCCCACACTTTGGGAGGCCAAGGCAGGAGGATCAATTGAGGCTAGAAATTTGAGACCAGCCTGGGCAACATAGTGAGACCCGTCTCTACAAAAACTTCTAAAAATTAGCCGGGCGTGGTGCTGTGCACCTGTAGTCCCAGCTACTCGGGAGGTTGAGGTGGGAGGATCACTTGAACTCAGGAGGTTGAGGCTGCAGTGAACTATGTTCATGCCATTGCACTCCAACTTGGGCAACAGAATGAGACCTGTCTCTGAAATAATAACAAGAAGACTCTATTAGAGCCTTGGAAGTTTTCCATTAAATTATTTATGATAGTGCTGTTCAACAGATACAAGCAAGCCATGTATTTCATTTTAAATTTTCTAGTAGTCATATTAAAAAATAAAAAGGCATAGAAGAGATAAATTTTAATAATATATTTTATTCTTTCCAGTATATCCAAAATATTGTATTTTCAACTTGTAATTGATATAAACATTATTGAGATATTTCACATTTTTTTTGGTACTAAGTAATTTTGGTACTAAGTAATTAGATTGGTCTATAGCATATTTGTTTAATATTTAATATTGAGCAATGCTGCTGGAAATTTGCACTTGGAAAGGAACATGTTAATTTGGAGCATGTTGGCCATCCTGGATGGGAGGACCTCGGTTCTAGAGGGGAAGGCAGAGGCCATGTCTTGTCTGGTATATTTTTTACAGTGTTTAGCGCAGTATCTCTTACATGATATTGTTCAACAAATGTTGATTAATTGAATACATGACGGAATAAATGATAAGCAGAATTAGCTCACTGCCATCACCTGTGCCCAGAGACTGGTTTAATAGAGATCACCTGTCAGCCAGCAATGACGATGTGTTAGATGCCACACAGCTCCATCCTATATATTCAGAGGAAGGAATGATAACCTGTCTTACTAGGTAGAGAGGCAGTAAAACTTACTGCTGTCCTAAATTGTTGCCTCCAGACAAATCACTAAGTGAAAGGTTGTAACTTTTTGTCTTCCTTATCCACATGTCTTTCAACTAGTCAGTAATCTTTCTCTCTCAGGCTGAGTTCTTTATCTGTAAACAAAAACAGTATTTTAGAGGAACCCTTTATGTCATCTCCAAATACTTAGTTTCCTAGAATGTGTAGCTTTTCCCCTCAGACCCATTGCATTTTTCCATTTTTATAACCACTAAATATTGTTGGAGTTTTGCTGGTTGTAGGACATTTCCTGGAACTTGTTTTTTCCATATCTTTGTGGTTAAACACCCATTGTCTGATATCAAGGAGAAAGAGGTCCAGAAAACCCACAGGGAACCTTGAGCAAAGGGTGGAAATGCCACTAATAATGGTGACAGGACACCTACAATATGGTGAAATCTTGTTTTACATGATTTCTGCATACCAGAAAAGACTTGGTGACTACTACTCAAGTCCCCCGACCTCTGCTTTTTTTTTTTTTTTTTTTTTTTTTTTTTTTTTTTTACCCATTGGGTTAGAGAAGAAAACAATTTCAACCTACATATTATTGAGATAAAAAGGCAGAGAAAGAAGAACAAGACCAGGCTCAAAATGACCTTACAGTTGGGTAGTTTTGGGTAACGCAATCCTTGGTGAACTTCAGTTTCCTCATCTTTGAAATGGGAGTGTCTATCTTAGCACAGTGCTGAACATAGGAAATATTCAATACCTTGGGTATCTACCCCAGACGTTATTTTTTTCCTAGACTCATACAACTTACCCTTAATGTGCATGTGATTTCTTGTTAATCAGATATTTTGAGCTCAATAATGTAAAACTAGGGACTATTACAGTCAAAATGATTCATCCTGAAGCCTTCTAGTTATTTTATTTGTGACTTTGAATATACATTTTCATAGAATACCCTTGGTAAAACTAAATTTAGAAAAACGAAGCCCCACATTTACTTAATAATACCAAATTACCTTCTTGGATTCAAATTTTACAAATGTTGGATTGATAGAATTCTGAAGATAATTTGGCAGCAGATATTTCTGTATCAATATGTTGAACCATCTGCTCTTTTGAAATAATCTAATGACACAGACAAAACATTAAAATGTGTATATTTGTTATTTGGTTGGTAAATAATTGAAGGCTCATTAATTTTTATGAGATTCAAAAATCTCTGGTAGACTTTCTGATTTTAGTATAATTTTTCAATATGTTTACTTTATGGTAAAATGAATTAATGTTAAGTGACCTAATTTATTTTGTATACATTATCTTCAACGGAAACATTATTCCTTAATAAACTGCTGGAATAGACTGACCTTTTTTTCTGTTTAAAATCTCAATTGATCAGTTTATAAAATTCAATTTCCTTTCGATATTATACCAGTTGTTGTCTAATTATGGCTGTGACCATAAATTTTGCCTAAGACATTTCAGTTGGTTTTCCATGTGAATCAAAGCTTTGGATAATTTATATCCAACATGTTAGATGGCAAATTCAATAGTGTTCCAAGGTCACAGTATTGCATTTAAGGCATATTGGTTTTATAACCATATTTTTTCCCCTTTAAATTATGAGAACCACGAGTCTCTGGTAAGTAGCCCCAAGGCTTCAAAATACAACATTTCAATCAACAGGGGGCAGTAGTGGTAAGCCAGAGAGGACACAACAGAGATATAATTAGAGGAAGATGGATGGGTCAGATAGAGATATTTTATTAGTAAAAGACGAGATGAGATTGAACCAACTTTTATCCCAAATTGGTACCATGTTAAATGTCCTTATTTTACCTGTGCCTGTTATGGGCCTAACAATCCACCAAAACAAACACAATGTGGGGTTACTACGACCATCATGTTGACAGGATGAGCTGCAAGATTCCAGCAGTGTTGGCAACATGGCTGCACTGGTTCACTCAGACAGAGAGGAAGGAGCTGAGGGAAACCAGAAATTAGGTAATGGGCTTGCAGCCTTGGGGAGAGCCCCAGAGTGGAGTAGTACCTCTGAATCTGCATGCTCTGGGATGTGCTGGCTAAATGCAGAAGACCAGGCCTTTTCCCCTCCCAGCCCACGCTTTCGAAAGTGCCTTTGGGGGAAGATGGCGGCAGCACCCATGGCTTGGTAAGGGATCACTCCCGACTGATTCTGACACCCTGTTCATGGAGAACCACGGGGCTTTGTGGAAGGGTGTAGTCAAGGGCAGATCCAGTGAATATAAGAAGGCGAGAAAGACCAGTGCACAGGCAATTGAACGAGAAACAGGAATGTCGGAATTCGAGGGCTTAGGAGTGAAGCATTTCCAGCTTGCATCAAGAGGACTGATGAAGGAGAAGCCAGCCGTTGGAGGGGAAGCTCAGGGAGTGTTCCTCCAGGATACGAGGAAGGTCGTGTACAAAGAGGCTGAAAAGGCTGGGGATGGTTTTAGGGCTTGTGGGAGTGGGCCCAGTGGAGGAAGGGAGGAAAGCGAAGGATAGAGGAGAACTGTAGGCAACGAATTCAAGTGTGTCCAGAAAGTCAGAGCATGCCTGAGTTGAGAAAGTGGAGTGGAAGGGCAAGGCAGTAATATGCCAGCTTCCAGGAACTACAACAGAGGCCCTGGGCCCAGGTTTTGGGTGGAGCAGGCTCTTATATTTATTCCAAATTGGTACCAGTTAGGTATCTGGTACCTAAACCAGGTAGAGAGCCCCTATTTTCTAGTTCTACTTGCAAATTTGCTTTATAACCCAGAGGAAGTCACCTTAACCCACGGGGCCTCATTGTTTTCTTGTCTATAAAAAGAGGGAGTTAATCAGGACCAGTGCTTTTCTACCTTGGTTACACATCAGAATCGCCTGGGATTTAAAAAATTCCTCAGACTAATGAAGTCAGTTTTTCTGGGGGGCAGTGGAGCTAGCTCCCAGGTGATTGCAATGGGAAGCTGAAATTGAGAACCAGTGATCTAATCAGTGCGTTGCTGACTTTAACACACATATGAGTCACCTGGGGATCTTAGTCAAATGCCAATTCTGATTCTAGAGGTCTAGGATGGGCCCAAGGGTTTGCATTTCTAACAGCCTCCCAGGAGTGCCCATGATGCTGCTCTTCTGTGGACCACAGTTTGAGTAGCAAGGGGCTAAGGGCCCTCTGGGTTGATTGAGGGATATAATTTGTTCTAATAGGGATAACAAGAGACAGAGAGAAAAGAACTATTAGTCTGTTGTTACTGAAATGGTATCATAGAAAGCGTCAGAATGCAACAAGTGCCATGGATGGAAAACAGGTACTGATTTAAGGTTGCCACAATGAAAACCTTAAGACATGATGTCCTAACAAACAAATTATCACTTTAAATGCATAATCATTGTTTGAAACAGACGTGTTTTTTAATATTTTAAGTTCTGTGGTACACATGCAGGATGTGCACATTCGTTACATAGGTAAATGTGTGCCATGTTGGTTTGCTGCACAGATCAGCCCATCACCTAGGTATTAAGCCCAGCCTCCATTAGCTATTCTTCCTAATGCTCTCCCTCCCCTTGCCCCACCCCTGACGGGCCCCAGTATGTGTTGCTCCCCCCAGTGTGTCCATGTGTTCTTATCATTCAGCCCGCACTTAGAAGTGAGAACATGCAGTGTTCGGTTTTCTGTGAAACAGACCTTTTAGGTGCAGATGACTACAATTTAAAATTTTTAAAACAGACTTCAAAGTCTAAATTACCATACTTTTTAAAATTGGAAATAACTTTAATATAAAAAATCATGAAAAAAAGTCAAAATTATCTGCTTTTTTTTTCTTATTTTTAACATGTTGGAAGAGTAACTAAATCAAGAGCCTTATGCTGAAAACATCCTATATGCTCAAACATCTTCTGGTGATGTATATTCAATATGAGATAACAAAAATGAAAAACAGCAGATCTGTATGATAATGCACATAATATTATGTGCATGTTTACTGATAACAGACAAGATGTGAATTAGGAGACAAATGTTTTAAATTTATTGGAACTTTTTTATCATTAAAAATATATTTTAAAATATATGTTGAATGAAGACAGAACGAAGCTAGTCTTGAAGGGAGATTGCTGCGTTGGGCAGGTTGAAGTCTGAAAAAAATAATAGTTCTGGAACAAACTCTCTAAGCCTGTCATAGACCTGCTCTTTCTCACCTGGAGACATCGTGAGACCTAGGTTTAATTGCCATTTCTTTTCTGTGTTTGGTGCATCCATTTGTAATGCACCCACCTTCCAGGGCTATTTGAAAGCTTCAGGGTGTTCATGTCATATGAGAACATAGTTTATCAATGTAAAAGCATTGTCCAGATGTAAATTATTATCATCTGGCTCTCTCTCACACTGAACCCACTTCTGTGACTGCTAAAGAGATAGAGAAAAAAGAAGAATCAAATGCTATCATGCTTATGAAGCAAACTGTGGGTTTTTACCACCCACAGTTCTTACCAACCCAATTGCAATAGAATTGCAAAATAGACTCTCCATTGTCTCTGTTGTCTCTCTAGCCCTTGACAGTGAAGCACAAATCTACACTGTGCCAAGCCAGGCTCATCACTCACATCACATGATGGCCACTGCATCTAGTTTTCCTCAACATAAACCTAAAAGCCTGGATGACATCATCGTCACCATTGTGGTTTTTTTTTGTGAAAGTGAAGTGGAAATTGTACATGTTTGATGCACATACAGGTGACTTGCGCTGCTATTTTTGAAGGCCTTTAAGAATACTGTGTTAACCAAGAAATGCACACTTTTGTTCAAAATATTTTGGAATACGAGTGACACGAGTGTTTTATTTCTGCGTACAGATTACACAGTATCATAGCAAAACTACTTTGTAAACTGTGAATTGTTTAGTGCATTCATGGTGGATGTCTCTTGTTGGATGTCTATTCAGCCTTCAACCAGATAGATCTGAAAGGCAATATTCACTATCTTTCCTTTCTAATTAGCTCTTCCTTTCTGTTTCCCTAATTTACCCCAAACAACCCTTGGAGACATTCAGGTGTGAAATTCTATGGATTCTTTTCACTGTGGTATTTGCAGCATCCACCCTTCATCTGGGTGCTTGCTGCAATTGTACTCTTTGCACTCTTTGCACAGACTTTTCCAATAATCCCTAACTGGTTTTCTGGTTTGAAAAAAATGACAAAATTATCTGCTTTCTTCTTCTTATTTTTAACATGTTAGAAGAGTAACTGAATCAAGAGCCTTACGGCAAGCACCATTTTGATTACGTCACTTGCCTCTTCCAGGAGCATCTTTGCATCCTACTCCCAGCTGGTTGGTATTTGTTCTCAGACCTCTCCTCTCATGTCCCCTGGCCTGGTCATCCCCAAACCTCACTAAACAGAATTAGCACCTATCACCTCCTATGGGACTTGTGTGATTGTTTAATCCCTTCCATTTGATTATAAAGTGCTCTGAGGCAACGACCTTATTTGCCTTGTTACTCCCCAGGACACATATTAACTGCCTAATAAGCATTTCTTGTATGAATAAATGCCCAGTGAAAAAGGGCATAGAAATTTATTACAGGTGGTTCGTTAAAAGGAGTCAACTGTTTTTCCAGTTACCTGGGGCTCAATTGAACTCTGTTATCTGGCATTTTGCCAATCACACTTCTCTTTAACAATATTCATGATGATAATTGGTGTTCATGGTGATTACCCCAGGGCTGTACAAAATCCTAAAAGGCCTTCTCAGTCAGTTTTAAAAAAAGACCATATGAAGATGTTTGTTTCTCGTTAAAAGATTCATTATATGTATTATCATAGATTATCAATTTTCAAGGAATTAAAACACAATAAAAATCACAGTAATATCACATTGTACATTAATCTTCCTTTGATGATTAGTTCATTCAACAAATAATTAGCACACACTTAATATGTGCAAGTTAATAGAGTTATTAAGCAGGATATCCTACTCCAGTCAATTTATATATATTCAAAATGACGTTTTCATCGATTGTGCTAGATAATACTGGTTTACTGTAAGTGGCATACAGTGTTATATTTAATCACTTTTTTCAATATACATTAAGCAAAATTATGGCTCTTTAAAATAGTTTTTTATAGAGCAATTACTAAGAAGTCACTTATGAAGAAAAGTTCTATAAATCAAATCTGGTTCTTGGTTATTTCTTCAAAGATACCTGAGAACGGGTTGGTTTTCTGATCTATTGGTACATTTGGTCCCTGCTTTGGACCCTGAGTGATGGCATGGCCACAGCTCTTCTCCCCATGTCTGCTCAGTCTGGAACAGAGTTGATCTGGCAATGCAGATTCTGCCTAGGCACTCGAAGCAGCGGCTCTCAGTCTTGGCTGCGCTTTGGAATCACTTGGGGAGTTTTAAAAACCACTGATGGCAGGGATTCCAATTTAATTGGTCTGAGATGTAGCCCTGAATCTCTTTCATGGCTCCAGTCTCACTGCGTGAGACTGCCAGCCTCTCCCAGGTGACCCTGACTCCTGGGAGCCCAGTAACACATCCTCTGTCCTCTGTCATCCTGTAGCCCAGGGGAAGTAGTAGCTTTCTACTGTTGCTACTCTTAGTGTTTCCTTATCATCCCCAGTTGGCTTCTCAGCAATTCCATTACCCACCGCATAACCAATTCTGTGTATAACATTCCCTCTGTGGTTTGAATCCCAACGTGGTTTCTCTTTTCCTTGTTCAGCTTTTCATCAGATCTTAATACAGCTGGTGCAGAAGGCAACAAAAAGTGGGATAAGCACTCTGTGGGACAACCTTGGACAGCCAGGCCTCGTCCTGGGTGGGGGGCAGAACAGGCGTAGGCCCGTGGAGACAGGGGAATGGGTAGGACACAAGTTTCATGACCATTTCTAGAGGCCACTCCTTTAGAGCCAGAGACACCTGCAGATATTCTATAATACAAATCTCATGGGAGAATTTAACAAAATGTTACAACTTCATCATTTTTGATGATTTGATTTCCTTGTAACAGGTCACACATATATTTTATAAAATCTGTCAGGAAGAAATTAATTTTTAACATGCCTTTCTGTTGGCATATAGGGTTGATGAATTAACCTGAATTAACCTTTTAGTCCATACTAGCAAAGCTGATGAAACTTCAATGTGAATTTCTTTTTAAATTCTAATTCCTTTTTACAGAACCTTGCTGTTGGCTTGTACTTCAAATCCATGACCAAATATTACATAAGGTAGGTTTGAAAAGCCTCATCTCACTTAAAACAAAACACTTAAAAAATGCCTGCTCTTTGTCTTGTGTGGGTAAGAGGAGGTGGTCTGTTCTGTATTACTTATCTGTGTTGTCTCACTGGAGCCCTGCTGACAACTGACAGGTAAACAAGAGGAAGCAATTCCAGTAATCAAATGAAAGCTGCACGTATTTGTTGGTGATATATACATGGACACCCAGGGCCGCCTTTCACGTAAGCACAGGGTAGATCATACGCAGACCCAGAGCCTTTTCTTCACACACATACCTACCGACTTACCTACACACACACACACACACACACACACACACACACACCCTCAGCTGATTCTGCAGCAGCCTTCACCCAGCTGTACTTTTGTAATGGCCTTGCTGAATTGGGTTCCCATTTCTGCTGTTTTGCAGACCCCTTCAGAAAGCAATAGTAAACATCCTCTACATCTAATAGAAAAGAGTTAAGCAAGTCAAAGCTAGCATTTTTGTCTTCTTAGGAACATCACTGCTGTAAGCTAAGAGATTGAACCCCATTTATTTAGAACTGGAGTGTAATAAACACTTATCAAGCCTTATGTTTGAAGATATTCTATTATCTTCATTTTAAAGACAAGAAAACAGGTATACAGAAGTGAATAACATGCTGTTTTAGTCTGTGCTGCTGTAACACAAGACCACAGACGGAGTAATTTAAGAACAGAAATTTATTTCTCACAGTAATGGAGGCTGGAAGTCTAAGATCAAGGTGGCAGCCTTCTTGCTGTGTACTCACATGGTAGAAGGTAGAGGGCAAAGAGAGTGAATTAGCAGAATGCTATGTGAAGCCTCTTTTATAAAGGCCTTAATCCCATTAATGAGGAAGAAGCTCTCATGGCCTAATCACCTATTAAAGGCCCCACTTCTTCATACTATCATATTGGCAACACCTGAATTTTGGAGGGGATACATTCAAACCATAGCTTATGCCAAAGGCTTGCAGTAGGAAAGGTGAAGTAGAAATAGGATTTAAATAGGCAGGATTGCTTCAGAACTTGCACTCTGAATTACGCTGTGAACTGCATTTATGGCCATGGTGATTTCAGTGGCTAGATAAGTCTGGTGTTTCTCTATGCCTGAGCTAATAACTCTTGGAGAAAATTAAGGACTCAGAAAGACCCAGCAACTAATTTAAGTCATTAGTGACTATTCAAAGCTATGTTCAGATTGGTTTCCTAGGAAAGACAGCCAACTCATTTACAAAGAGGAGAGACAATTGCTGGCTTAGAAAGCTGTACAGAGCCTTTACTGTTTCTAGGAGGAGAGACTGTAACCGAAGATTGATAAGACAAATTACTTACTAGCTTGGCAATACAAAGTGCATTAAACACTTCAATTCAAACCACTAGTGACTAGCGTCTGGGAAAGCAGAAATTATCATTGCTCTATGCCCGGGCTCCCAGGCAGGGCTGGCTTCATGGCAGTGTCACCTGTGTAATTGCATAGCTTAATGTTCTTCTGTGACCGTCTTGAAATTCTTAATATGACTTCCTCTTTGGACTTGTGTTTTGTGATTATGTCTGTGGGCTAGTGTAGCCTGCGCATAGGCAGAGGGGATATGCCAGGCAGCAGTGCCCACATGGATGGGGTGTGGTGAGCAGCAGCCCAGGGCAGGTGGGCAGGGTGCATACACAGCGGTTGGCCGGGTCTCATGTGCGTGCCTCAGGGAAGTCCAAGGTACGGTGGGTTTCTAAGGGTGTGGCCAGCCCAGCATGTGTAACAGCAGCAGCAGCAGAGGTGGCAATGGCAGCTCCATAAGTTATAGGAAAATTATAGGAAATTTCAGAGGCAACATTAAAATAACATTATATAATATTGTATTGGCCAGGTACGGTGGCTCACACCTGTAATCCCAGCACTTTGGGAGCCAAGGTGGGTAGATCACTTGAGGCCAGGAGTTCAAGACCAGCCTGGCCAACATGGTGAAACCTCCTGTCTACTAAAAATACAAAAATTAGCCAGGCATGGTGGCACATGCCTATAATCCCAGCTACTTGGAAGGGTGAGGCAGGAGAATTGGTTGAAACTGGGAGGTGGAGGTAATGGTGAGCTGAGATCATACCGCTGCACTCCAGCCTGAGCAACAGAGTGAGACCCTGGCCCCAAAAAACAAAACAGAAAACAACAACAACAACAAAAGAACATGATATAACACAGTATAAATTCACATTTAAAGTTAACTTCAGACTTACATAAAACTGATTCGTACAGAGATAAATCTTTTAGAAAAATTGTTCTGCAGGAATCTAGATATAACACAACTCACATTTTGATATAATTTATCAGAAACGTATCCCAATATAATATCCTGAAATAATCCCAGTAATGTTTTCATAACCAATAACATACTCTCAATGGCTCCAGTAACAGTTACGTACCTAGGAAGATCCTTCTCAAAATTAAAAATTATCCAAAAATTGATTGTAATCTTGCATCTGCAAAAGTGATTGATGTTGCTTTTAATTATATACATCTATTAAAAATAAAGTTGCTAAATGTTTAGATTTTGACAATCTAATATATTTCTAGACAAGTAAGCTAGAAAAATCTCACAATCAAATCAAGATACCACATTAATAGAATACAATCACTTATTACATTACGTAAGATTGTAACACCAAAATATTATTTTGCAAATATGCATGTTTATGTTGCTATTCATGTATCACTATTACTCCTATTACTTTTTTTGGAACTATATATATATATCTTTTTTTTTTTTTTTTTTTGAGAGGGAGTCTCACTCTGTAGCTCAGGCTGGAGTGCAATGGCATGATCTCAGCTCACTGCAACCCCTGCCTCCCAGGTTCAAGTGATTCTTCTGCCTCAGCCTCCCGAGTAGCTGGGATTACAGGCATGCACCACCACACCTGGCTAATTTTTGTATTTTTAGTAGAGGCAGGGTTTCGCCATGTTGACCAGGCTGGTCTCGAACTTCTGACCTCAGGTGATCCCCTCACCTCAGCCTCCCAAAGTGCTCGGATTACAGGTGTGAGCTGCCATGCCTGGCCTGGAACAAGATATTTTTAAAGGAAAAATTCTTATATTTTATTACCTTTTATAGCACTTTTTTTTTTACAAGAGGTCTTCATTTTCTTTTTGCATTGGGTCCTGCAAATTATTTATCCAGCCCTGCTCCCAGAAGGAAATTATATTACTAGAAGAAAGGAGACTATGGTTCTCTAGCAAGAGTTCATGCTTCCTTCACCCTGATGAAGAATACAGGCATGTAGCAGAGAAAACAGTCAGCTCAGGGTTGGGTTGAGCATGTGTCCTGAATCAGAGGGATCAGGTGTTGCCTCCCGGCATCTGTCCAGGCCGTGCCTTGGTTTAGGAACAATCTGAGCTTGTTTTTCAGTTGCCAAAGCAGCACATGAGGTGTTGGATGACATTAAAGATGAAGGAAAGCTGAGGAGTAAATTTTTTTCTTTTTCTCAGTCCTTACTCTTGTAAAAAGTACCGGTATGTTTTATGAGTGTTTTTCTTTTCCTCCTCTTGTCTTTCTCCAGAATTGGAGCTGGTCTATTAGGGAGAGGGAGATGACAGCCCGGGATCCGCCATGCTGGAGGTGACCCCAGAGTTGCCTTTTATTACAAGGACCTTTACAAACGACTCAAGTCTTTCATTCTTCACTTTCTCCAGATGTGGTTTTGAAGTGTACAGTGACAGCTGATGCGTTTTTGTGACACTGCTTTGATTTGTGCTAAGGAACCAGCAGTTTTACCTACCATTGCTTTTGTGTCATTAAGGCAAATATCAACACTGTGGAAAAGGCAAATAACATGCTAGTATTACTATGAAAGTTGTTTTGATCTTGTAGACCCCCTGGAAGTGTCCCAGGGACCTCCAGGGATCTGCAGACCACATTTGAGAAGCACCATTCCATGGCATCATCTGAGGGATTCCAAGAGTGAGACCTGGGCCCCAGAGTTCAGAGGGGAAAAACATGTAGAACACACTAGGCAAACTTTTAAATGAATGGATTCAAACTTAAACACATAAGAGTGCCAGTTATATTTTTAAAAGACTTTCTTCTGCATGAGTTTTGAGCTAAAAATGCTAGTAAATGAATTGAAGGAGAGTAGCAGTCACTGTGGAGACTTGCAATTACAGCCTAGAAGTTGAACTGGAGCTAATATTTAAAAACACAGAGCAGGCTGGGCATGGTGGCTCATGTCTGTAATCCCAGCACTTTGGGAGGCTGAGGTGGGAGGATCACAAGGTCAGGAGATTGAGGCCATCCTGGCTAACATGGTGAAACCCTGTCTCTACTAAAAATACAAAAACAAAATTAGCCAGGTGTGGTGGGATGTGCCTGTGGTCCCAGCTACTGGGGGGGCTGAGGCAGGAGAATCGCTTGAACCCAGGAGGCAGAGGTTGCAGTGAGCCGAGATTGTGCCACTGCACTCCAGCATGGGTGACAGAGCGAGACTCTGTCTCAAAAAACAAAAACAAACAAACAAAAAAACACAGACCAAAAGTACAAGCAGAAGACCATCATGTGAGAAAATAATAGGGTTTTGGAGAATATCTCTTGGACAAACTGACATGTGAATAAAAGAAGATCCAGAGAGAAAAGCTACAGTTGGAGAAGAGGCAGTTGTTAAACTCATAAAAGAAGAAAATGTCTGAGATTAAGAACAACCTGAATGTGCACATTAAAACTATTCACCAAGTTCCAAGCAGAAGGGATGAGAAAACAAAAAACAAAAAACAACAACAACAAACCCAGTCACTGAAGGTGGTCTGTTAAATTCTTAAATTTCAAGAATAAAAAGAAAATATGATAAACTTCTAGACAGAAATAACCAGTGACTTAGAGAATCAGAGTGTCATTCAATGTTTCATGTGCAACACCTGACATGAAATCAGGGAGGGGAACCTGACTGTTGAGAGAAAAGGACTGCAACCTGAGATCCTTAGACCCACTCAGGATGCCGTTGGCCTTTTGGGGAAGAGGAAGGCGTGTGTGTGCTGAGTTTCAGAGTGAGTTCAGAGTAGGTTGCTTATGCAGCTGGGATAGAGGAAACTGCTAGAGGAAGACTGTAAGCAAACAGTACCATAGTACTCCTCCCAGTACTACCCTCCTCCCAGTACCACCAACCCCACCAACAAAGACAGGAGCACATGAGGTGGAAAAGAAACAGTTGTCAGCAGTGCACATATAATTAAATCCAATGACAGTAGTAGACCCTAAATGAGAATTCTGAAACTAGAAAAGGCAATTCTCTTTTTTTCTTTTTTTCTTTTTTTTTTTTGAGACAGGGTCTCACTCCATCACCCAGGCATCACCAGGTCTCACTCCATCACCAGGAGCGCAATGGTGCAATCACGGCTCATTGCAGCCTTGACCTCTTGGGCTCAAACTAACCTCCTGCCTCATTTTTTGATTATTTTTAGAGATGGGGGTCTCGCTATGTTGTCTCAATTCCTGAGCTCAAGCGATACTCCTGCCTCGACCTCCCGAAGTGCTGGGGTTACAGGACTGAGCCACCACTGTGCCTGGCCAGGCAATTCTAGTAATCTGGAATGAAATACTAAGCTACTTTAGAAAAACCTAGAAGTTAGGGGTGGAGGAAGAATAAAGTGAAATGAAGCAAAGCACTTACAAGATTTCATTCTGATCTGGATAAAGGTAGAGTGGAGAAGAATAGAGAAGTGAAAATATTCTAAAAGACTCATCTTATTGGGATAGATGAACTTGGTGACGGAAATAAGTTACATATTGTTTAGTTAAATTATAAAACAGGAATATGTGCTTTCTTATGAGTTTCTAGAGAGAGGGGACATTTATAGAATAGGAAATTATAGTAGAATAACAATATTATCAAAAGGAAAATGATAATAACAAGAAGCTTTTGAAAACTAGTTAAAAAAACAAAAGGAAGGAGAAGAGACAACAAAGTAAACCAAAGTGAACATAAAGTAAACATAAAATTAGACAGAATAAAATAAGCACATATATGATGAAGTCATCAAAAACAAACAGAGTACGAGAAACTGTCAGAGCCAAGAAAAGCCCAAGAGACATGATGATTAAATGTTATGTGATATCCCCGATGGGATCCTGAAAAAGAAAAGAAGCATTAGACAAAGACTAAAGAAATCTATTGTTTTTAGCTTTAACAAAAAGTGGAGTTATAAGGCTACATCAGGTTTGACAAAACCGTGGAATGGGATGTAATTGGGCTTCTGATTTAAGCTTTCAGTGGAGATTGATATAGTCTTGTGAGCCAGGAAATTTTGTTTTCTTCCATGTTTCAACTCAGCTTTTTCTTGCATGTCTGTTTCAGCAGTCGTCAGGCTGACTTTCCAACCACGTGGTGGAAAATTACCAGTGACAGTTTCCAAATTTATATTTCCTCTGATTAACAGACCATTTGTTCATTCATTCATTCAGTCATTCATGTAAGAAACATTTTTGCTTGCCTACTATGTGCCAGGTACACTACCATGTTCTACTATGTTTTGAGGTTAAGATAAACCTGACATTATTCCGTCCTTGGAGTTTACTAGGTAATAGGAGAGAAAGACATTACTCTATTACTTAGACAAATAACTGTATTATTACAAATGAGAAAAGTGCCACGAAAAAAGAGTTCTGTGCATGATGACACTGTTCCCCAACCTAGTCTAGGGTATTAAGGAGGATTTCCTGAAGGAAGTGGCATGAAACTGAGACCTAAGCATAAATAGGAGTTACCCAGCCAATAGGGACAGGAGTTACCCAGTCAATGGAGACAGATGTGGTGAATGCCATTATACAAGAGTTTGGTGATGGGCCAAGGGAGACAGGGAGAAAGTTGACCTATTTATCCTGAGCCCATCCTGAATATCTAGTACAAAGTGGATTCAATATGTTTCTATTTATTTAATACAATGTATGCATTTGTGACTACTAAAGAACATGCAGTTTTTAAGTGTCCATGTAATATTTACAAAAATAGTTGATCAGGTACTTGACCACGTACAAAAACTTTAATCTCAACAAGATACCTTGGAAACCTAGACAACATTGATATTTCCTAGGAAAATACAAATTATTAACATAGAGTGAAGCAGTAGAAAACTTGAGTAGACTGAATACTCAAGAAGAGATTAGAAAAGTTATTAAAATGTGTTATTGAAAAAGTTAACAGGATTGAATAATTTGATAGCTGAACACTATTTAACCTTAAAGAATGGGCAATTCTGATGTGATTTAAACTATTTAAGACCAGGAAGAAGATAGACAAGTTCTCAATGTATTTGTAAAGCCAATCTTATTACTAAAACCCTATGAGGATACTGCAAAAAGATCAATGCTATCTACTAGATGCAAAAACACTCTAAATGTGATTTTAGCTTGAGCAATCTCAAAATATATTAACAGACCAATGCGCTATGGTCAAGTAGAGTTTATTGCAAAAATGCGAGGTTATATGGGTTTCAGGAAATCCAGCAATATATTCATTAAATCAACATATTAGAGCAGAAAAATAAACATAGCAATTGATGCTGAAAAGCCATTTTGATAAAAATCCAGCAGCTATTCTTAACAACTTTATGAAAAGATGTACATGAGGAGCCTTTTTAACTATGGGCCGGGCACAGTGGCTCATGCTTGTAATCCCAGCACTGTGGGAGGCCGGGGTGGGCGGACCAGTTGAGGTCAGGAGTTCAAGACCAGCCTGGCCACATGGTGAAATCCCATCTCTACTAAAAATACAAACATTAGCCAGGCATGGTGGTGCACACATGTAATCCCAGGTACTCAGGAGAGTGGGGTGGGAGGATCACTTGAACCCAGGAGCCAAGATCCAGCCATTGCATTCCAGCCAGGGCGACAGAGCGTGACTCCATCTCAAAAACAAAAACAAAAAACAAAAAACTGTGACAAAAACTACAAAAATAAGCAAACATTATTTTAAACAACAAAACACTAAAATCACTTCAATTATTATCAGGAATCAGATAAGAATGTTTGATCTTACCATTACTATTGTCTTAGAGGTTGTAGCAAATGCAGTGGGAAAAGGCAGTAAAATAATTTGTCAATGCCAGGTGTGGAGGGGCATGCCTGCCTATAGTCCCAGCTACTCAGAAAGCTGAGGCAGGAGGATCCTGTGAGCTGAGAAGTTTGAGTCCAGACTGGGCAACATAGCAAGACCCCATCTCTAAAATAAAATTTTAAAAATAACGATTTATATAAACATTGGAAAAGAAAGATTAAAACTCTATTTTTGTTGATAATATTATTGTATTCCTGAAAAACCCAACAGACTTAAGAAAAAAAGTATTTGAATTGATGAGATAATTTGATAAAATGGGGACATATAAAATATGCACATGTAATAATCAACAGCAAAAGTCCATCTAACATGGAAATGGAAAAAATTAATTCGTGGCGTAATACAATGCAAAGAAATCCTGTGTGAAGAAAACTAAAGTCCTGAGAACAAAACTCAAACAAATGGAACAGCATACTAAGTTCTAGAGGTATACTAAGTTTTTAGATCTGTAGACTGAAAATAATTTAAATGTTAGATCCCCCCAAATTCATTATATACATCAATATGTATATAACGTATATAATATTGATGTATATTATTACACAATATATTGCAATTCCAATTAGAAGCACACCATTTGCAAATAATATTAAGTGATCTTAAAGTTTATATAGAAAATTAAATGCCCAAGAATAAAATGTATGAAAAGAATAGTGAGTGTAGATATTAAAACACACTGCAAAGTCACTATAATCAAATACATAAGTCATTTACAGTTTTTGAAATAAATAAACATGTTAGAGTGATTGAATAGCAGACCTTCCAACTAGCTTCCAAAATATATGCAACTTTAATATATTATGAAGTTGCTATTTCAATTCAGGGTGAGAAGGAAGGTGCTGACTCTCCATCCAGGAGAAAATAGAAATGGGCACTTGTTTCTCAGAATATAGACAAATAAATTCCAGGGAACTGAAGACTTCAGTGTAAAAATAAATAAATGAATAGATAAATGAGTGAATGAATGAATTTTCAGAAGAAAGTCTGGGAGCCTATACATACAGTTTAGGGTTTGTAGAGACTTCTTAACCAAGAAAAGAAACCAAAATCTGTAGGAGATTGAAACGAGGTCAGTGAGAAATTATAGAGTTAAAAATACATTTGCATCACAGATGATAGATGAAAGTTAACATCTTTAAACACCAAGAGTTCTTTCTAATAAGCAACAAATAATATAAAGTAGACATAAGTGGATAATTTACCCAAAAGTATATACAATGGCCATAAACATATAGATGTCAAAATTATTAGTGCTTAAGGAAATGCAAATTTGTGTCCCTTTATAACCATATAACTAACAAAAAAATAATAGAATGATAACACTATCACTCTCTTTAGAGGTAAGAATGCAGAGGAAAAGGTGTTGTCATCCTTTGCAAATGAAATGTGAATTGTTAAAGCCATTTTTAAATTGCAGTATGGCTATATCTTCATTTTTCAAAATAAAAATTCACTACACTTGTGTGAACCAGTTTCATTCCTGGGAAGCTATTCTAAATAATAGAAATACATAATGATATAATTTCATAAGAACATATATATACAATGTTCATTATAACATTATTCATACAACTAAAATTCTGAAACATAAATAGGGAGATGTTTTAATCCATCTTTATCATAAAATATTATGCAGCCCTTAAAAAGAATAAATTACCGCAAAACCGTTCAGTTGGTTAGGATTTCCTTGATGTATTTACTGAGAAAAATCTAGGTGCAGAAAAATGTATAACACTGCATTTCTGTGACTAATATTAATAAACAATGACAAAACTATGTATATACATAGGTATTTGTATATGTATATTAGTGGGTGTATGTGTTTGTCTACAACATTAGGTTGTTAACATGGAGTACTTAGTATGGTTGGAAGGAGGGAGTAAGGGAGGGAAAGAAGAATGGGAGGAAGGAAGAAAAGGGAAGAGTTAGAGTTATAGAGTTAAAGCAAGGAAGGAAGGAGGAAAAGAAAGAAGGAAGAGAAGGAAGGAAAGGAGAAAGAAAGGAAGGAGGAAGGGAAGGGAAGGGGAAGGAAGGAAACAAAAGAAAGAAGAGGGAGGGAGGGAACAGAATTATTTTAAAAACGAGCATGTATGCTAAGGTCCCCTTTTATGTTCTCTTTGTGGAATATAAAATCTAAAAAGAACACCGGGCTGGCGCTAGGGGAGCTTTCAGCTCATTTTCATCAGACCTGACTTCCTACCTTTTTGTTCCTGTAGCTACTATCTCCCGCCAGCAATAATTTTCCACTGGGCACACTGGGAGAATTGTTTTCATCTTTCCAGCCTGTTAAATAAATACAGGAGCGCCATGTTCTTGAGCGCGCCATTTGCCAGGTTGTGTTCGTGCCACAGAAACGAAGAGGCCGCTGTACAGCCATTTTACCAGGCAGTTTAATATATCTGCCAGTTATTATACCAGCTTCATCATGTTAAAGTCCTTTAATGAATCAAAAAAAGAGCAATCTATACAATTGAACTTCTGAATTGCTGCATTTCCCTTAATGCCTGGAGTTTTAGCACATTAAGAAGGGAAGCAGGGATCTGTGACTGTAAAAGGCTTTATGTGATCACTTGTTACTGAGAATGCCAATAAAACCCTAAAACCAAATCTTCCAGACTTTTCGGGGGTCATGTAACTCACTTGGGAACTAAAGAGAGGCTGCAGGGAGTGCTGCTACTTCTCCAGGCTACTTTACCTTCAGTCAACCCTCTTCCCCTGATTTTCTCCCTCCTTGTTGGGCCATTATCTGCTAGGATTCCTTGACAAAAGTCTTATGATCTTTAAAGACCATCTCTCCTCACTGATACATCACATGGTTCGTTTAAATCCACTGTTACCTTAACTAACCATTAAAGCAAGTATAGCTTTTAAATGACCCTTGATACAGACCTTTGAGTGCAAATTCAGTGTTCTCCAAGCGAATGGGAGGGTAGGAGAGGTCTTAGGGCTCATTCCTTTCACTTCACGCGGAGTGCTGCAGCCTTTTCTTCAATAAATGCTCTCATATCAAACTCCCTCCTTGCTTGCCTTTACACTGAGATGAACTTTCTTTTGGTATTGGGAACAGAAAATGATTCATTTAATCACTTTGATACTTACCTAATGTGGAAAAGTGGAGGTTCAAGATGGAACATTTGAGAAGAAACCTTTCATAGTTTGTCCTCTAAAATAGAAACAGTCTTTTTGAGGTTTTGGGCTTCTCAGAAACTGTGCTTAGCGTGCCGCTCAGAACAGCTCTGTTCCTGTAGAGATGGGTGATTGTGGGAAAGTAATTTCTGGAAGAATGGCCACATTAAACAATAACAACAATAGACTCCCTGGTGAATTTTGCCACTTTGTGTGACCCCCTTCTTCATCTAAATTTCAGAGATGTTAATGCACCAATAAGAAGAACGGCTACCACAATTTTAATTTGCATGATGATGCTCTGAGCACAAGTTCTTTGAAAATAGCTGGATTTTGAGGTTGTGGTTTCCACCAGCACTCGTGTTCAGGAGTCCCTTTGCTGGAGCTTGGCGTGTGCCCTCGGATGTCCATTCTTGAGGACTCTGCCTTCCTTATGGGCTCCTTTTTTTGAGAATGCCCAATCATGCAAATGTTCAATATGGTTGGAAAGAGACATTCTTTAAAACTACTTTTGGCCTGGCTAAGGTATTGCCTGATGACTCGGAGGGAGGCACTGGGGTGGAGGCGGGGCTGGAAGAATGCTTTCTGTGACCTGGAAGCCCCATGTATGGAGGTCCTGGTTTTGTTCATCTGTCTACCCCCCAATCCCCTCAGCCCCGCTTATACCTGGTGCTCTGCTCTGAGATCCAGAAATAGTTTCTGAGCCTGCATACACATTTTCTCTCTATGAGCCTCCCAGTGTGGGAGCAAATTCATAATCAGACGGTTTCCCAGTGAGCACAGAACAGAATTAAATGAGGCAAGGGTGAGACGCCTGTGGCCTCTGTTTCCCCAGGGAGCTGCAAGGACAGGGAACCAGGCTCTGGAAGCCCATGGCCCAGGCAGGTCTCAGGCGGGCATTTCAACTTTCGCCTCTTGTCCTTTCCTGCGGTTCCAAGACTGACCATCTGCCCCTGTGGCAGAACATTCTTTGTGGTTTTATGGAACTAACTTCCCGTCATTCTGAACTGGGAGTCGTCCTGTCATTTCGAGGTAACTGCACTTTTTTGCTCAGCCCCCCGTGTGTGCCTCTCAAAGGTTTACTGCCTTTGCATGCTTAAGTATGAGGGGTGTCCTAGTGTCCCCCACCCCTACCCTGGTCAGTACTGGAATGCGTTCACTTGCTTCTCTTTTGTTCTCCTTGGTTAAATCTATTGATGATCAGATCACATTGAAGCTGTGTTCATTTAGCACATTCTCTTCTTCATTCACAGGGGGAATCTATAAAAACAAGATAGAGCACAAATAAGGATAAGCCCAGGCCCAAGTGGATTTCAGAAGAGGGTCTAGGAGGCAAGAGCAGGAAGATGCTCTCCATCTCCCCTCATTGCTTTATAAGAAACCACTTGCCAAATAGCCAGTGTCCCTTGGCAATTTATAAAAGTGATAAACCATTGCAATTCCTCCGGTTTAAAAAACATACCAGTCAGTAAGAAGCCACAGCTTTTCTATATGCTCACAGCTTCCTCCATGGGTGAGGGGATGGTCTTGGGCTGGGGTACCACAAAGGGGGTGGGAGCATCTGTCTGGGGCATGAGCAGGAAGGGTTCATTATTGCATCACCTGAGATCATTTAAAAACGTTAAGAACACCGACTAAACTTTGAACTGCCTTTTATTATCACTATGAGCTGGCAATTCTAAATAATTTAGTGATAAATCATTCTTCCGCAGTAAAATAGTTTATTGTCCTAAGTTGTGATGAATTACTGCAGTCACTGCTGAATTGTGAGAGAATACATGCAAACTTCATATTAGCACATTTTATTATTGATTATTTAATAAACACTTCAAAAGCCAACAAGGAGGTTAATTTAGAGAACCTCCTCCTCATAGTCAGTCCTTGACACAAGCAGACTCAGCTACATGGGTTTGTTTCAAGAGTAAGTAAGACTAAGAGTAAGTCAGAGTTTGGAATTATTCTGTTTTGCTGTGGGCATAATTCAATTCCAGTTTCCAATCCCTGTGATTTTTTAAAACTGTCAATTTGAAATAAACAGGGACAACATAGTGATTGTAAAGAGGAAGAACCAGAACTTGAGTTAATTGAATTCTATCATTTAATGTGATCACTTGGAACTTTTATTTTTGCTTAAAGTTTAGAACTGTGAAGGATATTGAGAAGGCACTTCACACCCACCGAGAGGCTCTAATCCAGAAGACTGACAATAACACGAGTTGGGGCGGATTTGGAGAAAGTTGAATCCTCACACATTGCTGGAGGGGGTGTAAAATAATGCAGCCACTTTGGAAAATAGTTTGGCGGTTCTTTAAAACGTTAAGCAAAAATGTACCATATGGTCCAGCCATTCCACTCCTAGGTATCCACCCAAGAGAAATTAAAACCCACCCTTGGAATCACTCTCAGTCATTTCTGCTATATTCTATTGTTAAGCAAGTCTCTAAATAAAGCCCACACTTAAGGGAAGGAAAATTAAGCTCCACCTCTTGAAGAGAGAGCATCAAATAATTTTTGGACGTATTTTTAAAACACCACTTCCTCTTAACCATTAAGTTTTTTTCTACATTTTTTTAGCAGGGGAGATTTTTATGGCTGGAAAGATGAGAATGCTATAAATAAGAAATAATTTTCCCTTCCTTTTGTCTTCTATTGACATTATATCATGTCAGGTAGAAGCCTATTCCTTCCTTCTGTTTATTCTTGCATAAATATGGCTTTTAAAAGTCTAATTTTATTATTTAAAAAATGTTTTGCATCCTCAGAACGTCTCTGAAAACCTCAATGCATTTTTGGGCTTCAGGCATCCTGAGGTCACTCTTAGAGGCTATGCCCATCTTTTGCATTTGTACTTGGTATTCTGCCCAATTTTCAAGAAAGAAGACATAATTTAGTGCCATTAGATATTACTGTCAGGGACCCCAAAATGCTGAAATCTTGATCACCTCTTCTCAGTCCTTCCCACTAGGCTCTGAAGAATCTCTATGCACAAGAACAATAGCAGAATGGAGTCAAAAGACATCTCTATTAATAGCTGTGCAAATGTCAGAGAACTGCAGTAAAAGGCAAGTAGTCTTTCACTCCTCAGCTTGCATGGGCCAGAGGGCTGGGATGGCAGATTCATCTGTACATGAGGCTTTACTCACTGGCCCAGCTGTGTGCCCACAGGAGCTACACTATGTGTGACACCTGGCAATGCTGTGCTAATAATGTGCTGTGCAAACAATGCCATGAACCCCAGTGAATCACCTTAGCATCTTCTCTCTCCCAGTGGGGTGCTGGGGAGGGCAGAAGTTGCATGGCTGAACAAGAAGTGGAAGATGTCCCTGCAAATGTGCCCCGTCACCTTTTTAGGGCCGGCGCTCATCAGAAGTCATGCTGTGCAGGCTCCTGGCCCTTAATGTTTTCTTCATGATGGAGATTCTTTGCAATTATATTCCTCATTTCACTCTCTAGAAGATCCATTCAGCCTAATTCTGCCCTGGGTCTTCCTGAGTTCCACTCTGGGTGGTTCATCTCATTGTCCTGCCATAGAGGAGCCCTCCTCACTAAAGTCAGCAAACAAGTAAATACCACATTGCCTGGAGTTCAGTCCCAGTTGAGTGATGATTTCAGGGAAGTCTCTCATCCTTTCTGTGCCTCAATTTACTCTTTTAAAAAATACAAATAGTATGGACTTGTGAGGACTGATACATAAATTGTATATAATATCAAATTATATGGATATATGTGTGTACATATACATGTGTATATGTATATGTCTATATATAGATAGGAAAATTCCCTGGTATATAGCAGGTATTAGTTCTCATGCTGCTAATAAAGACATAACCAAGACTGGGTAATTTATAAAGGGAAGAGGTTTAATTGACTCACAGTTCAGCAGGGCTGGGGAGGCCTCAGGAAACTTACAATCATGGTAAATCACATGGCGGCAGGAAGGGGAAGAATGAAGAATGAAGAAAAGCGCGGAGAAAATGCGGGCAAAAGCCCCTCACAAAACCATCAGCTCTCATGAGAACTCACTCCCTATCACGAGAACAGCACAGGGAAACCACCCCCATGATTCAATCACCTCCCACGAGTTCCCTCCCCCAACACATGGGGATTACAATTACAATTACAATTCAAGATGAGATTTGGGTGGGGACACAGAGCCAGAGCATGTCAGCATGGAATTGTTGCTGTCTGCTCACTTTTTCCTTAATGGAGATTTTGTTCCATGTATGGTAGGTAATGATCTGAGGCAGGAAGACAAAGAGCAGATAGCATTCAGGGCCTCAAAAGATTCCCCTAATGTGTACAAACATACTAGATCTGAAGTTCTGGTTCACCATGGTTCTTCCTCATTAAGCCGCAGATTTCCACTTGGAAAATTCATTGGTAAAGTGCCATGCCTGCTTGCTGCTGATAGGATTTTCTTATTGTCCAGCAGTATGCAAGTATTCAGCCCTCAGTCTCTCAGAAGAGGGGTCTGAATTCCCTTGTTCCGGGGTTGTGACCTTAACCTTGTCCTGAGATTTATAGCCCCAGAGAGGCTCTCCTCCTGATTTACATAGTTCCTGATGTCACTTTGAGCAGTTTAGTTCCAATCTCTGCAGAACATCTTGACTATGGAATGTGGGAACACGACGAGCTGTTTGTTTTATACTCCCAAATCCTTGAACAAAAGTTACAGAGTGTTTTTCTATCTTCTCAGAGGAAGAAGGCCCCTCTCCCATTCCCATTCAGTTCTACCAAGCAGCAGCTGTTGCTGTGTGTACTGTGTTTAAAATCCCTTTGTTTTATGCAAAAGTATTCTGCTTGATGCCTGCTTTGCAATAATCTGAGCCCTGTACAGTAATCTAGTTATGAGGACTAGAGGACTTAAAAGTATGAACTTTGAGATGTATGGGGAAGATTAGGACAGCCACAAGCCTTCTGAAAATTGAGCAATGCAGTCAAATAATGGCTGTATTTTGTTTGAAATGCTGCATAGCTGGTTTGATGTTTGCATTGGGTTGGCTGATGTCTTTTGTGTTGTGTGCATACCCTAGTGGGCTTATACTGGAATCCCTGAAAACTGGCAGAAAACGAAATAAAAATGTGCCCTCCTTTGCCATTTCCAATTTCTTTTGAGTTGGGCATTCTGTTTTTTGTGGTTCTAGAAGAGAAACATGGTTCTGGAACCTGTGGTTCTTTTGTGTGCCGCCCCAGGCTCAGCCTCACAGACAGAGGCTCCAGCAGGGGCCGGTGATGGATGATGGTGTTTCCCGCTAGTGGCTGCTCTTTAGAGAACATATTTAATTTCGGATGACTGGATAGTGTATTTCTCCCAAGTGATTTTGAATTGCCCATCTCCAGGAAAGACAGGACTCTTTATCTGTGGCTTCTAACTACTCATCGTAGGATTGATTATTAGGCCTGTTTCCTCTTACTTTAATATGTAGATGAGGTAGCAACAGAGAAATTGGAGGACCACAAGGAAAACCAAGCAATAGCACAAAAATCCAGTTGTTCTATATTTTGGTCCAGTGCACCCTGGTTGGGTGCTTCCTCATACAACATCTTCAGCTTGTGTCTGTTTAGAGATGTGCTCCCTTCTCCCTGGGCTCTCACCTCTGTCAGGTGATGTGGGCATTCTCTGAGGTCTTCCTTGGGCAGGAAGTTTCTGACAAAGCTGAGCATTACGGTATTCACTCAAAGTGTATACCACACACAATCTTGGGCATTTCTTCAGTAAATGCTTGATGGGCTTGGAAATCTGAAACACAAAGGCATTAGGGATTCTTCCACAAGAAAAGGTGGGATTTGGGGAATCCGGAAGAATACAAGAAGAGGAACATGAGAAGGGAATACGAGAAGAGGAACAAGGTGAAGGAAGGGTCATGTCAGCAAGGCTGCCAGGAAGAGCTCTTCTGAATTCAAGACAAATTTCTCCTCCCCAGACTGTCCTGGAAATGCGCAGCTCCCCACCCTCCCAGGAGAAGGAGGGACCTGTGCAGGCAGAAATGCTTCTGCCCAGCCTAATCATCTTAGAAGACAAGGTCAGGTCGACTCTCAGGTTTAGGCTTTTGTATGTGGTCGTATAATTTCAGGCTGTTCATTGTTCCAAAAATAGCTCCCACCTACCTGCTGATGCCTGAAATCCATGTAACAGGAGACAAAGCCTCTGATTCCCAATAAAGAGATAAAAGGCTTAATTATGCAAATATGTAGTGAAATAGTTCTGTCTGAAACTCATTCATATTAAAATGTCATCAGTCAGCGTTTCAGCAGGTGGGATGACTGATACACACAGAAACGGGGTTCTGGAACAGGGTGGTACTAAAGAGAAACTTGCTCTACCTTGCTGGGAGGACAAGGTCCCAGCAAGGGAAGGCAGTGAAGCCACAAGTACTACCCACTTTTGCAGGGCTGGTGGTGGCTGGCTTTCCGACTATGCCTGTGGGAAACCAGGGGGTGGTGTTTCCTATGAGGTAACCGGATTTAGGGAAATGAATCAACGCAAGTCCATTGTGTGATTATCTTCTGGAATCAGAGGGTCCAGCCACACCCTATAGATAAGTAGATGGAAGTAGCTCTTCTCCCAAGGTGAAGTGATACATTTTTCCTGCCATCACATTCTATGTTTCTCATATTATGAAGACGTGGGGGAACTCTGCCTTAGAGTGAGGTGGGCTTGGGATCACTGGGGCCCTTGCTTCAAGGTGAAGTGCTCACTCCTTCTCAGCATGGAGGATGAGCTGATAGAGGGGATGGCAGGACAGGCCGGATAGATAAGAGCCTCCAAAGCCAGGTTTGGGTGAATGGGCTCGAAGAGGGGCCACCTTTATTAGCAGCTTTAAGTTATGCTCCACTTCTAACACGCTTCTAGTGTGTTAGTTGAGTCTTATTAGCAGTGACGGCCTAGTCTCAGGTGTGCTGTGGGGATTTAACATACCTACCTACTCAGACCAGCTCCACAGAGAGATGTCAAGGGGAGAATCAGGTCTCCTCTCAAAGCCTGGTCGGTGTTGAGAGAGCAGAAGGGAGATATGCCCAGCAGGCAGTGAGCTGACAGGGTCATTGGCAGCAGGGGCAGTGGTGACGGGGTGGGTGATGAGGACAACAAAGCTGATCCACAGGGCCTGCTCCTGGGCACACGAGAAGTGCTCATATGAGAACTCTCTGAAGTATCTGGTGGCCATTGGGACATGCCAATTTCTGGAAATCAGGACAACCAATGACTTCCCCATTATCATTAGGCATAACAATTAAATGGAGTGGCCTGGGACATGTGGTGTTCTCACATCTGTGCATCCCTTGCTGGCCCTGCTTTCTGACTGCCCGGGAAGATGTAGCCGTCCTTTATCAGCAAGGACAGTTCTCAGAGGACGCATGTGTCTAAGTTGCTGAACTTCTTTTTCTTCACAAGACATAGGTGATCAGCAAATCGATTAATTGATAATTCCCACCAGTGTAGTTTTAGCAATTTGAGTGGAGTGGAAGGAAATGAAAACTCTGACAGGGTGTAGTTTTGAATCGGATCTCTGTAGGGTGTTTCCTCACCATCTTACCCAAAACTGCAACTCTCCCATTGCCCATCTCTTTCCTTTTGTTTTTGTTTTCCTATAGAGCTTACCTGGACAATTATTTATTTAGGTTTTTTTTGGCTGCTTTCTCCACTAGATCATAAGCTCCATGAGGACAGGGAATTTTGTCTGTTTTATTCCCTCATTTTATTCATCTTTTTATTCACTGAATGCCTAAGATAAGTATCTAGCACACAATGAGTGCTTCATACGTGTTTATTGAATGCGTGAAGGAAGCAAATGTTCCTGTTTGTTGTAAACAGGTGTTCAGCATGTGCTAGTTTCAGAAACAATCACAGTTAACTTTTTAGAAGACCAGCTTTGTGTTAGTCCATTCTTGTGTTGCCATAAAGAAATATCTGAGACGGGGTAATTTCTAAAGGAAACAGGTCGGATTGGCTCACAATTCTGCAGGCTATACAGGAAGTGTGGTGCTGACATCTGCTCAGCTTTTGGTGACGGCCACAGGAAGCGTCCAATCACGGAAGAAAGTATAGGGCAAGCTGCGTATCACATGGCAAGAGTGGAAGCAAGAGAGAGGGAGCAAGACAGAAAGACAGGGGAGGTGCCATACACTTTTAAACAACCAGATCTGATGTGAACTCAGAGTGAGAGCTCGCTTATTACTGTGAGGAGGGTGCCAAGCCAAACACTTATCCCCAGGCCCTACTTCCAACCCTGGGGATTACATTTCAACATGAGATTTGGAGGGGACGGACAAATATCCAAACCATATCAAGCTATTTCTCCATCTTCTGTACGATGGGGAGGGTCAAAGCAGTCAAAATCGAAAATAGAAGTGATTTTGTTAGCTTTAGAGTACTCTTCACAGTGTCCCTGGCTTATGGCTTCCTTTCCATGGCTTCTATCATTTTAAAACAATTTTTTTATTGGTGCATAATAATTGTACCTATTTATGGGGTATATGTGATTTTTGTTTTGTTTTGTTTTGTTTTGTTTTTGAGATGGAGTCTTGCTCTGTCACCCAGTCTGGAGTGCAGTGGCGCAATCTCGGCTCACTGCAACTTCTGCCTCCTGGGTTCAAGCAATTCTCCTGTCTCAGCCTCCTGAGTAGCTGGGATTACAGGTGTCCGCCACCATACCCGGCTAATTTTTGTATTTTTAGTAGAGACAGGGTTTCACCATGTTGGCCAGGCTGGTCTCGAACTCCTGACCTCAAGTGATCTGCCCACCTCGGCCTCCCAAAGTGCTGGGATTACAGGCAGGAGCCACCGCTCCTGTCCTATATGTGATATTTTAAAACCTGTATACAATGTGCAATGATCAAATAAGGATAATTAGCATATCCATCACCTCAAACATTTATCACTTCTTTGTGTTAGAGACATTCCAAATCTTCTCTTCCAGCTATTTTGAAATATACTATAAAATCTTGTTAACTACAGTCACCCTACTGTGCTATTGAACACTAGAACTTATTCTATCTAACTGTGTTTTTTTACCCATTAACCAATCTCTCTTTATCTCTCCCTCCCTCCACACCCTTCCTAGCCTCTGGCAACCACCATTCTACTCTCTACCTCCATGAGATTCACTGTTTAGCTCCCACATATGAGTGAGGACATGCGATATTTGTCTTCCCGTCATCAGGGAAATGCAAATCAAAACCACAATGAGATATCATCTCACCCCAGTGAAAATGGCTATTATCAAAAAGAAAATAACAAATGCTGTCAAGGATGCTGAGAAAGACGAATGCTCATACACTGTTAGTAGGGATGTAAATTAGTCCAGCAACCATTGCAAACAATATGGAGGTTCCTCAAAAAACTAAAAATATACCTACCATATGATCTATCAATCGCTGGGTATATATCTGAAGGAAATAAAATCAGCATATTGAGGAGATATCTGTACCCCCATTTTTATTGCAGCACTATTCACAATATTCAAGATATGGAATCAACATAAGTGTCTGTCAGTGGATTACTAGATAAAGAAAATGTATATATAGGCAACAGAATCCTATTCAGGCACAAAAAGAATGAAATCTTGACATTTGCAACTTCTATCATTGTTATGTCCTGTTTAACAAACTGGTTCATTTTAACAAACGCTTATAGAATGATGCAGCAGAAAAGGTCCTAACAGATGAAGTTTCCAAGTTAATTGAGGCATGATCCATGCCCTTAAAAGTCTATAGCCTAGCGGGAGAGTTAGGCTATCAGTGACCTATGACCCACCAGATAGGGAGGTCAATGTAGTCACTGGGGACATGAAGGGGTGGCTGGGCATCACTGGATCATTAAGTACATGGTCAGGAATGACACCACTTAAGTGAGTAAAGTGATATACCCCCAGCCTTGGGCACTGATCATTTCCTTGGGTTTCAGACCTTATATTAGTTAGGGTTCTCTAGAGAAACAGAACAAATAGGAGATATATGTGGAGATTTACTATGAGGAATTAGCTGACATGATTTTGGAGATGGAGAAGTCCCATGACCTGCTGTCACCAAGCTGGAGATCCAAGAAAGCTGCGGTTGTAATTTGGTCTGAGTCTGGAAGCCCGTGGAAAGCCAGTGATGTAGATCCCAGTCTGAGGCAGGAGAAGATGGCATGAGACATCCCAGCTCAAGTAGTGAGTGAGGAAAAAATGGGCAAATTTCTCCTTCCTCTGCCTTTGTTTTATTAGGGCCCTCAGTGGTTTGCAAGTTGCTCAACCACATTGGGGAGAGTAATTTACAATTGACCCTTGAACAATGTGGAAATTGGAGGCATCCACACCCCTGCACAGTTGAAAATTTGCATGTAGACTCCTCCAGAACTGAACTACTAACAGCCTACCATTGATCGGAAGCTTTACCAATAACATAAATGGACAATCAACAAATATTTTGTATTATATGTATATACTGTATTCTTAAAATAAAGTAAGCTAGAGAAAAGAAAATGTTAAGAAAATCATAAGGAAGAGAAAATATATCTGCTATTCATTTAGTGGTGATGGATCATCATAAAAGTCTTCATCCTCACCACCTCCACATTGAGTAGACTGAGGAGGAGGAGGAGGGTTTGGTCTTGCTGTCTCAGGGGTGACAGAGGTGGAAGAAGTGGAGAAGGTGCAAGAGGAGGTAAGAGAGACTGGCACACTCAATGTAACTTTATGAAAATACATAATGACTTCTGTTTGACTTTTTTTTTGCTTTTTCACTTCTCTAAAAATGTTTCTATATGGTATCAATCCTTCTTCCACCATTTGCTTTAGTTTCAGTGACCATTTCACAGAAAGGTCCATCTTGCAAAAGAAGTCAAAAGCAGTCTTAAATAAGCAGAACTCTGCTAGGTTGTCTGTATGCATTTGTTTTCTGTTGCTGCTTCTATGTCTCCTTCCTCATCAGCTGGCTTGGAAGCACTCATCTCCATCAAGTCATCTTCTGTTAATTCCTCTCATGTGGTGTCTGTTAGCTCTTGAACTAATCCAAGATTTTGAAACCCTTCACCCCCCCCACTTTTTTTTTTTTGGCCATATTCTCAATCTCTTTCATGATTTTCTTGATTGGCTCTGTCATAAACGCGGTGAAGTCATGCACAACATCTGGACACTGTTTTCTCCAACAGGAATTCATTGTTTTGAGCTTGATGTATTTCATGGCCTTTTCTGGAACAACAAAAACATCTTAAATGGTGTAATACTTCCAGATTTTCATGATGTTCTCTCTAGAGGGGTTTTCTTATATAGCATTGATGATCCTTTCATATAGTACCATGTTTAATGAGCCTTAAAGGTCCTTATGACCCCCTGATCTAGAGGCTGAATTAGAGACATTGTGTTTGGGGGCAAGTAGACAAATTTTGATGCCTTCAGTGTCGAACTCATTGTGGTTCTGGGTGGCCAGGGGCATTGTCTAATATCAAAAGAACTTTAAATGGCAATCCCTTACTGGTAAGTTACTTCTGACTTCAAGACAAAGCATTAGTGGTACCAATCCAGTAAAAGAGTTCTTCTTGACTAGGCCTTGTTTACAACCAAAATGCTGGCACCTAATGTTTATCATTTCTCTTCAAGGCTTGAAGTTAGCAGCTTTATAGATATGGGAAATCCTGATCATAAACCCAAGTGCGTTTGCCAAAACAATAGAGTTAGCTTATCCCTTCCTGCATTAAATTCTGGTGCTTATTTGTCTTTCTTAATAATATTAATAAATGTCCTTTGCATTATTTTTCTCCTTAATAGAGCACTTTCATCTGCATTAAAAACCTTTTCAGGCAGATATCCTTTCTTCTCAATGATTTTCTTAATGACATCTGGGAACTCATCTGCTTCCTCTTGGTCAGCAGAAGCTGCTTATCTTGTTATCATGACGTTTTCTAAGCCAAACTTTTTTCTAAAATTATCAAACCATCCTTTGCTGCCATTAAATTCTCCAGGTTTAGATCCTTTGCCTTCATTTTGTTTTAAGTTATCATATAATAACTTTGCTTTTCCTCAAATTATATTAAAGCCTGTAGGTATGTCTTTCTTGTAGCAATCCTGTACACACATAAAAGCTACATTTTCAATATATGATTAAAAGGTATTTCACTAAAAGTGCTATTTTCATGTCTTGCTGGTATAGCTGCAGCCACAACTTCATGAATTCCCTTTTCTTTTCTTTCTTTTTTTTCACAGTGGTCCTTTCACTGGATTCATTTATCTTCAAATGATGGGCACCCACAGCTGCAGACCTTAATTTATGGTACATAACAAGAAATTCAACTTTTTCTTGGAATGTCATGACTTTTCTCTGCTTCTTAGGAGCACTTCCAGCATCACTAGTGGTACTTCGTATGGGTCCCCTGGTGTTAGTCAAGGTTTACAATATTGCACATTGAAAAACACTTAAGAACTGCAAGTGATTACTTTTTATTGTGATATGCATTTTACTGGAGAGACAAACTACTCACATGGAGATGATGAGCATCACATGGAACTTTAAGAAGTTCTTGTAACACTTGAGTTCACTGAAATAGCAACAAGAGGTGGCTATGAAATTATTACAGTAGTATATTATGTACTACAATAAATTTTATGCAATTGTGATTTAATATTGCCTCTTTGTGTTTACATTTCTCTCAGTTGGAAATGACACCATGTAAGTCTGTGTTTGTGTGCACATTTTGATAAATTATAACCTTTAATAATTTATTGGTATATATTTTATGTTAGGAAATGATAACATAGACTAGTATCTACATATATTTTATGAATTCATGAATACCTAACTTTTTAAATATTTCTAGGCTACACGGTCTGTGAGTTTTTTCAAATTGTTACAAATCTTCAAAAATTTTTACAATATACTTGTCAAAAAAAATCCACATATAAGTGAACCCATACAGTTCAAACCTGTGCTGTTCAAGGATCAACTATACTTTACTGACTCTGTCTACTCAAATGCTAATCTCATCTGGAAACACCCTCACAGATATACCCAGAAACCATGTTTAATCTGGGCACCCCATAATCTACCAAAGTTGACACAAAATTAACGATCACAGACCTATATATATGCCCAGATGCTGCTGGGCATCTCCACCTGGATGGTTCACAGTCACCACAAGCATTGTGTGATCAGAGCTCATTTGGCCATCCTTTCTAACCTGGCTCTCTCCCTGCTCTGCTGCCCCCCACGAATCTGCTTCTCCTCTTCTTTGTCTCTATATCAGTTAAATAATTTACCACAAAGTTTTTCCAAGCTAGAAGATCCAGAGTCATTTTGAGATAATTCCTTTCCCCCACCATTTCAAAACAAGCTAGTATATAGATCTTATTAGTTCTATTATAGCTCTGAAATATGTTTTAAAAGCTATCCACTTCTTTGCCCACAAGCATTTTTCACCTAGACTGTTACAACAGTCTTTTAATTGGATTCACAGATCACTCTGCCCTTCATCATGCCAGTCCATCCTCAACAAAACCACTAGTCATTCAGGTTACCAACCCAAAGCATCTCCTTTGCACCCTCAGGGGCCCAAGCTAGCCAGCTAGCCAGGAAAGGACAGACTAGTCTGGCCTATGGGAAGGATTTTAGTTCCATGTCTTGGCCATGCTGGAGTTGTGGGCAGAGGCAAACTGACAACTCAAGCTTAGCTTCTGCCGATTAAAGACTTCCTCTGGCAGTGAGGAGGGGTTTGGGCTTAGCACTCACTCATCACTGGGATAAGCCTACCTCCTGTGACAAACAATGGGCATGATAACAAGAGAGGGAGGCATGAGCCTGGCAACCCAAACTTTCCTGCTGATTTGGGGTTTGTTCTTGGGGATCTCACCAGTAATCTCATCTTATCAGCTCTTGGCATCTTAGGATCATGTAACACCTGGACTGATCTGGTTCTCTCCGGGTCATGTGTAGCATCGAAGGTGTTATTTTGGTTTTAAAAGCATCTTCTCTGAGGTTAATCATATGAATGCCAAGTTTTCTGAAATATTCTACATTAAATAGGAGAAAGGAGTGAGTTATAAAATGAAAAGAAAGGGAAGTTATCATGGATTAGTTTCAGCTCAGGAATGGCAGGTGGTGAGACACCTCTAATACATCTAATGTGGAAACGGGTGAAGAACACTGGCAAAGACGGGTGTAACTTTACAACCCTGCTCCTGTGCCTAGTAATGCTCCAGGTCTGTCTTAAGTCCAAGTCTGTTTTACTGTTAATACTCCAAGTCTGTTTTAATGGATTCCAAGTCCATTTTAAATCTCTTTCAGCAAAACTAGTGCGAGTTCATTTCTCTGCCTCTTGGCTCTAGTTTGCTTAACAGATAAAGGCCAAGCTCTTCCAGCTCAGGTGAGACGTCCTGTCCTTTGACTCCCCTGGGCTCTTGTAGAATTCACAGTAATCTGTCACTGGGTGTTGTATGTATAGACCCTTCTCATTATTTGTGGATTCTACATTTGTGAATTCATCTACTCACTAACACTTATTTGTAACCCTCAGATCAATACATGCAGTGATTTTATGGTCATTTTTGGGCATTTTCAGAGTGTCAACAAATGGGAGTCACTGATGTGAATGCACATTCCCAGCTGAGGTCAGTGTGCTCGCTTCCTTCTTGTTTCGGCTCACATACTATAAATGTGCCCTTTTTACAGTCTATTAATTGCCATTTTTTTCAAATTTTTGTGCTTTTGGGTGGTAATTTCACTTTCCAAATGACCCCCAGATGTTGCACTAAAGTGCTGTCTAATGTTCCTAAGTACAAGAAGGCTGGGGGTATGCCTCATGGAGAAAATATGTATGTTAGATGAGCTTCGTTCATGCTTGAGTTATAGGGCTATTGGTGTGAGTTCATTGTTAATCAATCAACAATATAGTACATCCAGAAAAGGAAGTTCACCAATATGTACATGAGGCTGTTCTGGAAAGTGCTGAAGTGATATTTATAGTGCATGAAGAAACTATGGAAAAGACAGAAAAACAGCTAAATTTGTGGACTCATAAAATGACAACTGATTTTTAAAGTGTAGTAAAAAGAGTACTGTTGAGAGGCTGAAAGCCCAAGAAATTTACAGTTATGTTACCCAGCATCAGGGAAATGTTAAATCCTTCTCTGCTAGGGTTTTATTATAAAGAAATACTGCAGATAACTAACTTATAAGAACTATATATTAAATAAGGTGTCTTAAACAGAAACACAATAAAACAAGGTTATGTAGTGGTGGGTTGACAAAAATATTGTGACCTGAGGCTCACAGGAACCTAATCCTGTATTTCTGCTAGGAGCAATGGTTCAGTATTCACTAATTCAGTGTTTGCAACAACTTTACAGAAAGGAACTACCACAAACAATGAAAATTGACTGTATATCACAGTTTCTGCCCCCACATTATGTCTTCTTTGTATTAACGCCTCTGCCTACTTGTGTCCCACTCTTATTCACTGTTGAATAAATGTGTGCTGAGTGAATAAAAGTCTTATGCAAGCAAGTTTTCTGCAGAGATACAATATTGCTGGGAATTTTGAGCCTCAGCTGTGCACCAGAAGGATATAAACTAGGTGACATCTAGGAGGCTGAAGAGTGGGATTATTAAAATGAAAGTAAACACTGTCTTTAAGAAAAACTACAAGGGATATAGTCTGCCTATGGAATGTCAAAAATTGTACATCATCAGTTGTTTAAACTTCATGACTTTGCAACATTCCAGTGTCACAAGGTCAGGTGTTTATTCACTGCTTGTGCAGTCAGCACACATTGACTTTGCGTTCGTATCAGAATGTGACACTCCATTTGGTTGGGGTCTGTTTTAAACCTTTACATTTATCTTCCTGAGAAGGAACCATATGTCCAGTTTTTCTGTAACCAAATATCAAAAGACACAGGTGGAACAATTTTATGTCTAAGAATTTCATGAAGAGTGTTTGGAATAATGTAAAAAACTTTTCTTTCCTTTTCAAAGTTCTTTTAGTTGACAAATAATAATTGTACATATTTGTGGGGTACATAGTCACTGCATGTTTTGATACATATATGGTGATGAGATCAGAGTAATTAGCAAGAATCACCTTTGAATTCATATGATCCATACTCTCAGGACATCTGTAGCCTGCGGCTGCTAGAATGACCATCACATTCTTTTCCTTCATGTAGAAGAGAAAAAGCGCCATTGAATTCCCCCTTTGCCTACTATGAAAGCAAAACTTGCAAGTAAGAGGGGAAGGTGTGCATGAGATAAGAGAGCAGAGTTGGGACAACTTTTGTAGGGGCATACAGTCTTCTGGGCTTCTGTGGCTTTGGAAGCCTGTGCCTGAGAATGTTTGAGAGCCCCGGCTTTCTTAAGGGCTCTCTGGGCTGATATTTAGAAGAGATGCTCAGATTTCAAGGGTAGAAGGGAAGAGATTTAGAGTCATTTGTGGCTACTTTTCATGGTCTAGTAGTGCGGCTGTAAGTCATTTCATCATATCTTGATTTCTTGTCCACTTAACAAAAATAAAATGTAGCTAAAGAGTTTACTAAACCTTTGATAAAAATATTATGAATATGAAAAAAATTATGAATTATAACTTCTAGATTTAAGGACAATGAAATTTAAGAAAAAAAAATCCCCACCCATCACTTTAATCCCTTAGATCCAGGTTAAGGCACCCAGCCTGATAGTGAATGTCTGTTGACAACAACTTCTTTGTATTTGAAGACAGTATTGACTACAGATGGTACCAAGGAGTCAAAGTCATGGCAGGCTATCTTGGGAGAAATCTTCCTCATGAAGCAAATTTTCCATTTAAAGATGAAGCATGAAAATCAACATCTATTTTATAGAAAATAGGAAATATTTAATATATATAAATTTATTTGCCTTGGCAATTATTTATTTACAATTGATGATTGATATCAACAATTGAGGTAAAAATATACATGAGGTATAAATATAATATTTAAATGCAATATCATACTTTATTTCCATTGGCAAGATAACAATGAATAAAATACTGTGGTATTTGACAAACAAGCTTGATGCATCGTTTTTTCTCCTTTTTTTCCCTTTTCCTTGTTTTAAAAAGATGCACTGTGTTGTTATGCAGCGGTGATATGATTACTATGTGCACAAAAACAAAAAAGTCAGATAATTCGAAGAGAGGGAGAATCAGAAATACAATCACATTTGTTCTTATTCTGTTTTAGGGATCTTCTAGGTCCTCGTTTCTGAGTGTGGTTTTAGGCCAGCAGCATAGGCATCCCTGAGACTCCTTAGAAATGCAGAATCTCAGGCCCAGCCCAGATTACTTGGAGCAGAGTCTGCAGTTTCACAAGATCCCCAGGCAATTCATGTGCATGTGAAATCTGGACAAGCACCTCTCTGGGCGATACAAAGCCACTCATCCTCGTGTGCCTATCACGTTTTCCAAACACATAGGATCCCATCTCAGGAGCAGGACCAGTGTTTAGCTAGATTAAACTTCACTGGTGATCTTGTTGATGCATATAAAGTAATCTGGCATATATGGTTAAATTCAAGATGTTATGGCAGAAGTGACTTTGTTTTGCTCACAAAGCATTGCCCAAAAGGTAAATTATGGATTTACTGCTTCCTTCTTAGGTAGATATGGGAATGAAAAATTTCTAGGTCATAATTCAAACTGTAAGATTTTCCTCGCACCATACCAAACTCATAGAAAGCTTTTTTATTCCTCTCAATAAAATAATTGCACATTGCTGATAACAGAAACATTACATAAATGCATATAATGCAAAAAAACCTGAAAACACTCATTTGCTTTTCTTTTTTTCTCCAACACCAGTTGCTAAATCTTATCAATCTCTATTATGGATGACCAAAGAAAATCTCTCTCCCTGAAATCAAACACACAATAAGTTATCTTTCTCTCTATAGCTGTTGAATTACAATAAAAAGCACATTCGATCCATTAGCAGTTGGCTAAAGGGAGTCAATTCGCTTCATCTGTACAATAATAAATAAGGTTGGGTCAAATGCATAGGTAGCTTGGACTGGCTAGTGAAGAAACACAGAAGAATTAATAAACCCGATTATACTATCTAAAACTAATCAAAGAACATAGTTTTGGTCTCATGTTAGTTAAAAACCCTGTCTTTCAGATTGTAAAAGTTTAATGAATTACATTTTAAGAGTATCCTACACATAACAAAATATGAATTCCCTGAAGCTGTAACGATCTAGGATTTGAACGGAATGGCCATCATCTCCCTTTGTATGGTGTCTGGAGTTGAATTCAGTGCAATAAGAAAACACCAATTAACTGTGACCAAATAGGCCACTGGTCAAATAGAATGACATTTAATAACATTATGAAATGTATTTATAAAAACTTGAGACAACACAGGGGCTCCCTTTGGCTGTGAAGAAGTAAAGGCTATGATATTCATCTTGACTTGGGGTCTGTAGTGATGGGCATGGGAGCGAGAGGTATCGCTTCTGTTTCAGTCACTCTCGCTGACTCCGGTGGTCCATATCTCACTGAAATTCCATCTTACTGGGCCCAGTGGCAACTCCTCATCTAGCTTTAAATTTGGTAATGACTTCTCACCCCCCCATTTGCTTTAAGGAGGAGTAATTATTATTTCCTTGCTTTATCCCAGATCTCCACTCTCAGTTTTTGAATAGCAGAAACAAAGCGTTAACACATAAGTCTCCTTTAATGTTATTTTCCTTTGGTTAACTCATCTTTGGTTAGGCATCAGGGCATGTTCACACCTTGGTGTTAGCAGCAGGTTCTGCACAGCTTACAGGACAGTGGAGAGATGGGGCCCAGAGCCACTTGGAAAGAACTGTGTGAGGAAGGGACTCACTGAGTCAGACACCGTCATTTTCAAAACACACAATTCTATATAAAATTGGTATTTTACATATATACAGTAAAGATGGAGATATACACACATATGTACATATGCTATACATACATTTATTTACAGTTAGGTATACGCTTCTTAGAAGCCTTTAAATAGCAAATTAGGCAATGCACAAGGAATAGTCCATTTAATTTTAAGTAATATATATAAAGTTCTCATTTTAAAATTATATTAGTAGGGATGTAGCCATCTCCAGGAAGGCTAAGAAAGTTCTTGGAAATTCTTGCATCTCCAACATTCCAACTTCTTAACGTTTCCATTTTTAGGCATTAACCGCGTCCTTCAGTTCCTCTTTCTCTCGCTTTCTCACATGCACACTCTCTGCCACACTCGTCACTTTAGCTTCCTCTTCCCTGAGTTTGATGTCACACTGGGCAAAACTCAGATTTTAGTTTCTGGGCCCTCAGCAATGAGGGGCTGGAAAGAGTTTCTAATCCTGGCAACTTCTGCTGCACACAGATGTCCAAAGCCTTTGCTGTACCATTCTGGGGAGTGACCTCTGTGGGGAAAGAAATCAGAAAGGAAGTGGGAAAGTTTGTTTCCAAATCACAGCAATTAGTTTTGGTGGACAGGGCTGCCCTTGGGCCCCGATGACCAGTGAACCTGCAGACAGCTCGGGCTGCTGCCTTGAGGGGCTCAGGACGTCATTCTGCCATCAGGGGCCTTGAAAACGTCCTGGCTGCTAAGTATTCATGTTGTCATTTGAGTACTCATCAGGTGCTTTAAAATGATACCAACATCTTGGGGTAAAATGAAAAGATTCAGATGAAATCCAGAATTTACTGTGAAAACTCCGTTTTGTCTACCCAGACCAAGAACTGGGTTTAGCATCATGAATGCCTTGAAGGGGTTGGATGTAAGTTACTTACTTCTCAAAGAACTACCAGAGGGAGCAGCAAAAGGGGACAGGCATAAAAGAAATACATGGTCGAGCACGGTGGCTCATGTCTGTAGTCCCAGCACTTTGGGAGGCTGAGGTGGGCGGATCACCTGAGGTTGGGAGATTGAGACCAGCCTGGCCAACATGGCGAGGCCCTGTCTCTACAAAAACATACAAAAATTAGCTGAGTGTGGTGGTGGGCAGCTGTAGTCCCAGCTACTGGGGAGGCTGAGGAGGGAGGATCACCTGAGCCCAGGAGGTGGAGGTTGCAGTGAGCCCTGATGGTGCCACTGCACTCCAGCCTGGGTGACAGAGTGAGACCTTGTCTCAAAAAGAAACACAAGAGAGGGAAACTCTGATTTACTGAGTACCTACTATGTGTCAGGCTCTGTTTCTGGTGTGTGTTTCATGGGAGAAAGACAGAAATATAAGTAGGCATAAAACAGAAAATAAAGAAAGACAAACAGTTGCAGGAGAAATGTCAGAATTTCAGGAAAGGGGGAAAGACAGAGGGGAGGCATACATATCCACCTATGAAAGCACACTAATGGCAATGAGGAAACAAATACAGTGAAATAAGAAATCAGGGTGACATCCCTGCTGGATGTGCTGTACAAGCTGAGACTCCCAAGATCTGAGCCTGCCATTAAGGGAGTCAGCACTTACTTCAGGTCTATCCTGCAGATGTGAGTCAGTCTTGACTTGCCAGAGCCACACGGTTCTATCAAGTACTGCGAGTCCATCACCACTGCTCGCACACCACCCAGGAGCTGGGCTTCCTCATGCTCCACGGAGAGGGACACCAGGGTACACATTCCTTTGGGCAAATCAGTTTTCCAGGTCCTGTAGCAAAACAATCCGCACATCAGAGTCATGACTGAGGGAGGAAGAAGAACCTGAACACAGAGCTAAGGTTTGTGTTTATATTTTCCTGCCAACAACCTGGGCTCAGATTCCAATGCTAGTGACTTGGATTAAGCTAATGGCTTTCATAAGCTTGTGTAAAGTTTATACAGAGAATTTCAAAGCAAGGATCTCAGCTCTGGGACTGTGAGGCCAGAAATGGTCTTGCAGCTTTCAGATCTGCATCTGGAATCCCCAGCTCTGCTTAGCTGCAGAGGCTCCTGCCCATTCTCGAAGAGGTGGTTTTACAGTTTATTATTAGAACTCACTCATTCGATTCATTCAGCAGACATCAATTAAGCAGATAGACATGCCAGTCTCTGAGAAGCCACCAAGGACATAAAGATATACACAGCCCAGGAGGAAAAATACTGACACTCTAAACAGAATTCTAAAAGCACTGAGGTAAATGCACTGGTAAGATTATGCACAGAGGGCTCTGGGATCACATAGAGGGGGCTGCGGGAGGAATATGGAGAAGGCTTCCTGGAGGAGGGCATGCTCAAAGAGAAGTGAACTGGTACGCTTAGCTTGAAGGAAAAGAAACATATGTGGGCCTGCTTATTGTCTTCACATACTTGAGTGGCTCTTGAGTGGGAGAAGAAATGAATATGGTTGATTTGACTCCAGAAGGCAGAGATAGGAAAGTACATTTCTGTGCAGGAGAGAAGCACTGTCTAACAATGTGCACTGTTCAGAAATGAAATGTGCTGCCCTGGGAGGCAGTGAGCTCCCTGTTCCTAGAGCTATTCAAGCAGAGGTGGCTACCCCTTGAAAAAAGGTTGTGGATGGGAGTCAGGAGCTATGAGAACATCTCTGTAACAACCTCTAACTTCCCTTTCTACCCCAGGGATCTATCATAATAGATTGCATTATTAGAATTCCCATGATTTACTCCACAAATTCTATTCCCTTACTAAGTCATGTCCTCCATGATTTCACCCTGTCCTCCTACACCAGGAAGAGAAATGGTGATATGTGCTTGACAAGAACTTGGGAATAACCAAGCCCCACACAAATGCTCAGCGACTTCCATGCTGTGACTACTCTTTTCATGAACGAAGATGTGATAAATCGTGACGACTGAAAGTTGTAGAGATTTGTTGGGATAAATGGGAGAATCTCCAGCAACTCTCAGCGGAAGCTCCCGAGGAGCTAGCAATGGGTGTGACATGAGAGACAAATGCAGCAATCCTGAAAGGTGACCAGCCTCATACATGCTAGCCTAGACTGTAAGATGCTCTGAAGACAGGAGGCATCTCAGCCCCGTGCCTCCTCACCACACTCATCACTTTCCACCTCCTTGTATCCTACACATAAGGAATTCCTGTTGTTGGGAACCAGATCTGGTTCATTGTTAGCCCGTGGAGGGCTGCACCTCTTCTCCTTCAGGGCCACATGGTCCACTCCACTTCTTCAAGTCTTGGATCAAAATCAGTGCAGCAAGACCCCGCCCTGACCATTCTATTTAAAATTCCATCCCTTACTATCTCCCTATCTTATTCCTCCCAGGATAAGTAAGCCCATCTCCCTTTCTTATTTTTTATGGACTTTCCCCAGTGAAATACAAACCCCAAGAGAGCAGGAGAGGGGTTTGCTGCATTCCCTTGGCATACCCAGAGCCTATTGCAGTGCCTGGCACGTGGTCGTGATGGAACGAAGCACTGATAAATAGCAGGCTGGTGGGGTTGCCGGATGGATGGAAGGAGGGAGGTTCTACACACAGACTCAGGCCCTCAGCCTCCTCTGGAGGGAGGGAGGAGGCACGCTATGGCATGGCCCCATTCCTATGGCAGCCATCCTGCAACAGCTATTCAACTTTCCACTTGTGGAGTGAAAGCATGAAGTTTAATTCCACCAGATGACTAATGTCCTAATAACTTTGGTAATATGCCACCCTTATAAACTGCCTGCATTCTCCAGCAGGATCCCAAGGAAGCAGAGATAAATACATATATTTAGGGAAAATTGACCTTTAAAAGTCAAGGTTCCATGGGCCAATTCCCAAGTCATAAAGAGCTCATGTGAAAAGTAACCTTTAGTTTGCCATCAAAACTGGTTTCATAAAGAAAGCGTTTTAAATATACATTTGGGAGTTTCACAATAGGTTCCTTTTACACTGCTGATCTGTGACATGAGACAAGGCTTGCCAAGATTTTCAATAAAAAAGGATATATTGATCTAATTACCTTCTATTCAGGTTCTTTAGCACCCTCAATTTCTGTTCTGGCTGATGCAACACTGCATCTCTACTGTGCAAACTTTCTATCATTGGTTGAGCATCCCCTTCCAAACCCCAAGAACAGGGGTCTGGAACTCAACCCTTACATCAATCAGAAGAAATATTTCCTTGGCAGACACAGAATCAACAAGATTTTCTGGACCTCCAGGGCAGTGCCAAGGTTTCTGAGCATAGTAATAGCTATGAGCATCTGAAGTTATACAGATGAGTTCTGAAGTCAAACCTACTCCAGTCTTGAGAGTTACACACACTTTCCCAGGGGAGAAAAACAAAATCAGAAGAAAAGCCAGTCAGATCCATTTGCATAATTTGGCAGAAAGTGCAACCGGACAAACAGCAGCTTTTCTGGGCCGTCTGCTCTGAGGAAATGAATAATATTTATGGCCTAATAAACTGTGTGCTCCACAAGGAGAGGGGCAATCAGAGAGCCCAGGCAGAGCTGTAGGCTGGGTGAAAAGACACAGGAAGTCGGGCATCGACACAGAAAACTCAGATGTCACTGAGGGAAACAAGAGCCGGCTTAGTGTTCCCCGTGGAGGCTGGACTTTGGTGGGAGACACCAGGAGAAGTGCTCACATCTACAGTTCGCGTCCTGCCTTTGGAACAGAACATCATAAACCCTAGAGTCAGGCTCACCTGAGAACCACAAAGTCTCTGGAAGGATGGGGAGCCATGCTGTTCAGCACATACTGGTAGATCTCTGTTTGCCTGTCTAGAGTTTCCACAACCTTCCACTGCACAAAGTCCTCGTCCCACAGGTGGCGCTCTCTCAGCACGCGGTTCAGGACCACTGAGGGGGGTGCTTCCACCTCCACAGAAGCCTTCCACAGCTTCAGCGGGTTCCCGTCGCCCACCTTGGGAAAGACAACGTCAGAAGCTGAAGAGGTTGTCTGGGATATGGGTCCAACATTTTTTGTTTGGGCTTTTAGTTTTGCTATCATACCTTGCTGGGTGTTCAAAAACCATCACTGATTATGTAAATTGAGAGTGATACTACATACCTCAGCTGTAACATTTTAGTCCTTAAGCTTAAAAGAATAATAATGATGATAAAAATAATAATCACCAACACACCTAGTGGTTACTGTGTGCCAGGAACTATTCTAAGCCATTTGGTTTGTAAATTAGCCTTCCTCCGACAGTGGTACTCTTACAATGTCCATTTTGCAAATGGGAAAACTGAGGCACAGAGAGGTGTGTGACTTGCCCAACATCACACAGCTACGGGGGAGAGACAGGACCGGGATCCAGCTGTCCGGCTCCATAGTTTACTCTCTGATTATAGGCAACAGATCTCTGGACTGAGTTCTTTGAATGGTTCATGTGCCTTAACTGTCCGCGTGTGTGCCAAGCCCTGTGGACACAGCAGCTGTTTTCAATGCAAAAACAAATGTCTGATTGTTAGCTGTGGCTTTCTGGGGGTGATCTTTTTCCATCCTCTGAGATTACCTTTTTGAAAGCAAGATCTGTATTGTCCGTGCTGGAGCACGTGACCCATCCTTTGAACTTCTCCTTGGCTTCTTTCTGGAGGCCCTGGATGAGATGGTTCAGGTAAGTGTGGAAAGTTGCCCCACTCTCCTCCAGCTGTGTCCCCAATTCTTCCAGGGTTGGCACGTGGATCTCAGCCTCCACATACGAGTTACGAGACTGGGCCACCAACTCGTGTGGAACCTAGACCAACGGATGCATGAAAGGGCAACACACTGAGCCAAAGAAACGCCGAGACTCAAAGAAAGCAAAGCCATTTCACCCACAACCCGGCTCTGAGCCACGGGCCGAGGGCCACACGGCCAGAGATGTTTTTCTAAGATCATTGCCAAGGCCGGGAGGGGCCTTCCTAAAGTCAGGAAATACAAACATGTTTCTGAGGCTGTATTTATTATTCAAAACATTGCAATGACTTCCCCTTTATTATTTTCACTTCCCTTTTATTTTACCTTTACTGTCTTTTTATTCAGTTTGGCAAAATATGGGCTCAGACAACTTTACCCACTATGAATAAGACTTAAAACAGACAGACTTGTGAAGGGAAACATCAAACATGACTTGGGAATAGCTTTACTTTTTTAGCACACTTTTCCCATTGACAAATGCCAATTCTATCACAAAAGTATGCCACAAGTCTGGTTCACTTACTTCTTTTACATATCTGTGGCTGTATTCATAAGCTGTCATTGGTTCTTAGCAACAAAGATTCCTCAGTATCATACACACACTCACACAGATGTTTAACCTAATCAAGCTCCAAGGTAAAATCAAATAGAACATAATTGGCTGACTGGCCTTGAACCTGATAATGGCAGGTGATGCACTGTTTGCATAAAAACCATCAGTATGGTAATCCCAAGTGTCTTTATCAAAGCCTCAATTGTATAGCTAGCTCCTCAGCTTTCTTGGAAGCAAACACCAGAGCTATAACATATACTATTGTCATAAAATCAGGAACAAACAGATAGAAACCATAAATGTAGCAACAATCCCAAGCGTCTTATCTAGTTCCAAGAGCTACTAGGGAGGCGGAGGTTCGAGCCTTTTGCTCACCTCAAAAAGTCTGTCGCATTCCATGATCATGTGCGCTAGCCCCTGAGCTGCTGCCAGATTCTCGTTGAGGTCCTTTTGATCTGGCTTCCCAGTGGCATATTTCTTCTGTATGACTCTGTAATTGAACGTGAGTGTGCTAAGCAGATCCCACACCAACGAGCTTGTCACAATACCAAACTCATCCCTTTTGTTTTCTGTTTATACCCAGATGCTATCCAGATCCCAGGCTTTTGCGTTTCCAAATAAAAACAATGATCACATATCTTAGATATCTGAATCAGGCTAACAGTCTGACAGTTCACAAGGAAAAATCTTGGAAAACTAAAGGGCAGGAAGAACAGCAGGGGACAAAATTAATCTGTTTTTCCAAAGTTTGAAACCCCTTAACTGCAAGCTCCTGTGCTTTGGTCTTAAATATAGCCTTTTAAAAATTGTAAAATACTACTTTGTGTATGTTTTCCTCCTCACTCACACAGACAACATAAAACTCAAGCTTTCTGGATCACAGCTGGCATTCTTCAATGCTAGCTCAATAATTCTATGAATCTGAGCCCCGTGAATTAGGGTGTCTCACAAGATTTTCTGATTATGAAAAGAGTGTTGACAAATCCTGAAGTTGAAATGTAGCATGAGACACATTTTATCTATCTATAATCTATTATCTATCTCTATTATCTACCTATCAATCATCTATTTATCTCTCTTTATCATCTACCATCTATTTATCATCTATCTATTTAGCTGTCATCTATCATCTATGTATCAACTATCTATCAATCTATCATCTACCTATCGTTGATCTATCTACCTACCTATCTATCTATAATCTGTCTACCAATATATCCATTCGTATCTATCTATCCATCCATCCATCCATCCAGTCTTATGAACTGTGGGAATGCCTGCTTTGGGATTACTGTTGTTACTGAGAAAAAAAACCCACCGTGGAGAGCTTTCTTTCTTCAATAAATTAAGATGAAAGAGGGAGGGGGCCAGACACACTGCCAGGTTCATGGGCGTCATCTGATTCTCTTCCACCAAGTTGACGACGTCGTTCAGGAAACACAAGAGCGTCTGCAGGACCTCCCTGTTCTCATCGGCCAGTAGCAGGATGGCAGCCTGCACGGCCTGCAGCCGCTGCTCTTTGGAGACATCTGAGGAAAAGTGGATGCCAGGTCATTGGAGGAGCAGACATAGAAAGAGCCAGCTGGGAAGCACTGTGTAAGCTCCACATTCCTCGTGTGAACACGCACCCAGAGTCATCATCAACAAAAACAACCAGAACAGCAGGAAAGGCACAAAGAAGTCAGTAATTGCTGAGGCCTCGCAGCTCATGGGAGGCAGAGCTGAGTCCCAACCCTTGCAATTGAACTTTGGATCCCACGCTCTCGATGGCCAAGCAGGGTTTAGAAAGGGGCACCACCATCCTGGTTTTCTGTATTCTGAGCAATCAACCCACTCACCTGCTTTCAGAAGGCTTCTGGGTGAAGTTGGTGATTAGGACTCTGTCAACCTGGCATCCCTCTTGCCCATCCTCCCTGACAGACAGCTTGGGAAGCCACTCTCAGGATGCCCAAGGCTCCGTGGGACATGGTTTGAAAACCACTGGGTTAGGGAACAGTAGCCTCGCCTTGCGTTTCTCCACCCCTGCCAGCCAGGCCATGATGCCAGTGCTGCACAATTCACCGGGAGTGGTGTTGAGCTGGTGGGACCTCTGACCTCATTCCTAGAGGGCCAGCTTCTCGAGGGGAAGCCTGTACATCTTCCTTTTTCCTACAAATCTCCCAGGACTTGCTTTGCAGGATGCCTGCTATTGACTTCATGTGGAGACCCAGCGTCACCTGTTCCATAATCTTGGGGTTTATGGAAATGGAGGCTGTGCTTGGAGAAGAAGAACCAGGCAGCCTAAGGTTATGGGGGATGTCTGGCCCTTCTCAGTGCCATTACCCTTGAGGGTGGTCCTTGTGGTAGTGGGTACTGGTTATGCAGGCTTACCAGGGAATTGGTTCCAACAATATGAGGGGAACTAAATGGAAATCACACCAAATGAGTGATAGGTGCTGCCTTTTGCTGCTCCCACCTGTGGCTGTGTTTATTTCATGATCACTTTAGTCCTCTCACTGCGAAAGACACCGTCAGGAGCTTGCTTCTGTCAACACTGTTGTCTTTCTTAAAGTGCCATGTTCTGGAGCAGGGGCCTCCACACGAGGGTGTCTGAATTCTCAAGGGGTGGGGAGGTGTGCTCCTGACAGTCTCTTGAGGTGTGAGAAGAAATCATTAGCACTCCCACGTGTGTTTATCTTTTCTCTTACCCATTAAAAATACTGATTGGGTGTGCTTTATAATGTGCATAGTACATTAGAGTACATCCAGTATATTTATATTACTAAACATAAATACACATTCAGATATTTGCTACTGGCAGGAGTGCATGATAAAAACAAACTCAGAGCTGGCTGTTCCAGAAGGGCTGAGGTGTGACCTTCTGAGGGGGTCCTGGCTGGCCCCAGGCTTTGTGGTCCTGGGGGGCTATCGATGCTGGATTCGCCTGCAGTCTCATGCAGGAGGCATGACGTCACATGCCAGGGCTGACCACACTATGGCCCTGATTAGCAAATCCAAGTTCCTAGAAAAGCCTGAGCATGCCTTCAGTGGTCTGAAACCCGTCTCCACTCCCACCATGTCCATTGTGTACTGGCACAAGATATACCTGGGGTTTACAGAGAAGAGCCGTTTTGTTAAAATTAGAGTGAACCCATTTTCTTACTCTCGCTTAGGGTGGAGGAGAAACAGATGGTACTAATGATCTGAAGCTTGTGAGAGGTGTAACAAGTTTTGCTTGAGCTGCAGAATTGTTTTAAATATGCTGCTCTAGGTAAGGTGTCCAGTGTGTATACATTGTTTAACTTTAGATTACTAAGCTTCTTTTCCATGCCAACATTTTTTCCCAGCCATCATTTTTGAAGAGTCGCCTGTCATCTCTATATGTTGTCTCAGTTCCCTTTCTATCCGCTTGTTCTTTTATCCATCAGAAAATACTTCCTGTCCATTATTATTATTATTATTTACTAAAAACGCTTCAAATACCTAAATTCAGCATTTGTTTTGGATCCTATGCTCTTTTAGCTTTCTGTTACATACCATGCTGCTGCGGGTCCTGCCCCTTTCCTGGCTCTAAGGGGATGATTCTAGGTCTGAATTTCTAAGTGTGGATAATTTGCAATCATATGGGGGATCCTGGCACCTCAAATTCAGATTCCTGTGGATTCTGAACCCTTCTCCCCTCCAATTTCCACATTCTTTCAATCATCAGGCCTTAAAGCCTTATGGTTGTCTTTGACTCTTCTATCCTTCTCCCTCCTCCAGATGGGTAGGACTCAAATATTTTCATTACCCATCCAACACTCCAATTTAGTTCATCATTTGACAAAAATCCAAGAAGTGGCATAGCTGAAAACAGAACTTCTCTGGAGAAATGGAGGAGGAACCGTTCCTCTCTGCCACAGTAGCAGTTTGGAAACTTTGACTCTAGGGTCTATGCATGGAATATCTTCTCTCCAGTCTCACTGCTGGAAGTCCCTGCAGGTAATTTGGAACCTTGATTAGTATGCTGACTCCCTGAGTCTCCATGCTCGTCCAGTTCGGTGCCTCTTGTGCACCACTTCCAGATTCCTGGGTCAATGACACTGTGCTGATGGACTTTCTCCCTGTAGCAGATACAAGGCTGGCCACCTGCTCAACTCAATACCCATTCTTCCCTTCTTCCTCATTAAGAAAACACATGTTCTGCTCAGGTGTGAGCTGCAATGTACTCAGGGAAATGGGTGTCTCCCTCAGACCCAGGGATGAACCATGCTGCCCTAAACCAAAACTGGTAACCCAGGTCTTCTTTCCAGTGTTTGGTTTAAGGGGGAAGCTGTAAACCACTTCTGCCTGAGGGCCAAGAAAAATGCTGAGAGCTTCTGTAAGATGTATGACCCTGATAAAAAGAGACACATGGCCAAAGAGAAGCGTGGTCACTCTCTTCTTGTCTTGGAATGTGATTTTGTGAAGATGTGATAATTATAAGTTGTGACAATTATATTGTGACCTTAAAGGGAAAGCCAATAGAGGCTGACTTTAGCCCTGGCATCACTGAGCTGCGGGATACCCAACTCTGGAATTATGTGAGATAATAAAATGTACTTATTGTTTAAATGACTGTTCAAATGACTGTTCGTTGGATATTTGGTTCTGTCTTTACAGCTGAGAACACTGTAACTGGTAAGTCCCTCAACAACACCCGACGGTTCCCCAATGCTTAATGAATCAAGCATACACTCCTTGCCCTAATATTCAATGTCCTTCCTTTATGGCCCCAGCGTCATTTTTCAGTGTCATTTGGTGTCACTTTGTATGTCTGCCATACATGCAAGCCAGATGAATACACTGGGCTCTCCTGACTTCTGCTTATGCTATCTGCCGAGCAGGTACCCAAAATGTGTTCCTCACATATCTCAGCCTTCAGTTGTCACTTCCTCCATGAAGCCCTCATTCTTCATCTCTCCCTCCTTGGACTTTTCTTTGTAACCTTTCTATGGAAATTCTCCAAATTTGTTGTGTTGGAGTTTTTTGTGTTCATGCCTCATCTCCCTCAATTGTAAGATCCTTAAGATCAGAGAGTGAGTCTCATCCATCCATATGCTCTGCCATGCTAAGCACGGTGCCCAGTACAGAAGTCACGCTCTGTAAATGTTTGCTCAGCTAAAATAAAGCCTGCTTTGATCTGGCTTCTTGCTTGTGACTCAGAAAGGGCCAAAGACATTTATTTCTTGAAAGTAATGTGGCTTTAGCCTTAGACTAGTGTCAACTTTAATCCAAGAACTGATTAAATGTAAAAGACTCATATCTGATACTTCCAAACCATAAGGGAGACTTAATTGAAAAATGTAGTTCAACCTCTCACAGCAACAACATCAAGAACTCCCTGTTTGGGCTCTAGCAACTTGTACCATTAACTTAACTTAATCTACTTACTTTGAAAAACTAATATTTACTTAGTGGGTTGCCACCTTAATCTGTTTTCACAAGTGGTTCTGATTACAATCCTTTCTGAGTTTGCAGTATCATGGACTCCTTAAACACATTTTATACAGAATTCTCTATAGCATGGATATTCTTCAAATTGAATCAAGTCCATGTCAAGGTCCATTTCAGGCATATTTTGCTGAAAACTCAAAACTCAAAGTCCATGGGCCAAATGGCTTTTTTCCCCCATGAATTGGGATCTGGACCATCAAAATAATTCATAATGTTAACATTGTCATATCTAGCAAAGAGTCACGTGTTTAATTTCATTCTTTTTTTTCTGAGATGGAGTCTCGCTCTGTCACCCAGGCCGGAGTGCAGTGGTGCAATCTCCACTCACTGCAACCTCCGTCTCCTGGGTTCAAGTGATTCTCCTGCCTCAGCCTCCTGAGTAGCTGGGATTTCAGGCACCCGCCACCATGCCTGGCTAATTTTTGTATCTTTTAGTTAGAGATGGGGTTTCACCATGTTGGCCAGGCTGGTCTTGAACTCCTGACCTCAGACAATCCAACCACCTCCACCTCCCAAAGTGCTGGGATTACAGGCGTGAGCCACCATGCCCAGCCCATGTGTTTATTTCTAATACCCCCATTGCAACCACTTATAGTAGGATATGCTTCTTAATCAACAATTGTTATTTTCAGGGATTATTTTAATTATACAGGCTTTGCTGAGAACTTAACATTATTAAAAAAAATCCAAGTGAAAATATAAATAAGTTTATTTAAGCTTAAGACTTGATTTGGTTTGCTTACTTTTCACCAATGAAGATACTTTGTGCTAAAATACATTTGTTTTTATTTCCTGTCATTTTAATTCATGTCACTTTGAATTTCCTATATCCCAAAGAAATGCTTACTTTTTTAAAAAATTGAATAAGTTTTAATAAATACCTATATATAAAACAACTTCTATTGTGTCCCTTTTTCATTTTAAATTTTTGTAAATGTATTGAAAGTTTGTTTTAGATCATACACAAAACTCTTTTGAGAAGGAATATTTTGATGTCAAAAAGGTATTTTCAAATGCATAAAAAAATGGCTTGTGGATTTCCATATCAAACTTTGAGCAAAAGTTACTTCCGTAGAGGAGAGCAGGATTACATACATCTTTATGGATTGATGTATTATTCGTATAATTAAAACTCAATCTATAGGGAATTATTTTCATTAAAGTGGAAGGATGCCCACGAGAACACCAATCTCATTATTTCCACTTACACTGATAGATATGGAGAAAGGTCTCACTGAGCTTGTTGGTGAAAAGAGGCTCAGGGAGGTCCCGGAAGAACTGTTTCACCATATCCGCCACATCATAAGCAGACTGGTCTTCATAGTTGACGTTCTCAGGGAAGTTTTCATTCATTTGGCGAAGGGCATGGATTCGAGACTTCACTCCTGATTTGCGAAAAAGACCCACCTGAAACAAAGCCATAGGGATGTGTCAGCCAGGCCACACTTGGTTGTGAGGAGGAGGAGGAAGCATGGGAAGGGAACTGGATGAGCTGGAATTGCCTCCCAATTAGTACATGCTGAACTACTAGTATAGCTACTTTAGGCAGTACCCGAACACTGTCTTCCTCTCCTATGAAATGAAGATAAGAATAAAACCCCACCTCACAGGATTACTGTGGAGAGTAAGTGAGGAAATAGATGTGCATGTGCTTTGCGACCTGTTACATCTTATCACACTGCAGATGTTATTATTATTTTATTCATTTATTCAACAAGTAGTGATTAAGTAACCACTGTGTATCAGGCATGCTTAGAGTTCCTAGGTGTCATTAGTGAGCAGAACAGATAAAATTCCCTGCCCTTTAGGGTTTACATTGCCATGGGGATTTTGAGAACGTCTGGTCAATGGGAGGTTTGGTGAAAACAATGTGGGTCGTGGATGAAAGAATCCCAGATAAACAGCCATATCCAGTGCCCCTGCAGGGGAGAGTTTTATGGGGAATATGTTCATGAAACAGACTAATATCATAAGTACATATTTTGATTTAAGGAATTTATTTACTTTTTCTTCTTTGGAATTCTTGGCACTTACTTTTCTACCTGTTTGTTTTTATGCAGTAAGCTATGGCTCTAGTGAGAATGATTCCTGGGTGGCTTTTTTTTCAGACCTCAAGATATTGTCATATCATGCCTTTTTCATCTTAGAGTCTAGACTCCTCCCCTACTTGATGAATAAATGGAGCATTAAGGCATCAAGGACAGAGTGGCCCTAATGAGAATGAGTGAGGCAGAGCAGAGCCCGGCAAGAATGAAGATCCTGCAATGGTGGGGCAGGTTAAGCTCTAGGCCCTCTAGAGGAACTTTCTGTGCTGGACTTACCCGCTATTCAAAAAGGAACTGAACTTTCCTGGGCACCCTGGCTTATAGTGAAATAATATGTCTGCTATTTTTTAAATGCCTATAGGGAGTTGATTTGCTTCAACCCTCAATTTTCACAGCTCTCATTCCCCAGTGGCTCATGGGTTGGCCCACTTCTGCAAAGCAAGGTAGAACCTTCCTGAGTGGCTGGTCAGGTAGACAGTGGCCACTAGTGTCAGCCACTGCTCATCCCCCCTATACCTGGAGGAAAGCCTAATACAGGTCGTCTTACTGATCACTCTGTGTGCCAGGCCGGCCTCCACCCAAGTTCGGGTATGTGACAAAGGCTTTCCTGATTGCTGCAACAAATGGAGAGCAGTCCTCATTCTTTTAAATTGTGGTAACAGCAGGGGAAGGATTCCAAGCCATTAGAGCATACTCAGGTTTTTGTATATGTCAGCCGAATGGATCACAGGGGAAATTATACACTGCTACTTTTTGTGGCCATAAAAACAGAATTCTTAGTAATATTTCTTTGCATTCCAAGGTTTATCGCTCTAATCCCACACATCAGGATATTCAGGCTGATAATATTGTCACTTAAAATATGAGTTACTTTCTTTTTTATTCTTAAAGTTTGGAATGTCTAGAAAATGCACAGTTTTGCCATACTTAGATGATTCGCCACAAAGAATCCAGACAATATTTATCTTCCTTCAACTGGCAACAACTCCAAATTTCATCAAAGGGCATGGAAAGAAAGCATGTACTGTCAAAAGAGAAAAAAATTCAAGATGTCAGGTGAGTGATTATTGGGGTGAGATCCATCTCCGATTTGTTTACATCTTCTGCTTTTCTGATTTTGGAAGGAGGCCCAGGACTGTGCACACCACAGGGCTGGCTGTGCTGTACGAGAGTTCTCATAATCGAGATGCCCTGAAGGTAAATACTTCAGTGTGACTCACAAATATTTATCCTCATATGAGCAGGTATTATTCCATTTGAGAAGAATTCCTACTTTTTTAACAGCAGAGAAATGTTGATCAGGATCTACAAAAAGAATAAAGCAGACAGTGTTTCTGTTTAAATTGTCGAGCACGTTCCTCTTTTGTCCACCGTGTCTTGCGGGCTGTTTCTGGGCACACAGTCATGTGCGTGCACACACACATCCCAGAGATGCTATCTTTGTATTGTTTGGTTTCCAAATTTCTTTCTCGTTTCAGCAAATATTGTTATTTTAATTATTTTAGACATGTCTGCAGCTCTCCAGCTGTGGGCTCTGAGCTGCTTTTTCTGACTGAGATCTTAGGATGTCCAGAGGGTAGTCAGGGATTTATTGTGCTGCCTCGAAGTCTGACAATAACCTTCCTGCCCTGGCCTTGTCTTCTAGGGGACATGGGAAATATAGACGTATATATATATTTTGGTTTCTGTGGATTTTTGTTGGAAGTACAGCAGGAAAATTTTCTTTCATAAACCTAATAAAGAAAAGGTGGTCTCAAATCAGATTCCAGTTATAGTAGCTGAAGATGGCCAAAGGGAAAGATGGAAAGAACCTCTCTTCAAAGCTATTGATGAGCTGATGATTGAGCTAACCCTGGAACCGTTCTATTTCCTGACTTTTTTTTTTTTTGAGACGGAGTCTTGCTCTGTCACCCAGGCTGGAGTGCAGTGGCGCATTCAAGTGATTCTCCTGTCTCAGCCTACTAAGTAGCTGGGATTACAGGCACCTGCCACCACTTCCAGCTACTTTTTACATTTTTTAGTAGAGACAGGATTTCGCCACATTGGCCAGGCTGGTCTCGAACTCCTGACCTCAAGTGATCCACCCACCTTGGCCTCCCAAAGTGCTGGCATTACAGGTGTGAGCCGCCATGGCTGGCCTATTTCCTGACTTTTTGTTTGTGTTTTGTGAGACCATGAATTTCCTGTCATTTAAGCCATTTTGGGATGGGGCTTCTAGTGGTTGCTGTGGAAAGCCACTGGGCACAGTGAGTAGAAGATGGTCTTTCTAAGGCATAGAGAGATCCTGAGACCAGAAGAAGAGCTTCCCCTCTCGATCCTCATAGAAAAACACTGTGACGGCAACGAGTGGTTTCCAATAATCATTTCTTCTTCAGAAAGTTTTGGCCGAGCACAGTGGCTCACACCTGTAATCCCAGCACTTTGGGAGGCCGAGGTGGTTGGATTGTCTGAGGTCAGGAGTTTGAGACCAGCCTGGCCAACATGGCAAAACCTCGTCTCTACTAAAAAATACAAAAATTAGCCAGGAGTGGTGGTGGGTGCCTGGAATCCCAGCTACTTGGAAGGCTGAGGTGGGAGAATCTCTTGAACCTGGGAGGCAGAGGTTGCAGTGAGCTGAGATTGTGCCACTGCACTCTAGCCTGGGCAACAGAGCCAGACTCCACCTCAAAAAAAAAAAAAAAAAGTTTCCAAAGCAAGGATTTGATCTGAATTTTTGACAAGAGATAGTTTTCCACATAAAAAATGGAGAAGAAACCTGTTGTTCATCCTTTTTTTTTTTTTTTTTTGAGACAGAGTCTCACTCTGTCTATCAGGGCTGGAGTGCTGGAGTGCAGTAGCATGATCTCAGCTCAACCACAACCTCCATCTCCTGGATTCAAGTGATTCTTCTGCCACAGCCTCCCAAGTAGCTAGGATTACAGGTGTGCACCACCACGCCCAGCTAATTTTTTTTTTTTTTTTGAGATAAAGTCTCGCTCTTATCCCCCAGGTTGGAGTGCGATGGCACGATCTCAGCTCACTGCAACCTCTGCCTCCTGGGTTCAAGCAATTCTCCTGCCTCAGCCCCCTGAGTAGCTGGGATTACAGGCACCTGCCACCATGCCCAGCTAACTTTTGTATTTTTAGTAGTGACAGGGTTTTACCATGTTGGCCAGGCTGGTCTAGAACTCTTGACCTCAGGTGATTCACCAGCTTCGGCCTCCCAAAGTACTGGGATTACAGGCGTGAGCCACTGCACCCAGCCTAATTTTTGTATTTTTAGCAGAGATGGTGTTTCACCATGTTGGCCAGGCTGGCCCTGAACTCCTGACCTCAAGTGATCTGCCCACCTCGGCCTCCCAAAGTGTTGGGATTTTAAGTGTGAGCCACCATACCTGCCCTGTTGCTCATCCTTCTGATCACAGTGGATGGGCAGGCAACAGCCCCAGCTCCCTCAGCTTCGTTATGAGGAAGATCCCAGGAGGGCATAATGTTTTTCCTTCACTTTTGTGTCTGTCACCCATGGACGGGCAGCCTGGGCCATCACACAGGGTCTCACACACTTAGTTTAATGCTCTGCTGTCTTGGTTTTGAAATTCTCAATGATTTATGAACAAGTGATCCCACATTTTCTCTTTTCACTGGTCCCACAAATGGCATAACAGGTCCTGCTGTCATCTACTGTTAAAGCTCAGCCCAGCCACCCTCTTGAGAAAGGGGAGAATGGCCATCAGCAATGCAGAGTTCATTTTATAAGCATCTCTCTTGTATGTGATCTCTCATTTCCTTTTGAAGATAAAAGGCGAGTGATGAGTGTCCCCTTGGTCTAGTTTTCCTGTCTTCTTTCTGTTGTCTTTCACCTAAAAACCTAGCTATGAAAAAGCAAGGACTCAGCTGGGCACAGTGGCTCATGCCTGTAATCCCAGCACTTAGGGAGGCCGAGGCGGGTGGATCACCTGAGGTCAGGAGTTCGAGACCAGCCTGGCCAACATGGTGAAACCCTATCTCTATTAAAAATACAAAAATTAGCTGGGTATGGTGGTGCGTGCCTGTAAATCCCAGCCACTCAGGAGGCTGAGGCAGAAGAATCACTTGAACCCAGGAGGCGGAGGTTGCAGTGAGCTGAGATCGTGCCACTGCACTCCAGCCTGGGTGACAGAGCAAGACTCCATCTCAAAAAAAAAAAAAAAAAAAAAAAAGCAAGGACTCAAGGATAATTTCACTGGATAGCCCCAGAGCACTGCTCACTTTATCTGAGGCAGGCAACAGAAAAAGTGACAAACAGCCAGCGGGGGCAGGGACACTTGTACTGAGTACTAAGAGTCTTCCCAGCATGATTAGGCTTTTAAAACTTACTGCTCTATTAGGAGGAGAGGCTGAGCATGAGTGGTGCATTAGAATTCACATTCCATCTGAATAATATTAAATCTCCCTCTTGGCATCCTGTTTATGCTAATCTTTTTCGGGACTTAATGATGTTTATCAGGACTTCCATTTCCTCTTCTTTAGAAATGTGCTCAGCTAATGAAGGAAGGTTGGTTTTCTTGAGAAAGAAAGATTCATAAGAAGAGTATGCAGCAGATTCTTATTCTGAGCATTGCAGGTTCAGCCTCTCACTGCGGTGACTTCATATTCATCAGGAATAGGTATAATCTATTCTGTGCACAGTTGATTTAGGGCAGAAATAAAAGCTCAGACAACAAAGCAAGGCTCCTCTTACACACTACTATGTCTGAATACAAATGGTTCATAATTGAAGGCTAAACTTCCTCATCTCACCCACAGCCAGCTGCAAGGGCAAACATGGACACTCTGTTGCATCATATAGAAACTGCTGGGCATGCAGGAGTGTGGAAGACAAAAGGCTGGCAATGTGTCAGGCTCTGTGGGGCAGGGTCAACTGCAATGAGTGCTTATATGCGAGGCGAGTGTTTAGCACGGGGAGAAGGGCCCATCGCACTGCAGGAAGCCTTCTCCCTGAGACTCGGGGCAATGCCTTGGGAGAGTATGGGGTGGTACTTCCTATTAAAATGTGGCATAGAAGGGGTTATTTGCGGATGTTCTCGTCTTCTGCAGCTTTGAGGCTGAGATCTCAAGGCCTTGGGCAGACTGGAATCTTTTCAATTCCACAGAAGTGCTGTTGGCGAAGAAAGAACATTCGTTTGGTGTTGCTCTCCTTGCTTTTCACTCTTTTCCCCTCGCTTTTCTGATTGATTCGCTTTTACTAGCTCTTGCTTGCTCTGAAATCTCCGGAAAAGCCAGGTTTTGATTCCTTATGTTTCTCTAGTTCTCCCCTTTTCCTTCCTATTACCACCTTCCTTTTTCACAGGAGCCAGAGAGGTGGTCTCTGCGTGCTTCCCACACCACATTGACAAGGAAAGGGAGGGACATTCCAAGGCTGGAAGCCCTGCCAGGACTGGGTGCATTATAAGGTGGTGACTGACTGTGGTGAAAGTCCCTTCGATGTCCTACGGATTCTCCCATGTGACTGACGCGAGATGCGTGGCTCTATTCATTTTAATTACATTTAGAATCAGTATTTATATCTTGAAATGAGTCTTCTTCCTCCAAGCCTTTGCCGGCACACTGTTTTTCATCTTGGCATTCTCCCAGATTTAAAAAATTGACCTGAGATGGACACAGGGGTGGAAGAGGTTTTGGTGCCCTGTGTCTTTCTCTCTACTGATAAGACTTTTGCTTCTAAAGAGAGACTGGCCCCACTAACAGCAATGATATTGGCACTGCACATTATTCAGAAGCTACGGGGGGCAGGAATGGTTTATAGCTATGGACATTAACTTTGAATAATGTGTATTCTTAGTAAAACCTCTAAGATTAAAAAAATTAAAATGTTTGCTTAAGTAACGAGATTCATTGGCTGACTCTATTGGGATGTGATTCACAAGTCAATTCATGCTGGGGCATCTGTCAAAGAAGAGAACCCTAGAAAAGTAGCCTGTCACCCTTATTTCTGGGGAATAAGAGGCAAGCTATTAAGGCCATTTCTCAAAACTAAACAGCCATCCTCACAACAATGACAGCAGCCATCCCACCCTCTGCGATGACATACAAATATGGAAAAATGTTATGTGCAGATTCTCTAAATTAAAAATGAGGAGGGACAAAGGGGAACACACATTCAGTTCAGTCAAAGACAACTTCAAATGAAGAAGTTACTGCTATTTTTCTGCACTGAAAATTGATTTCTGGTTCACCAAGAGACCAGCCTGATTCTAAGTGTGGTCTCAGTATTGGGGTCTCTACAAGCATCACTAGCCAGCTCATTCCTGCCCACTGAGCCCAAGGACCAGGGTAAATCAATAAAAAGTACAAATAATCTTAGGTTGGTACAGATTCTCTGCATGGCATCAAAAAGTATGATGAACAGGGACTATTACAGAATAGCTGCCTGGAAATATACCCACTATTCAGGGCTGCAATTTATCAATTAAGAACACAACTTTTATTTTGGACAGAATGTCTAAGAAGCTAATGGGTGTTAATTTGGAGGAGCAAAGCCTTTGTTTTGTAAAGTACAGGACGGACAGCACTCTGGATTTAATCACAGTCCACCATTATGGTGGGCCCCAAAAGTCTCGGAGGCAGCAAATCTCTGAATATTTTGTTTAGCTTCAGCATTGAATCAACTCTATAAAATGAGGGGATATTTGACTTAGCTGATACTTTTGTTCATATTTTACTTGCACATTTTTAAAAGATGTAAATAAATCTGTGTTTGGTTTAAGTTTTCCTGGTCATGATGCTGCTTCAAAGGAAAAAAAAAGAATTAATAAAAGGAGGCATGAAAAACCTAATTCTTTTTCAAAAATAATAGGGATAAAAGAACAGTGTGAAATCAATGGTGGCACTGAAATAATAGTTACAAAGGAAATGCAGTACAGTACATAGCTTAACTCTAGTTTTTAGGGATTGCAAATTAGACATCCCAGGAACAAACTGTTAACGTCAACTTTCCCCAGTCACTCCAGGTCATCATTTAAGTTGCCAATGAGGAAACATCCTCAAATAGGACATGTCTTGTTCAAATTAAATATTGCTACATAAAGGTCACAATGCCTTTTATTTTTGGTGAGGCATGTCTTGCCTGATATTGGGCAGATCTGACTCAGTCTGACATCCCCTCAATCCAATCCCATGGTTGGGGGTGGTGGGGCAGCAGCGGGGGGGTTACAGCCCTACCTGATCGAGGCAGTTGCTGCGTAGATATCTCAGTGCTTGCTGAATACTTTGAGGCAGGGGCTGTCCCGTTCTTTGGACGTGGACTATGAGAGGAACGCCAAAGACAGCCTTGTCTTTGTAGTCGGGAACTTTCATCCTCTTCATGAACTTTGGAACTGACCTAGAATTTACAGAAACCAGGTCATGCAAGCCTCCTGGGTCACACTGTGGGGTGAGGCTCTGGAAGCAAGCATGAGGGAAGCCAGGCTTTTGTTGGAATACCCAACAGATGCGGGGTGAATTCAACATTCTCTCTGCATTAATCACAGGACACTGCTGTGCTCTGTGTGGCCCTTGCCTGCTTGCTATCTCTAGCTACTAAACAGCATGAGTCACGTTCCCAGAATGTATTTGTAGCTCTGTTTTCAGGTCAAGTGGACAACTTTCCAATTTAACTGTGATAGACTTATTTCTCAAGTGCTGAACACTTAAAAGTCCCCAACAAAACAAAACAAATTAAAAATTACAAGAGGAAGAAGAAATCTGGCTGGGGTTGGAGGAAAAGGAAGGGAGAAAAGAAGAACAATATTTCTTGGCTCTATCTTACTTTTCTAGAGCCAGTTGTAGTTTTCAAAGGACATTTTAATACAGAAGCATATATTGATTTGACCATGAATTTATAACCTTCTAAAATATTTCATAAAAGCACCATTGATTTTTTAAATATGTATAATATAAAACATAGAACAATTACTGACACATTTTGTATTTTTTCAAACCCACCAAATCATCTACAATAGGTCCACATTCAAGTTCTAACATGCTTCTGTCAATTCCTTATTACAAGGTTTACTGCATATTCTTGTTTCTATTTGCCAATGAAATAAAAGCAGAAATGTATTTGAAGAATTAAATGCTCTTTGAATGAATCAATGCTCTAAGTGGTAAGCTTTGCATCAGGCCAGAAGGTACAAGTGACAGCTGTTTCTGTGCAAACTGCCAGGATTATTTTATGGCAAGTTTATTTTTATTTCCTCTGTTCACAATTAATCACCCTTTACTTGTCTCTTTTTCCTTTCTTGGAGCCTGACTGCCTTCCCTGGAAACCAACTGAGAACTACAAATAGAGCAATGTTTCCTGTAGGGTCCACTGCATCGAGGCTACGGCAGAGCTCATGCCTTATGTCCAGGAGATCATCAGTGAAGGCAATGAATGGGTTTTTCAGATATCACAAAGTAAACATGGAAGCTTCTGCAATCACACACTTAGCTCTAGAGCCAAGGATCCCCTCCTAGGTGAATGTGCTACGCACCATGTCCAGCCGTGCTTGTTGGACATGGAGTGCTTCTCCATGATGGCCGTGAGGCGGAGCAGTGAGAAGCGCTGGAGCAGGCTCAGCTGGCTGGCCGTCTGGCTGCTGATGTGGGGCGATGCTGGGGCCGGCCGGGGCTGGTGCGACAGCTGGAAACTGTTCCATCGGAGTCGCCTTTACCAGAGAGACCATCAGAGAAGCCAGTCACAAAGTGGACTTGGTAGCGGGAAACACGGGACATCACCAAGGTACACGCAGCTAATCAAGATAGCAGCCGAGCAAAGAAAATCGCAAAGCAAATGGAACAGAAGACACAAGTGTGCAGAATAAACATAGGACATGATTTTTCCAAGTCAGATAAATCTGGAAAAAGTCTTATTATCCATTTTATTAGGGGGTTTAAATAAGTGATAGAGGAAATATTATGTTTGTTTATTCCAAATTTGTTCCCAAAGTGTTGAGAGCAAGCTGAGACAGTGTGTGTGTGAGTGAGTGTGTGTGTGTGTGTATGTGAGAGAGAGAGAGAGAGAAACAGAGGGAGAGAGAGAAACGGAAAGAGAGGAAAGAGACGGAGACAGGGAGATATAGACAGAAGCAGAGAGAGCAGAGAGATAGAAAAGAGAGAGACAGATGTAGATGGAGAGATGGAGAGATGAGACAAAAAGAGATACAGAGGCAGAGGATGGAGAGACAGACAGAGACAGAAAGATAGAGACAGAGCAAGAGACAGAGAGAGGGAAGACAGAGATAGAGCAATATAGACAGAGGACAGACAGAGGTAGAGCGATAAAGACAAAGAGAGAAAGAGAGAGAGATACAGACAGGGAGCAAGAAACAGAGAGAGAGAGAGGGAGAGAGCTGTCGAATGTCTAGGGCTGTAGAAAATTTTCTCATTGTCTTCCATGTGTCTACACTCTATATCTTGCTCAGTATTGAGATGGAGCCCGAAGATGAGAGGTACAGAGGTGACACATCACTGAACCACAAGACACACCCTTGCCTCAACCAGAAACCCAGCAGCACAGGGCCATTTTTCTATGGTGCTTCTGAAACGGTCTTTGTAGGTCAGCTTTGATGTACTTTGTAATTGGCACTTTAAAGCAAAAACAAACTTGCAGAGTACACATCTTAGGCCTCAGAAATTTCTTATAGGAGCAAAAAAAGTGTAAAATTTGGGGAAGAGACATTTTGATGAACGCATCACAGGAAGGTCAGGGGAAGAGTCGGTGCCTAGGAACTGGGTATTGGTTATCCAGGATTCCCTGCCTATGGTGCCCAGTATAACGCTTTGCACATAAGAAGCTCAAAATATTTTTGGATAAAACTAGGAACAAAATAAAGGATAAGCACAAATAAATATGAGTTCACATGGATTCAATCACCATGATACCTGTACAGAAGTCATACTTCTGTTCAAATAATTCCTAATCACATACATCACTTAGAACAGAGTCAGGCATTTAGTAAGTACTCTGTGTATGTTTGTTAAAGAAATAAACAGAACACAATTACTATGAAATGGATGAAAAATCATTTCACAAGTGCATGCCACCTACCTGTTTGGCCTGGTCAGAGAGGCCCCTACACCAGAATCCCTCCTGTCTCTGACCCCAGGAGGCTCAGATTCATTAAGAGATGTTACATCTCTTTCCACATCACTGGGTGTCGTCCGACCTTCTGAGACAGAGTTACCTTCAAAATCTAAGGTGATCTGATTAGGAGATGGAAAGGTGGATAAGCCAGGTTCCCCAACCAATGTATCATGAGTTTGCAGTTCAGGCAAGACATCTTTGGACCAGTCATCGACTACCTCTTGGAGCCCATTGACATGCTGCAGAATGTCATCCAAGTGAGGGAAAAGGTCATCTTTCTCCAAGTCCAAAAGATCTCCTGTGCTGGCATACAGATGGGAGCCAGGGACATTGTCATAGATACTGACTCGGCTGGCTCTGTGGCAGGACGCCATGAGCCGGGGCTCCCTGGCACCAGGGACCTGCTCTCTGCCCAGGGAGATGCTACCGGTCCTCCAATTAACCCCATTGCTACTATCTGTGGGAGAGAGGCTTTCAATAGAAAGTGCCTTGGGGAATGTTCCTGGTTTGTGATCCTTGGGAATATGCACCACCAAATTCTCTTGGGAGTGAAATTCATGCATACGGCTTTGGTCCCCTGCATCCGGCAGTGCTGTCCCCGCCAGCACATCTAGGTCCTCCAAGTACATGCCCCCGCGCTTGTTGGCCTCGTGGCACTTGCGTTCCTTCAGGCAGGGCGTGCTCACCCCGCTGCTGCTGTGCTCCGACGGGCTGCTCTCGCCACTCGACTTGCCAGAGCATGGGAGCCCTTTTCTGCAGGCAGGTGGCGGCGAATTCTGGAGATCTCCATTTGGTATTTGGATGCACTGCATAGCCTTAAAGGACTCTGGCTCCTGCTGCAACATGGGCCCACTGATCACCAGGCCACCTGTCCGCCCAGACCCCTTATGCCTCCCGTGGGCTCCCTTCCCTCGGAGTGTTTCCATGCGTTTCAAAAATGATTTGGCCCTAGCCCTCGTGGGCTTCTCATTCTTGGGGTGGAAGGGGTGGTTGAGGACATCTCTGGGGGGCTGTGGGAGGCTGCTGCTGACGAGTGGGGCATCCAGCATGACCGGGTTGTCTGTACAGCACTGGCCCGGCTGGCTGCGACTGTCGCTGCCTCCACTGCTTTCGCTGTGAATGGAGCAGACCTCAGGCTCGCTCAGGTCTGTGAGGACGCTCTCACTGCTGGTCGTGTTCCTCATCCCCGTGCCTCCCGGTGACCCATTTCTGTCTCCTCGAGGGAGCAGCGTGTAGAGGTCGTCCACACGAGACCACCTGCGACTGGTTCTTTGGAAAGTCCATTTGTTGCTGATACAAAGATCTTCCTCATCGGAGTCGTCACCCTGCAGAGCACCAAGGAAAATGCTCATTAGCAGACAGCGTGGCTGAAGCAGGAACTCTGGGTGCTCTGAGGGCAGCCCTGTGTGGTCCTCCACCTCCCTCCCCTCTGTCCTCCCATGCACAGGTGTGAGCTTCTTGGGCACCTCTAAGCTGTCCTTCTACCACTTGCACTGTCTTGTACATACCCTTCCTCCCAGTGGCCAGAGGACCCTTCTCAACTTGCCAAACTTTCTTCCTTCCCATTTTCAAAGAGGTTTTGAATGCCTCCTTCCTTCCTCTCTAAGAAGTTTTCCCTGACTGATTATAAAGAGGGTATAATTACATCAGACTAGACGGTCTAAATATAAAGCACCTGCAGTCTTCTTTTTCACAAAGGAACTCAACTCTGCCATAAAAGGCACTTACTTCTTTCCAGAAACCTCTTCACTGAGCCCCGGGGACCATATTTCCAGCTTGCCCCATCTGAATCTCAGCTTCAGTATATCTCAAAGCTAACACTCCTTATTTTAGTCCCCTGCACTTGATTCTTATCGTGTATTCCCTGGATAAGGTAACAGCAAAATGAACCACTGAATTTCTTTAAGTAGAGATGAGGGAGCCATTCTGGAGATCGCTATTTGTGATCCAATCCGGCTACTCTGCATGAGCGTCTTTTTCTGTGGAATCAACTCCGAGTCAGAATGCCGTTGGCAGGACGCACACCTCTGTGTGGCTGCAGTGGGTCCCCGCGGCTTGGCACTGTCTTACACTTTGGGCCTCACACATTGACTCTAGGTGTCTGGTTTCTGCCTGAATTTGCAGCCCCTGAGAGGGGAGCATCTGCATTCCCTGAGGCCAGAGATGGCCTGGTTTAGCTTTGCATAGCCTTGGGCCCAGCGCAGACCTTGACCTAGAGCATATCATTTCCTTCTGAAATAAACTGAATCATCGGATCCTGCTTCATCCTCACCAAGCACATCACCAAGACCTAATTCTGAACTGATTTTCAAATCTGTTCCCTCATTCGTAATTTCACTCTCATTCTCTTAGTGTAGGCCTTGCCACCTCTCTCTGGATCTGTTACAGTAAAAATGTGGGAGAAACCCTGTCTCCAGCATCTTCCCCATCTAAATAGCTTTCCACAGTGTAGTCCAAATCGAATCATATGATTTTTTTTTTTCAGCTTAGAAGCCTTCTGCTTGAAAGCCTCCACTCTCAGTTGTTACAGGTGAAGTCATCAAGAGCCGGGCCTGCTACAGTGAGCCGTGATGGCACCACTGCACCCCAGCCGCAGCAACAAAGTGAGACACTATCTCAAAAAAATAAAAAAGAGCAAGACCTGTGTTTCTCTGTTTCATTATTCATATAAACATATTTATTCATATGTATAGCCTGTCCAATGCCAAGGACATAATAATTGCTTATTTTTTGTGAATTGAATTAAATTTATTTTACTCTACCTGGGTGTTCAGTTTTAAGACCTGGTTCCAAGTGTCAGTGATACCAGTTAAGAGCTAGGTGACTGTCCACAGTCTACTTACCCTCTCTAAAGTAAGTTTCTGCCACTTATAAGATTGAAGCGGGTCTTGCCTCATAGGTTTGCTGAAGAGAATAAAGAAGGTAGTGCATTCAGCAGTCCCTCACTGAGAGGTATTTGCTTATTTGTATCTTTCAATGTTTGTTCAATTGCCTACTAATCTTTTTATGTATCTAGCGTCCACTTTAACTCCCTTTAACCTTGCAGTGTGTTGTTTTTAAGGAAACCTAAGCAGATGCACAGTTAATCATTGTGGGGATCCTCCTATTCTTGTTTATTCCTTCAAAATCTAGTTTCCGTGTAGGTTTGACTAAATGACAAACTTGAACATTCAAGTTTAAAGTGAAAGCGAGTACAAAGCCAAGGTACAGAAAAGAATTCTATGGCTTAGAAGTCAGGTGCGGTGGCTGATACGGTTTGGTTGTGTTCCCACCAAAATCTAATCTTGAATATTGTAGCTCCCATAATTCCCATGTTTTGATGTGTTATGGGAGGGACCCGGTGGGAGATAATTGAATCGTGGGGGTGGTTCCCCCATACTGTTCTTGTGGTAGTGAATAAGTCTCATGAGAGCTGATGGTTTTATAAGGGGAAACCCCTTTTGCTTGGCTCTCTTTCTCTCTTGTCTGCCGCCATGTAAGATGTACCTTTTGCCTTCCACCATGATTGTGAGGCCTGCTTACATGAAACTGTGAGTCCATTAAACCTCTTTTTACTTATAAATAACCCAGTCTCAGGTATGTCTTTATCAGCAGCGTGAAAAATGGACTAATACAGTGGCTCACGCCTGTAATCTCAGCTACTTGGGAGTCTGAGGTGGAAGGGTCTTTTGAGTCTAGGAGTTTGAGTCTAGCCTGGGCAACATATCAAGACCCTGTCTCTTAAAAAAAGGAAACAAAAAGAAACAAAAAAGAATCCTACAGCTTGAGATCACAGTGAAAAATGAGTCTGAGTTTTAAAAAAGTTGTATAAAGCTCTGATGAAAGAGTTTAGAAAGTTGTAATTGTACAAGTGGAAAAAGGGCAAGACTCCAGAATGATGACTCAAAATATACTTTCCTACTAGTACTTTCTACTCCCTCTTTTCCTGTGATTGATATAATGAAAACTGACATATGAGGGTCATTTATACACAAGGTGCCATGATAGGCTGAACGTTGAACTTATTGGATTTTTGTATTGCATTTTAGGAAGCTAGTGAGAAGTTGATATTAAATAAGGACTATGAAAAAGCCCTTTTAGCAGACAGTTTTTGAGAAGACAAAAAAAAAGGATATGACTTTAAAGAAAATATAGATATTTTAAAACAGAAACTACAACATTTAGTGTTGGCCCCAACTACCTCTCTCAAACCTGGTTATGATGCCAGCACACCACATACTAGTTGGATAGGGACTCCTTTATTTAGGTTAAGAACACATGCCAAGCTGGGCACTGTGGCCTGGGAAGGGAAAGCCTGGCCCTGTCTGCTGGTCTCTAAGAGCTTATTATACTCACTTTGGCCAACAGGAAGATATTTACAGCCCAACTAAGGCATGTGAAAAAGTGGCAAACTCCTGGGAAAAAAGGAAAACAGCTCAGGGAAATTTTGCAGTATTTAGGTTGTTTGAACCAAAGCAAACAAACAAAAACCAAAGCAATAGAAAGCAAAATGCAACAGAGAAAAAAAACGACCAGTCTTCTTTGGCACCCTGTGCCTACAACGATCATGGTATGTTCCAAAGGGTATTGAAATGGTTGTGTCTGTTTCTTTCACTAATGATGGATATTTCAAACTATTTGATAGTGACACACAACAAAAAATGTATTTTCCATCACAACTCAGGGCATGCATACAGACTATACTAAAGCAAAAAAAAAAAAAATTTATGCTTAAGTAATTATCCTTGTTTGTTTGTATTCTGATACTTTTTAATCTAGTTTAGCCTATTTTATTTTTTTAAATGTTGTTTGTGATCCACCAAATTCACTTGACAACCTACCAAGGGGCCATGATCTGCAGTATGAAAAACACATTGCAGTAGAGTTTAAGGTTTTTTTACGCACTTGGGACCCAGCAGAGCATCAGGCACATTTCAGACTCTCCAGTGGTATTTATGGAAGTGTACTGATTGTTTAAAAGAGATTATCAGATTTCATCTGTTTGATAATTTTTGAGGTTAACAATGAATAGTTTGTGATTATTTAGAAATGTAAAATGGAAATCTCTAGGAGTCAGATGTGTTTATAAAGAAAAGGATACATCAAACTAACTTTATTCTCCTGTCTCAGAAACCATGGACGTACCAGGGACATGGAGCATCAGAATTTCAGCAACACAACTGAAAATAGGTTCCCACGTTGTGGACAATATGGCTCACTAGCTAGATGCTACACAACGGGGTCCAATCTTTTGGCTTCCTTGGGCCATATTGGAAGAAGAAGAATTGTCTTGGGCCACACATAAAACACACTAACACTAATGATAGTTGATGAGCTTTAAAAAATGGCCAAAAAAACTCATAATGTTTTAAGAAAGTTTATGAATTTGTGTTGGGGCACATCCAAAGCTGTCCTGGGCCACATATAGCCCGTGAGCCATGGGTTGGACAAGCTTGCTACAGAGAGTTTTGTCAGTAACTGGTTGAGTAACTCCTCTAAAGCGTGTGACTAAAAGACTGTAAATAACTGAAGGAAGCATGTCTCAAGGTTATGATCATTTTAAGAGTAACTTGAATGGGCCGGAACTCCTGTTTTTAAACTGTAAAGATGGTATTAGGCTATTTGCTAAGGGTTCTTTGAGACTCAGTTTTCAGAGTTAGAAAATGAAAACAATAATAACACATGTCTAGCATGATTTATCAACAGAACCAAATGGGACTATATGTGAAAATACCATATAAACCCTAAAGTGGTAGATGAAACTAGTTATTGTTGTTAGAGAATAGCAATATTGAGAAGTGTGTAGAGCTTAACAGAAGTGAAGGATGACCTGTTAATAAGATAAAATTTCATAAAAGTAAAATATAATGACTCTAACTTCAAAAATCAATTACAGGATCTTCAGGATAAAACGAACATAGTTCAACAGCCCTTCCTGCTATTAATAGTCTTGAGAGTTCTGGCAGATGTAAGCTTAATGTGACTTAACCATGTAATATGGCTACTGAACAAAGACACCAACCTTAGGATGCATGACCAGAGCATAGATCCCAAGACTCAAAAGGTCAGTGCCCATTGCATTCTGCACTGGTCACATATATCAGGAACAATGGGTTCTTTCTAAGCGCTCCACATTTTAAGGGGTACATTTCTAGAGAAGAGTAATCAGAATGGCCAAGGATCTAAGAACCACAACCTCCTGGGGTGGACAATTGAAAGAACTAATAGCTTGATTTAGAAATGAGGAACTCTAGACAGTGCTACTCAGAGTGTGGTCAGGGGGCTGCCAGTCCCCAAACTTGCTCTTTAATGAGGTAGATACAGAAATTGAGAGTAAGAAGTAAAACCATTTGTCACCATTTGAAAAGTCTGTGCTATCTGAGCTCACAATCAGTGGATTTGTCTTACTGAACAGGGTAAAGACCAGTCTGGGTGTAGTCAAATTCAAACGGTGAGTCCTATGAGTGACAGCTGCATGGTACTGGTGTGTGGTCAATCTGATTTACAACAAGTGCCAATTCAAGGTTAGTTTGCTTACCATAAACCAAAGTGTATAATGTACAGAATCCACTGTTTCACAGGTAATTTACATTTATAACTTTATAATTATAAGAATTGGCTAGAGATGAAGAACTGAAGATGAATTTTGGAAATATAGCATCACTTACCTCATTTTGAATAAAAGGTGAATGGAATACCCTAAAGTAGTAAGTGAAAAGGAATACCCTAAACTTTTAACTTGCCTTAAAAAACCTTTCTTCACTGGTTTCCCTACGATGACTGGTACTCAAACAAAAGAATTTTAGATATACATTATTACCCATGAGTAACATTGTTATCAATCCCACTTAACTTAGATAACAAAGAAGAAACTTGTTGTCACATTAAAAATCTTATGGCCAGGCATAGTGGCTCATGCCTGTAATCCCAGCACTTTGGAAGGCCGAGGCGAACAGATCACCTGAGATCAGAAGTTTGAGACCAGCCTGACCAACATGGTGAAACCCATCACTACTAAAAATACAGAAATTAGCCTGGTATGGTGGTGCATGCCTGTAGTCACAGCTACTCGGGAGGCTGAGGCAGGAGATCGCTTGAACCCCAGAGGCAGAGGTTGCAGTGAGCTGAGTTTGCGCCACTGCACTGTAGCCTGGGTGATGAAGTGAGACTCTACCTCAAAAAAAAAAAATTATATATATCTTATACATTTGCAGTCAAAGTGCTTGTTCAAAGTGTGCATATAGGCATTTAATTTGAGGGATTTCTCTTTTAAAGTAAACTTTTTGTTCAGTTATGACAGATGAACAACAAAAATGGTATGAGCACAATTGTGATTCTTTGTATTAATCACATATACGCACACTTTCAATAAAAATCTGAACAGTTTTTGTAATTCTTTTCTATTGATAGAAGCAGGAGGCAGTCAAATGCCTAGGCAAATAGGGGCAGCTTCCTGGTGAAACCCCACCCTCAAGCCAAAGACAGTTTGAAGGCTGAAAGTCAAGCTACAAACCCACAGACTGGATTGAGAACCTCTCTTCCCATTTGGCATGTTTTCCTCTGATTGATCCTCACCCTTCCTCTATTTTACATATACCTACCTTTCCCTAATTGGTTTTTTACACTGTCTTGCCCACCTTTGATTGGTGTCTTTCTTTTAGCTTTTTTGCACACTCATAAACCAATCAGCAGGCACTCCCCCATTCTGAGCCTATAAAAGCCCAGACCCAGCCACACTAGGGGAGAAAACCACCCAACTTCGGGACCACCCTTGCATCCCCTCTCCACTGAGAGCTGCTGTGTCGCTCAATAAAAATTCTTCTCCACCCTCCTCACCCTTTAATTGTCAGTGTAACCTCATTCTTCTTTGATGTGGGACAAGAACCTGGGACCTACTGAACAGTGGGGTCGAAAGGGGTTGTAAGCTGCAGCCCTCCTTTTGCTGGCGCCAAGAAGCAGCAGCAGGGCTGGGTCAGCCAGGGAGCCACAGGCCACAGAGCAGGGTGACAGGAACAAAGAAGCAGGGGCCCCTGCCAGGCACAGAAGTTTCTGGCTGATGAAGTGGGGTTGAGAAAAATCCTGCATCATTATTTCCTGTTATATTTGTTTTGATTATATTTATCAGTACTCACCTTTGTGTCAGTTGAGCCTAACAATAAAACATTAAGCCTTGTATTTTCTATAATTTGTTAAAATTAATATTTCTAATAATTCATTTGTATTGAATTTTACAAAAGTATCTTAGTCTGTGGCAGACTGGAAAAAAATAAAATAAGAAAATCAGTCACTCACCACTGACAGTTGAGAAACTGTTCTAGATTGAGCAAAGGTCTGCAAGTGTTTTCTGTATAGGGCCATATCATAAAAATTTTAGGTGTATGCACCATAAGGTCTCTCTCTCTCACCTACTCAGCTCTGCCATTGTTGTGAAATGAATGGGCGTAGCTATTGATCCAATAAAACTTTATTTATGAAAGCAGGAGCAGCAGTGTGCTGATTCCCTGTTCTGGAGGACAGAGCTAAAGGGCTTCTGAGTGAATGGGGAAATCCATATTCTGTGCTTCACCAGGGAAAAAAGCTAGGTTCAGGTGGGCCAGATTAGAAGGAATCAGCTCCTAGCTTATCATATGGAAGGCCTTTCTAGTCTGTAGAATAAAATAAATTGCCTTGCCATGTGAAGAGCTCGTCATGTTGAGAAGCTTATAATAAACAGTGGCTCAGCAAATTGTGAGGGAGAGGGATGCACTAAGAAGCAAATCCTGCAGTGAGTGAGTGGGAGGTTGGAAAATAAGACCAAAGATCCTTCCAACTCAAATACCCTACAGTTTTAGGACATTCGCATGTAATTATTTGCAATTCAAGGCTGTTAATACTCTCCAGCCAAGTGAATGATGGACTTTCTCTCATCTGACTGCTCTTTGGAGTTGCCAGGAGGTGTCTCATTTGGTGGGAGATGCGGGGGTGTGCAAGGGAGTGGGAAGTAGGGGTGGGTGGGGGGCCAGGCCCCTTGTCAACAGCTGCAGTGCCTCTGAAATGCCGACGGCATCCAGGCCAGGAGGTGCTGGCTGCAAGGTGGCAATTAGTCATGGTTTCTGTGTTGCTTTCCACCTTTGGTCATTATTTCAGAGAGCCTTATTAAAATTATAAGTTCAACCAGAACCTTCTTTGGAAGCTGCTCTTTCTCTCTTGAGACATATTCCTAGGTAAGAGGAAAGGTAAGAGTCCCATGTGGATATGTGTCCTTCTCTTTCCTCATTTAATAAACAGCCTAATTGGAGTCTTCAGTCTCTGGCTTTTACTTTGAATAGAAGCTGAATCACATAAACACTTTAATCAGGGGATTTCAATGTCATCATGGAGCAAGCGCGAATTTTGTAGGTAATAATGAGGAAGAAACATTTTCCCGAGAAAAGCTACTTTGTGTGTGCCTTGGTGTTTTTAATTTAGATGAGTCTCCACTGTTTGGCTTTTTTTTTTTTTTTTTTTCTAAAAATGAGAACATTCTTCACTGAAATTATATATTCCTCAGAGACAGATGCCAACCAGACATTCCATAAAGAAGGGCTTTTTTCAAAAGACGGAATTTGGCCATATCTTTACACTGGAAACAGGAACCCACACGAATCCACAGCTGCAAAAGGCAACGCATCCATAGTCACATAGAAATTTAGACGTTAACTGGAGCTACGTGGCCGGGCCTGCCTGTTTGGAAGCAGGAATGGGCCGCTGGGAATGCCGCGGGAGTGGAGAGCCCGAGCTGCAGGCGGCAGAAGTGCTGGTGTCCTGTCTCCTGAAATGCTCTTGGCTGGGTTGTTAGTCTTCCAGTGAGGCGTGCAGCTAAGCTCGAGAATACTCCTCCACCTGACTCTTACAGAGGCAGGGAAGGTCATCTCGAATCCTTAAAGGGTCCCTTTTCTCTTCTGCAAAACAGTTAGAAACTGTATTGTGGGAGGGTAGCGGTGTTGTCATTTCTCCCAGTGCTTTGGAAGTGGCATTTCATGTATAAGAAAGGTGTATGGCTAACCAGGCATGAAAAAGCCTTCATCACCATCATCACCTATTTGTGGACTTTTCACATTCTTCCTTGTGTCAGCCCACCAAAATCTACAGGATTAAACACAATTGCCATGAAGACAATAAATAAATTGTGGACTTTAGTACAGATGGCAAGAACCATGCCTCTTATAAAAACAATATACACAGTGAATTGAGTGTATTGCTGAGGAAACATGAGACCCTTGCAGGTGTCAGGCCAAGGGCTAGAGGCTCACCCAGACTCCAGTTTGTCTCTGAATATCTCTGAAAGGTGAGGAGGATCAGTCCAGTGCCAGATTACCCAGATTCAAGTACTGCCTCTGCTATTTCTGTGTGGCTTTGGGCAAGTGCCAAGCCCTTCAATTTATGCAACTGTGACATGGAGTTAAGGACAAGGAATAGTGCCTGGTGGGGAGGAAGCCCTGTGTCAGCTTTTGCTATCCCTACAAACTGCTGAGCCAGCACCTGCAACCCTTTCATAGGTCCGGCAGTCCCAAGGCACAATGATTGTGACCCCAGACAGTTTAGCTACTTGGGGATGACTTTCTGCAGAATTAAATAAGTCTGGGATTCTGCAGATTGGAGGTGGGGATTCTATTTCTATTTCTTGGATGGCTTAACATGGGGACTTACCTAGAGGAAATCCCGCTGCCTTATTTTTCTTCCAAATAAATAAATACTGAAGTTGGCTGGAGCTTTTCACGGGGTGCTCGATTCTCAAGTCTCCTTTTCTATTTGTGATCATTTGGCCTAGTCTTAGCTCCTATTCATTTTTTTTTCTATTTTTTCACAGTAAAATAAGGGATTAAATAAAGTCTATGGCTTGTGTAAGAGGAAGATCACAGAAACGGGTGTCACAACAGTGTCTCCTAAGTGGTTGCTTCAATCTGGCCATGGATTCTGGTCATTATTGAGATTCATAAGTAGGTGGAGACCACATGTCAGCATTATTTATTTGAAAATTCAGGCCATAACTCTCCAATTTACAACATGAAAAGCAATATTTTATTCAAGTGCATGCATTCTGAGGCCTATAGCTAAGCAGGGGCTTTAAGGGCGTGTGCCACTAGATGCGATATAAAGACTACATTAAGGTCAGAATACCGAAGTGACCAATTTACAGAGGAGCTTTTGTGGAGGTAACGCACAAAGAGCCAAACAAATGTTATTCAAGCCCATCTCGCCTCTGGGTTTTGAAAAGCTGGTGACAGGGTAAAAATCCAATCACTCCACTGTGTGGAAACAACTCATGTCATTAGTTTTTTGGCATTTTCTTTTGTGATGCAGTGCAGCTAATGGTCGGTATAGGCAGCTGTATAGACCAGCCATTTGAGGAGCCACACTTTAGACACACAGGCATGGCTGTGTTCAGTTTAATAGGAACCATGTGTTCCAATCAAAACAACATCTGACCCTCATGCTTCAAATAGTGTGTATGCTTCTCAAGGGGTCTATTCAGTCAGACAGCTGTTGGGAGGTTTATTCCCACATTTTAAATTTGTCTTTGGCCTGGACAAACTGCTCATGTTTTAATATTTCTCTGGATATTGTTTTTCACTGTTTTACCTCCTCAGCTTAAAGCTTTGGTTCCCAGCTCAAATCCCAAATTGTTTTTAAGGTGAGGTCCACTAAAATTCATTTGATCTTCTTTTTTTTTGGTGTTATTTTACAGCAGAAATTCAGATTAAAGTTATTTTCAAAGATTAGGTTACTAAGGGGTAACTTAAAATCCTTTGGCTTTAATGATTTCTCTGTGTAGACCAGGATAAAAACACTTTCTTTTCTTTCTTTTTTTTTTTTTTGAGGCGGAGTCTCTCTCTGTCAGGCTGGAGTGCAGTGGCACAATCTCAGCTCACTGCAACCTCCGCCTCCCGGGTTCAAGTGATTCTCCTGCCTCAGCCTCCCGATTAGCTGGGACTACAGGCGTGTGCCACCATGCCCAGCTAATTTTCATATTTTTAGTAGAGACGGGTTTCACCATGTGGGTCAGGCTGGTCTCTAACTCCTGACCTCAGATGATCCACCTGTCTTGGGCTCCCAAATTGCTGGGATTACAGGTGTGAGCCACCGCAACTGGCCAAGAACACTTTCTTTTGATTCAAAGATTTTTTTCTCTGATCCTTCAAAATATATGGAGGCTTGAGTTGCTACGTAGTAGAGATGTTAAATGAAAAAAGTAGTTAAGGACCCTAATTCTGAATTTCCTAAAAAGAATCAATTCAGTGAAAAAGAGAGGCTGTACAGCACTTTGGCTAGGAGCCTTGGTTTTGGAATCAGACACCTCCGAGGTAGAAACCCTGCTCCGCCGCTAGCTGCAAGATCGTGGGCAATGACCTAGCCTGTTCAAGATTTACCTTCCTTATAGAGAAAACAGAGAAGCCTCATCTCAGCGGATTAAATGAGATAATGTGTGGTAAGTACATAATCTAGTTCCTAGAAAACAGTACATATTCAATAAAGTACAGCTTTATTTCAAAACTCAAATCTCTAGTCTTATCCATAAAGAGGAAGCAGCACATGGCAAGTCCTGTGATGGGGAGGGAGCTTAGTGACTTTTCGGACTGAACCGAATTCCTTGTGGCTAGAGACAAGTACACAGTGGGGAGAATGGTGAAAGATGAGCCAGAGTTCAGGATCTTGTCACACCGTCCCTGGGCCCCCTCATACATTATCAGCTGAATCTGCCTGATAGTGGGGGCATCTTGACACATGCATGAAATAAAACACTACTGGAAAAAATGAGCCAGAAGTCACTCGCCATGGACCCCCAGATCCTTTCTGAACTTTTAATCTACTCACTGCTGTGAAGCATTTGAGTCTAATAAGGGGTTGACATTTACAACGGACACTTCTGAAAGATCACCATAAAGCACCGAGATATTTTACATCTTTACGCAAACCCTCTAATAAAAAAAGAAAGCAAAATGAAAGGTAAAACAAATAGATTTCAGTCTTAGTTTATAATAGACTTATTTAGGTGGTTATGATGAAATGGGACATGGAGAATACACATGGATGGTCAGGCATTTCAAAATTTTGCTTAGGTTCACGTTGCTTTTTTGTTTTTGGAGACAGGGTGTCACTGTGTCACCCAGGTTGAAGTGCAGTGGCATGATCATGGCTCACTGCAGCCTCAACCTTCTGGGTTCAAGCAATGCCCCCAACTCAGCCTCTCGATAGCTGGGACTACAGGCACAAGCCACTGTGCCCAGCTAATTTATTATTATTATTTTTTTGTAGACACAAGGGTCTCACTATGTTGCTCAGATTGATCTCAAACTCCTGGCATTCACTGGCATAGCCACATTCTTATTAAGGTGTGGGCACCTACCTTTTTCCTTTGGAAGTTCACATCAAGTTTCATTGAGGCACACTTGTTCAACGTATTTAGTCGTCTAAAAGGAAAGAAAAATGTGATGATTACTTTCACTAATGAATTTAAATCTCTCCAGTTTGATAATCCTCCTTTATTTCCAGTAAAGTTGAAACTGCAGGAACAACCAATTATGTCCCAAGACAGTACTGCACCCACAGAAGGTATGCTATATAGTAGTTCCCATTTGTGCTCCAGCCTCCTGACCTGAGAGGACTCTACCACTAAGCCTACCAATCCCTGCCTTTTCCCTAATCTAAACCCAGCCCTTTTCTGGCTTCTCTTTCCACTGTTCTTGGAATCCATGGCTGATCATTTTAGCCATACTTTCACTATCTCCTCCAATCGTTTGCCACCTTGACCTTGCATCAAGTCTATCCCGTTAACCTCTAAATATGGATCAACACAACCGTGTATCTTCTCTCCTGATCTCAGGTGGTTGGGTATAGGTAGAAAATAACTCACATCACAGTGCTGAATTATACATGCTATAGGCTAACTATGCCGCTCCAGAACACATACGTTGAAGCCCTCCATTCACATATGTGAATGTCCAACGTGATTGATTTGGAGTAAAGAAGTGATTAAGGGTAAAGGGGTCTACCAGGGAGGAGCTCTGATCCCAGAGGATTAGTGTCCTTGTAAGAAGAGATACCAGAGAGCTCCCTCTCTCTCTCTGCATGTGAGGACACAGTGAGAAGGCAGACATCTACAGGTCACAGGACCCTTACCAGGAGCCAAACCCTGCCAGCACCTTGATCTTGAACTTTCCAGCCTCCAGAACCGTGAGAAAATAAATTTCTGTTGTTTAAGCCACTCGGTCATGGTGTTCCATCATGGCAGCCTGTGCTAATAAATACATTTTGATTTTCACCCTCAGCTGGACTCTCAAAGATGTTACCCAGCATTTCTTTCATTTCGTTGGGATTACAGGCATGAGCCACTGTGCCCAGCCCCTCTTTCTGACTTCTATCATCCGTAGATTAGTTTTGCTTCTTCTTGGTCATTGTGTAAGTAGAATTATATAGTATGTATTTTTTGAGTGACTGTTTTTTCATTCAACACAACGTTTGTGAGATTGACTCATGTTGTTGAGTATACCAATAATCATTCAGCTTAGTTCCTGAGTATGAAGACACACAATTGGGTTACCTATTCTCTTGCTGATGGACATTTGAGCTGTTTCCAGTCGTTTCTTTTGTTTGTTTGTTTGTTTTTTGAGACGGAGTCTCACTCTGTTGCTCAGGCTGGAGTGCAGTTTCGCAATCTCCGGCTCACTGCAAACTCTGCCTCCCAGGCTCGAGCAATTCTCCTGCCTCAGCCTCCTGAGTAGCTGGGACTACAGGTGCACACCACCACACAGGCTAATTTTTGTATTTTTAATAGAGATGGGGTTTCACCATGTTGGCCAGGATGGTCTCGATCTCCTGACCTCGTGATCCACCCACCTCAGCCTCCCAAAGTGCTGGGATTACAGGCGTGAGCCACCGCGCCCAGCTTGTTTCCAGTTTTGACCAATGAATTTCTAACCATTGAATTCAATGGCTTCTTTTTAGCAAAGACCTATTAATAGCAATAGTCACAAATTAGTACCCATCATTCCTTGAAATTCTTTTCATCCTTGACATTCAAGATTATGAATTATCTCATCTCTCTGGACACCATCTCCTTCCTGCCACGAAGCAGTACTTGCCCTTTAACTATTAATTTTTTTGTTAGAATTCAGACTGAGGTCCATCCCTTTTTACTCTCCATGGCCTTACTGAAGAATCTTAACATAAATTAGACTCAAGTGATACCCAGTCCTCTGTCTCCAGCCCAGGCATCTCATCTGAGGCCAGAGTCACATTCTGCATTCTCTTCAAAACCTGTTTCTCCTACGTACTGTCTTGTCTTGACTAAGAGCATCACCAATGGGCCATCCAAACTAGAAAATAATGTCATCTTGAGGCTCTACTCCTTCACAATCTACATTCGTTGATCACCAAATCCTGTCAATTATACCTCTATGATGTCTTTGAAGTCTTGCCTCTCCTTTGGCCCTAATTCAGTCTCCTGTCGTTGTTTATCAAGAGTCAGGCATCAGCCTCCTAATTGGTTTCACTACCACTTCTAAAACTTTACACTGAAACCAGTTCTATTTCTCAACTTTTTCTCACGTCGCTCACCGACTGAAATACGTTTAATGACTCTCCTCATTTTCAACCACCTCCAATGTACCCTCTGACTACGCATTCATTAGTGTCAGATATAGCAGGCAATGCTGAGTTGGAAGCTGATCATCTCATCTGAGACCATCTTTGGCAGGCTCTCAGCCTGTCTCTTTGGTCTGTTCCACGTGTGTTAGCATGTCTACCTAAGAGTGGGTGTGAAGTGAAAAAAAATGGTGGATATTGCACATTTGGTGGCTCTGTAACAGGTTTGTTTAGGGGAGGATTGCCTGTTATTTATAAAATGAACTTATCTAGTGAACTTGTTCTTCCATTAGGGTTTGGAAGCACAAACAAAACACTCCATTCTGCTTTTCTGTGGAAAAGCTTTTGATCTACGACACACACACAAGACATCAAAGGAATCATCTTCTATATACCACAGACTCGAATATGCTTTATACTTTCTGACACATGCAGGAAGTTTATTTATTATTTTCTAAAGCTGAAGACTCTAAGTAGATTTGACTTTATAGCTCTGGGTCCTTTTATTGCCCCTAAACTCAGATGTTTGCCTGTACCTTACAAATTGCTTCTCTACTTGGAAAAAGCAGTTGCAAAACATGTATTTGATAAAGGACTCATATACAGAACACCTAAAGAATTCTTAAACTCAGTAACAAGTCAAACAACCTGATTTTCAAATGGGCAGAATATTCAAACAGATACTTCTAAGAGAAGACATGAAAGGATGTTCAATATCATCAGTCATGAAAGAAATGCAAATTAAAATCATAACGAGACACCACTACACAACAGAATACCTAAAGTAAAAACGCTGACAACATTAAGTATTAGCAAGGATTCAGAACTACTGAAACTTCCAAAGCGTACAGTCTCTTTGGAAAACAGTTTGGCAGTCTCTTATGAAATTAGATATATTTTTAGTACTTGATCTAGCAATTCCACTCTCAGCTACTTATGCAAGATAAAAGAAATCACATGTCCACAAAAAGATTTATACTTTTTATAATTTTTTTTTTGCTGTAAAAAGATTTGTACTTGAATGTTCATAGCAGCTTTAATCATAAGATAGCCAAAAAGTAGAAATGGCCCAAATGTCCATCAGCTGGTAAATGGATATAAAAATTGTGGTATATCCATACAATGGAATACTCAACAATTCAAGGCACTAACTATTGATACATACAACACTATACATGAATCTCAGAGTCATTATGCTAAGTAAAAGAACCCAGACACAAAGAGCATACACTACAGGATTCCACTCATCAAAAAAATTTCAGGCAAGGCAAAACTGTAGTGACAGGAAACAGATGAGTGGTTGCCAAATGCTGGCACTGGGGGACTTTTTGAGGTCACAAAAATGTTCTGTGTCACGGCTGGGCATGGTGGCTCATGCCTGTCATCCCAGAACTTTGGGAGGCCAAGGTGGGCAGATCGCTTGAGCCCAGGAGTTTGAGACCAGCCTGGGCAACATGGAGAGGCCCTGTCGCTACAAAAAAAATATATAAAAATTAAGCCGGGTGTGGTGGCTTATGCCTGTAATCCCAGCACTTTGGGAGGTGAAGGCAGGTGGATCACCTGAGGTGAGGAGTTCAAGACCAGCCTGACCAACATGGTAAAACCCCATTTCTACTAAAAATGCAAAATTAGCCAGGCGTGGTGGCACATGCCTGTAATCCCAGCTACTCAGGAGGCTGAGGCAGGAGAATTGCTTGAACCCGGGAGGCGGAGGTTGCAGCGAGCCGAGATTGCACCATTGCACCCCAGCCTGGGTGACAGAGTGAAACTCCATCTCAAAAAAAAAAATTAGCTGGGCATGGTGGCACGTGCCTGTAGTCCTAGCTACACAGGAGGCTGAAGTGAGAGGATCACTTGAGCCTGGGAGGTCAAGGCTGCAGTGAGCTGAGACCACGCCACTGCACTCCAGCCTGGGTGACATAGTAGGACCCTGTAGCTGAAAAAATAAAGTTTTATGTCACGATTGTGGTGATAGTTACATAGCTGTACATTTCACAAAATTAATCAAATTGTATGCTTTGGTGATTTTTTGGAATATAAATTATATTTAAATAAAGCTGAATAAAAAATAATGCAAGTGAGTGACATCAGTGAAAAAGGTTAAGTGAAAACCTCCAAAACCCCACTTCTTCATAAAATCAACAAAAGTACTGGCAGATATTGTCAAAATCAACTTTTTAAGAAAGCTGTAAATTGATATGGGCTTCCAACAAACTAAGTAACACTAAGTGTCTATTTAAGAAAAATGGTTAAACATATGTAAGGACAGTGAGCTTTGTGACATTCAAACCCACCCTATTCCTATGCCCTTTTCCCCAGCTTTTCAGGAGCTTTGAAAATCAACAGCATCACCGTCAGAGTAGCTGTGAAAACTAGTAGCCTTGCATCCACTGGAGAGGGAAGAACATGTTTGAGCTTCCCCAAAACTCCGTTACCAAAGAATTGTCATTATCTGAGCTGTCTGGGAATTCCCTGAAAACCCCCAGTTCACAGCGCTTGTCTTTATTTAACCTGACTCAAATCATTACTGAAACTAGCTTATACCCAGGGTGTTTGTCAAAGACAGTCAGTAGTAATTAGTCAACATGGCAGTTGCCTGAAATGGTAATAACAGTTGAGCCAAACAAGATGCTAACCAAAAAGCTTAAAAAGAATATCTGGGAGAATGAGATGTCCATAGGGGACTTAGAAAAGTTCCAATGTATTCCTAGGAATCTAGAAGGCCAAGTACATGTGCAGAACTGTGTGTATACCCAGGAAAGACCTGAGCTGGCCCTAATCTTCCACCTTTAGCTGACCTTGATGATCTGCACAAGCAGGAAATCAAGGCTAAGGCAGAGTTATCAATTCCCTGCTGCAGTGCTGAAGCCATATTGTAACATGCACAAAGAGCCGCTCAGCAAAGACTGAGGGATTGGTTGAAGGTATCTAAGAAAATCTCTGTCCAATCATTTGCTGATTACTAAATTAACTGAGTAGATACTTCAGTGGATACAACAAGGGATACAGACTTTAGAGAATTAGTTCCAGATATTCATTAAACAGATAGCAACAATGACCACCCTGGGAAGAGAAGATCTGATTTCAAGAGGTGCCATATTACAATATTTAAAATGTCCAGTTTTAAACAAACAAACAAACAAACAAAAAACCAAAACAGTGGATATCAGCAAATTGATTCTAAAGTTTATATGAAGGAGCAAAAGACTCAGAATAACCAACACAATAATGAAGGGGCAAAACTGGAGGACTGACACTATCCAAATTCAAGACTTCCTATGAAGCCATAGTAATCATGATAGTATGGTACTGGTGAAAGAATAGACAAAGAGATAAATGGAGCAGAATGAGGAACCCAAAACAGACTCGCACAAAGAGAGTCAACTTACGTTTATAAAGGAGCAAAGGCAATACGATGGATAAAAGGTAGTCTTTCCACAAATGCTGTTGCAACAAGTGGATATTCAAATGCAAAAAAAATTTAGTCTAGACACAGACCTTATATCATCACAAAAATTAATTCAAAATGAATCATAGACCTAAGTGTAAACACAAAGCTATACAACTCCAAAAAGATAACATAGGAGAAAATCTACATGACTTTGAATAAAGTGATGACCTTTTAGATTCAACACCACAGGCCTGGTCCATGAAAGAAATAACTGATAAACCAGACTTCATTAAAATTCAATACTTCTACTTAGTTCTTTCAGAGAAAAAAACTTTCAAGAGAAAGAGAAGACAAGCTATATACAGAGAGAGCATATTTGCAAAAGATATCTCTGTTAAAGGACTATTAGCTAAAATATATAAAGAACCCTTAAAACTCAACAATAAGGAAACAAACAGCCCAGTTAAAAAGAGGGCAAAACATCTGAACAGACAACTCACTAAAGGAGATGAATATATGGTAAACAAGCCTTTAAAAAGGCACTCAACATCACATGTCATTAGGGAATTGCAAACTAAAACATCCATGAGATACAACCACATATCTAAGGTAAAAATCTAAAACACTGACAACACTAAATGCTGGTGGGAATGTGGAGCAACAGAAACTCTCATTCATTGCTGGTGGGAATGAAAAATGGTATGGCCACATTGGAAGACAGTGGGCAGCTTCTTACTGCCAAATACACTTTTATCATATACTCGAGAAATTGCACTTCTAGGCATTTACTCAAATGAATGGAAAACTTACATCCACATGCAAACCTGCACGTAGGTATTTATAGTAGCTTTTTCATAATTTTCAAAACTTGAAAACAACTGATATGTCAGGTGAATGGATAAACTGTGGTCCATGTGGGCAATAGAATGTTATTCACCAGTAAAAAGAGGTGAGCTATCAAGCCATGAAAAGACATAGAAGAAACTTAAGTGCATGTTACTAAGTGAAAGAAGCCAGTATGAGAAGGCTATATCCTCTATGATCCAACTATATAGCATTCTAAAAGAGGCAAAACTGTGGAGATAGTGAAAAGATCAGTGGTTGCCAGGGGTTGGGGAGAGGAGGAGTGGAAAGGTGGAACACAGAGGATTTTTAGGGCAATGCAGCTACTCTCTATGATACTATAATGGTGGATGCATTTGCCAAAACCCACAGAATATATAACACCAAGTGTGAACCCTAATGTACACTATGGAGAATTTGGGTGATAATGATATGTCAATGTAGGTTCATTGATTCTAGAAAATGTACCAGTCTGGTGGGGGATGTTGATAGTGAGTGGGCGGGGGGCTGTGCCTGTGTGGGAACAGGCTATATATGAAAACTCTCTGTAGTTTCTGCTCAGTTTTGTTGTGAACCTAAAAATTCTCTAAGAAACAAAGTCAATTTTTAAAAATGAAGTCTTTTTTTATTCATTTAAAACAATTTCATTTTTTGGACTTTGAAATTACTGATGTAAAATTATCTATGTGTCTTCTGTTCTTGGTTTACTTGCTCATTAGTTGCCATTCCTACTAACAAAGTCATCATCACTGAAGACATCTTAGACATTTTAGGTAGATTTCAAACAACCATCCAAATCTTCCTTCTGAATCTTGCCATAAGCCAAAGGGGAAAATAGTCTATGGTTGTCTGAAACTAGGTACATATTCCCATCACGGTATAGCATTGGCCTGTGATTTAGCTTACACAAGGTAAAATAAACAATGGCTAGATTCTGTAAGAATACAAATTGGATGAAACATATCCCTGACAGATGTAAACGCCTCTTTAAGATCTGACTGCCTCAAGTAAAAGAATATGTCACAGTGGAAGTATTCATCACACTTTATCAAAACCACTGCAAAATTCTCGTGTGAGTGAAGCCAATCTGCATTTAGGACAAATATTTAGCCCCAGTATCTGCTTCCCTTTAACTTAATCATAAGTAATATAAAATCCTTCAGATAATCTGAGTTGGTCTAATACTGGTTCCTTGGAAAACTGTTCCTGCATGGATGAAAATTTCAATTATAGAATGTATTTGCAGCATGAATAGTGTGTCCTCCATTGGATTGGAGCCTTGATTCAGACAGGGACCATAATTTATTCTTCTTCTAATCCCCATAAATCCTAGAAGGAAGTTTTATACATGATAGGCTCGGTAGGCTTTTCTTTTTGAACTGAGCATGCTTTGTTCATATAGGTCCAATCAGTGATTGACTTTAAGTAGTTACAATAGACCTTGTATAGTCAGGATAGCAGAATTATTCTCCACCACTGAGTATGACAGGCTATGAGTTGCATCTTATTTGCATTCTTCATGCCTAGTACAGGCCCTGGCTCAGAGCCAATCCATTCAGATAATGTTTGCTAAGGAAACATTAGATCCTGGACAACACTAGGGACCACTTGGACTGATGCTTTTATTTTCAGATGAGAAGATAAAGTCTCTGAGGGGACCATATGCTCAAGGCAGCCACACATTAGTGAGCAGCCAAGCTAGAACTTCTTTCTGCCATGTGATTTATCTGCTCCTGTCTACTTAAGAAAAATTTTAGGAAGGCCTGGGAAATGAGAGCTTATGTCATGTACCCAGCACAGGCTATTCAATAAACACTTGTTTCCATACCCTCTCTACTTTCTCCATGGGAAGAGAAAACCCATGGCACATGATGAAGCCTGTCCTCTTCATGTTTTGAGCAAACTGAATTCATGTGTTAACCTAAACACAGCAGTTTGACCCTTTCAGAAGATAATGATACTGCTGCCACAACCTGTTAATTTTTACTGTTGTCTTCAGAATCCTTGAGAAGGGCTAATACGCTAGCAAATGTGAAATAGTAGTCTCATTTTAAGAGTGAAACTTGAGGTTCTAATGGGAAAGTCAACAAGAAGAGAAGAAGCCAAGATTCGTTCATCCGACAGTGCGCTGTGTACCAGGAATAAGTTAGGTGCTGGGAATACAGTATTTAAAAAGATATGGTCCCTGCCCTTGAGAATCTCATGGTCCCATGTGGGATAGAAACATGATTAAAAAGAGAAGAAGCTACTCACTTTCTGAGAGCATAGGGACAACGCCTCCCAGAGGAGGTAATATTTGAGCATACCTATGATGGATTAAGAGAAATTTGCTGTCTAGGCAAGGAGAATTACAGGAAAAAAAAATAGGCACAAAATAGCAGGGTATAATCCAGGAATTGCAAATATATGAAAAGGGGTGTTAGTCTGTTTTCATTGCTATTAAGGAATACCTGAGACTGGGTTGATTTATAAGGAAAAGAAGTTTAATTTGGTTCATGGCTCTGCAGGCTGTACAAGGAGCATGGTGTTGGCCTCTGCTTCTGGTAAGGCCTCAGGAATCTTACCATGACAGCAGAAGGTGAAGAGAGGGTGTGCATACCACACGGTGAAAGCAGGAGGGAGAGATAGAAAAGGGGAAGGTTCCAGGCTCTTTTAAATAACTAGATCTCACGTGAACTAACTGAGGGAGAATTCAACATCAGGAAGATGACACTAAACCTTTCATGAGGGATCTGCCTCCATGAGCCAACACCTCCCACCAGGCCCCAACTCCAACACTGGGAATTGAATTCCAATGTGAGATTTGGAGGGGACAGACATTCAAACCATATTGAGGGATAAGCCTGGACAAGCAGGCAGGGGCTAGATCACAAAGGATTCAAATGAAGATGTTAGGAGCAATCTGGTACAATGAGGAGCTACTGAAGGATTTAGACAGGAGCGTAACATAGATTTGCATTTTAGAAATGTAACTGGCAGCAGGATAGAGAAGGAACTAAAGAGAAACAATTATAACATGGTTCTAATAGTCCAGGGGAGAGATGGCAGAGAGATGCAAAAGGGGAGTGAGAGTGGGATGTCTGCGTGAAGACAGAGACTCGGCCATTGGTTGATGTGGAAGCTGCAGAGAGGCAGAAACAGAGGATGACTCCCAGATTTCAGACTTTGCTGAACATGCCGTTAAACACAGAGGAAACAGGGAAATAGGGAAGTTGACAGGGAGCTAAGATATGGGGGAGATCATGATCATGCTCATGTTTGGATATGTTAAATTTTAGGGGCCCTGTCACATTCAGACCCACTTGGGAATGGTCCACATATGGATGATATACACAGAAGATACATAATAATTAAAGTCAATCATCCAGGGGAAATCCAGAACTCTGGAGAATTACAGTGGTTAAGGCATGGGCCAAGGAAGGGAGCCAGGTTCAGGGAAGGTGCAGTCAGAGATGTAGGAGTCGACAACAACTAGCTGAAGATGGTGTCCTAGGACCCTGGAATTGAGATAGAATGGGAGTGGTGAGAGGCTCCTCCTTCACATGTTTTTTTCATTTTTTTTCTTCTTCTCTTCTCAAAACCCATGCTACTACTTTGCTGACACTATACCTGCTAACCCCGAGGCTTCAGTCATACAAAAAAAAAAAAAAATAGCCATTCTTCTGTGCTCTTATAAAGTTTTACCCTGTCTTTTACTTAAAGAACTCCAGGAACTGGCCTTAGGAAACCAAACACTGAACCAAGTTTGCAGTGTCCCACCTCAGAAAGGAATGAGGAACAACTAATGTACAGCCTTGTTGCCTCCAGCCAGACCTCAAGGTGGCCCATTACTCAAGATAACCATCGTGACCTACTCATCCCCTACCCACCATGGGCTTTGCCCAGCCCAGCCCACATACCTCCTCCGATGTCAATTCTCTGCCTAATAAAAAAAATCCCTCCCAGCTCTTTTTGGGAAACTAGCTGGAGGATCCTTGGGCCTCTGCTGTCTCCCTTGTGCTCAAGCACAAGCCTTGAAATAAAAGCCTAGTCTGGGAAATGTGCCTGGTCCCGCGTTAATTCCCGTATTACATGGGGAGCCGAAGAGCCCGTGGCCTATAACAGAATGAGCATTAAAAAAAGGAGGGAGTAATTGGGTGGCTGTATCAAATCTTTAAGAAAGAGTAAGTGATAAAGCCTAAAAACACTTTTTGGATTGAGCAGTTCATGAGGGCAGTATTAGGAAAGGCATGGACATTCTTTTAAAATGTCTAGCTAAGAAGGAGGGTGATTTAGGTTATTTTGAGGAGAAAGTGAAGAATTTATCACCACATAGTCTTCTCTAACATGAAGATGCCATCAAGTAATTTGAGAACTGACAGGCTGTTTTCTTCCAGGTTCCAGTTCAATTTAACAAATGTTTATGGAAGTCCTGCTCAGTACAAGGCCATGTGACACCAAGCACCCACGATATACCACTGACTAAGATGCCATCCCCACTGTTGAGCACTTGGAAATTGGTAGAAAGTCCCTTGCATGGTCAGCAGACCCTAATGGAAGTAAGGCGGTCGTCAGCAGAAAATCGAGCTGTGCACAGACTGCCTGGGCACACAGGAAAAGAGCCAGAGAGGGATGCCCAGGGCCTGGGAGGATGGCCAGGAGTGCAGGAACGGAGGGACCAGGAAGAAGGACCAGAGAAACGCTGGGCGACTGTGTGCCGGGAGGGATGTTAAGCAGCCTGTGTGCCCTGAGTATTGCAGGGTGGCTGGGAGGTGCCCGGGCCCAGACCAGCAGGGGCGTTTGACTCAAGCTGAAACAGAAGCCTGGAGAGACACCCAGCGGCCCTCTGCCTACAGATGTATAGGAAAACAATAGGACTCTCTCCTTCTTTGTAGTTTAGATTCCCATTTGACATCTAAACTGCCAGACTTTAGACTGGTCATGAAGTCTCTCGTGTTGATTTAATGACCAGTTTCCTGTGATACTTCTAATATTCCTGCCAAAGGCTTGAGAGAAATAACAACCAGGGGCATGATGAGTTCAACTCTTACAGACAATTCTGATTAAAGCCTAGCAGCCTGAACTTCTCACCCAGGCTCCTATGTATGTCCTAGCCCGGCCTGCTGGGGAGTGTTCCGGGTGGGGCCCTCCAAGACATTCAGGAACCTAAGTCACTGAGGATGTGTTCTTAACCTAGGGATCAAAGGCAAGTCAGGGAGCAGCTCCTCCTCCTCGGGCTGTAGCTGCAGGGCATGGGAAAGGTCTCCATGCTGGCGGACTGTTGGAAAATGCAGATTCTGGAGAGCAGAGATGGATATACTAATGCCAAAGAGACAATTCTGGTATGTAACTCCATGAGGGTGGGGCCTTTCAACAATCACAGGCCATCCACAGGGAGGGTGTCGGGCGCACTGGGGGCAGGGGGCAGGAAAAAGAAAGAGGACAGTCAGAAGTCAGAAGTCAGCAGGTGGTGTCACCGTGCCACTACGCAGCCAGGGAAGGCCACACCTCTGTTCAGCTTTTCCCTCTGATGTTCTGCCGAGTGGTCAGGCTGCAGCAGGAATACTGACCTCTGTTCCAGTCCATAAACCCCAAAAGAACTGCCCCTGGACATTAGTTGAGGTGTGGAAGAAAAGCAGTTAAACATTGAGGGCTCTAGCTATACAAAGAAAATTAAGTATATGTATGCTGTCCAGGGACACGATATCTATGTGGAACTGTGTGAATTTCATTTAGCTTGTGCAAGAAAATAAATGTAAATAAGCTATGTGCTTTAATCATCAGGACTTCAAGGAAGAACATAGGCTCTCTTGGCTATTCAATAAAAAGTGATGGCCAAAGTGGCCCGGGGGAAAGAACTTAAAACAAAAAAAAAGTCCAGGTTTTCTTGGACCTCTTTAGTTTGTGGAATTTCAGACCAATTTTATATTCACATGTGCTTGTATTGGAAAATTGAGTGGGGTGTCCTTAGCTTTTTATTGTAACTGTTTACAATAATTGCATCAGATCCAGATAATTTTTCTAGTGAGAACTGGTCCAGCTTCAAGTGAGGGTCATGACTAGCGATTTCTGAGAGAGGGTCAAGAACTGAAGGCTGAGCAAAGCAGCCGCGCGGGAACCGGCTGCTCAGGAGCCCACCCCTCACTCACACTGAGGCTTCTTTCCTTCCCCTTCCCCTGGGGCTTCTTTCCTTGGGGCTTCTTTTCACTTGGGGCTTCTTTCCTTCCCCTTCCCCTGCCTGCCCGTAGAGAGGATTCCCCGGCATCCACTCTTAGTCCTCTCCTCACTGTCCCAGCTGTCCCTGAGTGACCTCATGCACTCTCAGGGCCTTCCTCCTCACATGCTGGTGACTTCACATCTCCATCCCCAGCTCCGGGCCGGGCACCCTACTGAACACTGGACATTGGCACCTCACCCACCCAACACCTCAGCCCACCCTATCTTCCCTCCTGACTCGCTCCTCCTTCATGGTTGTTCCCCACCTCAGGGAAGGGTATCTCTGCCACCCAGCTGCTCAAACCAGGAGGACTCAGCTCACCCTCAATTCTGAACAACACCTGTTATTCATAGGCTGTTATGAAAATTAAGTGAGATCAATGTAAAGAGCTTAGCACACAACTTCATGCATAATGAACACTCACTAAATGTTAGCCATTAGCATCTGCAAGGCAAGGCATTTTTTAAAACATTGCTAATGTTTTTAATAATGCAATACAAACACCTGAAATATACATAGAGAAGTGAATAACAAGAATATAAAGTCTCTCTCTTCCCCTCAATCTCCTCCCTGATTTTGTATCTTCTTACACATTCTTCCTGAAAGCTTAGGCATATAAAAGTCATCCTGAGTACCTGGTTGAAAAAGATCACAAAAGAGGCCATTAAAAATATATATAAAATCATTTTTTATACAAAATAATATATACTAGCAAAATCCCCTATCTTTGAACCTATTATGTCTGTTCCTGACTATACCTCAAGCCTGTCCCCAAACTCTATAGACTAGTGAGGCAGACAGCTAGCCAGAGAACAGACATGATTACTTGCAGGAAGCTAAAAGCAATACAAATAGGGCCAAACAGGTTAGTGCAAGAACCCACTTCCTAGTGGAAAGGAATGGTTACAACAGGCTGTACCAATAAAGACAGGCAGCAGCCATCCTGCTTTAGGCACAGATAAGAATGTAACAAAGAAGAAACTGGCCACAACAGGGTAAATGCAAGATATACATGCTACAGTTAATTAGTATATATTTAAAAACACAAATTATGCAAATGAATGACTGCCAAACCTTGGCTGCATTACGCCCCCATTACCATAAAATTTCCATGGGTAAGGGCATCCCACTCCTATCACGCAGCTAACGCCATGGCGGTTCTGGATTAACAATACTTAGTCAATAAAAGGGTGGCATTCCAATTCCGAAAACTGCCCATCAATTTCCTGGAAAACCCATTCCCTTAGTATAGAATATTCCAAGCCTTCATTATACCTATTCATCTAGTTCGTGAGCCCTGGCCATGTTGGGCACGGCTCCTTCTTTTGAGCGTGTCCCTGTTCCTCTCTTGAGTGTGTTCTTGCTTTTGCTCTACAATAAATCTGCTACATTTTCACTTTGGTCTTGCTTTCAAATTCTTTTGTGTGGCAAAGACAAGAACCTGAAATGGCTCCACTGGCAACACTAAGATTGCAGTGGGGTTCATAGAGTGGGGTGGGGAAGGGGGAAGATGGCTTTTCTGCACATTAATTTAGTTTTTTTAAAAAAACTAAAAGTTCAAACAAGCCCATCCAAATGTCATGTGTTCTTGTCTGGGTAATTCCTACTACCATTTATTAGCTGTTAGTGGGCACATTCTTTTACCCCTCTGTTTCTCAGTTTCCTCCTCTGTAAAGGGGGAATGATGTTAACAGCCCATCTTTACAGTCAAGAATGCTGAAGAGCTTAAAACAGACAGGAGCCTATCTTACAGTGTTACCATGAGAATTTAATGAGTAAATATTTGCAATATACTTAAATGCAGTGCCTGGTATATAATAAGCACTTTGTAAGTGTTTTAAAGAAATAAAATAATGATTTATTGGGATCTGTATTTATTTATAGACTCAAGATTTTAAAGGTGGAAGTGACTGTGGTGATCATGTAACCCTCATATCCTTCTCCCAATGACTTGCCCAAGAAATCAGTTAATTGTCACTTATTATTTATTATAGGACATAATAATTTGAAATGTAATACTGTACATTTTCTGTGATAAATATTCTAAAAGGAAAAATATTTAAAATATCAATATTCATAAAGACTTTAATTATTTAATATTATTAATGTTATTCAACATACTCGAATCAAGTATGGGCCTTTGTATGTGTAGATAAATTGTAGATACCATTTTTGTCAACACTACCTTCCAATCCCCACCCCTGCCCCATGTGAAAATCATTATTTATTATCCTTTTAAATACTAAGGGCAATGATACGTATACTGTATAATCCTAACCGATTCCTTAGCTCTATCAAACAAGGTGAATGCCCTTGTTTTGCATGTGCTATAATTAATTAGTATTTATTAAAAAACACAAATTATGCAAATGGCTTACTGGCCTAACATTAAATTGGAAATTCAGAGATGGCCAGGCATGGTTGCTCACGCCTGTAATCCTAGCATTTTGTGAGGCCGAGTTGGGTGAATCACTTGAGGTCACGAGTTTGAAACCAGCCTGGCCAACATGGAGAAACCCCATCGCTAATAAAAATACAAAAAATGTAGCTGGGCGTGGTGGTTGGTGCCTGTAATCCCAGATAGTTGGGAGGCTGAGGCAGTAGAATTGCTTGAACTTGTGAGGTGGAGGTTGTAGTGAGCTGAGATTGCACCACTGCACTCCAGCCTGGGTGACAGAGTGAGACTCTGCCTAAAAACAAACAAACAAAGAAAGAAATTCAGAGATCATCTTGAGCATCGGGGCTGTATGTCAGCAGCCTGAGCAAATACTGCAAACCAAAATGCAAATTTAACATAGTACTTCTCCTTCAAAATAGTTCATTCAGGAGCTTTGGTTTACTGCAATTTGTCCTAAAGGTTACAAACTCTGTAAACTATTTTAACACCTTGGCTATCCCTACATTCTGATAAAGTTACAGTTTCAATGAGCTCACCTAGGTACTTAGATTTCCAAGTAGCTTCTCATGACTTACAGGAGAAAATAATTTTCAATTAAGAATTCAATAAAAAACATCAGAATACAATTACAATTGTGGTTGTTACATTAATAAAAAGTGCACTTTCCTGACTTGCAGGGACAAACATTTATGGAGTGTCTACTATGCAGCCTTGCTGAAGCAACAGAGAGACATGGTTGTCATTCTGGAGGTCACACCTTCTGCAAAGACAGCAAATGTGTCTAGTTTCTGGGGCCTAAAATGAGAGCTAGAGAGAAAGAGAGAGAGAGAGAGAGAGCAAGAGAAAGCTACACATTTACATATTCAGAGCCTCAGAGCCAGGCCTTGGTCCTCCCTGCCAGACATATCCTTAGTACAATACATATTTCCAAACCAATCAAAAAAGGTAACACTGCTTAACAACTCAAGAGTAAATTGGGACCTAGGGCATTCACTATCTATCTACTCAGGAGAGATGCTTGCAGAATACCAAAGGTGAGTGGAATTCTTGTCATGGCTAACACTTGCGGGAGCTCTTTGACTCTCCCATCTTCATCTGCCTACCTGGCAGAAGCTGCCTGCCCTCCGGCTGTGATTCGGTTTATGATCTGCACTAGCTCAGCATTTCAAATACATACATGAAATGTAGAGCCCACAAAGCTTTAAAAATAAAACAAGAGACCAGCTCCATCTCTGTGTCTTTGGTGCACAAGGAAGAAAACAAAGAAAATCACAACCCCTTACTGCTGTCTTGGCATCCATCATGACTTACCATAGGAGTGGCTGAGGGTCTAATTAACCACTCATCAATCTCAAAGTTTTAAAAGTGCTGCCGTTCCCCGCGGACTGGAGATCTTCCTTCTGCCTGCTTTCTGCTTTTGCAAAGCTGGAAATCTGTGTCTTGGTGGATCTCAAGAGGAAGGGAAAGAAACTCCACACTTCTTTGTAGCCAAGCCACCTCCATCTGTCTACCTCCTCTGCTTCTTCCTTTGATCCACCCCGGGTATGACTACTCCTTTGGCCTCTGTTCTACACACAGCTCCTACGCCCTGAGAATCTCAGTTCGCACACCTCCAGCCAAATGTTTTTCTTGCTTCGTAATATTTTTGGAGACATAGCTGCCATAAGAATTATTCCAGTTATAACAACTTCCTGCCACTCTAACCATTTTTATACAAGCCGGGCCCTTATCAGGAGCACTGTGGTGTCTAGTATTGCAGCCTTATTCCACGGTGATGTGGTAATGCCTTTGGGGGTATGTATGGACGAATCCTGCTACGGGCTATATCATGACAGGTCATGTGCTCTACAAGAGAAGACTTCCTGATTTTTCTGGACGACACTAGTATTATTATCCTGAACTTTATATCTCTGAATGATTTCACATGAATTGTACTTGCTCATCCCTATGATATGTCTGGAAGATGCTTTCTGTTGTTAAAGCATAGACTTTGATGGAAAAGCCCATAACGTAGTCAAGGCATCTCAGATCACATGCAGCAGCAAGTGGATAAGGATTCAACACCCACATGTTTGAGAGTCAAAGCTTGGCCCGCTAAGCCACCTATATCATCCTGTAAATAGAACTGCATAATCAGAGACAATCTTTGTCCTTGCAATCCTGATTTTAAAATATGCAATAGAATTTTTATTCTTGGTTTAAAATGTATTTTTTCCTTAACATTTTAGACTTAAAATCTTCAGGAAACTACTACAAAGCTACTAGAACTCATGAGTGAGTTTTAGAAAGATTGCAGGATACAAAGACAATATACAAATTTGTATACTAGCAATGGGCAACTGAAGACAAACATTAAAACACTGTGTCATTTACAGTAACACCACAAACATGAAATTCTTAGATACTATCAATGTGAACCACTCATATGCTTAAAACTACAAGCACTCTTGAAAAAATCAAAGGAGACCTAAATAGAGACATATACTGTGTTTATTAACACAAAGACTAAATATTGTTGAGATATCAATTCTGAACAAACTGATACAGAGATTCCACAAATCCAAATCAAAACTCCTTTAGGATTTTTAAAATAAATATCAATAAACTGTTTGTAAAATGTATATGGAAAGTCAGAGGCACTAGAATAGCCAAAGCAGACAAAGAAGAACAAAGTTAAAGAACTCAGAATATTGCATTCCAGGACTTACCTAAGTAATCAAGACAGTGTCACATTGATGAAAGAACAGACACATAGATAAATGGGGGCAGAATAGAGAGTCTAGAAATAGACTTATACATACATGGTCAAAGGTAATTCAGTAAAGACAGTATAGTCTTTTCAATATTGATCTGAAATGATTGGACATTGATATACAAAAAGTAAATCTTGACTCACACCTTGTTCTTTCTATAAAAATGAACTAAAAATGGATCATAGGTCTAAATATAAAACACAAACCTATGAAACTTCCAGAAGAAAACATAGGGTAAATAGTTGTGACCCTATGTTAGGCAAATATTTCTTAGATATGACATTAAAAGCATAAATAAAAATAGGTAAAACTGGACTTCAGAAAAATTAAAAACTTTTGTTCTGTGAAAGACACTGTTAAGAGACTGAAAATGCAAGCTACAGCCTGGCAGAAAATATTTACAAAACACATTTCTGACAAAGGACTCATATCTAGGACATATCCAAACTCTCAAAACTCAACAATAAGAAAAACAATACAGTTAAAAATGGTCAAAAGAGTTGAATAGATATTTTATAAAAGAAGACGTATGGATGGTAAATAAGCACATATTCAACATTATTAGTCATTAAGAAAGTGCAAATGAGTTAATACCAGACATCTATTAAAATGTCTAAAAGCAAAACAAAAACTGACAATACTAAGTACTAACAAAGATGTGGAGCAGTAAGGACTCTCATACATTGTCAATGGCAGTACAAGATAATATTTCACTTTGGAAAAATTTGGTGGTTAATTATAAAGTTAAAATAAACTTATCATATAGAGCCCACGATCCCATTCCTAGGATTTTACATCAAAGAAATGAAAACTTAAATGCTCATACAAAAACTTGAATATGAATGTTTAGAGTGGGTTTATAATCACCCAAACTGGCAACAACCAAATGTTCTTCAACTGGCTAATGGATAAACAACCGTAGGACATCCATACAATGCAAGACTATTCAGAAATAGAAAGCAATGAACTATTAAAACACATAGCAACATAAATGAATTTTTATTATTTTATAACAAGTGAAAGAAGCCATACTAAAAAGGCTACATGCTGTTTGATTTCATTTGTATGATATTTTAGCAAAACTATAGGTACAAAAAACAAATCAGTGGTTTGCTAGAGTTTGGGAGTAGGAGTAGAAGCTGCTAACAAGAGGAATAGGGAAATTTTGGGAGTGAGGAAACTGTTTTATATCTTTTTTTTTTTTTGAGACAGAGTCCTGCTCTATTACCTAGGCTGGAGTGCAGTGGCACAACCTTGGCTCACTGCAACCTCTGCCTCTTGGGCTCAAGTGATCCTCCCATCTCAGCTTCCCAAGTAGCTGGAACTACAGATGTGTGCCACCATGCCCAGCTAATTTTTGTATTTTTGGTAGGAATGGTGTCTCACTGTGTTGCCCAGGCTGGTCTCAAACTCCTGGGCCCAAGACATCCACCCACCTCAGCCTCCCAAAGTGCTGGGATTACAGGCATGAGCCACAACACCTGGTCTGCTCTATATGTTGAGTGTGGTGGTGGTTATAACAACTTGGAGGCATTTGTCAAAGCTCAAAGACCTATTCACTGAAAATAGTCAATTTTACTTTATATATATATGTATTAGTCCATTTTCACACTGCTGATAAAGACATACCCGAGACTGGGAAGAAAAAGAGGTTTAATTGGACGTAGTCCAGTTCCACATGTGTGGGAAGGCCTCAGGATCATGGTGGGAGGATAAAGGCCCTTCTTACATGGTGGTGACAAGAGAAAATGAGGAAGATGCAAAAGCGGAAACCCCTGATAAAACCTTCAGATCTTGTGAGACTTATACACTACCACAAGAACAGTATGGGGGAAACTGCCCCCCATGATTCAAATTATCTCCCACCGGGTCCCTCCTATAACATGTGGCAATTATGGGAATACAATTCAAGATGAGATTTGGGTGGGGACACAGCCAAACCATATCATTCCACCTCTTGCTCCTCCAAATCTCATGTCCTCACATTTCAAAACCAGTCATGCCTTCCCAACAGTCCCCCAAAGTCTTAACTCATTTCAGCATTAACCCAAAAGTCCATAGTCCAAAGTCTCATATGAGACAAGGCAAGCCCCTTCTGCCTACGACACAGGGCACCAAGTGCCTAGGCTGCAAACAGATAAGGACCCTGGGCCTGGCCCATGAAACCAGTTTTTCCTCCTAGACTTCCAGGTCTATGATAGGAGGGACTGCTGTGAAGACCTATGACATGTCCTGGAGACATTTTCCCCATTGTCTTGGGGATTACCATTTGGCTCCTTGACACTTATGCAAATTTCTTCAGCCAGCTTGAATTTCTCCTCAGAAAATGTGTTTTTCTTTTCTACTGCATCGTCAGGCTGCAAATTTTCTGAACTTTTATGCTCTGTTTCCTTTTTAAAATGGAATGCCTTTAACAGCACCCAAGTCACCTCTTGAATGCTCTGTTTGCTGCTTAGAAATTTCTTCTGCCAGATACCCTAAATCATCCTTTCAAGGGCAGGGGCAAAATGCCACCAGTCTCTTTGCTAAAACATAACAAGAGTCACCTTTGCTCCTGTTCCCAAGAAGTTCCTCATGTCCATCTGAGACAACCTCAACCTGGACTTTATTATTCATATCACTATCAGCATTTTTTTTTTTCAAAGCCAATCAACAAGTTTCTAGGAGGTTCCAAACTTTCCCACATTTTCCTGTCTTCTTCTGAGCCTTCCACACTCTTTCAACTTCTGCCTGATACCCAGTTCCAAAGTTGTTTCCACATTTTCAGGTATCTTTTCAGAAACACCCCACTCTCGGTACCAATTTATTGTATTAGTCCATTTTCACACTGCTGATAAAGACATACCCAAGACTGGGAAGAAAAAGAGGTTTAATTGGACTTACAGTTCCACATGGCTGGGGAGGCCTCAGAATCATGGCGGGAGGCAAAAGGCCCTTCTTACATGGTGGTGGCAAGAGAAAATGAGGAAGATGCAAAAGCAGAAAGATCTGATAAAACCATCAGATCTCATGAGACATATTCACTACCATGAGAACAGTATGGAGGAAACCGCCCTCATGATTCAAATTATCTCTCACTGGGTCCCTCCCATAACATGTGGGAATTATGGGAATACAATTCAAGATAAGATTTGGGTGGGGACACAGAGCCAAACCATATCAATAATGTTATACCTCAGCTGGGCTCGGTGGCTCACACCTGTAATCCCAGCACTTTGGGAGGCTGAGGTGAGCAGATCACTTGAGGCCAGGAGGAGTTTCAGACCAGCCTGGCCAACATGGTGAAACCCCATCTCTGCTAAAAATACCAAAATTAGCCAGGTGTGGTGGCATATGCCTGTAGTCCCAGCTACTCTAGAGGCTGTGGCAGGAGAATCATTTGAACCCAGGAGGTAAAGCTTGCAGTGAACTGAGATTGCACCACTGTGCTCCAGCCTGGGCGACAGAGCAAGACTCTGTCTCAAAAAAAAAAAAAAAAATATATATATATATATATAAAACATATATATATAACATATATATATATAAAACATATATATATAACATATATATAAAACATATATATATATAACATATATATAAAACATATATATAACATATATAAAACATATATATATAACATATATATATAACATATATATATGTTATACCTCAACTTAATGAAAACATTTCAAAAATTCAATGGGAAAAAATAATATATAATTTTTCAAATATTAAAAAAAGCCAACTAGCAAAAAAATATGTGGTTAAAACTGAGAGATAAAACTCAGGACGAAGTGCTGGCTACATGGCTCTGAGTGGAGTGAATGCTTATGAGGAGGAATCTGCTCCTGCTTGCTGTGTACCTTAGACATGCAGAAGAGGAAACACTGTCTTTCCAATTCATTACCTTTACAGAATCACAACCAAATCATCCATTCACTTCATAAGCTCTCATAAATGTCATTTTGAGTTTGTTTGTTTTCTCGTCCAAATAACTTAGTCCTGTCATTTATGATTTGAGGAGTTCTTTGCTCTTCCACCCATGTAAGCAAGCCCATAGTATTATTTTCTTGAACATTCAGAGATCATTTCTTAACACAAACCTATTTTCTCTTCATATAGAAAACACAGAGTGACTGGTTTGTGACACAAAAATATATTATGTATATACGTGTCTGAAGATTCAGCAAGCCTAGGATTAGGTAATTTACACACTATTTAATGTGCGTTGATCGCTCCTGTCTTCATAAGTTTTGCTAATCATTACTTTCCCTTTAAACTACTACCTTATTTATGTCAAATGCAGAATATACTAGAAAGAACATTGGATTTAGCATTAGGAATACTGGGTTTTAAGGTCATTTTGGCCCTAAACTAGCTGTATGGCCTTGGTAAAATGACTCATCTCCCATAACTAATCCTTATCTTCAGCTCTGACCTCTCTTCAGGGCTTTAATTATGAAACTTCAAATTCCTACAGACACACCACCTCTCAGGCAGCATTTAATTCTTCAGGAATATAGCTTTTCCTGGATCTTTTATTATTACCCAAATTATAATTGTTATTTGCTCAGGTATTCACACCTCATTTCTTCAACTGAGTTTCTTCAACAAGATAATACGTTGTTTTAAGGGGAAGAAATTATCCATATATACATCTTTGTCTCCTTACACTATCTATCACAAACTAATAGCTTAAATAGGCCAGTTTGGTGCTACAATTACTTGAGTTCATACACACGAGTTTGAGGAGATAATCACTTGACTTTGCAAAAAATACAGCCAAGTTTGACACACTCGTAGTTTTTCAGAGCCTTCCCTCACCACACATGCTGAGCCTGCTCATGCTTCTTCCCTCTACTGACCCATCCACACCCCCAATCACTGTCTACATCCCCATGTTGTTTTAGCTTGACCATAGCATTTATACTCTCTGAAATAAACTTTCCCCCTCCTTCTTTCTTTTTCTCACTCTCACTCTCTCTCTCTTCTTTCTCTGTCATTTTCCTAATCTAGTGTCCAAAGGCCCCTGCTAGGATTTAAGCTCCATGAAAACACAAACTGATCATGCTCATTAACAGTAGTACATTTAGAACCTGCACCTGGGTCAGGCACATGGTAGGCACTCAGTGAATACTTGCCGAATAGCTGAGCTCGCCCTTCAGTATAGTGATGCCTGTTGCAGACTGAACAGTGGAAAGAAACAAAAATACTTCACATGGTTTACCTGCAAAGAGGTTCTACAAGGTCCTTTTCAAGAAAATCATGATCATTCTTGACAGCCACAATGTTGATGGGAAATTGTGAATCTGAGAGAGAAAGACAAAGAAGTTGATGTACTTTGTTTTATCTGAATGAGCACCAACATATTCAGACCTTCAAGGTCTGTAAAAGCCACTGATTTTAATAGCAGTGACTGCCCATCATCATTGTTGGGAATGTTTAAGAGAGCAAAAAATTGCTATCACTGTAAATGCTTTTAGGAGTACAATATAAGTGCGAAATATGAGGATAGTCAAGTGCTTGACCTTGGATAGGATTGAACACTAAGTGCCTGCATTTTTCTAGCTCATCCTTATTACAGTCTTAGGTGGATGTGGCCTCAGAGAAGAGCTTTTGTGCTTTCACCATCCACCTAACACGTAGGTCACTGGCGTCTATCTTGATGGTTTCACGAAATACTTAATTTGGCAGATTTTTTTCCTTCAAAAAGGAAATTTCCAAAAATACCCAAAGTTCTATCATCTGAAATTTTTTTTAGTAGCAAAATCTTTATCACTCTGGAGTATCAGCAAAATACTCAAATTGATTCTATCCAAAAAGAATAATTCGAACACTACTTCCCTCCAACAGACAATTCATGCCAGCTTTGAAGGTCACAGGCAATATTTAGAACATGGTGTGAATTCTGGGTACCTCGTTCATGGAGGTAGCAATCTGCAGCTCATTGGAATAGAGGACATAGCCAAATGTAACCATGCTGGGTCACTATCATTGACTTGCCACTTTTTCCTTTATCTCATCTTGTATTTTGTGCTGTCTACACCTTGCCAGTCATGATAAATCTAAGGGTATCTAAATTTTAGCATGAGTTGGAAACAGACATAATTCCCCTTCTGGTGAAAAAAAATCATGTGAGTGACTTACAGATGGTTCCAGAGTGAAGCTGTCTTGCTCGGCTAGTGAGGGAGGGAGGGAGACACTTGTGATTTTTTTTCATGGAAGGCTGCCTCTTGCCAGCTGTGCTCCTTCCTAGGGTCTGGTTTGAGGCTCCTCTCTCCTCCTGGGCTCTGGCACTCTCTTCCTTGGCCTGTCCCTTTGGGCTCATGGTAGTGACAGCTGTGCCACTACAAGCCCTGGGCTCTTGCACTGTGCACCGTTCCTCGTGGCCACCCCCTGTCCTGCCTGCACCTTTGCAATGAGCACTGTTAGAAACAAATCCTCTGTAAATGGCCTTGAGCCTGCCACCTGCTCATTGTTGGGGTCCTGACTAGTTCATTACTAGATAAGGACAATCCGAGAAGAAGTTAAAAGCTTTGGTTATAACTTTAGATATAAGGGACATGAGTATGTCTATTAACTGTCAATTAAAGAATCAATGAAAAGGCTGGGTGGTGGCTCACGCCTGTAATCTCAGCACTTAGGGAGGCCGAGGTGGGAAAGTCACTTGAGGTCAGGAGTTCGAGACCAGCCTGACCCACGTGGTGAAACCCTGTCTCTACTAAAAATACAAAAATTGGCCAGGTGTGGTGGTGCCCGCCTGTAATCTCAACTACTTGGGAGGCTGAGGCAGGAAATTGCTTGAACCCAGGAGGCGGAGGTTGCAGCGAGTGGAGATTGTACCACTGCACTCCAGCCTGGGTGGCAGAGCCAGACTCTATCTCAAAAAAAAACAAAAAAAAAACCAAAAAAAAATCAATGAAAGGAAGTGTAATGCTAGCAATAAGACACCTTACCTAAAACTCGGAAGAATAACATCTGATTCATGTTATATCTTGACATTTTTCATATAAAGTAAACAGAATTAAACAGAAATTTCAGGATAATTAATTTTGTGACTTCTAGGAAGTTTTTTAACAGTGAGTTCATTGTGATTTCAAGAAAAGTGAGAGTAGTAAAGGAAAAACAAGGAGAAAAAGAAGGAAGTGCAGAAAAGCTGCTGATGGCAGAATGCTGGAAGGAAAACGTCGAGTTGGGGTTTGCGGTAAAGAGATGGGAATTAGTAGTGGGAAGCAGAAAGTAAAGTGGGCCTGGGAAGTGATATTCATTTCTAAATTGGTATCAGGATAACCCCTGGGCATAGCAAAAAGGCCGAGGGAAAAAGAAAGCGAAGCAAAATGGGCGAGAAAAAAAAATCTGGAAGTCAAAACACACCACAGGATACGTGTGGTTCATTTTGGATTTATTCTCTGTGTAAGAGCGAAGCGAAGGGCTGACGTACCCTCATATAACTGAGCGTATTGCGGGAACCCGGCAGCACGGAGCCAGTCACATGCTTCTTTTGCCTCAATTTCTGAAAAACACAAGAGAGATAAAATTGTGAGTCCCACAGCCGCACCCTAGTACTCTGCCTTCTTAATCATGGAGACACTGGTGAGCTTTGTGCAAGTTATTACAAAGCAAAATTGTTCCAGGTAAGTCTGCATAAGTAGGCTTACCCGGGAGTGGGTGGAAAACGAGCGGGTAATACAAAGGTCCTTGTTATGTGTCTGCTAAGATAATCTTCAATGTAGATCCATAAGTATGTGGATAATAACAAAACCACAGATCATAGAAGACAAAGGCTGAATTTCAGGCAGGGAAAAATGTCTTATTTATACACCAGGGAACCAGGGCACTAGGGGAAAAGAGGGCATTCTTCTTTACAATTCTTTTTTTTTTTAATGGAATTTTTTTTTTAAGTTCCAAAGATTAGGCTAAAAATGTTTATTCAACATTCCTTCATTCTTTCACTCTTGGGATAACTTTAAGAAAGACTACAACTAGATTGCCTATGAAAATGTATTTTCTCATGAAAAAAAGCTAAAATCCAGTGTATTATTGTTTTAAAAATTTCACTAATAGCCTTAATTCCCCATGCATTATAACAAAATGTTCATTAATCAAGCACATTGGAATGATTTCAAGCTGTAGAGTGCGGCATAGAAGAGGAAAGTTGATTATTTGGAATTGAGACTTGAGTTTGATGAGCCTGCCAGAACCTCTGAGGGCCAAGCCCAAGAGGTTGATATGTCCCTTGGGTGACCATTTTTGGTGTGGATGCACCAACAGCCCACCGGACCACCTGCCTGGGGAAGCTGTGGAGTGAGATAGGAGGAGTCTACAGTATGTGAACCAGGTCACTTTTTGACCTTGTGAATCCTGGATCATTTCCCAACCACAACTCTGTTAGACAAATATGAATCCAAGGGGAAAGAAGTTCATCTGTTGAAAGTCCAGTCTCTCCAAACAAAATTAAACAGCCTATTATCACAAGTCTTTACCAAGGCCCTTTCCTCCGCTGTTAGGATGGGTCCCTGTCAGGTCATTGTATTTCCATTTACTATGATGCTAATTTTTCCCCATAGCCAAAGCTGGAGTGTACAGGGCGTTCTTGGGATCACTGCACAGAAATGATCTACACTAACATCACCCTGGGCCTGCGATTGTACCTCAACATTGAAAGCTCAGTGTCTGTGCAGTAAGATGTTTGATGTGCCAGAGCTATTTGGTATATGTTAGGAAAATAGACCAAAGGCCAGATCTTACTCAGGCATCACCAGGAAGAGCAAAACCCTACCGCCTAGTTCCACAGATCTGGTTAAATCTAGATTGAACTTTGTCATTAAATCCAAGGAAACAGAGCCTGTGGTGGCTCCTGCCCCGGAACGCCTGCCTCTTCTGTCATCCCCTAATCTACTGTTACTCCAGGGACTGATGATTTCAAAAGCTTGAGATTTGTCTCTTGTGTGAGGGTTTTCCACTTAAGTGTGACCAGCATGTTCCTACCATGTACCCATTCCTGCCATGGACACATGGTTCAGAAACATCCAGGGAACCAAGCTGGAAAGAAAAGCTATTGAAAGCATTTCTATCAGAAAAGGAGTCTCTGAGTTCCACAACTGCTGTTCAAAACACAGCTTAGCTGAATTGTGCTGCCTGGGCTAACTTGGGCTTTCCTCTGGGAAGGTACAAAAGGCAATTATTGCATTGCTCAAAAGTTCTATTTAGTACCCAGTTGAGAGTCTGTATTTGAAGGTTCCTACTTTGATAACCACACAAGTATTTCAGAGGAAATAGGAAAACATACATTCCATCTGTAACGTGTGGAAAATGTGGTGAGTTGCTCCTGAGTCATGGATAAAGTGCTGCCTAATAGATTTTCAAGCTCAGATTTGCTTCCCGCTCCCATATAATACAGCGGATAGTAACGAGAAAACACCTAATTTCTAGACATGCTCTAAACCTAATTATGAGTCAGCAAGTCTTGGAGAGAAGCACAGAATATTATATTTTCTCTTGGCATTACATGAATCCTATGCCTTTTTCTGTTTTATTATTACCTTTACTACAATGAAAATGTAGTGTTCAGCAAGACAGTCCCAGAGAGCCAGGCCATGAAGAACAAATGGGGAAGACCCACAAGACAGGGGCTCTGCAGCCTAGAAAGCTCAAAGACAGAGAGTGGGAAGTGACCTATGAAAGAGTTCGCACCCCTCCAGCCCAGGGAATGTGGTGAGCTCAGATCCTGAAGATGAAAAGGATAACATGGTGGAGAAGAAGTGGGCAGCCAGGAATCCTTCTAGAAAACTCCCTTTGGAACATCACGTGTTTTCACTAATTTGTGGGATCTAAAAATCAAAATAATTGAACTCATGGACATAGAGATTAGAAGGATGGTTACCAGAGGCTGAGGAGGGTAGTGGGGGCTGGAGGAGAGGTGGGGATCATTAATGGGTACAAAAAAAAATTAGAAAGAATGAATAAGACCTACTATTTGATAGCACAACAGGGTAACTACAGTCAATAACAACTTATTTGTACATTTTTAAATAACTAAAAGAGTATAATTGGATTGTTTGTAACACAAAGAATAAATGCCCGAGGGGATGAATACCCTATTCTCCATGATGTAATGAGTTCATATTGCACACCTGTATCAAAATATCTCATGTACCCCATAAATATATACATACGCTTACTATGTCCCCACAAAAATGAAAAATTTAAAAATTTTGAAAACAACACTCCTTTTGGAACTTAAAATTCTGGTTGGACAGTGCAATGGGGCTGAAGCTAGCCAGGGAAATTTTATTTAAAAGGCTCCTCAGATAATAGCTGCATTTCATTTTTTATGACAGCAACATGGATAACGAACTGAAATCCTATTCAGATACATACATGAATAACCAAATTTTAACCAGAACCCAGATAAATCAATCATTCAAATAAGATGATTTTTTTTGTTTGCTTTAATGGGCAGGCACTTAAACTTTTAGACCTCAGGCTTAAATGACAACAAAACTGCAATGAGTAAATATCATAAATTAGAAGCAGCCCTGTCCTAGCCATGGCAGGTGACTCCTCGTGTAGCATCATTTCCTATACCCAACTTGCCATTCTATTTGCCCAAATGTCTCTCAAACACACACCCTCATTTCATATTCCCCCACCCTAGCTGCAGTCCCAACATCTTGATACCTCAATTTAAGGACAAAGCCAACTCTCATTTACCAGCTAGTGACAAAACAAGCAAAATAATCTGGCATAATTAACCCCTATCAAATCTGAGTTTGCCCATCCAATTGAGGGGGGAAGGGTAAAAAAGTCTTACAATTTTTATTAATTCTTCATGGCCCCTACTAATACCAATCAGCCAAATACTAATGCTTTTCCCCAGGCCCTTCCACTGGCCAAAATGACTGGAGAACTAAAAAGGAATCATTATTGCCAGTGCCATCATTTCACAAAGATCTACCTAATGAGATTTAAATGACATTTGAGGAGAAAAGTGTGAAAAACTCTTTTTTATTGTTCTCTTGCTAGCCAGCATAATATTATGTAAAAGCATTAAGAGCTATTAAAATCACATTTTGACAGTTTTATTTGTTCTCCATTTGCTACCCTTACCCACCCCTGTAGCAGCTCCAGGGCTGCAAGGCAAAGCCTCAGCTCACTGTAGCTGTCTCATGGAAAACCTGAGTGTGGAGTGAAACCAGAGAGTGGACCTGGACAGAAGGGCCCACCAATCTCTACGGAGGTTACTGTGCTGCTTTGCTGGTGAAAATCCAATCCATTCAGCTTGGTATTATGAAAAGATTTCTATGTAATTTTTGTAACTATTCTATGTAATAATTATTTCATTTTGCTCTCTGGCAGGTATCTATTTTTGTCTGTCCAACATCCTTCCCTACGTATTCTGATAACGGAACCTCTTTCTGCAAGGAGCCTCTTCTACATGGTTTATGTAGGGCTGACGCCTCTTGCCTCCAAGCACACTCCCTAGCCCTATCACCACCACCCACATAAGGTGACCTGATTCTTAAGAGCACCCCATCCCTGTTAGTCTAAGGAGACCAATAGTCATTTGGGGGCTGAAATCAACTGGTTGAAAAGGGAGATATCCAGTGTTTCCACTGGTAGCCTGGTCTAGCAAACATTTTCACTGTTTTACTCAGTAAGTTCAGTGGTTGGTGTGGTGCTACCCGTGCTATTCAGCCATATATCTGCGATTCCACTTAAGGCAAAGTCACTGGCTTTGCCTCAGTTGCCTTACACATGCTTTGAGCATGATGTGACCACTATCCTCAGACAGACCCAGCAGAGGGAAGCTCTTGCTAGCACCTGGGGAGGCACCCACTACCATGGGCATGAGAACAAAGGCACCGTGGAAACAAACCATGGCCGATGTGGGTTTTCACATGAACATATTATCATGTTTCTTAATTATACATGCCCAGTGTTGAAAACTTCCTAATAGAGAAAGTCACAATGAATGAAAAAAGTCAACTCTTGCCCCATTATGAACACCTAACTTTATATATGTTATCTGTCAAAACAGTACTATGCTAATATCTTTGGTTGACTGCTTTTTTCACTTAAGAATACATTGCGAATATTTTCTTATATAATGATCTTATTTGTAAAAAAAATGGGAAATTTACTTTGTTTCGAGAATGATGCTTATTTTTTAAATATTTGATTTTTGAATACTGCCAATTGCATTTCCCTGTAGGAAGATTATAACATCAAGGTAGCCAAGAGAAAAGAGTTCAATAGGACCTCACCAGTGTAGACTGACGGTGGAGAAGGCTGGAAGTCTATGGGAGTTAAAAGAGATTTACAAGCTGTTTCTTTAATGTAGTCTCTTAGCTACAGACAGTCTGTGGACAAGGCTCTGTAGGACCTCAGGCAAGTCAGGAAACATAGTGAGCACAGCAAATTTGCTGCCCAGGTTTGCAGGCCTCATCTCACATTACAACCTCATTGTATTTTTAAGCTGGTGTGTCTAGCGTGCTTCTAGCATGCTTGGGAACAGTGTGTTCTCTTGGCTAAGCATTTTAAGTATGTACATTTTGTTTTACGTTTTTCTCAGCATAGCAAATACTTTTTCAATAGCTCACTGAAAGGTATTGGGTATCCTTTCTAAATGACCAAAAATTCAAATGAGGCCCAAATTAAAATTTATTATTATCAGACATGTAGCTGGCTAGAAAGAATCTGTTCTATTGTGGAAAGTTTATGAAATCATTACATACGAGCACATGTATTTATGTTGTTCCTACAAATCTCCTTGAATTTCTATGGACAAACTGGCTCCAATTTAAATAGGTCTTCTTTTTTAAATGTTCGTTAAAAGTACTTAAGAGAAGTAAGGAAAAGAAAGAGTGTGATCGTCATGGGATTTAAGAAAAAGTAGGCTTGAGTAGAGTGTTTTGTCTTTTCCTTTAAACTGGCCTATTTGGTGGGCACCCTGTTTCTAAAAGACTACGGGTACCAGCATAGCAGGATGACTCAGCCACCACAAGATGCCTGCAGTGGATGAAATTATCACTATTAAAGTATATCAAAGGTGTTAACATTTCAACGGGCTTGTGGTTGCTGGCTTAGGATAATTTATATGGCTAAGGTAGCTTCATTAGTAACTTTACTACTTCAGGAGAATGACTCCTTTGTCTTCAGACAGAATTTCTCTAGTGAAGTCCGTATTTATTGAAGGTGTATTTCTTTGGCCATACATTAAGCCAGTTTTGTTAAAATCAATGCCAGGGTATCCATCCCATCTATATATGGATACCAATGATGCAATCATTAATATTACATAGAACCATACGCTACCACCATAATCCTGCCAGGAGGGCTTTATAACCTTAGTGACAGATACAGGAAGGAATGTCAGATTTTTAGTAGTAACAGACTTTGATTTACATCCCATGGTATGGCATCAGGATATATCTTTTTGCACTTTTAAAATTATATGTTAAGTTATTTTGATATGTAAAAGACCTTAATTGTATACCAAATATAATTTTTTCCTAATATTCATAACATTTTCTTTCCATGATTTTCTAAGTTACTAAGAGGAACTAAAATACAGGTTATTTGGAATGAATTTGGGATTATTAATCACTGAATATTCAAAATAGTGGATCAACTTATAAACACCCACTTTATCTATCCATAATTTGAGGCAATCTTTTCCTTGATGTGCAATAAAATATCTGACTGTCAGCAAGTATACAGCAATAGGAAGAGGAAACCTGGAAGACCCGTATAGAGTGATCACGCTTACCTGTACTCAGTCAAGACAGAGACTCTCAGCTCTGTTTATGTGGACTTCTTTCCCAAACGCAAGAATGAGAGATGTGTTGAGACATAAAATTCCTTCACCAATTCTACACATAAGCCTTGTTTCCTAGGCCTTGAAATATCTTCTGGAAGCTGGATTCATAGCAAATCTAGTCACTTAATTCCTATTAGAGTAAAAGAAGATCGAGCAAATTCTCCAGCTAAGTAGAGAATAAACCTAAGCAGGTTTATTCCTCGTCACTCAAGGGTTATTTTTAATCAGTCTTTTTCAGCCTGGTTGGGGAAACCATAGATATTACGACATATGACATATACGTAAACAAATACGTTACACATATTTACTGTTAATTTTTAATTAGCCTTAAATATATAATTAACATATATATATACTATATAGTCACACACACTTATGCATTTTTTTTTCTTTGTATGCCCACAGTGACGCCCTGCCCTTTCCAGCTGCCATGTGCAGTTCTCCTGCAACTAGGAGGCATACCCTTCCCACCTCACTAATGTTATGCTTGGCCATATGACCCACTTTGGCCAATTAAATGTGAACAGATGTGACCTGTGCTAGTTTCAGAAAAACATCTCAAGAGCCATCCCCTAACCCAACCACCTTTCCTGCTCTTTTCCCTTTACCATGAGGCTAAGAGATATTCCTTCAGCCTAGGTATTGGAATGATGACACTGGGGACAGAGAAACAGCAGACCAGCTGCTGACATGTAATATAAGCAATAAATACACTTGTTTTATGCCACTACAACTTGAGGGGCAATTTGTTCAAGTGGCATAATCTAGCGTAAGCTAATGTAACACAGCTGCCAGCTATTCACTCTATAGATGAGGCATATGGAAGGCACTATGGACCTTTATCTCAAGCGGAAACTGTTGTTGCATGTCTGTTAGTGTGGTGTAGAGATGAACATAGTCTCAGTAATCATTTCTGCTCCGAATTCTGCTTCTCTGCCTAGAGTGCATGATCTATATGAATTCCAAAAAATGTTGTAAACAATCCTCACATGCATCCATGTGTGTGAATGTGTGCTCATATACACATTTGCACCACAGAAAATCAAAAGCTCCGTTGCAAGTGAATGAGGAAACTCATCAGAAATATATTTTCCATGCCTGTATTCCCAATAGTATTTAAAAAGAAAAAAATGTTTACAATCCCCAAACCCCAGTCAATCTGAGAGAAAAAGAAAGCAGAAAATAGATGCTCTCCCAGCCAAATAGTTTCTGACCAGATTGTTTTGACTCAAGTTTTCCATGAAGCAGAGTAGTTCTTTATTCTCCTCTTTCATTTGATACAGATTGTTCCAATCAGGCGCTTGTGGTATTTCTCAGGGAGGCTGCATGCATACATCCCCAGCTTTTTGAAGTTGTGGAGCCACTGCCTACCACTAAATCCCAAGAGATTCTTCAAGATGGAGTCAGTCAAGCAACTGAAATGCAAGGCAGGGAACACAGAGTTGACCAGACAATTAGATAGAGCATCATAATTTGCAAGCATTGGCCAAAACACCTCCATGTTGAACCACCAAGCCAGTAGAGTCTTCAGTAACCCTTCTTGGGACAAGTGCATGAGATTCTGCAGATTGTCTCTCCCTCTCTAATTCAGTTTCTCCAGCTTCTGTAGGAAAGGTGGTGAACAAGAGTCCAGGTTGCTGTCTTGATATTGGCTCTCAGAGCCGAGCTCCAACTTCCACAAAATTGGCCAAATGACCAGTATCAGAAGGGCCTGTGGGTACTCACTCTGTGTCATGCTGATGATTTCTTGCCTGGGGAAGAGCAACTGCTTTGGACAAATCCCACCACCACTAGGAAGTCAGATTTCTTAGCTTTTGACAGGTACTCTTCCATCCTACATTGCTTTAAGATTTTTCTTTTTTAAATGTTAAAAAAATGCGTGTTTTTAGGGATGCAAACTCCTCCTGTATCTTTTCAGACATTTCTGAATGTCTATGCTTGTAAGAGGTTATCTGCTGTTTGATTTGCTCAACTCTTTTTTAGCTCTTGGTACTCCAATTACCCAAGAAGATTTCATGATAGCAGGGGAAAACCTTGCCATGTAGGTGAAAGAAGGAGCACAGATTCTGTTAGGATAAAGTCACTCCAATACTTCTGCAGGCCCTTTTCAATTCCTTTGCTCCTTTTGGGGTTGACATGGCAAGATAGATACAGCTTGGCTGAAGCTTCTGACTCCCTCTGCAAGGCTTTCTGCATGTAACTTCTCAGCAACTGTCATATCTGGATCAATCAAAACTAGTTCTTGCTTAATTTAATTCCAGGAAAAGATTTCCACAGCTCAAGTATAATCCTATTATCTGAGTATACATGAAAACTTGATATTGTATGTATTTTCTTAAAAAATTCCTTGGCACTGGCTCAGAGTGTAAATAAAATATTTACTAGGATTTTTCAACGTGTCTTTGCCAGTTTTCTGGAACCCTTTCTACTTGTCTGCTGAACGTAGGCAACAGCATTGGCAGTATGAATGATTTTCTAAACATGCATCACTCATTCCAGGAATAAAGATTACATTCAAGAAATGAAATTGTTACTAGGTTTACAGCTATCGATAGATTCATTTTTCCCTATGCTCTTCAAGGTCAAAGATACTGCTGAGCTTAAAAGTCTGCTCTCTAAGGGATTTTTATTTGCAGTTTGTTAATAGATATTGACATTATATATTCCTTATAGAAGGAAATTTAAAATGAGTTCAGGTATTTGAAATAGCTTTACTTGATTTGGGATGGAAGAGATGAAGTTCTCCACTGAAGACTTAAGAAACTTAATTCCTATGCTGCAACTCCCTTTTGTCATCAGGCACAGTGATGCATCAATGACTTGTATCATGCTACAATCTAAACACACGGCATACTCAGATTAAAGTTAATTGAGGCATCCCATAAACATGCCACAAATGTAATCCAAAAGGTTAAGAAAGTTACATCAACTATAAAAATGTTTTAAAAGTTTAATATAATAGAAGTTTACAAATTCTGGAATATTTAAAATTGTATAGCAGATAACTTCAAATTTTAAAGAACTCTTTGGGCCTTTATAATTATCGTCACAAAATCTTAATTGAGGATCTTCACATTTGATGTTTAAAAACAAAGTAGGAAACAGCAGAAGTACATGCTATGTAAAGATACATCTATTTCTAAATGGAGGTCCAGGTGGCTACCTTGTCTAATATGAATAGAATTTAATTCCCTGGCTAGCTTTGAGGAATATGACAACTTTTACTAATAAAGTCAGTATGACGGTCTTGGCTAATCTGCCTGCCAAATACTCACTGAATTCAGGTATAAAAAGATCATTTTCTGTAAGAATAGATTTGAATAAGAGATAAAAGTGGCTTAAAATTCCTAAATGAAATCTGATTGTAAGAGTAGCAAAATCTAAACCTAAGATTTGAAAAACTTACACACACACAGTCAAATCAAGGCAAATGTACGAATAGAAGGAAAAAACACAAACCAAATCAGCCATTTAAAAATGCAACCAATCCTTTCATGACTAAAGTACCAGCAAATGGGCTCTATTGTAAGATTTTGGTGATGCTAGTTACACAATTCTGGCATACTGCAAGGCTGGCAAATCCGTCAAAGTCAACTCAAGGACCAGCTGAGCTGGGGATATCACTGGATTTTAGCAGCATTCATGTCAAGCCATGTGATAAACAAGAAGGCTGTCAAATGAAGGCACTATGCTTATTATTTGAAAATCAAATAAATGATTTCAATTTTCTGTTACTAAGCAAAAATATAAGCAAAAAGAAAACGAAAGTAATGGAGGAAGGGAGGAAGGAGGGAGAAAGGGAGGGAGGAAGGAAGGAAAAAAGGAAGGAAGGAAGGAAAGGAAGGAAGGAAGGAAGGAAGGAAGGAAGGAAAGGAAGGAAGGAAGGAAGGAAGGAAGGAAGGAAGGAAGGAAAGGAAGGAAGGAAGGAAGGAAGGAAGGAAGGAAAGGAAGGAAGGAAGGAAGGAAGGAAGGAAGGAAAGGAAGGAAGGAAGGAAGGAAGGAAGGAAGGAAGGAAGGAAGGAAAGGAAGGAAGGAAGGAAGGAAGGAAGGAAGGAAAGGAAGGAAGGAAGGAAGGAAGGAAAGGAAGGAAGGAAGGAAGGAAGGAAGGAAGGAAGGAAGGAAGATATTGCCATAATTCTACCACCTAGAGATTGATCAATATTTTGTTGGCATAACGTCTCTTGTTCTTTTATTATGAAGATGTGTTCATGTATCTAGGCTAAGTATACTATCTATTTTACATAATCTTTAAATAAAATTGGAATCTGCTTTTGCACTCGACAATGCATTTTGAACATCTTTTTATGTCAACAGATGTCCTTCTCAAACATTCTAGGTGGCTTGAATAACATTTCTACTGACATTACTTTAAAAAGTATCTTCTTTCATCAATTCAGGCTGCCATAATCATGGGTTAAAAATAATAAATCCAGTTCTTTGGAGGCTTTCATTCTAAATAAAGAATTTCACCAGAACGTGCATCCTGGTGAACGTATTTCAGGGACTACTTCTGGGTTGACATTTCTCATGTTATTTCACATTCTGGATTAAGACACATCTCATATGGTTTTGATTTATATTCTCAGCAGACTTCAAAAAGGAAATTCCAAATGGAAGTTTATTCATGTACCAGAACTGTGTTTAAATGATGCTACAGGGATATCTTAAACTAACAGGAGCCAGGAAATTCAAAACTAAGGTCCTGGACCGTATTCCCACCTCTTCCTTCTTGAATGTCTTAGGTATCTGGAAAGTGGAGATTTTATGTAACAGCTGTTTCACTTGTCTTTGACCTTCTGCATATGTATTTAGACAATTTCAAAGATATATTTTACTTTATGTAATAACTTGGTATTTCCTGGTTGCTGAAGTTTCAAGGTTGTACTCAAAAAACAAAACAAACTAGACCAAATAAAGAAAATCTCCACATCTTGTTTTAATGACTAAATGAATATCTGGAGTCTATGTGACTCCCAAAATTCTTCAAATAATCAAAAGCAAAACATGATCCAAATTTGTAAAACTAGCAAATTTACCAAAAGAGCAACTCTTTAAGGCAAGACTACTTTTGTACAGGGTTCATGTTATTGCTTTAAAGAGAGTTTACAATGAAGATACATTCTAATTTCATTTTGTTCTTAACCAATGGCATATCTGTTTCTGGAATAAAGCTCAAGTTTCTACTCTTATTGAATACATATACTTAGTTTTACAGATTAACTTTTTAAAAAGAACCTGTCAATGTTTTTAGAAAATACTCCTTTATTTGAGGGCATAATTGAACCAGATGGGCACAAGAGGGGTAAATACGGCATCAAGCAGTTAGAAGTGAGTCCAAAATTCTGGATACACCTCTCATTACCTGTGTGACCCTGGGTAGGTTAATTCTAGCATACCTCAGTTTCTTCATCTATAGAATGGGAATAAACAGGAGTACCTACCTCAGAGGGTTGCCGTAAAGATTAAATGATTGCATTTCTGTAAAGTACCTGGAGCACAGCATTTGCTACTATTACTAGGGCAGAGGTGCTTATGTTACTTTCCCATATTAGAAGATAGTGGTTCTGATGGATGGTCTCTGCTTCTCTTCTCTCAGCTCTCTTCATTTGGTATGCAGAAGTGGAAGGCATTTGTCTTTACTTATTTATTCAACAGACACCTGCTGGGTGCCCCTGTTGTGAAAGCCTGCTGGTAGGTGCTGAAGGTGAATGCAAGGCTGTGGGCAGTGGGTCCTACCCTGTAGGTCTCTAAACCAAGCAGGGATAGACAAAGACCCATCCAGGCACTACCACAACCAAAGAAAGCAAAAGCCCTGCAGAACAGGACACTATCCTCCGGGTCTCAGAGCAGGAGGGGGCATTTTGGATAAGATGACCAGGAAAAGCCTTGCAGTTGAGGTGAGATTCAGAAGAAGGCAGAAGAAGGTTAGCCACATGGTTCTGCCATAAACAACCCATCTTCTTCCCCCAGATGAATTAGGAGCTGAGATTCGTGTGAACTCACTGCCTTCTTGGAAGTAGAATCTCATGCTCCTCCCTCTGTGCCTGCAGGAGGTCCTTGGGGTCACATGGCACCCATCAACCTGCCTGGAGATTCTTACACGACAAGTATCTAACATGCAATTCATTTTTTGCAGTCCACAGAATGTTTCATGATACTCTTTCTGGTAAATGAAGCTGTATCTCAGGAAGCCATGCTTCACACAATGCAGTGCTCTTTAACAAGATGTAATGAGAGTCATAAATGAGATGTGACACTTTGGATATGTGACATTTGGACACATTCAGAAATATGACACCTTAGGATAATGGCAGTAAGAGCCTTCTCCTAAGAGGCTGTTACTTTTAGGATATAAACACCAGGCTGGGGAAGACAGTATTGCGATTATGGTTTACAACGTGCTTACCAGTTAATAAGTAAAATATTAGCAATCACATGCCTGATATGCGGGGATCTCAAGGGCAAAGATGTGTTAAAACATAACCAAACACTCCAGGACCTTGGGAAAGAAATCTGTATCAGACATGTGGGCTTCATTAAGGGAAATGCCTTCAGAAGATTATTTTTCCATGTTATGAGAAAAAATCTCAACAAGTAAGTAAATTGTGAGCAAGGGATATGGGCTTCCTGTGGACTAATGACTGGGAGAAGTTGTGGGTTAATGTGGAGTCCAAGGTCATTGATCTCAAGAGGTCATGAATCTCCCAGGTCGGCTTCCTAAGGTCATTCTCACTATGAGAAACATGCTAGGTGTATATTCAGGGATCTGCTTTGTGAGGAGGTGACGGGGAAAGTAATTCAAATACCTTTCAAATACTTAAATACATTTACATTTAAAAACAAAGGAAGTGTTGCTCTTATGCATATAATGGTTACAATTAATGTTCCATGACTGCTTGAATTATACCTAGTGCCAAATGGAAAATTTAGAAATCCGTCCTTGAAACTTTTGCTTCTCTAAAATAAGGAACAAGTAAATATCGACACATAATTTTTTAAAAAATTTAGATGAAGTCTATCTTGCTCAATTTAACGCATAAACCGAGAGCTCTTTACCTGGGGTTTTTAGATATAATTGAGAGGCCTGGGAAACCCTTTGTATGCAAACATTGTTGTGTGTTTTTTGTTTTTCCTGAGGTTACACAGCTTTCCTCAAATGTGTGTGTTTACTCTACCTCTAAGGTGCTCTCCCTTAGCCCAAGAAGAAGATAACACTATGCCCCTTGGAGGCCTAAGGCATATCAGCTTTGTCCTGCTCTGTCTCCCGTGGGCTATCAATTTCTGACTTTGGAATTTGGAGACATAGATATTCTATCTCTGTCTTTCACTCACACATACATACACACACACACACACACACACACATATTCATGCACATGGATTCTGTAAATATGTCTTAGGTAAAACTGCAAACATCCTTAAATAAATATGTGGATTTTGTATCCTCTTAAATTTTGACATTGCAGGTACACATTACCAGATTGGAAACCAGATTGCATCTTTACATCTCATGTTCTTAGCCTAGAGTCTTGTAAATGGCTATCATTTAGTATGTTGACTGAATGGGTGAATGACTATAAGAGAAAAATATTTATAGATCTGAAGGCCAATAAACACCCAAAACATCTCTCAGATATTCAGGTTCTTCCAAACTCACAAGGCTGTTGTACATATGGGAAAATGTATTATGAAAGTCCTTTGCAAACTGTAAGCTCCATATGAAAATAAGGTAACATTATTCTTCTAGTTCTGATTCTGCCTCTGAGGGACATGGCTATTCGTGGGCAGCAATGTCTGTGTATCTCGATATTGCTACTGTTTTCTGAAGGGTGGGGCATTTGACATTGTCCTGGCACTGACTAGGATTGTTGCTTCTGCTGGCTGCAATCTTTCCCTTTCTCTCTGGATGGAATCTTTAGGAGTTCCAAGTGCGCACAGTAATGAGAGATTTAGTCTTGGAAGAAGAGTAGTGAGAAAAGATTTCCCTGTTTTCCCACAAAAGAATCGGTCTCGCTTTTTAAGATCATCTTAACCTGACTGAGGCATAGTCAGTCATACCTGAGAATAACCAATCATAACCATAGAAAAAGAATATCCCAGGACTTTCAAATATTTTGATCACAATCTTTAGTCAGAAATAAACTTCATGTAGTTGTGAACATGCACACACCACACATGTACACACATCATACACACATAGACTAAAACAAAGTTTCATAAAACAATAGTTGCACTTTATGTATGCAAGGAGATCTGACATTTTTCTGTTCTATGCTTTCCTATTCAGAATTAATAGTCATATCCACTGACTTCATCACCCGTTTAAAACACTGACTAGATAACACTCAGCTGTATGAGATGCATCTGGTAAAATATATTAATGTAAAAATGGAACACAGTTCTATGAGTCTGACACTTGAGGGTCTTCTTAGATTCATTCTGTCTCTTCCAGTCCCCATATTCTCACTACACAACCCCAGCACCTGCTGAATTTGACTCAAATATATTTCTTAAACTCCTACCCTCCTCCCCACCTCTGTCTCCTGGACTTGGTTTAACAGAAGTGTCCAATCTTTTGGCTTCCCCGGACCACATTGGAATAAGAAAAATTGTCTTGGGCCACACATAAAATATGCTAACACTAACCATAGCTGATGAGCTAAAAAAAAAATTACAAAAAAAATCTCAAAATGTTTTAAGAAAATTTACAAATTTGTGTTGGGCCACATTCAAAGCCATCCTGGGCTGCATGCGGCCTGGGGCCGTGGGCTGGACGAGCTTGGTTTAGACTCTCATTTTGTCTAAACCAGGACTTCTGCAACAGAACCCAATAGCTCTCCTTGCTTCAGTTCTTGCCTTCCTTGAATCTCTAACGTGAAACTATGTTCATTCTCTTTCAAACTCCTTCACGTCTCCCTGTCACCTGCAGAATAAAGTACCAGCCCATCACCACGGCCCACAGTGCCTTCCTGCCTGGCCTCTGTGTGCTTCTGGGGCTCACGTGCAGTCACGTGAAGCTGCCCGGAGATCCCCAGTCCCAGGCTGCTGTTGCATATCCCACGCCTGTGCTTACACTGTTTCCTCTCCATCTGTCACATTCCTCTCCCTATTTACCTCCTGACTTGCTCACATTTATCTCTATCAAGATTTAGCGAAGACATCATCTGTATCCCAGGTTAGCTCGGCTCTTCTCTGGACTTTCACACATTCATTATGGTCCTTAGATTATACTGAAATGTTCTTGTTACACATCTCTCTCCCCCATTAGACCACAGCTCTTTGAGGGCAGAGGTTGCCTTATTTACTCTTTGTACCACTAGTGCCTAGCAGAGTGCTCGGAGCTCAGCATGTGCTCAAGACATGCTGAATTAAGGAGGAGCTGAGAGTGACTTTCTTGCTCTGCATAAATCTCAAGCCAGAGTGGACTGCAGCCCATTGATTTATTCCCTGCAAAGGACTTGCACGTTGCTGCTGGTCAAAGATCTTTGGCAAAGGAAACTTCTGCCCCCTGAAAAAGCTCTCCTGCTCTCTTTTTTCTCTCTTGGTCTGATGTAAAGAGGCTGAAGGGCACATGCCAGGCTTTCATAGCTTTCTGTTCCACTCTGTTTGAGAAGTCTGATGCTACTATTGCTGGGGCTGTGGTTGGGCTGAGTGCCAGACCCCAGCCTTAATCAATAACAAGAAATCTCATGAAGCTTAGAGGTCTTCCAAATGTGGGTTTGGAATAGTGCTGGGAAGTCAGATTTGGTGAGGGGAGTCATCTCCAATCTGGAGGAACTTGGAGAAGGAGGGCAGTTCCGGTGATGAACAAAGGATTAGGTCACCTTATGAGCAGGAATGAGGCCTGGTCCAGTCAGGACCACCCAAAATCTCCCTGAATATGCCCTGGAGGAAACCCAATTCCCCCAGGCTGCCCCATTCACACCTCCAAGGGAATCATCCAGCCAGTCCAAGAAGGCATTCCTGGGGAATTGGAGATGTGGGGATGCTTTTAATTGCAGTTCAGTAATGCCTCCTTTCCCTTGAAATGTAACCACATTCAGCTATGACTACGCTGGTTCTCAGGAGCAGAGGAAAAATATATGATGTAATGGGATGAGTTTTTTGGGGCACTGAACTAGTCGGGCCTGCCTATAAAGCCTTTCTCTCTACTTTAAACTTCTCCTTCCTGAAGGTGTAGCTTGTTGGACACCTCCTCCAACAAACCTTTCCTGAACCCTTCTGATAATTATAGCCACCTCCACTCTATGATCTCTGGCCATCTTGAATTCTTACTTGTCCTGTTAGATGTAACTGTGACTTCTGTCTCTTTTAGAGTTACAGTGTGAGCTCAGTGAATTTGAAAACAGTAGGGACAGGTCTGTGGTGGTTGGGGTTGCCATGGCTGTTGTTAAGAATGAAGATACAAACAAGCTTGTATATGGGCACGGCTGCTGCTGCTGCTGCTGATGGTTGATGGCCGTTGTTGATTTTCAGAGAAAGAAAAGTGGATTCTGAAATGGATGTCTCTAGTGGATAAAGTAAAGGTGGGAACAGATAAGGGGAAAGAGACAGTAAGTTGGAATTTTAAAAAAATCTTTCAGAGAGGAAGGTGGCCATGGGGAGCTGGCTGAGTGTGGGTTTACTCTATGGGTCCCTGAGCAAGTCTCATTACATCTCAAAGCCTCAGTTTCCTCACTGCAAAATGTGCACAACATTATATATACTCTTCTGAGTCATTGTAAGGATGTGAGAAACTCCAGAACAAGGAAGAGCATTTAGTTTACTGCTGCAATCCTGGTCTCTGTCACAGGGATTTGAACTTGACGTTATGTTCACATTTGTTAAAATGAATTATGTAATTTGACACAGAGCAGGCACTTAAAAATTGGAGCTATTATTATTAACCGAAATGAATACTTTTCACAATTTCCACTGATGTACCCAAATGGGAGAAGAAAATAAACAGATACTTCCAATGGATTTATTTATTTCCTCCTATGTGTAGTTGGAATATAACATGCCCATACTTCTTTTAATGCAACAAAGCTTTCCTTCAAATTTGAGGAAAATCTATGCTCCAAGAAAATGCACTGTCCTGTAGCTTCTAAACACTCTTGGCCATGCTGCCTTGCTGAAGAGGCTCAGGTGTAAATTTAAAAGATAAATCTCATTTTCAGAGAGATGATCTATTTATTTTCAACAGCAGCCTCCATGTATGCCAGAAAATGTGGGGTTCAGGTAAATTCTGACTGCACTCTAGACATTTATGATGGACCCAGGTATCTGCCCTTAAAGAACTGAGACACACGCACACAGGCCATCAGTGGCTGATGTTGGCTAAGCTTAAGATCACGGGATGAAGGAAGAATCTCTGCTCAGCAACACGAAGTGCTGGAAAATAAAGACTTTCTTGTATATGTTTCCATAAAATAGCAGGACATCTTATGTTTTGAAGGCAATTTATGCATTTTTTTAGGAGTGCTACCAACATCATGCAAAGATAACTTCAGAGACAAAACCCAAGTCTGATCACTGTCTCCTTCGCTTAGAATTCTCCATGGTTCTCAAATCTCTCCAAAGAAAAATCCAAATTTCCGAGGACACTATGAAATTCTTAAGCTCAGCCTGGGTCCCTGATATTCTTCTGTGTCTCAACTGCCCACATCCCTGATAGTTGGCAATGGTGCTAAACAACTCAAAGTTTCCTAAAATCGACCCTCCAACTCCCATCCTCTGTTCCCTATAGGCAATTTTCCCACTGTCTAGAATGACATTCTTCTTCTGCTTTATGTGACTAGTCAATTCTTTTCCTCTTTGCCTCTCTGATTCCCAGCTCTAGTTTTATCTTTCCGCCATGTCCTTCCAGACCACCTGACCACTGCCACTGAGGCCATGCAAGGCTAAGTAACAAGTTCACAAAGGTCTATCCTTTGTACCCACATGCCCTTCTGATCCAGCACTTACCCCGGCGCTGGAATGTGTGGTTCACTCTGCTTTTCTGTTTCCCACCACAGACAGTGTCTTTGCATTCTCTGCACCAGCGCAGCACCAAGCACCACAAAGGGGCCTGGTTAACGTTTGCATGGAGAACTGAGGAGGGTTCCAGCATGGAGGTTCAAAGAAATTCAGAGCAAGGAGCAGATGATAGTCCTCTCTCATGTTTCCGGTTGCTAACAGTGGAGAGGAACCTCACTGCTCCCCAGTGACCTGCGAAGCCTCAGCTGAGATTCCAAGCCTCCACACTTCCTTTCCTCATTGTTTTCATTCCCATTAAAAAGGAACACCAAAGATTTGCATCACAGCCTTAAAATAAAGTCCCAGAGAAAAGGATTCTGTTTGGAATAGAAAGAACCACACACTTTCTAATGAATCAAACCCCTAAAGAGGACTAAAATGTAAGGTGGGGTATGTTCCACTCATTCACATTCTCAACAGAGTCTTTTAGTAGCGAACAGAACTCTCCTCTCGTAAAGAAACAGTGCGATTTCTATCATAATTCCAGTGGTTAATCTTTTGCTTGAAATTTCCAAATATTTTCTTACATGCCCTTTAAGACCATAAATACAGTTTTAAAACATTCCACAGTTGACTAAAAGCAGCAAAGATGATGATTCTAAGAGACTTCCTTCCTTTTCCTCGGTACGAAAACTATCCTCATTGTATAATGCAGGTACTAAGGTTCGTGATCTCTTTTAAGCTTTATGGTACTTCTTTTTTCTGTGGAGTGTGGCTTTTATTTACATCCTAAAGAGTATGTCATTAATTATCCACTTCATTATCTCACTTATGTCCTAACACAATAATGAAATCAGCAAATTGAGAGTATTTGAGATTAACAATCTCAAAATAGCAAAACAAAATGAAACAAAAAAAACCCTTGTTTACTAAATTCTAGGTTTTAAAAATTATCTTTGGTATAATGGCTTCTATTAGCACAATCCAGACACCACCAAACTACCTGTTAAATCTGCCAGAAAGCCCCGCGTTCCTAGGCTTGCAAAGAAAATGGGTGGGAAGTAGTTCACAGCAACGCTCTTAAGTGCTTGTGTAGGAGAGTGGAGGAGTACCACTAATGCTGATGTCATTGTCGTTTCTGAAATTCCTGCCCTGATCACTCTCCCATCTGGGCTACTTTTCTAATCTGGAATTTTCTCTCCCTTCTTTCTCTCACTACCCAGACACCTGACCCCCAAGGAATCATTGAGTCACTTCCTGTCCTCTAACCTTGTGGCTTAACTTCCGTTTCTGTTTAAGAGCATTGACCTGGGGGATGTGAAGAGAATGACAGAGGGAGAGGGTTGCCGGGAAGGCAGGGAAAGAGGGGGAAGGGTCCCGCTCTATCGGGGTCAGACAAGGAGTTGCTGAGAACTGCCCACTTTTGATTTTTTTGAGATAATCATTGCTGTCACAGTCATGATCTGAATTGTGCATTAGTTAATACTTGATTTACCTCCAGAATCTGCTCATGGACTTTCTACTGCTTATCTGCAACTTCAGAAAGGGTGGAGAGTGAAAGAAATAAAAAGCAAATTCATCAGTCTTACATTTATGAAAAGTCTGATTGGGCAAACCTGAGACCTGTTCAGAAGAAAGGGCTTGGAAGGGCATGCATTTTACTGAGACTTCTATCTTTATTTGTCACTAACCATTCATTCATTAAATGTAGTGCATGAGTCTTAGCTTTCCAGATCAGTTTTTAATAAAAGGATATTTTTACTATGGTAAAAAAAAAATTAAATGAAGCATCTTTTTTTTAAAAGAAAAAAATTTATTTATTTATTTTGTTTGTGAGATGGTCTTGATCTGTCACCCAGGCTGGACTGCAGTGGCATGATCTCAGCTCACTGTAACCTCCGCCTCCCAGGTTCAAATGATTCTCGTGCCTCAGCCTCTCAAGTAGCTGGGATTACAGACCTGTGCCACCACACCCAGCTAATTTTTGTATTTTTTAGTAGAGACAGGGTTTTGCTATGTTGGCTAGCCTGGTCTCAAACTCCTGACCTCAAGTGATCTGCCCACCTCGGCCCTCCCAAAGTGCTGGGATTATAGACATGAGCCACTGCGCCCAACCTAAACGAAGCATCTTTAAATAATGTTGTGGCAAAACCCGGCTGACTATGGGATAGACCTTTGAGTGGACTCTGATTCTAGCCTTCCTGGTTGCTGGGCCATGGGAAAGAGCACTGGCCAAAGGCAGGTGGGTGAATCTGCCATGTGACCTGCCACCGGCTCTCCTTCTTTAGCCACAGCAGATGTTCCAGTGCCCAGGTGACCTAGAAGCTTCATGTGGAGGTGATGGAACTTCAGTAGGCCTGGAAGTGATGCAGTATCTTCTGCCCTCAATGTGAGTAGGAAACAAACATTTAGTTGGTTACCATGATAAACACTTTAGGGACAGGAACCTCAACCTTCTTTAACCCCCAGTGGCCACATATGCCTGGAAAACAGTAGGTGTATGGCCTATATTTATGGGAATAGTGAACATTGAATGAGTCATACAACAAAAATTAAAATGGACACAGAGAGTTAATTCTGAGAAAAATTTCTGGTTATGATCTGCTGCTACACACACACACCCACCCACCCACATGCACACATACTCAACTTCACTGTAAATATCACTCACAAACTCTTTTGTCTTTTATGTCCATTTTTGTTTTCATGGAAACCATCCAACTTTCAATACTCACCACACTAAGATAGTGAAACAGCTTCTTTTGAAGAGGATTCAATTTTCTCCCCGAAATAACTATTTCAATTGACTGAATAGGTTTGTTTCACTGTTCGTCACTTCTAGAAAATGAAATGCATTGAAAAAGCAGTTTGGAGTGATCTAGACTTTAATATCAGATCCTCTGAGCAGGTACTGACCAGATGGGTACAATTTCCTGGCTCTGTGCTTTCTTCATAAAGAATCTGTCAGATTAGTTGGTGAAAATGACAAACGAAAAGACACTTTGCCTTAATAACAAAACCCATGAAATCCCTTAGACTTTTGTAATTATTTTCCGGCTAACTTTGCTTTCTAGGCTTAAGCTGTGAAGTGACATTTGGTGTTTCCTTTTTAAACTAATTGTTATTGCTTATTAGAGCAGACATTTAGTGTCTGTCAGGTATAAGTCAATGACTCTCACACTTTGTATTTATGCTTTTCTTTTGTCATTTAGAAATGTTTTATTTTGTTTCTTTTAATTGCTTAAAAGTAGTGTCATGAATAGCTCGATGCTTCATATAAAACCATAAGGAAGAACTACAAACAAAGCTTTTTTTATTACTTTAATATTTTTTGAGAGGTGATAGAAAGCATGTTTATAATTTGGTTAGAATCTCCAAAGTGGCTGTATCTTTTAAAACTAGTATTTAATGGCTAGATATAACCAACTTTCAGTTATAAGAAAGAAGGAAAGGAGGAAGTGGGAATGGCAGGAAGGAAGTCAGGAAAAGAAGCAGGAGGGCAGGAAGGGAACGACAAACCAGAGAGTCCCTTCCCTTTCCTCCTGCTTTCCCTCCTTCCTCCTTTCGGAGGAAGGAGGGAAAGCAGGAGGAAAGGGAAGGGACTCTCTGGTTTGTCGTCCTTTCAAAATTCCTAAACAAATTCAGTCCTTCCGATGGCACTTTCATAGGCTAGCAGGAGTACTTCTGGACACTTCTAGCTGGTCATCTTGCTGCTGTGTATGAACCTCCCTCCCACAAAGAAGGAACCTGTTTGTGTGCCCTTCCTGTTCTATATGGGTGCCCTTGCTGTGGGACAGGGCCCAGTTCACAGCTATTTCGCTAATCAGAAACTTCAACGCCTTTCTCAATTTCATCTAAGTACAGTTTTCTGCTTGACTCAGTTACTCTCTCATGTACAAAATGGTCCTCTGCCCCGTGTCCTCCCTGTGTTCATCCTTGCCCGGGTGATCCCAGTTTCTAGCAGGAGTTCAGCAGAAGTCACTGATTGAAATGTACCACCTGAAACAGCATCTTACTTTCAACTGCAACCCACTCTAAGCCATTTTATATACTATTGTAAAAATGATGATCCCAAACTTAACTCTAGATTTATGTTATTTTAAAATTTAGCTTCCTGATCCCCTTTTGGGACAAAACAACTTTCTCATTATACTAGATACCCTATAATCACCCAGGAAGTTCACATTAATTGATGACTAAATATTTGGCTAAAGGTCTATCATGGCTAGTGAATACCAATTTGGGCTTTATTTTACCCTAAATCTGGTTTAGTTAAAAATATTTTAAGGATAGGCTGGGTGTGATGGCTCATGCCTGTAATCCCAGCACTTTGGAAGGCCAATGAGGAAGGGTCACTTAAGGCCAGGAGTTCAAGAACACAATGAAACTCTGTCTCTACAAAAAAAAATGAAAAGAATTTAGCCCGGATGTGGCTTCAGTTACTTGGGAGGCTGAAGTGGGAGGATTGTTTGAGCCCGGGAGGTAGAGGCTGCAGTAAGCTATGATCCTATCACTGTACTCCAGCCAGGGTCACAGAGAAAGACCCTGTCTCAAAAAAAATAATAAAATATATTTTAAGGATTTCCTGAGCCAGGCATGAAAACAAAACCCCAAGGGTTTTTAAGCATGTGGTTCTTAACACCACCACCATGAGAGATGAAAAATAAATGATGTACTGTTGGAATACTGCACCCATTTCGTTTTCTTTTCTTTTCTTTTCTTTTTTTTTTTTTTTTGAGACCAAGTCTCACTCTATTGCCTAGGCTGGAGTGCAATGGCACAATCTTGGCTCACTGCAACCTCCGCCTCCAGGGTTCAAGCGATTCTTCTGCCTCAGCTTCCTGAGTTGCTGGGATTACAGGCACATACCACCACGCCTGGCTAATTTTTGTATTTTAGCAGAGATGGAGTTTTACCATGTTGGCCAGGCTAGTCTCGAACTCCTGACCTTGTGATCCACCGGCCTTGGCCTCCCAAAGTGCTGGGATTACAGGCATGAGCCACCGTACCCGGCCACTACACCCGTTTATTAAAGTACTGAATATAAATTACACAGTCTTAAAAATACCAGCATTCAAAAAAAACCCAAAATATCAGCTTTCAAAAATACAAAAACAAAATACCAAGTATTACTGCAATGCCTTATTATACTCATTTCCAAAAAGATGTTGGGATTTTGTAAACAATTTACAAGGTATGTTTATTTTAATAAGTTACGACATAAACAATTACTAAAGTAAGGTCATGTCAAAAACTATATACGCGGTTTTCAGCTTTTTAAGTGTATTTTTCTTTGGGAAGCTTTTATGATTGGCCCACTATGGATTATTAGATGGTAAGTTAACTAACTTCTGAATGCTTTTAATTTAATTTTTAAAAAACGATTTAATACTTGGCTGGTCACAGACCCCATCTATTATTGTTACTGAAAGGTTAATTAACAACGTGGCTAGCTACTTGTATGACCTTGGGCACAAAACTTTACCCTATCTGATTTTAATCTTCTCACCAGTAAAATGAGGGCTCTTTTAGAGTCTTGTAATGCTTTTAATGCTCTACAATCCTGTGATTTCTAAGATGAAATGTTGTGTTGAAGTCGGTGACATTAATGTCTCTTTGGAAAAATGTAATGGGACTCCAGAGAAGGTCAACCACATGCCGATGTCCTGGCTATGTGATTATAGACAAAAGCCACACCCAGGCTAACTGAATCCAGAAAAATCCACATGAACATTGTAGGAAAGTTAAGATTGCCCTTGCACTTGGTTGCTAGGAAAGCATGGTTGATGAGCTCTAATCCAAATGGTTTATAAATTTCATACTGTGGTCTCTGACACAGCTAGCTAAACATCCAAGACCACAGCCTCAGCAATGTCTTTGTCCCTGACATCAACCTCAACTGATTGTTCATTTTCAATTTTATTCTTAAAGGTAACATGTTGATTTCTCCCTGTTTTGTAATCCAATTCTAATAAAAATGAGAAGGCAGGCAGGATTCTGATATTGGGAGATAAATAAAACTGCATTTTGCAAGGCAGTCAGTTATTGTAAGACAGTTATTAAAACAGCTGGAGAAATGGCCTCAGACTGCAGCCAGCCTGCAAATCAGCCGGGCAATCTGGCCCTTGGTGCACATGGCCTTGGATGGTATTCTCTGAAATCAGGTTACAGGAGTCTGTGAGCTGGAGTCTCTGTTTTTTGGCAGTTCCCACAGCAATTAACCCGGTGTTAGGCACACAGTGGCATGGTAAAACTTGTTGGCAATTCATGAAATAGTTACTATTGAAAAAACAAAAGAACATTTCTAGAGCTTCTTGCATTTTGTAGTTTGGAGATAAACATTGGCTTTAATTGCAGTACTTACTAAACAGGGAATATGCTACTTAGAAGCTAAAACAGTACATCGACAACTTTCCTTCTCTTATTCCTTAATTAATTAATCATAATCATCCACAGTTGTTACTGGAATATGTTGAATTTGTGGAATTTGTGAGAATGTTGCAGGTTTCTTAATGCATATTCAGGAGTATTTGCCCTGATATAAGTTGTACGAGGAAAGTTTATAGGACCTGTGAAAGCCATTCAATTGTTTTTCTAATTCTCATATGCATATGCCATTCAAATATTCTGCTTAAAGGTATCTGCATTGTTATTGTTGATATCAGGTGTCAGATGTGATGCTAAATGCTTTATGTGCAATGGCTCACTTAATCCTCACAAGAGCTTTTAAAAAGGTATTACCATTCCCAGTGGGACGCAGTGGCTCATGCCTGTAATCTCAGCAATTTGGGAGGCCAAGGTGGGCGGATCACCTGAGGTCGGGAGTTCAAGACCAACCTGACTAAAATGGAGAAACGCCATCTCTACTAAAAATACAAAATTAGCTGGGTGTGGTGGTGCACGCCTGTAATCCCAGCTACTTGGGAGGCTGAGGCAGGACGATTGCTTGAACCCAGGAGGCAGAGGTTGCAGTGAGCCGAGATTGCACCACTGCACTCCAGCGTGGGCAAAAAGAGCGAAACTCTGTCTCAAAAAAAAAAGGTATTACCATTCCCATCTTATGGAGGAAGAAGCTAGGATCAGGGAGGTTCAATGAGGTGCCCAAGGTCACAAATGGGATGCTATAACTCATACCACAGCTTTTGCTCAAATTCTAGCCCTCATTCATAACTAAATGGGAATAAGTGGATGAGAAAATGGCAAAGCTTTTAAAACATCTTTTTAAAAGAAGGAGGGTATAAATTATAAATAAAAATGCAACTGAAGAAAGGACAAACAATTCCTCACATAATTTCTTCATTTATTTATTCATACTTTAATCAGCCACTAAATACACATGTTCACCACAGCAGCATGTAGTATGAGGAGTAAGAAAAGAGATCATCTATACAGCAGGGCTTAATGAAAATGAAAGTTGTTAGTGATTAGAAGGAGAAGGAAAAGTTGAACCATCAAAGATCTTGACGCCTTGCAGAAGGTTCTAGGTGGGAACATTATTTCCAGTCAGAATGGTCTTTAAGAGCTTTTTAAGAGGTGAGAAACAGTAACAATGAAAACGTCACATAATAGTTTGTTGTTGGACAAACACGCAGACAGAACACAACTCGAGGCTCTTTACTGTATTATCTCTCACCCTCATGACACTCAGGTAGACATTACTGTTGCCATTTTGGAGATGAGCAACTAGAAGCTTAGAACACAACCAGCGACAAACCAGTCGGAAAGCGTGAACACAACCAGCGACAGTGTCAGGATTCAAACCCAGACATACAGAAGCCCAATGCCTCCCACCTTTCCTCAAAGCCATGCTGCTCAGAGCTGACTTCCTGTGGTGTTTTTGTTGGCTGTGACATGGTATTTGAAGCAGGAAAACAAAACAAAACAAAAAAGATCTTAACTTGGAGGACAGGAGAGAGAAACTGTAGAGATCAGTAAAATAAATGAGGAGGTTTATCCAGTCATCTGTACTATTAATTGAATTTAGCTCTCTACTAGCTAAGTGCTACACGGCTCCATGGTGATTATCAAGGTAGTCAGGATTTCAAATGGTGCTGATAACTAAGTGTAATAGGATTATGCATTTTTTTTCTTTTAGAGTTGAAACAAAAAAAGGCCCTTTAAGCTGAGGTTTTCAGGTTGTTTTTTTCCTGTTACAAACTAGTCCAGAATGATCCCAGAGACCTCAAGGAGTGTTAGAGCTTATTTCACTTATATAGGGAAAAAGAAAGACAGAGTATTTGCTAGGTAGATGCATACTCTTCTAGCTCTTCTTGCCTCAATCTGGACTTAGATTCAATGGACTAAACTTAGCAGAAAAGTCACACGGAGAAGGCAATGAACACAGCACATGCCTAATACCATATTTTTATTTGATGATATTTGAACCATAAATATACTTCACTTCAAAAAAACCTTAAAAATTGTGTATTAAATGAATTTTGGTAAATAATTTAAGTAAGGAGAGATGGTTAATATTCATTATGGAAACATTCTGCTATGAAATTCAGTTTACTAAGAGGATTAATGTTTTCATTAAAAAAATATTTTGACTGAATCTTAAAAAAAAATCCCTGATTTACATTATCTTGTAAATGTACATTCTTTCATGGTAAGAATATTTTTAAAAGGTTAATCAGCATTTGTTTTTGATTTAAAAGTAAGTTTATACTTAAACATCATATTTTAAGGTATTTAGTGCAGAATGAAATTACTTTAATATAAACTAGATGTAATTTGTCATGTTTTTTAATAGAAAACTTTTCAATACTATAATGCTTTGCTTGTATTGGGCAGAATATAAAACAAATTCAAAGCAGTGAAGAATTGGGAGGAAAAGAAAAATGATTCTCAACCCTCAAATATGGGCTTCTTTGGAGAAAGTGAAAATGGATTTTTAAAAAATCAGAAACGAACAACTCACTGTTTTTTTGAAAGGAGATTATATATGCTGTTAGTCATTTTTTAAAATGACCACAGCTACCATAGAGACTTTGATTTATTTACATTTTCCTGGGCCTGCAGCCCCCTCTTGTATAAACATATACACATACCAATATGTTATGTGAACAGCAATCTTGCAGTGACTTCAAGGAAAAAGTTGTTTTTGTAAAAGAACTCATATTTTCCCATGCTACTTCACTTCTTGTGCAAGAACTTTTATGAGATTCTAGTGAACTGTGTTTTATTTATTTTCCTTTGTTCTTTCCCTCTTACTGGAAGAAAACATTATCTGGATGTAATCATGTTCAATGAGAATACATTCTGACTCAGGAGATGATTTAAATCAATGACCAACAATTAAAATGCCTAATCTGCCACTACTTTGGATATGGCAATTTAATTTTACTAGGTCAACACATTCATTTATTTTAATGCAATATATATTCCCCCACAGGAAGGAACACTATTTCAGTAATCCCCTGTTACTGACATCTTTGCAGATTTAGCCACTCTCTCTGTAACTCAACCAACTAAAGTTGAAGTTTTGTAGCGGGAAAAATACAAAGTGAACATCTCTAGGCTACTTCATCAAAGTCCCCGGGGACCACATTTTTCTCTCAGGAGACTGTCCTGTAATTCACTGAATCATTGCTTGTATTCTCACTATCAGTAAGCCTGTGTGGTGTTCCAGCCACCTGGAGCTGACAAATATTTTTCTATGTGAAGGATACCATAGCAACCAGATTTGCCGCATGGACAGAAACCAGCCATAACGATGCTGCAATTTTAGCCAGGAAGCCGACACGTAGCACCCACGACAGTATTATCGTAAAGCATGTCTTGAGATCTGAAAATTCATTATTTTCTAGGACTTAGTTCTTTAGACACAAGAACGGAAATTACCCCAAGCCCTAAGTGAAGGAAGGCGGTAAGAAGGAAGGAAGATGGGAAAGATCATATGTTTCAAATCTGTCTCTCTTTCTTACAAGCAATGCCAACTTGTACAAGTTAATAAACCCTCTGAGCCTCAGTTTTTTCATCTGTAAAATGGAGACAATCATTCTCCCTCAAAGGGTGGTCGTGAGGATGAAATGAGTGCTCTGTACTGTGGTTGGCAGATGGGACACACATAACAACTAAAAGCTTTCTCCATTTGGTTAAGAAGGGAGGTAATAGACACTTAGAGGCCACAAGAACAATGCTCTCCAAAATAGGGTTCAGATGATTATATGAGAAATGTTATCTGTGTTTAAAATTTCGTATTAAAATATTCTAAAATATTTTTAAAGAATTAGGCTGGGTGCAGTGGCTCACGCCTGTAATCTCAGCACTTTGGGAGGCCGAGGTGGGTGGATCATTTGAGGTCAGGAGTTCAAGACCAGCCTGGCCAATATGGCGAAACCCCGACTCTACTAAGACTACAAAAATTAGCTGGGCGTGGTGACACGACGCATGCCTGTAATCCCAGCTACTCAGGAGGCTGAGGCACAAGAATCGCTGGAACCTGGGGGGCAAAGTGAGCTGAGATTGCACCACTCTCCAGCCTGGACAATGAAGCGAGACTCTGTCTCAAAAAACAATAATAATAATAAATACAAATAAAATAAATATTTTTAAAGAAACAAATTGTTATGCCAGTATGCAATATCAGGATATGATAGGAGGCGCCCTCACTGGAGCTGCCAGCCTGCCAGTGGTTTCTGGGAGGGAGGGTGGCGATTGTATAGTAGAGAGGATTGACCCCAGCAATCTTACCTCCACGCTTGCTTTCAGTACTGCCCTACATCATGATGTGCGGCAGCCGACATGGACTCGATTGAGAGACTGTGAGCTACATTGCTTATCTTTAACCAAACTAATCCTAACAGAATGGAGAGGCAACTTAAAAAGATTCTTGCAGAGGAACCACAAAGAGAAAATATTAATTACCAGCAATGAGTAGCCAACAAGAAAGAGACAAAGCTGAAATTCCCTTACTCCTAGTACTGGCCCTGTTAACAGTCACTTCTACAAGGCAGCAATAATGAACACAGATTTAGACCAGAAAAGAAGCCAACTGAACTAGTGTAAAATTGTCTGGAAGACTATTTGAAATAGAGATTTACGTAATTATTGATGGACTTTGGCCTTTATGACTTGAGATATTAATGACAGTAGAACTGCATGTAACTTATAAAATACATAAAGATAGATATATTGGGAGTACTGCTCAAGATTTTGTTACTGATATGAGTGTATATTCAACAAAGGCTGGGGCCACTGTGCCGGGGAAATGAATATAGGGTGGCCACACTGCCTGCTTCCCAGCCTTTTTCACACATGGCACACACGTTGTGTTTGTACTACATGCTGGGATAAGCTACTAGGCTATGGGAAGCTCAAGCCTTTGGTCACCCCAGGTCCCGCTCAGCCAGCCCAAGACTGAGGAGGTCAATATTTTCAGCACACCTATTACCAATTCAGGGCACACTCATATCCCATGTGAGGCACCCTGTAAGCGTACTGGTTGAAAACTCAGTTCTATAGACAGATTTAGGCAGGGTTAATTATTGAAGAATATAGCTATTTGGTGTGAATTGAGTTATCTCTATAGACAAAGGAAGAGAGTTGTGTGTGTGTGTGTGTGTGTGTGTGTGTGTTTTCAATAGACCTCTTAAGCGTCAGCCCAATAAAACTTGTTTGTATCGCAAGTGGGCTTATTGTCAGAGTTAAATATTTACGCTATCTCATTCTCTCAGATCTGATGAAGGAACAAACTTTATAAATATTCTCTTTCCTCTCCGTCAGCGAGCCAATTCCACTTCGGTCTGCCCAGCATTCGACACAGTGCTGCTGCTGACGCAGTAAGTGCTAATGTATGCTTGCCTAACGGATCAGCAAGCCATGGTAGAACCAACACCCTGCTCATCCGTCCTTACATTAGTATGTAGTTAGATCCTTTTCCTGTTCCTCCCAGGAGGTAATCCAAAACATTGCCACTGAATTTCCATCCCCAGTCCTAATCCCTGGCTGCTAATTCTTAGCTGACTTCCCCTCTTCCTTGATGAGGTCACCAAGGCCATCTTACAAAAGCTGTTTCAGGCCGGGCGCGGTGGCTCACGCCTGCAATCCCAGCACTTTAGGAGGCCGAGATGGGCGGATCATGAGGTCAGGAGATCAAGACCACACTGGCTAACATGGTAAAACCCCGCCTCTACTAAAAACACAAAAAATTAGCCGGGCATGGTGGCACACACCTGTAGTCCTAGCTACTTAGGAGGGAGGCAGGAGAATTGCTTGAACCCAGGAGGCGGAGGTTGCAGTGAGCCGAGATCACGCCACTGCACTCCGGCCTGGGCCACAGAGTGAGACTCCGTCTCAAAAAAACAAAACAAAAGAAAAGCTGTTTCAACACCAAATATGTCAACCTAAGCCATCCAGGAAAAAAATCTAAATTGTCTTTGACTTATTCTTTATTAACCAAGCCCACAGTCACTAAGGGATGCTTTGTTTCTCTCCTTTTCCCTCTTCTGCCCACACTGCCCAACTCACTAGTCAACTTGTGAGCATCCCAGGCTCACCCAGCATCAGAGCCTTGGCCCTATCTGTCTCCTCTGCTTGACCCAGGCTTACCCCAGATGTTTAGAGACCCTGCCTAAAGCCTCCTTCCTTCAGGTCTTCCCTCAAGTTCTTTCTCCAAGAGGCCTTCCTTAATTACCTTGAATATATATTGCAAAATGTACAGAAATTAACCCTTCTCCCTCACCTCCATACCCCCTTTCCCTGTTTTATTCCTTCTCTTTATCAGTTATCACTAAAATAAACATAGTTCATTTATTTATGCTATTCACTCTCTGTCTTCTCCACAAGAGCATGAGCCCCACGAGTCAGGAAACTTTGTTTTCCTATTTTGCTCATTCCTGTGCCTCTATAGTCTAAAATTGGGCCTAGCACACAGTAGATATCTAATGAATATATACTTAAATGGACAGGTGGGTTATTGCAATGGACCTATAAATGGTGCTACTGCATCTTCTCTAATGCACTTTCTACCAAAATATTCATCCTAAATTACAAGTTGAAAATCGCCACCTTCCTCATAATTTGTCAGTAACTACATATGATTTATTAAATAGCATCTAAAACCCTTAAAAAGTTCTAGCCCCCATCTCCTTTTCCAATCGCCTTTCCCAATGCAGTGATCTCTCCATACATCCTAAGGTATAGTCACGCTGAGGTTCACTCATCTATTTTTGAACACATTACACACTTAAAGTCTTTGTGTTTTTAAACATACATCCTTTGATCTTGAGCATCTGTTTCCTACTTTACCTTCTACTGAAATCTGTTGATGTTTCCAGGCCACATTTCATATCATGCATAAAGCTTTTCCATTCTTTGAATTGGATTTAAATATGTGCCCCATAGCACATTGCCTTAAGCCCCTGATTACAACAAAAATCATTCTTTCTTGAATTGTGTCCATATCTGTCCCCAAGACGTGACTGTAATATTCTTGAAAAGACATTATATGTCTCCTTTTCATAGTTCCTTTCACACAGTAGATGCTCAATAAATGTTTGTTGGCATTAAGTATACAATGTCACTAGCTGTGCATTTTGGAGGAGGAGAACTGTAGTGAGATAAGCATTTAGGTCCTTTGTAGAAGTAATACACCAACACCAAATAAGTGAATGTCAGCAAAACCGAAAAGAAACAGAAAGCTATAGTTTAAGCCAACATGAAGCAGAAGACTTTACAAGAAACTCTAAAGATAAAAATAACTTCTGCTCTGCTAGAATGCCTGCCACAGAGAGGTCACTTATTTTGGAGTTTGATCCTCAGCTAAAAATAAACAGCTTTTATTGAAACTGAGTTCCCAATATTGTTGTTTAACTATTTTGTGGTTTCATTCAGGTACTTGCAAGGCCCAAAGAACACTAATCAGGATGCCTCAGTGTTACATAAGGGTTCTTTTCATGGAGTAATTTATGGTTAGTTTGAGAAATTGTATCTCATCTGCTTGCTGGGTTTCTCCTCCTTAGGCATGTCTCGTAATGTATATATATGGCCAGTCATTGGCCGGGCCCAGTACCAATGGTCCAGGATGCAGTATAATAAGCACATGTGGGAAGAACAGCGGTTCTCAGGACACTGTTCTAAATCATTGTTTTCCTTTGGGGAGTAGAGAACCAATAATTCCAAGTAGCTTTTATGGCATAATCTTTGCTGAGGCAGTAGAGCATGTTTGAAATCTGGGCCCATGAGCAACAAATTCAGATAGGATCCTCTTGCCCTTTGCTGAGTGCAGAATAAACAGGTCTTTGGGGAGGCCCCACAGAGGCTGAAGGTAACCAAACACGCTGCCTTCTAGCCCTGTGGTCTGCTGACACAGCTCATGCCCTTCCCTGCCATCCCCTAAGGGTTCCTGGGGCTGGAAGATAGTGAAGCTTTCTTCAGCTAGCCGCTTGCTCTGTCATTCACATCTAGCTCCCCTAACCAGCCTGGCTCAGCTCAAGCTCAGGTAAATGACCTATTCGTCCCTGTGCCACCCACCATCTGTATGTGGAAGCCCTTGGCAAGGCAGGAGCTACCGTGCCAGCCCCTTGAAGTCTGCTTCAGTCTTCCAAAGCGTCACCAACAACGAGACCACTTCAAGGTACTCTCCGGTCATTAACACTTAAGTTCCCTGTAGTGAATTTCTCAGGACTCCACTTTCCCCTGCTCCTTCCACACCTAACCTGCTGCCACCGACATTGCATGTGTGCTTGGCTGTTGCCCTACTGGGGGACTTACCCATATATGTATTATTGTGTTTCTATTCACTTTGGAAGTTGGCACTCCTTCACCTTTTAAACAGTGAACTCTCTGAAGCAGAGGACTTGCACCCACTTACTCTGTTGTTGCACATGGAACACAACTGAACAGGACCATTTAGAAACATGCTTAAAGGGCCGGGCATGGTGGCTCACGCCTGTAATCCCAGCACTTTGGGAGGCCAAGGTGGGCAGATCACGAGGTCAGGAGATTGAGACCATCCTGGCTAACACGGTGAAACCCGTCTCTACTAAAAAAAAAAATACAAAAAATTAGCCGGGCATGGTGGCAGGCGCCTGTGGTCCCAGCTACTCGGGAGGCTGAGGCGGGAGAATGGCGTGAACCCAGGAGGCGGAGCTTGCAGTGAGCCGAGATTGTGCCACTGCACTCCAGCCTGGGTGACAGAGTGAGATTCTATCTCAAAAATAAAAAATAAAAATAAACAAATAAATAAACAAATAAAAATAAAAATAAAAAAATAAAAAATAAAAAATAGAAATATGCTTAAAGAAGCAATGTGCTTCTCTGCACTTTTGGGATGAGATGGAAATGTTCCTGCCCACTAGCAATCCTTAGCTCTGGCCCCTGTACCGAGAGCTTCAGCGGGTGGCATTATTAGTGGGGATGCACTTTAAGTATTATTCCAAGAATTGGAAACAGAAACCCTCCCACACTGAGCACAGATGTGGTGATGGATGATGTATCTCAGTGGCATGGCCCCATCAAATCCCGTGTTCAACTGACTACATGAACCTATTTTTGTCAGTGATTATTTCCGGTATTCCTGTGGTTTATCCCAATGTAACATGCAGAATCTACTATGATAACATGGCTTTACCTCTGCCAGTTATTCCATGTAAAAAGAGATTAAATGAGAGATTGCCAAAAAACTTCCACAATTTACATAGTTTTCTTCATAGTATTTGAACAAGTAGACTCAAATTTTCTTTTTACCTGTTTTAAACCTCAGCTCAAGAGCAAAGTTAAACCAGTTTGAATCTCCAGCTCTCCATGCAGTCAATTTTTAAATGAAAATGGTTGAGGCAGGCCTTCTAGGCCCCTTCTGATACTCAGATTATTGTTCTGTCAAAGAATTTTCAAATTCTGGCCTCAAAGGTTACCTTATTTTCAACATTTTCTAAATTTAAACAGAAGGGAGAGTAGTAAAATTGGAAGCATGGTAAGAAGTTGCTCAACTTGATTGTTCCAAGTATATCCTTGATTCTGTGTAAAGAACCTAAAAATGGAGGCCTTATGGTCAACATAATTAGTACATAATCTGTCAGGCAACCTTTGGATTCTTAAGAATTTTTATTTGATTATAAAAGTAATACTGGTCACTTATTTGCCATTTTTCATATTATTTATAAATAATATCATGCTGAACATCTTTGTTCAGAAAGCTTTGTCTACATTTTTATGAAACCATTTCGTTAGGATAGTTTCCTAGGAGAATTACTGGATCAGAGGATCTTGATAAATGCTGCCAAACTGCCTTTCAAAAAGATGGTCAGATTTTCTTTTTAAAACACAGCTAGTCACAGATATGCCAAGGCTCTCTCAGAATAGAGACAGATGGATGATAGTTTTAATGTTTAGTTACCTAACTATGATTAGTAGGATTCAGATAGGACTAGTAGGTTAATAGTTAATCTGCTGGTGATTAGATGTAGGGTTTTGCATTGTTGCAATCTCAGGTTCCCAGCTGACAACAGTCTATATGCTGTTATGCCATAAGGGACAATTTATTCCAGACACAAAAATGGGTACCAGGGTTCTGTCCCAGAAGGTGTGTAATGACAGGACCCCACAAAGAAGTGGTATGGAAAGACTGACTTTCTCATTCACTTGACAAACATTACTTGAACACCAACCAGACATAAGAAACTACAGCGAGCACCAGGGAGTCAAAGCAGCATGGTACCTGGCCTGTCTTTGCGGAGCCTAGGGAGGAAGGAAGATGTGTAAATAAAGAATGAAGTAGAATAAGATAAAACCTTGATTAGAAGTTTGGAACCATGAATGAAGAAGGCTCTAGCTCTGTGAAAGAATGGTGGTGGAGAAGGTTTCAAAGGCAAGTGATGCTTAAGGTAGCTTTGGAGGAGGAGGAGGATGTTGGCAAGTGGTAGAGAAAACATTTAGCAGAGCACAGGGACAGAACTGGGCAGAGCGTGGAGGTGTGAAAACATGGAGTGTAATAGTGAAGTCATCTGGTGGGTGGGGCAGGAGGGACACGGGTGGCAAAATTCGCTCACTTCCTCTTTCTGAGAGGGACCTCTGGGGGCTCCAAAGAAACCTTTGAGATCAAAAAAGAGCTAAGAGAAGCCTTTGAATGACGGGCAGAATTTATTAAGAAAGGGAAGAAAGGAATATTCCAGCAGCAAAGAAGTTGTCGAAGTTCAATTAGTGACTTTAAATGGCCTGAAAGTTTTCAAAGCATTTTCATGCACATTATGTCATATGGGCCTCCCAACCACCTCGTGCTACAGTAAGGCACACATTCTGATTCCCACAATGCAGCGGAAGAGCACAGTTGAATGGCGTGGCTCCCAAGGCTGCCATATTTCGAGATTCTAGGGGCCACCACACACCTGTGTTCACAGAACAGGGTGCGTGGTGATTCTCTGTACTGGCAGGTCTGGCTTCTGATGTCCTTTGCAGTACACTAAGCTGTGATCATGTTCATCATGTAAAATGAAAAGGATTTAAAATGAAAACACAGTAATCACTCCTATCTTTTCATATCTTATATGCTGCTATGCTATCAGTTTTACTGGATTATTTTGAAAGATGAAGTGGATGTGTGTGGGTATATGCATATATGAAGATTAGCATATATTTATTTGTATGGTATATCTATGTATCTATAAAATGTGAGAAAATATTAGGTACCTTAATCTGCACTATTATCCATTTTTTTTTACATTAGGAAGTTTAAAAATTACATATATTCAACCATACTAAATCAAAGCAGCATCACACCAATTTTAGCCCTATTTTTTAAAGTTCAACCTGTTTGAGGAAATGACTAGTCTTACACAATGCTGAGAATCTTGATGAGAAAATCAAATAGTTATTCTACAAAGAGAAAAAAAATAGATGCAAATACCTTCAAGAGCAGCCTCCTATAAACAAAAGTATTACTACATAAGATTATAGAATTTTGTTTTTAATTTTGTTTTAACTTTAAAGGCTAAAGTTTTTAGCTTTTTCAGTGTAATGCAGAAGTTCTGTCTAAGAGAGTGGAGGCAATTTCATTAATGGCATACGTACCAAAAGCTAATAGCACAAGATGCATTATAAATGTCTTACTGACATTTGAAATATCTCTGGGAGACAAAAATGGCTATAATTATTCATTATATTTGTAAGCAGTGAATTAGATTCATCAAAAGGTTAATCATCTTCCTCAAGGTCACAAAATTAGGCAGCATAAAGGTAGTATCTGAAATCCAAGGCTTCTGACTGTTACCTCGGTCCTTGAAATCAATTAAAATCGTCTCCATAAGGTCTGACGTGGGTACTGTCAGAAGCTGGCAAAATTCTTTTACACATTAGAAAAACAGGTGCGGATGCTACCTTGTCACATGTCAGCATGTGTCAGCACATGTGAGTTTAGCTCATGCAGAACATACTGGTTGGCATAGATGATTCCTTCACATGCAGATATGAATCTACACAACAACAGTATGTTCCAGTATTTCACAAAGAGTATCAGACGCACATCTCTCAATGACTACATAGGTTGCACAGAGTGTACAAAGAACTCTGTCTACTGATATTTCCTTCCTCTCATTTTTCACATTTAGACTGTAGGAAACAGGCTAAGCTAATGAAAAGACAGTACGACAAAATCTTCAACTTTCAGTTTCTGATTTCCCCAATAAGAAAAGACATAAATGTGTCATTTCTTATGAGACGCGTGGAAAGAACCCCGTAGAAACCATATGGTTGTCAGTAACGGCATAATCTCATTCAAAGGTGCTAAGAACACTAATGAGACCAGGATGTCAGGAAAAGCAGAAATAGATCAATATTTCTCTCCCATTTATAGTTGTCCTCACCATCAGTCTCTGCACCAGCTCTATGTAAATGAAATCAATCAGCAAGGATTTCTGCAAAACGCATAAAACAGTTCTCCTCTCAGCTCTACCGGAAGATAAATGATTCCAGACGTTGGCCTGTGGCCATTTTCCCACACATGCTCCAGAGCTCTGACATCCATATTGGGCCATAACACTGAGTGGTTTCTACTTTGGCGAGTTTACAGCCAGCGCTTCCACTTCTGGTTTGGACTAGACAGCCTGCTAATGCAGATGCAAAATAAGTCCCTTTCCGCCTGTGTAAATTGTAAAAGAATTGACTTTTTCCAATAAAGGACCTCCTGTGAGCCCCCTGAAAACTTTCTGCTATCGCTCATAGAATCTTATCATTCTCAATCACTGCTTTAGATCCCCTTGGAATTAGACGAATCCTGGCCTAATAAAACATGCGACATATGACATCGAACGCAAACCACTTAGATGTAACATACAATTACCAACAGCCCAAGTCCAACTTTGAAAACGAAGCCGTTGAAAAATGTATTAAACATAAATAGCAGGATTGTTTCATATGGTAGCTTATGTTCTGAAAGAGGGTAACAGACTTTCTGAGAAAGATAAACTACAGAAGATCCAGAAGCAGCTTCCTTTAAAAATGATGTCAACACCAATAACATTATTTGGAAGGCTCGTAGGAAGTCCAGGTCATATTCATAGCTATTTAAGTAACGTAGCCCATGGAATTAAGCATGCTAATACAAAGCATTTACTGCCAACCTCGTCAATCTGAAAGGTGGGTCGCTTTCTTAATAAACTGCCTTTGAGGAAAGATACAAATAATTTTGCCCATTGTTATAAATAGAGAGAGAAGGAAGGAAGGAAGGAAGGCCTTATCTATATCTGTAGTCTGAGATAAAACAATTCTCTCTGAGATTAAATAAAAGTAAAATAAATCTAACTGTAACTTGCAAATGTTTCTAGAGTGAGTAGCCAAAATGACAGTCACTGCTTTTTAATTTTAAATCAAGTTCTTGTTAAGAGAATGTTGTAAATATCAAGTCCACTACAAAGAAAACTTTTTATATCAATGACAAAACTCACAATCTACATAGGAAGTAACTGTTGTCTTTCCCACCACCACGACCTCTTTTTCTATGGAACACAAACTTACTTTGTTTAAAATTGTCCTTAGGCTGTGCTGTACCTTTCAAACAAAACCCCTCTCTTCTTCAATTCATTTTCAGCTTTCTTGAAAACTGCTCCTCAGAAACTGACAGATGGTGCATCTGTCACCGAGTGTTTTCTCTTCGTTATCTCTGCCAGCTAATATTTCCTCTGTGCTTGGCTGTTGTCTGTGAGACTGGTCCACATCATTCTAGCCTGATCAATGGTGTGCCTGGTTTGAGGTTGGTTTTGGCCCCGCCTCCAGCTCTAAGAGAAAAAAACGAAAACTCACAGCTGGATTTCCTATAAATCCTCTTTTTAAAACTGGCTCTGCCGCTCTGGCACATACCAGAGGAAACGCTGCCAGTCTATCACAAACCAAGGGGGGTGCTCCTTCTCCTAGGCACCCCCACCGCTAGTGTCAGGTGCCTTCCTTATATAACACATCCCATTTTAAGTTAGCCTAAAACTTCACAGGAAGGGAAGAAGTGTTTTAAACCAAGCTTAGGTTTTTCCATGCCTAATAAGACTCGAAAGAAGATGCCCATGACTGAAACACACACACACACACACACACACACACACCCATAAATAATTTTTAATCTGTTAATACTGTGCAAACCAATTCCAAGGAGAAAACAGAAAAGGAGAAAATGCCAAAATAGGATATAACAAAATCAGTGCACATTTAATTGTGTATCCTTAAAAAACTCAGGTCATCCTTCACATTCTGATGACATTACACCCTCAGTTGGCAACAGGATTTGCTTGTATTTACACTGCCAATGAACTTGGTGAATCAGGAGAATGCATGGGATGCATTTCAGGTTCCAGATGAGAGGCAGTTGCTTCTCTGGGTTAACCACTACCAAGTGGGGTTGAACAGGTGACTGTGGAACAATCAGTCTGCTCTGTAAGTGAGCATGACAAACAATGCATTGTAGACTTTCGTATACTGCATGCTCGATGGTAATCTCACCTTATCAGTGAGTGGAGGCCACACGTTTACCATGAATAGAAAAAGTGAGTGTTCCTAAACTAAGGCTATATGTTGGAATACTGTACTAGGATTCACAGTCACAGGATCTGGATTCGAGTCTCAGTTTTATTTCTCGGCAGTGTCCTCGAACATGAAAGGCACAGAGTATGCTCTGGAGACCTCACAGATGACAGCAGATCAAATGAAGATGATAAAGAACTTTGTTGTTATTATGCAACATTCGTATTGTTATTTTCAACAACAGAGAGAATATTAAATAAATATACATGTTTAATCTGGCAGAGGATGATACCAAACTACCACTGCCTGTGATAAGGAGAGCTAAAGATGAAAGGATTCCGGGAGTAAGGTGCAGAGTATACAGTGCATGCTGAGGATAACAGCCACTCAGATTTTAAATGTTTGAACTCCACAGTGAGGGAGAATACGAAGTAAGCATAGGGCAGAGTGGGGCTGAATAGCAAAAGTTTGATACCTTAGTTCTCCTTCCACTCTCACTCAATAGAACCCTAGAACTGGCATCTGCCATTAGTCAGTGAGCTCCTTAAAGGCAAGAAAAACACAACTGGAGTCTGTCAAATAAGAGAATGAATGAGACTTTGAACTAGATAAGAGGTACTCACTCTAAGAGAGGGAGTATAGAGTATTGTGAGAAGCCTGAGTTTGAAGTTGTAAAATCAGATACTTCAAGGTTGAGAGTGCCTGTGTGTCTCAACCTTGTAGGGATTTGTAGAGAGAGAGGCTTTCTGAGTAACTGAAAAGTAACACGAGAGATTTTGTTCAGGGTCCCCTGATTTCGTCCAGCTTTCTACACTCACCCCTCAACTCCACCCCTTTCCCACTTCCTCCATGAGAACGTCATTCTGTGACAATGAACTTGAGTCAAGAACCAGGATGTCTGTAAACATCCCTTTAATGAAAGCACATGGATTGTTGGGTCAATTCTTCCCATATGGTGTTGCAAGTCTTTGCTTGCTGTAGCTGGCCAGAAGTCAGCTTTTTAATCCAGCAGGCCCTGCTCGATGCAGGCTGTGTGACAGGCATCTGTGACCCTGCCCCGCCCACAAAAGGCAGATTATAGGGGCTGCTCCTGCTCCTACCCTGCCTGGCACCTCACTGCCAATGAGCTTCTGTGCTCTTGACTAAATATATTGGGAAATTCCCTACTTCCATAATAGTTTCATGTGTGTGATCTCTTCTCCCCAAGCTAAAGGATTATGCCAATTTTGGGTAAGAGAATTTGTCAACTGCGAAGATCTTATCTAATAAATCCTTTTAAAAAACCTCCTAAAATGTGCAAGACATTCCGTGCTAGCCACTTCAGAGGATGTGTGCTGCCAGCTCTCTCTGGCACAGGTGGTCTGCAAGGGTACATGAAATGAAATTATCACCTAAAGCAGGATATGAGGACAGTGGGAGGTGGAAGGAGTCTAGGTTGGGGAGTGGGAGTGGGAGAATCTAGAAAACATGGCGGGGTTGTAGCATGAGGGTACACAGGCAGAGATGAGGGAGGACCCAGGAGAGAGAAGGACACTTCCAAGTAGGGAGTGAGCTCTAAGGCACCCAAAGAAACAGGAGGCAAGGCAAGCTTGGGGACTCAGGAACCTTCTGGTGCTGCTGAAGCACAGGGAACACGTGGGGGAAATCAAGCAAATGAGTCATCAAAGGTGGGGCGGAACCATATATGGGATGGCCTTGGATGCTGGGAGAGGGTATGGGGAGTTCATACCAGCTCAGGTAGCAATTATGAACCCTTGGGGGTTTTAGAGCACAGGTGTAACACAGTCTGAGCGGTGAGAGCTAGAAACCATGTTAAGGATGGATTCTAAAGGGAAGCGTAGGCAGATGGCTCCACTCAGGAGGCTATGGCAATTATTTCAGCAAGAGGTCATGAAGGCTGAACTAGGAGGACAGGGTTGAAAACAGGAAGAGTGCTAGAGGCAACCAGAAAGACATGTGAGTCCAGGGAGATATGTCTTAGGAAATTCCATCTGGAGGAATTTTTCCTGGAGGTATTTGCAGACAGGTGTACACACATATTCAAGTTTTAATTTCAGCATCTTTCATTGCAAAAGATTGCAAATTACCTCAGTGCTCACCAATAGAGAACTTACAAATAAATTATGGTACAGCCACATAGTGAAATACTTTTGCAGCCGTTTAAAATACACACACAGCTACAAGACTACTGTTGTCACATGTTGGTGATAAGCACCAGATTGCTAGTGGTCAGGAAGTATGCCTAGAAGAGAAGTTTTAGACAGAGATTCAATTTATGGCAAAGGAAGGAAAATATTGGGGAGTGGAATGTGCATGGGTGGGGACCTCAGGACTTGTGTGTTACCCCCATATTGGCACCTGCGTTCCCCAGGACCAGGACAACCTAGAGCTGTGCAGTGTACAACCTACGCAAATGTATATGGTGTCTCTGCCTACAACCACTGACTCAAAGGTGCCAGAAATCTGCCTCATCCAGCCTTGATCAATTTCATAATCAAAAGCCCAGAACCTGTGTGCCTGAGCCAATCAGCATTGGAAAGGAACAAACAGCAACACTACCCATATTGGGGACCTAAAAATGCCTTTAAGAATTATACCAGATGGCAAAGCAAAAAGCATGATGTCTGAATCTTCTCTCTCTCTCTCTCTTTTTTTTTTCCAAATTCCAGGGCCTAAGAAGCCAATTAACCATTCCAAGCAATATCTAGGTGTAAGTGCAGTGAAAGTTCATAAACTGAACACAGCAACAACAATTAGGACAGATCTGCTGGTCGTCAGTCCTGCCATCCTTAAGTGAGGGACCGATATTTCAATCATCATTCCCTTTCTTTTCAATGACAGGACATCTTGAATGACCATATACAAGAAGCGGAGTCCAAGACAAGCTGTAGTGGCTCACGTGCACTCCCAACACTTTGGGAGACCGAGGTGGGAGGATCACTTGAGCCCAGGAGTTCAAGACCAACCTAGGCAACACAGAGACACCCTGTCTCCACACAAAAAAAATAAAAATTAGCCAGGCATGGCAGCATGCACCTGGAATTTTAGCTATTGGGGAGGCTGAGGTGGGAGGATCACTTGAGCCTAGGAGGTGGAGGCTGCAGTGAGCTGTGATCATGCCACTGCACTCCAGTCCAGTGATAGACCAAGATCCTGTCTTGAAAAACAAACAAACAAACAAAAAAACAGAGTCCAGTTCCAGCTTCATGCACAGAGTGGGTGTGCAGCTTCAACAGCAGACGCTGGGGTCGACAACAGCCGCAGTGTTCTTTGAAGGGGCAAGGTAGGAAGGATCCTAGAGGCAATAAATATGGCTCCTTGGGGACTTTGTTTTCTTTCTTGCAAAGAGCCAGGTCTATTAAACATCAGCTCTGCAGAGGGGAGAGCACACTGAGGAAGCAGAACTTACTGCACATCAAGGGAGGAGCCCTTACAAAGTAGCAGGTTGCAGACAATTTGCAAATTCCGGCAAGAGTAAATGAAGAACACAGTATTTCACAGCCAGTGAGGGCAGTATGACTTCATGGATAAGAGTGTGCTCCCTTTACAGTGCAATAAAAAAACTGCACTTAATGCCCAAATGCCTGAATTGTAATCTTGGCTCTGACGGTACAAGCTGTGTGAATTTGAACAAGTTACTTGCAGTCTCTCATTGTTGACTAGATAATAATGGTACACATCTTAGGGTTGTTGCACAGATTTAGTGCGTTAATGTACATAAAATGCTTGCCACAGAGCTTAGCATAAGCATTCAATACATGCTATCATTCCATAGTTAGAATGGAATAAAACACAGGTGATTTAAAATATAGGTGATTACGACTACACTTAAAAGATTGACTTTGATTAACCACAAATCAAGAAATTAAGAATTCTCTGTAAGAACTGCTAATTGTATTAATGCCTGCAATTTGAAATACTTGAGCAAATAGGGTGCGATATTGTGTGTTATTTAACACTTAGGTTAAGCGATCCTGCAGATGCTGCTAGCATCTAATCAACCATTCAAAATCTGGTAGACCAACAGTTTAGCTGGCATTCTAAAGAGGGCACCTCCACATCAGAATCGGCCATTTCAAGCCCTGTTGTTACCATTTCTCCATTTCTTTTGGTCATATATTTTGGTTTAGATCTTGGATACCAAGAAATTCACCAATTTCTTGACATAAAGGAATGAGAAAACAAAAACTCACTGGAAATGTACCATACGTTATTTGCATTATGCTATGAATATCATTATAAATATGAAAATATAGTTATTGTATAGGACAGGATCATTCCTTTTTAGTAAATTATTTTTATCTTCACAAAGTGAAATCAAAGAATATCTAACACACTCTAGTAGCTAATAAAAAATCTTTAATATATTATTTTAAAAATATTTTAAAATAAAAATATTACATAAAACATGAAAGATATTAAAATAAAAATATTATTTAAAATATCTTTTAAAAATATTTTAATGATACCAAATAATGCTCATTGAAAATATTTAAATAATGCAGAAGCATAGCCTAAAAAAGTAAAAGCCTGTTTTTATTCCTAACTTCTAATTTCACTTGTCTCCTTGGAAGTAGTCACTATTAACAGTTTGGTGTGTATCCTTCCAAACTTATTATGCATATATAACACACTTGTTATATATGTGGGTTTTGATATCTGTGATATCAGACACCAAGGGGGATTGGTTCCAGGATCCCCACAGATATCAAAATCCACAGATTCTCAAGTCCCTGATTCAAAGTGGGATAGTATTTGCATTTAACCTACATACATCCTCCTGTATACCTTAAATCATCACTAAATTACTTATAATACCTAGTACAATGTAAATGCTATGTACACAGTTGTTCTACTGTGTATTGTTGAGGGAATAATGACAAGGGAAAGAAGTCTGTACATGTTCAATATAGACACAATTTTTAAAATAACATATTTTTCAATTCCCGGTTGAATCTACAGATTTGGAATCCATGGACAGAGAGAGCTGACTCTGTGTGTGTGTGTGTGTGTGTATGTGTGTGTGTGTGTGTGTGTATGACACATATTCATACACATATCTTATGTATGTAAAATATACACATATGTCTATACATACTTGTACATATATACCCATGTTATACACCCATAAGAATTGCTTTTCACTGAAACAGAATCATAATATATGTATTATTCTCAGACTTACTCTGTTCATTGGACAATATGTCTTGGAGATTTTCAAATAAACAAATAAGAAAGCTAATAACAAATTAGCTCAGTGGAACCCCAGTGACTGTTTTAGTCAAAAGTGTGGTTTCAGGGGACCAGACCAAGGAACCAGCACCACTCAGAAGCATGCCTTTTGGGGTGGCTCACCTGTCCCCCTGAAGCTGACAGATTTGTCCCTCTGTACCTCTCCAATAGCTTTACATCCCGAGCAGTGTGGTAGAAAAGATGGGTGAGTGAACCCGCACAAACTCATAAATGAAAACATTTATTAAGTAGAATTTAAGTGTCTTACTTCGTGACCAACTGTTCCTTTAGCATATGTGCAGATATCCAGAGCATGCCTGCCTTGTTTTCTACTCCCATTTTAAGCAGAAAATAAAGCCACTTTCTACTGTTGAATTATTCTTATTTACAGCAATAGAAATGTCAACCTTTCAGATTTGGACACTGAGTTGCTTGGGCACACTGGCACCCAGAGCCTACATGAGCAGCAACATGTATTAATCCTCAGGGGTCCTGCAGGCAGGTGTGGGCAGGTGCAGATGTGCATGAGGAGGACTCTGGGACTTTCCAGTCTCTAGGGTCATGGAGCCTATTTTCAAGTCGCAACTTGAGGTTCTCAGGTTCTCAGGCTACTACATATGCCTCCAACTCAATTTCACTCGCAAGCATTCCAGGTAATGTGGAGAACCAAAGAAACTCATGTTTATAGTGTGTTTGAAAAACAATCTCTTCGCAAAACCCTTTCCAGAATTTTACATTCCTAAACAGGTATGACAATCTGTCATCTAATTTCTGCTATTATTAAATTGCCTTTCTTTTTCTGAGAAAAAAGTTACCTTTCCTTATAAAATGACACATTTTCACCTTTTTGTTAGCAAGTATTGCTTAAAAAGGAAAGTTTTGTCAAACCATCATGTTTTTAGATCAAGGCAACCTACCCCTTATCTCTGCTACGTTCTTGTTTTGAAGCAAATCAAGGCAATGTACTTGCTAGTTGAGTTATTGACCCTGATTTTTTGAACTCCCTTTATCCAAAAAGGTTCCGTAAGAAAAATCAGACAGTACATCTGTAACATGAGGGCTCTGACAATGAACTGTAACAGTAATGCCAGCTGGGTACATAAAATTCCAATGCTAAGAATTTCATTCCACATCAGGTACAGTTTGAAAATGTCGGCAATGCCTTATCTCTGTGGACATTTCACTGCACATATAGGATTTCTATGTCAATATTTGTAAAATTCTAAGAGTTATACACTCTGGCTTATATTACCCAAAAGGAGAGGGAGAGAAATGGGGGAGAAAAAAAATCTTGTCGGCAAAGAGTCAACCATGCACTGGGGAGTCGTATTGAAAACAGAAGACAAAATCATGTAGTACAAAATTAACTATGTTCACAAGAGAGGCTCAGAAGGACATAAGGGATAAACAAAATCTCCATCACATCAGCATCTTTCCTACAAGTCTGATGTTCCAGAGAGTCTGCTCTTTGTTTCTGTTGCCAAGGAATGGAACCTACTCTGGCTCTCTCGAGGTAGAGAAAGTATGTGAAGTTCTGGCATTCAACAGCCGCAGACCAGGGAAAGTCAACAGTGAGGCAGAAAGCATAAACTACCTGCTGGGGCAAGCCAATTTCATGCATTGTGCTCATGGCAAGACAAGATTGGATTTGCCTCTTGCAACTGGCACTGCTGTTCTTCAGGATTGATTACCCTAATTCTGTGCTTATCTTGTCCTTTCACCCCAACTGTCTACTAACCTTTTACCTGTATATCAAAGCTTATACTTTAAATTTTCAATGGTGGTATCTTTAATCCTGGGCAGAGAAATCCAGAAATCCTTGGTATAACACTTAGCACAGGGCCTGCTTTAATTAAGATGCTAATGGGCATCAACAAGGAAGCTGCAGTATGGAAAGAACAAAGCCCCAGGTCACGTGGCAAGGCAGGCTGATCACTTTCTAAGCTGGATTTCTTCCACTATTTTGAAGATTACTTCACCTCTCCCGGCCTCACCCAAATCATATATACACTAGAGTTTTCACTTTCATTCGGGGTTCGCATCACAAGCGACTGTGCGATGAAATATTCTAAAAATCTAGCATCTCTTTTAAAGTTCACTTTGAAATTTAAGGAGAAAGCAGACTTAAAGAGGATTCTGAAAGTGTAATGAGCATCATCTCTTTAAACCTCACAAACAAAAAGCACATTCTTCATTTTTTGGTTTTATATCTGACTGCTTTCTAACAATAACTTTACATGACTGGGTTGAAATAAACTTAAAAACCAAACTTGGAGGCATACTTATCTAAAAAGTCTAGGAATCCTAAGCTCCTGAGACTGACTTCTCATTTTGCTGCAAAGCGTGGGTGGCCACAAGCATTCCTGGCAGCTATAAGGCATTTGCTAACGTATTTGACTTTTAAAGTTGTTAATCACACTTATCAACATAGGCAAGCAGCACTGGCCACAAAAGATTAGCTGCTCTACTATAATGCTCCCAGTAATCCAAATGCAGGAACATCCGCGCCGAGTGATAAGTGCATCTGCCAGCTCCACAACCTTTCAGTGACTTCAGAACTTATTAAAGACCTTAGCTTTTAATAAATCCCAGATTTTCTTTTCCATCACCTTACACACAAACACACACATGCAGATACACACACACATGCACACATACACACACACACACACACACACACACACACACACACACATCCCCTGCAATGGTAGCTAAAACCAAATATTCCCAGTGCTGTGCAGTGTATGAGTTTCTAAAACAACCAGAATGTGCTTCAAAACACCACAGACATTGTGAGTTTCAAGGGGGCCATCACTGACAAGAGATTCAGATGCTACTGATCTCCTTTCACAGGTGCTCCTGCAAAAAATGTGTACAACCAGCAGGAAAGGACTTGGTTTCCAGGGAAACAGAATCTTGTTTAAGTCCTTTGGAAGCATTAGGTTCTACTGTAGTTTTTCCCCTCAGACACATAGACTGTTGCTCCTTGCAAAATAATTTATTTAGTGAACAAGAAAATGCTTTGCCCAGCTTAGAGGTAAGTGCATCAGAAAATTCAGGAATAGAATGAGTACTTGGGGGGGGGGGTGGGGGGAAATAAGCACCTCTCACTGAGCCTGCTAGTCTCTGACTGGTGGGATCTTGCTTTCACATAAGGATTCTTCCTTACAAGACCTGAGGTTTCATCTGCAGACATGTTTCTGCCTTGTTGGAGTCATGCTGAAGGCCCCATCCTTGCAGCTTGGGCTCTGCTCTGCCCAGCCGGTCTTAACCCTCAAAGGCTAACAAGTGCTTTACTTCTACAAAACAAAGCAAAAACAGTGAAGATCTATCTCCTATTTCAACCTCTGGCAACTCTCCAAACAGCATCCCCTCATAACCTATAAACATTCTTTCACTTTGTAATATAGCAAATGACTTATTTTTTACACTGAAAACTTTTTTTACTCTGTTCTTTTGATTATGATGTAGTTCAGAGTTTGGATCCAGGATGCTCAGACATAATAATGCTCATGATATTCAAGGTCACTTCTATCACCTGGAGATGTGGCTGCTTCATGGCTTAAATGTGACTGAAGAGTTACTGGAGTGGGGACTAGAACAAGCAGAGAAATCTCATTTTCTAGGCATCTTAAAAGGAAGGCAGAGTATCATTTCCCTGAAGTATTTGAGTGCAGGCCATTTTAAAACCATAGATAGAACAGGAAACTTTTTGTGATCAAAAATATGGTTGGTATCAGAATGGAAGAAAATCTTCACAATCTATACATCTGACAAAGGGCTAATATCCAGAATCTACAACAAACTCAAACAAGTTAGCAAGAAAAAATAAACAATCCCACCAAAAAGTGGGCTAAAGACATGAATAGACAATTCTCAAAAGAAGATATACAAATGGCCAACAAACGTATACAAAAATGCTCAACATCACTAATGATCAGGGAATGCAAATCTTAAAACCACAACGTGATTCCACCTTACTCTTGCAAGAATGGCCATAATAAAAAAAATAAAAAATAAATAGATGTTGGCGTGGATGCGATGAAAAGGGAACACTTTTATGCTGCTGGTGGGAATGTAAACTAATACAACCACTCTGGAAAACAGTGTGGAGATTCTTTAAAGAACTAAAAGTAGAACTGCCATTTGACCCAGCAATCTCACTACTGGGTATCTACTGAGAGGAAAAGAAGTCATTATACGAAAAAGATACTTGCATATGCATGTTTATAGCAGCAAAATTCGCAATTGCAAAAATGTGGAACCAACCCAAATGCCCATCAATCAATGAGTGGATAAAGAAACTGTGGTATATATATACGATAGAATACTACTCATCCATAAAACGAATGAATTAATGGCATTCACAGCAACCTGGGTGGGATTAGAGACTATTAATCTAAGTGAAGTAACTCAGGAATGGAAAACCAAACATCATATATTCTTACTTATAAGTGGGAGCTGAGCTATGAGGATGCAAAGGCATAAGAATGACACAATGGACTTTGGGGACTCTGGGGGAAAGGGTGGGAAGGAGGTGAGGGATAAAAGACTGCAAATTGGGTTTAGTGTATACTGCTAGGGTGACAGGTGCACCAAAATCTCACAAATCACCACTAAGGAACTTGCTCATGTAACCAAACACCGCCTATTCTCCAAAAATCTATGGCAATAAAAAATTTAAATAAATATATGGTTGGTAACATTTGACCATATGTATAGGAGAGGCACCTGACAACCATAACTGAAGCATGCCCTGAGAATGACCGCATTGTCTAAGAAGAATGTGTGTTTGGAGTCCCAAGCTAAGGAATCTGAGAGTGGCCAACCTGGAGTTTCACTTCTTATCCATGAGGGACATTCGAATCCCTGGCCCATCCCTTGGAACACAGGCCATACAGGGAATCAAGGCCTTTAGTTTTGGGTTAAATGGAGGTTGCCAGGTGGAGGGTGCTAAGTAAAAATGCTATATAACTGCATGCTTTTTATAAACAGTAGTGGTCTTCCTGTGTAGTCTGCTATCACTGGACTGCCCCATATGTAAGTCCCCCCAATAAACCCTATGTCTCGTTGGCTGGCTTCAGGTCTCTTCTTTGGCCTCTGGACATGGTACTATCCCTGCTGGAGTCAATAGGGATCTGGCATGACACCATATGACACCTATCATAGCCCACAGGACATGAAATTTGAAAGACATTTCTACTCTTGCAGCTCATTGTTTTTGATGGCATGTGCCAACTAAGTACTGACATGCCACTTGGGGATGAGTGAGGAGGCTGCCCCACCCTTGTGACTCCATGGTGTGAGCACCTCCTGCCTCCTGCCTTTCACCTCCACTGCTTGGCCTCTTCAAAACCCTCTCCATCCAACCTGCTCCTGTCAAATATGTCTCTTGTCAGACTGAGCAATGTCAGACTGAGAGCATTTATTTCATGGGCAGGAAGCCAGAGTGGCTGCTGTGATGTCTGACTGCACGTGTGGTGCAAGCACACAGGGGAAGGGGGCCTTAGATTTTCTCAGGTCAAGGAGGACCATGCGGCCTGGCCTTCTCCACTTAGCGCTGCATGAGCTCACTGGGCTGGCATCAGAAAGCCCTTCCAAAACAGGAAGATACAAGATAAAACCTCCAAGAGAGCAAGGGAGGAGAGTGATGCTCCCTCTGGGAAGAATGCACCAAGCCAGAAATAAACACCTTCATGAAAAATATTTTAAAAGTTAAGCTCAAAATTGTTTTTTAAATGCAGCTTTACTGAAAAAACTATAAGCTCAGAGTCTCTGCTGGGGCAAGGATAAACAAAGCACGGTTCTTTCCAACAGGAAGCCCTCAGTCTAGCAGGACAGGTAAATCAGGCGAGTGATTTATTTTAAAAGAGAAAGACAAGGGAAATGAACATTTACTGAGTGTCTACTTCATGGCAAAGCTTGGAGCAGACTATATTACACACACATACACACACACACACAAATTCACACACATCTCATTTTATTCCACTTTACAGAGGAGAAAACAAAAGCTCATAGATTTCAATGGTGTCAAAAGTTACACGGAAGTAGCCAACTTTTTACTGTATGGCAAACATACCTGCTAGCAACAGCTTAGCTTGAGCAACACCCTGAGAGTTACCCTATGGTTTAAGAGGAATGCGTGTTCAGAGTTCCAAGCTAAGGAATCCAGGAGTGGCCAACCAGAGATTCATTCCTTATCTATGAGGAACATCTGAGCCCACGGCCTGTCCCATGGAATGTGGGCTGTCCTGGGGAGTCAGACCCTTTGTTTTGGGTTAAGTGAAGGTTTCCAGGTGAAGGGTAAGTGAAAATGGTACATAAATTGCATGCTTTCTGAAGGTGGTCTCCGTGCTCCTGTCCAGCCTGCCACCACTGGAACACTCTGCATGTAAGTTCTTCTCAATAAACCCTATGTCTCATTTGCTGACTCTTGAGTCTCTCCTTCAGCCTCTTGAACCTGGTGCCATCTCTACTGAAGTGAATAGGGGTCTGGTACGACAATATTCAAATCTAGTTCTCACTCCAAAGCATGTAATTCCAAAGCCCACACTATTCCTACATTATGATGCCTATTTCACTTCATTTGTCTGACTCATAGGAACCTGTTTAACCTCCTTGTTAAATAGAACATTATAAGAAATGCTGCCATACCTTAACACAGCAGAGTACTATATAAATTCAGATGGCATTATTGTAACATATCTTTCATTCAGTTGTCTGTGAAGAACAGATAGTAGTTTATATATTTGTGAAACTCAGCATTAAGATTTTGATATTAAAAAGACAGGGAAGGATACTCTGTGATAAATACGAATTAGGTCACATCATTCTATGCTTGGTTATGCTGAACAACACGGCACTGAAAAAACAGAGAATACCTGTAAGATTATTTCTTCTAAAGGAGAACCTAAAGGTAAACCTAGAACTTGGATGACTCTACAAATAAGGGCCCTGGAAATCTACAGGGCGTCTTCCCTTTCTAATTTTAAAAATATAACAATCGTGTTTACTATATCTATTGTGAAATACAATTACAGGGTACTATGTAAGATGCTAAGGGGTGGATAAATCTCAGAATAAATAAATAAAAGTAACTTTCCATGGACTGAGGGAGACGGTCACCATGCAGTACGCCACAGTTCCAGGGCATGACTGTAGAGCAGGGAAAAGTACTGCAAAGACACCAATCTTTCTTTGATGTGTGTCCCTTTCTTCCCTTTGAGTTGGGTTCCTGCTGATCCTGAGGGAACCCCTCTTGCTGCTCCTCTGCTTGACCATCTCAGCGCCTCCTTAGAGCTCCAGCTGACTCTCATCCTGCTCCCCCATGCAGGGCTGGTTACATGATTTGTGGATCCCAGTGCAAAATGAAACAAGTATAAAAATAGGTCGGATGCAGGAGGTGGAGCTTGCAGTGAGCTGAGATTGCACCACTGCACTCCAGCCTGGGCGACAGAGTGAGACTCCTTCTCAAAAAAAAAAAAAAAAAAAAAAAAAAAAATAGGTCAGGTGCAGTGGCTCACAGCTGTAATCCTAACACTTTGGGATGCAGAGGCGGGAGGATCACTTGAGGCCAGGAGTTTGAGTCCAGCATGGATAACATAGCAAGACCCCTGGGCACGGTGGTGCATGCCTGTAGTCCTAGCTACTTGGGAGGCCAAGGCAGGAGGATCTTGAGCCCAGGAGTTCAAGGTTGCAGTGAGCTATGATCACGCCACTGTACTCCACCATGGGCGACAAAGCAAAATCCTGTCTCTAAAAACAAACAAAAAAAAAAAAAGAAAGAAAGAAAGAAAGAAGAAAAGAGAAGAAAAGTATAAAAATAGACAACTGCAGATTCCAGACTGAAATACTGATGGGTAGAGGAACGCTTTTCCATGATATACCCACAGCACCTTATCAAAAAGTTACAATCAGACGCCTGTTCCTGCTTTAACTTTTTTCTTCCACAGCACATTTCACCTTCACACTGGTTGCTCACTTTTTGGCTTTAATGCCTGTCTTTTCCTGGATTAAAAACTTGATGAGGCAGGGATGTTTTTCTGTTTTGGACATTGATATATCTTCAGTGGGTAGAGCACTGCTGGCACATAATAGGCATTCAAATATAAAACACCTGAATCATACAAATGGAGAACACATGTGAAAACTAGCTGATATAGCAAACTGAATGGCTAGAAAACTTTACACAATAATAAGGGAATGAATTTCCTCAGGGTCATGAAACACATTGATCTGAAATTCATGGAAATAACTCTAATTATTTATTATTTTAGATTCTAGAGAATGAGTATCAGCTGGTTGTAGACAATGAATATTAGCTATAAGGGTGAAGATGATCCCTTATAAAAATGACTGCATTTAGGCCAGGCGTGGTGGCTCACGCCTGTAATCCCAGCACTTTGGGAGGCTGAGGCAGGTGGATCATGAGGTCAGGAGTTCGAGACCAGCCTGGCCAACATAGTGAAACCTCGTCTCTACTAAAAATACAAAAAATTAGCCGGGTGTGGTGGCGGGTGCCTGTAGTCCCAGCCACTTGGGAGGCTGAGGCAGAAGAATTGTTTGAACCTGGGAGGCGGAGGTTGCAGTGAGCCAAGATTGTGCCACTACACTCCAGCCTGGGCAACAGAGCAAGATTCCATCTCAAAAAATAAATAAATAAATAAAATAAAGGCTGCATTTAATATTTGATATCTCTAGAAAACAGTTGACTGAAAGTCATCCAGGTTCTGATTCTAATGGATTACACTATGTCATTAATTGTTTCCATAATTCAGAACAACAAAAGAATAGCATTTTTATATTAACAGAAAATGTTTGCCTTCTATAAAATGAATGGAGGGATACAAAGTTATAGAGAACTGCAAGAACAGATGAGAGATTTACTGAATATCGTTGGAGCAGTTAGAGGAGTTCACAATAGTCCTTACATTCATTACAATAGTTAACTTACCCCCATATCCATATAGATAAGCCCTGGAAGAGTATTCAGTAGTAGATGGACTACTGAAATGAAAACACTCGTCATCAACTTAAAAAAAAATTGTGGTGAAATAAACCTAACAAAAATTGTACCATGTTAACAATTTTAAAGTGTACATTTCAGTAGCATTAAATATATATTTATGCAACCAATCTCCAGAACTTTTTCATCTTGCAAAACTGAAACTGTATCCACTGAACAACAACTCCCCCTTTCCCTATTCGCCAGCCCCTGGAAACCACTGTTGGATTTTCTGTCTCTATAAGTTTGACTTCTCCAGGTGCCTCATGTAAGTGTTTGTCCATTTGTGATTGGCTTATTTCACTTAGTATAATGTCCTCAAGCTTCACCCATGTTGTAGCACGGTAAACATTTCCTTGCTTTTTAAGGCAGACTAACATCATCATAAACTTTTGCAACTTATGAGAACTGCAAACTGACAGTAGCGCAAAAGCATCAGTCTTACTTTGACATGCATCCCCCTCTTCCCTCTGAGTTGGGTTCCTGCTGATCATCTGAGTGGATCCCTCCTCCTGTTCCTCTGTTCGGCCAACTCAGCTCCTCCTTGGGTCTCCAGCTAACTCTCGTCCCATTCCTCCATGCAGGACTGGCTATAAGACTTGTGGATCCCAGTGCAAAATGAAAACACAGGCCTCTTGCCAAAAAATTATTGATAACTTCTGTCTCAAAGAGATATTTGTACATTCACATTCATAGCAGCATTATTCTCAATACCCAAAAGGTAGAAGCAACCCAAGTACCCATCAGATGAATGGATAAAAAAATGTGGTATATACATACAATGAAATATTACTCAGCTTTAAAAAGCAAGGGCATTAGGCTGGGTGCGGTGGCTCCCACCTGTAATCCCAGCACTTTGGGGAGCCAAGGCAGACAGATCACAAGGTCAAGAGATCGAGACCATCCTGGCCAACATGGTGAAACCCTGTCTCAACTAAAAATATAAAAATTAGCTGGGTGTGGTGGTGCACACCTGCAGTCCTAGCTACTCAGGAGGCTGAGACAGGAGAACTGCTTGAACCCGGGAGGTAGAGGTTGCAGTGAGCCGAGATCACACCACTGCACTCCAGCCTGGCAACAGAGCGAGACTCCATCTCAAAAAAAAAAGGGGCATTCTGACCTATGCTGCGACATGAGTGAAGCTTGAGAACATTAGGCTAAGTGAAAAATACCAGTCACAGGAAGATACACTGCATGAGGTACCTAGAGAAGTCAAACTCATTGAAACAAAGTCAGATGGTGGGTGCCAGAGGTTGCGGAATGGAGATTGGAGAGTTGTTTAATGGGCATAGAGTTTCAGTTTTGCAAGGTGAAAAAAGATCTGGAGATTGATTGCAAAAGAATGTGAATAGATTTAACACTACTGCACTGTACACTTAAAAGTGATGGAGATGGCAAACTTTATGTTATGTGTATTTTGCTACAATTTTACAAATTATTAATAATTTCAAGACAGCAACAGCAGAACATTAAGCCAAGCTCTGGGGCCTTCTGAATTCCAGAACCTGTGCAATCTACATAAGCATCCAATATATAATATTAGCAGATAGACAACATTTCCCAAAGCACCTTCTGTTGCCTTTTCCTACGACACACATCATGTCTACTTCTCCTGGGTTTCCATTTTTCTTTTTCTTCACAGCCCTCTATGTTAGAGATGAAGAAGAAATAAGATAGCTATATGTTCTATGCACATAATGTGTAAATGGCAAGGCCCTAAAGATTCTCAGCCATTTGAAATGTTCAGCAACCAGCAAAATGTTCAAAATTCCTTTTTGTAACAAATAATGTCACAGAGAGAACAGAAGAAACATGTCCTCGTGACTAACTGCTGTAATTCTTATTTGTTCCCAGGCTGACTTTTCCTAAGACTGGATTAATTTCTTGTTGGACCACTGGCCTGTGAAGTGCTGATAAATTAAGTGATTGGTAAATACGATAACTTTCAAAGGAAAAGAAGGGTTAGGAATCCATCTGCTACTCAGGATCACTGAAGAATTTCATTTCTGAAAACAGACCACCTGTTAATTTAGTTAAGATCTGATAGTCAGCTGAACAACTTTGGTGGAAGTCATCCAACTTGTCCTAGATTACCCAGCCTGTGCTGGCAGGTCTGAGAGTCTGGAGAAAGATGTTAATGAGTTATCTGAGGACAACAGCTCAGGCAATACATGGTTATAGAGAAGTCCCACTTTGGTCCTTCAAGAATGATGTTTTTACACTGCTGTCATAAAACAAAACTGAAAGCAACCTGGAGACATTTTAGAAGCTCATATGTAAGACACTTCTGGTTGTATAGGCGAAATACACTTAAAAATACAATTATGGCCAGGCACGGTGGCTCATGCCTGTAATCCCAGCACTTTGGGAGGCCGAGGTGGGTGGATCACCTGATGTCAGGAGTTCGAGACCAGCCTGGCCAATGCAGTGAAACCCCATCTCTACTAAACATACAAAAATTAGCCAGGTGAGGTGGTGGGTGCCTGTAATCCCAGCTACTCGGGAGGCTGAGGCAGGAGAATTGCTTGAACCTGGGAGGTGGAGGTTGCAGTGAGCTGAGATTGTGCCACTGCAGTCCAGCCTGGGCAACAAGAGCAAAACTCCATCTCAATATATATATATATATAATTCTATGTATAGTAGTTAAAAGTGTGGGCTCTGGAGCCACACTGCCTTGTGTTCAAATCCTGCCTCTATCTTGTAAGTATGCCCTGAGCAATTTACTTAGTTTCTTTGTGCTTCAGTTTGTACATTTATAAAATGAGAATAATAATAATAATATTTATGTCATATGGTGGTTGCCAGAGCAAATAAGTTCACACATGTAAGCACTTAGAACAGTGCCTACTACATATTAAATGATCACTAAATATTAACCATTATTCTCCCTAGCTTTAGGAATTCCCTAGATCACAGGTTTGGTGAGTGATGGCCACAGTTGATTACAGTAGGGGAGGACACCTGATCCAAGAGGCCCTAATATAGGCTTGATTGAGCCAATAGATTCCTACTCTGGGGAACCTGAATTGGGTGACCCAAAACAGTTTGAATCCCTGGTAGGGAGAAAAGAGAGCAGTTACACTTGATAATGTGCAGGCTGAGAAAGCAGCTTGACTAGTTAAGAGTAATACACAACTTGAGGGGAGAAACAAAGGTAGGAAACACCAGGTAGCCATAGGATGGAGATAATGCTCTCATCTTTTCAGGATTTCATTTCAGTTGCCACAAGCCCCAGCTGTATTTTCTTTCCTAGTCTTAGATTTGGGGAATAGTACTGTATCTTTACAATAAAGTCTGTATTAGTCAGGATAGGCTAAGTTATGCTTCAGTAACAAATAGCTCCCAAGTCTCAGCAGCTTCATACAACACAAGTGTACTTATCACTCTTTGTGGCCACTAAGGGTTGGCAGTGAGGCTCAGCCCATATTACTCCCTCAAGGACACAGCGTGATGGAGACTTCATCTCAACAGTCTCACCACAGTTACAGGAAGGAAACATGGCAGTCACACACTGGCTTTTAAATCTTCTACCTGGATGTGATTCATGTAACTTCTACTCACATTTCAGCAGCCAAAGCTAGTCACATAGCCATGCCTCATATCAAAGAGGAAATATAATCTCACCACATGCCAAAAAGAGTTACATTAGAATATTTTGTCAATAGCTAATTGACTACTACATCCACCATTAGTACTTCAGCCAGTTTGAATGGGTCTCTGTTCCTTCAGAAAACAACATCAGCAATATTGACTAGAACACAAATGAGATGTAAAACATCACCATCTTTGTACATTTTCCTCTCGTAACTATGCTTTTCTAAGCATAACCGACCTTTGATTCAGCAGTTGGACAGTTGCCTACATCATCCCGTTCTTTTCAGGAACAAATGACAGTAAAACCTGAATATTTCAGGAATGAGGTATTTCAGGATAACAGGATTTTGTGTGTGTGTGTGTACCTAAAAATATAACATTAGAATATCTGAACTTAAAAAAAAATAACTTTTTTGGATGACAATATTTTAAAAATAGATATATTTCTTTCTTTCTAAACGGAATATACATAAATAATTTAATATATTCTTAATCACTGAAGATCAACATTATGAATATCAGACACTGTACTGTGATGTTCTTGGTACCAAATAAAACATTCATTCATTCAACAAACATATACCAAGTGCTATGCCAGAAACTGGGAAATACATGGGAAATAGGGCCATTCCTGACCTCAGGCAGCTGTGCAGGGTCTTTGAGCCAGACTGGTTTTTTACAGTTATTTTCTTCTCCTCTATTGCTATCAACAAGTCAGTCACCACTTCTGGCCGCCGTCTGTACATCTGCAGTCCCCCTGTTCCTTCTAACTTTTATTTTTTAATTCTCTAAAGTCCTAGAAACAAAGCTTGTTAGGATTACGTGTAAAGTAAGAGTAAATAAACCTAGTTGTAAAGATGCCAGGAACTGTCCTATGAATAAAACAGAAGAGCTTTGGTACATAATATTTATGCTGCTTGTTTTTAGGTCTTTTCTGTATAGCTCATGCTACCACAGAGCAGAATTTTGGATAAGCGAAGTATCACTGTATCATAAACGTAGAGGTATTAAACACCTAGCTTTCTCATTTCCTTGGCACAATGATCTTTGATATATTTTTTATGTTTCATAAAATACTGCTTTGTGCTCTTTAAATCTTTTCCTTAATTAAAAAAAAAACAACTCTTCGTATTAATATGTGATTTCCTTCTAATAGTAACATTTAATTACAAATTTAGAAAACTACATAACTGAAGTAACACTTGCACCAAATGGATTAAGCTCTGATATGGACTGAAGTGTGTCTCCTCCTCAAATTCATATGTTAAAGCCTTAATCCCCAGTGTGACTGCATCCTTAAAGATGGGATCTTTTGGAGGTAATTAGGGTTAGATGAGGTAGGGCCCTCATGATGGGGTTAGTTAAGTCCTTATAAGAAGAGACATCAGAGAGCTTGCCCTCCCTCCACCATGTGAGGGCACAGCAAGAAGGCGGCCATCTGCAAGCCAGGCATAGAGCCCTCACCAGAACCCAACCATGCTGGCATGCTGATATCAGACTTCCATCCTCCAGAACTGTGAGAAAACAAATTTCTGTTGTTTAAGCCACTCAGTCTATGGCATTTTGTTACGGCAGCCTGAGCAAACTAATGCAAGCTCCAAGCAGTTTCTTCTTAGAGACAAACTTTATTTGTGCTTTTTCATTTTTTTATAAATAAGTTGTTCTTTTGCCCCAACTAATCATTCCTTCATTTTTGGCTCATAAAAGTACAGGAAGTCTTTAGTAAAAGTCTACTGCCAGCTATTGCCATAAGTGTTAGGATACTTGAACAATAGCTTTCAAATTTAGTTCTTTTTTTTTTTTTTTTTTTAGATGAATATTGTTTTGTCGCCCAGGCTGGAGTTCAGTGGCACGATCATGGTTCACTGCAACCTCCACCTCCTGAGTTCAAGTGATTCTGCTGCCTTGGCCTCCTGAGTAGCTGGGATTATAGTCATGCATCACCACACCTCGCTAATTTTTTTATTTTTAGTAGAGACAGGGTTTCACCATGTTGGCCAGGCTGGTCTTGAACTCCTGATCTCAGGTGATCTGCCCACCTCGACCTCCCAAAGTGCTGGGATTACAGGCATGGGCCACCACACCCGGCCTCAAATTTACTTCTATTATTCAGATAAGAACATTTCATAAACAGACAATTGGACAATAAATGAAAATGTAATATTCAGGCTAGTCCAAGCGATGTTTAGGTAAAAAGTCTATTAACTTGACTCATACTATAAAACATCTATCTTTCTCTTAAAACAGTACTTCTTAACTGTTTTTAAAGATTTTTAGGGATCTTAACACATTTCTCTCCATTAAACATATGGCATATGTATATTCATTCGTTCTTATAATTTCTGAAGTTTTAAAGAGAAGTCACCAGATTAAGAACCTCTGCCCCAGAGAAAATTAAGCAAAACCAAACTGAGTGTTTTCAGCAAAGCAAACTTCATTCCTAACCTTTAAATGGCCATAACAAAATGCCTCAGTGACCAGTTGCTTTGAATTGGTCTCATCTACAACCTGCGAGCTTTGCTCAGCCCTCTGATGTGAAGTAACATCAGATCTCTAGCCATAAAGCCATTCCCTTAAAGTTCCATCGTTAGTCTTTTCTATCTTAGTTCAAGGTCTGCTGGCAGTGATGGACTCATCAGAATCTCAATGTCCTCATAGATAGCTAAAATACGATCCCAGGTAGTTCAACCATATGTGGATTTAAACAGATACCTAATTTGTTCCAGAACTACTTTCCATATCAATACCTTGAAAATACTTTGTAAGTTAAATCTAAAAGGAGGCATGGAAACTTCCTCTACAAATAGTGAAGCTAGTCCAATTCTTAGGGAAAAGAGACAGTCATTAACTCTATATTTAGAGCTAGGCATTCCATTCCCCCAAACTACTCTCTCATCAGCCTAATTGCTTGAAATTCCTGTTCTTGTTTAACACTAGGGCAAAGCATTTCATTTTAAATTTGAGATAAGGTTTATACTCCAAATACCCTGAAAAAGGTAATTTAGGGTATTAGGACCACTTTAACTTGGACATGACTATGGAGGGGGTACAACAGGGAGGCAAGATGCTGGATGCAAACCTAGATACCAAAGACAAAATGAGGCACACTTCCCTCACTCCCATTTTTTCCTAGGACAAGCACCATAAGGAGTATCAGTTAATTGAAAAAGTCTTTACTAGATGCCAGGAGCTGTGTCAGGTACTGAGGTTAAAGTGATGAGGAGAATACTGCAAAGCACAACACCATCCTGACAACATGTGAGAAGCTCAAAGCCCATCAGAAGAAAGAGACAGGCCCTTTACAAATGAACATAATGATAGATTGAATGTGCGATCGTAAAACGAAACAACGCAGAGCAGTTTTTAACAGTTGCGTGGTGGGGGAAGGGAGATGCAAATAAAAAAGAACATTTGACTTGGATTTGTAAGGACATGAAGAATTTTGCCAGGTGGGGAAGTGGTGGAAGGGAGGAGTTATTTCAGGCAAAGGCAACATAAAAGCATGGCACAGAAGCATGAAGAGTACATGGAGTGCTCATGGAAAATCACTGAAGGCTGGGAGGGAGCCCCAGTGGATTCTGGTGGATTGCAGCCTCTGGCGAAGGCTGAGGTTGCCTCTGGACCACATTACTCCCCCATGTATTTCTTTATAGAGACATATTATTTTCAACTCTTTTGAGAAGAAACATTCATACTGATTGTTTCTTATTTAAACTATGAATCTATTAAAATATCAGGCATTCTTCATAAAAATCATTGATAAAAAATGAATTAAGAGTACAGTTCATTTACAGTGTTTTTTTTTTGGAAGTTAAAATTGAGCTCCTGTTATAAAACAGAGACTGTGTGGACTCCTTAGTGAAAGAAACTCAGTTCAGAGGACAACAGGCGACAGTGGACAACCTGGTCATATTCTGTGGTTAGTCAACCAAGAGTTTGATTCCACCAGTATCCCTATCTTCCTTGCTTCCAAGCATACTATTTATCTTTAAATTAAATACTAAATGAATAACATGTTTGTGATTGCTAATTCGGACATGGGTCACACCACAGTTTTACACCTTCGAATACAAGATTTCTGCAGTTCCACTACATGTCCACTAGAGGCCTGTGAAGAGCTTTTTTCCCCCATCACGTAGAGTCTGATAACCAAAAAGGCCAGAATTAAAACAAATAAGAAATATTGATTAGACACGAGTAAGACAAGGATCTAATTGGTACGTAACCTCACAGTAAGTATCATAATTGTGGATAAAATAATCAAAATGCAACATTGTTTCAAAACTCCAAGATACCAAATTGCAAAACTTATGAAACTACTCATATGTAACCACAAAAGCAAAGTTAAAAGAAGTAGGGCTTTGAAGACTTCAGCAACCATTCCAAAAGGCCAGCAGACTCTGGCAGGCTTTGACTAGGTGGAAGACTGCACCAAGTGGTGAAGCAGCCTGAATAAAAATTGCCAGCAGCCTGTATGGGCTTCTAGATCTTCAAATGCATACTCAATCTAAAAGGCATGCAACCAACGGAGGGAAAACTCCTTGGTGGGAAAGTAAACAATGCAGTGATTTAAGGCAGATGGGCTGAAAAGGGACTTCCTAAATAGCGACTCCATGGAAGTAAACAGGGGAAGACAGTTGAGATACGGCCAGGACACTGAGATGACACAGACCAAAACCGACCCTATGGTGAAGACTGTGGAAACTCTCAACTTAAGAGGAAAGAGGGCAACTTAAAGCAAAACACTTAACATATTCGATTTGCCAGGACAACCGCAAGACTGCGTGAGCACTGGAAAAATTACCAGAAGGACAAGATGCCCTGTAACATCCCTTTATCTCTTGTCGAACTCAAAACAGACTTTCATTCATTTCATGGTCTGCTTGAACAAACACAAACAAAGACGAAAAATACTAAAAGTCACATCACCCGTGCCAGGCATGGACACGCGAGTGCACGCGTGCACACACACCACACACACACACTACTTCTAGTCTATTTACAGAAATGGCCTGTTTTTCACTAGCTTTGGTTAATTAGCAATCAGAAGAGAGTTGTATGGGGTTGGAAGAAAGAACCCTTTGTTTGGAAAACCTGTGAAAATATTCCCTCAGAAGCTTGTAACTTTCCCTACGCATCACCCTGGCCCTGAGGACAAGCCCCTGTGCCAGAAGCCTCAGTGAGGCACACAGAGCTCACATTCAAAGGCAGCTCTCTTTGTTGTCCCCCAGGAGTTAAACCTTAATGGGTTCACAATTTGCAGGCTTTTTTGGAGAGTGGCTTAGTGGTGGTTGCCTGCTGCCAGAAATGGAGCAGAGACAAACCCTAGTGAATCCCACAGCTGTTGTGGCTGCTCCATTGGAGAGAAGAGCAGTTGCCTGAGGCATTTCAAAGACAAGCAAGAACACAGGGAGACATTATGAGGCCTGGAAGCGAATTTGCAATTATTGGGAGCAGATGGTCAGTCCACATGGGGAAGAAGGAGATTGTAGCCATCGTTCTCCAGTGAAGACCATGGCAAATGGTAATTCACTGAGTCTTATGTCCCCAGATAAATCTTGTATTGGAAAAGTATTCAGCTGCAACATAAGATCATCATCTGCAGCTAGTTAGTTTTACTGTCACGCTCTTGACTTCTAAACCTAAACAGCCACAACTTGGACAGGAAAAAGCCAGTACATGCACATCCTACCTTGGTTAGAAAGAAGAAGAGGCGTGGCTGCTCTGGTAGAAATAGGGAGAATACTCATCCTGGCACCCTGGGTTTCCTGGAGGCAGCCTGCCTGAACACTGCCTCCAACATTACTTTGCCCAGCCCTTTATTTCAGAAAAATCTTCATTTTAAACAAACATTCATGAATGCTGGGATACTGCTGAATGATTTTGAGAGTGGAGCTTTCATAATCTTCTTTTGTAAGCTATATCCACTTTTTTTCATCACCCTTTCCGGTCAAGGGCTGCTTTCTGATGCACAAGAATTCTCTTTTGCTGAAATCTCAGCCTATTTCCTGTTATCCTCATGTTGATTCATCTGAGAATCACATTATCTCTTCTAAAACACTGTTTACTTAGTCCATTATGACACGTAAGGTCGGTCTTTACTCATTTTATGTTTGAATGATTAATTTGTTCAGTTTATGCAAAGTACTCTTAAGTACCCCTGATGTGCAAAGTGCCAGCGAGGCACTGAGGAGGATGGAAGAACCATAACTGCAAGATGCTAAGAACCTGGTGAAGGAAGCAGAAACACTTGGGAAAGAACTCTAATACCTGTGAAGTGCCAAGATACGGGCATAGTCAGAATGTTGTGGGCATATAAAGAAGAGAGAAAATAATACTTATTTCCAACTGGAGAGATTGGGACACTAGCTTAGAAGGAGATAGAGTTTAAGTTGGGCTATATATAGGATGACCTACCATCCCAGTTTTAAAACTTAAAGTCCTGCATCTCAGGACACTCCTCAGTTGGCTGAGTGAGTGATAAAGGACAGTTGTAACTTCAAGTTTATCTCAAGGGTGAGACACAGTGAAGAAAGTCTCAATGGCAATGGGCTGGGAGTGGAGATGAGGGGCTGGTCAGGCCCTCAAGCTGCTGACTTGGCAGCCATCGGTGCATAAGGCCCTGGACAGGGTGAAGATTTTCAGGACAGCAGGGCCAGGCTCTCACTGTGCCATACATTGCACAAGGCACCAGGGAGACGAGGCTCAGGCCTGGCACATGGGTGGTGGCTGAGTGGCTTTCTTTAGACTGGGTATGAGCTCTGGTGCTTCGTAGTCCTGGGACTCCTATAACACACATGAGGGCTTACTCAGGCTGGCCTCACTGCCCTGCAGGCTAGGGCATTAGAGAACCCTACATTATGAATGAGGGACTGGAGGAGGGGCAGATTTGGGGGAGTTGTGGTTTGGGCCATGCGCATCATCTTGAGTTGAAGGTAACATAATAAAAACTTGTGGCATGCGTTCACATTTACCATCTCACTTTGGAGCTCTATTTAGACCCACATCTTAGAAAACTAACTGTTAAAGAATGGCCTTGGTCACATGGCCAGCAGGGAGAAAGCTGGGGCACAAACTGCAGTCTCTGTTTCTGACTGCAGGTCCGGGGCATTCCCATAACTTTTCCAGATGACTAAGGTTTACCTGAAACTTTAAAGATTTTAACAGTTTCATGATTCAGTGTCATTTTAGTATATAGGGTCATCCCTTGGTATCCACAGGGGATTGGTTCCAGGCTCCCCTCACCCATTCTAAAATCTGCAGATGCTCAAGTCCCTGATATAAAATGGCATAGTATTTGCATGTAACCGAGCACATCCCGCATATATTTTAAATCATCTTTAGATTACATGTAATACTTGCTTCAATGTAAATGCTATGTAAATAGGCCAGGCATGGTGGCTCATGCCTGTAATCCAAGCACTTTGGGAGGCCAAGATGGGTGGATCACCTTAGGTCAGGAGTTCGAGGCCAGCCTGGCCAACATGGTGAAACCCTGTCTATACTAAAAATACAAAAATTAGTTGGGCATGGTGGTGTGTGCCTGTAATCCCAGCTACTTGGTAGGCTGAAGCAGGAGGATCACTTGAACCCGGGAGGTGGAGGTTGCAGTGAGCCGAGATCACGCCACTGCACTCCAGCCTTGGTGACAGAGCAAGACTCTGTCTTCAAAATTAAATAAATAAATAAATAAGCTATGTAAATAATTCTTGTATTTAAAAATTTCTTTTATTGTTGTACGGTTATTCTTTTATTTTTAATTTTTTTTCAAATATTTTTATCTGGGATTTGTTGACTCACAAGTGGGGAAGAACCCTCAGATACAGAGGGATACTGTACTCTGTTTAGTCATCTAGATCACTGGTTAGTGTATTAAATCTTATATATCCCAGGACAGGTGAAAACACAATCACTCAATTTATAATCTCTCATCTCTTCTCTTCTCCTCCAGAATCTTGCAGTCATGCTCCAAAAACTTTGACGACGTGTATCTGAAACCAGCCCAATTGTCCCATAGAAATGATATTTGAATGTTTTTGAATAAACATAGAAATTGACCCTCTGAATTAAAACTAGAAACTTACACTTGTCTATTCTGAGTGCCTTCCTCAGGAAATCAACCCTCACTCAAGGGAATGAAACTCACTCAATCACTACATCCAGACAATGAGATACAAGACCCCTCATTCATCATGATTGCTTCCTTGTTCCTCCCTAATTCCCTGTTTTCCTGTATAAACCTCCCAATTTTAGTCCATTACTGAGATGGATTTGAGACTAAATCTCCCATTCTCCTTGGCTGCAACACCTGATTAAAGCCTTCTTCTCTGGCAATACTTGTTGTCTCAGTGATTGACATTCTGTGCTGAGAACAGCAAGACCTAGACCAAACCCCTGGCACTTCAGTAACATATCAAGCACTGCTCAATGTGATAGCGACAGGAGGCAGCCAAATGCCTCAGCAGATAGGGGCAGGTACTGGGTGAAACCCCAACTCCAAGCCAAAGAGAGTTTAAAGCCTGAAAGTCAAGCTACAAGTTAAATCCTCGGATTGGACTGAGAGCTTGTCTTCCTGTTTGGTGTGCTTTCCTCTGATGGATCCCCACCCTTCATCTATTTTACATATACCTACCCTTTCCTAATTGGTTTTCTACACTGTCAGGCCCACCTTTGAGTGGTATCTTCGCTTTAACCTTTTTTGCATACTCACAAACCAATCAGTATGCACTCCCCATCCTGTGCTTATAAAGACCCCAGACTCAGTCATTAGAGGAGACGACAGCCTGACTGCAGGGAGAGGGACAACCTGACTTCAGGGAAGACGACCTGCCCTTCCTGTCCCTTCTCCAGTTCTCCTCTCCACCCAGAGCCATTTTCAGCCCTTAATAAAAATTCTCTGCCTTCACCATCCTTCAGTTGTTCACATGATCTCCTTTGTCTTGGATGCTGGACAAGAGCTCAGGACCCATCAAGTGCAGGTACTCAGAAAGGCTGTAACACCAGCCCTTTGCCCTTGTTGGCAGAGCAGCCACCCCACACGATGAGGCAAGGGGCCAACTGAGCTGTTAATACAAGTCTGCAGATGGCAGAACTAAAGGAGCACTGTAACACCCCCTCTGGGGCTTAGGGTTGCAGTCATCCTTACCTGGGTGTTGCTGCATTCCCCTCAAGGTGACACACCTGGTCTGGATGCAGGCCCTGCACAGAAGTTGCTCCTGTGTCAGCAGCCGGAGCAGCCAGCCGGATCTTGCACTTGCTTGCTCACGTGCTCCCTCCTGCAAGGGGTTGAGCATGGCAGACCGAATAGGTGGGGTGCCCCTTCTATGAGTCTGTTGAAGGGGCCAAGAAAAATCCTGCATCAAATGCACCAGGCCCTCACTGTCCCAGGCACTGTGGATGAGCCAAAGATATGTATGATCATATCTGTGTACATATGTGGCTTATAGCATACGTACAAATAGAAAAATATGCCAGACTGGCTGTGTCTGAATAGACCCTCTTGAACCTCTTGGTTCCAGCCCCCAGTGAAGTAATGATTTCATCAAACAGATGCAGAACATCTACCCCTCGAGATGGAGAACTACTGACTGGTACCCGCTTTTCTGGTCATAAGCTGAGTTTTCTGCCCCTTTGTCCTCAAGTGACTTTGAATTTTGTTCTTTTGAGAAAATGCTCCTGAGGATACAGGAACAGAGTCCCAGCTATTTTCAAAGGTAAGAACCAGCCTTCCTCTTCCTGTAACTCTGTGTCTTCACACTCATCATGCCATCTGCTCTCTTCCACTCATGGGCTCTCTCAAATGCTTCACTGACATTCCCCTTGCACAAGGCCGCAACTGGCCATGGAGTTCTCATTAGTAAAATGGTGCTACTCAATGTTCATCCACCTTACATGATTTTCGTGAAAATTAACTATGAAGTTTGAGGGACTTTTTTAATGTTATGAAATGTTAGTCTAGTTTCTTATAACTTTTTTTGATGAAAGCAAAAATACTGTGATTTTAGCATTCTGCCTCCAACAAATCTACCTCTCTTTGGCCTGAGGCAAGTCACCTAATCTTATATATCAGTTTCCTGTGTGTAAAGCATGGAAAATAATTGTTACCTGGCTCACTGGGATTGCCAGGTTTAATTAGTTATGACTTTAGAAGGTTGTAAAAAATTGCTTTGTAAACTATTCATAACAATGATGGCATACAACTCCTTCTGATATCTTTATTCCTTCTCTGATTTCTTCCATATCCAGTTCTTCTGCTATAGAAATAAAAAGTCATTAGTGGTGAATTTGTATGTTTTTATCTGCATTTCTTCCTGTTCAATATTTTAAGGATCTTATGTATTATCACAGAAAATGTAAAAATGTTCAGAAAACTCCTTCCTCTGGTCTCTTGAAGCCATTAGTACAGTGGTTTTCAAAGTGGCGTCTTCAAACTAGCATCAGGAATGCTTGAGTCCCCAGTTCCCCAAATGTGCACCAGGGCACTCTGGGGCACTGTAGCAAACTCACACAGGAGGCTTGGGATATTTTTTAAATTCTTGAGAGGCTCACAAGCAACACTGGACATCTGTCAGACACTGAGCAAACTACTAGTCCAAAGTAGTTCCTGCTTTCAACATGAGGTCCTGTCAACAACATTCCTTTCCATGAGGCCATATCTAGCTGGATTTTTGGCAGATGCTGTGATAAAAAGCAGGTGCTATGTGAAAATCAATGTGGAACAGAAAATAAGGCTGGCAATAACCCATCTGATTCCCAGGTTTGAGAAACTGTGCAGTGTCCAGCCAGTGCAGACATCTCATTATTAAGTAATTGTGGTTATTATTAATGAAATAAAATATTATTTTTCTTTCAATTTAAGGGTGTTTTTAAAAATAGCTGCTAAGTTGTTAGGACATAAATACTTCTCCAGGTGTTTCGGTCTATGTACTTAATAAATGCAACTGTTAGGTATTTCTTTTGGCCTAGAAACAGAGTTACCAGAAAAGTCTGGTAGCCCTGTCGAAGGGCACTGTGCAAAAACTACTGAGGCCTTGAGGACACCAGGAGCCAAGGAAGTCTGGAAACCTCTGACATGAGAAATTGCTCCAAATGCAAATTCTTGGGTCCCCTCCAGACTTCCTAAATCGGAAACTCTGTGGGTGGGGCACAGTGATCTGTGCTTTGGCCAGGCCTCCAGGTGATTCTAATGCATGTGCACATTTAAGAAACATTGCATTAGCAGCTTATGTCCTAAGAGCAGCAGGTGTGCTTGGGCAGGTGGATGTTCCGTTGGTAAATGAACATCAGGCTAATCTCACAGTTTGAATGAGAAGGTACAGAAATGACCCAACTGGGGGCAAAAAATCCACCCCCCAAATCAGTTTACATAAATACATAATGCATATATCTTGCTCTCTTAAAGCTCATTCTAGCCTCTTAAAATTATGAAAACGTACTGTTTTTATTACAAATCGTGAGTAATTTGTGCTTTCTCTTGGGCATTTTGGGGAACCCGAAGTGCCTTTTGATTTTTGAAGATTGAATCACTCTATTATTGAATGCTTCAGATTGCTGAGAATGAATCATATCATTCCTTTCAGAAGACAGAATTTATGGCTGGCCAGTAAGGCATGATCCAAAATCTTTGGCAGGAATCTGATTTGCATTCTCTTCTGACTTGGTAGCAAGCAGGACCCTCCTCAAACGCCTTGTTAGTGTTTCTGTGGAGAGGAATAAGGAAGGACCAGGTGCGAGGAGTTCCCTGGGTTCGGTGGAAACGCATGGCTGCGTGAGTGTTAGAGATTTTGAGGAAAATCTCCTGTGCTGAATAGCAGACCTCAGTTTTTCATCCTGGTTAATCCTCTTAAGCCTTTGTACATATGCAAAGATTTCCAAACTTTGGAGTGCTAAATCAGAAGCTTTCAGCAACAGTCTTCCTTGGCATCCCCCTGTTTCCTTAGCAATATGGTGGTCTAATGCTGAGCATAAGGAAGCCAGTTAGGAAAGTGCATCTATGTGGATACAGGGGAAGAGCAATCCTTATTATCTTGAGTCCTCTGATGCTGGGATGGCTTCAATGCTTGATCTTGAGGTAACAGCAGGAATCAACTGGTCTTCAATCCCTTGCGGACAGTGAGGACAGTGCGTTACAACCACTCTGGCTCACAATAGCTACTCAATAGCTTTCTTCAACGTTGTTGCATTACTGAATGTATTACTTTTAGAAATTAAATTACAGCCATCTTCTGCAGTTGGTATAAATTCATTCCTTTCTCTTAAACATTTCAATCTCTTCTTCAGAGTTTGATAGTTTTTGACCACTGATTCCTTCCTGAAATTCTTTCTTCCCTAGGATATATACCCTTATGGAATTACTTTTGGTTTTCACTGCTCAATTTTCTTCTTTCTTCCTCTTCTTCTATATGTACTTTCCCCAAAGATCTACACGTTAACTTTTTCTCTTTTCTTCCTAAACCAGCCCTCTACAATCTTGTCCATGTCAAGGAATTCAGCTTTCTCCTAGTCATATCCTAATCTCTTTCTGCACTCAGCCCCACTCCTGGAACTTCACTCTTGTCCTCTTTCAAAGTCCTAGTTCCAGATTTCTAACTTCTTAAAGAAGCCACCACTCTTCCTTAACTAGGAAAAATAATTAAATAATGAAGTCATGTTGTAATCCCTGTTTTTCCTTGGCCTCACTTTCAATCGGTTCATAAATTCATAAAACATCTATAAATTGAGTCCCTGCCAGCAAGAAGGCATTGTGTTAGTGCTGCAGGTGTAAGACTTGGGCCCTGCCTTCAAGAATGTAAACGAGCCTCAATTTATAACATCTTATTCCTCCTTTTTGTTTCTGCCATTGACCTGTTTTGCAGTAGTCTCACTTCCCACATGAACTATTGCAATGAACTATTTTTCTGGTCTTCCTGCCTCCAGCATCTTGCTTCTCCAGTTAATCCTAACTTTGGTGCTAGAAAAGACATTTCTGGATCATACCACTCATCAGTGTGATCCCTTGATTAAAAACTTCCCATCTCCCCCCTCACCACCATCCCCTACACCCATTTGACTACACTTACCAAAAAATTTTAAGGAAAAGCTTGGCACAATCTCTACTGATGTTCTGAGAAACACCATATTTCCTCTGAAATGATTTTTGCCTTTAAACTATACCAATTGGGTTGAGAAGAGTCTTTATGGCTTAGAATCAAATGAAACATTTTACCTGGTGACAAAAACCAAGAGTATGTTAGATTCAAAGAACTGTTTCATCACTGTCTGAAGAAATGTTTCATTAGTGTCTTCATAAAAAGAGATAGACAAAATTATGTCTTTCAAGAACACATCTTATGTAAACGACACAGAGTAACTGATCAGTATCACTTATGAGTGGGATAGTATTAAGTAGAAATATGTTTTGAGATTAGCTCTTCTACTGAGTAGTTACAGGTGACCTTGGATTACTTTCCAGCTCAGATAATCTAGGACTCTCTTTCAGATAGCACTTACCTTTCTTTTACTTACTCATCCATTAATACAGCACCACATAAAGCCCTGAGAATTCAACATTGAACACAACAGACATAATCCTCACTCACTTGGGTTTTTCTTTGTTGGTCCAACTCCCTGGCTAGTTTCAATGGCAAAACCAGATTTCAAGACTAAAGATTTATTTAATAGTTAAAACCTAAACATCTGCTTGTCCTAAGGCACTATAATGGACTAAGAACGGCTGCCCAAGAGATTGGAATAAGGATGGGGTCAAATAAGGTGAAAGATTTGGGGAAAATGAATATATATCCCCCAAAAGGTAAAGTGAGTGATAAAAAAGTTTACATTAGAAAAGCAGCATAGACTTAAAAGTAGATCATCTATTTTATATGTATGTTTAGTAAGAAACAGACTAGTGATTTTGAAATTTTGGTTGGGGATCCCAGGGTGTAAATTTTTGCCATATGAAAGAAAGTTTCAGTTTTAGGAAGCAAGGAACAGTAGAAAATCTATGAGCTCTAGAGTGAGAAAACCTGACTTGATGGTCAGTGCTGCCATTTAGTAGTTGTGGAACCTTGAGAAAGTCACTTATCATCCTTAGGCTTGAGTTGATTAATTTGTAGCAATAATAATAGCTAATGTGGAAGTGCATATAATGAGTCAAGTGCTTTATATACATTATCTCTGTAATCCTATGATATCCCCATGAGGTAGCATGTTTTTTTATTGTGGTAAAAAAACACAACATAAAATTTACCATCTTAACCATTTTTAAGTGATAAAAAATAACTTCTTAATGTGTTAAGAGGTAACACATTAGTGTTTTTTCTATGTACATGTTGTGTAATGGGTCTCCACATCTTTTTCATCTTGCAAAACTGAAATTCTATATCAATTAAGCAACAACCTCCCCATTTCCCCCTCCCCCCCAGCCACTGACAGTCATCATTCTACTTTCTGTGACTATGAGTTTGACTTCTTTGGATACCTCATGGAAGTGGAATCATGTCGAATTTGTCTTTTTGTGATTGGCTTATTTCACTTAGCATAATGACCTCAAGGCTCACACACGTTGTAGCATATAACAAGATTTCCTTCTTTTTTAAGGCTAAATAGTATTCTACTTTATGTATATACCACGTTTTCTTCATGCTTTCACTCATCATCAATGGACATTTAGGTTGCTTTTACCTCTTGGCTAGTGTGACTGACACAACAATGAACTTGGGGTGCAAATCTCTTTGAGCTCTTGGCTTTAATCCTTTTAGAGATATACTAAGAAGTAGAATTGCTGGATTATATGACAATTCTATTTATAATCTTTTTTAGGAACTTCCATTCTGTTTTCCATAGCAGCTGCACTGTTTTTTATTCCCATCAACAATACACAAGTGTTCCAATTTCTCCACATCATTGCCAAGACTTCTTGTTTTGTTGTTTGTTTGTTTGTTTTTGGTAATGACCACCCCTATGAATATGAGGTGATATCTCATTGTGGTTTTTATTTGCATTTTCCTGATAATTAGTGATACCAAGCATCTTTTCATATACTTCTTGGCCATTTGTATATCTTCTTTGAAGAAATATCTATTCAAGTCTTTTGCCCATGTTTTTAAATCAGGCAATTTGTTTGTGTTGTTGTTGTTAAGTTGTAGAAGTTCTTATATATTCTAGATATTAACCATTTATCTGATGTATGGTTTGCATATATTTTCTTCCATTTCATAGGTTGCTTTTTCAATCTTGACAGTTTCCTTTGCTGTGTAGGAGTTTTTAAGTTTGATGTAGTCCCATTTGTCTATTTTTGCTTTGCTGCCTGTGTTTTGCATGTCATATCAAATAAATTTTTGCAAATCCAATGTCATTAAGCTTTTCTCCTGTTTCCTTCCAGAAATTTTATAGTTTTCAGGTCTTACATTCAGCTATTTTATCCATTTTGAGTTATTTTTATATGTGGCATAAGGCAAGGATCCAACTTCATTCACTGGTATGTAAATATCCAGTTTTCCCATTTATTGAGGAGACTGTCGTTTTCTCATTATGTAGTCTTGATGAGCTCATTGAAGACCATCTGACCGTATACACGAGGATTTGTTCCTTGGCTCTCTATTCTGTTCCATTGTTCCATATGTCTGTCTTCATGCCGGTAACATACTGTTTTGATTACTGAAGCTTAGTAACATGTTTGAAATCAGGAAGTATGAAGCCTCCAACTTTGTCCTTCTTTTTCAAGATTGTTTTGGCTATTCAGGATCCTTTGAGATCCCACATCCATTTTAGAATTTTTTCTACTTCTGCAAAATAAAAAAATCCCATTGGGATTTTGATAGGTATTGCACTGGATCTCTAGATCACTTTGAGTAGTATAAACATTTTAACAATCTTGTCTTCTAATCCATGGTATGAGATTTCCTTCCATTTACTTGTATCTTTAATTTCTTTCAGCAATGTCTGCAGTTTTCAATGTACAAGTCTTTTGCCTTTTGGTTAAGTTTATCCTTAAGTATCTTATCCTTAAGGATCCCTAAGTTTATCCTTAAGTATTTTATCCTTAAGTATCCTTAAGTTTATCCTTAAGTATTTTATCCTTAAGGATCCTTAAGTTTATCCTTAAGTATTTTATCCTTAAGGATCCTTAAGTTTATCCTTAAGTATTTTATCCTTAAGGATCCTTAAGTTTATCCTTAAGTATCCTTATTTCCTTTTGATAGTACTATAAGTAGTATTGTTTTCTTAATTTCATTTTCAGATTGATAATTGTTCATGTATAGCAATGCAACTGATGTTCGCATGTTGGTTTTGTATCATGCAGCTTTGCTGAATTTGCTTATTAGTTCTAACCATTTTTTGGTGGAGTCTTTATTGTTTTCTACATATAAGATCATGTCATCTGCAAACAGAGATACTTTCATTTATCACTTCCCAAGTTGGATATCTTGTGTAGGGTGCCATTATTAAGATTGTATTATAAATGAGTAAACTGTGTTCTGTCATATTTCTGAATTTGTTGTGAGGATTCCATGAGCTTACAGGTATGAAATTGTTTTGTAAACTATTTCAGGGCCATTGATTTCTACAATCTATTAAGTGTCAAAACAGACCTCTATTCATAGAAAGTAGATCTAAGTTAATTCTTAGCACTAATGGAGGTCAATAAAGATAGAAACAATGGAATGAGTAAAAGGAACCTAGTGAATGTTTAAAATCTAGCTAAGAAATAACTTGGGTATTCAACACAATAGAATAAAACCGTAATTGATATTAATGCAGTTTTTGTATTAATAAAAACTGCATTTTTATTAATGTTAAACTACAACAAAAGCTATGATAAAGCAGTTTTAGTTCTGAATCAAAGGTATTTTTCTAGGCAATTTCAGTCATGTATGTATAAATGGAAAATAAAATTTAATTAAAAAGTATGCCCCTCCCCCTCCCCCTCCCCCTCTCCCCTTTGCACGGTCTCCCTCTGATGCCGAGCCGAGGCTGGACCATACTGCCGCCATCTCAACTCACTGCAACCTCCCTGCCTGATTCTCCTGCCTCAGCCTGCCCAATGCCTGGGATTGCAGGCGCGCGCCGCCACGCCTGACTGGTTTTCGTATTTTTTGGTGGAGATGGGGTTTCGCAGTGTTGGCCGGGCTGGTCTCCAGCTCCTGACCGCGAGTGATCTGCCAGCCTCAGCCTCCCGAGGTGCCGGGATGGCAGACGGAGTCGCGCTCACTCAGTGCTCAATGTTGCCCAGGCTGGAGTGCAATGGCCTGATCTAGGCTCACTACAACCTCCACCTCCCAGCCGCCTGCCTTGGCCTCCCAAAGTGCAGAGATTGCAGCCTCTGTCCGGCCGCCACCCCGTCTGGGAAGTGAGGAGCGTCTCTGCCTGGCCGCCCATGGTCTGGGGTGTGGGGAGCCCCTCTGCCCCGCCGCCCCATCTGGGATGTAGGGAGCGCCTCTGCCTGGCCGCAACCCAGTCTGGGATCTGAGGAGTGTCTCTGCCCCGCCGCCACCCCATCTGGAAGGTGAGGAGCGTCTCTGACCGGCCGCCCCGTCTGAGAAGTGAGGAGCCCCTCCGCCCAGCAGCCGCCCCATCCGGGAGGTGGGGGGCAGCCCCCACCCGGCCACCACCCTGTCTGGGAGGTGTACCCAACAGCTCATTGACAACGGGCCATGATGACGAGGGCAGTTTTGTCAAATAGAAAAGGGGGCAATGTGGGGAAAAGAAAGAGAGATCAGATTGTTACTGTGTCTGTGTAGAAAGAAGTAGACATAGGAGACTCCATTTTGTTCTGTACTAAGAAAAATTCTTCTGCCTTGGGATGCTGTTAATCTATAACCTTACCCTCAACCCCGTGCTCTCCGAAACATGTGCTGTGTCCACTAAGGGTTAAATGGATTAAGGGCGGTGCAAGACGTGCTTTGTTAAACAGATGCTTGAAGGCAGCATACTCCTTAAGAGTCATCACCACTCCCTAATCTCAAGTACCCAGGGACACAAACACTGCGGAAGGCGGCAGGGCCCTCTGCCTAGGAAAACCAGAGACCTTTGTTCACATGTTTATCTGCTGACCTTCCCTCCACTATTGTCCTATGACCCTGCCAAATCCCCCTCTCCAAGAAACACCCAAGAATGATCAGTAAATACTAAAAAAAAAATAAAAAATAAAAAAAGTATGGAGTTAATAGTTTTATGGTTAAAACTATTTTCAAAACACCTTTTCTTTACTATGTATTGAGTCTGATATATTTGGAGGCTTAGCTGGTGTGTCTTTGTCTGTTTTTCTGTTCTTAGAGCTTCCTAGTAATTCCTCTAAGTTAGCAGGTATATATTACTTCTCACTGTACAACAAAAACAGTCCCAGTCTTTTCCAAACTGCTGGCTCCTGCAAGCATGTATTCAGCCTCAGAAAACACCTCTCCATCACAACTCTCCTTCCTGGATGATGTGGCTACAGGAATTCCTATTCCTACTCTATTGCTGTTTTGCCAAGGAAGGCCCCCTCATTCCATCCCTACCGCCCACTCCATAGCACAGTGCACCTCCTCTTCTTCCTCATGGTACTCTTTGGTGGACACAACCATACTCAGCTACCCCTCCTTTAAATACCACAAACATTCATTCAACATTTATTGAGCACTTACATGTTCTAAAGCTCTAAAGTACAAAAGTAAATAGAAATGTTGGAGTGTGGAAGGGGGAATGGTAGGCATCAAAGAGAGGCATTTCAGAGTAAAGACTTTCCTATAGGGAAGGCACAGATTCCTGCCAGTGTATGACCAATCCCACAACCTGTGAGGAGTGTAGCTCCTCAGGGTGAAGAGTACCTGGGTGTGGGAAGGGCTACACCACAGCCAAGAGTGAAGGGCCTCTTATGCCACCTTAAGGAGTTCAGATTTTAATCCTATGGGTCATAGGGATTTTCAAGTATGGAATTAATTTTTTTTTCTCAAAAATGATACCTCTAGCAACAGTGTGAAGGATGAACCATAAAGGACAGAGAATCCGTGTGGCTGAGACACTTGTGACAGGCCAGGGATAATGGTGTCCCGGACTCAGCAGGGAGTGGTGGAGATGGGTGGGCAAAAACAGGGTCCCCGGGCCCTTACTGTTTCTCACAACATTTTGTTTCCTTCATAGAACTTGGAGATTCTCATATTATCAGTGGAGTGCAAGTTCCTTGGAACTATGTCAGCTTCGTTTACCTGTTAAGCCCAGGTCTGGCACCTGTAAGGTATTTAAGCACTGGTTTAAAGGTGGAAAGCAGGAACCAACGGCTAAGAGTGAGATGAGAGTAAGGGAGTATATGGCTTCCAGGTCTCTAACTTGGGCACTTATTTGGATGGGAATAGAGGTTGAGTATCCCTTACCTGAAATGCTTGGAACCAGAAGTGTTTCAGATTCCGGCTCTTTTTTTTTTTTTTTTAATATTTGCATTATCCAAAATGCTTCAAAATCTGAAAGATTTTGAATGCCAACATGATGCTCAAAGGAAATGCTCACTGGAGCATTTCAGATTTTGGAGTTTTGGATTAGGGATGGTCAACTTGTACCTTCATCTGGGAATGCCGATACCATGAAAGCTGAAAATCAGGATGTGGGAGGTGAAGGAGGAGAGTTAGTAAGTTCTCTGTGGATGAGGAATTAGTCTCAAGAGATAGGAAACTAAAGCTTGGATAGGTTAATAATTTTTCCAAAGTCACATTACTGGGAAATAGTAAAGCGACACTGGAATCCAGGTCCTCTGAACTTCAAAGTTATCAGTCACCCTCTCACTCCTTTCACCACCTGTCACCTCTCACCACTCACCCCACCAGTCCTCTAGCAGACTTTTTACATAGACTACTGCTGCGATAATTCCTCACATCCCTGTATCTCTTTGAAATTTAGCCTTGCTGCTCCTCTTATCAAGAAGAGCCCTCAAATCTGGGTTTGGCCATGCCACTTGTTTTGACCAACAAATCAAGCAGAAGTGATGTGCAACTTATGAGCCTAGGGCTGAAGAGGTCTTTCAGCTTTTATGCTTACCCTCTTGGAACTCTGAGACAAGAAGCCCAGGCTAGCCTCCTTGGGGATAAGAGACCACATGTAGAGAAAGGCCAAGCTGACAGCTGAAACCAACCACGAGGCATCTGAGGGAGACACTATTAGGCCACAAAACTCCATCAAGTTGCCAATGAATTGTAACTGCACAAGAAAGGAGAAACCAGCAGAAGAACTCAACAGCTGAGCCCTGACCAAATTGCCAACATACAGAACTGTGAACCAATAAATGACTGTTGTTTTCAGCCATTAAATTTGAATTCGGTTGTCATGTAGCAATAGGTAACTGACACATCCCTACATCCAAATACAACACATTAAGCTGTCTCTGAAGTGAGGAAGAAAGAATCTCCTTAACACTGGCAAGGAGGAAAAAACTGTCAAATGTTAGGGACAGTTCCAGACATGTCCAATTATTAGAAACATAGGCTCCCTTGCTCTTAGAAATAAAAGGAAACTATTAAAACCGCAGAGCTGAGTTTCACTGTGAGTTAAATACGTCATTGTGGGTCAGCTGGAAACTCACCATCCTTTACTATTGGTTCTAGCGGAAAATTTTCTCATTTGAATAAAATAATTTATAAACTCACTTGCTGGCAAACTGAGGATAATTTGTCCTAAGACATGACACTGCATTTTATAAAATCAGAGTAAACAGAAAAAAGACAAGAAGAAGACAGAACACAATCTTCATCCGCACTTACATTCTCGCAGGAATGTTTATGAAAGAAAAAATATCCTGTGAATGCAAAAGACTCGTGCTTTGGGAAGAGAACAACTTCTAGCTGTAATTGAATCATTTGGGGCCACATTCTGTGGGTACCCTAAGGTGATTATGCTCAGAATGGAGGCTTTCAGAATGTCATTTAGCAAAAGAAAACATGGCTGGATACCAGTAATAAACTAATGCCCTTGAGCTACTTATTTTTTATGGCAAACTAATTGAAACATACAAATTGTATAATGTTCCCTGCTTGTGAGAAGGGGCAGGACTGAAATGCAGATGATTGATTCTGAAATGGAGCCACTAAGATAAGGTTTCTTCTTCAACAGAAAATATGTTACTGATCTAATTTCTGTGCAGCCAAGATAAGTGGAACTGTCATTCTGTCCTATTGGAAAGAACCTTTGTCTTCCATGAGAAAACAAAGCTGCACAGATACATTTTTGTTTCTAAAATAGATTTTCTTTTCTTTCATTCTCCCCCAACCTTTTTTGTAAAGTAATTTATAGGGAGTTGATTAAATTAACTGGTAAACTCAAGAGGCCAGATTCTACTTTTAAATGCATGCCCATGGTTACTGTGAGCAGAAGAATGATATAGCCTAAGGACAATAAAATTACATTTTATTCACCGTACAAGTAAGGATATTTGAAGGGTGCAGGAAGGGATGGGGTGGGCCTGTTATCCAGAGAAACATTGTAATGAATAAGCTCAAGCTTGGCAATTTTTTAATTCATTTTTTAGTGTGTGGGTAGAAGGGCAACTGCACTGTGTTCATAGACATAAATGCTTTGTCTGTCTCTTGAAGCAAAAGATAATAAATCCCAGGGTTATAATTTAAGACATGCGCATCAAAGAGAGGTAAGGAGAAGTGACTTAAGATGAATAAGTGGCTGTGTTGCTTCACAAAAGAGGAAAGCACTACCATCAAGTCAGGGTTGGCTAGAACGTTACCTATTCATTCACTTTCTATGCACCTAATGTACCCCAGACAGGCACACACACATCTCTAGTCCACCTGAGCTTCTCAGGGCTGTATCTTTGTCTAAGTCTGTATGTCTAGGAACAGACAAGCATCTTCTAAAACCAGCCATTTGTTTCAACAATCACACCTGCTTAAATTTAAGTTTCATATTTCAATAGGTTTCATACCCCTATCAACATCTTTTTAAAAATTTTATTAATTCTATTGAATAAATATTTGTTGAGCACTTTCTGTGCAAAACACTGTGCTAGGTAGATCCAACGAGGATCCAAAGATATAGAAGATATTCTAAACCTTCACTCAGGTTATTAGACAAATAAAATAATAAAAATATTGATGACCATAAAACAAAAACAAAAACTAAGAGAGAGAGAGAGAGGAGAGAATAAAACACTATGCGGTGGGATTTCAAAAGCAAAAAGAATTATCTGTTGGCAAGAGAATTAAGATTGCTTCTTGGAAGAAGACCTTGAAGGATGGATAAAATTTCAAAAGACAGTGACAAGGGTGTGGTTATGGAGAGAGTTATAGATTGGTCCAGTTTAAAGGAATGGCTGGGCTGGGTGTGGTGGCTCATGCCTGTAATCCCAGCACTTTGGGAGGCCGAGGCAGGTGGGTCGCCTGAGGTCAGGAGTTCGAGACCAGCCTGGCCAACATGGTGAAACCCCGTCTCTAGTAAAAATACAAAAATTAGCTGAGTGTGGTGACACATGCCTGTAGTCCTAGCTACTTGGGAGGCTGAGGCAGGAGAATGGCTTGAACCCTGGAGGCGGAGGTTGCAGTGAGCCAAGATCACACCACTGCACTCCAGCCTGGGTGACAGAGTGAGACTCTGTCTCGGATAAATAAATAAATAAATAAATTAAATAAATAAATAAATAAATAAAACGGCTGGAAAAAAGTCCAGAAGAGAAAGTGCGGCTTGGTTTGTCTGGAGCCAAGATACCAGGCGGCAGAGAGTCAGAATGGAGGGACACTCTGAGTGGGGACTTAGTACTCAATTCAGCAGGCGATGGGGGCAACGTGATGAGCACTGTGCTCAGATGATGGACAAGCAGACACGAATTCAACATGAGGTCTCTGCAATGCCGTCGCCAGGACAACTGCTCCATATGACCAGTGCCCTCTCATTTTTTGGAGCTAGTCTTTTCATAACATGTTTCAGGGTGCCTAATATACGTTATATTAGATATAATATATATTTCTATCATATATTTTTGCAATTTGCTGTATATATAACAGACACCAAATATAATATCAAGTACAATATCAAATATATTACATATCTATTGTATTACAAATTTTCAATTTGCTATATATTAGATATCCCAGTTATATATGTATATGAATGGCCCTCACTTGTAAGTGCTGGAACCGTGATTCACTCACTCTACTGCTATCGCCCAAAACGCACAATTCTCAGCACTGGCTGAACTTCCCATCACCTGAGATGCTTACAAAATAGTGGGTGCTGAGACCCCAATTCAAACCACTCTCAGTTGAGGTGCCCAGACACCCCAGGTTTTCATGAATGGCCAGGTGATTCTGACGTGCTAACAAGGTTGGGGACCACTGACACAAAGGGCTTTTCATGTGGGTGATTTACCTCATCTTCTGGGGGGTCCTTATATACTGCACTTGAAGACTCAATGAGGCTAAAAATATTAATTTTGAATAAATGGGCATATAACATTTTAAACTTACATTTCTATTATTGTCTTGACTTTCGAATGAGTCAGGGCTATCGTTAAGAAGAAGAAGGCTGGGCATGGTGGCTCATGCCTGTAATCCTAGCACTTTGGGAGGCCAAGACAGGAGGATTGCTTGAGTCCAGGAGTTCAAGACCAGCCTGGGCAACATAGTGAGACCTCATTTCTACAAAAAATAAAAAATTAGCTGGGTGTGGTGGCAACCAGCTGTGGTGAGCTATAATCCTGCCACTGCACTCCAGCCTGGGCGACAGAGTGAGAACTTCTCTCTCTAAAAAAAAGAAGAAGATAAAAAAGGAAGAATAAAGGAATGTAATTTAATAGACTTTTAATAACAAAGGAATTTTTAGTCACTACTTAAAACTGGAAGTCTATGGCGATCCTGGGCATGTGAGAGCATTAAGAGATTTGTGAGCTGTAGCTTCCAGTGTTACCTACCAGTTGGGGTCCAGACTTGAATGATGGGTGGGGAAGGAGCAGCAGGGCCTCTGGCCTTAGGTACAGTGACTCCCACTCCACACTGCTCCCCCATCCCTCTATTCCTCTTCCCTGTTTTTTGTCTTTCTTTTCTCCTTCATTTATCTTCTTTTGTTTTGGTATTCCTCCCATTCCTTTCCCCTTTTGCTTCCCATATTTTGATTTTTCTTCTTCCTCCACTTCTCCAGTCACTTTGTTTCTTTCTCACCATTATCCTTTCCCTTATTCAGTGTTTGGGTGTTCCCAAAACACCTGAATTACATAATATTTTAAATTATTAGTTGTATTTATTGAATGAGCTTGATACTCCCTGGTCTTAGATTTTAGGGTGGCAAGTTGAACATATCATCTAGTTTTCTTTAAAACAATAAATTTTAAATAAGCTACTTTTCACTAATAAGTTGGGAAATCATTTCTACTAAAGAAGAGAAAAGAAAACAAAACTCCTTTTTCCCCTTGCCAGATATTTCTGATAAAGGAAGATAAATGAGTACTATATTTTAAAGGCAGCCATTGCAAATGTGTTTCATGAAAAATAGGTGACATGCTACATGACATTGAAATGACTGCTAGCTTTATACATTAAAATGAGGAAAAAAAAGTTGGGAACACGATAACATCATTTCCTAAATGGTAGGAGGATTTCGAAGCAGGGAAATCAACAGACACACAAAGGTTATCACTGGCCACAAGCAGCTGTCAATAAATTCCAATCCTAAGAGAACACACTAACTCACGATGACTCAGTTGACCAAAAAGAAAACACAATAGTATCTACACAAGGCCTTGACCTTACTTCTTCATTTTGTCACTGTTTCTTCCGTCTGTAATGGGTTTCTTAATATTCAGTCAGTCTATGTCTACGATTTCTTAAGTATGAATCTAAAAATGCATTTCTTCCAAGAATTCGTCTTTGACTCCACCTCCTTTCTTTGAATGATTTCTTTTCTCAAGGTTTCCTTAGCCACCTACAATGTGCCAGGCTTTTTGGTCATGAATTTGCCAATATTATTTCTAATCCCTGCAACAATCGTACAATGCAGATATTAGTATACCATTTTGCAATTAAGGAAACTAAGCCTCAGAGAGTGTTAAATAACCTGTCTGTATCAATTAATACAGGTATAGTTGGTATTTAAATCTGCATGTTTAATTCCAATGACAGTATCCTTTCCACTTCCTCAAACTGTCTCCCTTTCGTTTCTTCCTAATGCCATCATACACCAATTATCTGTTATTATTTATTTATTTATTTATTTTGTTAGAGACAGGGTCTTACTGTGTCACCCAGGCCAGAGTGCAGTGGCGCCATCTCGGCTCACTGCAACCTCTACCTCCCAGGATTAAACAATAGTCCCACCTCAGCCTCCTGGGTAGCTGGGACTACAGGCATTTGCCACCATGCTTGCCTAATTTTTTTGATTTTTTGTAGAGATCAGGTCTCACTACGTTGCTCAGGCTGGTCTTGAACTCCCGGGCTCAAGTGATCCCCCCGTCTCAGCCTTCCAAGTGTTGGGATTACAGGCATGAGACACTGTGCCCAGCCCCCATCATAAACTAATTATGTTCTTTTACAGCAGCTTTACACACCCTTATTTTGTTTCCTCAATCAGACTAAAAGAGCAACAACAATAAAAAAAAATCTGGAAAATAATTCTCTGAAAATTCTGAGCAGTAGACATTGCTAGGTATTGTTAAGGAAAGTCAGTTACTTTGGGGGGCCAATTATCTCCTCCTAGTTCATATCTACCAAGCCAAAAGTTCCCTATAGGAAAGCTCATTAGCGCAGAGGAATGAATAAGAATTAAGTGTGTGTCTCTCACCTTCTACCAAGGGAAATATATAATTCTGGAGAATTTTATTCTCGCAAAAACAGTATTCACTGTCTTGTAACCAATGTCTCCCTTAAAACAAGAAAGCCCTGCAGAGAGTTGCAGATGTGGCATGGAATTACAAGCAACTTCATTCTGGAACCCATGCTGGTACAGACACAGCCTAAGACTGCATCCTTTTAAAGGCATTATTTCATATTGCTGAGGCTTCAAACATCACTTGGAACCCTATGAAGTCATGTGGTCCCAGTTCTGTATTTATATAATATGAAATGGCAGATTTACATTTATTCCTGTGTAATTTCAACCAGTGATTTTGGCCCATTGACCCATGCTGTTGAAATCTTTAAATATTCTCAGTCTGTCTGTCAACCAGTACACTTGCTCTCTTCCTATGAAGCATCCCTTCCAGATGTCTTGCCCCTCCTCCCATGTTCCTTAGTCTCTATTTGAACACACATCTGTTCTTGTTTGCTAGATCATAAACTGTATGAGGACAAGACTTAAGTCTGTCTTGTTCATTACTGGATCCTGGCATTTATCATAGGGCATGGCATGGTGTAGAAGCTCACTATGCTTTGAATAAGTGAAAGCATAGAAGGAGGGGAGAAATGGGAATAGGATAAGGAAGGGAAGGGAAGGGAGACGTTATAGGTAGAGGAAGAAGAGAGAACAAGATAAGATCAAGGAACAGCAACACATATAGTGTAGAATCTAAGATGCCTGAGTTGTAAGTTATTTAACTCTCTGAGGCTCATGTTTTTATTTATAAAATATCATCACATCAACCTCACAGGATTTTTGTGAGCATGGGGGGAGATGATGCTGCACAAACATCTGGTCTACAGGAGGTAGGACCCACTGAGGTTGACAGGCCGCCTGGGATTCTTTCACTTTCAAGCCTGCCAGGATGATCAAATGACAAGATTCTGTGGCTCTGAGCCATTTTTGGGCTGCTGAAGGAAGTATCTGGGCCTTATGCTCGCTGCATTGCCCCTCTTTCCAAGTGAATCACTTCATTAAAATGAAAGGTTTACTAAAACAGTCTGCCAGGTTAGGATGATTCATTCCCCAGCTGTGGCCATCATCAGAAAACCATGTGCATTCAGTACAGTTATCAAGCCTGAATAGCCACTAATTTGCAGAGCTTTTGGTCTCAGTGTCATTTATTTTTGTATTTTAAAAGAGGAAGTGCACAAGACATCATTATGTCAGTCCCACATAAGAGGCTGGTAGACTCTTAGTAAGTGGATGCACATGTTTGCATTTCCAAAAGCTTCTCTTTTCATCAAAAGAAAATACATATGTCTAATTGGCTGTTTGTGTAAAGTATGGGCATATCTATATGTTGGGTTAGTTCCTCCCTTGATGGTAAGCTATAATGAAATACATTTTTAATGTTAGATGGGGATTTTAGAAGTCTACTCTGCAAACCTCAGATTTACCACCCTATTTAGCTTGTCAAGTAAGGCTGCTACTTACATTAAATGAGTAACACCTAATCCTGAACACAATTTCAAAGTAAATTCCCTTCCTTTCCAAAACAGACAAACTAGCAAAACCTTACTTCTTCAGAGTTCTGGTAAAGGCTGAAAATCAAAACGATAAGCTTTATTCATCCTAAAAGGCTAAAGATATAAAATAGATATAAAAATAATCACACGTTAAATAAGATACTCCTATCATTACTACATTAAATATTTCCTACATGATAAATGGCCCTCTGGCACTAAAAAGGAAAGACCATCATCTTCTAATTCAATTTATTCTGGTTATGTATATGATGTATCCAAAATTGTGAGCAGCTTTTACAGCTCAGAGGCTGCCCTTTATTTGGAACTCCCTGCCTTTAATCCCTCTCCGGTTGCCACACTCCTACGTCCTGCCTATTTTTGACAACATGGAGAGGAGAACATGGTGAGGCTGGGATGGCCCAAGGGCCTCAAGAGGCTGCCCTGGGAGCAGTGATAACAGAGTGCTAGATGTTCCATTTACAATACTGAAATAGCTGCACAACAGCCCTCTGTCATTTGTTTCTAACCACAGTGAGTGACGGAGAAGATTTTCACTCTATGGGCCATATTCAGGTCCCTCCCTTCCGCATACTTTCAAATGGACTAAACAACCAGTTTCAGCTTTGAACAGTTCTCACTTTATCAATCCCAATCTTTAAGATCTACACATGCAGGGCTTCCAACATAATGTTGAAGCCGTCAGAGGGAAACCAATTTTGTCACTATCAATAGTATTGACCCAGCAGGTATGTGTTTCACTTGAATTACGGAAGAATTGCTCGAAATCACACAATTGAAGACTGATCCAGGAGAATGTTTGCTTAGATATTTTTCTAACTTTTCCCACATCAAATCATTTAGCAAGATTTGTATCTGAAAGTACTTTTCCAATAAAATTGGATTTGACGCAAGTTGCAGAAGTTTTACAGTGCCAGTAGGTGGTACGACGAGGGTTGTAAAGGATGAAAATGTGTTGCCTTTGCCTGAGAATGTTAGAGAGCTGGTGGGTTAAAGAAGACAGTGAGCACATCACCCACCAAGCGAGCTTCCCTAAGGTACTGACCTTGGGCCCATGTCACAGATGATCTGACCCAGTCATTTTCCGTTTTTTGGATTATTTTAGGGACATATAAAAAGGTCACCACCAAACAATTTTCCCATGATACTTAGATCCTAGTATCATGTGGTATTTCCATGAACCAGAAAAGAGCCCTAACTTTATGCCTCCAGAACACCATGTGTGTTCTTTGCCTACCATCATTGTAGTCCTGCTAAAAGGATAGTTTTTATGGTCTTAAGGCAATGACTATGGACAGCCAGACTTCCTAAAAGACTTCTTAGACCTCGGTAGAAAGACAGGTGCTGTATTCCTCCTTTGAACATGGATTTGTGATGTGATGTTCACTATTCTTGCCCTTGAGTTCAAATTCTGGCAATTAAGAATAGGTGTTAACACACAGACCATTTTAAAAGCTACATTAAGCCAATGGACAGCGTAAACATGCCTGGAAATAATATATGCAGTACATGCTTCATCCAGGAAAAACACAATTACCCCAAAGAACACAATTATCCACACAGAACTTAAGTTGAGCACTAAATGAAGGTTCCACCTACAACAAGGGCCGCAGCGTGTATTTATAAGATGAAGCATGCTGTTGGGCTCTAGCTGCAGCACTGCTGGGTGAGGGGGACCTCCTTGTGAAGGCCGAGGCTGCCGGTCAGTGATGAGGGCAGGGATGCCTTCTCGGCCACCTCTGCTGACAGCTGTACAGCTGTGTCTGCTTCATGTGGCCCCCGAGACCACGGTGACCCCCTTCAATGTATGGCGTTGATTCTACTGATTTATGTCAAGGGTAGCTCTGATTTATAAGCGTATCATCAAAGCCTGAAATTGAACTTTCAAAATAGTACGATCTAAAGATGATGCCTAGACTGAACGGGATAAAAATAAAGGCCTCTCTTGAACGGATACAAATTTGATGAGCAATGAACAAAACATAAATGAAGGTTTTTCAACAGGCCTGCCACAGACCATGGGGGAACACCCTGTCCAGGTGTGCTGTCAATTGGTGATCAAATTGTAAAATGTATTAGTGCTGCAATTGAATATATGCACTATTGGGATGCACAGTCTGACACACACAGGGTGATCAGCCATCCCGCTTTGCCTGGAGTGATCCTCATTTTAACACTGAAAGCCTAATGTCTCTGGAAACTATTGAATCTCAGACAAAGTGGGCTGGTTGGTCCCCAGCAGATAGGACACTAGGCTGATGGGGTAGTGGGTGGCAAAGCGGACTGAGGTCAGAGGCACAGCATGAGGTCAAGTCAGCGGCAAAGAGGATAATTTGTACACCTCAACAGAGTGGATATGCCAAGGGGTAGTCAGGACAATAGGCTTAACAGTGTTGGAGAGAGAACACGTGCGTGTGACACAGGTGAGCACCTTTACAGGCTCTGTGAGACAGTGTCACTGTGCTGAGTTGTCATTATTGCTGATTTGTTGAGTATTGTTTTAGGCCTCTCAATCCCTTCATAGCTGTTGCCTATATTCTAGCATTTGAAAGTATTCTGTTGATATGGGCAGGAGGCAGGGAAATATTGGATACCAGGGGGTGATTCCCCGACAAAGGCCCTACCATCAAGCCTGAAGACCCACAGCCCTAAGTGGGAACAGCATTTCTGTTTTCATGTCCTTTTGGCCTGCCATGCCCCCCTATCCTGTACCCATATAAATCCCGAAACCCAGGCTCCAGAAGCAGACCTGTAGGTGAGGAGACAAGCACACGAACTGTGGAATGACGTGGCAGAGAAAGAGAGAAGAGGAGGGATGTCTGAATGCTGAGATGAGTTTGGCTGGGGGTGGTCAGAGAGGAGTTTGGCTGCTGGACGGCCAGGCTTCAAGGGAAGATCGTGTTCCCACTCCAACCCCTCTTTGGCTCCCCATCCATCCCACTGAGAGCCACCTCCATCACTCAGTAAAACTCCCACATTCATCCTTTAAGTCTGTGTGTGACTTGATTCTTCCAGGATGCTGGACAAGAGCTCAGGATACAGAAAGCTGTCACACTGGCCCTCTGCCCTTGAGAAAAGGCAGAGGGTCCACTGAGCTGGATAACACTCACACTATCTGCGGACAGCAGGGCTAAAAGGGCACACTGTAACACACGACAACTTGGGCTCCTATACCTGTCCATCTGTGTGCTCCCCCCCCCCTCAGAGGCTTGATCAGGTTCAGAGACCGAGCAGGTGAGCCACACCCTTGTTGCACATCCTACGAGGGGGACCAGGGAACTCTCCCGTTTCACTGTGAATACAACAAAGTTGAAAGCCTCATACAGATGTGTAAGCTGATGTGTGTATCATTCATACTACTCAGAGGGACCCCAGTGTCACAACCCTTCTTGGCTTATGGTAAGAGATGGATAAATCCTCACCTTTAGGATGCTGAGAGGGACTTTCACTATTATTATCAAAGCTAAGAAAAATATTTATCCAGGCCCACCCTCTCTAAAGAGAACCGCTCACAACTGGGCCAAACTCCATCCTCCAGGGCCCGCACACCCTGTTGCCATCAACCATACCCCTGTCCACCCTCTCCCAGCCTAGTAGATGTGGTGGTGAATGGGAAGGGAGAGTTTTCATAGTACAGTGTGCCTTGATGGTAAGTTTTTTCACAGAGATGATTCCTCTCTTCTTACTACAAAGGCCATACCTACTGAGGCTGCTAGAGACAGAAAAAAATCAGACTGAACCAGAGTGAGCCCCAAAATGCCTGTTCCTCCCCAACAAACAAGGGTTGTGCATAAAGAGATTTCCATCCTTAACTTCATTTCTGCCACACTCCCTCCAGGGCAGGGAGGGGACGGCTCATGGCAAAGGCACAAACCCTTGCTTGCAACTGTGCAGGGAAGAGACCTCCAGGAGTTCTATCTACTCTGAGTTGAGGAGCTAACACTAATTACTGGCCCTTCTGCTCATGTTCCCCAAACTGACACATATCATGATGGTCTACAGGTAGTATAAGACTCTTCATAAGCACTAAAGAAAGAGCACATGTATGCAGGTCAATTTTTATATCAAGTATAAATAAAAAGCATAAATATACATACATAAGTTGATTATCTTCATCTGACCACTTTCCAAATGTGTTCATTAATGAAGCCTACTGAAATACTAAAGGAGCCAAGTATACACTCAACAATAACAAAGGATTCATCTTCAAAATGAATTTTCAAATTTGGCTTCGTGGCGTCCCAAATTCTGAACATGCCTTGAACCTGTCACCAGCCCTGGGCTGTGACCACTCTGATGTGCAGATTTTTACAGGCATGGGAACTAAGAAATGATCCTGGGTCAATGATGTGCATTTCATTACCTGCACCCTCACTGGCTCGGCCTTCCTGAGAGGGCTCCTGCTGGCCCTGGTGACTAAGAGGCTGCTCCTCCAGCCCTACAGTCAGCAGTGTTGCCATTGTGTCCGCCTCACTTCCTCCCCTCTTGCAAATGATCACCAGGTACCCAGGCCCCACAGTTTTCACTTGTTCTATTATTTACTCCTGTTCCTTCAGAACCCATCAGCACATTGACAGTTCAGCAGCTAGCAAACTATTCATCCCAAGTCCACAATGCAGCACATTTTCTTCTCTTTAAAATTTTTTTGAAACATCTGCTTTTGTTTCCATGGTAATCATAGGGGTATTTTTTTCTTAATAGAACTTTGAACTGCTTTTAAATTCTGAATGAATACTGCTTTGCATTTAACAAACCAGAATCAGTTCAAAATGACTGCAAAAAACCTTCCTAGTCAAGCTTAAACGAGACAAGCATGTTAACAAACAAGATGGCAGAAACAAAAATGTTGACTCATTGCTGCTAACCCCATCTGTAGGTGATGAGCAGGACTGATGAAGATTTCAATAAAGTATAATTTGTTTATATATTAAATTTTTAAAGTTGAAAGTAAATAGACAAGTTTCTGTATTTGAACCACAATGTTTGCAGTGGAAATAAAGAATAATTTAATCTTTATGCCAGATCTCGAAGGTAGTCCTTACAGACTCACTATATACAGATACAAAAGCTACAAAATAACACAAAGTTTCTTATCAAGAAGATAGGCAGAGCAAATGAAGCTCTAACCAAAACAGGAAAAGTTTTCAGACATAAAATTAACATATTCAGTTGTTAAACTTGTTGATTGGAAGAGATCATGACTATATAATTAAGGATGTTCAATTAAGGCCATTTGACATATAGAACTGGAAAAAAGGTGCAAAGTCTGACCTGAAGATGTAGATCTGGGAATTATCCATGTAAATTTGGTGATAAGACCATGAATGGGAACTAAATCTTGGGAAACACAGAGCTGGGCAGAGGAATAAGAGCTGCTACCAAGGACATCAGTAAAAATAGTCAAGAGAAGCAGAGAAATGAGATACCAGTGAGGTCAAGGCAAGAAGACAAGTAGAAGGGGTCAGCAACTTTGCAAGACTTTTTCTCATTTGATCCCACATGTACTGAATGCCAAGCATGGTATATAAAAGTGTACCTATATCTATACCTATATCTTTACCTATCTATCTAGGGAATATAGAGGGAATATGAATGACATCACAGCAGCTGCCTTGGAGCCCTGGAGCCTGAAGACATTTGAGATGGATACACCTAAGGAGAGGAGGAGAAGGTGGCAGGCAGATTTGAAAAAAATGTGGATTACCATTAAAAAAGGATTTGTAAGCAATTTCAGAAATATAATCTCCAAGCCTCAGGAATTATTTTACCCTTACTTTTTAAGAACTGGTATTATTATACTCATAATGAGAGTCATAAATTATGAACAAGAAGAAGGTTGGTTATTATTATTTGTTTAGTATTACCAGCCTTTTCAATTCCACACAAGAGGGTAACAGAAACAAAGCTGTGAGGATACCTTGCAGTTTGAACATTTCTGGGAATTTGCATTTAACAAGGAAAGATCATCACTGTAAATATATTTTCAATTTGTAACAGCTGAGACTCATAAATGGAGATTATATGACACATAACAAGTGACAGGTTATCAGCATGTGTTGGCAAGAGCCCTTTGGCTATTAAAAGATAATTAAAACTCACTATAATCTTCCAGCTGCTTCATTTAGTCATTTTGTTTTATATGAATGTGATAAGGCTCTGATGCATTTTAAATGGACAGCTCCCCTTTATCAGCTTCTTGGGTTAAGCCAGTGAGAGTCCCCTCATTTGCAAATCTCCTTCTAGCTACACAATTTACACAAAGCATCTTCCTCTGGCTTGATCGTCAATGATTCTGGTTGCCATGGAGAATTGGGGGTCATCTTTTATCTGGCGTAGTTAAAGCAAGCAATTGCCCACCCATATTATGTGATTGGAGTGAATGCTTCCATAACCATTTTCCTAAAAAAATAGATGTGCTAGAGAGCAGTTGTTCTATGTTCTCAATAGAAGAAGAGCAAAAAAGAACAGGTTTCAACTGGATTTCGATTCAACTTAGAAATAGTTTAATGGCTATGAAGACCAGAAACACACAAGACACCATGCAATCGTCAATGCTGGAGATTAGGAAGAAAGAAAAAAAAAAAAGAGTGGCCTTTTCAGTGTGTATTGTTTGCACGCTCTCTAGCTGGAAGGCACGCAGATGGATTACAAAACATTTCAGGCTATTTCTAAATGCAGAGTAGTGGAATATTTCCGAGAACCATTCTTGCAATTATTTTCAATTAAATCTTTATGTGTAGTTTTTCTTACACAAGGACTTAATAGAGCCACAAACCCTTTTATGGTCAGGCTGATTTGGAGAAGGATAACAGGGATCAGTGCAATGGAATTCTGCAATGCATGCTCAACTCTGGAGCCACAGTGACCTATCTAGGCCTTTGCTTCCATACAGAAAACAAGGTTTCTCCTTAATTTGCTCTTCCTAGAACAGACCATGCTCTCTCACTGTGCTTGACTACAGCACATGAGATCTTTCTCCTATAAGTGTCTTTCTGTTCTTCAAGTGTTGTGCCATACTGTTGGAAAACAACATCTTTCTGTTCTATCTTTGCTGGGCTGTCTCTTTCAAAAGTCAACAGGAACATTGCCTAATCTTGGAAGCCTTCCCTAAGCATTTAGTATGGATTCTGGAGCTCCCCTTGGATCCTGCACTAATGCCTACCCTTGTACTTCTGTCCTGTACTATCATTACCTCTCTACCTCCCTCCCTTCCTCCCCTGCCCCCACTAGAATGGAAGCTCCTGGAGGGTGGGGCCCACATCTTGTCTTGCCCAGCATCTAACAGTTGCTGAATAAATGTTGAATGAATAAATGCAGGAATGGATGAGAAAAATTATCTTTTGAGAAACAAACTTGTGAGATTGTTACAGTCCTTGTTTTCATAGGGACTGACAGTATCTTCTTTCTGAGATTTTGGTAGAAATTAAAAATTAATAGAGAAGCATATATCAGTAAGGAGGATATTGGGCAAGAATGTGCACAGGAATAAAAAGGACCTCTTCAAAATGGGACTCTCAGCAATGCCTCCACTCTTAAACTTCACACTGGCTTTGGTGTCAGTTCCCATGATCTGATGCAATCTCAACCCTGGGTAGAGGATGCTTCCTTTCTTTTGACATTGCCAGACTCCATCACATCTACATAGTTGTCATGCAAAGAGAGCACTGAAAGTGGTTTGTGCATTCTTATTAGGTCTCAAAAGATCAAGAGCAAAGGAATCCTCTGTTTATGGTTCAGTTGGGCCTAGGAAATCGCCAAAAAGTGACAATACGCTTGCTTGAGTTTAAAAATCATTACCAATATTCCAAATTTAACCTGAACTGAAAGCAAATTAAAAGCTCAACTTATATCTATTTATGCAGGCACTTCCTAGGCAATGATGACCTTCCATATTAATATGGTTTGGCTGTATCCCTACCCAAATCTCATCTTGAACTGTAGCTCCTATAATTCCCACATGTCATGGGAGGGACCTGCTACTCAGGAAGCTAAGGCAGGATAATGCTCGAACTCAGGAGGTGGAAGTTGCAGTGAGCCGAGATCGTGCCACTGCACTCCAGCCTGGGTAAGAAAGTGAGATTCCATCTCCAAAAAAAAAAAAAAAAAAAAAAATTAGACAGTTAAAATATCTCCTATAATTACCTCATAACAATCCTTTGAGGTGGGAAGGATTAGTCTAATTTCTACAAAGAACCTGAGGCAGCATGGGGTTAGATAACTGGTCCATGGTCAAACATCTAGGCCTGGTGGAGCCTGGGTTTTAACCCAGGTCTTTCTAACTTTCCAGCTAGTGTTCTTCATGATTACATCACAGTACCTCCCACATAGTTAAAACATACAAAGGATTTCAAATATTCATTTGCCATAGATTCAAAACCTTATCGTAGCATCTTTCGCACTTATTTGCAATGAAAGAGAAAGGGGTGGATTTCCAGCTGGTGGTCTGGGAGCTGTGCTCGCTGCAGCTCACAGTGGGCAGCCATTGCCAACGCTGCTTCAACAGTGGAGGCAGGTCTATTTCTGTTTCATCTTACTGCCCTCTACATTTTACGGGGGAGGTCATCAAATCTGAAGCCCCAGGAAGTGTAAACATCCACTTTTGTCTGTTACTGTGAACAAAGGTTCAAAATTGTGACTTCAAAGCATGGCAGACACTTTCCTAAGACAGAGCCTGGACACTGTCCAAGCTCAGGGCTCACTCAGCCCTTTGAACAGCTGTTACCCAATCCGTTCATTCAGAGCCTTTCATGTACATGTTTTGTACATCAACTAATATCTAGATATTGCGACTTCTTTTATCTACATTTGAAACCAAAATTTACCTTACCAAAACATTTACATAAAAGAATTCATAAGTTTGACTTTGAAACTCTCTGTAGTGTAATATCTTAATAAACAGGATTTTTTTCCCTTGAAAACGTAAGTGTTTCTGAATAAATGGAGAATCAGAATTTTCAGGAAATCTGATAAGTTCAAGAAGAGTTAACACTTATTCCTCTGAACTCCTAAGCCACGTCCTTCCCGTCTTCATTAGAGGGCATTCCTGGTGTAATTATTTAGATTCATGCCTGTCTTCTCTCCAAGTCCCTATAGGGCAATAACTATGATCTAGTCATCTCTCAATTTACAATCTTCAAAGAAGACTCTGGTACACAGAAGACATTTAAGAGACATTTGTTAAAAGATTGAACAAAGGAATGAATTCATTTGTATCTATCTAGGGATCCTTATTTTTATTTAGCTCAATGGTTCTCATCTGCAGGGATTTTTGCTCCCCTGAGAACACAGGGCAATGTCTGGAGACATGTTTGGTTTTCACAACTTGTGGGTTAGATCTCTTCTGGTATCCAGAGGTAAAAACTATGGATGCCTCTTAGCATCCCACAATGCATAGGACAGTCCCCACAAAAAACAATTACCTGGCCCCCAAATGTCGATAGTGGGGAGATTGAGAACCCCAATTTAGATAGAGAGTAACTACAAAAATTCCATACACAGACAAGAGATCTCAGAAATAAGCCAGCGCTCCTTTTAGAGAAAATGCAGTGGCACCCACTCATATCATTTATAGAAACTATTTCACGGAAACATAAACCAAATTGGAGATCCCAGGTGGTCATTTTCATCTCACAGCTCATTTTTGTTCTCCCGGCATAAGCCTCAACTAGATAACATCTTTGGACTTTCAGAGGTCAGCATTTATATGCTGACCCCATAGCCCAGAATAACCCAAAGAACGAGACTTTCATTCAATAACAGTGGCATTATTTTTTATTGTGGGTCATGGCTCATAATACGCAATTCAGCTAAAAGGGAAAGATACAAAACATTTGAGATGACTGGCAGGAGAAAACTCTAAAAATTCTCCAGCACAAAAGGGGATTAAAATGTCACAGGAAATTTTTTTCTTGAAAATGGAAGGGCTTATGAATGCTTCATTCTTTCCAGAACAGTTAAAACACTGTATGCACGGGTTGCTTGGGTTCGGAAGGCAGGGCAGCCCATTCCTTTTGTTCTGTTGCTCAACCCTAGAAGGCTTTCCCTGGTGAACTCGGGCCCACGAGCAGTGAGAAGTTAGGAGGAGGAAGATGCTTCATCTAAATGAACAATCTGGATTGTGTTCATCCTCCCTCTTAGAAGTGAAGAGAGACTGCCTTAAGCTGAGAAGCAAAACAGACTAAGCGGGCAAAGCCAAGTCTTTCACTGGAGATAACATTTGCCTGATATTTTAACTGTCATCTATTACCTGAAGACTCATTTATCCAAGGCCGAATGAAGCCAGCTCTTGCACTGACATGGAATTCAAAGTGATGAATAGGTCTATCAGCAAGGATGACTCACAGTGAGACATTCTGCATCAGGTGGCATGAATCAGGTGTCAATGGGAAGCTGGGCCCCGTCTGCCTGCCTCGGTCCTGCCTCTGCTAGAGGCTCCGTCCTGTTACTCTCCAGCCACCAGCCAGTGGGGGGACCTCGCACAGAGGTGGCAGCCCTGTGCTGCAGCTGCACTTTTCAGCCTGCCTGTTAGATATGATGGGGGCTCTAAGGGGATAATGAGTGTTTCTTTCCTGACAATCTGCAGATGATTCGAACTTTCTGGGGTTTAAATTAATTTCCTGTTTGGCATGTTTGCAGGAGGAGAAAACAATTATCTCCAAAATTACAAGTAATTAGCTGTTTGCTTATTGTTGTGGGATAAGATCTTACTTCCCTCCCACACCACACCCAGAACCCCCCCCCCCACACACACACACAACACACACACACACACACACACACACACCCTGTACTCTAGTTTTTCAGTTGTTATTTACAAGTCTCGATCTGGGAGGTTAGAGTCCAGTTCCCACCCAGGCCTTACCGAAATCTTCACTCTGCTCATGTAAGCCCTGCCCCTGGATCCTAATGAGTAAAGAAAACTGCAGGAGCACAATGTCCATCCCAGTGACTTCTGCTTATTAGATGGGTGTGGTGGATGCCCAGAATTCCAGGAAAGCAAGAATACCCACTCCCCACTCCAAGTCCTCTCTCTACAGGCAGGTGGCAAGGCCAGCTCAAGTACCATAGGAAATAAAGACATGAGACCGAAGATCTCAAGATGAGAGTCTACATTCTGGCTCATCACTTACTAGTCGTAGAATCTTAAGCAAGTCACTCAGCTTCTCTGAACCCCAGTTTCCTCATTTTATTAGAAGGATTATAAAACCCCCTGTAAAGTAGCGTTTCTCAACAGTGGCACTATTTTGGGCCACATAATTCTTTGGTGTGGGGGAGCATCCTGTACATTACAGGAAGTTCAGCAGCATCACTGGCCTCTGCCCACTAGATGCCAGCAGCACCCACCCCCTAGTTGTGATCATCAACAGTATCTCCAGATATTACCAAATGTTCCCTGGAGGGCAAAATTGTACCTGCTTGCAAGCCTCTGCTGTAAAGGAGCCCCCTCTCCTTTAAATGTTTAATAAAACATCACCCAGAAACTTTAATTCTACCTCCCAAGGATTCAGGAGCAGCAAAGTAAACAGCTACAAATGAAATGAGAGAACTTTTGGTGGAAAACCAGGTTTGGGATAAAATTGAGTACCAATTGGCCTTGCTTAGAGATTCTGGATTTTGTTTTAATCTTGGGAAGGGAGTGGGAGTATGTTCTTCTTTCCTGTTTCACGGGGTTTGTAGGGGCTTAAATGAGCCTAATGTATTTGAAACTGCACAGAATGATGCCTGCAACTATTCACACAGTCACAACCAAAGAATTGGTGCAATGCAGCTGGCATACATGGAATGTCACCCGAGCACTCTCTTCATGTTGGGGACAAAAGAACATCGCGTGATGATTCTAGTTGGAGCATTCAGTCAAATGAATCAGTTAGGTGCCAGCCACATGCCAGAAAAAATGACAGGAACCCAGCATTACTGAATGTGTCAAACATATATTTTTTTAATCTACAAATTATTTGACACTCCTCCGATTGAATAATGGGTCTGCTCTTCTTGAACCTGAGCAGACCTTTATGGCTATGTTGACTAATAGAATACAGAAAAAGTGAAGAGGCAACTTCCAAGACTAGATCATAAAAAGTCACACACCTTGCCTTGCTCACTCTTGGGATGCAGTCTCCATGTGGGGAAGAAGGAAGCCTGGGCAACCACATGGACACATGTAGATGCACCAGCTGCCAGTCTCACTGAGGTCCTGACCGAGAGGCAGCATCCACTGCCAGTCATGCAAGTGCCCAAGGCTTCGGATGTTCCTGGAGCCCAGTCACTGAGCCAGGCATAGCCCGCAGGTCTTGCCAGCCTATGTCACAGTCATCAAAGAACAGAGACAAGCCATTTCCACCGTGTCTTTTCCAAACTCCTGACCCACAGAATCCATGAGCATAATAACATGGTTGTTTAATACCACTAAGTTTGGGACAGTTTGTTACATAGCAACAGTCATGGATCACACTTCCATGGAGCTCAACCACTAATTGCCCAAACAATGTGCTCCCTGAGGAACTTGGGTCCTGTTGGTTTAGCTCAGCTGGTGGTAATGTCAGAAACAGCCAGGGAATGAGTCTGCCATTGGCATGGAGAGGCAATTAGGGTCACGTATTTCATCAGCAGAGTCTAGAGGTCTTTCTTGACACATAGAAGGGTTGCAGAGGTTATGACCTCTTCCATGCCACCCATGAACAGAATGGCTTGATCAGCAGGAAAGAGAGAATTGCATTGACATATAAATACGGGACAAGAACACTAAGTGGGAGCCTTCAAAGAAGAAGGCTCCTTTGAGAAGCCTGGAAACTTCCGGAGCTGGTTACTGGGTCAGGAGCAGCCTATTCTAGAGAACAACCTGGCATTGACTCAGAGGCTGGGCAGTGGCCTCTAGTTCTTGCATGCTGGGAGAAGTTACGGGAATGGGTGTGACCATGACCTGCCAAGCAGAGAGTCTTTGCTGACTCAACATAACCTCTGCCCATCTTGACCCCTAGAGACAACCCGTCTTGATGAAGAGAAATAAAAGTGGCCTGGATTTGAGGGAAATAGTGAAACATTGCTTTCCAAACAGGAGTCAAGAGACTAGAGTGTGCTGAGAGAATAGCAGAATGTGTGCAGGGGTGCTAATGAGCACAGAGATCATTCAGGATCATTTGCGCATTTTCAGAGTAAGCCAGTTCTCCGAGGTGGCTTCTTCCTCCTTGAAGCACACAAACTCTGTTTCCTGAAGCTTCCTTACTCATCTCATTTAATTTGGATTTAACCTGCAGCTAGAGATTCAGAATCTGAACTACAATTCAGGTGGAGAAGTTAAACTCTATATTAATAGCTCTTATAAAATACTCTATGAGTATTTTTTATTCAGTATCAGTGGGGCAGCTGCCTGAGGCAAATATGTGCAATTTCCTACTTCATTAAATATTTAAACATCTTTACTTCTGGAAGAGTTCACATTTGAAAATCTCCTTCTTGCTAAGATGCTGACAGACCACTTAGGAATTTGGTGTAAACAATATGAACAGGTGTCCTATAGGGACATTTGTTTATTGAGTTTCTTTACAAATTAATCTTGGGGTTTACAGCTATTTCAGACAACTTGTACCAATTTAACTAGTGTTTTGGTTTATTCACATTTCTAAAATCAGGCACTAAATTATGTTGTATTTGGGCAAATTTTACTCTAAGAATTATAAAATATGAAATAGTTCAAGCAACTATAATGTTAGCAGTTTAAAATTCAAATCTCCTTGCCACTCATATTAAATTCATTTAATGTTCGTAGTTTATTGTATTTATCCCTTTTCAATACATTTTTAGTCATGCCAAAAGCAGGAAGAAAATGTATATGATTCCAGTGAAATTTCTGTTGTAAGGTGACCCAGACTTTACTGAGTAAGAATTACTGATGACACAAATCACTGAAGAGGTGTCTTGAAGTAGAATAAAAATCTCAAGCAGAAGGTACAGTAATAAATTCAAATTAATGGGTTCTTATCATGGGGAGTGGGGAGAGAACATGAAGAGATACATTAGGAATTGTAAACATAAAAATTTTATAAGGCATGTAAACATTGTCCATCCCGAAAAGTTATGGAGCTATCTCTTGTATTTATAATTTCTTTATCACCATAGTTAAGATCCTCATCCCTCATGGTATTTTTCTGAGTAGTCACTGTAACTGCAGCAGCAGCAGAAGCAACAACCACTCTAAGGAGAAGCCTGGAGCTGTGGCAGAACACAGACAGCAATAGACAGCCTTGGGTTCACCTCCTGGCTCCGCTAGTTATTTGGGTTTAACTGGAACAAGTGACTTTAACCTCTCTGGGTTTTCGTTTCTTAATCTTTAAAATGGGAACATCAATGGTACTTCCTCTTCTGAGGATTACATGACATAATTATTGATCATGTTTAGGCAGGGCCTGCATAAAATACATGCTCAACCACGATGACTATATCTTTACATTCAGTCTGGCCACTTCAAACCCATGTTTATCTATTCATCTTTCTAGGCTGCTCTTTTTGTCCTATTTCTGCTCTACTTAAAAGCCCTCAGGAGCTCCCTATTACCTATCAAATAAATTTCAAACTCACTGCAGTCTGGCCTCAAACTTTTTTGCCAACCTTATCATCTGTATTTCCTATAACCTCCACATGTCACTGAATTTGGACTACATTCTAAATTGCTCAAGTCATACTTTTCCACTCATTCTGTTGCCCTGCTTAGGACAACTCTGCGATTTTGCCCGGTGGAAATACAGCTTCTTCCCATGGCTCAGGCCCAGTGGTCTCCCCTCTTTACCTTACCACTCTGTTGCCTACACATACTTCTAAGTGCCTGTTTTGATAGCCTGTCAGTCACTAAGCCATACGCTCCCTTGAATTGTCAATATTTATGACAGTTTATATGTCTTATCACACTTACTTATAATCTCCTTGAAGGCAGTGATCATGTTTTATATAATTTTTGCATCATACACAATCCCAGAAAAGATCTTGCACACAATCGGCTTTGAACAAATATTTGTTGAGATATTGACTAGGCTAGGTTCTCCAATAGAAGAGCTGATGCGGAAAAAGTGGTCTCTGTTTCTGAAATGTAGTCTCTCTTAAATATTTGTGATAAGTTACTGCTATGTTACTAAAGTTGAATTCATGAGAAATTTACCACTATCTTATCATAATCCTTCCAGGTGGAACACAAACTCGAGTGCAGCAGTGTCAGCACACAGCTAAACTCTCCGTAGAGGGTGGGCCCTGGTTTTTCAAGGACAGCACACTTTCACAAAAGGGAGAGGGTTCCCTGTTCCCAGACTGGACCACCTATTCAAATTTGAAGGAAGACACATAAAAGGGCAAAAACTGATGAAGTCATAACCTCATGATTCCCCAGACAGCTAACAAGAAATCCTCCCTCAATCTCCCAGTAAAGACAGGCATGGACACTTTCTGACCAAGGGATAGAAGCTGAAGCAATGGAACAATAAACCTTAAAACAACAACAACAACAACAACCCAACAGCTATCATGAGAACTGAAACCTTCCATTGTGCCTCCACTCTCCCCACACAGATGTCCGTTCCCGCACCTATGACATTCCTCAGAGCCTGTTTAAGGTCCGCCCATCAAACTCTGGTGTGATATTGTATTTGAATGCGTTGTTATATCCCAAGGACCTGAGAGCACCTGACACAGAGTAGCTACTTTACAAACAATCTTGTGAGTGAGTGAGTGAGTGAATGGAAGACTAGTTTCCCCTGTACAGAAATAGAAAGACAATAAATGCACTTCATTTTCTGTAAGCCAGTGGAGTTACAACAAATGCAAGATCCAATGTTTTGAGTTTGGCAAAACGTAGTTAGATTAGAAGACTTAAAAGGCTGTCTTTGACAAGAAGCTGAGGGGATTCTGGCCATGGAAGATATGTTGTCTCTGCTGCTGGGCCGTCTCTTTCCCTCTCAGCTGTGGAAGAGGCTGCAAACTAGAGGGTGGGATGAAGGGTACTGTCCCAGGCTTCTTCTGGGCTTATCTTACCACATCTTATGAGAGGAGTTGGGACCATGTATTATTAGTTTCCAGTTAACTGTACTGTTAAGGCAAATGTCTGAAAGATTCTGTGCTTCGTTTTGGGAAGTTGGACTTGAAATATTAAGAGTAGGCATTATCAAAGGTTAGACACGCTTCTGTCAACTTCATGCCAGAGATGAAGTTCATACACTGGACTTCTGGGGGTTGGTCTCATTTGTTTTAGGACAAAACATATTATCTATCATACCAAGAGTTCGATAGCTATCTGCTTTCAAAGGTAAATACATTTGATCAGAAAACTCCCTGCTAAAATTGCAGTTTCTAAGCTGCCCTTGTTATACTTTTTCTTCCTCTGAGGATACTTTAAACACTCATTTCAGATTCACTAGGATTGTGGCTGTTCTTTAGCTTCTACTTTATGTATTTATCTAAGCTCGGGTATTTTCATCTTCCCCATAAGTAGTTCATCCATAGCAGAACTGGCCGTGTTGCTGATGGTTAATATCCTTTTTTGTTTTCCCTTTAAAGTAACACACACTGAGCCCTGAGTAAGAGCCGGGCTCTGTGATAAGCACTTTGCAGGTGTGAGAACACTTCATTCTTAAAACAACTGTAGGCAGAAGATGTTGTTATTATTATTATTCCCATTTTAGACGAGGAAATAGGCTTATAGAGTTCCTGGAACTTACCCAAGGTCACACAGCGCATCAGTGCTGGAACTAAGATTTGAACGTAGGTCCAGCTAACGCCAAAGCCATGCTTTAGAGCAATGAACATGGCCTCTACAACTACAAGTTTCAGAAAATGTACAGCTTCTCAGAGCCAAACAAAAGAAACATCTGAAAGATTCTTTCTCCAATAAATCAAGGATCTGAAGTCTTAATAACTCCATGTCAGATTATTAGCATCAATCACAAAACATGGTAATTTATTTAAGTGGTTGTTCAGTGAGCAGAGCCAGCTATAAACAAGAAATGTGTTCTGCTAAACCAAAGGCTGCCAGGAAGTTTGGAGGCACGAGAAGTTAGTCTCACCTTCTTGTGTAAGGAAGAAGTCAATGTAGAGTCTAAGTTTTTGTTGGAGCAAAAAGTTTTGACAAGCCATTCCATGAGCTGGGTACTCCTCTGCCACATAAGCGCTTTCTTTCCTCATTCACATTCCCCTCAAGCTCCACTCAGAAGATAAAAAAAAGTTAGGATACCCAGACTTTCCAAATAATGACCAAATGGGTAGGGTGTTTACCAATTTTTGAAGACTTTCACATGAGTATCAGCTTAGTAACTACCCTTTTCCCTAAAAACTACCATCATCAGCATACTCAAATATTTAAAGCAAACAAAATAATACTGATATCAAAACTATCAAACAAAACTTAAACACGTTAAGGAATATGTTTATACAGTGTGTGTTTCCGGCAACTTTCACCCTACTTTCCTAAGACTTTCCAGCTCAGGCTGTGCTAGGTAGGATGGCAGGGGAACACCAGGCATCCCTCATCAGATAATGTGGGCGGTGTGACATTGGGGTCCTTAAGTCTCTTCAGAGTCAGACAGCCCGCTAAGACCACAATAAGTACTTGGAAGCCTCCAGCTAGACACCCACACCAGGCTCTTCTGCCTAGGAATAGCCAGCCACACAAAATCACGGCCTTAGGCAGTAAGCCCAATTGACATTTGGAAATTCATAACTTTGAAAGCTATGACTTATGACACTTGGACTTGTCAGAGTCCCTCAGTCTATGGCACAGTACCTTTCACTTTAAAAGGTTTTATTCTCCTCCTGCTGATGGGAAATTATTAAAGGTGAAACAATATTTATAAGCTGAGTAAAAATACAAAGTATAATTCTTGACACTTCAGAATGAAGGTGAAAAATGAGAAGAAAGAAAAATGAGAGGGAAAACTAGAGTTTGAAATGACCCTAATTAATTATATACATTCGCTCACAGTGCATCAAATATATAAAAAATATTTAAAGTGAAGCTGAGAATTATTCAAGTAGGTGTTGCCCATTTGTGAACCGAATAAAAACAAAACAAGGCTGGACACAGTGGTTCACACCTGAAATCCCCGCACTTTGGGAGGCCGAGGTGGGTGGATCATCTAAGGTCAGGAGTTCGAGACCAGCCTGGCCAATCTGGTGAAAACCCGTCTGTACTAAAAATACAAAAATTAGCTGGGCATGGTGGCAGGTGCCTGTAATCCCAGCTACTTGGGAGGCTGAGGCAGGAGAGTTGCTTGAACCTGGGAGGCAGAGGTTGCGGTGAGCTGAGATCACGCCATTGCACTCTAGCCTGGGCAACAGAGTGAGACTCGGCCTAAAACAAAACAAAAAAACAAAACAAAACAGCACAGAGTGGCACATTATTCCCATATCCTTGAGGAGTGGTATGAATTATTATTCAAGGAAGAGAAGCAAATATAGTTATATTTTGGTGCAACTGAGGACAGCAAAGAGCTGGGTCTGGCTTTATATGGCACCTGTATGCAGGCAAGTTTAGTGACCCCTAACAGATGCCAGCATCCCTCAGGCACTCTAGAACTGAGCACCACACCTTCCATTTGAATTGATTTCACATTGATTACTTTTTCCTCAATTATATTACAGAATAGTAGGAGCTAATAGTATTCCCATTTCATAGATTCAAAAACTGAGGCATGAGAGGTTAACAAAAATATCGATGACTACCATGTTAGGACAAACGTGCTCGAGAACCCAGGCCTCCCGTACCCAGATTTCCCAAGCTTGCCATACAAATTAGGTCTCTCCCTCTACTGGGAACATAAGTGTTCTACTTAAGGCTCATATTATTCCTTTGTTTTCAAGGTTCATTTTCTTTCCCTGTGGAAGTTTTATAGCTGCATGTAATCCATGTGTCAGGTTGTCTTATCCATAGTTTAGGCTGCTTATAATGGAGAAGCAACACCATCTATAGTAAAGGTTGTCTCTGGAAACCCAATTAGTGAAGAAAACCTCAAATCACTTGCAACCAAGGACCCCAAAATTAACCTTTTCTCCTTAAAAATTCCCTTCCCTGCACACTCCCACAAGCAGAGTCAGTTCATCAATCTCTTTATGTAAATAGCAGTCAAGAAGCCAGGGAGGAGGTCTGTTTATTATTTTTGATCCTGTTTTGCTTCTGGCAAAATTTCACAAACACCAGAAGTTGGCAGAACATTGATACTTTTTTCTGACTGGCTACTGTTCACTAGCTACAAGTGCAGAATACAACTGTAACTATTCTGGTCTACGGGCCTCAGCTATGACTGAGGACAGAACTGTAAAATCTGGAAGAAAAAAATCTCCACCCAAGACTTCTCTCTGAAAATGTGGACCCTCCTTTAATACACACTTTTCTCTCACTAGAGGATGGCTGAGTTCCAGATCCACTGTCTAGAGAACAACACAGGTCTTACCCAATTCCCACCTCACTCCTTGTACTCCCTAGTGTCAGAAAAGGTCCACTGTGAAGTCACAAGAGGCCCTGAGCTCTGTGGGCCCCAGGTGCCCCGGGAAAACTTGGGGGAGAATGGGCATCCCACCCCAGCACTTTCTAGGAAGAAGGGCAGCATTTTGAAGGGCTGGAAGTAGAGGAAGGAGGTTGCGGGTAGAAGACTCCATACTTTCTGTGACGCCTATTCCTTAGGTAGGAACTTAGGAACCTCAGGTAGGTTCAGCAACATGCTGGATCCTGCCCTTGGGAATCCTGATGCCTTGGACATTTACTTGGGAAGCAGAGTTCTTGATAAAGAGCAGCCAGCCCTCAAGAGGGGAGTGGGAGGGTAGTTAGTATAGGATGGGCACACGGCTTTGCTGCTGGTGGCACAATGAGGTCCTCCAGCAACATGAGGGGTTGGTGAGGAAGGGAGAACCAACCAGGTCTATAATGATGGGAAAAAAAAAGCATAAAACATACAAATAAAAAAAAAACTTCTTGGTTCCAAGTAAACATGCCTACGTATAATTATGAAGATGACAGGGTTGCACAGTCAAGAATAACGTGGGCTCCCAGATCGTCCAGACTTGAGTTCAAAGCCCTGTTCCAACTCCCACTCGCTGTGTGACTTTGGGAAAGTTTATTTAACTCCTGGAGAATTTGTTTACTCATCTGTTAGGTCTTACTATGTTTATTTTCCAGATGAGTAAACTTAACTCTTAGGTCTTTATGAAAATTAAATAAAATAGTAATATAGGTAGTGCTGAAAATAGTTCTTGGTACATCACAGTGGGTCCTCAACAAAAGTAGCTACAGGTTTAGTAACCCTTATCTGAAATGCTTGGCACCAGAAGTGTTTCAGATTTGAGATGTCTAAAAATTTTGGAATATTTGCATTATATCAGTTAAGCATCCTTAATCCCCAAATCCGAAATCCAAAATACTCCAATGGGCATTTCCTTTCAGTGTCACGTCAGTGCTCAAGAAGTTTCAGATTCTGAAGCGTTTCAGACTTTGAATTTTCTGATTAGGGTTACTCAACCTGCATAAGTATATTGTTACTACTTTTTAAAATGTAAACATTTCAAAGGCTCAATATTGTGGTGAGAAATATAAAAGTCAAATGACCAATCCAGACCCAAATATTTCATCTAAGTACATCTTAAAGGTTAATAAACTCTGCTGACAACCTGCCTATCCATGACAAACCCTGAGTCTTTTCATGGGTGATTCAGTGGAAATATTCTCCCGTAGTCAGAGGCATGGCTTGCCTGGGCCTCTGGGTGCAGCTGCACAGATTCAAGCAGCCTGAAGGAAAGGTGACTGACAGCTAATGATCTGAAAAGAACTTGTCTCAACTCAACGTCATTCCTGGCATTATCGAACAAAGCAATAAACCTCACAGAATGGAAGCTACAGTGTCCAGGGCCAGCTCTGCTAAGGTAACCAAAGACAGAGAAGGAGGCAAAAGTGACAGAAGAAACTCATGGGAAACCAACAGAAATATAATGGCTTTGGCAGAAATGCAATTATCAATTGGGAGGTGAGGAAGTAATTTTACTCTAAATGGGGGTTGGGGAGGAGGGAAAATTGGACTCTGAAACAATCTCTCTTTTACCGGTTAATGTTTTACAATTGCAGCTGCATGCCGCCAAGTTTCCTTATTATATCAAGTCAGTCTCCACTTATTGATAGCGCCCTCTTGGACAAATGTGTTTTTCCATACAACAAAACTCGATTCCAAAGGAATGATTCAGGAAAATGAAATCAGAAACATGTCAAAGTAGGAAAACTTGTCTATGCATTTTTCAGTTCTCTGAAAGATTTCAGAGGACAGAGATTCCTAATACAAGACTATAATTTCATTGGACACCTGTCTTCAAAATGACAATGCATGTGGAATTGCTCCACAAAGTGTCATGCACTACACTGGTGAAGGAATTAATATGACAACCGTTTTTCAGGGTTTCCAAGATACCATATGCAGACAGCCAATATTTTATCCTACAAAACAAGGTTTTTGCAAGGCTCAAGATTAACATGTAACTTATGATGTATAAGACTGTACTAAAGGATGTTTCTATTCTTTCTGGAGGAATTTCTAAATAGAGGGGGACTTAAGAGTATACATATTCCATAAAATCAATAACGCAAAAGAATCCACAATGTTTAATTGTTAAGATTTTAGTCCATTAAACTCTAAGAATAAATTTCAACAAATTGATAGTGATCAGATTTGTAGGCAGTCTTTCATAGCTGAGGGATTCAACAAATATGAAGAATATTCCTCAATCAAAAGGAATGAAATCCTTAGAGGAAATGGGCAATTAAAGTTTCTTAAATAATTCATTTGAATTAGTACGAGAGCTTAGTTTTTAAGTTGTCAAGTGGGCATTAGAAAATTTACATGCATTGTACAGCACTTTTTTTCTGTTTCTCTCCACAAAGATATGTAAAACTGGAAAGGTTTACAAAATTAACAAAAATCTCAAAGTTAACCTCAGTTTAGAAAAATCACAAGAATTTGAGAGAGTTGAAATTTTTTTAAATATATACTCTTATTCTTTCATTCATTTTCTTTCAGCTTGTGATGAATGTTTTCTCAGTATCCTATGCTGAAAACAGGTAGATACTAATATCGATCTTCAAGGGAGGGCTGTTGAGTATTGAATAAGACAAAAACATGGAAGCAATCAGCACCATGCTGGTAAGCAGAGGCATATCATAAAAATCAGTCTGTCTTTTTTTTTTTTGATGTAACAAATAAAATTGGGAAATAAATATTTGATTCATGTAGTGGGGGCTGAATTGCATCTCCTCAAATTCATGTGTTGAAGTCCTTGCTCCCAATACCTTAGAGTGTGAGTATATTTGAAGATAGGGCCCTTAAAGAGGTCATTAAGATAAAAGTAGATCATATGGATGGGCCCCAATCCAATACGACTGGTGTCTTTACAAGAGGAGATTAAGACACAGACACACACAGAAGGAAGACCAGGTGAAGATAGCAAGAAGGCAGCTGTCAGCAAGCCCAGGAGAGAGGCCTCCAAAGGAACAAACCCTGCCGGCACCTTGTTCTCAACTTCCAACCTCCAGAACTGTGAAACATATTTTTGGGATTAAGTCACCCAGTCTCTGGCACTTTATTACTGCAGCCCCAGCAAACTAAGACAGTCATTCAAAGCATTACCATGTTTTATAATTTTTAAGTTGTTTTCCATGACGAATGTAGCACTAGCCTTTGGGCAAATTGGCTTTCCAGAACCTCAGTTACAGATTGATCCGTTCACCCCTTACATGATAGAAGAGAAAATGTAGAACCGGAAGACTTAGGTGACTTATCTAAGATCACCCCAACCTGGGTTTGGTGGCCTCCTGCTGCCATCACTGGAGGATCAAAAATAGATATTGGATTGCTTTGAAAAGATGGCTGTTAAACGGATATTTGGGTTCTAAGGAATACAGTTTTAAACCCAAATGTCCCATCTATTACCAGTTAATGATGTTTGCCTCAGACTTCATTCCCACCCGCTTACCCCCACCAAGAACCTCCCGGCCCTTCGGTTTAATGTGAGGCACAGCCCTTTCCTCCAGCACTCCTGCCCTCTCAGCTCAGTATTTACCACCAAGTGATTCCGAGAGCTAGGAACACTTCCTGCCAAGGACTGTCTCTTTCACTGCTACAAGGTAAAGTTCAACGGGCTTTACTATTTATCTATAAGACCTGAAGCCTGGCCTAAACCCACCATTTCAGGCCAGTTCAGGGCAACTTGAGAGAGAGCAACTGGTGTCCACAGGAAACCACAATTGGAAAAGGCAATGGTTTTCATTACAGTTTAAGAAAAAAAACCTCTTTTGTTTCAAATTTTCTGGAAGACATGAGGACACACACAAAAAATGTGGCATTATATATGTCTGCCATAATAAACATGATACAAAGTGTATAACTTACTCAAACATAATTTACTCTTCAGTTGATGATGCAGCAGTTTGAAGGGTCATATGTACATGGATGTTTAATAATCATTTTGTCTTAAATTGAGCACTTAGTATGTGCCAGACACTGTGATCTGTGTTTAATTATAGTCTCTCATTTAATCCTTGCAATAACTCTGAGACTGTTGCTCTTTTAATGCCATTTTACCCACAGAGGAACAAAAGCTAAGAAACATTAAGTGACTCGTCCAAGGTCACTCTATGGGGATGATGTAGAGCTAGAGTTCAAATTCACGTGTACATGACTCCAAAGCCCTGAAAGTGCTCTAAATTAGAGTTATAGTAAGTTTGGAGTTTGGGTTGATGGACAACATCCCTAAGACATTCTTGATCCCACAGGAATCAAGGCTATCTGTAATCACAGGGCTATTTGAAAAAGAGAAGAAAAGGTGTCTTGAAATTCAACCAACATGTTTCAATTATTTGCTCCTAAGAACAACAGAAGTTTCAACATTCTGCCAACAGAGTAACTCCTGGAAGATTGGCACAGAAGAAGGCACAAGGTAAATACCCATCTCTGTACACCCCGTGCTACCATGTCATGTGCTGCTCCAGGCAACTCCAATGGATTGGCCACCCTGGCCAGTGATAACACATAAAAATTCCACTCAGTATTGGGACCAATAGATAATGAACACAGTCAGTGGAATTCCTTCGCAGGCTTCTTCAAGATATTCTGCAAGACTGATTTCCCTTCTTCTTGCCAAGATTTTTTCCTCCTTCTTCTAGGAAGTCAGTGATAAAAATATTTAAGCAGCTTTGTCTGCCTTAGACCTTCCAACTAAAAGTACAGCAAGTGGAATGGAATGCTAATATGAGGATCCAAATTTTCAGGGAAGGAGGTCAGTAGACTTTCCTATCTGAAAGAGACCAATGGTGAAAATGAAGGTGGTTTGATGATTAAGAACCTGTTAAACATAACGCATGGGTTTACAGAAGTCCAGACAGTAAGGGCCTTGCGATGGATTTCACACTCTATTTTGAGAAATGCATGTAGTGGGAAATGTGTTGTGTCCCTCAAAGCATCTGGAGAAGATTCTTTAATTTTCTCAAATAAGAACTCCGTCTATTTGAGTGAGAATCGTTGGAATATCATTAACGCAGGATTTGTGAATCGTTCTTATTTCTTATAATAATTTTACATATTATACATAATTTCAGGGTGGTATAACTCTCAGAGGAAAATGTGATTTTATGACTATACATACTTTTTGTATCCAGTGTGTCGTTTGGTGAATATAAATGTATATGAAATGCTACTGTTCACTCATAGAGATTGAATACTAATCAAAGGTTCCTGCTGTCCATATGTATGATTTTCAGAAGTAAGCAGGAAGGGGAGAGTTGGAATGCAGGAAGAGAATGCCTACTTCAGCTCGAAATCCTGACATGTAAATTAGGTACTTGGTGACTGCCAAGTTCCTTTCCAATCTCTCTGCATTGTTTCGCCCTTGTGTTTTATCCAACTGTTAGGAGGCAAAGCAACACAAATCATTTGTATTTTAGTAAGCTCTGCCTCTGTCAGACCTTTAAAATTCTCAGGATTCCTATGCTGTGTGAGGAAAATCATTTGACAGTCTAGCCAGACACTGTAGATCTATTTCTATTGATTTTCTTTTGCTAACAGCATTAGCATTTTCTGTAATTTTGAAGTTATTTTCCAAGTTCTCCATTTAGATTATTTTAGATCCTAAGCTTCTGAAAAAAAAAAAAGAGAGAGAATTCATGTCTTTTCAAACAGTAGTATATAAATTTTCATGGTACTTGGTCCTTCCCTAGACTGCACCAGTCCAGAATGACCACCATGGTCTTGAGTGACTTCACAGTGTGGCGGCTTGGGCTAGGCAGTATGGTAATTCCCTATGCATTCTGTTGGAGTTTTTGGATGTTGTGTGATTTCTCTCCAGAAGCGTCATTCATAATGTGAATGCTAATGTGTATCTCTTTGCCAGCAGGAGGAAAAACATCTGAAGAATATATTTGTAGACTTCCTGGAAATTGATAAGTTGTCTCCATAACTAAAGCAAGCAGATTTTACTAATTAGAATTATCTACATAATTTTACTTCATTCACTTCTTTCTGTCATACTAGGAGAGCCTTTATATAACCAAAGATATTTTTGGACCATGAATTCAGAAATTCTCGGAGCCACCCATCAGTGCCTGAGCTTCAGTGAGTCCATATCCCATGTCACCCACGGCAAAGGAGACTCTAAGACTTCTGAAGAGTTTCTTGCTTCTTTCCTGTGGGGCAGTGACTCCACTTCCCAGCAGTAATGGAATATCCTGAATTAGCTACATTAATGTTAGAACCATTTGGACCTCACCCAGGACTTCAACTACATTATGGTAAGACAAAGCCAGAGCTAGAAGGCAATAATTTCTTCCTTCTGGCTCAACAGTACCTATCTTGTAGAGTTATTTGAGGAATGGTTGTATTCTTGATGTTATAATTATTAACTCTACCCATATACCGACTCAGCTTTCTGTTCTGCCTACCCAAGATAGAATCTTTGTGTGGTTGTTAATTTTCATAAAAAGATGGTCATCTGGCCTTTACTCAGTTGACTTTTAAAGTATTTGTGGCTGGCCTTTTTGGAAAACATAGAATACTTGCAATGTTCCTCTCCAAAACACAACTTCAAAGTATCTACTGCCAAATCTATGCAAGAAGTATATTCAGAGAGAATTATCTAAGGGAAGCGTAGGCCACATACTCTCCTAGATCAGCATTTCCAAAATGTGTTCCCCAGGGAAAGCTGGTTTTGCAATATGTGACTTCCCAGTATCCTGTGAAAAGTGGTTTCAAGATGAAATATACCAGTTTAAACACAGTTAAACTACTTTGTGCAAGATTTTCCTGAGCCTTTCATAAGTCTGAATTTCCAAGGGAAAGGGAATGTAGCATTTCCAAAAATGACTTAACCACAGAAATGTTTTCTCCCTTGAATATCTGTCTAATGGGCCTAGTGTTCTGTGAAGCAGACTTATAGAAATTGCCTGTGGATAATCTCCATGCTATTTCTAGGTTAAGACAGAGAATCTGAAGACTGCATACCTGACCTCTCGTTTTTACCTACCCACCCACCCACACCCAAATATTTCTACTGGACTATAATTTATTGTGACGCCCCCATTTCCACTGCAGGATGTTATAAGAAATGAGACTCACTACTGAATTCACAGCAGGCATGGTTGAAGGCACCATTCACTATAGCTTGCAGTGTTCCCTTTATGAGATTTGTATGAGAAATTCCTCTCATAGGTCAAGTTCTTGGGAGAAAATTCTCCCAAAGAGCAAGTCCCAGGAAAATCTTGGCTGGTAAGTTCTTACCTTAAGAACAGGGAAAATCTTCCCTTGGTTGTGTTTTCCTCTTTGCTTAGATCAGGGAAGCTCAAGCCAAATTTGCAGCCCATTTTTGATTATTATTCAAGGCCTTACATTTTATATTTCCATGTGATATATCTTCCTAGTTTTACCTCATTAATTGGCCAACATTTCTCTTTTCATCAGATTTATCTTTTTTGCAATCTTTAGTTATATATTCTTCTATAAATGACCTCAAATCCTCTAGGTAATGAGGTGGAATGTAAATTAATATATAGTATCTTTCCCCATACCAAAATCATATTTCAATTGCTCCAAGGGAGACGGCAAATATTTTTTATGTGGTCTTTAGATCATTCAAATATCTGGTGTGCAATGCATGTTCAGGTTCTCCTATCTTCTTAAGTCTTCTTGATTGCCTCACTACCCTGTTGTCATAGCTAATGAAACACAGAGAAAGTGTGTACTCTTGTTAATGACATGTCTCCACTAAATCTCCATCTATTTATGTCCCTTTATATAAGAGTTTTGCCAAAACCCACTTATCATTTGTTCTCTTTTTAAATCTGTTTTAGGTCATCAATTGATACTATTAAGACCACTAGCAGTGACTGTTTTTTCTAACTTGTGTTTCTGTGTTCATGATTAATTTGCTAATGAAATGAGGAATTTTGCATTGTAAGAGTTGACCATTGTCCAAAATTTGCTAAGAATTAAAGCACTGATGATTGGGGAAGGTGGGAGAGGGAAAGACATTTTAAAAAATGAATTTTTATTTACTTAAGCTAAAGTTACAGAACCCAAATTTGGCAACTGTCTGCATCTGAACAACAGAAGTTTCAACATTCTGCCAACAGAGTAACTCCTGGACGATTGGCACAGAAGAAGGCACAAGGCAAATACCCATCTCTGTACACCCTGTGCTACTGTGTCATGTGCTGCTCCAGGCAACTCCAATGGATTGGCCACCCTGGCCAATGTGTGAGTTATAAAGCAATGATGTGTAGCTATTGAACCTACAATTTGGTTAAAGTTAAACTCTCAAGTTTTATATGTTTACAAGCATATTGTCCTTTTGTTAATTTCCTCCCAGTACTCATTTCTTGACTTCTTTTAGTTTTACTATGTAGTAATTTTTAAAATGTTAGTCAAAGTTAGTTAATTTAATTCACTTAGCAGATTTTCCTGTAATTTTGGTTAAACAGTATCCTTTCTGTACAGGCCCTCCAAACACCAGCACTGAGTAGAAAGAGGCTCTGATTCATGAAATGTGAATTTATGACAGTTGCCACTCTTAAAAAAAAAAACAAACAGACAGAACTTGAGCAATACATGACTGATGCATTCTCAGCCTGCTTCCTGTGTTCCATCTGTCTTTCTGCCAGTGCATTCACCCTCCAGGTTTGAAAGTAGTCGGGCAAGAAAGTACTAAACATAGAGAAAGGGCAATTCCAAAAGAACAAATGATTGCTTAATTTAGGCTGACATTACCCAGTTGCTGGGGGTATGGGCCATGGGGATGGGCCATGTTCACCACTTAGGTTGGGCAAATTCCCAAGATGCCTTTTGACATAGTAATGAGGGGGAATACATCACTCATGCCCACTGGCATTCTCTGGGGAAATTTTTAAAAGGCAGTATATCCCACTCCAGTTGAGTTCAAATCAGGTGCCATATCTACTTAAAAATAGCCTCAGATAGAATGGCAACTCAAATGACAGTTTAACTTTCACTACTTTCTCGGTAGTGAAACTTTCTACATTCCACATTTTCTATCAAGAAAAGAAAGAGGTTGTATTGTGAGGTAAGAGGCACACACACGGACTTCCTTCAGTAGCTGCAATCCTTGCTATAGGTCAGGCATCAAGACAATTCCACTTTACAGGCCTGGATTTTGGAGAAAGAAAGGTGTTTACAAGTTTCTGTATAATTATAGTTATACTGACATTTAAATAGTTCAACAGACTGGACTTCCTAACATTCCTATTACATCGATATTAATGAAAGCATGACACAGGTTTCAAGGAAGCATGTCCAGGTATATGCTGAATGACATAATAAGAAAAATGTAAATATGCATTGCTTTTGTCTTAAGGTAATACTTGTGATTGCAGAATCCTAGAATGTAGAGATGATGGGGACTTCAGAGATTCTTTAATCCAAACCCTTTATTTAATGGAAGAAGGGAAAAAGGTCTAGAGAAGCTGTGACTTCTCTCAGATCACACAATAAATTAGTTGCTGAGGTAGAACAAAAACCTAACTTCCACTTTACCATTTCCTTGAGAAACTGTAGAACAATTGTAAGCCACTGATATATTCCACATAATAAAGCCGCTCTGTTGCCTTTTTAGGTTCTAGTATGTTACGTTTATGTTCCCCTGCTTTCTACAATCCTGTTCAAAGAGTTGCTGACTTAACCACAGAGAGGATTCCAGAACCTGAGACACAGAATAAACTTGAGCAATCATAGTCCATCCACTTCATTGTCTCATCAAAAACCAAAGGTCCAGTGAAGCTCTGGAACTCAACGCTGTAAAGGAGCGAAGGAGCTTCTATACAGAGCCTGGATGCCTGTCTCCTTATCCTACTTCAGTGGACTTGACTGCAATCCGGATTATGCTGTTTTCTAAGCATTTAAAATAAAATAAAAAGTATAATAGTGTGATAAGTTCTTTCACAAAGCAAGCAATCACATTTATGTTTCTACTTACATTTGGGTTTTCCAAATATGTGTGTGTGTGTGTGTGTGTGTGTGTGTGTGTGTATGTAGACTTTAAACATGGTGCATCCATCATGTTGCACTAAATCAAAACCACCAAATAATGATGTAGAACTAATAAATCAAAACCATCAAATAATGACATAGAAATCCAATTCTCCCACCTTACACCCATTAAGATGGCTACTAATAAAAAAACAGAAAGTGAAATGTAGTATAGATATACAATGGAATATTATCCAGCCTTAAAAAGGAAGGCAATCCTGCCATGTGCTATAACATGGATGAACCTCAAAGACATTGTACAAAGTGAAATAAGCCAGTCACACAAAGTGAATCACTGTATGATTTCACTTATATGAGGTACTTAAAGTAGTCAAATTCATAGAGACAGAAAGTTGAATGGTGGTTGCCAAAGGCCGAGAGGAGGAGGAATGAGGAATTCTTGTTTAATGGGTATGGAGTTTCAGTTTTGCAAGATGAAAAGAGTTCTGGAGATGGATGGCGGTGATGGTTGGATATTATGAATTATGAATGTATTAAGTACCACTGAACCATACATTTAAAAATGGTTAAGATGGCAAAATTAATGTATTGTGTATTTTACCACAATAAAAAAAATTAGAAAAAAATCCAATTCTCCCTTTCCTTGGCCTAACATGGTCTTCCACCACCCCCAGCATCCTCTCTCCTATCCACTCCCAAGCGCCAGTCAGTGAGGCAAATAAGGACCATTCTTATTTCCATTCTCTCTCTCTACAACAATTTCCCTATTGATTCAAGCAAGAATGTGGGGTAGGGATTATGGGCAGTATGACTTATGATAAACTTTCACTCTGCAAAACAACACCCTCTTTTAAACATCTCCTCTCTTTTGAAATGGAATTGCAACCCCAGAACTAAAAAACAGGCTAGAGAAATGATGCATGTATGTTTTGATGTGTACCCTAAGATGAGCAAGTTTAGATTCATCCTGGGTTTGGATAATGAATTCTGATTCTATGCATCATCAAAGATTCCTTTATTTCTCCTCCTTGTTTTTCCTCCCCATGAGTGTATCTGCTATTGAATCATGTGCACGCCATTCAATGATTATCTCACTATAATGAGGTCAGTGGGGAGCAACTTACTTGTTTCCACTGTTCCCAACAACCATGAGAAATTATAAGTAATGATGTCTTAAATCAAATTAACATAATTCTAAATCTTAAAGCTCTAAAGTAGAATAATGCAAACAATTTTAGTGATGTGGCTGTCACTTTAAGATACTAACCTGTAAACTACAGAAAATAATGCTGTCATTAATTTTATTTGCACATGATTAATGGAATGATTAAAAGCTGTTAGTGACAGGGCACAATGGCTCACATTTGTAATCCCCGCACTTTGTGAGGCTGAGGTAGGAAGATCACTTGAGCCCAGGAGTTTGAGACCAGCCTGCGCAATATAGTGAGACCCTGTCTCTATAAAAAAGTTTTAAAAATTAGCCAGGCATGGTGGCACACTCCTGTAAGTCTCAGCTACTGAGGAGGCTGAGGTGGAAGGATCGCTTGAGCCCAGGAGGTCAATGCTACAGTGAACTATGATCACACCACTGCACTCCAGCCTCGGCGACAGAGTAAGACTCTGTCTCAAAAACAAAAAGAAAACAAAGCTTTTAGTAAAATAACTTGACATCCTGTGTTATTGGGTAGTAACTGGTTAAAGAGAATAAAACATGTAGCACTTTGTTTCCACTAGAGAAATATAACCTGACAGGAAATTTCATAATGAGTGACCAATTCTGGTCCTATAATATAGTGTATTGCTGTATCCTGAGTAGAAAAGTCTAAAAAGTCTCTAGTATATTATATAATCTGAAACTCAATCATAGGTTCAGTACTTTAGCACTCATTATAAAAACTAAAAAATAGTCTAGTGTATTGCAGAGCATGGACTGTCAAGCTGTATTCAAGTATCAGTTCCTACTGGGTGACCTTGGATAAGATGCTTGAAATCTGTGTGCCTCTGTTTTCTCATCTGTAAAATGGGCATAATAAAAAAAATTAACTACAATGATTTTGGTATGCTGTAACTGTTTAATCCACATTCTCTGAAATTACAGTAAACCAATCTTCTAATACAATAAACTCAATAAAATTGTTTCACATTGCTTTCTCATTGTCTTACTAAAGAGTTGTATGATGTTAACACATAATGATTTCTGAATCACAAGACTGTTGGAAATCTTTATTGCTTCCCTGTGATCTTAACTGTCAGTTTTAAGTGTTAGGCATTCATTGACTTCAAACACTCCATTGCCCAGTATAAAAAAGAGGGAATTCTCAAATTACCTAATTAGACAAAAATGAAACATAAACTGAGGGTGCCCATATGTCTGTGTGACAGGGCACGTTCAGTGATAGTGCATGTGTTCACAACTTCAAATCTTGAATGGAAAAATAACCCTCATTCCAAAAAGAACATAAATAATATTTAAATAAAATAAATTATTGTAAATACATCTAAGGAGGTCTGCAAAGCAATTTCAGCTAGTTCTCTGCAATATTTCTCATATGATATGCATGCTGAGGAACATTTATATCTTGTAGATGATAGCGCATCATTAAGCCTCGGTGTTCATAAAGATGATGGCATTTGGAAAGGCACCATTGTCAGAAATTTCTAAAACCAAAGTGGAGCTGGTTTTTATTCTAAGCCTAAAGTATTTTTAAATCTAGCCACAGGGAAATAATTACTTTTGTTTCTATTCAATCAAGACCTGGACACAGAGTTTATGCAATGACATAATATCCTTCCTGAAATCAGACCAGCATGTAGGAAGGACCAGCATCCTTCACACATAACTAGTTCCTGAACCTTTACAAACAAATCCTAATTTCCAAGGAAACAATCTCATCAAATGCTGCCCGCTAGAATACATATTGTTCTTTCTGGAAACATTACAATAAGATTTTCATGATTACAAACCCCAACTTCCTCTTTAATATTCAATATAATCTTAAACTCATTTATTTAAGTGGAAACTGTATTTTTATAATGGCTCTAAAAATTCCTGGTTAACTTATTTAGCACCAATATAATAATTTCTTTTTTTGTTGTGTAGGAGGAGGGTGATCATTAACTGACTGTCAACGTGTGTTAGGGGCTTCTTAGGAACGGCTCTAAAAATTCCTGGTTAACTTATTTAGCACCAATATAATAATTTCTTTTTTGTAGTCTAGGAGGAGGGTGATCATTAACTGACTGTAAACGTGTGTGTTAGGGGCTTCTTAGGAATGTTCGTCTTTCTGCTTTCTACTGATATACCCTATAAGGAGCATGTTTTAAATTTTTTTTTTTTTTGAGACTGGTAAATTTTAGTAATGTCCAGACTTCCAGGCTGGTATTTTGAGGGGCTGGGAATAAAAAGAATATCAAGCAGCTTATAATCAATATTCTCTTCTCTTTGCATTAGGAAGCTGGAGTTTTGTGTGCAGGTTACGGGATTTGTTTTGAGATGAACGAACACCTTAATTCTCTACCAGGAAAACAATATTAACACATCTGTGGCAACTGCTGACATAAACATACAAACAGGAAGAGAATGCGATTCTAGTGCTTAGCCTGGTGGCCTTTAGAACAGAATTCTTGCTTTCCTCCTCTTCACTAAGGATATTCGAAATACTCTGGGCAGGGTGGACATTAGTCCCTCGCCTCCTCCCTAATGAAATAAACAAGTGTCCACATTTTAAATGTGACGGAGTGTGAGGAAACTGCAGAAAAGCTCCTAAGATACACACTGAGTAACAGTTCTCATCTGTTCTGTAGACACACGTCAGTTTGGGAATTTATGATTCACTGTCCCACCGTGAAGTTTTTTGTGCACTTTATGTTGAGCTATGTGGCAGCTAAGGACTGTCCTGTTTGCTGAAAACTGCAGCCTAAAGTTATTTTTCAAAGTTACGGGTAGTGTGGCATAGAAATCCATATGTTATAAAGTGGAAACAAACAAACAAAAAAAACTGGGTTAGCATGAAATAGAGCCAACAGAAATCAGAATGAGCAACAGCCTTCCACTGCCGGCCACTCACCTTGTTGAATTTTAGTCACTAGCTGATGGCGTGCTAGAATCCGGCTCATCCTGTAAGGAGAGCGTCTTGTAGTCTGATCAAATCGCAAGTACATCTCCTGGCCCTCAGGTGTCATGGAATTTAGGTAGTAGCAGCCTGAGGCTGGGGTCCTGGGCACCTGACTGAACATCTCGGCAGATTTCCTATTGCCACCTCAGTCTGCCTGTGGCTGTTGCCGTCTGTCTCCAGTCTCAGTCAAAGAGCAAGGCACCCAGCCCAGGACAGCTCAACAGACCCAGCGATTTTTAAAAAGAAAGAGGAGTGCCAAAGCCACAACTCAGAATTCCAACCCCCGGGGCCCTCACGTGACCTCGGGAACCAATGAGAGGAAGAGAGGAAAATGGGAACGTTTGCAGTCAGCCCTAAGCCCCGACCAGAGGCAGTTCCAGCCGCCAGGGTCCCTCACACAACGCTGAAAGCAAAATACACGTATTTGACGTGCCTCAGAGCTGACGAAGCACCCAAAAGCAGCCCTCACTAAAGGAGTCGAAAGAAAAAGAGAGAGGGAAGGGCAAAACAAGTAGAAGACAAACAAGTCCAGGGCTCAGGAAACTTTTCAGCCTGTCAAAGTTAGAGAAAGCTCCTTCGCTTTCTACAGGGCAGCAGCAGCCAGGTAAAAGATGGACCTGATAAATCTCTTAAATTTAAAAAACACAACACAACAAAAAAAAACTACTTCAAACAAGCATCAACAGCTGAGCGTAAGCCACCACCTTCATTATCAAGAAACAACTCAAATAAAAACTTTTCCAGTGAAAAATAAACTTCAAGGGCTTTAACACCAGGAGTGAATACACCACAGATCCTGACCCTCACGTGATGGGAATTGGAGGGCTCTTACAGATAAGACTCAGAGAGGCAAAGTACACACGCGTTACGTATTAAGCATCCTTTCCTCTTTGATTTCTCTACTTCCCCAATTTTTAATCACCTAGAGGTAAAATACTTAGAAGGTGCCTATCACATTTAAGACACTGAATCATTTAAGACAAGAATCACTGCAGAAGTTGCAAAGGTACTTCAAAGATACTGTCATCAACCTGCTAAGGACCCATTGAGAAGTTATACAAAAGCTTCTAACATGAGGCCATATATATGTCTCAAAAAGGACGCAAACACAATGCTAGGTGAGCAATATTATTTTTGACTGGGGTGATGATTGCAAGCCAGATAGAGAAAGAGACATTTGGATAGGCTTTTTAAAATGGGGGGAATTCTGATAGGCAGAGGCTGGGGAGGGCTTTGCAAGAGACTGTAGGTACCCATGTGTGCAGATCCAGAACCAGAGTATATGGTTTAAGCAAACTGCTAGTAATTCAGTTTGGCCATATCTGAGTGTGTGTGTATATATATACGTGTATATATATATGTGTGTATATATATGTGTATATATGTGTGTATATATATACATACACACACTGAGTGACATATATGTATATGTCATTATAATTTTCCCTGTTTTTCTTCTTTAACATTGTTTGATGTGAAGAGAAAAAGTCCACAGAAAACATGTTATCAAATTCTGAGCCTGGGGCTGAAAGAATAAAGTTCTTTGATACAAAAAGTATATGACCAAGTTGCTTCTACATTTGGCTGACGGAAACATAGCCTGGCTGGGAATTTATAGTCTAATAATGAGAAATTATTTCTACATTATTTCCAAATTAAAAGTTTAACAGGATTTAAATTAGGACTTTGATTCTTCTTACTCTGGCTCTCCGAGGCCCATAAGCCTTAACAACTTTCCCTGAGGGAATTGTTGCTAGCCTGATTCTGAGAAGCAGCTCGTCTTGTATAACTGTCCCGCTATGAGAATAAACAAGTTAAGCACGATCTCTGCAGCCCAGCATGTGACAATTGCCTACTACCTCACGTAGTTGGTAATTGTCAGCCTCTTCGGGTGGTTACACAAGAGTCATCATGTCTTTGTTTTCAGGTTGGCTTCATGGCAGGAAGGGAAAGAAAGATCTATGGGGCCATACTGTGCACTTTCCATTCTTATTTAGGATTTGAGCAGCAGTTTTTCTGTTCCATAGCATCGTCTGTGGAAGGTGAAAGGGATCTGAGACCTAAGGAACTGCTCGGCAGAAGCTCGAATGGAGAAAGGTCGAGCACCATATTGCAAAGTTGGCTGCCTGGAAGGTTCATGAGCCCAGCTCAGTCCGCACCGGTGGCCGTCCAATTAAGGTGCTTGCATCAGCTGCTTTGTGCACGTGCTTTCGGCTTGATGGTCCAACACTGGGAGCATCTGTGTCATAACTTTTTGTTCAAGGCAGACACTTGGTGGTTATCACTTTTTTACTGGAAGAGAATGGAAGGAGGGTGGAGAGAGAAAGAAGAGGGGAGCATGGGACTTGAGAACATTGAACATGTTCTGGGAAACCAAGTAAAGGTGAGGAAAAGGTAAAAAGGTAAAGGTGAGGAAAAAATACGTAGCTTTTTATAGCTTTGGAGAGCACTTAAAGATAGACCGGCCATTTCCAATGCCAACCTTGCAGTTCATTGCTGACTTGGCTGCATTCTATTATGAAAACAAGTGGAATGATTCTTCCTGAGAAGGATTGCAGTGTGTCAAGGCGAGGTTACTAGATAAAACAATAACAACGACAATAAAACTTACATTGTCTCCTTTTTGCATAGTCATGAATGTGTTGAAAGTGCTGGGGTGTCTGGTTCTGAAAACATTAAGATCATAAGTTTGTATTTATGACTACATATAATATTTCATTAAAATAATCTTAGCAATAAAGAGCAAGAATTGAATTTATTTATTTATTTTTAAGATGGTGCCTCACTCTGTCTCCCAGGCTGGATTGCAGTGGCGCAATCATAGTTCACTGTAGTCTCCAACTCCTGGGCTCAAGTGATTCTCTTGCCTCAGCCTCCCAAGTAGCTGAGACTCCAGGTGCACACCATCACACCTGGCCAATTAAAAAAAAAAAAGTTGTAGAGATGGGGGTCTCTCTTTGCTTCCTAAGCTGATGGCAAACTCCTGGCTTCCAGCATTTCTCCTGCCTCAGCTTCCCAAAGTGGTAGGATTACAGGCGTGACCAATCACACTTGGCCCTACATTTTTTTTTTTAAAAAAAGGGAATTTTTATTCCCTAATTAAAAAAAAAAAGCCAACTTAGAATGAAGCCTCATTTTTTCAAAAAATCAGCCAGCATTTTAATAAGGGGCTCTAGGAAGGATCACATATCAACATTTGGTTTTCTGTATGCATATACAGGGCCGCTAAAGTTTTATTTCATAGTTCAAGTAGTATCTATAAATTCATGTACCTGCTCACCATGTTTTTGTCATTTTGTATTTCCAAGGTACTATATTTAAAGCAAATATGTAACATTATTTTCTCATTAGCATGTCATTAGTACCTTGTTTTATGCTAAAGTATTGCCATTGCTATGAAACTTGTATTTTTTAAATAAATTCTTTTTTGTGATCATATAGTCCCCGTGTTAGAAGAATTACCACTGGGGTAGACAGGTCTGTTGTATTAGAATCAAGAAGTGGCTAGTTCTCTCTCTGGCTTTTCCTTTACAGGCAACTGAGAGAGCTGGTCCTCTTCTCCAGTGAGTGCATGAAGTCCTATGGAATCAAAGAGGGAGAGAGTGCCCAAATCACAAGCATCTTCCAGGACTGACACCATATCTCTTCCTCTCTAATTCCTTTAAAAATGAGGAAAACAGATGGCACTTGTGTTCAGTTTTCACCTACTTTTCTTCCCTCCTAATCTGCTCATCAATTGTGATCTTCAGTAAGACTATTTCAGGAGTGAGATAAACAGATGGTTACTGAGAACCAAAGACAGCAAAAGAGAAGGGAAAGGAAAGAGGAGAGAAGGGAACAGCATTGAGCACCTACTATGTGCCAGGTCTGAAGCCTTCATGGCTTCACATTTTAGGTTTTTTAACATTAATCTCCACAGCTATCACTGGAGGTATCTGATTGGATGGAAAGGAGGCTAAGATTCACAGAAGTCACAAAGCAAGCAAGTGCAGAGCCTTTGTGCATCTCCAAGCTGATGCTATTTTCACTCTTTTCACTATTACACAGGAGAGACAGGGAAGGAAAAACACGGCACCGAAAAGGCACTCCGGAAATTGGAAAGGGGAGAGCATTTTGGAAGAAGAGCCTGAAAATCATCCTAATCCTATTTAACTGCCTGCGATACTGGAATGCCTACATGGAAATATGGGTATGGGGCGGCTAAAATCCCGTGGTGATTGAGAGTTGGTGTCTTCAAGTAAGAAGTACAGATCCCAGAGCCCTTAGTCAATCAATAGAAGCCACAAGCCCTCTTAGGAGTAACCCATAGGTGAGGACTAGAGACTCTCCCCACCCCCCCAACCCTCAAATGAATAAGCAGCTCAGCTTGACCCTCTTTGCCAATCCTTTCCAGGGTAGTTTATTCTCTGCATTCTGTCCGTCCTCAAGGCTAATGCTGCGTATGCCTTGAGTTTCTCATAGCATTCACTGTCAATGCAAACACTCCAAATACAGTCAAAACTCTGAAATTTGACCTCTAAGCAAAACTTTTGGTATTTGGAATTTTCAAGTATTTTGATAGATGATCCCAGATTAGCGCTCAATGGAATCTTGTATACACAGGGCAGAACGCTAAGGAGTGCTTTTACAGAAGCCAGGAATGGCTCACTGTCTGCTGCCCTTTCTACTCCTTCACACACATTCCAGCCTCCTCATCAGTCTGTTCAGAGGGAGCCAAGGTAGTTCTGCCAACTGGGAAAATGTTTGAGATACAAGTGGCAGGCAGAAAAATGCAGAGCTGATTTGGAAGGCTGCTTTCGAAATTACATGAACCCAAAGATTGTGGGTTGATGTCAAAGCCTTCCTGTGGGCTCTGAAGGCCAGCATTTGAGGATTTTCACCGATTGATTTGTGATGTGTGTGCCCAACTCTGTGCCAATTAACTTTCCCAATCTGCATGCACCCCATGTCCCATGCCCAGTGCAGACAAGCTGGTGACACTAACACTGGCAGCTTTGACCAGGACTCCATGAAAGAGCTTGGTCCAGATCAGCTTTCCTAGCTCCAGACCACAGCTCTCATCTGGAGTCCAGATCCTGCCGCAAACACTTGTAAGTGGTAATAGATTTCCTTTACTTTGTCTCTCAGCCCTCCCTACTGTCTGGTGCATTCCCATCTATGGGCCTCCAGGAGCATGTGCTCTCCCGTATGCCATTCCCTGGGGATGCAACCATCAGCTCCAGCCCATATGACAGTAACCTGGTCTGTCCTGTCCTGGGACCATTACTACACCCACGCACTCCAGCCAAACCAGAATTCTTTCATTTTCTCAGTTGTTTCACAGATCTAGAATTGTGTGATTCCCTTCTCTTCCACCCATGAGACTCAGTTAAAACCTATTGCCTCCAGAAACACTTTCATGACTAATACAAAGCTCTTTGGTCTTACCAGTCATATTAATACCTGTAAACCACTGTTATGTGGCACATTAATTAGATTGGCTTGTTACATGTTCATATGGAATCTGTTTGTTACTGCAACTACTACAGGCATAAAGTTTTGACATCTTGAATTTAGAAGGAATATTAAACATTTTCTAATCCAACCACTCAACTACTGCAGTAGTTAATTCTCTACCTGCATATACAGAGTGTATTATCCCACAGAGGACCCCAAGCTATTGAAGAATGTTCTTCTTTTTAATTTCCATCCACTAGCTCTGATTCTGCCATTTTGAATCAGGCAGGACAAATCTATGCTTTCTTCCACAAGCTGTCCTTCAGATGTTTGTCAAAAGCCCTTGTAAGAATGTTTTTGTGTAGTCTCACGTTTTTTTCCATCGAACCACATGACTTTAGCCATTCATCCAGCTGACTGCTCTCTTTTGGATCTGCTCCAGTCTGTCAGTATCCCTTTAAAAATATGTGGGTATCTACTCTAAGCTTAGAGCTCTAGACTTGGCCAAGCACAGTAGTACATGGTACACTGTGTGCATATTTCCTGCATTCAGGGCATTGTACTTTTGCTGATGCAGTCTGAGATTATGGGAGGCTTTATTTTTTATAATCTATATTCACTCATTCATAAATTTAACATGGGATGCCTGAAAAACAGGGCAGTAAGTATAGTAGATACAAAGGTGAGTATGATGTGGCCCCTGTTCTCAAGGGACTGTCTGCCAGGGAAGACAGAAAAGAAATTTACCACTATACCCCACGTTAAGTGAAGTGTGGGAGGCTAGAGGCTATCTGTTGTCTCGTGCTATTTGTTATATATGATCTAAATGTTTTAGATCATATATAAGCACATATATTAGATCATATATATCTAAGTGCATAAATAGCTGGATGCTATCTTTGTTATTTTCATAAAATCTGCTGTTATGTGACTGTTCTCTATTCTTTACTTACCAAAAGATCTTTTGAACTTAAGAAGAGGTCTTTAATCTTATTGCAGTAGTTGAGTTTTGTTCAATTCCTGACTTTCTCCTCCAGCTATTTATTTCTGCCTTGTTATTTCTAGTAGCTAACAACCCCTACCCCAATATTATAAAAGTAAAAAATAAACAACTAACTGAATTTGGGGGAAAGGTAAAGTAAGGGCAGGAAAATAATAAAGCTAGGGGTAAAATCCATTCACAGATATGCAAGCCATGAAGTCCTGCACATTTGCTGGAAGTGGGTGAGAATGTGGCTTAAGATGCCTCTCTGACAAAGCAAAAACCCAGTTACAAAATTCAACATATCCGTAAGATGAAAAACAAAACAGTGGTCAAGATAAATACAGATCACCAGGTATGCTGACCCCAGGGAAGATTTTCCCAGGCCCTCATAAAGAATCAGCAGGCCTGTAATCCCAACACTTTGGGTGCATCACTTGAGCTCAGGAGTTTGAAACCAGCCTGGGCAACATGGCAAAAACCCATCTCTACAAAAAAAAAAAAAAATTACAAAACTTAGCCAGGCATGGTTGTGAGGGCCTGTAGTCCCATCTAATTGGAAGGCTGAGGTAGGAGCATGACTTGAGCCTGGGAGGTCAAGGCTCCAGTAAGCCATGAGTGTGCCACTGCATTCTAGCCTGGGCAACAGAGCAAGACCCCATTTCAAAAAAAAAAAAATCACCACCCTCAAAAATATTGGATATGGTAGCAAAATTTAGTTCACAGTTTCTTAACTGTATCCTTCACAAATTATTTAGGGAAAGTAGCAAAATTTAGTTCACAGTTTCTTAACTGTATCCTTCACAAATTATTTAGGGAAAGTAATTTCTGTGAGGGTCTTCGAAAACCGTGGTTCAAGTACACTATTGTCTGTGATCTTTTAAACCATGTCTCAGACCATGTCAGCACTTTCCAGCTTAAAATATTCTAGAGTTTTCCATTGCACCGAGAATGAAAGTGAAACTCCTTACTTGAACCACCAGGTCCTGCACAATCTAGTCCCTGCCAACCCCTCCCCTATCAACTCCAGCTCCCCGTTAGCCTCCTCCACGTTGCTGCCTCAGTTGCCTTTCTGCACGTGCTACTCCTCAGCTGCAGTGTTGCATGGAGCCTTCCTATGGCTGGCTCTTTCTCAGCCTCCAAGTATCAGCTTAACTGATGCATCCTCAGGCAAGCCATCCCTGCTGACTTCCTCTAAGTGAAGGCAGTATCCCCTTATTGGTTCCTATAGCCCCTCTCCCAATTTATAATTACATATGTATTCGCTCATGGACCTGTGTGTTGCTAATTTTTCCCAGTAGACTGCTTTGGGTGGTCTGTGTCTATTTCATTCACATTCTATACTTGATGCCTATTGTAAGTCCTGGCACAGAGTGGGAGGACATCAGTAGCGATTGGTTGAACAAATTGATTGAATAAATAATTGAATAAATGATTATATGAATTTCCCCAAAGATAAAATTTAGGATGTCTAGAGGAATAGATGCATATTTTTTTAGGCAATCATTATAGGTATTATTCTTGTTGCTGATGATACAACTTGGATTGAACAAGGATTGGACAGCAGATAATTCTAGGTTTTATTCTCTGGGAAGAGCCTTAAATACTGTGATGGTTAATACTGAGTGTCAACTTGACTGGATTTAAGGATACAAAATATTGATCCTGGGTGTGTCTGCAAGGATGTTGCCAAAGGAGATTAACGTTTGATTTAGTGGGCTGGGAAGGCAGACCCACCCTTAATCTGGGTGTGCACCATCTAATCAGCTGCCAGCACAGCTAGAATATAAAGCAGGCAGAAAAACGTGAAAGGAAAAGGCGAGACTGGCCTAGCCTCCCAGCCTACATCTTTCTCCTGTGCTGGATGTTTCCTGCCCTCAAACATTGGACTCTAAGTTCTTCAGTTTTGGGCTTCAGACTGGCTCTCCTTGCTCCTCAGCTTGCAGACAGCCAATTGTGGGATGCTGTGATTGAGTGGGTCAATACTTAATAAATTTCCCTTTATATCTATCTATCCTATTAATTCTTTCCCTCTAGAGAACCCTGACTAATGCAAAGACATGTATTTCACTTTGTTGGCTAGTGACAAAAGTATATGCTTTGACCATCAAACAGGACAGTTTAAGGTCCCTTGTGAAAATTAGGGAGCCTGGAGGGATGAGCAAACCTCTTGCTCCACAAAGAGGGGATAAAGGGCATAAGAAAATTTTAGTAATATCTACCTTATCTTTGTATCAGTTACAAATTGTATAGGCATGCTTGCCGTGCCTTTAACTAAACAGTACAGCGGCACTGAGCCAGCTACATTCAGCTGACCCTACAGATACCTCTTCTGAGGGACTTCAGTCCACTGGTCTGTATTTTGTGGGAACAGCTATCCAACCAGATGCAGTGCTCCAAGCTGCCTTCTTTTCTAGCTTATATTTTTTCCAAAGGGATATGATGGCAGAATCTTCTGAGTTGATCACCCACTAACTGTGTCTATGACCTTCCTCTGATGGGCCAGTCTTGCTACCTTACCAAAGTGGGAGACTGTGTTCATGTAGCTTCATTTGCTCTTCGTGGACTCAAACTGCATCTGGGTTATCAACCATCTCTGTTTCTTCATGCTCATACTTATCTCTTTAATAGTTCATTCAATAATTTTACTGGAGATTTTAACAAATTTACTATCTGGTATTTTCTAGAACCTACTTATTTTTGTCCTCAATGAAAATAAAAGCAATTGCTTATTTTTATTTTCAATGAATTGCTTAGATTACTAGAGGGGAATTTTTAGTCTTTTAGGTAGAATTTGTCTGCACTTAGAGGATTACCTTCATTTACTTCAGGTAGGATTCTATAACCTCCTCCCATCTTGAACAACAGTGAATATATTTTCTTAATGTTGACTCAAATTATAATTTGAATATGAAATGAACACTTGCTCATTGAAGAAATCCTATGATGAATCCTTTGGAAAATCTTCTGATCATCTGTTTTGTAAATATTTGGGATTACCCAGTGAGAGGCACACCATTATTACGATTGTCTGCTGACCTGTTGCCCTGGATTCTGTCTCCATTCTTATATACAATCCCTTTCTTCATGGTGTCAAGCAGCAGTTGGGAATTGAGTATGGCCCACGACTGTGGAGGAATAAAGGCGCGGGAGGAATAATGCAATTGCATTTCTTAGATATGCCTTGTTGGATAAATCCAGCCCAGTATACCAAAAAATATGAAAAATATGATAGAATGCTTTCCTTCCATATTCCTAATATAAGACCACCAATCTGTACTTGAAAGTGGTGCAGAGAAGAGTAGCAACATTTTAAAAATCCTGTAAAGAGAAGAGCACTACAAATTTGAGAGAGTAGCAAAATATCCCTCTAGAGGTCTAGATTTAGGTGTCATGTAGCTCTGAAGTGACTGGAAGACACATTTTAGGGTAATAGCAGGGCAGCAAGGGGAGGCTCCTCTTTTGAGTTAAGAGAAATAATTTAACCAAAAGTGATCCTGGTGTAATAAAAAGATTTTTTTCTGACGTCTCGTTTGTCATCAACAGAGACAAAGTCCCTAACTCACCTTACCATTTCCTTTACCCTTTTTTATTCAGATATTTCTAATGTATTCTTCATGCCAGGCACAGGGCTAGACTGTGATGGTACAGAGAAGAATAAGACACTGTCTCTCTTCTCAACAATAATTTATCATGACAAAAGAGGAGGACAGTTACAATTATAGGACTGCGTTGCTGGTGCTATGACAGAGGTGTGCAGAGGGTGCCCGGGGGGGGCAGAGGAGAGACGACTAAGTCAGAACAGAATAGAGGTATTCTGCATGGCAGAAAGGTGTTGCAGGTGCCTAGAGGGATGCATACCTGGGCGAGAAGGCTAGGAAGACTATATGGGGGAAAAGATGCCCATGAAGAGAAAAAAACTGCATAAATACTTTCCTATGTGATACCCCTCCTTCAATTAATAAGACAGATTAGTATTCAAATCACCATGACAGGCCAGGCACAGTGGTTCACGCTTATAATCCCAGCAGTTTGGGATGTCAAGGTGGGTGGATCACCTGAGGTCAGGTAGGTCAGGAGTTCAAGACCAGCCTGGCCAACATGGCGAAACCTCGTCTCTACTTAAAAAAAAAAAAAGAAAAAGTTAGTTGGGCATGGTGGCTCGTTACTGTAATCCCAGCTGCTCACGAGGTTGAGGCACAAGAATCGCTTGAACCCAGGAGACAGAGTTTGCAGTGAGCTGAGATGGTGCCACTGCACTCCAGCCTGGGTGACAGAGCAAGACTTCATCTCAAAAAAAAAAAAAATCACCATGACATAGGGGATCTCAGGGACAGCATGAATGGTGATGCGTGTGTTAATTCCACTGCAGACATCATCACGCAATGTATCTCTATCTCAAATCATCTTGCATACCTTGAAGATATACAATCTTTATCAGTCAATTAAATATTTTAAAATTTAAAAATCATCATGATACAACACCTCACATAGTGACACGTGTGTGTGTGTGTGTGTGGTGACAGTTGAGATCTACTCCCTCATTAAGTATTCAATAGAGTCTTATTAATTATAGTCACCATCCTGTACATTAAATCCCCAGAACTTAGCATCTCCCCCATTCCGCATCCCCTATCCCTGGGCCCAGCCCCTGGCAACCACCATTCTACTCTCTGCTTCTGTGAGTTCAACTTTTTTTTGAGATGGAGTTTTGCTCTTGTCATCCAGGCTGGAGTGCAATGGTATAATCTCAGCTCACTGCAACCTCCGCCTCCCAGATTCAAGCAATTCTCCTGCCTCAGCCTCCCAAGTAGCTGGGATTACAGGGGCCCCCCACCACGCCCAGCTAATTTTTGTATTTTTAGTAGAGACAGGGTTTCACCATGTTGGCCAGGCTGGTCTTGAACTCCTGACCTCAGGTGATCTGCCTGCCTCAGCCTCCCAAAGTGCTGGGATTATAGGCATGAGCCACTGCGCCCGGCCGAGTTCAACTTTTTAAAATTCCACATGTAAATGAGATCATGCGTCATTGGTCTTTCTCTGTCTGGCTGATTGCACTTAGCATAATGTCCTCCAGGTTCATTTATTTTTGTGCCTGTTTTGTACAGACTTTCTGGAGGAGTTCTTTCCCATTAGAGAATATGTGTGTATGCATGAAGATACAGAGACTCCTGAGATTTTTTAACCATTTATCTTTACAGCGTGATGCTTATCACAGCACGCAGTGGCCTCTGGCCAGTCTCCCAGAGCACCACCATAATCACACTGTGTCTTATAGTTCAGACCTGTTTAAACAGATCTGGTATAACACAGATAGCCAGCCATGGTTACCTTCTCCTTAGTGGCTCCGCCAAAATGACTCAACACTAATCAATCACAAGAGAATATTTACTGAGCACCAAAAATGTATTGCTGCACAGAAAGATAGAACTTGCTATCTTTTGTAACAAAAGCTCCTCACAATCTTCAATGACCTTAAAACCCTCTCTTTCATTCCCTGACTTTGGGAATCTCAAGGGCTGTCCTTGGCCTTGGCTTGTTTATTAATATGGCTTGCTTTGGAAAATCCAGTCCCAGCACTCTGTTAATCAGCCAGTGCATTGCTGTATGTGAAAAAATGTAAGACCAAAATTGTGTGGTATAGACTATGATTATAATGTTTTGAAAATTAAAAAAAAAAAAGCATGCTAAAGAAAAGTTTAGAAGAAACTGCACCAAAAAGATAATCATGACCATTTTTAGGATGGTGAAATGATGGGTGATAATTCTTAAATCTCCATTTTTAAAATATTCTATTGTATGACTAGGGGATGAAGCCTAACCAATGATATATGATACGGGTATGGAGAAGGAACCTCAGTCTTAGTTTATTTCCAGTTGCCTCTGTGTATTGCAGATATAAGACAGACAGACAAGAAAAATCTGCACAACAATGACAGATACGGTCTTACATGGCTTGAACTTCCCAGTGTCTCATACAGTTATGCAAAACTCCAGTGTTCAAAATAATTTCATCTAAGAAAGAGAAAACAAAAAAAGTTTACTGATTCCTCTTTCAAAATGCCTCTCAAATCCATTCCTTATTACATGATGTGTCCTGTACACAGGGACCTGCCCTCCTGCCTGGAGCACCCTGACAGTTTTACTTGTGTCTCTATGTCTAGTCTGGCCCCATCCCATCTACAGTTTTTTTTTTTTTTTTTTTTTTTTTTGAGATAGAGTCTCACTCTGTCACCCAGGCTGGAGTGCAGTGGCGCCATCTCAGCTCACTGCAACCTCTGCCTCCCAGGTTCAAGCAATTCTCCTGCCTTAGCCTCCCAAGTAGCTGGGACTACAGGCATATGCCACCATGCTCAGCTAATTTTTTTTTTTTTTTTGTATTTTTAGTAGAGACAGGGTTTCACCATGTTGGTCCAGTCTAGAACTCCTGACCTCAAATGATCCACCCACCTCGGCCTCCCAAAGTGCTGGGATTACAGGCGTGAGCCACTGTGCCCAATCCCCATCTACACTTAATGCCACAGAACGTTCAGCTTCTCAGGAGACCACTGCAGTCATACCACCCTCCTGCCACAAAACACCAAACCACGCACCACCTTTACGGCTTACTATGTAAGTCATTTAGCTTCTTAGGGGCTCTCTTTCCATATCTTAAAAAAAAAGGTTTATAAGTATATGTGCATATACATGTATATATGCACACATACACACACGCATCTCATATGAATGTATATAAACAGACCAAGTCTATATGATTATCAATTCCTTTTCTATTATTTGAGTCAACTAGATCACAATCTAAGCCAAGCAAAAGCAAACTAGTTGAATGAAGGATTTTGTGTCCTTTCTTGCATGTAGCTTTTTGGAGAAAGATTGAATGGGCATGGCAAGAGCTGTCCACTGCACAGATCCAATCTCCAGACGTAGGAAACTCTCTTTATAGCTATCCCTGGTTTTAAAACCTGAGATAAATTCCATAGAATAGCCTTACAATATTTTCTGAAGAGCTGATATTTACTTCAGCTTTAAAAATACAGTCTTACACCACATAACGTTTTGCTTAATGACAGTGGTCCCATAAGATTATAATAGCATACGTTTACCGTACTTTTTCTATGCTTAGATATGTTTAGATACATAAATGCTTACCATTGTGTTACAATTGCCTGCAGAATTCAGTACAGTAACATGCTGTGCAGGTTTGTAGCCTAGGAGCAATAGGCCACCCCACATAGCCTAGGTGTGTTGTAGGATTTGTGTGAGTACATTCTATAATGTTCACACAACAACAAAATCACCGAATGATGAATTTCTCAGAACATGTCCCCATCATTAAGCAATGCATGACTATACACTTAGGCATATTAAAGCTCTAGCCTCACAACAATGAGCAAAATCTATTTAAATAACACAATGGTGACACTGGGAACCATTTGCATAAAGCAGTCTAAACACTTTTTATCCAAACACTTCCTAAGAAATTACTCAGAAGTGCTATTTCCACTAATGCACCTCAAATTCAAATTTTAAAAGGAACTATTAAAGACATTATTCTTTTCTCAGGATGAAGAGGAAGTGACTTTAAAGTAAAAAAGCCAAACATAATGAAACACAACAAAACAAAATTTGGCCCATAATTTCTCAAACCTGGGCCTGGGAGGTCCCTTGAGGTCCTGTGTGCTCAGATTTGAGAAGTTATCCTGTGGTTTTGTTGAATTCCGTACAGAGACACTCCATCTGCACTGTCCTTTTACCATCGTGTTCTAAGGAGGTAGGTGAATGGGCCCAGGCACTTGGAATCACTTTCATTTAACAATGATTTCATGAATGCCTACTCTGTGCCAGGCAAAGTTCTTGGTGCTTGGAATGCATCAATGCATAAAACAGACATCATCTCTGTCGTAATAAAGCTTAAGATTTAACCAATGAACACAGTAACTTGAAAGTTATTAACCTGTGATGGATGGGCCACTGGAACTCTACAACTGCATGCAATATGTTGGGTGTATATTCACTTTTCTAGAACATGAGGCTTTTAGATTTCATCAGATCTTCAAAGGATGCTGGAACACTCAAAATATTTTTTAAATGGCTCTAAAGTATGATTTCAAGAACACCTAGAAATGTGGCTTTGGAGTCGAGTTAACTTTTAACCAAAGTCAGGCTCTGTTATTTATTTATTAACTACATAAGCTTGGACAAATCAAATTAGTTCATTTTTCTGCATCTCAGTTTCCTCATCTATAAAATTGAAGTTAAGCCTCATAAAGCTCTTGTAAGGGTTAAATTAGCTTATGTATATGAAGCACTGAGATATCGTAATATTAGTGCTCTCCTTCCCATCACTTCATCCTGCAGGTTTTGACCAAAAATATGGGTGAGAACTTTGAAGCAAGTTCAAAGTATAGAGATAGAATAGGCCTCCTTCCATAGCTAGATGTTTTCAATTTTATGTGGTCAACTGAATCAGAAATGTCATAGGTTAGCAGGGAAGGTCCCTTCCAAACTAAGAGTTTATGAGTCTGTGAAATCGCCAACTTCGTATGAATTAAAAGGGTGGATGCCTAGACTTTTCTCTGGAGAGTATTTTATGACTGCAGGATCAGTCCAACCTTGTTCATTGATTCCTTGAGTGAAATAAATGCTTACTTTACGTGAAATGCTTATTTTAAAGCTATGCTATGTTACTTGGTAAAATTCTCTTAGTATAACTCAGAAAGACAATACTCATGATGATAATGAAATTTGCCTTCTATTTGTTTAGTATAGTTTTCAAGATTTAAAAGTTATAAATATAAGCCCTTCATTTTATTGATTATGGAAATTACCATTTAAATCAACCTTTTAAAAGGGCCCGCAGGTCCCTAATCGGTTTTGCTCCTACTTCCTCTTGCAGCCTCAAATTCACAGCCTCCTTCTTGGTCTCTGTATTCTAGGGACACTGGCATTTCCCTTCCAGAGGCTTTGAACATGCGCTTCCCTCGTACTGAGCTAAAATGCTAACCATCCCTGCAGTGGCATAATGAACACTGCTCAACGCTCATTTCCTAAAGGATGCTTTCCATCTTCCTAAGCAGCACCCTGTACATCTCCATTGTAGTCTCTGTCATACTTGCATTGTGATATTTTGGGGACATGATTATTTGATTAATATCTGTCTATTCCCCTAGCTTGTACAATCCATGAAGGTAGGGACCATGTGTCTTTCTGCTCATTATTGTATCACAGCATTTAGTCCAGTGCCTGGTACATAGGAATGGACAATAAACTTTGATAGAATGAAATGCTGGGTGAAAGACAGGTAGGAAGGATGGTATTTTCACTTGGCATGTGTGAATTGCACAAGGGCATCTGATTACTCAGCACAGATGGAGCATGAGGACCAGTGCCCTGATGGTTACTTTATTCCTCTTCCTCCATGCTGCCTCCTGTCTTCTCTCTCTTCTTCTGGATATGACTTTCTGTCCTAATTAATGATGTCTAATATGCCTTTTACTTCATTATGTTAAGTCTTTGTGTATAGAGGGGGCTAACGTATGAAGACTCAAAGCTGCTGGTATACACCAAATGCCATAACCAATCAAGTTCTTCTGCAGGAAATTTCCACCTTGAGTTTCTTTTTCTTTTTTTTTCTTTTTTTTTTTTTTTTTGAGACGGAGTCTCGCTCTGTTGACCAGGCTGGAGTACCGTGGCGTGATCTTGGCTCACTGCAAGCTCAGCCTCCCAGGTTCATGCCATTCTCCTGCCTCAGCCTCCTGAGTAGCTGGGACTACCGGCACCCGCCACCATGCCTGGCTAATATTTTTGTATTTTTGGTAGAGACAGGGTTTCACCGTGTTAGCCAGGATGGTCTCGATCTCCTAACCTCGTGATCCACCCGCCTCAGCCTCCCAATGTGCTGGGATTACAGGTGTGAGCCACCGCGCCCGGCCTCCACCTTGAGTTTCTTTTTTTAGAAAGACTGGACTTGCCCATTTCTTCTTAAATTTTTCTCAGAATTATAGCCCTTCCTTCATATACTTGTGCCTGCAGGCAGGAAGCATGTTCAGAAAGGCTTCTCATGGATAATTGGAGTAGAATTAAAGGAGGAAGGACTGATACAAGCAATGAGGCAACATTAAGGCAAAGGAAAGTCATTGTACCCCTGATAATAATTAAAGTCAGAGAAGAGATGAAACAAATTCATACCTACCTGGAGGAAGAGTGCAAGAGGGAAATAATGATGATAACAGCAACACTACCTGATGCTGAGTAACTTCCATGGCCTGGAACTGTACTAAGAGACTCTAAAATGAAGAACTGACAATAATATTTGTTAAATGTAAATAAATACAGAATTTGGGCTCATTCACCATCATGACTAGAATGCTGAAGTAATGATAGCTCACATTTTTGAACATGTATGTGTCAGGCACTATTCTAAGGGCTTTACATACATATATCTCACCTAATTCTTTTCTTTCAAATTTTTACATTTAATTTAATTTTTCTGTTTTTTGAGACAAGGTCTCACTCTGTTGCCCAGAATGGAGTGCAGTGGCGTGATCATGGCTCACTGAAGCCTTGACCTCCCTGGGCCCAGGTGATCTTCCCACTTCAGCCTCCCAAGTAGCTGGGACCACAGGCGTGTGCCACCCCCACCATACCTAGCTAATGTTTGTATTTTTGGCCATGTTGCCCACTCTGGTCTTGAACTCCTACACTCAAGCAATCCTCCCACCTCGGCCTCCCAAAATGTTGGAATTACGGGCATGAGTTGCTGTGCCTGGCTTTATCTCATCTAATTCTACAAACAAACCTATGAGGTAGTTACTGTTTTTTCTTCAATTTACAGATGAGGAAACTAACCTCCTGTCTTCCTGCTCTAGTTGTTTGCATATATAGCTCTCAGATTAATCTCCTAAAGTATAGTTCTGATATATTGTTCCTTCTACAATATCATTCTGATACTATTTTAAAATATCAAGAGCTTCCCCCACTGGTAAAAGGACAATGTCCAGATTCTTCAGTCTGGCATTAAAGGCCCATCATGGTAGCCTTTCTTGTTGTCACCTTAAAAACCTTTGAAATCATTCATGTTTGGAAGGAGAGTCCACCCCTGCTCTCACAGCCTGTGAGGCTCTCTTCTCACTCCTTCAATTCCCACTCATTTTTCAAGACCTGACTCAGAGGCCCCCTTCTCTAGGATACCTTCCCAGGCCCCTCATGTGTACGCCACCTACTCCTTCCTCCTCATTCCCATGAAACTTATTTCTGGCATAGTCATTGGGCCTTTCACTCTGTGTTGCTTTTTTGTCATCTCTTATTGCTCTTATATGATAAACTTCTTGAAACCCACAATATCCCACGCACATCTTTGAACCTTTCTCTTGATCCAGCCTAGTGTCTCCCTCAGAGAGGCAGTGTGGTATATCAGAAAGACCAAAGCTTGGACACCAGTGAGACTATGATTCAAAACCTGGCTCCTCTTCATGGCTGGGTGACCCTAGACTTCACTTTATCTATCTTAGCTTCAGTGTCCTCATCTGCAAAATAAATGATAGTGACACATACCTTGCATTATACAGAGAGCCTCTGACATATGGTAGGGCTCAGTAAATTATCAGAAGTTTTGATTGACAGATGATGTAACAAGTACTGACCAGGTTCCTCAAAGAGCCTGAAGTCACACAAGGTATATTCTGTTATATACTGGAATTTAAGTACCACTATATTCTGGCACTTAAACAGAGGGAGATGAAGGGAGTAGGCTGTATGTCAAAGACAATCAGGGAGATTATTCCTTCAAGCTGAAGTGGTAAAGGAATGAAAAGCACTGTGCACACTCAGTGAGAAGGTCTTATAGACACCTTCTGTAGTTGAACCATCATCCCAGTTGATGTCTGATGACAAGGTCTTCATACTAGAACCCTGGAAACCTCACCTAGGACCCTGGGGCAGCAGGACTCTTAGGAGACTTCAAATTCTATATTACTCAAGGTGAGGTCAAGAACCAGCAGTGTGACATCACCAGGAGCTTCTTGGAAATGCAGAATCTCAGGCCCCACCCTAGACCTACTCAATCAGAGCCTACATTTTAACAAGATTTGCAGATGACTTGGCACAATGAAAGACAATTTTCTAATGTAGCTCATTTTTTCATCAACAAGGAAGAAAACTGTGTGGACTTTCCCACGTTGTGAAATCCACTCACTGCAGACACACCACAGGCCGAAGGCCCTTACTTCTGAGGTTTTAGATCTTGTTACTGAGCCATAGATGTCTACATGGTTAGCAAATGTTTTAGGAATTGCTTTGATGGTTTCTATTTTATTTACATCATATATTAAATATAATTATTGTTAAAAGTAAAATTATTTTTCTTAAAGATTTTATTCATTTAGAGGGCTTTTAGTTCTGAAAAGACATAGGGTCTATTTTCAGATACCAAAACACTTTAAACTCTTGTAGGAATGTGTTTTAGTGCTTTACATTAATTTCATATAATTAAATTTTGAAGCCCTTCACTTCTAAATCTTGAAAAGAAACATCTGTCAACATTCCATGTAATAAAAACCCCTTAAAATACTGGATTTTCCCCGTGGACATACAGATAAGAATTCTATGTAATTTTTAAACTCCACATCTCTGAATCAAAGAATTCTGTAACTTTAATGCATGAGTTTTAAAAATATATAAGTTAATGTCCTCCCTGATAGCCACACCTTCTGACATTCTAAGATCTACCCTAAATAATATAAAAATTGATACATTTTATTTACAAGTATATTGTACCCCCACGAGACATTGCCTTGCCCACAAGTGAACCCCCTAAAACACTTTGTTTTACTTCTCTTTAACTCTTTATTTTCCATCATAGTTATTTGTTTACTTTTAGCATCTCCTCTATATAGGCTAAAAAGGAAACATTAACAACTTCATTCATCTGACAAAGATTTACTGATCATCTACCATGGGTTTGAGGCTGAGAATGCAATGGTGAACAAAATCCATAATGTTAGTACCTGCTTCAGGGATCTATGCTGCAGTTAAATATTAAGAGTGTTGAACACAACTGGCTGAGGAAACAGCCTGTGAGAGGTTGGAGGATTTCATTCATACAGTGAGAGATATTAGCCCCAAGCTTTTGTTGTTGTTGTAGAGATGAGGTCTCATTATGTTGCCCAGGCTAGTCTTGAACACCTGGCTTCAAGTGATCTTCTTGCCCCAGCCTCCCAAAGTACTGGGATTATAGGCATGAGCCACAGCAGTCCCAAGCTTTTGATGTCAAATTAATCAAGACTGCCAGGTAGGTACATTTCTTCATTCCTTCACCATACATTTAATGAGCACTTACTTTACTGCCGTCACTAAGCACACGAAGAACTGACAGATAAAGATCCAGAATGAGTTAAGCAGAAGTGTTCCATATAAGGCTGGAGATAAATCTTGGATTAGGTAGAGCCTCATATCTTTTACATCTCCGTGTCCTCCACGGTAACTAGCAGGACACTTTATACAGAATAAGCATATACCTTCTGAATCAAGATTTGTTTATTATTAGCAAGTACCTACTATGTGCTATGAACTATACTAAATACTGAGCATAAAGAAACAAAGGGCATAGACTCTCCCTGCATGGAGTAGACAAGAAATAACAGCAATTATAATACCCTCTGTAAGTCTTAAGACATATTAAAGCACAGGGTTCTATGGAAACCTGCAGGCAGGCCTTGCCATCCATTTGGCAAGTAAGCAGTAAGGTATTTGGGGAGCCTTATGATCCAGTTTAAAAGTTGGCACACATTCTCTCCATCTGCATCTTGGAGGTAGATCCTATATCTACTAAAGTCTGAGATATGTGTTAAGATCATAGATTTTATATTAATCCTTCTGTGCTTATCTTATACCCATCACTTCTTCCTTTGGGAAGCACACATAAAAATGAGAATCTTCTAATCAATATTGTGAAAATGGCCATACTGCTTAAAGCAATTTATAGATTCAATGCTATTCCCATTAAACTACCATTGACATTCTTCACAGAATTAGAAAAAACTGCTTTAAAATTTGTATGGAGCCAAAAAAGAGCATGTATAGTGAAGACAATCCTAAGCAGAAAGAACAAAGCTGGAGACAGCAAGCTACCTGACTTCAAACTATACTACAAGGCTACAGTAACCAAAACAGCATGGTACTGGTACAAAAACAGATACATAGACCAATGGAACAGGATAAAGATCCCAGAAATAAGACCGCACATCTACAACCATATGATCTTCAACAAAGCTGACAAAAACAAGCAATGGGGAAAGGATTCCCTACTTAATAAATGGTGCTGGGAAAAGTGACTAGCTATACGCAGAAAATTAATACTGAACCCCTTCCTTATATCTTATACAAAAATTAACTCAATATGAATTAAATACTTAAATGTAAAACCCAAAACTATAAAAACCCTAGAAGAAAATCTAGGCAATAACATTCAAGACATAGCCATGGGCAAAGATTTCATGACAAAAACATCAAAAACAATTGCAACAAAAGCAAAAATTAACAAATGGTATCTAATTAAACTAAAGAGCTTCTGCACAGCAAAATAAACTATCATCAAAGTGACCAGACAAACTACAGAATGGGAGAAAATTTTTGCAATCTATCCATCTGACAAAGGTCTAATATCCAGAATCTACAAGGAACTTAAACAAATTTACAAGAAAAAAACAAACAACCCCACTAAAAAGTGAGCAAAGGACTGGGCATGGTGGCTTACGCCTGTAATCACAGAATTTTGGGAGGCCAAGGTGGGCGGATCTCTTGAGGTCAGGAGTTCGAGACCAGCCTGGCCAACATGGTGAAACTCTGTCTCTACTAAAAATACAAAAATTAGCCAGGAGTGGTGGTACATGCCTGCAGTCCCAGCTACTCGGGAGGCTGAGGCAGGAGAATCACTCAAACCCGGGAGGTGGAGGTTGTAGTGCGCCAAGATTGTGCCACTGCACTCCAGCCTGTGCGACAGAGTGAGACTCCTTCTCAAAAAAGAAACAAAAAAAAAAAGAAAGAAGAAAAAAGTGGGCAAAGGACATGAACAGACATTTCTCAAAAGAAGACATTTATGCTGCCAGCAAACATATGAAAAAAAGCTCAACATCACTGATCCTTAAAGAAATGCAAATCAAAACCACAATGAGATACCATCTCATGCCACTCAGAATAGCAATTATTAAAAAGTCAAGAAACAACAGATGTTGGTGAGGTTGCAGAAAAAAAGAAATGCCTTTACACGGTCGGTGGGGATGCAAATTAGTTCAATCATTGTGGAAGACAGTGTGGCAATTCCTCAAAGACCTAAAAGCAGAACTACCATTTGACCGAGCAATCCCATTACTAGGTTATATATACCCAAAGGAATACGAATCATTCTGTTATAAAGATACATGCATGTGTATGTTCACTGCAGCACTGTTCACAATAGCAAAGACATGGAATTAACCCAAATGTCCATCAAGGTTACAATGGATAAAGAAAATGTGGTACATATACACCATGGAATAGTATGCAGCCATAAAAAGAAACGAGATCATGTCCTTTGCAGGGACATAGATGGAGCTGGAAGACATTATCCTCAGCAAACTAATGCAGGAACAGAAAACCAAACAAGCATGCTCTCACTTATGAGTGGGAGCTGGACAATGAGAACACATGGACACAGGGAGGGAAACAACACACCGGGGCCTGTCAGGGAGTTGGGGAGAGGGAAGGGAGAACATCAGGATAAATAGCTAATGCATGTGGGGCTTAATACCTAGGTGATGGGTTCATAGCTGCAGCAAACCTCCATGGTACACATTTACCCATATAACAAATCTACATATCCTACGCATGTATCCTGGAACTTAAAATAAAATAAAATAAAATTTAAAAAATAAATGAGAATAGTCTTGGTCACAGACTACCATGTGTTGTTCATTTATAATCAAATGTCTTAAACAATTACTGCTAAAAGAGCAATTGTGGTTTCCTTACTAGTCAATTTTTATCAAAGGGATCATTATTTACAAAAGTTTCTGGGCAGAATTCCATTGTTTCATTCCATCATTGGATTTCTTGGCCTTCAACACAAAGGGGCTATATTTGGAGAGACAGGAGTCCTGCTCCACGTGGAGCTTTGTAGTAGCATTTGCTTCAGGACACCTGGCAAAACACTCCACTGGTAGTTTCTGGAAAAAGAACAATTAAATCATGGCTATCTCCTCTGAAAATGATCATCATCATGGTTTTAGAATGTCTGTTTCCCAATTAGCTGTTGCTTATTTCTTCCTTTGACTATTTCTTCTAACTAAAATGTTCCTTTGCATATAAGCGGTGTACAGACAGTGCATGGCGAAAATAGAGCTGAAGACTGTTTTGAGGCCAGTATGCCTGAAATAGACACAAGTATAGGGTTTATAGTATATATATATTTTTTAAGTGTTAGAAAAGCATCTATCAATATGCGTATCTGCATTTCTTCCATGAGATAAACTTGAGCCCCACTAATTACTTGTTTATTTTATTTTTCTAATTTCTTTTTCTTTTCTTCCTTTTTTCTTTTTCTTTTTCTTTCTTTTTTTTTTTTTTTTTTTTGAGTTTGAGTTTCGCTCTTATCGCCCAGGCTGGAGAGCAATGGCATGATTTCAGCTCACTGCAACCCTTACCTCCTGGGTTCAAGTGGTTCTCCTGCCTCAGACTACTGAGTAGCTGGTATTACAGGTACCCACCACCACGTCCAGCTAATTTTTGTGTTTTTAGTAGAGACAACGTTTCACCATGTTGGTCAGCCTGGTCTCGAACTCCTGACCTCAGGTGATCCACCCGCCTTGGCCTCCCGAAGTGCTGGGATTACAGGCATGAGCCACCACGCCCAGCCTGTTTTCTAATTTCTAGTCAGATGTCTTGGCAAAGCATGATTTGTCTCATGGGAATACCCATTTCCTCCCATAGCATACCTGATCATTGTCTGCCCACAGTAAGTGCATGCTATGAGCTTCTTCCAAGCTCTGAGGTCAGCAAGAGCCCCAGTGAACCTGATGGGCACTTTGCCTCTTAGTAGGCTCTCTCATAAACTACATTATTCTGTGATTCTCTAACAAGCACAACTTTCTGTGGACTTAATACTGACCTCAGATTAGCAATTCAGATTTAATGAGAAACACTGGATGTGTACAAGGCATGACACTAAATTCCAATAACTCAATACATTTTCTTAATATAAAAGCTCTAGCCAGGTTGATAGAGAAAAACCTAACACGACAGCTCCAGCCCTGCCTCCTCCATGAGCCCTCCTGGGATCATACAACCACTCTTCCTTCTCTGAACTCATAATGAGTTTGAAGTGAAATTAGCGAGTTGAGGACGCAAGCAATATATCCAGGGCCCAGAGAAAGCGGCAGAGCTGGAAGTAGGGAAGTCAAAGCCTTCACAATCAGGGTGATAATGAAAATTGGAGTTGTGGGTCAGCTCTTAGCTCTATGCAAGGAGACACCTGACCAACTAATGTCTCAGGATGAAGGTCAAGATCAAGAGAAGGCAGGAGAGAAGCTGGTGCAATGGTAACACTTTCAAAGCACAGAGTTCGCTATTGAGGCAGAAGGTTTGCAAGGAGGAGAGAGGAGAGAGAACAGCCGTATTCAACTACTGTTTCATTCAAATACTGTACACTGAATGAGAACCCTATAAAGCACTGGTAATCTGTAACAACTGCCCTGTGTTCAGGATTTCCTAGTCCCACTCAGGACATTTGCCACAGTTTTGTAGAATTTGCAACGTTTCTTAGACTGCACATAATATTATAGCAGAAAAGACAGCAGGAAATACTGATAATCTCCACTGGGAATGAATGTATGGTACAGAAAGAGTCTCTTCTGAGTCAAAGGTTTACCTCCAAGAGAGGGATTGGGGATGGGGAAAATATGTGTTCTTAAGCTCTGACCCACCTGTTCCTGTGTGTTTTTCCTTCATATGGAATCACATTTCTAGATCTAGCTCTGTGAATGATCTATCTCTGATTCATTTTTTACAACTTTTATGTAGGGTCTATTGACATCATGCTCTCCTAAGAGAAGAAAGTGGATGTATATATAGAGAATAATGACTTGCAAAGGCTTTCTTCTTCCCAGTGTTTGGATAGTTAGGAATACAGGGCCACACTGAGTTCTTTTCAACTGCAAGTTAGACGGCAGCAGGCAGCTGTTGCTCACTTGGTTCTTGGGAGACCACGTTGCTGACACCCTCCTGGATGCATTGATGGCCCTAATTCCCCCTTTGCTAGCAAAGGTGCTGGTGGTTCTTCCGGCTGTCAATGAGTTTAAGACAAGACTGCAGGAAAAGAAATAATTAGGGGATTGCAAAAGGGAAACATATTTTACAAAATATTTTCATAGGATTATAATAGAATATTTTGCACCCTCCAGCCTTCTTCTTTATAAGTGAAAGTTACACAACTCTAGGCTGTAATTCAGGAAAACTGCACAGACTGATAAATAGCAGTAATTATATCATTGAAGGCAACTGAGCAGGAAGGTTAATAAAACACTGCCAACTCTCTTGCGATATAAAACTTGCATTGCTGGTTCTTCTCCTTTATTATAAAAAAATAACAAACTAAATGAATGTGGGCATTCATGAAATATCATTAATATTCTGAACTTTTTGAAAACAGACTGCTTTCTTATTCACCTTGAATAAAATTCAATATATATATTGAATTTTAATATATAATCTTTTCACCTTCTACTCATTGTGTATAATACTTCTCAGAGGCAGCAGGATGTAGTAGAAAGTAGTCATGCATCACTTAATGATGGGGACATGTTCTGAGAAATGTGTCCTTAGGCAATTTCATCATTGTGCGAGCATCACAGTTTGCAAACAAACCTAGATGGTAGAACCTATGACACACCCAGGCTATCTGGTATGGCCTATTGCTCCTAGGCTACAAACCTGCACAGCATGTTACTGTACTGAATACTGCAGGCAACTGTAACCCAATGGTAAGTATTTGTGTATCTAAGTCCATCTAGACATAGAAAAGGTACAGTAAAAATACAGTATAAAAGATAGGCTGGGTGAGGTCGCTCACCCCTTTGATCCCAGCACTTTGGAAGGTCAAGGCAGGATCACTTAAGCCCAGAAGTTTGAGACCCACCTGGGCAACATAATAAGACACCATTTCTTAAAAAAAAAAAAAAAAAAATAGTTGGGTGTGGTAGCATGCACCTGTGGTCCCAGCTACTCGGGAGGCTGAGGCGGGATGATCTCTTGAGCCAGAGAGGTCAAGGCTGCTGTGAGTCATGATTGCACCACTGCACTCCAGCCTGGGCAACAGAGTGAGACCCTGTCTCAAAAAAATAAAACTAAAAATAAAAAGATAAAAAGAGTGCACCTGTATAGGGCAGCTCCATTATAATCTTATGGAAACACTATCATATATGTGGTCCATTGTTGACCAAAACATCATTTTATGGCATATGACATGGATTTTTAGGAAAGAACTGGGTTCAAATCCCAACTCGCCAACTTCATCAGCTGTGCTCTTGGGAAGCCTACTTAATCTCTCTGAGCTTCTGTTTCTTTATTTGCAAAATGCAGATAGGAGATGTTTACCTTATACCATGATTTTGAGTATAAATCAGATTATTAAAAGTGCTTTGTAAACTATATATTTTAGTTGTAATCTTATTTACGTATTTCATCACTTGTAGTCTGAAGTTATCCATCTCTCTGTTCATTGAGTCAAAACGGAATATTTAGTGGGCTCCTTTTTGGTTCTGGGATACAGAGATGAAAGCACAAAGGCTGAGACATTCAAGAGCTCATGGCTCAGAGGAGGCAGGCAGCCGTGAGAGAAGATGAGGCCAAGGGCAGGGCCAAGTCCTTTCTCAGCATAGGTGGGAAGCACCTTGGTAGGCAAGAGATGCTTTTCTTGCATGTGGATTATCCAGTAAGTTCTATGTTAAAGCAGGGGGCAGAGAGGTAGGGAAAGTGTAATTCTTTCATTTCCCAAAAAACACTTAATGCTGTTTCTATAAGAAAAAAAGTTAATGCTACAGGATTTGTCACCTATTGGATATGCAGTTCGTGTCAGAACAAATGGTTGTTTCTCCTTAGAAAGTTGTGCTTGAAGCATTTCATGAAATATCCATGTTTTGTTTTACACAATATACATAAAAGCTGCAGTAACATGTAATCAACAAACATTTTTACTGTTTATCTTAGGGTTTCATTTGCTTTGACTATAAAATACAAGGTTCCATATTTAAACCCATGCATTTATTAAAGAGAAACAAGTCATTGTGTCCTAGGGACAAAACGTTATGTTCCTGTTCCTCTTATTTTCTTTTTCCTTTTCTCTGAATGGCAATCCTGGGTTCTAGATGCCACCTAGCTGGGGAAGATAGTCTTTCAAGTTGAAATTCCCTTGTCAGGGGTGTTTTGTGCCTATATTCCTATCTAGAGAAACTAACCCATGCCTTTCCTGCTCCACCCCTTTTCTCCGGCCTTTTCTGCCCTCACCCCACCCCCATCCTCTCATTTTGCGTGACTCTACATTTCCACATTTGTGCTTGACTCGGGATGCAGGTAAAAGTCAAAAGATGGTATCATTAAAACAAGGAGAAAAATGAGACATTTGTTCATTCTCAATGTGTTTGGCATGAATACTTTCTAATATATATTATAATTTTTGCTTTGTGGACTTGCTCCTTCTAAATGAGTCAGTGTAGATGGTGGTGGTAATTTATTTGAGTAGACATGTGGCAACATGGCTTTCCTTTGCAAATCAAAACAAACAGAAACTCTGCTGATTGAGTATGCCAGGACCTGTTGTTGGACACAGAGACAAATTTTATTTTAGAACATCTTATTCAGATCAAAGTAACAACAACATTTGTAATAATAAACAACAAAAATTCCATAAAGCACGGTCCATTTGTTGAGCCAGATTTACCAGGGTTCTACTTGAACTCTTTTCCTAAGTAATAACATTGTTCCTAGGTGATAACAATTCTAAGCCAACTGTGATGAGTTCCAGAACATTTGGATCCTAGTTAGCGGAACTGAAGTTCTGAATCCAAGCCCATAATTTGCTTTTAATCTCTTCAGAGAATGGCCAGTTTTGCTGTTGGATATGAAAGACTGTAGATTGTTGGGGACACACACAAATAGAAATTGTATAAGCATCCAGTAAAAGTAAACATTATTTAAAGTATTACTGATGGGAATTTTTAAAATTTATCATGAGTGCATTGCTGTAGATATCTGCTTTTAGTAAACAGGATATTTGGAATGAAAAAAATGTGTTATCCAAGGGGAAATTTTATTACAATGTAGCATTAATTAATGCTTGCTTTATTAATTAAAAATTAACAGGAACTCAATAAGCAGAAGCCACCAATCCCATTAAATATTTCCATTTGTATGTCCTTCAGCCACCCTGATTTGGCATCCATGGTCCTAATTCTTTCTCTTCCAACTTGCTAATCTTTCATGCCTGAAAGTTCGCATATGATGCTGACCCTTGCCAGAGCATCTTCCCTTTTCTCCATTCTCTGGTGAATTTCTACCTAGATTTAAACATTCTCTTGAGAATCCTCTTTTCTGGAAAGCATCCCACAATCCACTTGTCCCAACTCCACCTTTCTCTAATTTGTTGGCTCCCACAGAACCCCAAGCTGATGTTTTTCAGCTGCATGTAGCACAATTCCACTCCTTCACTTTATTAAATGAGTAATACAACTGATGTTGACAGACTAGAAATGACCAAGATCATAATGATAATAAATAGCAGAGCCAATACTCTAATCCAAGTCCTCTTACTCTAGGGCAATCATTAAACTCTCCTTAGCTGACTGACTTCATAGCTACCTGACCTTTTTTGAAACCTCTTACTTTTGCCTAGCAAAACAACTCATCATCGTCTTTTCCCAAGCATTTACAGATACCATGTTGCACCCCCTTAAAATACTCTCTGACCTTCTTTGGGCTAATCTCCATCTTTTCTATAATTATATTTTTGATATGATAGTTAGGTACTTTCATCCTTTTCCATGTATCTCCATCACACACATGGCTGTGGTCACATGCCATCTGTAACTGCCATCAGTAAGTCAACCCTGCCATCAGTGCGTGAATCCTTAGAGCTAGATGTGGCATAGTTAACTGTGACATTAGGAGGAATACCGGTAAGGGCTGGCACCTGGAGAGAGACCCCTCTCCAAGGAATGAGATAAGAGCAAATCTAATTATGGTAGCTGTCAGGCCAAGCCCAAGCTGAGGGATAAGAACTGGATAGGTACCCAAAGTCCAGCAGAGATAGTGGCATCAGAGAAACTCCATAGTGGGCAAAACCCAGTGATGGCTAACTCAAGGGCAACAGACAAAGCAGGCAAGAGTCAACAGTTACTCCTGGGCACCAATAGTGATTTGGAGCAGGACTACAGCCACGGTGGTAGGAATGTCATGGGCAATGACGAAATGCTTAGATGTGTTATCAGGATAAGGACTTTGGCATAAGGGATTATAGCAGAAGGCCAGTTATCTGAATCAAGACATGGAAGAAAAGCCAAAATAATTGCAACTGCGATTAAATACCATATTCTAGGCTCTTTGTTAAGTATTTTTATGCATATAGCAGACATTTCATAAATATTTGATAAGTGAATGAAACCAATGTCTCATTTAATTCTTATAACAACCAATAACACAACCGAGCACCTAATGAGATCAGTATTATTATCCCTATGCTACAGACAAAGAAATGACCAGAAAACTAAGCAGTAGAGCCAGAATTCAAACCCATGTCTGTTAGAACACCACAGCTGGGTTCCTTCCCCAGTACTAGCTTGCATTGGTGCTTTATTCCACCTATTTAATAATGAGCAATCAAGTTCTTAAGACTGGAAGTGATGTATTTTATAATCTCTGTACCTGATAATATAATCTATGGAGAGTACATGTGGTTGACTAAGAATTATTTAGGTTATAGAATGAGACAAAGCCAAAACAAATGACACACAAACACTTTTTTTAAAAAAAAGTTAGGAAGAGTGCACTTTTTCATTGGAAGTTATAATGTACATAAGATCTGGATGATGTGTGTCCTCTGTAACATCCTTGGAGAGAAATAACAGAAAACACTTTGCAAAATACTTTGTCAAGGAACAGACAGATGCTCATCTTCAGTAATGTAAACTAAAATGAGCTTACTGTCATTAAAACACAGTTCCCCTCAGATACCTGTCTTTGTAGCACAAATGTGAAGTAAAAACTATAGAAATTTGATTCAGCACGTGAAAGCTCCTGGCAAAATCTCACTTTTCCACTTCATCAAATTCATCAAATCCTTCCACTGAAGAGAGAAAGATTAGCAGGAATATTCAGTATGCTCTGATCTGAGCATCTGGTCAATCTCTTTCAGCAGAGGTTGGGATTCAAAATTAAAGAGCACAGCTGTGAATTTATTTGCATATACCAGACCTTACATTTTTGTGCATATATAGAAACTTTCTTTAGGGACATTTGAATGGCCACCCCCAGAGTGAGAAGACCCTTAAGACCCTTAATTGGCAGAGTTAGCATCCACTGACAGCAATGGTAAATAGAAACTCTTTGTGAGGCCTTCTTAATTGAGTGAACCAATATTTACAGACATCAGGTTTCATGTACCTTAAGACAGAAGATCCCAGACTTTAGAATTTTACAGATGAGAATAATTTCAAAACAAAGTTCAAGAGTAACACTAGAGTTTAACTACCTTTTAATTTTGCTAGGTCAAAGCATTCAACATCATCACCATTTCATTAAAATAAATGACATTTTAAACATCAAAAAGTAAAAAGGTAAAAATCTCATAATAAACAAAAATGTCAGTTGGAAATCCTACACAACATTTTTTTCATATGTAATCATGAGTTTTATCTGATTGCTATCCAAGAACCAGCATTTTGGGAGCAGTGGTTGATGCTCCCAAAATGTTATAAATTTACCTTTAAGGTGCGCACAGGGGTTACTGTGTTGTCGTGCATTCTACTTACCAAGTGGTTCTTCTAGCTGGTAAATTCTAAAACTCAGATCTATGGAAGCATTGAGCTCTGATAATAAAATGGAAATCACTGTCGTGATGTACAATTTATCTTTTAAAGATTACATAAAGATCACATTTACTTTAGCATGGTTTATAAGGGTCTTCAGACTCTACCTTCTGCCTTCCTCTCCAACCTAATCTTCTCTAATTCTCTTCAGGCAGCCTTCTGACACACCTGTTATCTCTCACATGTGGTTTCCTCTATCAGAAATATGCCTTCACTTCTTCTTTACCAAAAAAACTTCCATTCAGCCTTCAAAACACAGAAATGACTCCTCCTGTTTTGTGAAGTGTTCCCAGTCATCTGGTTACAAAGCCTATGGATTCATCTATAATAAGCAATGTAGAAATAAGCAATCTTGGTTCTGATTAGTAAATAAATAAATTTAGTAATATAAGATTTCCACTTTGTAGTGTGACTATCACATGCCAGAAGCTGTCCCAGGATAGGTTATTCGTTATCTATAATCTTCATGGCAATGTTGTGTGATTGGTATTATAATCTCTATTTTATAAATGTGGGAAAATAAGGCCCAGAGACTCAGGAAGTGATTTGCCTGCTGTCACACAGCAAGTAGGTGATATTGCTAGGAGCTGAACTCAAAGCTTGTGCTCTTTCCAAGCTATTGTGCTGCCTCTGAATTCGATCTCCAATTATATGCTTTAATAATATTTCTTGAGCATGTACTACAGCACCTTGCTAGGACTTATCCACTGCATTCATTTCTTCATCTCCCTCTCTATCCTGAACCCCGTTCATCAGGCATTTGTCCCCACCGTTCATCAGGCATTTGTCCCCACCACTCCTGTGCAACCACATTCATCAAGGGTGCCAGTGACATCTGTCTTGACAAACTCATGATAATTTCTTGGCCATTTTCTTTCTCGACCTCTCAGAAGTTTTTTGACACTTGTGATCAGTCTCTCCTTCCTGAAATTTTGTCTTCAGTTGTCTTCTGGGATATCAGGCTTTCCTGATTTTCCTGCCATCTCAGTCTCCTTTGAGACATTCTTCCCTTGCTGACCTCTGAGGTGGTGGTGCCTCAGGGCTCATTCCCTGTCCTCCTCTCTTCTCTGTATATACTCATTTACTGGGTGATCTCATACATTCCTGACTTTAAACACTAAATATATCCTGGTCATTCTAAAAATCCCATCTCTCATCTGAACTCCAGACTTGTATCCACCTGAATCTCTAATATGTCCCAAAGAGAACTCTGTGCCCATCCAACCCAACATGCTCTTTGCCAGGCTTCTCCAACTCATTTAATAGCATCTTCATTCAGCCAGTTTCTTAAACTAAATCTTTAAGAGTCATCCAACAATGAAGCATCCTACAATCAACACCTGATGGTCTTCCCTTCAAATGCACTCCAATCACACCATGTCTCATTACTTCCTGTTTCAAGCACTATTCTCTCACCTACTGACTACTGCAGCAGCCCTGCTTTCATTCTTGCCCTCTACTGTCAATTCTCCACTTTCTCTTTGTCTGGAACACTCATCCCCCTGATCTAAGAGGCCAATTACCTCCTTTCATCTAGATCTCTCCTCAAATATCACCATCCTTGAGAAGTCTTCCTCAATATCTTATCTATAAGAACCCTACACTCACTTTCTATTTTGTAAAATCTGCTTGATTTTTCTTCTCATATACTTATCTGTACTTGATACTATGTTATATATTTATTGATTTATTTGCTTATTATCTGTGTCCCCAGGACAAAGTAAACTCTATGAGAGCACGGACTTTGTCTATTCAATTTATTTTAGCTTTTTTAAGCACTCCGTAAGTTTTTCCAGAATGAATGGATGGACGGATGGATGAATAAATGAATGAATAAATCTCAGTAATTTTGTCAAATATTTTTATACATTATCCTATTCAATCCTCACAATAAACCAGTTCCCAAGAACTAACTTGCTCAAGGTCACGCAGTTAGTAAGTAATGGAGTCAAGATTTGGATCTATGTTGGTCAGACTCAAAAGTCTTTCAACCACATTGGCATCAATTAGAGGTTTACAATTAAGGCTAGTGTCCAATCTATTGGGAGGTAATACGATCTAGCCCTCTGCCTTCAGCAAGATATTTTACACCTTAAATTATGCTACCAAAAAGTAGTATCACCCTCAGTTTATAGATGAAACAACAGAGACATTTTTATGATCTACTCAGTTTTAAAAGCAATACAACAAACTTACAATTGACTCACTCATTCTGACTCACAGAGAATACGTATTTATTTTAATATAAGAATGAATGTGTCAACAGGATACCAAGAAAATTCAGTGAAGAAAGAACAGTCTTTTCAGCAAACGGTTTTGGGGCAATTAGATATCCACATGCAAAAGAATGAAGTTAAACCCCTACCTTATAGCATATACACAAATAAACTCAAAATGAATCAAAGCCCTAAGTGTAAGAGTTAAAGCTATAAAACTCTTAGAAGAAAACATTCATGACCTTGGATTAGATGTCATTTTTTAGAAATGACATGTAAAGCAATAAGCAATCAAAGAAAAATAGATTAATTGGAATTCATTAAAATTAAAAACTTGAACTTTAAAGAACACTGCCAAGGAACTGAAGAGACAACCCACAGAATGGGAAAAAATACTTGCAAATCATGTATCTGATAAGAGTCTAGTATCCAGAAATAAAAAGAACTCTTAAAAATCAATGATAAAAAGACAAAAAAAAAGTAAGAATGGTCAGAGATTTGAATATACATCTTCCCAAAGAAGATATACAAATGCACATGAAAAGATGCTCAATATCATTAGTCATTAAGAGTATGCATGTCAAAACCACGATGAGATACCATTTCACAATGACTAGGATAATTACAATAAAAAAGTTGGACAATAACAAGTGTTGATTAGGAGTAGAGAAATTTGAACCTGTTGCTGGCAGGAATGTAAAATGGTGCAACCACTTTGGAAAACCATTTGGCAGTTCCTCAAGAAGTTAGACACAGAGTTACCAATGACCAAGCAATTCCACTCATAGATCTACACCCAAGAAAATTAAAAACATTTGTTTATAGAAAAATTGTATGTGAATGCTCACAGCATTATTCATCGTAGCTAAAATGTGAAGACAACCCAAATGTCCATCTACTGATAAACAGATAAACAAAATGTAGAATATCCATACAATGGAATATTATTCAGTAATAAAAAGGAATGAAGTACTGATGCATGTTACAATATGGATGGACCTTGAAAACATGCTAAGTGAAAGATGCCAGACACCAAAGGCCACCTATTTTATGATTCTATGTATATGAAATGTGCAGAAGAGATGAATTCACAGAGACAGAAAGTTGCTAACTGTTGGAGGGAGGGGAAATACAGCATAATTGCAAATAGGCATGGGTTGCTTTCTGCGGTGATAAAAATATTCTGGAATTAAATAGTGATGATGGTTGCACAAATTTGTGAATATACTAAAAACTACTGAAGTGTGCATTTTATAAGGGTGTATTTTATGTGAATTTTATCTAAAAATTTATTTTAAAATGAATGTGATTTTAACAGTAAGTTAAATTATCTCCTGTAAAGCTAGAGAAGTTACACAGTGGAATGGGACAAGCACTGAATCAGGAGACCTGCCACATCCCTGTTACCAAGATCTCTGTCTTGGTGTGGGTCAATCATTTATCCTGTCCAGTCGTTAGTGAGGTCTTGGCAAAATAAGGGGTTGGACTCATAGATTATCTCTAAGGCACCTTTAGTTTCATAGCTCAATATTTATAAGCCTGGACAAAAACTTAAAACTTGGATAAAACCCTAAAAGGAACCAGATGCATACTTGTGTACTCCTTGCTGTATTTTGGATATAGATGAGGCTCTATAGCATGATACGGAACCATACCATCCAAGTTCAAAGCCCTGCTTGGCTGCTTGCTAAATGCCTGCTCTTAGACAAGTTATTTCACCTCATTCCATCTCAACATCCTCCTCTGTAAACTTGGATAATAGGATTGCCTACTGTTGTAAATGTTAAGTGAGTTTGTGTATTGAAAGCACTAATTATAGAGTACACTCATAAAGGATGAAAACAAAGCAAAGGTGATCACAGCCTTTGGCTACTGCTAGAATGAATGTCTAGATTGCAGATAGAGATGTGTTTTGTCACTTTTGCAAATGTTATTTCTCCTGCTCCTTACAGAAAGTCTAAAGGTAGCTATTTAACAGGAGAATACAGAGTTGGAACTATTGAGTGACTTGAGCCAGGAGCTGAGGGCTGTCCAGCTCAAACTCTAGGGCCCTTTTCTTCCTTCCCAGAGACCACACTCCAGGATTCCAGGGGACTGTTCTGACATCAAGGCATTGCAGGGTCTCTAGGAGTAGTATGTGGAGGGATTAGCTAACTAGCATAAGAAAATGGTTTGGAAATTTGATAGGATTAGCTATGTAGTATGTATTATGTGGAGGGATTAGCTAGCTAGCTAACTAGCATGGAAAATGGCATTTGAAATTCTTCTGAAGATGACTCCTATGTTTTCAGTCCTCCTCTCAGGTGTACTCAGATGATTTTTTCAGAACCTGCAATTTTTCAAAATATACTTAGATTATATACCTTATGTATATTTCTCTAAATCATATTTCTACCCACAGATATTTTTTAAATGAATAAAAAAAGATTGGCCAGGTATGGTATCTTGCACTGGTACTCCCAGCTACACTGGATACTGAGGAGGGGAGGACTGCTTGAGGCCAGGAATCTGAGACCAGCTTGGGCAACACAGGGAGACCCCATCTCTAGAAAACAAACAAAATCAACTTCCGATGTGTACCATTCTAAATGGAAAACTATATTGACACATTTTCAGTAGAAGTTGTCATACCCTCCCTCTATGCAAGTAAACACAAGCTCGTTCTTTCACTATTAACATATCATTGAAGGTTAGCCATGAGTTCTGGATGTATATTAATAATTTCTAGATTTCAGAGACTATTATAAGTCACACAGTCAACTTTATGGAGATCATTCAATATTGTATGTTTAAAATAACATTGAATGTATTGTATTTGCTAGAAATAACATTATTATTGCTTAAAACTGACTGAATATTTCTGAGACAGATTTGTCGCCCCCTTTGTTCTTTTGTAGACAGCATTCCCTCCACCTAGTAAACCTGATTTCTGTAATTTCTATTAATGAATAATAATAATAAATAGGCCAGGTGTGGTGGCTTACCTGAGGTAACCCCAGCACTTTAGGAGGCCAAGGCCGGTGGATCACCTGAGGTCAGGAGTTTGAGACCTGCCTGACCAACATGGTGAAACCCCGTCTCTACTAAAAATACAAAAATTAGCCAGACATGGTGGTAGGTGTTTGTAATCCCAGCTACTCAGAAGGCTGAGGCACGAGAATCGCTTGAACCTGGGAGACGGAGGTTGCAGTCAGCTGAGATCATGCCACTGCACTCCAGCCAGAGCAACAGAGAGACTCCGTCTCAGGGAAAAAAAAAAAAAGGCAATAAATAATAAAAGCCAACACTTTAAGCACTGACTCTGTGCCATCATTGTTCTCTTACATATATTATCTTATTTAATACTCATTCAAAAATGATTATTAACTCCATTTTATAGATGAGAAAACTGAGGTCGAGTGGTGAAGTATCTTGCCTAAAGCCACAGAGCTAGGAGGTGGTAGCATCAAAGAACGGGGCTTTCCTGCTCTCTGGATCTTATTGCTGAACATCAGTCCACATTGCTTATTTCTCTCTCCACCCAAGCCCAAATTCATCTCCTCTGAGAAGAGTTCCATAAGTGATCCTTGCTCATAGGAGTTTTTCTTCTCTATTCTTTCAGCACTTACACACTCAGTTTGCAGAGCATTCATGCGTAATTTTTGGAAAATTTTGTTACTTTTTCAGTGTTATCAAGAATGCATAATTTGTGCATCAGGCTAAGGCTAAACTAAAAATCAGAGTCTGCGTCCTCTAATTTTTTTGAATTCTTCTGCTATGACTTGTGAGTAAAACAATGTTCTGAATAAAGTAGTGTTCAGCAGATACTATCAATTCACAGCTCATTAATCACAGTGTTGAGATTCGCATATATGTAACTGCTAACAAGTATTATAGCTCATTTCCAAATCGATTTCATTTACCAATGTTATATACTGCAACTACTCACCCTCGTATCTAATACCTTCAGTTATACAACTTTTCAAATCTGATGATGACAACAAGAATGGCTTGGATGTCCTCAGAACGTACACGATGTACAAATAAACAGCCCAAAGTCTTACTAACATGAGCCTTCCAAACAATGCAATCAGTAAATCTTGTCCTACAGGCTCAAGGAGCTCTCTGTTTTCACTGTCGTTTGTACCGTTCTCCACGCAGTTTAGCTGAGAAGTTAAATCCAGCATAAGTACATTAAAAAATGTATCTGATATTTTCATTTCCTAACAAATGAAGCAGAAATTATATTTTGCAAGTAGGAAAGGCATGTTTTCTCCAAATGAAACTTAAAATCTTACATCTGCTCATAAAAATGTTGAACATCTGAAAATATGAACAAATGCTGGAGTTGCAGGAATGACCTAACAGCTGTTGCACGCGCAGTGACGTAAAAAGCTGCAGACGCATTATTCAGCTATTCAGAAATAGGATCTGGAAAGCATTCTATTTTGGTACACAGCAAAAATTTATTTTTCTCTTGATAAGCCAGGACTTCAGAAGTTAAAAAGAAGAGACTGCTATCTTTAAAAACCTAAGTCGATATTTGCTACAATCATGCAATCTAGTTCTCCTTTCTACCAATTTAAACTAATAGTCCAGTTTTTGAAAGATACACAACCTAAACAATGTCCCTGTGGATGTTGAATTAATTAAAATTGGCAGGGCATTATGAACAAGCAGTAGTATAATTTTCTTGGGAGAAATTTTTAAAAACACTCTTTTTTCTTTTTTATAGGCATCTAAACATGGAGATAGAGACATAGGTAAGAACTGTAACAGAATAAGAGAAGAAATTTGAAATCTCCATATTTTTTCCTCCGGCCAGAAAATGAGTAGCAACAACCAGAGCCACCATGCTGGGCAGCACAGGTTGTAATGTGACGAGGCCCCTACCAGGGTTGTGCCACACTGTGTTAACAGTGCCTGCCAGCCTGGCTCCCACTGATTCTCTGAGCTCCAGCCATATTAGGTGCCTCCAATCCCTGCTCTAGTCCAAGTGCTTGCCTGATTCTGAGCCTTTGCATATGCTGTTCCCACTGCCTTGTACGCCCTTCCTAACCCTTTCTCCTATGGAATTTACACTACCCTCCAGAACTCAGCTCAAACGCTATTCCTCAAGGAAGCATTCTCTAACCTACAGATGCTGTTAGCCTCCCTGCTATACTCTGATCGCACCCTTCTCCCACTCAGCCCTTCCCACAACTGTAATTAAATAATTACATGGGCAATTTGTCACATAAGTGTGATCTACCCCCTAGACGGCAGGCAAGTTTTATGAGAGTTGTTTTTCAGCTGAATTCCCAGCACCCAGCAAAGTGACTTGCCCAAAAAAGACACTCAATGTAACGGTACATACATGGTACTTAGCTTCTCATTTTACTACCTCAAACAAAGCACTGTCTCTGATCTTCTGCTTTCCCATTTTTCTATACTTTAAACTTGATTCTCTGGCCTTCAATTAACTTAATGCCAGAAGAAAATGGATTCTGGCAGAAAACATAGCCAGAAATATGCATCATGCTCTTAAAAGACCACTTGGCTCCACAAAATGGCTCAGGTAAGAAACGCCAACTTGCTCCTTGGTCCAGTCTAATTTCTATTCTGGTGTTATTCCCTTTTGGTCTGGTTTCACAGTCTCTACTGAGGGAAACAAAAACACGAAACACACCGTCAGGATCTTGCGCTCCTCTTGGGGATTTCATAAGGCTATTTCCACAGCTGATTATCACTCTGACTTTGGGCAGGGAGAGGTTAAGAAAAAAAATGCAATATTCTGCAACAGCTGAAATAATTCTCTGCCAAAGCCTGGTTTTAAATTCAAAGTATGTTTTCTCTGTATGTAGAAGGCAGTAAAAGGTCTAAAGTTATAATGTGACATATAAATTTAGCACTCTAAGATGCAAAAACAGAGCAGATATTTTTATGCACTACTCATAATAATAATTACTATTGACTCTAAAGTAAGCAAATCCATATTTGTTTTCAAGTTAAGTGTGTTACTTGAGAATATTCGAAAACATTTGCTAAGGGGTGTGAACGGTGCAGACTCTCATCAAAATCCATCTGTCTGAATCTATTAACTGGCATTTCCCCAGCTGGGGCATTCCTCAAGTCCTACATAACAAAAGCTCCTTATGCCAGGAGTGAGGGCTGATACTGAACTTAGAAACTGGATTTATTTTATCCAGAATTAAAAGTTCTAAATGGATTTTGTAATCGTGTATCTTTAGGACCCAACTCTATCAAACACAAAACCAACAGCTGATGTCAAATAGAAAATTAGAGTTTGAGCTTCAAAGTCAAGGTAGCTATCACTGCTTTTCTATTTTAAAAAACAATTTGAAAATACTCATGTAAATTATTCAGGGTAAGGGGTGTTTAGCGTTTCATGTCTTTTCTATCCCCCCAATGGACTTCATTGCTTTCTGTTTTTCACTCAATGTTAATGAAGAGATGTTATCTTCAATTTTTAGCATTTGTATGTTTTTGAAGGACTATAATATTTAGATTATCCCAAATCAAGAAAACCACTTTCATCATCTATAAAAAGACTGCATGTGTTTTCTGAGTACATGGAAGGCCGCAACAAATGCCTGCAGATTGATTGTGATATGTTGGTCTTCCACATCCTTGTCAAGTTTATCCCTAACACCTTCCTTTCTGAAAATGGGTGCTGCTCCTCCAGACTGTACCGGAAATGTCATTTCTATTGCCCTGTGTTTACAAATCCTGGAATCTCTATTTTACTGCCACTCATCTTTTCTCTTTCATGTATATCAAAAGTATATATGCTATATTGTGCATGTGTGCATATATATATATATAAATAATCTTTTGAGGACGTAAACTGAAAAGCTTCAGAACCTACACATCAAAAAGTTTGTCACAGTTTGCTTGTTTATCACAGGCAGCTTGTCATTTTCCCCCCAAATCCTCACTGGCACAACGGTGTTTTTAGTGTAGCCAACACTACTTCCTACTGATGCTGAGTAAGTGAAGGCTCAGTTTAACTCTTCTCTAGCCTTCATCAAATCCTAAAATGGCTGGCATGTGAGGCCTCAGTAGCTCCAAAAGGAAACAGGATGAGGGCCTTTCTCAGATACTCTGCTTCCTGTTATCAACCAACAGTTCTGCCCACCAATATCTCCTGATTATTCTATACACAGAGAGGAAAAAAATGAATAAAGAAAATTCAAAATGAACATAAAGTCTTGGTATAACCTAGGATTTTGAGTCCTTTTCTTCACAAAACCTTTTTATCTGAGGTACTTTAAAGAATTTTTTTTTATCCCCTTCCCTTTGGTCCTATTATGGGCTGAATAAAACTATCCAAATGTTACACTCCAAAGGCGAAGAAAAGATTTTTTTCAAAAAGAGTAAAAAAATGCATACACTGCATCCCCAAATCACCTTAGAAAGTCATCTTGAGTCCTGTGAAGCCCAACATTGTCTCTGTTACTAAGAAGCAGAAAAGTGGCCGGGCGCGGTGGCTCACGCCTGTAATCCCAGCACTTGGGGAGGCCGAGGCGGACGGATCACGAGGTCAGGAGATCGAGACCATCCTGGCTAACATGGTAAAACCCCGTCTCTACAAAAAATTAGCCGGGCATGGTGGCGGGCGCCTGTAGTCCCAGCTACTTGGGAGACTGAGGCAGGAGAATGGCGTGAACCCGGGAGGCGGAGCTTGCAGTGAGCCGAAATAGCGCCACTGCACTCCAGCCTGGGCGACAGAGCGAGACTCCGTTTAAAAAAAAAAAAAAAAAAAAAAAGAGCAGAAAAGTGAAGCTGAAAGAATATATAATTCATCAACCGGTGAAACGTGCAGAGGTGATTTATCCCCATCTCCCTCTCTCTCTCCTCCAGAAACACAAGCACTGCACTTCAGTGGAGTTAAAAATCAGCGCTTCCTTTCAGAACAACTGTAAAAATCACAGGATGTAGAGAATCATTTTAAATAGGTAGCACAAATAAACAGGAAATCCCCTCTTCCCCACCTGGCCTTCCTCACCCACTCCCTATGCTAGGAAAGCCCTAAAGAGATTTATCAGCCAGAGATTTCTGCCAGAGCTGTTTTCACTTAGTTAAACACCACTTTTGTGCACTAGAGTTTTACAAAGAGGCCATTAAGGTAAGAAGCTAAATTTGAAATGAAATTTTCTTTTAGTGTACGTCAATAAAGTAATGTAAACCAAACACAATACCCTATGTACTAAGTTCCCTGTTTAAAACTATTGTCTTTGGTTTCTTCCTGTACTCCGACATTAAGGGGAGAAAAAGGAAACTGTATTCAGAGCATCTGCTGAGTGATATAATGGTGTTTTCGAAGTGGGGTTCACACATCAACAGCCTCACAATTCCCTGAAATGGTTCTTAAAAATGCAGGTTCCTGGACCCCCATCTGTTCAATCTGATTTTCTGACAGGTGGACCCCAAATTATGTATACTGAAAAACACCTCAAAGTGATTCTTTTGTATTAAAACTTGGGAATTAATAAAATGACTGCTTCTAATGCTTTCACATAGGTTATCTTATGTATTAGGTTAAGAATATATCTCACCTCAGTTCTAGTAATCCATTCACACTCAAGTGGTGCTCTTATAATTTGTTGTAGATGTTTATCCCCCTTTAAGCAGCAAAAACCATGCTGTTCTTCCATCTTGGACACTTCACGGTCACATGCCTGAGCCACGTGACTTTGTTCAAGTTCCTAAGCCTGTGTGAACTGTGGTTGTATGCTATGAAAACTGAGCATAATTCTGACCTTCTAGGACTGTTTTATGTATTAATTTCAATCACAAGTGTGCCTGGCACATGGTTAGCACTCAAAAAGCTGTATTTTAATTTCCCTTGAGAAAAATGGTGCACCTAAGAAATAGTTGTACATTTATCCACAATTAGTGCTTCAATCTTAGAATACCACACTAGAAATGTGATGATAAACCAATGTTACCATTTAAAATATACATGTAATACCTACATATCTTCTGTCTCCATTAAATAAGTTCTCTTGAGAGACGATATTCATTTTTTAAATGCTGGCCAGCTTGAAATATTTTCCAAATGCTATTTTGAGTACACTTTAGACGTATGTGATTATTATATTTGGTAATTTTTATTTTGCATTTATATTTACTTTTTTTTAAAATTTTTAGAGACAGGGACTCACTGTCACCCAGGCTGGAGTGCAGTGGCACAATCATAGCTCACTGCAGCCTCAAACTCCTGGGGTCAAGCGATCCTTCTGCCTCAGCTTCCCAAGTAGCTGGGACTACAGGCATGGGCCACCACATCTGGCTAATTTATTAAATTTTTTGTAGAGATGGGGTCTTGCTATGTTGCCCAGGTTGGTCTTGAACTCCTGGCCTCAAGGGATCCTCTGGGTTCAGCCTCCGATAGCACTGGGATTACAGGCATGAGCCATTGTGCTGGTCCCTTTGGTGATTTTTATAATCAGTATTATTTTTTATCATTGTAAGTAAATAAGTATAATTTAAAAAGAGGGTGAAATTTGTCCTTTCAAATACATGGTAAAGGTGCTACATTTATGCACTTTGAAAATGGATTTGCTCTTTAAAATAGTTAAGTTTTTCATGGTCAAACCTGATGAAAAGAAGGTGATTGATCTTCAGGAATCCAAAACTGAAACCTGAACAAAGAAGAGACTTGTTTTCTTGTGCGGTTCAAAAGTTGACAATTCCCAAGAAGAGCTTCAAGTGTTGCTGAGATAAGGTGGCAGGCCACTAATATCATTTGAATGTAAATATTTCAGTCTATGTATATTTTTAAAGTCTGTCTTATTTTGGCTTAATCATACCTAAAACATCATATGACATTTGTTTTTCGTATACTGTCTCTCCACAGGGTTCTTGAATTAATATACTTGAGTGTGAAAATTGTTTTTCCAATGATAACAATTTCCATCTATGGCTTCTAGATTAAGCAGGATCCAGGTATAATGGTGATAGAGGCTGTGATATGAAGTAGTTTATTCTAAACCAATATGTTCAGAGGTTTGAGGGCTCTGGAAACAGATCATGTGGTTCTTAATGTTTACTTCAGAGTTCTCTTTAGCTTTGAGAACCCAGGCCAGAATCAGCTAACATTTTAGAGTCAAAATGTCCTCATTATAAAATGGGTATGTTAATAGTACTAACCCTATGGGCCACTAGAATGAAATAAAATAATGCACGAGACGTGCTTAGCACAGTCTCTGTGCTAAAACATAGCAAGGACTCCATCACTGCTAACTATTGTCGGTTTTTCTAGAATCTCCATGATGGCAAGCAACCATTTCAACCAGAGTGCAGGAAATGCATTTTTCTTTTTGAAAGATTGACCAAGAAAGGGTAAGAGGGATGGGGTCATGGGATACATGGAAGTTTTTCTCTAAGCAGCACAACTATCTCTCTAATTTAGCTCATAATTCCTTTGTGGTCTTATAAATACAGTATTAATATTTCCCACATGCCAAATAGGGGCCCTTGAGTCACAACAAGAGTTCTAAGGGTGCCAGTGAGTTATCAGTGGAGGTAGGCATCAAATTCAGCATTGTTTCAGCTGGGTTCTCTAACAGTTCACTGCCTTTCATATGCAGATGATTTGTTATGCAATAATTTAATTCAATGGTTTTCATAAAGAATGCCACAGAGGGCCTGCTTCATGTGTGTTACTTTATTGTTGCCCTGGTGACATTTGAAGAGCCCTCAGGCAACTACAGCTATCTGAGGATTCCAGAGAGCAACTTCATGTGAACAAAAAGGCTAAGTGTTACGGTGCAGCTGTTCAATGCATATTCTCAAGTTCTGCACCATGAATTAATACTTTTCTTCTGGCTTATTTTCTTGCCTCTAGTCAGTATGTTAAATAAATTCAGCTTTTCATGAGAGGTTGAACTTATACATAATCAAATAACTCAAAAACTTTTAATGAAATTTTGTGAAACCTTTTAAACTATGTACCCCTAAAATCATTCTGTAAATATACTAAAGTCATGGAATTACAGGATTTTTTTTTGTCTTTTAAATTCTTTGTGACAATTTAGTTTTTATGACATATAAAAAATTGTATATATTTAAGGTGTACAACGGGATGTCTTCATATACATTGTGAAATGACTATCACATTCCAACTAATTAACATATCTATTCCCTGTATATAATTACCATTTTGGCACCCTTTGACCAAAATCACTCCATTTTCCCCTCTTCCCCGCTCCAGGCAACCACCATCCTACTTTCTACTTCTATAGTTTGACTATTTTAGATTCTACGTAAAAGGGAGATCATGCAGTATTTCTCTTTCTGTGTCTTGCCTACTATTTTGCTTAGCATAACTTCCTCCAGCTTCATCCATGTTGTCACAAATGACAGGATTTTCTTCTTTTTTAAACCTGAATAATATTCCATTGTGTGTGTGTATGTGTGTGTGTGTGTGTGTGTGTGTGATTGTATAAAATCACTTTCTTTCTTTTTTTTTTTTTTTTTGAGACAGAATCTGGCTTTGTCACGCAGGCTGTAGAGCAATGATGCAATCTCGGCTCACTGCAACCTCCACCTCCCGGGTCCCAGTGATTCTCCTGCCTCAGCCTCCTGCGTAGCTGGGATTACAGGTGCCTGCCACCATGCCTGGCTAATTTTTGTATTTTTAGTAGAGACACGGTTTCACCATATTGGCCAGGCTGGTCTTGAACTCCTAACCTCAAGTGATCCGCCCCCATCAGCCTCCCAAAGTGCTGGGATTACAGGCGTGAGCCACCGCTCCTGGCCAAAATCACATTTTCTTTATCTGTTCACTGCAGGACATTTAGGTTGTTTCCATATGTTGACTATCGTGTAAAATGCTGCAGTGAACATGGGAATGCAGAGAGCTCTTTACAATCCTGTAGGACTGCTTGATCATATGTTCCATTCTGAATTTTGGGGGAACCTTCCTACTTTTTCCATAATGGTTGTATAAAGTTATATTCCTAACAACAGTGAACAAGGGTTCTACTTTCTCCACATCTTTGCCGACATTTGCTATCTTTTATCTTTTTTACAATAGTCACCCTAAAAGGTATGAAGTGATATCTCATTATGGTTTTGACCTGCATTTACCTGATAATTACAGATGTGGAGCACCTTTTCACATGTTTATTGGCATTCTGAATTTCCTTTTCTAAGAAGTGTCTATTTTGGTCCCTTGCCCATTTTTTAATCCAGTTGTTTGTATTTTTGGTATTGATTTGTATGAGTTCCTTATATATTTTGGATATTAAGAGTTTTAAGTAGTCATTAATAGCTGTGAGCTCTTTGAAATCTTGCATAAAGCAGGTCATCAAGAAATGCTATGAACAAATAAATATAGCCTTTTACGTCCATTTCAGATTTCTTTTCAAGAGGGTGCTTCTAAAGTAACTATTGCGCAAAAGTCCTCTGAAAAAATAGGTCAAGAAGTGATATCAGTTCCACTATGGAAATTATTGGCTACAAAGTGTCTGTAATCACCACACGTATTTCTGACACTTACTTTAACTCTAAACTTGCAAATCCAAGTAAGGGCACCGAGGCTTGGAGTGAAGACGCCCCCAGAGACCGGAAACCCAGAATTTCCAGGAGCTCTGGTAGGTTCTGCTAATTCAACAAAAGCCTTCTTTAAAAGCCATGGAGGACTTCATGCTCTTTGCAACATCCATGCAAGAAAAGAGGCTCTCATGATTATGCTATAAAGTTGTAGAGCAAAGTAATTTAGACAGAATGGATATAAAAATAAACGGGCTTGTGATGCTCATGAGAGAGAAAAGAAAATGGATTCACATATTTTTGTCATCCTGGAGTCAGAAAATAATTTGCAGACTATCCAATAGAGCACCAAAGGATGAGCTTTGCAAGCTCCTCATCTGGCTCTGACCCCCCTTGCTAGTCTTCTCTTCACTGGCTCTTTTTCTTGCACTTCAGGTCCCAGCAACATCAAATAATTCCTCATGCTGCTCCGTGCATCTGTTTCTTTGCCTGTGCTCTGTACTTCCTTCTCCTTCCAGTGTAATTTCTCTCCTTTAAGGCTCAACTCAGAGACCTCCTCTGTGACAAGCCACTCCACCCTCTGATCTCTCCCTACATCTTCATTCTTGTTTTCTTGTTTTGTTTTGTTTTGAGGTGGGGTTTTGCTCTTTGTTGTCCAGGCTGGAGTGCAATGGTGCAAGCTCGGCTCACTGCAATCCCTGCCTCCCAGGTTCAAGTGATTCTCCTGCCTCAGCCTCCCAAGTAGCTGGGATTACAGGCATGCGCCACCATGCCTGGCTGATTTTGTATTTTTTTTTTTTTTTTTTTAGTAGAGAACAGGTTTCGCCATGTTGGTCAGGCTAGTCTCGAACTCCTGACCTTAGGTGGTCCACCTGCCTCAGGCTCCCAAAGTGCTGGGATTACAGGTGTGTGCCACCACACCTGGTCTGTTCTTCATTCTTCTACTACCATACTTGTCCTAAGTTCCTTGAGTGTTAGTTAAAATTAGGGTCTTTTTCATCTTTTTTCTCAGTGCAGAGCATAGCAGAGTGTCTGACACATGATGTTCACTCAATAAATGTTTTTCATGGATGAATGAATGTAGCTAATTTCTCCCATTTGCATAAAAAAACCAAGGGCCAGAGGTTATTTGCTCCTTCCTCTTAATTATGTGATGGTCTTTACGTAATTAGCAACTAAGTATTTTTTGTATAATTGAGACATTAACTAAATTTGAATAATCAAGGAGGCCTGTAAAAGGTCTCACTGCTTCCACTCTTGGCCTGTATTGTCTTTTCCTTCCACATTTTACATCATAAACCAGGTGAATTGCTCACAGCAAATCATACCCCAAAGCATATCCAGACTCTCTCCCAGGCATAAAGCTGCAGAGGAGCTGGCTACCTGTCGACCCCATTCCCTAAACCTCTCCCTGTAGCTCACTGCATTCCAGCCCTGCCCACCTCCCCACCTATCCACAGACACTTCCACAGGCTCCTGCTTCAGGACTCATTCCCGTCCTTTTCCTTCTGCCTAGAACATTCTTTCTCCCAGATCTCTGAATGTCCCTGCTTCAACACCACTTCTCCAGAGAGTTCTTTTGCAACGAACTGAATGTCTGTGTCCCCCTCAAATTTCATATGTTGAAGTCCCAACCCCCAGTTTGATGGTATTGGGAGATGGGGCTTTTAGGAGGTAATTAGGTCATGAGAGGAGAGCTCTGGTAAATGGGATTAGTGACCTTATAAAAGGGACCACAGAGAGATTTCTCACTCTCTTTCTGCCAGGTGGGGATACAACCAGAAAACGGTTGTCTGCAGACTGCAAAATGGTCCTTTTTAGAATCCAACCATGCTGGCACCCTGATCTCGGACTTCCAGCCTCCAGAACTCTGAGAAATACGTCTGCGGTTTAAGCCACCAGTCTATGATATTCTGTCAGAGCAGCCCACACCACCTGAGACACCTTTTCTGTTCATTGTATCCCAAATAGCACCCCCTTTCAGTCTCCAGCTTCTCTACATTTTTTGTTTTTTCTTCATAATATGCTAATTACAACACTTACATATAGTTATTATTGTTTCCACCACTTGAATAGAAGCTCAGTAAGGCTGCTGATTTTGTCAGTTGTGTTCAACACTGAATCCTCAGTGCTGTGAGTGTTTAGCATAGTAGGTCCTTAAGAAATATTTGTTGAATAAATTAAGTGAATGAGAACCTTGCAATCTTCGTAAAAATAAAATCATATAATTTGGGAAATTACTCAAGAAATTCATTTTTTTCTTAAACTCTATAATAATAATGATAATAATAATAATAATTTTAAGTGGCCAAAAGGGACATTTCCATTTTAAACAGATGACAAACATATTTTTAAATTTCAGCTATGCTGGCTGGGTACGGTGGCTCAAGCTTGTAATCCCAGCACTTTGGGAGGCCAAGATGGGCAGATCCTTTGAGGTCAGGAGTTCGAGACAAGCCTGGCCAACATGATGAAACCCCATCTCTACTAAAAATACAAAAATTAGCTGGGCTTGGTGGCGGGCACCAAATCCCAGCTACTCAGGAGGCTGAGGCATGACAATAGCTTGAACCTGGGAGGCGGAGGTTGCAGTGAGCCAAGATCATGCCACTGCACTCCAGCTTGGGCAACAGAGTGAGACTCAGCCTCAAAAAATAAAATAAAAAATAAATTTCAACTATGCCTTCTCCATTTCCCTCCTCCCTCCAACATGCAATAACAACAGCAGTATTAGGTTCCTTTAGCTGTAAAATGAAAATTTCCAATTGCACCTTAGAAGGAGGCTGGAGGGTAGGAGTTTATCTGGCACAAGTCTACAAAGCTGACAGGTGCACCAAACACCTGAGGTTGGGATCATGGCAGGACAGGTGGGGTTTGGGGTCATCAGAGGTAAACTGAGGAGGAACTCACTTAGGAGGGAGCAAGTCAATGCCTTTCATGTCCTTCAGTCTTTCCTTTAATCAGTCACTGAGTCAGTTAGGCTGCCAAGAAACACTTATGAAACATGGGAAAGGCTTTGCTCTTGAAGGTAAGTAAGGTACCATCTTTTCTCCTGAAAAGTTGGTACTCTAGAGACTAATTTCAGAAACAGGCATCTTGCTCAGGAATGAGTGGCCAAGTATGATTTCACTTATAATCACAAGAGTCAGTGTGACTTGAAGTTGGGCTGTAATCTCAAACTTGTCACTAAGGAGATAGGTGACCTGCAACAGGTGAATTTAACCTCTCTGAAGTTCCATCAGCTCTTCTAAAATGAATGACTTGGACAAGATCATCTATAAGACATCCATGTGCTCTAATACTTCATGACTCTGAAAAGAAAGAAGAGGTAAAAATACTGGCTGGAATTCCCTTGTCATATTAAAAAGCTTGAAGAAAAATAAGTCATATAATCTATCAACAATTCACCTTTTAGAAGTTTGCTAGGCACTGATTTGCAAGAGAAGTAAGAGAAGGCATCCATTCTTGTATTTCCTCAACAATTAGGTTATTTTACTATGTGGATTATACAGCAGAGGGTGAAAGACTTTTTTATTGCAAGACAAAGTTTCTCTATTCTACTACAAAAGAAATCTTGCTGGTGAGACAAGGACCAGATTGAAATACTCAGCAGAGTGGATGGAAAAGGGGGAAACTTGAAGCCAGATGAGACCCCAGTCTGCACTTCACTACCTGCACTGAACTTGGCCAAGCTCCTTCACTTACCTCATCTTTAAAGTAATGATCGGGACCTCAGTGTCATGGAAGGATGACATACGGAAAAACCCTTAATCAGGGCCTGACACACAGCGGACCCTTGTCAGGGCCGGTCCTCCTGCCCTCTCACCCCCAAGACATAAAAGGAGAGACCCTCAAGAGGTGGGAGTGGGCATCACTAGAATGGAATTGGCAAGGAAACCATGAAGGGCTTGAGCCAGCTCTTTAAAAGTGGGCAGGATCTAGGTAGGCAGAGAGAGAGATAAAGGTATCTGACCTGGAAAACATTCCATGGCATAAGCCATGAGCCTGAAATAGAGTTTAGAGCCATTTCCAATAACTGATGGAAGGACAGCGCCAGGCAGGCGGTAAACTAACACCTGGAAAGGTTGTTATGAAATAAATACACACACACTCCTACACCCCCCACCCCCCCGCAGCGCACACACACACCACACACTCACACATTTTAAAACACAGCCTGTATTTTAAAAAGCTTTTCTGGTAATTCCGATGCTCCGTGAGGTTTGGGTGTCACTGGCTGGATGGAGGAAACAGCAGCTGACTGACCTGGACAGGATAGAGCTCACACTGGGCAGCAGGAAAGTGACGGGAAAGGTCAGCACTGGAGTAGGAGCCTGGACTCAAATCCCCCCTGCCACGCCCCTGCCATGGAGCCCTGGGAAGCCACATGATGTTTCCTATCCTCATTTGTCTCATTAATGCAATAGAGATCACGGCACCAGCTTTGTCTCCTGTGAGGGACTTTTGTTACAATCTGTTGATTTTAAACCACTGTTATATTACATTCATAGACTAACACTTAGCTGTAATGCGCTAGAGAAAAAATCAGGATCACCATTAATCCCCATCATTATCATTGAGACTCTGGGATGCTGGAACGTCACAGCCAGCTCCCTCTGTGACACCCTGTGTGAGGCAACAGTGGGGCAGGACTCCGAAAATGGTTCCATGCTGTCACTACGACACCCATGAACTGTGATGCCTTCCTAAGTGCTAGACTGTGATTAGGGTGGAGGTCCTGCAGTCACTGGGGTCTCATAAGTCATGAGAGTCATGCTGCTCTCTCAAACCTACATAGCTACAAGTAGTGGGTATGTGCCTTGCACACGCCACTTAACCTCTCCCAGCCTTGGAGGTCTCTTCCGCCTAAAGTAGGTTAGTAACGGTAAGCATAGTCAACACGTACCATTATGTAGTCTGTGCCATACGCACAGCAAGCAACCAACGAGGTGTGTGGAGGCTGAAATTCAGCCCCAGCTACATTCGCCAAGCCTCACAACTACGGGGCTGCATTGTCACTGAAGAGGCAACTTTTTCTAATTCATCATCCCAGAGAGGACTGATGTGAATTTTCTAAATCACAGCAAGGTGCTGTTTGTGTTAACAGTGACCTTGGTAGTACCTGCTGAGAAGCCTGGGCATTAAGTACGAACATACACGGAGTCCTTAGCACAGTGCCAGGAATACAACAGAGTCCAATACTGGGTAGCTGTTAATGTTAAAATATTATTCATTCATTCATTCATTCATTCATTAATTCATTCACTCAGCAAGCATTCATTGTGCACCTCCTGTATACGAGCTACATGCTAGGGCAGCTGGCATGTCTGCAATGAATAAGACATTACCCTTTCCCTGGATGAGCTTGTGGTTTAAGGGTAAACAGAGACACAAGTAAATCATTATATTCAAGTATGGATACAGGAGGGCTTCTCCAGAGTGATCTTATAGCTTAAATTTCTGAATACTAATGACTGTGCTATTAAGGTTTAATTTATTTATACAAATTCAGCATTTCATATCTGGAAAGTAAAACTTGTTATAACTCTTTGATAAAGCTGCTTACACATCTTATACTTCCCTATGTTCAGATTAGACACACAAAACAGCGTAATCAAGCCACTGTTACAGGACCACCACCTGTGTCCACTTGGGTGCCAGGACCCTGCTGTCAAAGACAGGTCCACTTCCTTACAACATGGCCTAGAATTGGCTGATTATAAGCTGCCTGCTGGCCATGTTCGGTGGCTCACACCTGTAATCTCAACATTTGGGGAAGCCGAGGTGGAAGGATTGCTTGAGCCGGAGAGTTTGAGGCCAGCCCAGGCAACATGGCGAGACTCTGTCTCTTCAAAAAATTTTAAAAAATTAGCTGGGCATGGTAGCATGTATCTGTAGTCCCAGCTACTCAGGAGGCTGAAGTGGGAGGATGGCTTGAGCCACAGAAGTTGAGGTTTCAGTGAACCAAGATCACACCACTGCACTCCATCCTGGGTGACACAGCAAGACCCTGTATCAGAAAAAAAAAAAAAAAAATTCTCCTTACTTGTGTTCCTGTTCAGAACTACTCAAATATATTATTGGATGAAGTAGCCTAAGAACAAGTGAAAACGCATGGATGCACTCTTATTTTCAATTGTCCAGAAATATCAGGTTGGTGAAAAAGTAATTGTGGTTTTTGCCATTGAAAGTAATAGCAAAGACTGCAATTATTTTTGCACCAACATAATACTTCACATTAAATAATAATTTTTAAACAAAAGAAATATATATATACATATATGTGTGTATATTTTACAAGGTTAAATGTAAAATATTTACATTTGCATTAGCAAAGGAGGATTTAACCTATGCAATTTTATAAGACTAGACTCCAGTCAGCTTTAGTGTTTTTCCCAGAGACAAATGGGAATAATGACAAAATAAAATGTTGGCAGATATAAAATCCCTGATGATAAATGATAGGCTTTATTACTACCTCTCCTAATTTCCTTTTCTGAGTAAGTACCCTAGGTGAAACCTACACAAGAAATAGCTTTAATGGTTTTAATAGTAGTGGTTTAATGAACTAATCTATTATGAGCATTGTAAATATTTAATTAAGACACAGCTTAATTAAGACATTTAAAAAAAAGATCTGCAAGTCTATCATATCAAGAATTGTACCTTGTCCCAATTTCCTATTATTCCTCAGTACCACAATACTTTTTAAAAAACTAATTAAAATATTTGCTTCAATATATGTCATAAGGAAATACACTCACTGTATCAGTAACTCTGCAAACATCAAGGGTCATATTATTGCCTTACTTTATAATGCTGTTGTCAGAATCAATAAACAATAAAATAAAATAAACACTTTCTTTTTTGGGGGTTCACCTTCCCCAAAAGCAAGGGGCACAGAGGATGTGGACTGTAGATTGTAGATACTCAAGGGACTGTTTCCAAGGTCCTTTCAGTGATTTACACATGGCTGTTGTCTTACGTATATAACACCAAGTCACCAGTGAAGGTGAATTCACAAAGCAAGTCATGGCTCTACAAGGAACTGGCTTCCCCTGAGTGCAGGACCAGCTACATCATTTGCAGGGTCCAAGACAGAATGAAAATGTGGGCCTTCCATTCAATAATTATTAGGAATTTCAAGATGGTAACAGCAGAACATTAAACCAAATGAGGGGCCCTTCTATGCATGGGGCCCTGTGTGACTGCAGAGGTCACATGACCCTGCAGTCAGCCCTGCCGGGGTGTAGTGCAAAGACTGTTGAGATCTTAGAGGAGTTTGCAGGCTCCGGACTCCTGACTTGTCCCCTCTTGTCCCTTCTTCAATTCTGGTAGATGTAGTTCCAATAGCAGAAGGTACCAGTTATAAGTTGCTGGTATAAGTTGCTAAGTAGCCAAAGCTTCATGGGAGTGACACTGGTAGGTTTCCTAGGGTACACTTATGGGCTTCTGCCCTTTCTCTCAACTATCAGACCAACCCATGAAATCCAGACAGAAAAGGTACTAAAAGACTGAGGACATTAAGGTTCTTTTAGACTCACGGTCTAGTTTTACGGACTCATTGATCTTTAAAGTTAAATGGGACCTTAGAGATTATCTAGTCCAATTTCTCTCATTTTAATTAGGTCTCCATCAAATTCCATTTAGGCCAAAAGCATGCAGATGAATTCTCATTTGCATAGCTCTACAGCTGATGGTGATTTTGATGATGAAATCATAGTTGACAGTCTTTCAGAAAGACAAAATGTTAGTATAATGAAAGATTCATGATATAACACTAATGGATCGATACGAGATGCTGCCAGCCATGCTAACAATATATTTAGCATTTGATTTTTTAAAAAATCCCAGTCAGAGCAAGGAGAGTGAGCTGAATGTCTTAGTTCTTGGAATTCCCTGGACATGGGATCTAGAATGAGTTTATAAGATATAGGAGATCGAGACCATCCTGGCTAACATGGTGAAACCCTGTCTCTACTAAAAATACAAAAAATTAGCCAGGCGTGGTGGCATGTGCCTGTAGTCCCAGCTACTCAGGGATGCTGAGGCAGGAGAATTGTTTGAACCCGGGAGGCAGAGCTTGCAGTGAGCTGAGATCGCGGCACTGCACTCCAGCCTGGGCGACAGAACGAGACTCCGTCTCAAAAAAAAAAAAAAAAAAAAAGAAAGAAAGATACAGGAACAAAGCATATGAATCTAGAAGTGAAGGAAATGGGTGGTTTCGGGTGGGGGTTAAAGGATCTCCTTTATCAGGAACACATGCCTCTGCTCCTCTATTCCCTACTTATATGTATGTTGTCTTCAATAATCCCTTACATAGGGTTTATTATGGGCCAGACACTGTGCTAAGTTCTTTGCAAATATTAACTCATTTAATCCTCATAACAACCCTCTAAGGTAAGTACTATGCTTATCCTCCTCTTTAAAGATGAAGAAACTGACAAACATTGAGATTAATTATCTTGCCCAAGGGCCCACTGGTTTAACTGGTGGAGGCAGGATTCAAACTCATGTAGCTTTGACTCCAGTAGCTGTTCTTAACCACTAGATCGTGATGCTGTGCCAGTCATCTTCCATCATGCCCTAATACCACCAACGCTACCCTCTACTACACAGCTATAGGTACCAAAAGTTAAAGGACATGCATTTAAGACACTGTACAATCTATGCTTCTAGCACTGTAGTTGTGACAAATATTTATGTCACCATATGACTAAACTGATGCTAACTTCACAGATGTTAATACCCATTTTTTGATGGGTTTTGATTTTATATGTATGATATCCCAAATAGCTTCCACCCCTTTCCCACCTTTATGGTGCTACTCTAAAGGCTACACATACACTTTTCATTTGTCATTGCTTTGTTTTAGATCTAAGAGCTAGAAATCAAACACTTAGCACAAAGCCTCTCTTCTTTCTGTCTAGAAAGAATAAAACCTTCTATAAGATAATACTTGAAATATGCAAAAGCTTTTTTGACTTATGTTCATTGTAACAATAAGTTCTCTTTTATATCTACTGCTTAGGAAATCTTTTCTTGGCACTAAAAGAAAGACACAATGGCTGGGCACGGTGGCTCATGCCTGTAATCCCAGCACTTTGGGAGGCCAAGGCAGGTGGATCACGAAGTCAGGAGTTCAAGACCAGCGAGACTCTGTCTCAAAGAAAAAAAAAAAAGGAAAATACTATTTATTACCAAGACTATGAGGACAACACCTTGTGGCCAGGAAAGGTGCAATCCATCATTGTTTTCTAGTTGGTTGTTAAGATTTCTGTGATGAATACAACTCAACATCAGGTAAGGGAGGGAAGCACTATCTTGCCATCTTTGTAGTGTCATTGTGACAACATGTATGCTCCCACAAAGGGGTAGATTAGCATAATTTGTTACGCTTTTTATGATATTCAAACATTCATACTTTTAGATTGTTCTTCTAATAATAAATATTTATTTCCAATGGAAAAACACTTCTTTTTTGAGATAGGTTCTCACACTGTCACCCAAGTTGGAGTGCAGTGGTGCAATCATGGCTCACTGCAGCCTCAACTTCCAGGGCTCAAACAATCCTCCCACCTCAGCCTCCCAAGTAGGAGTAGCTAGGACAGGCACGTGACACCATGTTCAGCTAATTTTCTTTATCTTTTGTAGAGACTGTGTCTCCCTGTTTCCCAGTGTGGAAAAACACTTTCAAAGATGCTTCAAGAAATTTGAAATGTTTCCATTTTATCCAGATGCAGAGAGAATAAGAAGCATAAGACCTTCCAGTTTAATATCATTGCAAGCAAATGTATGAATTTTTATGGATTGCATAATTGTCTCTCTTGTTCATTGAATTTCCTATATAGGAAGGAGAAAGGAGCATTCAACAAACACAATATGCCATGATGCACTATAGATAATGAAGCCTCTATTGTACAAAAAACCAGAAACATAAGATTCTGAAAATTTTATTTTGGAGAAAAATGTTACTAAAGAAAGATACTGCCTGAGAGTGTAAGATGTCTTGACACAGCAGATTTGCAAATAAAATATTGTGTAGTCATGCTACATTCTATACTGCTCTTGTGCAATTTCTGGAAGCTTGCTTCATTTCTGGTCAGATAGATGAGTTAAGTGATTTGGGCAGCATAGTAAAATTTATGTGCCTCACCAAGATACAGCCATGGTACTGAATTAATATCCTGCACTACTGTCCCAACATGCTTTGACAAGGATGCTATTTCATGGCTCAATAAATACTTATGGACTAACTACAAACGTGACAAAAATGTTTGTCCTTCAACTCAACTCTTTTAGGACTAAACATTCAAGGACTCTGAAAAAAGCCCAGAAATGTTGTAAGACTTTTAAAACCACTTTTATTTTAATTTTACAAGCTTGCTAAACTTGCAAAAGGACAGAATAGAAATATACTGTTGGATAAACCCCTAGGAAACTTCACAAAGTCTTAAAGCAAAATTTTCTCCATATGTGCTTTGTTCAACATAAGATGTAAAAAGCACAAAAGAGAAGTAGATATTAATTTCATTAGACATGCTCTATGTCTAAATGATCAAGTTGGTGGCTTACAAAAAATCATATTCTGCGGTCCTCTCAAGAAATTTCCGTGAACGGCATGGCGCGGTGCCTCAAGCCTGTAATCCCAGCACTTTGAGAGGCCGAGGTGGGCGGATCACAAGGTCAGGATATCAAGACCAACCTCGCTAACATGGTGAAATCCTGTCTCTACTAAAAATACAAAAAAATTAGCCGGGTGTGGTGGCTTCAACTCGGGAGGTGGAGGTTGCAGTGAGTCAAGATCGTGCCACTGCACTCCAGCCTGGGCGACAGAGCGAGACTCCGTCTCCAAAAAAAAAAAAAAAGAAGAAGAAAAAAAGAAATTTCAGCGAACCAGCTGGGCTTGTGCCTCTTATTCAGAGCAGCCACCAGCAATTAATGAATATGGTCTTTCTTTTTTCCAATTCAAGGAGGACGCTGTATTGCCCCCCAGGGTGGGCCAGCATATTGCAGATAGGTTAGGCCAAGGTTAAGTTACACCCTTTACAAATGCAAACTTTTTTTTTTTTTGAGATGGAAGCTCTGTGGCCCAGGCTGGAGTGCACTGGTACAATCTCAGCTCACTGCAACCTCCTCCTCTTGGGTTCAAGTGATTCCCCTGCCTCAGCCTCTGGAGTAGCTGGAATTACAGGCATATCCCCACCATACCCGGCTAATTTTTGTATTTTTAGTAGATACGAGGTTTCACCATGTTGGCCAGGCTGGTCTTAAACTCTTGACCTCAAGGGATCTGCCCGCCACGGACAGCTTCCCTAAGTGCTGGGATTACAGGCATAAGCCACTCTGCCAGGCCACAAATACAAACATTTAAGACATTGGTTATCTATTTATATGCTCTGAAAAATTTTACCTTAACCAGTGGTGTCAGAGGCAAAGCATAACCCTTAAAGGTCAGTAAATGGATGCTATATTGGAAAAATCAATATGCACAGCCTTTCCTAAGAGCTAAGCTTTGTTTGATCAGACTATTCCTGGGTATCAGGACACTGGCCAAGTCCTGCCAAAAGTAAAGCTCTTATCCCATTATACGTAGGCCCAACCAGTTATAGTAACCAGAGGAGTGCTCATGCTAAAAACATTTTTTATTTAATAAACTGTGTTTTTCTTTTTTGTGCATATGCAGGCAACTTGAGAAGTATTTTCCTTAAAAAAAGTTTGTTTGCTTTTTTACTTTGCAATATAATTTTTAAATTAAAAAGGCATTTGATCAGTGAGGGTTTTTTTATAGTTTGTTTTTTTTTTTTTAAGACATGGGGTCTCACTGTGCCACCCAGGCTGAAGGGCAGTCGCATGATCATAGCTTACTGAATCTTTGAATTCCTGGGCAAGAGCTATCTTCCCGCCTCAGCCTCCTGAGTAGCTGGGAGCACAGAGGCACGAGCCACCATGCCCATCAATGATTATTTTTGTCCATCAACAGTTCTAGGACCAAATTTGTAACTCTATCACAAAAGATTATGTAATATAGCAGTACTATTGTGATAGAAGAATGTTGAATTTAGAAATAATGTTGCTCTCTTTCTATTTTCCTGAAAATTTAGTACGTGCGTATGTACTAATAGTACTTGCATATGGACATATTTATGTCCAAATATTGCACTCTAACCAAAGAGCCCCCCAGGACTTGGCCCTTGGCCCCTTCCCCTTATCTGCAATCTCTTCTAAGTAGCTCCACCCAGTTCCCAAGTTTTATAAAGTAGTCATATGCCAATAATTCCCACATTATATCTCTGGCTCTGACTTTCCTACAAAGCCGATACTTATGCATCCAATTCCTTGACTTTTACTTTTGGATGTCTAGTAGGCATTCCAAAGCTAATGGAGCCAACAGAGAACCTTTGAGTCCTTTTTCTCTCCCATGCAAATCTGCCAGTTATCCTCATCTTGGCCAACATTGCTACACTCCACTTAGCTGCTCAGATCAAAACCCTAAAACTTAAAGTATAATAATAGTAAAATTAAAAAAAATTATTAATTAAAAAAAAAAATCTGGCTGGGCTCGGTGGCTCATGCCTATCATCCCAGCACCTTGGGAGGTGGAGGTGGGAACATTGTTTGAGCCCAGGAGTTTGAGACCAGACTGGTCTGGGCAACATGAAGAAACCCCATCTCTACAAAAATGCAAAAATTAGCCAGGAGTGGTGACGCAAGCCTGTAGTCCCAGCTACTCGGAAGGCTGATGTGGGAGGACGCTTGAGTCTTCAAGGTTGAGGCTGCACTGAGCCATGATTCCATCACCGTACTCCAGACTGGGCAACAGATTGAGACCCTGTCTTAAAAAAAAAAAAAAAAAAAACAAATCTACAAATCTAGTAGTCCCTCTCCCTAGCTTCCAACAACCAACCTGTTATTGTCTCTATTTCAAGACACACTCCAAATCTGTTCCTTTCTCTCCATTTCTATCACTATCACCCTAGTCCATGTCACTGTTTATCTCTCACCTAGACCATCACTGGTAGTAATTTATTCAGGTCTTGTCACTCCTCTGCTTGAAGCCCTTTGTTCTTATCTCCTGTAGAACCAAATCAAAACTTCTTTTCCTGCCAACAAAGCCTAACTTTATCTTATAACCTGACCCTCTGTCTACACTTCTGACATCCACTCTTACCACCTATTTCATTATTCTCCAGGCACGACTGATCTTTTTTTTTCTGTCCCTGTGATAGGACAAGTTCCTTCTGACCTCAATTAAGCAAAACTTTTCTTAGGGCTTAGAATATAACCCTGTATTCGCCCCAGAATTCTGCAAGTTATTATGTGGGAATTAAGGTAAGTCAGTGGTTCTCAACCTGGACTGCACAGTGAAATCTTCTGCAGGGCTTTTAAAAATATGGATACCAAGACCCCATCTGAATTGAATCAGAATCTCCGGGAGGAGGTCAGAGAATTAGTACTTCTGAAAGGCTCCAAATGAGTCTATGTGGCTAAAGTTGACAACCCTGATATAAGTGATGTGCTCTTCTTTTCTAATTTTAATTGTATATTTTCTTGACTTAGATTTTTTTGTTATTGTTAATATAAATAGCATCTAAACGTAGTATCATCTCAAAAGATGTTTAAAAAACAAACAAAAAATGCTGACAGAATAGAATGGTCAATTCTACACAGAAAAGTGATGATAAAACGGATATAAAATACATGAAAAGAATAGTTGAGTATCATCCTGTACTTTTGATATTATAGAACACATTTAGATGTTAAGAGGAAGTTTTTGTGGCTCATGTTTTATTCTTGATCTTGCTTTGCATTGAAGTCCCAATCTTGTGTTTATATCACTTCACAGGATGCTACTGTTGACTTTGAGAATGAATGAACCTGTTTTAACATGACAAGAACTCACGGAAATTTGGTGGAATTAATGTTTCTAACAAAACTTGAACTTTTCACTGTTTTAAGTCAGAATATTTTTGGCAGCAATATAACTTCCTGTGTCTATGATAAATGATTTAAAATGAGACTATAAAGAAGATCAAAAGACTTAGACATCAATTAGCTCACAGGCTACCTAAATATTGTTATATGAGTATAATGGAATCAAACATATGGATTACATTTCCATTAAAATAGAGTAGGGTTTTAAAGCAGAGAATCAGAAAGCTTTAGGAAAGTCATTTGAATGTTCTTAGACTTTAACAGCTAAAAAGTAATTCAAGCTGCTTACAAACACCAAAAGCTAACGGGTATGCTTCTGCCTAAAGAATTTAATGATGCCATAAAAGTTTAGAATTGTCACCAGCAGTGGTTGATTAGGGAACTGGGGAAGCCAAAATAACCTGTCACTCTCCCACCTTGAAGAAACCTGCTGTGCATGTAGGGTTTACAACAGCATCTCATTCTTGTAGCTCTCCCAATGGTTGTGGGCAGAATGAACCACAGAGGGGCCCTGACAAGCTAGATGTATGGCTGTTTGTTTGTTTCAAATCCCTATAAGCCCATACACTAAAGAGTGCAATGGGATGATTAGGGGACAAGCTACTTTAGGTGCACAGGGTTATTCTTGTTACTCCAGGAGGGAAGAAAGAGTACTTTTCCAGTTCTTTTTGTTGTTCTTTTGTAATTGAACTGCAAGTGACAGAGGGTCTTAGAAAGGATTTGGTGGTCCACAGGTCTCCACAAAGTCCAGGGAGGAGGCCATGTGGTACAATAGGAAATAGGCACAGATGGCTTTTGACTTCTGATGACCTGAATTTGAATCCTGCTTTGAACACTAACAACTAAACAATTACCATCATTATTGTAATAATGGATACTGAGATGACAGTGAGAAAAACTTGCTGGGCCCCATGAGGAGCATAATTTTAGAAAATTAAGAAGTATGCATGGACAACAATTCCACAATCTAGTGGAAATTTAGCAACTGCCACGGAATTGGAAAGCCCAATAAGAGCTCCCAATATAAGTTCTTCTTTAACAATAACTCCTTTTCATATTTTTGCAATGAAGTGAATATATTTGAACATCATTCATATCTTATCTTTCCATTGGTTTCATTATTTGTGTCACTGTGACCTACGTTAAGAAATGCTTTTCCCAGGCTATTTGTTCAAGCAGAAAAAAAAAGGTCTTGCTTTGGGGCTTCCTTGTTAGGAAGATTTCAGATTTGACCTGGCATGTGCTAAGGACAATCTTAAATGCTTTTGTACCTGTGGTATCCAGCCTCCAGTTTGGCCCTCAGTCATCCCCACCTCCTGGTAGCCACTTCGTATGTAGTCAGTTCCCTCCCACATGATATGTCACTTCTGAGATCAGGTTACAAACACTGCAATTTCTGTCTTGAGTGCATGCTCTCTTCTCTCAGATCTCTGCCATATTGTGTGTCAGGCACACAGGGCAAGAAATTGAAGCTGCCAGCCAACAGCCAGAGAGAAACCAAGGCCTGCCAACAACTAGGTGAGCGAGCTTGGAAGCAGATCCATCAGACCCAGTCAAGCCTTCAGATGACTGCCACCCCAGCTGACAGCTTGAAGGCCATCTTATGAGATACCCTAAGACAAAACCACCCAGCTAAACTCCCCAGGCCCCAGAAACTCTAGGATAATAACTGGTTTAGTTCGGTTTGGTTTGGCATTTTTCAAGTATGTATGATCCCCTCCTTCCTAAATATGGTCACATGGCACAGAAACCCATAGGCTTTAATATGCTTAAATAGCTCTACTTCTTTTTGTCTATCTGTTCAGTTGACAAGACAGCTTTTCATGAAGAGAAATAAGAGTGAGTTAGAAAAAGGATTTCCTTCCTTGGGATGGAAAAAAGCAAAAGGAAGAATCAAATACCTTCAGAATGCCCTAGATAGCAAATACAGGTTTGTTTGTTTATTTATTTATTTATTTATTTTTTATTTTTTTTGAGATGGAGTCTTGCTCTGTCACCTAGGCTGGGGTGCAGTGGTGCAATCTCAGCTCACTGCAACCTCCGCCTCCCAGGTTCAAGCAATTCTCCTGCCTCAGCCTCCTGAGTAGCTGGGACTACAGGTGCATGCCACCATGACAGGCTAATTTTTTTGTATTTTTTTTTTTTAGTAGAGATGGGGTTTCACTATGTTGGCCAGGCTGTCTTGAACTTCCGACCGCAGGTGATCCACCTGCCTCAGCCTCCCAAAGTAGTAGGATTACAGGCATGAGCCGCTGCACCTGGCCACAAATACAAGTTAATTATAAAGCACTTTGAACACTGTTCCATTGACTAAGTATAGTAAGAAGAAAATTTTAGGCAAGTTAAAGAAGTTCCAGCACTAAGCTTACTTGATAAAAACAGATATAAAAGCAAGACAGAAAATAAGTCAATAGCCTAATATCATCTGTTGACAGAACAGATGCCCTCTTGGGGCGTATTCATATACAGTTATACACCACGCAACGTTTCAGTCAATGATGAACTGGACTGCATATATGACAGTGGTCCCATAAGCTTACAATGCCGTGTTTTTAGCATACCCTTTCTATTTCTTTTTTTGAGACAGAGTCTCGCTCTATTACCTAGGCTGGAGTGCAGTGGCACAATCTTGGCTCACTGTAACCTCTGCCTCCTGGGTTCAAATGATTCTCATGCCTCAGCCTCCCATGTAGCTTGGATTACACATGTGTGCCACCACACCTGGCTAATTTTTTTGTTTGTTTGTTTGTTTTAGTAGAGATGGGGTTTCACTATGTTGGCCAGGCTGGTCTCAAACTCCTGTCCTCAAGTGATCTGCCCGCCTTGACCTCCCAAAGTGCTGAGATTACAGGCATGAGCCACCACGCCTGACTGCTGTACCCTTTCCTTTTAGATGTGTTTAGAGACACAAATACTTGCCATTGTGTTACAATTGCCTACAGTATTTAGTATAGTAATATGCTCTAGAGGTTTGTAACCTAGGAGAAATAGGCCATACCATATAGCCTAGGTGTGTAGTAGGCTATACCATCCAGGTTTGTGTAAATACATTCTATGATTTACACTTGATTCACTCAACCAATGAAATCACCTAACAATGCATTTCTTAGACTATATCCTCATTGTAAAGTGATGCGTGCTGTGGTTGGTTATTCTGGTACTGTGAACTGAACCATACAAAGAACACTTTTACAAATGAAGAACATTTTCACCTAGAATTGATGCCAACATTAATAACTTAAGTATTTCAGTGTCTCATGGCCAAAGTTCCATATTTTAGCTACCTTAGCAAGAAAATCCAAGAAAATCAATTTGCATCTAAAAGCGCCTTCACGGAGTTGGCCTGGTTTTGTGGCAGGCATCCCAGCTTGCTTAGAGAAGGAGAAGTTGAAGTCGGCCTCACAGAGGATTGTTTGGTCCCAGCTGAATAACCTGCTGGCATCCACTGTGAGCAGAGTGGTAAGCAGATTATGGGTAAGCAGATATTAATATTCTGATTAAACATTTTCAAACCTCATACCGCTATTTTAAAAAATAATTGCACTACTCTTGAGAGCACTCTTATAGTTCCCATTCTGAAACCACTTTTAGCTTTCTATATATTCACGATCTTAAAGTCTCTATCTACAGTTTATTTCCCAGGATTAAAACTTTTTCCCTTCACCACCTTAACTGCAATGTAAAATTCATGTGAATATGACTTTCTTGGACAATCTTAATAGCTTAAAATCTTTACATGACACTCTCTTCCTTCCCAGATCTCTTCTTGAAAAAGACAGAGCTGCAGTCATCTTCGGTCTCAGGTTCTATAAAAACCCAGCACAGCCTTGGCAGGCCTCCTGGAATGACTTCTTGTTTCCTGAGGACCCATTGATTTAACAAACTAACAAACGTAAATAACAGAAGCTATGAAAGAAACATTTGCAGTAAGCATTCTGAAGTTATGAAGCAACAAAAGTTTACTAGACCACAAAAATTTCTCTAACACCATCCATCATGTAGAATATACAATTTAGCATGATAACAGGGAAAGTTACTAATTGTTATTAATTGAGGTCTACAGTGCATGTACAGGTTTTTAAACATCAACAGTCAAAACTGCTGGGTTACCACAATTTATTTCTGGGTCCAAACCAAAAAAGTCTGTTTATTTCTTAGGTGCACACTAAATGTGGCCACTGTGTTGGAGAGAAAATGTGGAATGAACATTGTATGCTTACAACATTGAGTGTTGGAATCATCCATAATCTCCACTTCTAATTTAGCTTGCTAGTGACCTTCTCTCAAGGTGCTATAGATTCTGGGCATCTTCCCCAGAATGCTTTCAGGCTGATGAGGATGTGGGTGCATGGGTTTAAGGGCAGAACACCTAGCAAACCACTTGCTTTACAGTTCAAGTAAGGAAAAAAGGGAGGAGTTCAAAGAAGGTTAAATCTCCCGCTTCACCAGTGGTGTCCTTTCCTTCTTTCTAGGCATCAGACCTTCTTCTCTAGAACTTTCTTCTGCCCCATGTGGTGGTCACTGCCCAGCTCAAGAGATAGTCCTGGAGAGGACACAGAGGCAACAAGGTCCAGAGACTTGCCTCAGGGTCACCTCAGGGGCCCTTCCAATCATGCTTCCCCCAGTCCCCGAAGCATCTTCCAGCAGCCAACATGTTGGTGAATGGGGTCCTAAACCCTGCACTGCCCAGGAACTGTGCTGTGGAGTCTGGCCACGTTCCCTTATTGGGGCAGGCATGAGGCAGTGACTAAAGTGTCCTAAAGCTCCCAGTGAAGGCTCTGAGATGGCTGGACCGCCCACTGCATCCTTGGCCCTACAGAAAGAGGGCTCCATGGAGCATGCACAGAAGCAGCAAGGGGCAGTGTGACACTGGGAGAGGTACTAAGGAGGGGGCGGCCTTCTGATCCACGCAAGGATTCTTAAGGACCTCCTGGCTCAAAACAATCACTTCCTCTCTTGCTGTGGTTCGTGGACAATGGAGTCCCAAAGGGAGGCCTTTCCTTGCAACCTCAAAGGGAGGAAAGCCTGCTTTCACAGCTGGCAGGGCCTGCGGACAGCCAGCCAGCTACCTGCACCAACTACCGTCCACCTGTCTCCCGTCACATCCCCCCCTCTACCCCCGAGTGGCTGGTCTGCGGCGCTTCGGACGTGCTCCTTGCCTTGCATTCACTCTCCCTCCCGCGCATTCAGTGGATGTGTCCCACGTGGAGAAGGCGAAGTTGGGAAGGGGCAGCCCTCGCGAAGGGCCACTTGGTCTGGGCACTTATTCACTGGGGTGGAATGGGATGGCAGCGGAGCAGGGGACAGCCTAGGCTAAAAGGCCGCCCGGGGGCAGCCCCTCCAGGTAACCCGTCCCGCGGCCCGCCAGCATGGAGCACCAGGCCTGGCTGTCAGCGCGCGCGTCCGGCACGGAGCCCACACCCACCGGGAGGCGCGGCGGGAGGGCGCTCGGGGCCCGGCCCAGGGAGGGTGGTGCCCGCAGCCCGCTCGCCCCGGCCTTGGGCTCTGAAACTCATGCCCTGGAGCCCAGAGCAGAGGAGGGCGGCGGGCCCGGGCGGGCTACGGGGCCGGCGCCTCCCCCGCCCCCGTGGGTCGCGGCGTCTCCGGGGCACTGACCTGCCAGCCGCCTCTCCCGGACGTTCTTCCACAGCAGATCCCAGGCTCTGGCCGTGGAGTCCCGCAACTGCTCACTGATGGATCTCCTGAGCTGCGTTTGGCAAGGTTTCCGTTTGCTGGTCATTTTAGATCCGTCCTCATAACGACCGGCGGGCTCTCCACCGCCACTCCCGCGTGGCCCGCGACTCAGACTCCCGGCGACTGGAAAGGACGGACGCGGCACTCCCGCCGGGGTCCCGGGACCCAATGCGGGCGCGACATGGGTCGGTCCGGCGCTGGGAGGCTGCGCCACGCGCGAGGACCGGGATGCCTGGCCACCAGAAACGCCGCGCTAGGTTATTAACCTCTGCGCTCGCCAACTCCTCTACTCCTTTCCCACTTTCCTTCTCCTCCCCTCCTCCCCTCCGTTGGGCGCTCCTCCACTCCCCTCCCTCCCCTGCCCTCCCCCTGGCTGCCTCGCGCCCCACTCCTTCCAGGAGCGCGCTTCCCCTTCCCTCCCTCGCCCAACCTGACAGCCTGGTCCCCACGGCCCCCCACTCAAGGAGCTTCCAGCTTCTTTTCCAGTTTTACCCAGAAATCAGGGGCTGGACCATACTCCTCCTATTTCTTGATACTTTCCTTTATTTTTCAGTTTCAGAAACTACCACCTTCACAACTACAACAACAACAACAAAAATTTATATATGCCACAGTGAGAGCATAACTCATCCCAGTTTCCCTAAATTCAAGTTACTTGAAGTCAGCTACTCGGTTAGGTTGACATTCTTTTGATGTTCAATATTGGTGATCTGAACATTATGTTAATCCTTCCTGATTTCTTCAATGAAATAATTATCTGGCTGCAAACTACAATTAAATTAATACGGTTTGAAGTGTCAAAATATTATTTCCATTGCATAGCCATTATGAGGAGAAAAATAACTTTAAAATATTCAGGTCAAACCATAAGGAACCTACCTAAAATAGATTTACATACTTTGAGAAAGCATTACAATCTGTATGCAGTGAAAGAAGTACGTATTATGAAGAAGTGAAATATGAAAATAGAAGAATTTTAAGGTATTTTAGCCAAAAACGTAAAGTAGGCTTGTAGTTAGAAATTAACTCTGATTCCTGAAGGAAAGAAGGAAATGTATTGGCTCTTTAAGAAATACATCATCACTGAAGTCCAAGCCCACTTCCTGGACTTCAACTCATTCATAAGGAGAAGACAATACTGTCTCAGGCCTCGGGGTGTCCTGCAGTTCACAAAGTTTTGTTTCTGAAGTGCTTTGAGGTCTTCCAAGAAAGTAACTGTGACAACATTTAACTAATTCAGAGATGTGATTAATGCCTTACACCTCAGGTTTGGGGAGGGGAACAAATTTTTCAAAAGGAATTTCTGAATTATTGAATCTGCAAAATTGCTTGAATCTCATTTCTTTTTAAATGTCTTTGTACCAAGCTGCCACATAAGAACCAAAATTTAATCAGATATTCATTTTAATTCCAGGTGCTCCACAGGAAGTTTGAAAATTAAAAGTATTCAGTCCTTCCTCTATTATATAAATTGCTACTGACTTAGGGAATGCAAACTAACCTCTACCTAAAGTATTCCCTCTACACTTCTGCTACACTTCTAGTAAATATTCCCTCCATCAGTTTATCTTGTTGGTAGAAAATGGGAATGACAGGGATGATGGTAAGAAATAGTCTTTATTGTCTTATTTTGTTACTTTAAATATTTAAAAATGTTAACTAGTGAAACATACCTCAGAATGAGCTAGAAAGTAATGAGATACTTTTTTTGTAGAATCCTGGTAAATCTTTGAAATAGTCAGTTATGAAGCAATAAGTCACGGATCAGAAACGGACTTGAAACTGTGACAGCCGGTTATATAGACTAATCCAGATTGCTTTCTGGACACAAGCCAAATACCCTTTTGATTCCATCCTCTGCTTTGTATGCATGCAGAGGTAACAAAATGCTCTGCAAAGAACAAGACTCCTGTTGTCTTAAAGTGGCTGCTATACAGTGTAACAACAAAATGTTTATCAATTACATTCCCAGGAAAGCTGTATACTTGACTTTTAGAAGGGACCTCTTGTTGAATCAAACAGACGCAATAGTTTTAACATTATATACACGGGAACAGAACATAACCATTCAAGCTATTTCAGTGATCATTTAGCTCTCAAGAGCGTGGGCCCCTACTACTTTCTATTCTAGCACATATTTTATATTCAGATGCCATTGATTAGGAGTTTTCCTTAAATGACTAATTTGAAGACTAAATTCTGGAATTGCACATTTGTTTAGTTCTGGCTGTTGGATGGCCCATGAATTGAGGACTGTCCAAGAGAAGCCAGATGAAAGACGGAAATGATCTGCCTGGAACAGGTGCCGGCTGAGCAGTGTGTGCCACCCAGCATGGCCCAGCTCTCTGCCAGCCCCGGCTGCTGGCCCTGTTGGAAGAAACCACACAGCTGTGCAGATGGAGCCGCCACAAATGCCAAGTGTTCCAACCTCAACAGGAACCTCAGGGCTACTTGGAGTAATCTGTACAGCATCCGCTCTCATTCTCCCCAAGATCTGTTTCAAAGTTGAACCTTAGGTAGCATCCCCTGTGGGGCCTTCACCAGATGAAAATATCACCTATTAGGAGAAAAGAACTCAGGTAACCCCCTAGCCCTACCTACCTTCTTGCTTACTGTCTTCCCTCCCATCGCAGCGGAAGAGGTGTTGCTCTTCCAGCCCGAGACCACGTCCCTCACCTGTGTTGGGCTTTCTTTCCCTTCTTGTCCCTACAGGTACTTTGCTACATTGGTTATTTCCTCTCCCTCACATACCCTCAATCTCTGCCTCTCCACAGGCTCAACCCTCCAGTCTCACCCTGCTTTTAAATAAACCAAAACTAAAATAACAGCAGCCATCCTAAAGCCCACTGCCTCTACCCTGTGTCCCTGGGAAGAGAAGTCTTTCCCTGTCAACACTGCAATCTGGGCTTCCTCCCTTCCTCAATGAACGTGATCTTGCCAAGGTCACCAATAATCATCTGGTTGCTAAATCTAACAACGTGTTCCAGTTATTGTTGTCCTTTCCAGGGTGCATGGACCATTGGACACTGTAGCCCATTTCCTTCCTCTGACACAGGCTTGTCTCGTGGCTGTCAGGCGACACCCTCCCCTGGGTTCCTCCTTTTCACAGATGGCCTCACATGGTCCTTCTTAAGGCCTGACAGGCTATAGATAGAAAGTATATGTGGTTAAGAGTGTGGCTAAAGGCAGTGTCCCATTTGATTCTGCATATGTTTCTGCCTCTCAGTAGTACCTCCCTAGACGATTGCATTGTGGATTAAATGAAATAATCCATTTGGCACATAGAAAAGACTTAACCTATGCTTCCAACAACAATACTATTATAATTACATTACTGTCCTAGCCCAAATCTATCCTGAGCCCTTTCAAGAAGCCTTCCCTGACACCCAACCAAAATAGCTCCTTCTCACGGCATCCAGTTTAGTTTTCCTTATAGCGCTTCCACTTCCAGACATTGTGTTTGTTTGTTTGTGGTTGGTCTCCCAGGCAGACTGTGAGCTCCATAAGAGCTGAGGCCCTGTCCGTCTTACTTGCTTGTGCATCCTCAGTGCCTAAAACAGTCCCAGACAGTTATGATCAGTAAATACTTGCAGAGTAAATGAATGATTCTACTCTAGGGCCATGTATTGTTTCCCTTCCGGATGGGTATCTCCAAAACTTTCCTTCCAAACCTGCTCTTTCATCTCTATTTCCTATGTGAGCCACCTGGTGCTACCACCCATCTAGTGACTGAGAGAGAAATCTAGAAGACATCTGAAACACCTCCATACATCCTATGCTGCTTCAATCTTCCCCCACTTCTCTATCTCCTGAGTAACTGATTTAGTTCAGGTTTTCTCTTTCCCTTCCCTGAATTTCAGCATAAAAAGAGTCCCATTTGAAAGCTCTTGGTCTCACTGCACTCTACGTCTTTATACATTAGCTGTTCTTGAATGCCCTTACCCTAATTTTTTTGTTCTTCACTCATCCTTCGAGATTCAACTCAGATGTACTCAGATGTCACCTCCTCCTTAATCCTTCTACAAATCCCAGTGGCTGGATGGATTCCTCTTCCATTGTGTTTCTTCCATGCTTTGGGGATACTGCCGGAGGAGCACTTATCAAAGAGCCAGAGTTCAGTGTCCTTACCTGTTTCTTCTCAGCTGTCCCTGCAGTCCTGAGTTCCTCCAGGTAGGACTAGCACAGAACTTTTATTTCTCAACCTCTTGTACCTTTTTCAGTGAACAGCACATAGTAGGAGTAGGATCATTTACTGACTGAATGACTATTCCTATAGTTTTAAATGACTGGTTACCACTAGGATCTGCTCCTTAGTCTAAGTGTAAATTTTAAGGATGCTTATGGTGATATTGCTTCATTCTCATTAATTATCACTCTTTTCTTATATAATATTTATTAATTTTAAATATACATACTGATAATTATAGTTTTTTAAACACAAAAATTGTAATAGAAACATTAAAAGTACCTGTAATATTACCAAAAAGAGAGCTGATAACATTTGAAAATTTTCCTTTTTATTTTTTTCCTTGCATATTAAAAAAACTTGGAAGAATTTTTATACCAAGTTTTTCATTTTTTTTCACTAAGCAGTAGATTGTGAGCATTTTTCCAATGTATTTTCTTTTAAAATGTAGTTTTTAATGAATATCTAAAATTCTGTGGGATAAACACACTATAATTTATTTTAAAGCTTTCACAATTTTGAATATTTTTCTCCAAATTTCTAAAATTACAAATAATCCTGCGATAAATAACTTTGACAAATGAAAAGATATATATTTTTTTCTCCTTCTCTTACTGCTATGTAATAAGACCCATCACCATTGCCTCTCACAACCACAGGCAATAAGCAGGACTTGCCACCCACCACCTACACATCTGAATGCCAACAACTCTGCAATTCCATTACATTTTTATCCCTTCCACTTCCCTCCCATGTTCAACTCTGATTCTGTGCCATCACCCCGTATGGAAGAGTGGAGAAGCACATTCCACGGTCTGCTTGCTGCGGTATTTTTTTGTTGGAACCCTTTGCTTGAGAATAGAGCCCAATTTCTAACTGTACCAGGCCAGGAATCCTTTGCCAAGAACCCATAGTCATGGTGCATTATTTCATGTTGCTTGCAGCTTTGCTGTGGGGAAATGCCTTCCTTGAGGAGACCCATTTTCCTTTGCTGCAGGGTAGAAGGGTGAAGAGCTCTCGCAACTCTCTCCCTGCAGCATGTTCCTTTCCCAGGAGAGATGGGATGTAGCAACTCTTCCTTTGGTGTATCCTTCGCTCCATTTCAGGGACATGCTGTTGGAGATTGTGAAATGCAATCTCATGTTACTTATTTCCTCATTTTAAAAGTGTTGCTGAAAGTTCTGGAGAAGCTGACTTTTCAAGCTGGGTCCTTGGATCACAGTCACCAATCTGTGCCTGCCCTGATTGGTCTATCTGTGTGTCCCATTGCCATGCTCTGAATCTGCCAGTCTTTGAATGCTAACAATTTTGATTGCTTTTCGGGTTTTGTTCTGTTAATTAAAAAAGCATCAGGCTCCACACTTTCTTGGAAGCAAAATTTAGTGTTAGCTGTAAGCTCTGCATTGCCAATTAATAACTTTGGCTGTGTTTCATATTTTCCTGATGTAGACTGGTAAATGCTTTGAATCTTCAGGCTCAATGTCATATCATGGTCATCAACTTTACAAATATCACAATTCCTTTCTATATTTTCATGTACACTTTGGGGGGACCATGATTACCATATGGGAGACGTTGGGTAAGTGTCTTACAAATTTCTGATGGCATTCACAGGCCATTGGATTGAAGACGTTTCCAGTGATTGAAATCATCTTGACATCACTTGTGCTATCCTTCAGACTGTCTGTTTTATAAAGGTTGAGTAAGTAATTTAGCTTACCACACAACCTCGCATTAGCATATCGATTTAGGTAATTTGTTATGACTGTCTTAGTATACATAGAGTAGTTTGAGACCTCAAACATACACTGTGAAGCATTCTTCCATTGCTACTGAGCTTCTTAAGGTCAATGAACACATCATCTGAAGAGCAGTGAAAGCCCCAGTCCCCAGCTCCCATAGGCAGTACAGGGAAGTGGCTGATGGCATAGACAGAGGAGGTAGCCAACTAGGTTCATACCATGGCTCCGCACCTACTAGCTGTGTAATCTCCATAAGTTACCCATTTTCTGAGTTCCTCAGCCTCAGCATCTATAAAATGGGGATTATAATAATGCTTCCCTCATAGGATTTTTGGCAAGGATCAAATGCAATAATACATGCAAAATATTTAGAATGATGCCTGGCATATAATGAGCATGCATTACATTTTAATTGCTATTGTTGTTGTTGCTACTATTTTGCCTAAACCATTTCTGCAATTCTCATGAGATTCCAGTCCAGCCAAATTCTGAATAGCCTCATGCTAAACAGCAAGAAGTCACTCATGAGAATTATAAACTAGCACTGGATGTGGGAGGTACGAGAATAGGATTCACATCTTAGCTCTGGGAATGATAAGGTGTAGGAGAGATAGAAGCTATTTAATATCCCTAAACATAGACTTCCTTATCTGTCAAATGCAGCAAAGAACTCTTTGTTCTACCTACCCTGCTCATACTTAAACTATATGTGAGAGTGTTTTATAATTCAAAGTGTCATCAAAATGAAAGGTATTGTAAATAATAGGAAAGTTTAGGGAAAATCTGCATATGGAGCAAGTACATTTCCTACTTGCATGCATAAAAAGATATTTATTCAACAAAGATCTGTATTCCTAGAGTGACACAGGTTTCTCCTGGTGGCCCTAGTTGTGCTCCAACTGCTGACATAAATCAAGGCTGATTAAGTATGTTTACTGGTGTGGACACTTGAAAGGGGCTGGGACCCTTGTCACCTTCCATGGGGTAACCCTCCACTCCAATTATATTTATTCCACAAATATGTGTTCAACAAACCTTTGGCATCTCTAAAGACAGGCAGCATGTGTTCCACATTCTAGAGGAAAATCTTCTGGAGATATCTCAGTACTAACTCCCACCTTGTTAATTAATCTGTGTAGGTATGGCATTTTCTTTAGGAATTTCATCATTAATAAGACCTTGCTCTAGTTTAGCACTACCCAGGATAATGCGTCTTGTAAGCATTATTTAACATAACAAGCACATGAGGTCAGCAGCTACTCTTTAGAAAAACAAAACAAAACAGGCAGGGAAACAAATTCAGAAAAGTTATATGATTTGATCAAGATCATCAGCTAATAAGTTGCGGAACCAAGACTCAAATGTTTACCATCCATCTTTAAATCCAGTCTTTGGGAGGCCGAGGTGGGTAGATCACTTGAGGTTAGGAGTTCAAGACCAGCCTGGCCAACATATGAAACCCCATCTCTACTAAAAATACAAAAATTAACCGAGTGTGCTGGTGAGAGGTGACAGCATGCTGGCAGTCCTCAGAGCCCTCGCTTGCTCTCGGCAACTCCCCTGCCTGGGCTCTCACTTTGGTGGCATTTGAGGAGCCCTTCAGCCCCCCACTGCACTGTGGGAGCCCCTTTCTGGGCTGGCCAAGGCTGGAGCCCACTCCCTCAGCTTGCAGGGAGGTGTGGAGGGAGAGGCACGAGCGGGAACCGGGGCTGCGTGCGGCGCTTGCGGGCCAGCTGGAGTTCCGGGTGGGCGTGGGCTTGGCGGGCCCCACACTCGGAGCAGCCAGCCAGCCCTGCTGGCCCCGGGCAATGAGGGACTTAGCACCCGGGCCAGTGGCTGCGGAGGGTGTACTGGGTCCCCCAGCAGTGCCAGCCCACCAGTGCTGCGCTCGATTTCTCGCCGGGCCTTAGCTGCCTTCCCATGGGGCAGGGCTCGGGACATGCAGCCCGCCATGCCTGAGCCTCCCACCCACTCCATGGGCTCCTGTGCAGCCCGAGCCTCCCCGAGGAGCACCACCCCCTGCTCCACGGTGCCCAGTCCCATCGACCACCCAAGGGCTGAGGAATGTAAGCGCACGGCACAGGACTGGCAGGCAGCTCCACCTGCAGCCCCGGTGTGGGATCCACTAGATGAAGCCAGCTGGGCTCCTGAGTCTGGTGGGGACGTGGAGAGTCTTTATATCTAGCTCAGGGATTGTAAATACACCAATCAGCACCCTGTGTTTAGCTCAAGGTTTGTGAGTGCACCAATCGACACTCTGTATCTAGCTGCTCTGATGAGGACGTCTGTATCTGCTCTCTGGTGAGAGTCTTTATGTCTAGCTCAGGGACTGTGAATACACCAATCGACACTCTGAATCTAGCTCAAGGTTTGTAAATACACCAATCAGCATCCTGTGTTTAGCTCAAGGTTTGTGAGTGCACCAATCGACACTCTGTATCTAGCTGCTCTGGTGAGGATGTGGAGAGTCTTTATGTCTAGCTCAGGGATTGTAAATACACCAATCGGCACTCTGTATCTAGCTCAAGGTTTGTAAATACACCAATCAGCACCCTATGTTTAGCTCAAGGTTTGTGAATGCACCAATCGACACTCTGTATCTAGCTGCTCTGGTGGGGCCTTGGAGAACCTGTGTGTGGAAACTCTGTATCTAACTAATCTGATGGGGACGTGGAGAACCTTTGTATCTAGCTCAGGGATTGTAAAGGCACCAATCAGCGCCCTGACAAAACAGGCTACTGGGCTCTACCAATCAGCAGGATGTGGGTGGGGCCAGATAAGAGAATAAAAGCAGGATGCCCCAGCCAGCATTGGCAACCCGCTCAGGTTGCCTTCCACACTGTGGAAGCGTTGTTTTTCGCTCTTTGCAATAAATTTTGCTACTGCTCACTCTTTGGGTCCACGCTGCTTTTATGAGCTGCTATGAGCTGTAACACTGCAAAGATCTGCAGCTTCACTCCTGAGCCCAGCGAGACCACGAGCCCACCGGGAGAAACGAACAACTCCAGACGCGCTGCCTTAAGAGCTGTAACACTCACCGCGAAGGTCTGCAGCTTCACTTCTGAACCAACGAGACCACGAACCCACCAGAAGGAAGAAACTCCAAACACATCTGAACATCAGAAGGGACAGACTCCCGACACGCCACCTTAAGAGCTGTAACACTCACCGCGAGGGTCCACGGCTTCATTCTTGAAGTCAGTGAGACCAAGAACCCACCAATTCCGGACACAATGGCGTACACCTGTAATCCCAGCTACTCGGGAGGCTGAGGTAGGAGAATTGTTTGAACCTGGAAGGCAGAAGTTGCAGTAAGCTGAGATCATGCCATTGCACTCCAGCCTGGGCAACAGAGCAAGACTCCATCTCAAAAAAAAAAAAAATCTAGTCTCATTCTCTTCTCCCCACAGCTCCCTTGCCATTCTTCAGAGGCCATAGTATAATGGCCAAAGTTGTCCCTTTAACTTGATAGGCTATTTCCCCACTAGTTTGTAGAAATTTGGAGGTTGTCAGATAATATATTATGATCAGTATAGAAATGTCTTCTCCATCAGCAATGAGATTAAACCTATTTCATTCTTTAAAGTAATCTAGAGTTACCTCACCTTATATTTAAATCTATCATTAAGCCCTTGGAAAACGTCTGGTTATCTAAAATGATTTCTAAGACTGAGTGCATTTTAAGGGAATGATTACTTCAAAATAACTGGTCTCTGATTCTTTCAGATAAACAAGGGGTTATGAGGACACAGACTGGGTTCTGCCAACGTCCTGCAACATTTCCTTGTTATCAGTAACAGAACTCTTAGGAGTTTAAACAAAGTGTCTTTCAATTTATGACGTTTTAAAAATGGGGGAGCCTCAAGATGTAATTCCTCTTTCTTCAACAAAAATAGTTCAAAGGCAGTCGATTTTTTTTTTTCTTCTGAGACGGAGTCTCACTCTGTCGCCCAGGCTGTAGTGCCATGGCGCCATCTTGGCTCACTGCAAACCCCGCCTCCCAGGTTCCAGCTATTCTCCTGCCTCAGCCTCCCAAGTAGCTGGGACTATAGGCGCGTGCCACCACTCCCGGCTAGTTTTTTGTATTTTTAGTAGAGACAGGGTTTCACCGTGTTAGCCAGGCTGGTCTCTATCTCCTGACCTTGTGATCCACACACCTCGGCCTCCCAAAATGCTGGGATTACAGGCGTGAGCCACTGCTCCTGGCCGGCAGTCGATTTTTTTAAATTTTAAGTGTCTTCCTGTTAGTGCCTTATGATCACATCGTTAGTAAAGGAGAGTTATTAGTTTTAAGAGTATCTGGGGCAATGGAAATTACTTTTATTATTTAATATACATTTTCCTTCTGTGTAGACAGAAGGATTCCTTCTGTGTAGACAGAAGGAATCCTTCTGTGTAGACAGAAGGAATCCTTCTGTGTAGACAGAAGGACATATTGTTGATCGTTGAACAATATAGGATTGAACTGTGTGGGTCCACTTATATGTGGATTTTTTTTCTTTTCTTTTTTTTTTTTTTGAGACGGAGTCTTGCTCTGTCACCCAGGCTGGAGTGCAGTGGCGCAATCTGAGCTCACTGCAAGCTCCGCCTCCCAGGTTCACGCCATTCTCCTGCCTCAGCCTCCCCAGCAGCTGGGACTACAGGTGCACGCCACCACGCCCGGCTAATTTTTTTTTTTTTTTTTGTATTTTTAGTAGAGACAGGTTTTCACCGCGTTAGCCAGGATGATCTCGATCTCCTGACCTGTAATCCGCCTGCCTCGGCCTCCCAAAGTGCCGGGATTACAGGCGTGAACCACCGCGCCTGGCCTGGATTTTTTTTCAAAAACAGTTACACTGAGTGTGCCTGCCTCCCCTTCCACCTCCTCTGCTTCTTCCTCTGCCCTCCGAGACAGCAAGACCAACCCTCTTTTATTCTTCCTTCTCATCAGCTTACTCAATGTGAAGACAATGAGAATGAAGACCTTTGTGACGATCCACTTGCACTTAATGAATAGTGAATATATCTTCTCTAACTTACTTTATTGAAAGAATATAATATATAATACATGTAACATAACAAAACGTGTTAACCAATGGTTTATACTAATGATAAGGCTTCCAAATTAACAGTAGGCTATTCGTAGTTAAGTTTCTGGGGAGTCAAAAGTCATACTTGGATTTTAGACTGTAGCTCGGGGGAGTAGGAGGACCTGGTCCCCCTAACTCCTGCATTGTTCAATGATGTATTAGTCCATACTCACACTGCTATAAAGAACTACCTGAGACTGGCTAATTTATAAAGAAAAGAGGTTTAATTGACTCACAGTTCCACAGGCTGTACAGGAAGCATGGCTGGGAGGCCTCAGGGAACTTACAATTATGGCAAGAGGCAAAGGAGAAGCAAGCACATCTTACCATGGTGGAGAGGAGAAAGAGAGTGAAAGGGGAATTGCTACACACTTTTAAACAACCAGATCTCATGAGAACTCACTCACTATCGTGAGAACAGCAAGGGGGAAATCCACCCCCATGATTCAATCACCTCCTACCAGGTACCCCCTAACACTGGGAATTACAATTCAACATGAGATTTGGGTGGGGACACAGAGCCAAACTATATCAAAGGGTCAACTGCATTTACCTTCCATATGAGAAAATACTATATTTTCTATATCACTTCAGTAGTGGTCATTCACTGCTAATAATATATTTGTTGTAATTATTTTTATACATCATTTTGCAAGTACCATTTAAAATAAAAATGTCTGATATTACTTAGTGTGTTAGGCCATTTTTGTGTCACTATAAAGAAATACCTGAAGCTGGGTCATTTATAAAGAAAATAGATTTAATTAGCTCGTTGTTCTGCAGGCTGTACAAGCGAGGCACCAACATCTGCTTGGCTTCTGGTGAGGGCCTCAGGAAGCTTACAATCATGGTGGAAGGGGAAGGGGGCAGAAGGATCACATGGCAAGAGCAAGAGCAAGGGTGAGGGACAACCAGCGCTTGTGTGAACTGACTGAGTGAGAACTCACTCATCACCAAAGAGATGGTGCTAAACTATTCATGAGTGATCCGTCCCCGTGATCCATTCACCTCCCACCAGGCTCCACCTCCAACACTGGGAATCACATTTCCACATAAGATTTGGAGGGGACAAACATCCAAACCATATCAATAAGGGAAAAACGACAAGTTCAAATCCATCTTTGGAGTCCTGAGAAATCCTTTGGATTTAATGGATTTTATTGATACCTCTATTTTACTTGTGTAACCCTGGGTCTCTGTTTTATCTCTCTTTGCATCCCCTGTTCCTGGAACATTGCTTGGCACGTGGTGATCTCAACAACAACGTCAACCACCACCACAACAAAGGTTGTTGAATTTGATTTTCTTAACTTTTAGGTCTTAGCATAGCTGTCCCCTCTTTGGAAGCCTTTCCTGACCATTTTATGATCAAACTTCACTAAACTCTGACCAGAACGTATGTCCACATAATATTTTGTGATTATTTTTTATTCCTTGCTTGACTTGCCCCTTCACTAGACTGTAAATTCCATAAGAGCAAGGACCTTGTCTTTCTTTCCCGAAACTGATTCCCAGCACCTAGAGCAGTGTTTGATACACAGTAGATGCTCAAGGAATCACACATCATTTGCCAAGAAAGCTAGTGCCATCAGTGGAAATTATCAATCCTAGAAGAGTCTGTCCTGCATCATCTGGAGAGCTTAAATATTTCAACTCACAACTCCAGGACCTTTGTCTCCACTCCACTTCACCCATCTACTCCCAGGGACACACGCTGGGCCAAGTCACTATCACTGTGCTTCCAGAATCTTGAACCTTTATCTCAGTTTCTATATGGACCTTGTATCCTTTTAGCATTCCTCATCTTGTCTCATGATCTTTGTTTGCTTTTCCTTTACTTAATCAGTCCTTTTTCTTGACATCATGCCTTCAGTTAAGTTCCATGAACCAGACTTTCAAAACCTTCTCAGTACACACACACATGTACACACAGAGCTATTTTATTTCTTAGTTATTCCATGCCTATCTGGCAAAACCCCTCTATCTAGTCTTATATGCAGGCCACCACACACTGTCAATGAAGTTCCAGAACTGCACAGACTGATGACATGATGCCAATGGGGTGAGAATTATCAGCAAAATCTTTGCCATGTCTCTAGCAGGGTCTGGTTCCTGTTTTCCAGAAACAGTCACAGTGGTTAGCTTAAATCTTCATCACTGTCCTCAAGGCCCTGGTACACTTTCTTCCTCTTACCCTCAACACCAATACTTGTCAGATACTCATAGAAGAAATAGAGGAACTGGCAGTTCCTTAAATGCACCACACTCTCTGCCTCAGTGCCTTTGCACGTGTTCTTCTGCCTGGAGCACACTGACTCTTCTTTTCTAAAGTTACACCTAAGCCCCACAAAGTAACAGTTTTATTCCTACATTGGATTGAAACCCTCCTGAGGGTAGGAAGTGGATTTTTAATGTCTGCATCCCTAGTAGTGAATGCAGTGCTCAGAACATAGTAAATGCTCAATATATATTTACTGAGTGAATTAAGCATTGAAAACTGGGGCTGCAGAGTGGGCTAGAGAAGCTAGATATGCCTATGCGTTACCCTTCCAAATGTTGAAATATTTAGCATTAATCCATTAAAAAGATAGAAAATGTACATACAAACACTTAACTATTAAGTCACAGTTGATTAAATCACCATGAATGACAGGAAATTTCATAATAGCCATGCATTATGGGTGAATGTGATGAACAACGTTTTGGAATATTTGATCAAGCTGATTAATTTAAAACATTACTTAAGGTTCCCCCCCACCCCCAAATCTACAGTTTACACTTGATAAAACTAATGCTATCATAGATTAACCCCTTCCCTCAGCCAGGCACAGTGACTCAAGCCTGTAATCATAGCATTTTGGGAGGCCAAGCCAAAAGGATTGCTTGAGGCCAAGAGTTCGAGACCAACCTAAGCAACATCATGAGGCTCCTTCTCAACAAAAAATAAAATTTAAAAACATAATAAAATCTTTACTCCACTCAAACCAGAGTGGGAGTTTGGAGTGTTCTTTGTGAAAACATAAATGCACAGTCATCAGTATTTTAAAAATATAATAAAAATGAAATGGGTTACTCTTAATATTTAAGAGTTTATCATGAATTTAACGTGCAAGTTTGTTGTGTGTCTGAATGGGAAAACAATATTTTTTTAAATGTCCCATCTAGGGGAAAAATACGACTTCCTCGTGGGCAAGGTGTGTGTGGTTTTAAAGGAGAATAGAATAACGATTAAGAAAAAGAGGAGGCTGGGCGCGGTGGCTCACGCCTGTAATCCCAGCTCTTTGGGAGGCCGAGGCGGGTGGATCATGAGGTCAGGAGATCGGGACCATCCTGGCTAACACGGTGAAACCCCGTCTGTACTAAAAATACAGAAAATTAGCCAGGCGTGGTGGCGGGCGCCTGTAGTCCCAGCTACTCGGGAGGCTGAGGCAGGAGAATGGCGTGAACCCGGGAGGCGGAGCTTGCAGTGAGCCGAGATGGCGCCACTGCACTCCAGCCTGGGAGACAGAGCGAGACTCCGTCTCAAAAAAAAAGAAACAGGAGAAAAACTATAGGGTATGCATGAGAAAAGAAAGGTAGCTGTTACATGAAACCAGGAGAACAGAAAGGGGCTCAAATACAACATATAAAAGGGCTGGAGTAGGAACAGAAACTGCGGGAATTTACTCTGGAGAGAGGTGACTGCAAGAGGTAAAAAACTCTGGAGTCAAATCAGCTGGGCACCTTCCACACATGTGAGATGACCACAAAATGAAGGGACTGAGGCTCACCTGAGCCTCAAGCAGTAAAGGTCCTGGGTTCCTAGGAGATGAGGGTAAGAAAGGGATGCTGAAGGGAATGGGGGAGTCTGTGGGGAAGGGTGGGAAGAGGTGGACCAAACAAACATCCACAGCTTTGAGGCTCCTAATAGAGAAATCTAGAAAGTAACAGGAATTGGGAACAGGAGGTGCTGGAAGATTTTTCTAGAGCCTTTAATCGAGCAAAGGGAACTAGGCAAAATAAAGGTATGCTTCTCATGTGCATCAACAGTACACAGCTGGTGCCTCTGCATTCACTGCACAGTTATAAGGTTAAACTGTGTATCTGAACACCTCTGTACGCTGGACGGCGACAGTCGGGGCTGGAGAAGGGAGCCCTGCCAGGGAAGGTAAGGCGGGTAGCAAGACTTGAGATTTCCCTCCTTGACCCTTAGGTAGTAGCAGCCAAGAGTGAACACAAGATTATCTAGAAGATAAAATGCCACGATTTCATCAAAGGGCTTTGTGGATGAATAGTGGGAGAGTTAAATACTAAATACAATTCTTCAGGTTTTAATACCTTGAAGAATAAATCATGCTCACTGTAACACTCACCCATGAACTATAAATTCATTGCAGGTCAGGTGTTGGACCAGTAAAACATTTTGCTCGGATTGTCTTCTCTCTACTCAGCATGGCTTTCTTGGTACAATTATAAAACATAGTAGTTTTCACTTGAGCCATTAATTGCTGCTGCTCACAAATCCCTTTCTGTTCTTTTCCTAATTTCTTTTCAAGGCTTTTCTTTTATTTTTTGTGCCACCCTCATGTTTTTAAATATGTTTATTAAGGTATTATTAGCATACCAAAAATACATCCATTGATAGTTTTCTTTTTAAAATTTTAGGCAATTGTTTTCTTAATAATGCCAGTTAGAGACTTTTATCACTAAAAGTGATATATATATATCACTTTTGATATATGTATTAAAAATTATATAGAATTTTTTTCTAGGTATAGTATCATAGATACAGAATGGCTTATACTTGCTTAGTATGTCAATGAATGCATCACTTATATGTATATATTACTGGACTACTATTGTCAAAAATGCTTGCAAATAATACTTCTTGCCATTCTATTAAGAAAGCTTAAGAAAGACAGGATCAAGGATAGAACTCTGTCACAGACCCTGGAGGGATTTAATAAATATTTCTGAGGCTGATAGCCAGTATGTTTGTTTTTAGATAACTGAAGTTCCCTGTAAGCTGGACACTGTAAATTTTCAGAGCGAGGTTATCTCCAAAACTTTCACTTTATTATTCTAAAAAAGATTATTTAGAAATAACTTCATCTTCCTGTTTCTAACCTTAGTTCTTTTATTATTTCTAATAAGGCCATAAAAACTTAATCGGGTACCTGCTTTGGATTTTAGATTTTTTATTTTCCCTTTTAAATTTTCTGAACACCTGCCTAACCAACTAACCAAGCTTTGCTTCCTTCCCTACCATGCATTCCTGCCATGTGATTCTGGGAAGTTTCCCCCTTAGTTCACTAAGCTCTTTAAACACCTGCAGCTCAGTAACAACGATAGTATTGTCCGGCTATTTTACTTAGCAATGAGTTGATTTACCTGTCAAGATAAACTTCACTATACATATTATTGGACCTCTGGATTAATGCCTTATAAAACAGCACGTTTGTACAGTCCTACGAGTTTCATAAACATCAAACACTGATTTCATGTGATAGGCCGGATATTATATCAACATTTAGTGAAAGGAGCTTATTGCTGGGGGTTCAAAGATGAACTCTTATGAAAGCTAACCTTTTGGATTCAAGCTAAAAGTTTATTTTCTATGAGGGATTTTGAGTCATATGACAGGAGGTTACCCATGGCCTGTGAGAGAATACCACTTAAGTATCTGGTAGTCTAAGTCTGCCTTAAAAATACATTAAAATCAGTATATAGCCAAGTGATTAATGGCAGCATTAACAGCATGCACATTCACGATCTTTCTGCCGCTATGGAGATAATATATCAAAAACAAGGGAAAAGCATATTTTTTATCAGGTCAGAGATGAGCTTTATCATGGTTCAAATGACTTAATTTTTGACTACTTTTCTTTTACAAAATGTATGTTAGACATAAAAAAAGAATGTTTCCAGCTGTTTCCAGATCTTCTTTCAATTTATTTCTAATAAAGCACACATTTGGGTAAAAACTTCAAGCTGAGTTTTGAAAGCTGCAGACAGTTCTCTGCCTTAAACAGTTAATCAATGACACATACAAGCTGGCTTCAATTAAATTCAGTCTGTGATATCTGCGATTCAGTTAACTGCAGTAAGGAGAAAAAAGATTAAAACTATCACTTCCCAAAGGTGAGTAGCTCTCAAAAAAAAAGAAGGACAAAAAAATTTTTAGATAGTAAAAACAACAATAAAACATACCTCATGTATTAGAACCCCCAGCAGTAAGCTCCTTATGGTTTCATAGCCATTTGTTTAATTCTTGAGTGTCTCAGTGATAGATTTGCATTAAGCCGGTCTGTTTCTGCTTTCATCCTCATCAGAAAAGCATCCCAAAGTAAGATGGCATCAGGCTGCCTATCTAGCATGCCTTTATCTTATTATATAATGTAAATCAATTAGAGGCAATTTTGGGGAAAACTCAGTTCTCACTGAAAGTATTTTTTTCCTGCCTGTATCCAATATTGTAGTGGAGTGTGATAAGGATTTCAAATTGAACTACATTTAAGAAAGTGTGTTGTTTTAGGTGAATTTAAGGATTTAGTAATCTCTCACAATTAGTGCATATTAATTTACATCTGTCATGGCCAGATATGTGGCCATTTGGAAAAAGTGTTCCAAAGGCCCAGTAACTATAAGAACTCTCCCCAGCTTCCCGATAATGTGGTTTGGGGTTTCCTTCCTCTTTCTCTTTCTTATTACTGCTGTTTGATACTGCTTGTACCCCAGTCTCTCCCCCTTACTTCAAACACTTCTTATCTCAGGGGAGTAAACCCCATGACTCATATCTGCCTCCACTTCCTCCTTAAAGCCCCCACTAACTCTTTGCAATGTGTCCCGAGCTAGGTCACATCTAACCAGCCTCCCTCCTCGATCCTGGCCCAGTGCCTGTAACATAGAAAAGCTCTTTCAGTGAAATGGTACTCCTGAGAATCGTAGATAGATCTATGCCGGCTCTCTTTATACTCAAATGTCATAATTAACATTCACTCACTCAACAAATATTTGTTGGGTACCTTCTATGTACCAGACACTGTGTTGGGCACATAGTATAAAGGCATTATATGCATGCAGCTCTGTCACTCACTATGGGCTTTCAAAAATTAAGAAAAATAATGAGTGACTAGGATGGAACAATTTATCCCTGTTTCCTCCTTTCTGTTTTTAGCAAGAAACAGCAGCAGCAGCAGCAGCAGCACCACCACCACCACCTTTGAAAACATCAAGTTCAGGAAACATTTACTGGACATCTACTATATCCTGGGCTCTGTGCTTGGTGCTGGAGATAGCAACATAGGAACAAAAGGGCCTGCGCTGTGAAGGGTCTTAAATAAGAATGTAGACAAGGATAGCTTTGAGAATGAGAGTCTGGACAGAAACAAGGTGGTGGCTGCGGATATGAGGCAGGCCAACTAACCCTCCTCCGAGCAGCACTCGGAGGAGCCGGCCCACCATTTGGTGTGTCTCCCATGGGGTTAGGCAGGCAGGAGTTTCCGGCCTCCAGGAAACTCTTCTGGAAGGCCCTTCCTATATTCCTTGTTAGAGATTCCAGCACAACACATTTATATCCCCTACTGGCATCTCTGACCAAGACCATGGAAGCCACCAGTAGCTTGGAGCCCAGGTGAGCTGCAGACTTGGGAAGTGAGTGGGGCTACCAGATTTAGCAAATAGACACACAGGGTGCCTAGTTCAATTCGAATTTCAACTAAACAAACAAATAATTTTTCCCTATATGTCCCATAAAATGCATTGGTGTCTGTATTGTTCTGCATTTTATCCCACCACTCTACAAGTGGGGTAACATCTTTACTTCTGTTTAGCTTCATCAGGCATCCTAGACCAATTCAGAAGTAGCCTCCTCCCACCCTTGTCAGCCTCTGAAAGCATTGAGACATTTGGCAGGTGCCTCTGTTGTTTCGTTTTTCTGCTGACACAGATGAAATCTTACCTGCTCCTCGATCTCCACTGCCAAATTAAATTTGGCCTTTTGCAGTGAAAATGCATACCACTCTTGCTGAGCTTTTCTCCCTTCAAATACCTTGAAAAATCACCATCTTTATTCCATTTCAGTGCACTTGACGTTAGTTACCAAAAAAATAATGCCCACTTCAAAAAAGCTTACATTTAAGTTAAGAACGTTTTCTAATGGATCCTTATTTGTCTGTCCTGAGCAAAGTTAATGGTGTGGAAACGGATCTAGTAGTTCAAGGCAAATGGAAATCAACTTGAGAACATATTTTTCTTCTAATCAAATGTCACTTGTTTTAGGCTTGTACAAAGGATCTGAAAGCTCACTTTCTACTTGTTTAAAAATGTGTATATATGTTCATACATGCACATATAAGTGCATTACATATATTTTTTACATACAGTTTTTTTTTTGAAGGCAGTTGGAAGAAATTTCCCTTGCTTTGAGAGTTACTTATCATTAATGGAATAGAAAATCACCGGGCTTGGCTCACAGTTGCCCCTCAGTAAACATCTGTTAAGTGATTCAAGAAATATCGATCAGTTCATAAGCTTTTAATTGTTTAACTTTAATTTCTCCAGATGTTTCTAGTGTTACATTCAAAAGATAAATTATCATGATAGCTTAAAATATTAGAAATAACTGGAAGCTACATGATAAAGTACATAAGCTTATTGTTCATGGCCTTTATCCTAGATGTTTTCCAGTTGAGCTCTGCTATTTGCCAGAACAATTTATAGCTTCTCTGGTGTTTCTGCTTTCTCATCTGTAAAATGGGGACAATAATTTTCCCTGCCTCATAGGACTGTTGCAAAGATTAAATAAGATCATATTTATAAAGTACTTAGAACAGGGCCTGGCACATATAACCATCAATCACTGGGAGCTTTTTAAACTGAATCTATTGTAAACAGCTATACTAACCACCTTTGATCCTTCTAGAATCAAATAAATGATTTGATCCTCCCAGAATCAAATGAATTCCTAGAATGAGTTAATTTTGATATTTATGGGCCACTTTTGCTGAATTTCCATACATCTCTCACTCTCAGCAGGGTCTGGAGAATAGGGAACAATGGTTTTCACGGTACAATTAGCTTCAGAAGAAGAAATACACGTACAACACTGCTAATACCATTTAAAAAATATTCTAGGATTTATTTGGTGCTTGGTTATAATTTAATCAGTATCCTGGTATTTTGCAGCATTCTTATGTAAAACAAAATTGTATTTTCTGAATGTCACTCTGCTTTCCTTTGACATACTTTCTTTTCTTTTCTTTCTTTCTTTCTTTCTTTTTTTTTTTTTTTTTGAGACAGAGTCTCATTCTGTCTCCCAGGCTGGAGTATAGTGGCGCAACCTTGGCTGACTGCAACCTCCGCCTCCCAGGTTCAAGTGATTCTCCCGCCTCAGCCTCCCAAGTGGCTGGGATTACAGGTGCCCACCACCATGTCTGGCTGATTTTTTTTGTATTTTTAGTAGAGACGGGTTTCACCATGTTGGCCACGCTGGTCTTGAACTCCTGACCTCAGGTGATCCTCCCACCTCGGCCTCCCAAAGTGCTGAGATTACAGGTGTGAGCAACCGCTCCCAGCCACTTTGACATATTTTCTTTAAGTATAGAAATAATAATTTCAAAGAAATAGTTAGTTTCGTCTAAAAATCTGTCTCACAATCAAGATCAATTCACTTCATCTCTAAATAAACAGGCATGAATTATGCTCACAGAAATTTTACATGGGCTCCTCCTCAATAAAAGAAAGGATTTCGTTATCTTTCCTCCTTCAATGTCAATGCTTCTACCATCTGAGCAAAGAGATACTCTGAAATGCTATCCAAGTCTTGTCTACTCTCACCCTTACTAACATCTGAAAGTATGCTCTAGAAGAGGTCAGCACTTGTTTTTTCTTCCCATATCTGCTCTGGTTAAACATCTGTTAGACACTATGTCCTTTCTGAAAAACCACTGAGAAAGTGGACCCTCTTTGGGTCTGCGTGTGAAGTTGTCAACCACTATGAATTTTAGACTGATGCCATTAAGGATTTCATACTAGACAGCATTTTGTCACCTTACCAAAAATATTTGCTATTTTAAGCATTGTTTTTTCATGGTGAAGGTTAAGAAAAATTTCAACATATAATAAAGAAACAATCTTTTAATTTCATCTTTGCACAGGGTTTCTCTAATTAAAAAGGCAAGAATTGATTAATATGCTGCTTCTGAAAAGGACTCACTGAAGGAAGGTGATGCGCAATAGTAAAAACGACACTGCACGGAGTTCCCTCCTGCTCCCTGAGTTCTCATCCTTGCTCTGCCATTGATGAGCTAGAGAATGTTCGGTTGGTCCCTTGAACTCACCAGCTCTCATTTGCTTTCCATTTGTAAAGTGAGAAATAAAACGGAGACCCTCTGAGGTCTCTTTTCTAAAGTTATATAATTACAGGTACACGTTTTATACCTAATGCATGAACTCCTCATTTTTCAATTCAAGGTTTTTATACAATACCATATTTCTTCTATTTCAGAACTGAAATTAGGAAAATGTCATCATGAAATTTATTTCTGTTTGAATTCCAATTAAAGCTCAGACAAAGAAACTTGAAAGAATTGATTGCATCTCAGAAATACCTGCCACATTTTCGACTTACCAAGCAACCAATCAGAAAGAAGTGTGAGGGCCTATGGATTCCCCACTCTGAATCTCTGTTCATGTGTAACCCCTTTTAATGTAAGCAATCAGACAAATCACTTCAAAACAAAGGTTAGTGAATGAGTCTACAAAAGCCAGAAAAAAGTTTAAAGTATTAGACATAAGCAGTCGGGGAATATATGTAACCTCCATATATCTGAAAGGGCACAAAAAGTTCATTCCAAATGGATCATTCATCATAAAGTCAGGGGTCGAGTAAATAGGGAGTCATAATGAAGGGCTAAGTATGACCCTGGCTAATGTCCTCACACATACCCTTTGAATACACCTACATATGTGCATGAATGCACCATTATTAGCTCTCATTTATGTTAATCCAGTGAAGATGTTGTCATTGAACTACAGTTACTCAGTAGTAATGTTTTGTACCAAAAAATACTAAGTGATCGACTCATGTCTTTGAAGTTGTTTCATAATTCAGAATGAAAATGACCCCAGGAAAGCAATCTCGTATGCCTTCTGAATGACTTTCTCTTGTCTGACCTTTCATTGGAAAAAAATCAACTAACCCTTTGTTGGGATGCTGTGCTAATTATTCAAAGAGGTTTTATGTAATCCTTTCAAATATGAACCAACCGAATTCCCATTAAACTATTCCACAGAAGGCACATGGTTATAGCCATAGACAACCAATGTGACTCTGTGGCCTAATGATAGTTTGTGGTAGAAAGTTCTTGAGCTGAAAATAAATCACAAAGCAAAAAGGCCAGAGGGTGAGAAAGTAAAACCGAGACAGGATTGTTATGGCTATTATTAGTAGTTTTCTTGGCCTATAAATTAGCCAAATAATACAATTCAGAAAAAATAAATAACTTACTATCCTTTTGTTTTTATTACCCCACAAATGTCCACTAGCTTTTCTCATTTGCTACTGCCATATCAATGATGAATTTGATTACATTAAGACCAACAGGGGTCATGCTTCAGGGTACAGTCTGAATTTTTATAAACATCCTTACTTCTCTGAAAGTTTATTTCTTTCAGAGCTACTTTCTATTTTTCAGTTGACTTTTATTATGCTACAAGCCCTAACAAAACAGGAATTTAAATGTTCCTCCAACTGTACTACAAATAATTTCTAATCTCTTTCTTGCCATATGCTAGCAAGTAATATTCAGAGCCTCCCTGTGTAAGTGTTAAGATTTTAAATCTAAGGACAATGATGGGGCATTGTCAGTCTATGTTTTGAAGCTTCCTTTGTGCACCCCAAACAGAGCTCAAGCCTGAAATTGTTCACAATTATATTTGGCATTCCCCGATCTCATTGGATTTGACCAAAATAATTTTAAAGCAAAGTTAATTTACATTTAGTCAGGTTTCATCATAAATTTAAGCACAGTGATAAATCATTAACTAAGCATCGTTTAACAACTCAAATTAAAAAATATAAATATTGATTAGATACCATTTGAAAGCACTATAGTTAAGTTCATTTGTTCTTTGAACAGTTCCTATAAGAAAGGACACTGCAGAGAAAAAACGCCAATATGGTAGGAAATATTTGCAAGTTACATATCTAATAAGGGTTAATATTCAGCACATATAAAGAATTCCTAAAACTCAACAACAGCAAGCAACCCAATTAAAAAATGGGCAAAGAATTTGAATAGATATTTCTGCCAATAAGATATACAAATGGCCAATGAAAAGATGCTCAATATCTTCAATCAGTAGGGAAATATGATTCAAAACTACAGTGAAATACCATCTCAGACCTATACCATTAGGACACTATTAAAAAAAAAACATAGAAAATAAGTGTTGGTGAGAATGTAGAGAAATTGGAATCTTCACACTGCTGGCAGGAATGTAGAATGGCAAAGCCACTGTGGAAAACAGTATAAAGGTTGCTCAAATAATTAAAAATGAATTGCCATATGATCCAGCAATTCCACTTCTGAATATATACCCCACATAATTGAAATCAGGGATTCAAACAGATATTTACACACATATCCATAACTGCATTATGCACAAGAACCAAAATGTGGAAGAAACCCAAATGTCCATCAATAGATGAATGATTAAGCAAAATGTGGTATATACCTACAGTAAAATATTATTCAACCTTTAAAAGGAAGGAAATTCTGGTGCATGTTACAACATTGATAAACCTTGAAGACATTATACTAAGTGAAATAAGCTAGTCATAAAAGGAAAATAATACATGATTCCACTTGTATGAGGTACTTAGAGTTGTCAAATTCATACAGACAAAAAGTAGAAATGGTGGTTTCCAGGGGCTGGGGAATGGGAATTTGATGTTTAATGAGTACAAGTTTTAGTCTGGGATAATGAAAAAGTTCTGGAGATGGATAGTGGTGATGGTTACATAACAATATAAATGTGCTTAATGCCAAAGAACTATATACTTAAAATGGTTAAAATGGTAAATTTTATGTTACGTATATTTTATCACAATAAAAAATGTAACTACCCATATTGTGCTAACAATGTAAGGAGGAGATGAGTGTGTGTATAAAATTAGTACTAGAATATCTGTAATTCAAGGTAAGAGAGATAGCGGCAAGCCACTAGAAATTAAATACTATGGTGTTCAGGGGATGCAAAGATAATATTCAGGGGTTACAGGAAATTTTTCATGGAGTATATAGTTGCTGGAGTTCATCTTTGGAAGATTAATGCAATTTTACTGAATAGAGATGGTGGGGGCAGGTATCCTACAAAAAGTGACCCATACAAACAAAGCATGGAAGCTAAAATCTTGGGGGTGATTTTAGAGCTGTGATTTCTCCTTGTTAGGCTACAGTGTAGAGCAGTGTTTGTCAAACTTTAGTCTTTATACAGATCACTGGGGAATCTTGCTAAATTGTAGACTCTGATTCTATAGATTCTAATATACAATCCAAAATTCTTTATTGCTAATAGGCCCCCTATTAGAAATGGTGATGCCAATTCCACTCTTAGTACTCATGTCTTGAGAATCCATACCTACAAATTAGACTGGCCCAAGATTGAAGGTTTTAAAGGCTGCAAGTTTGTATGAATTTCAGAATTAGTGAAGAACCAGTGAAACTCTTCCGGGTAGAGAAATTATATTACTCATGCTATCCCTTAGGAAGATTGATCCAGCAGCCATGTGTAGGTGGCAATAGAATGGGCAGAGACAGACACTGGGGAGACTGGTTAGGCTCAGGGGACCAGTCAAGAGGCTGTTAATAGAAACCAATCCAGATGTGCCGAAGCCTGAAGAGGCAAGTAGGGGTGAGAATGCAAAGGGAAGACTAAGTGAGGGGACAGTGCAAAGGCAGATGTGTGTCTTGGCAGCTGACAATGCAAGGGAATAGATGAGGAGGAAAAGTAAAAAATGCTAATGATTAGGGTAAACATTCAATCAGGTTAAGTTTATGCCTGTCATCCCAGCATAATTATTTATAGTGCCCCTTTATTAGTCCATTCTCACCCTGCTAATAAAATCATACCTGAGACTGGGTAGTTTATAAAGGCAAGAGGTTCAATTGACTCACAGTTCAACAGGGCTGGGGGAGGCCTCAGGAAACTTAGAATCATGGCAGAAGGGGAAGTAAACACATCCTTCTTCACATGGCAGCAGCAAGGAGAAGTGCTGAGCAAAGAGCAGGAAAAGCCCCTTATAAAACCATCAGATTTCGTGAGAACTCACTATCATGAAAACAGCATGGAGGTAACCACTCCCATGAGTCAATTACCTCCCACTGGATCTCTCCCATGACATGTGGAGATTGTGGGAACTACAATTCAAAATGAATTCCCCAGTCTCAGGTATGTTTTTATTAGCAGGGAGGGGACACAGCCAACCATATCAGCCCCCTTTCACACCAAAAAATGCCCTGGTTTGGCTGATTAAGTAATATGACTGGTTTTGACCACATTACTTTACATACTTAATATTAAGTAATATGGTCAAAACATACTTGACCATACTTTACTGGTTTTGACCACATTACTTAATGTACTTAATATTAAGTAATATGGTCAAACCATACTTAAGTAATAGAAAAGAAATATGGTTTGACCATATTACTTAAGTATGGTTTGACCATATTACTTAAACCATATTACTTAATATGGTTTTGACCATATTACTTAATGTAAGCTTAATGTGTAAAGCTACACCCTAGCTTTAAGCACAGGTGACAAACAGGACATAAAGATGAGTTAGGCTGGTTTGTAGTGGGTAGAGATGAAGTGATAGTCATTCATTCATTCATTCAGTATTTTGCAAATGTCAATTATATGCCAGGTACTGTTCTAAAGTGCTGAGGATACCTAAGTTTAAATAAAAATGACAACAACAAAAAGCCTTGTCCTCCTGTAGTTTATGACTTAGTGGGTACTTACGCATTCTAGAAGTGGGGTGGAGGAGGAAATGGGAAGGCAGCAGGTTGAAGGTGCAAGAATTACAGCTGGGGCAGTGTCAAGCACAGAATCAAGAATGAAGGATTAGCCAGGCACCTAATAGTCCCAGCTAATCAGGAGGCTGAGGATCACTTGAGCCTGGAAGTTCATGGCTGTAGTGAGCTGTGATTGAACCTGTGAATACCCACCACACTCTATCCTGACCAACATAGCCAGACCCCATCTTTAAAAAAAAAAAAGGATTAGAATTTCAAAGGGAGGAAGCTGACAATTTAGATATAGATACGGATTTTTATGGAAGGATGAAGCTTTGGGATTGGGTGAGATATCTCCCTGACAGAGACCAAAGAAAGAAGAGACCTTGGGCAGTGCCTAGGCTTAGGGGACAGAATGAGGAGCCAGTAAGCCTGAGAAGGAGAAGTTAGGGAGGTGAAAGAAGCACCAGGACACTGCTCTATGACAGCCAAGGAAGCAGGGAGGTCAAGGGCCTTCCAAGTAACAATATCAAATGCTGCTGAGAGTTCTAGAAGACAGGCCTGGGGCCACTGTGGGGAAAAGGAGGGTTGGCTTTGGGAAGGAATGAACATGTACTTGGGGGTTGGTCAATAAGATGCTACATGGTATTCAGCACATAAGAAAAACTTACTGAGACTCTTAAGGTGTCCGATTTATTCTAAGATAGTTTTATGTATTTTATGCAATTTTTTTCTATTGTTAGTAAAAACAATCATTTTGTTGTTATTGCTCCTAGAGGCTTGGAACAAAATTAAGCAAAAGCTATAAGCATCTCCTTTTCCATCAATAATGAGTACATATTTTTCCTCACAGGATTACCCTGAGGATGGGTTATAGATAATGCCTGTGTGCTTTAAAAATCTGAAGCAGCAAACAAGAGCCACGTTCTGGTAAAAAAAACATTTAATTTTACTTTGTGTCTTCTTTTGAATGTGAAGAGACATCTGGGAAAAATACTGAAAGTAATAAGAGGTATGTGTGTGACTTTAATGATACTGAATGGAAAAAATACTGGATTTTCTCTGGAAGGTCAAAGGTCTTTTATCTATCCAGAATTGTCGGTACTACAACTGTTATTCTTATTAATTCTATTGATCTTTGCATGATGACAGAAAAATGTTATCGTAGACTCATGGGACTAAATGAAATCTTAGCAGAGCATTTAAATTATTCTCCCCCACCCCCGCTTATACTCTCATCTCCCCCAGGACACACACACACACACAACCACGCAAGCTCCACTTACAGAGGATGAGAATGCATCCTATTTTTAATGCTTTTAGGGAAGATGATATAATATTCCTGGATAATCCATATCACAATAGAAAAGCCTACACTTAGAGCAGGAAGGTGTGTGATCACCTTCTGGGTTATAATGTAGTCCTTTTTTGTTTTTCCCTTGTCCTAAACCCAGAGGTTGGGGCTGGGAGCAGTTTTTACACCCAGCAGAGGAAAACAGGAATTGATTGAATGGGTAAATCAGTAATAACCTATCTAAAAACCAAATGAACAAGGTCCTGTTATTAAAGCCATTCACAATAGCCAATACAATTCTGGTAGGAATGTTGGGTAATTTCTTAGTGGCTGGATGGCTACTTTTACAGCCCTGGGACAATGCTGGTATTAGTTACTATTTGTCCAGTGAAGCAATTGAGCCAAGTTTATTTTAAAGGGGGGTCTCCAGAGTTTCCTTGGTTATCATACTTGTAATTCATGCAGCAAGTTAGCCAGTGGTGTTCTCAGGGAAGTGGGTGGTTAAACTTAAAACTGGCAAAGCAAGCAAGCCCTGAAGCCCTGGCATTTCAGCACCCCCACTCCCTACTGAGACCAGCTGAGACTCCACTCCCAAGGCCAGGCTGAACGTCCACTGTGCCACACAGGGAGCTGTCACCCCAAACATACCAAATGCTTTCCACCCTCTGCACCTTTGCTCTCCCTGTCCTCATGCCCTTTCTCCTCTTCCCACCTGCATTAGTCTTACCTTCCAAGGCCCACCTGGAGCCCCATCTCCTCCACTACACCTTGACTTGCTGTGGTTCTCAGGAATAATTCCATTCTCTGAAAACCTGCACTTCTTATTAGAAACATAGGCCAGGCGTGGTCGGGCGCAGTGGCTCACGCCTGTAATCCCAGCACTTTGAGAGGCCGAGGCGGGCGGATCACGAGGTCAGGAGTTCGAGACCAGCCTGGCCAATATGGTGAAACCCCGTCTCTACTAAAAATACAAAAAATCAGCCGAGTGTGGTGGCGGGCGCCTGTAGTCCCAGCTACTTGGGAGGCTGAGGCAGGAGAATTGCTTGAACCCAGGAGGCAGAGGTTGCAGTGAGCTGAGATGGCACCACTGCACTCTAGCCTGGGTGACAGAGTGAGACTCTGACTCAAAAAAACAAAAAAAAAAAAAAGAAAAAAAGAAACATAGGCTGGGCGTGGTGGCTCACACTTGTAATCCTAGGACTTTGGGAGGCTGAGGCAGGCAGATAGCTTGAGCCCAGGAGTTCGAGATCAGCCTGGGCAACATGGTGGAGCCCCGTCTCTACCAAAAATACAAAAATTAGCCAGGTGTGATGGCATTTGCCTGTGGTCCCAGCTACCAGGGAGGCTGAGGTGAGAGGATCTCTTGAGCCTGGGAAGTCGAGGCTGTGGTGAGCTGAGATCACGCCACTGCACTCCAGCCTGGGCAACAGAATAATACCCTATCTCAAAATAAAAAAACAAGAAACGTGATCTGACATGTAGTGTACTTGATCTTAACTGTCACTTTTTTGTACCATCAGCTCAAATGGACTATAAAACTGGATCTGATTTTCCTTAGAGAGCTCTTATGACAATTAGACTAAGATATCCTATCATATGTTTGAAAGCACCTTGTAAAATAGTCCACATTAAAAATACACCCTATAGTATTTTTTCCTGACATTTGCAGAATTTTTCATAAAAGCCATATAACAATATTTAAAAGGTTAGAAATCAGATCTCTTTACAATGGGGGTTTTAATTGGAAGGATTATAATGCATAATGTAAATTATACTTTCATGTTTGTTCTGGTAGCTCCTTTATTGACATGACCCCATCTCTGATTTGACATTTAATAGGACTTAGAAGGGTAGGAGGTTTTCTGTTTGTATATCACAACATTTAATTGCCTGTTCTCTCACTGGGAAGGCATGAGAAAGACACTTTGTATAATTAAAATAAATAGATAATACTGATGTAGAAATGGATGTAAATATAGATAAGTTTAATCTTCACAACAGGCCCAGGAGGTGGACAATATTCACATCCTCTTTTACAGATAAGGAAACAGAGAACAAAACAGTTCAGTAACTTCCCCAAGGTCACACAGCAGGTGACCAGCTGGGATTCACACCTGGCATTCTGATCCCAGGGTTCACATGCTTGCTTAGTCACTTTACTGTGACAAGGCAGCAAAGAGCTGAGCAAGATTTGATTCCATTTAATTTGAGCATCATTTATTGGACATTTACTAAATGCCAAGATCTATGCTAAGTGCTAAGGATGAAAAATGAATATGATAAGGTCCCTGCACTCAAGGACAATGTTCTCAGACATGACTCATAAAAACACATAATTTTAATACTCTTGCGATAAAATAAATGCATGCAAGACAGAGAAGAGTTACTTATCAGACAGATGTTTTATAGTTTGACTTATTTATTTTACTTAAAATGTGGAGGCCAGGCGCGGTGGCTCATGCCTGTAATCCCAGCATTTTGGGAAGCTGAGGTGGGCGGATCACCTGAGGTGAGGAGTTCAAGACTAGCCTTACCAACGTGGTGAATTCAAGACCAATCTGGCCAACATGGTGAAACCCCGTCTCTACTAAAAATACAAAAATTAGCCAGGCATGGTGGCGGGCGCCTGTAGTCCCAGCTACTTGGGAGGCTGAGGCAGGAGAATGGCTTGAGCCCTGGAATCAGAGGTTACAGTGAGCTGAGACTGCACCACTGCACTCCAGCCTGGGCAACTGAGCGGGATTCTGTCTCAAAAAAAAAAAAAAAAAAGGTGGAGAATACCCCTACCGTCACACACACACACCCCCACCCCCCACCCCCCCCACACACAAATTCAAGTTCATCCAGTTGGTATAGACCTTTCCTCTGTGTGCTTTCTTAGGTAAGACTGCATGCAAACGAGGGAACTGTCTCTGCCCTGGCCCTGAAGCAAGAAATTAGTCAAAGGGGGAGGCAGGAGAGGATCTGGTAAACAGATGCAAGAGAATACAATGGTGTCAATGCTGTCAGAGAAGAAAGAACAAAGTTCCCAGAGAAGCTATTTGAACTAGACCTTGAAGAACAAACAGGCAATTGACAAGCCAAAGTGGGGCTCAGGCAGAGAGGTGTAGAGCAGGCTAGGCCTTTCCAACCAGAGGGTACCCGTGCCAGGTTCAGGTGGGGAAGGGGGGTGTGTTCAAGGTGAGGGAGAAGGAGAAGGTCAGTGTGTCTGGAGCATAAAGTGCAGGGGCAAGGGTGGCACAGCATGGCATGGCAGACAGAATTGGATTGAGTCCAGACAGTGAATGGTCTTACAGGCCTGGCCCAGAATTGTAGACATAATCACAAAGGCAATGAGGTAGGAACAAATTCTAGAAGCAAAAATATCACTGACTGACTTTTTTCTAATTTTAGATCACCTCTACGAGTATATAGGAATGCTATGTTCTGAGGAATGTATATTTGAGGGAACAAATGTCCTCTGAGAAAATAAATTTAGTAGATGCCAAATATTATATTACCTTATCAGAATTTTACAATTTAGACTAATATAAAAATATTAAACACTTTGACCACTTTGGCAGTAAGAAAATCTATTTGCTTACTCCAATCTTCATTAAATTTATTTAACCATTGAATTTTTTTGCTCCCTACCCCCTACAAAACGCCTATTAAACGCTTCACAGTTGACTTATGCTAATAGGCAATAAGGGTGTGACCCAGGAGAGGCTATATACATATGGGCACATACATTACATATTCAGAAAAGCATTCAGAAGAAAATGCTCATAGAATTTTAGAAATTATAATTCCTTGGCTGGGCACGGTAGCTCATGCCTGTAATCTCAGCACTTTGGGAGGCCGAGGTGGGCTGACCATTTGAGGTCAGGAGTTCGAGACCAGCCTGACCAACATGATGAAACCCCCCTCTCTACTGAAACACAAAAATTAGCCAGGCGTGGTGGCAGGCGCCTGTAATCTCAGCTACCCAGGAGCCTGAGGCAGGAGAATCGCTTGAACCCAGGAGGCGGAGGTTGCAGTGAGCTGAGATTGTGCCACTGCACTCCAGCCTGGGTGACAGAGTGAGACTCCCTCTCAAAAATAAAAAAATAAAACTAAAAATAAATTAAAACATAAAAAATTCCTTGATTATATATTAAGGATCTGCTTCTTTAATTACTTTCAAGTGTTTTCAATATTATTTCTTGGAATATGAATAATTCATTCCTCGATATGGTTTTGCATAATGATACATCAAAGTCAAAATACCATCCAATAATTTCCCACACCTGCCCCCTCTAGGGCTTGTCCTTTAAGTTTCCTACAGAGACGGAACTGACTTGTCCATGGCCACAAAGGATGGGATGGTCACATGAACTCCATAAGCTGAAGATCTTCTTGGCTCCTAGCGCAAACGCATAGACCAGGAGACCAGGCTACGCTGCCATCATAAACGAAGCATGGCATACCTTGCAGGCACTGAGTCATGCAGAATTGAATGTTCTTAGTGGAATTATCTGATGTTCTGTGTTCTGTTGGGTAACTTCAGGTCACTTGCCCTGAATTTTAATTTTAATTTCTTTCGAGCAAATTACATTTCAAGTTAAGTCAATCCAGTTATAGAAGTTGTGCCGAATCTCCCTGGCATCCAGGGCTTTTGCGGTGCTGTGCCCTGTCCCCTCCCCACAGGTAACTCCTACTCTCCACTGTCCTCAGCTGAAATGCCACTTCTCCTAGACCCTCCCCACACTGGGCAGATCGCTGATATCAACTCTCGGGATGCCATGTATCTCTTCCTACTTAGCATTGATATCATCTGTAATTGTAAGTTTATTTATGTGGTTATTTGTTTACTGTTGGTCCTTTCAGTAGGCTCTGAAATCTATGAAGGGAGGGACCCTGATTCTGCTCGATATTGCATTGTAGCATCCAGCACACAAATGTTAAGTAAACAAATAAACATGGATTCAAGAACTCTAAAAGGCCATAATTTAAGAGAGTAGAAATTGTGACTCTACATATATTGGCTATAGCCTAGGCCTCATTTGAAATTACAGAAAAATGCGATTCCATTGGTAACAAATAGGCTATCTTATGTTTGAAATTACAGAAGAACATGATTACATTGGTAACACTGATAAGAAATAAATGCTCTTCCACCGATAAGCATTATAGAAAAATGGTATTCCTATGATTTAGCTATTCTGTTGATAGCTAAATAAATATTAGCTATTACTATTATAATTAGTGAACAACGTAAACTTAACTGCCTTTAGTATCATTCCATGATATCTAGCTTCCAGGCAGTACTTTATTTATATACGCAACATAATTGGCATTTACATACTTTAAATATTTTTGGCCTAGTGGGTCTGGGCTGGTCTGGGATGGTGGGTAACATCTAGTTAGAGCTTCCATTATAAATTGAAAAATGAAATATTGGAAATCAAACTTTCAAAATTTATTTAGATTCCCTCATAAGACATTTCATGTTTCTCCCACTATTTCCCTTTCTTTGTCTCACAGACATGCCACATGGGTAGCGTATGCTTCCTTTGAGGCTGAGTTTACCACGGAATACTACACACGGAGAAGAATCTGGCAGTAAGGCTGGCCACAGTGGCTCATGTCTGTAATCCCAGCACTTTGGGAGTCCCAGGCAGGAGAATCGCTTGAGGCTAAAAGGTCGAGGCTGCAGTGAACTCCCACCTGGGCAACAATGTGAGACCCTGTGTCAAAAAAAAAGGTCTGGCAATGGCTTCTGCAGGGACCAGTGTAACTGGCACACAGTCAGTGTTTGATTTGAAATACAAAGCTGTGGCTGGGTGCAGTGGCTCACACCTGTAATCCCAGCACTTTGGGAGGCCAAGGCAGGTGGATCACCTAAGATCAGAAGTTTGAGACCAGGCTGGCCAACGTGGCAAAACCCCATCTCTACTAAAAATACAAAAAAAAAAGAAAAAAATTGGCAGGGCATGGTGGCATGCACCTGTAATCCCAGCTACTTGGGAGGCTGAGGCAGAAGAATTGCTTGAACCTGGGAGGCACAGGTTGCAGTGAGCTGAAATTGTGCCATTACACTCCAGTCTGAGAAACGGAGTGAGACTGTCTCAAAAAAAAAAAAAAAAAAAAAAAAAAAAGAAACACGAACACGAAGCTGCACATTCCCTTTCTAGTCATCTGCATGTCTCATGCACCTGGTACTTTTCTCCTTCGTGAGTTTGTTTTTCTACCAGAAGTTTTCATCCATGAGGAGGTGGAGTGTCGGGGGAGGGGAAGTGGTTTGGCCAGCTAAATGTATACAGCAGGGAGCTCGTTCAAGGGCACCAGGTTCGATTATTAATTTAGCCTGACCAACCAAGACAACAGAAGGCTAGAATTCAAACTTTGATTGCGTGGTTCTATTTAATGTGTCACCTGCAAGATAAATTATCCCTGGGAGAGCAACTTGGTTGGCTAGCCCAGCTCTACAGCAAAGATAACTAAGGCTTAAGGACAGTGTCTTGTACAATGAGGTCTGATCACAGGCTGTACTCAGATAAAAGGAACAGTGACATTGCTTTGAATCTAACAACCAATAATAACAACTAGGTAGCTTCTTCCTTTAGCTTTAACCCTGCTGTTTATTACTTGGTGGCTGTTGAACGGAAATCCTTCTCTTCAGTTTCTAAATCAATGGTTAAAGCACTGTCATGTTGCCAGCCAAGCTAAGAGTCCGGGAAGCTGACTGTTAAATCACAGAAACCACTCAGTAGGGTTTGTTAAACACTGACCAATCCATATTTTAATGCATCTTAAGAGTACTCTGTGTCCACTGGCCCGAGAAAGCAAATGCTTTTGAATCACGTCATTTAATATTAATAAGCTGCAATGAACTTTAAAATGTAGCAGTTATGTACTGTAGCACAAAAGTAAATAATCCTGGAAGTAGAGTAGTACAACAGTGAATTAGCATAAAAATAGAATATACTAATTTGAATTGTAGAATAAGGACTCAAAGTACAGAGTATTGAAACTACTCTAATGGTTTAGTTAATGACACCCACCGTGTTCTACAGAAATGTAGTCCTCAAACTCTTTGATCTCTTCATCCACTGTGGTACTCATATCCTGCCCATCTCCTTAATCCTTACTCCACCCACCTCTACCCTCAAAAAAGACTGCATGCTGAGCAAGGAGGGACTTAGTTAAATGTGCCCAGGGCTCCATGGGAAGAGCATGGGTGGTAAACTAGCAGAGAGCAGATGACCTACATATGGAACCAAAATGATGGCAGAGAATAGAAAGAGACTCCAAAGAATATACATAATCTTTTTCCTGAATCATGTCTGGGTTGATAATAGTTTCAACACACCTTGGAAATCCAGATTTTTAGTTTGGAAGAAAGGTTCGGAATATATATATATACACATGCATGTCTGGATTGATAATAGTTTCAACACACCTTGGAAATCCAGATTTTTAGTTTGGAAGAAAGGTTCGGAATATATATATATATATATATGCATGTCTGGGTTGATAATAGTTTCAACACACCTTGGAAATCCAGATTTTTGGTTTGGAAGAAAGGTTCGGAATATATATATATATATATATATATATATATATATATATATGTAGAAAACAGAAAGGGAAATTGCTCTTAGATGCATCCATAGAGTGTCAAAGTAAGAAAGTTTTCAAAATGAAAAAAAGGCAAAGTGCCTATTTGGTACAGCTGTCCTAAACTGTGAGCACAGGAAAAAAGTAAAATTGATCAGAAAAATAGGAAAGCAGAAGCCAGAGGAACTGGTAACTGAGTAAAAGAGTATTTGCCCAGAATGGTAAAAAAAAAAAAAAAAAAAAAAAATGACCAGCATTTTTACCTGTTTAAGAGCAGAGATAAAGGGGAATGAGAAGGGTAAACCAGATAACTAGATTCTAAAAGCTTAACTTGGCTGGGCGCGGTGGCTCACGCCTGTAATCTCAGCACTTTGGGAGACCGAGGAGGGCGGATCACCTGAGGTCAGGAGTTTGTGACCAGCCTTGCCAACGTGGTGAAACCCTGTCTCTACTAAAACTACAAAAATTAGCTGGGCGTGGTGGTGCATGCCTGTAGTCCCAGCTACTTGGGAGGCTGAGGCAGGAGAATCACTTGAGTCCGGGTTGCAGTGAGCCGAGATTGTGCCACTGCACTCCAGCCTGGGCAGCAGAGCAAGACTCTGTCTCAAAAAAAAAAAAACAAAAAAAAAAAAATTAAAATTAAATAAAAATAAAATTTAAAAAGCTTAAACTTAAGCCTAATGTGTGAGTCAAATTGAGTAATAAGAGTAATAATACTAAATTTGCAATTATTTCCTTGCTTGCGTTTATTCATTTGCTCATCAATTCATTATTTATTCATCAGGTATGTTGATATCAGCTGAATTCAACTGCATGCAAACACAAAGCAGCTTCACTCTCTTTTTCAACATTTTGTCTTGAAACCCTCCCTGTGAACCATTTGTTCCTCACCCTGGATGAAAACCCAAGTGCCATGGTTCTTTGATTCACATAGCTAATTAAAAGTAACCTGGTCACATTTGGTCCTAAGGACAACCTCATTTTCATAATTGAAATATCCAGTCCACTGTAATTATAAAAAGCTTCAAATTGGATCCAAGATTCAAGGTTTTCTTGCTCTTCAGTTTCCCCTTTCTCCCCTACCCTGCTCTTGTTAAATCACCCTGCCTTCCTCAGGGGCTCCAGGAAGAGAAAATGTCTTACATGCTGAGCTAGCGGGTCACATGAGCTCCATATGGTCACCCTCCAGGTATGGTAAATTCCCAAGGCTGATTCTTCTCCAGGAGGGCACATTGCTGGGGTTCTTTCTCAGCCCTGGGTGTGTGGTGGCCTCCCCCATCCAGGTCCCAACAGGCAATTCTCAAGGTGACCTCCTCTGGGGGGGTCGACGTGCAGCCTGGAACTAAGGGACGTGTGCCCACTGCCATTAGTAGGAGGGGTTTCCTCCTAGTGTCTCTTTCTGTTCTCTCATCATGGCAGGTAGACCAAGGCAGAGCCTTTTTGCCTTTATGTTTCCAGAAGTCACCATTTCCTGGGCCCTCCAAAGTCCAGAAAATATACGCCAAGTTCTCTGGTTCTCTTGTGGCACTGGAATCCTGGGGGCCCCTTATCTGACTTGGGGTGAGAGAAAGCCCAGCATATTGACTGCTCCACCAAGAACAGACCTGCCCTCCTCACTCTTCTACCTTAATTTAAACTTTTTTAAAATTTCGAGGTGGCTGATGGGCTGAGAACAGACAGGGATTTTTACAACCTTCTTTGCCAATTCTGCATAGGCCTGCTAATATCTTGGTTTGGTTGGGTTGACAGGTGGAGGGACATGTCACCTAATTTTCTTTCTTTAGAGATGGGGTTTCTGTTGCCCAGGATGAAGTGCAGTAGTGCAACTATAGCTCACTGCAGCCTTGAACTCCTGGGCTCAAGTGATACTCCCACTTCAGCCTCTCCAGTAGCTAGGACTAGAGGTATGCATCACTATGCCTAGCTAATTTATTTTTAGTTTTAGAGATTGGATTGTGCTATATTGCCCATGCTGGTCTTGAACTTCTGGCCTCATGCAATCCTCCCACTTCAGCTCCTAAGTTGCTGGGATTACAGAAGTGCGCCACTGAGACCAGCTGTGCGTAATGTTTTCATCTCAATAGTAGGGAATCTCAGGTGAAACTGACTAAAGTGGTTGTGCTTTATCATGGGGTTATAATGAACAGAAACATTCTAGTCTGTGCCCATGTTTGCTGGCCCTGTGCTAAGTGCTGGGGATTCAAAACAAAACAAAAAACCGTGGTGACTTGTCTCAAGGAGTCCACAGTCAAGGATGCACTCCCCTGTACTGCCCAGTCTGTGTTTAAGTGGTTGTTATGCTGGACCCCTATTCACTCCAATAGGGATGGCATGAGTCCAAGAGGTTGAAGAAGAGATCTGGAGAGAGTGAACGAGATATAAGGTTTATTGGGGAATTTACAGACAGGGACAGTGCAGTGGCAGCAGGCTGGACAGGAGTACCGCTACTGATGGTAAAAAGCCTGATGTTAGTATAACATTTTCACTTAGCACCTTCCACCTAGCAACCTCCATTTAACCCAGCACCAAGGGCCTCTATCCCCTGTATAGCCTGTGTTTCAAAGGATGGGACTGGGGTCCAGATGTCCTTCATGGACAAGGAGTGAAACTCCAGATTGGCCGCTCCCAGATTCTTTAGCTTGGGACTCCAAACACACACTCTCCTTAGACCACAGGGTCATTCTTGGGCTATGCCTCAGTTAAATTATTGCTTTCAGATGCATCGGCCATATGGTGGTCTTTCCTCTGTAAGCACATGAGTGTCCTGGGCTAAGAAGCTGGGAAGGGGAAAAGGACAAAAGTGAAGGGTATGAGGGGAGCTAGAGTTCAATGGTGCCTTTCTATAAGGTGGGGACTGCAACATAGAGTTTCTCTTCCCCAACCACCAGAGGCGTTAAAATTAGGAGGCGAGCAGAGCCAACAGGAGTTGAAAGCTGTGGTCCACCAAGCCCCAGACAAATCTAATGGCTTGGTGAACAGTAGGAACTGAAAACAGACATCAAGACTGAGGTTCTGAGAACTAAAGGAAAACTGAGCAAAAACGACCAGGTTTAGAGCAAGTAGCCAGAGATCAAGAGTGACTGCCTAGAAGAGGCCAGTTTGTGCTTGCCTTTATCCACCAGCAGAGGCATAATATCTTAGTGGATGGGCAAAGTTAAAGGGCCAGGGCAGTGCAGTCACGCACAGGTCTAACCGCAGGGCCACACCCTGCAGAGGCAGCTCTGTGTGGATTTGGAGGAGCTCTTTAGCTGCTGGGATTGTTGCTCAAAGCCTATAGAAGTTGGGGCCCAAGCTGAGTACATACCCACAAAGGAGGAATCTGGCTTCAGAGTTCAGCTAAGTCACATCTCTTCTAGAATGTTGTCATCCATTTGGAAGTCAGTAAGCTGCTGCCCTGCATTGCTAATTCCCCTTTGTAGACACGCCCTATCCTCTGACTTGCACAAGCCTATGGACCTGAAATTACCTACTTGGTTCTCTGTCTAGCAGCCTGGCAGCCACACCAACGTTACTCAGATTAGCAGGCTGAGATCTGTCCCAGACTCTAAGATCAAACCTAATCTCAGTAGCCTTATATGGGAGGCATTGAGCATTGTGTCAGTGTTGCTGCCGGTGCCTTGTGACTTCAGTGTCCTGAGCTCCTAGTACCTCGCTGACTCTTTACATCTTTGCCTCATCAATCCTTCAGTCCTTGAGGTTAGGGGTCCTTCTTTTTTTTTTTTTTTTTTGAGATGAAGTTTCGTTCTTGTTGCCCAGGCTGGAGTGCTATGGTGCAACCTTGGCTCACTGCAACCTCTGCCTCCCAGGTTCAAGCGATTCTCCTGCCTCAGCCTCCCAAGTAGCTGGGATTATAGGTGCCAACCACCACGTCTGGCTAATTTTTTTGTATTTTTAGTAGAGATGGGATTTCACCATGTTGGCCAGTCTGGTCTCGACCTCCTGACCTCAGGTGATCTGCCTGCCTTGGCCTCCCAAAGTGCTGGGATTACAGGCTTGAGCCACCGCACCCAGCCTCTTGAGGTTAGTGGTCCTCCTAAGACAACACCCAGTACATAAGGTATGTGAAACTGGTATGTAAGGAAGAATGAACCCACTAATTGAACAGTTTGAGGAGGGAAAGGGTCCTTTCTCCCATCATTTGAGAGAGCTATGGTGGGAGGAACTGTGGTGGAGGAAAGCAGAGAAACCTTCTGGTGGAGGAGCGAGGGAGTGAGCTGGGCCAGGCCAGGTGCAAATTGCTTCTCACTGCATCCTCTCCATCATCTACCATTTTCAGCTATTTATTTGCCTGCTATACTGTAATAATATGGGTTTACAATCTTTTTTCTATCGTAAACTACAGAGAACATTTTAAAAACACCCTTAATTAATTCACATGAGAAATTAATTATTCTTATAGTCACATTGTTCATTCACATTTAATTACTTCTAAGTGCATAAATAAAATTTAAAAGTTTACTTCCATTAAATTTATATTACATGGTCATATAATCTAATAATTATGCCAATTGCAATTAAAATGAATTTACTACATTAATTTCATCTCATTTATCTTCGTTTATTATGTTTGAGTGTAAGGTAATCTGTAATTATGCTTAGGAAGCAAGAATATCCTGTAATTTTGACCTCAGTATCTTCACAAGTCTGGAAGTAATTCAAAGGGTTTTTAAAGCTACACTGCTAGAAGTCTGACTTATTTTCTCATCTTATTTTAAAATATCAGTTGAAGAAACAGAAATGAGAATGATCCACCCTTCTTTCGTGCAAGGATAAAATAGAGATATGGAGGCCATTTTCAGCAGCAAAATTTCATACCGTCATTGGTGCCTGTGGAATCTAGATTAGAAGAAAAGATGCTAGGGTCTGGAAAAGGTAAAACACCCAGAAAATTCAATTAAAAGTATGTCTTTAGTACTTACTTTATGAGCAAAGGTATGCAAGCTATTAATAAATATAAGAAAAAAGTATTCTCATCTTTGATAATTTTATAAAAGCTAGAATTGTTGAGATTAACTTCAGTTCTGAAATCTGAACCAAAGACTGTTCTCTGGCTTTTATGTTGCTTTGCCCAAGAGTGACATGGGTCAATTGCCTTAGGATATGTTTACCATCAACCTGGTGTTTTAATAGAACTTGAGTTTTGCTACCCAGCTCCCTGGAACACCTGACTTTGTTAGAACAAGTTACTAGGAATTCCAAGAGCACCAGCTCTATCTTGTTTTGCAGCGCAAGCTTTACTCTACTTGAGAATGACAGAGGGCACTGGGAGCTCCAACCTCTTCATAAATTTGTATCATTTGTTACAAAGAAGAAATAAGAGGGCAAAAATAAATGAATGCAAATCTAACATCACTATTGGAAATATAACTCAGGACACACACTTTGTGTCAGGAATGCTATGGTCAAGTATGAAGAGAGAGTTGTTATTCCTGGTCCAGGAAGAGAGCGAGCTCCCATTCTAGCTCCTTTAGAGAATAATGCAGGCTTTATCTCTGGTGAATATCATACTAGTGGCTAGAAAACCCTATCCGTCATTAAGATGCAAGAGTTCTTTACATTTTGCACACTGGGCCAGAAGGAGAACTACTCTAGATGCATCGTTAAAAATCTCTGTGTCCCTTTTCTCCTCTAGATAAGTTTATATATCATATTTTCAGGTGCAGTTTCATGGACTGGTTCCTACTTCTGTCTTTCTTTAACAGGACATACTGATTTTATCAGGCAGCACTTGAATTCTGGTAACAATTCAGCTGGTTGCTTCTTAAAGTATGTGTGTCACAGAAAGGATTTTCCCTTCTTATTGACTAGAAAACATCAGAGTCTGGGTTATCACAAAAATATAACAAGAAAACATCATTAATTATTGTTAAGAAAATTCACCAAGAATACAAAACTTCATTTTATTTTAAAACAAGTGACTGCATCTTAAGAAATGGAAAACAATTTAGATCAGGTTTAACATTGTGATTGTGTGCTCTAGGTAGTGAAAAGCAGAGCCAACGATATTGACAATCAGCAAGACGAAACCCTTCAAAATAAGCAGATCATGTGGTATATGTTCTGTCTTTTAACATTCACTGCATTTACCAAAATCATGGCTGATTGAAATGTGTGCAATTTGTTTTAAAATCGGATTCAAGGTGTTTTGCTTTGCAAGTAGGAACATTTACCGTAAATCAAGGTTGCAAGAGCAGTGTTGCTTTAGTGAGATAAATGTCCCCAGTATACACAAGGCTGATATACAAGACAATCACACCACATATTACTTTAACACATAATTTGGAAACATTTCTTAAGAATCTTAATACATCTAGGCAGCTTATTATGGACGTGACAGAATCAGTTATAAATGACCGTTAGGTGGGCTTCACAAATGATGGAAGAAGGAGTGTTTTGGTAAAGACACTTAGGACAGCTCAGGAAATCAGCCGGGGAGCAGAGGCCATATGTTGTCAGCTTTGCGTCAAAATGTGCTCACCACATCATTACTGATGACTCTTCTCTGCATGGGGCTGTGATCTCTCGAGCAATCTCTCAGTGGGACTGCCAGTGGCCTTCAGAGTTTGCCCTGCTTCAGAGGAAACACCTTCCTGCCACATGGAAGAGGCCTCTTGATGGGATACCAAAGAAAGATTTGCAATACTTATGATTTTTTGGAAAGAACTCAGAGAAGAGTGAAATGACTGCCTTTTGGAAAAGCTCCGTGATATAATATCCTAGAATATTATTGCTGCAGAGGGCTTTAGCAGCACTGTTACTTGATTCTGTGGCGTAAATTCTTCCCTCAACTTCTTCGTTTTGCAGGTGGTGAAACAGAGAGAGAAATTCAGTTGCTTAAGATTGTATAGACATCCTGCAGATTCGTAATCTAGCTCACAATTATTAATCAGAAGTTAAAATGCACAGAGGGCCCCTAGGGTCCTATAATATGCTTTGCTTCTCCACCTTGTTTTTCTTGCAACCTTGTTGTGTTTGCCCATGTGCGTTCTTTGCTAAGTGTTCATGCCTGGTGACCCCATGCCCAGCAGGCTGGATGTGTGGATGGGAAAATATTATAGAGGATGAAGACACTCATATTGCCTTTGGATGTGAAGGATGCCATGTTGATTTGGCCATATCTTCATATTTGATCCGATGAGGTGGAATGAATGTGGTCATCAACTTCTTTTTTTTGAAACAGAGTCTCACTCTGTCGCCCAGGCTGGAGTGCAGTGGCGCTATCTCAGCTCACTGCAACCTCCGTCTCCTGGATTCAAGTGATTCTACTGCCTCAGTCTCCCAAGTAGCTGGGACTACAGGCATGTGCCACCACACCCAGCTAATTTTTGTTCTTTTAGTAGAAAAGGGGTTTCACCATGTTGGCCGGGCTGGTTTCAAACTCCTGACCTCAGGTGATCTGCCCGCCTCAGCCTCCCAAAGTACTAGGATTACAGGTGTGAGCCACTGTGCCCGGCCTGGTAATCAAGTTCTACATTTATTCTATCACATCATTGTATTCTGCCTAATTAAGAAGAGAAATATCTTCTTAATATCCCCTAATATGCACTGGCAGAAACACTTTTTGAATGTGGACTGGGAGTCTAATTCTCTAAGCCTCATGTGGGTCACCTTTCAACTAACTTCCATTTAAGTATTGCTGGCATGAAAAATATAGGATAGAGTCTTGAGTAAACAAAATGTAGAATTGCGCTTTGTTTAATTACTCCAAAGCCCTTTGTCTCTTACTTGTAAGGTACAATACGGCAAAGACTCTTGGCAGATGCCTAAGAACTTTTATAACTGATGTCAAGATCAACTGAAACAAAGACGCATTTGTTGAACTCCAGATTTAAATGCTGGCCTGGCTTTTCAGAGATAAATCTTAGGTGTTTGCTCTTGGCTATGGATAAGAGTAGTTTGAAAAATTTATTTGCCAATGCTTACACAAGCCACTACTGCATATTATGAAGCATTGCTCACCTAACACATAAGAAAAATTAAAAACAAAATAGCTGAGTGTGGCTGGAAAGAGAGGCAGCTCTAGGGGAGGGCATTCCTGGGAAGCAGGAATGGATGCAAAAACCCAGGTTAGATTAAGCATTTGGAGATGAAAAAAATGAATTGACTAGCATAGCTAAAAAGGCAGCAACGTGATTACCAAAAGCAATGTCAGCATGGTGTAGTGGGCTGCGTATGGGTTATGGCATCGGTAGATAGCTCCAATCTTTTGGTACTTGGCAGGTTTCTTAAAGTCTGACAATCTCAGTTTTCTTTTATAAAGTGGGATTATCTGCCTGCCTTTGAGGGCTGCTCAGAGGGTCAAATGAGATTATGTTCTGAAAGTACTTTGTCAACTAAAATTCTCTATCAATGAGAATACTAATAAAATGATAATATAATAATCATGATCAGAGTAATACTCATTTGATACTAATACTACCAAATGACATTTACATATTTTATTCGGTGCCAGACACTAAGCTAAAGGTTTCATATAAATTCTCTTACTGGGGTGCATACTATTTGACAAAATAGGAAGTTGTGAAACTCAGATTAAATAACTTGACCAAGGTCTATTGGATACCCACATTGTGCTTTGACTTCCACAGTGAATTACCTTCCTTATTATAATGATAACAAATGCTAACAATTCATTCAGGCATAACTTCTGTTTTCACATATTCCTCTAAAATGATCTTTCTTGTCTAGCATTTTACCGAGTAGTTCAATCACAAGCTCACTATAATTTAATGCATGTTCTCTCCTTGAAGGACATATATAAAGGCATAAGGAAATTATTATATAAAATTAAGACTACTGTTTTAGAGCAACAGAACTTGCATAGTAAAGAAAGGCTGTAGAACCTTTAAAATACAATATGAACATCCTGAAAGATTAGAAAAAGAAAATAATTCTCACAACCATATTACTCTGTTAGTCCTTTAATTTTTATGGCCCATTGTCTCCTTTTACATTATTATTCCTTTTTTTTTTTCTATCAACTATCCCTGGGATAATAGTCCTATGAATGGGTCTATAAGCCTATGAAAATTCCAGAATTGCACTGTTCAGTGTGGTAACCACTGTCCACATGTAGCTATTTAAAGTATATTTAGACTAAAATAAAAAGAAATTAAAAATTCATTTCCTCCATCACACTAGCTAAACTTCAAATACTCAATGACCCTATGTGGCCTGTGGCTATCATATTTGACAGTGCAGAAGAATTCCCATCATTGCAGCCAGTTGTATTGGACAGCCCTGCTCCAGAACATGAAATCATGATCCTCTCTCTGCCTGGATCTGCTAGGGCCTAGGGGACAGTCACATTATCTATGTAATTACGCCAGAGGATTTACGAGGATGTTTAGAGTAGAAATTCATGGAATGATATTGGACTTATTGTTGATCAACATGATAGCAGATTAAAGCATCAAAATTTGGAGAATTATCTTAACCAGACTCTCTTGCACCAGCTGGTTAAAGCACAGAACATGCCAGGGATGTGTTCCTAGTACATTCCACTGGCACAGAGGTGTGAAAGATGTGAAAAGGAAAAACCACACAACAACGCTGGCCAGAGCAGGCAGAGTTATTCAGAGGAGTGTTTGTAGACAGATGCAATGGCCTGAGAGCAGGCATGGAATTGTGAAAAGCCCTTCTGACCTGATAAAGTGATTTCAGAGTGATAGAGTTCTAAGGTGAGACAATAGCAGAGAATGGTGTTGAAGGTTAGAACTAGGTTGAAATTGTAACGGGCCTTGTGTTCTCTAAAATGTTTTAGTTTATCCATCAGGACTCAGGGAGCCATCAGAAGTCTTCAAGCTGTGGAGTGACGTGGCTGGATTAGCTTTATTTTTCAGGAAGGTAATTAACACATGGGTGGGCAGAGTAGCTTAGTTTAGAGGTTGAGAAACAACTTCTGGATTTTCCTTTGGTAGAGTTATTGTGCTCTATTTGTCAGTCATAATACCTTATAGTTCAAAGTAAGGATGATTTTTAAAATCTCTATTAATTTTCTGACATTAACTGACAATGATACTAAAAGGACAATTTATAGTAGTGTTTTGTTAACTATGGTAAAATGGGCTCAGAGTGGTCTGAAAAATGTAGTCACCTAGTGAATGAATAATAAAGACCTTTGTACCAGCTTAAATCCATTTTGGGTGAATATATTTATAATATTTATAATTCTATTAATTGGTTTTATAAGATCATAAAACGCAAGCGTTTAAATGATGCACCATTGTTGTAGTGGAAATAAAAGAGGAAGATACATGAAATACTAAAGATGAGAAGAGGTGGGAAATGAGCCAGACAGACCACCCTAACTATGCTGGCGTTTGGTTGATTTTGGAAAAAAGACTTGGGAAAATGAATGACAGACCCTTCCCTTGATTTTTCCCACTCTACTAATTTGGTCCTGAGTTAATTGTCAAAATAAGTGAGACTATGCTAGAAACCAACTATTAACTATTTTGTTACTTGGTTAACTATTAACAACTTTCTTAACTATTTATTAATAAGTTTATTTATTAACTACTTTTATAGTTAATAAAGATGGAAAGTCCTGACTTAGTAAAGAAGAAATACATACTCCTTTTAAACATTTATTTATTTATTTATTTGTATTTTAAAGACGGGGGTCTCATCTGTCACCTAGGCTGGAGTGTAATGGTGCCATCATGGTTCATTGCAGCCTCGAATCCCTGTGCTCAAGTGATCCTCCTGCCTCAGCCTCCTGAGTAGCTGAGACTACAGGTGCTCACCACCATGCCTGGCTAATTTTTTATTTTTAAATTTTTTTTGGTAGAGGTGAGGTCTCACTGTGTTGACCAGGATTGGTTTCGAACTCCTGGGTTCAAGTGATCTTCCAGCTTCAGCCTCCTGAGTAGCTGGGACTACAGGCATGTGCCACCATGTCAGCTAATTTTTTAGTTTTAAAATTTTTTTGTAGAGATGGAGTGCCACTATGTTGACCAGGTTGGTTTTGAACTCCTGGGCTTAAGTGATCCTCCTGCCTCAGCCTCCCCAAGTACTGAGATTATAGGCATGAGCCACGGTGTCCAACCAAGATGTGCTTCTCCTCAAGACCAAAACATTTACTAAGAAGTAGATGAGCACATGAAAGAAGTTAATCTGACATTTCCTCAAAGGTTTAAAAATAAGTTGTATTTTCAAAGAAGGACTTCCATAATGCTTTTCTAGTGACTCTTCATTCACCTTACTGGCTTCGGTGCAGACAGACTAACCCAGTTCACTCCCCGAATGGCACCTTTAAACTTCAGTCTGTTACACAAAAGCACACATAGTAAAGGAAACATTTTTGCTTCAGTATAACTGTTATATTATTCTACCCCATTTTAAGTATATAATTAATTTTAGTTCTGTGTCTACACAACTTAAAGCCAATGATTTTTAACGACTGCCCCAAAAATTTCTGAAAAACAAACAAAAGGGGATATCTGATTCTACCATGTTGGGGTAGAATTGGTAATTGTATAATTGATACTGGACTCATAATCTCACTGTAAACAATAAAAAAGCAGACAAAATTTATGAGATATCTGTTTGGTTTTCAGACAGTATAGGAGGTAGCACAGAAACAGGATCCCTGAGGGAATGGAAATAGATAAGGTTAGCCCTATAATCACCCCCAGCTTTCTTCCTGGAAGCACTTTCTGAATTAAGGGCCTGTGAGGAGGAACTCCAGCAAAAGCAAAAAAATCATATTAAATTGAGAAGACAGAGACAAGAATTCAAGGGGAAGCTGAAATGACTGAAATTTTCAGACCAGAAAATTGGAGAGTAGGGAGCTGTGCAGACAAGAAGCTACAGAGATCTGTAGAGGATCTCCTTGAGTCCATTGGGATTCATAGAAAGAAACTCCATGAGGCCAGGAAAGAACAATATGGGGAGCTGTGAGTACTGAGCAACAATTTTCCATTTCTCTCCTACATTTCCAGACGACTTATAAACAGACATTGACTGCATTTATTTTGGACAATCTTTTTTTTTCACAGATGTTTGCATAGCCAACAGCCATGGCAGATGGAGCTAGTGCCTCTCTCAGGAGCAAGGGGCAGGCACACTTACTGCCCATTATAAAAACTCCAGTTTCACTAAACCCAGGATTCTTTCTTGTACCACAATGCACTACATGTGCCAGTATTGCTCTGTAGGAATTGGGGCTCAGGGAGACAGTGCAGATGTCAATACTGTGGCTTCTGCTGTTGCCATGAGTAATAAAGTCCTTTGTCTCTGATCCAGGAGACTCATATCTTCTGCCAACATCTTGAAGCTATGGCAGGCTAATTTGTTAGTTTGCAAGGAGGGTAAAATTTCAGGCCCTTCACAGAGTTTGACAGTTTTAGTGATGAGTATGGGATGCTGACAGAGATGTAGCTTTCTGGAAAATGAAGGACAAGGGCCTCATGGGACAAATAATGGGTTTTGAGAGAAATTCACAGGAATTGGTACCTGTATTAGTCTGCCAGGACTGCTGTAATAAAATGCCATAGACTGGGTGGCTTACAAATAACAGAAATGCATTTCTAACAATCTGGAAGCTGGGCAATCTAAGATCAAGATAATGGCAGATTCAGTGACTGACCCACTTCCTCATAGACAGCATTCTCAATTTAACCTCTGGTGGAAAGGATGAGAGGTCTCTCTCTGGCCTCTTATGAGAGCTCTGCCCCCATGAGCTAAACACGACCCAAAGGTCGTATCTCCTAATGCTATTATCTTGGGGATAAGGATTTCAGCATTTGAATTTTGGGGTAATATAAACATTCAGATGACAGAAGCAGCAAACATAGCAAATATGTTGACCAAATTGTATGGTCAACTGGGCAATAAATGATCTTCTCCTTTACTGCCTGTTATTGAAGAGGAATTGGGGAGGTGGTTACAGGCTCAAAGACAGGTGTCCTGGTTTTTGCTAACTCTCCTTTGAGGAGACAGAGGCTATTCCTCACAAGTCTTGCAGTCAGCCTTAGGTCTGTGCTCTTGTAATAATTAGAGCTAACATTAATCCCAGAATAATTGGATATCTATATGGGAAAAATCATTCTTGACACTACCTTACAACATTCACGAAATGAACAAAAGTATCATCTAAAACTATAAAACTTTTAGAAAACAACATCAGATAAAATCATCAAGATTTTGAGGGCAGAAAAAGAATTCTTAAGACACTAAAACATGAACTATATGGAAATTGGTCAACTGGACTTCATCATCAAAATGGAATTATTCTATTCTTTGAAAGACATTGTTAAAAAAGTAGAAAGCCAAGCCCCCGAGTGGAAAAATATTTGCAGTACATATATCTGAAGATATAGATGCAGAATATATATAAAAAATTCAACTAAATTTTAAAGAAGACAAGGAATATGGGGAAAAAAAAGAGATGTGAACAGACACTTCAAAACAGAAGATATGCAAATAATCAGTAAGCACATTAAAGATTCCCAATATTATCAGTATCAGGACAATGTAAATTAAAACCACAATGAGATACCACTGTACACCAGTGTTTGTGAGGATGTACCACAACTGGAACCCTCATACATTGCTGGAGAAAATCTAAAATGACACAAGCTCTCTATGAAGTAGTCTGGTAGTTTTCTTACATAATGACTACATAACTCACAATTCCATCCCTTGGTATTTACTCAAGAGAAATGAAAACATATATCCATACAAAGGCCTTCATGTGAACGTTCATAGCAGATTTAAATAGCATTAAGCTACAAACAACTCAAAAGTCTGTCAACAGGTGAGTAAATAAACAAGTTATAATCTATCCATAGAAAAAAGTATTTCCCAAGCAATAAAAAGGAGCAAGCTACCACCACATTAATGGATATAAATGGATAAAGAAAATGTGACATATATATATTCACACAATGGAGTATTATTCAGGCATAAAAAAGAAAGAAATCTTGCCATTTGTCACAACATAGATGAACTTGGAGGACAATATTCTAAATGAAATAAGCGACACATATAAAGACACTGTGTGCTCTCACTTATATATGGAACCCATAAAAGTTGAACTCTCAAGCAGAGAGTAGGATGGTGGTTACCAGGGGATGGGGTGTAGGGGAAATCAGGGAGATGTTAGTCAAAGGGTACAAACTTTTTTAAACATTTAATGATACAGTTTAATCTCTAAAGCATTAGGCCAGGCATGGTGGTTCACACCTGTAATCCCAGGACTTTGGGAGGCCGAGGCGGGTGGATCACGAGGTCAGGAGATCGAGACCATCCTGGCTAACACAGTGAAACCCCATCTGTACTAAAAATACAAAAAAAGAAAAATTAGCTGGGCGTGGTGGCTGGTGCCTGTAGTCCCGGCTACTTGGGAGGCTGAGGCAGGAGAATGGCATGAACCCGGGAGGTGGAGGTGGCAGTGAGCCGAGACTTCACCACTGCACTCCAGCCTGGGAGACAGAGCAAGACTCTGTCTCAAAAAAAAAAAAAAAAAAAAAAAAAGCATTAAAATAAGTTTTTACAAATCAAGCATCAATTAAAGAGAATATATTCTATGTGATTTATTAATATAAAATTTTAGAATAGGCACAAGGAATTTAGAGTGGAAGAAAACAGGTCAGTGATTGCCTAGGGCTGGGATTGAGGGGGCAATGACGGCAAAGGGGTACAAGGCAACTTTGTGGATGACTATTCATTTTTTAATTTAAAAATATTTAACCAGCATATAAAAATTGAATACATTCAAGGTATACAACATGATGATTTGATATACATATACATTGTGTAATGATTATCTCAATCAAATTAGTTTAATACATCCATAATCATCCATGCTGTATATTAGATTTCCAGAACATGTTCATCTTGTAACTGAAAGTTTGCACTCTTTGACTAACACCTCCCTGATTTCCCCCACTCCCCATCCCCTGGTAACCACCATCCTACTCTCTGCTTCAGAGTTCAACTATTATGGGTTCCGTATATAAGTTAGAGCACACAGTGTCTTCATATGTGTTACTTATTTCATTTAGAATAATGTCCTCCAAGTTCATCTATGTTGTGACAAAGGCAAGATTTCTTTCTTTTTTATGTCTGAATAATACTCCATTGTGTGAATATATATATGCCACATTTTCTTTATCCATTTATACTTTGATGGACACTTAGGTTGTTTCCATATCTTGCCTGTGGCGAATAACACTGCAATGAACATGGGGGTGCAGATATCACTTCAATGGCTATTTTTTTTTTTTTTGAGACAGAGTCTTGCTCTGTCCTCCAGGCTGGAGTGTAGTGGCACAATCTCAGCTCACTGTAACCTCCACTCCCAGGTTCACGCCATTCTCCCACCTCAGCCTCCCGGGTTGCTGGGACTACAGGCGCCCGCCACCATGCCCAGCTAATTTTTTTTTGTATTTTTACTAGAGACGGGGTTTCACTGTGTTAGCCAGGATGGTCTTGATCTCCTGACGTCGTGATCCGCCCGCCTTGGCCTCCCAAAGTGCTGGGATTACAGGCGTGAACCACCGCACCCAGCCCGTCTTCAATGGCTATTCTTGACTGTGATGTGGGAGATATAGTTGTTGAAACTCATCAAGCTTTACACTTAAAATGGGTGCATTTCAGCACATGTAAATAATACTTCAATAAAATTGGTTTTTAAAAAAAGATCTACAAGCTAAAAACAAAGATTAACGTGGAATGTCAAAACGACTCAGGAGCCAGCCTTAACAGGGCTCCCACTGGCAAAAGTTGGCAGTTTAAGCATCAAAAAGAGAATGACTGTAGATCCTTGAAATAAAAGGAATATGAAACAATCATTATTCCCTAGTAATATATGTGCATGACACCCCTCCACCCCTGGGACACCCCTCCAGCAAAGAACAGAATTTCGTTCTTTGTCTTAAAAATCTTCTCAGTGAACAGTAACTATTTTGAAACCAGAAATCCTAAAACAGGATTGCATTTTCAGGATCTCAGATTTGTTTAGTTTTGAATTATTTATTTAAACATTTTTTTTCTGAAATATTTTCTAAGCAAAACTAGGATGGAGTTTTGAAAAGCCAAATTACATACGCACTGGCTCCTGTGTACCTTGAGAATGCACCTTGCAGACTTTCAACTACTTGACTATTGGCCCCAGCTGCCACACTCTGAAATGCATTGTTTCATTTGCACTCATAAAATTGGGGCAGAGAGCCAAGCCTCCCAACAGCCGCTTGTAGACAATTATCAAGTGCCGCAGGCTTCCTAAGGCAGCCTGTCACTGAGAGCCTGAGAACTTGTTCAACTTTAGGCCAACTTTGGCTTAAAGACACCAGTGGCCTGGCCGCACTTCCATTAGACTTCAGGATAGTCCAGGGTGCTTTTACCCAACTTTCCTTCTTGTCTCTCCTCACTAGGAATCAGATTTGCATCAAGGCTGGATGGCTCTCCCATCTCTTCCCAGCTCCCTCTCCATTTTCTCTCTCAGACATTTTCCCCAATAAAATCCTTGCAAATTTACTTTCATCTTGATGTCAGCTTCTTGGATGACCTGAACAAATTCACAGCCCAATATTTGATTATCTTTCATGGCCAACAAGGCCCACAGGTGACTCTCATGCTCTTATATTTTTTCCCATTAAACTTCATCTTTGTGGGTTTAAGGCCATTTGTTCCAACACATCAAAGTATTTTTGAATCTTACTCCATTATCTTTTACATCTGTTGTCTTTCCCATCTTTATGACATCCCAAAATGTGATGAGTAGTTATTACATGTCTTCTACAAATTGTGAATAAAAGCATTAAACTGTAGCTGCCAAATGACAGGCCCTTTTGGAAATGCAATCAAGGCCTATAATAAGCCTGACAGTACAAATAAATCTGTTTTCATAAAGTGAATAAATATTGGATAATTATGAAAATATTAAATTATATGTAGTGAGATGGATAGTGCCCTTATATTCAAATTGTACATCTCCCATGATATTTTGCACACAGAAGGTGTTTACAATCACTCTCACCAAGATAGCAATGACACCAGAAAAGTGTAGAAAAGAATATTTGAAAGAAGTAATCTTTCGTAGTTTTAGAAACAAGCTGTGTAGTTCTTCTGTTCTTGATAAAATTAGGGTTAGAGCACAGCATAAAAATTTCAGCTCTTACAGCAGCAAGAACTACTCAGTATATGAAATAACCTTCAGAAACAGTGTAAGTGGATTCTCTTCAATAAGGATTTGGTGATGAATGGACAGGAGATGGAAATGGCTAGAAGATGGACTGGCTAGAAGAGGGCGGTTCCCTGGCAAAGGCCCCACCCTCAAGCCTGGAGACCTCTGACCCTAAGTAGGAACAGGCATTTCTGTTTCTGTGCCCAAAAAGATGCCTTTTGGCCTGCCATATCCCCCTATCCTGTACCCATATAAATCCCAAACCCCAGGCTCCAGAAGCAGATGAGCAGATGAGCAGAGGAGCAGATAAGGAGATGAGGAGAAAAGCAGATGAACAGTGGAACAACATGGCAGAGAAAGAGAGAAGAGGAGGAATTTCTGAACACTGAGAGAAGTTCGGCTGGGGGTGGCCGGAGGGCAGTTCAGCTGCTGAATGGCCAAACTCCAGGGGAAGATCATCCTCCCACTCCATCCCCACTTCCGGCTCCCCATTCATCCCACTGAGAGCCACTTCCACCACTCAATAAAACCCCGCATTCATCCTTCAAGCCCGTGTGTGAACCGATTCTTCTGGGACACTGGGCAAGAGCTCGGGATACAGAAAGCTGTCACACTGGCCCTCTGCCCTTGCAAAAAGGCAGAGGGTCCATTGAGCTGGTTAACATTAAGGTGTCTGAGGATGGCAAGGCTAAAAGAGCACTGTAACACTGGGGCCGCAGGCACCCACCCCTAGACACTACTGCAGGAGCGGAGCCCAGAGTACCTGCCCCGGCTCCTGTACCTGCCCATCTGCGTGTTCCCCCTCCTGTCAGGAGTTTGAGCAACAACGATGACCGAACAGGCAAGCCACACCCCTGCTGCACATCCTGCAAGGGGGATCAGGGAACTCTCCTGTTTCAGTGGCTTGCTTCTTTGTGAGCTGTGAGAGTTCAAAACACTTGGTGTAGCAATAATGACAGAGTTTGTTTGTGTTTACACTTAGGAACGATTGTGTGGAGTTAGGGGTTTCCTAAACTAATTGTTTTTAGGTTAATTTGAGCAGAGGCCAAGGGTGTGGCAAATAGGCAAGTGAATAAATCATCCCCAAAACTGTTTTATATCATGGATAGCCATGCTAATATTAAAAATAATTTTGATACTTCAGAGGACTCATTTTTCATTCACTTGTAGATAGCATGGTATTTTTTGAAAAGAAACGTAATAGGCTGGAAATAAATACTTTGTAATAAATTTTGTCATTAATAAGAGGTGAAACCTAGACATGACTTCAAGTACGCATCCCATCATGACATCATTACAAAGCACTATCCTTGTATAAATAGACATCTTGTCTAAGGTCAAGGTCCCTCAATAAATCTGCAGTCCATTTGGGTGCCAGGTTATAGAAAACAGAGTATTATTCTGCATTTTTCCCTCCCAAAACTCATGAACATAGAAAATATTCCACAATGGCAATCAAAATACCCAGAACCTTCACTTGCTATAAGGGTTAAAAAAAATCAATTGCAGTTCAGCAGTTCACTCTCCTATATAAATTCTGGTCAAACTTTTATCCTTTTTCTCCTCTAGATTCTTCCATTACTCTAGGTGCTATTAATAGGGCAGTTCTATTACATGTTTCTCTTCAGACCTCTTGAGTCATACGCAACCTTTCATCGTTAGTTTAATAGCTAGTGTTATTGATGAGTAGTAATACGCAGAAGAGGCTGATAATCATTGGTTTTGCGTAGCTGAAATAGATAATAATGAGATAAGTTTTTCATGGGTAGTGGGAAAGACGTCTTAATGGCTCCTAGAATACAGATGAAGGAACTATATGGTATTACAAAGGACATCTTGATAAGAAGCAGATTCAAAGAGGTCAAAACAGCAACTGGATTTCTGCTGGCATAAATCTCTTCTCAACTGTATTATTGCCTTTTAAAGTCTTTTTTTAACAGGCAAGAATCCAAACAGGATGTGTTTTCCCACAAACAAGAAAAAGCAAAATAAAATGCTCTGTTGTTAAAGTTAGAAATGAGAGAGAGAGAGTCTGACTAATGGAAGAAATCAAGGGCCTTAAACAGAAATGGCAGAATGCTTTTATAGAGGAGTATTCCTGCTGTTTAGAATGCATGGCTGGTGACTTGGAATAAGTAGTGTTCCAGAGAGTGAATCTAAGATATGTCCCTTAAGCTACTTAAAGGCATGACTAAGAACAAGTCACTCTAAACAATAAAGTAAGATCTTGGGGTAGAAAAAACACCACATGTGGGCATTGAATTAGAACCAAACATTTTGTGAAATGACAAGGAACATGTTAAGTTTCTCCCTCACCAGACAGTAATGTGAGAAGGAATTGTCACACCATGCCAAAGGGAGTGGTGGGGGAGGATGTCAGAATCACCTCTGGGACTTTTTTTTTTTTTTTTTTTTTGAGACAGAGTCTCACTCTGTCGCCCAGGCTGGAGTGCAGTGGCATGGTCTCCGCTCACTGCAACCTCGGCCTCCCAGGTTCAAGTGATTCTCCTGCCTCAGCCTCTCGAGGAGCTGGGATTACAGGCATGTGCCACCACGCAGAGCTAATTTTTGTATTTTTAGTAGAGATTGGGTTTCGCCATGTTGGCCAGGCTGGTCTCTAACTCCTGGTCTCAAGTGATCCGCCTGCCATGGCCTCCCAAAGTACTGGGATTACAGGCGTGAGCCACCACACCCAGCCTTCTGGGACTCTTTCAAACTACATTTGCTTCAGAGAAATTCTGACGCCCCTGTCCCCACCCCACTGCACACAATCCCCGCCTCCTCCTTAAGAATTAATGCCCATCTGAGTCAGTGGTACTGATCAGTAGGTTATCATATCCCTTGGGAAGGGTGAGCCAGAAAGCAGGCTGAGAACCTGAGAACCACTGCTTTAGTGAGTTTATTTTCCTCCACACTTCGCGTGCCCCTCTGTGCTGCTAAGCGTGCATCAGGTTCTGCTGGGTGGGGCTGAGTGTGTAGCCCCTCGTAGCCCCTCACTTGTGGGTGCTCACACACACAGGGCCTGCAGGGAGAAGCCAGGAGCCATTCCTTGTGTTCACATGGCTCAGAACACTAGTTTGAGAAGTCCAGGAGAGATCAGAGGACAGAGCAACATGATCTCTGCTCTGAGAATCGTTGAAGTCTGTAGTTTCCACTTCAGGGAACTTATCTAAATATGGTCCTCCTTGTAATGTATTTGCAGATAGACTGACTCAGGTCTAACTCAATGGATTTAGAAAATTAACATAAGTGTTAATAAGTAATATAGCAGCCTTCCATTCCATGGTTCTGTGTGCTAACAAATATCTGTTGAACGAATGATATATACAAAGATATGGGCATAGCCCACCCAGCAAGGTTGGTAAACAGAAAAGGATTCAAAATTTGTCATTCTGTGTCATCATATTGTGCTTCCTCCATTTCCTCAAATATCCCAACCGTAAACTCCACATAGAACAGTTCAGAGACAAGTTTCCCTCCAAATCTTACATTGAATTGGACTCAGAAAACAGTAATAATAATAGCTAACATGTAGAGAGCACTGCTATGTGCCAATAAGTATGTTTAGTAATTTTTGTGTGTCGTCTTGTTTAAGACTTACAGAAGTCCTACAAGATGGGAACTATTGTTATTCCCTTTTATCTATATGAGAAAAATCGAGCTTCAGGCAACTTAAACAACTTGTCCATCTAGCAAGTGGCATGAAGATGACATTCACAGAACTAGCAAGAGGACGAACCCAAATCTATCTAATGACAAAACCCATACTCTAAGCTACTCCTCTATATTGTTACCAAACAGATTTGAAATACTACCTAAGGCTAACAAGGGCTTTCTAAGCTGTGATTTAATACATAGAAACATGTTTGACCACTGACATAGCCGAAGAACAATATTTTGCAGAAAAAAAACCTCTTGTTTTAGATACTATACTTGTTTTACTAACTAGGTAGCATGAATGTTTTTCAGAGTTTTCAAAATATGTCAGTTCTTACTATTTATGGTGATTATGTTCTAAAAATTTGCTGTGGACACTGAATTTGAGTACGGAGCTCTTGCTATTAGGAGAAATACAGAGTTAGGTTCCTGCAAGCTTCTAGTCAACTAACTGATCAACACATAACTTTATTTTTTTGTGTGTTTCTGTTTAAGGATGCCTCGTTTAATCTAGATTATTGATTGTTTAATGTTGAACTCATGGCCAACAGCACTGTAACTCATGCCTGAACCAAATTTCCATTTTCTCTGTAAAACTTACCTTTTCTCTGTAAGGCACATCCAAGCCTCCTCGCACTTAGAAATACTAGACAGCACTTCAGTACTCTGGTTGGGAGCCATTTTAAACAGTGAAATAACCAACAAAAGCACAAAAATGCAAAACTGTGGTTCTAAATAGACCCATAAAGGACCCTTGTTGATAGTAGAGAGCTGAAACAGGAAGGCAGAGCGTCGCCTTGTGAGACCTCAGCCAGGCACGGGTGCATCACTGCTCTGGGCCTGTCCACAAATGACTGTAAAAGCATACCGAGTGCTGATGTGGGGGTTACAGATAAATTTTAGCAAGTAGATGAATTCACAAATACTGAATCTGTGAATGTGGAGGATTGACTGTACACAGAAATTCACTTAAAGGAAATCTGGCAGTTAAAGTGAGCGGAGGTAATGATGTACTAGTTCATTCTTTGAGAGAGCAGCTCAGAATATGGGTTCTCAATGTAAAAGTTTAGCCAGTTTAACCCACGGTCCAGCAGCACGCATGTAAAATAATCTGTTATGCTCTGGCTACAAAGACTAAAGGCATGTGGTCTCTGAATCTGTATTTCTAACTCAGATGGGCAGCGGGGTGGTCTCTAAAATGCAGGCCTCCTTCAAGTCTGCTGTAAAGGCCTGTCACTAGCTCCTTTTCTGCCCTGGCCATGTTCACAGTCATTGTCCCCTCAGCATGGAAGGCCTAGGTGTTCCATCTTGCAGATTGTGGCTGAATGAAACTGTAGTCAGAGAGGTAAAGCGCTTCGGGTACCACAAGGGTAGAATACCCACCAAAATGGAATGTGTGCACAGTATTGCTCCTGCTTTTTGCATTTTGGGTTTTGGCTTTTATTTTGCCATTTCTTCCTATTTTTTCTGGGCAATACTAGGTAGAAACAGCTTAATTAATCATAATTGTAAAAAATACTATTTGAAAGTGTTATTTTAGATGGAAATTATGGGTTTTTTTGTCACAGCAGGTATTTTTAAAAGCATATAATCTACACACATATCTCAGAGGGTCTTCAGCATCCTTATTTTTGAGCTTAAATGAATCTTGTTATTTTCTCCATTCATGCTCAAATCACAGCCAGGAGCTGCTTAGAAAAGCTTGGCCTGGGAGTTAGAACATTGCCTTAACCGCCTGGGTGGCAGTGGCAATTCTTGCAAAGCAAACTCAGGGATATTGGTGGTAGCGAGGAACCATTGTCAGAAAGCCATCAAAGCTACAGTGAAGTCAATGCCCCTTCATGTTACCCCTATTCTCACAGAGTCTGGATTTGGGAATAATTGTAGCAATGTATTTTCATGAGTTGATTGAGTAATTTGCATTTACTAATCTCAACGTGAAATGAAAGCCAGCCTCAAGAACGGGAGTTGTCCCTGGCTGTCGTTTCTTGTGGTCTCTTTCTCTGTGGTACACCCTCAGAGCAGGCATTCTCTACCCATTGCCTGTGCCTTACTTCTGTGTGTTAGTAGT